>NC_000010.11:62870368-67870368 GCF_000001405.40 Homo sapiens | reverse complement strand
TCATGATCCACCCACCTCAGCCTTTCCCAAATTGCTGGAATTACAGGCATGAGCCACCGCGTCCGGCCTGGTTTTGTTTTGTTTGTTTGTTTTTTTAAGACAGGGTCTTACTCTGTCACCCAGGCCAGAGTGCAGTGGCGTGACCATAGCTTACTGCTACAGCCTCAACCTCCTGGGCTCAAGCGATCCTCTGGCCTCAGCCTCCTGAATAGCTGTACAAGGAATGTGCCACCATGCCTGACTAATTTTTAAATATTTTGGCCAGGTGCAATAGCTCATACTTATAATCCAGAAATTTGTGAGGCCAGGGCAGGCAAATCGCTTGAGCCCAGGAGTTTGAGAATAGCCTGGGCAACATAGCAAAACCCTGTATCTACAAAAAGAAAACCAAACCAAACCAAACCAAATATTAGCCAGGTGTGGTGGTGTGGGCCTGTAGTCCCAGCTACTGAGGAGGCCGAGGTGGGAGAACGATCTGAACCCAGGAAAGATGGTTGAGGCTGCAGTGAGGTGTAATCATGCCACTGCACTCCAGCCTGGGTGACAGAGTGAGACCCTGTTTCAATAATAATAATAATGATAATAATAATTTTTATATTTGTAGGGACAGGGTTTCGCTTTGTCACCCAGGCTGGTCTCAAACTCCTGGGCTCAACCAGTCCTCCTGCCTTGGCCTCCAAAAGTGCTGGGATTATAGGCGTGAGCCATCATGCCTAGCCCACTAATTGATTTTCGAATGTTGAGTTAGCCTTGCATTTCCAAAATAACTCCCATCAGATTCAATTTGATAATATTTTGTGGAAGATTGTTGTATCTATGATCATCGGTGACATTGATCTGTAGTTTTAATTTCTTATATCTTTCTCTTGTTTTGGTATCAGAGTAACACAGACTAAAAAGTATAAGGAGTTGGAAAGTGTTTCCTTCTCTTCTGTTTTCTGGTATTATTTCTTCCTTAAATGTTTGATAGACTGGAGTTGTCTACCTTGGATAATTTTTTAACTGCAGATACAAGATAGCTTGTATCCTTCAAGAAATTGATCCAGCCAGGCTCAGGGGCTCATGCCTGTAATCCCAGCACTTTGGGAGGCGGAGGTGGGTGGATCATCTGAGGTCAGGAGTTAGAGACCAGCCTGACCAACATGGAGAAACCCCATCTCTACTAAAAATACAAAAATTAGCTGGGTGTGGTGGCCCATATCTGTAATCCCAGCTACTCAGGAGGCTGAGGCAGGAGAATTGCTTGAACCCGGGAGGCGGAGGTTGTAGTGAGCCGAGATCGCACCGCTGCACTCCAACCTGGGCAACAGAGTGAGACTCCATCTCAAAAAAAAAAAAAAAAAAAGATAGGCTTATTCTATCTTGGCCGGTAACAGAAATCTTGAAAAGTCTTTTACTGATCACATATCATACTTCTCTACTATAAAAAGATATCTTTAAATGGAAATTTAATTAAAAAATGTTTTTCCTGAGTGTTAAAAATATTTCTTCTGGATTGAGCTATCATCACCATTATTATTATTATACAACTTGCCAAAATAACATTAATATAATATTCATAATTACTAAGAAAATAAAATTTTATTGGAAGTACGTTTCTTAATGAGATGAATTGGACTTTACTTTTTCAAGGCCAGGCATGGTGGCTCACGCCTGTAATCCCAGCAATTTGGGAAGCCGAGGCCAGTAGACCACCTGAGGTGAGGAGTTTGAGACCAGGCTGGCCAACATGGTGAAACCCTGTCTCTACTGAAAGTACAAAATTAGCTGGGCATGGTGGCGGGCACCTGTAATCCCAGCTACTCGGGAGGCTGACACAGGAGAATCTCTTGAACCTGGGAGAAGAAGGTTGCAGTGAGCTGAGATCGTGCCATTGCACTCCAGCCTGGGCGACAAGAGCAAAACTCCATCTCAAAATAATAATAATAATAATAATAATAAAATAAATAAATAATTTTTTAAAATTAATTTAAGTGTGTGTAAATGAATATTAGTCATTACTAGAATGAGACAGGCTCAGCATCAATCAGCTGTGAAAAACCTTGTTTCACATATATAAAGTGGAGGGAATTTTGCTACAACTATGTCACTCAATTCTTCAAACTTTCCAGTTATATGCCAAAAATCACATAATTTTCTGTCTTCAAAAATTGTCTTTAATGACCTATTAGCTGACAATTTGATTAGTTTCTCCTTTGGCTTTTGGAAAGCAAATAACTGGAAACTACCTTACTTTCAAAAGGATTTTTACTCAGTCATTAGAGTCATTCATTTTCTCAGTTTGTGAGAAGTTTGGCAAGACTTACCAACCATTAGCTGTACCTAATTTTCTTCTATTAGAGGCACCTTGTTTAAGGAAGTTTGGGGGATATTAAATATTGTTAAATTCTATACAACACAAAGTTTTTGATAAAATTATTTTATCTTATCAAGTACCTTGAATATATTTTTCTCAAAACCTTGAAATTCCAGATGTAGCTCAATGTATACAAAAATGTTGTCAAATAGAAACATAATGAGTCATGTATGTTAATTTTTTTTTTTTTTTTTTGAGACGGAGTCTCGCTGGATGCCCAGGCTGGAGTACAGTGGCAAGATCTCAGCTCACTGCAACCTCCACCTCCTGGGTTCAAGCGATTCTCCTGTCTCAGCCTCCCAAGTAGCTGGGACTATAGGTGCATGCTACCACACCTGGCTAATTTTTGTATTTTTAGTAGAAACAGGGTTTCACCGTGTTGGCCAGGCTGGTCTCCTGACTGCAGGTGATCCACCTGCCTCGGCTTCCCAAAGTGCTGGGATTTACAGGCATGAGCCCCCGAATTCGGCCAGATTAAATCGACTTTGGTGTAACATAAATTAATCTGTTTTGTATTGCAAATGATAAAACATAATCTTAAATATAAGACCCTTATTATGCTGAGGCGAGCATACTGCTTGAAGACAGGAGTTTGAGACCAGTCTGGGCAACATGGCGAAACCCTGTCTGTACTAAAAATATAAAAATCAGCTGGGCATGGTGGTGCACGACTGTAGTCCCACCTACCCGGGAGGCTGTGGCAGGAGAATCACTTGAACCCAGGAGGCAGAGGTTGCAGTGAGCCAAGATTGAGCCACTGCACTCCAGCCTGGGCGACAGAGCAAGACTGTGTCTTAAAAAAAAAAAAAGATGTGGCATATATATAAGCAAATGTGCATATGTACATATTGATCCCTGGTATTTGATTTTTAGGAACAGTTGAATAAAAACCATAAAATAATTCTATTAATTTAAAATGAATCCTAATATTATGCCATTAATTTTTTAGATAACACCACACATTTTTCCTATGTATTTAGCAAAAAAGAGAAAGTCATATAATGCTAAAATATATATATTATATATATATAATATATATTTAGACAGAGTCTTACTTTGTCACCCAGGCTAGAATGCAGTGGTGTGATCTGGGCTCACTGCAACCTCTGCCTCCCAGGTTCAAATGATTCTCCTGCCTCAGCCTCTTGAGTAGCTGGGATTACAGGCACGCACTACCACACATGGCTAATTTTTGTATTTTTAGTAAAGATGGGGTTTCACCATGTTGGCCAGGCTGGTCTCAAACTCCTGACCTCAGGTGATCCACACACCTTGGCCTCCCAAAGTGTTGGGATTACAGGTGTGAGCCACTGTGCCCGGCCTGAAAATTAATCAGTTACTCCAGCTGCTGGAATATGATTTTACTTTTTGGCCATAGAAACCATAAAATATCAAACATTTCAAAAATGGAGATACGATGGGGTGGTAGGCAGAATTCTAAGATGGCCCCTGTCTCAAGATTCTTGCCCCTTTGGTGTGTATGCCCCGTATGATCCCCTCTCCTTGAGCGTGGGCAGGGCCTGTGAACGTGATGGGATAGCCGATCCTTTGATTAGGTTATATTATACAAGACTGTTTCAGCAGATGAGAGAATATCCAGCTGGTTATAAAGTAAACTGCAATGTTGTGAGGGTGGCTGTGAGAGGGCCATGAGGCAAAGAGCTGCAAGGGCTTCTGGGGGTTGAGAGCAGATTGCTGACAGCCAGTAAGAAAGCTGGGACCTCAGGCCTACAACTGAGAGAACTGAATTCTGTTGACGACCACTAAGTTTGGAAAAGGACCCCATCCCGAGCCTCAAATGAAATCAGACCCCCAGACTACGCCTTGATTGCAGCCTGTGAGAACTGAGTAGAGAATTCAGTTAAATCCTGCTGGGACTTCTGGAAACTTAGATAATAAAGGTGTGTTGTTTTGAGCTGCTAAATTCATGATTCATAGTAATTTTTAACGTAATATAAAAAATGAATACAGATGGCCTATAGTAAGGAACTAAGTATTATTGATATGATTTAATACAACATGCTCTAGATGGATACAGTGGCTCACACCTGTAATCCCAGCACATTTGGAGGCTGAGATAGGAGGACTGCTTGAGGCCAGGAGTTTGAGGCTACAGGGAGCTATGATAGCTCCACTGCATTCCGGCCTGGGTGACACAGCAAGACCCTATCTCAATACAATAAAATAAATAAGATAAAATAAAATAAAATAAAAATGTTCTAACTACTGAATTGAATAATCCACATGCACTCTAAAAGAAATTATGAAATTATGAGTGGGCCATGGTGGCATGAGCCTGTATTCCCAGCTACTCAGGAGGGAGGGTCACTTGAGGTCAGGAGTTTGGGGTTGCAGTGTATTATGCTTGCTCCTGTGAGTAGTCACTGCAGTCTAGCCTGGGCAATGCAAATGTTATCAAATGGAACTAGAGTCTGCTTGCCCTATCTATACAGTTTTGAAGCGGAGAAAGGAAGGTGTTTATTTGTGGGGCAGCAGCAAAGAGGATCAGGCAGCTAACACTTAAGTCCCAACCTCCCAGATGGCTTGCAGGTAAAGACTTTTTTTTTTTTTTTTGAGACAGGGTCTTGCTCTGTTGCCCAGGCTGGAGTGCAGTGGCTCCATCATGGCTCACTGCAGCCTTAAACTCCTGGGCTCAAGTGATCCTCACACCTCAGCCTCCCAAGTAGCTGGGACTACAGGCGCGAGCCACCATGCCTGTAGATTTTTGTAGAGATAGGGTTTCACCATGTTACACAGGCTGGTCTCAAACTCCTAAACTCAAACCACCCACCTGCCTGGGTCTCCTACAGTGCTGCAATTATAGGCATGAGCCATTGCACCTGGCCTGCAGGTACAGATTTTTAAAGGCAGGGGTGAATTCCAGGAAAGCAGAAGTTAAAGGCAAAATCATAAACCAGTAGATGGAGGTTATGCATTGGTTTGGCCTAAAAAGGTGGGATATCTTGAAGTGGGGGAGGAGGGCGCTTCCAGGTCATAGGTAGATTCCAAGACTTTTTCTCCTATGTTAGCTCTCGCTTGTGGGTGTGACTTCCTCCAGTCCCCTCAGGAAGAAATTTGGAACAAATTTGGTCAGAGTTCAATCTTCAGTTCTCCTTTGTCTGAGGTCTTTGTGCCAGAGGATCCGTTTGGTGGGGATCTGGATTTCTGAAAAACAACTCAGACACGTATGTTCAGATGTTTTCTTTAGTTTCTATAGGGGAACCAAACATCCTGTGATTTTTAACTTCCTTGTTTTTTTCTTTTTTTTTCTAAGACAGAGTTTCGTTCTTATCGCCCAGGCTGGAGTGCAGTGGCATGATCTGAGCTCACTGCAACCTCTGCCTCCTAGATTCAAGCGATTCTCCTGCCTCAGCCTCCTGAGTAGCTGGGATTACAGGCATGCGCCACCATGCTTGGCTAAGTTTTTTGGAATTTTTAGTAGAGATGGGGTTTCTCCATGTTGGTCAGGCTGATCTTGAACTCCTGACCTCAAGTGATCCGCCAGCCTCAGCCTCCCAAAGTGCTGGGATTACAGGCGCGAGCCACCGTGCCAGGCCTTAACTTCCTTTACTATGGCTTTAAGCTATCTTCTTGATTATGAAGTTGCTCCTTTACTTCTCAAGGCTAATTAGGTGCCTGGAATTTCCCTTGAAGGAACTCAAGGTTTTCCTTTATTTTTGTGCTTCAGGGGCCCGCAGGCGCCTTTGCCCCTAAGAAAGGTGTCCCTACTCTGTCTCAAGATCACCACCGCTTCCACAGTCCACATTAATTTCAGAACATCCCAACAAGACCAATATATCTCCTTTATAAATCAGTGATTCACCCTAAACAGAAATACATTTAAGTCTGGGAAAGGCAGGAAGCTCTAAGGAGGATTCATGGTATCTTGATTAACATTAAAGGGATTGTTTCCAGTTGTCCATTGGTTTGGCATCTTAGAAGTTCTCACACTTGGGACTTTGTCACACTGCAGTCATATTCAGGATGGAGGTTGGGAATGACTTTTTTTTGTAAAGTGGGATGAGTGCTGCTACGGCGGGGAAATAGGAAGGATAGCCTGAGACATGCTTTAGGGAGGGTATGCAAGGAAGTTGAAAGTGTGGAAATAGAGTTTCTTAAAATTCTACACATCTAGGCCGGGCATGGTGGCTCATGCCTGTAATCCCAGCACTTTGGGAGGCCAAGGCAGGTGGATCACAAGGTCAGGAGATCGAGACAGCCTGGCCAACATAGTGAAACCCCGTCTCTACTAAAAATACAAAAAATTAGCTGGGTGTGGTGATGGGCACCTGTAATCCCACTACTCGGGAGGCTGAGGCAGGAGAATTGCTTGAACCTGGCAGGTGAAGGTTGCAGTGAGCTGAGATTGCGCCACTGCACGACAGCCTGGGCGACAGCGCGAGACTCCGTCTCAAAAAAAAAAAAAAAAATTCTGCACATCTGTGTATCCCCTAGAAAGTCTTCCTGTTCTCCAGTTTGAAGACTTTGACCCTGAAATATGTGTTCCTCCCAGTCAACGACTTTATCTTATTATCTTTACTCCCTTCCTATTCTCCCTTCCCTTAGCACCAGGCTAAGTAGACATTGGCCTGGTCAGTAGACATTGGCCTCCCCCTTGGGACCAAGGAGACTCTGCCAGAAATAGGGTCCCCTGACTAGACAGGGCAGGATAACTGCAGTCAAATTCTTGCTTCCTAATCTCCATTACGTTGACTTCCTGTAGGCCTTTTACCACCTCATTACTTCAGAAAGGCAGATTACCATGTGAAATGAACCATTTCCTCTAATTACTCTTAAATTCAACATAGATTTGTTGAACCCTGGGTAAAAGCTCTGTGTTTCTTTGGAGTGTGTATAGTGGGAGGTAAGGGAGATAGACCAGCTAGGGAAATAAATTCATCTATAGAAAACTCAGACGTACAACTATTTCATTTGGGCATCACCTGTGCTCCTGAAGATCCCACATCAGTTCAAACCTTACATTTTTCAAGACTAATTTGGACAAAGGACTGTGGTGAAACCATTTCTGTTTTGCAGCTAAAGCAGCAACAATATTAGCAATTAAATTAGCTGCCCGGCTTTGAAATAATGTAATTTTGATAATTTTTTACTTTGGGAAATTTGCATTATTTCCAAATTTACACATTGAAAGAATATTTATTAATACTCTTACATCACAGAATTTTACCATCTTATAATTCACATTTTCAGTGTGTCTGCACTGTCCAAGGAAGAACAGTACTGTAACTGAATTAAATGTTTTGAGGAGGGCCCCTTATTCTGTAAATTAAACATCTGGGGTCGCCAATGCTGGCAGAGTGTAGGGCACTTGGTGGGTGGGCAGCACATGAGTTCTGCGTTGAACTCACTCTCAGGGTACATAGTACATATGGTGGAAATCACACGGTTTCAGAAAATCATGAATAAGTCAAAGGAGACTTTTTTTGGGGGGGGTGCTGTGTCAAACATTAATATATGTTTAAAATTAAAACAAACACAAACAAAAAAACAGGATGGTAGGAAGCAGCTTTGTTCTGCCTGAGGCTAGAATGTAATGGCTCAGTACTGCCATCAAATTGGGATTTTCACTTCTCCTACTCTCCAGTCAAGCCTTCAGTGCAAATGGAGGGGGCGGGGATTGGGGGTGGGGAGGGTAAGGAGGTGTTTGTTCTTCCCACATGCATTCTTTCCCTCTTAGACCAAAGGGATATGGGAGATGCAAAACCTTAACTAAGAGAGCTGGAAGAAGGTCCATCTGAAAACACACTCAAAAGCAAACCCACGGCACTGCCAAGGGAAAAGGGTACTGAGCTGCAGGAGGACTGTATCCAGAGTGGCTGATCTCCTCTAGACCACAAGGTCAGGGGGAGGAGGGTGGTTTGCTTCTAGGTCAGCCCTCAGGCCCTTGTGTGACCCAGGGATTGGGAAGATACCAAAATCTAAATCTCAATGTAGGTCTCAAAGTTTATTTTAAATAATGCAATAGAAGACAATGACAGCAAAAAGACTCAGTGAATCTTTGAAAGGGATCATTGTAAAGACACAAGAATGGAACCCAGGTGGAACTCAGCTGGCGGTGGTTTCCAACCTTTACTTGCTATTAAAATCCTCTGGGGAGCTCTTAAAATCCCAATGCTAAGGTTGGATTTCAGACGAACTACAACAGAATCTGTAGGGGTGGGACCCAGGTATGAATATCTTTAAAACTCCTCAGCTTATTCTCATGTGCAGTGAAGGCTGCTTTTGGAGTGAGCTGGGAGCCCACCTCTTACCTTCCAGGCAAAGGCTCATTGCATTTTAGTTAGCATGTTCTGTTTATAAGTCAAGCTGATTTAGTCTGCCATAAATACTCAAGGGTAGACAACGATATTAGGGCATACTTGATATTTGGGGTATATATTCCACAGGAAGTATGAAGAAGGGTTTTTGTTTGTTTGTTTGTTTTGAGACAGTCTTGCTCTGTGGCCCAGGCCGGAGTGCAGTAGCGCAATCTTGGCTCACTGCAACCTCTGCCACCTGGGTTCTCATGCCTCAGCCTCCTGAGTAACTGGGATTACAAGCGCCTGCCACCACGCCGTGTCTGGCGAAGAAGGTATTTTTTTTTTATTAGTTGGCTTCTTCCCTTTCCTTTTTTTCTTTCTTTTTTTCTTTTCTTTTCTTTCTTTTCTTTTTTTTTGAGAAGGAGTCTTGCTCTGTCGCCCAGGCTGGAGTGCAGTGGCACAATCTCGGTTTACTGCAACCTCTGCCTCCTGGGTTCAAAGCGATTCTCCTGCCTCAGCCTCCTGAGTAGCTGGGATTACAGGCGCCTGCCAACGCGCCCGGCCAATTTTTGTATTTTTAGTAGAGACGGGGTTTCACTATGTAGGTCAATCTGGTTTTGAACTCCTGACCTCAAATGATCCACCTGCCTCGGCTTCCCAAAAGTGCTGGGATTACAGGCATGAGCCACCGCACCCGACCTCCTTTGTTCTTACAAAGCACAGTAGCTTTAAGTGAACTAAGTGCTACTCTGAGGCCTGAGAGATTCTGATTTAATCTCTCTAGGCCTCAAGTCTCACTCTGTTGCCCAAACTGGAGTGCAGTGGCATGATCATTGTTCATTGCGGCCTCCACCTCCTGGGCTCAAGCAATCCTCCCACCCCAGCCTCTGGAGTAGCAGGGACTACAGGTGTGTGCCACCATGCCTGGCTAATTTTTAAATATTTTGTAGAGACTGAGTCTCACTGTGTTTTCCAGGTTTATCTTGGACTCCTAGCTGCAAACAGTCCTCCTACCTAGGCTTCTCAAAGTGTTGGGATTACAGGTGTGAGTCACCACACCCGGCCCCACATTTCTTTATTTAACTTCTTCCTCCTACTTTTTTCTTATAGAATACAGCAGTTTTAAATGAGTTGGTAAGCATTTCTCCAAGCAATTCAAAGAACTTGATTTGATTTCATTCTTCCGTAGTAGATGTGTAGGTAGAAGTCAGTTTACATTTGGTAAACAAAGCTCAAAGCTGAGAAACATCAGTATTACACAGATAACCCTTCTGTGGCAAGGTCAATATTTTGAGTGTTGTGCTTCCTAGCCTGATGTTTTGCCCACCAGATTTGACAGCTCAGTTATAGCAATTAAGGAAACTGCTTAGTGTTATCTCATCTTATCTTCACAGTTCTTTTTTTTTTTTTTTCTTTTTTTTGAGACGGAGTCTCACTCTGTCCCCTAGGCTGGAGTGCAGTGGCACAATCTTGGCTCTCTGCAAGCTCCGCCTCCTGGGTTCAAGCCATTCTCCTGCCTCAGCCTCCCAAGTAGCTGGGACTACAGGCACCCGCCACCACACCCTGCTAATTTTTTGTATTTTTTTAGTAGAGACGGGGTTTCACCATGTTAGCCAGGATGGTCTCAACCTCCTGACCTTGTGATCTGCCCACCTCGGCCTCCCAAAGTGCTGGGATTACAGGCGTGAGCCACCGCGCCCAGCCTCATCTTCACAGTTCTAAAGGTCTTTCTTTGCCTGTTTCAAAAAAAAAAATGTGGTGGAAAGAACACAAATGTCCATTAACTGATGTATGGATTTAAAAAAATGGCATAGCCATACAATGGAATATTATTTGGCCATAAAAAAGAAAGAAGTAAGGTTGGCGCAGTCTTCACACCTGTAGTCCCAGCACTTTGGGAGGCTGAGGCAGGCGGATCAACTGAGATCAGGAGATCGAGACCAGCCTGACCAACATGGATAAACCCTGTCTCTACTAAAAATACAAAATTAGTCGGGCATAGTAGTGCATGCCTGTAATCCCAGCTACTCGGGAGGCTGAGGCAGGAGAATCGCTTGAACCCGGGAGGTGGAGATTGTGGTAAGCTGAGATCGCCCCATTGCACACCAGCCTGGGCAACAAGAGGGAAACTCCGTCTTAAAAAAAATACAAAAAAAAAAAAAACACAAAAAAACAATGAAGTGGCTAGGCGCCATGGCTCACACCTATAATCCCAGCCCTTTGGGAGGCTGAGGCAAGAGACGAATGCTTGAGGCAAGAGTTTGAGACCAGCCTGGGCAACATAGGGAGACCCTGCCTCTACAAAAAATTTAATAATTTTAAAATTAGGATGTGGTGGCATGCCCCTGTGGTCCCAGCTACTTGGGAGGCTGAGGCAGGAGGATCGATTGAGCTCAGGAGGTCAAGGCTGCAGTGAGCCATGATGGTGCCACTGCACTCCAGCCTGGGTGACAGAGCAAGACCCTGTCTCAACAAAGAAAGAAAGAAATAAAGTACTCATACATATTACAACATGAATGAACCTTTGAGACATTATGCTAACAAACTAGTCACAAAAGACCACATGTTATATGATTCCATTTATATGCAATGTTAGAAAGGGCAAATCAATAGAGACAAAAAGTAGATTAGTGTTTGCTTAGGGTGGGGGATAATAGGGAGACACAGGAGTGATAGCTAAAGTATATGGGGTTCTTTTTGAAGTAATGCAAATGTTCTAAAATTGATTGTGGTGATGGTTGTGAGTATACGAAAAGCCACTGAATTGTACACTTTGGGTGAATTGTACGGTATGTTAATGACATGTCAATAAATCAATTTTTAAACTATGAAAAGATATTCAACTTCATAAGAGAAATGAACATTAAAACAACAGTGAGCAGTGCTTGCTTCAGCAGCACATATGCTAAAATTGGAATGATACAGAGAAAATTAGTGATATTAAACATGTATGTAAAAGAAAACCCAACAGTGACCAACCATTTTTCACTCATCAGAGTGGCAAACATTTAAAAGTCTGAAATATTTATCCTGGGCAAGAGTGTGGGAAAGTTGGTGCTCTTGTGCACCATTGGTGGGAGTTATAAATTGTGGCAGCTCTCTTGGAGGGAAGTTTGCTAAGATCTTTTTTTTTTTTTTATAAAACCATTTTTTTTTGATAAAACGTTTATTTTTTTTATTTTTATTTTTTTTTGAGATGGAGTCTTGCTCTGTTGCCCAGGCTAGAGTGCAATGGCGTGATCTCGGCTAAATGCAATCTCCACCTCCCGGGTTCAAGAGATTCTCCTGCCTCAGCCTCCCGAGTAGCTGGGATTACAGGTGACCACCACCACGCCTGGCTAATTTTTTGTATTTTTAGTAGAGATGGGGTTTCACCATGTTGGCCAGGCTGGTCTTGAACTCCTAACCTCCTCATCTACCTGCCTCAGCTTCCCAAAGTGCGGGGATTACAGGTGTGAGCCACTGGGCCTGGCCGCTAAGATATTTTATGATTCAACATACATGTACGTTTTGATTTAGCCACTCCACTTCTAGGAATTTATTGTACCATATATTTATTAAGCATGAAAATGATTACTGCAACATTGTTTGCGATAACAAAAACTGAAACAACCAAAAGTCTATCAACACAGAATTGAGTAAAATAAATTATAAATCCATTTATAAAATTTACAAATAAATACCACTATGCTGTTAAAAGAATTAAGGTGCAGAACAGTTTGTACAAAAAGGGAAGAAAATGAGAATAGGAATATATATGAGCCGGGCATAGTGGCTCATGCCTGTAATCTCTGCACTTTGGGAGGCAGAGGCAGGGGGATCACAAGGTCAGGAGTTTGAGACCAGCCTGGTCAACATTGTGAAACTCCGTCTCTACTAAAAATACAAAAAATTATCTGAGCATGGTGGCAGGCGCCTGTAATCCCAGCTACTCAAGAGGCTGAGGCAAGGGAATCGCTTGAACCTGGGAGGCGGGGGTTGCAGTGAGCCGAGATCGTGCCACTGCCCTCCGGCCTGAGTGACAAGAGGGAAACTCCATCTCATAAAAAAAAAAAAAAAAAAGAATATATATGGCTGGGCGCAGTGGCTCACACCTGTAATCCTGGCACTTTGGGATGCCGAGGCGGGCAGATCATGAGGTCAGGAGTTCGAGACCAGCTTGGCCAATATGGTGAAACCCCGTCTCTACTAAAAATACAAAAATTAGCCAGGCATGGTGGTGGGTACCTGTAATCCCAACTACTCGGGAGGCTGAGGCAGAAGAATCTCTTGAACCAGGGAGGTGAAGGTTGCAGTGAGCCGAGATCATGCCACTGCACTCCAGCCTGGGTGACAGAGTGAGATGCCATCTCAAAAAAAAAAAAAAAAAAAGAATATGTATGTATGGCTGGGTGCAGTGGCTCATGCCTGTAATCCCAGCACTTTGGGAGGCCAAGGTGGGCAGATCATGAGGTCAGGAGTTCGAGACCAGCCTGGCCAACATGGTGAAACCCTTTCTCTACTAAAAATACAAAAAAAATTAGCCAGGCGTGGTGTTGCGCACCTGTAATCCCAGCTACTCAGGAGGCTGAGGCAGGAGAATCGCCTGAACCCTGGAGGCAGAGGTTGCAGTGAGCTGAGATCACACCATTACACTCCAGCCTGGGCAACAGGGCGAGACTTCGTCTCAAAAACAAAAAACAAAAACCAAAAGAATATATATGTATGTATTTGCACAAAGGATATGCAATAAACTAATGGGAACGGTTACCTGGTTGTGTGAGAACTAGACAGATGAGAGATAGAAGTGGATGTGAGAGTTTTCACTGAATACCTTTTCAGATTGTTTTTTGAGCCATGTGAATGTGTAACCCAAAGAAAATCAAATTTAAAACATTAAGGATATGACTGAAATAAAGCTTATCCACATATAGTAAAATATAACTTGTATAAGATTAGGTGAAAAATACACGTTGCAGAATAGTATAGAGAGCATTCTTTCATTCATTTCTTTCAATTAATAGATGCTTTTGAGTTCTTAATTTGCATTCTAGACACTTGGGATATGGAAGTAAACAAAGCAGCCAGGCTCCTGCTCTCATGGAGGTCACATTTTAGCAGTGAATAAGTAAGCAAGCACTTAAATGAACAAGGCAATCTCAAACATAGTGATGGAGAGTGACTTAGATTGGGCAATAGTTACTTGATGGGTGTCACTACAGGCCTCTGTGAGGGAGTGACATAGGAGCTGACATCTGAGTGAGGGAACCTGGGAAAAGAAAGTGGTCCAGGACCCAGCGCGGTGGCTCATGCCTGTAATCCCAGCACTTTGGGAGGCCAAGGTGGGTGGATTGCTTGAGCTCAGGAGTTCAAGACAAGTCTGGGCAACATGGTGAAACCCCATCTCTACAAAAAATACAAAATTAGCTGGGCGTGGTGACATGCGCCTATAGTCCCAGATACCAGGGAGGCTGAGGTGGGAAGATCCCTTAAGCTCAGGAGGCAGAGGTTGCAGTGAGTGCAGCAGGGCCACAGTAGAGTGAGACCCTTTCTCAAAAAGAAAAAAAAGAAAAATGAAAAAGAACGACAAGAAAGTGTCCAGGAAGATAATGTAGTGAGGGCAAGGGTCCTGAGGCTGGAACAAGTTTGACAAGTTTGAAGATCTGAGTGGTAGAAGATGAAGTTAGAGTGGTAGTCAGGGGACACATCATGGGTTTAAATTAAAGATTAAACATGAAAATGTCTGGAAAGATACACAAAAATCTTATTAATAGTGACAATTTTGTGCGTGCGAATTGGAGATGAGAATCAGTAGGACTCTTTAATTTCCTATATTCTACTAGAGTTTGAATTTTTAAAGCATTTCAATATGCATAAAACAAATATGCTTCAAAGTAAAAAACATTAATACAATATTGAGCAGCAATCAGTGAAGGTAAACACTGTACCTAGCAGTTTGATAATTCCTTTGGTTCTAGTTCCCCTAGTGGTGATGATGAGGTAGTGCTGGTGATTATGTCCCAGCACAAACATCCTGGAGTGAGAGCTAAAATATCTTTAATACAACTCTGAAACACTCGGCCGGGCACGGTGGCTCACGCCTGTAATCCCAGCACTCTAGGAGGCCGAGGCGGGTGGATCACCTGAGGTTGGGAGTTCGAGACCAGCCTGACCAACTGACCAACATGAAGAAACCCCGTGTCTACTAAAAATACAAAATTAGCTGCGCGTGGTGGTGCATGCCTGTAGTCCCAGCTACTTGGGAGGCTGAGGCAGGAGAACCGCTTGAACCCGGAAGGTGGAGGTTGCCGTGAACTGAGATCGCGCCACTGCACTCCAGCCTAGGAAACAAGACCGAAACTCCGTCTCAAAAAAAAAGAACTCTGAAACACTCAACAGAAGTTTGAATTCTTGAAATTGTGTAATCCTTGCCAAATGATGGTTGGGAAAAATCATAAAATTGCTATTACAATCACAGCAGTCATCAACTGTATATCATGAAGCAGGGGCCAGCAAAGTCTTTAGATTTTAAAATTAAAACATCAGGAAAACTCTCCACTGGGATTGTCTTGAAATGGTATGGCTTAAATGCCCAGGTCCTGGTCCCCATCTCTTCTGAGCCTTTGCTCGAGCCTATCCTGCCCTGTCTTCTCTCCACTTTGGCAAAAACGCCTTTGCCTCCCTGCTTGGTCAGCTACATAGCTTCTCCATTAACTCACTTTGCCCCCCACATTAACTCGCCCTTTAGCACTCCCTGATGAGGATAATAATAGCTGATATTTATGAAGCAGTTATTGGGTACCAGATACCATAGTAATTCATGCTATCTTGTTCAATCCTCAAACGAACCCTGTGAGGGATGTGCTATTTTCATCCCCCCTGTACAGATGAAGAGGGGCAATCTGAGGCACAGGACCATTCAGTGGGATCCCACAGCTGGTAAGTGGTAGCTGATCAAGAAGAAAGGAAAAAGCCACCCTTTCCTCCCTGCTTGCTCAGCTACCACTTACTAGCTGTGGGATCCCACCTAATGGCCCTGAATCCCTGTCTGACTGTAGACCACATGCATTTAAGCAGCAAGCTGTATTTGAATGTGCTGTTTCTATTTGGATACTGAATATATATTTTAATAAGTGTAAATCATGGGTCCTCATAAACCCAAATGTCTATAGGGGCCAGAACGTGAGTCCAGAGAACTTTATATATATATATGTGTGTGTGTGTGTGTGTGTGTGTGTGTGTGTGTGTGTGTGTATATGTATATATGTGTATATATGTATATATGTATATATATGTGTATATATGTATATATATGTGTATATGTGTATATATGTATATATGTGTATATATGTATATATGTGTGTATATATATTTTATGTATGTGTGTGTGTATATATATGTATTATATATGTGTGTGTGTGTGTGTGTGTGTGTATATATATATATATATATATATATTTTTTTTTTTTTGAGTCAGGGTTTCATTCTGCTACCCAGGCTGGAGTGCAGTGGTGAGATCATGGCTCACTGCAGCCTCGACTTCTTGGGCTCAAGTGATCCTCCCACCTCAGCCTCTTGAGTAGCTGGGACTACATATGTGTGCAACTATGCCTGGCTAATTTTTTTTTTTGAGATGGAGTCTCGCTCTGTTGGTCTGCCTCGTGGGTTCACGCCATTCTCCTGCCTCAGCCTCCCGAGTAGCTGGGACTACAGGCGCCCGCCACCACGCCCGGCTAATTTTTTGTATTTTTAGTAGAGATGGGGTTTCACTGTGTTAGGCAGGATGGTCTCGATCTCCTGACCTCGTGATCCACCCGCCTCGGCCTCCCAAAGTGCTGGGATTGCAGGCGTAAGCCACCGTGCCCGGCCACATTGGATTCTTTTCTATATTTTGAGTTTTTACTATGTGAATGTATTTTTCAAAAAAACATTTTAATGATCATAGAAAACTACTTCCAGAAGTTGAGGCCAATAACTTACATCTGTGGTCTGATAGGGTGTGCTATAACATCCTCACTGGAAGGAGGACACTCCATGTTCTTATCACAGCAAAAACATATGCCACTCACATATGTTTGGAATCGTTTCAAAGCTACATAACTCTTGCTGAAGTTAAATAGATACGTGACAATGCCAGAGTGACAGTGCTCTCCTGCAGACCAATTAAAAGGGAGTCTCAGGGCATGGGTATAGGTTGTTTTGTTTTGTTTTGTTGAGACAGAGTCTCACAGTGTCACCCAGGCTGGAGTGCAGTGGTGCAATCACAGCTCACTGCAGCCTTCACCTCCTAGGCTCAAGCAATCCTCCCATTGCTCCTGAGTAGCTGGGCCTACAGATGCATGCCACCAGGCTAATTTTTTTAAGAAATTTTTTTGTAGAGACAGGGTCTCATTATGTTGCTCAGGCTGGGTCTCAAACCCCTGGGCTCAAGAGATCCTCCCATCTCTGCCTCCCAAAATGCTGGGATTACAGACGTGGGCCACTGTACCCAGTCAGCATGGTTTTTTTGTTTTTGTTTTTGTTTTTTTTTTGGCTCCCCTCAATGATTCTAATGTGCAGCAAGGTGTCACGTAGACCAAGGATGTTAATCTATAGGAAATATTAATGGAATAAAAACAAGAACTTGTAATACATACTTTCTATGCCCTAGGCCTTGTCCTCTGTGGTAAATTCAGAGAATCCATTTGATTCAGTGATAGAGTCACAAATGCCATACGATTCTGTGATAGCCCAAGCTTGCCAAATGAATGTCTGCCAAAAGGAAGTGAAATAAATATAGAATAATATTCATGAGGAGATTGATGGCTCAGCAAAAGTTCCTTGAGAACATGGTATATGCCTAGTGCTGCAGGAGGTGTAAAAGGAATCTATTTTAGTGGTTCTTCCCATAAGGAACTTAGATTGCAATTAAAGAGATAAGACGGGGGCCGGGCGCCATGGCTCACGCCTGTACTAGGGCCATCTAGTCCCTCCCCCTGAAGGCAACTACTTTATGGGTTGCTTGTGAATCCTTCCAGAGACATTATTATCGTAAGTTAAATAGTTCTTTTTTATTTTTTGGCTTCAGATAGGAATTTTCTTTTTTTTCTTTTTTTTTTTTTGTTTTGAGACGGAGTCTCGCTCTGTCACCCAGGCTGGAGTGCAGTGGTGTGATCTTGGCTCACTGCAAGCTCCGCCTCCTGGGTTCACGCCATTCTCCTGCCTCAGCCTCCCGAGTAGCTGGGACTACAGGTGCCCACCACCACGCCCAGCTAATTTTTTGTATGTTTAGTAGAGATGGGGTTTCACCATGTTAGCCAGGATGGTCTCGATCTCCTGACCTCGTGATCCGCCCGCCTTGGCCTCCCAAAGTGCTGGGATTACAGGCGTGAGCCACCGTGCCCAGCCCCAGATAGGAATTTTCTTTAATCACTCTCTTTTTTGACAGTTTCCTTAATATTTCCTTGATAGTAACGGAGCTAAGGTTAAAGGGAAAGACTGATTCATTGTGTTAGAGTGTAACAGGATCTGGAGGTCATCCTGTCCTTTTTTAATCCAAGTGTGGTCCTTGGATCAACATGGAGCTCACCTGGGTGCCTGCTAGAAAAGAAGAGTCTCAGACCTCACCCAGGCATCCTGAAGCAGAAGTTGCATCTTAACCAGACCTCCAGGTGATTTGTGTGGACCTTTAAGTTTGAGAATCATTGTTTTTGTCCAATCTTAACAAATCAAGGAAGCATGGTTCTGCAAGGAGCCAGTGCAGAACTGATACTCTAAATCAGGTCTTCTGACACCTCGTCTAGTGCATTTCTTTCTTTCCTTTATTTCCCTTTCCTTCCTTCCTTTCCTCCCCACCCCCCTTCTTCCTTTTTTTGAGACAGGGTCTTCCTCTGTCCCCCAGACTGGTGTGCATTGGTGGTGGAATCATAGCTCACTGCAGCCTCGAACTCTAGGGTCCAAGAGACCCTCTTGTGTCATCCTCCTGAGTAGTTAGGACTACAGGTACATGCCATCATGTCTGGCTAATTTATTGTATTTTATTTTTAGTAGA
Source organism: Homo sapiens (assembly GCF_000001405.40). Taxonomy (NCBI): domain Eukaryota; kingdom Metazoa; phylum Chordata; class Mammalia; order Primates; family Hominidae; genus Homo; species Homo sapiens. Next base: position 67,851,743 of record NC_000010.11, on the reverse strand, counting down.
GATAACATCGCACTTTGTTGCCCAGTTTGGTCTTGAACTCCTGGCTTCATGCGATCCTCCTGCCTCCCAAAGTGTTGGGATTACAAGCATTTTCTAATATGCCACAATTCTGGCCAGATAATTTGATGTAACATTTTAAACATTTTCTTCACCAGGGACTTTGGAGTCAGACACAGCAGAGTTCAAGTCCCAGCTTTGTCACTAGCACATAATAAGAGCTCACTAATGGTGTTAAATAAAATTTATAGGCCATTGGTTTGAACTGAGCTCCTGCACTAGGCCCAATAGACAAAACCAAAATGAAGTTACTCATGCCAAACTACCATGTCACCAAAACAAAACTAAGTTGCTTATTCCACCTTCCAAGAAATCAGGAGAGAAACCCACACAGGCCAGTTTCAGCTGGCATAATAAGAAAGTCGGCTGTGCTTTAATTTTACAAGGAAAGTAACTTTGAAACGACCAATCTGCTTTTTGTTATCTCTTTCTGCTTTCTTCAGCCCCTTTTTGGCTTATAAAGCCAGCCTCCTGCCCAGATCCCAGAACACTCAATTTATTTTACAGAATGAGGTGTTATCTGATTTATTGCAAATAAAAGCCAATTAAGATCTTTAAATTTGTTGTAATTTTATCTGATGAGTGGTTATTATACGTCTATTTTTTTTTTTTTGAGAGAGTTTCGCTCTTGTTGCCCAGGCTGGAGTGCAGTGGTGCGAGCTTGGCTCACTGCAACCTCCGCCTCTCCGGTTCAAGTGATTCTCCTGCCTCAGTCTCCGGAGTAGCTGGAATTACAGGTGCCCACCATCACGCCCAGCTAATCTTTGTATTTTTAGTGGAGACGGGGTTTCACTATGTTGGTGAGGCTGGTCTTGAAACTCCTGACCTCAAATGATCCACATGCCTTGGCCTCCCAAAGTGCTGGAATTACAGGCGTGAGCCATCGTGCCCGGCCTATTATACTTCTTATTGTTACTTAAAAACAAACAAACAAACAAACTACTTTTAGAGCAGTTTAGTTTCACAGCAAAATTGAGGGGAAAGTACAGAGTTCACATACCCCATCTCCCTTCCTCCCAGAATAACCTATCAACATCCTGCACTTACTATTCTTAAAAATGGCATTAATAGCATTCATCATCGCACCTGATTATAACTTGAAAACGCTATTTCTTTTTTCATTTTTTGAGACAGAGTCTTGCTCTGTCGCCCAGGCTGGAGGGCAGTGGTGCGATCCCGGCTCACTGCAAGCTCCGCCTCCCGGGTTCAAGCGATTTTCCTGCCTCAGCCTCCCGAGTAGCTGGGACTACAGGCCCCCGCCACCACGCCCGGCTAATTTTTTGTATTTTCAGTAGAGACGAGGTTTCACCGTGTTAGCCAGGATGGTCTCCATCTCCTGACCTCAGGTGATCCGCCCGCCTCGGCCTCCCAAAGTGCTGGGATTACAGGTGTGAGCCACCGCGCCCGGCCTGAAAACGCTATTTCAACAGCCTTTGGAGAATCATTTACGAATTTCTAGGTATTCATGTATTCTATGTCTGACTCAACAGTAACGCCTTTTGACTCATCCGGTTCTTGGACCAGGACGCTGTCTTGCTCTGTAAGCCAGGGAGAGATTTTATTAGGCTATTTTACAAATGCAGGGTCTGAAACAAAAAGGTTACGGTCCGGGCAGGCTATGTTTTCTTTCTACTGGATCTTAAGCTGGACCGGATCAGTAGATTGAGGAGCAGGCTTTAGAGAGCCCAGTGTCAATCTGGAATCTAAGCCCTTCTATCAGAGCGCAAAACTCGTGTCCAGGACCCCAGCCTTAGCGGGGAGCAGGGGCCCGTGTGTCGGGAAATAAGGACGAATGGTTGCAGGCACAGTTTCTGGAACCTGCGTTTTGTGCCTCCTTTGCTCGTATTTGGAAAAACCGCTGGGGAAAGGCGCCGATTTCATTCTGCAATACAGAACTTTGAAGCGAGGCTGGAAGGAAAAACGAGAGGCGGAAAGGGTCAGGTCAGAGTGCGACTTTCAGGGCCGCGCAGAGCCCACCTGTGGGCTGGCTAATTTTCATCCTCGCTCGGAGCTTCTGGAGCTTGTAGCCTCTTGTTTTCCAGCCTTTCTCCTTTTGATTTGAGCTTAGTTTCAGTTTACCTACTTCCAGACTAGGGCATTCGATGTAAAAATAGCACTTACGGAGGGCGGGGGGCGGAGGGGGGGACGGTGTCCCTGAGTATGAAAGTAACTGGCTTGTTTCCGGTTCCTCTGTGGCGCCGTTCTCGCGATGCTCGCGATGCCTTATGGGAGTTGTAGTCTCGGGTGAGAGACGCTTCCCGGCAGGGAGGAACAGGCCTCCAAGGCCTAGGATTGAGCATCGGACTCTCCGTGTCTTGTGTGTGTGGTTCTCTTCTCTTCTCTTGTCTTGTGTGTGTGGTTCTCTTCTCTTCTCTTCTCTTCTCTTCTCCCCTCCCCTCCCCTTCCCTGCCCTCCCCTCCCCTCCCCTCCCCTTCCCTGCCCTCCCCTGCCCTCCCCTGCCCTCCCCTTTCTTTTTTCTGACGGAGTGTCACTCTGTTGCCCAGGCTGGAGTGCAGTGGCGCGATCTCGGCTCACTGCAACCTCCGCCTGCCTGGTCAAGCAATTCTCCTGCCTCAGGCACCCGAGTAGCCGGGACTATAGGCGCCCGCCACCACACCCGGCTAATTTCTGTATTTTTAGTAGAGATGGGGTTTCACCATTCTGGCCAGGCTGGTCTGGAACTCTTGACCTCAAGTGATCCACCCGCCTTGGCCTTCCAAAGTGCTGGGATTACAGGCGTGAGCCACCGCGCCCGGCCTCCACAGAGCTTTAACTCTGTTAAAAAGTTCTACATAATTTCTACTATACGCTATATTCTTCCATACAGAAGAAAAATTATGGGATGACTACATCGACTTCACACAGTTTAAAAAAGTATAAAAGGAAATGAAAATCTTCTTTTGAGTACCTGCCCAGTTCCTCCCCTAAAAGAATACTGTTGCTTGCTTTTTTTTTTTTTTTTTGAGATGAACTTTGGCTCTTGTTGCCCAAGCTGGAATGCAATGGCGCAATCTCGGCTCACTGCAACCTCCGCCTCCCGGGTTCAAGCAATTCTCCTGCCTCAGCCTCCCTAGAAGCTGAGATTACAGGTGTGCGCCACCACTCCCAGCTAATTATTATTAGTAGTAGTAGTAGAGACGGAGTTTCACCATGTTGGCCAGGCTAGTCTCGAACTCCTGACCTCAATCAGGTGATCCACCCGCCTCAGCCTCCCAGAGTTCTGGGATTATAGGCATGAGCCACTTCGCCCGGCCTGCTGCTTGCTTTTTTTTTTTTTTGAGACGGAGTCTCGGTCTGTAATCCAGGCTGGAGTTCAGTGGTACGATCTTGGCTCACTGCACCTCCACCTCCTGGGTCCCGGTTAAAAAAATTCACCTGCCTCAGTCTCCCGAGTAGCTGGGATTACAGGAACGCACCACCATGCCACGCTAATTTTTGCTTTTTTTTTTTTTTTTTTTAAGTAGAGACGGGGATTTCACCCTGTTGGCCAGGCTGGTCTTGAACTCCTGACCTCATGATCTGCCCACCTCGGCCTTCCAAAGTGCTGGGATTATAGGCGTGAGCCACCGCTCCCAGCCTGTTGCTTGCTTTTTAAAGGCAGTTATCTTTAGAAAAAATTACAAGTGCAAATGTACATACTATTAAAAAGTACACAATAGAGATAATACTGTAATACTCTTCTCAAACCTGTTTTTTCATTTGATAGCACTCGTTAGACATCTTTCCATACTTGCACATAAAAAGCTATCTTTATTCTCTTTTCACTGGCAATACAATAGTTCATCCTACAAATAGCATAATTTATTCATCTCCTGCCCTCCTCAACTCCACCGATGAACATTTTGTTGTATATATATTTTTTCCTGTTGCAAACGACGCTGCAGTGGTCCTCTTGAACATATTTTGGTGTATATCCACAAGCTGAATTTGTAGAGACAAAATTGCCCTGTCAAGTATAGATATGCTTTATAAAAGGTGATAAATACACCAAATTGCCAAATTGTACCAAATTACACTCTCATCCAACAATGTATGGAAATGCTTTCTTCGTCATTTCTGTTTTCTGGCATGGGTATTATCAAACCTTTGCTAATCTGAGAGGTGAACAACTTTATCCTCTTTGGATTGATTTGCAGTTTCATAATTATTAGTGATGTTGCACTACTATTTGTATGTTTATTGGTCGTTTGTATTTCTGAAAGTAGTTGTATTTTTGGCTTAATTTTCTTTCTTTCTTTCTTTTTTTTTTTTTTTTTTTCTAGACGGAGTCTCGCTCTGTCGCCCAGGCTGGAGTGCAGTGGCGTGATCTCCGCTCACTGCAAGCTCCGCCTCCCAGGTTCACACCATTCTCCTGCCTCAGCCTCCCGAGTAGCTGGTACTACAGGCGCCTGCCACCACCCCCGGCTAATTTTGTTTTTTTTTGTATTTTTAGTAGAGACGGGGTTTCACCGTGTTAGCCAAGATGGTCTCCATCTCCTGACCTGGTGATCCGCCTGCCTCGGCCTCCTAAAAGTGCTGGGATTACAGGCGTGAGCCACCAAGCCCGGCATTTTTGGCTTAATTTTCTGTTGTGTTGTTAAGCTTTTTAAAATTGATTTGTCTGCACTTGTATATTAAGGAAGTTAGCCTTTTGTCTGTTATGAGAATTATGAAATTTTTTTCTTTGTATATTATTTGCCTTCTGATTTTGCTTTTGTATTTTTTTGGTCACATAAATGTGCTTACTTTTTTTTTTGAGACAGGGTCTTGCTCTGTCGCCCAGACTGGAATGCAGTGGCGTGATCTCAGCTCACTGCAGCTTGGAGTTCCCCAGACTCAAGCGATCCTCCTGCCTCAGCCTCCCTAGTAGCTAGCTGGGATACAAGTGCTTTTTTTTTTTTTTTTTGTAGAGACTGAGTCTTGCCATGTTGCCTAGGCTGGTCTCAAATTCTGGGGCTCAAGCGATCCACCTGCCTTGACCTCCCAAAGTGCTGGGATTACAGGCATGGGCCACCGTGCCAGGCCACTTAATTTTTATATAGTTATGCTCATGAGATTTTTTTCCATGGCTTCTGTGTTATTTGATTTTTCTGTAATTTATTTTGGTATAAGGAGGAGTGGCTCTAGCTTTATTATTTATCACTTCTCCAAAAGATTAGCTAGTGGTCTTGTCATGATTTTTGTTACCTCTATAGATGGGGAGAAAATCCCAAAGAATATTAAAATTATATCCTACCATGAGATGCTGCAACAGGTTTGAAGGTTAGTTTTGGGGAACAGAGCAGGAATAACAAAGTGGCACTCCAACTTCCCTCAAAACATCTGCTCATCTTGTATTATTGCTTTTTCTGAACAATATCCTATGCCAATATTTATTAAAATAAGTAATGAAAATTTTCTAATCCATACGCAACTTAAAAAAGACACTGGTTAGGCCGGGCATGGTGGCTCACACCTGTAATCCCAGCACTTTGGGAGGCCGAGGCGGGCAGATCACGACGTCAGGAGATCGAGACCATACTGGCTAACACGGTGAAACCCCTCTACTAAAAATACAAAAAATTAGCTGGGTGTGGTAACACGTGCCTGTAGTCCCAGCTACTCGGGAGGGTGAGGTGGGAGGATCACTTGAACCCAGGAGGTGGAGGTTGCAGTGAGCTGAGATCGCACCACTGCACTCCAGCCTGGGTGACAGAGCGAGACTCCATCTCAAAAAAAAAGACAAATAAAGTATTGTATGACCAGGGTGGAATGCTGTGCAGATGTTGAAAAGAATGAGACAATCAAGTGAAAAGGGAAAAAGAGCACTAAGATTCAGAAGTGTATTGCTGTGGTTTGAGTGTGTCCCTCCAAAATTTATGTTGGAATTGAATACTCATTGTGATGGAATTAAGAAGTTGGGCCTTTTGGGAAGTGATTAAATCATGAGGGCTCTGTATTCATGAATGGGATTAGTGCCCTTATAAAAGGTTGAAGGGAGCTGCCTTGCCCTTTTTGTCACGTCAGGACACAGCAACAAGGTGTCATTTATGAAGCAAAGAGTAAGCCTTACCAGACACTGAATCTGCTGGCACCTTTATCTTGAACTTCCAAGCCTCCATAAATGTATGAAATACATTTATATTATTATTAATTTTTTTTTCAGATGGAGCCTCACTCTGTTGACCAGGCTGGAGTGCAGTGGTGCGATCTCAGCTCACTGCAACTTCTGCCTCCCAGGTTCAAGTGATCCCTCGAGTAGCTGTGATGACAGATGTGAGCCACCATGCCTGGCTAATTTTTGTATTTTTAGTGGAGACGGGGTTTCACCATGTTGGTCAGGTTGGTCTTGAATCCCTGACCTCGTGATCCACCTCCCTCGGCTTCCCAAAGTGCTAGGATTACAGGCATGAGCCACCGCGCCTGGCTGACCAGACTAATCTTAAAAGCTCTAAGTTTAACATGTTATTCACATGCTCAAGAACCTACAACAGTTCCTATTGCATCCATACTCACTCAGTGTCTTCCACCTGATCATCAAGGCTTTCTACATTCTGGCCCAGGTCTTCTGTTCAATCCCAGTATTAAAGGCATTCTCTCCAACATACCTTGCCATAAGGTCATTTTCCTTACCTTTAACTGAACACGCAATGGACATTTCCATCTCTGTATGATAGCTTATGTGTTTTGCTCCTTTCTCCTGCTTTTCATTTATTTTGTGAGTGCTTCTATGAATTCCTGGGTTAAAAAGTTCCTAAAAATCACATTGTCTTAGGCCATACTTGCATTGCTATGAGGGAATACCTGAACCTGGGTAATTTATAAAGAATATATATATATTTTTACTTTTCATTGAGACAGGGTCTCACTCTCTCACCCAGGCTGGGGTGCAGTGGCATGATTGTGGCTCACTGCAGCCTTGAGCTCCTGGGCTCAAGTGATCCTCCCACCTCGGCCTCTGGAATAGCTGGGACTACAGGCATACGCCACCATGCCCAGCTAATTTTTGTATTTTTTGTAGAGATGGGGTTTTGCCGTGTTGCCCAGGCTGGTCTCGAACTCGTGAGCTCAAGTGATCCACCTGCCTCAGCCTCCCAAAGTGCTATAACTACAGGCATGAGCTGTGACACTCGGCCAAGAAAAGAGTTTTAATTGGCTCGTGGTCCTGAAGGCTGTACAAGCATGCAGCCAGCATCTGCTTGGCTACTGGGGAGGCCTCAGAGAGCTTTTACTCATGGCAGAAGGCAAAGCAGGAGCAGGAATGTCACATGGCAAGAACAGGAACAAGAGAGTGAGGGGGAAGATGCCATACCACACACTTTTAAACAGCCAGATCTTATGAGAATTCACTCACTATTCTGAGGACAGCACCAGGAGGATGGTACTAAACCATTCATGAGAAATCTGGCTCCATGATCCCATCACCTCCTACCAGGCCCTAGCTCCAGCATTGGGGATTATGATTCAACATGAGATTTAGAGGGGACAACATCTAAACTGCATCATTCTACCTTGACCCCTCAAATCTCATATTCTTCTCACATTGCTGAATACAATTATCCCCTGCCCATAGTTCCCCAAAGTCTTAATTCATTCTAGCATTAACTCAAAAGTCCCAAGTCCAAAGTCTTATCTGAGACTCAAGCCATGTTCCTTCCACCTATGAACTTGTAAAATAAAAGACAAGTTATTTACTTCCAAGATACATGGAGATACAGGCATTGGGCAAACATTCCCTTTCCAAAAGGAAGAAATCAGCTAAAAGAAAGGAGCAACATGCCGGGTGCTGTGGCTCATGCTTGTAATCCCAGCACCTTGGGAGGCTGAGGAGGGTGGATCACCTGACGTCAGGAGTTGGAAACCAGCCTGGCCAACATGGTGAAACCCCGTCTCTACTAAAAATACAAAAATTAGCCGGGTGTGATGGCACATGCCTGTAATCCCAGCTACTCAGGGAGGATGAGGCAGGGGAATAGCTTGAACCTGGGAGGTGCAGGTTGCAGCGAGCCGAGATTGTGCCACTGTACTTCAGTCTGGGCAACAGAGCAAGACTCCACCTCAAAAAAAAAAAAGGAAAAAAAAGAAAGGAGCAACAAGTCCCAAGCAAGCCTGAAACCCAGCAGGACATTCATTAAATCTTAAAGATCCAAAATAATTCTTGACTCCATGTCTCACGTCCTTGGCACACTGCTGTGAGGGGTGGGCTCCCAATCCCTTGGGCAGCCCTGCCCTTGTGGCTTTGCAGGCTGCTCTCCTGGGTTGGAGTTGAGTGCCTGTGACTCTGTGACTTTTCCAGGTGCAGGGTGTGAGCTGCCAGTGGATCTACCACTCTGGGCCGGGAAGGTGGGGGCCCTATTCCCACAGCTTCACTAGGCAGTGCCCCAGTGGGGACTCTGTGTGGGAGTTTGTATTAGGCCATTCCCACATTTTTATAAAGAAATACCTGGCCAGGTGCAGTGGCTCATGTCTGTAATCCCAGCACTTTGGGAGGCTGAGGCAGGCGGATCACAAGGTCAGGAGTTTGAAACCAGACTGGTCAGTATGGTGAAACCTTGTCCCTACTAAAAATACAAAAATTAGCTGGGCATGGTTGCTTGTGCCTGTAGTCCCAGCTACTTGAGAGGCTGAGGCAGAAGAATCGCTTGAACCCGGGGGGTGGAGGTTGCAGTGAGCCAAGACTGCGCCGTCGCACTCCAGTCTGGGTGACAGAGCAAGACTCCATCACAAAAAAAAAAAAAAAGAAAAAAGAAATACCTAAGTCCGGGTGCAGTGGCTCATGCCTGTAGTCCAGCACTTTGGGAGGCCAAGGTGGGTGGATCACGAGGTCAGGAGTTCAAGACCAGCCTGGCCAAGATGGTGAAATCCCATCTCTACTAAAAAATACAAAAAATTAGCCAGGTGTGGTGGCAGGCGCCTGTAATCCCAGCTACTCAGGAGGCTGAGGCAGAGAATTGCTCGAACCCAGGAGGCAGAGGTTGCAGTGAGCTGACATTGTGCCATTGCACTCCAGCATGGGCGACAGAGTGAGACTCTGTCTCAAAAAAAAGAAAAGAAAAGAAAAGACATACCTGGGACTGGGTAATTTATAAAGAAAAGAGATTTAATTGGCTTATGGTTCTGCAGGCTGCACAGGGAGCATAACACAGGCATCTGCTTTTGGGGATACCTCAGGAAGCTTGCAATCACAGCAGAAGGTGAAGGGGGAGCAGGCATCTCCTATGGTGGGAGCAGGAGCAAGAGAGACAGAGAGTGAAGTGATACACACTTTTGAACAGCCAGATCTCAGAGAAGTCACTCATTTTTGTGAGGACAGCATCAAGAGGATGGTGCTCAACCATTCATGAGAAATCCAGTCCCATGATCTGATCACTTCCCACCAGGCCTTACCTCCAATACTGAGGATTACAATTCAACATGAGATTCAGGCAGGGAGACTTTCCAAACTATGTTAAAGTTCCAACCTCCCATTTCCCCTCTGCACTGCCCTAGTAGAGGCTCTTGGTGAGGGCTCTGTCCCTGTGGTAGGCTTCTTCTTGGGTACCCAGGCTTTCTTATATATTCTCTGAAATCTAGGAGGAAGCTGCCAAACCTCCTTCACTCTTGCATTCTGAACACCTGCAGGCTTAACACCACATGGAAGCCACCCAAGGCTTACAGCCTGCACCCTTCTGAGCTGTGGCCTGAGCTGTACCTGGGCCCCTTTGAGCTGAGGCTGGGGCTGAAGTGGCTGGATGCAGGAAGCAGCCTCCCATAGTGGTACAGGGCAGCAGCACCCTGAGCCTGGCCCCCTAAATCATTCTTTTCTCCTGGGCCTCTAGGCCTGTGATGAGAGGGGCTGCCTCTTAGATCTCTGAAATGCCTTTGAGGTTTTTTTCTCATTGTCTTGTCTATCAGCCTCTGACCTGGCTCCCTTTCATTTATGCAAATCTCTTTAGCAAGTGGTTGCTCTGCAGTCTGCTTAGATTCTTGCCCTGAAAATGGGTTTTTGTTTTCTACCACATGGCTAGGTTGCAAATTTTCCAAACTTTTACATTCTGCTTTCCCTTTAAATATAAGTTCCAACTTTAAGTCATTTCTTTGCTTCTGCATCTGAGGATAGGCTGTTAGAAGCAGCCAGGTCACTTCTTGAACACTTTGCTGCCTAGAAATTTCTTCTGCCAGATACCCTAAGTCATCACTCTTAAGTTCAAACTTCCACAGATTCCTAGGGCATGAATACCATATAGCTTTGTTCCTTGGTAAGGCATAACAAGAGTGACCTTTATTCCAGTTCTCAATAAGTTCCTCATTTCCATCTGAGACCTCATTAGCCTGGACTTCACTGTCCATATCACCGTCAGCATTTTGGTCACAACCATTTAACCAGTCTTGCAGGAGTTCCAAACTTTCCCTCATCTTCCTGTCTTCTTGTGAGCCCTCCAAAGTCTTCCAGCCTCTGCCCATTACCCAGTTTCAAAGCTGCTCCCACTTTGTCAGGTATCTTTATAGCAAGGCCCCACTCTTTGGTACCAATTTTTTGTGTCAGGCCATTCTTGCATTGCTATGAAGGAATACCTAAGACTTGGTAATTTATACTGAAAAGACGTTTAATTGGCTCACAGTTCTGCAGAATGTGGAAGCATGGAGCCAGCATCCGTTCAGCTTCTGGGTAGGCTTCAGGGAGCTTTTACTTATGGCAGAAGGTGAAGTGGGAGTAGACATGTTACATGGTGAGAACAGGAGTAAGAGAGCCAGGGGGAAGATACCACACACTTTAAAAACTTTTAAGCCGGGTACAGTGGCTCACCCCTCTAATCCCAGCACTTTGGGAGGCCACGGCGGGTGGATCACCTGAAGTCTGGAATTTGAAACCAGCCTGACCAACATGGAGAAACCCCATCTCTACTAAAAATTCAAAATTAGTCGGGCATGGTGGCACATGCCTGTAATCCCAGCTACTCAGGAGGCTGAGGCAGGAGAATCACTTGAACCCAGGTGGAGGTTGCGGTGAGCCAAGATCACACCATTGCACTCCAGCCTGGGCAACAAGAGTGAAACTCTGTCTCAAAAAAAAAATTATATTATTAATATAAAAATAAGGACAGAGTCTCACTATGTTGCGCAGGCTGGTTTTGAACTCCTGGGCTCAAACAATCCTCCTGCCTTGGTCTCTCAAAGTGCTGGGATTACAGGCATAAGCCACTGCAACTGGCCAATACCACACTTTTTTGTTTGTTTGTGTTAGACAAGGTCGTGCTCTGTCACCCAGGCTGGAGTGCAGTGGTGTGATCTCAGCTCATTGCAGCCTCCACCTCCTGGGTTCAAGCAATTCTCGTGCCTCAGCCTCCCAAGTAGCTGAAATTACAGGCATGTGCCACCACACCCAGCTAACTTTTTTGTATTTTCAGTAGAGATGAAGTTTTGCCATGTTGGCCAGGCTGGTTTCGAACTCCTGGCCTCAAGTGATCTGCCTGCCTCGGCCTCCCAAAGTTCTGGGATTACAGGTGTGAGCCACCATGCCCAGCCCTAACATTCCATTTGTTTAGTCATCCGTTGATGGACACTTGCATTGCCTCCACTTTTTGGCTATTATGACTAATGCCTTGATGAACATGAGTATATAAATATCTTTTCAAGTTCCTGCTTTCAATTCTTTTGTGTATTTACCCAGAAGTGGAATTGTGGGGTCACATGGTAGTTCTATGTTTAATTTTTTGAGGAACCACCATACTGCTTTCCACCATGGCAACTTCACATCATTAAAAGGCCATTTATCAGTGATTTAGATCAAGATATTGTGATCTAATTTTTTTTTTTTTTTTTGAGATGGACCCTGGCTCTGTCACCCAGGCTGGAGTCCAGTGGCACGATCTCGGCTCGCTGCAACCTCCGCCTCCCAGATTCAAGCAATTCTCCTGCCTCAGCATCCTGAGTAGCTGGGACTACAGGTGCGTGCCACCATGCTTGGCTAATTTTTGTATTTTTAGTAGAGACAGGATTTCATCACATTGGTCAGGCTGGTCTCGAACCCCCGACCTCGTGATCCGCCCGCCTCGGTCTCCCAGTGCTGGGATTATGGCATGAGCCACCGTGCCTGGCCTTAAAATTCTATATAGAACTTTTAGCAAGACAGCATGTACAATGAAGGATTAGTAAAAAATGGTGTTTCAGTGCTTTTTCTTGCTTCTCTTCAGAAATAAACCTTTAAAAAGATGTATATAGGTGGGCTAAAAGAAAAACTATTTTTTCCCCTCAGGTGGGGGAATTTAAAGTGTTAAGGGCCAGGCATGTTGGCTCACATCTGTAATCGCAGCACTTTGGGAGGCCAAAGTGGGAGGATCACTTGAGTCCAGGGGTTTAAGACCAATCTGGGCAATATGGCGAGACCCTGTCTCTCTGAAAAATGAAACAAAAAAAGTGTTAAGGCAGTCAAAGTGTTGTGTCCCTGACCACTCACCTTGTTCTCTAAATCCCAGACCTGAACTGTGTTTCTTAGGGCCAAAATGAACTGAAACATAAATTGCCTGGACCTACCTCAGACTAGAGACACTCCTGAGTCTGGAGAACCAACCCAGGAGAAATAGCACAGCCATCTGACCCGAGTTATCATACAGTTCTTCTCATTGTCCTATTTTATTTTCTCTAAAGCACAAATCACTATTTTATTTTTTTATTTTTTGAGATGGAGTCTTGCTCTGTAGCGCAGTCTGGAGTGCAGTGGCACCATCTCGGCTCACTACAGCCTCTGCCTCCTGGGTCCAAGTGATTCTTCTGCCTCAGCCTCCCAAGTAGCTGGACTACAGGTGTGGGCCACCATGCCTGGCTTACAAATCACTATTTTAAATGATCGTGTTTTTTTTTTTTTTTTTTTTTTTTGCATGTTTTTCAGCTGTCTTCCTCCATCAGAGCGTAAGCTCCATAAAAATCAAGACTGTGTTATTGGCTGGGCGCTGTGGATCATGCCTGTAATCCCAGCACGTTGGGAGGCCGAAGCAGGCAGATCGCTTTGAGCTCACGAGTTCGAGACCAGGCTGGGCAACATGGCAAAACCCCCTCCTCTTAAAACATAACAAAACAAAAACCAAAAATTAGCTGGACATGGTGCTATGTGCCTGTGGTCCCAGCTACTAGGGAGGCTGAGGTGGGAGGATCGCTTGAGCTGGGGAGACAGAGGTTGCAGTGAGCTGAGACTGCACCACTGCACTCCAGCCTGGGCAACAGAGTGAGACCTTGTCTGAAAATAAACAAATAAAAAATAAAATTAAGTATTTTAAACACTAAGAAAAGCTCCCATTATCCTTATTAACACATCCTAAGATTTTACCACATTGCTTCACATTTTTTTTCTTTTTTTTTTTTAAAGGATAGAGACAAAAATATATAGGAGATGGAGAAGTGGCTAATGTGGCAAGTTTCTGAAAATAGACAGTCTTTATTAACTCATAAGACAAATGGTTCACATGCATCTCTTATATAAACTCAAACTACAGATCCCAGGCAGCACTGCAATAATAGACACGTGGACTGTTCTTTTCTTCTCTGTAAACAGCCAATGAGAGGCAGAGTTTACAAAGGTCTAGGATGACATCTGGTGTATTGACTGTGGCCAGTCTTAAAGCTAGTTTTTGCTATGTGGAACATGCTGCTCTAATTCAGATTTAAAGAGTTTCTTCCTGTTAATTCGAAGCTCACTGTGCCTCTTGTTTCCGAGGGAAGAAGGACTGATTAAGTCATCTAAATGGATGCAATACTGAATTACAGGTCAGAAGATACTGAAGATTACTACACATTACTGGGATGTGATGAACTATCTTCGGTAAGACAGTGGATAATATTTTTATCACAACAGTATTCTTTTTCACAATAGTATTTCAAGTTTTTATTTAAGGTTTTAACTTTGAATTTTTAGTCACATTGCCTACAAACCTAACCTTGTGTTGTTTTAAAGCACTTTTGGCTCAGAGAAAGTTAAGAATTTAAATGTATGTTGGGATTTTACTTGAATAGTGTCCTATGGGAATTTTACGGAAGCTTCTGATTAAATATGTGTATTCTGGCACATGGCCATATGCTGTTTCACAATATAGTATATTAAAAATAAATATTTGAAATTTTATTGTAATTTCTGATGGCAGTGTTTCACAGTATATATAAGCTATACCTTTATTATGGTGACTCATAATTGAGGTGAAATGAAATTTCTTATAAAATTAGGGATTTTAATATATTTTATTAAAATGTGTACTCCTATGTGAGCAGTCAAAATAGAAACAAAGAAGCATCCCTTTATGTTAATATTTCAAATTGTGTGACAGAAATTACTTCTTGAAAGGGTGGCTTCTGAAACAAAACATGTGAAAACTCTGTAGCTGTTCACTGGATCTGTAAGAAAACAAAATTTTTAAAGTTCTCAATAAACAATTATAAAGGTTGTAGAGGTTTTTTAAATTATGGAAAAATCATTTATAATTCTCTCTCCCAAGGATAACAGTATTAATATTTTGGCATATTAATCTCCACTATTCTTTCTATGTATATTCTTTAAAGACCTGTTTGGGAGGATATTATATGTACTTGTTGATTCCTGCTTTTTACCCATTCGTATTATAACAAGGAATTTTCCATGCTATTAAACTTTCCTTGTACACTTTTTAGTGGTTGCAAAATATTTTATTTTGCTGTGTTACCACAGTTGAATTATTCTCTTATTGTTAAATATTTTATTTCCAATTTTTCAATATTTCAAATAATGTTGAGATTAATATAAAATATATTCATTATTAAATTATATATTATTAAATCATGTTATTAGGATATATTTATGTTTTATAATTAATGTATTTTATTTTATTTATTTTTATTAAAATCTAAGTAGTAAAATTAACATTGTAAAGCAAAATGTTTTTATATTTATTGTTGTTTCATAAAGGCAGTAGTTCATTAATAAAATGTGCTTAGTTTTGTTTTAAGAATAGAATGCATTACTGGACACAAAGGATTAAAATCTCTATTTTTGCCATGCTGAGGAAGTTATCTTAGACACGTTGAAATTAAAAAAACTGCCCCGCCCCCAGAATAGCTTATAATGGTCTTTTAGTTGCATATTTCTTCTCAAGAATGTGTTATTCTTGTTTATGTTGGTGGTGATTTGCTTATAGCAATTGAGAAAGCTTATTACCATTTTTACCATGTGTTATTCACAGTTGAAATTATACTATTATCAAACAATTTTTGAAGGAATAATTTAAAATCAAAGGAATATAATTTAACTTGATAAGGCTGACAATTTGGATTTAAAAAAATACATGCTAGCTTATACAGTAAGGGTCATTATATCTCCATAATCTTGTGACCTATTTAGTCAGTCCTTTTTTTTTTTTTTCAATTTTACTTTAAGTTCTGGGATCCCTGTGCAGAATGTGCAGGTTTGTTACATAGATACACATGTGCCAGGGTGGTTTGCTGCACCTATCAACCCATCATCTAGGTTTTAAGCCCCGCATACATTAGGTATTTGTCCTAATGCTGTCCCTCCCCTTCTCCCCCACCCCCCGACAGGCCCCGGTGTGTGATGTTCCCCTGCCTGTGTCCATGTGCTCTCATTGTTCATCTCCCACTTATGAGTGAGAACATGTGGTGTTTGGTTTTCTGTTCCTGTGTTAGTTTGCTGAGAATGATGGTTTCCAGCTTCATCCATGTCCCTGCAAAGGACATGAACTCATTCTTTTTTATGGCTGCATAGTCAGTCTTTTGAAGTTATGCTGTTGTCTTTTCAATCTACATAGAAGGAGGATTCATTTTGGACAGCCTTACAGAAAATAATCTCGTTGTTAATGTGTAATATTCAAAATATGGTTACCAGGTGGAGTCATACTTCCTTGTCTCAACATTCCTTTTACTGGATGTATTTTACTGGTCTGTCAATGGCATATCATATCTAGATAACAATTATTTATTTTTAATGAAATGTTTGTCATAATATTGTCACTTCTTTATATATATGTGTGTGTGTGTGTGTGTGTGTGTGTGTGTCATTTTTTCTCTCTTTTTTTTGTTTTTTTGAGATGGAGTCTCACTCTGTTGCCGGGCTGGAGTGCAGTGGTGCAATCTCAGGTCACTGCAACCTCCGCCTCCCAGGTTCAAGTGATTCTCCTTCCTCAGCTTCCTGAGTAGCTGGGACTACAGGCACATGCCACCATGCCTAGCTAATTTTTGTATTTTTAGTAGAGACGGGGTTTCACCGTGTTGGCCAGGATGGTCTTCATCTCTTGACCTCGTGATCTGCCTACCTCGGCCTCCTAAAATACTGGGATTACAGACGTGAGCCACCGCACCTGGCTTTTCTCTTCTTTTTATAGGTATGCTTCTCATTTCAAAAATATTTTTATGACATTTTTGACTAATATGACATTTCCTTTACTTGATTTGTATTGGATAGATTGCCTTTACTTCAGGTATTCCTTCATTTGATGCTCTAAAATTAACCAGAACTCATCATGCCCGAAAGCATTTTAGCTGTTATAATTTCAAAACAATTTGATATTCTAATTTTACTTATCACAATTGAATTGAGACACCCACATAATACTTTTGCTTTGGTATATAGTTCTTACAATTTAAAGTTTGTGCTAGAAATTGATTAAAGTAAAATTATGTATTTTCTAATGGTTCTAGAGCAGTAATCCTGAAGCTTTTCCTTCTCAGAGAGTTTTTAAAATTATCTTTCAGAAATTGAAAATACAACCATGAAAACAAGCAATGAGACTAATTTTCTAGTTTACATAATGACATATATAAATTATGGGAGGATTTCCATGTTATATAGAAAACAATATATTCCCCATTTCAAAACAATTTAACAAAGATTGATTCCAAGACAGTTAGCCTTTCTCCCTATATTGGATTTTTTTTTTAAATTTTTGTTTCTTTGAGATGAAGTCTCACTGTGTTGCCCAGGCTGGAGTGCAGTGGCAGGATCTCAGCTCACTGCAGCCTCCTGGGTTCAAGTGATTCTCCTGCTTCAGCCTCCTGAGTAGCAGGGATTATACGTGCATGCCACTATGCCCAGCTAATTTTTGTATTTTTGTACAGATGAGCTTTCACCATGTTGTCCAGGCTGGCCTTGAACTCCTGACCTCAAGTGATCCGCCGCCTTGGCCTCCCAAAGTGTTGGGATTACAGGCATGAGCCACCGCGCCCGGCCTCTATTCCTCAGTTTTCTAACCTGTAAATGGAAGTAAATAGTACCCACCTCACAGAGTTGTGGGGATTAAATAATACGTGATATATAAAGTACTTTGAACAGTGCCTGGTGCAGAGCGCTAAGTTGTGGTGGTTGTGGTTGTGGCTGTTGTTTTGGCCCCCACAGTGTTACTGTGCACTTGGAACTTAGTACACTTATCCTATCCTTGAGTTTGCATTATTTTTAAGATGTTTTATTTTGCAATAATTTTTGACTTACAGAAAAGTTGTAAAAATAGTACAACAGAGTTCCTATATACCCTTAACCCAGCTTCCCTTTATGTTAACATCATACCTAATGAAAGTATAATGATCAAAATCAGAAATTAAAAAAAATTATAGCTCTGAGGCATTTTATTATAAAAGCTTGGTACTCATATACATAAACTAAAATGAACTTAAAATTCATCATACATTTACTTCATTTTTTAGCTTGACCTTCTAGTAAATTTCTAGCTTCACTGATTTTGGCTGCTATGATTTAAGAGTATAATTTATCAATGAGCATCTCTTATTTTCCCTTTTTTGGCAGTAGGGCTTACCCCTAGCATTAATGCTGCTTCTTGTTTTGTCATTTTGGGTTCAAACTCACCTCAGTAATAGCCACCACTGAAGGCAGATTTTGATAGACTTTGAAAAACTTGCTTTACTTGAGGCTCCATGTGCTCCATGGCTTGCAAAACATAATGGCCTGCAAATCCTGCAGCAGCAATGGTCAGTCCAACTGCTACCATTGTACTGGCCATGGCTATAGCTGGGCTCCCTTGCCTCTACCGAGAGCCTGGATCATCCCAGCCCAGAGATCATGGCCCAAAACTGCACACCTTTACCAGAGTGACGCAGCCACCGATCGCAAGCACAAACCACCAAAAAATCAGAAAATTAACATTGCTATAGTTAACCCTACCATGGTCCAGCAAACATTTTTTTGTAAAGGACTAGATAGACAGAGTCAGGACTAGAATGAGGCAAGTAGGGTGTGTAGGATGCAAAATTTAAGGAGGCACTAACATTTAGGGTTGCGCATGTACAGAAATTTGAGAGAGACAGAGAGAGAGAGAGAGAGAGAGGGAGAGGGAGAGAGAGAGGATATTTCCTTAGACCTAGGTGTCCTGCTTGCCTCACCTAATGCTGATCCTGGCATAGCAAATATTTTAGGCTTTGCAGGCCTTACAGTCTCTGTCCTAACTACTCAGCTCTGCCATTGGAGAAAACAGCCATAGACAATATAAGTGAATGATCTTGGCTGTCTTCCAATAAAACTTTAATTAAAAAACAGGCAGCAGCAGGCCAGAGTCAATCAATCCCTGATCTAAATTATAAGTCTTATCTAATTTCATCAGTTTTCCTAATAATGCCCTTTTTCTGTTCTAGGATCCAAGCCAGGATCCCTTATTACGCTTAACCCTTAATGACCTCCAATCTGATGCTTTCTTCTACCTTCTTTGTCTTTCATGACCTGGACAGTATGAAGACTACTGTCAGTATTTTGTAGAATGTCCCTCAATTTGACTTTGATATTTTCTCATGATTAGATTGAGGTTATGCATTTTTGGAAAGAACTCCTCAGAAGTGATGTTGTGCCTTTCTTAGTATCTCATGTGGGGGTGCATGAAATGGATGTGCTTTATTGACCTTGAGCACTTCGTTAAGGTGATGTCTGTCAGGTGTCTTCTGCTAGGTTTTTCCAAGGTAGGGTTATTATTTTTCCTTTTGTAATTAACAAATATCTTGGGGAAGGTACTTTGAGACTGTCCTGTTTCTTCTCAAACTTTTACTCACTAAGTTTAGCATCCTTCAGTGGATCTTGCCTGTAACAGTTACTACTATGGTGTTTGCCTAATGGTGACTTTCTTTTTCTCATTAATTTTACATTTATTAGTATTCTACAGTAAGGAAATTCTTCAGTAAGGAAAAACTATCCCTTCTCCCACATTTATTTGTTTATTTGGCTTAGTTTTATCACTATCAATTAATAGTTATTGTATTTTAAGTGTTATAACCCAAATATTACCATTATTTATTTTGTGTCTCAAATTGTTTCTATGCCTCATGACTTAATTAATTATCATTTGATTAGAGTAATGTAGGAGGATCTCTCATTTATTTCAGGGATATTGCTAATATCTGGAATTTTGTGGGAAAAATCTAGTTTTAAACTGAGTGAATTAAAATAATATATATCAATTAAATCAGTATTAAAATGAATCTTCTTTTCTTTCTTTTCTTTTTTTTTTTTTTTTGAGATGGAGTTTCACTCTTGTTGCCCAGGCTGGAGTGCAATGACGCAATCTGGGCTCACTGCAACCTTCGCCTCCCGGGTTCAAGCAATTCTCCTGCCTCAGCCCCCCGAGTAGCTGGGATTACAGGCATGCGCCACCACACCCAGCTAATTTTTTGTATTTAGTAGAGATGGGGTTTCACCATGTTGGTCAGGCCGGTCTCAGACTCCTGACCTCAGGTGATCTGCCCACCTCGGCCTCTCAAAGTGTTGGGATTACAGGCGTAAGCCACTGTGCCCAGCCAAATCTTCTCTTTTCTGCAGCACATTTTGCATCATATGAATTTCCATCACTGGAATCAATTCACTCTTAATGAATTAGCCATAATTTTCAGAAAGCTCCTATTACACTATAGTTATGTTACTTGAAGAACATCTGTCAGTCTATGATCAAGTATTTATTGAACATTTCCTGTTGGGCCAGTACTAGAAGTGACATAGGGTGGGGAACAAAACAAAACAAAACAAAAAGGTGAGACATGATGCTAGTGTATAAAGAACCTGGTATCCAATTGAGGAGCCAAAGCTAATACACAGGAAACAATTTGAGAACAATTAAGTATTGTGCTCTGTACTGTCTATAAGTGCAGCAGAAATTAAAGAAAGAATATCTGAATAGACTTCAGAAAGAGATGGGGCTTGAAATGGCCTTACTAGATGGCCATAATTTTAATGCACTGTGGGAGAGACAGGGCATTTGTATGGCTAGGAAATCTTGGAGAATATTCATCCAAGTGGGAATTGGATTAGTCTCCATGGCACACTGGAGTATTTCCTTGCTTAGACAAAAATATTTTGCTAGCAGAATATGGAAAAGATAAGTTTCTAAGTTTTAAAATTTAAGTTCTAAAATTAATATATGTTCAATAAGGAAATGTGGAATACAAAGAAAGCACAAATAAAAATGTTAACCTACATGTTTAACATTTTGGAGTATGACTTATACATGTTAATTATCTGTGCATATATGCTATATCTGTATATGTATATAAATAAGTAAATGCATATGTGTATATGTATGTACGTATGTATGTATTTTTGAGACAGATTCTCACCCTGTGGCCCAGACTGGAGTGCAATGGTGCGATCTCAGCTCACTGCAACCTCTGCCTCCCAGGCTTAAGCGATTCTTGTGTCTCAGCCTCCCAAGTAGCTGGGACTACAGGCACGTGCTACCACACCCGGCTAATTTTTTGTATCTTTAGTAGAGATGAGGTTTCACCATGTTGGTCAGCCTGGTCTCCAATTCCTGACCTCGTGATCCGCCCACCTTGGCCTCCCAAAGTGCTGGGATTACAGGCGTGAGCCACCACACCTGGCCTATGTGTATGTATTTATATGTGTATTTTTGTATGTATTTGGAGTCAGACTGCATGGGTTCAGTTCCTAGATGTGCTACTTATTAGCTGTGTGACCTTGGGAGAATTCCTTAATTTTTCTATGTCTTGATTTCCTAATCTGCAAAATGAGAATAATGATAGTATTAACCTCATACAGTTGTGGGAATTAAATGAAACATTCTATGTAAAGTGCTTAGAAAAGTGCCTGGCACATATTAAGTATCAAAAAATTTATTTATTTATTTATTTATTTATTTATTTATTTATTTATTTATTTTTTGAGACGGAGTCTTGCTCTGTCGCCCAGGCTGGAGTGCAGTGGCGGGATCTCAGCTCACTGCAAGCTCCGCCTCCCGGGTTCACGCCGTTCTTCTGCCTCAGCCTCCTGAATAGCTGTGATTACAGGCGCCTGCCACCACGCCCAGCTAATTTTTTATATTTTTAGTAGAGACGGGGTTTCACTGTGTTAGCCAGGATGGTCTCAATCTCCTGACCTCGTGATCCGCCCGCCTCAGCCTCCCAAAGTGCTGGGATTACAAGAGTGAGCCACAGCGCCCGGCCTATTTATTTATTTTTTGAGACGGAGTCTTGCTCTGTCACTCAGGCTGGAGTGCAGTGGCGCGATCTCAGCTCACTGCAACCTCCGCCTCCCAGGCTCAAGCGATTCTTGTGTCTCAGCCTCCCAAGTAGCTGGGACTACAGGCCATGCCAGGCTAATTTTTTAATTTTTAGTAGAGACAGGGTTTTGCCATTTGGCAATTGGCCAGGCTGTTCTTGAACTCCTGACCTCAGGTGATCTGCCCGCCTCAGCATCCCAAAGTGCTGGGATTACAGGTGTGAGCCACTGCACCCAGGTCAATAAATTTAAAATGATAATAATTATCATTATTATATACATATATAGTTACATAATCCCTTTTGAGATAAGACATGGATTTAAATTGCACATAATACTTACATATTATTATATGCAGTATAACATAATATATTGCACATATCTTACCTTTTCTCATAGAAATATTTAAATTTTCTCAGGTTGTTAAAAATCTTTTATGACAAGATAATTTTTTAAATGAGTAAAGTATTCTAACCTACAGTTACATTACAATCAACTATAACAAACATCCTATTATTGGACATATAGGTTGTAAGAATTAAAGAAAGAGGAGAGAAACACAAAGGGCGGCTTGACAGTCAACAGGGACAGATTTGTTTATTTATTTTTATTTTTTATTTTTTATTTTTTTGAGACGGAGTCTCACTCTGTCGCCCAGGCTGGAGTACAGTGGCGCAATCTCGGCTCACTGCAAGCTCCGCCTCCCAGATTCACGCCATTCTCCTTCCTCAGCCTCCGGAGTAGCTGGAACTACAGGCGGCCGCCACCACGCCCGGCTAATTTTTTTGTATTTTTAGTAGAGACAGGGTTTCACTGTTTTAGCCAGGATGGTCTCGATCTCTTGACCTCGTGATCCACCCGCCTCGGCCTCCCCAAGTGCTGGGATTACAAGCGTGAGCCACCGCACCCGGCCTGACAGGTTTATTTTGAATAAACCTGAGAGGGGCGGCTGGCTGAGTTAGGTTAGAGACACACTCTCCTACAGACTAAGAGTTTCTAAGGCTTCAGGGTGGGAGAGTTTATCAGAGGCTTGGACTGCTTCTCTGTCTCTTTGTTGTGCTTTTCTGGGAGGGAGAGTTGTGTGTCTGTTCCCATCCATCTTTCTGCAGCTGTAGGCATACCCCGCCCGAGTCTGCTTTTTGCTTCCCTATCTTGGTACACCTGAAGGGAAAGGAATGTGCTTATTAAGTAAGGCTCACTGTTTTACTGGGGCCCATTTTGTGAGGGTGAAGTTTGGCAGTTGCTCCAGAGACTTTCCCCCCACCTCCCTCTGCGCCCGAGCTGTCTTATTTGTGTTTTACTGTCTGCTCTTTCTGGCTGCTTGTAGTTCGAACAGAAGTGATTTCCTTGAAATGCATGAGACTAGAAAGGGAACTGGAATTTAAAGTGGCGATGTCTGTCTGAGTTGATGGTGCTCTTGCTCTATCATAGGTTTTTGTTTAAAATTTATATTTTATTCTTGGACCTTCTTACAGCTATTCTTTTCTTACCTCTGATTATCTCCTTAGACAAATTCCTAGAATTGGAATTGTTGAATCAAAGGCTAGGAAATAAATTAAAGGCTCTTCATATATATGTGTGTATATATATATATATAGAGAGAGAGAGAGAGAGAAAATAGAATATTTAACACTTTAAAATTTAAAAACAAGTCTAGATCTCAGTTTTATTTGTTATATAAGCAGGTTATGGTGACTGATGGTTAAAGACAGCACCCAGGAAGAGGAAACACATAGTTAATTACAGTTCCTAACAGGAAGTCATCTTTTCCTATTATTCGAAGGTGTTCTCAGAAGTTTAACAAAGAAAATAATAGTTATTAGTCTGGGTTTTATACATATGCCTATCTAATACAGCCTGACTTTGATTGTAAAAGTGAAGACATTCCTTATGAGAATTGACTAAGGATGACATGGAGCTGATCTACATATAGAGAGATAGATACACACATATATCTATATATAGAGAGATAGATACACACACATATATATACACACACATACAAACATATATGTCTCAATTTTTTTCAAGAAAGTCTATACCTATTTACATCCTCGCCAGCAGAGCATGAATGTTAATTTCTTCGCACTCTCAGTAACACTGGTCGTTACAATCCTTTGGATATTTTGATTTATTTGATTATGAGTAGAGTTGAAAATTTTTTGTATGTTTACAAGACAACAGGGTAGGCAGTTTTGCAGCCTACTGGACTTGGGTCAGGAAGGCAGGATTTAGTGGACCTTGACATCGGGGGTGTCAGCTCCAATGGACTGCACTTGGCAGTGGTCACATGGAGTAGGGAGGCCAGAAGATAAATACAATGTGTTCAAGATAAACTAACCCACTTTACCAGTTTACATAGAGCCAGCTCTATGGAAGCTTTGTAATAAACTTCATGATAGTAAAGCTATGAAAAATAATGAAAGAAAGATATAGACTTTCTTAATTTTTAAAATGTGAAATTGGTAAAACCTAGAAAATATAAAGAAGAAAATAACAGTCACGCATGTAAACAAACTGAGAATCAACCATTTTGACACATTTGCTTCCATGTACTAAATACCAGTACATTTTTTTTTTTTTTTGAGATGGAGTTTCACTCTTGTTGTCTAGGCTGGAGTGCAATGGCGTGATCTCGGCTCACTGCAACCTCTGCCTCCTGGGTTCAAGCATTCTCCAGCCTCAGCCTCCTGAGTAGCTGAGATTACAGGCGCCCATGACCACACCTGGGTAATTTTTGTATTTTAGTGGAGACGGAGTTTCACCATGTTGATCAGGCTGGTCTCTTAACTCCTGACCTCAGATAATCCACCTACCTTGGCCTCCCAAAGTGCTGGGATTACAGGCGTGAGCCACTGTGCTCAGCCCAGATTTTTTTTTTTTTTGAGACAGAGCCCTGCTCTGCCACCCAGGCTAGAGTGCAGTGTCAAAATCTTGGCTCACTGCAACCTCCACCTCCTGGGCTCAAGGGATTCTCCTGCCTCAGCCTCCTGAGTAACTGGGATTACAGGCTCGTGCCATCATGCCCACCTAATTTTTGTATTTTTAGTAGAGACAGGGTTTCACCATGTTGGCCAGGCTGGTCTCGAACTCCTGACCTCAAGTGATCCACCCACCTCAGCCTCCCAAAGTGCAGGGATTACAGGCGTGAGCCACCGCACCCAGCCCAGAATGTTTTCTAGTGGGATAGGAATTAAAAATAAAACAACAGCAACGATAAACCCCCAAAACTTTCTACCTTTGATATATAGGTATAATTTTATCTATTTAAAAGCCCTAAGAGATATATATATAATATATCATGATATATATAAATCATGATATATATTATATATATCATGATATATATATTATATATCATATATAATGACATATAATAGATATCATTAGACATATATAATAGATATAATAGATATAATATATATCATTAGATATCTTATATATGATATATATTATATATATCATTATATATCTGATATCTAATGATATATATTATATATCATTAGATATCAGATATATAATGATATATATTATATATATCATTAGATATCTTATATATAGTGATATATATAATATATATCATTAGATATCTTATATATAATGATATATATAATATATATCATTAGATATCTTATATATAATGATATATATAATATATATCATTAGATATCTTATATATATCATTAGATGATATATATTATATATATTATTAGATATCTTATATATAATGATGTATATAAGATATATATGTGAGATATATATGATATATATGCATATATATAAGCATCTTATATATATATATATGCATATATATATATGCATTAAAAGTGCATCTTTAGGCCAGGCATGGTGACTCATGCCCGTAAGCTCAGCACTTTGGGAGGCCAAGGCAGGCGGATTGCTTGGGCCCAGGAGTTCAAGACCAGCCTGGACAAGATGGCAAAACCCCATCTCTATAAAACATGCAAAATTAGCTGGGTGTGGTTGCCTGTGTCTGTAGTCCTAGCTTTTTGGGAGGCTGACATGGGAGGATTGCTTGAGCCCAGGAGGTGCAGGTTGCAGTGAACCGAGATGGCACCACTGCACTCCAGCCTGGGTGACAGAGCAAGAAGCTGACTCAAAAAAAAAAAGAAAAAAAAAGATATGTCTTCAAGGATATAATCTGTTCTCTTGGGTATATTCCTTGGATGAGGAATAAAAGGATTTTGACTTTTTTACTTTTTTTCTGTAGTGATAGAACGTTTTTCAAAGAGAGTTTGTATTTATAAATGACTTACTAATTTAAAAATGCTTACTACTACACTGTATAGAATATTTAATACTTTAAAATTTAAAAACAAGTCTAGTTCTCAGTTTTATTTGTTATATAAGTAGGTTATGGTGACTGATGGTTAAAGACAGCACCCAGGAAGAGGAAACACATAGTTAATTACAGTTCCTAACAGGAAGTCATCTTTTCCTATTATTCGAAGGTGTTCTCAGAAGTTTAACAAAGAAAATAATAGAGTTATTAGTCTGGGTTTTATACATATGCGTATCTAATACCGTCTGACTTTGATTGTAAAAGTGAAGACATTCCTTATGAGAGTTGACTAAGGATGACACGGAACTGATAATTAGTGGTTAGTAAATATGGAACCCCATGAGAATTTCCTAAGCCTGATGAATTTGGCCATAGGGCGTGGTGACACATGTCTGTAATCTCAGCTCCTTGGGAGGCTGAAGCAAGGGGATTGCTTGAGCCCAAGGGTTCTGGGCTGTAGTGCTGTGCCAACGGGGTGTCCACACTAAGTTCAGCATCAATATGGCCGGGAGTGGGAGACCACCAGGTTGCCTAAGGAGGGGTGAACCTGCCCAGGTTGGAAATGGAGCAGGTCAAAACACCTGTGTTGATCAGTAGTGGGATCGTGCCTGTGGCTAGCCACTGCACTTCAGCCTGGGCAACATAGCAAGACTGTCTCTGAAAGAAAAGAAAAAGAAAAACAAAGTTTGACTGCTAACTTAACAAAAAACTCAGCTCTTTTTAGTAACTAGCTGAATGACTTTGGATAGGTTACTTAACCACTTATATTTAATAATAGCCACTATTATTGAGTTCTTATTATGATCAGGTTTTGTGTTAAGTGCGCTACTTATATTATTCATCTGATGTAAAGATGAGTAAACCTAGACACATGGATGTTATGTAATTTGCCTAAAGCCTTGTAGCAGAACTGGGATTTCAAACCAAGCCGTCTTCCCAGGTACGGTGGCTCACGCCTATAATTCCAGCACTTTGGGAGGCTGAGGCGGGTGGATCACCTGAGGTTAGGAGTTTGAGACCAGCCTGGCCAACATGGTGAAACCCCCATCTCTACTAAAAATACAAAAATTAGCCAGGCGTGGTGGTGGGCACCTGTAATCCCAGCTACTTGGGAGGCTGAGGCAGGAGAATCACTTGAAGCCAGGAGGTGGAGGTTGCAGTGAGCGGAGATCACGCCACTGCACTCCAGACTGGGTGACAGAGTGAGACTCTGTCTCAAAAATAAAAATAAATAAATAAATAAATAAAATAAAATAAAACCAAGCAGTCAGATTCTAGAGCCACATAACCACTATTGTTTCCTGCTGCTGTAATTGCAATTACAATTAATAAAGCCAAGTCTTAATAATTCATGATAATAGGAATTAGATGGGTAAGTGAAATCAAATCAAATCATTGATGCCTCTCACATCTCATTTTAGTTTGGGCTGGAGTTTCTGTTTTCCCAGTCAAAATCTCTAATGAAGCTCCTAATTGGTAACAAAATTATCAGGTTTGAATTATGTTCTTTTTCATTTAATTTTGAAATTCTTAATATAAAAGAAAAAGACCAAAAGACAGGAAGAAGGAGCTTTATAATAGATAATTTATAAATTATAACTTATAATTCAGAGACAGTTATCCTTGAGTAATGGTGGCTAAGCATCTTTGAAGAATTTGGATATTTTATATATTACTAGGAGAAACCTACCTGATCATTTTGGGTATTTAAATATTTTTTTTTTTTTTTTTTTAAGACAGACTCTTGCTCTGTCACCCAGGCTGGAGTGCAGTGGTGTGATCTTGGCTCACTGCAACCTCTGCCTCCCAGGTTCAAGCGATTCTCCTGCCTCAGCCTCCTGAGTAGCTGGGATTACAGGTGCCTGCCACCATGTCTGGCTAATTTTTGTATTTTTAGTAGAGACGGGGTTTCACCGTGTTGGCTAGGCTGGCCTCGAACTCCTAACCTTGTGATCTGCCCACCTCAGCCTCCCAAAGTGCAAGGATTACAGGCGTGAGCCACCACGTCTGGACTGGATATTTAAATATTTTGAGCTCATAGGTATCTTGGGCCATCATTTAAATTAAGTAGTTAAATTGTCATCACAACGACTATTTCAATAGGAGCGTTTATTGGATGCTTTCTGAATTTTATTATTTCTTAGAGGAAAAAGTCAAAATAGAAATATAAGGATCAAAAAAAGTTGGGTTGATCATGGCTGTTTTGGGTTGGGGATTGATGCCCCAACTTCTTCCTTCATGCCATTTAAGTTTGACCTTTTTTTTTTTGAGATAAGATCTTGCTGTGTTACCCAGGCAGGAGTGCAGCGGTGCCATCATAGCTTACTACAGCCTTGAACTCCTGGGCTTAAGGGGTCCTTCTGCCTCAGCCTTCCAAGTAACTGGGACTACTAACATGTGTCACCATGCCCAGCTAATTATTTTATATTTTGTAGAGACTGGGTCTTGCTTTGTTGTCCAGGCTGGTCTTATTCCTGGTGATCCGCTTGCCTCAGCCTCCCAAAGTGTTGAGATTATAGGCGTGAGTCACTGCGCCTGGCATGACTCTTTATTTTAAACACTGATTTTTGTTTCAGGTTGAACAAATCCTGGCAGAATTTAAAGTCAGAGCTCTGGAATGTCACCCAGACAAGCATCCTGAAAACCCCAAAGCTGGTAAGAACTTAATAAAGGCTACTTCTCAAGAAAATGAGTAGTATATAGAACCAAAAGCCAGTGAATAGTAACTTAATTTTCTCAATTTTCTCTTGTCTATTATGCTCAACCGTATTCTTTCTTTGCACTATTGGATGATAGAAAGGGAGAGGGCTGTGCAGGATCTTTTCTAATAGTAGTCGTTTAAGATCTATTTTTCTTTCTGCTGTACTGTGTTGCTTTGTGGTTTAAAATTCTTCTAGTTCATGCTTTATTTCACCAGCTATTGAGTGTTAACATAACTTAAGTATATTTGTAACCAGGTGGTTGTCTTTTTTTTTTTTGAGACAGAGTCTCTGTCGCCCAGGCTGGAGTGCAGTGGTGCGATCATGTCTCACTGCAACCTCTGGCTCCTGGGCTCAAGTGATTCTCCTGCCTCAGCCTCCTGAGTAGCTGGGACTACAGGCGTGCACCACCATGCCCAGCTAATTTTTTTTTTTTGTATTTTTTTAGTAGGCAGGGTTTCACTATGTTGGGCAGGCCGGTTTCGAACTCCTGACCTCCAAGTGATCCCCCACCTCGGCCTCCCAGTGCTGGGATTATAGGCGTGTGCCCGGCTAGGCGGTTGTCTTCATGAGAAACTTGTTGTGATTTCTTCATTACTGGGGACCTGAATATATCCATATATTCATACTTTTGTTTCTTTCCTTCACTATCACTTAAGCATGCTTATACCTATCCAAGCTTGGGAAAAATATGAACAAACCAATAATCCCTCTGCAACCTGTCTCTCTTCTCTACTTTCCTGCCTCTCTTCTTCTCTTCAGACCCAGACTTCCCGAAAAGGAAGTCCACAGTTGATGTCTCTATTTCCCTTCTCGCTATTTTTCCATTTGTTCCACTCTGACTTCCCTAGTTTCTCAGAAATAGACCAAGGACTGCCTGAGTATCAAATCTAGTGGTTACCTTTTGGTACTTATCTCCCCTGAACTTGCATCACAATTTGGCCCTGTTGACCATACCTTCCTCCTTGAAACAAAGTTTTTTTCTTTTAGCTGTCAGGATACTATGCACTCATGGTTCTCCTCCAGCCTCTTTGGGCTGCTTTCTCTCAGTCTCCTTTGTGACTCTTCTGTTGCCCCAAGGTTCCCTCCTAAGCTCTCTTCTGAGCCCACTCCCCATTTTCTCCTGAAGCCTTGTCCAGGTCTGTAGCTTAAATCACCAGCTCTTTTGATGGCTCCCAAATCTATCCTTAACCTAGTTCTCACTCCCCATCTTAAGACTGTGGTTTTGACTGCTTCTGGGAAATTTCCATTTGGAAACATTTCAAAGTCACCCTGTCAAAAATTAGACTCATTATTTTCCTATCACCTCCTCTGAAATCTCGCTTATTTTTCTGTGTTCTCCCATCTCTATGAAGGACACCACCATCCATTCAGTTGGTGTCATGGAAGCCTTGTCTCCTTCCTCTCCCTCATGTCCATATCTGGGAAATTGCCAAACACTGTTGATTTACCTTTCTCATCTCTCTCTACTGTGTCCTCCTCGCTTCATGCTGGGTGCCATTGCTGTAGGTAAGCCCCCATCATTTCATGCTTGGATTGCTACAGCATTCTTTAAGTGCTTCTCATTGCAGATTTTTCTTTTTAATTATGGAAAAAAATAATATGTACAAAAAGGAATAAAAAATACTCTAACAGATGCCCACATATGTTCCGCCCAGCTTAAAACTTTACCAGTGCAATTGAAATCTCTTGTGTTTTCCTACTCTGATTTTATCCTCAGGGTAGATAATATTATATCTTAATGTTTTTTTTTGAGACAGAGTTTTGCTCTTATTGCCCAGGCTGGAGTGCAATGGCACGATATTGGCTCACTGCAACCTCTGCCTCCTGGGTTCAAGCGATTCTCCTGCCTCAGCCTCCCGAGTAGCTGGGATTATAGGCATGTGCCACCATGCCCAGTTAATTTTGTATTTTTAGTAGAGACAGGGTTTCTCCATGTTGGTCAGGCTGGTCTCAAACTCCCGTCCTCAGGTGATCTGCCCGCCTTGGCCTCCCAAAGTGCTGGGATTACAGGTGTTAGTCACTGTGCCTGGCCTTATATCTTAAATTTGATAGTTATGTTTACTATATGCGTATAGCATGTGTGTATAAGTGCTTTTTCTATAAGGATAATATCATACTAAGACCTATCTATAATTCCATATTGCACAAATCCAAACTCTTCTTTATTTAGAAAATGTTTTCCTTGGCTGGGTGCAGTGGCTCACACCTGTAATTCCAGCACTTTGGGAGGCCAAGGTGGGTGGACCACCTGAGGTCGGGAGTTCGAGACCAGCCTGACCAACATGGAGAAACTGTGTCTCTACTAAAAATACAAAGTGAGCCGGGCCTAGTGGCGCATGCGTGTAATCCCAGCTACTTGGGAGGCTGAGGCAGGAGAATTGCTTGAACCTAGGAGGCGGAGGTTGCGGTGAGCAGAGCTTGCGCCATTGCACTCTAGCCTGGGCAACAAGAGTGAAACTCCATCTCAAAAAAAAAAAAAAAAAAAAAAAGGAAAAAAGAAAATGTTTTCCTTGTCCCTTGTCTTAAGGTTCTTTATTAATTTTCTCTAGAAATCATTGATTCCTTTGATTTGCAAAAACAGATCATTTTTTCTATATGTGAGGTCATCTTTTGTTAGATATTTAACTATTGCTTCTGCTCATTTGATTTTTTTTCCCTTTTTATTAACTTGTTTAAGGTACTATGAGCAAATAATAAGTGTGAGCTTGATAAATTTGTGCATATGTATATCCAGGTCAACCACTGCCCAGAGAGATGTGGAGCATCTTCAGCACCCCAGAAATCCCTTTTCCCTTCCTGTTCAAAGTCAGCACCCTCTCTCATTTTTTGATCTCTATCACCATTGACTAGTTTTGCAGTTTTGGATTTCATATAAATAGAATCACACAGTATGTACTCTTTTGTGTGTAGCTTCTTTCGCTTTGCATTATGTCTGTGTTATACTGTGCAGTAGTTCATCCTTTGTCATTGTTGAGCCTTTAGGCACAAATTCCTTCATGCTGTGTACCTTAATTCTCCATCCCCTTTTGCTCTCCTTCACCATGCCTAGAATTTCATGTTTCAGCCACTCAGAATTACATTAGTTCATTCATGTGCTCTGCTCTTTCTACACTCCAGCCCTCTATGCTTGATGCTTTCTGCCTGAAACACTCCATGGTTCACACACATCCCTGACTACTTGGCCAGTTTGTGCTTCTGTGTCAGGTCTCAGCTGACCATCAGTTGGGAAGTCCCATGTGTCCCATCTAACAAGAGCACCCTGTACGTCAGGCAGTAGACTGTGTGTCACACTGTCTCCTTATTGCATGTTTGCTTATTAGTCATTCTGGAAGCTCAGTAAGGCAGACGCCCTGCTTGTCTTGTTCACAGTCGTATGCCCCTAGCATGGCACTTACTGAAGAGGACACCTATTCTGCACAATTTCTTGAATAAGTGAATGCATAAACATTCCTTCCTTCCTTCCTTCCTTCCTTCCTTCCTTCCTTCCCCTTCCTTCCTTCCTTCCTTCCTTCCTTCCTTCCTTCCTTCCTTCCTTCCTTCCTTCCTTGCTTCCTTCCTTCCTTCCTTCCTTTCTTTCTTTCTTTCTTTCTTTCTTTCTTTCTTTCTCTTTCTTTCTTTCTTTCTTTTTTTGTGACAGTCTCACTTTGTTGCCCAGGCTGGAGGGCCGTGGCATGATCTCGGCTCACTGCAACCTCTGCTTCCCAGGTTCAAACAATTCTCGTGCCTCAGCCTCCCGAGAAGCTGGGATTACAGGCGTGCGCCATCACACCTGGCTAATTTTTGTATTTTTGGTGCAAAAGGGGTTTCACCATGTTTGCCAGGCTGGTCTTGATCTCCCGACCTCAGGTGATTCGCCTGCCTCGGCCTCCCAAAGGGCTGGGATTACAGGCATGTGCCACCGAGCCTAGCCCGAACATTTCTTTTTCTTTTTTGAGACGGCTTCTCGCTCTGTCGCCCAGTCTGGAGTACAGTGGCGCTATCTCTTGGTTCACTGCAAGCTCCGCCTCCCGGGTTTACGCCATTCTCCTGCCTCAGCCTCCCGAGTAGCTGGGACTACAGGCGCCTGCCACCGCGCCCGGCTAATTTTTTGTATTTTTACTAGAGACGGGGTTTCACCTTGTTAGCTAGGGTGGTCTCAATCTCCTGACCTCGTGATCCGCCCGCCTCGGTCTCCCAGAGTCCTGGGATTACAGGCGTGAGCCACCGCTCCCGACCCCTGGCCCAAACATTTCTTTAGGATTCATATTAACTACCTGTCTGAACTGGAGTTAATATTAAGATAGGTGTCCTAGCATAAAATTATAAAAATTTAGATCGGGCTCGGTGGCTAATGCCTGTAATCCCAGCACTTTGGGAGGCCAAGGTGGGTGGTTCACCTGAGGTCAGGAACTTGAGACCAGCCTGACCAACATGGTGAAACTCTGTCTTTACTAAAAATACAAAATTAGCCGGGCGTGGTGGCACATGCCTGTAATCCCAGCTACTTGGGAGGCTGAGACAGGAGAATCGCATGAACCCGGGAGCAGATGTTGCAGTGAGCCGAGATCGCGCCACTGCACTCCAGCCTGGGTAGCAAGAGTGAAATTGTGTCTCAAAAAAAAAAAAATTATAAAAATTTGATAAACACTTAAAAACCACCACCACCCCAGGTTATTCTTTAACTGGGTTCTTTTCAGTGAAGCATGACTGTGAGTTGTTTCTCTGTCCCTGACAAACAATTTTTATTCAGGATACATGATGAATCACTGTGTAATTATTGCCATTTCTAGTTGCCATAGTGATGGGGGTTTTCATGTATGGGCTGCCTCAAGGCGTCTTGTTCAGAGAAACAGTGGACTGTGTAAATATTGTTTAAAATGAAAAGGTACACAGACATCAATATCTTCTCTAGGCAGGCATGCATTTGATATATGATTCAACCTTTGGGTAGAGGTTGTTTTTTAATCTATTTAAGCATCCGTTTACTCAGTTTTCATTAATACAACTTTCTGAACGTTTATGTGGATCTTTACACACTTGGATGATTAAGGTTACTGATGAAAATATTTCAAATATATATATGAGACAGGATCTCGCTCTGTCTCCCAGGCTGGAGTGCAGTGGTGCGATCTTGGTTCACTGCTGGCCTCAACCTCCCAGGCTCAAGCAGTTCTCCCACCTCAGCCTCCCAAGTAGCTGGGACCACACATGTGCGCCACCACACCTGAGTAATTTTTTTGTATTTTTAGTACAGACGGGGTTTTGCCATGTTGCCCAGGCTGGTCTCAAACTCCTGGACTCAAGTAGTCTGCCTTCCTTGGCCTCCCAAAGTGCTGGGATTACAGGGATAAGCTGCTGTGCCTGGCCAGACTATTTCAAAATCTCTTTTTTTATTTTTTATTTTTTTGGGGGGATGGAGTCTTGCTCTATCGCCCGAACTGGAGTGCAGTGGCACAATCTCAGCTCACTGCAACTTCTGTCTCCTGGGTTTAAGTGACTCTCTTGCCTCAGCCTCTTGAGTAGCCGGAGCTATAAGTGTGTGCCACCACGCCCAGCTGATTTTTTTTATTTTTAGTGGAAACGGGGTTTCACCATGTTGGCCAGGATGGTCTCAAACTCCTGACCTCAAGTGATCCACCTGCCTCGGCCTCCCAAAGTGCTGGGATTACAGGAGTGAGCTACTGCACCCAGCCTCAAAATATCTTTAAAAATTCACTTGGATACTGAAGTTTAGCTTGACAGAAATTCAGAATGTAATGGAAAGATTTTGAAATGTATCTAATTAAGGTGAAAAGCTAGACAGTAGAGGAACTTTGGGTAGGATAAATTAAACTTATATCTATACCTTTTTCGTCCACTAAATATAGTCTCAACTGTTGCCATTGAAATTACTGATGTGGTAGCATGATGGAGTAGTGGATATAAACACAGGCTTGTTTGTCTGGATTGCTCCCATTCCACTTACAGTCTAGTTGATCTTGGGCAATCTCTCCAAGCCTCAGCATTCTCGTAGGTAAAACAGGTAGACTAGTAGTATATTACTTCATGCATCTGCTGTGAAGATTAAATGAGGAGTCCTGCATGTGGAAAGTGCTTAATGGATGCTGGCAATTTTAATTCAGTGGATTGTCTTTCCTTGTTTTATGTAGCAGCCCAAGGTAAACATTTAACGTGATGGGATAGTTTTCTCTTTTTATAAGTAATGATTAGATCATTCTTTTATTCCCTGAAAAAAAAAAAAGTAAATCTAAGGCCACCAGAAATCCCTTCCCCTCTCCAGATGTGGGTGCTGCAGACAGGACTGACTTTGCTATAAAAATAGTGTCACTGAGCCCCAGAGCTCCTGGCTGGTGCTCATGCCAGCGCTCTGTGTGGGTGACAGTAACTGTTTCAGATTAGCACTATATTAACTTCTCCATGGCCATGAAGAAAGTAGACTTAAGGCCGGTGTGATGGCTCACACCTATAATCCCAGCACTTTGGGAGGCCAAGGTGGGCAGATCACATGAGGTCAGGAGTTTGAGACAAGCCTAGCCAACATGGTGAAACCTCGTCTCTACTAAAAGTACAAAAAATTAGCTGAGTGTGGTGGCGGGTGCCTGTAATCCCAGCTACTGTGGAGGCTGAGGCAGGAAAATCACTTGAACCCAGGAGGCGGTGGTTGCAGTGAGCTGAGGTTGTGTCACAGTGCTCCAGCCTGGGCTATAGAGAGAGACTCTGCCTCAAAAAAAAAAAAAAAAAAAAGAAAGTAAACTTCAGACTAAGAACCTGTGGAATGGTATTTTTGTTACTGATGTGCAAACTTCAAGGACATTTGGATATTAGAAGAAGGGGAGCAATTTGTCCTTTGTTAACTAACATCTTTTAATGTCTCAATTTTTTTTTTACTTTATAGTCTTTACTGTTTTTCCCCATATAATAAAAATAACATAATTAATAAATAATGTTGGAAGAAAAAGTTTGCTTTTATCTTTCCCTGATAGAGAACCACTATTAACAGTTGGTATATTTTCTTCCAGATTTTTTCAAAGCATATTTTGACATCATATTATTATTTCTTAAGTAATTGTAAATGGCATACATTTAAAATGTGACTGTTGTAATACAAATTCTATTGCAAAATATGAATTTAAAATAACCTCTATATTTTGAAGGTAGACCCAGGAGTTAAATCAGAATGTCTCGCAAGACTTCCAGCATCATTTGCTCCTATAAGCTTACAAAATGAGATCTCTCTTCCCAGAACTGGCAAGTGTTTACCTTGTGTGGCTCATTTGATTAGTTGCTACATTAATGGAAAAATATAAACCCAAACTCACTTTTGTTAAATGTGGTGAAGTGGATGGAACAAGAGAAAGGTCACATTATAGGAAAGATAAGGTTTCTTTTTTCTTTCTGCTTATCAACTGTTGTTGAGGGACTTACATCAGAATAATTCTAAGCAGCTTCTTTCATTCTGGGAATTCTAGAAAGCGAAGCCAACAATGATGTGAAAAGAGAAGGTGACTCACAGATAAATACATAAATCTTTACAAGCCCCACATGAGTAGCAACTGGCATGTGCATCCTTGGTGGTAATTTAATAAGCTTTTTATTCCTGTTGGAAAAAGTGACGTATCATTTATACAATGGGACATTTACATTGTCGTCAGCAACAGGAAGATTTGCTCTCGCTGGACCAAGCTGCTATGGCAAGATACTTTTATTTGTTCATTTGTTTTCCTGTAGCTTTCAATAGCCCCATCTTTTTTTTTCTTTTCTTTTTTTTTTTTTTTTTTTGAGACGAAGTATTGTTCTTGTTGCCCAGGCTGGAGCGCAATGGTGTGATCACGGCTCACCGAAACCTCCACCTCCTGGGTTCAAGCGATTCTCCTGCCTCAGCCTCCCAAGTAGCTGGGATTACAGGCATGCACCACCACGCCCAGCTAATTTTGAATTTTTAATAGAGATGGAGTTTCTCTATGTTGGTCAGGCTGGTCTTGAACTCCTGACCTCAGGTGATCCGCCCACCTTGGCCTCCCAAAGTGCTGGGATTACAGGTGTAAGCCACCGTGCCCAGCCTCATTTAGCATATTTTCAAGACTCATTCATGTTGTAGCACATATCAACATTTCATTCCTTTTTATGGCTGGATGATAATTCTTTTAGGTGGATATACCACATTTTGTTTATCAATTCACAGTTGATGGACATTTGTGTTATTTTCACTTTTGGCTATTATGAGTAATGCTGCTATCATATACAGGTTTTTGTGTGGACATATGTTTTCATTTCTCATGGATATATACCTAGGATTATAATAGTTGGGTCATATGGCAACTCTGCTTAATATTTTTGAAGAACAGCCAAACTACTTTTCAAAGTGACTATATACCACTTTACATTCCCACCTGTCATGTGTGACAGTTCCAATTTTTTCACATTCTAGACAATTATTATCCTTTAATTTTAGCCATCCTAGTAGGTATAAAGTGGTATCTCACTATGGTTTTGATTTGTATTTCCTGAAGGACTAATACTGTTCAGGAT
Organism: Homo sapiens; assembly: GCF_000001405.40. Taxonomy (NCBI): domain Eukaryota; kingdom Metazoa; phylum Chordata; class Mammalia; order Primates; family Hominidae; genus Homo; species Homo sapiens. The sequence goes on along the minus strand of NC_000010.11, from coordinate 67,814,758 downwards.
ATTTTCAGGTGCTTGTTGGCTATTTGTATATCTTCTTTGGAGAAATGTTCATTCAAGCCCTTTGTCCATTTTGCATTTGGGTTATTTGTCTTATTATTGAGTTGTAAATGTTCTCTATAAATTCTAGATATAAGTACCTTATCAGATATATTATTTGCAGATATTTTTTCCCATTCCATGGTTTGTCATTTCACTTTCTTCATGGTATTCTTTGAGGCACAAAAGTTTTAATTTTGATGTAGTCCAATTTATCTATTTCTTCTTTTGTTGCTTGTGCTTTTGGTGTCATATCTAAGGAGCTCTTGCCTAAGCTGAGGTCACAAAGATTTATTCCTATGTTTTTTTTTTCCCAGTTTTTTATGGTTTTAACCCTTACATTTGGATCTGTGATCCATTTGAGTCAATATTTGTTTATAGCTTAAGGTAGAAATCTAAATTCATGCTTTTTATATATTGATATTTAGTTATCCTAGCACCATTTGTTGAAAAGACTATTTTTTTTCTTCATTAAATTGTCTTGGCACTCTTGTTGAAATCAATTGACTGTAAATGTAAGGGTTTGTTTCTGGATTCTCAATTCTATTCCATTTATAAGTATGTCTATCCTTATGTTAGTACCACACTGTTTTCACTACTGTAGCTTTGTAGTATAAGTTTTGAAATTCAGAAGTGTGAATTCTCCAACTTTGCTCTTATTTTTTTCAAGAGTTTTTTTTTTTTTTGGCAATTCTGGGTCCCTTGTATTTGCAAACAGATTTTAGGACTAGATTGTCAATTTCTGCAAAAAAGGCAACTGGGATTTTGATAGAGATTATGTTGAATCTGCAGATCAGTTTGGGGGGTATTATCATTTTAGCAATAGTAAATCTTTATGAACGTGGGATGTCTTTTCATTTATTTAGATCTTCTTTAGCTTCTTTTGACAATATTGTGTAGTTCCTTCTTTTGTTCAATTTTTTAAAAATATTATATTCTTCTTGAAGCTTTTTTTTTTTTCTTTTGAGACAGAGTCTTGCTCTGTCACCCAGGCAGGAGTGTAATGACATGGTCTCAGCTCACTGCAACCTCCGCCTCCCAGGTTCAAGTGATTCTCCTGCCTCAGCCTACTGAGTAGCTGGGATTACAGGCGCCTGCCACCACACCCAACTAATTTTTTTTTTTTTTTGTATTTTTAGTAGAGACGGGGTTTCACCATGTTGGCCAGACTGGTCTCGAACTCCTGACCTCGTGATCCGCCCACTTCGGACTCCCAAAGTGCTGGGATTACAGGCATGAGCCACTGGGTCCGGCTCTTGATGCTCTTATAAATGGAATTTTCTTAATTTCATTTTCAGATTGTTCATTGCTACTGTGTAGAGACACCACTGATATTTGTATATTGATTTTTTATTTTTTGGAGACGGAGTCTCGCTCTGTCATCTAGGCTGGAGTGCAGTGGTGTGATCTTGGCTCACTGCAACCTCTACCTCCCAGATTCATGAGATTCTTCTGCCTCAGCCTCCCAAATAGCTGGGATTACAGGCGCCCACCGCCATGCCTAGCTAATTGTCTTCTTGCTGTGTTTTCACATGGGGGAAACAGAGTGAGCGAGTTGTCTGGGTTTCTTTTATTAGGGCACTGATTCCATTCGTGAGGGTTCCACCCTCATGATCTAATCATATCTCAAAAGCCCCATCTCCTAATACTATCATTTTGGGAGTTAAGAATTCAACATATGAATTTTTGTTTGTTTGTTTTGAGATGGAGTCTTGCTCTGTCGGACAGGCTGGAGTGCAGTGGTGCAAACTCGGCTCACTGTAAGCTCTGCCTCACGGGTTCCAACGATTCTCCTGCCTCAGGCTCCTGAGTAGCTGGGATTACAGGCCTGGGCCACCGTGCCTGGCTACTTTTTTTTGTTTTTTTTTTTTGAGATGGAGTCTCGCTCTGTCGCCCAGGCTGGAGTCCAGTGGCACAATCTCGGCTCACTGCAACCTCTGCCTCCCAGGTTCAAGCAATTCTCTGCCTCAGCCCCCGAGTAGCTGGGAATACAGGCGCCTGCCACCACCCCCAGCTATTTTTTTTTTTTTTTTTGTATTTTTAGCAGAGATGGGGTTTCACCATCTTGGCCAGGCTGGGTCTTGAATTCCTGACCTCGTGATCCACCCACCTTGTCCTCCCGAAGTGCCGGGATTACAGGCCTGAGCCACTGCACCCGGCCTGTATATAAATCTTGTATTCTGCTCTGCAGAAAGTTTTTACTTCACTGAGGAGCAGAAGAGACTTTGGAGGTGTTTCTAACAGAGCCATAAAAGGTTTCTATTATATACCATCTGGTCAAGTAGATTAGTGACAAGCTACCATTTGTCCCAGCATCTACCATGTTATTTATTATACTTAAAGCCTCCCGTTTCTCTTACGACAAAAAGCAGGCCAGCATCCTTAACATGACATCTCAGGCCCTGGTTGATTGAGCTATTGTCTGTCTACTCTACAGCCCCATCCCTCATCGTTCTTTCCCTAGCCTTGTGTCCTCCAGCCACACTGGCAATTACTACTTCCTCTAAGTCACCGTGCTCCTTCCTGCTTTATAAGGACAAACAAGATCATGGATGTAAAGTGCTTGGGACAGTTTATCCACTCCCTGTATTGTGCCTCAGTCATGTCTTTATAGTCTTTATAGTCTTCAGTTTTATAGTCTTTATAGTCTTCAGTTTTACTGTCCCTCTTGCCTAATTACTGCCCTGTTTCACACCCAGCACTAAAAAAGGTAGTTTTCTTCCTATAAGGTGGAATAGTATTTTTTCAATGTTTACAAATGTTTCTTTCCCCTGCTAATAATGTCTATTATTCACATCTGTGTCATCAGCACCGGGAGTAGCCTCTGGCACATGACTGAGGCACAATACAGGGAGTGGATAAACTGTGCCGAGCACTTTACATCCATGATCTTGCTTGTCCTTATGATACCCTTTACAAAAGCTTAATGAGGTAAATTGGCCCAAGGTCACATAGCTATTAAGTGGCAGTCATGGTTTTAGTAAGAGCAGTTGGATAGTTTTGGAGTTTAAAATATCCTCTCCGAGAGAGAAGTGCTCATTTCTTGATTTGTTTTCCAGTGGAGACTTTTCAGAAACTGCAGAAGGCAAAGGAGATTCTGACCAATGAAGAGAGTCGAGCCCGCTATGACCACTGGCGAAGGAGCCAGATGTCGATGCCATTCCAGCAGTGGGAAGCTTTGAATGACTCAGTGAAGACGGTGGGTTTCTCGCTGGGTGCGACGTGAATTTGTGAAGCTCAGGATGCCCATGGATTAGACTCATGTAGTAGCTTAAAGAGTCATTAGGCGATAGGAGGGAGAAAACCAAGAAGTTAGCAGAGTCTGGATATAATTCAGTGTCCGTAAATCCCATGAAGAGAAGCTCATCAGAATAAAGGCAATGAATTTGTGCCAGAAGAGCCTGTGACTACATTTCTTTCAATCTCTTTGGCTGTTTGTTTCAGTATACACACTCCCTGTTATTGCTTACTATTTTATGAGCTCTAATAAATGTACTTCTCAAGTTGCTCATGAATTGCTGAGTTTTAACCATTGTAAATTCACATTCTCCATCTTTTTAGTTTATGTCAGCTTGCTCTCTTTTCAAGGCTTAGAATTTTCATTAAAAAGGCAGGATCTGATTAGTCAGAGAAAGCCATGAATTATTCCTATTAAACATTCTGGTGAAAGAATTGTTAGACTTTAAAAACATTGTGTTATCTTTCTTCATGTCATTAAAAGGCATAAATATCAAAATATTCACTATAATTACTGTCATATATTTATTTTGTTCAACATTGACCTTTATATATTATAGACAAAATGTAATTTTAAAGATTTAGGCATGATTTATTACCTAGATTCTCTCCATTGGAACACTTTTCTATGACATGGGACTTATAATACAGAAATTACCTCATAGGTAAGTTTTCAGGGACAGTTGTTAGAATTAGTGTATAAAATGATTCACATCTCTTAAATTATAGCCCTTCAGGGTTACATTTAGATTTCCTTCTTCATAGTTTTTATTTTAGAAGACTTGAGCAAATTGTTGATAAAAGACCTCGGCCTCCCAAAGTGCTGGGATTGCAGGCATGAGCCATCGCACCTGGCTAGATTGTTAAATCTCATAAATTCCCTTTCCTTCACACCATCAACCCTGTGTTTCTGCTTTTTGTTTAAATAGTATAATCCCTCTGGAACGGAAAAGCATTGTTTGGGAACATTATTAGTCCCTATACCCACAAGGCAGGACAAATCACGGTGTACTTTTGTAGCATCACACACAGGATCATATCTTGGGAATTTCCTTTGGGAGAATTCCTCAAACGAGCCACAGCCTCAGGGGTGCCACATTTTTTTAAATTAAAAACTTCAAAAAATTTTCAATAGCTTTTGGGGTACAAGTGTTGATATGGTTTGGATTTGTGTCCTGCCCAAATCTCATGTTGAATTGGATGAGGGTCCTGATGGGAGGTGATTGGATCATGGGGGCAGATTTCCCCCTTGCTTTTCTCATGATAGTGAGTTCTCATGAGATCTGATGGTTTAAAAGTATGTGGCAGTTCTACCTTCTCTCTCTTTCCTGCCACCATGAGAAGAAGGCCCTTTCTTCCCCTTCACCTTCCGCCATGATTGTAAGTTTCCTGAGGCCTCCCAGTCATGCTTTCTGTTAAGCCTGAGGAACTGTGAGTCAATTAAACCTCTTTTCGTCATAAATTACTGAGTCTCAGGTAGTTCTTTACAGCAGTGTGAAATGGACTAATACAAGTGGTTTTTAGACACATGGATGAATTGTATGGTGGTGAAGTCTGAAATTTTAGCGCACCCATCACCTGAGTAGTATACATTGTACCCATTATGTAGTTTTTTATCCTTCACTCTCCGTCCCAGCCTCCCACTTTGAGTCTCCAAAGTCCATTATATTATACCACTCTGTATGCTTTTGTGTATCCGTAGCTTAGCTCCCATTTATAATGGAGAACATACAATATTTGGTTTTCCATTCCTAAGTTACTTCACTTAGAACAATGGCCTCCAGGTCCATCTAAGTTGCTGCAAAAGATATTATTTTGCTCTTTTTTAGGGCTGAGTAATATTCCATGGTGTATATATCCACCACATTTCTATCATCCAGGAGTGATGCAACTGAACTGGTATTTTTTCCCTACACTAAGTCTGTCACTTTACTACCTACTTATTTATTTCTTTTTGTTTTCTAGAAGTTCCTCCTGCTAGTTTAATTGGTAAAAATATTTTAAGACCTCACCCAGGTCAATGAATATGTTGGCGATTTAAATTTAGACATGTAGTATTGGTTTGAAAAAAAAGGTTTGGAGTGAGGATTCAGTAATTCAGGCCTTTGGGATCCTGGGATAACCTGAAGAGTTATCCCAGGATTCCAGAGAATCTTAGGGAAATGTATCTTTGTCATGCTAAATGGTTTTACCCAAAGAGACCCAGGGTGTGGATGGCTCTCCCTCTAGCACCAAAATATATGGCAGCATGGATTTAGGATGCCTATGGGAAAAAGAAGCCACAGCAAAGGCACAGTCAAAATGAATGGCTAAAAAAAATTCTCATAAGCCGTTAAAACTATCTTATGCCACTTCAATTGCTGTAAATTTTATAAAGAGTTAATAGAAACACATTTTTGGTGAATTGATCATTTGACAAATTGATTGCCTCTGGGAGGGCTTGTTGGGTCAGCCTCGTGTGGACCTATTTGTCTGCTGATTGTTTCTGGGTTCCCAGCTGGGCAAGGTGTCTTTGGGGTGGGTTCAACTGGCCATAGACTACCTATCCAGAAAGCTTCCTACACTATGCCCACATGGCCACAGTTTCACCAGCCAGATGGGAAACAGTATGCAATTCAACACCTTCTGCTGGTTCAAAAGGCAATCTGTCTTAATTGGATGTTATCCAAAAGCAGGTCAGAAATCACCCTGATAAGTGAAAAATCCACTCATGGTGATCACTGATCCAGGATAATAATAACCAGTCAATTTTGTATAGCTATTCAGCTGATCTATGGCTCATCTGAGTCCATGGATTTAAAAAAATGTTGTGCCAATGTTTACTGGCATGTAAACAAAATTTTTTATTTCCCTGTGTGTTTGTGTGTGTGTGTGTGTGTTTTAATGGAATGCTTCGCGAACGTGCCTGTTGTCTTTGCACAGGGACCATGATCATTTTCTTTGTATCATTCCAATTTTGGTATATGTGCTGCTGAGACGAGCACTATTTCCTAGTATTGACCAAGGTCTAGAATGTAAGAAAATGACTTCCTAGAGAAAAAAAACCAACTCGTTCAAGAAAGCTAGTAAACAAGTTAATTGTGAAGGCAGAATAACAACATAGAAATTTCACAGACTGTTAAGATTAGTGGCCTTTGCACCTAGGCTTGCTGTCTGTTTAGCGTTAGTTCCTTCCATGCATATATAGATTTTCTGTCTTGTGCATTTTATTATCTTGCTGTAGACTCTCCCCTTTCTAGTCTCTCTCTTAGTCTGTATCAATTGCTGTCATTTGATATCTTTTATTGATGCTGATTCTACTGAAATGAGTAGCTGCATAATAGACTAGTTCGCTTGATGTTAAATGTTGTTCTGTGCAACTAATACCCTTGTGGAGTTGAGAAATATGCTTGTGAACACAGAAATGAGTGATTTGCAGACTATCTAACTGTGTCCCAGCAAACCAGGCTGCTTAGCATCACTCTGATGTTAGTCCTTTGATTGAACTACAAAGCGTGAGAAGCACTTGTATCTAAGGTTAGATACAGTTTGGATATTTCTTCTGTATATTTCTTTAATGAGGATCAGCAGATATGGGAGTCTGATAACATATTTTATTCTGATTTACTCACAAAGGAGATGGATAAGACTACTATTTCAGAACATCTTTTCACTGAGGACCTTTAAAGCATTTACTGTGGATTAGACATTAATCCTAACCTATCTAAGACAGACCACAGGTACTTTGATTTCAAGAGAGAAGTACTGAGGCACAGAGATCAATACATCACGTACAGGCCACTTTGCTGGCTTGTGAAGCTCACAGTTTACATTTTCAGCTCTCTGGGCCCTGAATTCTTGAATGTCTTATTCCTTGTTTTTCACTAACCTTCCTAATATCCTTTTCCCTCTGCAGAGGAAGTCACTGGCAGCCTCTTTTATTTTGTGCATATGCAAAAACCAAACCAAAACAACAAACCTAAACCAACCAAACAAAAGTCATTTTTTTTTTTAATACCAGCTGAGGCATTGCCTCTTTTAAAAATTAACGTTTTTATTTTGAAATAAAATCTACAGAGAAATGGGTAATACTTGCATTTACAATTTAGCAAATGGTTTTGAAGTGTTTACTCTGTAACTATTCCCTTCCCACACATATTGTTGGCACCAGGAATCTCCCACCTTGTATGTTTTTGCATCGAAACTTCGCCTAATTTTTAAAATTGAATATTTTCTTTTTTTTTTTGAGACAGAATCTCGCTCTGTCACCCAGGCTGGAGTGCAGTGGTGCGATACCAGCTCACTGCAACCTCTGCCTCCCGGATTCAAGTGATTCTCGTGCCTCAGCCTCCCGGGTAGCTGGGATTACAGGCACACACTACCTTGCCCAACTAATTTTTGTTTTTTTAAGTAGAGGTGAGGTTTCACCATGTTGGCCAGGCTGGTTTGGAACTCCTGACCTTGTGATCCATCCACCTAGGCCTCCCAGAGTGCTGGGATTAAGGTGTGAGCCACTGCGCCCAGCCTAAAATACAATGTTTTCTAATTGTACATATATATAATCTTCTCATAGAAAATTTGGGAAATACAAAAACAAAAGATGTAATTCTGTTACACAGGCATAACTACAGTTATATTTTGGTGCCTTTCCTTCCCATTTCTTTTTCTTTTTTTTTTTTTTTGAGACCGAGTCTTGCTCTGTTGCCCAGGCTGGAGTGCAATGGTGCGATCTCGGCTCACTGCAACCTCCACCTCCTGGGTTCAAGCAATTCTCCCGCCTCAGCCTCCTGAGTAGCTGGGATTACAGGTGTGCACCACCACGACCAGCTAATTTTTGTATTTTTAGTAGAGACGTGGTTTCACCTTGTTGGCCAAGGATGGTCTCGAACTCCTTGCCTCAAATGATCCACCCACCTTGGCTTCCCAAAGTGCTGGGATTACAAGCATGAGCCACTGTGCCCAGCCTCTTTTCTTTTTCTTGTTAGGGTGAGAGCTGGTTACATTTATTGGTGGCAATGACTGCTTTATGGGGTGGTTCTTGGATCTTGGGGTTGATTAGCCTTTGGACTGGTTATATTTGGAGAAGAGGATTCAGGATGACACTTCTTTGTAGTTGGGAAGAGATAGGTTGAAGGTGGGAATAAATGACTTCTTTGATTTGATTAGGGCAGAGAGCTAGAATATTTATAATTTTAGGGTGTTAAAGGCTATGTTTCCTTCTAGTCTTGAGTTGTGGTAATAGAGGTAGTGTGTCACTGTTTCTTAGTACTTCAGGAATAGCTTCCCACAATATCCCGATGAGGTTTTAAGAAATAGTTATGCATTATTTTGGTTGATGGTAGGGCTAATGATTCCACTTGAAATATTCTTGATACAGCAAACTCAAAAGCGCTCTTTTTCACTGTATTCATTTGTTAGTTCATCCATCCATCCCTCCATTCATTCATCCATCTGTCCAATTTTTAGATCTAATAGGAAATACATATACAGAACAGAAAATGAAAAAGGTACAAAAGGGTGTATGGTGAAAAGTAACTATTAATAGTTGGATTAATTAATATCTGGATTAATTTATGAGTATCTTGTTAATAGTCAAGTCTAACATGCTGTTAATTAGCACTACAGTAGTAGGTCAGGTGTTACCACATATCAAACTTTAAATATAGAAAATCATATAATATCAATTTAATTTTTATATCTCTGCTTTACATTAATTTAGTCAATGCACTGGGTTGTCAGAGGTAAAAAAGACCTGATGCTGGAAGAATCTGACAAGACTCATACCACCAAGATGGAAAATGAGGAATGTAATGAGCAAAGAGAAAGAAAGAAAGAGGAGCTGGCTTCAACCGCAGAGAAAACGGAGCAGAAAGAACCCAAGCCCCTAGAGAAGTCAGTCTCCCCGCAAAATTCAGATTCTTCAGGTAAGTCACGTTATATAACTGCAGAATGGAGAAGGTCTGAAATTAAAGAGTTTTGTTTATATTGCATTTATTCTTAACTTTTTCAATCTGCACAGCAGTGCCAAGTTTAAAGATTGGTTTATCATCTTAAAAGACACTTAGCATTGACACCGAAACTAGAAGGTATTCCTCAGAAGGGAAACCTTGAGACAATTCTCAGTGTCTTTGGCTTTACTGACATAATGCTAGCTAACATTGATTGAATGTTTACTATGTGCAGGAACACTCTTTACATATATTAGTTTACATTTATTATCTCATTTAATATTAATTTTATATATATTAACTTATTCTCACTACAAGCTTGTGAGGCTGATATCAATATTATTCTCATTTTATAGATGAGAAAACCAAAGGCCAGGAGGTTGAATAATTTGCTTAAAGCCATACAGCTTGTATGGGAAGGGAAAGGGGTCTGAACCAAGGCAGGTTGACTTCAGTCAGTGTTCCAAGGCATTGCCCTATCCTATGATAATGCCTTATTGAATTGAATTTAATTTTTTTTCTTTTTTGAGATGGAGTCTCACTCTGTCATCTAGGCTGGAGTGCAGTGGCATAATCTCAGCTCATTGCAACCTCTGCCTCCTGGGTTCAAGTGATTCTTGTGCCTCAGATTCCCCAGTAGCTGGGACTACAGGCGCCTGCCATGATGCCTGGCTAATTTTTGTATTTTTAGTAGAGATGGGGTTTCATCATGTTGGCCAGGCTGGTCTCAAACTCCTGACCTCAGGTGATCCTCCTGCCTGGGCCTCCCAAAGTGCTGGGATTACAGGTGTAAGCCACCATGCCCGGCCCAATAATGCCTTATCTGTAAATAGCTCTGTAGACATTCTGAATCATTTATAAATCCACTGAAGCAGAGTATTATAGAAGTTTACCTCCTGGCTACCAAGCTACACTACCTGAGTTCACATCCTAGCTCTACTACTTATTATCTGTATTACTTGGCAAAGTTACTTAACTTCTCTAGACCTCAGTTTCTGCATCTATAAAATAGGGATTATAATAGTACTTGCTCATCTAGGTGCATTGTTGTGCACCTGTAGTCCTAGCTACTCAAGAGGCTGAGGCAGGAGGCTGGCTTGAGGCCAGGAGTTCAAAGCTGCTGTGTGTGATGATCACTCCTGTGATTAGGTGCTTGCATTCCATCCTGGGTGACATAGTGAGACTCCATCTCTTAAATAAAAAATAGTACCTTCTTATAGGGTTACCATGAGGATTAAATGGGGAGATACATAAAAAATGCTTAGCACAGCGGTTCACCTCTAGGAAGCCCTAGGTAAATGTTACCTGTTTGTATCATTTGTCTATCTGGCTGGCTATCTATCTAGCCATCCAACTAGTTTGGATGTGTTGTATATACACACATTGTATACACACATTGTAACTGTCCTTCAAATTATTATGTGTTGATTCTCAGGGTTGTGATGTAGCACCCTATTAGAATTTAGCCTTTAAGCAGAACGTTCCTGAACACCCTAGAACACTTGTATTCAAAAGAAGATAGTTAGATGGCTTGTGGTGGATTATAGTCTTTTGAGAAATAGTCACTTCAAATCTCTCTTTGGGGAGAACTTTTACATCTTCTCTTCTTGCTGGGAATGAAGATCCATAGAGTTTGATTCAGATGTCTCTGTTGGTTACCCAAGAGATGGCTGTGGAGTCTGCACATTGATTGCATCACCCAGTAACTGGAAATGGTTATAATTTAACAAACTGATCAAAGGAGAAGCCTGAAGTGTAGAAAAACAGTGTTTTAAGCAAACACAGGAGTACAATCACTCCCCTACATGTAAACACGATGAATGTTCAGTTCTGTGTTTCTTGAACCCCTGGGGGTTCCCCAAGTCTTTCTGTTTCTGTCAGATTCAGACCAAGTCTGTGCACACCAAAATTAGGTGTAGTGTGGGTGGGAGACACTTCAGAGACTCAGGCATGATGCTGAGGCCTCTTGAGCCCCTCTCATAGGATTCTACGAAATTTTCCTTCTTTTTAAAAAAATAGTAATTTAGATACTGAATAAAAACAAAAGTAGTATAGACTTGCTGTTAAAAAATTCAAAGAATCATATATAGCCAGGTTGCCAACCTTCTCTGCTTCTGTTTCTTGAAGTAACCAAGGCTGACACTCAGGTGTGTTTCCTTCCACTATTCTCTATGCTAACACAGGTGTGTATATGTGCACTTATGAGAGCTTTAAAAGTAAAGAATGGGGTTATACTGTACACATTTCTCTGTGTTACGCAGTGGTTAAGAATGTGGGCTCAGCTTTTCACTGATGAGTTGTATGACCTTGGACAAGCTAGTTAACCCCTCTGCATCTATGTCTTCTTAGTTATATAATGGTCAAAATATTAGTGTCTACCTCATAAAATTTTTTTTTTTGAGGAGTAAATAACTTAATTGTCCAGGCGCAGTGGCTCACACCTGTAGTCCTAGCAATTAGGGAGGGTGAGGTGGGCGGATTGCTTGAGGCCGGGAGTTTGAGACCAGCCTGGGCAACATGGTGAAACCATCTCTAAAAAAAAATATGAAAATTAGCCAGGAGTGGTGGTGCGTGCCTGTAATCCCGTTACTTGAGCCCGGGTGTGTGTGTGGGGGGGGATGTTGAGGCTGCAGTGAGCTGCGATTGCACCACTGTACTCCAGCCTGGGTGACAGAATGAGATCCTGTCACACACACACACACACACACACACACACACACGCACAATAACTTAATATACGTAAAATATTTAGACCAATACCAGGCACATTGTAAACACTTTTTTTAGTGTTAACTTTTATTATTAAGAGACTTCTCTTTAAATCCTTACATTCAGAATGAATTCCTGCTTTTTAACAGCTGATAACATTCCACAGTGTAGATATATGTTATGTCAAAGTCAAACAAAAATATAGATTCGAATCTCTATGTAAAACATTTTACTTGGGAAAATATATAAAAACTACATTGCAATTCAAGGCATACACACAGATGGGATGGTCTTTGGTGTGTCTGAAGAACAAATAAAATGTTGGGGGTTTTATTAGAAAGAGAAATGTTACATATTGTTATGAAAGAAAACTCATTGGCACTAGCAAAGTTCTGGGAGCTAGCAAGCTGTAATTGGTGAGTGATGGCAATAGGTAAAACTAGCCTTAGAGGCAAGGCAGGTCATTTCGGCAGCTGGCTTGTGATAGAATTCTTGGGTAGGCATTTGTGTCCTGAGTGCTTTTCTTTTCCTCTCCCTGGTTCTCGGCTCTAATTTACTTGGGTAATAACAGATAATGCCAATTCATATAATCAATTTTCACATATAATTTACTCAGAACAAATTGTGATGCCAGTTTTGATGTCTTCATATTGTGATATGTATGCTATTGTTTAAGAATGAAGTGGAGCCAGCTGCAGTGGCTTGGGCCTGTACTCCTAGAACTTTGGGAGGCTGAGATGGGAGGATCGCTTGAGTCCAGGAGTTCGAGACCAGCTTGAGCAACATAGCAAGAGCCCTGTCTCCACAAAATTAAAAAACCATTAGCTAGGTATGCTGGCGTGCGCCTGTAGTTCCAGCTACTTGGGAGGCTGAGGCAGAAGGATTACTTGAGCCTGGGAGTTTGAAGCTGCAGTGAGCTATGATCCTGCCACTGCACTCCAGCCTGGGTGATAGAGCAAGACCCTGTGTCTCCGTGTCAAAAAAAAAAAAAAAAAAAAAAAAAAAAAAAAAAAGAATGAAGTGGAGGGGATGGGAATCATTGTTCTTTTTTTTTTTTTTGAAACAGAGTTTTGCTCTTGTTGCCCAGGCTGGAGTGCAGTGGCACTGTCTCGGCTCACTGCAACCTCCACCTCCTGGGTTCAAGAGATTCTCCTGCCTCAGCCTCCCAAGTAGCTGGGATTACAGGCACCCGCCACCACACCTGGCTAATTTTCATATTTTTAGTAGAGATGGGGTTTCACCATGTTGCCCAGGCTGGTTTAGAACTCCTGACCTCAGGTGATCTGCCCACTTTGGCCTCCCAAAGTGCTAAGATTACAGACATGAGCCATTGCATCCAACTGGGAATCATTGTTCTAAAAAGCTGTTGTTGGAGAATTATGAAATTCTGCCAAAGGTTGCATTTACAAGTATTTTCTTTATGCTGTTTAAAAGATTATTGGCTTTTCTGACTAGTGCCTTAAAGCTGGAGTTGGATATATCAAAGTGCTGTTGCATGATTATTTATGATTTCATTTTACTGCAGCGTAAATTTTTATAATGTCAGCATTTAAGAAATATTATTCCTGTCAACTTTACCAAGCCCTGAGTGGCTTCTTATATATTACTTTTCAGCATATTTGCTAATTTCCTCAAGCAGTGCTAGATATTCACTTTGGAATTTGCCTTTTGATGTCTCTTCTGTGATGAGCAGCCACCAAATAGCCCCCACCACATTCTAATTCTTTATTGCAAAAAGTAAAATATGGAGCACTGCATCTGAAAACCACTGTGCGAGACAATCTCATTTTTACTTTCTTTCTGCTTAAATATGCAATAAATATGTCTTCTGATAAATACAGTTCTAAAATAAAATAGTTTTGTGTAACATCTTGGAGTAAAAAAGAGAAAGAAATTTTTTTTTTTTTTAGACAGAATCTTGCTTTGTTGCCCAGGCTGGAGTGCAGTGGCACCACCTCGGCTCACTGCAACCTCTGCCTCCCGGGTCAAGCTATTCTCCTGCCTCAGCCTGCCAAGTAGCTGGGATTACGGCACCTGCCATCATGCCCGGCTAATTTTTTGTGTTTTTAGTAGAGACGGAGTTTCACCATGTTGGCCAGGCTGGTCTCGAACTCCTGACCTCGTGATCTGCCCACCTCGGCCCACCAAAGCACTGGGATTACAGGCATGAGCCGCCGCGTCCCACCAAGAAAAATTTAAATGTACGCAATGATTTTGGTGTGCTGCCGTGTCCCTGGGCACTACCTTCCTAGGCATTGCCAACCTTGTGGCTCCAGCCACAAACATTGTGACTCTGCCAGAGGGCTTGCTCTGGCAATGGAGCCTACTTGGCAGCAAATCAGCAGGCAGTAAGTGTCAGGGAGTAAATGCCCTTTGGATGACAATAATGAGTGGAAGTGGGAAGCTAAATTCTCCAGGTCCTTCACCCCTCATGTGAGATAACTCTAAGAAGTTTTATATTATCTCCCAGGGTTCCCCAGTGGGATCATTTGCAGTTACCCATGGCAGTAACTTGTTTGATAATGTACCTTTTATAGCTTTGGTTCTCATTCTGCTAAGGTGCCACCTGGGATTACCTCCCAAATTAGCCACTTTGTTTCAATTTTTTTTTTTTTTTTTTTTTTTTTTGAGATAGAGTCTCTCTCTGTCACCCAGGCTGGAGTGCAGTGGTGTGATCACGACTCACTGCAGCCTCGACCTCCTAGGCTCAGATGATCCTCCCACCTCCGCCCCCAAATGGCTGGGACTGCAGGTGTGCACCACCACATCCGGCTAATTTTTTATAGAGATGGGGTTTCGCCATGTTGCCCAGGCTGGTCTCAAACTCCTGAGGTCAAGTGATCCATTGGCCTCAGCCTCCCAAAGTGCTGGGATTATAGGTGTGGGCCACTGTGCCCAACCTGTTTCAAGTTCTTGTCTGCATGTCTATTTCTACGGGAACCCTAACTAGAAACTACATTTTTTTTTTTTTGACAGTCTCGCTCTGTCGCCCAGGCTGGAGTGCAGTGGCGTGATCCTGGCTCACTGCAACCTCCGCCTCCTGGGTTCAAGTGATTCTCCTGCCTCAGCCTCCTGAGTAGCTGGGATTACAGGCGTGTGCTACCACGCCCAGCGAATTTTTGTATTTTTAGTAGAGACGGGGTTTCACCATGTTGGTCAGGCTGGTCTCGAATTCCCAACCTTGTGATCTGCCCGCCTCGGCCTCCCAACGTGCTGGGATCACAGGCGTGAGCCACCGCACCTGGCCAGAAACTACATCTTTTTAAACAAAAATGACACTTACTTACTATATAAAATGTGAGAAAATATAATCAAGCAAAAGGAAGAACATATAACTCATAATTTTATCATTTAGAGAAATATGTATTATCGATATTTTGGTATATTTTCATTTGTGTTAGTATATCTAAAAGGATCATACTGTACATATTTTGTGAGTAAGTTTTAATTATAGGAACAATTATAGCAATCAGAAACAATTTCCTTTTTGCTTTTTCCCCAAATGAAAATTCTTCAGATTTGTTTTCTCCAATAATTCTTTAAAAAGTGTCAGTGTAATCTGTTTTTCTGAGATAACCATTGTTAACTATTCTGTATATGCTTTTTCTGACTACATATTTATATACTATATTAAAATATCAATGGAAGTGTATTTTATATATTATTCTGTAACCTGCTTTTTCATTAGCAATATTATTAACATAAAAAGACGAAAAGCATAGATGTTTATTGCAGAAAAATAAGAAAGTACAGATAAACAAAAAAGAGTATTAAAAATGAAAATTGGCCGGGCACGGTGGCTGACGCCTGTAATCCCAGCACTTTGGGAGGCTGAGGCAGGCAGATCACCTGAGGTCAGGAATTTGAGACCAGCCTGACCAACATTGAGAAACCCCGATTCTACTAAAAATACAAAAATTAGCCGGGTGTGGTGGCTCATGCCTGTAATCCCAGCACTCGGGAGGCTGAGGCAGGAGAATCGCTTGAACCCGGGAGGCGGAGGTTGTGGTGAGCTGAGATCGCGCCATTGCACTCCAGCCTGGGCAACAAGAGCGAAACTCCGTTTCAGAAAAGGAAAAAAAAAAAAAAAAGGAAAATCACATCTATTGTAACAATCCAGGGATAAATACTATTAATTTTGGTGTACCTTTTCTTATCTGTTTGTTTTTTGAGAGAGTGTCACTCTATTACCCAGGCTTGAGTGCAGTGGCACCCTCTCGGCTCACTGCAACCTCCCCCTCTGGGGCTCAAGTAATCCTCTTGTCTTAGTCTCCTGAGTAGCTGGGACCACGGGCACATACCACCACGCCCGCCTAATTTTTTGTATTTTTTTGTAGAGACGGGATTTTGCCATGTTGCCTATGCTGGTCTCGAACTCCTGAGCTCAAGAGAGGCACCTGCCTCGGCCTCCCAAAGTGCTAGGATTACAAGCGTGAGCCACCATGCTGGGCCTTCTTTTTTTAGACTTAAAAAAATTTCACATAAATATTCATGTAAATAATGAGTTTAGGAATGAGATCATACTATATAAACAGTTTTGTTAACTGTCACTTAGCAATATGCTGTGAGCATTTTTCTATAATGGTAAATATTAAGATATTGTTAATGACGATATCAAAACCTTTTAACCAGCTTTCATTTGCTAAAGTTTAGAATGTTTCTTGGTTTGCAAAAAAAATTTATAAATGGTATCATTATAAACATCCTTAGAGTTAAATCGTTGGGTGCATCCATTATTATTTCCTTAGGATACATTTCAAGGAGTAAAATTATTGGGTCAAAGGTTTATACTTTTTTTTTTTTTTTTTCTGAGACAGAATCTCGCTCTGTCGCCCAGGCCTGAGTGCAGTGGCGCTATCTCGGCTCACTGCAACCTCCGCATGCCGGGTTCACGCCATTCTCCTGCCTCAGCCTCCCGAGTAGCTGGGAGTACAGGCGCCCGCCACCACGCCCGGCTAATTTTTTGTATTTTTAGTAGAGACGGGGTTTCACCGTGTTAGCCAGGATGGTCTTGATCTCCTGACCTCGTGATCCGCCCGCCTTGGCCTCCCAAAGTGCTGGGATTACAGGCGTGAGCCACTGCGCCTGGCAAAGGTTTATACATTTTAACGAGTTTGATAAATATTGCCAAATTGCCTGCCAGAGGGGTTTTGCTAATTCATACTTCTAGTAGGGAAGGAAAATTACCTTCTTTTCCTCTGGTTTTCAACAATGTTGTTTATTATAACTAAAAAAAAATCTTATTACCATGGAATTCAATTATAGTACTTGTATTTCAAGCGATCCTTTTGCCATTGACTTTTAACTTTTGAAAGGTTTTTGAAAACTGTGTAATTTGTTTCAAATTTCTTTGCATGTGAATTGTCAAATTCCCCACCACCAGAGGCATCTATGTATTTCCTCTTATTAAGTATTTAAGCATGTGAGGTCTTATCATCCATATAAATTGTAATTCGTGTTCATAAGAATTCCAGTCTGTTTAAGTTAATCCATTTCTCTAAGATGTTAATAATTCATACCAAAGTCTTACCCTTACATTGTACCTGCTGCAGTGAAATATTATCCCCAAGCTGTTTTACTATAACAAGATCGACTTTTCCTACTTCTGATTTTAAATATTTACTTTCTTTCCTTTAAAGGTTTTGCAGATGTGAATGGTTGGCACCTTCGTTTCCGCTGGTCCAAGGATGCTCCCTCAGAACTCCTGAGGAAGTTCAGAAACTATGAAATATGAAATATCTCTGCTTCAAAAAATGAGGAAGAGCAAGACTGTCCCCTATGCTGCCAACATGCAGTCTTTGTTTATGTCTTAAAAATGTCATGTTTATGTCATGTCTGTGAATTGCTGAGTACTAATTGATTCCTCCATCCTTGAATCAGTTCTCATAATGCTTTTTAAATAAGAAAAATTCAGAAGATGAATTTCTTCCAATATTTGAATAAATTAAAGCTCTTAGATACAGAGTAGATTGTATTATATGCTTTTTCCTATTAATACTACTTATAGAAATCCATTAAAAAGCAATCTCTGTACAGTGTATTTAAATATTTCATTGACATACTGTGATCTCTATTAGTGATGGATGTACAAAAAATGTTTTCTTACCCTTGACTTACAATGAAATGTGAAATTACTTGTCTGAACCCCGTGGGGAGAAATAAATAATTTTCCCAAAGTTCATAAATGAATTTATAATTCAATTTTTTTTAGGGTCTTGCTCTGTCACCCAGGCTATGCAGTGGCATAATCATAGCTCAATACAACCTCAAACTCCTGTGCTCAAATTATCCTCTTACCTCAGCCTCCCTAGTAGCTGGGACTAGAGGCACACGCCACCATGTCTGGCCAATTTTTTATTTTCTATAGAGGTGAGGTCTTGCTATGTTGCCCAAGCTAGTCTTGTACTCCTGGCCTCAAGTGATCCTCCCATCTTGGCCTCCCAAAGTGCTCAGAATACAGGCATGAGACACCATGCCCAGCCTTGATGGTATTTTAAAAATAATTTGAATAGATATTTCTAACCTAATTTTAAAAGTTATGATTTATTTGAGGAAAAAAATATATGTATATATATATTTTTTAGATGGAGTCTCACTCTGTCACCCAGGCTGGAATGCAGTAGCATGATCTCAGCTCACTGCAACCTCTGTCCCTTGGGTTCAAGTGATTCTCCTGCCTCAGCCTCCTAAGTAGCTGGGATTACAGGTGCCTGCCACCATACCTGGCTAATTTTTGTATTTTTAGTAGAGACAGGGCTTCACCATCTTGGCCAGGCTGGTCTTGAACTCCTGACATTGTGATCCACTCGCCTCGGCCTCCCAAAGTGCTGGGATTACGGGTGTGAGCCACTGCGCCCAACTGGAAATTATGTTTTTACAAGATTTTTTGTGTTATATAAGCAAGTGATAATTTTTTTTTTTTGAGATGGAGTCTTGCTATGTATCCCAGGCTGGAGTTCAGTGTCATGATCTCAGCTCACTGCAACCTCCACCTCCCAGGTTCAAGCGATCCTCCTGCCTCAGCCTCCTGAGTAGCTATGATTACAGGAGTGTGCCACCACGCCCAGTTATTTTTTTTGTATTTTTAGTAGAGACGGTGTTTCACCATGTTGACCAGGCTGGTATCAAACTCCTGACCTCAAGTGATCTGCTCACCTCAGATTCCCAAAGTGCTGGGATTACAGGCATGAGCCACTGTGCCTGGCTGCAAATGATAAATTTATAAATTACATTCTAACTATGAAAATGAACCTGTTAGGTAATAGAACTTCTTTAGGTTGGAATTATTGATGAAAACATGTAGTCTATATTTACTTTTTAGCTTGCAAACAAGTGAATGAAAAATAAAGAAAAAAAAGGATTTTAGAGTAGAGGTTCCTTAGTCAGTGACAGAGTTTTCACTGGGCTACAGCACACTGAGAAAGATAAGAGTATAGTAAGTGCTGTGGCCTGAATGTTTATGTTCCTCCCAAATTCACATGTTGAAATCCTAACACCCAAGGTGATGGTATTAGGAGGTGACGCCTTTGGGAGGTGATTATGTCATGCGGGCTCACCCTCATGAATGGGATTAGTGCTCTTATGAAAGAGGATTGAGAGAGAGAGACCCCTTGCATTCCTTCCACCATGTGAGGACACAGCAGGAAGTCACCATCTGTAAGCCAGAAAGTGGGGCCTTACCAGATAATGAATCTGCCCTGATCTTGGACTTCCCGGTCTCCAGAAATGTGAGAAACAAAATATTGTTTTTTATAAGCTACCTAGTTTATGGTATTTTGTTAAGTAGCCCAGTGGACTAAGACAACAACTTTGTTTTCCATTTTTTTCCCACTCCCCTCCCCCACAGGCAGTGTCCTTTAAAAAGCTAAATTTATTCAGTATAAAGGGCTGTCTGTTATTTAGATGTCATGTCCTTCCAATCATTGTAGCTTATTTATTTATTTATTTATTTTTATTTTTTTGAGACGGAGTCTCTCTCTGTTGCCCAGGCCGGAGTACAGTGGCACAGTCTCGGCTCACTGCAACCTCCGCCTCCAGGGTTCAAGCAATTCTCCCTGGCTCAGCCTCCTGAGTAGCTAGGATTGCAGGTGCTCCAGAGTAGCTAGGATTGCAGGTGCCCGCCACCACGACTGGCTAATTCTTGTATTTTTAGTAGTTACTCAGGGTTTTACCATGTTGACCAGTCTGGTCTCAAACTCCTGATCTCAGGTGATCCACCTGCCTCAGCCTCTCAAAGTGCTGGGATTACAGGCATGAGCCACCGCCCCCGGCCACCTGTTTTTTTTTTTTTTTTTTTAACTTAAATTTTTGTAAATTATTTTGTTTCTTCCATGGTGATTTAGAGGGACTATCTTCAAACCAGCCATAAATAATATCTGGCTATTTTGTAACCAATTGAGTAATTTGTTGCACAATAAGCCACCTCACATCTTTCAGCAAGAAATACATTAAATTTGAATAGTAAAGACGTTACACAGTGAATTAGGACACGATTAAAATTTGCTTTAAATATTTCTTTGGGGGAAGGGACACCACACTTCTACTCAATGAAGAGGAACATTTTTACATTTCAGAGGTCTTTTATTATTTTTCACACCTATTATGCCATGAATTCATAGGGAATAGGTTCCAGCAGCTCAGGCGCCTTCCCATTGGTTCCCACAAAGTACACTTCTCCGGCTGGAGCAGGCTGGCGCTTCAGTTGAACCCAGGAACCTTTCTCATTGGCTTCCTTCTTTTTCTGATCATTTTCCTTCATGCGTTTCAGGAAGCTATCTCGGCTTTTAGAGTGTTTAATGTGCTCAATACATACATTAATTCTCCTGGCAAGAATCTTGCCCTTAACTCGTGTGTTTATAACAATGCCAACAGCATGCAGTAACACTGTAGACTCTTCCGGTTTTGCCCTGGTAACACTTGCGGGGCATTCCTTTTTGAACAGTACCCATTCCCTTATGCATACAATGTCACCTTTCTAATAGATTCGCATATACGGGGTCAAAGGAACAAGTCCATGTTTTCTAAAAGGCCTAGAGAACATCTATGGGTGCCTCTCCTCTTTCCCTTTGTGTTTGTTATTTTGGCGAATTACTGGAAGAGAGCGGTTCCCGCCAAAAGGCAACAATTGCCTGTTATAATGCCTGCCTCACCTATGTAGGCACCCAAATAAATACCATATTGAACAAGTGAATTTTTGAATCTAAGAATCAGGGTTTTATTTATTTTTTTTCTCTTTCCCCAGACTGTCTGATTTATAACACTGATGACTTTTAATGACTTGTCAAAGGCAAAAACACTTCACTCCCACGTTCCACTCTATTTTTGTTACAGACTCATTTCCCAATTGTCGACAAGATTGAGCACCAGCTCTTGTTTACTTTTCTCTTCCATAATGCCTGAAGCCTCCAACATGAAAAAGAGACATTGCTCCACTTTAAAGGAGGTTTATGGTGGGGCAGGCTTGTACTAAGCACTTTATATACTTGATCCCATTTAACTTAGTAGCAGACCTTTTAAACTTAAACACTTAAAAATACTCCCCTGAACTCAAAGTATAAAAAGGGAGGGGACTGTGCTGTGATAATGCAGTCTTTTGAATGGAAAGTAAGAAGAAAACAGGACGTTTCTTCAATAATTCAGTTCAGTTCCCTGGTGTGTCCAGCACAACTATAATTGGGTGTACATATATAGAATAGCGCACTTTCAATGCCACTTATTTTTGCATTGTGGCTCAACTTCATGCTACGGCAAACTCATTATGAAAATATATTTCTACTTAATGATTATTAACCTCTAAGATCAGCAGCTCTAAATGAAGATATTTTCTCTTATATTTGATACTGACTGAATGAGACACATACTTCCTGAGAATATTATGTGATAAATATACTAGCATTTGTGTAGGATACACACACACACACACACACACACACACATATGTATCATACACAATACACATATTTTGTAGAGATGGGGTCTTGCTGTATTGCCCAGGCTGGTCTCAAACTCTTGGCCTCAAGTGATCCTTCTGCCTTGGCTTCCCAAAGTGCTGGGATTTTAGGTGTGAGCCACAACACCTGGCCTGTGTAGCATATAAAAAGGCTTATGCCATGTTTATGCACTCAAGGAGCTGATATTCCAGTGAAGTAAGACAGGTATGTGAATATCTGTCAGTTTAAAAGGAGTGTACTGAATTAGTTTAAATATGTAATGTGCTTAGAACATGAGGAGTAAGCACTATGTGTATTAGTTCCCATTCTTACTGCATTAGTGTGTGTTGAGGCACTATTTCTTGCATATCTTTCCTTAGATATCCCATGCATTTACACACATATATGTGTTTCTGTTCTTTACGCAAATGGTAGCACCGTATATCCACTGCTGAATAACTCCCATTTACTCAGTTAATATATCTTGGGAGTTTTTTCATTTTAGTGTGTGAATGCTACTTTATTCTTTTTACCTGCTACTTAGCATTCCATTGTGTGGATAAACCATACTTTTTTCTTTTCTTTTCTTTTCTTTTCTTTTGTTTGAGACAGAGCTTCGCTCTTGTCGCCCAGGCTGGAGTGCATTTGGCGCCATCTCGGCTCACTGCAAGCTTTGCCTCCCGGTTTTGAGCGATTCTCCTGCCTTAGCCTCCTAGGTAGCTGGGATTACAGGTGCCCACCACCATGCCCAGCTAAGTTTTGGAACCACACTCTTTTTTTTTTTTTTAACTTGTCCCTACTGATGCCTTTTCAAGCTATTTACAATTTTTTTGCAATCACAAATAGCACTGTAATGAACAGCTTTGTAAAAAGTATTTCTTCTATGTAAAGTATACCTGTAGGATAAATGCCTAGCACTGGAATTTCTGGATTAAAGAGTATGTATGTGCATTTAGAATTTGATTACCATATTCTCAGGAAAGCAATAGGTGCAATTTGACAGGTTTCAGAGATCTTAGGGCCACTGGATTAAAAAACCCAGGAAACATTGCTTATTCATTGAGATTCTTGCCTTTAGATTTTTTTTCACTCTAGACTGGACTTTGTTGAGTGGCTCAGTGTGAAGCACTGTGCTTATGGAATAATTTACCCAGCATCTTTCCTAGCCCCTAATACCAGGGACTGCCCAAGATATAAAGCAATAATAAAACCATAGTACACATTTCTTCTGGCACCTTCCACAGAGAGAGAGAACAGGTTTCTTTTTTGTTTTTTTTTTTTTCAGTGCTGTGGCTACTTGCCTTCTGGGTATCCTGAAATGTTGAAATACAATTCTAGAACATTTTTGTTCTTTTAAGTAAAGGGAAATTCAACAGAGCAATGCTGGGAAACCTAGGCAGAATTCACAATTTCCAATGAATACAAATAATTTTCAGTACCTGGACATATTCCCAGCCTGACAAAAATATGCTCCTTGGTGAGCAAATTAGAAATACAGAAAAGAGTTTGCAGATATTCCTTCTATATCACAGAGCTGGATAAGGAGAAGATAAGGTTGTTTTCCTGCTTATGAATTTTCATATCCTTTCGCTGCCCAGATCTGATGGTGGTTACAAGATCAATCACAGCAGCAAGCGTTGATGACTAATACAGTTATTGAGAGGAGTCTTTAATTTCCTGGAGGCAAACACCATTACTTGCCACTTCTACACCACAGACGGGAGTTGCCAGGACTACTGGGGAGTCAGTGATGGAAGAAATTGTAAAACTGATGCAATTACTGAGAAAATGATGAAATGTCTCACAATGAAAGGCTTCAATTCCCTTCAATTTCCGGTTCTGTGATATGCATCAGTGTGGCCTTGTCCACAGTATTATTACTTCTCAGCTCTCTGTGGCAACTCAGCCTCACAGTGGGAGAATATTTTGCATCAGGCAGTTCATTCTTACCCTTTCTCCTCCCACCTGGCCTCTTTTGTTTCTTCCAATATTTTTGCCTTGATTATTTCTTAAGTTATCTGTGGAATTTAAGAGAGGTTTGTGAAGAAGTGCATCTTTCTCTGGTTCTAAACTACTGTGGGACTTAGGGCAGATTACTTGCGCTCCCTGATACAGTTTCTTCTACCTGTGGCTAGATAAAAGGATCTCCCCTTTGTAGAACACAGGATCTTGGTCAAGGACTAGCCCCAAATTTGGCCAGTTTAGGACCTTGGGTGGGAGCCAGGACACTGTGGGAACTGGCAAGGAATTTGTAGGCCAAAAGTGGAAGTTGAGGATTGTCAGGGACATGGAAGGCAGAGAAAGAGGATATGTTTTCTCCATCATTCCTTTCTAATAACTCGTCCTTTCTTACTAGTCTTTTAAGTAAAAGGACAGAGACAGAAAGGGAAAGATTATACTTAATTAGGTACATCTATATACAACAGCCCCAAACACCTCAATTATCTTTTCACATTCAGCTGAGTTTGATGCTATTCTAGACAGCATCCCACCTTTAAAGACAAGGGTGAAATTTCTATAGTAAATACTTTCCAGTTCATTAGAGCTGGAAATGAGGCTCTAAACTAGGTCTAATAATAATACCAACAGTAACTACTACCTTTAATAATAATTTCCAAAGCATTTCCTGATATAACTTGTTTGAATCTCACAACTAATCTCATTTCAATGTAGCTTTTGTTACATTTTAAAAACCACAATAGAATGGAAAACATTTTTTTCATTCTATTTTTTTTTTTTTTTTCTTAAACCACTGGTTCTCAACCTTGGATTCAATGGGGAATATGAAAACGCTGCTTCTCACCAGTGACACTGTGAAGTATATATTTGGTCTTTATTTCTATTTACTGTCATAGGGCTCTTAAAACCCTTGGAATCTCTGGAATGATGTGTCTTTTGTATGCGAATGAGATGACTGGTGGCAGGATGCAGCTTGGTCACTGGAAAGACCATGGCATGATTAGAAGGTTGGAACTTTCAGCCTTACCCCCCAGGAGAAGAGAGAAGGGCTGAAAAGTTGATCACCAATGGCCAATGATGTAATCAATGATGCCTACCTAATGAATCCTGCATAAAAACACAAAAGGACAGGGCTTGGGGAGGGGTTTCTGGATAGCTGAACACATGGAAGTTCTTGAAGGGTGGTGCCTGGAGAGAACACAGAAGCTCCACGCCCCTTCCCACATACCTTGCCCTATGCATCTCTTCCACCTGGCTGTTCACCTTGGGAAAGAAAAGAAAGAAACTTTTTTTGAGATGGAGTCTTGCTCTTTCCCCAGGCTGGAGTGCAGTGGCGTGATCTCGGCTCACTGCAACCTCCGTCTTCCGGGTTCAAGCAATTCTCCTGCCTCAGCCTCCCGAGTAGCTGGGATTACAGGCACGCACCACCACACTCAGCTAATTTTTGTATTTTTAGTAGAGACAGGGTTTCACCATGTTGGCCAGGATGGTCTTGATCACCTGACCTCAGGTGATTCACCCTCCTTGACCTCCCAAAGTGCTGGGATTACAGGCGTGAGCCACTGCGCCTGGCTGAAAAATAAACTCTTTATATTAATTTTGCCTCAGTCTTTTTTTAGGTCGACAACCTGTATTTTCTGTAATATCATATATGATAAATGAGTAAATGTAAGTAAAGGATTTCTCTGATTTCTCTGAGCCACTCTGGCAAATTAATGAAACCCAAGGAGGGGGATGGTGGCAACCCTGATTTACAGTTAGTCGGTCAGAACCATAGGACACAAGCTGGGGCTTGCAATTGGTATCTGAAGTCGGGGAGAATCTTGTGGGACTGAGTCCTCGCTCTATGGGATCTCATGCTATCTCCAGGTAGACAGTGTCACAATTAAATTGAATTTGAGGACACCTTGCTGGAGAATCTGCTGGAGAATTGACTAGTTGGTGGTGGGGAGAAATCCCCACACATTTTAGTTACCAGAGGTGAAGCATTCTGCATAATAGAGGAGGATAGGCAAAACGCTTTGGTTTTCCCAGTATCTCAATACCACCCCACTCCACCAACCCCAGATTTCATGTTTCTGGGTAGGAATTTTACAAATCTCAGGTAATTCTAACGTGCCACTAAGGTTGAGGATCATGGTGGCTTAAACGATACAAGCTGTAGGTGAAATGATTAATATCTTGGTGGCTCTCCCTCTTCCGTGTCACCTGTTATTTTTAGGAGTCGCCATGACCCGAGGTGCACTTCGCTTGAGCTCCCAAACGGGTCTATGACCTAGGGCGGTCCCTGTCTCTGCCCTAATTCTCTGATCCTCAGCTCCATCTTGGAGCGCCCCCTGCTGCTGAGTACCTGCTGGTGGAAGAAAGGCGGTCCCCTCTCCTGGCAGCTTCCTTCTCGCCAGACTTCAACTTGAACAGTTTCTCAGTGTCTGGAACTCACCCTTTAACCATGCGGCCACAGATCCTGACTGTCGGGCCTGGTAGGGAGCACAGTCCTAGCTTTCTCTGACCATCTCCCTCCTCTCTCATCTTGTTCCCTTGCAAATGCCTTTCCTCCCCAAGCTTCAAAAAAGAAACACCTGGGCCTATAAAGGACAAAAGATTCCGCAGTGTGTGCGTGTAGAGGGAGAGTGATGTGTCTCCACTAGTAGCAGCTAGCTAAAAATACTGTTTTAGAAATTCCAATAGTGTTCAAACAAGGTGGGACAGAAAATGTTAGAAATAGAAGCTGTCAATCATTTGATGTGAAGGTTGTTCATCAAACAATCCTTAAAGAGAAATAGCTGTGTAGTGTTAGGCAAGTCCCTTCTTTGAATCTGTTTCCTCCCTTGTAAAATGAGGAAATATAAAATTAAACTAGGAAAATTGTGAATCAAAATCAGACTGACTGATTTAAAAAGTTATTTTCAGGTCTAAATTCAAGGACTCAGGGAGTTTCTTTATCACAGCAAGGCCGCTACTGGCAAAACACACATTGTTCATGGTGTAAAGTGTGTTGGCGAAGAGGGTAGCTCTGGGGATGGCACTTACGAGCAGTGTGATGTTAGGCAAGTTCATTAACCTCCCTGTGCCTCAGTTTCCTTATCTGTAAATCTGTAAAATGGAGATGGCAACTACCTTTGTGTAGGACACAAAATATTAGCTGTTAATAGTAGTGCTATAGTTTTTTTTTTTTCCCCTTCAAGACAGAGTCTTGCTCTGTCACCCAGGCTGGAGTGCAGTGGCACCATCTTGGCTCACTGCAACCTCCGCCTTCCAGGTTCGAGCGATTCTTCTGCCTCAGCCTCCTGAGTAACTGGGATTACAGGTGTGCAGCACCATGCCCAACTAGTTTTTTTTTTTTTTTTTTGAGAGGGAATTTCACTCTTGTTGCCCAGGCTGGAGTGCAATGGCCCGATCTCGGCTTACTGCAACCTCTGCCTCCCGGATTCAAGGGATTCTCTTGCCTCAGCCTCCTGTGTAGCTGGGATTACAGGTGTGCACCACCATGCCTGGCTATTTTTGTATTTTCAGTAGAGACGGGGTTTCACGATGTTGCCTAGGCTGGTCTCAAATTCCTGACCTCAGATGATCCACCCACCTCGGCCTCCCAAAGTGCTGGGATTACAGGTGTGAGCCACCGTGGCCTGCTAGTAGTGCTAGTAGTTTGAATGTGATGTCCTTTGCAAAATTCATGTGGAAATTTAGTTTCCATTGTGGTGATATTAGGAGGTGAAGCCTTTCGGGAAGTGATTAAGTTGTTATAGAGCAAGCAATGGGCTTGCTGCCCGACACCCATAGAAGCCAATACTGTGGCACTGGCTTTTGAGAAAAGAAAGGCCTTATTGTAAGTCAACTGGTAAGGAGATCGGAGGCAATGCTAAAATCTGTCTCTCCAACCTGGGAGCTGGGGCAGATTTTATAGGCAGAGGGTAATAAGGCATGATATGATTAGATCTTGCCATGAGATGAGGCTGGGAGGTGTGATCTGACTGGATCATGCCATGGGGTGAGGCCAGGGCTTGATCTGATTGGATCATGGATCATGCCATGATGTGCTTGCTTCTTAATTCAGTCCTGGTTCCTTGGTCTGAGCACTTAGGTTCCACCTGTGGTTGCATGCTTGGTTCATCTGAGCATGATGAGGTTATTTAACTTGCAACCTGGGGGTCCATGGCAATTGAAAAACAACTCACCATTTTATCACACAAAGTAGAACCTGATTGGGTTGGTTCTGTGGTTAAGAGTCCTTAAGGCTCTACCCTCATGTATGTATGAATGCCCTTATAAAAGGGGCTTCAGAGAGAGTTTGCCTTCTTGCTCTCCCCTTCCTTCAGCCATGCGAGGACACAGTGTTCCTCCCACCTAAGGATGCAGCAACAAGGAACCATCTTGGAAGCAGAGACTGGGCCCCCACCAAACACCAAACCTATAGTGGTGGACTTCCCAGCCTCCAGAACTGTAAGAAATAAATTTATGTTATTTGTAAACCACCCAGTCTGTGGCATTTTGTTATAATGGCACAAATGGACCAACGCAAGCAGCAACTGGGAAAGAAAATTAGAGAGTCACTAAAACTATTTTTTCATCACTTTCCCATTTTCTGGAATAGTGCTCCAGCATCACCCAGAAGCTTGTAACAAATGCGAGTTTTTGGACCCCACCCCAGACCCACTGAATCAGAATCTGTGAGGTCTAAGGCCCAGGAATTTTTTTTTTTTTTTTGAGGTGGAGTCTTGCCCTGTTGCCCAGGCTGGATGCAATGACACGACCTTCGGCTCACTGCAAGCTCTGCCTCCCAGGTTCAAGCCATTCTCCTGCCTCAGCCTCCCGAGTAGCTGGGATTACAGGTGCCCATCACCATGCCCGGCTAATTTTTGTATTTTTAGTAGGGAAGGGGTTTCACCATACTGGCCAGGCTGGTCTCTTGGCCAGGTTGGTCTTGAACTCCTGACCTTGTGATCTGCCTGCCTTGGCCTCCCAAAATGTTGGGATTACAGGTGTGAGCCACCATGCCTGGCCGGAATTTGTTTTAATAGCCTCTCCAGGGGATTCTTTTGCATGCTAAAGTTTTAGCGGAACTGTTTTAGAATCTTGCTGCTCAAAATGTGGTCCAAAGCTCAGCATCACAAGCATTTGAATTTATTAGACTTGCAGAATCTTGGGCCCCACTTTGGATCTGCTAAACTGTAATCTGTGTTTTAACAAGATCCCCAGGTGTTTCCATGCTCAATAAACCTTGAGAAGCACTGCCCTAGAAATGTATCTCTAATATGATAGCCAATAAGCATACATGGCTATGAAAATTAAAATTAATTAAAATTAAATAAAATTCAACACATAGTTCCTTATTCACACTAGCCACATTTCGAGTACTCATGGAGCTAGTGGTTCCCATATTGGACAGTACAGATTATAGAACATTCCCATCATCTCAGTAACTTCTATAGGACAGTGCAGCTTTACAATAATCATTACCATTATCTTTTATAACTGTAGGGCATCTGGGAGGAGCAGATTGCCTGAGACAAAGTTGACAAGCTAATGTTTATAAGAGCCAGGTGGGTAAAGTAAATGAGTGAGGTAGGCCAATTATGAGAGAACCAGGAGCACAAACATGATAAGTGGCCGATGATACTCAACCCACATGCTGGGGCTACAGTAGGAAGTGGTGGGGACTGTGTGGTAACCTAGAAAAAGCATGTTTTGATCCAGCCAGTAGTTACTAGGGAGGAGGCTAGGCCCAGGATAGGCTGGGCTAGGCAGTTCTATTTTTGTTTGAGAAGCTAGAAATTTGGATTTTTATATGATTCTTACATTTTGATCACTAAATTAAAAATTAAAAAATGATGTACTGAGGCCAGGTGTGGTGGTTCACACTTGTAATCACTTTGGGAGGCCAAGGAAAGAGGATTGCTTGAGCCCAGGAGTTCAAGACCAGCCTGGGCAACATAGTGAGACCCTCTCTCTATAAAACATTAAAAAAAAATTAGCCAGGCATGGTGGTGCATGACTGTAGTCTCAGTTGAGGTGGGAGGATCACTTGAACCCAGAGGTTGAGGCTGCAGTGAGCTGTGATTGCAACACTGTATTCTGGCGTAGGGGACAGAGGGAGACTCTGTCTAATAAAAAAAAAAAAAAGCTATACACTATATACTGTACTGGCCAAGGAAACATTCCTGAAGGCCTAATTTCACTTTGGTGTTGCAACCTGGAGATCACACTGGCCTGTTCTGCCTTGTGATAAAAGAAACACTTCAGCCAGATTAAATTTAAAGGAGTTTAACTGAGCAATGAATGATTCATGAATTGGGCAGACCCCAGAATCATAGCAGATTCACAGAGACTCCAGTGCAGCCACGTGGTGGAAGAAAATTTATAGACAAAAAAAGGGAAATGATGTACAGAAATTAGAAGTGAGGTACAGAACGGCTGGATTGGTTCCAGCTCCACGTTTGCCTTATTTGAACACAGTTTGAACACTCAGCAGTCTATGAGTGGCTGAAGTATGGCTGCTGGGATTGGCCAAAACTCAACCACTGTTACAGGTACATACTAGTAAGTTAGGTTTTCAATTTTGTCCGCCTATTAAGCTAGGTTACGGTTTGTCCACAAGGACTCAAATATACAAGTACAGAATCCTTCTCAGGCCATGTTTAGTTTGCTTTAACACTTGCCAAGGTCAGCTGTTTGTCTTGTTTATATCTTCCTTTCCTGCCTCCTTTTCTTCTTTCTCCTCTTGTTTTGATCTTGTCTTTGCTTTCTCTTCCCTTTTCTTCTTCTCTTCCTCCTCTTCTAATTTTCTTTCATTCAGTAAGCATTTATTGAATGTGCCAGGCACTGCGGTAGGGACTCAGGATAAAAAGATGAACCAATATTGCCCCTTCCCTCAAAGAGCCCATAGTTTAGTGGTGGACTCGGACATGCATGTAGATAATGACAGGGCAATTTGAGAAGTGCTATAGTAGAAACATGTTCAAAGCCTTATAGAGTTGTAGATAAAGGAGCAAGCCAACCTTGTGGGGGAGGAATCAGAGAGGTCTTCATGGAGGTATGGATATCTGTACTGGCTTTTGAAGAATGCATAGGAGTTCTCCAGGATGAAGAGCTAGGATGAGAGGCAAGAGGGTATTTTTAGTGGAAGGAACAGTGTGGAGGCTTCACAGCACTTACTGTGTTTGGAAAGTGAAAGTTTCTAGGTGGCTGATGTGTAGGGCATGTACAGTTGCACATTAGACTTCCTTGTTCTTAAAAGTCTGCCAGCTAGCCTCTCCCCACCACTGTTTAAGCCACCTCACCGCCTTTCCGCAGGCTCCTTTCACCGTGGCCTTGAGACTCCTGGATCCACCATCTTCTTCTTGGCTCCTCTCTTCACCTTACCTCTGCTGTCTCTCTTTTTCACTCCTTCCCTCCCACTAAGATCTCCCTCCATCCACTTTAAATTCCTATCATTCAGAGCAGTTCAGAAATCCTCAAACCCCCACTCCCACAGTCAATTTCAGTGAGTGAAGTAATCTAGTGTTCAGCTCCACCAGAGGGAGAAAAAAGATGCTGAGATTGTTAGCCCACCTCCTAGGAAGGTGGTTTAAATATCAGTGACTCTGAGGACCTTATTTGAATGCTGATTCAAACTGTTATAAAACCAAGATAATTTATGAGACAATGCAAATCTGAATACTGACTGGATATTATTGATCAACATTTTAAGGTGTAATAATGTTATTGTGGTTATGTTAAAACAGAGTCTTTATCTTTGGAGATAGATCAGATGTTTACAGGTGAAAGGATATAAGGTCTGAGGTTTGCTTCAGAATAACACAGGAGAGGAGGGGGAGTGGATGGGGATACAGATGAAATGAGATTGGTAGAGAATTGATGATTGTTGAACCTGGGAGATGGATACTTAAAAGGTTCATCATACTAGACTCTACTTCTAAATATGTTTGCATATGTGTTATGCTTGAAATACTCCATGTTATTGAATTACGTTCCCCTAAAAGGTAGGCTGAAATTCTAGTCCCCTCTCACTTCTGAATGTGACCTGATTTGGGAATGGGGTCTTTGCAGATGTAATCAAGTGAAGATGAGGTCATTAGTGTGTGCTCTAACCCAGTATAACTGGTATCCTTAGAGGAAAACCCCATGTGAAGACAGAGACACACGGGAGAAGGCCATGTGATGACAGAGGCAGAGACTGGAGTGATGGAACTGCAAGCCAAGGAATGTCAAAGATTGATGGCTGCCACCAGAAGCTGTGACGGAGCAAGGAAGGACTCTCCCTTTGAAGGAGCATGCCAACACCTTGAATTCTAGGCTCCAGAACTGAGACAATAAATTTCTTTTAGTTTAGGCCAGGCACAGTGACTCATACCTGTAATCCTAGAACTTTGGGAGGCCAAGACAGGTGGATTGTCTGAGCTCAGGAGTTCAAGACCAGCCTGGGCAACATGGTGAAACCCCACCTCTACAAAAAATACAAAAAGTAGCTGGGAGTGGTGACGTGCACCTGTAGTCCCAGCTACTAGGGAGGCTGAAGTGGGAGGATTGCTTGAGCTTGGGAGGTCGAGGCTGCAGAGAGCCGAGATTGCACCACTGCACTCCAGCCTGGGTGACAGAGCGAGACCCTGTCTCAAAAAAATGAATAAATAAAAAAATTTCTTTTGGTTTAAATTACTTAGTTTGTGGTTCTTTGTTATGGTAGCTCTAGGAAACTAATACACTCTATCATAAAAAATTAAAAAATAAAGATTAACTACTTTCCTCCCTTAAATTCTTTTTCTTCTTCTTTTTCTCTGCTTCCTCTAAATAATCTAAATACCTTTATTATGTGTAGGTACCTAATAATCTAAATACCTTCATTATGTGTCCACTTTGGGTATGATTCTCTGTTACTTTTTTTTTTTGAGACAGGGTCATAGCTCTGTTGCTCAGGCTGGAGTGCAGTGGTGCAATCATAGTTCTCTGCTGCCTCAACCTCCTGGATTCACTCAATCCTCCTGCCTCAGCCTCCCAAGTAGTGGGGGCCACAGGCATGCAACACCACGCCCAGCTAATTTTTGTATTTTTTTAAAAAAATAGAGGTAGGGTCTCATTATCTTACCCAGGCTGGTCTCGAACTCCTGGGTTCAATAATCCTTCTGACTTGGCCTCCCAAAGTGCTGGTATTATAGGCATGAGCCACGACACCCAGCCTGCTCTGTTACTTTGAATAAGGAGGATGATACAGAACTGAAAATCCAAAAGTGAGAGGTTGAGGGGCAGATAAGGAAAGAGGGATTCTTAGAAAACTAGACAAAGGCATAAACAAGAACCTTCAACTCTACACAGCCTCACCAGGCCTCTTGCATGTCCTGAATAAGCCATGCTCCTTTGAGCCATTGTTAGTTCCTCTCGGGGTCATGAGACCTGGTTTTTGGTCCTAGCACTGCCATTTTCTAACTCGGAGATGGTGGACAAGCTGTTACATATAGAAGACTTGTTTTCTCCTCAGGAAAGTGAGGGAGATGAGTTACATGAGGAAGCCTTCCTTACTGCTCTTACACTGGCTTGGGGGCTCCTTCAGCCAGCACCTGCTCTAGCGTGCATCACACTGTCTTGTCCTCTGCTATCATCTGTGGCTATGGCAAGCCTGGGAGCTCTCCGAGGTAGGAAGTGTATTGTTCACCACAGGATCTCCTCTCTGAGCACCTGGCCTTGTAATGTAGCAGATGCTTAATGAAAGTAGCCAACATAACCACATTGTATTTATGGTAAATCTATGCAAACATTTGGTAAAAATTCTCTTTCAGAGGACTAGAGAAGAAGTCATACATCTGTGTGTATCTGTTTTAACTCTTTACTCTGGGCTCTGCTAGGGACTGTCCTTCCACATTCCTATTTGGAGATCAGTCTCGGAGACATCCCCCTCCTTACTCCCAGCACCAGGGCTTCCACCCTATCCATGCTATGGCGTTGGTTATACATTTGCTGCAATGCCCAGAACTGTGCTGAGGACAACTAAAGTGCTTGTCCAGGTTAGACTTTGTGCTTTTTAGTGCTGAGGGTTAAACTTTACAACTGGTTTCAGAGAGGAAACAAGAAAGTGACACAGTACAATGGGTGTTTAACAAGAACTTGGAAGAAGGATTTTTCTTTGCTCAAGGGAAGACATCAGCACTCTAGATATGCATGTACAGTTGAAGCCCTGGAGAAAAATGAGCCTGGGAAGCACTTCAAACAAATGCATGCTGGTTTCTTGAAGGCATGGAATGAAATTTTTCCTTAGGAGTGATTCCATTTCAGAAAAAACA
Organism: Homo sapiens; assembly: GCF_000001405.40. Classification (NCBI taxonomy): domain Eukaryota; kingdom Metazoa; phylum Chordata; class Mammalia; order Primates; family Hominidae; genus Homo; species Homo sapiens. Next base: position 67,780,693 of record NC_000010.11, on the reverse strand, counting down.
AGAATTTCAGGATGCAAAGTTACCCTATGATAAATGTATAATCTGATATTATAGTGATTTTAGCAGAGTGTACATCAAGATTTTAGCATTTGGGCAAACTTGTCTTACAAAAAGCCCAGCCCTTTGGGAGGCCGAGGCAGGCGGATCACTTGAGCCCAGGAGTTTGACACCAGCTTGGGCAACATGATGAAACTTCATCTCTACAAAAAATACAAAAATTAGCCAGGCGTGGTGGCACGTGCCTGAAGTCCCAGCTACTCAGGAGGCTGAGATGCAGTGAGCTATGATTGCGCCACTGTACTCCAGCCTGGGCAACAGAGCAAGACCCTGTCTCAAAAAAGTAAAATAAAATAGAAAAACCCCCAGCCATCTCTTTACTAGGTGATTTCTAAGATCTAAGCTTCTCTGCTTAGAATTTTTTATTCTACTTTCAAAGCTTCCCAAAGTAGGTTCTACCTAGATGAAAAGTTGATAGAGGACATGATAAGGAAGTGTAAAGGTTTCTCCTCCCCCACAAAATATTTACATGATCTCCAGAAAAAAATCTTCACGTCTGTAAACTCTGGTCACGTTTCTTTAGATGGCCACAAGATGGCAGCATTGGGCTAATAGTAGCAGAAGACTCCACCTAGCAAGCATTTCCAAGTAGCTGTGATGGTGCAAAAAGACTCCAGATCTGGTTGTTTCTATAACTCTACGGTGTGGTCTGCTATTATTGTTGTCCACTGCAGACATTTCATGAATAAAACCTAGCGGGGCTTGAAGATATCTTAAACAATCTAGCAATTCTGCAATTGCCCAGGCCAGTGCTGTCAGTGCAGAAGAGAAATACTTTTGTTCCCAAAGGGAATATGTGTGTGCCAAGAATCTGAAACTTTTTGCTATCTGAAAGCATTGTGGCCAGAAGTAAGATTGATGTGGAAGCTTAGATGAACATTTTAGGATGTTATGAAATAGGTGATACAACACTGAAAATATGTTAAATATCACTAAATGATGTTATAATGAATTGTCACTAGATGGTGGCCTTCAACAAGGTAGGGATATGTCTGTTTTGTTGACCACCATATCCTTAGCATACAAAAATATTGCCACAGTCTGGGCATGGTGGTTCATGTCTGCAATCCCAGCACTTTGGGTGGCTGAGGTGGGAGGATTGCTTGAGCCCAGGAGCTCAAGACCAGGCTAGGCAACACAGTGAGACCCTCCACCTCTACAAAAAAATTAAAATATCAGCCAGGCATGGTTGCATGCCTGTATTCCCAGCTACTCAGGAGGCTGAGGTGGGAGGTTCACTTGGGTCCAGGAGGTTGAGGTTGCATTGAGCCGTGATCACGCCACCGCGCTCAGCCTGAGCAACAGAGTGAGACAGTGCAGTGGCATGATCATGGCTCACGGCAGCCTCAGCCTCAACCTCCTGAGTTCAAGCCATCCTCCCCCTTCAGCCTCCCTCGTAGCTGGGACTACAGATGTGCACCACTGCACTCCAGCCTGGGTGACAAAGTGAGACCCTGTCTCAAAAAAAAAAAAAAAAGAAAGAAACGTTTCTATACACTGATTACCTTTTCTACCACCAAATCATGATCTTACAGTTTTTTCCACAATGATACTTTTGGAGAATGGGCTGAGAAGGAGCTGTTGCTGGGCTATATTCCCCTTCTCCCTCCTCCCAGCCTCATTTCCCCTGCCACCTCGAATATTCTCAGTATAGATATGCTTTCTATTTCAAGGATCTATACTAGTTTCCCAAAGTGTGATCAGGACAGCACTGCATCTTAGTTGTTTAAAAAGTGTAGATTCTTAGGCTCACCCCACATCTACTGAATCAGAATCTCCAACAGTGAGGTCCAGGGATTGTGTTTTTAATAAGCTCTCTTAGGTGATTCTTCTAATGTTTGAGAATCTCTGATGAAGAAGAACCTTCTACAGCCTTGGAGCCTGGTGGGTCGAGGAAGATACTTCCTCAAATAGCCTGTAAGGTAAGAAAAGAGTGAGGAGTGAAAGTTTAGACCACAATAGACACATATATCTCAGAATCAGTCAGTCAAGCCTAGCTACCCCTAATATCTCCCAAAGTGGATTCTGAACCATTACACTGTCAATGAGGAGCAGAAAGTGATGGGAATTAATTACTGTTATCTTTCAGGTTGCATTTTGCTTTGTATCAGTTATTTTTAATGCTGGAATGTGGGGCAAGTTGGGTAAAATGGGGAAGGGGTAGATAAATCTTAAAATCTAACAGAGTTATAAACTTTCCAAAAAGCAGATATTAAGACTATATATCCTCAACTTGAAATTTATTAGCCTCTTTCCTTTTAAATTACTATCTTACTACTGTGGTGCTCAATTGTTTCAGTAAGGATGCTCCCAAGAATCAATTTCAGCTGCAGTTTTAGGGCCTAATAACTGATTTGGTAGAAAGTTAGAAAGCCAGAAATTGAATAGCAAATTCAATTTAGTGGCAACTAGTAATCAAAGAAAAGCAAATTAAACAAAACTGAGTGTGTTTGCCTAGTAAATTAGCAAAAAATAAAAAAGGGGAAAAAAAGCTGTAAGCGATAATACTCAATGTAGACAAGGGTTCCATGATTCCAGTTTTCTTATACATTCTTGGTGGCCCTAAACATGGGTATAATTCTTTAGCAATGCAATTTGAAATACATATTTAGAGCCATAAACATGTTCATATCCTCTGCCTTAATATTTGCATTCTTGGAACTATAGATCTAGGGCTAAAGGAATGACACGAATTATGGAAAAAAGCTTGTATCATAAAGATACACATAACAACATTACATGCAAAGAAAAAAAGAGTTTAAGTGTGCAACAGTTGATTTCTTAAATTTGATGCAGCTACTTTGTAGTCTACTATAGAGCTGTTAAAAACAATGATTATGTCTCCAGAGACAGAACCAAAAAGGAAAAATAAAAAAAAAATCATGATTATGAAGACAAAGGAGCAGCAAAAAGTCCATAACTTTAATGAAAAATACAAAATATATGATGTTATCTTTTGTGCATCTCTGTATGTTTGAAATAGTCAATGATTTAATGATTTAATTTGTAATTTTGTAATTCTTATTTTTTGAAATGATTAGATATAGAATTAAGAATTTTTTTGGTGGGGGCTGGGGGCAATGGCTCATGCCTATAATCCCAGTGCTTTGTGAGGCAGAGGCAGGAGGATCACTTGAACTTAGGAGTTACAGATCAGCCTAGGCAACATAGCAAGATCCCATCCATGCAAAAAAGAAAAAAATTAGCTGGGCATGGTAACGCATGTCTTTAGTTCCGGCTACTCTGGAGGCTGAGGTGGGAGGATGGTTTGAGCCCAGGAGCTCAAGGCTGCATGCAGTGACCTGTCATTGTGCCACTGCACTCCAGCCTTGGCAATTTTTTTTTTTTTTTTTTGAGACAGGGTCTTGCTATGTTACCCAGGCTGTACTGAAACTCCTGAACGCCAGTGATCCTCCCACATCAGCCTCCTGCCTTAGCCTCCTGAGTAGCTGGGACTATAAGCACATGCCACCATCCCCCTAATAATTTAATTTTTAATGTAACCATATATTAGACAATATAAATATAGGAAAGATCAATGTGTTAAGGTGCTGGATTACGGATGATTATTTTCTCTGTTTCCCAGGTTTTTTGTAAGTCCGAGTCCCAGCTATCTCCTGTTTGTCTTTCCAGACCCACTCCGTGTCCTGTTCTCAGACACAGAGGCTGAGCAGTTGCGTTTGGCCAACAGGGAGGCCTAACTGGGGAGCAGAAGAAGGGAGATGAGTGAGGTGGTATATTACCACCCCAGCTCCCTCCCAGAAGGATCACCTTGCCCTGGTTGTGTCCTCTTTAGCAATGCAATTTAGGAGTATATATTTATTCTTCCTCAGGGGCAGCCCTAGCCTCAGAACTTTCTCCTTCAGGAATCTGGTGGCTGCCCTCTCCCTTCTTAGGGGTGATGGCAGCTCAGTGTCCCTTGTGGTTTCTTTATACTCTCCCTATACCTTTGTAGTCTTTTTATTAAATCTGAATAGAATTGTTCTAAATTGACAGTGCTTTCTGTTTCCTGCTGAGGCCCTGACTCATATAAGAAGTCTGATACTTTTATATTTTAAAAAATGTAGACAGCATCCACCAGAACCTGTGACATTGCAGCCCGAAGAGTCATGACAAGAAAATGTTACAGCTTTGTGGTAGATTTTAGCTGGAAAGATGAAAACCTCCCTATTTCCCCAGTAGCCAAACATTACCCCCACTGAGAAATCCTCAAATGTAGTAGTAATAATAATAGAGAGTAAAAAAGAGCAACTAAAAAACTGAGATGTGAAGATACAGCCTAGCCGGTAACAGGTTGGATGTTTTATAGAGACAATCTTGAGAAAAATGGTTTGAGTGTTATTTTTTAAAAAGAAGCTTTAAAAGCAGTGGGAGAAAAAAAAACCCAAAGAATAATTCAGAAAGACATACTACTTGAAGGTATTGCCGATGTATTAATATGTGCTAGAAATAAGTGGCTCAGGAGGCATCAATATGCCTCAGCCCTGGTCATTTTTCAAGCCTGGATGAATGTAAACCAAAATCAAATAGTCACAAGTAGATTTGAACGATATATTGGCTAATTTTTGTGGCAAAAGCAGGAATAGGAGAAGCAGTAGATAACAGCATCTCTGAGCCTTTTTGACTGCATTTTAGAAATAAATTGGTTTCCAGAATGAATGTACCTTCAAGTCGGTCTTGCAAAGGAGTTGGGATTGTGTCATGATATACATGTAGGTATTGAAAAAAATTCATAGTTATACATCTCACCCCTGAAAGGTTCTGCAAGCAGAAGCAGGAACTGAGAGTGGGTCTCATGGATCTCCCACCCCTCTCTTGCTTTATAAATGACCCTTGCTACTCTGCAGGGAAGGCTCCAGACCTACTTTCTCTGTAACTCCAGTCATTATCTGTCCCTCTTCTGAGCCAGAGGCAGTGAGTGTTACACCCAGAAGGTATTTGAGTTAGCAGAGGCTATGGTCACAGAAATTATGACTGGAGCATCTTGAATTGTTGGTAAAAAATTCCAGGAAGTCCAGTCTTTCTGGGGAGCTTATGGAGCTAAGGAGAAGGGAGAGGAGACAGAAATAGTAAAGAAAGGAACAGTTTCTAAGAATTGACTCATTTGAGAAGTCATAAGGTAAAGGAATACTTTTCCTTCCGGCTCTTTCTTTTCCCAGGAAATGGAATAGACTGAGGTGGGAGTGAGTGTGCTTCCTTTTTCTAGGGTATTTGCGTAGGCTGTTTTTCTAGGACTGCTGGACTGTAGTGATTTCTTGTGCCCAATTCCTGATACCTGAACAAAGGGCTGACCCCTTCTAATTCTGGATGACTTGGGTTAAGATTCCTGCTTTAGAAAATCTCACATATACAAGAGTTTTTTTTTTTTTTTTTTAGTAAGCATTTGTTTTTGGGAAATCAAAAGATTAGAAACAACTTTAATGGTCTTCAATAGGGATTTGGTTAAATAAATAATGATCTATTTATTCTGAGGCAGTGAGCTCTACCTGCAGCTGGCATATGAGTTAGCAGAGGCCACTTTTAATGAGCCAACTCTTCATACAGAAAGATAGTGTATACCTTTAAATAACAAAACCAGGGTTCAGAACATTTTGAATAATATGCTAACATTTGTGTACAATATGTATGTTCTTGTATGTGCATAAAGAATACATTGAAATAAAAAGTGAGAAACTGATAACTGATGGCCTTTGGGAAGGGGACCTCGGTGGAAGGAGGACAGGGGTGAGAGGGAGCCACTGTGATTTTTGAACCATGAGAATATATTACCTATTCAATAAGCAAATTAATATTATTTAATAACAAAAATCACTGCTTTGTCTTGCCATGAAATAAGATTCTTGGTGTTTTAATTCTTGACTGTTTTTCTAGTATACCTAGCTTTTCTGGAGTATTTCTTTTTCTTTTTTAATTTTTTTGAGACACGGCCTCGCTCCATCGCCCAGGCTGGAGAACAGTGGCGTGATCTTGGCTCACTGCAACCGCTGCCCCCCGTGGTTCAAGTGATTCTCCTGCCTCAGCCTCCCAAGTAGCTGGGACTACAGGTGCCCGCCACCACGCCCGGCTAATTTTTGTGTTTTTAGTAGAGATGGGGTTTCATCATGTTGGCCAGACTGGTCTCGAACTCCTGACCTCAAGCCACCCGCCTGCTTCAGCCTCCCAAAGTGCTAGGATTACAGGCATGAGCTACCATGGCCGGCCTTGGAGTATTTGTTGAAAATGAGACCAAACATAAATTAGTTATTGCTTATATATATTTAAATTTATTTGTGTGTATGTTCTTAAATCTATGTGTGTGCATGTGTGTGGAGTGTGTGTGTGTGTGTGTGTGTGCATGTTGAGGAGTGTGTATGTTCCAGGAAACCATTAAGGACTGGAGAAGTTTCTAGCCAAGGATGTCAATATGTGAAAGGACCAGAAATTGCTATTCTGTTCTGTGGGAGTGTGTAAGGCAGCCTAACTTGTCTTATGGAGTCATGCTGGGCAGTAGTATGAGACAAAGTTGAAAAGATGTTAGGGCCAAATTATGAAGGGCCTTGTGAATGAAACTGGGAAGCTTGGCCTTTACTCTGCCAGCCACCTACTGGACGTCTGCGGGCAGGAGAGAGTGGTGGTCAGAACGGTGTCTAGAAAGAGGCCATGGTGGTTGGGCATGGTGGCTCACGCCTATAATCCCAGCACTTTTGGAGAACGAGACAGGCAGATCACCTGAGTTCAGGAGTTCGAGACCAGCCTGGCCAACATGGTGAAAACCTGTCTCTACTAAAAATACAAAATTAGCCGGGCGTGGTGGTGCATGCCTGTAATCCCAGCTACTTGGGAGGCTGAGGCAGAAGAATTGCTCGAACCTGGGAGGCAGAGTTTGCGCCACCGCACTCCAGCCTGGGCACCAAGTGCAAAACTCCTTCTCACAAAAAAAAAAAAAAAAAGAGGCAATGGTGATGGTGACTAAACAGCCTTACGCAGTCCAGGGATGCCAGGAGAGAAGGCTCCTCCAAGTCTTTCCTTTCAAGGATAGAATATCTCATATTCAGGGGTCATTGACACATATCATGCAGTTGATATATATTTTTTAAAAAGTGTTCAGAGCTGAATCTGGAATGATGAATGTTACACAGGCTGGGGAATTATATTGTAAAACCAATCATGAGCTATAATAGGCACCAAAAAAAAAAAAAAAAAAAAGGCCTAGATCAGAGAGAATGTCAGAGCAGCTGCTGTTAGCCTCTCAGAGATGGCCTCATGCAGTCCCAAACACATCCTCAGCTAGAGTCAACTCTGGGCAGCTTTGTACATCAACTCCCAGGGAACTTGTTCCTCCCTTTATCCAGCTCAGAGAGACAAAAGAGCAAAGAACATTCCACTCCTTCAATAACATGAGTCAAATGGCCTTTTTTTATCCCTGTCCAGTGGCTCCCTTGAGTTGGTTGCAGATACCTCTATGAGGGACCCATTCTGGTGAAAAGGGGAAGAGAATACCAGCATGTGATCTCATCTTCACTTCCTCATCTATAAACTAGCTGTGGTCTGTTTTGGATGTTAAATGAATGAACACTCATCACAGTGCCTGACCTGTGGTTAGAACTTAGAAAATGGCAGTGACTGCTGACAATGCCATGAGGTAGAAGTAATTATTATTACCACTTAGTGGATAAGGAAATTAAGGCTCAGAGAGGTTATGCAAACTGCCCAAAGTTACATAGCAAGAAAGGGAAGGAGCCTATATTTGATGCTTGGTTGCTCTGACTTCAAAGTCTCTGTTTTTCCTATTCCTTCAAATTCTTCCTATTCCTTCAAATTACTTCACAAATAAACTTGCAAACCTGGTTTCAGGTTACATCTTAACATGCTCAAGGGCTGAAAAGCTTTGTTTACAACAGCAGATACAGTACTAACTACAGAGAAAGGAGAAACTAGGTAAGCATTTCCAGGACCTGCACCCCATCTGCTGTCAAGTGGAGCAGACAATCCCAGTGTACATGAGAGGATTCTGGAAGGATTTGGGCCATTCTGATGTACTGAGATAAAATGATCTTAAAAAACATTCATGTCCTTTCTTGGTATCTTTGTGTTAATGGAAATAATGAGATTTCTTGGATGTGTATAAACCAGGAAGAACTAGTGAAACGTCAACCAGCCTCTTGACAGTGTCCCACTTAATGATATCTTCACAGTGATAACCTGGGAAGAACTTTTTTTATTATAGTGAGGAGAGTCCTCTAGAGCAGAAATAAACTATAGCCACAGGCCAAATCCAGCCCACTGTTTTTGTAAATAAAGTTTTATTGGAACACAGTCACACTCATTTGTTTACAGATTATCTATGGCTGCTTTTGTGATACACAGGCAGAGTTGAGTAGTTGCAACAGAAACCATATGGCCTGCAACACCTAAAATATTTACTGGCTGACCTGTAGAAAAAGTTGCTAACTAATCCCTGCACTAGAGGTGGGTACCAAAATTAAGTGCAGCATTTCTGTGCTCCAACATCCTAAGCACAGGTTATTTCAAAACACTAGCATTCTGTCTCCAATGATGGAGACAGATGTCTTTACATCTGGAAGACAAGTAGCTTTCAGAGGGATACTGTGTATATTCATCTCTTGGAATGACTTGTGGTGTCAGATAAAATGTGTCTAAAGTTCGTGTGCTGAACAATTTTTTTTTTTTGAGACTGAGTCTTGCTCTGTTGCCCAGGCTGGAGTGCAGTGGCACAATCTTGGCTCACTACAACCTCCACTGCCCAGGTTTAAGAGATTCTCTGGCTTCAGCTTCCGAGTAGCTGGGATTATAGGCATGCGACACCATGTCCAGATAGTTTTTGTGTTTTTAGTAGAGACGGGGTTTCACCGTGTTGGCCAGGCTGGTCTCAAACTCCTGACCTCAAGTGATCTGCCTGCCTTGGCCTCCCAAACTGCTGGGATTACAGGTGGAACCCACTGCGCCTGGCCTGAACAAATGTTTTGATAATTGTGTCTCAAATGAATATGTTTGGGAGGGAAATATATTCCCCAAGAGTCTTTGTAGACCTATGTTATGTAGGAGGTTTTATTAGAATAAAAATTAAAAGAACAAAGGGGGCTCTGAGATCCCTGGGGTGGGGACCAGGAGATTTATGAGTCCAGCAGACAGGAGCTGTGCCCCACCTCAGCCCCTGAGTGAGAAGCTTGTCAGCTCTAGCCTCTTCTCCACCCCGACCTCAAGCAGCAGAAAGCATCACAAGCATAAAGCCCACAGGCCACGTCCTCTGTCACTGGATTCTTCTAAATAGTCTGAGATATGAATGGAGAACTGGCCTTGCTCATGCATGCCTCCCTTGGCAGCCCAGCACCAGACAAAGCAGCTGAGGTAAGACTAAGTCCATCACAACCACTCTCTGGGCTGTGAGAGCCTGTCTCAGGACCCAGGATCCGAGGCAAGGGAAGGGAATGGATATTTTAAGAGCATGTGTGTGAGATGGTGGGAAGGAAACAGAAATAATTCATTTCCTGGGGCTTCTAGTCTATGAGCCTGGGTGAGCTTGACTGACCAACTTCATGCAGATTGGGAAAGAAACTAGTCATTGGAACAAGAGCTGAAAGCTCTATGTTTTCTTCATCAGTGCTTCAGATAGAACAGGATATCTGTTTTACCTGAAAATTCCAGTGTCAGAGCCTCTGTCTCTCTCACCCCTGCAGGAGCTAAGACTTAGGTATTATTACTAGTTGTTTGCACTCTAGTATGTAGAAAGAGCCTGAGACCAGATGTTTTTGGGGACATGGGCATATTGGGAAACAAGACTCCAGAAATGGGCATTCCCTCCAGAGGGGACTTGAAATGCAAGCTTTACACAGGTTGTAGGCCAGCCCTATCTCTCACTTCCTTTTTCTACTGCCTCACTACACAACAATGCCTCCATTAATGAAACCTCTGAGGATGAAACTCCTTTACAATGAACATGTTGAGTTAAAACAGAACAACAGCTTCATAAATCATGCTAAACAGTGGTGCAATATATCAAATGGTTGAGCTGCAATATTCCTGCAGATCTATGCACTCAGGGCACAAATCTCTTCAGGCACAGTTTTGATTCATCCCCAAAGCTGCAGGAAAACAGTTTACCCTCTGCTTCCCACCCCTTCAGGTGTTCTGAGACCTCTTGCTTTCTGATCCTCACAATCACAAAATTCACTCAACAATATTACTTATTGAAGGCCCATTAAATAGCAGATAAGGGGATTTTGTGGTTTTACACACACGTGTACACACACACAGAGACATTAAGCAAATATTTCACACTAAAATATCACAAAGCATGATGTGTTGTGAAGAAAAAGAGTAAAATGGTATGAAATTACATAAGAAGGAGGACTGATCAGTTTGATGGGGAGGGAGACATTGGAACATGTACAGAATTCCTAAGGTGGGAAAGAGTTTGGTCTTTTCAAGGAACTAAAAGAAAAGAAAGTACATTTGGCTAGAGAATGACAGGGAGAGGCCCGGTAATTATGCCATGCAGGATCATGGAGAGCTATGGGGTCATGCTAGTGATTCTAGTCTTTATTGTAAAAGCACATGGAAATCCCCAGAAGAGTTCTCAGGAGGAAGGTTATAAGACCAAATGTGCATTTTAAAAGAAAAATTTATTTTATGGAGAACAGATTGGAGGGGAGGAAGAGTGGATTGGAGGAGATAATTAAGAGGCCGAGAAGTAGTTGAGATGAGAGGTAGTGTTGATTTGGACTGGGTGGTGGTAGTAAATATGGAACAAAGTTGATTCTCAGCATATTTAGGGGCAAACTCAATGGCACTTGGGTTGAATAGGAAATGGGTTAAGGAATAGGGAAATATCAGGATCATTCCAAGTGGGTGTATCCTGCTCCATGGCTGGAAATGCCACAAACTGGAATGGATTTGGGACCTGGATTTAGAAGGGAAGGATAATTGTAAATTTAGCATTTCTACAGATTAACTGATTACAATTTGCAAAAAATTCACTTCAGTCTATTTATGTTTAAAACCTTTGAACACTGATCAGAAAGTTGCAGGACCTAATTTCTACTAAAGGAAGTAGGTAGAAAAACATTTGGGAGAAGGGGACCTTGATATTATAACTTCCTCTGCCTTCGAAGAGGGGTCTGATTGCCAGGCATGTTGAGGCACAGGGACAAGGCTGAATTGCTGTGTAACATAAAAGAATGAAAAAGCTGGGGTCTTGAGAGAAAATCCTCAAGACAGTGCATCATGTGAGGTTGGGTCAGAAAAAGCTGGCTCGAGGGGATGCACAGGAGGGTTGGTAGTGGATAAGAGAACTCTGGAGAAGAGAAATGTGGAAAGAGGAGTTGAAATGGTTTCCTCTGAGAAGAGGAGTGCACTGCAGAACCTCTTCCACATCCACCCCCACCCCTTCCATGGATTTTTCTTTGCTCATCATGGAGAGAGCTAAACCTCGAGTTGCATGGAGGCCAGTTGGAAAGTGAACATTCTCAAGGAGACAAAGGTGGGGGTGACCCATGGAGGCAGAGGTCTGTATGTACTTGCCTCCTGGTTCTGTCTGCCCTTTCAGTGCTAGAAGACAAAGAATGGGAAGAAAAGGTAAGGAAAAATATGGAAAGGGAAGGAAGGGTACATAGGCTGTTGTCCTCTGCCCTCTTTTATATTAAAACTATTCTAGGTGGGGGATACTCAATATTACAATAAATTATACTAAGGCAAAGATTAGTGACCTTCAAAAGGAGAACAGCATGTTAAGCCCCTCCTTTCTCTCCCACTTTTTTTGGGCATTCTAGGGGTGAAGTTTGGACATGTGCTGACGTCCATACTTCAGCATTTCTTCTTTGATGAAGAAATGAATATTCATTCATTTCTTCATCAAAAATTTGAGTCCCTTTTCTGTGGTATGTAGGGGCACAAAAATGAGAGATATGATCCCTTTACACATCCTCAGGGAGTTTACCATTTAGTGGTAAGAAAGACAAACAGGCAGAAATAGTGCAATGTGAGCCTTGCTATAATAGGAAATGGGAGAATTAAAGGGGTTTCTGGAGGCTAAGCACTGTAGCTCAGGACTGTAATCCCAGCACTTTGGGAGGCTGAGATGGGAGGATCCCTTGAGCCAGGAATTTGAGACCAGCCTGGGCAACATAGTGAGACCCTGTCTCTACAAAAAAATAATAAAAAAAATTTAGCTAGGCATGGTGGTGTGCACCTGCAGTCCAAACTACTCAGGAGGATGAGGTGGGAGGACCAATTAAGTCCGAGGCTGAGGCTGCAGTGAGCTGTGATTGCCACTGCACTCCAGTCTGGGTGACCAGAGCAAGGCCCTGTCTCAGAAAAAAAAAAAAAAAGAAAGAAAAAGAAAAAGAAAAAAATATAAAAAATAGGGTGGCTTTATTTATTTATTTATTTATTTGGAGATGGAGTCTTGCTCTGTCCCCCAGGCTGCAGTGCAATGCTGGGCTCACTGCAACCTCCACCTCCTGGGTTCAAGCGATTTTCCTACCTCAGCCTCCCGAGTAGCTGGGACTACAGGTGTGCACCACTACGCTCAGCTAATTTTTGTATTTTTAGTAGAGACAGGGTTTTGCCATGTTTGCCAGGCTTGTCTTGAACTCCTGACCTCAGCTGATCCGCCCACCTCCGCCTCCCAAAGTGCTCGGATTACAGGTGTGAGCCACCGCATCCTGCCTAAGGGGTGGCTTCTGAATCAGCCTGGGAGATTTTGCAGGAATGCTTTCCCTAAGAAGTGAGACTTGAAAGAATATGAGTTTTCTTAGCAGAAAATGATGGGGTGAGAGGGGGTTATACTATAACTTTTGGAAGCCAAAAAAAATTTTTTTTTGAATGGGGCTGATTTAAGCAGAAACTCATAGGAACTTACTGGAAGGATACTGAATAGTTTGTAGAATTGCCAAGAAGGCTGCAAAATCACTTTTGGAAAGTAGAACAGGAGTAAGTTAGGGTAGGCAGAGTCCAAGATCACAGCAGAATGACGCCACAAAATTAGTCTCGTGCAGACCCTACTGTTCCGTTGCTGAACAGCTGTAAACTCCAGTTGCAGCTCTGGCCCTGGCAATCCCTGTGAGTGCCATTGTTGCCTCTGCCCACTGCAAGGGTGGATTTCTATCCTACCTGCTTTTTGTATTATTAATAATAGCTCTTGATTGAAAGTTGGAGATGGGCACATCTGATTGGCCGAGTCTAGGTCACATGCTGCCTCCTCAGCTGCAAGGGAGGCTGAGACAGCAAGTATGTGACTTTTTCAGCTTCTATGCTGGGAGTGGGGTTGGGAGTGGATTACAGCCTCACACCTAGGTTCAAAAGGAAAGCAAGTGCCCTAAATAAGAAGGGATTTCAAATGCTAGGTAGCCCTCTTCCTCTAGTGAGGGGACAAGGGTGAAGATATTCCAGGTAGTTGCATGTGAACAGTTAAAAAGGCCCAAAGGTATGAGCCAGCATGCAGCACTGGGAGGTCTTCCAATAACTCCAAAGGAGAAGGAGGAGAAGGGTGGGAAGGCCAGAAAGGAAGGCAGGGGACTTGTCTTGAAAGCCCAATGTCTATAAGCTTTGACTTTCCTGTTATAGGACTGTGGTAGACGTAACTGATTTTCACTTAGTACCATCTAATTTTCTTCCTTCCCAATTTCAATTTGGGGAGCAATATACCCAGCTAAACTTCCTCAAGATTCCTTCTAGCTAATGATAGCCATGATACATAGTTTGGGTAAATGAGATATAAAAGAGGGTTCTTGTCTCTCCCCTTCTTGGCTGAATGCATGTGTAAGGTCTGAAGGTATAGCAACCATATTGGGACTATGAGATGAAAAGCTGTATATGCATATTAAAAATGGCAGAGCAGAAAGATGGAAAGAGGCCTGTTTCCTGTTCCATCTGAGAATTTCCTATGCCCAGATTTCTTTGTTCTTTCTTTCTTTTTTAAAAAATGGTGACAAGTGATTATTTATTTGAAAAAATTTCTTGAAACAGTAAGATATGATTTCACGAAGCTACCTTTACAGCTTGGAGAGTACCATTTAGAAATAAAATTGATCATTAATTTGCCTTTTTGATGGAATGTTTTAATTTATAGTTTTGGATTTTGGATATCTCTTCTTGGATTAACTTTTTTTTTTTTTTTTTTTTTGGGATGGAGTTTCACTCTTGTTGCCCAAGCTGGAGTGCAGTGGCACGATCTCGGCTCACCGCAACCTCCGCCTCCCGGTTCAAGCGATTCCTCTGCCTCAGCCTCCTGAGTAGCTGGGATTGCTGGTCCCTGTCCCCACGCCCAGCTAGTTTTCATATTTTTAGTAGAAATGGGGTTTTCACCATGGGGCCAGGCTGGTCTCGAACTCCTGACCTCAGGTGATCCACCCGCCTTGGCCTCCCAAAGTGCTGGGATTACAGGCATGAGCCACTGCGCCCGGCCAGTATTGACATTTTACTATAGTGTCAAGTATTTTTTTAAAATTTTTAAATGGAAACACGTAAGTTATACACTATTTCATTCTCTTGGACACAGGAACGGTATTAATCTCCCAGGTTTTTTGAGACAAATCCCTATGAGTTTAAGCCGCTAGAATTGGATTTGCTGTTATTTGCAGCTGAATGTAATCCTGACTGATAAAGGAAAGGTGACCAGTTAGGAAACTAATGCAGCTGCTTGTAAGTGACTTAAATGGGGGCAGAAAGGGAGGGGATTGGGCAGAGAGGATGGATTGAAAATGTAAATGTGGTGAGTGTGTGTGTTCAGCCAAGTCTCAAATAGGATGGGGCTGTGTGCGTGGAATCCACGTAGATACCACAGAAAACTATCCCTAGCCTTGAGGTATCAGGTATGTCCATAAGAGCACCTGGGAAACATGGGGTGGGAGAGATATGGTGAAAGTGGGTTAAAGGTAGCAGACAGGGGATGTGTAGGGTCCCAAAGACTAACCTCACAATTTTCTTATTTAAAACATAATACTGGGTCCATGTACAAATTTTAGAAAACCCAGTTAAGGAAAAAATTATTTAAGAAAATAAAAATCTTCCCAAATCACACCACCCAGGGATAATAATCCCTGCTAACACTTTGGTGTATTTCTTTCCAGCCTCCATTCATTCTCCATCTCTCTCTTTCTCTCCCATTCTTCCCACATAGATGGGTATATACATGAGTTGCTTAACAAAAATATGATCATAGTATGATGTGCTGTTTTTTGATCTGTCCTTTTTGCATTTGGCAATGCATTGGGAAGGCCCTCACACATCATTAACATCATTTTTTTTTTTTTTTTTTTTTTGAGACGGAGTCTCGCTCTGTGGCCCAGGTGGAAGTGCAGTGGCGCAATCTCGGCTCACTGCAAGCTCCGCCTCCCGGGTTCACGCCATTCTCCTGCCTCAGCCTCCTGAGTAGCTGGGACTACAGGCGCCCGCCATCACGCCCGGCTAATTTTTTTGTATTTTTAGTAGAGACGGGGTTTCACCGTGTTAGCCAGGATGGTCTCGATCTCATGACCTCGTGATCCGCCCGCCTCGGCCTCCCAAAGTGCTGGGATTACAAGCGTGAGCCACCGCGCCCGGCCATTAACATCATTTTAATGCTTACATGCATAGTGTTCCATTATGTGGATGTATCTAAGATGCTTTATAAGTAGAACTTTAAAATTGCTTTTATTATTTCCCATTTCATACCACTTTTGGATGTGGTCTGGAAACCGTCGGAAGTGATTCTGGGATGGAAGGGAAGGTGGCATAGCTTTTTCTTAGTTTTAGTGAGCTGATAGCTTGCTCAGGCTGTGATAGCCCGAAAACTTGCGTCAATATTTATATTCATTTTATTTCTATTTTGCCACCTTGCTCTTCTCATGGAGCACGAAGAGTTACCTTGCCTTTTAGGACAGTGGAAGGATTTTCCTCTTGGTGTAAACAGTACATGTTTGCAGCACTGACATTTATTCGCTTTTCTACAGCGTATAAAACCACTCCGTAGGCGCGCCATTTAGCTGACAGGCATTGAAAATACAGAGAAGAGTAAAAGTTTTCATTTGAAGGTGTTTATTTAAAAAAATAGAAAAAATAAGAGCACCCGCTTCCGCAGCGAGCAGGGTTCGAACCTGCGCGGGGAGACCCCATTGGATTTCAAGTCCAACGCCTTAACCACTCGGCCATCGCTGCCACGAGAATATTCGACAGGCGGAGACACTTTAGTGTAACAACCACTGCGCTCATGCCAGGCCCGCGAAAGGGCGGAGCGCGCACCCTCTGAGCTCCGCTCCGTGCGAAGCGGCGGGGCTGAGGGCTCAGGGTGCGGCAACTACAGGGTAGACGCGAAGAAATAATAGAAACCACCCTAAATAGAGGTACATTCAGAACTTAGAAACTCTCCCCTTCGCTGTGCTCCGAAAATCGCAACCTTGCCTGGCTTCTGGTCGCTGACCTGGTTTTCGCCCTCGCGCTTATTAGGTCTACGAGAGGGCCGTGAAACAAAAAGATCTGTTCTGTTACGTGCTGCGAGCCCGCGCTCCCGAAAATTTGGCATTTCTGCGAGAGAAGCGTCTTCCGCGGCGTTTCCCGCCAAGACTGGGGGCGTCGCCTTCAGAACACTTTCTTCTGTGCATTGAGGCAGGAAGTGTGAGGTGTCGGGATGCTGCCTGTGGGCTCGTCCCTTCCCCCCCCCCGCCCGCCCCCTCGGGCTTCTGCCCAAGCAGCCGTCTCCCATTTTTTAAATCCCCAGTGATCCCTTCATTGCCGAGCTCAACTGGGAGATGTCAGGCTGCAAGTGTGCTCTCTGCTCTCTCAGGAGAGGGGTGGCCGCGGACGTGGTCTGAGAACCAAGTTCTGCGCATTAGTCTGCATTCAATACCTTTAAATGCCATTAATGCCTTCTGGTGTTCTGTGTGGCTTCTGCCCTAGGTGCTTTACCCGCGTTATTTCGTTAAAGCCCTGAGAACCGAGGTCTGTTCTGTCTTAGCCCACCTGACGGCACTGAGGCCTGGGGTTGTGCCGCGGGTGGGCCTGGCTGATCCCAGAGCGCATGCGCAGCCCTTGTCACGTAGCGCCACAGAAGCGCCAACTTCTGTCGATGGGCAATTTGAGAAAAGTAACAGAAGGCCTTTTACTAGTTGAAGTTTCTAGGAGTGTTCATGGAAACCCCACTGCCCTTCTCATAATGGTACATTTCATAATAAGGCAGGAAGGCAACTCGACCTTTGGAAGCCTCTATGTTGTGACTCCACTTGATAAGGTGTGTAACTTTTCTTGAGACCTTCCATACCATTTCTCGAAACCAAATTATGGTGCTGAGTGTCTACACCCATTTAATTGTGGAAGAGAGCAGAATATTTGAGACTTGTAAGGATAAATTTTGTCTGAGATTGTTCTTTTAGGAATTTTTTTTTTTTTTTAAATTTTGGCAGAGCTACAGGAGGGATCCCATTTTCTCTATGAATACTGCATGGGAACAAAGTAATTCCCGACATTGCCAGGCATGAATTTTATCGTAAACACAAAATTCACTTGCACTTTTTCCAATAGATATTGTCCAAGAACTACATTTTTGTTTTTTAAATCTTGTCCTTAGATTGTACCTACGTAGCAGGACTAGCTGCAGACAAAATTCCTTAGACACCCAGTTAAAGAAGGAAGGGCTTTATTTGGCTGGGAGCATCGGCAAGACTTAACGTCTGAAAAACCGAGCTCCCCGAGTAAGCAATTCCTGTCCCACTTAAGGGCTTACAACTCTAAGGGGGTCCGCGTGAGAGGGTCGTGATCAATTGGGCAAGCAGGGAGTACGTGACTGGGGGCTGCATGCACCGGTAATTAGAATGGAACAGAATAGGATAGTGCTTTTCTATACAATGTCCCTAATCTGTAGATAACATAACTGATTAGGTCAGGGGTCGATCTTTAACTACCAGGGCCAGGGTGTGGCGCCGGGCTGTCTGCCTGTGGATTTCATTTCTGCCTTTTAGTTTTTACTTCTTCTTTCTTTGGAGGCAGAAATTGGGCATGAGACAATATGAGGGGTGGTCTCCTCCCTTACCTATACCCTGAGATAACTTAGAATTTAACCTTACCTAATTTTACTCGTTGTATTTTGATCTTGAAGCCCTTTTTATCTTTCCTTCTGTGCAGTTGAATGTTGATAATGTTTACTGGAAGTTCCTTTTCTTCTGTAACCTTCCCTTCCCCTTTAAAGAATCCTCTTCACTCGCTTAAAAGCTTGACAGTAATGGGAATTGATTATGGTTAACATTGCTCAAAGTTTTTACTTTGAGAGGGCTTTTTTTTTTTTGGGGGGGGGAGGGGAAAGCAAGACAATGGGGAAAATGATCGATTATAAAGTTATTGTGTATTTTGTGAGAACAGTTGTGATTAAAATGTCTTTGCAACATTTCCAGGGAAATACCTATATTTAACATTTAACTTTTAGCTTGTTTGAGTTAATGTAGGCTTTTAAAACAGTGAAATAATCTTTTTTTTTTTTTTTTTTGGCTGATTTATCATAGTGCTAGAATGAGCCGAGATCAAAATTGTTGATTCCCCCCGCCCCCAAAAGTGTGAATTTCCAAATCCAAATGAGTTCTTTTGGCTCCAACCTTAGGTCTTTAGCATTGTCATTTAATGCAGTGAGCGGCAAGTTAGGAATACAGAAGTAAAATTCATATGTTCCTAATTCGTGACAATAATATCATAAAACATTGTTTTGCAACCATATGCAAATTTCAGTTGGTAAAGGTCCAGTGGTAATCCTGATGATCTCCTCCCTGCCACTCCCTGTTTCTGTTCTTTTTTTTTTTTTTGACGGAGTCTTGCTCTGTCGCCCAGGCTAGAGTGCAGTGGTGCGATCTCGGCTCACTGCA
This sequence comes from Homo sapiens, assembly GCF_000001405.40. Lineage (NCBI taxonomy): Eukaryota > Metazoa > Chordata > Mammalia > Primates > Hominidae > Homo > Homo sapiens. The sequence continues at coordinate 67,761,815 of NC_000010.11, read as the reverse complement.
AGCTCCGCCTCGTGGGTTCATGCTATTCTCCTGTCTCAGCCTCCCGAGTAGCTGGGACTACAGGCACCTGCCACCACGCCTGGGTAATTTTTTGTATTTTTGGTAGAGATGGGGTTTCACTGTGTTAGCCAGGATGGTCTCGATCTCCTGACCTTGTGATCTGCCCGCCTCGGCCTCCCAAAGTGCTGAGATCACAGGCGTGAACCACCGCGCCCGGCTCGTGTTTCTGTTCTTTTATGTGGCGGTTTCAATTAAGCTAATTTGGGTGTGGAAGGCAAATATGTTTTGGCTTTCTCAGAAAACCTTTCTTGGTGCCATGTTCAGAGGCAGACAGAATACTGGGAGGAACAGGGCATGTGATTGGGAGCAGTATGGCATTTCTTTGTTCTTTTATAGCAAATCAGAAATTTATTTTAAATTATTTTGATGGTTTTGGGAGCATTTTATAAAATCATAGAAGTTTAATGCTGGAAGAACCATTAAAGTTAGTCCAATCTCTTCATCTACAGGCAGGAAACCGTGGCCCATGAATAGCTTGCCCAAGTTCACATAGCTAATTACAGTCATGTGCCTCATAACGACATTTGGGTCAATGCTGGACCACATATATAGCAGCAGTCCCATAAAACTTTAATACTGTATTTTCACTGTATCTTTTCTGTGTTTAGATAGATATGTTTATATACACAAACACTATTGTGTTACAGTTGCCTACTGAATATGTTGTACAGGTTTGTAGTCTAGGAGCAACAGGCTACACCAGTGGTCGCTAACCTTTTTGGTACCAGAGACCAGTTTTGTGGAAGATAATTTTCCACGGGATGGTTTTGGGATGATTTAAGCACATTACATTTATTGTGCACTTTATTTCTATTATTATTACATTGTAATATATAATGAAATACACAGCTCACCATAATGTAGAATCAGTGGGAGCCCTGAGCTTGTTTTCCTGTAACTAGACAGTCCCATCTGGGGGTGATGGGAGGCAGTGACAGATCATCAGGCATTAGATTCTCATAAGGAACACACAACCTACATCACAGTAGGTTGTGCACTTTACAGTAGGGTTCATGCTCCTATGAGAATCTAATGCTGATCTGACAGGAGGTGGAGCTCAGGCGGTAATGTGAGCAATGGGGAATGGCTGTAAATACAGATGAAGCTTTACTCTCTCACCCGCTCACCTCCTGCTGTGTGGCCCGGTTCCTAACAGGCCACGGACCGGTACCAGTTGGGGACACCATGGGCTGTATTATATAGACTAAGTGTGTGGTAGTCCATACCATCTAGGTTAGTGTAAGTGCACTCTATAATGTTTGCGCAATGATGAAATCATCTAAGGATGGATTTTTCAGAACATATCATTAAGTGACACATGAGTGTATTGGCAGACAGGGGTATAACTTGTAATATTAGCTTAGTGTTCTCACTCATTTTGTTGCCCTCATGTATTATTTGTTAGTCTCTGGCACAATGGCATATAAATTGAGACGTGTAGATGGCAGTAGACAATGCCTCCAGTAGGGAAGAGTCACGAGTTGAATGTTGAAGGCATATGTCAGATAACGAATGTGTTGTGATGGGTAATTTTTGTTCTTTATTCCAATATCTATCCTCCCAACTGATACTGACACCTTAATTGTACTTAAGGGGCACCACCCCTCTGCCATTGGATGAAACTTTACTTTATCTGTCAATCAAGATATCCCACCCTCCTCTGGCCAAGGAATGGGCATGTGACTTGTATTCGTTTTCTATTGCTGCATAAGAAAGAACCATAAACTTAGTGGCGTAAAACAACACAAATTTATTACCTCATAGTTTCTGTGGGTGAGGAATGTGGTTATGTGTTGACTGGGTTCTTTGCTTAGGGTCTCATCAGGTCTCAAGGTGGTGACTGGGGCTGCAATCTCATCTGAGGTTTGGCGTCCTCTTCTAAGATAACTAGTTGTTGGCAGAATTTAGCTCCTATGGTTGTAAGACTTGCTGGTTGTCAGTAGGGGGGCGTTTTCAGTTCCTATAGGCTACCCACTTTTTTCCTTGCCGTGTGGCTGTTTCCACAACATGGTAGTTTGCTTCTTCAAGGTCAGCACGATAATTCCTCTATAGTCTGCTACAATGGAGTTTTATATAATAGAATGCAGTTATCAAAGTGATTATTCTATTATATTCACAAGTCCTGCACAAGTGAAGGGGATTATTTAGGGAGTGTAACAGCAGGGGTGGGAATCTTGGGGACATCTTAGATTTTTGCCTACCACACAATTCAAGCTAGGCCAATCAGACCCCAAATCCTTGTTCTTTCTTTTACACAATTGTATTATGAAAATTTCACACAAAACACATAGTAACCAACAAGAGGTGATCAAAGTATGGTAATATTAACTTAGCTGCCTTGTGTGCTTTTGCACTTCACTCAAAAGGAATAGGTTTGACAACAACTGCAGAGTTTTAGAGGCTTTGCCACTATTTAGGATTTCTTTTCTGTAATTTTATATGAATTGGAGAATAACTCTAGGTATATGTTTTGGATACCATATGTGAGAGGACTTAGTACAAATTGGACAAAGAAAATTATGAAGTTACTGGCAATAAAACCTTCATTAAGATTTAGTCAGTAAATTAAAGGTATCGTGAAAAGTGATGGAAATAATTATCAAGGAATTGCTGCATTGCAAATGACCGTACTTTTAAAGCTTCAGCAATTAATTGTGGGTTGGATTTTAGTCACTGTGGTACTTATACATAAATGTTTGAAGAAGATTGAAGATATATCCTAGTTAGTACTTACAGGATTTTCCTACCTAAGCAGCTTAGGTAGGGGCAGCTTACTTACAGGATTTTCCTACCTAAGCAGTCTCTTAATGCCATGGCCAATTAAGAAGTAAGAAGAAGAATCAAGAAGGATGGGGTCTTCTTTTCTTAAATGTGTGATACCAGTGTAATATTCAACCTCAAATTCTCAAAAAAGTAGTTTTCTTTGACTTTGTAATAGCAGAGATCTGGACTTACCAAAGACATCTTAATCTATTTTTTTTTAAACCAAATCAGATGTCGAAGGGCAGAATAAGCTTATTAAGAATGAAATCTTATACCCAGTTATTTATAGAATTGAATTGATTCCCTATAAAACTCTATGGACAAGCTCTATATATGGGGTTGATGTAGTGCGGTTTTTATAAAGGCAACTGAAATGGACAATTTTAAGGATTACATTAAAATACAGCTATGATCAATGTATTGGGATTATAATTGGGGCACAACTAGATCCGCAGACCACCCATCTTATAACTTTAAGGAATTATGATTATAGCACCATTTTATTTCTTTACAAGATACTGTCATTCCTTTTACTAATTCTTATTTTTTGGGGGGCTATTAAATTATATAGGAAAACCAAGTCTTTTTCCTTGACTGTATTAGGGTTCTCTAGAGAAACAGAGTGGCTAAGATATATGTGTGTGTGTGTGTGTGTGTGTGTGTGTGTGTATATATATTTATATATATGTGTGTGTGTGTGTGTATATACATATACACATGAGGAGATTTATTATAGGAATTGTTTTATGTGGTTAAGGAGGCTGAGAAGTCTCAAGATCTGCCATCCGCAAGCTGGAGAACCAGGAAAACTGGTGGTATAGTTCAGTTCGGGTCTGAAAGCTCAAAAACCAAGAATGCTGATGTCTGGGGGCAGGAAAAGATGGATATCTCAGCTCAATAAAAGAGAGAAAAAATTTGCCCTTCCTCTGCCTTTTTGTTCTATTTAGGCCCTCAGTGGATTGGATACTTCCTGCCTGCATTGGTGAGGGTGGTCTTCTTTACTCAGTCTACTGATGCAGATGTTTATCACTTCTGGAGATACCCTCACAAACACACCCATAGATAACATTTTACCAGATATCTGGACATCTGTATTAATCAGGGTTCTCTAGAGGGACAGAACTAATAGGATAGACGTATATATTAAAGAGAGTTTATTAAGGAGAATTGACTCACACGATCAGAAGGTAAAGTCCCACGATAGGCTGTCCGCAGATTGAGGAGCAAGGAAGCCAGTGGTGGATCACTCTGAGTCCCAAAACCTCAAAAGTAGGGAAGCTGACAGTGCAACAGCCTTCAGTCTGTGGCCAAAGGCCTGAGAGCCCCTGGCAAACCACCGGTGTAAGTCTAAGAGTCCAAAAGCTGAAGAACTTTGAGTCTGATGTTCGAGGGCAGGAAGCATCCACCACAGGAGAAAGATGAAAGTCGGAACACTCAGCAAGTCTGTTCTTTCCAACTTCTGCCTGCTTTATTCTAGCCGCATTAGCAGCTGATTAGATGGTGCCCACCCAGAGTGAGGGTGGGTCTGCCTCTCTCAGTCCACTGACTCAAATATTTATCTCCTTTGACATCACCCTCACAGACACACCCAGGAACAATACTTTGCATCCTTCAATCCAATCAAGTTGATACTCAGTATTAACCATCACAGCATCCGTTAGCCCAGTCGAGTTGATACGTAAAATTAACCACCACGTTGACCTTAGAGAGCTCATCTATGCCCATGCCTTTAAATACACAGAGATATTTGCTAAATATTTATTGTTTAAAGCTGCCATGTTTAGGGATAGTTTGTCATACAGCAATAGATAACTAAGGCATTCAGTTTTTCCCCCTAGAACTAGATACATTTGCTCTATTCCATGTTTCTGTCAGATGTTTTCTGTTTATCCAGCAGGCTGGAAAACACTCTTGATTCAAAATGCCTAGCACAGTGCTTAATATGTAGTAGGTACTCAATATATGATAATTATCTTTTTTTGTTGTGAAAACAATATGATGTTAATAAAAAGTTTGAAAAATAGAAAAAAACCTCAACCCACCTAAGTCTTTTAAAAACTATTCTTTTAGTCCTTTCCCCTATACTTATATATATTTTTTTACATAGCTGTAACTGTGTACATGATAATTTTTCTACTTTTGTTATATTGAGGTAAAATTCACCATTTTAACCATTCAAGTGTATGATTCAGTGGTTTCCATTACATTCATAATATTGTGTTACTGTCACTAATGTATATTCCAGAGCATTTTTATCAGCCCAAGAGGAAAACCTGAACTCATTAAGCAACCACTCTTCACTCCCCACTTTCCTCAGCCCCTGCAATCACTAATCTGCTTTCTGTCTCTATATTCTGTTTGCCTATTACATTTTATGTAAATAGAATTATATAATATGTGGCTTTTTGTGTCCATTTTTTTCTTAGCACATTTGCAAGGTTTATCCATGTTACAGCATGTATTGCTACTTCATTTATCTTTTAGTGTTTTGAAAATATTGTTACTTGCCTTTTAAAAAATTATTTATTTTTATTGATGCATAATAGATGTACATTGTTTTGAGGTACATATGATAATTTAATACATGATTTGTAAATATTAAATTGGTGTAGTTAGGATATCCATCACCTTAAATATTTGTCTTTTTTATGCTAGAAACATTTGAATTATTCTCTTCTAGCTTTTTTGAAATGTACAATAGACTACTGTAGACTATAGACACCCTACTGATTTATCTAAAAACTAGGTCTTAGTTCTTCTATTAAACTATTGAATAGGTGTAAATATGTACCCGTTAATCAACTTCTTTTCATCTCCCTGTTCCCCCCACCCTACCTGGCCTCTGGTAACCACCAGTCTACTCTCTATCTTCATAAGATCCACTGTTTTACCTCCCACATATGAGTCAGAACATGCAATATCTGTCTTTCTGTGCTTGGCTTATTTCACCTAAGATAATGAACTTCAGTTCCATACATGTTGCTGCAAATGAGAGGATTTCATTCTTTTTTATGGCTGGATAATATTTATACCACTTTTTCTTTATCCATTCTTCCATTGATGAGCATTTAGATCAATTCCATATTTTGGCTATCGTGAATAGTGCTTTGATAAACATGGGAGTGCATATATCTTTTTGGCATATTGATTTTCTTTTCTTTCTTTCTTTCTTTTTTTTTTTTTTTTTTTTGAGGCAGAGACTCACTTTTGTCGCCCAGGCTGGAGTGCAATGGTGTGATCTCGGCTCATTTCAACCTCCAGCTCCCTGGTTCAAGTGATTCTCCTGACTCAGCCTCATGAATAACTGGGATCACAGGCGTGTGCCACCACACCTGGCTAATTTTTGTATTTTTAGTAGAGATGGGGTTTTACCATGTTGGCCAGGCTGGTCTCAAACTCCTGACCTCAAATGATCCATCTGCCTCAGCCTCCCAAAGTGCTGGGATTACAGGCATGAGCCACCATGCCCTGCTGATTTTCTTTCTTTTGAATATATACCCAGTAGTGGAATTGCTGGATCATATGGTAGTTCTATTTTTAGTCTTTTGAGGAACCTCCATACTGTTTTCCATAGTGGCTGTACTAATTTACATTCTTGCCAATCGCGTATAATGGCTTCCCTTTCTTTACATCCTTGCCAGCATCAGTTATTGCTTGTCTTTTTTATAAGAACAATTTAAACTGGGGTGAGATGATATCTCATTGTAGTTTTGATATGCATTTCTCTGATGGTTAGTGATATTGAGCATTTTTTCATATACCCATTGCTATTTGTATATCATCACCTTTTTTTTTTTTTAAAGATAAGGTCTCATCCTGTCACCCAGGCTGGAGTGCAGTGGAGTGATCATAGGTCACCGCGGCCTTGAACTCTTGGGCTCAAGTGATCCTCTCGCCTCAGCCTCATAAGTAGCTAGGACTACTACAGGCATTGGTAATTTTTTAATTTTTTTGTTTTGTAGAGATAAGGTCTCGCTATATTTTCCAGGCTGGTCTCAAACTTCTGTCCTCAGTTGATCCTCCCATGTCAGCCTCCCTAAGTGCTGAGATTACAGGCTTGAGACACCATGTCCAGCCATGTATGTATTCTTTTGAGAAATGTCTATTCAGCTCTTTTGCCCATTTTCTGATCAGATTATTGTCATTTTTTTCTCCATTGAGTTGTTTGAGCTCCTTATATACTCTGGTTATTAATCCTTTGTCAGATACGTAGTTTGCAGATCTTTTCCCCCGTTCTATGGGTTGTTTTTGCACTTTGTTGATTGTTTCCTCTGCTGTACAGAAGACTTTTATCTTGATAAAATCCCAGTTGTCTATTTTTGCTTTGGTTGCCTGTGCTTTTGAGGTCTTACACAGAAAATCTTGCCCAGACCAATGTCCTGGAGCATTTCCCCAATGTTTTCTTCTATTAATACTAGTTTCATAGTTTCAGGTCTTAGACTTAAGTCTTTTATCCATTTTGATTTGATTTTTGTGTATGGTGAGAGATAGGGGTCTAGTTTCATTCCCTCTTTTTTTAAATTTTATTTTATTTTAAGTTCTGGGATACATTTGCATGATGTGCAGGTTTGTTACATAGGTAAACATGTGCCATGGTGGTTTGCTGTACCTATCAACCCATCACCTAGGTATTAAGCCCCACATGCATTAGCTGTTTATCCTGATGCTCTCCCTCCCAACGCCCCCCCGATAGGCTCTAGTGTGTGTTGTTTCCCTCCCTGTGTCCATGTGTTCTCATTATTCAGCTCCCACTTGTACATGCGGTATTTGGTTTTCTGTTCCTGTGTGAGTTTGCTGAAAATAATGGCTTCTAGCTCCATCCATCTCCCTGCAAAGGTCACGATCTTGTTCCTTTTTATGGCTGCAGAGCATTCCATGGTGTGTATGTACCACATTTTCTTTATCCAGTCCATCACTGATGGACAGTTGGGTTGATTCCATGTCTTTGCTATTGTGAATAGTGCTGCAATAAACATATGTGTGCATGTATCTTTATAATAGAATGATTTATATTCCTTTGGGTATATACCCAGTAATGGGATTGCTGGGTTAAATGGTATTTCTGGTTTTAGATCCCTGAGGAATCACCACACTGTCTTCCACAATTGTTGAACTAATTTACATTCTCACCAACAGTGTAAAAGTGTTCCTATTCCTCCACAGCCTTGCCAGCATCTGTTGTTTCTTGACTTTATAATAATCGCCATTCTGACTCATGAGATGGTATCTCATTGTGGTTTTGATTTGCATTTCTCTAATGATCAGTAATGTTGAGCTTTTTTTCATAAGTTTCTTGGCCACGTAAATGTCTTCTTTTGAGAAGTGTCTGTTCACGTCCTTTGCCTACTTTTTGATGGGGTTTTTTGTTGTTTTCTTGTAAATTTGTTTAAGTTCCTTGTAGATTCTGGATATTAGACCTTCGTCAGAGGGATAGATTGCAAACATATTCTCCCATTCCATAGGTTGTCTGTTCACTGTGATGATAGTTTCTTTTGCTGTGCAGAAGCTCTTTCATTTAATTAGGTCCTATTTGTCAATTTTTGCTTTTGTTGCAATTGCTTTTGATGTTTTGTCATGAAATCTTTGTTTATGTCCTGAATGGTGTTGCCTAGATTTTTTTCTAGGGTTTTTATAGTTTTTGGTTTTACATTTAAGTCTTTAATCCATCTTTAGTTAATTTTTGTATGAATTATAAAGAAAGGGCCCAGTTTCAATTTTCTGCATGTGGCTAGCCAGTTTTCCCAGCACCATTTATTAAATAGGGAATCCTTTCCCCATTGCTTGTTTTTATCAGGTTTGTTAAATGTCAGATGATTGTAGATGTGTGGCCTTATTTCTGAGATCTCTATTCTGTTCCATTGGTCTATGTGTCTGTTTTGGTACCGGTTCCATGCTGTTTTGGTTACTATTGCCTTGCAGTATAGTTTGAAGTTGGGTAACATGATGCCTCCAGCTTTGTTCTTTTTGCTTAGGATTGTCTTGGCTATATGGGGTCTTTTTTGGTTCCATAAGAATTTTAAAGTAGTTTTTTCTAATTTTTTGAAAAACGGCAATGGTAGTTTAATGGGAATAGCATTAAATCTGTAAATTACTTTGGGTAGTATGGCCATTTTCACGATATTGATTCTCCCTATCCATGACCATGGAATGTTTTTCCATTTGTTTGTGTCCTCTCTTATTTCGTTGAGCAGTGGTTTGTAGTTCTCCTTGAAGAGGTCCTTCACATCCCTTTTTAGCTGTATTCCTAAGTATTTTATTTGTAGCAGTTGTGAATGGGAGTTCATTCATGATTTGGCTGTCTGTTTGTCTATTGTTGGTGTATAGGAATGCTTGTGATTTTTGCACATTGATTTTGTATCCTGAGACTTTGTTGAAGCTGCTTATCAGCTTAAGGAGCTTTTGGGCTGAGACAATGGGATTTTCTAAATATAGGATTATGTTGTCTGCAGAGACAGTTTAACTTCCTCTCTTCCTATTTGAATGCCTTTTATTTCCTTCTCTTGCCTGATTGCCCTGGCCAGAACTTCCATACTATGTTGAATAGGAGTGGTGAGAAAGAGAGAGGGCCATCCTTGTTTTGTGCCAGGTTTCAAGGGGAATGCTTCCAGCTTTTGCCCATTTAGTATGATATTGACTGTGGGTTTGTCAGGAATGGCTCTTAATATTTTGAGATGTGTTCCATCAATTCCTAGTTTATTGAGAGTTGTTAACATGAAGGGATGTTAAATTTTATCAACGGCCTTTTCTGCGTCTGTTGAGATAATTGTGTGGCTTTTGTCTTTAGTTCTGTTTATGTGATGAATTACATTTATTGATTTGTGTATGTTGAACCAGCCTTGAATTCCAGGGATAAAGCTGACTTGATCATAGTGGATAACCTTTTTGATGTGCTGCTGGATTTGGTTTGCCAGTATTTTATTGAGGACTTTTGCATCAATGTTCATCAGGGATATCGGCCCGAAGTTTTCTTTTTTTGTTGTGTCTGTGCCAGGTTTTGGTATCAGGATGATGCTGGCCTCATAAAATGAGTTAGAGAAAAGTCCCTCCTTTTCAGTTGTTTGGAATAATTACAGAAAGAATGGTACCCACTCCTCTTTGAACCTCTGGTTGAATTGGCTGTAAATCTATCTGGTCCTGGGCTTTTTTTTTTTTTTTTGGTTGGTAGCTATTTATTACTGCCCCAATTTCAGAACTTGTTATTAGTCTATTCAGGGATTCGAATTTTTCTTGGTTTAGTCTTGAGATGATGTATGTGTCCTGGAATTTATCAATTTCTTCTAGATTTTCTAGTTTATTTGCGTAGAGGTGTTTATAGTATTCTCTGATGGTTGGTTGTATTTCTGTGGGGTCATTGATGATATCTCCTTCATCAGTTTTTATTGTGTCTATTTGATTCTTCTCTGTCTTCTTCTTCATTAGTCTAGTTAGCGGTCTATTTTTTTTTTACGATCATTATTTTTTATTATTTATCTTTACATCCTCAGTGTTGGCAGAGTTTCTGGTGCTTGACAGACAGACATTTGTTCAGATAAGTGGAAAAAACTGTCATTTGCTTATTCAAGCCATGCTTTTCTGTGATACTCTGATCCTAGTTGAACATACAGAAATAAATGTCTAAAACAGCACCTTGATTCTGGCCTGCAACAGGACGAAGTCACTGTGATCTCAGATAAGCTTGGCTAAAATAGGACTTGAGTGGAGATGTCACACTTCAGCGAAGAAAGAGAATTCCCTGTGTAATCTCACCAGGAGATTCAACCTCAATATTCTGCATCGAAGGGATAGTCCTCCAAATGAGAGGATTGCAACATGTTACGGGCCCTCCAGTTTCTGTTGAAGCTGAGTGTGGTTGCCATCTCCTCATCATTCAATGTAAAGTCAAAGGCCTGAATGTTCTCAACAATGCGTGCTGGTGTCACAGACTTGGGGATCACAGTCACATTCCTCTGGATATGGAAATGGATCAGAACCTGGGCTGTGGTTTTTTGTGCCTTGCAGCAATCTCCTTAATCTTGGGATCCTCCAGCAGGGAAGGGTCCTCTGGCTTGGCCCAAAGTCTATCCGGAGAGCCTAGGGGGCTGTAGGCCATAATGGTGATGCCCTTGGAGTGGCAGTACTGGATCAGTTTCTCCTGTGTGAGGTATGGGTGACACTCAACCTGGTTAGTCACTGGTTTATATTTCAGTCCAGGTTTGTTCAAGAGCCTCTCTATCTGGAAGTGGTTGAAATTGGAGACCCCAAGGGCTTTCACCAGCCCCTCATCCACCAGCTCCTCCATGGCCTCCCAGGCATCCAAGAACATTGCTTTTCCACCGATCATATTACCTTTATCATCTTTGCGGAAAAAATCATCCCCAGACTTGTATCCCTGTGCTAGTGAATAAGATAGACATCCAGATAACTCAGCTTCAGATCCTTGAGGGTCTTCTCAAAGGCTTTCCTCACAAGGGGTCTCTCAAAGAAAGTGGGCCACAACTTGTTGATGATGAAGAGGTCCTCCCGCTTTACAGCCTTCTCTTGGATCTTCTCTTGGATGGCTTCCCCCACCTCATGTTCATTCTGATAGACATAGGCACAGTCAATGTGGCGATATCCTGCATCAATGGCCACCTTCACCACTTCTTTCACTTTGCCGAGAGGAGACTTCCAAGTGCCCAGGCCCACAATGGGCATCTTGGCTTTGGTATTGAGCTCCACAAAGATGGCCATGGTTGGTGCAGAAATGATTCTGAGTGAGCACTAGAAGTCTCACGTCCTGCTGTGTCCAGAGTTGGTTCCTTCCAGTGGGTTCTTGGTCTCACTGACTTCAAGAATGAAGCCACGGACCTTCGTGGTAACTGTTACAGCTCTTAAAGATGGTGTGTCTGGAGTTTATTCCTTCAGATGTGTCCAGAGTTTCTTCCTTCTGGCGGGTTCATAGTCTCGCTGACTTCAAAATGAGCCCGCGGACCTTCACGGCGAGTGTTACAGCTCTTAAAAGGTGGTGCAGACTGAAAGAGTGAGCAGCAGCAAATTTATTGTGAAGAGTGAAAGAACAAAGCTTCCACAGCATGGAAGGGGACCCAAGCGGGTTGCCCACGGTCTATCTATTTTATTAATTTTTTTCAAAAAACCAGCTCCTGGATTCACTGATTTTTTTTGAAGGGTTTTTCATGTCTCTGTCTCCTTCAGTTCCACTCTGATCTTAGTTATTTCTTGTCTTTTGCTAGCCTTTGGCTTTGTTTGCTCCTGCCTCTCTATATCTTTTAGTTGTGATGTTAGGGTGTCAATTCAAGATCTTTCTTGCTTTCTGATGTGGGTATTTAGTGCTATAAATTTCCCTTTTAACACTGCTTTAGCTGCATCCCAGAAATTCTGGTACATTGTCTCTTTTTTTCTCATTGGTTTCAAATAGCTTCTTGATGTCTCTCTTAATTTCATTATTTACCTAGGAGTCATTCGGAGCAGGTTGTTCAATTTCCATGTAGTTGTGTGGTTTTGAGTCACTTTCTTAATCTTGGGTTCTAATTTGATTGCACTATGGTCTGAGAGACTGTTTGTTATGATTTCAGTTCTTTTGCATTTGCTGAGGAGTGTTTTACTTCCAATTATGTGATCAATTTTAGAGTATGTGCCATGTGGCACTGAGAAGAATGTATATTCTATTTTCTTTGGATGGAGAGTTCTGTAGATATCCATCAGGTCCACTTGATCCAGAGCTGAGTTCAAGTTTTGAATATCCTTGTTAATATTCTGTCTCGATGATCTGTGTAATATTGACGGTGGGGTGTTAAAGTCTCCCACTATTATTGTGTGGTAGTCTTAGTCTCTTTGTAGGTCTCTAGGAACTTGTTTTATGAATCTGTGTTCATAAATATATGCATAAATAGGGTGCATATATATTTAGAATTGTTAGTTCTTCTCACTGAATTAATCCCTTTACCATTAAGTACTGCCCTTGTCTTTTTTGATCTTTGTTGGTTTAAAGTCTGTTTTGTCAGAAAGTAGGATTGCAACCCCTGCTTTTGTTTCACTTTCCATTTGCTTGTTAAATATTCCTCCATCCCTTTATTTTGAGCTTGACAAATTATGTGCAAAGACATGTGCAAAGACATGTCATGTGCAAAGACAATTATGTGTGTCTTTGCACATGAGATGGGTCTCTTGAAGACAGCACACCAATTCATCTTGACTCTATTCAATTTGCCAGTCTGTGTGTTTTAATTGGGACATTTAGCCTATTTACATTTAAGGTTAAAATTGTTATGTGTGAATTTGATCGTGTAATAATGATGCTAGCTGCTTATTTTGCAGACTAGTTGATGCAGTTTCTTCAAAATGTCATTGGTTTTTGCACTTCAGTGTGTTTTTGCAGTGGCTGGTACTGGTTTTTCCTTTCCATATTTAGCACTTTTTTCAGGAGCTCTTGCAAGGTAGGCCTGGCAGTGACAAATTCCCTCAACGTTTGCTTGTTTGAAAAATATTTTATTTCTCCTTTGCTTAGAAACTTAGCTTGGCTGGATATGAAATTCTGGGTTGGAAATTCTTTTCTTTAAGAATGTTGAATATTGGCCCACACTCTCTACTGGCTTGTAGGGCTTCTGCTGAGAGGTCTGCTGTTAGTCTGATGGGATTCCTTTTGTAGGTGACCTGGCCTTTTTCTCTGGCTGCCCTTAACATTTTTTCCTTCATTTTGACCTTGGAGAATCTGATGGTTATGTTTCTTGGGGTGATCTTCTCATGGAGTATCTTGCTGGGGTTCTCTGTATTTCCTGAATTCGAATGTTGGCCTGTTTTGCTAAGTTGGAGAAGTTCTCCTGGATGATACCCTGAAGTGTGTTTTCCAACTTGGTTCCATTCTTTCTGTCTCTTTCAGGTACTCCAATAAATCATAGGTTCGATCTTTTTATGTAGTCCCATAGTTCTCAGAGGTTTTATTTGTTCCTTTTCATTCTCTTTTCCATAATCTTGTCTTCCTGCTCTGTTTCAGCAAGAAAGTCTTCAAGCTCTGATATTCTTTCTTCCGCTTCATTGATTCAGCTATCGATACTTGTATCACAAAGTTCTCGTGCTATGTTTTTCAGCTTCATCAGGTCATATTGTTCCTCTCTAAACTGGTTATTCTAGTTAACAGCTCCTGTAACCTTTTATCATGGTTCTTAGCTTCTTTGCGTTAGGTTAGGACATGCTCCTTTGGTTCAGTGAAGTTTGTTATTACCCACCTTCTGAAGCCTACTTCTGTCAATTCATCCATCTCAGCCTCTGCCCAGTTCTGTCCCCTTGCTGGAGAGGTGTTGTGATCATTTGGAGGAGAAGAGGCACTCTGGCTTTTTAAGTTTTTAGCGTTTTTTCGTTGATTCTTTCTCATCTTCATGAGTTGTCTAGTTTCGATCTTTGAGGCTGCTGACCTTTGGATGGGTTTTTGTGAAGACCTTTTTGTTGATGCTGTTGCTGCTTTCTGTTTGTTTTTCTTTTAACAGGCCCCTCTTCTGTAGGGCTGCTGTGGTTTGCTGGGGTTTCACTTCAGGCCCTATTCACCTGGGTCCCTCTCGCACCTGGAGATGTTACCTAAGGAGGCTGGAGAACAGCAAAGATGGGAGCCTGCTCCTTCCTCTGGAATCTCTGTCCTAAAGGGTCACTGACATGATGCCAAGAGGAATGCTCCTGTATAAGGTGTCCGGTGACCCCTGTTGGGGGGCATGGGATCCAGGACCCACTTAATAAAGCACGCTGGCTGCCCCTTGGTGGAGGGGGTGTGCTGCACTGGGGGGAAACCCACTCGTCTGGTCTGCTCATATTCCTCAGAGCTAGCGGAAGGAAAGACTAAGTCTGCTGGTCCATGGAGACCATGGCCACCCCACCCACTAGGGGCTCAGGCCCAGGGAGATCACAGTTCTGTCTCTAAGCCCCTGGCTAGAGTTGCTGAAGTTCCTGCAGGGAGGTCCTGCCCAGTGAGGAGGGATGTGTCAGGGTCTGGCCTAAAGAGGCAATCTGGCTGTGATCTGCCACAGGTGGTGTGCTGTACTGTGGGGAATACCTCTTGGGTCCAAGCCATCCAGTTTCCCCAGCACCAGCAGGGGAAAAATGGTGCTCTGCAGCTGCAGTGATAGCTGCTGCCCTTCTCCCGCTGGCTCCTGCCCCCACCACTTCCCCAGAGTTTAGTCATTTTAGGCAGCTGCATGATGACTGCTGTCCCTTCCCCGTGGAGCTCAGTTGTCTTAGGCAGACTGCAGCTGAATGGCTATTGAGAATCTGCACAGCTCTGTGGTTGGGACCCAAGGCCCTGATGGTGGCATGGGCTCATGAGTGGGATCTCCTGATCTGCAGGTTGCACAGATCCATGGAAAAAGCGTGGTTTCCCAGGCTGGGTAGCACGACTGCTCACCGTCTCCCTTGGCTGCAGGTGGGGGCTGCCTTTGTCCCATGTGGCTGTCAGGTGGGCTGAGGCACCACTCTGCTTTTCTTTGCTCTCCGTGGGTCAAACCAAACACCTAGTCAGTCCTGATGATAGAACATGGATACCTTGGTTAATGATGCAGGATTCGCATGCTGTTTTGGTTCTTCTTGGTGGAAGCCTCCCACTGTAGCTGTTTCTAGTTAGCCATCTCAGCTCCGCCCCACTCCCTCAGTTTCATTCATGTGCATATAGTTATCCCATTGTCCCAGCATCATTTATTGAAGAGACTGTCCTTTCCCCACTGTATGTTCTTAGTACCTTTGTTGAAGATGAGCTGGCTGTAAATGCATAAATTTACATGTGGGTTCTCTATGCTGTTCCACTGGTCTGTGTCCCTGTTTATGCTAGGACCATGCTGATTTTGTTACTATAGCTTTGTAGTAAATTTTGAAGTCAGGAAGTGGGATGCTTCCAGCTTTGTTGTTTTTCCTCAGGACGTCTTTGGCTATTTGGGGCCTTTGTGTTTCCATGTAAATTTTTGAATTGTTTTTTCTATTTCTGTGAAGAATGTCATTGGTATTTCGATAGTGGTTGCATTGAATCTGTAAATTGCTTGGTGCAGTATTGTCATTTTAATGATATTATTTCTTCCAATCCATGAACATGGAATATCTTTCTATTTTTTTGTGTCCTCTTCAATTTCTTTCATCAGTGTCTTATGGTTTTCTTTGTATAAATCTTTCACTTCCTTGGTTCAATTGATTTCTAGGTATTTTGTATTCTTTGTAGACATTATAAATGGGGATGGTTTCTTAATTTCTTTTTCAGATTTTTTGCTTTTGACATATATAAAGTTACTGATTTTTGCATGTTGATTCAGTACTCTGAAGCTTTACTGAATTTATTGTCAGCTCTAACAGTTTTTTTCATGGAGTCTTTTTTTAAGTTTTATTATTATTATACTTTAAGTTTTAGGGTATATGTGCACAGCGTGCAGGTTTGTTACATATGTATATATGTGCCATGTTGGTGTGCTGCACCCATTAACTCGTCATTTAGCATTAGGTATATCTCCTAATGCTATCCCTCCCCCCTCCCCCCCACCCCACAACAGTCCCCGGTGTGTGATGTTCCCCTTCCTGTGTCCATGTGTTCTCATTGTTCAATTCCCAACTATGAGTGAGAACATGTGGTGTTTGGTTTTTTGTCCTTGCCATAGTTTGCTGAGAATGATGGTTTCCAGCTTCAACCATGTCACTACAAAGGACATGAACTCATCATTTTTTATGGCTGCATGGTATTCCATGGTGTATATGTGCCAAATTTTCTTAATCCAGTCTATCGTTGTTGGATATTTAGGTTGGTTCCAAGTCTTGGCTATCGTGAATAGTGCTGCTATAAACATATGTGTGCATGTGTCTTTATAGCAGCATGATTTGTAATCCTTTGGGTATATACCCAGTAATGGGATGGCTGGGTCAAATGGTATTTCTAGTTCTAGATCCCTGAGGAATCGCCACACTGACTTCCACAATGGTTGAAGTAGTTTACAGTCCCACCAACAGTGTAAAAGTGTTCCTATTTCTCCACATCCTCTCCAGCACCTGTTGTTTCCTGACTTTTTAATGATCACCATTCTAACTGGTGTGAGATGGTATCTCATTGTGGTTTTGATTTGCATTTCTCTGATGGCCAGTGATGATGAGCATTTTTTCATGTGTTTTTTGGCTGCATAAATGTCTTCTTTTGAGAAATGTCTGTTCATGTTCATATCCTTCGCCCACTTTTTGATGGGGTTGTTTGTTTTTTTCTTGTAAATTTGTTTGAATTCATTGTAGATTCTGGATATTAGCCCTTTGTCAGATGAGTAGGTGCAAAAATTTTCTCCCATTCTGTAGGTTGCCTGTTCACTCTGATGGTAGTTTCTTTTGCTGTGCAGAAACTCTTTAGTTTAATTAGATCCCATTTGTCAATTTTGGCTTTTGTTGCCATTGCTTTTGGTGTTTTAGACATGAAGTCCTTGCCCATGCCTATGTCCTGAATGGTATTGCCTAAGTTTTCTTCTAGGGTTTTTATGGTTTTAGGTCTAACATGTAAGTCTTTAATCCATCTTGAATTGATTTTTGTATAAGGTGTAAGGAAGGGATCCAGTTTCAGCTTTCTACATATGGCTAGCCAGTTTTCCCAGCACCATTTATTAAATAGGGAATCCTTTCCCCATTTCTCATTTTTCTCAGGTTTGTCAAAGATCAGATAGTTGTAGATATATGGCATTATTTCTGAGGGCTCTGGTCTGTTCCATTGATCTATATCTCTGTTTTGGTACCAGTACCATGCTGTTTTGGTTACCGTAGCCTTGTAGTATAGTGTGAAGTCAGGTAGTGTGATGCCTCCAGCTTTGTTCTTTTGGCTTAGGACTGACTTGCTGATGCGGGCTCTTTTTTGGTTCCATATGAACTTTAAGGTAGTTTTTTCCAATTCTGTGAAGAAAGTCATTGGCAGCTTGATGGGGATGGCATTGAATCTATAAATTACCTTGGGCAGTATGGCCATTTTCATGGTATTGATTCTTCCTATCCATGAGCATGGAATGTTCTTCCATTTGTTTGTATCCTCTTTTATTTCATTGAGCAGTAGTTTGTAGTTCTCCTTGAGGAGGTCTTTCACATCCCTTGTAAGTTGGATTCCTAGGTATTTTATTCTCTTTGAAGCAATTGTGAATGGGAGTTCACTCATGATTTGGCTCTCTGTTTGTCTGTTATTGGTGTATAAGAATGCTTGTGATTTTTGCACATTGATTTTGTATCCTGAGACTTTGCTGAAGTTGCTTATCAGCTTAAGGAGATTTTGGGCTGAGATAGTGGGGTTTTCTAGATATACAATCATGTCATCTGCAAACAGGGACAATTTAACTTCCTCTTTTCCTAATTGAATACCCTTTATTTCTTTCTCCTGCCTGATTGCCCTGGCCTGAACTTTCAACACTATGTTGAATAGGAGTAGTGAGAGAGGGCATCCCTGTCTTGTGCCCATTTTCAAAGGCAATGCTTCCAGTTTTTGCCCATTCATTATGATATTGGCTGTGGGTTTGTCATAGATAGCTCTTATTATTTTGAGATATGTCCCATCAATACCTAATTTATTGAGAGTTTTTAGCATGAAGCGTTGTTGAATTTTGTCAAAGGCCTTTTCTGCATCTATTGAGATTATCATGTGGTTTTTGTCTTTGGTTCTGTTTATATGCTGGATTACATTTATTGATTTGCGTATGTTGAACCAGCCTTGCATCCCAGGGATGAAGCCCACTTGATCATGGTGGATAAGCTTTTTGATGTGCTGCTGGATTTGGTTTGCCAGTATTTTATTGAGGATTTTTGCATCAATGTTCATCAAGGATATTGGTCTAAAATTCTCTTTTTGGTTGTGTCTCTGCCAGGCTTTGGTATCAGGATGATGCTGGCCTCATAAAATGAGTTAGGGAGGATTCCCTCTTTTTCTATTGATTGGAATAGTTTCAGAAGGAATGGTACCAGCTCCTGTTTGTACCTCTGGTAGAATTCGGCTGTGAATCCATCTGGTCCTGGAGTGTTTTTGGTTGGTAAGCTATTGATTATTGCCTCAATTTCAGACCCCGTTATTGGTCTGTTCAGAGATTCAACTTCTTCCTGGTTTAGTCTTGGGAGGATATATGCGTAGAGGAATTTATCCATTTCTTCTAGATTTTCTAGTTTATTTGTGTAGAGGTGTTTATAGTATTCTCTGATGGTAGTTTGTATTTCTGTGGGATCGGTGGTGATATCCCCTTTATCATTTTTTATTGCGTCTATTTGATTCTTCTCTCTTTTCTTCCTTATTAGTCTTGCTAGCGGTCTATCAATTTTGTTGATCTTTTCAAAAAACCAGCTCCTGGATTCATTAATTTTTTGAAGGGTTTTTTGTGTCTCTATTTCCTTCAGTTCTGCTCTGATCTTAGTTATTTCTTGCCTTCTGCTAGCTTTTGTATGTGTTTGCTCTTGCTTTTCTAGCTCTTTTAATTGTGATGTTAGGGTGTCAATTTTAGATCTTTCCTGCTTTCTCTTGTGGGCATTTAGTGCTATAAATTTCCCTCCACACACTGCCTTGAATGTGTCCCAGAGATTCTGGTATGTTGTGTCTTTGTTCTCGTTGGTTTCAAAGAACATCTTTGTTTCTGCCTTCATTTCATTATGTACCCAGTAGTCATTCAGGAGCGGGTTGTTCAGTTTCCATGTAGTTGAGTGGTTTTGAGTGAGTTTCTTAATCCTGAGTTCTAGTTTGATTGCACCGTGGTCTGAGAGACAGTTTGTTATAATTTCTGTTCTTTTACATTTGCTGAGGAGTGCTTTACTTCCAACTATGTGGTAAATTTTGGAATAAGTGCAGTGTGGTGCTGAGAAGAATGTATATTCTGTTGATTTGGGGTGGAAAGTTGTGTCTATTAGGTCCGCTTGGTGCAGAGCTGAGTTCAGTTCCTGGATATCCTTGTTAACTTTCTGTCTCGTTGATCTGTCTAATGTTGACAGTGGGGTGTTAAAGTCTCCCATTATTATTGTGTGGCAATCTAAGTCTCTTTGTAGGTCTCTAAGGACTTGCTTTATGAATCTGGGTGCTCCTGTATTGGGTGCACCCAATATTTGGGATAGTTAGTTCTTCTTGTTGAATTGATCCCTTTACCATTATGTAATGGCCTTCTTTGTCTTTTTTGATCTTTGTTGGTTTAAAGTCTGTTTTATCAGAGACTAGGATTGCAACACCTGCCTTTTTTGTTTTCCATTTGCTTGGTAGATCTTCCTCTATCCCTTTATTTTGATCCTATGTGTGTCTGTGCACGTGAAATGGGTTTCCTGAATGCAGCACACTGATGGGTCTTGACTCTTTATCCAGTTTGCCAGTCTGTGTCTTTTAATTGGAGCATTTAGCCCATTTACATTTAAGGTTAATATTGTTATGTGTGAATTTGATCCTATCATTATGATGTTAGCTGGTTATTTTGCTCATTAGTTGACGCAGTTTCTTCCTAGCCTCGATGGTCTTTAGAATTTGGCATGTTTTTGCAGTAGCTGGTACCAGTTGTTCCTTTCCATGTTTAGTGCTTCCTTCAGGAGCTGTTTTAGGGCAGGCCTGTTGGTGACAAAATCTCTCAGCATTTGCTTGTCTGTAAAGTATTTTATTTCTCCTTCACTTATGAAGCTTAGTTTGGCTGGATATGAAATTCTGGGTTGAAAATTCTTTTCTTTTCTTTTTTTTTTTTTGTTCTTTTTTTATTTTTTATTTTTTTATTTTTTTATTATTATACTTTAAGTTTTAGGGTACATGTGCACAATGTGCAGGTTAGTTACATAGGTATACATGTGCCATGCTGGTGCGCTGCACCCACTAACTCGTCATCTAGCATTAGGTATATCTCCCAATGCTATCTCTCCCCCCTCTCCCCATGCCACAACAGTCCCCAGAGTGTGATGTTCCCCCTCCTGTGTCCATGTGTTTCCATTGTTCAGTTCCCACCTATGAGTGAGAATATGCGGTGTTTGTTTTTTTGTTCTTGCGATAGTTTACTGAGAATGATGATTTCCAATTTCATCCATGTCCCTACAAAGGACATGAACTCATCATTTTTTATGGCTGCATAGTATTCCATGGTGTATATGTACCACATTTTCTTAATCCAGTCTATCATTGTTGGACATTTGGGTTGGTTCCAAGTCTTTGCTATTGTGAATAGTGCTGCAATAAACATACGTGTGCATGTGTCTTTATAGCAGCATGATTTATAGTCCTTTGGATATTTACCCAGTAATGGGATGGCTGGGTCAAATGGTATTTGTAGTTCTAGATCCCTGAGGAATTGCCACACTGTCTTCCACAATGGTTGAACTAGTTTACAGTCCCACCAACAGTGTAAAAGTGTTCCTATTTCTCCACATCCTCTCCAGCACCTGTTGTTTCCTGACTTTTTAATGACTGCCATTCTAACTGGTGTGAGATGATATCTCATTGTGGTTTTGATTTGCATTTCTGTGATGGCCAGTGATGGTGAGCATTTTTTCATATGTTTTTTGGCCGCATAAATGTCTTCTGTTGACAAGTGTCTGTTCATGTCCTTTGCCCACCTTTTGATGGGGTTGTTTGTTTTTTTCTTGTACATTTGTTCGAGTTCATTGTAGGTTCTGGATATTAGCCCTTTGTCAGATGAGCAGGCTGTGAAAATTTTCTCCCATTTTGTGGGTTGCCTGTTCACTCTGATGGTAGTTTGTTTTGCTGTGCAGAAGCTCTTGAGTTTAATTAGATCCCATTTGTCAATTTTGGCTTTTGTTGCCATTGCTTTTGGTGTTTTAGACATGAAGTCTTTGCCCATGCCTATGTCCTGAATGGTAATGCCTAGGTTTTCTTCTAGGGTTTTTATGGTTTTAGGCCTAATGTTTAAGTCTTTAATCCATCTTGAATTAATTTTTGTATAAGGTGTAAGGAAGGGATCCAGTTTCAACTTTCTACATATGGCTAGCCAGTTTTCTCAGCACCATTTATTAAATAGGGAATCCTTTCCCCATTTCTCATTTTTCTCAGGTTTGTCAAAGATCAGATAGTTGTAGATATGCGGCGTTATTTCTGAGGGCTCTGTTCTGTTCCATTGATCTATATCTCTGTTTTGGTACCAGTACCATGCTGTTTTGGTTACTGTAGCCTTGTAGTATAGTTTGAAGTCAGGTAGCACGATGCCTCCAGCTTTGTTCTTTTGGCTTAGGATTGACTTGGCGATGCGGCCTCTTTTTTGGTTCCATATGAACTTTAAAGTAGTTTTTTCCAATTCTTTGAGGAAAGTCATTGGCAGCTTGATGGGGATGGCATTGAATCTATAAATTACCTTGGGCAGTATGGCCATTTTCACGATATTGATTCTTCCTATCCATGACCATGGAATGTTCTTCCATTTGTTTGTATCCTCTTTTATTTCCTTGAGCAGTGGTTTGTAGTTCTCCTTGAAGAGGTCCTTCACGTCCCTTGTAAGGTGGATTCCTAGGTATTTTATTCTCTTTGAAGCAATTGTGAATGGGAGTTCACTCATGATTTGGCTCTCTGTTTGTCTGTTATTGGTGTATAAGAATGCTTGTGATTTTTGCACACTGATTTTGTATCCTGAGACTTTGCTGAAGTTGCTTATCAGCTTAAGGAGATTTTGGGCTGAGACAATGGGGTTTTCTAGATATACAATCATGTCATCTGCAAACAGGGACAATTTAACTTCCTCTTTTCCTAATTGAATACCCTTTATTTCCTTCTCCTGCCTAATTGCCCTGGTAAAAATTCTTTTCTTTAAGAATGTTGAATATTGGCCCCCACTCTCTTCTGACTTGTAGAGTTTCTGCTGTTAGTCTGATGGGCTTCCCTTTGTGGGTAACCCAACCTTTCTCTCTGGCTGCCCTTACCATTTTTTCCTTCATTTCAACTTTGGTGAATCTGACAATTATGTGTCTTGGAGTTGCTCTTCTCCAGGAGTATCTTTGTGGCATTCTGTGTATTTCCTGAATTTGAATGTTGCCCTGCCTTGCTAGGTTGGGGAAGTTCTCCTGTATAATATCCTGCAGAGTGTTTTCCAACTTGGTTCCAGTCTCCCCGTCACTTTCAGGTACACCAATCAGATATAGATTTGGTCTTTTCACATAGTCCCATATTTCTTGGAGGCTTTGTTCATTTCTTTTTATTCTTTTTTCTCTAAACTTCTCTTCTCACTTCATTTCATTCATTTCATCTTCCATCACTGATACCCTTTCTTCCAGTTCATTGAATTGGCTTCCGAGGCTTGTGCATTCGTTATGTAGTTCTTGTGCCTTGGTTTTCAGCTTCATCAGGTCCTTTAAGGACTTCTCTGCATTGGTCATTCTAGTTAGCCATTCGTCTAATTTTTTTTTTTTCAAGGTTTTAACTTCTTTGTCATGGGTTCGGACTTCCTCCTTTAGCTCAGAGTAGTTTGATCATCTGAAGCCTTCTTCTCTCAACTCATCAAAGTCATTCTCCCCCCAGCTTTGTTCCGTTGGTGGTGAGGAGCTGCGTTCGTTTGGAGGAGGAGAGGCACTCTGATTCTTACAGTTTCCAGTTTTTCTGCTCTGTTTTTTCCCCATCTTTGTGGTTTTATCTACCTTTGGTCTTTGATGATGGTGACGTACAGATGGGGTTTTGGTGTGGATGTCCTTTTTGTTGATGTTGCTATTCCTTTCTGTTTGTTAGTTTTTCTTCTAACAGTCAGGTTCCTCAGCTGCAGGTCTGTTGGAGTTTGCTGGAGGCCCACTCCAGACCTTGTTTGCCTGGGTATCACCAGCAGAGGCTGCAGAACAGCAAATATTGCGGAACAGCAAATATCGCTGCCTGATCCTTCCTCTGGAAGCTTTGTCCCAGAGGGACACCCGCCTGTATGAGGTGTCTTTCGGCCCCTCCTGGTGTTGTGTTGTTTCCTGTTTGTTTTGTTTTAACAGTCAGGTCACTCTTCTGTTGGGCTGCTGTGGTTTGCTGGGGGTCCACTCCAGACCCTAGTTGCCTCGGTTTTCTTCATACCTGGAAGTATCACCAGTGAAGGCTGTGAAACAACAAAGATAGCAGCCTGCTCCTACTTCTGGAAGCTCTGTCCCAGTGGGGGTACTGACATGTGCCTGTAGGAGGTGTCTTTGTAGCAGCATGATTTATACTCCTTTGGGTATATACCCAGTAATGGGATGGCTGGGTCAAATGGTATTTCTAGTTCTAGATCCTTGAGGAATTGCCACACTGTCTTCCACAATGGTTGAACTAGTTTACAGTCCCACCAACAGTGTAAAAGTGTTCCTATTTCTCCACATCCTCTCCAGCACCTGTTGTTTCCTGCCTTTTTAATGATCGCCATTCTAACTGGTGTGAGATGGTATCTCATTGTGGTTTTGATTTGCATTTCTCTGATGGCCAGTGATGATGAGCATTTTTTCATGTGTCTTTTGGCTGCATAAATGTCTTATTTTGAGAAGTGTCTGTTCATATCCTTTGCCCACTTTTTGATGGGGTTGCCAAAAAACTAACTTTTAATTTGGTTGATCCTTTGCATTTTTTGGTCTTAATTTCTTTTATTTCTGGTCTGATCTTTATTGTTTCTTTCCTTCTGGTAATTTTGGGTTTGGTTTGTTCCTGCTTTTCTAGTTCTTTGGGGTGCATTGTTATGTTGTTTATTTGAAGTCCTTCTATTTTTTTGATATAGGTGTTTATGGCTATAAACTTCTCCCTTAGTACTGCTTTTCCTCTATTGTGTATCTTTTGGTATGTTGTATTTTCATTTTCATTTATTTCAAGACATTTTAAAATTTCTTTCTTAATTTATTCATTGATCCATTGGTCATTCAGGAGCATGTAATTTAATTTCCATGTGCTTGTGAAGTTTCCATGGTTTCTTTTGTTATGGTGGTTTTATTTCTAGTTTTAGTCCATTGTGCTTTAAAAAGGTACTTGAAATTAGCCCGGTGTGGTGGTGTGTGCCTGTAATCCCAGCTACTCAGGAGGCTGAGGCAGGAGAATCACTTGAACCTGGGAGGTGGAGGTTGCAGTGAGCTGAGATCATGCCATTGCACTCCAGGCTGGGTGACAGTGTGAGACGCTGTCCCCCCCAAAAAAAAATTAAAATAAAAAGGTACTTGATATGATTTCTTCTTTTTTGGATTTGTTCAGACTTGTTTTGTGGCCTGATATATGGTCTTTTCTGTAGGATGTCCTGTGTGCTGGTGAAAAGAATGTGTATTCTGTAGCAGTTGGTGAAATATTCTGTAAATGTCAGGCCTCTTAAGTCTAGTTAAGTCTAGTTAAATCTAATGTTTCTTTGTTCTTTTAAAAAATGTGGGCCGGGTGTGGTGGCTCCCAAATCCCAGCACTTTGGGAGGCCGAGGTGGGTGGAACACGAGGTCAGGAGATCGAGACCATCCTGCCTAACACGGTGAAACCCCATCTCTACTAAAAAGTACAAAAATTAGCCAGGCGTGATGGTGGGCACCTGTAGTCCCAGCTACTTGGGAGGCTGAGGTAGGAGAATGGCGTGAAACTGGGAGGCGGAGATTGCAGTCAGCCGAGAACGTGCCACTGCACTCCAGCCTGGGTGACAGAGAGAGACTCCGTCTCAAAAAAAAAAAAAAAAAAAAAATTGTGGTAAAATATGCATAACATAAAATTTACCATTTAAGTACTTGTTATTGAACTATTCAGGAACATTAAATACATTTACAATGTTTTGTAACCATCACCACTACCCATTTCCAGAACTTTTTAATCATCCCAAACAGAAACTCTGTAGCCAATAAATGGTAACCCCACTTTCCTTCCTGCCCCTAGTTTCTGGTAACTTCTACTTTCTGTCTCTGTAGGTCTCTCATATAAGTGGAATTATACAATACTTATCCTTTTGTGTCAGGCTTATTTCACTTAGCATAATGTTATCAAGGTTTGTCCATGTTATAGCATGTATCAGAATTTAATTCTTTTTTTGGCTAAATAATATTTCATTGTATGTATATACCACATTTTGTTTATCCATTTATTTGATAATGGACACTTGGATTGCTTTTAGCTTTTGGCTGTTGTAAATAATGCTACTATGAACATTGGTGTGCAAGTATCACCTAATTTCTTTTTATGGCTGAATAATAATTCAATGCATGAGTATACACATTTTGTTTATCCATTAATCATTGGATTATTTCTACCTTTTGTCTATTATGACTACTGTTGCTGTGAACATTTATATATAAATCTTTGAACATCTGTTTTCAGGTATTCTCTTGGGTATATACCTAGAAGTAGAATTGCTGGGTTGTATGGTAATTCTATGTTTAACTTTTTGAGGAACTACCAAACTGTTTTCCATAGCAACGGCAGTGCACTATTTTACAATTCCTCAAGCAATATATGAGGGTTTCGATTTCTACATATCCTAGTCAACACTTTCTTTCTTTCTTTTTTTTAAAAACATAACCATCTTAATAGATGTGGTGTGGTATCTCATTGCGGTTTTGATTTGCATTTGCCTAATGACTAATGATGTTGAACTCTTTTTATGTGCTTATTGGCCGTTAGTATATTTCCTTGGGACAAATGATCATGCAAGTCCTTTACCCATTTTTGATCTGAGTTTTTTGTTTTTTGTTGTTGATTAATATAACTTATATTATATCCGTTCTGTCATCATGGTTATTATTTTAATGACTGCATAATTGTCCATTGAGTTGATGTACTATATTTTATTTCCTGATTCTTTTATCTCTTATTCTTTGTACTTCAACACCCACTCCAAACTCCAGATTCTTATTTCATCATCTTCCTGTTTTGCACATATACTCTTTCCCAGACTTGATATATGTTAATGTGCCATTTCTCAAAGG
Source organism: Homo sapiens (assembly GCF_000001405.40). NCBI lineage: Eukaryota > Metazoa > Chordata > Mammalia > Primates > Hominidae > Homo > Homo sapiens. The sequence goes on along the minus strand of NC_000010.11, from coordinate 67,735,217 downwards.
ATGCTCTATAGAACACTTACATTAAGATCACCTAAGAGAGCCTGTGTGTGTGTGTGTGTGTGTGTGTGTGTTTGTGTGTGTGTGTGTGTGCTCACTTGCTGGAAGGGTGGACATGTTAAAAGTTTACATTTCCAACCTTGCTCTAGACCTACTGTGTCAGTGTCGAGGACATTGTGTACCTTTAGAAACAGTGATACATGTTACTTGAAGAAATACTGCATACCTTTTAAGAAACTGTTTTGTAAAATTTACTTTATCTTAAAGACATTTCCATATTGATATATGTATGTATAATCAGCTATATCATCATTTTAATGTCCATGTATGTATCATAGGTTTTATTTAAAAAAAACCCATGTTATAGGACATTTAGATTATTTATAATTCTCCATGGTTATAAACCATATTGCTTGCTTCCTGTAAATCCTTTAAAGACTTGTCTGATTATTTCCCTGGGACAAGCCCTTAGATATATTATTTTTGGTCAAAGTATGTACTTTTAAAAGGATTTTAGTGCCAAATTGCCCTCCAGAAATGTTTTCCCAGTTCATATTCATACCAGGAATTATCCTAGTATCTGCTTCTCTAGAGCTTTGACTTCCTTATGTCTACACTTTTATCATTCTTTCAAATCTTGGTCAATAAGCAAGAGATAGTATCTTCTTATTTTGACTAATGATTTAACTCATGTTAATTATTTCTGTATAATAGGTACAATCTTTCATGTTATTCTCCTCTGCTAGATTATTCCTTTCCCCAGGATCATATATATCTTTGAGTCTTATATTTATTTTTATTCACCCTACTGGAGCCTTGCCTGGTAGTCACTGAATAAATTTTTATATATTTGACTTGAATTCTCAAAAATAGTAGATTCTTCAACTCTGAACTCCAGATTCAGAACATATAATTGTTGATTTTTTAGTCTTATCTGCACACTGATTCTGACCACAGTCAGGAGCTTTATCTTCACAGAGTTCTTGGCTTTATATTTAAAAAGTTAATTTGAATTAATTAACATGTAGGGTTAATATTTGAACAGAAGTTATGGTAATTTTGTTGACTGGCCAGGAAAAGAGAAAAGAGGAAGGCTATTTAATAAGGTCTTATGTCTATAAGTGGGTATTACATAGTAGATAGAAGGAACTTAAACTCTACCTATAAAAATTTAGGCTAGATATAAATTTAAAAATCCAGCGTGGTTGTTATGAGGCTTTAAAATAAATTCCCTGGTGGAAAATTTAAGTATTTTGTGAAAATTTGTCTCCCTCTAAAGGGCTCAAGTGAACCTTTTCATGGAAAGGGAAACTATAAATTTCTGAAGGATAGGGACTGTGGCATCTTTTGCTATTTTTTAATCTCTTAAAGCCACAGCCAAATTTAGGGTCTGACTGCCAGGTAGCTGCCCAGAATATACCCTTACAAGAGTTATTAAAGCATGAGTGGCAATGTAATAGGGTTAAGTTGTGTTTTCTAGAATACCTGGCAGGAAGAGAGGTAAATATGGTAGGAAGGAGTGACACTTGTAGTGGAGTGAGTATTTGTCGGAAAGGTAAGTGACATTTCCAAGGGAACATGCTCCAGTAATGAAAGATGTTGCTAAACTATTTTCTAAGGATGGTGAATCCAGCTAAGTGGTGAGTATAATTTAGGGCCAGAAGTGATTTGCTTTAAGCAATAGGATAGCTTGCATACCACCAGCAGTCCTTTTTGTGGCTGTTCTCCAAGCAGAGACAAGCCTCCTTCCTAAATCTTGAATAAAGGTCCCTTGGTGGAAGATGGGTATGATCTACGGATGTAGAGTAGGTTGAGGAACCCAGAATTCCATTTTAGATGTATTATGTCTGAAATACCTTTAACGCATTCAAATAGATTTGTCATGATCTGACTTTGGAACCCTTTTGGGCAAAACCAAACCTTATGAACTGGAAGAATAGTAGCAACTTTTCAAAGAAAATTTATGTGGGTCATTTCATTTTTTAATCTCAGCTTTTCTAAAACTTAGCTTTAAATATTAATTTTTAATTAAAAATTTAAATGTTTAGGTGTGTAATAAAGGTACCTGGTTAACTCATTATAATCCTTGCACATAATTTGATTTTGACCATGTACTTATTTGACATAGATAAAATATTTACATTTTTCATTATGTAGTGGGGTGTTGGAATGTGCAGCTGCTACTATTCACATCTGTGTGGATTTTCCCCATAAACGCTGTTACATACCTTGGTGTGTTTGCTCTGTATTTTGGAGCTTGACTTCTTTGCTCAATTCTACACTTTTAACGGAGTCTTGAGAGAGAGAATGTGTGTGTGTGTGTGTGTGTGTGTGCGTGAGTGAGAGAAAGAGGGAGAAGGCTACGTTCAATTTGCCATCTTTAACCTAATTTTAAATATTTTCTTTGGTTATATTACACTGTGTTGATACTGAGTTTTTTTATAGGCTTACATGGACAAATGAAAAAATAATGAGAAACTAATGTTGTGAGAGAAATAATAAGTTAGAAGACATTTTATCTAATTTCATACCCTATTAGAAGAATATCTTGATTTTAAAACTGCTGCCCATTTTTGTGTTGTTGGCTCATTATTCAACTAAATATGTAGTGAGATTTAAGGCCATTCTATTACTGATGAGCTCTGAAATGAAGGGTTATGTTTTTGTCCTAAGACAGAATGCATTTTTAATTAGAAAGTTATGTCAAGAATCAGAACTGCTTAGACCACGAGTGGCTTCTCAACTTGGGTGAAATTAGTAACAGGTTTTTACTTATCAAGAAGATAAAGTCAACAATGGTTGTAAACATTATGATTTTTGAGATTTTTATGATACTTTTTTCATAAGACTATGTCCTATTCAGATGCCCAAATAAGATTTTAACTGAATACATATCTATATATGCATAAACATGTTTTAATTTAAGCACAATTTAAATTGTTTTATATACCATAGTACTCTTGTTTGATTTGAAAAATACAAGTTCACACACTAAAAGGCCCGACCTCACCATTATGCAATATATCCATGTAACCAAGCTGCACTTGTGCCCCTTAAATTTAGACAAATAAAAAAACTCAAGTTCAACAATTGATAACAAGTCTTATTATTTTTCAATTAAGCTTAAAAAAAAAAAAGATGGGCCAGGCATGATGGCTCACGCCTGTAATCTCAGCACTTTGGGAGGCCGAGGTGGGTGGATCATAAGGTTAGGTGTTCGAGACCAGCCTGGTCAACACACTGAAACCCCGTCTCTACTAAAACTACAAAAACAAAAACAAAAACAAAAAAAATTAGCCGGGCTTGGTGGCGGGTACCTGTAATCCCAGCTACTAAAAAAGAAAACAAAACAACAACAACAACAAAAACTAATGATGTGAACCATTGTTTAAAAGCAAAATATCTTTTTTTTTTTTTTTTGAGACGGAGTCTTGCACGTTGCCCAGGCGGGAGTGCAGTGGCATAATCGCGGCTCACTGCAAGCTCCACCTCCCGGGTTCACGCCATTTTCCTGCCTCAGCCTCCCGAGTAGCTGGGACTACAGGCGCCCACCACCACGACTGGCTAACTTTTTGTATTTTTAGTAGAGACGGGGTTTCACCGTGTTAGCCAGGATGGTCTCGATCTCCTGACCTCATGATCCGCCTGCCTCGGCCTCCCAAAGTGCTGGGATTACAGGTGTAAGCCACCGCGCCCGGCCTAAAAGCAAAATATCTTAAGACTTTTTTGTTTTGTTTTTGGAGACAGAGTCTTGCTCTGTCACCCAGGCTGGAGTGCAGTGGTGCGATCTCGGCTCACTGCAACCTCCGCTTCCCAGGTTCAACCGATTCTGCTGCCTCAGCCCCTGGCTAATTTTTGTATTTTTAGTAGAGACAGGGTGTCACCCTATTTGCCAGGCTGGTCACGAGCTCCTGACCTCAGGTGATCCTTCTGCCTCAGTCTCCCAAAGTGCTGGGATTAGAGGTGTGAGCCACCACATCTGGCTATCATAAGACTTAATGAAAAAACAGCATTTCCTACACCATGCTTTCCAACTTCATGTCTCATTCTGGATATAATAACCACCTTTAACTCTTAATTGCTTATTCTGGTATTTACTTCTATTTTTCTAAATAATATTTTTATACAACTATTTCTTGAGTTTTTAGTTTTGGATTTTATCTCTTGACTTGCTAGTATGAAATGTAAGCTGTCAGCTTTTTTATACATTGTTCCTTTCCCATATCTTTTAAAGTATGTGATAATATTTGGTTAAATCAATATTCAATGTTTATATTATTAAATATTATGAGTATGTATTTTTCACAGCCAAGCCACATATTGTGCTATAATTAAATTTCCTTTCTACTAGAACTTCTCTTTTTCCCAGGGATTAATGATTATACTGTTCCCTTTTGTCTGCTTAGTTTTCTATTTGATTATCACTAATTCATCACCAAATTGTCTGAAAGAATTATAAATCTCTCATTATATTTAAATATCAGATTATCTGTTAAGTTTTTCTTCCTCTCTCCCTCCTTTATCTTTTTCTTTCTCCCTCTCTCTCTTCCTTTCTTTTATTCATTTAGATATCCCTTCTTAGAGCCTCTATCCTTCTGCTCCAATCTTAAGCCTACTGCTCACCTGTCATCCTGGGATCTCCCTTCAGTTCTCTTCCGTAATGTCTTCTATTCTTTCTTGGATCATGTCTTCCTCTTTCATGGTTTACTTTCTTAGTTTAGAGAAGCGTGTACCCCAGCAGCTTCCTCAGAAAGGGCACAGGAGAGGCAAAAATTATTTTTAAACTTTGCACATCTGAAAATGTCTTTATTCTTGGATGTGTTTGATAGTGTGACTGGCTAAAAAAATGGTAGGGTTAACAAAAATTTCACCACAAATCTTAACATTCTTAAAAAAAAAATGCCCAAGGAAAGGTCCAATGAGGGCTAAATTTTGTATTTATTTGGAAAGATGGAAGCCATCTGAATCTGATCTAGTTAAAAGTAATCTGTTTACCTCTCTGCTTTTTAGCTCGAGTATGTGTAAAGTTTTACTTAGAAATTTCTAAGATTTTCCTTAGACTCTAAAAGAACATGTATGAAGTTAGACTGAGATTGTCCCTCCACAAGAGAAGGGAGTGTAAATGAAGATCCTGGTGGGTGGGGAACACCAAATGAAATACTTTTCTAGGATTAGCATTCAGGATTATTTATTTTTTGGTTTATACATAAGAACTCTAACATTTTCCTCTTACATTTTTTTCTTTTGTACAGTGTTAGGAGCAAGAATCTCAAAATGACTTGAAAGTTTTGAAAGTTGTGAAAGTTTTCTTGCCATTATTTTTTATTTTTACATATTTTAAAAAATTGAGGTGAAATGGACATAACGATTAACCATAAAATTAATTATTTTAAAGTGGACATTTCAGCGGCATTTAGTACATTTATAACCTTGTACAACTACCTCCTCTATCTAGTTCTAAAATGTTTTAATCACTGTAAATTGTGAAAACTTGATACTGATTCTTTTCATAGAACATAAACTTTTATCTTTGCTTCAAAATTTGGTCTTTATATATTAGTAACTCTGGAAATAACCAATTTATTATATTCTGACCATGCAATTCCTTAAAAATGAACAACTTTGTAGATAGTTTATACTTTTCTTATCAGAAAATCACAAAAGTTTATTAATGTCCTTCCTGCCTATTGTGTTCTTTGAATTTAGCAATATAGAAATTAAATTAGGACAATTTTTGTTTTAAAAATTAGATTAACATTGTCTTTATTGTTTTTGTTTTGGGATGTTTAGAAATGTAATGGTACAGAACTTTGAAAATGCAGGTTAGAGAGTAGGAAAAATCTCATCAAGAAATGGTTCATTTAACAAATAAGTTAATAGATCTATAAATGTTTCTTTCTTTCAGCAGCTGATTATGCTGCCATTTGTCACATGCCATTGGATGATTATCATTGTCATTCTGTGTTGGAGATTCTCCTATGAACAGGCTTAAAGTGGGTGGAATTACATGGAGAATAATTCTGGTACCTTTTAGGGAACAATAAGAAAAGGGAATAGGAAAAGGGCCAGAGTCTGCTTTTAAACATTTTAAAGTATTTTTCCCTTCAAAACTCTTCTTAACATTTAATATTTAAATATTTTAAAAATTAAAAGTGTAATTTAAAAAATTAGACTGCCTTCAAATTCCTGCTTTACTTACTAACCATTTTTCATTTACTTTGTAACTGAGATTTAGAAATTAATATGGAAGCTTTAAAGGAGGCATCATTTCCTCTAGAAAACCAATTCTTGGCAGCTTTGGTTAGCTGTAGTGAGTAGTGAAGCCAGATTTGTTGTCCTATTCTATTAATCAAATATACAGATGGCCTATTTTTCATTTTTGTTTCAGTGTGTAAGTAAGTACCACATAGCAGTCAGTCCGACCTAACAAATCTAGCTAACTATGGAGCTTCATAAATTAGCACACAGCTGTGATTATTAATAATTACAGATAATATATTAATTAGAACATAATAAAACAATGAAAAATTAATTACATATGTTAATGAAATGTAGGTATACAAATACATGCATATACATAATAATTAAGTGTAATTATTTAGACCAGTGGTTCTCACAGTGGGGTTCCCAGACCAGCAGCATTGACATCACCTGGAATCGCTTGAACCTGGAGGTGGAGGTTGCAGTGAGCTGAGATTGTGCCATTGCACTCCAGCTGGGCAACAGAGCGAGACTCTGTCTCAAAAAAGAAAAAATATGTATATCTCTATAATATATATACACATATACATATATACATACATATAGTATATATTATGTATATATATATAACCTCCACCTCCCAGGTTCAAGCGATTCTCCTGCCGCAGCCTCACAAGTAGCTGTGATTACAGGTACCCACCATCATGCCTGGCTAATTTTTGTATTTTTGTGGAGATGGGGTTTCACCATGTTGGCCAGGCTGGTCTTGAACTCCTGACATCAAGTGATCCTCCTGCCTTGGCCTCCCAAAGTGCTAGGATTACAGGTGTGAGCCACTGGGCCCAGCTTATATTCTTAGAAACTCTAAAGTATAATATATATACATATATGTGTTATATATACACCTATGTATATGTATGTATATTACATATTATATAATATATAATATGTAATATACATATAATTATATATAATTATAATTATATATCATATATAATATATGATATATAATACATAATATACATGTATACATATATGTATTATGTGTCATCTATTATATATTATACATACTATATTCTACATAATATAATATGTAATATATAATATACATAATATATTATACATAATATAATATGTGATATATACTATATTATACATAATATAATATATGATATATACTATATTATATGTAATATAATATATGATATATAATACATATGTGTATATATGTATTTTACATATTATATATTATATATAATATATAATATAAGTAAGCTATGACTTCCTCAACAGTGACTAGTTTTATATATATTATCTATGATCTATTATATATTATATATTTATATATTATATTATATATCATATATAATATAATAATATATAATATATAATAGACCATATATTGCATATATAATATATGATATATGATATATATCATATATTATGCTACATATTATATATTATATATGATCTATTATATATAATATGTTACATAATATATGATATGTTATATATGATATATTATGTTTAATATAATATATAAATATATAATATATGATATATATGATATATAATATATAGAAAATTCTAGTCACTTGAAGTTACAGCTTACGTATCATATTATATAATTATAATACGTAACATACATATATACATATATGTATATGATATATATAATATACAATAATATATAAATATATAATATATCATATATAATATATATAAAATTCTAGTCACTGTTGAGGAAGGTACAGTTTACATATATTATATATTTATATGTAGTATATAATATGTAATATACATATATACATATAGGTATATATACACATAATATATATAATATATGTATCATATATTATATATAATTATATAATATATGTATCATATATTATATAATTATATCATATATGTATCATATATTATATATAATTATATCATATATGTATCATATATTATATATAATTATATCATATATGTATCATATATTATATATAATTATATCATATATGTATCATATATTATATATAATTATATATGTATCGTATATTATATATATAATTATATAATATATAATATATATGATATATGATATAATTTATATCATATGTATATAATGTATCATATATGATGTATCATTATATATAATATATAATTATATATAATGTATAATTATACTATATATTATATATGATACATAGATATCTATAATATATGATGTATATAATATCATATATATTTATATATGATATATGTGTCATATTCTATGATATATCATATATAATATATTGTATATTATGATATATGATATATGATATATATTATATATAATACATCATATATTATATAATTAATATAATATATAATATATTATAGTATATATTATATATAATATAATATATATTATATATTATATAATATGTAATATAATATTACATATTATATAATATGTAATATATATTATATTATATAATATGTAATATATAATAATATATATAATATAATATAATATATAATATATTATATATTGTATATGATATAATATATAATATTATATCATATATCATATATAATATTATATATTATATATGATATAATATATAATATTATATATGATATAATATATAATATATATAATTTCATATATAATATCATATATTATATCATATATATCATATATTATATATAATATGTAAGATAATATATATAATATGTAAGATAATATCATATATAATATGTAATATAATATATATAATATGTAATACAATATTATATATAATATATAATATATAATGTATGATGTATTATGTATAATATATGATATATTATATATTATAATAATATATATTATTATATAAGATTATATATTATAATATATAATATAATATATATTATCTAATATAATAATATATAATCTTATATAATTATATATTATAATATATAATTTAAATATATTTATTTTTTATATTAATAATTGTATATAATAGAATTCCATTTATAAATATGTGGATTTAGATATATAATATATAATATATAGTATATAGTATATATTACATATATATTATATATACATATACTAAAAATAATTATATAATTATATATTATGTACAATATATAATTATATATATTATATATATGACATTCTAGTCACTGTTGAGGAAGGTACACCTTACGTATTTACAATAAGACTTAAAAAAATCAAGATTTTGGCGAATAAGGGGTGCCATGGGGCAGGGTGGAATCTTCTTAAGCCTTTTGCCTTTTCTAGAACCAACCTCTAACATTTAGAACATAGGTTTTGGCATAAGCTCTTCTCCTTAGACCATCCCCCTGACTCTCATCTCTTTTTCTCTCTATCCCTATCTCTTTATTTTTTCCCTCCCTTGGTTATCTTGGCTCTGTTAAGATAATAATTATGACTGTGTTTGTTCTGGATTTAGGTAGGGGACTCTGATATGTGACAAATGATAACACTGGGAGAAATAAAAGTGTCTTGTTCTTAGAGCATATTTGACAGGCAGATCTTACTATATAAAAGTACAATAAGGCCGGGCGCAGTGGCTCACCCCTTTAATCCCACCAGTTTGGGAGGCCGAGGTGGGCGAATCACGAGGTCAGGAGATCGAGACCATCCTGGCTAACATGTGAAACCCTGTCTCTACTAAAAAATACAAAAAAATTAGCTGGGCGTGGTGGCGGGTGCCTGTTGTCCCAGCTACTTGGGAGGCTGAGGCAGGAGAATGGCCTGACCCTGGGAGATGGAGCTTGCAGTGAGCCGAGATCGTGCCGCTGCACGCCAGCCTGGGCAACAGAGCGAGACTCCCGTCTCAAAAAAAAAAAAAAGGTAAATTAATAAATTAATACTATATATAAGTGGATGGATGTATAGTTAAGTGACTCATGGAGAACTACGAATCCGTTGTTTTATCAAATAGTGTATACCCTGAGAAAGTAAAAAGTTGATAATAAATTATAGTGGGAGAATAAATAGATATAATTTTATAAATTATAAAAATTTTAACAAGAATATTTTTGTGTAATAAAATGTAATAAGAATTTGTGTAATAGGAAGTAAGGTTTAAGGTTTTGGTATATGAAATTCTTACGTGAGCACTGGCAAGTTGTTGTATAAATATGTATTTGGAAACTTTCCTAAGCCTCTAATTATTACAAATAGGCTTCCTGCACTTGGATAAGGACTGATCCTACAATGAAGGCAGCAAATTTATGCCACAGCACCAGGAATAGCTTTGGATTTAGTGATTCGGGCCGTAAAACTTGGAAAATATACTAGGTACTTCTAAAAAATAGGATTATGTGAAGAGGGAAGCTGAAAACTGGAACGCTGGCTGAAATTCTGCATAAGAGCTGGCAATTGTTTATCAGCTCCTTGCCCCCATTGGTTGTGGGTTAATCTTGGGCACTAACTCCTCTGAACTTCTGTGGATATGCACATGTGGGCTCCCTGTATCATCTGTGGCTTTGGAGAAGCCAGTGTTCTATGGAACACTTGGGGTGGGGAAACCCGAAATTGTAGTGCTTGCCATTTCTGTGGTGTAAATACTGTCACCCGGCTGCTTTCAAATTATCTGCATGATGTAACTGAATGCGAAATTGGGAATTGATGTTCACAATAAGCTCTTCTACCTGTACCCCATCTAATCCACTCTAGAGAGATACCATATACCAGGGATTATCACCAAAAATAGACCCTCATTTCCATCTAGCTTGTGAATGATCCAGTTCAACAGTATCATCCTAAGGATCTGTTTTCTAGGCCCACTCCTGGTATAAACAGTCTTAGCTTGGATTCTCCTTAAAAGCAAGAGCCAGAGAGAACAACTCTAGGTAGTTCATCTGGGTGGTAACACCAGGGAGCAGGGGTGAGGGACTGGGCAGAAGAAAAAGTGGAAAGAATAATGTAGGATAAGCTTGCATTATCAGGGTCACTGCTGAGCCCAGCTGGGGCATCATGCTACTCAGAACTGTTTGAGAATTGTGTTGAATGTCCGTTAGAGTTCTCTACCTAAAGGTCTACTGGAAGGAGCAATTGTTTGCCAGCTCCTCGTCCCCATTGGTTGTGGGTTAATCTTGGGCACTAACTCCTCTGAACTTCGATGGATATGCATATACTTAGTAGGCTCCCTGTGTCATTTCTGGCTTTGGAGAAGCCCCATAGCATACCGAGAAAGACGTGGGGTATGACACTGACTGCATGAGAGAATTGTGGTCTGCTAGGAACTATCCTTCACAGTCGTGACTGGAATCAGAAGTGAGGCTAAGCAGGTGTGGGCAGGGCATCAGAAGCATCTGATACAGAGGATACTTTATGTTTTGAAAGTGGACCAAAAAGCATTTATTCACAATGAAGCTACGATTTAGGATCATGGGTCTTGTGGGATTAAATTGTTTATCAAAGAATTGAAAGATGCCGGGCATGGTGGCTTATGCGTGTAATCCCAGTGCTTTGGGAGGCTGAGGCAGGCAGATTGCTTGAGCTCAGGAGTTTGAAACCAGCTTAGGCAATGTGGTGAAACCCCAAAGTCTCTACTAAAAATACAAAAACTAGCTAGATGTGGTGGCTTGCGCCTGTAGTTCCACTACTTGGGAGGCAGAGATGGGAGGATCACTTGGACCCAGGAGGTCCAGCCTGCAGTGAGCCACGATTGCATCACTGCACTCCAGCCTCAGCAACAGAATGAGACCCTGTCTCAAAAAGAAAAAAAAAAAAAAAGAGGCCAGGTGCCGTGGCTCATGCCTATAATCCCAGCACTTTGGGAGGCCAAGTGGGACAGATCACCTGAGGTCAGGAGTTCAAGACCAGCCTGGCCAATATGGCAAAACCCCATCTCAACTAAAAATACAAAAATTAGCCAGGTGTGGTGGCGCGTGTCTGTAGTCCCAGCTACTTGGGAGGCCAAAGCAGGAAAATTGCTTGAACCCAGGAGGCAGAAGTTGTGGTGAGCCAAGATTACGCCACTGGACTGCAACCTGGGCGACAGAGTGAGACTCTGTCTCAAAAAAAAAAAAAAAAAAAGAGCTGAAAGATATAATTGTTATTCTCCATTTTACGTCCTCTTCCTCAAGTAAAACTCTGTGTTATAGAGTGTTTCTTTATCATAAGAAATCCATAGAAGGGATTTTAATCTATTTCATCAACATTTAAAATATTTGAGCAAATATGTTCACTTATTTAATGAATATTTAATATTGGAAATCTGAAAATATAAGCTTAATTTATGAAACCATGCAGTCATTTAAAAGGTCTTTTGTAGGTGTTCTATAAGGGATAAGAGTTGATATAAAACACTTTTTGTGTGGTATAGGCATTAATTACTGCTTTCAAATTTCTTTCAGATAGCATTTCTGGAGGCGTTAGTGCTTCTGATACATAATTATATGTCTTTGCCGTGATTTGTTTCCACTTTGTAAAGGAAGAGAGAAAATATCAATACAGTCCCAAGCTACTTTCTAATTAAACCTCTTCAGCCTTGACAGTTTCTTTTGGGATATCATCTTTATATTGTTTTCTCTCTTTGAGATTGGTAGCTGTGAATTGTTTGTATATTTGATTGCCTTTAGATATCTGTTAAAATTCAAGGAGAGCAAGGAGGATAGCAAAAACTTCATGACATATGATTCATGCTTTGCCTCACCTTCTATAGAAAAAGGGGAACAAAAACTAGAGCTGGCCTAGTACTACTGAAACAATCCTCTCCTAACCCCTTTGATCTGTCTCTCACCTTCCCTATCAGCCTTTCTCTGAACTATTCCCAAACTAATAGTCAGAGATCCTGTGAAATTCTGCTAGATGTAAACCCTAATGCTGAATTCTAAAAATTTGGTTCTTAGTGTTTGCACTAGTATCTGAGATAAAATACTGATTTTGTATATGAACAAGGGGAACCATTGAGATTGTTAAAAGTTTTAACTTACCATGGCTGGCAAGATGGCTGAATAGGAACTGCTCCAGTCTGCAGCTCCCGGCAAGACCAACATAGAAGGTGGGTGATTTCTGCATTTCCAACTGAACCTCCGCTGGTGATACCCAGGCAAGCAGAGTCTGGAGTGGACCTCCAGCAAACTCCAGCAGACCTGCAGCAGAGGGTCCTGACTGTTAAAAGGAAAACTAAGAAACAGAAAGGAATAGCATCAACATCAACAAAAAGGACATCCACACAAAAACCCCATCTGAAGGTCACCAGCATCAAAGGCCAAAGGTAGATAAATCCATGAAGATGAGGAAAACCAGCACAAAAAGGCTGAAAATTCCAAAAACCAGAAGGCCTCTTCTCCTCCAAAGGATCACAACTCCTCGCCAGCAAAAGAACAAAACTTGATGGAGAATGGGTTTCATGAATTGACAGAAGTAGGCTTCAGAAGGTGGGTAATAGCAAACTCCTTCAAGCTAAAGGAGCATGTTCTAACCAAATGCAAGGAAGCTAAGAACATTGAAAAAAGGTTAGAGGAATTGCTAACTAGAATAAGCAGTTTAGAGAAGAACATAAATGACCTGATGGAGCTGAAAAACACAGCACGAGAACGTTGTGAAGCATACGTAAGTATCAATAGCCAAATCAATCAAGTGGAAGAAAGGATATCAGAGATTGAAGATCAACTTAATGAAATAAAGCGTGAAGACAAGATTAAAGAAAAAAAAATGAAAAGGAATGAACAAAGCCTCCAGAAATATGGGACCATGTGAAAAGACCAAACCTAAGTTTGATTGGTGTACCTGAAACTGATGGAGAGAATGGAACCAAGCTGGAAAACACTCTTCAGGATATTATCCAGAAGAACTTCCCCAGCCTAGCAAGACAGGCCAACATTCAAATTGAGGAAATACAGAGAACACCACAGAGATACTCCTTGAGAAGAGCAACCCTAAGACACATAATACACAGTCATCAGATTTACCAAGGTTGAAATGAAAGAAAAGAAATTAAGGGCAGCCTGAGAGAAAGGTTGGGTTACCCACAAAGGGAAGCCCATCAGACTAACAGTAGATCTCTCTGCAGAAACCTTTCAAGCCAGAAGAGTGGGGGCCAATATTCAACATTTTTTTTTCTGAGACGGAGTCTCACTCTGTGACCCAGGCTGGATTGCAGTGGCATGATCTCGGCTCACTGCAACCTCCGCCTCCCAGATTCAAGCAATTCTCCTGCCTCAGCCTCCCGTGTAGCTGGGACTACAGGTGCTGGCCACTACACACGGCTAATTTTTGTATTTTTAGTAGAGACAGGGTTTCACCATGTTGTTGAGGCTGGTCTTGAACTCCCGACCTCAGGTGATCTGCCCACTTCAGCCTCTCAAAGTGCTGGGATTACAGGCATGAGCCACCATGCCCAGCTAACATTCTTAAAGAAAAGAATTTTCAACTCAGAATTTCATATCTAGCCAACCTAAGCTTCATAAGCGAAGGAGAAATAAAATCCTTTACAGACAAGCAAATGCTGAGAGATTTTGTCACCACCAGGGCTGCGTAACAAGAGCTCCTGAAGGAAGCACTAAATATGGAAAGGAACAACTGGTACCAGCTACTGTAAAAACATACCAAATAGTAAAGGCCATCGACATTATGAAGAAACTGCATCAGTAACAGGCAAAATAACCAGCTAGCATCATAATGACAGAATCAAATTCACACATAACAATATTAACCTTAAATGTAAATGGGCTAAACGCCTCAATTAACTGGCAATTGGACTCAATAGACTCAATAGCCTCATAGACTGGCAAATTGGATAAACAGTCAAGACCAATCAGTGTGAATACACCTGAATACATTCAGGAGACCCATTTCACGTGCAAAGACACACATAGGCTCAAAATAAAGGGATGGAGGAATATTTACCAAGCAATTGGACAGCAAAAAAAAAAAAAAAAAAAAAAAGCAGGGGTTGCAATCCTAGTCTCTGATAAAACAGACTTTAAACCAATAAAAATACGAAAAAGACAAAGAAGGGCATTACATAATGGTGAAGGGATCAATGCAACAAGAAGAGCTAACTATTCCGAATGTATATGCAAACAACACAGGAGCACCTAGATTCATAAAGCAAGTTCTTAGAGACCTACAAAGAGACTTAGATTTCCACACAATAATACTGTGAGACTCTAACACCCCACTGTCAATATTACACAGATCAACGAGACAGAAAATTAACAAGGATATTCAGGACTTGAACTCAGCTCTGGACCAAGTGGACCTAATAGACATCTGCAGAACTCTCCACCCCAAATCAACAGAATATACATTCTTCTCAGCACCACATAGCACTTATTCTAAAGTTGACCACAAAATTGGAAGTAAAGCACTCCTCAGCAAATGCAAAAGAATGGAAATCATAACAAACAGTCTCTCAGACCACAGTGCAATCAAATTAGAACTCAGGATTAAGAAACTCACTCAAAACCGCTCAACTACATGGAAACTGAACAACCTGCTCCTGAATGACTACTGGGTAAATAACAAAATTAAGGCAGAAATCAATAAGTTCTTTGAAACCAATAAGAACAAAGACACAAAGTACCAGAATCTCTGGGACACATTCAAAGCAGTGGTTAGAGGGAAATTTATAGCACTAAAGGCCCACAAAAGAAAGCAGGAAAGACCTAAAATTGATACCCTAACATCACAATTAAAAGAACTAGAGAAGCAAGAGCAAACAAATTCAAAAGCTAGCAGAAGACAAGAAATAACTAAGATCAGAGAAGAACTGAAGGAGATAGAGACACAAAAAACCCTTCCAAAAATCAATGAATCCAGGAACTGTTTTTTTTTAAAGATTAACAAAATAGACCACTAGCCAGACTAATAAAGAAGAACAGAGAGAAGAATGAAATAGAAAAAATAAAAAATTATAAAGGGGTTATCACCACTGATCCCACAGAAATACAAACTACCATCAGAGAATACTGTAAACACCTCTATGCAAATAAACTAGAAAATCTAGAAGAAATGGATAAATTCCTGGACACATACACCCTCCCAAGACTAAACCAGGAAGAAGTTGAATCCCTGAATAGACCAATAACAAGTTCTGAAATTGAGGCAGTAATTAATAGCCTACCAACCAAAAAAAGCCCAGGACCAGATGTCTTCACAGCCGAATTCTACCAGAGGTACAAAGAGGAGCTGGTACCATTCCTTCTGAAACTATTCCAAACAATAGACAAAGAGGCACTCCTCCCTAACTCATTTTATGAGGCCAGCATCATCCTGATACCTAAACCTGGCAGAGATACAACAAAAAAAGAAAATTTCAGGCCAACATCCCTGATGAACATCGATGCGAAAACCCTCAATAAAATGCAAACCAAATCCAGCAGCACATCAAAAAGCTTATCTACCACAATCAAGTGGGCTTCATCCCTGGGATGCAAGGCTCGTTCAACATATGCAAATCAATAAATGTAATCCATCCCATAAACAGAACCAACTACAAAAACCACTTGATTATCTCAACAGATGCAGAAAAGGCCTTCGATAAAATTTAACACCCCTTCATGCTAAAAACCTTCAGTAAACTAGGTATTGATGGAACGTATCTCAAAATTGTAAATTTATGATAAACCCACAGTCAGTATCATTCTGAATGGGCAAAAGCTGGAAGCATTTCCTTTGAAAACTGGCACAAGACAAGAATGCCCTCTCTCACCACTACTCAACATAGTATTGGGTGTTCTGACCAGGGCAATCAGGCAAGAGGAGAAATAAATTGTATTCAAATAGGAAAAGAGGAAGTCAAATTGTCTCTGTTTACAGATGGCATGATTGAATATTTAGAAAACCCCATTTTCTCAGCTCCAAATCTCCTTAAGCTGATAAGCAACTTCAGCAAAGTCTCAGGATGCAAAATTAATGTGCAAAAATCACAAGCATTTCTATACACCAATAACAGACAGAAAGCCAAATCATGAGTGAACTCCCTTTTACAATTGCTACAAATTGAATGAAATATCTAGGAATACAACTTACAAGGGATGTGTGAGGACCTCTTCAAGGAGAACTATAAACCATTGCTCAAGGAAATAAAAGAGGACAGAAACAAATGGAAAAACATTCTGTGCTCGTGGGTTGGAAGAATGAATATTGTGAAAATGGCCATACTGCCCAAAGTAATTTATAGATTTAATGCTATCCCCATCAAGCTACCACTGACTTTCTTCATAGAATTAGAAAAAACTACTTTAAATTTCATATGGAACCAAAAAAGAGCCCGTATAGCCTAGACAATCCTAAGCAAAAAGAACAAAGCTGGAGGCATCATGCTACCCGACTTCAAACTATACTACAAGGCTACAGTAACCAAAGCAACGTGGTACTGGTACCAAAACAGATATATAGACCAATGGAACAGAACAGAGGCCTCAGAAATAATGCCACAAATCTACAACCATCTGATCATTGACAAACCCGACAAAAACAAGCAATGGGGAAAGGATTCCCTATTTAATAAATGGTGTTGGGAAAACTGGCTAGCTATATGCAGAAAACTGAAACTGGACCTTGTCCTTACATCTTATACAAAAACTAACTCAAGATGGATTAAAGGCTTAAATATAAAACTGAAAACCATAAAAACCCTAGAAAAAAACCTAGGCAATACCATTCAGGACATAGGCATGAGCAAAGTCTTCGTGACTAAAACTCCAAAAGCAATGGCAACAGAAGCCAAAATAGACAAATGAGACCTAATTAAACCAAAGAGCTTCTGCACAGCAAAAGAAACTATCTTCAGAGGGAAGAGGCAACCTACAGAATAGGAGAACATTTTTGCAATCTATCCATCTGACAAAGGGCTAATATCCAGAATCTACAAGGAACTTAAAGAAATTTACAAGAAAAAAACAACCCCATCAAAAAGTGGGCAAAGGATATGAACAGATACTTCTCAAAAGAAGATATTTATTGGCCAACAAACATGTGAAAAAAAGCTCATCATCACTGGTCATTAGAGAAATACAAATAAGAACCATGATGAGATACCGTCTCATACCAGTTAGACTGGCGATCATTAAAAAATCAGGAAACAACAGATGCTGGAGTGGATGTGGAGAAATAGGAATGCCTTTACACTGTTGGTGGGAGTGTAAATTAGTTCAACCATTGTGGAAGACAGTGTGGCGATTCCTCAAGGATCTAGAACCAGAAATACCATTTGACCCAGCAATCCTTTTACTGGGTATATACCTAAAGGATTATAAGTCATTCTACTCTAAACACACATGCACACATATGTTTATTGCAGCGCTATTCACAATAGCAAAGACTTGGAACTAACCCAAATGCCCATCAATGATAGACTGGATAAAGAAAATGTGGCACATACACACCATGGAATACTATGCAGCCATAAAAAAGGATGGGTTCATGTTTTTTGCAGGTACATGGATGAAGCTGGAAACCATCGTTGTCAGCAAACTAACACAGGAACAGAAAACCGAACACCGCATGTTCTCACTCATAAGTAGGAATTGAACAATGAGAATACATGGACACAGGGAGGGGAACATCACACACTGGGGCCTGTTGAGGGGTGGAGGCTAGGGGAGGGAGAGCATTAGGAGAAATACCTAATGTAGATAATGGGTTGGTGGGTACAGCAAACCACCATGGCACGTATATACCTATGTAACAAACCTGCATGTTCTGCACATGTATCCTAGAACTTAAAGTATTAAAAAAAAGTTGTAACTTATTTAAATTCATTATCAACAATCAGAATTAGAAAAGATCATGGTCTAGTTTTTCCTTATTTTTGAATCAGTGGTATTAGGCCCTTTTTAGGGATACCTGAAAATCTCTGATATTTATTTGCTGTTGCATAACTTCTGAGGCATAAATTCTTGGTTTACACATGATAATTGTTAATATACCTATATTTGATAACATGAATTGATTTTAATAATGAAACCTTAAACTCTTATTTTTGTATTAGTAAAAAGAGTAGCATTCCCAAACAAGGATCGTTCATATCCAGAGTACCTTATAGTAAAGGTCCTGCTTATCCAGCTGATTAGCTACAGTCAATTAAGTTACCCGCTCTTAAGGGTATATGAAAAGGGATCTTACAACTCAGAACATTGTAAGCATTTGCATGTATTATTTGAGAAGAACTAAATCTGCATTTAAAAAAAATACCTGCCCCAAACTTTTTCACCTGTGTAGATACTAATGTTTGCAATATACAGCCCAGCCAGTTCCAGGCAGATTGGTCTTTCAGATGGAACCTGTAATTTTAGTCCCATATCTGATGGGGCTAAAATATCTTTTGAATCACAGCCCCTGTTCTAATTCTCAATGTTTATTCAATCTATGTAACTAGGCTTCTGCCAGTGCACTTGGCTAGGGCTCTAACTCCTTGTCTAATTCTTGCCAGTTTCCAGATGAACCACCTGAAATAGGGAATCATCACACCGTAACATAGAGTAACAGTTCAGAGAAGGGATTCCTGCTACAGTGTCCTACTAGATAGACGGTTCTCAGACATTGTAACTGTTCCTAATTAAATAAAAGTTTCTATGTCCTCTTATGTGCCAAGCCATTTTGATTAGCTGCTCTCAAGGTCTCCTGGGGGTTGAGCCCTATCATTTGGTCAGTTCTTCTCATTTGGTCAGTTCTCCTAGTCTTATTCCTGCATGGCCCCTTATTATTACTTGATCCCTTCTTGTTCTTGCACTGTTCATTGCTAAAATTGAGGTGGAGCTTTTGTAAAATGCAATATGAACTATATACCATTATCCAAGTCATTAACATGATTAAAAATAGCTACCATTTATTGAAAACTATGTGTGACTCAAATGTCTGAGATTCAACATCTGGTTTCTAAAATAAGGTTATATATTCTTTTAAATTTGTAGATTCCAATAGCTCAAGTTTCTATTGTCCAAGTGCCAGAAATTAGCCCTTTAAAGTGTTTCTTGGCTATTTCTGAGTCATCCCAAGAGCTCTCTCAATTGTGCTCAGGAAGAGGTCTGTATTAGTCTGCTTTCATGCTGCTGATCAAGACATACCAGAAACTGGGCAATTTACAAAAGAAAGGTTTATTGTACTTCCAGCTCCATATGGCTGGGGAGGCCTCACAATCATGGTGGAAGGTGAAAGACATGTCTCACATGGTGGCAGATAAGAGAAGAGAACTTGTGCAGGGAAACTTTCCTTTTTAAAACCATCATATCTCATGAGACTTATTCACTGAGAATAGCATGGGAAAGACCTGTCCCCATGATTCAGTTACCTCTCACCAAATCCCTCCCACAATATGTGGGAATTCAAGATGAGATTTGGGTGGGGACACAGTCAAACCATATTATTTCACCCCTGGCCCCTCTCAAACCTCATGTCCTCACATTTCAAAACCAGTCATGCCTTCTCAACAGTCCCTGGAAGTCTTAACTCATTTTAGCATTAACTCAAAAGTCCACAGTCAAAAGTCTCATCTGAGATAAGGCAAGTGCCTTCTACCTATGAGCCTGTAAAATCAAAAGCAAGTTAGTTACTCCCTAGCTACAATGGGCGTACAGGCATTGGGTAAATATAGCCATTCCAAATGGGAGAAATTGGCCAAAACAAAGGGGCTACAGGCCCCACACAAGTCTGAAAGCCAGCAAGGCAGTCAAATCTTAAAGCTCCAGAATGATCTCCTTTGACTCCATGTCTTGCATCCAGGTCACAGTGATGCAAGAGGTAGGTTCCCATAGTCTTGGGCAGCTCTGCCCCTGTGGCTTTGCAGGGTACACTTCCTTCCTGGCTTCTTTCATGGTCTGGCATTGAGTGTCTGTGGCTTTTCCAGGTGCATGGATGGTGCAAGCTGTTGGTGGATCTACCATTCTGGGGTCTGGAGGATGGTGGCCCTCTTCTCACAGCTTCACTACATGGTGTCCCAGTAGGGACTCTGTGTGGGGGCTCCAGTCCCACATTTCCCTTCTTCACTGCCCTAGCAGAGGTTCTCCATGAGAGCCCTGCCCCTGCAGCAAACTTCTGCCTGGTGGACATCTAGGCATTTCCGTACATCTTCTGAAATCTAGGCAGAGGTTCCCAAACCTCAATTCTTTTTTTTTTTTAATTTTACTTTAAGTTCTGGGATACATGTGCAGAACATGAGGGTTTGTTACATAGGTATACATGTGCCATGGTGGTTTGCTACACCTATCAACCCGTCATCTAGGTTTTAAGTCCCTCATGCGTTAGGTATTTGTCTTAATGCTCTCCATCCCCTTTCCTCCCATCCCCCGACAGGCACCAGCATGTGATGTTCCCTTCCCTATGTCCATCTATTTTCATTGTTCAACTCCCACTTATGAGTGAGAACATGCGGTATTTGGTTTTCTGTTCCTGTGTTAGTTTGCTGACAATGATGGTTTCCAGCTTCATCCATGTCCCTGCAAAGGACATGAACTCATTCTTTTTTTATGGCTACATAGTATTCCATGGTGTATATGTGCCACATTTTCTTTATCCAGTCTATCATTGATGGGCATCTGGGTTGGTTCCAAGTCTTTGCTATTGTGAATAGCGCTGCAATAAACATATGTGTGCATGTGTCTTTATAGTAGAGTGACTTATAATCCTTTGGGTATATACCCAGTAATGGGATTGCTGGGTCAAGTGGTATTTCTGGTTCTAGATCCTTGAGGAATCACCACACTGTCTTCCACAATGGTTGAACAAATTTACATTCCCACCAACAGTGTTAAAGCATTCCTATTTCTCCACATGCTCTCCAGCATCTGTTGTTTCCTGACTTTTTAATGATGGCCACTCTAACTGGCATGAGATGTTATCTCATCGTGGTTTTGATTTGCATTTCTCTAATGACCAGTGATGATGAGCTTTTTTTCATTTGTTTGTTGGCTGCATAAATATCTTCTTTTGAGAAGTGTCTGTTCATATCCTTCATCCACTTTTTGATGGGGTTGTTTGTTTTTTTCTTGTAAATTTCTTTAAGTTCCTTGTAGATTCTGGATATTAGCCCTTTGTCAGATGGATAGATTGCAAAAATGTTCTCCTATTCTGTAGGTTGCCTGTTCCCTCTGAAGATAGTTTCTTTTGCTGTGCAGAAGCTCTTTAGTTTAATTAGATCAATTTATCAATTTTGGCTTTTGTTCCAGTGGCTTCTGGTGTTTTGGTCATGAGGTCTTTGCTCATGCCTATGTCCTGAATGGTATTGCCTAGGTTTTTTTCTAGGATTTTTATGGTTTTAGGCTTTACATTTAAGTCTTTAATCCATCTTGAGTTAGTTTTTGTATAAGGTGTAAGGACGAGGTCCAGTTTCAGTTTTCTGCATATGGCTAGCCAGTTTTCCCAACACATTTATTAAATAGGGAATCGTTTCCCCATTGCTTGTTTTTGTCAGGTCCCAAACCTCAATTCTTGACTTCTCTGCACTTGCAGGCTCAACACCATGTGGAAGCTGCCAAGGCTTGGGGCTTGCACCCTCTGAAGCCATGGCCGGACCTCTATATTGGCCCCTTTCAGCCACAGCTGGAGCAGCTGGGACACAAGGCACCAAGTCCCTAGGCTGCACACAGCACGGGGACCCTGGGCCCAGCCCATGAAACCATTCTTTCCCCCTAGGCCTCTGGGCCTGTGATGGGAGGGGCTGCCGTGGAGACCTCTGGTATGCCTTGGAGACATATTCCCCATTGTCTTGGGGCTTAACACTTGGCTCCTCATTATTTATGCAAATTTCTGCAGCCAGCTTGGATTTCTCCTCAGAAAATGGGATTTTCTTTTCTATCATATTGTCAGGCTGAAAATTTTCCAAGCTTTTTTACTTTGCTTCCCTTTTAAAACTGAATGCCTTTAACAGTACCCAAGTCATATATTGAAAGCTTTGATGCTTAGAAATTTCTTAATCCAGTCTATCATTGTTGGACATTTGGGTTGGTTCCAAGTCTTTGCTATTGTGAATAATGCTGCAATAAACATACGTGTGCATGTGTCTTTATAGCAGCATGATTTATAGTCCTTTGGGTATATACCCAGTAATGGGATGGCTGGGTCAAATGGTATTTCCAGTTCTAGATCCCTGAGGAATCTCCACACTGACTTCCACAATGGTTGAACTAGTTTGGAATACTATGCAGCCATAAAAAATGATGAGTTCATGTCCTTTGTAGGGACATGGATGAAATTGGAAATCATCATTCTCAGTAAACTATCGCAAGAACAAAAAACCAAACACCGCATATTCTCACTCATAGGTGGGAATTGAACAACGAGATCACATGGACACAGGAAGGGGAACATCACACTCTGGGGACAGTTGTGGGGTGGGGGGAGGGGGGAGGGATAGCATCGGGAGATATACCTAATGCTAGATGACGAGTTAGTGGGTGCAGCGCACCAGCATGGCACATGTATACATATGTAACTAACCTGCACAATGTGCACATGTACCCTAAAACTTAAAGTATAATAAAAAATAAATAAATAAATAAATAAATTTCTTCTGCCAGATACCCTAAATCATCTCTCTCAAGTTCAAAGTTCCACACATCTTTAGGGAAGGGGCAAAATGCCTCCAGTTTCTTTGCTAAAACATAACAAGAGCCACCTTTTCTCCAGTTCCTATCTCCATCTGAGACCACCTCAGACTGGATTTCATTGTCCATATCATTATCATCATTTTGGTCAAAGTCATTCAACAAGTTTCTAGGGAGTTCCAAACTTTCCCTTATTTTTCTTTCTTCTTCTGAGCCCTCCAAACTGTTCCAACCTCTGCCTATTACCCAGTTCCAGTCGCTTCCGCATTTTTGGGTATCTTTTCAGTAATGCGCCACTCTACTGGTACCAATTTACTTTATTAGTCCACTTTCACACTGCTGATAAAGACATACCCAATACTGGGCAATTTGCAAAAGAAAGAGGTTTATTGGACTTACAGTTCCACATGGCTGGGAGGCCTCACAATCATGGTGGAAGATAAGGCATGTCTCACATGGTGGCAGACAAGAGAAAAGAACTTGTGCAGGGAAACTCCCCTTTTTAAAACCATCAGATCTCATTAGACTTATTCACTGTCATGAGAACAGCACTGGAAAGACCTGCCCCCATGATTCAAATACCTCCCACTTGGTCCCTCCCACAACACGTGGGAATTCAAGATGAGATTTGGGTGGGGACACAGCCAAACTATATCAAGGTCCACTATGTTTTTCTGTTTTGGATGCCTTGCCCTGCTGCTTTGGATCCTGTTCTCCAGGTCACTATTCTATCCCAGTCAGGACACAGATTATTTCCCTAATTTTCCATAGAATAGCATTTTAACCAGACTTTCCACAAAGAGGCAAGATAAAGAAAAGACAATACAGATAATGGTTTACAACAGTAACTGTGTCTACACCCAGTACCCTTTGGTCCAAGTTCTGGCCCATTTTCAAGGTATCCTTGAAAAGTGTTCTTCTGAATTGTTTCTATCTACCACTGTTGTGGATATGTCACTGTGTGATACTCTCTAGTTTGTCTCTTCCATCTGGAGGCTAGGCCCCCAAAACTGTGGAGCTTCAGAGAGAAAAGGGACGTTCTCCCCTTTTTGGCTAAAATCCTGGGTTTCTAGCTCACATTCCTGTCCCAGAATTAACTTCTCCCTCAGAATAAGTAACAATGGGGATATCCATTCTCTTCAGGATTAATCTCATTCCTTCACTATAGGATATGGTCTGGTCCTGTGAGTACCTCCCATCTCCTCCTCTTGTCCAGGCAATTGCTATAGCTGTCTTTAGTGCATTCCTAGAAATCTGAATTATTCTCTTAACATCATGTTTGGGACTTAAATAGTCCATTCCAGGTTGTGCTATGCCAGTCTGGGTGGGGCTGTTTACAGAATTTATCTTCTTTCCTTCCTTTATCGCTCTCCCTTCCTACTTCCTCTCTGTCCCCCTCCTCTTCCTCCCTTTCTTCCTATCCTTTTTCATTTTAGTCTTGGGGCCCTTGTAAACATGCAGTGTTCTATAGCAATGCTTCTTCTCAAGTTTCTTTTCTTCCTTCCACCGCAGGGGCAGTTTTGGTTGTCACGGTAGTTGTGGGACACACCTGGCATTTAATTTGCTGGGGCCTGTTAAAAAGAAAACTATTAACAAGTGATATTTGTTAAAGCATTGATAAAGAAGAATTTATTTAGGACTATCACAGTATAGGGACCACTGCAATAGGTCTTGTGGTAGAGGAGAGAGATTGTGCTCAACTCTCAATACAGCATGGGCAAGTGGGAATTTATAGCCAGTGACCAGAGTGGGGTCACTGAAAATTACCAGGAAGAAACATCAGGGGTAAGAGGGGTTCTGGGTAAACCAATCTAACTAGATTCTTGCTGAAGACAGGCCAAGGTGATCAGATATCACCTGGGGAATGGTGGTGGATGAGGAACCCAATCAAGGGAGATCAGATATGGAGCGGGAGGGTTGGGGGGAGGGGTGATTCTTGCTAAACTGACTTAGCAGGGGTGTTTATGAAAACTAGATTTTTCAAGGAAGTACATAAATGGGCCTAGATGAAGTTTCAGAAGGTCAGCTACAGTTTTGTCAAGCAAGGAATCTTTGTCAGTCCAAAGAAACTTAGAGGGTTTACAGTGCGTGGAACTGTCCTCTATAATGAATTGTCCCCACATCCCATGCAACTTTCTAATTTCCCAGTGGACATTCATGTATGTTCTGCTTATAATTTTCTAAGCCTTGAACCTAACTCTGGTTTTACTCATAAACACGTAGTATTTTTTGGCGCAGTTTTAATATATACTGAATTTCTAGGAATGCAACCATTTAGGTATATCAAAGGAAGATTGTTTTTATTTTGTTCTGTATTATATCAAGAGTTGTGCACTATTATAGAAAAATCATGTCACTACTGAAATGCTGCTTGTGGTATTTGAATTGACAATACAACAGTGCATCCTTATCTATCTACATTTGTAGCTGCCACATTCATAGTGATTCTGTGCATAAGGGGAAGAGTGACTGTTTTCCAGTGCAAGTATGCCTGATCATTTATATAATGAAATGCAAATATATAATTTATGTGAATACATACATATATATAAGATATATATAAAATATATTTTTAATGAGTTAGTATAGTCAGTTTGTAGTTAGTAACTATAAATTTCATTTCAGGATATTAAAAAGGAACATTCAAAAATATTTGTTTTATAAAGAGAGTATAAGTTCTGATGGGTTCGAGGACTATGTAAATTCATACAGGAAAAATAAACAGTTCTCTTTAAGAAACAATAAAACTCTACAGAGACATAGCTCACTGAATTTCTCTGAGTGAAACAACTACAATTATTTCCTTCATGACATTTAGGTGAGACTTGCTTTACATTTGCACAAACAGAAAATCTACTGTCTTTGTTTTCTCAGAACAGAGACAGGACTTTTGAGATTAGAATTGCAAAGACAGGACAATTTCTTTAACATTTTAAAAGCTGTATTACTTTTAAAATTAAGTGTGTTAATGCTTCAGAAGTGGTATAATAAAGCCCTGTTCAAATAATTTGAAATAAGAAGGTTCAATGACAGTAAATGTTAATTTCATTCTAGGTGTTCCGTGTCTCTGAAAATGATTGTGATTTTCAAAGCTGCAGAAGCAAGTTGTTTTTAGAACCATCAATACAAGATGGTCTGGTTTATGAATATATTCAAGGGATTGAGATGGTGATTAATTGATAAAAGAAATGTCACCTGAAAGGTGTGGGCTGGGAATTCTCATTAAAGAGTTGAGAAAGAAGTAACCAAGTAATCAATGAACTAAAGCAGACATGATTGACTGTAATTACTCTGCTTGTTAAGGTTATTGACTAACAGCAAGATGGGCTGTCAAAACCGAAGCATGGTGCCTTGGGAAAATTAAATGAGAAAAATTAATGAGAAAAACATTCATTTTAGCCCTTCTATTATTACCAAGGCAACAAAGCTAATGTGTCAACTTCAATAGTTTGTTCTGAAATAGTTAAAATGAGACTGAAAACATTAGCACTAAATTCACCCGGACTGACATCTAAATGTGATATTTGGGTTTACACAAAGTGAAATACAGGTAGGGAGAGAAATTAGGTGGTAACTATAATACATAAAGACAACAAGCAAGGCATAACTCTAGTTTGTGTAAGGTAAGGTAGCATTAATAGTTGTAAGGATGGAGATAAGGCAATGGATTTGAAGGCTATTGGAGAAATAAAATTAATAGAATACCAATCTCTGATGAAGCTGACATCTTTCATTTCGTATCAAGGTGAATGTAACTTTCACCAGGAAATTTTCCTTGATTATCCCCTCCTCCTGGAGCTATCCCTACCTCCTTTTAATTCCTATAGCTATTGATGCTTACCTTGTATTATACTTAATTTGCATATGCCATACACTAACGGACACTGCCACTGCCCCTAGCTTTTATCCCAATGGTGAAGACAGAATAACTAAACAAATTAAAAAAATGCAAGGTCGTGATAAGTGACTGGGAACAGTGAGATAAAAAATAGTAAAGAAAGACCTCTATGAGAAGGTGAAGGATGATATCAAAGATGAAAATGAGCCAGACGTGTAAATAGCTGGGAGCAAATGGTTTCAGGCAAAGGAACAGCAAGTGCAATTGCCCTAGGGGAATATGGTTGGTTATTTTATAAATAGAGAGTATATCTGGAGTCAGTATATTAGAGGGGAGAGTGTTTTGAGTCAAGGGGAAAGAATGTTGTGAGTTGAGGTAAAAGAGGTTGACAACAGCCAGATCATCAAGGTCTTGTAGATTTGGTAAAGAATTTGGATTTTCTGCTATGAGTAATAGGAAGCCTTTGTATAATTTTAAGCAGGAGAATAACATGAGCTAAACTTCTAAGTTCTGAAAAATCACTTAGAAGCTATGTAGAGAATGGCTACCAATGTTGGAATAGTCAGGGTAGGAGAGCTAGAGAAATGTGGACATGTTAAAGACAAATTTTGTAAGTAGGATCAGTGGGAATTCTGGATGGTAATGAGGGAAAAGAATGAATGAAGGATGACTCCTAGGCTTTGGCTTATGCAGTAATTGGGTGATGGTACCAATTATTGGGATATGAATGTCAGAGAAAAATAGGTTTGAGAGACAAAAATCAAGAGCTCCTTTTTGGGACATATCAAGTTTGAAGTGTGTATTGTTTATTCAGATGGACAAGGCAGTTTAGATATATTGCTGTGGGGGTCATGAGAGAGGTCTGGACTAGGATACAAAGTTGGGAACCATTAGCATATGGATGTGTAACTGGTTTCAGTGAACTAGCTTGTTTTCTTCTATCTGTATCTCCCTTTGCTCTGTTGCCTCTCCCTTTCCTATTCCTTAATGACACATCAGGTGGGTGCCTGCCATTTTTAGTTCTTTAAAGGCCTGCTTGTCCAATTTAACACTTCCATTTCATTCTAATTTAAATCTCCCTCCCTTTCCCCCAGCACTGACCAGATGTCCTCCCAAGGGACTTGGAATGGGGGAAGAGTTTTTTTTCATCACTTCTGCTCTGGTATCTTCAAGAGGAGAGGAAGTAGTTGGCCTTGTTCCCCTAACTTTTCAAGTCCACTAACTTTTCCTCTAATATTATGGCTGGTATAACTGAGTACCCCCATTTTTCTAAGAGATTTTTTTTTCTTTCTTCTTTTTTCTTTCCTCCTTTCTCTCACTTCCTACTTAGCTCTTTAGAACTGCAATTATAACCTTTTACCTCCTCTTCACCAGACAATCCCTGCAGGGTGAGTTAATCCAACTATGTGCTTACAAGCTCCAGAGCCCAACTCTCTCCCACCAGGAAACTGTTTTGAGAGATGACAGACAGTTAATCTACACCTCAAAGTATGCCTGCTACAAAACTCTTTCCTAACTGGAGAGTTTCGGCTATTTTTACAAGATGGTTCTGCCCACAGAGACACTAGTGGTCACCAGCTTGACTGCCCAGTAGATAAGGCATCAAAGCAAGTTATGCAGACCCCCATCTGCATTTCCCTCCCCTGCATGCCATTCATGCCAAGACCTCTTTTAAAAGCACCTGCTTTCTGCTTCAAAAGTGAAGCAGCACCCTTAAAGGCAGAAGTCTGCACTTCTTCCCCTAAGCCAGCTTTGGAATAAAAAGTCTCCTTCTTTATACCAGACTTCGCTCTAGTTAATTGGACTCTGCAAGCTGTGGGCAACTGAACCTGTATGTCGGTTACGCTAGGAGAGGGCATACGAGAGGAAGAGCATGTAGCCCTTTTCTTTCTTTCTTTTTTTTTTTTATTATTATTATACTTTAAGTTTTAGGGTACATGTGCACAATGTGCAGGTTAGTTACATATGTATACATGTGCCATGCTGGTGTGCTGCACCCATTAACTCGTCATTTAGCATTAGGTATATCTCCTAAAGCTATCCCTCCCCCCTCCCCCCACCCCACAACAGTCCCCAGAGTGTGATGGTCCCCCTCCTGTGTCCATGTGTTCTCATTGTTCAATTCCCACCTATGAGTGAGAATATGCGGTGTTTGTTTTTTTGTTCTTGCGATAGTTTACTGAGAATGATGATTTCCAATTTCATCCATGTCCCTACAAAGGACATGAACTCATCATTTTTTATGGCTGCATAGTATTCCATGGTGTATATGTGCCACATTTTCTTAATCCAGTCTATCATTGTTGGACATTTGGGTTGGTTCCAAGTCTTTGCTCTTGTGAATAGTGCCGCAATAAACATACGTGTGCATGTGTCTTTATAGCAGCATGATTTATAGTCCTTTGGGTATATACCCAGTAATGGGATGGCTGGGTCAAATGGTATTTGTAGTTCTAGATCCCTGAGGAATCGCCACACTGTCTTCCACAATGGTTGAACTAGTTTACAGTCCCACCAACAGTGTAAAAGTGTTCCTATTTCTCCACATCCTCTCCAGCACCTGTTGTTTCCTGACTTTTTAATGATCACCATTCTAACTGGTGTGAGATGGTATCTCATTGTGGTTTTGATTTGCATTTCTCTGATGGCCAGTGATGGTGACCATTTTTTCATGTGTTTTTTGGCTGCATAAGTGTCTTCTTTTGAGGAGTGTCTGTTCATGTCGTTCGCCCACTTTTTGATGGAGTTGTTTGTTTTTTTCTTGTAAATTTGTTTGAGTTCATTGTAGATTCTGGATATTAGCCCTTTGTCAGATGAGTAGGTTGCGAAAATTTTCTCCCATTTTGTAGGTTGCCTGTTCACTCTGATGGTAGTTTGTTTTGCTGTGCAGAAGCTCTTGAGTTTAATTAGATCCCATTTGTCAATTTTGGCTTTTGTTGCCATTGCTTTTGGTGTTTTAGACATGAAGTCCTTGCCCATGCCTATGTCCTGAATGGTAATGCCTAGGTTTTCTTCTAGGGTTTTTATGGTTTTAGGTCTAACATGTAAGTCTTTAATCCATCTTGAATTAATTTTTGTATAAGGTGTAAGGAAGGGATCCAGTTTCAGCTTTCTACAAATGGCTAGCCAGTTTTCCCAGCACCGTTTATTAAATAGGGAATCCTTTCCCCATTGCTTGTTTTTCTCAGGTTTGTCAAAGATCAGATAGTTGTAGATATGTGGCGTTATTTCTGAGGGCTCTGGTCTGTTCCATTGATCTATATCTCTGTTTTGGTACCAGTACCATGCTGTTTTGGTTACTGTAGCCTTGTAGTATAGTTTGAAGTCAGGTAGCATGATGCCTCCAGCTTTGTTCCTTTGGCTTAAGATTGACTTGGTGATGCGGGCTCTTTTTTGGTTCCATACAAACTTTAAAGCAGTTTTTTACAATTCTGTGAAGAAAGTCATTGGTAGCTTGATGGGGATGGCATTGAATCTATAAATTACCTTGGGCAGTATGGCCATTTTCACGATGTTGATTCTTCCTATCCATGAGCATGGAATGTTCTTCCATTTGTTTGTATCCTCTTTTATTTCATTGAGCAGTAGTTTGTAGTTCTCCTTGAGGAGGTCCTTCACATCCCTTGTAAGTTGGATTCCTAGGTATTTTATTCTCTTTGAAGCAATTGTGAATGGGAGTTCACTCATGATTTGGCTCTCTGTTTGTCTGTTATTGGTGTATAAGAATGCTTGTGATTTTTGTACATTGATTTTCTATCCTGAGACTTTGCTGAAGTTGCTTATCAGCTTAAGGAGATTTAGGGCTGAGACAGTGGGGTTTTCTAGATATACAATCATGTCATCTGCAAACAGGGACAATTTGACTTCCTCTTTTCCTAATTGAACACCCTTTATTTCCTTCTCCTGCCTGATTGCCCTGGCCAGGACTTCCAACCCTATGTTGAATAGCAGTGGTGAGAGAGGGCATCCCTGTCTTGTGCCAGTTTTCAAAGGCAATGCTTCCAGTGTTTGCCCATTCAGTATGATATTGGCTGTGGGTCTGTCATAGATAGCTCTTATTATTTTGAGATACATCCCATCGATACCTAATTTATTGAGAGTTTTTAGCATGAAGGGCTGTTGAATTTTGTCAAAAGCCTTTTCTGCATCTATTGAGATAATCATGTGGTTTTTGTCTTTGGTTCTGTTTATATGCTGGATTACATTTATTGATTTGCGTATATTGAACCAGCCTTGCATCCCAGGGATGAAGCCCACTTGATCATGGTGGATAAGCTTTTTGATGTGCTGCTGGATTTGGTTTGCCAGTATTTTATTGAGGATTTTTGCATCAATGTTCATCAAGGATATTGGTCTAAAATTCTCTTTTTGGTTGTGTCTCTGCCAGGCTTTGGTATCAGGATGATGCTGGCCTCATAAAATGAGTTAGGGAGGATTCCCTCTTTTTCTATTTATTGGAATAGTTTCAGAAGGAATGGTACCAGCTCCTGTTTGTACCTCTGGTAGAATTCGGCTGTGAATCCTTCTGGTCCTGGACTCTTTTTGGTGGGTAAGCTATTGATTGTTGCCACAATTTCAGAGCCTGTTATTGGTCTATTCAAAGATTCAACTTCTTCCTGGTTTAGTCTTGGGAGGGTGTATATGTCAAGGAATTTATCCGTTTCTTCTAGATTTTCTAGTTTATTTGCGTAGAGGTGTTTGTAGTATTCTCTGATGGTAGTTTGTATTTCTGTGGGGTCGGTGGTGATATCCCCTTTATCATTTTTTATTGCGTCTATTTGATTCTTCTCTCTTTTCTTCTTTCTTAGTCTTGCTAGCGGTCTATCAGTTTTGTTGATCTTTTCAAAAAACCAGCTCCTGGATTCATTAATTTTCTGAAGGGTTTTTGTGTCTCTATTTCCTTCAGTTCTGCTCTGATCTTAGTTATTTCTTGCCTTCTGCTAGCTTTTGAATGTGTTTGGTCTTGCTTTTCTAGTTCTTTTAATTGTGATGTTAGGTTGTCAATTTTGAATGTTTCCTGCTTTCTCTTGTGGGCATTTAGTGCTATAAATTTCCCTCTACACACTGCTTTGAATGTGTCCCAGAGATTCTGGCATGTTGTGTCTTTGTTCTCACTGGTTTCAAAGAACATCTTTATTTCTGCCTTCATTTCGTTATGTACCCAGTAGTCATTCAGGAGCAGGTTGTTTAGTTTCCATGTAGTTGAGCGGTTTTGAATGAGTTTCTTAATCTTGAGTTGTAGTTTGATTGCACTGTGGTCTGAGAGACAGTTTGTTATAATGTCTGATCTTTTACATTTGCTGAGGAGAGCTTTACTTCCAACTATGTGGTCAATTTTTGAATAGGTGTGGTGTGGTGCTGAAAAAAATGTATATTCTGTTGATTTGGGGTGGAGAGTTCTGTAGATGTCTATTAGGTCCGCTTGGTGCAGAGCTGAGTTCAATTCCTGGGTATCCTTGTTAACTTTCTGTCTCGTTGATCTGTCTAATGTTGACAGTGGGGTGTTAAAGTCTCCCATTATTATTGTATGGGAGTCTAAGTCTCTTTGTAGGTCACTCAGGACTTGCTTTATGAATCTGGGTGCTCCTGCATTGGGTGCATATATATTTAGGATAGTTAGCTCTTCTTGTTGAATTGATCCCTTTACCATTATGTAATGGCCTTCTTTGTCTCTTTTGATCTTTGTTGGTTTAAAGTCTGTTTTATTAGAGACTAAGATTGCAACCCCTGCCTTTTTTTGTTTTCCATTTGCTTGGTAGATCTTCCTCCATCCTTTTATTTTGAGCCTATGTGTGTCTCTGCTCGTGAGATGGGTTTCCTGAATACAGCACACTGATGGGTCTTGACTCTTTATCCAATTTGCCAGTCTGTGTCTTTTAATTGGAGCATTTAGTCCATTTACATTTAAAGTTAATATTGTTATGTGTGAATTTGATCCTGTCATTATGATGTTAGCTGGTTATTTTGCTCATTAGTTGATGCAGTTTCTTCCTAGCCTCGATGGTCTTTACAGTTTGGCATGAATTTGCAGCAGCTGGTACCGGTTTTTCCTTTCCATGTTTAGTGCTTCCTTCAGGAGCTGTTTTAGGGCAGGCCTGTTGGTGACAAAATCTCTCAGCATTTGCTTGTCTGTAAAGTATTTTATTTCTCCTTCACTTATGAAGCTTAGTTTGGCTGGATATGAAATTCTGGGTTGAAAATTCTTTTCTTTAAGAGTGTTGAATATTGGCCTCCACTCTCTTCTGGCTTGTAGAGTTTCTGCCAAGACATCCACTGTTAGTCTGATGGACTTCCCTTTGTGAGTAACCTGACCTTTGTCTCTGGCTGCCCTTACCATTTTTTCCTTCATTTCAACTTTGGTGAATCTGACAATTATGTGTCTTGGTGTTGCTCTTCTCGAGGAGTATCTTTGTGACATTCTCTGTATTTCCTGAGTCTGAATGTTGGCCTGCCTTGCTAGATTGGGGAAGGTCTCCTGGATAATATCCTGCAGAGTGTTTTCCAACTTGGTTCCATTCTGCCCATCACTTTCAGGTACACCAATCAGACGTAGATTTGGTCTTTTCACATAGTCCCATATTTCTTGGAGGCTTTTTCGTTTCTTTTTATGCTTTCTTCTCTAAACTTCCCTTCTCCCTTCATTTCATTCATTTCATCTTCCATCACTGATACACTTTCTTCCAGTTGATCGCATTGGCTCCTGAGGCTTCTGCGTTCTTCACGTAGTTCTCGAGCCTTGGCTTTCAGCTCCATCAGCTCCTTTAAGCACTTCTCTGTATTGGTTATTCTAGTTATATATTCGTCTAAATTTTTTTCAAAGTTTTCAACTTCTTTGCCTTTGGTTTGAATTTCCTCCTGTAGTTCGCAGTAGTTTGATCGTCTGAAGCCTTCTTCTCTCAACTCGTCAAAGTCATTCTCCGTCCAGCTTTGTTCCGTTGCTGGTGAGGAGCTGCGTTCCTTTGGAGGAGGAGAGGCGCTCTGCTTTTTAGAGTTTCCAGTTTTTCTGCTCTGTTTTTTCCCCATCTTTGTGGTTTTATCTACTTTTGGTGTTTGATGATGGTGATGTACAGATGGGTTTTTGGTGTGGATGTCCTTTCTGTTTGTTAGTTTTCCTTCTAACATTCAGGACCCTCAGCTGCAGGTCTGTTGGAGTTTGCTAGAGGTCCACTCCAGACCCTGTTTGCTGGATATCAGCAGCGGAGATTGCAAAACAGCGGATTTTCGTGAACCGTGAATGCTGCTGTCTGATCGTTCCTCTGCAAGTTTTGTCTCAGAGGAGTACCTGGCCGTGTGAGGTGTCAGTCTGCCCCTACTGGGGGGTGCCTCCCAGTTAGGCTGCTCGGGGGTCAAGGGGTCAGGGACCCACTTGAGGAGGCAGTCTGCCCATTCTCAGATCTGCAGCTGCGTGCTGGGAGAACCACTGCTCTCTTCAAAGCTGTCAGACAGGTACACTTAAGTCTGCAGAGGTTACTGCTGTCTTTTTGTTTGTCTGTGCCCTGCCCCCAGAGGTGGAGCCTACAGAGGCAGGCAGGCCTCCTTGAGCTGTGGTGGGCTCCACCCATTTCGAGCTTCCTGGCTGCTTTGTTTACCTAAGCAAGCCTGGGCAATGGCGGGCGCCCCTCCCCCAGCCTCGCTGCTGCCTTGCAGTTTGATCTCAGACTGCTGTGCTAGCAATCAGTGAGACTCTGTGGGCATAGGACCCTCCAAAGCATGTGCGGGATATAATCTCCTGGTGCGCTGTCTTTTAAGCCCATCGGAAAAGCGCAGTATTAGGGTGGGAGTGACCCGATTTTCCAGGTGCCGTCTGTCACCCCTTTCTTTGACTAGGAAAGGGAACTCCCCGACCCGTTGTTCTTTCCGAGTGAGGCAGTGGCTTGCCCGACTTCGGCTCGCGAACGGTGCACTGCACCCACTGTCCTGCGCCCACTGTCTGGCACTCCCTAGTGAGATGAACCTGGTACCTCAGATGGAAATGCAGAAATCACCCGTCTTCTGCGTCGCTCATGCTGGGAGCTGTAGACCGGAGCTGTTCCTATTCAGCCATCTTGGCTCCACCTTCTCTTTTCTTAACTGCTTCTTAGTAATCCCTGAGTGAAATGTCTATCCTCAAATACTGGAAATTCCTTAGCGTGTACCTGGGTGGCTTCATTGTCTTTCATTTTGAGCCATAGTCACCAATTATTGGCAACAGGAGAAGTCCCACTCAATATCCTATGTCATTTAAAGATCTCATTTGAAGCCATAGGTTAGGATGTGTTATCCCCTCAGGTGACAGAATGGTTTGGCCACCTGGAGGTTGTTGATAGACTTAAAAATGACCCTTTTGGGAGTGAAGGGGAAATAAATCATCTTAGTGGGTTGTGAAGTGAGAGGTAAAAACATAGGGGTGGTGGACAACTCATTTGGGAAGTATTATGATGAAGGCACAGAGAACTAAGTAGCAACCACAGGGAGTTGTAGGGTAAAAGTATGTTTTGTTTGTTTGAAAATTTTCAGGTAGAAGTCCTGTGGCATATTTTTGCACTGATCATTGGAGAAAGGGTGATAATGCAGTGTGTGAGGTGATCGTGAAGGAGCAGAGTCCTTGAAAAGGTGAGGGAAGAAGGGATCCAGCACACAAGAGAGATTAGCCTTTGGTAAGAGCAAGAGGACTTCTTGCATTTTAATAGGAGGGAGGGTAGAGAAGATGAGGCTCGGTGTTAGTGGGTTTATAGATTTGATGATGGAAAGATGTGAAACATCTTCCAGATGGCTTCTGTTCTTCTTAGTGAGGCAGGAGAGTTGGTTAGCTGCTAATAATAAGGATGGTTGGGAAGGGAGAGTGAGAAACATTTTTTTTTTTTGTATTAATAGTACATAAGACCTTCAAATCAGGGGCAGATTCATTTAGATTCACCTAAAATACCTGACAAGGTGCCAGAAGTATTTATCACATATTTTTGAAAAAAATGGTTTTAATTATCACAAACAGGGATTATTCCTAGCTTTAAATCTCATTTTAGAAAGGTATTATGGCTGTTCAGAAAATTACATATTTTTAAAGCCCGAACCTGAAATTGCCAGTATTTTGAGATATTATGGACAGATGAAATGGACTCATGGTTCATGCAAAAGTGATTTTCATTCTATAAGGGATTTTATTGACAAGAAGAAACTACTCCATTCTGACTAAAGAACATATTGCACCCTGGAGGATTTATTTTCCAAGAGAGGCTACTGACAGGGATAGAATTATCTTCTTTTTGGAGGCCTCCCTTCTCTCCTGTAATCTTCTAGCTGGCGCCTAACACAGGGCTCTGCATCAAGGGGCTTCTCAATACATCCAATTGAATGACTTTGTTTGGGGCCGGTCCTGATGCCCAGAACGAAAAAACTTACTTTTGATTACCTCGGGAGAATTGCTAGTAATGGCCCTGATTTATTCTCTCTCTTTTTTCTCTCTTTTTTTTTTCCCCAGCTCTTCTACCCTCAATGTTTGATTGCTTGCAAGAGGCATGTGAGCCAAAATTTTAAAGTTTGCAAAGTATAAAGAAAGGAAACAAGTAAATAGGGAAGGAGAATAAATACTGAACAAGACTGGGCAAGGTGACAAGAAAGAACTACTGTGAAAATCTGGAAGAGGGCCAGGATGCAAAATGCAGGGGCTGTGTAGTTTACAGGAACTATTTAGCCTCCAGCATGCCTCAGCGATCACACAGAGAAAGGCAGATTTCTCTGCTTTTGTCTCCTACCCTATAGTTAGCTATGGAAATTTGACATAGGTGATATATGTTTTCTGTCAGCAAACTGATACAAATACAGAGGACCATGGGGCCTGTGATCAACAAATCCAACGTGATTTGAATTGCTAGGAGGGGACCTCTTGTGGCTATAGTGGGAAATACTTCAGCTAAATACTACCTTGGAGGCTGCAGATATTTTTATGAAGGAATTAAAAAAAAACCCACTATAAAAGCTCTTTAAAATTACATTTCAGATATTTATAATATTTAATTGTTTTGATAACACCAAATTCTGTAAGAAGGTTTTATCTGTATTGCATCTCTGAAGAGTTCAGTGTAATTTAAAGCTCTTCAGCTTTTATCCATTTAATTCACATATCCTCTGAAAAGCAAATGAAAAGAATAAGAGTTCTCATCTACATTTTGTAGGTGGAAAGGAGAGGTACAGGGCAGGTAAGTAACTTATTGTGGTTTCACAGCAGGACAAGCTAGGCTTATGATAGAATTTGGATATCTCATCTTGGGCTCAATTCAACAGTCCTGGTTTGGAAAACATTCATTATTAAAGCTCTAAAACAAAACCTGCTATTTTGCAAGTGTCAAGTGATTTCTTTATTCAAGAAAAGATGGATTGAGAGACATAAAACTTACTCTTTGTTTCACTGTGAAAAGATGCTATTCCTAGATTCTCCAGGGGGAAAAAGCTGCTTTAAAAAAATCTGGGGAGGATAGCATGTTAGCAACTAAGAATCTTTAGATAAATATATTGTCAATTATGCCCATTTTAAAGGTAGCTACATAAAAATACAGTTGTTTTGAAGGCTATCCTGAAAATCATATAAAATGAACTCCTTTCATAGTTGATTCTCTGACAGTTCCCAGACCCTGCCTTTCCTCTTGGCTCCCTGAAATTTGTGCTAAGAGTATCTGGAGAGCCAATAAATAAATGCTTTCTTTTTATTTTGAATTCAGCCTTTTAAGAACAGGACTGCCAAAACTCAAACAAGTAGTTCATATTTTAGTTAGCACCTCTTGTTTTAGAAGCTATTAGAAGAAAGTCGGAAAAATGGTAATGTCCAAGGAAATGCCACAGAAGTTCGAGTGGGATGTCAAGGAATTGATGAAATGATAAAGATTGTTTCAGTGGATGTGAAGATATTGAGGGAGAAGATATCAAAAAAAAGGGAAAAGGAAATGTGAAAAAGAATAGTCATAGAGAGAAAAAATAAATTTTGGTGGAGAAGACTTTTTTTTTTGGTGGCTTAAATTTAATAATGGGTTAACCTATTGAGTTTTTGGTAAATCTTCAGTTTAGATTCTTTACTGATAATGATGTGGTTCCTCATAAATACTGGAAGGAGAGAGTGTGATGCTTGGTACAAGGGATGAGACAGGTAATATTTCAGAAGAAGAAAAATACGATCTCAGATGTGACACATGGCCTTGATGCCATCATCTCTAGGGTTCTGAAGACATTGAATTTTACATAATTGATCTTTTGATGTGAGGATTTCCTGGACTCTTGTTTTCCCTGCTTTATCATTTTTCACTTTCAATAATTCCAGCCTTTGGCTTTAATTAGATAGAAGAGGTTCTTCTTTTGGAAAGGAACTAGAGAAATGCAAATCTAAACTTATTCAGAGCTATGTTTGTAGGTCTCTAGGCAAAGTATGTGTCTGGCCTTTTTCAACGAAGTATTTTCAGTAACAAGTTGTCAGTGAGGTCAGTGACTAGCGGTTCAGGATTAGATACCACCCACCCTGGCTTGTAACCTCCCCTTTCTTTCTTATCCTGGGTGAACAACGCTCAGCGAAATTGACTGCCCCACTGTCATCTGCCTCTCAATTTGGTACTCTGTAACTCTGTGACCACCAAGAAGCCTTTTTCCGTCCCCCACAAAGCTCTTTTTGGAAAATTCCCTACGGGAGCTGAATTTTAAGCCCATTTACTTTATAGGAAGAAACAGAAAGGTAAGAATCAAGTTTGTAAAGAGAAGAGCTGAACTTCAGCGAATTCTCATTTCTGCATTGAATTCCTGTGTCTTAGTTATAATCATAGGTTTAAAATTTGGGGTTTTCTTCTGAACTGAGGAAGATCACATTATTGTATGAAATAGGAATGTTTTGACTAGTTATGAGAAACGTAGGCTTTCACGCTAATTTTAAAGTTATAAATAACTTTCGAACTATTGCCAGGGGAAGCTGGTAGCCAAGGTCGTGCTTTGCATTCAGAGAGTTTCTGGCTATAAAAAGCCGATTGGATACTGTGCAGGAAAAGATAAGATATGGCCTGGATGCTTGTGCTTTGGCATGGGAGTGGGGAAAAGGAAGCAAAGATGGAATATGTTTGAAGGGATTTTACTTTCAACCAAAAGCTAATTCATAGTAAATGGAAGATGTTTCAAGTGAGATAATGGCAAAAAGCATTAATTTCTGAATTTAATGTCTATTTGTTTTATAATTGGAAGGAATATTAAGAGGTTGAGGAATGCTCTCAGAACTGTTTGATGACCAGTTATAGTCAAATGAAAATCACTGTATGGAATGATCATGAGATGTAATGATCAATCATGTAAAGAAAAGGTCACTATCTAATGGGATCTGAATGATTGTGAGCAGCTGCTGTCAGTTACACGGAAGACAAATAAAAGAAATGAGTTCAAATGGAAACAAGAAGAAATTGGGGTTAGACATCAGAAAGTTCATTTACTGTAGAGGTTTTGAGTCACTGATATGTGCCTACTAAGATCTCTGGAGATAACGTGAGAATGCAATGATTTGCTTAAAACAAAGTGGAAAAAGCAGGATTTCAAGTTTGCATTGGTTCTGGGTTTGTGGCTAGCTTTTTAGACAGATTGAAAGCTCAACATATTGAGAATAGTTGTGATTTGAAGATTCAGATTATCCATGGTCAGATTTGAATGGCATATTTGAGTGTGCTATTAAAATTTCATTGTCCATTATAAAAAATTATCTCAGTAGAACCATAGGACAAGTTTGTTAAATGGAGAAACCTAAAATACAGACAGTATAGACAAAGTTATTCCCATTTGTTACCTCCTACACATAGTCTAAATCTTCCTATTTGAGTAAAGATTGGTAAAACTTTTTTTCATTATAAAAGCATTAAATGTTCATCGTAGGAATTTTGAAAGCACAGAAAAATATTTCCTGTAATTTCATTGATGTGTTTCCTTCTAGTCTTTTTTTTTCTAGATGGCTTTAAAAATAATTGCAATAATAGTATAGATAAAATTTGGAACCTTGCTTTTTCATTTAACCATATACCAAAACATTTTCCACAGAATATTACCTATTCTACAGTGGTGTTATTTTAAATTTGTGTAACATTTGTTCAAGTGAATGAATATAATTTTATTAATCATTGCTGAACATCTAGATGCTATGGTAAACATCTTTGTGTATTTATTTACTTATGTGTATATGTATGTTGTAGATATGTTTAAGATAATTTCCTTAATCTCTGTTTCTAACTGTAGAAGTGTTGGATTAGAGAACACTATGTTTGAAGGTAAAAGTTGTGATATTTAAGATGTGTTTTTACTGTTATTCTTTTAAAGCATTGTAAAATTCCTAGTCTACCAAATGATATATTTATTGTCTATGATGTGCAAAACATTGTTATCAGGCACATAGATACCAAAATACTTAGTGTTTAGAAGGATGGAATCTCTCCTACCTACAAAATTTCCACTCAATAAACTTTTACAGATATCAACAAAGCTACATGTCAGAGTTGAAAATACTTCAGCTCTGCCTGAAACCGATAGATAGTATTGTTGATCACTTACGTTACTTTGCACATGAAAATAACAGAATGTATAAGTAACTTTATTAGAAGACCATGTAGACATAGTGATTTATATGACTTTTATGATACAACTGTGACAAAGAAATAGGAATAGGAAGAATAAATTCTTTACTTATTGTGAATCTTTGGAGAAATTAGAAGTATTTGGAGAAAATCTGTAGGCAACAGACTAGAAAGAAAAGGGATAGAGGGCACATGCTAGAGGAGCAATTCAGTATTGGGTTTTTCTATAGGGAAAACATGAGAATGGAATTAGGCGTGGCTATGGTAGGAGTCAGAGAAGATAAGTTTTAATTCTGTCATTGTTGAGTTTGAGAACCATGTTGTGTAAATAGAGTAGAAGGAAGAAAGCTAAGGAATTAGTGATAAATACAACTAATTATTGGAAGTGGTTACTGGTCCCAAGTAATCAAAGTGGAGAGATTAGAGATATCAATATTATGTGGTGTGAAGTGAGAGGTAGAGTTATGAATTATCAAATAATATATTCTTCCTGTATTAAAAAACTTTTTAAATTGTGAAGTTTTTATTATTCAGTAATAATATTTAGAGAAAAACCATAGCTACAGAAGGATGGGAGTTTCATTCTCTATTCCCCATGAACTTCTGTTTGCATGTTTCTATTTTTTTTGGAATAGAAGGGATTAAGATTTAAGAAGAGAAGTTGGCAACCCAAACTGGCCTGAAGAGAAATTATGCGCTTTGTAATGAAAACTTGAAAATAGTGTTTATTTATGGATCATTGGCTCATGGGAATGCTAGTCTAGAGATTTAAAAAGTGTGATTTTCTGATTCTTGTTTGGATACTGGATTTTAAGTGAGATGGTACAGCGGGGTGGAACTCCGGAGTTTAGCAAAGTTGCAAATCTAATGGAAAGTGACAGATAATTGAGGCTGCAGAATTTTTGAAGGTGAACAGGACTGTTAGCCGATACATCTGATTTTTCACATGCTTAAATACTGTTTTTAACCACATTATTTTTGCCTGGGATTCAGCGAGTAATCTGTAACCAATTTAATCACTAGCTTCTAGCATATGATAGGTGACTTTGAGTTCCTGTGTGCAAAATGGAAGATTAGGTCAAGTTTATTTGGCACCCTCCCCACCTCTTTTCTTTGCCTTTCATTATCCTAACCAGGATGATTTTCTGCTTCAGATGCCTCCTGGCAATGGGGAAATTGATTTGAAGGAGAAGGCAATGTTTAGTGCAAAGAAAGTCTCTCAAATACTGGAACTTGAACAATGGAGGCCCCTACTTTAAATTAGCACTGTTCAAAATGTAATTAGAAGTTCCCAATTTTTAACTAATCTATGAAACGAGATAAGAGGCTTGTGCCTGAAAGTAAATCAGCTACACCCTAAGCACTTTGTAGCAAGACTTTTTTTTTTTTTTTTTTTTTTATTGATCATTCTTGGGTGTTTCTCGCAGAGGGGGATTTGGCAGGGTCACAGGACAATAGTGGAGGGAAGGTCAGCAGATAAACAAGTGAACAAAGGTCTCTGGTTTTCCTAGGCAGAGGACCCTGCGGCCTTCCGCAGTGTTTGTGTCCCTGGGTACTTGAGATTAGGGAGTGGTGATGACTCTTAAGGAGCATGCTGCCTTCAAGCATCTGTTTAACAAAGCACATCTTGCACCGCCCTTAATCCATTCAACCCTGAGTGGATACAGCACATGTTTCAGAGAGCACAGGGTTGGGGGTAAGGTCACAGATCAACAGGATCCCAAGGCAGAAGAATTTTTCTTAGTACAGAACAAAATGAAAAGTCTCCCATGTCTACCTCTTTCTACACAGACACGGCAACCATCCGATTTCTCAATCTTTCCCCCACCTTTCCCCCCTTTCTATTCCACAAAACCGCCATTGTCATCATGGCCCGTTCTCAATGAGCTGTTGGGTACACCTCCCAGACGGGGTGGTGGCCGGGCAGAGGGGCTCCTCACTTCCCAGTAGGGGCGGCCGGGCAGAGGCACCCCTCACCTCCCAGAGGGGGCGGCTGGCCGGGCAGGGGGCTGACCCCCCACCTCCCTCCCGGAGGGGGCAGCTGGCCGGGCGGGGGGCTGACCCCCCCACCTCCCTCCCGGACGGGGCGGCTGGCCGGGCAGAGGGGCTCCTCACTTCCCAGTAGGGGCGGCCGGGCAGAGGCGCCCCTCACTTCCCGGATGGGGCGGCTGGCCGGGTGGGGGGCTGACCCCCCTACCTCCCTCCCTCCCGGACGGGGTGGCTGGCCGGGCGGGGGGCTGACCCCCCCACCTCCCTCCCGGACGGGGCAGCTGGCCAGGCAGAGGGGCTCCTCACTTCCCAGTAGGGGCGGCCGGGCAGAGGCGCCCCTCACCTCCTGGACGGGGCGGCTGGCCAGGCGGGGGGCTGACCCCCCCACCTCCCTCCCGGACGAGGTGGCTGCCGGGCGGAGACACTCCTCACTTCCCAGACGGGGTGGCTGCTGGGTGGAGGGGCTCCTCACTTCTCAGATGGGGCGGCTGCCGGGCGGAGGGGCTCCTCACTTCTCAGACGGGGCGGTTGCCAGGCAGAGGGTCTCCTCACTTCTCAGACGGGGCGACCGGGCAGAGACGCTCCTCACATCCCGGACGGGGCGGCAGGGCAGAGGTGCTCCCCACATCTCAGACGATGGGCGGCCGGGCAGAGACGCTCCTCACTTCCCAGATGTGATGGTGGCCGGGAAGAGGCGCTCCTCACTTCCTAGATGGGATGGCGGCCAGGCAGAGACGCTCCTCACTTTCCAGACTGGGCAGCCAGGCAGAGGGGCTCCTCACATCCCAGATGATGGGCGGCCAGGCGGAGATGCTCCTCACTTCCCAGACGGGGTGGTGGCCAGGCAGAGGCTGCAATCTCGGCACTTTGGGAGGCCAAGGCAGGCTGCTGGGAGGTGGAGGTTGTAGTGAGCCGAGATCATGCCACTGCACTCCAGCCTGGGCACCATTGAGCACTGAGTGAACGAGACTCCATCTGCAATCCCAGCACCTTGGGAGGCCGAGGCTGGTGGATCACTCGTGGTTGGGAGCTGGAGACCAGCCCGGCCGACACAGTGAAACCCCGTCTCCACCAAAAAAATACGAAAACCAGTCAGGCGTGGCGGCGCGCGCCTGCAATCGCAGGCACTCGGCAGGCTGAGGCAGGAGAATCAGGCAGGGAGGTTGCAGTGAGCCGAGATGGCAGCAGTACCGTCCAGCTTCGGCTCGGCATCAGAGGGAGACCGTGGAAAGAGAGGGAGAGGGAGACCGTGGGGAGAGGGAGACAGAGACGGAGAGGGAGAGGGAGAGGCTGTAGCAAGACTTTCTAGATGAAGGAAGCACTCATTAACTTACATTCTGGTACAAGCTCCTTTTCTCATCGCAGACCTGCAGTTTGAGTAG
This sequence comes from Homo sapiens, assembly GCF_000001405.40. NCBI lineage: Eukaryota > Metazoa > Chordata > Mammalia > Primates > Hominidae > Homo > Homo sapiens. The sequence goes on along the minus strand of NC_000010.11, from coordinate 67,690,764 downwards.
CGTTGCTTAAGTTACACTGTATAAACATTTATCTCCTCTTGAGAGGTGAAGCTGGCTAGGCTTCAGGGTCAGGTGGGGACTTGGAGAACTTTTCTGAATAGCTAAGGGATTGTAAATGCACCAATCAGTGCTCTGTGTCTAGTCTAGCTAAAGGTTTGTAAACGCACCAATCAGCACTCTGCAAAAATGCACCAATCAGCGCTCTGTGTCTAGCTAAAGGTTTGTAAATGCACCAATCAGGACTCTGTAAAAACAGAACCAGTCACTCTGTAAAATGGACCAATCAGCACTCTGTAAAATGGACCAATCAGCAGGACATGGTGGGGGCCAAATAAGAGAATAAAAGCTGGCTACCTGAGCCAGCAGTGGCAACCTGCTCGGGTCCCCTTCCACACTGTGGAAGCTTTGTTCTTTCACTCTTCATAATAAATCTTGCTGCTGCTCACTCTTTGGGTCCGCACTACCTTTATGAGCTGTAACACTCACCGTGAGGGTCTGTGGCTTCATTCCTGAAGTCAGCCAGATCATGAACCCACTGGGAGGAACAAACAACTCCAGACGTGCTGCCTTTAAGAGCCGTAACACTCACTGTGAAGGTCTGTGGCTTCACTCCTGAAGTCAGCAAGACCACGAACCCACCGGAAGGGAGTAACTCCGGACACATATGAACATCTGAAGGAATAAACTCCAGACACACCATCTTTAAGAGTGGTAACAGTCACCGTGGGGTCTGCGGCTTCATTCTTGAAGTCAGCGAGACCAAGAACCCACCAGAAGCAACCAATTCTGGACACATTTTGGCAACCCAGATGGGACTCTCGCCTATTGCCAAGTGATGAGTACCATCAGACCCCTTTTGCTTGCTATTCTGTCCTGTTTTTCCTTAGAATTCTGGGGGTAAATACTGGGCACCTGTCGGTCAGCTAAAAGCAACTAGCGCGGCCGCTGGACTAAAGACACAGGTGCCAGGCTTTCTGGGATAGGGCTCTCTAACAATCCCTGACTCTATGGAGTTGGGAATGTTGGTTTGCCTGGAGCCAGCTTCCACTTTAATGGTACTTCCAGGCTGAGCCGAGGGTTGACAGAGAGGAAAGCCATTCAGCTCCGGGGTCCCAACAACAAGTTGGTTGACCCTGCGGCCATGAGTGGAACTCTCAAAATCATGTCACCCAAGCGAGACTTGCCCATCTATCCTATCTCCTGACCCTTGCCTCCTGGGTCCTAATGCCTGTCAGACAAACTTCCTCTCGCCTCTCTTCTCTGAGGCTAGTCCACTTCTAAAAAGCACTCCCTGTCTCTGGTGCTTTTCTAGTTTCTCCTATAAGAATGATTTCTAGTATAAACTTCAGGACTCTTTTACCTTCTTTAGGCACCCGGGCTCACCAATCAGAAAGACATAATTTTTGCCCAAAGTCCCATCTGGGCAAGGGACTATCTGGAATTTTAGGATCCCTCTTCAGACAAGCAGGCCTAACAAAAGCTATTCCTGAAGCTAGGATATGGGGAGCTTCGGAAATGGTATCTTTCCTATTCATATAAGTGAGGACAAAAAGCATCACTCTTCCAACTCTGGAGATCCTTTCCCTCTCTCAGGGTATGTCCGTCCAGTTCATTTTTGGGGCATAACATCTTTATAGGACAGTGGTAAGGTCCCAATACTAACAGGATAATGCTTAGGACTCTAACAGCTTTTTGAGAATGCATCGGTAAGGGCCACTAAATCCAATTTTTCTTGGTCCTCTTTGTGGTCTAAGAGGACAGGCAAGAATGCAGGTTTTTGAGAATGCATCAGTAAGGGCCACTAAATCTGACCTTCCTCGGTCCTCTTTTTGGTCTAAGAGGAAAACTAGTGTTTCTGATGCTGCGTCGGTGAGCACAACTATTCTGATCAGCAGGGTCCAGGGACCGTTGCGGGTTCTTGGGCAAGAGGTGTTTCTGTTGCTGCATCAGTAAGTGCAACTATTCCAATCAGCAGGGTCCAGGGACTATTGTGGGTTCTTGGGGAGGGGTAGAAACAAACCAAGACCAAGGGTGGTTTTGTCTTTCAGATGGGAAACACTCAGGCATCAACAGGCTCACCCTTGAAATGCATCCTAAGCCATTGGGACCAATTTGACCTGCAAACCCTGAAAAAGAGGCAGCTAACTTTTTTCTGCACTATGGCCTGGCCCCAATATTCTCTCTCTGATGGGAAAGATGGCCACCTGAAGGAAGTATAAAGTACAATCCTATCCTGCAGCTTGACTTTTTCTGTAAGAAGGAAGGCAAATGGAGTGAAATACCTTATGTCCAAGCTTTCTTTTCATTGAAGGAGAATACACAACTATGCAAAACTTGCAATTTACATCCCACAGGAGGACCTCTCAGCTTACCTCCATATCCTAGCCTCCCTATAGCTCCCCTTCCTATTAATGATAAGCCTCCTCTAATCTCCCCCACCCAGAAGGAAACAAACAAAGAAATCTCCAAAGGACCACAAAAACCCCTGAGCTATCATTTATGTCCCCTTCAAGCTGTAGGGGGAGGGGAATTTGGCCCAACCCGGGTACATGTCCCCTTCTCCCTCTCTGATTTAAAGCAGATCAAGGCAGATCTGGGGAAGTTTTCAGATGATCCTGTTAGGTATATAGATGTCTTACAGGGTCTAGGGCAAACCTTTGACCTCACTTGGAGAGATATCATGCTATTAGGTCAAACTCTGGCCTTTAATGAAAAGAATGTGGCTTTAGTTGCAGCCCGAGAGTTTGGAGATACCTGGTATCTTAGTCAAGTAAATGATAGAATGACAGTCGAAGAAAGGGGCAAATTCCCTACTGGTCAGCAAGCCATCCCCAGTATGGATCCCCACTGGGACCTCGACTCAGATCATGGGGACTGGAGTTGCAAACATCTGTTGACCTGTGTTTTAGAAGGACTAAGGAGAATTAGGAAAAAGCCTGTGAATTATTCAATGATGTCCACCGTAACTCAGGGAAAGGAAGAAAATCCTTCTGCCTTCCTCGAACAGCTATGGGAGGCCTTAAGAAAATATACTCTCCTGTCACCCGACCCACTCGAGGGTCAATTGATTCTAAAAGATAAGTTTATTACCTAATCAGCCACAGATATCAGGAGAAAGCTCCAAAAGCGAGCCTTGCGCCCTGAACAAAATCTGGAGGCATTATTAAACCTGGCAACCTCGGTGTTCTATAATAGGGACCAAGAGAAACAGGCCCAAAAAGAAAAGCAAGATCAGAGAAAGGCCACAGCCTTAGTCATGGCCCTCAGACAAACAAACCTTGGTGGTTCAGAGAGGACAGAAAATAGAGCAGGTCAATCACCTGGTAGGGCTTGTATTCAGTATGGTTTGCAAGGACACTTTAAAAAAGATTGTCCTACTAGAAATAAGCTGCTCCCTCACCCATGTCCACTATGCGGAGGCAATCACTGGAAGGCTCACTGCCCCAGAGTACAATGGTTCTCTGGGCCAGAAGCCCCCAACCAGATGATCCAACAACAGGACTGAGGATGCCCGGGGCAAGTGCCAGCTCATGTCATCACCCTCACTGAGCCCCGGGTATGTTTAACCATTGAGGGCCAGGAAATTGATTTCCTCCTGGACACTGGCATGGCCTTCTCAGTGTTAATCTCCTGTCCTGGACAGCTGTCCTCAAGGTCCGTTACCATCTGAGGAATCCTGGGATGGCCTGTAACCAGGTATTTCTCCCACCTCCTCAGTTGTAACTGGGAGACTTTGCTCTTTTCACATGCCTTTCTTGTTGTGTCTGAAAGTCCCACACCCTTATTAGGGAGGGACATATTAGCCAAAGCTGGAGCTATTATCTATGAATATGGGGAACAAGTTACCCATTTGTTGTCCCCTGCTTGAGGAGGGAATCAACCCTGAAGTCTGGGCATTGGAAGGAACAAACTCAAGGTCCATCCTTAAGCCTTCCCACAGGACAAAACTTTTCTTTATACATCACAAAGAGAGCAGGAATAGCTCTTGGGGTCCTTACTCAGACTCATGGGACAACCCCACAATCAGTGACATACCTAAGTAAGGAAATTGATATAGTAGCAAAAGTCTGGCCTCACTGTTTACAGGTAGTTGTGGCGGTGGCTGTCTTAGTGTCAGAGGCTATCAAAATAATACAAGGAAAGGATCTCACTGTCTGGACTACTCACAATGTAAATGGCATACTAGGTGCCAAAGGAAGTTTATGGTTATCAGACAACCGCCTGCTTAGATACCAGGCGCTACTCCTTGAGGGACCAGTGCTTCAAGTGCATACATGTGTGGCCCTCAGCCCTGCCACTTTTCTACCAGAGGATGAGGAGCTGGTCAAGCATGGCTACCAACAGGTTATAGTCCAGACTTATGCCACCCAAGATGATCTCTTAGAAGTCCCCTTAGCTAATCCTGACCTTAACCTATATACCGATGAAAGTTCATTTGTGGAGAATGGGATACGAAGGGCAGGTTATGCCATAGTAACAGTACTTGAAACTAAGCCTCTTCCCCCAGGGACCAGCACCCAGTTAGCAGAACTAGTGGCACTTACCCAAGCCTTAGAACTGGGAAAGGGAAGAAGAATAAATGTGTATACAGATAGCAAGTATGCTTATCTAATCCTACATGCCCATGCTGCAATATGGAAAGAAAGGGAGTTCCTAACCTCTGGGGGAACCCCCATTAAATATCACAAGGAAACCCTGGAGTTATTGCATACAATGCAAAAACCCAAGGAGTATAAGACTGCCAAAACCACCAGAGAGAAAAGATGGAGAGAAAGAAAGAGAGAGACAAAGTCAAAGACAGAAGGAAAGAGAGAGAGGAAGAAACAGATAGACAAAGAGAAGGAGACAGAGGAAGAGACAGAGACAAAGAAGGAGTCAAAGAGAGAGACAGAGAGAGGAAGATACAGAGAGACAGAAAGTCAAACAAGGAAAGAGGAAGAGACAAAGAGGGAGTCAGAGAGAAAGAGACAGACAGATGAAGAAATCAAAGAGGGAGAAAGAGAGAGATAGAAGTAGTAAAGAAAAAACAGTGTACCCTATTCCTTTAAAAGCCAGGGTAAATTAAAAACCTATAATTGATAATTGAAGGTCTTCTCTGTAACCCTATAACACTCAAATACCACCTTGTTGTCAGTGTAAACAAGGGTGTAGCCCGAAAGCACTGAGGCCACTGACAACCCATAGCCTTCCTATCTAAAATCCTTAACACAGCAAGTTTCCTAACAGGGGATCTAAATCATAATTAATTACCATACAAAGGTCCAACCAGACCTAGGAGGAACTCCCTTCAGGACAGGACGATAGATGGTTCCTCCTGGGCGATTAAGGGAAAAAGACAATGGGTGTTCAGTAAGTGATAAGGAAACTCTTGTAGAAGCAGAGTTAGGAAAATTGCCTAATAATTGGTCTGCTTAAATGTGCAAGCTGTTTGCACTCAGCTAAACCTTAAAGTACTTACAGAATCAGGAAGGAGCCATCTATACCAATTCTAAGTTAATATGGACTGAACGAGGGTTTATTAATAGCAAAGAATAATTAAAATCCCAAACTTACAAGGTTTTCAACAAAAGTAAAGTTTGCTAAAAGTTAACGGAGTAACATGTATTATCCTACTACCACACACTCTCAAAGGATTTCTCAGACAGTTTGCAAGAAATAACAAAATCTATCCTTACTCTACAATCCCAAATAGACTCTTCGGCAGCAGTGACTCTCCAAAACTGCCGAGGCTTAGACCTCCTCACTGCTGAGAAAGGAGGACTTTGCACCTTCTTAGCGGAAGAGTGTTGCTTTTACACTAACCAGTCAGGGATAGTACAAGATGCCGCCCAGCGTTTACAGGAAAAGGCTTCTGAAATCAGACAACACCTTTCAAACTCTTATACCAACCTCTGGAGTTGGGCAACATGGCTTCTCCCTTTTCTAGGTCCCATGACAGCAATCTTGCTATTACTCACCTTCGGGCCCTGTATTTTTAACCTCTTCGTCAAATTTGTTTCCTCTAGAATCAAGGCCATCAAGTTACAGATGGTCTTACAAATGGAACCCCAAATGAGCTCAACTAACAACTTCTACTGAGGACCCCTGGAGTGACCCGCTGGCCCTTTCACTGGCCTAAAGAGATCCCCTCTGGAGGAAACTAGAACTGCAGGGCAGGCCCCTTCTTTGCCCCTATCCAGCAGGAAGTAGCTAGAGCGGTCATCGCCCAATTCCCAAAAGCAGTTGGGGTGTCCTGTTTAGAGGGGGGATTGAGAGATGAAGCCGGCTGGGCTTCTGGGTTGGGTGGGGACTTGGAGAATTTTCTGTCTAGCTAAAGGTTGTAAACGCATCAGTCAGCACTCTGTGTCTAGCTAAAGGTTTGTAAACGCACCAGTCAGCACTCTGTAAAAACGCACAAATCAGTGCTCTGTGTCTGGCTAAAGATGTGTAAATGCACCAATCAGCACTCTGCAAAAATGCACCAATCAGCACTCTGTGTCTAGCTAAAGGTTTGTAAATGCACCAATCAGCAGTCTGTAAAAACGCACCAGTCAGTGCTCTGTGTCTAGCTAAAGGTTTGTAAACGTGCCAATCAGCACTCTGTAAAAACGGACCAATCAGCACTCTGTAAAACGGACCAATCAGCGCTCTGTAAAATGGACCAATCAGCAGGATGTGGGTGGGGCCAAATAAGGGAATAAAAGCTGGCCACCTGAGCCAGCAGCGGCAACCCGCTCAGGTCCCCTTCCATGCTGTGGAAGCTTTGTTCTTTTGCTCTTCACAATAAATTTTGCTGTTGCTCACTCTTTGGGTTCGCATTACCTTTATGAGCTGTAATACTCACCACGAGGGTCTGCGGCTTCATTCCTGACGTGAGCGAGACCGTGAACCCATCGGGAGGAACAAACCACTCCGGATATGCCGCCTTTAAGAGCTGTAACACTCACTGAGAAGGTCTGTGGCTTCACTCCTGAAGTCAGCAAGACCGTGAACCCACCGGAAGGAAGAAACTCTGGACACATCTAAAGGAACAAACTCTGGACACAACATCTTTAAGAGTGGTAACACTCACCACGAGTGTCTGTGGCTTCGTTCTTGAAGTCAGTGAGATCAAGAACCCACCAGAAGGAACCAATTCTGGACACACTCTTACCTATATGCATGAAGGCAGAGAATTGGGATGAAGGTATACAATTAACTGGGTAATAAATGAATTACCAATTCTCAGTTGATGAGGCCTCTAGGGGTGGCATCAGTTCAAAGAGGCCCAGAGTTAGCTCATTGAGGAGCCCACAGAATAACTGAGAGGCAGGATTGCTGAAGGGCTACACTGGGTCTACTCTAATGTTGGTTTGGAATTCATTCATTCATTCTATATGACTTGTGTGCCAGACATAGTTCTTAGTCTGGAGATAAATACCAGTGAACCAAAAATAGACCCTGTCCTCATGATGTTTCCTTTCTAATGTGTGTGTTTTTGTGGATGGGGGTGAAGACAGAGTAATACATAAACCAACTTCTCTGAGATTCACCAGAAGAGATCCTGGGTTCTTAGTCCAGGGCTGAAGCTCATGGGTCATGTTTTCATGGGAATTTGCAGGATTAACTTGCTTTTCTGTTAGACTCTGCAATTTCTATTTTCCCAATGTGGGATTACAAAGGAATCTTAAGAATCAAATAGTCTGTGATAGACACTGTTGGTTGCCTATGCAATATCCATGTATTCTCCTCTGCTTGCTAATTGACAGAACCCTAATTTGGGTCAAGAAAAAAAAGGCATAATGTTATGCAGGTTGATCTTGTATCTTCTTCCCGCTTAAGACAGTTATATTTGGTTAAGACAGATGCATAGCAGTTCTAATAGACCTGCCTCATTCTTTCCAGCAGCTTTGTCGTGTTTTACTCTGTGTATGTAGCAGAATTTATTTAGCCCATTCTGAATTGATGGACATGTTTGTAGTTTTCAGTATTTGTTGTTTGTTTGTCCTGTTGCTGTGTGCAATGAATATGCTTGTTCATATATCCTGGTGTACTTTTTGAGTGTATCCTTAGAATACGTTCATGGAAGTGGAATTGCTGTATCAATGGGAATGTTTATTTTAAAATTTCATAAGTATTACATTTAATTGGAAATATTCAAGAGTACACATAATTTATAATTTGAGATGTATTGTCATATTTCTCTTCAAGAAGTTCATATCAGTTTATACCCCTTCAACAGTGTATACTAAGAGCTTATGTTCCTAACACTTAAACAGCACTGATGATACCATATCAAAAATTTTCAATTTTGGCTGCTTGGTGAAAATAATATCTTGTTTTATTTGATTTGCATTTAATTAATTATAAGTATAGTTGAACAATTTCTAAGTACTTATTAACCCATTGCCCTTCTTTTTACATAAATTGCCTTTACAAATACTTGCCCAATTTTTTCTATTGAGTCTTTTTTTTTTTTTGAGATAGAGTCTCGCTCTGTCACCCAGGCTAGAGTGCAGTGGTGCCATCTCAGCTCACTGCAAGCTCCGCCTCGTGTGTTCACACCATTCTCCTGCCTCAGCCTCCCAAGTAGCTGGGACTATAGGCGCCCACCACCACGCTGGGCTAAATTTTTTTTTTTTTTTTTTGAGACGGGGTTTTGCTCTTGTCACCCAGGTTGGAGTGCAATGGCGCAATCTCGGCTCACTGCAACCTCTGCCTCCTGGGTTCAAGCAATTCTCCTGCCTCAGCCTCCCGAGTAGCTGCGATTACGGGTGCCCACCACCACGCCTGGCTAATTTTTTTGTGTTTTTAGTAGAGATGGGGTTTTACTGTGTTAGCCAGCATGGTCTTGATCTTGTGACCTTGTGATCCATCTCCCTCAACCTCCCAAAGTGCTGGGATTACAGGCATGAGCCACCACGCCTGGCTGAGTTCTTCTTTTTATCCCACCATAGTAAATTAAGCAAATTAGCTTTTTGCCTGTTTAATATGTTCCAGGTATTTCCCCATAATTTGTTGTTTATTTTATGACTTTTGTTTTATTTTTGAATTATATAGAAAACAAAATATTTTTGTAGTCAAAATTTTAAACCTCTTCCTTTATAGCTTCTGGGTTTTGAGTTTTGCTTAGAAAGGGCTTTCTGCTTAATTATTATAAATTTATTATACATACTTTAAAAATGTATTATACATAAAAATTTCCACTTAGTTATTATACATTTATTATACATAAACTTATATATTCATACTTTCAGAACTTTAAAATTCTTGCTACATCTGGAATTGAATTTGGGCAAAAGAGTGAGCAGGGAGTAAGCTTTATTTTTAATTTTTCTCCTAAATGTTTATTCAGTTGATCATTATAATTTATTTAAGAATCACCTTTTTTCCTGATAATTTGAAAAGCCGTATTTATCATAAGCTAAGTTTATATTGGAGTCCATTTCTCAGCTGTCTTTCCTGTTCTATTAATATTTGTTCCTATTTTTTCCAATCCCTACTTTTAAAATAACTTCATTTCATAATATGTTTTAATAACTGGAAGGAATAATCCTTCTCCATATTCTTTTCTGTCCTTTCAGGATTTTCCTAGATGTAATCACATAATATTTATTTCTAGATGAATTTTAACATTTTATCAAGTTCTCAAGTGGTCTGTGGACATTTAACAGGGAGAATTAACACTTCTGTAATGTTCAATTTGCCTATACATCACTTTTTAATATACTTAATTCTTCTTTTACAACCCTCAGTAGAGTTTTAAAGTTGTTTTCATATCAGTATTTAAAAAATTTTTATTGGTATCATAAACGGTCTCTTTCCTTCCATCATATTTTAAAATTAGTTATTATGTGTAAGAAAGTGAGCCATTGATTTGGGTCCACATTTGTATTTTTAAGAAGTGCCTCCGGTGGTTGATACACAGCTAATATTCATATGGGCTTTTGGGATCTAGATCTCTATACTGCTCTTTTGGATTTATTTCTTCAACCAGGTGTTTCCTCAGATCTGTAACTAATCAGTCCACATATCTTTTTTAAAAAGTCATTTATAAAAATTAACTTTCTTAAAGTAAAAAGTTATATATGCATATTTATTTTAGTAAAGGGTACCTTAGCCAGGGTTTTTGATTATAACTAAAGTCTACTTTAGCTGGTTTAAGCAACAAGAGTTTCATAAATGACATTAGGTAGTTCATAGATTCTCCATGAGAGCCAGAGAAACAAAGACAATGCAGCTGGGAAGATTGGACAGTGATACAGAAGTACTGGTTTCTACCGTTTGGTGCTTTTGGGCTGGACACTGGAAGCCCCATCGCAGCTTTCCTAGAAGGATCTGATTCCTGTGACGTTCTAAAATCTCACCCAAGCCATGATTGATTGGTGAAATCTGGGTTCTATTTCAGTCAATTTATTGCTCCATGTTATTCTGAGTTATTTTAATGTTTTATCTGTTAGTGAGGACTGATAGTCCCTAGTGAGGCATACAAATTGTTAAAATATGAAATGCTTTTGTACTTCTCCCTTACCCTTACCAGTGATTTTCCTTCACTTGGCCTCTGCTTGAGACCCCCTGGACCTTTCCTAGACCCAGCAACTGAAAGGTAAACACTTGGCACAGGATGAAGCTTCCAAGACAGCTCCAGCCTAAGCTCTGATTGCTTGGGGCCTGAGCCATGCTGGTTGTTAAATATTTTTAATATCTCTCCTACTGTTACTCAATTGACATCCAATTAGATTCTATATATTTTTTAAGGCTTTTCTGACCCACTAATAATAATTAAAAGTCAGACCAATGAAAGAATATATGACAATTTATTTAACCAGTCCCTTATTAATGCACATTTAGGTTGTTTCTACCTTTTGTTGCTACAAACAATTCTGCAGTTTGTGATATACATCTTTGTTCGTATGTTCAGATCCCTAGAAGTGGCATTACTTTGTTCAATAATTCGTGCATATAAAATTTTGTGGATACTGCCAGAATGCTTTTCAAAGAGATTTTACCAATATTCACTTTGACCAACAGTGTATGAGATAGCTCACATTTCTTTATCTTGGCAAAGAAAATTTCACAAAAGATTTAAAAAATGTTTGAGTGAAACCAATTTTATCTTTTAGCAATGATTTTTTTAAAAAAAGGAAGAGAAGAAAATTAAGTTAGTTTACTATGAGTGGCTCCTAATGAACCTATACCAATGTAGCAAAAAATCATTGTTCTCTTTTCTAATTAATAATATTTTGATACTTTTCTAGAGACCAAGATAGAATTTGGTTTTACTTTTTAAATTCTACCTTTCTGATATATGGGAAAACATTTGTGAATTCCCAATATTCTGTTACCACTCTCATTTTCCATTAGTATGCCAAATGCCAGCAAGAATTCTGTGATAATATGTGCATGTTTTTCAGTGCTCTGTAAAATAGTGGTTCTCAACTCAGGGTGCTTTTGCTTCTCAGAGGACATTTGGCAATGTCTGGAGACATTTTTGGCTGTCATAACTAGGGGGCAGGTTCTTTTGGCATCTAGTGGGTAGAAGCCAGGGATGCTGCTAAACATTTTACAACACACAGGAAAGCCCCCAACCATAAAGAGTTATCCAGCCTCAAATGTCAATAGCACTGAAGATGAGAAACCCTGCTTTAATGGAATATACCCAGAAATGGTCATTTATCTAAATTGTTAAGCATTCTCTTACTATCTTTTCTCCTTTCTCGTTTATCAATTTCATCTCAAGATTGTTGGTACAATCTTTTTATTTTAAAGACCATTCTCCTTGGGAGACAAGATGAAAGCAAAGTAAAAATATTGTTATTTTGCTTTCTCTCTATTACTTGTTAATATGAAATCTGTCTGGGGGAGGAGGAGACTTGTACCTTTTTTATCTACTTCCATCATCAAACACAACCTTAAAAGTTTTTGTGTTGTTTAAGTCTTTGCTCATCCTAGGTTTACACTACTTTTCTAATAGACTGATACTACAGTGATGTGTTCATCCTAACCTTTACCTTCTTCCTTCTTTTGTGTGTTCTTTAAACATCTCAGCTCTTTAGAAGGCTCCTTGTATACCATCTGTGTGATGTAGTAATGGCTTAAGTTTTTTGACCTATTTTTCATTTAAAGTCTGTGGCTCTGGGACATTCTTATATTTTCTCTCAACTGCTAAGCAATCTAAGATACTTGTCTTACTTTGCTTTGTGTTTTCTTTCTTTACTGTAATGAACTCTAAGGTGATATGTTCAATTTTCCCCAAGGTTCCTGTCACTTTCACTTCCCTAACGTATCATTCTTTGTTGGTAATAATTAAATCCAGGGTAGCAGTTCCATTCTTTGCTTCTTTTGCCCTCTGAATGATGAAGCTGCTGGTAGAGAGGCAGGAGATAAAGGAGAGGAATGATTCAGATTTTAATTACTTCATTGTCTTTTTCTTTTGCCAAATTCTTGGATGTTTAAATCTTTGCCAGGTCTCTTTTTATCTTGACCTGTCACTTCAGTCAACTTTCTTTTCTTTTTAGCCTTTCCATCACTTCTTTCCTAGAATTTACATTTTTGGGTATTTCACTGAGAACACAGAAGAGATATATTCTAAATTTTCTTTTGTCTTGGTGATAATTTTCCCTTACATCTTTAAGAAAGTGTCTTCCTCTTTTATGTTACACGATTTTTAAATTTTGTTTTTTTCTGTTATTTTTGAAATACATAAGATTTATATTTAGTCCTGGTGTTTGTCAGAAATGAGGTATGTGTAGCCTTTGAGCTCAATCAGTATTAGTTTTGATTCTACAGAATTATTCTCTCAAATCTTAAAGTGAAGGACAAGTATCTTGTTAAGTTTCTGGGCTACAGGAGGTACATTTGCATCGGGGCAACTCTTCTCCTACTCCTATTATTTGTTCCTCTACTTGGAGGTGAATTTAACCCTAGATAATCTGAAGCAATTCGATTCACCTTTCTAAAAGAGACACATAAAACCTAATCTCCAGAGCACCCTTCTGTCTGTGTTTTTCTTATGTCTGCCTTCTCTTTTGGGGCTTTCTCATACCAGAGTACAATATGTCATTCTTTCCTTGTCCCCTCTCATCCTGTGCTGCATTTCTGCGACTCAAAATCTTCTGGCTGAGTGTAGTTAGAAATGTATTGCTAGGAGGTGTCTAGGAAACACCCCTGGCTACCTGAAAAGCAGCTTCTTTGAAGTAAGGGGGTGCAAGCTGACTTTTTGATTGGTTGTGCCAGCCCCAAGTCTTTGATAGGATGTGAGGATACATGGGTGGGATGTGAGGTTGTTGCAAATTTAGACACAAGTGAGTTTCAGCTCCCTTTTTCCTTGTTTATAATTCATGAAGTAGATAAGGTAAAGTGGCCAGATTTAGTAAATAAAAATACAGGACACACTCTTGATTTAAATTCCAAGGAAACAGCACATATGTGTGTGTGCATGCGTGCGTGTGTAAGTATGTCCCAAATATTGCATAGGGCATACTTATGCCAAAAAATTATTCTTTGTTTATCTGAAAGTCAAAGTGGGCATTTTGTATTTTATCTGTGAACCTTAAGGTAAGGGAAAATTTTCCTCCAGTGTTTGGAAATCATTAATGAGATCCTTATCATTTTGTGTCTCAGATACTAGCGTAAAAGGGTCTTTTTCTAACTTGAGAAAGCTTGCCCTTTCTAGTCTTGTTTCAGCTGCAGGGCTGGTCAACACTGGGGAGACTGGAGGAAATTTGTAGAATCTGGGAGCCTTCAAACAGGAGAAGACTGAAAACCTGGACTCTTTCCTTTTACAATGTATCTGTTGTTAGGAAGAGTTCTTCTGACCCCTGCATCAAATTAGTACTGACTAAAATTTGCTAGTGAGAAAGAACACCAAAGACCCTTAAACTAGAACCCCCCTTGTGGCCTATGTTACCCTAGAAGTGTTTGTTTCTGGCACATGTGTAACTGACTGGAAGGCCCTCCTGACTCAGCCACTAGGCTTGGTAAATTAAAACGTTGAAGGCATGGGTTCTGTGCCATACATTTGCCGGAATGGTATGCTTGTCTTAAATCATTGTGGCCTCTCACTGGATCCACAGCAACAGCTAGAGTGCAGCAGGAGAAAGGGTCTCACTGAACTATGGGGAGTCAGCTTCCATCAGTAAACTGTGTACCAGGAACAGAGCACCAGCATCCTTCAACAAAGCCCACTTGTATTCTAATCCACTTCTCTGCCTTTCTTTCTCTGTGGCATGTGAATGAAGATGCCCCCAGAGTTTTTGAACAATTTGAGAGACAAGAGAGATACTGGATTCCCTGCCAGTCTGGCAATTGGGAAGTGGTTTTAGCTTGAAAAATTAATAGTAATGACCTCATTTTTACCCAAAACTATTGAAGTGGACCCTGCTATTACCACATATACACATATATTTTACAAATATGACATCATAACATATATCATTTTATAATTGTTCAGTTCTGTGAAAGTTTCTTTTTTCCTTTTCCAGTGGCATGACCTCAGAAGATTGTATATATTTTTCTGTGTTCTTGTGCTTTGCATTTTTGAATATACCTATACTGCTTAGATTAATAAAGATCTGTTTATAAAAGACAATCAAGTTTTGTGATTTCTTATAATTCCTGGGTCTTTCTCTTCTTTGCCAGCCTGTATCATTAATATATTTTAAAGACCAAGCTAAAAAATTAACCTGAAATAAGTAGCCATCCTTGGGTAAATATTTTTAATTTTGATTACTTAACTTGGGTGCCTCGGCCTTTAGTTTATATGATATAATCTTACATTTAGGCATATGCTAATTTAAAATATATTGGTTATTGATCCCTATGATTGCATTCTAGAGGAAAATATAGAATATATTTATGATCTTAGGATAGGACATAATTTCTTAAATAAGACTCCCAAAACATAGCCATAAAGTAAAAAACTGAAATTATTACATTAATGCAAAAATTAATTAATTAAAAGACTGAAAAAACAATAAAAAGAAACAAAAACTACCAGTTGACAGGGTATGTTTACATTCATCCATATAAAGTGGATTGCATTGTTGTTTCCCAATCCTCTTGCTCCCTATATCCATCCCCTTTGCCATGTGTCTTTGCAATTCCTCCTGCTAGAGGCAGAGTGTATTTCCCTGCTCCATTAATGTTAGACTTGGCCATATGACTTGTTTTGCCTGTCGGAATGTGGGCAGAAAAGTTAGACTTGGCCATATAACTTGCTTTGCCCATTAGAATGTGGGCAGAAAAGGCAGAGTGCCAACTTTGAGCCTTCACCTTAAGAGGTACTCAATGTTTCCATTTGCCCATCTTGTGTTTCTGTTCATGAGAAGAATATGCTCCAAGTGGCCTACTTGTCCAAGGAGGATGAGAAAAATGTGGAGCAGATCTGGATCCCAAAACTATAGCCTGGGGCAAGCTAAGCCAGGTCCATTCTGAATTAGCCAATCTTTAGCCAACCTGAAAATCCACAAGAAATAATAAATGTTTTCTTAGGCCACTGAGTTCTAAACCTCAGTGGTAGTTTTTTTTATATGGTGTTATTGTCAAAATAGTTGACTCATACATCATTTAACAAAAGTCATTTATCATAAGATTTTATTAAAAACTCCAAAAAATTAATAAGGAAAAGATAATCAAAAAACGAACAATCCAATAGGGTCAATGATATGTGAAAAGGTAATTCACAGAAAAGAAAACTAGAATGACCCATAAATAAGTCAAAAGAAACTTAGTTTTCTTCACTAGTTACTGGGTAAAGACACATTAAAACAACAATGGGATACTTTATCTACTCATTAAATTGGTAGATATTAATGTATGGCAATAACCTAGAATGTGTAAGGATATGAAGAAAATGGAACTTTCATATACAGATGTTACAATGTTCAAGGGAAGGTATCCTAGACAAAGAGGGACATATGAAGCAGGGAGAGGATATTTTCAAGGAATATTACTGACAAAAGATTATATTTACAATATATAGGGAATTCTTTGAAGTCAGTAAGGAAATGAACAGGCAACCTAGGAGAAAAACAGGTGAAGAATACAAGTAAGCAATTCATAGAAAGGATATTTGAATGGCTGACTAATCAACTAAAAAGAGATTAGCATTTACACTGGTAATCAGAAGTGCAAATCAAAACAATAGTGATGTGATATCTCCTTTGCATGTCCCATGTTGATGGGAGTTAAAATGTCATGTAATATCTTGTTTTGGTGAGGAGGTGGGGACATGTGAACCTACATTCTCTGCTGGTGGTGTTTTTTGGAGACCAATTTGACAATACTTATTGAAACTGAACACACATTCTGACCCAGAAATTCTACTTCTGAATTGTATTAGTTTGCTAGGACTGCCAGAGTAAAATACCACAGACTGGGATCTTTAAGCAAGAGAAATTTATTTTTTCACAGTTCTGGAGGCTATAAGTCCAAGATCAAGGTGTTGGCAGGTTTGGTTTCTTCTGAGGCCTCTTTCCTTGGCTTGCAGATGACCACCTTTCTCACATGGTTGCCCCTCTATGTGCACATTCCTGATGTCTTTTCTTCTCTATGTCCTAATTTCCTCTTCTTAGAAGGACACCAGTATGACTGAATTAGGGCCCATCCTAACAGCCTCATTTTAACCTAATCACCTCTTTAACGGACCTATCTCCAAATACAGTCATATCGTGAGTGAGGTACTAGGGTTTAGGACTTTAACACAGGAATTTTGAGGAGATACAATTTAGCCCATAACAGAATGTATACACCAGAGGGACTCTTGCATAGGCACACAAAGAGACATGTATGAGAATGTTTATTACAGCATTGTCTCCTACAGCAAAGAGTTGGCTATTACCGAAACGTGCTTGATTAGTGATATGGACACAAAATATATTTATAAATGCATGTGATAGAATGCTACACAATGGAAAATAAAGGAACAAACTAAATCTATTATATTAGTTAAGAACTCATTTTTATCACATAACAAGAAGTCTAGAGGTAAGAAGTTAATAACGGACGTCCGTTATTAACTTCTTACCTCTAGACTTCTTGTTATGTGATAAAAATGAGTTCTTAACTAATATAATAGATTTAGTTTGATCAAGTGGGCTTCATCCCTGGGATGCAAGGCTGGTTCAACATACGCAAATCAATAAATGTAATCCAGCATATAAACAGAACCAAAGACAAAAACCACATGATTATCTCAATAGATGCAGAAAAGGCCTTTGACAAAATTCAACAACCCTTCATGCTAAAAACTCTCAATAAATTAGGTATTGATGGGACGTATTTCAAAATAATAAGAGCTATCTATGACAAACCCACAGCCAATATCATACCGAATGGGCAAACACTGGAAGCATTCCCTTTGAAAACTGGCACAAGACAGGGATGCCCTCTCTCACCACTCCTATTCAACATAGTGTTGGAAGTTCTGGCCAGGGCAATTAGGCAGGAGAAGGAAATAAAGGGTATTCAATTAGGAAAAGAGGAAGTCAAATTGTCCCTGTTTGCAGATGACATGATTGTATATCTAGAAAACCCCATTGTCTCAGCCCAAAATCTCCTTAAGCTGATAAGCAACTTCAGCAAAGTCTCAGGATACAAAATCAATGTACAAAAATCACAAGCATTCTTATACACCAATAACAGACAAACAGAGAGCCAAATCATGAGTGAACTACCATTCACAATTGCTTCAAAGAGAATAAAATACCTGGGAATCCAACTTACAAGGGATGTGAAGGACCTCTTCAAGGAGAACTACAAACCACTGCTCAATGAAATAAAAGAGGACACAAACAAATGGAAGAACATTCCATGCTCATGGGTAGGAAGAATCAATATCGTGAAAATGGCCATACTGCCCAAGGTAATTTATAGATTCAATGCCATCCCCATCAAGCTACCAATGACTTTCTTCACAGAATTGGGAAAAACTACTTTAAAGTTCATATGGAACCAAAAAAGAGCCCGCATCGCCAAGTCAATCCTAAGCCAAAAGAACAAAGCTGGAGGCATCACACTACCTGACTTCAAACTATACTACAAGGCTACAGTAACCAAAACAGCATGATACTGGTACCAAAACAGAGATATCGACCAATGGAACAGAACAGAGCCCTCAGAAATAATGCCTCATATCTACAACCATCTGATCTTTGACAAACCTGAGAGAAACAAGCAATGGGGAAAGGATACCCTTTTTAATAAATGGTGCTGGGAAAACTGGCTAGCCCTACGTAGAAAGCTGAAACTGGATCCCTTCCTTACACCTTATACAAAAATTAATTCAAGATGGATTAAAGACTTACATGTTAGACCTAAAACCATAAAAACCCTAGAAGAAAACCTAGGCGATACCATTCAGGACATAGGCATGGGCAAGGACTTCATGTCTAAAACACCAAAAGCAATGGCAACAAAAGCCAAAATTGACAAATGGGATCTAATTAAACTCAAGAGCTTCTGCACAGCAGAAGAAACTACCATCAGAGTGAACAGGCAACCCACAAAATGGGAGAAAATTTTCGCAACCTACTCATCTGACAAAGGGCTAATACCCAGAATCTACAATGAACTCAAACAAATTTACAAGAAAAAAACAAACAACCCCACCAAAAAGTGGGCGAAGGATATGAACAGACACTTCTCAAAAGAAGACATTTATGCAGCCAAAGACACATGAAAAAATGCTCATCATCACTGGCCATCAGAGAAATGCAAATCAAAACCACAATGAGATACCATCTCACACCAGTTAGAATGGCGATCATCAAAAAGTCAGGAAACAACAGGTGCTGGAGAGGATGTGGAGAAATAGGAACAATTTTACACTGTTGGTGGGACTGTAAACTAGTTCAACCATTGTGGAAGTCAGTGTGGCGATTCCTCAGGGGTCTAGAACTACAAATACCATTTGACCCAGCCATCCCATTACTGGGTATATACCCAAAGGATTATAAATCATGCTGCTATAAAGACACATGCACACGTATGTTTATTGTGGCACTATTAACAATAGCAAAGACTTGGAACCAACCCAAATGTCCAACAACGATAGACTGGATTAAGAAAATGTGGCACATATACACCATGGAATACTATGCAGCCATAAAAAATGATGAGTTCATGTCCTTTGTAGGGACATGGATGAAACTGGAAACCATCATTCTCAGCAAACTATCGCAAGGACAAAAAACCAAACACCGCATGTTCTCACTCATAGGTGGGAATTGAACAATGAGAACACTTGGACACAGGAAGGGGAATATCACACTTCAGGGACTGTTGTGGGGTGGGGGGAGCGGGGAGGGATAGCATTAGGAGATATACCTAATGCTAAATGACGAGTTAATGGGTGCAGCACACCAACATGGCACATGTATAGACATGTAACAAACCTGCACATTGTGCACATGTACCCTAAAACTTAAAGTATAATAATAATAAAATTAAGAAAAAAGAAGTTAATAACGGATGTCATCAAGGGCCCAAGTTCTTTCTATAGTTCTGCTCTGTCATCCTTCCTCTTCAGCTTTGCAGTAAGATTGTTTTATTTCCAGGCACCTTACCACAGTCAGGTTAAGGAAGACATGGCAAGGATGCTGATGTCCTTTTGATAGGGAAAGCAAAAGCTTTACCGTCTCATTGGCCAGAATTCTTTCACATGCCATTCTGAGTTGCAAAGAAGGCTGGGAAATCAAATGTCCTGCCTCCATAGCAGAGAAAGATAAGGGAGAATAAGGTTGGGACTATGTGCTGAGTGAGCAAACATGCAATGTTTACCACATCTTTATAGTCCAACATAGATAGACCAAAAAACAAACAAACAAACAAAAAAACAAAACCACACAATGAAACAGACACAGAGAGATAGAAGTAGAAAGAGATGGGAAATACAATATTATTTGTGTAAATTTAAACATCCATACACATAAAGTTATATATTCTTGTAGACGTATATAGCATATGTAAAAAAAGTTACGGAAGTTTAATTGGAAATGTACCCATTAACTACCATAAGAAGCAGAGAGGGGAATGGAACTGAGAACAGGGAATATAGACTATGAAAACAAAAAATAAAACAGGCTTTTCATAGACTAGTCCACCAGTTAGGACCATGATTGATTGTGTCAGTCTAATTCTGTGCACCCAAGACCCAGGGGGATAAAAGTGGATTGGCTTGGGATGTGTGTGTGTGGGTTACTCAGACTGTTTGATTTGGCAGGGTTATCATTTGAAGTAAAAGAAGTGTGATTCATTGGCTCTATGACTGAATTTAATTATTTTACCTTTCTCTGTGATAAGCTTCATTCTTTTGAATACAATTGATGACCTAATAGGAATGATGTTATAGTTTTAATTTAGTGACTATAGCAGTTATATTTTGGAAAATTTAGGGATATTACAAGTTTTGCAAAATTGATTTTGTTTTTGTACATATATTTCTTTTGTTCTATTATGCAAAATCAGTAGAACTAGACTTAGAGAGTCAATGAAAGACATGAGTAAAATAGACATGGCTGCTTAGTAGTGAAATCCATCACTCTCTAGTTTTCTGTTATTATCTTTGGAAACAGAGAGTGTGGGAGAAAAGGATTTCCTTCCTCTCTTTCTAATATAGCCTCAGTGACTGAGTGGCTCTCTGCTCTGGAATGAAGCAGGTTGGCACAACTCCACAAGTCTTATGTGGGAACAAGACACAGAGGTTTCTATTTTTTCTTAGTGTCATTTGTTTGTGTTTAGTTCGGTATTCTATCTTTAACCATTCTATACCCACTCTTCCAAAAAATACTCAGTTTATTAATATGTGTTAGTGTCCCTTTAATTTATTAAGCATGTTGCAACTTTGGAAGAAGCTCTAAACATATTTCCATTTCAGTACCAGGTTTTCTTGCTATCCAATTATAAATTATTAACGTGGATGGAGTAGAAGACTTCCATTGATGGCATGGATTCAATTTGCTAAATAAAGCTGTGTGGACATAATCATTCTCTATCCATTTAAAAATCAAAGGGGCAATCTGTTTGATGTGTTTCACAGCAGCCCTCTAAAATTCAATGGCATTTTGGTTTTGAAAAGCAGAATTTCACAAAGAGAAAAGTATCTTTCCACAAAATAACAATAATTGATAAATGAATTATTTGGCATGGTAATTAGCATTCCATTATATTCTATGTGTAATTTTATAAGTAATTACTCTTCATAGAAGTTTTATAGGTCTCATTTCACATCAGGAAAACAGGGTAAATTGGGGTCATTGTGGATGAGGCCAAAGAGGGTAAAGTGAGTTTGAATTTGAACCCAGTTTGTTTTGCATTTCTTACTATTCTTATTATGACATTTCTTCTCATCATATTCTTCACTGTACTTGTTTTGTAATGTGGCTGCCTCATTCCTTCTATAGTTAATCTTGGGAGAGCTCATCTACTCTTATGGATTAGAGTGTAACATGGATGGACAGGTTACTATATCTGTATCTCTAGGCATAATTTTTCTCCAAAGTTCATGGATTCTGCATTTCCAGTTGCTCATGGGACATAACTATTTGCATATGCCACTGCACCTCAAACTTAGCATACCTAACCTATGTCAGAGTCCGAGCTTGCACTATACCTGTCAATTGGTGTGAATATTACCTGCTAAGAGCCCACTGCTGTAATTTAGGGGAATAATAAGTTGTTTTGAAGATAAATGAAATACAATAGGCCCTTTGGGAGGCCGAGGCGGGCAGATCACAAGGTCAGGAGTTCGAGACTAGCCTGGCCAACATAGTGAAACCCCATCTCTACTAAAAATACAAAAAATTAGCCGGGCATGGTGGCGAGTGCCTGTAATCCCAGCTGCTCGGGAGGCTGAGGTAGGAGATTCACTTGAACCGGGGAGGCGGAGGTTGCAGTAAGCCGAGATCACGCCATTGCACTCCAGCCCGGGTGACAGTGTGAGACTCCGTCTCAAAAAAAAAAAAAAAAAAAAAAAAGAAACACAGTAGGCCCCTTATCTGTGGTTGCATTTTCTGTGGTTTTAGATACTCAAGGTCAACCCTGGTCTGAAAATATGAAATGGAAATTCCAGAAATAACCAATCCACAAGTTTTAAGTGTGTGCCATTCTGAGTAGCACAATGAGATCTTGTGTTATCCTGTTATGTCTCAATCAGGACACGAATCATCTTTTTGTCCAGCATGTCCTGCTGTATATGCTGCCTGCCCATTAGTCACTCCTAGAGGCCATCTAGATTTTCAAATGGACTGTCGTGGCCTAGCCCCAAAGCGCAAGAGTTCTGATGCAAGCATATTGTTATAATTGCTCTATTTTATAATTATTATTGTTAATTTCTTGCCTAACTTATAAATTAAACTTTATCATAGTTTGCAGGTATAGGAAAAACATATATAGGGTTCAGAACTATCTGTGGTTTCAGGAATTCACTATGGGTCTTGGAACACATACCTTGTCTATAAGGGGGGACTATTGCCTATATAAAATATATTGAAAATTCAGATACAGCATATAGTGTATGGAGGCATTTTTGCTAAAAGTAAAAAGGAGTATTTTAAGTAAGTAGTATCTATTCACTGCTTATTCAATCTCTCCCTACCCCTAAGCGTTATCCTTAATTTTTTTTAATCTACAAATAGAATTGAGGCTAATAAGGCCTTTAGATGTAGGTTCTTAAGGCACCTGCGAAAACCAAAAACCATTGAGTGAGACATAGTTCAGGAGAGCCTGTGTCAGGTACCAAACTCAGAGCTGAAAAGTAAAGTAGAATTAAGTGGGTAACTAGAAACAACAACAATAACAAAATTATTTATATACATATTCCAAAATGTGTGGATGATTGGCAAAAAGGATAAGCAAATTACTGGCAAAACTGACTTTTCAGTTTTATTCTGAATAGTGGGTTATCCTATAAGTTAATTTGAGAAAAAAGCCCAGGTATCTATTTTATATTACAGCGAATGTATCTGTTTAGAAAATTGAAGATATAAAATTTCATAAAAGAATATAATTAAGAGGTATCCTATTTTATTTCCAAATGTAAAATATGATATTTACCTGGCTATTGTTAGTTATTACATGAGGAAAGAAACTGCCACATTTGAGTATGAGAGACGATCTTATAGAGCAGTTTCTTTCAATGAAGAACCCAATGCTTGTTTTTATTATTAGAAATAGAATTCCCCTTTAAAGGAAAATAACCTATAATTTTTTATTTTGAATGACAATTGAGGAAGAGAATTAACATTTATTTTCTCTTTGGAAAATTTAGTACTTTAGCATAGAGGATGTGCCATTAGTGGCAAATCTGAGAGCAGGAAAAAGAGATTGCTCTTTGAAATTGCTTTTTCACTTTTGCCATAGTTAACTTAGTTAACTTGATGTTTGTGATATAATTGCATCAAAGAAACAGAAAATTTTTTATCTTCAGCCAAGATAAATTTGTGGAAGTTAATGATTTTAGCTAATTAGATAGTAAAATTTTTATTTTTAGAATAAATCAGGCAAATTGCTGTCCATGTCTTTCCACACTAAGTGAGTGTTAAGTTGTGAAATAAAGAACCTATAAATTGTAAGGGAACTTTGTTAGTCATAATACCGCATGTTTATGAGAAATATATTAATGCTGTAATAACAGGAAGTATATCTTTAAAATTAGTCTGTGGCTTCTAATATATAATGAAAATTTAGCAAATATTAAACAGGGAGTTAAAGAGGTTACAAATGTCATATAATTTTGAAGAGAGATTTTATCCTGTAATTTAGTTCTGTTTTCTTCAGGATTTGTTTTCGATTTTCTAATGGAGCTTAGAATCTTTATGTAAGATTGTTGTTCATTTGTTTGTCCCAGAAAAATTTAGGATTGTGGGAAGTCTTTCTGATGATTGAACCCAATTCTGCTTCTTCTTGGTAATTCTGCCACTTCTTGGTCTTCTAGTGCTTTTTTTCAGAGGATGCAGCTGTTGGAGCAGATAGAGGAGGAAATAATGGTAGTGTGATACAGATGAGAAGCATTAATCTGGGCTCTAAAAGTCAAATTTATATGGGCAAAATAAAATGGGATATTTCTAAGCACATTTACTAAGGAAAGTTGAGATGATGTGTCCCAGTTCCTAGCTGAAGTATAAAAATACATGTCATTGGGTGCAATATGTGGGCTTTCAGAATCTAATAATACCCTCTGCTGGCTAAATGAGGAATTGTGTTTAAAAATGAGTGACTTGGCTTTTTTGTTTGTTTGTTTTTAAAATATGGATGATTGCTCTATTATAAAAGGATTGAGCAGTGCAGAGTATTGTGAAATAATATAGGAAAAAATTGTAAATGTGAAGAATGAAGCCAATATGTTACTAAAATGTTTTCTAAAGTGAAATTAATGTAGAAATATCTATAAGTAGAATTTCTGAATCTTTTGGTCTATATTTTAATCATGAAGTAGGTCATAGGGAAGGAATGCAGTAGGGGGAAAATACGTGAATCTCTGGCCCCTATCCTCAATAACAATTCAGATTAATTCAAGATATTTAAATTACCTTCATTAGTTATTCCTAAATTACTGTTGTAAGAGCTATTGACAAATATATGAAGGTGAGATAAGAACTGCTTTTCTCACCCCACCACTGGACACTACCTGGGTAACGGGATCAATTATACCCTAAATGTCAGCATCATGTAGTATACCCATATAACAAACCTGTACAAGTACTTCCTGAATCTAAAATAAAAGTTGATATTATAAGGAAAAGAAAGAATGGCTTTTCTGTGGATAGCCTGATTTAATTTCTGTTAAAAATAACAGGCATATTCTTAAGTAACCTGAAAGCTTGATCGCTTCAGGGAAGTATCATATAACATGCCTGTTTTATATTTTTTCTTTCTACTTTTACAAATTCTCAAAAATTCTACTTTGGGATTTACAGTGTTTTGGGTACATAATGACCATGCAAGTTGTATTTAGAAGTTGATAGTGGGTAATGTATTATTATTTCATTGTAAATCTGAAAAATAGAATTTCAGGTCTGATTCTGCTGTTTGATGTTACCCTTCACTGGCATGTTGCTTTAAGAGCACCCATCCCCCCTTCTTGCTTGGGCCACTGTGTCCTGTCAGTCATCCTGAAATACACTAGGGTGCTTGTCAGGCTGTTTGCTTACAGATGCATCATAAGCCAAATTGTGAGCCATGATAGTGGCACTGAATTTCTAAATACAAGAAATTGCTTAGACAATTGGTTTAGTATCTGTATATGGGCAATACTCTGTCCTGCAGTAGGTGAGTGGAGTGTCAAACTTTTAAAAATCAAACTTTGCTATAAGGCAAATCCTAGTAATTATAGATTATCTGTTGCTCGGTTAGATAACTTTGGGGGAAATGAAAGGACATTATTTCTATAAAATGGGATGAATAGAAACTATTATGTTGTGCAATTTTTACTTTTATAACTAATTTTCGTTTTAGTAACACTAAACTCTAGACTATTTTATGAAAGCTCCAATTTTAAATGTCTACTTTTCCGAGTATATTAGCAGGCATTTCAGATTTAGATAAAAATGTGGTTCTCTTACACATTTTTTCTTTCACAACTCAGGCAGATTCAATTGAGCAGAGGCTCGAGTCTGCTGTTTATTAGTGGTTTTAAAAATAGCACTAAAACAGATTCTCATGTGCCAATACCCAAGCTATAGTAGTCTTACATCAGCTCATTTAAAAACTCCTACTCTGTAACTGAGCTATTACTATAATGATTGAGTAACTGTATGCAAGGCACTAGAAACTTTACATACTTTAGACACAAAAATTGTACAGCGAGTAGGTTATTTGTGCAAATAATTTAATTGCTTTTAATTAAAAGTTATGGGCTTTTAAACTTAAATTGTGCATGGATTTTTCCCTGTAGTTTTTGTGCGCAGACTTAAATATTTTTAAACAGAGAATTGGTAAAGCAAAAAAGGAGAAACTCATGATTTTTGATACTTGTGTATTCAATACGGTAGAGCATAGCTAAGAGGCAGCAAGAAGTTAAAGTTGTAAGGCTTTATCTAAGGTAAATGAGAAAAGATTGCTTTTTCAGATACCTAGAATGACTCTTTATTTATTCCTTGTCTTGTTCTAGAAAGGATTTAAGGTGACTTATAAGGCTACATGAAATTCAAGATAGGATAAATTAAATGTGGAGTGAAAGAAGAAAGAAAACAAGTGTGGGATATAAAACAGAGCCAGGAGTAAGAAAAAAAACAATAAAATAAATGCAGCAATTCTCAATGATAACTCTGGTGTATTATGGATAGATGAGAGAGAAAATATAGGGTTTCAGAAATCTTATGGTGGAGTTTCATACAAACCAGTTGCCTTCTCTTACCTTGGTGGCAGTCTGGAATGAGGAGAGTATATTAGATTATAAATATTAAATATGCTTTAAATGTCACTCGTGTTTTGGTGAAAAATAGTGAAGAAATGCTGCCCTTTTAACCCACACACTAACTTATGTGAAAGTAAATGTGGCCCCAAATGTTCAGAAAAAAATTTGGTTAGTTCAGAAGAGAGATTAAAGAAGCTTAGTTTTTTGGAAACACCAGAGTGATCTAAATAAGATAAAATATCTACATAATAGAACAGACATGATCAAGACAATGTTTAAAATAAAATATATTTAGCAATTTTGTATAAATGTATGAATACTAGTCCTACAATTTTAAAAAATAAATTGTTGTAAATGGGATTAGCTACTTTCCTTCTTTTCACACTTTTAATCTAGCAGTAAATTTAACTTGAATTTCAACTTCAGTAAGGTCAAAATTAACTGGATTGATCTAACTTGTAAAAAAAGTTGTTGGGTAGAAAGAAGGAAACCAGAGACAGGACTTTATAATGTACTTTCATCTTCACATACTCGCAGGACACCTACTATGTTGAAGATTCTGGACTCTGGGCCTTGTACTCACTAAACTGGGCTTGTCTAAGTGAACTAGCTTAGAAACTCGCTGCTGTCAGAGAGCAGAATTGAAAAAAGACAAGAGGGTAGTAGTTAAAATTTGCGAAGGATTTTCAGTGTTGTCTTCTGATATTAACATGATGAGCCAGGGACAGTCATTTGGCTCTTTTTTATTCGTTGTTAAAAGTAAGGTCAATAAGAAATGATTCACCAGGGCTGTGGTTGTGAAGAAGACCGAGACCCGCGATGGGAAGCTGGTGTCCGAGTCCTCTGACGTCCTGCCCAAGTCAACAGCTGCGGCAGCCCCTCCCAGCCTGCCCCTCCTGCGGCTGCCCCAGATCCTGGGAGGGAGGCCGTTGTGCAGAGGAGCACAGGGAAGAGGAGACCCACCTGAGGCTCAGCCCTAGCCCCTCAGCCCACCCACGGGAGAGTTTACTGACTGGGGACCGCACTTGCCCATGCCTCCAGCTACAAAACAATTCAATTGCTTTTTTTTTTGGTCCAAAATAAAACCTCAGCTAGCTTTAACACACACACACACACACAAAGAAAAATAAAAAGAAATTTTTTTTTAAAGCAGTACAAAAACAAATACTGAAAGCTCTTGTTTTTGTAGTTTTGTAAACACATAGATAGGTTGACTTAGAGTTCTTGCCAGAAAAATTATAAATCAAATATATAACACATAACTGATCAGATGCACAGGATGATATTGAGAATAACCTGAACACACAGGTGTGAAGCCTGGGAATGAATACTATTAAGAAGTTAGGTAGGGTTTAGGCACCAAATACTGTAAATTGACAGATGTACAAGAAGGGCCAAGACACTTCGAAAAAGTGAATCAACTTTTGAAAGTATTAATTCAGAGAACTTAAGGAAGAGCTCCTGGAGCCAAAGGATATCAGTGGAAACTTGTAATTATATAGTGAATGAAATAATGTAGAAATATTTCTGTGCCACTGGGATAAGAGATGAACACAAAAGATGTTTTTAAAAGTCAAATTTACCGAGAAATAACTTATATATACCATATTAAATTCACTCCTTTAAAGTTTACAGTTTGATGAGTTCTGACAACCATATACAGTTATAGAACCATCACCGCCACAATCAAATAGAATATCCCCAACATGCTAAAAAGTTTCTTTGTGCCCTTCTGCAGTCAACTGATTACATCAACTGTTGGCATCTGGCAACTACCAATCTGTTTTTTGTCCCTGTATTTTTGTCCTTTCAAAAATGTTATATAAATGGAATCATATAGTGTGTACTTATTTATGTCTGATTCTCACTCAGCAAAACGCTTTTGATATTCGTTCATGTCATTGCATGTATACTTGGTTCATTCTTTCTTCTTGCATAACATGTGATGGTATTCTTGTGCCACAGATTGTTTATCCATTCACTTGTAGATGAAAATTTGAGTTGTTTCTAGTTTCTGACTACAGTAGTCCCCTCTTATCCATGGTTTCACTTTTAGCAGTTTCAGCTACCCATGGTTCAAAAATATGACACAAAATAAGATATTTTGCGAGAGAGAATGAGTGAGCACATTCACATAACTTTTATTGCAATATATTGCTAAAATCATTCTATTTTATTATGTTATTGTTGTTAATCTCTTACTGTGCCTAATTTATAAACTTTATTATATGTGTGTTGAATAGGAAAAAGCATAGTATATATAGGGTTTGGTACTATCCCAGGTTTCAAGTATCCACTGGGGGTCTTGGAACATATCCCCCAAGGATTGGGGGGATGACTGTCTTATGAGTAAGGCCACCATGAATGTTTGCATACAGGTATCTATATGGACATAAGTGTTTATTTCTCTTGGCTAAATACCTAAGGAGTGGAATTGCTGAGCTATAGAGTGGGTATATGTTTAACTTTATAAGACACTTCCAAGCTTTTCTCTAAAGTGGCTGTACCAGTTTACGTTTTTGCTAGCAATGTGTGAGATTTCCAGTTGTTTCTCATCTTTGCTAGCTCCAGTATTTATAATCTTTCAAATTTTAGCCATTCTAGCATGTGTGGAGGAGTACATATTTTGGCTTTAATTTGCATTTCTCTAGTGACTAATGATGTTGAACATTTTTCATGTGCTTATTTGCCATGTATATATTTTCTTTGGTAAGATGTCTTTTCAATTTTTTTTTTGCCCATTTAAAGAGTTGAGTTGTTTTTCATTTAATTATTGAGTTCTAAGGGTTCTTTTTATTTCCTGGATACAAGACCTTTGTCATATGTAGATTTTCAAAATACTTTGTCCCCGTCTATGGTTTGTATTTTCACGAAGTTTGAATTTTCATGAAGTCCAGTTTATCAACTTTTTCGTTTATGGATCATGCTTTTGGTGTTGCATCTAAGAAGACTTTGCCAAGGTTACAATGATTTTTTTCCTATGTTTTCTTCTAGAAGTTTAATAGCTTTAGGTCCTACCTTTAGCTCTGTGATCCATTTCAAGTAAGTTTTTGTATGTGATGTGAAGAAAGGGCCAACATTCCCTCCCTGCCTCCCTTCCTCCCTGCCTAACTTCCTGACTTTCTTCCCTTCCTTCCTTCCTTCTTTCTTCCCTCCCTCCCTCCCTCCTTTTTCTCTTTCTTCCTTCCTTTTCTCTCTCTCTCTTTTTTTTTTGTTTTAGTAAAATTGCTGCAATTAATTGCCTTGGGAATACATCACTTTTTATTTTTATATTTGTGGTAGAGTCCTAAAAACTGAATTGCTGGGTCAAAGTTTAAATACATACATATACATATACATGTATTGCATATTTGCCCTCCATAGGGATAATGTTTTAAATATCCACAAGCAAGGTATAAGAGTATTTGTTTCTCTGCAGCCTTACTAACAGTTTGTTATAAAAATTTTGGTATTTGCCAATCTGAAAGGTGAGAAAGAATATCTCAATGTATTTTAATTTGCATTTCTCTTTTTTTTTTTTTTTGAGACGGAGTCTTGCTCTGTCGCCCAGGCTGGAGTGCAGTGGCGCGATCTTGGCTCACTGCAAGCTCTGCCTCCCGGGTTCAAGCCATTCTCCTGTCTCAGCCTCTCGAATAGCTGGGACTACAGGCACCCACCACCATGCCTGGCTAATATTTTGTATTTTTAGTAGAGATGGGGTTTCACTGTGTTAGCCAGGATGGTCTCGATCTCCTGACCTCATGATCCACCGCCTCGGCCTCCCAAAGTGTTGGGATTACAGTCATGAGCCACTGCGCCCGGACTTAATTCGCATTTCTCTTATTATGAATGAGGTTGGGAGGCTTTTTACATGGTTAAGTTTACATATTTTTCCATGAATGAGAAATTGCATTCAACCTCAAATAGTATCTATTAATCTCTTGCTATGAAAGATGAGTGAAGATGAGTGTTTGTGGCTTTTCCATCTTTTCTTTTTTTGCTGTGTAATTCCACAGCAAATTGCTAGTCTGCCCACCATGTCCCCAAATGTGTTCTCAGTCCATGTGTATGGGATACTTCTAATGTTACTAATGTTTTGTTGCTTGCTTCCATTTGTTTCTTGAATTCTAAATTGTTGGGGAGAAGCAGGAGGGTGGTGTTTTGAAGCCAGGGGAGAAAAGTCATCTATTTCCTATAGAGAGGATATTTAACATGTGTAATAAGAAACAGTTAAGTAGGGTTAATAGGTATTTAGCTAGTGTTCCTGGAGAAACTTTAAGAAAATATTGATAAATAATGAACTTGGATGGTTAGATTTAAAGATTCTAGCAGAGACTTTTTAAAATTCTCTTCAAGGATTATGACAGAATGGAAAACTAGGAGACACAGAAGAAGCTGAAATTCCCCAGTTACATACTATTTGTTTTCCTAAGTGTATTTATTGATTTACAGAAAAATGAATATAGTGTTTTTCAAGGACTTTGGTTTCATTTTATTTATTCTGATAAGCAGGCTTTTATTTATTTCTAGCTGAACAGAGAACAAAGAAGAAATGGGAATTTTTTGGCTTCACATTGAGGTTGATGAGAATTCTACTACCTTTGCCATTCTCTTTTTGTTCTCTGCTTTTTAAAAATATCAGACCTTACGAGAATTCATATACAGTTGAGCTGTTTTACAATATTATGGAATGGGATGGACCCATAGGCTCACTGGACTTGCAGCAACAGAAGCCTCTGTCACTTTCAAAGTGTATGTGAAGGGCACATTACTTCTGCCGTGGTTGCTTAAAGTTGATGCCTTGTAGCTGAAGGTTATTCTTGTTCTGGTGATTCAGTGAAAGCTTTTCTGTTGTCTCATATATTAGATTAGCTTCTTCTTTGACTTCAATTTGACTAATTTAGTTCTATGGCTTTTAAAAAATATGTAGGTAACCTTCATGCTGGGCTTATATAAGATGGGTCTCCATTTTGGCATACTTTTTATATGGTACAAAATGTCCTTAAGTAGAAGGCATTGCTACATAGAGTAACTGACCATGGGGCATTTCTGTTCTTTCTCTGTAGCTGCAATTTTGAAAATGTGTGCCATTGTGGTGAGCTTTTAGTATGAACTGACATGTTATAAAATAACTAAATGGTATGTTGTCAGGGTCATAAAGTCATCTTGTGGAATTCTCATGTACAATATTACTTTTCAGGTAAGTCAGAAATTGAATTATGACTTTTTGCTTTTTTTAAGAGGGAGATTAGATTTGACCAGCTATTCATGATCAGAAGGACATTGTAAGACCTAAATATAAGTAGAATCTGTTGTTTTCCTTTGTTTTCATATTTCATATTGGTTAAAGTAATTTTTTTTTTTACCTTTTTTGCTGCTTTCATTTTGGTTGTATGTGTGAGGAAACATGTTTAATTTTGGTTGCTCTGGCTAGAGTAAACACATTTTTTAATTTAATTAATTTTGTTTGAATCTTTTCATAAAGAATTCATAAAACTCATCATTTTTGGGGGAGGCTCAATTTGATCATTTTTCAAAAACATCAATAAGATGGCTATCTAAAGGTTTAATAAAGAGAACTTCAAATACTCAAGCTTATAAAGTTTGAATTACAACATGCTAATGATATTTACCTTTTGTTCTAAAATGTAATATTGTTTTGTTCTGTTGAAATTCAGAGATTTTGGATGCTAAGGAAATAAAAAGTACAGACTCTTGGAGTTCCCCACACTTAGTGCATCTAACAGTTGTAGCCCTAACCCTGGGGCATACCTTTTATGTACCACTCTGGAATTGATTTCAAAGGGCTCAAGATCCTTTAGGAGGCTGTTGTGCATTAGGAATGTGTTTGTTTGTTTTTTTTAAGACAGTACTTTAGGCATGTTGCATTTCTAATTAGTGCACATGTAGGAAATATGCCTTATTGATTTTGAAGTCAAGAAATCCAATAAAATGAGGCCACCGGAGGGAAGCTTTGTTTTAAAGTCTTTTGTTATGAAAACAATCAATGAAAGCACTCTTGAATAATAATTATGAGGTCTATAGATGAGGGAGAGGTTTAATCTGAATGTAGACAAGTAGATTCTGTTCTTTCACTTAAAAGGGGATAATGATATCAACTAATGTTTGTTGAGCCCCTGCCAGGTGTCAGAGATATTGGCTAAGTTAATGGATTTTATATAGATTTTCTTAGGTAATCTTTAAGATCCTTTTGAGGTAGGTACTCTTATTATTCTCATTTTATGGATTAGGAAACTGATGTTCAGGAAAGATCAGTAATTTATCTAAAGTCACCAGCGAGCAGGGAACAGAGCCTGGATTCTCACCCAGGCAGTCCAACTTTAAAGCTGATGCTGATAATCACTGAGGCCCAATAGTGGTGAGAGGTAAGAGAATTTAAGAACTCTTTAGCAGACGGTGGGGGTTGCAGGGTGAAGCGAAAGGATGTCTCACATGGGCTGCTGCATATTACCCTGCTAAGGGTCTGAGTGGAGATGAAATCTAGCCCTCCCTCTGCTGGGCAAACTGTGGGCCTTTCTGCTAACACTTGCAGGGCTGTGTCTACTCAGAGAGTGGCACAGTTTTCTTTTTTTTCTTGTCTTGTCTTTTTTTTTTTTTTTTTTTTTTGAGATGGAATTTCACTGTTGTTGCCCAGGCTGGAGTGCAATGGCGTGATCTCAGCTCACTGCAACCTCCGCCTCCCAGGTTCAAGTGATTCTCCTGCCTCAGCCTCCCGAGTAGCTGGGATTACAGGCGCCCACCACAATTCCCGGCTAATATTTTAAATTTTTATTAGAGACAGGATTTCACTATGTTGGCCAGGCTGGTCTCGAACTCCTGACCTCAGGTGATCCACCTGCCTTGGCCTCTCAAAGTGCTGGAATTACAGGTGTGAGCCACCGTGCCTGGTCAGTTTTCTAATCCATCTGTCCAGAAGGGGCATATTTTTTTAATTCACCTGAAGGCAAATCTCAATTCTACAGTCATACTCTGAATATCACTGCCTGTATTTCCATTCACTTGCAATAGTGGACTTCAACCTACCTCTTTCTAGTCTACATGCTTCCTTGGTAGTCTCATTGTATCTACCTTTATGCTGACAACTCCAAAAGTTATATTTTCATTTCAGATTTCTCTTTCAAACCCTGCTCTTGTATATCTAACTGCCTACTTTACATCTTCACTTTGATGTTAATATGCACCTCAAATTTATCATGTCCCCAGCTGGACTCTTCTTCTTCCTGCTCCTCTTGCAGCCATTCCCACCTCAGTTAATGGCAACTCTATCCTTCCAGTTGCTCCAGATCGAAAAACTTAAAGATATCTTGAGTTCTCTCTAGCCTATGTTTAATCTTTCATGAATTCCTGTTGTCTCAATTGTCAAACTATATCTACAATCTGAACCCTGTGTCCACTTCTGCTACCACCAACCAGTTCTAAGCCATTATTTTATCTCATCTAGGTTACTATGGGAACTCCCAATGGCTGTCCCTATTTTTTCTTTTGCCCTTCGTACTTCGTTCTATTCACCAGAGTGATTCCTCTAAATAAAACAGTTGATGTTTTAGTGCTCAAACATCTGCAATAGTTCTTATGATCTGCAGCCTCCATACCTTTCTGACTTTCTCTCTTACTATGCTCTTTGTAGCTCACTCTGCCCTGCTTACACTGGCCTCCTTGCTGTTCTGCCACTGCTTTTCTGCCTTAGGCTTCTGTTGTGATGTTACTTCTGCCTGCAGTGCTCTTCCCCCGGCTGTCTGCTTGGCTAATTTTCTTGCCTCTTCGAGTCTTGCTCAGATGTCCCCTTCTCAATGAGGCTAGTCTTGACCTTATTTAATACTGAAATCTGCTCTGAACTTCCCTATCACCCAGCCCTGCCTACTCTATTCTGCTTTTTCTTTTTTAAAATGGCATATGTTATTTTCTAATATACGAAATCATTTACTATTTATTATCTTTATTGTTTATGGTCACACTCTCCTCGTGATTGGCACAGAGTAGATAGTCAGTAAATATAAGTTGAAAGAATGAATAAATGAATGATGCCCTATAGTCTAGGGATACGTCTGATCTCACATCATTTTGCTCTTATAGCCTACCAAAAAGCTAGGTGGGAGAGTTTATATAGATTATTGCCCTCTATGTAAACACATCAAAAATATTTGTAAAGTCCAGGAAGAGCATTTGAAAAGAATGAGACCCAACTATTCCTTCATCACTTACGATATCAGGCAGTTTCTTGATTTTATTGATCTGACAAACCTCAGATCCTTTTGTTTACCAAGAGAGTAGAAGGTGTATGTATTTCTTTCTTGGTAGGCCAAACATACCAGCAAATTATTGCACTGGAAACATGGAGGTGGGGCTTGGAAAACCAGTGTGTATAGAAATTGTAGTGGAAGTTTTATATTACAGTTGTCTTCTTTCCATTTTATTTCACTCTAGCCAAGACTCAATTGTATAAAATCAGCTATGATAATATTGTATGGCAAACTTCCCTTGCCTCCTTTTCCTTTACTTAAATCTTCTTGTGATGATTTAGATTTTTTTTTTCAGTTAACATCTGGTTTCAATCCTTCACATTATTCCTGACTATATTATACTAATTTTTCTGAGGCATGGTGATGGGGGAGAGCGAGGCTTATAAAGTTCAGTTATGCATTCAAGATAAATTTTTTTTTTTTTTTTTTTTGAGACGGAGTCTCGCTCTGTTTCACGATCTTCTAATCTTGGCTCACTGCAGCCTCTGCCTCCTAGGTTCCAGCAATTCTCCTGTCTCAGCCTCCTGAGTAGCTGGGATTACAGGCACATGCCACCATGCCTGTCTAATTTTTGTATTTTTAGTAGAGATGGGGTTTCACCATGTTGGCCAGGCTGGTCCTGAACTCCTGACCTCAGGAGATTGTAGTGGAAGGCTGGCCTCTGCCTCCCAAAGTGCTGGGATTACAGGCATGAGCCACCGCACGCGACCTCAAGATAAATTCTTAATGAAAATTTTTAAAATACTCTTTTATAACATTATTTCAGTACTTGACAGTCTTTCACTAGTTGCTGATCCTTTCTTCTGATATTTTGGGAGACAGGTATTAGGCAAAGGTTAACATTTGTGATGATGGTGGGGATTGGCACCTACTATTAATACAAATATTTCTCTTTTATATTTAACTAAATAGAGTTTCACTAAATGAGATCCACTGTGAATCCATGAAGCCCAAAGATACTTTTGGTGGAAGACTTGTTGACATGATCAGAATAGTTTAAACTTGAGGAAGAGACACTTATTTCCAGATAAAACCATCAAACATATATGAATGTGCACACCTGTGTGTATGTGTTAGTGTTATGACAATAATCAGGGCATAGAAAGAACCATGTTAATAGAGATGATGTATAGTACTTATCAGGAGAAAACATGGGAGAAGGTCGATAATAAATAAGAATAGTTACCTGGGAGAACACAAATTAAATATAATCACAGATATACTAATAAATCATGAATGTTTTTTATTTCTGTGTTTTCGACTATTTAACCTTTAATTATTTACTCATGAATGGAATTTTGAATGTTCACAAAATAATTTTAATAAAAGAGGTAGAGAAATACACATATAGTGAATGCACACTCTTGCATGGAAATCAGAAGCTTAAGGAAAGAATAATAACAGAGAGCATTTGGATGGAGGAAAGAGAAGTAAGAGAAGAGATATTGTCACACAGCTTAATACTTCAGTAACTTTACTGGTCCAGATTTAAAAAACTATTACAGTAACAGATGACACATTCTAAAAATTTTAAGAAACCTTCTCTTAGAAGTGGAATAACAGCCAGGTGTGGTGGTGCGCGCCTGTGGTCCCAGCTACTTGAGAGGCTGAGTGGGAGGATTGCTTGGGCCTGGGAGGTGGAGGTTGCAGTGGTGAGCTGTGATCACGCCACTGGCACTCCAGCTTGGGCAACAGAGTGACCCTGCCTCCAAAAAAAAAAAAAAGTGGAATAACATGACTTTTCACCTTAACTCTTTGGCAATTATATATCTTGGCATATTGAGGAAACAATGAAAGAAGCAAATCTGACCACTTGGTGATATGGAGTGCTAGAAAGTCTGGGCAGGCCTATCTTTAACGTTTGTATTGGGAAGTGTGAGGGTACAGACGGAGGCCTGCACACCATATGCCTATGTGTATAAGTTACAATTCTATGTAATAGGCTGCTAAAGTAGGCTCTACTCGCCAATCTTTCTACTTTGAGAAATATACCTTCAAATAACCCAGAAGGCAAGATTGGTTTTAGAATCCTTGGGTTCCTTTTAGAAGGAGGTGGTGGAGGTGGAGCTCACCTCTGTGTCCCTGACACATGGCCTGTTCTCTTCTCTTCCCACTTCTGGCTGTCTTGCACTTGAGGGGCCTTGAGTGCCTGCAAGTTGACAGCCCAGCCTGTACACCCAAACTCAATCTGCACTCATTGGCAAACAGCTGCCTTTTGGCTACCTCTCAGGTATAGGGTTGGGCACATTGAATGGTTCAGTCTTGGAAGGATGGATTCCACGAAGAGGCCAACATAGGCACTGGAAGTGGGTTTGCACTCGTTGAGCAGGGAGTTGAGACACTGGCTACCCTGGGTAGGATAGGATAGAATAGATGTGGGCTCTGGGTGGGTGCATCATCTTGGCCCCATGGACACTTCCAAAGCATGAGGATAGGGGGTGGGGAAGCTTTTGCCCAGGGTTATAGAGAAAGTGGCCATTTATTTGGGTGATAATCCCAAATAAGATAATGTTAGACATGCCTCCTAGACTTTAAGAGAAGTAAATTTCAACAATTTCAGATTAACACGAAATATGATTCCAAGGGACTATATATGACATAAAAGGAATGTGATAAATTAAACATGAAGAAAGAAGATGCATAGTTGGTAGGGCCTGGGCTTTACTACATTTTCTTTCACTGGAACCTAAGATTGTGGCTGATGTGTTTAAGTCCTCCATAAATAGTTGTTGAACAACAACATAAACAACCCCAAACTCCAATGTATCTGTGTAGGGGTACAAATTTGAAAGAATATGAATTAAAGATGAGAAGAGGGACATATGTAGTTTGGATATTTGTCCCCACCCAAGTTTCATGTAGAATTGTGATTCCCAGTGTTGGAGGTGGGGTCTGGTGTGGAGTGATTGGACTTTGGGGGCGGATTTCTCATGATGGCTTAGCACCAGCCTCTTGGTGTTGTCCTCATGATAGTGAGTGAGTTCTTGAGAGATCTGGCTGTTTAAAAGTGTGTGGCACCTCTCTCTCTTTCTCTCTTGCTCCTGTTCTCACCATGTGAGATGCTTGCTCCCCACCTTGCCTTCTGCCATGAGTAAAAGCTCCCTGAGGCCTCCCTAGAAGCTGAGCAGATGCCAGCACCATGCTTTCTGTATAGCCTGCAGAACCATGAGCCAATTAAATATCTTTTCTTTATAAATTACCCAATCTCAGGTATTTCTTATAGCAATACAAGAATAGCTTAATACAGGGACACCTGACTGAAGGCAAATAAAAGAGAATGGCAGAAACTAGGAAAAGTAAAGTTGGGAAGGCTAAAGCACTTCTCATTTGCTAGGTCTGGCAGGACATGCTGAAGGTAAGAAAAACAAAAACAGGAAGGAATAGATCCTCTACATTAGTCACATGATAAGGGATTAATAGATGACTTATGATACATCTAAACTATGATGTCAAATTGGCAAGGGTGGAACAAAGATTAAGGGAATTGAATTGAGTAGAAAAACAAAAATGTTATAATTCGTATTAAATATATAAATCCATATGTTCTGGTATTATGTATGATATCTCTGGAACTATAAGAGTAAGTGCCCAAAGTAGTTGCCTCTGGGAGGGAAATTAGGTGGTAGGAAGACAGGGATGAGAGAGAGAGAGACTTGGTTTCACTATATACATTATTAAACCTTGTATTACCTAATAAAATGTTTAATTAATTAAACAATAATTGAAACTCTAGATGATGAAAGTAAAGAAGATAGCCTAGTCTCTTTAAATTAGTTGAAGTACATACATCCAAAAGGAGTATATCCCTGAACCCTAAAATGATCTTTAGATGTGATAACAGAAACTTTCTTGGGAATCCCTGAGAAATGGTAGACCTGCCAGAAAGCAGAGTGCTCTGGAGTGAATGTTTGTATCTTCCCCACCTGCCACTGCAAATCCATGTGTTGAAATCCTAACTCCCAGGGTGATGATATTAGAATGGTGGAGCCTTTGGGAGCTAATTAGGCCATGAGTGTATAGTCCTCATCAATAGGATTAGTGTCCTTATAAGAAGAGACATGATGTGTTCTGCTATCTGCCATGCGAAGATACAGAGAGAAGGCAGCCATCTGCAGACCAGAAAGCTGGCCCTCACCAGACACCAGATGGGCCAGTACCTTGAACTAGGACTTCCCAGCCTCCAGAACTGTGAGAAGTAAATGTTTGTCGTTTAAGCCACCCAGTCTATGATATATTTGTTATAGCACCATGAACTAATACATAGAGAAGAGCAAATATTCTTATTTTCAACATAGGTAAAAAGATGATCTCTTTAATTAGACTGGACATCTAGGTGCCAATCTGTAGGAAAACTAAAAACCTAATTTGTAAATAAAGGGCAGTAATTACTAGCAGTCAGCATGAATTCTTCACGAACAAGTCATGCCAAACTATAAATATATATTTTTTGAGCTCTTAAACAGGAAGGTGTAGAAAGGGTGTTTCTATTTCATTAAAACATTGGGAAAAGCCTCTTCATGATATATCTATATTTTTGACGAAATGAAAAAGGTAGATTATTTCACACAACAGTGTTTAATAATATTGAAAATCATGTCTAAAGTGTTTATTAATTGATCATTACATATCTGGAAAGAGATTTGTAACAGTATCAAAATTAGGTTTTATGTCTGGCCTTCACCTGTTTAATGACTTAATAGGGAATTCTAGAATTCATACTGGACAAATTAATGGATAAACAGGGAAATGGGAGGGGGTGTTAATGTGTTGGGTTCTCCCAAACCAATTTTTGACTAGCAGGAATAAAAGTCCATATTCTACAGGATAAGGTGTTAGGAAGACAAAATAAAATTCTGCATTTAGGAGTAAATAAAAATCATTTGTTTAAAGATGTGATGAGAGACTTGAGTTTGCAATAATCTTTGAAATAAAAAAGACTTAAACATTTTAGTTGAAAAGTGAGTATAAAGTTAGACTAATTAGGTAAGTATGATGACTGTGTCATGGAATTTAATAAGCTTAAAGGAGAATCAGCCATCACCTTACAAACTAATTGTGTTACAAAAGTTAATCTTTTTTTTTTTAAATTAAATATTTGATATTAGGGAATTTTCTATAGGAACCACATTACAGATGGTTAGGTTTCCAAGCCATCCCACAAGAACATGACAACTTATGTAAAAGAATTGTAGTTTTACTAAGAGGAGCCTGAGCTCTAGAGTGGGTGGTGAAGAGTGGGGAGGCAGTGGGGGAGGGGGTGGTGGTTATGTGTTACTGTAGGGAGGAGAAGTAGGTGCCAAATGTTTTCTGTTTAATATTTGTGAGGGAATGGCAACCCTTAGGCAAATTTTGGAAATGAATAGTTTTCCACTGGCCTCTCTGTGCATCTCTCTGATCTTCCATCATCCCTCTCCTTTGCTGCCAGGGCACGATGAAAACACAACGTGGTTCGTGCTGTAATAGAGACGTGCACAGGGTGTCAAATGGCAAGCAATGAGCTAGTTCATACTAATGTGTGACTGAATGTGTGCACCCCATGACCTCTCAGAATTAACTGCATTTAGAAATGAAATGTGTGTTAAACCAAATGAACTTAAAATTGATATAAAATGATAAAAGTTCAGTTTCCAGCAGGGAATAAAGTGGAATGAAGAAAATTGAGTCATTGCAGACAAAGATAGTTTGGGGAGAAGGGAAGGATCCATATGGTTGGGTTTGCCCTGCCTTGGTGTCTTTCTCTGGAGACATCTATCACCACTGTCAAGAGATTTGTTCTCCTTCCTTTAATTCTGAAAACTGGAATTTTGTTATAGTCTCTCTCCAAATCTGTACTTTTCTTACTTTATTTATAAAGCGTACTTTTTCCCCTTTATTAAGCCATCTCTTTTGGATAAAAGTTTAAAAGTGGCAGGTTTCAACTCAACGAGCATCTAATGGTATAGTAAGCTTCTCATCATTTCTATTCATCCAAGCCCAGTGTGTTGGTGAAATGAAGGTTGTGTAGAAGGTATTCTTGAATCGTTTGGGAGGTACTGCCTAACTCCTAAGATTTTATAGATTACAAAATGCAAATGCCGGCCAGGGTGGTGGCTCACGCCTGTAATCCTAGCACTTTGGGAGGGTGAGGCGGGCGGATCACCTGAGGTCAGGAGTTCAAGACCAGCGTGACCAACATGGAGAAACCCTGTCTCTACTAAACATACAAAATTAGCCAGGCGTGGAGGTGCATGCCTGTAATCCCAGCTACTTGGGAGGCTGAGGCAGGAGAATCACTTGAACTTGGGAGGCGGAGGTTGTGGTGAGCCGAGATCAGGCCATTGTACTCCAGCCTGGGCAACAAGAGCAAAACTCAGTCTCAAAAATAAAAC
This sequence comes from Homo sapiens, assembly GCF_000001405.40. Lineage (NCBI taxonomy): Eukaryota > Metazoa > Chordata > Mammalia > Primates > Hominidae > Homo > Homo sapiens. Next base: position 67,649,845 of record NC_000010.11, on the reverse strand, counting down.
AAAATAAAATGCAAATGCCTCAGAATGTAATACTTACAACCTAGTAGGATTTTTGTTTTGGATTTGCGTTGTGGTATTGCTATATCTACAAATTTGTCAGATTTTGACTTTGCTTCAATTTCATTTGCAAAATTATGCAGTTTTCTGCCTATGATAGCCCTAATTTCCAATCAGTCAGGAATACTGACCAGGACATACAAAAGAGCAGGAAGACTTTTTAAAAATAAGAAATAGCATTTATTTAAAGATTAATAATTATATGAAGCCAAGTTCTTTAAGGATTTATTTTTTTTAAGTAATTTTTACCATGGAAAAATGAACTTTTGAAAAACTTTTACTTAATTTGTGTTAAAGACATGAACACAGACTTAAAAGATACTTTGGCTAAATTAGGTTGTCTTTTATCTCTTGGCTAAAAAGCACTCCTTTTAGAAAGCTCCTTCTAGGTTGAAAAATTCTTCTAGAAGGATTTACATATGATATGGATAATTTTTGCTCTCCTTAATTTTTTATCTTCCTTACTTTCAATTTCTGGTGGCCATGTAGCTTTGGAAACCAGTCGTGAATTTCACGGTGAAAATGACATGTTTTTAAAGGCTGCGAAGGTTCACCAAATTTTATTTTAGTTCACAACAGTCTCCTCTACTTTTGTCCTTCAGATGAAAGAACAAAGCAATGGCAGAAATCTTGACTTGATTTTTATGTAGGATAGTACCTGTCGTAGAGGAGTAACAAATAAATTCTTTTGTGAGCACTTATTTGATAGAACCCTAAGGCTATACACTGAAGGACATATCCTATTGCACAGATTGGCTCTGGGCTATGCAGAAAGGTCACCACAGGAATAGGCTATCTGTCAATTTAGATTTCCCTGTGTTAGAAGGAATCAAAGTGGTAGGTGAAATGATTGAAAAAGCAAAATCAAAACCAAACCAAACTAAAACATTTCAGTTCTAGAAATGCATTTGAGAGAAACCATTTGGCAATAGTGTTTGGAGCCTTTCTTGAAGCGTGTCTCTTACATTGCAGCTGAATCGCTGAGAAAAGAGACCATGTTTCTACTTTTAGAAGGAGAATGAAATCAACGCAAAGGAGAGAGAAACAAGGTAAAACAGGGCTAAATTGTAGGGCTTTGACTTTATATGTTGATGTATCATATGCCAATAACAGTAATTTGAAACTTTGATTTGAGAAGAAACTCAAGTAATATCTTTTCACTTAATAGAATTTGAATAATTATTTTTTCAAGGCAAAATCTTTCAAAAAGTAAAGGAATTGTAGCCACCCTGTAAGTGGCTTGTGATAGAGTTAAGCACAGACTAGGAACAAGGACACACTTGGCAGGTTTGAAGGGGCAAATGGGGCCCTGGGCAGGCCATTTGGGTTATTTTCAATAAGAGAAAGAGAACTATCTAGAAATGTGCTACATTTCAGGAAGTGTGCTCTCTCTTTGCAATCAACGATGCCAGTGGGTTTCATCTAAAATTCTTAACACTTACTGTAGTTTTTAGTAGATTAATAAATAATATATTATAGCTATTTGAAAATATGGCTAGAGTTTTTGAACGTTAATCCGACTATGACATGCCACATATGGTCATTTGGTATAAATGTATATTGTTAGGCAAAAATCTCACTGAATTGATTTTTAAGGATAACGTTAATGCCTTAGAGAATGGCTTGCAATTCTTTTTTTTCTTCTTATTTTGTCTTGACCAAATATCAATGCCTTCTCAGGGGCTTCTCTCTTTTTACAACAACTGTGCAATTTGTATTAGTTTCTTTTCCTGTCCAAGAAGGTAAATTGCCTTTAACCTTCTCCAATCAAAACCCTCAAATAAACAATCTCTAAATCAAGTAAGGACATATCTTTACTTGTTCCCATGTCTTTCAAAGGTTTACTTGTTCCTTGTCTAAGTCATCATTAACAAGAAGAAGCAAAATATGGGCATAGGCTGCCTCAGTGCTGTGATTTCACAGAAGCCAAAGGACTTGAATGCTGTAAGATGTGTCTTACCTTTCTGATCACTTAAGACTACTGATCAAATACAAACCCACCCCGGATGAGTTGTTAATTTAATCATGAACATACTTGTGTAGATTAATTTGTTACAGGACCTAAGCCCAGGCAGCATGACCTCAGGGAACAGTTGGGGAATATCTTCTTTCTCTGAAGGTAGATTTTGTAGCCTGGTCCTCTGAGGGCTATGGTTGATATCAGGAAGAGGTGCTGAATACAAGTTTTACCTATTCCATGATTTCATAAGTGTTCTTCTTTAGAAAACAGTTTTCTTTATTAATAAGCATCCTTTTGTGTTTGTGCACAGGCAGCATGTCAGCTGAAACACCAATCACATTGAATATCGATCCTCAGGATCTGCAGGTCCAAACATTCACCGTGGAGAAGCTACTGGAGCCTCTCATAATCCAGGTATTAATACCATGGAAATTATGATATATAGTAACTGCAGAAGAATGAAAAATATGTGGGAAAAATGAATAATGAAGAATAAAAGATTTGATTTTTATATATAAATATGTCATCTAAAATTGTCCTTTAAAGAGTTGTTAAGATGTGAAAAGTAGGTATGTGTGTTGTTAAGATGTGAAAAAGTATGTATTCTGAAAGTTTCCCCCACATTCTCTTTTAGCAAGAATAGCAGTAATAATATATATATATATATATATATATATATATAATTTTCAGAGTACCTTTATATAAATTATCTTCTTTGATAATCGTGAAAACTGAATGAGGCAGGTAACATGGTTAAAACCATCTTTATTACATAGATGAGGAAACTGAGGCCTAGAGAATTTCACTAACTTGCCTCAGGCACATGGCATCTCATTTGCCAAATGGGAAACTACCTTTAAAATACTAAAATGTATGAGAAAAGCAGCTATTTAAAGGAATTCTGTGATGAAGTCTTTCATAAGGTGAATAATCCTTTGATGATATGCATAATGATTCTCTGACTTTTTTTATTATGTAAGTCGAGATTTCATGTATTGGATTTTCTTAGAGCAGGGCTTGAAGAAACTTATGCAGTGGTATAGATTTAAATTTTTGTCATTAACCCACAATTTGTGAGGGAACTCCCCTTTAGGCCTGCCTTACATCTTGCCTCCTAATACAAGATTCAAGTCCCTTTTCCTAGGGACTCAAAGAACCCAAGGGTTACTTGGGTGAAAAACTATGCCGACCTTTCCTCAGATAATTTAAATATGTTCTGCTTATCTTTTTTGTGAGATGGATGTGGGGAGGGGAGTAGCTCTGAGAATAGACTTTGTATATATTTTTACAAGTTTACATATTTTTATCAATTTGTACATGTTGTACAAGTTGATATCTGCTACTCGAAAGACAATTCAAAACATGTGCATCCCTGATGATACCTTAATAGTTAACTTTGGCAGTCTTAACGGCACTAATATCTGGTGTGAAATTTATACTAGATGACTGTGGAGACTTCATTAAAGTCCGTCTTAGCCACTCACTAAACAGTTTCATGTTAAAAAGAAAAAAGGCTGGGTGCAGTGGCTCATGTGTATAATCCCAGCACTTTGGGAGGCCAAGGCAGGAGGATCGCTTAAGTCCAGGAGTTAAAGACCAGCCTGGGCAACATAGTGAGACCCTGTTTAAAAAAAAAAAAAAAGAAAGAAAAACCCTCATTTGTTTTTCTAATGAAGTTCACAAAAAAATTGGAATGTCAAAAAAAGTTAAAAAAAAGAATAAAAACACTCATAATTTTACCAAGAGATAAACATTAATGTTTTGGTGCGTTTACTTCCAGTACAATAAAGTTGTGGGAGATTTTTATCATCTTTGTACTTTGTAATATTAAAGAATATATCTTCTTTATATATATCCTTACACGTATATATATTATATATATATATATGAAGAATATATATATATTAACAAGTGGAGCTAGTACTATATATGCAGGGTTTAATCCCACTTTTCCATTTTAAATGATATTTTAATAATTTCCCTATTTATTTGTAAGCATGGTTTAATAAAGCTGCTATTTACTTATATATGATATGGCTGCACTACAGTTTTTTTAAAGTAGCCTCACATTTTTGGACATTTAGGGTGTTTCTATTTTTTTCCTATTATAAATATTGCTCTGCTGAACATCTTTGTATATACATTTTTGTCATCAATTTGTATTATTTCACTAGAATTAGTTACAAATGTAAAAGTTAATGGCCAAGATATGAATATTTTTATACTTTTTCATACATATCACCAAGTTTTTTGGGGACAGTTTTAAATGAGTTCTCACAAGTCATTTAAGGTTTTGTTCCTATCCAATTATAAGGAGTAGGAATAGGGAAATGACCTTCATTTCGGAGATGGCTGGTGAAAACAAATACATTAATGCTAGTTTATAACCCTTATTTGCTCTATAACAATGGAACATTACAGTTGGTCACTTAAAACTTGCTAATCACAAAGGTTGCTGACATATTGCTTATAAACAGAGAGAGTATCATGGGGAAACTACTTTTTATATTCTAACTGAAACTAATAGATATTTTGCTTTAGTCAAGTACATTGCTAAAGAAGTTAATAGAAAGTATTCTAAGTAAATTCACATTAAAGGGTAATGCTAGTCACAGTGTGTGTGTGTGTGTGTGTGCGCGCACGTGCACATTTTATGGCATGTTCTAAATAGATAATAACCATCTATAAACATTTATTGAGTTCACCTATAAAATTAGAAGGATGAAAATGACCTGAGTAATCTTGTTTGATTGGAAAGAAATGTATCTCTTTTAAAAAGTGTGATTATACTAGTTTTAGAGGGCTTTTGATGTTCTTGGATTCAAACTTTTCATGATCCACAAGTAGATGAGTCACAGAAATGGAACTCATTACCTTTTACATACCAGACAGTTCTGTTACATGTAAATATAATTGCTAATTTTGTCTTCCTTAAGATTGATGTCAATGTTTTCAAAATAGTCACTGATTTCTTAAAAGTACTTTGGTATAAAACATCAACGTCTCAGGTATAAAAATGATTTTATGGTCTTAGCAATACTCAAGTGATATTAAATTAAAATATTAATAATTTATATAATATCAACTTATGCAATAACTATCTTATAAAGCAGAATTCTATTTAACTAAATTATTTGTATACACTCTTGTTTTTTTAATAATGGGATTCTCCTTATCAAAAACCAGTACATTTCAAAGTCAAAGAGTTATATTTTAAAATAACTGATCTTTCTGGATTTGATGTTCAGCCTTCTTGTATCTGTCACTTTGATCATGTATAACCCACCAACACAAATAAAATATCTCATTAAATTATATTAAAGGTTTTTTTTTCTAGGATAACATCATGTTAAGTGTCTCATTACATTCTTTTTTGTTTTTCAAAAAGTGTTTATTTTTATTTTTTTAGATAAGAATAGCTGTTTAAAATTTACAAGAAAAAACAAACAACTCCATCAAAAAGCGGACGAAGGATAGGAACAGACACTTCTCAAAAGAAGACATTTATGTGGCCAACAAACATATGAAAAAAAGCTCATCATCACTGGTCATTAGAGAAATGCAAATCAAAACCACAATGAGATACCATCTCACGCCAGTTAGAATGGTGATCATTAAAAAGTCAGGAAACAACAGATGCTGGAGAGGACATGGAGAAATAGGAATGCTTTTACACTGTTGGTGGGAGTGTAAATTAGTTCAACCATTGTGGAAGGCAATGTGGCAATTCCTCAAGGATCTAGAACCAGAAATACCATTTGACCCAGCCATCTTGTTACTGGGTATATATCCAAAGGATTATAAATCATTCTACTATAAATACACATGCACACGTATGTTTATGGGAGCACTATTCACAATAGCAAAGACTTGGAACCAACCCAGATGCCCATCAATGATAGACTGGATAAAGAAAATGTGGCACATATACACCATTGAATACTATGCAGCCATAAAAAAGGATGAGTTCATGTCCTTTGCAGGGACATGGATGAAGCTGGAAACCATCATTTTCAGCAAACTAACACAAGAAGAGAAAACCAAGCGCCACATATTCTCACTCATAAGTGGAAGTTGAACAATGAGAACACATGGACACAGGGAGGGGAACATCACATACTGGGGCCTGTTGGGAGGTGGGGGCTAGGGGAGGGATAGCATTAGGAGAAATACCTAATGTAGATGATGGGTTGATGGATGCAGCAAACCACCATGGCATGTGTATACCTATGTAACAAACCTGCACGTTCTGCATATGTATCCCAGAACTTAAGGTATAATAAAAGAAAAAAAAAGAGTAACCTGTTTATTTGAAAAGACTAAGTAGACCTCAGTATTTATTTTTCATCAACTTTTATTTTAAGTTCAGGAGTACATGTGCAGGATGTGCAGGTTTGTTACATAGGTAAACACGTGCCATGGTGGTTGGCTGCACAGATCATCCCATCACCTAGGTATTAAGCCCAGCGTCCATTAGCTATTCTTCCTGATGCTCTCCCTCCTCCCACCCCTGCTGACAGACCCCAGTGTGTTCCCCCCATGAGTCCATGTGTTCTCATCCTTCAGCTCCCACTTATAAGTGAGAACATGTGGTGTTTGGTTTTCTGTTCCTGCATTAGTTTGCTGAGGATAATGACTTCCAACTCCATCCATGTCCCTACAAAGGACGTGAACTTGTTCTTTTTTATGACTGCATAGTATTCCATGGTATATATGTACCACATTTTCTTTATCCAGTCTATCACTGATGGGCGTTTAGGTTGATTCCATGTCTTTGCTATTGTGAATAGTGCTGCAGTGAACATGCATGTGCATGTATCTTTATAATGGAATGATATATATTCCTTTGGGTATATACCCAGTAATGGGATTGCTGAGTCAAATGGTATTTCTGCATCTAGGTCTTTGAGAAATCGCCACGCTGTCTTCCACAATGTTTGAACTAATTTACATACCCACCAACAATGTAAAAGCATTCCTTTTTCTCTGCAACCTTGTCAGCATCTGTTGTTTTTTGACTTTTTAATAAGCATTCTGACAATGAGATGGTAGCTCATTGTCATTTTGATTTGCATTTCTCCGATGATCAGTGATGTTGAACTTTTTTTTTTTGAGACAGAGTCTTGCTCTGTCACCCAGGCTGGAGTGCAGTGGCATGATCTCAGCTCACTGCAACCTCTACCTGCTGGGTTTCAGTGATTCTCCTGCATCAGCTTCCTGGTAGCTGGATTTACAGGCACATGCCACCATACCCGGTTAATTTTTGTATTCTTAGTAGACACGGGGTTTCACCATGTTGGCTAGGCTGGTCTCGAACTCCTGACCTCAGGTGATCCACCTGCCTCAGTCTCCCAAAGTGCTGGGATTGCAGGCATGAGCCACCGCACCCAGCTGATAAACTTTTTTTCATGTTTATTGGCCGCATGTATGTCTTCTTTTGAGAAGTGTCTGTTCATGTCTTTTGCCCACTTTTTAATGTTTTTTTTTTCTTGTAAATTTGTTTAAGTTCCTTGTAGACTCTGGATATTAGACCTTTGCCAGATGAATAGATTGCAAAAATTTTCTCCCATTCTGTAGGTTGTCTGTTCACTCTGATGATAATTTCTTTTGCTGTGAGGAAACTCTTTAGTTTAATTAGAACCCATTTGTCTGTTTTTGCTTTTGCTGCAATTGCTTTTGGCATTTTCATCATGAAATCTTTGCCTTTGCCTATGTCCTGAATGCTATTGCCTCAATTTTCTTCTAGGGTTTTTATAGTTTTGGGTTTTACATTTAAATATTTAATCCATCTTGGGTTTTTTAATTATTATTATTGTTTTTTTATTTGCTTTAAGTTTTAGAGTACATGTGCACAATGTGCAGGTTTGTTACATATGTATACATGTGCCATGTTGGTGTGCTGCACCCATTAACTTGTCATTTACATTAGGTATACCTCCTAATGCTATCACTCCCCGCTCCCGGCTACCCCACGACAGGCCCAGGTGTGTGATGTTCCCCTTCCTGTGTCCAAGTGTTCTCATTGTTCAATTCCCACCTATGAGTGAGAACACGTGGTGTTTGGTTTTTTGTCCTTGCGATAGTTTGCTGAGAATGATGGTTTCCAGCTTCATCCATGTCCCTACAAAGGACATGAACTCATCATTTTTTATGGCTGCATACTATTCCATGGTGTATATGTGCCACATTTTCTTAATCCAGTCTATCATTGTTGGACATTTGGGTTGGTTCCAAGTCTTTGCTATTGTGAATAGTGCTGCAGTAAACATACGTGTGCATGTGTCTTTATAGTAGCATGATTTATAATCCTTTGGGTATATACCCAGTAATGGGATGGCTGGGTCAAATGGTATTTCTAGTTCTAGACCCCTGAGGAATCACCACACTGACCTCCACAATGGTTGAAGTAGTTTACAGTCCCACCAATAGTGTAAAAGTGTTCCTATTTCTCCACATCCTCTCTAGCACCTGTTTTTTCCTGACTTTTTAATGATTGCCATTCTAACTGGTGTGAGATGGTATCTCATTGTGGTTTTGATTTGCATTTCTCTGATGGCCAGTGATGATGAGCATTTTTTCATGTGTCTTTTGGCTGCATAAATGTCTTCTTTTGAGAAGTGTCTGTTCATATCCTTTGCCCACTTTTTGATGGGGTTGTTTGTTTTTTTTCTTGTAAATTTGTTGGAGTTCTTTGCAGATTCTGGATATTAGCCCTTTGTCAGATGACTAGATTGCAAAAATTTTCTCCCATTCTGTAGGTTGCCTATTCACTCTGATGGTAGTTTCTTTTGCTGTGCGGAAGCTCTTTAGTTTAATTAGATCCCATTTGTCAATTTTGGCTTTTGTTGCCATTGCTTTTGGTGTTTTAGACATGAAGTCCTTGCCCATGCCTATGTCCTGAATGGTATTGCCTAGGTTTTCTTCTAGGGTTTTTATGGTTTTGGGTCTAACATTTAAGTCTTTAATCCTTCTTGAATTAATTTTTGTATAAGGTGTAAGGAAGGGATCCAGTTTCAGCTTTCTATATATGGCTAGCCAGTTTTCCCAGCACCATTTATTAAATAGGGAATCGTTTCCCCATTTCTTGTTTTTGTCAGGTTTGTCAAAGATCAGATGGTTGTACTTGTGTGGCATTATTTCTGAGGGCTCTGTTCTGTTCCATTGGTCGATATCTCTGTTTTGGTACCAGTACCATGCTGTTTTGGTTACTGTAGTCTTGTAGTATAGTTTGAAGTCAGGTAGTGTGATGCCTCCAGCTTTGTTCTTTTGGCTTAGGATTGACTTGGCAATGCAGGCTCTTTTTTGGTTCCATATGAACTTTAAAGTAGTTTTTCCCAATTCTGTGAAGAAAGTCATTGGTAGCTTGATGGGGATGGCATTGAATATATAAATTACCTTGGGCAGTATGGCCATTTTCATGATATTGATTCTTCCTATCCATGAGCATGGAATGTTCTTCCATTTGTTTGTATCCTCTTTTATTTCATTGAGCAGTGGTTTGTAGTTCTCCTTGAAGAGATCCTTCACATCCCTTGTAAGTTGGATTCCTAGGTATTTTATTCTCTTTGAAGCAATTGTGAATGGGAGTTCACTCATGATTTGGCTCTCTGTTTGTTTGTTATTGGTGTATAAGAATGCTTGTGATTTTTGCACATTGATTTTGTATCCTGAGACTTTGCTGTAGTTGCTTATGAGCTTAAGGATATTTTGGGCTGAGACAATGGGGTTTTCTAGATATACAATCATGCCATCTGCAAACAGGGACAGTTTGACTTCCTGTTTTCCTAATTGAATACCCTTTATTTCCTTCTGCCTGATTGCCCTGGCCAGAACTTCCAACACTATGTTGAATAGGAGTGGTGAGAGAGGGCATCCCTGACTTGTGCCAGTTTTCAAATGGAATTCTTCCAGTTTTTGCCCATTCAGTATGATATTGGCTGTCGGTTGGTCATAAATAGCTCTTATTATGTTGAGATATGTCCCATCAATACGTAATTTATTGAGAGTTTTTAGCATGAAGGGCTGTTGAATTTTGTGAAAGGCCTTTTCTGCATCTATTGAGATAATCATGTGGTTTTTGTCGTTGGTTCTGTTTATATGCTGAATTACATTTATTGATTTGTGTATGTTGAACCAGCCTTGCATCCCAGGGATGAAGCCCACTAGATCATGGTGGATAAGGTTTTTGATGTGTTGCTGGATTCGGTTTGCCAGTATTTTATTGAGGATTTTTGCATCGATGTTCATGAGAGATATTGGTCTAAAATTCTCTTTGTTTGTTATGTCTCTGCCAGGCTTTGGTATCAGGATGATGCTGGCCTCATAAAATGAGTTAGGGAGGATTCCCTCTTTTTCTGTTGATTGGAATAGTTTCAGAAGGAATGGTACCAGCTCCTCCTCATACCTCTGGTAGAATTCGGCTGTGAATCTGTCTGGTCCTGGACTTTTTTTGGTTGGTAAGCTATTAATTATTGCCTCAATTTCAGGGCCTTTTATTGGTCTATTCAGAGATTCAACTTCTTCCTGGTTTAGTCTTGGGAGGGTGTATGTGTCGAGGAATTTATCCATTTCTTTGAGATTTTCTAGTTTATTTGCATACAGGTGTTTATAGTATTCTCTGATGGTAGTTTGTATTTCTGTGGGATTGGCGGTGATATCCCCTTTATCATTTTTTATTGGGTCTATTTGATTCTTCTTTTTCTTCTTTATTAGTCTTGCTAGCAGTCTATTAATTTTGTTGACCTTTTCAAAAAACCAGCTCCTGGATTCATTAATTTTTTGAAGGGTTTTTTATGTGTCTATTTCCTTCAGTTCTGCTCTGATCTTACTTATTTCTTGCTTTCTGCTAGCTTTTGAATGTGTTTGCTCTTGCTTCTCTAGTTCTTTTAATTGTGATGTTAGGGTGTCAATTTTAGATCTTTCCTGCTTTCTCTTGTGGGCATTTAGTGCTATAAATTTCCCTCTACACACTGCTTTAAATGTGTCGCAGAGATTCTGGTATGTTGTATCTTGTTCTCATTGGTTTCAAAGAACATCTTTATTTCTGCCTTCATTTTGTTATGTACCCAGTAGTCATTCAGGAGCAGGTTGTTCAGTTTCCATGTAGTTGAGTGGTTTTGAGTGAGTTTCTTAATCCTGAGTTCTAGTTTGATTGCACTGTGGTCTGAGAGACAGTTTGTTATGATTTCTGTTCTTTTACATTTGCTGAGGAGTGCTTTACTTCCAACTATGTGGTCAATTTTGTAATAAGTGCAGTGCGGTGCTGAGAAGAATGTATATTCTGTTGATTTGGGGTGGAGAGCTCTGTAGATGTCTATTAGGTCCTCTTGGTGCAGAGCTGAGTTCAATTCCTGGATATCCTTGTTAACTTTCTGTCTCACTGATCTGTCTAATGTTGACAGTGGGGTGTTAAAGTCTCCCATTATTATTGTGTGGGAGTCTAAGTCTCTTTATAGGTCTCTAAGGACTTGCTTTATGAATCTGGGTGCTCCTGTATTGGGTGCATATATATTTAGAAAGCTCTTCTTGTTGAATTGATCCCTTTACCATTATGTAATGGCCTTCTTTGTCTGTTTTGATCTTTGTTGGTTTAAAGTCTGTCTTATCAGAGACTAGGATTGCAACCCCTGCCTTTTTTTGTTTTCCATTTGCTTGGTAGATCTTCCTCCATCCCTTTATTTTGAGCCTATGTGTGTCTCTGCACGTGAGATGGGTTTCCTGAATGCAGCACACTGATGGGTCTTGACTCTTTATCCAATTTGCCAGTCTGTGTCTTTTAATTGGAGTGTTTAGCCCATTTACATTTAAGGTTAATATTGTTATGTGTGAATTTGATCCTGTCATTATGATGTTAGCTGGTTATTTTGCTCATTAGTTGATGCAGTTACTTCCTAGCCTTGATGGTCTTTACAATTTGGCATGTTTTTGCAGTGGCTGGTACCAGTTGTTCCTTCCCATGTTTAGTGCTTCCTTCAGGAGCTCTTTTAGGCAGGCCTGTTGGTGACAAAATCTCTCAGCATTTGCTTGTCTGTAAAGTGTTTTATTTCTCCTTCACTTATGAAGTTTAGTTTGGCTGGATATGAAATTCTGGGTTAAAAATTCTTTTCTTTAAGAATGTTGAATATTGGCCCCCACTCTCTTCTGGCTTGTAGAGTTTCTGCCGAGAGATCAGCTATTAGTCTGATGGGCTTCCCTTTGTGGGTAACCCGACCTTTCTCTCTGGCTGCCCTTACCATTTTTTCCTTCATTTCAACTTTGGTGAATCTGACAATTATGTGTCTTGGAGTTGCTCTTCCTGAGGAATATCTTTGTGGTATTCTCTGTATTTCCTGAATTTGAATGTTGGCCTGCCTTGCTAGATTGGGGAAGTTCTTCTGGATAATATCCTGCAGAGTGTTTTCCAACTTGGTTCCATTCTGCCCGTCACTTTCAGGTACACGAATCAGACATAGATATGGTCTTTTCACATAGTCTGATATTTCTTGGAGGCTTTGTTCATTTCTTTTTATTCTTTTTTCTCTAAACTTCTCTTCTTGCTTCATTTCATTCATTTGATGTTCCATCACTGATACCCTTTCTTCCAGTTGATCGAATCAGCTGCCGAAGCTTGTGCATTCGTCACGTAGTTCTAGTGTCATGGTTTTCAGCTCCATCAGGTCCTTTAAGAACTTCTCTGCGTTGGGTATTCTAGTTAGCCATTCGTTTAATCTTTTTTCAAGGTTTTTAACTTCTTTGCCATGGGTTCGAACTTCCTCCTTTAGCTCGGAGAAGTTTGATCATCTGAAGTCTTCTTCTCTCAACTCATCAAAGTCATTCTCCATGCAGCTTTGTTACGTTGCTAGTGAGGAGCTGCATTCCTTTGGAGTAGGAGAGGTGCTCTGATTTTTAGAATTTTCAGTTTTTCTGCTCTGTTTTTTCCCCATCTTTGTGGTTTTATCTACCTTTGGTCTTTGATGATGGTGACGTACAGATGGGGTTTTGGTGTGGATGTCCTTTCCGTTTATTAGTTTTCCTTCTAACATTCAGGACCCTCAGCTGCAGGTCTGTTGGAGTTTGCTGGAGGTCCACTCCAGACCTTGTTTTCCTGGGTATCAGCAGTGGAGTCTGCAGAACAGCGAATATTGGTGAACAGCAAATGTTGCTGCCTGATCTTTCCTCTGGGTTACTTTTTGTATATGGTGTAAGGTAGGGGTCCAGTTTCAATTTTCTGCATGTGGCTAGCCAGTTCTCCCAGCACTATTTATTAAATAGGAAATCTTTTCCCCATTGCTTGTTTTTGTCAGGTTTGTCGAAGATCAGATGGTTGTAGGTTTGTGGTCTTATTTCTGAGTTCCCTATTCTGTTCCATTGGTCTACGTGTCTGTTTTTATACCAGTACCATGCTGTTTTGGTTACTGTAGCCCTGTAGTATAGTTTGAATTTGGGTAGTGTGAAGCCTCCAGCTTTGTTCTTTTTGCTTAGGATTGTCTTGGCTATTTGAGCTGTTTTTTGGTTCCAAATACATTTTAAAATAGTTTTTTTTCTAATTCTGTGAAGAATGTCAGTGGTAGTTTAATAGGAATAGCAGTGAATCTATAAATTGCTTTGGGCAGTATGGCCATTCTAACGACATTGATTCTTCCTATCCATGAGGATGGAATGATTTTCCGTTTGTTTGTGTCCTCTCTGATTTCTTTGAGCAGTGATTTGTAGTTCTCCTTGAAGAAGGCTTTCACTTCCCTTGTTAGCTGTGTTCTTAGATCTTTTATTATTTTTGTAGCAATCATAATTGGGAGTTCATTCATGATTTGGCTCTCTGATTGCCTATTGTTCATGTATAGGAATGCTAGCAATTTTTGCACGGTGATTTTATATCCTGAGACTTTGCTGAAGTTGCTTATCAGCTTAAGGAGCTTTTGGGCTGATACAATGGGCTTTTTCTAGATATAGGATCATGTCATCTGCAAATAAAGATAATTTGACTTTCTCTCTTCCTGCTTGGATACTCTTTATTTCTTTTTCTTGGCCTTATTGTCCTGGCCAGAACTTTTGATACTATGTTGAATAGGAGTGGTAAGAGAGGGCATCCTTGTCTTGTGCGTTTTCAAGGGGAATGCTTCCAGCTTTTGCCCATTTAGTATGATATTGGCTGTGGGTTTGTCATAGATGGTTATTTTTTTGAGGTATATTCCTTCAATACCTAGTTTATTGAGAGTTTTTAACATGAAGGGATGTTGAATTTTATTGATGTCCTTTTCTACGTCTATTGAGATAATCATGTGGTTTTTGTCTTTAGTTCTGTTTATGTGATGAGTCACATTTGTTGATTTGCATATGTTGAACCAACCTTGCATCCCAGGGATGAAGACAACTCGATCATGGTGGATAATTTTTTTGATGTTCTCTTCGATTCAGTTTGCCAGTATATTATTGAAGATTTTTGTATCGATGTTCATCAAAGATTTTGGCCTGAAGTTTTATTTGTTTGGTTGTATCTCTGCCAGATTTTATCAGGATGATGCTGGCCTCATAGAATGAGTTAGAGAGGAGTCCCTTCTTTTCAATTTTTTGAATAGTTTTAGTAGAAATGATACCAGTCCTTTTTGTACCTCTGGTAGAATTCAGCTATAAATCCTTCTGGTCATGGGCCTTTTTTTTGGTTGGTAGGCTATTTATTGCTGCCTCAATTTCAGAACTCATTATTGGTCTATTCAGGCATTCAGTTTTTTCCTGGTTCAGTCTTGGGAGGGTGTATGTGTCCAGGAGTTTATCCATTTCTTCTAGATTTTCTAGTTTATGTGCATAGAGGTGATTATAGTATTCTCTGTGGTGAATGAGAAGAATATATATTCTGTTGTTTTTGGGTGGAGAGTTCTGTAGATATCTATTAGGTCTACTTGATCCAGAGCTGAGTTCAGGTCCTGAATATCTTTGTTAATTTTCTGTCTTGATGATCTGTCTAATATTGTCAGTGGGGTATTTAAATTTCCCAATCTAAGTATCTTTATAGGTTTCTAAGGACTTGCTTTGTGCATCTGGGTGCTCCCATATTGTGTGTATGTATATAGGATAGTTAGCTTTTCTTGTCAGTTTGAACCCTTTATCATTATGTAATGCCCTTCTTTGTCTTTTTTGATCTTTGTTGTTCTAAAGTCTATTTTGTCAGAAACTAGGATTGCAACCTCTGCTTTTTTTCTGTTTTCCATTTGCTTGGTAAATTTTCCTCCATCCCTTTATTTTGAGCTGATGTGTGTCTTTGCATGTGAGATGGGTCACTTGAAGACAGCACTGTGATGGGTCTTGGCTCTTTATCCAACTTGTCATTCTGTGTCTTTTAATTGGAACATTTAGCCCATTTACATTTAAGGTTAATCTTGTTGTGTGAATCTGATCTTATCATCATGATGCTAGCTGGTTATTTTGCAGACTTGTTTATGTAGTTGCTTAATAGTGTCACTGGTCTGTGTACTTCAGTGTGTTTTTTAGTGGCTGATAATGCTTTTTCTTTTCCATATTTAGTGCTTCCTTTAGGAGCTCTTGCAAGGCAGACTGAATGGTGACAAATTCCCTCAGCATTTGCCTGTCTGAAAAGGATCTTATTTCTTCTTCATTTATGAAGCTTAGTATGGCCAGATATGAAATTCTGGGTTGGAATTTTTTTCTTTAAGAATGTTAAATATTGGCCCCCAATCTCTTCTGCCTTGTAGGGTTTCCACTGAGTGGTCTGCTGTTAGTCTGATGGGCTTCCCTTTGTAGGTGACCTGGCCTTTCTTTCTGGCTACACTTGACATTTTTTCTTTCATTTTAACCTTGAAGAATCTGACGATTATTTGTCTTGGGGTTGATCTTCTCATGGAGCATCTTACTGGGGTTCTCTGCATTCCCTGAATTTATATGTTGGCCTGTTTTGCTAGGTTGGGGAAGTTCTCCTGGATGATATCCTGAACTGTGTTTTCCAACTTGGTTCCATCCTCCCTGTCTCTTTCAGGTACTCCAATCAGTCATAGGTTTGGTCTTTTTATGTATTCCTGTAGTTCTCAGAGGTTTTGTTTTTTCCTTTTCACTCTTTTTTCTCTAATCTTGTCTTCCTGCTCTATTTCAGCAAGATAGTCTTCAAGCTCACTTTTAATGGGGTTTTTATGGGGTCTTTTTTGTTGGTGTTGTGTTGTTTTCTGTTTGTTTTTCTTTTAACAGTCAGGTCACTCTTCTGTTGGGCTGCTGTGGTTTGCTGGGGGTCCACTCCAGACCCTAGTTGCCTCAGTTTTCCTTACCTGGAAGTATCACCAGTGAAGGCTGTGAAACAACAAAGACAGCAGCCTGCTCCTTCTTCTGGAAGCTCTGTCCCAGTGGGGGTACTGACATGTTGCTGTTCCTAATGTGCCTGTAGGAAGTGTCTGTAGACTCCTGTTGGGAGGGCTCACTTGGTCAGGAGGAATGGGATCAGAAGCAGTCTGGATGCTTTCTGGTGGAGCAGATATGCTGCGTTGGGGCGGGGAGTGAGGGATCCTTCTTCATCTGGACCGTTTGTATTCTCCAAAGCTGGCAGGCTAGAATGGCTGAGTCCACTGAACCACAGAGATGGTGTGGCAACCCCTCCTCCTGAGAGCTCCATCCCAGGGAGAGATCAGGGCTTTGTCTGTAGAGCCCTTGCTGGGGTGGCTGAAACCCCCACAGGGAGGTCCCACCCTGTGAGGAGGAATGGATTGGGGTCCTACTTAAAGAATCAGTCTGGCTATAATCTGGCAAGGCAGCTGTGCTATTGTCGGGGACCCTTCTTTGTCTGGACCATTTGTATTCTCCAAAGCCATCAGGCTGGAATGGCTGAGTCGACTGAACCATGGAGATGGTGGCCGCCCCTCCCGCAAGGAACTTGGTCTCATCTCAGCCTGTTGCCATTGGCTGGCTGGAATTCCAATCAGTGGGTCTTAACTTGTGGGGTGCTGTGGGAGCAGGCCTGCAGAATGACGCTGTTTGGCTCCCTGGTTTTAGCCCCCTTCCTAGGGATATATACGGACAGATCTCTCGTCTTGCCAGGGATCCTGGGGCTGGAGTGTGGAAAACTCCTGGGTCTCTGTGTGTGCCTGGACGGCTGCTTTGCCAACATTCTACACAGTTCTGTGTATCAGACCCAACGCCCTGGTGGTGTGGGCTCACGAGAGGATCTCCTGATCCACGGATTACAAAGATCCGTGGGAAAAGCGTGGTTTTCCAGGTGGGGTCTCACAATCACTTACTGCTTTACTTGGCTCAGGGTGGGGGTTCATTTGGCTCCGTGCTGCTCCCAGGTGGACCATCGCCCCACCCTGCTTTTCTTTGTTCTTCGTGGGTCAAATTGTTTGCCTAGTCAGCCCTAATGCAAGAACCTGGATACTTCAGTTGAAGGTGCTGAATTCACTTGCTCCTTTCCTTCCTCTCTGAGTGCGCAGACCGCAGCTGCTTCTAATTGTCCATCTTGGTGCCGGCAGCGAGGTTGGGGCTCCAAATCTAGCCGCCGCCATCTACCCCAGGGGAGGAGGAGAAGGAGTGTTTTTTTTTTTTAATATATTTAATGGACAGGTAATGAGGCAAATAAAAATTCTGTACATTCAGGGTGTACGATGTGATGATTTGATGTATGTATGCAATGTGTAATGATTACCACAGTCAAATGAATTAACACATCCATCTCTACCCATAGTTACCACTGTGTGTGTGTGTGTGTGTGTGTGTGTGTGTGTGTGTGTGGCTAAGACACTTAAAATCTACTTTCTTATCAAATTTCAAGTAAAGAATACAATATGTTAACTATAGTCACCATGCTACACAGTAGAGTCCCAAAACTTATTCATCTTAAAACTGAAATTTTATATCCTTTGATCAACAATCTTCCCCATTTCCCCAATTCGCTAGCACCTGGAAACCACCCTTTTACCCTCTGCTTCTTTGAATTTAACTTTTTTAGATTTCACATATAAGTGAGATCATACAGTATTTGCCTTTCTGTGTCTGGCTTATTCCATTTAGCATAATGTCCTCCAGGTTCATCCATGTTAGAAAATGGCAGGATTTACTTTTTTTTATGACTGAATAGTATTCGATTGCATAAACACCACATTTTCTTTATTCATTCATCTGTAGATGGTTGTTCCCATATTTTGGCTACTGTTACAAAGAGTGTTTAATTTGAAATAGTTACATGGTTTAAGTACATGATATAGTCTCTGATTTCACTGGAAAACATTCCAAAAGAAGTTCATGTCTTTAAGTTCACATTGCCACCAGCTAAAGTTATTAATTCAGTAGTCCCATTAAAAATTTCTTCACTTTCCTCATGATTTATCTTCATGTTATATTCCTTTGCTTCCAGGGTTCCACAGAAATTACTTATCACCTCTGTATATAACTCAAAGTCAAAATTACATTTTAATTTTTGGAGTAATTGGTCATAGATACTATTATGTCACTCTAACTTCTGAATTCATTTCTTCATAAATCTTTATTCTGCTCTTTTATGGTTACCAAATTCTTCCCTACCAAACCTGATTTATCTTTAATGTATTTTTTTTTTCTCTTGGGCACAGAGATTTTTTTCTCTTGGGTCATTTTGCAGGGATATTTAGCCTGGGATATATTTCAATCATTCACTTTCAGTTTCTTGTGTGATAACTTACACAGTTGCATCCCTCTGTAATAAATTCTTCCAATGGATCAGAAATAATTTCTCAGCAATTACATTTTTATGACTGCAACTGTAGGCATCTGCACTTTATCACTTTCAAGATCCAAGTTTGGCAATGCAATGCAGAAAGTCTATTTATGCAGAATTGTGCTTCAAAGAATTTACATCTCTATGTTGTATACTCTCTGAAGGGGATATAAACTGCTAGATCATGCTACAGTCATTATATAATGAAACTGTCTATAATCTTATTTGCTGCAAAATACAGTTTGGTAGGTGTCAGATTTATGTTGAATGTGAGTTAAAAGAATTGACTTACTCAAAATCCCTTAAAATAATAGTAATAACAAACTCTTTATAATGTGTTATCTTTTGTAAAGTTTTTTTTTGAAGGGCAAAGGTCAAATGTATTTTCTGACTGTAAATATATCCCATGTTTTCAAGAAGTAAATCTAGAGTTAGAAGAACAGTAATAAACATTATTTCTTTGTCGTTCACCTCTAAGTATTGTAGGACCTCTTGGCCTTTTTTTCATTTCTACCTCCATAGTGTCTCCCACCTGTCCCCTTGGGGATAGCTTTTAATACTCACTGGGGCAAGTTTACCTACCAGCCCCTGTATTAGTCAGCATAAGCAAGGTTGTGCTGTGATAAGAAGACAACCCCCAAATCTCAGAGGCTTAATAAAATTTATTTCCTGCTCAAGCTACATGTTCAATGTGAGCTGGGGTTTCTGCTTGAGACAGGCACTCAGAGACCCAGGCTAATATAGACTTATCTCAACATGTGCTTCCACTGTCATTGCAACTGGGGAAATGGAACATGATAAATCATGCGAGAACTCCTAAAATGTTCACCTGGACATGACATATGTCAATCCTCTATTTACATTGCTTTTGTCAAAGCAAGTTATGTGGTCAAAGTGGATGTTGGGTATGTGATCCTGCCCTGTGCCCAGAGGACAATGGGAATATTTGTGAACAGCCTTAATAACTATTACATTCCCTTTGCCTTCTTTTTAGGGGTTCCTTTTGTTAAGTCTCCATAATGCTCTCAAGACACTTTGGCACCCTTGTTACAGCTAACTTTATCAGGGTGGGCAACTGACTTAGTGACACTCAGTTATAGGTTGGCAAGAACCCTGTGACGTGCTCTGCCATGAGAGCTCTGCCTCTGGGGGATGATTATGAATTGGTCCCGTTAGCATCCTCTTTTTGAGGAGTTGACTATATTCTGAGATTTAAGCAGTTAGTACCTAGGGTTAAACAGTTCTATTAGGTGCAAAGCTGAAAGATACACAGAAAGTAGAAACAAGGGGAAGAGTTGAGTCATAGTGAATGTGGCATTTTCAGGTTTGGATTCACAAACTCCTGCTGTTCAGGAACAATAAGATTACCTAGTTGCCAGGGTTTTAACAGATTTTTTTCAGTTTCCAAACTACATTCTATTCTCAGAATTATACTTCAGCCTCTGTGGGACTCATTGTTTTCAGTTCCCAGACCACTGGGCCATGTAGGCCAGATGCTTATCCTTATGTAATCTGATTCCCTGGCCTCCTACTCTACCCTTGCAAGTTCAAAGGAAGTCCCATTAGCAGCAGCAATCCAGAGTTCCTGTAATTGACCTCACTTGCTTGTGCTAGAGTGGGGATTTTCCTATAAAACCTCTTTTCTCTTCTGTTCATTCCTGCATTTCCAAATTTTGAAGTCTCTGAATTATGACTCACTTGTGCTCCCAAACCAGCGTATCTGCCGTGTATTCCAGTTTTGTCTGGCTTCAGCTTATTGCTGGTGGATGGTGACTGCTGCTGGTGGTACTCTGGGAAACTGGAAATGAACATGCCAAGGTAGCCATGTCCTAGTGGCTTCAAAGCAGTGTAGGGGTGAAGGCCAAATTTCTCCTTTGCCCTCTGGAAGTTCGGGTGAAAAATCAATTGAGAAAAGGCAGATTAATAGGAGAAAGGACATATAAAATTTATTTCAGTGTGCATAACACAGGGGAATTGTAGCCTTTAAAAAGTTGTTGTTTTTTTTTTAACTCTGGAGAACAAAACATAAAAATAATTAGCCTAAATAAAAAATCATAAATAATCATTTCAGTCTTTTATCAGTTCAGTCCCATGTAATTAATTATTGTTCTGCTTGATGGTAGTTTAGCAATTTTATGAGTCCAGTTTTTTTTTTTATTAGAGTTCTGGAATTTTTACACAGTTCATTGATTCACTTATACAGTTTCAGAGTTGTCAGAAACCTTTATTTGTCAGTGTTATTCCCATGAACTTCTTTGAAGACCCATACTTCAGGATTTGGGAAGAGCTTTCAAGAAAAAAAAAGCATCAGAATAAAACAATTAACTGTGGACAATGGGACTTAAAATGGCCATGGTTAAATAAACAATTGACAAAGATATTTGGTCTTTTTTTTGTGGCCTACAACAATTCAACATAACACTCATAATTATGAATGACAACATATACCAAGATATATCATATTTTAAGAAATCTCATACAGTTTTGGAACACATACTAACAAGATAGCCATATAAATATAACTCAGAAAAAAGGTTAAACATTATTTGTTATTTGACAGTTCTTCCCATATAATTTAATATATAAACTAAACCTGTTTATTATTTCTCTTTTGGATACTTCAGGGGTCTTTGGGAAAATCCCAAAGTTAGTTTGAAGTCAAAAAGACTTACTTTAGAATTTGAAGGTTGATTTTGGGAAGCTTGTCAAGTATGTCAAACATTTAAAATATTTGATCAAAAATTACTGTGAAATAAAGTCATTCATTTAGCTGGTGTAATAAAGGATTTCCAAAAGCCAAAACCTTTACTCTTTGACAGTTTGACAGAGATGAGACTTAGTTTTTCAAATACTCAAAAGACCTATTAAGATAGCATGAGGCACACAAAAGCTGTTTCTCCCCTTTTTTTTTTTTTGCAGTTTACTCAAAATGTGAACCAAAGTCGTTTACTATTTCTTATTGATACTATATGAAAATCTTGTTCAAAGGAGAAAATAAAATTCTAGTTTTGTAGACTATTTTTGATTTTAAGGCTCAGTTTAAAAACAAATAGTAAATTTTAAATAAATTTAATATTAAATATTAAATATTTCATTCACCTTAATTATTTTGAAATTCTCTCTTTCTCAACTTTCTATACCCATTTAGTTTTATTTATATCATTTTTCTCATTTTGAAACAACCTTTACATAATCTCTGAACTATATGAAATTGCTTTTTCTCAACAAAAGCACATCCTCATACCTTATAACATTTTACTTCCCTTACATACTCCATACATAGTTGTTTATCATATACAGTAGTTTTAATTATATACTAATTATAATAGTAACTCTTAGTAACCCTAGTTTCTACTGAAAACCTAGGAAGTAAGTAATTTTGAACTGTTTTATATCAGTGTTTGTAAATGAAAACAATTTTATAATTTTTAGAAAGATGTTTCATCAGTTTTTTGCTCATTAACAGATACAGATATATTTAGCTTTTCTATGCCATATAAGAACAAGATGTCAAAATTATCTAAACTATGCTTAATAATTAATGTTTTAGTATTTTAACTTACTTAGAAATGACTCAAACATTTCATGATTCTCTACTACTTAACATAACATGTCCTTAAGATTTTAAATTATTGAAAAATATTTTTTAACAGTTATATTTGAATTATTCATGGAAAATAAAGCTATTTATTTAGGTTATTATGTATTTTTTTTGAAAAAGCAAAACCAGCATCAGCTAATTTTATCTTAACTAAGGCCTTTGAGATACTGGACACAGGTCCCTCCCCATTGTCCCTACTCTAGTTGTCCTGGGTTCTGAGTACCCATGTGGCACCCAGGATGACTACGAAGGGTAGGACCTGTCTGAATCCTGGATTTGCACACCTAATATAGGGCCCAGGGCAGAGGACGGACTTGTGAAGACAATGTTGGGAGGATCTGACCCCTCTCAGCATGACCAGGAGGCAGAGCTGGACCAGGGAGGATGGGGCCATATTGGGCTTGGCTCAACAAGCCACAGTAGGATGTGTGTAAGACTTTTGGGAGCCCAGCAGCCAGCACTTACAGTTTTAGTTTATATACAAATCAAGAAAATATCAAGAATATCATAGAAACAACAGTTTTATGACCTTAAAACATCTAACAGAGGTAGCATAAACCTGTGTGACCAGTAGACCTAGGCAAAAATGTCTAAATTAAATTTTGAAGACATTTTTATTTTACTAGCAATTTTAAAACTAGCTTTATTTACCAAAGATTTATTAAAGTCAAGGGAACTTGAAAAGTTTTGGGCTAGTTATATAATTTATGAGTACTCATTTATTTTTAAGTCAATTTGATATCATGTAGATAATATGCAAACACATGTATAGACACATACATGTAGACACAACATACAACACACACGTATACATGTATGTATACAAAAGTCAAATAGATGAGGGAGTTTAATGCAAAAAAGAGTAGAGATTTCAGACCTGAGAGGAACCCATTCACGACTTTTGAGTCTCCATGAGGAAAACAGAGAACCCCAAAACAGGGAGTCAGTGGTACCTTTTTGTTGTGGTTCTCAAGAGGCTTCAGGGTCACTCAAAGTCCCATCTAGATCCCTTCATGTGTATCAGACGTAGAGAAAGGAAGGAGAAGTAAACTTTATTTTTTTAAAACTTTATTTATCTGAACTTCAGTTTTTTTTCTTTTAAACCAAAGGTAACTACCAAGTGATTCAGAACCAAAAAAGCCATTTATGATTTAACCAAGGGAGCACAAGACATCTCCAAAGAGGTACAAAGAAGCAGTCTTCACAAAATCCAGAGCCACCCCACAAAGACCTCTGGAAGAAAATAGAGACTTAGTGATGAACAGGAACATAACTGTCCATGGAAGGGAAAAAGATCAATGACAAATGGGTACCCCAAAAAGTCAAGGGTCACACAAATATAAATTCAAAATAAGTAATTCAAACTTCTTTTTTTTTTTTTTTTGAGACAGGGTTTTGCTCTGTTGCCCAGGCTAAAGTGAAGTGGTGTAATCATGGCTCATAGCAGCCTTGATCTCTGGGCTCAAGCCATCCTCCTGTCTCAGTCTCCTGAGTATTTGAGACTACAGATGCATGCCACCACACCTGGCTAATTTTTTAAATTAATTTTTTGTAGAGAAGGGATCTGTTTCAGGCTAGTCTCAAACTCCTGGGCTCCAGCGATCCTCCTGCCTCAGCCTCTCAAAGTGCTGGGATTACAGGCATAAGCCACCGTGCCTGACCCTCAAACTAATTTTTATAAATGTTTCCTTTTTCCCCTGAGTTAAAGGATTTACATCTCCAAGGGGCTGGTTCCCTGACTAGAAATCAAACCTGAGTTGAGGCAATGAAACAGTGGAATCCTAGCCATTAGACCATAGGCCAGAGTGCTTTTTGCAGATCCTAGATGGATCCAAAGCAGGCAATTGAGTGTACAGGATTTTAAGTTTCCTTTGAATATTATTTCTGCTTTAAAAATCTTACTAAGAGAATTTCTAAGGCTATATTCCTTTAATATTTTTAAAAATAGGTACGAATAAGATAGCTGTTTAAGACAAGCACTCTCTAAAAAGTTTTCTTTTAAGTATAGCCAATTTATTTATTCCATAAATGACTCAAGTTAATGAGCCATTTTCATGGAGTCTCAGAGGTAGCTTTCCAGGTTTAGACTATCATGGACAGTATAAGTGGCAGTATAAAAATGGGAAGATGATGTAGTTCTCATGATCCCCTCAAAATTCACTTTCAGAAAAAGTCTAATATAGCAAAGGACACTTGTGACAGATGGTTGAGGAGGTGTTTGTTCATATGGTGCCTCCAGTATTGAGGAGGGAGGGGCACCAGTCATAGATCTGTTAATCTGTGACACTGAGTAGGTCCTCCTGGGATTGGACTTTCCAGGACTATCCAGGCAACAAGAGTTAGGACAACAAAAGCCCCTTATGGATGGGATTTCTTATTTAAGAAAAACTTTGCTGAGAGCTTGGCACATTTGGAACAGAGTGTGCTGCTTAATATCTTAGGTACCTCCGGGTTCCTAGTCCTTTTAGGCTGGCCACCAGACGTGGCCCAAAAATCATGCCCACTGGATGGCAGAGACCAAGAGATAGGGCTCCTACGTGGTCAAAAGTCAAGCTCTCAAGGACATAAAACAAGAGGGACTCTTCACAGAAAGACAGAGACAAAGGAAAAAATAAAGACTACTTCTGTGAGGAAAAGGATGGACAATATGAATATTCATAGCAAAAATATACCAGAGTCATTACATCTAAGACTAGTCATACAAATGCTTTTCTCCCATTAATCTTAAATTTGGAAAGAAAAAAGAGACAAACTGATTTTTCTCGTCTGCTTGACCAGATTATGCAGAGAGAGAGACTGGGAGTCTGACTGGTAAGAATTTCTTATCATTCTGTTCACCTATCAGGTCCTGTGTTCCTTTGACTGCAGCTTCTAGAGGAGCAGAGCAGTTTTGGTTATCCCACCAACAATGCCAAATCTGTAAGGTCAAAGGGATTGCTTCCTCTTTGCCCTCTGAAGTTTTGCTGAAAAATCAACTGACAAGAGGCAGATTAACAGGAGAAAAGACACACAAAATTTATTTCAATGTGCATAACACAGGGGAATAGTAGGAGAATGATTACCTCATAACCCAACGGGTACAGAAGCTTATATACCCTTTTTCATAGAGGAGGGGAGATAGGGGAAATGTGTCAACTTGGGGTGTAGTAAATGATTTTTAGGGGAAATTCAGTGGACTTGGAGAACATACAGTGGCCTGGGACAAAGTTTGTTGGGCCCGCAGAGCATGATTTTTGACAAACGTCTGTCCAGGTGTGTTGACAGACTTCAGTCTACCTGCCTGTGATTAGAGTTATTATTAAATTGATGAAAACTCAGGGAAGGGACCAGAAGTAATTATTTTTTTCTTTGGCGAGTCTGGACATTAGGCAGATTAGGGAGTATCAAAGTAAAGCTCCTTCCAGTGTCTGCTGGTCCCCAGGGGTGTTTAATTTAAAATAATCGGCTGGGCGCAGTGGCTCATGCCTGTAATCCCAGTACTTTGGGAGGCTGAGGCAGGCAGATCACCTGAGGTCAGGAGTTCGAGACCAGCCTGACCAACATGGAGAAACCTGTCTCTACTAAAAATACAAAAAATTAGCCAGGCGTGGTGGTGCATGCCTGTAATCTAATCCCACCTACTCAGGAGGCTAAGGTAGGAGAATCGCTTGAACCTGGGAGACGGAGGTTGCAGTGAGCCGAGATCGCACCATTGCCCTTCAGCCTGGGCAACAAGAGCGAAACTCCGTCTCAAAATAATAATAATAATAAACATACCAGGGTACCATATTTTGGGGTGAAATTCTCTGGTCTCCTTCAGCTGCCAATCCTCAATGTGGTAGAATGGCGCTAGGCTCCTACAAAAGAGGGGAGAATGCCTCTCTTCCCAATTCTGTGCTGCACTCTCTCATATGGGCCCCAGTGAGGCAATGATTGCACCTAGAGTCACACACAATTCCTATGAAAATGATCCCTTTCAGCTTCTTCTCTACTCTCTCCCCGCTCCTTACTAGAGTCAAGGCCAGTCCTAGTGACTGCATGGGGAGTAGTTAGTCCTAGCTTTTCCAAGCACCATGTTTTTCTTTCCTGCCTGGCTCCTATGAAGAACCTCTCTGCTACACCCCACTCTCGTCAAAATTCCTTTCTACTCTCCTTGACCACAACCCCCTCTAAAGGCAGCAAGCAATCATATATATCAATTTATGCAAAGAGATGCCTAGATGCCCAAAGAGTTAATTTTCCACTGCTCTACAGACAGATTTGATTGGCTTTCAGGTAGCAGGGAGAGAACATGTCTGCCCCCTTTGGCTTCTTAGCCTTCTAGAAGATAATTTCCTTTGTTTCTTTCAGAAAACAGTTCAAGTTTTGTTTGTGGTTGCTTTCTGTCATTTCTATAGGTCATTTTGAATAAGCATGATGCCATTTACTTATGCTTTCTTGGTTTTACCTCCAAGCTTCTTTTTTGTACTCTTGCTGATTATTCTATCAATAGAATTTGTATCAGAATTAATCTTGAAGCTTCCAAGGAAATCTCAAAAGGAAGTCTGCACACATAGAGTGTTCTTGTAGGGCACGTTGTAAGCAAATATTGGAGTTTTGACTATAACCTCAACGAGTAACCTTAAAAGTTAGTAAATTAAGTGTCTTTTAAATACTAATAGGCTTAAGGCTTAATAAGTATAAAGATGTTATTTTTATGGTAGGATGAAGAAATAAACTTAATTCTGCCTCAGTAATGTTTTAAAGTTTAAGATGATTCAGTATAGCTGAGTTGATTCTAATAAAGTGAATTCTCCAATTTCTGCATGATTTTACTGCCAGAAAACTGCTCCCATGGGAAAATGGCTAGGCTATAGTATTTCTTAAGACACAAATAGTGGAGAAAAAGGAAGTCACTCATTACATTAAAATAAGGATAGGAAAACCCATAGCTAATTGATTAAAATAGTACAAGTCCAGTGGGAGCGTGCATGGCAAGGATACAAGGAGGCCCCCACCAGCAGAAACTGGTAGCTTTGAGATGATCTGTGGGTAGCTGCCATTCATTGTATGTGCTTCACCTCTTCTCAGCTTGCTTCCTAAACCTTTTGTCCTATTAGACTGTGATTTTCTTCACTTTAATGTTGCTCCCCTCTTTTTCAGGGTTCTCCAACCAACCCCAGTTCACTCTGTTTCTGTTAATACTTTATCTTTCAATCACAGCTCATCTTTTCCTCAATGAATTCAGACTGATTCCATAGATACCCACTTCTAACTTAGCTTTAGGATATAATTGTTCTCTTATAAACTGATTGTGTGGGCAGCCAGGTGATGCAGACTGATAAGCCAAGATACACCTGCCCTCTTAGTGGAAAATGATATTAATAGATTGATAGAAGCAATTGTGCTTCAGCTGGCTGAAAGGATAGAAGAGTCCATATCTCCCCAGATGTCGTCATTTTCACTGCTCAAGGTCTGACTCTACCCTTCATAGACTCCCCGGGGCTATTTCAGGACATCTAACTTGTCTTATGAGATACTGTTGCAGCTTGAAAACTCTGACTCTAGACCAGTGGTTGGCAAACTTTTACTGTATGGGTCCAGATAGTAAATAGTTTCAGTTTTGGGGACCATAGCGTCTCTATTGCAACTACTCTGCTATTGTTGTAATGTGAAAGCAAACTTAGATAATATGTAAACACATGGGTGTGGCTGTGTTCCAGTAAAATTTTGTTATTTACCAAAATAGACAAGAGGCCAGATTTGGCTCCTACGATGTAAAATGGTGCCCCTTCTATGTCTTGGAAGGCCCTGGTTCTAGACTGACCGTTTTCTTTTCTTTTCTTTTTTTTTTTTTTGAGATGATGTCTAGCTGTGTTGCCTAGGCTGGAGTGCAGTGGCTCGATCTTGGCTCACTGCAATCTCTGCCTCCCAGTTTCAAGCAATTCTTCTGCCTCAGCCTCCTGAGTAGCTGGGACTACAGGCGTGCACCATCATGCCCAGCTAATTTTTTGTATTTTTAGTAGAGACAGGGTTTCACCATGTTGATCAGGCAGGTTTTGAACTCCTGACCTCGTGATCCGTCTGCCTCAGCCTCCCAAAGTGCTGGGATTACAGGCGTGAGCCACTGCGCCTGGCCTAGACTGACCATTTTCTCATGGAGCTACTCTGCACTCCCTGGTTAAGGAAGGGTAAGAAATGGGCATTATCTCACACACAATTGAGAGCCCCCAGTGAGATAAAGTATGATGGAGTGGTTTGTGGCCAAGCCCTATGGGAGATACAGAAGGCTTACTTGGAGGAAGAGTACTAAGTAGGCAATTCAGAAAATCCCTGTTATTGTTGAGATTCTGTTAGCCCAGTGGTTTTCAACCCTGGCTGCACAATAAAATTGCCTGGGGAGCTCTTAAAAGTCCTGATGCCCAGGCCTTACACAAAACCAGTTAAATCAGAATCTCTGGAAGTAGGACTAGACAATAATTTTTAAAGCTCCCAGGTGATTACCATGTCAGAACTGTTATGCTGGCCATGATATCAGCCAGTAGTGAGCATGGTTCTGCCTCTTGGTCCAAAGCTTGCCATAAAATGGTGCCCCTTCTATGCCTTTTTAACCTCATTGTAGCTGAATTTGAATACATAGATATCCACATTTCTGTATATATATATATATATATATATATATACACACACACACACACACACATATACATATATATACACATATATATGTACAGTAGTGAAAGCTCTACAAATTAAATAAATTAAGGCTTAATAAATGTGGTTTTTCAGATGAGTTTTTTCTTTTAGGAAACAGTTTGCATTCGCAATCTTGATTTGCAAGATACCATATTTCGTTAATTTAAACACATTTTCCCACATTGTCCACCTCACATTTTTTACCATTTCTGAAATTAGGATGCATCGTATAATGGAAATAAACATTTAATGTAGCTTTCCTTTTTGTACTTGTAGGGGATTACAAGTTTTCCCACAGCACACTTTAGTTTATCTTTCGTAAGTGATCTGACCTTCCTCATAAACTCCTACCTACTGGGAATTGGAATAAATGCCTTCTGTTTAAGCCAATAAGATGGTAAACTGATGTGATTCAACAATATAAACAGTCCCTTTTGGTAAATGCTCAGTCTTTTTAGATAAAATGCTCTAAAACAGGAGATTGGGTTGAGGGTGTTGCTTATATGATTTCACGGTGGGAGATGCGGCCTTTGGACCCATGTGGTGACCTTTGGACACTTAGTGCCTGCCGAGTGGCTGGTCTGGAATGCTCTCTGGACTGTGACCTTTGAGGGAGTGATGGGTCCCATGCATGGTCATCTTGTGGGCACCTCTGTGCATTTCTTGATGTCCTTATATGCTTTGTGGGGCGTTCTTTTGTAGCTTGGCTAGGGTCTGTGGTTTCTCCAGGATGCTTTAACCCCACTTTGGCCCTTGATGGTGCTTCAGATTCGAAGTCCCAGCTACATCCTCCATCCAGTATCTGGCATTATCTGTGTACCCTCAGACTCTGCTAGATCACTTGGCTCTTCACCATGGTGAACTCAGGGCAGGCCCACTGCTTTTCAACATAGCCTCATTTTGATTGTTTTTCATGGTATCTAGGATGTTCTGGGTTTCATCTAAGCCTCATGGGAATCAAGACTGATTTAAGAAAGCTAAGCTGACCTTCTCTCTACCCATTTACATTGTTATGTATTATTGAGCTTCAAGATTGTGATGGCAAGATTACACTGTAGCTACCCCTGAAGTTTTGTGCAGGGGAGCTCATAAAACAATTTTCTTTCAAAGTCTTGAAGATAAATGGAATAAAAATTCCTCGGCTTTCTGTGTTTCCCAACTAACTGTGTTAGTTGAGAGCCATTACAGCTTTTAATCTGGGTGAAGCCCAGAGAAGAGAAATAAAATGTGTCTAACCTGTTTCTGAGACCTTTCTTCCAATAGTCCACACTTCTTTTTCCTGTCTGACCAGATCTTCTTTATCATAAAACTGTGATCTAGTCTATCAGATCTAGCTTTTGCTAAATGAGAGCCAAAAGGATTTAGAAAATGATTTTCTCTTTCTGTGTTTTCTTCTACTAGTTTCATAATTTTTGGTCTTACATTTAAATCTTTAGTCCATTTGAGTTGATTTTTGAATATGGTGAGAGATAGGGGTCTCATTTCACTCTTCTGTGTATGGATATCCAGTTTTCCTAGCACCATTTATTGAAGAAATTGTCCTTTCTCCAGTGAGTGTTCTTGGTGCCTTTGTCAAAAATCAGTTGGCTGTAAATGTATGGATTTGGTATTGGGTTCTCTATTCTATTCCATTGCTTTACATGTCTGTTTTTATGCCAGTGCCATGCTGTTTTGGTTAATATAGCTTTATAGTAAATTTTGAAGTCATGTAGTATGATGCCTCCAGCTTCACAATTATTTTCTTTCTTGAGAGCTTAAGAAAGTCAGCTTTGAAACTCAAAGATGATCAATGGTATCTTTGTTCTGTCTGCTGTCTTTATTCCTAGACAATAAGTCTCTTGGCTTCACCTTGGTTATGGAAGGTTCAATATTGACAAAATATCCATATTTACACTTTTAAGAGAAGTGATTACATTGGTGGTTTGTGTTGTAGTTGATAGTATTTTAGAATTGAGAGACTATGGTAATATCAAAGAAGGGACTTTGGGACATTAAAGATCAAGTGCTGGCCAATGAGATTCAAGATGGGTGACTGGTATTTAATTTTTACCCCAAACAATGAGACAAAATGACTATTGACTTAGAGAGAGTTCTGACAAATGAGGTGGATACAGCCTAATCAATCTTAAACTGAATATAAGTATTTAATTTGCTGATGAGCTATATTTAAATCATATTTTGGTTGCTATAAAATCTTCAGCCCTGCAAATCTAATCACTATCTTTGATGATCTTTTTTGCTTAATGTTTATTATCTCTCATATTCATCATGATGAGCAAGTAGCTATGTATATTTTCTCCTGGATATCGTCAATAAAATGGAGTTTTGTGTTAGAAGAGAACAAGAAAGAGTAAATCTGACCATCTAAGGTAGATGTGAAAAAGGGAATCCGGCAGCAGATAGTGGGAGGGAAATGCAGATAAAACTTTCTAAGTTTATGTTGGTAAAGCAAACACAAATGACAAAATATTGGCATAGTTTATTCAATTTATGGTTGATAGGGTTGTAAATGATTATCAAACAATTCTGGAATACGTAAGTAGGAGTCATAACCATATTCTACCATCAGTCACTGCTGGAAGTGGAATGCGGGGCTGGACGGACCAAGGGATTATGTGAACATATCTAAGCTATTACATGTGCAGTCAACTTATTTAT
Organism: Homo sapiens; assembly: GCF_000001405.40. Classification (NCBI taxonomy): domain Eukaryota; kingdom Metazoa; phylum Chordata; class Mammalia; order Primates; family Hominidae; genus Homo; species Homo sapiens. Next base: position 67,618,252 of record NC_000010.11, on the reverse strand, counting down.
TTTAGAGTCTTCTTTGGTATGATTGGATTTTTTACTTTTTGTTTTGCTTCCTTTAAGCAGTCAAAGGTTATTGATGGAAAAAGGTTGACTTTTTGCTTTTTCTTATTCAACATTTCTTTGAATCAGTACTGTCCTATAAACTATGGATTATTGATTTACTGGAATTACTAGTTGTTTGATTTAGGAATAAATTACAGCATGAATATAATTTCTCTTTAGTTTGCTTAATTTAATATCTTTATAGTTTTTCTTCTCATTTTTTGAAATATTTATTTGTAGAAAAGGAGACTATATGATTAACATTACATTTTTAAAACTGAATTTGTCTGAATTTTTGTTCTGTATAAAACAGGCATTTTTCCAACAAGCATATGAGAAAAAGCTCAACATCACTGATCATTAGAGAAATGCAAATCAAAACCACAATGAGATAACATTTCAAACCAGTTAGAATAGCTATTATTAAAAAGTAAAAAAAAAAAAAAAGCAGATGCTGGAGAGGTCGCAGAGAAAAAGGAATGCTTATACGCTGTTGGTGGGAATGTAAGTTAGTTCAACCATTGTGGAAAACAGTGCGGCAGTTCCTCAAAGACCTAAAAACAACTACCATTTGACCCAGTAATCCCATTACTGGATATATACCCAGAGTAATATAAATCATTCTACCATAAAGACATATGCACGTGCCTGTTCATTGCAGCACAATTCACAATAGCAAAGTCATGGAATCAACCTAAATATACATCAGTGGTAGACAGGATAAAGAAAATGTGGCATATATACACCATGGAAAACTATGCTGTCATTAAAAAAAAATGAGATCATGTCCTTTGCAGGAACATGGAAGGAGCTGGAGGCCATTATCTTTAGCAAACTAATGCAGGAACAGAAAACCAAATACCACTTGTGTGCTCACTTATAAGTAGAAGCTAAATGATGAGAACACATGGACACATAGAGGGGAACAACAGACACTGGGTCCTATAAGAGGGTGGAGGGAGAGAATCATGAAAAATAACTATTGAGTGCTAGGCTTCATACCTGGGTGATGAAATAATCTGTACAACAACTTTTCATGACGTGAGTTTACCTATTTAGCAAACCTACACATGTACTTCTGAACTTAAAATAAAAGTTAAAAAACAACTATTAAATTTAGTTTCAAAAACCAGGCATTTCCTCTAAATAATAGTAATGTTCGAAATGACAAAATCTACATATCCTAGAATTAATATGTTAACGGTTGGGTTTCCTGAGAAATACTACACCTAATTGTTGGGGTTTCTCAAAGCTCAGTCCTGTGACTTCTTCTCCAGTTATACATCGTTTTTAAGAGATCTCATTCAATCTCTGATTAAAAAAAAATTTTTCCCCAAACGTCTTTGCAATTTTGGTAAGATCAGCAAAACTACTGACAAGTGAACAATTAAATTGAAAAAGTAACCTATACGAAACATATCTCCAACTTTTACCTCTTTCAATTCCAGAATTGTATACTAGTCTCCACTTTAAAAACTCTAAAAGGCAAATTTAACATGGCTAATGCCATGGTAATCCATCAACTCTTGATTTCCCTTCCTACTCATGTCCCTTTACTTTCCTCAACTAGTAAATATTACCTCCATTTACTCAGCTGCTCAGGCCAGATGCCAGAGTCATCCTTGATGCCATATTGCTTTCATAACCCATATTCAATCTGTCAGCAAACCTTGTTGACACTTTAGAATATACCAAAATTTTGTCATTTCTTAACTCCGCCACTGCTTCCTCAAAGAAGCCAGTGTGGTCTTCACTTGGGCTACAGCAACGGACTCCTAACTGCTTTCCCTTCTTCTATTCCTCATCCCATCCTTGCCTAGTCTGTTTTGCATAGAGCTGTCTCTAGTCTGTTTTGCCTAGAGCATTTAGAATGATGCTTTAAAATTTGGGGTCAGATCATGTTACTTTCCTGTTTCAAGCACTTCAGTAACTTCCAGTCATAAGAATAGAATTGAGAGCATTAGTGGTGATCTACAAGTCCTGCACAATTTGGTGCCTCCATACCAGCCTTCCTATTGCTCCTGGAATACAACAGTCAAGCTCTTGTTTTGGAACCTTTGCGCCTGTTTCTTCTGTTTGGGATGTTTTCCTCCAGATATTTAAATGTCTTATTCTTCTGTTTCCTTGGATCCTTCTTACTTAATCAGAGATGCTTTCCCTAATATGCAGTCTAAACTAGCTCTTCTCTTTCACTCTTTATTTTCTTACCCTTTTTCACTTTCCTCATAGCATCTGTCAATACCTACTATTGGCCAGGTGCAGTGGCTCACGCCTGTAATCTGAGCATTTTGAGAGGCCGAGGCAGGTGGATCACTTGAGGTCAGGAGTTTGAGACCAGCCTGGCCAACATGGGTGAAACCCCATCTCTACTAAAAACACAAAAATTAGCTGGGCGTGGTGACAGGCACCTGTAATGCCAGCTACTTGGGAGGCTGAGGCACGAGAATCGCTTGAACCCAGGAGGCAGAGGTTGCAGTGAGCCAAGATAGCACCACTGCACTCTAGCCTGGGTGATGGAGTGAGGCTCTGTCTCAAAAAAAAAAAAAAAAAAAAAAAGAATACCTGCCGTTGTGTTACACATTTACTTATGTATTTGTTTATTCTCTGTTCCCCCACCTTCTTAGAATGAGGCTCATTGCCATGTTCTGGCACAGTGTAGGTGCACCATCAATATTTGTTGAATAAATGAATGGTAAAGTCCAAACTCGTTTGTTTTTGGATGGTAAGTGGTTAAGTGAAAACTAGAAGAAACTAATTTGGTATTATTCTCAGCATGTGGTCTTTTCCTAGTTGTGTTTAGCTTTATATTTATCCAGGAGTAAGTGCACTTCTTGGATTAGGATATTTAGCTACAACTGCTTATGTGTTTGACACGTAAATCTCTTTGCTTTGTTATGCCATCTGTGTGGCACAGAGGGCTGGTGGAATTGGAGAGGGATCTACATGTGCTTTGTTACTGTCCCTCAATAGTTCGGAGTAATGGCTTATGTTAGCAGTGGTTGTTTATCTAACAAACAAACAAAACCCTAAATTATATTTTTAAAAAGGTTATGGTTATTTTACACTTTTTGTATCACTTGTGGTAAAGATTGTTATGGATTGAATTGTGCCATTTCCAACCCCAACATTCACATATTGAAGCCCTAACCCCAGTTTCTCAGAATGTGACCGTAGTTGGAGACAGGGCCTTTGGATATAGAAGTAATTAAATTAAAATGGGGTCATTTGGGTGGGCCCTAATCCAATATGACTGGTGTCCTTATCAGAAGAGATTAGGATGTACAGGGAAAGACATCATTGTTGTGTGCATACATGTGAGGACACAGAGAGAGGACAGCCATCTGATAGCCAAGGAGCAAGGCCTCAGGAGAAACCAAACCTGTTGACACCTTGGTCTTGGACTTCTGACCTCCAGAACTGTAAGAAAATAAATTTCTGTTGTTTAACCCAGGGGTCCCCAACCCCTAGGCCTCCAGTGCCAGTACCAGTTGAGTACCCCAACTGGTGCATGTCCATGGCCTGTTAGGAACTGGGCCACACAGCAGGAGATGAGCAGTGGGTGGGTGAGCAAAAGAAACTTCATCTGTATTTACAGCCAACCCCCATCGCTTGCATTACTGCCTGAGCTCTGCCTCCTGTCAGATCAGCAGTGGCATTAGATTCTCATGGGAAAGTGAACCTTATTGTGACGTAGGTTGCCTACTCCTTATGAGAATCTAATGCCTGATGATCTGCCACTGTCTCCCATCACCCCCAGATGGGACCGTCTAGTTGTGGGAAAACAAGCTCAAGGCTCCCACTGATTCTACATTATGGTGAGTTGTATAGTTATTTCATATATATTACAATGTAATAATAATATAAAGTACACAATAAATGTAATCCACTTGAATCATCCTGAAACTGAGAGGTGAAGCCAGCTGGACTTCCTGGGTCAAGTAGGGGACTTGGAGAACTTTTTTGTCTTACGAAGGGATTGTAAAATGCACCAATCAGTGCTCTGCAGCTAGCTAGAGGTTTGTAAAATGCACCAATCAGCGCTCTGTAAAATGGACCAATCAGCACTCTGTAAAATGGACCAATCAGCAGGACATGGGCGGGGACAAATAAGGGAATAAAAGCTGGCCACTCCAGCCAGCAGTGGCAACCTGGTAGGGTCCGCTTCCTTGCTGTGGAAGTGTTGTTCTTTCACGCTTCAAAATAAATCTTGCTACTGCTCACTCTTTGGGTCCATGCCATCTTTAAGAGCTGCAACACTCACTGCAAAGGTCTGTGGCTCCATTCTTGAAGTCAGCGAGACCACGAACCCACCAGAAGGAACCAACTCCGGGCACAAAAACGTCTACCCCCACTCCACCCCTGGGTCTGTGGAAAAGTTGTCTTCCATAAAATGGGTCTCTGGTACCAAAAAGGTTGGGGAACCGTGGCTTAAGCCACCCAGTCTGTGGTATTTTGTTATGGCAGCCCTAGAAAACTAACACAAGGATTGAAAAAAATGAAAAAATCAGTAATAAAAAGGATGTGCCAGCTCTTTTTATTTGTAGTTTGAAAATGAATTATGTAACGTGTCTTTGTTGGGGGGGGCAAAAAAAGACTGGATATAATATACTTGATCCTAGATTACATTGAACTGATCAGACCCCAACTAAACTAGACAGGAGATATGGCAGAAAATCCCACATTAAGGACTTCCTTTTAATGAAAGCTGCTATGTGTTATCACTAAACTTTAATTTTGCTGTAGCAACCCATTCTTTTGGTAACCTCGTATGAATCACTGAACATTGTGACTCTTGATTTAAAGGCTTCTAAAATGTAGGGTTTTATTCTTTTTTTTTTTTCATCCAGTAAACCACTGTTTGTTTATTTTTCACAGTACGCTGGCTCTGTGTTTTCAGGATGAGTCAAGCACGGCCCCTGTCCTTATTGAGTTCGTGGTAGAGCAGAGGAGGCAATATGTGAACAGCTAATTACAAGACAGTATAATGAGTGATACAAGAGCTACGAACAAGGAGCTGTGAGGGGAGGGAGTCACCCCAGGTTGAGGTTGCTGAACATTTCCTGTTCTGAGCCTAACAAGTAGTTTGTGGTCAGATTCCACAGATAGAAGATGAGAATGAAAATTTAGTGAGCAGTGAGATCAAAATTGCCTCAAAAGCTACGCTAAAGAGTTTGGACTTTGCTTGTAGGCAGCAGGTAGCCTACAGGTAGTGCAAATATGAGAGATTTACATTTTCAAGAGACGGCTCTAGTGGGAATGTAGGGCTGGTGCAGAGGCAGTGAGACCTCTCAGAAGACGCTTCATGAAAGATTCAACGAGGGCAGAATCATTGCACACACTTTTCATAATGATAGATTGGTGAATGGGGCAGAGAATGATGCCCCGTTTCTGTGTCTTGGATGACAAGGACTTGGAGAGGAAGATGAGAGAGAGACTAGCCCAGATGACCTCTGGGTTTCTGCTTCAGGTTAGAGGTGTTAGCCACTGAGGTAAAAAATACAGATGGTGGAGAGGCAGGTTGATGGGCAAAGGCTTCTCTACTTTGGGCATGCTGTGTTTTCATTTTCTATCACCTATTACATTAAATATTAACTCTTTCTTTGACTTTTATAACTTTTTATTTAAGATGAAACCTATTTCTTGGCCTTCTCACCCTATTGCCTGTGTTTACCCCACAGTTTGCTAAGTTTGGCTATCTGCTATTTTCAGACAAAATAAATTTTTTTCTCTGCCCCTTTGCACACAATTTTCTTTCCCTGGCTTACATACCTCCCTTTTATCTCTTCTGGTAGAAAATTATCTGTTCTTAAAGGCTCTTCTTGGAAGTCCTACTTAATCCTTGTGAATGTTTGCAATTTTGGCAGCACTTTCTTTGTACTTATATAAGTGTAAACAGTTATCATTCTGCCTTTAATGTTGCAACTAGTTGTGTATTTCTCTTATTGCCATATTGGAGCTTATTCATATTTATTTCCTGAATGCCTAGGGTATTATTTTGAACAAAATATAAGTGTTTATTGGCTTGAAAGGAACTAAAAGAAGATTGAAGTTGGTTTGGGGGGGTGTTGAATGTTATCTAGAGGCATTTTTTGGGTTCTCAACCCTTTAATCTTCCTCTGTACTTTTGTTAATCCAGTAAGGGTTGTTTTGGTAGAAGTAAAAGAATAGTTGAAATTATCAATGACTTGAAGAAGGGACACCCCCTCTCCTCCCCGAGACTGGTTTGTACCTTTTACTTTGAAAGATCACAGTTTTTACTTATCTATAGGCAGTTTTATTTTTCTACCCTTCTAATTTCTTTCAGAACCCTGTTGAAGTTTTAGCTAATTAACATAGCTTAAATGTCTTATATTTTATTTCATACATTAAAATTAACTCAAGGGAGCAAAAGTAGCCCTGAAGGCTCCTGTGAGCTATTGGAGGAAGGTTGAAATTCAAAGTGTTTTAGCTAATAAACAAGAAAAGAGATGGCTGTTAACAGGGCCTTTTTATACTACAATGAGGGTAGAATTAAAAAAAATCAGAACTATATTGGGAAGGAACAAGGTTATAGAATATAATTGTGTTACCCAAGTTGGCATTAAAAAAGACATTTCACGGCCAGGCGCAGTGGCTCACGCCTGTAATCCCAGCACTTTGGGAGGCTGAGGCGGGCGGATCATGAGGTCAGGAGATCGAGACCATCCTGGCTAACATGGTGAAACCCTGTCTCTACTAAAAAATACAAAAAAAATTAGCCAGGCGTGGTGGCAGGTGCCTGTAGTCCCAGCTACTTGGGAGGCTGAGGCAGGCGAATGGTGTGAACCTGGGAGGCGGAGCTTGCAGTGAACGGAGATCGTGCCACGGCACTCCAGCCTGGGCGACAGAGTGAGACTCCGTCTCAAAAAAAAAAAAAAGTCAACATATTCTACAGTGTTCATATTGTGTGCCAGTGTGGCTCTATATAATGACAGTTGATGGCTTGGTTCATTAAGCTTATCAATTTAATTTTCAGCATCTTTAGAGCATTTAGAGAAGCACACCTAAATTTGGAAAATCTATAAAAACCTTTTTTATACTCTTAATTTTAATATATAAATATTTTTACACACCATTGAAAATATGTCCGGTTTTGTGGAATGTTAAACTTGCAGAATTAATAGAGTGGGAATTTCTTCTTTATAAATTACTTGAAACTTTTAATTTAGCACCATTCCCATGGAAGTTCCTTCCTGTATCTACGATGAAGGTGTGTCTTTATAGCCTAGCACAGATTTACAGACTAAAGAAAGTAAGCAAACCCAAGCTCTCTAATGCTGCAAGCTTGGAGATTTTCTATATGAGAGGGACCCCTGAAGTCTGAGAAAGAGGGGAATGGGAGGGTTTTGTATCTATGGCAAAAGGTAAAGTTAGCAAGACATGGGCTTAAACCCTACATTAGAATCATCTTTGTTGCAAGTTGTTCCAACTAAACTTCCTTACAGAAATATAACTGATTTAGTACTGAAAAAGAAAATGAGGACACAGGATTTATTTTACAGGATAACTTGAAAGCTAATTTTACTGGTTGCTGGTATTCCTTCAAGAGGTGGGAGACCTTTTCAAATAGCGCCCTCCTATCCTCCGCCTTGGTGAGAATCATCTGCTATGGTGAGTCACAGTCACTGATAGGAGTAAGTTAAATCTCTTAGGTGAGTTAGGGTTAAAAAAAATAGTTTCAGCTTTCTTTTTTTCCACAGGATTGCCAAGCCATATTTACTTTCTGAAATAAAAGGAATCATTGAAAACCTCACTTGACTTTAGTTTAATCAATATCAAATAACTGTATTGGAGTATTTTAAAAGAAGACGTAGGTACAAACAACTTATAAAAGTGAATAACTTGCAAGTTGCAATTGCCTTTTTTGATGGAAGCATGATGTTCTTATACAAAGTTCTTTTCACATTTCTTACTTCTCTGGCATTTATTATAAGGAACAAAGCATTTCTGGAACGCTCATTTTAATTTCAAAGCCCAGGCTATTCTATGGAAAACATTTGGCGCATGGAGGATCTGAACAATAGAGGAGGAATGTGCAGTGGGAAGCATCATGAATTGCAGCACTTAAAATACATTCCGAGGGAACACTTCAGACAATGATACTTATTCTTTGTTTTAAACAAAGATTTTAAACTGGTAGTTATAATTTGTCTTAATCTGGACAAATACCTTTCAACTCTCAATATATAAATTAGACTGACAAGAGTGAGATATTTGCCTTTTGGAATTTGTGAAAACCCATGTAATAAATCAGGCTTATTATTATTCTTATATAATCCATGATGAAGACACATGATCTTATTTAGCTGCTTGTAAAGCATATAGAATGAGCTTTGCTAACTGCCACATTTAGCATGGGGGGCCCCAAGAGCAAGATAAACTTAGATCCAGAGAGAATACCTTTGTTAAAGATTCCTATAACCAATTTTCTGCACCTACATGGGGAACAAACTAGAAAATATACATGAAATGCCAACAAATATTTGTGTCATATTATGCATTTTCCAAAATACTTTACCTTATTTGACCTTCCCCAGTCTTGTAGGATAACAATGATTGTTTTTATTTTCTAAGAGAGGAAACAAAGGCCTGCCACAAGACATTCCACTCTGGGTGATGAACATGGAAATAAAGCAAATTAGAATGAAACAGAGGATCTATTGGGTAAGGGGAGGAGGGTAGGAGGGCAGATGAAAATGATTTTCATCCGCATATTTCCCCCATAACTTCTTAAGTTTTTTTTTTAGTTCATGGATAAAAACTGGGTCCAGATATCCAAGTAAACAAACATCGAATGCTCCATAAACAAACAACAACGAAAATCTCTAGGGACTACTGAGCAGGAAGCATTATGTAGTTTGCTGTCAAAGATGTGATGCATGATTATCATGAGCCTCCACTGTTTCATGACATGCAGCAGATTAGCTTTCAAGAGGAGTTTCAGGTCTTCTATTTTAAATATTAGATACAAGTTGTTTTTTTCCTTTCTCTCATTCCTCTACGATGGTGATTTTAAAGCTTTGTTTATAAAAATTTAATCCAAAACTTGTAATTGTGATCCAAGATTTAATTAAGAAATGGGTTGTTTTTTTTTTTTTTTTTTTTGAGATAGAGTTTTGCCCTTGTTGCCCAGGCTGGAGTGCAATGGCGTGATTTCGGCTCACCGCAACCTCTGCCTGCCGGGTTCAAGCGATTCTCCTGCCTCAGCCTCCTGAGTAGCTGGGATTATAGGCATGCGCCACCATGCCCGGCTAATTTTGTATTTTTAGTAGAGAGGGGGTTTGTCCATGTTGGTCAGGTTGGTCTTGAACTCCCGACCTCAGGTGATCCACCCGCCTCGGCCTCCCAGAGTGCTAGGATTATGGGTATGAGCCACTGCCCCTGGCCAGAAATGGGTGTTTTTTAATAATGTAATTCAGTATGATGTTTTTGTTTCCAAATACAGAAGCTTAATTTTTATCTTCAAATAATGTTCTTATTATGAGTTTGTTCTTGTATTTGTTAAGATTCATTTCTTTCTTTTTTTCCCCAAGCTTTATTAAATTAAAATTGGCGAATAAAATTTATATATATTTATGGTGTACCCTGTGATGTTTTGATATATGTATACATTGTAAAATGATTAAATCAAGCTAATTAACACATTTCTCACTTCATATACTTGTGGTGAGGAGTTTGTTCAAGTTTTGCTACTCGAAGAATGCTCTAGAAGGCTGTGTATGTGTGTATTGTTTTAATTACAGAAACTTCATATAAAAAATACAGAACTTTGATAAAACAGTCAAAAATGAGAGTAGAAAATTATGTATCTCCAAAATATCAAATAATTATAAAATAAAATTTATACCACTTTTAAGCCAGCAATCTACATTAAGAGGGAGCCAAAAATAATTATAATTAAGTCAGTATTAGTCTATTTAGGCTGAGAATAGAGATAACTAATATTAGGAGAGGGAGAAACATTCTGAATCATATAGAACAGTGGTTGCTTCAGGGGACAAAGTCCAAATCCTTACTATGACCTACTTTCTTGCCCTTTGTAACCTTTCAGATCTGTCTTCTACCCTTTCCCCTAACTCATTTGGCCTCTCAAACAGGTCTCACTCAAAGTCCCCTGTCAAGAGGCCTTTCCTGACCACCCCGATCCCCACTCTCTCTCACTGTATTCCCTCCGCCAACTTTATTTTTCCTCAAAACATTTACTGAACCTTACATTTTTAAATTTGTTTATATGTTTATTGTATGCTGCCGATATTAAGAATGTAAACTCCATGAAAGCATGAAATGCATTTCTTTTCCATCATCCAGAACAATGTAAAAAATAGGTGTTCAGTAAATATTTAACATAGAAATGATTTGATGACTGGGGTAGTTGAAGAGAGGACATTTTAATGTCTATATTTTGAAATTCAATCACTAAGACTCCCACTTCCTTCCTATTTTTAGTTGGGAACTCCACGGTGGCTGCTGTTGCTGTTCTTGGTGCCATGACTTGACTTTTGTAGGTGTACCAACAGCACTGGAAATGAGTCATGTTACTATGAAATACAGTTGACCTTTGAACAACACTGGTTTGAACTATGCAGGTTCACTTTTAATCAGATTTTTTTTCAATAAAAGTTACATCAAGTGTGCCTGCCTCTCCTGCCTTCCCTTCCACCTCCTCCATCTCTTCTGCCTCTTACACCCCCAAGGCAGCAAGACCAACCCTCCTCTTCTTCTTCATCTTCCTCAGGAATATGAATATGATGAGGATGAAGACCTTTATGATGATCCATTTCTACTTGTTGATTTATTTAATTATGTTTTCTCTGCCTTATGATTTTCTTAATAACAAATAACACTATCGTCTCTCTAGCTCATCTTATTGTAGGAATATAGTTATATAGTACATACAGATACAAAATCTGTGTTAATTGACTATTTATGTTATCAGGCTTCTGGTCAACAGTAGGCTATTCGTAGTTATGTTTTTGAGGAGTTGAAAGTTATACTCAGATTTTCAACTGCACGGTGGGTTGGCGCCCCTAGCCCTTGAGTTGCTCAAGTGTCAACTGTACTGTCTTTTGTTCTGGTCTGTAATATCCCAGGACTGTGTTCTCCTTACAATTTGTCAATTTAGTACTTTGTATTTTTCCAATTTTAGGTTACCACACTTGTAAACTGTCCCCAGAACCCTTCCAGCAGGAAAAAAGGACGTTCGAAAAGAGCCAGTGTCCTTCTAGCTTCTGTGGAGGAAGCAACTTGGAATTTATTAGACAAGGGAGAGAAGATTGCCCAGGAAGCTACAGTTTTAAAGGATGAGCTTACGGCTTCACTTGAGGAAGTTCGCAAAGAAAGTGAGTACTCCAATCCTGGTCAGGAGCAAACTGCATATCTTTAGGGTGTTAGTCACCCAAATTAGATTTGTGAGTGTTTTGTTTTTGTTGGCTCCAGTTTTTTAGTCTTTTGCAGAGCTGTGAGGAGCTAGCTGTGGGAGGCAGAGTGGCTCATTAGACAGCTCCAAGGCTCAGTCCCACTCCAGGCTCTTCTTTTTAGTTGCTCGGTCCCCCCAGGCAATTCCTCTTCCTCCCCTGCCTTGCCATAGCTTTTCCATAATAAACAAAGAGAAGAGTACCCTTTTTTGGTCTTAGAATATAGTGAGAAATGACTAATGAAGCTGAAGATTTATTTGTCTATACATAAATAAATTATGAAGTTCCTTGAAAACAGCTGGGAAATAGAAGTTTCAGACCTGACCATCTCAGAAGTACATTTTTAACCTTGCAAATTTCTGGAGGTTTAGACTTCCTAAACTTTTCAAAAAATGCTTTGCATAAACTGTGAATGAGCCAAGTTGCTGCTTTGTTAATATTACATAATAAAAGCATATATTTCATCTTTTTGAGATCTTTACTTATGATAATACAGCAATTTTCTAATGAATATAGGTCTCAACTGTAGGACAGTTTAAAATAATTGCTGAATATTCTTTGGTTAGTGGAATGATTTCGTATATATCAGCTTTCTGCAAGTATCTATTTTGGGAGGAAAAGGAAAGTTAAATTTTCTTGTTCAGCTTTGTAAAAGAGACTTGGGATTTTTAAATATTTTTCTCCCTCAATCCCCCAACGTAACTTTAAGAAAATCAGGAAGCCTTTGCTAATTAAATAATTAAAATGAATATACTAGTAACAATAAGCTTTATGTCACATGTATGATACAGGGGATTTAAAAAAAATTTTTGGCCGAGTGCGGTGGCCCATGCCTGTAATCCCAGCACTTTGGGAGGCCAAGGCAGGTGGATTGCCTGAGGTCAGGAGTTCAAGACCAGCCTGGCCAACATGGTGAAACCCCATCTCTACTAAAAACACAAAAATTAGCTGGGTGTGGTGGCAGGCGCCTGTAAACTTGGGAGGCTGAAGCAGGAGAATCGCTTGAACCTGGGAGGCAGAGGTTGCAGTGAGCCGAGATCACACCATTGTACTCCAGCCTGGGGGACAAGAGCGAGACTTCGTCTCAAAAAAAAAAATTTTTGTATTTATGTGAATTTATTTTTAAAATAAATTTTACTGTGTATATTTAAGGTATACAACATGATGTTATGAAATACATATAAATAGTAAAATGGTTGCTGTAATAAAGTAAATTGACATATTCATAATCTCACAGTTACCCATTTTTTTGTGTGTGTAGCAAGAGCATCTAAATCTACTCCTTTAGTAAAAATCCTGAATACAGCATTATTAACTATAGTCTTCATGTTGTGTACTAGATTTCTAGAGCTCATTCTTCATAACTGCAACTTTGTATCCTTTGATTTGCACTGACCCATTTCCTCACTCCTGCCCCCAGCCCCTGGTAGATACTGTTTTATTCTCTGTCTCTGTATGACTTTCTTAAACAAAGATTCTACATATAAGTGAGATCCTGCAATAGTTTTCTTTCTATGTCTAGCTTATTCCACTTAGCATGATGTTCTTCACTTTCATCCATGTTGTGGCAAATGACAGGTTCTCCTTTTTTCCTTTGTATATATAGACCAATTTCTTTATCGATTCATCTGTTGATGGATGCTTAGGTTGTTTTCATATCTTGACTATTGTGAATAATGATACAGTGAATATGGGAGTGCAGGCATCTTTATGAAGTGGTGATTTCCTTTACTTCAGTGTTATACCCAGAAGAGGGATTGCTGGCTCTTAATGGTAGTTCTATTTCTAATTTCTTTAGGAACCTCCATACTGTTTTCCAAAATGGCTACACTTTGTTATGTATGTTATATACAATTTATATTTTATAGGTATTCTTCAGACAATAAATAGAAAACATAATGTGCAAAATAATTTGAAATATATTTGTTGTTTTTCCCTGCTCCCTACCAACTGAGACCCTCTCTTTGTCCTTGTTCTTGATCATCATCTTAGTCACCAAGCCAGTTTAGACTCTTCCTTTCATTCCACCCTCTCTTCCAATTAATGTCTAAGTTCAATGAACTTTTAAAAACTTTTCTAAAACTTTTATTTTAGGTTCAGGGTACATATGCAGGTTTGTCATATTGGCGTCATGGGGGTTTGGTGTACAGATTCTTTTATCAGTCAGGTTCAATGAATTTTTTCTCCTTGTTGTCTCTCAGATCTGTTCCTTCTACTCTATTCCTAACATTGCTTCATGAATTCAGGATTATTGCATTAGCCTTCCTCCATAGTAAAATCAAATAGATCTTTTAAAAATGAAAATATGCTCATTTTACTTCTCTGCTTAAAATCATTTTTAGTAGCTGTTGGAGGATCAGGGGGACTATCTTTTTCAATAAAGTTCAAACTTTTAAACCTACCTCCCAAAGCATTTCATGATTTGGCTTCTACCATTATCTTGCACCTCTTTCCTGTGATGCACCTCCCTCATATGTTCCTCCAAACAGGAACTCGCAGTTTCTTGAATGTTCCGTGTTGCTTTATGCCTCTGTGCATGTGTTATCAGCTACAGTCATACCTTACTTAACAATGGGGACATGTTCTGAGAAGTGCATCCATATGCCATTTTGTCATTGTGTGAACATCATAGAGTGTACTTACACAAACTTAGATGGCATAGTCTACAACACACCTAGGCATCCTAGGCTACAAACTCGTACAGCATGTTACTATACTGAATGCTGCCAGCAATTATTAATATAACATAGCGGTAAGTATTTGTATATCTAAACATAGAAAAGACACAGTAAAAATATGGTATAAAAAATTAAAAAATGGTACACCTATGTAGGGCACATACCATGAATGGAACTTGCAGGACTGGAAGTTGCTCTCAGTGAGTCAGGGAATCATGAATGCCTAGGACATTACTGTATATCACTGTAGACTTTATAAATACTGTACACTTAGGCTACCCTAAATTTATTTAAAAATATTTTTCCTTCTTCAATAATAAGTTAACCGTAGCTTACTGCAACTTTTTAACTTTATAAACTTAAAAAATTTTTAACTTTTTGACTCTTTTGTAGTAATACTTAGATTAAAACACATTGTACAGCTGCACAATATTTTCTTTTTTATGTCCTTATTCTATAAGTTTTTTTCTTTTTTACATTTTTAATTATTTTTTTTTTTACGGTTTAAAGTTTTTTTTACTAAAATCTAAGACACAAATACACACATTAGCCTAGGCCTACACAGAATCAGGGCTATCAATATCACTGCCTTCCACTTTCATATCTTGTCCCACTGAAAGGTCTTCAGGGGCAATAACACGCATGGGAATTTTCATCTCCTGTGATAACAATGCCTTCTTCTGGAAGTGTTACCAAAACCCACAGGCGTTGCACTACAATGTTACTATGGCTATGAGGTCACTAGGCAATAGGAGTTTTTCGACTCTACTATATTCCTATGGGACCACCGTCATGTACGCATCTGTTGTTGACCAAAATGTTGTTATGCAAAACATGACCTTATTCCCGTCACTTGGATTGCTTTTCTAATTCAGCCAGTTTTTGCTCATGTAGCAAAGCTGAGCCCAGGTCATCTTTTCCAGGAAGTGTTTACTGACCCCGTATGCTGATTTAGATGACTGTCTTCTGTGTCCTTACAGACTGAGCACCTCTCGTTCATGACACTAACCACCCCATACAGTAAACATTGATGTACTTGTTTAGTAAATCATGACTGTTAGTTAATTTATTGAGCGTGGCAGGTACCAAGTGTTATTTGATTACCAATGCCTGACACATCACAGACACCTGTTAAACGTTTGTTAAATAAATTAAAAAGTTGAAGCATCCTTTTGTCACTTTATATTATAAAATTTTGTAATAGTCTTATCTTTGCTTTTACGGAAAATTAACTCTCATAATTATAGTTTCTCTGTTGATTCTTTGGTAAGGGATATGAGCCCTATCCTGACATTGTTTCTGTAGGAAAATGTGATCTATTTGACAACATAGTTTCCATAAACTGTCTGGTAATAAGTATGTACGTCATCAGTCATTCTCAGAAGGGAACAATAATTGCCATGAGATGGTATTTCCCTTTGTTTTTAAGTAAGTTAATCTTTTTAGTTCAAAAAAAAGATGTTATTTTAAAGAGAAGTTCTCAAAGAGAAGTCTTGATTCTAGGATTATGCTGTACAGGGTATATCCTTCACTGTGTTCTATTATAATGTGTGAAATACCTCTACATGTCATATGCTGTATACACAACAGATTCATTTGGTTAAAGATCACCAAATGCTTTACTGTGTGATTTATTTGACAAACTGCCAAAATGAGCTACCGCCAGCAACTTCAGTGTGGGAGGAAAGCAATGCAATGGCACATCGTTCTGGAATTTGGGGAACAGCCAATGATTATCCTATGGATAGTAGGGATAGTGACAGTGAAAGCACTGTTCCCAAAAGCTTGGAAGGAATTTTAAGCTCAGTGGTGGGGTTGAAGTATAAGAAGAATGGATTCTGATCCAATAAACTCTACAAAATACTTGAAACATATTTTAAGTAGTTTCCTGCTTTGAGTTTTTTTTTTTTTAAAGGTATTTGTCCAGTGGCATAAGGTGAAGGACTAATGAAGAACAACTAATAAGGTTAAAGTATTTGGAAAAGTGAAAATATATTGAGAGTACAGATAGCTTTATTATATATTTATTGACTTATTTTTAAGAATTTTGAGACCAATTTAGAAAACTTTTCCTTCCAATAAAGACATACTATAATTTATGTAGCCTTACTACAAGATTCTGTTTTATTGCTATCCGTGGCTTTATTTACAGACTTGAAGTGATAAATAATGTGGGTATTTTGGTTACCTAAAGAACCTGCCCATGAAAGGTGAAACAGGGGTAGTATAAAGGAGAGACGGTGAAAGGAAAGGTAGTATGTGTAGTATGTGGGTAGAAGTGTAGAGATTCAGCAGAGGTGGTTCACATTGTAAGTAATACTTATAGTTACTCATGATCTTATGGCTTACTCCTACACTACCAATACAATGACAAAGTATTAAATTTGACATTTTCTTTAAATAGTTTTAGAATATTCGTATAGCAGTTACCCAGGAATTAGGTAAGAGTTGTTTATAATGTCTAGATTACATGTTTTGCCTGTAGCATATATACTACCTTTATATAGTTTCTATTACCCTAAAATCTCTAGACATTGCTTCTAAGCCAGGGGTCCCCAACCCTGGGTCGTGGACCGGTACTGGTCCATGGCCTATTGGGAACCAGGCCGTACAGCAGGAGGTGAGTGGCAGGCAAGTGAGCATTACTGCCTAAGCTCCACCTCCTGACAGATCAGCTGCGGCATTAGATTCTCATAGGAGTGTGAGCCCTATTGTGAACAGCGCATGTGAAGGACCTAGTTTGTGTGCTCTTTATGAGACTCTAACGCCTGATGATTTGAAGTGGAATGGTTTCATCCTGAAACCATCCCCATTCCCCCCATCCACCATCTGTGGAAAAATTATATTCCATGAAACCGGTTTCTGGTGCCAAAATGGTTGGGGACAACTGTTCTAAGCCACACAAGTGGTTATTTTTAATGTTTTAAATGGTTTATTGAAGAATAACATATATACAGAAAAGTGCACACATTATCTCTAACAACAATACATATCCACATAGTGAACACACTCATGTAACCTCCACCCACGTCAAGAAATAGAATATTATTAGAACCCTAAGAGGGCCCCTTGTCCCCGCTACCAGCTACTACTCTGTCACTATCCTGACTTCTAACACCATAGGTGAGTTTTGCCTCTTTTTGAACTTCAAATACTGAGACTATACAGTATGTTGTATTTTGTGTCTGATTTCTTTTGCTTAATGTTGTATGTCTGTGAGAGCTCACCATGTAGTAGTTCATTCATTCATTGATAATAAACCATAATTTATCTATCTGTTCTATTGCTGATGAACATTTGAATTATTTCTGGTTTTTTCTTTAATGAGCATTGCTATTATATACACATTTGTGTATTACTTTCAGTGCATTAATGTAGACTTTCTTTTGGACTAATACCTAGGAATGAAATTTCTGGGTCATAAGGTATACATATGCCCAGCTTTAGTAGATATTACCAAACAGCTTTCCAAAGTGAATTTTCTAATACGAGCTCCAACTGCTCCACATTCTTGTGAACTTGGTGAACTTGGTGTTGGCAAGTGTCAGTGTTTTTAATTCAAATGTATGTAGTGGTATTATATTGTAGTTTTAATTTGTATTTCTGTGATAACTTTTTATATGTTCTAGATATGAGTCCTTTTGTTAGTTGTAGGTATTACAAATATCTTCTCCCTTTCATAATATTAACCATTTTTTAATATTCAGAAGTTCTTAATTTAAATAAATTCCAAATTATTATTTTGTTCCTTTATGGGTAGAGACTTTTATGTTCTGTTAAAAAAAAACTTTGTTAACATAACTACTTCAAAGTCAAGAAGATATTTTCTTACGTTACTATCTGGAAGCTTTATTGTTTTATAATCTACCTGGGAATAAATTTTTATGAATTGTGTGAATTAGAGGTCATATTTTTTTTGAAATACAGAAATTTAATTGCTCCAGTACCATTTATAAGCATTTAGATGTTTAGTTTTTCCAGTACCACTTATTGAATAAACTGTTTTTTTCTTTTGAATTACTCTTTCACCTTTGTTGAAAACCAGTTGACCATATATGTATGGGTCTACTTAGGTGCTCTTACATGAATATGAATCTTTGATTTATATATCTATTCTTACACCAATGCCACAATAGTCCTAATTACTGTACCTCATAGTAATTGAAATACAAATTATTTTTATTAGGTTATTCTAGGTGCCTTGAACCTCATAGAAATTTTAGAATTAGCTTGTTAATTTTTACAAAAAAGTCCACTGAGATTTTGGTTAGGACTAGATTAGATCTATGGATCAATTTGTGCTGAACTGACATTTTAACAGTGATGAGTCTTCTGATTAAAAACATGGTATATATCTCTACATTTATTGTGGATACAAATCTTGCACATATTTTATTAAATTTGTCCCCAAGTATTTCATATCTTCTGATATTTTAAATGGTACTTTATAACATTTAATTTAAATATATCACAATAATTCTTTCTGCCCTCTCCAGTCTATTTTAAAATCCATCCAGTGAACTTTTTTTTTACTTTAGTTCCTGAATTTTCATTTGTTTTTTGAAAATAGTTTCCATTCCTGAAATGTCCTATCTATTCATCCATTAGGACTAGCCTCTTTTAAAATCTATTTATGATAGTTGCATTACACCCTTTATTTGCTGACTACAACTGGGTTTTGTTTCTGTTGACTGATTTTTCTTTTACTATGGGTGACATTTTCCTGTTTCTTCATATGATAGTAAGTTTTGGTTATATACTTGACAGCATAGAAAATAGACTATAAGTATTTTGGATTCTTGTTTGGGTGAAATGGTAGAGATGGAAAAAGAAAGAGATGTTTCGGATTCTTTTATTTTCCTTGGAAGAGTGTTGAGTTTTACTTCAGCAGGTGGTTAAATTACTGATGAATAACCAGGAGTTTGTGTAGCCTTTTTAACAGGTTGATTCGGTTTTTATTCTTACAGAGAATTCTTAGTCCTGGGACATAGTCTTTTATTCTATAGTGTGGCCTTGGTGGAGTTTCAGTGGACAGTTTGATGTGTTTACAAAACCCATCTAACTTGCAGGATTCAAACTTTAAACTCTGTTGTTCCTGAAATGAAATGGGCAGCAATTGAAATCACAGCACAGATTTTTATTTTTATTTTTTTTCCTTATGAGTATTGGTTTCTATTGGGTTCTTCAGCATCTCCCCAATTTTAGAAAAATTCATGTGTACCTTTAGGGCTCCCCAGTCTGTAGTTTTCTCTTTTATGAGATTTTTTTACCTTCAGTTTTTGCTCATTCTGTCCTTTCCCAGACTCTGTCCTGTGACATCTTAAATCAGTAAGATGGTAGCTTTCTACTTGAGTTCTAACTGCCCTATGCTGTCCCAGTGGAGAGTGTACTTACAGGAAATGCCATATAAATGTAACTCTCAACCACTACGGTTTCTAGTATTTCAAGAGTCAAATTCTCTCCAGTTTCTTTTTTCTTTCTGTCCTTGTCAGGTGCCTTGAAATAGTTGTTTTGGGAGGAGCCAAGATAGCTGACTACAGGGTTCAGGAAGAGCTTCTCCCACCAAGAGACCACACCGTCAAAATCAGCACATTCTGAACAGTACTTCGGAAGGAAGGCATTGAAAGTGGTTGGAAGGAGAATGCAGATCCTGGGCTGAAGGGGGGAGGAAGTTGGGAACCCTGCATGGGGTTGCCAAGCACCAGGACTCATTCCTGGCCCTGAGAGGCTCCCAGGGAAGGGATGAGTTAAATAGGCATAGAGTGGCCTGCTCTCACCAGGGACCTCAAGAATCCTAGGTGCAGGAGACCCCATGATCCCCATAGACATTTGAACTGACAAGGAGAGCTGTTTGGAGAGCTGGCAAAGACAGGAATCCAGCCTGCATGGAACCCAGAAGGTTTGGAACAAGAATGATCACAGTGGCACATGGCCAGGGATGCCCAGCCCCCAAGGCTTGCCATACTCCTCTAGGTGGTTTTGGCCTTTCTTAACTGTCAGATCTAGACAGAACAGGGCTATCTAACTGTAGGGTGGAGCCAGTCTGATGAGTGCTCCTCTGTCTGCCCAGCCTCTCCCAAGGTCTCTGTCTGGCTGCATCCACTTGCAGTACAGCCTCAGACGCCCAGCTGATATACTTTCCTGTAGCCACCACCATAACTCTTTGGCTGGTAGATCCAATATAACTGTCAGATAACTTTTGCAGATGGGCCCTCACCAGTGTGCACCCTCTCACAGCTTCCACCCACCACTTTGCTGGTGTGCATTCACCTGCAGCCTCTTCCTATAAACCTTGCCACTGCCACCCTGGTGCCACTGGAGCACATGTGCATGCACAGCCCCCACCGCCCTACCACTGCCCTGTTGCTGCAGGTGCACACATGTGAGCATGAACCCCACTGACACCACCCTGATGAAGGGCTTTTGTCAGCACCCTCCATCAGAGTATTGTTGCCAGTGGACCAGGAAAATCTTGGTCTCTCCAGTGTAGCAGGGCCAGAGAACAAAGCTGTGGGCTTGGTCCCAGCCCCCACAGGGTTAGAGCATGCAGCACAGAAGTGATGAGCTGAGCCTTGACCTTCTGAAATCATCCAGAAATGAAGCCAGTTGACCAAATCCAACTTATACCACAGTCAAACCACCAAGGGCATCAAAGAATATAAAAGCAAAAAGCTCGATCCAAAGGAGAACAAGCTCAAAGATTTAAGGGAACATCAACCCACACAGATGAGAAAGAACCAGTGTAAGAACTCTGGCCACTCTAAAAGTCAATGTATTCTTACTTCCAAATGACTGCACTAGCTCACCAGCAGTGGTTTTTAACCCAACTGAAATGGCTGAAAGACAGCATAGAATTCAGAATTTGGATGGCAAGAAAGATTATCAAGATTTGGGAGAAAGTTGAAACCCAATCCAAGGAATCTAAGGAATCCAGTCAAATGATTCAAGAGCTGAAAGATAAAATAGCCATTTTAAGAAAGAACCAAACTGATCTGATAGAGCTGAAAGACTCACCAAAAGAATTTTGTAATATAACTGGAAGTATTAAAAGCAGAATAGATCAAGCTGAGGAAGGAATCTCAGAGCTTGAAGGATGGTTCTTTGAAACAACTCAGTCAGATAAAAATAAAGGAAAAAGACAAAAAAGGAGAAAACCTCTGAGAAATATGGGATTATGTAAAGAGACCAAATCTATGACTCATTGGCATCCCTGAAAGAGAGGGAAAGAGAGAATGCCTTGGAAAACATATTTGAGGATATTGTCCACAAAAATTTCCCCAATCTCTGTAAAGAGGTTGACATTCAGATACAGGAAATTCAGAGACCCCTGTGACATACTATACAAGATGACTATCCCCAAGACACATAATTATCATTCTCCAAGGCAAATGCCAAAGAAATAGTACTATAGGCATCTAGAGAGAAGGGGCAGGTCATCTACAAAGGGAATCCCATCAGGCTAATAGTGGACCTTTCAGCAGAAACCCTAGAATCTGGAAGAGACTACAGGCCTATATTCAGCATGCTTAATCCTTGAAGAAAAGAAATTCCAACCAGGAAGTTCATATTCAGTCAAACTAAGCTTCATAAGCAAAGGAGAAATAAAACCCTTTTTAGAAAAGCAAATGCTAAGGGAATTTGTTACCACTAGACCTGTCTTTCAAGAGGTCCTTAAAACCCATTTACACCTAGTGTTCCATCATTGGAACAATAAGCATATGGGAATTATTTATATCCTACTACTCAAGGTCATCACCAAGGTCTGATTGTAAAAATTAAAAAAATTGCAACCTCAGGTATAAATGGGTTAAGGGAGTGCTAAACATGGAAACAAAAGACTATTACCAGCCACCACAAAACACTTAAGTACATAGATCCAATGCACTATAAAGCAACTACATAATCAAGTCTACATAAACACCAGCTAACAACATAGATGGCAGGATCAAATCTGCACATATCAATGTTAACCATAAATGTAAATGGGTTAAATGCCCCACTTAAAAGGCATAGAGAAGTAAGTTGGATAAAGAAGCAAGATCCAACTGCATGCTGTCTTCAAGAGACCCATCTCACCTACAGTGACACCCATATGTTCAAAATAAAGGGATGGAGAAAGATTTACCAAGCAAATGGAAAACAAAAAAGAGCTGAGGTTGATATTTTTTATTTCAGACAAGTCAGACTTCAAACCAGCAATGATGACAAAAGACAAAGAAGGGCATTTCATAATGTTAAAGGGTTCAATTCAACAAGAAGACTTAACTATTCTAAAAATGTATGTACTCAACACTAGAGCATCCAGATTGATAAAACAAGTTCTTACAGACCTATAAAGATAGATAACCACACTATAATAGTGGGAGACTTCAACACCCTACTGACAGAATTAGACAGACCATGGAGGCAGAAAACTAACAAAGATATTCAAAACCTAAACTCAACACTTGACTGAATAGACCTAACACATCTACAGAAGACTCCACCCAACCACAGAATATACATTCTTCTCATCTGCACATGGCACATACTCTAAAATCAACCAAATGCTCAGCTATAAAGCAATTCTCAACAAATTCAAAGAAACTGAAATCATACCAACCACATTCCAGGTCCTCAGTGCAATAAAAATAGAAATAAATACCAAGATGGTCTCTCAAAACCATACAATGACATGAAAATTAAACAATGTGCTCCTGAATGACTTTTGGGTAAACAATAAAATTAAGGGAGAAATCAAGAAATACTTTGGAATAAATGAAAACAAAGATACAATGTACCAGAATCTCTGGGACACAGCTAAAGCAGTGTTAAGAGGAAAGTTTATAGCACCAAATGCCCACATCAAAAAGGCAGAAGGCTCTCAAATTGACAGTCTAAATTTTAGCTAGAGGAACTAGAAAAGCAAGAGAAAAACAACCTCAAAGTTAATGGAAGAAAAGAAATAACCAAAATCAGAGCTGAACTGAATAAAATTGAGACGTAAAACACATTTTGGTGTGTATATGCATGATAAAATTCTACTCAGACATAAAAGGAACAAATTAATGACATTCACAGCAACTTGGATGGAGCTGGAGACTATTATTCTAAGGGAAGTAACTCAGGAATGGAAAACCAAGCATTGTGTGTTCTCACTCACAAGTGGGAGCTGAGCTATGATGATGCAAAGGCATAAGAATGATACAATAGATTATGGGGACTCATTGGAAAGGGTGGGAGGTGGGGTGAGGGATAAAAAACTACAAACTGGGTACAGTGTATACTGCTCGAGTGATGGGTGCACCAAAATATCACAGATCACCACTAAAGAACTTACTCATGTAACCAAATGCCACCTGTTCCTCCAAAACTCATGGAAATAATTTTTTTAAAAAATAAAAAATC
Organism: Homo sapiens; assembly: GCF_000001405.40. Lineage (NCBI taxonomy): Eukaryota > Metazoa > Chordata > Mammalia > Primates > Hominidae > Homo > Homo sapiens. Next base: position 67,594,716 of record NC_000010.11, on the reverse strand, counting down.
AATGAAACCTAAAGTTTGTTTTTTGAAAGAACAAATAAGATTGATAGACTACTACCTAGATTATGAAAAAAAAATAGAGATGATCCAAATAAACACAATCAGAAATAAAAATGGGGACATTACCATCAACCTCACAGAAACATAAAAAACCCTCAGAGACTATTATGAACACCTCTATGCACATAAACTAGAAAACCTAGAAGAAACTGATAAATTTCCAGAAACATACAAGCTCCCAAGAATGAACCAGGAATAAATTGAAACCCTGAACAGATCAGTAATGAGTTCTGAAATTGAATCAGTAATAAAAAAATCCCTGCTAATCAGAAAAAGCCCTGGAACAGATGAATTCACAACTAAATTCTACCAGACATATAAAGAAGAGCTGGTACCCATCATTCTGAAACTGTTCAAAAAATCGAGGAGGAGGGATTCCTCCCTGATTCTACGAGGTCAGCAACACTCTGACACCAAAACCTGGCAGAGACACAATGATAAAAGAAAACTTCAGGCCAATATACCTCATGAACATAGATGCAAAAAGCCTCAATAAAGTACAAGCAAACTGAATCCAGCAGCACATCAAAAAGCTAATTCATGACAATCAAATAGGCCTTATCCCTGGGATGCAAGTTCCGTTCAACATATACAAGTCAATAAATGTGATTAATCACAAAAACAGAACTAAAAGACAACACACGATCATCTCAATAGATACAGAAAAGGCTTTCAATAAAATTCAACATCCTTTCAGTTTAAAAACCCTCAACAAACTAGGCATCAAAGGTACATACCTCAAAATAATAAAAGCCATCTATGACAAAGTCACAGTCAACAGCATATGAATAGGCAAAAGCTGGAAGCATTCTCCTTGAGAACTGGTGCAAGACAAGGATGCCCACCCTCATCACTCCTATTCAACATAGTACTGGAAGTCCTAGCCAGAACAATCAGTCAAGAGAAAGAAAAAAAAATGTATCCAAGTAGGAAGAGAGGAATTCAACCTATCTTTCTTTGCAGACGATTTAAGCCTATACTTAGAAAACCTCATCGTCTCTGCCCAGAGGCTCCTAGACCTGATAAACAACTTTAGCAAACTTTCAGGATACAAAATCAACATACAAAAATCACCAGCATTTCTATACAGCAATAACATCCAAGCAAAGAGCCAAATCAAGAATACAATCCATTCACAATAGCCACAAAAAGTACAAAATACCTAGGAATACAGCTAATCAGGGAGGTGAAAGGTCTTTACAAGGAGAACTAGAAAATGCTGCTGAAAGAAATCAGACATGACACAAATAAATGGAAAAACATTCCATGCTCATGGATCAGAAGAATCAATATTGTTAAAATGGCCATACTGCCTAAAGCAATTTACATATATATCCAAAAGAAAATAAATCATTCTACCAAAAAGACACATACACTCATGTGTTCACTGCAGCACTATTTACAATAGCAATGACATGGAGTCAACCCAGGTGCCCATCAATGGTGGATTGGATAAAGAAAATGTACCATGTATACACCATAGACTACTATGCAGCCATAAAAAAGAATGAAGTCATGTCCTTTGCAGCAACATGGATGCAACTGGAGGCCATTATCCTGAGTGAATGAACACAGGAACAGAGAACCAAATATCACATCTTCTCACTTATACTTGGGAGCTAAACATTGGGTACATATGGACACAAAGAAGGGAATAATAGACATTGGGGCCTACTTAAAGGTGGAGGGTAGGAGAAGGGTTAGGATTGAATAACTACTTACCAGGTACTGTGCTTACTACCTGGGTGATGAAATAATTTGTACCCCAAACCCAGTGACATGCAGTTTACTGATGTAACAAATCTGCACATGTACCCCCGAACCTAAAATAAATGTTGGAAGGAGAAAGTTAAAAAAAGTAGTTGGTTTATATATTTTGTCTGTTATTTGTGAGAGGATTAGTCATATGTATTCTATCTTATTATTGCTAGCAGTGGAAACTGCCACTTTCTGTTTTGAGTTTATTTTTTCCTCTGAGTAAATAATTTTAAGTTGGAAATCAGTTCTTTTTTTCTTTTTTAAAGCAAGTTGGAGAGGTTATTCTTTTGCCTCTGGATTCCATTGTTGCTACTGACAAATTAACTATAAGTCATTTTGCAACTTCCTTGAAGGTACTGTGCCTTTTTTCTCTGACTTGTTTAAACCATTTTTAAAATCTTTTGTTTTTAGAAATATTGTGGCTTTTTTGCTCCCATAGTTCGGCGAGTGGAAGAGAGTGGTGTCCAGCAGCTTCTTCTCTCCCTTTGTTTGGTGAGTGGGAGGGAATGTTACAGCAATTTTACTCCTGCTGCCCCCAGCTTGGTGAGGAGGAATGTTACAGCTATTTTGCTCCAGCAGTTCAGCAAATTCTTGTCCTGAGACCAAGAGGAATAAGGTACATGGACATTGGAGATTGAGTAAGACAAAGTAAAATTTTATTGAGTGACAGAAAGAAAACTCTCAGCAATGAGAGGGGTCCTGAAAGTGGGTAAGGCTGTGAGGCTGAGTCTGGGGTTTTTATGGGCTTAGAATGGGGGACTGCATGCTGATAGGTCCTTGAGTGGTCTTGGAAAAAGCACCATTCAATTGGTTAAAAGACATCATTCAGAAGGAACCAGTTGAGAGAGAGGGGGTAAGATAGGGATGAAAGTTCTCACTCCAGTCGTGGACTCTAATGCTGAACTGGCAGTTCGATTTTCAGGTTTTAGACTTTCCTTTGCTTGAAGGTTGGGTTTCACTGGGGACCCATCCCTGTCTGCAGAGGAATTTGTCTCCTGTTGCTGTCAGTAATATTATTATAATATGCCTTCATGTGGTTTTCTTGGTATTTATCCTGCTAGGGGTTTATAGCACTTGGAAGTCTATGGTTTGATGTCTTTCATTTATTTTGGAGAATTCTTGATCATTTTCTCTTCAGATATCCCTTTTCTTCTTCTCTTACATGTCTTTTCAAATTATGATTATGCATTTAATATTTTTTCATCATGTCTCATAGGTCTCTTATGCTCTTTTCTGTATTTTGTACATTTGTTTTTCTCTTCATGCTTCTATCTGGACATTTTCTATTAACATATTATGGTTAATAATCCTGTGTTTAGCTATGTCTATGTGACATTGAATCCAACTGTTTCAATCTTTATTATATTACTTGGTTCAAGAATTTCCACTTAATATGTTTTTACAAATTATAATTTCCTGCTGAAATTTTCATCATGATATAATTTTTCTTGATCATCTCATTTATACTTAATATCCATATCTAATTTGTGTAATATGGCTCTCTTGTAGGTTTGTTCCTATTGTCTATTTTTCCTTTTGGTTTCTTAAGTATCCAATATTGTCTTTGGTATGTTGGATAATTTTTTATTGGATGCTGGATATTGTGTATTAAAATTATAGAATTAATTTTTAAAGTTTGGTAAAGTACCATTTAAAATGTGGAATGTTGGCTAGACATTTCTTCCTAGGTAGGCCCAGAACTCCAATTTTACCTTCCTAACTTGCTGAGAAAAGGCTTAAAATTATTTGCCCAGTTCCTCTAATCAGCTGCAACATTCTTTTGACTTCTTTGTTGTTCAGTCTCTCTACCACTTGGCTTCTCATAACTATAGACAAAAAGTCAACTCCAGGTAGACTTAGGATCTAAATGTCAAAAACAATTTTAAATACTCTTTAAAAAATAAGAGTTTTTTTTTACGCTTTGGGAGTAGAGCAAGATTTGTTAAACATGAAACAAAAAGCTATGAAAAGACATACATTTTACTAGCTCAAAGTTAACTAGTTTAAATTTTACTAATTCAAATCTTACTACTTCAAAATTAAGAACTTTGTTCTGTCAAAAAATTTTTAAAAGAAAATGGAAAGATACACTGAGAAAAGATATTGGTATAAATCCAACAAGGGATTTGTAACAAGAACATATAGCGAACCTTCACAAATCAAAAAGAAAAGCAAAATGAACAAAAGGAAAATGGCCCGAAAAGAATTTCACAGAAGAGTATACACATGACATCAATAAGAATATAAAGAGATGTCTGTCCTCATTAGTGAGATAGATATGCAAATGAGGTATCATTTTATGCAATTAAACTGGCAAAAATTAAAAAGTCTGACAATACCATATGTTAGAAAGACTTTGAAGCAATAGGATCTTTTAAACATTGCTTGTGGGAATGTAAATTGGTACAACTACTTTGAAAAACAGTTTTGGTATGTCACGTTTGTCAAATGCCAAAGTTCCATATATGCATGGCTATGTTTCTTGACTCAGATCAATTCCATTTCTGGTGGTGGTGGTGTATAGAAATGCAATAGACTTTTTTAAGATAGGTACTTGATGAGATGTTTTCTCTGAAATGAAACATTTGAATGGTAATTTTAAAAAGCAGAAAACATTTGAATTATGCAAACACACATGGCCTGTCCCTTTGGGATCCCCTAGGATAGTAAAGCCTTAGTACTTTGTTTGGCTTATGTGAGTAACCAGTTTTGCAAAAGTGATGTAATGTAGTATATGATACTTGCTGCTTATACATGATATTGCAAAGAACAGAGTATTGTAACAGATAATTAATATATTTTGTATTCATAAACATTTAGGAATATTTTTTCTAAGATAGAGAAAAATGTATACAGTGTAGTCAGCATAGTGATACATGATCTATTATTATGGTAGCTGGGATAACTTGACTTTGAGATTTTTTTAGCATCATGAGTTGTCTTTCAGAATAAATTCTAGAGACAAATAGTAAGCAAAAATATTATTTAGTTTTGTTGTTGGGGAAAAAGATAACTAATGATCTGTGTGTAACAAGTCTTAAAGATTTGTCAGTCAAATTTAGAGTTGTAGAGCAAACTTGGTTGAAATTTACTTGAAAGGTGGCTTAGTAGTACTATGAGATCCCCACAGAGGGTAAGGTTCTCAGTTATCCAGGTTTTAGCTTTTGCTTTCAACTACTAAAAACTTTTCACATGGAATTATAGATTTTAATTGCAATAGAAAAGGCATTCTCTTGTTTTTTCATTAATGCTTTGATGAATATAAAAAGAACAGGAAAAAATAGTGGAATATAAAATAAGCCTGGCTCAGCATTTGTTCTAATCAGAAATAAGAGTTTATAATGAGAGAGAAAGATTATGGAAAGGAAGTGATTAGTCAGTATAACAGTGGGTGTTGTTAGGAGAGAAAGAAGAGGATCACAAAAGAAACTATTTATACTATTTTCCTATGCCTTTTTCCTATTAATTTGCAAACATTTATTGAATGTCTACTGTTTACCTATTTTGGTTAAATATTTAGTGCCTATATTTGGTACTATTTTGGGCCCTGGGTATATAAAAATAAATAAGATATGTCCTGGGCACCCAGAGTATATTGGGAAAAATAGATATGCAAATAGCTGTAATAATGTCTGATAAATGACACTGTAATGGTATGAACAAAGGCTGTGGAGGCACATAGGAAAAAGCAATCAAATAGCGTTTCCAAATAGTGTTTCCAAAGTTCTTTCATTTTCCATTATTAAGTAGGGGAAAGTGAATCTCCCTCATATGAATACAGATAAGTATTATCTGTATACTATCTGTCTTTCCCCAGAGCCTTACATTTCTTTCTCTCTTTTAAAAATAATTATTTATTGAAACCTTTTTGTGGGCCAGGCTCTGTTATATATGCTGGGCTCGCAAAAGTCAACTAGATAGATAAGGCTTGCCCTCACTGAGCTGACTAACATTTTAGTGGGAGACAGACAGGAAAAAAAGTAAAGAGATTTGCTTTTAATTCTTAAAGTGTATAGATTCTTTCTTCTTGAAACGTTTAAAAATGATATTAGTATAAAATAGTTTTCTCATTAGATTTAGATATCTAAAAATGTGTTAGATTTCTAAAAATCTAACACATTTTTAGATTCCTAGTAAAATAAAATGAATATAATGGTTCCTTAACTTATAAGTGGATAATTAACTTAAAATTTCAAGAGTGTTCAGGGAAAGATTAAGGCTCAACTTTTTGTATACTACTCAGAGAAGCCAGGATGCCTACAAAGGTGGAGCACAGCACTAATCAAACCCATGCATACTTTAATGCTTAGCCCACCACTACTACCACTAAAGCCTGACGACAGGTCCATCTGCCAATCCAGTCCCCCCCCCATAAATTCAATACAGTCTCCACTAATAACTTTACCTAATGTATCAAGGAAACCGCAGATACCACTAAGGTTTATAGCCAAAGAAGTCATACTTCACTACTGCACACACACACAAGCAAAGCCAAAGGGCCCCACCCAAGCAATACCAGAGACACAGCTTCAGGAAGAAGCACCCTCCATGAAAAAAAGTAAATTCAAAAATAGAAACAACGGTTACACCAGATGTGGAGATATCAATGTAAAGATTCAGGAAACCTAAACCTAAAGGAACACAATAATTCTTAATTATTAATAATTAATAATAAGATAGATCTTAACAAAAAAGAAATTATCAGAATCCCAGATGAAGAATTCAAAATACTGATTTTAAGGAAGCTCGGTGAGATGCAAGAGACATCTGAAACCAATGTAAAGAAATCAGGAAAACAATTCAGAATATGAATGAGAAATCAAGGAGACAGATATTAAATAAGAAACAGAAATTCTGGAACTGAAGAATTTATTGATGGAAATAGAAAATGTATTCAAAAGCTTCCACAATAGACTAGACTACGTAGAAAAAAGAATTTGAGAACTGGAAGACAAATCTTTAAAAATAATCCAGTCAGACAAAAATATATAAAAAATATGAAAAGGAATGAACAAAGCCTTTGAGAAGTTTGGCACAACATAAAGTAACTGAATTTACAAATTATTGGTGTTCATAAGGGCAAAAAGGGATCAAAAGGTTTAGAAAGCCCATTTAATGAAATAATAGATGAAAACTTCTCAAGTATAACAGGAGATTTAGATATCCAGATACAGGAAGCTCAGTGATCCCCAAATAAATACAATGCAAAAAGGACTTTGCTATGGCACATTATAATCAGACTGTCTAAAGCCAAAGTGAAAGGCACATTCTAAAACAGCAAGAGAAAAGCCCCTAGTCACAACAGAAACTCCATCAAACTATCAGTGGACTTCTCAGCAGAAACTTTACAAGCCAGAAAAGAATTGCATGATATATTCAAAGTGCTGAAAGAAATCAACTATCAGCCAATAATTCTATATCCAGCAAGATTAACCCTCATAAATGAAGGAGAAATAAACACTTTCCAGACAAGCAGATGCTAAGAGAATTCATCACCACCAGACCAGACCTACAAGAAATTCCCAAGGGAATCCTGAACTTAGGCTGAGCATGGTGGCTCCAATCTATGATCCCAGCACTTTGGGAAGCCTAAGCAGTAGCATCACTTGAGTCCAGGATTTCAAGACCAGCCTGGGCAACATAGTGAGACTCTGGCTCTACACACACACACACACACACACACACACACACACACACACACACACACAAGTTAGCTGGGTGTCATGGTGCATGCCTCTGGTCCTAGCTACTTGGGAGGCTGAGGTGGGAGGATCACTTGAGCCTGGGAGGTAGAGGCTGTAGTGAGTTGTGATCAGGCCACTGCACTCCAGTCTGGACAACAGAGCCACAGCCTGTCTCACACAAAAAAGAGAGTACTAAACTTGAAAGGAAAAGGACATTTACCATCATGAAAAACATTAAAAGTGTAAGTCATTGGTAGAGCAAGCTCACAAAGGAGGAAGAGAAAGAAATCAAATGGAACCACTACAGAATTACACCAAACCACAATGATAAACAATAAGAGAAAAAGAAGGGTACAAAGAATTTTTTTAAAAACTAGAAAACAATTAACAATATGACAGAAAAAATCCCTTACATATCAATAATAACTTTGAACATAAATGGACTACCTGCTCCACTTAAATATGTAGACTGGCTGAATTAATTTAAAAAAGATCTAAGCATATGCTGCTTATAAGAAACTTACCTGAAAAGACACATATAGACTAAAAATAGGGATGGGGTGGGGAGATATTCCACAAAACAGAAGCCAAAGCAAGCAGGAGTACTTGCATCAGATAAAACAGAATTTAAGTCAAAAACCATAAAAAAGACAAGATCATTATATAATGATAGAGGGATCAATTCAGGAAGAGAATAGAACAATTCTAAATACATGCATCCAATCCTGGAGCACCCGTATTCATAAAACAAATATGACTAGATCTAAAGAGAGAGAGACAGCAATATGGTAATATTAGGGGACTTCAACACCCTACTCCTGGCATTACACAGATTATTGAGATAGAGAATCAATAAAGAAAAGTTGAACTTTAGGCCAAATGGACCTGACAGACATTTACAGAACACTCTACCCAACAACTGGAGAATACACACTCTTTACATTAGCAATGGAATGTTCTCCAAGATAGACCATATATTAGGCTGCAAAACAGTCACAACAAATTAAAAAAAATTGAAATCATATCAAGTATCTTCTCAGACCATAGTGGAATAGAACTAGAAATCAATACCAAGAGGAACTTTGGAAAGTATACAGACACATGGAAATTAAACATTATGCTCCTGAATGACCACTGGGTCAATGAAGAAATTATTATTGAAATAAAAATTTTTTTGAAACAAATGAAAATTAAAACACAACATACCAAAATCTGTGAGATACAGAAAAAGCAGTGCTGAGAGGGAAGTTTATGGCATTAAATACCTACATCATAAAAGTAGAAGTATTACAAATTTATAATCTAATAACACTTCAAGGAACTAGAAAAGTAAAAACAAACAAAACCCCAAATTAGCAGGAAAAAAGAAATAACAAAAATCAGAGTAGAATTAAATGAATTAGAGACTAAAAAAAATACAAAAGATCAACAAAACAAAAGGTTGGTTTTTTGAAAAGATAAACAAAATTGATAAACTGCTAGCTAGACCAACCAAGAAGATGGAAGACTCATGTAAAATCAGAAATTAGAATGAAGAGATTACAACTGATAACTACAGAAATACAAATGATCATCAGAGACGATTATAAATATTGATATACTCACACACTAGAAAACCTAGAAGAAATGGAGAAATTCCTGGAAACATACCACCTGCCAAGATTGAAGCAGGAAAGAATAGAAAACCTAAACAGACCAATAATTAGTAGCAATATTGAATTAGTAATAAAAAAACTCCCCCAAAAGAAAAGCCCAGGACCAGATGGATTCACAGCTGCATTGTACCAAATATACAAAGCACTAATTCTAATCCTCCTGAAACTTTTACAAAAAATTGAGGAGGAAGGAATTCTCCCTAACTCATTCTTTGAGGCCAGTATTATTCTGATACCTAAACCAGAGGTGACACATATAAAAGAAAACAGATCATTATCCCTGATGAACAGAGATGCAAAAATCCTGAACAAAATTCTAGCAAACTGAACCCAACAGCACATCAAAAATATATTACACTGGATTAAGGGTTCCAAGATGGCCAAATAGGAACAGCTCCAGTCTACAGCTCCCAGCATGAGTGACGCAGAAGATGGGTGATTTCTGCATTTCCAACTGAGGTACCAGGTTCGTCTCACTGGGGCTTGTTGGACAGTGGGTGCAGCCCATGGAGTGTGAGCTGAAGCAGGGCGGGGCATCGCCTAACCCAGGAAGTGCAAGGGCTTGGGGAATTCACTTTCTTAGCCAAGGAAAGCCGTGACAGACGGTACCTGGAAAATCAGGACACGCCCACCCAAATACTGTGCTTTTCCAATGGTCTTAGCAAACGGCACACCAGGAGATTATATCCCGCACATGGCTCACAGGGTCCCATGCCCATGGAGCCTCGCTCATTGCTAGCACACAGTTTGAGATGGAACTGCAAGGTGACAGTGAGGCTCAGGGAGGGACATCTGCCATTGCTGAGGCTTGAATAGGTAAACAAAGTGGCTAGGAAACTTGAACTGGGTGAAGCCCACTGCAGCTCAAGGAGGCCTGCCTGCCTCTGTAGACTCCACCTCTGGGGGCAGGGCATAGCTGAACAAAAGGCAGCAGAAACTTCTGCAGACTTAAATGTCCCTGTCTGACAGCTTTGAAGAGAGTAGTGGTTCTCCCAGCACAGAGTTTGAGATCTGAGAATGGACAGACTGCCTCCTCAAGTGGGTCCATGACCCGCGAGTAGCCTAACTGGGAGACACCTCCCAGGAGGGTCTGACTGAAACCTCATACAGCTGGGTGACCCTCTGAGATGAAGCTTCCAGAAGAAGGATCAGGCAGCAACATTTGCCGTTCTGCCATATTTGCTGCTCTGTAGCCTCCACTGTTGATACTCAGGCAAACAGGGTCTGGAGTGGACCTCCAGCAAAGTCCAACAGACCTGCACCTGAGGGTCCTGACTGTTAGAAGGAAAACTAACAAACAGAAAGGACATCCACACCAAAACCCCATCTGTACGTCACCATCATCAAAGACCAAAGGTAGATAAAACCACAAAGATGGGAAGAAACCAGAGCAGAAAAGCTGAAAATTCTAAAAATCAGAGCACCTCTTTTCCTCCAAAGGAATGCAGCTCCTTGCCAGCAACGGAACAAAGCTGGATGGAGAATGACTTTGATGAATTGAGAGAAAAAGGCTTCAGATGATCAGGAATAACAAACTTCTCCAAGCTAAAGGAGGATGTTCAAACCCATCACAAAGTAGCTAAAAACCTTGAAAAAAGATTAGACAAATGGCCAACTAGAATAAGCAGCATAGAGAAGACCTTAAATGACCTGATAGAGCTGAAAACCATGGCACGAGAACTACGTGACGAATGCACAAGCTTCAGTAGCCGATTCAATCAAGTGGAAGAAAGGGTATCAGCGATTGAAGATCAAATGAATTAAACGAAGCGAGAAGAGAAGTTTAGAGAAAAAAGAGTGAAAAGAAATGAACAAAGCCTCCAAGAAATAGGGGACTATGTGAAAAGACCACATCTACGTCTGATTGGTGTACCTGAAAGTGACGGGGAGAATGGAACCAAGTTGGAAAACACTCCTCAGGATATTATCCAGGAGAACTTCCACAACCTAGCAAGGCAGGCCAACATTCAAATTCAGGAAATACAGAGAACACCACAAAGATACTACTCAACAAGAGCAACTACAAGACATATAATTGTCAGATTCACCAAAATTGAAATGAAGGAAAAAATGTTAAGGGCAGCCAGAGAGAAAGATCAGGTTACCCACAAAGGGAAGCCCATCAGACAAACAGTGGATCTCTCAGCAGAAACTCTACAAGCCAGAAGAGAGTGGGGACCAATATTCAACATTCTTAAAGAAAAGAATTTTCAATCCAGAATTTCATATCCAGCCAAACTAAGCTTCATAAGTGAAGGAGAAATAAAATATTTTACAGACAAGCAAATGCTGAGAGATTTTGTCACCAGCAGGCCTGCCCTAAAAGAGCTCCTGAAGGAAGCACTAAACATGGAAAGGAACAACCGGTACCAGCCACTGCAAAACCATGCCAATTGTAAAGACCATCGATGCTAGGAAGAAACTGCATCAACTAATGAGCAAAATAACTAGCTAACATCATAATGGCAGGATCAAATTCACACATAACAATATTAACCTTAAATGTAAATGGTCTGAATACTCCAATTACAAGACACAGACTGGCAAATTGGGTAAAGAGTCAAGACCCATCAGTGTGCTGTATTCAGGAAACCCATCTCTTGTGCAGAGACACACATAGGCTCAAAATAAAGGGATGGAGGAAGATCTACCAAGCAAATGGAAAACAAAAAAAGGCAGGGGTTGCAATCCTAGTCTCTAATAAAACAGACTTTAAATGAAAAAAGATCAAAAGAGACAAAGAAGGCCATTGTATAATGGTAAAGGGATCAATTCAACAAGAAGAGCTAACTATCCTAAATATACATGCACCAAATACAGGAGGCCACAGATTAATAAAGCAAGTCCTTAGAGACCTACAAAGAGACTTAGACTCCCACACAATAATAATGGGAGACTTAAACACCCCACTGTCAACATTAGACAGATCAACGAGACAGAAAGTTAACAAGGATATCCAGGAATTGAACTCAGCTCTGCATCAAGTGGACCTAATAGACATCTACAGAGCTCTCCACCCCAAACCAACAGAATATACATTCTTCTCAGCACCACATCGCACTTATTACAAAATTGACAACATAGTTGGAAGTAAAGCACTCCTCAGCAGATGTAAAAGAACAGAAATTATAACAAACTGTCTCTCAGACCACAGTGCAATCAAACTGGAACTCAGGATCAAGACACTCACTCAAAACTGCTCAGCTACATGGAAACTGAACAACCTGCTCCTGAATGACTACTGGGTACATGACAAAATGAAGGCAGAAATAAAGATGTCCTGTGAAACCAATGAGAACAAAGACACAACATACTAGAATCTCTGGGACACATTCAAAGCAGTGTGTAAGGGAAATTTACAGCAATAAAAGCCCACGAGAGAAAGCAGGAAAGACCTAAAATTGACACCCTAACATCACAATTAAAAGAACTAGAGAAGCAAGAGCAAACACATTCAAACGCTAGCAGAAAGCAAGAAATAACTAAGATCAGAGCAGAACTGAAGGAAATAGAGACACAAAAAACCCTGCAAAACAATCAATGAATCCAGGAGCTGGTTTTTTGAAAGGATCAACAAAATTGATAGACCGCTATCAAGACAAATAAAGAAGAAAAGAGAGAAGAATCAAATAGATGCATAAAAAATGATAAAGGGGATATCATCATTGATACCACAGAAATACAAACTACCATCAGAGAATACTATAAACACTTCTACACAAAAAAACTAGAAAATCTCAAAGAAATGGATAAATTCCTGGACACATACACCTTCCCAAGACTAAACCAGGAAGAAGTTGAATCCCTGAATAGACCAATAACAGGCTCTGAAATTGAGGCAATAATTAAGAGCCTACCAAACAAAAAAAGTCCAGGACCAGGCAGATTCACAGCCGAATTCTACCAGAGGTATGAGGAGGAGCTGGTACCATTCCTTCTGAAACTATTCCAATCAATAGAAAAAGAGGGAATCCTCCCTAACTCATTTTATGAGGCCAGCATCATCCTGATACCAAAGCCTGGAAGAGACACAACAAACAAAGAGAATTTTAGGCCAATATCCCTGATGAACATCAATGCAAAGATCCTCAATAAAATAAGGGTGAAACAAATCCAGCAGCACATCAAAAAGCTTATCCACCGTGATGAAGTTGGCTTCATCCCTGGGATTCAAGGCTGGTTCAACATACACAAATCAATAAATGTAATCCATCATATAAACAGAACCAAAGACAAAAACCACATTATTATCTCAATAGATGCAGAAAAGGCCTTTCACAAAATTCAACAGCCCTTCATGCTAAAAACTCTCAATAAACTAGGTGTTGATGGGACATATCTCAAAATAATAATAGCTATTTATGAGAAACCTACAGCCAATATCATACTGAATGGGCGAAAACCGGAAGCATTCCCTTTGAAAACGAGCACAAGACAGGGATACCCTCTCTCACCACTCCTATTCAACATAGTGTTGGAAGTTCTGGCCAGGGCAATCAGGCAAGAGAAGGAAATAAAGGGTATTCAATTAGGAAAAGAGGAAGTCAAATTGTCTCTGTTTGCAGATGACATGATTGTATATCTAGAAAACCCCATTGTCTCAGCCCAAAATCTCCTTAAGCTGATAAGCAACTTCAGCAAAGTCTCAGGATACAAAATCAATGTGCAAAAATCACAAGCATTCCTATACACCAATAACAGACAAACAGAGAGCCAAATCATGAGTGAACTCCCATTCACAATTGCTTCAAAGAGAATAAAATACCTAGGAATCCAACTTACAAGGGATGTGAAGGATCTCTTCAAGGAGAACTACAAACCACTGCTCAATGAAATAAAAGAGGACACAAACAAATGGAAGAACATTCCATGCTCATGGGTAGGAAGAATCAATATCATGAAAATGGCCATACTGCCCAAGGTAATTTATAGATTCAATGCCATCCCCATCAAGCTACCAATGACTTTCTTCACAGAATTGGAAAAAACTACTTTAAAGTTCATATGGAACCAAAAAAGAGCCCGCATCGCCAAGACAATCCTAAGCCAAAAGAACAAAGCTGGAGGCATCATGCTACCTGACTTCAAACTATATTACAAGGCTACAGTAACCAAAACAGCATGGTACTGGTACCAAAACAGGGATATCAACCAATGAAACAGAACAGAGCCCTCAGAAATAATACCACACACATCTACAACCATCTGATCTTTGACAAACCTGACAAAAACAAGAAAGGAGGAAAGGATTCCTTATTTAATAAATGGTGCTGGGAAAACTTGCTAGCCATATGTAGAAAGTTAAAACTGAATCCCTTCCTTACACCTTATACAAAAATTAATTCAAGAATGGATTAAAGATTTAAATGTCAGACCTAAAACCATAAGAGCCCTAGAAGAAAACCTAGGCAGTACCATTCAGGACATAGGCACAGGCAAGGACTTCATGAGTTAAAAACCAAAAGCAATGGCAACAAAAGCCTAAATTGACAAATGGGATCTAATTAAACTAAAGAGCTTCCGCACAGCAGAAGAAACTACCATCAGAGTGAACAGGCAACCTACAGAATGGGAGAAAATTTTTTCAATCTACCCATCTGACAAAGGGCTAATATCCAGAATCGATAAAGAACTTAAACAAATTTACAAGAAAAAATCAAACAACCCCATCAAAAAATGGGCGAAGGATATGAACAGACACTTCTCAAAAGAAGACATTTATGCAGCCAACAGACACATGAAAAAATGCTCATCATCACTGGCCATCAGAGAAATGCAAATCAAAACCACAATGAGATACCATCTCACACCAGTTAGAATGGTGATCATTAAAAAGTCAGGAAACAACAGGTGCTGGAGAGGATGTGGAGAAATAGGAACACTTTTACACTGTTGGTGGGACTGTAAACTAGTTCAACCATTGTCGAAGACAGTGTGGCGATTCCTCAAGGATCTAGAACTAGAAATACCATTTGACCCAGTGACCCCATTACTGGGTATATACCCAAAGGATCATAAATCATGCTTCTATAAAGACACATGCACACGTATGTTTATTGTGGCACTATTCACAATAGCAAAGACTTGAAACCAACCCAAATGTCCAACAATGATAGACTGGATTAAGAAAATGTGGCACATATACCCCATGGAATAGTATGCAGCCATAAAAAAGGATGGGTTGATGTCCTTTGTAGGGACATGGATGAAGCTGGTAACCATCATTCTGAGCAAACTATCGCAAGGACAGAAAACCAAAGACCGCATGTTCTCACTCATAGGTGGGAATTGAACAACGAGAACACTTGGACACAGGGTGGGGAACATCACACACTGGGGCCTGTTATGGGGTGGGGGGAGGGGGGATGGATAGCACTGGGAGATATACCTAATGTGAATGATGAGTTAATCGGTGCAGCACACCAACATGGCACATGCATACATATGTAACAAACCTGCACGTTGTGCACATGTACCCTAGAACTTAAAGTATAACAACTGTATATATATGCATATATGTGTGTGTGTGTATATATATATATATATATATATATATATATATATATCACTATGATCAGGTGGGTTTTATATCGTGATGCAAGGATAGTTCAACATGGCCAATCAATAAAACCTGATACATTACATAAGCAGAATCAAGGGAAAGAAACATATGTTCATCTCCATAGATGCAGAAAAAGTATTTGAGAAAATGCAGTATCCCATCATGATACAAACTCTCAACAAAGTGGGCATAGAAGGAATCTCCCTGAAAATAAGAAAGACCATATACGAGAAACCTACAGTTAACATCATACTGAATGGGAAAAAGTTGAAAGCATTTTCTCTAAGAACTGGAACAAGACAAGGATGCCCACTTTCGCCATTCCTATTCAGCATAGTACCAGAAGTCCTAGCCAGAGCAGTCAGGCAAGACGAAGAAATGTAAGGCATCCAAATTGGAAAAGAGAAAGTCAAATTATCCCTGTTTGCTGATGATATGATCTTATATTTAGAAAACCCTAAAGACTCCATACAAAAACTCTTAGATTTGATAAATGAATTCAGTAAAATTTCAGGATACAGAGTCAGTGTACAAAAATCAGTGGTGTTCTTATACACCAATAATGATCTATCTAAGAAAGAAATCAAGAAGTAAATCTTATTTACAATAGCTACAAAAAGATATGTAGAAATAAATTTAAACAAGGAGGTAAAAGATCTCTACAAGGAACACTAGAATTCACAGATAAGAAATTGTAGATGACACAAACAAATGGAAAAACATCCCATGCTCATGGATCAAAATAATTAGTATTGTTAAAATGAACATACTGCCCAAAGCAATCTACAAATTCAATGCAATCCTTATCAAAATACTAATATCATTTTTACAGGATTAGAAAAAACAATCCTAAAATTCATACAGAACCAAAAAACAGCCCAAATAGTCAAAGCAATCCTGAGCAAAAAGAACAGAATAGCTATTATTTTTTTTCCCACACAGTTCACTGATGTATAGAATGGCTATTATTAAAAGGACAAAAAATAACAGATGTTGGCGAGGATGTGGAGAAAAGAAAACTCTTATATTCTGTTGGTAGAAATATAAATTAGTACAGCCTCTATGGAAAACTGTATGGAGATTTCCCAAAGGACTAAAAATAGAACTACCATTGCATCCAGCCATCCACTACTGAATATCTACCCAAATGAAGCCAATATATAAAAAAGATACCTTCACTTGTATGTTTATTGCAGCACTATTTACAATAGCAAAGATATGCAATCAACCTCAGTGTCCATCAATAGATGAATGGATAAAGAAAATGTAGTATATATACACACACACACACACACACATATGTGTGTATATATATACACATACACACACACACATATGTGTGTATATATATACACATACATATATATACAAAACCTAGGCATTACCATTCAGGACATAGGCATGGGTGTTTCACGTCTAAAACACCAAAAGCAATGGCAACAAAAGCCAAAATTGACAAATGGGATCTAATTAAACTAAAGAGCTTCTGCACAGCAAAAGAAACTACCATCAGAGTGAACAGGCAACCTACAAAATGGGAGAAAATTTTCACAACCTACTCATCTGACAAAAGGCTAATATCCAGAATCTACAAGGAACTCAAATTTACAAGAAAAAAACAAACAACCCCATCAAAAAGTGGGCAAAGGACATGAACAGACACTTCTCAAAAGAAGACATTTATGCAGCCAAAACACTGGCCATCAGAGAAATGCAAATCAAAACCACAATGAGATACCATCTCACACCAGTTAGAATGGCGATCATTAAAAAGTCAGGAAACAACAGGTGCTGGAGAGGATGTGGAGAAATAGGAACAATTTTACACTGTTGGTGGGACTGTAAACTAGTTCAACCATTGTGGAAGTCAGTGTGGCGATTCCTCAGGGATCTAGAACTACAAATACCATTTGACCCAGCCATCCCATTACTGGGTATATACCCAAAGGACTATAAATCATGCTGCTATAAAGACACATGCACACGTATGTTTATTGTGGCACTCTTCACAAGAGCAAAGACTTGGAACCAACCCAAATGTCCAACAATGATAGACTGGATTAAGAAA
Organism: Homo sapiens; assembly: GCF_000001405.40. Taxonomy (NCBI): domain Eukaryota; kingdom Metazoa; phylum Chordata; class Mammalia; order Primates; family Hominidae; genus Homo; species Homo sapiens. The sequence continues at coordinate 67,576,932 of NC_000010.11, read as the reverse complement.
ATGTGGCACATATACACCATGGAATACTATGACACCATAAGAAAGATGAGTTCATGTCCTTTGCAGGGACATCGATGATGCTGGAAACTATCATTCTCAGCAAACTATTGCAAGGACAAAAAACCAAACACCGCATGTTCTCACTCATAGGTGGGAATTGAACAATGAGAACACATGGACACAGGAAGGGGAACATCACACTCTGGGGACTGTTGTGGGGTGGGGGGAGGGGGGAGGGATAGCATTAGGAGATATACCTAATGCTAAATGACAAGTTAATGGGTGCAGCACACCAGCATGGCACATGTATACATATGTAACTAACTTGCACATTGTGCACATGTACCCTAAAATTTAAAGTATAATAATAATAAAATAAAATAAAATAAAGAAACTATCTGAATGCAAGAGAACACTCTTATAATTACTAATTTTTGAAAGCTTACCGTGTACCACTCATGGAACTAAAAACTTTAGATTTTATACAACAATTATAGTAGAGGGGGTAAGGAAAACTATTAACAACTATACAATAATGCCTCCTCTCATTATATTTGTATGTGGCCATTTAAAGTAGTTAAATAAATTCCCAGATACTTCAGATAATTCATCTATTTACTTAGGTCAAATGACTCTCAAGGTCAAGGCTTAAAATTAAACCTGAAATGTAAAAGTAAACAACTGTTTACTTTTTACAGAAACCTGCCCAGGAAATGGCCTTCAGAAGCTTCATGCTTTTAAATAACTAAGCCCAGCCTGCTAAAGTCTATGTATAATAACACTTGGCTGCTTAAGAACTTAAGGTTGCTCCCTGATTCCTCACATATCAATGCAATCTTTTCTGTCTAAGGGTGGGTTCAACTTTGAATCAGCAAGTCCTAAAGTGTTTACTTTCACTTGATTCATTCTCTGTTTCAGGTGAACTATTTACCATAATCCTTTTAACTCTACTAATCTATCTTTGCTCAGACCATTCCCTTGACTAGGAGGTCCACTGGGTGTATCAGTCCTTTTCAAAATGGCACCCCGAGCTCTTTTAATCAAGTCTTTCTCCAGACTTCACAGAGACAGAAATAGAGAAACTACAGCAAAGGAATACAACCATAACAAGATTGTTAAGGGGAGCCAACAGTAGCTGAGAGCCTTCTGAAGAAGGAAAGCTAACAGAAGGGTGTTGACAGATGAAAACAAGAAGAGAAAGCTACAGTTTAGAATATGATATGAGGAGTCTGCAGAGGATGTCAGAGTCACTCTGCCCACTAGAATCCAAAGAATCTCTGGCTTGGAGTAGGCAAGTATGATACAAGGCAGAAATGAGCAGTGGGTCTGAAAACTGAGGTGATCACTTGAATTCCTATATGTGAAATGCTGTGCTCCCTGTCACTTTCTCTATTACTGTTTGCCAACAGCTCAACGCTTAACCCCAAGTCATAAAATGAGGGCTTTTTTTCACAACATAATTTGAGGAAATTATCTGGGGAGTATGGCCCCAGAGAAAAGCTGTTTTATGGCAAGAAAGAGGGAAAATGCCAGAAACAGAAAGACATAGGATAAATAAAATGGTGTGCCTAATCCAGAGATGTCTCAAAACACACAATTGAAAGGACGACATACGGTTTCAGAAGAAATATCTCTATGGGGGAAAAAAAGAAGAAGACTTCACAAAATAGTTATTATGATTGAAAGAGAGACCAAATTTAGGCTATGATCAAGATTCAGAACCTCCAGAGAAAACAAAAAATATATATAGGAAACGCATAACCCAAACATAAACTAGATCAGTGTAGCACAACTTTAAGCAATAGAAAAGAGAATCTATTTGACCTTCATCATAAATCATTCCCCTCTGAGTGGCCCAGGGGTTGTGACATTGGGTCCTTGGAGAAGAAGATATGATTTCAGTATCCTACATCACCCTGTACTAAATAAAATGTATAGAGTCACAGTAACATTAATGGTGCACTGTGATTTTCAACTTTTACTATTAGCTAACGAACAAATGCAGATGACTTCATTATGGTTGCATATCAGAATTAAAATGTTAACAACCTTGGTCAGGCTTGGTGGCTCATGCCTGTAATCCCAACACTTTGGGAGGCCGAGGCAGGTGGATCACCTGAGGTCAGGAGTTCGAGACCAGCCTGGCCAACATGGTGAAACCCCATCTCTACTAAAAATACAAAAATTGGCCGGGCATGGCGGTGGGTGCCTGTAGTCCCAGCTTGTCAGAAGGCTGAGGCACGAGAATAGCTTGAACCCAGGAGGCAGAGGTTGTGGTGAGCAGAGATCGCACCACTGCACTCCAGCCTGGGCGACAGTGGGAGACTCCGTCTCAAAAAAAAAAAAAAAAAAAAAGTTAACAACCTTGTCAATGTAAGAATACAATTTGAAGTGACAGAAAACAGAAGGGAAAGGTGGAATGCAGAAGTAAAGGGGGAGGAAGTGGAATGGATGCTGTTAGTCTTACTATACACAAAGAGTGGTCAGGACACTAATTAAAAATGATAGAATACAAAACAGAGGGATAATAATAAAACAAAAAATAATTCAAATTATCAAACATTGGAAGGAAGAAAGGGTAAGGACACAGAGGTAGGGGAACAAAACTTTCATATTTCATTGTAGGGAGTAAATAGATAATTCCTTAAATAAATCAATCAAAGAAAAGAGATATAAGCATACGACTTAAAGTTATGAAGTAAGCACCAGAAGATCTAAAATCAAACCTGCTTCCTCCAGATTGTGGGACTGGAAGCAAAGGAGGTTTTTCCTAGGGTGTTGGATTGAAAGTAGCAAGGAGCAGGGCAAAAGATTATTGCTTTTCATCATAAGCTCTTCTGCTCTGTTTAATGTTTTATGATATGCATATTTTGATCTAAAATTTTTATAGATCTGAACTGAACTTCAACTCCTGGAAAATTATCAATTAGCCTTCTTCATTCTTACCATTCCACATGTACTCTCTTAACACTTTTATATTTAAAGGTACTATAACATCTTGAACATTTTCATCTGCTATAATTATTCTCATTTACTTTCCTAAAACTAAGTTATACTGAAGTTCCTTGAAGTCAGTAATCAGAACTTATTTTTAATGAGATTATCAGCATTTGATACATAGTACAATATATTTTTAATTGTGATAATGTATTAAGTGTTGAGGGAAGGGAAGGATAGAGGGAGGGAAGGAGAGAGGGAAGGAGGGAGGAAGGGAGGGAGGGAGAGAGGAAGGGAAGGGAAGGAAAGGGAAGGACTTGACTTTCAACTTTCTTATCTAATATAATACTTGATTTTCTGTAGTCTATCTAACCTTCTGTCTTCATCTCATATGCCAGTGTTTTATTCTTCTTTTCAGCTTTTACAAATGTTTCTGAAATTATTTTTTAGGAGTGCTGAGATATTCCCGGGAATATGTGTTCAATCCTGTCAGTTCACATAAGATAGGGAGATGGCACCTGTTCTCTGTCTCATAGTCTGATTTCAAGGGGGTGAAAAAAGAAAACATAAGCTATGGAATGTTGTCTCTTCCATGTACCTCAAGACTTATCAGTCACCCTTCTCCAAGCAAGTTTTGCACTTGCTTCCTTTTCTGTCCAGGCTGCATGCTTGCAAACTGAAAGAGGAAGCAAATTTTATCTCTGGTTTTGAGGAAATTTTTTTTGGGGGTTGGTCGTAGGGACACTGGGCTTTTCCCATTTCTTTGAATGCCAATGAATTGACTGTATCCTAATCCCATCATTGTCTATACACCAATTCGTAATGATGTCATGATAATCACATCGATCTAAAAGGCGTAGGAGAGCAGCATAGCTTTTATTCTATTTATTTTTTTACTTTTATTTTTGACACAGGGTCTCACTCTGTCACCCAGACTGGAGCACAGTGGTACAATCACGGCTCACTGCAGCCTCAACCTCTCAGGCTCAAGTGATCCTCCCACCTCAGCCTCCTGAGTAGCTGGGACTGTAGGTGTGCACCACCATGCCAAGCTAACTTTTTATACTTTTTGTAGAAACAAGGTTTTGCCATGTTGCCCAAGCTGGTCTTGAACTCCTGGACTCAAGTGATTCATCTACCTTGGCCTCCCAAAGTACTGGCATTACAGGCATGAGCTACTGGGGCCCAACATAGCTTTCGATCATAAAATTCTCCTTGGGGCACCTAATCTAGAAGTCTTTCTCAAGAGAAATCAAAATTATTGATAGTTGTTTAGCACTTAGGTAACTCAGAAACAAGCATCAGAACAGATATGCTAAATGTTGCTATTTCTGTGTAGTGAGTTTCATGCTTAACTGCCTGAGAAAGGCAGACATCTTAGGAAATAAAATATTACATAGAAAATCAATGGAGTTTGGTGATTTCCATCCTTTGAGACTTACTGATTGTATGGTGGTCTCATCAAATCCAATATAGCACACAACAGGCTGGTGGTAAAGTTTATGAAAGAATCTCTCGAAAATTCCAAACTGCATTAGGCCTGGAAGTTATGCTTCGAGGGGATAAAGGATCAACCAATGACTGGCTGACCCTGGGACACAAAAGACTGACCTGTTGCCTTAAGGGGAGATCATTCTGGTGCGATTCACTCTCCAGACCTCCTATGGGATCAGTTAGAGCTATACTTTAGCTCAGCACTTTCCAGTAGAAAAGCTAATGTGAGCCTCATATGTGATTTTAAATATTTTGGTAGTCATATTTTAAAAATTATTAGCATTTACAAAAAAAATTTAAGTAAATAGAAAAAAATCAAATATTTAAAATGTAAAAAAAGGTAAAATTGGTTTTAAAACTGTATTTTGATTAATCCAACATATCTAAAATATATCATTTCAACATGCAATCAATATAAAAAGATTATTGACAGTTTACATTTTCCCATACAAAGTATTTGAAATCCATTATGTATTTTACCCTTATAAAACATCTGAATTCAGATACTAAATTTTCATCAGAAATACTTGATCTGTATTTAGATGTCATAAAAACTTATAGTTGAAAAAGATGATTCACATACTCATAATTTAAAGTTTTTCAATAGCTGAATGAAGTATTGGTTTTTAAAATTTAAGTTACAATTAGATAAAATTAGAAATTCAGATCCTCAGTCACACTCTGCACATTTCAAGTGCTCAGCGGCCACATGCAGTCAATGTTTGCCATCCCGTACAGTCCAAGCTTTAGTTCAACTTCTCTCAGCTTCTTCTCTGCCCTCTCCTGCTTCCCTCACCCCCTCGTAGATTTCACTTGACGGGACTCCAGTAAATCAGTTGCACAAGAACCTCCATCTTAGGTTCTGCTACTTGGGCACCCAGCCTGTATAAACTATAGTCTATTATAATCTACTCGCAGAGATTTGCAATACAATTCAGCATTTTAAGAATGTTGACTGAGAAGTTATCTAGTAATGAACCCATGCTTAGAATTTTTAATTGAGTTTTATGAATTTACTTAATGTTTTTCTTACAGAAGAGTTCTTAACATTTCTAGAAACACTTGTTTTCCAAGGATCACAGTTTGAGGCTGTACTAGAGAATTATTCTCAAGCAATTTCAAAGATACTTAGAGTGACCAGAGTAACATATATTAAATGACAGAAAAAATAAAGGGAAATGGAGATACACAATTATCAAACAGTCAACAAATATTTCTTTAGTATAAACTTGAAAGGCAATCCCAACTCTGTGAATAACTAACCAGGTAGCTCTAGGCAAATCATTTTTTCTTTCTAGATTTGAGTCTCCTTATTTGCCTTATGTGCATTATCTCATCAAGACACATAAATACAAATCAGTATTATTGTAGTTATTATTATCATCATTAATATTAGAGAGGCACTGTGGAGATGTAACCTATCTTCCACATATTAATGCCAGATAAATCTTCCTAAAACATAGACTTAGTCCTGTTACTGTTTGACTAAAAAATTTTGTAAGGATGCCCCAGCATCCTTATCTTGCCATTGAAGGATCTCCAAGGTTTATTCCAAATTTATCATTCCAAGTTTATTTCCAACTTCACTTTCCATCTATCCCACATAATGAACCAGCTTTGAGGAGTTCCAGCACTGGATGGCCAGTATGAAAATGATGAACCAAAAAGGAGATTGAAAAGAAATTACCAAAGATGTGAAAAAGAAACCAGGACTGGCAGTGCTCCATTAGTCAAGGAAACAGTATTTCAAAAAGAGAAAATAATCAACTATGTCAAATATGCTGAGAGTTCAAGTCAGATGACACTAGAGATAGCAAAGTTTGTAAAGACCTTGTGAAGAAGATGCTGAGTTCAGTTTATACATGGTGAGTATGTAATACCAAAACAGCCAGGTGGAACCACCTAGTAAAAGGTTACAGCAGTAATGTTGTCCACAGTATGTGTCACTACTCACTGGGGAAGAAATGAACAGTTTCAACTAGTATGTTGAACATCAAACATTCCCAAGAGTGGCCATTATTTGTGGGAGTGAGATGAGTATGATTATCTATGTATTAATGTAGAAAAATTATTGAGAAGCACTCAGAATTTGGCAGTGGAACTTTACATGAGAACTAAAAGTTGTCAATATAGCAACTGTAATTCAAATCATGAGAATGAAGAAGCTCTCCCAGGAAAGGAAACAAGAAGTGACAGAGAGGACCAAGACTAACACTAAAAAAAGAGACAAGAGGAAGAAGTCAATGAGGAAAGAGAAAGACGATGTGGGGAAGTAATAGAAGAATTTCATATATAATATTCTAAAAGAAAGGCGGAAAGTTTCAGGATGAGTAAATAAATGTCGAATGCAGCACAGGAGTTGAAGAGAATTAAAATTGTTCAAAAGTAATTGGATTAAACAACAAATACACCAAGCAGAACAGGTCAGGTAAAACAGGATTAGGAGTTTAAGAAAAGAGTAGACTAAAAGAAAGTGGAATTGTTATTGAATATTTGCCAGTTGTAAAGCAGGGGCAAGCTAATATGTGTGAAGAAAGAACTAATGAAAAGGAAGGTAAATGAACATGCTACAGAAAAAAAGGTAATTGTAGAATAAAAGTCTCTCGAGAAGAGAAGAGAAGGGATGAGCTAAGATCCAGATAATGATTGGAAAGATTAGTTTTAAAGAGCAAAAAGGAACACCACTTCTTTTGAAACTTAAGAAAGGGATGAGAAGAAACAGTCAAGGACAGAAATTCTTAAGATTTTTATTCCTCCCCCTGAGCAACTGCAATAGCTTAATGCACTCTTTAATGCTAGAATGTGCAACACAACAATAATTTTCAGACCCATCTTCTGTGAACATAAACTTTAGGTCACTCTGTTACCTTTGCACACATTTATGAAATGGCTACGCTGTGGTGCCATCGCTATAGCTGTGAAGGAGAGCAGAGCCATGGCTAATATAAGAATCACACCTCTGATTTCAGACTCTTTACCAGCTGAGATTTCAGGCCACATTTTAGTTTCTAGGACTCATTACTTACAAATCAACCTGTTAACATGCATTAAATCTTTGCTCCCACCTTTGAATTATACTTCAAAGTAAATGGTACACAGCTTACAGAATTTCTCATACTTTAAAAACTGGAATTACTGTTATTTCTTAAATCAGCTTGTCTATATGTCCAGCATATCAAGTAACTCAAATTGGAATGGCTATGCACACATATTAAGTACTTCCCAATCATCCGCACACCTCATAATGGTTGACACTGAGGAGTTTGCTGAAAATATCAAATGCACTAAAAGAAAAGTCTGCTGAAGATTTTTCAAGAGAACATTATGGAATACCATGTTGAACGTTTTTTTAGCAATTAGTAGTTTACAAGCAATGTAGCTAATTATCTCATCAGTCTTCAATGGAAATGTTTCCATAAACTTTCTGCCAGCTACAGGACACAATGCATGCATGTTAAAATGTGTTAGAACAAGAGTTCATCATTCTCTTTCAAATGAAGAACGAACTGCGTCTCCTGAAGCATGCTATACCAAGTTGAAAAGAATATTGCATTTGTGTCTTAATGCTTATCTAAGGACATTGTTAAGTTATAATAACAGTTAAATGCACACAACACCAACATAGTAAGAGATGGAAGTAATGAGGGCAGCAGCTGTTGCCTTTGAAACCATATATAGGCTGTGAGCAATTGGTGGTAAATACCAAACATTTCACCTAAGTCCTAACTGCAACATTGTTGAACAAGTAGATGGAGCTGACCCGTTACTTAGGAATCGTTAACAAAAATTGAACTGCTATTTTCTTTTATAAATAAATATTCAATATAGCTGAGTTTCAAAAGCTCTTTCAATACAGGTAACCCAAAATGGACACCAGTAAAAATTTTTCTAATCTCTAGTTCCCTAGGACAAAATTTATTTCCTTGCATATATATATATGTGTGTGTGTCTGTGTGCATATAAATATGCATATATATATGTGTGTGTGTGCGTGCAAGGAAATATGTACTGTACTATACACACACACACACACACATATATATATACTGGAACAATCAGGGAGAAGATAGGTAACATTTTAAATGTTCAATATTGAAAATTCTATAATGCCATTTGTTGTTTAAGTACCTAAGTATACTGATAGGAAGATTAAGTACACTTCCAGGATGCCACTTTCCAAGAATAATCATTTCTGGAAGTAATGGTTTTCTCTGACTAATATGGATGGTGGTAAGCCTTGACTCCTAATTCCTACTGCAAAAAAAAAAACAGTCTGTAGCCTGGAGTCTTGCAAACATTGAGATGAAGAACTATGAAAATGTAGAAAGAGAGATAAATAGAAAAAATACACAAGTACATATGTTATGCACATGAGGTATGTGAACATTTTTTAACCCAAAGTTTACTACTCACAAGGGAGAGAGAAAGTCCCCTAGTTTCTGGCTACATCCACTACCCTGCCAGACATATTCATGAGCCATGCAAAGTGGGGCAAGTTGTCAACTACTGTAGGCCTAAGCTCTACAAACATGCAGCTGGGAGGCTCCTGCATTAATATACTAAATACCATAGCATTTCTTTTAATACAAAATACCATAACCCCATATTTAGGAAGGAGAGCTATAGTTAGCTTCTGATAGATTCGAAAGCTCCACATTAATCTTCCTAGCCCTCCAACTGACTCTTGATGACCTTGGTGGAGGCCTACAATTAAAAATAGATGGGAGGCAGTTTAGCAGTGGCAAGCTTCCATTAATTTGCAAGACCTCTCCCAGTAAACATACATGAACATGAAGCCCGTGGTATCTGTTTGGAATTGCTACCTCTGGTAGGCATAACTACCGAGGCTATAGACATTAGACTGCACATTCAAGCTCCAGATAATTCACATGAAAGGATACAGATTTTTCTTTGTACAAATATATGGGGTACACCTGTAATTTTATTACTTGCATAGATTACATAGTGGTTAAGTCAGGGCTTTCAAGGTATTCATCACCCAAGTAACGTACATTGTACGCATTAACCAATTTCTCACTATCCTCTCCGCTCTAACCCTCTCACCCTTCCAAGTCTCCATTATCAATCATTCCACTTTCTACATTCATTTATACACAATTTTTAGCATCCACTTATGAAAGCATGCAATATTTGTCTTTTTGTCCCTGGCTTGTTTCACTTATGATAATGATACCCAGTTCTATCCAATTTGCTGCAAAAGACATATTTCATTCTTTTTTTTTTTTGCCATTTTCTCATTTCTTATTTTTATTGTCTTGTTTTATTGGAAATATAGTTGTTGCATCTGTTTCTTTTTTTATTTTATTATTATTATGCTTTAAGTTTTAGGGTACATGTGCACAACATGCAGGTTAGTTACATATATATACATGTGCCATGCTGGTGTGCTGCACCCATTAACTCGTCATTTAGCATTAGGTATATCTCCTAATGCTATCCCTCCCCCCTCCCCCCACCCCAAAACAGTCCCCAGAGTGTGATGTTCCCCTTTCTGTGTCCATGTGTTCTCATTGTTCAGTTCCCACCTATGAGTGAGAACATGTGGTGTTTGGTTTTTTGTCCTTGCGATAGTTTACTGAGAATGACGATTTCCAATTTCATCCATGTCCCTACAAAGGGCATGAACTCATCATTTTTTATGGCTGCATAGTATTCCATGGTGTATATGTGCCACATTTTCTTAATCCAGTCTATCATTGTTGGACATTTGGGTTGGTTCCAAGTCTTTGCTCTTGTGAAGAGTGCCGCAATAAACATACATGTGCATGTGTCTTTATAGCAGCATGATTTATAGTCCTTTGGGTATATACCCAGTAATGGGATGGCTGGGTCAAATGGTATTTGTAGTTCTAGATCCCTGAGGAATCGCCACACTGACTTCCACAATGGTTGAACTAGTTTACAGTCCCACCAACAGTGTAAAATTGTTCCTATTTCTCCACATCCTCTCCAGCACCTGTTGTTTCCTGACTTTTTAATGATCGCCATTCTAACTGGTGTGAGATGGTACCTCATTGTGGTTTTGATTTGCATTTCTCTGATGGCCAGTGATGATGAGCATTTTTTCATGTGTTTTTGGCTGCATAAATGTCTTCTTTTGAGAAGTGTCTGTTCATGTCCTTTGCCCACTTTTTGATGGGGTTGTTTGTTTTTTTCTTGTAAATTTGTTTGAGTTCATTGTAGATTCTGGATATCAGCCCTTTGTCAGATGAGTAGGTTGCGAAAATTTTCTCCCATTCTGTAGGTTGCCTGTTCACTCTGATGGTAGTTTCTTTTGCTGTGCAGAAGCTCTTTAGTTTAATTAGATCCCATTTGTCAATTTTGGCTTTTGTTGCCATTGCTTTTGGTGTTTTAGACATGAAGTCCTTGCCTATGCCTATGTCCTGAATGGTAATGCCTAGGTTTTGTATATATATATATATATATATATATATATACACACACACATATGTGTGTGTGTGTGTTTGTGTGTGTATATATATATAATATATATATACTGCATTTTCTTTATCCATTCATCTATTGATGGACACTGAGTTTGATTGCATATCTTTGCTATTGTAAATAGTGCTGCAATAAACATACAAGTGAAGGTATCTTTTTTATATATTGGCTTCATTTGGGTAGATATTCAGTAGTGGATGGCTGGATGCAATGGTAGTTCTATTTTTAGTCCTTTGGGAAATCTCCATACAGTTTTCCATAGAGGCTGTACTAATTTATATTTCTACCAACAGAATATAAGGGTTTTCTTTTCTCCACATCCTCGCCAACATCTGTTATTTTTTGTCCTTTTAATAATAGCCATTCTATACATCAGTGAACTGTGTGGGAAAAAAAATAATAGCTATTCTGTTCTTTTTGCTCAGGATTGCTTTGACTATTTGGGCTGTTTTTTGGTTCTGTATGAATTTTAGGATTGTTTTTTCTAATCCTGTAAAAATGATATTAGTATTTTGATAAGGATTGCATTGAATTTGTAGATTGCTTTGGGCAGTATGTTCATTTTAACAATACTAATTATTTTGATCCATGAGCATGGGATGTTTTTCCATTTGTTTGTGTCATCTACAATTTCTTATCTGTGAATTCTAGTGTTCCTTGTAGAGATCTTTTACCTCCTTGTTTAAATTTATTTCTACATATCTTTTTGTAGCTATTGTAAATAAGATTTACTTCTTGATTTCTTTCCTAGATAGATCATTATTGGTGTATAAGAACACCACTGATTTTTGTACACTGACTCTGTATCCTGAAATTTTACTGAATTCATTTATCAAATCTAAGAGTTTTTGTATGGAGTCTTTAGGGTTTTCTAAATATAAGATCATATCATCAGCAAACAGGGATAATTTGACTTTCTCTTTTCCAATTTGGATGCCTTACATTTCTTCGTCTTGCCTGACTGCTCTGGCTAGGACTTCTGGTACTATGCTGAATAGGAATGGCGAAAGTGGGCATCCTTGTCTTGTTCCAGTTCTTAGAGAAAATGCTTTCAACTTTTTCCCATTCAGTATGATGTTAACTGTAGGTTTCTCGTATATGGTCTTTCTTATTTTCAGGGAGATTCCTTCTATGCCCACTTTGTTGAGAGTTTGTATCATGATGGGATACTGTATTTTCTCAAATACTTTTTCTGCATCTATGGAGATGAACATATGTTTCTTTCCCTTGATTCTGCTTATGTAATGTATCAGGTTTTATTGATTGGCCATGTTGAACTATCCTTGCATCACGATATAAAACCCACCTGATCATAGTGATATATATATATATATATATATATATATATATATATATATACACACACACACACATATATGCATATATATACAGTTGTTATACTTTAAGTTCTAGGGTACATGTGCACAACGTGCAGGTTTGTTACATATGTATGCATGTGCCATGTTGGTGTGCTGCACCGATTAACTCATCATTCACATTAGGTATATCTCCCAGTGCTATCCATCCCCCCTCCCCCCACCCCATGACAGGCCCCAGTGTGTGATGTTCCCCACCCTGTGTCCAAGTGTTCTTGTTGTTCAATTCCCACCTATGAGTGAGAACATGCGGTCTTTGGTTTTCTGTCCTTGCGATAGTTTGCTCAGAATGGTGGTTACCAGCTCCATCCATGTCCCTACAAAGGACATCAACCCATCCTTTTTTATGACTGCATAGTATTCCATGGATTATATGTGCCACATTTTCTTAATCCAGTCTATCATTGTTGGACATTTGGGTTGGTTTCAAGTCTTTGCTATTGTGAATAGTGCCACAATAAACATACGTGTGCATGTGTCTTTATAGAAGCATGATTTATGATCCTTTGGGTATATACCCAGTAATGGGATCACTGGGTCAAATGGTATTTCTAGTTCTAGATCCTTAAGGAATCGCCACACTGTCTTCGACAATGGTTGAACTAGTTTACAGTCCCACCAACAGTGTTAAAGTGTTCCTATTTCTCCACATCCTCTCCAGCACCTGTTGTTTCCTGACTTTTTAATGATCGCCATTCTAACTGGTGTGAGATGGTATCTCATTGTGGTTTTGATTTGCATTTCTCTGATGGCCAGTGATGATGAGCATTTTTTCATGTGTCTGTTGGCTGCATAAATGTCTTCTTTTGAGAAGTGTCTGTTCATATCCTTTGCCCATTTTTTGATGGGGTTGTTTGATTTTTTCTTGTAAATTTGTTTAAGTTCTTTATCGATTCTGGATATTAGCCCTTTGTCAGATGGGTAGATTGAAAAAATTTTCTCCCATTCTGTAGGTTGCCTGTTCACTCTGATGGTAGTTTCTTTTGCTGTGCAGAAGCTCTTTAGTTTAATTAGATCCCATTTGTCAATTTAGGCTTTTGTTGCCATTGCTCTTGGTGTTTAACTCATGAAGTCCTTGCCTGTGCCTATGTCCTGAATGGTAATGCCTAGGTTTTCTTCTAGGGCTCTTATGGTTTTAGGTCTGACATTTAAATCTTTAATCCATCTTGAATTAATTTTTGTATAAGGTGTAAGGAAGGGATTCAGTTTTAGCTTTCTACATATGGCTAGCCTGTTTTCCCAGCACCATTTATTAAATAGGGAATCCTTTCCTCATTTCTAGTTTTTCTCAGGTTTGTCAAAGATCAGCTGGTTGTAGATGTGTGTGGTATTATTTCTGAGGGCTCTGTTCTGTTTCATTGGTTGATATCTCTGTTTTGGTACCAGTACCATGCTGTTTTGGTTACTGTAGCCTTGTAGTATAGTTTGAAGTCAGGTAGTGTGATGCCTCCAGCTTTGTTCTTTTGGCTTAGGATTGTCTTGGCGATGCGGGCTCTTTTTTGGTTCCATATGAACTTTAAAGTAGTTTTTTCCAATTCTGTGAAGAAAGTCATTGGTAGCTTGATGGGGATGGCATTGAATCTATAAATTACCTTGGGCAGTATGGCCATTTTCATGATATTGATTCTTCCTACCCATGAGCATGGAATGTTCTTCCATTTGTTTGTATCCTCTTTTATTTCATTGAGCAGTAGTTTGTAGTTCTCCTTGAAGAGATCCTTCACATCCCTTGTAAGTTGGATTCCTAGGTATTTTATTCTCTTTGAAGCAGTTGTGAATGGGAGTTCACTCATGATTTGGCTCTCTGTTTGTCTGTTATTGGTGTATAAGAATGCTTGTGACTTTTGCACATTGATTTTGTATCCTGAGACTTTGTTGAAGTTGCTTATCAGCTTAAGGAGATTTTGGGCTGAGATGATGGGGTTTTCTAGATATACTATCACGTTATCTGCAAATAGGGACAGTTTGACTTCCTCTTTTCCTAATTGAATACCCTTTATTTACTTCTCCTGCCTGATTGCCCTGGCCAGAACTTCCAACACTATGTTGAATAGGAGTGGTGAGAGAGGGCATCCCTGTCTTGTGCCAGTTTTCAAAGGGAATGCTTCCAGTGTTTGCCCATTCAGTATGATATTGGCTGTGGGTTTGTCATAGATAGCTCTTATTATTTTGAGATATGTCCCATCAATACTTAATTTATTGAGAGTTTTTAGCATGAAGGGTTGTTGAATTTTGTGAAAGGCCTTTTCTGCATCTATTAAGATAATCATGTGGTTTTGTCTTTGGTTCTGTTTGTATGCTGGATTACCTTTATTGATTTGTGTATGTTGAACCAGCCTTGCATCCCAGCGATGAAGCCCACTTGATCATGGTGGATAAGCTTTTTGATGTGCTGCTGGATTCAGTTTGCCAGTATTTTACTGAGGATTTTTGTATCAATGTTCATCAAGGATATTGGTCTAAAATTCTCTTTTATGGTTGTGTCTCTGCCCGGCTCTGGTATCAGGATGATGCTGACCTCATAAAATGAGTTAGGGAGGATTCCCTCTTTTTCTATTGATTGGAATAGTTTCAGAAAGAATGGTACCAATTCCTCCTTGTACCTCTGGTAGAATTTGGCTGTGAATCCATCTGGTCCTGGACTCTTTTTGGTTGGTAAGCTATTGATTATTGCCACAATTTCAGATCCTGTTGTTGGTCTATTCAGAGATTCAACTTCTTCGTGGTTTAGTCTTGGGAGGGTGTATGTGTCCAGGAATTTATCCATTTCTTTGAGATTTTCTAGTTTATTTGTGTAGAAGTGTTTATAGTATTCTCTGATGGTAGTTTGTATTTCTGTGGCATTGGCGGTGATATCCCCTTTATCATTTTTTATTGGATCTGTTTGATTCTTCTCTCTTTTTGTCTTTCTTAGTCTTGCTAGCAGTCTATCAATTTTGTTGATCCTTTCAAAAAACCAGCTCCTGGATTCATTGATTGTTTTGCAGGGTTTTTTGTGTCTCTATTTCCTTCAGTTCTGCTCTGATCTTAGTTATTTCTTGCTTTCTGCTAGCGTTTGAATGTGTTTGCTCTTGCTTCTCTAGTTCTTTTAATTGTGATGTTAGGGTGTCAATTTTAGGTCTTTCCTGCTTTCTCTCGTGGGCTTTTATTGCTGTAAATTTCCCTTACACACTGCTTTGAATGTGTCCCAGAGATTCTAGTATGTTGTGTCTTTGTTCTCATTGGTTTCACAGGACATCTTTATTTCTGCCTTCATTTTGTCATGTACCCAGTAGTCATTCAGGAGCAGGTTGTTCAGTTTCCATGTAGCTGAGCAGTTTTGAGTGAGTGTCTTGATCCTGAGTTCCAGTTTGATTGCACTGTGGTCTGAGAGACAGTTTGTTATAATTTCTGTTCTTTTACATCTGCTGAGGAGTGCTTTACTTCCAACTATGTTGTCAATTTTGTAATAAGTGCGATGTGGTGCTGAGAAGAATGTATATTCTGTTGATTTGGGGTGGAGAGCTCTGTAGATGTCTATTAGGTCCACTTGATGCAGAGCTGAGTTCAATTCCTGGATATCCTTGTTAACTTTCTGTCTCGTTGATCTGTCTAATGTTGACAGTGGGGTGTTTAAGTCTCCCATTATTATTGTGTGGGAGTCTAAGTCTCTTTGTAGGTCTCTAAGGACTTGCTTTATTAATCTGTGGCCTCCTGTATTTGGTGCATATATATTTAGGATAGTTAGCTCTTCTTGTTGAATTGATCCCTTTACCATTATGCAATGGCCTTCTTTGTCTCTTTTGATCTTTTTTCATTTAAAGTCTGTTTTATTAGAGACTAGGATTGCAACCCCTGCCTTTTTTTGTTTTCCATTTGCTTGGTAGATCTTCCTCCATCCCTTTATTTTGAGCCTATGTGTGTCTCTGCACAAGAGATGGGTTTCCTGAATACAGCACACTGATGGGTCTTGAATCTTTATCCAATTTGCCAGTCTGTATCTGTTAATTGGAGCATTTAGTCCATTTACATTTAAAGTTAATATTGTTATGTGTGAATTTGATCCTGTCATTATGATGTTAGCTGCCTATTTTCCTCGTTAGTTGATGCAGTTTCTTCCTAGCCTCGATGGTGTTTAGAATTTGGCATGTTTTTGCAGTAGCTGGTACCGGTTGTTCCTTTCCATGTTTAGTGCTTCCTTCAGGAGCTGTTTTAGGGCAGGCCTGTTGGTGACAAAATCTCTCAGCATTTGCTTGTCTGTAAAGTATTTTATTTCTCCTTCACTTATGAAGCTTAGTTTGGCTGGATATGAAATTCTGGGTTGAAAATTCTTTTCTTTAAGAATGTTGAATATTGGCCCCCACTCTCTTCTGGTTTGTAGAGTTTCTGCCGAGACATCCGCTGTTAGTCTGCTGGGCTTCCCTTTGTGGGTAACCCGACCTTTCTCTCTGGCTGCCCTTACCGTTTTTTCCTTCATTTCAACTTTGGTGAATCTAACAATTATGTGTCTTGGAGTTGCTCTTCTCGAGGAGTATCTTTGTGGTGTTCTCTGTATTTCCTGAATCTGAATGTTGGCCTGCCTTGCTAGATTGGGGAAGTTCTCCTGGATAATATCCTGCAGAGTGTTTTCCAACTTGGTTCCATTCTCCCCATCACTTTCAGGTACACCAATCAGACGTAGATTTGGTCTTTTCACATAGTCCCCTATTTCTTGGAGGCTTCGTTCATTTCTTTTCATTCTTTTTTCTCTAAACTTCCCTTCTCGCTTCATTTCATTCATTTCATCTTCTATCACTGATACCCTTTCTTCCAGTTGATCGCATCGGCTCCTGAGGCTTCTGCATTCTTCACGTAATTCTCGAACCTTGGTTTTCAGCTCCATTAGCTCCTTTAAGCACTTCTCTGTATTGGTTATTCTAGTTGTACATTCGTCTATATTTTTTTCAAAGTTTTTAACTTCTTTGCCTTTGATTTGAATTTCCTCCTGTAGCTCGGAGTAGTTTGATCGTCTGAAGCCTTCTCTCAACTTGTCAAAGTCATTCTCCGTCCAGCTTCGTTCCGTTGCTGGTGAGGAGCTGTGTTCCTTTGGAGGAGGAGAGGCACTGTGCTTTTTAGAGTTTCCAGTTTTTCTGCTCTGTTTTTTCCCCATCTTTGTGGTTTTATCTACTTTTGGTCTTTGATGATGGTCATGTACAGATGGGTTTTTGGTGTGGATGTCCTTTCTGTTTGTTATTTTTCCTTCTAACAGACAGGACCCTCAGCTGCAGGTCTGTTGGAGTTTTCTAGAGGTCCACTCCAGACCCTGTTTGCCTGGGTATCAGCAGCGGTGGCTGCAGAACAGCGTATTTTCGTGAACCGTGAATGCTACTGTCTGATCATTCTTCTGGAAGTTTTGTCTCAGAGGGGTACCCAGCCGTGTGAGGTGTCAGTCTGCCCCTACTGGGGGTTGCCTCCCAGTTAGGCTGCTCGGGGGTGAGGAGTCAGAGACCCACTTGAGGAGGCAGTCTGCCTGTTCTCAGATCTCCAGCTGCGTGCTGGGAGAAGCACTGCTCTCTTCAAAGCTGTCAGACAGGGACATTTAAGTCTGCAGAGGTTACTGCTGTCTTTTTGTTTGTCTGTGCCCTGCCCCCAGAGGTGGAGCCTACAGAGGCAGGCAGGCCTCCTTGAGCTGTGGTGGGCTCCACCCAGTTCGAGCTTCCCGGCTGCTTTGTTTACCTAAGCAAGCCTGGGCAATGGCGGGCACCCCTCCCCCAGCCTCGCTGCCACCTTGCAGTTTGATCTCAGCCTGATGTGCTAGCAATCAGCGAGACTCCGTGGGCGTAGGACCCTCCGAGCCATGTGCGGGATATAATCTCCTGGCGTGCCATTTTTTAAGCCCGTTGGAAAAGCGCAGTATTAGGGTGGGAGTGACCCGATTTTCCAGGTGCCATCTGTCACCCCTTTCTTTGACCAGGAAAGGGAACTCCCTGACCCCTTGCGCTTCTCGAGTGAGGCAATGCTTGCCCTGCTTTGGCTCGCGCACAGTGCACTGCACCCACTGTCCTGTGCCCACTGTCTGGCACGCCCTAGTGAGATGAACCCGGTACCTCAGATGGAAATGCAGAAATCACCCGTCTTCTGCGTCGCTCACGCTGGGAGCTGTAGACCGGCGCTGTTCCTATTCGGCCATCTTGGCTGCCAGCCGCATTCAGATAGTTTCATGCTTTTTCAGAACACTTTGACATATATCAATGGCAAGATCTTTATAGCAATCTCAGTGAAGAATAGAATTGATATTAAAAGCCTATTTTTAAGCATGGTAGAACTGAGAGAAAAAGGGGTGGGTGGAAGAGGTGTCAAACATGACACAGTTTTAAAAGTGTTTTAAGCAGTATAATAGTTTTAATAAGGTAAGATTCACTTGACCTATTCCAGCTCCTTTCTAGTGGAGTATATTTGGGAGGGACCATACTACAGAGGTTGGAAAGATAAAAAATACATTTCCAAGGCTCTTCTTGCATCTGGGACTATGACTCAGGTTCTGCAAAAAAGATGCATACCTGTGAGACTTGTAAGGATGAGGTAAGCAGTATGAGAGTGGCCATGTTTAGAAAGGTTGGAAAGATAAAAAGATACATTTCCAAGACTCTTCTTGCATTTGGGAATATGGCTTAGGTTCTGCAAAAAAGATGCATACCTGTGAAACTTGGAAGGATGAGGTAAGCAGTATGAGAGTGGCCATGTTTAGAGAGATAGGGTCTTGTTGCAATCTAGTGGCAGAAGCATTTGTTCTTTTAGGGCAGCCCTGACAGAGTTTCTCAGGCCCAGTTCCTAGTATCATAGGTGTTGAGTAATGAGTGGTGGTAGTAGTGGGGTTTCTACCTAAAATAGAGCTATGGTGGCATTAGAAGTTGTTCTTGGTTGATGTTCCTGCCTTAATATCATTCAAACCTGGCTTTTCTGGGCCTTGCAGAAATTCTGTAAACAACCCAATAACCCTGAACAAATTCCTTTACCTTTTAAATTAGTTAGAATAGATTCTGTTATTTGAAACTGAGATCCCTTTCAGATACATATGCCAAGACCAGATTTGTCTCTCAGGAGTATACTCACATTAACTAAGATCATGAAGCTAAGATGTAAAATCAGAACCTATTTTAAATTTATAATGAAAAAGTTATGCAGAACAAAGTACACCCACACAACCAATATGTTCTCTCACTGTAGATGGATCAATATAGGCAACATAAATAATAATCAGAAGATTGCTTAGTGAGCATAGAGATAGAACAAAGGAGGCTGGATAAATTGAATGCTTAATGGTGAAAGTTAAAAATCATCAGATTCATCTATCCTTTCTGTAGAGATAATCTTACCAATGGGGTTCTACTATGTATGGTTTATTATATAAAGCTCTTACTCTGTTGGAAACTGTTTGGATGAATATCACCAACTTTCTTTTTTCCATGGTTGACACAGTCCCTTTTTGATTGATAATTCCTTTTTTTAGATATACCAAAACTTTTAGTTAATTTATAGTCAAGGTTAGCCATTGAAGCCTGGGATCCATTCTGTTACTTTAAGATGACTGGTCACAGTGCAATCAAACTAGAAGTCAGGATTAAGAAACTAACTCAAAACTGCTCAACTACATGGAAACTGAACAACCTGCTCCTGAATGACTACTGGGTACATAACAAAATGAAGGCAGAAATAAAGATATTCTGTGAAACCAATGAGAACAAAGACACAGCATACCAGAATCTCTGGGACACATTTAAAGCAGTGTGTAGGGGGAAATTTATAGCACTAAATGCCCACAAGAGAAAGCAGGAAAGATCCAAAATTGACACCCTAACATCACAATTAAAAGAACTAGAGAAGCAAGAGCGAACACATTCAAAAGCTAGCAGAAGGCAAGAAATAAGTAAGATCAGAGCAGAACTGAAGGAGATAGAGACACAAAAAACCCTTCAAAAAATCAATGAATCCAGGAGCTGGTTTTTTGAAAAGATCAACAAAATTGATAGACTGCTATGAAGACTAATAAAGAAGAAAAGAGAGAAGAATCAAATAGATGCAATAAAAAATGATAAAGGGGATATCAACACTGATCCCACAGAGATACAAAGTACCATCAGAGAATACTATAAACACCTCTAAGCAAATAAACTAGAAAATCTAAAAGAAATGGATAAATTCCTGGACATATACACCCTCCCAAGACTAAACCAGGAGGAAGTTGAATCCCTGAATAGACCAATAACAGGCTCTGAAATTGAGGCAATAATTAAGAGCCTACCAAACAAAAAAATTCCAGGACCAGATGGATTCACACCTGAATTCTACCAGAGGTACAAAAAGGAGCTGGTACTATTCCTTCTGAAACTATTCCAATTTATGGAAAAACAGGGAATCCTCCTTAACTCATTTTATGAGGCCAGCATCATCCTGATACCAAAGCCTGGCAGAGACACAACAAAAAAAGAGGATTTTAGGCCAATAACCCTGATGAACATCGATGCACAAATCCTCAATAAAATATTGGCAAACCGAATCCAGCAGCACATCAAAAAGCTTATCCACCATGATCAAGTGGGCTTTATCCCTGGGATGCAAGGCTGGTTCAACATACACAAATCAATAAATGTAATCCATCATATAAACAGAACCAAAGACAAAAACCACATGAATTATCTTAATAGATGCAGAAAAGGCTTCGACAGAATTCAACAACCCTTCATGCTAAAAACTCTCAATAAATTAGGTATTCATTGGACATATCTCAAAATAATAAGAGCTATGTATGAAAACCCACAGCCAATATCATACTGAATGGGCAAAAACTGGAAGCATTCCCTTTGAAAACTGGCACAAGACAGGGATGCCCTCTCTCACCACTCCTTTTCAACATAGTGTTGGAAGTTCTGGCCAGGGCAATCAGGCAGGAGAAAGAAATAAAGGGTATTCAATTAGGAAAAGAGGAAGTCAAATTGTCTCTGTTTGCAGATAACATGATAGTATATCTAGAAAACCCCATCGTCTCAGCCCAAAATCTCCTTAAGCTGATAAGCAACTTCAACAAAGTCTCAGGATACAAAATCAATGTACAAAAATCACAAGCATTCCTATATACCAATAACAGACAAACAGAGAGCTAAATCATGAGTGAACTCTCATTCACAATTGCTTCAAAGAGAATAAAATACCTAGGAATCCAACTTACAAGATATGTGAAGGATCTCTTCAAGGAGAACTACAAACCACTGCTCAACGAAATAAAAGAGGACTCAAACAAATGGAAGAACATTCCATGCTCATGGATAGGAAGAATCAATATCGTGAAAATGGCCATACTGCCCAAGGTAATTTATAGATTCAATGCCATCTGCATCAAGCTACCAATGACTTTCTTCACAGAATTGGAAAAAAACTACTTAAAGTTCATATGGAACCAAAAAAGAGCCCGCATTGCCAAGACAATCCTAAGCCAAAAGAACAAAGCTGGAGGCATCACACTACCAGACTTCAAACTGAACTACAAGACTACATAACCAAAACAGCATGGTACTGGTACCAAAACAGAGATATCAACCAATGAAACAGAACAGAGCCCTCAGAAATAATACCGCACATGTACAATATTCTGATCTTTGACAAACCTGACAAAAACAAGAAATAGGGAAAGGATTCCCTATTCAATAAATGGTGCTGGGAAAACTGGCTAGCCATATGTAGAAAGCTGAAACTGGATCCCTTCCTTACACCTTATACAAAAATTAATTCCAGATGGATTAAAGACTTAAATGTCAGACCTAAAACGATAAAAACCCTAGAAGAAAACCTAGGCAACACCATTCAGGACATAGGCATGCGCAAGGACTTCATGTCTAAAACACCAAAAGCAATGGCAACAAAAGCCAAAATTGACAAATGGGATCTAATTAAACTGAAGAGCTTCTGCACAGCAAAAGAAACTACCATCAGAGTGAACAGGCAACGTATAGAATGGGAGAAAATTTTTGCAATCTACCCATCTGACAAAAGGCTAATATACAGAATCTACAAAGAACTTAAACAAATTTACAAGAAAAAAATCAACCCCATCAAACAGTAAGTGAAGGATATGAATAGACACTTCTCAAAAGAAGACATTTATGCAGCCAACAGACACATGAAAAAATGCTCACAATCACTGGCCATCAGAGAAATGCAAATCAAAACCACAATGAGATACCATCTCACACCACTTAGAATGGCGATCATTAGAAAGTCAGGAAACAACAGGTGCTGGAGAGGATGTGGAGAAATAGGAACACTTTTACACTGTTGGGACTGTAAACTAGTTCAACCATTGTGGAAGACAGTGTGGCAATTCCTCAAGGATGTAGAACCAGAAACACTGTTTGATCCAGTGATCCCATTACTGGGTATATATCCAAAGTATTATAAATCATGCTGCTACAAAGACACATGCACACGTATGTTTATTGTGGCACTATTCACAATAGCAAAGACTTGAAACCAACCCAAATGTCCAACAATGATAGACTGGATTAAGAAAATGTGACACATATACCCCATGGAATACTATGCAGCCATAAAAAAGGATGGGTTGATGTCCTTTGTAGGGACATGGATGAAGCTGGAAACCATCATTCTGAGCAAAGTATCACAAGGACAGAAAACCAAACACTGTATGTTCTCACTCATAGGTGGTCATTGAACAATGGGAACACTTGGACACAGGGTGGGGAACACCACACACTGGGGCCTGTCGTGGGGTTGGGGGAACGGGGAGGGATAGCATTAGGAGATATACCTAATGTAAATGATGAGTTAATGGGTGCAGCACACCAACATGGCACATGTATACATACGTAACAAACCTGCACATTATGCACATGTACCCTAGAACTTAAAGTATAATTAAAAAAAAAAGAAAAGAAAAAAAGATGACTGGTCATTTGACCCTCAAAATATAATTCATTTCTATTGTATTCTTGAATGTGAGAAGAAAATTCTTTTTCTTTTTTTGTATATCTCTTCCATCCATTGTGTAAGTGATGACTGCAGTTTAATTCCCAGAGAATAATCTTATTTCCCGTATTTTTAAATGCCATTCCTCAAATGCTGCTAATAAGTAAAATGCAGGTTTCTTAATGTCCAGATTACTATTATTTCTCCCACACTAATAGGAGACGCTTTGGGCTAAAGACTCTCTCAGTTAATTAGTAACATTTTAAGAGGACTTTAAAATGTTTAGATTTCGATAGTGACTCAAGATGTTTTTCCAGGATCACAGCTTATGAACTCATTTCTAATAAAAGAAGCATTTAGAAAGAATGACTTGACTTCAAAGTACCAGTTAGTATGTATAAACCTAGGTAAAATGAATTAAATTTTGTACATAATATATTATTATTAAATATAGATTTAAGGGGTATAGTTACAAACGATTTTTAGGAGCTAGTGTGTCTAAGTGCCTGAGGGTCTATTATGGAGAGAAAGGAGTTGTTGAACTTTATTGAAGAGCATGTTCTTTACAGCAAAACTGTTTTTATCACACACACATTCCATACTAAATTCCTGCTCAAATTGAAATCACAGTTGAAAGACAAAACTAAAAGGTGCACCAGTGCCCCCAAATCAGTGAAAATTTAAGATCACAGAACAAGAGAAGTTTCTGGCAATGAAAGAGATTGGGTGGTAAAAAAACGGGGTTAAAAAAGGGCCAAAGAAAAAAATTGATGAAGAATCCACTCAAAATAGTATTGCATCCATTAATGACAGACTGGATGAAGAAAATGTGGTACATATACATCATGGAATACTATGCAGCCATAAAAAGAAATGAGATCATGTCCTTTGCAGGGACATGAATGGAATTGGAAGTCCTTATCCTCAGCAAACTAATGCAGGAACAGAAAACCAAACACTGCATGTTCTCACATATAAGTGGGAGCTGAGTGATGAGAACACATGGGCACAAGGCGGGAACAACACACACTGGGTCCTGTCAGGGGTTGGGTTGGGGAGGGAGAGCATCAGGAATAATTGATAATGGGTGCTGGGCTTAATACTTAGGTGATGGGATGATCTATGCAGCAAACCACCATGGTACACATTTACCTGACTGTCCTGGCCTGCCACTCCCCAGTCCTGTGCCTATAAAAACCCCCGAGACTCTAGCAGGCAGACACACAAGTGGCTGGATGTGGAGACAAACACATCTTGGTGGAGGAATACACAAGCAGCTGAACATTGAGAGGGCGTCGATGTACAGGTAACAAACCTGTACATCCTGCACATGTACCCCTGAACTTAAAAGTTGAAGAAAAAAAATAGTATTGCATGAAAATCATATAATCATTATTCCAAGTTGGCTCAAGGATTTGGCTGGTTCAGGTCTAACCTCTAACAACGAAAAAAAACCTATAAGAAACTATAAAATAAGGAATGATTGTACTTAAATATGCATGGACCTGTAATATCAAATGCATCCTTGAATTGTCGTATTGTATTCTTGAATGTGCGTTGTTATCCTTTTCTGTGTGCTAGCACATTATATGAGATAATACTTCTCATTTTTCTTTGCTTTTGGACACTAGCGGCTATCAATGAGATCTCCTGTTTTATCTTCCTCATCAAATATTCAGTCTATACTGATAACCCAAAAGAAAGAATTAGCAACTCTTATTTTCCCTTACTTGCTTCACCGTTTCCTCCTTCTATTCCAAAATTTTTCATTGCTCCTTTTTTTACCCAATATTTTTGACCTCTTCTTTCCTCTTTAGTCTATGGCATTTACCCAGTTTAATAAATACCAGTTTCAAACATCCCTGAGGGAGGCATTTGGAAGTGAGAGTTTCTATTGATAGTCCACTGGTTATGGACAGTTGAACCCCTAAAATAGTGTGATTGATAGTGAAACGGGAAAAGTTCCCTTGTCCTCCTCAGGGGGTGTGTGATGGGAGTGTGGCTCGCTTCTTCAGTGCCCCGCTGCTCACATCTCTAGGGGAGCATACAGACGGGCAGGCTGTGGGGCTCCAACCCCACAACAGTGTCTAGGGGCGAATGTTTACAGCTCTGAAGCCCCAGTGGGCATGTGTTACAGGGTGCTCTTTTAGTTTAGCCATCCGTAGACGGCTTGCGTTAGCTCAATGAGACCCCTGCCTTATCTCAAGGACAGGGCTTTTTGTATCCTGGGGTTCTTGCCTTGGTGTACCAGAAGAATTGGATCACACATGGGCTTGGAGAATGAGTTCAAGCTTTTATTGAGTGGAAGTAGCTCTCAGCAGGTGGGGGAGACAGAAAGGAGATGGTTTCCCCTAGAAAACTGCCTGACTCTTCTCCGACTGCCCAGTAAAACTCCACGTCGTTCCACCGGTCGATGGCCTGCGGGTCTGCTCTTGATGTCCTCTTCACGTCCAGCCACTTGTGTCTTCTTCCACCGATCTCCTCCTCTCGACGCCCTCTCAATGTTCAGCTGCTTGTGTATTCCTCCACCAAGATGTGTTTCTCTCCACGTGCAGCCGCTTGTGTGTCTGCCTGCCAGAGTCTCGGGAGTTTTTACAGGCACAGGACTGGGGAGTGGCAGGCCAGGACAGTCCTGGGAAATGCAACATTTGGGTGCAAAGTCAGGAGTGCCTGTCCTCACCTAGGTCTGTGGGCACAGGCCTGGAGGTGGAGCCCTCGCCAGGAACCACACCCTCCTCTACCCAGCTCTTCTCTGCCTCCTTTCCCTGTCAATAGCAAGCTGAGATTTATGATAGACTGAGACACGAAAGTTTGCTGAAGCTCCATGGGAAATTCTTCTGTAAGTTTCATGGGAGTAGCCTTGATTTTGACGTGATAAATCTTCACACTAAAATATATAAAATATGAACACAGCAGTGAGGATACTTTTGCCTTTTAAAAACTCCATGTTTATTTAGTATGTTTCTCTGAGAACTAAAGGCTTTCACCTATTTTCTTTATTTCACCTATTTCTTTATTCTATGAATAAAGAAATTTCTTTATTCTACGGTAAAGAAATTTCTTTATTCTTTAATAAAAGAATTTCTTTATTCTTTAAATAAAGAATTCTTAATTTAAATAATTTATTCTTTAAAAAAAGAATTTCTTTATTCTTTAAATAATTTCTTTATTCTTTCTTCATTTCACCTTTATTTCTTTATTTCACCTATTTTCTTTATTCTATGTGTTTCCATAATCTTTGTGTTTGCATAATAAGGATATTGATACCAAAAAATTATGTGACTTGCTCAGGATTTCATTGAAAGGTAGCGAACAAGGTAGATGAGCTGGCTGTTGACTCCTGCAGTATAGTTTTTCACTATTATGCTTTGGGGTGAGGAGAAAATTCATACCTCCTTTTGATATTACACTGGGAGCATTATTTAGAGCTGGCTGAGTATTCTTCGGGGAACTATTTAACTGAGGCATATGGGAAATTCCTGAGATGCTAATATTATTAGATATATGAATACTGAAGCTGAAAGACTGCTGGGTCAAATTTTATTCTTTTAAGGGATAAACTCAACTTTATGTTGTCTGGGATTTTCAGGCAAGGTCCATGTATTCAGCTTAAGATATGAAAGCCAACTAAATAATTTTTGAAAAAGAATTTTTAGGGCCACATTTATATATATCAAAATGGAGACCCTTGTTAGTTGTATGAACTTTTTAAAAATGAAGTGCTTTTTAAAAAAACAGATTATGAATTTTATTAGTTCATTTATCTCAGATGAGGGATCAGCAAACATTCTCTGTGAAAGGCCAGAAAGTAAATATTTCAGGCTTTGTGGGCCGTACATTGTTGCAAGTATTTAACTCTGTGTGTTGAAGAATGAAAATAGCTATAGAAATATGTAAGCAATAAACAAAAAGTTATGGTTGTGTTCCAATAAAGCTTTATTTATGTATACTGAAATTTACATTTTATATAATTTTTCATGTCATAAAATATTATTCTTTTGATTTTTTCCCAACCTTTAAAAATATAAAAAACATTCATAGCTTGTAGGCTGCACATAAACAGGGCAGGCTGGATTTGGCTTGTTTCCATAGTTTGCCGACTCTGTCTGAAGTAAAGGAACTAAGAATACAAGGAATTTCAAAAATATTTGACCTCTTACTTGTTAAGAATCTCAAGTTTCTCAGACTGAATGTATCATTGGTGGGAAAAGTAAAAAGAAAGGACAATTAAAGCTACTGTTAATTTTTGTGCAAAAGACAACTAATATTTATAGCTCAGAGTTTGCTTTTAGCTACAAAATGAGCTCTATGGGGTCTCCAGGGATTTCCGAGAGAGATGCATTCTGCTCATGGTTTTGGGGCAGCATGGTGAACAAGATCGACACCCTCTACCCCCACCCTTTTAATGATCTTGATATTCCCCCCAAGGAGAGAAGTTAGCTGCAATGTATGTAAATGTTACTTTTCTACTGCTTCATTATAATAATTACTCACTAGTTTTTACAGTTATTAAAGTGACAGTTTCCAGTACATATACATACACATTGATTTTTTTTTGGTCCCCTCTGCAGGTATGTTTTTAGCCTTGTGTTTTTGACTACACAAGAAATGTGCCTATTTTTAAATAATAAAAAAAACTTATTCAAAGGTCCTTACTAAAACCTCTGTACATCTTTAATTATGCTTTAATAATTTAGATTATATTTATGATAGAATGTCATTTTATGTGCTTATTGACCATTTGTATTTTTTCTTTGGAGAAATGTCTATTTAGACTCTTCGCCTATTTTAAAAACAGGATTGTCTTTTTATTATTAAGTAGTAAGTTTTTTTTTAATAGATTCTGGATATAAGCCCCTTATTGGATATAGGGTTTACAAACATTTTCTTCCATTCTGTGTGTTGTCTTTTTACCTTCTTAATGATTTTTTTTTTGGAGTCCAAAAGGTTTAAGTTTTGATTGTCCAGTTCATCAATTTTTTTTATTGCTTGTACTTTTGGTGTTATATATAAGACATTGTTGCCTAACTCAAGATTATAAAGTTGTATTCCTGTTTTCTTTTTCTAAGAGTTTTATAGTTTTAGCTCTTGCAAGTAGGTCTATGATCTACCATAAACGTAAAGGTTTATTTCTGAGATAGCAATTCTATTGGTTATTATAGCTTCCTAGTAAGTTTTGAAATTGGGAAGTGTGATTTCTATAACTTTGCCCCTCTTTTTCAAGATTGTTTTGGCTATTCTGGGTCCCTTGCATTTCTGTATGAATTTTAGGATCAGCTGGTGAATTTCTTTGAAAGAGCCAGTAAGGATTTTGTTAAAAGTGTTAGTCCATTTTTGCATTGCTATAAAGGAACACCTGAGACTGGGTAATTTATAAAGAAAAGAGATTTAATTGGCTTATGGTTCTGCAGATTGTACATGGAGCATAGCACCAGCATCTGCTTCTGGTGAGGGCCTCAGGAAGCTTCCAATCATGGTGGAAGGCAAAGGGGGAGCTAGCATTGTCACATGACGAGAGTGGGAGCAAGAGGAGTGCGAGGTCCCAGACTCTTTTAAACAACTAGATCTCATGGGAACTGAGCAAGAACTCACTTGTTATCATGAGGACAGCACCAAGACATTCATAAGGGATGCACCCTCATGACCCAAACACCTCCCACTGGGTCCCACCTCCAACACTGGGGATTACATTTCAACATGAGATTTGGCGGGGATAAACATCTAAGCGATATCAGTCAGGGATTATTGTGAATCTGTGGACCGATATGGGGAGTATTGCTATCTTAACAATATTAAGTCTTCTAATCCATGAGCATGAGATATGATCATTTATTTAGGTCTTCTTTAATTTGTCAGCAATGTTTTGCAGTTTTCAGTGTACAAGTCTTACACTTCTTTGTTAAATTTATTCCTAAATGTTTTATTTGTTGGATGCTCTTGTGAATGGAATGTATTTACTTTTGTAATGGTTCAGAATCCTGGATGTTTATCTTCACTAAATTTTTATGCTCCTTTGGGTTTCACTCTGTACTTTCAGTATGTACAGTTGGCCACATTGACTTCCTTGCAAGTTTTGTGTGAGCTTGTGAACTAAGACTTTATAATGGGGCCCTAAAATAACTTCTGTCATTTCTGCATAAGGAGCATATCAATAGGGCCAAATTTGACCTTACTGATTAACAGCTGTAG
Organism: Homo sapiens; assembly: GCF_000001405.40. NCBI lineage: Eukaryota > Metazoa > Chordata > Mammalia > Primates > Hominidae > Homo > Homo sapiens. Next base: position 67,547,533 of record NC_000010.11, on the reverse strand, counting down.
TACTCTGAATGGGGTGATATATGAAAGAATAAATTTGTTAAATATTTATTGCTCTGATCACAGCTGTGGGACTTGAATTTCTAGTAAGGTGAAGCCTGAATTCTACTTTATTACTTAACCTCTTGATGAATAGAACTTTGTTGAGGCTGATTATAAGTGATAATTGATAACTGGTAATTTTATTTTAAAATGATTGAGTGATCCTTTGATGTAGTCACTCTCGTTTTTCATTTTTTCTCAGAGAACTTTTAAATCATACATAAAATATTGAAATCTAGGAATTGTGCATATGAAGAATTATTATACTTGTATTTTTTGGGGGGGAGGTGCTATGGAATTATGTCTTAATATACTTTAAGGTAGGTGTATCTGAAGATGCTGACATTTAAAACCAAACAGAAGAATCTTCTCATTGAAGTGGTTCATTTTCCTATTTGAGGGTACCTGGTGGAGACCATGTTATAATCGTTGTTGTATACCCCATAGTGCTTTGCGTATTTTAGTGCTGAATAGTTGATATATGAATGAATGAACTGTTTGTAAGGGTTAGGTATCATTTATTAAAAATTAACTTTCAACTTCAAAGCACTAGAATGAGATTCTTTTAGCAGATGTCAAAAAAGCAAAGATATCAGTTTTTGCCAATTCATCATAGTATAATTTAAGTGTATTCATGGCTAAGCTTACTACATTTAGCCATAAAAGGAAATATTAGAAAAAATGATAAATTAACTTTAGTCGGAAATCTTAGTTATAAGGTTTATTTTTTCACCTCAAAAGAATTAAATTTACATCAAGAATAATATAAAAGTGTTTATTGGTGGGTGGCATATCAGTCAATAGGTTGTTGGGAAAGAAATTCAATAGAGAATAATTATGGGCAGCTATTTCAGCTCAAAGTTTAAACATTTATTTAAGTTATAAATCCATACTATTTTCTTTTTATTGACTGGTTTACAATATGGATTGCTTTGTTCCTTTGTCAGTTTGTTTTACTGTAAACCACTTTAGGTATATGAAACTTCTAACCCCAGGAGATGATAATAATGTTGCAGGAATATATTTTGTGTATTTTATTATCTTAAAATTATTGTCAAATTTAGCTCAGTGGGGTGGGTCATGGCTATAATCCCAGCATTTTGAGAGGCCGAAGAGGGAGGATCACTTGAGGCCAGGAGTTCTAGACCAGCTTGGGCAACAAAAAGAGACCCTATCTCTATAAGAGATACAAAAAATTAATTGGGTTTGGTGATGCATACCTGTAGTCTCAGCTCCTTGGAAGGCTGAGGCAGGAGGATTGCTTGATCCCAGGAGTTTGAGACTGCAGTGAGCTAAGATTACCCCTGTACTCCAGCCTAGGTGACAAAGTGAGAGCCTGCATAGAAAAAAAAATTGTCAAATTTAAATATGACATGAAATTACTTGGTCAATTTTTTGAAAATTAAAAAATTTCATTTTTCTTTGAAATTCTGAAGAGATGTTTAGCTCTATTTTAAAATCTTCCTTAATATTGAAATTTATTTAGGTGCATAGTTTATAGATACATTGTACAAAATATTTTGCTCATAAAAAGATATTAATAAAGTTTTAAGTTAGGAGTTGTGTACTTTTACATACAAGTACATAATTAAAGTTTGACTAAATGTGACTGAAAGTTATTTCCAGTGTTTTAAAATATAGCAGATAATTTTTGCTTCAAGATATATTTGTTCTCATTATTAGAAGTAAAAAGTTCATTAGTTCATTAGTTGTACACACACAAACGCATAACTTATATAGTCGTTTTGACCGAAACCACAACCAAACTATATTGACTAAAATTTCCAGTTTTGGTGTCTTCATGGAAGAAAACTTAATGACACTTGCGAAGCTACCTAACTGCAGAATCTTTCTTGATCTTTTATAATCCTTTTCCTTGCCTTGCCCTGCTCCAACTTTTACCATTTTTTCCTTCCATACCCAACTTAACAACTCATCTTTACTGAATGTCTCTAAAGCATTAAAAATTAGTTTTTAAAGAATTAATAGATATTTTTACACTTATATTTGATAGGTTTATATAGTTAATAAAACTATATAATTATAATTACAACTCACATGAAAAGATTGGGGAGCAAGCCTTTTCAACTTCTTGATTAACTTCAATTATTGGAAGCAGAAGGTCTTCAGTATATTTTACATACCGGAAAGGAGATACCATTAATATGTTGCTGAGAGGAATAAAAAGTTTATTAATCTAGAGAGGTGGTTAAGAGGAGGTCTTTTAAGACAGCTTCTACTATATCCTATCTATGATGTTGGGAGATGTTTCTATTACTTTTATAGAAACTAGCCCCATCAAATTTTATGTTTTATAAAACATTTTATATAATTTTACCAACATGGCACATATATACATATGTAACAAACCTGCACGTTGTGCACGTGTACCCTAGAACTTAAAGTATAATAATAAAAAAACACAGATTAGTTATGAAAAAATTTTTTTTAATAGAATCAGCCCAATCAAAGTATTTCCCAGCTTATTTTGAGAGTTCCCAATGGTGCAGCGCTCAGTGACTGGCTGCTCATGTCCTTCCATTTTCATTAAATCATTATGCTAGTCTGCTGTTGCCTTTACCTGGCTATCTCTCTTCTCTGATGCATGAATGCTGCTGGTCTTGAAATTGGGAATTCTGTTTTCTCTGAATTGCTTTGTTAGAAGGCACTAGGGCAATGTTCAGTCTAAGGCTAATTCTTCCCCACTATTGAGGCAAGACTCTTCTTTGTATTCTATCCAATGTCCCATGAGTTATGAAGTTTTCCAGTCTGGTGGTTGGACAAGCATTATTCCCAGTCCTGTGTGAGTGGCAAGTACAGTTACCTCAAATCCTTTTGGGTGGTTCTTTCCCTAGCCTTGGGTGGTTTCCTCCAGTATACTGGTTGATCAGTATTCAGCTGAATACTCAAGAGGGAGCATGTGCAGATTATCAGTGTTCTTTCTCTGTGTATCTCTTCCCTTTATCATTCTCTATTCTGTTTTATACATTTACTGCCTTGATCTCCCAGGACTCTCAGCTTTGTCTCCCCAGCTCAGAGAGTTTGCCAGGCTCTGCCTTGGTTTCCCCTTCCTGTATCATTGCCTGGAAAGTCTCTCATGGTGGTAAGCTGGGGCTATCAAAGGGCTCATCCTGTTTTTTTTGGTCCATTTCTCAGGGATTACTGTCCTTCACTGCCTAACATCCAGTGCCTTATAACCATTTTTGCATTTATTTGGTCTATTTTTTTGTTTCAGGTAGGAAAGGAATCTGGTCTCTGTTATTCTCCCTTGACTGGAAGCAAATTATAACTTTTAATAAGACTTTACTGAGTTCGAAGATAATAAAATGGAAATAAGACATAGCCAATAGTTTACAATAGCAACCATATGCAGCCACATTCCTAGTCTATAACCCTGCCGTAGCACCCAACCTTGGGTCCACACAGCAGTGGCTAGCTTTGCTGCCCTTCCACCTGCCATGATAAGGTTTTCTTTTATCATACAAAACATGTTTGCTCCTAGTAGTCAAACTGTCTTGAACATTTTAAAGGGGAGTCTTTACTATTTTTTTTTAACATCTGTGTAAGTTTAGGATCGAATTGAGGTCATCCTCCTCTCTTCCCTGCCAAATAAAATAATTGTCTGCTAAAAAGTTAAATTCAAGCTTCTACCTCTTCAGAGTTTTCAAATTCAAAATGGCAGTTTCCCAACCAAAAACAAATAAAACCAAACCCTGAATGTTGAGTCTCAGTCTGTGAACCCTATTATATATTGAATCAATGAATATGTACTAATGCATGTTATATGTGTATGATATAAACCTTTTACCATGATGTATTTGTATCACTTGGACAGATGCATATATTAGAAATCTTAATTGAATAATAAACATAATGTCAAGTAAAAGTTTGGGAAGTTTTTTATCTTTAGTACCTGCCCCTTTTCATTTTGGTTATTCTCTTTTTCCTCTGGATATTTTTCTTATACTATGTTTTCCTTGACTTTTAAGTTTATAATCAATATAAGCACTTTTAGAAAGTAGAATTATACTTTTAAATGAAGCAAAGGAACTTGTAAAATAACCATATAGGAAGCTTTATAAAATAAAGAATATTTGGTAATATGTGTATTTGGCCAACAATTTTTTTGTACTTCTGGAGTTTATTTATTTGATCATATAAAAAGTTTATCAGCCAGATTTTTGTATATTCAGAAATTGTCATCTCTTACACTTATATAGGTGTGTAAAAGTTATCTCTATAGATATTTGTAGACTATATACTCTAGTACCTAGGCATTTCATAACTGATTTTTTTTAACGATTAAAAAAAATCCCGTTTTTAGGAAAGGAACTAAATGGACTCAGTAGAAAGAAGTTTTCTAAACCTAGTTCTTCTGGCATTTTCAAGACCTTTAGTAAATTATTTTTATGTATAGAGTGGGATTTCTTGAAGAAAAAATGTAGTTATTTTTATTTGTATGTATTTTAAAAGTGAAATTTCCTATTCAGCAAACTTCAAAGTAAAAGCATTATAAGCAAGATTGGGAATGATATTTCAAAAGAGTAGACTCTCCACATGTAGACTTTATAAAACATAGATGCTAATATTCTAGATGGAAAGGAAACCTGTACCTTTTTTTCTATTTAATTAGGAAAATAACCATTTTCTCCTGTCAGAAATCAATATGACAGTGAACTGGCTAAATTCTATAAACCAGCTGTCGTTGTCAATACCTTATCAATAGTTGGAACATGTTTCTTTTACCTAGAACATTCCTTTGTATATCTTCTGACACCTCAGGCAGAGGTAGATCCTCCTCTGTGTCTCTTAGTACTTTGTACAGGCCTGTACCAGAAACCTGTATCAGTGTTTGTTGACTTTCACTTGATCTGAACTTCTTGGGCTGCAAAAATACTGTTTCATACTGATATCTATATCCTGGATACCTAGGATACAGCTGTTTTATAGAGGGAACAACAAATGTTTATCAAAGAAAAGTTGAATAATGTTCATTCATATATTCATTTGGCAGTAGATAGTCAATGTATTGAATATCTGCAACAGAGTAGGCACTCTTCTAGATCCTGGAAATGCTGTGGTGACCAGGGCCAATGCAGCTCTTGCACTTACTAGTTTTATGATCCAGAAGAAAAGACAGGTTTTGATACAATTTGTTATAATAAATTATGATGAAGGTTATGCTAGAAAACATAGAATCTTATTGTAAGACCTATCTTGGTAATGGGGGGTCCAAGCTTCCCATAGGAAGTGATGTTTAACTTAGGACCAGAGTGTGGGCTGAAACCAGCTGAAAAGGGTTAGGAATATTGGGGAAATTAGGGATAAGTCCAGCAATAAGAATTTAAGTTGTAGCATCTTTATTAATGTATTTTGGGAGTGACTTTTCTCTTCCCAACAGAGCTACCTGACTGGCTGTTTATATTCCTTTAACAAAGACAAGAATATACTAATTGTTTAAATGATCTCTTTCTGAATATGGCTCTCCAGCCAGTTGTTCAACATTCCAACATTTTTAGAGTCAAAAATACATAATTTTTTGATATATATTTAGTTTTAGTATGTGAAGTCAAAGACAGTATTCTAAAAAGGCTATTATAACTTTCCAACTCAGAATCACAAAAAGAAAAAATTAATCTTTTTTGTGGGCATTCATCTGCTCTCTAAATTCTGGAAGTCAGTTTAACTTTTCACAGTCTCATAGCAGCAATTCTGACTTGCAGAGAAGCAGATGAAAATCACCCACTTATTGGCATTAAAAATTTACCATCTCTATTAGAAATTTCCTCCAAAATAACAGTTAATCTTTGTTGAGTGCTTTCCATGTTTAAATACTGTGCTAAATATATGAATGCTGTCATCTAAGCATCCAAGAAACACTATGAGATAAGTCATATTTTTACCCCTTTCCTATAGATAAGGACATTGAAGGCATTTACTGTCCAAGTTCCCAGAACTAGAGGGGGAATATATGAATTTGATCTCAGAAGTGTCTAGAGTCCTAGTTCCTAACTTGGTATTGCTAAAGAGATCTAAATGAGACATACTAACATGTTGAGACAGTCTCAGACCCTCCTCACAAGTTTTGTCTATTATAAGAAACAGTATTCTTTATTTTATTTAATAAAATAACTGACTCAGTTTTCTTTATGTTAAGGTTCATGAGTCAATGAAACTAAAATATTTATGGATGTAATCCATAAATGGATAAGACAGACCCTTTTGTATATTTTTGATGGGATGACTGTATTTTGGAGAATTTTGGGGCAATATATAACAAAACTTAAAATTCATTTGCCCCTTGACTCAGGAATTCTACTTTTAGGAATTTATCCTAAAGCTAAACTTGTTCATGCATGTAAAGATATATGTCCTGGACGTTCTTTATAGTATTATATAAAATAGGAAAAAGTTGGAAATGACTTATGTGTTCAATAGGGGCCTGGTAAAATAAGTTACAGTGTATCAATGAAATATAACTTATGTACTCTTATTTAATACTCATAAAATAGTAGGTTTATTATTTTATATTATTAAAAAAAGAAGAAAACGAAGAGTAATGATGTTAAGTGACTTGATTGAGATACTAGGACAGAGACATTGAAGCAGTCTGGCTCCAGAGTACACACTGTTAATTACTGTGCTATATTGCCTCCTGGTCATCTGTTTCCCAGTATGAAAGGAAAATAAATTGAAAAGCAAAAAGAAGAAATTACAGAAAATCTCTCTAGTAGGATACTACTTGCTAAAGGCTCTATATTTTTACATTTTCTTCTTATAACATATAAAATATGTTTTCTTATAAAATCTGTCTTTATAAAACATATTTGTATATATGAATGTATATGAATATATTCATAAAACACATACATGTATAAAACATACATATACATTTATGTATATAAAACATGTATCTATATATGCTTATACACATAAATCATACATTCATGGAAAAATTTCTGGACAGATATGCAAGAGCTGAATAGTTGGTGCTTTGGGGGATTAGTTTGGAGACTTTTAAAATTTTTACTTGATGTTCTTTAGTGTGGTAAATTATTTAAAAGTAATGGACACGTATTATAGTACTTTTATAATAAAAAGAAGTTTAGATTTAAAAACTTAAAAAATAGTGGATGTGGTAATTATCAATTATGTTGTTGGATGGGAGTAAAGAGAGTTTTTTATTAAATATTTTCATTTTATACCCTTTTGAACTGGGAACTTAAAACAATGAAAGAATACATATTTCTTTTATAATAAAATATATTTTAAATGAAAAGGCATTAAAAATAGTGGACACAATATTCTCTAACAATTAGGTACTATGAAGTACTATTTCTGTGACTAAATTTAGGATATAGTTTATTCATTATATTGATAGTTTAGAATAAATTTGCCTATGTTAAACTTTTATCAGAGAGCTGCAGTCCTAACATCCATTGATTTGGAAAGTAACTCAATAAAGATTTACCTTGTTTTTATAAGCAGGATTGTTTATGATTGAAGCTTTAGTAATAAAACCTTTTACAAGAAATGAGATTCAGCAAATGCAGAAGTTGGCAGCAATTTTACTAGATGTTCCTAGTCAGTTGAGCACAACTTTCTTGCAGGAAAATGATATTATGCTTCTTAATTCCAAAATATTTGTGAAAAACAAATGTTAATTTGAAACTGCATTGTTTATTGAGAGAGAAAATTGTCAACTGACAATATTTTTATATTATGCTTAGTCTTGGAATTTACTTGGAATTAGGTTAGCTGATAAATCCTGAAATAGGCATAGTTGAAACTTAAAGTATAACTTATATGGGGTTGTATTTTTCAGGTGAAGCTCTGAAAGTATCAGCTGAGAGATTTACAGATGACCCCTGTTTTCTCCCAAAAAGGGAGGCTGTGGTTCAAGCTGCCCGTGCCTTGCTGGCTGCGGTGACGAGACTCCTTATCCTTGCGGACATGATTGATGTCATGTGCCTCTTGCAACATGTGTCAGCTGTAAGTAAAAGATGGCTTAGTTTACCTTGGCATTGTCTTCACTTCTAATTTCATTCTCTGAACCTGGCGTCGATCCTAGTGCATCTTGGCTTCACTCTCATTTCTTAACATCACCCCTTCAGAAGCAGACTAGACTGGGTTGTGAAGACTAATGTATACCTCAAAATAAGGAAGCCAGAGTAGTTCTAAAGCCAATGGGAAATTAAACAGGAGATGGCTTGCTTATAAGGAAATGGCTAGGAAAAGTTCTAGACTTTTGATCATTTAAATAACTATGCTCTCTATAAATAAATAAATAACATAATTATATAGATAATATATGATAAACATATGAGTATAAATAACTTGAGAAATAGAAACCTTAAAGTTGAAGACATTTGGAAATTTATCCTGGTTTGTAAATGAATTCTACTTTGCCATGTCCTCTTGATTCAGGATAAAGAGTGCATGTTTACAGGTAGTCTGTGATGTCTGTAGTAATCCATTAGGAAAATGTAGACATGTATTTAATATGAGTAAATAATGTATATTAGCTAGGAGGATATAAAGTTAGCAAGATATCCTGAATGCTTTATTTTGTCAGACAAACCCACTTAGCACATTTTTAGTAGAGAGAGAATTTTATTAAAGCCTGTTTTCAGAGTTTGACCAAATCATTAGTAGTGTTCAGATGAAAAGGTTGCAAAGAACTCTTTTTATATCTGTTGTATTTTCTGCTTGAAATAGGACCCTTATACTCTGTCTATAAATAAATCTGCATTTTCATAAAGTGTCTGTGATTTTAATATAACTACTCTATTAAGTAAGCAATGGTCTTATTTGATTAACCTTCATGTCAAAATCATTTTCTCTAACTGCTAAGCTAAACCTTTCTTTGCATCTTTCTTTTTCTTTTCTTTCTTTCCTTTTTTCTTTTTTTTTTTGAGATGGAGTCTCGCACTGTCGCCTGGGTTGGAGTGCAGTGGTGATCTCGGCTCACTGCAATCTCTGCCTTCTGGGTTCATGCAATTCTCCAGCCTTAGCCTCCTGAATAGCGGGATTACAGGCACACACCACCATGCCTGGCTAATTTTTTGTATTATTTATTTTTAGTAGAGACGGGGGTTTCACTATGTTGGCCAGGCTGGTCTTGAACTCCTGACCTCGTGATCCTCCCACCTTGGCCTCCCAAAGTGCTGGGATTACAGGTGTGAGCCAGTGCTCCCAGCCACATCTTTCTTGTATTCACTATTGCTTATTTTAACGCTAGAGTGACCCTCTCTGTGTACTTTCATTTTTTTCTTTTGATAGTTTTATTACTGTAAAAACAGCAATTCAATACCTTTTTTTTTTTTTTTTTTTTTTTAGTTTAAGTAGCTTTTTAGGAAAGGGAATTGCTGTCATCACCAACAGCTGTTGACTAGAAGATTTGTAGGTGATATAATTGAGCAAAGGTTTCTGTTACTTGCTTCTTGGTTTGTTGAGTAACCATAGACAAATTACTGAACTGATAGTTTTATTACAGTAAAAAGAGCAATTCAATCTTTTTTTTTTAGTTTAAGTAGCTTTTTAGGAAAGGGAATTGTTCTCATCACCAGCAGCTGTTTACTAGTGGATTTGTAGGTGTCATAATTGAGCAAAGATTTCTGTTACTTGCTTCTTGGTTTGTTTAATAACCACAGACAAATTACTGAACATTTCTGAGATTCATTTGTCTCATATTTGAATACAGACACTAACAAATGCTGTAAACAAGAAATGGGTACAAAAGATTAAGTGGCAGGTAATTCCTAGTTCCAATGACCCAATAATTCCTATTTTAGACTCTAAATTTGTTGAGATAGGGCAGAATGCAGGGCTTTTGTAAGGTGAAAATTGCCACCTTCATAACCAATTAGGAGGTAACTGTATATAAAGAATAAAACCACCTTCACTACCATTTTAATTGAGTGTCCACTAGGAGTTAGGCACAGAGGTAGGTAATTCACATACATCATACCATGCAAATGAAGCAGGATGGCATTGTAGATCAAACAAAAGCAAAGTACCTCTTGCAGTAAAAATTATAGTTAATATTTGCTGGGTTTTTATAATGTGCCAAACACTGTGCTGGATTATTTCTTTTAATTCAATTCTTATAACAGCCCTATGATCATGATTTCTATTTAACAAATGAGAAAGCTGAGGCACATTGAATTTAAGTAACTTGCTCAAGGAAACAGGAAAGAATTAAAACTTTTGGAACTTAACTACTCTAATGGTTAGAACAGCTTTAACTACAAACAGCTTTTAAAAGTTTAGGCAAATTCATGGACCTACAACCAGTTATTAAAGTAAGTTAGATACACCAGAAGGTGTTTTAAATTCTAACCATCCTCTCTCACACTTGGTGCCTTGTTAGAGCCTGAATTTCAACTGGATTATATGTCACATATAAGTATGTGTAGTAAAACAATTATATGTTATGAAAAAGGAAGTGGCATCTTATCAAAGAGAAGGGAACATCTTTTGTGGTAAATCGTGATAGTTTTTCATGGTTTCATCCTCATGAAAAGTTTATATATGAATCATTATCAACTCAATTATTTCAAGACTTCATGTAGAATGAAAATCACTAAATTGTTTCTGAGATCATCAGGATTAGAATTATTTAGCCCAACATTTCCCCAAAAGTATTCTGTAGAGCATGCTTTGAAAATATGGAAGAGGAAAAAAGTTGTTTCTTTTTGTAATGATCAATGCTGCACATAGAAATTCCCATGAATGTTTTGATGCACATTAGCGCGTTAAAATTGTTGAGAAATATTGCCATGAAGAAGCCTGTTTAACTCTGCTTAACTCAGAATTTCCCAAATGTTTTTGACCCCAGAACTCTTCCATAGTATATTAATCCTGGAAATTTCTGAAACCATACTTTGGGAAATATCAGTTTGGAATTTTTCTAATAATGTTTATGACAATATTAGCTTCTACTTGGAATCAAAAGAATCATAGTGGAGAAACTTCAGTGCCCTTACAGTTTAATATTTTACCTGACGTAGAAAGACTCTCTGATAATATGCAACATATGCAACTGCCTAACAATAGATGATCACTAACAATGATAACAATCTCAATTTTCTGAGACAGTGAAGCTGATTTTGGACACTTCTAATTGTTGGAGACAAATTTCTCAAACTGAGCTTAAAACTGCCTCCCTGCTATTTCAAACAGTGCGTCTAGTTTTGCTTTCTGGAGCAACACAGAATCAAGGCAATAGAAAAGGCTCTTTTCAAATAACTGATGATTACTCTTAGGACTTACCTATGTCTCCCCTTTTCTAGGCTAAAAATTTTTTGACTTTTGGATGTTCTTTATATGGTAAATACCATAGAATTTCTATATATTTTTCAAATTGGCTTACATTTCTTTGTATGACTTTTAGTTTCCTGCTGAAATTTTCAGTCTTTATTTTGATCTACTCGACATGGTGAGCAGAACTGTCTGATCCTCATGGTTTGAGAACTCTGGTGTTTGGACTCCTTGGGTGCCTGCTTCTGCTATCATTTTCCTTGCTTTTACTCATGGTGTCTTGTCTTATAATGTGAATGGCTATTTTTGATTGGATACTGAACATCACCTCTTCTGAAACCCACTTCAGGAAATTTCTCACTGCCTTATTAGCTCTGTGATGTTTTTAAGATGAATTATTTTATCATCAAACCTTCGTTTCCTTCAGCAGAGGATCAGACTGAATTTCTAATTTGCTATTACAAGAAATAGAAGTCCCCCAAATCATCTCTGTAAATCCTTTTCTATGCATTCTAGATTGTAGGTAACTTCCATGAAATGTTGAAATCAGTGTCTTGAAATCAAAACAAACTCTCTGATGTGAACATTCCATGATATAAATGGACAATTACATCCCTGATTTAATGTCTAACATGATCTTACCTATCACAGTAGCCTTGTCATGTTGTTGGTTCATATTGATTTTGAAAGCAATTACAACCTCCAACTCTCTGAGCTCAAACTACTCCTAATCCAGGTCTTCCTCCTCTGATACTAGTCTTTTTTTTAATTATGTAAAGGTAGAAGTTACATTTATATTCATTGAACTTTATCTTATTAATTCCTGCTTTTTGTTACAGTCCATCATCCTTTGACTCTCGATTTTGTCTTCCTTTCCTAACCTGATATCATTTTCAAATTTATTCATGAAAAAATGTTTAATGACATGGAAAACAGTATTATATCTTTCTTTTAGATAATACCAATCAAATATGAACATCCTTTGAGTAAAGTTGTTGAAATGAGCTTCAAGCTTGCTTCATTGGGCTGCTGTATAAACCATGCTTCTTTATTTCATTTTCAAGCACTTCTTGAAAGACTTTCTTGAAATCAAGATATACTGTTTGTGGCATTGTGGATTTATCAGTCTAGTAATCCCAGTTATAAAGGAAATGAAGTTAGTTTGGCATGACTTACTTTTTAATGACCCAATAAGAGCTCTAAGTGACCATTGCTTGCCTGCTTTTATTTTCTTCTCCTTTGTTCTGACCTTCATTTTTTAAATTACTTATAATCCACTTAATTATGATGCAAAACCACTTGTTGCTGGGTTCTTCTTGCTCTTAAGATCTCAATATAATTAGTTTAAACCCTCATTCTGTGTCCTATCAAGTATAATGTTCTCCCCCAAATTTCTGCAAATTCCTTGGGAGCTCATATTTTCAGGGTCAACTCTGTCTCCAAGCTTTTGCTTCCACTGAATTATTTTCATTTATAGATTGTCTTTCTGTCTCTATTCTACATTATATTCACCCAGAATCTGGAGTTGGCCTTTTCCCCTTGCACGAATAGACACACAGATACACACATTCTCCAACCTACCAGAGCAGACCAGAATACATGAATGTAGTAAACCTTACAGAAACTTACAGGAAGACGGAAGGGAGGGATATCTATATTGCAACAATATATTCTAAAGGGCTTCAATTTGTATGTTCGAAATCTTCAAAATCTCATTGATAGCAACTCCATCTCATTGCCCTTCCACATTTTTTCTCTAGCTACTTTCCCTCAAACTTCTAAATTATGTTCATTGGAATGCAGTAAAGAATAGTTATCTCTCTAGCACTCCACTTGGCCCCTGCTTATTTCTGTCCTTAGGATATCACTACCCACCTTAAATTACTCCTTAAGGTATTTTCTTCAGTATAGGTAGTGCCCTTCCTAAGAAGCATTCTGTAGTCAGCCATCACACTCCCCAATCCTACTATATAATAATCTATTATAGATTTTTGGTGGGAGGAGGGTATCCACTTTAAAGACATGAATTTCTCCTGGGAACACACTTTTTTTCCCCCAAAACAGAGGACTGCCTTTTTATTTCTTGCCCTTATTTTGCATGTAATGGGCCAAGGCCTGCCTTTCTTCTCCTTGTCTTTACTATTTCATTCAGGCTTCTGGACTTTTTTTTTTTCCCTCCTGACACTTATACAAGTTCCTGCTACATTTTCTGTTTTTGTTCTTTATTTCATAGCATTAAAGAATTCCTCTGAGCTCACAATTTTTTTTAAGTGGCCTTACTCTTATTTTCCTTCTTATGACTTTTCTTACATAACAGATTTTTTTCAATCCCGTTGAAGTATATTTCCTTTTAGATGTCAGATAAATGAGATGTTACTCTCTTTTAATAGCATGTATCTATATATTTCCTGATTTTGTAAAGCTTTCTTATTTCTATTAAATTATACTCTTTCCACTGAGACTGCCCCAGGAGAAGCAATTACAATAGAACATTTACAAGGACACAGTCTGAGACCACCAACTAGTGTAAACATGGGTCACTGAGCAACCAAAAATGGACAAGTACTGCCAAATTAAATAATCAAGGATTCCTGACATGGCACTTTTAAACGTGTCTAGTTCCTTAAGGAAATGTGTGTGTTCTTTTGGGGAAAAACAGGTCCAAATGAAAGGTAATAGGGGACAGAGGAAAAAAGTGCTGATATTTCAATATTTCATCAATTGTAGAAACTTGGAAAGGTATTTTGGCTCTATTGTCACCATTGTTTATAAATTTTTTATAGGAATTTAAGTTAAAATGTTTATCTCTATGATACTGTTCAAGTGTTTCAGACTTTTCTGTACTATTTGTTCTTCTTAGGATTCCACATCTTGTTTTATTGGCATATGGATTTCTTTTTTTTTTTTTTGAGACAGAGATTTGCTCTTTTTGCACACCTGGAGTGCAATGGCATGGTCTTGGCTCACTGCAACCTTCACCTCCCAGGTTCAAGTGATTCTCCTGCCTCAGCCTCCCGAGTAGCTGGGATTACAGGTGTGCACCACCATGCCAGGCTAATTTTTGTATTTTTAGTAAAGACAGTGTTTTGCCATGTTGGCTAGGCTGGTCTCAAACTCCTGACCTTGGGTGATCTGCCCACCTTGGCCTCCCAAAGTGCTGGGATTACAGGCGTCCGCCACCGTGCCCACCTTGGCATCTGGATTTCTAAGGGTCAATTTTATTTGGAAGAAAATAGGTTTGGATGGCTTCTGCTTACTGGGTCAGGACATCGTGGGAAGAAAACATGGCTTTTGGCAGCATGGAGACCTTGCTTGAATCCTGGCTGTGTTGTTGATTAGCTGGGTGATTTTGGGAAAGTTAAAAATCTGCGAGCTTTGGTTTCTTCTTCTGAGTTATGGGGAGAATAAAACTTATTCCGAATACCTTGAAAGGGTTTTGTGAAGACTGAATGATATATGACATAAATTACTTGGCAAGAACTGGTATAAGTTCTCTTTCACCTTCTTTCCCTGTCCCATCTTTCTTCTCCTTGGTATCTTGCTCCCACTTTTTGGCCCTTGGAGTGAAATGTTGTACTTATTCCTAAAAATGAAGGGAAATTTGACTATTGAGTTGAACTAACTTTTCTAACTTTTTCCATTTATCATACCATAGTCATGTTTTACTTGTTTTGGGAATGTTGATCCCTTTGGATTAGGTAATAGACCAGTGTCTTACAGGAAATGGGTCCAGAATTTAACAACTTTTGTCAAATGTATATTTAACATTTGCTACATAATTTTATAAAGCATTTGTGGACAAACAATAATTCTGACTATGACAAATATTTATATTGACAGAAAAATCACATTACCATGTTGGCAGCTGAGACTCTCCGAGGCCACCCTCTATTTAAAAGGCAGATGTGTACCAACAAAAAGATTTTCTAAAGCCTTTTATTACTGAAGATATCAGCAGCTGATAAAGGGAAAATTACTGTATAATTAAGAGCTGTTAGAAGCTATGTATATTTTGTGGAAGATCTTAGGCAAAATATGTAAAAGCATATTAAGATGTAAAGAAAAAGAGCAAGTCAAGACTGGTATTTAAGATGTGTATTCTGTTTTCACTCTGCTGATAAAGACATACTTTATACTGGGCAATTTACAAAAGAAAGAGGTTTAATGGACTTACAGTTCCACATGGATTCCATGTGGATTCCATGATTGTGAGGGGAGGCCTCACAATCATGGCAGAAGGCAAGGAGGAGCAAGTCACATCTTACATGGACGGCAGCAGGCAAAGAGAGAGCTTGTGGAGGGAAACTCCTGTTTTTAAAACCATCAGATCTCCTGAGACTCTTCCACTATCATGAGAACAGTGCAGGAAAGACCTGGCCCTGTAATTCAATCACCTCCCACTGGTTCCTCCCATGACATGTGGGAATTGTGAGAGTTACAATTCAAGATGAGATTTGGGTGGGGACACAGCCAAACTATATCATTCTGCCCCCAGCCCCTCCCAAATCTCATGTCCTCACATTTCAAAACTAATCATGCCTTCTCAACATTCCCCCAAAGTCTTAATTCATTTCAGCATTAACTCAAAAGTCCACAGTTCAACATCTCATCTAAGACAAGGCAAGTCTCTTCTGCCTATGAGCTTGTAAAATCAAAAGCAAGTTAGTTACTTTCTAGATACAATGAGGGTACAGGCATTGGGTAAATACAGCTGTTACAAATGGGACAAATTGGTCAAAACAAAGGGGCTACAGGCCCCATGTAAGTCCACAATCCATCAGGGCAGTCAAATCTTAAAGCTCCAAAATGATCTCCTTTGACTCCATGTCTCACATCCAGATCATGCTGATGCAAGAAGTGGGTTCCCATGGTCTTGGGCAGCTCTCCCCCTGTGGCTTTGCGGGATACAGCCTTCCTCCTGGCTGTGTTCATGGGTTGCCATTGAGTGTCTGCGGCTTTTCCAGGTGCACAGTGCAAGCTGTCAGTGGAGCTATCATTCTAGGGTGGTTCTGGAGGACAGTGGCCCTCTTCTCACAGCTCCACTAGGTGGTGCCCCAGTAGGTACTCTGTGTGAGGGCTCCAACACCACATTTCCCTTCCACTCTTCCTAACAGAGGTTCTCCATGAGAGCCCTGCCCCTGCAGCAAACTTCTACCTGGACATACAAGCGTTTCCATAAATTCTCTAAAATCTAGGCAGAGGTTCCCAAACCTCAATTTTTGACTTCCATGCACTTGCAGGCTCAATACCACATGGAAGGTGGCAAGGCTTCAGAAGCTGCGTTCTGAAGCCACAGCCCAAGCTCGACATTGGCCCCTTTCAGCCACGGCTGGAGCAGCTGGGACAAAGGGCTCCAAGTCCCTAGGCTGCACACAGCATGGGGACCTTGGGCTTGGCCCATGAAACTGCTTTTTCCTCTTAGGCTTCCTGGCCTGTGATGGGAGGGGCTGCTGGGAAGTCCTCTGACATGCCCTGGAGACATTTTCCCCATTGTCTTGGGGATTAATATTTGGCTCCTCATTACTTATGCAAATTTCTGCAGCTGGCTTGAATTTTTCCTCAGAAAATGTGATTTTCTTTTCTATCACATTTTCAGGTTGCAAATTTTCCAAACTTTATGCTCTGCTTCCCTTATAAAACTGAATGCCTTTAACAGTACCCAAGTCACCTCTTGAATGCTTTGCTGCTTAGAAGTTCCTTAAACCAGATACTCTAAATCATCTTTCTCAAGTTCAAATTTCCACAAATCTCTAGGGCAGGGCAAAATGCCACCAATCTCTTTGCTAAAACATAACAAGAGTCACCTTTGCTCCAGTTCCCAACAAGTTCCTCATTTCCAGCTGAGACCACCTCAGCCTGGGCTTTATTGCGCATATGCTTATCAGCATTTTGGGCAAAGCCATTCAACAAGTCTCTAGGAAGTTCCAGACCTTCCCACATTTTCATGTCTTCTTCTGAGCCCTCCAAACTGTTCCAACCGCTGCCTGTTACCCAGTTCCCAAATTGCTTCCACATTTTCAGGTATCTACAGCAGCACCCCACTCTACTGGTACCAATTTACTGTATTAGTCTGTTTTCATGCTGCTAATAAAGACATACCTGAGACTGGGCAATTTATAAAAGAAGGAGGTTTAATGGACTTACAGTTCCACCTTGCTGGGGAGGCTACACAATCATGGTGGAAGCAAGGAGGAGCAAGTCACATCTGATGTGGATGGCGGCAGGCAAAGAGAGAGCTTGTGTAGGGAAACTCCCATCTTTAAAACCGTCAGATCTCGTGACACTCATTCACTATCACGAGAACAGTGCAGGAAAGACCTGCCCCCATAATTCAATCACCTCCCACCGGGTTCCTCCCATGACACTTGGGAATTGTGGGAGTTACAATTCAAGATGAGATTTGGGTGGGAACACAGCCAAACCACATCAAGATATAAGAGGAGAAATTAGAAATAGAGACAAATAGGGCATACTTGCTGGATTTGTCATGAATTTCCTATTGGAAATTTTAGGGAAGAAGAAATTTTTTTTTCAAACGTATATTTTTTAAATTTTATTTTATTTTATTTTATTTTATTTATTGTATTATTATTATACTTTAAGTTTTAGGGTACATGTGCACAATGTGCAGGTTAGTTACATATGTATACATGTGCCATGCTGGTGTGCTGCACCCATTAACTCATCATTTAGCATTAGGTATATCTCCTAAAGCTATCCCTCCCCCCTCCCCCGACCCCACAGCAGTCCCCAGAGTGTGATGTTCCCCTTCCTGTGTCCATGTGTTCTCATATAGATACATAATAGTTGTACTTATTTATGGGGTATATATGATATTTTGATAAAAGCATATAATGTGTAATGATCAAATCAGGGTAATTGGAATATCCATCACCTCAAGCATTTATCATTTCTTTGTGTTAGGAACATTCTGATTCTACTCTTTTAGTTATTTTGAAATATGTGATAAGTTATTGTTAACTATGGTCTTTCTATTATGTTACCAAACACCAGATTTTTTTCCATCTAACTTTATTTTTATATCCATTAACCATCCCTTCTATATCCCCCTATTTTGACAAGTAAAAATTATATATATTTATGGTATATAACATGATGTTTTAATACATGTATACATTCTGGAATCGCTAACTCAAGCTACTTAATATATATGCATTACCTTTTATACTTATCAATTTTTGGTAGTGAGAACACTTAAAATTTACTCTAGCAATTTTCATGTATATAATTTATTGGTATTAACTGCAGTCACCATGATGTACAATAGATCTCTTGAGATTATTCCTCCTGTTTAATTGAAATTTTATGACCTTTGACCATACAAATTTAAACCATGTAAAATTTTCATTTTTTAAGAAGGAATCAGCATCTTTCCAGTTATCTCTGATTTGATTAATTAATGGATTACCTCAGCAAATGGTTATTTTTGTGTGCTTACTTTGTGGCAGTCACCATCACTCTAGTATGTGCTAGGGATTCAAATTTCTAAAAATACCATCATGATCCTGCTCTCTTGGAATTTACAGACTAGATAAAAAGTAAATTAACAATATGTTATTATGGTAGAGGTTGGTACAAAGTGTTATGGAGGTTGGAATTGTATTAAGAGAGGGTATGTTAAATGAATACTGTGTGGCTGAGTTTGGAGAGTTGACTAGAGAAAGAAGGTAGTGGGGCAGAGGGCATTTTACCTGCAGAAGAGGATGTATGCTGAAAGACTTGTAATAGTCCTGAATGGCTGAGATGAAGGGTGAACTGTGTGAGAGGAACAAGAGTTGAAGCTGGAGAGGTAGGCATAGACCTAATTTGAAAGGTCTATGTGCTAAGTTACAAAGTTTGAACTATAGTCTGAAAGCTAAGGGGAAACCATGAAAGAATTTTAAGCAGGGTAATGATGAGGGGACTTCACAAAGTTCATAGAAAAATGGAATTAAAAGAAAAAAATAAAAAATATAAACTTTATTTCTCATCATAAACTCCATCAAGTTGAAGACACTTTTGTAAATAATGATACTAGCCATTTAGTTCATCCCTAAAGAATTGAATGTCCTGGAATTTAACCGTGCCAATGCAGTCTTTTTTACATTATCAACTGAAGAAAAATGAGTGCCCTTTAAATATTTTTTGAGATTTGGAAACAAAAAGAGTCAGAAGGAGCCAAACCAGGACTGTAAGGTGGATACCTAATGATTTTATATTGAAACTTG
Organism: Homo sapiens; assembly: GCF_000001405.40. Lineage (NCBI taxonomy): Eukaryota > Metazoa > Chordata > Mammalia > Primates > Hominidae > Homo > Homo sapiens. The sequence continues at coordinate 67,528,004 of NC_000010.11, read as the reverse complement.
CAAAATTGGCTTTGTTTAATGAGCAGAATGAGCAGAATGAGCAGGAGCATTGTGGTGGAGAAGGACTCTGGTGAAGCTTTCCCAGTGTTTTTCTGCTAAAGCTTTGGCTAGCTTTCTCAAAAGACTCTCATAATAAACAGATACTATCATTCCATGGCCTTCCAGAAAATCAACAAGCAAAATTCTTTGAGCATCTTAAAAAACTATTGCCATGATCTTTGCTCTTGACTAGCTTGCTTTTGCATTGACAGGACCACTTCCACCTCTTGGTAGATATTGCTTTGATTGTGCTCAGTCTTCAGGATCATACTGGTAAATCCACATTCATCTTTTGTTAGATTTCTCCAAAGGAATACTTAAGGAGCTTGATGAAATTAAAATTGTTAAAACATTTCATTGAAAGCTCTGGTCTTATCTGCAATTGATCTATGTGCAACAATTTTGGCATTCATCCAGGGGAAACTTTGCTCAACTGAAAATTTTCAGTCAGAATTGTGTAAGCTGAACCAGTTCAGATGTCTATGATGTTGGCTATTGCTTCTGGTGTTAATTGTTGGTCCTCTTCAATTAGGACACAAACAAGATTAATTTTTTCCTTGCAAATTGATGTGGATGGTCTGCTGCTGTGGGTTTTGTCTTCAACATCATCTTGACCCTTCTCAAAATGGATTATCCATTTGTAAACTGCTGATTTCTTTGGGGACATTGCCCATAAACTTTTTATTTTATTTTATTTTATCTTATCTTTGAGATGAAGTCTTTTTCTGTCACCCAGGCTGGAGTGCAGTGGTGCGATCTCGGCTCACTGCAACGTCTGCCTCCTGGGCTCAAGCAATTCTCTTGCCTCAGCCTCACAAGTAACTGGGATTACAGGTGCATGCCACCACACCTGACTAATTTTTGTATTTTTAATAAAGATGGGATTTCACCATGTTGGCCAGGCTGGTCTCGAACTCCTGACCTCAATTGATCTGCCAGCCTCGGCCTCCCAAAGTGCTGAGATTACAGCGTGAGCCACTGTACCTGGCCAAACTTTTCATAAAGCATCAATGATTTCGTCATTTTTCCACCCAAGCCTCACCATAAATGTGATGTTTCTCACAGCGTCAAGCCCAGTGCTTTGCACAGTGATGCTGCTCTATAAACAATTATTGAATGACCCTTTTGTTCAGTCCTTATTCACTACTGAAAGGTGTCATGATCTTAATGACAATGGTCTTTTCAATTTTATGGAACTTTTAAGTTTATAAAGCAGTAACCTATAAAGCTAGATTGTAAAATCTGTTAGGGTAAGAGTTGTTTCTCTTTTGTTTTCCTCTGTTTCTTACATGTCTGGTATGTTGCTCATTGATAAATATTTGTTGAATGAATGTCTTTTATTTTTCCTCAACTGATTTCACAACAACTGAGTGAAGTAGGCAGGCAAAGACAATTTGTCCTGTGTTATAGATAACACAATCAAAATTGGAATAATAATGACTTGTCCAAAGTGATGCAGTTATTAAATGGCATAGCAAGGACTTGAACCTCAGACCTCAAGGCCAGTGTGCCTTCACCTACATAGAACTATTTCTAATTTAGATCTCAAGCCCAATTTTGCTCTATGTTCTTAACTTTTATAGTCATTCCTTACAGCAAAAAAAAAAAAAAAAAAATCATTTGAGATATGTATGTGAGCTTTAATTTTCTGCTTCAGTTGTAAACTTCTTTTTATTGAGTGGTATTATCATCTTGTAAGTTCATTTGGAAAATATGAAAGTCAATGGATTAAATTCAGAAACATTAAATAATTTCTTTCTCTGTAATACTTTATTTTTGATTGCTCTGTGGTTGCCATATTTAAGTAAGGTAGATTAGCTATTTCTTATGCTTAAAACAATTTCTTTTTACTCTAGGTATTAATATTTATAGAGCATCAATATATTATTTTTTTGACTATTCTTTCCTTCTGCTTTAGGCTCCAGAAACTTTTAGCATTGTTTTAAACAGATGATTTAGGGACACTAAGATCACACTTGGTGATATAATGCTTTCCATCAGGCACTTACTGTATACCCTTTTGTACACATAACGCTGCGGGTATGGGATTTCTTTTCATGTTACAGGTAGCACCCAGCACCTCGTATAAATGCATGAAATATTAAATAAGAAAACATGATGACTGTGGAGCTGGCTCTTGTTTTGGAGCAATGCTACTTGATGTTTTTAAATTATGGGAATTAGTAGGCTGCTGGAGCTCTAGAGTTATTTGAATCAATCGATCTGACTACAAAAGGAAGCCAGGGCGTTGGCAGTGAGGGAGAGGAAAACTTTATTTGCCAGAGCCTTGGCTGCATTTTTTTTTCCTGCTGTTTCAGCCTATTTCTTCGTGTCTTTCTCAAATTACTCCACAAATCTACATAATTTACATGAACTCATTGGATGCATAATTTGTATAGAACACTGGCTTAGATTTATTTATATATGTATTGTCAGGAAAAAGGAGAAAAAATGTATCTGGGAAAAGGGACTGCTGAGACAAAGTAGACATTTTCCTGTTGCCTTTTCTATGCTTCTCTTTCTTGCAAAATAATTTGTCAGCTATTTTAATGTGAGATGAGCAATTATAGTTTCTGCTGTTTTATTTGATGGATTACTATTATTATTTCTGAGCAGAAATAATTTGATGAGAAAACACACTCTGGGAGTGTTGACAGTGCTTACTTTTCCAGCAAGTGCTGGGCTTAGGGATATTGTTTTCCTCTACCCATTCTTATCTTGTATGTCCAAGGTTTGTTTTGGGTTTAGTCTAATTCACTGAGCTTTTTAAAGTTTGAGTTTGGTTTATAACGAGTTAAAAAAAAAAACACAGGATAAATTCAAGGTTCAACAAATTATTCTGGGGTTTTTGGCTCATTTTAAATTCCCACTCAAAACTATGAATAAGTAAAATCCAGCAGTATTAAAAATCTCTTCAATTAATTGTGCTTCCTTTCCCCAACTTGTCTCCAACTGGGAGATCATTTATTTGGAGAAATAATCAATATAAGAAAATTATCATGTACTGAACAAATATAGAAAATCTTGGAGGTTTGTTTCAATGATTAACCATTGTGGCCTATTAGAAAAATCTTCAAGCCAAGTGAATACTCTTTAAAACCTAGGCCTCAACCTAACTTTTATCTTCTGTACTTCAGCATCACTTGGAAAGTAAGATTATTGCTTTCACTCTTTAGTATCTTTAAGCGTACATGTGTGCAGGTGGGGATGGGGTGTGTTTAATAGGGAGCTAAGCCAGAGCTATACCACAGCTTTCATATGACCTCTCCTTGACAATTAATTATTGTTGTAAGCAAAAAAAACTGCTTAAATGAATGAAATTATCATGGTTTTACAGTATTTTGAACTCTTTATTATCAATAAATGGAGGATATAATTCCTGATAACAAAAGTTCAAGCTGAAATCTCCATATTATACAAAGTCCGACCTTTAGTTAAAACATTCTTGTGATCATGTATTGTTACTGGATTTTCTCCATTTCTCCTTTGGCCATGGGCATATTACCTGAAGTGTTGGTTTTCTGTGTTTCTTATTTTGAACACTCTTTTTTTTTTTTTTTTTTTTTTTTTGAGACAGAGTCTCGCTGTCGCCCAGGCTGGAGTGCAGTGGCGCAATCTCGGCTCATTGCAAGCTCCGCCTGCCGGGTTCACGCCATTCTCCTGCCTCAGCCTCCCGCGGGGACTACAGGCGCCCGCCACCTCTCCTGGCTAATTTTTTGTATTTTTAGTAGAGACGGGGTTTCACCGTGTTAGCCAGGATAGTCTCGATCTCCTGACCTCGTGATCCGCCCGCCTCGGCCTCCCAAAGTGCTGGGATTACAGGCGTGAGCCACCGCGCCCGGCTATTTTGAACACTCTTTACAAGTGTGTTTGCTCTAAAGTTCCCATTTGGAGTTGTATAATGTTTACAGAGATAAATATGAAGAAAAAATATTTTAAGAAGTAGAGCTAATATTTCTTAGGGAAGACAAAGTGCAGGGGCTAAAACATGCTTTAGAGTTAAATGGATTTGTCAGTAAAATAGCTTGTATTAATTAAATCATAGATAAAATTACTTAAATTTTTTAGAATCTTAGATAAGGTTTTATTTTGATTTGAACATAGTGAGAATGAACCAAGAAATGGGCAAGGCACAGAAATGATTATACAATATAATAAATATTTCATATAAAGGTCATTAAAATTATGTTGAAAGGAACTTGTTTATTGTTATAAGTGGGGGAAAATGAACTGATTTTGGCTGTGTTTAATATGTTGGGTAGAATTGGTTTCCACGTCAGACTCTTAAAAGACTTCCTGTCCTTTGGGGCCCAACTCAAATTGTCTTACGTCTTCTACGTGGTCTGAGTCCCTCCGTCAGTGTCAGTATCAGTGAGTTTTCCGAGTTTTCACCAATGTTACCTTTATCTCTCTTTTTTTGCACTCTCTTTACTACCTTGCCTTGTGTTAGAGTTAAGGATAGAGTAGAAAGAACATGAATGTTGTAATAAAAACCCAGTTCAATCAAACTTTCTGAAACCCAGTTTACTCAATTATAGAATGAGAAGAGAAATAGGAACTCCTGTGGTTCTTGTGAAGATTAAATTGGAAAGCATCAAGTACCTGGGGCTGAGTGGGCACTCAGTAAGTGTCAGTGTCCATCTCATTTCCGAATTTCATGTCTAGTTTCTCCAGTGGTATGAGTTCCTTCAGGGCAGGAAATGTCTTTTATATTCATAGTGCTTTGTGCATAGTAGGTTCTAAATGATTATTTGTTGAATTTAATTTACTGTCCTGTCATGGAAGCTTAGCACTGTTATTTCCCATTTCTTTTCCCTCTGTCACCTTGGATTGAGATAAACATGTTGCTTTCATGAAATTAGGGATTTAATTCAGTAGAATGCCATTTTAATATGACTTATTTCATAGAGTTTGATATAGTAAGGGTCAAATCATTTCCCTGGAAACTTAATTATATTCTATAAAATCTTATTAGCCTGTCTCATGGCATCATAGTCACAGTGGAGTTCTGGTGTGTTTAAGATGGTCAAGTCTCTATCTGTAGAAATCTGTCTAATGGCACAGAGTGAGAATATGGGAAATAAATGACATAAAGAGAGAGCAAATGCAAATGTCTTGCAAATTACATTACTTGACATTTTCAATCACTAACCCTCCAAAGTATGTTCTAATTTATGAAAATAAACCAAGAATCCAATTTCTTGTGAGCTTCCTTTGCTTAATTAATTATTAGTAGCAGACAGTATTCTGTGGTTCGTTGCAATTTTTCACCTTTGTATTTATCTAGTATCTGATTTAAAAAGAATAGGAGCATTCTGATTCAGCAGAACTGATCAGAACTCTCTTTCTGATCATAACTCATCTGCTCATAGCTCATCTGTGTTATAGAGCAGAAATGAATAAATGTTTGCTGAACATGCCACATATGCTTTGATCATCAAAATGTTAAGTTTTCCTTCCTTCTCAAAATACAAGCTCTGAGAGATCTTTCTTGCTGAAGTTTGTTGGGTGACCTATTCTGCATAGATATTATTATAGAGGCAAGCCAGATTCCATGCCATTATAGCAAAATATCGTGTAAGCAACTACATTTTCATAAATTTGTTTGTTTCCATGATTGAAATGTGAGCACTCTTTAATGCTTCCTCATTATGATTTAAAATTATACATTCACAGTGCTTTCTAAAAAATTTTAAAGCAGAAGTATATCCTAAAAGATGAACTTTCTTTTTTATTTTTTTTAAATGAAGTATGCTCTTTTGTTAGAATGAGGACTGAACAGGCTTCTCATGCATGCAGTAATGTTGGTTATACTTAGAATATGGTTTATAACTCTTTCTGTGTCCCTAATTATTTCATTGAAAGATAATTAGCTAGCATTTGTTATCACTGTATTATGAATGGGAGAAACTGAGGCTCATTATCGACTCTTCGTGTTAGCAAGTTGAGAATTTGAGAAAAATCTGCTGCTATCCTAATGATCTACTTTTGTTTTCAATTTCAGTTTCAAAGGACATTTGAGTCTCTCAAAAATGTTGCCAACAAATCTGACCTCCAGAAAACCTACCAGAAGCTTGGGAAGGAGCTGGAAAATTTGGATTATTTAGCCTTCAAACGTCAGCAGGTAGGAGTCAGAGCTCTCCTTGGTGGAGGAGATGAACACTTTAGGCTTCCTGCCATCCTGCCTGTCAGAGGTGCAGGTGGGTCTGAGGAAACTTATCTTCTAATGGTTAGAGCAGATACAGGTTGTGCTGTGCTGATCTGCTGTGTTCATATGGCTTCCCACAGTGTTCAATGTGGTCCTTGCTTTTAGATGTGTACTTTAGGGGTTTCCACATGTGTCCTTATACCTCTCTTAAAGAAAATTCCTGCTGGTTTGTGAAAATCCAACTACCCTTTGACTAGGGACGCTTCAGAGGCATAAAGGGAGTCTCTATAATGGCTTGGCCAGTTGGCTTTTATATTTGACCTGGGGAGAAAAATCACCTGAAGACCAGGATAAGGTTGTGGGTGTACATGCAACATTAAGGAAAATAGTCATAAATATGCCAAAATATGAATTGATCTTTAGTTTTCTTTGATCTTTGAAGATGAGTAATTTGCTAAGTGTGGAAGATTGAAGGAAGATTTACTTTTCAAATACAAGGTTTTTAATTGCCTCCTTTTGTAGGCCCCTAGATAAATAGAGAGCTGAAATAAACTTTTATAGGGTTTGTTTTAGAACTGGTACTTTATAACCTAATATTCATCATGATTAAATGCTGTGTGTTTTGGAGACACTGCCACAGTAGCTCACTACTCTTCCTAGGCTGAATCTGCTCCAGTTTCTTCACAGCCACTAGGTGTCAGCGTTGTCAAGCTTTTACTTCCACCAAAGGTTTATTCCGATCAGAACAGCCAGTTAAATGTTTAAATGAGGTTGCATGAAATTCGGTAATGTGCTCCATGATGGATAGAGTCTAGAAAAATGACTAAATGTCTGACTTGCATGGCCAGGCCTCGAGTCGATCACTTGAGAGACTTTCCTCTTAGAGTAGCAAAGGGTGTGGCATTCTCACCATTGCCTAATTCACAAGTTTTGGATCCTTTTGGATGAAGGTTTTCAAAGCAGAATTTTCTATTTTTAGTTAAATCTCATTAAGTCAACATGATATGGTCTAGAATTACTGGGCCAAAAAGAGAATTGTGTTCTAGGTATTGCTCTATCACAGATGTTACATGGACATTTAACCTTTCTATGGCCTTATTTTCCTAGGGGTTATATTTGTTTTATAGAATGTTCCAGGGCAAATACATTCTTTTTGCAGACACATTAATTTACATGAAAAAGGATACAATGTCCATTTAAGTTTTGTTTTTTTAAAAAAATTAATGATGATCTAGGTATTAGCACTTGATGGTTACTGAGTGCTACTATAACAAACCCCCAGAGGATGCTGCTTAGCGTTCACACCAGAGTCACTCCTCCGGCCTATGCAATTTTTAGTACAGTTTTGTTTCCAAAACCATATTTTACCATGGAGGGGTATTTGAGCTGGCAGGCAGTAGTCACTGTACTCTTCTGTTATCGTTTCTCATTAACACATTTTCAGTGATTGGATTCTTTTATTAGCTAATTGTGAATTTGGAAGAATGTAAATGCCTCAGGGGCAGAAGGGTAGAACTCTGGGAGAATGGCATTGAGGATAGATGGGTAAATTATATGTGCATAAAGAAAAGATGAGCACATGGAGTGTATACATATATGCCTATATAAATCATCTATACTATTTATTAAATGAAAAGCATATGGCACATGGTATGATTTAAACATTTATGAATTGAATCTTTAAATGCTTATAACAATACAGTGAGGTGGCTTTTGTTAGCACCATTTTACAGATGAGAAAATTGTTAAGGAAGTTAAGTAACATGCCTAAGGTCATGGAGCTAATAAGGCGTGAAACTGGGCTTCAAATCTAAATCAAGTCTGACTTCAAACCTGGAGTGTTATGTCTTCTTGATGGGCAGGGTCAAAGGGTCAGAACATCAGCTCTTCTCTAGCTTGATGGGATTTATCTTTTATCTCGCATTCTATTCCTTTAAAGCTCCAAAACCTGATGAAGCACACGCCAGAAAGTGTTTTTCTTCTAATGGAAAAGATTCAGGCCTCTGTAAAATTGCCAGTTTAGCAAGAAAGTTTCCTCTTTATAAGGTGGTATTCTTTGTATTAGAGAATTAGTCATGGTTTGTTCCCTGGTCCAACCATATTTATCATTCCGCACTGGGACAGAACATAAGCTCCAAAAGGACAGGGCCTCGTCTGTCACCTTTAATGCTGTATCCTCTCCAGTGCTCCTAACAGTATCTGACTCATGGCAAATCCTCAGTAAATATTATTGGTGGTGTTGTTGCTATGAACAAAGAACCATGCCAAAAGGTTTGACCTCAGATTATAGGCAATTAAAATCAATGTGTTTTGCTACACATTTAAAATTCAAAAGAGCATAAGCCTTTGGTTTCCTGGATACCAAGGGCTGAGAGATTTTCCCTTGCCCCTATGTATTATTGAGGTTTTCTCCTAACATATTTTATTCTTCTATCCATTTTTTAAAACAAACAGAAAATGCCAGTGTTAACTCTGAATTATGGATGTCCAATGAATTGACTATAATTATTTTATTGGAGTCATCCATTAGGTTTTATTTTCTGTCCCCTTCTATGATATTTTTAACATCATCTTTGAGAGATTTCTTTCTCGGCACAAGATAAGACTACTGGAGTTCTTTGCTCCATTCTCTCACTTCTGTTTTTCTGAGGTTACTGTGCTTTCTTTCCTAGGTCTGAACTTAGTATTTATTTATTTAAAAGAGTGAGTGCCTGCACATCAGCTATTCCTTGGGTCAGGGCACAACATCTCTACATTTTCCTACTTTCAAAAAGACTAATGTTGAAATAGCTTTGATTGGAAAAGGTGTGAGAGGAGGCTGTGATAGGTGAGGTGGTGGGTTTACTGGGATGAATCAGCCTAAAGTAAACGGATGACAAAGCAGGATTAACCGGAGAATTTGGACACTCTTTTGGTTCTTACTATCGAAAGGCAGGTACAGTCTTGGAGTTTATCTGCTTGGACTACTTGGTTTTCATCCTTCTAGTTGGTGTGACATAGGAATGGTAATAACAAGTTCCAGCTATTATATCGATCTCAGATTTATGTATTAATTTGAGTGCTTATAAATCAAGAGGTTTCCTTAGAGCTTTCGTTTTGTGAAGTAAAACAAAATAAGGTTTGATAATGTGGACTCTAATGTAATTCATTCCTCTCTTTATCTACCCTTAAAACTTATAATAACATTATAAAACACATCCATTTCCAGAGGCTTCTGAAGTCTTTTGATATAAATTAAAGTTGACATTATTGAGTTGAACATTATATAGACTAAAGCACATTTAGACATTGATATAAAAATATGTAAAATTAAATTATTGTACTTCAGACCTGCATGCATGTTGGAACACATCACGTATCTGATTCTTGTCTCTCTGATCACGGCATACTATTCTTGCCTTCTGACCTGTGCACAAGGTTTATATAACTTCGTATTTAGAATGTACAGCCCGTTTCATTTTACATACTTAAATCATTCTTTAAAGTCAAACTGAAGTCTAGCCTCCCTCATAACACCTCCTCCTGTGACCTCTAGTCAATATAACTCTTCACTCTTTGCCATTCTTAGCTTTTATTTGTGTCATACAATTTAGCATTTGATTGATGATATACTCATTGAGAATCCATGTAGTACAGTGATTAGAGTGTGAGCTTTGTAGTTACCCAAACCTGGTTAGACTGTTTGTACTGGATACCTGAGTTTCTTTTTAAAAAGCATCGGAAAAATAACCCTAACTTAAATAGCTTGCTTTGAGGAAACAATATATCAAGTATAAAGTAAGTCCTATGAAATATGTATAAAGGACTTAACATTGCACCTGACATGTGTTTAGTATAATTGGTAGCTATTATATGTTTTCTGTTATTCTCATAAGCCATTTTCTTAAATAGGTTGTAAGTTCCATAAGGATATGGATATGTTCTTTATTTTGTATACTTCTGTGCTGTACATAGGGTCCAGCACTGTTCTGAACATATGGGATAGAATGTTTTTGGACATACATAGTCTAGCAGTTGGTGATCTATGTAACAAAAAGAACATGCTGACACCTCTCAAGAAGGGAGCTGCAACATTTTGTTCTAATATGTTTCTAAGGTGATATCTCTTGATGGGCAGTTAAAGTACTGAGGACTTGTACTATGACAATCTCTTGGGGGAAGTAGGTTCAGTGTTCTGGCTAACGTCCAATTCAGGTTAATAATACATTCTATATATCCAAGCTTCCCTTATGCTTCAGGTATTGTTCAGCACATGGTACTTTTTTAGTGACGATGCTCAGGAGTGAACAACTGCTTTTTTTTTCTTTTACTAAACTGGGTGTGTGACCCCTTTTAGGTAATTCCAAAGCCAGAAGGGTACATAATACCTTGTAGGATAAAAATTGAATTTAAAACAAACTTTTATTAAACAGAAGAAAAATAAAAATAAGTTAGATAAAATTTATTTGATAAAAATGACTGCGGGTTAATATTTTTCAATTGAAAAATAAAATTCTACTTGTTATCTCTTATCTTTTTCATGATAGCCATCCTAACAGGTGTGCAAGACAAGAGATAACAGGAGTTAGTGATGATGTGAAGAAAAGGAAACCTTTGCACATTGTTGGGAATGTAAATTGGTACAGTCATTTCGGAAAAAGTATAGAGGTTGCTAAAAACATATGAAATAGAGCTATCATAAGACCTATCAATCTTACTTTTGGGTATATATCCAAAGAAAATGGAATCAGTATCTTGAAGAGATAGCTGCACTCCCACGTTCATTGCAGCATTATTCACAACAGCCAAGATATTGAAACAACCTAAGTGTCTATTAACAGATGAATAAAGAAAATGTGGTATACATATAAGCAATGAAATATTATTTAGCCTTAAAAAGGAAGGAAATCCTGCCTTTGCAATAGTATGGTTGAACCTGGAAGACATTTTGCTAAGCAAAGTAATCCAGACACAGAAATACACATACTGTATGGTCTTACTTATATGTGGAATCTGAAAATGTCAAACTCAGAGAAGTAGAGGGTAGAGGAGTGCTTTCCAGGGATTGGTGGGTGGAGGAAATTAGTAGATATTGATCAAAGGTACACATTTTCACTTATAAGATGAACAAGTTCTGGGGACCTAATAAACAGCACGAGTGATGATAGACGTGTTAATTTAATGGTGGTAGTCATTACAAAATGTGTATATATCTCTCAATCATCTTGTTGCACACTTTGAATATATTCAATCTTTGTCAATCAAATATTTCAAAACAAAAAATAAAATTCTAGATAGATAATGACTGACCACATAGAAAATACTCTTAGGCTTACTCTGGGAACTTGAGAACTCTGAGGATACAACAAAACAATGTAGGGATCCTGTGGAAGAAATGCTTAGAAAATGAAACTAAATAGTGCTAGGCTTGTGGTTGTACTATAGCATATAGAGAAGAAAAAGTTGATGAGTTCCGATAATATCCTTCAATCATGTAAGGACTTATAGCAAGAAAAAAGTAGTGAATCAGCTAGAATAATATTGCACTGGGAATTGCTTATCTACAAGGACCTTATAAGGTAGGGACTAACTTTCCATTGGGGCTAACATTAAAATGGAATTGTAAATATATTTTCTTTAAGACCTTTAAAAATAAAGACCAACCTGACCAACATGGTGAAACCCCGTCTCTACTAAAAATACAAAAAATTAGCCGGGCATGGTGGCAGGCAACTGTAATCGCAGCTACTCGGGAGGCTGAGGCAGGAGAATCATTTGAATATAGGAGGCAGAGGTTGCAGATAGATGAGATCATGCCATTGCACTCCAGCCTGGGTGACAAGAGCAAAACTCCATGTCAAAAAATAAATAAATCAATAAAATAAAAGATAAAGAACATGTGTATCTGGAATTGTTTAGATGCAGTCTAAGGAAGGGTGTAAGTGGGAGCTGGACTGAATGAGTACTAAGGGGAGGTGCTAAGCTTCTAGAGCAATAGTTCTATAGCCATGGATTAACTTCAGTGACCTTTGTAAGATGAAGTATGTTAATTGCTCAATTGGGAGAAGATTCTTTTTTTCCTTCTTCTGTAATTAATCTAACTGTCCTGAAAGAATTCTGATTGAATTATTCCTTTTAAGGGTAAGTGAACCAAGGACTGCTATACTAAAATATTCATGTCTGTCTTAGGTGGTATTCTATTTCTTATTTACCAGATCAAATAAAATGATTTTTTATGCCATTTATAAACCTGTTTCTGAAGATTTCAAAGCATTTCAGACATCATTTAAAAATTTATTGCACAGGTATAAAAAATGTTGAATTATTAAACAGTGTGCTAAGTTCAAACCAACCCAAACATATTCTATCCACTACTTATGCAATTTCATTTTTATTCAATTGTACATAGTTGTTTGTCCCAAAGGAGAAAAGAATGTGATGTTACATTTATTCTTTAGTTTTCTGATATAGAGAAAAGAAGGTTGGATGCATCATGCAAGGTCATCCTGAGTCAGTAACAAATTCAGAATTAATATTCACATTTCCTAATATCCAGCTTTTTGCAATAGCCATTTGATCATTTTCACTACTTCATAAACTACAGATCTTTATAGGGTGATTTGTTTTTCTATAGTTACAGTCTGAAGAAAAAATCTTATGGATTTTTTAATGTAAGAAACTTGCCTTTATTTTAAAATGAATGATGAAAATGATGCATATTATACATTTGTCCTCCTAAAATTTGATTTCCACATTGGATAGTTAATGGTCATGATAACTAAGTGTCTTCTATTAAATTAGCAAAGTAAAAACATTATAGAGACATCTTTTAATTCCTAAGGTTTGCTATTCTGTTTCCGTCTGTTGTCTCTGGGGCTCAGTTTATTGGTGGCACTTAGGTAGAAAGCTGTTGAGTCAAGCGTTAGCTGATTTTCATGCACCAGAGAAGATTTATTAATTTTTACAAGGTTGTTTGCTATACAGTAGTTTGCGTTGTGGGCAGCTTATAGCTACTTTATGTGGGGAATGTTTATTGAAACAAGTTAATTCTTTGTTATGGGTTGTTTCAAAATTTACAATGCTGATAGGAATTCCAGAGATGGCAAAAAAAAAAAAAACAACAAAAACAAAACAAAAACCCAAAACCAACCAAACAAACAAACAAAAAACAACTTCAGTGTTTGCATCAATATGGTGCTTATTTGTGCATGTCTTATATTGACATACCTAAGTCCATAAGGTTGTCAATAAAAGTTGGTATTGAGGAGAAATAATGTGCACATGTACCCTAAAACTTAAAGTATAATAATAAAAAAAAATAGACAAGTTAACTCTGAAAATGTCTTCTTTAGTCTGTTTTGCACTTTGAAAGTGATCTGTGCATGAAAAGAAGGTAATCTTTCACTACTAAGATTATGACTTTTGGTGGTTTAAGATGCAAATTACAGAGGCTATGCTATACTAGAGAACCTTAAACCAAGTAAAGAATCTTTAGAATTCATCTAACCTAACTGTTTTATTTTATTTTATTTTTTATGTTTGAGACAATCTCGCTCTGTTACCCAGGCTGGAGTGCAGTGGCACAATCTCAGCTCAGTGCAACCTCTGCCTCCTGGGTTCAAGTGATTCTCTTGCCTCAGCCTCCCAGGTAGCTGGAATTACAGGCATCCACCACCATGCCCAGCTAATTTTTTGTATTTTTCGTAGAGACAGGGTTTCACCATGTTGCCCAGGCTGGTCTTGAACTCGATTCACCCGTCTCAGCCTCCCAAAGTGCAAGGATTAGAGGCATGAACTACTGTGCCTGGCCCCAACTGTTTTATTTTAAAGATGAAAAAAATGAGTTGCAAGGAGATTAAATATCTTGTACAAGGCCACATACTTTGCTAATGACAAGAGTTGGGACAATAACAGGAAATGATATATTCTCACAACCTTTGGTTCTTTGGTGAGCCCTCTATTGATCCTTGGTATCTGGTTTGTATCCTGAAACCAAGAGAGGACCTATAGTATGAAAAGCATTCTTTTCCTGTTTGAAAAGCTGCATGATGCTGAGATTGGACTGGCTGCAGAAATCTCTTCTAATGTTAAAACAAAGCCAGGACATTCAGTTTATTTCACTGGGGTTCATGGTTTGGGAGGCCTTGCTTATATATGGCTATAATGAAAGGCTCTGATGGCAGCCTTTGTGGAAGTGAGCCCCATTCTCTCCAGGGAAAAACATACTTCTGCTACCTCCTGTGTCTTGAGGAGCATTTCCTTTGCTGGACACTTGCTAGGTGGTCGAGTAGTGACATTCTGTCCTGTATTCAGGGACATGTGGAATAGAGGAGCCCCTCATAGTCCCCTTAATAAAAGATGTGGGTGCAGTCTTCTCTAAAACGCAAGCCTCCAGCCACTCTACATTTCCACTTTCCTACTCAAGAAGAAAGGAGTGAACTTCTTTGAGTGTTCACAGAAATGTACAACAAAGGACTGAAATGAGGATGCAGCACAATTGACTTTTCAGTGAAGTCCACTTCTTTCTGATTATGCTTGTCCTCCAGGTGGGAGTTCTGCTCTTTCAGATTGAGCCCTAGGAATCTGAAGTAGAACAGAATTTTCTACCAGGATGAAAGGAGTACCAGAATGGGTATGGACTTTCTTGAGTCTGTAGGAACCTTGTTGCATTGGGACTATGGAATAATCCAGGAAATTGGGTTTCATATCAAACTGCAGGAACAACAAAGATGCTTTTAACATTTATCTATACATGCGAATATACTGTATTAGGCGGTGAGGTGCCAGTAAATGAAAATAATTCAGTAGTGCCTTTTTAAAAATGTTAAATTTTTAAATATTTATTTATTTATTTTTGAGATGGACTCTCGCTCTGTTGCCAGGCTGGAGTCAGTGACGCGATCTTGGCTCACTGCAATCTCTGCCTCCCAGGTTCAGGCAATTCTTCTGCCTCCGCTTCCCGAGTAGCTGGGACTACAGGTGTGTACCATCATGCCTAGCTAATTTTTGTATTTTTAGTAGAGATGGAGTTTCACCATGTTGGCCAGGATGGTATCGATCTCTTGACCTTGTGATCTGCCTGCCTCGGCCTCCCAAAGTGCTGGAATTACAGGTGTGAGCCACCGCTCCTGGCCCTTTTTTTTTTTTAAAGAAGAAAATGCAATAATATTACAACACTGTAGACAAAGGAAAGACTTATAAGCATCATCTGGTTCAGCCACTTTATCGTGGATACACAAACAATACAGAAAGTACATCATTTTGTAGTTTTCTACTGCAATGGAATTTTGATTTATTGACAATTTCTAGAATCCCGTGTCGTCTAAACCTTTAAAGTATATCCTAGGCACTTAGGTTGTTTCTATACCTTGACTATCATGAATGATGCTGCAATGAACATGAGAGTGCAGATACCTCTTCAAAATACTGATTTCATTTCCTTTGGATATATACTCAGAAGTGGGATTGCTGGATCATATAATAGTTCTATTTTTTTAAAATCTATTTTAGGAACCTTCATACTACTGTTCATAGTGGCTGTACCAATTTACATTCCCACCAAGGTTCCCATTTCTCTACAAGCATTCCCATTTCTGATTACACTCACCAACACTTGTTACCTTTTGTTTTTTGGTAGTAGCTATCCTATCAAGTGTGAGGTGATATCTTATTTTGTTTTGATTTGCATTACTCTGATGATTAGTGATGTGAGCACCTTTTTATATATCTATTGGCCATTTGTATGCTTTCTTTGAAAAATTTCTATTTAGAGAAGCAATAAAAGATGATAAAGGGGATATCACCACTGATCCCACAGAAATAAAAACTACCATCAGAGAATACTATAAACACCTCTACGCAAATAAACTAGAAAATCTAGAAGAAATGGATAAATTCCGGGACACATACACCCTCCCAAGACTAAACCAGGAAGAAGTTGAATCTCTGAATAGACCAATATCAGGCTCTGAAATTGAGGCAATAATTAATAGCCTACCAACCAAAAAAAGTCCAGGATCAGACACATTCACAGCCGAATTCTACCAGAGGTACAAAGAGGAGCTGGTACCATTCCTTCTGAAACTATTCCAATCAATAGTAAAAGAGGGAATCCTCCCTAACTCATTTTGTGAGGCCAGCATCATCCTGATACCAAAGCCTGGCAGAGACACAACAAAAAAAGAGAATTTTAGACCAATATCCCTGATAAACATCGATGAGAAAATCCTCAATAAAATACTGGTGAACCGAATCCAGCAGCGCATCAAAAAGCTTGGCCACCACAATCAAGTAGGCTTCATCCCTGGGATGCAAGGCTGGTTCAACATATGCAAATCAATAAACATAATCCATCACATAAACAGAACCGACTACAAAAACCACATGATTATCTCAATAGATGCAGAAAAGGCCTTCAACAAAATTCAACAGCCTTCATGCTAAAAACTCTCAATAAACTAGGTATTGATGGAATGTATCTCAAAATAATAACAGCTATTTATGACAAACCCACAGCCAATATCATACTGACTGGGCAAAAACTGGAAGCATTCATTCCTTTTGAAAACTGGCACAAGACAGGGATGCCCTCTCTCACCACTCCTATTCAACATAGTGTTGGAAGTTCTGGCCAGGGCAATCAGGCAAGAGAAAGAAGTAAAGGGTATTCAATTAGGAAAAGAGGAAGTCAAATTTTCCCTGTTTGAAGATGACATGATTGTTTATTAGAAAACCCCATTGTCTCAGCCCCAAATCTCCTTAAGCTGATAAAAAACTTCAGCAAAGTCTCAGGATACAAAATCAATGTGCAAAAATCACAAGCATTCCTATACACCAATAATAGACAAACAGAGACCCAAATCATGAGTGAACTTCCATTCACAATTACTACAAAGAGAATAAAATTCCTAGGGATCCAACTTACAAGGGATGTGAAGGACCTCTTCAAGGAGAACTACAAACCACTGCTCAAGGAAATAAGAGGACACAAACAAATGGAAGAACATTCCATGCTCATGGATAGGAAGAATCAATATCATGAAAATGGCCATACTGCCCAAGGTAATTTATAGATTCAATACCATCCCCATCAAGCTACCAATGACTTTCCTCACAGAATTGGAAAAAACTACTTTACATTTCATACAGAACCAAAAAAGAGCTTGTAGTGCCAAGACAATTCTAAGCAAAAAGAACAAAACTGGAAGCATCATGCTACCTGACTTCAAACTATACTACAAGGCTGCAGTAACCAAAAGAGCATGGTACTGGTACCAAAACAGATATATAGACCGATGGAACAGAACAGAGGCCTCAGAAATAACACCACACATCTACAACCATCTGATCTTTGACAAACCTGACCAAAAAAAAAAAAAGAAGTGAAGAAAGGATTCCCTATTTAGTAAATGGTGCAGGGAAAACTGGCTAGCCATATGTAGAAAGCTGAAACTGGATCCCTTCCTTACACCTTATACAAAAATTAATTCAAGATGAATTAAAGACTTAAATGTTAGACCTAAAACCATAAAAACACTAGAAGAAAACCTAGGTAATACCATTCAGGACATAGGCATGGGCAAAGACTTCATTACCCAAACACCCAAAGCAATGGCAACAAAAGCCAAGATAGACAAATGGGATCTAATTAAACTAAAGAGCTTCTGCACAGCAAAAGAAACTACCATCAGAGTGAACAGGAAACCTACAGAATGGGAAAAAATTTTTGCAATCTACCCATCTAACAAAGGGCTAATATCCAGAATCTACAAAGAAGTTAAACAAATTTACAAGAAAAAGCAACCCCATGAAAAAGTCAGGAAAGGATATGAACAGACACTTTTCAAAAGAAGACATTTATGCAGCCAACAGACACATGAAAAAATGCTCATCATCACTGGTCATCACAGAAATGCAAATCAAAATCACAATGAGATACCATCTCACGCCAGTTAGAATGGCAGTCATTAAAAAGTCAGGAAACAACAGATGCTGGAGAGGATGTGGAGAAACAGGAATGCTTTTACACTGTTGGTGGGAGTGTAAATTACTTCAACCATTGTGGAAGACAGTGTGGCAATTCCTCAAGGGTCTGGAAGCAGAAATACCATTTGATCCAGCAACCCCATTACTGGGTATATATCCAATGGATTATAAATCATGCTACTATAAAGACACATGCACACGTATGTTTATTGCAGCACTATTCACAATAGCAAAGACTTGGAACCAACCCAAATATTCATCAGTGATAGACTGGATTAAGAAAATGTGGCATATATACACCATGGAATACTATACAGCCATAAAAAAGGATGAGTTCATGTCCTTTGCAGGGACATGCATGAAGCTGGAAACCATTATCCTCAGCAAACTATCACAAGGACAGAAAACCAAACACCACATGTTCTCACTTATAGGTGGGAATTGAACAGTGGGAACACTTGGACACAGGGCAGGGAACATCACACACCGAGGCCTGTCGGTGGGTGGAGGGCTGGGGGAGGGATAGCATTAGGAGAAATACCTAATGTAAATAACGAGTTGATGGGTGCAGCAAACCAACATGGCACATGTATACCTATGTAACAAACCTGCACATTGTGCACATGTACCCTAGAACTTAAAGGATTTAAAAAAAAAAAAAAGAAACATGTCTATTTAGTTCGGGCACAGTGGCTCACACCTGTAATCTCAGCACTTTGGGAGGCTGAGGCAGGCAGATCACCTGAGGTCAAGAGTTCAAGACCAGCCTGGCCAACATGGTGAAACCCCGTCTCTACTAAAAATACAAAAATTAGCAGGCGTGGTGGCAGGTGCCTATAATCCCTGCTATACGGGAGGCTGAGGCAAGAGAATTGCTTGAACCCAGGAGGCGGAGGTTGCAGTGAGCTGAGATCATGCCATTGCACTCCAGCCTGGGGTACAAGAGCGAGACTTAGGTCTCAAAAAAAAAAAAATGTCTATTTAGGTATTTTGCTCATTTTTAATTAGGTTATTTGTGGGTCATTTCTTTTCTTTTCTTTTTTGCTTTTGAGTTAAATGACTTCCTTATAGATTTTCAATACTAACCTCTTATTGGATGTATGGTCTGCAAACATTTTATTTCATTCCATAGGTTACTATTTCATTTTGTTGATTATTTCCATTTCTGTGCAGAAACTTTTTAGTTTGATATAATTTCACTTATTTATTTTTGCCTTTGTTGCTGGTACTTATGGCATCATATTTAAAAAAATTGTGAAAACTAATGTCATAGAGCATTTCCCCTTTGTTTTCTTATAGTAGTTTTATGGTTTCAGGGCTTATGTTTACAGCTTTAATCCATTTTGAGTTAAATTTTGTTTGTGATGTAGGATAAAAATAAATTTGTTTTTTGGTATGTGGATATTCAATTTTCCCAACCCCACTTATTGAAGAGACTATTTTTTCCACATTGTGTATTTTTGGCAACTTTTCACTATTGAGCATAACACTAACTATGGGCTTGTGAAATACGGCCTTTATTGTGTTGAAATACATTCCTTCTGCTAGGCACGGTGGCTCACACCTGTAATCCCAGCACTTTGGGAGGCTGAGGTGGGTGGATCACTTGAGGTCAGGAGTCTGAGACCAGCCTGGCCAACATGGCAAAACCCTGTTTCTGATAAAATACAAAAATTAGCAGGTGTGGTGGTGTGGGCCTGTAATCCCAGCTATTCGGGAGTATGAGGAAGGAGAACTGCTTGAACCTGGGAGGTGGAGGTTGTAATGAGCTACAATTGCGCCACTGTACTCCAGCCTGGGTGATAGAGCAAGACTCCATCACAAACAAACAAACAAACAACAAAAAAAGGAAATACATTCCTTCTATATCTAATTTGTTGAGAGGTTTTTATCATGAAAGCATGTTGAATTTTGTTAAATTCTTTCTCTGCATCTATTGAGTTGTTTATATGATTTTTGTTCTCCATTCTGTTAATGTGGTGTACCACTTGATCATGGTGAATGGTCTTTTAAAGCTTGTTAGTATTTTGTTGAGGAGTTTTGCATGTTTGTGCATCAGGAATATTGGCCTGTAATTTTCTTTTCTTGTAGCCTCCTTGTCTGGCTTTGGTGTCAGGTAATGTTGGCCTCATAAAATGAGTTTGTAGTATTCCTTCCTCTTCAGTTTTTTGGAGGAGTTTGAGAATTGGTATTAGTTCTTTAAATTTTAGTTGAATTCAGCAGTGAAGTCATCAGGTCCTGGGCTTTCCTTTGATGAGACTTTTTAATTATTGATTTAATTTTCTTTTTTTTTTTCTTTGTTTCTTTCCTTTTTTTTTTGAGATGGAGTTTCCCTTTGTAGCCCAGGCTGGAAGTGCAGTGACATGATCTCAGTTCACTGAAACCTCTGCCTCCTGGGTCCTGGTTCAAGCAATTCTCCTGCCTCAGCCTCCTGAGTAGCTGGGATTACAGGCGTGTGCCACCATGCCTAGCTAATTTTTGTATTTTTAGTAGAGACTGGGCTTCACCATGTTGGCCAGGCTAGTCTTGAACTGCTGACGTCGTGATCCACCTGCCTCGGCCTCCCAAAGTGCTGGGATTACAGGCGTGAGCCACTGCACCCGGCCTTGATTTAATTTTCTTACTCATTATTGGTCTATTCAGATTTTCCATTTCTTCATGATTTTATCTTGGTAGTTTTTATGTGTCTAGGAATTTATCCATTTCTTCTAAGTTATCCAATTTCTTGCCATATAATAGTTCACAGGAGTCTTTTTTAATTCTTTGTATTTCTGTGGTATCACTTCTAATGTTTCCTCTTTTATTTCTGGTTTTATTTGAGTCTCCATTCTTTTTTTGTTAGTCTAGCTAAAGAGACTGAATATGGGAACAGCTGAGACTAAGGTACAGGGAGCTGAAGAAGAGTAAAAATGTCATACTTTAGCTCTGGGTTGTCCACTGTGACTTGGCCAAACTGATCATGGGACTGTCTGGTATTGACTCAGCAGCATTTGTTTCAGAAAAGCAAGCTTAGTCACATATTTACTATACAACTAGTAAAAATTATAATCTCAAATACACTCATATTAAATTTTTGTATCCAAGCTGTACATCTCTACCTGTGTTCACAATCAGAAGACATCACAATGACTGTTACGGTGTCCTTGTCAGGCAAAAAGACTACTGCTTCAACTACAGCTGTTTTGTTAATAGTAGTGCTAGGAGCATGCCTAGGGCACTGTTGGCTAAAATTCAAAGGAAATGTTGAGGATGCCTAGCTGAGACCAACAGTTCAGCTTACAGCAGAGCTTTAAACAGGCACACACCAGTCATGCAGCCTTTTGTAGATGTTAAGCTGTTTGTTAGGGGCTGATTACCTGAGGGCTAATTTAATATGTAATGAGAAGTTTAGTTTGTTCTGTTATTTTTTTTAAGGCGTACTTATTTTTGCTCTCTAAACTATCATGTTTGGACAATTTCATGTTTGCTATTTAGGAAGAAGCTAATCATCTTTTATACCCTATCTCATGCTCCAAATGTGACAGCAGTAGAAACACTTACACTGAAATACATCTAGGTGAGGGAAAATGTCACCAGAAGATGGAGTAGTGTTGCTGGTTTGCTCCATATTTTGTTCAATGATTTAGAAGAGTATGTGTATGTACAGGTTTACTTTCATACACTCTAGTTTCAAATGACAGAAAATATAAATTAATTGATATTCTTCAGAGTCAACATTAAATTTTAGATTGGATGTCTTTAAATTTTTACAATGTAAATTGCTTTTCTCTCTTCTGTGGTCAACTGACAGTTGCATTCATTGACCAGATAAACTATATTTAGCTTAACATTTTTAGTATCACTTATGGGATTTTAGCAAGATGCCACAATATGAACTTGTAATATTGCATTTCTTTTTTAACTGTATTATTACAAACCTGATTTTAAATCATTTTTTTCTATTTTAGTTACAGCATTAATACAGGCTAAAATTCTCTATATAAATTCTGCTCATATTAGTATAGCACCTGGTAGCACTACAGTTCAGTATTTATCATCTACTCCATTATAAAACCTTTGTTCTAAAAGAGCTGTATGAGCCTATTAGATGTATACACAATTAAGTAGGTAATGATCTGTGGTTGCATCCACACAGCATTAACAGCTGACTTGTGACTGATTTTCCAAGTGAGGTGCTGATTGTTGATACGGAGTACTTATTGGATGAAAATGTTTAGAATATTTTGAAGAATTATTTTTGTGCTTTGAAGTTTAAGTTACATATTTTGTTTTAACCTTACTGTTTGCTTAATGAAGAAATTATAATGTTTCCTCCCTCTCATTTTGATGTTGGTATTTATCTCTATTGTTCTAAGCTCCCCATCCAAACATTGGGAGTTACTGAAGCCCTTCTTGGTACTTTTGGTGCAGAATGTAATGGTCCACCACATGTGTCATTACTGATAGTGACACATTTATGTCTTCATGTTAAATTTGCATTTTTAAAATTAAAGGTAACTGAATTTTAGTCATTTTCCCAACTTTAATGTTAAAGTCATTGAGAATAGTTATGATATTTTTGAAAGTTTGATAATGATCATCTGTGAATTTAGAGAAACTAAATATGGGAGATTATTCTGGTAAGTATCCAATTTCAGTCTTCTTTGTCAGTGTTTGAACTTAAGCTAAATGCTCATGTTTGTAGGACAAAGGCATTTCTTCTCACCTTGGGTCAGAGCAGCAAGTCCTGGGAATATGATACAGCATTATGTGAATAAACAGAAGTTTTGGTAGGCAGCAGTGTACAATTTGTTAAGAAAAAAATCAGACAGGAAGTTTTTGTTGGCCTTTTGCCCATTCTAATATAAACATACATCTATACCATATATTAAGATTGGGCATAGTTAAGATCAAATTCATTTAACAACTGGGGGAATTTATTTTACCTGGGATGGAAAACATTAAATCCAAAGATGAAACAGAAGCAAATAAATTAAGCGTACCTGAACTTTATTTTAAATTTAGAGGAAGCTGTCTTTTTGGAATCTCTTTGAAATCTATCAGGAAACATTTTTGTCTTAAAAACAGAGAGTAAATAACTCTGGGTTTAAGATATCTAACATGTTTGACCTTTGTTATGCTAAAATAGTGGGCTAGAATTGGATCCATAAAAAAATGATCGGATGTTTATCCAGGGAAGGAATCTTAAGTTAGACTTGGTATTAACCAATGTGTGATAAGTAAGGTACCACTTGTGAACATGTGGTTGGTGCTCATGAGTAACTTGTATCAGTCACTATGCATTTTTCTTCTACTCCAAACACCTGGCCTAGTGGATATAGAGAATGTCTTGACATCTTTGTTACTCTATTTTTTTTTCTTTCTTCTATGTTCTTCTAATGAATGTTACTCTGTTTTTTTTTTTTTTTTTTTTTTTTTGAGATGGAGTCTCACTCTGTTGCCCAGGCTGGAGTGCAGTGGTGCGATTTCAGTGCAGTGGTTCTTGCCATTCTCCTGCCTTAGCCTCCGGAGTAGCTGGGACTACAGGCGCCTGCCATCACGCCCGGCCAATTTTTTTGTATTTTTAGTAGAGATGGGGTTTCACCGTGTTAGCCAGGATGGTCTCGATTTCCTGACCTTGTGATCCACCCGCCTCAGCCTCCTCAAGTTCTGGGATTACAGGCATGAGCCTTGGCACCGACCTGTTTTTTTTTTTTTGAGACGGAGTCTTGCTCTGTTGCCCAGGCTGGAGTGCAGTGGCGTGATCTCGGCTCACTGCAAGCTCCACCTTCTGGGTTCACACCATTCTCCTGCCTCAGCCTCCCAAGTAGCTGGGACTACAGGCACCCACCACCATGCCCAGCTGATTTTTTGTATTTTTAGTAGAGACGGGGTTTCACCATGTTAGCCAGGATGGTCTTGATCTCCTGACCTTGTGATCCGCCCGCCTTGGCCTCCCAAAGTGCTGGGATTACAGGCATGAGCCACCGCGCCTGGCTGAATGTTACTCTGTTTTTAAGCGGTTTTGGAAAAGTTTATTTCTTACTCTTGATATAAGAGCTGTGCACAGTGCTGCTATAAAAAGTTAGTAATTTTTTAATGTCAGTAGGGGATCAATTTGAGAGAAGACTAAAGTTGAGAATATCTAAGAATGTTGGCATATATGGAATAGATGTTATCACCCTACATTTTAAAGGTCTTTTTTGTATACATTCTATATGTAATATGAGGTCAGTGAACACACTCTAAGATCAAGCTCTTATAGTAGACTGAAAAACTTGGCAACACTGAAGAACAATTGTGAGTATTTTTAGATTAAGTGAATGACACTACAAATATTATTTTTAAGATATCTGGCATTAAGGCTTATTTATTGTGAAAACCATTAAACGAAAGAGAGAAATCACACACCAGAATAATAAAAAAAAATAGTTAAGATAGACATATAGGGGCAAGAGGGCCGAATAGGAACAGCTGTGGTCTGCAGCTCCCAGCAAGATCAATGCAGAAGGTGGGTAATTTCTGCATTTCCAACTGAGGTACCTGGCTCATCTCATTGGGACTGGTTAGACAGTGAGTGCAGCCCACAGAGGGTGAGCCAAAGCAGGGTGGGGCATTGCTTCACCCGGGAAGTGCAAGGGATTGGGAAACTACCTTCCCTAACCAAGGGAAGCCGTGAGGGACTGTGCTGTGAGGAACGGTGCATTCCGGCCCAGACACTATGCTTTTCCCATGGTCTTTGCAACTTGCAGACCAGGAGATTCCCTTGAGTGCCTATGCTACCAAGGCCGTGGGTTTCAAGCACAAAACTGGGAGGCCGTTTGGGCAGACACTGAGCTAGCTGCAGGAATTTTGTTTCATACCCCAGTGACAACTGGAATGCCAGCGAGTCAGAACTGTTTGCTCCCCTGGAAAGGGGGCTGAAGCCAGGGAGCCAAGTGGTGTAGCTCAGCGGATCCCACCCCAACAGAGCCCAACAAGCTAAGATCCACTGTCTTGAAATTCTCACTGCCAGCACAGCAGTCTGAAGTCAAACTGGGATGCTTGAGCTTGGTGTGGGGAGGGATGTCTGCCATTACTGAGGTTTGAGTAGGCAGTTTTCCCCTCACAATGTAAACAAAGCTGTGGGAATTTTGAACTGGGTGGAGCCCACCACAGCTCAGCAAAGCCGCTGTAGCCAGACTGCCTCTCTAGATT
Organism: Homo sapiens; assembly: GCF_000001405.40. NCBI lineage: Eukaryota > Metazoa > Chordata > Mammalia > Primates > Hominidae > Homo > Homo sapiens. The sequence goes on along the minus strand of NC_000010.11, from coordinate 67,502,677 downwards.
CCTCCTCTCTGGGCAGGCATCTCTGAAAGAAAGGCAGCAGCCCCAGTCAGGGGCTTATAGATAAAATACCCATCTCCCTGGGACAGAGCACCTGGGGGAAGGGGTGGCTGTGGGCACAGATTCAGCAGACTGAAACATTCCATCTGCCAGCTCTGAAGAGAGCAGCAGCTCTCCCAGCACAGCGCTCGAGCTCTGCTAAGGGTAAGACTGCCTCCTCTAGTGGGTCCCTGACCCCCATGCCTCCTGACTGGGAGACACTTCCCAGCAGGAGTTGACAGACACCTCATACAGAAGAGCTCTGACTGGCATCTGGCAGGTGCCCCTCTGGGATGAAGCTTCCAGAGGAAGGAACAGGAGCAGTCTTTGCTGTTCTGCAGCCTCCGCTGGTGATTCCCAGGCAAACAGGGTCTGGAGTGGACCCCCAGCAAACACCAGAAGCACTGCAGGAGAGGGGCCTGACCATTAGAAGGAAAACTAACAAACAGAAAGGAATAGCATCAACATCAACAAAAAGGACATCCACACAAAAACCCCATCCGAAGGTCACCAGCATCAAAGACCAATAAAGGTATATAAATCCATGAAGATGAGGAAAAAACCAGCACAAAAAGGCTGAAAATTCCAGAACTCAGAATGCCTCTTTCCTTCAAAGGATCACAACTCTTCACCAGCAAGGGAACAAAACTGGACGGAGAATAAGTTTGACAAATTGACAGAAGTAGGCTTCAGAAGGTGGAGAGTAACAAACTCCTCTGAGGCAAGGAGCATGCTCTAACCCAATGCAAGGAAGCTAAGAACCTTGAAAAAAGGTTAGAGGAATTGCTAACTAGAATAACCAGTTTAGAGGAGAACATAAATGACCTGATGGAGCTGAAAAACACAGCATGAAAACTTCCTGAAGCATACACAAGGATCAATAGCTGAATCGATCAAGCGGAAGAAAAGATATCAGAGATTGAAGATCAACTTAATGAAATAAAGCATGAAGACAAGATTAGAGAAAAAAGAATGAAAAGGAATGAACAAAGCCTCCAAGAAATATGGGACTATGTGAAAAGACCAAACCTACGTTTGACTGATATATCTGAAAGTGATGGGGAGAATGAAACCAAGTTGGAAAACACTCTTCAGGATACTAACCAGGAGAACTTCCCCAACCTAGCAAGACAGGCCAACATTCAAATTCAGGATATACAGAGAACACCACAAAGATACTTCTCGAGAAAAGCAACCCCAAGACACATAATCATCAGATTCATCGTGGTTGAAATGAAGGAAAAAATGTTAAGGGCAGACAGAGAGAAAGGTCGGGTTACCCGCAAAGGGAAGCCCATCAGACTAACAGTGGATCTCTCTGCAGAAACCCTACAAGCCAGAAGAGAGTGGGGGCCAATATTCAACATTATTAAAGAAAAGAATTTTCAACCCAGAATTTCATATCCAGCCAAATTAAACTTCATCAGTGAAGGAGAAATAAAATCCTTTAGAGACAAAAAATGCTGAGAGATTTTGTCACCACCAGGCCTGCCTTACAAGAGCTTCTGAAGGAAGCACTAATATGGAAAGGAAAAACTGGTACCAGCCACTGCAAAAACATACCAAATTGTAAAGACCATCGGCACTATGAAGAAACTGCATCAACTAATGGGCAAAATAACCAGCTAGCATCATAATGACAGGATCAAATTGACACATAACAATATTAACCTTAAGTGTAAATGGTCTAAATACCCCAATTAAAAGACACAGACTGGCAAATTGGATAAAGAGTCAAGACCCATCAGTGTGCTGTATTCAGGAGACCCATCTCACGTGCAGAGGCACACATAGTGTGCTGTATTCAGGAGACCCATCGCACGTGCAGAGGCACACATTCCTCAAGGATGGAGGAATATTTACCAAGCAAATGGAAAGCAAAAAAAAGCAGGGTTTGCAATCCTAGTCTCTGATAAAACCGACTTTAAACCAACAAAGATAAAAAAAGACAAATAAAGGTATTACATAATGGTAAAGCAATCAACGTGACAAGAAGAGCTAAGTATCCTAAGTATATATGCACCCAATACGGGAGCACCCAGATTCATAAAACAAGTTCTTAGAGCCCTACAAAGAGACTTAGACTCCCACACAATAATAGTGGGAGACTTTAACACCCCACTGTCAATATTAGATCAACAAGACAGAAAATTAACAAGGATGTTCAGGACTTGAGCTCAGCTCTGGAACAAACAGACCTAATAGACATCTACAGAACTCTCCACCCGAAATCAACAGAATGTACATTCTTCTCAGCATCACATCACACTTATTCTAAAATTGACCACATAATTGGAAGTAAAACACTCCTTAGCAAATGCAAGAGAACAGAAATCTTAACAAACAGTCTCTCAGACTATAGTGCAATCAAATTAGAACTCAGGTTTAAGAGATTCACTCAACTGCACAACTACGAGGAAACTGAAAAACCTGCTCCTGAATGACTACTGGGTAAATAACCAAAGTAAGGCAGAAATAAATAAATTCTTTGAAACCAATGAGAACAAAGACACAACATACAAGAATCCCTGGGACACAGCTAAAGTGGTGTGTACAGGGAAATTTATAGCACTAAATGCCCACAGGAGAAAGTGGGAAAGATCTAAAATTGACACCCTAACGTCACAATTAAAAGAACTAGAGAAGCAAGAGCAAACAAACTCAAAAGCTAGCAGAAGACAAGAAATAACTAAGATCAGAGCGGAACTGAAGGAGATAGAGATATGAAAAACCCTTCCAAAAATCAATGAATCCAGGAGTTGGTTTTTTGAAAAGATTAACAAAATAGATAGACTTCTAGCCAGACTAATAAAGAAGAAAAGAGAGAAGAATCAAATAGACACAATAAAAAATGATAAAGGGATATCACCACCGATCCCACAGAAATACAAACTACCATCAGAGAATACTATAAACCCCTCTACACAAATAAACTAGAAAATCTCGAAGAAATGGATAAATTCCTCAACACATACGCCCTCCCAAGACTAAACCAGGAAGAAGTCGAATCCCTGAATACACCAATAACAAGTTCTGAAATTGAGACAGTAATTAATAGCCTACCAACCAAAAAAAGCCCAGGACCAGACGGATTCACAGCTGAATTCTACCAGAGGTCCAAAGAGGAGGTGGTACCATTCCTTCTGAAACTATTCCAAACAATAGAAAATGAGGGACTCCTCCCTAACTCATTTTATGAGGCCAACATCATCCTGATACCAAAACCTGGCAGAGACACAACAAAAAAGAAAATTTGGGGCCAATATCCCTGATGAATATCAATGCAAAAATCCTCAATAAAAGACTGGCAAACCGAATCCAGCAGCACATCAAAAAGCTTATCCACCATGATCAAGTCGGCTTCATACCTGGGATGCAAGGCTGGTTCAACATATGCAAATCAATAAACGTAATTCATCACCTAAACAGAACCAACGACAAAACCCATGAATATCTCAATAGATGCAGAAAAGGCCTTCAACAAAATTCAACACCGCTTCATGCTAATAACTCTCAATAAACTAGGTATTGATGGAACGTATCTCAAAATAGTAAGAGCTATTTATGACAAACCCACAGCCAACATCACACTGAATGGACAAAAACCGGAAGCATTCCCTTTGAAAACTGGCACAAGACAAGGATGCCCTCTCTCACCACTCCTATTCAACAGAGTATTGGAAGTTCTGGCCAGGGCAATCAGGCAAGAGAAAGAAATAAAGCATATTCAAATAGGAAGAGAGGAAGTCAAATTGTCTCTGTTTGCAGATGACATGATTGTATATTTAGAAAACCCCATTGTCTCAGGTCAAAATCTCCTTAAGCTGATAAGCAACTTCAGCAAAGTCTCAGGATACAAAATCAATGCGCAAAAATCACAAGCATTCCTATATGCCAATAATAGGCAAACAGAGACCCAAATCATGAGTGAACTCCCATTCACAATTTCTACAAAGTGAATAAAATACCTAGGAATAAAACTTACAAGGGATGTGAAGGACCTCTTCAAGGAGAGCTACAAACCACTGCTCAAGGAAATAAGAGAGGACACAAACAAATGGAAAAACATTTCGTGCTCTTGGATAGGAGAAATCAATATCATGAAAATGGCCATTATGCCCAAAGTAATTTATAGATTCAATGCCATCCCCATCAAGCTACCACTGACTTTCCTCACAGAATTAGAAAAAACGACTTTAAATTTCATACAGAACCAAAAAAGAGCTTGCATAGCCAAGACAATTCTAAGCAAAAAGAACAAAGCTGGAAGCACCACACTACCTGACTTCAAACTATACTACAAGGCTGCAGTAACCAAAACAGCATGGTACTGGTACCAAAACAGATATATAGACCAATGGAACAGAACAGAGGCCTTAGAAATAACACCACACATCTACAACCATCTGATCTTGACAAACCTGACAAAAACAAGCAATGGGGAAAAGATTTTATATTTAATAAATGGTGTTGGGAAAACTGGCTAGCCATATGCATAAAACTGAAACTGGACCCCTTCCTTACACCTTATACAAAAATTAATTCAAGATGGATTAAAGACTTAAGTGTTAGACCTAAAACCATAGAAACCCTAGAAGAAAACCTAGGCAATACCATTCAGGACATAGGCATGGGCAAGGACTTTGTGACTGAAACACCCAAAGCAATGGCAACAAAAGCCAAAATTGACAAATGGGATCTAATTTGAACTAAAGAGCTTCTGCACAGCAAAAGAAACTATTATCAGAGTGAACAGGCAACCCACTGAATGGGAGAAGATTTTTGCAACCTATCCATCTGACAAAGGGCCAACATCCAGAATCTATAAGGAACTTAAACAAATTTACAAGAAACAAACAAACAACCCCATCAAAACGTGGGTGAAGGATATGAACAGATATTTCTCAAAAGAAGACATTTATGCGGCCAAGAAACACATTCAAAAAAGCTCATCATCAGTGGTCATTAGAGAAGTGCAAATCAAAACCACAATGAGATACCATCTCACGCCAGTTAGAATGGCTATCTTTAAAAAGTTAGGAAACAACAGATGCTGGAGAGGACGTGGAGAAATAGGAAGGCTTTTACACTGTTGATGGGTATGTAAACTAGTTCAACCATTGTGGAAGACAGTGTGGCAATTCCTCAAGGATGTAGAACCAGAAATACCATTGGACCCAGCAATCCCATTACTAGGTATATACCCAAAGGATTATAAATCATTCTACTATAAAGACACATGCACACATATGTTTATGGGAGCACTGTTCACAATAGCAAAGACTGGTAATTAACCCAAATGCCTATCAATGATAGACTGGATAAAGAAAATGTGGCACATATATACCATGGAACACTATGCAGCCATAAAAAAGGATGAGTTCACGTCCTTTGGAGGGACATGGATGAAGCTGGAAACCATTATTCTCAGCAAACTATTACAGGGATAGAAAACCAAACACTGCATGTTGTCACTCCTAAGTAGGAATTGAACAATGAGAATACATGGGCACAGGGAGGGGAACATCACACACCAGGGCCTGTCAGTGGGTGGGGGCCTAGGGGAGGGATAGCATTAGGAGAAATACCTAATGTAGATGACGGGTTGAAGGGTGCAGCAAACCACCATGGCACGTGTATACCTATTTAACAAACCTGCACTTTCTGCACATATATCCCAGAACTTAAAGTGTAATTTTTTTAAAAAAAGATAGACACATAGTTTATGCCAGAAAAATAAAAAAGTTAAGATAGCTTATAGAAGGTTGAGTGTGTATTACCTAGAACTTCTCTGAAAACAGTAAGTGTTTATCATTGGAATTATAGACAACAGATATTATATATGGCTTATGATTATTAATGAGAAATACAATTTGTATTTCTTACTTGCTACATCTCATTTTGAACTGTATTCCAAAATTGATGGAATTAGGACAGCGCTACAAATTTATTTCATTATTTAATGTTATAAGCAATTAAAATTTTATTCATATGAGATAACCATGCTCTCAAAATTATAACTAATTTCATATTCAGTTACCTATATGAAATCCTTCTTAATCATTCTTTAAAACTGGGTTGTACAAGAGGTTCTCTTGGGCCAGTGCTGGAGTAGACAACAGAGGGGTGAGAACCTCCTGTTGAAAAGGAAGAAAAATTATCATGCAACAATTTGGAAGGTTTGGATTTTTTTTAAAAAGGCAAGTGCATTAAAAAATAATGAGATAGTGTAGTAAATTATGAAAGGCTGGGAACGTGGCTTCAGTAAAGGCAGAAAGTCCTTTATTATTATTTTTAAACCTATCTTTCTCCTAACCGTAAACATAAGCCATATATTCATGAATACAACCCCCACCAGTGTGTGAGGCCAGTCTATTAAAAATAAAAAGGCACATAGGAGTCTGTCACACCGCAAGATGAAAGCTGTGTTCTTTATGCATGGATATCATTTTGTTTTAGAAGGGTTGTAAAAAATAATACAATTATAAAGAAAGTCAATTTATGGAAAGAAGGTAGACTCTTCCCGCATTATGTAAATACTTTCTACTAGGGTGCTCGATATAAGAAATATACTACACAGCATTTCACTTTCACAGAAAATATGTGATGATTATTCACATAATAACAGGAACTTTTAGAGCATGTGAATATTCATTTATGAATTATTGACAGAGAGGTTGGAATGTTAGGAGATAGTGCCTACTGGACATTATTTAGTAATACAGATTTTCCATCTCTGAAGCTGTGGAAGTGCCTACTATACAGGTTAGGTCTTTGATTTACTTAATTCTTACAATAATCATATAATGGGAATATTATTTTCCCCTTATAATTCCCATATAATGGGAATATCAATTTTCTCCCCTATTGGGCCACTCACACAGGATGTAAGTTTCAAATCAGGCCTAAGTAATAAAAAATGGCAAATTCTTGATATTTTGGAATGAGAGACAATAGGCATAACCAAGTTGTTATACTGCCTCTTCCATGTCACCTCTTCTGTGCCTCCTGAGCAAATACCCTCCAACTTGGGGAGAAGAGGAGAGTTGGATAGGAATAGAATAAACTTAGACATGGTTTGTTTTTGTGCTGGTCTACCACTACTGTCTGCCACTACCCGCCCATTCCTCCAGGGTAGGAGACATGATAGAATTTACTGCAATGAAATTTGGGAGATCTGAGATGGCCAGTGAATCTCAGGCCCTGTATGGACCTATGACTCTAAAAAATGCTTCTAGGAGTCTTAGGGAAACGGAGAGAATGTTTCTGCCATGTTGTAACCTTGGAGTCTTTTTAGTTCTGGGATAGTGTGTAGGGGCATCAGAAATTTTGTCTTAGGTCCAGAGTGTGGGTAGAAGTCAGTGGAGAGAGGGTGTCAGGGAGCTTGATCACATGGAGGAGAGCAGGGGAAGCAGGCCTCAGTCAGGAAACATTGTAATTTTGGAAGTATACAGAGGTTTAGATGGCGGTGTGTGTGGGTACAGCACTTTATCATGTACTTTGACTTTTGTATTCCACTTCTGCCATAGCCAGGTGGGAGACAAGCTGTTGCTTTGGTTAGGGTTGCCAGATAAAATAATACAGAATGCCCAGTTAAATTTGAATTTCATATCAATGATGAATAATTTTCTAGTAGAATTATGTCTCAAATATTGCATGGGGCACACTTATGCTAATAAAAATATTTATTCTTTTTGAAAGTGAAATTTAACTGGGAATGTTTTATTTGCTAAATCTGGCAACACAACTCTTTGGTGCCCTGAGCCAGTGAAGGAATCAAACTATCCTGTGCTTTATCCATCTTTGAAGTTTGACAACAGGTGGGTGCCCCACAACAGGTGTTAATATTACATTTCATAGAAGAAGTAATTCTCAGTTCAAGAAGTAATTCTTAATTCTTGATGGGTTAGTCTGTCTTTCTGAGGCAGCCCAATTAGGCCAAATAGAATGGAAAATATTTAATCCCTAGAAAATTTCGAGAGGGTAACCTATTTAGTAGCTTGTTCTAGAACACACAAATAGTAAATGGCAGCATCAGGTTTTTGCAGGTCCAAATAGCCTCCACAATACACATTCAAAATTTAAAAAGCTCCTCAGGAACATATTTATTGTGTAAAGAAAGGTGCTCTTAAAAACTGACTGGTAGGTAGCTGCTGCTATTTTCTATAATGTACTCTTGTGTTATGGTCAGGCCTACAAAAGAAACCTTACAAGTCTTTCCCAGGAAACATCCTTTTGAAATTAATTGAATTATTTTAAAGAAATAATGAGATATTACTTCTTTTTAACTTGGCATTTTATTCAAAGGATGTTTCTGAAATTAAACCAGTGGGAGTTTAACCAAAATAGTACAGTGACACAATGATGCCATTTAGAAGAATGTTGTGCTGAGTTAAATAGCTCTAATTATCAGCAACTTTCAAATTATAAAGCAATTAAAAAAACCCTCAGTTTTCTTCTTCAGTGGAATCCATAGTGATTGTATGAAGCATTTCATCTGGTTTGGATAGCTGGGTTTCAGCATCTATTTTGAGATCCCAGAGTCACAAAAAGTATGCTATCCTTAAACTTAGTTTTCTCTTGTGCCCAGAATAATCCTGTATTCTGAATCCCATTTTCTTCTGTCCCCTGAGGACCTTCCTTTATAGGAAGTTGTATTTTGCCTTTACTGTCAACTTTTCATTTTTTTCTACTCATTTTTCCTTTTCAGCATATTAACCTGTTAAAGTTTGATCCAAACGACATGACGATGCTGGCAACAACAGCAGCAGCAATGGTAACCTTCTTTCAAAGCAATACCCCATCCAGCGACAGTCCTGTCTTTCTTCTTTTCCTCATGCTAAGTTTCTGAAAGATTTTAGGTGCGCTGACCTGCTTACTAACTACATCCATTTTTGGACAGAAGCGAGGGAGTCGAATGTTTCCTGGAGCTAGTTTTGTTAACTGGTGTTCTATTTCCATTAAGTATCAGATGCCACAAAAATTCCAGTTAATCATGAAAATAATTAAAAAGAAATGTTAATATATACCTTAAAAAATACATGTTAAGCATATAAAATCAAACTTTTTTTTTTTTTTTTGAGACAGAGTCTCGCTCTGTCACCCAGCCTGGAGTGCAGTGGTGCGATCTCTGCTCACTGCAAGCTCCGCCTCCCGGGTTCACGCCATTCCCCTGCCTCAGCCTCCCGAGTAGCTGGGACTACAGGTGCGTGCCACCACGCCCAGCTAATTTTTTGTATTTTTTAGTAGAGACGGGGTTTCACCATGTTAGCCAGGATGGTCTCGATTCCCTGACCTCATGATCCACCCGCCTCGGCCTCCCAAGTGCTGGGATTACAGGGGTGAGCCGCCGTGTCCGGCCTAAAATCAAACTCTTAACATAAAAGCTATGCTGTACAAATATTCCTTTTGCGAGCTTTTTTTTTTTTTTCCCCCACGTTGAGCTAGGTGAAGCTTCTGAAACAGGAAATCAAAGAAATCTGGCCTGAAAGGCAACCCCCGCCTTTTAAAAAAACAAAACAAAACTACCTTTAAAAAGCACAGGCATTTTTATTGCTTCAAGGATCTTCAAAATGCAGCTAAAATTCAAGATTTAGGGCAATCTATTATTAACATTTTTGTTCATTCAATGAACATGAAATACTCCCAACAGTTTAAAATTGTTAATTGTAGAGGAGGGGAGGTTTCCATGGTCTTTTCTTTTTCTATGATTCCTTCCTCTCTTATTTCAATATGAGCCAGCTTATTTGCCTCCTTGTGACCAGCTCAACAGCCCTGCCAGCAGACTCAGTGAAGGCATGGTTTTATTAGCAGTTGTTGGGTGGATGTAAGTATCAGTATAGTTATTACTGTGGATGTTTTAATTATGTGCTTGCTAATCTGTCCTTAGTACTTGCTGTTCCCTCTTCGTGGAATGATTTTCCCCTAGAGCTCACAGGACAATTCCTTCTTATCATTCAGGGTTCAGCTTAAGTATCACTTCCTTACAGTGGATTTCTCTGATTAATCTAATGTAGACTTTCGCCTCTTCATAGCAGTTATCACTGTAGGAAATTATCTTGCACATTTGATCTTTAAGTTGTTTATTGCCTGGCTTCTCCATTGGGACATAAGCACATTGTCTCTCTTGATATTAAGTGGCACTCAATAAACACTTGTTGGAGAAATGAATGATATGAAAGGTTAAGTATACAAGTGAGTCAGAAGTCAAACATTTCTAAGGAGAGGTTTGTATATACTATTTTTTATTAACTTGACTTTTCACTTCTCAGTAATCTATTTCTGCCTTTCACTTGCACAAACACTGTTATTATGATCACTTATCCAACTGACATTTTTCAGACCTTTTAACTTCAACTGTTCTTTTTTCCTGTAAATCTTAATTTTCTTTTTTTTTCTCCCAATTTTTCTCCTACATGTCTGGACTCTTCCCAGTTCCTGTCAGAGTAAATGTTGATATTGCCCAGAACATAACTTGCTCTTCCTTTTCTCTCCTTCTCATTTTTCTTTCTTTCCCCTACACCCTCTGTATACTCTATAGAGTAAAATCATATACACCCACGGAGTCAATAACTGCCTTTAATCTAACAATTGGATGATTCCCATATCTTTATTTCTACCCCATATATTTCTCTTCAATTCAAGATTTTATCCAGTTACTTAATGAGGTGTTCAAGCTCAAGATGTCCAAAATTTAAACGTATTATATATCATATATTGTAAATACATTTTTATATACATTTAATATATTATCTTTTCTTTCCTCCATTCCTATACTTTTTTTCCACTTATATTCCTTGTTGGTGAATGCCTGCTAACTGGTTATCTTGCATTCAAATTCACCCCTTTCTAATTCAGCCTAAATATTATTACTGGAAGGATTATTTTAAAATGAAAATCTGAACATATCCTCAAGTAAAAATCCTTCAATGGTTCTGGTTCTCTGTTGCCTTTAGAATGAAATCTAAATTGTATAAAGCAACTGTGACCCTTTATTTTCCCAGAGCTTTGTTTTCAGCCATATCAGAGTATTTTCCGTTCTTTGAATACATCACATTTCTTCTGACTTCATGCCTTTGCATATACTGTTACAGCTGCATGATTATTTTCCTCCTGGAATTTTCTGATCTGGCTCTTACTTGTACTTCAGTTGCATATGTGATGGCTCCTAATTTGGAGGTAGATACTACTTTATGGTGTTTCGAAAGGATTTCCTGTATACTTTTATCCCATCACTTGTCATACTGTATGTGTTTCTCCTTCTACTGTAATAAGCTCCTTGAAGTCATAGAGAATGTTTCCTCTCTATTCCCCAACAACTAGGACAGTGCCAGGGACAAAGTTGATTTTTAATGTTTTAATAAATGGTTGCCAAATGAACTATGGTTGCACAGTTTTGTGTATATCTATATTCTTATTTCTATCTATATCTGTCTGTAATTTTGGTGAAAGTCTTCATAATCTTTTGAGGCTGTTTGATTCACTTTGGGATATTATGCTACTATTTTATTTTGATTCACTATTGGTTTTTTTGAGGGGATATTTTCAACTGAGTTTTTAAAATTTTTATTTCTGTTTTCCTGTCATATTAGTTTTTTTTTCTTTTTAGAATACTTGTAGGTTGCTTAAGCCTCAGCAATTCTGTGATGGTTTGGGATGGTTTACAAGATCCCTGGTTAGAACTCTTCTGTTAAGGTTGTAAAAGATAGTTTATTTCCTCAGTAGCTTTCTTCAATTAAGAAAAATTCTTTTGTCTTACTGGATTCTGATTTTCCCTTTCTTATTTCTTCTTATGTTCACTGTGTAGTTTCCAGAGTGCTTCTCCATTCCTTTGTTACCCTTCTCTCTCCCAAGGCCTTTCTAAGACCACCTCTTAGAGCCCCACATACTCATTCCTCCTTCTAGTAGGCTCTGATCTACCAGGACTCTTTTTCCATTATTTTTGCAATGAGAGTAGAATTTCTCTTTATAGCTGTGATTTTAGATCAATTTTAAATTTCATTGCTAGGTTCTCTCTTCTGTTTTCAGTATGGTTCTCCCCCATCTCCCACCATCCCTCCACTCTGGCCCCATCTTGCCCTTGTTCCCCAGGTAGGCTTGCACCAGAAGGGTGAGAAATTCCATGCTAAGAGTTGGTGTTAATTTTTTATTCACGTGTAATTTGAAATCTAGGTTGTTCTCTCTTTTCTAGTTATGCTGACAGCATAGGTTTTCTGTAGTTTTATTTATTTTTTATTTTTATTTTTGGAGTATGTGCTGGGAGATTCAGACTTAAGCAGCTGCCATCACCTTGGCTATCCAGAATTCGATCATAAATGTTTAAAGGGATTGAAAAACAATGTTTTCACTTATCTCTTGGTAAAATAATTTATTTTCTTTCTTTGAAACAAATAACTTGAGATGTTTCCCAAAATTGTTGTGACATTTCTGTTTGGCTACATAAATTGTCTACAGCATCAATTTAAGAAACAAAGTGCTTAACATTAAGAGAAATAGAAGATGAGATTTCGCATCAGTTTCACTCTTGGATGAATTCAGATTAGAACATGGGCAATGGAAAGCAAATTAGGGCCTTCAAAATTTATGACCAGTGGGAAAATACATGAGAATAAAATTACATTAAGATTGGTGCTTTGTGTTAAAGATACCTGTGATGAGTTTTCTTTTCAAGAGGAATGAAATGACCTAGATACAAAAAGACAAATATTACATGATCTCACTTAAATGTGGAACCCAAAGCAACTTTATCTAGTTACTTAATGGGCTTTTCAAGCTCAACATGTCCAAAATTTAAATGAATGAATGAATATATGTATATACACACACCTAATGTGTGTATATATATATATATATAAAATCATGTATTATAAATATACTTAAGTATATATAAATTTAATATATTTTTATTTCCTCATTTTCTCCATTTCTACCCTTTCTTTCCACTCTATTTCCTGCCTCAGTGAATGCCTGCTAATTGGTTTTGTTGCATTCAGTCCTAGGAGCAATAGTGAGAGCTAAGCAGTTTTAAAACAATTTGGCACTTCATTTCCATGATATTGATTTTTTTCCAGATACTTATCTAAGCCCCTGAGAAGGTGGGCCAAGGTGCTTTTCTTGGTCTCTTTCCACGCTTAAATGTTTGGTTACTGTCAAAAGAGCAAAGAGCACCTGCTTCTAGTGAATACATGCTCAAATGAAAAATGACAAGTTGCAACTTAGGTTGAGAAGTAATGATTCATTTTTCTCAACCAAAAAGACTAATTTGTTTTTGTGGGTGGTGGTGCAGAGGTGGCTTGGGTGAGGAATGGGGGAAATTACTTACTTTTAACCAGCACTTGGCATTATGAAATGCATTTCCGATAATTAAATGAAAACACATTTCATTTTGAATTGAGTTTAAATAATTTACTACTGCAAGTGAAATTTAAATCTTAGGTACATAAAGAAAAGACTCCCAGGGAAATCTGTAAAAGATACATTAACAGGGATATAGAAATAATTGTTCTATAAAAAGGAATTTAGTTTGGTTTTTTACCTATGTGATACTAGCTGTACTGATACATGTTAGGGAAAAATAATCAAGTACTATAAAAAAATCAGCTGATCCATCTGGGCGTGGTGGCTCATGCCTATAATCCCAGTACTTTGGGAGGCTGAGGCTGGCGAATCACCTGAGCTCAGGAGTTCGAGACCAGCCTGGGCAACATGGCGAAACCACATCTCTACTAAAAATACAAGAATTAGCCAGATGCGATGACCAGCCTGGGTAACATGGCAAAACCCTGTCTCTACTAAAAATACAAAAATTAGCTGGACACGGTGGCATGCGCCTGTAGTCCCAGCTACTCAGGAGGCTGAGACAGGAGAATTGCTTGAGCCTGGGAGCCGGAGGTTGCAGTGAGCTGAGATCGTGCCATTGCACTCCAGCCTAGGTGACAGAAGGGACTTTGTCTCAAAAAAAAAAAAAAAAGAGGCCGGGCACTTTGGCTCACACCTGTAATCCCTGCACTTTGGGAGGCCGAGGTGGGTGGATTACCTGAGGTCAGGAGTTTGAGAACAGCCTGGCCAACATGATGAAACCCCATCTCTACTAAAAATACAAAAAATTAGCTGAGCTTGGTGGCATGTGCCTGTAATTCCAGCTACTCAGGGGGCTGAGGCAGGAAAATCACTTGAACCTGGGAGGCCGAGGTTGCAGTGAGCCAAGATTGCGCCACTACACTCCAGCCTGGGCAACAAGAGCAAAACTCCGTCTCAAAAAGAAGAAAGAAATCAGCTGATGCAAGGGATCTCTGACCCATAGAGTCTTGCCCATTTCATACTTGTCTTTCTGGTTCTTGGAGAGCCATTTATTTCCTTTCAATGTCTTCATTTCTTGCTTTCAAAAGTTAATTATTTTGGTATATTTCCCAAATACCATCCTTGTATCCCTGTACTGTTCTAGCCAGGTGCTTAATTTTTCATTTCCTGTCTTTCCCTTCCTCTCCTCCCCAAACAGTCTGTTACCCCATGCTGTCCCTTGTTGCCCAAGAACCTCCAATTTCGAAACTCAACGAGGTTCTGTATGTATGATTTCTTAACATCTACCTCCCTCACAAACATACTTAGATGCATGAATCCCTATTAAATTGTTAGACAGTGTGAGCGGGATGCTCTCCTCCTTCTGTCCTAAGCTTAAGGTTTCTAGAGATTCTCTCACATCTGTCCTCATATTTCAGAGTTTCCTCATCCATAGAACTCTGAGAGCAACAAGTTTTATGCTCTTGTGCCTTCCCATTAGACATCCTGTGGTACCTAGGGGTGAGGAAGGTCAAGAGAGAAGCTGGCAGTCACCACTGTCTTGGTGAGGTGTGTGAGTGCTAAAGCAGGTTGAAATGGGATTTGGGGCTCTGCTCTTCCTGCAGGAATGGGACAACCTGCTGGACCCTTTATCAGTTATATGTACAGCTCTTCACACTGCCTATAGCCGTGTTCCCAAGGATACAGGTTACAACTCTAGCTTTTCAGAGCTCATCCTCTTTTCCTCCATGGGGAACCACCCAGGTTGTGAGGTGGCTTAATTTTAGATTTTAAAGACAAATGTTCCTGAAAATAGTCCTTGATTGCCCCAGATGATTTTACATTTTTTCCCCTACCACCAAAATTAGGTGTAGGGAACCCCCTTTATGTTTCAGTGACTATTTGATTTGAGTGACTCAGCCAGAAGTTGAGAGAGGACACACACGTACACACTCTTCCGTGGGTTTCCTGCTGTAAAGGCCAGCTGCGTCTCAGCCAGCAAAAGCTTAATCAACACACAGGAGGTGATCCTAGGATGATCAGGAGCCTTGGCAGCCAGTGGAGGAGACATTTTTTGCCAAGGGGGATGTCTTACTGTCAAAACCTATAACAGTTATGCCTTGGATGATTGGTGTTATCTAGCTGTTAACTGAACTATGCACAGAAAACTGACACTTTCGCAGGCTTTTTTGGTGTTGCTATTTCTTCCTGGATCCAAGTGCTGGAGTGGCTCTTTGGTGCTTAGTGCAGTCAGTAGCATCTTGGTTCCTCTGAAGCATTGGGCAGAATGGGGAGCATTGCCTGGGACACTGATGGGGCCTCATCATGGCTGGGGGTGCCAGGTAATCATTTGGGATGATAGGTTTAGTTAAATACTTTTTGGATTGGTATCAATATTACTGGAGATTTGTATTTTTTTCTACAACTAAAATAAGATTGGAGACCTTGGAAGAAAGTAGTAAAATGACTAAAGTGTGAGAAAACATGATTCATTAGAAAGAAAATGAATTTACTTAACCCTTAGAAGAGAAAGGTAAGAAGAGAATAATTCTTCATATATAAAACAAAGGAATTTCTCTTAAGGTAGCAAATGGCTATTATCTATTTCCACAAATGTAGAACAAAATCAGAGGACAAAGCTCTTATTCAGGCATAAATATGCTTGAGTGCAGCTAGCAGTTATTTGGCACTTTCTCTATCTCAGGTTATGCTAATCACTTTACTTATTATTTCCTGTAATCCTTGAAATACTTTTACAATAATCTTACTGTTTTTCTCATTCTATGAATGAGAAAACTGAGGCACATAGAGGTTAAACTTGGGGACCTACCAAAGTATGGTAGGGAAGCAGAAATTGAATGTAGATACAAATACTAGATGTGAAAGTCACAGGTAAGAAATGAAGCAAAAATACAGGAATTAGGAAGACACAGTGAAGCAAAAGTAGTGGTTAAATATCTAGACTATCAAGAACTAGAAGATCTATTGGAATTGAGTACTAGGTGAAGGGTGGAGGGTCATGAACCCATATAGTAAAAGAAGATGGTGAAGATCAGAATCCAGATAAGTGGTCTGTTTATCAGATATGAGGTGACATATACAAAAAGACCTTAATTCTGGAGGCAAACTTCAACTTCATCCAGCACGCCTATGTATTTCTGGCTAAAGTAGATTCTTGTTCCCAGGGCATGGACAGTCTCAAAAATGAAACAGGTGAATGAGTGTGAACAAGACTCCTTCTGTGCCTCATCAATCAACACTTTTGACTTCATAGCTTAAGTTGTAACATCTATGTCACCAATAACTTATCTTTTAAAATTCCCTTAGGTTTGGGTTGCTTTTTAGCAGCTTTATAACATAAAAGGCTTCTAATTAGGAATTTTTAAATAGCAGAAGATACGGCATTATTTATATCCCTGTAGGGAAAATATGAATTTCACTGAAACAAAAGAAAACCAACAAAGAAGTGTTTCCTATCAGATGATCACTGTTGGCTTTAAAAGGAAGAGACGTCTAGTTGACTTATTTGAAGGAAAGCTTTTCTGAGTGGAATCAGACCAAAGCTGAGGCCTTTTAGGTTTCTTGTGCTTTGGCTAGGTATGCCGTTAGCCTCTGTCTCTGACTGAAAGTGCTGCAGTGAAGCCACATACTCCTGTTCAAAGGGGAGATTAACACTTGTTACTAGTAGAAAACAAAAAGCCAAGGATGAGAAAGTAAAATTGGGTTTAATTTCTATCATCACTGGGTCTAACTTCCACTGTGTTATCACCACCTAACTTGGGTACTGCTGCTCTTGCTGTGACCTTAAATGGGTCAGCATAGTCACTAGGGAGGTTTTTATCTTTCTTTCTGTTTTAATTTTAATTTTAGAATCAAGGGGTACATGTGCAGGTTTGTACATGTACATGGTTATATTGCAAGCTGCTAAGGTTTGGGCTAAGATTCATCCTGTGACCCAGGTAGTGGGCATAGTACACAATAGGTAGTTTTTCAGCTATTACTCCTCTTCTTCCTCTAACCTCTAGTAGTTCCCAATGTCCCCACCTCTACTAGTCCCCAAGAAAGCTTGTTGCTATCCTTATGCCCATGAGTATCCAATGTTTAGCTCCCACTTATAAATGAGAACGTGTGGTATTTGGTTTTCTGTTTCTGTGTTAACTTGCATAAGATAATGGCCTCCAGCTGCATCCATGTTGCTGCAGAGGACACAACTTCAATCTTTTTTATGGCTGCATAGTATTCCATGGTCTATATGTACTGTGTCTTCTTTATCCAGTCCACCACTGATGGGCATCTATGTTGATTCCATGTCTTTGCTATTGTGAATGGTGCTGTGATGAACATATGAGTGCATGTGTCTTTTTGGTAGAATGATTTATTTTCTTTTGGTTATATACTCAGTAGTGGGATTGCTGGGCCAGATGATAGTCCTGTTTTAAGTTCTTTCAGAAATCTCCAAACTCCTTTCCACAGGGGTTGAACTAATTTACATTCCTACCAACAATATATAAGCATCCCCTTTTTCTCCATAGCCTTGCCAGCATCTGTTGTTTTTTTGACTTTTTCATAATAGCCATTCATTTTTCATAATAGCCATTCTGTGAGGTGGTGTCCCATTGTGGTTTTATTTTGCATTATCTGATGAATAGTGATGTGGAGCATTGTTTCATATGTTTGTTGGCCACCTGTATGTCTTCTTTTGAGAAGTGTCTGTTCATGTCCTTTGCTCACTTTTTAATGGGGTTATTTGGTTTTTGCTTATCTAATTGTTTAAGTTTCTTATAAATTCTAGCTATTAGACCTTTGTCAGATGCCTAGCTTGTGAATATTTTCTCCCATTCTGTAGATTGTCTGTCTGCTCTGTTGATAATTTCCTTTGCAGAAGCTCTTCTGTTTAATTAGATCCCACTTCTCACTTTTTTTTTGGTAAATGGTTTTGAGGATTTAGTGATAAATTATTTCCCAAAGTCAATGTCCAGAATGGTGTTTCCTAGGAAATCCTATAGTTTGAGGTCTTACATTTAAATATTTAATCCATTTTGAGTTAATTTTTATATGTGGTTAAAGATAAGTGTCTGGTTTCATTCTTCTGCATATGACTAGTCAGCTGTCCCAGCACTATTTATTGAATAGGGAGTCCTTTCCCCATTGCTTGTTTTTGTAAACTTTGTCAAATGGATGTAGGTGTGTAGCTTTGATTCTGGGCTCTCTATTCTGTTACATTGGTCTATGTGACTGTTTTTGTACAAATACCATGCCCTTTTGGTTACTGTAGCCTTAGAGTATAGTTTGAAGTTGGGTAATGTGATGCCTCTGGCTTTATTCTATTTGCTTAGGATTGTTTTGCCTATTCAAATTCTTTTTTTGGTTCCATTTGAACTTTAGAATACTCTTTTTCTAATCCTGTGAAAAATGTCATTGGCAGTTTGATAGGAATATTGTTGAATCTGTAGATTGCTTTGGGCAGTATGGCCATTTCAATAATATTGATTTCTTCCTATCCATGAGCATGGAATGTTTTCCCATTTGTTTGTGTTGTCTCTGATTTCTTTGAGCAGTGTTTTGTTTTTTTTTTGTTTTTTTTTTTAATTTTTATTTTTTTATTATTATACTTTAAGTTTTAGGGTACATGTGCACAATGTGCAGGTTAGTTACATATGTATACATGTGCCATGCTGGTGTGCTGCACCCATTAACTCGTCATTTAGCATTAGGTATATCTCCTAATGCTATTCCTCCCCCCTCCCGCCACCCCACAACAGTCCCCAGAGTGTGATGTTCCCCTTCCTGTGTCCATGGGTTCAATTCCCACCTATGAGTGAGAACATGCGGTGTTTGGTTTTTTGTCCTTGTGATAGTTTACTGAGAATGATGATTTCCAATTTCATCCATGTCCCTACAAAGGACATGAACTCATCATTTTTTATGGCTGCATAGTATTCCATGGTGTATATGTGCCACATTTTCTTAATCCAGTCTATCATTGTTGGACATTTGGGTTGGTTCCAAGTCTTTGCTATTGTGAAGAGTGCCGCAATAAACATATGTGTGCATGTGTCTTTATAGCAGCATGATTTATAATCCTTTGGGTATATACCCAGTAATGGGATGGCTGGGTCAAATGGTATTTCTAGTTCTAGATCCCTGAGGAATCTCCACACTGACTTCCACAGTGGTTGAACTAGTTTACAGTCCCACCAACAGTGTAAAAGTGTTCCTATTTCTCCACATCCTCTCCAGCACCTGTTGTGTCCTGACCTTTTAATGATTGCCATTCTAACTGGTGTGAGATGGTATCTCATTGTGGTTTTGATTTGCATTTCTCTGATGGCCAGTGATGGTGAGCATTTTTTCGTGTGTTTTTTGGCTACATAAATGTCTTCTTTTGAGAAGTGTCTGTTCATATCCTTCGCCCACTTTTTGATGGGGTTGTTTATTGATGGGACGTATCTCAAAATAGTAAGAGCTATCTATGACAAACCCACAGCCAATACCATACTGAATGGGCAAAAACTGGAAGCATTCCCTTTGAAAACTGGCACAAGACAGGGATGCCCTCTCTCACCACTTCTATTCAATATAGTGTTGGAAATTCTGGCCAGGGCAATCAGGCAGGAGAAGGAAATAAAGGGTATTCAATTAGGAAAAGAGGAAGTCAAATTGTCCCTGTTTGCAGATGACATGATTGTATATGTAGAAACCCCATTGTCTCAGCCCAAAATATCCTTAAGCTGATAAGCAACTTCAGCAAAATCTCAGGATACAAAATCAATGTACAAAAATCGCAAGCATTCTTATACACCAATAACAGACAAACAGAGAGCCAAATCATGAGTGAACTCCCATTCACAATTGCTTCAAAGAGAATAAAATACCTAGGAATCCACCTTACAAGGGACGTGAAGGACCTCTTCAAGGAGAACTACAAACCACTGCTCAATGAAATAAAAGAGGATACAAACAAATGGAAGAACATTCCATGCTCATGGGTAGGAAGAATCAATATCGTGAAAATGGCCACACTGCCCAAGGTAATTTATAGATTCAATGCCATCCCCATCAAGCTACCAATGACTTTCTTCACAGAATTGGAAAAAACTACTTTAAAGTTCATATGGAACCAAAAAAGAGGCCGCATCGCCAAGTCAATCCTAAGCCAAAAGAACAAAGCTGGAGGCATCACACTACCTGACTTCAAACTATACTACAAGGCTACAGTAACCAAAACAGCATGGTACTGGTACCAAAACAGAGATATAGATCAATGGAACAGAACAGAGCCCTCAGAAATAAAGCCGTATATCTACAACTATCTGATCTTTGACAAACCTGAGAAAAACAAGCAATGGGGAAAGGATTCCCTATTTAATAAATGGTGCTGGGAAAACTGGCTAGCCATATGGAGAAAGCTGAAACTGGATCCCTTCCTTACACCTTATACAAAAATCAATTCACGATGGATTAAAGACTTAAACATTAGACCTAAAACCATAAAAACCCTAGAAGAAAACCTAGGCATTACCATTCAGGACATAGGCATGGGCAAGGACTTCATGTCTAAAACACCAAAAGCAATGACAACAAAAGCCAAAATTGACAAATGGGATCTAAGTAAACTAAAGAGCTTCTGCACAGCAAAAAAACTACCATCAGAGTGAACAGGCAACCTACAAAATGGGAGAAAATTTTCACAACCTACTCATCTGACAAAGGGCTAATATCCAGAATCTACAATGAGCAGTGTTTTGTAGTTCTCCTTGTAGAGATCTTTCTTTCACCTCCTTGGTTAGATGTATACCTATGTTTTTTGCTTTTCTTTTGGTGGGGTGGGGCAGTTGTAAATGTGATTGCATTCTTGATTTGACTCTCAGCTTGAACATTATTGGTATATAGAACTGCTACTGATTTTTGTACTTTGATTTTGTATCCTGACACTTTACTGAAGTTGTTTATCTGTTTCAGGAGCCTTTAGATAGAGTCTTTAGGGTTTTCTAGATACAGAATCATATTGTCAGTGAAGAGAGATCATTTGAATTCTTTTTTTCCTATGTGGATGCATTTTATTTCTTTCTCTTGCCTCATTGTTGCAGCTAGAACTTCCAGTACTATGCTGAAGATGAGTAGTGAGAGTGGGCATCTTTGTCTTGTTTCAGCTCTCCAGGGGAGTGCTTCCAGCTTTTGCTCATTCAGTATGATGTTGGCTATGGGTTTATCATAGATGGTTCTTATTATTTTGAGGTCTCTTCCTTCAACATGTACAAAAAAAATGTGATTCACCACATAAAAAGAATTAAAACCAAAACCATATGATCATCTTGATGGACACAGAAAAACCTTTTAATAAAATCTAACACTGCTTCATGATAAAAAACTCCTAACAAACTAGGCCTAGTTTTATTTTTTTGTGTATGTTGAACCAACGTTGCGTCCCTAGAATAAAGCTTACATGATTATGGTGAATTAACTTTTTGATGTGCTACTGGATTCAGTTTGCTAGTATCGTTGCCAAGACCAGCTTGGTCATGGAGACCCCAACCCAGCGGCGTTAGAGGAATTAAGACAAAGACACAGAAATAGAGTACAAAGTGGGAATCAGGGAGCTAACAGCCTTCAGAGCTGAGAGCCTCAAACAGAGTTTGACCCACCTATTTACTGACAATAAGCCAGTGATAAGCATTGTTTCTATAGGTTATAGATTAGCTAAAAGCATTCCTTACAGGAAACAAAGGGACAGGCTCTGGCTTGTTATCTGCAGCAGGAACATGTTCTTAAGGCACAGATTGCTCATGCTATTGTTTGTGGTTTAGGAACGCCTTGAGCAGTTTTCTGCCCTGGGTGGGCCAGGTGTTCCTTGTCCTCATTCTGGTAAACCGGCAACTTCCAGCATGGGCATCATAGCCATCAAGCCATCATAGCAGCAAGAAATCTCTGCAGTCACAGGGCTGCAGAGATTTTGTTTATGGCTTGTTTCTCATGGCCTGTTTATGGCCAGGCTTGAGGCCTGTTCCTAGCAATTGTGTTGCGGATTTTTACATCTGTGTTCATCAGGGATATTGGCCTGTAGTTTTCTTATCTTTTTGTGTCTTTGCCAGGTTTTGGTGTCAGGCTGATGCTACTTTTGTAGCATGAGTTAGAAAGGAGTCCTATCCCTTCTCCTCAGTTTTTTAGAATAGTTTCAGTAGGATTGCTATAAACTCTTCTTTGTACATCTGGTGGAATTTTGACTGTAAATTCTTCTGGTCCAGGGCTTTTTTTTTTGGTTGGTGGGCTTTGTATTACTGGTTCAATTTTGGAACTTGTTATTGGTCTGTCCAGGGTTTCAATCTCTTCCCGATTCAATCTTGGTAGGTTGTTTCCAGAAATTTATCCATTTCCTTTAGATTTTCTAGTTTATGTGCATTGAGGTGTTCATAATAGTCTCTGAGGATCTTTTGTATTTCTGTGGGATTGGTAGTAATGTCATCTTTGTCATTTTGGATTGCACTTATTTGGATCTTCTTTCTTTTTTTCTTTGTTAATCTAGCTAGTGGTCTATTGATCTTGTCTATCCTTGCAAAAAACCAACTTTTGGTTTCACTGATCCTTTGTATGTATTTTGGGGTTTCAATTTCATTTAGTTCTGCTTTGATTTTGGTTATTTCTTTCATTCAGCTAGCTTTGGGGTTAGTTTGTTCCTGTTTTTCCAGTTCCTCTAGGTGTCATGTTAGATGGTTAATTTAAGATCTCTCTAAATTCCTGATGTAGGCATTTAGTA
Source organism: Homo sapiens (assembly GCF_000001405.40). Classification (NCBI taxonomy): domain Eukaryota; kingdom Metazoa; phylum Chordata; class Mammalia; order Primates; family Hominidae; genus Homo; species Homo sapiens. The sequence continues at coordinate 67,479,609 of NC_000010.11, read as the reverse complement.
TTATAAATTAACATTGCTTTTGCTGCATCCCCAAAATTTTGGATGTTGTGTCTCTGTTTTTATTAAATAATTTTTTTACTTCTGCCTTAATTTTGTTGTTTACCCAAAAGTCATTTAGAAGCAAGTTGTTTAATTTTAATATACTTGTGTGGTTTTGAGAGGTCTCCTTGGTATTAATTTCTATTTTTATTCCACTGTGCCCTGAGAGTATGGTTGGTATGATTTTCATTTTTTTGAACTTATTGAGACTTGATTTATTGCTGAGCATGTGGTCAATCTCAGAGTATGTTCCATGTACAGGTGAAAAGAATGTATTATATATTCTCTGGCTGTTGAGTGGAATATTCTGTAGATGTATATTAAATCCAATTGGTCAAGTGTCAATCTCAAGTCCAGAATTTCTTAGTTGGTGCCTCAGTGATCTGCCTAATTTTGTCAGTGCGATGTTGAAGTCCCTCACTATTATTATGTGGCTAAGTCTTTTGGTAGGTCTAGAAGTACTTGTTCTATAAATCTAGGTGCTCTACTGTTGAGTCTGTATATATTTAGGATATTTAAGTCTTGTTGAATCAAACCTTTTATCGTTGTGTAATAACCTTCTTTGTCTTCTTTTACTGTAGTTGGTTTTATCTGATAAAAGAATACCAACTCCCGCCGTTTTTTTGTTTTCTGTTTACATGATAGATCTTTTCCCAACTCATTACTTGGTAGCCTATGGGTGTCATTATGTGTGTGTGAGCGATAGGTCTTGTTTTTTTTTTTTTAATTCAACTTGCCAATTTGTGCCTTTTAAGTGGGGGTGTTTAGACTGTTTACATTCAAGGTTAATATTGATATATGAGGTTTTGATCCTATCAAAGTTGTTACCTGGCTGTTTTGTAGTTTCTATTGTGTGATTGCTTTATGGGTTCTGTGAGCTATTTATTTAAGTATGTTTTTGTGGTAGCAGTTATTGTTCTTTCATTTCCATGTTTAAGACTCCCTTAAGGATCTCTTGTTAGGCTCCTCTAGTGGTAATGAATTCCCTTAGTGCTTGCTTGTCTGGACAAGATTTTATTTTTTCTTTCACTTATGAAGATTAATTTAGTGGGATATGAAATTCTTGGTTGAAATTTCTTTTTAGAATGCTGAAAATGAGCTCCCAATCTCTCCTGGCTTACAAATTTTCTGCTGAGAAGTCTGCTGTTAGCCTGATGGGATTCCCCTTTATGTGATCTGATGTTTTTTCCCAGCTGCCCTTAAGATTTTTTTTATAACATTGACCTTGAGTAGTCACCGGACTATACATCTTGCTAGAGATGTCTAGCTCTCTAGCATGATTAGGCAAATATTCTTGAAGTATTCTCTCAAATATGCTTTCCAGGTTGTTTACTTTTTCTCCTCTCACAGAAATTTTGATAATTCATGGTTTTGGTCACTTTACATAATTCCCTAATTCTCAATGACTTTGTTCATTTTTAAAAATAGTTTTTTCTTATTTTTGTCTGATTGAGTTAATTCAAAAAGACCTATCTTCAAGCTCTGAAATTCTTTCTTCATGTTGATCTTGGCAATTGATAAAGCTTTCAACTGTATTTTGAAATTTCTTAAGCAAGTTTTCAATTCCAGAAGCTCTGACTGATTTATTTTTAAGATGTTTATCTCTTTCCTCATGTCCTGCATTGCTTTAGCAGTTTCTTTGTGTTGATTTTCAACTTTGTCTTCCATCTCATTGAGCTTATTTGCAGTTCGTGCTTTGAATTTTTTATCTGTAACTTCTATGTTTCCATTTTGGTTAGGTATCATTGCTGGAGAGCTAGTGTGATCTTTTAGTGGTGTTGCTTCATCCAGGTTTTTCAGGTGCCAGAATTCTTTAGCTGGTTCCTTCTCATCTGTAGTCACTGGTACTTCTAATTTTTGTAATTATTTTCTTGCAGGGAGGATATTTTCTTTGCTTTCTTTCCTTGTAATATTGTTTTCTCTCCCTTTCCCTTTCCCCGCTTCTTAGGAAGTGTGACTGTAGACAATGATGGGTAGTCTTTTGGCTTTTCTGTTATAGCCCTACGCACTATAGGGCTGCACTTTACTGGCAGGTTTTGTATTGGGCTATGCAGGTTTTATATTGGGCTGTGCAGTTTGACCTACAAGCTGGCTATGGTCAGTGCAGCTGGGTATATATTTGATCATTGTTTACTGGGAGAAGCTCTCTGTTGCTTCAGGCAGTGGGCTAATTCATGGAGTGCACAGTGGTCTGAGCTCCCTGCTTTGCCCCCGGGGGTGGGGTGGGAGCAAGATGGGTGGGGCCATACGGGGTAGGCCCACCTACAGGTTTCCTGATGGCAGGTACAAACATCTGGACTGAGGGAGAATGTAGTGAGCATCCACCGAGAGGTGTGCCTAGGTGTTGAGATGGAAACCTCCTTGGATCCAAGTTGTCTGCACAGGGAGAGAGGGAGCAGCCTAAACTCTTAGTCCAGGAAAGTGAGTGTTCTAGATTCCTTGAGATCTGCCTGGGTGTGGAGTGTAAAGGGCCCTGCTGCACCACACAGTCTCTGCACAGGAAGGGTTGGGCAGCTCAGGCTGTTAAATCAGATTAACAGGTGCTCTGACTGCCTGGAGGTATCGCTGGGCATGGGACAGAGAGGGCCCTACTTCATCATAATCTCTGCACAGCAAGGCTGAGGCGGCTCAGGATGCTGAGTAGGTGAGCAGGTACTCTGAATGCCTGGAGATCTGCTTGAGGGTGGAGTGGAGAGGCGCTCCCCTGTACCTGAAACTCTGCACAGGAGGGTGGGGTGGCTCAGGCTGTAACTCTGTGTGAGCAAGTGCTTTGAATGCCTGGAGATATGCAGGGGTATGGAGTACATAGGGCCCCACTATACCACGATCTATGCACAGGAAGTGTAGGGTGGCTCAGGCTGTTGATCTGGGTGAGTGGGTTCTCCAAACACCTGGAGATCTGAAGTTTAATCGGCATGGTGCAAAGAAGGCTCAGATGCACTACGATCTCTTTGCAGGAAGGGTGGGGCAGCTCAGGCTGCTGTTCCAGGCAAGCAAGTGCTTCAATGCCTGGAGATATGCCTGGGTATGGATTGGAAAGGGCCTTGCTGCACCATGATCTTTGTGCAGGAAGGGTGGGGTAGCTCAGGCTGGAGGAGTGGGTGCTCCGACTGCCTGGAGATCTGTCTGGGAGTGGGGTGGAGAGGGACCCACTGCACCACTCTCTCTGCATAAGAACAGTGGGTGTCTCTGGCTGCTGAACCAGCAGAGAGTGCCCCCTGATGGCTGGATTTTTGCACAGGACTAATGGGATGGCTCAGGCTGTCAATCCAGGTGAGCAGGTGCTTTAGTGCCTGGAGATCTGCCTGGGCATGGAGCAGTACCACGGTTTCTGCGCTGTACCACGGTTTCTGCATAGGAAGGGTGGGTGGGGACGACTCAGGCTGCAGTCTGGGTGAGCAAGTGCACTCGCGGGTTTAAATTTTATAGGCCAAGTTGCCACCTGAGCCTCAATTTCAAATGAACTTTGTGTAGCAAATGTGACATCATTTCTGGGTATTCAGTTAAATATGGAAAAGATACACATTTTGAATATAATGATTACAATCCTCTGGCTATCATCCTGGCCCCGGCCCTCTTCATCACTGCAGCTATCTTCTATATCTTTGCTTTAATATTTTCCTTCAACTCAATCTCATATATGATTACTAGACTAATTTTCCTAACATAATATTTTGTCATGTTCCCTCATTCTAAAGAAACGATAGTGATTTCTTACCTCCATTCAGATTAAATCCAAACTTCTTCTGATCTTTGAAAATCCAATGGAAGCTTTTATTCATTGCTTTCATCTGTATTTATTGAACTTTCACCATTCAGTAACTCATGATAATGAATATAAAGTCATGATAATGAATAATCAAAATTACAGAAATCTTTGAAATTAAGAGTTTCAGATAAGTGACTATTTCTAATATTGGAAGTTAACGTTTTTTGTTGTTTTTGACTGGAATCTTAAAAATTAAATACCTCTATATATCCATGCTTTTTAATTTAAATTATTTATATTCACTGAAGTACTATAGGGATATAGTCTTTGGTAATTTGGTATTTTAAACCCATCATCTTCCCTACCTTCTTCCTAGGTATGCTGTGTTTTTTGAAGGAGGAAGCCATAGGTAGGAATTTTTTTATGACAGATTTTTTTGAGGTATAATTTGCATACAGCAAAATTAACTGTTTGTTTTATACAGGTCTATGAGTTTTGAAAATGCATACAGTTGTGTATCTACCACCACAATAAAAATATGGAACAGTTCTACCACCCACAAAATTCACTTCTGTCCCTTGTGGTTAACTCCTCTTCCTGATATCTGGCAATGATTGCTTTGTCTGCTATCCTTGTAGTTTTGTCTTTTTTCAGAATGTTACATAAATGGAATCATGTAATAATGTGGCTGTTTGTGTGTGGCTTCTTTCACTTAGCATAATGCGTTTAGGATTCATCCAGTTGTTTGTATCAGTAGTTTATTTATTTTTATGGCTGAATAGTTTAATATATGGCTGTGTCACAATTTGCTTTTCTATTCATTAGCTGAAGGATATTTGAGTTGTTTGCAATTTTTGATTATGATGAAAAAAGCTGCCATAAATAATCATGCTCTGATTTTTACATGAATGTAAGTTTTCATTTTACTTGGATAAATATCCAGGAGTAGGATTTCTAGGTCATATGGTAGCATATAATTAACTTTATAAGAAATTGCCAGAATGTTTTTCAGAGTGGCTGTACCTTTTTGCATTCCCAGCAGCAATGAATAAGAGTTTCAGTTGCTCTGTATCCTCACAGGCATTTTGTAGTAAGACTTTTAAAAAATGTTTTTAATTTTAGCTACTCTTACAAGAATTTAGTGGTATCTCATTGTGGTTTTAATTTGTACTTCCCTAATGACTATGTTAATAATCTTTTCATGTGCTTATTTGCTTTCCATAGATCTTTTTTTAGTGAAGTATCTGTTAAAGTCTTTTGCCTTTTTTTAGGGGAGGTGTATTAGTATGCTAGATGGCCATAATAAAAGAACTCAGACTGGGTGGCTTAAACAGCAGAAATTTTTATCTTCACAGTTCTGGAGGCTAGGAGTCTAAGATAAAGGAGTCAACAAGTTTGGTTTCTTCCAAAGCCTTAGCTTGCACACAGTCACCTTTTAGCTGTATCCTCACATGGTTTTTCCTCTGTGTACACACATTCCTGGTGACTCTGTGTGTTCAAATTTTCTCTTCTTATAAGGACAGCGGTCGTATTGGATTAGGGTCCACCCTGATGGCCTCATTTTAATGTAATTACCTTTTTAAAGGCCTTATCTCAAAATACAGTCACATTCTGGTATTCAGGACCCTCCATGGATACCAAAATCATGGATGCTCAAGTCCTTTATATAAAATGGCATAGTATTTGCATATACCTGAAGTATATAGACAAAGCCAGAGAAGTTTTGGCAGAGTTAAAGCATTTTCCATATAAGACCAATTACAATGATTTGTTTGGTTACAGATTGCTATATTCCAAGGAAGTTTACTTTATTACTCAATGAGGAGGGGTAAAGATCTAAGGGAATCTTATCTCTGTTGTCATGTGGCCTTCCTAATTATTAATATTTACAGGAAAAAAAGTCAGAAGTTGCAGCTGCATATGCCATGTGACTCGGGCTACATAGCTACATTCCTGTCAAGGCTCAGAATAATATAAAGTTCCAATAGATTTAAATTTGAATTATTTAATTTCACATAGCCTATACACATCCTCCCATATAGAGCTTAAATCATCTCTAGATTACTTATTATACCTATAAAATGTAAATGCTATGTAAATAGTTGTTATAATATATCATTTTTAAAATTTGCATTATTTTTAATTGTTGTATTGTTATTTTTTATTTTTAATTTTTTTCCAATGTTTCTGATCTGCAGTTGGTTCAGTCTGTGGATTTGGAATCTGTGAATATGTAGGGCCCACTGTATTTACAGTGTAATTTAATGAGCCTCTTAAGTTATGCAAAGGTATACTTAGACTCTAGTCTTGGATGGAAAGTGATAGCTAATTGCTCTGCATAATAAAGTAATAGGCTGAACATGGATATCTGACATGAAATATTATTAGTTTCATATTCTGTGTTGTTGTGTATTTCTCTGTTATCGCTAATATTTAGTACAAATGTTATGGATTTTTTTTAGTCAAGTATGGAGAATAGTAGAGGAGGTGTGGTGGAGACATATAGCGTGAGCATATATGAAAAGCATGGCAAGTATAGAAGACAGTGAGTGAGAATTCCATGAGAGGTGTCCTGAGAGTGTAAAGCTCCTGGGAATCTTTGAAAATCCTGGAAAGCATGTATGATGAGGGCTTGAGACATTTTATCTGGATATTAAAGAAAAGGATGATCTTAGCCAGATTGTAATAGTTAAGCATTTCATCATGTAATAATAGTCTTCACTTCATATATTGTTCATTCATTTTGTCATACATCTAACATTAATTTGTTGTACTGTTTTACAAGGTTACAACATTTAAAGATAGCATTCAAGTATTCATGAAACTAGGTATAGGAGGAGAGAGAAACATATGAGCAAGTGATTGCCTTACGTAGTGATAATTCAGTAAACATGTACAGCTATGGAGAAAGGTAAAAGGGGAACGTGATCAACTCCATTTGGGGAAAGGGTCATGAAGGGCTTTACATTTTGAAGGTGGAGATGTTGCAAGGTGAAATGCAGAATTGGGGCTCAACTCAGAAGGCCAAGTTGGTCCTTGGCTTTGGCTTTGTGCAGGAAAGAATTCAAGAGTGAGCCAACAGAGAGAAATGAAAGCAAGTTTATTGGAAGAACAAAGGAACAAAAGGAAGGCTACTCCATAGGCAGAGCACCCTATCCCCCCAGTCCCAGGCTCGTCATTGGTTATAATTGTGGTTATTTCTTGATTACATATGCTTACTAAGGGGTGGATTATGCATGAGTTTTCTGGGAAAGGAGCAGGGAGCTCCCAGAACGGTGGTTTTCTCCCCTATCCAGACCATACAGAGTTAACTTTTGGGCATTGCCATGACATTTGTCATGGCACTGGAAGGAGTGTTTTTTAGCATGCTAATGCATTATAATTAGCATATAATGAGCAGTGAAGGTAACTGGAGATGGCTTTCATTGCCATTTTGGTTCTAGCTGGTTTTGGCCAGTTTCCTTCACTGTCTCTTGTTTTACCAGTGATGTCTTGTGACCTGTTGTCTTGGAAACTAGTCCTGCTGCATTTTTATCTAAGATAGAACAGATAAGAGGGGAAATGTAATTCTATGTATAGAGTGATTAGTATTCATATCTCTGTGTAGAAGTGCAGAGATATGAAATATAGGTGAAAGTCCAGGAAGTACAAATACTTTAATATGGCTGGAGTGTAGGCTGCTGTAAATCAAACTTCTCTCAAAAGTTTGTGAGTTCCTTTATGAGTGAATCTATGCAGTGAAACTTACACATTTGCCACATTGCCTAGCAACTAGTAAATAACTAAATAATCATTGAATCAAGTTTTGTGATGATTTTGGAAAGTATTCTTATTGTGAGGTTATAATTTTTGGTACGATTTGATTTAAGAAAGACACAATTTTGCTACTTTGCTTTAGCAAAGAGTTTGTAGGAGACTAAAGAGCAATGGTTTCCATCATTGATCTGTGTATCTTATAGTTGTTTATTTTTTTATATTTGGAGCAAACATTCTCATTCTTTTTGCAGAAAGACCCTAGAACAGTTTCTGGCCCTTAATAGTTACATAATAAATATTTCACTGACTAAAATGTCTTCCTTTTCACAGAGACAAAAGCATACATAATTAAGGCCAAAATGTACATGGTCTCATCTTTGGCAAGATGCAGGCATGTCTAAAAACATCCACTCCCGATTTAACTTTCACTTTGCCCCTCTTGTACCAAACCTGTTTTCTCTTTTTCTTACTATCCTCAACAAGAAGGATTTGCAACTCTTATTAGGGGAATCCAGTTCTTTTTTTCTTCAGTTTCTGAAGAGTTAAACAGAATTAAGTTTTCTTTTAATGAAATTTTTAAAAGAGGAACTTGAGATTGGGAAGGAATTACTGAATCCGTAAAGTAAAAGCTGTAGACGATAGTCTAGCACCACTGCTTCAGCAGAAGTTTAAGCCATTGAAGTTCAGATTTAGCTTCATAATAGATGCTTGCTTTGTAAGCTTAGTACATCCTTACGTTCTGATATTCCAAGAGAAATGGAAGCTTTTTGCTGGTGCAGTGGTTTTCAACTAGGGGCAGTTTTACCCTAGAGGGGACATTTGGCAATCTTTAGACACATTTTTGGTTGTTATATTGTGTTTAAAAGGGGAAGTGAGTGCTATTGGTATCTACCATGTAGAGGCCAGGGATGTGAGAACATCTTGCAATGCAAAAGATAACCCCCACAACACAGAATTACTTGTTAAGACTAAAGGTCTTGGCTGGGTGCAGTGGCTCACACCGGTAATTGCCCCACCCCCCCGTGCTTTGGGAGGCTGAGGCAGGAAGATCACCTGAGCCCCAGGGCTTTGAGAGTAGCCTGGCCGACATGGTGAAACCTGGTCTCTACAAAAAATACAAAAATAAATAAATAAATAAATAAATAAAAAAGACAAAAATTAGCTGGGTGTGGTGGCACATGCCTGTAGTCTCAGCTACTCAGGAGGTTGAGGTGAGAGGATCACTTTATCCTGGGAGGTCAAGACTGCAGTGAGCTGTGACCATGCCACTGGACTCCAGCCTGGGCAACAGAGCAAGACTCTGTGTCAAAGAAAAGAAAAAGACAAAAAATCTTAACCCAAAGTTTTTTTCTGGCCCCAAAAACTCAATAGTGCTGGGGTTGAGGAATTCTGTGTTAAAGTAACACAGATTTGGGTCATAGTTATAGTCTCACTGCGGTGTGTGTGTGTGTGTGTGTGTGTGTTGCAAACTTGCCAAATAACACAAATTCTAGTCTGTTGAATAAGGAAACATCACTTGTCTAAGGCAGTCTGTATGTCTAGACAAGATTCAAGTGATCTATCAAATATATAATGTGCCTTTAAAAAAATAAACTCAGTAACGTATTTACCTAAAAGGCTGGATTGGCTTTGAGAAGCTGATTTTAAAAAGAACTTTTGTAGGAAATCAGTATGTTGAAGAGATATCTGTACTCTTATTTTTATTGCAGCACTGTTTACAATAGCTAAGATTTGGAAGCAGCCTAAGTGTCCATCAACAGATGAATGGATAAAGAAAATGTGGTACTTATACACAATGGAGTACTATTCAGCCATAAAAAAGAATGAGATCCTGTCATTTGCAAAACATGGTTGGGACTGGAGGTTATTATGTTAAGTGAAATAAACCAGGCACAGAAAGACAAACATCACATGTTCTCACTTATTTGTGAGATCTAAAAATCAAAACAACTGAACTCATGAAGATAGAGAGCAAGAGAACGGTTACCAGAGGTTGGGAAGGATAGTAGGAGGGTGGCAGGGGAGGTGAGGATGGTTAATAGGTACAAAAAGTTAGTTAGAAAGAATGAATAAGACCTAGTATTTGATACCACAACAGGGTGATTATAGTCAATAATAATTTAATTGTACATTTAAAAATAACTAAAAGAGTATAATTGGATTGTTTGTAACATAAAGGATATATACTTGAGGGGATGGATGCCCTATTTTACATGATGTGATTATAATGCATTACATGCCTGTATCAAAACATCTTATGTACCCCATAAATATATACACCTACTATGTACCCACAAAAATTAAAATTAAAAATTAAAGAACATCACTTTTCTTTTTTTTATTTTTTATTGTACTTTAAGTTCTGGGGTACATGTGCAGAATGTGCAGGTTTATTACATAGATATACATGTGCCATGGTGGTTTGCTGCACCCATCAACCCATCATTGACATTAGGTATTTCTCCTAATGCTATCACTCTTCTAGCCCCCCACCCCCCGACAGGCCCCGGTGTATGATGTTCCCCTCCCTGTGTCCATGTGTTCTCATTGTTTAACTCCCGCTTATGAGTGAGAACATGCGGTGTTTGGTTTTCTGTTTTCCTGTGTTCGTTTTCTGAGAATGATGGTTTCCAGCTTCATCCATGTCCCTGTGAAGGACATGAACTCATCCTTAAAAAAACCCACTTTTCCTAAACATGCATATGTTTTTCAGAGGTTGAACAAAGCAGCTTCAAAAAGGATTAAATTGATTTCAACTTTAGGGGGATTTATGTGTCCTTCATAAGAGATTCTTACATTTCTATTATTTCATTTAGTATATTTTTAAGGGTGTTAGGACTTTGAAAGTACGGAGAAAAATCAGGAAATCAGAATGATTTTGGATAGAATGAATAACACTGTATGTCTCCTTTTAGTAACTCTCATGAAATTTTTTATGCAGTGCTTTTTAAAGCTTTAAGTGAACAGAAAAGACTGTTTTTTGTTCTTAGAGTTTTCAGCTCACAGAATTTTCAAAAAATTAGCATTGGTCCCAGGTACACTCTTCCAACCCTTTCTTATTTCCCAACTACCTCTGACAGTAGACAGTAAGATGTACCCATCTGCCTCAAAGCAGTGAACTTAAGCTTAAGCTTCCTTATACGAATGCAAGTTCTCATCAAAACAAATGAAAATAAAAATAGGAGAAGTGATTGTTTTAGGTAAGCTGTCATTTGCTGTTGTGACAAAGAAACCCCCTCATTTCAGTGGGGGTATTCACAATAAAAAATTTTTTGCTCAGTCACCTGATAATCCAATGTGTGTGTTCCCGGTTGCTGGGCAGCTTTCATCTACCTGGTAATTCTGGGATCCAGGAATAAAAAGCTGATTCCATTGTGTGACTTCTGTATCATCTGCCTCTAACCAGTAAAAGGGGAAAGAGAGAAAAATCCCTACCTGCTTCTTAATAGCACCAGCAGAAAACGGCATATATCACTTACGTTCACATGTTCTTTTGATGAGAACTAGTTAGAAGGCTTGTACACAGATGTGAGGGGGCCTGAGTGCCTCCAAGCTACATCTCTGTACCCTGGAGGGGCAATCCATGCTACATAAGATTTGTTCAGTCTTTTAAAGACTTCTATACTGACACTCTGTGGCTGAATATATGTGGTCACATGTCTACAATGGCGGTGCATACACTAATTTTTTTAAAAAACTTTTAAATTATTTTTCTTCCTTTCTTTTCCATTTTTTTTTTAAAAGGAACAGGGTCTTGCTATGCTGCTCAAGCTGGCCTCAGACTTCTAGGCTGAAGCAATCCTCCCCCGTCAGCCTCCTGAGTAGCTGGGACTACAGGCATAAACCACCACAACTGGCCTATTCCCTACTTTATTAACCTAGAGGGAAACAACACATACTGGGGCCTATCAGAAGATGGCAGGTGGGAGGAGGGAGAGGATCAAGAAAAACACCAACGGGTACTAGGCTGAATACTTGGGTGATGAAATAATCTGTACAACAAACTCCCATGACACAAGTTTACCAATGTATTAATAACAAACCCACGTGTGTACCTCTGAACTTAAAGTTAAAAAAAAAAAAAAGAAAGTTGGAGGCTAGGCACAGTGGCTCATGCCTATAATCCTAGCACTTTGGGAGTCTGAGGATGGCAGATTGCTTGAGCCCAGGAGTTTGAGACCAGCGTGGGCAACATGGCAAGACTCAGTCTCTACAAAAAATACAAAAATTAGCCAGGCATGGTGGGGCACACCTGTAGTCTCAGATACTCAGGAGGCTGAGGTGGGAGGATCACCTGAGCCCAGGAGGTCGAGGCTGCAGTGAGCCATGATTGCACCACTGTGCTCCAGCCTAAGTGACAGTGAGGCCCCATCTCAAAAATAATAATAATAATAATAAATAAAATAAAATAAAGAAACTTACAGTCACACTAGTCACATAGTCATGAGTTACAACCTAGAGAGTCAACCATAGAGCCTATGTTTTTAAACACATGTTCTCTAAGATGTTAGATTAAATGAGTATTTAGAATGAAAATATGTTGTTCAATAAATGGGAATCAGATGTTTATCATTTTAGGTGTAAAGGATGTGTGAAATGATGCCTAGGGGTAGATAATAAAGGATTTTTTTTTAAAAAAAGCAATATTTGAATGGCATGAAAGTCTATTAGAGAACGAAGTCTAAAAGTAGGGAAAACTGTGAAGGACTAAGATCATCCAAACTTATGTAGGGCTAATATCATAATATTTCAAATTTAGTGTGGTTATTGAGCATGAAAAAAGCTGGAAGATTCTGTCAATATTTGGTTTACCAAGACAATAATGTGTAGTCAAAAACTTAACTAGCCATGCTCAGACTGTAGATTTTTAGTGATTAAAGTAGGTTTTCCCTCTGAAATTTTAAAATGTGAAACTTTGTTACTATGAGATTTGGTTCCAGTTCAACAATTTTCTTTTTCTTTTTTTTTGAGAGGAGATCTCACTCTGTCTCCCAGGCTGAAGTGCAGTGGTGTGATCATAGTTCACTTCAGTCTTGAACTCCTGGGCTTATGTGATCCTCCCACCTCAGCCTCCCTAGCCAGTGGGACTATAGATGTGCGCTACTGTGCCCAGCAACATTATTCTTTTTGTTCAGTGTGCCTTTTGGTTTTCTGTCTGCTCCCTCGTTATTCCACATTGAAATTTAGGGAGCATCTATTGATTGCTACCTTAATTGTGGATCTTCACCATAACATAGCTATGATCTTTTAAAGTGCTTGTAGGTTAGAGTCTGGTATTAAGTTATGATGAAGAATCAGTGGGAAAGTGGTACAAATCCAGAAAGACAAACAACTGTTTGTCATATGTAAGAAACAATTTTATAGGCATGTCTTGGCTACCATCAGATATTATTTAGATTTTCAAACACCGCTTGACATCTCATAGTTTGTGATATTTCTCTACCCTCATTTCCCCGGAAGCTCATTTTGTCCCGCTTTGGATATAGCAAACCCATATTTTACTCTTGCCATCTTCTTTGGCTTTGTTCACACATGAATGTACAGCCAACACTGAAATTCTTCCTAGGGAGAAAAATATGTCTCAGTTTTTGGCTCTGCATATCTGATTATCCTAAAAGCAATGGTAGCACCTAAACTTTTCTATAGTAGAACAATTATAATTACGTAGAAAGAGAAGAAAACAATTGATTATACCACAGTATTGCTACTTCATTGTTGTATTTGATTATTTGACTGCATGTAGAAAGCTATTGCTGGGTTAATCTCACAAAAAAACTTGTTGTATTGTTTTCCAACTCTATTTTATAATTTTGTGGCACAACTTTGAACATATTTAGATTGCTTACATTTTAAAAAAGAATCTGGGCATATTTCCCCTATGAGATACCATTAATAAAGCATCACATATAATTAGAAAAAATAGCATTGTACAGATGAAGAGAGAAAATTTTTTTTTGGCAGAAACAAATTATGGTGCATATTAGTATGTCTTTAGATCCAAAGAACATTTGATAATTGTGTACAATTAACTCCAAAATAAGTTTTGATTCTTCTTTGGAAGCATATATAGAATTTTAGATACAAACTAAAATGGCAAATAAAAAATAACCTGACAGGTAGAAAACATACCTGCAGGAATTCTATAGAGATAAAACCATGCAAGTGAAAATACTATACAAATTGAAACAAAAATATGACTTTGGGAGGAGAGGAATTGTTCTCAGTTGACAAGGTAAATGGCAGTGTCTTTCGATGTGGGGGAAAATAACTAAATGCTTGATTTTCATGTGGTTATTATTAATTTTTTGTGCATGTGCAGTACAGAGGCTGTTTTTCACCTTCTCCAAATAAAAGAACATTCTACAGTCTCCTCTGTGTTTTATTTTCTTGTTGTTTATTTTTCTGATAGGCAGTAGTTCTCTCCCCTGGGTGCTGAGTTGACCTCCATGTGAGTTATAACCATAGCTGGGGACAAGGGCATACAGTATTATCAAGGATAATTGTTTTATGGTACATCTTTCCCTGAAGGCTGTGGACCCTTTTTTGAAATGTGCTCTTTACTTGAAACCTCTATTATTTATTTGCTTGTTTTGGATTTTTTCCTTTGAACAGCAGGCATCATAAATTGATAAAACTTTACTAGAAAAGTTGATTCTAGCCTCATCGTTTTCCTCTCTTTTCCTTTCCTTTCCTCGTCTATAATCTAGAATATACAAACTCTCTTATTGTGAAATACTTGGGGAGGGCAGCTTTGAAACCATCTTTCTATTGCATGAGAGTATTATAGCTGGTATTTTGAGTTGGGCGATTAAGGCTGAAAATGGTTTTGTTGTTAGACTGGAGAATGAGAGTAACAGAATTACTTTAAAAAAATAAAATTCTGTGTAAAAACAGGGTCCTTTTATAAATAGAATGCAACATTTTTCAGATATCAAAAGTTACTGCTTATAATGACACCACATGCATAAGACTTTATTATTTTAAATGATGCAAAATGTCACTGAATCTTTCCAGCTTGAAACTAAAATGCTTCCATGGCACTTGACAGAAGCAACGCTAATTCTCAATTACCCATCTATGGTTATGAGAGACAGCAAAAACACAGGCAATTGCCTTCATAAAGCATTAAAAATCTTTTAGGTATTTGTTACTATTTCTCCCCCATTAAACTTTTCTCCCCCGAAGCCTCTAAGAAGGAAGAATACTGAATGATCTGTACTTTCTTTTTCTTTTTTTTTTTTCTTACCTACAGTTTTGAAGAGGATGATAAGAAACGGTCAATGTGGAAGGTTTTAGGTAAAACAAAAACAAAAGTCCAGAATTTTATACATCCTGAATAATCATTCCCTGGGTTCTTTCTTGGGGACAAAGTGTCCTTTTTCTTTATAGAATCATTTCAAACTCCTTTTTTGTTAAAAGGCCCACTAATTGCTGAAAGGCACTTACTGCAAAAAGGGATACATGGATATCTTTTTGTCCTTTAGCTTTAATGAATTATATATTCAGTGTATGTACAAAGTACCCCAAAAGGTCTGCTGGGCTCTTCAAAGAGGTTTAATACTCAGCCACTACTTTCAAGAAACATACAGGCTGTCTGCTCTTCCAATAAAATGACATCAGCAGCAGCAACACAACCAACACAAGTTGGATGAGTAAATAGTATGTGATAAGGGCCGCAGGAGTGATATGAACAATAGCTTTTATTTGAAAAGTCACAAGAAAGATAATTGGGATCTAAAGGGATCAAGGTACTTTTTATTCGCGAGTTATTATTTTTGTTTCTGGACCTTGAAGAATATAAAAAATTTGAATTGGTGAAGAAGATAGGGGAGCGAAAGACTGCTATAGTGGGGAAAACATGAGGAAAAGAATTAAGAAGGAAATATCCAAGGGCAAGCATGAATAGATCAGTTTATGGGATGATTTCTGTAAAAGAGAAGAGGAATATAACATGGGAAAATCAGTTAGAGCCGGATTATAGAATGTTTTAAATAACAGGATCGAGTTTCAATGTTTTGTTTTAGGTAATAGAAATGCTTGAAGGATTTTGAGCTGGAAAATGGCATACACAACAGTATTTTAGAATGATTCATCTGATGGTGATGAACTGGGGTTAGAGCATTCGTAGGAGCATAATTGAGGATCATGAGAAGGGGTAGAAGGAGGTAGGAAGGGAGGGAAGGACTTTTGTATCTAAACTAGGAATTGGCAATTGACAGCCTATCAGCCAAATACAGATCTCTGTTTGTTTTTGTAAACAAAATTGTATTAGAATGCAGCCATGCTCATTATAAAAAATGTATTGTCTATGGCTGTGTTTGTGCTTCATTGAAAAGTTGAATATTCACAAGAGAGACTATATGGCCTGCAAAGCCTATAGAGAAAATTTACTAACCCCTGTCTGAAATTATTAGGTAATTCAAGATAAATCATTTAAATAAACCTTATTTATAGTTGTAGATGCTGGTTTGGTAACAAAAGGCTCCCAGAAAACCAGATCTTTTATGTATTAGATTAAATTGAACACATGTATTGAGGTGAATGTGCATTGCTCCCTTCTCCAGAGGACATGACTGTAATCATGGATTCCTTTTATCTTGCCTTTGTGTCATTTAAGTTCAGCTAGAAAGGCGATGTCCTTTTTGAGCTGATAACCTGATATGAGTTTGTGTGGTCAGTTTTTTCAGATGGTCTTTGGGTGTAGGGTCTAGACATCAAGCAAATGAAATCAAGGGTAAATTTTGGTTTCTTTTGCCAAGAAAACTGATGGTGATTGTTCCCACTTAGCTGAAGCATCCTGATAATGATAAAAACAAACTACTCAGATTTACTGAGCACTTACAATATATTGGATGCCGTGCCCATTGCTTCATTTGTATTATGTAAAATAATCCTTACAGAGGTCGGGTGTGGTGGCTAACGCCTATAATCCCAGCACTTTAGGAGGTCAAGGTGGGCAGATGAGCTGAGGTTAGGAGTTTTGAGACCAGACTGGCCAACATGGTTAAACCCCGTCTCTACTGAACATAGAAAAATTAGCCGGGTGTGGTGGTACACACCTGTAACCCCGCTACTCAGGAGGGTGAGGCAGGAGAATTGCTTGAACCTGGGAGGTAGAGGTTGCAGTGAGCCGAGGTCATGTGACTGCACTCCAGCCTGGGTGACAGAGCGAGACTCCATCTCAAAAAAAAAAAAGAAAAAGAAAAAAAATCCTTGCAGAAATCTTACGATGTAAATTTTAAAAATTATTTTCTCTTGATGGAAAAGAAAACTCTGTGTTAGTGAGATTCCATAACAATCCCTAGGTCAACAGCTGGCAATTAGCAAAGCTAGGATTTGAACACAGGTATAATAAAAATCTACTAGAATATCTGTTTATCTCACCTTCTCAGATCACCACGTCTTCCCTTTACTCATTGTTAGAGGAGTGGTTTCTAGCAGACACCTTTTTATTATGTGAGCTTCATTCTAGTCACAATAGATTGGTCCAGGGATGCATGTCAGAGCCAGATTCAAGCTGAGCCAATCAGAGTCTTGCCCTGGGATTTTGTATAAGACACTAAACTTTCTGCTTCTTTCTTTCCCTTTTTGAAGAGAGGAAGTATGCAAATTTGTGATGTCATTTTCCCAGGCACTAGAAGGTGCCCTTTCCTTGTCTTGCTTGTTAAATGTTTTTAAAATGAAAAACACACTTACAGATTCAGATAACTGTGAGTGTTTTTAACAGGCAAGACAAAGATGGTAAGGAGTTTGAAAGTGTGTGTTAATCGAGGATATTAATTACCTGAATGTTGAGTAGTAACAAGGTGCTGACTTACAGCATCTCCTGCTGTGGAAGAGGAGTCAGAGAAGGCATCTGTCAATGAGTTCAGTGCTGGAAATAGCAACCACTCTAGACATTTTCACTTGGAATTGAGGGAACAGAGAGAATTAGGTGCTTATAACACCTGCTAGAATGGCTGGGGCAGTGGAAGCCAGAAGGGATATCATGAAACTGAGATCCAGAGCTGAGATTCAGAGGTCAGGAAGCTGCTACCACCAACATATTACAACAACTTCCTTTCATACCTACAAAACTGGTGACTACAAATATAATGAGGAATTTGGCTAATGCAAACATAAGTAGCTGTGATTAAAAACAAAATCATTTCTTTTCTGGAGTTGATTGATGGCCATCTAGATTTCTTCTGTGAATTCATACTTCTTATGTGAATAAATAATGAAAGGTTAATCAGAGCTTCTCTTTCTAGGACTGGCCATCTCCTAATGCATCATGTTGTTTGTGTTGCTGGATGTTTAATGAAACATACATGATGTTTTTAAGACAGAATGGCCAATGATATAAATATTAGATTAATGATATAAAGCCTGGAGGTTAATTGACTAGGAAAGACTTGCATTAAATAGAGCTCAAAGAGGAATAGAGATTTTATGATTTCTTCATGTCTTATGATTTCTTTATTTGGCAAAATTTTGAAATAATTGTGATTCTTCTGTGGTCATTTTATACAACCTTTTTGCTTCCCTATTTATTTCTTTTTGGTGATTCAGAAAATTGCAAATAGTGAGATTGTCCTAAGTGTGGTCATATAAATAAATCTGATTGAAAAATATAGGTTGTATATTGAACATTGACAATTTTTCACTTTTCTTTATCTTACTGTGGTTCCTTTTCATAGACTACAAGCTAAGTAGGTCAGGAATGGGGATTTTGGGGCACATTGCTGATAGGGGCATAAGACAGGTACTTGGGATATCCTTCTAAGATCTTGGAGTACCCTTCTAAGATCTTGGAATACAATTTTAATGGTTAGTGGCACTCCAAATGTTCTACTCTGAAGACTCACTGAAAAAGAGAAATAACCTAATATATCAGTGTTCTCTCAATGTCCTCTTGGGATATTTCCCTCTATAGTGTGTTCATTCTATTCTACCAAGCCAAATGTTCAGGAAAGTGCTTGTTTCTAGACCATAGCTTGAGAATTGCTGTTCTAGGAAGAACTTGCCTCTTTTCCTAGTAAATTTTAGTGAGACAGAAAGCCTGATAATTTTTAGTATCCAAGTAGTGTAAATTCTGTAAATTCAGCATGTTTAATCAAATTACTCACTGATCTTGCTTTCAATGCCAGCTTCATACATCACCAACTCACAAATCATATAAAGTACAATAGGAATGGATATTCACATGACAGAACATTATTACCTTAGTAATTTACTGTATAGTATTGGGAGATTTAGATTGTCTTTTATCAGAGACCTTCTAACCTGGACACAATATATTTTCATTTCTCTTTTTTCTCCTTTTTTTGGTTAGTATCTTCTTTTATGATTAATATTACCTCCATAATGAAATTTGTATTGGAAAAATAAATGGCCTTTTTAAAGTCTTTTTTTTCCTACTCCCTGTAATCAAAAATAATGCCAGAAGAGTCTCAGGACACTTGGCAGCAAAATAAATGAATAAATGTAAAGAAAATCTTAAAACAGATTACTATCATAGAAAAGTAATAAAATGAAAAAGTAAGCTATTTATGCTGTTTCGTTTTGAAATAATAATCTATAAGTCTTGAAAACTTCTCAAATAATTTTTACTAATTGCAGTATGTCTCTTTTTTTGAGATTGGTAGATAGAAAAGCTGGATTGTCAACTACAAAAAATCACTTGGGCAAATTTATTTAATTTTTAAAAAATTCTCTTAAACCAAACGAGCCAGACTTTGGCAAATTTAAACAATGTGCTGCCATTACACACTTTACATATTACCAGTATTAGTCAGTTACACAACTGGTTTCCACACCCAGGGACTATGTCCTGGAAATAACATCAATTCATTTGGGTTCAGGTCCAACCAGTGGCCCTATATCTGGAAGTCAAAGCTCTAATTCAACAGTTAGAATGAAAACAAAGCCATAGGAAAGTGCTTTCTTCATTCTTTGCCTATCTCCTGGACAGTGTTAAGTATATAAACCTATGTTGAATATGTACAGTATTTAAAGAATATTGGTATGAAGGAATACCATGTCATTAGCCTGCCTAGAGCACTCACATGCTTTAATCTTATTATTGGGTAAAATCAGGGAATTATAAAAATGTATTTGAAGGATAAAGAATGTAGAAGCTACGATAACAATGTGAGAAAAGCAAGTCATAAAAATGAAAGTTAATATACAATGTTTCAAGAGAGAAAAGGAATATATCAGATTGACTTTGGAGCATGCTTGGTTTTAGTGTAGATTCTTGGAGCATGCTTGGCTGTAATGTAGATTCTTCAGGTTCAGAGATGGAAGTATAAGAAGTAGTGTTATATTGTTGTAGGGCAAAGCTAAGGCATTTAATCTTTGCTAAGAGGTAAAAGATAATTTTAAGGCATATGTCAAAAGAGTAATTTACTTACATGGTGATTTTAAAAAGTGATGAAGACATTTTGCTTTTGCTCCATGACATGAGACAAGTACAGTTTATGATCTGAGATAGTGAAACTAGTTTTCAGGACATGTCACAGACAGTCATGAATTCTAAATCTTATTCATGTCCAACAGAAGTGTTACTATGAAGGAGAGAAAATAGAGAAGACTTATAAAACATTCATCAAAGAAAAAATACATGGCTTGAAAAGATGAAAATATCCTATTTGAAGCAGAAGAAGCTTAAGTTGGTTTTCACTTATCCACTTTCCTGCAAAACATACTAATGGTGGCTGACCACGTGGGCAGAAATCAGACACTGATATTATCCTACCCCATCCCCACTACTAATGCAAAGCCTGATATTCGGACATGATGTGAATACATCAGCCTTGGATTTGCATGCTCTACCAATTTCTGATTACATGAGAAGTTGCACTGTAGATCATTGTCATTTCTTCTACACTCATACTAATTGGGGGAAAGGATTCTATTATTTGGGTGAAAATATTGAGTGTATTAGAGCAAGGACAGTGAGTTTCTACTGATGGCACTGTTGTAGGTATATATTGAACATGGAATATATGGTTAAAACAGACATAGTGCTCAATATTCATATATTAATAGTGGTGCTCTTTTCTCACAAATTTGTTCTATTCTAGGCTTCACCTTCTTAAAACTATTGTTTGATGCTATTGCCATGGTGTGTACTTTCCTTCTTTTAGCACCATTGCTAGGGAGTTGGAGAAAAAGTGTTGTTTGAGAAAGTCACATGAGAAATAATCCACGTTCTTGGGGATTGATATGGTTTCACTTTTTGTCCCCACCCAAATCTCATCTTGAATTGTAATCCCCACATGTTAAGCGAGGAACCTGGTGGGAAGTGATTCGATTATGGGGGCAGTTTCCTCCATGCTGTTCTCATGATAAGTGAGTGAATTCTTAAGAGATCTGATGGTTTCATAAACCTCTTTTTGTATTTTTAGTAGAGATGGGGTTTTGTCATGTTGGCCAGGTAGGTATTGAACTCCTGGCCTTAAGTGATCTGACCACTTCGGCCTTCCAAAGCGCTGGGATTACAGGCATGAACCATCGTGCCTGGCCTGTCCTCTTCTAGAAGAGGACTCCTTTTCTCTGTTCCCTTGAGATTCATCACTGTTAGAATCTTCTTTTCTACTTCCAGAAGTTTTACACTGGAATATCAACTTTTGTAGTCATAAAAGAGCTTGTTCCTGCCCCAGAATCCCACAGGCAGCATAGAATAATCCTAATGGTGCTACAAGTATTCTTGTACAAGCTATGCTGCCTACTGATTTTAGACCTTGGGCAAGTTACTCTTTGTTCTGGTCTTGTTTCCCTCATTTATAAAATGAAGTGATTGGAATAGAGCATTTATTATGTGTCTTTTGATTCTAATACTATGATTCTTGACAGTATGGAAGCTCTGCTGGAGTTGATGTAACTGGTTAATTGGGTCATCCAAGAAGAAGATGTTCACACAGTATCAGATATGCAAGAGATTTATTAGAGGAAGATTTCTGATGGTAAATGAGGGAGGGAAGCTGGGGAGGCTGAGAAAACTATTATTTTGTGGACTCATGCTACATGCCAACTGCTTTATATACATTATGGCATATAATTCTCACACTCTATATGATGATGTGGTAGCATAATAATAGACCCCCCAACCCCCAAGATTTCTATGCTCTAATTCTGTACTATAAATATGAAATGTGTTACATGGCAAAGGGAATTAGGATGGCGGAGGGAATTAAAGTTGCTAATCAATGGACCTGCAAAATATGGAGATGATCCTGGATTACCTGGGTGGGTCCGGTGTAATCACAAGGATCTTTAAACATGGAAGAGAGAGGCAGGAGAGAGATGGCAGCATGAGAAGGACTTGGCCCCATGTTGCTGGCTTTGAGAACAGAGAAATGGGGTAAAGAGCCAAGGATGTGTGTGGCCTGCTGAAGCTGGAAAAGGCAGAGAAATAGATTCTTCCCTAAAGCCTCCAGAAGGAACGCAGTCCTACTGACACCTTGATTTTAGCCCATGCGGCCTAATTCAGACTTCTTACCTCCAGAACTGTAAAATGATAATTTGTGTTGTTTTCAGCAGCCAAATTTGTGATAATTTGTTAGAACATCAATATAAAACTGTTAGAAATTCAGAAATGGATATTTTTTATTCTGATTTGATGAATGAAAGAACTGCGTCTTAGAGCAGTTAAGAAAGATTCTTATGGTCACAGGTCTAATTAAAGGCAGAGGATTCAAATTCAGATTTATTTCCAAAGCCTGCACTCTATTTAGTGTGTGGCCTTCCACTGTTACTTGGAATCCTTCAGGTGTCCTTGGCAGGCCCTGGGCTCAAGACTTTCTTGCCTGTCTTAGTGGGCCATTCTAGTGTTTTTCCTAGCTGAGTGCCTTGCTTGGTTATGCAAAGCATCTTCAGCTCTTCTTGGCCATAACTTTGGCTTTGGGGATTGCTGTCCATACCTTTTCATCCAGGACCTTGGAAATGTCCACAGTTTTTCTTGAAACTTCAGTGCTGCTGACAGTTAGTGGAAAAATCCTGTTCACAGAGTATTTCTTATATTAGCTATCCTTCCTTTCTATCTAATATTATAAATCCTGCTTTCCACCTCTATCCACTCTCTGAAACACTGCAACTGGCTTACCCTGGATGCTTACTTTCCATTTTCTTTAGAAAACATGAGGTGGAGTCTGAATAGGGAATAATCCAGGATATGTTTTTTTGTTTGTTTGTTTGTTTGGAGGGGGCTCGCTTTCTGCTAGAGTTGGCTCATAGTCTATTTTCAGGGCAGTAGTCACCTTGGTTACATTGCTGTGAACATCTTTTATTTTACGGGTTAAAAAGTTTTCTGAACTAGACTGCATTTAGCCATCCTTTATAAGAATTTTGTCATTGAGAACATGTGTTATAAATTATACATAACAGATATGACAGCAGTTTAAAACACAATTTGATTATAAGTTGGGGCCTGACAGTATTTTTAGTCAATTAAGGAATTAGACTACATAGCAATTGTTGACTACACTGCTCATGTTCATACAGAGAAAGAATATTACCATTTGAACCCTAAAGGGTGGTTTTGACCCTGTCTCTTGAGCAAAAAATCAGATGGCTCAAATAAATCAGTTTAGTTCTATTTGTTTTATGAGCTGTATAGCAGTTGAAGCCCAAGTTTAATGACTTGTTTCACATATTTTCCCACAAGTCTTTCTTGGAAACCCAAGACATCCAGAGTTATGATGGGTTATCAGAAAAAGGGAGGACAAGGTTCATTATTCTAGAAATATTGCTATCCATAGGAGTGTACAACAGTTGAGGATTTAACTATTTTGATGGTTACTTTGTACTAAATGGACTAACATATAATTCAGGTCTTGTCACAAATGAAAAATTGTTCCCATGGTAAGAATTGAGATAAGAGCCTCTTAATTCTCTTTGGTACATTTTATCTTCCTGTATTATTACACTTATTAGCTTGGTTATTTTTCTAAAAATCTGGATTAGTTTAGGATCTAATTCTCTTCCATTTTGATTTGTTGGGTCATTTTATTGTAGAATATGTATATAAAATTATGCATGGCTTGGTTTTCTTAAATAAACTTTTAATTTTAGAATAGTTTTAGATTTACAGAAAAATTACAGATAGTACAGAGGAGTTCTTGTATACCTTTCTTGCAGTTTCTTCTATTGTAACCTTATATTGCTATGATACATTTGTCACAACCAATAAACCAACACTGATATGTTATTGCTAACTAAACTCTACATTTTATTCAGATTTCCCTAATTTTTCCTTTAATGTCTTTTCTGTGCCAGGATTCAGTGTTACATGTAATCATCATGTCTCCACATTCTGCTCTGTGACAGTCTTTCAGACATGAAAAACAAGGAAGTTTTTCATGACTTTGACAGTTTCAGGAATACTGGTCTGGTCAGGCATTTTGTAGAATGGCCCTTAAATGGGATTTGTCTGAACATTTTCCTTAGGGTTAGACTGGGGTTTGGGTTTTGGGGAGGATGACCACAAAGGTAAAGTGACATTCTCTGACATTATATAAAGGGGACATTCTATTGACATGACTTATCAATGATGATATTAACTTTGATCACTGACCAATGTAGTGTTTGCCAGGTTTTTCCACTGCAAGGTTACTTCCTCACCCTGTCCCTTCCCCTTCCTACTCTCCTGTTTGGAAGTAAGTCACTAATGCAGTCCACACTCAAGGTGGGGAGATTTAAGCTCCTCTTCCTGGAGGGGGAGTATCTGTAAACTAGTTGGAATTCTTCGGTATCCCAACAATTGGGATTTTATTTTTCTTTTATTTGTTTATTATGACTTGATATTGATTTCTTGCACAGTTCTATTTTTTCCTTCTCAAATACAATATGATAGAGAAGATAAGGCATGCCTATTTTAAAAACTACCCTATTTTATTGTATCTAAGATGCCATCACTTGGAAGACATATCCTAATTTGAGAAATGTGAACATATGGGAAAATGTGCATGTTAAAATTGATGCCATGCAGTATAATAGAAAGTACAATCGAATCATCTGGAGGACAGTTTCACAAATTCCTTTAGAAAGAATTTTTATTAACTGTATTATGAAGAAATTCTTTCTTAAATCTTGGATGCAGTGATTTAAGGTAATTTTTTCCTGTTTCATAAAATTGGAAACATCACCTAAATTTAAATCAGTTTGAAATTCTTTATATGCACAATAAACTAAAGTAGATTTTAGGGTCATATCTTTATTTTGTAATTCTCTAAACTGTGTTTTGCACAAAATAGATTGAATTATATTTTATTTATGAGATTAGAATGGTACAAAATGTTTTGTCTTTTCAATGTAAATTGAGTATAGTTCTCTGTTAGTTATTCCACTTTCTTTAATACCTTTTATTTTCTTTTGTTTGGCTCATTTTCTTATACATTGATTCCATTGGTAGAGGTTCATAAAATGTTAGAGTTGAACATCGTTAGAAATGATCTAATTCACTCCTCATTTAATAAGGCCCATAAGAGACTTGGCATAGGTTATCAGCTAGCAAGAACAAAGTGAGATTGGAATGTAGAACTTTTGATGCGAGGCCAGCATTTTCCCCCACTATACAACAATGCTTCATTTTTATTTGACTCGGAAATTTCACTGTAAATCAGCATCCTATGTTTCGAAATAGACGTTTGCATATGGGAAAAGCTAGATTGCTTTAGTTCTTCTTTTCTCTTTGACTTTGGCCTAAGCTTTCCAATACAGCCAGAAAAATTTTCCCTGAATAACTTGTTTTCAGCATGTTTATCATATAGAGGAAACATAAGCTCAGTTGTGAATTGAACTTACTTACATATGTATTTCTTAAATAACCACGAGAATTCTGATCCATCTCCTGTCTATTGAAGGTACCAATAGCTTCAATAGATGTTAAAAAGTCACTTGGTTCAAATTTAAAAGATGTTGTATTAGTAATGTACCTTAAAACTAAAGGATAGGCAACCTAAAAGTGTTTGAGAGTCTTAAGAGAATGTATTCATCTCTAATATAGTGATTCTGCCTGATAAAGAAATGAATGTTTTCCTCTGTAGATTTCATATGATATTATCTCATATCCAATGCATATTTTATTTATATTGTTTACATACAGAGGAAATTCTTATTCTGTGTGTATGGGTTTCAGAGAAATAAAATAAAATAAAGTGAATAAAAATAACAGTGTCTGTTGTTTTTAAGTATACATATGGCTTTGATGGTTTCTATCCACATTGTCAAGAAACAGTAATCATATTGCTCTGGGATTGATCACTTTTGCATTTAGGGGATTGGACTTAAACATTTAAATTCCAAATTAACAAAAGGAAACTCTACATAATACGGTTTACAATTTTGTTTTGACAGCCATGCTATATTTATTCACAACAAAGCCTGGGAATCTTGCAGATTTTTCTCTTCCTCTCTTATCTGCACATTTTTACAGATAACAGACTGTTCTGCATTTATTAATGAAGCTTGCTCTGAAGTAGTTGCCTTGTTTTCTTTTCTTTTCCAAATGGATGCATCATCTGGTTTGACAGAATTGGAATTTGGGAAAGTGAAGTTTGTTTTCCATGCTGGAAATACCTTGCAGTGTCCTTGTTGATCTAGATCTGACTAATGTTTTACTATAAGTTTGCAACAACAATTGTAGCAAGGACAAAAGCAAAAGTTAAACCTTGGAAAGTTTCCCACAGAGTTAGTACCTTATATTTTCAGAAATAACATGGCCAAGTTGACCATTTGACAACATTTTTTCCCTAATGCATATTCAAGGATTTCTATGTGTCTACTTAATAGAATTCTTTATATAACCCATGTTTCTCTAGGCCTTACCTGCTAGGAGTACATCATAACTGTCATGACAAAAATGTCTTTGTATATCTATTGTGGGATTTTCATGTCTTTCATATGTGTTCATAAGGTTAGCACTGGCCATACAATCACTATTTTCTCTCCACTTGGTAACTGGCTGCATGGCCCTAGCTCTCAAGCTGATGATCAGTGGAGGCAGCTGGCCCAGTGCCCAGGCTGTAGTGCTCCTACATAACTGGCTGCCTCCGTCTCTATCTGGTAACATGGCCCCACTCTTTCTCCACTAGGTAAGTGTCAAAAAGTAACACACTGCCAGCCACATGTTGAAGTGTGGCTAATACCCTCCACTACTATTTGTGCCAAGTTGTGTTCACCAGTTCCTTTTAGAGATTTTGCTGATATGATTATATAATTTTTAATTTGCTATTATATTTTAGTCTTCTCCTCCCAACTACCCCCTGACCCCTGACTCCTAGGCTTCAGCTGACTCTAAGGACAATTTTAACAACACATTACTGTGCTATTTCAAACTCAGTCCTCACTTGGAAACTATTATCTGTGTTCCTGCCTATCCTTTTCTTCAAGACAAGTTTCATTAAGCAAAGAGAACCCTCCGCTCCTCCTGGACATATCTGAATTTTCAAAGCATGTGCCACAACCATTGAAAAACTTTTTCTGCCTTAAGCACTCTTGTTTTTGGAGGCTTCAGTCACTTCATAGCAAATGTATTAAAATATACTTACAATGCAACCCAACATTAAACGTAGTTTTTGATATAGAAAAATTTGGAAATATTTTTATAAATGTACTTTGAAATTTAATATCTTATGAGTAATGTTTAATTCATGTGTTGTGATTCTTGCTCACACATAAATACTATTTAATTTAAATTAGATGTTAGGTACCATTGGGAATTCTTTTGTAGTAAGATAAACTAATATACAAACTTTTTAAATATAATGAATTGTTTATGATAGCATAATTTAAAGTTAATTGAGTCTCATAATACATTTTGCAGGCAATTACGTTATTCATTTTTACTTTCTTTTTATATTTTGATATCAATATTAGTTTTTCACAGGGTATTGCAAACATTATATTTCCCCCAAATGCATCTATAATGCCTAGTAAATTAACAACGCCCTGGAATTTGTATTTGCTTTGGATGCTTTAAAGTGTTGCTTATATGATCTTCCCTTTTTTTCTCCCTACTCCTTCCTTCCTTCCTTCCTTCCTTCCTTCCTTCCTTCCTTCCATTCCTCCCTCCCTCCCTCCCTCCATCCCTTTCTCCCTCTTCCTATTCTTCCTTCCTTATTTCCTTCGGAACTCTAACTATGTGTTTGCATGTAGTTATCACAACACGGATCATTGTACATTGTGTATGGGATTACTTAACCTGTTTGGATAGTGTATATAAAAGAAAAAGTGATGAAGAATAAAATATAGGCCTTTATGTAGCAGCACTGAATGAATAAAATGGTAAAATATGAAGTAAGGAAAATAGAGATTTCCTATGGTTTTCTTACCCTTCCATAAGGCAGGGCATAGAAAAGCTGGGAACTGAGAATGTGTGAAAGTTAGAACAGAAGATGCAGCAATGAAGTATCAAATTCTAGTTGAAAAGCAAGGGCACAGTTGAAGAGCAAAATGGAGGCTAATTATTGGCTGTCAGGAAGCATCAAACCAAGAGTTCAGTGGACTGGATACCAGAAGCAGAATCTAGGATAAGAGCCAGAACCTGCTTCATATGTCTTTTTGCTAGATGTATTTCCTCTTTCATGAATTGTCTGTTTTTGACCTTTGCTCACTTATCTTTTGGGATTTTAGTGTTTCTGTTATCTGCTTGTTTGATCTCTTTATTCAACATATTAAGCTAGATCTATCATGTTTACAACAAAAACTTTTTCTCATAATTGCTTTTTTTTTTACCATAGGTTTCTAACATCACATCTTTCTAGTCTTTTTACATTTATTTTTATAGTTTCCTAGTCTGTTTTCTCCTGCTATAACAGAATACCACAGACTGCGTAATTTATAAAGAAAACATATTTATTTGGCTTGTGATTCTGGTGGCTGGGAAGTCCAAGATCAAGCGGCTGTATCTAATGAGTGTCATCCCATAGAAGAAGGCAGAAGCATGGAAGGGTGGAAGTGAGTACCCTAGATGAAGAGAAAGTGGGGGCCAAACTTATCCTTTATCAGGAGCCCACTCCTGAGATAACTAACTCACTCCTGCAAAGTTGGTATTAAACCATTCATGAGGATGGAGCCTTCATGGCCTAATTACCTCATAAAGGCCCTACCTCTTAATACTGTTACAATGGCAGTTTAAGTTTCTAACACATGAACTTTGGGGACACTTTCAAACCATAGCAGGTTCTAAGTCTCGAAAGGCCATCTATAGATATATAGATATTATATCTAAAAGAAATAAATATATATTTATAAATTACATACAATTTATATATCTAGAATAAAGTCTTTTTTTCATAAAGTTGTCTATGATTCAATCTTTAACTTTTTTTTAAACTTTTATTTTAGGTTCAGCGTACATGTGCAGGTTTTTTATATAGGTAAATTTGTGTCACAGTGGTTTGTTGTACAGACTATGTCATCACCCAGGTATTAAGCCTAGTACCCAATAGTTATTTTTTCTGATTCTCTCCCTCCTCCTACTCTCTACCCTCAAATAGGCTCCAGTGTCTGTCATTCCCCTCTTTGTGTCCATGAGTTCTTATCCTTTATCTCCCACTTGTAAGTGAGAACATGTGGTATTTGATTTTCGATTTCTGCATTAGTTTGCTAAGGATAATGGCCTCCAGCTCAATCTATGTCCCTTCAAAAGACATGATCTCATTCTTTTTTGTAGCTGCATAGCATTGAATGGTGTATATGTACCATATTTTCTTTATCCAGCCTACCGCTGATGGGCATTTAGGTTGTTTGTGAATTGTGCTGCAGTGAACATTCATGTGCATATGTCTTTATGGTAGAATGATTTATATTAATCTGGGCATATATCCAGTAATGGGATTGCTGGGTCAAATGGTAGTTCTGTTTTTAGGTCTTTGAGGAATCGCCACACTGCGTTCCACAATGGTTGAACTAACTTACACTCCCATCAACAATATATAAGTGTTCCCTTTTTACCACAACTTGACCAGCATGTGTTATTTTTTCACTTTTAAATAATAACCATCCTGACTGGTGTGAGATGGCATCTCATTGTGGTTTTGATTTGCATTTCTCTAATGATCAGTGATATTGAGCTTTTTTTCATATGCTTGTTGGCCACATGTTATGTCTTCTCTTGAAAAGTGCCTGTTCATGTCTTTTGTCCACTTTTTAATGGGGTTATTTGTTTTTTCTTGTAAATTTGTTTAAGTTTCTTATAGATGCTGGATATCAGACCTTTGTTAGTTTGCAAAATTTTTTCCTACTATTTAGGTTGTCTGTTTATTGATAGTTTCTTTTGCTGTGCAGAAGCTCTTTAGTTTAATTAGATCCCATTTGTCAATTTTTGCTTTTGTCCTGATTGCTTTAGGCATCTTCGTCATGAAATCATTGCTTGTTCTTATGTTCAGAATGGTATTGGCTAGCTTGTCTTCAGGGGTTTTATAGTTTTGGATTTTACATTTAAGTCTTTAATTCATCTTGAGTTGATTTTTGTATATGGTGTAAGGAAGGGGTCCAGTTTCAATCTTTAGCATATGGCTAGACAGTTATCCCAGCACCATTTATTGAATAGGGAGTCCTTTCTCCATTGCTTGTTTTTGTCAGATTTGTCAAAGATCACATAGTTGTAGGTATACAGCATTATTTCTGGGCTAGGTGCCTCTTTTTGTAACACTACCATGCTGTTTTGTTACTATAGCCCTGTAGTATAGTTTGAAATTGGGTAATATGATGCCTCCAGTTTTGTTCTTTTTGCTTAGCATTGCCTCGGCTATTTGGGCTCTGTTTTGGTTCCATATGAATTTTAAAATAGTTTTCTCTAGTTCTGTAAAGAATGTTATTGGTAGTTTGGTAAGAATAGCATGGAATCTATAAATTGCTTTGGGCAGATTGGCCCATTTTAATGACATTGATTCTTTCTATCCATGAGCATGGAATGTTTTTCCATTTGTTTCTGTTTTCTCACATTTCTTTGAGCAGTGTTTTGTAATTCTCATTTTAGAGATCTTTCCCCTCCCTTGTTAGCTGTATTCCTAGGTTTTTAATTCGTTTTGTGTCAATTGTAAATGAGATTCGGCTGATTTGGCTTTTGGCTTGACTGTTGTTGGTGTATAGTAATGGAAGTGATTTTTGTATATTGGTTTTGTATCCTGAAACTTTGCTGAAGTTGTTTATCAGCTGAAGGACCTTTTGGGCTGAGACTATGAGGTTTGCTAGATATAGAATCATGTCATCTGCCACCTATAGATATATAAATATTATTATATTTAATATATATTTAGAAATTAAAATAATATATATTTCTAAATTGTATAACAATTATATATCTATAATAAATAGTAATTTTTTATCAAGTTTTTGATAAGAAATCCTATGCGAGTTAAAGAGTTAAAGATGGAATCTTTAAGAATTCCATCTTAATTCAATCTTAAAGAATCTTTAAGATTCCATCTTAACTCTTCAACTCGCATAGAATTTCTTTTAGTATAAAATGTACAACAGGTGCTCAAATTATTTTTTCTTTAAATACATAATCAATTATCCCAAAAGCGTTTATTAAATGATATGTTTTATTATTCATTCATTCATTCATTCTTCTTTGATTAGGAGTTTTTTAAATCATGAATAAGTTCTTTCTATTTTAGGCTAGCTATCCTGTTTTATTAATCTACTTTTATATCCGTAGCACTTTGTTTTATTATTATAGCTTTAGGATGCTTAATCTCTTTCTTTTTAGAATTATCTTACCTGCTTAATTTTCCAGATGAATTTTAGAATTATTCTATCACTTTCTGAACAAATTGCATTGGAGTTTTGATTGGAGTTGCATAAATCTATAAATGAATTGGACAGAATTTCTTTAATTTCTCTTCATACACAGGAACATTTATTCATATATTCTAATATTTCACTTTTCATTATTAAAAACCAGTCCCTTTCCCTGCTCTCCTCCCTCATTATTTGATTAGTGAGGTAAGACCATACGAATCATATGAATTGGTGCATGAAGATGACAACTCTTTGCTGTCCATCACAAATTTGCAGTTATTTTGAAAGCAGGGGTGACAAGAAGCACTCAGCTATCATAAATTCTTGCTCAGGTGTTTCTGTAGCCAAAAGCTCAGCTCTTTTATAGCTCTAGCTATACAGAGTTGCACTTTCTGCAAAGTTAAGTGGCTCATTCTAATAGCACTTTATTTGAATCTCTTTTGCTTTGTATAATTAACAATAATTTATTCATTGAACTAACATTGAAAGAGCTCTTCCTTTGTGCCAGACTCTTATCTAGGCCCTGGAAATATAAGAGGTGAATGAAACAGGAAAAGTCTCTGCTCTTGGGGAGACTTTATCCTGGTCAGAGAAGACAGACAATGAGCAGGTAAACAAACACATACACATCAAGCAGTTATAAGAGCTATGAGGATGAATAAAGACAGGTAAAGTAGAAATGTGATGACCAAGGGGTGTTGTTTGATACAAGGTGGTCAGGGATCATCTTTCTTTGAAAGTGACATTGAGCAGCGACCTGAATACATGGGAGGAAATGGGCCAAACAGATATGGGTGGTAGTGGTGGGGAATGTTCTAGACTGAGGGGATATGTGCAGAACAAAGGTGGAGGCTTTTCTTTGAAGGAACAAGGAGCAAGGAGAAGAGTGGTAGTATTTGGGGAAATATAATTAAAAACAAAATCTTCCAACCCAGATATGCTCTTCACAAAGGTAGTTGAGAAAGAAAACACTTTTATCATTGAATAAGCATTAAACTAGATTGTGTTGCATATCATAGGCAATCTACTGAAAGATTTCAAAGAAAAAAATCTCATTCTTTTACATAGCCAAGAAGATACAATCTATTACACGCATGTTTTAAGATAAACAATAACTAGTCCTCAAGCAAGACAACTTCCCAGCACCACTTGCCACATATAGCTTACGCTAGATTCACCTGGTAATTGGAGTGACCATCAATGTTAGCTAATTGGCATTATCCAGAGGAAAACCAACTTGTCATTTTTTTTATTGTTTTTTATTTTTTGAGACGGAGTCTCTCTCTGTCACCCAGGCTGGAGTGCAGTGGCGCGGTCTCAGCTCACTGCAAGCTCTGCCTCCTGGGTTCACGCCATTCTCCTGCCTCAGCCTCCCGAGTAGCTGGGACTACAGGCGCCCGCCACCACGCCCGGCTAATATTTTGTATTTTTAGGAGAGACGGGGTTTCACCGTGTTAGCCAGGATGGTCTCGATCTCCTGACCTCATCATCCACCCTCCTTGGTCTCCCAAAGTGCTGGGATTACAGCCGTGAGCCACCATGCCTGGCCTAGGATGTAGTTTTGCAATGTGGAACAAAGTGCCTACCTAAGTTGGGCTATTATCCTTCCACAAAAACTGGGAGATAGGGCTCCTATCTCCCTTGATGTCTATATTCAAAGAGATGGCTCCAAGGTTTTTGAGAAAGACATTCCTTGGTCATGAAACTGGTAAGATCCTATCTAGTTTTCAAAAGGATTTATATACATTTCAAAGCGAGAAGAAAGTACTTACAAGTTTTCTGAAGTAAATGCTATAAGAAAAGATGAGGAGGGTCTCTTATTTTCAACAGGGAAAATTAAGCCTTTTAAAAATTTTGTATTTGTCCTTACATAGATGATAAGTGAGAGAAGGAAACAGACCTTATGAACAGTGGTCAGCACTTTAGATTTTACTCTGAGTAAGATGAGGGTCCTGAGAAGTTTTGAGCAGGGGAATGACACATTCCTTTGGGGTTTTAGAAGGAAACCCTATCTGCTGCATTGAGAGTTCGGTCTAGGAGAGCTCAGGTGGAGGTTGTAGTTTTTGAAAGTTCTGTCAGGGGTGGACTAGGGAGTAGGGGTGGGAGTGTAGGAGAGCACAGTATAGATTTTAAGGGATACAGTGGAAGGGTTTAGATGTTAGAAGGGGTGTAGGCTTAAGTTAAATGAGGAGATGTACAAAGCTCACAAATGACTGATTCGGTTCAAAATACAGGCCTTTTTCTTCATGTTTGCCTTCCCTTGCATTCCATATTGTAAGGTGCTTGAGGGCAGAGACTGTATCTCGCGTTTGTTGAATGAAAGATTAACTTGCCATCTATGCTTTAATACTATGTGAGGGAACAGGTCAGTGTGTCAACTGGTATGTCCCTTTTATCTTTTCTCTCTGATGTTTATTGAGCATCTGTCATGTACCAGACACTAGGACAAAATGAAGCTTTCTCTGCCCTCAGGAAGCTCACTGTCTACTTGAGATAGATGAGTAAATGGGTTATTGCAGTGCAAGATGATAAATTCTATGATGGCTGTATGCAGTAATTTGCTGAAATAAAATTTATATGTAATCCCATAATTGTATATCTCAAACATAAATTTCTATTGATGATCCTGTTATTATTCAAAGAATACCTGCTTAAACTCAGCCTACCTTTGGCTGCTGAATAGTGGTATTGCTTTAAGAACCAAAGACCTCTCTGCTATGCTTAGAATATGTCTCCCAAAAAGCATGTGTTGGAAATCTAATCCCCGGTACAACAGTTTGGAAGGTAGGGCCTAATAGGAGGTGATTAGGTCATGAGGGCTCTGCCTTCTTAAATGGATTAATGTTGTTATCATGGAAGTGGGTTGCAGTAGGTTTGTTATCTTGGGAGTGGGGCAAAGGGCAAAGAAAGGGTTCACCCCTCTCTTTTCTTTTCTTGTGTTTCTTATAGGCAACAGATCAACAGGTCTTTTTTTTTTTAATGCATTTAGCTCCTCTACATCATTTGATTGCAGAGTTTAGTTCATTTATATTCAATAATATTATTTATAAGAACTTATGCCTGTTATTTTGTTATTTGTTTTCTGGTTGTTTTGTTGTTTTCCTTTTTTCCCTATGAAGTTGCTTTTCTTTGGTGTTATGATTTAATTTCTTGCTTTTTTTGTGTGTGTATTTGTTGTATGTTTTTTTCAATTTGAGGTTACCATTAAGCTTGCAAGTTTTCTTTTTTCTGTTATGTCTTTGTCTGGTCTGCTTTTGGTGTCAGGGTAATACTCGCCTCATGGAATGAGTTTGGAAGTACTCCCTCCTTTATTTTTCAGAGTAGTTTGAGCAGAATTGGTATTAGTTTTTTTTTCCTGATTATTTGTTCTTCATAAACTATATTGTAGTAATTAGTTCTTCTTTAAATGTTTGATAGGATTCAGCAGTGAAGCCATAGGTCCTGAGCCTTTGTTTGCTGGATGACACTTTATTATGGCTTGGATCTCTTTGCTTATTATTGGTCTCTTCAGGTTTTGGATTTCCTTGTGGTTCAATCTTGGTAGGTTGTATGTGTCTAGGAATTTTTCCATTTCCTTTAGATTTTCCAATTTGTTGGCATATAGTTGCTCATAGTAGCTACTAATTATCCTTTGAATTTCTGTGGTATCAGTTGTAACATCTCTTTTTTAATCTCTGATTTTATTTATTTGGATTTTCTCTCCTTTTTTCTTAGTTATTCTGGCTAAAAGTTTGTCAATTTTGTTTAGGCTTTCAAAAAACTAACTTTTCATTTCATCGATCTTTTGTATTGTTTTCTTCATTTCAATTTCACTTATGTCTGCTCTGATCATTATTATTTATTTTCTTCTACTAATTTTGGGTTTGGTTTGCTCTGGCTTTTTTAGGTCTTTAAAATTCATCATTAGGTTATTTATTTGAAGTTTTTCTTCTTTTTCGATGTAGGCATTTATAGGTATGAACTTGCCTCCTGGAGCTACTTTCACTGTGTTTTACAGGTTTTGGTATGTTGTGTTTCCATTGTCATTTGTTTCAAGAAATTTGTAAATTTTCTTCTTAATTTTTTCATTGACCCACTAGTCATTCAGGAGTATATTGTTTAATTTTCATATGTTTGTATAGTTTCCAAAATTCCTCCTGTTATTGGTTTCTAGTTTTATTCCACTGTGGCCAGAAGAGATCCTTGATATTATTTTAATTTCTTGAATATCTTAAGACTTGTTTTGGGACCTAACATATGATCTGTCCTTGAGAGTGATCCTTGTGCTGAAGAAAAGAATGTGTATTCTGCAGCCATTGAAATGTTCTGTAAATTTCTATTAAGTCCATTTGTTCTATAGCACAGATTAAATATTACATTTCTTTGTTGATTTTCTGTCTGGAAGATCTGTCCAATTCTGAAATGAAAGTAATTCAAGATGGATTAAAGACTTAAACATTAGACCTAAAACCATAAAAACCCTAGAAGAAAACCTAGGCATTACCATTCAGGACATAGGCATGGGCAAAGACTTCATGTCTGAAACACCAAAAGCAATGGCAACAAAAGCCAAAATTGACAAATGGGATCTAATTAAACTAAAGAGCTCCTGCACAGCAAAAGAAACTACCATCAGAGTGAACAGGCAACCTACAAAATGGGAGAAAATTTTCACAACCTACTCATCTGACAAAGGGCTAATATCCAGAATCTATAATGAACTCAAACAAATTTACAAGAAAAAAACAAACAACTCCATCAAAAAGTGGGCAAAGGATATGAACAGACACTATTCAAAAGAAGACATTTATGCAATCAAAAGACGCATGAAAAAATGCTCATCATCACTGGCCATCAGAGAAATGCAAATCAAAACCACAATGAGATATCATCTCACACCAGTTAGAACGGCAATCATTAAAAAGTCAGGAAACAACAGGTGCTGGAGAGGATGTGGAGAAATAGGAACACTTTTACACTGTTGGTGGGACTGTAAACTAGTTCAACCATTGTGGAAGTCAGTGTGGTGATTCCTCAGGGATCTAGAACTAGAAATACCATTTGACCCAGCCATCCCATTACTGGGTATATACCCAAAGGACTATAAATCATGCTGCTATAAAGACACATGCACACGTATGTTTATTGCGGCACTCTTCACAATAGCAAAGACTTGGAACCAACCCAAATGTCCAACAACGATAGACTGGATTAAGAAAATGTGGCACATATACACCATGGAATACTATGCAGCCATAAAAAATGATGAGTTCATGTCCTTTGTAGGGACATGGATGAAATTGGAAATCATCATTCTCAGTAAACTATTGCAAGGATGAAAAACCAAACACCGCATGTTCTCACTCATAGATGGGAATTGAACAATGAGAACACATGGACACAGGAAGGGGAACATCACACTCTGGGGACTGTTGTGGGGTGGGGGGAGGGGGGAGGGATAGCATTAGGAGATATACCTAATGCTAAATGACAAGTTAATGGGTGCAGCACACCAGCATGACACATGTATACATATGTAACTAACCTGCACATTGTGCACATGTACCCTAAAACTTAAAGTATAATAATAATTAAAAAAAAAGAAAGTAGGGTGTTAAAGTCTCTAGTTGTTATTATATTGAGGTCTACCTGTCTCTTTAGCTCTAATGATATATATCTGGGTGCTCTATCATTGGGTGCATATATATTTACAATTTTTATATCCTCTTGCTGAATTGACCCTTTATCATGCTGAATTGATCCTTTATAATGATTTTTTTGTCTCTTTGTACAGTTTTTGTCTTGAAATCTATTATGTCTGATGTAAGTATAGCTACTCCTTTTTTGGGGGGCTGTTCATTCAGATAGAGTATCTTTTATCATTCCTTTGTTTTCAGTCTATGTGTATTTTTGTAAGTGAAGTGTGTTTCTTGTAGGCAACAGATCATTGGGTCTCTCTCTTTTTTTTAATCTGTTTAGCCACTCTGTGACATTTGATTGCAGAGTTTAGTCCATTTACATTCAATATTATTATTGATAAGTAAGGACTTATTGTTATTTTGTTATTTGTTTTCTGGTTGTTCTGTGGTCTTCTCTTTCTTTTTTCCCCATGAAGGTGATTTTCTTTGGTGGTATGATTTAATTTACTGCTTTTTATTTTTTTGTGTATTTGTTGTCTGTTTTTTCAATTTGAGGTTACCATGAAGTTTGCAAATACTATCTTATAACCCGTTATTTTACACTGATAACAACTTAACACTGATTGCATAAACAAAAAAACAAAAAGAAAACTAATAAAAACTCTACACTTTAACTTCATCTCCCTGCTTTTTATCATTTGGTTGTTTCTCTTAGGTCTTATTGCACTGCTTATGCCTTATTGCACTGCTTAGGCTTTGAATAGTTGTTGTAGTAATTATTTTTGATTGGTTCATCATTAGTTTTTGTACTTAAGAGTAGTTTACACACCACAATTACAACATTGTAATAGTCTGTGTTTTTCTGTATGCTTACAATTAACAGTGAGTTTTGTACCTTCAGATGACTTCTTATGATAATGAATATCCTTTTCTTTCTGCTTGAAGAGATCCCTTTAGTATTTCTTGTAGGTCTGGTCTTGATGAAATTCCTCAGCTTTTCTTTGTCCAGGAAAGTATTTCTCCTTCATGCTTGAAGGATATTTTCACAGTATATACTATTCTAGAATAAAAGTTTTTTCCTTCAGCACTTTAGATATGTAATACCACTCTCTCCTGGCCTATAAAGTTACCACTGAAAAGTCTGCTGCCAGATGTATTGGAGCTCCATTGTATGTGATTTGTTTCTTTTCTTTTGGTGCTTTTAGGATCCTTTCTTTATCCTTGAACTTTGGGAGTTTTGTTATTAAATGCTTTAAGGTAGTCTTTGGGTTAAATATGCTTGGTGTTCTATAGTCTTCTTGTATTTGAATGTTGATATCTTTCTCTGGGTTTGGGCAGTTCTCTGATATTGTATTTTTGAATAAACTTTCTATCACTATCTCTTTTTCTACCTCCTCTTTAAGACCAATAATTCTTAGATTTGCCCTTTCGAGGCTATTTTCTAGATCTTGAAGGCATGCTACATTGCTTTTTATTCTTTTTTTTTTTTTGTCTTCTCTCACTGTATATTTTCTTATAGTCTGTTTTCAAGCTCACTGATTCTTTCTTCTGATTGACCAGTTCTGCTATTAAGGTATTCTGATGCATTATTCAGTTTGTCAATTGCATTTTTTAACTCCAGAATTTCTGCTTGCTTCTTTTTATTATTTAAATCTCTTTGTTAAATTTATCTGATGGAATTCTGAATTCCTTCTCCATGTTATCTTGAATTTCTTTGAGTTTCCTTAAAGCAGCTTTTTGAATTCTCTCTCTTAAAGGTCACCTATCTCTGTGTCGCCAGTATTGGTCCCTGGTGCCTTATTTAGTTTGTTTGGTGAGGTCATGTTTTCTTGGATGGTATTGTTGCTTGTGGGTATTTGTCAGTGTCTGGGCATTGAAGAGTTAGGTATTTATTGTAGTGTTCTCAGTCTGGGCTTGTTTGTGCCCATCTTTCTTGGAAAGGCTTCCCAGGTATTTGAAGGGATTTGGGCCCCAGGCCCAATAATGCTGTGGTTCCTGCAAACTTATAGAGGTGCAGTCTTGGTGGTCTTGTATAGAATCTAGAATAATTTTCTGGATTACTAGGCAGAGACTCTTGTTCTCTTCTCTTACTTTCTCTCAAACAAATGGACCTTCTCTCTCTGTGCTGAGCTGCCTGCATCTGGGGATGGGGTAACACAATCCCCCCTGTGGCCACCAATACTGGGACTACAGAGGTCAGACCTGAAGCCAGGACAGCACTGGGTCTCACCAAAGGCTTACTGTAACCACTAACTGGCTACTGACTAGCTCATTCTAGGGTTCTACAATCAGTAGGTTCGGAAGCCAGCTAGGTTTATGTCCTTCCCTTCAGAGTGGAAAGTTCTCCTGGGTCTTGAGTAGGTTCAGAGATGCTGTCTAGGAGCCAGGGATTCTAGTAAAAAAACCTTAGAAATCTGCCTTGTGTTCTGTTTTACTGCATCTGAGCTTGCCCTCAAACCACAAGACAAAGTCCTTCCCACTCTTCCCTCCACTTTCCACAGGCGGAGCTGTCTCTTTCCATCGCCACCACCACCACCACAGGTGACAAGAGTTACTTCCAGGCCACTGCTGATGTTCACTTAAAGCCAAAGGGCTCTTCAGTCAGCTTGTGGTGAACGCTGCCAGGCCTGGAAGTCACCCTTAAGGGATGTGGGCTCCCTTCTGGCCCAGGGTAAGTCCAGAAATTCTGTTTAAGAACCTAGGTCTGGACTCAAGGACCCCAAGAGTCAGCTTGATACTCTACCTCACTGTGGCTGAGTTGGTACCTAATGTGCAAGAAAAAGCCCC
Organism: Homo sapiens; assembly: GCF_000001405.40. NCBI lineage: Eukaryota > Metazoa > Chordata > Mammalia > Primates > Hominidae > Homo > Homo sapiens. The sequence continues at coordinate 67,439,967 of NC_000010.11, read as the reverse complement.
CTTTACGTTTCCCCATGCTTTTCTCAGGCAGAAAGAATTTTTCACCATAGTTCCCACAGCTGGGAATATTCTGCATCTCCCCTAAAGCCAGCATGTCTCAGAGTTTCACCCAAGGCCCATGGCATATTACCTGGATATTGCCTTTGGTTGTTCGGGGCCGAAGGGCTCCTTAGTCAGATGATGAATCCTGCCAGGACTTGGTCTTTCCCTTCAAGGTAGCAGGCTCCCTTCTGGGCAGGTTCCCAGGGTGTGTTGAGAAATGTTGCCCAGGAGCTACGGACTGGAATGGGGGTCTGATATGGTTTGGTTCTCTGTCCCTATTTAAATGTCATGTTTAATTGTAATCCTTATTGTTGGAGGTGGGGGGCCTAGTGGGAGGTGATTGGATTATGAGGACAGTTTCTTATGGTTTAACACCATCCCCCTTGGTGCTGTTGTCACGATAGTGAGTGAGTTCTCATGAGGTCTGGTTGTTTAAAAGTGTGTAGCACCTTCCCCCTCTCTCTCTTGCTCTTGCTCCGGCCATGTAAGATGTGCTTGCTTCCCCTTTGCCTTTTGCCATTGATTGTAAGTTTCCTGAGACCTCCTTATGAGCTGAACAGATGCCAGCATCATGTTTCCTGATGCTGATTGGCAGAACCATGAGCCAATTAAACCTCTTTTCTTTATAAAATTTTCAGCCTCAGGTATTTCTTTATCACAATGCAAGAACAGGCTAATACAGGGCCTCAGGACTCTGCCTGATGCCCTATCCTGTTGTGGGTGAGCTGGTATTCTAGATGCAAGGCAAAGTCCTCTTTGCTATTTGCTTTCCTCTCCTCAAGCAGAAGGAAAGAGTCACTTTCATTTCTGCGAGCAGGGCTGCCTGGGCTTGTGGGAGGAGTAGAAAAAACACCCCGTTTTTCACTCTGTCCCTAGGTCATGTGCCACCCTAGTCCACTGGCTCTAAGCTCAGCAGTAGGAGGAATTTCAGTCCTTGTGTCATAGACTGCCTTTAAAGCTTACCAAGGACCCCAGAGCTCTCTGGCCCGCAGTGGTGATGTTTGTCAAGAAACTCAAGTTCTGACCACTGGGATGGGCGATTTCCCTCTGGCTAGGGCTTGTCCAAATGTTCCCTTTTTGGGCAGGAGCTGGCTAAGCCCAGCATGGCTTTGCTCTCTGCTGTGACAGGGCATAAGTTCAATCTTCCTTCAAGGCAGCAAGTGCCCCAGCCACTGTGCTCTTCCACCCCCTTGTGCACAGATTCTCTCTCTGTGCCAGATGGTCACTGCCTGGAGATTGGGGAGGGGTGGCACCAGCAATTCAAAGCTGTCTTTCATACCCTCTTCAGTGCTTCTTTCAGCAATATGAAGTTAAAACCAGGTGCTGTGATTGCTTACCTGATTTTTTGTTCTTATGTCAGTGCTTTTTTGTGTGTAGTTAGTTGTTAAAATTTGGTATTCCGGCTTTAGGGACAATTGATGGTGGCTTCTATTTGGCCATCTTGCTCCTCCCTTGAATATTTAATTTTAGATGCTAGTGGTGTTGTAAGGAGTTTCACTGTCAGGATCTGATGCTGAGGCCAATAAGGTCTATGTACTGCCTTCACGGAGCAGATGTTTAGAGAGAGCCTGCTGTGTGTCAGATACTGTCCTGAGAGATTTCAGCAGTGAATGAAACTCTCAAAAATTTCTACCCTCATGAAATTTATACTTTATTGATAGTTTTGGCAGCCTTGCCTCTTGTATGTTGACATACAATTTTTCTTCTTTTAGGAGGGGTGGTGGGAACATTCCCATCATGCCCAAACTGCCAAGTACTGCTTATGCCAGTAAGTGGGAAAAACAACTTGGCTGTGAGTCGGTAGTGCTCCCTGACCCTTTCCTCTTAATTTATTTATTTTCCTCCAAGCCATTATTTGTTGCTCTTTCAAATGCAGTCTTTTTCTTTTTTTTTAGCAAGTTTAAATCTTTTATTTCATATTTCTCCAGAAAAAGTAATTATAAGCTTATTCTACCATTTTTATACCAAAATTCTACCATTTTTATAATTATTTTATCTTAATTTATTTTCCTCCAAGCCATTATTTGTTGCCCTTTCAAATTCAGTATTTTTCTTTAGCAAATTTAAATCTTTTATTTCATATTTCTCCAGAAAAAGTAATTATAGGCTTATTTTACCATTTTTATACCCAGTCAGAAAGTTAGCTAAAACAGCTCTTTTTTCCTATTTTCATTTCATTCCAGAAAAAAGTTATAAAACTAATTACCACATCAACCTTAAAAATATCTAAGAATATTTAAGTTCTATTTCTTTTTTTCTTACTAAGAAATTGATAAAAGAAAGACAAAGTGAAAAATTTTTACTAATTTATATTACAACTCAAATGGCCAGTTACATAGGTTGTAGTTCCTACATGATTAGATCATTTCTAAAATTAGTTGTTTTTTTGTGTAATTTTTATATTTTTAAATTTTATTAAATTTATTGGGGTATTTATTAAATTTATTGGGGTATTTATTAAATTTATTGGGGTACAGATGGTATTTGGTTACATGAGTAAGTTCTTTAGTGGTGATTTGTGAGATTTTGGTGCACCCATCACCCAAGCAGTATACACTGCACCATATTTGTAGTATTTTATCCCTCACCCCACTCCCAGTCTTCCTCTCAGGTCCCCAAAGTCCATTGTATCATTCTTATGCCTTTGGGTCCTTATTGCTTACCTCCCACATATCAGTGAGAACATATGATGTTTGGTTTTCCATCCCTGAGTTACTTCACTTAGAATAATAGTCTCCAATCTCATCCAGGTCGCTGCAAATGCTGTTAATTTATTCCTTTTTATAGCTGCATAGTATTCCATCTATGTATTTACTGCAGTTTCTTTATCCACTCATTGATTGATGGGCATTTGCATTGGTTCCACGATTTTGCAGTTGTGAATTGTGCTGCTGTAAACATGCATGTGCAAGTATCTTTTCGAATAATGACTTCTTTTCCTCTGGGTAGATACACATTAGTGGGATTGCTGGATCAAATGGTAGCTCTACTTTCAGTTCTTTAAGAAATCTCCATACTGTCTTCCATAGTGGCTGTACTAGTTTACATTTCCACCAGCAGTGTAGAAGTGTTCCCTGATCACCGCATCCATGCCAACATCTACTGTTTTTTGATTTTTTGCTTATGGCCATTCTTGCAGGAGTAAGATGGTATTGCCTTGTGGTTTTGATTTGCATTTCCCTGATAATTAGTTATGTTGAGCATTTTTTCATATGTTTGTTGGCCATCTGTGTATCTTCTTTTGAGAATTGTCTTTTCATGTCTTTAGCCCATTTTTTGATGGGATTGTTTATTTTTTTCTTATTGATTTGTTTGAATTCATTGTAGGTTCTGGATATTAGTCCTTTGTCAGATGTATAGATTGTGAAGATTTTCTCCCACTCTGTGGTTTGTTTGTTTACTCTGCTGACTGTTCCTTTTGCTGTGCAGAAGCTCTTTAGTCTGATTAGGTCCCAGCTATTTATCTTTGTTTTTATTGCATTTGCTTTTGGGTTCTTGGTAATGAAATCCTTGCCTAAGCCAATGTCTAGAAGGGTTTTCTAATGTTATCTTCTAGAATTTTAATAGTTTCAGGTCTTAGGTGTAAGTCCTTAATCCATCTTGAGTTGATTTTTTATAAGGTGAGAGATTAGGATCCAGTTTCATTATCCTACTTGTGTCTAGCCAATTATCCCAGCACCATTTGTTGAAAAGGGTGTCCTCTCCTCACTTCATGTTTTTGTTTGCTTTGTTGAAGATCAGTTGGCTGTAAGTATTTGGGTTTATTTCTGGGTTCTCTATTCTGTTCCATTAGTCTATGTGTCTATTTTTATACCAGTACCATGCTGTTTTGGTGACTATGGCCTTATAGTATAGTTTGAAATCAGGTAGTGTGATGTGTCCAGATTTGTTCTTTTTGCTTTCTCTTGCTTTGGCTATGCAGGCTCTTTTTTGGTTCCATATGAATTTTAGAATTGTTTTTTCTAACTCTGTGAAGAATGATGGTGGTATTTTGATAGGGATTGCATTGAATTTGTAGATTGTCTTTGGCAGTATGGTCATTTTCACAGTATTGATTCTACCCCTCCATGATCATGGGATGTTTTTCCATTTGTTTGTGTTGTGTGTGATTTCTTTCAGCAGTGTTTTGTAGTTTTCCTTGTATAGGTCTTTCGACTGCTTTGTTAGGTATATTCCTAAGTATTTTATTTTTTTGGCAGCTATTGTAAAAGAGATTGAGTTCTTGATTTGATTATCTGCTTAGTTGCTGTTAGTATATAGAAGAGCTACTGATTGGTGTACATTAATCTTGTATCCAGAAACTGCTGAATTCTTGTATCAGTTCTAGGAGCTTTCTGGAGGAATCTTCAGGGTTTTCAAGGTAAACGATCATATTGTCAGCAAACAGTGACAGTTTGACTTCCTCTTTATTGATGTGGATTCCCTTCATTTTTTTTCTCTTGTCTGATTGCTCTCGCTAGGACTTCCAGTACTATGTTGAAGAGGAGCAGTGAGAGTGGGCCTATTCCCTTTCTCAGAGAGAATGCTTTCAACTTTTCCTTATTCAATGTTATATTGGCTGTGGGTTTGTCACAGATGGCTTTTATTACATTAAGGTATGTTCAAATTCAGTCTTTAAGAGTAAAATGTGAAAGCGGATGTATGGATGTTTGAGTTTGTCTATGTTGCTGAACAGTATGAATGTGGGTTTACTTCAGAGCTGTTGCCAGAAAGGAGCAGTAATTACACTTGAAATTACTGTTGAAATTGGGCTTAAAACTTAATAGAAAAAGAAACCTTTATGTCTGAGCACTAGTTACAAATAAAAGGCAATGAGAGAAAGAAAAAGCTAGGAACATTTGAATACATAACAAAAAGAAATGCTTTATTTGTAAATTGTAGAACATGGAGCAGATTCCTATAGCAATATATCGGAACAATAGGCATAACATCACACTGCTTCGGAGGCTACCTGTATATACATCTACTCCTTTATTATTGCTAAGGTTACTTTCTGATTTCACAGGTACTCAGGTGATTGAAGATAGAGGGAATGTGGGTTTAGATATGAAACAGTAATACTTTCAAATCTGGGAGGCAGCAACAAGGCTCTCCTATGTACTCACTATGCTGACTTGGTAAGTCATGACTTTCATCAAACTCAGGTTCCTTATCAGAAAAATGAAGAAGCGAATCAGGTGCTTTTTAGGATTCCTTATAGGTTTCAGCTTTAAATTTCCATGATGTCGCTTGGGTTTTGGTGTGAATATAGTTGAGCTGCTGGCAGTACATATTTTAGGCAATTCTTTGAGTCTAATTGAGCAATTTCTTTATTACAATGGGCTTAAACATATACACACAGACACACACATATATGGATATATAGCACCGCCTGAGTTTTTATAGTCAGTAAATGCCATTCAGCAAATAATAGGGGATGCTTTCTGGATTTAAATAGATTTAATCTCGACACTGTTAAAATGTGTACCTTGTGAAGCTTTCTGTTTTCCTAAAGGAAAAATAATTGTAGTGTTCATTAAGCACCCATACTTTAAGTACTATTGATGGCATTATTAGTATTCTAGAAACTGTGATAGGGGCTTATGGACCTTATCCTATTTAGTACTAATGACAACCTTACAAGATAGATACTATTATTGCCAACTTCAAATGAGGACATTGAGATGGAGAGTTGAGGTAACTTACCCAAGGCTACTCAGCTTGCAAGTTAACAGAAACACTTAGGATTCAAATTAAGGTCTGACTCATTCCAAAGCTGTGGCTCTTTTGTTCTTTTAGGTTTTAGGAATATATTAAAAAATAGTCAAAAGCCTGTCTTGAAGGAGTTTCAGATTAATAGAGGAGACAAGAAAGACTAATATGTGGTTCAAATGAAAATGTCACTGAAATGTCAAAATTATAAAAGTGTATTGAGGAGATTGTACCCAGGCTAGATAGAAATCTCAGAGGTGAGAAAGGGTGTGTTGGAGAGGGAAGTTCAAGAAATCCAGGCAGTTCTGACTGCCTAGTACTTAGTAGATGTAGGATTATAAACTTCAGGAAAATAATTTTTTGAACACTTCATTTTTAGAGAGGTGGTATGGCTAGGGTTGATTCATATTTGTCCACTTAAAGCTATTGTGCGAAGTGGTGTCTAAGGAATATATGATGATGGCACGGACAGGAACTTTCACTTGTTTATTCACTTGTTCATTTATTCATTCATTTTATTTATTCAATACATTTTCATGATATATTCATCCAATACATATTTTCATACATATTAATTTGATACATTCAATACATTGAATTCTTACTGTAAATGTTCAATGTGTTTGATAAAGGCAATACAAAGAAACACAGGCATACCTCGTTTTATTGTGCTTTACTTTATTGCACTTTGCAGTTACTGCATTTTTTACAGATAGAAGGTTTGTGGCAACTCTGTATTGAGCAAGTGTATCAGCTCCATTTTCCCAACAGCGTGTGGTCACTTCCTGTCTGTGTCACATTTTGGTAATTCTTGCAATATTTCAAAATTTTTCATTATTATTACATTTTTATGGTGATTTGTGATCAGTGCTCATTGATGTTACTACTGTAATTGTTTTGGGGACCAAAAACCAAGCCCATTTGAGATGGTGAACTTAACAAATGCTGTATGTGTTCTGACTGCTCTACTAACCAGCCTTTCCCCATCTGTGTCTCTCTCCTTGGGCCTCCCTATTACCTGAAGTACAAAATCATTGAAATTAGGTCAATTAATAACCCTACAGTTGCCTCAAAGTGTTCAAATGAAAGGAAGAGTTGCATGTCTCTCACTTTAAGTAAAAAGCTAAAAATAGTTAAGTTCAGTGAGGAAGGTATGTCAAAATCTAAGACAGGCTGAAAGCTGGGCCTCTTGTGCCAAACAGCCAAGTTGTGAAGGCAAAGGAAAAGTTCATGAAGGAAATTAAAAATGCATTCTATCAAATATTTAAAAAATAATACAAGTGCTACACATACTCTTCTAGAAAAATTGTAGAAAAAACTCCCCAAATCAGTCTATAAAGTCAGCATCACCCTGATGCCAAAATCAGACAGAAACATTGCAAGAAAGAAAAACTATATCTCTCATGATCGTTGTCATGGGCTGAATGGTGACCCCCAAAAAGATAAATTCATGTCCTAATCCTCAGAATCTGTGAATAGTACCTTATATGGCAAAAGAGTGAATGTTACTTTATATGGTAAATGATGTGATCACATTATAAGGATCTCATGAGGATGAGGTTATCCTGGATGATCTGGTTGGGATCTAAATGCAATCATATGTATTTTATATGAAAAAGGCAGAGAGAGTTTTGGCACAGGCACATAGAGGAGAAAGTGATGTGAAGACAGAAGCAAAGACCGGAGTGATAGCACCACAGGCCAGGGAACACCTGGAACCACCAGGAGCTGGAAAAGGCAAAGAAGAGATTCTCTCTTACAGCATCTCTCTATAGGGTGTGCAGCCTTGTTGACACCTTGATTTTGGATTCATGGCCTCTAAAACTGTGAGAGAATAAATTTACGTTGTTTTAAGCTACAAAGGTTGTAGCAATTTGTTTAAGCAGCCTCAGGAAACTAATAGAAACATAGGTACTAAAGTTTTTTAGCAGAAACATATATGAAATTTTTAATGTAAGTGTACATTTTCTGTTTTATTAATTTCTAATTTTATCTTTATTATTTCTTTCTTATTGGTTTATTTTGGCTTTAACTTGATTTTTTTCTAGTTTTAAAGGTGGGAGCTTAGTTAATTGGTTCCAGACCATTTTAATTTTCTAATATAGGCATTTAGCGATATAAATTTTCCTTTATACACTGCATTAGTTGCATCCTGCAAGTTTGAAATGCTGTTTCATTTTTATTCAGTTCAAAATATTTTTAATTTCATTTTTTGAATCTAAGTTATTATAGGTTGAATATGTGGGTTGGAGGAGAAGGTGGAGTTCAGATGGTTCCCAGGTTTCTAATTAAGAGAGTAGTGGTGCCATAACTGGAATACGAACACTGGAGGAGAAACATGTTTTGGGGAATGATATTCCATTTTGAATTATGGGATTAAAGTCCCTATGAGATAGTGCTTCCATTTTTGGAAAGGCTCCTGTTTGATTAATTTCATTTTAAGCCATGTGGGTTCATTTTCAATCTTATTTATATTCCTTAAAAAAATTAACACTTCTAACCCTGTGTCTCTTAAACAAGAGGAGATTTGTTCATCTTGGTTTAATGGGTATTTAATATAATAAGAATGCTGTACATGTTACCCCAGAGTCCATTTTGGGTTATTTCATATTCTCAGTGTACCCTTCAGGCTGCATCTTCTTGTCATTTGCTGCATTTTGTACCCGTATCTACATAGTTAAAAGTATCTACATGGGGCCAGACTACCTGGATTGAATTCTATTTCTGCCATACAAGCTGTGAGAACTGCTTGCTCATCTGTAAAATTAGGATAACATAGGTATCTATCTCATGGGGTTTGTTAGAAGGACTAAATAAGTCCCTATTCTTAAAGCATTTAGAAGAGTACCTGAAACAACCAGTAAAGGTAGTTCATGAGCAGATACTCTGATTCTGAGATATGTTAAGTCTGCGGTCAAAGACCCTGAAAACTGCAAAGGGAATTGTTTTCCAAGACAAGTTTAGAGTTCCTAGGGAATAAAGCTGCACTGATAACCACCATCCTTTTCCATTTCAGGCATGGGATGTACTTGTTCCTTCAGTTGCTGACATCAGAAGAAAAATTAATATAGTCCATTAGTGGTTGACTTCAACTGATATCCAAAGGTGAAAATACCTATGACAGTTTGAGAAAGATGATAGGCAGGAGCAACAGGACAATAGCCTTCCCTTAATGGTCAAATTCATGCTTAATGCCATTTACCCATTTTGTTAACTTAAGGAGCTATCTGAAGTTTCAATTATAAACAAACTCAGAGGAATTTAGCAAGAATGACAAATTTATTTATCTTTGCTAAAGATAATATCTTTAGGCTGGGGACAAAAGGTGATTTTCTTGCCCACTTGGAGAACAGTTTTCTTTTTAGGCGAAATGTGTGAGGGTGTGTGTGTGTGTGTGTGTGTGTGTGTGTGTGTAGTTATGTTTGAGTCATGCTCATTCATTAAAAGAGGACCATTTTTTCCAGCCCATAATTGCATATACAGTATTTTAATCTTTCATTAGACCCTAAGCTGCATTAAAGGATGTTTCACACCTGTTTACTGTTGTCTAATGCTTGATATGTCTAGCACATACCAAGTTTTAATAACTATTTTTGAATAAATGAATGACCTGGACCTGAGTATACATGAAGGAGGGGATCATAACCATTTTCCTATTATCTCCTTCCATCTCCCTTGTATTAGGAAAGTAAAAAAAAATTCTGGGTACTATTAAATATATCATTTCCTTCTACTATTAAATATAAAATTGCCCTTTGGAGTAGAAGTTCCTAATCACAATAATAAGATCCCATACTTCTTTTAATGGGAAGAGATTTTAGAGGACATCTAGTCCAATTCAACCTCCACCATTAACATATGTGAAAATGGACACTAGGGGAGTTGAAGTGATACTGCCTTGATTACACAGCTGGTAAATTTATATCCAAGACTACAGTCCAGGTCTTTAGATTTCTAATCTAGCACTTTTCTAGGAACCAACTGTGCTCCTTGAGCTGAATTGGGTAATTGTGAATTGTTTACTTCCGTGGCTAAAGCAACAGATAAAGAACATTGTATTTTTGGTCATATTTGGAATGTTTAAGAGTAGGAGGACTATAGAGGTGGGAGCCAAGTAGCATTGCTTGAAAATGAAATATAAAGGATTTGGACAAGAGATTTGGCAGAGCAAACCAAGAGAAAGTAATATACTCTTCTCACCAAAAATAAATTTTATGGAGAACTATCAATGGAAGTCTTTTTCCTTTATCAGTTAATTCTTGGTAATTCCCTCAATTGATGATTCTTTGGTTTGTGTCGAGTGAGAGAGACAGAGATCTTTTTTTCTCAGCACACTTTTTTTGTTTCTCTTTTAAGTGCTAACCAAAAAAACATGTGCATCCAAATTGGTATGCTTACTTACTTTGAGAGAACATTTATAATTGGTTTTCTCAGGAGAATAGTCTTCTAGATAATTGCCTTACCAGTTTGGAGTGGAGAGATGCTGGATTGGGCTCTGATAGACAATTTGCTTTATCAAAAAGGCCTCGACATGTAGAAAAAAACCTACACAATTGATCAGGCAAAAATAAGGGATTTGGATGTTTTTATACTTTTTCTTGATGTTGCCTTTTGTTTCTCTGTTTCTAGCAAATACAAATGGAAATAAATAATGATCAGACTATTTTGGAATGTTGCTGAGTTCTACTAGCTAATAATGAGTTCTATTTAGCTAACTATATACAACACAAATAAATGCCTGTATTTCTTGCTTTGGGGAATCATTAATCTCTTCTAATTGTCCTCAAAATTATTAAGAAAACAGAACTCTGGGTCTTTATACACTTATTCATTGATAGCATTGCACCACCACTATTATAGTCAAATTGTAATTTGTTATTTCTATTCAGGCTCTTTGCCTTTTATAAAAAAGATGTAAAATATATAAGAATATGGGAGAAATATGGATGCAAACTAAATCATTTTATTCTTAATCTATTTTAATGAAAGCATTTGAGAAAAGTTTGAAGGGTTGATTTTGATAATTTTAGGGCTTTTATTTGTAAGGAGGGGCCAAAGTTCTAGTAAGTAACTTAATACTAGACAAACACAAATCAAAAACTAATTCGTAGAGTTAATGTGTGATTGCCATATCCAAGTAAGGATAAAAACAAACATCATAATCAAGTTCTGGAAGAAGTATATTATTTGAGGTTTGCAGGAGTAAAGAAAGTGTCACTGTATTAGTGTATTAGGGTTCTCTTAGAGGGACAGAACTAATAGGATATATATAAATGGGCATTTATTAAGTATTAACTTACATGATCACAAGGTCCTGTCTGCAAGCTGAGGAGCAAGGAGAGCCAGTCTGAGTTCTAATACTGAAGAACTTGGAGTCCGATGTTCAAGGGCAGGAAGCATCCAGCAAGGGAGAAATATGTAGGCTGGTAGGCTAGCCCCATCTCTCCCCTTTTCACATTTTTCTGCCTGCTTTATATTCATTGGAAGCTGATTAGATTGTGCCCACCAGATTAAAGGTGGATCTGCCTTCCCCAGCCCAGTGACTCAAATGTTAATCTCTTTTGGCAACACCCACACAGACAAATCCAGGATTAATAATCTGTATCCCTCAATCCAATGAAGTTGACACTCAGTGTTAACCATCACAGTCACTTATGTTTGGAATGAAACTACTTTAGTAATTAACTCATCTCCCCAGGTATTTGTCCATTTATTAAGCTATGTTATAATGCTAATATTTCCCTTTACAACTACAATTATTCTAGTTGTGTTCCTGGAAAAACCTATTAAAGTATTTTCTTAATTAATTTACATCTCTCTAATTCTATTACTAAGGCCCATTTTAAAATGATTTGTTCATTTACGTGTCTTCAACTCATTAATGATATATAAATAATTTCCTTTTATTGTATATTATTATAGTAGAAAAATGTTGTAAATACTAAAATTACTCCAAAATTATAAAGGTAAACTATGGAATTTGATAAGAGCATTTAATTCATCATACTTACCTAGGATGCCAATTGTTATTTCTGAACTACTACATATGTACTGTCAAGTCAAGGGATATTCAATATCTTATATCCATATGAAGGCTGTTCATGAATGTTTATGTTAATTGTTTTGAATTCTTACTTGGATATAATATAATTTAAAATTGGGTCCTATTTTCCTCTTAACCCTTGTTCTCAAAAGAGTGGACTGAATTTCTATGGGAGACCTGAGGGGGAAGAAGACTTTTCATGGGAAAATTTTTTCTCTAGAAGCAGGGAGATGAAAGGTGGACCTTGAGACCTCACTGTTCACTAAGCTGTCTCCCTCTATTGAACTAACAGAACTAGAGCTAACCAACTGGGAGGTCTTCTGTAAGCATCATTATTTTCTGCAAGTCCACCCATCTTCTGGGCCCAGAATCATCCCCATGCATACTGAACTCTGGTGAGGACAGCCTTCAACAGGTGGTGTCAAAGCTCAGCTGGGAATGGATCTGAATCCTCAGACCCCCAGCTCACTGTCTAGTTTTTTGCCCTGGTCATTTTATTGATTTATAAAAATGAGACTTTGCACTTAACAGAGTTAAATATTTTGGATCTTAGTTTACTTTATATAAGAATTATATATATTCATATACACATAATACGTATGAGAAAAGTATCTACATCCACAGTTTAAGTTGAGAGGAAAAATAATCTCGAGAAGGCAGTGAGCTTTCTCGGCAGTAATATGAGTTTTTTGAATTTTTACAAAGAGAAGGGGCCAAAACATGACATAATTTTGTTTAAGGCAAGAATATCTAATTGCTATTTAATGATATCAAACAATATGACATATCTAATCACAACATTACACTTTTTAGTACTCCCTTCCCCTGGCATATCTCCCTCCAGGAAGATTCTCCAGGAATATAGGAACTTATTTGGGGCTTTGACTCAGAGTGGATTTTCTAGGACAGTTGTATATGAAGCAGATCTCCTCACTCTTGGGAGTGAGGACTGTTGGAGAAACTAGCCATACTGTGTGCCCAGTCACCCCTCCTTTATTTAGCCTTTTATAGAAGCAAAATTGGTAGATCTTTTAAACATCCCCCAAAAGATGCCTGGTACCCATAAAGAATCAGATAGAATCATTAATGACATACAGTAATTTTGTTAAAGCCATCAAGTGAAACCATCTGGTTTCTGTTCATTTATAAATTAAAAATTAATTACCACGCACTAAGTTAAATAATAAGAAATGAAAACTCATCTTCAAAATTAAGTTAACTGTCTCTTGATGACTGAATCTGGAAAAAATACTGTTTCTTCCTGTACATTGAAAATTTTCAGCATGTATCATAAATGCACTAAGTAGTTAGCTATTTAAATTGCATCTTTATTTCAAGATTTCCTTGCAAGTTGCTACTACTTAACAACTTTCTTTTTTTTTTTTAATTATACTTTAAGTTCTAGGGTACATGTGCACAACATGCAGGTTTGTTACATAGGTATACATGTGCCATGTTGGTTTGCTGCACCCATCAACTCGTCATTTACATTAGGTATTTCTCCTAATGCTATCCCTCCCCCAGGCTCCCACCTCCCGACAGGCCCCGGTGTGTGATATTCCCTGCTCTGTGTCCAAGTGTTCTCATTGTTCAATTCCCATCTGTGAGTGAGAACATGCGGTGTTTGGTTTTCTGTCCTTGTGATAGTTTGCTCAGAATGATGATTTCCAGCTTCATCCATGTCCCTGCAAAGGACATGAACTCATCCTTTACCAACTTTCTACTCTTTCTTCTATTACAACTTACTATTATTACAAACAGCATCATTTGCTTTAATTTTGTGTATTTCCTATCTACAGTTCATGAGGAACTGTTAATAAGTTGCACTTGGAAATCAGAAATAGTTTTCCCCTTTGCTTTTAGGTTCTCTTTCAATCCATCTTTCTTGCTACCACCATAGTTATCAGCCAGACATATTTGTTTGCTCCATTTCTTTGCTTCAAAAGTGTTGTTGGTTCCACATTGCTAGGAGGATAAAGTCATAATAATTTCATTATCCTAGAATATAAATCTCTTCATATGTTAGTTCAAGGTCATTTTCTGCTTCTTCTACTCATTTGTTCTATGTTTTTTCTACCCATTTGGGAATTCTTGCTGATCTCTGAACATTTCATGCGCTGGAACACTCGTGTGTGTTTTATGCTTTATGACCTTTAAGGAAAGTCTCTTCCTTAGGACCTGTGACACCCCATAGGGCTATGCAATAAACAGAGGGTGACCCTAGTTCTCAAATAAGCCAAGGTCTCTAGTCTTCAAGGCCCTTCCCAGAAACAGGATGTCTCTCTGCAGCATGGAGGAGTATATGAGGTAAGAATGTTGTGGTTGGAAAACACCATAGGCTGATAATTTTCACTCCACAAAAAGCAACAAAAACGGTCATAACACCTCTCTCCATCCCCCTTCTCTATGAGTGGTGATGCATGGCCACAGTGGCCCAGCTGTGAGTAGCAAAAGACCCCTCTGTGATTCATCTCATTATGGAGTGAGTGATATCAGCTTCGAGATTTTGCACCATTTGGGCACTTGAAGAACCCTACCTTCAGATGGCGGGCTGAGGCAAAGCAGCTAATATATGGATATTGCTTGCCACCATATTTGATAGCAAATAAAGGAAAAGTAAATTCCTAGTGGCTATACCCTGCTTCTGCACGGTTTTTTTTTCCTCTTCAAAAAACAGATGAAGAGAAAAAGCATTCCAGTTCTGCAGAACCAAGAATGTACTATATTCTTTGTATGGAATTAATAATTTCCTATTTTCTGCCTGATCACCCATCTCTTTTTGAAACTTTCTTCCTTCCTGTCATTGAGAGTGCCTCTCTGCTGCATTGTGCTCCAGCAGCTCTTTTGTGTATACTTCTATTACAGAGGTTTCATATTATACCATTGTTGTTTGTTCACCTGTCTCCTTCACTAAACTATATCTCATCCATTTGGGTATGTCTAGCACCTACATGGCTGAGTATAAGCCTTCAATAAATATTGAATGAATGAAAGACACCACAAAATGAGCAAAAATAAGTTAATTAAGACATCTTTTAGTTTTGCTATGTTGTTAAATTTTTCTTATATTTCACAGGTAGAAGCAAAGTAACTTTTATTACATGTAATTTATTTCAATTTAACATTTAGGGAGTACTTTTGAAGCATTATACTAAGTGCTTTGAGTGACACACTGATGTCTAAGCCCCCAGTTAATTCCGAAAACATTTCTAATACACGCTTTTTAAAAATAGTATTAGGGACTGAATGAATTTGGATTAAATTAAATGTTTTTTGAGTATTTTCAAAAGAAGTGGGAAAGTTAGCAGACCTATGTATTCATTTAACAAACATTGATTGAGCACCAACTATGGACCAGGTTTGATGCTTGGGTAACAAAGATTGACAACATCATCAAACACAATCTCTGTTCATGGAACTTACAATTTAGTCGATGAGCATAATTAGACAAATAAATATAGAAATAATTGTTTAGAGAGTTAAGTGCTAGGAAGAAAATTATTGAGTATAATGATGATTCTATTTTTTCTGTTTTGGAAAGAAATAGTAGTTAGAAATTGTTTGCCTCAAAATATAAAAAAGAAAGTTTTTGGAAAATTTATCTAGGGTACCTTGAAGCCTTAGCAAATGTTATATAATCAGAATCCTTCAGTTATCTTTAAAGGTATTAATAAATGAAATGCTATAGAAACCATATTGATAAGAAGAATGAATTAACTTATTTATTTTCTATTGAAATTTTTATTTATGGTTTGGTAGGAAAAGCAAAAACTCATATGTAAATATCAACATTAAAAAGAATGATCATACATCCTTAGCTCCTCAGCAGTTTCTGTCATATCTGGCTTTCGTTTCATTTTTAGTGCTGTTTTGTTACAATGACAAGAGGATTGAATTGAAAGCCTGTTGAAGAATTTTATTATCTTTTAAAATCTATTGTCAAAGACAGTTGGGGTTGAAAGCTTGGTGATAAATGTCAACAGTAATATGAAATGTATAGAAGCAGGGACCCCTTTATCTGTTCATTTAAACATCCTCATCAGTCGCACACCTACAGATAATGGGTGAAGGTGAGAGATGGTAACAGAACAGCTCATTAGGGCTGACTGTGTTAATTGACATTTGACCCACATTTTGTAGGTCCTGGTAATTTTTTGAGTATTTATTGATTCTTTTTCCTGACTAGAACAGCATTTATGCTTTCATAATAAGAAGATCCAGAAAGAGCTATGTTTGAAATTTAGAATATATTTCTAAGGGAAGATGATATGCTCATTCTCTATCAGTTATTATTTTGAGGCACTTTCGTTTTTGATAACAATAGTAACTTGTAAAGATTGAAGAGTCCCCGACCTTCATTTATTCAGCAAACATTGATTGAGCACACTATGTGCCAAGTCCTTTTCTTGGCACTGCCTGTATAGGTGGGGCCCTGTTCTATGAATCTGAGAGAATAATACACTCCATTATCAATCATCAATAATGTTAACTTTGTCTCATGTATTACTATTGTGTTGTTGATTCATTTCTTTTTGTGGTATGTTTGGTGGGGAGAAGGTTGCAATAAGAAAATAAAATGAATATTCTAGTTCTCATTTTGAATTTGATTTAAAACTGAAAAGTGTTTAGTGTCTATCTTTTTGAATTAGATAAATCTTTGTCTTCGGAAAACAACCCAAAGTAGCTGTTGTTTTCCTCTGAGTTGGCTCTGTTCTCAGGCTGACTTCTCTATGAGGTAGCAAAGCGAGTTCCTTGAAACCTTAGGCTTCCATGGTTCTTTTTATTAGCTGATAATTACCCTCTTTCTTCTATGTCAATATCTCTAAACATTCTTATTGGCTCTGCCTGGGTCATGTAAAATCTTGGGACAAGATGTTCTGGTTGGTCAATTGAGGTTGTGTGCTACTCCTAGGAGAGAAAGATAAAGTGAAAATATTGACAGCATTTATAGTCATATGAAGTGATGAAAGGGCAGAGTGCTAACTGGGGGTTGGGGAGGGAGGAGAGAGGTGCTGTTTCCTGAAGAAGGACTAAGAGATGCTAGCAGGTAAAACAACGGATGTCTACCACAAATATATGCAAAGCCTAATTGTTTGGGTGGCTTATTTAAAGAAAATTCCTTAATATATTCAAATAAATCTAGGCTTTCATATCACTTTGCATAATAAATTTACCAAAGAGCATAAAATCTAAGAGTATATTGGAAATCACCTCTATTTAAAAGATCAACCTTTTCTTGTTTGTTTAATTACTAGGCCTTTTAGAAAGAACATTCCTCTATTCCTTTTGACAGATTAATATTTTGGGGGAGTGTATTAGTTTGTTCTCACACTCCTAGAAAGAACTACCTGAGACTGGGTAACTTATGAAGAAAAGAGGTTGAATGGACTCACAGTTCCACAGGCTGTACAGGAAGCATGGCTGGGAGGCCTCAGGAAACGTACAGTAATGGCAAAAGGTGAAGAGGAAGCAAGCACATCTTACCATGGTGGAGCAGGAGAAAGAGAGAGTGAATGAGAATGTGCCCACATGTTTAGCCATCAGTTCTAGTGAGAACTCACTCACTATCATGAGAACAGCAAGGGGGAAATCCACCCCCATGATCCAATCACCTCCCACCAGGCCCCTCCTCTAATTTGACATGAGATTTGAGTGGGGAGACAAATCTAAGCTATATCTGGGGTAACTTCATTTCAGTTTAACTTAAAATTACAAAAAAGTTGGAGAAATAGTACAAGAAGCTCTTGTTTACCCATACACATTTTACTCAGATTCATTAATTGTTTACAATGTATATCATTTCCTTTCTCATTCTCTCTCTCTTCCTTCTGGACTTTTTGAGAGTAAGTTGGAGACACCCTGCCCCTTTACCCTTACATACGTTATTGTATATTTTCTAAGAACAAGGACACTGTGTTGAATAATCTCAATACAGTTATCAAAATCAGGAAATTTAACATTGATATAATATTATCTAGTTTAGAGTCCACACATATTCAAATTTTGTCAGTTGTCCCCAGATTATGTCTATTTATTTTTCACAGTCCAGGATCCATTCCAGGGTCATGCATTGTACTGAATTTTTTTCCCTTAGTTTCATTTAATGTGGAAGATTTTCTCAGTTTGTCTTGTGTTTGTGTTTTTAGTTTGTCTGATGTTTTCATGATTAAATTCAGACTATGCATTTTTGATAACAATAGCACAAAGCGATATTGTGTCCTCAGTGTGAGCATGATGTTGGTTGTCCCAATATTAGTGATATTATACACACATACATATACATACATCTATATTTCTATGTATATATTTTCAAAACAATGAGTTTATTCTAATGCCACCAATACTAGTCCATTTGTTTGTTTATATCAGTATTTTTTTTAAGTTTATATAACATGCAGAATACCTTATCAGTCATTCTGGAGAATTCAGAAAGAGTAGAAGAAAATATCTGTATCAGAAAAGTCTTATTAATCTGATTAGCTTCTTTCATTTCGTGATGAAAAAACATAATTTATTAAAATTTGTAAGAAATCTAAGAAGAAATCATTATTCAGATTTATTGTTCAAGAAACCCAAAGAAGGGTTGTGTAAATTGAGTGCTTAATGTACCTAAAAACCCAAAGCCCATGATGTGTAGAGAGGTGTTCATGGTCCCCATGTGACAATGGGAAAGGTGCCCTTGTGGGTAGTCTTCTGAAGCTGATGTGTTATTCTACCTGAGACATGTTTACTTGTACATACAATCTATGAGGATGTTAGAGCAGATGCAGTTTGGTCTACAAAACAAAAACAAAAAATAACAACAAAAACACCCTGAAATACTGGGTTGTAGTAAGAAATTAACTTTGTGAGTTATCCATGGAATTATAATCATAAGGAAAATCTCCACAGCTGAATCCATGATGGATATTTTCTATTTTATACAGACATTTCTCACATCCTGCAACCTGCAAAGTAGCAGACATATTTCAAATTCTTTAGTTCTTTCACTTTGGTTTTAGTGAAAGACCATGTCTTTGTCAATCTAGGAGGCATGCTCCATAGATTTTATTGATGTCTTTTGATTCAGATAAATGAGGAGAATTCAACTTCTTCCTTTCCTGTTCCCTAGACTTTAGTGAAGTGGAGATGTCTGATGATGTTCTAAAATGATAAGATGAAGGTGATGTTATTTCATTATAAAGAAGAGGCCTTTAACATGTACCTTGTGTCTGTGGCATACTCATTATTTTATTATAAGTAAATTTGAATTATTTTCTTTAGAACAACAACAACAAAACTATTAAGTTTGATAAAAGACACTCTTTACTTCAACTGAGACTCATTAACCCCTGAACTTTATACGTATTAATATCAATAATAAGAAACAACTATTTTACAATTTGGTTTAATATCGTATAACAATACTTTGTGCTCTAAGAAAATAAATAAAGATAATACTACTTTGCTCATGAAATATAACTGAAGATAATAACAATAAAATAAGAAAGGATAATAGTAATAAGGAAAATAAAGATAATACTCTGTGCTCTGAGAAAATAAATAAAATAAATATAATAATGTGAGCTAACTCATGTAGTACTGATTATGTGCCAGGAAACACCGTAAGTGTGTTACATGTATTAGCCCATTGAACCCTCCTAAAATCCCTCTGATGTAGGTACTAATATTCTTCCTAGTTTCAGATGTGGTTCAGAGAGGTTAAAGTACTCTCCAATGTCATGCAGCTGGAAAAGGCAGAGCTGGGATTTGAACCCAGAGAATCTGTCTTGTGAGTCCAGGATCATAATAAATTGTCTTTATTCAGTTACCAGTTATGCTGACTTATTGCTGCAAAGTTTTTGTACTATATGTTAAAATTATTTATAATTTAGAAATATTGAAAAAGAGCATTTTAATTATAATAAAAAATCATACTATCATGCATAATTCACTTAACCATTTGTTAGTTCTTGATTTTGTTTTAGAGGATTGAAATAAAAAACTACACAGATAGATTTAAATGTTTTTTTCATTAGTAAAAATAAAATGCTGTTAGCTTATTAGCTGATGTTGGCTTTTAAAATGTCCTGTTTAGCACTTTGGGAGGCTGAGGCAGGCGGATCACAAAGTCAGGAGTTCGAGACCAGCCTGCCAATATGGTGAAACCCCGTCTCTATTAAAAATACAAAAATTAGCTGGGCATGGTGGTGGGCACCTATAGTCCCAGCTACTCAGGTGGCTGAAGTGGGAGAATCCCTTGAACTTGGGAGGTGGAGGTTGCAGTGAGCCAAGATCGTGCCACTGCACTCCAGCCTGGGCGACAGAGCGAGACTGTCAAAAAAAAAAAAATCCTGTTTAACTCTGGAAGAACACTAGTGCATCAGATATGTGACTAATTTAAGAAAAGGGATTATGTGAATATAGCTACTGTACTGGTGTTT
Source organism: Homo sapiens (assembly GCF_000001405.40). NCBI lineage: Eukaryota > Metazoa > Chordata > Mammalia > Primates > Hominidae > Homo > Homo sapiens. The sequence continues at coordinate 67,419,768 of NC_000010.11, read as the reverse complement.
TTACAAAAGAATAAATTTTAATCATAGCTCTTGAGTATCTAGATTGGCATGTATGTTCCCTGGCAAGGGAAAGATTCAAATTACATTAGTTTCTAAATTTCTGAAGACCAACTGTTTTGCTAATATTCATTTACATCCTTCAGAGATATGAGAAAGCGCTTTAATTTATTTGTAATTGATGACAGAATTACTCTAGAGGCATATGTAGAAAATTGGAAAAAAACAATCAACACTGTATAGATTACTAGAGGGTGAAGTGGGCTGGGTGGGTTAAAAAGCTACCTATCAGGCACTATGCTCACTACCAGGGTGACGAGGTCCATGCTCCAAACCTCAACATCATGCAATATTCCCACATAACAAATCTGCACATGAACCCCCTGTATCTAAAATAAAAGTTGAAATTAAAAATAAATTTAAAAATAAGAAAATTGGAAGAAAAAATATCCTTTTGGTTTTAAGACAAGGATAATGCATGTTATTGTATTGTCCTATCTAATTATATAATTTGTTTAAGATTTATTTTATTAAATGTCTTCATTGTTCCATTTTTTGTTTTTTAAGTGTTTCTCAGATTTTAATGTACACATGAACCACCTGAGGATCTTGTTTAATTCAGTCACCATGGTAGAGGTGGAATAATTTACCAATCACTGGAGCCCATGGGCACAGTTCATGAAGAACCTCACAATTACTATTGGAAACAAAGTCAATGTAACAAGAATCCTGAAAAATATAAATATGCATACTGTTTTTTCTTTTGTAAACAAAATTTATTTTAATTGACAAATAAACATTATGTATATTTATCATGTGAATGATATTTTAAAATATGTACACATTGTGAAATAGTTCAATTGAGCTAATCAATATATTCATTACCTCATATATTTATCATTTTTTTTGTGGTGAGAACACTTACGATTTATTCTCTTAACAACTTCCAAAAATACAATACGTTGTTATTCTGTTGTAATACTTCCTTGCACGGATTTTCTACTACATGTTTTACAATAGATTTCTTGAACTTATTCCTTCCATCTAATTGAAATTTTCTATTCTTTAACCAATAATGCCCCTGACCCTGGTAACTAGCATTCTACTCTCTACTTGTGTGAGTTCAACTTTTTTTAGATTCTACATATGTCAGATCATGTGGTATTTCTCTTACTGTGCCTGACATATCACTTAACATAATATGCTTGAAGTTCACCCATGTTGTTGCAAATGACAATATTGTCTTTTTTTTTTTTTACAGTGAAATAGTATTCAATTGTGTGTGTATACCCCTGTTTCTTTATCCATTTATTTATGTGTTGATAGATACAGGTTGATTTCTTATCTTGGCTGTTGTGAATAAGGCCACAATAAACATCAGAATGCAGATCTCTTTGACAAAAAGTTATATGTACCCAGAAATGGGATTTCTGGATCATATTGTAGTTCTATTTTTACGATTTTGAGAAAACTTCATACTATTTCTTATAATAGTTGCACTAATTTACATTTGAATGAACAATGTGCAAGGTGAATTGGTCAGTTTGAAACTTTTCCATATGATATTTATTGTCATGTTACTGTTAATAACTTTCTCTTGCTTTCCAAAATAATAAAGGAATAAAAGACGTTATTTCATTTTTCTTTGATGAACAAAGGTTGCACTATGGTGGAGAATGTGAGGGCATAATTCTTCTAAGGTTTATCCATGTTGTAGCATGTATCAGTACTTCATTCTTTCTTATTGCCAAGTAATACTTCTTTGTATGGATATTCTGCTCCATGCTGCTTATCCATTTACCAGTTGATGGACATTTGGGTTGTTTCCACTTTTGGGCTCTTATGAAAAATGTTGCTATGAACATTGTGTAAAAGTTTTGTGTGGACATATGCTTTAATATTGAATTATGCTTCGCCAATATGTCAATAAAATTTGATTTTATTCACAATATGTAAGAATTTAAATGGAGAGATATAAATATAAAAAATTTAACATATTTTCCTCATATTTATACAGTGGATGGGTTCGAAATTGGATTTAACCCAATCCAAACTGGATTTAATCCAATTTAAATTGGATTTAAACCAATTTAAATTGGATTTAAATTTAATTGGATTTGTATATGAATGAAGATTATATTTACAACATGTGACAACCCTATCTTTTGTCTTAGAGTTATTTCCTTTCTTTTGTTTTATTGAATAAAATAAACCGGCTTTCTATAAGGACTTTTAGGGTAGATCCACTCTGAAAACTTACACCTTGATAATACCTTCCCCCACCCCAGGCACTTTTACTTTTTATTATTGTTATTATTTAATTTCAACTTGTAGATACAGGGGGTACATGTGCAGATTTGTTACATGGGAATATTGCATGATGCCGAGGTTTGGGGTATAGATCCCGTCCACTGTTGTAGTGAGCCTAGTACCTGGTAGGTAGATTTTTAACCCAATATCCCCTGCCTTCCACCCTCTTGGAGTCCACAATGTCTATTTTTCCCATACTGATGTCCATGTGTGCACAAGGCTTAGCTCCCACTTATAAGTGCAAACGTGGTATTTGGTTATATGTTCCTCCATTAATTTGCTTAGGATTATGACCTCCAAGGGCTCCATCCATGTTGCTGCAAAAGTCACATTTTCATTTTTTTTTATGGCTACACAGTATTCCATGGTGTATATGTACTATTTTTTCTTTATCCAATCTACCATTGATGGGCACCTGGGTTGATTCTATGTCTTTGCTATTGTGACTAGCACAGTGATGAATGTACAAGTACATGTGTCTTTTTGGTAGAATGATTTATTTTCTTTTGCATATATACCCAGTAGTGGGATTGCTGGGTCTAATGGTAGCTATGTTTTAAATTATTTGAGAAATCTCCCGACTGCTTTCCACAGTGGCCGTACTAATTACATTCCCACCAGCAGAGTATAAGCATTTCCTTTTCTCTGCAGCCTCTGCATCTGTTGTTTTTTTGGCTCTTTAATAATAGCCATCCTGACTGGTGTGAGGTAGAATTTCATTGTGGTTTTGACTTGCATTTCTCTGATAGTGATGTGGAGTATTTTTTCATATGTTTACTGGCCACTTATCTTCTTTTGAGAAGTGTCTGTTCATGTCCTTTGTCCACTTGTTTTTTTTTTTTTTTTTTTTTTTTGAGACAGAGTCTCTCTCTGTCGCCCAGGCTGGAGTGCAGTGGCGCGATCTCGGCTCACTGCAAGCTCCGCCCCCCGGGTTCACGCCATTCTCCTGCCTCAGTCTCCCAAGTAGCTGGGACTACAGGCGCCCGCCACCACGCCCGGCTAATTTTTTGTATTTTTAGTAGAGACAGGGTTTCACTGTGTTAGCCAGGATGGTCTCGATCTCCTGACCTCGTGAACCACCCTCCTCGGCCTCCCAAAGGTGCTGGGATTACAGGCGTGAGCCACCACGCCTGGTCATTTGTCCACTTTTTAATGGGGTTATTTTCTGCTTGTTATTTATTTTTTACCATAGATTCTGGATATTAGGCTTTGTTGGATGCCTTGTTTGCAAATATCTTGTATCATTCTATAGGTTGTCTCTTTGCTCTGTTCATAGTTTTTTTTGCCATGCAGAAGCTCTTTAGTTTAATTAGTTCTCACTATATTTTTGTTTTTATTGCAGTTGCATTTGGGGACTTAGCCATAAATTCTTTGCCAAGGCCAATGTTGAGAAGACTATTTCCTGGGTTTTCTTCTAGGATTTTTATAGTTTGAGGATTTACATTTAAATGTTTAATCCATTTTGAGTTCATTCTTGTATATGGTAAAAAGTATGGGCCCAGCTTCAGTCTTCTGCATATGGCTAGCCAGTTATCCCAGCACCATTTATTGAATAGGGAGTCCTTTCCCCATTGCTTATTTTTGTCAGCCTTGTTAAATATCAGATAGTTGTAGGTGTGTGGCTTTATTTCTGGGTTCTCTAACCTGTTCAATTGGTCTATGTTTCTATTTTTGTACCAATACCATGCTGTTTTGATTACCATATCCTTGTAGTACAGTTTCATGTTGGGTAGTGTAATGTCTCTGTCTTTTTTCCTTTTGCTTAGTATTGTTTTGGCTATTCACACTCTTTTGTCGTTCTATATGAATTTTAAAATAGTGTTTTCTAATTCTGTAAACAGTGACATTAGTAGTTTGACAGGAATAGCAGTAACTGTAAATTGCTTTAGGCAGTATGGTCATTTTAACAATATTGATTCTTTCAATTCATGAGTATGGAATGTTTGTCCATTTATTTGCATTATCACTGATTTCTTTCACCAATGTTTTGTTGTTCTCCTTATAGAGATCTTTCACCTCCTGGTTAGCTGTATTCCTAGATACTTCATTTTATTTGTGGCTATTGTAAGTGGAATTGTGTTCTAGATTTTACTCTCAGCCTGGATGTTGCTGGTGTATAGAAATGATACTGATTTTTGTACATTGATTTTATCCTGAAACTTTGCTAAAGTTGCTTATTAATTCTTGGAACCTTTTAGCAGTCTTTAGGGTTTTCTAGGTACAAAATCATATCGTCAGTGAAAAGAGTTTGACTTCTTCTTTTCTTTTTCAAATTCCTTTTATTTCTTTCTCTTGCCTGGTTGATCTGGCAAGGACTTCCAGTACTATGTTGAAGAGAAGTGGTGAGAGTAGGCAGCCTTGTCTTGTTCTAGTTCTCAAGGGAAATATTTCCATCATTTGCCCATTCAGTCTGATGTTGGCTGTGGGTTTGCCTGGATGGCTTTTATTATTTTGAGGTATGTTCCTTTGTTTATTGAGGATTTTTATAATGAAGGAATGTTGAATTTTATCAAAAGGTTTCTCTGCATCTATTGAGATGATCCTATAGTTTTTGCTCTTGATTCTGTTTGTGTGGTGAATCATGTTTGTTGATTTGCAACATGTGCAACAAACGCAAATATGATTTGCAACATATGCAAGTATTTGCAATCTTGCAACACAGCAAATCACAAATCACAACAAATGTGATTTCAGTATTGAATCCCAAGAATAAAGCCTACTTGATTGTGGTGTATTAACTTTTTGATGTGCTGCTAGATTCAATTTGCTAATATTTGTTGAGGATTTTTGCATCTGTGTTTATGAGGGATATTAGTCTGAAGTTTGTTGTTGTTGTTGTATCTCTGCCTGATTTTGGTATCAGGCTGATGCTTGTCTTATAGAATAAGTTAGGGAGGAGCCCCTGCTCCTCAGTTTTTTGGAATAGCTTCAGTAGGATTAGTATCAGTTCTTGTTTGTATGTCTGGTAGAATTGGGGTGTGAATTCACTTGGTCCAGGGCTTTTTTTGCTTGGTAGGTTCTTTATTATTGATTCAATTTCAGAAGTTAAAATTGGTCTATTCAGAGTTTCAATTTCTTCATGATTCCATCTTTGGAGATTGTATGCTTCCAGGAATTTATCCATTTCCTTTAGATTTTCTAATTTGTGTGCCTAGAGTTGTTCATAGTAGTCTCTGAGGTTCTTTTGTATTTCTGTGGGATCAGTTGTAATATCATTAGTGTTGTTTCTGATTTTGCTTATTTGGATAGTCTCTTTCTTTTTCTTTGTTGATTTAGTTAGGGATTCTACCAGTCTTAGTTTTTCAAAGAACCAATTCTTGGTTTCATTGGTCTTTTGTATGGTTTATTGCATCTCAATTTCATTAAGATCTTCTTTAATTTTAGTTATTTCTTTTCTTTTGCTAGCTTTGGAGTTGGTTTGTTCTCTTTCTTTCTTGTTCCTGTAGGTGCAAAGTTAGTTTGTTAATTTGAGACCTTTCTAACTTCTTGATGAAGGCATTTAGGACTATTAATTTTCCTCTTAACACTGCTTTGGCTATATCTCAGAGATTTTGGTAAGTTGTGTTCCTATTTTCATTAACTTCAAATAATTTTTTAAATTTCTGCCTTAATTTCTATGTTCACCCAGGAGTTATTCAGGAATAAGTTGCTTACTTTCCATTTATTTGTGTAATTTTGAGAGATCATTTTGGTATTGATGTCTAGTTTTATTACACTGTGGTTTGAGAGTATACTTGGTATAGTTTCAATTTCTTTCTGAATTTATTGAGGCCTGCTTTATGACTGAGCATGTGGTTGATCTTTGAATATGTTCTGTGTGCAGATGAGAAGAATGCATATTCTGTGGTTGTTGGATGGAGTGCTTTATAGGCCCATTTGGTCAAGTGTTGAGTTGAAGTCCAGAGTTTCTTTGTTAGTTTTGTGCTTTGATGATCTAATGTTGTCAGTAGGGTGTTGAAGTCTCCCACTATTATTGTGTGGTTGTTTAAGTGTTTTCCTAGGCCAAGAAGAAGTTGTTGTATAAATCTCAGTGCTCCAAAGTTGGGTGTGTATATATTTAGTATAGTTAAGGCTTCTTGTCGGACTGTATCCTTTATTGTTATGCAGTGCCCTTCATTGTCCTTCATTTTTATGTGTTTAAAATCTGTTTTATCTGATGAATGAATGAATGATGAATGAATGAAGAATGAATGATGAAACATGAAGAATGAATGATGAAAGATGAAGAATGAAAATTGAATGATGAAGAATGAATGAATGATGAGGAATGGTGACACCTGCTCTTTTTTGTTTTCTGTTTGCATGGTAGATCTTACCGCATACTTTTACGTTGAGTTTGTGGGTGTCATTACATGTAAGATGGGTCTCTTGAAAACAACAGATTGGTTGGGTCTTGTCTTTTTATCCAGCCTGCCACTCTGTGTCTTTTGAGTGGGCTGTTTAGCCCATTTACATTCAAGGTTATTATTGATATATGTGATTTTGATTCTATCATTGTATTGTTAGCTGGTTCTTGTGTAGTTGCTTTATAGTGCCTGTGAGCTATGTGCTTAAGTGTGCATTTGTGGTGGCAGGTGTCATTCTTTTGAATTCATGTTTAGAACTCCCTTAAGGACCTCTTGTAAGGCTACTCTAGTTTAAACGTATTCCCTCAGCATTTGCTTGTCAGAGAAGCCTCTTATTTCTCCTTCAGTTATGAAGCTTAGTTTGGTAGGATATAAAAATTTTTGGTTGGAATTTCCTTTCTTTAAGGACACTGAAAATAGGCCCCTAATCTCTTCTGGCTTGTAAGGTTTTTTCTGAGAAATCTGCTTCTAGCCTGGTGGGATTCCCTCTGTAGGTGACCTGCACTTTCTCTCTAGCTGCCTTTTAGATTTCTTCTTTTGCATTGATCTTGGTGATTCTGATGACTATGTGCCTCGGGTAGGGTCATCTTGTATAGTATCTGGCTGAAATTCTCTGTATTTCTTGGATTTGCATGTCAATGTCTGTAGTGACACTAGAGAAGTTTTCATGCCTGTGTCCTCAAATGTATTTTACAAGTTGCTTATTCTCTCTCCTTATTTCTTAGGAATGCTGATGAATCATATATTTGGTCATAATCCCATATTTCTCAGATGTTTTGTTCATTTTTCTTTTTGTTGAATTTTATTAAAATTCTATTCAAATTGCTAATGAATGCATGAAACAAGAAGGCAAAGACATGCATGTAGTCAGACTTAGGTCATAATTAAAAATTACACTTTCTCAGAAAAGTGTTGTAATATAAATTTAAATACATATAATATACTTGATGTTTTAGGAAAAATATTTAGAAGGATGTTGCATTTGCCAACTCAATGGAGTGTACTTTGTGCCCTTCCAAATTAAACAAATTGCTGCCAAGTATTTACAAAATCATTTATATTCTAAAGAACATTGACACACAAGGCAGAAATTAATTACAGAAATAATTTTAGCTGCCATTTTGGTCTCAGAAAGGCTTCTTTGCACAGATTCAACAGATTTATTTTTTTTTATCACCAAAGTTAAGAATAAGAATTAAATGACAGCCAGTGCTGGTAAGATTGATTTCTATCAATTCGTTACAACTTTAAATGCAAGACAGAAATATTTTGCACAATCACCAGTCCAGTTATCCCTCAGATATGGAGCTCTAAGTTTGATGTTAGTTGGAAAGTCAAATCAGAATTAGAAGGCCTAGTTCTCCTGTAAAACTCAAAATCTGACACTCCCACAAAAAAGGAAAACTCTGTTATATTTGCCAGAGTATCATTTTTTATTCTATTTAATATTGTCTTACAATTGAAATTTCAAGTTTCAAGGCAGAAAACTGTGCATTGATCTACAGTTGTCATGGAGTTTTCTAGAAGCACTAGACTTTCCCCTAACTCAGATACACAATCCAATGAATATTCTTCTCAGTTGTGGACAAAACAGAAATATAACAGGGTACAGATCCTCATTTGGAATGGGCTGCTACACAGAGCCAAGTTACTGAAAACTATGACCATAAAAAGGAATTGAGTCAATGACCTAGAAATGCCTATAAGCAAATCCCTTGAACCACTCAGTTTTGGTCATATTAAATTAACCTTTGAGTAAATTCGGCCTTTAAAAATTTTTACTTGACAAAAATTGTATATATTTATGGCATACAACATGATGTTTTGAAATATGTAGACATTGTGGAATGATTATATCAAGCTAATTAGCATACACATGACCTCATATACTTTTCATTTTTTTGTAATGAGAACACTTAAAATCTGCTGTCTTTGGAAATTTAAGGTACACAACTCATTGCCATTAACTGTGGTCCTCATGTTGTACATTTCTCGAACTTATTCTTCATGTCTAACTGAAATTTTGTATCCTTTCACCAGCATTTTTCTGGGTAACCCATCTCCTCACTCCCAGCCTCTGTTAACCACTATTTTTACTCTGCTTCTATGAGTTTGACTTTTCTGGATTCCACACACAAGTTTGATCATGCAGTATTTGTCTTTCTGTGCTTGGCTAATTTTATGTAACATAATGTTCTCCAGACTCATCAATGTTGTGGCAAATCAAAAGCTTTCCTTTGTTTTTAAGGCTGAACAGGTTCCCCCTGTGTATATATAACACATTTTCTTTATCTACTCATCTGTGGATGGACACTTAGGTTGATTTTGTGTCTTGGCTGCAGTGAACATAGGGGAGCAGAAATCTCTTTGAAATACTGATTCATTTACTTTGGGTATATACCTAGTAGTGGGACATACTTTATTACATATTGGGATTGCTGGATCATATGGTAGCTTTATTTCTGTGGGTTTTTTTTTTTTTTTGGGTGGGGGGAAGCATCATCCATAAGGCTGTACTAATTTACATTCTGACCAATAGTGTGGAAGAGTTCCCTTTTCTCTGTACTCTTGCCAACACTATTTTTTATATTTCCAACTTTTATTTTAAGTTCAGGGGTACATGTACAGGTTGTGCAGATTTATTACATAGGTAAATGTGTGCCATGGTGGTTTGCTCCACAGATCATTCCACCACCCAGGTATTAAGCCCAGCATCCACTAGCTATTCTTCCTCATCCTCTCCCTCCTCTCACCCCTTGCCCTTTGACAGGACCCAGTGTGTGTTGTTCCCCCCATGTGTCTATGTGTTATTATCATTTAGCTCCCACTTGTAAGTGAAAACTTGGTGTTTGGTTTTCAGTTCCTGTGTTGGTTTGCTAAGGATAATGGCCTCCAACTCTATCCATGTCCCTGCAAGTGACATGATCTCATTCCTTTTTATGGCTGCATAGTATTCCATTGTGTATATGAGCCACATTTTTTAATCCAGTCTATCTTTGATGGGCATTTATGTTGATTCTATATCTTTTCTATTGTGAATAGTGCTGCAGTAAACATATGTGTGCATGAGTCTTATTACAGAATGATTTGTATTCCTTTGGGTATATACTCAGTAATGGGATTGCTGGGTCCAGTGGTATTTTTGTCTTTAGGTCTTTGAGGAATTGCCACACTGTCTTCCACAATGGTTGAACTAATTTCCACTCTTCACCAACAGTGTGTAAGTGTTCCTCTTTCTCCACGACCTCTCCAGCATCTGTTATTTTTTGACTTTTTAACAGTAGCCATTCTGACTGGTGTGAGATGGTATCTCATTGTGGCTTTGATTTGCATTTCTTTTTAAAAAATATTTGTCCTTCAACTTTTATTTTAAGTTCCAGAGTACATGTGCAAGATTTGCAGGTTTGTTACATAGGTAAACATTTGCCTTGATAGTTTGCTGCACAATCAACCCAACACTTAGGTATTAAGCCCAGAATCCCTTAGCTATTCTTCCTGATGCTTTCCCTCCCCCTACCCCACCTCCACCCCTAACAGCCTCCAGTGTGTGTTATTCCCCTCAATGTGTTCATGTGTTCTCATCATTCACCTCCCACTTATAAGTGAGAGCATATGGTGTTTCGTTTTCTGTTCCTGCATTAGTTTGCTGAGGATAACAGCTTCCAACTCCATCCATGTTCCTGCAAAGGACACGATCTTGTTCCTTTTTATGGCTGCATAGTATTCCATAGTGTATGTGTACTATATTTTCTTTATCCAGTCTATCATTGATGGGCATTTGGGTTAATTCCATGTCTTTGCTATTATGAATAGTGCCGCAATAAACATACGTGTGCATGCGTCTTTATAGTAGCATGATTTATAATCCTTTGGGTATATAACCAGTAATGGGATTGCTGGGTCAAATGGTAGTTCTGCCTCTAGATCTCTGAGGAATCACCACACTGTCTTCCACAATGGTTAAACTAACTTACACTCCCACCAACAGTGTAAAAGTGTTCCTATTTCTCTGCAACCTTGCCAGCATCTGTTGTTTCTGGACTTTTTAATAGTTGCCATTATGATTGGCATGAGATGGTATTTCATTGTGGTTTTGATTTGCATTTCTCTACTGATCAGTGATGTTGAGCTTTTTTTCACATGTTTGTTGGCCACATGCATGTATGTCTTCTTTTGAGAAGTGTCTGTTCAGTCCTTTGCCTACTTTATAATGGCTTTTTTTTTTTTTTTTTTGTAAATTTAAGTTCCTTTTAAATGCTGGATATTAGACCTTTGTCAGATACATAGTTTCCAAAAATTTTCTCCCACTCTGTAGGTTATCTGTTCACTTGATGATAGTTTCTTTTGCTGTGCAGAAGCTCTTTAGTTTAATTAGATCTCATTTGTCAATTTTTGCTTTTGTTGCAGTTGTTTTTGGCATCTTCATCATGAAATCTTTGCCTGTGCCTATGTCCTGAATAGTACTGCCTAGGTTTTCTTCTAGGGTTTTTATAATTTTGGGTTTTACATTTAAGTCTTTAATTCATCTTGAGTTGATTTTTATATATAGTGTAAGGAAGGGGTCCAGTTTTAATTTTCTACATAGGGCTAGCCAGTTCTCCCAGAACCATTTATTAAATAGGGAATCCTTTCCCCATTCCTCATTTTTGTCAGGTTTGTTGAATATCAGATGGTTGTAGGTGTGCAGTCTTATTTCTGGGTTCTGTATTCTGTTCCATTGGTCTATGTGTCTGTTCGTGTACCAGTACTGTGCTGTTTGGGTTACTGTAGCCCTGTAGTAGAGTTTGAAGTCAGGGAATGTGGTACCTCTAGCTTTGTTCTTTTTGCTTAGGATTGGCTATACGAGTTCTATTTTGGTTCCGTATTGATTTTAAAATATTTTATTCTATTTCTGTAAAGAATGTTAATGGTAGCTTGATGGGAATAGCATTGAATCTATAAATTACTTTGGACAGTATGGCCATTTTCAAAACATTGATTCTTCCTATTCATTAGCATGGAATGATTTTCCATTTGTTTGTGTCATCTCTGATTTCTTTGAACAGTGGTTTGTAGTTCTCCTTGAAGAGGTCCTTCACTTCCGTGTTAGCTCTATTCCTAGGTATTTTATTCTCATTGTGGCAACTGTGAATGGGAGTTCATTTATGATTTGTTTCTCTACTTGCCTGTTGTTGAATGATTTCCCATTTGTTTGTGTCATCTCTGATTTCTTTGAGCAGTGGTTTGTAGTTCTTCTCAAAGAGGTCCTTCACTTCCCTGTTAGCTGTATTCCTAGGTACTTTATTCTCATTGTGGCAATTGTGAATGGGAGTTCATTTATGATTTGGCTCTCTACTTGCCTGCTGTTGTTCCACAGGAATGGTAGTGATTTTCGCACATTGATTTTTGTATCCTAAGACTTTGCTGAAGTTGCTTATCACCTTAAGAAGCTTTTGGGGTGAGTCAGTGGGGTTTTCTAGATACGCAATTATGTCACCTGCAAACGAAGAGAGTTTGACTTCTTCCTTTCCTATTTGAATACACATTATTTCTTTTTCTTGCCTGATTTCCCTGGTCAGAACTTCCAATACTATGTTGACTAGGAGTGGTAAGAGAGGGCATCCTTGTCTTGTGCCAGTTTTTAAGGGGAATGCTTCCAGCTTTTGCCCATTCAGTATATTGGCTGTGGGTTTCTCATATATGGCTCTTATTATTTAGAGGTATGTTCCTTCAAAACCGAGTTTATTGAGAGCTTTTTACATGAAAGGATGCTAATTTTTACCAAAGGCCTTTCCTGCATCTGTTGAGATAATCATGTGTTTTTTGTTTTTAGTTCTGTTTATGTGATAAATCACATTTATAGATCTGTGTGTGTTGAACGAAACTTGCATTCCAGGGATGAAGACTACTTAATCATGGTAGATAAGCTTTTTGATGTGCTGCTAGATTCAGTTTGCCAGTATTTTGTTGAGGATTTTTGGTATCAATGTTTATCAAGGATATTGGCCCGAAGTTTTCTTTTTTGTTATATCTCTGCCAGGTGTTAGTATCAGGATGATGCTGGCCTCATAGAATGGGTTATGGGGGAGTCCCTGCTTTTCAATTGTTTGGAATAGTTTCAATAGGAATGGTACCAGCTCTTCTTTGTACCTCTGGTAGAGTTAAGCGGTGAATCCATCTGGTTATGGGCTTTTTTTGGTTGATAGGCTATTCATTACTGATTTGATTTCAGAGCTTGTTGTTGATCTGTTCAGGGACTCAGTTTCTTTCTGGTTCAGTCTTGGGAGGGTGTATGTGTCCAGGGATTTGTCCATTTCTTCTAGATTTTCAATTTGTGTGCATAGAGGTGTTCATAACATTCTCTCATGGTCGTTTTTATTTCTGTGGGTCAGTGGTAATATCCTCCATGTCATTTCTGATTGTGTTTATTTGAATTTTCTCTCTTTTCTTTTTTATTAGTCTAGTTAGCAGTCTATTTTATTAACTTTTTTTCAGAAAATTAGCTTCTGGATTTTTGATCTTTTGAAAGGTTTTTCATGTTTCTATCTCCTTTAGTTTAGCTCTGCTTTTGGTTATTTATTGTCTTCAGCTAGCTTTGTTATTTGTTCACTCTTGGTTTCCTAGTTCTTTTAGTTGTGATGTTAGGTTGTTAATTTCAGATCTTTTTAACATTTTGATGTGGGAATTTAGTGCTGTAAGTTTCCCTCTTAACACTGCATTAACTGGGTTCCAGAGATTTTGGTATGTTGTATTTTTGTTCTCATTAATTTCAAGATTTCTGCCTTAATTTTATTATTTATCCAACAGTTGTTCAGGAACAGGTTATTCAATTTCCATGTAATTTTGTGGGGTATTAATTTGTTTTCATGCTGCTATGATGAAATACCCCAGGCTGGGTAATTTGTAGAGAAAAGAGGTTTAATTGACTCACAGTTCCACATGGCTGGGGAGGCCTCAGGAAACTTATAGTCATGGCAGAAGGGGAAGCAAGCATGTTCTTTTTCACAAGGTGGCAGGAGAGAGAAGTACCAGCAGGGGAAATGTCAGATTCTTATAAAACCATCAGCTCTCCTGAGAACTCACTCACTATTATGAGAACAGCATGGAGGAAACTGCCCCCATGTTCTGATTACTTCCCACCAGGTTCCTCCCATGAGAGGTGGAGATTTTGGGAAGTACAATTCAAGAGGAGATTTTGGTGGGAGCACAGCCAAACCATATTATGTGGGTTTGAATGCATTTCTTAATCTTGATTTCTAATTTGATTGCACTGTGGTCTGAGAGATTGTTCATTATGATTTCAGTTCTTTTACATTTGCTGAGGAGTGTTTTACTTCTGATTATGTGACCAATTTTAGAGTAAGTGATGTGTGGCAATGAGAAGAATGTATATTCTGTTGTTCTGGGGTGTAGAGTTCTATAGATATCTGTCAGTTCCACTTGATCCAGAGTTGAGTTCAGGTCCTGAATATTTTTGTTAATTTTCTGTCTTGATGATAGAGATATTAGAAAATATTGTCAATGGGGTTTTAAAGTCTCCCACTATTATTGTGTGGGAGTCTAAGTCTCTTTGAAGGTCTCTAAGAACTTGCTTTATGAATCTGGGTGTTCCTGTTTTGGGTGCACATATATTTAGGACAGTTAGCTATTCTTGTTGAATTGAACCCTTTATCATTATGTAATACTCTTCTTTGTCTTTTTTGATATTTTTTGGTTTAAAGTCTTTTTTTGTTAGATGCTAGGATTGCAATCCCTGCTTTTTTCTGTTTTCTATTTGGTTGGTAAATTTTCCTCCATCCCTTTATTTTTAGCCTGTGTATGTTTTTGCGTGTGAGATGGGTCTCTTGAAGACAGCTTACCAGTGGGTCTTGGTTCTTTATCCAGCTTTTTACTCTGTGTCTTTTAATTGGAGCATTTAAGGTTAATACTGTTATGTATGGATTTGATCCTGTGATCATGATGCTAGCTGGTTATTTTGCAGACTTGTTTATGTAGTTGCTTTATAATGTCACTGGTCTGTATACTTCAGTGTATTTTTGTAGAGGCTGGCAACAGTTTTCCCTTTTTATATTTAGTGCTTCCTTCAGGAGCTTTTATAAAGCAGGTCTGGTGGTAACAAATTCCCTCAGAATTTGCTTGTCTGAAAAGGATCTTATTTCTTCTCTTATGAAGCTTAGTTTGGCTAGATATGTAATTCTGCATTGGAATTTCTTTTCTTTAAAAATGTTGAATATTGTCCCCCAATCTCTTCTGGCTTGCATGGTTTCTGCTGAGAGGTCCACTGTTAGTCCAATGGGCTTCCCTTTGTAGGTGGCCTCGCCTTTCTTTCCAGTGGCCTTTGACATTTTTTATTTCATTTTGACCTTGGAGGATCTGATGATTACATGTTTTGGGGACGATCTTCTTGTGGAGTAAGTATCTTACTGGGGTTCTCTGCATTTTCTGAATTTGAATGTTGGCTTCTGTAGGTAGGTCAGGGAAGTTCTCCTGGATGATATCCTGAATTATGTTATCCAAAATGGTCCCATTCTCCTCATCTTTTTCAGGTACCCCAATCAGTCATAGATTCAGTCTCTTTACATAATCCCATATTTCTTGGAGGTTTTGTTTATTCCTTTTCATTGTTTTTCTCTATTTTTGTCTGCCTGTGTTATTTCAGAATGACATTCTTCAAGCTCTGAGATTCTTTCTTCTGCTTGGCCTATTCTGCTATTAATACTTGTGATTGCATCGTGAAGTTCTTGTTGTGTTTTTTTCAGCTCTATCAGGTTGGTTATATTCCTCTCTATACTGGCTATTTTGGCTGTCAGCTCCTGCATTGTTTTATCATGATTCTTAGCTTCCTTGCATTGAGTTGCAAAGTGCTCCTTTAGCTCAGTGAAGTTCATTTTTTAGATCCACATTTGGAATCCTATTTCTATCATCTCAGCCATCTCAGCCTCAGTCCAGTTCTAAATCCCTGCTGGAGAGGTGTTGTGGTCATTTAGAGGAAAGGGAGCACACTGGATTTTTGAGTTTTCTGTGTTTTTGTGCTGATTCTTTCTCATCTTTGTTGGCTTATCTACCTTTGATCTTTGAGGTTGTTGACCTTTGGATGGGTTTTTGTTGTTGTTGTTCTTGTTGTTTTGCTCGTTTTTTCTTTGAACAGTCTGACCACTTTTCTGTAGGGCTGCTATGATTTGCTGGGCGGCTGCTTCAGACCCTAGTCACCTCAGTTTTTTCAGTACCTGTAGGTATTACCGGTGAAGGCTGCAAAACAGCAAAGATGGCAGCCTGCCCCTTCCTCTCAGAGCTCTGTCCCAGAGAAGTACTGACCTGTTGCCAGCCTGAATGCACCCATAGGATGTGGCTGGAAACCCTGTTTTGGAGGTCTCACCTAGTCAGGAGGAATGGGATCAGGGACCTCCTTAAAGAAGCAGCCTTCCTGCGTTTTTGTAGAGCAGCTGTGCTGTGTTTGGCTTCCCTTCACCCCCATATAGTTTTGCACTTTCCAAGGCCCACAGGTTGGACTGGGTGAGATGCCCAAACAGCACAGGTGGCAGCCCACCTGGCCCCCTGGGCACTCCATCACAGGGAGAAATTAGAACTTTGTCAGCCATAGAACATGGGTGAGGGTGGTTGGAAGCACTGGTTGGGAGGACCTGCCCAGCAAGGAGGAATGGATTGGGGTTCTATTTAAAGAAGCAGTCTGGCCACACCTTGACAAAACAGCCATGCGTTGCTGGGGATCCATCTCTGCCTGTATTGGCTTGGATTCTGCAAAGCCTACAGGCTGGAATGGGCTCAAAGCAACATTGGCAGCTCATCCCTCCCCACTGGGCACTCCAGCCAAGGGAGAGATCAGAGTTCTTTCCTAGAATATGGGCAGGGGTGGCTGGAGGTCCCTATTGGGAAGTCCTGCCCAGTGGGGTGGAATGGATTGGGGTCCCACTTAAAGAAGTAGTCTGGCCACATTTTCATAGAGCAGCTGTGCTGTGCTGTGCTGGGGGTCCCTTACTTGTCCAGACTGTTTGGACTCTCCAAAGCCCACAGACTTGAACAGCTGAGTTGTCCAAATAACAAAGGTGACAGCCCACCCCTTTCCCTGGCAGCTCCATTCCATCTCAGGCAGGCACTACCCTGTTGCTGGTGGCTGGCTGAAGTTCCAAGCCAGTGGGTCTTATTTTGTGAGGTGCCTTGGAAATGGGGCCCACAGATGGACGCTGTTCAGCTCCCTGGATTCGGCCCCCTTCCTAGGGGTATGTATGGACCTCCCGCCTTGACTGAGTTGTAGTCACCTTTGCCAGGGATCCTGTGGCTGGGGTATGTAAATCTCCTGGGTCTCTGTGCATACCTGAGTGGCTGCCCTGCTGAGACTCCACACAGCTCTGTGTATCTGACCCAAGGTCCTGGTGGAGTGGGTTTATGAGGGGATCTCCTGATCTGAGGGTTGCAAAGATCCATGGGAGAAATGTGGTTTCCCAGGGTGGCACATTCACTTACCACTTCCTTGGCTGGGGTGGGGGTTCCCTTGGCTTTGCGTCACTTCCAGGTGGGCTATCATCCTGCCCTACTTTTCTCTGTTTTCTGTGGATTGGTTATTTCCCTGATCAGTCCCAGTGCGAAAACCTGGATATTTCAGTTGAAGGTGCTGTATTTACTCACTGCTTTTCTTCCTCTTTATGAGTGCCATGCACCATAGCTACTTCTAATTGGAGGTCTCGGCCCACTCTCTGCTCTTCATCTTTCTCAATTCTCTTTTCTGTATTTTTGTCTGACTGTGTTAATTGAAAGAATTGCTCTTTGAGCTCTCAGATTCTTTCCTCAGCTTGGTCTATTCTGCTGTTAATACTTCCAATTATATTATGTAATTTTTGTAGTGAATTTTTCAGCTCAAGAAATTAAGTTTTTGTCTCTCTTTAAGTGAGAATTTCACCTTTCAGCCCTTGAATCATTTTACTGGATTGCTTGGCTTCCTTGGATTGAGTTTCAACTTTCTTCTTGATCTCAATGAGCTTCTTTGCCATCCATATTTTGAATTCTATGTCTGTCATTTCAGATAATTCAGACTGGTTAGGAAACATTTCTGGGGAGCTAGTGGGCTCATTTGGAGGTAAGGGGGCAGTGTGGCTTTTTGAATTGCCAGAGTTCTTATGCTGATTCTTTCTCATCTGGGAGGGATGGTATTCTTTTAATTGTGGTGTAAATTGAGTGTACTTTGTTGGCTTTGTTTCTGAAAGTTTTTAGAGAACTAAGGCTCTGTATGGTGTCTTCGTTGCAGAATTCTTACTCTTGGTTTTGCAAGGGCAGGATTAGTAAAGTGATTTTGGTGTTGTAGTTTGGGCTACAATCTAGTAGATGGTCCTTGAGAGCAATGGGCAGTAGATAGGCTTCTACTCAGCCTTGTGGTTCCTTTGTCTATGTTAACATTTGCAGCTGTGTTCTGCAGTGCAAGGGGGAAATAGATGACCCCCTCATCAGGTCTGCTTGGGGGAGCCACATCCAATCACTAGCACTGTACCTTCGATTTTGTTGTTGTTTTTATTAGGTCTTTGGGGCCACGGGGCTCCCTTAGGGAGAGGTCTGGTATGGAAATAACCCATATCCTTACTGGACCAATCCCCTTCCCCAGGTACCTTTCCAGTTTGGAAATCAGCCTTAGCATTCAGGCACCCCACATTGGGTGCCTAACTTCCTTCTTCTTCAGTCTCTGGGACTGCATCTTTTCTCAATCCATGTTTGGTAGTTTCTCTCTGAAGATTTGTTCAAATTATGTTGGTGTATATTAAATTGGGTCTCTTTCTGTGGGAGTGGCAATTTCTGACTGTATCTAGTCCCAATCTATATTTTAAAAGTATGGCAAGTTTTGAATTTTCAGTATATGCTGAAACTGGGTGGTTTTTAAAGAGCAGAAATTTATTTCTCATAGTTCTGGAGGCTCAGGAGTTCAAGATCAAGGCACTGACAGGTGTGATCTTGTGAGGGCTGCTTTTGCTTCCAAGCTGATGCTCTGTTGCTGTCCTAATGTGGTGGGAGGTGGAAGGGGAAAAGGGTCACTTTTATGATGTCATTTATTTTAATGTGATCACTAGTCATCAGTATTTTTTGTTTTGTTTTTGTTTACTTTTTGTATTTGCCTAGGAATAGCCTATATGAAAATTTTATATCTGAAGTATACACAACACTTAGTCCAGGATCATATTATTAGATAAGCACTCACATTTGAGGATGACAGCAAAGTTTTTTAATTGATAGAGTTTCTTAATTTAGTTGTAAATTTCTCTGTAATTTAATTCTAATATTCTTTTCTAAGTGGTTTTAAATTTAGCCTTATGGTTCAGTGTATTAGAAGCAAAGTCCAATAAAATTACATCTTTATAATATCCTGTAAGACATTAAATTACATATTATTAATTCCACTTTTGAAAAGTAATTAGGATCTAATAACTGCCAATAGCAATTGCATACATTCACTAAAATTTACTTGTTTGTGTATATAATTTGGGGGTTATTTTCAAAAATTATGTGGTTTGCAGTGGATTATTTATTAGCACTTAAAATTTTCCACATGAAAAATAAGCCTTTGATTACCAAACAAAGGGATATGATCTCAATATCATCTTCTTCCTAAAGTATTTATTCCAGAGTGAATATCAGGATGCCCATTTGTAGGGAGACAAAATCTATCTGAAATTATTTTCCCGTGAATTGCTCATTTTTATTGTTCTCATAATCAACACAAGATGTTAAAATAAATGTATTTGTAAGCTTATTTCTTATTTCATAATACATCTGTAACATTTATTTAAAAGTAAATCTATTCAAAATATTGGAGAATCATTTGTTATACTTTGTCACAGTACTTTGACATGTTTATGGGTGATAGATTGTTAGATGTGGGAACAATATAGTTACAAATGACAAGCACTCACAACAGAGTAAAATTCTTATTGGCATCTTGAAGGTTTTGGTATATGTATTCAAGAGTTTCTGTGATTTTAAAGATTGTAATTAAATTGAACAATGAGAACACATGGACATAGGAAGGGGAACATCACACACCGGGGACTGTTGTGGGGTGGGGGGAGGTGGGAGGGAATAGCATTAGGAGATATACCTAATGCTAAATGATGAGTTAATGGGTGCAGCACACCAACATGGCCCATGTATACATATGTAACAAACCTGCATGTTGTGCACATGTACCCTAAAACTTAAAGTATAATAAAAAAAAATTGTAATTAAAATATAACTATAGAAATTCTTCCACTTTTCTGACTATGTAGTAGATGCAGAATTCATGAATGTGTACTTGATCTATGGTACTGAAGTATTTTGGGAGATACAAAAGTTTAAAACAGTCTTGGTTACCATAATGCTTATAGTTATTTGAGACTTATGAAAATTATCAGAAACATAAGACAAACTTTGGTAAGTACCTTAATGGAGGAAAAGATCTCCAACAGTTGACAGGATCAGGGAAGTCTGAACTAAGGACATAGGATGTGAGTTGGGTGGTGAAGATCAGGTATTATTTTAACAAGGAGAAATGGAGGGTGTTCTACCTGGAAAAAACCTTGGGAGATGTTGTAAAAGTGAGAAAGCATAAAATGCCCAGTATATTTGGATTACATGGTAGAAAATGGTGTTGAAAGAGTTAGGATGGGACAGAGCATGGAGTGTTGTCAATGACTTAGCCAAAAACTGCAAATTTTATTTGATTACTAATGAAATGATTTACAATTTTGATGAGAGTCTAGGGGATTTAATGTGACAATTGTATATTCATTTAATGAAAAAATGCTGATAAAATGCTATAAAATTAATAATATTGGTTTTACAATTTGAGCAAAGGTGGTACTTGTCTGTCACTCTAACAAATTCGTTTATAGTTGACCCTTGAACAACAAGGATTTGAACTGTGCAGGTGCATTTATATGTAGATTTTAAAAAATAAAAGCTACATGGAGGGTGCCTGTCTCTCTTGCCTCCCTTTCTGCCTCCTCCATCTCTTCTGCCTCTGCCCCCACTGAGACAGCAAGACCCACCCTTTCTCTTTCTCCTCCTCCTCATCCTACTCAGTGTGAAGACAACAAGGATGAAGGCCTTCATGATAATCCACTTCCACTTAATGAATAGTGTATTCGTTCTGTTCTCATGCTGCTAATAAAGACATATCTGAGACTGGGTAATTTATGAAGGAAAGAGGCTTAATTGACTCACAGTTCAACATGGCTGGAAGGCCTCAGGAAACTTACAATCATGGCAGAAGGGGAAGTAAACATGTCCTTCTTCACGTGGAGACAGGAAGGAGGAGTGCCAAGCAAAAGGGGGAAAAGCCCCTTATAAAACCATCAGATCTCATGAGAACTCACTCACTATCATGAAAGCAACAGTGTAGAGGTAACCACCCAGATGATTCAATTACCTCCCACCAGGTACCCTCCCATGACACGTGGGGATTATGGGAACTAAATTCAAGATAAGATTTGGGTAGGGACACAGCCAAACCATATCATTCCACCCCTGGCTCCTCCCAAATCTTGTGTCATCACATTTTAAAACACAATCATGCCTTCCTAACAGTCCCCCAAAGTCTTAACTCATTCCAGCATTAACCCAAAAGTACAAGTCCAAAGTCTCATCTGAGATAAGGCAAGTCCCTTCCACCTATGAGCCTATAAAATCAAAAGCAAGTTAGTTACTTCCTAGGTAAAATGGGGGTACAGGTGTTGAGTAAATACACCTGTTCCAAGTGGGCAAAATTGGTCAAAACAAAGGGGCTACAGGCCCCATGCAAGTCCAAGATCCAATAGGGCAGTCATTAAACCTTAAAGTTCCAAAATGCTCTTTGACTTCATGTCTCACATCTAGGGTACACTGACACAAGAGGTGGGCTCCCATGGCCTTGGGCAGCTCTGCCCATGTGGCTTTTCAGGGTATAGCAACCCTCCTGGCTACTTTCACTGGCTGGCATTGAGTGTCTGCTGCTTTTCCAGCCACAAGCTCTTAGCAGATCTACCATTCTGGGGTCTGGAGGACAGTGGCCCTCTTCTCACAACTCCATTTGACAGTGCCCCAGTGGAGACTCTGTGTGGGGGCTCCCACACCACATTTCCCTTCCACACTTCCTAGCAGAGGTTCTCCATGAGGGCTCTGCCTCTGCAACAAACTTCTGCCTAGACATCCAAGCATTTCCATACATCCTCTGAAATCTAGGCAGAGGTTCCTAAACCTCAGTTTTTGACTTCTGTGCACCCACAGGCTCAACACCATGTGGAAGCTGCCAAGGCTTGGGGCTTGCACCCTCTGAAGCCATAGCCTGAGCTGTACCTTGACCCCTTTTAGCCATGTCTGGAGCAGCTGGGATGCAGGGCACCAAGTCCCAAGTCTGCATACAGCAGGGGGGCCCTGGGCTCTGCCCATGAAATCATTATTTTCTCCTAGGCCTCTATGCCTGTAATGGGAGGGGCTGCTGTGATGGTCTCTGACATGGCCTGGAGACATTTTAGCCATTGTCTTGGTGATTACATTTGGCCTTGTTACTTATGCAAGTTTCTGCAGCAGGCTTGAATTTCTCCCCAGAAAATGGGCTTTTCTATTCTATTGCATCCTCAGGCTGCAAATTTTCCGAACTTTTATGCTCTGCTTCCTCTTGAATGCTTTGTCACTTAGAAATTTATTCTGCCAGATACCCTAAATTATCTCTCTCAAGTTCAAAGTTCCACAAGTCTCTAGGGCAGGGGCAAAATGCTGCCAGTTTCTTTGTTACAGAATGACAAGAGTCACCTTTGCTCCAGTTCCCAAAAAGTTCCTCCTCTCCATCTGAGATCACCTCAGCCTGGACTTTATTGTCCATATCACTATCAGCATTTTGGTCAAAGCTGTTCAACAAATCTCTAGGAAGTTCCAAACTTTCCCACACCTTCCTGTCTTCTGAGCTCTCCTAGTCTCTAGGATGTTCCAAACTTCCCCACATTTTCATGTTTTCTTCTGAGCCCTCTAAACTGTTCCAACCTCTGCTTGTGACCCAGTTCCAAAGTTGCTTCCATATTTTTGGGTGTCTTTACAGCAGCACCCCACTCTCTGTGGTACCAATATACTGTATTAGTCCATTCTCATGCTGGTAATAAAGACATATGTAAGACTGGGTAATTTATAAAGGAAAGAGGTTTAATTGACTCACGGTTCAGAATGGCTGGGGAGGCCTCAGGAAACTTACAACATGGCGAAGGGGAAGCAAACATATGGTGCCAGGAAGGAGAAGTCCAATCAAAACGGGGGAAAGCCCCTTATAAAACCATCAGCTCTTGTGAGAACTCACTCACTATCACAATAACAGCAGCATGGGGTAACTGCCCCCACGATTCAATTACCTCCCACCGTGTCCCTCCCATGACACATGGGGATTATGGAAACTACAATTCAAGATGAGATTTGGGTGGGGACAGAGCCAAACCATATCAAATAATAAATATATTTTCTCTTTTTTATGATTGTTTTAACAACATTTTCTTTTCTTTAGCTTGCTTTATAACATACAAAATGTTTGTTAATTGTTTATGTTATTGGTAAGGCTTCTGATCAACAGTAGACATTCCTGTTAAATTTTGGGGAAGTTGAAAGTTATATGCAGCTGAAAATCTGTGTGGGGTTTGACACTCCTAACTCCCATGTTATTCAGTGGTCATCTGTACATTGATTTTGATGCTTATAATAAAACATGATCAAATTACATAGCTGGAATGATAATTTTACCAATATGATAATTTTGATGATGATACCATATTAATAATGATAATATCTATTGAATTTAGTCAAATGTCAGAAGCATCTTATTTAATATTTTATTTGAATGTTCTTTTTTATAGTGTCATCATCAAATAAATTATAAGTTTAAACATATAATCCTATTTTTCTAGATTCATATTGAGTTTCAACTTTGTGTCTTCCTAGGATATATTCTGTTTCCTTTCTGAATAATTGATGTTTACAAGTTGATGTTGTTATTTGCTTTCAGATAGTTTTGTGATTATTTCTTTTTGGTTACAGTAATCATCTAAAGAAATTTTTATGTCATTTAAAATTTTCAATGATCTTTCTTTAAAAATATACTCTGCTTTTATTTTACAAACATACATTTAAAGTGATGTTTTTAAATGTTAATTTAATATTTACTGTTAATAATACTAAAAAATATACATAGATAGGCAGCTTAATATATTGGAAAGAGCTCTGAAATGGAAACCAAGACTTGTGGCTTTGCCATTAAACTAATTATTGCCTTGAGGTCACCCTGAAATCCTCTACTTTCTTGTTTGTAAAGTAGGGAAATAATTCTATCCACATAGGTTGTTGGGGGATTAAATTGGATAGTGGGATTAATGGAAATGTTAAAAAATCTTAACTATTGTTGTTATGTAATGTCATCATTTAGAATATATGTTGTTATAATCTGAAAATGTTTCCTACTATTCACATTCTGAAATTTGTTCCATTATGCTTCTGTTAGTTCTGTTTGTACTTTTCCAATATAGATATTGCTATGATGTACTAATCTAAGTTTAAAGGAAAGTGCTGGATCTAAATTTTCTACCACTTCCCTGCCTGCTGCTGTCAGCACCATAGTGTTGATGTTTTGTGTTAACACTATGAAGGGAATTTATGAGAATAATTAGTTTTGTGTTGCTTATATTAGAGCTGGTTATCTTAATTCTTGCTTGGTGGGAGGTGTGTTCCTTGCCATCATTTGGCTCCTGGCCCACAGCTTTAAATTATGTGGAGGAGAAAATGATTATAAATGGCTCCTTCCTGTGGTGTCCCTTACAGTTTTTCTCCTAACAGAAAGTCTCTTAGTTTTTTCTCATCAATTTCTCCTTGTGTTGCAGTCTAAAGTGATGTCCCATCTGCTGGTCAAGCTGCAAAGCAATTCTTTTAAGCATCATTAGCCTATGGTTAAGAATTAGATTCCTTTTTTTGAGAATAAATTTTAATTGGTTATGGTTTTTACTGAAATGAGTTGATTAGATGTGTAGAGAAACTGCTATAATTTTTCATGTTTAAGGGAAAGCCAATAAAATATATATGAGGAGAAAGTGTACTTAAGAATTATTTAAGATAAATTTGGTGGGGGAAAATCTGCAAGTGTAAAAATCAGGATTAAAATAGATGCTTTCAATGTTTCTTTTTGTTGATGGTGAATAACTGATGTAGTATATCATGTTTTTGACATCTTTGGGCATATAAGCCAAATTTTATAGAATTTTTGATTTATATTCTTATGATAGCTTTTCAATTTGTCAGTTCTTTGCCTATGATGTGCCTGCTGAGCATGAAAGGCACTTTTGAGCTATGTAGTAATAAAAAAAAATGCCACAAATACATTGGCCCAGGGGATAGGCTTTCTGTAAAAATGACCTGAATAACTACAGTTGCTGTAAATAATTTTTATGGATATTTGATGCTCCCTCCCTGTATTTTTGTTTGAATTAGTAATCAGATTGGTATTTTACTAACATCCTGGAGGTGAGAATTGTCATTCTAATACAGGTATTATAATGCAATATCTGGCTGGGTCATACTGGATCAGAATGACCTTAGCCAGTATTGTGCAGAAATGTTGTAAGATTTTGGAGAATTACTCTTTCTTTGTAAAAAGGTAACTCTGTGGCAGGTACTGTGTAGTGCTAAGATTCTTAAGGGGTATTTCAAAGCAAACATGCCTCTTATAGCTGTCTGTGCTATCTTTCATTTTATGAAAGATTTTATGTATTTTACAATACTGATGTCAGCTGCTGTTTTACAGCATTGCCCACTTCCCATACTGATTTAACTAACGGGCTTCTTTTTTTTTTTTTGATATTCATTCTTCTATTCATGCTCCATTATTGATACGGTGTACCTTAAATACTGAGATATAAAGTTAAGCATTATTAACACATCTTATTTTACATGATTAGGGAATGAGGGAAGAAAGAAAATAAAGTAAACATTGTGTATGTGATATCACACACACAAAAGAGTCATATTTATATAAAGATAAGAAATACTCATAATTAAGTTAGTCCATATATCCGCAACTGGTCTCATCGTTATAGCTGGTATGTTTAAACAGCTTCTTCCACTACCATTTTTATATCCTTTGCCCCCAGCAAGAACTTCAGTTTGTTTAATTTCTTGCCTGATGAAGTTACCTAAATCATTATTGCTGAAGGATCTGGGTGATTATCAGTCCATCCTGAATTGAGCTGTGCTAGTTTTCCACTGATTTCAATCACAAGAAATGAGAATACTAATAAGCACTCTGGAAGATCTCCTCCATTTCAGGTATATATATCTTTTTATTTTTTAGTAGAAACCTAATTTTACCTTGATAGCTAGAAGAATCACTCCAACTAGTACAGAAACCCCATTTGTTGCCTGTTAATTGAAGGCCCTAATTTGGCTGGGTCAAGTCTCAATGTCTAGTTCAATGCAATCATTATTGCATTATCACTTGATAGAAGCATTACTTCCTTTGAAATTAAGATCTCTAAACTCACAGGGCCTAAAATAATGGCAATGAGCGGCAAAAGTTTGCTAGTATATCACCTGAAGAAATAGTGATAGTACATTCTAATTTTTTTTCCCTCCTTTTGATTCCTTGACCCATACATTTGGACTGTAAGCGATATGGCACCACACATGTATGCTGACCATGCAGAATATACTGGGGATATTACTTCAGCTCTGAAAAGTGTTGCCATATGGCTG
Organism: Homo sapiens; assembly: GCF_000001405.40. Classification (NCBI taxonomy): domain Eukaryota; kingdom Metazoa; phylum Chordata; class Mammalia; order Primates; family Hominidae; genus Homo; species Homo sapiens. The sequence goes on along the minus strand of NC_000010.11, from coordinate 67,393,405 downwards.
ACATCATAAATGAGTCTTCAAAAAGCCATTCCACCATACTATTATCCATGCTATGAAGAAAATCATGGCAAGATTAGTTAATTTCATGAGCAAGGGCCCTTTGCCACATTTTATTTGCTGTAAAATAAATTCCTTGGTCAACAATGATGGTATGAGTAATAATATGATCCTGAATAAGGTATTCTGTAGCACACAGATGGTATTGTTGGCAGATTTTGAATTCAGCAGTTTCTGTGACCAGTAAATATTGATGAGTAGAAGTCCATACTGCAGGTCTGAGGTAAATCTTCCTCCCTGTCATCATGGCCACATTCTTTTTATTTTTATTTTTATTTATTTTTTTTTTATTATTATACTTTAAGTTTTAGGGTACATGTGTACATTGTGCAGGCTAGTTACATATGTATACATGTGCCATGCTGGTGCGCTGCACCCACTAACTCATCATCTAGCATTAGGTATATCTCCCAATGCTATCCCTCCTGCTTCCCCCCACCCCACAACAGTCCCCAGAGTGTGATGTTCCCCTTCCTGTGTCCATGTGTTCTCATTGTTCAATTCCCACCTATGAGTGAGAATATGCGGTGTTTGGTTTTTTGTTCTTGTGATAGTTTACTGAGAATGATGATTTCCAATTTCATCCATGTCCCTACAAAGGACATGAACTCATCATTTTTTATGGCTGCATAGTATTCCATGGTGTATATGTGCCACATTTTCTTAATCCAGTCTATCATTGATGGACATTTGGGTTGGTTCCAAGTCTTTGCTCTTGTGAAGAGTGCCGCAATAAACATACGTGTGCATGCGTCTTTATAGCAGCATGATTTATAGTCCTTTGGGTATATACCCAGTAATGGGATGGCTGGGTCAAATGGTATTTGTAGTTCTAGATCCCTGAGGAATCACCACACTGACTTCCACAATGGTTGAAGTAGTTTACAGTCCCACCAACAGTGTAAAAGTGTTCCTATTTCTCCACATCTTCTCCAGCACCTGTTGTTTCCTGACTTTTTAATGATCGCCATTCTAACTGGTGTGAGATGGTATCTCATTGTGGTTTTGATTTGCATTTCTCTGATGGCCAGTGATGATGAGCATTTTTTCACGTGTCTGTTGGCTGAATAAATGTCTTCTTTTGAGAAGTGTCTGTTCTTGTCCTTTGCCCACTTTTTGATGGGGTTGTTTGTTTTTTTCTTGTAAATTTATTTGAGTTCACTGTAGATTCTGGATATTAGCCCTTTGTCAGATGAGTAGGTTGTGAAAATTTTCTCCCATTTTGTAGGTTGCCTGTTCACTCTGATGGTAGTTTGTTTTGCTGTGCAGAAGCTCTTGAGTTTAATTAGATCCCATTTGTCAATTTTGTCTTTTGTTGCCATTGCTTTTGGTGTTTTAGACATGAAGTCCTTGCCCATGCCTATGTCCTGAATGGTAATGCCTAGGTTTTCTTCTAGGGTTTTTATGGTTTTAGGTCTAACGTTTAAGTCTTTAATCCATCTTGAATTGATTTTTGTATAAGGTGTAAGGAAGGGATCCAGTTTCAGCTTTCTACAAATGGGTAGCCAGTTTTCCCAGCACCATTTATTAAACAGGGAATCCTTTCCCCATTGCTTGTTTTTCTCAGGTTTGTCAAAGATCAGATAGTTGTAGATATGCGGCGTTATTTCTGAGGGCTCTGTTCTGTTCCATTGATCTATATCTCTGTTTTGGTACCAGTACCATGCTGTTTTGGTTACTGTAGCCTTGTAGTATAGTTTGAAGTCAGGTAGTGTGATGCCTCCAGCTTTGTTCTTTTGGCTTAGGATTGCCTTGGCGATGTGGGCTCTTTTTTGGTTCCATATGAACTTTAAAGTAGTTTTTTCCAATTCTGTGAAGAAAGGCATTGGTAGCTTGATGGGGATGGCATTGAATCTGTAAATTACCTTGGGCAGTATGGCCATTTTCACGATATTGATTTTCCTACCCATGAGCGTGGAATGTTCTTCCATTTGTTTGTATCCTCTTTTATTTCCTTGAGCAGTGGTTTGTAGTTCTCCTTGAAGAGGTCCTTCACATCCCTTGTAAGTTGGATTCCTAGGTATTTTATTCTCTTTGAAGCAATTGTGAATGGGAGTTCACTCATGATTTGGGTCTCTGTTTGTCTGTTGTTGGTGTATAAGAATGCTTGTGATTTTTGTACATTGATTTTGTATCCTGAGACTTTGCTGAAGTTGCTTATCAGCTTAAGGAGATTTTGGGCTGAGACAATGGGGTTTCTAGATATACAATCATGTCGTCTGCAAACAGGGACAATTTGACTTCCTCTTTTCCTAATTGAATACCCTTTATTTCCTTCTCCTGCCTAATTGCCCTGGCCAGAACTTCCAACACTATGTTGAATAGGAGTGGTAAGAGAGGGCATCCCTGTCTTGTGCCAGTTTTCAAAGGCAATGCTTCTGGTTTTTGCCCATTCAGTATGATATTGGCTGTGGGTTTGTCATAGATAGCTCTTATTATTTTGAAATACGTCCCATCAATACCTAATTTATTGAGAGTTTTTAGCATGAAGGGTTGTTGAATTTTGTCAAAGGCTTTTTCTGCATCTATTGAGATAATCATGTGGTTTTTGTCTTTGGTTCTGTTTATATGCTGGATTACATTTATTGATTTGCATATATTGAACCAGCCTTGCATCCCAGGGATGAAGCCCACTTGATCATGGTGGATAAGCTTTTTGATGTGCTGCTGGATTCGTTTTGCCAGTATTTTATTGAGGATTTTTGCATCAATGTTCATCAAGGATATTGGTCTAAAATTCTCTTTTTTGGTTGTGTCTCTGCCAGGCTTTGGTATCAGAATGATGCTGGCCTCATAAAATGAGTTAGGGAGGATTCCCTCTTTTTCTATTGATTGGAATAGTTTCAGTAGGAATGGTACCAGTTCCTCCTTGTACCTCTTGTAGAATTCGGCTGTGAATACATCTGGTCCTGGACTCTTTTTGGTTGGTAAGCTGTTGATTATTGCCACAATTTCAGATCCTGTTGTTGGTCTATTCAGAGATTCAGTTTCTTCCTGGTTTAGTCTTGGGAGAGTGTATGTGTCGAGGAATTTATCCATTTCTTCTAGATTTTCTAGTTTATTTGCATAGAGGTGTTTGTAGTATTCTCTGATGGTAGTTTGTATTTCTGTGGGATCGGTGGTGATATCCCCCTTATCATTTTTTATTGCATCTATTTGATTCTTCTCTTTTTCTTTATTAGTCATGCTAGTGGTCTATCAATTTTGTTGATCCTTTCAAAAAACCAGCTCCTGGATTCATTAATTTTTTGAAGGGTTTTTTATGTCTTTATTTCCTTCCGTTCTGCTCTGATTTTAGTTATTTCTTGCCTTCTGCTAGCTTTTGAGTGTGTTTGCTCTTGCTTTTCTAGTTCTTTTAATTGTGATGTTAGGGTGTCAATTTTGGATCTTTCCTGCTTTCTCTTGTGGGCATTTAGTGCTATAAATTTCCCTCTACACACTGCTTTGAATGTGTCCCAGAGATTCTGGTATGTTGTGTCTTTGTTCTCGTTGGTTTCAAAGAACATCTTTATTTCTGCCTTCATTTCTTATGTACCCAGTAGTCATTCAGGAGCAGGTTGTTCAGTTTCCATGTAGTTGAGCGGTTTTGAGTGAGATTCTTAATCCTGAGTTCTAGTTTGATTGCACTGTGGTCTGAGAGATAGTTTGTTATAATTTCTGTTCTTTTACATTTGCTGAGGAGAGCTTTACTTCCAAGTATGTGGTCAATTTTGGAATAGGTGTGGTGTGGTGCTGAAAAAAATGTATATTCTGTTGATTTGGGGTGGAGAGTTCTGTAGATGTCTATTAGGTCCGCTTGGTGCAGAGCTGAGTTCAATTCCTGGGTATCCTTGTTGACTTTGTCTCATTGATCTGTCTAATGTTGACAGTGGGGTGTTAAAGTCTCCCATTTTTAATGTGTGGGAGTCTAAGTCTCTTTGTAGGTCACTCAGGACTTGCTTTATGAATCTGGGTGCTCCTGTATTGGGTGCATATATATTTAGGATAGTTAGCTCTTCTTGTTGAATTGATCCCTTTACCATTATGTAATGGCCTTCTTTGTCTGTTTTGATCTTTGTTGGTTTAAAGTCTGTTTTATCAGAGACTAGGATTGCAACCCCTGCCTTTTTTTGTTTTCCATTTGCTTGGTAGATCTTCCTCCATCCCTTTATTTTGAGCCTATGTGTGTCTCTGCACGTGAGATGGGTTTCCTGAATACAGCACACTGATGGGTCTTGATTCTTTATCCAATTTGCCAGTCTGTGTCTTTTAATTGGAGCATTTAGTCCATTTACATTTAAAGTTAATATTGTTATGTGTGAATTTGATCCTGTCATTATGATGTTAGCTGGTTATTTTGCTCGTTAGTTGATGCAGTTTCTTCCTAGTCTTGATGGTCTTTACATTTTGGCATGATTTTGCAGCGGCTGGTACTGGTTGTTCCTTTCCATGTTTAGCGCTTCCTTCAGGAGCTCTTGTAAGGCCGGCCTGGTGGTGACAAAATCTCTCAGCATTTGCTTGTCTATAAAGTATTTTATTTCTCCTTCACTTATGAAGCTTAGTTTGGCTGGATATGAAATTCTGGGTTGAAAATTCTTTTCTTTAAGAATGTTGAATATTGGCCCTCACTCTCTTCTGGTTTGTAGGGTTTCTGCCGAGAGATCCGCTGTTAGTCTGATGGGCTTCCCTTTGAGGGTAACCCGACCTTTCTCTCTGGCTGCCCTTAACATTTTTTCCTTCATTTCAACTTTGGTGAATCTGACAATTATGTGTCTTGGAGTTGCTCTTCTCAAGGAGTATCTTTGTGGCGTTCTCTGTATTTCCTGAATCTGAACGTTGGCCTGCCTTGCTAGATTGGGGAAGTTCTCCTGGATAATATCCTGCAGAGTGTTTTCCAACTTGGTTCCATTCTCCCCATCACTTTCAGGTACACCAATCAGACGTAGATTTGGTCTTTTCACATAGTCCCATATTTCTTGGAGGCTTTGCTCATTTCTTTTTATTCTTTTTTCTCTAAACTTCCCTTCTCACGTCATTTCATTCATTTCATCTTCCATTGCTGATACCCTTTCTTCCAGTTGATCGCATCGGCTCCTGAGGCTTCTGCATTCTTCACGTAGTTCTCGAGCCTTGGTTTTCAGCTCCATCAGCTCCTTTAAGCACTTCTCTGTATTGGTTATTCTAGTTATACATTCTTCTAAATTTTTTTCAAAGTTTTCAACTTCTTTGCCTTTGGTTTGAATGTCCTCCCGTAGCTCAGAGTAATTTGATCGTCTGAAGCCTTCTTCTCTCAGCTCGTCAAAGTCATTCTCCATCCAGCTTTGTTCCGTTGCTGGTGAGGAACTGTGTTCCTTTGGAGGAGGAGAGGCCCTCTGCTTTTTAGAGTTTCCAGTTTTTCTGTTCTGTTTTTTCCCCATCTTTGTGGTTTTATCTACTTTTGGTCTTTGATGATGGTGATGTACAGATGGGTTTTTGGTGTGGGTGTCCTTTCTGTTTGTAAGTTTTCCTTCTAACAGACAGGACCCTCAGCTGCAGGTCTGTTGGAATACCCTGCCATGTGAGGTGTCAGTGTGCTCCTGCTGGAGGGTGCCTCCCAGTTAGGCTGCTCAGAGGTCAGGGGTCAGGGACCCACTTGAGGAGGCAGTCTGCTGGTTCTCAGATCTCCAGCTGCGTGCTGGGAGAACCACTGCTCTCTTCAAAGCTGTCAGACAGGGACATTTAAGTCTGCAGAGGTTACTGCTGTCTTTTTGTTTGTCTGTGCCCTGCCCCCAGAGGTGGAGCCTACAGAGGCAGGCAGGCCTCCTTGAGCTGTGGTGGGCTCCACCCAGTTCGAGCTTCCCGGCTGCTTTGTTTACCTAATCAAGCCTGGGCTATGGTGGGCGCCCCTCCCCCAGCCTCGCTGCTGCCTTGCAGTTTGATCTCAGACTGCCGTGCTAGCAATCAGCGAGACTCCGTGGGGCGTAGGACCCTCCGAGCCAGGTGCGGGATATACTCTCGTGGTGCGCCGTTTTTTAAGCCCCTAGGAAAAGCGCAGTATTCGGGTGGGAGTGACCCGATTTTTCAGGTGCCGTCCGTCACCCCTTTCTTTGACTCGGAAAGGGAACTCCCTGACCCCTTGCGCTTCCCCAGTGAGGCAATGCCTCACCCTGCTTCGGCTGGTGCACGGTGCGCGCACCCACTGACCTGCGCCCACTGTCTGGCACTCCCTAGTGAGATGAACCTGGTACCTCAGTTGGAAATGCAGAAATCACCCGTCTTCTGCGTCGCTCACGCTGGGAGCTGTAGACCAGAGCCGTTCCTATTCGGCCGTCTTGGGTCCTCCCTCAACTAACGGGCTTCTTGTTACAGATCAGAACTTCAGATGATTTAAAGAAGGATAGGAAGGTAGGACGGAGGTTTTGGAATGAGGTCTTAACAAATACTTAACTTTTGTGAGAATTGTATGTGCTTTCACTTGCTTTTGATCAGACTTGAATTAACCAAAAAGGAACTTGTGGTTTGCTTTGTTATTAACATTATGTGGAACTCATGTTAATGTGCATGGCCAACTTTCTTAAGGTAATTATCAGTCATGTAATCATTAAGTGACAGACACTATTTCCTACCTTTATCATTCTCAGTATTTCAGTCATAAGTAAATGAAACCCCTCATTTTTCGTGTTCTGGCACTATTCTTAAAACATATACAAAGGCCATTGGGATTAAAGTATAAGACTTTTTCTATCTTTTTCCTTTAAGATGATCTTCCTCAGTGCTTTGTTTTTCTTTCCTTTTTGTTCACTTCCCCCTAGGATCTATTGTCAGTCTTTTTTTCTGCTGATGTTTAATGAAGGCTTTCAACTCAGTTCAAACAAGTGTTGAAGTCAGATCTTAGGTAAAAGAATGTGAGAAACGCCCATTTTACCATCTGAAGAGAGGGTAAGAAGGGTGGTATGTGGTATGTTAGAGGGGCAGAAGGAGATGGACATGGAGGGGGTGAGTAGCCTGAGACCTGTGAGTTATGTAATGTCTGTATAAAGAAAAATTTCTGCTCAGAAGAATTCCAAGTAGTTGAAAACAGGACCGAACGTAAATAAATGAGATGAAATTCAATGTGTAATTATAAAAAGTAAGAACTCCTTATGCTTTCGTCAGACTGTCCAAATAACTTATTGCATATTTTTAGAAGCACATTCCCTATGGTGCATGGCAATGTAAAGAATTCAGAATCAGGTCTAACCCTATACCTAATTTATGAGTAAGTTTTATTTGGAAGTTAGAATATTGGCATATACTTATATTGTACATTATAGTTTCTGAGTGCCTTTTTATGCATTTCATTTTTAGATGCTCGAAACAATGTAGAGACATAAGCAGATAAGGTGATGGTATTTCCATTTTGTATATTATTTAAATGTCCCTTTACTGCACTGTATGTGACCAGGAGGTCACATTAATATTAAAGCTCCCGTGCACAGGCTGGTAGCTTCCACTTGCATGACTGTGAAACTTCTGCTGTCCTCCAACACTCCCCAGGTTTTTTTTTTTTTTTTTGAGATCCTTCAGGGTATATCCCCACCAGGCACTGTGGGACCACACTGGCTGCCAAACCCTCTGTAGGAATGTAGTTCCTGGACACAGCTGTCTTGCTCTGATGGTGCTGTTGCTTTGCGCTCAGAATGCTCAAGTTTCACATGCAGCCTTGGTTTAGGAGAATGAAGTGGGGAAGAGAAAAAAAAGGGTGAAGAGTTGGGTAATTCTCCTATATATGATTCCTTCTTCCTTTAAACTAGTGTTTTTAACTATACACATATAGATATTTGTACAATCAAAGGTAACAGTGGTGCAAACTTTATTCTATTAGAGTTTGTGAAGAAGGCTGAAAACCATTACTTTGATGAATGTGTGATCACTGAAAGATTCTGGGTCTCAATAGAGATTAGGGGCACCTCAAAAACTATATTAGGTAGAAGTGTTCTTTTTGGTTCAAGTTTCCTTATTATGCTTTTTCTAGTTTCTGAAAGAAAACTTCTGAGGTTTGAAAAAATTAAAAAGTCCCATTCTTGCATAAGTGAATTCTGGACAGAAGGAGAAGTCCCTTGTCAACCACAAGTGTGCAGATGGCTGGAGCCACAGGAGGCCCTGGGATGCCATTATTCTATACTGAGGTCATTAGACTATAAGCTGCATAAAGCAAGCCATCTCTTTCCCTTTTTTGGTAGCATTCACATTGAAAGAAGCAACAAAGTAGCATATAAAATAATTGAAAAGAAATTCAAATCTTTACTACTTTTTCTTATCAAAATAGGCCCTTTTTTGGTAGCATTCACATTGAAAGAAGCAACAAAGTAGCATGTAAAATAACCGAAAAGAAATTCAAATCTTTACCACTTTTTCTTATCAAAATAGGCCTTTTTGGTGGCATTCACATTGAAAGAAGCAACAAAGTAGCATCAAAAATAATTGAAAAGAAATTCAAATCTTTACCACTTTTTCTTATCAAATAGGCAAAGGGGAATAATTGCATAATACTCAGTAAGGCTTTCTTAAATATTTTTTCCTTATTCTCTCATTTTTACAATCTTCTATATGTAGCAGCTGCCTAATTTCTTCCTCTCATTCCATGCTCTATTTCTAAGCTCTCAGAAAGCTTTTTCTCTAAACTGAGTCATACGAGCTTCCTGTATTTGTTCCCTTTCTTCACTGGCTCAGAGTTTTATTAAACAGTTCTGCCTAGCCTTAGGGAGCTGTTTCAGTTTTGGGCTCCCCTGGAACTTTGAGCCTGCACAATGGAAGAAGACCTGGGAATTTATCAAACAAACAAGAATCTGTTATTTTAGTGGGTGGTGTGTGTGTAAGTAGTGGGAATCTAGAAGAATGCAAACATGTAACTCAGTACCTTTTCTTTTATTCCTGGAACAAGAAAAACCATGTCTATGAAGATAATGCATATATTTAGTGGATGAAGCATGAAAATAGTTGTTTATTAGGTCACATATTTTTAAAAGAGGTTTGGAGAAATTAAAACATCTTAATTCCAAGGATATCATATATTCCTTAAGCAATGAGAAAAATACCTTTGGAATTGTAAATTCAATAAGTGATAAGTTTTCTTATTTCAGGTAGGTTGCTAGAAAGAAAGGAGCCAAATTTGCAGCCACCACAGTGATGTATAGCGACCTTACTTTGTCTTTACCTTTATTTTTTTTTAACCAACTTTAAATTTATGCTAATTTGTGTTTTATGTATCCTTATAAAACACTTTATATCCTTTCTGGCACAAGGTGATATATACATATATAAGTAATGATAAGGAGCAAAACAGTAATGTTTCTCACGCTAGTGTAGATTTATCTTAATGCTATACAATCTAATGGTGTAAATGGTAAGGAATCTGTTAGTGACCCTTAGTATAAGAGCATTAACCTTGGCTTAGAAAATAAATCAAGAAAGCTGGTTTGATATTAAGTGGAACATAATTTCCTCAGTAGTCTGAAGGAAAAAGTTAAAAAGCAACTACAGATTATTTTTACTTCTCTGTTACCTACATCAAAGATTCTAGTAAACGTCACTGTTTAATGTTAGAAGTGGGTTATTTTCACCTTATTCATCATATACAATGTTTTGCATGCAGCTGCCATATAATAGAAACTCAATATTATATCTACTGACTCATTCTATATTTAAATTTATTGTTAACTAATCATTGAACTCCAAGATATGCCTAGCATAGCTCTAGTTAGGTTAGTGAGGTAAAGTGGACTGTAAACACCTTAAAAATCAAGGACCACATTCTAGTTGTGATTCTGAGTCTACACTACATTTTAAGTTGGTCTTTGGTACTACATAAATGGTAAGTTAGTACTTGTTGTGAGACTACATTATGTAGTGGTGAGAATCTTAATATGCAGCTAGGCAAATGAGTTCAAGTCCCAACTCCACTACTTACTGGTATATTCTAATCTTTCTGAGCTTTAGTTTCCTCAGCTGTAAGATGGGTATGGCAATACTTTCTTACCACGACTGTTGTGAAGATTAAATAGCATTACGCATGTAATGCCTTGTTCACGGTGCTTGCCACGGGGTAGGTACCATGGCTTTTTCATCTTCCTGTTGAATAAATGAATAAATAGATGAATGAGAACATTATACTTCCTGTTTAGAAATTTATTTTAAACAAATCACCTAGTACATTAACAATTAATTGTTCTTAATTTTTAATGAGAATTTATTAATAGAGATTATATAATATGTATAATATGTAACATTAAAACTAAGCAATGAATACAGTTCCAAGACTTACATTAAGTCATGCCTTTGATAAACACTGCATTAACAACTTATGGAGTGATGTAGTTTGGATGTTTTGCCCCTTCAAAATCCTGTGTTGAAATGTGACCTCCAATGTTGGAGGTGGGCCTAGTGGTAGGGTTTGGGTCTTGGGGACTGATCACTCATGAATGGCTTGATACAGTCTTTGTGATAATGAATGAATTCTTACTGTATGAGTTCACATGAAATCTGACTGTTTAAGAAAGCCTGGCACCCCCTCCTCTCTCTTGTTCCCGCTTTCATCATGAGATATGCTGGCTCCCCCTTTACCTTCTGCTATGAGTAAAAGCTTCCTGGGCCTCACCAGAAGCCCTGCAGAATGAGCCAAATAAACCATGAGTCAAATAAACCTCTTTTCTTTATAAATCACCCAGCCTCAGGTTATTTCCTTTATAACAATGCAAATGGACCAACACAGGGAGGCATATACACATACATGTATAAATGTATGTATAGTAAGAAACAGATGGGTCCACTTATAGCAGATGATGAGAGCCATGTTGTCAAGAAGATCATAACAATTAATGAAACCTTAATTTTAGTAGTTCCTACAAATACATATTATATTTTTCTAATATAATTTCTATCACATGAACCTTTGTTAGTTGATTTTTAGTTGATTTTTATTTTAATTCTGCTTATTTTATACATGTATTTATCCTACACTGTTTTAAAGTTTTTTGAAAATTGATAGGATAAATTATAAATTGATAAAAATGAATACAATTTTGTTAAAATTTTTGTTTAGTGTGCCATGTGAATGCTGTGCCTTAGCAGGGCTTAGTGCTTTGGGTTCTGTACTGGTAGGCATCCTTTGCTTATGGAAATTATTGCACTGTTCTTAGTAGACATTTCAAGAATTCAGTAGATAAAACATCCTGGAAAACTTGAGAGACTTGGATTGCTGACAGAAACCTCCATTTCTTAACTATGTTTAGTTAAAAATAATTAAAAAGTTAGAATGAAAGAAACTAACATTGAATTCTCATAAACTGTTAGTCAAACAGCTTCTGTGGAAAAAAATCTTTTTGATTATCTATTTTTCATTGAACATGGTTTAAGTAAACTGATATAATTTTAAGTATTAGTCACCAAAGAACTTCCAATGTACATGTAAGTAAAATGAATATGCTCAGAGCTGGATAGTGATATTGTTTCAGTTGATCACACTGGACTGGAAAAAAAAAGAAAGAAAACAAGGCAGCAGGGCAATGATTGATAGACAGGGCTTCACCTGTCAGAAAGGGCTGGAGGTGCTATTTCTGAGTGAGCGTTTTCAATTCTAGAAAGAACTTAATGCCTGAGTTCCTCCTTTGAAAGTGCCTATATAGAAATGGAGTATCTGGAGACTGTATGTATGTTGTATATGTAATTTCCATGGGCAGAGAGTACACAGATAACAGGAACTTCTTTGAAGTTAAAATGTACTATTTTTTATATGAAAGAGGGTCAGGGGAGGGTGGTGGTATGAGGAGAGGGTGGTACATTTAGCTCAAGCTTTGTGTCAGATCTTCCAGTTAACCTCCTTAAATTTTTATTGGAAATAATTACAGTGCACGAAGGAAGGGAAACACATCTGAATAGATCATTAAACTTCTTTTTTTTCATTTTCAGAAGGCTGTGGAGCAGAGCATGTAGTTCTTGATATGAAACACAAAATAGAGTCTTTTGGATTAGAATATGTGGGACAGTAACACATACTGGAAAGATGTTAAGAAGATTGAATTTATAGAGAATGTTTTTACCACTAAATTGCTTTGTGGCCTTAGGAAAGTCTGGGTTTTAGTCTCCTTACACGTAGTTTCATTTTGAAACCTAAAAGTTATATGAAAGTCTTTAATTTTATTATGCAGATGTTTCCCCTTGACTTTTCAGTGTTTTTATGGCTAGCAAATGGGAATATTGATTTGTGTACTTAAAATACTTTAATGATCTTCAGTTCATATCTGTAGACTATTCTGAAACAAGGAAGGGAATTGTTTCATAAAATGGTGAGCTCTTGGTTCAAGGAGATACTCAATCAGCAGAGAGACAGTCATCAGGACTGTGGTAATGGAGCTTGAGTTCAGGGCAATAGATTTGTTATATGGTACCTGAAGCCCTTGAGGTTTTAGGATTCTAATTCTTGGTATTATATTTCTCTTAGTGCTCTCTGCTAACCTATTTTAGTCACTAAAAAGTACAAAGTGAAATAGAAAAATGAAGACTAAAGTAACTTCTTAAAGATTTCCTTCCAAGATTGCAAATAAGGAATTTGCTCCATTTATAGTAGTTGCTCTCTCCCTTACTCAAATCATATCAGTTCTGTAAGACCAGTCTCTGGCCTCCACTTCTTCATGAAACCCTTCTTTTGTATTCCTACTGTTTTCGTCTTCCCTATTTGCCCTTAGTACTCATTAACAAATGTGGAAGCATCTGTGCATATAGAATATGTACCATTCATTTAGACAGTTGAGTATATCAAACTTTCTCTTAGTTGTAAAAGATATTGATCCTTTAGTCTTTCATAAGTACAGGTCATGCCACATACTGTTTCCTCCCTATTACCTATGATATTTTAGGTACTAACTCAATGCATATTTGTTGAATTAACTTTTATACACAACCCATGAAAGGAGCCACCTATGCACCTATGCCTCTTGGAAGATTACAGTTAATCTCCAGGAATATTCTTTTATTTATTGAATAATCTTTCATGAAAAGGTTTTACTTGAATTTTCATTCCCATTTCACTGGTTATAGTATGTTCTCTTTTTTCAGAATTTCTAAGTGGAATGAAAAATTTCATGTTGCTCACATCGTACCTTAGATTTTCTTAGACTTTAGAACTTTATCTGATCCATTTTGAATGAAAATATAATCTTTCAAAAATTAGTTTCTAAGACCTCTCAGATTCCTCTTATTTCTTCTTCAGCAAAATACAAAAGAACATTGCCTTACATAGAAATTAGATTAGTTTGATAACAGGCATAATGCCCCTACTGTAAGTGTTCTGTTTGCTCTCCAGACTAATTCTTTTTTTTTTTTTTTTTTTTTTTGAGACGGAGTCTCACTCTGTCGCCCAGGCTGGAGTGCAGTGGCGGGATCTCGGCTCACTGCAAGCTCCGCCTCCCGGGTTCACACCATTCTCCTGCCTCAGCCTCCCAAGTAGCTGGGACTACAGGCGCCCGCCACTACGCCCGGCTAATTTTTTGTATTTTTAGTAGAGACGGGGTTTCACCGTTTTAGCCGGGATGCTCTCGATCTCCTGACCTCGTGATCCGCCCGCCTCGGCCTCCCAAAGTGCTGGGATTACAGGCGTGAGCCACCGCGCCCGGCCTCTCCAGACTAATTCTATGCTCTACTCATGGTTTAGGATTTTCACCTCATTGTACTCTAAAGTCTTGGATTTCCTATTCTAGATCAGATGGCTTGTATTAAGTGTGGACCTGTCACCTATTGATCCTATTTAAAAAATTACCAAGAGCCTTTAAAGTATAAACTTGTTTGCTTTACCTTTGGGAAAAGCAATGTGATGTTCATATTCGCATGATACTTTCTAAATATATTTTTAGTCCATTTTCCCCACCAAGGGTTATATGCCATATTCTTGTTTATATTTAACTATATTAATATCTTTGTATAATGCCTTTCAATTTATAAACACTTTCATAAGGATCATAGCATATAATGATCATAGTTGCCCTGTGAACTAGGCAAGGAAGTTATATCACCTTCGTTTTGTAGAAGATGAATCTGAGGCTTGAGGATTTTAAGAGACTTGTCCAAGCGGGGGGCTAGAGCTGAAACACAGGCATCCTGACTCCTACTTCTATGCTATTTTCACTATACAATGTGGTCTTTGGATGAGTATTAAAAAATAAAAGACAGAATTATGCTCATGGCAACTTTATAATAATGTAATATTATGTTTTAAACAGAGAAATATTTTAAGACATATGTAGTATTTTCCACAAAAGGTCAAATCTTGTATTTAGAATTCCTAGACATAGATTTTTAGATACCTTTTAAATGGTTGATGCAGTTAGGTACACAAACACAGTGAAGAAGCTCTGCATTTGTCAATGTAGACAAACGACAATTGAAAATGACAAATGGCAACAGAAATGTATCAAGTGCCCATTATTTGACATGTATCTCATAATTGTTCAGTTACCTAGCCAAAGTCCAGAATGCTTCAATGGAATTGCCCTTATATGTTACTTATTATGATAGCAACTAAATAAATTCTAAAGGGCATAAAATGATCTATTAAATAAAAAATGTGGTATATATACACCATTGTGTATATATTCCATTAACACTATTCAGCCATAAAAAGAATGAAATCCTGTCATTCACAGCAACATGGTTGGAACTGGAGGACACTGTTAAGTGAAATAAGTCAGGAACAGACAGTTAAAAACTGCATGTTCTAAGTCATACGTGGATGAGGGACTTTCCAAACATGTCAAGGTTATGAAAGAACAGGAAAGATGGAGACTGTCTTTCTCACAGAATTCTCACAGATCTGAGGAGACAAAAGAAGATGACCACAAAATGTTTCATAACATCTTTGATTGGACCCTGAAACAGAATAAGGACATCCATTAAAAAAGAATGGTAGAACTCTAATAAAGTCTGGCATTTGTTAATAGTGTTCTACACAAATATTCGTTTCTTAGTTTTGATAACCATACCTGGTTATGTAGGATGTTAACATTAGTGATGTTAACATTTGAGAAAGCTGGGCAATAGATATACAGAAACTCTCTGTATCATTATGACAACTCTTTTGTAAGTCTAAAGTTATTTCAAAATAACAAGTTAAAATTTTAAAAATTCTCAAAATGTTTAAAATCTTTTGTTATATTAAGTGTCCCAGTTTGAGGTTTGGAACAAATATCACTGTAATTATACAAAACATTAAAACATAAAAAAAAGTAAAAAGTAGAACATAGGACACTAGGGTCTGAGAAGGGTAGGGGGAAGAAGGTGATAGAGATTTGTTAAAGGGTACAAAATTAAAGCTAGAAGCCTTGTTTTGTGGCATGCGCCTGTAGTCCCAGTTACTTGGGAGGCTGAAGTGTGGGGGTGGCTTGAACCCAGGAGTTCAAGGCTGCAGTGAGCTATGATTGTGCTACTACTCCAGCCTGGGTGACAGAGCAAGACTGTCTCTTAAAAAAAAAGTTACAGCAAGATAGGAGGAATAAGTTCTGGTGTTCTCTAGCACTGTAGGATGACTATAATTAACAATAATATATTATGTAGTTTCAAACTCCTAGAAGGAAGAAACTGAATGTTCCCAACACAAAGAAATGACAAATGTTTTAGATGGTAGATATGCTAATTACCCTGCTCTGATCACCATACATTATAGGCATTGAAACATCACTATGTACTCCATAAATGTATATAATTATTATATGTCAATGAAAATTTTTTTTAAAATAAGCTCTTTTTATAGAGAAAGAATAGTTAGAGCAAAAACATCTCAGAATTCAGCAACCTGCAAAAAATTTAAAACAATTTATCCCCAAATTTCCAGACCCTGTACTTTAAATCAGTCGTTGAATGTTAGTGTAAAATAATTTTATTTGGAAAGTATTAGGATGAGAAATTCAAGTTTATAATAGAAAAGTACTTCATAGAATTTCCCTCTAGAGAAGGAAATGCTAAACTGAAAAGACCTAGGAGATTTCAACTAGTCCCTACTCTTAACTTATTCTGACAAATTTTCCTATTGGTGACTTCTCATTCTTTCCTTAATATACATCTTCTTTCTTCTCCCTGATGCTGCTACATACACATTCTACTTTCTAGTACAGAAGGTTTTCTTTTTAACAGCAATCTCAGAGGTTAAATCTTTTTAGGTCTGTTTGAAAATCTGAATATATTACATCTACTGTGGATTACATAAAGTTTAGCAGGGTCTACATTGTTACTGTACCAAACAGAAATCCAAACTAAAGTATGTTAAACTGGTTAGGATATATTCATCCCTAGAGGAAGAGAGCACTTTTATCTGTGCACTGGAATGCAAACATGCCTTTTTCATTTTAAATATAAGCCAAATAATCTTGAATTTATACCACTTGCTTGGATGGCGCTGAGCAGATTCAAAAGGCATCATAGCTATGGGCTCTAACATATATCTTTGAGCTTTGATGTGTATTGACTTTCTCGTATCAAGGCTGTAATATCTCTGAAGTGCCCTGGCAGGTTAGTTAGGAATGGCTTTTCCTGCAGCAATTGAGATTGTTCTCTGTAATTAAACTACTTTTCCAAGAGTTCCCTTAAGAGGGTTTCCAAGATTTTTCACGATGTTAGTCTCTGGTTGATAGCTTTTTAGTTTGTCTCTTACTCTGCTATGAAAGAGGGATACTTGGCTTACTAGTTTCTTTTGTCTACGTCCTAACTTAATATCTAACCATAGCATAACATAAAGCTGAATGTGTGAACAGTGGGTCAATTAAAGAAGAAAGCACCACTTTTTAAATGACATTGTCCACAGAGCATCGGTGAGCTATATGAATTAGATTTGTAGTCCTTACGCACCTATTCTTTCATCTCTACCAAGGAGGAAATCCCAGAAATCAACTGTTTGATGAGGACTTATTTATTATTTAGTATTCATCTTAATTCATGTGAGAGGATATTGACTATAAGGTAGGCTCTATTAACTGATTAACCTAAGACCAATTTCCAATCCTCTTCTCTTTTGCCAGACTCCACTATGAAGTCTAAGGAAGCTAAGTGTTTACTAGTCCAGCCTCCCTTGCAGGCAGTGAGGGTTAAGTGACTTTCCTGACCTCCCTTGAAGGTAGTTCTGTCCCCTAAGGTGTTAGATTTTGCTTTCCTGATAAAAGACATAGATGTGGCTAGTACTACTGCTTTCTCCCTGTCTTAGTCCATTTGGTCTGCTGTAACAAAATGCCACAAACTAGGTAGCTTATAAACAACTGGAGTTTATTTTTCACAGTTCTGGAGTTTGGGAAGTTTAAGATCAAGGCACTGGTATATTTGGCAGCTGGTGAGGGCCCACTTTCTCATAGACAGTGCCTTCCTGCTCTGTTCTCTCAAGGTAGAAGGTAAATGGGTTCCTTTTGGCCTCTTTTATAAGAGCACTGATCCTATTCATAAGGGTTCCGCCTTCCTGAACTAATCACCTCCCAAAAGGTCCCACCTTCTAATATCATCACTTTGGGGGTTAGCCTATGAGTTCTTGAAGCTGTTCTGTTGTTGGCAGCCACCCTTATGAATTTGTTTTCAGAAAATTAAACTACCATTTATTTCAGGTTTTGTTAGCCAGAAGGATTCCTAATTAATATATGATAGTCATTGACCACCTTCAATGAAGTAGAGAAGAATCCTTTTCATTAGGACAGGGTTTCTTAACCTTGGCACTATTGACATTTAGTGTTGAATAATTATTGTGTGAGATGTCCTCTGCATTGCAGGTTTTTGTTTTTTTTTTGAGACAGAGTCTTGCTCTATTGCCCAGGGTGGAGTGCTCTTGGCTCACTGCAACTTCTGCCTCCCGAGTTGAAGCGATTCTCTTGCCTCAGCTTCCCGAGTAGCTGGGATTACAGTAACATGCCATCACGCCCAGCTAGGCTAATTTTTTTGTATTTTTAGCAGAGACAGGGTTTCGCCATGTTGGCTAGGCTGGTTGTGAACTCCTGACCTCAGGTGATCTGTCCACCTCGGCTTCCCAAAGTCCTGGGATTACAGGCATGAGCCACTGCACCCGGCCCATTGCAGGTTTTTAAGAGCATCCCTGACCTTGACTCATTGTGATACCCAATAATTTATCCAGATATTGCTGAATGTTATATAGGAAGAGTAGGCATTATCTAGTTCAACTCCTGTGTTTACCATTAAAAACTTGTCACATGGCTAGTTAGTGGTAGAGTTAGGATAAGAAACTAGATCCTCTGATGTCTCTGTGCTCTTCTCACAATCATGGCAAGACCAAGCATACACTAAAATAATTTAAATAATTTGGGCAGGATAATAAATAGCATCTTCAACTTTTAGTATGTCGGTGTCAAACATGTCTTAGGGCTATGTGCCTCCTGGAGTTGTATCATTAAATGATTAGTCTATTTATGTCCTAACTTAATATCTAAATATTTTCATTTTGGAGTTGTGTTCTTAAGAGATATATATTTGTATATTAAACTAAATAAGTTGTATATTTGGTGTTCTATAATGTAGAATTTTTTGCTTTAATGAAATTATTAAAAATAGTTTTAAGACAAGCCAAGCAAATTTTCTCTTCAAGTAGCTTATGTTGACTGTTTCTTCTCCCTGAGGCCCTCTTCCCTTAGCTAACCATATAGATTGCTGCTTTACTTCCTTCAAGTCCCTGTTCAAAAGTCACCTCACTAGACATTATTTACCTGTAACAAAATATCTCATGTACTCCATAAATATATACACCTAATATGTACCAATAAAAATTATAAATTAATAAAATAAAATGCAGTGGATTTAAAGCAAAAAAGTCTCATTAGAGATACAGTATCATATAGCCCAATATAAAAGAAGTAAATCTGATGAATAAGATCGGATGAATAAGAATATGAATAACTCTTCCTTATGGAAAAGTTGGTTAATATTTATTTATTTATTTATTCGTTCATTCGTTATCCAATTTTTTTATTTTGAAAGATGGAAATCTTACATACCTTTCAAGGTTCAACTGATGGATAATCAGAGAAACAAAATTCCAGAACAGAGTTGGGCAAACTACAGCCCTTGGACCAAATCTGGCTGGCTACCTGTTGTTATAAATAATATTTTATTAGAACACAGTCACACCCACTTGTTTACTTATTGTCTGTGGCTGCTTTTGTACCATAAAAGCAGAGTTGAGTAATCGTGACAGAGACCATATGGCCAACAAACCTTAAAATATTTAGTATCTGGCTCTTTATAGAAAAATTTTGCTGAAACCTACTCTAGAGCTGTAAGGAAATCTAGACATAATTTACTACAGTGGTCTGAAAGTTTTTAAAATGTGCACTTCTATCAAAAAATAAGTTTTACAAAAGTTCTACCATTTGCTAGGAACCATTTGAGGCACTGGAGATAAACATAAACATTACATTAAACATTACAACTAAGTGCCTGACCCCATGGGGCATAGCATGTTGTTTTCAGGGGAGAGACAGATATATAAACAGATCAGAAAAATTATATATGAAATGTACAGTGAAGTTTCCCTTGACTTCTCTGCCCTCATCTATACAACCCCACCCATCCATCAGGGTAATCAAAATTATGTGTTTCTTATGTATCTTTCCAGAGACTCTTTATATATATAAGAAAACATAAATATAGATTCTTATTACCCCATCATTTTACAGAAAAGTAACAACTATACAACTCCTCTGTAGCTTGCTTTTTTTCACTTAACATTGTGGGAGATCTTTTTCACTTAACAAGTGGAGATCTTGGTGCAGAGCTGAGTTCAATTCCTGGATATCTTTGTTAACTTTCTGTCTCATGGATCTGTCTAATGTTGACAGTTGGGTGTTAAAGTCTCCCATTATTGTTGTGTGGGAGTCTAAGTCTCTTTGTACGTCTCCAAGGACTTGCTTTATGAATCTGGGTGCTCCTGTATTGGGTGCATATATATTTAGGATAGTTAGCTCTTCTTGTTGAATTTATCCCTCTACAATTATGTAATGGCCTTCTTTGTCTCTTTTGATCTTTATTGATTTAAAGTCTGTTTTATCAGAGACTAAGATTGCAATCCCTGCCTTTTTTTTGTTTTCCATTTGCTTGGTAGATCTTCCTCCATCCCTTTATTTTGAGCTATGCATGTCTCTGCATGTGAGATGGGTTTCCTGAATACAGCACTCTGATGGGTCTTGACTCTTTATCCAATTTGCCAGTCTGTGTCTTTTAATTGGAGCATTTAGCCCATTTACATTTAAGGTTAATATTGTTATGTGTGAATCATCCTGTCATTATTATGTTAGCTGGTGATTTTGCACGTTAGTTGATGCAGTTTCTTCCTAGCCTCGATGGTCTTTACAATTTGGCATGTTTTTGCAGTGGCTGGTACCGGTTGTTCCTTTCCATGTTTAGTACTTCCTTCAGGAGGTCTTTTAGGGCAGGCCTGGTGGTGACAAAATCTCTCAGCATTTGCTTGTCTATAAAGTATTTTATTTCTCCTTCACTTATGAAGCTTAGTTTGGCTGGATATGAAATTCTGGGTTGAAAATTCTTTTCTTTAAGAATGTTGAATATTGGCCCCCAGTCTCTTCTGGCTTGTAGAGTTTCTGCCGAGAGATCTGCTGTTAGTCTGATGGGCTTCCCTTTGTGGGTAACCCGACCTTTCTCTCTGGCTGCCCTTAACATTTTTTCCTTCATTTCAACTTTGGTGAATCTGACAATTATGTGTCTTGGAGTTGCTCTTCTCGAGGAGTATCTTTGTGGTGTTCTCTGTATATCCTGAATTTGAATGTTGGCCTGCCTTGCTAGGTTGGGGAAGTTCTCCTGGATAATATCCTGCAGAGTGTTTTCCAACTTGGTTCCATTCTCCCTATCACTTTCAGGTACACCAATCAGACGTAGATTTGGTCTTTTCACATAGTCCCATATTTCTTGGAGGCTTTATTCGTTTCTTTTTATTCTTTTTTCTCTAAACTTCTCTTCACGCTTCATTTCATAATTCAATATGGATTAAAGACTTAAATGTTAGACCTAAAACCATAAAAACCCCAGAAGAAAACCTAGGCATTACCATTCAGGACATAGGCATGGGCAAGGACTTCATGTCTAAAACACCAAAAGCAATGGCAACAAAAGCCAAAATTGACAAATGGGATCTAATTAAACTCAAGAGCTTCTGCACAGCAAAAGAAAATACCATCAGAGTGAATAGGCAACCTACAGAATGGGAGAAAATTTTTGCAATCTACTCATCTGACAAAGGGCTAATATCCAGAATCTACAAAGAACTCAAACAAATTTACAAGAAAAAAAAAACAACCCATCAGCAAGTGGGCGAAAGATATGAACAGACACTTCTCAAAAGAAGACATTTATGCAGCCAACAGACAGATGAAAAAATGCTCATCATCACTGGCCATCAGACAAATGCAAATCAAAACCACAATGAGATACCATCTCACACCAGTTAGAATGGCAATCATTAAAAAGTCAGGAAACAGCAGGTGCTGGAGAGGATGTGGAGAAATAGGAACACTTTTATACTGTAGGTCAGACTGTAAACTAGTTGAACCATTGTGGAAGACAGTGTGGTGATTCTTCAGGGATCTAGAACTAGAAATACCATTTGACCCAGCCATCCCATTACTGGGTATATACCCAAAGGATTATAAATCATGCTGCTATAAAGACACATGCACACATATGTTTATTGCAGCACTATTCACAATAGCAAAGACTTGGAACCAACCCAGATGTCCATCAATGATAGACTGGATTAAGAAAATGTGGCACATATACACCATGGAATACTATGACACCATAAGAAAGATGAGTTCATGTCCTTTGCAGGGACATCGATGATGCTGGAAACTATCATTCTCAGCAAACTATTGCAAGGACAAAAAACCAAACACCACATGTTCTCACTCATTGGTGGGAATTGAACAATGAGAACACATGGACACAGGAAGGGGAACATCACACACTGGGGCCTGTTGTGGGATGGGGGGAGGGGGGAGGGATAGCATTAGGAGATATACCTAATGTAAATGACGAGTTAATGGGTGCAGCACACCAACATGGCACATGTATACATATGTAACAAACCTGCACATTATGCACATGTACCCTAGAACTTAAAGTATAATAGAAAAAAAATATGTATATATAAAAAGAAAAATGGGAAGAAAAAAAGGAACAATTTCTTGCTGTAAAACTTCCTCTTGGCCGGGCGCGGTGGCTCACGCCTGTAATCCCAGCACTTTGGGAGGCCGAGGCGGGCGGATCAAGAGGTCAGGAGATCGAGACCATCCAGGCTAAAACGGTGAAACCCCGTCTCTACTAAAAATACAAAAAATTAGCCGGGCGTAGCGGCGGGCGCCTGTAGTCCCAGCTACTTGGGAGGCTGAGGCAGGAGAATGGCGTGAACCCGGGAGGCGCAGCTTGCAGTGAGCCGAGATCCCGCCACTGCACTCCAGCCTGGGCGACAGAGCGAGACTCTGTCTCAAAAAAAAAAAAAAACAAAAAAAACTTCCTCTTAACATGTATAGGATTATATTTAATGTAATGCAAACAAGTTTCTTTTCATCTGTTTTTTCTCTGAAATAGTGATTAGTTGAAAACATTATATGTACATATACACACAAATACAGAGTTCTCCTTATCCACAGAAAATATGTCATATGTCACATTAAAGAGCAAATATACCAAATAGTGAGTTATTATGCCTTTGATAAGTAGAAAATCTTACTAAACAGAGTTTAGTTATAAGGAACCATGAAGGGAAATTAACAATATGCATTCCTAACCTACAGATGTAAAATGTATAACCAGGACCCCCAAATTATGAAACTATACTATTGTAAGATTTCTTAGCTATTTGTCGTTATTCGCATGCAAACACATGCCTGCAAGTACTTGTAAACTGTCAAATAAACCATGATCAAATTTAGAAAAATACTTCAGATTTTTCAAATTTACCTAGAAATAAAATACATGGTAAAAGCAGAGTATAGATAATTACCCAGTTACCTGTCACTTCAAATAAACAAAATATCAGAAATAAATTATATATCAAAATGAATTGATGTGAGTCACATACACAAATTTTGTGAAAAAAGTAAAATGATGAAACCTGAATAAAAAAAAATCAAGTGGAGATCTTTCCACATCAGCATATAGAGATCTGCCTTATTTTTTGTAACAGCTTTATAGTATTCAATTATATAGACATACCAAAATTTGTTTGACCAGTCCTTTATTGATGGACATTTTAATGATTTTCAATCTTTTGCCATTACACAGAATAATGTAAGTAATAACTATATATATACACACATACATACATATATACATACATACACTTAAGTATGTAGACACACCTACACATGCATATATACAACTTCATAGGCATGCAAGTGTTATTTGTAGGATAAATTCTCAGAAGTGAAAGTTTGGGGTTAAAGGGCATATGCATTTGTAATTTGTACAGATATTGCCAAAGTGTCCTCCAAAATGGTGGTACTAATTTACATTCTCATGGTGTATGAGAATACCTGCATGCTGAAGCCTAACTAACAGTGTCTTTAACTTTGGTTATTTTTCTAAGCTGATAGGCAAAAGATATTATCTAGTGTTATTTTAATTTGCATTTTTTATTAGAAAGGTTAAGCATCTTTATCTGTACATATGCATATTTGTTCACATTCTTTACCCATTTTCTTTTGAGTTACTGGACTTCTTTTGCTTACTGATTTTTAGGAGCTTTTAAAATATTGAGTAGATTAACTCTTTGTAATATGACTTGCAATTACACTTTTTCCAGATTGTTGTCTTTTGAATTTGCTTATGGTGTATTTTCGCCATGGAGAAGATTTTAATTGTTGTCAGATTTATACATTTTTTTCTTTTATTGACTCAGTCATAGTTAGCTCGCAGGCCCAAGGTTGAAAAGGAATTATCACATGGTTGCACTTTCTACAAGCAAATCTTTGATCTATTTAGAATATATGCATCTGGAATATAATGATATAATGTGAGGTATGGATTCAATCTTATTTAATTTTTTCTGGATGTTTATCCAGTTTTTCCAAGAGCAAGTCTTGACCAGCAAGTCTCCTAACTTGTTTGAGATATCACTTTTTTCACAGAATGCATTCGTTTATGTATTTGAATCTATTTTTGGATTTTTAATTCTTCCTATTCATCTTACAGCATCAGTATTTTAATTACCAAGGCTTTAAAAATAGATTTATTGAGGTTTAATATATGTAATGCATTATACATACATATTTTAGTGACAGGGTTTTGCTGTGTTGCCCAGGCTACCTTCTAGCTTTTAGGCTCAAAAGATCCCCCTGCTTCAGCCCCTAAAGTAGAGTGCATACATTTTAAGTGTACAATTTGATGAGTTTTGAAATATGTCGATGGTGAAACCATCACCATAGTCAAGATAGTAAATGTACCAATCTCTCCCTAAAGTTTTCTCTTGCCCGTCTGCAATGTTTCCCTTTTCTGCCTCCTGTGTCTCTCTTCCTCCTCTCCACAGGTAACCACTGATCTGCTTTATGTCACTGTAGATTAATTCACATTTCTGGAATTTTATAGACATGGAATTATATAACATGTGCTCTTTTTATGTAGCTTTTTTTCACTCAGCATAATTATTTTGAGATTCATCCATCATGTTGTGTTTATCAGTAGTTTTAAATATTGTGAAATAGTATTCCATTGTATGGATACCATTATTCGTTTATTTATTTAGCTGCTGATAGATGCTTGGGTTGTTTCCAGTTTTAGGCTATTACGAGTACAACTGTCATGAACATTCATGTATTTAAGTTTTTGTGTAAAGAGACATTTTGATTTATCTTGAGCAAATATCTAGGAGTGCAGTGGCTTAGTCACATGGTAGATGTATTTTTACACTTTTAAGAAATCATCAAACTGTTTTCCAAAGGAGTTGTGCCATTTTACATTCCCACTATCTGTGTATGAGAGTTTCAGTGGTCCACATCCTTGCCAATAGTCTTTTTATGGTCAGCCTTTTAAATTTCAGCCATTCTAGTGAGCATGTAGAACTATCTCAATTTGGTTTTAACTTCTATTTCCTTAATAACTAATGATGTTAAACATCTCACGTGCTTATTTGCCATCTCTACATCTTCTTTGGTGAGATGCCTGTTAGGTTCAATCTTTTGTTTGTCCTTCTATCAAGTTGTAAAACTTCTTTAAATATTCTAGGTATAAGTCCTTTGTGGGACATTTATTTTTCGAATATTTTCTCCCATTCCGTGGTGTACTTTTTCATTCATTTTTTTTGGAGCTCTGTAAGCCCTTTTCCCACCAGCTTCTGTTTTAGATTCAAGGGGTACATGCGCAGGTTTTTTACAAGGGTGTGTTGTGTGATGCTGAGATTTGGGATACAATTAAACCTATCACCCACATACTGAGCATAGTACCCAATGATTAGTTTTTCAACACTTTCCTTTCTCCCTTTTTCCGCACTCTTGTTGTCACCATTTTTATGCCCATGTGCATCCAATGTTTAGCTCCCACTTATAAGCAAGAACATACAGTATGTGGTTTTCTGTTTCTGCATTAGTTCACTTAGGATATTGGCTTCCAGCTGCAGCCATATTGGTGCAAAAAACAAGACTTCGTTATTTTTTATGGGCATACTGTATTCGACATTTTCTTTATCCAGTTCACTTTTGACGGGCACCTAGGTTGATTCCATGTCTTTGCTATTGTGAATAGTGCTGTGATGAAGATCTGGGTGTGTGTGTCTTTTTGGTTGAATGAATAATTGTCCTTTGGATATATCCCTAGTATTGGGATTGCTGTTCGCATGGTAATTCTATTTTTAGTACTTTGATAAATCTCCAAACTGTGTTTCACAGTGGCTAAACTAATTGACATTCCCACAAACAGTTTATAGGCATTTACTTTTCTCTGTAGCCTTCACCAACATCTGTTTTTTTTTTGACTTTTTATTAATAGACATTCTGACTTGTGTAAGATGGGATCTCATAGTTTTGATTAATGATGTTGAATATTTTTTTCGTATGTTTGGTGGCCACTTGTATGTCTTCTTTTGAGAAATGTCTGTTAATGTTCTTTGTCCACTTTTTAATGGGGTTATTTGTTTTTCGCTTGTTGAATTTTCTAAGTTCCTTATAGAGTCTGGATTTTAGACCATTGTTGGATACCTAGTTTGTGAATATTATCACCAACTCTGTAGGTTGTCTTTTTATTCTGTTGATAGTTTCTTTTGCTTTGCAGAAGCACTTTAGTTTAATTAGGTCCCACTTTTTCATTTTTGTTGCAATTGCAGGACTTAGCCATAAATTCTTTTCCAAGGCTGATGTCTAAAAAGGCATTTCCTAGCTTTTCTTCTAGAATATTTTTAGTTTTAGGTTTTGCATTTAAGTCTGCAATCCACCTTTTTTTTTAAACTTTTTGAAAATTTTTAACCTAAACAACAAATTTATTTCTCACAGTTTTAGAGGATAGTTTAATCCATCTTGAGTTAATGTTTGTATGTAGTTAGAGGTAGGGGTCCAGTTTTATTCTTCTGCATATGGATAGCCAGTTATCTCAGCATCATTTATTGAATAGGGAGTAGAGAGTTCTTTCCCCATTGTATGTTTTCATCAACTTTGTCAAAGAGCAGATGGTTGTAGGTGTGTGGCCTTATTTCTGTTCTCTATTCTGTCCCATTAATCTATGTGTCTTTTTTTTTTTCCTTTGGACGAAGTTTTGCTCTTGTCACCCAGGCTGGAGTGCAGTGGCAGGATTCCTGCTCACTGCAACCTCCGCCTCCCAGGTTCAAGCAATTCTCCTGCCTCACCCTCCCAAGTAGCTGGGATTGGAGGCATGTGCCACCACTCCTGGCTGATTTTTGTATTTTTAGTAGAGACGGGGTTTCACCATGTTGGCCAGGCTGGCCTCGAACTCCTGACCTCAGGTGACTATGTGTCTATTTTTTTTTCTGAATGTCAGTGAATTTCTTTTCTTTATTTTATTTTATTTTTTATACTTTAAGTTCTAGGATACATGTGCACAAGATGCAGATTTGTTACATAGGTATACATGTGCCATGTTGGTTTGCTGCACCCATCAACTTGTCATTTACATTAGGCATTTCTCCTAATGCTGTCCTTCCCTCAGCCCCCCAACCCCCGACAGGCCCTGGTGTGTGTGATGTTCCCTGCCTTGTGTCCATGTGTTCTCATTGTTCAACACCCATCTATGAGTGAGAACATGAAGTGTTTGGTTTTCTGTCCTTGTGATAGTTGACTTAGAATGATGGTTTCCAGCTTCATCCATGTCCCTGCAAAGGACATGAACTTAGTATTCCATGGTGTATATGTGCCACATTTTCTTAATCCAGTCTATCATTGTTGGACATTTGGGTTGGGTCCAAGTCTTTGCTATTGTGAATAGTGCCGCAATAAACATACGTGCGCATGCATCTTTATAGTAGCATGATTTATAATCCTTTGGGTATATACCCAGTAATGGGATGGCTGGGTCAAATGGTATTTCTAGTTCTAGGTCCTTGAGGAATTGCCACACTGTCTTCCACAATAGTTGAACTAATTTACACTCCCATCAACAGTGTAAAAGCGTTCCTATTTCTTCACATCCTCTCCAGCATCTGTTGTTTCCTGACTTTTTAATGATTGCCATTCTAACTGGCGTGAGATGGTATCTCATCATAGTTTTGATTTGCATTTCTCTGATGACCAGTGATGATGAGCATTTTTTCATGTGTCTGTTGGCTGCATAAATGTCTTCTTTTGAGAAAAGTCTGTTCATATCCTTTGCCCACTTTTTGATGGGGTTGTTTGTTTTTTTCTTGTAAATTTGTTTAAGTTCTTTTTAGATTCTGGATATTAGCCCTTTGTCACATGGGTAGATTGCAAAATGTTTCTCCCTTTATGTGGGTTGCCTGTTCACTCTGATGGTATTTTCTTTTGCTGTGCAGAAGCTCTTTAGTTTAATTAGATCCCATTTGTCTATTTTGGCTTTTGTTGTCATTGCTTTTGGTGTTTTAGTCATGAAGGCTTTGCCCATGCCTATGTCCTGAATGGTATTGCCTAGGTTTTCTTCTAGGGTTTTTATGGTGTTAGGTCTTACATTTAAGTCTGTGCTCCATCTTGAGTTATTTTTTGTATAAGATATAAGGAAGGGATCCTGTTTCAGCTTTCTACATATGGTTCGCCAGTTTTCCCAGCACCATTTATTAAATAGGAAATCCTTTCCCCATTTCTTGTTTTTGTCAGGTTTGTCAAAGATTAGATAGTTGTAGATGTGTGGTATTATTTCTGAGGCCTCTGTTCTGTTGCATTGGTCTATGCTTCTGTTTTGGTACCAGTACCATGCTGTTTTGGTTACTGTAGCCTTGTAGTATAGTTTGATGTCAGGTAGTGTGATGCCTCCAACTTTGTTCTTTTTGCTTAGGATTGTCTTGGCTATGTGGGCTCTTTTTTGGTTCCATATGAATTTTAAAGTAGGTTTTTCCAATTCTATGAAGAAAGTCAGTGGTAGCTTGATGGGTATGGCATTGAATGTATAAATTACCTTGGGCAGTATGGCCATTTTCATGATTTTGATTCTTCCTATCCATGAGCATGGAATGTTTTTCCATTTGCTTGTGTCCTCTTTTATTTTGTTGGGCAGTGGTTTGTAGTTCTCCTTGAAGAGGGCCTTCACATCACTTTTAAGTTGGATTCCTAGATTTTATTCTCTTTGTAGTAATTGTGAATGGGAGTTCACTCATGATTTGGCTCTCTGTTTGTCTGCTATTGGTGTATAGGAATGCTTGTGATTTTTGTACATTGGTTTTGTATCCTGAGACTTTGCTGAAGTATCCTAATTGAATACCCTTTATTTCTTTCTCCTGCCTAATTGCCCTGGCCAGGACTTCCAACACTACATTGAATAGGAGTGGTGAGAGAGGGCATCCTTGTCTTGTGCCAATTTTCAAAGGGAATGCTTCCAGTTTTTGCCATTCAGTATGATATTGGCTGTGGGTTTGTCATAAATAGCTCTTATTATGAGATACATTCCATCAATACCTAGTTTATTGAGAGTTTTTGACATAAAAGGCTGTTGAATTTTGTTGAAGGCCTTTTCTGCATCTATTGAGATAATCATGTGGTTTTTGTCATTGGTACTGTTTATGTGATGGATTACGTTTATTGATTTGCATATGTTGAACCAGCCTTGCATCCCAGAGATGAAGCCGACTTGATCATGGTGGATAAGCTTTTTGATGTGCTGCTGGATTGGGTTTGTCAGTATTTTATTGAGGACTTTTGCATTGATGTTCATCAGGCATATTGGCCTAAAATTCTCTTCTTTTGTTGTGTCTCTGCCAGGCTTTGGTATCAGGATGATGCTGCCTCATAAAATGAGTTTGGGAGGATTCCCTCTTTTTTCTATTGGTTGGAAATTGTTTCAGAAGGAATGGTACCAACTCTTCTTTGTACCTCTGGAAGAGTTTGGCTGTGAATATGTCTGGTCCTGGACTGTTCTTGATTGGTAGGCTATTAATTATTGCCTCAATTTCAGAACCTGTTATTGGTGTAGTCAGAGATTCAACTTCTTCCTGGTTTAGTCTTGGGAGAGTGTATGTGTCCAGGAATTTATCCATTTTTTCTAGATTTTCTAGTTTATTTGCGTAGAAGTGTTTATGGTATTCTCTGATGGTAGTTTCTATTTCTGTGGGATTGGTGGTGATATTCCCTTTATTATTATATTATTTTTATTGCATCTATTTGTTCTTCTCTCTTTTCTTCTTTATTAGTCTTGCTAGCAGTCTATCTATTTTGTTGATCTTTTTGAAAAAACCAGCTCCTGGATTCATTGATTTTTTGAAGAGTTTTTTTGTGTGTGTGTGTGTCTCTTTCTTTTTCAGTTCTGCTCTGATCTTAGTTATTTCTTGCCTTCTGCTAGCTTTTGAATTTGTCTATTTTTATACTGGTACTATGTTGTTTGTTTACTGTAGCCTTGTAGTATAGTTTGAATTTATGTAGTGTGATGCCTCTGGTTTTGTTCTTTTTGCTTAGGATTGCTTTGGCTATTTGGGCTCTTTTTTGGTTTTATATGAGTTTCAGAAATTTTTTTTCTAATTCTGTGAAAAACGGTGGTAGTTTGATAGGAATAGCATTGAATGTGTAGATTGCTTTGGGCAATATGGCCATTTTAGTGATATTGATTCTTTCTGTCAATAAGCAGGGAATTATTTTTATTTTTATTTTGTGTCATCTCTGGTTTCTTTGAAACAGTGTTTTGTAGATCTCCTTGTAGAGATCTTTTACCTCCTTGGTTAGATGAATTCTTAGGTCTTTTATTTTTGTGTGTGGATATTGTATTAATAAATAGGATTGTGTTCTTGATTTGGATGTCAGCTTGAGTGTTATTGGTGTATAGAAATGTTATTGATTTTAATACGTTGATTTTGTATTCTGAAACTTTGCTGAAGTTGTTTATCTGTTCTAGAAACCTTTTGGCAGAGACTTCAGGGTTTTCTAAGTATAGAATCATATCATCTCTGAAGAGAGAGAGTTTGATTTTTTTTTTTTTCTATTTGAATGCCTTTTATTTCTTTTTCTTGCCTGAATGTTCTAGCTAGAACTTCCAGTACTGTGTTGAAAATGAGTAGTGAGAGTGGGCATCTTTTTCTTGTTCCAGTTCTTAAGGGGGAATGCTTCCAGCTTTTGCTCATTCAGTATGATGTTGGCTGTGGGTTTGTCATAGATGGCTATTATTATTTTGAGATATGCTCGTTAGGTTTTTTAACATGAAGGGATTTTGGATTTTGGCAAAATCTTCTTTTGCATCTATTAAGATGATATATGGTTTTGTTTTTAATTCTGTTTATATGGTAAATCACATTTATTGATTTGCATATATTGAATCACTGTTGCATTATTGGAGTGAAGCTCACTTGATCATGGTGAAATAACTTTTTGATGTGCTGCTGAATTCGGTTTGCTAGTATTTTGCTGGGGATTTTTGCATCCATGTTCATTAGGGATGTTGGCCTGTAGTTTTCTTTTTTCATCCTGTCTTTGTCAGGTTTTGGTATTATGATGATGTTGCTGGCTTTGAACAATGAGTTAGGGAGAAGTTTCTCCTCCTCTGTTTTTTCGAGCAGTTTCAGCAGGATTGGTAGCAGCTCTTTTTTGTATCCCTGGTAGAATTCAGCTGTAAATCCATCTGGTTCAGGGCTTTTATTGGTTGGTAGAATTTTTATTATTGATTCAACTTTGGAACTTGTTATTGATCAGGTCAGAGTTTTAATTTCTTCCTGTTTCAATCTTGGGAAGTTGTGTGTTTCCAGGAATGTATTCATTTCCTCTAGATTTTCTAGTTTGTATGCATAGATAGTGTTCATAATAGTTTCTGAGGATCTTTTGTATTTCTATGAAATTGGTTATAATGTCACCATTGTCATTTTTTTATTGTGTTTATTGGATCTTCTTCCTTTTTTCTTTGTTTCTGACTAGCAGTGTATGGATCTTGTTTATTGTTTCAAAGACCAACTTTTGGTTTTGTTGCTGCTTTTTGTGGATTTTCACTTTTCAATTCCATTCAGTTTTGCTCTGATTTTAGATATTTATATTTTCTGTTAGCTTTGAATTAGTTTCTTCTTGTTTTTTCTAGTTCCCATAGTTGCAATGTTAGATTGTTAATTTGAGATCTTTCTGACTTTTTGATGTAGGCATATTGCACTCTAAACTTTCCTCTTAATGCTGCTTTTGCTGCATCCCACAGATTTTGGTATGTTGTATCTCTGTTTTCATTAATTTCAAATAATTTTCTATTTTTTGCCTTGATTTTGCTGTTTACCCAAAAGTCTTCCAGGAACAAGTTGTCTAATTTTAATGTAATTGTGTGGTTTTGGGATGTTTAATTGGTATTGATTTGTTTTTATTGCATTGTGGTCCAAGAGTATGGTTGGTATGTTTCATTCTTTAAAGTTATTTGAGACTTGCTTTATGGCTGAGCATGTGATCAGTCTTGCAGTATGTTCTGTGTGCAGATGAGAAGAATGTATATTCTGTGGTTGATGAGTGGAGTATTCTGTAGATGTTTATTAGATCCAGTTGGTCAAGTGTCAAATATAAGTCCATAATTTCTTTGTTAGAGTTCTGCCTCAGTGATCTGTCTAATGCTGTCAGTGGTGTGTTGAAGTCCTCCTCTATTATGTGACTATCTAAGTCTTTTTGTAGGTCTATAGGCAGTTGTGTTCTGAATCTGGGTGCTCTGATGTTGGGTGCAGAGATATTTTAGATAGTTAAGTCTTCTTGTTGAATTGAACACTTTATCATTATGTAATACCCTTCTTTGTTCTTTTTTTTTTTTACTGTAGATGGTTTAAAGTCTGTTTTATCTTATGAAAGAATATCAATCACTGCTCTTTTTTGTTTTCCATTTATGTGATAGACTGATATAGTTTGGATATGTGTTCCTATCCAAATCTCATGTCGAATTGTAATCCTCAGTGTTGGAGGTGTGGCCTGGTGAGTGGAGACTGGATCATGGGGGTGGATTTCTCATGAATGGTTTAGTACCATTCCCTTGGTACTGTCTTTGCAATAGTGAGTGAGTTATCATGAGATCGATTGTTTAAAAGTATGTAGCACCTCCCCCTCTCTGCTCTTGCTCCTGCCATATAAGATGCCTGCTCCCTCTTTGCCTTCCACCATGATTGGAAGCTCCCTGAGACCTCCCCAGAAGCAGAAGCTGCTATGCTTCCCGTATAGTCTGTAGAACTGTAAGTCAATTAAACCTCTTTTATTTATAAATTACCCAGTCTCAGGTATTCTTTATAGCAATGTGAAAACTGACTAATACATAGATGCTTCTCCATCCCTTTACTTTGCCCCTATGGCTGTTATGTGTGATTGGTCTCTTGAAGAGAGAAGACATTTGGTTCTTGTTTTTTTTTTTTTTTTTTCCTGCTTGCTCTCTATGCCTTTTAGATGGGGCATCTATATCATTTACATTCAAGATTAATATTGATATGTGAGGTTTTGATCCAGTCATGATATTATTAGCTTGTAGCTTTGTATTCTCAATTGCATTGTTTCTTTATAGGGTCTGTGGGCTCTGTACTTACATATGTTTTTATGGTAGCAGGTGTTGTTCTTTCTTTTTTATGTTTAGGGCTCCCTTAAAGATCTCATTTATAGCCGGGCTAGTGGTAATAAATTCCCTTAGTGTTTGCTTGTCCAGAAAAGATTTTATTTCTCCTGTACTATGAAGCTTAGTTTGGTGGGGTTTGAAATTCTTGATTGGAATTTCATTTCTTTAGGGATGCCAAAAATAGGCTCCCAATTTTTTCTTGCTTGAAAAGTAGAAACCTACTGAGAAGTCTGCTGTTAGCCTGCTGGGGTTGCCTTTTGAAGTAATCTGACCCTTTTTTCTAGCTACCTTTTTGATTTTTCCTTCTTTGTTGACTTAGAAAAGTCTGATTACAAAATGCCTTCAGAATGATCTTCTTGTTTAGCATTTCATGAGGGTTCTCTGAGTTTCTTGGGATTGCATGTTGACTTCTCTAGTGAGACTTGGGAAATTTTCCTGGACTAGGTACTCAAATATGTTTCAAAGTTTCTTACTCTCCTCTCTCAAGAAAGCCAATGAGTCATAGATTTGGTCTCTACATAATCCCATATTTCTTTGAGGCTTTAAAAGGTTCATCAAAAAATTTTTTTCTTTATTTTTGTCTGACTAAGCTCTG
Source organism: Homo sapiens (assembly GCF_000001405.40). NCBI lineage: Eukaryota > Metazoa > Chordata > Mammalia > Primates > Hominidae > Homo > Homo sapiens. The sequence goes on along the minus strand of NC_000010.11, from coordinate 67,359,633 downwards.
AAATTCTTTCCTCAGGTTGGTCTAGTCTGTTATTGAAGCTTCCAACTGTATTTTGAAATTTCTGCAGTAAAATTTTCAATTCTATAAGTTCAGTTTGGTTCTTTCTTAAAATGACTATGTCATCTTTCAACTCTTAGATCGTTTTACTTGCTTCCTTGGATTGGCTTTCAACTTTTTCTTGAATCTCATCGAGCTTCCTACCCATCCAGATTCTGAATTCTATGTCTGTCATTTCCACATTTTAATCTAGTTAGGGTGTATTGCTGGGTAGGTAGTGTGATCTTTTGAAGGTAAGGAAACACTCTGACTTTTTTAATTACCAGAGTCATTGTACTGATTTCTTCTCACCTGAGAGGGCTAGTGTTTCTTTGTTTCTTTCTTTTTTTTTTTTTTTAAAGTTATGTCATTTGAATGGGCCTTTTTGTTTTTGTACTTTTTTCACTTGAGGGTTTGACTGTATATAGTCAATTGGTCCTTTTTCTAGGTGCTTTCAGAGAACCAAGGCTCTGTATGGGTTCCTTCGTTGTGATTAGTTTTGCTGCATTGGGTTTCACAGGTGATGCATATTTATGGAATTTATTTATGTTTTCGTGGTGTCATCTAGGCTGCATTCTATTAGATGGTGCTTAAGAGTAAGGGCTAGCAGATAGGATCTTGCTCAGCCATGCATGTCTCTTATATTTCATTCTGTTCACAGCAGTGTTCTGGGGAGGAGAAGACGAGGGGGTGGGTGCAAGTGATGACCCCCTTACCAAATCCATTCTGGGGCCTTGGGGGAGACCTCTTTAATCACTGTTGCAGTGCCTGCATTTCCTTAGCCCCAAGGGGGTCCCTGGTGGGCTGCACCTCCTTCTCTTTTGGGGGAAGCCTGAGCTGAAGGTCAGTTGTAAGGAGACTTACAACTCTCTGACGACCCACTGGTCCTCTGTGCCTGGCAAGAGTCAGAATGGGTTGTGGGGTATGTCTATGGGTGGTCTGTTGATGTAGTAGGTCAAGTGTAGAAGATACCTGGGCAGGGTATCCTTGTAGCTAGGACTCCTGAGGTCCCCAGAATTCCTTAACTCACCCCTTCTTTAGGGCCTTTGCAGGACTAGGAGCTTGTTCTGGCACTCAGGGACTCTATGTAGGCTTCCTAGCTTCCTCCTTCTTCAAACTGGGTGTCTGTGGTTCTTTTTTGTCAACTTTTAATGTTTTCTCTCAAAAGATCTGTGCAAAGTGTGATGGTTTACCCCATATTTTGTTTTTTCCTTGGTGAGACAGATGTTTCCTGGCTGTGTCTAGTTGGCCATCTGGTCCAAGATCCCCTTTTCATTTTTGTAATAGTGTCTTTTGAGAAGCAAAATGTTTTAGTGTTGATGAAGTCCAGTTCAGTTTTCTTTTATAGTTTCGTGCCCTGCTTAAAATATCTTTGCCAGACCCAACATCACTAAGATTTTCTTCTATGTTTTCTTCTAGGAGTTAAAGTATTAACTCTAAAATTTAACAGGTCTGTGACCCATTTTGAATTAATTTTTGTGTATCATGAGGTAAGTGTGGAGATTTTTTTTTGCATATGGTTAGTCATTCTTCCAGCATGGCTTATTGAAAATATTATCCTTTTCTCATCAAATTGCTTTGCTCTTTTGTTGAAAATTAATTATTCATATATATCCAGGTTTATTTCTGGACTCTGTATTTTGCTCCATTAATTTATATGTCTATATTCAACCCAAAAATGTGTTGCGGTGATTACTGAGGCTTTATGTTGAATTCTGAAGTCAGACAGTTCAAGTTCTTGGACTTTTAAAATTAATTTTTTAGCATTGTTTTGGCTCTTCTTTTTTTCTCATTTAATGTATGGTGGTGCTCATACCCTCACCCCTTTATTGTTCTTTGTAATAGCTTCCCTTGCTATTCTTGCATGCTTACTATTTATAAGAACTTTGGGGTCAGCTACTTTGTTCAAAAATAAAAGAATAACATCAAAAGTCCCCCAAACCAACTGTTGTATTTTTATTATGATGGTTTTATATTTATAAATTATCTTAAGAAGAATTGACATATTTATGATGTTGTGTTTTTCTAGCTGATGTAATTTCATTTTCTGAAGTCTTCTTTTGTGTTTTCAGTTGTGTTGTTAGGTTTTCTTCCTATAGATCTTACATACTTTCTATTAAGTTTACTCTAGTGTCTTTTCTGCTATCGTAAATGGCATATTTTATTGAATATATGAAGCCTTGTGCTTTCTCTGTATTAATATGCATCATGATATTGTAGTAAATTCTCATATTGTTTATAGTATTTTTTTCAGTTGATTCTCTTGGGTTTTCCAGATATATTTTATCTTCTGGGAGATATAACATCATGTTTGATGTAAATTAAATGATCCACAATTGAGAAAATAGTGTTGATACAATGAGAGAGAAGAGGAAGAGAGTAATGCATTTCAGACAGTGAGGAGAGTTAAAAGTTAGGATACATGTGGAGAGGTTTTCTTAGATAAGAGCTTGGATAGTTTACACTAGTGGGTGTATGAATGCTAGGCTGCTAGATATGGTGGTGTATATCTGTGAATATGTTTCATCTATTATAGTGAGGATGGTAGAGAAAATGTTGGAGGTTTGAGGAAAGAGACGTTAAACGGTTGTGTAGGAGAATGAATTGACTGCAGAAATGCATAAAAGATCACTGGGAGGAACTGAAGCCCCATTGAAGATTATCATTATGAATTTAAAGTGAAACCAGTAAGGATGGTGTGTAATCCTCTCAGCCCATGTTTAGATATTTGGGTTCAAGTGGGTGGAAAGCTGTATTTAGTCAAAGTATAAGTTTTACCAGGTTGATTAAACAAGGGAAGAGAGGGCCACCAGGGAGCTGATTGTAATGATGGACCATGGAATCTAAGCTAAGTAAGGAGGCAATGTAACTAGAACAGAAGGAGGTAAAATACAGCAAAAAGTTGATTAAGGATTGTTATCAAAGAATGAGAGGGCGTGAGCTGGAAAAATGGGAAGTAATATTTTGGAACTGGATACTTGGAGTTGAGGTCATGGAGGGCTGCTGTTATTGATAATAAAAAAGAGGTCCAGATCACCATGAAATGGCTGAGGACAAGCTCATTGAAGTTTACAATTTAAGGATCTGAGGATTGAGGGTACTGGGAGATTCAGTTATGTGGAAATGACAGATGCAAATGATAAAATCATAATCAAAATCTTGTAGCAGTTATAGAAACTGAAGTTAACTGCAGCCAGTAGTAGTAAAAGTTGTCTAATTTGATGGCATGAGTTGCAAGGCTGGATTTTTGGAGGGAGGTAGAAGGGACACAGTTTTCTACAATGATGAGGAAGTAGGACAGTGATAGTTGGAATATGAGAGAGAAAATAGCCATCATTTGTGGACCCTACAGGGGAAGAGAGTCCTTGGGGAATAACTGGCTTTTATTTACAGCAAAGAGGTGGAGGCAGTATTCAGGAGGAGATAGAACATGAGGGACTTTATGTTCTCCAGAGGACATAGTGTAATGGGCTCTGAACTTGGGAAGACAGGGTGAAATTAAGGATGCATAGACCAGAGACCTAGTAGTGAGGGAAAACCCAGGAACTTTGGGTTTCCTGTGGTGATAAAGAGGTTGATGGAATTTCTCTTGATGGTCTTTAAAGTTGTAAGGCTATGAGTGTTGTGGAGACAGATATAGAACTTTGATACTCTCTAACTCCTGTAGATGATGGTGTGGAGGCTGGGAGAAGGGCAGTGTGACTTGGAGAATAAGGTCTGGGATTCCCTCTTCACTATGAATTATGCATATGTACTACTGACCTAATACAGATTGTACACAGTGCAATATATAAAGGGAAGAATGGGATAAAGGTGAAGTAATCAACATTTTTAAACGGTTTGAAAACGATGATAGCTTTGTATTATCATTGCATAATATCTCAAGGCATTCTATATACTTAAAGCTACCTTGACTTTTAATGATGGTGGATGAATGTTCATATTTTAATATTATGAAAAGGTTTTTTTTTTTGCTTGACTTCTTGTCAGGCTGATTTACTCAGGAATGATGAAGAACTCACCGCAGGAGCAGAAGTTACAGCTCCACCTTTTTTTTTGTGCTTACATTATTTGTATAGCCACCAATTATTATCAATCATCAATTATTTGTGTAATCATAAATTCCATGATTCTTTGCAAGAATTTTTTTCTTTCTTTTTTGTTTTGTAGGGTTAGTTTAAATAAAACTAGGTAATGTATTCAGTAAATCCACTACTCGTGGCTACACACAGTATGGTACTTTGCAACCTGATGAAAGCTAGGAGATGAGTGAGTGTTTCACCAACAACTACTTCCTTCTGCCTATCTCATGAAATCTGCCTGTCTTGTTTACATTTGATATAGGGACAGGGAATGGGGTCAGTGTAATTTCTTTTTAAAATATCAATAAAGTTTAATTTCTTTCTGTTTTTGATAAAAATAAGTACAAGTAGAAGTTCTGATATTTTCTTCTCACATCACAATGACATACCCCACTTTGACAACCATTGACAAAGTGGTGGTGTTATTGTTAATAAGAAAACAAATAAATAAATCAATGTTAATCTTAAACTATCATTTGGACAATAGCAAAGTATTAATTTGGAAGGGATTAAATTTTTTTCTATGGTAGGTTTATGGGTCTAGAATTTTCATGGTCTTGCATTATCACCTACACATAGGTGTAGGAAACCCTTCATTCCTTTTCAAATAAGAAATAGATACCCTAGGTTGTTATTAGCAAAGTTTTCAGGGAAAGCTCATATCGTCACCCAAATTTAAAATGTTTGCTTTATTGTAAGACCAGCAATTAAATGGGACCTACCCATTGTTGTTAGTATTCAAATACAGTTTTAAAGAAAAACCATAACTTTTTTGCTGCACATACTTTTCCAAGCCTACTTTTGTAAGATTTTTCCTTATTAATATGGATACTTTTGCTTGGATGCAATTGCATTCCCTAGATATATTGTTTGTTTCATAAGTAACATAGTTTGTGAGTATTAATTAGATTGTAGAATAAATCTATTGTTTATTGCTGAAGGGGCCTTTTGGCTTCCTACCACCGGAAAACCTTTAAATCTACAGCAATGAGATTTTTTAGTATCTCTTCTCTTTCTAGTTTTATTCTCCTCTTTAAAAAATAAAAAATGTAAATGAATAATTCAAGTTACAAACATACATACAAATGGGTAATTCAGCCAAGATATTTGCAGCATTTATCCTTGCAAGTTGAAGGTACTTATCACTTTAGTTGCTAGGTGCTCAGACAAAGGATGTTAAAAATAATAAACTCAGCAATAAATTTTTCTTAATCTGAGATCTGCAGCAACCTTGTAGGGTTATTTTGGAGAATGTAAGATGCTACACAGGCAGTTGGTCAATTTATCTCCCAGGCCCCTTGGCTAACCCAGCTGGGTAGATCATGTCTTTTGTCTTCCTTGTTTTATACTGTGCATTAACTAGCTCTTAAAGCAGGTATCCAATGCTCAGAAAGCAAGACTTTTGTAATGTTCCTAGTAATGAGAAATGTTTGTTTTAGAAAGCTAGCCTTGTGCCAATTGTTAATGTTAGAAGTTTGGAGGAGAGTCAGAATTGGGACCAAGAATGGAGGCGGAGTGGGCTGCTGTTTGAAAGATTTAACTGAAAATGCAAGGACTGCAATTTACCTTTCAAACCTGAAGTTCGGTCTCTTCATTAGAGACATTGCAGCTTCATTGGTGGCAGTGGCTGAGACTTATTTTTCCAATGAAAATACCTTCCTCTTCATTCCAGTCTTTAGTGATGACTCTTGGTAAATTCCTGTGGAAATCTTTACATTCATCCGTTCACTCACACATTCATCTACTTATTTAACAAATATTTATTGAGTTCTGTGCACTGTCCTTGATGCTGAAACTATTTTTAAAAATCATGGTACCTGACCTCAAGCATCATAAAGCTTATCCCATCATCATACTCCTTTCATTTTTGGCACCTAAGAAGTGACTTTAATCATTTAATGTATATATCTTGTTTTCTCAGCTCCTTGTAACAATTCTCAGTTGTTGAAAATGATGATTTGCTTGTCAAGGGAGGCATTCTAAGTAAACATCAAATTTAACTATTGAATTACTAGCAATCTTTAAGACTATGTAACGTGCATAACAGGATGAGTTCAATGGTACTTTTAAAATACAATAATAAATTGTGAAATGCTGCACTGAATTAAAGTTTAGGGAGTTCTTGCAGTTACTATAATGCAGAGGTTGTTGCCCAGCTGTAAAGTTGAATACCTTGGAGATGTGCTGCTTCTTCTCTCTCTCTTTTTGTAGTTCATGCCCCACAGTAGACCAATGAAAACAGAGTCTCAGAGTGGTGCCCCCGAATTTTAGCATGCAGTGGGATTGAGAATCAGTCTTGTATGGCACCTAATCTCAAGAATAATTATGCAAAGTAGCAGTTCCTATCATCTACATTTTGTGGAAGTGAACACTGACATTCAGACAGGTGAATATGTTGTCTAAAGCTACAGAGCTAGTAAGTGGCGGAAGCAGGATCTGAGCCCAGATCTTCTAGCTATAAAACCTTTCCCATTTTGGAAACGTAGTGCTGGCCCTCAAAGATGTGACACTTAGGTTTTCCTTCCCACTGTTTTGCTTTTAACATTTTCTAATGATTTATTTTCTGCTAGTTGGCCATTGTGTACATACCTGGAATTAATATCTGTGATGGATAGAATAAAAAGGATGAAGGAAAAAAGATGCTACTTTCTGTGACGGATAGAATGGAAAGGATAGAAAGAAGAGAGGAAAGAAAGTGCTACTGGGTTCTTCTCTGTTAGGGCTAGTAGTTTCAGGGAAGGGCTTGAAGACACAGGAGATAGTAGGAGTTCCATTATTTCGGAATGCTTACTTTTACTTGTTTAATCCGTTGTGAGAGTACTGGAGCAATAGTTACATTTCGTAGTAACAGTGAATTGGAATTATGTGTTAGATATGATCACTGCTAACATACAGGAAAAATGGAACATTCATACCTTTCTATCTTAATTTTAAGTAGTGTAGTTAGCCACAGTGAATTAGCATGAGGCATGAGACCTTTTTTTTTTATTCTTTTGCATAAAGGGATCTTAGGTTTCAGTAAGGAATAATACTACTTGGAACTTTTCCACTTTCTGGAAAGGGAGACTTTAGATTATTATTCCTTTGTCCTGTGGGAATTTCATCACCTGGAGGATTATTTCAAGTCAAGGAATAAATACATCAGCACAGGTATGCCTTGCTCAGTGTTTTCAAAACTGTCATGGAAGATGGTGGTGGTAAATATAAAAGGAATGGCCTCTTCAAATCATGCAGCTTTCTATTTGTTCCTGTTAGCATTTTAATCATCTGAAGGCAGATTTAGGGAGTCCTAGGATCTGGTTGATGTGCTTTTTGTTAGAACTCAGACAATCACTTTTTCCCCTGGTTGTCCCCGTACCCGATCACACTTCTATCATCACACTTAGATTATTGTATGGAAGTATATTTGCTTATTACTTGTCTCTATCCCCTGCTAGTTTGTGCAATCTTTAAAGGCAAATATTGTGTTATTTTCAGTTTGTTTACCTAATGCCTAGCACAGTGCTTGGCATATATTAAATGCTTAATACATGTTTGGTGAATTAAATTGCATTTGTCTTTTGATGATCATTTTCAGGAAATGGAATGTTAAGCCTGACTTCTGGTTAATATTAAATTATTTTCTCTAACAGAGTATGTCAGAGTGTTTCAGAGAGTGCATTAAAATCCCAGCAGTTATCTTCCCAGGCCACCACTTTTCCTCTTGTTAGGAAACAGTATTTATCATAGTAAATAGCCCATTTGAGGTGGTTCATTCAGGCTTTAGTACCAAATTTAACATAACAGGAAGTCACAAATTCCCTTTTGGCCAGAAAGGAGTTTGACAGCTTCTCTCAGAAAAATAACTTTGCATTAATTTACTCTGCTTTATTCATGAAAGGTATAAAAATCTATAAACATTTTACAGCTATTCAGAGGTGGTAAACAACACGCTGGCCAACTACTTATGCTTTTAATAGGCATGTTTTATGCCTTGTATATAATTTTTAAAAAATTATAGCTTGGTTTTTTGTTTAAATACTCAGTTACATTATCTTTTTTGTAGATGGTGCTTTGTGAAATGTTTCGTGGTTTATAACATTTAGAATATGTGAAACTTTTGCTGTATGCTTTCTTGTAGAAGAGATTTTTTATTTGAAAGTGTAGTTTTAATTCATATACAGTAAAATTGACTTTTTTGGTGTATATTTCTATGAGTTTTGGAAAATAGGTAGAGTTATGTAACCCATTACCACAGTTAAGATAAAGAACAATTTCAATATACCTCCTCTAATATTCTCTTATCTTCTCCCTTTGAAGTCAAATCTTCCCCATACCTTTAACACCTGACACCCACTCATCTGTTTTGCCTATTCCAGAATGTTATATGAATGAGTGGAATCATACTATAGCCTTTTGAGTCTGACTTCTTTCACTTAGCATAAAGCATTTGAGATTCATCCCTTTGTTGCATGTATCAATAGTTTATTTATCTTTATTGTTGGATACTATTTCACACTATGGGCGTATCACCATTTTTAAAAACACATGTCTATTTGAGGGGAATGCAGGTTATTTACAGCTTTTGGTAATTATGAATAATGCATATATATATATATATATATACACATACTTTTTTCACATACAGATTTTTTTTTTTGTATGAATAGAGGTTTTCACTTGGGTAAATACCTAGAAGTAGGATTTTTGGGTAATATGCTAAATATATGTTTAACTTTATAAGAAACTGGAAAACTGTTTTTCACAGGGCTATGCCATTTTCTATTCTCATCAGCAACCTATGAGAGCTCCAGTTGCTTTACATCCTCACCAGCATCTGGCATTGTTTGTTTTATTTAGTCATTCTATTAGGCAAATAGTGGTGTAAAGATGTTTCTCAGTCATCTTTGGGTAATTTTCTTTGTTGTTGGTGGTGGGTTTTTTATTACATAATTTTTTTTTTTTTTTTTTACTAACCATTTGGTCATCATTCACACAGATCTTTATGGTTATAATCTTAAAAACTTAAGTTTAGTGCTGGTATTCCAAGCTACTGCTTTAGTCCATTTATTAAGGAAACACACTAGTGCTATGAGAAAGTATAAATATTATTGTGGATTAGGACTGAACTTTTACTAATTAACATTAAATGAAAGCAACAAGTTTCCCCTCCTCCAACTATCTTTCTCTCCTATACATTGTCCCCAGCAATCCAGTCTTTCTATAATGGTGCTTTCTTCATACCAACATTTGTTCATGACCCTTTACTGATTCTCTCACAACCATGGTATGGTCTAGTAGTTAAGGGCAGAGACTCTGACATTCACTAGGCATGGTTTTATTCTCAGCTCTGCCACACGCTAGCTGAGTGACCTTGACAGATTAATATAGCTAAACCTCAGTTTGTCATTTTCAAATAGGTCATGATAAGACCTAAATAAAACATTTTGCACAAGTGGTCAGGGCTCAATACATGCCCGAAATTGGTAATTAAATTACCATCTGCAACAGGACTCATCTTATTTGACTAGCCTTGTCTGTCACAGTTCATCATCACAAATCTTCTGACATAATTAAGCTGATATACTGAGTGCCCTGATACCTTACCTTAATCCTCCTGTGTAGGGGTTCCCACTTAAGTGTGATTAATCCATGTCTGAGTATGAGTGTTGAACAACTGTGTAGGTCATAAGGAGTTGCTTTGCCTGGGAGCTCTAGGCTGAGGTTGGAGGAAATCAATTAGCAAAGCCTACTGGAAGATAACCTGGAATAGCCATTACAGCATGCTTCTTTGTCATTTTATTTTTTATGTTATTTTATTGTTGTAAAACATTTAATATGAGATCTACTTTCAACAAATTTTTTAAGTGTGCAATATAGTATTGATAACTATAGGTACAATGTTGTACAGCAGATCTCTAGAACTTATTTATCTTGATTAATTGAAACTTTACTCCCCTTGATTATCAACTTCCCTTTTTCTTCTCCCTTGAGTCCCTGGCAATCACCATTCCATTCTTTGAGTCTATGAATTTAACTATTTTCGATACTTCATATAGGTGGAATCATGCAGTATTTGTCCTTTGATGACTGGCTTTTTTCACTTAGCACAATTTCCTCAGTCATCTCTGGTGTCATATATTGCAGAATTTCCTTCTTTTTAAAGGCTGAATAATATTCCATTGTATATAGATACAACATTTTCTTTATTCATTCATTTGTTGATGGACATTTAGATTGTTTCCACATTTTAGCTATTGTAGATAGTGCTGCAATGAACCTGGGAATGCTAATTGCTCTTTGAAGTCCTGATCTCAGTTCTTTTGGATAAATACCCAGAGTGGGACTGCTGAATCATATGGTAGTTCTATTTTTAATTTTTAAAAAAACTTCATGTTGTTTTCCATAGCGGCCATACCATTTTGCATTTCCACTGACAGTGTGCAAAGGTTCCAGTTTCTCCATATCCTTGACAACACTTATCTTTCATCTTTTTGATAATAGCCATTCTAACAGGTGTGAGATGATATCTCATTGTGGTTGTGATTTGTATTTCCTTGATGATTAATGATGTTGCGTATATTTTCACATAGATACTGTGACATAGTCTGTTCAAGTTTTTTTGCCCCATTTAAAAAATTGGGTTATTAGTCTTTTTGCTGTTGAGTTGTGGGAGTTCCTTATATATTTTAGGAATTATCTCCTTATCAGATATATGGTGATATGGTTTGGATGTTTTGTCCCCTCCAAATCTCACGTTGAAATGTGACCTCCAATGTTGGAGGTGAGCCTAATGGGAGGTGTTTGGGTCATGGGGAAAGATCCCTTATGAAAATCTTGGTGCTGTCCTTGCAGTAACAAGTGGGTTCTCATTCTGTGAATTCATGTGCGATCTGGTTGTTTAAAAGTGCCGGGCACCTCCTCCCTCTGTCTCTTGCTCTCTCTCTTATCATGTGAAACGCAGGCTCCCCCTTTCCCTTCCACCATTGTTGGAAGCTTCTTGAGGCCCTCACTGGGAGCAGATGCTGGTGCCACGCTTTGTGTACAGCCTGCAGAACAGTGGGCCAAAATAAGCCTCTTTTCTTTATAAATTACCCTGTCTCAGGTATTCCTTTATGGCAATGCAGAATGGACTAATACATATGGTTTGTAAACATTTTTTCCTATTCTGTAGGTTGCGTTTTCACCCTGTCAATTGTTTCCTTTGCTGTGCAGAAGCTTTCTCCTTTGATGTGGGCTCATTTGTTTATTTTTGCTTTTGTTGCTTGTGTTTTTGATGAGATATTCATGAAATCACTGCCAAGACCAAGGTCATGAAGATTTTCCACTATGTTTTCTTCTAGAAGTTTTATAGTTTCAGGTCTTATGTTTGTCTTTAATCTACTTTGAGTTGAATGTTATGTATGGTGTAAGGGTTCAATTTCATGTTTTTGCATATGGATATGAGTTTTTACACCATTTGTTGAAGAGACTATCCTTTCCCCATTGTGTATTTTTGGCACCCTTGTTGAAGATCAGTTGACCTTTGGCATGCTGCTTGTTTTTTATATTGACGTTTCTGGTTTGGTGAAGCAGAGTACAGGTAGTGCTGAAGGAGTTGTTTTCATGAGTGTAGTGTTGGTGTTTAGTTGAAAAAACAAATGCCACAGAATGTGGAAGAGAAGCCTCCATTGTATTTGGTTTTTGTGTTTTTTTTTTTTTTTTCAGGAAAACACTAAATTTTACTTTCTATCTGATGCATCATATAAATTCTTTTCTATGAGTAGTCTCTTGAGTGGATTCTCTTGATTAAAAAAACCAGATTTTTCTGGATACACCTCAAAACCTAAATTACCTTTGTACACTAACATTTACTAAAAAATTGATAAGAGCAACATGTTAAATATTGAAACTAAGAGTACTCAACTTTACTATCCATCCTAACTTTCAAAGAATTTACTTCTGAGTTCAGCAGACTCAAATTCTACAAGGATACAGTTTGTTTCATTCATCAACATATATCCAGCACCTAACATAGTAGTACACGGCACAGAGTGGGTGTTCAGCAAATATTTGTCAATGATTGAACGAATTTTTTTACCAGAAAGTGAAAAAAGTGACTTTAAATAATGGCAAGAGAATACTGTTTCATTATGCAACAATAGGAGCTTTTGTAAAAATTCTGGGATTACTGGCTGGGTACAGTGTCTCATGCCTGTAATCCCAGCACTTTGGGAGGCTGAGGTGGGAAAATGGCTTTGAGCTCAGGAGTTCCAGACCAGCCTGGGCAACATGGTGAAACCCCATCTCTACAAAAAACAAAACAAAACAAAACCCAAATTAGCTGGGCATTGGTGGCTCATGCCCATAGTCCCAGCTACTTGGGAGGCTGAGGCTAGAGAATCGCTTGAGCCTGGGAAGCAGAAGTTGCAGTGAGCTGAGATCTCTAGCCTGGGAGACAGAATGAGACCCTGTCTCAAAAAAAAAAAAAAATTCTAGGATTACTTATTATAAGTAGATCAAGAATTAGATAAAATAACTTCCTCCAATAATAAAAAAATTCTCATAATTTTAACTCATTAGAGTGATTCTGACTCAGGGAGGACTGCAGGAAATAGAATGCCTCTGTGGTCCCTTGGAGGCAGGCAGCTCTTTGAGTATCACATCTGCTGTCTCAAGCTGAGGGCACAAGCAGGAGGGACAATGATGTGGCATTGATATCAGTGGGAAAGGGTTTCTAAATGTAAGTTCATGAGGGAATGATCTTGACACTCTTTAAGGCTTCACAGAAATTCTTCAGGAAGGAGACCTGACATTAGATAGTTGAGGGAAGAAATTTGGATTATTTCTATTAATGAACTCTCATCTATCGCCACGAGATTAGGAAGGCCTGCAGAAACTCACTTATAACTAGAAGTTTCTCTCTCCATATTTTCTACTTGTCCATATACAGTGTGCCCTTTAAGGTCCAAGCCTCGTCTGTTCTAATAAGGTCCATTTATTCATTAATTTAATTTAAAGCACTTAAGGAAAAAAAAACTTTTACTCTAGAATAGTATATCTGGTGAAAACATCCGTCAAAGATGAAAGAGAAATAAAAACATTCCCAGACAAACAAAAGCTGAGGGATTTCACCAACACCAGACCTGTCCTGCAAGAAATGGAAAAGAGAGTACTTCAATTAGAAAGAAAAGTATATTAATGAGCAATAAGAAATCACCTGAAGGTACAAAACTCATTGATAATAGTAAGTACACAGAAATACACATAATATTATAACACTGTAATTGTGGTGCATAAACTACTCTTAAGTGGAAAGACTACAGGATGAGCCAATAAAAATAATAACTACAAAGCTTTTAAAGACCTAGATAGTACAATAAGGTATAAATAGAAACAAAAAAGTTAAAAAGTGAGGGAACAAAGTATAGAGTTTTTATTAGTTTTCTTTTTGTTTGTTTCTTTCTTTCTACAAACAACTTAAGTAGTTATCAGGCTAAAATAATAGGTTATAAGATAGTATTTGCAAGCCTCATGGAAGCCTCAAACCAAAAATATACAATGGATACAATCAGAAAATAAAAAAAACAAGAAACTAAACATTACCAGAGAAAACACCTTCATTCAAAGGGAGACATGAAGGGAAGAAAGAAGGAAGAGAAGACCACAAAACAACTAGAAAACAAACAACAAAATGGCAGGAGTAAGTCCTTTTTTAACAATAATAACATTGAATGTAAATGGACTAAACTCTCCAATCGAAAGACATTGAGTGGCTGAATGGATAAAAAAATAAGACCCATTGATCTGTGCCTTACAAAAAACACACTTCACCTATAAAGACACAGATAGACTAAAAATAAAGGGATGGGAAAAGATATTCCATGCAAATGGAAACTAAAAAAGAGCAGAAGTAGATACATTTATATCAGACAAAATAGATTTCAAGGCGAAAACAATAAGAAGAGACAAAGAAAGTCACTATATAATGATAAAGGCATCAATCCAGCAAGAGGATATAACAATTTTAAATATATATGCACCCAACACTGAAGCGCCCAGATATATAAAGCAAATATTATTAGAGCTAAAGAGAGAGGCCCCTAATAATAGCTGGAGACTTCAACACCCCACTTTCAGCATTGAACAGATCTACCAGACAGAAAATCAACAAAGAAACATTGGACTTAATCTGCACTATGAACCAAATGGATCTAGTAGATATTTACAGAACATGTCATCCAATGAATACACATTCTTTCCTTCAGCACGTGGATTATTCTCAAGGATAGACCATGTGTTAGGTCACAAAACAAGTCTTAAAACATTCAAAAGAATTGAAATATCAAGCATCTTCTCTGACCACAAGAAATAAAACTACAAACCAATAACAGGAGGAATTTTGGAAACTATACAAATAAAAGGAAATTAAACAACCTGCTCTAGAATGACCACTGGGTCAATGAAGAAATTAAGAAGGAAATTGAAAAATTTTTTGAAACAAATGATAATGGAAACACAACATACCAAAACCTGTGGAATGCAGTAAAATCAGTACCAGGAGGGAAGTTTATATCTATAAATGTCTATATCAAAAAAGAAAAAAAAACTTCAAATAAATAACATAATGAGGAATTTTAAAGAACTGGAAAAGTGAGAGAAAATGCAAACCCCACATTAGTAGAAGAAACTATAAATAAAGATTAGAGCAGAAATAAATGAAATTGAAATGAAAACAATATAAAAGATCAATGAAACAAAAAGTTGGTGTTTTAAAAAGCTAAACAAAATTGACAAACCTTTAGGCAGAGTAAGAAAAAGGAGAGAAGATCCAAATAAATAAAATCACATATGAAAAAGGGGGACATACAACTGATACCACAGAAATTCAAAGGATCATTAGTGGCTACTATGAGCAACTATAAGCTAATAAGGTGAAACAATCTAGAAGAAATGGAAAAATTCGTAGACACATACAACCTATCAAGATTGAACCATGAAGAAATAAAAAACCTGAACAGATCAATACCAAGTGACAAGATTGAAGCTGTAGTAAAAGTCTCCTAGTAAAGAAAAGCCCAGACCCAGTGGCTTTACTGCTGAATCCTAGTAAACATTTAAAGAAGAACTAATACCAATGCTAGTAAAAATATTCCAAAAAATAGAGGAGGAGGGAAAAATTCCAAACTCTCTCTTTGAGGCCAGTGGTACCCTGATGTCAAAAACCAGACAAAGACACATCAGAAAAAAAAAGAGAAAGAAAACTACAGGCCAATATCTCTGATGAATATTGATGCAAAAATCCTCAACAAAATACTAGCAAACCAAATTCAACAATTAATTAAAAAGGTCATTCATCATGAACAAGTGGATTTTATCCCTGGGATGCAAGGATGGTTCAACATACATGAAACAATCAATGTGATATATCATATCAACAGAATGAAGGACAAAAATCATACATTCATTTCAATTGAAATTGATGCTGAAAAAGCATTTCATAAAATTTAACATCCTTTCATGATAAAAACCCTAAAAAACCTGGGTATAGAATGAGCATACTTCAACATAATAAAAGCTATAGTATTATACTATAATAAAATAAAGTATAATTAATATAATATAATAAAATATAAAATATATAATATAATAAAAGCTGTAGTGTTATACTAGCTGGGGATCTGTCATATAGAATGGAGAAAAAATTGAAAGCCTTTCCACTAAGATCTGGAACACACAAAGATGCTCACTTCCACCACTGTTATTCAACATAGTACTGGAAGTCCTAGATAGAGCAATCAGACAAGAGAAAAAATAAAGAGCATCCAATTGGAAAGGAAGAAGTGAAATTATGCTTGTTTGCAGATTATATCATCTTATATTTGGAAAAATCTAAATATTCTGCCAAAAAACTGTTAGAACTGATAAACAAATTCAGTAAAGCTGTAGGATGCAAAATCAACATACAAAAATCAGTAGCATTTCTATATGCCAACAGTGAACAATATGAAAAAATATTAAAATGGAATCCCATTTACAATAGCCACAAATAAAATTAAATACCTAGAAATTAACTTAACCAAAGAAGTGAAAGATCTTTATAATGGAAACTATAAAACACTCATGAAAGAAATAGAAGAAGACACCAAAAAATGGAAAGATATTCCATGTTCATGGATTGGAAAAAGTCAATATTGTTAAAATGTCCATACAACCTAAAGTAATCTATATATTTAATGCAATCCCTATTAAAACACCAATGACATTCTTCACAGAAATAGAAAAAAACTATCCTAAAATTTATATGGGCTGGGCGCGGTGCCTCACACCTGTAATCCCAGCACTTTGGGAGGCCAAGGCGGGCAGATCACTTGAGGTCAGGAGTTCGAGACCAGCCTGGCCAACATGGTGAAACACTGTCTCTACTAAAAATACAAAAATTAGCTGGGTATGGTGGTGCACCTGTAATCCCAGCTACTCAGAAGCCTGAGGCACAAGAATTGCTTGAACGTGGGAGGCAGAGGTTGCAGTGAGCCAAGATCGTGCCACTGTACTCTAGCCTGGGTGATAGAGCAAGAGTCAGACTCAAAAGAAAAGGAAAATTATGTGGAACCACGAAAGAGCCAGAACAGCCAAAGCCATCCAAAAAAAGAAAAAAACAAAACAAAACAAAACTGGAGAAATTATATTACCTAACTTCAAATTTACTACAGAGCTATAGTAACCAATACTGCATGGTACTGGCATAAAAACAGACACACAGGCCAATGGAACAGAATAAAGAATCCAGAAACTAATTCACACACCTGCAGTGAACTCATTTTCGACAAAGGTGCCAAGAACATACATTGGCGAAAAAAGACAGTCTCTTCAATAAATGCTGCTGGGAAAACTGGATATCCATGTACAGAAGAATGAAACTAGACCCCTATCTCTTCCATATACAAAAATCAAATCAAAATGGATTGAATATTTAAATCTAAGATCTCAAACTATGAAACTACTACAGAAAACGTTGGAGAAAATCTCCAGGACATTGGAGTGGGCAAAGATTCCTTGAGTAACACCCCACAAGCACAGGCACCTAAAACAAAACAGGACAAATGGGATCACGTCAAGTTGCAAATCATTCACTCAGCTAAAGATACAACCAACAGGCCGGGTGCGGTGGCTCACGCCTGTAATCCCAGCACTTTGGGAGGCCGAGGTGGGTGGATCACAAGGTCAGGAGATTGAGACCATCCTGGCTTAACACGGTGAAACCCTGTCTCTACTAAAAATACAAAAAATTAGCCGGGCATGGTGGTGGGCGCCTGTAGTCCCAGCTATTCGGGAGGCTGAGGCAGGAGAATGGCATGAACCCGGGAGGCGGAGCTTGCCGTGAGCCGAGACCGCGCCTTTGCACTCCAGCCTGGGCGACAGAGTGAGACTCT
This sequence comes from Homo sapiens, assembly GCF_000001405.40. NCBI lineage: Eukaryota > Metazoa > Chordata > Mammalia > Primates > Hominidae > Homo > Homo sapiens. Next base: position 67,342,124 of record NC_000010.11, on the reverse strand, counting down.
GTCTAAAAAAAAAAAAAAAAAAAAAGAAGAAAAATAAATAAATTAAAAGAATAAAAAATATATACTGGGAAACTACGAATCAAAAGAAAACTGGAATAGCTATGTAGAATAGATGGAGTTTGAGGCAAAAAAAAGACACATAAATGGCAAAAAGGCATATGGAAGGTGCTAAATATCATTGCTCATCAGAAAAATGCAAAGCAAGACTATAATTATACATCATCTCACCGTAGTTAAAATGGCTTATACCCAAAAGACAGGCAATAACAAATGCTAATGAGGATATGGAGAAAAGGGAGTCATTGTACACTCTTGGTGGGATTATAAATTAGTACAACCATTATAGAGAACAGTTTTGAGGTTTCTCAAAAACTAAAAATAGAGCTACCAAATGATGCAGCAATCCCATTGCTAGGTATATGCCCCAAAGAAAGGAAATCAATATATTGAAGAGATATCTGGACTCCCATGTTTGTTGCAATACTGTTCACAATAGACAAAATTTGGAAGCAACTTAAGTGTCCATCAACAGATGAATGGATAAAGAAAATGTGGTACATATACACAATGGAGTAGTATTTGGCCATAAAAAAGAATAAGATCCTGTCATTTGGAACCACATGGATGGAACTGGAGATCATTAAGTTAAGTGAAATAAGCAAGGCACAGAAAGACAAACATTGCATGTTCTCACTTATTTGTGGGATCTAAAAATCAAAACAATTGAACTCATGTAGATGGAGAGTAGAATGTGGTTACCAGAGGCTGGGAAGTGTAGTTGTGGGGAGGTGACGCAGAGATGGAAATGGTAAATGGGTACAAAAAAAAAGTAGAAAGAATGAATAAGACCTACTATTTGACAGCACAACAGAGTGACTATAGTCAATAATAATTTAATTATACATTCTGAAATAACTAAAAGTGTAATTTGATTGTAACACAAAGGATAAATGCTTGAGACAATTGATACCCCATCCTCCATGATGTGATTATTATGCTTTCCATGCCTGTATCAAAATGCCTTATGTACCCTATAAATATTTATACCTACTATGTACCCACAAAAATTAAAAATTGAAAAAATAAATAAAAACCTATATGTCTTATTTCAATAACTAGATTGTAAAATCCTCGAGGACTTAACACTCCTTTGTCTTGCCATCCCTGTTTACTCTGTTTACGCTTCTACTTCCTCCATCCCTTTAATATGTAGTAAAAGTTGAAAAAAATGTACTATTCAGTTTCCATTGACACCAAAAAGAAATATCAAACATGACAATATCCACTAGATGTTTTTCTTCCTTTTCAAAGTGTAATACTATATTCATCAGAACATTTCATTCTATATAAAAAGCTACTTATTTTAAGCCACATCTTATGTAAAATTGCTTAACAACTTGATACATTCAATTAGAGTAGAAGTTCTGGGGAAACAGCAGTAGCAGGTGAATCTGAACGGTTGTGCCATAGTTAAAAGGAAGACTTCCTGATTGGCTTTCCTGGAGCAGATTATGCCTCTTAGAGGCCAAACTGCACCTGGGATTTGGTCCTACAAAAACACAGCAGAGCAGCAAATTCAGGACAATCTTTGCCTGTTAGTCTTAAGTAAAACAATTATGAAATCATTTTTTGAACCTGATATATTAGCATGCTGAGTGTGTTAAAGGCAATCTTATCATAGACACTGCATGGGCAGTTTTTTGCATTCAAACCATGTCTATGGAGATACCAAAGAGCTTCAGGAAAGACCAGATAAATTTCACAAGATTTTTTATTTTTTACTTCATTTTTTCTTCATAAATTTGAGAAGATTTTAACATTATTTTTCTTACCTTTGACTTTTATTTTGGAATATTCTGGTAATATTATTTAAACATAATTTTAAATGAAATTTGACTTTTAAAAATACAATAAGCAAACTTATAAATCCCTCCTCCTTCCTCCTGCCCTTGTTAGGTATTATATTTTATTTGTACAAAGCCATAGCAAACATTCCAAGCATTCTTTTCTATATCTCATACTTGAAATGACTAATTGGATACTGAAAATATAAGCAGGACAATTAATATATTAATGAACAATATTATTTTATTAGGCATTTAAATATTTTGGGATAAAGAAGAAAAACTGAAAGCACACATCTTTTTACACATTTATTTGGAGATAAATAATACACATCTCACTTTCTAGGCTGAAGTGAGAAAATATTTTTGGTCGTATATTGGCATAAGGAATAAACATCATATTCCAACTGAACAGTTCTTATTTATTACAATTTTCTAAATCAATCAAAACAAAGCACATCTTCACAAAGTAATGGCTAGAACAACAATAATTTCTTAGAGATATGTTACATCTGATCTATTTTCACTGTAAGAGCACTCACTTTTAATAACAGCTATTTCAACATAAGAGTATTCTTTTCATGGACTTTGTAAATTAGGAACATGATCATTGCCTAGAGCATAATATATCAGAACATGTTGTATTTAGTTCTCTTTTCATTTTAGATTTTTCTAGTTCTCCGTAGTAAAAAGTATTGTAGGTATAACTTATTTGACATGAAACTGGGATATTTTATGGAATACCGGAGTTGGATAAACATTAACATTTCTGATTGTCACTCTAACTCCAACAACTAAACATTGTAGGCTTTTGAGTTTGCCTATAATCCTTAGGATATATCGTGTATATCCTAATTTTGCTTCAGTATTGCCATTATTTAGTTGGAACAAGATCTGGGAATTGTGATATTTAATTTCTTTATTGAACCACCATGTGATATTGGATAAGTCATTAGCTTTGCCCAAACTTGATGTGATTATGTGTGCATTACTAATAGGTAAGCTAGGATTTATGTCCACTTTGGAAAAAAAAGACAATAAAAATATAGTCTTAATAAGGACAAGATTTTGCTTTCTTTGCTCAGGGATAGAATTTATCCTGAAGAATGAGTGATTGCAAGAAGCCCACCATGGCCATGTAAAGGTGACAACCAGTACCTGGTCTAGAGCCTCTCCAAGGATTTTTGCAACTCAGCCACTTCTCCATTCTACAAGACTTCAATTCATTTTCTTATGAGCTAGAAGAGAAATATTGGTCAACTTTCATAATTTATTGAGGCAGCTGAGGTTAGGTGGGTTATGAAGACCCCAATGATTCCATGAAAGAGGGGAGCAAACTTCAAGTCTTATGACTCTTATCTCATGCTGTATTCATTGGTTGAAGAATAGGTTGCTTGTTACATGGAAACAAATGTTTACAGATATCATCAAAGAAATGTTGACATCGAAAAGACTGTTACATATTTTTTGCTTTTTGGTGGCTACAGCAAGATTGGCAGAAATGTCTTTTACCTCATCCATCTTAAGTGAGATGATGTTGTTAGCTATTGTAGGCAAGCTACTGCAGTTTGCTTATACACAATTGCTTCATGAGACATTTACTGGAAGAAGGTTGTTTTGATTTTCCTGTCATTTGCACAACTATTTTAAGATATTCTGAGTCTCATTTATGATTCCTTATCAGTGATTGCCATTAGCTACAATTTTTTTTTCTGTTATTTTCTCTCCTGGGCTTTATTGGCATTTGTATAATAAAGAGAAGAATTGGTCTCTGATATGGTGTGGATGTTTGTCCCCTCCACATTTCATGTTGAAATGTAATTCCCAGTGTTGAAACTGTGGCCTGGTGGGAGGTGTTTGGATCATGGGGGCAGGTCCCTCGGTCCCTCATAAATGGCTTGGTGTACTCCCCTTAGTGATGAGGGAGTTCTTGCTTTGAGTTCATATGAGATCTGATTGTTTAAAAGTATATGGCACCTCCCCCCACACCTTGCTCATGCTGTCACCATGTGACAAGCCAGCTTCCCTTTCCTTCTGCCATGACTGTAAGCTCACTGAAGCCCTCACAAGAAGCAAATGCCAGCTCCATGTTTCCTGTACAGTCTGCAGAACTGTGAACCAATTAAACCTGTTTTCTTTATAAATTACCCAGCCTTGGGTATTTCTTTACAGCAGTACAAGAATAGCCTAACACAATCTGGCTCCTGAAGATGAAACAAATTAATTAATACATTTCAAGTATTTTCCTAGGTCTCCCTCTCTTTATATATAGAGGCATACCTTGGAGATATTGTGTGTTTTATTTCAGACTACTGCAATAAAGCAAATATTGCAATAAAGTGTCGCTCAAATTTTTTGATTTCCCAGTGCATATAAAAGTTATGTTTATACTATACTGTAGCCCATTAAGTGTGCAATTGCATTATATCCAAAAACACTGTGCATATGTTAATTTAAAAATACTTTATTGCTAAATGCTAATGATCATTTGAGCCTTCAGTGGATCATGATCTTTCTGCTAGTGAAGGGTCTTACCTCAATGTTGATGGCTGTTGATTGATCAGGGTAATAGTTGCCGTATGTTGGGTGGCTGTGGCAATTTCTTAAAAATAAGGCCACAATGAAGTTAGACCTATTAATTGGCTGTTACTTTAATGAAAAATTTCTCTATAGCATGTGATGTTGTTTGATAGCATTTTACCCATAATATAACTTCTTTCAAAATTGTGGTCAATCCTTTCAAACCCGGCTACTGCTTTATCAACTAAGTTTATGTAATATTCCAAATCCTTTGTTGTCATTTAAACAGTGTTCACTGCATCTTCACCAGGAGTAGATTCCATCTCAAGAAACTACTTTCTTGGCACACCCAGTAGAAGCAACTACTCCTCCATTCAAGTTTTATCATGAGATTGCAGCAATTACCCATATCTTCAGGCTTCACTTCTAATTCCAGTTCTCTTGCTATTTCTCTTACATTTACTGTTACTTCTGCCATTGAAGTCTTGAAGCCCTCACAGTTTTTCAAGCAGGTTGGAATTGACTTCTTCCAAACTCCTGTTAATGCTGATTTTGACCTCCTCCCATGAATCGTGAATGCTCTTAATGGCATCTAGAATGGTGAATTCTTTCTAGAAGGTTTTTAATTTACTTTGCTCAGGTCCATCATAGGAATTACTATCTATGACAGGTATAGCCTATGAAATGTATTTATTAAATAATAAGGCTTGAAAGTTGAATTTACTCCTTGATCCATGGGCTACAGAATGGATGTTGTGTTAGCAAGCATGAAAAATCCATTTATTTCCTTGTATATCTCTATCAGAGCTCTTGGGTGACCAGGTGCATTGTCAAAGAACTGTAATATTTTGAAAGGAATCTTTTTTCTGAGCAGTAGGTCTCCACAGTGAGCTTAAAATATTCAGTATACCATGCCATAAACAAATGTGCTGTCATCTAGGCTTTGTTACATTTATAAAGCACAGGCAGAGTAGATTTATCACAGTTCTTAAGGGCCCTAGGATTTTCAGATGGTAAATGAACATTGGCTTCAATTAAGTTGATGACTTTAAGAGTCATCAGCTGCATTAGCCCCAGCAAGAGAGTCCACCTGTCTTTTGAAGCTTTGAAACCAAGCATTGACTTTTCCTCTCTAGCTCTGAAAGTCCTAGATGGAATCTTCTTCTACTAAAAGGGTGTTTTGTCTACACTGAAAATCTGTTGTTTAGTGTAGCCACTTTCATCAATTATCTGGGCTAATCTCCTGGATAATATGCTGCAGCTTCTCCCTCAGCACCTGCTGCTTCACCTTGAACTTTTATGTTATGAAGGAAACTTCTTTCCCTAAATCTTATAAACCAACCTCTGCGAGCTTCCAACTTTTCTTCTGAAGCTTCCTTACTTCTCTGAGCCTTCATAGAATTGAAAAGAGGTAGGTCTTGCTCTGGGTTAGGTTTTGGCTTAAGGAAATGTTTAGCTTTTGGTGGAAAGTGACAGACCTGCTACAGTTTCTTTCATTTGAACACTTAGAGTCATTTTAGGATTATTAATTGGCCTAATTTCAACATTGTATCTCAAGGAATAAAAAAGCCCTAGGAGAAGGAGAGATGGAGGAGATGGGGACAACTGGTTATTGGAGCAGCCAGAACACATAAAACATTGAGTAATTAAGTTCACTTTCTTTTATGGGTGCTGTTCATGGTGCCCCACAACAATTACGATGGTAACATAGATCACAGATCATTGTAACAGATATAATAATAATGAAGAAGTTTGAAATATTGTGGAAATTACCAAAATGTGACACAGAGACAGGAAGTGAGCACATGGTGTTGGAAAAATAGCAGTTGACACCGATTTGCCACAAACCTTCAATTTGTAAAAAAAAAAAAAAACACTATTTGTGAGGTGCCATAAAGTGAGGCACAATAAAACAAGGTTATATACACACATTTACACACAGTAAGTTCTCAACGTTGTCGATAGGTTCTTGGAGACTACAACTTTAAGCAAAATGATATGTAATAAAACTAACTTTACCTTAGGCTAATTTACATAAACAAGCAGTAAGCTCCTACAGCATGTTTGTCATAGAAATATCAAACTTCTAAGTAAAGACTCAAAACACTTTTAATATTAAACATTGAAATAAATGTGAGCCAAACATACATTCAAGAAAGATTAATAAAAACAAGTAAGATAATTATTTACCCAAGTTTTGGTGAATCAGTGAGTGATAGTGGTTGTAGTGGTGATGGGTTGAATCAAGGAATAAATGTTTGCAAAGTGAGAATTATAAGGAGCACCTCCTATCACCACACAGTTCAAAAACAAACAATAAATATGGCAGGCTTGCTGAGCACTTTTGGACCCCACTGTTTGGTGTCAAAATAAATTTATTTTACAATAATTTATATTCATTCATTTTCCAACCTGCTTATTCCTGTTCAGGGTTGTGGGTGGCTGGTGCCTATCCTGGCAGGTCAGGGTGCAAGGCAGGAACCAGCCCTTGACAGGACTCCATTCCATTGCAGCCTCACTCATACACACACTCCCACACTCACTCCAACTTGGACATTGTAGATACAATAATTAATCTAATGTGGACATCTTTGGGATACGGGAGGAAACTGGTGTCCCACGAGAAAACTCAAACAGATGGGGAGAATGTGGAAACCCCATACTGACAGTGGCTCTGGCTGGCAGTAGATTTTTTTTTCTCATCAATGTGTGTGTGTATATGTGTGTGTGTGTGTGTATACTATTGAGGAAACAGTGTCATGAAGTTAAGTGATTTTCAATATAGAAATCATTTTATAGATAATCTATACAACCAAGCTGTTTTTTAAAGAATTTGGATTGTTTTTGTGCACAGAAAACTCAACAGTGTACATTAACCCAGGTTAGTGGCAAGTTCTTTAGTCTTTGCCTTTTCTAGCTTGGCAATGCAAGCCACAGATTTTGGACCCAGGATGTTGCCTCCTCAGTGCTGACAGATCTCATTATATCTAACCTTGTAGTTAGTACTGATAGCTTCCACCAGCTCAGCCAGAACTCCTTTGTCTTCTGAGTTAACATGTGTGAAGGCCACAGTGGCACAAGTATTCCTGGGGACTGGATGTCTTTTAGGCTTGCCTTCTCTTGATAGTGCAGTAAGGAACTCCCATCTTAGGATACAGGGCGAGCCCTCAGCAATCAGCTTGATGGAACCCACATCACGTGCAGTCACTACCATCTGAGCCTTCTTGTTTTCTACCAAGGTGGTGACAGTGTTAACCCTTGCTCAAAGGACAGGTGTTATCTTAGTGGGAACATCTTCTTTGCCAGCAGCTTTCTTCTTCTCTTGCTTTGTCTCTGCTCTGTACTTGTGGGTCAGTTTCAGCATTTGAGTAGCTGTTTGGCAGTCCAAAGCCTAGATGAACTGGTTAATTGCAGGAGGCACTTTCAGCCATTCATAGAGGATAGCTTTTTGCTGATGCAGCCAGATGCAGTGGGGCCCTTTGACAAAACAAGTGAGGTTCCTTTTGAGATGGATGTGCTGTCCAATGCCAAAATTCTTAGACCTTTTCTCAAACAGGGGATTCACCACCTTGTTGGCCTTCTGCTTCTTTATGATAAGGGACTAGAACCACCTTCTCTGCCTTGGCCTTCTTTCCTTTCAGCAGCTTGGGTGGCTGGAGGAAGCAACAAGACCAAACATTTTGTATAAAGGATCTTATGATATTTTATTGTAAAATATGCTTTATAGACTGTAACTAAAGGAAATCCTAGTGGTCCTTTGGGTCAAATAAGGAAAATATATTGCATATGTACAGCTATTTCCTCAATGTCCTTATGGAAGACTTAGCAAATCACCCATGACACTCTACTTTTGTCCAGAATCAGCCTCATAATCCTTCTTAACACAGTGCTTCAGCCAGCCATTATCAGTTGATTGTAATTGATGTGAGAGATGAAAGTAAGTGCCATGTATAATCTAGTAGACCTCTCATTTTTCACATGAGGCAACTGAGGCCCAAGGAGGCCAGTGACCTTAAAGGACAGTGTGATAGCTGAAATTAGAGCTGATGTTCCCAGATTTTAGTTTCAATGTTCTTTTTACTCCATCATGTACTCAGTGAGCCAACAAAATAGCATGGGTATGAAATTTCCATGCCTTTTTAGAATCAGCCTTATTCAATTTTCTAATCTTCAGGTTTCTGAGTTATTGCTATTATTATCTGACCTGTCTACAGTCTTTTTAAATGGGGACAAAAAAGTACAGTTCCTTGAAGAGCATTTAAATCCAACCCAGCATAAAACCAGCCCACAGAATATATGAGCTGTTGATGATATTATGTATATAAAACTGCAATTACCATAAAAATACAGCAAGAAATCTTAGCATCCCAATGTAACTGTAAATCTAATAACAGCAATAACAGAATTTCTTAGAGAAAAAAGCTGCATTGGCTTGTTGTTATTTTTGATCCTAGCTTATTATCTGGGTCAACTGGGAGGTTTTTAGGAACATCAGCCATTTTAGTCTTAGTTCTGTTTGGTCATCAGAAGCTTATGATGACCTAGTGCAGTGAAGGAAGCACTAATATACATAACTGATTGTTTCCTGTTTCTTTAATTCCATGAATACTTGAAGAACAAAGGAAATGAACATGCTAGGAATCTGCATTTGAAAGTAGTCATGCTTACACTTTTCATTGCAGTACGCTTTGATAAAGTATGTAGACTATTCTTTCTGATCTTTACTATCTAAAACTGGATCCTCCTCCTTCCTTTCTACATTTTTGTTGATTTATTTATTGACTGTGTGAATCATAGGGGATCTTCATATAATCCAGTGTGTAGAGACTTGACGTAAAGAGTCATATAAAGAATGCAGGGGCATTCACGTGCTATAGCTTGGAGCTAAATTAAATTACAGGTAGGAAAAATCTTTCAGAGGTGAGTGTAATGCTTACTAACTGTTTGCAAGCTTTCATAAAACAGTTCCAGAGTTAGAGCTGTAGGAGAAATACCTTCTTATTGAGAGTGGACAATCGACTCCAAATCATGGGATATGAAATTAGGGAAAATTGCTTTTAAAAAATGTGTAAAGAAAAAGAGATAGATATAGGCTAACAGGATAAACTGAGCTTGAGTAGATCTTGAGGAAGCTTAGGGCAGTTTACCTGATTTCATTCTGCATCAACAGAACAGGTAAGTGTTGTTTAGGTCAACATTTCTCAAAAAATGGGATCTGTATCCATGAACCTCCTGCTTATTTAAAAATGTGGATCACTAGTTCCTAATGGAGGAGTCAGACATCTTACAGAAATCTATCTCTACAGTTCACAGAAAGTAGTTTTATGCTTTAGTTCTCAAGCACTGGAGCTCTGTTATGAGGAACAAAGTTTCCTAATTCACCTTCTTTAAGTGAATTTTTAGGTTTGCCATTTAGGTTCCCAAATTCAGTTCTGCTGAGGCCCAGTTACCATTTTTCAACACTAAAAAGAATAGGAAAATGCCCTTTTGTTTCACTTTATAAAGTTTCAAAAGCATGAATCAGAAAATCATTTTACTTTGGAACAAAGATTTTCTAGGAAATTTAATCTTTTATTATTCAAGATAATTCAACCAAACACTTTGAGCCAATTTTAAATATTTTGTCTACATCTCATTAGACTAATGCACTTTTCTTCCTTTTATTTTTCTAGACTTAATCACACAGATTCCTATAAGTAATTAGGTTTTTCATTCTTTCTAAACTCTTTATCTTAGCACTTCATTCATTCAGTCATGACATAGTAATGTTTGTGGAATCCCAGTTGCTTTTATTGAGAATGGCTATATATTCTCTCATTAAGTAATTATTTTTCTTTATGTTTAATAAGGGAGAAAGTAGCCTATTGCCTCAGATTCAGGAGTAAAGATGAAATTCACTGGGAAGACATTATGTTTGAAATTTTCCTTAGGGTTCCTCTTCACTGGGTGAATTCAGTTTTAGTGATAAAGCCTAAAAGTTCTCAACATCTCTAAAAATATTATCTTTCTTACTCTAAAGCATGTGGAAAAAGTTGGCTTTGGAGAAGTTATGTTTGGCTAGGAAAGATACTATATCTCATCTCAAGAATGTTAACACATATATATTCATCTCACTCTGCTACCAAGGAAGGGAAAGATGTTCAGATGGCCACATCACTTGAATAGCTGAGTGATAGAACTGCCTTCTAGGTCACTGTTCCAAATCTGAACTAGCCCATTCTGTCCCTCCCCCGGCCCTCCCCCAGTTGGAGGAGAATCCTTTGTTGATTCTCACAATACTATGACTAGACAACATTTGGGAGCAAAAATAAAAAAATATGCTTCTAAATAGCCTTAAATGAATTGTTTTGTCTTTGTGATAATTCCCTGTGACTTTATGCTTGTGACTTCCTGCTGCCTGCAAGTGATGTTGGAAAATGGAAACACAGCAGTTTATTCACTTTTCTTTATCCTGCATGTCTCAAGCTTGGACTTTGGCAGTTGAAGTAAGATAATCATTTTGTGCCATAAAAGAAGAAAAACAGTTTGCCAACAGGAGCCTAAATTTAACATTAGAAGACTGGGAAATATGGAAGAGAGGTGATATCCCAGCAACACTACTCCAACACAGTAATCTGGCAGTTTCTGTATTCCCAATTTATTTTTAAAAAACAATGTCACTTTTGTCAGTAAAGACTTAAAAGCAATTTTGAATGTGTGTGGGAAAAAAATACCCAGAAAATTTCCCCCTAAACCTGATTTTTATTGCTTGATTTGTGGTTTAAAGTATTTTCATAATATTTATAAGTAAAGGTGGTTTCAGCAAGTATGAATTCCACCATTTTGTCCACAGGATTAGTGGGGAGGGATTTTGAATTCAGATCTTAGCTTTGGTGCTGGATGCCTTTAACAAATTGCCGTAATTGCTTTTCCTTTATCCGTATTTTACTTCTCTTTGGCAGGGTGAAATACCAGTTTATCCCAGGTATCGTCTGAGGAAGGTTTGGGGAGTGATCTGTATGTTTAGATTTTCTGCCTAACTTTATTAATGTGGTATGAATAAGGAGCTTTTTTTTTTAGAAAATGACACTTTATACAAGTCAGTTCCTCTCTATTTTCTTTATGGACGGTACTGGGGTGGCAGCAGGACTCACCATGAAAACTGTAGTGGTAACTCTGTTCTTCTGACTGCCTCCCATGATCCTGTGTAGGAAGCTATTAAGCCTGTAGTTAAGTTACTTCCATTTCCTCTTGACTAAATTGATATAATGATAGTAATATATGCTGCGCTTATCTTTCAGTGTGTCAGTCACTGTGCCAATCGCTTTATATGTACGAACTGATTAATCTTTACAGCTCCTAGGAGTAGATCTTACTGTTATCTCCATTTCACAGATGAGGACCCATTGGAGACTGTATTCAAATCCAGGCAGTTTAAATATAGAAATATTTAAGAGCTGCTTCATGCTGCCTCCTACAGCATGGCTGGGCAGAATAGACACAGAACATTCAGAAATTTGAGTTTTGGGAAACATGCAGGAGAGAGATGTGACAGTGAGATGTTGCCTCCAATATGAATTGTCCTTGTCTTCTAAAAACAGAATCCTGCTAAATTAATGACCAACAGTAATAGCAGCTATACCTCCCAGTTTCCCTTGCAGCTGTAATTATGCTTTGAGATGCAAGTAAGATTAATGACATATAAGTGAAATTTTTATTGGGTAACTTTTGCAAACTTCCATAAAAGTTAGTCTACCTGCACACTTTGGCTCTATCCTGCTGCCTGGAATGTGGATGTCATGGTTGGAACTCTAGCTGGCATCTTGGACTATGAGGATAAGGCCACACCTAAGGTGGCGGAGTGAGAAGTTGGAAGACGCCTGGGTTCCTAGGTATTTTATAAAGCAGAACCACTACATCAGCTCAGGAGCACTTTACCTCCAGACTTTTTTTGTGAAAGCAAAGTAAACTTCTGTCTCATTTGAAGCACTGTGATTTTGAGTGTCTTTAACTTGCAGCTAATTGCTCATTTCATACCTACTTAACAATGTGGATTGTAAGTAGCTTCACTATTTGTGCATAGTAAGCCCTCCGTAAATATTTGTTGATTTGAGTTTTTTATCTCTTCCCATTTTAATATTTAGAATCATCTATTTGAGTTACTTTATAAGAACAGTGACAATATGTATGTATATTCTACATTCAAAATCATGCTGTAAATGTAAAATAATTGGGCAACAGGGCCTGAGTGGTTTTCCTTTTTTCTTAAAGTAATGAGGAAGATCCAAATATTAGAATACAACTTACAAGTATCAAGGTAAAACTCCCTTGCCACATCCATGTAGCAAACCAAATGTACTTTAAGTATGTTACTATTTATTACCATTTGACTTTTATTTGATTTTATTTTTGAGACAGGGTCTCACTTTGTCACCCAGGCTAAAGTGCAGTGGCATCATCTCAGCTGACTGCAGCCTTGACCTCCTGGGTTGAAGCGATCCTCCTGCCTCAGCACTCCAAGTAGCTGGGACTACAGGCATGCATCACTATGCCCAGCTAATTTTTGTATTTTTAGTACACATGGGTTTTCCCATGTTGTCCGGGCTGGTCTTGAACTCCTGAGCTCAAGCGGTCCACCCACCTTGGTCTCCCAAAATGCTAGGATTATAGGCATGAGCCCTTGCACCCAGCCCATTTGCCATTTTATATTAAACATTAGATCAGTGGGGTAGGATCAATGGATAAATCAATTAGAAAGAGTGATTACTGGAAAAATCACTTATGGGTTTATCTGGATGTTACAAATCAGAATTCTGATATTTAATATTATGCTACATTTATGGTACAATGAAAAAGTACATGTGTTTATGTATGTTTATATTGAAAAAGTTTCAAAACCAAATAAGTCCTATAATATCCTATTAATCATAAAAAAAGAAAAAGAATTGGTGGGGGACAAGATGACCAACTAGACGCAGGCAGGTGGAACGGCTCTCATGAAGGGACTCAGATGACTGACACACTCCTAACACATCTTCAGAGATAAAGGCACTAAGAATGGACAGAGGGAAGACGCAGAAGCTGGGCTGAAGGGTGAGAAAGCTGGAAACGCTACATGGGGCTACAGTATACCCACACTCATTCCTGGCCCCCAGTGGCTCTGAGGGAACAGGTGAGTTGCACTGGCAAGGAGCAAACTGCTTTTGCCACAGGCCTCTGGAACCCTGGCAGGGGGAGACCCCTTGACCACTATGGACACTCAAGATGGCATGGAGAGCTGCTTAGAGAAGGGTTAGGGGCAGCAGCCAGCTGATGTGGAGCCCGAAGAGTTTGGTGCAGGACTAGGGGAACTGTCAGTCCTGAACTCTGCAGGGTGGTCTTGCCCATCAGACGAGGCCAGTCTGACCTGAGAACCCCTTGGTCTGCTGTCCTTTCCCAGAGCCCCAGCCTGGCTACACCTGCTTGCAGAGCAGCCTCGGGTGCCCTGGGGTCCCACACCATAGCTTCTGCACTGGCAGATTGTGCCTGACTGGTAGAGAGCTCCAGCAGGATGGCCCCTACAGCCATGCACCAACCCCCATGCTCCCTCCCATACTGCAGCTTTCTTTAGGCCTAAGGCAACTCCCCACATTGCTTTGCTGGCATGTGTCTGTGGAGGTGGGTTTTGCTTTTCTTGACCATCAGCATTTGGGTGTGCAGTCTACCCTTCCTCTCCCCACTGACCTCTGTTGCAGACAGAGTCTTGGTGGGCACAGAGTCAGCCAGCCCTGCCCCCGCCAGTGCTCTGCCCTTATGGTAACACTCTGCAGAGAATGGTGGATCCTCCCATGCCTGAGCAATCATTCCTGCTTGCGAGGCACAGAGACCTATACACCCAGACCTGCACCCATCAGTGCCCCACTCCTGAGCCAAAACACCACCTTCAGGGTGACCACACACACAGTCACCAGCGGAGGCCCCCCAGCTGCGTTGACTTTGCCACTGTGGTGAACACTTGCAGGGAGGCAGGCATCCTGGCACCTGCCACCCACTATGCCACAGCTGTTGCTACTGCTGCTACTGGCACTTGTGAGCAAGAATGGGTCCCACTGTCATCGCACTCTGAAACACTTTGGCTGACACCACCCGTTGGAGTGTACTGACCAGTGGTCTGGGAGCACCTCATTCTCCCCCACCTCCCCAGTGAAGTGGATTCCTAACCTCAAGGAGCCAGAGAACAAAGTTGGGGCTCAATACAAGTCCCCCAGAGTTACAGCATGCAGTCCAGGAGTTGGGAGCTAAGCATTGGCCCTGTAAAATCTTCCAGAAATGAAGGCAGTTAGCTGAATTCACTTTATACCACAATCAAACTTCAAGGTCATCAAATAGGATAAAAGGAAAAAAACCCCATCCAAAGGTCAGCAGTTTTAAAGATTGAAGGAAGGTAAGTCCACAAAGATGAGAAGGAATCAGCACAAGAACCCTGATAACTCAAAAAGCCAGAGTACCTTCTTTGCTCCAAATGACCACATCACCTCTCCAGCAAGGGTTCTGAACTGGATTGAGATGGCTGAAATGACAGAAATAGAATTCAGAATATGGATAGGAATAAAGATCATTGAGCTACAGAAGTATTTTGAAACCCAATCCAAGGAAGCTAAAAATCATGATAAAATGATGCAGGAGCTGACAGTCAAAATAGCCAGCCTAGAAAAGAATCTAATTGACCTGATAGAGCTGAAAAACACACTACAAGAGTTTCATAGTGCAATCACAAGTATTAATAGCAGAATAGAACAAGTGGAGGAAAGAATCCCAGAGCTTGAAAACTGGCTGTCTGAAATAAGACATTCAGACAAGAATAGAGAAAAAAGAATGAAAAGGAACAAACAAAACCTCCAAGAAATATGGGATTATGTAAAGAGACCAAATCTGTGACTCATTTTTGTCCCTGAAAGAGATGGGGAAAATGGAACCAACTTGGAAAATATATTTCAGGATATCATCCAGAACTTCCCCAGCCTAGCTAAAGAGGCCAACATTCAAATTCAGGAAATGCAGAGAACCCCTAAGATACTTCACAAGAAGATCATTCTCAAGACCTATAATAATCAGATTCTCTCCATGGTTGAAATGAAAGAAAAAGTGTTAAAGGCAGCTAGAGAGAAAGGTCAGGTGACCTACAAAGGGAAGCCCATCAGACTAACAGTGGAGCTTTCAGCAGAAACCATACAAGCCAGAGGAAATTGGGGGCCAATATTCAACATTCTTAAAGAAAAGAAATTTCAACCCAGAAATTCTTATCCGGCCAAACTAAGCTGCATAAATGAAGGAGAAATAAGATCCTTTTCAGACAGGCAAATGCTGAGGGAAATTGTTACCATCAACTACTTTACAAGAACTCTTAAAGGTAGCACTAAATATGGAAAGGAAAGACTGTTGTCAGCCACTACAAAAACATACTGAAGTACACAGACAAGTGACACTATAAAGCAACTACATAAACAAGTCTGCAAAACAACCAGGTAACGTCATGATGACAGGATCAAATCCACACATATCATTACTAACCTTGAGTGTAAATGGCTTAAATGCCCCAATTAAAAGGCACAGAGTGGCAAGTTAGATAAAGAACCAAAAATCATAGTATGCTGTCTTCAAGAGACCCATCTCACATGCAGAGACACACATAAATTCAAAATAAAGGGATAGAGAAAAATATACCAAGCAAATGGAAAACAGATAAAAGCAGGGGTTGCAATCCTAGTGTCTGACAAAACAGATGTTAAGCCAGCCAACAAAGATCAAAAAATGCAAAGAAGGGCATTACATAATAGTAAAGGGGTCAAGTCAACAAGAAGATCCTAAATACCTATGTGCCCAACCCAGGAGCACCCAGATTCATAAACTAAGTTCTTAGAGACCTTCAAAGAATCTTACATTCCCACAATATAATAGGGGGAGACTTTAACACCCCACTAACAATATTAGCCAGATCATCAAGACAGAAAATAACAAAGATATTCAGGACCTGAACTCAGCTCTGGATCAAATGTACCTGCTAAATATATACAGAACTCTCCACCCCAAAACAACAGATTATACATTCTTCTCATGACCACATGGCACACATTGTAAAATTGATCACATAATCAGAAGTAAAACAATTCTCTACAAAATGCAAAAGAACTGAAATCATAACATACCATGTCATGGACTATAGTGTAATAAAATGAGAAATCAAGACTAACAAATTCACTCAAAGCCACATAATTTCATGGGAATTGAATAACCTCCTAAATGACTTTTGAGTAAACAGTGAAATTAAGGTAGAAACTAAGAAGTTCTTTGAAACCAGTGAGAACAAAGATACAACATACCAGAATCTTTGAGACACAGCTAAGGCAGTGTTAAAAGGGAAATTTATAGCACTAAATGCCCACATCAAAAAGTTAGAAAGATGTCAAGTTAACAACCTAACACCACAACTAAAAGAACTAGAGAACCAGGAGCAAACAAATCCCAAAGCTAGCAGAAGATAAGAAATAACCAAAATCAGAGCTGAACTGAAGGAGATTGAGACACGAGAAAGCATTTAAAGATCAATGAATCCAGGAACCATTTCTTTGAAAAAATTAATAAAATAGACCACTAGCTAGACTAATAAAGAAGGAAAGAGAGAAGATTCAAATAAACATAATCAGAAACAACAAGGACACATTACCATTGACCCCACAGAAATACAAATAACAATCAGAGAGTATTATGAAGACCTCTAAGCACATAAACTAGAAAATCTGGAAGAAACAGATAAATTCCTAGACACATACAACCTCCCAAGACTGAACCAGGAAGAACTGAATCTCTGAATTGATCAATAATGAGTTCTGAAATTGAGCCGTAATAAATAGCCTATCAATCAAAAAAGCCAAGAACCAGGTGGATTCATAGCTGAATTCTACCACATGTACAAGGAAGAGCTGGTACCATTACTGCTGAAACTATTCCAAACAAAAGTGAGAAGGAGGGTCTTCTTTCTACCTCATCTATGAGGCCAGCATCATCCTGATACCAAAATCTGGCAAGACAAAAAAAAAAAAAGGAGAAAATTTCAGACTAATATCCTTGAAGAACATTGATGCAAAAATCCTCAACAAAATACTGGTAAACTGAATCCAGCAGCACATCAAAAATATTATCCACCATAATCGATTAGGCTTTATCCCTAGAATGCAAGGTTGGTTCAATGTATGCAAATCAATAAATGTGATTCATCACATAACAGAAGTAAAAACAAAAGCCACATGATTATCTTAATAGATGCAGAAAAGGCTTTTTGATAAATTCAACATTCCTTCATGTTAAAAACACTCAATAAACTAGGTATTGAAGGAACATACCTTAAATTAATAAGAGCCATCTATGACAAACTCATTCAGTCAACATCATACTGATGGGCAAAAGCTAGAAGCATTTCTAGTATTTCCCATTGAAAACCAGCACAAGACAAGGATGCCTTCTCTCACCAATCCTATTCAACATAGTATTGGAAGTCCTGGCCAGGGCAATCAGGCAAGAGAAAGAAAATAAGAGCATCCAAATAAAAAGAGAGGAAGTCAAACTATCCCTTTTTTGCAGATGACATCATCCTATAACTAGAAAACTTCATCATCTCAGCCCAAAAGCTTCTTAACCTGATAAGCGACTTCAACAGTTTTGCAACAGAGTCTCAGGATGCAAAATCAATGTGCAAAAATTACTAATGTTTCTATGTACCAACAACAATCAAGCTGAGAATCAAATCAGGAACATAATCTCATTCACAGGTGTCACACACAAAAAAGGTAAAATAAAACACCACAGAATACAGCTAACCAGGGAGGTAAAAGTTCTCTACAAGGAAAACTATAAAACACTGCTCAAAGAAATCAGAGATTACACAAACAAATCGAAAAACATTCTATGCTCATGGACAGGAAGAATCAATGTTGTTAAAATGGCCATACTTCCCAAAGTGATTTAGAGATTTGATGCTATTTCTATTAAACTACCATTGAAACACTTCACAGAACTATTTTAAAATTCTTATGGGGCCAAAAAAGAGCCTAGATAGCCAAGACCATCCTAAGCAGAAAGAACAAAGCTGGAAGCATCACGCTCCCTGACTTCAAATTATACTACAAGGCTGCAATAACCAAAACAGCATGGTACTGGTACAAGAACAGACACATAGACCAGTGGAACAGAATAGAGAACCCAGAAATAAGGCCACACACCTCAACTATCTGATCTTCAACAAAGCTGACAAAAACAAGCAATAGAGAAAGGATTCCCTATTCAATAAGTGGTGCTGAGATAACTGGCTAGCCATATGCTAAGATTGAAACCGGACCCCTTCCTTACACCGTATACAAAAATCAACTCAAGATGGATTAAAGATTTAGATGCAAAACCAAAAACTATAAAAACCCTGAAGAGAAAATAGTCAATACCATTCTGTACATAGGCATGGGCAATGATTTAATGACAAAGACACCAAAAGCAATTGCAACAAAAGCAAAAATTGACAAATGGGACCTAATTAAATTAAAGAGCTTCTGCACAGAAAAGGAAGCTATCAAAAGAGTCAACAGACAACCTAAAGAATGGGAGGCAATTTTAGCAAACTATGCATCTGTCAAAGGTCTAACATCCAACATTTATAAGGAGCTTAAACAAATTTACAAGAAAAAAACAACCCCATTAAAAAGTGGGCAAATGACATGAACAGACATTTTGCAAAATAAGACATACATGTGGCCAAGAATCATATGAAAAAAAGCTTAAAATCACTGATCATTAAAGAAATGCAAATCAAAACCACAATGAGGTATCATCTCACACCAGTCAGAATGGCTATTGTTAAAAAGTCCAAATATAATAGATGTTGGTGAGATTGTAGAGAAAAAGGAATGTTTATACACTGTTTGTGGGATAAATTAGTTTGACCATTGTGGAAGATGGTGTGGTGATTTCTCAAAGACCTAAAGACAGAAATATCATTTGATCCAGCAATTCAAATACTGGGTATATACTGAAAGGAATATAAATTATTCTATTATAAAGATGCATGCACTTGTGTGCTAATTGCAGCACTAATCACAATAGCAAAGACATGGAATAAACCTAAATGCCTATGAATGGTAGACTGGATAAAGAAAATGTGGTACATATACACTATGGAATACTATGCATCTATAAAAAATGTGATCATGTCCTATGCAGGAACATGGATAGAGCTGGAGGCCATTATTCTTAGCAAACTAAAGCAGAAACAGCAAACCAAATACCACATGTTCTCACTTATAAGTGGGAGCTAAATGATGAGAACACATGGACACACAGAAAGGAACAATACACATTGGGCCTATTGAAAGGTGGGTGGTGAGAGGAGGGAGAGGATCCGGAAAAATAACCACTGGGTACTGAACTTAATACCTGGGTGATGAAATAATCTCTACAACAAACCCTCATGATACAAGTTTACCTATATAACAAACCTGCACATGTACCCTGAACTTAAAATAAAAGTTATAAATAAAAAAGAAAAAGAAACACAAGTGTGTTCCATTGAACACACGTATGAGACTTCTTAAATGCCTGTTTAAAATTTGTAATGTTATAATTTTATAAAAGGTCTTTTTTTTTCAAGTATAAGCATGGACTTTTCTCCCCATGCTGAAACCCAAGTGAAAAATGACACAGTATCTTGGACTAGGACCTTGTCAGTGTATAAGAAAAGGTTTGACAGGTTTGTGATCTGTGTGGCGCACACACTAGGCCTGGCTGATGGATTCAATGTGGGGTGTGTATGGAGGGAGGTGAAAAATAAATATTAATATGACACAAATATTCCACCTGAGCAAATGAGTAGGTGGAGGGGCTGCTTATAGGGATGGAAGAAGTTGAAGAGAAGCAGATCCAAGGTGTGTGGTAGGGTGAAACAGTTCAATTTTGCATACAAGTTTGCAATGCCTGTGAGACATCCAAAAACAGAAATCAAGTTGTATATGTGAGTTTGAATTTAAGAGGAGAGGTGTGGACTCGAGATTTAAAATTTGGAGTTTCAGCTTAGAGATGATATTTAAAGTTATGGCAGCATTTGAGATCATCTAGAGAGAAAGTTTAGGATAAGGTAAGAAGAGGGCTCTGAAACCAGTCTCATGAATGTAATAAGAAATCTACATGGTATGGTCAAAAGATTATGGTCTGTGTTGGGATCTGATGTGGATTTCTTTCCCTCTGGGTGCCGCTGATCTGCCTGTTGAGACCCGTCCCATTGGTCTAGGATGGCACTTAATCATGCAGAATCCTGACTGAAGATACGGGCTGTTTAAGTCATAAGTAGGAATGAAGAGTAGAATCACATAAATGCTTCCATCAAAGAACTGATGACATGGGAATTCCAGAGGCTCCTTCTAGAGATACATAGAATTCAGTGTGTAAAGAAGTTAGAATGTTTCTTTCTGCATCTTTAATCTATCTTCTCTTAGGTGCTTTGAGACTAGCTTAAAAATTAATTCTTGATTGCACTTTGCAACTATAAACATGGGGATTGGTGATTGAATAATTAGTGCTTATCTTCTCTCTTTGAAATTGGCTACCTTTGAGGTTTTACAGTTTTTAACAATATCATGATAAGATCATATGTTAAGTGCAGTTAGTGTTGGGCCACAAAGAACTTTTTCTGCAAAGAAATCAAGATTCTTACAGGTTTTAATGGAACCAAAAGCGTTGTGTGGGGTGGAGCAGGAGGGAGGATGGTTTAGAGAAGAAGCTATTGCTAAGTAATTTAGTGATAAAATTTGCAAAAATTGAATAAAGACTTAGAATCTATTTTAACAGCTAAAATAACTACTTTAGGATTTGTTAATTAAAAACAGCAGAAATGTTTCCTTCCAATCTCAATTCTCTTCTTTTAATTCACTGACTAAGGGTCTGCTTTTGTAATCTCCCCCAAATTCTGTAATATGCCCAGACTTACTATAGAAAGTAATTAAGACCTGTATGATTTGCACTAAGGCTATAATCAACGTGTAGCCCAGTGTCTTGCACACATTTATTCATTTCACTAACATTTATTGAATACCTACCAGGCATGCTTATTAATTTCACTAGCATTTATTGAACTCCTACTATGCCCCCATAACAGAACCTACTCATATGCTCCCTTTGAGTACCCAGCATGAAATTTAGTTCTGTGAGCATTTTGTCTACAAGTGGGCATCTTTCTTGCCAAAATAAATATATTGGCCAATATTTCTTGCTACCAGAAAAGATTAAATATTTTAAAATGTAGGCTTGCACCCAAGCTGCTGGTTATCTCTATTGTAGTATTGCTGACATGAGAGGGCTTTGCACATTGTTTTTTGATTCTGACAGGATTCAGTTAACAGTAATAACAACTTTTTCTTCCTCTCCCCTCCCTCATATGTTCTGCACATACTCAAAGATTGGCTCTGTTCTCAGAGTTGGCTTTTTCTAATTTCCTCTTTAAAATTTCTTTAACTTTCCATGTTTTTCATTTTTAAAGGAGGCCGTGAGACTCCCTCTAGATTAACTTGGCTCAGAAGATTACTGAGCTTCAAAAGTCTGGCTTTAAGAGGCTTTCCCAAATCTAATTTTGAAGCTATGGTATCCAAGAAAAATGGAAACCTCATATTTCCATCAAGGGCTCATGTGTAGCCAGGGTTTTTACCAAGTTTACAACATGCCGTCACACTTAATTCTGAGGACATGTGCCTAGTTTGGCCAACTAAAACATATACAGTTCCTTCTACTTTTCCATAAATGTAAGCATTTTCAGGAAGAGAAACTAGTTCAGAGACAGATCTTCTTGCTTAGAATTTTTTTTTTTTTTTTTTTTTGAGACTGAGTCTCGCTCTTGTCACCCAGGCTGGAGTGCAGTGGAGCAGTCTCAGCTCACTGGAACCTCCACCTCCCAGGTTCAAGTGATTCTCCTGCCTTAGCCTCCAAAGTAGCTGGGATTACAGGCACCCGCCACCATGCCTGGCTATTTTTTGTATTTTCATTAGAGATGGAGTTTTACTTTGTTGGCCAGGCTGGTCTTAAACTCCTGACCTCAAGTGATCCATCTGCCTAGGCTTCCCAAAGTGTTGCGATTACAGGTGTGAGCCACTGCACCTGGCCATTGCTTAGAATTTTGAATCTTCAAATTATAAGGAGAGCATCTTGGAAAGGAGTCCTTACCAGTATCAATGATTAGCACTTTTTTTAGGGAGCTCCATTAACTTTCTTAAATTAATTGCAAAATTTTGCATGTACTTATTTAATAAATATTAATCAAGCACCTTTTATGTGCTAGGCATAATTCATGAGTAAATTTTAGTGTGCTACCGGGTTGGGGTTACCGGAGATTACCCCTGGTCCCTATGACTTGCTAGGAGGACTCACAGGACTTGTATATGGTTTTACTCACAGCTATGATTTATCACAGTGAAGAGATATTGGGCGAGATCCACAAAGAGAAAAGGGAAAAGAAGCAAAGTCTGGGAAAGACTAAGTTACACACTTCTTTTAGTGAAGTCACACAGGATACACTTAATTTTCCAGCAATGAGTTGTGACAACATATATGAAATGTTGTCTACCAGTACAGTTTATTGGAGACTCAGTGCTCAGGGTTTTTATTGGGGGCTGATCACACAGCACCCTCCCTCTGCCTAGCACATACCAAATTTGTATACTGGCCAAAGGAAAGCAGATGGTCAGCATAAACTACATTGTTTGCACAAACACTTAGGTATAGTGAGCTACTCTTACCAGTTCTAGGCATGTGGAAACCCTCCTGAAACCCAAGTTTCTAGATGCCAGCCAAGGACCAACCTTTTAAGCCTTCCTTTTGAAGGGTAGCAGTTAGGTCTGCTATGTTAAGTTTTTTGTGAACAGCTAGATTATGACAAGTGCATTGGGGAAAATAATTTTACAGCAAGGAGCAAGGGCTAGTAAAGCTGGAAAGCAACGTGGTCTGCAATTTTAAATAAGGTGATCAGAGTAAGCTTCACTGAGAAGGCAACATTTGAGCAAAGGCTTGGAGGTAAAAAGGAATATTCCAGGTGAGGAGAACAGTCAATGCAATTACCCTAAGTTGATAGTCTGCTTGTCATGTTTGAGAAAGAGCAAGGAGGCCAATGTAGCTGGAGCAGAGTGAACATGGAGATGAAGGTGGAAAATTAGGGTTTGGGGAGAGGACTGCTGGCTATACCATATGGGACCTTGTAGAACATTGTTTGTTCTTTGGTTTATGCATGTGTGCATTTTACTGGGGAAAGATCCATTAGTTTTCATTTCTTTTGATTCTGTGAGCCCCCAACATCCACTAACTGCAGATCTAGGGTAACTTCCATCATTTTACAGGTGGAAAACTAAGCCCTAAGTGATGACAGGTAGCTTGCTTAAGGTCACATGATCTTCAGTGGGAGAATGGGGGATAAAATGTAGAACATTAATGTTTCAATCTTTCCATCAAGATTAGGAGAATCCTAATTATTAATGTAGTTGATAATAAATGGATGCCACACTGCTTCAGGATAGTTCAGGCAGAATGTGTTCAATTATTTCTTTTGGTTTAGAATAGAAGGGGACTGGGGTGCCTAATCCTGAGTAAGTAGGGGGTAAAACAAGTAGTAAATACCTAATAGGCATTTTCTCCTACATATTAGAATGTCTGATAATTCAATTAAATGTCTTTACACCTCACATCTATCCCTCCTTATGTAAAAAAAAAAAAATGGTTTTCATTGCCTGTTAAGCCATCCCTCTTTTGCCCCCATTATGATTATATGCAAACAAAGAAAAAGTTTATTAAGCTGTCTCCTGATTTTAAAGAGATTCAACTGTGGTTTTTCACAAGGGCTATAAAAATAAACTAAAGCTGACTTTAAAGTTAACTTCTCTCATTGGCAACTCTGCAACAGTCACACCAAGAAGGTCTAGTTGAAAAGGGTGAAACATGGCCAAAGCATACCTACTGAACACAGATCCAGAAAGTAGTATGTTTGACCTTAAAACCCCCGATGATGGCCAGGCGCGGTGGCTCAGCCTGTAATCCCAGCCCTTTGGGAGGCCGAGTCAGGTGGATCAGGAGGTCAGGAGATCGACACCATCCTGGCTAACATGGTGAAACCCTGTCTCTACTAAAAATACAAAAAATTAGCCGGGCATGGTGATGGGTGCCTGTAGTCCCAGCTACTTGGGAGGCTGAGGCAGGAGAATCGTTTGAACCCGGAAGGCGGAGGTTGCAGTGAGCCAAGATTGTGCCACTGCACTGCAGCCTGGCGACAGGGAGAGACTCAATCTCAAAAAAAAAAAAAGAACAATGAGAACACATGGACACAGGAAGGGGAACATCACACACGGGGGACTGTTGTGGGGTGGGGGGACGGGGGAGGGATAGCATTAGGAGATATACCTAATGCTAAATGAAGAGTTAATGGGTGCAGCACACCAGTATGGCACATGTATACATATGTAACAAACCTGCATGTTGTGCACATGTACCCTAAAACTTAAAGTATAATAATAATAAAATTTAAAAAAGAAGCAAAAAAAGAAAAAAACAAAAAGAAAAAAACAAAACAAAACAAAACCCGATGATATGTGCTGCTTATGAAATCAACAGATAATTGCTATCTAATTTTTTCTTTCAAAAGAAAATTATGCTGAAAAGAAGATCTACAGTTTTTGAAACATTTACTGCTTTTAAGCATAAAGAAATGAAATGTTAGATGCAAATAGATCGGTGGTATATGTGTGCTAAAGGTACAATTTGGGTGACAGCTACGGAAAGGAATTTAATAATGCCTTTTACTATTTTGAAAGCCAGAATAAAAAGTAAAAGAAACCCTTTAGAATAAATTTTGAAAGGTTAAGTTCAGAGCTACTTAATTATTATATGGATTTGGAAGTATAGGCATTTAAAAAATACTTTATATTTTCAAGGGGGAAAATCATTAATCACCTCCTCTGAATGTGAGGAGGTAAAACATGGCTTATGCTATTTTACAGATAAAAAAATTTCTGTCCATTAAGCAGTATTTCCATATTGTCATCTTTAGGGTGGTTGCTGTTAAATACTTTATGCTATATTATCTCAACCAATGATGCAATGAATGGCTCTGTCATGGCTAGATGACATAAAACCAAAATTATCTATTACTGTTGAAGAGATGAGATCAATGTCATACCCAAAAAAGCAAGATCTTGAGGTCTTTCCCTCTGAGCTTTGATCCCTTCCATGTATTTTGAACTGCAAAAGGCCTTGCTTTTGTTGATGGTGGTGGTGGTGGGAGTTACTAGATTTAACTATTAGAATATTTCTGTTTGTACTAAGGCCCTTGACAAAAAATTTAATAGCTTTTGTTATAAAATGATGTGATTATTATAAAATTTAAACAACTCAGAAAAATAAGAACGCAGAAAAACACTCCAAATTCCACTTTCCAGAAATAACCATTCTCAGCATTTGAACATCTTTCCAGACATTTCTCAGTGTGTCTATATTGAGCAAAATATAGCTAGATGTAATTTTAGGAAAATGGGATCACAGTATACATGGCATTTTAAATACCAAGTATTAATTTACTTTTACTTGAATTTAACATAAGAAAGAGAGATTGAAATAAAACTGGAGGAGCTGTTGATTCCACTCAGATAAATATTTCATTACCATAAATGATATAGCCGATTTACAAATCCCATTATCACTATTCAAAAAGAATAAACTCAGTCTAAGAGTTTGAAATTAACATATTTTTTCTTTCAAGTACGACTATTTATTAGGAGTCAATTTCAATTGTTTTCTATTCTAATGTAGTGATGGTCATAGGAACAGAGCATGTTTGAAAGTTATGTAGAGGCTTGTAGAGCACAAAGTTAACATATTAAAGCAGTGCAATCACTAGTGATTTTCTATAAAAGATGAAAAAATAACAAACATACTTTTTAACAGATCCCCTCCCCCTCCTCTGATTTTTGATATCTTATTCTTTATACATTGATTTAGTACATTTTTTGTTTGTTCTGTAACTGTAGTTATTAAAGCTATTTAATAACATGTTCCTTGTTCCATTTAAAAATAGAGTTTGTGCTCAACACCAGCCCTATTACTATTATTTCGATATTACTGAGTTTGTTTGTTTGAATGGTTAGATTTTGTGGTCTGGGAATTTGTTAAGGAAGCACTTGTAAGTGCTTTTTACTAAGCACTTACAAAGTGCTTAATTTTACTAAGTTCTTAATATATTTGAGATGGCCTATCAGTTTAGTTTATAGTTAAAGGACAACTTTGCTGAATATAAAATTCTTAGTTCCCCCTCCCCGTTACTGAGATACTTTAGATATTATTATGGTCAGTTCTTCAGTGGATAGATTAATGAGAGGGGTGGAGGTAAATATCTGCTAAGTTGTCAATCAATTTGCTGAATAACCAACTCACCCAATTTAATGATCAATGGTAATATTTTGGGGTAAGGAAAAGATGGGGAGTTTACTTTGGGTATGAATTTTGAATGCCTGTTAGGCAATAAAATGAAGATGCTGAGTGATAGAGAGGTTGGGCTGAAGATACATACTTGAGGTAGACAGAATAAAGATGGCAATTATGACATGGAATTGGATGATAGTACAGATGGAGAAAAGAAAAGGTCTGAGGACTGGGCACTGTGTGTGTACTCCAGCAGTTAGATGTCAGAAGAATGAGGAGGAATAGCAAGGGAATCTGAGAAGGAACTTCATTAAGCTGGTAAGAACACTACTTGAAATCTCAAGGACAAAGTGACCAGCTGTGTCAAATGCTGCCAAGAAGACTGAAACTTGAACATTGGAATGGGCCACTTAGAAGTCATTTGGGTCGCTGATAAAAATCAATGTAGCAGGCAAACTACTGATAAACCTTCTTAGAGAAGAAAAATATAATCTTACATATAATTATAGAAAATACTTTTTAAACAATAATAAATGATAGTCAACTCTAACAATAAATTTGGACATTAGCAATTTTATCCATATGCCATAATGCTTCCTATGTCATAATGTCTTCCTTTGATAATAATTTTATGAACAAATGAAACCAAAACAAAACCCTTTTATGAGCAGGAGAAAGGAGTGAGAGCATAAATGCAGAACATTTTACTCTTGTTGAGTATTTGTTGCCTTCGGGGAATAAGACTTCAGAGCAGGTTGGGGAATATTATTTATATTTTCTGCATTTATCTCTGTATTGTTTGATATTACAATTTACTTGTATTATTTTCATAGTTAAATTATATACTAAAATAAAAAATAAACTATGTAATAAACAGAAAATATCAATAGTGGCAATATGTGACACACGAATGATTGCTTCTCTTGTCCTGAGCCCATGGCTTTAATGTTACCTGAGAGTTATGGGAGTCTTTCCTTTGAATTCCATACTTGACCTCAGAGTCTATTGACACAGTTTTATAGATAGTCATGCGAAAATGACTGCAGTTAGTCTTGAAACTGATTTCCTAGCCGTAGTATAGATGATTTCTTTCTTTTTAGTTTTGGCTTTCTAATTATTCATTTTAATTATTAAATGCCTATACTATGCATGAAATTACACTAAGAGGAACTCTACTTGGAGGAACTAACGGTCTATGATTCAAATTATGTGCATCTTCTTTTTGGGGTTCAGTAGAAGCCCAAATACTTGCTGTTTATCTTAAAAGTGATATTATTCCAGGTTCTGTCTGTGTGACATTCTCTTTTGCTAACTCTATGCACTCTCTCTAGGCTTTTACACCTCTGTTTCAGGAATCCTGAATCAGTACCTCTATTCCAGACCTCTTTTTCTCAGTTTGGCATCCTTGTATCCAAGTCAGCATGTCTAATATAGAACTTCTTATCTTTCCTACCTAGTATGACCCTCTTCTTTTATATGCTGTTTGACCTTGTTGTTTAAGCAAAGCCATTTTGCCTAAGGTAGTGAATCTAATTGATGCATAAGTCTTAATTTTATTGCTTATTTACTTCTCTTGTCCTTTTCTTTTCTACATATTTGTTGCTACTATCTTGGTTCAGACTTTCTCCACCTCTCACCTATACTTTTGTAGCAGTCTCCTGCCTCAGGTCTCATACGCTCCACTAATTGGCATTGCCACAAAAGTGATTTTTCTCTAGCACAAATTACATAATATCAATCCTATTCTTAAAATTATTCAATGACTCTCTGTTGCCTTCATTAGAGTCACATGACTGGTGATTTCACATGCCTTGTATACTTCAGTGATTTGCCCAACTTTGAGAAATGCTAAAGTTTATTTTATTATTATTATTATTTTTTTTTTTTTTGAGACGGATTCTCGCTCTGTCGCCCAGGCTGGAGTGCAGTGGCGCGATCTCAGCTTGCTGCAAACTCCGCCTCCCGGGTTCATGCCATTCTCCTGCCTCAGCCTCCTGAGTAGCTGGGACTACAGGCCCCTCCACCATGCCTTATTTTTTTTTATTTTTAGTAGAGACGGGATTTCACCGTGTTAGCCAGGATGGTCTTGATCTCCTGACCTCGTGATCCGCCTGCCTTGGCCTCCCAAAGTGCTAGGATTACCTAAAGTTTATTTTTTAGGAAGTACAGACTTCAATAATTTATAATGGCCACAGTTATTAGTAGTTTAGCCGTGGTAATTTACTATCAATAACAGCTTATAATAGATGTGCATTTATTGGTGAATTGGCTAAAATTCCTTACTTTACCACTCAGTAAAGTAAGGAATGAACATGAAGGTAGTAATGTAGGGGTAATCTTGAACAGACTCTAATTTAAATTTAAAAAGTAAATTATTCACAAATTATGGTACTTTGACTTTAATTTCTAACAAATTACTTGTGACATACTTCATAAATGATTGTCTATTATTATGGTTAGCAAAAGCTGGGTTTTAGATCAAAGTCCAGACTTTTTACCACAAACAAAACCCTCCATGATTCAGGCCAGTCATTTATTTATTCATATATCCACCCATCTGTCCATCTATTTGTCAAATATTTGTTGAGCACCCAGTACATCCTAGAAAATTGTTACGGTCCAGGGACATGCTAATGAACAAAACACAGGTTTCATTGTCACAGAATCAATGGCTATCGTCCTCAGACTTCTAAGGCTGGTCTTTGCTATGTGCATGTCCAGTCTCCTCTTCTCCCCCTTATTATTTCCAGCGAGATTGACTATTTATGATTCCCTTGATGCACTGAACTATTTTGTTTTTGTTGGCTTATTTTCCTCCCTCTGTGTAGAATTTTCTCAATATGGTGATCACTCAGCTTTACTGTCACTTCTCTGTTCCTTGTTTCTGAATGGGACCTCCACTGAAAGCCAAGATACACTTAAAGCCAAATTTCTTTTAAATGTAATTTAAGGCCAGGTGCAGTGGCTCATGCCTATAATCTCAGCACTTTGGGAGGCCAAGGCAGGCAGATCATGAGGTCAGGAGTTCAAGACCAGCCTGGCCAACATGGTGATACCCCGTCTCTACCAAAAAGTCAAAAATTAGCTGGGCACGGTGGTGCGTGCCTGTAATCCCAGCTACTTGCAAATCTAAGGCAGGAGAATTGCTTGAACCCCGGAGGCAGAGGCTGCAGTGAGCCGAGATTGTGCCACTGCACTCCAGCCTGGGTGACAGAGCGAGACTCTGTCTCAAAAAAAAAAAAAAAGTAATTTAAATGTATATATTTTTTCACAAGCCTTGCAGACTTAACACTTTAAAAAATCAGCTCGGTGTGGTGTGATTGTAGTGAGGTGAGGTGGTACGTGTGCGTGTGTGTGTGTTTGTGTGTGTGTGTGACTAAAAAGTTGATATAATTGATGGATTTGGTGATCCAATGTGGTAGAAAGAATGTTGGGGTTGGGATACTAGGGGAAATGAATTGAAAAAATGGGAGGCTTTAAAAACATAAGCTTCAGTATTCAATAAAATTTACTCTTCTAGAACACATTGTTCCTAAAGATTATGGGATAGTTTTATGCTTTCCTTGCTTTATTTATTCGTGCAAGTTTCTTTTTAGCAGCCTTTTTGGTGTTCTCTTTCTTCTATACACTTAAATATATGTCTGTGAGTGTGCTTTACTAAACATTCAATTTTTAAAATCAACTTTATTGAGGTATGATTTGAATACAATAAAATGCACCCATTTTAATGGTTGATTGAGTTTTGAGAAATGTAGCCATTCAGGTAACCACAACCATAATTGAAATATAAGATTTCTATCACTCTAGAAATTTCTGTCTGCCTTTTTATAGGCAAGCTCCCTTCTCAATCCCCAGCCACAGGCAACCACAGATCTGCTTTTGGTCACTATCAATTAGTTTTTCAGGTATTTGGTTTTAATACCATTTTTCTTGTTTAAAGTTACCTATTAGATTCCCAACCCCCCTCCTTCCATGATCCTTTATAGAGCTTGGAAGCTGCTCTCATTCTTCCTTTATCTGTCTCACTTTTTTGCTTCTTTTTCCAATACCCCTCACTCCTCTTGCTTCATTCTTCCTCTTCAAATACCATTATTAATTCATTTTCTGCTATATAAGTCTACTGTAGACTTTGGCCACAAGTGGTTCCCTAAAAGGCTTCAGTTTTTTCCAGAGTCAAAATCTTTTCACCTCCAAATTTCAATAGTATCACCTCTTTTAAGGCGCAGAAGGTACAGAATAAACCTCATAAATTATAATTTTGTAAATTCCTTTATACTAGTTACCTTTTCTGTGGCACCTGGATATTGTGTATGAAACTGGGGAAAAGTAAAACAAAAGATGACAGTTAAGCTCATTTTCACAAATTATCTTTATTATAAAATACAGTAATTTATAATAACTAGGAGTAAGAATAAAGTGGTTGATATGTTTTGGCTATGTCCCCTGTGTCCCCACACAAGTCTCATCTTGAATTATAGTTTCCATAATCCCCATGTGTGGTGGGAGGGACCCGGTGGGAGGTATTGAATCATGGGGGCAGTTACCCTCATGCTGTTCTTGTGCCAGTCCGTGACTTCTTACAAGATTGATGGTTTTATAAGGGGCTTTTCCCCTGCTTTGCTTTCACTTCTCTCTCCTGTCACCATGTGAAGAAGGATGTGTTTGCTTTGCCTTCTGCCATGATTGTAAGTTTCCTGAGGCCTTCCCAGCCATGTGAAACTGTGAGTCAATTTAATTTCTTTCCTTTATAAATTGCCCAGTCTCAGGTATGTCCTTATAGCAGCATGAGAACGGACTAATATGGTAATATTAAAACTTTAAAAATTGTGAGCACATTTGGGGAATGAATGAGTCTGTGTTGATTTTTTCCTCTTACAAATTTAATATCTCAGAAAACTTTGCTTTTAAAAAGAAGTTTTTTTGTGTGTGTGTGTGAAGGACATCACAGCTGGTTTTAGTGCTGTTTACTTTCCTTGTTTTATTTATGGAAGTAGGAGGGAATTACTTAGGGGTAGTAATTTAAGGCTATTTCAGTTGGCATTTAATTGGGTTTAGATGTCGGAAGATGCATACAGCTAGATACTTAAATAGAGGGTTTACAGTGGTAAAATAGACTAGGAGAACAATCTTATGAACTTTGCAATATGCTTTCCTACTTAAATATCTTCCAAGGTGTGAGCCTTTAAGCTTTGCCTTCCCTTATCTCCACCTACTTATTTAACCCTTCTATCACTCTGAACTGTGCAAGAAATAACATTCTTGGTTATTTATTTATTCTGAGTAACGTATAGCTTTATTCTGCCTAAGACACTTCACGTAAGTTCCTCTGGAGCTTGTTTGGGTAAATAGAAACATCTATTTAGTTGCTCCTTTAATATCTACTTTTGGTGGCAATTTTTTTTAAAGGAAGGATACATTTGCAGGCTAACAGTTCTTGGTACAGAACAATGTTGCACTGACATTTTCAGAATACTCTCAGGAGTATAATTCTGCTCCTTTTGGCCGGCAATGGTATGATTAATAAGGGTAGAATTTCATTTTTTTGTTCTATTTGGGATTTCTGAAATAGCCTTGGATTAATTTAGAACTACTTATTATAATTGTGGTATATTGATCAATAGTAAGTTGACCCTGTTTGCTGCTGTTTTCATCACAGTTCCTGTTCTGCAACAGATCAGTCAAAACAACATAATAACGACTTCTTTCTGACTGTATTTCTGTGACCAGCTGCACACAAACACACATGTACACATCAACACACACACCTGTATACACACACTTATTCTTATTAGCTCCCTTCATTTCTCTCTTTGTGCCTCTTCTATTGTCTCCCAGGCTTCTCATCCATGTCCACATCATTTTTTCTCCTTAATTCTCTTTTATCTTACAATCATACTTCCACCTCCCATACCTTTTCCTACAGAGTGAAATGTAGGAAAGGTTTATGAAGCTCTTTAGACTTGCCACAAACATCAGCCAGGAGATGCTGCTGTAAGATGACATAGTATTTCACTTGATGATGGTGAGTGAGTAGTATAATTTTTTTACTTGGTAAATTTATGTAAGCAAGCACTCAAGAAAAAGTTTGTGCATATTTTTTTCAAACTGAGTCACAATAAAGGAAGTGAGAGATTTTGTGGCTCTTGTGACAGCCACAAAAAAATAGAGTGCATTAATCATGTTGCATAAAAAGACAATAAGAAGCAAAGGTTGAAATGTTAAACTTTTTGAGATGAGTCATAATTGTAATGGTGCTATTTATCTTCAAAGTTTTTCACAAAATGAAGTAACATCCTCTCAGCAGTCACAATTATATGAGCACCTTTCAAAGATGTTGGAATTAAGGTTAAGAGGTTAAAAAGTCACTTCAGACCAAGAGTAGAAGTAAACTTTTTGAGAATTAAAATTCACTAATAGGAAAAAAAAAGTTTTGAAGTAGGAATTTGTACCTCTGATTCTGGTTTTGCCTTTGCCTCTAAATAGCTGTGTCATTTTTGACAGGTCTCTCAGTTCCTAGTGACTTACTTCCTGGCTCCCAATGTCCTTAACTTTCAAATGAGGGATTGATTAACTGGGTCTCTAAGTGAACTTTAGTACTTAAATAGTTTGATTGAATCCTAGAATTCTTTCTTTCCTTTGAATATTATGCTCAGTCCTCTTAAATGGAATGTTTAATTAATGAAGTCTTTCCATACTCATTATGCATATACCACTTAACATTTAGGCTAGAAAAAAAATGTCTCAAAGATGTATGTATTAGTCTATTTTCATACTGCTATGAAGAAATGCCCAAGATGGGGTAATTTATAAAGAAAGAGAGATTTAATGGACTCACAGTTCCACATGGCTGGGGAAGTCTTACAATCATGGCAGAAGGTGAAGGAGGAGCAAAGTCATGTCTTACATGGTGGCAGGCAAGAGAGCATGTGCAGGGAAACTGCCCTTTATGAAACTATCAGATCTCATTAGACTTATTCACTATCACAAGAACAGCAAGGAAAAAACTCACTCCCATGATTCAATTACTTCCCCCCCGGGTCCCTCCGATGACACATGGGTATTATGGGAGCTACAACTCGAGATTTGGGTGGGGACACAGCTAAGCCATATCAATGTAATTCTGTAATTTAGTCTCTTGAATGTTGAAAGGATGATCCAGTAAGTATGTAGGCCAAAAGAGGGGAAGGAATGATAATTAAATGCTATAATGTGCTAGTTTGGCAATTTCCTGTCATGGAGAACATGAATGATTGGAGTTTTATGAGAACACATGTAGGGTAGAGTAGCAGAATCCCACAGGACCTTCTGAGAATGGGGACCAGATAATGTTATTCCTCTTAGTGGTAGTTTCATGGATCTTGACTCTAGCACTCTACCATTAATAAGACTCTTTCTTTTTGTGTGTTAATTCCTAATTCCACTGGTTAATTTCATCCATATTTTTCCTTTATAGGTCCCGAGTGATGAAATCTGATTTACCTAGCCACTTACCACTTCCACCCATTGTACAGAATTTAATGTACACGAGAATTAATGTACTGGTCACCTAATGGCCACTTTGAGATGCTTGGAGCACAGTCTGAGGTTTGGGGGTATAGGTTGTACACTCAGTCTTAGAAAGAGGTGATAGGCAAAGCAGGACTCAATATCTGATACTGACATATCTAGAATACTGAAATTAACCACTGTAGCTTTTCAAGGATAGTCTTCAAATAAGCATGATGTTTTCCTTCATGAAATTAGACTAGACAAGCACTGAATGGGTCTCTGATACTAGTGCTGTGGTTTATATGAATGGGATATTTAGTTGCTGAGGTAAAAACAACCAACCAACCAAACAAACAAACAAACAAACAATTAATCAGTAGCATGTTGTATAGAAGGCAGAGATTCAGGACTGCAAAGGCTTTTCATGCCATCTGTTGGAACTCAGTATATGACGATATGCTATGACTTTTAATCAATTAGCATTACTGCCCGTATAATTTGATCAGTTATTAGATACTGCTTTCTGCTAGTTGACAAGTTGATTTCCTTTACTTTTCTATAAGACACTGAAGAGAGAACCGAAAATGTAGCAATAGAATCCATTTGCATTTTTTTGCATTTATTAATTATTTAATCAACATAATAAAAGATATTTTTTTCCATACTTTCCTGATGAGGAAAATGAAGTCCAAAAATACTAAGCAACTTGTTAACAGCCATGTGTCTGTTAAAGCATAATGCCAGAGTTTGAATTCAGGTAGATTGTTTCCAGAACCTGCAGTCACCCACAATGCATAACTTTCCCTTCTTGATTTTTACATTTTTTTGTATCTTCCTTCCTTTTTATCTCCTGCTCTGAGTCTTTGATAGGTTTTCTCTGTGTGCAAAATGTTTACTTTCACTTCCCATGAACACTTACATTAAAGTGGAAATAGTGTTTCCTCTGGAATACTCTTCCCAGGAAAGCCAGATATGTGAAGGGTTTTACCTTGGATGGATGGGATCTAGAAGTCAGGTAAAATCCTTAATCCTTGTATTTTTTTTTAAAAAAATCCACCAGCAGAGGGCTCTAGAGAGGCTCAGAGCCAAAGCTATCAAGAAAATGGTCCAATGCAGTGTGATGATCTGGGGTTGTGGGAGACTGATGGAGAAGAAATTCTGAGGAGCTATTAGCTGGTAAAATATCATCAGCACACGCATGCTGATTTTTCCTCTTTTTCCGGCCACTCATTGCCATTTTTGAAACTTCCTCTGTAAAACTTCTTTCCAACTCTTGTTCCTGAGGTTTATGGTCCTGGTTTTATTAATTAAGGTTCCTGGATGTCATCTTTAGCTACATGTTACCATTTAAGGATGTCAGGCAGTGTGTACCTGAGAGTTTTCTTTGATTAATAAAGAGCTCTTCTTCAATCACCTATCTTGCAACTTGCATAACTTTATTGGAATATTGTTCATGCTTTTGGGAGTTTATTCCAACATATTATTTAAAAGACATTTTGTGTCAGTAGTGTCTCTTACTCAATATACCCCAATGTCTGGTATAAGAAGAATACAATCCTATTTTTCCCAAACTTTATCTTTTATTAGCTCGTTCTGATGAAGGTTCCAGTTCCTCCCATCTAAAAAAATTAAAAGGCCACCACTTTCCCTGGGCTCTATAATTTTTTTTTTGCTATCAGTTCTTTCTATCCCTGACTGTTAAGCTTTTTTAAAAGAGAAATTTGCACCTGCTTTATCTGTTTCTTCACCTCCTATTTTCTCCTCACTTTGCTTATTTGACTTCTAGTTCCACCCCACTTCTGAAACTCCTCTGGCAAATTTCACTGACTTCCTACTTGTCAAGCACACTGATTCTTTTTCAGACCTCATTTACTCAACCTATACCATAGACCAATATCTCCTCAAACGCTTGTTTTGGGTGTGAAATGCCATAATAGTTTTTCTTGTGTTTTCTGATCATTCTGTTTTGGTCACCTTTGCTTATTTTTCTTTCTGAGCTCAGTCCTGTATTAGCATCCACTGATATCTCTTCTAGCTACTCAACCAGATAGTCACCAGGTCCTATTGAGTCTGCTTCCCTAATCTCTCAAATGAAGCTACTTCCCTCCACTTTCACATCTACCACTCTAGTGCAGGTTCATCCTTTTTTCTTTTTTTAACTGTAATGGTATCCTAACTTATCTCCCCACTTCTAGTCTTGCCCCTCCAATCTAGCTTTATTTATTTATTTATTTTTTTACAATTCACATTGTGACCTTTTAAAAAGGAAAATATTACTCTTCAACTCCCTGATTTAAAATTCTTCCATGATTCTCTATAGATTTTAGCATAGTTAGCATAGGGTACAAGACCCTTCTTTATTTCTCCCCTACATACCTATCTAGACTTTTCCTCTTCACTTTTCACTTTTTACTTTAATACCTCCCATTGTCTCTCTCTCTTTTTTTTTTTTTTAATTTTTTTTTTTTATTATACTCTAAGTTTTAGGGTACATGTGCACATTGCGCAGGTTAGTTACATATGTATACATGTGCCATGCTGGTGCGCTGCACCCACTAACGTGGAGTCTCGCTCTGTCACCCAGGCTGGAGTGCAGTGGCGCGATCTCGGCTCACTGCAAGCTCCACCTCCCGGGTTCACACCATTCTCCTGCCTCAGCCTCCCACGTAGCTGGGACTACGGGCGCCCCCCACCACTCCCTGCTAATTTTTTGTATTTTTAGTAGAGACGGGGTTTCACTGTGTTAGCAAGGATGGTCTTGATCTCCTGACTTCGTGATCCGCCCACCTCGGCCTCCCAAAGTGCTGGGATTACAGGCATGAGCCACCGCACCCAGCCTAATACCTCACATTTTCTAATGCCTTTATACCTTTTTATATATAGCTTCTTCTTTGTACCTCCTCCTCTTCCCTTATCCTCACTCCTTCTGCTTGACTTACTATACTCTTTAGGTCATAGTTCTGGGATGTCTCCTCCAGAAAGCCTTTCTCTGATCACAGAGTCTAGAGTACATAACCTGCTTTGTACCTTGATGAAATACTAATAACTATAACTACCTGCTTATTTTTTGTTTCCCTTTGAAGGCAGAGGACAATTTTCCTTTTTCCTTTGAGTCAATAGCAACTAGCATAACGTCAGACACGTAGCAGATACCAAGTAATGATTGGGTGAGATTGGTTAGCTGATCCTTCCAACACCTCAAAAGATACACCTTTTATTTTATTTAGTAGAAAAAAAACCAAAAATAGTTGTAAATAGATTTCTTTCATTTCAGAGAAAGCCAAGAGGTAAATTTGCAGGACACATTTGAGGGACACATTCATAATAATCAGATAATATTTATTTCAGTCTTACTTTTATTTTCTAACAAAGCTCAGTTTAAAACAAGTTTCTGCTGACTGTCCAGAATCCTTTCTAATTCAAGTTATCAGTGTCGTGAAAGATGAAACATTGATGAGAATGT
This sequence comes from Homo sapiens, assembly GCF_000001405.40. Lineage (NCBI taxonomy): Eukaryota > Metazoa > Chordata > Mammalia > Primates > Hominidae > Homo > Homo sapiens. Next base: position 67,304,369 of record NC_000010.11, on the reverse strand, counting down.
GTGTGGTAAAGCAGTCTATAATTATAAACAAGGCTTCTTATTCTTGTGTATGTACTTGTCCTATATAGTGAAGTGCCTATGGAGAGATGGGTTTGACAAGGATGGCTGAGACTTCACATTCAGACAAATTCTGAATAGATGGATACAAGCATTGTATAATAGAAATAGATGGAGATAGGGGCACGGTGAAGTGGTGCTGTCTAAAAGTCAATAATGGGGATGCAGACCCTTAATTTTGCCCAACTCCACATTATATATGTTTACATCTCAAGCATCAAGGCAATGCGAATGTTAAAGTGTAGTATAGAACTAAGAACAAGGAGGAGGCTAGAGCAGTTTGTCTAGCTGAAAGCAAGAGTAAGCCCAAAACGGTACATAGGATTAAATGCAAATAAAGAAATATAGCTTATAAAAGAGAAAGGAATTAAGTAAGTCAGTAGGTTGTAGCTTGTGGGTGAATGGAGCTTAGATTATGGCATTCAGAAGAGGGAAGGGTTCTGATATGAACAGAAATCCTAGGAGAATTCAGTGACAGGTTAGATCCTCACTTAGCAGATGCGGCATGGAAACAAGGAGAGACTTAAATATCTAAATAGGGGAAAGGAGGTGATTATAAAATGAATAATAGTAACAATCCCTGACATTTCTTTAATATCTACAATATACTGTATTATAGGGAACAAGAAAAGGGGTTGGTCACTAACCATAAAAGAACTTTCTTATTGGAATCTAGTTATTAGCTTAAATAGTAAATGACCATTCCTGAGAAACCATTCTTGCCATGGAAATTGCAAAATATTTTAAATTTCTAGCTTCCTTAAATACATGTTTTGGAGTTTTATCAAAACTTGGGTGTGTTAACAAAAGCAAATTAGGCCTGCATGCCGGATCTCCTCTATTTGTTCCTTCAGATACATCTTTCTTCTTCAGCCTGGAAGGCTGTAATGTACAAAATTATCTGGTTCCCTCGCCTTCTAGATTCTGGTTGAATTTGGCCACTTGGGAGTCCAGGTTGACAACTGGAAGAAGGGAGAAAATGAGACTTTGTTATTTATTATATTATCCCCTTGTTATTGGGTTTCCTAGGGTAGCCTGGGTCTCTTGACCAAAGGTCACTGATTCTCTCAAGGTGGTTGTCTCTATGGCTTTCTCTGGTTTCAAATACGGATCTGTTCTCTTGTCTCTTTGGACCTAGGATTGGTAACAGCTTCACAGCTATTAGCACTTGGTTACTGCATTATACCTTATGTCAGTGGTTCTCAAACATTGGTGCACATTAGAATCACCTGGATGAGTTTATTACAATACAGATGGTTAGGCCTCACTCCCAGGATTTCTAATTTAATAGGTCTCGGGTGAGGTCCAAAATTTGCATTTCTGACAGGTTCCCAGGTGATGTTGGTGCTGCTGGTTCAGAGACCACATTTAAAGAGCCTATGTTTTCCTTGTCCCTTGCCTATAGCTTTATTAAATTGTCCTTTTATTCAATCCTTTTTCAATTATTCTAATTTGGTTATACCATCTGTTTAATGCTGGCACCCTGCCTAGTACTCTTTCCCACTTTACCAAAAATGTTCCTAGTCAACAGAACCAAAAATGAAATTCCGGAATTAGTTTTGTCATGTATTCAAAGTGTACAGCGGAAGAAAATGGGACATGGGCAGTTTATGGCAGGAGGTGGCATAATTACTCAGATTATCACTGGTGGTAACATGGGGATGAAGTGTACATGGAAGATAGATTATTGGAGGTCAAGTGGCTGTGGTTCTTAATTGTATGTCAGTGATAACTTATTTACCATTTTATTTTATTTTAATTGACAACAATTGTTTATATTTATTGTATAAACATTACATTTTTAAATATGTATACATTGCAGAATGGCTCAGTCAAGCGAATTGATACATGCATTACCTCACATACTTATCATTTTTGTGGTGAGAACACTTAAAATCTATTTTCTTATTGATTTACATAATACAATACATTCTTATTAATTGTAGTCACCATATTGTACAATAGATCTCTTGACTTATTCTTCCTATTGAACTGAAATTTTGAATTGTTTAACCAACATCTCCCCAATCCCCCATTCCTCCAGCCCCTCGTAACTACCATCGTACTCTCATTGTACTCTCTGCTTCTGTGAGTTCAACTTTTTTAGATTCCACATATAAATGAGATCATTTGGTATTTGTCTTTCTGTGCCCTGGCTTATTTCACCTAACATAATGTCCTCCAGGTTCACCCTATTGTTGCAAATGAAAGGATTTTCTTTCTTTCTTTCTTTCTTTCTTTCTTTCTTTCTTTCTTTCTTTCTTTCTTTCTTTCTTTCTTTCTTTCTTTCTTTCTTTCTTTCTTTCTTTCGTTCTTTCGTTCTTTCTTTCTTTCTTTTTTCTTTCTTGACGAGTCTCGCTCTGTCGCCCAGGCTGGGGTGCAGTGGCGCGATCTCCGCTCACTGCAAGCTCCGCCTCCCGGGTTCACGCCATTCTCCTGCCTCAGCCTCCCGATTAGCTGGGACTACAGGCGCCCACCACCACCCCCAGCTAATTTTTGTGTATTTTTAGTAGAGACGGGGTTTCACCGTGTTAGCCAGGATGGTCTCCATCTCCTGACCTCGTGATCCACCCGCCTTGGCCTCCCAAAGTGCTGGGATTACAGGCGTGAGCCACCATGCCCAGCCAGGATTTTCTTATGTTTAAAGGCAAAATTGCATTCCTTATATATATATATACCACTTTTTCTTCATTTATCTGTTGATGGACACTTAGGTTGATTCTATATCTTGGCTATTGTGAATAATGCTGCTATGAACATGGGAGTGCAGATATTTCTTTGACATGCTGATTTCATTTCTTTTGAATACATACCCAGTAGTGGGATTGCTGGATGATATGATAGCTCTATTTTTAGTTTTTTGAGGACTCTCCATGCTGTTTTCTATAATGGCTGTACTAATTGACCTTCCCACCACAGTGTACAAGGGTTGCCTTTTCTCCACATTCTCTCCTATACTTATCTTCCATCTTTTTGATAAAAACCATTCTAACAGGTATGAGGTGAGATGTCTCATTGTGGTTTTTAATAATTGTAAAGATTGTGGAGTCCCTGGCTTCTTCTTATGTCTCTCAGGAAGTTAAATAGAAAAAAGGAGTAATTTAAAAACTAGGCACATACAATTAAGGACATGTGTGGACAAACGAAGCTCTCCACTGCAGACTTGAAAGAGTTTCCCATCTCTTCCAGATTCAGACCAGGTATGGCTGAGGAGCCTCTGGCCCTAAATCTAACTCCTCCTGGCTCACTAAGGGATTTGGCTACTCAGTGTATAAAAGTATTTTACTTTTGCTACAAAACATACCATAACATCATGTTGTATACCTTAAATTTATACAATAAAATTTATTTTAAAACTTAAATAAAAAATATTGTACATAAAAAAATTCTTACCTGTCTCACAGGCAGATGCTGATTAACCTCAGGACCAATCTTTGCCACCTCTTATTGACTCAACATAGCCCAGATGGGAAGGTACAAGGCCTGGTCCAGGAGAAACAGTTTATACACTGAAAGAGGTCAAGAAGGTCAAGACCCCACCAGTCTGTATTGGCATACATGGGGAGTGAATGCTAATGTTCATCAGGCTAAATTGTTGACATTGGTGTACTCACCTGGAATTTAGGGTTTAATATGTTGGTCTGAGCACTTGGGAGAGGCATTAATAGTCTATGAATATATTAATTGAAGCCTGAACTCAATGATGACCTATAGTCAATAAGGTAGAAATGTTTGAGATTACCTGACCTACTCTAGAGGAAGGAATTCACAGGCTTGGGGAAACGGAAATGCTAGAATGGATCAGCCAACTCCTAACCGTACTCCCTAGGAAGGCCAGAGGATGCTGTTTTGATGAAAGCACTATAATATGCATTGGTGAGGGGGATAACAGCATTGTTAAATAGCTCTGTGGTTGCTGTCCTCTGTAGGAAGGAGATGACTGTAGGTTATGCCATAATGGAACTGAGTTTCCTGATCCAGTAGGATTCATGATGGTTTGACAGTGATGGAGACCAGCTGGTGGCCCTTAATCATTACAAACGAGGTGTTTGAAATTACAACAAGCCACAGGGATGGAGTTTTGACCTGTAAGCATCTATGGGAATGATTTTCTTTTCTGTATTTTTTGTGGGGGGAGCGGTTTTTTAACCTCACTGTGTGTCAGACTTATGTTGGGGGCTTGCTAAAACCCAGGTTGCTGGGCCCCACCTCCAGAATTTCTAATTCAATAGGTCTGAAGTGGAGTCTAAAAATTTTTATTTCTAACAAATTCCTAGGTAATGCTGATGCTGCTGGCCTGGACATGACACTTCGAGAACCATTAATCTAAAGCAATAGCTAACTGATGATGTAGTTCTAAGAATGAAATACATGTGCAGCCTTCCAATGTACTGTCTTACATATATAGGCAGAAAAATTCTGCCTTATGTCAAGTCTTGTGGGCAGAAACAATTTAACTTAGTGTTTTCAGATGTATGCCAATTTATATATTAGGTCCTTTCAATTGAGGAAAAGGTCAGGTCTCTTTGTAAAAGGGCCTTGCAATGTAGCAATGGCTGTATATTTTGCATTTTTTCCAAGCCATCTCTAAACATATTTCTATAATAATAGAGGAGGAAACTGTGTGGTCCTGATTTATGGATGAATCTTTATGGCATACTGAGACCAGCTGTAATTGGATAGGTGCTGCACTAAAACCCCATATGGGGATGACCCTGAAAGCCAGTGGGAAAGAGAAATCTTCACAATATAAAGAATCCTACAGCCTTCTACCAGGGTGACTTTACACGGGAGAAAAGGAAATAATACTCAGAACTTCTGAGTTATTCGATTCTGGCTTTAAATTCATTCTGATCCCCAGAGACTCTAAATGCCACCATAGTATTTAAAAGTCAGAGTAGAGATTTACGTAGATCTTGATCATATTCTAAATCTAACAGCATTTCTTAGTCTCAGAATATATAATGAGAATAGATATAATTAGTAACTGGTGGAATCAACACGTTGGTTTCTTGATCCATGTAATGAAGGCTATTATGATAAGAAAGGGCCAAGCAGAAGCTCCTGGAATGACATTTTTCACCTAGCTGAGGTAGTAAACCAAAAGTAACATCACATTCCTGAGGGAATGTCAGAGATTAGTACCACCATAAAAGATATAACTAAGGCGAGTGGATCATGAGGTCAAGAGATCGAGACCATCCTGGCCAACATGGTGAAACTCCATCTCTACTAAAAATACAAAAATTAGCTGGGTGTGGTGGTGCGTGCTTGTAGTCCCAGCTACTTGGGAGGCTGAGACAGGAAAATCACTTGAACCCAGGAGATCGCACTACTGCACTCCAGCCTGGCAACAGAGCAAGACTTCGTCTAAAAAAAAAAAATGCAACATATGAAGAGTGACTATTCCTACTACATATTTGTTTAATTTGACTGTTTGGCTGATGCAAAACATGTGGGTCATGGAGCATGAGAGTATATTTTTGCAGACTTAAGTAGGTTGTGATGCTATTTGCACATATAGTTCCAGTTGTGCAACATTTATGGGAACTAACTAGCACAGCCCTTTAGAAGTTGTTTTATTTTCCATTAACATTGATATGAAAAAATCAGAAGTAGTTTGCATTTACATGGCAGGGACAACAGTATATCTTTACAGGTTTACCATAAGTAACACCTAGCTGATCACTCATAATCTAGAGGGACTTTGGTTTCTTTTATACCCAATAGAACATCAAATATACTATTAAATTGTTAGCGTTATGCTAATTCGGCCTAACAGGCAGGAAGAAGCAAGTACTATAGTAACTTTAGATATATGCATGTTGGAGTGTGGGAGATAAATCCTGTAAAATTTGAAGGGCTAACCACATCAGTGAAGTTTCTAGGATTAGAGTGACACTAAAGCAGGTTATTCTAAAGTGAAAAACAGATTATTAAACCTGAACCTTGAACCCCATCCACCATCAAGCACAATGCTTGGTGAGACACTTCGGATTTTGAATGCAATACATATTACCTTCGGATGGGCTACTGCTGACCATTTACTGGATAAATGCTAAGGCTGGCAGTTTGAGTGAATCCAGGAGAAAGGAAGGTCTCTGCATTAGGTCCTTAGGTCCTGTCTGCATTACAGCCTATCTATAAGATGGTCTCAGCTGTTATCCTTGAAAAACTCCTGGAGTAAAAATCATCTTTGACTTAACTTCCGATATGATTCAGTTTGGGATTCCCATGTGACTCAGATGAAGCCAACTTAAAAAGTACTTGTACATCTTACCATTCCAATGACTGTTATGCCTCATTAATTTTATGGCCCAGCAGGCTCAATGTACTAGAAATGTATGCGATAGACAGAATTACTATTTGGAGTTTCTGGAAGAAACCTCAAAGGAGAATCATGGCCAGATTTCTTATCTGCCAACAACTATTTTCCATTTAAAAAGCAGTTTTTCTGGCTTGCTTCTGGACCCTACATGACCGCAGGATGCAAAGTATGTGACCTGACCTGTCCATAATGAACAAGGTGTTATCGAATCCAGTGAACCTTAAAATAGGATGTGCCTAAGAGCATTCCAGTAGTAATCAGATGTGGCATATTAAGAGCAGCCTGAGAGACCCAGAATGCCCACCAAGTAAACTGCACAAGCAGGTGATTTACACTCCCATGGTACTTGATTCTACTATTTCTCTGCCTCTTCTTCAGTCCATATCTATGGCTTCGTGGGGAATTTCCTATGATATGTTAACAGAGAAGGAAAATATGTGGTCCATTTATGGATGGATTGCATAGTATACTGAAACCAGCTATAGGGGATAGGTGTAACCTATGCAGGGAGGACCGTGAAAGACAGTGGGAAGGGAAATCCTTCCAGTGGGCTGAACTCTGAGCACTACATCTAGTTGTTAATTTCCTATAGAAGTAAAGATGTCCTAAGGTATCAATATGCAGTAATTCATGGATGGTCCCTAGCAAACTGATTGGCTGGTCAGGGAGTTGGAAAGAAAATATTTGTGAAGTTGGTGACAAAGAGGATCTGGAGGACACCTCTTGGAACTGTCATGGAGTGTGAGGATATTCCTGTCTCACATTAATGCCTACCAAAGAGATTCACAGTAAATGGGACACTCAGTTTTCAGGTGGTCAAATGACTCATTCTGTGAATGTCAGTCAACTTTTTCCAGCTACCCTGTTGCTTGGTCAGAGAGTCCACGTACAATGTGGCTGTGGTGACTGACTAGAGGTCATACAAAGCTCAACAATATGGGTTTTTCCTCTACAAAGCTGATCTGACTTCAACAAGTTGCTGACTATTTAATTTGCTAGGATCAGGGACCAGCACTGAACTCTTTTTTTTTTTTTTTTTTTTTTTTTTTTGAGACAGCGTTTCATTCTTGTTGCCCAGGCTGGAGTGCAATGGTGCAGTCTTGGCTCACTGCAACCTCTGCCTCCCGGGTTGAAGCGATTCTCCTGCCTCAGCCTCCCAAGTAGCTGGGATTACAGGCACCTGCCACTATGCCTGGCTACTTTTTGTATTTTTAGTAAAGACGGGGTTTCACCACATTGGCCAGGCTGGTCTTGAACTCCTGACCTCAGGTGTTCTTCCTGCCTCGGCCTCCCAAAGTGCTGGGATTACAGGCGTGAGCTGCCACGCCCGGCCCAGCACTGAACCCTTGATACAGCATCATTGGTCATCCAACTACCAAGTGACAACTGGATTGCATTAAACCCCTTTCAACCTGGAGGATGCCATGCTTTGTCCTCACAAAGAAAGACGCAAAGTCCAAATATTGATTTGCCTTTTCTTACAGTGCTTCTAAAATCGCTGCCATTTTTGGACTTATAAAATATTTTATCCATCTCCATGGTATACCCATAAAATCACCTTCAATTAACAGACCTTTTTATGGCATTAGTGATTTCAAGCCCACAGAATTTACTGGGTTTACTGTATGTATATAATTCAGAAACAGCTAGCTTTGTAGAATGATGGTCTGACCTCTTAAATGCTTAGCCATAGAGCTAGGTAGGCGATAATGCTCTGTTAGGCTATGATGCTGTACTGCATTGTGGTGTTTGCCTTAAATGAGCATCTAATAATATTTTAGAGAGAAAAGAAAAAAAATGCTATAATTTCAACTGTGTTTGCTTCCTCCAGAAACCTCTTTGCTGAGATAATATAAATTTTGGGTTAAAAATAATATCTTACAGGGTCATTGCTTACTCACACTTCACCTTTGTCAGAAATTCTTGTTAGACTGAGACATTTAACTTTGATCACCCTGAAAAATTCATGATATCTACAGTGTCTACTATGGACCCTCCCTTAGATGTGGCACTGCAATGAACTGCGCATCCTGAGCATCCGTAGGTAGTGGCCCTGCATGTGTATGGTACATTACAGTTTTCAAAGCCTGTTGCATAGCATTTTGTATCAGCATCTGAGATAAATGTGATAAGTAGTATAATAAACAAGATTTAACAGAATAAAATATTTGCATCACAGGTGTGTGTCTTCTAATTTAAGTTGATTTTATTCAACTCTTATTCTTCTTACTCCAGCTAATTAAAACCCACATTGACACTTTTAGGCAATGAACAGCAACCCCAGATGTTGGCTTTACTGCCTGATTTTATTGATTTCATTTGTTTGTGGCTTTAGCTGTGAGTGGCTGGGTACATTAGAACTTGGTATGGAATCTGCCACTTTAGGAATTGAAGACTTTATTTACTTTAAATAGCTGCATTATGGCCTATATATAAGCAGGTCTCAGCTATTATCCTTGAAAAACTCCTGGAGTAAGAATGTTCTCTGACCTAACTTCCCATATGATTCAATTTGGAATTCCCACGTGACTCAAATGAAGCAACTTAGAAAGTACCTGTATATCTTACCATGCCCGTGACTGTATTTCCTTAGCTGCTAATCCTCTTCTATTCCAGTAAAAATGGCTTTATAATTTTACAATTTATGATCTATCTGTTGTCATGAATTAACTTTTAAAAAATCCTGCTTTCTTTCTGAGACCTTTAAGAAAGAATTTTCTTTTGAGTATTTTCATTTTTATTTCAAGAGAACAATTTAAAATATGTTTTCTCACAGATAGTAGGCATTTAATTAGTGATCATGAACCACTTACTACGTTATGCCCCAAAATTACATTAAAGAAGGGGTAATTAGTGATAGAAGCCAATGCTAAATAAATACAGAAATTCCATTCTACTGAAGTCCACTTCATGGGGGCAGGATGTGTTTTTAGTATTAGCATCTTTGGGGTGAATTATGATGTTGTTGAAGGCATTTAATTCAACGAGTACTCATTTTTATTGTGTCACTTTTTACCAATACTGCTAAAGTAACAGAACATTCTATTCCTCTAATTTGCCTGAGCAATATATCGTAGTCATTAGCAAGAATTAGAACTGTACCTACCAATTACTGAACAAAAATTAGGGCTGTAAATAATCACAACACCTCAGTCTAGGCAGATGACCTCATCTGCTTATTTTCCTGCCACGTATAACAAAATAATGGTTGGTAAAGGATATTAACAGCTGTTTTAATTTGAAATTAAACTTTTATAAATCAAATCAGTACTTTCCCCCAGTAAAAGAGATCACTGAGATTGATTTAACTGTCAGTGTCTTAAATCTTTTTAACTCCTGTCTCAGTGGGAGAACTGGGGAGTCACTTTTTTAGAATTCCTTTCCTTGGTGCAAGTTTCAGGTGCATGATAAATTTATTTGATTTGACAATATACATAGCTTTGTAGTCATTATTCTTCTTCTTAAAAATCAAAACATTTTATTTGTAAAAATGTTACCTGAATTGATAGTGTGATTTTTAAAAAAAATCAAATTAAGAATAATTTGTGGAACAGAAGGGAACATATTATTGAGAAGGTTAACTTGGTGTAGTTGAATACATTTTAAGTTTGAAATTCTTGAATGATTGTATGTATGTAATTACCCTGAAATTGTAGCAACACATAGTCTTTTTCCCCACCTATATCTTGTGTCTATTGGTATATTTACTCGAGTATTAGATTTCCTTATATATATTTGGGTCTCTAAATACTCATTGATTTATTTTTTTCAGCAAACAGTTATTGAGTGCCACTGAGTGCCAAACACTGTGCGAACACTCAAAAAGCGAGGTGTTGGGGACAACGAATAAGACCTCATCCTCTTTGTAGGATGAAAAAGCCTTCCAAATAGAATCTATAACTTTGACTGGTATTAGATAAGCCTTTGGAGATTCTTTAGTGACTGCAGTTTGTTTACCATGCTCAGAGCCAATTGAACCTAGAGCACTTAAAATGTGTAATTTATCGTATGTTTATTGCAGCACTATTCACAATAGCAAAGACTTGGAACCAAGCCAAATGTCCAACAGTGAGAGACTGGATTAAGAAAATGTAGCAAATATACACCATGGAATACTATAAAGCCATAAAAAATGATGAGTTCATGTCCTTTGTAGGGACATGGATGAAGCTGGAAACCATCATTCTCAGCAAACTATCGCAAGGACAAAAAACCAAACACCGCATGCTCTCACTCATAGGTGGGAATTGAACAATGAGAACACATGGACACAGGAAGGGGGACATCACACACTGGGGCCTGTTGTGGGGTGGGGGGAGGGGGAGGGATAGCATTAGGAGATATACCTAATGTTAAATGACGAGTTAATGGGTGCAGCACACCAACATGGCACATGTATACATATGTAGCTAACCTGCACGTTGTGCACGTGTACCCTAAAACTTAAAGTATAATAAAAAAAATAAAATGTGTAATTTAGAAGGAGGAGAAAATTTAATATGTACATTGATAACATGTTCCAGTCATAAGTAATCCTTAATACTTTGAACTACTTAGAAATCTGATATAGTGTCTAGTAAGGAATTGTATACCATAGGAGAATATTTATTAAATGAAACAAAATTAATTAAATTCTGCCCTGTAATAGAAATTGACATTCATGGATGGACACAATTTAAGCTGATTTTTATCTGTAAGCTTTATAGATTTTTCTTTTACTAGGGCTCCTTCCAACTACCTTCTAAGAGGACCTTTGGAGATGTTTTCCTCAAAACATTAGGTTGAAAAGTCTAATCTACTTATAAAAAAGAAAGTCTACTTGATCAAGCTTAGCAACTTTATTTTCAGGAATAATTTTTTTATGTAACCTGATATTAACAAGGAAATAGGTAGTATTTATAACTTCTTTCCATTTAGAGAACTTCTGATGGTTCTGCTTTATTGACTCTTCTTAATCTACTAATTCTCTTTAGGAATTTATATGATTCAATATCCTAAACTAGAATGGTTTATTTATCTAGTATTGGACAAAGAGGAAAAAGTTTCAAGTGCTGATAGTTACCAAACTTCCAAATCCCTGTGAGCCCATTAGAGTTACCAGAAAACATTAATTGTGATACATGGTGAGCACACAGGACTTTCTGCATTAAACACATCTCAAACCACAATGATTTGTTCCTATTTAATATTGCCAATCAGAAATGTTGCTCTTTGAAAGTCATTACTATTTTTACTTGAATCTAAAATGTATTAACAGCTTTATGGCTTTTTATTAACTGATTATTAAGTAAAACTAAAGCTTTCAAAGTTTTCATTATTACAAACGTTGATAAAATTGTTCTATCCCTTAGAGTATGGTTTCATTGTAGCAGTTCAAAGAAAATAGCCAAGTAGGAGTTTATAGATATAAAAATGGGAGGGGGACTAATTATGGAATCTGAAAAAGTAAAATGATGTGGTATCATTTGACATTTAAATTTGAGAAGTAGATCAGTATATTACAATCATTGCGCTTATTGTTTTACATGAAATTGTGGAGAATTGTCTGGATTCCCACTTTACTTTGTTGGGACTCGGAAAAAAAAATACCTCAAAATGAAGGTCTCAGAAGTGAAAGCTTCTTTGACTTTCTCCTGCCCTCCTGTCTCTCAGCCCCATTCACCTACATCCAGCCATAGAAATGAGAATCCCTCTTCCCCAGGGCATGTCGTAGAAACTAGAACTTCTTTTCCCTAAAGCCCCCCATAACACCTAAAAATATTACTCAAACTTTCTCTCTGCCCTGCTGTGTAAAAACTGGCCATAAAGAAATTATCTAACTGACATTGTTTTACTGTAGGTCTTAAGACCCCCACCCGCCATTCAAGAGAGAGTCCTGCCCCATACCCGGAAGGAAGAAAGGCATGCTCAGAGAGGCCAAGAAGAGTCTAGACAGACCTTCCCCACTCAACCTATTAGCATTAGGTAGTAAACTTTTTGTCCAATCTTATTTGAGTATGGCTGTTCATACTTTGTTGAACTGAAGCATATAAATGGACAATTTCCCCTGCATCTTTGGGTTTTCATTCTGAAGGCTCTCATGTACACATTAAATACATTTGTATGCCGTTTCTGTAATTAATTTGCCTTTTGTGAGTTGATTTTTCCATGAACCTTTAGAGGCTGAAGGAGTTTTCCCTTGGTCTCTACAACTTTTATCTTTCATTTTTCATAGAAAGCTGTGTTAACACTAGTAAATCATGTGAAGAGGTTACAGTAATATGCAAAGCTTTCTTTTTGTGTGTGAGTGGCGGTGTGGCCTTTTAAACAATCTAGGTATTTATGGTAGATGGTTACATAGTAAAACGAACCCCAGTGAATCAGCTGACTATGAAGTATTGTGTGAGGAGATAACAAACTATTTGGGTGCTCACAATGGTAGATGTACATGAGCTTCTGAACAGGTCACAGGAAATGAGAAAAGATGAACTTAAAATAAATCACTTGTTAGAGATAACAATGAGAAATGCTAGAGAGAGGAGAAATGCTTTGTAAAGAGGTGGGTGAGCAAGTGCTGTGGAGACCTATAGAAAATCAGTGGACCAGGATAGATCATTCATCTTTCACACCAAGCTCACAATTTTAGCCACTCAATAGGTTAACTATCTCTTCTGTGTCCATGTACCATAGATCACACTGTTAACACCAGCTGTGTCACTATTAGTGGGGTTATTTTTATTTACCATAGCTAGCATAGTTTGGGAGCTCACCACGTCCCAAGCATTGTACATGTATTATTTTCTTTTACATATGTTATTTCATTTTCTCCTTACAGCTATTTAATGAGGCAGGTGTCAATATCTCCATTTATAGAAGGGGAGACTGAGACTTGGAGGGATCAATTTATTATATAGCCAAAAACAGCCAGAGAGCAATGTGAATCCTTGTGCATCTGACTCCGGAGTCCATCCTTTCAACCTTATGTTTTTCTATCATCTGTAACATCACCTATTATATTACATAAGAAAGGGTGAACAAATAAGCAAACTCAACATCACCCACACATCAATTATGTGTGACAGACTGAACATGGATTAGCAGAATCTTCTTTTAATTTCTGAGACATGTAAGAGGCAGAATATTTTAGGATGTATAGCTGCGAGGGGTTGCAGAACTAGTCTTGGAGATATATCAGAGTGCTTAATTGATATTGTTAGCCATTTGCTCTACATATTTGTTAACAATTTGCTGTATTTTGAACTCTCTTACTGTATGTCTGTCATAGTTCTTGGAGGAAGCTCTGGAGTCAGACATCTTTGAGTCAAAGATCTGGTTATCCTGCTAGTGATGTAACCTTGGTCACATTTCTTACCTCTTGTTGCCTCAGTTTTCCTGGTTGGAAATGGGGACACATATAGCATCTACTTTATGAGGTGTTTGTGAAGATTCAAAGTGATAATACACATAAAATGCTTAGAACACATCCTGGCACATAGAAAAGTTGCATAAATATTAGCCATGATTTTTATGGTTTTGCATATCTTATTAAATTCTCAATTGTCTCAGGCTATGTTGATGAAAGACACAGTATTTCTACACCTTTAAGACATGAATAACTTTTAGGCTATAATACAAGACAGTCATGCAAATAAGCATATGTGCTCATGAATGTTTGTGATTAATTTGTTTAAATTCTCTTTACATAACAGACTAGGATTTGTGGTGCTACATGCCACACAAGTTGTGCAGGTCTCCAATAAACCAAAATAAAATAAAAAAAGCAGGTATTACTCCATCCCTTAACACTGTAAGCAGGGAATCACTGGAGCTGCTAGCATTTATACATTGTATGAAGGATACCACAGTTCTAAAGACTGCTAATAGAGATTCTAAAGACTTTGGTGAGGCATGGTAGCTCACATCTGTAATCCCAGTACTTTGGGAGGCCAAGGCAGGAGGATTACTTGAGGCCAGGAATTTGAGGCCAGTTTGGGCAACACAGTGAGACCCTGTCTCTACAAATGTTTTTTTTTTTTTAAATTAGCCTGGCATGTGGTATATGCCTGCAGTCCTAGGTAGTTGGGAGGCTGAGGTGGGAAGATCCCTTGAACCCAGGAGTTTGAGGCTTCAGTGAGCCACTCCACTCCATCATGGGAGACAGATTGAGACACTGTCTTTAAAATAAATAAATAAATAAATCCATCCATCAACCATCCATCCATCCGTCCATCCATCCATCCATCCATTCATCCATCCTTCCTTTGTTGGATCCATGTTACCTGCTTAAGAAATGACAGGCAATCAAAAGATAATTGATTAGTTTCTCAAGCACTAATAATAATTTAGTATGTTTTGCCCTTTGTCTCTAGAGCCTTGAAATACATGTACTGAACATGTTTTAGATGATTATTCCTAGATTTGCCTTCTTTGTGGTAAGAGATCTTTAGAATTTTGGGATATGAGAGGGCCAAATGTTTGATTAACGGCTTCCCTTTTATTTTCTTCCTGTCCTCTGACAATCATTTGTTTTGACACTTAGACCTTGGATGTAATTACCCTGATCCTAGTTTCCTCATCTGTACAAGAGCAAAAATGATACCTCTTTTAATGCCTTTTTTGAGGATTTACTAAGATAATTTATGTGAAGCTCTGGCATATAACGATGTTTGATGTACTTTAAAACTTAGGCTATTTGCAACTGGTGCTTTCTTTCTCTCCTCTCTCTTCTCTTTTTACATCTAAGGTTTTTAATTGGTTTTCTGTCTAATAATCCTGACTCATATAGTACAGTACTCTCCAAAGTTGAATACCCAGAAGGCATGCACAATGATCCAGTGGAACATCTGAAAAATATTAGAAATTCTACGGATAATTACTTTTTATCTAAGTAAAAAACAAAGTTTAGTAATTATTTAACATAAAGGCTGAGATTAGAACTTGTATATAATGTATAAATACATATATTATGTGTGAATGCTGAAGTTTTTCTAAAGAGTGCTTGATAAAAAATTTGTAAATCATTTATCTGTTATTTATTTATTTAGAGACAGGATCTCGCTCTCTTGCCAGGATGGAGTGCAGTGGTGCAATCATAGCTCACTATAACCTTGAACTCCTGGGTTCATGCAATCCTCCTGCCCTGGCCTTTCATGTAGCTAGGACTACACTACTAAACTTACCTATCATTTAGTACCTGAATGAAGCTTTATGGGTGACAGACAGAGGATTTTGGAAAAACTTTCTGAAAACTTTCTTTGGGTCCAGAATTTGAGCAGGTCACAAGGAGGTAATCTTATTACAGGTGCCAGAGTACAATGTGACTCAGTGTTAGTGCTTGGATCTTTTGATTTTTTGCAGTTTATTGTAGTGTAGCTTCAGTGTAGTTTTAGCATAGTTTTATTGTTGTTATTGTTAAAGAAAGAACTATGTTGCGGAAGCTGGTTTGTTCCACATTTTCTGTTAAGGTTGCAATCTTATTTGAAGAGAAAAAATGCACAGATAATATGCAGTACAAATTCATTGTTTATATTATGATTAGCAGTTGACAAGATATCCATCTTATAAACTGAATAAGTTCTGTTTAAATTGGTTGCATTGGTAATAAATGAAAAGTGGTGCTAGGCTACTTGTTGGGATTTGTATGCTAAGAAGATTTTCTTTAATTTTGAAGCAAACTGATAGAAGTTCACACAGCCATCATCTGTGCTTCTGTTGTTGGGACTCAAAGACGTGTAGTAGAAAGATTTTTCATCAAGCTTAACTTTACTTAATGATTAAAGCAATTTTTGCAAAACTGTGTCCTACAGGAGAAATCTGTATTCCTGTTGGATTTCAAAGACATTTTACAATACTACTTCCACTTGCACCAGGGAAAAAATTTTACAGAATAGTAAGCTATTTGTTTTGAGGATTGGACTAATCAATTTCAGTGATTATAAACCTCTGATCTTCACATTGATGGGTTATGTAATGGTGTTGAAACTGTGCATATTAACAATACATGAAATGGTTTTAAATGTCTTTTATGAACAGTGTCAATTAGAGAAGGGGCTAAATTGACTGCAAAAGCTCATATTTGATGGCAAAGATGCTCTTCTACTCTCAGTAAAAGTTGTTCTTTTTACTGACTCAAAGTCTATTTGGTACTCTTTTAAGACTAAAACTACACCCCTAATTATATAATCAGGGAGAGTACTAGAGTGATTATAACTACATGTTTTTCTGCAATCTTTGAACACAATATCAAATGCTGGTGTTCTAAGTAGTCTGTTTCCAAATATCCAAGTTTAGACTGGACCAAGAATATATGTTAGAAAACATGTCTGATGAGCGTTTCAAGGCTGGTCACATCATCTGATTGCATTTGGAGGACGCACATTGGCTTGGGCTGTGAGCTGGGTATGAATGGCTACAAGAAGAAAAATCCTTCTATAAATTCAAGTCATTTGTATGCAGTCAGTGTGAGAAATATGTGCATAAGGAGTACCTTTTATGGTGAACATACACAATAGTTCCAGAGGATTGTCTTTATAATACATCATACTATATGCAAAGATATTTAGAAAATATTTGCACGAAAGTGATGGCAAAACCATTGACTAGTCTGGAATGGGTTTGGCTATCACAAAGACAATCTGTAAGAATGTTTTTTCTTTTCTTTTTTTTTACAAGATGGAGTCTCACTCTGTTGCCCAGGCTGGAGTGCAGTGGTGGGATCTGGGCTCACTGCAACCTCCGTCTCCTGGGTTCAAGTGATTCTTCTGCCTCAGCTTCCCAAGTAGCTGGGACTACAGGCGTGTACCACCATGCCCGGCTAATTTTTGTATTTTTAGTAGAGATGGGGTTTTGCCTTATTGTCCAGGCTGGTCTCGAACTCCTGACCTCATGATCCACCTGCCTCCGCCTCCCAAAGTGCTGGGATTATAAGCACGAGCCACCGCGCTCGGGCCCAGCATGTTTTTTCATGTTCCAGTCACCATGGAGTCGCTCAGCAGAAGCTCTTGCTTCTAGGGGGATTTCAGAGGAAGCGCCAAGAAATTGTGTTCAAGAATCTGTCCAGGTTTGCAGCTAGGGTAAGGGTTTCTTTCAGTAGAGCTGCAAAGTCAAAGCAGAAATAATTCTCAGGCTTGTGAAATGCCTTAAGTTGAGACAGCTAGTATTTTTATATCAACTCTAGATTAATATTCTGTTCTTTTAAAATTTTGTAGTTCTGTGTTGTAGAATTTTAAGTCAGGAGTTAATGCAGAGTTAATTTTACAGACATGAAAACTTGTATCATGAAGGCCTTCCCATTTCTTGAATGTTTTTCTTTTGCTACTTAGTACAACAGGAGAAAAATTAGGTGATTTTTTTGGGTACCAATTTTAAGTTTGGTAAGAATGGAAAGATGCTTAAATAATAGATAACTTTAAGTAAGTAATTGCAGAGGGGGCAGATAAAAGGCACCATTCATCAAGTGTCAACTCTGTGCCAGCTATTTAGCTAAGTGCTTTACATGAGCTATATAATGTAATCTTCACATTAACCCTGTGAGGTAGGTAATATTGTCTCCATTTTACATAGGAGGAAACTGACCATCCAGAGAAATTAACAGATTTTAAAAATGTCCTACAACTAGTAAATGACAGAACTGGGATTTGAACTAAGAGCTCCAGGCTCTAAAGCACATGTTCACTTTATAGTTTTACTTCCCACACATGGTCATTTAAAATGGCATTATTTAGTCATAGATTGAATATAGCTGTCATGAGAAATCAGCTTGTTCTGTGTGAGGGTAAGAGTCACTAAGGGTTATTTGCTGGTTTCTTTAAATTGACTTGGAGAGCTAAGTCTCTAGGAGAAGGCAGATGTCTTCATTTACTACCTGGAAGGATAAATGTTGCCACACTTGCACAAACATATTGTATTTCTAGAAACCAGCATACACATTTGATGTGGAATGAAAATACACTCTTTGTTTGGCCCAGCCCATTAATTTTAAAATGCCTAGAGCCCAAAGCAGCCCCAAACAGCTGGAATACTACCTGCTATTCCAAAATAGGCACTAAAATCCTCTATTTATAAAAAATAAAAATGCTCTTCTTTTCTTAACAAGCTTTGTTAGTGAAAAAGCAACCAAAACTGATTGCCTGGTGTTTTTTCTTACTTTGCATTGAGTCCTGCATTATATTGCTGTTGTGATGAAATCTGAAGTATACACAAAAATCAAACACATTTCCTGCCTGTAGGAACCTTTGTAAAAAACAAACATTAATTATATAAAAACATATTCCTAGGCCACACAATATTAATTTTAAATAATTGAGTCAGTACAAACATATTTTTCTATTTTATATAGAATGGATTTTCTCTTTTCCTTTCTATGTACTTTCCTGTTTACAAAACAAGTGTTACTTTAAAAATTCATTGTAATTCTTTAGACTGCCTCCTCTGGATATTTCATTTTTGATGGCTATTTGAGAATTTATTCATTTATGCAGTGTGAAGTTGTGCAAAGAGCAGTAGACTGAATGTCATTGGCCCAACTTATAGTTTTATTTTGTGAAGGGTAGTGTCTAGCCCAGTGCCTGATGTATTGTAGGCACTTCTTAGATGCCCATTGATGTTTTGTAAAATCTCTGCTAGCTAAGTGACTTTGGGCAGTTCTCTAGCCGTCTATTTCCTTATTTTAAATATGTGAAGTTTACGGATGATTTCTAGGGGCCCATAGCTAGCTCTGCAATGCTGTAAAGGAGGAAAAACAATTTTCTCCTCTACCTTTCATTAGTTATTAGTTGGGACTTCTAAATGTCTAATTTCTAATGTTTAAAAGACATTAACATGAGAACAGTGTCTTCTAAAACTTCTAATGTCTAAAAGACATTAACATGAGAACAGCAAACAGAAGTTTAATAACGTGTACTTTCTATATACATGATAGCTCAGAGAAATGAGTAAATATCTATTTGGAGTAAGTCTTGAAGAAGTCACAAATTCCAGGAACATGAAGATAATGGGTGAGGCAGCTAGTCAGGAGCAAAAACGCTTTTAAACAATTACCCCTGGGCATAGGTGCCACCCCCAGGGGGTGAGGGGATGACTGAAGTCTTATGTCTCTCCAGGCTTGATAAATTTTGTATTCCTCACATAGCTTAGACTTCTCTGAGCTATTTTTCTTTTTTCAATATTTTTAACACTCACTATAGAACTTGTTAAGCCAAATATGTCCACTGGGAATGCTATAAGCTTATTCCAATGTTTTCTCCATTGGTTATAACATTTTAAGGAAAGTTACTCTTTTGGAATGAGGGTTTTGTAGTTAGGTTATGATCCAAGTGCAAATATTACCCTGATTACTTTATAGCCATCAATTGGCTTAGATAAAAAAATGATGATACATTCAGCCTGATCAAATACCTTTTTAATTAGACTTTGTTCAATTAAATTTCTCCCAAAGGGTACATTTGCCATTATTAAAACATTAATTTTTTTTTACTTACTCGCTGTAAGTACAGATAAAAATATTCAAAATATATTTAAGTATGTGAACTACCATGGAATTAGTGTTACTTCTTTCTAAGATGTTGCTTTTGAACAAAATAATACTAATTTGGTTGCATGAATTCTTTTGTCTTCATTGAAAAGTCAATTACTTTAAAGATGCTTCTTTGTTCTCCGTTAAATCAATTCACTCCTAAATGTAATTCAAAAGCATAGCCCCAGGGGAGTACTTTTGAAATGGCAGAGTGGGGACATCTGAAAATTCACTCCTTAAAAGCAATGAGAACACTGGCAAAAATGGTCAAAATAACTTTTTCAGAACTCTGGAAATTAAGGCTTGCAACAAGAAAAATGGCAGAATTGATACAAGAACAATGATTTTTGTGGTGTTTTAATTTACCCTATTTCCATCTCCCTCTCTCTAGGATCACAGTAGCCTTGTTTGGGGGCAAAGGGAGAGCTTCCCCACTTTCCCCACCCCAGCCCTCTGAAGGTTTGCTGAAAAATCACTAACGTGAGGCAGATTGATTAATAGGAGAAAAGGCATACACATTTATTCAATGTGTATACACAGTGGCCTTCAGAATGAAGACAAAGATACATTATCCATTTTTAGGCTGAGATTCAATGAAGTATGGACATACCTGTAGAAATATGATTGTTCAAAAGGATATTGTTAGTGGTGGCGAGTCCAAACAGGTCCGCAGCAACCTTCAATTCTTGCCTCCTCTGAAGAAAGAATTTGACCGAGGGGCATAAGGCAGAGTGAGAGACCCAGACAAGTTTTGGAGGAGGAGTGAAAGTTTATTAAAAAGTTTTAGAGCAGGAATGACAGGAAGTAAAGTACATTTAGAAGAGGGCCAAGTGGGTGACTTGAGAGATCAAGTATGTGATTTGACCTTTGACTTAGGATTTTATACATTTCATTAGCATGCTTCTGGGGTCTGCATCTCTGCATCTCTTATATCCTGATTCTTCCTTGCGGTGGGCCATCCAGATGCACAGTGACCTACTAGGACTTTGGAGGGGTTGAATGCACAGTGTGTTTACTGAAGTTGTACACATAGTCACTTGAGATGTTTTTTCCTTACCAACTGAGTGTTCCTAGAGGAAGGTCATCTGCCATTTTGCCTCTTAGGGTGCGTGCTTGAGCCCACTCACCCAACTCCTGAGATCTTATTGGGAAGCTGCTGATTACCAGTTTCAGATGTTATCTGTCTATTGGGAGACTGCCTTTTCCTGGCACTGGCTGCGACCAATTATTATTTTAGCAAGACTGTATAACAACCACCTTACCATCACCTGATGGTTGCCTGACATTCCTGGTGAAGAAGCAGTGGACCCTCTCCTACCATGCTTGTGTCTCACTAACTACCTTCTATAACAATATGATCTAGTGTTAAAAAACTGAGTGGGGAAACCCAGCAAGTCCTGTCTGTCTAGATTCTTCTTGTCCTCTCTGTGCAGCAGTCCTTCCTTCTGGGTGTGGGATGGGGCCCCCTCTGGAATGTCAAACAAAATAGATTAGATAATTTCTTTATGGCCTGTTTTTACATAGACTATTTTTAGGTTTCTAAGGCTGGCTTTTGGGAAAAGGGGTCCTGCTTTCTATGACCCACCTTGGGGAAGAGAGATTCTAGTTTTCATGGCTAGCCTTGCGGGAGAATGGGACTGAGAGACAGGCATGCAGGAGAAGGTCAAATAAAAATGTTTGCTTTTGAGCTACTGCTAAGGCCTTCATTTTGAGGCATTGTTTTCTGAGCCCCAATCTTGAAAGTCAGTAGTCACACAACCATGGTAGCTGTGAAACCCACAGCTGAGCAGCCACTGAAAAAAGAAGAATGGATTTGGAGCTGCCTCAAAAGCTCCATACCCCTGAGACAATTTCATAAATTGTAAAACTGCGTTTATTGCTTTATAATGTTTAAAGATGTAATTTGTATCAAATAATGTAAGAGCAAAACATAAAATGTGAGAAAAGAAAACATAAAAGTAGACTTAGGTTACCATGGGTTAAGCAATTGTTTTTAGATATGAAGATCCGCTTCCTTCTCCTTTTCCTTTTCTTATTTATGCTTGGATAAATATTACTTCCCTTGAGAAGCCTTTTCCTATGAATTGCATTCTCTGCATCCTACTCAAATTTGTGTTCCCATGGGAGTATACCTACAGGAAAACATTCATCATGATGTTATATTGTTTATATTAGTGCCTTTGAATCTCTCTCCACAGCTAGGCTTAGGAACATTTTTGTATGTTCAAGACTAGCAGTGTCTGACATATAGTAGGGATTCAATATAGAGTTATAAAATTTTAAAATAAATTTTGGACCAAGTTGCGTAAGGAATAGGGTAGAATTACTTCTAATAGAAAGTATAAGTTAAAAAATAATATTTATTATGATAGTCTTATTTTCTGTTTAATTTACTTTAAATGATAATGTGAAATCATTATTTGTGTAATAGGACATACTGGTATTATCATTAAAATGAAACTTCACAGTTTTCTATTGGCCACAATGATTGGCAACTCTCTCTGCGTTGTCATATGGACCTATCATGAGGTTTTCTATGTAGAGAGTAGTCAATATTTATTTGAAGAATCAGTGAATGAATGAATGCATCTTATGGAAGCATAATCCAAGGATCTTTTCCTTAGAAATCATTATCATTCTTGTTACATTGAAAATGTCCTCTAAAAAGTAAGATAAATTGAATTTGATTCATTTGGCTGGTGGGATATTTATATTCAGAACTAAAGTGAATTGATTACATATCAATTATTCATGATTAATAATATAATACAAGTGATTGTCCCATTAGACATTTTTTCATGCTATATGACATAAAGGACAGTAACAATCTATGAAATTGAAGTATCTTGGAAAATTAATTTTTATTCCAAATAAACTTAACTAATAAGGAGTCCCTGCTGAATTATAAATATTTAAAGATATCTGCAAATTATAAACCATCATATATATTAGAAAAAAATTAGTCTGAGTAGAGAAGCAGTGCTGTGCATTTTTTTCCTGACTTATTGGGCTCCTTTTAAGCTTTGCAATCAAATAAATTTCTCTAGTCACTCAGAAGTGTAAATAAAGAGCACTCAGCGTGCTGATATATTTTATATTTAGTGAAGGTGCTGCAGAAGGAAAACAAAAGGACTTGCAACTGAATCAAAGTGATGAAATGTAGTGGATTACATAGATCAGGCAATAAATAAACTATTGACCAGAGTATGTTTAAGTGAACATTTTTGTTAGAAAATAACTTTGAAAATGCTAAACAGGTCTTTATTGCTACTATTGGTCTTATTTAGTTAAATCTTGCTATTTGATTAAATCATTTTTGAGGTGAAAAATATTTGACTGTCCTCTCATTTTTTTTTTCAAAAGTGTAAAGATCATGACCTAAAATCAGTAATAGGAGAAAAAATAAAGACAGAATGGTGGAGGGAGGATAATGATGAAAATGTCAAACGTAAAAATGTGTAGAATTGCTGTGTTTTGTGGGGAAGCCTACTTTCCCTCTGATGTTTTGATGATTGACACATTTTGCCAAAATAAACTGACAATAGACAGACAGATTAACAGGAGAAAAAGACACAAAAGTTTATTATTGTGCACATACATGGGTATGAGAGTCCCACAGATATAAGACTCAAAGAAACAGACAGACAGTTGAAGCTTATATACCCTCTTCATTGGGGGAGGGAAATGGAGGAAATATAGGCAATTTTGAGGGATTGTAAATGATTTTTAGGGAAATTAAATGGTCCCAGTGATAAATGCAGGAGGCAGATAAGGGAACCTGCACAGGGTCTTCTTGCCTGGGCATGCCTGCAATGCACTGGGGGCCTATGTGCACACTGGGAGAATGGGGTGGAGTCACCAGGAATTGACACCTTATGCAGGGGCAGGAGTCGGGCGTCTTCAGCTTGTGTGTGGTGACCTGGTATTCAGTCTGTGAAGTGGGAGCCGGTTGGCAGGACTCCCTCACCTGTTTGCTGAGAGTTTTCTTTTTGCCCAATGAACTCTGCTCTCCTTACCTTTCAATGGATCTGTGTGCCTAATTTTTCCTGGTTGTGAGACAAGAACCTGGATTTTACCCGAACTAAGGAGGAAAAAAATCCTGCATCACCAGGAGACAGAAATTAGCTTGTAAATGGTTCTCTTTGGCATTTGAATGAGCTTTAGAGACAGACACTATTTTCTGACAAAGTCCATCCAGTTTTGGTTACATTCCTTAGTCTTCTTTCCTGCCATAGATAATTAAATTTCAGGGCGGGGGACAAAAGACAATTCTGTGCCTTTTGGAAAGCTCAGATAAAGGAATTTGAGAGAGAGGGTTCCACTCTGTGCTTGGAGTGAGAAACAGGAGATCAAAAAGTCCTTGGTTCTGGGGCTGCTTATGAGGCCTTTTGATATCCTTTAATTTAAAAGAACTCAGCATGCCAAAGCACCATACTTTGGGGTATTGTTCTCTGGACTCCTACAATTTCTATGGTAAGGCCTATTATTTAATATATTTTTCTATAATTGTGTAATAGATATGATTTTTGGTATCTTTTATGAAGTAATGATAGATGTCATCTGTTTTTATCAATGAATGAAATTTTCTCTGTCCGTTTCTTTCATTTTCTCAGTTTTTTCTCTTCCACCTCCCCTAGTAAACCTTATCAGTTTGGAGTAGTTGAAAGAGCACTGAGTCAAAAGCCTTGATTTTATATCTGGCTGTGACTGGAACTAGCTGGGTGGCTTTAGGAGGTTAGATTTTGTGAAAGGAAAGTAGAAACTCGGGACCCCAATTCACCATGCCAAAAGGAAAAAGTTAAGCTGAAGGCTGAGTCAGCCGCCTTTCCTTTTGTTCCTAAGCAGATAGCTACAGATAAAAGGTTAAATATCTCCCCGTAGCTACATAGTGTTCACCTTAACTTATGTAAAGTGCCAATTTACCAAGCACAAGACAAATACCTAATTGACTATTACCCTATCTGCCCCTTTCCTCTTGCAGTGTGTGTATTTCCATACTCTCCCTCCTTCCCCTCCAGCCCGCTTTCCCCCTTTACATATTGAAGCCCTCAAGTTCATCTTCGGAGAAAGACAGACCACAGACTGTTTCGGTGATTTTATGTTTATTTCTTAATAAGGGTATGTCCTTAACCCTGGCAAAATAAACTTCCAAATTGATTGAGACCTGTCTCAGATACACTTTGGTTTACAAATGAATGATTTTATGGCTCTCTCCAGGTTCAAAATGTTATTGTTAATGTATGTATACTAATAGACTAATGATGGGTTAATTGTTATGTGTCCTTAGTCTTTTGAGGGCTTGGTGTTGCTTAGACTCTAGGTTTTATGACTGACTCGATGTATTTGGGGTGCAGTAAATGTCACTTATTTAGTATGGATCCCATATGTCAGTTTTTCTGATTACTGCTCCATAGGTAAACAACTCAGGACTCAACACCACCTTTGCATTCTCCAGAAAAAATTTACCCACGCCTAAAGCATCAGTAAGTAATGGTGATTGTGCTGAATGTTATTTTGGAGGTGAGGACTGAGATCTGATTTTATCTTGCCCAAATTCCTTTCTAAGGGGTCTGGGGAATCATGCCCTACAAACCATAAATTCTCATCAGATGGGTTTTATTTAACCCTGTGTATCGTGGCTTACTTTCCAATCTGACTATAGGATAAGAAGGGAAAAAATCAAAATGTTTTACCCCAAAATATATTTCCTTGCCATACCTTGAAATTGACCTGCAAAGACTCTTGTGGGAAAAATCCACATTCTACAGAGAATCTCCTTCCCCCTTCGTTTTCCTTCCTTTCTTTCTAGATCCAGGAGGCAGTCAACTGAAAGGCAGGTAAGTTTTTAGGTCTGATAAGAAACATTGTACAATCTGCTCTCTCTCTGAAGTCTGCTATCTGAGAGAGTCCTCTGCACAATAAAACTTGGTCTCCACAATCCTTTATCTTAACCTGAACATTTCCCTTCCACTGATCCCCAGTCTTCAGATAAACTCAACTAATTTTCAACCAGAAAATGTTTAAATTCACCTATGGCCTGGAAGCCCCTGCTTTGAGTTGTCCCGCCTTTCTGAACCAAACCAATGTGTTTCTTAAATGTATTTGATTGATGCCTCATGCCTCCCCAAAATATATAAAACCAAGCTGTACCCTGACCACCTTGGGCACATGTTCTCTGGACCTCCCAAGGGCTGTGTCACAGGCCATGGTCACTCATATTTGGTTCAGAATAAATCTCTTAAAATATTTTACAGAGTTTGACTCTTTTCATCATCAAAGGAAAGCTTTTACCTTGCACATTCCATAACAAATTACTGTAAAAATCTTTGTTATACCTGTACGTTCTCCAGAAATCATCTTTGTTCTCCTGTTCCTGGAAAGGGGTCCCAATCCAGACCCCAAGAGAGGATTCTTGGACCTTGTGCAAGAAAGAATTCAGGGCGAGTCCATAAAGTACAGTGAAAGCAAGTTTACTGGGAAAGCAAAGGAATAAAAGAATGGCAGTCCATAGGCAGGGCAGCATCTTGGACTGCTCTATTGATAATACTTATAGTTATTTCTTGATTATATGCCAAACAAGGGGTGGATTATTCATAAGTTTTCTGGGAAAGGGGTGGGCAATTCCCAGAACTGAGGGTTCCTTCTCTTTTTAAACCAGACAGTGTAACTTCCTGACATTACTATGGCATTTGTAAACTGTCATGACACTGGTGGGAGTGTCTTTTAGCATGCTAATGCATTATAATTAGCCTTTAATGAAAAGTGAGGACAACCAGAGGTCACTTTTGATGCCATCTTCATTTTGGTAGGTTTTGGCCGGCTTCTTTACCCCAATCTGTTTTATCAGCAAAGTCTTTGTGACCTGTATCTTGTGCCGACTTCCCATCTCATCCTGTGACTAGGAATGCCTAATCTCCTGGGAATGCAGCCTAGTAGGTCTCAGCCTTATTTTACCCAGCCCCTATTTAAGATGAAGTTGCTCTGGTTCAAAGGCCTCTGACACTACCATGCTGCCAAGGAGATTCTTTACACTTTAGTCTTCTCAGGACTAAGAAGCATTCACCTTCCCCAGCTTCTGACTACCTTTCCTCTAGGTTATCATTATCCAACTTTAGGTTTCTTTTCCCTCTATTTTACCTAATAATCTCCTATCTTTATTCAAACTGCATACAACCACCCATCAATGTGCTCAGCCAATAAAGGACCTTTCTGGTGTACTGGGAGCCAGTTGCATCAGAAGGCAGTGGGCATTGAACAAATAACCACAGGGATTGCCATGGTAGAAATAGTCATCTTATGTAGGATTATGAGTTTAAGAGTTCAAGATAATTTGAAACAATAAAGTAGAGTGATGATCAGCATATTCTTCTTAATTATATGAATTGCCACTTGAAAGCATGAATTAGAAAAAAGGTAACATTTTAAAGTAGTATCTTGGAAGACCTGGGATGCCTATAAACTTAGAAGTTTGATTAGAAAAGTATTAATGAATAAGGAATGATCAACCACTTTGGGCCAGCCTTAACATTTTGGTGATGTCTTCTTCAAGATGAACATATGTTATAAAACACTAGTTATATTATAATATATATATGTGTATATATAGATTTATAATTAGAACCACAATGTATATATAGGCTTCTTAAACCTTTATTATAGAATATTTGTAACATTATCAAAAGTAGAAAAAATAATGTAATGAACCTTTGTGTCCCTAACACCCAACTTCAGTAATTATCAATTCACGATCCATCTTGTTTCATCTCTGTCACACCCACTTCATTCCCCTCACATATTATTTTGAAGCAAATGGCAATCATTATGTCATTTCATCGGCAAATGTATCAACCATATATAATTTTATATAGTTTACTTTCTCTTTGTATTTTATATATCACACATTGCCCCATAGAATTAATTAAAAAATACAAATACAATGGATGCATAATATTGTCTTGTGTGGATATACTATAATTTATTTAACAATAGCTGTACTTTTGGATGGTTTGTTTCTGAATTTTAATAATACCAACAATACTGCACTGAGAATCTTTGCCCATAAATACTTATTTCAGTATCTGATTGCTTTCTTTGCATAGAATTTTAGAAAGGCAGCAATAAGTATATTAAACTTATTTGAAGCCTACTGCAACAACTTCTGACTGGTGACTATATTTCAATTTTCAATACCTGGTTTGAAAAGTAAACAGGCAAACTCAACAAGGTAATTTTTATACTCTCCAATCAGACAAAAACATTGTTTCAGGAATTTGTTATAATGGATAGGCTGTCCTAAATTCTTCCATAATCCATTAAAATTAATTGTAAAATTTTGAGGATGATGTTTGCAGATTTAATTTGCAACTAGTGACAATGAATGGCCAGTCTTGGTAAGTCTGTATTTTGGTGATATTCTTATGAAGCCCCGTTAGTATTATCTGAACATTTTTAAAGTTTCCTGAAACATATTGCAGTTCATTTTATATGATCATTCTAAATATTTATAATGTAAAACCCAGAAGTGATTTTCCAACTATGCTCAGTGCCATTCGGATTCTTATTAAGGTTCTGAGCTAGTTTTCTGATCCATAAATTAAGAAGACTAAGAAGAAGTGGAAAAAATCAGAAGATAATAAATGGAAATTAGTGAAGGGCTAGAAAGCAGGATCAGTAAAGACGGCTAAAGAAATTGTGTTGATTTAACCTGAAAAGGAGAGAGCTCAGGAATATATGTGAATTACAGAAGATAGTTCTTAGGACAGTTTATAATGTGATACATGCCTCCTAAGCAATGTAAACACCAATGGGAAAATTCCAGTTTGGTTCCACTTTTTTTGAATTTAGAGGTACCCTTTTGAATTTATTAATCTTGATTTTTTCCATTTCATTAATTTCTGATTTTATCCTTATCATTTTCTTCTTTCTTTTAGGGTTTACTGTTATTCTTTTTTCAATTTCTTCGGTTTTTTATACGCTTAGCACATTCATTGTCAGTCATTTTTTAAAAATAATTTCTAACACAAATATTTAAGGCTCTTTATTTTCCTCCAGGTAATATGTAGCTGTTGTAGTTTGATCAAAGTTTCTCATCTATTATCTAATTTACATAAAGACATTTTCTTTGATCCTAATGTTATTTTGGCTAAGAGTTCTACCTCCAAAGCCATGCTGCCAAGGACCACAGCTGAGCTCCACCACTTATGTGTGCACGTGTGGTTATTTAGCACCTTATTTATTCTCTTTCTGCCTCAATTTGCTCATCTATGAAACTGGGATGATAATAGCAGTACCTACCTTATATAGTTGTTACAAGGATTAAAAGTGCTAACGTATTTAAAATACTCAGAAGAGTGCCCACCACTTAGCAAGGACCATATGCGTTGCTACTATTATTTCTCTGGAACATTTTTACTGACTTCTAATGTATTATCATGATGGTCAGAAAATGTGGGTTGTATAATCTTGATTCTTCAAATTGAGATTTGCTTTGCTTTCTGGCTTAGTGGGTGGTCAATAGTGTAAATGTCTCATGAATGCTTTAATCAGAATATATTTTCTATTGAATATATCTAATGATTCTATATTTGTTCATTAAATTAAATAATAATCATGTTGTTCAAATCTGATTCTTACTGATATTTTGTCAGTAAAATTTTTATTTTATTGAGACAGAGTCTATCTCTGTCCCTCAGCCTGGAGTGCCATGACATGATCATGGCTCACTGTGGCTTTGACCTCCTGGGCTCAAGGAATCCTCTTATCTCAGCCTCTGAGTAGCTGGGGACACAGGCACACACCACTGTGCTCAGCTAATTTTTTTGTATTTTTGTAGAAATGGAGTTTTGCTGTATTGCCCAGGCTGGTCTTGAATTCCTGGGCTCAAGCAATCCGCTGGCCTCAGCCTCCTAAAGTGCTATGATTACAGGTGTGAGCCACTGCGCCAGGCCATCTCCTTAATTTTTAACTACCAAAAGAGATGTGGTATAATCTCTCATGGCGATTGTAAATTTGCCAATGTCTTCATAATTCAGTCAATTATTGTTTCAAATATTTGTGATTATGCTATTGAGGTCGTGGAAATCAAGAATTGTAATTATTTCCTAGTAAATATTCCTATTGTCTTTATCCAATGACCCTTGTATACTAGTAACTCTTATTGGCCTAAACATCTTTTTTGGTCTGGTATAAAAACAGTATTTCCTTTATTCTTAACTTATTCAACATTCTTTTATTTAATATCTGCTTTGTAACTCTTCTTCCATTTCTTTTGTTTGAATCTTTCTATAGTTTTCTCTTGAAACAGCATGAAGCTGAACTAAGAACAGTTGTGAGAATCTCTTTGTTCAGTTTAATTATTTTACTCTAATTTATGCTTATCAATAGATTGATTTGTTTTCTGCTTTTAATTTATAGTTATTTTCCAATGTTTTTGTTTTATAGTAAATTTATGGCAAAACTTTCATTTAAATGCCTAAATCTTAAGCGTACATATTCTGCATTTTGATGAATACAAACATCCTTGTAACCCATCACCTCAGATAGTTTCAAGTTCCTTTATCCCTCTTGTGAGCCAGGAGTGCCTCCCACACTAGACAACCACTATTCTCACCTTTTCCACCCTTCATTAGTTTTGCCTGTTCTCATTACTTTACATTAATGGAATCACACAGTGCATTCTGTTTTGTGTAAGTCTTCTTTCACTTGTTGTGACATTTTTAATATTTATCTATGTCATTATATATACCAGTAGTTTGTTTCTTTTTATGGGAAAGTAGTAATATACCACAATTGTTTATACATTTCTCTATTTTTTGACACCTGGGCATTTCTAAGTTTTGGTTATTATAAATAAAGGTGCTATTTACATCCATGCACAAGGCTTTCTGTGGAACATACTTTTATTTCTCTTAAATAAATAAGAATGAAATTATTTGGTCATAGGATAGACATATTTTCAGTTTTATAAGAAATGGTCACACTCTTTCCTGAAGGAGTTTTATCATTTTACCCTCTGACTGACTAATGTATAAGAGTTCTGGTTGCTGGAACTTCAGCTTTTGCCAGATGTGTATTGGCATCTAATGGTGGTTTAATTTGCATTCCCCTAATGAATATAATTTTGAGTATCTTCTCATGTGATTAATGGCCATTTATATGTCTTTCTTTGTAAGTGTCTGTTAACATAGTTTTCCCATTTTTAAATTGGGTTGTTTGTCTTATTATTGAGTTGTATTTTTATTTATTTTTATCTTTTCCCGCTTTCTATTGAGTTGTAAGCACTTTCATATATGGTTTTAGTCATTTCTCACAAAAACCTTGGGAAATAGATATAATTATTTCCATTTTAGGTATGAGGAATAGGAGTTATGATGGTTATGTGACTTCTCCATAGTCTCATGAGTAATAAATGATAGAACTCTGATACAGGATGGCTAGGATGAAAACTGTGTAATTGTAACTACTACATTATGCTACAAATAATAAGTAGTATGGGACTTTATGTGAGAGAGGGAACCCATGTGAGCTGAGATGATTAAAGAAAATAAGTGGAAATGATAGATTTTGATGAGTGACAGATGAGTGATAAATAATTATTTATCAAGTAGTGGTATTGTGTTGTGGGATATAGAGGTTTGTAAAAATACCTCCATGCAAAAGATAGTCATGCACCTACATGGAGTAATAATAGAGAGATCAATCAGAAAATGTCCTCAAAATTATAAGATTATTTGAGGCCAGGAACTTTAACAAGTAATTATCAAGATGCTTTAGTGCATTGCAAATTATGAGAACTAAAACTTTCTTCCCTATTCTTTGAACATTATTTTGTATTCTCTTCTGCTAAAATGGTTTGGTTTCCACAACAATGAATTAATAAAGTATTAACTTTGCTTAAGATTTTTATTTAATGGGCATTTTATTTATTTATTATTATTTTTTGAGACAGGGTCTTACCCTATCGCTCAGGCTGGAGTGCAGTGGTACAATGATAGCTGACTACAGCCTCCAACTATTGGGTTCAAGCGATCCTCCCATCTCAGCCTCCCAAGTAACCGGGACTACAGGCATGCACCACCACTCCCAGCTAATTTTTGTATTTTTTTGTAGAGACAAGGTTTCTCGATATTGCCCAGGCTGGTCTTGAACTCCTAGGCTCAAGTGATCCATCTGCCTCAGCCTCCCAAAGTGCTAGGATTACAAGCATGAACAACCGTGCCCAGCCTTAATGGACATTTAAAAAAATTGGGTGCTACCAGTCTTGAAATAAGTTGGGTTGAGTTTGGAACCACAGGGTATTTTAACTTGAGAAATTACGGCAACTTCAGAATTATAGAATAGTTAAGTATAGTAGTGCATTTAAAGTTAGCTCAGTTCAGTCCATGAACTCCTAAGAGAGAATCCAGAAAAGATACAAAGTTGTGACAGAGGTATAGGGAAGAGAATCACATAAATGTATACAGTTTAGTGGGCCATAAACAATGTTACTTGTTTTATTTTTGTATATTTACTAGTAGCCCTCTATTCCTAGTTTAAGGCAATGTAAGAATGTCTGCTGTGCAATTAAGCCATCTGGTTGGTGGTTTATGCTGTGAACTAGTAAGCAGCATAACTTGAGAGAAATACAGATAAGTAGATAAGTCCTCCAGTTATCTGCATGACTCTTACTTCACATAAACTAGTGTGTCATTTTTAAACTCTTCAACCTTATGGACACTTTAGGGCTTGGATTCTTTGTCAATCTTTGCTTACTTCTACTACTGGATGCCTATTATTTTTTTCCCTGGCATTTTGCTAAATGAGTTTATATCCTATGTGGTTGTGAGTGTTCTAAAACTGAGTTCAGATTAAGGACAATTGACAGAGAGGAGGCCTTGTTTGGGCTCCAAGCTATCTGATTTTAAAATAAAGTGATTAGAAGAGTGTAGTTGTATTAGTCCGTTCTCACATTGCTATGAAGAAATACCTGGGACTGGGTAATTTGTAAAGGAAAGAGGTTTAATTGACTCACAGTTCCACATTGCTGGAGAGGCCTCAGGAAACTTACAATCATGGCAGAACACAAAGGGGAGGCAGGCAACTTCTTCACAGGGCGGCAGGACAGAGTTGAGTGCTGCGAAAGTGGGGAAGAGCCCCTTATAAAACCATTAGATCTCCTGAGAACGAACTCACTATCACAAGAACAGCATGGGGGAACCACCCCCATGATTCGATTACTCCACCTGGTCTCTCCCTTGACACATGAGGATTATTGGGATTACAATTCAAAATGAGATTTGGGTGGGAACGCAAAGCCTAACCATATTAGTAGTGTAGGAAAAGAAAGATTGACAGGCATCAATTAAGAATAACCTCACCTATTCCTTTTGTTTCCAGTGGATGTGAAATTGGCAGGCAGATAAAGCCGCCTGTTTGTTCACTCATGCATATTCCTATCACAGCATTTTTATAATATTGGAATTACAGTCCACTAGATTGCATGATTTGGAGAGTAACACCAATTGGTTTTTGTTAATCATTGTTTTAGGAACGCTTAGATTTCTGAAACTGATATAGGTTCATTTGAAAATAGGTTCAAATTTTGACATATTGTCAAATTTCTACATATAGATCACAGTAATTACCATGTGGGGACTTAAGAATTTTTCTTTGTTGTTATTATCAAGGTAGTATGGCTTCTTTACGAATTAGCGTCACATATAAAAACTCAAAACAATGGTAGATTTGTGAGCAAAATTAGCCATTAGCCACTCTCTTGTATTGACTTTAATAGAAGTTGCAAAAGGGTAATTTTGTTGCTTACACAAAAGCTAATATTCCTTTAGTGACTGCAGCTTTCTATTTCTGGAGTTCACTTATACGGAGCACATTTTTACTGCTTGTATTATTCTTTAGGAAGCTTAAGACAGCCCTTATATTAAACTTTAAATACTCCCTCTCCAAAAGTTTATCCAAGAACTAGAATGGTGAACTTAATCTCTGCAACTTTGCAATTAGTGTATTAACTTAAGTACTATTTTTGGTATCACTGTGCTCTGCAAGTCATCTGGTTAACGTGTTTCCTTTTGTAGAATTTTACCAGAGCATAGCAATTGGAACACAAAATAAACATTAACAGACTTTTCTTTGTGCTTGCGTTTGGTTATAAGGAAAAGTTTTTTTCTTTGCTGCTTTTATCCTTTTAAAAAGTGCTTTTAAAATAAGAGGAATTATGTTTATTTTAAAAGAGCAACATGTCAAGATGCGAATAGATGTGCCTATCCTAATAGATTCTCTAGAAAGATAATGTTTAATTTTTGTAGACGTGTATACTCGAAAAAGGGACAAATCAGGTTCTGTATTTTCAGCTTTTTTTTTTTTTTTTGACAAATACTGGTGGTGTAAATTATCCAGCTGTTCTTCCTTTGTATGGATTTTGTAGTACTCAGAGCGATTTATAGGTCTAGAGTGCAGCTGCTGAAAGTAATTTATTCTCAGTTCTGTATTAAACCCATCATATACAAATGCATTAGCATTCAGTACAGACCTCAAAGGCATAAGATATTTTTTTCCCTTCTGAGTTGTTGTCCTACAAATGTTTGTAGGATATACCAAAACAGCATCAGAAAATTATTGGTTTGATATGCACTTTTAGCAGTGCTGCTTTTAGCATTCCTATTTAGAGTAGTTGAAATCCACTCATTTATTGATATAAAAGGAACAGTCAAAATGAGTCTTCCTGTCAACATTAACAGATTGGTAATACTAGGACTTCAACTTGATCTGCTCATTTGCTGCTCCTGCCATATGTCTACTAATCTGATATGTTCACCATTTCAGAAACTTAATTATTTGCATTTTTTTGGAGGAGCACTTGTTTGGAAATAAGTAAGGGAAATTTTCACATTTACTTTATTTTTTCATTTCTTCTTAAAGACATCTATTCCTCCTTTAGATGGACAGGAGCTATTCTGATTAATAACATAAACAGAGTTTACAGAGCTCAATGCATGTGTTGCTTGCTTATGACTTCTCTAAAACACCTTCACAAAATATTGAATGTTCACAAAATATTGAAGCACATTTGAAATGTACACAGTGCTTGAGAATAATAATCCTCAAAATGTATGTCTAGCTATTTATTCAGAGAATAAGATTTTCTCATTATTATCTATTAATATAAAATAAAACATAGCTTTCATCCTTTCCCTTTTAATCCTTCTCATATACATTTCTGGACTAATTTTTTAAACAATAAATCTAGATAAGCCACTTGTTCATAAAAAATCTTTAATGACTCCAACCTTTCTGTTATATGAATTATAAAAAGGTTAACTTGACTCTCAAGGAGCCCCATGATCTTCTCCCAGACTATTTACTTTATTTATTTTTTACTACTCCCCTGAATCCACCTTATGTTCCAGCCAAAATGAATGATTTTCTGCACTCACATGTGCCATACTGTCCTTCTCTCATGCTTTATGATACTATTTTACTCTTAGATAATTCTCTGTCTGGATTCAGATGTTCAAATCCTATTTCCAATGACCACGGTTCTCTGAATGATAAGGATTTTCCTTTAACCATCTCTTTTGGACATTTTTTTTATTTTTAGTAGTTATTATTGCATGGCTTATATTCCTTGGAAGATTATAAACTCAATTAAAGATTGAGATATTTTAACTTTTATCCCCAACAAAGCCTAGGGCAATGTCATTTGCATATACAATAGCTGTTTAATATTTGTTGTATTTAACTGGAATCTGTTGTTAATAAAATACTGGTTTAACTGAAAATTGAATTCAAAATGTTTAATGGTTGTTGAGAATGCCTCTGAGATGTGCATTGTGCAGTCTAAGTATGGAACTGCATATTAAAAGTAATTTACGCTTTATAATAATTGAAGTTCTTAAAGCACCCAATGTGACCTTATTAAAAAGTCTCATTTTGAAAAACAAAAAAGGCCGTAGAGGGACCCAAAGCTTTTTTGTTTGTTTGTTCAGAGGCTGGGTCTCCCTTTGTTGCCCAGTGAAGTGGTGTGATCATAGCTCCCTGCAGCCTTGAACTCCTGGGCTCATGCAATCCTCCTGCCTTAGTGGCCAAGTAGCTGGCACTACAGGCATGAGCCGCCGCTAACGGCTGATTTTTTATTTATTTATTTAATTTAATTTAATTTAATTTAATTTAATTTAATTTAATTTAATTTATTTTTGTAGAGATGGGAGTCTTTCTATGTTACCTAGTCTGGTATCAAACTCCTGGCGTCAATCAATCCTCCTGCCTTCGCCTCCCAAAATACTGACTTTACAAGCATGAGCCACCATGCTTGGCCACTGTTAAATGATTGATTCTACCAGGAGATAAACCAGTATTGAGTAGTTTATTTCTCATATGAGTTTGTTTTCTGATGATTTGACCCACTATGCCAAAACCAAATTCCACTTATTCACAAATTTCAGTTATTTCAGATTACTCATTTTCTCTTAGAAAATTTTAATTTTTTAAATTTTATCAAATTATTATGTGCTTAACCCCTCTTCACTTCCCAATTATTTTCCAGAGACAACTATTTTTAAATTCTTGGCTCTTTCTTCTGATATTTAACTCAGTATTTGTAAAAGATAAGAGTAAACTACTGTTTTCATTTAATTTTCACTTTTACCAAAATAGTACATATAATAAATCAAATAATGCTATAATAAAAAATAGCTGTCCCATGTTCCAGCCTGTCTCCCAGTTCTCATGCCTCAGAGGCAACTATTTTAAATCTTTTAATTGTTTCTTCTAGTATTTATATTCATATTTCTAAATATCACACAGTATACTGTTTTTCTTGATGTTTCAAGGTTAGATCTTTATAGATTTCCTTTTGAAGAAGATTATAATTTTTGGGAGGCCGAGGTGGGTGGATCACGAGGTCAGAAGATCGAGACAATCCTGGCTAACACGGTGAAACCCCATCTCTACTAAAAAATACAAAAAAATTAGCCAGGCATGGTGGCAGGCACCTGTAGTCTCAGCTACTTGGGAGGCTGAGGCAGGAGGATGGCATGAACCTGGGAGGCAGAGCTTGCAGTGAGCCAAGATCGTGCCACTGCACTCCAGCCTGGGCAACAGAGCGAGACTCCATCTCAAAAACAAAAAAAGAAGATTATAATTTAATTTTCATATCGCTTTTACATGCACACACACACACAGAACTTCTTCCTATCCTTTCAGTAATTTCGTGTTTTTATTTCAGCCAGTATGAAGTGATTATGCTATTATTACTATGTAAATATTTTTTACTCTGAATCACATAGTGTAAAATGGCTACAGTTTGTTCTTATATTTCTTTTCGTTTTATCCAGAGTTAAGAATTGTTTGTGTTTTAATTTCTTCGTTTTCTATGTGCCTACTAATTTGGGTCAGTCTTTTAAAATAAAATCCAAAGCCCTGTCAATGTGATCAAACCTATTGTAATTGTCAGGATAGACCAGATTATCTGAAGTAAAAAAGCATGCCCAGAATTTCAAAAGCTTTCAACAACAAAAGTTTAATTCTATTAAAGTTAATATTATTTTTAATTGATAAATCATAATTGTATTACATTTATAGCATAGAATTTGATGTTTTGGATGTATGTATACAGTGTGGAATGATTAAATCAAATTAATTAACATATCCATTACCTCACTATTTAACTTTTTTCTTGTGGTGATACATTTGAAGTTTACTCTCTTAGTTATTTTGAACTATGCAATATGTTGTTTTTGACTGTAGTCACCCTGCTGTGACATAGATCTTAAAGTGTATTCTTCCTATCTAGCTGAAACTTTGTACCCTTTGAAAAGCAACTCCTCATTTCTGAGTTACTCATCTCCACAAAGTTAATTCCTTATCATGATAGTTACTCACTGTGGGTCAGCTACAGATGTGTCCACATCATCTTCCTTTGAGGATTCAAAATGCTGGAATCTAATATTCAATATTAGATGATATCAATAGTCTAGATTATATCATATTCTAGATTATATCAATATTCTAACTGCTATCTAGAATATTGCCAGTCTTGTGCCAGAGGGGGAAAAATGCCAACCGCATGCTCGCTCTAAGGTTTCGGTGAAACATCACATTCAAACACATTTCATTGCCCAAAGGAAATCAATAGCAAATAGCCAGCCATGGAGGGGACAGGGGAGGATAGCCTCCCCTCTGAGAGGGGTAGAACATATATATTTTTTTTGAACAAAAATACAGTTCACTGCATGCATAAGATGAAGTGTAAGTTGAATTGTTTAGTGTTCTTTCTTGTCTTTTGCTTTTTCATTTTCTGTAGTATCCTGTCCTTATTTTAAGATTGTAATCTTAATCATTTACCTTTCTGAGGATACTGATAAAATTTTTTGATGACTTTTTTCTCTTTCTAGCGTATATCAGCTTCTTCCAGTTTTAATTTTTTTCTCTGTTTATTTTGGTCTCTCTTTTTATTGAAATCTTTCATGAAATGTTTGGTGTTTCTTGGGTGTCAGTCTAGGTTTGAATGAAGCATTAAAAGGCTGATTTGCAGATCTGTTTCTAGGCCTTGTCGATTGATCTGTTTCATTTTGGAATCTCCGGGGTGTTAGGACCTAGCACTTTGCTGGAGAACCTCAAGCTGAGAATAAAGATATTTTTCTCTGCGGCAGGTCAGTTTTTCCAAGGAAGTAATCTTTGATTCCTTATGTGTGTGGAAGATGCCTGGTTTCCAGGTTTTTGCACATGAAGAGATAGAGGCTGAGGAGGAGGCATCTCTTAACTCAACACATGGATGTTTAATTAATCCACTTTTTTTCCTTGCTCTTCACAGTACCTGATGTCTCTGAGTGTTGAGCTACTCCAGTTAAATTTATCCCATGGAAAATGCGGTATTCTCTTGGTGCTTGTATCTAGTGCAGGGAGTAGGAGGGAGGTGTGTGTGGGCATTTTGTACCCCATAGAAACAGACTTTAAACCCCAAACCTCCTTAAGGGTTCTGTGAAGTGAATCAACTCTCTTATCTTTATTCCCCTTTTAAAGTTATAGCTTCCCCTCCCTGCTAAGTAAGTTATCCATCTTTTGTTAGCACCCTCCTTGCAAATATGCTGAAAATCTCATTCAGTTAGGCCTTTTATTTGTTTTGTATGTGTCTATTGCTCTTTCACCATTTTAGGGAAGTCTTGGGGAAAGAGAAGATATAAAAAAAGTATAATCAAGTCATCATAAATCTGTTGATAGAATTTCAAAGTAACGGAATATGAGCCTTCAACTGATCATGGCTGGGACTTTGTGATAGAAGCTATAAGGATGAATGGTTGAGTTTGATTATTTTAAAAGATGGAAATGTGGAGAAAGTTGTCACAGTTCCAGAAATAGGACAGACAAGGACTTATACTAGGTATGGCAAGTAGAACAGATGAGCTGGTGTACAGGGTTTGCCAGGTTGGGAACACAACTTAGAGAGCTTTCAAAGCTAGGTTGCATATTTTGATGTTTTTATAGCATAAGAAAATCCTATTAAAGTAGTGACTGATTTCAAAAATTTACCCTTGATACGAAGTCATTATATCTAATTGTTACCTTCAAAACACTAGAATTGGATTTTTCATAGTCTTTTCTCGATGCCTTCATATTTACTTATTTTGGAAATGGTGAATTACGGCATCATGCAGTGGAAAGTTTATCCAACTGTTGAGCAATTTGGGATGTATATTGTACTTTGTTATTAAGTTACTTTTAGTCCTCAGTAGGTCAATTTTTCGGAGGGTGAACCTCTATCTCTAACATTTCATGAATCTAGGAAGTTATGGTATCTATAATGAGAAGAAGAGAGGAGAAAACAAACACATAAAAGATGAAGCTAGACAGGTGGGAATCTAAATCTAAAATTTGCAGAATAGAGGAATTCCCCAAAGACCAGGCATTTAATGTCTGTTCCAATTTTGTAGCTCTTATGAATTTTGGAAATGTGCTGAGGCTTTGGAGGCAGTGATTTGAATGTGAATCATGTTTATCCTACTTTCTAACTGGGCATGTTACTTACCTCCTTTGAGTCTTAGTTTCCTAACTGTAAATAGGTGAAATAGTACCTCATATAGCTGTTTGGAGATATAGTGAGACAGTATACCTGGAACATAGTAAGCCCTTAATAGTTATTATTATAACTTTGAAAAAATTTAATAGTGAATTTTGCAAAGGGAATCTGAGGCACAAACAACAATGACTTAGGAGTCTGGCAGGCTTTAGTTTGAATCCCACTTCTGGTCCTTCCTACCGCCAGGGCTTTGGACTAGTTACTCACCCTTTCTGAGCTGCTGCTGCTTAAAAATGGGTCTATCTGGATCAAGTATACTAAATGAGATAAAACATGTCAAGTCCCTAACCCATCATGTGTCCTTAATAAACTATAGTATATTATTCATTTTTGATATTTCCTTAATATAAAATATTGTAAAATAATATAACTTCAATGCTAGTTCAAATGTTACCCTTTTTTTTTTAAAGAAACTTTCTTTCAGATACACACACAACAGTAAAAAAGCTGACGTTATCAAACTGCTTTATTGTCTGACACTTTTTTTTATTACAATTCAGTTCCAGTAGCTTTGTGACTTAAATGTAAATTTTATCTCATCAGCATTGCCTCATTTATTGGAATTGAAGTTCTCGTTCCCAGGGGTAGGTGTCCTTTTTGGCTGTGATTTGCTACTTCTTCACCAGCGACAGCAGAATTCTCATTACCCTTGGTCCTGCCAGAAGTGGAAGTGTGTGTAAATCCTCAGAGTGTAGGGTGTGAATCAGTTGGCATTTTATAGAATTTCACATCTGGTACTTCTTCTTTTTTAGTTTGCATATCCTTTCCCTGGCATAGAAGGAAGGGTTAGGAACAACATCCTTACCAAGATGAAGCAGGGAGGCTGGAGAGTGGAAGATCGAGGTCTTCTGGTATCACTTTAAATCCTTTCTTGAGGGATGAGTTGTTTTTCCTTTTTTATAATGAATAGGTGCTTGTAACAAATGATGGCAACCATCTGCCCTTGTTAATATACCCCTTGGACTGTCATATCAAAGGAAAAGATTCTGCACAATTCTTCATGCCACAAATCAACGCATTTGTAGCCTTTTCTCCACCTCTGACTTATATCTCTCAGAACGGGGCAAAGACATACAGGAAAGTTGTTGAAAGTGATGTTTATGATGCCGTAATAAAAAGATCCCAGATCACAATAGTACTAGGTCTGAAATCACTGCAATTCAATCAGGTTATAAACTGGAGTGTTGTTTTGGGCTTCTGGGGATGATGAAGTTGATGGCTGAAACAAGAACTCATTTGTAAAAGAAAGGTACCAGGGCCTTGCAGTGATGATTGACTAGTTTGAATAAATACTCCACCACTGCTTGTTATATTACCTTGGGTTTCTTGCCATCTGGACCTGCTAACCTGTAGAGACTTAGTTTTCTCCAAGTGCTGTGTTATGGCATCAAGTTTTATCCCCTTCTCCCTACTAACTAGTTCCTATACAAGTAAGATGTTAATTACTTGAACTTATACAGTTCTTCCTTTTTAAATATTTTCTCACTGAAGACTGATTGAAAACACCCTGGAGTCTGTCATTTCAGAATGAGCCGTAATTTATTGGAACTCTTGCCTTTGCTGATTAGCGGTGCTATTTTTCACTTCCCCTTTGTGTTATTTTGCATTCTCATTTTTAACATTATTTCTTTGCTTTTGTGAAATAATTTTTTTCCTGACAAGTTTTAAATCAATTTGGGTTTTATATTGTTGTTTAATTTGTTCCCCTTTTTGTCTCTAGCAGGGATTTTTCCCCGCCAAAGATCCACGGACAGCCTTTTGTGAAATCACAGAGGGAGTATGAGCTGTTTTTTAAAAAAACTGTTTAAAGCGGTTTCGGTTTTTATGATTTGTGAAAATACAGACTTCTCTGACATCCACAGATCCTAGACCTCTCACATTCTAGACTGCCTTTGTAGGATACCCTTATGATTTAGTATTCCATCCTGGGGTGCTATTTCTGACTAATATAAGTTGGGGAATCTCATGGTCACTAGTAATAAGCTTTCCTCCCCTTTCAAACTCTGCATTAGTACCTCCAGGGGTCAGCTGCAGAGCCAGTTTATCCTCTTGCGTGGATGTTCTGCTTCATGACTTTTGAAAATAGTCACAGAAAAGTCAAGAAAATCACCCCTTTTGATCCTGCATATAAAATTATTTTTATGATATAGCAGATAATAGGTTGGATGATGTATCTTATTATTTATTGTGGGAACTAAATTACTTGAATGCCAATATAGTATTCATCCTATTATACGTGAAAACTTGTGGCTTATAATAATAATTATGCCTTTTCTCTTCTCTCTTTCTCTTTTCCCATTTATTTTTAGTCTAAAAAGTATCAGATCATTGAAATATTGAATGAGATTGAGCAATTTATATTTAATATTATTGTACAATATTATACCATGCATCATTAAAGTGTATTGAGTATTATATTTAAATGAGATAGTATACATAGAACAGTTCTCAACACATAGTCAGTGCTACATTTGTGTTAGTATTAGTTGATTTTAAAAAACATATCCAACTTATTTGTATAGCAGAACCCTGTGTAGCTACATACATAAAGAAAAAAATCCCCAACATGAACTAGAGGCAGCATCACTGAAAATGAGCCATTTTTCTCTGATTTCTCTTTTCTGAATTGTTTTTCTGGACCAATTACCCCTTGCTGACCATCCTGACTACTATAGTTTTGAGATTTTATAGTAAATAGAGACAATAAAAATATTTTGAATAAATGTGTGTATTTGAAATGACAGCCTCTTTGAGCTATAAAAATGATTTGATTCAGGGAACATCCGTGGATTTTTAAAGTTGCTCTATATTCATAAATCTGGTGATGTTACGCAATGTAGTTCTAAGCCAGAATTAATGAGAAAGCATACCTCTGTTTCCTCCTTACTCTGCTTGATTATGCATTATATAATCAGTTTTCACATTAAGATGCCTTAATTTGTTAGTCATCGCAAAATGCCTCACTCTTGGCAACCACAGTGTTGGTATTTCTGACATAAAGTTTCCCAAATGTTGTTTTTGAAGACCATTCATATATTTTTCACATTTCATGGTTAATTTTAAGACCTTTTAACTCCTTGAACTCAGTTAAATTGCAGGTGGTTTGCTGAGCACTTCTGTCCCTCTTGATTTTAAGGCTTGGCTTTGAATTGGGTTTGGGAAGATTCAGGATACCTTTTGTGTTCATTTGGTAATCTCATTATTTTAACTCATCTGTTTGCTAATTTAAACTGTGTTTGTATGCATAAATAAATAAATAGAGTTGTCAGGGTCAGCCCTAAGCAAATTTTGGAGCACAGGAAACCCTCTGCTTATTAAAAACCAGTCCCCAAGATGACTTATAGACAGGCTGACCACATGAATGACCACTGAGGCTTTCTATCAGAGCACTTGATAACTTCACTTTCTTTTGTCAAAGAAATGGATTTAGCAGTGAAAGTCGCTGGGCGTGGTGGCTCACGCCTGTAATCCTAGCACTTTGGGAGGCCAAGGTGGGTGGATCACCTGAGGTCAGGAGTTCGAGGCCAGCCTGACCAACATGGAGAAACCCCATCTCTACTAAAAATAAAAAAATTAGCCGGGTGTGGTGGCACATGCCTGTAATCCCAGCTACTCAGGAGGCTGAGGCGAGAGAATCGCTTGAACCCAGGAGGCAGAGGTTGCAGTGAGCCGAGATTGAGCCACTGCACTCCAGGCTGGGCAACAAGAGTGAAACTCCACCTCAAAAAAACAAAAAAAAAACAAAAAAACAAAACAAAACAGTGAAAGTCACGTAGCATGTTATGATTCAATGTTATTTATACCTGCAATGCTTGCATTTCAAGGACGGCATTATTGGTAGGACACTTCTTGCCTAATGGTTTGGATCTATAGAAGAATGAATTTCTAGGTGTTGAATGTGAGAGATATTTTGGAGTGAGGAGACTTCCTGGGCACTTAAATAACAGCTACTACATTTTTTTCTGTGTTTAAGGGAGTCCCTAAAATTATTTTGTGGAGAAACTATTTTATATTTGTTGCCAAATTTCTTCATTAGGACTACTTACAAAGAGAAGGCTAATTATAAAGGAACAGCAAATGTCATAGTGTTTTGAATCCTTTTCATACATAAGACTTCCATTCTGCACTGTGGCTACTTTGGGTCCTCTTCCGAGTGTAGCATCTTCTGAGTTTCTGTTCCTCAGAAGCTAGGTTCTTGCCCACTCTTTCCTTCTCCATTATCATGCTGAATGAGAAACACCTAACCTCTGTGGTCCCACTCCCTCCAGATGATGGCTCTTATTTAGGAAACGATGCCGTTATTGGGTTCA
Source organism: Homo sapiens (assembly GCF_000001405.40). Classification (NCBI taxonomy): domain Eukaryota; kingdom Metazoa; phylum Chordata; class Mammalia; order Primates; family Hominidae; genus Homo; species Homo sapiens. The sequence goes on along the minus strand of NC_000010.11, from coordinate 67,260,114 downwards.
TTTGTTATTTAGCGCAGCGCTAATGTATATAAAATAAGCTGAGCAAATACATGTTACTTGATTAGTTTATTCTTTAGGGTACTGGCATCTAGTAAAGGACTGCTGAAGAAATTGTGCTTTAATCCAAGGTAATGGATTATACTAACATATAGTATATATGGTATGATAATTATATTTTGATGATGAAACTACATGCCCTAGGCAGAACAGTAGAGGAGGTGTGTTTGGGAAAGGGGCCCTTCCAACACTATCCCAATTACACTTTACAGGAAACTGCCTGTGCTACTTATGAAGCTACTTCATTTGACTAATAGTAGAAAAGAGGCAGAATCAGAGAGCAAGGTCACCTGGTATCCTGCAGCTGAGAAACTGAGAATATGTTTGCCAATTAGGCAAAAACATAGAGGGTCATGGGAGTTAGAAGCAAGGAAGCGGGAACATAAAGTGGCGCAAAAATAGTCATGAAGTAGGCAGCAGGCAGCAACCTCAGGGACGTATATTTTACAGTGTAAGTGCTCTCACATGCATATTATCTTATTATCATCTTTCCAAACTCTCCTTGTGATAAGTATTATTCACTCTGTAAAGTGATCCAAGCTTCTGCGTAAATGATTAGCTCAGGTCTTGTTAACTTACTGGGGAGTAGGTGAGCCAAGATTGTATTCAGCTCTTTTAATGCTAAATGCTTTTTTTTTTATTGTTTGTTTTTGCATTATATAACTTCAGGGTCAGTGTTGAGATTTGATGTTTTAGATTTATGTTCAGAGCTTTAAGGCTGATAAAAAAGATGTTGTAAAGATATGTCTCCAATCTATAAAAATATGGAGAGACAACTAAGAGATACACTTAAAGAGTGATTATCTTGGGTTTCACTCCGCAGAATGGGTTTAGGTTCTGCAGACTGGGAACTTGTGTTGTAGTAGTAAGTAGTTAAAAGCTAAAATGTGAGCATTTAAGATTATGTTTTGGAGAATATAGTTGTCCCTCTGAATCCACTGGTTTCCTATCTGCAGATTCAATCAACTGTGGGTTGAAAATATGTGGGGAAAAAGAGCACAACGCAACAATAAAAATAATAAAAAGAAAAAATATAGTACAACAATTATTTACATAGTAGTTACATTATATTAGGTATTATGTGTAATCTAGAGATGATTTAAAGGATATGAGAGGAGGTGTGTAGGTTTGCTACAAATACTATGCTATTTTATATAAGAGACTTGAGCATCTGAGAATTCTGGTATCAGTGGGGATCCTAGAACCAATGCCCTCTGGTACGAAGGACAAACATATTCTTGAGGGAATATTTGAACACCTTTAATTCTGAAACAATACTTGGCTTGAAAAATAGCATATTTAAATTACATATTGATACAATGAATGTTTTTACACTGAGAAAGTGACTAATTTTTAAGATTCATTCAACCTTTGGGGCTTCAGTTTTCATGGAAAGGGATAGAATAAAGCAGACATCACTTAAGGGTAAAAAAAATCACAGTTGAAAGATAGATCTTATTTTGTGTTCTTACTACAATAAAATAAAATTTTCAAAGTTGTCGGCTAAACAAAGTGCCATGAAAGTTCTCTAGGTGTTCGCTTTTGGAAAACTATAAATTGTTACTTTAAGAAAATTTGGGTATTATGACAAGTACTTTTAAGAAAAATCATTGTGGCCGGGCACTGTGGCTCACACCTGTAATCGCAGCACTTTGGGAGGTCATGGCGAGTGGATTACCTGAGGTCAGGAATTCAAGACCAGCCTGACCAATATGGTGAAACTCCATCTCTACTAAAATTACAAAAATTAGCCAGGTGTGGTGGTGTGCACCTGTAGTCCCAGCTACTCGGGAGGCTGAGGCAGGAGAATTGCTGGAACCTGGGAGGCGGAGGTTGCAATGAACCAAAATCAAGCCACTGCTCTCCAGCCTGGGCAACAGAGTGAGACTCCATCTCAAACAAACAAACAAACAAACAAAGGATAACCATTGTTGAAATGAGCAAGGAAATGCAGATTTTTGAAGAGGGATTGCATATGTAGAAGGAACAAGGAAAGGACTTATCCTTGTTAATCTGAAACCCAGGTGACTGGCAGATTGTCTGACACACACATTAGGCCCTTAATAAATGTTGGGAGTATAAATGATTTCATGAACTCTTGGGCAAGAAGTCAGTTTTGTTAAACTTTGTGATGATGTAAGGAGAGTCTAAACAGCTATTGCTTTTCAGCTTCTGGAAGTCACACCTGAACACTTCATGTTTTTCAGAAAACCTTTCAGATATATTCACAAAAATTTACACAAAACCTCAATTCTTTATTCTATTTTATATTATCTGTAATATTATTTTCCATTATTGTTTTTAATTAAAGAAAAAATTTGGTTTTTCTTATCCAACTTGTCAAAAAAACCAAAACAAAAATGACGCAAGACAAAACAAGACCAAAAAAACATGCACGAAACACTAGTCCACCCGCTGTTTAAGAGAACTTTGTACTTGCGTTTTGTGGAGCAGAGTCAGTGTACTGGAGCATAATTATTATATACAAAATCTCACTAAGTAGAACATTAAAGTTATAAATATAAAAGAAGCACAAGCCAAGAAACACAAGATATCACACTGTAATATTTCCCACATTATATGTAATAAGGCATTCATGTAGGAATATAATTAGAAACAAGAACACTGCTCAGGTATAATGTGAGAAAATTAATGTGGCAATGAAAACATTAGCTTTTGCCTTTCCTAGTTTAAACTGAAATTTGTGCTTTCAGCATTGCACTCTAGGAGTCTTTACATACTTTATTCTCCAGATTACTTTTTGAGTTAGAAAATCACAAACCCTGTCTTTATCTCCCCAAGAGCCTGCTTGTTCTTAAAACAACAGGCTCGGAATTATAGCTATGCAATTATCTCTCACACATTGGTCTTAAATGCCCAGCTGTGTAAACATCACATGATGATTCAAGAAACTATTTAGATAACTATTGTTTGATATTGTTTTATAGTTATAAAATGATTATCTGCTATCAGAATTCTAAAATTATAAACATGTTTATAGCTGGAAACTCGTGAAATGTTTGAATTATGAGTAAGCAAGTGTTTCTATAAGCATAAAATCTTAGCAAAGATGCATTTTTTTATTTAAAGGAAGACATTCATAAACAGAGTTTGCATTTTGCAATTTTAATTTTTTTTATTTAACTAAACTTTTTCTTAACTATTTAAATTGATTTTGTTCTAAAAATTTCACTAAAAAAAGTACCACTGGGTATTTTTAATGTCCATGATACTGAAGTTTTTGCAGTTTTCCTCCCTGTATTGCTGTGCTACCTCCCTTTTTGATCTTAAATGATTTTAATTAAAGCTTAGGGTGAATATTTTATGTTGTGTTCTGTTTATCCTTCCTGGTGGGAAATAAATGTCTAACATCACTCAGAGACTTTTCAAAGCAATGTTAAATTCCCAGATAATTCACTCTAAGAAAATCTAGATCATCCCATCTTATGTCATTTAATCGAATGTAAGGATAAAGAGACTTTAGGGAAAAAGCAGTCATTTTTATTGGGTAATCTTTCAGATAAACCATCTGGTAATGATCAAATTCATGTGTCCCATCATATTATGCAAAAAGGAGCTGAAGCGATGTGGTTTTTATAGTCTATATTGTTCTTTTAATAATGAAAATAAATTTAATGCCCTAATATTTTTGGACATCAAGACAGATCAAAAGAAGGCATTCGGTAAGGCAGTGAAATTATTAAGTAAACAATTCAGACTGAAGCATAATCTTGGTATACAATCAAGATAATAAGACATTGCTTCACTAGCATCAAGAGCAAGCTTCCTAGTTTGGTGAACAATCAATGCAGTTAGAAAAAATGCATTTATGCCAAATTAAAGAAAGAGCAAGGCAAGAGAAAGGTGTGGCAAATAATATTTTCCTAATGGTTTAGCTAATTGTCTTAAATCTCTAAGCTTCAAAGGTCTTAGTGTAATCTAGTCCAGTTTGGTGATAGAGAAAATAATATAATTTAAGGGTCTAAGAATTTTAAAGGAGAGAAATCCTTTTTTTTTTGCTGCTGTTCTTATTGTCTCTTTTATCTGTTATATATACTCTATATCTATTATATTTAAGTGATTATTTCTCTGGTGGTGCTGGTTTTCAGTGGTAAGAATTCACTAAGAAAAAAATCTCATGGTGTATTGCAAGAATTAGAAGAGTGTTTTCTGCTGGTTGATAGCTGAATGACATTAAATAAGCCATTGTTTTCTTAGATTATTAATTTATGTAATGAGCACAATATAATGGGATCAAATGAGAAAATGTATACAAAACTAAAACACTGTGAACCTCTAGGAGAAGGTTTTCAGTTCTTACTGGAAAGTCCGACAGCCTAGCAGTTACACACATGGGCTCTGGAGCTAAAATACTTTGGATTAAATCTCACCTTCACTGCTTATCAGTGTTTTAACTTGAACAGTTAATATGTTTGCATGTCAGTTTCTTTATAAAATGAAGACAATAATTTGCTTCATAGGGTTATTAGAAGGATTAAAGTATTTAATAGCTATAAAGCGGGTATAGCAGTAAGCACCAGTAATAAGCACTATACACAGAGCCAATTAGCGTCTGTGCTTATGTAATACATAGAAGAAACATAGGTCTCAGGATTGTTGGAATCTTAAGTTGTGTAATTTTCCTTCTGCATATTATTTGACTAAGATACAATTAGAGAATTTTGGAGTTGTAATAGATTTTAGAAATTATTGTAGTTTTTTAAATTAATTAATTAATTTATTTATTTATTTATTTATTTTTGAGATGGAGTTTTGCTCTTGTTGCCCAGGCTGGAGTGCAATGGCATTATCTCAGCTCACTGCAACCTCTGCCTCCCTGGTTCAAGTGATTCTCCTGCCTCAGCCCCCTGAGTAGCTGGGATTACAGGTGCACACCGCCATGCCTGGCTAATTTTGTATTTTTAGTAGAGACATGGTTTCTCCCTGTTGGTCAGGCTGGTCTTGAACTCCTGATCTCAGGTGATCCACCTGCCTCAGCCTCCCAAAGTGCTGGGATTACAGTCGTGAGCCACCATGCCCGGCCAGAAATTATTGTGGTTTTATAGCATAGAAACAATCACACAAAAATTTTAGAGTGACACTTCAAAATTTAGGCCTTTCATTTGATAAACAGTCATGCATCATTTACCAATGTAGATACTTGTGAGAAATGCATCATTAGGCGATTTCATTGTAAAACAGCATAGAGTGTACTTATACAAACCTAGAAGGTATAGCCTACTACCCACCTACGTTACATGATACAGCCTGTTGCTACTAGGCTACAAACCTGTACAGCATGTTACTTACTAAATACTACAGGGGATTGTAACACAATGGTGTTTATTTACTTAAGCATATCTAAACATAGAAAAGGTAAAAATATACGACATTACGATCTTACAGGACCACCATTGTATATGTGGTTTGTCGTTGACTAAAATGTTATTTTGTTGTACATGATGATATTAGAATAGTGAGCTTGAGAGACCTGTTAATAGAAGTAGCATTACATTGGGCTCAGAGTATAGATTTAGATCAGAAAGACCTAGGTTCCAGTGCCATCTGTAGTAGCAATCCTATTACCTTGGATGAGTTATGATCCTTCTGTGTTTCTGTTATTGTCAATAAGAATGGTGATAATGATTCCCACTTCACAGGGAAGGGAAAATACCTTGAACCTTACCATCTATATAGCAGACACTTGATACATGTTAGTTTTTATTTATCCCTCTCTCTTACTTCTTCCTCTTTTCTTTTTTTAGGGGGCTTTTCTTAGCTGCAATTTGTTCATGTTTCTAATTAATTTATAAGTCACTGCATAGTTTGAACTAAAGTGAGTCTCGGGGGCCACTTTGGGGCATTTCTTTTATGAGCCCAACTTTGAATGTCTTCTTTTTTCTGCCAGTATTTTCCATATGAAAGGTAGCAAGATGGTAAATCCTGAAAAGGACAACAGAGGAACTTGTAAATATTTAGAGCATATAGTTGAAAATAAATTGGTAAGAAAGGAAAACTGTATTGCAGTTTAAATAATCTCTCTCTCTATGCATGAATCATAGAAGGAAGGGAAAGCACCTAGAATACTGCCGTTTATATAGTGGACACACAGTACATATTTTTCGTAGTTCATTCCTGGTATACTGGATCCTGAGTCTGAATAGCCAGTCAGGAAGGAACTATGGGTATTTGAGTGGCCCTCATATTGCATTACCTTCTGGGCCTCCTGGGCCCATAAAACCCAGAATTTGGCCTTGGTATTGTGCTTTGTTCTGCCAGTCATGGTTCATCATCACCATCGTTTTTCATTTATGATTTCCTTTGGTGTTGCTGCATTGGAGGAAACTGCAGGGAACAGCTACAATCTCCCATGGTATTGGCATTGCCGGTTACCTCCTGACTCTGCATTCTCTACTCCCAACAGTTGAATCCCCTGATGGCCTCCATTATATACTTATGCCATTCCCAGGACTTGACTTAAGTGTAGGAGAGGGAAAGAGAGAGAGAGAACATTTAAATCATCTCGCTCATCTCCCACATCCTAGTCTTTGAACTATAGATTAACCCCTTGTAGCCCTATTTAACTCTCCACATTTTCCTTGTATCTTTCTACTTGCATGGTCTAAAAATATAGTAATTTCCCTTTATCTGAGGTTTCAGTTACCCACAGTCAACTGTGATCTGAAAATATTAAATGAAAAATCTAGAAATAAATAATTTGTGAGTTTTGAATTAAACATTGTTCTGCATAACATTTTGAAATCTTGTGCTCTCTTGCTCAGTCCTGCTGAGATGTGAATGATCTTTTCCTCTAGCACATCTATGCTGTATACTACTTGCCCGTTAGTCACTTAGTAGCCCTCTCGGTTATCAGGTTGACTATCACAGTATTGCAGCATTTGTGTGTAAGTAATCCTTATTTTGCTTAACATGGCCCCAAAGCACAAGAGTAGTGATGCTGGTGGTTGGGATATGCCAAAGAGAACCCATAAAGTTATTCCTTTAAGTGCAAAATTGAAATTTCTTGAATTAGTAAGGAAAAAAATAATTGTATGCTGAGGTTGCTCTATGGTAAGAATGAATCTTCTATCCATTAAATTGTGAAGAAGGAGAAAGAAATTCTAGTTTGGTTGTCATACCTCAAACTGCAAACTTTACAGATACAGTGCATAATAAGTGATTAATTAGATGGAAAATGCATTAAATTTGTTGGTGAAAGACATAAACAGAAAATGTGTTCTGATTGACAGCATGTTGCACCAGAAAACATTGAGTTTATTTGAGAATTTCAGCAAGGAGTCTCCTGAAACAAGTGACACCAAGCCATTTATTTCAAGTAAGGGATGGTTACACATGATTCAGGAATACACGGCAATAGTAGCCTAACGGTATGTCACAATGCCTATGTAATTCACCTCACTTCATGTCATCCTGTGGGCATCGTATAAACTCAAATCATTACAAGAAGAAGGGTGAGTACAGTATGATAAGGTATTTTGAGACAGAAAGAGTTAGAGAACACATTCACATAAGTTTTATTACAGTGCATTGTTATACTTGTTCTATTTTGTTATTAGTTATTGTTGCTGATTTCTACTGTGCCTAATTTATAAATTAAAATTTATCATAGGTATGTATGTATAGGAAAAAACAGTACATATAGGGTTTGTTATTATCCAGGGTTTTAGGCATCCACTGAGGGTCTTGGAGCATATCTTTTGCAGATAAGGGGGATGACTGTACTGCCTCCTTCAACCTCAGACAGTAGATGAGCTTCTAATTCTCCACGTAATAGCTACCTTACTCCTTAGTCCTTAGGTCTTTTTTTTTTTTTTTTTTGAGACAGTGTTTCACTCTGTTGCTCTGTTGCCCAAGTTAGAGGGCAGTGGCACAATCTCTGCTCACTGCAACCTCCACCTCCTGGGTTCAAACGATTCTCCCACCTCAGCCTCCCAAGTAGCTGGGACTTCGGGCACACACCACCATGCCCGGTTAATTTTTGTGTTTCTTGGTAGAGACAGAGTTTCACCGTGTTGGCCAGGCTGGTCTCAAACACCTGACCTCAAGTGATTCACCTGCCTTGGCCTCCCAAAGTGCTGGGATTACAGGTGTGAGCCACCACCTCCTCAGGTCTTGATTCTCTTTCTAAACATCTGAGGCCACTAGTGATGATCTTGTGGAAAATAGTTTCCTGATGCTGGATACCATGTCTCTCTGTGTTTACGTTAATACTGCCCCTCCCTCTCTTCCTCAAATCTTGAATTCCTTACTGTTGTGACCTGACCATACGATGGCAAATTCTAGAAGGGGCTCTATCTGTAATTTATATTGAGATTATTTTCTGTTGACAAACGTGACCTGGCCTCTTTAAGTGCTTTAAACCAGCAGTTTTCCAACCCCCGTCCCTTGATCTTGACTTCCTCTTCTTCCTCATTGGTTCTGAGCTGCCAAAGTATTAGCATCCTTCAAGTCTGAGTTTTACTATTAGGACAGGCTGCCTCTTCACTCCTCTTTCTGATGACATATGTATGGGTATGTCTTTGTCTTTATTTCTAACCACTCTATTAAGGCATAATTCACATATCATAACATTCCCTATTTAAATTATACAATTCAATAGTTTTTAGTATAGTTACAGAGATGTATGACAATCAATATATAACCTAATTTTAGAGCATTTTCCTTACCTCCAAAAGCAACCCTGTACCCATTAGCAGTCACTCCTGCCCCCAACCCCCAGATAACCACTAATCTGCTTTTTGTCTCTATAGATTTGCCTATTCTAGAGACATTTCATAGAAACTAACTCATACCATGTGGCCTTTTGTGATTGGCTTCTTTTACTTAGCATAATGTTTTCAAGATTCATCCACGTTGTTGCATGTATCAGTACTATATCCCCTTTCATTGACAAATAATATTTTGTTTTGTGGATATACTCTATTTTGCTTACCTGTTCATCAGTTGATGGACATTGAGGTTGTTTCTACTTTTTGGTTATTATGAAGAATGCTGCCATAAACATTCATGTACAAGTTTTTATGTGGACATATGTTTTCATTTCTCTTGATTTCATACTGAAGAGAGGAATTACTGGGTGGTATGATAATTCTATGTATGACTAACATTTTGAGGAACTGCCAGGCTATTTTCCAAAGTGGCTGTACCATTTTACAGTCAGCCTAGAAATGAGTGAAAGTTTTATTTCCTCCACATCCTTGCCAACAAGTGTTATTGATTATGGGCATTTTTATCATAGCCATCTTAGTGGGCGTGAAGTGATAACTCACTGTGGTTTTATTTGCATTTCTCTGATGGCTACTATGTTGAATATCTTTCATGCATATGTGATCTATTTGTATAGAGATGGCCCTCCATATGCGCTGGTTCCACATTCACAGATTCAACCAACAGTGGCTGAAATATACAGGCATCCCTCTGTATACATGAGGGATGAGTTCCAGGACCCTCAGGTATACCCAGGTACTCGAGTCTTGAAATCTGCCCTGCGGAACCCATGTGTATAAAAAGTTGGCCCTCTGTGGCCGGGCGCGGTGGCTCATGCCTGTAATCCCAGCACTTTGGGAGGCCGAGGTGAGCAGATCATGAGGTCAAGAGATTGAGACCATCCTGGCTAACACAGTGAAACCCCATTTCTACTAAAAATACAAAAAATTAGCCAGACGTGGTGGCAGGCACCTGTAGTCCCAGCTACTCAGGAGGCTGAGGCAGGAGAATGACGTGAACCTGGGAGGTGGAGGTGGCAGTGAGCTGAGACCGTGCCACTGCCCTCCAGCCTGGGTGACAGAGTGAGACTCCATCTCAAAAAAAAAAAAGTTGGCCCTCTGTATACTTAGATTTCATATCCCACAAATCCTGTCTTTTGGATCCATGTTTGGTTGAAAAAAATCTGTGTAAGTGGACCTGTGCAGCTCAAACCCATGCTGTTCAAGGGTCAACTGAATCTGAATAAAAAATAAAAATGCAACAATAGAGATAATACAAATTAAAAATACAGTATAACAACTATTTACATGGCATTTACACTGTATTAAGTATTGTAAGTACAGCAGGTCCTCCAATAATGTTGTTTCATCCAATGTTGGTACCTAGCTGGGACCACTAACTGTGTGAAGTATGCGTGTTCTACCCATGTCTGTGTGGGTTTTTTCTGGGTCTCCAGTTTTCTCCCACATCCTAAAGATGTGCATGTTAGGTAAACTGGTGAATCTAAATTGTCACAGTATGAATGAGTGTGGGTATGTGTGTGACTGAGCCCTGTGTACAATGGAATGGTATCCTGTCCAGGGTTGGTTCCTGCCTTGCACCTGGAGCTGCCATGATAGGCTCTGTCACCTGCCACCTTTAATGATAATAATTGGGTAAATACTTACCTTAGTCTTTCTTAAATGTATGTGTGGCTCACATTTATTTCAATGTTTAATATTAGAAATGTTTTGGTCTTTATTTACAAGCTCGGTAATACATACGGTAGAAAGTTAACCCTTGTTTATATCAATTAGCCTATAGTAAATTGATTTTGTTACATTGTTTTGCTTAAAGTCACAGTTCCCAAGAACCAATCAAAAATGTTAAATGAGGATTTACTATAATCTAGAGATGATTTAAAGCGTATGATAGGATGTGATGTATGTAAATATTATGCCATTTTATGTTAAGAACTTGAAGATCATAGATTTTGGTTTCCATGAGGGTCCTGGAACCAACACCCTGTGGTACTGTGGGATGACTGTATTGTCTTTGGAGTAATGTCTATGCAGACTCTTTGCCCATTTTTTAATGAGTAATTGTTTTATTATTGAGTTTTTATAGCTCTTTATATATTCCAGATATATGACACATCATATATATAATTTGCAAAAATTTTCTATTATTCTGTATATTGTCTTTTTACTTTATAGTACTCTTTGATAAGCAAAATTTTTTAGTTTTCATGAAATGTGATTTATCTATCTTTTCTTTTGCTGTTTGTGCTTTTGTTGTCATATCTAATAAATTGCCATCTAAACCAAAATCACAAAGATTTACTCCTATGTTTTCTTCTAAGTGTTTTATAGTTTTAGCTCTTATATTAAAACCCATTTATGCCTGAGGTTGCAATTTTTTGAATTTTTGCAATCAGACCTTGGCAATGACCTTGAGCAGTAGGATATAAATAACTCCCACATCCTTAGCATTCCAATAATGGAACACTAGGCATAAATAGGTTGAGACAGGCATAAATGGTCTGTGATCCATTTTGTTAATTTTCTGTATGGTGTGAGGTAGGAGTCCAGCTTTTTTCTTTTGCATGTATATATCCAATTGTTGCTCAGGTGTGGTGGCTCATGCCTGTAATTCCAGCACTTTCAGGAGGCTGAGGCTGGCAGATCGCTTGAGCCCAGGAGTTTGCGACCAGCCTAGGAAGCATGGTGAAACCCCGTCTCTCTACCAAAATAAAAACAAAAGCAAAAACCAGCCAAGTGTGGTGGTGTATGCCTGTAGTCCCAGCTCTTTGGGGGGCTGAGGTGGGAGAATCACCTGAGCCCAGGAGGTCCAGGCTACAGTGAGCCAAAATTGTGCCACCTGCACTCCAGCCTAGTGACTAAGCGAGATCCTGTCTCAAAACAAACAAACAAAACAAAAACAAAAACAAAAAACACGAAAAAAGAATCCAGTTGCCCTAGCACCATTTGTTGAAAAGATTGTTCTTTTTTTCTTTGACACAGGGTCTCACTCTTGCCTATGCTGGAGTGCAGTGACACAATCAGGGCTCACTGCAGTTTCAACACCCAGAAGCTTAGGTGGTCCTCCTGCCGCATACCACACCCACCTTCATCCCCAAGTAGTTAGGACTACAGGCACGTGCCACCACACCCAGCTAATCTTTGTATTTTTAATTAAGATACGGTTTTGCCATGTTGCCCAGGCTGGTTTTGAACTCCTGGACTCAAGTGATCCACCTGCCGTGAGCTTCCCAAAGTGTTGGGATTACAGGCGTGAGCCACTGCACGAGGCCTGAAAAGAGTATCCTTTCTGTATTGAATTGTCATGATACCCTTGTTGAAAATCAATTGACAATAAATAGAAATATTTAATTTTGGACTCTGATGTCTATTACATTGATCTATATGTCTGTCTTTATGATTGTAACACACTGTCTTATAGTTTTGTAGTAGGTTTTGAAACTGGGAATTCTTTTTAAAAGAATTATTAATGTTTAATTGATATGTTTGTATAATAGTTGTACATATTTTTGGGGTTCAGGTGGTATTTTGATACAAGCATATAATGTGTAATGATCAAATGAGGGGAATTCTTCCAACATTGCTCTTTGTTTCAAGATAATTTTGGCTATTCTGAGTCCCTTACATTTTCATATGAATTTTAGGATTACAAAATTCATTTTTGCATTTAGGATCTGCAAAAACACAGTTGGAATTTTGATAGAAATTACATTAAATTTATAGTTCAAATTGGGGAATAATGTCATCATAAAAATACTGTTTTCTAATCCATGACATGGAACGTCTTTAAATTTATTTATGTCTTGCCTAATTCATTTCAATGATGTTTTGTAGTTTTCAATATACTCATCTTGTATTTCTCTTGTTAAATTTTTTTACTAAGTTTTTTATGTTTTGATGCTATTTTAAGTGGAATTGTTTTCTTAATTTCAGTTTGAGATTTTTCACAGCAAGTGTCTATAAGTACAACTGATTTTTGCCTATTGATCTTGCCTTTTGCGAACTGTATCAATCTTATTTATTAGCTCTACTGTTTTCAGCGGGGAGTGTACTCCTTAGGATTTTTAACACATAAGATTATGGCATCTGCAAAGAGAGGTAGTTTTATTTCTCCTTTTCTAATCTGTATGCCTTTTATTTCTTTGGCTTTCTTAAATTATTTGACTAGAACTAGTGCAATGTTGGATAGAACTAGTGAAAGGGGACATCCTTGTTTAGTTTTTTATTTTAAGGAGGAAGGCATTCAGTTTTTCACTATTAATTATGATTTTAGCTGTGGTTGAAGATTTATTTATGTATTTTTTACTGAAATTGACTGTCTCTGAGTATGCATTCCTTACACATCAAATAGTGAATAAAAATGAGAATGAAAGTACCACTCACATTGAGATAGCAAAAGCTAGAGAACCTTGAGGAACATAAGCCGGACAATTAGACAACTGTTGAGGTCCTGCCATTTTCCTTGCGCATTCTGCTTGTAAAAGAGGTGTGATTGAAGAGAGCTGAGTCTTCCTAGAAAGGAATTTTTCCCTATTTAATATAGGAACAGTTGTACTCCAGTAACTTATCATTTAAAGATCCATGTCTCATACCTTTAAGTGTCCCATGAATTTGGGTAATGCTCAAAATTTACTGTTGAACTGTAGTAACTCTGAATCAGTTATCATTGCTGTAAATTTATAAGATATTCCGTGATGTTTAGTAGCAAAGGTAGCCTTATGCTTCATTTGTACTATGGGGGTCGCTGTGATATGTTTAGTCATAAAGTCAACTTGATGGCAATAAAGGAACCCAAGGGCTCTTGCTAACTCTGGTATGCTATATGGAATGAATTTTTGAATGGTTTATTTCTGCATTAGAGGCAAACACCAACCTTCTGGGGTTGTCCACATTCCAGCATCTTGCATCTGTTGTATTTATGATAGAAACAAGAGAGGAAAAAAAGAGTATTTAGTCATCTGCTGATTCCATTTGGTGCTAAACACATACTTCTCTCTAGAGTGCAAGAATGCTAATTTATTTTATGCACCAGGGTGGATTGAAGCCATTCCTAGAGACATGAATATTTAAATTGGCAACAACTAAACAGTGAATACTCTGCATATAGATGATTCATGCTCTGCGTACAGTTCTTGAGTAAGGCAAAATCGTTATTAATTAGGGATCTGGATTTTAAATACAACTTGCCATCTAATTGGCAGTCATACGCAGTTGACCTTTCAACAGCAGCCATTGTGTTTTGGGTTCAGAAGCTTTCTATATGAATTCTCGCAAACATGAAAGATGACCTAAGTAGAATACAAAACCAAATCCTAAGATATGCAGGTGAATGTTCTAATATTTGCCTCTAGAATGAGAGCCAAAAGGGAGCAGGAAGTTTATGCTATTTGTATGCCCTTTATCTGTCTTCCCTGTTGTAACTAGATAATTCTCTGGTTTTTTTTTTTTTTTTTTTGGAGACAGAGTCTCGCACTGTCACCCAGGCTGGAGTGCAGTGGTGCAATCTCGGCTCACTGCAACCTCCACTTCCCAGGTTCAAGAAATTCTGCCTCAGCCTCTTGAGTAGCTGGGACTACAGGTACATGCCACCATGCCCAGCTAATTTTTGTATTTTTAGTAGAGACGGGGTTTCACAATGTTGGCCAGGATGGTCTCAATCTCTTGACTTCGTGATCCGCCCGCCTCGGCCTCCCAAAGCACTGGGATTACAGGCGTGAGCCACTAGCACCTGGCCAATTCTCTGGTATTTTATTGCCATATGATAGGATAACTTTTTGCATGTGTGATCAGTAAAATATGTCAAATTAATTGAAAATTCTTGATTTGGGTTGCTGTTCATTCATTCATGAAGTAAATATTTATCACCTCTTATGTACCTTCATGGAGCTTACGTTCCACTGGAGAAGACAGAAAACAAACATGATAAATAAATGTAGTATATATTAGTGACAAATAGTACAGAGAAAATAAAGCAAGGAAGGGAAATATGGCATATTGAGGTTGGAATTGTTGATTGAACTTTTAGACAGGGTGACCAGGGGAGGTCTCACTGAAAAGTTTATTTTTGAGGAAAGACTTGAAAGAAGTTAGGGAGTCATGGATCTAGAAGAGCATGCCGGCCGTGGGAAGGCCTAATGTAGGGATGTGCCTGGCTTCTTGGATAAGCAGCAAGGAGGTCCATGGAGCTGGTCAGGGTAAGCAAGGAGAGTACTGGGAGTGGGGTCACAGAGATACATAGGATGGTCTGAGCCAAGCAGTGACATGGTAAGTTGTAGAGGTAATAAGAGGTCACATTTTTCATAAATGAAGGTAAAACTGATGGGATTTTCTGACAGACTGGATGTGGGATATGAGAGAAGGGGAGAAGCTTAAAGATGACAACAAAGTGTTTGGCACTGGCAATTAGAAGAATTGCTGTTAACTGAACTGTTAAATACCGTAAGAATAGTGGGCTGAGGGGCACTATCAGGAGCTCAAATTTTGATACAGAATGTCTGAGATGCCTACTAGCAAGCCAACTGACTTTCATACCGGTTTTCTGGACTAGCTTTTACGTGGTACATTTAGAAATGTGCATCTTCCTCTCTCTGAAGCATTTCTTAAGCTTTTCATGCTTTCCTTATAATTCCTATGGTAATTATTATCTATTTCACTAATTTTAGCCAAATTTATTATTTTAGCATATCATTATCTAACAATTTCTGAAGAACAGAGGACTGCAGAGCTGGGTACTTGATTTTACTTGGTATTTCTATTTTCTCACAGCTCTAAGCACAATTCCACTATATAAATACTTGTTGAAATCAGTTTTTCAGAATACCTGAAATTTAGCAAGATTATCAACCTAAGTTACCTCTGTTTTCCTCGATCAGATGAATCTAGTTATTGGTTAACATAGGGAGCACTAATTTAACTTTCTGAAAAGCATGTCAAGTGTGAGACATCTTTATCTGCATTCTTCTCAGTCTTGTTTCTGTTGGGGAATGTGTTAGAAATTAGGTATATTTTAGAACATCCTGAGAGTCAAAGCAATAGGTTCTGAAAGACACACCTTCTTATAAGTGATTAAAAACCATCATCACTGGTTTTTTAAAAGAGGCTTAGACCAGAAAACTTTGAAGACTAGTTCATAAACAAATCTACTTAGCCTAGTCAGGGAAGATTAAAAAACATTTCCATTCTAGACTGAGCATATCTGAGCTTTTTTGCAGTTGTGATTTCCTTTTACAAAAGTGCAATTTTTATTTCATGGAAAAGTAAATTATTTTATGGCAGTGACCCTCAAGGTTTTCTCATTACTTTAAAGTGGTGAGAGGTGTTATCAATTCATTGGTTACTCTCAGCTAGTTCCTATGCAAGGCCTAGTGGATGGAGGAATGAAGACATCATTTTGGCCTCAGGAGGAACTCATGATTTGGTGAGAGACACAGACGTGTCAACAAATAGTTACAGCAAAGAGTAATAGTTTAAAATATCTGCTAGACTAGTGCCATATAAAGGGGGCACATGAGTGAAGTCTGTGTGTGATAGAATGTAAGAATCCACGATGACTTAAAAGATGAATAGTCATTTCCTAGGAGGTGCAGGGGAGACTGGAACATAGCTCATGCAAAGGCACCAGTGGAACCTCATGGATTCTATGTATCTGGAGAAAAGAGTGACCGTGACAGGAGTAGTAGGAAGTAAGACTAGAGAGAGAAGCCAGAGAAGCATGCTTGTCTATAACAAAAAATATGAGTTTTCTTATTTGTGGATTAACCATCATTAGAAAATTTTACATTGGAGGAGTGATGACCAGATTTAAGTTTTAAAGAGTTTCCTCTGATGGTATGACAGAGAAAAGATTGGTCAAAAAGTTCTGTCTTACTAAATATTTCTGTAGTCTCTCATCTCCCTTGTGTTCACGTGCACTTCCTTAATTTTATCCCTAATTATTTCTCCTCTAGACTAGTGCTACTAGTGAGGAACAGAGCAAGGGTGTATATTGGAGAAATAGTTAATGAGTGTAATAATAGACCTTACCTAATGGTGGGGGTTGGGGGGGTTGGAAAAGTCACGGATATTCCTCACGTTTCTTTTTGATCAGCTGAATATTAGGGCCATGCAGATGGAATGCTGGAGAGAAACATGGGGAGTGGGAGTGTAGGAAACACAATGGGCTCAACTTCGGACATGTTTGAGACTCAACTTGAGATATGCAGCTGGAACTTAGAGGAGAGGTAAACACCTCTCAGTTTAAATTTAGGTTGCTGTCATCTAAGAAAACAGGGGAGAAATATTGTAAAGAGGGAATATGGCTAATAGTTTGTTGCATGGAGAGACATCAAATAAGAAAATGCTGGAAAAGTCTTTGACATTAAATCATTTAACTTCATTAATACCCTAAAAGGTAGGAATTGTTCACATTTTGTAGCTGAAGTGAGGTTAATTATTCTGCCTGAAATCTCCTGCTATTGGAGTGTTTTTGCACTGGGATTCTAACCTCAAAGCTTATGCTATTTCCATTAAAATGAGGCAGACTTCCTGCCTTGGAGTTGCTCCTCATTCAGTCCTTTTGGCTTATTGTAGGCTCATCAGGCCCGGAGACATGCATTTCCTATCTTTCCGAGGTCTTCCAAGGTCAGGCACATATATTGCATGAATGCACAGCATGGTGACTGAATTAATAAGGCTCACAGAAACATCTGTGCTAGTATATTAGATTCAGGGATTCTTTTGGTTTGGTCAATTGGATCTGAATGTGTTTAAATCGGGGCAGATACAGTATAGTGTGCCAAGGCCTCACCACTCCCTATTTACTTTCATCTGCCCTATTCACGCTTCCTGCTTAAACATTTGAGTTTGTAGTCTTAGCTTTAAAGTCACACCTTATAGCAGGCATTTCAAGCTATTTGAATTAAACTAAAAAGCAAAACACTTTTTTCCTGTGGGAAAATCAACCATTAGTCTACAAATATGCCATATTTAGAATGTTTCCTTTATCAAAGTTAGATTGAAATATTCAAGATTATACTTATTAGTTTCATTCTTTCTCCACATATCTGACTTATATTTTTGAGCATTCTAAATGACCTTATGGACCACACTTTAATTTTTAATCTTGTAGTTTTGACCTGAGGTTTTTGTATCAGCCTTGTTCTAAAACTGAATTCAGGAAAATGTTTCTAACTTAGTTGTATTAGTTACAACAGTTCTTTGTCAGGAAGATATGCCTGAAATATATATTCTCTATTGGGTCACCGCAGATGGGCAGAGTTAAAGGAGAGTTTTTTGACAGGCTTTAAGAGCAGATGTGGGAGCTACTGACAACAAATAGAAATAGTGTCGAGTAGAAAGAGTGTTGAGACAGGAGCCAGTCTTGGATCCTATTCCTAGTGGGGCCATTAAATGAGAAAGTGATTAGAGAGTACTTGAATATAGGAAGCATCATAGCTGCTTGGTAAATGTTGGCTTTCTGAAAAAAATCACCATCACCACTTTTTATTAATATGTGTGTGCCTTTTGACAAATGTCCATTTCTTCTTTTGACAACAAGGGATACCGCTTTTTATGATTTCTCATAGAACTCCTTGTGGAAGAATGGCTGGAAATATGTTGAACAGAATAAATCACTACACAAATGTAATGAATTATTAACTAGGAAGTTGGGTCAACATCCCTGGGCTTTGGACCCTATTTGATCTAAGTGATTCTGTTTGCTCTTTGAGATGCACCATAATGTTCAGGAAACAAGTGGTCTGTTTCTCACAAGAAAACTTAAATAGGAAGGAATTGCAAGGATAAAAATATTTATTGATTTTTGACTAAATTAAAAAATTCAACTTTACTTTTATAATTGTTAATTATGCTTTAGAGGAAAAATTTTCTGACCTATGGATTTTTTTTTTTTTGAAACAGTCTCACTCTGTCACCTAGGCTAGAGGGCAGTGGCATGATCTTGGCTCACTGCAACCTCTGTCTCCAAGGTTCAAGTGATTCTTATGCCTCAGCCTCCCGAGTAGCTGGGATTACTGGTGCACACCACCATGCCCAACTAATTTTTGTATTTTTTTAGTAGAGATGGGGTTTCACCATGTTGGCCAGGCTGGTCTTGAACTCCTGACCTCAGGTGATCCACCTGCCTCGGCCTTCCAAAGTGCTGGGATTGTAGGCATGAGCCATCACCCCTGGCCCTGACCTATGGATATTTGACTCTTCTTGATAGATTAAATGATGAAACATATGCACCAATGGAAAGGATGCATTAAGTACAGCCACTGAATTTTGCTAAAATAGCCCATAACTTTTTTGTTTTTCTGTGTATTCCTTTTACTTTTTAATCATGCGGCAGATGGCTTCAGATACCATTTATTTTGAGATATAAATTCTAAGCAAACAATAGACAAATGTAATACATATTGTATTTGCTTCAGATGAACAGGAAATGAACATAGTGCATTTTTGAACTTTACACACACACACATGTGCACACACACCCCCCTACATTTTCTTGACTGACACAGTAGTCCGCATTAGAATTAAGTGATAATGTTTTCCTCATAGGTTTCTTTGGAGTTAATATTCACCTTGGTGTATTTCAGTTACCCAAGGTATGCATTAATGGCCCAGAATGCACACCTTGGGAGATATCTTAATACTATTATGATATGGTTTCTCAGTTTCCTATTTGAATTTGAAGAATTCTTTTATTTTCTCTTTTATTGAATCTGTCCTATTTCTATGAAATGACAAATGGGAAATAAGGATAGAAAAGTAGTAAAGGCCTCTCTCTGCTCCTTAATGATGCTTTTATTGTAAAATCTTGCATTTTTTTAATTTTAATTTTTCTTCTCAAAACTTTCTTTTACCTGAAGCCTACTGTTGTTTCACCATCTTATATCCTTCAGCTCAGTTAAGACTAAGTTTCCATTTCCTAATTTAAGTTGGCCAAGAACATTAAATTAGCAGGTGTTTGTGTTATTTTGTTTCCTAATAGAACATGAAGCTGCCCAATGACCAGTGAAGCAATTGGTATGCAGCATCTTGGCAGAGAGAAGACTGGAGACAGAAGCCAACCCATAATGGAATCCAAATAGCAAAGTATACATGGGCTTTTCTGCTGCACATCTTAATCTCAAACAAACAAAACCTCTTTTTATAAGCTCCCTTTCCTTCCCTTACCAGAGTGGTTTTGTCAGCTTCAGAAACCTCATTTAAACACCTGGAAGAGAAACTCAGTAATTTGTATGTAGCTCTGCTTTGTTGAGCAGAGTATATGCTGAGCTATTCCATGTGGGCAGGAATGTAGCTTCGTAAGGAAGTTTTCTTTGATTCTCAGAAATGCAGGTTTGTCCAACGGTTCATGGAATCAGTTGCTGTGAAAACCTCTTAGGTTTGCTTTTTCTGATGGTCAGGCTACAGGAGCTTTCTCTTCTTATTTTTATATTTCAGACTTTTTTTTCTTTTTTAAAAATATGAGCCCTCAAAGTGGATACAGGATTCTTACAGATGGACAGAATATCTAATTTTCTCATTCTTCCCTTAATGACATGGGTAATATGACAACATAGCCAGTCCATAGCTAGTTTATACCAGTGTCCTTTGCCAAAAGAAGGCTCACACTGTAGATATTGGCTTTACTTTTTGTTTTTCATTTCCTTGATTTTATGTGAAGCTTTTTTAATTAAAGTATAACATACATTCAGAAAAATGCATAGTGTGAAATAAACAGTTCAATGAATTTTTCCAAACTAAACACATTGGTGTAACTAGCACCCAGGACAAGAAATAGAAAATTACCAGAAACTGAAAGATTCCTCCTCCCTGTTTAGTCTCTAATCACCCCCCAAAGAATAACCACTATTTTGATTTTTAAAATGATAGGTTACTTTTGCCTGAGTATGAACTTCACATAGATGGAATTAAACCATACATACTCTTTTATGTCTTGCTTTTTTTTTTTTTTTATCACGTGTAGCTGTCTTTTTTTCTTTTTCATTACTCTGGGTTGTGTCCAGGTCGGGACTATTACAGACAGTGCTGGTATGGAACATTTTTGCCTGTGTCTTTAGATGGACATAGGAACATATTTCCATATGTGTGTATCCTCTCCTAGGAATGAAATAGCTGGGTAACAGGGCATGCATATACTCAGCTTCAGTAAATACTATCAAATCATTTTCCAAAGTAGTCGTACCAACGGCCTCACTACCATTTAATGTGAAGATAGTTATAGTTTAATTTTGCTCTTCAGCTTTCTGTGGCATTGCCATGCATAAATTTATTCAAACTCTCTGGATTAAGGTATATTTTCCCCATGTTTTATTTCTTGGAGTAATCATATCTGGAGTTTCTATCTCCTTTTGAGCATATTGACTTCCTCTGGCTTAATTCTTATTCATTTGTCTGTTTCCTTAACAAAAATGTATTAAACTCCTAATATGTGCTGTATACTACTAGATAATGAGGTATAAAATAAGTAAGCCATAGTACTTGCATTCAAGAGAATTATAATGAAGTAGTGAAGACAGAAGTATGAACAGATATAATTTATTTTACTCAAATCTAAAAAGCTACTTCTATGACCTAGTATCTCCAGATTTAAGTAAAGAAGCCCATTAACAAGTTATCAAGTTCGTTCATGATTTACAGATGTTTTTATCATGCGTTTTCCAATAAAAATTTCCCCTTTCCAAGGTGAACAGACCTCATATTTTTAAGCTTTCCAGAAACAGAAGTCATTCTGTTCAAAATTGCTTTTAAAGAAAAATCATTTGTTATCTTAAGGTATGATGACCATGATTACCCACAGTAGTTTAGATTCTAACTCTGTAGCCTGCATGCGTTTTCTGGCCTATTTAAAAATATTTTTAATTGAATTTTTTTTTTTTTAGTTTAGTATTTGCTGATACCCTTCTTGCTAATATAAATATATATTTGGCCTTTTGGGCTAGCACATAAAATTACTGGGTTGATATACTCAAGGAACAATTTACGATGACTCCTAGATTCTTCTCCTTATTGTAATATTCACCCTGGATGCAGGTCCTGTAGCCTTCACACACATGGCTTTAGCTCCCAACTGTGAGCTGGTGTTTCACATATCTCTATTTCTGGCCCAGACTCTCCTCTGAAGTCTAGATTCATGTGTATTGTATTTTCATTTGGATCTTGTGCTGATATATTACATTTGGCAGATTACAAAATGTGTTCACCTTTTTCTTCCAAGTACATTCTTCTCTCTGTATTCTCATTGTGGTGAATGCATCACCACTTCCACGATTGCTGAAACAATTCTCTAGATGCTTTCAAATATCTTCTCTTCCCTACTCCCATCTAGATATACCAAAATCCTACCATTTGTACCTCCTAAAAATTTCCTGGATCTCTCCCACTATAGCCTAGCAATAGTGTTCAGGCACTTATTGTCTCTTTCCCAGACCTGGGTTATTGCCTGGTCTCTCTGACTGCAATTTCATTCTCTCCAATCCACTCAAAAACCCATTGCCAGAGCAATCTTTGTAAATACACATCTGAGCTTGTTGCTTTCAGAGTTCTTTAGCAGAGCACGTGAAATGTCTCTTGCCTACCTTTTTCTGCTGGATTCATCACCATTCATGCTTAGGTTTCCTGTATTTGTCATATCACCTGCAGTGACCTGCACCTTCCTCGCCTTTTCATGCTTCAGACCTTTCCACATGCTCTTTTGTTCTGCATTGCTCATAGGGATAGCTTCTTTTTTTTTCTATTATACTTAGGCAATGTTTGAATTTTTTAATTTTAATTTTTTAAAAAAATTTCCATAAGTTATTGGGGAATAGGTGGTATTTGGTTACTAGAGTAAGTTCTTTGGTGGTGACTTGTAAAATTTTGGTGCACCCATCATCTGAGCGGTATACACTGCGCCATATTTATAGTCTTTTATCCCTTCCCCCAATTCCACACCTCCCCACCCCAAGTCCCCAAAGTCCATTATATCATTCTTATGCCTTTGTGTCCTCATAGCTTAGCTCCCACATATCAGTGAGAACACATGATGTTTGGTTTTCCATTCCTGAGTTACTTCACTTAGAATAATAGTATCCAATCTCATCCAGGTCGCTGCAAATGCTATTAATTCATTTCTTTTTATGACTGAGTAGTATTCCATTGTGTGTGTATATATATATATATATATATATATATATATATATATATATATATATACATACACCATAGTTTCTTTATCCACTCATTGATTGATGGGCATTTGGGTTGGTTCCACAATTTTCCAATTGTGAATTGTCCTGCTGTAAACATATGTGTGTAAGTATCTTTTTCATGTAATGACTTCTTTTCCTCTGGGGTAGATACCTAGTAGTGGGATTGCTGGATCAAATGGTAGTTCTACCTTTAGCTCTTTAAGTAAGATCCACCCTGTTTTCCATAGTGGCTGTACTAGTTTACATTCCCATCAGCAGTGTAGAAATGTTCCCTGATCACTGCATCCATGCCAACATCTACTGTTTTTTATTTATTTTTTGATTATGGCTATTCTTGCAGGAGTAAGGTGGTATTGCCTTGTAGTTTTGATTTGCATTTCCCTGATCATTAGTGATGTGCATTTTTTCATATGTTTGTTGGCCATTTGTATATCTTCTTTTTTTATTTTTTTATTTTTTATTTATTATTATTATACTTTAAGGTTTAGGGTACATGTGCACAATGTGCAGGTTAGTTACATATGTATACATGTGCCATGTTGGCGCGCCACACCCACTAACTTGTCATCTAGCATTAGGTATATCTCCCAATGCTATCCCTCCCCACCCCCCCCACCCCACAACAGTCCCCAGAGTGTGATGTTCCCCTTCCTGTGTCCATGTGTTCTCATTGTTCAATTCCCACCTATGAGTGAGAATATGCGGTGTTTTGTTTTTTCTTCTTGCGATAGTTTGCTGAGAATGATGATTTCCAATTTCATCCATGTCCCTACAAAGGACATGAACTCATCATTTTTTATGGCTGCATAGTATTCCATGGTGTATATGTGCCACATTTTCTTAATCCAGTCTATCATTGTTGGACATTTGGGTTGGTTCCAAGTCTTTGCTATTGTGAATAATGCCGCAATAAACATACCTGTGCATGTGTCTTTATAGCAGCATGATTTATAGTCCTTTGGGTATATACCCAGTAATGGGATGGCTGGGTCAAATGGTATTTCTAGTTCTAGATCCCTGAGGAATCGCCACAGTGACTTCCACAATGGTTGAACTAGTTTACAGTCCCACCAACAGTGTAAAAGTGTTCCTATTTCTCCACATCCTCTCCAGCACCTGTTGTTTCCTGACTTTTTAATGACTGCCATTCTAACTGGTGTGAGATGATATCTCATTGTGGTTTTGATTTGCATTTCTCTGATGGCCAGTGATGGTGAGCATTTTTTCATGTGTTTTTTGGCTGCATAAATGTCTTCTTTTGAGAAGAGTCTGTTCATGTCCTTCGCCCACTTTTTGATGGGGTTGTTTTTTTCTTGTAAATGTGTTTGAGTTCATTGTAGATTCTGGATATTAGCCCTTTGTCAGATGAGTAGATTGCAAAAATTTTCTCCCATTTTGTAGGTTGCCTGTTCACTCTGATGGTAGTTTCTTTTGCTGTGCAGAAGCTCTTTAGTTTAATTAGATCCCATTTGTCAATTTTGGCTTTTGTTGCCATTGCTTTTGGTGTTTTAAACATGAAGTCCTTGCCCATGCCTATGTCCTGAATGGTAATGCCTAGGTTTTCTTCTAGGGTTTTTATGGTTTTAGGTCTAACGTTTAAGTCTTTAATCCATCTTGAATTGATTTTTGTATAAGGTGTAAGGAAGGGATCCAGTTTCAGCTTTCTACATATGGCTAGCCAGTTTTCCCAGCAGCATTTATTAAATAGGGAATACTTTCCCCATTGTTTGTTTTTCTCAGGTTTGTCAAAGATCAGATAGTTGTAGATATGTGGCATTATTTCTGAGGGTTCTGTTCTGTTCCATTGATCTATATCTCTGTTTTGGTACCAGTACCATGCTGTTTTGGTTACTGTAGCCTTGTAGTATAGTTTGAAGTCAGGTAGTGTGATGCCTCCAGCTTTGTTCTTTTGGCTTAGGATTGCCTTGGCGATGCGGGCTCTTTTTTGGTTCCATTTGAACTTTAAAATAGTTTTTTCCAATTCTGTGAAGAAAGTCATTAGTAGCTTGATGGGGATGGCATTGAATCTGTAAATTACCTTGGGCAGTATGGCCATTTTCACGATATTGATTCTTCCTACCCATGAGCATGGAATGTTCTTCCATTTGTTTGTATCCTCTTTTATTTCATTGAGCAGTGGTTTGTAGTTCTCCTTGAAGAGGTCCTTCACATCCCTTGTAAGTTGGATTCCTAGGTATTTTATTCTCTTTGAAGCAATTGTGAATGGGAGTTCACTCATGATTTGGCTCTCTGTTTGTCTGTTATTGGTGTATAAGAATGCTTGTGATTTTTGTACATTGATTTTGTATCCTGAGATTTTGCTGAAGTTGCTTATCAGCTTAAGGAGATTCTGGGCTGAGACAATGGGGTTTTCTAGATATACAATCATGTCATCTGCAAACAGGGACAATTTGACTTCCTCTTTTCTTAATTGAATACCCTTTATTTCCTTCTCCTGCCTAATTGCCCTGGCCAGAACTTCCAACACTATGTTGAATAGGAGTGGTGAGAGAGGGCATCCCTGTCTTGTGCCAGTTTTCAAAGGGAATGCTTCCAGTTTTTGCCCATTCAGTATGATATTGGCTGTGGGTTTGTCATAGATAGTGCTTATTATTTTGAAATACGCCCCATCAATACCTAATTTATTGAGAGTTTTTAGCATGAAGGTTGTTGAATTTTGTCAAAGGCCTTTTCTGCATCTGTTGAGATAATCATGTGGTTTTTGTCTTTGCTTCTGTTTAAATGCTGGATTACATTTATTGATTTGCGTATATTGAACCAGCTTTGCATCCCAGGGATGAAGCCCACTTGATCATGGTGGATAAGCTTTTTGATGTGCTGCTGGATTTGGTTTCCCAGTATTTTATTCAGGATTTTTGCATCAATGTTCATCAAGGATATTGGTCTAAAATTCTCTCTTTTGGTTGTGTCTCTGCCCGGCTTTGGTATCAGGATGATGCTGGCCTCATAAAATGAGTTAGGGAGGATTCCCTCTTTTTCTATTGATTGGAATAGTTTCAGAAGGAATGGTACCAGTTCCTCCTTGTACCTCTTGTAGAATTCGGCTGTGAATCCAGCTGGTCCTGGACTCTTTTTGGTTGGTAAGCTATTGATTATTGCCACAATTTCAGCTCCTGTTATTGGTCCTATTCAGAGATTCAACTTCTTCCTGGTTTAGTCTTGGGAGGGTGTATGTGTCGAGGAATTTATCCGTTTCTTCTAGATTTTCTAGTTTATTAGCGTAGAGGTGTTTGTAGTATTCTCTGATGGTAGTTTCTATTTCTGTGGGATCAGTGATGATATCCCCTTTATCATTTTTTATTGCATCTATTTGATTCTTCTCTCTTTTTTTCTTTATTAGTCTTGCTAGCGGTCTATCAATTTTGTTGATCCTTTCAAAAAACCAGCTCCTGGATTCATTAATTTTTTGAAGGGTTTTTTGTGTGTCTATTTCCTTCAGTTCTGCTCTGATTTTAGTTATTTCTTGCCTTCTGCTAGCTTTTGAATGTGTTTGCTCTTGCTTTTCTAGTTCTTTTAATTGTGATGTTAGGGTGTCAATTTTGGATCTTTCCTGCTTTCTCTTGTGGGCATTTAGTGCTATAAATTTCCCTCTACACACTGCTTTGAATGTGTCCCAGAGATTCTGGTATGTTGTGTCTTTGTTCTCGTTGGTTTCAAAGAACATCTTTATTTCTGCCTTCATTTCGTTATGTACCCAGTAGTCATTCAGGAGCAGGTTGTTCAGTTTCCATGTAGTTGAGTGGTTTTGAGTGAGATTCTTAATCCTGAGTTCTAGTTTGCTTGCACTGTGGTCTGAGAGATAGTTTGTTATAATTTCTGTTCTTTTACATTTGCTGAGGAGAGCTTTACTTCCAAGTATGTGGTCAATTTTGGAATAGGTGTGGTGTGGTGCTGAAAAAAATGTATATTCTGTCGATTTGGGGTGGAGAGTTCTGTAGATGTCTATTAGGTCCGCTTGGTGCGGAGCTGAGTTCAATTCCTGGATATCTTTGTTGACTTTCTGTCTCATTGATCTGTCTAATGTTGACAGTGGGGTGTTAAAGTCTCGCATTATTATTGTGTGGGAGTCTAAGTCTCTTTGTAGGTCACTCAGGACTTGCTTTACGAATCTGGGTGCTCCTGTATTGGGTGCATATATATTTAGGATAGTTAGCTCTTCTTGTTGAATTGATCCCTTTACCGTTATGTAATGGCCTTCTTTGTCTCTTTTGATCTTTGTTGGTTTAAAGTCTGTTTTATCAGAGACTAGGATTGCAACCCCTGCCTTTTTTTGTTTTCCATTTGCTTGGTAGATCTTCCTCCATCCCTTTATTTTGAGCCTATGTGTGTCTCTGCACGTGAGATGGGTTTCCTGAATACAGCACACTGATGGGTCTTGATTCTTTATCCAATTTGCCAGTCTGTGTCTTTTAATTGGAGCATTTAGTCCATTTACATTTAAAGTTAATATTGTTATGTGTGAATTTGATCCTGTCATTATGATGTTAGCTGGTTATTTTGCTCGTTAGTTGATGCAGTTTTTTCCTAGTCTCGATGGTCTTTACATTTTGGCATGATTTTGCAGTGGCTGGTACCAGTTGTTCCTTCCATGTTTAGTGCTTCCTTCAGGAGCTCTTTTAGGGCAGGTCTGGTGGTGACAAAATCTCTCAGGATTTGCTTCTCTGTAAAGTATTTTATTTCTCCTTCACTTATGAAGCTTAGTTTGGCTGGATATGAAATTCTGGGTTGAAAATTCTTTTCTTTAAGAATGTTGAATATTGGCCCCCACTCTCTTCTGGCTTGTAGAGTTTCTGCTGAGAGATCCGCTGTTAGTCTGATGGGCTTCCCTTTGAGGGTAACCCAAGCTTTGTCTCTGGCTGCCCTTAACATTTTTTCCTTCATTTTAACTTTGGTGAATCTGACAATTATGTGTCTTGGAGTTGCTCTTCTCGAGGAGTGTCTTTGTGGCGTTCTCTGTATTTCCTGAATCTGAATGTTGGCCTGCCTTGCTAGATTGGGGAAGTTCTCCTGGATAATATCCTGCAGAGTGTTTTCCAACTTGGTTCCATTCTCCCCGTCACTTTCAGGTACACCAATCAGACGTAGATTTGGTCTTTTCACATAGTCCCATATTTCTTGGAGGCTTTGCTCGTTTCTTTTTATTCTTTTTTGTCTAAACTTCCCTTCTCACTTCATTTCATTCATTTCATCTTCCATTGCTGATACCCTTTCTTCCAGTTGATCGCATCGGCTCCTGAGGCTTCTGCATTCTTCACGTAGTTCTTGAGCCTTGGTTTTCAGCTCCATCAACTCCTTTAAGCACTTCTCTGTATTGGTTCTTGTGGTTATACATTCTTCTAAATTTTTTTCAAAGTTTTCAACTTCTTTGCCTTTGGTTTGAATGTCCTCCTGTAGCTCGGAGTAAGTTGATCGTCTGAAGCCTTCTTCTCTCATTCTCCGTCCAGCTTTGTTCTGTTGCTGGTGAGGAACTGTGTTCCTTTGGAGGAGGAGAGGTGCTCTGCTTTTTAGAGTTTCCAATTTTTCTGCTCTGTTTTTTCCACATCTTTGTGGTTTTATCTACTTCTGGTCTTTGATGATGGTCATGTACAGATGGGTTTTTGGTGTGGATGTCCTTTCTGTTTGTTAGTTTTCCTTCTAACAGACAGGACCCTCAGCTGCAGGTCTGTTGGAGTACCCGGCCCTGTGAGGTGTCAGTCTGCCCCTGCTAGGGGTTGCCTCCCAGTTAGGCTGCTCTGGGGTCAAGGGTGAGGGACCCACTTGAGGAGGCAGTCTGCTGGTTCTCAGATCTCCAGCTGCGTGCTGGGAGAACCACTGCTCTCTTCAAAGCTGTCAGACAGGGACATTTAAGTCTGCAGAGGTTACTGCTGTCTTTCTGTTTGTCTGTGCGCTGCCCCCAGAGGTGGAGCCTACAGAGGCAGGCAGGCCTCCTTGAGCTGTGGTGGGCTCCACCCAGTTTGAGCTTCCCAGCTGCTTTGTTTACCTAAGCAGGCCTGGGCAATGGCGGGCGCCCCTCCCCCAGCCTCGCTGCCGCCTTGCAGTTTGATCTCAGACTGCTGTGCTAGCAATCAGCGAGACTCGGTGGGCGTAGGACCCTCCCAGCCAGGTGCGGGACACAGTCTCCTGGTGCGCCGTTTTTTAAGCCCGTCGGAAAAGCGCAGTATTCGGGTGGGAGTGACCCGATCTTCCAGGTGCGGTCTGTCACCCCTCTCTTTGACTAGGAAAGGGAACTCCCTGACCCCCTGCGCTTCCCGAGTGAGGCAATGCCTCACCCTGCTTCGGCTCGCGCACGGTGTGTGCACACACTGACCTGCGCCCAGTGTCTGGTATTCCCTAGTGAGATGAACCCTGTACCTCAGATGGAAATGCAGAAATCACCTGTCTTCTGCGTCGCTCAAGCTGGGAGCTGTAGACCGAGCTGTTCCTATTCAGCTATCTTGGCTTCTCTGTATATCTTCTTTTGAGCATTGTCTATTCATGTCCTTAGCCCACTTTTTGATGGGATTTTTGTTTTTTTCTTATTGATTTGTTTGAGTTCATTGTAGATTCTGGATATTAGTCCTTTGTCAGATTACGGATTGTGAAGATTTTCTCCCATTCTGTGGATTGTCTGTTTATTCTGCTCACTGTTCCTTTTGCCATGCAAAAGCTCTTTAGTTTAATTAAGTCCCAACTGTTTATCTTTGTATTTGCTTTTGGGTTCTTGGTGATGAAATCTTTGCCTAAGCCAATGTTATCGTATAGAGTTTTTATAATTTCAGGTCTTAGATTTAAGTCCTTAATCCATCTTGAGTTGATTTTTGTATAAGGTGAGAGATGAGGATTCAGTTTCATTCTCCTGCATGTGGCTAGTCAGTTATCCCAGCACCATTTGTTGAAAAGGGTGTCCTTTCCTCACTTTGTGTTTTTGTTTGCTTTGTGAAAGATGAGTTGGCTTTAAGTATTTGGGTTTATTTCTGGGTTCTCTATTCTGTTCCATTGGTCTATGTGCCTATTTTTATACCAGTACCACTCTGTTTTCATGTCTATGGCCTTATAGTATAGTTTGAAATCAGGTGGTGTGATACCTCCAGATTTGTTCTTTTTGCTTAGTCTTGCTTTGGCTATGCAGGTTCTTTTTTGGTTCCATATGAATTTTAGAATTGCTTTTTCTAATCCTGTGAAGAATGATGGTAGTATTTTGATGGGGATTGCATTAAATTTGTAGAT
This sequence comes from Homo sapiens, assembly GCF_000001405.40. NCBI lineage: Eukaryota > Metazoa > Chordata > Mammalia > Primates > Hominidae > Homo > Homo sapiens. The sequence continues at coordinate 67,229,903 of NC_000010.11, read as the reverse complement.
TGCTTTTGGCAGCATGGTTATTTTCACAATATTGATTCTACCCATCCATGAGCATGGGATGTGTTTCCATTTGTTTTGTCTGTGATTTCTTTCAGCAGTGTTTTGTAGTTTTCCTTGTAGAGGTCTTTCGACTCCTTTGTTAGGTATATTCCTAGGTATTTTATTTTATTTTATTTTTTGCAGCAATTGTAAAAGGTGTTGAGTTCTTGATTTGATTCTCCACTTGGTCACTGTTGGTGTATAGAAGAGCTACTGATTTGTGTATATTAATCTTTTATCTGGAAAATTTGCTGAATTCTTGTATCGTTCTAGGACCTTTCTGGAGGAGTATTTAGGGTTTTCAAGGTAAACGATCATATCATCAGTAAATAGTGACAGCTTGACTTCCTCTTTACCAATTTGGATGCCCTTTATTTCTTTCTCTTGTCTGATTGCTCTGGCTAGGACTTCCAGTACTATGTTGCAGAGGAGTGGTGAGAATGGCCATCCTTGTCTTGTTCCAGTTCTCAGAGGGAATGCTTTCAACTTTTCCCCATTCAGTATAATGTTGACTGTGGGTTTATCATAGATGGCTTTTATTCCATTGAGGTATGTCCCTTGTATGCCGATTTTCCTGATATTTTAATTATAAATGGATCCTGGATTTTGTCAAATGCTTTTTCTGCATCTATTGAGATGATCATGTGATTTTTGTTTTTAATTCTGTTTATGTGGTGTATCACATTTATTGACTTGCATATGTTAAACCATCCCTGCATCCCTGGTATGAAACCCACTTGAGCATGGTGGATTATCTTTTTGATATGTTTTTGGTTTCAGTTAGCCAGTATTTTGTTAAGGATTTTAGCATCTATATTCATCAGGGATCTCGGTCCATAATTTTCTTTTTTGTTTATGTCCTTTCCTGGTTCTGGTGCTAGGGTGATGCTGGCTTCATAGAGTGAATTAGGGAGGGTTCCTTCTTTCTCTATCTTGTGGAATAGTGTCAAAAGGGTTGGTACTAATTCTTTGAATGTCTGGAAGAATTCTGCTGTGAGTCCATCTGGTCCTGGATTTTTTTGTTGGTAATTTATTAATTACTATTTCAATCTCGCTGCTTGTTATTGGTCTGTTCAGGGTATCTAATTCTTACCGATTTAAGCTAGGAGGGTTGTATTTTTCCAGGAATTTATCCATCTTTTCTAGGTTTCTAGTTTATCTGCATAAAGGTGTTCACAGTAGCCTTGAATGATCTTTTGTATTTCAGTGGTATCAGTTGTAATATCTCCTGTTTCTTTCTATTTTTTTTTTGAGATGGAGTTTCACTCTTGTTGCCCAGGCTGGAGTGCAGTGGCACGATCTCAGCCCACTGCAACTTCCACCTTCCGGTTTCAAGCGATTCTCCTGCCTCAGCCTCCCAAGTAGCTGGGATTACAGGTGCCTGCCACCACGCCCTGCTAATTTTTGTATTTTTGGTAGAGATGGGGTTTTACCATGTTGGCCAAACTGGTCTCAAACTCCTGACCTTGTAATCTGCCCGCCTCAGTCTCCCAAAGTGCTGGGATTACCGGCGTGAGCCACTGTGCTTGGCCTATCTCCTGTTTCTTAATGAGGTTATTTGGATTTTCGCTTGTCTTTTCTTGGTTAGTCTTGCTAACCAATTTTATTTATCTTTTCAAAAAAACTAACTTTTTGTTTCATTTATCATCTGTTTTCATTTTGTTTCGATTTCATTTAGTTCTGCTCTGATCTTGGTTATTTCCTTTCTTCTGCTGGGTTTGGGTTTGGTTTGTTCTTGTTTCTCTAGTTCCTTGAGGTATAGCCGTAGAGTGTCAGTTTGTGCTTTTTCAGTCTTTTTGGTGTAGGTGTTTAGGGCTGTGAACTTTCCTCTTAGCACCGCCTTTGCTGTATCCCAGAGGTTTTTGTTCAGTTCGAAGAATTTTTAAATTTCCATCTTGATTTCATTTTTGACCCAATGCTAATTCAGGAGCACGTTATTTAATTTCCATGTGTTTGCATGGTTTTGAAGGTTCCTTTTGGAGTTGATTTCCAGTTTTTTTCCCACTGTGGTCTGAGAGAGTGCTTGATATAATTTCAATTTTCTTAAATTTATTGAGGCTCATTTTATGGCCTATCATATAGTCTGTCTTGGAGAAAGTTCCATGTGCTGTTGAATAAAATGTGTATTTTGTGGTTGTTGGATGAAATGTTCTGTATATATCTGTTAAGTTCATTTGTTCCAAGGTATAATTTAAATCAATTGTTCCTTTGTTGACTTTTTGTCTTGATGACTTGTCTAGTGCTGTCAGTAGAGTATTGAAGTCCCCCACTATTATTGTGTTGCTATCTCATTGCGTAGATCTATTAGTAATTGTTTTATAAATTTGGGAGCTCCAGTGTTGCATATATGTTTAGGATTGTGATATTGTCCTGTTGGACAAGGCCTTTTATCATTATATAATGTCCCTCTTTGTCTCTTTTGGCTGCTGTTGCTTTAAGTTTGTTTTGTCTGATATAAGAATAGCTACCCCTTTGGCCAGGCATGGTGGCTCAGGCCTTTAATCCCAGCACTTTGGGAGGCCAAGGCGGGCAGATCACCTGAGGTTGGGAGTTCAAGACCAACCTGACCAACATGGAGAAACCCTGGCTCTACTAAAAATACAAAATTAGCCGGGCATGGTGGTGCAGGCATGTAATCCTAGCTACTTGGGAGGCTGAGGCAGGAGAATCGCTTGAAACTGGGAGGCAGAGGTTGTGGTGAGCTGAGATTGCGCCATTGCACTCCATCCTGGGCAACAAGAGCAAAACTCCATCTCAAAAAAAAAAAAAAGAAAAAAAAAGCTACCTTTGCTTGCTTTTGGTGTCCATTTGCATGAAATACCTTTTTCCACCCCTTTAAGTTTATGTGAGTCTTTACATGTTAGGTGAGTCTTCTGAAGGCAGCAGATGGTTGGTTGGTGAGTTCTTCTGCATTCTGTGGTTCTGTATCTTTTAAGTCGAGCATTTAAGCCATTTACATTCTGTGTTAGTATTGAGATGTGAGGTACCATTGCATTCATCATGCTCTTTGTTGTCTATGTACTTTGGTTTTTTGTTTTTGCTTTTTAACTTGTAGTTTTGTTTTATAGGTCCTGTATGATTTCTGCTTTAAAGAGGTTCTGTTTTGATGTGTTTCTAGGATTTGTTTCAAGGTTTAGAGCTTCTTATTAGCAGTTGTTGTAGTGGTGGCTTGGTAATGGTAAATTCTCTTAGCATTTGTTTGTCTGAAAAAGACTGTATCTTTCCTTCATATATGATGCTTAGTTTCACTGGATACAAAATTCTTGGCTGATAATTGTTTTGTTTGACAAGGCTGAAGATAGGGTCCCAATTGCTTCTTACTTGTAGGGTTTCTGGTGAGAAATCTGCTGTTAATATGACAGGTTTTCCTTTGTAGGTTACCTGGTGCTTCTGTCTCACAGCTCTTAAGATTCTTTCCTTCATCTTAACTTCGGATAACCTGATGACAATGTGTCTAGGAGACGATCTGTTCAGGCTGAATTTTCCAGGTGTTCTTTGTGTTTCTTGTAATTGGATGTCTAGGTCTCTAGCAAGGCTGGGGAAGTTTTCCTTGATTATTCCCCTAAATATGTTTTCCAAGGTTTTAGGATTCTCCCCTTCCTCCAGAACATCAATTATTCTTAGGTTTGGTCGTTTAACATAATCCTAGACTTCTTGGAGGCTTTGTTCATATTTTCTTATTCTTTTTTCTTTGTCTTTGTTGGATTGGGTTAATTTGAAGACCTGTCTTTGAGCTCTGGATTTCTTTCTTCTACTTGTTCAGTTCTATTCCTGAGACTTTCCAGAGCTTCTTGCATTACTAAAGTGTGTCCAATGTTTCCTGAATTTGTGGTTGTTTTTTCTTTAAGCTATCTATCTCCTTGAATATTTCTCCCTTCACTTCTTGTATTGTTTTTTGGATTTCCTTGCATTAGGTTTCACCTTTCTCTGGTCCCTCCCTGATTAGCTTAATAACTAACCTCCTGAATTCTTTTTCAGGTAAAACAGGGATTTCTTCTTGGTTTGGATCCATTGCTGGTGAGGTAGTGTGCTTTTTGGGGGTGCTAAAGAGCCTTGTTTTGTCATATTACCAGATTTTTTTTTCTGGTTCCTTCTTATTTGTGTAGGCTCTGTTAGAGGGAAGGTCTAGGGCTGAAGGCTGTTTTTCAGATTCTTTTGTCCCAAGGGGTGTTCCCTTGATGTAGTACTCTCCCGCTTTTCCTATGGGTGTGGCTTCCTGTGAGCCGAACTGCAATGACTGTTGTCTCTCTTCTGGGTCTAGCCACCCAGCAAGTCTACCCTGCTCTGGGTTGGTACTGTGGGTTATCTGCACAGAGTCCTGTGATGTGAACCATATATGGCTCTCTCAGCTGTGGATACCAGTTCCTGTTCTGGTGGAGGTGGCAGCGGGGTGCAGTGGACTCCGTGAGGGTTCTTAGCTTTGGTGGTTTAATGCTCTATTTTTGTGCTGGTTGGCCTCCTGCCAGGAGATGGGGTTTTGTAGAGAGCATCAGCTGTGGTAGTATGGAGAGGAACTGGCAGCGTGCAGGTCCTAGAACTACCAAGATTATATGCCCTTTGTCTTCAGCTACCAGGGTGGATAGGGAAGGACCATCAAATAGGGACAGAGCTAGGCGTGTCTGAGCTGAGACTGTCCTTGGGTGGGTCTTGCTGTGGCTGCTGTAGGGGGTGGGAGTGAGATTCCCAGGTCAATGGAGTTGTGCACCTAAGAAGATTATGGCTGCCTCTCCTGAGTCATCCAGGTTGTCAGGGAAGTGGGGGAAAGCTGGCCATCACAGGCCTCACCCAGCTCCCAGGCAAACCAAAGGGCTGGTCTCACTCCCACCGTGCCCCCAAACAGCCCCAAGTCTGTTTCCAGGTGGTGGGCAAGCTGGGCTTGAGAACTTGCCCCAGGCTACCTGCCTGCCACCTTCAAATGAAAACGGCCTGGTTCTTCCCCCACGCTGTGGAGTCTGCATGCTGGATTCACACCCTCCCTCAAGTTCTGGCCATGAGGCTTCTCACCCTGTTCAAATTGTTACGAAGTTCAGCTGGAATTTTCCTTCTCCCTGTGGTGCTTCCCCCTCCCCCAACCCCTGCTTCTCTGGCTGCCCTCCCAGTGGATCCCTGTGATGCCAGGCAGGAATGGCCTGACTGGGGACCCAGCGAGCTCCTAGGGACTTTCTGCTGCTTCCTCTCTATATTTTTTTTTGCTTGGCTCTTTAAATTGACTCAGCTCCAGGTAAGGTCAGAAACTTCTCCCGCAAACAGACCTTCATTTGCCCCAGTGGGGTTGTGTATTCAGGAGAGGAGGCTCTCCCTTTCCCACTTCCGCAGTTGGGGCACTCACAGTATTTGTGGTGTCTCCCAGATTTTGCAGGAGCAGTCCGCTTCCTTCAAAGGGTCTGTGGGTCCTCCCTCATAGGGATAACTTCTACTCACTGTTTAAGATTCACCTTCTCTGAAATCCCACCACTTATGACAACTTGGATGAACCTGAAGGACATTATGCTAAGTCAAATAAGCCCGGCACAGAAAGATAAATATTGTATGATTGTATTTATATGTGGAATCTAAACAAGTCAAACTCATAGAAGCAGTTTTACCATAGTTGCCAGGGGTTGGCATGTGGGGGAAACGGGGACATATTGGTCAAAGGGTATACACTTTCAATTATAAGATGAGTAAGTTCTAGGGACCTAACTCACAGCATGGTGAAGACAGTTAATAATAATGTATTGCTTACTTGAAATTTGCTAAGAGAATAGATCTTACATGTTCTCACAGCACATACACACAAACGCAAAGGGTAACTGTGTGGTGATGGATATATTGATTAATATGATTGTAGTAATCATTACACAATGTATATGTATATGAAAGCATCATATAGTACACCTTGAATCTACACAATTTTTATTTGTTAATTGTACCTCAATAAAGCTGGAAAAAAGATTCACATTCTCTGAGAAATTTTATTTAATCCCTTCAAACTGAGAGACTGTCCTCTATGCTGTGGGTAACTCTATTTTAGTTCCCATGTAAATGTGTTTATTTGTCTCCCCTCCTGATCTTTATCTTTGCATTTCCAACATTTAGCACACTGCCTTGATGCAAAGTCGAGGCTCAGCATAGGAGAGGCTCAACATAGTACAGGTTGAAGGAATGGTTGAATTAATTAACTGATAGCTTAAAGCCCTCCACTTGTATTTTTTAAAATAATATTCCTAAATATATTTTGTTCTCTTGCCAGGGTTAAAACTCATATGTTACTTCTCTACCCACTTGCACAGACTTTAAGGTCTTTTTAAATCCCATCTGTGTGTTTCTTCGTCAGCTGGAAACATTTAATGTCTTCTTAACTTGGAAATCTCCTGTGAGCTTTCTTCTGGAGCATTTAAAAAAAGATTATAAATAAGTATCAATCCTTGAGGAGCTGAATTCTTTATACTTCTCCATCCAAAGAAATCCCTGATTAACTTTACTGTTTAATGCCTATTTTGACTTTATGTAAAATTTTAGGGTAAATGGACAAACAAGAACCTTTGAACCTATGGTATCATCAGTTAAAATAAAACAACTACAAACACCACTACCACAACATACATTTAGGAGGTGACAGTCATTAATTTCTCTTTTATCTGTGTGCCTATTTACTACATTAAGTTTATCATGCTTGATGTCCTTTGGGAGAAATGGTCATGCCTTGTCAGTTTTCCTTACATAAACTCTGCCACCTGCCCCTTTGCCCCTGTCCACTGCTGTAACGTTATATTTGTTATGTTCACTGATCTAGTCCTTTTTCGCAGGCGTCAAGGACTTGCTATTTGGGCTCATGGATTCTGTAATTGCCTTGGGCAGAGATGACAAAGCATAGGCTCCAAATTCAAAATACATTTGTATTTTTAACATTTCAAAGTCCCCATGGCATTAAAGTTACTACAATTTACCATCAGATTACACATTGCTACCATTAGAGCAAAAGAAATAATTTTAACTTTAGCTTCTTGATTATAATCTATGTTCAAGTTTTTCACCTTTCAGAAACAAACTAAACCTTGACACTGTCCTTCTAAATAAAGAAGCATAATGTATAGGTCACTTCAGAGAGAATTATGTATTAAGTTGTGATTGTACAGTAATATCAGAGAATTTGCCTTACCTTTTTCTAAATATTTATACTTTTAATTATTACTCATCTGAGGAGCTGTGCATCCTTTCTAAACATTAAACTATTTATCCTCTAAGTTACACTGATGACTGTAGGTAGAGCTTGTACAACGTTGTGGGAAATACAAAAATCACTAAGATTATCAGTACAGAAACAGTACACCAAGTTTGACAGATGTAAGGAATAAAACAATTCCGTATTCTTTCTACACCTTTTCTCTATTTTCCACTTATATTCCATTTCTGATGTGCTATGTACTCAATCTTGTGAGAGGGTCGGCAGAAGTATCATTATCCCATTTTTACAGATAGAAAGACAGACACCGAAAGAGATGAGTTACCTAGCTCACAGTGCTAATGACAGAACTAAAACTAAAACCCAGACCACATATACAAGGGGGAAATCGTAGCAAGCCAAGAAAACCATAGTGTCTTTTCTTGGGTGATTAGTGACTATGAACAGTGGGTTGATAGCTACTTCTAACTGTCCTCCCTACATTTTGTAACGAAGTTAATCTCTCCAAAGCCTGAGTGAAGTAGCAGACAGTGTTTATTTTCAGAAGGGAAGGAACTAAAAATATAGTAGCACAAGCCATTTATTAACCTCATGCAACATTATTCCCAGAGTAGCAGAGTCTTGTGAAAAGGCATAAGGTTAGCAATCAGTAGACTTAGGTTTAGATCTCTGTTCCTTTACTAGTTTCTATCTCCTTGCACCAAACACCTGTTTAGTTAAAATAGGACTAATAATAGCAGCCTCATTCCCTCAAAGACTATTGTCATGATCAGTAAGATACTGTATAGAAGCACTTTATAAGCTACATGATATTATACAAATACAAGTCCTCATTCTGTGTAGCAAATAAGAAATTTTTCCACTTTGGGAGGCCGAGGCGGGCGGATCACAAGGTCAGAAGATCGAGACCATCCTGGCTAGCATGATGAAACCCCGTCCCTATTAAAAATACAAAAAATTAGCTGGGTGTGGTGGTGGGTGCCTGTAGTCTCAGCTACTCAGGAGGCCGAGGCAGGAGAACTGCATAAACCCAGGAGGCGGAGCTTGCAGTGAGCCTAGATCGCGCCACTGTACTCCAGCCTCGGCGACAGAGCGCGACTCTGTCATAAAAAAAGAAAAAAGAAAAAAATTTTTCCTATGTAGGAAATAATGTCACATAGTTTTTAGGATAAGGGCTTGGAAGTTATACTGACGTGGGTTACAATACAAGAAATACCACCATCTAGCTCTGCCACTTGGCTAAGAAACTTAGTCTCTTGAAACCTTAGTGTTTTGAGTTTTAAAATGGGAATAATCACATCTCTCATGAGTTTTTATAAAGATTATATGAAATGTTGTATATGAAGTGAATGAACTATTGTAAATGTCCCTTGAATTAGTTTTTTTTAACTTAAGCTTTTATTTGGGAGTAATTTTAGATTTACAGAAAAGTTGCAAAGGTGGTACAGAGAGTTCCCATTTACCTTTTTTCCAGTTTTCTCCATTGTTAATGCTGTATCTTACATTTGCCACTACAAAGAAATGGATACTGATGCATTGCTATTAACTATTAATAATGGTTATTTGGATTTCAGCAGTTTTTCATGAATGTTTTTTCTGTTCCAGGATCTAATCCTCAGTACCACACTGCATTTAGTTATGTCTCCCCAATCTTCTCTGTTCTGTGACAGCTTGTCAGTCCATCTCCTGTTTTCCATGATGTTAATGGTCTTGAGGAATACTGCCCAGGTGTCATTTAGGATGTTCACCAATCTCATTTTGTTTGTTGCTTTTCTCATGATTAGACTGGAATTATGGGTTCCTGGAGGGAATACCACAGAAATGGCATACTTTTCCTGTCACAGTATATCAAGGGGTACATGATATCCATGTGATATCACTGATTATGTTAAATTTCATCACTTGGTTAAGGTAGGGCTTGCCAGATTTTTTTCTTGTATATTGAGCTAGTTCTGATCGCCTATCACTTAGACAGGGCATTCTCTTTCCTCTCTTCTCTCTGATGTAATGCTATTCATTTACATTTACTGCAAATTGTCATCTCTGAAGAAATACCTTCTCGGACCATTCAGCCTAAAGCAGCTTTTCCTTTCAAGTCAATCTCTATGACACTTCACTTTTGTGTTTTCTTCATAGCATTTATTGTCACCTGAAATCATCTCGTATATTTGTTCATCTAGTTCATTGTTTGTCTGTAGGCCCTTTCCCCCCAAAAGAAAGAAGAACAAGGTCCTTGTAGGATTTTTTCATATCTGTACACTGGAGTCCAGCACAAGGGCTAGAATATGCTAAGTGCTCAGTAACTAATTGTTGAATAAATATCAAAGAAAGAATGATATAGGATTAATTTATTAGTATTTCTGAAAAAGAAAAATAGCTGAATGGTGGGAGGTTTCATTAGTGTTCTTAACTCAATTGGTCTAATTTTAACGGAGAGGTTAAATGCAATTATCAACATCTATGGAATGAGGTAATCAGCATCCTTGTAATTCAAGCTCCCATGTAATGCACTTAATAATGTGAATGCCAGAGTATTTTAGCTACTTATAAGGATTTGACTGACAAGGACTTGACTGAATAGTAATGGATCTTTACACATCTGCTCTACGGGGACCTTTACTTATTAACTGTGTCATTGTTTATACTGCAGAATTTTTAACAGAAACTGAAAGAATGTAGAAATAATAGATGCCCTTGATTATAACTTATAGCTGACTTCTTCATGTCTATTATCTTTTCATTTATACTTACAAAAAAAGAAGCTTTTTAATTTAAGTCTTTCTCCCATAACCCATTGTAAGATACCACTCTTTTTATTTACCTTCTCAGGACTTAAAATCTCCAAATCAGAGAGATGAAATTGCAGGAGCCCGAGCTTCACTGAAGGAGAACTCTCCCCTCTTGCATTCAATTTGTTCAGCTTGTTTGGAGCATTCTGATGTTGCTTCCCTCAAAGCAAGCAAGGACACAGTTTGTGAAGAAATTCAGAATGCTCTCAATGTAATTTCAAATGCTTCACAAGGGATCCAGAATATGACAACCCCACCAGAACCTCAGGCAGCAACCCTGGGAAGTGCCCTTGATGAGCTGGAGGTAAGTCGGGAGAAAGATAAAGTGTGATCTGATGTCCTAATACAGTAATAATAATAATAAAACAGAAGAAGATCCACATGTTGGCGTTTAGAGCATGAGAAAATAAAAAATCCAGATTAGTCTCTATCACCTTCTTGAGTCTTCCAAAGAATTGATTAACAGGAAAGTACTCTGTTAGTAAACTTCTGACTCCTGTACATCTCTGCCAAGGAATCCAATGAATTTGAAGTGGGATTGTTAATTAGATCGAAATGATGACTTTGTTTTATGTAGATCTACTTATGAAGCATAAGATTTATTCACTCCACAAATACTTATTGGCATTACTGTTCTATGTGCTTGGGACATATCTGATCACTTCCCTTGACAAATTTTTACATTTTAGCAGGTGATTATAGGCAAAAAATAAAACCAATAAACACTGTAGAGAACAAAATTGTATAGATGTTACACTGAGAAGGTGAGATAATGCCAAAGCCTTGAAAGAGTTCAGGAATCGGGCAGATGAAGATCTAGAGCAAAGGCTTGAAGGTATGTGCCCTGTGTTTAAGTGACAACATAAAAACCAGGGTGTCTAGGTGAAGACAGCAAAGTGATGAGTAGCAGGAGCTAAGGTTGGAGAACCAACCATTTAGGAGTGTGTATGCCTTTAAGGACTTTGGCTTTTACTCCAAGTTAAATGGGAATACACTGAAAGGTTTTAAGCAAAGGTGTGACATGCTGCGACTCGTGTCTTAAAAGGACTATGATAGTTGCATAAGGAACATAGACTGAAGGAGAACAATGAGAGGAACTGAAAAACCAGGCTGGAGGCTATTGTAGTAACCCAGGTTCCATTTATACACTTTACATGAACCACCTCATGTTTTAGTTTAGACTAGAGTGGTGTTGGTGGACATCAGTGCTAAATTTTGTAAATAGAGTCAACTGAATTTTGATAGAATGGATGTGGGACATGAATGAAAGGAAGGAGTCATGGCTAGTGTTGTAGGCTGGGTCCTCCAGAATCACACACAGAATGGAGTTTGGAAAACAAGGTGTTACATTTGGGAAGGAAAGAGGGAAGGAGCGGGACTGGATAGAGGAAGAAGTCTACCTGACAGCTAGACCCGCAAAGCCTAGGCCAATCAGCAGGGAGCTCTGGTGAGAGCATTGCCCTCCAGAGTGTACCTTGTCAGGCAGAAATGGCCAGGCCTGTATGTCTCTTTCAGTCACTGGATGCAGGTTACTCTACCCTGGGAAGGGTATGACCTTTAGGGGCCTGAAACACTCTATATACACACTGAATATGTATTACTTTTGCACCATGATAAAGCTGGAAAAAATTATAAGTTGAACCATTGTTAAATCAAGTCAGGGACCATCTGTAGTCTGTATCTGGGGAGTGCCGAGTGTGATACATTGAAATTTGTTAGAGTAGATAGATAGGATCATACGGGTTGAGCATCCCTTATCTGAAATGCTTGGGACCAGAAGTGGTTTGGATTTTGGAATTTTTTGGATTTTGGAATATTTGCATATACCTAATGAATTATCTTGGGAATGGGATTGATGTGTAAACATGAAATTCATTTATATTTCATATATACCCTATACACATAGCCTGAAGGTAATTTTATACAACATTTTAAAAATTTTGTGCATGAAATGATGTTTTGACTGCATTTTAACTGCGACCTGTCACATGAAGTTAGATGCTGAATTTTTCCCTAGTGCCATCACATTGGCATTCAGAAAGTTTTAGATTTTGGAGCATTTTGGATTTCAGATTTTTAGATTAGCAACGCTCAACCTGTATAGCACATTTTTCACAGTACTAAAACACAATTGTGTCAGAGAATGCTCCCATAAGAGCTCCAGTTTATCTCAGACAATGCATTCTGTATTTTAGGATTAAAGAAGAAGACATTTCCAAATTGTTCCTCCTTCTGAGACCTCTTCTCTTTTCTCTTTTTAGTTGAAAGTGACTGCCACAGGCACAAAATGGCAGTGGTTGGAGAGGAGGAGAAAGTGTGCGTGTTATGTGTGTAACTTCAGTGGGAGTGGGCATAGGCAGGGCAACAGTGTTCTCTTAAGAAAGGCAGACTCAGTTGTTCTTCATGAGGCGGGAAGGGGTCCAAAAGATATTTCTCTGAGATCCTAATGAGGATTCTAAACTGTCTGAACAACCTTTGAAATTTAGTTCTAGTCAAAGGTACAGATGCACAAACTAGTAAAAAATGCCTAAGTTTTCTATATTTTTTATATCCAAGTTACAAATAGCTGCTGTGGCTGACTGAACTAGATAAAGCAGAATTTATTGAGCATTTAACCTTTTTTAATGATTTGGTAAATTAAATGGTTGCACTTTTCATTATTTACAGGAAGCTGTATTGGTAAAGGATCCAAAATAACCTTTGCTCTATTTTGCTCCTGCAAATATAATACTATGAAGTAAATTGATGTAGTAAATACTCTGTTGGGAGTAAGTCTCATTAAATGTTTATAGTGTGGAATGTATCAGAGTGCTTACTCAACAACCATGCTGAAGCTTTTGTTAAATTTTTCATTCTGGCCCTTGGCTGGGTGTGAGTATGAAACCTGAAATTTATGAGTGGAGAAAATAGAAGTTGAATTGGAACACTATACTGGCTAAATCAATTGATTTATTGGAAAGGCCAGTGTGAATTATAGGGGTTTTCTTCTGTATTTGTGGCTGAATGAGAGCTGAGAAGTGCTGAATTGTAGATTAAGAGAATTTTGAAAATGTTATGAAGCAAGAAACTTCACCAATAAAAATTGCTTTGAAAATTCCAAGTCCATTAAGACATATTGTCTCCTGTGAGGAGGGAAAAAGCAGCTGTTGTCATTGTGGTACACAAGAACTAATCTGAATTCCCATGCAATAAAGATGATAACAAATGATATGTATGTATATTTTCTTATTTTTAGAGAGCTGTCATATTCACTTTTTTTAACTTTTTTACATATTCATGTATCATCATTCATACAGTCATTGTTTACTGTTATATCTCCAGCACCTAGAATAATGCCCTAAATGTAGTAAGTGCTAGGTAAATATCAATGAATGCATGAATGAATGAATGCAATAATACGGCATGCCATTTTGTGATTTTGCAGTGAAAAGCATTTTTTCCTTACCCTTATTTTTTTCTCCTTCCTCCGACTGAAAGTGGATGTATTTGGGGGTATATGGCTCTACTTTAACTTTTAACCAGGCCATGAATTTATAGTGATGGAAACTACCAGAAGCACATGTAAGTGATACACTGCTCAGAATCCTTTCTGTGGTAAGGCAGCACAAAGAGAAAAAACTTTATATATATTCTCTTCTCTCAGCAGCTGTCCAGCCTTAGTCAGAGTTCCCTGTTACTTCCAAGATACTCTGTCTTTTACTAAGGGTAATAATTTTGGGGAAGATACTCCTCATGTTCTTACATTTTCACCTGTTAGGAGAAAACAGGATCTCTGTTAGTCAGATTAGCATTTAGAAGCTAAAGAAGAAATAGATATCACTGTTATCTAGAAGCACATTAATATGATTTTAAAAAATGGTTTGGTTTCTAGATATATAGTGAACTATAAGAACTAAAAGAGATGAAGAAAATATTTTTATATACATAAATAATCTGATAACTGAATTATGGAAATTATTTGAGGCTGATACAAAAAGCACAAAATCCAAACTAGTGAGCCAACACCAGCATTATGCTGGGGGATGGGGTAGCTGCTTTTCAATTATGGCCTGGAGCTTGAATCTTGAAAGACTGTGAACTGAAGACAAAAGATAAATTCTGTATCCTGCCAACTGGAAAGTCCCGTAAGATACATTTGCATGTTACTGGGAATCTTTAAAATTTGACCACCTTGTTGGAGAAATGAAAATAACACTAACCCGAATAGCAGGAGATGTTGGGAGAACTTTTGACTAGCATAGCCTTGGCTCTGGGAAGCTCAGAAAAAAGGAACAGAATCCATGTTGGAATTTTCTAGCCATAGGCCTGTCCTTATCTGGACTTTGGGTCAGCATTCATATTATCTGTGTAGCCTCTAAAACCCCATCCAAAAATCTAGTTTAAAATTGCCTTATCCTGGCAATACCTCCAGAGATCTGCCAGAAGGAAACTCAGATTCTTTCTGCACTTTATACACAGCTTTCAAAAAATTCTCATACGGTTCCAAGGAAGATGGTTTTCACAAGACACACAAATAAGCCATCTTGAGTAACTTCATAGAATGAACAAACTACAGAATCAGGTCTGCAAACACTGTAGATATTGAAATTATAAGGTACTGAAAAAAGTATTTTAATATACATTATTCCCTAATGAATATGTTGAAGAAACAAAAGACTGTCAAAATTGACCAGGCAGAGCTATCTAAAATGAAAAATATAATGATGAAAAATTCAATGGTTAGGCAAAACAGGTGATTAGGTTAGAGAATTGGTGATCTGAAAGATATTTGAAGAGGTTACTTTGAGTTTCCCACAGAAAGACACAGAAGTAAAAAGTATTTTTTGAAAAGCAGTTAAGATACATGCCATGACAAGTTCTAAAATATTATAATATACAATTCAGAAGAGAGAGAAGTATAAAACAGATAATGAGAATTTCCTAGAACTGATGGAAGTCACCATTCTCTATAGCTAAGAAGCCCAGTAAATCCCAAGCAAGGTGTCTTTAAAGAAACCTATATTTACACGTATCATAGTGAAACTGAAGAACGCCAAAGACCAAAAGAATATTTTTAAAAGAAAATAGGAAAAAAAAGAGTTACCTATGAATGATGACTGATTATCTGTGAATGATAGCCGAGTTCTTAAACATGAATGTTACAAGATAGTAAATCATTCTCAGAGAAAATAACTGTTAACCTTGAGTTCAATACATGATACAGCTGTTTTTCAAGAAAAAAGATAAATATATTTTTACCCAGTCCCAAACATGAATAGTTTATTGTCAACAACTTTTCACTGAAGAAATTGTTAAAGAAAAATAAAAAAATTATCCTATCTTAAGGGTGCAAATGCAAGAATTTGTAAGCAGAGGAAATGGTAAACATAAGGATTTATTACTGCTTACATATTACTTTTTATAAATGATTAATAACTATGTATACTTTGTATAATTAAAATTGTAGAATGATTGTGTCTGGAAACACAGTGTATAATTAGGATGGATAGAATCATAGTTAAATGTTCTAGGGTCTTTATATATTTTTTGGGGAAGGATAAAAATATTGACTTATATTAGGCATTTATCTTAATAAGCATGTTAAAATGTCTATAGTAACTACTAAAAATGTGTAGTCATAGACTGTATAATTGCCAAATATGGAAAAGGAGAAATGCAATGAGAAAATAAGAAACTCAGTTTGTCCAAAAGAAGAAAAAAATGGAGGAAAAAACACTGTGGAAAAAGAAGGATGTACACACAGTAGAAAACATAATAAAATAAATCCAAATAATCTTGGAATCATAATAAATGTAAAAAGGAAACCTAAACTCTCCAAAGACAAAAGACTGACAGCTTAGAATATAAAACGAAATCTAGCTATATGCTGTTTATAAAAACACATCTAACACTTAAGAATCAAGATAGTTTGAAAGTCAAAGGATAAAACGATATCCAACAAATTCTAACTGAAGAAAGCTGGTATAGCTATATCAATACTAGTAAAAATGCTAATGACAGTTACTATCTACTGATAGGATAAATTCACCAGGAGGTTGTAACACATTCTTTTCGAGGACACATGGAAAATTAACAAAAATTGACAGCATACTGAGTCATGATTTTCAAAGCACTAGTATTATACAGGCCACCTAGAAATGTATTTAGGTAAATAAGTGAAATTACCCTACTATTTGGAATCTTTTTTGAAAACCATATCTGTATAACTACTGGGTCATGAATAAATTATAATTGAAAGTAAAAAATACTTATAACTGAGAAATAATGATAATGTATAATAACAACAAAACTTGAGCGATATAGCTAAAGGGAGTACATAGAAGGAAATTTCTCACCTATACATGCTTATATTAGGAAAGAAGAAAGCTGGATGTTAAGGAGCTAAGTTTCCACTTGGAGTTTGAAACAGACAATATAAAAAACCCAGAAGGAAAAAATTAATAAAGATAAGAATAGAAATTAATTAAATCACAAACAAAGATACAGTAGAGAAGTTCAACAAAGCCAAAAGTGTATTATTTGTAAAGACCAATAAAATTGACAAACTGCTGGTGAGATAAATTAAGAATACTGAAAGCAGACAAAAAACAGCATGTAAGAGTGAAAGTCAGAAGAGGAGTCATAACTACAGGGTTATGACTAAATACTAAATATTATAAATACTAAAACACTAAAAGAATATTATAAACAAATTTATACTGATAAAAATGAAAATTTGGATGAAATGGAAAAATTCCTAAGAAAATATAAATTAACAAAATTGACTCAAGTATAGACAATCTGAATGAAATAATTAAATAGAATTAGTAGTTAACAGTTTTTACTGAAAGCAAATAGGAGGCTCAGATAGTTTGATAGAATACTATAAACCCTTCCAGGAATATGTAAATGTATTTCTACAGCAGTGTCCTGAGAATAGCAAACAAACAAACAAACAAAGTAGCTCTCAATCCATTATATGAAATTGGTGAAGCAAGTGTGAAACGATGCTACACAGGTCAGATAAGTAAGGAAATTCACATGCCAATCTAATTTATGAAATTAGATGCAAAAATTGCAAACAAAATGTGAATAAACTGTTTAGCACTAGATAAAAAAGTCATTATGACAAAGTTGAATTTATTCCAGGAATGTAATGTTAGTTCAACATTAGAACATTTACTGATGGTATTCACCTCATTAACAAGTTAGAAGAGAAAAACTATATAATAATCTCAGTAGATACAGAAAACATTTGAAAAATTCAATATAATTTATTTAAAACTTCTAGAAAGCTAGGAACAGAAGTGAGTTTTCTTGATAAAGGGTTTCTGTAAAATTCTACAGTAAACTTCATAGTTAAATTTGAGTAATTAAAAACACTCCCTTTAAACTTAGACATGAGGCCATAATGAATAAAAATGAGTAAATTATAGTAATACATGTCAATATGAATGATACCAAAACAAAAAGCTTTACCATAAAAGAGCAAGCCGTATAAGAATTCATACAGCATTTTTACTTTTATATAAAGGCTCACACAAGCAAAACTAAACAACACATTTCTAGTGTTACAGACATGTCTGGTAAGATATAAAGAGAAGGAAGAGAATGATTTATGCAATATTGAGGAGTGGAGGAGTGGGGAGAAAGAGGTTGCATACACACATCAGGAGCTTTAAAGCTACTGAGCATATTGTTTTTCAGAAGCTGGGTTGGTAGATGAATGTGTGTTATATTATTATTCTTTATTCATACATTCTCTTATGTTTGAGGTAGTTAATAATGAAATTGAATAAAGTGTGTTAAAATGGGTGGTAAATCTGAGAATAAGTGCTACAACAATGTACTGTTTATATTTAACAAATATTTATTAAATCTATTTTCTGTGTAATTAATGTCTGTGTGAACCCTTGTGCTAGGTACTGGCTTAATACAAATTTAAGGTACTAGCATCTTACATTTGTACTATTTAGGGTGTTTATCTGCACATTTTATTAATAGTATCAAATTGCTTCATAGAGCACATAGGTCAGGAGTTATTGTGTACTTTATAGAGGAGCAAACTACTCTTCTGTGAGGTTGTGTAACTTGTACAAAGTCAAATAAACAGGAATTAGAAGAGTTATAACTTGAACACATATTTCGTGAGCCCTCCCAACAATTACTCTTTCCAAATAATGCTCTTGTGACAAATGATGGAGACTGTTGGAATACAATTAGGTCTTGAGTTTAATACATTTATTTGTTTATGCATCTGTCTTTGCTATTGGATGAATTATATGAGTAGAGGAATAATGCCTTATTCATATTTATATTGTCACCGCCTAGCAAGTTGCCAGGTACATAGTAATTGCTTTAAACATATTTATTGAAAAAGCAATGAATTGTTGATATTTCAGAACCTAGTGTGAGGTTTTAATGCATCTAATAAATATTTACCCAATAAAAGAAGGACAACATCTCCTTTATCTTGATGATTAAATAAAACACATGGATAGTAATGAGTATTAGACCTTGTTTGCTCTTGGCTTCTTGGGACTCTTAGACCCCATGATGTACATGGCATTATAGATCGTGTTCAAGGTTTGCTGTTATATGGACCCGATGTCAAGCTTGGAGAAAACTCTGGCAGCCAGTTATAGTAATGTTTTTTTTTTTTTCTCCAAAACTTGAAAAAACCAAAATGAATCCACAGCAAGTTTTTAAAAACAAATTCTTATAAAATGTTTGTATCATGAGTCTCATGACCATCAGTTAATCATCAGTATTTATTAGGTACTTGTTCTCTATTTCCACATTGTCATGTGCTTAATGGGAGCTAGAAAATAAGTAAAAATAAAAAGCCTCCAATCCTAAAAATTGCATATTCAGGAGATAAGAATACCATAAATCAAGCAATAAAAGCTAGCACAACTCTTCCTTTAGATCCTCACTCACATGACACAGGTCGGGCTTTCTTGGATGCCGATTCCTTGATGATGTTTAGTTTTAGGGTTAGTTTAGCGTTAACTAGGGACCATACTTGTGAGCACTGCAAAATGAGAAAAGGCATGAAGGAAAAATAAATATGAGAGCTGATGAAGGGATTGTGTAATAGGAGTGGATAATTCACACTGACTACTGATTGAAATTTATAGAGGACCTCAAAATAGAACAGTTTTTATTTTTATTTATTATTTTTTATTGAGCCCCCCCCCATATGCAGTATGGAAAGTTGATTTCATGTATAGAACTTCACATGCAACAGAGGACGCATATCTTTCAAATAGCTATGGAAAAATGGATCCAAAATGGATCCACAAAAATGGAGCAAAGGCTGCAAAGAAAACCTCAATAAAAGAGTCACCACAAAAAAGTATGTGGGATGATGGACATGTTAATTAGCTTGATTCAGTCATTCCTCAGTGCATACATATATCAAAGCATCAGGTTGTATTCCACAGATGTGTACAAAAAAGAGGCAATAGATGAATGACATTAGGAACATGTGTCTTCTTTTTTTTAGTTTGAATTTTAAAAATCTGAATTTTTATTTTCTTCTCTGTAAAGAATTTTCTTTTTAGCAATTAAGACTACTATTTAATTATTTACTAGATTCTGCTTTTATTTTTATTTTTATTTTGAGATGGAGTCTCAGTCTGTCACCTGGCCTGGAGTGCAGTGACACAATCTCAGCTCACTGCAATCTCTGCCTCCCAGGTTCAAGCAATTCTCCTGCCTCAGCCTCCAGAGTAGCTGGGACTACAGGTGCATGCCATCATGCCTGGCTAATTTTTTGTATTTTTAGTAGAGACAGGGTTTTACCATGTTAGCCAGGATGGTGTCGATCTCCCGACCTTGTGATCTGCCTGCTTTGCTCTCCCAAAGTGCTGGGATTACAGGCTTGAGCCACCGTGCCTGGCCTGCTTTTATTTTTATTAACTTATATTTTCTAATTTCTTAGGTTAATTTGCTGATCTTTTATAATATCTTGAATATATTTATTGAGTTAATTTTTAGTCTCTCTTTTTCTGTTTTTCTTACTTGGTTTTTTTCTTTTGTAAACTCATTCATGGTGTCAGTTTTCCTCTGAACACCTATGTTTAATAAGCAGTACTTTTATCTGTATTTTAAAAAATAGGTGTTAGTTTTAACTTAGTTTTTTTTTCTTTGCCTTATACTACTAGAAGTGTGTTTTAAAAATGTTAAAATTGGTTTTTGGTGTTTTAAAATTGTTTTTTGTTTATTTTTGTCATCCTTTAAAATTAATTTCTAGTTTTACTGAATTTTGGTCAGAAAATATAGGTTTTATTTTGGAAAATGTTTGGAATTTTTTTGGGGGAACACTGAAATTTTTTGTGGCTTAATTCATGTTTTGAAAGTTGTATTTATACATATTTGAAAAAATTGTGTATTCTCTCTTTGGGAGGAAGTTTTAAAAGTTCGTAATTGTAATAAATAAAGTGTCTTCATTCTTACTTCTGTTTTCTGTTTCACCTGTTTGAGAGAGGTTAGTTGAAGTCTTTCACATTACAGCAAAATACCATTTTCTCCTTGTATTTCTAGTGGTATTTTGTTCCATACATTTAAAAACTTATATTAGGCCCGTGCGGTGGCTCATGCTTATAATCCCAGCACTTTGTGAGGCCAAGGCGGGTGGATCACCTGAGGTTAGGAGGTCGAGACCAGCCTGGCCAACATAGTGAAACCCCGTCTCTACTAAAAATACAAAAATTAGCTGGACACGGTGGCGTGTGCCTGTAAAACCAGCTACTTGGGAAGCTGAGGCAAGATAATCTCTGGAACTCAGGAGGCAGAGGTTGCAGTGAGCCAAAATCGTGCCACTGGACTCCAGCCTGGTGACAGAGTGAGACTCTGTCTTAACAACAACAACAACAACAACAAAAAATAACAATACCCTTATATTATTAGATTTAGAAGTTTTCTTGACTCCTATGACTTCCTGGTGGAAGGTACCTTTTATTATTATAAAATGTTCCTCTTTATTTTAATAGTGTCTACTCTGATTCAATTTGTCTGGTATTAATATTGATATTCTTGGCTTCCTTTTTATTAGCATTTTCCTGGTGTATCTTTGACAATAATTTTATTCATGTCTAGATTAATTAATTTCATAAGGAATACATGAATTTATTCTTGTAAAATAATTATACAATTATGGAAATTAAGAAAAAAGTTAATGTCTCTTTTCACTTCACCTCAATTCAATTCTTATTGCCAGTGATAACTGCAATTAAGGACTTGGTATATATTTTCCAGACGCTTTTCTAGGCAGAGACACATTTTCTTTTCTCTTCTAAAACTCTTATTAAGATGAATGTTGGTCTGTCTGGATGAGTCTTGTGGCTTTTAATTTTTGTCTCATACTTTGCATATCCTTTTCATTCTGTGAGAATTTTTGGCTTTCTTTTCTGGTCACTGATTTTGATGTTAGCTATTTTCATTCCGCTCTTTAAGTCTTCAACTGTCTAGTTTTTATTTTTGCAATACCATTTTAAATTTCCAAGAATACCAGTGGTGTTTTCTGTGGCTATTTTTTTTTTTTTTTTTGAGACAGAGTCTTGCTCTGTCACCCAGGCTGGAGTGCAGTGGCACGATCTCGGCTCACTGCAACCTCTGCCTCCTGGGTTCAAGCAAGTCTCTGCCTCAGCTTCCCGAGTAGCTGAGATTACAGGCGCCTGCCACCAGGCCCAGCTAATTTTTTTTGTGTGTGTGTTTTTAGTAGAGACGTGGTTTCACCATCTTGGCCAGGCTGGTCTTGGACTCCTGACCTCGTGATCCACCCACCTCAGCCTCCAAAAGTGCTAGGATTACAGGCATGAGCCACCGCGCCTGGCCTGGCTGTTCTTATAGCTATGATAAACATTTGAATCTCTTTTAGAATATTAATTATACTAATTATGTTTCCTTAAGTTCTTCTGTTTGTTGAGTTTGGGGACTCTAATTCTGTTGATGTTTCTCAAATGTTTGGTGATTAACCACTTGCACAAGAATCACTTTGGGTGCTAGTTAAAAGTGAAGATTTCTGTTCCCAAATTTAGACATACTCTGATGATGAGGTCATGAATCATTTTCAAAGACGAGCCTTCCCAGGTGATCCTTAAGCACACTAAATGTTCCAAACCATTAATCTAGATTATACAGTATTATTAGCTGCTGTATATTTTTCAGTTAGACTGAGTATTCGGGTAATCTTGCAGGTTTGTAAGATTGTAAGGTTCTGATTCTAGGAATGCTAGGTCAAGTCGCTATACTGGAGGGAGGGCAACATGGAGATGTAGGTGGCCCTTTAGAACATGGAAAGCAAATAGTTTATCTTCTTGGAGAAGAAGCTTCTTGTCTCTTGTGGTAGACTTGCCTAGTTTTTCTGGTAGCAGAACTCATCCTGAGTTCTGTTACAATTCCCACAGAGGTTCTTAAGCTACAGTTCATGGGGATTCATATGTAGAATTCAGGGTGTCTGTGGACTTGGATGAGAAAAATAAATAGTTCTTTATTTTATAAAGTTCTATCTGAAATTTATCACTTTAGTTATTAATATTATTAAATACAAACCACAGTGCATAAGATACCTAAGACTTTGTCACCTATAGAAATTACAGATATTTTCATACCACATTATGTCATGTATGCTTATCACTATGTCTGAATTATGAGAGTTATTAGGCTGACTGCTAGATCTTATTATTTCATGTTAATATAATGACTAAAAAATTATATCTGTCAATGGAATTGATTTCCATTTAAAATTGTATCTGTTATTTTTATGCATTACAATTTTTGTTTTGTTTTGTTATGAGATGAACTCTCACTCTTGTCACCCAGGCTGGAGTGCAATGGTGCGATCTCGGCTCACTGCAACCTCCGCCTCCCGAGTTCCAGTGATTCTCCTGCCTCATCCTCCTGAGTAGCTGGTATTACAGGCGCCTGCCACCACGCCCAGCTAATTTTCGTATTTTTAGTAGAGACGGGGTTTCACCATGTTGGCTTAGCTGGTCTCGAACGCCTGACCTCAAGTAATCCATCTGCCTCAGCCTCCCAAAGTGCTGGGATTACAGGCGTGAGTTGTTTTGAGAAGGGGTTTTAGTTTTTATGGGATATTGGCTTGATTGTTCTCCCCTTTAATTACTTCGCAGACAATATGTTCAGTAGAGACTGAATTCTAGAGTCCTGATTCTAGATTCTAGAATCTAGATTCTAGAATCAGGTGCAGGCTCTAGAAGCCTGATTCTAGAGTCCTGTTGGAAACTCTTAATTTTTTTTTTTTTGAAGGTCTTTTCTTCCCTAAGTGGAAGTGCTTTTTGTTGAGTTTTTGCTAATAGCCTGTTCTTTGTTTTTCTTCCTCCCTCCCTCTTTTCTTCCTTTCCCTTCTTCTTCCACAATTTCCCTCCTTATTCTTTAGTTTCTTAATTGGTTCCTTTCATTTTATTGAGAAGTTAAAACATTTGCACATTTACATATTTAAATGATACAGTAATCTCCAGTGAGTTTTGGGGAAATATAATTTAAAACAATATATCCTGCCAACCCAGGATACCCTTCACAAAGGAAAACAATTTTATAATTGATAAGCATTAAACCAGAATGTGATATATACCACAGGCAATCAGCTAAAGAAATGCAGAGACATAAAGAAATCTCAATGTTTTATATAGCTTAGGAGACACAACCCATTAGATACATGTTCTCAAGATAAATGATAACTATTCCTCAAGTAAGAGGACTTGACAGTACCATTTACATACATAGTTCATCCTAAACTCACCTGGTAATTTGAATAACTGTCTCTGTTCACTAATTGCCTTTATCCAAAGGAACTTTTTATATCTTTTTGACAGAAGACAAGTTTGTAACTTGGAGCCAGGCACCCACCAAAGTTAGGCTCCTGCCTTCCCACAGAAACTGGGAGATAGGGACACTACGTTCTTTGATGATTATATTTAAAAGAGATGGTTTCCAGGTTCTTGAGAAAGACATTCTCCCAAGATTCTTTTCATCCTTGGGTTGAAAAGCTGGCGAGAAGCTTATTTCACTTTTAAGAAGATTTACATACGTTTCAAAGGGCAGAGAAAGACTCACCATGACAAGTTTTCTAAAGTAAATGGTAACGTGTCTCTCCCTTTTTTCCCTAGGAAAATTATATTTTGCTTCTTTTAAGATCTGTATTTATCCTTACCTTTTCCTCAGAAACAAGTATTTTAAACCATTTTTTGGTGTTTTAGTCCAGAGATTGTTCTGTATATACAAGTGTGAGTATAACTGAGGGGTAAATTGTTAGCACAGTACCTGTTCTATAAATGTTTGTTGAATCCACACTTCACTCTGTTCTCAAGCCTCCTGTAACCTAGCAAGAAGCAAACAGGGAAGTCTTTATGGAAAGGAAATTGAGCTAGGCCTTGAAGGATGGGAGATTTTGATAGAATGTTTAATGACTTTTCACAGTTATCTAAAAGGGGGTTTACAAAACTCTGATGCCTATAAATATATGAGAGTTTGCAATTTTGGTGGGTAAATAAGAACTAAATAAAATTATTTACTAGTAAGAGGCCCCTTATCTGCCAGAAAACCTTCATACAGGAACACACCATTAAGGATGAATAGCAGAACAGAATTAAAGTTGGTCTTACTTGGGACTGAAACCGACTTTGCAAAAAATAAAACATGAGAAAATTATGACATAAAAGAGATCTGATATAACCAACCCCCATCTTGCCTTTAACCTCCAAACTGCCCTTAATTATTCTGGGCCAGGGCCAAGCTAACTTTGGGAGAAATTTAGTTTATAGTTTAAATGTTAATAACCCTTCCCCCAAACTAAACTGCCTTTGTAAAGCTAATAAAAGACCACCAGGTTACGAAGAGATGAGGATCCTGAATTCTGCTAAGGTGTAGACATAAACAATTACCAGCCATTATTCTGGAGGTCACAAGATTTGCAACTCCCGCAATTACTCCTGCAGATAACATCACTATTACAGAGCGAGCCTAAGATTGGCCTTTTGAGATATCTTTTCAGGTTTTTACATTTCTGAGGACAGTCTACCCCTGCCCATCTGTCATGTGGCCCCACCCAAACTGACTCCTTGTCCCACCAAACTATCCTTGAAAAACCCTAGCCTCTGAATTTTCAAGGAGATTAATTTGGTAATAACTCCATCTCTCACATGGCATAGCTGACCTTGTGTCTATTAAAATCTTTATTGCAATGCTGTGGTCTTAGTGAATTGGCTTTGTGCAGTGGGCAGGAAGAACCCATTGGGTCGTTTCCGGACTGTCATGTCAGTTTGATTAATCAGTAGATCAACATACTTTGTTTTAGATCCCATAAATTCAGCTTTCTTATTAGTAGCTGTATTAGTCTGTTCTTGCACTGCTATGAATACCTGCGACTGGGAAATTTATAAAGAAAACAGGTTTAATTGGCTTACAGTTCTGCAGGCTGTACAGGAAGCACGAGAGCTTCTGGGCAGCCTCAGGAAACTTTCAATCGTGGTGGAAGGTGAAGGGGAAATAGGTATGTCTTACATGGCTGGAGCAGGAGGAAGAGAGAGGGGGGGAGGTGCCATACACTTTCAAACAAGCAGATCTCATGAAAACTCACTCACTCTACAGTACCAAGGGGAGATGGTGCTAAACCATTCATGAGAACTCTGCCTCCATGATCTAATCACCTCCCGCCAAGCCCCTCCTCCAACATTAGTGGTTACATTTTGACATGAGATTTGGGGTGGGGACGTGCGTATCCAAACCATATCAGCAGGAATCAAGACATTTCATAGTACATATCTGGGAAAAAAATACTTTTAGGTCTAAGAGATTTGCTTTATCACTTCCTTCTAATAAAAGCCCATTTCCTTCTTAGGAAGTTGAATTCCTAAGTTCATATTTTCTTCTTTTAAAGAGAGGGCTAATATCACTCCTTTTCTGTATTACCAGCCATATTCCAGCAGTCACAAGACTTGGAACTCCCTCAATTACTCCTGCAGGTAACATCACTACACCTTTTCTGTAGTAATGAAATGGGAATTTCCAGCCCAAGCTCATTAATACCGTATTACAGTATCTGCAACAGGTGAGAAGATAATCTGGCTTGGAAACCAGATTTTGAGGAACCATATTGAATGCCAAGCTAAGAAATTTGGACTTTGTTAATGAGGAATATTTTGTCATGGAAGGGACAATCAAACAGGTATTGTGGAAGATTAATCAGTAATGATGTGTAGATTATTTTGCATGGTTTAATGGAAGCAAGAAAAATCAAGATATTTTTATAATATTTCAGGTAAAGTGTAATAAAAACCCAATGTAAAGGAGTTGGAATGGAAAGGAGAGGGATAGGTATGAAAAAAGAACTGACAGTTGTAGTGACTGGAAGTGGCCCAAGATAGCTTAGATATCCAATGGATCTATGCTTGGAAGAATGGTGACATCATATCTTCAGTAGGAGGGCGTATTAGTCTGTTCTCACACTGTTAATAAAGACATACCTGAGACTGGATAATTTATAGAGGAAAGAGGTTTAATTGATTCACAGTTCCACATGGCTAGGGAGGCCTCACAATCATGGTGGAAGGCGAATGAGGAGCAAAGTTACTTCTTACATGGTGCCAGGCAAGAGAGCGTGTTCACGGGAACTCCCTTTTATAAAACCATCAGATCTCGTGAGACTTATTCACTACCAGGAGAACAGTATGGGGGAAACTGCCCCCATGATTCATTTATCTTCACTTGGCCCTGTCCTTGACACATGGGGATTATTACAATTCAAGGTGAGATTTGGGTGGGGACACAGTCAAACCATATCAGAGGATAAACTGAATTGGGAGAAGTAAGATAGGAAATGGAACAAGGGAGACAGCCAAAAAGAAAGAGATACAAGCTTCTGAGTATTCAAATACCTTTTTTTGGAGTTAGTTTTAGGAGGTAAATCATTTTAACACAAGTATACATGGTATGTAAACTAAAATAAGCAATTAATTATTTCCATAAGTATTCCTTAAAGAATGTTGGTTAAAATTATTCCAAGTTCAGAAGATTATCTAGCTTTTTTTTAAAGCAGATATGTCCAGAGTTCCCTTTTTATATGGCTGTAGGTACCATCATAATAATATAATAAAAATTTGTTTTGGAAGGTTACATTTACTATGTAAAGTGATATTACAGTTTTCTTTTTTTTCTACCACCTGGTGCAAACTTTCTGTCTAGCATGATCGGTCTGTTGGATAAAGCACTTCGTTCAAAATGGAATGATGTTTATTTTAGACATGTTCTCAGAGTAAGGTGAAATCAAGAAAAGAGAAGTAGCCTATGAGAATTATTAATTCTTACATTAAAAATTAGTAAAACATAATTTTTATTAGTTTTTATTAGTTTGGTCTTGCGAATTCCAGCTTTAATTTAGAGGAATCTGTTTTTACTTTTATCAAGAGATGGAGGGTAGTAAGTTGTAGAGTTCCTTGTTTTAAGATACAGTTTGATAAAATATGGTTAGTAGTGTGGATCATAGTATAGTATTTTGCTTTGTAGGGTGTTGATTATGGCTTTATTATGGAGAACATTGTTCAGTGGCCATGCTGTTCCTAGAGTGAGCGCTTATGGCTTTTGTTACTGTCAGGTGTTCACTGCTAAGTTTAAGATTTAGGGTTTTCCAAATCTAGCCATGGATCTATAATTTACAGGCTTTATTTTCATACTTTTGTATTTACAGTAAGATTTGGAAAGGCAAGAAGGGTATCGGGCAATTATTTTTTGAAACTGAATTGAACTTTATGTTATGAATAGAACCTCAAAGCTTGTTTTCTGAGACCAATCGAAAAGGAAAAAGAAGTCTTTGTAAATTCTAAAAAGAAATTTTTGATGAAGATACTATTGACTTTGAAGAAAATATTGCCAACATATTAGTTTTTATCATAAGCGTGATTAACATTTAAAAGAAATGGCAAAAATGTCTTATGTTTTCTTTGACAAATCCAGGGCTCTCTTCATGGGTGTGTCTCACAGATGGAAGGATCTCATATTTGGTTTAATTACCTGAGGTTGCTATATTAAAATTCTGAATATATTTTGAACAAGGTACCTTATACTTCCACATTGCACTGAGCCTTCCAAATCACGTAGCTGATCGTGGATGAATCTTTTGGTTTCTTTCAGGTTGACTTGGACTCTGCTTAGTTCCCATCACCTGATAAGAACTCACCTTTAAACATGTGAAATGGAGGATATAATTGCAATTAAAGTAAAGCCTGATAATTTAGGTTGATTATTGACATCTAATCAGTTTGGACTAAATGCAAGTTATATGTTAACAAAAATCTCAGCTTCGTTAGCCACAAATGAACACTTGAAGTTAAATGAATAATTTGGTAGGCAGGATCCAAAAGAGCAATGTCTAAAAGCTTCAGAGTAAAAGGAAAAAATGGAAAGCACATGTACCCTAAAACTTAAAGTATAATAATAAAAAAATAATAAAAAAAAAAGAATAGACATAAGGTGCCTGCCAATACTCTGACTCCTCTCCAAGCCTACTATAAGCCAATCAATTGGCATATGTCATGTCCTGCAGATGGAAAAGGAGTATGTGCAAACATGTACTGTACAGATGCATGGATCTGCTCTGCAGCTGCTGGAGGTTATATTTGTTAAGCAGCCTGACAATATCCATGAGTTTTGAAAAAGGTAGTTGCATTATAGGAGGTAGACTAATCCTATTTGTTTCACGTGGAAACCATGCTGTCTCTAACAGGCATAGTGGCTTGCTTCTTCAATGCCTAGAATGAGTCTGACAATATTTTTTTCCTCACATTACTATCTTAGTCATGTGAGTGTTGAGTCAGTCTTATGGACAGGGAGGGAGGCCCAATGCAGAGTAGGAACTCCGGTGATGGATGAAGCAATGTAATAAATAGATACAGCCAAACAGATGAGTGACCCAGAGACAGAGAGAGCATCCGTTGGGGTCAATTGACCCTTTGATGAAAAAACAGGAGGAAACACATACTGAGACACATCAAACTGAAGATAGTGAGAATAGTCTGTTTTAGTTGATATTTTCTAATACTTAGGAATTTCTAAGTCTTAATATTTCTAACTTAAATATAGGGCTTAAAATATTTGTAACAAGGTATAATGTGTATGGTGTTCACATTACAGTTGTTTTTGTGAAACGGAAAGAAAAGTGCATGCGTGACTGTCTTTTGGGCTTTAGGGAGTTAATGAGGAAAGGGCAGTAGGCTGAGCAGTATTGTCTACCTGGTATATGACTTGTGGGCATCTTTGCAGGTCATGGCTTGAGCATGGGAAGGCATTAAAGAATTTTGACTTGATACAGACTCCTATTCCTGGCCTTCCTGGTATGGGTTGATTTGGAGATGGGATCACTTTACCTCATTCAGGCAGGCTACAATTTACCAAGGAGCCTCCTTGGAACCACCGATGTTTAGAGGGATAATTTTTGGTGCTGATGCAGAGGCAGTATCAACCAAGAATCTTGGTTCTATAGGAATTTTATGCCTTCTTTAGGGAGTATTAAACTGCCTTTCTTTATTTTAAAAGTCCCCTTAAATTGAGAAGTTGGATTCTCTTCTCTTTTTATCAATAGTAAGAATTTCTATTTTTTTATTCATGCATTCCTGAGCATATTTTGAAGTTTCTACATACTTTCCCCCCACCAGATCTTCAAATATGGAATAGCAGGCAAGGTCACAAGTAAGTTAATTTAAAAACCCTTTAAATTTAATCATTTCTCATACAGGGTACAGAAAAAATTCAGCCAATTTCTTCCTATATTAGTTTTCATCAGGACCCAATATATCTCTCCTGTTCGCTATTGTGATATGTGCCCCTGCTTGTCTCTCTAGATAAAGCACTCCTTCTCAGAGATTTTGGCCTTCATATTCAATTGCTTTTTCCTGTCTGCAAAGAAAAGGGGCAAAGTATTCTTACCATACTTTTGCTTGGTATTCGTAGTAGTTAACTAGTGTTTTATAATATCCTGATAAGAAAAGTCTGGAGCGGTGTTCAGTGATGGGATTTTTCTTGATGGAATTATGTATTGTTAAATTTAAAGGATATAGTTTATGCTCTTTAATAGCACATCCCACTGCATAACGTCAATATCTACTTGAAAAATAGTCTAGTTATGTAGATGATACTACTCTTTCAACATTAATTTCATTCTGAATGTTGTTTTGCATCCCATTTGCCAAAGCTATGTGAATATTGTAAAGTTCAGGAAGGGACATGCTGAACACCTGCACTTTATAAAAATACAAAAACCTTCACGTCTGTAATCCCAGCACTTTGGGAGGCCGAGGTGGGTGGAATATGAGGTCAGGAGATTGAGACCATCCTGGCTAACACGGTGAAACCCTGTCTCTACTAAAAATACAAAAAATTAGCCAGGCGTGGTGGCATGCGCCTGTAGTCCCAGCTACTTGGGAGGCTCAGGAAGAAGAATCGCTTGAACTCGGGAGGCGGAGGTTGCAGAGAGCCAAGAATGCGCCACTGCATTCCAGCCTGGGCAACAGAGCGAAACTCCATCTGGAAAAACAACAACAACAACAACAAAAAGGAAAAACAAAAAAAACTTGTAGCCATTTAAAATTTTCTATAGTGATGAAAGCTGGATTTTTATTTGGCAAAGTTGTCAGGTACCTCCACAGTTATCCCTTTATCACTTAAATGTTCTCTTGAATCATGAAACACAGAAGCGTATTGGTTTTATTACTTGCAGTGTGAATGACACAAGAGTGTTTAGCAAACTGTTTCTTTACTTTCACTTTCTTTTTTTGTCACTTTCTCTCTTTTCCCAGTTCCTCCTCTTCTATCCTGTCAGTCCCCTTCTCAACTCTCCTTCCATCCCCTTTTCTCTTTCCCTTCCCCCTTTACCTTATTTTTTTTACATCTCCCTCCTCTTTCTCTCCTTCCTTTCTCCTCCTCCATCTCCCCCTCCTCCTTATATTGCACATGTTCTTGTTCCTTAATAGGATGAAAAATGTAAATCATATTGATAAAGCACCAAGGGAAAAAATAAGGCTCTTTGGTAAAAACTTTAAAGACTATAAATATCAAAGCATAGCAGAAGGAATGATGTTGGTTTAACATTTTTCTGACCAACTTTTGTGTATGTCATTACATAACTAGCAAAGCAAAAAGATCCAAACAGTGTAAAATGCACGAACAGTTGATTTTTTCTACAGGTCTTCTCAATTTGGAAAGGATATTAAGCCAGGGACTGACATTTTCAGTCTTGCATCGACACCCTATGAGAACAGCACCAGCAACATCCTTCATTAATAAAAAGAGAAGGATATAAAACAGAGCAGAATGAATTAAACTGTGAAATAGATGAATGTTGCCTTTGATTGTCCTTTCCATTTTCCTTCTCAGAATTCTTTTTTCTCAGAGTATCTTTTCCCTGTCTTCCCACTGATGCTCAGTATCTCTATATCCTAGCCACATAAGACTTGCTTCTTGTCCTTCCACACTGTGACTCATATTCTCTGGAGCTGCCTCTTTTTTAGTCTAACTCATTCTCAACTAGTTGTTAGGGAAAAGGACCTGATAAAGTAAGACCTTCGTGACTGGCAACAGCTTAAACTTTTATCCTCCACCAGTGCTTTCTCCAAAGATACCCACTTGCTTAGGGAAATAGTGCTTTTAATCACAATCAATCAACCATCAACCACCTAGATACCTAAAGGATATCACAACATATCATGACATAATCTCATATGGAAAATACAGTGAAAATCAACTTTAAGAGCTGTGCTGTTCAATATAGTAGCCACTACTCACATGTGGCTTTTCAATTTAAAATTAAATTAATCATAATTAAATAAACTAAAAATTCAGTTTCTTACTTGTACTATCCAAATTTCAGATGTTGAGTAGCTACTGTGTTGACCATTGTAGATACAGAAAATTTTCATCAACATAGATTGCTCTTTTGGGCAGTACTCCAGAGTGTACTTTAGAGTCAATACAGTTTCTTTGCAATTTCTTACCAAGACAATGTAGCTTTATGTAGACTCCAAAATGATGATTTTGTGGCACTTATAGGCTAATACGTCCTAAAGTAAAATTTTAAACACAGTGACTACAGCAATTTTTTTTTCTTAAGCCCTAGTTAACTGGAAAATGACTTAGAAACATTTGAGTTAATTTCTATTTAACTGGATATTAAACTCCAGGAAAAGAGCAGATTTTTAACTCTTTTCATACCAAGAACATCTTTAGTTGGTTGTAATTTCAAAATGTTCAGAATACCCACAATCCTTAAACAGCAGTGCTCTAGAGAATATGGGGAAGACCTCAGGGACCACATCAAGAACATCTGAAGGATGCTGTTATTGAGAAACTGTCACCACCCAGCAGTCATTTTCACACTCATCATTGTTAAGGAATTCTACAGCAGATATGACTTTGAGAATTTTACAGTTGCAAGGTAAGACTGCACCATATCAGCTACTTTTTTTTAATGCTCTACTATGCACAATTCACCCATGAATCCAGGGCTTGTACTTAACCTGCTATTTCTCCCAAAGGACATCATTATAGACAGAAGTGAAAGGTAGAATCAAACAGAAATAGAGCACAATTGGGATTACTTATTTTTTCCACTTGCCCCCTGTGTACCTTTTCTTTTCTTCTTTGTCGATGAATTGTTTTCTGGGAGAACTCCACAGGAATAACAATTGACATAAACCTCGGAAATGACAGGAACTATTCAAATGTTTGTTTAAATTTTGCAGATTTGTTGTCATTTAGGCTTGGAATCATAAGCCTCATGGACATAGAAGGTGGGACACACATGATGTTACTGAGAAATTAAGATTTAATATACTTAAAAATATTGGGGCATATACTTTAGTTTTAATGACAATCTTATTGTGTATAAAAATCATCTGTATTTTCTCTAAGTTCAATGTAGACAGAATAAGTTAATCACCATTGCGTCTATATTTTTAGGATTTTTTACACATTTTAAATACAGACCATGTAAAACACAAACATGTAAACACATATTTCCAAACAGATAATCACACAAGGACTCTTTCATTAATATATATTGCCTCAGTCTATAATATTATGGTAAGATTAATTCAATATAATATTCAATATCACAACAAAATCAACAGATTCCTGGAGGTGCTTATGTTACTATTCTTTTATACAGAGATTGTGAAAGTAGGAGAATCCTTCAAAGTTTATCATATTATTGATATAAAAAGATAAAAAACTGAAAGAATTCATGATGTGTGGTGCTGTGCATAGGCTGGTTTGCTTAACTGACAGAAATATGCCTAGGAGAAGACGTTACTACCTTAGGTGAAATGAGTGAAATCAGATGAGTGAAATTTTTATCACTGTTCTGGTTTAACCATCATTACAGTATTAGGGCCATTTAAATGTAATATGTTCATTACTTACAAGATTTTTAAAGGAGTCTGTATGTATTATATTTAATTGATAAGTATATTGAGTATCTCTAAAATATTTTCTTTTTTTCTGTTGTGCTAATTGATACACAACAAAATGCAAGTTATGTACTCTTTGACTTACTATAGCTAAGTATGTATTTAGATTTGTATGTGTAGATTACACTAATGTACCAAAGTACTATAAATAATTTGTATTGATCATCTTGCTAATTTAGTTTATTGTTCACATTTTGCCTTCTTAAAATTTTTTTTATATCTAAAGCTTCTATTCTTTAGATTAAGTAGAAATGCATTAAAACAGGAAATATACTAGACAAAAGGGAGTCTATGAGCTCTCTCAATAGCATTTTCTATTGGTAATCATAAGGAAAAATTTCATTCCATTTTTATCACTCATTCTGAAGATTGATAATATAGTTGCTTGAGAAACATTACTTATGCTGTGTGCTTATTATTTCTGCTGCTCTCAACGTGAAGCATAGCATGTGTTTTTGTGAAGAATGTTGGTACTTGATTATAATTGTAGCTGCATCTCATTTGATAGGCAATTTCACTTTGGAGAATAGGTGTAAGATTTTTAGTATTTTCAGTGTAAATCAGGTCAATCCCATCAGAGAATATAGAGTATGTGAATGATGAATAGCATTTATTCCATCATGTTATTAAAATACAGAAAACTTTTTCCAACCAAAATATTGATTTTGTGCTTCAGCTTGTTTAAGACTGTGTATAAGTTCTACATGTCCTGGTAAGGCATGGTCACAGCCTTGTTCAGAATCTGAAATATATTGGATGATTAATAAATATTGGTGGAACGATACACATCTGTATGGTATATTGGAGTGTTCTGTTTAGGAAAAGCTGCTTCCTTCATATGGGTCTATGGCTTTATTCATCAGGTATAGATGGTAGTGCATTTAAATGCAAAAAATAACATTAGCAAGGAGACCACTGAGGTGGAGCCTACCCGCCCCCCGCCCCCGATATTAAAACATGTTATAAAGCTACATTAAGTAAAGTCCTGTATGGTAGGTGTAGATTTTATTTTCCTCATTCTACCAGGGATGGAATAAAGGCTTCAGCAGCTTAAACCACTTTCCCAATGTGAGTAGGGGGCCAAAATTCATGTTCAGTTTTTCTGACTCCAGAGCTCCACTGAATAAGAGAGCCCTGCTATTTTAGATCATATGTCTTTATTTTCTTCTAATTTTCTTAAAGATAAGTATCCATATTTATTTCATTAGTAAAAACATTTTCATAATTTACCTTTTGAGTAGCATTATGAATTAATGGCTCCCCAGACTCAATATGTCTAAATAATACTCAATTTATCAGGAATTAAATAGTAGGAGCCCCTTTAAATGGACTGGACTCCTTTGTTCTTTTGCTATCATCCCTGCTAATTTTAAGTGATTTTGGTTAGTGGCCACCAGATATTCCAGACACATTTTGATTCTTCCCATCCTAAGATATAAAATCAGCAACCTTTCATGGAGTACAGATTCCTTATAGGGAATATTAGTATTAAATAAAAGGCTTTCAGCCTTTTAGTATTAAAGACTAGAAGACTTTTCTGTAATACTAATTTTTTTCTTATTTTTAAGACTTTATTTTAGAGCAGTTTTAGATTCACAGCAAAATTGAGAGAAACTTACAGAGATTCCCCTCATTGTGTTCTGATCCCCTGCTCCTACACATGGATGGCCTCCCCATTATCAATATCCCCCAAATGTTACAATTGATGAACTAAACTGACACGTTGTTATCACCCACAATCCCTAGTTTATATTAGAGTTCACTCTTGGTGTTGTACGTTCTGTGGGCTTGGAAAAATGTATAATAAAATTCATCCACCATTAGTATCATGTAGAGTATTTTTACTGCTTTAAAAATCCTCTGTTCTCTGCCTGTTCCTCCATCCCTCCTTGCTAACTACTGGCAACCACTGACTTCTTACTGTCTCCATAGTTTTTCCCTTTTCAGAATGTCATATACTGTAGTTGGAATTACATAGGATGCAGCATTTTCATATTGGATTCTTTCATGTAGTAATATGCATTTAAGTTTCCTCTATGTCTTTTTGTGGTTTGGTATCTCATTTCTTTTTAGTGCTGAGTAATATTCCATTGTCTGGATGTACCACAGTTTATCCATTTACCTACTAAAGGACCTCTTGGTTGCGTCCAAGTTTTGGCAATTATGAATAAAGCTGCTATAAACATCCATGTGAAGGTTTTTGTGTGGACATGTTTTTGACTACTTTGGGCAAATACCAAGAAGTGCAATTGCTGGGTTATATTGTAAAGTATGTTTAGTTTGTTTTTCAAACAACCCCATTAAAAAGTGGGCAAAGGACATGAACAGACACATTTCAAAAGAAGGCATACATGTAGCCAACAAACATAGTTTTAAAAAAGCTCAGCATCACTGATCTTAGAGAAATGCAAATCAAAACCACAATGAGATATCTCACACCAGTCAGAAAGGCTAGTATTAAAAAGTAAAAAAATAACAGATGTTGGCGAGGTTGTGGAGCAAAGGGAACACTTATACACAGCTAGTGGGAGCCTAAATTAGTTCAACCATTGTGGAAAGTAGTGTGTCAATTCCTCAATACCTAAAAAACAGAAATTCATTTTGACCCAAAGGAATATAAATTGTTCTGTCATAAAGACACATGCACACATATGTTCATTGCGGCACTATTCACAATAGCAAAGACATAGAATCAAACTAAATGCCCACCAATGATAGGCTGGATAAAGAAAATCTCATACATATATATCATGGAATACTATGCAGCCATAAAAAGAGTGAGATTATGTCCTTTGCAGGAACATGGATGGAGCTGGAGGCCATTATTCTAAGCAAACTGGAGCAGTAACAGAAAACCAAATACTGCATTCTCTCATTTATAAGTGGGAGCTAAATGATGAGAACACATAAAGGGAAACAACAGGCACTGGTGCCTAATAGAGGGTGGAGGGTGGGAGGAGGGAGAGGTTCAGGAAAATAATGAATGAGTATTAGGCTTAATACCTGGTGACAAAATAATCTGTAAAACAAACCCTCATGACACAAGTTTACCTATATAACAAACCTGCACAGGTACTCCGACTTAAAAGGTTTAGGAAAATTATGTTTAGTTTTTAAAATTTGAATTAAAACAATTTTAAATATTCAATTGACAAAGAAGGTATATATTAAAGGTACACAATGTGATGATTTGATATACATGTGCATTGTGTAATGATTACCCCAATCATATTAATTAACATACCAATTACCATCTATGTTGTACATTAGATCCCCAGAACTTATTTATCTTATAACTGAAAGTTTGCCCCCACTGGTCAACATCTCCCCATTTCCCACACCCTCTCATCTGTGGCAACTGCTGCTTCACTCTGTTTTTATGATTTATGTAAAATCAAAACAGTTTGATTTTACATATAAGTGGTATCATATTGTATTTGTCTTTCTGTGTTTGGCTTATTTCACTTAGCAAAATGCCCTCCAGGTTCATCCACAAATGGCAAGATTTTCTTCATTTCTTATAGCTGAATACTATTCTATTGTAAGTGGTTGTATATATACATATATATGACCATTTCTTTATTCATTCATTCATCTGCAGATGCTTAGGTAGTTGCCATGTTTTGGCTATTGTGATAATGATGGAATGAATGTGGGAGTGCAGATGTCTTTTCAAGCTACTTAATTCCTTCAGATATAAATTCAGAAGTGGAATTGCTAGATCTTTTGGTAGTTGTATTTTTAATTTTTGAGGAATCTCCCCACTTTTTTTCATTATGACTGTATCAATTTACATTCCCACCAGCAGTGTGCAAAAGTTCCCTTTTCTCCACATCGTCTCAAATATTATCTCTTGTCTTTTTAATAATATCCATCCTAACAGGTGTGAGGTAATATCTCACTGTGGTTTTGAGTTGCATTTCCCTTGATGATCAGTGCTATTGAAGATCTTTTAATGCACTATTGGCCTTTTGTATGTTTTCTTTTTCAGAAATGTATATTCAGCGCCTTTACTTATTTTTAATTGGATTATTATTATTATATTGTTATTGAGTGGTATGACTTCCTACTATATTTTAGATATTAACTCCTTATTGAATACATGGTCTACAAATATTTTCTCCCATTCTTTCTGTGTGTTGCCTTTTCATGTTTTTGGTTGTTTGCTTTGCTTTGCAGAAGATTTTTTGCAGAAGAAGAAGAT
Source organism: Homo sapiens (assembly GCF_000001405.40). Taxonomy (NCBI): domain Eukaryota; kingdom Metazoa; phylum Chordata; class Mammalia; order Primates; family Hominidae; genus Homo; species Homo sapiens. The sequence continues at coordinate 67,192,247 of NC_000010.11, read as the reverse complement.
TTTTATAAGTAGTCCCACTTAAATCTTTTTGCTTTTGTTGCATGTGCTTTTGGTGTCATCTAAAAAGACATTGTTGAGACCAATGTCAAGAATCTTTTACCCTATGTTTTCTTCTAGGAGTTTTACAGTTTCAGGCATTACAGTTATGTCTTTTATCCATTTCAAGTTAATTTTTGTGAGTGGTGTAGATAAGGGTCGAATTTTATTTTATTTTTGTCTGTAAATATTCAGTTTTCCCAGCACCATTTATTGAAGAGACTATTCTTTCCCCATTGTGCTTTTACAGAATATTAGTTGACTGTATATGTGTGGGTTTATTCCTGGGCTCTTAATTCTATTCAAATGGTGTTTGTGTATGTTTTTATGCTAGTACTATACTGTTTTGATTGCTATAGCTTTGTAATGTACTTTGAAATCAGGAAGTGTGATCCCTCCAGTTTTGTTCTTAAGATTGCTTTGGCTATTTGTGGTCTTTTGTGGTTTTATATGAATGTTAGGATTGTTTTTTCTATTTCTTTGAAGAATACTGTTAGAATTTTGACATAGATTGTTTTGACTCTATAGATCACTTTGGGTAATATAGACATTTAACAGTACTAATTATTTTAATCCATGAACATCAGGGTACTTTTTCATTTGTTTGTGTCTTCAATTTTTTTCATCAATGCCTTGTAATTTTTAATGTAACCACAGATCTTTCAAATCTGTGGTTAAATTTGTTTCTAAGTGGTTTATATTTTTGATGCTAATATACATTGCATTGTTTTCTTTCTTTTTCAGATAGTTTGTTGTTAGCATACAGAAATGCAACTGATTTTTGTACTTTGGTTTTGTATCCTGCAACTTTATTGGATTTGTTTACTAGTTATAATAGGTTTTTGGTTGAGTCTTTGGGTTTTCTATACATAATATTATATAATCTGCAAACAGAGAAAATTTTACTTCTTTTTTTCCTGATTTGTATGCCTTTTATTTCTTCTTCTTGCTTAATTGCTCTGGCTAGGACTTCCAGGAATATATTAAGTGGAAATGGTGAGAGTGGGACAATATGTTTAATTTTGTAAGAAACCGCCAAACTGTTTTTCAAAGTGGCTTTATCACTTTGCATTCCTATCAGCAGTGAATTAGAGTTTTTATTACTCCACATTCTTGCCAGCATTTGGTGTTGTCAGTGTCCTGGAATTTGGCCATTCTAATAGATGTGTAGTGGTATCTCATTACTGTTTTACTTTGCATCTCCCTTATGACTTATGCTTATTTTCATATGCTTATTTTCTATCTGTATATATGTTTAAGTGAATTATCTGTTAAGGTCATTGGCCTATTTTTAAAAATGAGGCTATTTATTTATAGTTGAGTTTTAAGAATCCTTCATATGTTTTGGATAATATCGTTTATCGGATATGCCTTTTACAAATATTGTCTCCCAGTCTGTGTCTTGTTTTTTCACTCTCTTGATGTCTTTATTTTTTAAAAGACATATATTAGCCAAACATATTTGTAATAGTTTAAACAGTGTAAACCTAACATAATAAAATTGAAATTCTTGCAACTGATTAATTTAAAAATAATATTATATTCATTCTGGTAAACAAAGAAAGCATTTTGTCTATTTGATTCCAAAATAATTAGTTGATTAATACTTGAATCTAAAAGAGTAATAAACGTTTGGTCCATAATTATCTTTTTTAAAATTTAAGAATTTGAATTTTTAATTACTTTGTATTTTTATAAGTAATATGAAATGAAGCCTAGTTATTAAAAAATTAAAACTTTACTACCCCAGTTTGGGTTCTTGTCTCATCCTCCCCCCAAAATAATAATTGCTATGGTATTGGTATGTTTCCTTTAGACCTTTTCCTAGGCTCTCATATACACATATGCACTCAGAGAAAATACAAAGTGTTGTTGTGTGCTCGTTTTAAAAATATATATGATATCATTATATATATCATCCTGCCACTTCTGTTTTTTATTTTATCATATATTCTGGCAATTTTTCAAGCTATTATATATAGATTCATCCCACATTGTTCACTCAAATACATGTAGAGCCATGATCTCAGTCTTCTCAAAATGTAGCAATTATTTCTGTTTCTAGAGGCCATAGAGTTTTCTTTCACTGTAAGTCATATTGATTAAAATAATCCTTATAAGTTATTTTCTGGAAGATAGCCTTTAGGCTACAACCAAAAAGAAAAATGATCAGCAATGCCTACGTAAACTACATATTCTCCATTAAATGATTTAATATAAGACATTCCCCACATCACTATTTGAATTGGTTCTCATACTTCCATTCTGTGGGTGGTATACATCTTTTGTATTTTAAAATATTGATATTTGCAATTTATTTTAATTTTAATCATTCCGTCATAGTGTCAGATTTTTTAAAACTCCTATAGATGAATGAAATATGTATTCTCCTGGTTTCACAGATCCCTTCCCTACCTTTGATGCAGTTTTTTTGTTTACTCAGATGTAAAGTACCTGTCTTCTCTTTGACTTGTTTTCAAGTTTCAGTCTTTCTGCTTCTAGCTGTATAATTATAATGCTGATGCCTGTTCAGGAAGACTTGATAACATAAAATCTGGATAAGATCACATCCAGACTGTTTTTTAGCAGTTCATTTAAAATTTTTTAAATTAGTGAATAAAAATTATGTATATTTGTGGTGTATAACATGATGTTTTGAAATACATACACATTATGCAGTGGCTAAATGAAACTAACATATGCACTACCTCACATACTTATTTTTTTGTGGTAAGAACACTTAATATCTACTCTCAGCAATTTTCAAGTACACAGTACATTATTATTAACTATAGTTACCAAGTTATGCAATAGATTTCTTGTATTTATTCCTCCTGTCAAAGTAAAATTTTGAATCTTTTGACCAGCATCTCCTGAATCCTGTCCCTGCCCCCTAGCCCCTGGTAACCACCACTCCACTCTGTGTCCGAGTTAGATTCTTTTGGATTTTACATACAAGTGAGATCATGTGGTATTTGTATTTCTGTGCATGGCTTATTTCACATAACATAATGTCTTCTAGGCTTATCCATCTTGCTGCAAATGACAGAATTTTCTGTTTTTTTTTTTGTTGTTGTTGTTGTTTGTTTGTTTGTTTGACAGGGTCTCGCTCTGTCACCCAGGCTGGAGTGTAGCAGCATGCTCACAGCTCACCACAACCTCGACTTCTTGGGCTCAAGCAATTCTCCCACCTCAGTCTCCCGAGTAGCTGGAACTACAGGCATGCGCCACCACGCCTGGCTAATTTTTGTATGTTTTGTAGAGATGAGATTTTGCCATGTTGCCCAGGCTGGTCTTGAACTCCTGGACTCAAACCAGCCACCAGCCACCCACCTCAGCCTCCCAAAATGTTGCAATTATAGGCATGACTCGTTGCACCCTGCAGATTGTTTTCTTTTTAAAGGCTGAATAGTATTCCATTGCATATATACTACATTTTCTTTATCCATTTGGCCATTGGTAGACATTTAGGGTGATTCCATATCTTGGCTATTATGAATAATGGTGCAGTGAACATGAGAGTACATATATCTCTTTGATATACTGATTTCATTTCCCTTGGATATATACACAGTAGTGGGATTGCTGATTATATGATAGTTCTATTTTCAATTTTTTAAGGAACCTCCAGCTGTTTTTCATGATAGCTGTATCAATTTATATTTCTACCAGCAGCATACAAGGATTCCCCTTTTCTCTACATCTTTGTCATCAAGATTACCTGTAGCTTTCAATTCCATGTTCTATGGATCTAAATCCCTCCCTAAGAATTCTGTGAATGACTGGTTTGCCAGGCTCAAATGATCCTCCTACCTCAGCCTCCCAAGTAGCTGGGAATACAGGGATGTGCCACCTTGCCCAGCTAACTTTTATATTTTTTGTAGAAACGGGTTTCACTATGTTGCCCAGGCTGATGTTGAACTCCTGGGCTCAAGCAATTGGCTCATCTGTGCCTCCCAAAGTGCTGGGATTACAGGCGTGAGCCACTGTGCTTAGCCCTACTTTGCCTTTAACCATTTTGATTCTGCATTTAATTGTCCAGACTTACGTCTGGTCAATCTGTGCTTAACTAACTACTCTTTTTATTTATACAACACATCCACATTGTAGTTACGTATTTTTGTGATTTTCTTGGTTAATAGTGTTAAGTTCTGAGATGTGAGCCCTGTGAGGAGGGCAGGGATGCTCACCATTCTATTACCAATTCCTAGCACAGTACCTGGCACAGAGTAGGCTCTTTAAGAGACTCAGAATGTAAGGAAGGAAAAGTTGAAGAGTACTTGGGGTTTGTGATGAGGAGAAGATAGCCTTGAAAATAAAGGGGAACACTGGGCACAGTGGCTTACACCTATAATTCCAGCACTGTGGGAGGTCAAGGCAGGTGGATTGCCTGAACTCAGGAGTTTGAGACCAGCCTGGGCAACATGGTGAAACCCCATCTCTACAAAAATTACAAAAACTAGCTGGGTGGGGTGGCACACACCTGTGATTCCAGTTACTGCGGAGGCTGAGTTGGGAAGATCACCTGAGTTGGGGAGGTCAAGGCTGCAGTGAGCCATCATTGCACAACTGCACTCAGCCTGGGTGACAGAGTGAGACATTCCTCAAATTTTTTTCAAAAAAGAAAGAAACAAAGGGGAGATAAGAGAGAGAGAAAGAAAGAGAGAGAGATAAAGAGAGAGAAAGAAAATGATGAGAGAGAAAGACTATGTCTTCCTTGAAGACAAGGAGGAGAAGAAATGAGTGGAAAAACATAATGAGACTCAGGTGAATGAAGAAGTTTGCCAGGTGGTCTCATCTCAGTTTCCCCAGAGTGGTAGAAAGTGTATGGATTTGGTACTTACATAAAATTGGATTTGAATCCTATATCTTCTCTTTTAAGGGGATTATTAGACAACTTACTTAATCTTGCTCACTCTCGGTTTTCACATGTATAAATTAATGATGATAATACCCCACAAAATGGTTGGTAATGGTTAAATAAGATAACAAAAGCAGCATTGCATGGTAGTTATAGCATGGAACTGGAAGTAGACAGATTTGGACAGACTCTTCCCTCTGCTACTTACTAGCTGAGTGATCTTGGGTAAGTTACTTAAAGTCTTTAATTTTGAAAAGAAGTGGTAGGAAGAAAAATAAGGAATAAATTTATTAATCAAATAAATTATAAGCTCTCCAGAGAGAGATAAAAATATAGAGGATGATATCAATACAAATATATTTGTTTATAGCTATGCGCCAGGATTCAAACCCAGGCTATCTGCTTCTAAGACCTGGGTTCTAAATTTCTAGCTATACTTACTCTTTTAAACAAAATAATATAATAGAAGAATATGGAGTTGGGACTCTTAATTATATTTAAAAAATAATGTTCTGTCAGCAATCAAATTATTAAGGAGGTAAGTATACATTGAGTGGAACCTTAAAAAAGGAAAAATATTTTCTATTTCAATGGAGTGGCATCCTGAAAAAACAATATCCTATTGATTGTCTTTCATGGGATTAATGCCATGAAACACACTGAAATGCTGTTTTAACATAGCTATTGTGCATCGGAAGAGGTAAAAACTTATTTCAGTTGGTCTTAAACAAATCCAGTGCCATTTCACAGGACATTTGATTTACTTTAAAAAATTCTTGCCTTTTTATTGATTCAGTGACAAGGTTAGTGAAAACTTTAGTAGGTTGGAATAGTAGGACAGTTGTTTCAGGCAAAATCAAGAGACCTGCCTATAGGTGTCAGATGTCAGAACAGACAACGGTTTGAGTTCAGATGAGCTTGAAGAATCGGAAGTCTTAAAAGTCAAGCATGTAAAATTCCAAATGCTGAGATAGTTTGAGGAATGAACCTGTAGAGCAGAAGCTAGAGTGAACTTAATTCTACAATATAGGCTATTTACTAACATGAAATCACAGCTAGAACATGGCAAAAAAGCCAGAACTGCCAAAAATCACGGCAGTTTTTTCTTGCAGTACTTACAGCAAACAGATTTGAAATGTAATCAGTTTTTTCCTATTGTCACAATGCTGGAGACATATTCACTGTTTCTATCACATCTTCTAATTACATTAGAGCAATTAAAGAGCAATTCTATTGCCTGCATAGTCTTTTCTTAATGATGCCACACTGGAAGTACATTTCCAAAAAGGTTTTAAATGGTTTAATTTTTTTTTTTTTTTTTTTGTGAGACGGAGTCTTGCTCTGTAGTCTAGGCTGGAGTACACTGGTGTGATCTCGGCTCACTGCAACTTCTGCCTCCTGGGTCCCGGTTCAAGCAATTCTCCTGCCTCAATCTCCCAAGTAGCTGGGATTACAGACACATGCCACCATGCCTAGCTAATTTTTGTATTTTTAGTAGAGACAGTGTTTCACCATGTTGGCCAGGCTGGTCTTGAACTCCTAACCTTGTGATCCGCCCACCTCAACCTCCCAAAATGCTGGGATTACAGGTGTGAGCCACTGCACCTGGCCTAAATGGTTTAATTTTTGTTATGAAACATTGTAGTGGAAAGTTTGTACTAAATGAGTGGGCCAAAGAAAGATGTGGTAAAAGTGGCAAATGAAATAAGGAGGAAGACTTAGATGAATGAAGCCTTAACTGATGGCCAGCCCCATTGTAGGGATTATGGTTTCATCAAAAATAATATCTACTGGGTAAAGAAAAAGAAATGTTAAATTTGCTTTTTGTAAAGTTAATTTCCTTTCATGTTTTTAAAAATTTTTTTGCCCATGTAAGACAGAAAAATGGAGAGACTCAATAGAGGCATAGAAAAAAAGGAAAAAAAGGCCGGCCGTGATGGCTCACACCTGTAATCCCAGCACTTTGGGAGGCCGAGGCAGGCGGATCATGTGGTCAAGAGATCGAGACCATCCTGGCCAACATGGTGAAACCCTCTCTCTACTAAAAATATAAAAATTAGCTGGATGTGGTGACGTGTACCTGTAGTCCCAGCTACTTGGGAGGCTGAGGCAAGAGAGTCGCTTGAATTTGGGGGTAGAGGTTGCAGTGAGCCGAGATCGCGCCACTGCACTCAAGCCTGGCAACAGAGTGAGACTCCATCTAAAAAACAAAAAAAGAAAAGAAAAAAAGAAAAATAGGAAGAAAACAGTCAGGAAAGGAAGAATTCTCCTGCATGCTTTTAAGATATTTAACCAATTTTATATCAGATCTATATTCTAGTTTACATTTTACATTATATAAGGGGCCTTCAAAAAGTTCATGAAGAATGTGTATTATAAAAAACTATGCATGGATTTCAACATTTTTTCCACCAAAATAAACTCATACTAACTTGTTGTAACATGTCAGAATGGGATTTATTTTGAGGCACTGAGAAAGATAAAACATCAGTTTGAAGAACCTCTATCAGCAATGTGAATTCTGATAAAAATGAAGCAAGAACAAACATCAAATATGTGGTGAAGACTGGGCAAAAGAATGGTAAAATCATTGATGCTTTATAAAAGGTTTATAGGGACAATGCCTCAAAGAAATCAGCAGTTTACAAGTGGGTAACTCATTTTAGTAAGGGATGAGATGATGTCAAAGATGAAGCTCAAGGTGGCAGAACATCCACATCAATTTGTGGGAAAAAAATTAATCTTGTTCATGTCTTAATTGAAAAGGACTGACAATTAACAGCACAAACAATAGCCAACACCATAGACATCTCAATTGCTTCAGCTTATACAGTTCTGACTAAAATATTAAAGTTGAGCCAACTTTCTACTTGATGAGTGTCAAAAATGTTGCTCCGGGAGAAGCTGCAGATAAGAGCAGAGCTTTCAATAGAAATTTTTTAAACAATTGATATCAAGATCCTGAAGCATCTCTCCAAAGAAATGTAAAAGGAGATGGAACATGGCTTTACCACTACGATCCCTAAGGCACAGCACAGTCAAAGCAATGGCTACCAAGAGTTGGAAGTAATCGAGTCGAAGCAAAATTGGACCAGTCAAGAGCAAAGGTCATGGTAATAGTGTTTGGGATTCTCAAGACATTTTGTCTGTTAACTTGCTGGGAGGCCAAAGAATGATAACTACTTATTATAAGAGTGTTTTAAGAAAGTTGGCCAAAGCGTTAGCAGAAAAATGCTTAGGAAAGCTTCACCAGAGAGTCCTTCTCCATCACAATAATACTTGTGCTCATTCCTCTTATTAAACAAGGGCAATTTTGCAAGATTTGCATAGGAAATTATTAGGCTTCCATGTTACAGTCCCGATTTGGCTCCTTCTGACTCCTTTTTGTTTCCTAATCTTAAAAAAATTGTAAAGGGCACCTATTTTTCTTCAGTTAATAATGTAAAAAAGACTGCATTGACATAGTTGAATTCCCAGAACCTTCAGTTCTTTAGAGGTAGACTAAATAGCTGGTATCATCACTTGCATAAATTTCTTGAACTTGATGGAGCTTACGTTGAGAAATAAAGTTTACATTTTTTATTTTTATATTTTAACTCCACTTTTTACGTGAACTTTTTGGAGTACCCTCACATTTTATTTTTTATTTATTTATTTTTTAATTATACTTTAAGTTTTAGGGTATATGTGTACAACATGCAGGTTAGTTACATATGTATACATGTGCCATGTTGGTGTGCTGCACCCATTAACTCGTCATTTAACATTAGGTATATCTCCTAATGCTATCCCTCCCCCCTCCTCCCACCCCACAACAGGCCCCAGTGTGTGATGTTCCCCTTCCTGTGTCCATGTGTTCTCATTGTTCAATTCCCACCTATGAGTGAGAGCATGCGGTGTTTGGTTTTTTGTCCTTGCGATAGTTTGCTGACAATGATGGTTTCCAGCTTCATCCATGTCCCTACAAAGGACATGAACTCATCATTTTTTATGGCTGCATAGTATTCCATGGTGTATATGTGCCACATTTTCTTAATCCAGTCTACAATTGTTGGACATTTGGGTTGGTTCCACGTCTTTGCTATTGTGAATAGTGCCGCAATAAACATACATGTGCATGTGTTTTTATAGCAGCATGTTTTATAATCCTTTGGGTATATACCCAGTAATGGGATGGCTGGGTCAAATGGTATTTGTAGTTCTAGATCCCTGAGGAATCACCACACTGACTTCCATGATGGTTGAACTAGTTTACAGTTCCACCAACAGTGTAAAAGTGTTCCTGTTTCTCCATATCCTCTCCAGCACCTGTTGTTTCTTGAATTTTTAATGATCGCCATTCTAACTGGTGTGAGATGGCATCTCATTGTGGTTTTGATTTGCATTTCTCTGATGGCCAGTGATGATGAGCATTTTTTCATGTGTCTTTTGGCTGCATAAATGTCTTCTTTTGAGAAGTGTCTGTTCATATCCTTTGCCCAGTTGTTGATGGGGTTGTTTGTTTTTTTCTTGTAAATGTGTTGGAGTTCATTGTAGATTCTGGATATTAGCCCTTTGTTACATGAGTAGATTGCAAAAATTTTCTCCCATTCTGTAGGTTGCCTGTTCACTCTGATGGTAGTTTCTTTTGCTGTGCAGAAGCTCTTTAGTTTAATTAGATCCCATTTGTCAATTTTGACTTTTGTTGCCATTGCTTTTGGTGTTTTAGACATGAAGTCCTTGCCCATGCCTATGTCCTGAATGGTATTGCCTAGGTTTTCTTCTAGGGTTTTTATGGTTTTAGGTCTAACATGTAAGTCTTTAATCCTTCTTGAATTAATTTTTGTATAAGGTGTAAGGAAGGGATCCAGTTTCAGCTTTCTACATATGGCTAGCCCGTTTTCCCAGCACCATTTATTAAATAGGGAATCCTTTCCCCATTGCTTGTTTTTCTCAGGTTTGTCAAAGATCAGATGGTTGTAGATTGGCTTTATTTCTGAGGCCTCTGTTCTGTTCCATTGGTCTATATCTCTGTTTTGGTACCAGTACCATGCTGTTTTGGTTACTGTAGCCTTGTGGTGTAGTTTAAAGTCAGGTAGCGTGATGCCTCCAGCTTTATTCTTTTGGCTTAGGATTGACTTGCTGATGTGGGCTCTTTTTTGGTTCCATATGAACTTTAAAGTAGTTTTTTCCAATTCTGTGAAGAAAGTCATTGGTAGCTTGATGGGGATGGCATTGAATCTATAAATTACCTTGGGCAGTATGGCCATTTTCACGATATTGATTCTTCCTACCCATGAGCATGGAAAGTTCTTCCATTTGTTTGTATCCTCTTTTATTTCATTGAGCAGTGGTTTGTAGTTCTCCTTGAAGAGGTCCTTCACATCCCTTGTAAGTTGGATTCCTAGGTATTTTATTCTCTTTGTAGCAATTGTGAATGGGAGTTCACTCATGACTCAGGATTAAGAAACTCACTCAAAACCCCTCACATTTTATAGTAAGGGAACATTACACAGTGCTGTTTTTTTAAAAAAAATGTTTTAAAACTATATCTTTTTCTATAATAATTTTTTCTTCCTAGCTTGACTCTGCAGTTGTGGCTTTTAAAATTGTATCCTGGCTACTTTCAATCCCCAAATATTTATCAGAATGTAATGTAACACAATGATAAGTATAAGATTTTATATATAAACACACACACATATACTTATTTACATACTTAAACACCTCTACCTATATAAAATACATATACATATCTATAATCTTATACATAAGATTATATACTAGGAAGATCTTATAATATCTTCACAGTGTGTTTGTGTGTAGATTCACACTCAGAATTTCACACTCTGAAGATCATTATGTGATTGCATTTCATGTTAAGGGTTCTTCAGAGAGCTTTTATTCTACACTATCTCTTTCTTCAATTCTCACATTATGCCTAATCTTGGAAAGACTTCCTCTCTTGGAGTATTTTAATAAAAGACCCTTAGAGCAGCATATACCTTCCATCTTTTCTTAAGAGGCTGTAGATTATCTCGACTTCTATTACCTGAAGATATGTCTAATGGAAACCTTAAAAATACCGTGTCAGGTTCTAATAGCTGGAAATAGCTGGAAGTTATAATAGATCAACAGGAAGAAGCAGTTTTGTTTTAAATTAAATAATTAAAATTCAGAATTTACTTTGATATGTTAGTGTTAAAGTTAACTAAAGTTTATGATTTAAAGTGAGGCATAATGAAAATAATATTAAATCTGGTATTGAAAGACATGGATACTTGTCTGAACGTCACTGTTTATTTGCTCTATGACCTTGGGTAAGACAGCCTTTCAGCCTCACTCATCATCAGCTGAAATGTGTAGTTATTAATACTTTGCTGCCTACTTCCTCATGGTGCTGTCAGGATGAGATACATGAAAATATTGTATAAACAGTGCAGTCTATAAAAGTTACTATTGTAAATAACAGTTAATATGCTCCAGTCAGTGTATTAAGCATTTATATCATTCTTACAACAGTTTTACAACACACGCAACATTAATATTCTGCTTTTATAGATCAAGAGGTTGAGGCTCAGCAAGTGTATGACACCTGCATGAGGGAGAAATGTAAGATTTGAATCCAGGTCTGTCTGAGGCTAGAACAAAAGCTCATAATTGCATCACTTTCATTATTTATCAGAATAATAATCACTACATAGCATTATGTGTGAACCAGCCGAGGCAGTAAAACACAGTTCTCTTTATTATCACATCTGAATTCTAAATGCAAAAACAAAATAACATTTGTTTTTCATAAAAGTGAAATGCCATGGAGCTCTAACCATACAAATGTGTTCTTCTCTTAGAATTTAATTGTCCTGAATCCACTCACAGTAACTGAGGAGGAAATACGACCATCACTAGAGAAACGCCTTGAAGCCATTATCAGTGGGGCTGCTCTGCTGGCGGATTCTTCATGTACGAGGGACTTACACCGAGAGCGGATTATCGCAGAATGCAACGCCATTCGCCAGGCTCTTCAGGATCTGCTTTCAGAGTACATGAACAACGTAGGTGACTGGTTTGCCTTCCCATCCCTAGCCCCTCTTCCCTTGTACTTTGAATATAGGCTGAGATACTTTCCGTATACAAAATAGGGTAAATTACAAATGAGTATGTGATTTTACATAGGTTGATTTTCTAAGTGAGTTCTGCTTGGTTATTTACAGGGAACAACAACCCTGGGAATTTCTAGGGATGAGATCAGAACCAGAAGGGTATTTACAGGTGATTGTTTTGTTTGTGGAAGTATCTCACTATTAGTTGAAGAAGGGAATCAGGATTGGAGAAAGGAAACTAGAGTTGCACATCAATTTAAGAAATATAAAGAAGATAAAGAGAGGGGCAGATTGCTCAGGATCAAGTTAGTGAATAATGAAAGGCCATTAGAAGTTAGTATCCAATAACAGTGATATTACAGGGATCATGAGCTATGTTTGAAGGCGTGTAAAGAGCCCATGCAGGTTGTTATGTTTTTTTGTTGTTGTTGTTTTATGGAGATAGACAGGGTCTTGATCTGTTGCCCAGGCTCAAGTGCAGTTGGGCAATCACAGCTAATGGCAGCCTCGAACTCCTGGGCTCATATGATCCTTCTACCTCAGCCTCCCAAGTAGCTTGGACTACAGGTGTGTTACCATGCCCAGCTAATTTTTGTAGTTTTTGTAGAGATGGGGTTTTGCCATAATGCCCAGACTGGTGTCAAACTACTGGGCTCAAGTGACCCTCCCACCTTGGCCTCCCAAAGTGCTGGGATTACAGGCACCCACGTAGTTTTGGCAGCTCTTAATCTTTTTCAAATGTGACAGTGTCTAGTTTTTTTTTTTTTTTTTTTTGAAGTTTTAGCTATCAGAAATATTGTAAATGTCTAAATTTAGGGCAAAAATATTTGTTTCAAAGTCCATTTTGTTTCACTGTATTTATACATATATATGAAATACATATCTCTTCATCTATGGAATGTCTGTAACTATTGTTCCCCTCAAATCTTGGTAATATTTATAAAGTGAAGAGAAAAATCTTGAATATATTTTCAATTATATATTGATTATGAAGATTCCTTAAATAATAGAGCTAAACAAAATGAAAGTTATAATAGCAATATTTTGTTCATCTGCATTATTATAAATAGAAGAATTCAAGATTCATGTAGGTGTGTTTTGAGAATGATTAGTTACAAAGGGTATGACTTTTCAGGTATGAATTTAAGATATTTGAGATTGTTCAATTATGTGAATAATTGAAATGCACTAAAATTATTTGGTGCATTTTGAAGACCCTTCAACACATTTGATGTATCTTCATACTCTTAATATTTGATGACTTTGGTTCCTGACCAGAAATCTCTCACCTGTCGATAAATCAAAGTTGTAAGGTAGATTTCTTTAATAAGAAAATTTTAGTATTGTCATGTCCTAGACATGACATGTCCTAGAATGCCTGAAGCTAGAATATCCCCATTTTTAGCATATAATATATTCTTAAAGATTTTTCAAGGTAATTCATCAGTCATAAAAAACTTAGAAGATAATATTTTATTGAAATGCCTTCTTTCATGATATGCAAACTGTTACAATTATTATTTTCCTCTTTACAGATAAAATATAGTAAAGTTATATATACATTTATTTTTCCTAGAAATTATAAAATTGTAAGTTCAATTTATCTAAAATAGAAAGTTATTTTATTCTTTATAGGTACAAATTCAGATATATATACATGTGCACACTTACCCACATACATAGGTAAGGTTGGCCACGTAATTTGTGGGGCCTAATACAAAATGAAAATGTGAGGCTTCTTGTTCAAAAAGCAGGAGAAAGGAACTGTAGCTTTCTTACACAGTCTCTCGTGACCTATGAAAGGTTATTTTTGTTTGCTATTTAATGTTAGATTTCTAGAGTATAGAGGTACTTATAAAGTGACTATATAAAGAGGTACTTATAAAGTGACTATATAAAGAGGTACTTATAAAGTGACTATATGTCTCGTGACATATAGGTCACGAGAGACTATGACCTATGAAAGGTTATTTTTATTTGCTATTTAATGTTAGATTTCTAGAGTATAGAGGTACTTATAAAGTGACTGCAGACCCTCACAGGCATCTGTGGCCCCACCAAATGACCCTGACCCACCCCAGGGTGTGCCAAGGCCCCCACAAGGAATAAAGGGTGGCAGTAATCACTGGGTGGGAGAACAGGTGGCTGAGGACCTATCCCAGGAAGTCACTCGGAGGCAGGACTGCATATGAGCCAAGACATGTGCTTCATTGCTGCATTGGACTACACAGATTCACAGGTAAAATTGTTAAAAAATTCAAGACTGTGGTAGCAGAGCATGAAAACCCAAGCCTGGGACCCCTGTCTAAAATTGGGATCCTATGTGCAGTAGCAGGTCCCTGAAGCTGCCCCTGTGTATAATAAACACATATCACATCAAAATAATGGTGATTTTATGGTTTTCTTAAACTGAGCAAATTGGACTGAACTAATGAATATTGTAATTAAGTGTAATTAAGTAGCAGGAACCAACCTGGAAAACTGTGGAGTGTATTATTGTATCTCATCCCCAGGTTTACTGTCACTCCAGGTTTCTATCACAAATAATGCTTCTTTATAGCTGTTGCATCAGTTTTAATGAAAGGGAATGCATTTTTCTGGAACTAGCTGAACTCAAACCTTGCTCACCGTTTGCTCAAAGACTTGGGATGGCTCTAATACTTAAGTCCTCATCTTTCTATTTTAAGGAATACTGTGTCTCCTTTGGTGGACCCAGTTGTTTTTCAGATCAGTCAGTAGCTTTTGTAATTGAGCTGTGCTGATGGAGCAAATGCTTGATGATAAGCATGAAAACTGAAAGTGATTAATTCATCAAAACCTGTGAGTCTTTTAGGTGAAGGGGACTTCAGAGATTGGCTTAAATTTTGCAAATCTGTTGCGTCCAGCCAGAGCAGTTCCGCAATGAGAAATGAATGCAGCTTATGTTTGTCTCAGGCTCAGTCCACACAACCATATGACTCCTCTGAGTCTAAATAAATTCAGTTCCTTAAACAGATCAGCAAGTCTTGATCATTTTTTAAAATGGAATCTCAACGTTCAATAAGTTCAATGTCTTGTCACATTAAGAAGAAATTAGCAAGAAATGAGATGAGATGGGTCTATAACGGACAAAACAGACAACCACTTAACACTATTGATTATGTATGTTTGCCCTAATATATACTGTCCTGTTAAATTTATATGAGTGGATACATATGTATATATGTTTGGTTAGTTTTCTATTGCTGCTGTAACAAATTACCACACACTTAGTGTCTTAAACCACACAAATTTCTGTCTTTCAGCTCTGTAATCAAAAGTCTGACCTGGGCCTCACTGGAGTAAAAATCAAATTGTTGGAGGAATGCATTATTTTCTGGAGTCTCTAGGGAAGAGTCCATTATTTTTGCCTTTTCCAGTTTCTAGAGGTCACCCTCATTCCTTGGCTCATGGCCCTCTGCCTCCATCTTCTAAGCCAGCAACGTCATGTTTCTCTGACCCTGCTTCCAACCTCACATCTCTTTCTCTGACCACACCTTGGAAAGATTCTCTTCTTTTTAGGACTCATGTGATTAGTGGGAGCCACCCAGATTATCCAGGATAATCCTCCCATCTGAAGGCCCTTAACCTTAATTACATCTGCAAAATCCCTCTTGCCATGTCAGGTAACATATTCATAGGTTCTGGGAATTTGAATGTGGACATCTCTGGGAGACTCACAACATTATATCAATACTAGTCTTCCCTAGTCTCTTTGGTGGAATCATTATCAATCCTTTCATTTCGAATCCATTATAGACAGCATCCCTCATACACTTTAAGCTCTGTGCAGGCAGATCACATGTCTGTTTTGTTTAGTTTTATCCCAAGCCTCAGGCACAATGCATAGAATTTAGAAAAAGCTGAATTGTATTTTTGGATGAAAGAGTGAATGAAATGATTGCATGTTGTATATGCCATGTAATGGAGAAACAGCCTCTCTGACATTAACTGAAATGAGTTTCAAGCATCTACTACATTTATACAATGGACTGCCTGTTATAAAAGGTCTTATTTTGCAAAGCATTAAATCTCTTCTGGAAATCAATGTAAATATCCAGAAATAAATTCTTTTTTATCTTAATCTCTGCATTTGGATCCACATCCAGCCCTATTCTAGAACAGGATTTTTATTCATTAAAAATACACTCCAGGAAACATTTAGGATCAGAAAAAATATAGCTTTTGTCTTTTAAAACTTAGGGATATATATATTTCTAAGATATTTCTGCTGATTTTGTTATATCTCTATGACTGGTTAGACCTAGTTCATCTTCTCTGATGTATAACATAATTAAGGAATTTTTTTATAAATGGGGCAGAGCAACGAGGCCCTGTGAAAAAGGAATGATCTTCAGGAAATCAATTATTTTTACATGGTGATCTTTCTGTAATTGGTGAAAATAGAATTGTAGGTAGGCAGCCATCATGTTTGAGTTCTAAGATAACACCAAGCATGGATATTTTTCTGGGACTGGGTTGAAATCATATTGTTGTAGTTGGGTTGGATGTGTTAGATAGGTGACATATAATTATTAGTAAAGTTAATATTCAGGTGATACATGACTATAGGGGATTATTAGAACTGAGTGAGAGATAATGCTGCTAGAGTAAACAAGTCAGATCTGAGCTCCATGCAGGAACTAATTTGCATTTCTGGACCTCTCATCCACCCACTTGTTTCTTCTCTTGGTGTTTTATGTGGAAGCACATTGTTGGTTCTCATTACGTATTTGCTGAGTGAATAAAGAATCAAATGGACTGGCTTTGTTATTCAGAAACCTGTTTTATTGTGTGTCTTGAGTTTAATGCATTCCATGTCTTGGGAAATTCTGAAAATTCATATAAAGCCTACACGAAAAGAGATGTTATGGGATTTTTCCTTTTGTATAGACCTCCATCTCACTCCTGAAAATGCATTTTGGAAATAATTCCAGCCTTAATTAATTAATTTATTTTTATTTCCTATGATGATATGGTAAAACAGTTGGGAGGAACAATATGCAATGGCTTTTTGAATACAAGAGACAGGTTAGAATTAAAATTCTAAAAATGTAAAGGCAGTTTTCAGCCTATGTTTTTCCTTCTTTCCCTCCCTCCCTCCCTCCCTCCCTCCCTTTCCCTCCATCCCTTCCTTCTTGCCCTTCCTCCCTCCCTTCCTTTCTTTTTTTTTTTTTTTGGCATGGACTGCATATGAGAATTGTCATTATCACCTCAAGTGTACTGTACTAGATGCTTTACATTTTTATATTCTTAACCGTTTTCATTATTATGTAGTGGTAACTGATTTTTGAGTGGTTGATTTGGTTAGAGATAATGTTTTTCAGTTTACAGATATCTGGATAACTTAAAAGAAATAAATAGTATCCTATATAGGTCTGTGCAAGAGTGGATATGCCAAAAACAGAGATATCAACCAAGGTCAGATTGATTAGAGCATAAAGTCAAAGTCCAAGAAGATATAAAGGAATCATCCCAATGAAAGAGGCTGGATTTAGATATTGAAGCTGGAATATAGGAGCTGATGATTCAACAAGCTGGGAGTTGAGAGAAATAATAAATAGTGGGGATCTGGTTAAGTTGGCAAAATGCTTTTTTTTTCTCTGATTTCTTTTCTGTGCCTAAATTAAGGACTAAGTATTACACAGGTATTTGCATATGTGAATTGTTTTGGAAATAACTTTATTGTTTCAGCTATTATTTTTCTGAGCTGCTCTGGGTTCCTAGTCTTATTCCTCTACTAAATGTTCCTTAATTCCATAGATGACTGTTAAATAATGATTCCAAATCCTTCTTGACAAGTTAAGTTTGGTGTCACGTAGATCTGGCATAGAATATCCACTTTGGGGTTTAAGAGGAGCTTGTGCAGTGCTCATTGGGGAAAAGGAGGCATCTGGGTTCCTCTATTGAGGAAACAGACTATTCTCATATATCTCTTCTTTGTGCTCTAATGTACTAATCTCTCTTAATAATAAAAATTAATTGTGAGAATCCTACAGAAATGCAAGCTATGTGATTGCGGAACTAGTAAGAAAAGCTGAAATAATAAAAAGTAGGCAGCCATTTTTATCTTTTTTAATAAAAGGGAAACTAATCAGATAGAGCCAGAGCACAGGAGGAGAATGAAATAATTTTTGTAAAATAAAAGTAACTATAAAGTAATGGAGAATATTCCAAAGTGTCAAAACTTAAGTCTTGCAGAGAGCAATCAATACAGAGGTGAAAAGCAGAGAGCAATACAGAGGTGAAAGTCCCTAAAGGTTACATCCTCTTGGCCAGAGAGCTTAAAGCCTGAGAGCCCTTTGTCATTTGCCTTCCAGCAGAGGCAGCCATGATTTCTAATACCTGTGGGGCAGGTCAGTCATTCACTTTGTGGATTGTTCCAACTGATCCTTTCCCAAGAAGTGGGTTCCTTTACTCCCTAGTGTTTAGGCATTCCTCATATGTTAGAAGTTCCTGCTATGGTTTTTTAACATTAAACTTTACTCAGAGTTGTTTGTTACATAAAATAAAACTAGGTCAAATGGTAGAAATGACAGGAATATAGTAAGAATCAAGAATCCTGGCATGAAGTATTAGTTCTAACTTGGACGAAATATAAGGGTCCTGAGCCTAGTAGAGTTCCTAGGTGGGAGCTGATGGTAGAATGAAGAGTGATTGTTGTCTTAGATCATATACACTAGAACAGACTTGAAAGTAAATTTGAGTACAAAAAAGTTTTGTTGGGACAGTCTTTCAGAAAATAAACATATAAGGAAACATATAAAGAAAGGCAGATTGGCAGAGAAGCCAACTTACAATGGAAATCTTAGCTGTCCTATGGGGAGTGTTGGAGCTGGGATGGCCTTTCAGAATTGTCTCATATTGAAACGGGGGAATGGACCCTTAGAATTCCTGCAACTGTCAATCATTGATGGCATATCATCCCAGGAGCTCTGTAACTTTGGATGAGGCAGGTTCCTGCAACTGAGGACTGTTCCCAGTGAGGAAAAGAGATGTGAGCCATCACAGCTGGTATTTCCAGCTGAAAAGGGAATCCCTTATAAAGGAAATCTGGGTGAAGCACCACATTATTCACTACAACAGTTAATAGCAAAAATCAAAAGGTTGTTTTTATAGCCCTTGAACAATGAAATATTATCCTGTGTTAGCAACTATAGTCAGAATATTTGGCTTCACAGAGAATTTAATTTACTATTGGTAATGTTTAGAAAATTATTAGGAGAAACATGTAATTTGTTATCCAAACCGGGATACATTTTTTTTTTTTTTTCCTGAGATGGGGTCTGGCTCTGTCACCTAGGCTGGAGTGCAGTAACATAATCTTGGCTCGCTGCAACCTCTGCCTCCTGGGTTCAAGTGGTTCTCCTGCCTCAGCCTTTCGAGCAGCTGGGATTACATGTGTACACCACCATAGCTGGCTAATTTTTGTATTTTTTAGTAGAGACAGGGTTTCATCACATTGGCCAAGCTGGTCTTGAACTCCTGACCTCAGATGATCTGCCTGCCTCGGCCTCCCAAAGTGCTGGGATTACAGGCGTAAGCCACCGTGCCCGGCCAAAACTGCGTTACTTCTGAGAGACAAAGATTCATAAAATGGTCAACAGACCTTAATTGATCTACAAAAGGCATCTCAAGCAAACTGAGAGGTATGGCCACCTAGAAACTATATGACTATATGACTATAGTGTGTGTGTGTATATATATGTATGTATTATACATATGTATATATATAATAAACACAAGAATACATATGATGGATTTTGAGAGAGATTTAACACATTTTTCTGACAGATTTTGTATGGGCTATAACAGATAGCTAAACTGTAAAATTTAAATTAAAATGCTATTGGTGTTACTGCATTTCTAGTTACATAATTCTTCTATAAACACTGTGCTAAGAAGTGGTGGTTTCAAAGTACTAACAACTGCAGTCTTAGTTGTCAAGGAGAATCAAACAGACAAGTACGTGAAATGGAACATGATAAAAACTGTAATACTGATGAATGCTAAGTACTATAAGAGCACCAAGTAGTAAGTGGTTAACTCCCCTGGGGTGGATCAGGCTTCAGAGGAGAGAAAGCTCTTAAGCTGGCTTTTGAAGGAGAAGTAGGTACTCATTAGACAGTTGAGGGAGTTGGGAATTCCAGAAAGGGGTAAGAGCCTGTGCAAAGGCACAGAGCAGGAATCACATAGGTTGTTTGTTGTAGGAAATATATGAAGTTCAGTTTGGAGGAAAAGTAGAGGGAAGAAAGAAAGGAAGGATATGAGACTAAGTACTGGCCATTAGTTTGCAAATGTGTTTCTTTTAAATATTTGATAAACTCCCAATATTTTTTTCCTTCTAAAACAAGCTGAATTTTAATTTTTGCCTATTTTTCTTCAATGTTAATCAGTTATGAGTCCCTCATATCATCTTGGCTGTCTTATATTCATAAATCAATTTCCATTGAAATATATTAATTTATCTTTTTATTTTGTTTTTATTTTTATTTTTTGGCAGGGTCTTGCTCTCTTACCCAGGCTGCTAGAGGGTAGTGATGTGATCACAGCTCACTGCAGCTTTGACCTTCCAGGCTCAAGTCATCCTCCCACTACAGCCTCCTGAATAGCTGGGACTACGGGTGTGCACTACCAGGCCTGGTCAATATATTTTGTTTTTCTTTTTTTTTTTTTGAGACAGAGTTTCACTGTTGTTGCCCAGGCTGGAGTGCAATGGTGTGATCTCGGCTCACTGCAACCTCTGACTCCCAGGTTCAAGCAATTCTCCTGCCTCAGCCTCCTGAGTAGCTGGGATTACAGGCATATGCCACCACACCCGTCTGATTTTATATTTTTAGTAGAAACGGGGTTTCTCCATGTTGGTCAGGCTGGTCTCGAACTCCCAACCTCAGGTGAACCGCCTGTCTCAGCCTCCCAAAGTGCTGGGATTATGGGCGTGAGCCACTGCGCCTGGCCTAGAAGTACCAAAATATTTACTTTGAATATGCTTATATGTCTCACATAAGATTTAGCAAGAAGCAATTAAAATGCCTGAAAACCATTTAATGGTACAAAAACCATGACCTTTTGTGGTACTATATACTGGAAAATATGATTCAGTTTATTTTATTAGCCAGCACTATCTTATGGAAATATTATGCAAACTACAATAATATGTGAGCCAAATAGATAATTTTAAATTTTCTAGTAGCTACATACAGTAAAAGGAACAGGTGAAATTAATTTTAGTTAAGTCAGTGTATGCAAAATATCATCATTTCAATATGCAATCAATATAAACATCATAATGAGATATCTTACATTCTGTTTTAGTTATAAGTCCTTGAAATTTGATGTGTATTTTACATTTATAGTGTAGCTGGACTAACCATATTTCGTGTTCAATAGCGACATGTGGCCAGTGGCTGCCATGGTAGACAGCATAGCACTATGCAGAATTGCCTTCTCCATCATAGTGTTTGTGGTTTTTTTAACCTTTTTTTAGATACAGGGGTACATGTGAAGGTTTATTACATAGGTAAACTTGTGGCATGGGAGTTTGTTGTACAGATTATTTAATCACCCAAGTATTAAGCCTGGTACCCAGTAGTTATCTTTTCTGCTCCTCTCCCTTTTCCCACCCTCCACCCTCAAGAAGAGTCCAGTGTTTACTGTTTTCTTCTTTGTGTTTATAAGTTCTTGTCATTTAGCTCCCACTTATAAGTGAGAATATGTGGTATTTGGTTTTCTGTTTCTGTGTTAGTATACTAAGGATAATAGCCTCCAGCTCCATCCACGTTCCCACAAAAGACACGATCTCATTATTTTTTATAGCTGCATAATATTCCATGGTGAATATGTGCCTTGTTTTCTTCATCAAATCTGTCATTGATGGACATTTAGGTTGATTCCATGTTTTTGCTGTGAATCATGCTGCAATGAACATTCGTGTACATGTGTCTTTATGATAGAATGATTTATATTCCTTTGGGTATGTACCCAGTAATGGGATTACTGGGTCGAATGGCAGTTCTGCTTTTAGTTCTTTGAGGAATTACCATACTGCTTTCCACAATGGCTGAATTAACTTACACTCCTACCAACAGTATATAAGTGCTTCCTTTTCTCTGCAACCTTGCCAGCATCTGTTATTTTTTGACTTTTTAGTAATAGCCATTTTGACTGGTGTGAGATGGTATCTCACTGTGGTTTTGATTTGCGTTTCTCTAATGATCAGTGTTATTGAGCTTTTCTTTATGTGCTAGTTGGCCACATCTATGTCTTCTTTTGAAAAGTGTGTTCATATCCTTTACCTGCTTTTTAATGGGGTTGTTTTTCTTTTGTCAATTTGTTTAAGTCTCTTATAGATGCTTATAAGTTTCTTATATCAGACCTTTGTCAGATGCATAGTTTGCAAATATTTTCTCCCATCTGTAGGTTGTCTGTTTACTGTGTTGATAGTTTCCTTTGCTGTGTGGAAGCTCTTAGGTTTAATCAAATTTTGCTTTTGTTGTGATTGCTTTTGGTGTCTTTGTCCTGACATCTTTGCCCATTCCTATGTCCAGGATGGTATTTCCTAGGTTTTCTTCCAGTGTTTTTATAGTTTTGGTTTTTACATTTAAGTCTTTAATTCATCTTGACTTGATTTTTGTATATGGTGTAAGGAAGGGGTCCAGAGTCAATCGTCTGTGCATGGCTGGCCAGTTATCCCAGCATCATTTATTGAATAGGGAGTCTTTTCCCAATTGTTATTTTTTGTCAGCTTTGTCAAAAGATCAGATGGTCGCAGATGTGTGGCCTTATTTCTGGGCCTCTCTTCTGTTCCACTGGTCTACGTGTCTTTTTTTGTACCATGCTGTTTTGGTAACTGTGTTCTGTAGTATAGTTTGAAGTTGGGTAACGTGATGCTTCCAGCTTTGTTTTTTTTTGCTTAGGATTGCCTTGGCTATTCAGGCTCATTTTGGTTCCAAATGAATTTTAAAATCATTTTCTCTAGTTCTGTAAAGAATGTCATTGGTAGTTTGATAGGATAGCAATGAATCTGTAAATTGCTTTGGGCAGTATGGCCATTTTAATGATACTGATTCTTCCTATCTATGAGCATTGGATGTTTTTCCATTTGTTTGCGTCTTCACTGATTTCTTTGAGCAGCATTTTGTAATTCTTGTTATAGAGATCTTTCTCCTTTCTGGTAAGCTGTGTTCATAAGCATTTTAGTCTTTTTGTGGCAATTGTGAATCAGATTGCCTTTATGATTTTTCTCTCAGTTTGGCTGTTATTGGTGTGTAGGAATACTAGTGATTTTTGTAAGTCAATTTTGTTTACTAAAATTTTGTTAAAGTTGTTTATTAGCTGAAGGAGCTTTTGAGCTAAGACTATGGGTATGGGGTTTTCTACATATAGAATCATGTCATCTGCTAACAGAGATAGTTTGACTTCCTCTCTTCCTATTTGGATGCCCTTTATTTCTTTCTCTTGCGTGATTGCTTTGGCTTAGACTTCTAATATGATGTTGAATAGAAGTGGCAAGAGAGCATTCTTATCTTGTGCCAGTTTTCAAGGGGGAATGCTTGCAGCTTTTGCCCTTTCAGTATAATGTTGGCTGTAGGTTTGTCATAGATGGCTCTTATTATTTTGATGTATGTTCCTTCAATACTTAGCTTATTAGAAGTTTTTAACATGAACGGGTGTTGAATTTTATCAAAAGCCTTTTCTGTGGCTATTGAGATAATAGTGGTTTTTGTCTTTTGTTCTTTTTATGTGATGAGTGATATTTATTGCTTTGTGTATGTTGAACCAACCTTGCATTCTGGGGATGAAGTCTACTTGATCATGGTGGATTATCTTTTTGATGTGCTGCTGGATTCGGTTTGCCAGTATTTTGTTGAGGGCTTTTGTCTTGATATTCATCAAGGATATAGCTCTGAAGTTTTCTTTTTTTGTTGTGTCTCTGCTAGGTTTTGGTATCCAGATGATGCTGGCCTTGTAGAATGAGTTGGGGAAAAGTTCCTCCTCCTGAATTTTAAGGAATAGTCTCTGTAGGAATGGTACCAGCTCTTCTTTGTACATCTGGTATTAATAGAATTTGGCTACATCATGATGTTTTTAATGTTGGATAACCTTTTTTTATTTTGAGATGGAGTCTCACTCTGTTGCCTAGGCTGAAGTGCAGTGACGCCATCTCGGCTCACTGCAATCCCTGGCCCCCAGTTCAAGCAATTCTCCTGCCTCAACCTCCTGAGTAGCTGGGATTGCAGGTGTGAGCCAGAATGCCCAGCTAATTTTTTTGTATTTTTTAAGTAGAGATGGGGTTTCACCATGTTGGCCAGGGTGGTCTGGAACTCCTGACCTCAGGTGATTTACCTGCCTTGGCCTTCCAAACTGTTGGGATTATAGGCGTGAGCCACTATACTCGGCCGATAACCTCTATATTTTTATAACTTTAAAAATGCTACTGTTGGGGTAATAAAAGAAAGGAGAGAGAATACTTAGGTCAGGGATATCTAGAGCTACCTCACCATGCTGTCATTCCTAGGGTTATCCAGTAAAATAAGCAAGTGGCATTTTATACTTGTATATTGGAAAGGAATGAAATTTTCTATATGTCATAGATTGTATTCTCTAATGATAGCTACAACAATATTTCACATTTTGCAAATTCTCCTCTGGCATGACTTTGCTTTTCCTCCATCAAAAAGATAGAGTTTAATACTTTTCTTCTTGAATCTTGGCTGGACTTAATAACTTGGTTGACCAACTAAATATGGCAGAAGTAACATTCTAGGACTTCTGAGGCTAGATTATAAAAAGGCTTTTAGCTTTCACCTGATTGTTTTGGAGTGCTCAACTTTGAGACATTTCCCCTCAGAATGCAATTTCTAGGCTGTATGAAGCCCAGCCTACACAGAGAGATAACAATTAGGTAGGCACTCTGGTTGATAGAGCTGCATTCCTAGCCAAAAGCCCGCATTAACTGCCAGCACTGTAAATATGGTATCTTGTATGTCTAGCCTATTCAAAATTTTATATGGTTCCCACTGCAGCCAAACTTTGACTGCAGCTGCTCAGAGACCTGATGTGTCAAATCTCAGCTGAGCCCAGCCAAACCTCAGAACCATAAGAAAGAATAAAAAATTGTTGCCTTTTTTTTTTTCTTTTTTTTGAGATGGAGTCTCGTTCTGTCACCCAGGCTGGAGTGCCATGGCACGATCTTGGCTCACTGCAACCTCTGCCTCCTGGGTTCAAGTGATTCTCCTTCCTCAGCCTCCTGAGTAGCTGGGACTACAGGCATGTGCCACCACACCCGGCTAATTTTTGTATTTTTAGTAGAGACAGGGTTTTGCCATGTTGGCCAGGCTGGTCTTGAACTCCTGACCTCAAATGATCCACCTGCCTCGGCCTCCCAGAGTTCTGGGATTACAGGCATGAGCCACCGCGCCCGGCCAGAAGTTGTTGCTTTTTAAACATTAGGTTTTGCAATGGCTTCTTACACAATAATAGATAATCATAATACTATACAATTTTTTAGGCAAAGACTTTACTTTGAGAAGAACATAAAGGATCTGAATTACCCTAACAACAAATGTAGGGAATAGCCTAGAGGGTATTCTAGGATGAGTTAGACTGTCTCCTTAGCCATAATGGTCAAGAGTTGTTAGTTACAGCTTTATTAGAAAGAATCCAAAACTGATGTTAGTAGGTAGAAAGATGTAGAGAAAATTATTAATGGATTCTATTACAAAGAATAGATTTAGTTAATCCCTGCAAATCTTTCATGTTCTTTAAGTCTCGGGTTAAAAATTAAACCAGTGTATATAAATTAAACACTTATAACAGAGATCTGAAGTGGGTGAACCTTATCTAATTATAAGGGTAAAGATTCTAGTGTCCAGTGTGAAAAAAAACCAAGAAAGCTAGGTAAGTTACACTCTTGCAGAATTCCATTTTAATGAGTTTAGTTTTGTCTGAGTGCATTTATGTTATAATGATATTGGTAATTGCATTTAAGAATGACTGAAACTTTTTCAGGTGACCCACAATTGATATTTCTAAAATGTGCGTTATGATCACCTGCCCTCTTTAGCAGTATTAAATTAGAATCATTGAATACCTAGTGATTATATAATTTATGCTGTGGAATAGTCACAGGCAAATGTTTATTTAGCCTCTTGCAGTTTCTAAGTCTCCCTTCCTCCTTGGCAATTTTAAGTGCAGTACTGGGGGCTCAGGAGAAAAGGAATATGCAAAGAAAATACAAAGTTGGCAAGACGGTTAGTATGGCAGTTGGCTTACAACTGGGAAGAGAAAAATAATTTTTGTTTGGTGCATAGCAGAGATATGATAATCACTATTTGTGATAATTATGTTGTCTTTTGTAGAAACAAGCTCTTTCTAATTTGACAACTCCTTTAGAAGTATTGACTGTTCATTTTATTTAGTTTCTGACTTTTATATTAAACCTAACACTTGTAAAAATAAAACTGACTGAATCTACTTGATAACTGCTTTTAATTTTAGTTCAGCTGTTTATGCTATATGGGAAAGCCTATCCATCTTCTCTCATTTTCGTCCCAGGAATACCTCTCAAAGACTAGAAACTAAATTTTTAAAAAAACTTTTAATTTTGAAATAATTATAGATTCAAAGGAAGTAGCAAAGACAGCACAGAGAGGTTCTTTGTACCCTTTGCCCAGTTTCCTATATAGGTTGCATCATGTGTAACTATATAGCAAGATATCAAAACAAGGACATTGACATATTGACATAAATTATGTATATAGTTTTATCACATATATGGGTTTGTGTAATCACCAACACAAAAACGATACAGAAATATTCCATCACTACAAATATCTCCCTTGTGCTACCACTTTCCAATCACACCTGCCCCTCCCTACCCCTACCACCTGCCCCTGCCCCGTGCCTAACCCTCGGCAAATGCAAATCTATTCTCCATTTCTATAATTTTGTTATTATACAGTGTTTTATAAATGGAATTACACAGTGTAGGACCTTTTGAGATTGGCTTTTTAAAAACTCAGCATAATGCCTTAGAGATCCATCCAAGTTGGATATATTGATAGTTTATTCTTTTTTATTGCTAATTAGTATTCCATGGTAGGATATACCATTGTTTATACATTTGACTATGGTAGGACATTCTGTTTTTTCCAGTTTGGGGCTATTACAAATAATGCTTCTATGAACAATTGGGTACAGATTTTTGTGTAGTCATAAATTTTAATTTCTCTAAGAGAAACACCCACAAGTGTGATTGCTAGGTTATGGTATGTGATGCATAGTTTTTAGGAAACTGCCAAACTATTTTCCAGAGCAATTTTACATTCCCACCAGCAATGTATCTAGTTATTCAACACTCTGACCAACATTTGATATTTTCACTATTTTTTATTTTAGATGTTCTAATCAGTGTGTAGTGATATTATGATCTTCATTCTAATAGCCAGTGATGTCAAACATCTTTTCATGTGTTTATTTGCTGTCTGTACATACTCTTCAGTGAAATGACTCATCATGTTTTTTGCCTATTTTCTAATAGGATTTTTTGTATAGTAGTTTACTGTTAATTATTAAGAGTTGTTTATACATTCTATATATGAGACCTTTTCAGATATTAGTTTTGTAAATATTTTCTTGCAGTTTGTAGCTAATGAAGTAAGCTTTATCTATTTTTTCTTTTATGTGTCATGCTTTTTGTGTCTAAGAATGGTTCAACGAGTTCTAGGTCCAAAATTTCTTTTCTGCTATTTTCCTAAACGTTTTATATTTTACATTTGATTTTGTATTTATGATCCATTCTGAGTTAACTTTTTATGAAGTGTGAGACTTTTCTCAAAGTTCCTACTTTTTGCCTATTGATATCCAGTTGCTCTAGCACTATTTGTTCCTCCATTGGATTACTTCTGCATATTTGTGAAAAATCAATTTGCTGTACTTGTGTATGGCTATTTCTAGTTTCATGATTCTATTTTATTGGGCTGTTTGTTTATTCCTTGGCCAATATCACAAAGCATTGACTACTGTAGCTATATAATAAGTCTTGAAATCACTTAGAGTTATTCCTATTAATTTCCTATTTCAAAGTTGTTTTTAGCTATCCTAGCTACTTTGTCATTCCATGTATATTTTACAATAATTTTTAATGTCTAAAATTTTTTTCTTAGGTTTTATAAGAATTATAAAAACTTGTATATCAATTTAGGAGAATTGACATATTTACTGTGTTGTCTTCCAGTTCATGAACACAGGATGTCTCTCCATTCAATTAGATCTTTGATTTCTTTCATCAGCATTTTGCAGTTTTCAGTATAGAAGTCGTACACGTTTTATTAGACTTATACCTAATTGTTTCATTTTTCAGGTATTATAAATGTTATTATATTTTTAATTTTAATTTTCACCTGTTATTAGTATATACAAGTAAAATCGATTTTTGTATGTTTATCTTATATCCTGCAACCCTCCTGAAATCACTTAGTAGTTCAGGAATTGTTATTATTGTCGTTTTGGTGGATTCCTTGGGATTTTCTACATAGAAAATTATGTCATGTATAGATAGTAGGAATAGTTTTATTTCTTCCTTTTAAATCTGTATGTCTTTTACTTAATTTTCATACCTTACTGCACCGATTAGAACTTCCAGAAATATGGTGCGTAAGTGTGGTGAGAGCTGATATCCTTGCTTTGTTGCCTATTTTAGGGGGAAAGCCTTCAGTCTTTTGCCATTAAATACAATGTTAGCTTTAGATCTCTTTTTGATAGATTTTTAAAAATCAAGATATAGAAGTTCTTCTCTGTTTCTAGATTTTGGAGAGTTTGTGTGATAAATGGGTGTTGAATTTTGTCAGATAAATGCCTTTTCTGCATCAATTTACATAATCATATGATTTTTCTTGTTTAGTTTGTTAATATGGTAGATTACATTGATTTTCAAATATCAAACTAGCCTTGCAACCCTGGAATAAATCTTACTTGGTCATGGTATACAATTCATTTTACATATGGATGAATTCTATTTGTTAATATTTTATTAGAAATATTTTCATCTCTATTAATGAAGAGTATTAATTTGCAGTTTTCTTATAATATCTTTGTTTTTGGTATCATGGTAGTAATAAAATTGATTGGAAAGTACTCCCTCTTTTTTTATCTTCTAGAAAGGTTGGGTAGAACAGGTGTTACATATGTTTAAATATTTGGCAGTGTTCTCCAAGAAAACCATCTGGGGATGGAGATTTCTTTTCCAGGAGTTTTTATATTATGAATTCCACTTCCTTAATAATTATAGAGCTATTTAAATTATCTGTTGCATATTGAGTTAGTTGTGATAGCTTTTGCTTTTGAAGGAATTGGTTTATTTCATCTAACTTGTCAAACTTACATGTTAAAGTTGTTTGTATAATCCCTTATTGTGCTTTGATGCCTGTAGGATATTTCCTTGTTTCATTCCTGGTCTTAAAAATTTGTATCTTCTCTTTTATTTTTGTTAATTTTTCTAGAATTTTAACATTTTATCTTGATAGTTTCAAAGAGAAGCTTTTTTATTTCATTGAATTTCTCGATTTTCATTTTCAATTTTATTTGTGTTCTTTATTATTTTCTTCTTTCTGCTTACTTTGGGTGTATTTCATGCTTTCTTTCTAGATTTTTGAGATAGATGATTAGATTACTGATGTGAGATATTTTCTGTTTCTCTGCCTCTTTTTTTAAAAACTCAAGCCCAGTGAGAGCTGGAATGTTTTCTCTTTTGCAGATTTTCCTGTTGTCTTTCAATAATCAATTTTCTATTTTGATTTGATTGTGCGCAGAGAACACACTCTTTGTGACTAATTTTTTTTTACATATATTGAGGCTATTTTATGGCCCAGGATATGGTCTATCTTAATATAGTTTAATGGGCACTTAAAAATAATATGTATTTACCCTTATTGTCCTTTGCTGCCTGTAGGATATTTCCTTGTCCCACTCGTGGTCTTGAGAATTTGTTGAAAAATTTAAAACAAATTTGAAAACTTGAAAAACTTAAAAATAATGTTGTTAGGTAAGGTGTTCTATAAAATGTTGACTAGAATCTGTTGGTTGATGGTATTGTTGAATTTTTCTATATCCTAGCTGATTTTCTGTCTAGTTGTTCTTATAATTGTTGAGAGAAGGATGTTGAAGTCTACAGCTATAACTGTGAATTTGTCCACTCTTCCGTTCAGCTTTGTCAGTTTTTGCTTCATCTATATTTATAGCTCTGTTGTTAAGTACATGCGCATTTAGGCTAGCTATGTCTTCTTGAAGGATTGACTCTTAATATTATGTAATGTCTCCCTCTCTCCTGAGTAATTTTCTGTCTTTGCAGTCTTCTTTACTGGATATTAATAAAGCTACTTTCTTTTGATTAATGTTTGCATGGTTTATCTTTTTCCACCCTTTTACTTTTAATATACCTGTATCATGATGTGTGAAGTAAGTTTCTTAAGGATAGCATGTAGTTGAGTTAGGTCTTTAATCTGTTCTGCTAACCTCTGTCTTTTAATTGGTGTATTTAGACCATGTATATTAAGTAATTATTGATGTGGTAAGGATTATGTCTAATCTATCTACCTATCCATCTAATTTGTTTTCTGTTTGTTCCCTCTGTTTTTAATTTATTTTTCATGACTTTTTGTCAGTTACTTGAATACACTTTAGATTCTTTTTTGATGTGTCTATAGTATTTTTGAGTATATATCTTTATATAGCTATTTTAGTAGTTTATCGAGGTATGGCATTATATACACATAATTATCATAATTTAATAAAGTTGACATTTTACCAGTTTGAGGAAAATGTAGAACCCTTTATGTAATTTTATCTCACTCATTTATTATATAAATATATTAAATATTTGTTTTATGTATATTGAGAAACACGTAAGACTGTTTTAATTTTTGCTTCAACTATCAAACATAATTTAGAAAACTGAAGAAAGAAGTGTATTTTTATTCATATTTTTACTTTTTTGTTATTTCTTCTCTCTTGATCTTCAGAGATTACTACTTTTATTTATTTTAATTTATTTATTGTGACAAAAGCACTCAATAAGAGAACTACAATCTTAACAAATTTTTAAGTGAACAATATATCAAATGAAAACTAGAGGCACAATGTTGGACAACATATCTCTATAACTAAATTGTTTTGCATATCTTAAACTTTATACCTGTTGAATGGCAACTTTCCATTTCTCCCTCCCCAATCCCCTAGCACCCACCATTCTACCCTCTGCTTCTCTGTGTTTGACTATTTCATATGCCTCATATAAGTGGTATGATGCAGTATTTGTTCTTCTGTGACTAGCTTATTTCACTTAGCATAATGTTCTCAAGAATTCATTCATGTTGTCACAGTGCAAGATTTCCTTGTTTTTCAATACAGAATAATATTTCATTGTATGTATATACCACATATTTTTTATCCATTCACCTGGTGATGAACATTTAGGTTGTTTAAACATCTTGGATATTGTAAATAATGATGCCGTGAGGCCGAGCACAGTGGCTCACACCTGTAATCCCAGCACTTTGAGAGGCTGAGGCAGGGAGACCTCTCGAGCCCAGGGTTTAAGACCATCCTGGGGAACATGGCAAAACCCCGTTTCTACAAAAAATATAAAAATTAACTGGGTGTGGTGGCACACCCCTGTGGTCCCAGCTCTAGGGAGGCTGAGGTGGGAGGATTGTTTGAGCCCAAGTGGTCGAGGCTGCAGTGAGCCATGATTACATCACTGCACTCCAGCCCGGGGGACAGAGCAAGACCCTGTCTCAAAAAAAAAAAAAAAAAAAAAAGATGTGATGAATATGAGAGTGCATATATCTCTTCCAGCTACTTTTTATTTTCTTCATGTATAAACCCAAATGCGGGATTGCTGGATCATATAGTATTTTTATTTTTAATTTTTTTGAGGAAATGCCATGCTGTTTTCCATAGCTGTGACATCATTTTACATTTATATCAATAGTGTACAAGCATTCCTTTTCCTTCACATCCTCCTCAATATTTGTGATCTTTTTTTGTTTATTGATAATAGCTTTCCTAACAGATGTAAGGTAATATCTCCTGGTTTTGATTTCATTTTCCTGATGACTAGTGATGTTGCACATTTTTTCATATACTCTGAGTATCTGTATTTTTTCTCTTGAGAAATGTCTATTCGGGTCCTTTGCCATTTTTTTTATTGGGTTATTTGTTTTCTTGCTATTGAGCTGCTTGAATTACTGATCTGTTTTAGATATTAACTCCTTATCAGATAGATGTATGATTTGCAAATGTTTCCTTCCATTCTATAGGTTGTGTCTTCTCTCTCAATTGTTGCCTTTGATGTGTAGAAAATTTTTAGATTAATATAATCCTTCTTTTCTATTTTTGCTTTTGTTGCTCATGCTTTTGGAGTCATACCCAAGAAATTATTGCCAATCCAATGTCATGAAGTTTTTCCCCTATTTTTTTCTAAGAATTTTACAGTTTCAGGTCTTATGTTTAAGTCTTTAATCCATTTTCAGATGATTTTTGTATATGTTGTAAGGTAAAGGTCCAAATTAATTCTTTTGTATATGGATATTCAGTTTTCCCAGCATCATTTGTTGAAGGAACTACCTTTTCCCCATTCTGTATTCTTGACACCCTTGTTGAAGATTAGTTGACTTTACACATGTAGATTTTTAAAACATTTTTAATTTCATTTTTAATTGATAAATAACATGTGGTTTCATTTCTGGGCTCTCTATTCTGTTCCATTGGTCTGTATGTCTGTCTTTATGTTAGTACCATACTGTCTTAATTAGTGTAGCTTTGTAATCTTTTTTGAAATCCAGAAGTATGATTCCTTTGTAGCAGGACGAGCCGCAGACAAAACCTCTCAGACACTGAGTTATAGAAGGAAGGGCTTTATTCAGCTGGGAGCATCGGCAAGCTACTGCCTTAAAATCCGAGCTCCCCGAGTGAGCAATTCCTGTCCCTTTTAAGGGCTCACAACTCTAAGGATTTCACATGAAAGGGTTGTGATTGATTTGAGCAAGCAAGGGGTACACGACAGGGGCTGCATGCGCTGGCGGTCAGAGAGAAACAGAACAGGGCAGGGAGTTTCACAGTGTTGTTCTATACAATGTCTGGAATCTGTGAATAACATCGATTTTTAAGTTATGAGTTGATTTTTAACTACTGGGTTTAGGCCAGGCAGGCCCAGGCCTGGTTTCAGGCGTGGCTCTGGGCTGCCTGTCTTTGGTTTTACTTCCTTGTTGTTTTTTTTAAAAACAGGTACTGAGTATAAAACAATATAAAACAATATGAGAGGGTCTCTCTCTTCCCTCCTTTCCCCCCTTTGAGGCTCTCACTTTTTTATTAGTAGGAGTTCTCACTTTTATTTTTGTTACTTTTTTTTTTTGTAATAGATTGATAGTGATTTATATAGTACACTTGTGCTGAAGCATTTTGGTGAACTAAGATAGCGATGAAGCTTTTTATCATTTGAAGAAGTACAGGTAGCAAGCAAGGAAGCAGTAAGTAGGTTCTTATTACTATCATAACTTTTATTATAAGAGTTTTAAGTTCTCCTAGTGCTGGGAACTGATTTTTAAACATGGCTTCAGGGTCCAATTCGTGCTACACTTATGCGGGCACATGTGTCAGTTTTGTCATATTTTTAACTATGTCTTTAACTACTTGCCTTTGATTATCTATGTGTAGACAGTAATTAGTAAGGTTAAATTTCTTATAGACCTCTCTTTCAGCTGCTAGCAAGTAGTCGAGAGCCCATCTATTTTGATAGATAGCATTTCTTATCTGAGTTTTTTGCCAGGCCAGAATAGTCAAAGCTTGACCGGTTTTATTAGTGATGATTTCTAAAACAGCTTGCAACCGTATGATTCAGTTGAGCATGTAAATGGGGGTCCAGTATTCCCATGAGCCATCTTGTGTCTAAGTGCCAGGCCTATAGTATTATATAATTTTTTTTTTGGAGGTCATTTATCATCTTTCCAATTACCTATGGCTATGCTTCATTTTTCGCGGGAAGCATAGACAGGGAAGCCAGGAGTTTGCCTGTTTTTATGGGCAGTAGGAAGAAAGATGGTTTAATAGTGCCAGTAACACAACTACCTGTCCACTGGTCAGGCAGCTTAGTGTAGGCTCTATGTCTACATATTCAGTATAACCCGGTGGGGGCAGTCCAGTCCCGGTGGAATTCTGGGTGGGCCGAGACAGTCTGCAACCTTGGAAATTTACTGAAAGGATCTCTTTCTATGTAATTTGAACTCCACCATATAACTGCTTTTTTTGTGGTACTGTTATACAGTTTTTGCCCCAGACAACTAAGTCCTCCTACAGAATGAGTGAATTCTTTCCTTTTTCTAGCTATGCAATATTGTTCAATAATTGAGACTTTTAGAACCTAGAGATGATCAGGGTGATTTTTTTGGGCTGGGAATTCATCAGGAACTGGCTCTGTAGGCACTAATTCTTGGGCTTCTTATGGCCATTGATCTCTTATTACAGTTTCTCCACAAACATAACATGAAGTGACATTTAGAGACTGGGCTACATGCGCGGCTAATTGCAAAAACAAATTCCTGGTTTTTCCTAGAGTCTCTGGTACTGGCACATTTAGTTCATCATAGAAAGTCTGAAATACTGGTTCCGGAGAGAGTTTACAAACCTCCTCTTTTACTAAGATATTTACTGTAGGACCTAGTCTTTTCCTATTGATGCCCAGAGATATGTGTTCTCCTTTTTTCTACCTTGGGTTTAAGGGATTTGTAATTATTAATTTCAAGGGGTTGTAGCTTCCACTCATACAGGAGGGGCTGCCTTCTCCCTTTTGGAACTAAACAGGACCTTTTTCACCTTTTTTAAAGTAGTCTAGATGACACAAGACCAGTAATTACACATGTTTGCACATGAGCTTAATTCATGGCAGATATACTTATTTGTATGTTGATTTTGTACTCTGCAACTTTACTGATACGTTTTGTTGGTTCTAACATTGGTGTATTTGTGTGTGTGTGTGTTTGCATGTGTGTAGTCTTTATAATTTCCTTCATGTAAGATTATGTCATCTTCAGAGACAATTTAACTTCTTCCTTTTAAATTTGGATGCTATGTATTTCTTTTTCTTGCCTAATTGCTCTAACTAGGACTTATAGTACTATGTTTTACAGAAGTCAAAAACTGTACTAAGAGAGAAAGGAGGACATTATATAGTGATAAAAGGGTTGATTCATTAGGAAGATACAGCAACTATAAATATATGTACCCAACATCAGAGCACCTAAGTATGTAAAGCAAATATTAACAGAACTGAAGGAAAAGCTAGATAGCAATATAACAGTAGGATATTTTACTATCCTACTTTCAGTATGAGTAGAACATACAGACAAAATATCAATAAGGAAGCAGCAGACTTGAGCAATACTTTAGACTTAATGCAACTAAAAAAACATGGACAGAACATTCCATCAAAAACAACAGAATATACATTCTTCTCAAATGCACACAGAATATTATCCAGGATAGACTACATGTTAGGTTACAAAACAAGTATCAACAAATTTACGGAGATTGAAATCTTACCAAGTATTTTTTTTTTCTGACCACAGTTGAATGAAACTAAATATTAAATATTAGTAGCAGAAGAAAAACTGGAAAATTCACAAGTATGTTGAAATTAAACAATATACTCTTGCATAAACAACAAGTTAAAGAATAAATCTAAAGCAATTGAAAATATTTTGAGACTAATGAAATTGAAAACAAAGCACACCAAGCTCATGGAATGCAGCAAAACCAGTACTAAGAGGGAAGTTTCCATGACTGTTGACATTCAAAAAGAAGAAATATTTTAAGTAAATAATCTAACTTTGCATCTCAAATAAGTAGAAAAAGAAGAACAAATTAAGCCCAAAGTTAGTAGAAGGAAAGAAATGGTAAAGATTAGAGCAAAAATAAATACAAGAGAACATAGAAAAATAATAGAAAAAAATCATTGAAACTAAGAGATGGTTTTTTTGAAAAGATACAAAATTGGGAAGCCACTAGCAAAAGTAAGAGAAAAAAAGACTCAAATAAAATTATAAATGACAGAGTAGACATGACAGCTGATACAACAGAAATAGAAAGGATCTTAAAAGACTACTGTGAACAATTCTACACTAACAAATTGGATAACCCAGAAGAAATGGCTGAATGTCTAGAAACATACAACTTAGCCAAGAATGAATCATGAACAAATAAAAAATCTGATCATTATATGTAACTAGTATAGAGATTGAATCAGTAATCAAAAACTTCCCAACAAAGAAAAGCCCAAGATCAGATAGCTTCTCTGGTGAATTCTACTAGATACTTAAAGAAGAATTAATACCAATCCTTCTCAAGCTCTTCTAAAAATTGAAGAGAAGGGAACACTTCTGAACGCAGTAACAAATGACCTAGGGATGACAAACTTTGGAAGGCAGCTATGCTAACCATTATACCACCAATGCAGGATGCCAAACTTAGTAAGTTTTACTTTATGCTAGAAAAACTTAGAAAAAAAGTACTGATAAAGAAGATGGAAGCCAATCATGGATAAAACAATTATAACACAATCTGTATTTTCATCTGTAAAATGAATAAACAACATATCCCAATGTACATAATAGGATTATTTGGTAACTAAAAGAAGAATGAATGTACAACACACACACACACACACACATATATTAATACAAACACATATACATAGTATATACATGTATATTTTAAATAATACATTAATGAAACATTATATCTTGGTAATTATTAATGATAACTTAACATTTCTTTGGCCTGTACTAGATAATTTACTTATTGTCATGTAATCATTACAACAATTCTCTAAGTAGCTAGTTAAAATGCTAACTTTAAAGGTAAAAGAATTAACAACCACTTTGTAGTTGAATTAATGATGGCACCAAGGCAGCCTGACTCTAGAGCTTCTGCTCTTTACCTCTCTTCCTTAGTATCCAGTTAATTCATTCATTTGATAAATATTTATTGAGCTTCTGTTATGCACCTGGCATTGTAAAAGGTGCTGAGGATATATTAATGAACTAAAGAGACATGCTTCTTGTTCTTGGGAAGCCAACAGCCTACTGGTAACATAGACATAAACAGTAGTCCTCTAAATTAATACGTAATTACGAATGGAGTAGAAATGAAAGAAATATACAGGGTGCTAAAAAAAAGAAACAATTTGAATTTAAAGGGAAAGAGGTGATGTAGAAAACCTCTCTATGTTAGAGGCCAAAAGGATAAGGTAGATGTTATCCAGGAGAAGTAGGAGGTGAAGATGAAAAAACACATTCCTAAAAAGATAACAGTTTATGCAGACATCCTCCTGGGGAAAAGAGCTCAGTGCCCGTGAATTCTGGAAAGAACTGAGTGGCTTCAGTTCAGAGATTGAGGGGGCATATAGTGTTAGATGAGACTGGGAGGCAGGTAGGCAAGGTAGGGGTCATGCTGGGCCATACAGCTCATATGAACATTTTGGGACATTAAACTGAGTGCAGTCGCTATAGGATTGGAGGGGTGAAGAATGAAAGGGGGACCTCTGCAAAAGCCGTGTAGCGGGTTTGTATAATGAAAAAGTAGGATTAATGACTTCTATGGTTGTCCATTTGAGCTAAAAAATTCATGCGTTTTATTCTAATCTTCAAGCATCCAA
Organism: Homo sapiens; assembly: GCF_000001405.40. Lineage (NCBI taxonomy): Eukaryota > Metazoa > Chordata > Mammalia > Primates > Hominidae > Homo > Homo sapiens. Next base: position 67,154,542 of record NC_000010.11, on the reverse strand, counting down.
GGGTTTTTCCTTTTTTCACAGTATATTGATTTAATCTTTGTAGTGCTAGTAATTCAAAGGCAAAGCTCTTATTGGATTTGTAATTCAATGAGAAATACAGCCCTCACATAGGTGTCTGACTTAATGACTCCTGCTGAAGTTGAATTGTGAGATGTTATCCATCTCCTCTCTGAAATATGAATTCTAGTTTAGCAGAATTCGTTGTCCTTAGGGAGTTGGTAATATCACCTTTGGTATGACTTAAAAAAAAGCCCATTAACGATATATTTTAAGATGAAAAGTAATAGAATGAAGGTTATTCATATATTTATTTTCAGCTTGACAGTTGAAATTACATGCTAACATTTTACTCTTATCGTAAAAGTTATAAAACATTCCTAAATTAACTTATAATATGTATAGGCTTGTTTAAAGTTTAAATAAAATATTGAAATGTATTTATATTTTAAAATACTTATACATTGGATATAGTTTGTAAAACAAAGTTTTTTTTAATTGAGAATTCTGTTTAATTTTGGCTGCTGTTTAACAAATAATTATATTTTATAAGAAATTACCTTTCTCCCTTAAAGGTGGTTGACAAAATAAAATGGTTGGCAAATATAATCTACTTTTTGTTCCTTGAATACTTTTACATTGCATTTTCCTTCTTATCTCTGATAAGAAACTCTAAAATCAATAATTTTTAAATAGTGTACCTATGAAAAAAAGGAACATTTTGAAAGGGAGAAAATATTCCATACTTTATGTTATAAAATACAAAGCAACTTCATTTTGAGTAACAGCTTAATTAGTTCAATAAAGAATATTGTGTTTTGCTAGCAAATTAACGTAAAACATACTTTACTCCACCACCTCTTGAAGCCAGGAGTAAAATAAAATATAGAAATCTACTCTAAATTCACACTAATAATTCTGGTGTTTTGAATTTGACAAAGTGGAGGTTAGAAAGATCGCTGCTGTCGGAGAACTCTGAATTTAAATTCTAACTCTGATACCTTCTCTATGCCCTGGGGCAAATTTCACAACCTTTCTGAAATTCCAGTTTCTTATCTGAAAAAAGGAATAATATAATTACCTGGTCAGATTGTTTTGATGATGACATGAGATAAAGTATATAAAATTGTGATTTTCAATCCTGGCTGCACATTATTATCACATGAGAGGCTTAAAAATTTCTCAAGTGAAGGCCCCCACCTTTGACCAATTAAATCTGAATCTCTGGAGGATACACTCATGAATCAAAATGTTTTGTAAAAAGATTCCTGGCTAGGCGTGGTGGCTCACGCCTGTAATCCCAGCACTTTGGGAGGTCAAGGTGGGTGGATCACCTGAGATCTGGAGTTCGAGACCAACCTGGCCAATATGGTGAAACCCCGTCTCTACTAAAAATGCAAAAATTAGCTGGGTGTGGTGGTGGGCACCTGTAATCCCAGCTACTCGGGAGGCTGAGGCAGGAGAATCGCTTGAATCTGGGAGGCAGAGGTTGCAGTGAGCTGATATCACACCACTATACTCCATCCTGGGCAACAGGGAAAGACCCTGTCTCAGAAAAAAAAAAAAGATTGCTGGGCGATTTTAGTATGTAGTGTGAATTGAAAACTGGTAATATAAAAGCATCAGCACAGTGCCTCGCCTATGGTAGGCATGTAATAAACGTTAGTTTCATTCTCTTTCTCATATAAGTTAGTTGTCTTCAATTTATAAAAAACTTAGATTCCTTCTGGAAAGACAGCTATAAGCTATATAAAGGTTTACTGAAAGATAGGAAAAAGTATAATCATTCTCTTTGGCAAAGTATAACAAGTAGAAGCTATTTTGTGGGTAATTATAAATAGTCCCTTTCTTTATAGTTAGATGTTGAAATTTAATTTAGCTTATCCTATATCAACAGAGATTTAATTAAAAATGTGTAATTATAATACTGGGAGGCATTGATGAATATGGCCATTTATTATTCATTTGAAAATGCTTAAGTTTTATGATAAGCTTTAGAATTCTTTGTCATTTCATAAGTCACCATCTTTATATGCATTTCATCTAATTGCATTATGAAATAAATCCACATTTATAGATTACTAATTATGACACTAAACGTAATGTATGCTTTTCCCAATTTATTGATTTCTATCAATGGTGTTATCTTTCTCCCAGTGTAACGGGCACATAATTTTTAGGTCAACTTTGATTCATCTTCTCTTATTTCTTAAATACAAAAAAGTACCTAATTTGGCAGTTTCTTCTTATTCTGTATGTAGTTCAATATTTTTCAAACTTGATGATATGAAGACCTGATCTTTCAGTGAGTGACTGGGAGCCATTAGACAAGAGAGGTAGATGATGAGGCTGAAGGGAAGTCTCCAAGTTCACTCCCTGCCTCCACTTCAAACAGCAACTCTACTCTCTTAGTCATATGTTAGAGTTTGGTGTACAATTTCACTTTTCAAAAGGTTCCTCTGCTAAAAAGAAAGTTTGACAAACACTGATTTAGATTATAAACTCTTACAATATGGAGCTAAATTAAAGACCACATCAAGGAAAACAACAATTGTCAACTAGTGGCTTCAGACTTTCTTTTGGGGAGGGCAGAATAGGGGGAAACTGGAGAAGAAAGGAACAACAGAAAGGGGATGACACAGCATGTTATCCCCTAGGGGAATGGCTGGAGTGGCCTATAAGAACAAGAGTTTTTAATGGATAATCTTAAGTTTGCATTCTATCATGTATATTTCCTTCCTCAAAACTTCGAACACCAAGTTTTATTTTGTGTGAGTCATGGAAAAGAGCTGACTTGTACATATGGATGCTGCTCTGCAGAATGCTGTGATACTCCGTAAACTGAACTGCTTTGATAGAAGCTGCAGCTTAGCTCCCTGAGCATGTAAGCCTATGGTGATTTACAGAAACCTTGGGGAGCACATCAGGCTTTATATAAGCCATAGAAAGGGAATTTGAAGGACTTATTTTCCAGGGTGAAAAGGGATACACAATATTACTGATTATTCTGAGGTCATATGAGGGAGATGAAGCTTGTTTTGTTCCTGATTATCTGACTTGATGTCTTGTATTTTTGTTTATAAACCTAATTAAAGTGATTGGGCACTTTTCCACTTTTCCATATGATACTTGGTGTCATGTTATTGTTAACTCGTTGTCTTGCTTTTTGAAATAATAAAGGAATAAAATACATTACCTTATTTTTTTTTATTCACTGTAAGTTTGCACAGTGCTGGAAAATTTGATGGCATACTTCTCGTGGTTCTACATACAGATGAAAATTAAACAAAAAGGCATATTGACATTTAAGGATTCTCTTTAATGTTCTGTATTCCTAATTGAATTATTTTGAGGGAGATAGCCAAAGGAAGGCCTTTCTTCTCACCTTATAAGAAAAACAAGCACTATTGGAAACATGGTCTTGAAAAAAAATTTTTAAAGTAATTTTTAGTTTTAGGAGGAAATGAAGAAAAAGTATCTGTGTGAAGACAGCCTTGGGAATTAGCCATCTGTGCATCATGGGAAAAAATTCCATTATCTACTGAAGAAGAGTTTTTTGAAGATGTGTGTAGAGCTGGAACTCAGGGTGGGGACATACCTCTTACTATCCATTTATGAACTTAAAAGAAAGGATAGCCGTGTAGATTGAGAATGAAGTCTTCCAAGTAAATCTTTTAAAAAATTCTTCCCCTCATACCAAATCTCAAAATAAGGCTGATAAATCTGTTAAACATGATGTGTTGTTGGCCTCCTTACATCTCCCCATGATGAGTGCATACAGATAATGGAATCTGTCCATGTCTTATTACCCTATTTATCACTGACTTTGGGCTAGTAAACTCTCACAAGTTTTGTATTATACAGCATCATTGAAAAGAGAATGTTCTTACAGCTGTTGAAGACTTCTAATGATCTCAACTCTGATATTGTTGTGATTCTTTTTGACTATATTTTCTGGTTTAGAACCTTAAATTTGAAATGGCATTATAATTGGATTAATTCTCCGTTGGAGAATCTGCAAGAATGTTACTAACATGATCTTTGTGGAATGAAGGGCATTTACATTAAAGTGGAGATGAATATTTTGTTCCTCAAACAAATAAACTACTTGGTATTTAAGCAAATGGCCAAAATAAAGTCATATTCTGATTAAAATTAGTGTTTCTGTACATGCTGATTCATTCATATTTATTTTTTTCCTACATACAGCATATGTCTTAAGTATATTCAAGGTAATTCATTTCAGACAAATTAAAAGTAGATATTGAAGTACCTTATATGTGATGTTTGCAAATCAAAATTCCATGGAATTTCCAAATACACATTTAAGCATTAATAAGTTTAGCTTATTAAAGAGAGATTGCTTGATATTCCAAGTTTAATAATTAAAAATAATTTTTATCCTTAGATTAAGTAACATTAAACACTGGAGATAAATTATTCATATGCATAATTGACCTTAAGTAAATCGATCTTTTATAACCTTTCTATACTCAGTGGTTTTGGTAAGCTCTTTTAGATAATTTGATTTAGGGAAGTGATTTTCAATAAATGTGCATTGAAATCTTCTGATTTGTAAAATTTCTGAATAGTGTGAATTATTTATTAAAATTCTAAATAAGAATGCCTCATTATTTGTTGTTTTATAATTCTCAAACTCGAAAAACATTATCAAAATGCCAGGGTATGCTGATTGATAGTGTATTACACTCAAATTGGACTAAGAGAGTTTGATCGGCGCAGGAGCTGCATTCTTTGAATATTGACTATGGACCAGGCACTGAGCTATGCATTTTATATACTTTTATTTATTTGGTGTTCTCAGAGAACTTCTAGACTCTAGCATTTACTCTGTGATGTTGGACAAGCTACTTACCATGTTCACATGCAAATCAGGAAATCAACTCTTAGTTTAGAAGTTTCATATTACCACCTTTCTTTTGACTTTCTTTTTGTTTTTTGAGACGGAGTCTATCTCTGTTGCCCAGGCTGGAGTGCAGTGGCGCAATCTCGGCTCACTGCAAGCTCCGCCTCCCGGGTTCACGCCATTTTCCTGCCTCAGCCTCCCGAGAAGCTGGGACTACAGGCGCCTGTCACCACGCTGGGCTAATTTTTTGTATTTTTAGTAGAGACGGGGTTTCACCGTGTTAGCCAGGATGGTCTCAATCTCCTGACCTCATGATCTGCCCGCCTCGGCCTCCCAAAGTGCTGGGATTACAGCCGTGAGCCACTGCACCCGGCCTCTTTTGACTTTCTGCTCAAACTGTCCCCTTACTTATAGTTGAAGAAGACAAGAATTGCATTTTCCAAGCCATGATTGTCCCTAGTACCTAGTAGTAGTAGTAGATGAGTGATGTTCACAAGCTATATTAATGTGTAAAATAAGTAAGCATCATGACTGCCTGAGAGTAAACTGGGAATATTGGATAAATTTTATGTTGGGCGTTTACTTTGAAAAATATATTTTATGTCAGGCCCCTGCTTTTCTTGCCTTTCACATTACCTGAGTGTTGTTAACAATGGTCACAGTGGAGGGCTGAATTTGGATGTTGAATTTAGCCATAAGACAATTTATACTTTGAAGATTAGATTTAAGCTTTATTTTTCATTATTTAATATGCTGAAGATAAGAGGAGCCAAAATGGGAAATATGAGAAATTTAGCTTAAATGTATAAACTCTCACAAACCCAGTTCTTACAGCTATGATAGAAGTCCTATTGTGGATTTACTGCATTTCTTGGCAGTAATGCTTACTGCAAGCTTTATTACAAATTACCTATAAATTGCTATGTGTTTTCACTTTCATCTTTATGTAGATTTCACCTTGGGTCACATTTGCTCCCACATGTAAGAAGAGGGTAGTGCACTGGATGAGGAAATTTTGATGTGATATGTTTGTCAGTAAATGCATCTTATCTGAGTATTTTCATTTCTCTATGCTTATTGGGTATTAAAGATATTTTTCTGAAGAAGGAATTACAGTAAGGACAAGCCTGCATTTTCAGGCAAGCTAGGATTTAAATTGGGAGAATCAAAGTCATTCCATCCTAACCCCATGATCTGGTAAAGAGAAACTCATACTTCCATCTGTTCTAATTTATGTGAGGTACCTAGATGATCATATTACTTCCCTCTACGAGACACTGGTGACAGAGAGTCAGCCTTTTCCTTCTGCACTGGCTTGGGCACACATGGAGAAGTATATTAGTTCATTCAAGAGGACCTCAAGGAGGTTGCTGGCTATTCAGGAAATATATTTCCTTTTCCTAAGGCTGGATTTGGTTTTAGGAGGATGGCTGTATGCAATGAGAATGGCAGTTTATTTGTTCTGGGAACAATGTATTTTTGGGTTTTTGTGTGTATGTATGTCCTAAATCCAATTTTTCCCCAGTGGGATCTTCTTTATTTTTCTAGTTCATATATAGCTTTTATAAGCAAGTGATAATTAATGGAACAGACATTTTAGTTGTTGTTGAATCCTTTCCATTTCTCTTCCCATCATAAGGGCCAGCTTCAGATGCTGTTAGGTCCTAATAACTTCCTGGTGATAACCATGTGGCCCACCCATCCCATTAATTTCTGCTTTTATTCTGAAGTTATTGAAGAAACAAGAGTAATTCTTGTATATATTTTTGATGCTTACCTAATAAGATACTAGGCTTTGAAGAAATGCAAATAATGTCTAAATGTTCAATCTATACAGCTTCAATATTAGCAAACTGCTATGAAAGTAATGTTTACACATTTTTTTCACATTTTTGTAATTTTGAGTTCAATGTTGAACCAAAATTTCCTGGGACTAGAAAAAAAAGAGCCTGATTATGAGAAAAGAAGAGCAAAACAACAGAAGACAAATACAATTGTAGTGTAAAATGTACTATTTTGATTTGAAAGTTTACACGTGTACTGAAGACCAGGAAACAATCTGAATATTGCAATACAAAAATATCTTGCTTTTCTCATTTATCTCAGTTTATTCTTAAAGGTGTTCATCAATTACTGTTAGATCTAGCAGGCTATTTGAAGAGCTATTAGTGTATTTTGACCCTGGAAGAAAAGAATACATTTTGTGCTTTAGTGAAATATTTATTTTATGTGGTTGATAAACACTTATAGAATATTTACTCAGTACCAGTTACTGTTTTAGAAACTTTATACATCATTTAATTCTCATAACCATTCTGTGAGATAGGTGTTATTATTATCCCAGGCTTTTAGATGAGAAAATGGGCACAGAGGTTAAATAACTTGTAAAAGTTCACCAAGTTGTCTGGTCCAGAACTTAAAACTTCAGGCTATTTTGCCTCTCAGTGCTGCATTCATTCTAATCTACTTAAGTTGTATTCATTTAAAAGACTACAAATTGCAATTTGAACAGGGTCAATTTATGATTTTTTAAACTTAGCAAGGAGAAAGATTTAAATGTAGAAAGAGGTGGATGTATAGTCATGTGTTGCTTAACAGTGGGGATGTTTTGAGAAAAGTGTCCTTTGGCAATTTTGTCATTGTGTGAACATTATAGAGGGGACTTACACAAACCTGCATGGTATAGCCTACTACTGCACACCTAGGCTATATGGTACAGCCTATTGGGCCTAGGCTATAAATCTGTACAGCATGTTACTGTACTAGATACTGTAGGCAATGGTAACATAATGTTAACTGTTTATATGTCTAGATATAGGCCCAGTAAAAATGTTATTATAATCTATGGAACCAGAGTTGTATATGTGGTCCATTGTTGACTAAAACACTGTTATGCCATGCATGACTGTATATAAATTATAGTACATGATGTTTCCAGAAATTTCTGGATGTTTTTTCTTTAATATTTTGGGAAATGACCTAGATTGCCTAAGCTGACCCAGATTGCCTAAGAGATGCCTATGCAAGCATCTCTCTTAAATCCCACCAATCCTGTACTTACCTTTATACAGAATGAACGTTATTTGCCCATAATTGAGAGTCCCAAATGATTACTAACTGGCTCTCTTTTTTGAACAATTTCATTTATTCTCTGAGATGGGTTTATGTGAGTGCTATAATATGTGTGGCTATAATATGCATGAACAGTGTTGTGTATATATTTTTGTAAAAATGTTCGTCTAGATTCCTGAAGCAAGGAGAATACGAGTATGCTCATATTTGAATCTCTTTGCTACTCTCCTAGAGGCAGAGGTATATAGATAGACACTTAAAATATTCTCAGTTAGTTTGGAAAATTAGCACTTAGACAATTTCTATGTATCTATAGGTTATCAAACTATGGATATGTTCTTAAAAATGTTGCAATTCACAGAGAGCTAGGCACTTAATGCAGAGAAGAATAATGAAAGGTTTGCTTTTTCTAAGTCTTGTTCTTCACTTAATGCTTTTGAGCCAAGTCATTTCAACATTATTTTAATGCAAATTTCAAGAAAGTATCTGATGAGTGTGTGTGTGTGGAGGGGTGCTGGGGTAGAGGTGTTGGTTGGAAGGTGCAGTACATGGATCCATAGAAGATGATTCAGTACAATACCCAGTAATTCACACTTGGAACACCTGACAACAATTGAAATATATTAGGCCAAGGAAGAAATTTTTTCTCCTAGCAAACCTTCTCTGAAGTGGCATTTTTCCTAACCTTCAAGGTAGAATAAATCCTCAATATGGTAATAACCAAGAACTGCAAATAAATATTAGAGATATTTGCTGACTAAACATCTAGCTTTTTGCACATGTGGTAACTTTGTTCCTATTATTATTAGCTTAGGATAATAGTGAAAAATATTTCAAATATATATTTATAATAGATACCGTATGAAAAAATAATATCAGGCCGGGCGCAGTGGCTCATGCCTGTAATCCCAGCACTTTGGGAGGCCAAGGCAGGTGGATCACGAGGTCAGGAGTTCTAGAACAGCCTGGCCAATATGGTGAAACCCCGTCTCTACTAAAAATACAAAAATTAGCCAGGCATGGTGGTGTGCACGTGTAGTCCCAGTTACTCAGGAGGCTGAGGCAGAAGAGTCACTTGAACCCAGGAGGCGAAGGTTGCAGTGAGTCGAGATTGCGCCACTGCACTTCAGCCTGGGTGACAAACTGAGACTCCATCAAAAAAAAAAAAAACTAAAAAAATTTAAAAAATAATAATGTCAGCTTAGTTCCTTTATTACCAAGGTTTCCACACCTACTACCCCATCAAACAACTCTTTTGGGTTAACTGATTCAGGAATAGGGAAAAAGTCTGCCAGTGCCATTTTTCTGACAGCATGTACTCATTTCATGTTTCTGTGTTACGCTTTGGCAATTATCAGAATATTTTAACCTTTATTAGTATTATATATGTTAAGGTGTTCTGTGACCAGTGATCTCTGATGTTATTATTGTAATTATTTTGGCGCACCATGGAACATGCCCATGGGGGACAGTAAACTTAATTGATAAATGTTGTGTGTGTTCTGACTGCTCCAGAGAACAGCCATTCCTCCAGCTTTCTCCTTCTCCTTGGGCCTGCTTATTCCCTGTGAAACAACAATATTGAAATTAGGCCAAGTAATAACCCTACAGTGCCCTCTAAGTATTCAATGAAAGGAAGAGCCGCACGTCTCTTTAAATCAAAAGCTAGAAATGCTTAAGCTTAGTTAGGAAGGCATGTTGAAAGCTTACGCAGGCCAAAAACTAGGCCTCTTATACCAAAAAGCTAGCTAATTTGTGAATGCAAAGGAAAAGTTCTTGAAAGAAATTAAAAGTGCTATTCCAGTGAACATGCAAATGATTAAAAAACAAAACAGCTTTATTGCTGATGTAAGGTTTTAGTGGTCTGGATAGAAGATCAAACCAGCCACAAAGCCTAATCCAGAGAAAGAACCTAACCCTCTTCAATTTTGTGAAGACTGAGAGAGATAAGGAAGCTGCCCAAGAAAAGTCTGAAGCCAGCAGTGTTTGTTTCATGTAAGGAAATAAGTCAGCTCTATAACATAAAAGTGTAGGGTAAACCAGCAAGTACTGATGTAAAAGCTGTAGTAAGTTATTTAGAAGATGTAGATAAGATCATTGATGAAGGTGGCTACACTAAACTACAGATTTTCAATGTAGATAAAACAGTCTTCTGTTGGAAGAAGATGTCATCTAGGACTTTCATAACTAGAGAGGAGAAGTCAATGCCTATCAAAGCTCCAAAGGACAGGCTAACTCTTTTGTTAGATGCTAATGTAGCTGGTGACTTTAACTTGAAACCAATGCTCATTAACTCTTCTGAAAATTCTGGGGCCCTTGAATTATGCTAAACCCACACTGTCCTCTATAAATGAAACAACAAAGCCTAGATGGCAGCGTGTCTGTTTACTGCATGTTGTACTAAATATTTTAAACCCAACGTTGAAACCTGCTCAGAACAAAAGATTCCTTTCAAAATATTGCTCATTGACAATGCACCTGGTCACCCAAGAGCTCTGATGGAGATGCACAAAGAAATAAATGGAGTTTTCATGCTTTCTAACACAACATCCATTCTATAGCCCATGGGTCAAGGAATAATTCCAAGTTTCAAGTCTTATTTTTTAAGAAATACATTTTGTAAGGCGATACTCGCTGTAGATGGTGATTCCTCTGATAGATCTGGGCAAAGTAAATTGAAAATCTTTTGGAAATAATTCACCATTTTTGATGCCACTAAGAACATTTGTGATTCATGGAAGGAGGTCAAAATATCAACATTATCAGGAGTTTGGAAGAAGTTGATTCCAACCCTCATGAGTTACTTTGAGGGTTTCAAGACTTCAGTGGAGGAAGATACCACAAATTAAAGCAGGGGAGGAATAGCAAGATAACTGAGTTAGAAATGGAGCCTGAAGATGGGACCAAATTGCTGCATTTTCATGACGTAGTTATCGTGGATTAGAAGTGGCTTCTATGGATGAGAAAGTGGTTTCTTGAGATGAACTCTATTCCCAGTGAAGATGCTGTGAACATGGTTAAATGACAACAAAGGATTTAGAATATTCCATAAACTTAGTTGAAAAAACAGTGGCAGGGTTTGAGAGGATTGACTACAATTTTGAAAGAAGTGCTACTGTGAGTGAAACACTGTCAAACAGCCTCACATACTACAGATAATTTTTTTTTTTTTTTTTTTTTTAAGACAGAGCCTTGCTCAGTCACCCAGGCTGGAGTGTAGTGAGTGGCGTGATTTCGGCTCACTACAACCTCCACCTTCTGGGTTCAAACAATTCTTCTGTCCCAGCCTCTCGAGTAGCTGGGATTACAGTCGCCCGCCACCACGCTTGGCTTAGATGGTGTTTTGCCATGTTGGCAAGGCTGGTTTTGAACTCCTGACCTCAGGTGATCCACCTGCCTTGGCCTTTGACTCAAAGTGCTGGGATTACAGGCATGAGCCACCGCGCCTGGCCCAGATAAATCTTTTGTGAAAGAAAGAGTCAATCGATGCAGCAAACTCCATTGTTGTTTCATTTTCAAAAATTGCCACAGCCACCCCTAACCTTCAGCAACCACCATCCTGGTCAGTCAGCAACCATTAACATCAAGGCAAGAACCGCCACCATCAAAAAGATTTCAACTCACTAAAGGCTCAGATGATTTTTAGCATTTTGTAGAGAGAGATACATATACATTTGAGACAGAGTCTTGCTCTGTCTCCAGGCTGGAGTGCAGTGGCACGATCTCAGCTTACTACAACCTCTGCCTCCCGGGTTCAAGCGATTCCCCTGCCTCAGCCTCCCAAGTAACTGGGATTACAGGCACATGCCACCACGCCTGGCTAATTTTTTGTATCTTACTAGAGGCGGGGTTTCACCGTGTTGGCCAAGATGGTCTTGATCTCCTGACCTTGTGATCCACTCGCCTCGGCCTCCCAAAGTGCTGGGATTACAGGTGTGAGCCACTGCGCCCAGCCTTTAGCAATATTTTTAAAATAAGGTACGTACATTTTTTTTAGCATAATGCTCCGCACACTTAATAGGCTACAGTAATATAGAGTAAATGTAATTTTTACATGCACTGGGAAACCAAAAAAATCCATGTGACTTGCTTTATTGTGATATTTGCTTTATTGTGATGGTCTGATACGAAACCTGCAGTATCTCTGAGGAATGCCTGTATTTTTTAACCCAGCAGGTTCACTCATTGTAATAGGAAAAAACAAAAGTTGATATATACACACATGTATTTTTCATGTGAGTATGTACTAATACACATTAAAAAAATTTTTTTTTTGGAAGGAAACCCAGGGAGACAGAACTGTGGAGGAGAAGAGAATATACCTTTTACTAACCTTGACTATGTTCTACTTTCTAAAAAAGTCAATAAGCAGTTATCTGAGAAAGGGATTATGGATATAGTTTTTGTTCTCCAATAATATCTCTTTTTTTTCCTCTCACCTGCCCCCGACTACGTCCTAATATATGTTATTTTTTCTTGGTATAGAAAACACTTTTTTTCATTTTCATAAAGAAAATTTTGTTGAAGAAGATTAATCTTCCATTTCCAGAAAATGAGTTTGTTTTTATAAATCAAGCATATGGAAAAATTGCATCAAGCTATTGCTGTAGGTAATGCACTGAATTACCAGCCTCTTATCATTTTGGTATATTTTATACCAGAAAATTCACAACTATGCAGCTGTTTATTAAACTGTAAATTGGCTTGGGGCCTAGGTTTTATGTGCCTCTAAAATCTATAAATAAGAAAAAAAAACACCCTGGATATATTTTAGAATATATAAAATGCTTTCCAGTTAATTTGGTGTTTTATATAAATTTTATCTATATTTATAGTCGTGACCTTATATATCCCATAAAAACAGGGAAGAAAATCAAGACTAAGGCAGCTGCATTTATATTTTTGGTGAATGTTCCATAGAAAGAAAATAGCTGCTTTTGCCCTGAGTCTTAGACGCCAAGTTGATATCAGTAATTTAGGGCCATTATCAAACAAAAATGGCCCTCACTATGGCTACTCTGTTGAACCCAGCATGTCTTCTCAGTTCTACATTTTCAGAGGCTGAACTCTATTCCAAGGGGGTAATTTTGACTTGGTCATTGTCACATAATGCGGGTATTACCGTACATGACCACACTTCCCGGGGATAATGGCACAGCTGGGCTGCCAATTGGGCTTAGGAGAATGACGTCGGGTTTATTTTGCTCCCAGCAATCCTAGGAGGACAAAACTTGCTTTGGTTGGAAAGATAGAATAGTAATAGATATTTTGTTGTTATATAGCACTTGCTTGTAAAAAAAAAATCTTAGAGTGCCTTTGCAAGCATTAATTGGCATTCCTCTTAGGTTGATAAGTGTTGTTACATGGTGTACATTTAAAGATTTTTTTATGGTAATATATAGAGCTGGATAATTAGACTATGGTTAAATGACAGAGCTAACTACAAAAACAAGTAGTTTAGATTCCTTTTTCTGGCTCTGATCACCAAATATTATCTTTGAGACGGCAAGGGAGCATGCCTCTACATTGAGGTGATGTCCTATTTTAAGCTCCTTCAAAGCAGAAACTGTTTTTCTTAATTTCTTAGCTCTTGATTCTCTTCTCAAGCATGGGATCATTTTAATAGCATTTCTATGTACATTCCTCATTCTCTTTATGTCTTTCTTGGCATATGATCAACACCTCACCCATTAAATAGGCCTAAAGATGCAATGTAATGTAGCAATGCTGTCTTGTAAGAAAGCACTGTTCATGCAGGCTACTGTGGTGGCCGTTTGAAGGCCCTCTCTCACCAGGAAAAGGAATAACAAAAGAACTGGTATTTCCCCCTTCACGTGGCACATAAAACCAAATAGGACTTGACCTGTCCTTAGAATATTAGTATTTATAGTACCAAAAAGGACTTTGTTTTACCATTTTCACTAATATCACAGTCTTTGTTATTGGGCCATATTGAAGTTTAAAAATAAACGTGTTTGCTTTTCATACATTTTAGCTGTCTTTTAAATTATACTTGTTTTTCTTCCAACTTATAGGGCATCTCTCTTTGTACATGTAATTAGTAGATCTGGGTTCAGAAGTCTTTTTATTTTTAAAAAAATTATTTTAAATTTCAGTCATGTATATATATCTGGGATGTATGCAAATAATTTATAAACCAGTTATATGTAATTATTAATATAAATCGAATGCTTCTTCTGTGTTAGAGCTGGACTATTAATGCAGCCCATTTTGCTATTCTAATACAAAATAATCATAAATAGTGGCAATTTGTTTAAACTCTCAGATGGATTTAAATCTTTAAATATGTTATTAACCATAACACTCAAAAAGAGAATTTTATAAAATTGACCTACAAATAAAACCATCTTATAAAGAAGTGATGACTTACCAATTTTAAGATATTTTCTTTTTATGGCTATTTCAATAGCAATTTGAATGAATAAATGTAGATATGTGTTGTCTGTATATATTAGGCTAGAAATAAGGGATGTTTTCAAAGGTAAGAAATAAAACATCCCATCAATCCTACTGCATTTCTTTAGTAAGAGATTTTCCTAATATATTTTCACTTGGAGACTTCTAAAAAATTGCTTGAAGAATTAAAGCACTCTATAGACAGATCAAAGTTGCAAGTGTCTAATGTAGGCTTAGAAATTCCATAATGTTCATTAGGAAACATTAATACTTCTCAGAGATTTCCCTTTGAGTTAATGGAAGCTTTCTATTGGGACAAAAGTTTAAGCATTACATTTTTTTCTGAACTTTTAAATTCTGTACCATAATGATACGCTGTTTTATAAACACACTGATTATAAAATTATTTATAGCCTTATTTCAATATTCACTAAACTATGGATTTATATTTGGCTTTTAAATCTATTACATTTTTTAGGTTGGGCGCAGTGGCTCACACCTGTAATTCCAGCACTTTGGGAGGCTGAGGCGGGCAAATCACCTGAGGCCAGGAGTTCGAGACCAGCCAGGTTAACAGGGTGAAACCCTGTCTCTACTAAAAATACAAAAATTAGCTGGGTGTGGTGGTGGTCACCTGTAATCCCAGCTACTCAGGAGGCTGAGGCAGGAGAATTGCTTGAATCCGGGAAGGGGAGAGGTTGCAGTAACTCCATCTTAAAACTCCATCTTAAAAAATAAAAATAGGCCGGGTATGGTGGCTCGTGCCTGTGGTCCCAGCACTTTGGGAGGCTGAGGCGAGCGGATCATGAGGTCAGGAAAGCGAGACCATCCTGGCTAACACAGTGAAACCCTGTCTGTACTACAAATACAAAAAAAAAAAAAAAAAAAAATTAGCCGGGCGTGGTGGCATGTGCCTGTAGTCCTAGCTATTCGGGAGGCTGAAGCAGGAGAAGCACTTGAACCTGGGAGGCGGAGGTTGCAGTGAGCTGAGATCACACCACTGCACTCCAGTCTGGGCGACAGAGCGAGACTCCATCACAATAAATAAATAAAATCAATTAAATGTTTTAATCTGAATTTGAAATATTGTGAAAAAGTATAATGTCAAATTTAAAAATCACATATGTATCTTTTATTTTCACACTGTAGCTTTTTTATTGTACCTGAAAATCTTTAAGAGTATGATTTTATTTTGTATTTATATTAAACAGATTTACATCTGCTAAATATATAAGAGCTTTCTAAGATCCGTGCTCATTTCTGTTTTCCAAGAAAAATAATTTTAAAGTGCCCTGTCCACTGTCCCTACCCCTATAGATGGATGACTTAGGAAATTTAATTTCTGTAAAATCTCTAGGATATCCCACAGAGGAAAATGCATGGATGCTGGTGGACACTAAGATATACATACAAAACAATAACAATAAGGCCACTATTTTTTTTCAAAAAACCCAGAAAGTTGGGTTGGGTGCTCATTTATGGGCAAATCATCTGAGAAGCTGGCAGCTGCCATTTGAACCCTCTGGTTGAAAGGAATAATTTTTAGAAGAGGAGTGCTGTACGACAAGACAATGTCTACTTTAAATAGCTTTATTTTAATGAGCACGTATGTGAGTTGTGTCAGGGACAGTGCTGGGCACTTATTAGCCATTGTTTCAGAAGAGAGAAAATAAACAAATGCTAAAACTGATTAAGAAATATTTGATAGAGCAGTATAGATAAGTTAGATGCTCAGGCAGCAGTTTCAATTCTGTTTCAGAGGACAGGGATCTACTTATTTAGTTTGCTACAGATTATGATCTACTGAACAGTATGATTTATAAATGAGAAATGTTATTTTTGTTAAATCCTGGGAAAGTTTATTTCTGATATCCACTTATGTTGTTCTTTGATGACTACCTGAAGGGGTCCACTGCTGGCTTCTTTGTTTATGGGACATGTGTACTGTGTTTCCTAATTCTGAATCTTCATTAATTCAAGACTTCTCATGGATTTTAACAGTTTTACTTCCATTCCAGATTTCACACACACACACTCACACCCATACATATATAAATCTAATGTTTCTTCTTGGAGGTGCATCTGAAAGGGAAAAAATAAACAATCATGAATTTTGAAGTCTCTTCCTGTTATAATATACAATATTTATTTTGTAAGCAAATGTCCATGCCTGGAGGATGGCATATCCCAAGAAAGGACACAATTTTGTGCATAAGCTTGAACCTTAGGACCTTGTATTCTGGGATTATATTTTATTATATATTTAAATAAATATATAAAATAAATTACATACTAAATTCTATTATCTACAATCTAGTGATGCATGTCATGATAACTCATACAAGCCCTCCTTTTTAATAGACATATAATCACTACATTGGCAGGGCTAGGGTGGAAGATGGAATAATACTGTTTAAACTCTTTTTTTAAAAGGATTTAATTAAACATATTTATTCCTCTGCAGGTGGCTTTACCAAGCCTACACAATTTCAGGACCGCTGTTAGTTCATGCTATTCAGTGGCTATGACAAAGGAACATTATGTGGAGAGAAAAGATGTATGTGTGTCTTCAAAATTGGTTGTGAGAATGAGACAATTTTGAGGTGGCTAGGGTCAAATGGGTTTTGTGCTATGATTTGTTACAAAACTAAAACTTTTTCTGACTTGCATATATAGGAGCAGAATTTCTCAACCTTATCTTGTGCCTCTGATATGAAATTGAGTAACTATAGGAAAACACTTTGTTAGATGACAAATCATGCTTCCAAGTGTAAAGGTTAATAGTTAAGATTACTAAAATTAACAAAATTAAAACATGATAGGCTCAATCTATTTGCGGAACTGTGTAAGAGCAATCCAAGATGTTTGATATTTTTTTAATACAGAAAATGCAACAAAATCATTTTCTTATGACAAAAACAATATATAAACAATATATAAACTTTTATTACAATAGCTAACATACTTTTCCATCTATCTGTAGACTTGTGGTAACCCTCAGAGCGATCATCTCTGCCAAATGCCATTCATGCAACACTTACTGTTACTGCTGTAGGCCTGTTGACCTGGGCATCTGTCTTTCTGAATGTTTCGGGTCTGTCCTCCTGCCTCTCCTCATCCAACCCTTGATCTTCAGCCACAGCTACCCAGAGGAGCAAGTACGAAATGGTGGGAAGACTGTTTCTACTCTGATGTTGGAGTTTAGGTTGGAGTCACTTCTTGCCTGGTCCTTTTTATATGCCCCCTACTCTCTCAACTAAAAATGAACTAATACTCATCATCTTCTCTTCTTTCTTCTCTGAATGAGAGATGTTGTCCCTGTAATTTTGGTATTTACATCCAAATACTTAAGGCAATTTGGCTTTTACTCTTCCTTCCCCCTGCTAGGATGATTTCTTTCTATATTCTCACCCTGGCAAGATTTCTTGTGCTGGGTTCATAGATTCAAGTTTCTTTTTTGAGGAAGTTCAGTATAGTTGGAGGAAGCTTATGTTACCTTCAAATTGAAAGACTTTTCTAGAGTATTTTTCCTTGATTTTGTTTAATGTAGGAATACTAGTTGAAAATATGGCCAGAAGCTGGTGGGAGATAGAAAATGCAAACTTCTCTCTCTGTGTCTCTCTCTCTCTCCTTCTCTCTTTCTCTTTTTCTAGTGTTCTTGTAATTAGAATATTGCAATCATTCTTTTATTTTCTCTTGTGTGCACTATCGTTTACCTGCTTCTCCTTTGGAAATTTACTTTCTAAGGAGAAATTAACTTTCTAAAAATTCTAATTACATAGAAATTTAATTAAAAATATAGTGTAACTATTGTTTATTTCCTGAAAGCGGAATAAATAAAGGTAGCAGCAACACTCTCTGCTTTTTAGGATTTATAGCTTTGGAAGCACACACATAAATCTTTATACCATATGAGAGAATATAATTATATAATAGTGGTATAAGGAAAATAGAAATTACCCTAAAAATAGAAAATATAAGGGATAATGGAATATGTAATGACTGGTAAAAAAACCAACCAAACAAAAAAACCCAGATGAACAGATAACCAAACAAAAAATACCCTCTCAAATCAGAACAGCAGTGTTGTTTAGCATAAAAGTTAAAAGCTTCAAAGGAATATGATTGAAGGCTAAATAAAAAATAAAGGAAAAGTTAAAATGACCTTGTTCTCCAAATCTTGTTTATGAATACTAGAATATTCTATAACCATTATGTGAACTTTAAAAGAGGCATTCATGATTCAAGAAGAAAGATAAACTGCTTTGCTTCTTAAGTGGTTCTTGAAACTTGTTATGCAAATACATAGTAAAGTAGAAACATATAATTGGGTCAAAAGAAATTTGAATGAGTTAATTTTTTTATTATTTATAAGGAAAACTGAGATATTTGTGAGATTGAGACTAGTGTGAGATTTAAATCAATGCTTTTGGTGTTGGTATGTGGAGGGCATATATGATCATCTTACCCTTCCAAAACATGTACATCCATTGGTTTTTTTGTTTTTGTTTTTTTGACACATGATCTCACTCTGTCATCCAGGCTGGAGTGCAGTGGTGCAATCATAGTTCACTGCAACCTTGAATTCCTGGGCTCAAGTAATCCTCCTGCCTCAGCCTCCTGAGTAGCTGGGACTACAGGCATGTACCACCATACCCCTTTAATTATTTTATTTTATTTTAATTTTTTAGTAGAGATGAGGTCTCACTGTTTTGCCCAGGCTGGCCTTGAAACAATCCTTTCAACCTTGGTCTCCCAAAGTACTGGGATTGCAGGCATGAGCCATTGTGACTTACCTGTATGTCCATTGTTGTTACTGCATATATCTGGTCAGGTCTGTTGTGACACAAAAGATTTACTCTCATTGTGAAGCGGGGATTATGCTCAGCTGAAAGACTATATTTTTGTTATGTCAGAGATACAAGGAAACACATGAAATTAGTACCACCATTCTTTTATTCCCTGCCATCTGTGTCAACCTAACAAAATACAAGCTCCAGGAGTCACCCATATTCATTAATGAACTTATCATTATACTATTTCATTCTCTGTATCTCTAGATATTTCCTCCCTTTGTTTTTCATCTCCCAACCCTTCCCATAATTCTCCAGAACCATATCAACTTGAAAACAAACCAGAACACCTTAAGGAACATTACCCCTCTATCTTTTTTCTATTAATTAAAAGATAGCTCTATCCTGCCACCATATGGAATGGTGTCTGCCTATGTTCCCACCTTCTAGGAATCATGGGTCTCAGCGGTGGTAGTGGGCAATCACTCACCTTGCCTTTTACTTCTGTGTCTACAGAGTGACTCCTCTCTGTCATATAAAAATCCCTCCTTCTTTGGAACTCATAACTTCTGGATATCCCATATCCTGAACTAACCACTCCTCAGCAGTTATTAGAGGTTAGAAGACTGTAGGATGATGACTCAGCCTTAGTTTAAAGTTGCTTTTAATTTGTCCTATCACTAAACTAGCAAACAAAGAGTGCAAGCTAGGATCCAAGCTAGATAAAACTGAATGGATGCAGATATCTAGGATACAAGCTTAATAAAACTGAATGGATGCAGATTTCCAGTCTCCTTGCTCTCTTGATGGGTGCTCAAAGTTCAGGGTCAATGTAACAAGCAGGAATTGAGGAATCCACCAGCTCCAGTTTCCCAGAACTTGGCTTTTAATGAGAGGGTTTGTGAGAGTGGCCCCATAAAATCTCTAGCATCCATCGTATTATTTTATTAGGAAATTCATTCATGATATGCTGCAGTAATATACATTCCTTTTTTTGTGTTCTTCACCCATCATGGTGCCAACCTGTAGCAGAGCTCATCATGGGATACTCCATTTATCAGTCTCGTTATCACTTCTCTACATTTTTCAATGATTATGGAATTAACTAATAGATTGTTCCATTCAAGTTTAGCTGTCAGGTGAATGACTTCTGTGTCTACCTGAATCACCCCATCCACCATCTAGTCTCAGAATTCTTTAATTTACTTACTTCAAGTAATCTTTGCTCCATTTTTCCCTGACAACCTTCTCACATTGAGCAGTTGGTGTGTTATTCTAGAAAGAGTATATGCTTTGGAATTACACAGGCTAGAGTTTATATCCCAGTTCGGCTACTGACTAACTGTGTAACATTGGGCAAATCATGTAACTTGACTCATACTTAGTCTTTTCATCTATAAAAATAATGAATCAAGCTGAGTGTAGTGGCTCACACCTGTAATCTCAGCAACTCAGAAGGTTGAGGCAAGAGTATCACTTGAGTCCAGTAGTTTGAGACCGGTCTGGGCAATATAGCAAGACCTTGTCTCTCTAAATAAAGAAAATCATTATCAAATGAGATGGCATATGTAAAATGCCAAGCACAATGCCTACAGATGCTCAAAAATGCAAGTTTCAGCTCTCCTTCATATGGTTACATGTTAGGTCTTTTCCATGTATTAGAATTTTCAGTCTCTGAAATCTTAAACTCCAAGACGTACCTTCTTATTCTTTGAGTTGATCTGCTGCATTTACTCTTCAAATTAATTAGAGTTTTAATCTCCTGATTCTTTCATTTTTTTCCCTTAAGCCTGTTAATCCCTTCTTCTAACTACATTTTTTCTCTATGTGGCATAATTCTCAGCAATGGATGCTCCCTAGGCATGCAGCTCCCTCCATTCCTTTGCTCCTTTGTATTTCTTCACCACGACTTTGTAAAGCTTCAGCTTTAAATCAGTCCAACCATTTACCTTCTGTGTTTCTCTACTATTGTTGCTATATATATATCTACCATTGTGTGTGTGTGTGTGTGTGTGTGTATATATATATATGTATGTATGTATGTATCTACCATTGTGTGTGTGTGTGTATAAATATATATATATATATATCAGGCAATATGCTCTAGCTAAGGCTATAGAACACTATGCATTTAGGTATCAAGCATATATATATCCTTTCCTTGCTTTTTAATTTTTTCTCTTTTATTGACATACAATGTTTCACCTATTTACGGAGTACATATGAGTTTTTGCTACATTCATAAAATGTGTCATGATCAAGTTAGGGTATTTGAGGTCTCCATCACCTGAGTGTTTATCATTTTTATGTGTTGGTATCATTTCAAGTCCTCTCTTCTAGTTACTTTAAAATATACATAATATTGTTGTTAAGTATAGTCACTGTAGTCTGCTATCAAATATTAGAACATATTTTTTCTATCTAACTGTATGTGTGTGCCCACAACCAACCTCTCTTCATACCCCCTCACCCCCACTCACCCGTCCCAGTCTCTGGTATCTATGGTCCTTTTTTCTATGTCCCTGAGATCAAGTTTTTTAGCTCTCACATATGAGTGGGAACGTGTGGCATTTGTCTTTCTGTGCCTGGCTTATTTCACTTAACATAATGACCTCAAGTTCCATACATGTTACTGTGAATGACATGATTTTCCTTTATGGCTGAATAATATTCCATTGTGTATATATACGACATTTTTTTTATCCATTCGTCTGTTGATGGACACTTAGGTTGGTTCCTTGCCTAATATATTTTATGTGTCCTTGATAACCTTCTTTTCCATTTCTCTCAAACCTTCACTAACCACCTCAATTCGTAACCCATATCCCTCTCATTTACTTTGAGTTGATAATCTTGACTAAAATATTACTAGAAAGGATCGTCAATTCTTGTACATCTCCTCGATTTCTTGTACATCTACATATACTTTTTAATCCATGATTAACTTTCTCTTTCATCTCCCTGGAAACACGATCTCTTAATTTACACCAGGTTTTATAGTTGTCCAGCAAAGACCACTTTCCATTTTCTTTCTTGATACCTAAGTGCATATAACCTACCGACTCTTAGATTTCTACTTAATCTCATAGATGCCTCCATATGCCTAAAATTCAGCAGTTGATCTCCATTTTGTCGCATCAATCCTAACCTTATTCTCATATTATCATCTCACTTAATGCTTTGCAATGTATTTAGCACCCAAGCTAGAAACATAAGAGTCATATTAGATTTCTGTCTTTTCTTCAAATGCTGTATCCTATTGGCCTATCAGACCTATTGTCTTAATTTTGCTCTATCCTTGTCTGTCTATTCACACTGATGCTATCTTAGATCACATTTTCATCACATCTTATGCAGAATACTGCAAATACCATCCTATTTTCTACCTCTAGTCTCAGTTTCTTCCAATCATTGGCCTTCACAGTTTCCATTCTTTCTGTAATGGAAATATGAGTATGATACTCCTTACTTAAAATGCTTTCTGAATTCCCATTCTAAGTTAAACTCTTTCTCATAGTATTAGGCCCACTGTGATCTAGGCTTCCTTCTCTTCAGCTGCATTTTCTTTCACTTATTCTCATTTAACCTGGGTCCCAGCCACACATAATTTCAGTGAGTTTAATGCTGTTGCATGTCTACAAGCCACATGTTTTTTTCCTCTGCTCAGGACTTTCTGGGGTTATTTTTAAATAATTTTTGAGCACCTCTTATATGCCCAGCTCTGTGATAAATCCTCTTCTAGGTGCTGATAACACACAAAAAATGACAAAGATTGATCTCTGACACTGGGAGGCATGGAGACACATACTGAAGAATGAGTAATTTTATATAGCATCACTGCAGTGGGAACCAAGCCTCCTTTGTTCACCAATGGTCTACCAACACCCGGCATAATGACTGCCACATAGTACCTGATAAAAGCATAATGTGTTTTAATAATAATAATAACACAATAGCTATTACTTATATAGTTGTTTATTTGTGCCAGATATTGTTTAAATGGTTTCACATATATTACCTTGCTTGATAACCAAAACAATCCTATGGAGTATATGCTATTATTGTCTCCATTTTACAAGTGAAATAGAGGCATATAGAGGATAAGCTGCTTGAATAAATTGTATCATATAAACACATCCTCAGAATACAATGGAAACACCAAAGAAAGGTACCTAACCCAACCCTCTTGGCTCAGAAAAGGCTTCCTAGAGCATTCTAGGCAAAGGAAAGAGCATAACGAGGAGACATGGGAGAGCATAGTGTATTCTGAGTTCTGAGTTGGTAAGCGTAAAGTAGGAAGGGAAGAAGAGTGAAAAATAATGCCCAGAGGTATTGCAAGTATAAGCAGGATAAGGTAAAAAATGGAGCCAAGTTTCTTTAATTTTTTGAATCAATTACTCTAGACTCTGCATGCCCTATATTTATCTTTGTGCCATCCTTGATTCATTTCCTCACCTTCTTGAATGACTTACCTTCTTGATGCCTGTCCAAAATGCCAGAAGTTAATGCAATTCAAGCAGAGGAAGAAAGGGTATCCAATGTCTGTATTACTGTCAGTGCTTCCATTTGTATGTAGTGCTGTGTTGGATATCGTCTACCAGGTCCTCATCTTCTGCTGTGGGACAGGTTCCAGGCCAGGACCCATTGATGCTCCAAGCTCAGATCACAGGATTATAAACCGTTCTAGTTCCCATTTCCATGCTCAACATAACTATGCTAAAATGTATTAATTTAGAAAGGCTTCCAACATAAGCTACACAATGTATTGAAAAGATCTCTTCAACAAATCGTTAGGCCCTTGTATTGAGTATATTTCTTCAGATTTACACTCTTATCTGTCACAGGTCCATTTCAGAAGGTTTATCTAATTTTAAATTTTGGGAATTATGATCTGGAGTCTTAGTAATTTCTCAGAGTGACTTCTAATGTGAGTCTATCCAATATCTCCCCATTGACCAGCTTTGCCTAAATGGTGTTAGGGTCAGCAACCTTTTGAGATAGCAAAAGTTATGGGTTACTCTTTCCTCACCTCCCTCATAGAGGGTGGCTTCTCCCTGCCTGCCCTATAAGTGGATCTAGATCACAAAGAGCCTCATCATACAAACCAAGGAGACTGGATTTCATCTAGTTGATGGGAAAGAGACACTGAGGGCTTAAGGCACCGTGATGTTCTGGTCAGGTTTTAGAAAGATGGCACTCTTAGTAGTGGAAGGAGGTTCATAGAGGAGCAACACTGAGGCAGGAACCCTCCTGAGGTTTCTTTAAAGGAGGGTTTCTTTAAAGGAATGGTGATGGGTGCTTGAACAAGCATGATGTTGGAAGGGGGGTAGATTTCAAAGACAGTGTCCTTCATGTGCTTTTAATTTCTGTTCTTTGCAAGACATTCTCTTTTTCATTTTATATATCAGAAAATATCTAAGTATGCTTCTATATGGATCCTAGATAACTCTCTTCTAGTCAAGATTTATTTTTCAGAATAAGTGAGAAATACCAGGCAAGAATCATTCTTTACAGATGGTTCCTTAACTGTCACAATCATGGTGGCCACATATTTCAGTAGCACAGTGATTGACTACAGATTGTGATCAGTGGATGTTTGCTAAATGTTTGAATGGAGTGAGGTCTCAACCAAGGTTTTCTACTTCTTAAAATACTGAAAGACTTCACTTAGCACTTTCGTTTCTATTGTGTTTTCATACAGGGCATAAGGAAGTAAAGAAACGTAAATGGTGAAATTTACTATCTAGTAAATAACAAGTGCTCGTTTGATTGTAAAATCCTAGTATTCAACATTTTTCTCATCTCTATAATAGTAATGATTCATGTGTCATTATTGTATGCATTTCAAAGCTTCTTATGTAGACGTGGGGAAATCCTATTTGACTCTGCATCTGAGTTTTAATTGCACATTATACTTGATTTAATTCATAACTGTTTGTGGTTAATAAGCTATAGTGTCAGAATTGTTGTTAACTTAAAAGCAAGTGGCTAGAGAAAATTAACAGCTAAATTATAAAGTCATTTCAGGATTTGAGATACTTTTAAACTTAGAGGAATAAGTAAATTTAGCAAGCAAAGTGGTAACATTTGAAATGAAATGGTTAATGTTCCAAGGCAATTGGGATGACAAACACATCTTGTTAGTTTCTTATTTAATGAACATGGTTCCACTGAAAAAATCTGAAAATTTTTTATTATGAAATACTGTCACAGGCATAGTACAGAGGCAAGTGCTATGTAGAGATTAATACAAAATGTCACAGTCCCTTCCCTCACAGGGGTGGCAGTCCGAAGAAGATAGAGTGCTTTTTATCAAAGGGTTTCAAATGAGTGAGCAGTCTAATTTTCACAGTTCTTTTTTCCTCCCTTATATTTGCAGTCTTTTATAATTCATGTGGTCAGAAGAATTTTTAAATTAATGTACATTTTTAATTTACACTTTTTCATGATTAGCCTAGTTTCAACTTGTATTAATTTTCTATGTTTAGAAGGAAAAGGAAAAAAATCTTACTAGATGTAGTTATTCCACCATTAAATGAGGAATTGTATTTTTTTCTTTTACTTTTTAAAAAGTCTTAAATACTTGAGGCATTAAGATTTTTGTTTCCCTCAAATAGGTATTTATAAAAAATATTTTATGCTCAGGACACCTATTTATTTTCATGTGGACACCTTCTGGGGCAAGCATTACTTGGAGAATTATTGATTTCTACCTCACTTAATGCCCAAACCTTTGCCAAAGTAATACTGAGGAAGAAATTGGAAAAATTAAACTTGATTGTTTTAAAATCTTGTCAAAGGGGTAAAGCTGTTAAAGGAACAAAAGGAAAATATTTCTACCCAAGTAGCTCTGTATAGTGCAGCCTGCAAAGTGCTTGTGATCGAGAATATTGCAGGTGGGCTACTAGTTTTGTTAACCTGGGGAAGAATATTTCATGGTTATTCTTTAAAAAAAAAAGGATCAGATTATTTTGGAATTATTGTTTCCCAGTTGAGAGATGTAGAAATTAAATAAATTACTTTTAAAAGTAGAAATAGAATTGGGCTTTCTATGAAGGACTGATTTTAGAAAAACCATACATCCTTTTGGAATAATCTTTTTTAGATAAGATTAACATTTAAAATTATAAACTGAGTCTGCTTTACTCAGTCTATAACTTTAAATGTTAATCTTATCTAAAATGTCTTCACAGAAACACCCAGAATAATATTTGACTGAGTATCTGGGCACCCTATGGCCAGTCAAGTTGACACATAAAATTAACCATCACAAGGTTAAATGTGAATTTTATAAAACTTGAACATTAATTAGATATAGGAGATGATGAAGAGGAGGAGTCAAGAATGACTCCAGAGTTTTGACCTTGAGCTATTGGTTAGTGTCATTTGCTAAGTTGAGGACATGTGAGGAAAAACATGGGTAGTAAAGATGTGGGGTAATTAATGTGAACGATTAAACCCAAGCTCTTTTTGATACACATGCATGTACATGTGCACGCACATGCACACACACACACAGACACACACACAGAATTATAAAGTCTCTGATCACAATCTCAAGTTCTTTCCTACCAAGTTTGAATAATAACTCTAAGTCAGAGTGTAGAAGAAATGTTTATTACTTGTTACAGATATAATGTAAAAAATGAGTGAGGGTGAGATTAGGTCCTAAGGAGAGACTGAAAAGGAGCTTGACTGTACCTGGTACAGATGTACCTAGACAGGAATCTCGGTACTTCCCACACAATGTTATTTTTGTTATATTCTCAATGTTATGACTCAGATGTTGGGGAGTGATATGAAGTCTGATTGTTTTGCTGGCATTGCAGAAGATCAAACCACATCTCTGATTATAGGGTCATCTTTTCCTGGAAAGAATGGATATTCCACTCTCAATCATCTTAATGCGAGGTCAGTGCTAGAGAAGGAAAGAAGACTTGGGACATGTAGCTTAAATCCTGGAATGATGATGTTCATTTTATGTAAGTGAAGGTGATTAGTAGGGCTTGAGAATGGTCTTTCTCCTATGAAGCACAAACTTTGGAACTCCTTTTATTATTTATGTACTGAATTATTATTGTTTTCATTAGCTTTAAAAATGAAGTGTATAATAAGTCAATAATTCTCCAGACTATGTCAGTATCTCTCCACTTATAAAAAATTAGGGAAAGAGTAACCAAATAGAACTAGATAGGATAGAATCTACAGTGGGGTTGTATCATAAATGTTTATTTACATGGGTTAAAATCTAAATACAAATGTACAAAATACATCAAAATAAAGCGGGAAAATAATTATTTCTTCATGAGGAAATAAAGAAATACATAGAAATGAGTGTTTAGTGTTTACTCACTTGAGTTGTCAGGCAGAAAATATATGCTGTAGCTGTATTAAAAGGTTTGATGGAATTCAGTGAAGAATTCTGTTAGAGAGGGTTCTGCTCCCTAACAGAAGAAAAAAACAAAAACAAAATCTGAAAACTCCCAAACAGTGCATAGTTTGGTTCCTCATTTACTTGGTTGTCATTATGTGGCTTCCCAGAACACCTGTCTAGTTAAACCATCCAGCAAGGCTCAGAGTGTCTCATTGTTACATTAGGTTACATTTGGTACAACGGTTACATTTTTGGACAAAGATGAATTCACCCCAATGTATATGGATCTTTTTAGGAGGTTTCTCAACCACCACCTATCTCTTAACCACACTTTGAAAGTAGAGTTTAGTCAGCATATATTTGCCTTGTGGCTGAGATATATTGAAGAAAGTGCTGGCATGAAGATTTTCTTTGAGATGGAATCTGAGTAACAATTATAATTTTGTATTCTTTTTCTTTTTCTTGAGACAGAGTCTTGCTCTGTCGCTCTGTTGCCCAGGCTGGAGTGCAATGGCACAATCTTGGCTCGCTGCAAGCCAAGTGCAATGGCACAATCTTGGCTCCGCCTCCCGGGATCAAGCGATTCTCCCGCCTCAGTCTCCCGAGTAGCTGGGATTACAGGCACGCGCCGCCACGCCCAGCTGACTTTTGTATTTTTAGTAGAGACAGGGTTTCACCATGTTGGCCAGGCTGGTCTTGAACTCCTTACCTCATGATCCACCCACCTTGGCCTCCCAAAGTGCTGGGATTACAGGCGTGAGCCACCACGCCTGGCCTAATTTTGTATTCTTATAAATAATTTTATCTGTCTTGTTTGTCTATCATTCTGAAGCTATGTCAGAGATTCCTTACTATTTTAAGCTGTCCTGAAACCTCTCATGAAAGATACATAATAAAATTAGTATTTCTTCTCTTTTCCACAATGTCTTTTATGCTGAAAGACACTTTTGTTTTTCTTTGCTGTGAAAGGCATTTCATGATATGATTGATCCACAGGAAAACATTGCACTGTATTCAGAGGTTAGATTCCAGAATTAACAGAACGTGAAAAACCAAGCATAAAGTACTCTTAAAAAGGGCATATTGGGGATCAATATACTATGTCTCAGTAAGTTCAATAGCCAGTTTTTTCTAGTTGAGCATCAGAAATACTTGACTTTTTTTCAAGGGTTGTGATATATGACAAGACATACCTTTAAATATCATAATCACCCTCAACAGGGCTACTTGTGCTTATGAGGGCATGGTGGATTAACACTTCCCATTTCACACTCTGTCCAGGCCATACAAATTGGCAGACCAATCTTTGGCATTATTGCTTTCTTCTCAACTTACATAATTGAAGTTGTGTAAGTTATATGCGTTTACGGTACAACCCCACTGTAGATTCTATTCTCTTCAGTTCTATTTGGTTAATCTTTCCCTAATTTTTTATAAGTGGAGATACTGACATAGTCTGGAGAAAAGTTTTATAGTCAAGCAATAAATGTTTAATATTCATAGATGTAAGTTTGAGGAATGGTATAAATTTATTCTAGGATACACTTTTAGGCTTTAGGGGCACTAAAATATTTGGAAAGAACATCAATTGCTAATGATTCATTTTTTTATAAAATGAATTTTTTAAAAAATGAGATTTGGGGGAATAACGTATTTTCCCGGGCGCATTCTTACTACATTATAATAAGTATATTTTAGACAAATGACAGTCACACTCAGGTCACTGAAATCAGTATTTTAATTTTATTCATCATCACTGGGAAAATGCCAAGTTCCTGAGCTTTGCTAATGTCATAGGACTTTCAACTGTGGTTGTTTTGGTTTCCTTACATATTCTATAGTGACTATTGAAAAAACGTATTAAATATTTACAACATAAAATTAGTAATATTTATTTCTATTCTAGTTTGTGAAACAAACAGGTAAAAGCAAGAATCAATATTTTCTTCTGTAGCTCATAACTTAACTTGATTCCTTCGAGGCACTGCAGTTCCAGCAGAGCTCTGGTCATTGATTACAGACTCACCTGGCTTAACTTGAAAAATGATTTTTCCCAAGCCTCCTGTCTGAGAGGCCTAATTCAGTCCTTGTAGATATAAAATTATTACTGCCCCTTTAGCCATGAATGCCAACATTATTGGTGATAATCTTTGGTTAGTATGTTAGTATATGTCAGAATAACAATACTGTGAAAACATGTTGGCAAATTAGTTCATGTCACTTTGTGACATTATGTGAAGAAAAAAACATTTTGCATTTAATGTTTCATGATTAATTTAAGTAAGTTTTGAATAGGCTATAAATGAATTATCTTGATTTAGGAATGACGAATTTATTATAGCTTAATATACCTGTAAAAATATGTAATAAATTCTGTTATTTTGGCAGCCTTTACTGTAAAATTTCGAACACTAAATGGATTATTTCTCTGTAGACTGCAGATCTTCCTTTTGACATAGCTAGTCAATTCACCGTGAATCAGTTCTGGTAATAGGTTATGCACCCATGACAAGTGACTAGAAATTGGTTATTCTCCATGTGACAAATGTAATCTAGAAATTGATTTTTTGTAATATTTTCCATATAGATTTGTTTATGATTGGGAGTAAAGAGTGTTTACATAGAACCTTCCACAGTCATTTATAGACCACACACACACACACACACACACACACACACACACACACACCGCTAACACACCCCTACACGCAGGAGGAGAGAGAGAACTAGAGGAAGCGAGAAGACTGGCTCCCATTAATCATAATTAAGTATAAGTAACAGCTATGAGCTTGAGTAGCATTTCATATTTTTAAAATTTGAAACATTATGTCAATTTTGGAATTGAGAGGTCTGAACATTTTATAGTATCATTTCTTATTTTTGGAGCAATGATTTTCTATTTTCAGCATGCATCAGAATCCCCTTTATGTAGAAACACAGATTTCTGGGCCCCACCCTTAGAGTTCCTGGGCTGGGGCCTCAGAATTTGGATTTCTAACTAATTTTCAGGTGAGGCTAGTCTGAAGTTTACACTTTATGTCCACACGTGTGTGTATGTGTATATGTGTAATTGACAGAAGATTTGATGCTAGATTCTAGTTTTTCTCTCCTTGTCCTCAGGGCTGTGTTTAGTACCCTTAAGATAGCATATTTGTAGTATTGGAAACAGTATAACCTACTTGGTTGAAATACTGGAGTAGAAAGAAGAAAGCATTCTAATGCATTACATTATCTGATTAATTCAAGATTACAAGGACCAAAATTTTTGATTTCTTTCTTTGACATTGAAGATCTTTTTGATGTATGTGTGATGCTTTTCTTTCTCAGTAAGTACACCATTCTATGAAAATTTACTTTATCTTTTATAATTGAACATTTTGCAATGCTCCAAGGTTGTTACTTCAAGGTGGAATTTTATTGTGTACAATTTTAGGTTTAGTAGTGTAGATGGGTTAAAGAAAATGTGTTCAGATATCTGGCAGCATTTTGTTGTGGCTGTTAATGATTTAAAGTAAAAAGTTTTTTGTTATAAGACAAAATAAAATTAAATAATGGTGTTAATAAACTAGAGCTGTTATTGTAATTGTATTATGCTGCAGTGGTGAATTGACTCTGCTATTTTTGTAGCTATGCACATAGAATAGATACTATTTAGTTGGCATGAATTAACTGGCCGTTCATTGGAATAATTTTTTTCCAGGACTAGCATACATCAAGCAGATACTCAATAAATATTTGTTAAACAAATTAAATGCAGAGACCTGGTCTCTAGGGCTGTAGCTTATCAGTTTTATTCAGGAATGCTGGGTAAGGAGAGAAAGCTTTTTGCCTACTTAAAATTTCAGCCTCTATACTTGGTTCATCAGAATGCATGGTGCTCATTCACTGATTTACAGGAGTGTTTCTTCATTACATATGGGCTGCACATACTCTGATCCTCTAACAGCTGAGCCTTTCCAAATTGTATTTAATAGTATGGATTTGGGGTTGAAATTAGACTAGAATACACTAATACCTACCTGCTGATACTGCTGCAGCCCTATTTTTTTCCTTTCCTTTAGAGTAACAACAAACAACAATCAATTTGTCTTGGTAGAAGTGCTTATTTTTATTAATGTGGCTTTTTAAAAAAGAGCTGTACAATTCTGACACATTAGGTAGGAATATTGATGGTAAGATATCCTGTATATGGCCTCATCAGACCGATGCTCCTGTAACTCACATTGCCTTTTCTTATTATTGAAAAATCTTTCCCTTTCAGGCAAGGGAGTATTAAAATCCTAAGTAGGAAGGGATCTGTTCTGCCCTCTATTTTGGCTCACAAAGACATCCCTTAATGCTTTTTAAATCTGGAAACAAATAATCTAGAGAGTCAAAATAAGTAATAATGCTCCTTTGTTTTGATATGCAGCATTTGTTACTGTATTAGTTATGAACAAGATAGATTCATCCACACCACAGACCAAATTGTATGTTTTAAAAAAGAAAATAGACTTTGCAAATGGACACATCTTCCCCCGCCCCATGCAGATAATAATCCATTTTATAAATTAATGGCTAATGAGATTTTTGTTCTTTTGACTGTATTCAGCGTGCATTTGGTGTACTTTAGGTTACTATTACTAACATCATTTCTTCTAGGTCTTTCATAATTTATTTTTACTTTTATTCTATTGAAGACTTTGTTATGTTATTGTAAATCTTTTTTTGGACAAAGGGTAAAGACAAAGTTAGAAAATAAAATAATTAAAAAGACCTTTTTTTAAAAAAATGAATAATGTACATTTTCTTAAAATGTACTATTCATAACAAGTGGCTTACTGCATTTAGGTTTTCATATGTAGAGTCTGCTTGCTTATCCTTTCCCTTAGGAAAGACGCTATCTATAGCCCTTACCTGGTCTCTTAATTGACAGTCTAGAACTCATCCTCATCCCAACTGAATCTCCCTTCTTCACGTCCTTGACTGGCATTCTAGGAAATTGCCAACAAGTTGGCCAAATCTGGCCCTCAGCTTTTTTTTTTTTTTTTTTTTTTTTTTTGCTCAGAATAATGTTGGCTAAGAGCGTGCTACACAATTAAATTAGTTTCTAACATTTGAAAATTAGAGATTTCACATAAAAAATTCAGATTTTTTACCTCTCTAGAAAACCTGGAAGATATGGACCTATATCCCTGTTTGGCAACAGTTCTCTGGAGATCAGTGGTAGTTGTCCCTTTTAGATGGGACAAGGGCTTACCTCAGTTTACACTGCTCTCTATTGTTTTGCAGACATTGAGGCTGCTGGTCAATTGACATTAGCACTTGCCTGTTTATTTTTTCATGCCCAGTACTTGCTTGACCCTCTGAACACTTGAGGTTGTGAATGATTTTTTGGAACTTACGTGTACTGTGGCCAGCACTGCGGGGCACTGAAAGTTATCCTATACTACTCAATAGTGTGTTCCAAACATGATACTTTCAACTAAAGTAGTTTATCTTGCAGCCATTATCTTAGAGGAATGAATCTAACGGCTAGGAGTTTCAGATTACATGGTCTATGGAGGAGGTATATAGAGGCTAACCATCTCTTTGGATGCCATTGTCTCACCCATGCACTGGGTAATCTGCCATTACCATTTACAGTTTGACTCCCTTGATTCTCTATCAAATTGGTTTTGTTCATGATTTATTCTGGTGTCTATCAGTGAGTACATGTCCAAAGCTTCTGTCATTTCCATAAACTTCTTACAAAGCTGATAACTACAACAATGCTTACACTGAGACACTGTTAACAAGAATAGCCAAAATTTCATCCATCGATTGGTCAAAAATAATCTGCAATACGGAAGATGGTTTTTATGTAGCTTTATGACAGAATTGACCAGTTGGGAGAGTTCAGATAAACTATTATTAGTTTAAAAATTTAGAACAGAGTAAGATTTAAGGTGTTATTCAAGGGAATGCTTTTATAAAGGTTTTGGAATCTTGCTCAGTGAATATCATTGGTGTGGTAAAATTGAAAGAGATACAATGACAATAGAGACTTAGAAGAAATTATTTCTGAAATATTTAAAATCCCAGTTCCTATTTGAAACCTGGGAAGGGATAACTACCAGCAATGGGCATGCTTTATTTATACGTTAATGGTACAATATTGCAACTCACCTTCACCAACATCAGTTCTTTCTCCACGTAGTAGAATAACAACCAAAATTCAGTCTCTGTGTTTAGGAAAGACTTACGCATTACAAAACAGGATAACTTTTCTTTGTACGGTAAGGGAATCTTATCAGTCTGTATGTTCCTATAATATTCATCAAGAAAATGGGCAATAAACAAGATATATACAGTAGGTGAGATGTTTTTGTTGGCTTTTCTCTTTTGTAACTCTCCTTGTCATGCAGGAGGGTGCCCTGAAATATTGAGTCTTTTATTTTCTGGAAAGTGCTCAATTTTCTTGACTACTCCATTTGGGGATCAGAAATTTCTTTTCATTTCAGAGGGTTTTCAAATGCCACATAACTTCTTGTGAAATGCAAAGTATTTTAAGATTTTGAAGCCATGGTATAGAAGAGCATTAATGGTCATTCAGGATACTTCTTCTCCCTTCAACTTGCTATTTGACCTTGAAGAGTCTATGTGTATGATAAAATCAATATATATATCTTGCTTCACCAAAGGAAGCTTATACAGTCTAATGCCATGTAGTTTGGATAAGATGGTTGCTTTCCCTCGTAGTATAAAGTGATAATTTTTGATCAAACTAACAAGTCATTCACTTGATTCAGGGTAGAAATATAATACACAATGGATTATGCAAGTAGAAAAAGTCATTTCATAATAATTGCCTGACATTTAAAAACTGGAATTCAGTAAAAGCTGATTAAATTTATTTAATTATTATGTCATTGTGGATTTGCAGATCTGACTTCTCTTTGTAATTCAGCACAAAATTCTGCATCCCTCTTGTGTGCTATTTCATAGTTTAAGGTCTGATTCAGATTTGTTGGTTTTACCATGACAAATCTCTTTATCTAGAGCTAAGATATGGAAATGTTCTCATTTTTAGAAACACTATTTGGTTATTTTAGAATTATCTGATTTGCAGTGGTGGATTCTGCCTGCCTTTTTGTCTGCCTAGGAAACCTAAGGCAGGAAATACTTGCAGTATTTCATAATCAAGGAACACTCTGAAATGTCCTTTAAAAATAAATACGATGTGTCACATACCTTAGAGAATGAGTTTACTCCCCCAGAGATGGAATTAAATTTGCTGATGTTTAAAAATACCAGCATGATTGATAGACTCTTTGCATTTGACCACCTGTTAATGAATTCTCATTCACTACTTGTTTTCCCTTACTAAAATTATATTTAAATCACACTGCACAAAAACCCATAGATACTAAAAGATTTAGAAAGAAAAATTAACAGAATTGTCACACCTCTGATAAGTGAATTGTTCTCCAAGTTGTAATTTTATATTTTAAATAGATAATTCCAGACCCTCTGGTAAATCTCATTAGTAAGTATGTTTGAGGTTCTAACAGAGGTTCATTGTTTACTTAATTGCTGAAAATTTGCTTTTCGCTGCAAGTCTTTGGCTTTAATTAATGAGTTTTTGTGTGTATGTTTTTTTTATCTCCGGTAGTAGTATGTCCAGTGATGTAGAGAAGATGTATAGCTCAAACAATGGTTAACGTCTGAGTTTCCTTTTAACACTGAGATTCTGAAAGTCTGTGAATTCTTATGTGATCATGGTATATTACTCTAGATGTTTACATCTGAAATTTGCAGGTGGACATAAATAGAGAATAGAGATGCTTTACCAAATCTTCCAAAAAAAGAAAAAGAAAAATTCTCACTCTCAGTACTTCACACATATCTTCATTCTGTCAGTGGATTTGCTGGTTGGTTATTTTGTAGAGCTAATATGAACACACATTGATGTTTTCATTAGTATTTGGCTTTACTCCAGTTATATTGGCCTACTTTCTTAGTCCCAAACAGTCCAGAAATTGTATTTTTCTCTAAAATTTGGGGAAGTATCTAAGTTATATTTCATATGAGAAAATTTACCTCAGGGTTCATAATATTTTCTCTGGTACAAAAGATAAATGGCAGCGGAAAATGATGCTTTGGTTAAAAATGTTATTATATATTTCTACATAAACAGTTCTGATTCTTATTAATTTTCATATATTTCAAATTATGATATAATTGATGACATTTATGTGTAGTTTATATGGACTAGGATTGAGAAATGCTTAGTTCATGAGAGGGGAGACATGGCTTTCTAAGTTTTTAGGGCAGGCTCCAAATATTTTTATTAATATCATTTTTATTCTATTACTACTGTGCTTTAGATAAAATAGGCACTCAGAAAATATTTTGGAATGAATGAATTATAACTGAAATGATGCTACATTTAAGTTTTCTTTCTATGCACAATAATTAACTTTGGGATAAGGGGAGGATATAATAGAGTTCATGCTATTATTGAATAGTGTTATGCCATCTTTCTTGTGAAAAGGGATGACTTTTAATTTTTCCAAAGCTTTGAGATCTTCAACATAAAAGTTAATATCAATGAAATCCTTTAGAACAGAGCAAAGCAGAAGTGAGAAGGGCATGTCCTTGTAAGTTTTATTCCTGCCTGAGAGGCATCTGGGAATGCCAGTGAATGGATATCGGAGAGGAATGGATGATAATGGAAAACTACTTAGAAAATCACCAGCTAAGACACCAGATAATCCTAGCATGTGGTTTGGGAAACCACACTCTTTTCCAACAGTGCCATTCAGTAGAGCAAGTCTCTGGTGTGTAGAAATTTTCAGCAATAATTATTGATTTAGATAATTCTTTTGCATTATTCTTTATTCCAACCTTTATTGATTATGCTTTTTTCCTAAAGTGCTGTTTACTGGACAGATGTCTTAGATGCGCCCACTGTTGTCTGAAAGGCAATAACTATTTCAGTTAGCTATTAGCATGCTAAGAAAACTTGGGTAATTCCACCCACTTCACATTAATTTGCTCTTGTTGATTATTTGCTGTAATGTGTTAAATAATTGCTCTTGAATCGGTCATGAAAAGCAGTCATTTACCCGTTTGATTGCTATAAATATCTATGAAGTCATCCAAATGTGCTTCCATATTATTCAGAACTCTTCTAAGTCATTAATAAATATACTGAACACCTGTGCTAGCACTGATCCCTGAGGCACCTCATTATTAACCTAATTGCACAGCTTCATGATATTTCATTTAACCTTGATTTTACTATCAAACTTTTTTCAAACCAAGACATTTCAAATTAATAATAAAACTTTACCTTGTATCTTGTGATCACCATGGCTTTATAATTGAATTTGCACATTTAAAAAATTCTGAATGAAATACTTGAATGTTCATTTTTTAAAAAAATTTCAAACAATATTTATACACTTGTCTCCCAGGTATTTTCTGAAATTCGACTTGTTTACAGTCTTCTTTTCATTGTTTTTCTTCATCAGCTATTTTTAATATGTTAGGGTAAAGAAACAATAATTCCATAGTCACAGTATTGTGGTTTTGGATACAATTCTTTTTGTGAGTCCCAACTCCTCAATGCTATTTTATTGCTAGCTGGTACCTCCATCAAACTGGAACAGGAAAGGGAAAGGAGATGGAATGTTGGCTGACATTCCTATTCATCAGCGAAGCTATCGCAAGTGAAGAATGAGGTTTGAACCTTCTGGTTTAAATCATACTTATGGAGTATAGTTGTTTTTTTTTTTAAATATTGGAGCCAGAAGGGACTCTGAAGATCACATGGTTAAATTTCCCTTATTTTTCAGATAAAGAAGCAGAATCCCAAAGAAGTGAGCTGACATTGCTGAAGGTCAAACTGATCAGACCCAGGGCTGTTTTTCTCTGTTGTTCAATTCATGGCAGCCTGGCTTAGGTTTTCATCATCTTTGTTTCTTACTACCAGTAATTAAAATTTTCTGTCTTATTTATTCTGATGATTTTGAGATGAATCACATTTAAGCCTCTTTTACACCATCAGCTATATCTAATTTATTTTTTAAATCTCTAATAGTGTCTTGAAGATAGTAAGTTCTCAATAAATATTATTGAATGCATGAATAAATCTAGAAGCACACTGTTTAGTAGACTCAACAATATATATGCATATACATGTGTGTTTATACACATATAAAGTAAAGCTATAGAATTTTTAATTTTTATTTTACTTATCTCATAGATCTACTTAAATCACATAAACAAAATCATAAAGCATATTTTATATATTATATATATATATATATATATATTTTCAAAACTGACTTCCAGATGGTTAGGTGCTACGATCCTTAGATTTATTTCAACTGGCTGTTCTAAATAAACTGAGTTGTTCTGTGATGTTGACTGTAGCCTTTATATAAACTTTATCTAATATCACTTGCTCTCAGACTCTCAAATTCAACCAAACTCCCTCACAGATATCTGAGCTATTTTGGAGAGGCAAAATTCTACATATGAGAAGGGCCCTTCTACAAAAACTAAGGGCAGAGAAGCCAAGATTCTTATTGAAGTTGGTTCCCAGGCTCCCTACCTCCCAAGGGAGGCATTACTAGAGAAGCTTCTATATTTACCTATTTTATATATCTATCGTACTTTATTTTTGATAATAACATTTGAAAATCATTGAAATGCTATTCATTGCTTTTGGAAGGTCACCACTCAAATCAAATGGTCAACATTCTATCATCTGAATAAGTCACTCCTTAGAAGAATTTTAAATGCCTTTGAGGTGCATTATGTATTTCAGGTTCATGATTCATCTGCTTTGGGGAAAAGTATTATTTCCTGGCACGTGTTCAAATGCTGTAATTTAAGACATTTATAGTAAATTATTATACCACTGCTGCAAATGCAATTGATATGACCCCAGGAGTTATGCCTGGGGAATAGTTGACTCATCTAGTTGGATCTGGCTGATTGTTCTTTAGCAAGCTAGAGAAAAAGAAAAAAACAAAGAAAGAAAAAATAACTCTTTAAATTTTTTTGTCAAATACCTATGAAGCATAGGAATACTGAGCATAAATGTAACTTAAAGAAATAATATAAATGAGCAAGCAGAGAGGATCAAATTGCTAAACTTCTTTAGAGGTGTCTATTTAAATATTTGGCCTAGGAAGTGTCAGATGAAATGTCATTACAAAACAACTAAAGATCAGCTCTGACCTAAAAGAGAGCCCCTTTCTGCTTGTAGGATCTGAAGACCCAACTTTTGCCCTCTCTCCCCACCCTCTTAACCATTTCCTATCACAAATTTCTTTAAAAGTTTTGGTGTAAATCTGTTTATTTATTTTTATTTTTATTTTTAATTTCATTGTATTGGTTTGTAACATCCATTCCTCTAGTAGATGAAGAACAAAAGATAAATCCTGTGGCTAATTTTGTGGGCTTCAGAATTACTCAAGTCTGAAATTCCTTTGATACTTGTATCATGTAGCACCCATGTTCATCAATTTTATTTTATTTTATTTTATTTTTTTATTATTATTATACTTTAAGTTTTAGGGTACATGTGCACACTGTGCAGGTTAGTTACATATGTATACATGTGCCATGCTGGTGTGCTGCACCCATTAACTCATCATTTAGCATTAGGTATATCTCCTAATGGTATCCCTCGCCCCTCCCCCAACCCCACAACAGTCCCCAAATCTGTTACTGAAAAACATAATATCTACAGCATGCTTCCAGAATCTGTCTATCTCATTTTTATTTCCCTCATGTTCTTTTTCATGATCACCTGGGTGATTATAGTCGTCTTGTTTGCACTGTTGTTAGATTAATTGCTTCCATGAGGCTTTTGCATGAGGCATAGACAGTGTTGACATAATCTTGAAGTTAGTCAAATATTAGCCCAGAGATGGAATCTGTGGTGTGTAGGGACCAAAGTGGCTCCAAGAGATATGATCTGAGCTTGTGAAAGAACTGTGGAAGTTCTGAGCTGACACAAATGGCATACGACAAGACATGCTATATAGGATTCTTAGATACATAATCCCATTTCTGGGGTATCCAAATTTAAATTTTCCCACACTCTTCCTGGGGTCTTCTTGATCAGGGTTGACCCAAAGCTGCATTAAACTCCACATGATTCATGCTTCAGACCCAAGCCAAGATCTGAGATTTTTTTAAAAAAAGAGGTAATTGAATTGTACCCTTCAGGGCTGATTCTTAGCAGAGGAAAATCACAGAAGGTTGTATCCTCTCCAGGACACCTTCCCCACATGCTACACACACACACACACACACACACACACACACACACCTTTAAGAACCATCACTATGGTGATTTATTAATAGTGTGTTATATCTTTAAGTACTTAGGATTAGAAAAGAAATTAAGAACTACTGGATTAAAATTTCTTATTTAATTTTAGGTGTGTGCTGGTAGTTATGTAGGTACAGTTACATCCATATTTATAGTATAACAAAAGTTGATGGCAGCAGGAAAAACAATAAAAAAAATCTACAGAGACTCCAGAATAAATACATTTTGTGTGGACTAGCTTTAATATTAATAATTCAATTAAATTAGATTTTTACTCATGTTTTTATATTGCTTAGATTTGTAAATTAATTTCACTCTGTTAAGGAGACATCTCTGTTTTTACATTTCCATTTTACTCTTTGAACAGAATTGAAATATAATCCAGAACCTTGTCTAAGAATATTTTTAAAATGTAAATGTAGAGGCCTTATATTCCAAAATTTTAACTTATTAAATATACCAATTATAGATATATAATTAGTACATTGGTACAAATTCAGTCTTTAATTTTCAAAGAAAGTTGGTGATATAGGAATTATATAATAATTGGGAACAGAATTTAATATTTTGATATACATTAATTTTTTTTCTTTTCTTGCATCTAATATCTGTTTTGAATTTTTTTTTTTGAGTTCTCCCCCTGTCACCCAGACTGAAGTGCGGTGGTGTGATCATAGCTCACTGAAGCCTCAAACTCCTGGGCTCCAGTGATCCTCTCACCCCAGCCTCCTGAGTAGCTGGGACTACAGGTGTGCACCACCATGCCCAGCTAATTTTTTAAAAAACTTTTTGTAGAAATGGGGATCTCACTATGTTGCTCAGGCTGGAAAAATTCTTTTTAAGTATTTTCTAAATGTAAGCTAAAAGTCTATAGGTTGTCATTAAATGATTTGTACCTTGTTTTATTAACAAAGTTAGCCAAATTCCACCTTGTAGATAATAAGCCATGATAATTATATCCAAACATTTATTCTTCCACCTTCTCTGATAGCCTAAATCTCTTTTTCTGAGCTGCCTGTCTGCCCCTCCAATCCCAGCCTAG
The DNA here is from genome assembly GCF_000001405.40 of Homo sapiens. Classification (NCBI taxonomy): domain Eukaryota; kingdom Metazoa; phylum Chordata; class Mammalia; order Primates; family Hominidae; genus Homo; species Homo sapiens. The sequence goes on along the minus strand of NC_000010.11, from coordinate 67,113,664 downwards.
TAAGCTATTATCATACCACTGTACTGCAGCCTGGGTGGCAGAATAAGGCCCTGTCTCTTAAAAACAAAAATTGTTGAGAAATTCATTTCTAACGCTTGCTGACTCTTTTGAAAATAAACCTTGTTGGACTCTAACCGATCACCTGAGAATATGTTTCTGTTAGTGGAGAAAGTCTTGAAATGTTATCTCCTATTTTGCTTAGTGATCTTTATGTCTGAACAACAGCATATGAGAAGAGTGGCGTGCTGTGTGAGTGTGTATCTGTGGGTTTTTCCACACATCTTATATGTAAATTGCAAATAAAGGAACTAAAATTTTAAAAGATGAGTCAGGGATGAGATAATGGTACGTGGGCATGATGTTAGGAAGAAAAAAATTAGCATCCTAAAGTTAAGATAATGCCACCATTTCAGTAAAAATAAAAAAAATTCTTTTAAAGAATAGTATCTCTGGTTTATTTCCTCATTTCTACCTTTTACTTCTCTCTAAATAATTTCAGAGAACATATTACAAAAGACATATGATATAGGATTAACAAAACAGGATTAGAAAAAGTATATAAAAAGTATTTACAAAGGAGAAAGCTGGGACACTCCATGGGAGTCTTAACATGGTCACCATGATAGCGAATGTAACCCAGTTCTGGGTTTCTGAGCAAAGGTATAGAGAAGACAGGTTGTGTTACAGGCCTCTAGTACTCACTGGGGATGAAGCATAACCATTTCCCAAGGGAATCTTTTTTCCAGACCTAGCTCTGAAGTACATTACTCACATGTTTTTTTTTAAAAAATGATATTCCATAATGTGATGGATGTATTTCTCAAAAAGAGTTTTGATTAAATGTAGAAGAAAATCCCTGAAGGCTTTTTCCTATATAAACCTGCAGTGCAGATTGAGGGCAGAGTCCAGTGCATATACAGAGTGTTATGCAGCAAAACATACAAATTGTTGAATGTAACCCTGCAAAATTAATTACAGTGTTAGAACTGGAACATTCAAGGGAAATGTTCCTCTCTGCTCTGAAATTTAGAAAAAAAAAAAGAATGAAAAACGAATGAAGTCTTCTTGCCTTGACTCTTAAGACCAAGAATTTTTTTCTCTGAAATACAAATCAGCTTCCATTATCTTACTTTATCCATTCTGCTTACCTTTATCTCAGAAGGAAAACAAGGTAAACTTGACTAAATAAGTGCTGACAAGATCCACTTTATAGTGATTACATAAATGTATTCTGCAGCTACTTAAAATTCATATTTCAGACTCTAGTTACATACACTTAAGATATGGATAAATTCCACCAGGCAAAAAGACAGAAAATTGGAAGGAAAAAAAAGACAAGGGAACCAAGTCAGTAAAAACATTTTAATTACACCCCAAGCCAAAGGAACATTAAAATTAAGGGAAAGCCTGGAAAAGAAGAAATTTTAATGGAAGCATATGATTTTAGATCAGCTATAAAATAAGACAGTTATAACATATCCATAATATATTGAAAAGGGTGGAACATGAAGGTGTATTATCATAATGACCAGTTATAAATAAATCAGTTGTTCATTATTTCCATTGAGAGAACAAACTGACGACAACATCTATTCAACGTGTGAATGATTCATTTAATAGCTTTTCATGCCTCATTTCTGACACTTTTTTTTGGGAGGCTAAAAATTACTGAAGTGATTGAAATACACTGTGCTAGAGTGACTTGTACATAATTTGTTACTAATTGGTACTTTTATTTCTAAATGATGATTTTTTTCACCCCATAATGAAATAGCTTAAATGCTAGTTCTTCAGGATTTGCTATGATGAGAAGCTTACTTTTGGAATTTCCTCATCAGTAACAGGTAAATTAGATGGATACTTTGCATGTATTAAATTATAGTGGTATCCTGGGGAGACTGGCGTGTTATCTGTTGATACCATGACTCTGGAGAGAAATGGGAATATCCTGTAGTGGATTTCTTTTTATCTTGCCATTTATTATAATAATATTATATTAAGTATATGGAATACACTTCAATAGATAACTTTCTAACACATATTGGTTTGACAAAAATAATCTTGATATATTTTAATTTTTTTAGCAATTGTCCTTAACAAGCTTTTGGACCTTTCATAGAATACCACACATAAACAGTCATGTAAAACCAAGACCTTCATTATTCAAGGGATTTGTGAAAGTCCTAAATTGAGCCACGGGCAAAGAGCTGTTTTTATGAAAAATGCCAAAGGATTTTTTAAAGAGGAGATTCGGCCTTATGTGAATTTTCTTAACCTCTAGTATATTCAATCTATTGATAAAAAGAAAGGCTTACTTTGGAACCTAGGTTTGGTTGTCAGGTCTGGCACTGAGTGAAATATAATCTTATTTATGTTATTTGGTGAGCTATTAGCACTCTATAATGTTGTATAATTGGACATTTCATTTTTCAAGATAAATTAATGTAAGCTTTTCCTCTTCCAGTCTTGTCACTCACATTGTGTTGGCACATATGTGTATGTCATATGCTATATAAAACTCAAACTGAGAAGGAAATACTGAAGAAGACATAAACGTGAAGAGGAGAGGAAGAGTAAAATAAGCAGAGTAATATATTATTCTCCCTGTGGTTGATTTAGGACCCTGCAACTCTAACTGTTCTTCGCTTACTCCCTCACCAAGTTCACCTGTGATCTGTCCTAATGGAATGGAGAAATTTAAGATGTATTTATTCCACTAATTCAAAGGAACGAAAACTTATTTAGGTTAAGTCTTACCTCCTTAGAACCATCTCATTATAAGTGTAAGACCCTAATTTAATTTTTAATCTATTTCTTCTCTTTTCCTTATTTTCTTTTTTTAAAAATTATAACAGATATTTTCAAGGCAGGATTTTGAGTAATTAATTTATAGCAAATGTAATATACACTGGGCAGTTCAACAAAAGTAATAAAATATGGCCTGTCTTCTTGTCATCATTAGCCTAAAATGTTTAATTATGCAGATGTTTTAATTAAAAAATTGTCACAGGTTCTTGCAAAGTAGGTGGGGTACAAACCTGCAAAGGAAAGATAGAGATCATCTAAGGCTTGTATTTCAGCTATTGTTATACCTTATGAACCTGGAATTTTCAATCAGCAGATGGAGATTTAATAGTATTTCTTAAAGCCTTTCTGGAAACTGTCCAATTGTCCAATTACTTGCCATCATCATTCCATCCTGCTCCCCTTCTAGTCCACTCAGGAGTGTAAATGTCAGTATTTCATGCTAATCTTAACAATCCCAGAGCCCCATGAAATAAAAAGCATATTGATTTTTTTTTGTAAGCCAAGTGGAGTTTCCCAGACTAGATTTTGAGCCTCTTAATTGGAATACAGAACAATTGTGAAACTTAAAAAAGCTAAAGGTTGTTATAATTTAATTTATAGTCACTAACAAATTATAGACTCTACACATATAAAAATAAATTCAAAACATTCACATTAAGGGTGTTTTAGGTATTTAATAGAAGTAGTTATTGTCTAATGAGTTCAGTTTTACAGGCTCATTTACTACCACATAGCATGTGCCACCCTGTAGAAAACTATCTAGAGTGAAAATTTATACTTTTGAGAAATAATTATTTGAATACAGTATACATTTTATATATTGGGAATTCTCATGGCTGCCTTTGCCATACTGCACACTCTTCATAATTCTCAAGAGTATTTTAGAATATTAGGCACAATTCCCTCAGCATTCATTAAAATAGCATTATTCATGATAACTTTCTTCGAGTTAATACGGACATGTTCTGAAATTCTAAAATTAAAATATATTCATTTTCTTTTTCTTTTCTTTTTGAGATTGAGTCTCTCTCTGTTGCCCAGGCTGGAGTGCAGTGGCGCGATCTCGGCTCACTGCAAGCTCCGCCTCCCAGATTCACCCCATTCTCCTGTCTCAGCCTCCCGAGTAGCTGGGACTAGAGGCGCAGGCCACTGCGCCCAGCCAATTTTTGTATTTTTAGTAGAGGCGGGGTTTCACCATGTTGGCCAGGATGGTCTAGATCTCTTGATCTCGTGATCCACACACCTCGGCCTCCCAAAGTGCTGGGATTACAGGCGTGAGCTACCACGCCTGGCCTTCATTTTCTTAAGTAGGAAAATCAGAAAACTATGCCTTGAACTGGTTGCTGAATTCACTAATACTACTTTGGTTCATCTTAATGCAAAGTGCATTCTTGAAAATTTAAATTAAAAAGTGCCATAAGCACAAAATAAACATTGGAATCTTTTGAGAGTAATGGTATTCTCATAAAGAGAAGTGTTTGCTAAGGAAAGAAATACTTATTTAAAGAAGCAAAAAGTCAGTGGTACCAAGCAACTTCCAAAACAACTGTGCTTATTGGTATATCAGGCAAATTCACCACCTTAGTAATTTTTTCCCTACTTTTTAAATGAAATATTTTATAGTAATAGAACAAAAGACAAAAGACTCTACATATAACCTAATTCTCATTCATTTTCATATCAGTCTTATGCCATAACCTGTAGGTGATGAAAATTTAAATTGCACAGCCCAATATACCCTTTCTACATGTTGTCACATATTCCTGAAGTTAGAAATTGTATTATAGGCTTTTTAACCCACATAGGTAGCATTTTAATGGACATTTTTAAAAACAAAACAAAACAGAAAACTTCTGACAGTACATTGAATTTATTAATTACTTTAAGTTTATTCAATAAAATTGCATATTTTTTATTTATCATGGAATAGCTAAATTAAATCCTTTTCATTTGAGGATTAATTTGCAAAGATTGTGGGAAGGGGTAATTTTTTCAAAATTTTATTTGACATATATACTAGAAAAAACTGAGTAGCTATATGGGGAAAATACTAGACTCAGAAACTATTAGAGTCCCAGTTTTCCAGATGATAATATCCACAGACATCTAAAGACTTCTAAATTTTAGTTAGGATCTGGATGTGGAGCCTGTAGACAGACCTGAGTTTTATAAATGGCAAACCTAAAGTTTCTCAAGTAGCATTTACTCTGTGAGGTCTTTTCTGATTTTCAGCAAACCCAATCATTTCACAGCATCATGTACAGACTTCATTTTTAGAAATATCACATTGAGTCACAATTATTTATTCACTATAAGCATTTGATCACTGTGTCTCACATCATAGTCACTGGAATACCATAATAAAAATGAATAAATGCTTATTTTATTGATTTGAATTAAAAATATCAAAATATCATTATATAGTATAAAATATATAGAAGACACATTGAACAAATACCCGTGAATGAAAATTTGTACCTACCAAATAAACACAGAGGTAACTGTAACTTAATTGTCCAGAATTTGATGAAGAGAATATTTCTCAACTTAAAAAAATTCAAAAAAACTAAAGTAGCTTCTTATGTATCATGTTTCAGATTAGAAATATATATATTTGACTGTACTTTTTAAATGACAACTTTACTGACAATTATTTATACTTTTAAGGCAGAAATAATTCTGCATATTCTTTAATGTCAGTGCATTCATAAATTAAAAATATTTCACTCTAGTGAAAAATAATTATAAGTAAATGTACATTCTAGTACTGGTCTGTTTGCTATTGTTGCAGGACTTTTCCTTATTTCAGCTAAAGATAGGCCTCTTGTCCCATGGCCAGGAATATTCAGGTTCACAGACAATTTGAATGGTGAGTAAGACAGGGTTTTATTGGGTGAAAAGGAAGAAAAGGGGGAAACAGGGACTCTCCGCAAGGCCAGAGTCCCTGCTAGAGCACTTCCTGCTTGGCCGCTTGAATCCCAAGTTCCACACAGGAAGAGGAGGGGCCAGGCTCTTCCTTGCTGCAAATGGACTGGAACCTCTGTGTGACTGCACCCGAGTGCACCTTCCCAGTGTGCAGACCTGTTTGGAGTTTTGCCAGGGACCCCCTCACACCTGGCTGTCTCACTATCACCTAAATGATTTTGATCATGGTCTTTAATAATATTCTACTGTAGTTTGTTTGTTTGTAAAATGTAGCAATCAAAAATGATTTTTATTTTTACTCTTTGAAATAAAAATTCTGGTTAATATTCACCAATACTAACATAAAGACTAAAAAGGTTGAAAAGAAAAAGTCAATCAATCTAAAGGCCGTGTTTTCATTTGTGCCAAACAGTATTTTGTTGGAGGATGTTACAATTATTAGCTTCTAAAAAGTTGTTTGATTTAATTCACATAATTATTTGAAATTAATGCCATTGCCTGGATCAGTCTTCAAAATGTTGTATGAACATTTTATTGAAACTGACATAACATTTTAAACAAAGGATTAATATTCTTTTCCCCCACCTCAAAGAAGATAAAATAGAAATGTAAAGAGAATTAGAGTTCAGAAAAATGTGGGAAATATGTAGGCTTGCCTAGAAAGGCCAAGAGATTTAATTTGGCTCTGAGCTTTTAGGCAATCAGGACAAAAATTGAGCCTGGTCTTTCTCTTCCAGAGAAGCATGAATTTAACAAATCCTATTGGAATAATAGATGTTAGTAAATAAAAATATAATATTCTCCCTTCACTGCCCTCTCATCTTTGTCTTGCCCATCTGAATTCACTGCTAGTTTGAAGTTCTATGTCATTTATCACTTTTGCCTTGAGATATTCCCAACAAACTTATTAACTTTGATTTTATCTTCTCCTAACTGCTGTTTATGATTGCAGGTATTAAACTTAGTTCTTGAATTTTATTTCTGTTGAATATGGATGTCTTTTCTCTTTGCTAAGACTGTAAGTCCCTTGGGCACAGGGACTATGTCATATACTCATGTATCTCTAAAATTTTCTTACCTTCCAAGAGGCATATATTAGGTATGTAATAAACACATTAATTATATTGAAAAAATGTCTTCAGTGATAGCCTTAAATAGGTAGAATTTTGAACTTAGCATTGGGGTCTATACAGTGGACCTTAAATGAGCAGTTAGAGGGGTCAGTTTTTCAATATATCAGTCAACTGGATTTGAATCCTTGCTGCACAATTTAATAGCTATATGTTATATAATTGCTTTGTGCATCCGTTTCTTATCTTTCTAAGGGAAAAACAATAGTATCTACTTCATAGGATTATTATTAATTCTGTTTGCCATATTAATGTTGACTGAATGAACACCCGTAAAATGCTTAGAAAAGTAAACATTCAGTAAGTGTTAGTTGTTATTTTGTCTTAAAGTGTTTGGCATTAAGCCATTCTTTCTGAAACTAAATAGACATTCTTTTTGGTAATTACAGAACACAATCAGTTGTCTGAAATCTGTCCTCAGAAAGCGAAAGTATATGACAACAAAACCATGTTTTCATTACAGACAATAGTATTTATATTCTCAGTGGCAGAAAAGCATGCAGTTATCTGAAAACTATATCAGATTATTAAGTTAAAAAGAAGTGGCCCCAAACTACATTTCAGTTTTATATTACATAAAATGTTTATCTGTTAGAAGGCTCTTCTTCCAGTACCCCTGTGGTAGTACCAATGTGTCATGTCAAGTTCACACATTTTATCCCATAACTGGATCCAAAGGCAAGGGAAAAGCCGCTAAGGGCTACAACCCCAGTTGTGTAATTCTTCCACAAAATGATGAAGTGTAACAAGGATTCATTATTAAATAGCTGCGTGTCAAAGCCAATGGTGGCTCAAGAAACTCAGGTTTGAAGTTTGTTAAAGAGGAAACTGGCAGGGAGTTTTGAAGGATGTCCAATACACTGAACTTAAGTTTCCATCACATCCAAAGGCGGAAAAATGTTGACATCACAAGGATCTCAGTCTTTTCTCCAGATAATATGCAAGTTCAGAGATGTTCAGTGTCTTTCCCTAGACCTCTCTGGTGTAAGTGTAGTCAGACTAGAGCTGGTATGGGCTCTCAGGCTTTTGCCTCAAGGCAATAATTTTCTTAATTTATAAGTGAATATAAAATAAGACCTCTAGAGAGGACTTTAAAAATCATATTTCCAGCTCCCCATTGTGGTGGCCATTCCACTCTGATAATTGCCTTATGGTAGAACAGAAAAACAGCGGTGACCAATCTTTCACCACATTTTCATCAGACTGTTTAGGGCATTATATTTATGGATCTGTAATTGAAAGCAAATATATCATTGATGTAAAACAGCAAGAACAGATGGAGTATATTTAAAATTACAATTCATTTCTCAACATCAGGTTTTGACAAGGTGTATGTGAATTAATGTAATTACTCATATGGTTGAAGCAGCAATTCAAGAGTTTATAGTTTTGGACTATTTCAAATTTGACCTTGGAAAGAACATGTAGCATTTAGTTTAAATCTTTTTCTCTGTCTATTCAGTTTCTCTCTAGAGAAATAATAGAAATAGTTCTTGGACTAATTTTTATTCTTAATAGTCTCTCTTTTGGTAGAATTAATTCTATCTATCTATCTATCTATCTATCATTTAATATGTATTGCCATCACAAATACCACATTTCTCTTATATTCCAAATATCCACATTAGCCTTTATGATGACACTTGATGGCATAAATGTTATTGTAAATTTTAATAATGGGTCTTAGTTTTTAAAATTACTGGCAGATTATTTAATAATAAATCACATGCCCTTCACTTACCTTGGTATGTGTAATTTTTGTCTTCTTTGTTGTTTTTTACCACATCTTCAACCCAGATACCAGGAGCATCTTTGTTGTCCACAATCAGAATTATTCTAGATATTTCAGATAACATTTCTGTATGGTGGTAATGGTGCCACAATGAGAAGACACAATGATATTAGATCCAGTGTGCTAGAATTTCTTTCTTTGCTGGATTTATTGTTTTAAATTTATAGCCTAGTTTTTATCACAGTTATAGACGTGATCATTTTTAGTAGGAGGCATGACTTACAGAGTGCTTTACTGGCTCTTGAATGCTGTGTGTATTATAGAAGTATGTTTTTCATGGATGCTATATGTTCAGATCCTGTGATGGAGTAAAATGCTAATGTAATTAAACCAATGGGATTACTTGCACTTGTGGAGTTCAGGGAGAGATAGAAGAGATAACTCAATGGTTTAATAAAAAGCTCCTGAGACACTAATGGAGTCGAGAGTCTACTTAAGAATCATTTGTGAATAGCTGAGACTGAGGAAGATGTTTTTCAAGATGTGAGTTTAAAAATAAGTTTCAAAAAATAATTTTATTTGTCCATCTCCACGAAGTAATGAAACAAGGAAATGATATTTATTTTATATTTAAACTACATATTACATTCTGAGTAGGACAAGTAGAGTCTGCCTTATTATAAAGGTTATCTTTCAGCCTCTTTTGATGTAGTATGCTTCCAGATCCCATATCATCTGTGTAAGTTATAATACTCCTATAAGGAATATTGCCATTTAAAATCACTCACAGGAAATATTCTGTAGCTCAAGCCATGTCATTGCTACAGTTTGCGACTGTAGATTATTGGTGTTTTTCTCCACCTTGTCATTTGTACTTGGTGACTTTATTGACCATTCATCCATATAGTTTTTGGTAAAATTGGCAACCTGACCTCTTTTTTTCAGCCAGTTGAAGGTTATATTATTGATATTTCTTTATCAATTTTGGCTGTAATTTTGGCTGTAATTTTGGCTGTAAATTTATAAAAGGGCTAAGATGATTGGAAATAAAAATATGACATCAATATTCAAGGGTATTTATGTTTTGAAGGATTTTTCTTTCAAATGTCTACTCTTTTTAGGGAACCATGTATAAAACTTCAAGAAAATATTGTTGTTGTTGTTGTTTTTTCCATTAGGCCTCTGGTTTAGGATATTGAAGGAAGTCTCTACACAGTGTAAGATAATTTTTCTATTTGGAAATAGGCAAATTCTTTTTCTGCTGTGTTCAGAATAAGAATTTATTCTGAATACAGAATAAATAATTCTGTATAAATTATTCAGAATAATATATATAAGCCTCATTATGTTGATTATAATCTCTTCTCACTTTTGAAAATGTGCTATGATGGGGGTAGGAGCACATCCTTAGAGCCTAACAAATCTAGATTTGAATCTTCAACCCCACTGTGTGAGCCTTGGCAAATTATTTAATTACTATGAGCCTTATTTTCCTTTCTTTAAAATAGTGGTTATACTTCTTTCCTAAAATGATTTAAAAATGAGAGGAGGGCATAGTGCCTGCTACATCATAATTTACTTCCTGCCTTTCTCCCCACTTCCAGCTTTTCAGTTGTTATATTCATGGGTGCAACTAACAAGTAACTAACCCAGAAGCCTTAAGACTTTTCAGATATGCCTCTCGAAAGAGTTAATGGGGAATAAAATCTATAAACAACAGTCTGTCAGGAAGCAACCTGAGCATTTTATATATAGTTGTCTTTTGGTATGCTTTCCTCAGTCAAGAAAAATGTTCAGTCAGGCTTAGAAAACTAGATTCACATTGATATGGGAAAGCACAAGAATTCACAATTTTACTTTAGAATAGAAAGCAATTGAATGATTTAGGAAAAATAAATTCATTTGAGCACTATTTTTCAAAACTTAGCATGCATTAGTATCACCTCAGTCATGTCTTAATGCATATTTTGGGATCCATCCCAGTGGTTCTGATTCAGTAAATCTAGTATTGACACAAGGGATTTGGAGTCAACTTGACCTCTTAATAGTAACTTCAAGGATATTATAGGTGGCAAAAGTTTAAACAAATAAAATTATTTGTCAAATTTATCCATCCATGTTGTCTTACTACTATTTTCCACATTAATCCAGATAAAGTCAGTAAGTGGAAATGACTGAAACTGCTCAACTGACCAACTCAAAACCTGGAATCAGACCGTCATTTCCTATAGACTGAGGAAAAGACTGTCTTGCAGAACCTTTAAACCATGTAGTACAAGTGTGCTGTGTTATAATAACACAAGATATATGGAAATCAATTTAAAAAAGATAAATTAGCAGGTAATATTTTAGATTAAAAAGCAATTTCAAGGTTCCTTTATCACAAGGTCTCTTGATACATTTGAAATATTATTTGATTTACACAAAATAAATTTTCACTCACCTTTTCAGGAAGACAAATATCATATAACACAAAATTTATAAATGAGAGCTAGGAGGAAGAAACTTAGTAGCCTAAGTCCTAGATGGTTGAGGCACTCTGCTGCTGTAAGATCACTGTCCTTCATAGAATAAAAAAGTCAATGGTGGACTTTTTAAAATGTGAAATTTACCCTAAATAAATTAAATATAAGTTGCCTCCTATCTCACAATAAAACTATAATGCAAGTCATGAGAGACCTTCAAAAAAGACTCATCACCACTTTGATGTGCGTGTGTGTGTTTGCTTGGTTTTAAATTTTTAAACATTTCTTTCCCATTAATGTTGATGATAAAATGAAGCCCAATTGTTGATTGTCCAGGTACCCTACCTTTGGGGTAAATCAGAATTTTGAAAGCATTGCTCCTGGGTCCTTTGTACTTGGCGCCTCCCTATTTAGAGACAGTTGGGGAAAATTGGGAAGGTCATGGGAGGAGTTGGAAGCTCTTTCTTATTGCAAGACCAATTCATCTGCACCTTGAGACTTTTTGATGAATTAGGAGATTGTTATATTACCCAGCATTATAAACTGTTAAGAGCTGTGCCAATATAAGATGTTATTATATCTATTCTGGAAAATTTTCACCTTTTCTCCTGAGGCCAAATACCTGCCAGTCCCATAACTTCTTCTTTCGCATGCTCTGACATACCCAGAACATCTGCATTTCTTTTATACAGTTGAATAACAACAATTCACATCAGGTATTGGTTTTCATGAATTCAATTTCTTATTTTGAGTGTTTAGTTTGAGAGATGATATCTGTCTTCTAGTCAGGAACAATCAAAAACAAATATATTTTTACTCTCATATACAATAGTTTTATTTTAGAAAATTTTTTTTTCAAAAAGATTTTACTATTTCTAAGCAGTCAATGGAGTCAGAGAGATCTGAGTTCAAAATAGGATTATGTGATTAGTCTTGAGTGTTAAATTTGGGAATGTTTTCTTTCCTTGTAAAAATGTAATTTGTATTAATCTGTATAGTTTTGTGGTTTTCCAAAACATTCAGGAGGGACTAGAAATAGAGACTTGACAAAAATGAGTTGATCAGTAAAATATATTATTTGCAAGTTAGCATATGTTTTAGGTTCTATACATCAATTTGGATAAATTATATTTTATTTTTCTTATAAGAAAATGGAGAAAATTGTTCTCTATTATTACAAGTAAAAAAAATTTCATGGTTTAAGAAGAAATCTTGCCAAAAGAAAAAAAGAAAAAGAATTTTATGTAAGTCTTCCCAATTAGCTCCGAATTGAACATGTGTTCAGTTGACAAAGTGTTGAACATGTGTTCAACCCTGTACTATGGATCTCTTTTATAATTATGCAGTCTCAATTTAGAAGGTCTTTGGTTTTTTCCTTGGGGTTTCTTTCCTTGTGCTTCCTTGATTTTATGTCTGTACCTCGGGGCCTACATGCATCCACATCTTGGGAGCATCTGTTCTGCACATTCACAAACGAACTTGTATGTTAAGAAATATGTGACTTGTTAAACTTTTTGAACAGAGTTTTAATGTGAGAGCCCAGAGTAGAACACAGAAATAATTCAGTTAGCTAATATTTTACAGATGGAGAATTGAATTAAAATAGGGATTACTAAACAACATGTCAAATATATATAGATATATATTCTTTCATTCTATCCATTATCTCTGGAAGTTCTCTTGCTCTGATCAGAGAAAGAAATCTTTTAGTACAGTGGAAAGACTAACAGCCTGTAAATTTTGAGAATAATTCAACTGCACCAATTATTGGCCCTGTGTTTTGGGGTAAGAGCTCAATTTCTTTGAGATTAATGTGTCTTCATAGGGTTGTTATGAAGACAAAATGAGATAATTTATGTAAAATGTGGTTTGTGAACTTCAAAACACTGCATAACTTTATGGTTTGCTGCAGCTGCTGGCTGTTATTGTAACCATGCTGGGTGAAACTTTCCATTTTTCAGCTCCAAACATAAGTAAACATTTCAGTTGTTTAAATCGGTGAGGAATAGACAGGAAGGGAGACATAGGAATGGGGGTTAGAAGGAGGAAATGGGAGATTATCAAATGCTGGAAAAGATAGGTTAGAAATGCAAGTTTTAGACAAAAACTGAAATAAATTGGAAATATGTGATAAAGATTCCAGACACAGTCTTTCAGATTGTCACCACCCTCACCCTTAACCTGGACATGGCAAAATAAAAATTAAGCAAAAATAATAATAATCATCATCCAGCATTTTTTTTCTTGCTAAAGACCCTTTTGGTTGAATTTAAAGATGAGAAGTCTCAAAATTCCTGGCGTATTTGGTGTAGCTTAGGGCCTTGGTTGCACAGAGCTGTGGTTCCAAGGTGATTGCTTCTATTTATAGTCGTTCACTTTAGATGAATTTAAAATATTTAAGAAAGAAAGTGGTTTCCTTCAGGAAATCAAGGGCATACACTTGTAAGACTCCTTGGAACCTTAACATTTCTAAAAATCATTATCAATTTGAATGTGTCTAGAAATAGGTTTATTAGTAGATAAACCTATTTATTAACAAATATGTTAATTTGTGCTTGTTTACACAAATTAATTCTTCTTTTTCTATCTTTGCAAGGATAACTTCTAATGAGAAAACTTGCAAATGACATTTTGGTTTACATAATAAATAAAATTTTGCATTTGATTTTAGACTCACGAATCATAGCTTTATAACCCTTTATAAATTTGCTAACGACGTAAAGCCAAATTTCAATGTAGAGAATTAAGAATAAGAATAATACATTGCAAGGAAATTAGAAAATGGAAAACATAAAGATTAAAATTAGATTTAAAATGACAAAAATTTTTGAAGAGCAAATAATTTATGCAAAATATGTTACAAAATCTGGGATGCTAAATAGTTGACACAAGTACTGTGTTTGACATTTAGTTTCATTTGAATTAGTAATAGAATTTGCTTCTTCCAACATTTACATCTTTTTTCTTTCTGACTTTATATATTTTCAACAAAAATTTGCTCCACAGTTTTTAAGTTCATTCTTCTTGAATCCGCTTTTACATTTGCTGTGACAAACCTGCATAAAACTAGATTTTATAGATATAACTTCTTTGGAAGAGATAAAAATTTAAAAGTTTGACATTGTTTTCAGTTATTCTTTTCTTCATTGTTTTGATTGGCCCCTGTTAGATTGATGTATTGTCAATCTACTTTTGATGGCATGAATATAAAATGACAACATAAAAAGCACTTCTAGTGCAACAGTAATTGAAACTTGCAGTTTTCCATTAAAAAAAAACACAAGAATGCATGATTACTATTGATAAAGTAACAATATTTTCAAACAATAACCTATGTCAAGCAAACAGCACAAACAAGTTGATTATTTCAGCTTCTAAAGACTCAGGTTTTCTTAATTTGATTTGAATGAACTTTATAATACAATTGTATAATCAATATATGATCTGGGCTGGTGTCAAATTACTCTGAGTTATTTCTTTGATAATTTGGAGGTGAATCCCATTATGGATAGCAATATAAACAATTTAGAACATATTAAGGATGTTTACCGTCTACTTGAGTGATAAAGTTCTCCACCATGGCTCATATCTATATTGAATGAGCTGTACATGTTTAAAATTCTTCCTCAGGAGAGAAATGATGTAGTGCACAACGCAAAACAAATTCATATGTTTCCTTTGAAATGTTTCCAAAATACCGGTCTCACAGTTCTAAATAAAAAGTTGTCTTAAGAACCAGGCACATTTTGCACTGACTGATGGTTACTTTTAGGTAAACCGCTATGGGTTAATTAGGATAAAAATTGCTACTGTACAATTATTATGCACTATACTCCCACCTTGGCCTGAAAATAATGAGATGTAACAAAAGTTTTTATTTGTCACTGGCAGCTGCACCTTTTAACTGTATCACAAAGTCTGTTGCTGTGGTTACAGCCTTTGTTTCCAGTGATGTTTTGTCCATGCTTTCCCCCAACCCTTAACAATGGTTACTCAAAAGAATGAAATAATGAGTCATTCATTCGGAAATATGTTAAAATATCCCTCTTTATCATTACATTTCACTGCTTAGAAACTAGGCTGTAATTCAAGGCAACAGTTAAGTCTGAGAACTGTTAAAAAAATCTTTGATTTTTTTTTCATTTTTAAGAAAAACCTGCCTATGTAATTGAAGAACCTCTTACAAGTCTGAACAATTAAATCCTTTTTGGTTAATGTATTATTTCTGGAACAAGTAGATAAAATTCTACGCAGTAAGCATAATAAAAATCGTGCATGTTTCGCACAGCACAGAATTTTAGAGTCAAGGTTTCTGGGCACAAAAGCAGTAACAAAACAGTCCTTACAAAACTGAGTAACTCTGAATAACACAAGAAATAATTTTTGTTAATTTAAAATTTTAGAAACTGAAATGTGTAAAGTTTTTAAAGTAAAATGTAATTAAATTATGGTACTGTACATACCAGTTGTTTCTACAATTGAAACTTTACAATATGAAAAATACATTAGCTTTGTACAGTTTTTACAGGTAGGTAGGATGAGTTTTGAAAAAAAAAGATTCTTTTATTTTTCAGGGTCATACTCTGTTTAAGTCAAAAAATACTGCACAACTTAGCTAATTACAAAGTGTAGACTTAAAACAATTCATGTCTTCTTTATTTCATGAATCAATCTTGGATTTTTTGTTTATTTGAACAGGGGATTTTGTGTTTTGTTTTGTTTTTAGAGTCCACAATGAACACATCTTCCTCATTTTGTCCTTGAGGTTACAAAGTTTGGTAGCAACCCCTGGCTACCAATGATCTCAGTTAAGCTAGCTGCTGTTTATGGTCACTGATTCGGCCAGCTGTTGTGATTGTGCTCAGGTCCAGCTCAGTCTCTAGGTGTGTTTCCATCGTATCTTCCTGTGCATTCGTTTCAAAGGACTTATGGGAGAGAAGTTCATGATGCACCCCACAGTAACTTATTGTGGGCTGGTCGTATGCCAGAAAGGTTGACACATTCATTGATAAAGGTATCTGGGGAAAAATGACATGAGAAAAGTCAGTTATAAAAATATGGACAACTTTAGGGGAAAGATTTAGAGACTGAAGTGCTGACCTGACTAACCTCCATGGTTATATCTGTGGCCCTGTGGCCCAGGTGTCCCTATATTATCCCGCTAATGCCCCCTATTCCTATATGGTGAGATCAGTGCAACAGTTTTAAATCCTGGGATGAAACTGCTTAATTCTTTACTAGAAGATTTGGATAAGTAGTAGCCTACATGGTTCTGAAAATGATAAAAGATTTATTGGAACAGTCAGAAAATTGCTTTCGCTAACTGGGAAAATAATTGTGTTTTTAGAACTGATAAACACTATTATTATTATTATTAGTGTTAATTATCCTATTATTTGGTTAGGATACAATAGAACAAGAGTGATTCTCAAACTTTAGCATTCACAAAAATCACCACCCACTTCTTTAACTAGTCAACCCCCTGCCACCCAAGTTTTTCATCCAGTAGGTCTGGTATAGGTCCTGGAATCCACATGTCTTACAAGTTCCTATATGATGCTGGACTATTAATCCACACACCACACTTCGATAACCATTGCAGAAGAGAATTATCTAGACAAGCCATTCTGGCTATTCTTACCCATGACTTCTTAATATTTATTTTATCATGAAGATTCCTTAAAATATTAATGTCTGTAGTTTGGTCCATATATCTAAAATTTAGATGAGCATAGAGAATTCCCAGGAAAAATCTATGGTTCCTATGAAAGTCCAAAAAGCATCAAAGGATGATGCTAGTTTGAAGGAACCAGTAGTATACATGAGGAAGGGACTCCCTTGCCAACTAAAGAAAGCAAGTTCTAAAAGTGAGGGAAAAAGCAAGCATGACCATGGTGAGAAGGGAAACACAGTTACAGACAAAGGGGAGCCTGAAATATAATCAGATATCAAAGTCTAGAGATAGTTCCCATTTCTTTTTCAATAAGATAAAAACTTGTCCTAAAAAGTAGGCAGATTTCAGGAACCTTCAGTCCTGATCTTGGTTTAATATCCTAATTACTAATTCATGCTGTTGAATTCTCTGGAGGATAAAAGCTTCTGCCATTCTTGTTTGGTGAACAGATAGAATGTATATTTGTTTGAGCACATCAGACTAACTTCCTTTCTGATCTTAGCTGAGATTAGAGTCCAAAGCTAAGAAAAATAGAAGGCCTAGGTATTATTTTTTTATTAACTGCATCTTTACATTCTTTCCCCTTCTCTCCATGCATTAGAACCGTCTTTGCCACTTCTGTTTCCATCCCTACAGTTCTACTTACATGTATTTCTACTTCAGTGAAAATTCCTGGAGCAAATATTACCTTTTATCTCTTTAATAAAAGTAATCAAAAAAATAAAAAATAAAACTAATCACTTCTTTTAAGATTATTTGCTTATAATATGAATATTTCGGCATATAAAATATATATAGCTTAGTTCTTAGAGAAATGTAATCCAGCTTATTAAATGAAAATTCCAGAGTAACTCTTCCTATTTATGTGGATTTTTAAGATTTAAAACATGAAGTTATCTGATGCGTGAATGAAAGATATCACATACTTTAAAAAATGGTCAAGGCGACTGAAAGATCGTAAAGAAAATGCTTAAGAATAAAATAGGATACTTCCATTTAAAATAAATAAGAATCTTGTTGTCACAGATGAAATAGCCCAGATAACTAAAATACATTTTTATGTAAAAGTAAATGTGCAGCATGAATAGATTTGAGTTATAGAAGAGAACAAAAATAGAACTGTTACTGGGTACACGAGTTTTACATTATCCTCTGGGAAATCAGTGCTCTGTAATGTGTTATGGGTCATATATCTGTAGGATTTTATATACTTGTCCTTATTCGTCATGGAAACTTATGCCTCATATATGCAGAATCATTTCTGGCTTACTTAGAATTAACTCTACTGTGAATAATTTGTAATTTCTATGGTGATGATTTATGAAAAATAATAAACCATGATACATTTATTCTGTGTGTGTGTGTGCACACACAATTTCCTGCTTGATTTAATGTATCAAGGCTACTGACTGGTATGCAGAGTGCAAGTCCTAATTTGAACCATTATCAATTAAATAGTTAGCTCTGATGATCTGTTTTAAAAATCCCACATATTATTTTCTTTAGTGAGTTTCTTACTGTTGGATATGTCTTATTTTGAAATACTTTATGCCATGATTATACTGTTTAAATATAAATCCACATTTTTTCACATTTTATTATTTCTGAAATTAGGATGGAACTTATAAGCAACGTGAATGTTTAACATATATCATTTCCATGTAATTGAGAGTGCATTTTAAAGTTGATTCTATCTTATTAACAATAAAATAACATAGTAAGATGTATCAGTAAGTAGAATGTAACAGCTAGCCATATCTGAATACAGCATCACAGTAGATTTTTCCCAGGTTGACCTAAATGATTTTGAAAATTTAAGAGAGTTAGCATTGGATATATACCCATGTGTATATATAGGGGTACACACATACAGATACATATATAATATATAAACATATATGTATATACACATATATGTATAAACTTAAAGCCAATTACTTATAGTTTCAAAATCATTTAAATCAGGTATGGAAAATGCAAATTTTGGTGATACATCAGTTTTGGACCACTTTTACATACTCATGACATCTATATAAGATTCATGTAAATATAGTATACATACCTATGGATATATACATGATATGGTATATGTATGCACATGTGTGTACATTTACTCATAAATTTTTCAAATTGTGTTCAGGTAAGTCTTTGTTGAATTATGAATATTTTGCACTGACAATTTTATTGGAATGTCAAGTAAGATAATTTTTTAATATATAAAATATTTGGTTAAATTTAAGTCATTTCTTCCTCAATTTTTAATTTATAAGTATTGTATACAGATGTAGTACAAGGTATGTTTATTCTTTTGTGGCTAATCAGATGGATAAAAATTATTGAAACTGTGTGATATATGAGGCACCATGCTTGACAATATGAAGAACCTAAATATCAGTGGAAGGACCAAGTGATTTAGGTATAGAATATGGCCAGTAATTTTCTTTTTAATTATACACTGTTCCCCCAATTACTATAAATAATAATTTACTAGATGTTTACATTAAATACAATTGCTATCATGTATTTTAAAATATGTAGAATGAAAATAAATTTTACTTCAATTTAAAAGACCTAGTTCACTGTTTAATGAGATGACATTAAAAGGCTATGCTATCTGGAAATACTTATTTCGTTAGAATATCCATGTAGGATATCCATTTAGGAACCCAATGATTCTTAAATGTAATAAAAATAAAAATAGTCTCTATTATCTAAATTTGTAAGGGAGGGATATTTTTGCTTCTAATTATTTATAATGAGAAAATTATTCTTTGTCAGAGCAAGTCTTCCTCATGAAAAATATTACATATATTGTTTGTAATATCTTTTCTTCTCTATATCAACATCATATGTTGATTACTTTCTCAGCTTAGGGTATTAGATTTTTACATAAGTTAATTCGAGTAGGAAGTCAGATGCTGAGTGTGCAACACATTTTCTGCTCAAGTAGCAGTGCACTACCTGCTGCCTGACATCACGGTATTGCCTTAAGAGGTATTCTTTGGTTCTTCCATGAAGAGATTATCCGTCCCTTTCAAATTATAGTCAGTTGTTTGAGAATATGGCAAATGACAATTTGTGTTAGTGCCATAATTTGAAAAAGGAGTGTGACTAGGATGAAACCTATTTATGTTTCAAATAAACTAAATCTAAAATGATAAGAAATTAAAATCTGCATATGGTATTTTTCACACCAGGGTAAATACCTGATGCAGAGGTTTGGGCAACGACTGTGAATTCAGCAATCTTTTGTTGGGGGGGAGTTTCAGTTTTGTTGGGAGGGTATGTCCTTGCACCAAAAAATGACTGGTCGCTGGGTAGTAATGGAGAGGCTACCAGCTGGCATTAAAAAAACAAATCTGTTTGACTCAACCTTGTAGATCCCTTCCTGTCACCAACTCACAATAAATTCCATTCTCTTCACATAACCATCAAGTGACTTTGGGTCCTTTTATTCTTTTCTTTTTTTCACAGTAACCTCTCTCTATTTCTCCATTTTTACCTAATTTTTATTAACATGGTCTCTCCTGAGATTAGGGTGTTCAACAGTACAGTCCCAATTTATGCTTATCGTCCCATTTTGACAATAAATGACTTAGTCAACCTACCTGAAGGTTACCCAAATACATTATTTCATAAAATAAACAGTTACCCTAAGTGTCTGAACTAGCTAGTTGGAATAGGCTCAGGGAAGGGCAATAGGAAATTTAAATCTAATAAGGCATTTGCTTCTCCAGATCTTTTGTTGGAAGGCTCTATTTAAAGTGTCCATAGAATCTTCTTGTCATATCTTTCTGAGAATTAAGTTTCTCTCCATGAATTTACCCTGCTAAACTCCTGTTTATCATTACTTCTGGTTTCTTTTAATCCTCTAAATCACCGTTTTCCAAGAAAGGTAATTCTTCTTAAGGCTATGAATTGTGGAGATTCAGGGGTATAAAAACTTACTCTCTAGAAAGCATTATCATGTATACTCTTAGCTAAGAAAATCGTTATATGCTATTGTAATAATGAGTAGTAGTAGCTGACCCATTATTTAGGAAATTCCCTTAGGAATAATTTCGATTCTGCTACACTAGTAGTGTCTTGACATCAATGATATTTGCCCTAGCAGTAATTTTCCAGTGATGTGCCAAGTCTCATATCACTGTCTCGTATCAACATCAATGCTATGTACCTTTCACATAAAAAGTACAAAGTTAGATGGTTAAAAATAACTAATTACTAATGGTCTTTTTCCCATTCATATGTAATATTTGAGTTTGTGATTATAAAGGATAAGAATAGTTTTTTAAAGTTTCTAAGTTGTGATTAAGTAAAAATAATAATTTTTACCACATATTAACTATATAAGTAATATCTAGGTATATTTGTACAAATATCTTTGTATATATATGAACATTCATATGAATTTCTCATAATTTGGTTAAGGTCACTCAAGAATCTCTTCTGTTGGATAGAAAAGGTTATTTTTAAAGTACAAAATACTCTGAAGAACAGAAAATGACAGTCTTCTTTTGTGAAGGAATAACAAAAAGGCCATGTTTTCCTTCTCTAGAATTCTCTCTCTAGTTTGCTTGGTAAGTGTTATGTCTGAATAGAGATTTTAGTATGTATAAATATCTCTACTCATTGAGAGAATTCTCATGCTCTCCTCATATATCACAGGGGAAATCTTCCCATTTTTGTAAGGCTGAATGTTATCTAGTAAGTTTTCTAACTCTCTAGGTTGTTGAAAAGATGATAGTTTAGGGTTTTTGTAAATATCATTTTTGATCATCTGCATACAGTGAAAGAAACAGACTTCTTAATGAAGAAATTCAGTTTTTTAGATGTAGTCCTTGTCACTATCGAAATGTTTTTCTGCATTTTATCTTGAAATTCAGAGGCGTATTTTCTTACTTTTATTTTTCATCTACTAAACTTAAGGGGTTTTCAGTTGAGTTTATTTCTACCTACTAACATATAAAATAAGAAATAGGCATTTCAGTCTTCTTCTAGTTAATGATATTTCTCTAATTTGTCTTTAAATTTGTTTCAAACTGAGCTCATTATCTCTGAATACAAACTGGTTCCTCTTCCTTGGTCCCTATTTTGTTCTAGGGAATACTTATTAGATTAAGTCAGCTTAATCTACTTGTTGCCCATCTACTTTGACTCCCTGTCTCTTGTTCCAAATGTCCCATGATTTGCCAGTTACTTTCTTGACATCAATGACAGGCACACACATCTCTCATCTCTGTTACCACTATCTCGGCTCAAAGTATCATTACCTTTTTCACCTTAGTGACTATGACTGGTCTCCCTAATCTGTAGAATTGCCAATAAAACTGGGCATTTATAAATTTATCCTGGAGGAAATTAGCTATATTTTTAATTTAAATGTAAGCAATATGTAGAAAATAGTAAATACTTTCTTCTTTTGTTTTCCTTTTTTTGGGGGGTGGTCATGTCTGAAGCATTATTCTTTGTCTTTGGAAAGAAGTGGGATTTAAAGTATACTTTATTCTGGGAAATTGGCATCCTTAAATATATTATTTACATATATTCCTTAAATATATACATGTATATATTTATGCATGTATGTTTGTGTATGTATCACACTGTCTTTAAATTCTCAATTTACTTAAAGAAATGTTTTAATTTCTAAAAAATACACTTGATGATGACTTTATTCTTTTTCATTTTGATGCCTCTACTATCTGTTTCATTTATATAAGCTGATTTTCATAACTAGCTTTGGGTTTTGCTAAGGTATGCGCAATTTGATGTGTGTTTGGAGATTGGCTAGCAACGTTTATTTTGTCCTATGAAGCTTGACCTTTATATACAGGCTGGTAGTTTTACTTAGAGTCAAAATAGAAAGCTGTCCCTTTGGTATTATTTGAGTAATATTAAGAAACTCTTGATTGAAAATACCTTTCTACCGGCTTGACTCCCAGCTTGAAAATTTTGTCACTAATCACTATTTTGGTTTCTAAGTGTTAAGGCAGTTGATAAAATATAAGTGCTATATGAGATAAATAGTGTAAGCAATTATCACACTGCAGCTTGGGTCCCTGGCAAAGTGTCAGGGACGGCCTAGATGTTACCGCAGGTTCTACCTTAGTTTCTTTAGGATTTCTGCAGCTGTTACTCTGCCTAGCCACCTGAAGAAGCTGTGGGCATTTGTTGCGTCTGTCAGTTGATGCGTGGCCTGGACACGTCTCTAATATTCTCTTCATTATTTTCATTCATTAAGCATTTACTATGTAGCACAGGTACTATACTACATGCTGGACAGAGGTTGCCTATTTTAAGCCTTCTAAGACTAACAGTTGAGAAAAGGAAGACTTAGATAGTTTAAATAATTTGTATAAAATCACTCGTCTAGTGAGTTGCCTAAGTGGTTGCCTGCCTTCTTAACCACTACATTTTGTTGCTTATCTATCACTCTATCTAATTCTTACTGGCCTTAGAACCTAGAGAGGTGAACACAATATAGGCATCTGATTCTCTGTAACACTAATTCTCAACATTTAGCTCTTATTTCCATTAGTGTGAACATTAAGATTTCCTATGTTTATACTGTAGTTTTATGATGCTTCTTTGCACATTGGGTCTTCAGGAAAGAAACGTAGTTTATGATGGATTTAAGATGTGGGTAAGATAGTGACAGCTCAAAATCAGAGTTCTCTGCTTCTTACTACACACATATTGACCAATACAAGGCATAGAAAGAAGAGTCCAATCTCGAAAACACTCAAGATGGGGACAGGAACCTTAAGTATACTCCTGGATACATATATGTGTAAAAATGTTCAGGAAGACCTTTGGGGTTTTTAAAGTTAGATCCCTGTGTTGACTTAGAAATTGGCAGATATTTTCCAGTTAAAATATGTTAGCTTTTCTTTTTAACAAAATGTGCAAAAAGAAACTTGAATTAATCTGTAGTTTGATTATTTTGTTTCATATGAGACTATACTTGTCTTGAATTTTTTCTTTATGTAAAACATAGCTAGGCAGGTGCTGCAGAAGTACAGGACTGGGAAATGGAGAACAAACATGATGAAGACACAATTTCTGCTCTCTGGCAAAATTATAGGCTTGTGAAAGGGATGGACAAATGGTGCAAGATAGTAAAGGAAGGCAATGGATGGGGGGCCTAGGAGACAAATACAGTATATGTGTTTCTGTCCACACACACACACACACACACACACACACACACACATATGTATATACACATATGTATACTCTGATTGGCTGATTCGACTAACTATATCATTCATCCTTTATGTGTGCCAAATGAGGTAGCCATCTTTTTTCTTTGAAAATAATGTTGTTTTTGAGATTTATTGGCAAGAGTCCATATTGCTGAGAAGTGATTCAATATTTACTTTATAGACTCCCCCACAGAGATAATATACTTTACTTTGAAACTGATTTATTTGTTCGAAGAGCAATCTATCTCCTAGAACTCTTTAGCATTCCAATGGTTAATTGGTGTGAGTACAACAGGCTGTTGGATCATTAATTTTAATTATCTTGATTCTACTAGTAAATTATTTTTTAAGAAAGCACTTTCAAGAAGCACATAATTAAGAGCCTGAATTTATGTTGTCTATCTTTAAATTTAAACACCTAACATTTGAAAATAACCTTTATAATTCTTAAATGTAATCCAGGCCCTGGTACTTAATTTTTATATTTTCTTAAGAGCTAAATTGCCAACTAAAGTAACAGTTACTATTCTGAGGTCACAAGTACAGTCCTCCCTCAGTATCCATGGGGGATTGGCTCTAGGACTCCCGATAGCAAAACCTATGGGGGGTCCCTTAGGTTTATGTAAGTCCCTTATATAAAATGGTGTGTAGTACTTACATTTAATCCACACACATCCTCCCATATATTTAAAATCACCTGTAGATTACTCATAATACCTAATACAATGTATATTCTATCTAAGTAGTCATTATACTGTATTGTTCTATTCGTATTAATTTTAATTGTATTGTTATTTTTTATTGTTTGTTTTTCTCTTGTATATTTTCAATTTGCAGTTAGTTGAGTTTATGGATGTAGAACCTATGGATATGGAGGGCTGACAGTATAGGATAATAAGGCAGGAACTCAATATAAATTTGCAGATTTTCAAGTGTCTGTAACGAGAATAATGAGAGACAAAATATTTTTTGCAGGAACATAATAATAATTCTTTTAGTGGTATTTGTGCAAAAACTTCATTATAGTGAAATCCTGCAAAGTTAAAATATAAAGTGAAAAAAACTTAAGAGTTCTATTTGAAAGGTCACAGTTCTCCTTGCATCAAAATGCATTTAGAGTAAGGAAAAAACATTCTGAATTTTGGTAGCTTTATGGGTGTCTTGCAAATTTGTCTTTCAGTAATGCCCCTAGTCCATCTAAGTAACAGGGAGAGTCTTATGTAATGCAGGCACCGTTTATCTTTGCAATAAAAAATCTTAACTATTTAAATGATGTGGCCACTTTTGAATATATTTTGTGTTTTATGAAGCATTTTGTTTCAGTTTTGCAAGAAAAAATAAATATGGATTGGCTATATGCATTGTTTTTATAAATTCACATGCTAATGTCTACAAAACCAAAGAGAAATATTCATTCGTTAATTTATTCACTCATTCCTTCAGTGAAGGTTTGCTGAATGCCTTCTCTGGGCCATATGCCAAGTTCTTGTCCTGAAGGGTTCTGGATGGAACATAAGCCATTCCAATACATGCCTAGCAAGCAGAAGACAGAGGATTCCATGTAGGAAAAGCATTTCTTATCTCCCCATTTGGCATCTCTCAATTTTTCACTCATTCACTCACTCACTTACTCTCTCACTCTTGTTCTTGCTTTCTTTCTCTTTAAATTATCATGGTATTTCCACATGATATTATTATATGTCTGTTTTTAGATTATGTCTTTATTTGCACAGATCTTTTATCTCATATTAGACCATAACCTTTTTGAGCACAAGAATCTATGACTAATCATATTTCTCCATGCCTTATATTGTCTCACATGATTCCTTATACTTATTAAGCACTATATGTGTATTTATTGAATGAATGAATACTTGAATGAATGAAAGAAAAGAGTAAGGGTTAGTTAATATAGTCTGAGAAGAAATCACAAACCTCCATCCCCCGGTGACTGGGCTTTATAGGAACTATATGACTGAGATAATCTATTAAAATCGAATTATGTAAGGATCCAGGCCATTATGACATTAGCTTAGAGGTAGAGGGCTAAAATGAGTGAGCAGAAATCCACACTAATGATGAGGCACATGGCACTGCATTATGATGTTTGAGATCCACTTTATTTTTTATTTGATTTTAACTATTTAAAAATCCTTTATTATTTTTATTTAAAACTTTATTTTATTTTAAACTTATTTTAATATATTTATATTAGAGAAGGTATGAATTGTGTATCTAAATGTATAAAACTTTTTAAAAGAATATTAAAAATAAGATAATCATCCCTTAATTTGGTGATTTTCCCCCTATAAATTGCAAAATGTTATGTGTACACTTTATCATCTAATAACTTCCACAATATCTGTGTTTTTCAAATTCTTTAGTGCTTCCTAGAAGCACTGCTCATGATCTCCAGGAGTTTGATGCAGCTGCCAAATTAGCTTTTCCACTAATGGACTCTTCCCTGGACCCTTCTGTGTTAACCTCTGTTTTATTTTTGTAGTGCCAATGAAAAGTGATGTTTCTCTTTAACTGAGGCAAAGCAAAATGCCCCAAAGTGTGTTCATTTACATGTAAATCTTTCTGCACAGCCCAGTGCCTGCTAAATTGGTACTATTGCCAGGTAAAGTGATGAGACCTAAATTGAAACTATGGCTCAAAAGCCTCTCTAATCTTGGTGCTGTGTTTCCAAATCCGTTTCTTCATACTGTGGTGCAATGAGGTGCAGTTGCTAATCAGTATGAAAACATCTCATTCTTCTTTTCCTTTTTTTAATCCCCTTGGAAATTGTAGTCACAACAGTCCACTGGAGGGTCTTATAATAACACTACATCAGTTAATGTTTTTGGTCTAGGTTTATATAAGTATGGCAGAATGAAAATTACATTATATTAAAAATTATAAAGCAAACAAACATAACAGATACTAGTGTTTGGAATTGTTATAGAAGCAACTGGTGGAAAGAACTCTCCATATCTATGACTGATAGGGTATTTTGGTCTCACAGAGAGGCTCTATATATGATTTCCCTGAACATTGGCATTTATGTTTGTGTGTGTGTCTCATGACTTCTAATAGCCCACTTGCTTTCCAACTGGCATTTTCTTCCTTACTATATTGATGTAGTCTTCACATTCTTTATAAAACAGACTACGTTTTTGACATGCCTCATCTAAAAATAGTTTGTCCTGCTTTGGCAGGACTTGGATATTGCAGAGGAGCATTTCAGGATTTGCTGAACCCAAGCAGCTGACATCCAAACAGGCTTTCAAATGATATGATTACTTACTGATAAGCATTGAATTTCTCTTCAACTTCATTACTAAATTAATTGAGACTTTGGTTGAGATTATCTCCCAACTAAATGAAGTGATATTCTGTCCCAACTAAATGAAGTGATATTCTGTATGCATCTGCCAGGTTGCATAAAAATCTTGCACCTGTTTTAGTTCAAGTAACATTTTTTAAAGAAAATCCTTCAGATGAGTTTCATTTTATAGGGATGAGGTATTGCTATGAATTTCTTCAAAATTTATATTTATATCCACATAAGTATGAAAAAAAATATACTGTTTCTTCCACCCCTTCATCCATTTATCTATCCATCTATCCACTCATTCATCTGTCCATATCATATCCATCCATCATTATTGAATATCCTAGAGATCTTGGGTGAATGAAACCAATTCCCTGATTTTACAAGCAAGCCATTTTAAACACCATGTTCCTAGGGTGGAATTATGTGTAGGATATGATGAGAGTGGAGGGAAAGATCTTCTGCTGTTGCTATGAGGCTTTATATAGATAACGTCATGTTTAAGCTGGCCAGGTTGGTCTTATTTATATATTGCTGTTATTTCATTGATATTAACATAATCTATCTCTCTAGATTGTAAATTCAATAGAGAATAAAGACTTCTCAGGGTTTGTGCAGGCTTGCGTATTAGTAAAAGTTTGAAAATTCTTGAGAGTGGAAAGATTGGCAGGGAACTGAATAGATTATAACCAAGTCTATGTATTTACATTTGTAATGAAAATATCATAATAAGGGATGAGCTAATATGTAAAGGTAAACTAACTCATTATTTCAAATTTTTATATGACACAAACATAAACTTTAAAAGTAAGTCTGACAATACAGCTCTTATGCAATAAAATACTTCTTGTTGATATTTTAATAAAGATCAACTTCTAAATTTTATGAGCACACATAGATTATATGAGGGTGACTAACGTTGACTGATTGGAGGTAATATTGGAGGGTGATGTGGTGAATAGCTCTTCTCAGTGTCTTACCTATGTTTTTTACTTTTAGTCCCTCTCATTTTTTTTTTCACAGTTGCATCTAGCATTTACAAATTAGGGTTCATTTTTTCTTACTTTATTTCATAGGATGTAGTATTTCTTTTGTTTCTTATAAATAATAAACAAGAAGACTAGTCATATTTTTGATTACTATTATGTGATCAGCCACATATATATGTAGACAATTTTCTTTCAACTATGGCTTTGATCAAAACAAGTTAAAAAATAAACTACATAAAAAATGTGAGGTGTTATTCTTGATAGTGTATCTTGTCTCATTAACAATGTAATTATTTGCTTTTCACTCACAGTTCAAAGTAGATATTGAATGCAATTAAAAATTAAAAATAATTCAGACCATATTTGGACAGCAAATTTGAAGCTCAAGGTTAAGATCTTCAGTATCATTAGGATACCCTACTTAGAGAATATGTTTTAACTCCTTTGACATGTCTTGATATTTATAACATACAAGGCACAAATATAACATAATATGAAGGAGTTTCATGTAATTATTTTAAACTGGTTTTCTTATTATTAGATCCTATCATTTATACTGCTAATCTATAACCTGAATGATATAAAATCAGCAATGAAGGAAAGGATGAACCTTAATTTATAAACGTAGTCTAGGCAGATTTTTTATGCGATACAGCCTTCTCTATGAAAAAGCTTAATCTTATGCTTTTATGAGTAATAGCAATAATTTATTATTTCTCATTCTATTTACTCTGTTATTTAAGTGTCCATTATAAAAGTTATCAAAGTATCTGTTACCCAAGTAGTAAGATTGGAAAGGCAGGACTGATCATGAATCTTGTAAAAATATATGGTTAAGGAAATCTAATGTAGGATCAGGAAATTTTCTAATCTAAAGGGTGAAAATGATTTTTTCTCATGGCTGAGGGTGTTCTGCTGTGAATGAAATTTAGAGTAGAATTATAAACAATATTTAAATTAATATATATTTTAATATTTGGTTCTCCACTTCAGATTTAGCTTTAAAATGTATTCATGATGTTGTGATAGTCAATTAGATAATATAAAAATTTTTAACTTGGTCATGGTTAGTGACTGTTGCCCAACAGGAGCATCTTTGGTATTTTCTTCCTATTATTTTTCCTTCTCTGTAAGTATTTGTGGAATTCTCACTCCAGGTGTAGATTTTTGCCAACCATTTGAGGATAACTCAAGGAACAATACATATGAGGATAGATTGCTTAAATCTCTGAGCTTCTATTATTATTCTGAATATATGAATACCAAGTTAAAAGTGATAAGTGAATTTGAGATTAGTTATAAATATAGGTGTTTTAATATATCATATTTTGTGCTTGTTTATAAGGAAACACTGGAGCTCCTGATCCTACCTTCTCCCTGAAAAGTGTTGCAAAGCAACGAACCTCTTCCTTGAACTGGCATTGACCTTGGAAACCATTATATTTCTAGCTGAATTGACTGTGTCCCTCTCCCTTCCTAATAGAGAACTGATTAGATTTTTCTTATCTTTATTTTTATTCTTTTCATGTGCTTTTAAATTTTGCTTTGATTACTTACATTTTAATAAAATATGTGTAGCTTTTGCAAGTAAATCAGACTCTTAAAAAGTATGTAATGGGAACCATCCCAATGTCTATGGGGAGAACTAATGTATTTTGAATGCCTTGGCTGTTTATTTTAGTGATTTCTTAATTATTTATTAAGGGACATGAAACTGAGACATATATGTATTATTGATAGGGTAGAGGGAAAGCCACATGGTTGCTTAATACATGCACAAGTTCTTATTGTGAAACTGCTATCACTGTCTAGTATCTGAATAATTCTTAGCTTCTTCTCAAGGAAAATTAAAATGTACAAATTCTAAAAAATAAAAACAATTCACATATAACTCAAATGTAGTTAAAATTAGCACATTGTTGAAATGTGTTGAGGTAGACAACGAAACATAACACAGTGGGATCAGGTTATTCTGCTTTAGTGGGGGTGGCCAGGAAGATAGGACTATACTTTTTTTTTTTGCACTGAGACAAATTTCCTAGATGGTAGCCCCAAGAAAGAACATTGAATAACTGATTGGAACTGTTTCCTAATCATTATATTGATTGCTTGGTCTTCATAGTGTATTAAATGAAAAGGCAGCTATTTGGCTTATATTTGTGTTATGGTGCTAAGCCTGCACTTTAGACACTTTCTTTTTACTTGAGGACATTAGCAATGTGGTTTCGAATAAAGGAAGTTT
The DNA here is from genome assembly GCF_000001405.40 of Homo sapiens. NCBI lineage: Eukaryota > Metazoa > Chordata > Mammalia > Primates > Hominidae > Homo > Homo sapiens. The sequence goes on along the minus strand of NC_000010.11, from coordinate 67,083,178 downwards.
TTTTTTTTCTCAAATTAGGTAGACCTATGGATATTTAAAGGGATTCAAAGTTTAAAAGGCTGAGTAATGAAGGTCTTTATACCAGGATGCTCACTGGTCCCCTGATCACACTTGCCTCTCCTGACCCTTAGGTGAACACCTGCTTTTTTGTGAGAACACACAGGTGGCTTCTGGTAGAACTCATGACTATAGCAGAAATGCCTGTCTGGTTCAGCAATCCAGTTAATGCCTCATGAGCACTTAATTTCATTGATGTAGTTAATATAGGAGGTGGGTGGCTTCTAGTCAACAAAATCTGGTTAGTTGCTTGACTCATAATATTGTGGTCCATCCCCCAGACTACCCAGTTTAGAACATGCCTCCAATCAGTTTCATGACTGATATCTAATCCTTAGGATGTCTTTTAACACTCATATTCAGAAATCCTCTTCTCTATGCTGATGTAGAAGTACTTTATTTTATCTTTAGAAAAAAGGATGTATCTTTAGGAGAAAGGGCCCTTCTTGGAAATAACATATTCCTATCTAATTCCTGCACGGTTTCCTTTTTTCTCCTGCGGGCCAGCTGAGTTATTCAAAGACCTTAGTGCTTTCCTAGGAGGCTTGTGAAGTAATTGAGAATTTGGTAGGAAAGAAAGTGATTCTCAACTTCTTACTATAGTAAATGCATTTCTAGAGATTATGGCCTTAAGTATAGCCCTTTGCAAAATCTGCTTGGGGGTTTAGGGTTTTAAACTTATGCCAGGAGTGATATTGATTAGGCATTTTCTGCCTTGCCTATTAGCTCTTCCTTCTGCTCAGTGCTAGCGAAATCGCAATTTGTGCCATGAAAATCACCAAGGCAATAAATCTAGCACTTATGACTTCAATGCATTATTGAGAAGAAAGCACAGATGGACTACAAGGGAGCAAGCAGCGGTTAAAACCAACTAATATATTTGATAATTAATAAATGTAACAGGGGAAATGAACAGCAAATGAAGGAGTAGCAGATCCAATTTTTAATTAAAATGTAATATAAAAATTCTCTGTTTTTTAATTTTAAAAAATCCTCTCTATAGCATTGAAAGAAAATTGGTTCTTGAGAATGCTGACTGCAATCTGCAATCAACTTTGGGTCCAGCTTAAACTTCTAACAAAGGTAGCCTAGGTACTCCTATTTTGTGAACATTAAGTTTCAGGAACTGTGTTATGTGCTGGTAATTCAAAGATAAAACATGAATACTGTTTTCAAGGAGCTCTAAGTCTTTAATAGGGATCCATGCATATAAACATAACTAGTGAGTAAACTAGTGAATAAACAGGGCTATATACTGGCTCCAGAGGAGGGCATGATCACCTCTGCTGGGCTAGGATCAGGAAAGACCTCAGAGGGGAGACTCTTGAGCTGAGTCTTGAAGGAAGACAAGGAACTCATTCAGAGAAAAGTAGGAAGACTGTTCTAGGCAGAAGTGCAGAGGCATGAGACAGCATAGCTGGTCCAGGAGACTAGAACTACTCAAAATGGCAGGAGCAAAGAATGTATATGGAGCAACAGTGACAGGTATACATATGAGAATACAGGCATAGCAAAATGGTAGGCGAGAGATGATGAGAGCCTGAAGTCAGATACTATCAATAGGGTTGGAAACAATGGGTCAATTTATATCATTTATTAGATTGGTGACCTTGGGCAAGTTAATTAACCTCTCTGAGCCACAATATTGGCACTGTTAAATGGATATAATAATCTGCATCTTACAGTTTTGTTGTTAGTGCTAGAGAAAATATATTTGTGTTTCCTGAAATAGTAAGTTCTCAATAAGTGAAAGAGATGATTGTATTACTACTGATTGATTGAAAAACTCCTCATGTCCTTTCTTTTTCTACATATTTCACTGCTTGTCACTCTCATATCACTGTTCAGTATATACCTGAAATGAGCTTAGAGAATTAAGCATTTTAAATGCCCTGCCAACAGTCATTTCTCCAATAATTATTACTGTTTCCACATTAATCTGTATTTGAGATGCAATCAAATTGATGTGCTCAAAAATGTATAAGCTCTGTCTGTCAGAACTGAAGGAGAGAGAAACATTTAGACATTATTAAAATTGTTGGCTTATTACTGGAAAGCATCATAGTTTAAGTGCCAAATATCCAACTAGGGTAAATATAAGGGACTGAGGATTCTAATATAGGATGCTGATTTATTGTTTAGCTTTAGGTAAGTTACTTCACCTCTTCTTTGTTTTTTTTTTTTTGTTGTTTTTTTGTTTTTTTGTTTTTTTTCAGACAGAGTCTCGCTCTCTCGCCCAGGCTGGAGTGCAGTGGCCAGATCTGGGCTCACTGCAAGCTCTGCCTCCCGGGTTCACGCCATTCTCCTGCCTCAGCCTCCCGAGTAGCTGGGACCACAGGCGCCCGCCACCACGCCGGGCTAATTTTTTGTATTTTTAGTAGAGATGGGGTTTCACTGTGTTAGCCAGGATGGTCTCGATCTCCTGACCTCGTGATCCGCCCGCCTCAGCCTCCCAAAGTGCTGGGATTACAGGCGTGAGCCACCATGCCCGGCCGTTACTTCACCTTTTCTATGCACATCTATAAGATGATGAAGATGATGCCTATTGAATAAATCCAATAAGCAAGCTTAAGCATAGGAATGATAAATAATAAAACATAAATTTCCTCTCTGAGGAGAAAAAAAAATCTCATGTCAGTAGATGTATTGCGATGCTGGGACCTAACATTCTAAGTGGGAATTATATGCAGAATTCAGTTTTTTCATTAACATCAGTTTATTTAAATGTGTTCCTGACTTCCCTAATTGTGTCCCATACTTCGGTAGTTTTGTCTTACATTGTAAACAGCAGATTCTCTGTGAAAGGTAGAAATTAACCTGCTGATACTTCTCTTTCCACCCCCATAAGATACTGTAAAATAAATGGAAAAATACCATTTCAAAACCCAATCCAGCAGAAAATGGCTCTAGCCTGCAAAACAATCCAGTAGCTCACGTAAAAGGAATAATTTTCTTTCTTGAGAAGAGGGAATTTTTTAACGAAATACAAGCACTTGGGGCTGTCACCCCTTCTGGTTCTTCTTGCCATGCCCTCCCTGCCTCTTTGGATCCCAGCAAGAGGCAGGTTAAATTCTGCATGCTGTAGGAAGACTTTGGAGAAAACAAAACAAAACCAAAACCTTGTACAACCACCCTCCTCTAACTACAGCAATTTTTTATTTTACTCCTCTCTTGACACTTCTTACATGCTGCTGTGTGTTAGTGACTATCTTTGTGTGTGTGTGTGTGTGTGTGTGTGTGTGTGTGTGTGTGTGTGTGTGTGTTTTGTTTTTTTGAGATGGAGTCTCGCTGTGCCACCCAGGCTGGAGTTCAGTGGTGCAATCTCAGCTCACTGCAACATCCGCCTCCCGGGTTCAAGAGATTCTCCTGCCTCAGCCTCCTGAGCAGCTGGGATTACAGGTGCCCGCCACCACGCCTGGCTAGTTTTTGCATTTTTAGTAGAGATGGGGTTTCACTATATTGGCCAGGCTGGTCTTGAACTCCTGACCTTGTGATCTGCCCACCTTGGCCTCCCAACATGCTGGGATTACAGGCATGAGCCACCGCGCTGGGCTGTGACTATCTTATTGTTATGTTTTATCTTCCTAATTATAACACAGATGCTTAATTGTAATACTTTGCCTTTTCTATTGTTTCCTCTGATCCTCGGGAGATATTTGCGAATTTATTGGCTTTATTGGGGTTTTCTAAACTTAGAAATAAATGTTTTATGTAGATTGCTCATCTGTTAGATATTATATCTAGGAACTGCCCTATCGCTGTGTTCCTTCTGCAACTGTGGCAGAGAACTGGCAGCAAGCCAAGCCATGGCTTACATGGCCATGATGTCTGTATTTATGATAGTTTCTTAAATTCCTAGGACTCTTCCCCTTGTTCTATAACACAGAGTTTCTTGTGCACAGCGTGTGCTCATAAGTTAACCTTGCATACATCCCCACACAAAAAATACAGCCAGCAGAACATCAGAGAAACCAAAAGGGGAATGCAAATCTTGTCTCTGAAACTTATAAATATGGATTATTCCTGGTCCTCCCAGATATTATGAATTATTGGTGGCTTGAAATTCATAGTGTACATTCTAGTTGAAGTGGATTAAGAGTGTCTTAGAAATTGTATCCAAACTTCAGAAAACTCTTAATGGGAGCCAAATTATGCCAGTGTTCTAAGTCACATAATCAAATGAAGTGGTCTACTGCATTGCATTGGCATATTCTGTCTCTCTCTGCTTTTGCATTGTCAAAATTACAAGTGTCCTGCTAACCTTGCTCTGAAGTTTGAGAATTGTGATGTTAAGAAGACATCAGAGGGCCGGGTGCGGTGGCTCACATCTGTAATCTCAGCACGTTGGGGGGCCGAGGTGGGCAGATCACAAGGTCAGGAGATTGAGACCATCCTGGCTAACATGGTGAAACCCCATGTCTACTAAAAATACAAAGAATTAGCCAGGTGTGGTGGTGGGTGCCTGTAATCCCAGCTACTTGGGAGGCTGAGGCAGGAGAATTGCTTGAACCCAGGGGGCGGAGGTTGCAGTGAGCCGAGATTGCACCACTGCACTCCAGCCTGGGCGACAGAGCGAGACTCCTTCTCAAATAATAATAATAATAAAAAAGGTATCAGAAAAAAATTTATAAATCATAATAATTGCCTTGACTTTGTTTTCCTAAATAATTTAAGGGGAGTAACATTTTGTTGGTCCCTCTCTCAAATATTTTTCTTTCTGATCATTTTCTTTCTCATTTCCTTACAGAACAAATATTCACACACATAAACTTTAGAGCAATTGTGCTTTAGGGCTTTTGACACTGTACCTTGGCCAGTTAGTAGGCACTATAGTGGTACAGTCTTGGAAGTACACATTAAGTCTTTCCAGAACTTGAATTGGGGGAAGATCACTCTTCATGCCCATTTGAGGATGTTTACTGAGATCAAGCAAAGAACCTAAAAGTGGTGTTCTTTTATTTGGAGACTTTCAGAATACCTTTGTTAGAGGTTATTACTCCTGAGAGAGAGCTGTTAAGCTGACTGAAGTTTGGGTAACTGGGATTGACTTGGTCCAAGTATGACCCTGGTCTGTGGTCTAGTTAGGATGTATCCTACTAGCTCAGAATTATCCAAAGTAACAGATAGTTACACATAAAATTGAACTTTCTAAGCTGTTGGTGAGATTTGTGTTGTAAATCACTTATATTCTCTCTCTGTCCCCTTCCCTTCCTCCTCTGTTAATCTAGAAATCTAGATAAAAAGATTTCTATCTTTTCTTTATTAATTTTGTCTCTTATTAGTAATTTTCTCTCTTTATTAATTCATTCATTTAATAAATGATCATTGAGTATGTATAATATGCCACCTACTGTCTTAGGTGCTAGTGAGATGAGCGAATAAATAGAAATAGATATTATCATAAGGGGATACACATTAAACAATAGTTATACAAATATAAGATTACAAATTTTGATGTTGGTTACAGAGGAAAAATACAGGGAACCAGTCTTTCAGGGAGTTGCATCATAGAAGATTTTCCTAAGAAAGTTTCACAAGAGTTGAGATGAATGAATCAAGTAGAAAGTGGGAGGAAGCATGCTTCAAGCCAAGGTAACATTGTGCAAAGGATGAGAGGCAGGCAGGGGACAGAGGGTCCAGAATGGTTGGACTGGAGACTACAGGGATATGGCAGGATGGGGGAGTGGGGCAAAGGGACTGGGTCAGGTGGGACTCAAAAAGCCATCAGGGCCACTAGTTCCTTGTGGACCATTTTATAAATTTTTAGGGATTTTGAAGGATTTAGACTTTATCATAAAGCCAGTGGAAGCCAATGAAGGATTTAAGCACGAGAGTGATAAGAACTGGTTTGCATTGACAAAAGTTCATTCTGGAGAGGAGGGACAACAAAGGTCCAGAGCGAACATGTGCAAAGCTGTTCAAAGGCTACTGGAAGATCCATGAGAGAAGCAAGATGGCAGTGTGGATGCAGGGAGTGGCCACAGAGATGGAGGAAATTTAGCAGGTTTCAGGAGTGATTGAGGTAGAGGGTCAGGATTTGCTGAAGGGATTAGGAGGTCTCAGAGGAATGTTTAGATTTCTGGATGCACAAATATCTTCATGTTGGGGGCGTTGCCTGAAACAAGAGACAATGCAAGTTGCTTTGGCGGTGAGTGTGGTGTTAGACGTGATAAAGACGAGGAGATTTTGACATAGTCCAATGGAGATGTCATGGAGGTACTTTGTTCAATTCTAGAGCTCAAGAGAGAGGTTTGGGCCAGAGGAATTAGTATGAAAAACAGAGGATATGTCAATTGATTTTATTTCAGTAGAGCATTTTTCTAAAGGTAAGTTGAACATTGCTTTTGAAAGTTTCTCTTAGTTTATGTTGTAGTATTTTTATTTTCCCCGTTACCTAAATGTACAAATTCAGTCCCCTGTACCATGTTTGGTTACCTGGAATTTCATTCTATCCAATATTATTTTCATGCCTTATTTATCTTTGGTTTGAATGTAATATGACAGTGAAACCTGTTATTTGTATTCAATTTTTAAAGAAACGCTTTTAGATTTTAAAAGTCAGGCTTCTCTATGTGCTCAAATGAATCTGACTTACTTTATAAGAAGAAGGGCTTGGCATTCTGATGGAGTCCTGGAAATAGATTCTTGGAGACACAGCTATGTATTGGTCTTCCTACATTTGTCTCTGTGATTGTGGATTATGATGCAGGTGGACTTTGCTCCTTTCCCCTGTGCTATGCAGCAAAGTGACCTTGAACAAGCTGCCAGCCCTACTGGATCATGATTACTCATATTTTGAGGAGAGGACTGAAGTAACATGATCTCTGAAGTTCATTTTAGCCTTAAGATCCAGTGAAAAGTTAGCATTAATCCTAGGAAAATAGTTAGAGATAAGGATGGTGGAGTGCAGTTATTTTAAGTGCTGGAAAAATTGTAGCTCTCTGGAGGAATTGAATCTTCTGAAATTATTCACTTTGTAATACAGGGGAGCTTAAAAGGTCCACCCTCCCATCTTTCTACATATACTTAAAGGCAGTTAAATTGCTGCTAAAAATGTGAAATGGAGGTGTGAACATTTCTAGAGGCAATTAAGTAGTTCTGCATTTTACTGGTAAATTCTATCATTCTTAAAAAAAGAGAGAGGTTTATATAAAAATGGAGAAAAAGGAAATTGCATGTGCAGATGTAAAATACCATCTGTGCTTCTGGATTCTTTCCATGCTCCACACCTTCGTTGAAAGAAATTGTTGATTGAAAGCTCAGATTTTGCTGGCTAGTTATAAAAGCTTCCTGTGTTGCTTATCATGCATTTTAAAAATAGATGGCTTTGAATGTGTGAGTTAATTTTTAGCCTCATTTGCCAAGGCCTCCTAACTCCAGAAGCATGCTTTTAGTGAACCCACAGTTCAGTTCATATTCAATGCAATTAATAGTAGTGGGCACTTACGAGGTGCCAAACTTCAGAATGTCATAGCTTCCTTTTCCTCCTAGTGGTAGGTTGGGCCCATCTGATTTCCTAGACTGGAGCACTTTGTCTATATCTTACTTTGAGAAAATGTTAAACATTGGCAGAACTGCAAGTATGTAGTCTCGTGACGTTGGAGAATCTTAAGTATTTCCAACTTCACCTTTCTTATCTCTTTTCCATCTTAATAGTGGCAGGTGTCCTACTTGTGCCCAGACCCAAGTCAACTCTGCTCTCATTTACCTCTTACAATGAATTTAAGTAAAACTGGCATCTCTCTCAGGGTAACTCTTTTCCTAATGGTGGAATGAAATACTTGTTCTTGTTAATACAGTTTTAAATGTAACCATTGCTTTACCTACTTATGGATAAAGTAGGCTTTGATTTTTTTTTAATTTAAGATTTCTGACCATTATATTTTTCTTTAAAATTGTTCAGTTAAGAGCATTTTAAATAGTAGTGTGTGAGTGTGTGTGTGTGTGTGTGCAGAAATCCTTAGAAGCAACACAAAACAACCAAATTTGTATCCCTCTTCTCTGAGCCTTAGTAACTACAAATGTATCTGAATTGTTCAGGTACCAAACAGCTCTAGGAAACAAACTTACTGTTAGAAGCTGAAGATAGCTTTCTCAAGTGCCAAATGCATCTTTAAGTACCAAAAGAGAGAGAATCAATTACACAGATATTGCTTAATATGCAAAAGGGAGGTAGAGAGCTACCCATTTTCAGCATGATGTCTGTGTGTTAAATATAGACCATTTTAATAGGTAGCTTGATTCTCAAATGTGTGCTTTTCATACATAAATGAATTATAATTCATAATATACATACATACATAAATAAATTATGTTATGTTCATAATATTAAGAATGTATTTTGTGGTTTTATATACATGTCTTTAGCTGGCATAAGACAGAATCTACACAGATTTCTCTTTGAATAATAGAAATGTCTATTCTTAGAAGGACATTTTCTCTAGATAAATTTGTATGAAAAGAGTTAAAGTGGGTTGGGCGCGGTGGCTCACGCCTGTAATCCCAGCACTTTGGGAACCCGAGGTGGGTGGATTACAAGGTCAGGAGATCGAGACCATCCTGGCTAACATGGTGAAACCCCATCTCTACTAAAAATACAGAAAATTAGCCGGGCGTGGTGGTGGGCGCCTGTAGTCCCAGCTACTCGGGAGGCTGAGGCAGGAGAATGGCGTGAACCCGGGAGGTGGAGCTTGCAGTGAGCCGAGATCGTGCCACTGCACTTCAGCCTGGGCGACAGAGCGAGACTCCGTCTCAAAAAAAAAAAAAAAAAAAAAAAAAAGAGTTAAAGTGGCAGCTGGGCACGGTGGCTCATGCCTGTAATCTCAGCACTTTGGGGGGCCAAGGCGGGCAGATCATGAGGTCGAGAGATCAAGACCATCCTGGCCAAATGGTGAAACCCCGTTTCTATTAAAAGTACAAAAATTAGCTGGTCATGGTGGCACGTGCCTATAGTCCCAGCTACTTGGGAGGCTGAGGAAGGAGGATCTCTTCAACTCGGGAGGAGGTTGTAATGAGCCAAGATGGCGCCACTGCACTCCAGCCTGGAGACAGAGCCAGACTCTGTCTCAAAAAAAAAAAAAAAAAAAAGAGTTAAAATGGCTACTTGGCATTATTTTGATAATTCAGTAGATCTGAGTGTAGCTGTGCGAAATAAATATCTGTATCCAAACCTAGAAACTCTGCTATTAGTTACATTTTGTTATTGGTCAAAAGTTACTTAACATTTTCCAAGTTAACTCATCAGTAAAATGTGATTGAATTGTGAGAATGAATTCAGGTAATTGTGAAACAAAGACTTAGAAAGGATCAAAATGTTCTTTTCATTATGCTTAGCATTTTTCATGAGAATTTTGGAAGCTTTCATTTCATTTTTTTGATCTCTATTTTGTTTATCTGTCTTTGATTTTTTTTGATCTTTTGTTCATGTGCTTTTAAAAACACCTCACTAGATAACTTCTTTTGTATCTCTATTATTTTTTGTGTGTGATTCTCTCGTTTTTTTCCTCTTTATTTTGTATCTCTGTTTTTTTAATATGACTCTCTCATTTTTTCTCTTTATTGGGCTTAATCATAGCATCTAGGATTTTTGTTGATACTTGTTTAAGAGGGATGTTGACAAACGAGAGTTTTTACTGAAGATGATGATCAGGATGGCAAAGGATTTAAACATAAAATAGAAGTTTAGAATTTGGTGATATTTAGACTGAAGGAAAAACATATTTAAGGGAGATAATCTTAAATAGATGAAAAAAAGCAATATGGTTGAAGGTAAAATACTGTTCCAGGTTTCAAAATTTAGCCAATTAATGGAAAATATGGGAGAGTCAATTTTGTGTCAATAGAGTTTTAAAAACTAATCAGAGCTATTAAAATGTAATAGCTTTGATTTTCAAGTAGGTCATAGGACCAGTTTTTCTGTACAAACCAAATAAATTAGATATAGTTCCTAGAGCTGTGGAAGCAACAAGGACTAAAAGAACTAAAATTTCAGAAGGGAAAATTATTCCAAGGCATGCATGTATTTATTTCCCTGAGGGCATTTGCTTATTCTGAGTGTGGTCTGAGGACTGGACTGGGCCTAGGCGGAAGGTGTCTTTGGGGAGTAAGAAAAGTTAGCAAAACTTTTAGTGATACTGCAAGGCTGGGACAAACTGGAGACTTGAGGGATCTAAAACACACATCTTTCTCCAAGGGATGTTTGCTGTGTTTTGAGGCTGCATAGGAAGCCAAAGGCAGAGCTTCCAAAAGGCAGTAGAATTTTAGTAGGAAATAAACAAACAAAAGGACTTGGCAGCCTGGAGACACCAAACTCAAACATACCATTGAACTCTTTTTGAAGATATTTACCAAATTTTGTAGCTGTTAGGGCCCTAAGATAAAGAAATGAGCTGAAAACTTCTGAAAGAGAACTTTTTCAGGGCCCAGAAGATAAAGATATACCAGGCTTTCAATCAAAATCCAGGGAGTGTCATGGCTTACAAGTATAGATAAACAAGGGGAAGACTACATTCCACTAAAACTGCAATCTAGCCCCAACCCAGCTGAGTCCTTGGTTGGCTTGAGACGTCCAGCCTCTGTCTCTTCTGCTTAATATCGAAAGTGAGAAACCTGCTCTGGTGGAAGATATCGTTTGGAATTCTGTAGTTCTTCTTTAACTAATTTCTATCATACAATAAAAGAGTACGTAGACATACAAATAGGTGAAACTACATGACAAATAATCAAAAGAAAAAGTATACATTTGAAGCAGATACATAGATGATCCAGATATTACAGGTAACTGGCAAGGACTTAAAAGGTGGACTAAAAAAAGTGAAGGAAAAGAAAATTCGATTGGAGAAGTGGGACACATAGAAAATAATCAAACAGGTTGGGCATGGTGGCTTATGCCTATAATCCCAGCACTTTGGGAGGCTAAGGTGGAAGGATCACTTGAGGCCAGCAGTTCGAGACCAGCCTGACCAACATAGCAAAAAGCCATCTCTACTAAAAATACAAAAAATTAGCTGGGCTTGGTGGTGCATGTCTGTAATCCCAGCTACTCAAGAGGCTGAAGCATGAGAATCACGTGAACCTGGGAGGCAGAGATTGCAGTGCGCTGAGATCGTGCACAGCACTCCAACCTGAGCAACAGAATGAGACTGTGTCTCAAAAAAATAATTAATAAAAATAATAATCAAACACATATTCTTGAACTGAAACAAAACAAAGTCCTACCTCTATCTGAAATTAAGAGTTTGCTAGGGACATATGATAAATTGGGCACAGTATAATACAAGTTTAGTGAACTGAAAAAATACTCAAAGCATAGAAAGAAAAAGGGAAAAATTAGATATTGTGTAAATGGTATTTGTGTTATGCTAATTTTTTTAAACATAAGTAAAAATGAAGTCCCAAAGGAGAGGAGAGAATACACGGGGAGATGCATTTTTTGAGGAGTTAAGGCCAAGAATTTTCTAAAATTTTGGAAAGACCGCCACACACAAGTTCAAGAAGTTTAGCAAAATTGAAGCAGGATAAATACAATAAAAACATTCATAGGGACATTTCAGTAAAACTGCTGAAAACCAGATAACAAGATCTTAAATGAAGTCAAAGAAACAAACAAACAAAAAAAACTTTAAAGAGCTCTAAGTACAAGATTGAGAATTGACTTAACAAAAGAAGTGAGAAGATAAATGAAATGTAGTGTTGAGAGAAGATAACTGCAAACCTACAATTCTGTAACTAATACAAATATATCTATTGAAAATATCGAAACAAAGACATTTTCTGACCAAAAAAAAAAAAACCCAAAATACAAAAACAAAACAAAAACAGAGAATTAATCAGTATGAGGCCTGCACTAAAAGGAATACCAAAGGGAATTGTTGTAAGTAGAAGAATGACCCTAAATAGAACCTTGGAAATATCTGAGTGATTGAAGAATGCTGGAGAGTGTAAATGCATTTTATACAAATGAATGTGAACTATATTGAACAATAAGAGTGATGCTTTGTGAAATTTAAAATACATACAGAATAATATGTGACATCAATACCATTGCAAAAGTAAGAAGTGATAAATGAAGTTTAAAACTTCTAGGTTTAGCAATTCTGGGAAGATACTAAAAGTAATAATTATATAGAACCAACTCAAGAATGCATGTTGCAATTCCTCAGGTAAACACTAAAAGAACAGTAAAAGAAAGTGTAGTTAGCATGTTACTACAAATAAATAAATGGATGTTTGATTAATGCAGAGAAAAGTTATGAGAAAAAAAGAATATAGTAAACAGGGCAACTAGGTAGGAAATAGAGGAAAACATAGCAGAAAAATCTTTGTAACCCTGGAGTAGGCAAGGATTTCTTTTTTTTCTTTTCTTTCTTTTTTTTTTGAGATGGGGTCTTGCTCTGTTGCCAGGCTGGAGTGCAGTGGCGTGACCTCAGCTCCCTGCAACCTCCGCCTCCCGGGTTCAAGCGATTCCCCTGCCTCAGCCTCCCAAGCAGCTGGGAAGACAGGCACACGCCACCATGCCCAGCTAATTTTCTGTATTTTACTAGAGATGGGGTTTCACCATGTTGGCCAAGATGGTCTCGATCTCCGGACCTTGTTATCTGCCTGCCCTGGCCTCCCAAAGTGCTGAGATTACAGGCACGAGACACTGCTCCCCGCCACAAGGATTTCTTAATCGGGACACAAACATAAAAAATATATATATAGAGAGAGATTGGTTTATATTAAAACTAAGAACTTTTGTTCATCAAAACATACCATTAAGAGAATGAAAAGACAGTCACAGAGTGGGAGAAGATATTCTTAATACACACATCTGACAAATGACTCATTCAGATTACATAAGAACTCCTGCAAATAAAAAAGATAAAGACAAAAGACAATCCAATAAAAAAGTGAGTAAAAGTCTTGAACAGACACTTCACATAAGAGGATATCCAAATTGCAATATATATATGTGTGAAAAAGAACTTAACTTCAACAATCATTATACTAATGCAAATTAAGTCAAAATGTGATAATACTACACACTGACGAGAATGACTAAAATGAAAAAGGCAGAAAATATGTGTTGGTCAACGATGTAGAGCAATGGAAGTTCTCATGGTCTGCTAGTGGGTGTATAAATGGAAACATCTTTGGAAAAATTTTGAGGGCATCTACAATGCATATCCCATGACCCAGTAATTCTACTTCTAGATATACATGCAGGAGAAATATGTACACATGTTAACCAAAAGATGTACAAAAGTGTTCAAACAGCCCTTTTTGTAATAGTGCCAAAACAGAAATGCTCATCAATGGGTCCTTAGGTAAAAAGAAATTTGAATATTCATACAGTAGAAGTATACAGTTGTGAGAGTGAATGAATATCAGCCATGTATAACAATGAGTAAATCTTATAAACATAATGTTGAGTGAGACACAACATTCAGACACAACAGAGTATATACTGAGTGATTCTACTTATAGACATTTCAAAAACAGACAGAACTAATCTATGTATTTAGGTCAGGATAGTGTTTACTCTGGGCAGGGACTGGGTGGGGTGGGGTGGGGTGGGGTGGGGCGGGCTGCTGTACACCTTGTAATATCTGTTTCTTAGTTTAGATATTGCTTACATAGATGTATTCAGTTTATGAATATTCACCATCATGATATGTATACATATAATATATATAAAATCTTATACTTCAAAAACAAGTTAATTACAATGAGCGTTTTTTGAGTTAATAAGCTTCCTATTCTTGGAAATATTCAAATAAAGAAGTTGGATGATTACATGTAAGGGAGACTTTGGAAGGCATTTCTGCATTGGGGTAAAAGAAATGCACTAGATGATTATCCAAACTCTTTTTAATTCTGAGATTCTCTAATTTTTTTAAAAAAGGGTATACTTTGATCATTCATCTGCATATTTTTCTTTTTTCTTTACTAATCAAGTTTGAGACTATAGCCTACTTTCACTGTTGCCAGTTTACCTCCCATTTCCTCTTAAACTCATGCCACTTCTTTTGTCTTCTTCTTTTTCTTTTTCTGTTTCTTTCATATATATTTTTACATATATATATTTTTTTTCCTGTCTTGCTCTGTTGCCCAGAGTGGAGTTCAGTGGTGATCTGAGCTGCAACCTGTACCTCCCAAGTTCAAGTGATTCTCCTGCCTCAGCCTCCTGAGTAGCTGGGATTACAGGTACCTGCCACCAGGCCCAGCTAATTTCTGTATTTTTAGTAGAGACAGGGTTTCACCATGTTGGCCAGGCTGGTCTTGAACTCCTGACCTCAGGTGATCTTCCTGCCTCAGCCTCCCAAAGTGCTGGGATTACAGGCGTAAGCCACAATGCCTGGTCCAAACTCATACCACTTCTTAATCACTGACCACTCTAGGAACAAATCTGATGGATTATTTTAGTCTTTTTCTAACATATTTGGGTCATTTGCTGTTGATAACTCATTTTATTAAAACTCTCTCCCCTCAGCTTTTCTGATGTCACTCTCATTTTCTTCTTGTCTTTTTTTCTCTGATAATTACTAAAATATAAGAACTGTCCAAAGTTCTGTTCTTGACCTGCTTCTCACACTATAAAATTCTTTGTGTGATTTTAACCACTTTAAGACCTCACTCACTATTCACCTGTTGTTAAGTTTCAAATCTGTGTCTCTAAACTCAGAACTCTCCAGGGTTCTAGTCTTACGTATTCAACTACTTAACAGACAGATCCATCGAATGTCCCCCAACGTAACACATGCAAGACTGAATTCCTACCTTTCCCCCAAACCTTATCATCTTTTATTATTCCCTTTACCTGAAAATAGTGTCACCATCTATATGTGTTTTATGCAGCCTTGGAGCTATTTTGGACTCTCCAATCCCTCCCTTTCCTCTTTCCACATCCAGTCACTTCCCAGGTCCAATCCACCTTCTTTTCTAATATTATATATCCTTCCCCCCTTCTCTTCTATTTTCCACTGACTCAGCTTAGTTTAGCTCTCATTATTTCTCTAAATAGTTTCCAAAAAGATTTGTCTTCTAATTTGATACTCAGCTGATACATTCTGCACAATGAACCCGGCATTTATTTCTCTTACTAGGATGTTCTTTAATTCTTCACTTGGTGATTGATTACCTACTAATTTGACACTTGGTTTAAATGTGGGTTTCCCTGTGAAGCCAGGACAAACCTTTACCCAACCTGCCAGATTGAATTGACACCTCCTTCCTTTGTGTTGCCAATGGACCCTGTACATACTTTCAGCCAAGCGTTTGTCATATTTCATTGCATTTATTCATGAGACTGAGAGTATGTCTTATTTATCCTGTTGTATCCAGCACATAGTGTGCCCAGATTGAATGAATAAAATAATGAATGAATGACTGCATAAATGAATGAATAGGATAATTGAGCTTAGTCTGAATCTATGTTTTCCAGTTTCTTATTTTGAATCACCTAAGAGCTTGTTAATAATACTGACTCTTAGCTGTTACCTAGGATGTACTCTAAGGAAAAAGCTAGGAGATTCTTTTTATTAGATAAGCTTGGGGAACATGAGTCTAAATTATTATCTTAATTTATTTACTTATCTTTCAAATAGTCAGCATTTTTATGCACATATTTCTGATCTGAAACCTGCCAAACTTTGTGGACTAATCACTGGTCCTGAAATGAATTGTGGAAATGTTATTATAGGGACAAAGTAATTATCTTTGCAGCATTAGATAAGGGAAAAAGTGAATACGAGCAAATCATTTTTGGTGGGGGAGGGTTAGTAACTTTTTGCTTAGTATATGGTTTATTGCTCAATAAATATTAAACATGCAGTATTAAAGTGGTTACTGAATTATTCCATTTGTCATAAAATGATTCTAATACGAACAGACAAATATATAAATATACACACATACTTAAAAATTGTTTCACTTCTGTGGTATATTTCTCCATATAGTTTGCTAAGATTTATTATATGACATGCTTATGTCATATGTGGTTTTTATTCACATTTATGAATACATAATGACTTTCTGGGAAAAATATATCCAGATCACACAAATATACTCAAAGCATTTTCATTCAGAAGTGGTTGCCACTTTTAAATCTGAGATTCTCTGAATTGACACATAATTGCCTATAAAAACATAAATTTCACTCTGTTAAATTAAGAGACAGGATTCACTTTAAAGAGGGTTTGTTATTCAGCCAAATAAATATTGCTCATGTCCAAACTTCCATATTAATTTACCATTACCCTTCATTTTAAAATTAAATTAAAGGCAGATTTTTAATATAACATCACTATTTACATTTCCTTCTGCTAGATGGTAAGCTAGAAGAGATGTGTCTAAGTACTAAATATAATATCGAATATTTTAGTTCATAAACAAAACTTTCCAAAATGAAGAATATAAAGAGTAGAAGGCAGAAAGGAAGAGGGATAATATTTGTTTAACAATTATTCAAGATGAGAAAGTCACATTAGGATTTTTTATTATTTAGTGATGTGGGGTTTCAGTGTAGCTGCAGAGGTTGTCAGTCTAGACTTGATATTTTGGCTTCTGTAATGGTTGGTGTGTATGTACCTTTTTTTTTTTTTTTTGTCAAGAACTGCATGACTAACTGTATCTTAAAAAGCAAGGGACTTGGCCAGGTGCGGTGGTTCACACCTACAATTCTAGCACTTTGGGAGGCCAAGGCAGGCGGATCACGAGGTCAAGAGATCGAGATCATCCTGGCCAACATGGTGCAACCCTGTCTCTACTAAAATTACAAAAATTAGCTTGATGTGGTGGCGCACACCTGTAGTCCCAGTTACTTGGGAGGCTGAGGCAGGAGAATCTCTTGAACCCGGGAGGCGGAGGTTGCAGTGAGCTGAGATGGTGCCACTGCACTCTAGCCTGGGCGATGGAGCAAGACTGTCTCAAAAAAAAAAAAAAAAAGCCAGTGACTTCAGTGGGCACAGCAGTGTGCTATAGGGAAACGAGCACTGGTGATGGTATTGAGAAAGTTAGATCTCATCTCAGCTCCCTCATGATCCCCAGATGATTGAGAGAACTAAAAGTTTCACACAGACCCTAAATAACCTCATAGATCATCAGTTCTCTAAAATGAGCAATTATTATTTCTAATAATATTTTGTCAAAATATGACAATCATAGTTGACATCTGTATACTTGGTGGCATATTTTTTTTTTTTGAATGGCAGCCTGATTGAGGGTGGTATTTCCTTTTCACACTTAACTTGTCTATATCCCTCTTTTAGTTGAGGTCCTACTGAATTATGTCAAAGACAAACCCCAAAATCTCACTGGTTTAGCATAACTTGCACATGTGAAATTCAAAACTGGTGTTCCTGGTCAGTAAGAGGCTTTCCATTTGGTCATTCACATATATGCCTCCTTTATCGTGTGGCTTAGTTTTTTATCTAGGACCTTGGAGTTCTCTTCCCGTGGCTCATGCTTGGGGAAAGGGCATGGAGGACCAGGCACTGGAGAATTTTATTGGCTAAGACTGGAAATATCCCACCACTTCCTTCATGTTAGAATGCAGTCATATTGCCATTTCTAACTGTAAAGGAGAGTGGGAAGCTTATACTTCCTGTGGGCCCAGGAAGAAGATGGAACAGATGTGGTGGGAAGCTAGCTAGTTTCTGTCATAATACTTTTCAATATTTATTTTATTTTCTCTGTCACAAGATTAGAATAATCTACTAATTTATGTAAAGGGTTGAGAAAATAATCAATGCCCTTATACCTTTATTAATTATAAAGCCTCCTCATTTTCATAATATATTTTTATTGTTATCACAACTCTGTGAAGATAGGAATTATTAACCTTGGTTTTTAAATGATGAAACAGAGACTCAAAGGAGTTGCCCAAGGCCATACAGCATGTGTATGGTCAACGTGGGATTTGAAACTGTGTCTCCCGATATGTGTCAAATACCCTTTTTTTCTAGGAAAAAATAAATACATACAGTTTATCAGGTGTCAGAGGGAACCATGGTGCCTTGAATTTCTTACCTCATGTCATAGGATCATGGGCATTGCTCTGTTTTCGGGATGTCACATGTCTACTGAGGCTTTATGGGACTTGCTATGTAGGACCATAAGTGTTGGTGGTATATGGAAGCTGTGGAAATTATATGGCTCTTTTATAACTCCAAGGAGGGTCTGGGCAGTTACATGCATTTTCTTTATTGAAAGTTCTTCTTGCCTCATATAACTTTTTTCTCCTCAGAACTAGCTTAAAGGTACCTGCAAATACTTACATATAAATTTCCTAGAGAATTCATCTGTCCCTCTGACTGAAAAGAAGTTACCACATCTAATGTATGTGAAGTAAAAGTGAGATTGAAATTACTGTCATCTTCCATACCTAACTCAAGAATATTATACACTTAAATTTCAATTAATACCTCACACAGTTCATCTTAACTGAATTTCTGACTCCCCATGTAACTTAGCAAAACAAACCCTTAAAAAATATTTTTTCTTTGCCTTCTGTGAATAACCTTATTGACATGGACAGAAATTAAAACACAAATGATGACTAAGGGGAAGAGTCAAAATTATTTGGTTCTAATTATAAATGTTATAGAGAAAGCTTGCTGACTAATAATTCAGTGTCTATAGATGATGTAAAATTTATTGTGAACTTAAACATCCTTTAATTCTTTTTATAATAATTTATTCTAAAATACATAAATTTATGAAAATTCTATAGATTTTGGTAATTTCGGTTACACTAGTACTAGCAATAAATATGCTCTGCATATTTTTTGTGGAGCTTCAAGGGATGGATCATTGTAGAAAATGAAATTAAACCTAACAAGAATGCTAATACATAGTGTAGCTTCAGACACACAGCAGACTCAGTAACCCAAGACTTCAGAGATTACAGGACACCATCATATTGAAATATGTGGAATTTTAACAATTCAAATGTTCTAATGATGTAAGATGAAAGATAAGTAGTTATCATATTCATGAAAAAAACAAGTTGATAGGCTAACACATCTGGGAAGATGACTCAAGGGCTAACTAGAAATAAGTGCACTATTAAGTGAAAAGCTGAAGCGTCAGGTATATTGTACCTGATTTTGCCAAAGCACACGTGCATAGAGGGAGATGACTCTAAAATTCCATCCAACTGACTGTGTTACTTTTGTTGTGTTGATTAGCTGACGAGTGTGTGTGCAGAAGGTAAATGCACCCATAAACATATCAAATCAGTTTCCTTCTAGAGGAGGCCAGAGTATTTGATTGATTGCTAGCATCATCCTTTTAGAATTTTCTACCTTTTTAAAGTCTTTGTGGGATTCAGCAACTTAGAGATCTTCTCCAAGCCACCTCTCAATAGAAATTTCTACTGATAAGAGAGTATGTAAGAGTTTATATAGAGTACAAGTAACCCTCATTTGGCTCATGCCAATTATCTGTGTGACTTCATACGTATTAGGTGTCTAAGTATTTATTCTCGAAAGAGCACTGGTCAGTGGGTAAAGCCATGTCATATGCATTATCTAAAACTAAGGCAGATATTCACTGGTCCCAACCTTTCATTGGAGCCACTTCATATCTGACAGTGATAACCTCCCCATTTAAACCTGGTAGGTCCTCTATTACCTGCCTGTTCGTGCCAGCTGGAGTGAACTCTTGACCCTGCCTCACTGTTGGAACTTGGAGTACTCATAACCTTTTCTTTAATGAATTTAACTCCTGATTGAGACCCCTAACTTTTTAAAGGCATATATTTTTATCACATTCAGCTTTATCTAGTTTGATTCTCAGTTTTGTCCTATCTCAGGCTATGTTGTTCCCCAAAATCATTTAATGCAACAAATGTGAACTAATACATCTTTTAAAAATTGGACATGTGATCTTGCATCAGAGTTATTATAAAGCACTTCTTACTAGGCATTGCTTTAAGGCTGTCTTGAGCATCCATACTTGGTAACTGTTTTTCTTGTAAGCCTGTGTTAAAATATGTTTTCCTGGTAGTCTGATAATGAGTTCTTATTGGACATACTGCATCGGTCAGGGTTTGGTTAGGAAAATAGAAATCACACTTAATATTTCAAGTCAGAAGTAATTAACTTTAGGAAATTAGGTGCTTACATAGCACTGGAAAGCCTAAAAGACAACGATCAGAAAAAAAAACAAAACGATTAACTCTCAGCATATGAGAGAGCTAAAAAAACTGCAGGAAATTGCTGCTGATCTTGGCTACCTGGGCACTGAAGTTGGTGATTTTCAGAAGCCCACACAAACTTCAGGTCTGACACCTGCCTTCCAGCTGTTGTTGGAGGAAAATTAATTTTTCTTTCTCATCTGCCTTCCAAATCTTTTGCAAGTGTACCTCATTAGCAGAATCAAATTTGGAACCATGCTGGTAAGAAATTCTGGGAGTGTAGCTTCCAGGCAATGCAGGGAAAAGTGTATAAGGGGGCAGAGATGATGCAGAATTGATGAGACAATTCAGAACATTTGCAAAGAAGAATGTTAGGTAAATATTGAGGTCATCCAGATGTTTCCCCACCCAATTTTTATATTTTGTGTTCTAAGTTTGCCTGCCTTAATGCCCCATATCTACACGCAGACACACAGACACACACACACTTTCAACCAAAAAGAATGGCTAGAGAAATATTGAAATACAATGAATGTACTTAATTTTTAAAGTTTATCACCTGCATACTTAAGAGATAATGCTAAAGCATGAGTCATCGCTGACATTTAGCACCACTAATTTTAAAACTATGCAGATTATTGCTTTGAGGAATAGCACTGCTGGCATGTACAGAAGAGAAGACATTTTTAGTAAGTGATTTTCCTTATAGGAGCTTATATGCTATAAGTTACAATAAAGAATATGGGCTTTTGATCACACTGAGTAAGGTTTAGTACTTGAGTGACTTTAAACAATTTACTCTCTGTGGGTTTTAACGTTCTTATCTATAAAATGGGGATACAAATATCATCCACCTGCCTCAAACTTTGTTATATGATCCTAAGAGATAATGTATATATATATAAAGTGGTTCATATTAGTGAGTTCTTAAAGATATTATTACCTCCCCTTCCTATCTGTTCTTCAATGTTCTTTCTAAGGGTTATACTATGGTTTTGGGGAAGTAGGTTGAAAAATGTGTGGGTGGCTATTTCCTAAGATTGATTTTTTTTACAGTAAATAAGCTTTCTTATAAATTTTCTAATACTTTGCACCAATTCTATAAAACTCTGCATGAATCTAGAACATAACTTGATTCTTTATCAGTAATGTTAAATATTCTCCCTCTCATCTGCTTATCTGCCAATGAGGAATTTGTTTTGTAATGAAGCTGTCCTTTCTTATTAAGGATTAAGCTAGAATGCATCAACTATTTAGAAACAAAGATACATATTAGAATATGCACACAACTGCTGAAATATCGTTTCTCTTTCATCATCCCTTTTATGTTGACCAGATGTGAGGACAGGTAAAAGGAATCACTTCTGTGGAACATCCTTTCTCTTCTGCTAAAACATTGCTACAATTCACAGGTAGCCTTCCTATTGGCCCTTATATTCATTTTTTGATATGCCTGTTAAGGGACAAGGGAAGTGCAGCCTCCACTCCAGCTAAAGATGCAGAACAGAGATAAGAAGAGCCAAATGGTATGGAGAGAAGCAGGAGAGAGAAAAATAAAAACCCAGGACAGGGGGAGTTAACAATAAAGGAACTCTGATACCACATCTAAAAATTACTTTGCTGATGAACCAAACGTTTCTATTTTGTAAATAGTGCTGTCATCATGTAGTTCACATATTGGTGTAGCAATATGCACCTGATGTAACTTCTTAGGGAGGCAAAGGAAGGACAATAAGCTAATAGTTGGGGAGAATAAAGGTAAAATGCTTTCATTCAGTTCAGCTTCTCTGAGTCTTGGTAGTTATTAATATGCCAGGTATCATAGAGGAAGCAAGGTGATAACTCTCTCAAAGCTCTGTTATTTTTCACTATTCTGCTATTCCCCAAACCGTTAATTTTTAGCCTTAGTTTTTTTTATTGATTGAATAGAATTAATGAATTTTTATTTCAAGTGTATTAAAATAAAATTTCATTGAGTCACTAAGGAAGGTTCCCATGACTCTTTGAGGTTATTTTGACAGGTCACTTCTGGATGCCTTTTTCTTCATTCACACAGCTTTAGTTTGTTCTACCAGTCAAGATAGGCTAGTCTATGCTGCACTGTCAAAAACAATTTAAAAAAACTAGTTAAAGTCATAGCTTAAAACAAAAATGTATTTCTTTTTCATGTCATATATGTACACAACCATTTGTACTGGGAGACACACCTAGTTTTAAGGACCATAGTCACTCAGGAACCTAGGCTGACAGAGGCACCACAGTTTTCTAGCTACATCATCTGGAATGATGCCTAGACTCCTCACTGGCCATGGTAGAAGAAGAGAGAGAGAGAGAGACAGGAACCCATGGTAAAGAAAGAGAAACTGCCAACAGCACATGAGATTTTTGCTACCTTAACCCAGAAGTGACACAAATCCTTTCCACTAGTGCCCATGAACTAGAATGTGTTATCTGGTGCTGCCTAACTGCAAAGTTACTGGGATATTTAGAAAACTAACTGGAATATTTGATGAGCATGGCTATTTCTGCCACAATTGGAAACATTTACTTTTATGTACTTGAGTATAAATTAAAATTTCATGAAAGTGCTTCAATACTAGAACATACTTTCATATACGCTTGTCTTCTGTTTAGTCACTTGGCAATTAATTGTATACATTTACAGAATTTTTTTAAAAAGACTTTTCTTTGAGACAAGGTCTCTGTCACCAGGCTGGAGTATAGTGGCACAATCTCGGCTCACTGCAGCCTCTACCTCCCAGGCCCAATTAATCCTCCCATCTCAGCCTCCCAAGTAGCTGAGACTACAGGCGCATGTCATCACACCCAGCTAATTTTATGTATTTTTTTGTGGAGATGGGGTTTCGCCATGTTGCCCAGGCTGGTCTCGAAATCCTAGGCTCAAGTGATCCACCCGCCCTGGCATCCCAAAGTGCTGGGATTACAGGTGTGAGTCATTGTGTCTGGCCTAAAAAAGACATTTTTATCATCGTGCCTCACCTAAAAAAGCCATTCTTATTAGTGCTAATTTTATCTCCCTCAACATATTTGTAGAATCTTAGAAACAGAAACAGTGTCTTCTATTTTTTGGTGTCCCTATGGCACCTAAAATATTTACATATCTTCATTGCAAAATGACTTAATAGCAAAATAAAGACATACATGCTATTATATATGCAAATATACATTAGTATAAATAAAAGTCATGGACTCCTAATTTTGAGACAGATTAACATAGCTAAACTGAAAAGTTCATTATGCATTTTCAGATTTTTCTCCATTCTGATTCCTTATTCATGAAGACCAAGTTTGGATGTTCAGGGAAACCATCACTTGACCATCAGAAGACAGATTTACTTTCTCAAGATCAGAACAAACTGACTATGACAACTTTAAAAAAAGGAAATCATTTAAAAATCCTTTAAGACTCAGTCATTTTCCAAATGGCACCAAATATACTTTGACGACATATCATCCTTATTAAAAATTTTCTATGGCTAAATTTCATATTACCTTCGACCTAAATTCATTCTTGCCATCGAGTGTCTCTTACAATCTGTCTGTGCCCAAATACCCCTCCAATTTTTGCAATTAATTGTTTTCAATTCTTTATTTACTCCTCATTTTCTTAAACCTCATTGGTCTTAAAATATTATTTTGCTTTTTCTCTGCTGAAATAGAAGTCTCTACCATTTTTGACATCACTAACATGATGTCAATTCATTTAGCTAATTCAAATCAAGGTTCTATGTATTTATTTTTGGAAAATGGTGATCTGGCTCATTAATCTTATAATGTGACCAACTTGAGGGCATTTAGAAAGTGGATGTTATGTTACCTTGTTACTAGAACTCTGAAATTAGACTGCATGGAGACCAAGATAATTATGACTAAAGGATTAGATTCTCAAGACTAAGTGGACTCATTTGTGTGTGCAGATATTTATCAATCCTTTGTGAGAAATGTCCTTCTTAGAAGGCTGCATTAGCAGAATTTAAAGACTAAAGGAGGGAAAACAAAATTTTTAGTCATGATAAAAATAATTTCTTGCCTTTTTTTGGTGATTTATGGCTTACAATGTCCTTGACGCCTGCCTAGAAGATAGGCAGGTGTAGTCATACTAAGTATCTTCATTTTATGATCTTAGAAATTGATATGTGTCTAAGAATCATTAGAAAACAGCCTAGAACTCAGATTTTCTGGTTTGTAGATGCTCTGTGATGCAGACATTACAAGTCTAGTCACGATTCCTTAGATACACAACAGGTAACCCTTGCAAAAAGAGAAATAGCTTGCACTACTTGTATACTGTGGTTATCCTTCATGTTTCTACATCAGCATGTTCCCTAAACTTGTAGAAAGTGCTCTCTGGGCTTCTGCGCACAGAAAAAAAAGGGGCCTTGCAGGGCAATGGAGGATGTGAATGATACCTTGTGAGGAGGGATATAGTTCATGGGCCAGTCACTCAGTTCTGAATATAGTGGAGAAAGGGCCAAAGATATTTCTTTCAAAATGCTGTAATTTACTTCAAATGTTGTTTACTGCTAATTTACTGCTGTTGTTTTAAAGTAGTGATTTACAGCCAGAAATTGTACCTGTGGTGGACTTTAAAAAAGAATAAGAATTATAAAATTTCTCTTGAAACCAATGTAATACATAAAACAATATGTTATCTGACAAAAGCCTAGAACAAAGTTCTCTAGTAAGAATGATGTGATAGACTAAGACCAAATATGGTATCTGCATAATCCCAGAATACTTTTGTAAGTTGTTGCAGTGTAGTGGTTGGGGGTGTTTCATGAGATGCTGTGATTAGAAATGTGATCACAAAATAATTTCCTAAGATTATAGGAACTGTAATTCGAGGTATTAAATATATTACTGCATTGGATATAATAGTGAAGAGACACCAGCATGCAAGAAAAGATTAGTTGAAAGACATGACAGGTCTTGGGGACACTGTACTTTTCTAGGTGTGTCTATGATGTGGGGAACTTTGCGCAATCACTTATCTTTCCTGCTGATTGCCTATCATTCTGGAATTATAGGAAATCACTTCTGCAAAGTGATATCCTTGAGAGCATTACCTTCTTTGAAGTCTTCTTTGTAAGAACTGATTTGTGGGGTAGAGTATGAACTCTCATATTTTGGCTTCAATCTTTGGTGGTGTTTTCCTCAAGGGATGGCAAAAGAGACTGAGACAGTGTGAAAGGATGAATAGCTGAGAGAATAGTGAGAGTGGGAGAGAGAGTGAAGAAGAAGCTCATCGTGGTGGTGGTGGTAAAATGGTGATCAGGACAGGGCTGAGGACCCAGTTCAGCAAACTTACAACTTTCCTGAGGGTGCTTCTTGAAGTAAACCAACCTCGTGTTGCTGGGTCAGTATTCTCAGTCTTAAAAAAGAAGTATATCCTGTCATTTGAGACAACATGGATAAACCTAGAAGACATTATACTAAGTGAAATAAGCCAGACACAGAAAGAGAACTACTGCATGGTCCCACTTATATGTGCAATCTAAGAAATTGAATACACAGAAGCAGAGAGTAGAAGGGTAGGTAGCAGGGGTCCCAGAGTGAGAGAAATGGAGAGATGTTGGTCAAGGGGTACAAACTAGTAGTTATGAATAAGCTCTGAAGACCATGCACAGCATGGTGACTATAGTTAATAATAACTTAGAGTATACTTGACATATGCTAAGAAAGTGGAACCTAAGTATTCTCAGCACACACACACAGTATGTGACATAATAGATATATTAATTGATTGTGGCAATCATTTCACAATTTATATGTATATCAAAACATCACATTGTATGCCTTGAATATAAACTCTTTCTATTTGTCAATTATATCTCAATAAAAGTGAAAAAGAAGATTTCCCAAAATTGAAAGACAATGTTTTAGATCAGCTAACTTTTCTAACCAATTAGACTAGAGAAGAAGCCAATCCAAGAGGAGGCAGAATTGCTGATGTAGTGCTTAATGACTGTGACTAATTAGAGAACTTAATTAAGCTGTCAAGAAGGAATAAAGATAATCAGTCTCAGTCAGTTCCCACTCTTTTGCACCCAGGAGCATGAGCAGATTCACTCAGGCCACCACATAATCCTTGCTCTCTCACTTGATATTGATGTAACCTCATATGCACCTTCCTGAGGTGATGCAGGTTATACAAGTAAATGACACACTTTGTCTTTTGTTTCATCCTGCTCTAGCAGATTTATTCATATCATAGTTGTCATATAAAGTACTTGAACTTGCTATTTTAATTATAGCTCTTGAGATCATAGTGATTGAAAGTTACTGTATAATGTAATTTTGTGGGTGGAGGACTGTTGGGTTTGTGTTTATTTTTCTGTCGCCACTTAATTTGGAATGCCCTTATTGTTATCCTTAGGAATGTGGATATTTTAGAAAGTTTGTGAGTGTCCTTTGATGGTATTCAAACCTGTCCTTTGATGCTTAAGAAGTACAGTGTTTACAGATACAGATCAGGAGTGGATCTTGGTTTCACAAGCCTGAAGCTTATACAATTTGAGAGACCCTCATGAAGAAAAATAATGCAAAATTGTGAACATAAAATTAGATGCAAAAATGGGTAGTACGAGCATTCCTGTAATCCAGTCCTACATTGGGAAGACTAACAATGACCAATTATGCATAGAAGTAACTGCAAGCCAGAGAAATATTGCCTCACCCAAACCAAAGGAATTCCCAAACATATTTTCCTTAAACACATCCTAGTGGGTCCACAGGCACTCCAGTTCTTGAATTAGAACTTGTATACCAACCATATTTTATTAAAGCTCAGTTAATCAACTCTTATGTGATATAAATTCCATGAATGGGCGACAGTATGTATTTCAGGCTGTAGGTAGACTACCCTTTTATTTTCTCAGAGGACATAAAAACGTGACATTGTTCTTTCCAATACTTTACAAGCATTCTTCATCTCCACCTCAACAATATAATATACATATATTACATGTGGCAAAAGAACATAAGAGGTGAGGCAAGAGTACAGTATTATGCTCATGAGGAAACACATTATCATCAGTGTAAATAAAACCTGAAAATATTCCTCCTTGACCAGAATTCCCAGTCAATAACTAAATCTATATTCATGATGGATTACACAACAGCCATTTACAGTGGCAACTTATCATTAGGGATATGGAGGTTGTTGGGGAAATTTAAGACACCCCTGATATCCTTATGGCTTTTAAGAACCTTTGAGGTACATCTTTCATCCTCTGCCCACTGTTAGCTCTGAGGTCTGAAATTCCCAAGCCTTACTCCCACAAAAATACCAGGAAATTCTTACAAAGAACAAAGCCCATGGTAAGTGATATCCTATTCATCTTTTCTGAAGCATTGTCTGCCTTCAAAATATTGTGTTGATTATATTTTGGGTCATGTTAAGTTTTTATTGCTTAGAAAATTTTCCATAACTTTCTAGCCTGCAAATGGCATTGTCTCCTTTCCAGAGCTGCAGTTTTCCTTTTTCATTATCTTAGTCTGTTTGGTTAAAACAACACCTACCTATTTGCTTTGTTAATTATCCCTTTGGACAGGAACTGTGTAAAGTTCTGTTGTGAATCTCTGTCCATGACTGCTTTCTGTGTCTATAGTTTGACTGCTCTCTTTTTACTCTAGCCTCATAAAATCTTTGCTTAATGAGTTTGTTCCAATAATATGAAAACTCAATGGGAAATTATGAGAAGTTTTAATACTTGTACTAATGGTGACACCTATGGAAGGGATAAAAAACAAACTTATGTTCCATGTGGGGTGCCACATTTTATGTGGAAAGTTGAGATGCAAAGAGCCTATGCAGCTGTCTCAAAGATGCGTAGGTAGGAAGCAGGAGAGGTGGAATTTGGACCCAGGATGTGCTGACTCTAAAATATGTCATCTTTCATTTTCACTATTTCTATTTGATAAAATAAAAACTGCAATGTCCTGGTTAATGAGTCTCTTTATAACGAAGTCAGCTATATTTTATTTTTAATTAAGATTTTTGGAGGAAAGTTATTGTATAAACTAAGGGGGTTGGCATATATGTTAGATTTAACATTATAATGACAGTCATTTGTAAAACATTCCCTGTAGTTGCTATAATGTACTAACAGGATCTCTTGGGAAGTGTTGGACTCCCTACCTCACAACTACTTAAAAGAAGTATTGGTGAACAGTTTGGGTTACTGAGTTGGTACCATTAAGAGAGATAAGATCTCTCCCCAAAGACGCCTAGAAAATTGAGAAGTGTTGTACTTCGATTGTATAGAAACAAGAGTAAGTGGTGCCAGATCTCATTCTTAGTGCCTCTCCCACTTTGTGACATTGTTTCTGTCTCCCGCCATTGGAAATACTGCATCATATTGAACCTGGAAGGAAGAGTGGTAAGAAAGGAATCATATGAGCATTGCCCTTTTCTATTAGGGAACCAATAAGGCATTAATAGCCAAGCATTTACTTTAAAAAGTCGCCATTGTTGAACCCATATTAGTGTATTTTGGGGGAACTTCATGCTATAATGAAGCATTAGGCCAGAGATTGAAGAAGCTCAGATTGACTTGGTGGATCAATGGTGTGATCCTGCTGTCCTCATTGGTCACTTAGCTTTGTGTGACACAAAAGCTTACCCTTAAAGGAACCTATAGGTCACATCTCTGCTTTTGTTACATTTCAGTACTTTTATTCTACATGTTTCTTCCTGATGTTCTGGGGTAAATTTTTATATCTCCACATTGTTGACAAATTTATATTATTGGGGTACAGCCTTTTTATTTATAAAGTTTTTTTTTTAATAACCAGGAGGCACTGACTGATCTTGAAGTACCTCCTGAATTATCATTGCCTTCTTACGTGAATATGTGGAATTATAAAGGAGCGATGGATACTAAGCTGCTTACTTTTGAAACGGTAAATACTAAGTGTCTGTAATCTGCAAAGATGGACAGAATTAAGGAAACTGGTCAGTGGGCTCTTTTAGAGATATCGTGTAGGGGAGGGAGTTACTTTTCCTAAGATATATGGATGACATAAGGTCATTAGGGAAGGTTAGCCAGAGTCTCATTGACCATTTGGGAGGTAATCATGACAATATAGCCCTTTCTAGCACAAGTCATAGATATACAAGTCATGCTCATTTACATCTGTGGTCCTCGGATTTTGTTTTGGCTTCAAAAGATTAATCTCAATGGGAAAATGAGTCAATTCCATCTTGCAATTCCTTTAGCAGAATTCGTTTCATACTCCTTTTCTCCATTGCTTACCACCATTTATTTTTTCATTTGTTTTTGCTCTTCAAGGACTATTATTTAGTTCCTCAAAGATATTGACTGGTAGCATTTCCAGGAAATTTACAGTTTAGAAAAGGATCCTCAAAGAGCAAAAAGTGCTTCAGATGAAAACAAAAGAATTTATGCTGTTTGTGTGATAGATAATGGAGGAACTATTTTTAATGCTAACTCTATTTCAAGCTTCTTCAAATGATATGCATATAGATACTGACTGATGGGCAGCCTGGCAAATATAATCTAAAATTCTTAGTATTTGGTTTTGAGTACATTATAAAAATGTTCTTCAAGTCTGCCAGAAAATAAGAATTACTAGAGATACTCTTAAAAAAATTCCAACTTCTTCTATCTCACCTCAGATCAATGGAATCAGATTTTTCCAGTAATGTCCTGCAAATTTGTATTTGTATTTGTATAGTGTTCTAAGATTAGCGTATTTGGAAAACACTGCATCCTAGTGTGTAGGTAGCCTTATTTTCTCATGCTTGTACTAAAGTTAATTGTGTGAAGGTTGACCAAACCTTAATATTCTAAAAGATGATTGGTTCCCAGAAAACAGAATACTATGATAAAGTAATTATATTACCATTACAAAGCAGTATTACAAAGTTCTTCATGTTTTAGGGGATGGTATAGCTCTAGCTTTTGTATGTGTTATAGACTAAATTTCTATACCTGCTCTTTAATGTTATTTTTCTTTACAACTGAAACACATAGTCAGTGTAAGTACAATGAACATACTTTGAGGTAAATGGTTTGGCACTTTAGGTGAGCCAAATGAGTACTATTATTGCTTCAGCTGTATTACATTTAGAATTTACGAAACTTACATTTAGGACTAATATAAACATTTATTTTTTGTTTTTTGTTTTCATTCAGCAGAATCAATAAAACTTAAAAAAAAGAGAAAGGATTTGTAAACTTTGTTTGTTTCTTTGTTTGTTTGTTTTTGTAGTAAAACTTGTTGGCTGGCAGGATGTACCATTATGTAAAAACTTACCATTTAGTTGTTAGCATCTTCCCCCTCCTCCTTTCTCCTCATCCTCTTAATAGAGATGCCCTAAGCATATTTTAGAACCTTTGATGGGGCAGTTTGGGACAATGCCACAGACTGGAAGAATGGGATCTGTTAGCATAAGAAATACAAATGTTTATGATAATGCTGTCTTTCTTGATCACCATGTGCTCTCTGCTGTGGTGTTTTGCACTGTGAGACTTGGGGAAATATTATTTGGATTAGAATAATTTCTATTTGTGAAGCCCATTTCGTTCTAGGCCTAAGAAGGGACAGCCTAGTGAAGCCCATGGAATAGACAGTAAGGCATTGGCCGCTTAGTGCTTTTAATGAGAGAGAGAGAGAGAGAGAGAGAGAGAGAGAGAGAGAGAGTGATGAGTGGGTGTGAAGATTCTTCTGTGTTATCCCACCTTGATCATCTGTACTGAGTAGGAAGAGGCAGTGCTTTGCAGTCAGAATTTTCTCGGAGTTAAAAATAATTGACTTTTTGGCTGGTACCACAGATAAGGTAGAGGACCTAGCAGGGAAAGAAAACTCAATGCTTGTAACTAGGTAAGGTGGTTTCTTTATCTGAAAAATAGACTCTCAACGACCCCTCCAAACAAAATCCCATTTAAAAATTTGTAGGTTAGGCCAGGCGTGGTGGCTCACGCCTGTAATCCCAGCACTTTGGGAGGCTGAGGTGGGCGGGTCACCTGAGGTCAGGAGTTTGAGACCAGCCTGGCCAACATGGTGAAACTGCATCTCTACTAAAACTACAAAAATTAGCTGGCTGTAGTGGGGCATGCCTGTAGTCCCAGCTATTTGGGTGGCTGAGGCAGGAGAATCACTTGAACCCCTGAGGCAGAGGTTGCAGTGAGCCGAGATGGTGCCACTGCACTCCAGCCTGGGAGAGAGAGTGAGACTCCATCTCAAAAAAAAAAAAAATTGTAGGATAGACTACAATGTGTATAACTTCACTCCTCTTGTATAAAGATGTGTGGGCCGAGTGCAGTGGCTCACGCCTGTAATCCCTACACTTTGGGAGGCTGAGGTGGACAGATCATGAGGTCAAAAGATCAAGACCATCTCAGGTCATGAGGTCAAAAGATCGAGACCATCTCCTGATTGAGGCAGGAGAATCGCTTGAACCTGGAAGGCGGAGGTTGCAGTGAGCCGAGATTGCACCACTGCACTCCAGCCTCGGTGACAGGGTGAGACTCCGTCACCAAAAAAAAAAAAAGAAAAAAGAAAAAAGAAAAAAGATGTGTAAGGAAATTAGATAGCATTTCTTGGCTTATTAGCTGTTAAAATGTCCAAGGGAAAATAGATCAATTGAAATATCTTTTGGTGGCTACTAACTTCCCTTTCCATAGATAAGACATAGAGTACAATTGTGAAGACATTTAAGGTTAGGTGTAAGAGAATTCATATTAAATTTTAAGGCTGTTGAATTGGGAGAAAATTTAGTTCACGTCTTCATTTTTCAGAGACAGACTGAGAACTAGAGGAATAATAATTCACCCAGGTAATGAGATCTCATTCCTGCCAGGGCAGAATCTCCACTATGATTTTGGCTTTGTGGCATTGCTTGTATCTCTGTCTTTATTTTATTGGTTAATTTGTATCTGTAAATATTTTATCTTCCCATATTGTAAGGTTCTTGAAAACAGAAACTGTCTCTTATATTTCTTTGTAACTGTTCCAAGAGTTCAATAAATAAATATTTGTTGTTGTGGGGGCTGATTTGTGGGACTCCCCAACCTCTGCAAATAATGTGATTTGTGCTGTCACCATGGCAAATAAAGAATCATTTGTGCTACGTATGTAAGTAATCCAAACAAAACTTTGCATAAATATTTTAAGAAACTGAAATATCAGAATAGATGAGCCATTGAATAAAAATCAACATCAATCACAACCTACCTCATTTTAAATAAGCTACAAATCGAAGTAAATAATTTGATGCGAGTGGTCATTTCTGCTTTCAATCTGAGAGGAAGTCAGTAAATTCCTTTTGCTGTTACAAAAGTAGTTTAAATTCCATGCAGGACACGAGTCTGGGCAATCACATCAGCCTCAGCGTACCAAAGAGCCTAGAGAGACAGCAGAACAATGTCTCCCACTCGAGCTACAGAGGGAAGGTGGTCTTAGGTTTTGCTGCAGTAACTGGAAGCTTAAATTTAATTTTCAGTCAGAGCCTGCTGTTTAAGCTCCCTGTCTGTTCTGCAATCTAAGCTGAATGGGTACTTTTTTTTTCTTTTCTAATATTCTTAAGTCATTTGGAGAAATCTAATACTTATATTTTCAAATTACATCACCTTAGCTAAAGATATATTTTCCTCTCTATAAAATTCAGTTGCAAAAAGAAAAAGTAGACCGAACGCTCAAGAAAGGGAGAGCAGGAGGCCTAGAATATGTAAATTGTTTGATATTTGACAAATCAGTTACTGTGTGTGGTGTGATATGCAAATTGGGAATAATGCTTTCCTCTTATCTGCATTGCAGATTCTTCAGGGCATGTTCTACATGCATTCTGCATGCACTATGTGCAACACAGCAGAAAAGTTTAGTGCAAGAAATCCGGGCAATGGAAATCAGAGGAAGGAAATGTATATTAGCTTTATATCTTTATGTGAAATTTGTGCATGCCTAGCCACAGTCAATGAATTGGTGAGATCAGCATCTACTAACTTACAAATGGATACTGCATTAAATAATACATTTAAAGATAAGTTATGAATAATACATCCCTCAGTTCTGAACACATTTAGGGATTTCTAAATGTGAAACACAGCATATGCTAAGACTAATGCTTAGAATAACATAGGCTAATACAAAATGTGTGTGTATATATTACTATATTTGTAATATATATAAAACACATGCACATACCTACATTTAATCTTTGACCTTTGTTCTATTTGTGCTACTACACAGAATCTGTGCAGTAGTAATTTTTGTGTATAGACTGAGGCCGAATAGGCAGTTTTCTATGTAGAGAATTTGTACTTGTCAGGGACTGTTTTCTTCCTAAAATTCTACCCCTGAAAATTCAGGTGTGTTGGTTCAATGGTTGTTTTAGTTTTGTTGTTTATTTTCCCTTTTTTGTTCAAGTTAAACACAAAGCAACCTTGTGAAATAAACCCTTGAAGTTTTATCATCTCAACCTTGGTGGAATTAATTATCAGTAAACTGGGTGAGTAAATTTTTGTAGTAGGAAATATGTATATTCTTAGAGTCAAGGATATATTTAGATTATAGAATAATTATACTGATAGTTGTATGTGGCTTAGAAATTCAGTTTACATTTTGTATGTAGTTCATAAATAACTGCTTATTGGATAATGGGATTTGAAATTTAATGCTTTTTCCCTGACATTGGGGTTCTGTTGAGCCTTCATCATTGGTTGAATTGGTTGATTAATAATAGACCTCTTACCTTATCAGGCACGGTCTACATGATCAATATGGAAATAACTGACCCTGCCTCCTGTTTCTACCATCATCATCTTTTCTTGTCCTCTTTTCCTCTAAATGATGCTGTCTCACTTAGTATACTAACATTATCCTGCATGGAATAATTACTGATCTTGTTCCATAGACCACAAGTTATAAATGTCATTTTTTTCTAACTGGTGTTTTTAAGATAAGAAGAGTACAAAAAAAAAAAAAACCAGTTATCATCATAAATTTTTGCTATAAAATAACTATGTTAAAAGAAAATAAAATTAAGGAATAACTAAGAATAACTAAGGAATAACTAAGTATAAAATTAAGGAATGACTAGTTGTATGAGTGAAACTTCAGCAGGATAATAAAGTTTTATAAAAAGGAGGAGAACAGCTTTAGAACATGTGATGAGCTGGGAACGGTGAGACATCATGTTACTATTATGTTATGAGATATAATACTTGGAAATTAATATTTTCAGTTATTGTCATTTTGGCATTTTCTGTTGTCTACCTCACTTTGCTCATTTTATCATGTACCTGTTTTTGAACTTTGATCCTGGAAATTTACTGTGAGAGCTATGTAGTGCGTCATAGGGTTTTCTGCAGCTCTCAAAATAAAAAGTATCCCAATTTTCAAAGGAATAAGTGATTTTCATTCTTTGAGTGTTGTGATAATGTATATAATAGTCCTTAAGGTATTTTGATATTTTTCCCATTAGTAACTTGCAGTATATTAGTGAGCTGTGCAATATTTCCTGTATTCCTATTTTGCATATATTATTGCTTTTGTACCTGACAGTGAATGAAAATCATCATTCTTTATGTTAGGTCTGAGAACAGTAAGAGGTTTCCTTGGTGTTGATCATCATGTAAGGAATTTATCTATGTACTGGCTTTGTTTTCTCAAGAACATTATTAATAAAGCCATGCAAAATCACAGACTGGCTTTTAAATACGTTTAACAATATTCCTTGATATGCTAGAAAGTGGGCAGAATTTTCTTCCTCGTTTATATAAATGATTTTTCATGAGTAGGGTCTTCCAGGTTAATCCTACTGTTATTTTTGTTTGTACCTCATGAACATGGCAGGGGATGAACAGAGGTAGGAAAGGGAGGAAGACCGTGAAGGGAAGATGTTTCTTTTTACAAAATAAATTATTTTATTTTTTGTTCTAGACTATTTAGAGAGGTGGTCACTTCTGATAGCAAATTTCTAAGTTTTTCATTCTTAGAAAGAACACATGGTACTGTTCTTGACAATTTAATATTCCCCTTGCTCAATCTCACTTTCCCACTTCAGAAAGCTTATCTGCTAATCCAAGATTATCTTTTAACACCCAGTAGGTGTTAGGGCCACTTTTGTTTTGTTTTTTTGTTTTTAGGATGACATTGAACTAAGAGCAGGAAAACTGGTTGAAACTTTTATTTTTAGAAGGGTATGTTACCATGGAATAAGGAATAAGGGGAAAGCCACCTGTTAATGCTAGAAAATGAAATCTTAATTTAATTTAATTTAATGTAATAGCTTTTACACTAATTATTTTAGTATGTGAAAGCTGATGGGTATTTATTTCATAAATATATGTGAATTTATTTCATAAATATATAGTAGCAACTTGCTGAATCTTTGACACCATTTATTGCCTATACGAGAGCCTGAAACGATGAAGGTAAAGGTAGAAGAACTGGATTTGGTAGATAAGTGGTCAGACAAGAAGCACACATGTTTCTGCCTCTTTTCTCCTTGTGACAGGCTGGTTTAAATATAATGCAGTAACACTCTTACTTTCCCTCCGACTCCTTTCCTTAATGTTTTTCTTTCACACTTAGCACTATCCTTTCATTGTTCTCTCTTGTTTTTGATCTTTCCTTCTGGAGTTAACATTATTTAACAGACACAGTCTCCTCCTAGGGGCACAGGGAATTTCTGGAAAGAAGAGGAGCATATTTGTCTTTAATCTCACTAGTCAATACCTTTCCCAGTAAGCATTCTTTATTGGCATTTTACACATCTAGAGACTCCACCACTCCCATAAGGCTCCAGAAAAAATGTTAAAACAATTTCAGCAGGAAGGATTGAAGCATTGTACTAGAGATTCTATATATTGGGATGGGAGAAGATAAGTGTACTGTCTGAGTACTGTCTTCATTGTCCTCTGTCTAAACTCATCTCTGGATAAGCAGAAGCAAGGAATCAGATACAGGCAGTGCTCCTGGACCCTGAATATATGTTCCAAACATATTGCAAACATTAGACTATTTCTTTTCTACCCTCTGTACCCTCTTTCTAAATTGGTAATTATTTCTTCTTTACCTACTAATGTACCTCTTCTTCTTTAAGTCATCAATGTAAAAGGAAGGCAGTGCCCAAATTTTCTTTGGACCCTTAATTCCTATCTACTCACCCAAAAAGTCCTGTTGAAAGCTTCGATTATGGGCCATGCATTCAGGGCAAGATATCCTGCCAGGCTCTGAGTCCCTGCTTTTATTTATTCAGAACTAGATTTTAGAGAGAAGGATAATGGTAACAAAATGCTGAGTCAATACATTTATCTTCTCCTGTGCCAATGTATAGTATCCCTAGTACCATGCTTCCAATCTTTTCTGCTGAAATTACATTTTTTTTTCCTGAAGTCTTATTACGGTGGTGAAGATCATAGATTATAAAATGTCAATAATTGATTCTGAGAAAAAGGTATTGACCAGTGGGATGAAAGACGGATAGATTCCTTTTCTTTCCAGGAATCCCCTTGTTCTTCTAGGAAGATATCGTGGCAATGTCTATTAGCTTGCAGTTAATTGAGGTCAGCCTGGATTAGAAGTTCTATGTGTTGAGAATCCCTGTTTCAGTTACTCTGGTAGAGATAACTGAGTGATCAAAAGCTGTTCGCTCACATCTGTGCTCATATGCTGAAACTTGAAACCTGGCATATTTGATTTATGGTAGCAACGTGGCCCTGAGATAAGAATTGTATAAACATAAGGTAAATTAAGGAGAAAATAGGGCAGATGATAGGCTAATAAGATGACACGGGGTCTTTAAATTGAAACCCCATTAACTATGTTATAATTCTACATTCTAATATGAAATGGATAATAGAGGTAGTTATGTGGATAACCGAGTCCAGACTGCCTTTTCTGGGATTAGCCCTGTGAATATTTAAGCTTAGCTATTGTATTTCATAAGGCAGTCTGAAATTTGTTGTATTTCTTTTTCACTTTTATTTTATGTAATGATACACTACCATTACAGAAATTCAATGGATCAAACATGATGTGGTTATACTTAAGAGAGAAAAAAAGAAATCTGACCTACTCGAGAAGTTCTTGTGCATTTTTCTTCCAGTAAATCTTTTTACAGCTTATTATTTGGGGGACCAGGTTAAAGGAAAAGTCACTGTGTTAGGAGTCAGGAAGGCTTCACTGGAGCTGCCACTAACTAGCAATGTGGTATAGAGTAATTCATTGAAACTTTCTCCAGTTCGGTTTCTCCTCTTTAAAAAAAACAGAGGGGGGCCTTGGCTGGTCTCGGATGTCGGTCCCCCGCTATCCCCGCCTGGGGGCCGCCCCATCCCGCGCCAGGACTAGGGTCCAGTGCGGAGTGCCCCTAGTCCTGGGAAACGGGGTCTGGCCGCAAAGGCAGCTGCCCCCTTGCCCGTCACGCAATGGAAGTTCGTGGGGAACCTGGCGCTAAACCATTCGTAGACTATCTGCTTCTGGGTCGGGGTTTCCTACGTAGCAGAACAGTTCCCTCGCCGCGATCTATTGAAAGTCAGCCCTCGCAACACAAGGGTTTGTAAAACAACAACAACAACAACAAACAACAACAACAAAAAAACCAACAAAAATAAAATGAATAAATTTTTTTTAAAAAATGGAGGTATTTGGTGACCTCCAGGGTTTCTGCCAATTTCAATCTCCTGTGGTTCTTTAAAGTATATCATGGACTCCTTGGGAACAAAGATGGTTTCTTATCTGTGTTTATACTCTACTGTCACAAAACAGGTATTTAATAAATGTTGGTAGAGTAATCTCAAGAACTAAGAATACCACTACAAGTCTGGGAAAGAAATACAAAACATTTTGTATTTTGTTGTATGCTTCAGCATTTACTGTATGTAAGCATTAACTAGGTAGCATCACGTATCTGGTAGTCTTTAATATGTATTTATTTCTTTCATATTTGGCATCTATAAACTTGTTCAAAAGCTATGCTATTGGGAACCTGGGGGGATTAACATTTATTGAGCGTCTCCTAGATGTGGTCAGCATTAGGCAAGGTTTTAAATATCAAATCTTATTTACTTTTCACAGCTTCTGGTTATCCCCGTTTTTCCCAGGGGGAAATAGAGGCGCTAAGAAGGTAAGAAACTTATCTGAGGTCATAAAGCTAGAAAGTGGCAGAGCTGAGGTTACTTAGATTTGGATTCAGTTTTTTCTTGGCTCCAAAGACCATGATCTTTCCACTGTGCTAGGCTGAATCATGCTTTTTGCTGAGCAAAATATCTATTATGTTACTTTATCCTTATAACATCCCTAAGAGTTCTTTTAAAAAAAGGTGCAAGTCATTAAAAACAAAAGTTATCTTAGCTTTTGTATTCATTTCACAAACTTAATATAACATGAGCTGTGTCAATCAGAATAAGACAAATCCTGTCTCTGAGACAGAGGGATAGCTATCACTTCTTATAATGAGCACTCACAGAGATTAGCTCAATGGGGAATCTGGGAAACTTTCCAGATAGCATCAAAAGTGATCTTTCTAACATTGCATTTAAATTTTAGACAATCCATTTTGACTCCCTTTGTCCTCTTCTTAAAAGCAAGTTTTTATTAATTTTTGACAAGTTAATGCTACTCTCTATTTCCATATTATAGTGCCAGGTAATTTTAAAATCCTATGAGAAATAAACTTTAAACGTTTTGGAAATATCCCCTTCCCCCTCGTTAAATTGTTAAATAATAAATTATTTGGATTAGGCTATAATCAATTGGATTTCTGATCTCCTTGAAAATGAATTTTGCCTACTATGTTGCAGCCATATTTTTTCTTTAATATTACATGTTCTCACTTATAAGTGAGAGCTAGCCATGGGGTACATGTGAACATAAAAATGGGAACAATAGACACTGGCGACTAGTTGGGGGGAAAGAGGGAGGAGGGAAGGGCTGAAAAACTACCTATTTGGTACTATGTTTACTACCTGGGTGATGGGATCATTTGTGTCCCCAAACCTCAGCATCACACAGTGTATCAATGTAACAAACCTGTCCATGTACCCCCTGAATCTAAAATAGAGGTTGAAATTTTTGAAAGTTTTTTTAAAGAGATTATTTTTGCATTAAAATTCTCCAATTGTCAGATTGCCTACAGAACAGAATGTTGGGCATATAGAAGTAAACAGAAAAAAAAGTAGTCCTCACTGTATCATAATTATCCTGTGCTATTGAGTTGCTGTGCATAAAACCTAATCAGATTGACTGAAACTGTCAAAGAACAAAGCACAAATACCAATGATAGATGAAAAGACATATAAAGATGGATGATTCCTTTTTAGGAGCAGTGGGAGATTAAAGGGTAGGCATTACTGCAAGAATTGGTGTTAACTGTTCTTTAAAAAAAAATCATTGTTAATGATCTGGCAGACTGAACGATCAGCACATCAATGACTGAGGAAAGATGTGAGATTCAGAGTGTTACAGCATCACATTAGGCAGAGAAATCATTGAAATAAACCCTATACTAGAAGAAATTGGAAGAGCTAAATGACATGCAGCTTAGGAGGAAAACCTACTCCCTCAGAAAAGATTTTTTTAGATCATTTCTTTCTGTGGAACAAATAAAGGGTTTCAGTAGCATGTTTTGGCTAATTGAGCAGACCACTATTATTGCTGTGGTTCTGTAATCATTTTGCTAGAGAACATAGGAGAATAAATCTCTAGTGATCAGAGAATATATGAATGATGTAGAACCCTCAGGCCATTTTCATACCATTCATCATCTGTGGGATGTTGCCATATCTGGTGTTCTTGGCACACTTCAAGTATGTGAGCTATAGGGAGAAAAGTTGGAAATGGACCCAGATCTTATTGCACAGAAAAAAAAAAAAAAAAAGAAAGAAAGTGAGCCTTGAGGCATGAAATCTCCCAAGAGCTAGCCCTCACACCTGCAGGTAATTTATATCTGTATTTCCTGACTTGCTTCCTCCTATTTAACACTACTTCTTCCACTTTGCTTTTGTACTATTCCACCGGTTGCTGATTCCTCAGGTATGGAGACCTAGCTGCTCAGTTTTCACTTATTTGGCTCCTCTTTTATAGCGTTCGAATATATTCAAATTTGTTACAGGAAATATAGTTAAACCCTCTGGTCTATTGCCCTTTAACTACCTCCTATTCCTCACATTTCCATTGGAACTAAATTAACTCTCGTTGACTATCTAATCATTGACAACTGACACCATGGACTTCTTTGTTCTGAATCCAGCAAACATTTTCAGTCCTACTCTTCCTTCTTTTTCTATGACAATCAAACTTGCTGACCACCTCTTTTTTTTCCTCTAATAGTTTCCCCACTCTTACCTTTCCTCACCCTACTTGACTTTTCCTCCGTTCCTTCTCTTCCATGACTTCCTTTCTCCTCCTAGCTTCTGACAGTACTGTGTTTTCATCAAGCCCTTTTCTTACCTTATATGTTCTTGCCCACACTATTTGATCCACTGCCACACTCTATGTCTTATACATATATGACTCCAAATCTCTCTCCTGAGCTCCAGATCTAAAAATCTACATGCTTAGAAGACATGGAAAACTCAAATAATGTGATACTCTTGTTATTTCCCAATGATATAATTATTCAACTGCTTATCCAAACCAGAAACTTGGGAGTCAAATCATGTTTTTTATTCATGTCTCACATCCAACTGATAGTCAGCTCTGTCTGTCCTGCCTCTCAAATGTCATTCCTCTATGATTCTCTATCACAGAGATGCCCATTTGGGTTCAGGCTTCCATTGCTCATCCCCTGCACTATTGAAATTACCCTCAAATTAGCCCTCTAACATCCAGGTTTGTTCTTTTTAATGTATACATAAAACACATTTTAGAATTTCTGTCCAAAAATCCTCTTCTTTCATAGTTTTCTCCTGTTTATTAAAAAGTCTAAATTCTGAATTTACCACATAGGCCTTTTTTTGTCTCTCAGCCTCAGCTCTGCTCACGTCTCCTATCCCTTCACACGTACTTTAAGGTTACTTCAATTTTATCAAACTACTATATATGCCCAATGTGTCCTTCTGTTTCAACCTCACAAACTTTTTGATACCCCAGTACAATTGCTTTTATGAATGTGATCCCAATCCCACAGGGGGAGAATGAATCATTACAGCCTTATTTCCTATCTTAACCTGAATACAATATATCAGCTACAGCACTTTATTGTCATTCTTTCCTTACTGAATTCTAAGCAAAACTGGAGGATAGAATATTATCTTATTTATCTATGAGTCATCAAGGCCTAGCTCATGGTAAGAACTCAATTTTATTGAGTTGAATGAAAGAATTGATGAATGTATTAATAGACACATGCCAATTTTAATGCTTTAGAGGTATGAGGTAGCCAAAAACATGAGTTTGAAAATGACAATACAGCTGGAATTTAATTTCCATTGCTTTTATGAGCCAGTCAATTACTATACTTGTTTTCCAAACTGCGTCTGAAAACTATTTCATGAAAGGAGAAAAAGAGGACTGGAAGAAAGCTTTAGGAATATAAGAATTGATGGTGATTACCTTTCCAATATCTTTTCTGGTGATATTTGCAACATAGGTATACAGTTAATACTAATGAATGTTTAGATCACTTTTGGCATTCACTAAGTAACCTCTATTATTTATAGTAACAAAACAGGTATCACGAAGGCCCCTTGGGCAGCTTGGGGAGCCTTA
Organism: Homo sapiens; assembly: GCF_000001405.40. NCBI lineage: Eukaryota > Metazoa > Chordata > Mammalia > Primates > Hominidae > Homo > Homo sapiens. Next base: position 67,041,303 of record NC_000010.11, on the reverse strand, counting down.
ACTCTCCATAAGGCTGGAAGCATAGTTCAACATTCAAGCACTAGTTGGTTCACATTCTAACACTAGCTCATCACATCTCAGAAAATCTATTCTGACAAGTTTGATTTTCTTCAGTACTATTTGCTCTGGCAGAACATGATCAGGAACCATTTTTGGCTGAATTCCCTAGTTCTCAGTGAGACAACTGACATACCTTGGCATCTCTATGGACCAAATAACACTAATCTTATTATCAGTACAATTCTAAGTGTTTTCTTTGTGTGTGTAAAAAGATCTGCTTTTTCTCCTACTGTAATATTTCTAAATCTAAAAAAAAGTATAAAATGCTTATATCACCTTATTAGTGGCATAAATGTTTGCCACTTAAAAAGGATTGCAAGCTCCTTGAAGGGTCAGTCAAGGTCTTTTTTATCTTTGTCTCTTTGGTGTATGTCATAGTTGTTCAATGAAAGTTTGCTAGGTTGAACTGATGTGTGCTTATAATTTAACATCATGTGGTATAATTTTAAAAATACCACAGAGAATGGATTCTGCTTTTACGCTGATATTTCAGGATGCATTTTTTCCTGACATCTTGGTTAACCTTTTTATTACTGCATCTAGTGAAGATTCTCAGGGGTTTTAATTTGCATCACCATCAGTGTCATCATCTTAATAATGTCACCATTGTATACTGTTTAAAAAATATAGACACATATTTTCTCTAATCCATCTAGAAAAAAATTCCATCTTATATTTTCAGAAGAATCCATAAGAACTAAGGGAGAGTGGGTAAGAGAGAGTAAATGTCACCATGGGGTAGAAGCAGTGTGCTGGCTCATCATTTTCATGGCACTCTCAAATCCAATTTGTGATGACAAATTGGATACTTTGCATCCAAATTGTTTGACCTTTGTGCAGTGGCTCCCATTATCAACTGGGGAACCAGTACAATCTTTACCTAGTTACTACTGAGGTTGTTCTCTCTCCATCACAAAATTTCATGCTATTTATCTGTGAGAAAATGCCTGAGGACTTTCACACAGTAATTCATCTTATCTGGAACCCTTAGGATCACATGTAGACCGAGCAAATGTCAAGTTCACAGAGAACACCTGTGTCTTCAGAACATTAAAGGGCACCATTAGAGCTTGTTTCCCTTCACTTAACATGCACATTTTTGGCATAAGTTGGGGCTGAATGATGTTGTCATAGCAAATACTGCTAGAATGATTGCTGTACTCATTACACTACCAAAAAAAAGAGAGAGATGAATGGGTGTGGAGTGTCACTAACCCTCCTCATGATCAGCACATGGAGAGGACAGGACAGGGTGACATTCCTGAGGAACTGGTAACCCCCAGACAGCTAATATGCTTTATGACAGATTGGTGGGTTGGCTATCTCCAAAACTTCTAAGACATAGAAATTCAGATTGAGGTCATAGGTATTCAGATTAATCTGTAACGGTCTTGGAAGATTATTATATAACATAGCAATCAATAATTATCTTTTAAACAAAGCAGTGCTGATTTCTGAAGCAGTGGACTAAGCAAGTAGATCTAAACAATCTACTTGCTTGTTTCGATTTTGCAGGTGCATTTTTGGGATGGTTCTTAATCCTGATTTACTTAACTGTTTACATAATGCTGGTGTTCTGTCATGATTTTTAATTTTTCTGGTCCCTTTACTAATTTTCACCTCTAACCTCTAGATATTAGTTCTCTATGATGCTGAGCTAGTTATCTAATAATTATTTTTTAAACAAAAAAAGTATCAACAACTCTCCTAATAAATTATTATGCATCACCCATAGGTAAATAGAGGCATAATTTAAAAATTATTATATACTTGGATTAATTGACAACATATGCTTCATTTGAATTTCTGAACATTCGAATGTACTTGTAAGAGCAGGCTTTTCTAATACTAGGCTTTTTCTGCTGCACAGGGAAATGTTTGTCTCCAGAAAAAACTTCTTAGAATAAATAACTTATTTTAGCATTTATGTTAACTGGAAATATAATTTCATAAGGTATAATATTCAGGATTTCTAACAGCTGCTACAGTTCTATACATCTGCTACACTTGGTATAACCTGTAATTTTCCTCGAGTTACAGTTTGTGAAGTTGTAATTTTGGTTATAATGTTAAGTATGGTAACAGTATAGCTTATGGTTTCATAGTAATCTCAGTGTGAGGCATTTGTTCATGTATTATTATAGAGCAAATGACAGGTAGAAACTGTAAAAATAAAGGAGAACATATCTGCTGATATAGCAACCTCAAGTCCTTTCTAACACGAATTTTCTACTGTTTGGATTCCAATTCTTGATTATGCCTGAAAAATTAATATCTATCATGAATCTTCTCAAAAGACTATTTTTTACATATGCTACAAGTTATCTGGATTTTATAGTTAATTTGTTCCTTTCTACTAAATTTGTATGTATTATTATAACATAATATATAAAGACATATTGATGTTTTCATTTTATGCATTTACTTTTAAAGATTTTAAGTATCAGACAATATAAAGAGAGACATTTAAAAAATATCTCATATTGAACTCCTGGTTCTGCCAATGACCTGACTAATGATTTTGGACTGTTAACCCTGTTAATTGTTTCACCTTAGGAATTGATAGGAAAATTTTGTAAGCAATTCTTGGTTGACAAGTACTTGGTTGAAAGACCAGATAACAAAAATATACTAGCTGCTATTATGCACATTTAATGTATTCTTCAAAGCATTGAGCTTCCACTGATTTTATAATCCATTGAAATTTCCATGATATCAGAATATATATCAACCTCATTTTCATAAATGAGTTGTCCTTTTCCTGAGCTCACACAGTAGCCTAGGATTTTCTAATTAATGGACATATATTTTCATCTTCTTATAGTACGTATTTTTGTTTCTTTGTAGCACTGCTATTTCTTTCCTCATAAATGATATTAATTGACATATAGTGACTTAAGTAAACTAAAATATTAAAAGCACATTGAAGTGACTACATTTGAAGGACTGAAGGAAATAATTTTACAATGCATTTTTATTTTAGGAGGATAGATTTTTTTAGAATGGCTAATCAACAACAACAATAAAATAATACAATATATTTTATATTCAGGAGGATTATCCAACTGAATTTCAGATAATCTTTATAAATATAATAACTTGCTCTGAAATGCTTGCTCTACAATACTCATATAAACAGTACTATTAAATCGAAATAAATAATCACATCAAGTTTGCCACTACAGGTGGACACAGTCAACAATATTATTAGATGTAAAATCTCTCGTCTCCTATGGCTTACATGAATTTTTTTCTGTTTATTCATGTTAATCCCCTTAATGAACAATTATTTCTCTGCCTCCTGTTTGAATGTTGGTATTCCTGGGTTTCTGTCCTGGACCTTCTTTTAAATCTATCAACCTCTCTGGGTTTCCATAATATCAACTGTCAGCTAATCATAATTTACCAATACATCTCAAATTGTCCTAAGCTGAACTCACTGACTGTAACTACCATCCATGTATTTGTTCAAGTTAAAAATTGGGAGTTATTCTTGATTCCTCCTCCTCTCACACCACCTACACCTATTTAGTCATAAAGTCCTGTCAATACTCCATTCTAAAAATGGATTGTAACTTTCTACTTAGTTCCTCACCCTCTGTTAGTGTCTTAGTTCAGGTTTTCATCATTTTTCACAGCTTTCTAATTCATCTCCTTGCATCCAGTCATACTTCATTCAAATCTCTTCTACATGTGAATCTACCTGAAATGCAGATATGATGATCACTCCTCTACCTAAACATCTTATATAGTTTCCCTTACCTAAAAGCTAAAGAAAAGAAATTTTAATAATTAATACTTATCTCTGCCACTTGAGAGACATTTCTTTGAGGTTTGGAATTATGTTTTTTTTTTCTTTTTTCTTTTTTTTTTTTAGATTTCCATTGTTGCCACATAGTGTTGCCACATAGTAACTGCTGAATATGATTTTGCTGAGTACATGAAAGAAGAGAAAGGATGGCATTAAACTAAATGATTAAATATCTCTAAAGTAACATTTTTTGCTGATGCTTACTGACACATTACTTACAAGTAAACATCATTTAAAAATTACCTATTACTATTAGTTGAGATGTGTGAACATCTCTCTACTTGTTTAATGAGTCAAATGTAAAGTCCTTATAATAAACTCCAAGATCCTCACCCAGTCAAATGCCTCTCTTCCTTGCTCACTTCACTCCAACCATTTGGTCTCCAGGTAGCCCCGGAACACCCAAGGTCTCTGTACTTAATGACTAGATCGCCTGCATCTCAAATAGATGAATGAGTCACTCCCTTTGGGTTGTCAACCAAGTATCATTTCCTCCTATTTAAAACAACTACCCTTTCCTTCCTCTTTTATGCATTATTATTTTTTTTCACAATTTTTATCCAATGTTTTATATATTTTGCTTTTATCCTACTTTAATATTCATTTCCCAGAGTTAGAATTATATGTGTTTTGAGGGAAGAAACTTTTGTCTCTGCTCACTGTTGTATCTCTAGAATTGAAAAAAGATAATATTTATTGCATAAATAAACAAATGAATGGGCACAGCCTCGATATTTATCCTTTAAAAAGTATACTCTTAAAAATAAAACCCCTGGCCAGGTGCAGTGGCTCCCAGTACTTTGGGAGTCCAGGGTGAAATGATCACTTGAGCTTAAGATTTTGATACTAGCCTGGGCAACATGGAGACCTTGTCTCTACCAAAAATTTTTTTAAAAAGCTGCCACCACGCCCGGCTAAGTTTTGTATTTTTAGTAGAGACGGGGTTTCACCATGTTGGCCAGGCTGATCTCAAACTCCTGACCTCATGATTTGCCCGCCTCAGCCTTCCAAAGTGCTGGGGTTACAGGTGTCGCTACTTGGGAGTCTGAGGCAGGAGAATTGCTTGAAACTGAAGGGAGAGATTGCAGTGAGCCGAGATCGCGCCACTGCACTCCAGCCTGGGCAACAAGAGCAAAACTCTGTCTCAAAAAAAAAAAGCTGGGTGTGGTGGAGGATCTCTTGAGCCCAGGAGGTTGAGGTTGCAGTGAGCCATGGTCATGCCACTGTACTCCAGCCTGAGTAATAGAGAGATACTCTGTCTCAAAATAAGATAAAATAAAATAAAATAAATCCCCAAATTATGTAAAACAATTATAATTGAGACTATCTCTACTAAGGTCTAATATCTCTAATAGAAATAAGGTCATGCCTAAAGAGGTTAGAAGATGCAAATTCAGTAGCCATACTGTTAACATAATTGCTCTAATTCTGTATCCATGTTTTATTAAAGCATTGTTTTTGTCAAAAAAGAAAAGCAAGAAAAGTTGTCTAGTTCTAGTTTTCAGAAAGGAGAAAGTGAAAGCATAACTTGAATTAAAATTCTAATGTTGGCTACTAAATAGGGAATATAGAATAATGTACTGGACAGTTTCTTTGTAAAATGCAGACGCATGCTTCAGCTATGGATTTTTTTTTAAAGCAAATGTTGATAAAAGCTATAAGAATAACATTAAAGCTCAATACAGTGAAAGCATTTCTGTGATGTACTCAGCTGATGTGGTTCAGGTCTATTGCCTAATTTGATTGAAAGATTGAATTTTGAGTACTGAGGGAGGTGAACTGATAGCATTTCTTGGGCTTTTTAAATTTTCCTTATATTTCTGCTTCTCTTGTCAAAGCTTCTGATAGGGTTTTTGGAATTGTGTGTCAAAAAGTTCTCCGAGTTAGAATTTACTGATTCACATTAAAAAACAAGTAAACTTTCTCCTATATTCTTTACTTTCTCCCTGATCCCCAACTTCAAAATTAAAAAAAAATACCAACATCTACAAGAGCAACAACTTCAAAGGAACTTAACTTTAAATAACGCATATAAATATAAAGTCATTCCAAACTCCTTAGCTTCAGTTTTGGTCCCTTCTGAATCATTCTCAACATTATATTTTGACAACAGTAAATATGATGATGTTATATGCAATTCTTAAGAAATCTAGTGACTTGCAGCATATTTTTAAATCATAGTTTTACTTAATTTGACTATATATATAGATACTCTATATGCAGAGCACTATGCTATACATATCTATATATTCATATGGGTAAGGAACTTGTACTTGGTATCAGCAAGGAATAGGACAGTCTAGCAGAGGTAATATGCACAGATAATTCAATACAGGTGAATATTAGATTGGGCTATGCGGAGCTATCAGTATTCATAAAATACAGTGAGCACTTCTAACTGGTGACCTCAATAAGGGCTTCTTGAAATAAGTGATTTCTGAACGGGGCCTTCCAAGAGTTCCTAGTATAGACATAGGTGGGCATATTTCAGGCAGTAAGAAGGCCAGAAGAAATAGCATTGCCAAGAGATATGTCAACATGATCAAATGGTAAGCAGGGAACTGCAAATAGATATATTTTATTAGACTGGAGTGCATCTGAAGCAAATGGTAGGAGGCAAGACTGATATGGTAGGTTGGGGGTCAAATTGTAAACAGTATTTAATATTACATGAAAGAGATTTACTTATTATACAGCCACTAGAGAGTCAGTTTTTGCATCTGAGTAGGAGGGTGGTGATGTGGTTAAATAAGTTCGTTTGAGAAAGATTAGGTGTAAGGAGAACAGAACACACGGCCATTCTTGTAATTTATTTGTAGGTTATTAGTAAAGACCTGAATTTGGATGATGGCATTGAAGGAGTGGAAAGGATAATATAAATGTGTTAATGGAGGGTAGGAGATTGAAATGATGACAATACCCAGGAACCAGAAAGGGAGAGCCTAAGACACTAGAGAGTATAGGCACTGGACACTAGAAGATGTGATAGATCATAAACCAACATAGAAGTATTGCAAGAAGGAATATCAGCTTCTTGAGGGCAACCAGAACATTTTATTGGGCATTGTATCCTCATCACTTACAAGTGTGAGGCACATAAAAGGCACTTGATTTGTGCTTGTTGAATGACTGAATAAATGATTGCTTGGCAAATGATTGCTTGGCAAATGATTACACAGAATAAGCTCCAGTGTGGTTAAAGAAAGTGATCCCGGTTGCCCTGGCAACCAGGCAAAGGATAGTACAGGATGGTAAAGGATAGGAAACTAGTCCATTGGCACTAGTTAGGTAATTAAAAGCACTGGTTTGGCTGCAGTTCTAACAATGTGTCAGCTTATTTTTCCTTTTAAGAAGCAGTATAGGCCGGGCGCGGTGGCTCACGCCTGTAGTCTCAGCACGTTGGAAGGCCGAGGCAGGCGGATCTCTTGAGGTAAGGCATTTGAGACCAGCCTGGCCAACATGGGGAAACCTGGTCTCTATTAAAAATACAAAAATTAGCTAGGTGTGGTAGCGCAAGCCTGTAATCCCAGCTATTAGGGAGGCTGAGTGAGGCAGAATTGCTTGAACCCGGGAGGCAGAGGTTGCGGTGAGCTGAGATCGCACCACTGCACTCCAGCCTGGGCGACAGAGTGAGACTTCGTCCAAAAAAAACAAAAAGAAACACTATACAGTAAAAGTTACTTATGCAGATTCTAGAAGTGGGCTACTTGGGTTTGAATCTGAGTTCCACCATTTAGGATCTGTCTGTACCTCAGTATTCTTCTCTTTAAAATGGGGAAAATAATAGTACTAACTTCATAGGGTTGTTGTGAGGATTAAATGAGTTACAATATGTAGTTAGAACAGTGCTCGGCACATATTAGGCACTATGTGTGTTATAAGTAGTAGAAGTGAACTATGTCTACTGCACTCAACTTTTATTTACATCGTGTATTGGTACAGTATACAGTAATGGTTTTCAGGTGAATTTTTTCTGACCAAGTATTGATACATAGATAATAATCTGATTTGGGGAACTCTTCAAAAATTTCCTCAAAAATTGATGGGAGAGAAGCATCGAGATTTGTGTTGCATAACTGTGCTATGAGCCACAGTTTGATGGAAGATGTGCACATGTGGAAATATGGTTAAGACCTGAGATATAATGCTTTTGAATGCTGGAAAGCACCCTCACATAACACTTTGCCTCAGAGAGAAAGCCTTATACAAATAGAACTTGATTTCAAAATAGCTCAAAATTCAAGAGGACTTGAAGATCATATATTTGAAAGCAATGATCTCTAAAATTAAAATCAGTCGGTTTCCTTCAATTTATTTTTGTTAAAATAGTTCTTTTAAGAATTTCGAGTTTCCAAAATCCTCCTGGAAAAAAATAGCTGTTATCTTTGTTCCTTTAGGCATTGGTAAAAGTACTGTAAAATAATTCAAGTAAAAATGAAGGTGCTTTATTTAGTTCAAAGGAATTTCAAAAGCCAGCCATTCTGAATCACTTCAGATTCCATGGTGTGCTGAAAATTAAATAGAAAATGTCATTATGCAGTACCAAAACCTTAGTTGTTTTAATATACAGCTGAAAAGCTTGTATGTTAGTAACTGAGAGCCAAGGATTCAGTGTGGTCTGATAGGGGAGCTAATTGAACTGAGAACACATAAAAAAAGGAAAATTGCTTTTGTTGACATCAAAGACATTTTATTATTTGGCTTCTTTTACACAGGATATTATATAATGAAGCTAGAAGCCTTAAACATGATACAGATTCAATTTGAATAATGTTCTGTTAACTACCTTTGAATTTCAAGTGAAAAATTGTAACTGTAGAAATTACATCAATAACATCTGTCTGATGCTTAATACCTGGCAGTATGTGAGGCAAACATAAAAGAAATCTGTAGAGAGTATTTTTACCTGATTTGTGATATCTTCTCATTAACTATAGCAGGACCTCCACAAATCCCACCCATATTCTTTTTTTCCTCCTCTTAAATTTTGTAAAACAAACTCATACTTTGGAAATCAACCCGTTAAATATGATTTTATTGGAGGCGAAATGGGCTATTGAGGAAAGTAGGCAAATTTACTTTACTTGATTTCTTTCTAAGGATAGTTTTCATATGTCAGTTACCTCTGCATAGGTAACCCTTGTTCTGGAAACAAACAAAAAAAAAGCAATGAAGCACAATATAAAAAATGTCAGTTCTGGAGTCAAAGTAGAGGACTTAAATCTTGGCTGATAACCAGTTGCTAGTTGTGTGTCCATGGGCAAGTTGTATATTTTTTCTAGGCCTCAGGTTCTCACATATAAAGTGGAAACAAACCTTGTGGGAAAATGGTGAAGATTTCATGAGCTAAAATATGAAATGTACATGACCTACCTCATTTTACTGGAAAAGAAGGCAGACAAATTATGCATGGCCATAAACCATTTTATATACACCGTGTTTTTGTTAGAACTCAGATTTCTAGAATTCTGAGATTAAAAAGTAATTGCTAAAGTTATTGTTACTATTGATAAAGACTGGAATTAGAATGCCATTATTGCATGGGGATAAGCATGTTTTGTGGCCCAATAAAAGAGGCTGCTCAAAATGACCTCTGATCTGTCCTTCTTGATTCAGGATTTTATGATCTTGTGACATTGCAGAACTCTAAGAACAGAGTAATTCTCACTCATTTCTTAGATCTTTAACACAAGAATTACATTATCTTTGAGCGGAAACTAAGGTCCTAGTCTACTCAAAGTGCGTATTTCAATTTGTTAATTCTGACAGTTTTGTTACCAGGTTGATGGGCGTATTTCAAACCTCCAACACTTAAGTTCTAATAACCTGACTTCTGCAAAAGTGCTGTTACATTATGTCCTCTTAAAGGTCCTAAGTAGTCCCTGTCAGTCTTTTAGTGACATTACTTGGCAGTATTCCTTTTTAATTATCAGGAAAATGATAAATTTTCTTGAAAATCTTTGAAGTGAGCTCATGTTAATTCAATACATTAGTGATAAGCACAATGTATAGTAGAAAGGGATAATGTAGCCAGAAGTGAAGACGAAGAATGATATTCTTAGATCTGACACTGATTTTTTCTATCATCTGCAAACCACTTGACTTCTTGCATTTTTTCCCTTCTCTGTTACTGAAAAATTTAAAACCTGTGAATTTCTACCTCATTTGATGTTGAACAGTTTTACTAGGAAAGGACCTAGACAAATGTATTGTTATATATAGACATATATATCAATTTATATAAATCAGAGGGTTTTATTTATACCTGGAATAATACAACTTTATTAAGTAAAGGTTACTTTTGAAGTCATCTAGTTTAAACTCTTTACAAACATGTGAAAACAGAAGTCAAGTATGACGGGGTAAAATGTGTGTTCAGAGGCTGTGTGTGACACAGCTAAGTTATTTATTTATTTATTTATTTTTTTGAGACGGAGTTTCGCTCTTGTTGCCCAGGCTGGAGTGCAGCGATGCAATCTCGGCTCACTGCAACCTCCACCTCTCGGGTTCAAGCAATTCTCCTTCCTCAACCACCTGAGTAGCTGGGATTACAGACTCCCGCCACCACACCTGGCTAATTTTTGTATTTTTAGTAGAGACGGGGTTTCACCATGTTGGTAAGGATGATCTCAAACTCCTGACCTCGTGATCTGCCCACCTCGGCCTCCCAAAGTGCTGGGATCACAGGCGTGAGCCACCGCATCTGACCGGTACTTTTCTGATATTCTGGATTAAATTATCTCTTCTACCTCAGCTTCATTATCTCTATGGAGAAATAATAATGGTGATAAACAAATATATTGATCTACATAATATCTTCATGAAAATATGCAAAATCAGATATTTATCTTCATAAAAATATATAAAATTATTATATACAATATGTAAAATCACTCCTTTGGGGCACTTCAGTATTAATTTATGTATTTATATATTTTTTGTGTGGGTGTGAATATATTATATACACATAATGTATAAATATAGTTCAAGATTAATTCCTTAATTCACAACAGGGCCTAAATTTTTAACTGGTGAGCTATTTAAATATTTCATTAATTTTATAATTAAGAGGGTTTTTAAAAGTGCTTCAAAAGTTTATAAATTAAATGATAGCATATGCAGATTGCTTTAGAACTCGACTTCAAATGTTTCTTAACTTTAAACATTGTTTAACAGAGCACCATTATGTAGAGCAGAATGCTTTAAAGTGAAGCTGCTAAGTGTAAAAATGCAATAAATGAATGTCTGACTTCCCTTGTAAACCATCCAACTGGTGCTTTAGCACAAGCTTATTTGTTATTAATTTAGCTAAACTTTGAAAACAGATTATTTTGATGATTAAAATACACCTTCTATATGATTATTACAAGATTGTTTTTTAGAAAAAAATTAATTTTATTTACCTATCAAAGTGTTTGAAATACAGGGCACAAATATCTTAATGCATTTATGAAGGATTTGGAATATGTTTGGATAGGTCAGTGTTGTCTGACAGAACTTTGGCCAGCCATGGGGCTGTTCTATATCTGGATTGTCCAGTGCAGTGTCCAGTAGCCACACGTGTCTATTTAGAATGGTTTTTAGTGTCATTGAGGAACCGTGCTTTTAATTTTAATTAAAGTTAAATAGGTACATGAGGTTAGTGGCTACCCTATTGGACATCACAGGTATTGATTGGTTTTTGATATAGAATCACAGAGTTAAAAGTTAATTTGTAAAAATATCTTTTGTTTTACGCTTTAGTAGAGCCACACTTAAGTCTTTTGGGAAAATTAAAATTTATTTTTAAAGGCAATGAGAAAAAGCCATCCCAAACCTCTCTTTTGTAACCTACGTAAGTTTTAAATAATACAATGTTAAAACTCACTTGTGACATTCAAAATCTTAAGTGCTATAGCTTAAATAATGTTTGTGTTTGTGTATACTTGACTCAAGTAGATGAGTACCCACCGGTTATCATGCTTTTCCTAAGACAGTAACTAAACCAACCCTCAACCATGCCCAAATGCCAACTGCTTTAACCTCTCTTTATAGGTCTTCCCCATTTATCAATCAACCTGCTCTGAACCAGCTCCAAAATATCCATGACCCTATTTGCTTACAAATTTGCTTAATATCCTCCAAATGGATTTGGGATTTGTTTTAATTGTTTAGTTGAAACTTCTTATTTCAACTGTAAATTCATGTTTTATTTAAGAATATTTGGTACATTAGTGAACCTTTTCAAATAGCTGCTAATATTTAGCTTATGGAGTAATGGCCTGGATAGAAGTCATCAGCTAATAAAAGAGGTGATTATGCTGAACAGTAGAGAGACATAAAGAAAGATCAGCAAAGCACACCTTTTGAACTCACCGTAGTGTGCTCTTACATCCACATATACTCCTGGGCTAGTCTGATGTTATTAATGGAAAGCACAGAGAAAACACTTAGTGGGGAGTTGCGATATGATTGCTGTTGATTTTTGAGGCACTCTAATTTCTAAGTATGTGGTACAATAAAAAGTTGAGTTTTGCCTTATGCTTGCACCAAAATGTTAAAATGACTCATTAATTTTGATATTTTAATACTAAACTACTAATAGTCTACTCAGGGATTTCCTATCTTCCTAATGTAATTACTTGTAGAATGCTTGGGAGGAAACCTCAAAAATGCTAAAATGACTTCACTAGCCTGCTTCCATTTTTCCTAGAAGACCTTAATCGTTTTAGATTTTAAATGTTCTAAATAGTTTGCTAAATATTAAGGGAAAATAAACTCCAAGAACTTTTTTTTTTTTTTTTTAAGTAGAACTAGCTTGTTGTATCAGTTATCTCTGACTTCCTTCTTGGCCTGGAAAATTCTCATTGCACATGCTGTTTGACATAACTACATTCTATTTTCAAAATGTCTGCTCGATTTCATTGACTATTTGCCTAAAGTCTTTACTTCCTAGTTTGCCAGATGCCATCCACTCTCAAGTACTACCTTCTAGATTTTTTTTTTTAATAAAGACTGATTGTCAAACCCTAAATTTTTTGGTTGAGAAATGTTAAATACTGGAAGTCATGCAAGCTGTGGATGATAGGTACTCTCCAAATCTATTCTGTAGCTTCTGAGTCAATCCATAAAATTGTTGCCATAAAGACAAAATTTAATTTATCTGCCTGTGCCATTACATTAAATAACAAAACAAAATAACAACAACAACAAACAAACAATGACAAACCACAAAACTGAAGAAATAAGAGTGGATGGGAAACTCCAGTGAAAAGAAAAGGTTGGGCTCCATATAAAGTTGTCCAATGCAGTGCAGCATACACTCATCAGTAGAGAAAAGCAAAATGTCTCAGGATCAGAAGAATAAACGAATATAGCAGTGTGACCTTGGATAGTTCCCTCTGAACTTCAGCTGGTCTTTTTCACATATGAAATACAGTTAATACCAGCTACCTTACTTGCTTCACAGGGTTGTTATGAGGGTCAAGTGAGAAAACAGATGGAGATTTTATAAACAAAAAAGTACTATACAAATATAAAGTGATATCATCATCATTATGACATTAAGAGCTTATCATTCAGAAGCAAACAGCAAATATCTATCAGTGTAAATTTTAAAGTTTTAAAAGGAAAAAACGAATATACTCTTTGTAGGTACTCTGGTGGACATATTATATGTCCTAGGCAATCTCAGAAATACCTATGGACAATTATATGAAAATGTCAGCCGGGCACGGTGGCTCATGCCTGTAATCCCAGCACTTTGGGAGGCCAGTGGATGACAAGGTCAAGAGATTGAGACCATCCTGGCCAACATGGTGAAACCCTGTCTCTACTAAAAATACAAAAAAGTTAGCTGGGCATGGTGGCGCACATGTTTAGTCTCAGCTACTCGGAAGGCTGAGGCAGGAGAATCACTTGAACCCAGGAAGCAGAGGTTGCAGTGAGCCGAGATCACACCACTGCACTCCAGCCTGGGTGACAGAGCGAGACTGTGTATCAAAAAAAAAAAAAAAAGTCATGAAAGAAAAAAAAGGCAAGTCATTATCATTGACAGAAATATAGGTATTTAATATTTTCTGAGTCATTAAAGTAATCCAGGAATACCAATTTTAGAAGAATGTCAGTTGAATGTCAGATGTAAAACTTTCAGTGAGTTCCACGAGGGGAATTAAAAAGATCTAGGTGACTCATTCAGCTCTATCTTCCTTTTCCTCCTCTCATCCTTCCTTTCCTCATCTCTCCTCCTTTTGTTTTCTTCCTTTACTTCCTACGCTCCTTTCCCTCTTCTGTCTTCTCACCTTATTGGGCACTCACTCTATCAGCAGAATTCTAGAGATGCTATAAGGGATATAAAAGAAGTAGAAGGCAAAAATCTACGCTCTCAGAGAGTTTTCAGATTTGGCTGAGTCCTTTGAAATTATTTGTGAATTGGTAAAAGGAGATGTTTTATCATCATTTATTTTCTGAGAACCCAGAATTAACTGTGTCTTATACAGAATAAAGAAGGCATGATCCCTCTTCTAAATGGTTTCTATTTTAATGTGATCTTAAATTACAACCTCTCAGAGTTAAGGAGATATATGAGGAAAATAAGCTTTGTAGATTTTAGGTTTCTGAACTCTTTTAATTAACACATGAGAAGAGTTTGTTTCATTTTTCATAAATCTCTCCTTATGTCAATCAACTCTTTGAACAACTAAGAACCAGACAGAAGAGGTTTTAAATGAACGTTAATATACTTTTTCGTCACTGGTTGCTCAAACTGAAAGAGATGCTTTATGAAGAAATTGGTTTCCTCCCAGGGTTTAAGCTCCTTTTCCTTCAATATGAATGTTCAGAAGACTGTTCTTTCTTGAGAGATAATTTTGACTAATATATAAGGAGCTATTTGAAGGCATGTTCCTCTTGAATGTCTTCCCTCTTAGCTTTATGAAGATTTAAAACTTTTCCATATTACTTATATAACACTGCTTTATTTCTTTTGTTTTGTTATATTATTTTGTTTTTATTTTAAATAGTATTTAATACAATTCATTAGTTCTATTTTTATATTTACAAATATAAAAATATTTACAAAATGTATATTTACAAAATGTTCCAAAAATATTAATTCATCTTCTTAAAACTCTACTTGAATCTGGATTGCCAGATGGTCATAAGTATTTTTTTCTCTCTTTTTTTTCTTAATTATTATTATACTTTAAGTTTTAGGGTACATGTGCACAATGTGCAAGTTAGTTACATATGTATACATGTGCCATGCTGGTGTGCTGCACCCATTAACTCGTCATTTAGCATTAGGTATATCTCCTAATGCTATCCCTCCCCCCTCCCCTCACCCCACAACAGTCCCCAGAGTGTGATGTTCCCCTTCCTGTGTCCATGTGTTCTCATTGTTCAATTCCCATCTATGAATGAGAACATGCGGTGTTTGGTTTTTTGTCCTTGCGATAGTTTACTGAGAATGATGATTTCCAATTTCATCCATGTCCCTACAAAGGACATGAACTCATCATTTTTTATGGCTGCATAGTATTCCATGGTGTATATGTGCCACATTTTCTTAATCCAGTCTATCATTGTTGGACATTTGGGTTGGTTCCAAGTCTTTGCTATTGTGAATAGTGCCGCAATAATCATACGTGTGCATGTGTCTTTATAGCGATCATCAGTATTTGAGTAAAAATTAAGAACATATGTTAATGGGCATTATAACTTGTCTGGATTTTCAAAATGTAACTAAGAACAATACTTGTTGTTGTTGTGTAATGATATAGTACTTATATAGTACTTTAGAGAGGATTTCAACTTGCTATATAGATTTTAAAAATATTCTTCCTCCAGGGGTTAAAGAAAAAAGTCAGAAACCGAGCTATTCTCAGTAACATTGCAAATAACAAGATGCAAAATACATTTTCACCCTTTTAATAAACTTGCTTTTATTATTATATAGGAAGTCTGGAATTTCTGAGTGATTGGTAATCTATGATCTTATTTTCCCAAGCATTGTACTTAGGAGAGAACAAGTATATCAAAAAATTATATAGGGGAGGTAAAAAGTTGGATATGTGGCCTTTACAAAACCATGTTTTTAGTTTGGGGAGAGGAGTTTTTTTTTTTGCATGGGCTTACAAAATAGGCTTATGAGCTAATCAAACAACTTAAAAATGCAAATATACCAGAATTTAGTTAACTGAATGAGTCTTTGGTAATTACTTTCAGTGCCAATTGGTGGGTGATACTGAAAAATATTTCTTGTGGTTTCTTTTCTTTCTTTCCTTCCTTCCTTCCTTCCTTTCTTTCTTTTTTTTTTTTGTTTTTGACAGAGTTTTGCTCTTGTTGCTCAGGCTGGAGTGTGCAATGGCATGATCTCGGCTCACCGCAACCTCCGCTCCTGGGTTCAAGTGATTCTCCTGCCTCAGCCTCCCGAGTAGCTGAGATTACAGGCATGCGCCACCACACCTGGCTAATTTTGTATTTTTAGTAGAGACAGGGTGTCTTCTTGTTGGTCAGGCTGGTCTCAAACTCCGGACCTCAGGTGATCCGCCCGCCTTGGCCCCCTAAAGTGCTAGGATTTACAGGCGTGAGTCACCCCACCCGGCCTCTTGTGGTTTCTTTTAAAATTCATTAATATTGGTTATAAATAACTTTTGAGCAAGTTAAAATATTTAAAGCAACATCAATGACATGCCAAAGAATGTTTAGTAGGCTCTGAAGGTCCTTCCAAATAAATAATTTACCAATATCTGAGCATTAACAAGATCAATGAACCAATTATCTATTTTTCTAAGGTAACTTTTGCTGGTTACACCCATTTGCATATATGGCTCATTTTGTTGTTTCTTTCAAAGTTAGGAAAATGATTTTATAGCATAACTCCAAAACATAATGACTTTGAAGCATATATTAACGTGGTCTTATGGTAGGCCAAATAATGCCCTCCACCCACCAAAGATGTTTACTTCCTAATCACCAGAACCTGCAACTATGTTACCTTTCACAGCAAAAGAGATTTTGCAGAACAATTAAGGATTTTGAGATAGGGAAATGATACTGGATTATCCAGGTGGGCTCACTGATGTACCTGCAAAGGTCTTTGTAAGAGGGAGGCAGGAAGGTCATGGTAAGAGAGAAAAAATATAAAGACAGAAGCAGTAAAGTCAGACTCTACGAGAACACAATGAGATGACTGAAGCAGCTAGAGAGGAGAAAAATTTGAAGATGCCACATTGCTGGCTTTGAAGATGGAGGAAGGATCCAGGAGCCAAGGAGTGTAGTAGTCTTTAGAAGCTAGAGAGGCAAGGAAACATATTTTCCCCTAGACCTCTGGAGGGAACACAGTCCTGCTGACTTGACTTTAGCTCAGTGAGGCTGATTTTGGACTTCTGTCCTCCGGAAGATAATAAACTTGTGTTGTTTTAAACCACTAAATTTGTGGTAATATGTTATAGCAGCAAGAGGAAATTAATATAGACTCTGAGGATTAGAAATTGAGTAATAACCCAAAATAATCCTAGAAATTATCTAGCCCAACTTCTTACCCATGAATTTCATAGTAACACCATCCAAGTATTGAGTGTCATTCTACCTGAAGTTACATAATCTGTAGCAAAATTGTAAAACTCCTGTATCCTAACCTTGCAGTCTTACATGCTTTCTTGTATATTATGTTAAGTAAAATCCAATTCATGTTTCAGCAATTTATATTCTATGTAATTTTTCCTTGATGTCTTTGTAAGAAGATTAGTAGTTCTGAAATAGATCGATACATATTGACTCAATTTTTCTCCATAGATTCTAATGACAGTATAGAGACAGGAATTAGCATTCCCACTTTAGGTCTTTCCAAGCTGAGGATCATCACCTTGTCTGACAGCATTAGACTTTGCTTGGGTATGAGAAGTGGAAGAATCATGTATTATCATAGATCCCTTAAGTTAGAGCTATTCTATTAAATAATCAGCTCTAGGGGTAGATTTTAGTCATCGTTCTCTATAGAAGATCCATGGATAAGCCTGGTGGATTGTCAGGGGTTGGAATTATTGCTGAAGTTTGATGCTTCTTTCCTGAAGTTCTTGACTTCAGGAAGCATGAAAAGCCATGAGGAAACTTTTCATGGAGGAATGTCTTATTCTACTCTACATAGAACCTTTTCAGCAGTTTCACATTCCCTGGGTCTCTATCTTCTGTGGCCTATTCACTGTAGATTACCTAGAGAATTGATCTTGATACTATCTTAAGTTTACCATACCATCTTTTCCTTTATTTGACTGTTCTGGTTCTTTGTATTTCCACATAAATATTAGAATCTACTTGTCAATTTCTACAAAAAGTCTACCTGGATTTTGATTGGCATTGAATTAGATACATAGCTCAACTGGGGAAAAGTGACATTAGAAAATATTGAGTATGCCAATCACTGACCATATTATACCTCTCCATTTATTTCAGTCTTTTTAAATTTCACTCAGAAAATTTTGTTTTCAGTTTATTTATTTATTTATTTATTTTTTGAGACACAGTCTTACTCTCTTGCCCAGGCTGGAGTGCAATGGCATGATCTCGGCTCACTGCAACCTCCGCCACCCGGGTTCAAGCTATTCTCCTGCCTCAGCCTCCTGAGTAGCTGGGATTATAGGCGTGCACCACCACGCCCGGCTAATTTTTTTGTATTTTTAGCAGAGACAGGGTTTCACTGTGTTAGTCAGGATGGTCTCGATCTCCTGACCTCATGATCTGCCCGCCTCGGCCTCCCAAAATGCTGGGATTAAAGGCATGAACCACCGTGCCCGGCCTTCAGTGTATATTTAAAATTTTTCATCATTTGTGGTTGGTAAAAAATAGTATACTTACCTTTGTATATTGACTTTGTACACTGCAACCTTACTAAATTCACTTTTTTGAAGGCATAGTTAAAATTCATGACCTTCCTGCCATTTCCTTTGTCATCTCTGAAAATTTTATTTTTATTAGTCTGTGAAAACTACTTTTCTAGGGTCATCTTGGAGTAGCCAACTTCTATGATCTGTTTTCCCAATTTTCCTTTTCTACTTCTCTATAATATGTGGATAACTTGTTCCTTCATAGAACACACACACACAGACACACACACACACAGAGGCATGTGTGTACAAAAAGCTTTTTCTCAGTTGCCATGGCAGTATGCTAACATGGATCTCTAACACTGACTATTCATTTCCAGAGTGCTTCTGTAGCTTTTTTGAATTTCCTATCTTTTATATTGGAAGTGTTGCTCCATGTTCTTTCCAAAGTTGTCTTCTCTTCTTGTTCTACATCCTTAAATTTGATATATATTTTTTTCCCACTCCTTTGGCTTCAAATACAAGCTACTTCAGGGAAGGTCCAAGTTCCTGTCTTAGCACTGATATTTCTTCAGAAATACACTTCGTACTTCCAAATGCGTAGGAAAGGTCTATTGCGACTTAACAATTAGAGCAGAACTTGTTTGCTTTAACTGGCATGAATAAACCTTTTTAGTTTACTTTTAATTCTCTGACTATTCTACCAGGCTCTCAGCCTCTAAGTCTGCATCCTTCTTTTCATTCATCCCTTCAAACTCCTAGTACTTCACTCCTGTTTATTTCTACCATGTTTCCCTTTATAGTACTTCCTTTCATTTGGATTGCCATTGTCCTAATTCAGCATCACATTAATGCTTTAAATTACTTATTGTGCACATTTTAAGAAGTCCAGAAATCTTAAGAGGAAATTTTTTAGTATCTCAACTTTTAATTTTATATGTACTTTTGCCATTTTTTTCGGAATATATATTTACATTTTAGTTGCAATAATAGTATAGATACAATTTTATTCCATTTTTACATGTTTCTCATATCACTACATAACTTTCATGATTATAATTTTGATAGCTACATAGCAACCCATCAAATTTTTTATTGTAATTTTTGTTAGACATCTAGGATTTTTTAATGTTTTTACTGTCACAAATAACATGACAGTGACTCTTTGTATGAACGGTATTTAAAATTTTATATTTTCAGTAAAATATATATGTTTCATATGACTTTTAAAATATCAAATTTCTTTCCAAAAGTATTATTTACTGATTTATTCACTGATTGTATACAAGTGCTTCTTACATTTTAACCTCACAATTATTGTTTAAATTTTTGGCTAATTTTAAAGGTGTGAAATGGTACTATATTCTGTATATATCTTTGCTTAATAATTGACAAAGTTGAGCTTTTTTTTCCCAGTATTGTGTTGGATAATTGAACTTCTTTTCTGATCTTGATACTTTTGCCTAAATTACTTTCAATAGCCTGACTGGCCTTCCTCTTCCGTCACATTTTATCTCCTCCTGTCAGAGTAATAGTTACAAAATGTATATAATCAACCCACTGCAAAAATGAAACAAAGAGAAGTTTTAATACCTGTTAACTGTCAAGTAAGGGCAAACTCTTCAGTTGGTATCTCAGACTTTCCATAGTCAAGGTTTAACTAGCCTTCTAGCCTTTTCTCACACTATCTTCCGGGTAGTGTAAGTGTTAGCCACAATGTCATACTCTTATTCCTGAGGCCCCTTATTTTCCTCTTCCATGCATTAGTCACTCTCATCTCTTCATCTGAAGCCCCTCTGTTCCAACCCTACTAATTAGGAAACCATCAAATACTACACCTTTCTGAAACTTACATGGTCATTCCATTAGAATTAATCTAGTTTGTATTTTCATTATGCCTTTTTAAAACCCAGGTTTTAGTGCTTATTCTCCCCTTAAATAACTTTTGATGTCCAAATCTGAATTTTCCATTCCATTTTAAGTTCGTTGAAGTAAGGGGCTGTCCTTAAGCAATCTTTGATTCTCTACAGTGCCCAATACAGTGGATAAGACATAACAAAATTTAGTAAATATTTGTTGAATGGTTTGAGTTCAATAAACTTAAGACTATTGTGAAACTTATAGAGGGGATAAATTGTTAGACTCTGTAAGTGAACAGAGATGAATCCTACATAGCTTAACTTACAATTGAGATAAGTTACAATATCCCTGCTGCCATCCATTCATAAGAGAAGATAATAAAAGCTCAGAAGGGACATATTATTAAGAATGGTTATGAATATAAAGAAGCCCTTGTGCTCTTAATAATATAATTTAACATGAGGCTGTATATTTGAGCGCTTGTCAACCCCTTGCTTCCCCTCCCACATAATAGTTCTTTACTTATTTGCTTCATTTGTTAGGATGATATTTTAAAGATTGGCTTAGATTGAGGTGGCTCACCCATTTAATTTCATTAAGCTATGATTATAAAAAATACTATAATTCTGTCCATTCATTGATTTTGACAACATGTTTTTTATTGTAAGGCGATTTGGGACTGTGCTGCAAGAGAAGGTGACCTTGGTAGAATCTAAACTACTGTACTTCTTGACACAGTGAGGGAAAGCAGTTGATATTGGTATTAACACAATTATGTTGTTAAATGCATCACAGGTGAGGTATTTAAAGCAAATTAAACAAGTGACGTTCTTATTTCATAAATGCATTTAATCTCATGCTTGGCTGTTTTTATGGTAGAATTACAGCAATGGAGAAAATTAGGCAAGAACGGAAGAGGAACAGATTTGTTCATAAACGGACGCTTAGAATTTGAACTTAAAGTGAGTAAGGAGCATCAAAAGTCAAATAGGACAAACAGGGTAGATGGTATTCATGGAGACAAAGGATTAACTGAGGTTATTTTAAGACTATTTATATGGAAGGGATGACATTACATAGGGAGACCTCCAGGAGTCCTGACTTTGAGCCCCAGCTATATCAATGACTCACACTGTGTAACCTGGAACAAATTACTCAACCTCTTTGTACTCCATATTTCTTATTTATAAAGTGTACATAATTTTATATACGATAAAGTTCTTGCAAGAATCAATTAGAAAAGAGGCAAGAAACCAGGTACGGTGGCTCATGCCTGTAATCCTAGCACTTTGGGAGGCCGAGGCAGGGGGATCACCTGAGGTCGGGAGTTTGTGACCAGCTTGACCAATGTGGAGAAACCCTGTCTCTACTAAAAACACAAAATTAGCCTGGCGTGGTGGCACATGCCTGTAATCCCAGCTACTTGGGAGGGTGAGGCAGGAGAAGCGCTTGGACCCGGAAGGCAGAGGTTGTGGTGAGCCAAGATAACGCCATTACACTCCAGCCTGGGCAACAGAGCGAGACTACGTCTCAAAACAAAATAATAATAAAATAAAATTAAAAAAAGAAAAGTGGCAAGAATGGTTTCAAATGTGAAGTAACCCATATTTATGAGGTAGTATTGATATCCTGTTGTAAAAACCTTATCATCCTACCATATTTGAACTTGATTCATTAATTAACTCAGAAAATATTTAGTAAGTGCAGGCACTGTATTCATTAGATATGTAATAGTGAATGGAACAGAAGATCTAATTCCTGCTCTCAAGATACTTATGATCTAATAAGGGTCACTAGTTAACAAACTGATACTGAAAATCAGAGTTTGTCTTAATAGTTTCCCTTTAACCCACTTGCCAGATTAGCTAGTGTTTTCCATTTCATCTGCAAAACACATTGACTGGCGTCTCTTATACACTGAATGCCTGGGTAGTAATAATATCTAATATTTATACACAACACTTAACACCTTCCATGAACTGTTTTAAGTGCGTTGCTCAAATTAACTCCTTTAATCTTCACAACAAAACCTTAATTAATGTCATTCTCATTTTGCATATGAGGAAACTGAGGCACAGAGAGGTTAAGTGGCTTGTCCACGGTTAAAAAGGCTAGTAGGTAATGGATCAGGATTCACACCCAGGCATTCTGGCTCCAGAGCCCACAGACTTAATCACTAGGTAACAACACTAGCAGGTCTGTCTATTACTGCTCTCACCAGTTGAATTGAAACCTTATTTAAAGGTCATCTGTATTTGTTCCCAAACATGTTTATAACAGTTGTACTAGATTTTTTATGTAATTTAATCAAATATCATGTAACATACTAGAAATGCAAAATACAAATGTGGTTTTGGACATTTATAACCAATTTGAATATGCTGATAAGACTTAAGGGGTGTTGCCTTTAAAAAGTTGGGTGAAGAAAATCAGGAATCAGGAATCAAATCAGAAATGGGTGAAAGCGAAGAGTAAACTACCTCATAAAACATAGACATTTGCTGTAGTTGGCCTCATATGCCTTTATGCTCTCATTTTAAGTAAAAATAAATGAAAGTGGAAAATACAGAAAAGTACATATTTATAGTGAGTGAATCACTACCAAAATACAAAGTCTTGGCCCTACTGTAAACACTTGAAAAGTGAATTAACATTTATATATTTTAAGTTAAAATATATGTTTAATATATATCCACAGGCCAGGCATGGTGGCTCACACCTGTAATCCCAGCACATTGGGAGGCCAAGGTGGGCAGATCACTTGAGGTCAGGAGTTTGAGACCAGCCTTGCCAACATGGTGAAACCCCATCTCAACTTAAAAAATACAAAAATTAGCTGGGCGTGGTGGCACACCCCTGTAGTCCCGGCTACTTGGGAGGCTGAGGCAGGAGAATCGCTTGAACCCTGGAGGCGGAGGTTGCAGTGAGCCGAGATTGGGCCACTATATTCCAGCCTGGGTGACAGAGTGAGACTCCATCTCAAAATAAAATTGTACACATAAAATTGTACGCGCGCACACACACACACACACACACACACACAGATGATTTTTGTGACATCACATTTTGTCAACTTTTTTGATTAACCTACTAACTGTCCTGTAAGAAAGAAATATTTTCAAATACCTCCACTTCCAAACATTAGAACTATGGCTGGTGTTGTAGGTAGAGCCATATGAGTTTCTGTTACTGCAAGAGGGTGAATCACAGTATATTTCTTAAAGGCCGAACCATAGAGGATGGATTGTGGTTCCCAGTGTGGTACACAAAAGATAGATTGTGGATGCCAGCATGGTATGTGGAGGACTAATCGTGGCTCACAGAGTAGATTTCTTTTTATTCCACATAATCAACTCTGTTCTTCTTTCCAGAGCAACAGGATGTGGTAGAAAGAATCCTAGATTCTAATCAGAAACAGCCTTTCTCTATGTCAGTGTGTTCTTGGTAACTAACCTAACCTCACTGTGTTCTTGGGAACTAACCTAACCTTGGCCTAGTTTATTTGAAGTTGGCAATTTCAGTAATGTTTTTAGATCTAACATAGCCCTCAATGAATATTAGTTAAATGGACCTGAAAACACTTTGGAAATCACAAAATATTAAATCCCATATTTTCATACTATGAATATATTGTTTGCTCAGTTATTGTTACATCTATTTTATTATACAATGATTAGCTATAAATCTGTGAGCTCCATGAGATTCCAGATCTTGGCTCATTAATTTTTGTACAGACACCTGCACCTAGCCAAGTGTCTAGGTTCTTCTCATATATAGAAGGTATTCAGTAGATACAATTTATGTGAACTAATTAGAAATCCCCTATTTTGAACCAGACATTTTGATGGTAAAACTTATTTTGATAGGATATAAAATATTCGTATCATTCCAGTTTTAGATATTGTTATAGAGGTGTTTTTCTTACTTTCTCAAAGTCTACTAAAATTATCAAAGAAGTCAAAAAAGAGGGAAAATATTGTCATCTCCAAGAAAGCAAGGAAGCCTCACAACTGCAATGATACAAATTACGAAGTCCATATATTAAATATTGAAATAGATAATCAAACCCACTAAGAGATGTTGACTCAGACATTATCAATAGGTGCCTTTCCCCCAAAAATATTTGGTAGTTTTTGATTAAAGAGAGCTTAGTTTCTGCGTGATACATAAGAAAAGTAGAGAATAACCACGTAGAAATCCCGCCTGAGACTCTAGAATGGTAGGGAAGGGAAGCCTCAGAGGGACTTTCTGCCAACAACCTCGTTCTATTCTCTACCACTTTGTCTTTCAGCCCAGGCAGTCTGTCAAAGAAGGTGGAAGAAGTAGGTGGTACACTGCTGTAGGGAAACTTGCTGTGATCCATGCAAACTCCTTAAATAAAACAAACAAACAAAAAGAAACGAGGGAAGAACTACTTTCAATGTTAAGAAAATAAAATATTTGGAAAGAAGATGTTTGAGTTCGTAAGCTGAAATAGTGGCTGCCAACTTCCTCAGTACATTTCCAGCTATCCCCTTCCTCTTCCCCTCCCCATTGTACTACTTGGTCAGTTGCTATCTCATTCAAAGAGGAGTAGCGATCAGAAAGGGAACAGTGGATAAACTCATGCATAAAACTACCATTTTCTGTTTCACACATGGAGAGGAAAACAAGCAAATAAATGACACAAGTGTATATCACAACAAATACGTATTCTAAAAATAGGGTTCAGAAAGGAGACAGATGAATTCAAAGAAGAGAGTATACAGCAATAAAAGCAGTGAAAACAGAACAAGAGTTCAGTAAAAAATGAAAATGGAAATGAAAAAAATGACAGAAATAAAATAGACACTGGAAGCAACACAAATAGAATAAACTTGATTGAAAACAAAGTCACAAGCATAGATACTAGGTTGGAAAAAAATCTGACAAAATGAAATGTGTATGAACAGTGTGAAGTTTTTATAATGAAGAAAGATACGGAAGACAGGGAAAAGAGAGACAACATGTACGTAATTGGTGATCCTAAGAATAGGGAACAGAAAAAAATGAATCAATAAAAATAAAAAATAAAAAGAAGAAAATTGTTACAAAGATTTGAATCTTCAAATTGAAGTTCATACTCTGTTCTAGGACAATTTTAGATAGAACAATGAATACTGAGAGATACTTTAAACTGTTTCCTGAACTCCAAGGATAAATATTCAACCAGATGAACATTTATGGAAAAGATACCAGCTACATGTAAGGAGAATAAAGGTTGGCTTTCAATTTCCACGTAATATGAGAACCCAGAGAAGCAATTACTACACAATTCTGAAGGAGGGGAAGTATGACTCAAGTTTTATTTTCAGTCAAATATAGTATCAAGAGAAAGACATTCTGAAACAAAACTTAGACAATATAGAACCCTGGAGCTCTTCTTTAAACTCATGTGCATGCACATACATGATGAGTCAACATCAGTAGCTCAAGAATGGAGGAACTCTGATTTAAGATGGTTAGCATCAAATCTATCTATGGATAAAAAATAACAGCTTTAGAAATTAGAGAATAGCATATAAATGGTATAAACTATGATAATGAAAGCATGTTAATGAAAATGATTAATATGTGACAAGGTAATATTGGAAGAGGTATCAGTTAATTTCCCTAACTACATAGCATGGGGTTAATAGCTACTACCTAATGTTGAAATAGACAGATGATTCTAACCTCCTAAAGTTTTTCCATTTTTTACCTCAACTTTGGAGTGCCCTTGTAGAAAAGAAAACATGTTTTGGGTTTAAGAAACGTTTACCTGAATTTCAGTTTTTAGTTCAAATTTTCTTTAGTCAAATTAAAGGAAAAGAAAATATAACATTTAAATATTAAAATGCATATATAATTTGATTTCATTTTTTTCAAAATTAAGGCTTATGTATGTATACATCTCTCTGACCATTTTTCTACCTTGGTAAACATTTAGCTATGTTTGGAATGATGTTTACTTGGTGGTAGAGATGGCTGTTTTTTTTCTGATAAATGGAATTTGGATGACTTAAAGTGAAACTTTCTGAAACTTCTCTTTATTACTTGAAGTTTTTATATAGGACATATATCATCTCAATGAAAGAATAGTCATTCTTTTAAAAAATTACAGCCTTACCACCATCTCTTCTTTAGAATTTTTTTCCATTAGCTACTAAAGAAAGTCTTTGGCAAATACATTATAAATTTTGGAATTGAAGTACAAAATAAAAGAGATCATAGGAACAGTATCTTCTCCAATATTTTAATCTAAAAACTAATTTTGTCTAGAAGAATATATTTCAAGAATGCATATGTTACAAACAGGCACCACCTGGGATTCCCAGATAAAGATATTTCTTAAGTTATATAGTCCATAATCTCACAGGTTATACAATTAGGAAGTATACAGTAGTTAATTAAAGCTGTAAATAGAAGCCAAGATTCCCTTCAACAAAACAGAATGACATAAATTACAATTTTTGTGTAAACCTATTACCACTGCTGCATCAATTTTATAAGGGATCTATGTAAGTCTACTGTGGTTATAAATTTAAGAAAATCACTTGTACACCTGTGAAGCACTAAAGCATGCATGGTGAAGAATGGTAGGAAAAGAAATACTTTTTCTAGTGAAATGATTAGTGCACAATAGTGATCGACTTCTACAATGAACCAAAATACAAACTAATGTTGATTCTTTGCTTTAAGGGGAAAAAAGGTTATTTTTTACACTCCCCCTTTTGTCTCTGTCCTTCATCACTTGTTTTTAGAGACAAATTCTCTGGAGTGTTTATAAAACAGCAGTCCTGGGAAACCCTGATTTAGTGGGTTTTTAGACCTTGGGGCTCTGGGGTACCTTTTCACACCCCAAATGGCACACTGGGAAGGCTAGATATCAGAGATCAATCTACATCCTTGTGAGAGTGGGCCTGTATCTTTTCTGTATTCACCAGTAATGACTTTAAAATTCATGCAAATCAGAAGTGCACATTTGGAAAAAAACTTCCAGGATATTACATCAGAGTAACTGTCAACCTCTTTAAAGGAAAATTTTGATTATACTGAGCTGCTTTACCTGCCTATTACCTTCCTTCAAATTAATTATTCCTCAGATTTAACTGTATGGTATTAATACTTTTAATACTTTTGTATCAAGAAAAGGAAGTAATCTGTACTCATAGCCATCAACAAGTATAACTGTGCTTTTAGGAGTACTGTGTTTGCCGAGGTCATGGTATAGTTCAGTATAAAGTGTTTTAATGTGACTTTTTGCACAGCACGTGAATGGACTTTGAAATAGCATTGCATGTCTGAGAATTCTGTCTCTTTAAATTGTCTGCTTTGCTTATTGGAAATGATAACAATGATTGTTTGAAGTTATTATTAATTTTTTTAGTTTTAACAAATCCTAATAAAGGAAAACATATCTATTAAAAACTGAAATAACTACTCACTGAAATAAACAGCAAACATTATAGATATACAACTTTAATTTTGAATGGTAGAGAATTTTATTAAATGAAGAGAGGCAACTTAATAGAGTATTAAGGACAGACACCAGATGCATTTGACAGATCTGAATTTGAGTCAGGTTCTTACACCCATTAGCATTTTTGACTTTAGTCTTTTCACCTAACTTCTCTGAGCCTTAATTTCTCCATGTAGAAAATGAAAGATGATGTCTTTCCTATCTCGTTTAGGATTGCTGTAATATAATAATATGTATAACAGTATTGCTTAAAGAATATTACCTAGTGGCCATTGCAGTGCATAAGAACTGGTAAGATGCCTTACCTGGAAAATATAAGGGAAAAGTGTTGGTTTTTTTAAAATCATGAAAAGATAAGATTGAAAATGGCGTGTCTTTGCTGCTAATTAATGATTGCTTTATGTTCATGGAGCTGTAACATTTTTCCCACCTGCAGAACATATTATAGTAAGCTCTAGTTATATTTTCTAGGATCGCTTTTAATAAAACTTTAACAAACACTCGTGAATTCCAACAAAAATCTTGATCATTTTACAGAAGTGTATATCCAAAACCACCGTGAAGCTGGAAATACATCAAAGACGTGATTACATTTGTCCAAGTTAAGAGGACAACCAATGAGGGCACAATGGACAGGGTTCTTTAGGTATGTTGGGTATAAATTGTGATAATTTTTATCTTCGTAGGGTTCCTGAAGACAAGCAAGTAGGTTTTATGTTTTCTAAGATGAAAAAGAACAATGATGCTTTTTGAAATAAAGCTTTGGAGAAAGTCTGCAGAATAACAAAGGTTTTCATCATTCTAAAATCATAAAGGCAAATATTTATAATTTCCTCACAATTGTGAGCTATAACAATTTATATTATATCAAATAATTTTTAAATGAAAAATCAACCTAAAGGGAAAAGGGGAGAAGATACTATAGAGAGGACTGACCTGTAGGTGGGCATCTAGGAGATCTGGCACCGAGGTGGTGGCATTTCTATTTTCTCTGGGTTTCAGTTCTCTACCCATGAAATGAATGGGTTGGACTAGATGATCCCTTTCAGCTCTGAAATTCCGTGACCTTGTGACATTCTTCATACTCTGTGACATAGGAAGTGCATCACACACTGTAGGGTTTTCCCCTTCTGTCAGTACAGTGCACTGCACAGTGGATAAGAATGTAGACTCCAGAGCCAGAGAGAGTTGTGTTTGACTTGTATCTACGGAGCTTGTGATTTTTGGCAAGTTACCATAATTTCTTTAAGTTTCTGTTTCCTCATATATTAAACCTAAAGATAATGCCTATAGAGTTCTTGAAATGACAGAGGAGGTAATGTTGGTCAAAACCATGGATGGGTACTCCTGGGGCTCCATAGTGGGTTTCAAGGGCAGGTGTTTATGAAGCCAGGTTCTGGGGCCTGATGATCTGGGACTGAATTCCACCTCTGCCACATGCAACCTGTAGGTCCTTGGGCAAATTACTTCCTCAAGTTCTGCTTCCATTTTCTCTTCTGTATGTATGGTTGATGATAATACCTACCTCCTAGGGTTATTATGAGGATTAAATTAGTTCATACATATAAAGTGCTTAGAAAAGTACCTGGTACATGTAAGCACTCTATATATTTGCTATCGTCATCATTATCATCATCATTATTAAAGTTACACATAGCCTAGGGTGAAATTCTACTAAAAATTTTAGGGAAAAAATACTCATTTATATTATCACCAACATGTACATGTTATGGAATAGAATGAAAGTTTCCATAAATATTGACAGTAAAGTTTTAAGTTTAACTCCAGAAAGACAATGCAGCACTGTAAAGCACTTTCTGGCTTCCTAATTGCACTCTATGGGTAAATTTCTGTTTTTTCACTAGCAATTGTGTATTCTACTGAATTTGTAACCTTCTGAATAGTTTATTATTAAAAACAGAACAGGCTAGCTTTTTTTTTTTTTTTTTTGAGACAGACTTTTGCTCTGCCCCAGGCTGGAGTGCAGTGGCATGATCTTGGCTCACTGCAACCTCCGTCTGCTGGGTTCAAGCAATTCTCCTGCCTCAGCCTCCCGAGTAGCTGGGACTACAGTCACATACCACCACACCCGGCTAATTTATTTATTTATTTTTTGTATTTTTAGTAGAGACGGGGTTTCACCGTGTTAGCCAGGATGGTCTTGACCCCTTGACTTCGTGATCCGTCTGCCTTGGCCTCCCAAAGTGCTGGGATTACAGGCGTGAGCCACCGCGCCTGGCCTATATTGACATAGTTGACAAATAATCTTAATTTCAGTTTAATAATATGAGATTTTATAGATTTATATTGTAGATTCTCTATTATATTATAGTTGTCTAAGATTCATGGTAAATGTGTTTTTGAAAATGTCAATTCAATTGTTAGGTTTAGAAGAAATAATGTTAACCATAAAGGAGTATAATTTGACAAATATTTAATTAGTATCTACAAATATGTCAAACTCTGCTGAGAACTGGGCATACAAATATGGATATGCTCAAATCCTTTCTGTGGAGGAGTTCAGCATTTGGGGTATGGCAAACATTGTTGGTTGGCTGAGTCGAAAGCTCTTGCTAACACTCTTCTTTCTTGCATGGCTATACAAAAGCATTGGAAAATTCCTAGCAGCTACTGATATGTGAGCAGAAACTTGCTGGAAGTGATAGTGGTGGTGGCGGTGGTAAAGATGCTTCTGTTTTCTTATTAAAAGAGGATGATTGTAGCTAGTGCTCCCCCCACTCTTCTTCTTGCCTTGAGCACAGATCTAATACCTACAGGATAGCAGCCATCTGGGGACTATGAGGTGATAAGCCAAAAATAATTGGAGAGATATTAGGCATCATTAAGTCAGCAATCCAACATTAGGTGACACTACTTCCTGACTTTTTATTTTCAAAGGTAAATGATAAACCCTTTTATATTTTAAAACATATTTTAAAACAATTTTAAAACATTGTTGGATTTTCTGTTACTGTATCCAAAGATTATTCTAACTAATGTGGGAAGGAGGTATATTTGCCTACATACAATTATGAGACATGTTAGTTGCTATAACTATAATAATAACTTTTCTAAAGAACAATATGTATTTATAAATGATATGTGTAATCTTCTGCTTTAGTGCATATGCGTGTGTGTTTATTTTTCTTGTAATGCCATAGTACTAGTTAGAGTATGATAAATAATTCTCCAAAAGCAAGAGTCACAATCTTGAAGGTTCTAAAGAGCCCTGACTCAGAAGGAAGAGATATATAGTAATGGAAGGACAAGTTTGAATCCCTAAAGCCTCCAGGACAGGTAGCTGAAGAAGAATCTATACTAGAATGACAGGGTTCTTGCTTAGATCCAAGTTTCAGAACCAGAGAATGCCAGAGATGAAGAGGAGTGAAGAAGGAAGAAGAGACAGTACGTACAAACCATAACATAGAAAGTCTCTGATGCAAAAGGATATGTTTTTAGCCACTCACTCCAGATGGAGAGGTGTGACCTGGGAAAAGGAAATAAGAGATTTGGTGACAGAGGAATGGAGTAAAAAAGTCTAGCAAGAGAAACAAGAGACTGCAAACTGCTCCTGTTTTTTCTCTCAATCTACAACCATCAAATAGAAAGGAGACTAAAGAGATAATAACACAACAAAGAGCTGTATAAAAAAATCACAAGAGAAATTTCCCAAAAAACATTGGAAGATTAGGATAAAAATTACCCATTCGCTCAGGGAAATTATACTAGATATGATACGGACAAGCAAACAAACAAACAAACAAAAAGCCTGAAAAAATATCTATGAGAATCAAAGTAGAGGTTCAATGAAAAACAGATGAAAGAGGTTATGTATATCAGGAGAGAAATGGGAGAGAAACACGAAAGCTTTCATAGACAAAAATATTAGAAGCAATAACAACAAGTGGAATAAATGTGACTGAAAACCAAGTTAGAAATATGGAGAAAAGCTTTGAAAAAAATCCCATAAAATTTAGTTCAAATGCACAAAAACACAACATTTATTATGGGAAGATGAAAGATGTGGAAAAGAAAAAAAAGGGATCCAATATAAATATAATTTGTATTCTTGAATATTAAAATAGTAGAAGATAAATTCCTGAAATAAAGACTTACATATGATTTTAATGGCATTCTGTATCACGGTAAGGTTAATAAATATTAAAAATAATGAATACATGTATGTGTTTATTCAGCATGAATATCAAGTCACATGGAAGAGAGAAAAATGAGGTTAGTTTTCCCACAGGTTTATTAAATACCAAAATCCTATAGAATTATGTGTAAAAATTCTGAGTACAAGAAAGTATATACCAAGGTTTTATACCCACCCAAGTTATCTTTTAAATATAAATTCAAATGCACAAACATTTTCAAGCCCATAAGAAGTTACACAAGATAGTATAAACCCTCATTAAGGAAAATTAAAACAAGAAAACACTGAAAAACAATAAGGTAAACAAAGACTTAAAAAGATTCTTATGCACTGGGGCCTTCTGTCTTATTTTGCTGTTTTGAATCCTGAGGCTACCACTTGTGAATATGCCTGAGCTAGCCTACTGGAGGATGAAAGACTACATGGAGCAGAGATGTGCTATCCTAGCTGGGGCTTCTAAATCCAACAAGCTTGTAAGAGCCAGACAAATGAATGGGGCTATCCTAGACCATCAATCCCCTTCAAAACTGGCAGATGACTTCAGAGATGAGCCAGGCCAGCCCCGATGAGAATTGCCTTGCTAACTCACACAATTATGAACAAATACATTATTGTTCTTATAAGTAAAAAAAAATTGAATAGCCACCCTGTAAAAACAAAACAAAACAAACAAAAAAGCTGTAGTGAATTTCAGCCTACTAAGAGGTGAATCAAGACAAACAATTCAGGTATGGAGGGATTCCAACTAAAAAACTGAATATAAATCTTTAATCAATGTAAATTCAGAACGAAAATTAAAAACCATGAGCACTATGGTTATTGAATAAAATAGAAACTATGAATGAACAATGAAAAATATAATATCAAATTGATGGAAGTTAGGATAAAACATTAATATGTTCATTTCTTCAGCTTTTATAGCAAGTAATGGTCCCAACTTTTTAAAGCATAAGTTTTTCCTGAACTCATCAATATTTTATTACACAATACATTTTGGAGTGTTAAGAAACATTTATCTCTACTGCAGGATAAAGATGGGCATTAAAAAAAAACAAGAAAAAAGAAACATCTCATTTTTTAGTAAATTCATTAATTTCATTTAAAGTTCTTATACTGTGATTAATTCAAGTATAGCTATATTTAATATGGTACATATATTTAATATAGTGTGGGTAGCTTGAGTCCATTTTAACAAAACTGATCTTCAGTTCCTATCCACATTACCTGTTGGCCTTTCTTCCTCTGTAGCTTCCTTTGTATATATTTTTATCAAAATATCTGAAATAATGGCTATTTTGAGGTGAATGGTTTTTATGTTATGTGTAACTTTTGAGTTACTTGACAATTTTTTGAACTTTTTTTTTAAAAATACTATTTTTATTAATATATTCAGTATGGAATAGAACCTTTCTACTATACTTATTTGTAATAAATTATGGATTTTAAAATGGTGGGAAATGTTGAGTGGTCTTTGAAGGCTGTAACATTTACAGGGAAACACTGGCAAGGGTTTCAGAAAAAAGCCTTTACCTTATGTTTTCAGGTTTTCCCTTTTACTGGATATCATTTTAAGATTTTAGATTCCAAGTTTGACCTAATTAAAGTTTCAGTGGCAGTTGAACTGCCTACAGTGTGAAAGTCCTGCTTGTCAAATATTTTATCTCTTATTTTAGAAATGAAAAAAATCATGATAAGTATACATTTAAGGGCTATTTTATGTTAAAAAAAAAAAGTCAGATTGAAGCCAATAAAAAGTTGGTCAAGGGTAATTTAAAAATCAAGAAATTATTTTAAAGTTAGCTACTTTAATTTCAATATCCAAATAGTGGGAGAGGAAAAAGAGCCAATTTGTTAATTCCTTGGAAATACATGGTGAGTCACAGTCTAATTTCAGTTCAATGTGTTGATGCTAAACAGGAACTGACACCCAAGAATTTGAAGGTAAAATCTGGTTTAGGAGTCACAGAGGCATAATTGACAATGCTCTTGAACCTACAGTGAAGAACCAATAAGCAATACATAATTTTTAAGACTGTAAGCTGGGTGTGGTGGCTCACGCCTGTAATCCCAGCACTTTGGGAGGCTGAGCAGGGTGGATCATTTGAGGTCAGGAGTTCAAGAACAGCCTGGCCAACATGGTGAAACCCCATCTGTACTAAAAACACAAAAAAATTAGCTGGACGTGGTGGCACATGACTGTAATCCCAGCTACTTGGGAGGCAGAGGTAGGAGGATGCCTTGAACCCGGGAAGTAGAGGTGTCAGTGAGCTGAGATTTTGCCACTGCACTCCAGCCTGGGCAACAGAGTGAGACTCCATCTCAAAAGAAAAAAAAATTTAAGACTGTAATTTTGAGGAAATAAAGAGAACAAATGTATCAAACAGAATTTGAACATTCAAAGATATTTATTTTAAATATTTCACCATTAAAATGTTTACATCTTATAGTGTGCTGATGGCATCATAATTACTCAAGTTTTAAATGAATTTAAATTTTTATTACATAATTTGTAAACTTTATAATACATAATTCTGAATCTCTTAAATAATTGAGACTTCTACTTTAGCAGGTAGAGGTTGAAGTTATAAGAGAATAGAAAACATCTGGGGGATTTGTCCCAGGAAAAAGCTAAGTTTTTGGAAATAGAAGTTGAATAAACTACAAAGCAAATGAAGATAAAATTACTCTTTTCAAGATGTAGAGTAGTATATACATAGCACAGAAAGAGGGAGAAAGAGAAGGGGTGGAGGGGGATAGATTCTAGCTTCGACTTTTGCAAAGTTTATTAGCAATTTGGTAAGACAGATACTTTAAGAGGCTTAAGCATACCTCTTTATCACACCACTTAATAGTTAAGTGGTGTGATGTAGAGAAGAGAGTACAGCTTTGGAATCAGGCAGAAGTAAACTTAAATCCTGACTCTGCCACTTCCTGTCTCTGTGACTTTGTGGCTTCACTTTATGCAACTCAGCTTCCCTGCAAGAAACAGGCACAGGAGTTCTTACCTTGCAAGATAGTTGCAAAGTTGTTTGTAAAGTACCTGGCACTGTACTGTTCAACAGGTGGTAGATAATTACTGTAATAATGGAATAATGAGATAAGATGCTGAATAATTTCAAAATAAATAATCAAAAAAATCATGGAGTAGGTTGGGTGCGATGGCTCACGCTTGTAATCCCAGCATTTTGGGAGGCCAAGGCAGGCAGGTCACCTGAGAACAGGAGTTTGAGACCAGCCTAGCCAACATGGTGATACCCTGCCTCTACTAAAAATAGAAAAATTAGCCAGGCATAGTGGCATGCACCTGTAATCCCAGTTACTCGGGAGGCTGAGGCAGGAGAATCACTTGAACCTGGGAGGCGGAGGTTGCAGTGAGTCAAGATCATACCATTGCACTCCAGCTTGGGCAACAGCTCAAGACTCCGTCTCAAAAAAAAAAAAAAAAAAAAAGATGGAGTAAAATAAACAAAAGCATTACTTTTGCTTTTGCTTGTTACATTTAGAGATTAATTGCGATTTGAGACCACATACCTTTTTTTCCGATTCATCAGATATATTCACCTTTGCCTCCTCTTCCCTTATCTATTCCTTTCTTCAGCAATAACACTGGGAAGTCACTAGTCTACAAAGCTCCCTCCCATATAAAACCTATGGCCTATGTGATCACAGGCACAATGAACAGGTGAAGAAAGAAATAATTTTGAATTAGGAAATACAATGAAGGAAATGAACTAGGAACTGAGATAGAGAATGTCTGCTTGGGGGAAGTGATTTAGATAAAGTGTATTTAGATCAGGTGTTTTCTCCCTTCAATTATGCCTCTTCCACATTGATGAGGAGGTTGGTAAAGATGTGAAAATTAGTAAGGGGCAGAGTTTTAATTAAAGGTCATCATTTTCTATTGAACAGCACCATTGTCTGGCTTTGGAAATCATTTTCTTTAAATGGAATAAATAAAAGCAGTAAAATGTCAAGAAACCACTTTTTAATTTATTATCCAGGTAAAAAAGCATTTCTCTCCATTGGAAAAAAAATAATCCATAGGAAAAGGAGCTTGTAGGAAAAACACCAATCCCACATTGTGTACTATTTCCTGTTTTTGTGATTATCTCTATGAAACTACCTTGAGGGTTTGGCGAGTAAATAGTAACAAATTCAGTCTTACTAATTTTGTCCTTTTCTTTGGGGGTAATACAGCCTAACAACAAAATCTGTTCTTAAAATACTGCGTTCTACTAGAGTTATTTCCCTTTTGGCTGGAGGAAGTGGTGGCTTTGTCAGACTGAACATACATAGTTGTATATGTTTAAACAAAGCATCAGAAACAAGAAACTTGCAGAGTTCCCCAAACCAGGAAATATTTTATAAAGATAATGAATAGCAAATAATTGACATGATATAAGTTAAAAAGGCATTTATCAGTGAGTATACTAGTCTTTTGAAAGCAGTATTTGTTAGACTAAGGATTTCAACTACTTGCCAATGCCATCAGTTATCTTGACTTATTGTAGGATTAGTTCTGTAGTCCTCTATTAGAACGGATCAAGGTTACAGGCAATAATGATGGTTTCCACTGAAAAAAAAAGCCACAAATATCTTGTGTTTCAAAATTTCTGTGATCAGCATTTTTTGAGGGAAGAAGCATTATGGGAAGAAAAAGCTAACAGAGATGAAGTATCAGACACCATGCCATGGGGCTGTCCTTACATGTGTCATCATTTTAACAGGGAAGCAAGATACATTTCTCTCCTTTTCTCATCCTCATCATTACCATTTAATTTTTTGATTCACATGAATATTGATAGGTGGCTTGTGGCTTTTGTCCATGTTTTGACTTTCTTTAAAGACAGGAAGAAATTTTATAAAGAGTCAGACTTTTAAAGCAAAAATCTTTCTCTGAAACTTTTTTGTAGAAATCAAAATTCAGGCCTTCTTCTCAATTCAATGACCCTGTTAATTAAGTATTTGTCACTACTCAAATACATGGCTGATACACAGCCATGGCTCCACAGCCAGATCTTGGCAGGTGGCTTTTTTTTTTTAACATCAAAATGCAGGTAAGTTATTTATGTTAGGTGAGAAAACTGGTTTGATTCAATGTCCACAAATATTACCTCCACTCAATATTTGTAATTGTTGCTTCAGAATATAAGTCCTTTGAGTACAGAAATTCCAGACCTGATATAGAACTTACTCATGCAATAAAAAACATGTGCAAGGTATAGTCTCACAGTTTATTCTCTTCCGTTTTATGCTGCACTTTGGCTGATGCATTGCAAATGTATGTTAAAATCAACCACCCTCTGCTAGAGACAACACATGAATCTATTAACAAAATTAACCTCTCAATTTGTATTGATTTCTCCAGTTAACTGGCCAGAATCTAACTAGTCTCTAGAGGAATAGGACCTGGGCAGTCAAATTCTGCATGAAGACAGGGACACCCAAATATTTGCCACTAGTTTTATGTTAATAAGACTCACTTGAAAAAGTAATATGAAATAGGTTTCATGGTTAAGTAAGTTTTGCAATTGCGTGAGTTAAATGTAGATAAAATATTTCTTTACTTCAGGACTTATAAGAGCCTTCAGTATATGAATAGATTAGGAGAATCCTAAGGATTGGGAATATAGTATGCAAAGTTTCCCAAAAGTATTCGATCTTGGAACCTCTCCGCACTCTGATTTTTTTGAGCAATATCCCCTAAGACTGAAATACTTGGAACATACTATGGGAAATATTGGTGTAGGGCTTGAAGACTTTGTACAGTATGTGAAGCTCTTTTTATGCCAGGAATAGTTCAAGATTACTCAGTATTAGGGTTAAAGCAGAAGACACCAAAGAAAGGAGATTGGCCAAAATGGTCAGGAAGTCATGGACATTAATTTCGTTTATTCCCCAATATTATTAGTCATAAGCATAGGCACTGTGCCTGAATAATTGGGGCAGTCTGATTCAGCAGGCATCCTGGTAAGGAATGAAGTCACTGTGGCGGGATGCATAGATTATTTCAATGGAAAGGGGCATTGTAATTATGTTTGAGTGTTGTAGCTAAAAGACTGCATATGTTTGTTAGTGGCCTATGAACATAACCATGGCATTATAAATAGTATCATAATTACCGTGAAAGCAATACTGCATCTGATGAATGTATTTTATTCGGCAGCCACAAGTCTTACGAAGAGTATATTTTAGGTAATGAAAACTTGAGCCTTGGTATGTTTAGAATAATAATGATACTAAGTTTTTATCCTTTCCTAGTCTAGTTTATTAAAAAATTGTTTTTTATTTATATGAAGACATTCATAATCAAATACATGCTAAATAAAACCTAATTGTGTTTATTTAACCCAGCAATTATATATGAAATATGGCCAGTGACTCTGGAATTAAAAAAAAAATTCTGCTTGGTAACTTAGTACTATATTAGCCTGATTTTTGGAAACAAGTTTTATAAACAAGTAGGCATCCTGAAATACATGGCCCAGTACCCAGCTAGCCATTAGAGCCATTAAACACAGCTCTGAGATAATTTACCTGTGTTCATTGTGTCAAAGGAGTAATTTAGACTGTCATAAATAAACATTTTCAAAGGAATTTTTTTTCTTTTTGTTTTCTGCTCCTCAACCATAAATACCAGTTAAATTAAAGTAGCTCTTATCTATGGCTTGGATTTAGATTCAACCTTGTAGAAAGCATTACTTTTCCTATCATTAAAAATTAAAACATTTCTCACTTTTACAGAAAGCCTTTCAATATGTATAGAATGTAAACAATGATCCTAGATGACTTGCACTGCTCTGAGAATTAGTAGTTATTTGAAGTTATTTGTCCACTGAGGGCTTTGGCAAAGGCGAGGGCAGTTTGATATATAAGTAGAATATTATAGATAAGAAATAATTACTTATTGTTTTGAAAAAGCTTCCCATTCGACTCTGTTTAAGAGAATATGAGGAAAATTCAAAAAGGGGAAATTAGTGAATTGAATCCATTTCAAGTCAGAGAGCTTAGAGATCATTGAATCCAACGATCTCATTTTTTTAGGTGAAGAAACTGAGCTCCTAAAAGTTAATAAAGCTTGAGTATGGTCAGTCAACCAGACGGTGACCTCCTCGGAACCTAGGTCTTCGGACTCTAAGACTCATACCCATTTCTGCACTCTCTGCTTCCTCAATGTCTATTTCCCAGCCATGGTGAAGCCCTGACTGAAAGAGAAATGCCTGGTTGTAGCAAATGTGTTTTAGGAATGAGCAAGCTCCTTGGTAATGATGACAAGGCTAAACAGAAAGAAAAGGAAGAGATACAGTCAGTAGAAACTGGTGGGTTTCTTTTCCTATAGCACCCTTTTTTATTACATGCTTTGAGATAGTGTGAGTGTGCCTTTTGTGTCCTTGATGTGTGCCTGACAAGATGTATGTAAATCACAGTTTTGTAAATTGCATTATGAATACAATTAGGATCCACTAAAGTTGTCTTGTGGTAACTTTCTTTATAAAATTATTCTTTTTGAGTATTAAAGACTAAATTTATCTGTTGGTAATTCTACATAGTAATGATATATTATAAGGTTTTTTAAAATAATTAGAAAGTTTTACTTCAAGCTGGTGAAAAATTCTATATTCCTCTAAATTTTCCACCTGTCTGTGCCCCCCATTCCCATTTCCCCATCCTTCTGTCCCCCACCCCTGTCTTCAGCTCCTACTTCACCTTTTTGGTTTTAGGTAAATTTCCATGAGTACCTAGCATTCTAGAAGTGAACTCACAGCCCAGATTTTATGATTTTATTATTAGTTTATTTAATTTTTTTCTCTTTTTTTTTCTTTTTTTTTTTTTTAGACAGAGTCTCACTCTGTCGTCAGGCTGGAGTGCAGTGGCTCCATCTCGGCTCACTGCAACCTCCGAGTCCCTGGTTCAAGCGATTCTCCTGCCTCACCCTCCCGAGTAGCTGGGATTACAGGCACACACCACCACCCCTAGCTAATTTTTGTATTTTTAGTAGAGACAGGGTTTCATCATGTTGGCCAGGATGGTCTCGATCTCCTGACCTCATGATCCACCCACCTCGGCCTCCCAAAGTGCTGGGATTACAGGCATGAGCCACTGCACCTGGCCTATTTAATTTTTATCGTCCTTTCTTGGACTATTCCTTCCTATTTTCTCTCTCTACTTTCGCATTTTATTTTTTAAACTCAACAGAAGAGTTTGAAAGCTGCTGAGTCAGCCCTTGGTCACTTTCCAGCCTGTTGTTCATGAGTAATTGACTTTGGCTAGACATACCAAAATTAAATTCTCAGATTGCCTTAGCTTTTACAGAATTGCACTGGCATTCTTCTCTACTCTTCATAATGCGCTCCCCATAGAATTTTATTGTAATTGTCAGGTGTGGGGTGAGGGAGGACTTGTATTTATACTAATTGACTTTACATCAAGATTTCTTCTATTGAATTCATATATCTAATTCAGTTTAATTGAATGTAAAGACTCCTGTAATAGGAGGCAGCAGATCTGACTCCTGTTTCCTGGGTAAATTATATAAGTTCATGGTTTCTTTATAGATACAGAGGTTGGAGGAGGTGATTGGTGTAATTTTTAGCTTGTTGTAATTTTGTGATTACTGAACTGGCCTTAAGCCCAATTAAGTGGAAGACCTTGTGTAAGTAGGTGTTGTCTCTCATAGAACTAACTAGGTAGCAGTCAACATCATCACAATAAGTAGATCGGTTTCATTTCTCCTGCATTTAACC
This sequence comes from Homo sapiens, assembly GCF_000001405.40. Lineage (NCBI taxonomy): Eukaryota > Metazoa > Chordata > Mammalia > Primates > Hominidae > Homo > Homo sapiens. Next base: position 67,000,388 of record NC_000010.11, on the reverse strand, counting down.
TTCTTGTGCCAATTCGCCATCAACTTTCGTCATCAGCTGTCTTGTCTATTGGGTCAGCAAGAGTAAGGGCAGCCTTTTCTTACCTCAATCACTCACCAATTATTTATGTAAGAGGAGTTTAGAAATCTATTCCAAATGGTTTTACTTCTGCAGCACTTAGTAATTTATCTAAAGATTCTTGTAAATGTTTCTCTTGAGCTCATATAGCAATCTTAAAAGCTGTCTTCAGGAAACCAGATCTAGTCATCTGGAAGGCCCTATATTTTTACAATAGAGCCTTCCAGAGTTGTTAGAAATATGGAGAAAATGCTATCATGATCATTTCCATGTATACTAAAGCTTCAGTAGTTTTAATTGTGAAAAACAGCTATCCCATAAATTGAAGTGTTAGTAAGACAAATGGATGCATTGTATTAAAGCTGACAGAGCAGTGACTGGGAAAATCTAGTCACTGATCTAAAGCCAACACAACAAATCAGATGACCTTCAATGACTTTTAATTACAATTTCTGAATACATTGCTGTTATTAGGAAAACATTTTAGGAAAATAAGACTAGAATTAGTATACAAATCAGAAAAATTGATGGTCAAGTAATCTGTCAGTGATATAAAATTCAACTAAGATAAATTGATAAAATACAGTAAAATTGCCAATTGTTTTTTGCTTAAAGACTTATGAAATGTACATTATTCATTTCTACTTTCTATCTAAGTTAAGGCCTATTTCATCCCAAACTAACCCTGATCTAGTTTATGTTTCCGGAAGCACCATTTATAGGTTGGCATTTAATAGGATTTCTTTTGTGACCTAAAAGGGATGCATGCTGTCTGATCACCTCTATAGTTAGAAAAGAGAGACAATAGTGATTGAAGCTAGAAGAATGGATTTTATGGCATAATCATGTTCTGATCCATACAAGATGACAACAGCCCAGTTTTCTGTGTAATACAAATTGATGATCTTAATTTAATTATTAGATGCTTACCTATCCTTGATTATATATTTTTTTCAGGAATCCCAAGTTTTTTCTTGAAAATGTTAGGCAGAAGGCCCATGATAATTTCAGATTCCAGTGTCGATTTAGCAATGCCTATTTTTAATTAATTGATTTACATTTTTATTCAGTCACAGGTCTTTTAACTGATACCTTTTAATGCATAAAATCATGTTTAAATTCTTGAAATAACTGAAGTCTTAATGAAATATTTGAGTGCAAACCATCAATTGAAAATGATAAATAAAAGTAGTACAAATATCTTTAATTTTGAAATATGAGGGTTTTCTGTGTTTCTATAGTGTTCCAATTTTATTAACTTTTGCCCTGTCTTCCGTTTTCTTTATAACTAAAATAGTAATAAATACATTTCTAATTTAATTGTCTTATATGCACAGAAGTTCTGAGTGATACTGAATTTTTGGTGTTGATTGAGATTTGCTTTATGTATATGTTCAGTTTTAAAGCTTATTATGTATTTAAGTGAATGTGTGTTCTCTAATTGTAGGGTCCATGGTTTTACATATAGCCATTGGAACAAACTTCTTAGTTGCATTATTTGTATCTCCCACAATCCACTAATGCCTTCTGCTGCCTGATGTATCAGTTATAAGAAAAGTGCATTGAAATCTCCCATTATTGTTGATCTGTGACAATTGCTCTTTCTAATCTCAATTTTACTTTGTATATTCTGGACAATGTTATTTCTCACATATGAGTTTGGAATTACTATATTTTTTGCTGATTCCTTCTTTATTGTTCCATAGAAACTTCTTTATTTCCAATGTGCCTTTTTTGCCTCTCTACAAGTGTCTCACTTTCTTCTGTTCATTGTCATTCTTCATCTTTTTATTTTCAACTTTTCTGTGTCATTGTATTTTATTTGTGTGTCTTGCAAAAAGCATAAAAATATAATTTGCAATATCTGTCCTTTACTTGCAAATTTAGTCCCTTTGTATTTATTGGGTTATTGATATATTTTGATTTATGTCTACATTTTATTTTGTGCTATGCTTTTACATTAACTATGCTTCTTGTGCTTTAAAAAATATTGTTCTATCTTCTATTTTGAATTTTATTCCTGCAACTAGTACTAAAACAACAGTGTATGCTAAGTAAACATAGAGTAAGGAGGCACTTATTTCTGCTTATAGAAAAAGAATTGTAGCACTGGAGTATATGGGAAGGTAGATGAGACATAAATCTGGTGAGATATGCAAAGGCTGTGCTAAAATGCCGTGTTAGGAATTTGGTTTGCATCTTATTTATGTAGGGGAATGGCATCAGCCATCTCATTTTAGAAATATAATTACAATTGTTGTAGAAGAATGAGCTGGAATGGGGGAGAAATGAGGGGATGAAACTGAGCCTGGTGGGCAGGGAGGCCAGTTAGAAAAATCACTGCAATAATCCAAGTGATGAATGATGAAGCAGTGGTAGTGAACTTGAAGAGGAACAAATAGATTTGCAATATATTCAGGAGGAAGAGTCAATAGGTCTTAATCACCAATTAGGAGTGTGGGGATGGAGTGGAATGGATGACTGTAGGCTTCTGGCTTGGGTGATTTTGTGGATAGTTGAGCCACTAATTAAGAAGAGAATAGGAAATAGCAACAAATTTGAGGACTTCCTCTGCCTGGGGAACAATTCTCTTATAGATTGTTATGACGGAATAAGGTATAAGATTATTTAATGAGGTATTTAGATGACAAACTTGCTTGGGAAGAAATGTGATAGAACAGAGAGATGGTGTCCTAATAATGAGGGGAAGAACATCCAGAACCCTGAATTTAGGAAAACAGTGTATAGGAGTATTTAGTTACATGAATACATATTAAGAGATTTACTAAATAGCAGGGATCTAAAAGTTTTACCAGAGCTTATGAACAGACAAGAATTTGGTTTAAACTGTTCTAGATATGCCTTTGAAATGTTATTGTTTTATCAGTTGTTAGATTAAATCATGCTTAAAGTGCTAGTTTTAAAATGAAATCTGATTAAAACAATTTAACACAGGTAAATTAATTTTTACAAACAAGAAAGAATTTGTGGTCATTTGGTAATAAGTATTTCCTGCTCAGATTGTATCAGTCACATTCATTTTTATAAGAGATTGTATCAGTCACATTCATTTTTATAAGACCTCTGCCTATGAATAGGATATGTGAGTCACAACTATGGAAAATTAGGCCTCTGAAATGCTGAAATAATACAAAGGGTTGTTTTGCCAAATGCTTGACACTAAGCAAAGACGAAAAAGCTGTTTGATGTGCAGATCATCTTCTGCTCTTATTCTTGCCATCACATCTAAAAGTTTTGGGAACTGTTTGACTCTCTGTTAGTATTAATATAAACAGATCTATAACTGCTATCCAGGCAGCTAAATGTCTGTCTTATTCTTGATTATCTTTTGCATTTAATCCAAGATAAAATATTAAACCTCTTGATTTAATGTCACAAACCAGTAGTACTCACAAAGCTGAATTACAGACTGTCAACAGGTGGATAATTGCTGAACATTTACAGATGTTAGTTCACATGGAATTGTTTAGAATTACTGTGTTTAACAGTGTAATTGTAGAGCAAAATTTCAAATGCTACTTTAGATAATATTTTTGCACATACCCTTAGAAATTTTTTTTCCAATAAGTTGAGCAAGCAGAAAACTGCATAGGCGCTAATTAACTCAAATAAACACATAAGTGATTGACACAAACATGCTTTTTTTTTTTTTTTTTTTTTTGTAGAGACGGAGTCTCACTCTCTCACCCAGGCTGAATGCAGTGGTGCGATCTTGACCCACTGCAACCTCTACCTGCTGGGTTCAAGCAATTCTCCTGCCTCAGCCTCCTGAGTAGCTGGGACTACAGGCACGCGCCACCACGCCCGGCTAGTTTCTTGTGTATTTTAGTAGAAACAGGGTTTCACCATATTGCCCAGCCTGGTCTCAAACTCCTGAGCCCAGGCAATCTGCCCGTCTCGGCCTCCCAAAGTGCTAGGATTACAGGCGTGAGCCATTGCACCCAGCCCAAACATGCATTATTAAACAAGCTTATCTTTGAGATATATTAATGGCACTCTTGCTCTTTTTACTTTGTTGCACAGCTACTAAGTTAGATAGATAATTGCTTTGATTCAAGATGCGTTAAAATTTTTAATGCATTTGTTAACATCTCTAATTATATAATATCAGTCTCCTTGAAACCATTAAACTTCATTTATCAACAGAGCTTTGAGACCTACTTGTGCAATGAAGTAGCTTAGGCAATAGAGAGTAAGATGAACCACAGTTCAGTCCTAAGTAGTTTTCAGTTTAGTAGGATAATATTACAAAATATGTAAATAAGTAGGTAAAATAAAGCGTACTAAAATAATTTACAAGTGATTGTGTAGGATATAATAGTAAGGTAATGTGAAAATAATTTATGTTTATAGGATACAATAATGTAATAAACCACTGAATACAATGTCTAATGCAATATCAGTACTCCATAAATATTAGTTCTTATTAGATTTATGAAACAAAGATGGAAGTGTATAATTTCCTCTGTGGATTTCAGGAAGGTTTGTAGAGGCAGTAATGCTTGTATTAGACCTTAAGAATGAGTAGAAATTCATCAGGTTAAAGGCAAGTAGGGGAGAAGATTTGAAGATCTTTTAAGCAGAAGGAGCAGTGTAAGCAAAGCTACAAATTAGTGAGACTGAGTCTGAGTCTTAGTTGTCTGGCATGGATAGGTAGCAGATGAGGAAAGAACCTGAACTTAATAAAAAAATATAGAGATGTAGACAAGAGCCAGGGAATAATGTTAAGGATTTGTAATTTATCCTGCAAGAATATTGGTAACCTTTGAAAGGTATTAAACAGGTAGGTATGGGTAACTTTATCTGCTTCGTGTTTTAAAAAGATCACTTGGTGAATGTTTGGAGAATGGATTAAAAGAGGTACATCTAGAAGCAGGGGGTCCTGCTAGCTGACTGCTACCATGGGCCATGTAAGAGATGATGAGGACTTGAACCAAGGCTATGGCAGTGGGTATGAAGAAAAGGAAAAAGATGAGATCCTGTGTAATTCCCAGGACTTGGTAACCAATTTGATATGAGAAGTAACAGAGAGGAAAAAGTGTCTTCAGTGACACCCAAGGTTCTGTCATAGAGGCCTGGGTGGATGGTGGTTCTATTCACGGAGAGAGAAATACAAAAGGAGGAGAGTATGGAAATCATGGGTTATGTTTGAGATTATGGAATGTGCATTATTTCTGTGACATTCAAGCAATGACACCTCAGAGGAATTGGAAACATGGGTCTGTTGCTCAACTGACACATCTTGGGCTAGAGATCTAGATTTAGGAGTATTTAGCATATACTTGGAATGAGAAGGCATGAACTCTGGGAAATACCAGGACAGAAGTAGCAGGAAGATAGACCTTGTGGAGAGTTCCATCTTGGCAGTGTGTTGTGGTATTAGCTGAGCCCATGTTTTCCACTTGTTGCATTTGGGTTTCCTAGTTTTACATTTCATATTGTAACATTTGGCAGATTTTAAATAACTTGTACAATGTATAGAAATTCTCAAAGGACTGATGTTTTGTAAAACTTCTTCACAATAATTATTAGATATACAAAGCCCTGCAGCTGTATTCTATAAATAGTATTGAATGTAGTGAAATAGTCATCAAGCTATTCCTTATCTTAATCATAACTTGAAATGTTGAAAATTCTGTTTGGTGGTAAGTCATGATTTTGTCAGCAATTTTCACAGTGTCAGATCTGCCCTTGTTGAGAGTAAAGAATTGAAATAATGAACTTTAGGTATCCTTGGTACTTAATGCTATTTTTGTATCATTTGCTATTGTAATATTACTTCAACTGCTTTTTTCCTACTTTAGAAGTTCAGCATGATGCAAAACTAGGAATTGCAGATATTTGGTAATTGAGGGATGAAATAGGAATGTTCTTGTGCTTTTAAAGAGACTCACACTGAGCTTCATTCCATTTATTAAGTGAGCTAATTTGTTCCACACTGTACCTAATGTAGAAGCAAATTTCGAAGTTATTAGCTAAAGGTGTGATTAGCAAAGGCCAGGCAAACCCATTTTTAACTACGTTAAATGTCCGTATAAAGCTTGGAGAGCATTTTCCTTTCTTCCTTCTTTCTTTTCATCTTTTCCTTTTAACCACTGGAGTACCTGGGTAGTTGCTCCTTTACATTACTTACTGGTTTTTATACGAGGGACCTTCTATAAGAATATAGTGATGGCAACTCACTTACTACATGAATGCTACTTATTTCTAGGAGCTTAACTTGGTTAAGATAGTTTGACCTGGCATGATTAATATTTACAAATGGAAAATTAAATCTTTTACTTCAGTTTTTATTCAGTCTGTTCACCAAGTTACATTGTCCTGCTATATCTGGCAGTGTACTTGGTGCTATCAGAAGACAAAAAGTTAAAACATTTGCCCAAAGAGCTTAGTCTAAATGTTGGGAGAAACAAGACAAAAATTTGTCTAAGAATAAATCGGATAAGAAGAAATTATAAAGCTTAGACGAAGGACATAAAAGAAGACCTAACCAAATTTGCAAAACAAAATATATTTATTAGAATAACAAAGGTCATAAATATTTTAATTTTCTCCACATAATCCGAAATACAGGCTCAATGAAAGATGGAGGTTTTATCTGTTTTTTTTTTTTTTTCATTTATGTATCATTAGTGCAAGAGCATAGTAGGTACTCAATAAACATTTGTTGAAGAATGTTATCTGAAAGTTCACTCAAAAATCACATTATAAAATTTGGATGGAACCAGACAAGTTAATTCTAAAATTTATAGATTCATAGTTGGAAGGAAAAGGGTCCAAAATGGTGTTGAAGAAGCCTAATGAAATGATAAGGCTTGTCCTGCCAGAATGCAATAGATTGTTATTTCCAAAGATGATCACAACACTATTTTCCTTCCCAGGTACTTTTTAGCAAAGTGACATTGCCACTCCCCCATCAAGAGGTGCAGTCTACTTTACCTTCTTTTAATCAACTTGTAGGAATAGAATAAGGCAGAGGTGGCTTTGAGTGATGTCTGAGGCTAGACTTTAAGACATCTGCAATTTCTGCCTTTGCTTTTTGTAATATTTCTTCTTGGATCCCACCTATCATGCTTTCCAAAGCTCAAATAGCCACATAGAGATACCCACATGGAGAAAAACAAAGGCTTTAGTTGAAAACCCCAGCTGAGCTCCCATTTGTCAGCTAGCACTGTGGTAGTCAACCATGCGAATGAGGCTATTTTGGACCTCATGATCGTCCAGTGCCTGGGCTGATACCATGGGAAACGGAATTTTGTGGCTGCCCACAAAATCATGGAAAATAATGATTTTTTAGAAAACCTCCACTGTTTTGTTTTGCAGCAATAAATAACTGAAACACCAATCCAAAAAACTTATAAAGCTATAACAATTAAAACAGTATAATAATAGTACCGGGATACAAAAATGGTCAAATTGAAGAGGATACAAAGCCTCAAAGCAGTCCTCACTCATAAAAGCCTTGTTGTATCACTAAAAAGGCATTAAAATTGAGAAGAAGGAAGAACTAGTGGATTAATTAATAAATGAGAAGTATCCATAAGGAAAAATTAAAATTAGATTCTTGCTTCACATTATGAAAAAATACAAACAACAGATTGATTAAAGACTTAAATGTGATCAACAAAATGTTAAAACTGTGATAAGAACATTTAAGAAAATAGTTCTATAACCCTGGGATAAAACATTTTCATCCAAGGCATTAAGTGTTAAATGAAAAGACTGATACATTTATTCATTAGAATTTAAATTTCTGTTGCCATTAAAAAAAAAGTAAAGGACAAGCCACAAACTGGAAGAACATATTTGTAATGCATAAAACTAGAACTGACAAAGAATTTTTTATTCAGATAATACTAAGAACTCCTAGGAACAAGAAGAAGGAGAAAGAGGAGTGGAGGAGGAGGAGGAGGAAGAATAATAGGAAAAGGAGAAGGAGGGAGAAGCTCAAAGAAACAACAAATAGGCAAAGGATATAAACAGTTGATTTACAGAAGTGCAAAACCAAAGGACAAATAAACATGTAAAAAGATGTTTAGCTTCACCAGTGATTAGGGAAATAAAAATTAAATCAATAATAAAATTGCATCTCACAGCCATTAGATGATAAAAATTAAAGCATGACAATACATATGTCTGGGAGGTAGAGAAACTGGAACTTTCATTCACTGCTGGCTGGAATGTAAATTGATATTAGTTCTTTGGAGAGCAATTTGGCAACATCTGATAAGGCTGAGGAAGTCCATATCCTAATTGTTGACGTTCACAAAGAGACATACAAGGATGTTTGCTGCAGAGTGACTGGATCAAATCAACCCTGGGATTTATACGGTGAAAGAAGACCCAAGACAGAACACTGAAAGGGGAGGTATGAAGGTTAATGGCCAACAGGAGTGGTGAATAGATGGCCTTCTTTTCTAGAATGAGATTTCTTTGGTATAAAATAATCATAACTGATTAAATGAAAGTATTTGATATTATTCTGGCATATATACAGAAGAGACTAGAAAACTAGAAAATATCCTACATGTGATATACTTTATGAAGTTTAAACAGCACAGAGTTCTGGCAAATGTTACTAATGATGAATAAAATATTTTGTTTTCTGGTGCATGCCTCTAATCCCAGCTACTCAGGAGGCTGAGGCGGGAGAATCACTTGAACCCAGGAGGCGAAGGTTGCAGTGAGCCAAGATCACGCCATTGCACTCCAGCCTGGGCAACAAGAGCGAAACTCCATCTCAAAAACTAAATAAATAAATAAATTTGTTTTCACTGAGTCTACAAAATGTTTTATTTGTTAGTGTACTTTATAATGTTTAAATATACCCTTTTAAATTACTTCAAAAATCAAAATAAATAGAGATAAAACATGATGGTGTTACCTGTGATTTAGTGTTGATATAATTTTCTGAGTAGGCTATTTATGTTGATAAAATATCCTTTAATTTTAAAAAGGATTATCTTAAATATTATTTCAGAAAAGCAAACTAATTCCTGGACATTGGCACTTAGAAATATATGTCTTGATAAGTAATGTGCAGATCATTTAAATAACTTCCCTCAAATTATACTAATTTGAAATATGAAAATTTAGAAAACCTGGCATAGTGACATTTTTACTTCCCTGAATGTTTGAAAAGTTGGAAAAACTCCAAAGTGCTGCTCATTTACAAAACCCCTATGTTGTGTGCTTTTAGAACATCTGTTCTTCAAGGTCAGAGGTTATTTTCTGAAGGTTCTTCTGCAGCGTGTCTTGTAAGACTTGTACCACTAGCAAATACATTTCCATCATTAGCAGATATTTGTTTCACCAAAATGTTCAATACATGCCATCATGATTACTCAAAAACTGTTAAATGTTCATAGGAATAATGATGCTTTGTTTGCCTCACCATTCAAAACAAATTAACTAGAGTTCTACTTGGTCTACTGAAATTGACATGCTAAAGATGCCCATGATACTAGTGAAATTTTACTTCCTTGAATAGGATATCTGTATTGGTAAAGGACAGATTTTGGTTACATAATTCAATTTATGAACATTATCAAGTAGTGAGACATAAAATTCCAGATTATCTACATGAATCTCAACAGGTTCAATGTTAACTTTGCTATAAACATCCATTATCCACATGGTGTAGAGAAAAGGACACTTATCTGGTCCACACTGGCTCCTAACTTGCTGAGTCATCTTGAGCAACATTTGACCTCTTTATTTCTCAGTTACCTTGAATGCTAAATGTGGGTATTAGACTAGAACTAGATGATTTCTAGTTTTTTCCATAATTCTCTAGGCATCCATGTACAAAAAAATCTAAATAGGTTCCGTCTGCAAACATCCCTGGAATAATATGGTGATTAGAAATTCCATATGCAAAATATGTTCAATAATGGGTGGGTTGAACCTCTGTGCATCTTTCTTATTTAAATGGAAACAAGGATGTGGTTAATTCAGCATAGAGGAGAAGAACTGTGGTAGCTTCAAAGGATAGTACTACAGTTTCAGAGTCCCTTCACCTGGCCACAGCACTACAGTGTTGAGTGGCTGCTGTGGATATTGGGAGACAATGGGACACATTGGCCCCACCTCATTACTTTTGCCATGGAAGAGAACCTGACTTGGTTCATGAAGCAGATTCAACTGAGCAAGAGAAGGAATCTCATAACAGCTTAATGATGTCTACTGACAAGCTTGAGTATAAACTCTTAAAGAAAATGAAGACTTCTCCAACCCATCTCATAGTGAGATGAGCTTCTCATCTGTTTTATGCAAGGATTATTATTGCATTTCTCTTCGTATAATATATATGTGCCTGAAAATGTGTGTATAAACTAAGATATTGAGGTGGCTATCTTAATTTTTTAATGAAGTTCAACAAATATTTCTTGAACACTAAATGCCAGGAACTGTGGTAAGTCCTATTGCCGCTAAATAATCATAGAGTAACTTCTGTTCTTTGAGATCTACTCTAGTGGATAATAAAAGCACTCAAGTCTGTTTCCTGGATGAGCTCAGACCAGCAGCCAAGTATGATAATCCTCTGTGCCATGAAAATGAATTTTCTGAGGAAATTCACTCAAAAACCCATCTAGAGGTAAATTCTTTTAAAATTTAAATAAGTAGTCTTATTATGTAAAGACTGTTACGTTAGGTAAGCTATTCACTCATATATAGAAAAAGTTCTTTCAGTATGTATATATATACACATCTCTTTACCCACTCCTTTTGTTTGTTAGCTAACATGGATATTTGAGTTCATACATGTATCAGGCTAATCCCACATGACCAAACATATATAACAATCAAACCATAGTGTGGCATCTGCAGCACTCATTTTATTCCACAATGAAATAAAAATGAATTCAGCTATTAAAGTAGTCTAATTCTGTTATACCTACAAATATAATCAAGAAGCAAGATTTTGGAACAATATTTTTCAATAAATTTTCCTCTGCCACAATGCTTGTTTCTGTGGACTTTTAGGGAATAAGTTGACATATATTAAATATGTGAGAACTTTATGCTGTATTCTAAAATAACAGTTGATTAATTAAAGAGTTAAATATTGACCCCTAGGAGGGCCCTCTGCTACAGTCAATTGGAGAAAGAAGAGGAATAAGGGCTTGGCATTACCTTCAAAAAGATTTTACTCCAAGTCGGATTCTTCATTTCTTGCTGCTAGACAAGAGCCATCAAAGTAAAACAGATACAATTTCCAGGAAATACAGGAAATAAAAAAACACTTTTTCTTGCTATGAGAGGTAACGAGACTGATAAAAGAGAGGTAGAAAAGGGATTTTTTTTTTTTAAGTGAGAGGAAACATCGAGGACCAAAGCCCAGGAAGCACCCGGATGTGTAAGGAAATGAAGAGGAAGATGATCCTTCAGTGAGTAGTGGAGCAAATAGGGGAACCCGGTGTATTTAAGTGTGTGTGTGTAGGGTGGAGAGAAACAGGGAGGAGGGCAGAGTTTCAGGAAAGAGGTTTATAATGATCTATTGATTATATTATTATTAGGAAATGAGAATAAGTAGGAAAAAAATTGCACCTGTCTCCTTTCTTCTTAGCTGTGGTCTCATTTTAGTTCCTAGTATTCAGAGGTGACCTAATCAGACTGCAGAATGTTCTGAAAGGTTTTAAACATGAACTGTTGGTTTTGGCAATCAGAAGCACTGACATAACATAGTGTATCAAACAAAAATATCAGCTTCTTCACAATACTATATAAAATAATGCATGCAGGTCTAAAAATAGATTTAAATTCAGAATAAAATTGTCAAAGTGACTGCCAAATAAAAACACACAATACACAGAAGTTGGAGCTTTTCCACTCAGTAAGAATGACTGAGTTTGTGGAATGTCAGTAAAAGATGTATACTTTAACTTTAGATGAGTATTTGTGTAATAGCTAGAAAATCATTGTATTGGCTTAAATGTTGCTTTGATGAATTTCTACCAAAATCATAATCTCTGTTAAATTAGTAAATTCCAAATGAGCTAAATTCAAACAAACAGAAAACTTGAATATAATCCTGTGAATATAATCCTACCTCAATGATCCTGTGAGGTAGTATTATTTTGGGGATCATTTTTAAATCAATGAAGATACTTGAGTTTGAAGATTAGGAAACCTGATCCAAGTTTATGATGCCAGCAAGTTACAAAGGAATTGGAAATTTGAGCTTAGTTTCTGTCTTCAAAGCCTGTGTTCCTTCATGATACTATACAGTCTCTGCCATCCTAAAGAATAATAAATTATTGACAAAAAGACTAAATTATATTAAATAAAGTTTTGATACTAAAGCATATGATTATATTCTAATTCCTTATAATTTGGTAACCCACATTTGTTATGATAGAAATGTTTTTAAAAGATCATTTGAAAAATTGAAAACCTGATTTTTTAAAACCCTCTGCATAAAAAGGAGTTCCTTTAATTCATTGTAAACTAACTTAAATTGTAAAGCCACTGATTAAATCTTAAATCTGGATCAAAATCCATCTTTGCAAAATTTATCCAAATTTAGTTATCATGAGCTAAATTCACAGAAATGAAGTAGTTCATAATTTTTATTTTGCCAGCATCTTACCTTATGTTTATATTCTATGTTTAAAGTGTAATGGTAAGTCTTTGAATGGAAAAATGGTGTTCCAAAGTTAACTATACAAAGCTTAAGGACAAGACATTTCCTCAATGATTCTTGGGAATGAGACAGTAGTAACTGGATGAATTTTCATGGCAATGAGGTAAATAACAACTGGATGAGCCTCTCTTTTTCAGAGTTAACTGGAAAATAAATTAAACAAACAAATAACAAAGTCTTTCTGGGCATCTCGGATTGCTAAGACCCCAAGCCTCAGCATTTTTTGACTCCTTTCTGATTCTTCAGCCCTACATTCTATCATCAAGAAATCATTTCACCTCTACCTTCAAATATAAGTCCACAGACTATGATCACTTCTTCCATCTCTCATCTGAATCAATGTGATACTCTTATAACTGTCTCTCTAATTCTGCCTTGCTCCCCTGTTACAATGTCAATCAGGTCATGTCATGTGCCACTTTGTGGCCACCCGTTTCATTCAGAGAAAAAGTTAAGTCCTTACAACATATTCTGCTTCCCTCTCCCTTAGTCCTGCCCTGTGTCCGTGTTTCAAAACCTACGCACGTGGCTCTAGACAACTTTGCCTGCTTGCTGTCCTCTAAAATGCTAAAAGGACTTCACGTCGGGACTTTTGCACTTGCTATTCTTTCTCTCCAGAAAATCTTGTATATCTGCTTGGTTTCTTCTTCTTGCTTCTTTCAGATCTTGGCTCATGTATCAGCTTATTAGTGAGGCCCATTCTGACGATGTGACCTTGACTCCTTATTCAAATATAAACTTCATGAAGACAGTGATTTTTGGCTATTTGGTGCACTTCTGTATTCACAGTGTCTAGTGTAATCCCATAGTAGGTGTTCAATAAACATCTGTTAAATTAATAGATTAATTGATGGAGAAATGATTGACTATCATATGTGTTATTTAACTGCCATGTTAACTGCAGATAGGTAGTATGATCTCTGTTTTGCTAGATATGATAAATCAACCTGATTAGCCTGATAGCCATGGAGTTGTAAAAGTTGACTTACAAGGTATAGTTGACTATAGTTGATTCATTCTAAAATTCTTGTCAGGTAAAATGAGGTATCATTTTGTATCATTCTCCTATAAACTACAGAGTATTTCCTCATGAATGATTAGTTTTTTCAATGTATTGTTTTTAATCACAGAGGTCTTGCTACTTTATTTTATTTTAGTTTAGTTTAGCAAGATGGAGTCTTGCTCTGTCGCTGAGGCTGGAGTGCAGTGGTGAAATCTTGGCTTATTGCAACCTCTGCCTACTGGGTTCAAGCGATTCTCCTGTCTCAGCCTCCAGAGTAGCTGGGACTATAGGCATGTGCCACCATGCCTGGCTAATTTTTGTATTTTTAGTAGAGATGGGGTTTCACCATGTTGCCCAGGCTGTCTGGAACTCGTGGCCTCAAGTGAACTGCCTGCCTCGGCCTCTCAAAGCCTTGGGATTACAGGTACGAGCCACCATGCCCAGCAGTCTTGCTATTTTAATTAATCTGGCAAGTAATTATATCTAAAGTATACAGGCACTGGTTTAATCTCTGGGACATACTGATTAACCAGACAGGCAAATCTGGAATTTATAGTTAGTTAAACAGATGCACAAACTAAAAAGAAAATATCAAAATTGTAAGTACAATGCAAATAATTAAAAGAAGGAATGTGAGGCCAGGCATGGTGGCTCACGCCTGTAATCCCAGCACTTTTGGAGGCCAAGGCCAGAGGATCATGAGGTCAGGAGATCGAGACCATCCTGGCCAACATGGTGAAACCCTGTCTCTACTAAAAATACAAAAATTAGCTGGGTGTGGTGGCGAGCACCTGTAATCCCAGTTACTTGGGAGGCTGAGGCATGAGAATCGCTTGAACCCAGGAGGTGAAGATTGCAGTGACCTGAGATCATGGTACTGCACTCCAGCATGGTGATAGAGTGAGACTCTGTCTCAAAAAACAAACAAACAAACAAATAAACAAACAGAAAGAATGTGGTAGGAAGTGACTAGGGGCAATGGGATTGGGTTCTTGATGATCATTTCCACCTGCCCTTCCTGGTCTCTTTGCCCTTCTCCATTCTGCTTTCCACTCCAGAAGACCAAACTTTATGGACTCTGTCGTTGGTCTGCCTTACTTCTGGCCTCTGGTTGTGTTTGACCAATGGGAACCATCTGCAGAAGATTTGAGAACTAGGGGAGGAGGAGGGCTGGGTATACTTTCCCCTGGATCCTCCCTGCCAGCTCCCCACTGATTGGCAGTGTTTTTCTTTACCTAAGGCCAGGTTCCTGTTGGGCACCCTTCCCCTATATTTTCATGTTCTGAGCTGTAGGAACTGTTTCTTCCTTTATTCTCTCACCCTTGGTAACCACTCCTCCCTGGCTCTTGTAGTACAGAATTCTGCATTATATGTGCTATCATATTGTTAAACTTTATAACAATAAATAATCACTATATTACTATAAATCACCCCTTTACTAAATAAACTATATGAGTACCTGATTTGTTTTTTACTCACCCATGACTGATAAAGGTGGTAGGAAATACCTTTGTGGTGAAGTATTAGATAATGTTAGTCTTGCAGAAGGCAGCCATAAGGAAAATATCTAGGAAGGAACATTCTAGACAACGGAAAAATCTGAGACAAAGAAACAAAGGCAGGGATGAGCTCTGTATGTTTGTAGAACTGAAATATTTTGGCTCAACAGTAGTGAAGAAGAGAGAGGATTGTAGGAAATGAGGGTGGGATCTAGGCAGGTGCCTACCTTGAATTAATGTTCTTATTGTACTTAAACAAAAAAAAAGCACCAAAACAGAGCAAAAAATGTGTGTCAGTAAAAGGCAGTATTTTGTGGGGCATGTCTTTACCTAATTCTGTTTATTTGTGAGTTTTGTGAAAGTGAAAGGAAAATTACCAAAAATAAATTATTTAAATTTTCGTTTTCCTTTCTTTGTAGCACATTTTCTTAAGTCATTTAAGTGTGACTTTAGTCATCAAGTACATACAAGAAAAAAAGCATAAAGGAATGAAAATTAAGAGGGTAAAACTTCTGCAGGCTATATTTACTATTTACTCTAATAATATTAAAAGGAATCATGAACGCATTGAGAAGTATTTTGAAGATCAAGTTTATGTAGCAGTTTATTTTTTAATCTATCCTCATGGCTTTGTTGTGTTTGTGAGACAAAATGACTTCCTAAGAAACACAGATTTTATTTCCTTAGTGTTACTTCTAGTAATTACTCTTTCTCTCATATTTACATTTGGTCAATTTTATCTGCTTCCTCTATGCAAGAAAAAATTAACTTCTTAGACTTTTAACCTTCCTTCTTGTTCCCCCATCACTCTAATTTGTTGTATTCACATACTAAGAATAATGTTTGGTATTCTCTTAGTTTCCCTTTAGCCAGTTTATCAACTATCTTCTGGATTTCTGGTTCTCAATCCTGACAATAAATGAAATCATATTCTGAAAGAACGTCATCATTCGTTGAAATATTTTCATTTCTGGTAAATACATTGTCTTGACTTAAAAAGTGTTTTTTTTGGTAGCGGATGACTCCTAGAATAGTACCTGGCATGTGTTAGGTGCTCAATAACTATTTACTGATGGAATGAACACAGGCTCTAGTGTAAACAGATGAGACTTCATAATGTCACTTACCACATGGCACTCAGGAGATATTTAGCCTACCTAAGCCTCGATTATCATCAACTATAAAATTGAGATAATAATAGTATCTACCATTTACCGTTGTTCTAAGAATTAAATGACATAGTGCATGCAAAGGACTTAGCATAGAGCCTATCACCTAGCAAGTGCTAAAACATTAGCTATTATTTTTAACATTAATTATTTTTCAACCCTAGAATGGTACATTTTTAACAGGTAGTACATTTTAACAGCAAAATTTTAGCAGAATGTATTTATCCCCCACTTTGCATTTTTTCCTAAAAACTGTATCATGGGATAATTTATTTTGCTGTGGAGAAAGACTAAACTATCTATGCCTCCCTCCACCTGAGGTCATTTCTGAAGCTGTTGGCATTGGGCCAGGGGTTGAGTGGCAGAATAATCTCCTTATCAATTTTGTTATGTTTGATGTTGTACAAAATAAATAGCTCAATAAAAACTCCAGTTTAGATGTTACCATGGTTGGGAAGAAAATGGCAGTGGCTACCTATTAAGAACCACAATCACAAATGCAGTCCTTCTGTATTTTATATCCTTGGTTAGGTGGGTTTCTTGTTCTTTTCCTTGTTTGCTCCATCTGGGGATGCCTGGGCACCCGTACAAAACTCACTAGTGCCTAAACACAGACACATTAGTTGGGGCTGCCCCTGCTTCAGATACCAGGGAGAGATTTGTTGGCATAATGCACCAGGGTCTTATGCCAGCTCCTGATTCTTTGCTGATGCTGAGATGAGGAACATGGCTGGGAGGGGGCTAGGATGGAATGAAATCTGTGGCAGCCAAAGCCTCCATTTGTCTTTCTGCCGAGTGTGCTGAGCTGTAGACACTGCAGTGTTTTCAAAAATAATAATAAAAAAATTTGCTCATTAGTTTTTAAGTCCTGCTGACTTTGTGAAATCAATATAGCACATTGTAATTGATTTATGAAATCAAAAAACCCCTGCTTGACCAGGAAGTTCGGCAGTCGCTGCTCTCAGCAACCTGCCCTTCTGCTCATTAGTGCATTTCCTTTAGTGCTGCCTGAGCCGAGGGCGCCTTCAGAGCTGGAAGGCTCAAGCCCTCTGCAGACAGTCTGCTTAAGATGTAGCTTGCATTGTGTCCCTGGGGTCTTATGCTTCTCCCCTTCTTCCTACCAGGTCAGCTGAAGGACTTCAGCTTCTCTCTTAGGGTCCCTAATGTTCTCATAATATCTTACTGGAAAGGCAAGACTCCATTCATACCTGTATTTTGACATTTTAATCTATTTGCTACTTTTCTTTTCTCTCACCTTTTATTCTTCCTTGTCTTATTACTTAGCTTATCTTTTGCCATCTGACCTTATCTATTCATTGATCTCTTTTATTCTATTTTATATAACCTCACAAGGTTAACAATTTTTTTCTATTTCAATTGTCTTTGTCTAATTTCAGTACCTACTGTTTTATTCTTAAGATAATATTTTATACCTCTTCCTGCCAAAGCCTGCTATAATTATGTTTGTATGCCACCTTTCAAAAATTGAAGTAACTGCTATACACCAAACATTG
The DNA here is from genome assembly GCF_000001405.40 of Homo sapiens. NCBI lineage: Eukaryota > Metazoa > Chordata > Mammalia > Primates > Hominidae > Homo > Homo sapiens. Next base: position 66,982,479 of record NC_000010.11, on the reverse strand, counting down.
TCCTGGGTGCTTTACATCAAATTATCTTCTCAAGAAGTGTGTAAGGAATGCATTATCCTTGGTTAGAGGTGAAAAAACTGAGATTTAGAGAAGTTAGTAACTTGCCTGAGTCACCCCACTACTGAGGGGCAAGGCTGGTATTTGAAACTAATTCTGTTTGACTCCAAAGCCTGTGTTTCTTTTTTCCAGTACAAAATGATTATTCCAATTGGCCTCTGTTTTACATTAAATGCTTAACTAGCAAAATCTAGCTCTTGGCTGCCCTTAAAGGGGCTCATTCTCTTTAGTGCCATTCTTCCAAATAACTCTGCTGTTCAAACTGCCAGAATGCAAATGTATTTATTTTAAGATCTTGGTCTATGCTAGCATATTGGATGGCTTATCCTTTTTCGTGGAATTCTCATCTATCTAATGTTATGTGTATGGAGCCCCTTGCCTCATCATTAAAGGTGAGGGAAGTGTTCTCATATTGTCAAAAGTCACCAAGAGCAATCTCATAACCTAGAAAAATCGACAGACAGCTGAGCCAAATAGGCAGCCTTTGGGAGCTTCCTGTGGATTTCATTTTCTCTTTGTTCTTTTGATGCAACTTTGGGAGCAAGTAAGTGGGAAAATTATAGAACACTGCAGCAGCAGGAAGATGATGCAATGTGCTCGATGTCCTCACTTCTTAAGTCGTTGAAGGAACCTGTAGTTTCTCCATACAGGTACTGTATGTTTCAGGTAAGTGCTATGCCATGTTCATAATGCATGAGTTTGCAATGAGTTAATAGGTTCCATCCATTTGATGTCTTGCATAATATTGCAGTAGCATTGGGCATTACTGCCATTCAATATGTGCAATATTGTACTAAAAATTAACCACAGATGCCATATTAAAACAGCTGCAGATTTAGATTTAGCTACAGAAGGAAGAAAATGTGCTATGGAAGTTGGCCAGAAGTGCAATGGAGATATGCTGTAAATGAGGAGGAGGAGAAAGATACTGAGGTTGAAGTGCCAAAAAAAATAAATGGAAATGGAAATGGGGATGGGTAAGTCATATGGTCAGTGGCAATTCAAAGGGACTCAAAATCCAGAAGAGTGCAGAATGCAGGGTGACTTATGCCTGAGTGAGCTGATGAAGTTTTAAAGCAGGAGGTCTAATCAGAACAATATTTAGAGATATAGATGAAGGTGTAAAGAAAACAGCTATAAATGTAATCATTCATTTTTAGGATGCTTAACTGTAGTCAGGATATTGATTTAGGAATAAACTACTAGAAAAACTGGATGTGGCTGGGCGCGGTGGCTCACGCCTGTAATCCCAGCACTTTGGGAGGCCAAGGTAGGTGGATCACATGAGGTTAGGAGTTCGAGACCAGCCTGACCAACATGGAGAAATCCCTCTCTAGTAAAAATACAAAATTAGCCAGGCATGGTGGAGCATGCCTGTAATCCAGCTACTAGGGAGGCTGAGGCAAGAGAATCACTTGAACCCGGGAGGTGGAGGTTGGGGTGAGCCGAAATCACACCATCGCACTCCAGCCTGGGCAACAAGAGTGAAACTCTGTCTCAAAAATAAATAAATAAAAAAGAAAGAAAAAGAAAAACTGTGGATGCTTGAAGTGATCAATGTGTGAGAAGAAAGTTCTGGTGTACAGGGAGTCATAGCAATTCCAGACCATTACAAAATTCAAGATTATCTTGAACACTCTTGTACATGAAGGTTGTCCTCTGACAATGGACCCTTGTGAGATTGACGATTCCCATTTTGGAGAAAAGTGTTGGAGGGTTCAGTTGGCACAATTTTGTACTGAAAACTGAAGTGACAAAATTTTATTTCAACAGAATTGCGGGCTTGCAAGAATCTCATTAACTGTAGGGCCATCTGCCACGTTGCTACTCATTTGGCTCATTTAATCACAGGTGGGTAGGAAGGTCTCAATAGTTTTGGTTCCTGTTCAATTCTGATTTTTGCTTGGGAAACAGAAGGAAGGTCTCAATAGTTTTGGTTCCTGTTCAATTCTGATTTTTGCTTGGGAAACAGAAAAGGCCAGTGACAGCTGTGGCAGTGCCAGGGTTCTCTTTTCTCTGTGTGAGCCAGAAGATGGCTTCCCTATATAGTTTGCTGCTAACAGAGCAAGCAGACAGTAAGCATTTCCTCGCCCTAGTGTTTGGCTGCTGAAAGAATTATCTTTGTTGACTTGTGGTATACTTGGCTTAGGAGAAGAGACAAGGAACACAGTGGTCTCTAAATTAGTAATTGACTTCATCAGGGGAGGAAAGACTGGTTATTGACTGCCGTAGGTCAGTTAAAGCACCTGACATTTACCTATAACTTGTGTCTGCCTTCCTGGCTCAGAAATGAAATAGAAACAAATTTGATTAGTAACCAGGAAATACAGTTGGTGCTTTACAAGTTATTAGGTACATTCTAGGCCTCTAAACATTTTAGGGAAAAAAGTGTCTCCAGTGCCAATGCATAACCTTGTTTTCCTTCCTCTTCTTTTGAACACAAAAGAATAAAAACTTGATGGAACCCCCTGGTGTTCCAACAGTACTTGAGGAAAGTAAAGCAAAGCAGAACACAACAAAATACAAAAACAGGCTTTTTCTATTTTGTTTTACTTTGTTTTTCAGTCTAGTGTTTCAAATCCAGGAAATGTCAGTTCTTTCAAAGGACCTTTTCTCCATAGAATAAAATTTTGGGAAATTTTGAAAAAGCTGTAGTTCTATTATGATAGTGATAAAGTAGATTATAGCTAACATTTATTGGGCACTCAATGTGTGCACAACAGTACTCTGTATCTCACCTATATAATCCTATTCATCCCCACAAACATCTATGTTCTAAGTTCTGTTTATACTCCCCATTTTACTGATGTGGCAATTGAGGGATAGAATGGTTAACAAATTCTTCCAGGTCGCATGGCCAGAAGTATGGCAGAGTCATTATCAAAGCCCCCAAGTTAGTGCCTGAGTCTGCACCCTGGGCCGAAATTTTCCAGCTTCTGTGATACAGAATTTTATGCCAGAAACTCTTACATTACTAAATTTTTCATTCTTTCTTTTAATATAAATATACATAAAAATGAGGAAAACTTCCATAGGTGTGTTCTAATACTGTGAGCAAATTAAAACTCAATTGAATACTATTTTCACAAATACATGTATGCTTATCTCACTTTAGGATGAACCAATTCTAAAAGTCCTACTTAAGAAATAGTTATGACCAGGCATGGTGGCTCATGCCTGTAATCCCAGCACTTTGGGAGGCCGAGGCAGGCAGATCGCTAGAGGTCAGGAGTCTGAGACCAGCCTGGCCAACATGGTGAAACACTGTCTCTACTAAAAACAAAAATTAAATTAGCCAGGTGTGGTGGTGGGTGCCTGTAATCCCAGCTACTCAGGAGGCTGAGGCAGGAGAATCTCTTGAGCCCAGGAGGTAGAGGTTGCAGCAAGCCAAGATTGCACCATTGCACTCCAGCCTGGGTGGCAGAGCAAGACTGTCTCAAAAAAAAAAAAAAAAAAAAAAAAGGAAATAAGTATGTGAGGAGTGGCTATTTAACAAGGGACTTGTCGCTAGTCAAGATTTAGTAATGGCTTCCTTCAAATAATAGGCTTTGTGAAATTTACATAAAATACAGTTAATAATAATTCAGGCTAAGCAATAATTTAGGACCACATTTGTTGCATATGTCAGGCCTTGCTTTCATGCTACTTTTTATTTAATTAAATAAAAATCCTTTATAAAATAATGTGACAGGTTTAGTAAATGTATTTATTCACTGGAACTTTATGAATTGCTAATTTTTATTTGCTATTTATAGTTTCTTTCAGCTCTGTTTTTTTCTCTCTTTTTAAAAACTGTGGTAAGAACACTTAACATAAGATCTACTCCCTTAAAAATATTAAGTACACCATACTATATATATATATATATATTTTTTTTTTTTTTTTTTTTTTTTTTTGAGATGGAGTCTCACTCTATCATCCAGGCTGGAGTGCAGTGGTGTGATCTAGACTCACTGCAACCTCCGCCTCCCAGGTTAAAGTGATTCTCCTGCCTCAGCCTCCTGAATAGCTGGGATTACAGGCGCCCACCACCACGCCCAGCTAGTTTTTTGTATTTTTAGTAGAGACAGGGTTTTGCCATGTTGGCCAGGCTGGTCTCGAACTCCTGACCTCAAGTAATCCACCTGCCTTGGCCTCCCAAAATGCTGGGATTACAGGTGTGAGCCAGTGCACTTGGCCCACAATACAATATTGTTAACTCTAGGCACTATGTTGTGCAGCAGATCTCTAGAACTTATTCATCTTGCATAACTGAAATTTTATACCTATTGAATAGCAACTCCCCATTCTCTTAATTATCTAGGATCATATTTTCAGGAACGTCATCGCATGTGTGTGTGTGTGTGTGTGTGTGTATATATATATATATGTGTGTGCAAATTTATTTCACTCATGATGTTATACTAAAGTATGGATTTCTATATACAACCTTGATTATTCCACACTTAGGAATAAAAGTTTGACTAAGTGTCATTTTTCCTAAAATATGTTTTGGTTCCATAAGTATTAAACAAGGATACTTACATTTATAAACTATTTTGTATTGTTTCCAAATGAAAGCACAAGTGATCCAGACATATAGGAGGCTATAAAGCATGACATATCTTTAGTGACAATTGGAAGTACAGAATTATGGACAAAAACTATCCACCCAACTCAGAAAAGAGAATCCTGTTTCCTTTACTTTGCTATGGCAAAAAGTTGACTCCTTTATCTAACAATAGTAGATAGCTATCTGAAGATTTATTTAACCTTTAAAACATACAAGGCCCAGCTTACATCTACAAATTTAGAGCACATTTGGAAGCTCTTTAGATAGGAATGCTGAAGTACCTCTGGCTTTCTATTTTACACGTGACAGTGAAGCATAGAAAATTGTTCCTTCTGTGAGCTCTTAACAGAGGCCACTCTTGTAGTTTCTAAAGTTTTATTGCTAAGCTTAGGCTGAGGGTCATATCATATGATCTTTATACATTTTTTTTTTTTTTGAGACAGAGTTTCACTCTATCGCCAGGCTGGAGTGCAGTGGCGTGATCTTGGCTCACTGCAACCTCTGCTTCCCAGGTTCAAGCAATCCTCCTGCCTCAGCCTCCTGAGTAGCTGGGACTACAGGTACCAGCCACCACACCCAGCTAATTTTTTGTTTTTAGTAGAGACGGGGTTTCACCATGTTGGCCAGTATGGTCTCAATCTCTTGACTTCGTGATCCACCTGCCTCGGCCTCCCAAAGTGCTAGGATTACAGGTGTAAGCCACCGTGCCCGGCCAACCTTTATATATTCTACCCATTATAGGTCCTTTAAACAAATCTTGCCATTTCAAGCCTTAATCTATTTTCCCATTGATTTATATTAGGTCATTATTTTAGACAATGGAACTATCAACCATTGGCTAATTCTCCTGGAAGCATTTGTAGATATAAAATTACATTGATTTTCACCTGAAAGGCCCAATAAACTCGCCCATACTAGAAATTTAAATTTTGGTTCATTTCAGTAACCAAATGATAAGCACATCAAAGTAGTTATTTGGAAAGCAATCACTGTCTTTAGACAAAAACAAGAGCAAAAACAAAAACGTGGGTATCTCCTAAGAGGCCTGTGACTTGTTATACATTTTACCAATAAAATAATCATTTACATGAAATTTAAAGACTTACTCTAGATGAAATGAATAATGAGAAAACAGCACTAAGTTCAGAGAATAAAATTGTATTGACGAAGAAAGTAAATAGATCAGTGTGGCAGAAAAGTCATGAAAATAAGATTGGAAAAGTAAGTTTGATTAGTATTGAAAAGGGCCAAAAATGCCAAACTTGGGAATATGACCATTTTTCTTTAGGGAAGTCACTGTAGATTTTTAGGAAGAGATGATGTCATTACAGTTATATTATATGAAGACATCTTTCAACACTTTGTAGGGTAGGCTAGTAATGAGGCTATTGGAGTAATCTATAGAAAAAGAGATGAAGGCAAGAATAGAAGTGGTGGTGAGAAAAATGGAAAGGTCATGTGGGTTCCAGAGTCGAGAGGATGTTTGACATGTTTTTCTTTGTCTGAAATGTTCTTCTCTACTTTTTCTGCCTTACCAGTTCCTTAATTTCAGGTCTCAGCTGAAATATCCCTTTTACAGGGGTATCGTCCCTGATTCCCTATATTAGTGCCGCCATTCCATTTCTATGTTCTCCAACACTGTTTCTCACCTGCACTATTAGAAATACTTATAATTATTTCATGAGTTACTTTAAATTATTTTTAAAGTCCTTCTCACAAGAACATATGTTTTACAAAGGCAGGAACAATGTTTGTTTCATTAATACAAAGCTACTAGCACCTAACAGTAAGTATTCAACAAAATTTTGTGGACTAACTGACCTATTATTGGGCCTTTTATACAGGGAAATTAAAGAGGGCAGTTGGTAGAAAAGAATCAACTCTGGTTTTTAACTGCAGTAGCATGTTAAGCAGTTATTGGTCTATAATTTATGCTTTAGAATAAATGACTTTTATATATTTTCCTATAAGGAGGTATTGATATACTGATTGAAGAAGACCAAGATTTTTGGTCAGATAGAAAATGACAAGTCTTAATGGAGTTTAAAATACCAAAATATCATGTGTTAACTTAGAAAAACAGACAGAAAGGAGTGCTAAATAGAGGAAACAGCCAAGAATAAAGAGCAGAAATACTGTGTCTGCTCTGCAGATAGGACGAACTTAGCTTGATGGAGAACCAGATAAACTTGTGGATGAACCAGCTCAATGCCACCACTAATCCTGAAAAGTTATACACAAACCACTAAGCCAAGTGCTCTGTACATGACAATCATAGACTCATAGAATTGGATAGTGCAAGATAAGTCAAAGACAGACCGCTTCCCAATTCTTGATCTGATTTGCAATATCCAGCCAAATAGTTGCGAAGCTTTTCCTGAAATCCTCAGGAAAGGGAAACCTTTCCAACTTATTTTTACTTACACCAGTAGCTGATGATTCAGAAGCCAATCTGAACAGGGAACATTTAATCAAATCATAACTAAGTCAAGTACATCCTTACCTACAATGCTTAGGCATCTGCTTTAATACTTTGCAAAAGACAGCAGCATGCATGTTGTGCATACTACTCACAGATAGTACTTATTACTATTAATTATATGTGAATACCTTTATTAGAAAATATGAGAGCTGTATATTTTCTAAGTGTTCCCTCTTATCAAATAAATCAGTTATTGAGCTAGCTATCAATTGCAGAATCACATGATAATTTGCTTAGATTGAAGCAGGATTTTTGAAATGATGAAATGCCGATTTTAAATGGGACTAAAGAATGACCCTTTTGGTCAGCTACAAAATGGCGAGTCTTAATGGAGTCTAAAATACCAGATTACTCATCTCCTCTTCATCAAGAGCTACCTTTGATTCCAGGCCTATTGTTTCAGAATTGCATCTGTGGATTTTAGACCTATTCTTGACTCAGAGCTTGTGCTGACCTGGACTGGAATACTTTTTTCTCCTTAAAAAAAATGTATTATTAAGAATGCTTAGAATTCAATATGAAGAAAAAACAACTCAACTAAATATAGATGAAAGTCTTCAACAGACACTTCAGAAAAAAAAAAACAAATGGTTGGTAAGCACATGAAAAGATGTGCAATGTCATTAGTCATTAGGGAAATTAAAAATAAAACCACAATGAGAATATAACTTCCTGCTCATTAAAATGACAAAACAAAAACAAAAAGTCACATATTAAGTGTTGTATTAGTAGATGATATGAACCAATGAAACTCTTATACATTACTGATGGGAATGTGAAATGGAATAACCACTTTGAAGAACAGTTTAGAAGATTCTTTAAAAAGGTAAGCATTCACTTACACTACGAACCAGTAATTACAATTCTAAATATTTACCCAGGAGAAATAAAAACATATGCTGGCGAATGACTTGTATATAAATGTTTACAGCAGCTTAATTCACAATAGTCAAAAACTGGAGGCAACCTAAATGTCCATCAACACCAACAGGTGAATGCGTAAAGTGTGCTGTATAGGAATACACAGGGGAGTATTACTCAGCAATTAAAATGAATGAACTGCTAAGAAGCACTTTTTTAGATTACTCCTTTCTTCTTAAGGAATAACTTATTCTCCAGCCTATGTCACCAGAAGCTGTGAATCAGAAGTAGGCCTAAACTTGTAATGAGCAAAAGAAAGCAAGAAACAAAAACCTACATTGAATGATTTCATTCGTATCAAGCTCGAAATTAGGCAAAATTAATCTGTGGTGATAGAGACAGATCAGTGGCTATCTGGTAGGGCATAAGAAGACTGACTACAGAGAGACTCAGGGCAACTTTTTTGGTGATAGAAATTTTCTTATATCTTGATTTGTGTGGTGGTTACACTGGTGTATACAGTTGGTAAAACCTATTAAACCGTATACTTTATGCATTTTGTTTTATGAAAATTATATTTCAATAAAGTTGATTAAAAATAAATAAGGCTGGACGCGGTGGTTCACGCCTGTAATCCCAGCACTTTGGGAGGCCGAGGGGGATAAATCTTGAGGTCAGGAGTTCAAGACCAGCCTGGCCAACATGGTGAAACCCCATCTCAGTAAAAATACAAAAAATTAGCTGGGCATGGTGGTGGGTGCCTGTAATCCCAGCTACTGGGAAGGCTGAAGCAGGAGAATCACTTGAACCTGGGAGATGGAGGTTGCAGTGAGCCGAGATCGCACCACTGTACTCCAGCTGGGGTGACAGTGAGACTCCGTCTTGAAACAAAATAAGTAATTTAATAGTCTAACAAAATTATTTGAGAGTGTATTTAATTTAGCACTTTAAAAAATAAATTATATATTGCTAATTATAAATGAGAATGTTACTAAAACAAACTTAGAAGGGCATACTTAAAAGTCTTCTATATAGAATTGCTTGGTTACCAAAAGTTTAGTTACTATGAAATTAATGCTTCTAAGCTTACAGATACTTTATTGTTCAATTTAGTTCAGATTGTTCTTGTCATTTGTTAATACAAATTATTGAGAATTCATTGTAATATTGATGTTAGCGTCATATCAAAAATGTGGAAAGTCCTAGTACAATGAATATTATGAAATTTTCTTCTAATTGTCAATTTTCTTTTTCAAAACTCATACATTATAGTCTTTACTCAATACTGTTTTATTTCAATTGGAAACTGACATTTTTGATATTTATAAGAGATTTAAAATTATTTTTCATAAATATGTAGATTACAAGACTATGAAATCAATTTGAACAATTAGAAAAAGAACTGTTCATTTGATCTTAGCCAAAAGGCTGAGAAGCAATAAAAAAAGAACCATTTTTAACCCTCCTCAAGTGTATTACTATTATAGCATATTTTGTAAACATGATGTAAAACTGCTTGTGGTTGACTTAGTTTTTAATACTGACATTTCTGAAATGTTATTTCTCTCTACTGTATTTATTTATCCTACTTTTTAATCTATGAAACTTGTCAACATGGTGAAACCCCATCTCTACTAAAAATACAGACAATTAGCCAGGCGTGGTGGCAGGCGCCTGTAATTCCAGCTACTCAGAAGGCTGAGGCACAAGAATCACTTGAACCCAGGAGGTGGAGGTTGCAGTGAGCCGAGATTGCACCATTGCACTCCAGCCTGGGTGACAGAGCCAGACTCCATTTCATAAAAAAAAAAAAAAAAAAAAAAAAAATCTATTTGACAGAACCTTTAAATTGTATCTATATAAAGCTTTTAATATTATGGGTTTGCTTATGTTCATGTCTTACTTAGAAAAAGCACTTTATGAAATAAATTTTTATCAACTGAAGTAATAAAACAATCTGGATGGGCCTGTTAATGACAAAGTTAACTATTCTCCGAGAGCAAATGGACCAAAAATACCATTTATGCAGAAGTAAGAGGAAAATAATGATTTTTACGTTAATAAAATGTATTCTGCAAGGCACAGTGGTGCGTGCCTTAGGTCCAGCTACTCAGGAGGCTGAGGCAGGAGGACTGCTTGAGCCCAGTAGTTTGAGGCAAGCCTGGGCAACATAGACCTCATTTCATCTCTAAAAAAATGTATTCTTTGATGCTATATATAGTATAATAAATTTTGAGCTGATTATGTCATGTGGGTAAAGGAGTTGAACTCTGAAGCCGAATAATGAAGGAGGGAGAAAACTTTAGCCTGTGAGAGAAAGAAATCTTTGTTCATTCCAGTGAAACTGGAAAACCACAATAAATTGACTATATGTTGTTAATTTGAGAAGGCGATATTCTATCATAAGGAGTAGGTGTGCTATGGCAACACTAAACAAAGCTTAAAAGCTCAGTGGAGTGTAGAGTTCAAGATATTATAAAGACTGTTAAAGACCATAGATTCAAGGACAATGAGGAAAATTTTCAAGAGTCATGGGGGTTAATTAAAGAAAATTTAATTTTCATTTCCTGAAACAAATATTACAGAATGGAATATACTGAAGTACATTAGCATGTTTAAAAAAAAAAGAATATGCTCTGACCTTGTTGAAAAAAAATGATTTTGGCTCAGAAATGAGAAATATTAAAGAGAAGAACCTATTGTTAATTTATAATAATAGTAGAGATGACAGGGTCTCTTGTAATTAAAATAAATTATGTTTATGGTATATTTTCTCTTTGTTGGGCACTATTGCCAGGAATTGCCTGCAAATTCAGTGAGGTGGGAGTGGTTTATACCCTTACCTGTTCTTACCAACACAGTTATAATGATGACATTTGTCATTTATTGAGTGTTTACTCTAAGTGGGCACTCTACTAGGTGCATTACATAAAGTAATCCTCATAGTAAAGGAGTGAATTACACTCCTGGTTTTATAGGCTTAAAGAAGATGAAAACTGGCACAAAGCCATACAAATTATAAAGAGTACAATTGGGATTTAAGCACAGTCTTATGCTTATTCTAACACTGTTTATGTATGTATGTATGTATTTTTTTTTTTGAGACGGAGTCTCTCTCTGTTGCCCAGGCTTAGAGTGCAGTGGCACGATCTCGGCTCACTGCAACCTCCGCCTCCCGGGTTCAAGCGATTCTTCTGCCTCAGCCTCCTGAGTAGCTGGAATTACAGGCTCACACAACCATGCCCAGCTAATTTTTGTATTTTTAGTAGAGACGGGGTTTCACTATGTTGGTCAGGCTGGTCTTGAACTCCTGACCTTGTGATCTGCCTGCCTCGGTCTCCCAAAGTGCTGGGATTACAGGCGTGAGCCACCACACCCAGCCTTTTTTTAACTTCACTATCCTGCCTCATTGCTGCCCAGTGTAATTAAAGTCCAAATAGATACATTTTCATTTTTTTTCCTTTAAGATGATTCAAAGGGGAAAAAGAGCAAATAATGCAAATACTCATAGAAAGGCAAATAAACTTGCATGAAAAGAAGAAAGGAAAGAAAACAACTGAAATCCTGGCACAATTAATAGATAACTTCTTTCTATTTCACTTGGTTGAGGGAATTTTCTTGCTTGAACATTGAGAATTCTTGAGATCTGTATTATCTTGAAAAACAGAAGGACTACCAAGAGGAAATAATACACAGAGGATGGTGTTACCATGTATATACTGTCTCTTTTTTGGTATAATTCAAATATCACTTGGGCAATCATTTGTTATCTTTTGAAATAGTTCTGCCTGGAGATAAGGAAAGATTTTTGGCTTTCTAAGATATCATTTTGGGGCTATGTGAAAATAGTGTCATTATGTAGATGCAGATTTTCTGGTTATATTTCATGGATATTTGAGGTCACAGTCATCTCTAAATTTCTATACCTTCCTCTTTGAAATGTATTTTCTTGGCATTATTAGAATTTATGTAAAAATAAGTAGGTGATAAAAATTTCCCTAATAGAAGAATTGTATCCCCCCCCCACCCAAGAATATAGACCTTTTGTGGAGTATTTCTGGCTACCAGTTACCTCACTGAACTCAAATGTAATATTACCATGACTGTCTGGGAAGGAAAGAATAATTGTTACATATCTGCTGTATATCGAGAAGAAGCTGACTGTGTATGCAGGTAATATATGGATGACTTCCTAAGAGATAGTGCTGTAAAACCAAAGTGAAAATACAACAGAGTAACTGTAAAGAAATCCCAATAGCCATCCTTATGACTGACAGACTATAAACTTTTGTGGATGCTTGAATCTAATACCTTCTTACCACAACTGACCTTGCTCTAGTTTAGAGCTTCTAACTTTCATGTAATCAAAGTGTCTGTATTTTTGTGTGGGTTTAAAGATGTGGCTGTCCATGAGTGGCCCTGGGATTTTTTACAAGTTACAGTGATTTTGCAGTTGTTGAGATAGGTGCCACGCATTAAACCTATGGAACTCGCCTTGACTCCAAGTCAATTCTAGCCTTATAGTACTTTGTAATAATGATGTGGGAGAAATCTCTGAGGTAGGTCAGTACTGTTACTCTCATGTTCATGTAGTAATCCTGAGGTTCATAAACTTTCATGCTGTTTCACTAAGATGTTTCTGATAGGAGTTACAGATACTCTCCATGTTGTGGAAATATAGAGGGTCTCTAGGGTCAGGAAGCCTTATGAATGTTGTGAGAGGCAGCTTTTCTCCTCAAATGTGAGGCAGCTCACACAAAAGAAGTACAAATAGTTAATAAACAAACAAAAAATTCAATCTCACCAGCAATCAAGTTTGAAGTATATCAGCTTTGACCTATCAAATTGTAAAAGAGATCTTAAAATTTCTAGTTTGAAGTATCATGGAATAAAAATTTTCATAACTACTGGGAGCAGTTATAATACAAATTATCATGAAAACAGTGTGGTGTTATGGATCAAAAATGCTAAATCTGTCCTTTTGATGCAGCAATTTGGCATATAAAAATGTATCCCGAGGAAATAATCCAAGATACAATTAAAGTTTTATGGATAAAGCTGCTTAAAATTTTCTCCCCAACTTTTTGATATTATACATTATTCAAATGTGCATCAATAGCATAATAATTCAATTATTGCACATTCATTTTATGGAACGATATGAGGCCATTAAAACTCATGATTTTGAAGAAGTTTTAATGACATGGAAATGTTCACAATGTAATGATAAGTTATAAAAATAAGACATAAAATTGATATACAGTATCATTTCACATTTGTAAATATAAATGCCTGTGCATAGATGTATGAATGTTTGCTGGTGGTTTTATCTGTCTATTAATATTATGTTACATTTTCTTATTAATATTTGATTTTTAAAAATATTCTGCAATGAGTATATTTGCTTTTGCAGTCAGAAAATAAAGCAATGGATGTTATTTTAAAAGAAATAGCTCATAAAGTAAATATATATATTTACATATAATATTTGTTTATTTATTTATTTATTTTGAGATGGAGTCTCATTCTGTTGCCCAGGCTGGAGTGCAGTGGTGTGTTCTCAGCTCACTGGAACCTCCGCTTCCTGGGTTCAAGCAATTCTCCTGCCTCAGCGCCCCCAGCAGCTAGGATTACAGGCACATGCCACCACACCCAGCTAATTTTTGTAGTTTTGGTAGAGACAGGGTTTCACCATGTTGGCCAGGCTCGTCTTAAACTCCTGACCTCAAGTAATCTGCCCACCTTGGCCTCCCAAAGTGCTGGGATTACAGGTGTGAGCCACCATGCCCGGCCAAAAATATGTATTTAAATTTAACCTATTAAAAATGTAACTTTAAGACTCAATATGGTGCTGTATACCCAGTTTCATAGCCACTTATTTATTCTTCTTTTAATGAATATGTATTGAGTGTCTTTTCTCTGTTAGGTGCTGTTTTAGGCACTGAGGAGACAACCTTTTTGTTTGCAGAAACTCCTGAATCCAATCGCTTCTAACCACGTTTTTTTAGATATGAACTTTCTTCATATCCAGTTTCTTCATTTTGTCTTTCCTAAATGTGGTTCTAAAATTGTATTTTCTCTAGTTTAAATTCATCTTGTCTCTTTTTTTTAATTTCTTTCCCTTAATGTCAAACTAATATGTATGTATATCTTTTTTCGATGTGTTTTATATATATATATAATATTTATTTAGATATATACTCTAAAATAGTGTCTGATATTCCTTACTTGCCATACTGTAGAATCAAACTGCCTCTTGGTATTGTTTTGGAAACTGTTTTTAAAAATTAAAACTATACCAAAATCCACAGCCAGCAACATACTCTTATTTGATGATGGTAGAGATGGTATTTTGCTCTTGAGTAATTCTATCTAATAAATTCTGTGGATTTTGTTGGCAAGTTTTTTCTAGAAACAGATTGGGTTTTTCAGGCTCAGCAGTCATGGGGCAAAGAACTACTTCCAAGTGGTAACTTCATGCTCAGAGTATAAATTTCTTTTCTTTTAGTATAGACTTAGACTTTTATATAAAGAGGACAAATCCAATTCAGTAGCTGTTAAAAAACCCATTCATCAAAAAGCATTCCTAAATGTTTGAAACACACTGAATCATAGATTTTATTACTATTCAGTAGTACAATGACTTCCTCCCTTCTAAGAACCTATTAACTACTCATTGTTGTAGAATTGAACCTTTCGAGGGGATATATTCTTTCTTAACAGGATTTGGTGAAATATAATGATAATTTAAATCTACTAAACAGATTATTTTTCTCACTGGCACTCTTATCTTTATGTTTCACACCTCAGAATTTTCTTAAGACTTCATTTTTAGAACGTTCATTTTTAAAAATTCTTAATAAATGTTAGAAAATGTGTCAGTTTTTATTTGATCTGGGAAAATTATTTTAATGGACTGTTTTACATAGTCCCGCCTCATATGGTTGTATCATTTGCATACTGCTTAAAGGTATAGAGGGTGCAGATGCAAGTAGTGGTTGAAATCTTGTATTGCTGAGGGAAAGATGTCATTTTCCAATGCAGTTAACCAGATGGGACCATTATTGATTAATTAATTGTAATTCATATGCATGCTATGTGTATATATATATGCATGTGTGTATATATGTATATACACATATGTAGATATATGTATATCTACATATATCTATCTATCTATCTATATATATATATGTCTATATCCATATCTATATCTATCTATACCTATATCTATATCTATCCACTAGCAGATGACCTGGGCTTATATAAGACAATGTTTTAATTGTTAACAAATAGAAGGTCATGGTTTATGTCAAGGCTAATGTATGCGTGTATGTGCTTGTACACATAAGAAAAATCTCACGTTTCCAGAAAAATAGTCTATTTTTTGCTATAACCATTGTTTCATTAGCAGAACCATCAACGTTCCTAATGGAGTGTTAATAATCACCTGCTTATAGTGGTACCAGGTTCTATGTTATACTTAATATTTCTTTTTGCGCTATGAACTTATATTTTAAGAAAATTGCAATAGCATATATCAAATGTAAGATAGGCCATGATATCCAAATACAAAAAATTTCTCTTCTAATTCTCCCATTTAGTTGAATTTGAAACAGGGAATGAATTCAGGAAAGTATGGGAAAAGCTACTAAACATGTCTTAAATAAGCTATAGTTCTATGTTGGGTAACACAGAGATATGGAGATGTGAGAGCACACTGATTCATGTTGTTTTTTTCCATATTTATTTTCTTCTTACAGATTTAGAACCCTGCTAAGTTCTAAATATGGTTTGCCTATCAGTGATCACCCCAAAACTTGTGGTTTTTATTCTTATGTTAATGTTTGTAGAAGAACATCTTATTTTGGTTAAATGTAGCCACTGCTTCCCCCTCGCCGTAAATTAGGTGTATGATCTATTAAATTTTTAACACTAAAACTGACCTACAGTTGGCTATGTTAAAAAGCTTCTTTGAATCTGATAGCTCATTTTTAGCTATTTCTTTGAATAATCTGAAAGGTATATCCTGAAAAAAAAAATATATTACATAGCCGAGTTAACCCAGCTGCATATTAATTCTTTAAAATGATAAATATATGACATTTGGTTATTTTAAAAAGTAATGACATCAAATAAATTAATTTTTCATTTCATTATACAAAGTCTTTTAGGATTAGTTAGATGATGCTAAAATTCTGTACATCAAAAATGAGAATAAGACTTTTTTACTTAAAAGATTAATTTAATTGTCTACACATAATTTAAAAGGAACTTATTTTTCCTAAATTCTGACCAAAAATAGGGAAAATTGTTTTCGTTTATTAATGCTGATGGTTAAAATATGTAACATTTATTGAGGTCTTCTGTCAGAAGCTTCACTATTTTTCAAAATGGCACTATAAAATAATAACTATTGTTATCCCAATTTTACAAATTAGGAAACTGAGGTACAGGCCTCTCAAGTAATATGTCAAAGTGAAGGAAGCAAAAGACTCAAATCTTAAGTCCTGACTACAGTTCTATACACTGCCTTTATGGTACTGAGCTATATTAATTTCAGGCCCCTCTCCAGACTTATATAGTGCTTGCAAAGCAAACAACAGGCTTTGGAATTGCCAAGGAGGATGGATTTCTCTCAAAATTGTTTTATAATGATGGGAAGGCACATTTCATGAAATCATTATTTTCACTTAACATAGAAAAAAAATCTGCATGCTGAAAGTACTGTTCTACCCTCCTATATCAAGTATCCTTTGAAACATATGCGGCCTTTGACTGAGCAAAGAAATAAAAGAAGATGGAAGGAAGAGAGAAAAATTCAGGGAAAGGCTTTGCTACAGTTTTGCTTTGGGACAATCAGTAACCGTTTTCTCTACGTGGAAGTTCGTTAGACATTTTGGGAACTGTCTTGCCCTCCTGGGAAATATTTAGTTTGGTTTAATTACAAAAAAAAAAAAAACAGCTTTTTTTTTTTTCTTTTCTTTCTTTTTTGAGACGGAGTCTTGCTCTGTCGCCAGGCTGGAGTGCAGTGGTGCGATCTCGGCTCACTGCAACCTCTGCCTCCCCAGTTCAAGCGATTCCCCTGCCTCAGCCTCCTGAGTAGCTGGGACTATAGGCACCTGCCACCACACCCGGCTAATTTTTGTATTTTTAGTAGAGACAGGGTTTCACCATGTTGGCCAAGATCGTCTGGATCTCTTGACCTCATGATCCACCTGCCTTAGCCTCCCAAAGTGTTGAGATTACAGGCATGAGCCACCATGCCGAGCCAAAAAACAAACAAACAAAAAAACCCCAAAAAAACCCAGCTTTTTAAACACAACCTGGAGGAGACTAGTACCTAAATCCAGGGCATTGTCTGCCTTCCACCGTGGCTCCCAGCTGTCTTTTTGGCATGGGACAAAGAACAGGGCTTGACCCACAGTTGGCCCTCACAGAGTGGAAGCCAGCAGAATAAAGGCAGGAAGTTTTAGGAAGGAAATATTTGCTTGTTTGCTTTAATTCAAGAGTGGAACGTGGCAATCTTATTGCAGAATTCATCTTATTTTATTGCTTTTTAATAGCTTTAAATTTTCTATTATTCCAAAATGTAACTTTTGTGTAAAATGTTTCTAAACACAGGTTTTTTACATTAGTCAGGGTTTAATTTTGAGTTGTGACTTGAACTTGACTTTTCTGTGAGCGATGAAGCTCAGTCCTTGCAAAGCTGGATGGGTTTGCAGTCTGCCTCTCATCTGCTTTATCTCCTCCCTTTTCCCTCCTACTTCCATGCTGCCTTATCAGTTTTAGGGAGGGATCATGAAATTCTGTAAGAGAAGAAAACCAAGTGCAGGCTGTAGGTATAATTGGTGACTCAGTCCTGTGATGGTCATCAAAGGTGTCAGTTCCTCCGAAGTGAATCCACCATCACCTGACAGATACATTTATTGTTTAAATGTCATGATGAAAGTGCCCAAGAGCCCCACTGGTCTAAAGTGAGGTTTCTCCCAGGCTGAGCACATTCCTTAGGAAATAGGAATCCTGGTCCCTGATTTATGAATATTTACAATTGTTATCATCTGATGAACATTTTATCTATTTTCTTGCCTTCTCCCAAGACAGTACTTTTGTGCCAGTTTAAAAATGTATGTAATTTTAAAGTATGAGAGAAACAAGGTAGAGTGATTTATGAAAAAGCACACTGCTTCTAAGTGTATCTCCCCCACCAATGTAAACATCTAGATTGAAATGCGGAAAAAAAAAAAAAAGACCTGCTCTTCAATGTAGAATCCTCATACTTTAAATGTCTAAGGAAAGAGAAGAATGTTGTGCTGAATCCCAAAGCAGTGTGACAAAGTTTTTCCTACGATGTTACTGTGGACAGAAATTGATGTCTGGCTGGGTGCGGTGGCTCACACCTGTAATCCCAGCACTTTGGGAGGCTGAGGCAGGCAGATCACGAGGTCAGAAGATCGAGACCATCCTGGCCAACATGGTGAAAACCCATCACTACTGAAAAAAAAATACGAAAATTAGCTGGGCATGGTGGTGCATGCCTGTAAACCCAGCCACTCGGGAGGCTGAGACAGGAGAATTGCTTGCTTGAACCAGGGAGTTGGAGGTTTCAGTGAACCGAGATTGCGCCACTGCACTCCAGCCTGGCAACAGAGCAAGACTCCATCTTAAAAAAAAAAAAAAAATTGATGTCTATGCACTGATAAAACAACAAATCCTTGAGAATGGGGCAACACCACTTTCTAGCCCAAATTCTGCTTGGCTTTGTCACCTTCCATTTCAGATGATAATGTCTCACCCTGCTCTTTCTCATGAATAGAGTCTTGGTCTCCTTCTATTTTGGAACCTGTTTTCGACATGCCCTCTATACCTTACCCTGAAAAGGGATCTAAATATCATTTTTGTGGGAACTGTCAGGGTTAGGGTGAACCCAGTAAACCTCTCTACCCAAACTACCACTGCAGGTGATCAGTTCATCTGATCACAGTCTTTCCAATCCTGTTCTTATATTTGACCATTTTTAAGTACACTATTATTTGCTCACATCTACTTGGAAAGTAATCGTTGTCAAGAGGAATGATGAAAGGATCATCTTTTTCAAGTGCCCAGGAACTTTGTGCATATAATTTCATTTAAGATGCATTAATCATATAATCACATTTTCCATACTACAAGCAAATAACTGAGGCTTATAGAGGTAAATAATTTCCCAGTGCTACACAGCTCACAAGTTGCAGAGGTGGAGTTCAAAGCTAAAAGTCTGTTTGTGTCAAAGTGCTTGCTCTTCCATGGCATAATGAAGCATCTCCTTGTGGATGCACTGTCCCATGTGGTTGTGAGCCACTAGTTAGTTTTTACAGTATTTCTATAGCAAATACTGTAAGTACTAGCTTTGTTTTATTTCAAGCATCACATTTAAAATAATTTTGGTTAATTTACAGAGTATGATATAGTTTTGGCAAGTAGAAGTATGTGTGAGTCTTACTGCAATGGATAAATGTGCTAGACTTCCTGGAAGATAAGATTCCAAAGAACCCCTTCATTCATTCATTCAGTCAACAACTACTTATTGAATTCTTGCCTTATGCCAGGCACTGGGGAGAGATCTGTGAACATACCAGGCAAAAATCTCAGCCTTTATGGGGTGCATTGTTGGGCAAGACAGATAAACAAATGAATAAAATAAGTACTATATTATATGGTGATAATTGCTTTGGAGAACAGTAAAATAAGGAGAAACAATTCTAAAAGCCATTTTAAGTAGGGGGTATCATGAAGGCCTTATTGAAGGGACATTTGAATAAAGACTTAGAGGAGGTGGGCCAGGCACGGTGGCTCACGCCTGTAATCCCAGCACTTTGGGAGGCTGGGGCAGGCAGATCACGAGATCAGGAGATCGAGAACATCCTGGCCAACATGGTGAAATCCCATCTCTACTAAAAATAGAAAAAAAATTATCTGGGTGTGGTGGCACGTGCCTGTAATCCCAGCTACTCAGTAGGCTGAGGCAGGAGAATCGCTTGAACCCGGGAGATGGAGATTGCAGTGAGCAGAGATCACACCACTGCACTCCAGCCTAGCGACAGAGTGAGACTCTGTCTCAAAAAAAAAACAAAAACAAAAACAAAAAACAAAACAAAAAAAAACTTAGAGGAGTTGAGGAGGCAGACATTTGGGGCAAGAGTATTATAGGCAGAAGGAGGTGTAAGTACGGAGACCATGAGGAAGTTCTCTTCCTGTAATAAGCCAAAGAGAGGCTAGTGGGTGATAAGGTCAGTGAGAAAATGTATATTGTATGAAATTCTGTTAGGCCTTGAGGCATTGTAATTACTTTGCCTTTCATGATGAGGAAATGGGGGATGTCACTAGAGGGTTTTGAACAGGAAAGTGACTGCTATGAGTTATGTTTTAAATGATCACTCTAGCCCACATTTTGAGATGAGGTGAAGGTGGAAGCCTTACTTCAATAAACCAAGACAGGAATAACGGTGGCTTAAACCAGAGTAGTGGCAATATGGTTAGTAAAATGAGAGACTTAAGTTACATTTACAGCGTGGAGTCTTCTAATCATAGAATTTAGTGATGAGTTGGAAGTGGCTTTGAGAGAGAAGGAAAAACATCAAGAATGACTTCAAACATTTGGCCTCCATATGCCATTAACTGGACTGGAGAATATTAGAGGAGGAATAGGTTTAGTGGGGAGGGAGTGGAGGTGAAGATCAGGATAGTCACTTTGCATGTATTAAGTTTGAAATGTCTATTAAGCCTTTGAAATGTCCTCAAGGAGTAATAGACATTTCAAACTTAATATATGCAAATATTGTATAGATAATAGGATATACAAATCTAGAATTCAGGGGAGAGATCAAGGCTATGGATATAAATCTGGAGTCATCTTGATTTGTCTATATCAGTAGTATTGATGAAATCACTAAAGGAGTAAATTTACACACAAAAGAGAAGGTCCAAGGGCTAACCTGGGACACCCCAACATTAAGAGGTTGGTAAGATGAAATGGAAAAGAGAACTTCACAAGAGAGTCCCAGTGAGGTTGGAAGAAAATCACCAGTGAGTGGCATGCTTGAATGTAATGAAGATGGTAGGTTAAGAAGGAGAATGTGATCAACTGTGTCAAATAGTGCTGACAGTTCAAGTAAGAGGAGGATGGAGAACTGACTTTAGACTGAGCAATGTGGAGTTTATTGATGGCCTTAAGGGGAGCAGTTTTGGTAGAATTGTGGAGCAAAATTTTGGAGTGAGTAAGAGAGAGAATGAGATGAACTGGAGATCAGAGACTATACAAAACAATAGAAATCACCAATATTGTCATAATAGACTACAGGTATTATAGCTAGCTTTAAAGATAATGTTTATGTTCGTAACTTTTTTTGAAATGATGGCAGTTTCTAGACTTGCTAGAAGACCTTGCTATTGAACATTTTATGAATTAGCATATCTATTACTGTATCACTAATTTGTGTTTTTAATATTGTGATAACTATGTCAAGTTAATTGAAGTTATTTATAGTCCTATATTTTTATTTATGCATTTAAAAACATTGTTCTCAGAAAGGATCCCTTGTGATTAACTAGTAGTCCTTAGCAAAAAAACTTAAGAACCATTCCCATTTTAGGGTCACTCTCAAGATTTCTACAGATCCTTTCCTTCTCCTATGCTTTATCAACACTGTCACTATTCCTAACCCTACCATCCCCCCTTTTCTAAGGGCAGTCACAAAGTGGAATTAAAACTAAAGTTGCTATCCACCATAGATCCTATGCCATTCTGTTCTGTTCTGTATTTCCCCCTTAAAATTTTAATTTGGAATATTATGCTATGAAGAGATGCTTGCAAATTTAAATGAACCTTCCAATATCTTTCAGAATGTCAAAGATGGAATATGTTCACAATATTTGATTCAATTAACAAATGTCTTCTGTTTTTCTCTCTTTTCTCTTGTAGTCATTTGTGAATAATTAACTTGTATTTTCATGCTACATATTATCTGAGAAAAGATCATTGTAATTAGTAATTAGTTCTCTACTCTAAAACTTTTTGAAGTTCTTAACTACTTCTGTTTTGCTGTAGGGTTTCAAATGAGGCAAATTGAAAAATTCAATCAGACTTAGCTGGTATTTTCCATACAACATCTGGTTTGACAGCTAGATGTGTAGTCAAGCTTATAAATCAAAATGAAGCTGAGTTGGAAGTGATATAGAAATGCAAAAATGCTCCATGATTTTTGTAGGAGATTTGTGATCATTTTTTATGTTAATGTAATTAAACTAAAAATGAACTTCTGTATTTTAAATTCTACACATTTTCATTGTGAAAATGGTTTTATTATAATCACTTTATGAAAAATAAAGTTATCTGCAGAGAGAGAAGGCAGAGAGCTTGAGGAAAGAGGAGAGAAAGAAATATTTTTAGGGAGTCTGCTAGCAAAGAAAAAAAAATTTCAAATAGCTATGAGGGTCAACATGGGAAACTTACATACCTGGCTTGAAGAGACTTCTGAAAGGAAACAATTATAAACTCAGTACAGACTAGCCTTGTAGCAGGATCTGTTGTTTGAGGTGTTGCCAACTCATGCTTAGAAACTTAGACATAGGAGTATAGATGTGGAGGGAGTCTTGAGATTGGAGACCTTGCCAAATGGCTTTGGTAGAAGAAGATGGGGCTAAGAAAGAGAAAAGAAAGATAGCAGTTTGTGTCAGCAAAGTTTCTTACTCCTGAGTTTCTGGTCGGATAGAGAGAAAATTAAAGCTAGGAAAAGAAAGAAAGGTGTGCTAAGAAATTAGGACGAGCTTAAGAAATTAGAGATTGCAATGAGGGACAAGTAAGTTCAGTTGCACTGAGAGTAGAATGGGGGCATTGGCACAAATAAGGTTGTGGAATGTTAGACCTGAAAGTAGTTGTAGAAATCATCTACTTTCACCAGTTCATTTTCCAGATTTCCCAGAGAGGTTAATTCTCTTTCCCAAGCTCATGGAAATAACCAGGGGCAGAGCCCTTAGAACTCAGGGGACTGAATTCTGAACCCTTGCATATTTTTGTTCTCTTGGCCCAATTGCCGCAGAAGTGGAAAGAATGATAATCCTGACTCCTCTTCATAAAATAAATGATTTAAAGAAACATCTCATTATTTTTACTGGGCATGAGGATTGAAACAGGAATAAAAATAGAAATCCTGTCTTGGTTTCTAGCTCAAAGAGTTCCCTGATCATCAATCCAGGCATTCCCTGAGAATGCTACCATTATCACTGAAGATTTGGGAACATGAAATTCTATAGAGAGGAAGAGGTTTTGAAGAGAATAAAAGATTGTCAAAAAGTTGAATCTGCTGCATTAGGACACTAAGCCAACTTCTGCTGTAAGCTTTTGCCGTGAGTCTGAGGGTGTAAAATAGCAGCAGACTGAAGATAGTAATTATAACTTTTTTCAACATCTACCCTGTGGATACCAGCGCTTGGCAGGACCTGTGCAATGGGGATGTGTATAATTAAGAGAGAAGGGTCTGTAGAAAGGCTGTGGGGAGGAGATAATTCATTTACACTCTCTCTCCCTATGTCTGAATAGAAGCGTAACTACTTGGACAAGTTAAATGATATCTGACCTATAAAGGGAACTTTCATGAACCTCCCATTTATCACGTATCTTGAAAGTGCATTTTAAATCTCAAACCTTAGCTCTCCCCATTTTAATTCCTTTCCTTCTTCTTTGAGCAGTCATATTTGGAGGATCTCAAAATGCAAGAGTGTGAGAATCAAAATTAGGATAGTTTGCCCCAGGAGTAGTAGGATAGTGAGTGTTCCTTTGTCAAATTTGGCTCTGGTGCTGGAATTTTAACATGTGTTATTGGCTCTGGGGATTATGTTCTGGTTCCGGCTGAGTTAAAGCTTGCTTTGCTTTTGTTTTCTGTAAGTATTTAATAAAATGGCAGGATTCGCTTACTTACTTATTGAATTCTTTTGCCTGGGAAACATGCAAATTCTGAACCCAGCTGCACATTTGTGACAAAGAGATAGCTAATAATCTGAGCTATATGCTATTTTTTTTAAAAAAAAAAGCTTTTTATTTTTCTACAAAGGCAGAACTATAGTACACAAAGTTAAGCCTTTTAGAGACTGAGTTTAAATCTGCTTTCTATTAATAGCTTTCAAGAGTTTTTCTAAATAACCTTCAGGCACAGGCATTTTTTTTTTTTTTTTTTTTTTTTTTGCAAGAAAGCAGGTGGAGGAAAAAAAGACCTGTGGTTTGTTAACCAATAAATGCTAAGTTGCTAAATCTTCCTGTTTCAAATAAATCAGTTGGGCCAATTAGAATATTTATTTTCTTCCTTTCTCTTTTATTCAATATTCACAAATGATACTAGAGATGGAATAAACTCCTGAGATTATCTGGCTCAGATTCTTAATGTTCTGGAAGCTGGTACTGAAGGCCAGCAAGGATGAATGATCAAAATTGCATAGTTTGTGTGTTCAATAACTGCTTTTGGCCCCTCTAGTTCTATGTACCCTTCCTCTGTACCCTGCTCCAGGCCACAGAGGCTCACCTTTATGAAATGCTTCAGAGGGCCCTCTCACTGCTTCTGGTTGCATTTGGCCATATGTAGGGTTCATATGCGTAAGTCCAGGTGGCAGAAGGAGAGAGAAAGGAGAACTCTAATTTCTCTGGCTCCCTTCAGGCCTAGCTTAGTAGTGGCTGCAATGCTGGTGACCATCTCCTGTAAGCACACTTTTCAGCAGTTCTAGCAAATTTTCCCCTTGTCTTCTGCCTTAGGATGGTGATGCCATCCTGCTGATGCTGTCCCCATGTTTCACCATCCTTGCCAGCTCCCCCTAAGTCGGCCTACATTTTTGCAAAGGTTTGCTGGATTAACTTTCTTGAGTCACTCCTTTTGAGTGTATCATCTGTTTCCTGACAGAATCCAGACTGGCACAGCTCTGGTAAGCACCAGTGCTGGGACTGGGACCCAGGACTCTTTACCCTATTCTAATGTCCTTCCCACTATGCCCAAGAGTACAAGAAAACTTTGTAATCTTCCTTCAGGATCAAACATATATATATATGCATATATATATATGCATATATATATATGCATATATATATATGCATATATATATATATATATATGTATATATATACACACACATATTCTGGATATATTTCTTCTAAAGTATTTTTTACTTGTCTCTCATTTCTACTGTGGAATAAATGTATTCTTTCAATTTAATAAATGAGCAAATAGTAAATTTAGGAAAAAATGATAATAAAAGATTACATCTCACTTCTTTTGATTTACTTGGTGAAGCCAGACTGTGGGAGATATCTTTGATAAAGTTGGTCCTATTGACCAAGAAAGAAAACATTATACTAAAGACTTCACATAACCTGTTTATTCTCTATTTCCCATCAGGAGATGGTTTGTCAGGAAATGTGTGATAGATACATGTCATGAATTCAATTTAGACAGAGCTAGGTAGCATTATGGCTGTTTGTCCACTTTTCCCTTTTGAATTATCTTCTACATTCCATGGTTTTATTACCACTAGTTTTCTTTCCCCAAAGCAAAGCCATTAGGCATTCTTTTTGCTGTGCACTTACTACATAATTTCCCCAAAAAGCTTCTAAACTCTTTTTGTCCCGTAGGAGGATGAGGCCCTTGCCAGATCTCCTAAGGGTTAGGATTAAACGGAATATTGGTTACTGTTGAGCCTGTCACTGCATCAGTTTTCTGGCTCCTCTTAGAGTGTGATTTGCCAAATTCAGTTGAAATCAGTTAAGCAACCACTTTGGAAAAATACAGATGCTTTTAAACACAGTCAGAATACTGAGATTTACTCTGCAGGAAAACAGAGCAACAGGTAAAAATAATAAGAGGAATTAATTTCACTCTGAAATGACAGCATTATGCCTTTTGACTATTGACTTTTTGCAGAGAACATTTCACTGGAGGGAACTGACAACTCTTACTAGCTGCCTGCAAAGCTTGCCTCCTCCTTGCTAAGGAGTAGAAATAATGTAATTATTGTTTATTGCCTGGATGACAATAACTTGCAAAGATTCTCAGCCCAAGCTCTGCAAGCCAGTTAACTCTGGATATCAGTTGGTTTTACAGGGTCAATACATTAACAAGATAGCAAGCAATGCCTACTCATTAAGGCTCAATTTACTCCCACTTCCCTTGGGAAGAATCCCCTCTGCTCCCAAAACTCTTACCAGTGGTTTTCAAACCTTACTAAGCTTGAGAATCATTTGCTGGGTCTGGCTTATTGAAACGCATCCTAGATTTGCACAAGACAGCCACTGGCCTATCCATCACCTTTGTGTTAATTAGAAAAAGAGGAACTCTTTGGGCAGATGCAGCCCCCACATGTAGGAAATATGAAGGCTAACAAGCAAAAAGGTTCTTCTTCCTTGGGTGGTCAGGTACCTTTGCAAAATGCACAAGAACAAAACCAAATGCCATAGCTCTAGGGTCTTAATATTTTTGTCAGCTTCTGCAGAATTCCCTTAAAGGCTCTGCAAGTTAGATTTGAGCACCCCTTTCTGGCAGAGCACTACTCCATGACCAGAATGACTAAATTTTGCCTAAGCAAATTTCCAAATGCCATGTTGTAGCGTCACTAGAGAAAGATACCCCCCAGTCAGATCTTGGTGATGAAGGTGAGACACAATGGGCTCCAAGAATTTGAAATCCCTCATCTGTGAAGGCAGAAATACTAGGAGAATGGGTAATGTTTATACCATCAATGAAGAAACTCTTGTAACCTAGGGTTTTCAAATTACAGAAGAGGAAGAACAATGGAGGCTGATCTCCAGTTTGTGACAGTCTAGATAGGTGGCCTCAGTCTTGCTCTTATAAATTCTAATTCCCAGAAGTCATGCAGTCGTGTGTCTATCCATATATCCATTCATCCAACATTTATTGAGTGTCTACTCTGTGCCAGCTGTTATGAGAGGCAATGAGGAAAACTGGAATTAATGTAGGCTTTGGAGCCAAACAGATAAGTGCCTGAATTCTGTCTCCCTCGACTTCTTAGATGCATACTGTCATGCAAGATGATTAATTTTACTGAATTGGCATTGTCATTTGGAATGTATTTTATCACCTACATCATAGGGTGATTGTGAGAATAAGATATTATACATTTCTATAGTGCCTACTGGGCTTGGTACATAGTGAGTAATCAGTAATTGATAGATATTATTCAGAGTCATGATACAATGATACCACAAAATAATCGTTATCTTTTTCTTCCTATTCTCTATTGATGATCTATGTATATAACATCCATTTTCCTGTCTTATATTGTACCTGAGTCAGAATAAAATGGATCTTTTCAGGGAAACAATACTCAGAGTAAGATTAGAAAATACCAAAGGCACCTAGGAAAAGTTTCTGACTTTTCAGAGGTTAGAGGAAGTCTTCCTTCTATTTTGTTGTTTACCATGTATTATATGATAAGAAATTTGGAAAGACTTTGATAATGCTATATATGTTAATGTGCTCCAATGTTTTCCAAAGCATGTTTACGTCTAGTATCTTGGTACTTTTCCTAATTGAGATCTGAGCTTATTACTTCCGTTTTATATATGAGAAAACTGCACAAAATTACATTACAAGCCAATGACAGTGTTTAGGCCAGAATCCACAGCTCCAGGTCTAGTCCAGTAATTTCTCTACTTGTAGCCCAAGGCCTATAATAATCAGCCTTTTGTGGGAAAGACTTGAACAATTCAGCAATTAAAAAAGAAAAAGTAGCAGTCGATTCCGCCAAGGAAGGGTATACCTGGGCTGTGACAGTTTCTCAGGAAATCACTTAACATTTTGAGGCCTGCTAGCACATTGGATTTTAATCCAAATTTATCTAAAAATAATTTTCAATGGACTTTAAACCTCATTTTCCTTCTGTTAACAATTTGACATAATTTTAACTGAAGCTAAGTTTATGTATTCATATTCATCCATGGGGCATGACCAGTGCCTACAGTTTGCCCTAAGAGGTCAGCATTAATATTGTAATCCATTGCGGGACCGTGTAGTGCACAACATGCTCTCCTGTACATAGTAGCCTTGCCTTTGCCTGAATGTTGTCACATTATTTTCGCTATTTTAAGCGTTTTTATTTCTCCTCTGCAGTCACTGAGGAGCCCTGCAAAAGGAGCTCAAGAAGCAGCAACCTTGATTTTTAAATTAGTTTAACTAGACACAGAACAAATTTAAGATAAGTTTCAAATATATGGTTTACAACATGATTCACATTTGTCTGTCAAATACTATATGGTTACATTCAATTTATAAAAGCAGATACTGAAATGTATTAAGAAAAATCTATATATTTCAAATTTCATACTAGAAACTTTATTTTAAATAAATATTTTATGTTTAGAAGAGGCTGGATTTACTGACTAGTAGAGGCATAAATTTTATTTTTGACCAGCATTTTAAGTTAGGAATTATGATGTACATATCCAGAATGGAAGTAACAGCTAGTATTTGCGAGCACTTACTATGCACCAGCTTTGTTCTAATTATTTTGTATTTCAAAACTTCTGTGATAGTCTTAACAACCTTTTGAGATAGATTTTATTATTATCCTGATTTTATAGCAGAGGAAATGAAGGTTCAGAATGGGTGGGTTATTTTTCCAAGGTCACATAGCTCTTCTGGTTGAGATTTGAACTGACCAGTGTCTCTAGAACCTGGCCTACAAAGCCTTGGGCTAATTTTTAAAAAAATAAAACTTATATCATCTAATATTATCTTAGGAGGACAGTGTCAGCATGTCATAAAACATATCAGAAGCACAATCTGGATGATATCTATTTTAAGTTTCAAAGATAAAATTATTATGTAGAAAATAGATGAAATTCTCTAAGCAATATTTATTATTTTTATAAGGTAATGTATCTTTGAAGTTTATAGCTATCTTAGAAAAAAACAAAACCCATGAGTCATAACTAACTATGGTGTGCCAGTAAGACTGTTTCAAGCAAAGAGTCTTTCTGGAAGAACATGATGGTATGACTTATTCTTTGTTGGGAAAGTACAGAAAAAAAATGTAATGTAATCATCACCATTTGATCAAAATATGGAAAATCTTAAAATAAACCTCCTTGATTCATGTATTCATTTTCAACTCTCTCATTTCAGACAACCGGCAGTGAGCATTTACTAGGGAAGATTTTTGTCTTTAATAACTTGAATTATTGGTGGGTGCACATTCAAAGACAATTAATGATTTCCTTCTTCATAAGAATTACTTTTCTGTGATATCAGAAGTGATATGCTGGATTGATTTGTGTGTTGCTTACACAAAAGTCAGAAAGATCTTGAGGGAACTAAGTTATGAGCCCATCAGCGAGGCTCAACTGGGTCAGGTTTATGATTAAGATAACCGAGGTCAGACCTGAATAGAAACTTCCACTTGGTTTTGCTGGTTGGTTTCTCTGTACACTAGAGTTGTTTCTCAGTAGGCTCTGTTTTCTTCAGTGGAAGGTAAAGAACATAGTGGGAATCATATTAATAGCTCCAGGTTTTTGAAAACTACTTGGAGGTCTTCTGTGGAAGTATTTCAAAGGATACCTTGCATTCTGAACGGCTGTAACACTACTGTGCTGGCTTTTGACTCTTAGGTTAGCTAACCAGGGAAGAACCTGTTTTTGTATCAGGCTTATCTTAAAATTGTTGAAATTATATAATAAATTACAAGCAGGGCTAATTTTCAAAATATTTAACAACTAGTAGGACATAAGCACTAACCAAGCAGAAGAGTCCCTGGCTGTAAATAATGGGTACATTGATAATAATTGCAAGTCAGATTATAAAGGAAAATGGATTTTCAGAGAGATCCTCAATTTACCTGACTATGACAATGTCAACTTAGAATTAATTGATTTACCTTCTATAATGGCCCATTATTGCTTAAGTAGTACATCATCATGATGCACATGCATGTGTGCGTGCCTCCACACACACACACATAAATACACACACAATTAATTTTTCCATTAGGTATGATATCCTAATGTCATCAAATGAAAAACAAGACGGCATACCCTGAATCGTCTCCAAGGCCCTTCGTAGCTTAAAAAATTTACTTTCTGGCTGCTACAGATGCGTTGCTTATGTCTTTTGTCTCTGAAGATTTGATTTTACCTCCTGATGAGCTGTTGAAAGGTAGTAGCTCTTAGATTGAGTATAAAAGTGACATCTGTCTCTTTTCAAAGCCTCAGAACTTTTGTATGCATCTGGGAAGCTCTGTCCCCTGCATAGTTTCAATTACAATGAGTATTCTTTTCATTTTGGATCTTAGCAAAGACTTTTGCCACTGTGTGGCTGTGTGACAGCTGCTGTACACCCCTCCAGTGGTGGTTGACGTGATTTCTGCACCTGTCTTATGCTTAAAAATATTGGGGGGAGAAAATGGACCCAGCATGCTGGAAAATATTGACTTGTTTCCCATATTAGGCTTAGCTGCTGAATGTCACGGATCTGGAATGAGAGGAAAGCCAGCCAATTTGTCAAGGTCACTAGCTCCCTCTCTGAAAAGTGCTCTGTTTATCTAAAGAGTTCTGAGACAGGGTCTTATGTCCATTAAAGATGAAGGTTCACTGTTATTTTAGGGCTGGACTTGGAGATGGGCTTTCTGAAAAATGTAAACAACTTAATCAGGCCAGGTGAGATGAGCCTATCTCTGTATGCATCCCCTACCTCCACTTTCTGTCCTCTAGATCCCTTCCCAGTGTAGTATTAAATGTTTCACATGCTAAAATAAATATTCTGAACAAACAGCAGGTCAAGTAATCCAGTTTCCTTTTTGGGAAAAAAATAAATCACATTCAGGATTAATGGAGAGGAACAAAAGCCAATAGTGTGGTTAAGAATTTGGATTCAGGAGCAAGAAAGACTTGGGTTCAAATTCCATTTCATGCCCTATCTCTGTGATCTTCAATATATTACTTAAAATTTCTATGCCCAGTTTCCCTATCCGGAATATGAGTAAACAGTACCTATCTCATAGATTTGTCGTAAGAATTAAATACGTTAGGGGACACATTATTGCAATGCCTCAAACATAGTAAGCCATTTAAAAGATATGGTGTTGGGCTGGGCATGGTGGCTTATGCCTGTAATCCCAGCACTCTGGGAGGCAGAGGCGGATGGATCATCTGAGGTCAGGAGTTTGAGACCAGCCTGGCCAACATGGTGAAACCCCATCTCTACTAAAAATACAAAAATTGGCCAGGGGTGGTGGTGCATGCCTATAATCCCAGCTACTCAGGAGGCTGAGGCAGGAGAATCGCTTGAACCCAGGAGGCAGAGGTTGCAGTGAACCAAGATCACGCCACTCCAGCACTCCAGGTGACAGAGCAAGACTCTGTCTTAAAAAAAAAAAAAGACAGTGTGTGTGTGTGTGTGTGTGTGTGTGTGTATTTAATGTTAAAGAAAAAGCTGGCAATAGCCTTGTGATAAATACAGTGCAGCAAGGCAAAATGACTTGTCTTGTATTTAAATAAGCATACCATCTATTCAGAGGAAATCTAGCATTCAAAGGGAGTTTCTGCACAGTGACAAGAGAGGTGCTGAATCCGACAGATCAGAATTCAAATTCTGTCTCATGTGATTACACCTCAATTTCTTTACCTATAAAATGGGTTAAGACCAAACTCCCTGCACTGTGCGAAGCCTCTAAAATCTCTCTCTATGCCCCTCACACAGTGTGGCCCTTATATGAACTCATGCTTTTTTGTTTTTGTAAGGATTAAATAGTTGCAGCTGAATAAATGTTTTGCATGTAGCTACAAAGGTTGCTTATAATTCAGGAGTAATTTTATACTTCATAGGATGATGCTTTTATATTTCTAATGGTTCTTTTGCTGTATGGAGCCATTCACATAACTGAAAATGGTAAACATTTATTAAAAATATATAAAATATATTAAATGCAATGTTTTATGATATGAACTAAATCTCAAATATCATACATATTTTGACAAAGATAGGGAAATAAGGATCTTTTGTTTAATATACTAGAGTCTCAGTGAGACTCTCACAAGTGTGACATTCATGTATTCACATATGATTCTTTAAACAGACATTTATTAAACATATAGTATATCTCAAAACCTGCCTTAAGCATGTTTAGGATACAAAAAAAATGTAAGATTTTTTCCTCCCTGTAAAATTTCCCTGAAAGGAAGATAATTATAGATATAAGTAAATATACTTCAAGTTAGAAAATTTTAATGGCTATAGAAGTAAAATAATAATAATATACAATTAGAGTTGAATGGGGAAGAAAAATGCTTTTGGTTGTATCAGAAAATAGTTTATGTAAGAGTTAAATTTGGTTATAAAATATAATTTGTCAAAAAGCAATGTTCCAGGCAGAAGAAATAATTTGAGCAAATTAGAGATAGACCCTGAAGGAGACGTTCAAAGAGTGGTAAATCATGGTTTTGTTGGAGCATATTGGTATTAAGAGTAATTGCATAGAGAAACAGAAAGACTAGGTTGAGCCCAGATTGTGTTAAGTCATGGGGAGATGTTAGAACTTTCTGAGCTGTGAAGTGACAAGTTTTCTATTTAATGTCTGGCTTTAGGCCCGTGATTCTGAACCACTCAGAAATCTAGAGCTTTTCCATTTCATAGTTACAGTATCCATTCCTCTCTGCACACATTGTTAGAATCACAAAACATGTGAGAAAGCTATCCTTTTAGGTGTGCATTGGGAACACAAGCCCTGTGAAATTGGAGGCTGCTGCCTGTGTCTAGCAAGTCTGCTGGTATTTGCCAAGCATAAGAAAATGGACTTTAATTTTCACATACTATAAGCATTTGAAACATACGTAGTGGTACTCCAATCATGTTTAATCCTATACTCACTGCAGACTGGATGTTTTCAACCTAACAGGTCCTAATTTTCATATTGGCCATAGTGACTTTTTTTTTTTTTTATTTTGAGATGGAGTTTTGCTCTTGTTGCCCAGGATGGAGTCCAATGGCGCGATCTTGGCTCACTGCAACCTCCGCCTCCTGGGTTCAAGCAATTCTCCTGCCTCAGCCTCCCAAGTAGCTGGGATTACAGGCATATGCCAACACGCCAGGCTAATTTTGTATTTTTTTAGTAGAGACGGGGTTTCTCCATGTTGGTCAGGCTGGTCTCCAACTCCCGACCTCAGGTGATCCACCTGCCTCGGCCTCCCAAAGTGCTGGGATTACAGGCATGAGCCCACAGCACCTGGTCTGGCCATAGTGATTTTTAAAGGGGATGTTTATCATAATATTTCCACAACTGATAGTTTCTCAGTAAATTTATTATTGATTTGGCAAAATATATATTTGAATAAATACTAATCATAGAAATTTGCCTGCATTCTTTCATATTGCTGAATGGCTCCATTGAATACTTTAGGAATGTTATCAATGCAGATTATAAATTTTTGCTAATGTTTGACAATAAATTTGTTATATTTGTTTGCAAGATTACATGCTTTTTCCAGAGTCTCCTAATCAAATAGCTTTAACAGCAAAGAAAAAAATAACACAATTATAATTTATCTGATCTGGAATTATGTCTTTGTTCTCAAAATTAATACAAAGCCTAATTAAGAGACCCACACTTGACACCTTCTCCTCCCTCTCTTTTACTGAAAAGAACATTTCACTGAAGTATTATATTGGACTGCTTTATGTTATGATTTATGGATTCACATTGAGTTTCTGGGATTTTTTTTACTTCATTTTAATAGGATCATAGGAATGAAGGGAGCAAATAACAGATTGTTATCATTTAATATGTTCAATTTCATCAGTTGGTGTGATTGCATATGTGGTTTACCAGTCCAGGATAGAACACCCCATGTCCTTGTGGTATTCTTCCTGTAGATATAAATTTTATAATGAAAATGAGCCATGCTATATCTTATGGTTAAGCTCCATAAATCAATGACTCTTAGATAAATAACACATTAATAAAATCTTCCCAAGTAGATCTTTAATTGAGAGCATTGAAAATAAGAATCGGTCAGTTGTCACAAAGTGTCACATAACACATGTAGTAACAGGTCTGCTCTCTTAAAAACGCATCTCCATGTTGTTACGCAAGTGCATTTGTCTTTTATCCTATCCTTGATCTAGATATTTCCTAGACATTCTCCCCATTCTGTCCATTTTGCTTGTTGGAAAATATCTTTGGTCAATGCATTCAGAAAAGCTTTATTAAAACTTTCTTTGTACATGGTACTATGTTATACGATGCCTCAACTACCAGGTTTTTCAGTCTGTCTGATCACAGTTCACCAAGTGGGCATAATTTGAGAATTTCGAGAAGAGCCCTCTCCCTAAAATATACAGTGATGCACTACAATAACAATGTTGTGGCCAATGAGGGACTACATATATGATGGTGATCCCACAAGTTATGATATTGTGTTTTTATCCTACCTTTTCTATGTTTAGATATGCGTAGCTACACAAATACCATTGTGTTACAAATGCCTACAGCATTCTATACAGTAACTTGCTATACAAGTAAGTTCCTAGCCTAACAGCAATAGCCTATACCATATAGCCTAGGTGTGTAGTAGACTGTCATCTAGGTTTATGTAAGTACACTCTGTGATGTTCGCACAATGACAAAATTGCCTAATGATGCATTTCTCAGAACCTATTCCTGTCGCTAAGCGCCACATGACTGCATTTTCCTCTCTTGGCCAGCCTAACTTAGTGTCAGTGATTAAAATTTTTTCTTTAAGAAATAGTATATTTTATTGAGTTAATCTGTATTTTCCCTAAATTTATCAAGATTAAAAAAAGAAAAAAATATTTGAAAACAGAATGAAAGAAAAAGTATGTGAAACCAAGGGTGAGAAAGGTAGGGAAAAAATACAAATTATGAAGTCCTAGAAACTTATTAGTCTCTGGAAATTTATTAGTGTTTGTCTCTGATGCTTTTTTATATTTTCAGCAGGGGAGAGGGAGACAGAGTGAGAGAGGGTGGGGGAAACAAAGAGGGCAGGCTCAGTTGCTTAAATAACAACACATTTTAAAATAAAGTTATGTAGAAGAAGCAGAACCATTCCCCTTTCCCCATGGACCCTCATAAAGAAAATACCTTGTGATATAGTGAAATGGTAATTTCAATAATGTTCTAATAGTAAAACCAGCATTGAGTGTGATAGCTCTGTTTCTTAGTGTCCTTTAATATAGTGGGACCTCAGAACAACTCAAGAAATGCATCTGTACAAGATACCCCATTAGAGAGTAATCAGAGAGTAATTGGTCCTCTAAGTTACAACACTGTCCTGGGGCCATACCTTGGAAAGATAAAGATTTAGGCATGAACACCTTGGTGTAAAGTAGTTTATGCAAGTTTTTTCTAATACAATCATTAGAGTAGGGCTGGCTTTCTAAGTTGAAGGCCAGAGACAGAAAGAAGGCTGCCCTGGAGAGATTAAGTAAAAGTCAGGGATTTGGGGCTGAAAACAAGGGCAACTTAAAAAGATGATTACCTCAGTGTCCTTCTTGGAGCTGGTTGTGTACATGAATAGATTTTAAAAATGCAAAATATTCTAAGATTAAGATTTACCAGCGCCAAGAAAAGAGACTGTAGGAAAATTTTCATTAGCAATTCCTGAGTCATTCATGCTGTGGAATACATGAAAAAAGAAGTTTATCAAGAACTTCCAAGTACATACGTAGATCCATCATTTGAATAAGAGGGGGATTAATTCTATGTGTGTGCCTGGGTGTGGTGGGGAGAGAAAATGGGGAGGGACAGAGATGAGAAATATGTAGTTCTACAACTACACTCAAGAATATAGATGAATCTTGTAAAACATGATGTCAAATGAGAAATAAGTGAGACTCAAAAGTACATGCTTTATGATTGCGTTTATGTAAAGTACCAAAACAGATAAAGCTACCCTATGCTGTTACAGGTAACAGTAGTGGTTACCTTGGGTATGGGAATAGTGATTGGAAGAACTAGAGGGGGCTTTGAAACACTGCTGATGTGTTCTGTTTCTTGATCTGTGTGCAGAGAACTTGTGTGTGCTCAGTTATTCATCAAGCTGTACATTGACCATATGTGCACTTTTCTCTATGTATATTATATGCCAACAAAAAAAGTTTTTGTTTAAACTATACAAATGTCTCTCACATATTAAAATATTGCTAACTTAATTATGCTGCTGCTATCCTTTCTCAACTTTCCAGCATGCAGGTCAAAATGTGATCACTATTTCCAAAGAATAAGATAATTATCATTGGATTCCAATTCTCTCCCTCTCTATTTTCTCACAGAATTAATTATCCAACAGAGTGCAGGCACACCTCATTTTATTGTACTGCATTTTATTGCACTTTGCAGATATTATGATTTTTACAAACTGAAGTTTTGTGGCAACCCTGTTTCAAGCAAGTCTATGAGCTCTGTTTTTCAACAGCATGTGCTCATTTCATGTCTCTGTGTTACATTTTGTTAATTATTGCCACATCTTTAAACATTTTCATGATTATTATATCTATTATGGTGATCTGTGATCCATGATCTTTGATGTTACTACTGTAATTGTTTTGGGGTCCTTCAAACTACAACCATAGAATCTGACAAACTTAATCAATAAATATGTCCTGACCGCTTCACTGACCAGCCATTCTCTATTTCCCTCCCTTACTGTGGGCCTCCCTATTCCCTGAGACACATCAAAGTTGAAATTTCACCCATTAATAACCCTACAGTGGTCTCTAAGTGTTCAAGTAAAAGAGAGTCACATTTATCTCACTTGAAATCAAAAGATAAAAATGATAAAGCTTAATGAGGAAGGCATGTTGAAAGCTGAAATAGGTTGAAAGCTAGGCCTCTTTTGCCAAATAGCTAGCCAAGTTGTTAGTGCAAAGGAAAAGTTCTTGAAGAAAATGAAAAGTGCTACTCCAGTGAACACATGAATGATAAGAAACCAAAACAGACTTATTGCTGATATGGAGAACATTTTAGTGGTCTGGAGAGAAGATCAAACCATCCACAACATTCCCTTTAAGTCAAAGCCTAATCCAGAGTAAAGCCCTAGATCCTTTCAATTCTACAAAGGCTGAAAGAAGGGAGGAAGCTGCAGAAGGAAAGGTTGAAGGTAGAAGAGGTTGGTTCATGAGGTTTACAGAAAGAAGCCATCTTCATAACATAAAAGTGCAAAGTAAAACAGCACAACGCTTGAAGTGGAAGTGATGATGTAAAAGCTGCAACAAGTTATTCAGAAGATCTAGCTAAGATAATTGATGAAGGTGGTTACACTATACAACAGAACTTTAACTTACACTAAATAATCTTCTAGTGGAAAAAGATGCCATCTAGGACCCCCATAGCTAGAGAGGAGAAGTCAATGCCTGGCCTCAAAGCTCCAAAGGACAAGCTGAGTCTCTTGTTAGAGGCTAGTGCAGCTGCTGACTTTAAGTTGAAGCCAGTGCTCATTTACCATTCTGAAAATCCTGGGGCCCTTAAGAATGATGCTAAATCAACTCTGCCTGTGCTGTGTAAGTGGAACAGCAAAGCCTGTATGATAGCACATGTGTTTATAGCATGGTTTACTGGACATTTTAAGCCTCCTGTTGAGTCCTAGTGCTAAAAAAAGATTCCTTTCAAAGTATTACTGCTCACTGATAATGCATCTGGTCACCCAAGAGCTCTGATGGACATATACATGGAGATTAATGTTGTTTTCATGCCTGCTAACAAAGCATCCATTCTGCAGCCTATGAATCAGGGAATAATTTTGACTTTCAAAGAGTATTATTTAAGAAATACCTTTTATAAGTCTCTTGCTGTCTTGGATGATAATTCCTTTGATGGATCTGGGCAAAGTAAATTGGAAACCTTTTATAAGTCTCATGCTGCCTTGGATAATAATTCCTTTGATGGATCTGGGCAAAGTAAATTGAAAACCTTTAAGGTAAGAGTCACCATTCTAAATGTTGCTAAGAACATTCGTGATTCATGAGAGGAAGTCAAAACATCAACATTAATAGGAGTTAGGAAGAAGTTGATTCCAACCCTCATGGATGACTTTGAGAGGTTCAAGACTTCAGTGGAGGAAGTAACTGAAGATGTGGTGGAAATAGCGGGGAACTAGAATTAGAGATGGAGTGTGAAGATGGAATGGAATTGCTGCAACCTCATGATCAAACTTGAATGGATGAGGAGTTGCTGCTTATGGATGAACAGAGAAAGTTGTCTCTTGAGATAAAATCTTCTCCTGGTGAAGATGTTGTGAATATTGTTGAAATAATAACAAATGATTTAGAATATTTCATAAACTTATAAACTTATTTGATGAAGCAGTGGCAGAGTTTGAGAGGATTGACTTCAATTTTGAAAGAAGTTCTACTGTGAATAAAATGCTATCAATCAACACCATATGCTATAGAGAAATCTTTCATGAAAGAGTCAACCAATGCAGCAGACATCCTTGTTATCTTATTTTCAGAAATTGCCACAGTCACCTCAACTTTTAGCAACCACCACCCTGATCTGTCTGCAGCCATCAACATCAAGGAAAGACCCTACACCAGCAAAAAGATTGTGATTCTCTAAAGGATCAGATGATCATGAGCACTTTTTAGCAATAAAGTATTTTTAAATTATAAGCACATTGTTTCTTTGACATAGTGCTACTGCACACTTAATAGACTACAGTACAGCATAAACATAGCTTTTATATTCACTAGGAAACCAAAAAATTTGTGTGACTCATTTTATTGCGATATGCACTTTATGGTGGGGTTCTGGAACCAAACCTGAAATATCTCTGAGGTATGCCTGTATTTGTTTTCCCCTGCTGTACAAAAGTACAAAACTATGTTTAAGTAGCATGTTTAATTCTTGATGCCATTATTACCACATAACATCTTTATATTTTTATACAAAACACCTCGCCGTGAGAGTTTCTTAAGGCTGTGCTTAGTGTTAACTGGAAGCCAATGCTAATACTGAAAAAAAAAAAAAGGGTGGGGGAATTGGATTTGGGATCAGGATGTAGATAGGCTTCCCAGGATTTCAGGAAAAAAATTCAGAACAGGAAAGAGCATCTTGAAGATATACCATAAAAAGATGGTCTTTTTGAGTGGTATAGTCAGTTTCTAATTTAAGAGTAATTTCTCTCTCAGATGTGTTAAAGTGTAAAAAAAAATCTAATAAGATTTAACACTTCAAAGTCATTAACTAACTAATTAACTAATGAATCCACACAACAGCTCTATGAGGTTTATGCTAAATATCTATCATTTCACAGATCTTGTGTCATTTAGAAACTCTTCTAGCTTTTCTCGTCTCTGCTCTTTTCAAAGTCTTTAAAAAGAACGAATTATTTTCATGTCTCCAGTGAAGGACATGTATCAAATTTGTCTCTTGAGAAAATCCAATGCTTTGTGAAGTAAATTTCCAAAGCCAGTCAATTAACTCAGTGCTTTTCCTATTAATGTGACTCCAAATTTCTGATATCCCTTGCCCTGAGAAGCTATTTTGTTTGCCCTGGGAAGAAAGAAAAGTCAACCTATGTGCCTGCACATTATAGGTGCTCATTAAGTGCCCATTGGAATTCTTCCTTTGTAACTCTTTGATTAATTTGCTTTTGCTTAATTTAGCCATCATTTCACAGACTCTACTGGAATTTTTAAAAACATAAATATTGATATTGTGTTTTCTTCCTTTAAATGCCTAAATTATTTCACACTAGAAATGTAATAGTTACTAAGTTCTCAGACCATTTTGGTTTACTGTAATAACAATAGCATGTTCTCTTGAGTGCTGAGTATGGGAAGGTGTGATATGTCCATGTTTGGGGTAGAGAAAGGAAAGAGAGAGTGAGAAAGTGAGGAAGGAGAAAAAAGGGAAAGAGAGAGACACATGCACACACACGCAGACACACACACACACATACACACACACAGAGAGAGAGAGAGAGAGAGAGAGAGAGACATTATGGCAATGTTTTAAAGAGAGATTTGTAGGATAATGGAACTAATTCCTCAAGTAATGTTTATGAAATGGAAATGATGTTGAATTACTAGAAGAAACACAATACTAACAACAGAATTTTTCTGTTGTGTTGCTGAACAACATTGTTACAGAAGAATACTTAATAGAGCAAGTCCATTAAAGGATATTAATAACGGGCTTGCAAATTGCTGGTAGATCCTTTTCAGGTTTGATTTAATAATGATTGGTAAGCGTCAAGGACATTTAATCATTTTTTATATATTGCAGACTTGGCAATTTATGTGTTTAATGTGAGAATTTCCACTTCACCACTTGAATCAACTTGCTGCATTGTGAAAATATCTAGCAAACGACAGGAGAAAACTAACTTTTACTGACACCTGCTGTGCCTGCAAACATATGTTATCTCAATTTATCCTCAAAATTGTGCTGGGACATGAAGTATTGTTCCCATTTTACAGATGAGGAAACTGATACCATGCCGTGCTACCAGGCTAACCAAAACTGCACCCCAGGTTTATTTAACTTCAGGTCTAGTGGATTCGAAGTCTACGATCTCCCTCCTACACCATGAAATCAAAGTAAGTCTTCCACGAACAGACTTAATTTGAAAACCTTTAAAACTCTGCCGGCCCATCTATCTTAAAGTGGTTTTTTTAGGTCATCCTCTGTATATGCTGATGTACTGATATAATAAAAACTTGGATATAAGAACCTCTTTTGTCATTTTTTGCTTTTGTCTTCTAAGATGTCATTTGTGTGCTCCCTCTTTCAGCCACACTCAGCTCACGCGGCTTGAATTCTGGCTGGCACGGGCAGTGCGGTCAAGGCTGCAGCTGTTAGCATCCCCTCCTCCCATGCTCATCATGAGTTCTGCAAATGAGCCCTGCAGACTGATATCGTGTTCTGCAGTTTATTTGACAAATAGCTTTTATGGCCTTTGATTTTTTTTCAGATCACTTATAAATTCTAGCAACAGACAGGTTGTTTGTCAGATTCAAATTCCATACAGTTGAAAGGAAAGAGGTGAAGATTCCTGCGTTCAAAGTGGACTCTAACCTTAAGATTTATTTGTAAATTTTACTTAAAATTACCTTGAGAGGAACCTAAGATATTCTCCTGGCAGTGCCTAGTTGCAAATTATTTCTATCCTTATGTCATAAATCTTGATAATAAGTCTTTTAAAATGCACTCGAGAAATGTATTTTGTGTTTATAGTGCTGGATTTTAGTGAGTCAAATTGTGTTCAGGCAGTATGTTTGCCTCTTCATGTTCTGTGTGACACTGGAGTAAAATGGAGACTTCAGTCATTCAGCTGCAGGCTCTAAGAAAGTCTGTTGTAACTGTGCATTTTAATTAACCGACTCAGCTGAGGAAATATTGTCTCTCTACTGTGGTGTAGCTGTCTGCCTTGTAAAGTACCTCCCTGGATAAACAGAGGACTTTTATTTCTTAAACTGCCTTTCCCCCATCGTCTTTAAGAGTATGTTGGGCTTTCTTTTTTTTATTAAATTACAGGTGGAGAAGGTTTAATTAACTCTAAAATGATTCTTCAGCAAACTCAGTTGCATTTTTTTACAACACTTTGAGCTACGATATAGTTACTGCAGGCTGCATACTGTTATTGGAGCATACAGAAACATTTAGAAACCTAAATCTGTTTTGTCATATTACCAGAGATGGCATCTGCACTTGGGTACAGTTGAAATACAAACTGAAGATCAGATAAGTTTTTTTTTTTGTTTAAACCAGTCAGTGGGCTACTGTGAACTGAGCTAACAAAATGGGAATAATTTAGCCATTGATTACTTTGTACAACACACTGCTGGATCTTAAAACTGAGTTGAATGTGAGGAGATAGTCATAGTTCAAGGAGTTATATGCAAATTTGACCTCTGGAAATATAATTTGTGGGTTTCATATTTAAAGCTGCTGAATACATTTTGTCAGAAACCTCTTGCTTCTATGATTAATTATAGATTAGTTAACCACTGGACTTCTTTTATTCAGTCATCATGAGACACTCTATGCAAAATATACATATATTTTTTAAGAGACATGATCTTGCTCTGTTGCTCAGGCTGGAGTGCAGTGGTGCAATCGTTGCTCACTGTATCCTCCCTGGGCTTAAGCAGTCCTCCCACTTCAGCTTCCAAGCATGTGCCATCACACCCAGGTAATTTTTTTTCATTTTTTGTAGAGATGAGGCCTTGCTATGTTTCCAGACTGGTCTTGAGAGCTCAAGTGATCCTCCTTGCCTCGGCCTCCCAAAGTGCTGGGCCTATAGGCATGAGCCACCTACCACACCCAGCCTATGTGGAATTTTTGAATCTAAAGTAGATTAATGCAAATTTCAGAACAACGTTTTCCATCTTTTCAAACTATGCGCTCTGGAGCCCAAGATTCTCTACCTAAGTTGGACCAAGCAGATTCCAGTACTGAAAGCAAAAACAAACACAAAACCTAACTACTTATTTTACTGTTCCTCTTTAAAAAGAATGAAAACAAAGAAGAATTAAAAAAAAAATTAAGTAACCACTGGGTTTATCTTAAGCAAGATGCGTATAGGGGTAAAAAATGATGCAGTGACCACAGTGAAACCATGAAGTGGATAACAAAGAGAGAACTTGAGGATTGCAGTTCTTGGAAGATTGTTACAAGTACAATGAAATTAGTTTGGAATTTCAAATAGAAGGTAAAAAAAATGGACTGCAAGGTTCTCAAAAGTCCTTATAACTACAAGTTTTTATAACTAAAGTGAAGTTTTATTTCAATTTGTTTATCACGTATGTTCCAAAAAAGAATCCACTCTGTGAATGACAAAGTTTACTGTGGTCCAGAGGCTGACAGATACTTCACATGAAAAGGGATATGGATGGTCTGTAAGTCTGCCCTACCTTACAAATTGTAATTAAAATGCAACTTAAAATATATTAGGGAAGAGGTCATTTTTATTTCTAAAATTAAACTATAATTTACAAAATTATAGTTCTTCATTTATAGGCCCAAACAAAAGAGTTGAATACAAATAGAATTTTTCCCTCCTTTTACATTAAATTATTAGATGGTGTCATTTTAATTATTGCTTTCATGAGAGATAAAACTATTAGTATTTTCCTTTTAACTCAGTTTGAAGGCATATATCCAAGTTGTATGGATTGACTTAAAAGTTGGATAGAAAGAAAAATTGAAAGAAATTTTAAGTGGAGATGAGAAAGAGAAAAAGAAATGTAGTGCAAAGGAATAAAGGAATGAACAGAAGGGAGGAAAGGAGAGACTCAGAAAAGGGAAGATGCTTCAGTTCTGTATGATCTAACATGCCTTCTGCATGATCAGCTTTTAGGAGGTAAAAAAGATGAGCATTACTACTTGTCAGCTTCTGAGTGTTGGAGGCCTCCAGTAGAGTAGTTACTTTGGAAACGCGTAAAATCAGAGGCCAAGACCTAGTTTCTGTCATAGCGTAGGGTGTTCCCTTGGTGTGGGTAAGAGAGGAGAGGCCTCAGAATGCATCTAAAGCTGAATCCTTGCAGAACTGGGGCTGAGATAAGGAGACATCCAAGCTAAAGAGCAAAGGACCTTTCTCAGGAGGATGTGGACGGGGAGAGATCACAAATGTATGGCTTTTAAACAAACGTTGACTACCTAGCCTCTACAAAAATGAAGGTGTATTCGCAGCTAGACTTAAATATTATTTCTTTGTCTCAATTTTTTGTAGCTCTTATTCCCTTTAACATATCCCTCCAAATGTTCATAGCTTTGGTAACTATCACAGGAAAAAATGATTGGTAGATTATTCACAACACACAAGCAATTTAAATCAGAACATGATCCTTTAAAACTGTATTTTCCTAAGAATACGATTAACCTTTGGACAATATGGGTTTGAGCTGCATGAGTCTACTCACACGTGGATTATCTTCCGACTCTGCCACCCTGAGACAGCAAGACCGATCGCTTCTCTATCTCCTCCTCAGCCTACTCAACATGAAGATGCCAAGAATGAAGACCTTTAGGATTATCCATTTCGCTTAATGAATAATAAATATATTTTCTTTTCCTTATGATTTTCTTAATAATATTTTCATTTTTCTAGCTTACTTTATTATAAAATACAGAATAAGATACATATATAAAATATGGGTTGACTCTTTATATTATCAGTAAGGCTTCTGGTCAACAATATGCTATTAG
Organism: Homo sapiens; assembly: GCF_000001405.40. Taxonomy (NCBI): domain Eukaryota; kingdom Metazoa; phylum Chordata; class Mammalia; order Primates; family Hominidae; genus Homo; species Homo sapiens. Next base: position 66,938,335 of record NC_000010.11, on the reverse strand, counting down.
TAGTTCTGGGGGAGTAAAATATTATATGGATTTTTGACTGTATGGGAGGGTTTGTTCTCTTGACCCTCACATTGTTTAGTGGTCAGCTATAATTTTTGAAGCCCGTTAAATGGTAAATGAGAAGAGTGTACATAGTGAAAAAGTGTATATTAAATTAAAACTAAAAAAAGTTTTTATGACTACACAAAGAAATATAAGGTTGATACAATTAAGTTTCCATAGAGTTGAAATGTTTACTGTAGATTGTTTGCAATAATAACTTCATAATAATGACCAGAAAATCAATTCAACAACATCTATCATGCATAAAAGACTGTATCAGCCACCATTGGAAGAAGAAGGAAAAGAAGAGATTATCCATTTCCTCAAATCGTGATACAAACCCCTTAATAACTCTAACATAAGGTAGACTGTGATGCAGTCTCTGGGAGAGGGGGAAAAAAAACAGAAAAGAGGGAAGGAAAAGATTAATAAGACATCTGGAGTGAGCAGAATTTGATCTATTCTGGAAAAGCTCAGAAATTGACTGGAGGACTTGGGAGGGAGGAAGGGCATTTCTCACAAAGGAAATTGCTTGATCAAAAGCACAGAGATTGGGAAGCATGGGCTACTTTGAGAACCTGCCAGTGGTAGAGCATGGGAAAGGGTAGGGCAATAAAGGTGGTTGTAGCTGGGCTTTGTTGGGAGGCTGAGGACATTGGTTTTATGTACTACCATCACTCTTCAGTATTAACTACGTGCCCAGATGCCCTTGAGCTTATGGAAATTTAGATTCTATTTCCGGAAAGTCCACCAGGAGTCTGTTATTCAAAATAAAAATAGGTAGTGTAATATGACTTTCAAAGCGCATTGTGGTACTGAGATTTTTAGCAGTTGGAACTAATGAAGGGAAGGAGAAAGTATTATGTGCCAACCTTTGTATTAAATGATTTTATCTACATCATCTCATTGAATCTTCATAGGATCTTTATGAGTATTAGATTATATATGAAATGTACCAGGAAAAATATTTAACAAATGCTGATTCTTTGCCTTCTTGCAACAATCCCATGATAACTACATTGTTTTACACATTTTTATTAGGATGACGATGTTGAGACTCAAGGTTTCACAGTTACTAAAATCCCAGAAACAGAATTCAAACTGGATCCATAGTCCAAGTTCTTTCTGGTATACAAAGTTGTCTCTCCATGAAAAAAATTTAAGGAGAAAGACTTTGTATAATGGCGATTCACTGAAAAAAAAATTCTCAAATATAGTTTATTGAATGAAACATGGATTATTTACCCTGCCTTGGCTCCTTTGGAAAGGCCCAAACTCATGTTTGAGAAAAATACTGAGGAATCTATAGAGGATGATTTCAGAGTGCTTTACAAAGGTCTTTGCCTAAGAAGAACTTTCCCCAACCCTGCTGGCTATGCCTGCTCTTAATATATAACTTTCTTACCTTTAGCTGAAGACTTTCATCTCTATTTAAAGGTGAGTGCCCTTGGAAGGGACAGTAATCCTGCTCTCACTCTGGGAGCAGATATTTGATAACGCATAAGAAACCAAGAAAGCTCTGGGCACCACTGGATGGAGGAATTTCAATATGGATACTACTTCCAAATAGAGAAAATACATGGAAATGGGATGCTGAGAAGACACAAGGCAGACATCTCAGAGTTGACTAGATTGCGCTGTAGAGTTCAATCTAGTCCATCTGTCCGATGACTCCAACCATGAAACTGACCCTGTGACTTTCTGACAGGATCAACATTTGATTGGGAATTCTAGAAAAACAGGCAAGGCAGTGCACTCAAAGAATTAAGATCTGCAGGCAGAAAACAACAGAGAAACAAAACAGAACAACCAAAAAACAAACAAACAAAAAAACACCAGGAAAACCTATTAGAAATAGGAAAATAGAAGGAATGTCAGCTTAAATTTAAGAATGTGATGGCAAACTTAGAGGAGGGTAAATTAGCTTTCAAGAAAGTGAATTACAGGATCTCCATCATTTGGGATTTTTTTTTTAACATTAAGAAACGTATAATGTGAGCTTTTGGCTATTTTGAAATCTACTTTGACTTTCTCTTTTCGTCTATATCTAGCTTAATGCTCTTGCATTTTAGTGTAAACTAATAAAGACTCCACACATCTGTGTGTGTTAGACCATAAAAGTGACCAGAGTAAAGCCCATAAAAATATATGTAGATTTTTACATTTTATTACTTAGTCCTCCCTGTAAAAGTCCAAAAGACTAAACACTTACTGCTTTTTAATGAATGACATGAGATAGGCTGGAGTGGGTGCCACAGGCTGGAAGGAACACTATACTGGCAGATTAGACTTTAACTAGCAGAGGGATGTTCTAATGGTAAATCATCGGAAATTATTTCCTAAAGGGATCTGGAGATGCATGATTTGGCTTTGAGAAGCCTTTTGTGGGTGGGGTATAAATTATTTTAGAGCAGTCCTATAAAGAAGTGAAAATGTATAGGATTAATGAGTGAAACTTACAGGAAGACAGACTCAATATAAAGGGCTCTGTTCTTATATTTTAAGGAAAACTATCTGAGTTTACGAAACGCATAAAACACTTTTTATCAAATCATTAGATAATATATACAAATTCCTGGTACATAATAAGGACTCAATTATACCAAAATATCTTCACATTATAGGAAAAATATTCACCTAATAGGAAAATATATATATATTTTTTTAGGCATGTACAACATACGTACCTTGGTGGAAATACAAATACGTATGTAATATGTCCTCTGCCATATTAGAAAGATCTTTAAATATTCCATTTTAATCATAATTCAGTGATGTTACCTAACCCTCTATTGGTGCCAGTACACAAACCAAGTATTTATACCTTTCACATTAAAATTTTGAATACATTAGGCAAAATCCCTTTCATAAATTGACAAGTACATGCCAACACTAATCTCAAAGCGCTGAATTTTAAACTTCTTGGAGAGTTTTCACTATGGTAAACTTCCTAGAGTTTTCACCGTTATAACTATTTTCACTGTTGTACCTTAGAGAGGTTTCACTGTTGTAATCTTGTCACACATTTATCAGAATTTTAAAAGCTACTCTACTTTTTCAATATCAACATGATGCATTCTACAAGTTTCCTTTAAAGCTCTTGTGAGATTCTGGTTGACTGCATCAAATATTAATGAGGGAAACTTATAGGAAGACAGTCAATATGAGGGCTCTGTTGGTAAGCATATTCTTTCTTTTAGAAAGTACATAGATCAATATTAATGACAAGGAGCACTTTTTTAGCTACATGAGGGCCACCCAGTTGAAGCTATGAACACCACTCAAGGTAGCATAGCCTCATGATACTGTAGCTTCACTGTCTGATGACATTTTCATTCTGCTCCCACTTCATTAATAAGCTTTAGCACCAAGAATGCTGACTAAGGATTTACATTTAATTGAAGTCATTGCCTCCTTACTGACAAAATGTATTTTCCACCCTGCATAGATGTAATTGATGTGATGAAATGTCAACAAAAATTGCCTTTGCTAAATGTAGTATTTGCCTTACTATTTTATATGCCAGGCCAAAAAAACTATATTTTACCCTTGAGAAGACAAAATTCTGATTGTTGGAAAGAGTGTTTCTGATTGGTGAAATATAGTTGAGTACCCCTATACATAAAGTCCTATACTTTGTTTTCTAGGAATTAGCTAATTAAGGAGGAAAACAGTAAGCTTTAATACTTTGTAAGACTGTAATTCAACTATATATCCTGTTTTTTCAATTGCAAATCATAATATACTGTAGAGGTGTTTTATAGATTGTAGAGGAAAGAGAAGTGTCAGCCAGCTTTAAATTTGTTTTATGTCCTAATATTTAATGCAAGTGTGTAACTTTTCTTTTGGAGATAATGCTGCTCTTTTGAGCCAAATGACTGAATTGTGTTGGTTTATAAAGGAAGACATTTTTTGGTGATATAGGAATTACAGACTCTTTCAAATAAGGAGAACAATTTAAGAGTGAGAGAAAGGATAAATGAGAATCCTGATTGGGAGAAGTGAGAGCCCTTAAAAATAAAAAGAAAACATGGAGAATTGTTAATAAAGTTATTAATTATCATTACAACATTTGCTGGAAAGGATAAGATAGAAGCTGTTTTTCTTTTTTTTCAATAAAATGGATTATTATTGCTTATAGAAGTTCTGTTGTTAGAAAGTATAATTGTAAAATACATTGTACTTGCTTGGTCTTATATCATGTCCCAGATATTCCTGTTCTCTCTGTGTTCCTGGAATTTTCCTCACGTGTTCAGGATCCCTAACTCAAGAGCGTCCATTCATGACCCTATGAAGTTAAAATGTCAGAAAACTCACAACTGCTTCCCCACCTGAAAAACCATCATCCTCTCTCTGATCTTTAGATATGCCATAGGAACTCAGCTGTCAAAGAGGAACAGTCTGTGTCTTCTTAAATGACAAACATTTTGAAAATACACCTGCTACTTCATATTGGTAAGAGCAGCTACATCCAGCGGAGGAAGCCTTTTGTCATTCTTTGATGAATTAATGATGTAATTTTGCATAAGCAATGACATATAAAAGGAAGTCCCTGTACATTTATACCCCTTTTTATCCAGTGATTTTTCAATAATTATAATTGATAAAGTCAATAGTAATTTCTATACTAAGAGGAGATCTTGGGCACAGTCTTCCACTGGAGTGGCCAGGGGAGAAACATCAGAGCAGATATCATGTGACTGATACCTGGAATGCGTGCTAATCCTACAGTAACATGTTATATGCAATTACTTTTTGCTCAATAATGATGTCATGTTGCCATATAAACATTATATTGATCCAGTGTAAAGTCAACAAGGATTGAACACAATGATACTAGAAAGGGAGTGGACAGGTAAACGTCCTGATTGAAAGCCCTTGCTATAGTTGCCTGATCTGAAATACAAGTAGAATTTTCAATGTGTTTGATAATTATTTGTTTTAGTGTTCGCTGGTCGGTGTCTTTATGTCTGTTGTACATTGTGATAATCAGTATAAAAATCATAGACTTAGATAACATGAGGTGGAAGAAGCTGTGCCTATGTGAAAACAGAAAGTCAAAGACGATGTTCTAGACTTCTAATGATGTAAAATGGGCTTGGGGTTCTGTAACATGGAGGTTACTGATTTCTTTTTGGCTCATGCCAAACATAGAACAACAAACCCCACTCAGTATCTCACTAAGGGCTTTTTGAAAAGAAGAGGTAGTTGCCATTTTAGAGTTTACAAAGTACTTTTCACATTTCGTCCTCCCAATTACCATGAGCAGTCAATAGTACACATCTGTGTTACATATGAGAAACTTCAAATTCAGAAAAGCCAGGAAATGTACCTGTGATGACTTGATTAGCAAGTGTCAAAGGAACTTGAATTTAGGTCTTAATTTCTAAGGCCCGTATTCTACCATGCCTGGCTGTGATATTTCCCTCAAATGCAAAAGAATCATAAATTATTGTTATTTAGATTTTATTGGTAGTATTAAGTATCCAAAATCATCACCAACTTTTGGAGGCTAAAAGAATTTGGGTCCAATTCTGTAGGCTATTATGATTAGGAAAGCAGTGACTTTCACCTATGTATTATTATTATTTCTTTAATTCATTTTTAATTAGAGCTATTTGATACAAACTATTTAACATCCATCCATTTTATTTCTCTTAAAACTTGTGTCATTCAAATTTACCTATATATTCTGTTGTGCTCATTGTTTCCCCCAACTGCCTCTGATTTTTAGTGTAGGTAGCTAGGAGAATACAACAATAGCAAAACTCCGTGGGTTAGCTACAGATCTGGATTCTAATGAGAATCCAGAGCAAAAAGGAATAGATGAAGCAACACAGATTCTGAATTTTTTATTTCTCATGGCTCGATTCTTACTTGCCATGTCTGGAACTCACTTTATCTCAGGCTTCATGACCTGATGCTTGTTTCTGATGCAGTCTAATCCACACTTTAAATAAACGATTTGAGTTCTCATTTTGGTAAATGTCAAGGGAAGAAGAGATATTTCATGCACCTACAGCATCCTAAAACCTCTTGCCAAATCCATGAATCTGACTCTGCATTATCCTTCCCCAGAAGGAGAGCATAATTTCATTATCCATGAATCATCACCTCTTAGACTGTAACATCATTGTCAGAGAGCCTAATAGAACCAGTGTTCAGCTGGCTGAAAAGGGGGAGGGAGGGAGAAAGCGCTGAGGCAAAGCACAGGTCACTGGCACAATCAGCAAACTGGAGAGTTCTAAAGCCGGAAGGGGAGGCCCCCCTCCTTTGACACCTTTGACATATCCCTGACCAGTAAATGACTGATGCTGACTCTTTTGATATAATATTAAAATTTGTTTTTCCTACCTAAATTACATGTATCTTGCTGATGAAAAATATTAACCCCTTTAATAAAAATATCAAAATGCTTAGCCAGCATCGATGAGTATAAGCACTCTAAAATATTTCTTATCTATTCTTATTGCGTTATTACTCGCTTTTCATCTTGGACACTTATTTCTAGCCTTCAGTACCAATTCTATGGCCTCTGTTCCAGCATTACTATAAAAGTCAAAATGAAAAGTATAACATTCAAAAATTACATTATAATTATATTTCCCAAGGAAATGAATTAAATAAAATTCAAATCTGATTTACTAGTCAAAAAACATGTTGTAAACCACGTTTACATAAGGATTCAGGATAAAAAGCTAAAATGTGTGAATAGCTGTGGTTAGTCTAACCAGACACTAGAGGTCACTGCTGCTCCATAGAAAGACAATTTACTGCCTGTCTACTTAGGTAGTTCACTCACCAAATCAAGTAAAAAATTGTTTAAATTCTTTGAAAAGATGTAATGTCAACGTCCTTGGAAAATACAAACTCATTTCAATGCAATATATCTTGCATAAGTATTGCTTACAAGACTGTGGCACTGGGACTATTTAACTACATGCTGTGGTAGCACTATGTGTACTGGGGTTAATAAAAATGGAAAAAAACTCACATGAAGTTTAGAGACTAAATCCCATTTCTTCTCTGTTTTGGTAAAGCAAAGTATTCTGTGTTCTGTTGTATAGTTCAACAGGTCAGGCTTTTTTTTTTTTTTTTTTTAACTGTTGTCACCTTTGAGGGAAGTCCAATATTTTATGTAAATACGTACTAGAAAAATAAATATCAATCACATTTCTCTAATCTGCATGAACTTGAAATACTTATACAAATAGATTTATGATATGTAGTCCAGAAAGTACCATGGGATGGAGGTGAGGCAACAACTTTTGAGCAGGAGACTGGCAGTTGGCGTTTTAAAATTTACAGTGGTAAACTAGTTATTAAATCTACAAGAATTATATATCTGTGCTCAGAAGATACTGAGAATTACAGAAGATTCATTCTCAAAGAGTGAGGAGAAAGAAAGAACTTTTTTCCCATAATTTCATGTCCCAAATCAAAATGAGTTTTACCACCTAAGGGATTTTATTTTCGTTCTTATCTATTATTATGTTTATTAGTAAAGTTAGGCATTAAAAAGTGACAGCTTTCAAAATATTGGTGATTCATTTAGTGTTATATCATATTTTATATTCCAAGTAGCTTTGAATTTTAGGAATGCTTTTCAATACAGCAAGCATATTTTATATATACTAGTAGCACCATGGCATTGAGAATTTGCAATAATTCAAAAATATAAGTATTCCTTGCCTAAATATATTTGGTATCCATCACAAGTAAGGCAGAAGGTTAAGTGAAAAAGAATAGAAATGGGGTTCTTCACTTTAAGACTGCATTTCATTAATACAAACATCTTTAGTACAGATAAAAATGAGGCTAGCCAAAGAAAATTTCTTTTTAAGATGGAATATGTATTTACTGATGCTTTATGAAAAATGTAAAGTTACAACTTCAGTAAAAAAATCACAATAAGCTCAGTCATCCAGTAAGCTGTGAGGAAGTATCTGCATTATTAATCCATTGGAAATATGTGACTTTTTGTCATGAATACATGTATATTCAACAATTATTCATGGGTAAACATTGTAACTAAGATGTTTTTCTGAAGTGGCATCTATTGTAAGATTTAATCAATATCAAAGTACCTTGAGAAATCCACTTTAACTATTTCTTTTTCTTTATTGCTTATAAAAGTATGATTTTAATGATCTGGCATCCTTAAAATTTTATTTTATGGTGACTTGCCTAGATTTTTCCTCTCAGCATATGAAAAACCCCCAAACAATAAAAAAAAATTAGTAAAAATAGCCATTCACTTTTTCTTTGTTGCTGCAGTGATTCTGTTTTCAGAGAAGAGGGACATGGTTAAAGATGTAGGGGTTGGCAAGCCAAATTAAATGAAACAGCCTCAATGTTGCAGTTCCTGATATTTGCTTCTATAATAGAACTGTTCATTTTGGAGGATGAAGGAGAATACAGACTAAATATATCTTTCTAAAAACCTTAATTGACTGTGGTTCAAGTTACTCAAATATGGAAGCTATGATATTCGTGCTGCAGTCAATAAACTTTCACCAATGACATAAAAACATGCATGCAGCTTGCAGATTGCCAACAGGGTCTGTACAGAACTGTACTGATGGATGAGTTCACAATACAGATGAACGCAGGGACATTGTAATGTCAGCAATAGAAAAGCAACAGAGAACTGTCATAGTGTTGGTCTTTTTTCCTCTAAGATTCGTTTTATACATTTATTAAGGTGTTATCAAAGTCGTCCTTTTCAATGAGGCTGTGGGTGGAAGGCACGTCTTGGAATGTGTTCTCTTTACACATCTGAATGAAGTGTCTGTCATTAGGGGACTGGTGTGTGCAGGACATGTAATGGAACACAACAGGGCAGCCTGACAAATTCTGAACAGAACAGGACAGAGCTAAGGATTCTACTAACTACATTAGGGTCTTCGAAAAAACTGGAAAGAGAAATTCTGGTAAGCTCTCAACCACATGCCTGTAGCAAGCTGCTTTCCCATTCGCGAACCTTATCTGAAAACTCCCTAACTAATGTGAGGTGTGGTGGAGAAATCTGGCTTCTCAATGCTGTTTCATTTATTTATTTATGAAACATACAGGCTAGAAGAAATTGGCAGTGAAACCTCTAGTCTGATTTTACAGAGATGGGTTTCAGAGACAAGGCTGAGTCGAAAACTTTACATTTTTGTCATCTCCTCACATTTTGCAGTTGTCTGCTTGCAGTATTTTAACCCTTCATCACTTTGTCCCTGTGCTTGCCTTACTGTAATTCAGACACCTCTGGAAACTGCTCAGGGTGCTGCTTTAACCTAGCACCATCTTTTGATAGTTTCCTGCAATTTTCTTTTCTAAGTCAGGCATTGGTTTAAAGGCTCTGCCTGTCTGTAAAATGTTCCCATAACTGAGTCATCTCCAAGAATCAGCTCAAGCTCCGAGCACCTGGAATCATTCACCTCTTTCCTTGATTTGCCAGTGAGGTGCAAACCTTCTATAACTGTAGATTTGGTCCCACCAGGAGGCTAACAGCGAATGTGGGGGATTACTTATGAAAGAAGTTTTATCTTAAAACAAATGCGACATTAATGGAATCAGTAAAGGGTCTTATACAATAGGTATTATATTAAACCGGAGTTCAAGCTTCACATTGATTGTGGTATTTAAATTTCAATGGGTTGATTATGTATGAGAGGAAAATGACCAGTATTATGAATGCACTAAAACGGACAAGGAAGGATCTTGCCAGCAAAGTGAGAGGGAGAGGGAAGGGGAGGGGGGGCATCGCGTTCCCTTGATAGTCACCAGAGTTCAATAAAGCACCACTTATTTCCCAGCTTTTAAGAGCTCTTTTTATCACAATGGTTCATACCTCACACTCCCTGGAGCCCGATTTGTTATAGGTGCAGGGTCCCGTCCCATTCAGCAGCATCTCGCTGGTCTCCGTGTTGGTGGGTTTATAATCTACATAAAATTCCTGGGTGCTGGGAGTCATTTGCTTTAGGGACTGTCTTTTCTTTTTCCTGTGCCTTCGCATGAGGGAGCGCTGCTGCAGCTGCTTCATGCTCGCAGGGTACCGCTTCCATGACACGTAGATAACCAGCAGGATGACGAGCACGGACAGGAAAAGCGCCACGCTGCCCGCGATGATTTTATGGAAAGAGATGTGCTCGGCGTCAGCATCGGTCTCTGGGCCGGGCTCTGTGGCTCCCACCGTCGGGGGCAAAGGGGGTTTGCTCTCATGCTTCGGCCTGGGGAGCTTGGGCTTAAACGTCGGCTTTGGGAGAGCCCTGGCCAGATCAAACCTCTCTGTAGTACTTTTGCCACAGATGCTGTAGTTCTTCACTGCATCGATCACATTTACTCCTTGCAGCTCTTTGGGACTGGCACAGATAATTGTATTCTCCCTTAGACCTTTAAAACTTTTCAGCCAGTTTACAAGGGAGCAAATATTTCTGCTGCATTCCCATATATTCCCAGCAAGACTGATGTCATTGAGGGATATCCAAGAATCCAAAATCTCTTGACCAATAAATGTGAGCTTGTTGGAATCCAGGTTGAGGCGCTGCAGATTCGGGACACACTGGAAAACACTGGGTCCACTGAAAGCTTCGATCTCATTGCCTGATAAATCAAGCCTTTGTAAGGAGCTCCAGGTCCAGGACATGGTCTGTCCTATGACACTGATTTTATTCCACTGCAAGTAAAGGTTCTGAAGGCTGACCAACCTTGGAAAAAGGGCCAGGTTGAGCTTGGAAAATTGATTGTGCTCCAGGTGAAGTTCTTTGAGTCTGATCATGCCAGCAAAGACATTCCTGGCTAAACTTCGGATCCGGTTATATCCCAGGTCCAAAAGTTCCAGGTTGCGGCAGTCTTGGAATATTCGCACAGGGATGGTTCTCAGGGAGTTAGACCGTAAATGTAAACTCAGCAGCTTCCGCAAGCCCCGAAACTGTTCAGATCCCAGAGAATGCAGCTGATTATAGGACAGATCCAAGTTCCGTAAATTTGTCACAGGTCTGAAGGTATTGTTAAGAAAATAGGAGATTCTATTGGAACTAAGAATCAGCTCTTTGAGTCTGCGTATTCCATTAAAAGCATTTTCGTCAATATTGCTGATATGGTTATGGTCAAGGTATAGCCAGGTGAGCTGGTTGAGCCCTTTAAATTGATTATACTTAAGTTTTTGAAGGCTGTTATAGCGAAGGGACAAACCTAAGCAACCAGCAGATATACTTGAGGGTATCTCCTGTAATTTCTGAGATTCACAATATACCATTTTGCCTTCACACCTACAGCCCTTAGGGCATCCTCGTTCGGCAGAAGAAAGCATTGTCAGTAAGACAGTGGGGGCTATAACCAGTGCTACAGCTGATCCGCTCAGTAGCCTAATTACATTGAAACCTGGAAATAAAAACAACTTAGAAAAGTTATCCCCCCAAAAAAGAATTAATCCTTAATCAAGCAAAAATAGGCATATATTTTTCATTTTTAAAAATTTAAATCTAAATAACACTTAACATCACATATTATCTCTTTGTAATTAAAGAGAATTGTCTTTAGTGTTTTGTTTTTTTAAATAGTTAAACAAGGAAACATGCCACTAAGCAAATAAATTCATAGTCTTAGAGCAGAGCAAGGTAATCTCTAAAATAATTAAGGCAGAATTATTACACACACTAGAGGTTTTTTGTTTTTTGTTTTTAAGAAGGAAAGAAGAAAAATGACAAAACATACCCATCCTTTGTATTGTTCAAAGGTCGTCCTTAGGTCTTTTGCTTTGGCTTAGGGGCCAGTTGCATGACAGCCCCTGTCAGCTGCACTGTAGTGAGTCAGGGCTCGCTGACACCCAGGAAGAAAAATTGGACCCCTTGGGAGATGGACCGATTTTGGAACATTATTCTTTGCCAGCCACGCAGAACACTCCAAGAACAAATAAATCCCAACACCGCATTCGCAGCAAAACATCAAAATCTTCCTAGGTAATAGGATCTTCATGGATATTACGTTTTTGCATCTTTACAGTTTTTTGGGGGGTGGGGAGGGGGCGGTTAAAAAAAAAACTGGATCCTACAATTTCTTCTTATCGAAAAACATGATGTATTCTTCCAGGCAATTTGGGGCTACCTGAGCTGCCACATCTGTATTCCATACCCCAGCAGTTCCCGTGATGAGCACCCAGTTCAGCCACAGAGCTGCGTTGGAGCCCAGAAGGCAGGAGAGCCCCGTACCGCGCACACGCTCAGCTCACTTCTGCAGACTGTCATTCTGAAAGCTGCTCGGACTGTTGCTTTGGTTTCAGTGAATGCAGTCTTATGTAAAGCTGCCCCCAGTGGTGAAGAACATTATGGGCATGTGCAGAAATGTCTCTCTTTTATCTTGCAAATGAGCAGGCTCTCTGCTGGAAAATGAATGATTCTTTTGGGTGGCTCAGTAGGAACTGAATGGTCACCGTGATCAATAACTAGCAACATTTTCTGTGATTTCCAAGTCTTGTTTTACAATTTGGCAACGTCTTTATTGTCTGTGTCCACTTAATTGCTAAACATGTGCTGCCCAGAGTTTTTCTGGAGCTTGACATTAAGTTCACAGACCGAACGTCAATTTTTCTTAACCTCAACGCAGGCTTTAAACTGAAATTTATAAAATGAATTATTGAGCTTTTCACAGAGAAGCATTAACTGCCTGCCCATTTGACCTCTTGGAGTCACAGTGATTATATTATGCAAGGTGTCTCAGGATGTTAGAACACAAACATTTTGGAATAGAGGGGATGACTGATGACAAGTGAATTAATGTGTCCAATAGCCTTTCCGGTTTTCTCACAGACGATATAATTGATTTTATGGCTATAGTTTCGTTTGTTGTTTTGGTTGTTGTAATTCTCTTTTAATTAGAAGGGAAATAAACCATTTTTAGTGTTAGGATACGAATCAAGAGATCATTTGGTTCATACTTTATTGATGTTGCTGCTATTTATTACACTAATAATATTTATGGAGCACTTTCTAAGTGCTTTAAATGGGCTACGTTGTTTTCTCTTTAAACAATAGTATGATGTGGGTCCTATTATAACCTCTCTTTTAAAGATGAGGAAACAGACTTGGGGAGGTAACTTTCTCAAGGTCATACAGCAAGCGAGTGCTAGAGCTGAGCTTCAGAAGCGAGTCATTCTTATGCCGAACCACTAACCACTAGATGATCCTGTTCAACAACATTGTTATCTTCATTTAAAAAAGAAGTCAGTGAAAATGAAGCCGATTAAAGGATTGGGGCAAGGAAGCTGTGATTAGCAAATTCTTGCTTGTTCTATTAGAATTGCCTAAATTTCTTTTGGTCTGAGGTTCCTAAAGAAGTATAAAAACTAAGGCAGCGTAGTTTAGTGATTAACAGCATAGATTTTGGCACCTAGATTCCAACTCCTGGCTACAATTTACCAGCTATGTAACCTTAAGCGCGTTACTTACCTTCCCTATGCCTCAGTTTTCTCATCTGCAAAACGGGCATAAAAACAAAAACTCACTTCATGTTTTGAGAATTAAGTCATTTTAATATCTGTATGTTACTTAGAACAGTGTGTTGCATGCAATAAGCCTGTGTAAGATATTTGAATAATATTAACTTTATTTGTACTTGCTAGGATTACGTACTGAATATTGACTATACTGACCTTCATTAACTCACAAAGAACAACTTTAGTGAGCATTTTTAAATATTGTACATGGTGGATTTCTGAGATTTACTCAGTCTTGCCTTCTTTGATGAGATAACTTCCTTTATGTTCATCATCTGAACTTTATCTTTAAAATAAATCTTCTGGTTCTGTGGATCATGACTAATAATGTTCGATTCTTTTCATCTCCAAAGTAGAACATAATAACATCTGCCATGTAGAGGCATTTTATTTAAAAATAATGGTATTCTTGAAAAAGTTTGCCTTGTTGTTTTTTGTTAGGTGAACTGTCTGTGGAAAACCGTGGAGAGCTTTCACATTCTCCAAGGATGAGATGTTTGATAAAGGCTAGTAATGACAATCAAAAGGGGTCCTACAGATATAGTACAATGGATATTACCAATTCCTTGGGCAGTATGTTCTTAATAGGGCAGTGCTTTCCCCCAGAGTTACCTAAGCTGTGAATGCACATGAAACATCCAGTGAGTTTCTTAAAAAGATAGACTGCCCAATCCCTCCCCCAGGATTCTCATTCTAGGGGGATGGAAGAGTGTGTGCTTTTCAATAGTCTCTGATGAAATAAGTTTAAGAAACTCACTGTGAAGGAATGATTAAAAATAATATTTTCTCCTAGTAGGAAGAGAGGGTTTGCACACTTATAATACTGAGATGTAAGTTCCACAAGGACAAAGACAATGTTTTGTCTACTTCATTTTTCCTAATATCTACAACAGCACTTGGCACATTGCAGACATGCAATAAATAGCTATTGAAAAAAATATGTTTTTATATCAGTCACAAGTACAATGGATATAGTATAACTGATTATGTAATGTTCAACATTTGTACATGGGATTGAGTCCTGAAAATTTCCTCAGTCAGTGAGACTGGAAACAATTTTGGAGAAAGTATTCTTAAAGGAGGTATATACAAAGACAAAAACTAGAAAGTGAGAAAACTTAGTTGATCAGAAAGTGATCTTTACTTTTCACAGATATCTTGTCTTCATAGTTAAACTACAAATTTCATGAGAACAGTAAATATGCTTTTGACTATTCTCCTTTGCACAGCACAGAAGGGTAATACTGAACCCTTATCATTTAATATCCCAAATGGGCTTGACAACTTGTATCTCTCAAAAACAGACTAATGAGAATTATATTGATAACTTCTCTCTCACACCTCTGTTGCTTGAAAGGCTCTGAGTTTTCCCCTCACTCTCCCACGTAGTCATTGAGACATCTGTTTTGCCCAAGAGCTGCAGAGAGCCACTCCAGGAGGCTGGAGGACCCATTAACTTTGTGCTTCTTGCTCATCATACTTTACTTCCCATTGACAGAAGAACAGAGGAACCCACTGAGAATGTGGGCTCTCACTTTGCTTTTCCTGGGATAAATCTTCTTGAATTATTTACGGTGAATATTATTCTCTGCTGTGTTACACACATTGCTCTTAGTTTTCAGACATTTTTCTTTTATCTTGGTTCCTGATCTTATCTTACTGCATAGTTCTGACTTTACACCTACCCTTTGGATCTTATGATTAATATTTATTTAGTCTTAATACTAACAACTGAGGGTATAAAATATTAGAGTGAGTAAATAAGACCTAGTATTGGCTAGCACAATGGGGTGACTATAGTCAATAATGAATTAATTGTGCATTTAAAAATAACTAAAAGTATAATTGGATTGTTTTTTATACAAAGCGTAAATGCTTAAGGGCATGGATACCACACTTACCCTTATGTGATTATTACACATTGCATGCCTATATCAAAACATCTCATGTACCCCATAAACATGCACACTTACTATGTACCCACAAAAATAAAAAATAAAATAAAAATAAAACAAAACTATATGACAGGAATGATGTGCTACAACAAAAATTGCTTTGGTAGCAATGTATTGATTGACAAGGAAAAATGTTCATAATGAAATAATATTAAGGAAAAAAATACTGACCATCAATCTCTTTCTCAACAGTAATCAGTAGCCACTCTTGGACTGAGTCAGCCTCCAGGAACTGTGTATGGCCCCTACTTTGGCACGACCCCTTAAGTCGGCATCACAACCAGGTCTGATCTGGTTCAGGATAATAAATTGTTTGAAGAGGGAAGATTATCCATGAGGCTAGTTGAGAAATCCAAAACAAAATAATGTGATTCTAAGCCACACTGAATACTTGAGGCTGCAGAAGTTACTGCAAAGACATAGAGTAGTCCCTCAAGAGAAAAAGAAAAGACTGTGTTCTAAAAGATTTTAGTAATTTGCCTGTATACTTTTTAAAAGTTTTTTCTCCTTTTACTTGTCGACTATAGCGAGCTGATTATTTCTGATTTGCCTTTCAGCAGAAGCAAAATTATATTGCATTATGTATTTAGAAACTAGCAACTTCTTTTGCACTTAATATCGCATACAGAACAAACCGTAAACTACCTGACGAGTTAAATATCCCCAATGCATCCAGGGCCTTAATGATTTATACAATTATAAAAATAGTGTCATGTATCTAAAGACTTTTTATTTTATTGTGCTTATAGGACTTCAAATAGCTAAACATATTTTGTTTAAATTGGGTAAATAAATCAAATCTCAGTTTGGCAATACTGCCAAATTTTAGTCCAATATGAAACTGAGTTGCCAGATATAAACTTAGAAATTCATAACTGAAAGAGAATGGACTGATATCTTAACAGTTGTTGACTTCAGATATTTTATTTATTTTACAAATATTTAATTTGAATAACCATTGTGTGCTAAACACTGTTCCAGACACTGGGAATACATCTGTGTGCAAAATAAAGGCCTGTACCCTTGTGAAGATTACATTCTAAAGGGATAAGACAGACAATTAAAAATAAACATATACAGTATATTAGTAGGTCATATGTACTATGAAAAAAAAGAAAAATATAAGGAAGATTGGGAGTGCAAGGTATGAGGTGGGCTGAGTTTTAAATAGGATGGTTAGGGCCATTAAGAAACTGGCCTGAGCAAACCTTGAAGGATATGAGCTTGTGAGACTTAAATGTATATATGGGGAGTGGCCAGTGCAAAGGCCTAATGTGGAAGCAGATCATGTGTTCCATGAACAACAAGGAGGCCAATGAGTCTAGAATGGAGAGACCAAGTGATAGAATAATTGGAGATGGAGGTCATGGAGGGCTTTGGATGACATTCTAAGAATACTGGCTTTATTATGGAGAAAACGGGGAGCTAACTGGAGATTTTTGTGCAGAGTTAGTATGTGATCAAATAACCTATTAAAAGGATCACTGCTGTGGATCGGATGTTCTCATTTACCGTCCCCAAAAGCCATATATTGAAACCCCAATTCCCAATGTGATGGTATTTGGAGATAGAGCATTTGTGAGGTAATTAGGTCATGGTATTGGAGCCCTCATGACAGATCAGTGGGATTATAAGGATAAAAAGAGACAGAAATGAGAGAGCTTGCTTCTTCTCTCTCTCTGCTACAAGAGAAGGCAGCTATTAAGAAGCCAGAAATCAGGCTGTCTTTGACATCAGGTCTTCTGTTACCTTCATTTTGGACTTCCCAGCCATTAGAACTGTGAGAAATAAATGCTTACTGTTTAAACCACCCAGGATATAGTATTTTTGTTTATAGAAGCACAGACTGACTGAGATGATCACTCTTAGCAGGGGACACAGTAACGAGGCCACCATATCAATCCAGGAGATAGATGATGGTGTTTGGGCCAGGGTGTTAGCAGTGGAAGTGGTGAGCATTGGTTAGATTCGGGATATATTTACAATAAAATCAACAGAACTTTTCTAAGGAAATAGAAGTGGAGGTATGAAATAAAGAGGGAAAGTAAAGATGGTTCATTTTTATTGGCTAAGCAACCCTAGGGATGGTGAAGCCATAACTGTTTTCGTGGGTCACATTTTGTGAGCAAGACCAAGAGTTTAACACATTTGGATTAAATCTGGATTTGGCTCTTGCTTTCCTTCATTTTTATGAGACTTTAGTTCTTGAAAATATTTCTTAATCTTAAGCCTCAAAGCACCATGATATATTTTTAAATATTTTAAAGGTAGTTTTTGAACAGAAAGTTATGAAATGATTTGCAAAATTAGCCCCCAAACAATAGCAAATGGATTTCCATTCAAATGAACTAGACAGAGGCAACATCTTTGCATATGGCCTTGGAGGGCAGTAGAGCCAAAAGATTTGATGAAAATCTAAATGCGAGATTGCATAAAGACTAGGTAAGGAAACATTTGGACTCAACACATGTACTGTTTATTGCATATGTCAGTTGACATTTGGAATTTGGAACTGATTCTGTGCAAACTTCTTTGGGTCTCAGTTTGCTCATCTGCAAAATGGGACTTATAAAACCTGACTTATAAACTTTTAAGGATTTTTACTTAGGAACCATTTTCATGATTTATGAGTAAGTACATTGTACAATATTTATAAAGTGTTACAGATATTTCTGCAATCAGAGTATCTATGACAAAATTAATTTTCCCTTGATTCTGTATAGGTTCTGTGGCCATGAGCATATATTAAGGGTTATCAAGGGTCATGAACATGACCAAGGACATGCCAGAATTTACTAATATTATAGGAAACATTCCTCAGTATTTCTTTTCTACTAATTTTAATACCACAACCATTTATTATACAGAATACACCATTGATATTCTGTGTATTCGCTTATAAAGTACTTTCACCAATAGACGCATTTGATTTAGCTTTTGTAAAGAGTTTAATGTTTGTGACCCAACAATATATCAGGGTTGTCAGAATGCCAATATAGAGTTTCCTACAGCTGTGAAAATAATTTTCTTCATTTCTAGTTAGAATACTCATATGCATGTCTACATTTGTAATTATATCCAGATCTTCATCAGAGCATTAACACTTCCCTGAAATATCCTTGATTTCCATCTGCTTGCTTTAAGGGCTCCATTAAAAACCCTGTCTGGTCACATATGGTTATGAGTGAATATCTCTGACTTAGATAAATGAATAAAGAATATTCCAGGTCTGACCATTAAAATGGTCTCTCAGTGTCTTTCTGGGAAAAGACAAATTTAATGAATGAGACATTGCAAGGTTATCCAACATGTCTCCCTCCCATTCACCTGAAGATACATTTATGCAGCAGCGTCAATCCATATTCTCAGGTTTTATTGCATTCCTCACTGTCACTTCCTGCAAAGGTAGTCCTAAGGTAAATATGGGAATACAGAAATCTAGCCAACACTATAAACTTCAGTGGCAGACTTATGAAGGCTGAAAAGACTATATGACTTCAAGGAAATACTTTTTTTTCTTCCTTTCAGTAGGAAAGGTAAAGCATACGCAAAAGTTGAGAGGCTAGTATAATAAATATCAACTCCAAAAATTATTACTATTTTGCTAATTTTATTTCGTCGATACTCACACCTCTTCCCACATAAGTGCAATATTTTTTTCTTTCTGGAGTATTTTAAAAGCAAATCTTCAACATATGTCTTTTTTTTTTTTTTTTTTTTTAAGACAGAGTCTCGCTCTGTCACCCAGGCTGGAGTTCAGTGGCACGATCCCGGCTCACAGCAACCTCTGCCTCCCGGGTTGAAGTGATTCTTGGGCCTCAGCCTCCCAGGTAGCTGGGACTACAGGTGCCTGCCACCACGCCCGGCTAATTTTTTGTATTTTTAGTAGAGACAGGGTTTCACCGTGTTAGCCAGGATGGTCTCAATCTCCTGACCTTGTGATCTGCCCGCCTCAGCCTCCCAAAGTGCTGGGATTACAGGCATGAGCCACCGCACCCAGCCAACATATGTCTTTATAACCTCTCTCTCTCTCTCTATTTATCTATCTACACACATGCACATTTCAGGATGCATTCCTAACAGCCTTTTAATTTAACCATCTAGCATTATTATACCTAATAAAATTAACAAGTTCTTCAAGTAGGTTTGTTCGTATCAAGATCTTAGAAAAAGCCCACACATTGCATTTGTTTTTGATGTATTTGAAGTCTCTTTCATTTTGTAATGCCATTGATGTGTTGGATGCCACGTCATTTGGACTTTAGCTTTTTCCATGTTCTGCATTTGGTGGTTTTCCCATTGTAGGCTTTAACTTGCACATAGTCAGTTTTCATGGCATATATGTTTAACAAGAGTCTATTCATTAATTTGAGCAGAATATCCAGCCCCAAAGTGGATATTTGGGGCATCTATTCATTCTTGGTAGCAGTTTAAGATTTGAAGAACTTTTGAGTAATACAGGACTTAGAGCTTAGAGTAAAGTTGTACTTCTACTTTGTGGTATTTATGCCATCAGAGAATTCAGGAATGCGCTAAATGGCAAGTTTGAGAACTTTATTGGTTAACATTCATATCACCAGGATTTCTGTTCTTCACATCCCATCACAATTGCCTTTTTACCCTTAGCAACAGCAATTATTTGTTGTTGGTACTTGCTAAATAAATCTGCTAATTTTTGTATTGCCATTGAAGTGTTCATCTAACTGAGGCACAAAAAATTCTTATTAATAGGATAGCAATCAAAATTCATTTGTAGTCACTTAAGCTGAGAGAAATCAGTTTTCTAGCTTTTCTTTCAGAACAAATTCCATCAAGAAACATGTGGCACCAGAGTCACATTGTAAAACGTCTAGTTTTATATATATTCCTAAATTTCCTGTATTTTCTCACAGTGGAGAAAAGACTTTTAGAGGGACTATAAAAACCTCTTAACCAAATTTATACCTTAATATTTGATGTTTTACTTTGCATCTATGACTGTGCTTTGAATGTAAAGTCAGTCAGTGTTCTTTAAATGGTATCATAACATTTTGCTATATCCACTTCACATGTATTCTGATGTGACAAGAGTTTTTGAAGAAAATTTCATATTGTATTTTTAAAGCACTGTATATAATAGTTTCAACTGGATACACTGGTGTGTTTTAAAATTCGACTTCCTGGCAATTATATCAGCATTAGGAATTAAATTCCCCAGTCACCAGGAGGAGAAAGATAATAGACAATCTTGATTTTGATAAAGAAACAGCTATGCCATAGGTTGGTTTTATTTTTGTTTCTGAAACAATGTCTGATTTAAAAACGTTTTTATTTTAGGGCCCAGATCTGAAAGATATTAAACTTCTGACAAATGAGAATCCCTGCATAGTTTGCAATGAAGTAGCAGAGAACAGGAGTCTGTGGGTCCTTATATTACTCTAAAATATATCAGCCTATATGTCAAACCAGAGGATCCTTCCTTATACTGTTAGTACTTGGTAGCTGTAGCTGTGGCCATTCCCAGTTGAACAGTTCCCTTAAGAATGTTGGGGAATGCTTAGGATACTCTTGCAACTAACAGCAGAGCCCCCATGTGCCAATATTGTAACTCGAGCAAAAATTTACTTAGTCCCGGGTAGCAAATGCCACAGATCCTTAATAAAAATAAAATTAACTTGTTTATTCAATGAGTATTTATTAAACTCTTACACTGTTCTTCGTGCTGGGGATACAGTAGTGAATAAGACAAAGTGCCTTCCACTGGAGGACTTCTTGCATTCTTGTTGATGAGATGGTAAAAAATAAAAATAGCTACACACTGCAATGTCAACTAGTAATAAGTGCTGTGAAGAAGACTAACAAGGATGAGGGCAATGACCATTTGATACTGTGGCCAGAAAAATCCCTTTCTGAGTTGTTGACGTTGGAGAGCAAGTAGGGAGCAACTCACATAATCCTGTCACCTTAGATGTAATCTCCTTTTGGGTTTTCATTGGCCACCATTAAAAAGGAAAAGAAAATTGTTTTTTTATATACTCCACACTTCTGACACCAGGGTGTGGAGTTTTTCCATACCAACCAATTCTCCAACTCTCTGGACATCAACTGAGTGTCCTGCAATTCAATTTCCCCCCAGCACCTCCTTACCTCTTCCTTACTGATTTTCTTTCATTTCCACTTTGTCTCCAGGTGCCTGTGGTGACCCAGTTCTTTTTGGACATTTTTCCACTTATCAACAAATGAATCCTATGGTATTAGCTGATAATGGCTTATAGTATTAGCTTTCTCAGGATTCTTGAAATTTAATAGGTGAGTCTGAGAAATGGAAAGTATTAAGGAAGCACAGAGAACTGCATTTTATGCACATACTGTAGCTTAAAAAGCAAATAGGAGAAAAGGCCTGTATTAAAAACATTCATCCTTGCTCTTCCCTCTCAATTTCTTACCAATTACTCTTTTTAGGTGCAATCATTTTATTTTAGCTACTGTTTAATTCTTATAATATTTTTGAATTTTGTTGATATTTTAATTTCTTGCTATTTTAACTGAGGATTCAGTATCATTTACTCTCCCTGCTTCCCATGTTAATATGTTATTATTACAGTATTAAATAAATAGGCGATATGACTCACAATCACTGTGTAAACAAAGACACTGATGAATTAAGTGGTGTACTAGACTGTGTTGCCATTCTCATTCAGCGTTTTGCTTTTCTTGCAGTTTAAGGATTGTTCCTATTTTCTTTCTCTCTCTACCTCTTTTACATTTGCTTTTTTGTCTGTATCTAGGGCTTGTTGTTTGTCCCAACATTTAAAAATATATGTCAAGGACTGGGCACAGTAGTTCAAACCTGTAATCCCAGCCCACTTTGGGAGGCCAAGGTGAGCAGATCACCAGGTCAAGAGATTGAGACCATCCTGGCCAACATGGTGAAATCCCATCTCTACTAAAAATACAACAATTATCTGGGCGTGGTGGCAGGCGCCTGTAGTCCCAGCTACTCAGGATGCTGAGGCAGGAGAATCGCTTGAACTCGGGAGGCAGAGGTTGCAGTGAGCTAAGATTGCACCACGGCACTCCAGCCTGGCTACAGAGCGAGGCTCCATCTAAAAAAAAAAAAAAAATGTATATATGTATATATGTGTGTGTGTGTATATATATATATTATATATATATATATGTCAAATGCCGAAGCTTTCCAAACACTCAGGCATTTCAGATAATCCTATTTGCCTGCAGCACTCCATTTCTTGGCTCCAATATCCAATTCTAGCTATGTACCTAGTACTTCACCATTTTCCAGAACAGGATCCCTATTTCCTGGATTCCATGTATTTATTTTCTTAGTTTACCACTCATTTTGTTGAAGCACCTTCCACTAATAGATTTTTAGGAAAGGGTGCATGTGAAATAAAAATTTCATGTCTAAGTTTTTTAGTCCAGTATTACTGATTGATAGATTGCTGTAATATAATTCTGGGTGGTAAATAATTTTCCCTCAGAATCTTTGAGACATTGAATTACTGTCTTCCCATACCACTGTCACTGTAGAGAATCAGACAATATTCTGATTCTTATTTCTTTGTGTATGATCTATTTTTTTCCTCTGTATGATACTTTCTTCCCTCCTGGTATTCGGAAATTGTTTACAGATATACTTTGGTTCGTGCTTTTTTTTTTTTTTCGTTAGTTTTTGGGCAGTCAGTGAGCTTTTTAAATATGGAGACGTGTCCTTCAGTTCTATACAAATGTATTGTATGTTTCAAAAAATGATCTCTCCACATTTTTCTTTGTTCTCTTTCTCTGAAACTTCTATTGGACAAATTTTGGATTTCCTGGATTGATCCTTTGGTTTTTCTTTCCTATTTTCCATCTCTTTATCTCTTTCCATCCTACAGAGTAATGTCTATGCTTTATGATCCAATCTTTTATTTATTTATTACAAATTTTGGCCAGATGTCAGAAGATTATGGCACAATCAAATCCAGCAATGATACCACTGGGTCAAGCAATATAAATAAAATTAAGTTTTTGTAAATAAAGAAACATTCATGTGCATTCTTTTATGCATTGTCTATGGTTGTCTTCAAGCTACAATGGCAGAGTTGAGAGATGGCAAATCCTGCAACTTAGAATATTTACTACGTGGCCTTTTACAGAAACAGTTTGCTGATCCCCCAACTCCCATCCTAATTTAGGTGATCATATTGGTTAGCTCCATGAGCTCTTTTTAAGTTATCTTTTTGCCCCTTCTTCATAGCATACTGTTACTCTCATGGATGTGCCATTTTTTCTCACTGTGAGGATATTATTTGCAGTTTTTTTTTTTTTTTTGGTGGTATACTGCTTGCTGCGGTGCCACTACTTCTTCTGAGGTAATTTAGCCAGTTCGTGTTGGCCCATTTCATGTTGGAGGCGTTTCTCTACGGTTAAGATTCTTCTGTGTTCATTCATATTAATGAGTGAATCACTAAAAACTGATAGAAAGTACCCTGCCGGAGGGCAGATCATGAGGTCAGGAGATCGAGACCATCCTGGGTAACATGGTGAAACCCTGTCTCTACTAAAAATACAAAAAATTCTCCGGCCGTGGTAGCAGGTGCCTGTAGTCCCAGCTACTGGGGAGGCTGAGGCAGGAGAATGGCGTCAACCTGGGAGGCAGAGTTTGCAGTGAGCCGAGATCGTGCCACTGCACTCCAGCCTGGGGGACAGAGTGAGACTCTGTCTCAAAAAAAAAAAAAAAAAAGAAGGCACCCTGCCAGTGGGCAAGGTTTTGGTGGTGGATTTTGTGTTAGCAAGATTAGACAGAGAGCTTGCTTCAGGTACATGTATTTAGACTCCACTCCCCACACACCCAGAGAAGACTGCCAACCGCTCCTACATGGAAGATGTACACCTGCTACCAGTGTTCTGGGGGCAAGGCAGGGAAAGGGTGCTGGGTGCCCCAAGTTCAACATGTACATTCTCATTTTAGTCTTAGGTTGTCAGTCCCAAGTCTCACTGCTATGCCTAGTATACTTCAGTGTAGCTTTTCAGGTTTGAATTTGCCAGAAAATAAACTCTTTTCTGTTAGAGGGATGGGGTAGTCTTTTGATTGCTTGGGGTAAAGACCGAAATCTGGCAGTTGATCTCGCTCTATGAAGATCAGTCCCCATCTTTTTTGTGACCCCTACTTCTGGTGCTTCTCATGACTTTTATGGCGCGACATAAGGTCCCCCTTCAGTAAGCACTTAGACTGTAGCTGCCTTGACTCTACCATGTATTCTGTTCTCCAAAAATTTGTAGAAATTGTTCATTCATTCCTCTTTTCTCTATCCTCATTTGTATTCATTTGTCATTGCTTGAGTTTTGACGTGAAAGAGACAATAAAAGCATGCGATCAATCTGCCGTGTTTCAGATATGGATTTCTCATGACAGATTTCAGGCATGGCAGATGATACTGGAAGGATGCCGTATGAATTAAGACTGTAGCCCAAGGTTGAAAATGGGAGCTGAAGATCTTTGTAAAAGTGAGATGCTGTCCTCCTTTGTTATCCATATCCTCCAATGTATTTTGCACTAGTGTCATTTTAAGGTCTCTTACTATGTACTCATTTCTTTTTTCTTTTTCTTTTTTTTTTTTTTTTTTTTTTTTTTTGAGACGGAGTCTCGCTCTTTCGCCCAGGCCGGACTGCAGTGGCGCGATCTCGGCTCACTGCAAGCTCCGCCTCCCGGGTTCACGCCATTCTCCTGCCTCAGCCTCCCGAGTAGCTGGGACTACAGGCGCCTGCCACAGCGCCCGGCTAATTTTTTGTATTTTTAGTAGAGACGGGGTTTCACCGTGTTAACCAAGATGGTCTCGATCTCCTGACCTCGTGATCCGCCCGCCTCGGCCTCCCAAAGTGCTGGGATTACAGGCATGAGCCACCGCGCCCGGCCTATGTACGCATTTCTTAATACAACTTTTAAATTGGAAGAAGCTTGGATATATTGTATTTACTTGTGGCTTCCTTGGCTGTATAGTTCGTTAAGGGTGTCTGCCATTATTTCATTTACTCTACTGTGGGAGTGATTAAAATGTTCCCCCGTGTGTTCATTTATTTATGAATTTTGAATCATCACTTTGATGAGGTTTCTCCCACATCCTCCTTTTAGCCTAGACCAACCTGCTAATATCAGCAAGCCCAGCAGCCTCCAAAAATGCTAGGAAAAAATATTTTTTACTACCGTTCTTGGGGGTTATATCTTACTATAGATATTGAGGGAATGTATTTGGTGGAAATAGGATGACTCTTCCTGGTGTTGTGTTCATGCACACTAAATTTGCTTTGGCATCTTATACTTTGTATTTATTATAACTTTGCAAACTTAAATGTTTTCAATATCTTACAGGTGTTTAATTTTCCTGAGCCCAATGTTTCTTCTAAAAAAAAGAACTTTTAATTTTTAATGAAATAGAATAGAATTTTATGTAAACTTTTAAAAGAAACAAACTATACCCTATTGGTATCTGTATTCATTTTCCTACTTTTTTGTATCAAGATTTTGTTTTTAATTATTATCATTTATGCTTTGGAATACTTTGCTATTTTCAAATTTGTATTTGTTATTTTATAGTAAAAAACTAGAAAACCTGAATTTGATACATATGTGTATGGTTCTGGTGGTGGTGTGGTGTGTGAGGGTGAGTGTGTGTTTACAACTCTAGGAAGTAGAGGTTTACAAGTAAATTTAAACTTCAAATAGGCAACCACTTATGTATAATCCAAATCTGTAATCTTCTGATGATGCAGTATGGGCCTGTATGCAAAATCTGGTAATAGTAATGTAAAATTTCTTCTCTTCATTGGCTATATTTGAGGCCAGACTTTTTCTATTTAGTTAAAGTCATGAAAATATTTTTGATTTAGTGTATTCAATTTTCAATCATTGTGTTTTCCTTTTGAAATACTCTAGGCTTCTGCCTAGAGAAACCAAAACAGTTAAACATGTCATTATATGTTCAGGCCATTAGTCCTGATTCTTAGGCTTTATATATTTTCTGTGGGTAGTTCTAAACGACTTGAGAGGTTTTACATAATTTCAAGTGGCTTACAAGCTTTGCAAGTTAAACTTGGAAAATATTGTAGTAATACCAAGTAGTAGTGACATAAAGGCTTAAGAGACTCACGTAATTGGGATTTTGAGATTATTTTGTCCAATTCACATTTTACAGATTTAAAAATGTAGACCAGAGAGATGAAGTAACTGGTTCAATTAATATACGACACAGATACAAGACTTTGAGTAGAGCCTAGATCCTTTGAGATTAGTCTATTTCTTATAATCATTCTGTCTTCTTTGAAGTCAAATCAATGTTTTTGTACAATGTGAAAAACAGTAGTTGACACTTTATATAACTTTTTTCCTAACCTCATATAGATTTAACTAGACCACTAGGACTTAAAATCTGTTTTGTTAAATAGAAAGGAAACAAACAAGTCTTCAATTATTCTCTAAGTTTGTTTTCTTTGCATTATAATAGTGATATATATTTATTATAAAACATGAACCATGATCTCGCCATCCAAAAGTAATCCTTACTAATATTGGGAACTATACAAATTTTTTATTAACTTGAATTTAATGCATGGCATTCTTTGCCATGGGCAAAACAATTCTTTTAAGTTCCTCCTACTGTTGGAAATGTATAGAACGGTCTTTATTAATGTTGAATTATACAGACTTTCCCTTAAGTAACTGAAACGTGCATAATTGGCTCTGAAAAGGAAAGAAATTACTAATATTCTAGCACACATAATCTATCTTCCACATGGCTAGCATAATATTTTAAGTAGAAAGTTATTCCCCTTCAAGTAACAAGGTAAACAAAAGAATTATTGCTTCCTTCTTGTTTGAAATTTGGTTAGGCCTCAGTGGAATGGCTCAAAGGGCAACTTCAGAATGGTCTTACTACTTTCCCAATATACTATCTAAAATTGCTTACGTTGCTGTCTTCTTTAAATCCCATGAATAGCTCACTGTGACCTCTGGTTAAATAGCGACTCATTGTCATGACGCACAAGGTTGTCATTTTGTTTATATTTTTGTTAAAGGCAAACAATTGGTTTTCAAGAAGAGCGGAAACCAAACTGGAGAGGCATCCATAGCTTCATTTCAGTGCTCTGCCACTTTGCTTTTCTCCACGTCACCTGTCTTGTGTTCACCTCTGTTCTGCCTCACAGCTCTAGCTTATTCATGGTTTTTGCTCGCCATGGAGTTGGCTTTACATGTTATCTTCAATGCCTACATGCTACCTTGTGACTGTCTTAGTTGTACTGAAAATCAGTTCATTCTTTTGATAGTTTTCTGTTTAAAATTCTAGAGAATAAAATTCTGATTTTTTTTCCATGCCATCTTATAGGTTGCTATCTGGCTTATGAGTTGGCTATTCTAGGAAAAGGTGATCACCCTAAGTTTCCAGCAGAAGTGATGGTTAAGGGTAGTGATAAAGTTGGTAGAGTCATATTGTATAAGACTTGGCAGATGCTTTAAGCGAGGCCATGAAGGACAAAGAATTCAACTTGATACAAAGATTATTTACCATCTGGCTTAAATCTACCCTTTTGTCATTACTTGCACTTACTAACCAAGATGCTATGCATACCTGCAATACAGCCACACTGTAAGTATTTATTATTTATTATTCCCCGAACAAGCCATTTTCTAGCTGACTTTAAATCACTGTTTATGCTACTCTCTCTTATTGGAATAGTCTTCCTTTAGTTTTTATCTGGTGAAATCTTCTATAAGATGTATCTAAAACATTATAATCTTCATAAACATTTTCTAGGGATTTTGGTGACTTCCTCATAAGCACTTTTATAAACCATTTATATATGCCATATAAATGCATAGTATTAAATTGTTTATTTGCCCTTTTCCCCATAGAATATTCTTTAAATTCAGGGATTGTGGTGTTTCATTCATCTCTGAATTCTACTTTTAACAGATAATGGATACTCAATATATGTGTGTTGAAAAGAAAACATTAAGATGATGCAGAAGTAGCTACTCCTAATGGCTATATCATTATCATAATTATGGTTCTCTGGGAATACCTGTAGTTGATTCACAAATCTGTTACCCAAGATGTGATAAGTGCAAGCGGAAAGTATGTACTAAGCATGAAACTCACTCAAAATTTGGGCCAATTAACCAGAGTACTGGTGTATTTTTCACCATTTGGTCTCTATTTGACTAACAAGTGTTGCAGATGGATTTTTATTGCTCTCTTATTTGCTTCCAATCTGAGTAATTGGTTGGAGGAAATTTCCTGTTCTGAAGGAAATTTCATTTGTGTCCGAAGGTAGTGATTTATTTATTTATTTATTTATTTATTTATTTTGAGATGGAGTTTTGGTCTTGTTGCCCAGGCTGGAGTGTAATGGTGCAATCTTGGCTCACCACAACCTCCACCTCTGGGTTCAAGCAATTCTCCTGCATCAACCTCCTGAGTAGATGGGATTACAGGCATGTGCCACCATGCCCTGCTAATTTTTGTATTTTTAGTAGAGATGGGGTTTCTCTGTGTTGGCTGGTCTCGAACTCCCAGCCTCAGGTGATCCATCTGCCTTGGCCTCCTAAATTGCAGGGAATACAGGAATGAGCCACCGCGCCCGGCTGGTAGTGATCTTGTATTTACTCCTGATTTGGGGTGTTTGTCAACATGTACAGGGGCAATTTGGGGACAATTCCTTATTTGGAGCTGTTTACTCTTCCTGTTTCTTACCTCTAGTATTATCGCAAGTGGCTCCTAGCTTAAGTGGGCTTTCAATGAGGACCTTACTGGAAATACCTGTAGCCTAAATAAATAAATAAAAACTTGCCAACAATACCGTGTCAAGAAGGCTGGCTTTAAAATCCAGCTTGAAGAAGCCTCATTTAAATGACTGTTTGTAATCTGGTCCTCATATGTCTACCATGTGCTACTTCCCATTCTAGGTGCTGAAGAATTAAGAGAAAAGATACATTTCCACACTTGTGGCGTTTACAATCTAATCTGGCATATCATAAACACTTGTTACAATGTGTGTAGGGAGTGCTAGCATGAAAAAAGCACAGGGTGCTTTGTGACTCCATAAAAATGGCACTATCCAGACTCAACTTACAGGGGAAAAACCTGAATTAAGTGCCAGCAAAGCAAAACTACTATAATAAAAATGAATTTTTTTAAAAAAAAACAATGATTAATCTAGCCATAGCAGCAGCTAGAATACTCTTATTCATTTTATAAGTTCTCAGTTTATGCTCGATAGAGATGGTTGACACAAGTTAGGAAACTTAACCTAAGTAGTATTCAGCATGACCAGGACTTCTTAGAGAACATCCATAACATATTGGACGATGAAAAACCACTTCATAGTGTCTTTGGTAGTCTGCACCAGCCTTTCATTCTAAACATTCGGTAAAGCAGGTGAAATGCAATGGTGACAGCTTTGATGAGATCCTTGTCCACAAATACCCTAACTTGACTGAAAGAAATGTGAGCCTGTTGTCAGAAATAATTGTGTCTGGCAGCCTGTATGCTACAAGAAACTGGCATGGAGTCACATTGTCATCCCAGAGGCTTGAGGTAGAAGTGAAAGACTTGATGTCACTGTGAGAAGCAGTATACTAAAGGGCAAAGTTTTCATCTCATAACAAGATCAATGTGAAGTCCTGGTCCAACTCTTTTGGTCTTTTCCCACTGGAAAATTAGGTGTCTTACTCAGTTATGCCAAGTAGCCTGGCATGTGGCATGTACTAACTTCCTTTAGACTTTTCAATATCAGAATTAATTTGAGGCCATCAAATAGAACTTCTAGCCAAGACTTTCAAGTAGACAATTCCCAGATGTGCTATGTGTAGTGAAGCCAAGATAATGTCTTCTGAAATCATAATGTAACTTCTCTACAAAATACATCCCTCATGTTAAGAAAATTCATATGGATGTTTTGAGATTGGCTTTAATTTTTTTGGTCAGTTCCTATGATAGCCTTCACCATATTTGCTTTATGACAAGGGACAGTCTGGGTTTCTTTTAATTTAATTACCTTATTTCATCAGCTTGAAAATAAGAATCAAGGAAGCCTTCACTTATCTAATCTTCCAGTGGTAGTGGCACATATGTTTTGATATCTGTTGGGGTAGATATTCCCAACTACTTGATATTGATGATGTTCTCTGAACTATAATTGATGGTAGAGTGAATAGAAAACTTAAATCATTGCGCAAACTCATCAGGTATATAAATCTGAAAGTTCCTAACATGGGATATTGAGAGCTAGAAGTCTGGCAGGAACATAATACAAGTTTTTCTTTGCTTTAAGATGGAAATCCTCTCAAAATAAGGATTTCAGGAAGCAACTGAAAGGATATCAACCCTTTCAATACAGTTGTCAGCACATATTTTTCAAAGAGAGGAGAAAAAGAAGTATTTATTTGTAGATTATGGATTGTCTACCTGAAATATCTAAGAGGCTCAAGTGAAAAGTTATTAGTACCAGAAAAAGAGTATAACAACTAGGAAAATTACAAAGTAAGTATACAAAAGCAATTGCTTCATATTTGTTTTCAAACTGCTTATTGTTACTAAAACACAAAAAGACTTACAAATTAGTGAAATTGAAAAAAATCTCACAAATTATAACTTACCTCTGAGTAAGCTTAAGAAATGTGCACAGTTTATACCTAGAAAATAGAAATGAAAGTGGCAATGCTAATGACAAGAGAAATGTTATTGAGGGACAGAATGAACAGAGATACATTTTTGAATTGAAAGAATCAATAGCTTAAATTAATCAGTGTATAAATTCAATGCAGCCTGATCAAAACCTCAGTAGGATTTTTTTGTATCTAATTCTATATTTTAATGTTTTTTATTGTTTAGCATTATGTTATGTAAATTTCCAAACATACACAAAAGTCAAGAGAATAATTAATGGACTTCCCTGTATGTGTCGCTCAGGCTCAGTGTCAGCAGTTACTAGCATAAAGCCAGAGTTTATTTACTTATACTCCCAGTTATACCCCACCCTCATGGATCATCTTGAAGCAAATCTCAAACATCATATAATTCATCTCAGTGTAACTCTAAAAGAGACGCACTAAAAAAAAATGCTATAATGCTATCATTCTACTTTAAAAAGTTAGCAAAAATTTGATGACTTCGAATCAAATACCAGTCAACACCAAATTCAATATGCACACACAAACACAAACACACACACACACTGTCAATTTTTGAAACAGGATCAAAAGTAGTTCCTCATATTGTATCGAAAAATTAATTGTAGATTAATATAAGTCTACAATTCCTTTAAACTTGAAAGACTGGTGCAGACTACCAAAAGACACTCTGAAGTGGACCTTTGAAGATACTTTTGAAGATAGACTTTCTCTTCTATTTTCCACTTGTATTCTATTTGTTAAAGAAACTGGGTTATTTGTCCTGTAGAATTTCCCACTTTTGGATGTTGTTGAATGCATCTCCATGATATGGCTTAAAATTTTCCTCTGATCCTTTGCTTCCTGTAAGCTATTTCTAGGCATAGAGTTTTGATCAGATCCAGGTTTGATGTTTTGGCAAGAATACTTCATTCAAGATGCTGAGTTCCTTCTACTGCATTCTATCAGGAAGCCCATAATATCTAATATCTCTTCGTTATGGTGTTAAGATTGATCCTTAGATTTAAGTGTGGTTGGCCTGATTCACCCATTATCAAGTTCCCTGTCAACTATTCATCTAATGCTTTAGTAGTCACTGATGATTATTACATAGATCTATTTGTTCAACAGAGATTGTAAAATAGTAATATTCTGTTATTCCTTTTTCATTTATTAGCTGGAATTCTAAAGTTTTTATTAAAATATTTTTATTATGGTAAGAACCCTTAACATGAGATCTACTTCTTAACAAAATTTTAAGTGCACAAAACAGTATTATTAACTATAGGCACAATGTTGTACACAGATCTGTAGGATTTATTTATCTTTTATAAATGAATCTTTATAGCTATTAAAAAGCAATTTTCTCTTTCCTCCTCACCCAATGCCTGGCAACCACCATTTACTCTCTGTGAATTTGACTATTTTAGATACCTCATGTAAGTGAAATTATGTATTTGTCCTTCCATGACTGGCTTATTTCACTTAGCGTAATGCATGTAGCAAAATTTCCTTCTGTTTTTAGGCCAAACACTACTCCACCATTATGTGTATATACCATGTTTTTCTTTATCTAGTCATGATCAATGGGCAATTAGGTGCTTGTTATATCTTGACTATTACGAATATTGCTGCAATTAACATGGGAGGGCAGATATCTCTTCAAGATCTTGATTTCAATTTTTTAAAAATTATGCTTTAAGTTCTAGGGCACATGTGTACAACATGTAGGTTTGTTACATTGGCATACATGTGGCATGTTGGCTTGCTGCACCCATCAACTCGTCATTTACATTCGGTATTTCGCCTAATGCTATCCCTTCCCCAGTCCTCCAACCCCCAATAGGCCCCAGAGTGTGATGTTCCCTGCCCTGTGTCCATGTGTTCTTATTGTTCAATTCCCACCTATGAGTGAGAACATGTGGTGTTTGGTTTTCTGTCCTTGTGATAGTTTGCTGAGAATGATGGTTTCCAGCATCATCGATGTCCCTGCAAAGGACATGCACTCATCTTTCTTATGGCGTCATAGTATTCCATGGTGTATATGTGCCACGTTTTCTTAATCCAATCTATTATTGATGGACATTTGGGTTGGTTCCAAGTCTTTGCTATTGAGAATAGTGTCACAATAAACACACGTGTGCATGTGTCTTTATAGTAGCATGATTTATAATCCTTTGGGTATATACCCAGTAATGGGATGGCTGGGTCAAATGGCATTTCTACTTCTAGATCCTTGAGGAATTGCCACACTGTCGTCCATAATGGTTGAAATAACTTACACTCCCATCAACGGTGTAAAAGCGTTCCTATTTCTCCACATCCTCTCCAGCATCTGTTGTTTCCTGACTTTTTAATGATCACCATTCTAATTGGCATGAGATGGTATCTCATTGTGGTTTTGATTTGCATTTATCTGATGACCAGTGATGATGAGCATCTTTTCAAGTGTGTGTTGGCTGCTGCATAAATGTCTTCTTTTGAGAAGTGTCTGTTCATATCCTTTGCCCACTTTTTGATGGGGTTGTTTGTTTTTTTCTTGTAAATTTGTTTGAGCTCTTTGTAGATTCTGGATATAAGCCCTTTGTCAGATGGGTAGATTGTAAAATTTTTCTCCCATTCTGTAGCTTGTCTGTTCGCTCTGATGATGGTTTCTTTTGCTGTGCAGAAGGTCATTAGTTTAACTTGATCCCATTTGTCTATTTTGGCTTTTGTTGCCATTGTTTTTGGTGTTTTAGTCATGAAGTCTTTGCCCATGCCTATGTCCTGAATGGTATTGCCTGGGTTTTCTTCTAGGGTTTTTGGGGTTTTAGGTCTTACATTTAAGTCTTTAATCCATCTTGAATTAATTTTTGTATAAGATGTAAGGAAGGGATCCAGTTTCAGCTTTCTACATATGGCTAGCCAGTTTTCCCAGCACCATTAATTAAATAGGGAATCCTTTCCCCATTTCTTGTTTTTGTTAGGTTTGTCAAAGATCAGATGGCTGTGGATGTGTTATTTCTCAGGCCTCTGTTCTGTTCCATTGGTCTATATATCTGTTTTGGTACCAGTACCATGCTGTTTTGGTTACTGTTGCCTTGTAGTATAGTTTGAAGTCAGGTAGTGTGATACCTTGTTCTTTTTGCTTAGGATTATCTTGGCTATGCAGGCTCCTTTTTGGTTCTATATGAACTTTACAGTAGTTTTTTCCAATTCTGTGAAGAAAGTCATTGGTAGCTTGGTGAGGACGACTTTGAATCTATAAATTACCTTGGGCAGTACGGCCATTTTCATGATGTAAATTCTTCCTATCCATGAGCATGGAATGTTCTTCCATTTGTTTGTGTCCTGTTTTATTTAATTGAGCAGTGGTTTGTAGTTCTCCTTGAAGAGGTCCTTCACATCCCTTGTAAGTTGGATTCCTAGGTATTTTATTCTCTTTGTAGCAATTGTGAATGAGAGTTCACTCATGATTTGGCTCTCTGTTGGTCTGTTATTGGTGTATGGGAATGCTTGTGATTTTTGCACATTGATTTTGTATCCTGAGACTTTGCTGAAGTTGCTTATCAGCTTAAGGATATTTTGGGCTGAGACAAGGGGGTTTTCTAAATATATAATCATGTCATCTGCAAACAGGGACAATTTGACTTCCTCTTTTCCTAACTGAATACCCTTTATTTCGTTCTCTTGCCTAATTGTCCTGGCCAGAACTTCCAACACTATGTTGAATAGGAGTGGTGAGAGAGGGCATCCTTTTCTTATGCCGGTTTTCAAAGGGAATGCTTCCAGTTTTTGTCCATTCGGTATGATATTGGCTGTGGGTTTGTCATAAATAGCTCCTATTATTCTGAGATACATTCCATCAATACCTAGTTTATTGAGAGTTTTTAGCAGGAAGGGCTATTGAATTTTGTCGAAGGCCTTTTCTGCATCTATTCAGATAATTGTATGTTTTTTGTCGTTGGTTCTGTTTATGTGATGGATTATGTTTACTGATTTGTGTATGTTGAACCAGCCTTGAATCTCAGGGATGAAGCTGACTTGATCATGGTGGATAAGCTTTTTGATGTGCTGCTGGATTCGGTTTGCCAGTATTTTATTGAGGATTTTTGCATCGGTGTTCTTCAGGGATATTGGTCTAAAATTCTCTTTTTTTGTTGTGTGTCTGCCAGGCTTTGGTATCAGTATGATGCTGGCCTCATAAAATGGGTTAGGGAGGATTCCCTCTTTTTCTATTGATTGGAATAGTTTCAGAAGGAATGGTATCAGCTCCTCTTTGTACTTCGGGTAGAATTCATCTGTGAATCTGTCTGGTCCTGGACTTTTTTCGTTGGTATGCTATTAATTATTGCCACAATTTCAGAACCTCTTATTGGTCTATTCAGAGATTTAACTTCTTCCTAGTTTAGTCTTGGGAGGGTGTATGTGTCCAGCAATTTATCCATTTCTTCTAGATTTTCTAGTTTATTTGCATAGAGGTGTTATAGTATTCTCTGGTAGTTTGTATTTCTGTGGGATCGGTGGTGATATCCATTTTATCGTTTTGTATTGCATCTATTTGATTCTTCTCTCTTTTCTTCTTTATTTGTCTTGCTAGTGGTCTATCAATTTTGTTGATCTTTTCAAAAAACCAGCTCCTGGATTCATTGATTTTTTGAAGTGTTTTTTTGTGTCTCTATCTCCTTCAGTTCTGCTCTGATCTTAGTTATTTTTAGCCTTCTGCTAGCTTTTGAATTTGTTTGCTCTTGCTTCTCTGGTTCTTTTAATTGTGATGTTAGGGTGTCGATTTTGTATCTTTCTTGCTTTCTCTTGTGGGCATTTAGTGCTATAAATTTCCATCTACATACTGCTTTAAATATGTCCCAAAATTCTGGTACATTGTGTCTTTGTTCTCACTGGTTTTAAAGAACATCTTTATTTCTGCCTTCATTTCGTTATTTACCCAGTAGTCATTCAGGAGCAGGTTGCTCAGTTTCCATGTAGCTGTGTGGTTTTGAGTGAGTTTCTTAACCCTGAGTTCTAATTTGATTGCACTGTGGTCTGAGAGACAGTTTGTTGTGATTTCTGTTCTTTTACATTTGCTGAGGAGTGTTTTACTTCCAATCATGTGGTCAGTTTTATAATAAGTGCAATGTGGTGCTGAGAAGAATGTATATTGTGTTGATTTGGGGTGGAGAGTTCTGTAGATGTCTAATAGGTCCGCTTGGGGGTACAGAGCTGAGTTCAAACCATGAATATCCTTGTTAGCCTTCTGTCTCATTGATCTGTCTAATATTGACAGTGGTGTGTTAAAGTCTCTCATTATTATTGTGTGGGAGTCTAAGTCTCTTTGTAGGTCTCTACAGACTTGCTTTATGAATCTGGGTGCTCCTGTATTGGGTGCATACATATTTAGCATAGTTAGCTCTTCTTGTTGAATTGATCCCTTTACCATTATGTAATGGCCTTCTTTGTCTCTTTTGATCTTTGTTGGTTTAAAGTCTGTTTTATCAGAGACTAGGATTGCAACCCCTGCTTTTTTTTGGCTTTCCATTTGCTTGGTAGATCTTCCTCCATCCCTTTATTTTGAGCCTATGTGTGTCTCTGCACATGAGGTGGGTCTCCTGAATACAGCACACTGATGGGTCTTGACTCTTTATCCAATTTGCCAGTCTGTGTCTTTTAATTAGGGCATTTAACCCATTTACATTTAAGGTTAATTTTGTTATGTGTGAATTTGATCCTGTCATTATGATGTTAGCTGGTTATTTTACCTGTTAATTGATGTGGTTTCTTCATAGCATCTATGGTCTTTAGAATTTGGCATGTTTTTGCAGTGGCTGGTACCAGTTGTTCCTTTCCATGTTTAGTGCTTCCTTCAGGAGCTCTTGTAAGGCAGACCTGGTGGTGACAAAATCTCTCAGCATTTGCTTATCTGTAAACGATTTTATTTCCCCTTCACTTATGAATGGTAGTTTGTCTTGATATGAAATTCTGTGTTGAAAATTCTTTTCTTTAAATGTTGAATATTGGCCCCCACTCTCTTCTGGCTTGTAGAGTTTCTGCTGAGAGATCCGCTGTTAGTTTGATGGGCTTCCTTTTGTGGGTAACCCGACCTTTCTCTCTGGCTGCCCTTAACATTTTTTCTTTTATTTCAACCTTGGTGAATCTGACAAGTATGTGTCTTGCAGTTGCTCTTCTCGAGGAGTATCTTTGTGGTGTTCTCTGTATTTCCTGAATGTGAATGTTGGCCTGCTTTGCTAGACTGGGGAAGTTCTCCTGCATAATATCCTGAAGAGTGTTTTCTAATTTGGTTCCATTCTCCGTGTCACTTTCAGGTACACCAATCAGATGTAGATTTGGTCTTTTCACATAGTCCCATATTTCTTGGAGACTTTGTTCATTTCTTTTTACTCTTTTTTCTCTAATCTTGTCTTCTTGCTTTATTTCATTAATTTGATCTTCAATCACTGATATCCCTTCTTCCACTTGATCGAATTGGCTACTGAAGCTTGTGCCTGTGTCATGAAGTTCTCATGCCATGGTTTTCAGCTCCATCAGGCCATTGAAGGTCTTCTCTACACTGTTTATTCTAGTTAGCCATTCATCTAACCTTTTTTCAAGGTTTTTTTTCTAATCCTTCCCATGGGTTAGAACATGCTCTTTTAGCTCAGAGAAGTTTGTTATTACCGACTTTCTGAAGCCTACTTCTGTCAACTTGTCAAAGTCATTCTCCGTCCAGCTTTCTTCCATTGCTGGCGAGGAGCTGTGATCCTCTGGGGGAGAAGAGGCACTCTGTTTTTTTGAAATTTTCTGCTTTTCTGTTCTGGTTTCTCCCCATCTTTGTGGTTTTATCTACCTTTGGTCTTTGACATTGGTGACCTGCAGATGGGGTTTTATTGGGGATGTCCTTTTTGTTGATGTTGATGCTATTCCTTTCTGTTTGTTAGTTTTCCTTGTAACAGTCAGGCCCCTCAGCTGCAGGTCTGTTGGAGTTTGCTGGAGGTCCACTCCAGCCCCTTTTGCCTGGGTTTCACCAGTGGAGGCTGCAGAACAGCAAGTATTGCAGAACAGAAAATATTACTGCCTGATCCTTCCTCTGGAAGCTTTGTCCCAGAGGGGCAGCCACTTGCATGAGTTGTCTGTCGGCCCCTACTGGGAGGTGCCTCCCAGTCAGGCTACACAGAGTCAGGGATCCACTTGAGGGGGCCGTCTGTTTGTTCTCAGAGCTCAAACACTGTGCTGGGAGAACCCCTGCTCTCTTCAGAGCTGTCACACAGGGGCCTTTAAGTCTGAAGTTGTCTGCTGCCTTTTGTTGAGCTATGCCCTGCCCACAAAGGTGGAGTCTATAGAGGCAGTAGGCCTTGTTGAGCTGCGGTGGGCTCCGCTCAGTTTGAGCTTCCTGGCTGCTTTGTTTACCTACTCAAGCCTCAGCAGTGGCAGATGCTTCTCCCCCTGCCAGGCTGCAGCCTGGCAGGTTGATCTCAGACTGCTGTGCTAGCAGTGAGCAAGGCTCTATGGGCGTGGTACCTGCTGAGCCAGACATGGGAGGGAATCGCCTGGTCTGCCGGTTGCTAAGACCATTGAAAAGCACAGTATTTGGGGGGAAGTGTACCGTTTTTCCCGGTACAGTCTGTCATGGCTTCCCTTGTCTAGAAAAGGGAAATCCTCCGAACCCTTGCACTTCCTGGGTGAGGCAATGCCCCGCCCTACTTTGGCTCACCCTCCGTGGGCTGCACCCACTGTCCAACCAGTCCCAATGAGATGAACTAGGTACCTCAGTTGGAAATGCAGGTCTGCGTCGATCTTGCTAGGAGCTTCCGACCGGAGCTGTTCCTATTTGGCCATCTTGGAAACGACCATCTTGATTTCAGTTCTTTTGAATATATTCCCAGAAGTGGGATTGCTTGGTCATGTGGTAATTCTGTTTTTATTTTTTGAGGAAACTCCATACTGTTTTCCACAAAAGCTGTGTCATTTTACATTCTCATTAACAGTGGACAAAGGTTCCAGGTTCTCCATATCTTTGCTGACATTTGAGTTGTTGTTGTATTTTTCTATAATAGCCATCCTAGCAGGTGTGTGGCGATAACTCATAATTTTGATTTGCATTTCCCTTATAGTTAGTGAAGTTACTGTTTGATATAACCTGTTTGCCATGTTTATGTGTTCTTTGAAGAAATGTCTATTGAAGTCCTTTGCCCATTTTTAATTGGATAATTTAGTTTTCTGCTGTTGAATTGTAGGGGTTCCTCATATATTTTGGATATTAATCTCTTATCAGATATGTGATTTGTAAATATTTTCTCTCATTCCATAGATTACCTTTTCATTCTGTTTATTGTTTTCTTTGCAGTGCAGAAGCTTTTAAGCCTGATGTAGTCCCAGTCATCTAATTTTGCTTTTGTTGCATGAGCTTCTGGTATCATATCCAAGAGATCATTGCCCCATTGCCAAGCTCAGTGTCATGAAACTTTCCCATTATATTTTCTTCTAGGAGTTTTACATTGCCAGATTTTACATGTAAATCTGTAATCTATTTTGAGTTGATTTTTGTGTCTAGTGTGTGGTAAGTTAGTGTGAGG
Source organism: Homo sapiens (assembly GCF_000001405.40). NCBI lineage: Eukaryota > Metazoa > Chordata > Mammalia > Primates > Hominidae > Homo > Homo sapiens. The sequence continues at coordinate 66,898,663 of NC_000010.11, read as the reverse complement.
TAAGGATCCAGTTTTGTTCTTTGCATGTGGATATCCAGTTTCCTCAACATTATTTGTTGAAGATGCTATCTTTCCTCATTGTGTATTTTTTGGCACTCATGTTAAGTATATGTGTGTGGTATTATTTCTGGATGCTCTATTCTGTTCCATTGGTCTGTCTGTTTTTTGTTTGTTTGCTTGTTTGTTGCCAGCACCATACTGTTTTGACTATTGTAGCTTTGTAGTATATTTTGAAGTCAGGAAATATGATGCCTCAATCTTTGTTCTTCTCTCTCAAAATTGCTTTAGCTTTACAGATACTTTGTAGTTCCATATGAATTTTAGGATTTTTATTCTGAAATCCCTGATTCTACAAAGAACAACCTTACTATATTATGTGTGTATTTATATTGAGTCACATTTTGTACAGAGAAGGCAGAAATAATGCAAGCTACTCTCTCTAATGATAAGTGATTGGTTCTCTAAAATTCCGTAGATATGACCATTGAGTTGTTTTTAAATGTCATTATGACTGCATAGATTTTGTGATATTTGGTATTTTTCAATCCATTGCAGTTATTGTTCCTTATGATGTTCAGTTTATCTCATTTGCCAATAGGAATTCTTTCACTTTTGCTCCTGAGTCCTTTTGATATGATTCCACTAGTCATTAGCACATTTTCACTTTCTGGTAGGACAAATTAGCCTCTTCTCTTATATTTTCTGACCTGACCAGGACATAACCATATCAATAAGGCACCTTGGTTCCTTTTGTATCCACAGTCCAGGTACTGGAAATGTTCATTTCTCACTTAGTCACTGTTTCTAGGTCTTTTCTGAAGAGAAGTTTTGAAAGAGAAATATTTTGCATGTTTATGTTGATATTTTTATACTTCTAATTTAAGTTTGAGTTTATAGGTTTTTGTTTTCAATTTTAATTCATATGTTTATCTCTTTTCTCTTAAACTAAAAGTGTTAGTTTTATATGATTCTATATATGCAACAATTTAATAGTATTCTAAGAGTAACTCATATTATTAACAATTTGATGAATAAAAATGATTTAAGATTTCCTTGCATTTTTCATTGTCCTTAGAAAATACCCACCAGGAGTATACAATCAAGTTATTGGTTTTTGCCTTTTAAAATAATTTGTTGTTGGTTAAACTACCAATCCATACACAGTTATATTCCCTTTTTAAATTTTCTTTTAATTTTTATGAATTACTGTTTTACTTTGAATTAATTTTGTTTAATAATTATTTGAAACATTTTCATGTTTCCAAAGTCAAAACCTCAAAGTAAAGCACATTTGGAGAAGTGTAACTTATCTTGTTTGCTTTACTTTGTCCCTTTTCTTCCCATGGATATCCCCACTTTTATTAATTTTTGGTTTAAAATATATATATGTACACACATACACACACACATCTTTATATTTTCCTATATATATAAAAGGTAGCATACTGTATATGCTTAAACACTTTGCTTATTTTCATAGGAATAATATATTATAACAATATTTAGTAATATTTCTCATTTTTTTCACACAAAGCAGACATTTTAAGCATGAGACCTATCAGGATTCAGGATGGGTAATCTCATTCATTCATTCAATAAACTTTTGCTGAGAACTCAATAAAAGTAGGGGTGATGTTCTTGGATACTAAGATTAATACACCACAGCTTCTGTCAGAATGGAGCTTCAGATGCAGTAGCAGAGAATTCACTTAAAGCAAGGATTGCTCCTCAATGGTAAGGACTAATGGAGGTGAGCATGGGGTGCTACTGCAGGAGCGCAACAAGGAACACAAAACTCAAGACTGAGAGGCCTTGAGCCGACTCCTACAGAATGGTCAGAAGTTAACCAGGTTAAAGGTAGAAACAGGAAGGTTCAGGAAGAGGGAAAGGCATACAAGAAGTCCCATGGATGATGAAATGAGAGCATGGACGCTAGCAAGAGGAGGCTAGAGAAACAGATGAGGAAGGCCGTGACTGGTGAAGTCCTTGTACTATGGGTGTGGCCTGGAAGATTCTCACTGGCCCAGAAAGGGAAAAAAAGGAACCTTTTAGGCAGGAGTTAGGTTTTATAAAAACCACTCTTCATTCAGTTATTTACCAGCATTATTTAAGAAATGATCTGTAGTCCATGTTACTGTCAGTCAGGTTCTTAAATATCAGAACACAGCCTGTTGGATACACCATAAAATTTGCAGCCTTTAATAAAATATCATTATTAGTGTAAATAAACAAAAACAAACAAAGCTGTGGCCCAATTATCCATCATCTGGCTAACCACACCCCCTAAACTTGTTATGTAATCTAGAAATATGAAAGAAACAAAATATGAATTCTGTTTTATAGAGTCCATTAGCCTACTTAAATAACAGAGTTATAGCTATTTAGGCCTAGAAGGAAGGATATATTCAGTTGTAAGGCACAAGAAAGTCATGGCACTCTTTGTGGAGCACCATGCAGTATTTACCTTTGAATTTTAGAATAAATATCAGATCTTGTGCTAAACTTGTTCCTATTGTATGCATTGTTTATGGCAACTATTTTATTTTATTTTATTTTATATTTTTTTGAGATGAAGTTTAACTCTTGTTGCCCAGGCTGGAGTGCAATGGCGCAATCTCGGCTCACCACAACCTCCACCTCCTGGGTTCAAGCAATTCTCCTGCCTTAGCCTCCCAAGTAGCTTGGATTACAGGCATGTGCCACCATGCCCAGCTAATTCTGTGTGTTCTTTTTTTTTTTTTTTTTTTTTGTAGAGACAGGTTTTCTCCATGTTGGTCAGGCTGGTCTCGAACTTCTGACCTCAGGTTATCCTCCCACCTTGGCCTCCCAAAGTGCTGGGATTATAGGCGTGAGCCACCATGCCTGGCCCAACTATTGTTTATGTGATGCTTAGGTCTGTACTGTTCTAGTGCTTTATGTGTATTACTTCCATTAATCCTCCTGGCTTCTTTATAAAGAAGCACTTGTATTATCCTCATTTTATAAACGAGGAAAACTGAGGCATAAAGAAATGGACTGTATCAATTATAGGTGGTGAATGGTAGGGATTCACATGTAGGCAGTCTGACTCCAGGGTGGGTGCTGTTAATTGTAATAGCATACCATGTCTCTCTCCTGGAATATAAAAGAAAGAAAGAAGCTGAAAGATAATAAAGGTGAAGATAATATGTGAAAGAACATTTTATATTAAGAAATTTTTAATATTAACATTTTCCCGCTTAATGAACAAATCTTTCTTGATTTTACTGATAATCCATTTTTGATCTACTTCATAAAAGTTTGAGTACTCTTAAAGGCATTGGTTGAAGATCCATTGATACCCAATGTTTGACGGATGAGGTACCTGCAGTCTTGCAAGATATAGTGACACAGCTGGTTTGTAACAAAAAGACTGCAATTCATGCCTCCTGTCTCACACAATAAAGTGTGAGAATTGGGGCATAGCTTTTGGGACTTTGAGACCCAATGTAACCAGAGGTCACTCCGAAAGGATTATATTTAGTTCTAGACCCTTCTATGCTCTAGAGAAGTGAAAGATGGAATTGAGGATGCATCTTCTTCAGGGGCTACATTTCCAAGTAGGACACTTTCTTTTTTTTTTTTTTTTTTGTTTATTTGTTTCACTTTTTCTCTATAGCTCTCGCCAATGGCACAATTATATATAAATATATATAATTTATTGTGAATTTCTTCATTTTTCAATATTGAAAATGCTCTGATCATTTTCTAAACTTCTTGCAAATGAAACGCCTACTATATATACACATAAATTACAGTATTAGTATCTACAAAGACTTGCTTCAAGGGAAACAAGATTTTTTGATTTGGTGCCACAGCTAATTGGTTTTAATTATGCATAAATAAAGCCCAAACTGCATAGTTCTATGTCTTTCCTTTCTTTGTTGAGCTTGTTGTGCTTTGAAAAAATCTACAATGTAATCAGTGATACGTATTATCAGAAATATAATTGCAAATGTCTTAATTAAAATATACATTCACACAAATATGAGGAATAAGAAAATTAATTTTTCAGTAAGTATATAGACTCCTATACTAAAATGTTTTATTATTTTTTTAACATCCGGTTACAAAAATATTTTGTTTATACTATATTAAGTTGCCCTTATTTTATATCTTTAAGTTCTTTCTTTTGTCTTTTAGATAACTTTTAAAATCTTCTCAATGAAGAAACAAGCTTGAGTCAGATATTTTGTAACATTTTGACATATTTAAGAGAAAGGAAGAGAGAGGGAAGCTTGTAAAATAAAGGCTTATATAAGAAGACATAAGAACAAGCAACTTAAAGAAACAGAAAATCAGGGTTCTGGATAGACTTTAGAGTGATAAAGTGGATAGAATATGGTTTCCGGTATTGTTCCCTGTCATGAGTTCTGTTCAAACTCCTTTACCTGTAAAACTCTGCTCAAGTTATTAACCATCTCTGCAACTCAGCTTTCTTTTTTTTAATTATAAAAATTAACGTGTATAAATTACTTCTGAAGTTGTTTTGAGAACATGTGACACCATCTAATAAATTCATGGATAAACACCTAATTAATATTTTTGTTTTATTTGTATATATTTTGTTAGACACATGATTTAAGGTAACATGCAATAACTTTTTTCTTTCTGTTATGATTTATTCTCCAAAAATAAATTTGTAGATGATACCAGTTGATTCAGAGAATTTTAAAAATACATATATTAAACACCTATTGCTTTTCTTACAGCATTAGATACAAAAAACATAAGGATGAGAAAAATTGTGCTGCTATTGCAAAGAACTTGTAAACTTTTTCTGCTGACCTCTGGCAGAAGGACTTCCTTGGACTCAGTCTTGATTATCTGTGTTCTTTTAGGTAGTATCCACGACAAATCAAAAGGACTTAGTATGTAGCCAGAATAATTTGAGTATTTCATTCAGTACTGAAAAGATTCATCTTGCATTGAATTTGAGTACATTAGGTTTCCCTCATATTTTCCCCCCATTGATTTGCTGGACAGAGTAAACAATTCTCTAATCTTATCTTGTAAATCTTACTTTTCTTAGTCTTTGTCATCAACACTCATAAGTAGCTAGTAAGTGCAAGTCACTGTAATTAAATGGGTTTTTTTTTTTTTGAAATTCTGTTGTTTACAATATTCTCTTGGCCTGTCTCCCCTAGAAAGTTTGTACCTTAATCTATGCTTTAGACTGAGTTTATTGAATTTCTTTTATTGGCAATTCTCTGGTTGTTAGAGACATTACACATAATTATTTAGATCCTTCTAGAAGAACTCAGAGGGCCAAAATTAAACATTCTTGTTAAGACAGCTTCTCTCTGGGGATCACTTGTTAGTTTATTTAGTTATTCTTTTATGTAAGCGGTTAATCAGTGCAAGCAATGAAAAGGTATAGGGCATCTTGGCTGCTTTCTGCATTTCAAAATATTTTTGATGTCTTTTCAGATCTCCCTATAGAGAGCTTTGTAATGCTTTTCTGCAACAGAGAACTGCATGCACGGACCCAAGGGTCAAACCTTTTCTAATGTAAATTTAATGCCATGGCTTCGTGAGCTAAGATCATTTATAAATATAAAACTCACAGAAGAGCAGATTCATCTGTTACCATGTATAGTAACATCTCAAAGAGACAACTAAACATGACAGTTGAGGGGATTTGCAAGTGAAAGAGAAAAACATGAGCAGAGTTGAGAGCCATATAATTATGCTCATTCACACTGTGACTAGTTTTAAAGTGATTTATTCAAAATGGTTACCAGTGTACTCTTAGTCACCTTCTTTCTTGACTATGTGCTAATTCTGATTTTGGCATTTGTCTATAGAATATACTTGTTCTTCCTCTTGAAAGGGAATTGTGCTACATTTTCGTAGTGTTTAAATCAGTTGATCATATTTCACAATTATTCCATAACGTTAGTTATTTGAATTTCAAGTTGCAGTGTTCTTAGAGAAAGCTTAATATCTTCATTATACATACAGTCATGGCTAGCTAATTAGCATCATGAATGCTGAAGTTTAACCCTGGATGCCACTATTTCTGACTTCAAGAATATATTGGATTTTTTCACTTTAAAAAGTTTAGAAGGAAAAATATCATTGTTGAATTCTACTTCTTGGTTATTTCAAATAGGAAGCCCCCTGTAAAAGTGTCCAGACTTACTATAAATGCATTATAGTTCTCATCTATTGGTTTATAAATAAAAGCATCCTTGAACGTTTTCCAAAAGAGTAATGCGATTTACAATATAGTTAATGAAAATTAAGCTATATTGGTTTTCCGGGAGGGAAATTGCACTACATAATTAATTTTAAAAATCACTGTTTATTTATTCAGTTTATTGGGAAACAAGAAACAGATTCAAAATAATGAAGCTAAAGGAACACATTGCATTTTGACATCGTCCGTAATTAAAAGTTCAGTGTTTTGGAGGCAATTTCGTTTTGTTTGTGCCGCCATTTTAGTTGCCATTGTACTTAAAGCTTTCCTTCTCCTTTCTTATATAGGGGTTCTCAGCTTTTAAATAAAAGATGTAAAGGAATTATGGTTATTTCTGTTTTCAGAATAAGTGTCTAAAATTTTAATAATTTTAACATTTTTGTTTTGGTTTTTTATTTAGTGATTATTATACAATAGGCAAAACCATAGATCAGTATAAATAAGACAGGTAAAGTGATTTGCACAAGGTTACATGTTTGGCAATGGCAGACTAAAATGCGGCTTCTAGATATCCAGTCTAGTGTTTTTTCCCTTATCTGAACTTATGGTGCCTTGTGATTCCTTGATTTGTTAAATTTCAGAAAATAGGCATTAAGAGATTTCTAGCCCAGACAGGAATGGTACAGGAATGGTAACTTCTTTATTTGAGTGGTGACTTAGGCTAAGCTTTATATACATACAATCACACTCTACATTTGTAAAACATTCCGTAGTTTTAAAAAGTCTCTCTCATTCTCTCGTTTCCAACTTATCTTTCCCTCTCTTTCTTTCTTGCTTTCACTGTTTCAGAAAGTGAGAACTTTCTCTGAAATCTACATACAAGAAAATAAAATGAAATCATGGAAAAGGTACAGAAGCAGCTTATGACATCTACAAGGGAAATGGCTAGTTTTTTTAGGATAAAACAAATTGACTGATTATCCTTACAGTGAAGACAAAGTTTGAAGTTTTTCAGAATGTGATTAAAAATGATGAATGATATAATCAAAATATCCTTCAAAATTCTGTTTTAGAAATTTGTGTAAAAGTTTGACTTTCTTTGAATGAGGCCTTCCATAGTGAGAGTTGCTTTATGAGAGCTATCAGACCCTCATCATGAACTTAAATTGACTTAGACTGATTTCTACGGAAATGCCTAACCTGCATTTCTTTCAATTTCCCTTCATCTTTTCAATGTCTTCCAAGCTGTATGATTCACCTTAATATGTAAAAATAAAGTAAAATATATTTGTTTCTACATAATGGTCTCTATATTAACATCTTTGATGCACAATTGAAATAAAAGCTCAAATAGAAATACTGATTACAGTGGGGTAAATAGCTTACCAGAATTATTCTTATCTGGTCCTAAGATTTGGATTGGAGATATGGTAATACTTCCACTCACAAGTCCATGAGGAAAAGATGGGAGGGGAAGGGTTGGAGTTTTAATATGAACTATACCTTAGGTTGGAGATGAGCCTGGGGACTGGCCAGAGGTCTCTTCTAGAATTGAGGTGGGTGGGGCACACAAATGGCTCTTATCCTGCCCCTGCTCCTTCTCTCTGTGCTCTGAATTTCACACCTTGACTCCTTCAAAGGGCTTTACTTCAGTCCTTCAGTGGTGGCATCGTCCCTGCATCACCATTCTCTCTCTCCCTACTAAATCATTCCTAATAGTTCACCAAGATTTTTCAAAATCTTTCTTCTTAAAAAGAGAATAATCTAAAGCCTTCTCTTGGACCTTCCTTAAACCACAACTGCTCATCTCCGTTCTTTCTATACTAACCTTTTTGATGTTTTGTCGGTATCCATCAATGCTAATTCCTCATACACCATTCACTCTTCAACCCACTTCAATCTCTTTTTACTCCCATTGCACCCTTCAAATTGTTCTTGTTGAAGATCTCCATGCTACCAAATCTACTGTCCTGCTTTGCCTTAATCTTACCCCATCTCTCACCAGTATCAATACAATTGCCTACTTTCTCTGTTGAACCACTCTCCTTTCTTGCCCTCCTAGCCATCATGCACTTAAAAGAAATGTTTTCATGTTCTCCTCCTTCTTTGCTACTATTTTTTTTTTTTTGATTCTGAAATCTTTGAATGCCTCAGAGCCTCTCCTCTTTTCCTACGTTCACTTGCATACTTCTCTACTTAGGTAATATTATTCCGTTCCATGAGCCTGAAACCACCTGTAGGTTGATGATTCTCAAGTTTATATTAACTGCCAAGCCTTCAACCCTGAGCTCCAGATTTATTCATTTATCTATCTATTCTGCATCTCCACTGAGATGTCTAAAGGTTGTTTCAAACCTTACATGTCCAAAATGGAAATTTTGCTTTCCAAATTATCACTTAAATCTGTGGTTCCGGCCGGGTGCGGTGGCTCATGCCTGTAATCCCAGCACTTTGGGAAGCCAAGGCGGGTGGATCACTTGAGGTCAGGAGTTCAAGACCAGCCTAGCCAACATGGTGAAACCCCATTTCTACTAAAAATACAAAAATTAGCTGGGCGTGGTGGCGTGAGCCTGTAATCCCAACTACTTGGGAGGCTGAGGCAGGAGAATCGCTGGAACCCCGGAGGCAGGGGCTGCAGTGAGCCAATATTGCACCACTGCACTCCAGCCTTGGGGACAGAGCAAGACTCTGTCTCAAAAAAAAAAAAAAAAAAGGTCTGTGGTTCCCCTGATCTTCCCCATCTCTCTCAGCTTTTCTTCTTCTCAAGCCAAAAACACAAAAGCCCTTTTTGATTTCTCCCTCTCGTTCACTTATTTCATACCTTATGCATCATAAAATCTTATAGTTCTGCCTCTAAAATTCAGCTCCAATCTTGCTGTTTCTTATTCTTGCAAGTACCTGCTACCCTACACATACAATCCACTTAGGAGCCACGGTCATCTTTTTTTCTTTTTTTAATAGACTTTATTTTTTAGATTAATTATAAGTTCACAGCAAAATCGAATGGAAGATAGATTTACCACATACACACTGCACTCACATAGGCACAGCCTCCCCCATTGCCAACATCCCTACCAGAGTGGTACACTTGTTACAATTGCTGAACCTATATTGACATATCACCCAGAGCCCACAGTTTACATTAGTAGTAACTCCTGGTGTTGTACACTCTGTGGGTTTGGACAAATTTACAATGACATGTATCTACCATTACAGTATCATACCGAGTAGTGTTACTGCTCTAAGAATCTTCTGTGTCCCACCTATTCATCCCTCTCTCCTACCCAAGCTCTGGCATCTGCTGGATGTATTTATAGTTTTACTGCCTTCATAATTTTGTATTTCCAAGAACGTTATAGTTGGAATCATACAGTATGAAGCCTTTTCAGGTTGCCTTCTTTCACTTAGTAATATGCATTTAAGTTTCTTCCATGTCTTTTCATGGCTGGATAGCTCATTTCATTTAGCACTGAATAATATTCCATTGTCTGGATATACCCCAGTTTATTTATCTATTTGCTAAGTGAAGGACAGCTTGGTTGCTTCCAGATTTTGGCAAGTATAAATGAAGTTGCTATACACATCCGTGTGTAGGTTTTAGTGTAGACATAAGTTTTCAACTCCTTTGGGGCAAATACCAAGGATCGCAGTAGCTGGATTGTATGGTGAGAGTATGTATAATTTCGTTAAAGTGTCAAACTGTTCTCCAAAGTGGCTGTACCATTTTGTATCCCCAGCAGCAATGAATGAGAGTTCCTGTTGTTTCATATCCTTGCCAGCATTTGGTGTTATAGTGTTTTGGATTTTAACCATTCTAATAGGTGTGTAGTGGTATCTTGTTTTAATTTGCATTTCTCTATGAGGTTGTGAAGCATCTTTTCCACAGTAATCTTTTAGGAAAATCATTTTCCTCCTTAATATTTGTTATTTTTTCCCCATTGCTTAAAAAAAAAAAATGAAAAACTACCATGACCTGAAAGGCCTGCATGATCTGGTACCTGTATAGCTTAGTCATCTAGGTGTATCTTGTTGCTATAACAAATTACCACAACCTAGTGGCTTAAAACAACACACATTTATTTTCTCATAGTTCGGTATGTCAGAAGTTCAGCATGGACATCACTAGGCTAGAATCAATGTGTCAGGAGGGCTGGCTTCCTTTCTGGAGGTTCCAGGGGAGAATCTGTTTCCTTACTCTTAAAGTGTTTACAGAATTCAGTTCCAAGTGGTTGTGGGACTGATGTCTTTATTTCCTTGCTGGGTGACATCCAGGCCACTCTCAGCTTCTTGAGGCCTTTATCTAGTCCTTGCACATGGGCCACTACAGCTCAGAACCAGCAATAAGCCATCTTATACACTTCAGGCTGTTGCCTCTCTGACCACTCTTCTATAGTCACATCTTTCTCTGACCACAGCCTGGGAAGCGTCTCCACTTTTAAGAACTCCCATGATCAAAATGGGCCCTCTATATAACCCAGGGTAATTTTCTCTCTTTGTGTCTATACCATTAGTCACATCTGCACAGTCCTTTTGGTATGAATTTAAAGATTCCTGCAGACATGAGCATCTCTGGAGGGCTGTTATTCTGCCTAGCACACATCTCACGTAACCTTGAACTCCAGCCTCCAGGGAGAGTAACCTCCTTCCTGTCCTCAAATCTGCAAAGCACTCCACTACCTCAGAGAATTTGCATTTCCTGGGCCTTCCTCCTAGGATCTTTTCCTCTGGTTCTGTGCATGACAGCTGACTTAGTTAGGGATGGTTCTAAAAGTAAGTCAGATTAAACCCATAGGGATTCAGGGAGTTGAAGTTACAAAGATTTGGGGATGACAGAAGCTATAGACAAAAGATTCAGTCTGACAAGTATGATAGTAATAACTTTACTCACTCCTATCTGTTTGGGCTGTTGGTCTCTAGTTCTCGGGTACATTGGCCCTGATGAATTGTTAAGGTTGGAGAAAGTTTTGGACACATTTTTTTTTTCCTGCAACTGACATTCACTCTTGCTTTGCAGATAAGAAAATAATTACGTAAGAGTTTAACAAAAGTAATCATGAAACTTCATTTTTTCATTGTTTTTCTTCTCTAATACTAGACTTTTTCTTTTAGCATAAAGAGTTAGTAGGCTAGTGATATTTTGAAACTGAATCACATACTCAAAGAAAGAGGGCATTACTACTGAGAAAGAGTGAGAGCATCATTCATCTTTTGGATACCAGTTTGTTTTAAAGTGTATATTGCTGAGTTGCTAAGGATTTTTTCCCAAATAATAATGAGCTCCTAATTGTTAGTCTTTATCTGTTTGCATGGAGAGTGAGCAAATATATATTGTATAACTGTTAACTAGCAAACCAGTAGAGCATATAGAATGAAGCAAGTGGTGTGACAGCTCTCCTGGTGTGATGAAACTCCACAGACATCCATCACCTCATGTTTGAAGATACAGCACAGTTCTTAGAAATGCCATTGCTATTTACAACTCAACATTAGTTTGAGACTGGTAAATCAATCAGTCAATCAAAATCTCTCCCTTTAAAACAGTACCATTTTTCTAATAAAGACAAACAAATTGGCCTCAGGATTGATTTGGAGTTTGATGGACTGAAGAAAAAAAAGCTTTTCTCCATTTATATTCTGAGAAATGTAAGCCTTGCATTTAATTCTGTTGCTTCACACTGAGTAAGGAAAATGGTGTATCTCAGGACATGTTCTGACGTAATAACAATGAAATGGGCCAGTCTGAAATGGGGTAAGAACTGGAATTCAGGAAACGGGATGCAGGTATGGAATGGGATTAGACATGAGACAGAATTCCAGCCTTTCTGGAAAAATCTAGCTCCTGTCAACTAGCACTTGTTAAGGCTATTGATTGGCTGAGGATGTTGGCAGAACAGTGAATTAGATGGTCCTGGAGGTAGAATTCATAACATGTCGATGGAAAATCTATGAGCAGATAACAGTGAAAAGCAGAACTTTATGAGTCCTTGGAGGTAAGCATGTAGGCAGAATGAGGGAGTACCCTGTTTCTGAGGGTCTAAAGCATGCAGTTCAACATAAGGGTCCCAGTATCAGGGATGTGATGAAGGCAGACATTGGGATTGGAGACAGAGTGAAGATACCTGAATACAAAACCACAGGACCATTAGGTTGATTTCATGCTCAGTCACAGATCATGGAGCCAGAGCTTCTTTAGTCTATCCTGCCTGAGGTCACAAATGGGTTTCTCGCAATAAGAGACCAGGTCTGTTGAGCTTATAAGTGGGCTCAGGACCCCAGTCACAGGGTTATTGAAAAATGATTCCAGAGCATTCTCCAAAATTTATGGCACTCCTATTTATTTATTTTACTAATTTTTCTCTCATTTGCCACTCTAATCCTACTTTTAAACCCATTTTTATCCCTTTCTCTTCTCTCCTTTGGTTCTTGGCAAAAGGACTTAGAGGCTATGAGGTTATGGCGGCAGTAAGGAAAATATTGCAACAAAGGGAACCATTTTGGGAAGTCCTGACATAGACATTTCTATACATTTTTGAAAGGGGATATTTTACAAATAATTATCAAATGAAGAAAGTTGGTTGGGCAGTTATCCAGTTGGGCAGAGATTGGATTATCAGTAACTGGTGTGATAAATTCATTTTCTTAAAGAAACAAAGGCCTTTTATAGCATTAACTGCAATGCCAGAGGTGTGTTACAAAGAATTTTCTCAAATTATTTTCTTATTTTTCTTTCTATTATCCTTTATTCAGCAGGAGTTTATTTTATTTTTCATCTTTCTTATGATTTTTAAGATATGTACTGAATGCACAAGAGGGCTAAAATACAACCTTATCTTGGTCTAGAGACTTGCCACCCAGCTGGTAGTTTTATTGTAAGAACAGTTACCTGGGGAGGTGATTTACTGGTAAGAATAAAGGTAGTATATCCTATTATCTTCCCAGTGTTTCTCTAACAGACTCATTAGAGCATGGTATATGGAATTCAGTGGGGACTTGAGTTCTGAATCTGGACATTCCCTAACTGAAACCCTAAATAAGGAAGAGCGAATAATGGAATCTCAAAGATCTATATCTGCAGGAGGATATGGTTGCTCATTAAGATATAAATACCATTTTGATGTAAGATAAATAGGCAAAGGGATATTACATATAACTCTTAGCCTCACATTAATACAGTCCATATTAATAACATCATACTCTCACAAAAAACCTTATTGAACTATGTAAAATAGCAAAAGGACTTTAAAAGTCCTGCTGAATATCATATGTCCAAATAAGACTACTTCTGAATCCACAACTATTACAGAAACAAGCTTTGCTGCAAATGATTTTGACTTTCCTGACTTATCTTTCCACACGATGAGGGATGTCTTTTGATTCTCTCTGATACAGTAGTCTCATCTTGCCAGTGAGTAAATTGTAAATTACTTGACTTTGGATGATGCATTATTGCTTCAGGTTCTTGGGTGCCCTTTGATACATCACATACAGTGCTGTCAAGCTATGTAATAACCTGGGAAAATGAATTTACCCTCAAATCAGTATTTCTTTCCTTTGCAAAAGAGCTATTGTAAATAACTTATGACCCTCCTTGCTCTTACTTTACCCCAACCCCTTCTCATATCTTATGACTTGCCTACTACCACACGGGTATCCCCTGGGTGTTCAGGATTGCCCAAACTCTAATGCATCATTGAATCACATAATCTTGACCTTTTGTTATCTTCCTCCCTCTGTTTCTTGCCCCTCTGTATTGGTTATCTATTGCAATGTAACAGATTGCACTGAAACTTAGTAACTTCAAATAACATATTTATTATCTCACAGTTTCTGTGAGATAGGAATTCTGAAGCAACTTAGCTCTGGTTCTGGGTCAGGATCTCTCAGGAAGTTGCTGTCAAGACATTGACTGGGGCTGTGTTTATGTGAAGTGTTGACTGGGACTGGAAGATCTGCTTCCAAGATGGCTCATTCACATGGTTGTTGGCAGGAGGCCCCAGTCCTTTGTCACATGGGTCTCCCCATGGGGTTTGTGAAATATCCTTTTGATAGGCCAGCTGGCTTTTCCCAGAGTGAGTGATACCTTTTATCACCTAGGCTTGAAAATCATACAATTCCTCCATATTCTCTTCATTGGTAGCAAGTGACTAAATACAGCTCACACACACACGGAAGAAAATTAAGCTCCACTCTTGAAGGGAGGTGCATCAAATAATTGATGTGCATATTTTAAAACCACCTGCTATGGTTTCGGTGTTTTTTCCCCTTTAAACTTCATATGAAATTTGATCCTTAGTGTTGGAGGTGGGACCTAATAGGAAGTATTTGGATCATGGAGGCAGATCTCTCATGAATAGATTAATGCCCTTCCTCACTCTATTAGTTTCCATTAGAGCTAGTTGTTAAAAAGAGCCTGGCACCTCCCCCTCTCTCATGCTTCCTCTTTCACCATGTGATTTCTGCCTATGCAAGCTCCCCTTCACCTTCTGCCATAAGTGGAAGCAACCTGAGGCCTTCACCAGATGCAGATGCCCAGTCTTGAACTTTCAAGCCTTCAGAATCATGAGTCAAATAAACTTTTTTTAAAAAAATAAATTACTCAGCCTCAGATACTCCTTTTTAGCAACACATAATGAACTAAGACACCACCATATCTTACATACTCCACCCTTGCCTTCAATTCATCTCTCTCACATCTTCTGACCTCAGCTGATGATATAACTGCTAACTAAACTAAAATAATTAGGAGTAGTTGTGTTAAAATATTTAACTCCTTTGGGCAACATAGTATAAAAATGAAAAAAGAGCAGGCAGCCATTTTATATCCTAGCTCTGCCATTTAATAATTAAGGACTTTGGGAAAATTATTTAACTTTTATAACACTCACTTTAATCAACCATAATATGGGCATTTTGGTATCTACCTTGCAGGATGTAATGCAGAGCAGAGGTCATACATGTAAGGCACTGAAGACAGCATTTTAGGTGCAACAGGTGTGTGATAATTTGTAGTTGTAATAACAATAACACTTAATTATTACTGTAGGCTTTGCATTATATCTGGGACTTCTGGTGACCTTGGCATAACTTTCTAAATGGTAGGAATCACTGTGGCAGATGGATGTGAAGTGACATTTTTATCAGAGCTCTCCTCAGTCCAAAGACTTGCTTTCTTCCCCCACTCAGCCTGTCCTTCCATGATCTCTGCCCTGAGGCTTCAGTACATCTTAGTGAAAATGTCAGTCCACGTAAGGTCCTGGATCTGAGCACTCGCTGTACCACCTATGAGCTGGTGGCCTTAGGCAAACTTTCCAAGCTTTGTAAGTCATCTTTTCTCATACATATATTTAGGAATACTTATTTCTTTCTTGCAGTACAGTGAATCAACATTGTCTCTACAACTGATACTTCATTCTTTTGTTCAAGGCAGTAGTTCTAAAACATGGCTGTACGTTGCAATCTCCAGGAGCTCTTAAAAAATTCCTGAGGCCTGGTCCCACCCCAGAGATTCTGATTTAATTGATCTAGGGGCCAGATGGTGCCCACACATCTGGGGTTTTTAAAAACCTCCTAGGTATTCCTAATATGTTAAGAACTGCTTATTAGATTAATAATTTTATCTCCTATAACAGTTGTGAAAGCAATTAGGCCAAAGTTAAAATAGTCTAAATACAATTATTTACATCCTATGTTTCCATGCTTTTGTGCTTTCATCTTTTTCCCCTTGATAAATTATTTCACTTCTCTCAATATATATTTGACTCATTTGTTCTGTAGCTTCTAATTTTATTATTCTTGCTTTGCTCAAACCCCAAACTCTCCTTTGTGCTGTTATATATTCTACTTTTTGAAGCAATAAGAAAGGAATAAGCAAGTACAGATTCACAGTGTTGCTTTTAAGTAGAATATTCTTCCAGTAGGAGAAATGATACCATGTTGCTTTGGTGGAAGTATGTAAGCATCTTTCATGCTCTGTAAGAACCGTCAATGCATGGTGCCATTGGCACACTGGACTGTGTATTGGCAATGGTGCACATAGCAGATGGGGTTGAGTGTAGGCAGTCAAGTGTTCAAGCTCTGTCTCTGAATTGACTAATGGTTTTGATGGCCGAAATTCAAGGCCAAAAGCACTGGGATGCCAGTCTTTGTGTTGTATTGAGTGTCTGCAATTAAAGCTATGGGACTGTTCCCTTTCTGCTCTAACTCAAATTTAATTAATTTTGAATTAAAACAAATAGTTTCCATGACCACATGAGGTACATTTTGGGTTTGCCTGATCAGGATTAGTGTAATGAAGTCTCCACCCTTTCGTTATCCCCCACCAAAGACCCCTAAGAACCTGATTTAAAATGCTATCCAAAGTGGCATGTTGCTGCTAAATATTTTGATATGTATAGGGCATTTTCATGTCCATGTCCTATGTAGAGAATCTGTAGGTGTCCTCTTGGAAAATGCCAGTGACCTAATGTAGCATAGAATCAGCATGTGTATTTGGCACTCCTCCACAACTCGAGAAGGTCATTTGTTAAGGCTTTCTGAACTATTTCAGGCTAGGTCCTGGTCTAAAATAAAGATATAGTATAAAATTTAGTTTGCAGTTTGAAGTTTGTCATCGTACATTACCTGGTTATTGTTCTCAGAATTAGCTCTATTAGTTAAAGAAAAGCTCAGTCCTAGTGTATCATGAATTTAGTTTCCAAGATTATGAATTTAGTTTCCATGTGAGTTATTTAGCTTTATTCTATTGCATTATCACAGATTGCTCTTTTAATCCTGCTGGAGGCTTTGTGAGCATCTTCTCTTTTGAAAAAGAGAGTTGCTGATCAGTGTCATTGCAGCCACCTTACTAGAATATTGTAAAGCCTATACCCAAGGGCCCACACCCAAGAATGACAACAGCACATTAGATGACAAGCACCACAAATCTAAAGTTATTATTTATTTGAATATGTTTCTGGGTACAGATGAAGTGCTCTTAGCTTCTAGTAGAATCATGTTATATGGTGTGAGTCCTCAATTGATCACTGAAGCCAAGGCCTTTGTAGGCTGAATTTTTGTGAGGTTGTCCACTGTGATAAGAATAATCCAGCACACAGGGTATTCAGCTACATCATGACAGAGGACACAGCTCTGCTAGCTTTTGCCTAAATAAATTGCACTCAATTACTCATAGACTTTATAGATTGTATATAATTGCTTGTTTGTTCTGCATTTTCTATGTTGGAAGACCATTTAACTCAGATTATTTGGCTTTGTGTGTGAACACCAGTGCATTATCTTGAGTAATGTTGGAACTGAGTTCATATAAACTGTTTCTTATGTTGTTTTCATCCTGTTTCCTTCCTTTTAGAGACTCCAAGAGTAGAAACATCCATGGGTACTGGAATTGGGCAATTAGAATGATTTGGAAAAACCTGCCAGTAGGTCACCCAGGATGCTGCCTGATAGTGTCTGACAGCTGACGTAGAGTGTGAACTGAGTGGCAGGATGAAACTCTGCTTGCTTAATTCAACATTCTCCATGGCTAGCCCTGTGCTGACACATGCAGATGAATGTCTTATAGCATTTTCCTTCTTATCTACTTTAATTCTATTATTATATAGTTAGAAAACTGAAAGAACTTCCTAAGAGTTGTAAGGCTGTAACTTCAGGGTTACGTGTAGTTCTACTTAGCTTCCAATTTAGCATTTTAGGAAAACTGCTATTATGCAAACGGCTGCCATTTGCTATGAGCAAAAGAAATTCTGAATTTTGTCAAAGACTTAATTAATATTATGATTAAAAAACCCACAGTTAATCTAATGAAACACAAATGGAGAAAAAAAGTGTCATTGCTTTCATTGCCTAGCAGGTATTCTCTAAATGTGATGTGTTAGTGCCATTTTTTAAGTCACTGGCAAATTCTAGCTGCTGTCTATTTTTAGTTTTATTTCCAAGACTAGGGTCATCAAAGTCCCTGAGCACAGCTATAAATTCTGACACAGTTATCTTTGTATTAGTAGGAAGAGATTAGGCTATGTTTGAGTAACAGACCCTGAAACATTAATAGCTGAACATACACAAGTCTAGTTTTTGCTCGTGCAAAGTCAGCTGCCTGTCCATCAGCTCTCCAGGGTAGCTCTCTTTATGCAGTGACTTGGGGAATACACTCTGATACCATCTTGTGGCTCTTTACTCTTAAATGTGGCTTTTAGTTCCCTATGACATGGAAAAGAAAGAGACCTAAAGAGCTTGTACCTACTTTTTTCTTATAGCTCATAGTCCAGAGCTAACTAGGGAATGTGTGTCCAGGTAGATGAGGATGAAAGGGGACCTGATAAACACAGAGCATTATCACAACCATACTTTCAGTTCATTCTCTTCACTTTCCTTCCCTGGACTTCATCACTTCATGTTCAATTACCTGCAGTTGTCTCCATACTGTCTTCCTGGTTTTGTTCTCTGACATCTATAGTACATTCTGAACGTTGCTGCCAGAACAATCTTCTTTAAACACTGGTTTATATCAGTTCTTTGCTGCAACATCTTCAACCTTCCTTCCTCCAGCATTGATTATGTATACTCTCTACATTTCCCAGTATGTGTCAGGTAAGACTTTATTGTTTGGCTCCAGGCTACATTTCTAAGCTTATCCCTATGCATCTATCTCCAACATGAACACTCAACTTCAATTCCCAATTCCAGCATTAAACTCATGCTTTTCTAAACATGCGTTGCCCAGGTCTACCTCTGCATCATAATTTTCACTCTGCCTTCTGTCTCTATCTATTCCTGAGTGTTCCCAGTACAAGAGTCCAAGATAATTGCTCTATCTCTGTTGTATGCTCATTCTATCTATTATTTGTGTCATTCAGCTGGCATTCCTGACTCTTATCATTACTTAACTCTTCATGGGTATTTGTCTTATCTCTTCTACTAGGTCACTTGCAGAACAGGTGCTATATATACTCTTGTACATCCCAAAGATCTCTGGAAGATGCTAAATACACAGTAGTGTGTGGTAAGATTTATTGAGAATAGATGCCTGAATGATTGACTAGGTATTCTTAATTTGCTTTATACGATCCATAGACTTTGGTTCCTTATAAAGTTAATGTTAACATTATGATGGGATTTATACTTTTATTTCGAGTGTGAGGTCTGTGGCTTAGAAGTCTTAAGATGAATATTGTGATTCCTAGTGATACTATCTTTGCTTGGTTTTTATAAGCAGAGTTTTAAAGTCTTTTCATTAATGGCCCAGGCAAGTTCATGGTTCATAGTAGTAAATGTTGGTGCTGTATTATGCTTTAAATCAATGTCTTAATACCATGATTAGGAAGGGGCTACACAGGTAACAGCACAAGCCTTTGGAGCCAGACAGTTGTGGGTTCAAATCCTAGAACCTGCAACTAGTGGCTCTGTGGCTTTGGGGACTTGGCTGTCTTGAATGTGTTTCTGTAAAATGGTAAGAATAACTACCTCTATCACAGAATTGTTGAGATGATGAAATGACAAAGTCTACAAGACACTAATCACAGTGCCTGACAGTTATTGCTCAAAAATAGTTAATTTACCACTCACATTATTTAAGAAAATATAAATATCACTTTATTGGTTTGTACAAAGTCACATTTATCTTTCTGTAGTTTCTTTGCAAAACAGGCAGGTGGATGAATCTATTCACAAAGGGGGCTCTATCCAAAATAATTTTGGCAGTAGGTGTCCCACCAAAACTCACATGCTAGGGCCACTGTACAGGTATGAAAAAGCCACCTCTACTGGTCCAGTAGGGTGTTGGACCTGTTCCCTGTGGTGACTGCAGGGCCAGCCTGAATTATGAGAGAGATGGTTTATTGTGGGAGGAGACTGTGATGTGACGACCTTGACCACAGTTGCTCCTAGAATCAGGTAGGGTTATAATGGCTATGGACAGGCAGAGGGCAGCTCCATTTAGAACATCAAAATAAATGGTAAGAAAAAGTAATAAAAGGAAGACACTTTGGTTCATGCCCACTCTTGTTTGTTATGCTTCCTAGCAGATCAGCTGAATGAGAATTTAATTTGTTGTGAATACTGGCAGCGTGCTGGGGAAAAATGGAATTTACAAACGTTTTGAATTACCGTGAAGCTTGTGAAATTGTATGCACTGCTCTGTTTCATATGTTTTCATGGGTGTGATGCCTCGTTTCAATAGTGGGAGTTGAGGCTGCAAATAGTGGGGGTTGAGGCTGCCGTGAGCCGGATTTAGAACTCTATTGTATTCTAAAACATTTAACAGATTTATCTGAGTTTTAACGGACAAAAAACTTCAACAAGTATACAGAGAAAAATGTGGAAGATAGGATTTGATATCAAGTCCAAAATGCCCATTCATGGAAAAAAATGAAGGGACAATGGAAGTGGTGAGTGGTGATACTTTCTTCCTTTAATGTATCCAAGCTATTGCTTTCCTTTCCTGACTTCCGAAAACCGAGTGCCTGGCAAGAACTGCCAACGATTTATTGAAACTACATTTTCCTTACCCACCATAGAAACAAATCATTTCTGTAGTGGGTAAATTATACAAAGCACTAGTGCCTTAGCGACTTTAACAGTTTAGACTTTCAAACTTAATATTTCTAAGTTTTGAACATTATAAATCTCTATAAATCTGGATTATAAACAAACTTTCCTTGTCTCTGGGTTAGATCTGGGTACAAAAATAGAATCCATTTTCTTGCATTTTGCATAGGATCTAAAATTACTCTCCTAAGGTTGGAGTTTCCTATTTTTCTAAATCAAGACAAGAATAGAGGATATGGAATAAAAAGGGGTGATTCTAAACTGAGTTCAAAAGTCAGTAATTGAGAATGGTCATGAGGCCCGAAGCAGGAAAGCTGGATTTATTTTCTTAGAAAGACTTCCTCATTGCTTCCCTAGGAGCAATGTAAATGGCCATCTCACAGATAAATGGTGAGAGAATCTTATCAGGCTTCTAACTTGTCACTTTTCCTGGCTCCAGTGCAAGCATTGATAGGTGACAGTTCATGAGATAGTAATAAAAGGCAGCAGGCATTGGTGAAAGAGACGCTGGAGCCAGCATCAGAGCTGGAGTTAATCCCTGGCCCCAGTCCACTTCAAGAAAATATAATTCAGGTGAGAAGCAATGTGCCTGCTGTGCAAAAGAACAGTTTCAAGAGATGCTTCCTAGGTCTTCCCTATTAAACCCTCGCCATACCCTGATCCATCTATTTAGAAACTCTGAGGTTGGCATTACGTTTTGGGGCTTGGCCAATCTATTGGTTAGGAATTGCTAAGAATAGGCCAGAACACAGTGCCCAAACCCTTACCATACTGAGGTCCAGGATGGGGTCACAAAAGGAACACAGGCAGGATTTCTTATCAAAACAAGCTGGCCAACCATGAAGTAGGAGTGAGAGGAGGGAAAGACAGGTGCCAGGTGATGCAGAGGTAAGAAAGTCAGGCAGCTCAGTCCATTTCTCTGTCCTGAGCGTCTTCAGAGAAAGGCAGAGAGCAATACTGCTTTTTGAATTATGTGACTCAGGGCTTCCCAGGTAACTCACTCTAGTCTTTAAAAGAACAAAATAAACAAAACTGTTCTTGAGGAAAGCAAAGGTTTATGCAGAGAACCTAATAAGAATCTCCAGAGTTTGCATGTCACAGAACAACTGTTTATAAGTTACCTTTTTCCTCCTTATCTGTGCCTGGGGACTTCTCTTTCTTGTCTTTTTCCTCTTGTTCCTATTTCTGTTCCCTTGCTCCTGCTTGCTTGCCCATCTTTGCATTTCTTTACACCTGGCAGCAACCATACTCTTTCTTGATCCTGCTAAGGTTAAACATTGTTAGGGCCGAATTTAGAATTTCTCTAATTTAAAAAAAAATTCTAATAAGGCCCAGATTTCAATCATGGCTGCAGGTGAGTTGAAGACTATAACATATTCTAAAATTTGATTTGCATGGATATAAATGTGTATAAGGATATATCCACATTACATTCTTGACAAAAGTCATTCTAATGAATTATTGAAAGAATTAGGTCAAATAAGGATTGCATATTGTGTAGGCAGATGCATTTTAAAATGAAATAGTGACTTTTAGAAGTATCTGGTGACTCTTCAACAATACCTGGTTTTCCAAACAAAATTAATACAAAGGCTTTCTTTCAAATGTTCTTTATCTCAATTTCATTTAATTTCCTAGGAGAGTTAGTGATTTGCCTAGCACTTTCTGTTTCGTTGTTTATCCTAATATATGCTCAGTTTTCTGTTTAACTAGTTTGTTGTTGTTGCTTTTCTTTTCCGACAAGTTTTCAGAGCGGAATTCTTAGAAATGCTTAGTGAAGCTACCCTATGGCCCATTTTACCAACTATCAGATCTTTCCCTGAAGAAATAACAGTAAGGAAAATAGGAAAATATTTCCTGTTTCTTCTGGAAGAAGGCAGATATTTATTATGTATTCTGCTTAGTAATATCACTCCCTTAAGAGACTGAGGGCATGGTCTCAATTTTTCTTAAACAAGTCTTGGGCCTGCTTGATGTAACCTTTGGGGATTTAACACGTCAGCCAATGAGCCACACACCACAAATCTGTAGGCACCTGACACTGAAAAACAGCTAAGCATTTATACTGTACATAAAACTCTGAATGTGCTCTTATGCTTTAAGGACTCTTTTAATCCATAGGGTGTCTTAGCTATGATAGTGGTCTCTGAGCCAGTGGATGATTGCTTCTTTTTACTACTCTTTCTCCACAATAATTGCATGAATCGGATTGTCATGCCATAAGCACAGGAATAGGATACTTAACTGAGAATAATATCTCAAATGACATTTAAATGTTTTGCTCTGTGAGATTGGATTAGCAGATTTACTATTTTTTTTATTTTAAAGCTTTTTATTATGTTGTCGTATTATTGAATAACTACCTTCCATATGGTCCAATAATAATTAAGATGTTGGATTGATAGATTGAATCAGCAAGAGGCTTAAAGCAAGTGAGGCTTAACCTGTTTTGGTAGTTTTGATCACTTTTCTTATGCCATTTAAATACTATTGAATGATTTGGAACTGGTTGACTGATAT
This sequence comes from Homo sapiens, assembly GCF_000001405.40. Classification (NCBI taxonomy): domain Eukaryota; kingdom Metazoa; phylum Chordata; class Mammalia; order Primates; family Hominidae; genus Homo; species Homo sapiens. The sequence continues at coordinate 66,875,442 of NC_000010.11, read as the reverse complement.
TTTCCCTGTTTTCTGCTATTTACTTTCTTCTATTTTTTTTTTTTTTTAAATAACAGTGATTAAAAGCAAAAGTGACAAAATGGACACTGGTAATTCATTCAGTGTGATGAGAATCCATGAATAGGACCCAGGTTTATTTTTCAGCTGTAGCCTTTTGGGACAGTTATGTAACCACTATGTTCCTGGCCCTTCCTCATGTCTGCAGCTTCTCAACCTGCTCCTCTCCTATTTGTTCTCCACACGAAACTTCTCCCACATCTTTCTTCCCACCACTGGACTTTGTGTAATTTGTTTCTTCTGCTTTGGACATTCTTTCCTATCCTTATTACCTTCCAAATTCGTCATCAGCACCACTTGTCTAGCAATCGATTGCTGATCTCCCTGGCTGCATCTAATCCACCTATGATAGGATCTCATTACAGACTGCACTTGTCCTTCATAGCACTGTGGCAGCTGCAGTTTCAGGTTTGTTTGCGTGAACCTTGGCTAAAGTATTTCTTCCTACTAGACTGTAAGCCAAATGGAGGCAGAAGTAGGAATAGTGTCTGTTTCTGGTTCCCTAGCATGGATTCCAGCACAGAGTTTTACATATTTGTTGAATGAATAACATAAATGAACGAATAAACACAGCAGGTAAAGAAATGTGTAATTTTTGTTTGTTTTTAAGAGACAGAACCTTGTCAGTCTAGTACTTCACTTGGTCAAATACCTCTTTTGGTAGAAAAGAAAATTATATAGATTGGTATATACCAGGATGAATTCAGTTTAAAGAGAAAACATGAAATTCAGTAGAAATATTCTTTAAATTCTAAACAGAGAAATTGAAACGAAGTTATATTCATACTGCATGTGGGTATAGTTTTTTCTTACGTATATTTATGTATACATGTTTAAATATAATACCTTTACTTAACCACCTACTGTACACAGGCAATCAACTGGATGTTAGAGGGAAAACAAATAGCTAATATCTTTGCATAGGTACTGCAGTAGGTACTGTCACATATTTTATTACATTTATTTCTATAACAGTTCTTTTCTTTCAATATGACTCAGAGAGATTAATAATATTCCAAATATGACAAAACTTGTAAGAGGTTCAATTGGGAATTGTTCCTTTTTGCAGCCCTGTGAATACACCTAATGGTCCTCCAATTATGGAGGCGGTAGTTGGCCAGAGTTTCCAGCTGCTGAGCTCTGATATTCATCACTATGTTTGTACCCTGGCCATGCTCTCTGAGGGCTGTTCACAGACAATGACTGAGCACAGCAGGAGTTCTAAGGTACACTTGTTCCTGAGACTCATGGACCCCTCTCATTGAATGACTGTGACTTGAGGACTCCCAAATGGCTTTATTAACCTTCTTTAGAATGTGAATTCTAGGAGGCTCCCACCCAAACGTCCCTCACTGTCTCTGCATCAGACTTGAATCTGGTAGCTCTGGTACCTTTCCTACCCTGCTCAAAATGCTTACATGTTTAATCCTGTGTTGGCATCTGATTCTTGGAGAATCCAGACTAACTCATCCTTTCATCAAGAAGCCCCTGAGAAGAGAAGGAAATAAATAACAACTTAGACATAAGTTCTTTGCTAAGATCCATGTCAAGAAAGATATTTCCTAGGTTTTCTTCTAGATTTTTAATAGCCTGAAGTCTTACGTTTAACTCTTTAATCCATCTTGAGTTAATTTTTGTGTGTGGTGAAAAGTAGGGGTCCAGTTTCATTATACTGCCTATGGCTAGCCAGTTATCCCAGCACCATTTGTTGAATGGGGGCGTCCTTTCTCCTTTGCTTATTTTTGTTGAATTTGTTGAGGATCAGATGGTTGTAGTTATGTGGCTTTATTTCTGGGTTCTTTGAAACAAGCAAAAACCAAATTACTCCATTAAAAAATGGACAGAGGGCAAGAACAGACACTTCTCAAAAGAGGACTTACAAGATGCCAACAAACATGAAAAAAAAAGTTCATTGTCACTAAACATCAGAGAAATGCAAATCAAAACCACAATGAGACACCATCTCACACCAGTCAGAATGGCTATTATTAAAAAGTAAAAAAAAAACAAAAAACAAACAAACAAAAAAACCAGATGCTGTTGAGGCTGCAGAGAAAAGGAAATGCTTATACACTGTTGGTGGCAATATAAATTAGTTCAGCCACTGTGGAAAGCAGTTTGGAGATTTCTTAAAGAACTTAAAGCAGAACTACCATTTGAACCAGCAATTTCATGACTGGGTATATATACCCAAAGGTATCATTCTACCAAAAACATACGTGCACTCCTCTGTTCATCACAGCACTATTCACAATAGCAAAAACATGAAATCAACCTAGGTGTGCATCCATGGTGAATTGGGATAAAGAAAATGTGGTAATATACATCGTGAAATACTATGTAGCTATAAGAAACAATGAAATTATGCCCTTTGCAGCATTACGGATGCAGCTGGAGGCCATTATCTTAAGTGAATTAACACAGGAACAGAAAACCAAATATCAGATGTTCTCACTTACAAGTGGGAGCTAAACACTGAGTGTACATGGACATAAAGATGGCAACAGTAGACACTGAGGACTGCTAGACAGGGAAGGGAAGGAGGGGAGTATGGGCTGAAAAACTACCTATGGGGACTATGCTCACTGCCTCAGTGACAGGAATATCCACACCCTAGATGTCAGCATCACACAATCTACCCATGTAACAAACCTTCACGTGTACCACCTGAATCAAAAATAAAAGTTGAAATTATTATTATTATTATTATTATTTTTGAGACGGGGTCTCGTTCTGTCACCCAGGCTAGAGTGCAGTGGCACAATCTCGGCTCACTGTAACCTCCACCTTTGGGGTTTAAGTGATTCTCCTGCCTCAGCCTCCTGAGTAGCTGGGATTACAGGCACCCGCCACCATGCCCAGCTAATTTTTGTATTTTTAGTAGAGATGGGGTTTCACCATGATGGCCAGGCTGGTTTTGAACTCCTGAGCTCAGACAATCCACCTGCCTCGGCCTCCCAAAATACTAGTATTACAGGTGTGAGCCACTGAACCCAGCGAAAATTATTTTTTTGAAAAATAACATAAACTCTAGAATCAGAAAAATCTCAATTTGTGTCCTGATGTTTATAATTAATAGCTGTGTGAAATTAAGAAAGTTTTTAACCTCTGTGAGTCTTGCTTCCTCATACATAAAATGTGGTTAACAACACCTGCAGCATGGATAAAATAAGATTATTTATGCAAAGAGCAAAAACAAAAAATAAATTGCTTCTCCAAATAAGCAAAGATCATGAAGATTAGGATTTGGGCATTTTAATGGATGTTTAGTTCCCAGGTGGATAGACATTTTAAAAGTATGTTACGGAGGGTTTTGTTATAAAATCACCTATTTTCATTGGGCTATAAAATGAATTTGGCTGATAGTGTTTCAATAGAGAATATAGTCTCAGAATTTATACCTTGTGCAGTGCTAATATAGATAATACTATAGTTGTGTGCAAAATTTATTGGTCAGAATATTTTTGTCCAGTAAAGATGAAGATTGATTTGACTGAGTCAGAAATACTTGCATGAAATTTATCGTATAAAATTATGAGATAGTAGCATAGTCAAAGAAAATTATCCTTTTAAACTCTGGCATTTATGATTATTTCAAAATCCCTAATAGATGCCAGTTATTGATGAGTTCTCCTCTCTGACATTTATCTTTCTGTGGTTGTTCAATGTAAAGATTCCAGAACAGTACATGTACTTCAACAGCACTTCATTTTGTAAGTTTGTCGCTTTTATCTCCAAATTTTGATGGGAATTCTTTGTCCATATGTACTTAATATTAGAAAAACATATTGTTGAGTACTTTTTTTTTTTTTTTTTTTTTTTTGAGACAGAGTTTCACTCTTGTTGCCCAGGCTGGAGTGCAGTGGTGCGATCTCAGCTCACCGCAACCTCCGCCTCCCAGGTGCAAGAGATTCTCCTGCGTCAGCCTCCCGAGTAGCTGGGATTACAGGCACCCACCACCATGCCCATCTAATTTTTTGTGTGTTTTTAGTAGAGACAGGGTTTCTCCAGGTTGGTCAGGCTGGTCTCGAACTCCCAACCTCAGGTGATCCTCCAGCCTTAGCCTCCCAAAGTGCTGGGATTACAGGCATGAGCCACCGCGCCCAGCCTAAATTTCTTTGTATAAAGCAGAGTGATAGCTTAAATCAGAGAATACAAATTACCTGATGATGCTCTCCTGGTGTTTATATGATTTTCTTCAACCTAAGATGGTCAGCTTTATTCGCCCTCTGCTTTCTGCCAATGAGTTTTACAGAAGTAATTTAGCTCTCTAAACAAGCAATCAAGCAAACAAACAAACAAACACATGAACAAAACCAGCAGAGCAAAACAAACCAGCAACAAAGCCCTTTTTCTAAAATGCAATTCATAATAGTTTTATTGAAATGTAGAAGTCAGCAGCTTCTGCCTTCAGTCCACAGTGCATCAACTGGTTTCCCTTGAACTTTTGCATAGTGGTTTTTTAGCTCTGTGTAGACTCCTCAGGACAATGGTGAGGGTGTTCCAAACAAAAGCACTTCTGACTTTGTTGTTGAATTTAGGTATGAGAATCTATGGTCAAAGGGCCCTACAAAGAAAATCATAAACAAATGTGCAGCAAAGGAAAAAATTTGAACTGCACATTTACAATAATGGCTTCTGATACACTTAGTACCTCTTGAGTGGGAGTTAGGCATCAGTGTGTGGAGTAACAATAGGAATAATCAATGAACAGAGGAGAGATGGTGAAATTAGATTAAGCAGAAAAACATGGCTAAAGCTTAGAATGTTCACCAATATTATGAAGTCCAAAAATTCTTCAATTTCCCATTGAAGAATATGAAATTTGTTCACAGCATTTGGGGTGATACTGAATTTGACTGAATAGTTAATAAGATGGTAAAGTTAGCACACAAGTGAGTATGTTTGCAATATATTTTGCCTTTATTTGTTTTTCTCATAGGACAAAGGAAATTGAATTATATTAGATTGTGTAGGATAATGTATGCTATTGTAAATTCCCAAGTTTTGCAGTAAATTTAACATTACAATAAAATATTGTCCATTAATAGCCGTAGCAAAACATCCGTTGGTATAGTTTACTGCATCATTGCGTTTTTGCAAATCTGAAGTGGAGAATAGGATAGTAATGACTAGCATCAGAAATTGTTGCTAATTTCCTAATTTGCATATTGTATCTCTAACAAACTGGATTGTCAGTTTATAGGAGACACCAAATGTTCATATAATGAAGTTTAAAAAAAAATTCTCAGCTGAAACATGGCCTAGGTGCTTGGCCAAGCTGGGTGGTACGATGTTTCCTTGGGATACTGCCATGGTAAATCCTATAAAAATTTTAAACCCTTTTAATTGGAATTATCAAATGTTAACCTGACAGTAGTATGTTAGAAGTGAATATAGTGTTGTGAAATATTAGTAGTCTTGGTTTTTAAATCAATATTTTATGATTACAGGTAAGTTAAAGAAAAAAGACTAATATAGCAACATTGCTTTGAGGTCTATGTGTGGTACATGGTTCCTGACACTTCTAACATTTCTAAAATGCCTTGGGTTACACTCAGCTATTATACTTGGCAGACAGGATGAATGCCAACACAAAGAGAAGTTTGACTTTATTCAAGATGATACACTTAGCCTCTCACACCTCTGTATGTACTTGTTCTCTAATCTGCCTCCAGAATCAATATAAATGCTTTTATTCATGCCCCAAATAATCTCCAACCTGACCCCAGTTTGTCTCCTCTACTACTTACCTCCTGCACCAGCCTTCTGATTGTTCTTTTATTTTATTTATTAATTTAATTTAATGTATTGAGACAAAGTCTCACTCTATTACCCAGGCTGCAGTGCAGTGGCATGATCTTGGCTCACTGCAACCTCCGCCTCCCGGGTTCAAGTGATTCTCATGTCTCAGCCTCCTGAGTAGCTGGGATTACAGGTGTGCACCACCACACTGGGCTAATTTTTGTATTTTAATACAGATGAGGTTTCACCATGTTGTTCAGGCTGGTCTTGAAAAACAAGAGCCTCGGCCTCCCAAAGTGCTGAGTTGCAGGTGTGACCACCACACCCAGCCCTGATTGTTCTTTTAAATTAACTATATCCGGTCTCATCACAGCCATGTAGCTCATGCAGTTTCTCTTGCCATCTCATCCCTGTTCTAATATTTGAGGACATGACAAAAAATATAAATCAGGCAGACCATAATTATATAGTGTTTTTATTGGCTTATACAGCACTTAATTGTTTGAGTTAATTGACACTATTTAAAAAGTCAGTATTTGTTACATGTCAAACTAGAATTCTAGATTCTCTTGAAAAATTTGGTAACACTGTAGGTACCTTCCTACCCAGCAATATTCAGCTGACTTTGATAGGCATTTGAGTTTGCAACCTGTGAATTTACATTTTGTCTCTTATTTAAGGCCCATGGTGTTTCATTTTCTCCAGAAAAGTTTTTCTGTTTCTTCTAGCATTTTAAAACTCCTATGAGCTCATCATCTCTAACTTTTATTTAGCTTTTAGCACTAATGCTTCATAGTGTCAAGTGCATTTTGTGTGCCATTTTGTCTCCTCTATGCTCACAGTAAGTTTTTTGAAGGTAGGCACTTTGTCTGATTTTTTTTTTTTTTTTTGAGACGGAGTCTCATTCTGTTGCCCAAGCTGGAGTGCAATGGTTTGATACTGGCTCACTGCAACCTCTGCCTTCTGGGTTCAGGCGATTCTCCTGCCTCAGCCTCCTGAGTAGCTGGGATTACAGGCACCCACCCCTATGCCTGGCTAATTTTTGTATTTTTAGTAGAGATGGGGTTTCACCATGTTGGCCATGCTGGTCTCGAACTCAACCTCAAGTGATCCACCTGCCTCGGACTCCCAAAGTGCTGGGATTACAGGCGTGACCAACTGTGCCTGGCCTTGTTTGACTCTTTATGTCAACACACAGAGCCCAGGACAGTGCAGCTCTGCTCTGCCAGTGTTTGTCTATTAATTACAGTTTTTTTTATTTTTTTTTTAATTTTTGCGACAGAGTTTTGCTCTTGTTGCACAGGCTGGAGTGCAATGGCGCGATCTCGGTTCACTGCAACCTCTGCCTCCTGGGTTTCAGCAATTCTCCAGCCTCAGCCTCCGGAGTAACTGGGATTATAGGTGCTAGCTACCACACCCCCATGCCCGGCTATGTTTTGTATTTTTAGTAGAGATGGGGTTTTACCATGTTGGTCAGGGTGGTCTTGAACTCCTGACCTCAGGTGATCCACCTGTCTCAGCCTCCCAAAGTGCTGGGATTACAGGCATGAGCCACCATGCCTGGCTAATTATAGTTTTATATAGCAATCATTATTATTATCATAAATACTCAAATACCTTCAGTGTATCTAGTAGGCCCACTCCTTAATGAAAGTACATGCTAATATTAAAAACATTCAAATTTAAAGCAGAAAAATATTTGGCATTTTGCAATTCTTCCTACTAAGTTAATTTTTTTTTTTTTTGGTAGTGCCTTGGCTTAATCTGTAATGGTAAAAAGTTTTTGTGTGGCAGACACGTGAAGAGAATGACAATTGGAACTATTCTTTTTAAATGTAAATGTGTATCTGTACATTGAAAAATATTGATTTTAAGAGATATAGTAGACTCATATTGCATGTTCAGAGTATTTTGTTTATTTTGTTCATTGATACTTGCTTTTTGTTCCCAATAACGACATGGTGAGGCTTGAACTTAGACGTGAGAGCTATTTTTTATTTCAGTCTCGGCTAGAAGAGCAATCTACCTCAGAAAATAGAGGCGAGGAGTCAGGTGCTTTATGTTCTTCCTCTCTGTACCCTCATCCTCTGAAGCCAAAGTTACACTCCATAAAAATAACACAGAATGTGAGAGCTAATAGAGCCTCAGTTTATCCTTCTTTGTATCTCCCCCTGGAATGTCCTGGGCAGTGCCTTATTTCCCATTTGCAAATGTGAGGACAATATGCAATTAAGAGCTTCAACCTTGTCATTGGTTTGGTGTTAGTCAATTAATAACTTTCTGTGAATTATTCAATAGAAACAAAATAAAAGCATGTCCACCCTGTGGAACCTCAGGACAGAAACCCAGAGGAGCATTTACTTAATAACAAAATGCTAATACACATGGAGTTTTTGAGTTGTTTCAGAGAGAAAACTTGCATGCTGAAGATAATGAAAATGTATATAGTTATTGTATTATTCTGTTTTCACACTGCTGATGAAGACATACCTGAGACTGGGTAATTTATAAAGAAAAAGATGTTTAATGGACCCACAGTTCCACGTGGCCAGGGAGGCTTCACAATCATGTGAGAAGGTGAAAGGCACATCTTACATGGCAGCAGACAAGAGAGAAAATGAGAGCCAAGGGAAAGGAGAAACCCCTTATAAAACCATCAGATCTCATGAGACTTATTCACCACCATGAGAGCAGTATGGAGGAAACCACCTCTATGATTCAATTATCTCTCATCAGGTTCCTCCCACAATATCTGGGAATTATGGGAGCTACAATTTAAGATGAGTATGGGAGAGGACACAGCCAAACCATATCAGTCATGTTAGTTTTCTGTCTATCAGCTATTCTTTTTCTTTTTTTATTTTTCCTTTTCACTAGTGTTTGAGTTAGGATAATTTTGCTATAAATGAAATTTCATCATTTAAACAGTTCTGCCATGGGAGTGCCAGAAAATTTATAATACCTCGTGGCTCCTACCCAATACCCTACAATTACCATTCAGTGTGAGTTCTTGGTAGATGTGTACATAACACATTTTATATTTTGTAGAGTCAAATAAAATACGTGTTTCAAATATTAAGTCTCAATTTTGCAATAAGGTATTCAACCAGTTGTCATTAGGTCAACATTCATTGTGTATCCACAAAATAGATGAGGAGACAATTACTTATTTTTGTAAAATGGTCACAAAAGTTGCACAAAATAAAAGCCTCCAAAAAGCTAGATGTTGAGCAATTATGATGATGCGTAGGCAACATTCTAAGCTCTAGTGGAGGATGCAAAGGTGAAGACCTAATCTCTTTCTTCAGAGATCTCACAATCAAGGGAAGAAGATAAAAAACAAAAGCAGATCATTGAAAACACAGTCCTATAAGTGCTGAACTGAGTATCCTCTTGGTATAGAAGGACAAGGCCCTGTACTGACAGGCAGGAGTCCTGAGGTTAGGCTGTGTCCTGCTGTTAACTAGCTTTGTGACTATGTGAAGTAACTGAACTAGCTTTGTGACTATGTGAAGTCAGTCAAATTCCCAGGACATCATTTTCTCAAGGTGTAGTGTTAGGTGGATATGACCTAGATAACCTTTATATTTATTTTAATTTCTTTGATTTTTTTGCATTTCTGTGATTCCATATTTAGGTATAGGCAATTAAGAGTATAGATAAGAATGTATAAAGCTATAAATAAAATTAACACATTACAAATCAATAATATTAAGGGTAAAAGCAAAACGTAAATTTTATTTTTCCTAAAACCACCTGAAAAAATGCATATTACATATTACTTTTATTCAAATGTTCAACTTATGGTGTATTTTAATAATATACCATCTCTATGCAGAATCACTGTCAAATTTTCCCCTTAAGAATATAATCTTCTCTTTGATATCTAGTGATTTGAGCTAAAAATAAATATTGTTAAAATCAATACTAAATAATGTGGATAGCTGAAAATGAAAAAGGAAATATCTTGTGTGAATACATCTTCTGTGATTTTTTCCATTACGTTTACATATTTTATATAATATAATTGCATATGGCAATTATTTGATTACATAAATTGTGCCAAGAGCATAATTAAGTATAATTATGAAAATATGAAAATTATATGCATAAAGTGGCTAATTAAAATTTATTTCAAGGAATCGAGAATATTCAGCAAGAAAAAACACATTAATGAAACATTGTGGTTGTGATAAAAGCACACATACTCGAATTTACTGTTCAGGACTGATTCTCTGATTATTTACTGACAAAATGCTGGCACCTTTATATTTATGTCTTTTTAACATGATGATAGAAATACGTACTCTGACCGTATTTCTACTATGTAGCTTGCATAAAATATGGTCAATGAAAATTTGCCTGGAGTAAAATGATACTTCCTTTTGGAACTGCATTTACACACACACACACACACACACACACACGCACACACACACACCCCATGCCTGTTAAATGATAGCATTCATAAATGTTAGACTCATAAAGAACATTAACAATCTACTTCAATATCTGTATTTTATAAGTATGGAAAAATGATGTCTTAAGAGGTTAAATGATTTTTTTGGTGTCATCCCAACAGTTGCATAATTGGGACCCTCAATCCTTTTCTCTTTCCAATATTTTATGGTTTTTCTCTAAAATATGCCACTCTAACTGCTGAGGAGAAAAAGCAAAACAATTTCATTATCCTATAAAATATCTAAATGTATACAATTCCGTATTTTAATATAACAATCATTTTTATAACAGACATTTTATATTGCATTTTCATGGGCATAAAAAGAATATATATGTATTTTAGGTTTTCTATGTATATTGGGAAGCTATTTAATTTATCTAAGTCTACATAAAATATCTAAAAGCTACATCTATGTTAATGAGCACTCTATAACAGAATTTGAGTATGAGACGTTCTATTGCAGTGTTTGCAATGTTGCAAAATAGAAACTTTTTTTTTATAGATAATGAAACCAAAATAAATTATTTCAGATCAAGATAGAAAATAGGGATGACTAGCTAGAGTCAAATTTCAAGTTAAGGTTAGCCTACAAAATATAATTATCAGAATAATTTCTTTAGTGTATGTTAATATGATGTCCTAGCTCATTTTGTTTTGCTATAACAGAAGCCCACAGACCAGGTAATTTATACAGAAAAGAAATTTACTTCTGATAGTTCTGGAGGATGGGAGAACTAATATCAAGGTGCTGTCCTCTGATGAGGGCCTTCTTACTATGTCATTACATGGGAAGGTGGAAGGGGAGGAGAGTACAAGAGAAGGTGAGCAAGAGGGGGCAAAATTTACATTGATAACAAACTCACTCTCATGATAACTAACTAATTCCCATGGTAACTAACCAACTCCTGTGATAACAACATTAATCCTTTGTTCAGAGCTCTCCTGACCTAATCCCATTTTATTAGGCCCCACCTCCCAACACTGTTGCATTGGACATTAAGTTTCCAACACATGATCTTTGGGAAACATATTCCAACCATAGCATATGAGCTATCTGCCTATTAGATCTATATAATCTAAAAACAATAATGGCATAGAAAATCATACACATTAATCACATACTTGAATAACCTTAATATGACTCATGAAATAAGTAAAGCAGCTTATGATTTGGTAGGATTTTGGTAGAAATTGACACAAAATAAACAGAAAAGCTGTTAATTACCTCAATGCCATTTCTACATATGACTGAATTCTGTGATAAACTATATTTTGTTAGGTGCTATATGAATTATGAAATATTTCTTACCAACTATGTGAGATGACCCCCGTTTCTGAAGAAATCTTCTATGTCCACACCAGATCACTAGGAGGTCTCCTCCTAGTGACACAATTAGACACCCTGTTGCTAAATTTCACTCTCAACTTCTGACTAACATGCCTGATTGCTTATTCAACCTCCCTACTTGCTTTTCCAGTACATTTCTCAAAATAAAATGCTCTAAAGCTGAACTTCAAATTAGCCCTGCAAATCAGCTCAAGCCATTCCCATCTCAGAAACTGAAAACTCTATTCCTCCAGTTTTGGCCCAAGGACAAAAGGCCTGTGAGATAATTTTCAACTTATTTCATCTTCTCCAGCTCCTCATCAGCAAATCCTGTTGGCTCAATCTTCAAATATATATGGACTTTCACTAATTTTCACTACATCTACCACTACCTCCCTAGTAAAAGCCACAAATTTGTCTCTTGCCTGGATTATTGCAAAGCTTCTTAGCTACTCTCCCTGATTTTATCCCTGTCCCATCCCACTGCAGTCTGACCATGCCATATAGCGGATGATTTTTTAAATAGTAAGTAGAACATACTACTCCTAAGCTTCTGTATTAGTCAGGGTTCTTCAGAGAAACAGAACTAATAGGATGAATACATATATTATATATTGTATTATATATATATATGTGTGTGCGTGTGTGTGTGTGTGTGTGTGTGTGTGTGTAAAGAATTGGCTCATGTGATTATGGAGGCTAATTTACAAGAACTGCAGGTGAGTCAGCAAGATGGAGTCCCAAGAAAGTCAATGATGTCCTTCCAGTCTGAGTCCAAAGGTTTAAGAACAAGAAAAATGGATGTGTCATTGCAGTCTCAAGGATGGCTGGCTTGCAGCTCAAGCAGAGCTGATGTTTCAGTTTGAGTTCAAAGGCAGGAGAAAGCTACTGTCTCAATTCACAGGTAGTCAGGAGGCAAAAGTTTTCCTTACTTTGGGAAAGGGCAGACTTTTGTTATTTAAGCCTTCAACTGATTGGATATGGCCCACCCACCTTAGGGAAGTCAATCTGCTTTATGCAATCTACCAATTCAAATATTAATCTCGGCCAGTAACCCACCTTCACAGAAATGCTCAGAATGATATTTGATCAAACAGCTGGGAACCATTGTTCTAGTCACATTAACACGTAAAATTAACCATGTCAGCTCCAAACTTCTCGAATTTCATCTTTTACTACTGTCCTCCACTCCTTTTCTGCTCCAGTAATTCTGTCTTTCTTGCTTCTCATTTTTTCCCAGCACACTTTGGTCTTCAAACTTTGTTAGCTTTTTTCTCTCTCTAGAATAGTCTTCTCTTTGATAATGACCTTCTTGCTACCTTCAAGTCTCTGTTCCATATCCCCTCCACAAACAGGCCTTTGTTGACCATCATTCTAGAGTAGTATCCCCTGCCCTAGTCACTCTCTGTATCTATTAATGTATGTTATTTTTATTCATACCTCATATTTTTATCTGACATACAGTAAATCCTCACTTAACATCACTGATAAGTTCTTAGAAACTGTAACTTTAGGCAGCATACATATAATGAAAGCCAATTTTATCACAAAGCTAATTGATATAAACAGGAGTTAAGATTTTAAGCATATTTCTGGTCACAAAAACATCACCAAACTTCTTTTTGTTTTTTTCTTTTTGAGACAGTGTCTCGCTCTGTTGCCCAGGTTGGAGTGCAGTGGCGTGATCTCAGCTCACTGCAACCTCCACATCCTGGCTTCAAGTGATTCTCCTGCCTCAGCCTCCCGAGCAGCTGGGACTACAGCATGTGCCACCACACCTGGCTAATTTTTGTATTTTTAATAGTGACGGTTTTTCACCATATCAGTCTGGCTGATCTTGAACTCCTGACCTCAGGTCATAAGCCTTCCTTGGCCTCCCAAAGTGCTGGGATTACAGGTGTGACCCACAGTGGCTGGCTAACATCACCAAACTTCTAAAGAAATAACCCACACCACTTCTAATATTAAACATTGAAATGAATGTGAGATATACATACATTTAAGAAATATTAAAGAAACAAGTAAGATAATTATTTACCCAAATTTTGGTGAATCAGTGAGTGATGGTGGTCATAGTGGTGGGTTAAATCAAGGAATAATTGTCTGAAAAGTGAAAATTGTAAGAAGCACCTCCTACCACCACACAGCTCAAAAACAAACAACAAATATGATGGGCTCAGTAAGCACTTTTGTGCCACATCATTTATTATTGTAGGGTTGTATGATTATCACATAATTTATGAATTTTTACAATATGTATCCATCTATCCATTCATTCATTTACTCATTTTTCAACCTGCTTATTCTAGTTCAGGGTCTGAGATGGCTGGAGTGTCACCCAGCAGCTCAGGCACAAGGCAGGAAGCAGCCCAGGACAGGACCCCATTCCATTACATGCAGGGCTCACTCACACACACCCATGCTCATTCATACGGGGACAGTTTTAATATGTCAGTGAACCGAATGTGCACAGCTTTGGGATGTGGGGGAAACTGGTGTACCCAGAGAAAACACATGCAGACATGGGCAGAACGTGCAAACTCCACACAGACAGTGGCCCCAGTGGGAAGTTCCTTATCAATGTTGTAACAAAACAATGTTGACCAAGAACAATATTATTCAAGGTTCTACTGTAATTCCTATTTGTTTATTGTTGTTTTTAATGCAAGTTCTTTTAGGGCAGTGACTGCCTTTATTCATCATAGCACCCTCAGTATTCATCATAGTATCCTAACACAGTGTCTAGGACATTTTATTGTATGAATAACTTTAAAGGAATCATTTGTATATGAATGTTTAAGAAGACATGACTGCAATGAATTCCCTGAGACCACATTTTCAGGGTATCCCTGGCCTCCCCCATGAGAGAGGAGAAGGCTATTAAGTGAACCAAGAAAGATAATTAGAATCTGATCATTGAGTTCTTCCCTGGGCTATGAGGTGGGCCATTTATCCAGCTTGAATGGTTTCTGTGAAAGCAACAGATAGGGTTTACAATGTGGTTACATTGAGGCATATATGAGTTTGAATATTTACAAAAAATTTATTGGAGAGGAAAGCTGGATAGATGCAATCCTAGATTGTGCCTATAAAAATTTCATGTACTCTCAGTGTAAACAAATAATTTATATAACCACAACAGGAAAGGATTAGAGACAGTTTAATGGTTGTGATTGTCTTATGTATAGCAAATACTGCAATGGCATAGATACTCATAAAAAGGTGAGGGCCGCTTATACACAGGAACAGAGAAACATTGCTTAGAAAACACAAGCACCTGAGTAGACACCTGTCAAAACAAGAGCCATGAGGGAGACTGCTGCTAGCATTTTAATACCCCCATTACTTCTGCCGACTGTAGAATTTGCCATCTGTTTGTTATATTTTTGAATGAGGTTGGTCCTTACAAGTGCTGTCAATATATTAAGATTTAATAAGGAAGTCCCAAAATCCAGGCCTCCATGTTGGAAATAAACTTTGATATTTTTGTAGGTTTTTCGATGTTTTTACAAAGAAGCAAGTAATTTTTCTTCTTCGCTATTAGATTTCAAGAGAAATGGCATTTCTTGATTTTGGCAAGAAATTCTGCCAGATTATTTCTAAAGTCCATTCAAATTGTAAGAAGTCAATTCTTTTAGATTATCTCTAAAGTGCCTTCAAATTCTTTTTATTTTATTTTATTATTATTATACTTAAAGTTTTAGGGTACATGTGCACAATGTGCAGGTTAGTTACATATGTATACATGTGCCATGCTGGTATGCTGCACCCATTAACTCATCATTTAGCATTAGGTATATCTCCTAATGCTATCCCTCCCCCCTCCCCCCACCCCACAACAGTCCCCAGAGTGTGATGTTCCCTTTCCTGTGTCCATGTGTTCTCATTGTTCAGTTCCCACCTATGAGTGAGAACATGTGGTGTTTGGTTTTTTGTCCTTGCGATAGTTTACTGAGAATGATGATTTCCAATTTCATCCATGTCCCTACAAAGGACATGAACTCATCATTTTTTATGGCTGCATAGTATTCCATGGTGTATATGTGCCACATTTTCTTAATCCAGTCTATCGTTGTTGGACATTTGGGTTGGTTCCAAGTCTTTGCTATTGTGAATAGTGCCGCAGTAAACATACGTGTGCATGTGTCTTTATAGCAGCATGATTTATAGTCGTTTGGGTATATACCCAGTAATGGGATGGCTGGGTCACATGGTATTTCCAGTTCTAGATCCCTGAGGAATCTCCACACTGACTTCCACAATGGTTGAACTAGTTTACAGTCCCACCAACAGTGTAAAAGTGTTCCTATTTCTCCACATCCTCTCCAGCACCTGTTGTTTCCTGACATTTTAATGATTGCCATTCTAACTGGTATGAGATGATATCTCATTGTGGTTTTGATTTGCATTTCTCTGATGGCCAGTGATGGTAAGCATTTTTTCATGTGTTTTTTGGCTGCATAAATGTCTTCTTTTGAGAAGTGTCTGTTCATGTCCTTCGCCCACTTTTTGATGGGGTTGTTTGTTTTTTTCTTGTAAATTTGTTTGAGTTCATTGTAGATTCTCGATATTAGCCTTTTGTCAGATGAGTAGGTTGTGAAAATTTTCTCCTATTTTGTAGGTTGCCTTTTCGAAAGTGCCTTCAAATTCTAAGAAGCTATGGGTCCTTTGGGATTTTCTTAATACACACTCCTCAGTCTCCATATTCCTCAGCATACTTCAACATTCCCTATTATACATTTGAATACAAAAGTGTTTTTCTGTAAAATTATTATTAAATTTAACATCATAACAATGATTGATGCATCACCCCACAAAATGTTATTGTAGGACTATTGAAACATGAAATAACTTTTTAAAAGATCTCTATATATGGGGTCTAGATAAAATACAATCTGGAATGCAGTTTTTCAAAATGGTTGAACTCAAAGCAGAGCATAAGAAATAAGCAAAATCAGAGCTGAACTGAAAGAAATTGAGGCGTGAAAAACCATACAAAAGATCAACAAATCCAGGAGTTTGTTACTCGAAAGAATAGATAACATAGGCCACTAGCTATACTAATAAAGAAAAAAGAGAGGATATCCAACTAAACACAAGCAGAACTGACAAAGGGACATTACCGCTGACCCCACAGAAGTACAAAAACTGCAAATACCTCTATGAACACAAGCTAGAAAACCTAGAAGAAACGGATAAATTTTTGGAAACATAGAAACTCCTAAGATTGAACCAGGGAGAAACTGAATCCCTGAACAGATCAATAATGACCTCCAAAATTGAATCATTAACAAAAAGCCTACCAACCAGAAAAAGCCCAGGACCAGATGAATTCACAGCGGAATTGTACCCACTGTATGTATAAAAAAGCGGGTACTATTCCTACTAAAACTGTTCCAAAATATTGAGGAGAGGAGAATCCTCTCTAATTCATTCTATGAGACCAGCCTCATCCTGGTACCAAAACCTGGCAGAGACACAACAACAAAAAAACTTAAAGCCAATATCCTTGATGAACATAGATGCAAAAATCTTCAACAAAATACTAGGAAACCAAACCCAACAACAAATCAAAAAGCTATTCGACCATGATCAAGCAGGCATTATCCCTGGGATGCAAGGTTGGTTCAACATATGCAAATCAATAAATGTGATTCATCACATAAACAGAGATAAAGACAAATACCACAAAATCATCTCAGTAGATGCAGAAAAGGCTTTTGATACAATTTAACATCTTTTCATGTTAAAAATCCTCAATAAACTAGGCATTGGAGGAACATACTTCAAAATAATAACAGCCCAAAAAAAATCTACAGCCAACGTCATACTGAATGGGTAAAAGCTAGAAGCATTTCCCTTGAAAACTAGAACAAGACAAGGATGCCCTGTCTCACCACTCATACTCAACATAGTACTGAAAGTTCTAGCCAGACCAGTCAGGCAAGAGCAAGAAATTAAAGACATCCAAATAGAAAGAGAGGAAGTCCAACTATCCCTGTTTGCAGACAATATGATTCTATATCTAGAAAATCCCACAGTGTCTTCCCAGAAGCTTCTTGATCTGATAAACAACTTCAGCAGTTTCAGGATACAAAATCAACGTACAAAAATCACTAACATTACTATACGCCAACAAGAGCCAAGCTGAGAGGCAAATCAAGAATGAAATTTTGAATTAGTAGCCACAAAACAATAAAATACCTAGGAATACAGAAAACCACAGAGGCGAAAGATATCTACAATAAGAATTAAAAAACACTTATTAAAGAAATCAAAGATGACATAAGCAAATGGAAAAACATCCTATGCTCATGAATAGGAAGAATCAATATTGTTAAAATGGTCATACTTCCCAAAGCAATTTACGGATTTAATGCTATTCCTATCAAACTACCAAAAACATTCTTCACAGAATTACAAAAAACTATTTTAAAGTTCATGTGGAACAAAAAAAAAAAATTAGTCCAAATAGCCAAGGCAGTACTAAGCATAAAGAACAAAGCTGGAGGCATCACATTACCTGATTTCAAATTATACCACAAGGCTGCAGTAACCTAAACAGCATGGTACTGGTACAAAAACGGTCACATAGACTAATGAAACAGAATAGAGAGCCCAGAAATAAGGCTGCACACCTACAACCATTTGATCTTTGACAAAATGAACAAAAACAAGCAATGAGGTAAGGACTCCCTTAATAAATTGTGCTAGAATAACTGGCTAGCCATATGCAGAAGATTGAAACTGGACCCTTTCCTTATACCATTTACAAAAAGCAACTCAAGACGGATTAAGACTTAAATGGAAAACTTAAAACTACAAAAACCCTGGCTGATTACCTAGGAAATGCCATTCTGAACATAGTCCCTGGCAAAAATTTTCATGACAAAAATGCCAAAAGCAATTGCAACAAAATAAAAAATTGACAAATGGGACCTAATTAAACTAAAGAGCTTCTGCACAGCAAAAGAAACTATTGAAAGAGTAAACAGACAACCTGCAGGATAGGAGAAAATATTTTCAGGCTTTGCATCTGACAAAAGTCTAATATTCAGAATCTATAAGGAACTTAAACAAATTTATAAGCAGAAAACAACCCCATAAAACATGGGCAAAGGACATGAACAGACACTTTTCAAAAGAAGACATACATGCAGCCAACAAGCATATGAAGAAATGCTCGACATTATTAATCATTAGAGAATTGCAAATCAAAACCACAATGTCTTACCATCTCATACCAGTCAGAATGGCTATTATTTAAAAAGTAAAAAAATAACAGTTACTGGTGAGGCTGTAGGGAAAAGGGAATACTTATACACTGCTGATGAGAATTTAGTTGAGTCACTGTGGGAAGTAGTTTGGTGATTTCTCAAGAAACTAAAAACAGAATTACCATTTAATCCAACAATCTCATTATTGGTTATATACCCAAGGGAATATAAATTGTTCTACCATAAAGACACATGCACACATTGCAGCACTATTCACAATAGCAAAGACGTGGAATCAACCTAAACGCCCATCAGTGGCAGACTGGATAAAGAAAATGTGGTACATATACAACATGGAATACTATGCAGTCATAAAAGAAAATATCATGTCCTTTGCCACAACATGGTTGGAGCTAGAGACCATTATTCTAAACAAACTAACACAGGAACAGAAAACCAAATACCACACGTTCTCACTTACAGGTGGGAACTAAACATTACAGACATACGGACAGAATGAAGGAGACAACAGACACCAGGGTGTACTCTAGGGTGGAGGGTGAGGATTTAGAACCTACCTATCTGGTACTATGCTTATTATCTGGGTGACAAAATGATCTGTACACCAAACCCCTGAAGCATGCAATTTATTCACATAACAAACCTGCATGTGTACCACTGAACTCAAAATAAAAGTTAAAAAAATGAAAACAGGTGGTTGACCACTACTTTGATATTATTGATAATATTATTGATAAGGCTGAAGACATGTGTTACTAGTCTTGCACTTACCCTTGCATGTGTTGGTTCATGATGTTAATTTTTAGGCATAGCTGATTACTTACTATAACCCTTAAGAACATGATGTGAACCTTTAGCTCTTTTAATGCAAGATAGCTTTTGAAAAAGAAAACAAGGATCAAAATATAAATATTTTAATTATTGCTACATGGTACCTATCTTATATTGTTTTTCATCTTGTCACTTTGATCTAATGGGGAATGGTAATAATATGAGTCAGTGATATTATTCACCATTCAATAAACATGGATTTGGCCTTGATTGTGTTGGGTCCTGTTTGGTGCTAAATGGGTCTTTGGACAAACAGGAGACTATGACAGAGAAAGGCCATCTAGAAAAGTGACATTCACTAGTGTAGCAGAGTGAAAATAACTCAAGTTATGATCATAAAATATATTTTGCTGGACTTATTACACTTATCATATTAATTGTAACAACTTGTATCTAGAGCAATAGTAGCTCTCAGCTTTGGGTATGCTTGAGAAATCCTTGGGAATCTTTTATAAAGTACTATGCCCAGGCTCCACGGATAGAGATCTTGATTTAATTGTTCTGTGGTAAAGCCTAGTTATGCCACGATTTACAAAGATCGCTAGATAATTTTAATGGGCAGTCCCAGTTGAAAACACTAGCTAACTCTCCAACTGCTTTAGTTTCCAAATAGTTCCTAGTTTCAGAAACTGCTAACCTTGTGGTACTTTCCATAGTGAGTGTGATAACTTCTTACAGCACTATCTAAAACTTTTAGCCTGTTATTCAATATAATATTGACACAATAATAGCTATTATTTATTAGACATCTATAATGTGCCAGACATTGTGTTATAAAATGTGCATATATATATTTTTTATCTTTACAAGGACCTTGCAAGTTATGTAATATTTCTAGACATTAGAAGAGACTTAGAGGTTAAGTAAAGTACTCTGGTATACTCAGCCAGTATCCAGGGCCATAATTCTAACTTATATCTGTCTGAGTCCAATGCTTCCTTCCAGACCGCACTATCTTCGTGTTCTCATGCTATGTCTCTAGATTTAACTATAACTTGCTCCACTTTACACATCCAAGCCTATGGACAAAAAAAAAAAATGACATTTTCTTCTTTACCCACACACATCTACCACATTCTTACCTGTCATTTGCATACCTGTCAGTTTGTGAAATGCCCTTGTCAGTCAATTTAATTTACTCTTCTTAACCATTTTTTAAGGTACAGCTCAAATGCAGCCTCACCAATAAATTCCTCCTGGATCTTCCCAGTTGGAGGTAATGGCTTCTCCCTCTGACTTTCCAAAATATCTTATCTGCACCTCTCTTAGGTGCACTCAGCATTTTTTACCTCACCGTTATTTGTACATATATATATATGATTAATACTTTTACTTGTTTGTCGAATCCTAGAGATCATAGTTATGTCTGATTCATCTTTTTATTCTGTATAACACTTCACATAGTACCTAGTTCATTATCAAGGCAGAAACATATTTGCCAAAGGAATAGTATGCAGTGAATGAAGAAAGCAACAATTTGATTAAGATCACCTAACAAATCTGTACCTGGGACAGGAAAAGAACTCAATTGCACATGTAATGTGAGATATTCTTCAAAACATGCCTATTTTTGGAAATATCTCAATTTTGTGTGAAATAATTTGATCCCTAAATGTGTCAACTTTTTAAAGGGATTTTATGGATGGTTTGATTTTATATGCAAGCCAAGGAAGTAAGTGACCAATAAATAAGAAATGAGGGCATTTCTCTGTTCCTGGTCATTTACTTTAGCAACTGGAAAGAGAATAGAAAAGTGCATTTACATGCGATGGTGTGGGATGATAGCATAATCGCAAATGGTTAAATAGCGGCTTTTTATTTAGAATCTCTGCTTTTCACGTTTATGCAAAACAATTGCACATTCAGTGCATTCAGGATGCACTTAGCAGATCTACAACTTGTAATCATTAAGGGAACACTAATGCATGTAGCATACTTAGTAGAAATTATGTACTTTTCTCAATATCTAGAAGAAACAATGCTCAGATAGCCTCTAATAGCAAAGCAGAGAGAAAAATAAAATGATTGCTTGGGATGTCCTTGGTGGTTCGGCAGAATTTTTTTGTCTTAACATTTGTTTAGAAAGTCATTCTGATTACCACAAAGAGTGATTTTATTCTGTTTGCTTTAGATATCACCACTTCGTACTTATTAGAGATTACACAGTCCAGTGAGTTTTTTCTGACCAACGGGTTGTTACTTTCAGGTCACATCTGGCATGTAGTATCTTGCTCATTGGTTTGTGTTAAAATTATAACACTAAATATTGTGGTGGAAAATTTGTTTTAAGTTAGTGTTATTGAATTTATGACTTTTAAGTTGAGTATGTGCTTGCATGTTCTGGGAATATATATAACTTGAACGTAGAATGTTCCAATTGACTAATTGCACATAAAAGAGAGTTATCTGGAATTAATTTTTCATTTTGCAAAGCTTAATTAATTTGTATTTCCTTCTCAGAAATTATAGATAAGAACTTTCTTTTTCTCTAACGGGCCGGATAATAAATATTTTAGCCTTTGTGAGCCATATACTCTCTGCTGCAAGTACTGCATGGCATGAAACCAGCCATAGACAATAGATAAATGAAAGAGCATGGCCATGGTTCAATAAAACTTTATTTATGGACAATAAAATTTGCGTTGCATATAGTGCTCCTGTATCATAAAATAGTATATTTTTAAGTTTTATTCAACTCTTTAAAAATGTGAAACCATTTCTAGCTCATGAACCATACAAAAACAGGTGGCAGGCCAGATTTGGCCATATGGTCAGCCAGACATGGTCAAACATAATTGGCTGACCTCTGTCTTAAACTCTAACTATAGCTCTCAAAGCTGCTTTTTATTTTCTTAAGAGAATTATGACTAGTGGTGAATTTTTGAAATGTTACAAGGGATGAGGAGTTAAATTAACAAAAACATTACTGCTAATGCAATGCTTCAAAAACCCAGTGTGAAGTTTTTTTTAATTCATAAAAACAAATTTTACCAATAGCAGGAGTGTCTTTTATTTTAAAAATGAGATTTTTATGTAAACTTATGTTTTACAGTACTACTACAAGTATTGGTAAATTGAAATGATCAATTTCACTATTGAGTATATGTGTTAGAAAATATGCCACAGTATATTCTGCAAGATTAATACATTTTAACATTCTTCATGCGTCTCCCCAGTGTTTAGCTTATATTATGTCACTGCAAAGGAGATGATACCATTTAAATATTGCTATCAGTTCATGAATAACAATATTTATCCTTTTGAGAATATTCAAATTTTTGTTCCTGTACCTATTGCCTTTTGAAAGACTAGTTCTTGGCATTTATGTTTTATTCTTGAATATATTTCTGAACACAAGTATATATTGCTTTCTTTTAGATTTGTACTTCACAAAGACCTAATAGTCTAGCACTAACCTAATAACAAATATTTGTATAATCACAGATTGTACCATATTGAGAAATATGAGGGGTGTCAGAGAAATGTCCTTCCATCAGATTGTTTATATTCAAGTTGATATCCATGTCAGCCATTGAATTTCAGTAATAACATATGATATCAAGAAATAGTAGAAGGTACCTGTACCATAAAATAAAATATAATCAAGTACCATACTTTTTGCATGACCATTTGAATTGAGCTTTTTTATCATAATGTTCAATTGAACCATTCAAAATGTAAATGAGTAAGTTTGCAAGGAATCATTTGACCTTTATCGTGACACTGTATTCCTGGGCTCCACCTTGGCTTGGAACCTCATCCTCATTCCTCAGCCAGTTGTCAAGCCATACTTCATCCCATTGTTGTCTTTGATTCAGATTTCAACTGCCCAGTTGATCAAGCATGGGGTGATGGTCAAGCATGGAGTGAGACTTGAGCAGTCAGTAAATGTATCTATTGCACTCATTAATTGGTGTATTAGTACGTTCTTGCACTGCTATAAAAAATAACGGAGACTGGGTAATTTATAAAGAAAAGAGGTTTAACTGGCTCATAGTTCTGCAGGCTGTACGGGAAACATGGCACTGGACATCTGCTCAGCTTCTGGTAAGGCCATGGGAAGATTACAATCATGACAGAAGGCAAAGGGGAAGCTGGCATATCACATGGCGTGTGTGTGTGTGTGTGTGTGTGTGTGTGTGTGTGTGTATGTGAGAGAAAGAGAGAGGTGGGTGGGGATGCCACACACTTAAACAGCCAGATCTCATGAGAACTCACTATCATGAGTAGAGCACCACGCGGATGGTGCTAAACCATTCAGGAGAAACCACCCCCCTGATCCAACCACATCCCACCAGGCCCCACCTCCGATACTGGAGATTATAATTCGACATGAGATTTGGGAGGGGACAAATATCCAAATATCTATCTATATCACTTGACAATTTTAAAAAACAGCGTTTTTCAGGTTTGTGAGTCCTATGTGGTTGAATGCCAGATTACTGGGCCAAGTAGTAACAGCTGTGATTTCAAAGGAAGCAGAAGGAAGGCTTCAAGGTAGGTGGATATGGATGCATTCAAAGAGTGATGGGCATTTCTGGTGAGATGAGTGAAGAAAATCTCAGAAGAAAGGATGCTCATAAAGTGTTTGGGGAACAGTGAATGGATGAGCCTAACTTCACAGAGAGGAGGGCTCAGATAGGCAATAATAGTAGGAGAGGAAATCAGAAAGGATCTTCCAAGCCAGGTTATCAGTGAAGGTTGTCTTTGCCAGGGTGAGAGGAGTCTGGACTTTCTTTCACAGGGCATTAAATGTCATGCAAAGTTTTTGGTAGAGAGGGTGATGATGAAAACAGGGTATAATAGTTTAGAAAAATAATTTAAAATCCCTGAAATGGCCTTAGAAAGTGTGATTTAACTGATTGATTGTTGCTACAATGGCAATGTATTTCTGTTCATTAATCTGAAGGAAATATCATGCTACATTTGGAGGCAGAAGATAGAACTGTTGGATTCAGAGACTTGGTCACCTGAAACTAAATGAGAAAGCAAGATTTATTTTTGCAATGGTCTGAGCTCCTTAAAATAAGGCAAGCTTGATAAGATTTTAATTTTCAGCTTTTATTTTAATTAAGTGTGCTTTCTTATATTTCACATACTCTACCCAGCTTGAAAAAAAATGGTTGTCTTATTATTTAAGAATAGTAGTCAAAATACAATGGTATTAAGAAACTGATCAAATAAAAAAATCATATAGGATACACTACCACACACAAGCATACTCCTAAATCTGAGGCCACACAACACTATGCATTGGTTAACAAAACACATCCTAGCATGATTAAGGCATATAGAATAGCAAAGCTTTTTGCCCTATAAAAGGGTTCATTAAAATTTAGATTTTTTAAAAAAGAAAAACTCTCCAACTCTTAAATTTGAAGAGTAAAATGAAAGCTGTTAATTCTATACGTGTCTCTCCCCACCTTCACAATCTTATGTGTCCCATAGGCACGTAGCAGTTAGGAATGCAAGTATAAACATGCTATCAGATATTGCTTATCTTCATTAAATTTCAGATTCAAAACTGATACTCTGTGAAATAAGATAAAGATTTAAAACAACAGGGAAACAGGAGAGGATCTTACCAGATTTTTCGTTTTTATTTATTCTTTTAAAAATAACTTTGGACAACATTTCTTCCCCTATATTGTTGTTTTTCTTCTTTATTTCTTGATTAACTCTTTAGTTAGAATAGTAGCTAAATGCATTTTGCATAGTTTAGGAATGCGGATCATGTGTAAATTTTTACATTGACTTTCCCCATGTGTCTGGTTTGATTTATATTACTCAGTGCAAAAAAACATGCTCTCATATCTTCAAATTTCCATACACAGCTTTTACTCATGGCTATGTAAGAATGTTGAAAGTAAAAAATTTAAGCTTTCAAAAGATTTCAAAATCTACATTCAATAAATCTTAGCAGTCATATTAGTTTCCTAGGGCTGTAGTAACAAAGTACTACAAGCTTGGTGGCTTAAGACAACAGCTATCTTTTCCTCTGAGTTTGGAGGCCGGAAGTCTGAAATTAAGGTATCTGTAGGACCATGCTTCTTCTGACAGTTCTAGGAAAGAATTCTTCCTTGACCCTCCCTAGCTTCTGGTGGCTTCCGGCTCTGCCTCCGACTTTACATGGCCTTATTCTCTGTTTCTGTATGTCTCTCTGTTTCCTCTCCTCTGCTTATGAGTAAACTAGTCACTGGATTTAGGACCCACTCCAATCCAGTATGACCTCATCTAGATTCTTACTTTGATTGATTAAAGCTACAACACACTATTTCTGAATAAAGTCACATTCTAATGTTCCAGGTTGACATGAATTTTGGGGCACACTATTCAATCTACTATACCAGCTTGAAAATTTTTGACACCTTATTCAAATTTACCAAAAAGGAAACAAACATAAGGGAACAACAAGAAAAAATTTAAAAGCACATTAACGATTTGACTACCATATTATAGGATTTGCTACAATTTTATTGCTTTTCCTAATTTACTATTTCCTGATGGCTTGTCAGCCTGATTATTTCTCAGTTACTGGAAAAATTTGCATATCTTGAACAAACAACTAGACTCCACCAAAGCATTACAAAAGAAATTACGGTTTTTGACCTTTTCTCCCCTTAAATGAGGTGTTCCATTACAAATGCGTCTGCTTTTTGACTTCTTCACTTGAAGGTATGTAAATGTGTAATGCTAAAATAAATAAAAAGAACAGATGGCAGGACCTTAAAGATGAAATTAGTTTTGTATCCATCTGGAATCTGGGGATGGCTTCATTATTTCCTTCTAATTCGTTCATTCTTTCCTCAATTTTCTGGCAGGGGATTTTATGCACAGTTGTGCAATCTAAGTATCTTAGGGTAATAATAAAATATGATTCAATTATGAAAGAAAACCTGAAAATAATTCTGTGGAACTCTAACAGCACTGTTGTCATTATAGTTACATTTGGTGGTTTTCCAGAATTAATATTGCAGCATAGATACTCCTCAAGGACACACGAAAATATCTATTTGGTGTCCAAGGTGTTTCAACCTACCTACTGTTCTGATATGTTAAATTTCAAATGTATCTTCAGCAAGTACTAAATTACTGTACATTAACTTTAACAATGTCAACATGTTCTATTTTATTAGCCTGATGTGAATTCTGTATAAGCTCATAAGGTGAAATATATTTTATCTGCAAGAATTTGGTGTTTGTTTTCACAGCAGCATTTTTAAAACAATATTTAAGGGCCACTGGGAGAGTTTGGGATATTTCCATTGGTAATAATGCAAAGTGGACTTTAAATTAGGTCATGTCTCTGATTCTGTATTTCTCATTTTTCACAAGTGAACATAAGAAACAATGGGAATGTGCCCTTCACTGTCAGACAAGTGGGAGGATCCAGCGCCCTCTGTCTCATATCACTAAAACCGTGTACAGAGCCTGACTAGATCATTCCTGTTTCAAATTAAAAGATGCTTATAGGCAAACTTGAACTTGCCTGGGCATAAAATTAGGTTTTTGGCTCATTAAATTATGTGTAACTATCTCAAAAAATCTTGCCTATATATGATTTCCATTTTGTTATTACCCCAAAGAAGAACCACAGTTCCCTATTGAAAATCATTCACCTAAGTCTAAACTCTTTCATTTGGCTTTTAAATATATCTACCCTAATCTCATCCATGATAATCCGCTGCTGTTTCTCTCATTTTTACCATCCAGATCCTCTGCCATGTTCTTCTCCACATATAGCATGTTCATCCTACACATCACTCTCGTTTCCTCCCCTAATCTCAGCTTGTGTTGCCTCCTTACCTGGGTTTTCTCTCCATCTATCTCATCTATTATAACATACCTCAAGTCTCTCTCTAAGACATTTATTCTCAGCTATCTCAGTTTTCAATAAATTACATTATCTATTAATTCCTAATACATTTTAGAATTGATAAAATAGTATGTGGAAAAGTGTGACATAATGGCTTTATTATTCTCTAATTGTTTTACATTTATACCCTTACCAACTCAAAATAAAATTTATACATGCAGGACATATGTACTGAGCACTTTTTATATCTCCTACAGAATCTGGTACCATTTTGCACTAAGGTAAATAAATAAGAAAATTTTAAATATATTTGTTATTAGACCCAGCATTACTATAAGGATTTCACATATCCTAATATATTCTTCACAGCCAACTTCTGAGATGAGTATTATTTTAATGATGAGGAATTGAAGCACTTGGGTAAAGCAATTCAAAGGAACTCAAAAGATCAAACAACAAAACTACCATTCAAATGCAAACGGTTTGGCTACAAAGGCTATACTTTTAGCATTTATATACCTCAAGATAGTAGATGGTCATTGAGTATTTAGTTGACTGACATAAATTAAGATATTCTCTCTATATATTCAAAATATAGTTGGTCACCATGTTTTCTGTATAATTTTATTTCTGGCTTCCTGTCAATTTGGAATGATAGATATAGCCCTGAAAAGACTTCCAGACAATGTGGCAGAGTAAGTTCACACCATGACAAGAATGCTGTGTTTCAAATATAGAAAATAGAGTCATATAAAAAGAAAACACAAAAACTCATTGCTGCTTTCAAAAATGAAATAACATCTCTATGGACTTGAAATAGAACATAAACATAAAATGTCAGGCAAGACCAAAGTCATCAACTAGTGGGGCACACTTCTGCAAGCAGCCTAGAAACTGGCTCCCTTGTGGATGTAGGGAATTAAAATATTTCATGCAAGATGGACCACTAGATTCAAGCTCACTATTCAAAGTCAAAAGCTGCTGTAAGAATCTGTTGTTTGTGAATGGGGGAAAACATGATTTTGAAAGCTGAGTGGGGACTACTGCTTATTGTAAACTGCTAGCTCTGAGAGAAGAAAACTTACCAATAGGGATTTCAGACCAGGACTACAACAAAGCCACTCCCTGGCTCTGTAACTGGATTTATAATATTCCTGGTATCACCTCAGGACAGATACTACAAATGGCTATGACCTGATTTGAGACTGACAGGCTACTGAAGGTTGGATTGGAGGAAGCTACAAGGTAAAATTCCAGAAATCCATTCCTAAAAAGAGAGTCACAGTATTAACACTTGAAAACAAATTTATTTCTTTTTTTTCATAGCTATACTGAGGTATAACTGACAAATGAAATTTGTGTATATATATATACACACACACACACACATATGGTATATAATGTGATGTTTTGATATATGTATATATTGTGAAATGATTGTACAATCAAACATATCTATCCCCTCATTTTGTGTGTGTGTGTGTGTGTGTGTGTGTGTGGTGAGAACATTTACAATCTGTTCTCTTAGCAAATTTCAAGTATACAATATGTTATTATTAACTATAGTCACCACGCTATACATTAGATCTCCAAAACTTATTTATCTTGCTTAATTGAAACTTTATGCCCATTGATAAGCAACTGTACATTTATTTCCCCCATCCCTTAGCCCCTGGCAACCATCACTATACTCTGCTTCTATGAGTTTGACTTTTTAGATTTTACGTATAAGTGAGATCATGCAATATTTGTGTTTCTGGGTCTGGTTTATTTCATTTAGCATAATGTCCGCCAGGTTCATCTCTGTTGCAAAAGGCAGGATTTCCCTTTTTTTTGAGACAGAGTCTCGCTCTGTCACCCAGGCTGGAGTGCAGTGGCACAATCTCGGCTCCCTGCAACCTCCGCCTCCCGGGTTCAAGCGATTCTCTTGCCTTGACCTCCCGAGTAGCTGGGACTATAGGCACATGCCACCATGCCCGGCTAAATTTGTGTATTTTTAGTAGAGACAGGGTTTCACCATGTTGGCCAGGCTGGTCACAAACTTCTGAGCTCAAGTAATCTGCCAGCTTCGGCCTCCCAAAGTGCTGGGATTACTGACGTGAGCCACCGCTTACAGCCAGGATTTCCTTTCCTAAGGTTGAATAATATTTTATTGTGTGTGTACACCTATATACATACATATATATGTGTGTGTGTGTGTGTGTGTGTGTGTATGTATATATATCTCACCTTTTTAGTTTTTTTTTTTTTTTTTTTTTTTTTTGAGACAGAGTTTTGCTGTTGTTACCCAGGCTGGAGTGCAATGGCGCGATCTCGGCTCACCGCAACCTCTCCCTCCCGGGTTCAAGCGATTCTCCTGCCTCAGCCTCCTGAGTAGCTGGGATTACAGGCGCCTGTCACCACGCCAGGCTAATTTTGTATTTTTAGTAGAGATGGGGTTTCTCCATGTTGGTCAGGCTGGTCTCGAACTCCCGACCTCAGGTGATCCACCTGCCTCGGCCTCCCAAAGTGCTGGGATTACGGGCGTGAGCCACCGCACCCAGCCTATATATCACATTTTTATGTATCAGTTTTAGTCCATTACCATATCTTTGCCAACACTTGGTATCTTTTGCCTTTTTGACAATAGCCATTCTAACAGGTGTGAGGTGATATCTGCTGTGCATTTCCCTGATGACTAGTGATGTTCAGCCCCTTTCATGTACCTGTTGGTCACGTTTATGTCTTCTGTGGAGAAATGTCGATTCAGGTTATATTCAGTGCATACCTTTGTTCTTTCTTTCTTCTCATTGCCTAGTATGCCATCCTTTATTTCTCCATGTCAGTGCAAAGTCTACCCATTTCTCAAAGCCTCTTTCATGTCTTATTTCCTAAAGAAAGTGTGTTCTCTATTGTTGGTATAATTTGTATTCTTCCTTACAAATTGTTTGTGATCTTTAGACTTGCATGGTTTGTGGTCCTACAAAATAAATGTAAATATTATCTTATACCTTTACTTGTTCTCATTCCACCCCTTTCTATACCACCCAACATGTTCTTCCTATTTGAAACCAGGTTTATTATAAATGAAATATATCAATTAGAAGGAAGGACACTTAACCATTCAAAAAGTTAGGGCCATAGTAGGGGGTTATCTTTAAACAAATATTGCAAACAAGTGTTTGTGAGAGAATATCAATTTAGTCCCTGTTCTACTACCAGAGAGGGGGCTATTGCATTGTAAATCATCAACTCTGTCATGTAATGTAATGAAAAGAAACAGCATGAAAATATTCTCACTGACACACATGGTTTGATTCATGAAACTATTTTTTCATAACTCTTAGATTACTGACTGACTCCTTAATATAAATCTTTCTGAAGATTCCACAAAGGACTAGCTAATCACTGAGTGAAGAAGAGCCTTTACATGAGCCAAATTCCCAAGATTTAAACAAGAAATATTACATGTATGTAAAAACCAGTGACATAAAGACAGTAATTTGCAAGCAAGGTCCAAGGAACTCTGGGGATTTCATAGAATGCCATGAGGTTAAGTTGTTTTCCCAGCCATTAATTTTACAAGTCTCACCAATCAATAGGCTACTCTGTTAGCAAATAATGACTAATGCTAAACAGAAACATGAAAAGGATACACTACTTTCACTCAGGTATTGACTAAGAATAACCAAGGAATAGAACATACCCTGTAATTGAACTGCCTAATGAATATTATTTGGAAAAACCATAAACTACTCAAAAAGAACAAGAGTAGTCATTCGGATTTAAGAAAGTGCCTAATTCTTTTAAACAGTGCAATCTAAGGGTACACAGTAAATTCTTATTTAGAAGAAATCTAATCTAATTAGAAGAATTTATGCCTAAATTCAAACAGTAGTACTTGGAAATATTACTAGCCAGCTATACAAGCTTGGTATTTTCCGACAAGAGGCAAAACAGGGCTCTCTGGATCCAGACATTTATAGCTATAATAGAGATATTATTGTTCTCCAATAAATGCCCTATTGGGCATCAATTATTTGTCAAACAAAGAAATAAAAGAAACTGGTTACTCTTCATCTTCCGTTAGTGAATATAGAATATTTTAGGTTCTGTTTCTGAATGAAAATGCTGATAAATACTGCACTCCCTTTCTCACCAAATCAACGTTCCAAAAACAATTCATGAAATGAGAAAGGAATGAAAAAAATTGCCTGAAGACCCGGATGGTTGAAAAGAATGAGAAATAAAAGGGTCATGTCCTTCTCTGTTAGTAAGTAATTTCTGATTCTGAAGTTAGGCATTTGAAAAACATGCCCAAATTCTCTTCTCCTTTGGTTTTTGTGATTCTGCCTCATCAAGATGCTTTCCCTACTCTGTCAAGTTCCTCTGTTGTCTCTTTCCTAGATGACTTTCTATTCCCTTATGGTCACATTCTTTCTGCACATCCTCAGAAGTCTGCTCTTTCCCATCAAAGAAATCCATTTCATAGCTTAATCTCATCATCTGTTTGAGTGATGATTCACAAAGTACAGTGCACCCCTGGTGTTTATCAGGCACATCTCACATTTTCTGTCCCATCTTTTGCTCCTGATTCTTATACCTGGATGCCTTTACACATATGCAAATGCTTTCCAGTTGTTCATCTCAAACTTTGCCTGCTTGTTAAAGAAATATGCAGTTTGCCTTTGGAGTGACAGGGGTCTGGGATTGAATCCTAAGAACTACTGATCCCCTGTGATCGTGAGCCCGTAAACCCCCCTGAGCTTGGTTTTCTCATTTATAAAGTGAAGATGTCAGGTTTTGGACCCTCTTTCAATCCCTTCATGAGCTACTGTATTGTATTCCTTGCTTTCTGTTTCTCTGCCAATCTACATCCACGTCCTTTTGCTTACACAGGGTATTGATTTTCCAACCTCTGTCTCTGTCTAGGGGAGAGAGTTCTGGAAAATCCTTTTGGTCTGTTTAGTCTGGGAGAGAAGTACCTGTACACTAAGTGACTCTTTGCTCTGGATTTGACTAGCCCCTCTTTCATGAGGTCTTGTTTTGGTGCACCTTATTTTAGCCAAGCGCTTCCTGGTTTGAGTCAGCCATATCAAAATCTCTTAGGGCAGGCAGTGCTCAGGGAGCCATAATTCAGTCTCTTCAACCTCAGTGTTTTCATCCCTTTCATGGAAGGGTCATCTTCTCTTTCCCTTCTAGGTTTCTGAAGAGTTAACCCTGAATATAACAATTTCCCAAATTTCTGATGCCCTTAGCTATAATGCAAAAATTATACTTAGAATAAAATCACAACAGTGATCCTACTACATTTCAAACTGCCAGTTAGGCCTACAAACCACCCCTTCCTCATTAATCACACATCACTTCATATATTTATGTATCACCATGCCCACCTGCAGCCCTTAGTCAGCAAAACCAATTAAGTTCTTCTCTACTTGCTTTGTGGCTACATAACCACACTGACCAGTTTAGATTTCAGCGAATTTTAATTTTCCCCATCTTACTTTCCTCTTGGGTTACTGGCATTGATTCATCATGTGATTCTGTTCTCTTCTACTTCTCAATACGAGGCAGTTAATCTTTCAGATTGGTTTCTTCCTGATTCTTCATGCCTATTTCTTATTCCTGCCTTTCGTTGTTTTTCCTTTTTGTAGTAATTCTTTTCATCTGATTGTGTCTATATATTCCATTACAATACTAATATATTATTTGAAAGGTTGATGTGTAGATTAAGAAAGTAGCAGCTGGGCATGATGTCTTACACCTGTAATCCCAGCACTTTGGGAGGCTGAGGCAGGAGGATTGCTTGAGCCCTGAGGTTCAAGACCAGCCTGGGCAACATAGAGAGACTGCATCTCTCCAAAAAAAAAGAAAAAAAGAAAAACGAATTTAGCCAGGTTTGGTGTGCGTGCTGTGGTCCCAACTACTTGGGAAACTGAGTTGGGAGGATTGCTTGAGCCAAGAAGTTGAGGCTGCAGTGAGCAGCCTCTGCACTCCAGCCTTAGTGACAGAGTGAGACCCTGTATCAGGAAAAAAGAAAAAAAGTAGCACATGGGAAATTCTTTCCTGCCACAGAGGTATAGTCTTTCCTACCTTTGACCCTCATAAATCATTTTTTCATATCCATTTTATGGCAGTTGTTAGTATACTTTATATTTGTTTGTGTAAGTGCTTAATTGTGTTTTCAAAAAATGTATTACCCATACATTATACTAGCCCATTTATGAACCTAGCACTTGTTAGCCCTTAGTGCATGATTATTGATTTGAAATGCTTTATTCACTCATTACATAGAGAATGCTTTGATTCAACAAAATACTTCTATGAATGGTTGCATAGACAGACTTAATTCATAAGTCCCCCTGTTTTGCTGAGCCATCCCTCTACTCTGGGAAATAAGGGTTGACTACCTAATGCTATTTTTATTGTAATCTTGACATTTGAAACCAATGACCAATATATCAACATTCTTATAATTTATTTAATGCAGCTACTTTTTCCAAAATAAGTTCATTTAACATAAGCATTGTCAATCATCCATTTGAATGAATTGGAAGGAAAGCTAATTAAATTGATGAATACTTGTTTTAGTTTTAATCCCTTTAAGAATATATAAAAACTGCAACTATTATAACTCCTCAGACACTGTGTAGTGGAGTTTTAATTAATAGATAAGGATGATCTCTAATTAGCTCATCAAAATACTTTAAACAGTATCAACCCTACATATACTGCAGTTACACCGTTTGTAAGTAAATAGACACTTCTAAAGCACTTAAAGACCAGTTTGCATTCTTAGGAGAGTAGAGGTGCCCTCAACCTTTTTCATTATGTGGTTAATTTATTTATTCATGCTTCTCTTCTTTTAATAGGGAAAACAAGGAAAAAAAGCAATCTAACATAAGTTTGATTATCTCAGTCAACATTCTGACCCATTCCAAATCAGTATAGTTCAAATTAATGTGGTTTCCTGAATATATATCATAGAACAGGTAACATACATGATTGTAGAATGACAAAATTAGAAAGAAACCTTCCTTTCAGATCAGTTATTCTAATCATCTCATTTTACAGATGAGGAAGAAATTGATTTACTCTATAGTTCCTATGGTTAGTCACGGGCTAAGCCATGCTTCTCTTTGGCTATTCATAAGTCTTAATTCTGTCCTTTGTGGAAACAAACAAGCAACAAAATAGGACAGAGAGAGAGAGAGAACAAATATGAAATTGAAGATGTATCTTAAGTTTTAAAAAAGAGAACAGCCTTGACTATTATTTTGATATACAGACCTTGGGAAATTCTACATTGAAAGCAAATAAATTAGAATTTCGAATTCATGTATTGAATGAAAATAGGGTACTGTTATTCTGCAAAAGATATGACACATCACTTTCAAGACTTCTTTCACTCATCCAACCTTGACTAGGTTTCATTTTGTTTCTCTGATTTTACAAAGTTTCAGGTACATCAGGTGCTGAGAATACAAAGCAAATAAAATATAGGTGATATGATACAGGTTTGCAAAGGGTGTAAATGCAGTACTGAGGAAGGACTTCCAACCTATACCGAGGGGTGTGTGTGTGTGTGTGTGTGTGTGTGTGTGTGTGTGTGAGAGAGAGAGAGAGAGAGAGAGAGAGAGAGAGAGAGAGAGAGAGAGAGATGGCTTCTTGGAAGAAGAAATGCAGGATCTAAGTCCTTAAGTTAAGGGTAAGCCAGAGTCTGCCTGACATTATCCATAATGTGAAGGAAATAACAGTTGAAAAAATATTCCATCTAATTCAGTCAGTCTACTCTGATCTGGGATCATTTGCCCCTTGTTGGGCAGTGAGGGCTTCTTGCATTTCAGCATGAACAATAATATTGCAGCCAGAATGTGTTTTAAGTAATTCTCCTTAGCTTCTCAAGTGGGCATCACCTGGCCTATTCGGGATTAGTTTTTGAAGCCACATAAAATCTTTCAAATTCAGATAACTTGAGGGATTTTCATTACCAGAGCTAATTAATGGGTGAAGACCTACCACCCCAAATCAGATACTTCAAACATCTAAATTTCACAGACAACTATGAATGGGCAGTGTAGATTCCTGGTTAGAGCTGATATCATCAAAAGTCCTGGATTTCACTAAGGAGTAAAGTGTATAAATTATTAAGACAGAAAAACATGATCTTGTGTTTATTTATATGTGGATTATATCTGCCTGTTATAATTTGTTCTCTTTTTCTGTCCATATGTCTCTTTATTTTGATTTTCCAGTTTGTGTTTTTCCGAATGTTCTTTTCTGAGATGTTTGAGGATATTAGGAGATTGACATCTGAATATTCATCCTAAGTGCTTTCACATTTCACACTTTTTGCTGTGTGAATATCATGGAAGAGTTGTCTATGTATAATTTTCTGGGGACATTAAGTACTATTTTGGATTCCAGACTAGATAGAACAGATAAAAATTTTTATTATTATGAAGTTTTTGTGTCTTTTTGCTTTGATAAGAGATTTATTGGATTGTATTTCACTAGGTTGCATGGTTAGTAATTCTGTATACTTTTATGCCTTCTCTGTAAGGTACTCATATTCATGTCATATGTCAGCTAAGAACTAGAATTTTTGCCATCCTGTTTTTCATTTTCTAGGTTATGATCTTTCTTTGGTCACATTTCTGACAGCTACCCCTTCTCTCCTTTCCAATCACCAGTATAAACCCATAGCTCAAACATCATCAAGTAGGTAATCAGCAGTGGTCACTGACAAATGTCACAGAATAAAGAGAATCAGATTTGAAAGGCTCAGCTCTAAAAAGCAAACCAAGGTTCAGCCACTCATTTAAAACCTTCTGTGGCCCTTTGGCATTATCACAGACCATTCTATTTGATACTTTCACAACTTTCAACTATTTTAAATATCAAACTTCTCTGTTCTTTCAGAACTTACTCTTGATTCTGTTTTTTTTTTTATAAGTATGAATGTATTGGCATACATCGATAACATAGGGTACAAAAGTCTTCGCCAAAGAGAAACAGAAGGGAGAATGAAATAGTGATAGGCTTTGGGGCTACCCAAGGACTTAGAGATCATCCTGTCCAACTTCTTATAAGCACCAGCCTGAAATAGTTCAGTGATTAGTCTGAGGTAATAGATTAGTTACTTTTTCCTGCTGGTTCCAGAATACAGACTTGCATTTTGCTCAGTGTTTATTCAGCGAAGTCTTAGTGCTTCTACATCAATGCATTCAATGTAACAAAAATGTATTAAGTAGGTTCTATGCACCAGGAATTGATAATACAGCAGTGTAAAACACAGCAGCTCAGCACATTTCCTCTCCTAGAGAACCGTAAAGGCTAGTCCTGGGGGCAGGTGGGCAAATGTATTATACATATGCTGTCCAAGCCTATGATAGTTATCTCTAACTGATGAAGGCATTTTATTTATTTATTTATTTGCTGAATTTAGACGTGGCTTCACCATCTTCCCCAACATAGCTCTTCAGGCATCCACTATTTATCTTTCAGAATTGTCAAGTACATTAAAACCTATTTATCATCAAAGCACTAATAGTTTTCTTAAAGAATTAGCTTCTAGAAGACAAAATAATGTAACAGTAGTACTAATAATAGATAACATTTATTATTGTTGTAGGTTCTAAACACATAATTACTGAAGCAAAATTGTTTATACATGAATCATCTAACATTACCTCAGTGTGTTCTGAACTGTGGAAAACATGGCTTTCTATGATATCCACTGTTGTGAGTGCTCCTCTGTAATTGATTAATGGTCTCACTCCCTCTCCCTAGTCTGTGGTTCTTGGCCTGCTTCCTATTCTATTAAATCATGCATCACAAAAGACTGCAACTTTTGAGTTTTATCCTAGAATCATAAACAAACCACTCAGGCCTTATTTGCTTGATAGTTTCTTTTGAAAAATGCCTTATTGCCCTAGGTGATGCAGTGAATGAGGGAGAAGACGAATAATGAAGACTCTTCAGATTTAGACCTGTACCGTCACTGGGGTTTGAAATGAGAGAAAGGAGGAACTCAGGTGGGTTTGAAAGCTATGAATATGGAAGAATCTGTAGACAGAGACATGGACAAGTGGCGGCAGAGAATTAGGGATATTTATAGTCCTTGATGACTGTGCAATGGTATGTACATGGCATATAATAATATATATCTTGGAATTCGGTTACTATATGTCCTCAGTGGGACCACCAAAAAAGCTAAGTTCTTGGGACATACCTTTTCCTAAATCTTTGGAAAAGGAGAGAAAGAGAGAGGCAGAACAAATGGAAGCTTAATGTGGGCTGCTGACAGGAAACCCATTTTGCAAAACTGCTTCTTCTTGAATGGCAATTGAATCAACTCACTGTTATCAAGCTTTAAGTGAGTGGGTCCTTGCAGTTGCCAAAATTGAATAGGAAATGCTTTAATTTTGTTCTGGCTGTGGTCCAACAACAAGAGAGACTTCTCAAGTGTGGAATTACGGAGCTGTGCTGAATGACTCCAAGTGAACTCTCTGTAGGTTAAGCTCTTCAGGAAGGGGTCACTGCTTGGTGATGGCAAGTTGGTGAAAGGGCTGGCTGAAAGCTTGGGAAATCTGGTGCTGGTAAACGATACATGGACATGTTATCTTTGTCCCCTAGTACCAGATGAAAATGTGGGTCAACAGTAACTACTTTAATTAGTATGTAGAGAAAATTGTTGTTCAAATGGAGTGTCACATTATCTTTTGCCAAAAGGCTTGTGATGGTTATTCTGTTGTTCGTAGTGGTGAAACTTTCTGATGTTGCTTATTCGATAATAATACTGGCTGGGATTCAAGGTAAGGAGACTCTCTTGATAAGTAAATTTAAGGCAAGAGAATGTCTTAAAGGCAACTGTTTTGCTGATCCACTTTTTTTTTCTCTGCACATTGATCAGGAATTTTTTTACCTTCACAAAGCAAGTAAGACCTGAAGCAGATTTCACTTTTACAGTCACCTTTTGATTATTCAAAGGCTAGTTATCCAGTGTATGAGTAAGGATTCTGACCAGAATTTCTGACAAGACTGGATGATTGGCCAGTTGTGGCAGCATTAATTGCATTAAAAAAATGATACGTGGGGGTAAGGAAGATGTCATGATTTCACCGAGGCAACACAGAAGTTTTTACAGAATACATAGAATTTTATGCAGAATAGTTTAGTAGAGGTTCAAATGGAAAGGAAAGAGGAATCTGTTTTTTTCCTTTCATCTTTTCTTATTGGAACTTATTTAAAATTTCTGAGTGTTTCACTCTAAGAGCATGCATTCCATATTTAAAAAGGAACTGGGTTATTCGCTACATGCCACATAGTGGGTTTGTCACATTTGATATCTGAACTCTTCCTCAGATGGAATCACTTATATTTTACTTTAGGAGCCCCACTGCAGGACTCGCCTGGTAATACAGCTTTTATATTTTGCCATTTACTTTTATGGTATCCCGTTTTCTAGTGGACAGTCTGCTGCCGAAACCATTCCCAAATCAAGTTCTGAGTGTTGGATACTCAGGATAATGGAGCTCCATTTGGGGAAATTTACTATGAGTTTTATTGTGAGAAATGGATCTTCACATGACTCTCCTGCTAAAGAGTCAGTGACTCACCAAACAAGGAAGCAGAATTAAGATGGGGCATCTGTTTGACTCAGCAAATTCCTACTTTCAGGGGACTGTGGAATTTAAACAGTGTGATGCTGCAGGTTTTGCACGTATCAAGTCCAGAGAAATGTGGAGTGGCTACAGAGCTGCACTGGAGCTGGCTAGCAAACATGGACTGTGTACACCTCTACCTAACTCTCAGCTCAGTGACATCATGTTGTAGCTTAATATAGATCATGGTTGAAATATTTGCTACAGAATTGGCAAATGCTACAAATCATTGACTACTTTTTGTTTTCTTCCTGGAAAGCCAGTTATTAAACATTCACCAGCACACCAGTGGTCCAGTACCTAAAAAATTAATTTAATTGTTTTTTTTTTCTCTAGTACAGGTGTTGTCAAAATGTGGTCCTTAGATCAGCAGTATCAGCATCACCTAGGAGCTTGTTAGAAATGCAAATTATCTGGCCCCACCCGCTAGCCTACTAAATCACCCTCTTGGGGTGGGTCTCAGGATTCCCCTTTAACAAGCCCTCCCTCCTAGGTGAATTTGATGTATGCTAAAATATGATAATCACTGCTCTAAGAAAGAGCTAGGTGATTGAGGGAGGAGAAACTATGTTTAATTAACTGTATCATGACCATAATTGAATGATTAATTACCTCATACCTGTCCCATTGTACTTATTAAGCTTTCAGAGATACTTCCTCCACAGATTGCTAATTATAGCACCCACAGTGGGTGGTGGTGGGGGTGTGTCAAAAGTATCACTTCCAGGGTTCATAGCAGATGGAAACACACCATTCATCATCCAGTATTAACTTTCTTCATCTGAAGGCACTGCCAAAGGGCAAGTGATATCAGTAAATATGATAACAGGACTACTATATTTTTAGCTGGCCTAAGAGTCAGAATCCCCTAGAGGGTTTGCTAAACTATTGATTGCTGGGCCCCAGGCCTAAAGTTTCCCATTCCTTGGGTCTGACTGGGGCCTGAGAATTTGCATTTC
The DNA here is from genome assembly GCF_000001405.40 of Homo sapiens. Lineage (NCBI taxonomy): Eukaryota > Metazoa > Chordata > Mammalia > Primates > Hominidae > Homo > Homo sapiens. The sequence continues at coordinate 66,835,359 of NC_000010.11, read as the reverse complement.
TAAACAAGTTCCCAGGTGATGATCATGCTGCTGGTCCAGGCGCCACCCTTGAAGACATTGCTCTAGAACATCTTTTGAATTATCTGCTTTGGTGTGAATTCAGCTTCTCAGCTTTTTGTTCTCTCTTATTACATTTATCTTGACTGTAATTTTTCTTTAAGGAGGGTACAGGTCACATCATATAGGGCATGATTTTTAATGTGCAGGAAACTGCTGAGCCCTCCATTTACTGTCAAGAAATTATTCAGAGTCATACTGCACTTTGTCATTTGTCTTCCTTGTCTTACTAAGTTTTTACAGGCTTAGTACTTTGCTATTGTGTCAGATGAAACTCAGATGCTTCCTCACTGCAGTGTCTATGGCCTTATGATTCATACCTTTAACTGCCATCAGATAATTCACCAGGTTGAACAGGGTGTTTCCCCTTTTCTTTGAATAGAATTTACTTATTTTCTTTGAATAGGATAACTTAATGCACCTGAGTTGCATCTTTGTCTTATTGTACTCTCCACAACAGAATAAGAGCTCTTTCTAGTGCATGAAAAGCACAGTTTAAAGTGTTTAGTGGTTTGAACTGTGGTCTAGGGTGAAAAGATTTAAAAGATTTTCACGAGAGCTCTAGCAGGCCTTGCATGCCTTGTTGAGCTCAATCGGGAAATCTACAACTTTTTTCATGAACGCTTAGAATGCAGCATTTGAATATGAGTGGTTCATGCTGTTGACTGTTTCATTTCTTAAAGTCATATCTTCAAATAACTTGTGTTCTCCGCTAAATTGGATTGCAGAGATTTTAGATTAAGACCACTCAGTGACTCAATAGTTGTGTAACCTTGGGTAGGTCACTGAATTTGCTGTATCTCACTTTTCTCATCTATAAAATGGAAATGATGGCATCTGTACTGTTTATTTCATATAACTATTGTGAGGATCACAATGATATCTATGAAAGTATTTTGTCAATTCTAAAATCCTGTGTAACTGTGAAGTGTTATTGTTAATGCCCCTTGTAATACTCAGCACAGTCAGGATACACAGTGGACCCTTAGGACGTAATATCTTGCACATGTATGTGTGTAGCAGGGTGTCTTTTATAGATCTGTGAAAGCCAACACTCAAAACAGCATCTGATTATCTACTTAATAGCTAACCTGACAATTGTATGTGAGTACACATAATAGGTACAAAAGCTGGCTATTAGCTCAACTGTAGAAGGCAGGAAAAGTGGGGGATTGGCTGCAGCCCTTAAAACCTGTATTGGCATTCTCTATCTAGGAACCAGGGAGACATACCAAGGAGCTGAGTGTGTCATTGAAAGAACATGGGAACAATACACCCTATTGTTGGTCTTTGATAAGGTACCTTCCCAATAACATTTTGGCAAGACAACTAGGCTCTTTTTCTTGACAGTAAAGGCCTACTTACTGGGACAAAGGGCGGGATGGGTAAAAGCTTCTTAGGTATTCAAAATAGAAAAATAGCAAGCTGGTGTGTGTGTGTGTTTACAATACTTGAAACAGGATTCGTGAAATCCTATTAGTCCATCTTGAGAAAACACATGGAAGAGGAGCCTTTCTCTCCCTGTTGGGCTCTCTTGGTGTTCAGAAAATTGGATATGTAGTTCACTTGAGATTTTGTAGTACAGTACTGAAACTCATCTCAGTCATGTATTTGACAGCTACCTACACTATCCAGATGAAATAACATAAAAGTGTTGGAGCAAGTGTCTAGGAACACACTACTTCAATACGTATTAGCTTGTTGATGGTGAGTAAGTCAATGAACTTCTCTGAAACTTAGTTTCCTAATCTACAAAACAGAAATAATAAACCCTGACTTGTTTACTTTCTCTGAGTTTCAGATGAAATAATGTGCATAAAATACTTTGTCAACTAAAAAACCTCCTAGAAATGTAATATTTTGTTTTTAAATGCTTATTCTATAAGGATTTGCACGTAGTCAGTGCAATTATGCTTATTATAGAGATATAAACAAGATAGAAAAATGTGGATTGGATGAAAAAATCTTTAGGTGGATTCAATGCCTACTGAACAGTCAATGAAGTAGGTCTTGATTCATGCATTAAGCCTCCTGGCAGACTGGCTAGCAGCAGCTCTGCTCTCCCTATTCAGTGTCCTCACTGTGACCTGAATGAAGACACACAAGTCATGCTCTTTAGATTCTTCAATGATTCAGACCTCAGAGGACTACCTAGCAACATGAATGGCAGATCCAAAATTCAATTTGATCTTAAAAGGCAGAAACAATGATCTGAAAGCACCAAGATAAAATATAACATGGATATAAATAAAATTCTTCTTTTAGAGTAAAAATAATCTATCGCACAAATTCAGGAAGGGGGTGAACTGCCTTGGAGGAAGTTGATATGAGACCATCTGGGGTTTTTAGGTGTCTACAAGCTCAAATAGAATGTGATGCATTTGCTTTGAAGAAAAAAAATTTCTGAATAGAAAAATATGGCTGCTTCCTCCAGTGATCTAGTGCTCAGAAATCTAGCTACTGAGTTAGGGGATTAGAGCTCTGGTCCTCACTCTGCCAATGTCTCACGGTGTCACCTTGCTAGGGTCATTTAATGTCTCTTAGCTTCAGTTTTTCTGACCTTTAAAATGAGAAGTTTAGGCTGAGTTATTTCTGGATTGCTACTAGCTAGAAGAATCTGTGACTTTGAGTTGGGTCATAAAAAAACCTTTTCTTCTTCCTTTTTTTTTTTTGAAAATTGATATATCCACAACTAGTAGGAAGACAAACTGATTACAGGAGAATAATTGAGAACTAAAATTATAACGTGTATATCTTTTTATTTTCTCAGTGATTGTGGCATTAATTTAATTTTGTTGGCTTAGTAAATGGCCTCCTCAAAAACAATATATTTTTCAACTTATTTTTCTTAACTGGTGTGCCTTAAGAACTTTTTCCGGAACTTCAAATTTTCCCGTAACTTTCAGGTACAAATCCCAGCAGGGTCCATCTGGCTCACTTTCCTTCTAAGACAGATAAATTGAGCTGTGTGTGCTTTTACAGTGCGTGATCTTAGATATCTACATGAGACTTTCAAAAATTAAGGCCCTGTCTACTGCTTATAGATATATACAGGGTCTCAGACCTCTCTTTGTAAGAATAACAATTTATCATCAAAACTATAGAGTCATTTTTTCTGCCAAAATGAGTGTAGTTTCTTCCCAACTTATAGAAATATTATGTCTTTGATATGAACTTTAATTGAGCAGTGAATTACTTAGTGGTTTGCAGTGCTTCTGGGTGTTAGAATGTGCTGGGTTTTTCAGGATGAGTGGCTGTGTACGTAGGTATTTTGTTCAGTGTTTCAGAGCACCTGACCAAATTCATTCCTTTCCTTATGCTATTTGTTGATAAAGGATTTGCTCTATATTCCATACAATTGAATTCCTTGTCTTCTTTAATCTGCTTGCCTTATCCTCATTAGTTTTTGAAAGCTTGAACTATGTCTTAAATTGAATGAATTAATCAGAATATCTCATCCCTGAAGATATCAGATAAAAGAGAATTCATCATATTAAAGACATTGTGCTGGAAAAATAGTGGATTGTTTTCATGCTTCTCTCCCTTCTTCCCTCTTTCCCTTTCCTCTCTCCTCTGCTTTCCTGCATCTCATGCTCCTTCCCCTTTTTTTTGTTTCTTCTCTGCACAACTCTTTATTGAATTGCTACTGTGTGCTAGGTAGGCTGAGGATTTACTGTCTAGTAAAATATCCGCTGCTTTCATGGTGCTTATAGTCTAGGAGAGGAATCAAACCAGTAAACAATTGAAGTGCCAACTGGTAGAGAGACAGCTCAGTAATGAAAGCCAGAGAAAGCATCCCAGAAAAGATTTCAAACCTGAGAGGTAAGGGTGGATTAAAAGTTAGTGGAGTGAAAGCTTGGATTGGGCATAGGAAATGTTCTAGACAGAGAGCAAGCGTATGGTAAAGTCTTGAGATGGGAAAAAGCATAGCACAATTAAGAAATTTGAAAAGTCAGAACGAGTGAAGCCTGGCACACAAGGGAAGATGGGCCAGAAATGGGATTGAAGGATCACAAGCTTACAAAGGCCTTACTGCTTATGGATCCAAAGAGCATCAGAGAATCACTGGGGAGTTTAAAGAAATAAAATAACATGATCAGGTTTTCATTTTAAAAAGACCATTGTTTTTCCTGCAGATTAGAGACTTATTTGGAAGGACATAAGATTGATTATTGTAGTAGTCCAGGTGAAAGAGGATGATGGTGATGCATTGGATCAGGGGAGTATTGAAGAGGCTATTTCATGGGAGTAAAGCTTTGGAATCATTCTTTGTTTCATTTTCAGGTAACTGTCTTTAAAGCTGTCATTTAAAAACATATAAAACAAAAATTCTTTTTTTTCCCTTTTTTATGACTTTTTGAGGACATAAAGGTTGCTTAAAGAAGAAATTAGTAGGCCAGGCGCGGTGGCTCACGCCTGTAATCCCAGCACTTTGGGAGGCCGAGGCAGGCGGATCACGAGGTCAGGAGATAGAGACCATCCTGGCTAACACGGTGAAACCCTGTCTCTACTAAAAATACAAAAAATTAGCCGGGCGTGATGGCGGGCGCCTGTAGTCCCAGCTACTCGGGAGGCTGAGGCAGGAGAATGGCGGGAACCCAGGAGGCGGAGCTTGCGGTGAGCCGAGATCGCACCACTGCACTCCAGCCTGGGCAACAGAGCTAGACTCCGTCTCAAAAAGGAAAAACAAAAAAAAAAAGAGAAATTAGTAGTTGTGAGGGGTTGAGGTGTTTAGAATAGAATTCTCCATGCTGCATTGGTTTATGCTGAAGAAGGAGCACGAGTAGAAGCAGAGTGGGAGCTCTGAATTTAAACCCCAGTTTTGCTAGTAATGAGCTCTGGGACTACAGGTAAATAACTTAACCTCTGTCGGTACTTCTTTCAATTCTAATCTTCTAAGATTCTATGAGTGCTCCTGTAAGAAAACTCTAGGAAAGAAAAACCTTCAGGTATTTGTTTGCATTTTAAATATCTTAATACTGTTTTAATCCTTATTGGTACACATATTTAAATTCTAGATTCAACAAGTGAGAAGCTTTGCTAACAGTATCGTAAATCAGAAACTACAAAAGTATTAATCTGGTATTAGAAATCAGGCTGTTTTTCTATCTTGCATACCTGCTTATAGACATGAGAGATTTTGAGGTCTGTGAAATATAAGCCAGAGAAACTTAACCTTTGAGAATGGAAATCTTTAGTGGTGAGACATGAGGTTAACACATAGAGTGGTTTCCAAACTTGGGTCCACTAGTAGTGCCCATTTGGTCACATAAAAATCCCCTGTGGGAGGGCGCCTGTGGTCCCAGCTACTCTGGAGGCTGAGGCAGGAGAATGGCGTGAACCCGGGAGGCGGAGCTTGCAGGGAGCCGAGATCGCACCACTGCACTCCAGCCTGGGGGACAGAGCTAGACTCCGTCTCAACAACAACAACAACAACAACAACAACAAATCCCCTGGGGAGCTTGTTAAAAATACACCTCCCTGGCCTATCCTCATAGTTTCTGATCAGTAGGTGGTGGTGTAAGGCTAATAGGAATGGGTGCTGTAGTCTAAGGCAGTGTTTCCCAAAGTGTGGTTCATGAAATTGCACTAGTCCTTTTTTTTTTTTTTCCAAAATGTTAATTGAAAAAGTGTTTAGAGGTAAAATATATTTGAGAAACACTGTATAATATAATGTCTTTTTTTTTTTTGAGACAGAGTCTCACTCCATCACCCAGGCTGAAGTGCAGTGGTGTGACCTTGGCTCCCTGCAACCTCTGCCTCCCGGGTTTAAGCAATTCTTGTGCCTCAGCCTCCACAGTAGCTGGGATTACAGGTGTGTGCCACCATGGCCGGCTAATTTTTGTACTTTTAGTAAAGAGAGATGGGGTTTTGCCATGTTGGTCAGGCTGGTCTCACTCCTGACCTAAAGTGATCTGCCCACCTCAGCCTCCCAAAGTGCTGGCATTACAGGTATGAGCCACCGCACCCAGCCTATAATGTCTTTTATAGATTAATGTATTCGCATATTACAAATTCTAAGATATCCTACATGAAAGAAAGAGTTAAACTTTATTCCTGTGTTCCTCTGACTCATTTGGCCCTGAACCACTTTTACTGGAGTATCTATTAACAGCCCTTAGAACTTGCTTTCCATAAAGGGAGTTTACAAGGTGTTGTACCAGAGACATTTTTTCTAGCTATTGACATGGAGTGGCCCAAGGATATCCTTCCTTTATTGTTTAAGCAAAGACACACCTTTGTGGAATTACTGAGGGAACACAGATAAATACTTTGGATGCAAAATAGGCAGGTTTATTTTGTCAACAAGCTACCTGGCTGTCATGTGGGTTGTGTGTATTGCATTACATGCCTCTTCACATTTACTCTACGTGAATGGCACCTCCATACAGCTGTGCAGTCATAGTATGCAATCTGGCAAGCCCTCTGTGGCTGCTCTGTCTGACCTGTATGGGGGCTGACCCTGTAACTCTGGTTTCACTAGAATCAGAAATCAATCTTGTGAATTATCTTGGGCAGACTATGACTCTCCAAGTGGTAGGTCCCTAATAATTTGTCTGGAATAGTGCAGTAAAAAATAGTTGGGTTTTAATAAAATGATGAAGCTGTTTCCATAAGCAATACACTAACACTTAAGCGTTTTAAAATAAGTGTATCTTTATTTGCTGTCCTCAGAAGAAGCTGATATTCATCATTAGATATACCATTGGCCAAAATGTGGTTCCTTCATCATTTACCAACAATTTCTTAATAACCACGTGGCAAGCAACATACTGGGCACTGGGGAAGCAAAGGAAAAAAGAATGGTTTCTGCTTTTCAAGTAGAACAGTTTAAGGGAAATTGCCACGTACACAGATGGTTATAATACATTGTGGTAATAGTTACCATGGAGGTAAGTGCAAGGGGCAATTGGAGCATAAAGAATAAAGTACTTAAGTTGGCCTAGGGGAATTAGGAAAGATTTCACAGAAAAAACTAGTTTGGTTTAGTCTGGCTTCTGATTTTTCTTCTGAAACCCTATGCTGAGTCTGCTATTCAGTTACCAGGAGATAGTCTAGATTTTGCTGCCTTGCATATGCTCACGTGCTTTTCCAAAATAAATTGTGTTTATGTAATAATTTTTACCTTTTCTCCTCACTCATCATTTCCATCTTGATATTCCTTTGAATTATACCCCTCACAATAGTGTTAGTTTCAGCTGAGTGTTCACATTTCTGGTACAAGCTAATAGAATTTTTCATTTGCTTTTGCTTTGCAGATGTTGAACACATGGCTCTTAAGCATGGCATTATTCTTATAAGGATGACAGGCTTCAAACATTTTGATTAGTACCTCAATTTTACCCACTTCTCCATTTTGAAGTCAGCCTGTGTTTTATATCATCTCGGTTTCATCTCTTACAAAGCTCTAGTATTCAGAAAGGCAATTTCTTTCTCCACTTTTATGTCTACCAAGTTACTGTGAGACTTTTAGAAAGGTTTTATAGCTTTTACTTTCAGAAATGGAATACTTTACTTAATTTTTCAAAGAGCTCAAAGACATACACCTGTATTGGGAATAAATACACATTGCCTGTTTGCAATATCTTGCATCCATGTAGCATTTTGTAGTTTGTATTTTACCTGCATCATTTTTATGTAACTCTCACAATGCCATTTGAAATATGAGGAAACTGGATCTTAGTGAGGTTTAGTGAGTTATTCCAGATAATATAACTAGTCATGGTTGAGTCAGTGACAGAACCATGACTCAAACAGACTCTGGTTTCCAATTACGAGACTTTTTCCACTATATTGCATAGCAGGACAATATTACTATGTGCTGGGTATAAAGGGAAGCTGAATATGAAGAAGTAGAGTGTTTGGTAAGGCAAAATCAGAAATTGAAAGTATCATTGTTAATGATTTGAGTGGAAGAGATTGTGCAGGGCATGAGAGAAAGCAAGCAAATTAATAAACATGTCTAATATGGGAGGTAAGTATGGTAAAGGAGGGCAAGAAGGTGGAGCTGATTTGGTGTTTGATGAAGCAGCATCATAGCCAGCAGGACAAGTTAAAACAAAAGGAGTAAAAATTGCAAAAGAACACAAGTCAGCAGTGGAGGAAAAGAAAGGGGGCTTCTGAATGCGGGATGGACGTGGATAGAAAGCTGGCCAAGGAGACTGAGACTAGTAGATAGCCTGCAGCTGGAGCCTGTGCCACCTTCATTCTGAGGTTGTGGTCTCTTATGCACCAGTTCTCCATAGCCAAGGTTGATGCTGCAGGTGCTGGTCAAGGAGAAATGTTCAGTAAAGATATAGTCAATTTTTGGAAAATCATAAGTAACTTGGTACAGTACAGCCACACAAGTCATGTCACTGTCTCCAGATGAAAGAGCCAGGCTGGAGGCTGGGAGTGGGACAGTAATTGGAAAGTGGTTGAAGGGTTTAGGTTAAGTTTATTTAGGTTTCTGTGAAAAGCCAGATAAAATGACTACTCCATGACATATAATTGGCATTATACCGTAAGCAGTGATCTAATGTGTTCATTTTCTAAAACTGCAATCACTTTGAAGTTACCAGGATACAATCACAGTGAGAGACAGTTTTTCAGTTTTTAGTAGATTAATGAGCTAAAATATATATCTCAAACTACTTAAAATCAGAGAATACTCATACTATTTCTCAAGTACTCATGTAATAGTTCAAACATTAAATTTGTTTGGAGCTTACTTTTGGCTTAAACCTCAGAAAATAACACAAATCTCTATTATCTTACAGTAATTATAATAAATAAATGTGTAAATAAATAATAAATTAGAAAACAAACATTCTAGGCTGGGCAACATGGCAAACCCCCATCCCTATTAAAATACACAAATTAGCCAGACGTGATGGTGTGAGCCTGTAGTCCCAGCTACTCAGGAGGCTGAAGTGAAAGGATCACTTGAGCTTGGGAGGTTGAGGCTGCAGTGAACTGTGATCCTACCACTGCACTCTAGCCTGGGCGACAGGGCAAGACCATGTCGTAAACAAATAAAAAAACACAAACAAACCAAACATTCAATTACATAGACATGTTTAGCAGGTTTATTGCTCTACCATTGACACAGGGTAAATTGCACATACTAAATGGGTACAATTTTCGTAAGATTGACATATGTCTATCAAAAAGAACTGACAACACCATCAAGAAACATACTGAACACCCCTAAATTTTCCTAGTGCCCTTTTGTAACCCCTTCCTTTTGAAGGAGCAAATGAAAGTTCCTTTCACTCCTCCCCTAAAAATCCATTCTAAATGACACTTGGATAAGAAGGAATTAGGTTGACCACTATAAGCAATTTTATATATACATGTTGAACTAAAAAAGTAGACAGTAGGAATTCAGAGAAGGAAGATTTCAGGAGAATACAGGAGTGTTTTGAAACAATTCTTAGGGCCTGGGGAGCTTGAATTCAATCTGGAACAGGCAGAATGATTTGGGAGAGCATTTTGGCTTTGGGGTAAGGGATGACAAAGCGAAGCCAGAAATGAGGGCTCCACAATCCTGGGACAGTGAGATGACTTCTTTGACCCGAACAGAGGCAGTGTTCTGATGACCTGTAGAAAAAAAAGTTTGGCTAGCTTGTGGAAGATCTTAAATGAGGCTGAGTGTAGGTTTAAGATAAAAAGGAACAATTGAAGACTTTTGTTTTTAACTACGGAAAGTGATTTAATTCATTCATTTATTCATTCATTCAAAAGGCTAGGTGCGGTGGTTCATGCCTATAGTCTCAGCACTTTGGGAGGCTGAGGCGGGTAGATCACTTGAGGTCAGGAGTTCGAGACCAGCCTGGCCAACATAAAGCAAAACTCCATCTCTACTAAAAATACCAAAATTAGCCGGGTGTGGTGGCGCACAGCTATAATCCCAGCTACTTGGGAGGCTGAGGCAGGAGAATTGCTTGAACCCGGAAGGAGGAGGTTGCAGTGAGCTGAGATTGCACCACCACACTCCAGCCTGGGCGACAGAGCACGACTCCATCTCAAAAAAAAAATATATATATATATGTATATATACATTTTTATTTATATAATATATATTGTCATTTATATAAATATATATATCTTAAAATATATATGTATTTTTAAAAAATATATGCTATTTTACACTATATGTCAAGCATTGTTCTAAGTGCTTATGAATGTGCTTTTAATATGTGGCCATTTGTAAGGGCACACTCTGGCCTGTGTGTGAGTGTGTGTGTAATTTGTTTTTCTAAATAATTTTTTTTTTTTGAAAATTTAGATTTACAGAAAAGTTGCAGGAATCTTACAAAGAGTTCTTGTATACATTTCACCCAGTTTCCCCTATTGTTAACATCTGATATAACTATGGTAAATTTGTCAAAATTAAGAAACTGGCATTAGCACATTAATGTTAACCAAACTCCACACTTCATTTGGATTTTCTTAGTCTTTACCTAATGCCCCTTTTCTGTCCCAGGATCCCGTTATGGGATTTAGTCACCACGTCTCCTTAGGTTCTTTAGACGGCGATGACTTCTCAGGCTGTCCTTGTTTTTGATGACCTTGATGGTTTTGAAGAGTACTGGTTAGGTATTTTATAGAACGTCTTTCAATTTGGGTTTGTCTGATGTTTCCCACATACTGTCTGCTTTTGAAGAAACAAATGGAAGTTCCATCCACAATTTAAAAGAAAAGGTCATTTTATTAATTTTATGCTTGGATTATATAGATCTTTAATCTTTTCTGAACAGTAAGCCTCATATTCCCCTCAAATCATGTTCAAGGTACCTATTTCCTTACCTATTCATTTTGGGTATCATACTTAACCATTTCAGCCTACCAGGGTTTCCTGTAAAGAAGTGCTTTCTTTTAAATGAGTAGAGATTTGAATGACCAATTCCAGGAAATCCTTCTGAGATAGCCATCATTCAGTCACCTGTGTACTTATTGCTTCAATAACAGAGGCTAAAATGCTTAGCTGTATCCTAGTCCGTGACTTGAATCAGCACATGGCTTTGCTTGAATGTTTTATAAGTTTCTAGCTGCTATATCACAGATTAGTGCACTGGAATGACAAAGTACAGTCTTAGCCGACACAGGCCACTGTGCCATTTTCTTATATACTCTCAAACCCTCTCATGAATTGAAACACCTAAAGTTGAGCAAAGACATGCTGAATAGAACCCCATACATAGTTTCTTTAACATGACATTTCTTAACCATTAAGAAATGGACTCTGGCCCACTCTCTAGGAAAAAAAAAAAAGAGTATGGCATATTTATAGGGTTCTTCTTTCTTTGAGACAAATGAAAGAACATTCACATTTTTTCCTTTCTTTTCCCTTTCTATCTGTTACATAAATTTGAATTCAATCTGAGCTTTAAGACCCTTGGAGGGAATATGGTAACTCTCCAATATTTTACCCGTGGATGGTGTATGCTTAGGTTTGATTCTGGCCCCTCTGGTTATTAGCAGTGTGTCATTGAGTCTGTCAGTTAGCCTGTCCTAAGCCTTGCTATTTTGATCCATAAATTTAGGTAATAATATCTACTTCCTAAATTCAATTTGAGAATCAATTGGGATAAAGCATATAAAGTGTCCAGCGCAGTGTCTAGCACAAAACTCACTCAATAAACATTAACTATTGTTATTATTGTTATTTTTAATACTTAGTATGATAAACTAATTAAGAAAAAACTGGATGCATTGGCCATGATTCTAATAACAGCAGCTGATGTTTCCGACTCTCCTCACTGCCTTGCATCCTGCTCAGACATTCCTATGCTCAGTGTCTCCCTGCTCCAGCCTCCAGCTGCCTGACCACTAGCCCATCACAACTCTACATTCATCCTCCTTGTAGAAGAAGAATGGCTGCTTCCACAGTTAGTAAATAGGAAATAATTGTTTAAGAAATTTTTTTTTAATTCACATAAAACATCTGTTTGAGTTAGGAAATTAATAACAAAAGGATTTTGCATTCAGAATTTTGTCTTGGTGATGACATGGAATTTATGAACAAATAAAATTTTAAAGAATTTCAGGTTTTGTTTTACTTTCTAAAGAAACCAGCTTGAGTTAATGTCTACCATTGGCATTCTCTCAGAGTCACTGCTCAGTTCTCACCACCAGCTAGGAATGTGGACAAGCTGTTAATATATGGATTTTCCAGACTCCTAAACACAGTTCTGCATTAGTTGGAGGCTCTGAGAGACTGGTCTGGGACTGTGCTACTACCAGAATTGTTGCAGGCCCCCTGCCAGGACTCACAAATCCCAGCTTTGCAGGGTGGTAATTGTAGTTGTCTTCTCAGTATGCCGTACCATAGAGCCTTTCTTGTTCTGTCTGTTACTTCCTCAATTAAAAAACATAGCTTTCTTTGTGCTGGCCTGTGGATCAGATGTTTCAGAGCAGCAGGAAGAAGATAATCTTACACCTAAAAAAATGTAAAGGTTCCTTACTTACTGAATCAATCAGCAGCACCTGCTCTGCCCAGCCAAAGTAGCAGTTTCATTCCTGGCAGGTCTTACTAGCAGAGGGATAGTTCAAGAATCCTTATCCACAAGTATTTGTTTGTTCTCTTTCCCTTTCTCTCCATAAGAAGTAAAAGCAGTAACTTTCTTTAATAGGATCTGTGCCCTTTCGTTAAAAATAGTGAAGACTGATAATAGTCTACTATTGAAAGTGTTTAATTACAGGTTACTGGAAGTGTCGCCAGAACTTTATTTCACATGGCATTGCAGAATTCTAGGACACATAAGTGGTATAACAGAGTTTTAGAAAGCTGATAATATGTATAGGAGAATGGGTGTGCTTCATTAATTGTACTTGTAAATATTGAAAATTAATGGGTTTCCAAAGAAAATATTCCTCTGAAAGTATCCAGAAAATCAGGAATAGTGGTTAGTCACAACTCTTGTGCCAATCCTGATTGATCAGTAGCGGCTCCCTGGGACACTGTGATGAGGATTCTGAAGGCCCGTTCTAACTCCAGTTAAGAATGCCATGATCGATTAACAATGCTTGCCGTGGTCATGGAACAAGGAAATGACATCTTATATATTAAATATTTGTCATCCGTAGAATCACCATTTATGCTAGGCCAAAGCATGATGCTATAATTATTTATATTGCTAAAATATATAATATAAACATATTACATACTTTATATATTATATATTGACATAAATATAAACGTAATATTTATGCATAAATTTTACATATAATATATGTAATTTTATATAACATAATTATATACTTTATATAATGTAAACAATAATATATTAATAATGATGTTGTTAATTACATAGTATGGAAAATTTAAACAGTGTGCTTCAAAAAATATTCAGGACAAAATTTAAATTACAGAAACAAATACTCTGCTCATTTATTTGTTCAGCCACAACTTGTTTAGCAACTTCTGTGTGCTCCAGTGCTGTGGATCTAGAGCTAAATAAATTCTTGTGTCTGTCTTGAAGGTGCTTTGGTTGACTAGAGCAAATGGTGTGGAAACCGTTGCAAAGACTTAATAAATACGATGATAAAAGCGCATACTAGCAGACTGAGTGTTCACAGAAAAGAAGAAGCAATTAACCCTGTATAAGTTCATGAGGAATCTTCAAAGAGGTGACAACATGGTGTCATTCCTGTCTCTAGAAATAATGCTAAACATTTAGGAATCATTTGCTCTTATGACTCAAAACAACCCTGTTGAAAATGGATAGTGCTCTTTTGTATGTAATAAAGATCAGTGGGTTAGGTTGCTGCTGGTTTTCTATTATTGCAAATTGATTCCCCTGTGAATTTTCAGCTGTGGTGAATTCTTGAATACCTGGATTCCTCAGTTTATATCTTTCCTACCACTTTTTTCACATCAACTCCTATTAAATTCCACTGCTTGTTTTATATTGATCTCCGTTGTCCAAACTGTTATACTCACTGAGATATTTATAGCCAGAATATGCCCATAAAGACAAGGGACCTGCTGGCAAAGCATTATACATTTGGAAATAATTTGACATACCATACCTTGTATGGGCTTCTGGGTTTTCAAATTGGTTAAACTGTCAAATCTATATCTTTCTTTGCTTTAAAATGTCAAGCATATCTAATTACAATTTTTTTCAAATACGTCATAATCACAAAATTTACAAGGAAACTATGTGCATGAATAGACTTAGATGTTTGTGTATTGTTGTCTATGGATATGAGTACACATATGTACACAGGTTTAAATTTGCTTCAGGTATATCCATAATTAAATCTCTCTAAGAAATCACGTATGCTGATAATATTTTAAAACATGTTGTAGTGGATGGAGACTGACTAATAAGTTAATGATGATGGAACTGAGGCAAAATATAAAGGGGTGTTTTGTAAGGAAGACTAACACTTTTGTATATACCAGAGGGAGCTTTTGTCCAATATTTGCATTTTTATTTTTAAGACTTATTATTTCTAGAAGACTTTTTGTATATAAATTAACCTTATTTTGGTCATAATCAGAAGTTATAAACTAGTTTTATAAATTTTAACCACAGATTATGATTTTTTCTGATTGTAGAAGTAATTAAAAAATTTGAAATAGGAAACCATACCATAGAAAGTAGAAACCACTCATGATCCCGTCACCAATATACAACTAACATGGACAATTTTTTTTTTTTTTTTTTACTTTCACTTCCTTTTTGGAGTATGTTACCATATACTTTTCTCTCAGTCTTTTCAGCCATTCAGCAAATATTTATTAAGCACCTCATAATGTCCATGACATATGTATATATCTGTGTATGTGTACATGCTTGTCATTTATTTTTACTTGAGCTGTAATTCATATACCATAAAATTCATCACATTAAATTGTATAATTCAGTAGTTTTTAATATATTCACAAAATTGTGCAGCTATGATCATTATCTAATACTAGTATATTTTCGTCACCTCAAAAAAAAACCCTTTAATCGTTACCAGTCACTTCAATTTCTTACCCTCACCCCCAGCAGCCACTAATCCACTTTCTGTACTTTATAGGTTTGCCTATTCTGGGCATTTCTGTAAATAGAAAACATAGCTTTTGTGACCAGCTTCTTTCATTTAGCGTAATGTTTTCAAAGTTTATCCATGATGTGTAGCAGAAATCATTATTTCATTCCATTTTTATGATGGAATAATATTATATTGTATGAATATGCTGTAATTTTTAATTCACTCATCAATTAAAGACATTTGGGTTGTTTCCACTTTTTTTTTTTTTTGCTATTATCACTAATGCTGCTCTGAACATTTATGTACAAGTTTTTGTGTGAACTCATTTTCAGTTCTCTTTGGTACATACCTAGGAATAGAATTGCTGGATGAGCTGGTAACTATATGAATAACATTTTGAGGAATTGCCAGACTGTTTTCCCCAGTGGCTGCACAATTTTACATTCCCATCAGTGATGTGCAAGGTTTCCCATTTTCCACATCCTGGCCAACCCTTTTTATTTCTGTGTTTTAAATTATAGTCATATTAGTGGTTGTGAAATGATATGTCATTGTGGTTTTCATTTGTGTTTCTCTAATGACAATTGATACTGAGTATCTGTTTGTATTGACCATTTGTATGTCTAGAAAAATGTTTAGTCAAATCCTTTGCCTGTATTTTAATTGGGTTATTCTTTTAAATAGTTGAGTTGTAATATTGCTTTATATATTTTGTATACTAGACCCTTATCAGATATATGACATGCAAATATTTTTTCTTCCATTTTGTGTGTTTTTTTCAATTTCTTGATTGGGTTCTTTGAAGCACATTTTGAAAAGTGCTTCATTTTGATGAAGTCCAGTATACCTATTTATTTTTCGCTGCTCGTACTTTTGATGTCATACCTAAGAAACTATTGACTAATCCAAAGCCAAGAAATTTATACTTAATGTTTTCTTATAAATATTTTATAATTTCACTAGTTACCTTTAGATCTTTGATTCGTTTTAAGTTAGATTTTGTATATGGGGTAAGATAGAGATCCAACATCATTCTTTTGCATGTGGATATCCAGTTGTCCCAGACCCATTTGTTGAAAATAATATTTTTCACATTTGAATTATCTTGGTACTCTTCTAAATATCAATTGACCAAAGATGTATGGGTTTATTTTTGGACTCTCCAGTCTATTCTATTGATCTATTTGATCCATTATGCCAATACTACTCCAACCTTTTTTTTTTTTTTTTTTTTTTTAAGACAAGAGTTTCCCTCTGTTGCCCAGGCTCTGGAGTGCGATGGTGCGATCTCAGCTCATTGCAACCTCTGCCTCCGTGGCTCAAGAGAGTCTCATGCCTCAGCCTCCTGAGTAGCTGGGATTACAGGCACGCACTACCATGCCCTGCTAATTTTTGTGTTTTTAGTAGAGATGGGGTTTCGCCATGTTGGCCAGGCTGGTCTCAAACTCCTGGCCTCAAGTGATCCGCCTACCTTGGCCTCCCAAAGTGCTGGGATTACGATGGTGAGCCTAACTTTTTTCTATGATTGTCTTGAGTATTCCGAGTCCCTTGCTTTTCCATATGAATATTATGATCAACTTGCCAATTTCTGAAAAAAACCCACAAAACACAGCTGGAATTTTGAAAGGGACTGCATTAAATTTGTGACCAATTTGGATATTGTTGACATCATGAGAATATTAATTCTTCCAATCCATTCCCCAGAATGTCTTTCCATTTATTTAAAACTTCTTCAGGTTATTTCAGTGATGTTTTGTAGGCAGTATGCAAGTCTTGAACTTCCTTTGTTAAATTTGTTTCTATTTTACTTTTTATGCCATTGTACGTGGAATTTTAATTTCATATTCAGACTGTTCAAGTGTATAGATATAGAGATGATTTTCACATATTGATCTTACATCCTGCAACCTTGCAGAATTTATTATCATAAATAGTTTGTCTGTATTCCTTAGGATTTCCTATATGCAAAATTATTTCATTTTAAAGTAAAGATAACTTCAGTTATTTTCCAAAGACTACTTTTATTTATTTTTCTTGTCTAATTACCCCAGTTAGAATTCCAGCACAATGTTAAGTCAAAGTGATGAGAGTAGACATTCTTGTCAGGTTCCTGATCTTAGGGAAAGACTTTCAGTGTTCACCATTAAGTATGTTCTCAGTTGTGAGGTTTTTGTAGATACCATTTATCAGATTGAGAAAGTAGTCTTCTATTCCTAGACTGCTTTTTTTTTTTTTGGTTAATAATAAAAGAGCGTTGGATTATTTTCTGTGCCTATTATGATGATCATGTGGTTTTGGTTCATTATTCTATTCATATAGTTTATGGGATCGATTGAGTTTCATATGTTGAAACGGTCTTGCCTTCCTGGAATGAAATCCCACTTGGTCATAGTATAAGCTTTTTGTGTGTTTCTGGAAACAGTTTGCTAATATTTTGTTGATGGTTTTTGTACTTATATTTTAAAGGATGTTTATCTGTAGTTTTCTTTTTTCATGGTGTCTTTAGTTTTAGTGTCAATGTAATGCTGACCTCAAGAAATAAGTTGGAAGTTTTTTGTCCTCTTTTCTTTTTTGGAATTCTTTTGTGAAGAATTAGTATTAATTTTTTGAATATTTGGCAGAATTGAGCAGTAAATTTATCTGATCCTGAGATTTTCTTTGTCAGTAATTATTTATTAATTCAGTCTCTTCACTTGTTATAGCTTTATTCATTTGCCTGTTGCTCCCTGAGTGTAGCTAGTTTCTAGGAATTGTCTGTTTCGTATAGGTTACCTAATTTGTTGGCATGTAGTTGTTCATACTATTCCTTATAATATTTAAACATTTTCTGTTAAGTCAATAGTAATGTCCATGCTTTCATTCCTGATTTTGGTAATTTGAGAATTCTCTCTTTTTTGTTGTTGGCCAGTCTAACTAGAAATTTGTCAATTTTGTTATCTTTTCAAAGGACTAATTTTTGGTTTTGTTGACTTTTATCTGTAGGTTTTTTATCCTCTTTTATCATTTATTTCTAGTTTAATTATTATTATTTTCTTGATTTGGGTTTAGTTTGCTCTTCTTTTGCTAACTTGTTTTTTAAAAAATTTGGATGTGTTTTTTGTTTTATTTTATTTCAGTAGATTTTTGGGAAACAGGTGGTGTTTGGTTACATGAATAAGTTCTTTCGTGGTGATTTCTGAGATTTTGGTACATCCATCACCTGAGCAGTATACACTGTACCCTAAGATAAAATCTTCTGTTATTGATATGAGATCTCATTTGTTTTCTAACATAAGCATTTACAGTTATGGCTGTCCCTTTAAGAACTGCTTTAGGTGCATCCCATAAATTCTGGTATGTTGTATTTTTGCTTTAATATATCTCAAAATATTTTCTAATGTCTCTTGATATTTATTCTTGTCCAACTGGCAATTTACGATTGTTTTAAATTTCCACATATTTGTGAATTTCCCAATGTTTCTTCTGTTATTGATTTCTAATTTAATTCCATCATAGATGGAGGACGTACTTTATATTATTTAAATCCTTTTAAGTTAATTGAGGCTTTTTCACTGCCTAACATATGGTTTATTCTGGAGAATGTTTCATGTGAATTTGGGAAGAATGTACAATCTGCAATTTTTAGATGGAGTGTTCTATAAATATCTATTAGGTGTAGTTGGCTTATAGTGTTGTTCAAGTCTTCTATTTCCTTGTTTCTCTTCTGTTTAGTTGTTCTATTATTTATTAGACATGAGGTATTAAAGCCTCCAACTGGTATTGTTGAAATTTCTATTTGTTCTTTCAATACTGTCAGTTTTTCCTCATGTGTTCTGGGGCTCTGTTTGCATGGTATTTCTTTTTCTATCCTTTTACTTTCATTCTATTGGTATCTTTGAATGTATATGTCTCTTTTATAAACAGCATGTTGTATTATTTTTAAAAATCCATTAGTCGATTTTTGCCTTTTAATTGGAGTGTTTAACCCATTTACATTTCATGTGAATACTGATAAGGCAGAATATACGTCTACCAATTTGATATTTGTTTTCTATGTCTTACATATTTTGTGCTCCTCCATTCCTCCATTTTACTTTGCTTTTTTGTATTAAATATGTATTTTCTAGTGTACTGTTATAATTTTCTTTTACTATATTTTCAGAGTTATGTTTATAGTGGTTGCCTTGGAAATTACAATTAACACATTAAATTATGGAAATTTAATTCAAATTAATAGCAACTTAATTATAGTAGAGCACAAAACTTTGCTCCTCTATAGATTCATTTTCCCCCAGTCCTTTGTGCATGCCCGTCAACACGAATTGGTAGTTATCACTTTATGTACTTGTTTTAAAACACAAAGAAAATTAGTTACAAACAAAAATATAGCTATACTGTGTATTATATTTACTTATGTAGTTAACTTTTACTGGTGCTCTTTATTTCTTCATCTGAATTCAAGTTACTGTCTTATGTCCTTTTATTTCAGCCTGGAAATTGCCCCTTGGTATTTGCTGTAGGGCTAGCAACCAATTGTCTCACTTTTTCTTTTCCTGAGAATGTCATTTCTGCTTCATTTTTTGAAGGATAGTTTTGCCACGTTTCGATTATGTGGCAGTTTTTAAATTAATTTTAGCAGTTTAAATATATTATTTCCAAACTTTTATTTACAAGCTTTTTGGATTGCCTTTTTTTTGCCCTAACTTATTTACCACCTCAATCAACAAAGATGGTATACCTAGGGGAAGACACTGTTCACGTGGGCTGACATTTCAAATCATGTCAAATAAGGAGAATATTTGAATATGAAAGATTCGAATATTTCAAATCGTGTCAAATAAAGAGAATATGAAAGATAAGTCTTCCCAAGAACCACCAGACAAGTCAAACAATAATAGTTCTTGAGGAATGGGGCTTTGAGGGAACTTTAGCCCCATCCTTCCCCTTTGGTGGCTGCCAGGCTACTGATTCTCACCAGCGAAGTGAATTGTTTGTTTTCAAGGCCGCCACAGAACTGGGGATGAAGGGAGGGGATGGGAATAGGAAAAGTTCATATACCATAAAATTTGCTGTTCTTACTGAAATTCAACCGTTTTTCTAGAACACACACTCCCCAGATTTTGATGCAAGTCTTTGATTAATTTCTAGAGTTTTGAAAAAGTTAATTATGACGATTTTGCTGTGTTTTATGAGAAGATTCTTGGAGGTTCTTATTCTACCATTTTAAAGATTTTCATCATTTCATTTTTGTATATAAAATATTAATTTGGGTGAAAGTTTAAAAAATGTTGGCGAATACGGTGAAACCCCGTCTCTACTAAAAATACAAAAATTAGCCAGGCGTGGTGGCAGGCGCCTGTAGTCCCAACTCCTCGGGAGGCTGAGGCAAGAGAATCGCTTGAACCCAGGAGGTGGAGGTTGCAGTGAGCCAAGATTGTGCCACTGCACTCCAGCCTGGGTGACAGAGCGAGACTCCATCTCAAAAAAAAAAAAAAAAAAGAATGCTAACTTTTATATGTTACAAAAGTTCAAATATTTGCTTCAGATTTTCATTTGTCTTTAAGCTTTATTTATTTATTTATTTAATTTGAGATAGAGTCTCTCTGTCAGCTAGGCTGGAGTACAGTGGTGCGATCTCAGCTCACTGCAACCTCTGCCTCCCAGGCTCAAGCAATACTCCCACCTCAGCCCCTCAAATAACTGGGAGTACGGGTGCACGTGCTAGCACGCCTGGCTAATTTTTGTATTTTTAGTAGAGACAAGGTTTTGCCATATTGGCCAGGCTAGTCTCAAACTCCTTGACCTCAAGTGATCTGCTTGCCTTGGCCTCACAAAGTGCTGGGATTACAGGTGTGATCCACTGCACCCAGCTGAGCCACTGCACCCAGCCCGTCTTTTTGCATTTTAAAATATTGTTAAATGAATGATATTTATATAAATTCTTCATCATAGGCTTGACCCCTAAATGAAATGCTAAAGGAAATTTCTGGTTCTTATTAACTTTTCATTCTTTCATTCTCAGTCTCTAGTTTCCTCTGTCTTGCAAATTTCTCAAAAATTGATGTTTCTTTTTTTTTTTTTTTTCTTTCCTCCTTTACTTTAAACATTCTTCTGGGAATAATGTCACCCACCCCAGAGGCTTTCACTTTCCCTAAATTATTACTGCCTCTGACGTTTCTATACCGGGCCCCAATACCTTTCCTGAGCTTTTGCCCCATATATCCAGTTGCCTCAATGGCACCATCATCCACTCAGTCTCTTGGTTTAGCAACCTTATAAGTCATCCTTGAGAATTTTCCCCATCTAATTTGTCTTCAGTCTTATTGAATATATTTTCTAGCAGCTCTACAATCTATACTACACATCTTTGTCTCCAATGTCACTGCCGTAATTTAGGCTTCCTTCATTTCACATGAGAGCTTCTTGTGTGAGTTTTTTGCCTCTACATTTCACATTTCTCTGTCTCTGTCTCCTTTCAAACACACACACACACACACACACACACTCACACACACACACGCCCTTCCCCCAAATAGTCTTTCTCTAAGGCAAATCTGATTCTGCCCCTTCCGACTTTATACTTAGAATCTTTAAAAAGGTGATTTTTATTTTAGAATTCTTTTACTCTCTCTCATCAGACTATGATCCCTTCAAGGGCAGGAGCCATGTTTTATTAATTTTCTAGAAAAATTCATTCCCAGTACAGTATTTGGAATACAATAGAAACATAATTAACTTTTAATTAACGAATGACCAGTAATTTCCAGAAAAATTTTATTGAATTTATTAAATAATTACATATGAATTTCTTCTTTACAGCAAAGCTATTATTTTATGCTGAATGGAATAATTCATTGAGCTGATTTATTAAAGCAGCATTGTGAGTTAAACTTTCCTAACTCTAGTGGAAAATCAGGTGGCTGACAAGCATGACTTAAAACATAGATACCCTATCATTTCACAAATTGAGTAGACGCCTGTTTTCACCAAATGAGACACTGAAATGCTTTTAGTGATAATGAATAGGAGGAGAAAAAGACACTTGTATGTTTTATTAGACAAGATCCCAAAGACGCAGCTGACAGGATAAAATGCAGCAATTTGAGTGTGGATTTTGCAGAGAAGGCTGTCTTAGATTAAGACATAAAACATAGATATTACATGAGCAAGTCTCTCAGAAGATAAGCAAATTGAATATTCCAAAACTCTGAACATGATGTACCTGCAAACATTTTATCCTTTCCCCTTCTCATTAAGCAAACAAAATTTGTAATAGCCAGTCTGCACTTTATGTTCTTTGGGTGAGCAGCTACAAAACTGAACTATGAACAATTATAAGGTGTTAACAGAACCTACTAATTCAAGGAACAGACAAAAATAACTGCTGCTTGGGTTTCAACAAAATAGTGAGAGAAAACAAAAGTTATGTAATATTCAAGAGGATATGTACAACTGATGATTGATATCCTTATTTTGTTACATCAGTGAGATGTATCCAGTGAAAAATTGTGGAGATAAAAAAATTGTGATAAATTTGCAGTTATACATCTAGAATTTCTGGACTGGCTTTTCATGCAAACCATTGTTAGTGATGAAGAAAGCAAGCCAGAGAAATAAAAGGACTTTCCTGAGATAGCAAGTTGGAAATATAAGCTCCTTAATAATAATAATACTTAATATTTTTACTGTTCCCAAAAATATTCTAAGCACTTTTTATGTACTAACGTATTTAATTCTCACCTTATGAAGTAGATACTACAATTACTCTATTTTACAAGGAGGAAACTGAGGTATGTAAGGTTGAATAACATACCGAAAGTCGTGAAATTAATAAATTGTCAAGCTGGAATTCAAACTTATACAGCCTAAGCCAGTTCATAAATATTTAACCATTGTATTATGTTGCCTTTCACTCTCTCTTGCTTAATGAATTAGGATTTAGCATTATTGTCATAGCAGAATACCATGTAATTGTATTTGTGTCAACAAAATACCAGATTTCTATGAGCACTATTTAGCAATCAAAAGTAAGACATCTTTCTAAGATATGTTTATATATAATTTATAGATATTTTCCTTTCACAGAACTACAATCTGACTCCCTTTATCCTCAATGTATTATTGAATTTAGTACTGGCATGGATTTTACTCCGGTTTCATTTGCCTTATTATCCTTGGCAAGTTACTTCATTTCTCCACTTAAACTACTTGTTTTATTTTAGTAAGGAGAGAATTTTCCCATGTTGGTACATGGTAAGGCTGACTACAGTGAGATAAAGAAAACCAGGAGCACCTGGGACATAAAACTAGATCATCTCAATAAAGTAAAGCTGCTACAAGAGGTAAATTCATCTCAGGAAGCAGGAGCTCAAATGTGAATAGTATGGCCACTGAACATACTCATGAATGAAACCGATAGTATCTCAGAAACTTAATACAGAGTCTTGGTTATCTTAATCTAAGATAAATCTTAAAGTGCTCTGCTATCAGAGATATAAACAGGCAATCTGATTCAGAAGGTCTGTCTGCTAGTAGCAGAGTTTCAATTTCCTCATCTTAACATGGGAATGACAGTTTCTATCTTGCTTGGTTATTGAGAGAATTAAAAAATGTATTAAAGCGATCATGCACAATTCCTAGCACATGGTATAAATTTCAGTGGTTCTCAACTGAGAGCGTTTGTAAATGAGTGAGGGCTTTTTTGGTTATTCCAATGACCTAGGACTAGTATTGGATTTTTGTGAGTGGGAGCCAGAGACGCTAAATGTTCTGCTATGTCCAGACTAATTCTATACAGCTAAGAACTCTTCCGTTCAAACTACCTTTACTCCATTTCGAAACCCACTAGGGGAAGCTAAAGAATTATAGTGATTTTATTACTATGCATTCTGCCATATGGATTAAAATTCCTTAAATTCCTCTTGCGTAGATTCAGAATTGGCTCTTCATTCCATGATCTGTGATTCTATTTCTTTTCCTCTCTTCCACTGGCCTCTAAGTGTTGAAGACAATTGTTCTCTTTTGTTTCTCTTCTCTAACCTAAACATCTAAGTTCCTGCAGCTGTGTTGCTAGTCCTCCCAGGATCTGGAACATCTTGAAAATCTTATGTGCCCTTGTTGTCAGAGCCCTCACCACACTGGTTGCCTTATCTAGAATCATTCTAATTTTTCACTGTTTCTTTTAAAATGCACATCCTGATTTTAGTGCAAGTATACTACATGGACTAGTGCTTGCACAGTATACTGTGAACTTACTGTTGACTTTGACCTTTAGTTTTTAACTTGCAAATCAGCACCTACATTGATAATTTCAATTTGCGTTTATCTAAAGTTCCACTATATACACTGAAACCCAACTGAGTCTCCACATGGTACAATATACTCTGCTTAATACCTAGGATGTAGAGATGAAATGAAGACAGGGAGGAAGATGACTAATATAACAGTCTAAGAGTAACTCATTCTATGAGAGTGGGAATCAAGAGAGATTTCTTGGAAAGAAGGACACAAGTTCTAGTGAAGAGGCTTGTGGGGAGAAACACATAGGCAGGAGGCTGATTAGCTATGGGATGGAGGTCATGGGCAATGACAGAGGGGCATTGAAGACCACCATGAATGTGGAGGGCATGCTAACATACTTGCTGTTACTACAGCATTCATTGGTTACACAGATCTTACTTATGAGAAAACATTGAAGATTTTAAGTAACAAAATATTTTACTCAGTTTCTAGCTGAAGTGTTGGAGTTATTTTAGGGGATGTGGGAGCAACATGGGAAACCACAAACCCAATAAGAAATCTGTGGGCAAAGAGATAGAGATATTGAGAACCTAAAATAAGTCAATGGATGGGAGATCTGAAATTGAGAGATGTTTCTGAAGTGGAATCAGCAGAATGTGGGGACAGATTGGATGTGGGGTTCACAGAAAAAGAGTGATCTAAGATGACTTCAGTGTTCCAGCTGGCTGGAGGGTGCTATCTTCCAGAAAGCTAGGGAATGTGGGAAAGAAGTGGCTTTAGGGATGTGGGGGAACTAATGTGCTTGCCAGAACTACTGCTAAGCCAGAACATCTTCATACTATATTGGTATATTTAGATGTTGGAACTATAACTTTCACTCCTCTGCTTAAAATAGGCTATATTCTATGGATAGGTAATTCACAATTAATAATGTATCAATATTATTCATTATACTAAAAGAGAATTTTAGAGCAAAATCCTATAATTGTAGAAACAGAGACATGAAAAACATTTGCTAAAAATCTGCAATTCAATCCCAGCACTTTGAGAGGCCGAGGCAGGTGGATCACCTGGGGTCAGGGGTTTGAGACCAGCCTGGCCAACATGGTGAAACCCCGTCTCTACTAAAAATACAAAAATTAGCCGGGCATGGTAGCAGTTGCCTGTAATCCCAGCTACTCATGAGGCTGAGTCAGGAGAATCTCTTGAACCCAGGAGGCGGAGGTTGCAGTGAGCTGAGATCATGCCATTGTACTCCAGCCTGGAGGACAAGGGCGAGACTTTGTCTCAAAAAAAAAAAAAAAGAAATCAGCAATTCTAGGTAAAAACATAAATTAAATGGGAATAGAAAACATTTTCCTAAATGTGCCAAAGACCGTCTAACTAATCAAAACCATCATATAATATTAAGAAATACTGAAGATTGATCCTTTAATATAAGACACAAATCAAGGATGCTTTCTATCAGCGTGACTATTCTATATCATTCAGCATTTCTAGTGAATCACTTAAGTAAATGGAATAAGCTGTGCAAATATTGGAAAAAGGAATTAATCACCATTACTTAAAGGTGATTCAATGGTAAATCTAAACAATTCAAATCTGTTAAAAGAACAAAAATGAATATTTTGTGAGGATCCCAGATCCAAGAAAAATACGTTAAAGTAAAAAGTTAGTAATGGAAAAAATCCGTTCATATTAGCAATAAAAATATAGAATACCTAGGAATACTTTTAGTAAAAATGATGTAAACCGATATTTTAAAAATTATTTAATAGATAAAATAAAAATTAAGTAACTGGAAATAAATGCTATGTTCCTAGATAAGAAGACTTAATATCATAATGATGTCATTTCTTGCCAGATAGATGTATGTATTTAATAATTCCAGTCAAATTGCCTGCTTTTGTTTAAACACAATCACACATACCACATAATACAACAATTTTAAAGTTCATATAGAGAACAAGTGTTTGAGAATTTCCAAATGATGTCAGCAAGCTTTAAGAAAGAAGGGTTATGCAAGTTCCAACAAGAAAATGATAACGACACTGAGAGTCTTCATATAATACATAGTCGTGGAGGTAACCAATGCTGACAACCATCTGCTGTAACAGCCCAAGGTATAACATTCATGCTGCAAGAAATAATTTGGTTTCAATAAAGCAACATCTTCTACTAATTTAAATATACACTTGAAGATTCATTTTAAAGTTTTGATTATATTTATCATTGGATTTTTTCATAATTTTAAATGACCAGTAAGCGAATAAGTCATTCCAAATTTTGATGGCCATTAAGTAAAATAAGGATTATTGGAACACAAGCACTGAGACACTGTGATAATGGATCTGATAATCAAAATGGCTGCTAAGTAACTATTGGATTGGTAGCATATACAGTGTGGAAATGCTGGGCAAAGGAATGACTCATGTCCTGAGTGGGACAGACCAGAATGGCACGAGATATCATCACACAATTTAAAACTTATGAATTGTTCATTTTTCACTTGAGATTTTCAGAATACTGTTGACCTTGAGTAACTGAATCTTTGGAAAGTAAAACCTCAGATAAGGGGAACTACTGTATGTTTAACTTTTTGAGTAACTGCCAAACCACTCCCGAAGGTACAGATGTACCATTTTGTATCTACACCAGCAGTGTATCAGAGTCTCAGGTGCTTTACCTACTTGCCAACACTGAGTATGGTCAGATATATCTTTTTAGCAGTGTGCTTTTGCTCACTGAACACAATATTCCATGTGTGGTCTAAACAAAATTGTCCAATTAAATTTACAAGACATACTTGCTAAATGGTATGCTCTGGTCTAACTACTTTGCCAGGGACATATCCTTCTTTATTGTAGGTAATATACATCTTTGGATGCAGCTTGAGTAAAATGGAGTTGACTTCTTAGCAGTCACAGCACACTGCTTAACCACATTGAACTTACTGTCCAATAAAATCTCTAGGTCTATTCTCTTACATTTTTGCCGATGAGACCTGCCTTTTTTATCCTCAGTTTAAGCGCTTCATTTCATAAACATATTATATTTAATATACTTCAAAAGAGAAGTTGCAGTGGCTTATCATGAGAACTCCAAATACAATAAAATAACTAAATTAAGCATACTGAGGCTAGAACCAAGCAAGCAAGAGTGGTGAGATCACACTAATAGAAAACCTAGACTAAGGGAAACTCCTGAAAATGAGTTTATTGATAGCCCGAGTCAAAGTGGATTAAAGAAGTTATATAGCTCTTATTAAAAAATGCGAGAAAGCTTATCAGATGATATAAAAACTCAAGCTTTTTTTCTAATTCAACTTTCTGAGGAAGAAACAGGCCTGGGGAAGATAACTTTTTAACTCTGAATTTTGTATTTTAAAAATTTTTATTTTGGAAAATAGACCCAGAGATCTCACTCATAGTGAGGGAAAATAGTTTTGAGCTAATAGACACTGGTCTAATTACTCAATTTAGTTAGACATTAGTTTTCCAAGTACAGGTGTTACCCACACAACGGGTGGGTTCAGTTGCTTGTCAGGTAACAGTCCAATGACCACAATCAAGGAGGATTTAACAAGGATATTTTATTACTTGCAACAAACGAAGAGGACACCAGGGATAGTTCCCAAAGTAGTCCCTCCTTGAACAATGGTGGAAACAGGGCTTTTACTGGGTTGGTTAGCTGAGGTTGGAGTAAAGGCCGTGCTGGCACAGTCACCAATCATGCTTCAACATACGTCACTTATGTAGAAAATGGAGAATAAGGTCCTCCCTGTGCAGAGATTTTAGTACAGTAGTGAGGGGAGTTCACCAAAATTCATCATCTCAGGTATCTCTGGATCCAAGCAGTTTTGGTATTTCTGAGGCTGAACTTTTTTTGAAGCAGGAGCTCCAGGTACAACAGTTAACAAGTAGGTAATTTTTCACAGTGCGCACCCAAAACTCAGAGAAACTGGGTTACACAGGTACAAACTTTTGGCCTCATCATTGATAAACACCAACCTAAGACTTCCAAGGTCAGAATATACTTTGTAAGTATTCATGAGAATTATCTTTTTGCCCTTTCTGCCTACATTGATTAGCGTTTGTCATTTTGATTAGCTTTCATCCTATTCTCTGTGTTTTGCAGTCACCTCTCATCCATTTACCTGTGTTTTACTGGTTTGGTTTCTATCAACATAGATGTCTCTCTCAATTTCCTGAAATGTTTATCTATAAACTCGAAGAAGCTATGATTGTACAAAATACTTGCCGAATATATATATGTATGTTTATATACACATACCACATTGTGTATATATGTATACACACACACACACACACACACACACACACACACACACACATATATGCCACATTCTCTATAAATATAGATGGATATATTTCCCTCTATATTGATGAATATATTTCCATCTATATTTATAGAGAATGTGGTCTCAGGAAAGTCTTAGCCTTCCATTGAGTATATCTGCGTATGGAATCCTGGCACAGTGTTTGGTCCTGTGAGAAAAGTTACAATAGTCAATTTGGGTCCCTTCACCCACTTTCGTTCCTTATAAAATAAAACTTTGGTAAGTAAGCCAAAACAATTTTTAGCACAATTTTGAGAAATCTTTCTACAATATGCCTCGTCTTTAAGTGTACAACATAGTACAGTGATTAAAGCTTGGATTTGGTTCTGCCACTCAATGTGTGATCTTTAAAGACTCTTATTTATCTCTCTAAACCTCAATTTCCTCATTGTTATATGGCACTGATAGAAATATCAACTACCTCTTAGGATTTTTGCCATTATTAAATGAGTATATATACACACACACACACACACACACACACACACAAACACCAATATCTGGCACACAGTAAATACTATGTGCTTAGACATTATTATTTATATCATGCTCTAACTTCAGTATTTAATGCTTTTTAAATTTCCCTTCTCTCTTTTGCTTCTTTATTTCCCTAAAGCACTCTTATAATCAAATAGCTATTTATTTGATAGTTCATCATTGAGCATTTTACGTTACTATATTAGAATGACCTTTTTCCCAACTAATTTTCCATTTTATTGCTTTGAAATAGTTCAAATTACCCTTATGAATAGTATGAGAGGAGTATCATCTAATCCATTCAAATTAGAAAATGAAATGTAAATGTGAAAGCTGAAAAAACTTCCTTGGCATTTTGTATCACAGGAACTTGATCGATAAATACTTTTCTAGCTGCTCACACTGTCCCTGTTACATTTCATTCTCTCAGCCTCCTGGTACAAAAACACAGATGTGCATTTCTTTTCCTGGAAAAATAAATATTATAACTCTTTCAAAACATTATCTCCTGCTGAGGATGATGACTATTTAAAGGAACCAACTCTTTAGAACCTCAGCTTGTACTTTCTGACTGTTATCTGGATCTAATGATTCCTCTTAAAATTTGAGCTTACAGATGAATCTATAAAAGAGATAGCTTGAATTTTCTGAGAAAAATAGACATCTCAGAAAATCCTTCCTTATGTTTTTCTCCCCCCCATAAATTACCATTATTATTTACTTGTATAATCAAGAATACAATTGAAGGATAATATATATATATATGTATAAATATATATGTATATATATGTGTATATATATGGAATCTAGAGACAGAAAGTGAAAAAATCATGAACACATAATTAATTCAGTCTTCAAACAAATGAGATTTTTAACTGAATATTCTTTTTCTTTTTTTTTTAAAGAATAAAACTGAACATTAGCTGTGTCAGGAGTCCCTAAGACTGCTCCTAGGTTTGATGATTTGCAAGGAGGACTCACAGGACTCAGCATATAGTTGTACACACGGCTATGATTTATTATAGCAAAGAGACACAAAGCAAACTCAGCAAAGGGAAAAGATGAAAGTGACAAAGATTAGAAGAATCCAGTCTCAAGCTTCCAGAGGTCATCTCCCAGTGGAGTCATACAGGACATGTTTAATTCCTCCAGCAACAAATTGTGACGACACGTGTGAAATGTTATCACCAGGGAATCTTGGCTGAGCACAGAAGTCCAAAGTTTCTATTGGGAGCTAATCATGTAATCACCCTCTGCTGAGCACATACATAAGTCAGGTAGGAAAATAGGTATTCAACATAAAGCATATTATTTGCACAAACATTTAGGCACTGTGAACTACTCTTATCAATTGGGGAAAATTTTGTATCAATATAGAAACTGTTTACTCTTCAAGCTCCCAAGTTCCAGTCAAGGGCCAGCCTTGCAAACATGCCTTTATAAGAAAAGGAGCCTCACTCCTGCTATGTTAACTCTTTTCTAAACAGGAGCTAAATAGAGCCAATTTCTAACTCCATAAAATCTCTAAAAATTGAGCTTTAATGACAACTACAATGCAACGGGATTAGGTCTGAAAATAACTAGGGAGAGCAATATAGATTTTATGTTACAGGTGTTTAATAAACGTTCATCTAGTCAGTACCCCTTTAGAAAAAATAGTGCCATTATATTCTCCAACTAGTATTTTAGGAAAGGAAGGATCATCTTTTCACTAGTCTTCTCAGAGATTGTTCAAAGAAAAAAGGCAAAATAAAGTGTATATTGTAGACATAAAAGGCAAATAAGGGACATGTGGGGTGCAGGAGAGAGGGTTTGAGGTATCGTTCTTATCATTAGGAAAGCAGAACAGAGAGTTTTTCCAGAAGTGACACTGAGCAAGGATACAGATGCGCGGATGTAGGGATGATGCTGGAGTTCACTAATGAGGCACTGGGGCAGCTGGAGAGACCAGGGCCAATGTCACAAAGCCAAACGATTTAATAAACAAAATAAAACAATATATAAAACCTAGACTAACTGCTTGAAACATAAAACCAGCAAGTTTTGGGTTGGTCAAGTTTCAGTATTCTGGAAACCAGTTTAAGAGCTTGAAATATATTATTTCTTTTTCAGGGGGTGAACCACAGACAGATAGGTGTCATACACAGAGCCAATTATAGTAGGCAGTATTCTGGGGAAAAACAATAAACTAGACACCTAGTAGAGGTAAAAAAAATACACTTTTGTCTGATCATATTCACAAATGTCAGTGGCAACAGATGAAAACCAAAAACAATACATGCACACCACTGCTTAAATTAAAAAAAAAAAAAACAACTGGCATCTTTTAATTGTAACTGCTTTAGTTTGTATATCAGTGTCATAATGAAGGCAAAAAATTGTTGGCAAGTTAAATGCAATCATTATTCATGCCTATTTTGTTTTTAAATGGAAGATTTAAGAGGTAGTTAATCCTACTTAGTGATTAAGAGAATGGATTTTGGAATCAGAAAGAGCTGAAAATTAAAAGCTTAAAATTAACTTTATTCAGTACACTAGCTTTGTGATTATTGATGGGCAATAAACTTCTCTATGCTTCAGTTGCTCATCTGTAAAATGGGGATTATGGTGAAAATTAAATGAGATATTTATGCAAGGTGCTTGTCTCTGCCTGCAATAAGTGTCTATTCAATAAATGGTTCATGTTGTTATTGTTGCTTTATAGGATCTGTAGCTATGGTCTGTACCCTTAAGGACTATATATGGTGAGAGACATGCAAATAAACTCTCAAAATATACAATGTGTAGTGATAAATGCTGGTATGCAGTGCAGAATTGAACAGAGGTGGGAGGTATTAACTTTGCCTGAGAGAAGGAAGGACTTTGGAAAGGAAGTGAGGTCTCTGCAGAGTCTCAGAAATTCGAAGTGAGAGTTGTGTAGGTGGAGAAAGAGGAAAAGGACATTCCAAGCAAACAGAATTCATGTGCTAATGTAAGTTTGGGGAATTGTAAGTAGTTGATGACGGCGGATTGTAAAATATGAGAGTTAGAGGTAGGAAAAGAGACACAAATCCAGAACCAAACCAAATGGATTAATAATTGCCCTGCCTGAAAATAAAAAGTAAATTATCTATTGTAAGAAGATAAAAACGATGCAACACCTTTGCATTTTTGAAATTGAAATATGTTTAAATTAAATGCAGAGATCTTAAATGTTACAGTTTGATGTGTTTTGAAAAATATGTACATGGGTGTAACTCATATTTCTAAAAAAAAATGAATATTTCCGATATACCATTAAGTTCACTGGGGCCCCCTTACAGTCAAATCTTATACACCACAACCCCTCAGATGATCAAGGTTCAGATTTCTTTGAACATAAATCAGTTTTACCCATTTAGAGATTTATCTAGATGTGTAAGTCTTCTCTCATTGAGAAAAAGATTTTAAATTCCTCCACATTCGTGGCTATATCAATCGTTGGAACATTTTAATAATTGGCTAGTATTGTTTTGAATGAATATACAGCAAATGTATCCATTCTCATGCTGAAGGGCATTTGAGGGTTTTTTTTTTTCGGTTTGGGGCTATTATGATTCAGATGGCTATGAATATTTTTGTACAATTCTTTTTGATATATATTTTAATATTCTTGGACACATGCTGGGTAGAATTATCTGGCTATACACATGTATTTATTCCTGTAAGAATTGACAAATCTTTTTTCAAAGACGTGGTACCATCTAACACTCCCACCAGCAATGTAAGAGAGTTCCAAATTGTTCCACATCCTTGCCAACATTTGGTACGGTCAGTCTTTTTAATTTTAGCCATTCTAGTGGGTGTTGAGATGGTATTCAGTTCTGTAATGATATTTGATGTTGAGTAATTTTTCATGTGTTTATTGGTCATTTGCATATCTTCTTTTTATGGTTTTTATTTGTCCTATTAATGTGTTGAAAGAGTAAGTTATATATTCTGCTTACAAGTCCATTGTTAGATATATGCATTGTGAATAATATTTCTCAATTTGTGTCATGCTTATTCATATTCTTATCTTTCTATAAGTAATTTAATTTGTCATTTTTAAGTAGTTCTTTATCATATCCAAAAAATCTTTGCCCTCTCCAATACTGTAAACATGTTATGTTTTCTTCAAGAAGCTCTTTGCTCCTAGGTGTTACAGTTATGGACAGTTTTAAACTAATTTTTGTTTGTGGTATTAAAAAGGGACTGAGGTTCATTTAAAAAATATGGTTATCTAGTTTTTCTAGCACCACATATTGAAGACTTATTTTTTCCTATTAATTTCTCTGAAGGCTTTGTAAATATTTATTAACCATGTAAATATGAATCTCTTTCTGGATTATCTTCTCTTTCATTGATGTACTTATTTATACTTTTGCTAATAGGAAATTTTCTTAATTACTGTAGTTTTATAGGAAGTCTTGAAATCAGGTTCTATTATTCTTTCACTTTATTCTCTTTTGAGATTCTTTTGTCCATCCTAGATTCTTTGCATTTCCACATAAAATTAGAATTGGCTTGTCAATTTCTGAAATAAAAGCCTGCTGGATTTTAATTGTGATTGTAATGAATCCATTGAGTAATCTTGGCAGATTGGAAAACGTAACAATATTTACATTTTCAATACATGCATAGGGCATAGGGATCTATTTATTTGACTGCTTTACTTTGTCTCAAAAATATTTCATAGTTTTCAGAGTAAAGTTTTAAACTTTTTATTACATTTACCTTTGTGTATTTTATAACTTTTGATGCTGTTTCAAATAGCATTATGTTTAAATTCAATTATCCATTTGCTTATTGGTGTTGTATAAAAATATAATTTAATGTTGACCTTGCAGCCTATGATCTGGCTAAACTTACTAGTTATAATATTTTGAAGATTAATTTCACATGATTTTACTTTGTTGTCTGTAAATTCCATTATCCGTTTGCTTATTTTTATTATATAAAAATATAATTTATTGTTGAACTTGTAGCCTGTGATCTGGCTAACTTACTAGTTATAATACTTTGATGATTAATTTCACGTGATTTTATTTTGTTGTCTGTAAATCACGATGTGTGAGACATTTTTTCTTTGTACTTTATATTTATTTCCCCCTAATATTTTTGCCTTGCCTCATTGGATTGACTAAGACCTCCAGCTTATTATTGAATAGAGGTGTGGAGAACAACTTAGTGCTCCTTTCTATATTTTTTCAGAGATTTTGCATAAGATTAGTATGACTTCTTTAAATTTTGGATAGAATTAACTAGTGGAGCCAGTTAAGTCTGGAATTTTTTTTTGTATGTGAAAAATTATATTTTGTTTAGGAATGTTTTTCATCTGTTTTCATAAATAAGACTTACGATATCTTTTGTTGTTGTGTTGGTGCCATTTTTGTCAAGTTTTCTTGAATAGGCTTATGCTAGCAAGTAGGATGAATGGGGAAGCTTTTCCATTTTTATTTGTTTCAGCAAATAAAAATACTTGTAAGACAATGTATAAATCTACGTAGGATTAAAGTTATGAAGGACTTAATGGGGGTAACTTCAAAATCTCTTTATTCATGTCTTTATATAGTTCCTATATAGTTGTAGTTTCCTGATTGTTATCTACTTTTTAATGAGAAAATTGTGTTATATTCTTGTAGACATTTTTAAATTTCAATACCTTCAAATTTATTAGGAATATTTGAAAATTTCTATATTTTATTTATCTCATCAGTTTCTTTTGCCTTATTTTGTTTATGTATTTTTTTCATAGATAAGTGTCTCAAATATTTGCCTGTTTCATTGTTTTTTATCTAAAGAAGTGTTATTGAATTTTTCAATTCTGCTGCCTTGATTTTTAAAGTATTGCTGTATTTTATAAAACCTATAATTCCATGGATAAACTAGATCATTAACTGAAATACCACTAAGAAAGAAAATAAAACACTGCCAAATAAGCATCTTCTAATCACTTAGGCTTTTGATATTAATTTATCAAAAGAGTTCTTTTGAGTAATTGAACATATTGTGTTATCATTTATTAGTGTAGTATATATAACAAAGAGGAAAATATAAGCAGAGTACATGGGTTAAATTATTACTAGAATGATTTATATTCAATCTAATTCTTCTAAATGTCTTTTTGATTTGTACATGTGTTTTTGTATCCAAATTGTGCTGTATACCATCAAAAACACTGATGATTCAACCTTACTTAAAGACCTTTCTTTAGTATTTTCTATAATGTGTGATATCTAGAACTAATTCTCTGAACTTTTATCTTAGAATGACTTTTTCTCTTATTTTTGAAAGGTATTTTCTCTGGCCATTGAATTCTTGGTTGGCAGGATTTTTTTTTTCTTTAAGTACTTTAAAGGTGTTCAACATTTATGTTATTATTTCCATAAAGGTAATTGTCTTTTTCTCTGGCTGCTTTTAAGATTTTATCTTTATCACTGCTTTAGAATAATTGCACTAGAATGTTCTTAGTTCTGTTTCCTTTGAATTTATCCTAGTTGGGGCTCACTGAGATTTTTGAATCTGTGTGCTTTTTCCTTTCTTCGGGTGTGGAAAATTATCAGCCATTATTTCTTCAAATATTGCTTTCAGTTTCATTTTCTCTACACTCTCCTTTTGGGATTCTTATTAAACTTGTGTTAAATGTTTTGACCGTGTCCCACATTTCTCTAATGCTTGTCTCTACCTTCTTCCCTCTCCTCACCACAATGCTTCAGTTTAAATATTTTTCATTGACTTTTCTTCAGATTTACTAATTTTGTATTCTTCTATGTCCAGTACTGTTAGTTCTGTCCAATAATAAGTTCTTAACTTCAGATATTCTATTTTTCAGTTTTAAAATATCTATCTCATAAATGATTAATTCTAATTTTCTGTGGAAATACTGTATGTTTTCATACATTTTGTCTCTCTATTACTCATTTTTATTGAAATATTAATTACAGCTCTTTTGAAGTCCTTGTCCGTTAACTTCATTATTTAGAAAATGTCTGGGCCTATATGTATTGTCTATTTTAGTTTTTATTAGTCACACTTTTATACTCCTTTACATGACTATTTATTTTTTATTGTAAGCTATTCACAGTGGATCATATATTGTAGAAGCTCTTGATTGTTTTAATTTCATTTCAGGAGTGTTGAGGTTTGTTCTGACAGTGAATTAAGTCACTGGCAGATCATTTTGATTCTGTCAAAGCTTGGGTTAGGTCCCATTTGTAATTTTTAAGCCATGTGGTTTTTTCTTTTCCTTTTTACTCTACATGCAAAGAAAGCTCTCTCATAGTTTGGTGTTTACCAAGAAACAGTACATATATATTACTTTGAATTATACTCTCTTTACTTGTATGCTGGCCGAATCACCCTTCAGTTCTATAGATGATGACAGATTGATGCATAAGGTTTATAGAAAAATTGTAGTTGTCTAGCAGGTTTTTATCTCATATGTCTTTTATCTCATATATCTCAATAGGACTGAAATGTTACTTTTTACCTCTACCTTGGAGACTTGAACAGGTAACGTACATGGTGAAAAGACTCCAATACTCACTATATACTGATACTAGAATCATTTTTTCATCACTTCACTAATCAAAGTTTACCTGTATGCACCTCAACTCCTAGAATTCAATGCACTATTTCCAAGTTCTTCTCTTTTCTACCCATTTTTTTTTTCTGGGATTTGGAGTTTCCAATTAGATGTCGAAAGAACTAAGATTGATCTGAATTGAGTTATACAGCCATTTACCTAACTAAAATAGTGGCATTGGCAATAAACTCCAGAGTTTCCCAAACTTCCATCACTTTTACACCATTTTCACAATTTTTTTCCACCTTTAAACACCACCTGTGCTATAATTTGCCTAGTATCTTTCTTTACAGAAACTTTAAATCAATTAACTTTTTTTAAGCTATCCTTATCCTATTAATAGTTAATAAATCTAAACAGGTTAATAGTTCTAAATATATTAACTGCAAGATATTGTTATAAATATTAGTAATAATATTGTTATCAATTTTCAACTTAAAATATGTTTCCATGGGTATTTTAGTAAACACTTAGAGGAGACTGAATAATATGTGTTAGCTAAATGAGATTTGGCACTTCTAAGCTTTTGATCTTCATTGAATTTCATCTAAATCTTCATTTAATTCATGGAGACTTGAGCAATTTTTTAAAGTTCCAACCTGTAAGTGGATAGCTCTGCTGAGCTAATTGTAAGACATATCATGAAGAAAGTAGATAGAGTGTATAATGAAAATAGTCTCCTTGTGGTAAGATATTGTCAAAGGCCAATCTGGATGCATATATGGAGAAATTTATAATAATTTACAAGGGCTTTAGTCCCTGGTTTATTGACATTATGAAATTGGAAGGAATGTTAAATGAGATAGGAAATAGGAATTCATCATATTTTACATGCCCAAATAATTGTTATGTTAATTTTGAGCTTAACTTGATTTGTAGACTGAAAAAAAAATTGACTGAGGAACAACCCTGCCTCTGTCTCTTCAAATAGAGATGAAATAAGTAACCTGAGGTCTAGGGCAAGGACAATCACAGACACTTTAGAGAGAGCAAGCTCCAACCTCGGTTTTTAAAATGTAGCTCTCCTTTAAAAACAGCAAAATCACGTGCACAGCTACTGACAGTATCAATATGTGTTACTGGCTTTGCACCAAATTCGAAGTCATAATGGCACTGTTCTTTTCAACCTTCACCTAGGGAAAAAGTTATTAAGGAGGAACAGAAAAAGGGACATTGAATGGTTCTTGGTTAAACCATTGGAAAGCACTTAGTTTCCTTTGTTTTGCCATTTATTCATGCACAATAGTGTTAGTATTTAAATGTGGGTTTTTTTTTTTTTTTTCTTACTTTTGAACTCATTGAGGCAGTGAACTCTATCTTGTGGGGCTGCTAGTGTGGTGGAAATGTAGGATTGCCATCCTGGGAACCATAGTTTAAGTACCACATTGGCATCAACTAGCTGAAGGTATTTTGCACCATGCAAGTGTTAGTTGATGTATTTAAATTATTTTCCAGATTTAAGAAATATGTACTCTCTGTAGTAGACCTTTAGTTGGGACTGAGGAATTGGGAATAAACACTGAGAATAAATAAAGAAAACATAATCACTTGAGGCACTTTTGTTGTCAACAAATCGACTTCTCTTTGCTTTTCAGTAGGAAAAAAAAAACAAATTTACAAGCCCTGCTTATTGTAGTTTTCTTCTTGAAATTGTGTTAATAGGCTCTAAATGCAAAGAATAACTTATGTGTTTCAAGGCTAGAAATATAAACTGAAAGATAATTACGAAGGATAAAAATAATAATCATGAAAAACCTTCACAGCTCAGAACATGTGTGTACTAGGCTAAAGCATTGATATTCCGCTGGAGTGATCACTAGATCATCTTGCTGAGATCAGTTTTAGTTTGTTACATGGCTTATAATTTCAGAAGCTTTTGTGCTTTTGGACACAGCTGAGGTTTATTTCATATATTCACTTATTGATTTATTCATTATTTGTTAATACCTACTTGGTCTTTCTGACTGCTCTCTTTTAGATTTGCATTCATACAGGCATAATTTATTTTGAGCTTATATTGAGTTTCACTTTATTGCACTTTGGAGATATGGTGGTTTTTACAAATCGAAGGTTTGTGGAAATCCTGCTTCAGGCAAGTACTATTTTTTCCAACAGCATAAACTCGTTTCATGCCTCTGTTTCATATTTTGGTAATTCTTTTAATATTTTAAATTTTTAAATTATTTTTATATCTGTTACAGTGGTCTGTGATCAGCGATCTTTTATTTTACTATTGTTATTGTCTTAGGGGGCCACAAACTGCACCCATATAAGATGGGTAAATTAATTGATAAGGGTGTGTATTCTGACTGCTCTTCCAACTGGTGTTCCCCAATCTCTGTCCTTCTCCTGGAGGCTTGCTGTTCCCTGAGACACAGAAATACTGAAATTAGGTCAATTAATAACCATGCAGTGGCCTTTAAGTGTTCAAGTGAAAGGAGGAGTAAAACATCTGTTTCTTTAAATCAAAAGCTAGAAATGATGAAGCTTAGTGGGGATAACATATCAAAAGCCAAGACAGGCCAAACGCTAGGCCTTTTTCACCAGTTAGCCAAGTTGTGCATGCAAAGGAAATGTTCTTGTAGGAACTCTTCCAGTTCTGCTCCAGTGAACACATGAATGATGAGAAAGCAAAACAACCTTATTGCTGATATGAGGACAGTTTTAGAGGTCTGGCTAAAAGATCAAACCAGCCACAACATTCCCATAAGCTAAAGCCTAATCTACTGCAAGGCCCTAACTGTCTGATTTTATGAAAGCTGAGAAATGTGAGGATGCTGCGGAAGAAAAGTTGGAAGGTAGCAAAAGTTGGTTCATGAGGTCTAAGGAAAGAAGCCAGCTTCATAACATGAAAATGCCAGGTGAAGCAGCAAGTGCTAATGTAGAAGGTGCAGCAAGTTATCCAGAAGATAATAGCTAAGATCGTTGATGAAGTAGTTACACTTAACAACATATTTTCAATGTAGACAAAATAGTCTCATGGAAGAAGACGCCTTCTAGGACTTTCATAGCTAAAGAGGAGTAGTCAATGCCTGGCTTCAAATCTTCAAAGGACAAGCTCACTCTGTTGTTGGTGGCTAGAGCAGCTGGTGACTTTAAGTTGAAACCAGTGCTCGTTTACCATTCCAAAAATCCTAGGGCCCTGAAGAATTATGCTAAGCCTACTCTGCCTGTATTCTGTAAATGGAACAACAAAGCCTAGATGACAGCAAATGTGTTTATGTTGCCGTTTACTGAACATTTTAAGCTCACTATTGACACCTGAAGCTCAGAAAAGGATTCCTTTTCAAATTATTACTGTTAACAAAGCATCTAGTCACCCAAGAACTCTGTTAGAGATTTACAAGGTGATGAATGTTGTTTTCATGCCTGGTAACACAACATCCATTCTGTAACCCATGGATCAAGGAGTAATTTTGAATTTCAAGTCTTACTATTTAATAAATATATTTCATAAGGCTATAACTACCATGGATAATAACTCTGGTCATCTGGGCAAAGTTAATTGAAAACTTTCTGGAATGGATTCACTATTTTAGATGCCATTAAGAACATTCATGATTCATGAGAGGAGGTCAAAATATCAACATTATATTAGGCATTTGGAAGAAGTTGATTCCAAACCTCATGGATGAGTTCAAGGGCTTCAAGACTTCAATGGTGAAAGTAACTGAGGATGTGGTGGAAATAGCAAGAAAACTAGAATTAGAAGTAGAGCCTGAAGATGTGACTGAATTATAACAATCTTAGGATAAAACTTTGACAGATGAGGAGTTGCTTCTCATGAATGAACAAAGGAATTGTTTTGTGAGATGCAATCGAGTCCTGGTGGAGATGCTTTGAACACTGTGGAAATGACAAAAAAGGATTTAGAATGTCTTACAACACTGATTGGTAAAGCAGACACATGGTTTGAGAGGATTGACTCCAGTTCTGAAAGATGTTCTACCGCTAGTAAAAAACTCTCAAATATCTACAGGGAACTCTTTCTTGAAAGGAAGAGTCAATTGATGCAGGAGACTTCCTAGTTATCTTATATTCAGAAGCTGCTATGGCCACCCAACCTTCAGCAACCACCACCCTGATCAGTCAGCAGCCATCAACATTGAGGCAAGACCCTCCATCAGCAAAAAAGGTTTTGACTTGCTGAAGGCTCATATGGCTGTTAGCATTTTTTAGCAATAAATATGTTTAAATTAAGGTATGTACATTTTTTAGATATAATGCTGTTGCACACTTAAGAGACTATAGTGTGGTAGAGTGCTGTTGCATACTTAAGAGGCTAAAGTATTGTGTAAACTTAACTTTTATATGCATTGAGAAACCAAAAAACCCATGTGACTTGCTTTATTGCAGTATTTCTTTTACTGTGTTGGTATGGAACTGAACCCGAATATCTTTGAGGTATTCCTGTACTTGATTTTTATCTATGACATTTTCCCAACTTGTTATGTAAAGGATGGTGGTTGTTTAAGGCCCCACATTTGAAGCATCTTACTCGAGTTTTGTGGGGCTTATTTACATTTTGAATTTTCTTTTCATGTTGCCTCTGTGTCTGTCTAAACCATGCCCTAGTTCTGCTTTAACCAGCCTTTTCAGGATCTATTTCTGGCCAGGTAATTTAATCTTAAATGCTTAGTATTAAAACGTACTAGTCTGTAATTAAGTGGAAGCCTCAGCAGAAGGTGAGGGGGAAAGTTTGAATTCAGTGACTCAAAATTCCAAATTTGCTTGTGTATTGCTATATTTGTGACTAATAGCTAATGAGAAAACCAAGCTGATATAATTCCAGTATGGAGAAAGGCCAAGGGTGTGATCCCAGTACAAGGAATAAATAGAATTGTTCTTTATGTAGTTGCAGAATTATGACTGTACTGACACAACAATGCAGCAGATATCATAAGTCTATTTAAGAGACATCTCAATAACAGCTCAAGTTAAAAAAAAGTTACAATAAAATGTTTAAAAATACTTATAAACATTTCAAATACATAGTGTATAGTAAAGTGTAATGAATGTGAACTCCACCACTTATGAAAACATTGTAATTTATCTGACTATAAAGGTAAATAATAATAATCAATTTCAGAGTGGCTACTAAACTAGATAAAATACCTATACAGAGGAATAGCATAGTTCCTGGTGTATAATAGATACTGGACAAGTAGGTAAATATTATTTAGACAAGTTTACTTTAAGCAAAAAAAAAATATTGGAAGCCAGTTTCATGGTAGGAATTTCAGGATATAAAGTTGCAGTGGCTCATGCCTGTAATCCTAACAGTTTGGGAGGCCGAGGTGGGCAGATCACTTGAGCCCAGAAGTTCAGCATCAGCCTGGCAACATAGCACAAGCCCATCTCTATAAAAAATAGAAAAAAATTTTCTGGGTGTGGTGATGTGCACCTGTAGTCCCAGCTACTCAGGAGGCTAAGGTGGGAGGATCACCTGCACCTGGGAAGGTCGAGGCTGCAGTGAGCTGTGATCATTGCACTCCAGTCTGGGTGACAGAGTGAAGACTCTGTCTTAAAACAACAAACAAGAAAATGAAACAAAAACCTACTCCCCCCAAAACCTCATTACACCTGTGGATTACCATTGGACATCCAACACAAATAGATTACAAACCTAATTCTCATAGCCCTATCATTACCTAGCTATTTAATTTTGGTAAGTTTCTGACTTAGTTTCAACATTTATAAAACAAAGTGATTTCTGTACATATTTATTAAGATTTTTTTGTCTCCCATACTTTACTGGCCAATAAAAAGCCATAATTGAAAACACTTCAACATCTCTGTAAACTTCTAGAGAAGATGATTACCTAAATAGAGTGGCTTTTAATCAAACTTCTGTCCAGACCTAGGTGATGAGGCAATCTTTAGAAGTTTGTTTTAGAATACTATAATTACTCCTGATAATATCATCTCTGATTTTGCCTAATATTACAGCTACTACTCCAGCATAGATTTTGATATTTTAAAAACAGAAAGTTTGTACATGTTGCCAAGTGGTAATTGACTTTTGATTCTTGGCATTCACAACATTAAGTGGATTGTATAGAGTTGTGTGCCAGAACTCAAAGCCAAAAGCAAAAGAACAGAAAATGCTGGGTATCTGAACAGTGTTGGATTTAGATTGGAGTATTCCACTTACTCTACATCCTTGCTACTCAAACTGTGGTCTGTGTACCTGCTGTGTGAGTACCACCTGGGAGCTTGTGGGTGATAGAGAATTTTAGGCCCCACCTAGACATAAATAATTAGAATCTACATTTTAACAAGCTCTTCTAGGAGATTCTTATGCAAATTAAGATTTGAGAAATAATACTCTAGGACACTTAAAAAATATGCTTTATCTGAATTATTGATGCTGAATCACAAATGGAAAATAATGAAATACGAGGAATATTAGTAGACATCATGACGATAGTTGTTCTTACAAATAATTGTTAACTTCAAATGTCTTTTCTAACCTCAAGACAGGACCAAATGTAGATTACCCATTTTCAGAAAAAAAATGATTCTTTTACAAGGTAAATGTTAAAGGAGGTTATATTTTTTTAGAGAGTAAGATATTTTAAATCAGCATGTGGCATATTAAAGCTATTCATGCAAATGATGAAATATTTTCTGTAGGTAAATGTGTCATCATGACTTATAATTTATGAGTCTTTAAAAATTATTTTACAAAATAGTTCTATAGAAGTGGTGTTTTTCCTCATATGATGTTATATCTTTTCAGTGAAATATTATACACTTTGCAGTTGTACAAGTTATATGTATACGGATTATAGTGCATAAGTATAGTATATAACCCAACGATATAGAAATGAGCTTTGATAAGACAGTATCTTTCACAAACTACTGCTAACTCTGATGAGAAAACCTTGATTGTAAGGAGGCCTATCTAAAAATCCTCAGTATTCTTATAAAAACAAGTAATTAATTCACTAACTGATTCAGTACTTAATTATGAAGGCTTCTGAGTGTCTGGCATATGCCACATGCTGGGGGTGAGGAGAGCAGTGAATAAAAGCAGATTTATTCCTCTTCCCTGCTAGTATTTTCATATCTATTGGGGGAGAGATGCATTAATCAATTAATTACAAAAAATGAGTTTATCATTACAAGCTGTGTTAAGCATTTGTAAGTGCTGAGTTTGGGAAGGCTTTCTGGCAGAAGTGGCATTGGAATTGAGATTGGAAGAATGAGTAGGAAATAACCAGGATAAGAATATAGGAGGTAAAGAATGGGAAAATAATTCCAAATTGAGGGATCAGTATGACCAGAGCCCTGTGGAGAAGAAGGGAATGACATGTTTAACTATCTGGAAAGCCATAATGGTTGGAACACAAAGAGTAAAGAGAAGAGGTGGCTTGAGATGGAGCTGGAGAGATGGTTAGGCAGAGGCCAGATCATACAGGAGCTTTAGGATGTGTTAAGGATTTGACTCCCTGTTTAAAATCCTTCAAAGGGAACCCGTTAAGGGGTTTTAAATGGAGTTTTAAACAGAGGAGCATATTGTAAACAGAGGGATTTTAAACAAATGGGTATCACACAAAGAGAAATTCTAATTGTTTATTTGTTTATTTTA
This sequence comes from Homo sapiens, assembly GCF_000001405.40. NCBI lineage: Eukaryota > Metazoa > Chordata > Mammalia > Primates > Hominidae > Homo > Homo sapiens. The sequence goes on along the minus strand of NC_000010.11, from coordinate 66,791,094 downwards.
AGATCACACTGGCTGTAGAGTGGGGGCTAGGACATTAACTTGAACACTGGGAGGGTAAAAAGTAACAGGTAGGCCAATTAGGGAATAATGAGATTAATTTAAGCAATAAAGAATTGAGGTAATGGCGATGGTAAAGGTAAAAGTGAATGGATTCTAGAAGTAAATAAGAGGTTTTGATGTACAATTGGAGGGATAAGCAGGAGTCTGGGCAACTTCTAGATTTTGGGCTTATGGCACTTCACGGCTGACAGTGAGGGGATCCACGTTTTGGTGGGAAGGTCATGAGTTTGGTTTGGACATGAAGATATTCTTTGGTCCAAATTCTGTTAAGACGATTAAAATATGTGGTTGGAATGACCAATACTGTATCCTAAGATGAGAATAATATACTCATATAATAAGATTAGTTATGGCATACCACAAAAATATAATTACCAGTAATTAATGGGGCCATTGAAAGCATTCAGTAAAATGATGTTTATAGACTACTTAGTCCAGGCCTTGGCACATTATAAGTAAACCATTAACATTTGATATTATTGTTGTTTATATTATTGATACTCTTTAGCCTTTGTCTCTCATATTCTCTGCAACATATTGGCTACACCTTTACTTGTTAATTGAGAAACGGTTTTTTTGAGACAGAGTCTTGTTCTGTCGCCCAGACTGGAGTGCAGTGGTGCAATCTCGGCTCACTGTTATCTCGGCTCACTGCAACCTCTGCCTCAAGCGATTCTCCTTCCTCAGTCTCCCGAGTAGCTGGGATTACAGATGTGCACCACCACGCCTGGTAATTTTTGTATTTTTTAGTAGAGACAGGGTTTCACCATGTTGACCAGGCTGGTCTTGAACTCCTGACCTCAGGCGATCCACCCGCCTGGGCACCCCAAAGTGCTGGCATTACAATCATGAGCCACCACACCCAGCCAGAAATAATATTTTTATCTGTTAGCTTTCTTTAACTTGAGTATTTTTAGTCTATAGAGTCATAGTCCTGGAGATAGGGAATTTTCTTTTCATTGAGACACCTCTTAATTGAGGCACAATGTTTATAAAGAGCACCCCGTTATGCCTTGCATGTCCTCTGTGTCATTTTTAATATATTTTCCCTTCACTCCTCCATCAGCAATTGCTCAGCGAGAGTACTGCTGAGCTAACATTCAGTATCCTGCCCTACCTGAACACTGATTTCTTAAATACATACTTTTCTATGGATGATACTCAAATAGATCCTATCTTGCTGCCCTTAGCTCCCAAATGCCCCTTGTCCATGCAGGGGAGTGCTGGTGCTCAGGCACTTCTGCACTTCTGTTTGTTAAACATTTTGAATATCACTATCCCCACGTCACATTACTATTTAACTACTTCATACACAATATCCGCCTATACTCACATGGAAAATATTCTATTAATTACAGTACCTAGAACCCACAAGAATCAATATCTTCTGTTCTTCCACAAGTTATTATATATAAAAAAAGATCTTGGTCAAATGGAGTATATGTGTACATTGATTTAGCAGGAGTAACAGTAATTTCATGAATTTGGTAAATTTTCGTGAATTTAGATGTCATTAATCTATGCATCTTGGCTTTCATTTCTTTTGATAAGAACAAAGGTGGCCGCGCACAGTGGCTCACACCTGTAATCCCAGCACTTTGGGAGGCTGAGGCGGGTGGATTATCTGTGGTCAGGAGTTCAAGACCAGCCTGGCCAACATGGTGAAACCCTGTCTCTAACAAAAATACAAAAATTAGCCGGGCGTGGTGATGCATGCCTGTAATCCCAGCTACTCGGGAGGCTGTCAGGAGAAGCACTTGAACCCAGGAGGCAGAGGTTGCAGTGAGCCGAGATCGCACCACTGCACTCCAGCCTCAGCGAGAAGAGTGAGACTTAAAAAACAACAACAAAACAAACAAATAAACAAAAAAAAGGTTTAGTAAGCAGATAAATAGAGCAAAAATATGTTTTATTTATAAAATGGCAGGAGAAAAATATTTGTTCATGTACTTGTAACACTTGTAACAATGCACTTGTTATTATAACAAAAGATCTTACTAAATTAAAACTGTGCTTATTAGACACGATTCTTCCTATTTAATAAAGTGCCTTAAAAAATCCATCAAGTACCTATCTCCCAATCTGCAATTATTATGGATCCCCAAATGTCATGTCTGTGGTTGTATAATCTAGATTCTCACCAGGTTGACTGGCACCCCCTTAAACCAGATGCAAGAAAGTCAAGTTTCATTTTATAATGTATATGAGTGAGTGTGAAAGGGCCCTGAGTAAACTATTTGAGCCTGTTCCTTCAGTGCTCGCCAGTATGGTTCTTCAATGCAGTACTTGTATTTCTCTGTTCTTTTTTTTTTAACCTGTAATGTTCTTGCTGCATAATGTTAAATCTATATTTTATGTCCCATGATTTCTAGCTAGTTCATTTAGCTCTGTTTCCCTGGGGTTGATGGAAGGAGGAGTTAATATCCTCAGCTTTCTAACAACAGACATTGAAAAAGATCACGCTTGTCTCGAATGTTACTGGCTCTCTGAGCCACACTGCAAGAAATATTACAGGCAACAAATAGTTTCATTTTCAATTTAGACACCCATTATTTGATGTTTACAGGCCATTCCTAATTCTGAGTCCAGAATTTATGGTTTGTTCTGGCGATTATCATCACAGCAATCTCCTGCAACTGGGCTGTGCTTCATCGGGAGCTTTGTGCTGCTGTATCAGTCCTCCCTGGCGCCTGGAACTGATATATAGCACCCTGTCCAAATCACCCTGCTCAGAGAGGCTTAGTTTATGGCTCTCCAAATGCCCATCTTTTCTGATGGGTATGTCAGTTTGCACCCACTCAGTGAGGGGGAACGTTGACCCTTGGGAAGGAGGGTGGTGGTCATTAAAGAAATAAAAGTCTAACACTTAAGATTCTGAACCCCTCTGAATCAAACTAGATGATATCATTGATTAAGTGAAATTTACTGAGTTTTGTTCAGTGCTAATTAATAATGAAACATAGATGTTTCCTAGTTTGACTTGTAAACCTAAGATGAAGAATAGCATATATATTTATTGAAAACATGGTAAAATAGTGGTAGTAACAGCTTTGGATACATAAGTGTGTTTCAAATGGTTATTTTATAGATTCTTTTTGCATAGACAGTATTTAGTTCTGTCTCTCAGATACATGGGTGTTCTCCAGGCTCTGTTCAATAACATTAATTACAGTTTACTGAATTACTTTAGAAATCTCTGCACATTGATTGTAGAAGAATCACTCACTAAATCTGCATTTTTGCAAGGATGTGGTGAAACATGTATCTATTATAAGTCCTGTAACCAGAATGATACTTCATTTTAAATCTTGCTGGTTGAAATGAAAACAAGAATATCTTTTGCTACCAATTTCTACCGACTTCTGTGCGTTAGTTGTGGCTTGTCACTTGCCCCTCCTCCCCTTCGAACTACAGGAACTAGAACTAACAAAACTAGACAAGGGGATAGGTCTTGGTCATAAAGGGGCTTGCTACTCCTTCCTCCCTACATTAAAGACAACTTATTTAGCACTTCCCGGAGAGGAAGGAGAGACAGAGGCAGAAGGAGAAAGAGAAAAGCCCAATAGAGATAAAGCTGTGAATAAGTCGTCTCCAACTTCTGTCCAACCTCACCCCCTAAGTAAGTTGTGCTACCCAGACAGACCAGCGAACCAGGGGGTATTACTCTAATAATATTTTCTCTTATAGAGTAAAATAAAAATGCTCTTTCCTGTAGGGAAATACCACCGAGAGGCAATGAACACCACCAATAGTAACATTTAGTACATAGTGATCAGATCTGATCGAGACATCAACACATCTGTTTCTACACGCCATCTTACAGAAGAGGAAACTGAGACCCACAGAAACTGTGTGATTTGCTTAAGTTCACACATCTAGGAAGTGGAAAAGTTAGGAGTAGGAATCGCCTCTCCTCTGACTCACTAAGTAGAGGTTTTAATTTTTTCTCCACATCAGTATTTTGCAGGAAAAAAGGAACTTAGAAAGATGTACTTGGAATTAGTCTTAGGAATATCACTTTGAATAGAGAAGGATTTTCTTTGAAGTTGCATTGTGAATTTTAAATTTGCATCATCCTGTGATCAGGGCTCTGAGTAAGTCTGAGACAGCGCTGTAGAGTTGGACTTTGCCCTTAGGTTGTCCTCCTTTTCATGCCCTTCTTTCCACTTAACTGACTTGAACACCACTGTCAGGCCTGCCCTCTAAGAATGGTCAATATTCTACATATTTCTTAACAAACTCTCTTCTTTCTACTGTATTTTCCCCCAATAATGCATATTTCATATGTGGGATGTTTCCAAGGTAGCTTTTGGAATTTAAAACTAAAATAACTAAGATGTTTAAAAAACAGGTAAAATGAAGTTATTATATTTTTGTTTCTTGTCTCATTGATTTTATACAGTTGGGTAAATTATTCCCTTCACCCTGGCTGAAAAGTCAATCAATGGCCAAACTTTTCTAGTTACCTTCAGTCTTTTGTGCCAGTCCCTCTCTTCTAATCAATAACTAGAATATAACTGTCAAAACTTATACCTTGATTTCAATTGGGCTGATTTTCCACAGCTTAGACCTATTGTAGGTAGGAAACCAGCAGTTGAAAGAGAACTTAATTGCTTTTTATTATTGTTCTCCCCTTTTCTGGGGTAGAAGCAAGAGGAGGAAGGAGAGCTGAAGGGAACATAAAAGTTATTTCTAGCTCTCAGGTTTCTGAAGGCTGACTTTTCCCATAAACTTGCTGTATCAGTTAGGGTCCCAGCAAGAGAAAAAAAAACAGTGCCCCAAGCTGGTAATTTGAGGAGAGTATATTAAAGGGCCTATTTATATAGCTATGAACAAGGCTTGAGGGACTCAATAAGGGATAGAGCAAGACCCTAGGCCTGCAACTACAGGGAGCTCTGCCCACTCCCAGGCCTGTAGGATCAAGGGGAGGGAGTGGGTCATAGAACAAGACAGGGTGGCTGTAGGAAGAAGACTTCTGCCAGGAGTTGTGGTCTTCAGTAGACAGACACAACCAACTTACAGCAACTACCTGGAATGGCAACAAGAAAATAAATCTTTCAACCCTACTCTCCTCCTCCCTGCCTATCCCTTGCTTTGCACAAGCTCACCTGAAAACATGGAACAATTTTTGTGATATCTGGGGGTTGGGGGAAGAGAGTGTGGTGAAAAAAGGTGATGAGTGGATCCAAAGGGGCAAATGGAAAAAATCTGGCACAGATAAAATATTAGCCAGGATTCTACAGATAAACAGAACGAATAGGATACATATATAAGAGGAGATTTATTATGGGAATTGGCTTATGTGATTATAAAGGTGAGGAAGTATCATGATCTGCTGTGTGCAAGCTGGAGAACTTGGGAAGCCAATGGTATAATTCAGTCCCCATCTGAGGGCCAGAGAACCAGGGGAGCCAATGGTGTAACTCCCAGTCCAAGGCCAAAGGCTTAGTACAAGGTTAAGGGGTGAGGGAGGGTGCTGGCATAAGTCCTGATGTCTGAAAGCCTGCGAACCAGGAGAGCTCTGAGGGCAGGAGAAGATGCATGTCACAGCTGGAGAAGAGAGAGCAAAATTGTCCTTCCTCTGTCTTTTTGTTCTACCCAGCCCCTCAACAGATTAGATGATGCCTGTTCACCTTGGTGGAGGCATTTTGTTCTTTACTGGGTCTACTTATCCAGATGCGAATTTTATTCTGAAAACAGCTTCAGAAATACCCAGAAATAATGTTTTACCAGTTACCTAGGTATCTTTTAACCCAATCAAGTTGATGTCACAGGTGATTTTGAGGGTTCCTTGGAGGTCTGCATCTGACCTGCAGTTCACTTAATGTGAGTGATATCTTCTTCTGCAGCTGACTGCTTATTTATGAAATCCAGATGTTTCTATAACTCCTTGTAGCTTTTCTCTATTTTACTGATCTAGGCAATAGCCTTGGACAAAACAAACAAACAAAAAAACAAGGTGACCCCAGACCAGCTGTCTTTAGCATAAGGCCCATATCTGGACCATGAAAAATGCTCAAATGTTGGAATTCATTCACATCTTTTTCTGCTTATTCATCAGCAAGTAGCCGACCTCCTTTCACTAGTTAGATTTCTTGGGAGAGAGTTCACAAGTGTCCACTGAATCTCAGCTGCCAGGGACTTTGCTTTTAAATGTTCCATTGAAGTGTCTCTTTCTAGACTATGGAGTGAGAAAGTAGGGAGGAGAATGGGAATTCCAGATTCTTTATATAAATCCTCTCCAATAAACCTTCCCTAATCTCCACATGTTTTGACCTTTATACCTTTATTATGGATGTGAGGTTTTATTCAGAGCCAAGTAGTGGTTTTTGATTATTTCTTTTGAAAATCATTATCTTGGTCTGGCACAGAAATGAGGAATGCCCTATATGTATTTAGTTAAAGCTAAAGTTTTTTAATGAAATAAAGAAGAATGGAAATTTTCAAATATTAGATGGAGATTTTCAAATATTAGAATCTGGCAATGGAAGAAAAAAGGGAGAGACTATCTTTGAGTAGAAGCCACTGGTACCTCTCAAGTAATGCCATATAGATCTGTATTTCTTCTGACAGTATATAAGTTAGATCCTGTTTATGAGATTTTTAAAAATTTAAGATGTCTGCACAAATCAAGTTTCATAACAAATAATATTTTCAATAGGCTAAGAGGACTGCTATAAAAGAATATATTTATGCATCCTATTGTAAAGAAAATTATTACCTACTAATTTATCTTGAAGGAAAAATTTTTATATGCCAAGTTTCTTTAAAGTGGAGGCTTTAATTTAACTTTCTCACATGCTTTAGAATATGAAACTCTTCACGTTATGAACCTTGAAAGTGCTAATTTAGGAAAGAAATGATAGAAAATATTTATGTTAATCAGCAAAGAATACATCCATTGTATTCTTATTTTATGGTGTTAAAAATAAACATGTCTGCAAGACACAGATTACAGTTCACTGTGAAAGTGAAAACAATAACCAGAATCGTGGAAGTCTATCTGTTCTAAGTTTCATAGACTTTCCATAGCCATATGTAAAGGCTATGGAAATACTTTGACAGTCTATTATTCAAACGCCATAAAACCCACTGTTGGCTGAAGTTTGACATACTGAGTATTATTAAACTATGAAAACCTGGCTTGGGAAACAGAGTAGGAATTAGACTTAAGAAACTGGAGGAATGGCAGACAATAAAATTTTTACAAGATCAGTGGTTTTCTGATTCTCTATCTCCAAAAACATGGTGGAGACAGAAAAATTGCCAGAAAATGGTGATTCTATTTAAAAGCGGGAAAATAATTTATTTGGTCTATGTGTGTAATGCTATGTCATTGCTTATTAGACTCTGGTAGTGGTTCTGAATATTGTAGACAAAGTCGTTGCCATATGAGCTCACAGGAGCTCACAGTGTAATCGACAGCATAAAATATTGCATTTCTCCACGTTCGTACAGACGCTTTTATATTAGCATCACAGCTGCTTTCTTCAGGGGTAGGCACTTTTCTAAAGCTGGCTGCTGGGTCAGGCATCACAAAACCAAAAGGATTTCTAGAATGAGTCAGATCTTACTCCAGATCCTCTGATGGTGACTCAGTAAAAAAGTTTTGGAATTAAAATATCAGTAAAGACATAATGTGCAATTTAATCATTAATTGATATTGAAGGATTTATGAACTTTGGCCTAGATATCTATATTTCAGATATATGATTGACTCTTCATGGAAACACCTTTAAAAGACAAAGTCATAGTTTATATTGATACCTGTGAGTAACATCTTCAGAAAAATGATTTGATTTTCTTTTTGTAGTGCAAACCCATGAATGTTTATTTCATGTTTGGTGAATATCGGTTAAAATTCTGTATTCTGGCGTGAGTATCTCTGGTCTGAGAACACAGGCAACAAGCTGGAGTGTAGTGTTCTCAGTACTTAATTAGTTATTTACTAGACTAGATACCAACAGAGAACTCTAATGCCACACACTGTTAGAGTTCAGAGGAACCCTAAAGATCATTTAGTGTAATGGCCTCCTTTTATGCATGCTAAGGACATTTGAGACAGGACAAGAGAGGTGATTCATCCTAGTTAAGGTCAACCAGAGAGCTTATTTTAGAAACCCCATTTTCTGATTCACAGGTTAGATTTTTATCCTCATACCAAGTTTATATTGTACTACTTATAGGTAATAATAACAGCAGTCTTTGAATAAAAACACTGATTTAATAAAATATTTAATAACTAATAGGATAGATATTATTTTTGTTAAAAATACAAACACTCAATGTATTAATAATATAGCTTGAATATTACTTATTAGAAGTATGGTTAACAATTCTTCATTTATTCATTTTACCCACATCCATTAATTGAGTTTCAGGTGTTATAGTAGATACAAATGACAGATTTAAGAAGTGTCAGTGTAGAAGATGAGGCAGAGTATAAATAAAAGATAACAAAAGTCTCACAGATATAGTGGAAATATATGAAGAGATTAATGAAAGAACAAATGAGATGATTTGTAACTTTAAATTTTTATAGCAAAATTGAGGAGGGTCAGAAAAGGTGATACAGAGAATGAGACAATTGAGCTGAGTCTCAGATTATGAATTAAGAATTTTCCTGTTGAACAAGAAGAGATGGGGGCATTCCAGGACAAGGCTGGTGTTTGAAAAAGCACAGGGAAATCAGCCAGTTGGTTTAGTTCAAGAAACCCAAGTGTGACATTGGTAACACCAATGATATGTCTAATAATAACTGCTAACATTTCTTGAACCCTTCCTATTTGCCAGCTTTGTATACCCTTTATCCTTTTATTCCTTATAACAACTTTGTAATATAGATTTTATATTATCTCCACTTTATGGGCAAAGAAACTAAGACTTTGAGGATTAAGTCACTTGTTCAAAGACATAAAGCTGTCAGGTGATGGAGCTGATTAGAATACAATTTCAACTGGCTCCACAAACTTATATTCTGCTCATTATATTTTATAAATACTTTTATAAAGCTTACATAACAGATATATTGAGTTTAAGTTACAGTGGCTTCAAGTTGTCATGGTATGGTGGCTTAAGTCTGAGATGGGACACAGTTCTACCTGACACACAATTTACTGTGTGTCCTCCAGAGGCAGGACATTTAAATTTACTGAACCTCAGTGTCTTCACATACAAATGTGTGTAGAGTTATTGTGAACAGCAGTTGAGACAGTACGTGTAAAGTACTTATTATATGTGGTAGACATTTGACACAATGTTGTTTCCCTCTCACTGACTTCCAGACATACCCCAGCAGGCATCTACATGGGGATGGCATCTTACTTTCCCAAACAATACAAAAGTTCAAGACATTTGTAGTCTTCATCCTACTTCCTCTGTTAGCTAAATCATTCTATTCTTATATGGTTAATTTTTAAAAACCTCATTTCAAAACTCAGAGTTAATTTTTGGCTTGTTTTAGTTGTATTTTCACATTATAGACCTTATTTCTGACAGATCATTTAGCATGCCCCATCAGGTGTCTTCCTGATACGCCATTCAGTACAGTGGTATTCTAGAAGGAGAGATTTCATTTTTCTTTCTTATACTTGTCTGTTTGTGTGTCTTTCATGCCTGAAAAATGTAGACTAGAATCTGTGCCTGTGCTATGTGCTAAGCATAAACTATTTTTCAAGCAATTTCTTTAGAGAAGAACTAAGTTTAAGGGTATCATATTTCATCTTTTACCATTAAAAGGAAAATGCATCATTTTAAAAGGTTGAATAAAATGGCACACACTTACAAAACAAAAATAAAACATAACAATAACAACAACAAAAACAACAACAAAAAACATTTTCCTGCTGTTTGAATTCCACACAGGGCTCCTCTGCACTGATTTTCATTTGACTATGAATTAGATAAATTTTTATTTGCTTTAAACCTCATCTCTTAGTGTTTGAGGCTTCATAATTTATAGGGTGAGCATCATGGCCTTCCTATTTCAAACGTCTCCTTTTATTTTCAGCTTCGTATTACACACACATGTTTTGACATATTTTCAATGGCTGTTTATGCAAGAAATTGTGCAATAAAAGTAACATATTATTCTACAATTCTTCCTTTTAGAGAACATGGCCCTTTCATAGAATTTTAAAGTTAGAAAGGAATATAGAAACAATTTAGGACAAATATTCATTTTATGGGTTTGGAAATTAAGGCCCAGAAACGTAATGGGATCTGCCAAAACCTTATCCAGTCTTCTATTTCTCTATTTATTTAACAAATAACTGTTGAGCCCCTACTATGTGCAAAGCACTGTGCTAGATCCTTTGAGGGACAAAATATATGTAAGATATTTTTATATTTCAAGGATCATACCATCTAGTGAGAAAGACACATTCAGGTAAGTAATTAAGCATAGGACAAATACTAATGAAATGAGCTCTTTATGAGCCCTTCAGCAGTTCCCAGGCTGAAATCATCATCCTTGTGTTGACCTGGCTTTCTCCTTGAAATGACAATTTCAGTTCACAACTCCATCATCTAGCCAGCTGTCACTGCTGGAAACCAGGACATCAGCCTAGATTGTTCTCTTTCCTTCACCTGCCAGCATCTGCCAGTCATCCTCCTACCCAGGTTACTCTATTATAGAGTCCTTAAGTCTGTGGTTTTTCTTTATCCTGACTGCCATTGCATTAGTTTCAACACTGTTCATCTCTCTGTGGACTATTACTGTGACCATTTAATGCTTCTATTTCTGCTTGTCATCTCCTCAAATCCATTGTGCAGACTCCACAGCCGGTTTGATATAATGGACTGATTGTATCATTCATTTTCTTAACTTCTATGACTCCCAGTTGTCTATAGGGTTAAGCTCATTTCTTGGCATAGCAAAGACCTCCAGGATCAGGCCTCTCCTAACACTTTTACTAATAACCAAATAATCTTTAAGGACCTTTACCTTTGCTCAGGCTATACCTGTCCCTGATAAGCTTTTTCTCTTCTCTTCACCTGGCTGACTTTTATATATCCTGTAATACTCAATTGTTACCTACTCAAGAATGCTTCCTTCATCATTATTGAGAGTGCTGCTCTCATCAATCCATGTGTTATCCTAGGTACCTCTATAAACTACTGTGTTTATGTCTATCACTAGATTTGTGCACCTGAAAGGCAGCGACTAGTTCTTAGCATGGTGTCCCGCATATAGTAGATGATAAAGATTTGTTGACTATGTTGACCTATTTATTAAACCAAGTGTTATAAAAGAAGTATAAGAACTATAAGAAAGTATCATGGAAGAGAGTAATTAATTGCAAATGAGAAGATCAACAAAGGCTCTATGTAAAATTTAGTAACTGAGTTATACCTTGAAAGAGGTCCATAACCAGGCCAGGTGCAGTGGCTTATGCCTGTAATCCCAGCACTGGGAGGCCAAGGCAGGAGGATCACCTGAGGTCAGGAGTTCAAGACCAGCCTGGCTGACATGGTGAAAACCCACCTCTACTAAAAGTACAAAAAAAAAAATAAGCCAGGCATGGTGGTAGGCACCTGTAATCCCAGCTACTCAGGAGGCTAAGGCAGGAGAATCACTTGAACCCAGGAGGCATAGGTTGCAGTGAGCCGAGATGGCACTACTGCACTCTAGCCTGGGCAACAGAACAAAACATTTGGAAAGAAAGAAAGAGAAAGAAAAGAAAGAAAAGAAAGAAGGAAGGAAGGAAGGAGTCCATAACAAGAAAAGTAAGAGACAAGAAATGAAAAGAGAGGTATTTATACTAGCAGAGTTCTTGAGTTGTAATCATATTGCAGAGAATAGAAAAGACCCATTAAGGTGTCTTATTAGTGGTTTAGTAAATACAGAAGTAGATTATATGAGGCTTTGAACACAATGATCAAGACTTTGTTCTTAATTTCATCAGTAGGGATACAGTGAAGGGTTTTAGAGCAAAGGAGGGACATAATTAGACCTTATGTTTCTCCACTAGGGAGTAAGCACTTTGAGGGTTGGGATTTTTTGGTTGTCTATTTCTTATTTACTATTTTATTTTATTTATTTTTATTTAAATGTTTTTTGATATGGAGTCTTGCTCTGTTGCCAGGCTGGAGTGCAGTGGCGCGATCTCGGCTCACTGCAACTTCCGCCTCCTGGGTTCAAGCAATTCTCCTGCCTTAGCCTCGCAAGTAGTTGGGATTACAGATATGCGCCACCATGCCCAGCTAATTCTTGTATGTTTAGTAAAGATGGTGTTTCACCATGTTGGCCAGGCTGGTCTTGAACTCCTGACCTCAGGTGATCCACCTGCCTTGGCCTCACAAAATGCTGGGATTACAGGCTGAGCCACCGCACTCGGCCCAGAATTTTTTTTTTTAATAAAGTCTTTCTTGGCAGTTTGTTTACAGATGAAGAATGTGACTGCTTTCCCTATACAGTGCTGACCTGTGCCATGTGAGTGTCTATCTGCCTGACACTCCACTGTAAGTGGTCCCTTTTCCATTAGCAGGGATTTGCTGACTTAATAATGGCTTCTGTCAAGGATTTCTTTAAGGAGCAGTCTCTTTTCTGAGCACTCGGGATATAGGCAGGTTCTGACTGTTATCTGCAGTTGTGTTTTAATATCCTGCCATTTCCATCTCTTGTCTCAGAACACAGAATTCACCTTTAGTCCGAGCTCATTGATGATTTGTTAAGGCTTTGAAAAAAGAAGGAATGAGGGCCTTTAAGCAGGACGGGGCTATTTCTCCTTGCCTTATTTATTTTTATGCTATGCAAAAGGAATAAAGAGGCATAAAATGGCTTGACTGAAGCCAAATAAATCTAGATAAATAGAGCAAGGATCCAATAAAAAGCCGGAGGTGAAAAAGTAGAAAGGTGATTGTGGTTGGGGATAGGGGATCAAGGGAGAAAAAAGCAAGAAGGGAGACCTTTAAACTTCCTGTCATGATAGGGACTGTTTATTATTGCCTAGACAATGAAATGTCTTTGACCCAGTGAAACATTTTAAACTAGGGTTAAGCTCTGGGTAGAAATTAGGGAATAATTTTTATAGTTCCTATTGAATCTCTTTGTGCTGTCACCTCCTGTCATCCTTTATTTAAAGTTTGGTATGCTTCTGCTGCTAGCTCTGAGAAAGCTGACATTTTTTAGTTGTTCTGATGAATCACACCACAGAAGCTAGCGGGTTTTTACAGCCAACACAACAGGAGTCTCCCATATTATTCCTGATACTGTGTGTGTGTGTGTGTGTGTGCATGTGTGTGTGTGTGTGTGTGTGTGTGTGTGTGTGTAGGAGGTCTCTTTGTCTGTCCCACTTCTGCCTCTTTTTTATTATCTCTGCTTTCATGAAGTGGAAAGCGATACAACCAAGAGCAAACACTGCATGAAGCTAGAGAATAAGGGCTGGGTTCTTTAGGTAAAATTATAAACTGTCTGAGAGCTCATTGTGTATCTGTTTATGCCATTGTCCTGTATAGTCATGAGTTAGCTCTTCATAATTCCCCACTGCTAGCATAGAGAATGCTGAGTAGGAGCTGTGAAGGTAGCCACAACTTTCATCTGTGTAATTGCTGCCATTGCTCTGATATCCAGAATGTTATTAGTGCTCATAGAAATAACCTAACCAAATCTCTCCTATTTCCCTTTTCTTACTTCTCTCTTCCCTAGACACAGTTTCCATGGTGTACACATTCCACAATCTCTTTATAAGAAACTAAAACATGGTAAAGACTTACTGGCCTTCTACTGTGTCTTCCTATAGGAGGCAGCTGAACATATGTGGTGCCAATTTTTGGCTGTCACAGTGCGCCAGATTTGGTATTGAATTTAGCAGACCTGGGTCCACGAATGCCAGATATCTTGCAGTGTATCGAATGATCTCCAATGATGGCCATTTTTCACACTTTAAATATCAGTAACACTGCTGTTGGGAAAATATAGGTTGACCTGAGTTTGAGGTAGATACCAGCAACCTCAGCTCATAGAGAACTTTAGCTGTGCCTTGAGAGCTAAATGCTAAAATCTCCTCCAGAGTCTCTAGAATGACACCTTCCTGGAAAACAGTAGGCCTCTAATCAAACTATGTTGTGTTTTGAATTAAATTGCTCATTTATAGTCTAGTCAACTCTATTTGATAAGTCCTATGTAAGTTACTATCAGGAATAGAAAAAAAATTGAGATATATTTGCCAATATCAGGATTCTAACAGTATCATAAGGGGGATGCACATAAATAAAATGATTATATTGAAAAACACTCAAAATGCTGTTGGAAAAAGGAAAAGTGAGACTTTACTTTTGAGCAGGGTTGTTGGAAGAACTCCCTGTAGAAACCAGTGAGGAGTAGATAGGACTTCAGTAGGTGTTTTAGAAGATGATCTCTGAAATCAAAGGTACATTACATGTAAGAACTGGGGAGAAGAGACAGAAAATTATAGGAATATTGCTACTGTAAAGGAGAGTATATAGCAGTACATAAGAGTAAAAAAGTAGGTTAGGACAGAGTATAGAGAGTTTTTAAATTTCTTGTTAGGGAGTCCACTGCAGGGTATGGGTTTATGCATGAGTTTAGTCATTGGGGAAAGTGTCAGACATGCTTCCTCGTGGTTTATACTTGGCCTCAGTGTCCTTTTTCATTGAGTTCGTGCTGTAACCCCCTTCAGTTATCAGCTGCTTAAACTTGCCTTCCTGATTTTCAAGGTCTTCTCTCAAGATCCCTTTTCAGTTTATTAATTTAAACAGCAGCAATTTTCCTAGAGGTGAATCACATAATGATTTTTCCAATCTCTTTTATGTGAGATATCACTGCAAAAAGTATGATTAGATTTAATCCAGTTGTCTTGCACAAAAATAATATGTAGAAAATACCAACCAAGGTGACTCTCTATGTGCTTAATAGCCTAAAGATTTAGGTTAAGGATATAACAGAGAGCTGTTCTGCTCAAAGAATAAAAAGGTGTTGCACAAATTATCTTAAAGAGCCAAAAACAGCGTCCAGTTCTTACTTAAAACAATTTGTTCTTGGAATATTGTCAGCTAAAATTGTGGTCAACTTTTGCAAATTGTATGAATTTGCACTGCATACTTTATTTAGTGTTTAGCAAAATTCCAATATGGCTCTGCATAACTTACACAATACACCATGGAAATGACTTTAGAAACTCCCACAGAAGTTGACAAATTGGGCATCTAATGCTTTTAAGCTAATTGCCTGCTTAGTGATTTAAGATTTGACTTGTTAAAAATGAAGATCAGAGTTTCATGAAGATAATGCTCTGCCTATTGTCACACTGAATACAACCTAACTCCGTATCGGAAATATTACAGAAGCATAAAGATGAAAATAATGTGAGCTTTAATCACCATTCTACTTAGTCTTAAGTGAAATGCTCATGAATCATATATAATATAGCAGTTTTGAAACCTATTCTTGAATTTCAAGCTGTTATTTTCAGGAAATTTAGAAAGCAAATTGCTAAGTGATAAAGATTAATTGATACCATTGCTTATGTCGTTTTTTCTTCTTTGCAGGCTGGAAAAAAAGAAAGGAGTAATACCCTGAATATTGCTTTAGACAACATGTGTAAGAAGACAAGAGACCTTCGCAGACAGGTGAGGGAAGAGAGAGATATGGAGTCAGAAACATAGGGGCTAAATGAAACTGTTATTCATTGCAGGCATATTTGTTTCTTGTTTTGTTCCTTTCAAATTAATTTAGAACAGGAAAAAAAGAGTAAATATATACTTTCCACATTTATATATTCATACCTCAAATGTTTTTTGTGGCAAATACAAAGCAGAGAAAGAATGTGTGCCTTATCAGACAGAATTACATTCAAATTCTGGTTCTGTTCTCATCAGTTGTGAGATCTTCGGCACATATTTCAGCTCTCTGAGCTGCTTTGAACCTATACAATGAAATTAATAATATGCAATAGGGCTGTGAGGAATCAATAAAATGCATGTAAGTGCCTGACCCATAGCAAGTTTTTAGGGAATGTTGATCAATTGATTGTATTACATCAGAGTTCATCATCCAAATGCTTAAATCCAAATGATTAACTAGTAAGTAATTCAGAGACCCTACCCATTCCTCCTTCCATTTTTTTTCATGATACTTCAAAAATTAGTTTTTGTAAAAGTTAAGCCTTCTTTTTAACCTTAAGTCATCAGGAACATGGGATTAGAAAGAATTTCATTAAACAATTTATAAGTCTAGTATGATGCCACAAGTTAAACATTTTTCCAGAAATAGGAAGACTTAGCTATTTTCAAAGACATTTGCTCTTCATTCCTTTCCTCTGTTCAATAACCAGAGTTCTTTCTCATGCAGAACTTTCACTTGGTCATCATTAACTCATCAAAAGGGAGAAAAAGCTTTTCAACTATGAACTTTTAATGCAATGTATTATCGTAGTTTAATGGCAAGATTTAGTAAAATGGCTAAGCAATCTTTTAATTTGGACGTAGATTTGGAAATGGAATAGAGATCTCCAGCCAGTTAATAATAGCTGCATAAAAACATAATGTTGAAGTCTGTGAAAATCTCAGTTTCTCAACTTTATGCCCTTAATGTGAATTCTGTTTCTACCATTTACACTTGTAATCATGGAATGTAAGAGTCAGAAGGAACTTAGCACAACCTGTCTTACGATGCAAATGAGAAAGCAGGTCAGTGTGGTGAGGTGACCTGCCTAAGAGGATGGGGCACCGAGTCAGAACCTGTACCAGGACTCAGAAATTTATATCCTCAGAGCGATCCTCCCCTTTCGTGGAATGATCCCTATTCTCCATCGTCTTCAGGATTTCTACCCCATCTGCTTCACCTAGGACTCAGAAAAGTTGTCTCTATGAGCTCTCAATGATTGTGTCTCTCGTTCGTGTCTTTTCCCTCTATATTGCCTTCAACAACATTATGCATAAAGAGCTAATCTACATTTATACTTCTAAAGGTTTTAGAATTATTATTTTTCTAAATAAAGTCAAGAAAATGCAATTACTTGTGTGTGGAATTACCAGATTTAGCAAATAAAAGCACAAGGCACCCAGTTAAATTTGAATTTCAGATTAACAACAAACATGGTTTAGTATAATTATGTCCCAAATATTGTATGGTACATACTTATATTTAAAAAGTTGTTCATCTGAAATTCAAATGTAACCGAGCATCTTGTATTTTATATTGCAATCCTACTTGTATTTCCACCTCACTACCATCAGTGAGATATAGAAATAGCATTGGGGATTACTAATACTATTCTTCATAGTAAGAAGATACTCCCATCTTGTAGAAAACTGCTGTGCTCTGAAGGTATTAACATTCTGTATGGTTTCACAGGTTAACATCTCCATTGTTTCAATTTTCTATCAGTGTTTAACAAACCACCACAAACAGTAGCAACGATATTTGCATCTCACGATGTCTTGGGTTGGCTGGGCGTCAGCGGGGCCATTTTCTGTACCGTTTTCACTTGTGGTTTTCCACATAGTGGCAGTCAAATGGCATCTGTGGCTAGATTTGGGACTTGATGTTTGGAACCTCAGTGCTTCTTCCTGTTCCCTCTCTCGATACGGTGCCTAATGTTTTAGGGCCTCTCCATGTGGCTTCAATCTCTAGCAGGGTAGCCTAGATCTCTTTCATGCTGTTTCAAGTTGCCAAGAAAAGGGAGACGGAAGCTGACAAGCATTCTTAGTGCCTTAGCTCCAAAGTCAGAGAATGCTATTTCCTCTATAATCTGTAAGTAAAAAACAGTCAAAAACCCTGTCCCAGTTCAATAGGAGTAGGCAGAAGTTCTGTCTGTTGTAGGAGAAGTGGTATGTGTGTACAGGAATGGATGGAATTGTTAGAAGCTGTCTTTGAACACCTCCATGATCTTCCGTTTTGATGAAGTTAGTTGCTATGATTCTTTCTCATTATCCTCACTTACCCTCCCCCTAGTACTTTATTTTTCATCCTGATGTTTACATTTTTGGTAGAAGTCACAGTTAATTAAAACAGCAATATAAGTTATCTCTACTTCTTGTTCTTAAGAAGTTTATCCAACAGTTGTTGTAAGCATCTCACATATAGTTCTTCTCACAGGAAAGAGAAAGCACTGCCCTTAAAATGTTTTTCTTTGGAGTATTTAATGTTCATCGTTTGCTTTAGAACTGGTTTTATCTTTTAAAACTTTTTTTAGTAAAAAATAAGCAGAGCCCATCTTCCTGCCCATTCATCCTTATCCCCTTTCTTAACCATGGCCTTTCTATCAGTAATGCAGAAACATTTCAGCTTCAGTTCAGAGGGTGATTGGATTTCTTCCAAGAGGAATGACAGAGATTGCTTAGAAATATCTAAGGAGAAGCAAATTATAGATTTGAGGACATCAAGATGGAATGTTCTAGGAGGCGAGAGTATTTATTTGTTTCAATCTTCTTCCTCTGTGACTTTCTTGCCTGTTTTACTAGAGAACAAAGACAAATGTTCTTGGCATGGTGTTCTAGGTTCTCTGTGATTTGGCCCTGACTTAATCCCCATTATTCTTAATGTTCCTTTTCCTTCAGCTCTCCTTCGCAGTGTTGTGTCCTCCTCATCACACCAACACATTAACCTGTTTTCTTTTCTCTCTCTCTCTTTTTTTTTTTTTTGTTTGAGACAGAGTCTCACTGTACCGCCCAGGCTGGAGTGCAGTGGTGTGATCTCGGCTCGTTGCAACCTCCGCCTCCCAGGTTCAGGCAATTCTCCTGCCTCAGCCTCCTAAGTAGCTGGGATTACAGATGCATGCCACCACACCCTGCTACTTTTTTGTATTTTTAGTAGAGACAGGGTTTCACCATGTTGGCCAGGCTGGTCTCGAACTCCTGACCTTGTGATCTGCCCACCTCGGCCTCCCAAAGTGCTGGGATTACAGGTGTGAGCCACCAGGCCTGGCCCACATTAACCTGTTTTCTGATGAAAGAATCTACTTGTTATTTACCAGAATTTGCATCACCTCCCGCTCAAATACACTTGCATCTTTGTACATATGACTTGTACAGCTTGATGCCTTCCCCACTCACTCTCCTTACACACAACCCCAACTCATAAGCAACTAAATTCCAGAGTAGTGTAAATGCTATTGCTTCCATGAAACCTTTGCTGTTTTCACCAGCTGGAATGGACCTTTTTCTTCCTGGAACACTTACAGCATGTGCATATTACAGCAATGATTATATTCTTCTATTTTTTTCTTTTGTAATGAGTTTTCTTCCCACTGCATTTTAAGTCCTTATAATGATAGCTATGACAACATCTCTCATTTACTAAATGCTTTGCAAAGCTCTCTACCAAGCATATTCATTACATTATTAATTTTTATTCCTAAAACAATAAATAATGCCATGGTATTGTTATCTTTGTCCCCCAAAATGAGTTAACATAGCAAACATCACCCAGCTACGTGATAGAGACACAGTTCTAGCCCAGGTCCATCCAACCCCAGCCCATATGTGTAATCACCACACCAGGGGCTAGGGATTATGGCCTATTCACTTTCAGAACCTCCCAGTGCCTAATACACTGATTTTACCATCATGTATTATTTTCTTTATTATTTGTTTTAAATGCCTTTTTAAAGTTAAATTTTCTTCTTTCTTTAGCCTCTTTTTCCATCATTCATTTGAAAACTGTATACCT
The DNA here is from genome assembly GCF_000001405.40 of Homo sapiens. Classification (NCBI taxonomy): domain Eukaryota; kingdom Metazoa; phylum Chordata; class Mammalia; order Primates; family Hominidae; genus Homo; species Homo sapiens. The sequence continues at coordinate 66,771,401 of NC_000010.11, read as the reverse complement.
ATTGCAACTCTCTCAGTAAAAGGAGGAAGACTTTTTAAACATTCTTTACTTTATAAAAAAATTTAAGCAACAAATATATCTTATTTCTATTTTACTATACATACTAAAATATATTTGATTTCACTAAAGGCAGGCTAAAATTTGTATTTGTGTATATTAAGAAAAATGTCTTTTATTTCATAAATATCAAAGTAAAGATGAAGTATGTCAAATGGGATTTTGGTAAAAACAGACAAAACAAAAACTTGATTAATTCTTTAGTTGCTGAGTTTCTGAATTGTTAGGTCCATCTCTCTTCCATGTTGCATAGTACCAGTTCACCACTCAGAAAAAAATATGTAGGCTTTTATACCTCCTGGTCATCATCCTCATCATCAAATAACATTATGTATCCACAAGAGACAAGTTTCACTAAACTTACATAGTACATACACAGTGAAATAATTATTAGTACATTTAATTCCAAGCTTTAAAAATCACATTTTGCTATTTGATTTAAATTAAAATGGCTTTTAATTTAAAATATTTATTAAAATTTAAATACTGTTAATTTATTAAAATTTAATACAATATTTTAACATAAAATATTTTAGTCTAAATGTATTTTTCTGTTTCCCTGAAGATGATTCCTTTCTGAAACACTTTCTCCCCTTTCCATTCCCCTTCCCATCACAATTTCATTCTTTCTGTTCCTTTATTTGGTGGGAATGGTGGGGCTTTTTTAGACTTTTCACATAGGGCTTTCACTTTGGGCTTCAATTGTAGTGATATATATTATTTTGAGATCCCAAACCACTTACATCAGTAGGAAATAGAAAAATTGATGTCTCAAAGCCTTTTATTAAACTGTAGTGAGAAAAGATGAAAAGCACCTCAGTTTGGTTTTGTTCTAACATCTTTCATGCCTGGCCACAAACAGGTATTTATTGAAAGTATGTATCTGTAATTCCTATTGGCCTCCCACTAACTTCAGATTTTAGTGCTTTGGCTTCCATTTCTATATTGGCATATTGCATTCTTCTTTAAACTTTTTGTATATCACCCAACTGAAAGGAATGCATTGTGCCACTGGGCAGGAAAATAATGCGGAAATAAATAAGATAGAGGCTACTTTGCTGTTATATGTAGGTATATATGACTATACAATTTAATGAAAACAATTCCATATGAATATGTCAGAACATATAATGAAAATTGCTTAGCATAACATTCTAGTCCTTTCACATCTTGTCCCTACCTACATTTCTAGTCCTGTCTCATAATAATTCCTCTTTTACAGTGAGTATAATTCAGGGCATGGCAGAACAAAACCCAGTGATGTACAGAGCCAAGGTAGTAGAGTATAATTAGCAATGAGTAGTTTACATAAGACATTGGAGTCTCTTACTTGGTGCATGATCAAACAACATTAATACCAGACAAAGGTACCTGTTTAGATGGGTTTTCCTGAAAGCAGTGACTAAAACTAGGACCTTAGTGCAGGTCATTTATTTAGGAGGTGATTCCTGGAAGCAAGTGTTATAGAACATGAAAAGCGAGGCAGGGAAAGAGGAAATGATATGCTATTGAGATTGCTGCTGTAGGCAATGAGAGCTTGAGGATCTCTGAGAATAACAGAATGTTTCCCAGAATTGTCTGACTAATGGATGGAGGGTAGGAATTTTATGCAGTAGTTTCTATCCGCATAGGTTGAGGGTTTCCCCCAGTGGTGTGGACGCTGAAGAACTTCCAGGCAGTGTTTATGCTGGGTTGAGAATTTCACAGAGACTTGGAACAGGCCCTGAGATAGAATAACAAAGAGACACAAGGAAGGCACACAAGAAGCATGGAATGTCTTCAGAGGACATGGAACTGTTCCCCCCAGCAAAAGCTGAAATCAGAGATAGATCCAGAGGATGAGATATAAGGCACCAAAAGTCTATAATGTAGTTCATAATAGTGAAGGTAAAGGATCAGGAACCAGCAAGTTAGACAGGGAGAATGGTTAGACTGGTGAGAATATTGTGGGTTGGTTGAATTAGTTACACTTTGTTTTTTGCATGGGTTAAGATGATTTCAGTGGGAGAGATACATCCCTGCCTCTGACCATGTGCTAGCTCCTAAAGGTTTCATTCACATCCAGCTCAAGTCACTGATTTCTGGGCATTTCCTTCTGTCATGGGACGAAAAGATGACAAAAGTTGGCACAATGTGAGACAATAGTTCTTTTTCACCTGTTATTCTTGCTTTGGCAATAAATCAATATGTATTTCCAGCAAAGCAAAGGGGAGTAATAAGACTTTTTGGCTATAGTTGCAGATGGGAAATTATAGTGAAGTCTTTATATGAAAAACAGTCACTCTTTAAACATATATCTCAGAGTAGTAAATACCAAGTCTTGCTTCTTCATGTCACAATCAAATTATTAAAAACAGAAGTTTATACTCACTGTCTTTACTGCCTTATCTCTCATTCACTCTTCAAACCATAGCAATAGGACTCTTCAGCCCACTTTTCCACTGAAACTGCTCTTACCAAGTTTATCAATAACCTCTTAGTATTCAAGCCCAAGGGACAAGTCTCATTCCTTTTTTTTAATTTAATTTATCTTTAAAATTTGACTCTAATTTTTTTTTTTGCTGTCAGTCTCTAAGTTTTTCTTTATTGTAATGTTTAATGTATTATTGTAATATTCACTCTTCTACTAGATTATAAGGGATCATGAATTTCCATCTTAACATTTCCTTCAATACCTTTCTCTTGGTAGAAAGGTGAGGAAATGGTTTCCAGAAATATTTACTGAATTGAATGAAATCATTTACACAGCAGAGAAGATTTAACAAGTCCATGATGGGAATATTATAGTTATGTTTGGTAGGATAACTACATTTGAAGAGCATTAACACAGAGATATATTTGAAAGTTTGTCTTTTAGTTGTGGGTAATTTGTCTCTTTGTTTCTTGGCTATTATCTCAGTCTCTTTTTAGGCCCTACTCTTTAATCATGACTCCTGTAAATGATAGTGTTTCCTAAGAGGTCCTCTGTGGGTCTCCTCACTCTATATGGTCTCATCCACACTCTCCGCTTGAGTTAGTTCCCATATGCTGGCCCTTCATGGCATATCTCTAGTGTAGATTTCATCTGAGCTTTCCTTCTACATGTCTCAATTAGAATGAAAGAAGAAAAGAATAATCTACATGTCCTAATTATGAATGAAAGAAGAAAAGAATAAAGGGGAGGATAATCATTAAAAAATGCCCCCACTCTGAGAAATTAGAAGGAATCTCTACTTTTCTCTTCAGTATCTGAAACTTACACAACCTGTAGTTCCCAGCTCAAATAAATTCGTGACCTTACGCCTGACTTCCCTGGTGTACTTCCTATAGACAGCAAACACATTATTCATTCAGTTAAGGTCTCCCCTTTGCCTTGTAACCCCTTGGCACTCTATACTTTGTCCTAATAAGTGCTCAGTAAATATTAGTTGCCACTAGTAATTTGCCTTTCTGCATACTAAGCAGAATCCTTCCTTGGGGATCTTCCTGAAGCCTTTCTTAAATTGTTGATAGTCAGAAAATTTCACAATGCTTCTGAGCAAGCTCACTATTTTGGGCAGAGATATTTTTCTTCCAGAAACCTGTAATTATTATGGATTTATTATTCTATGATCATTATAGAAGACAGTACTTTCTATTTAGCTCTATCATTCAGCTCTCCCAAAATGTATTACTATTCATTCCCAAGTAATCTAAAACTAAACTAAGTGTCTATTCTTTTAAAAAAATACTCTAAAATGTAACTTTGACAGAAAAATTACATTTTTCTGTCTGACAGCTATTTATCTGTTTTATTGTACAGAGGTTATTGAACTATATGAAGGTCTTGACTCAAAAACCTTTGGGCCCATTTATAGTCATTGACATTGTTAATGAAACATTTCAGGATATTATGATTTTTTTTTTTTTGTCGGGGGGAGTGGATGGAGTCTCACTCTGTTGCCTGGGCTAGAATGCAGTGGTGCGATCTCAGCTCACTGCAACCTCCTCCTCCTGGGTTCAAGTGATTTTCCTGCCTCAGCCACCCAAGTAGCTGGGAGTACAGGTGCCTGCCACTATGCCCAACTAATTTTTTTATTTTTAGTAGAGACGGGGTTTTACCATGTTGGCCAGGCTGTTCTCGAACTCCTGACCTCGTGATTCGCCTGCCTTGGCCTCCCAAAGTGCTGGGATTACAGGCATGAGCCACTGTGCCTGGCCCGATATTATGATCTTTAAAGACTCGATATTATATAAACACAATGAATTAATTTTTCAGTGCAGTTTTAAATCTCAGAAAATATCTGCTGACTAGAGTAATTGCCTAATTGTCATTAATAAGCTTACATGTAATCTAATTGAAAAGAACTAATTGTAGCAGAATGTTATAGTTGTTTAATAATTTAAAGTGTGAGGGCAAGAACAATGAATGCAAATGGGGAAAATTGGACATCAAACTCATTTATTATTCTTCTTGCTCTATTAATCTGTTATCAACTGGCATAATCGGTGATCTAACTTGGCTTAATTACTATGAAGTCTACAATTTAGCTAATCAAAATTTATCATCAGTTCCTCCAACAAGGTAGAAAACATTCTATAATTTGTAATTATAAAAATACAAGATGTACAATATTATGTGTACACACTCATAAATATTCTAATAACACAATTTCTTTGAGCAAAAAAGAAAGTATTACCATTTTTAATCTGACTTCCAGGTTAAATACAACTTAAGAAAAATTACTTTTGAGAGGAAAGGAAATATTGCTAGATGATTTTTTCTTTTTGCCTGGATATTTTGTTTTTTAGTTTCTTAAGGGACATTCTTGTATATCTTTAAGTATTGTGATTTTAGGAATTGTGCAAAAATGAAAAATGAGTTGTGTAACTACTGAGATTGTAAGAAAAGGAAACACAGTGAACTATTTCCTGGAAAAAAAAAACCTGAATTTTTCATTTCTTCTCAGCTCCGCAAGGCTATTATAGATCATGTGTCAGACTCTTTCCTGGATACGACAGTCCCTCTTTTGGTTCTCATTGAAGCTGCTAAGAATGGCCGGGAAAAGGAAATAAAAGAATATGCTGCGATATTTCATGAACACACCAGCAGGCTTGTAGAGGTAAGCATGCTAGAACTGTAACTCACTAAAGTCCAGGAGAATGAGGCTCCCATTCTCCATTTATGGTTGAATTGTACCTAAATAAAAACTTTTGACACCGTGTTACAAATACAGCAGAGTCTGGCCAAAGTAATATGAAGGTGTATATGTCCGATTGTATAGATCACTCCACATTGGCTTGTCTTATTTTTTAAACACATATTTTATTAGAGCTTCACAAAGGAACTGGCTAAATGCAGAATACTTTGATTTATCCTTACAAATATTTTCTTCCCATTCTGACTTAAAAGTATCAAATACTCTATCACATATTATTTTATTATTTCTCTGCCATCTTTTTGTAGCTGCATTACTCTGTCAGCCTTTCAAGTCATATTTAACTATGTAGCATGACTACAGAACAAGAATATAGGAATATACAGGGTAGAGATATCCAGGAATAAGTAAGTAGGGGTAGTGAACTGGCTCATGTCCCCACAGGGGCAAAAGAAGACCATAAAACTATTATTCCCTCTGCTTGGAAACTAGAGACATGGGAATGCACCATGATTTTTGGAACAGGATAGCATATTGCTGAAGGAGCTGTGAAGTGCTGATAGCTTCCCAGGAGAGAGATAATAGAACTTACTGTATTATGGATGTCAATAACACAAGTATATTTAAGAGACAGCCTGAATGGAGGAATGTCTAATACAAATAAGATGAAAGTATTCACAAGGCCACAAACCAGTGGCAAGAAGTGGGAAATGTTATCTACTAGATCCATAGATCTCAGATGATATTCAGTATGGCTCATACTCATCAGCATGGCTGCACCAGTTGTTCATGGCTGGTGTCTACTCTGGTTGTCAGTGGCCATGCCATATGGGTTATTAAATGTTTTGACTGCCACACCTTCCTATACCAGTCATGAATTCTGTGGTCAAATATGTTTTTACGGCCCAAATGCTTGTAAATAGTCTGTCTAATAATCAGCACGTGAATTAGAATCACACCATTCAATATAACATCTACTGAAAAAGAGAACTTTCCTAACATCTTTAACGTGGATCCACGGGGAGGAGGTTTCCAATGCAGCTAGCATTTGCGCTATAAACTCTCTTTCTGGATCTCAATCTCCAGAACTAGAAGATGAAAGGAGTGGATGAATACATGATTGCTACAATTTTTGTAGCCCAAAGCCGTTCCACCTCCAACTTTGAAATCTTCTTTGAATTTCCCAAGAACTCTGTTAGATATGGCAAGTGTTACAATTTCAATTGGCCTTAGATGTAAATAAAGATATAAAACCCAAACCAAGCTAATTAGAGTTGGAGCTAATTTCCAGGTTATTAAACTAAATGAGAGGTTGACTCAAAAACCTTTGGGCCTCTTCATAGTCATTGACATTGTTAATGAAACATTTCAGGATAATTTTTAATTAATTGAATTATTTATTATTTATCTGCTTTTATTTATTCCTTCGTCTACACATTCCAGAAAGATTTATTAACTGTAGACACCAAAGAATGTTAAAAGTAAGGCGGGAAGAAATGGGAACAGGTTGTAAAAGACATAACTAAGCACAGTCCCTGACAGTCATAAAAGTGTTATCTAAAAATGTGTTCTCTAAGCTGAAGACACACCAAATTATGAAAACAACTTCTTTTTATGAAATCCTCTGAAAGCAAAACTTGGTTTATGCTGACAAAATTGAATTCCTCTTCCTATTTCTCAGTTTAGTTTTTTGATGAAGAAGGGTGCCTTGGTCGAACAATTCTCAGAAAATAAGTACTATCTATAGCTCCTCTTGGAAAATTTACATTCTTGAAAAATCCTGAAGCAAAGAGACCTCTTTAATTTAGTTTAAACAAATTAAATCAGCTTATCTCTCTTTCTTTCATGGCACATTACTAAGACACTACCTTCGAGGAACACTTGGGAATGCTACCTTATACCAAATGATGGTTTACTGTTATGTAGACACAGCTCTAAGAATTTGTTTTAAAGTTCAAGAATTTTGGAAATTCTGCATTCCATGTGAATTTTGAAAGAATAAAATCTTTTGGAATTATGAACTATTGGGAGACTGAAACTGGATCTCATTTAACTCGACATGTTTCCTTAACACATTATAATGAGATTATACGAGGTTTGGGGTGATATTTGAGTTCTGGTTTTCACTCTGGTAATGCTTAGAAGTTTTGGTCTAAGTCACTTTCATTTCTGATGAGCTTTTAGTATATAACAAACCATCCTGAAATTTAAAGCAACTATTTGTTATCTCTCACTAATCTATGGGTTGACTGGGAAGAGCTGGGCAATTTTTGCTTAAGGTTTCTCGTGTGATTGCTGTCACATACTGGCAGGGAATGGAGCCTGCCAAAGGTTGGCCTAGTCCGGACATGCTAAATGGCATATTCACATGACTGGAAGTGCGTTAACTGTCAGTTGGGGGCTTAGCTGTGGTTGTCGACTGGTGCATCAATACATGGCTTCTTCATGTAGCTTCAGCTTTTCACAGCATGGTGGTTGGGTTCTGAGATGAGAAGTCCCAAATGCAAGCAAGAATTAGGAAGCTGCAGTTGTCATTTGTATTCTATTGGTCAAACCAATTACAGAGACTGCCCAGACACAGGAAAAGGGAGCAGTGAGACTACATTTCTCAATAGAAGGAATAGCAAAGTATTTGTGGTCACTACTCTTCTCAGGGTTTCATTTGCTTTATCTATAAAGTGAAAGTTAGACAGGATAATATCTAAGGTCATTCCAAGTTTCTTAAATTCTATGATGTAACAATTTTTTTTTCAACTGAGAGACTTACAGACTTATAGATTCCTATAACAGGAGAAAATAAAAATGATTTTTAGGCATACTGCTTGCACACTAGGTTGTTTCTCTCTCTCTCTTTCTCTCTTTCTCTCTCTCTCCCTCTCTCTCTCTGTGTGTGTGTGTGTGTGTGTGTGTGTGTGTGTGTTTATCTCATGAAGAAGAAAAAGTACTGCATTTATCTCCCAGAAAAATCTGTTTTTGAAAGGATCTTCCTAACCAAAGCAACAGAGAAAATCATCAGTAATTTACTACAAACATTGAGACACAAGTGTCTATGATAGACTCGTGGAAAATAGGAGAGCCTAAATATATCAGTTTTAGAGGACAATATGAGTTCTCCTTGTATAGACTATTTACCAATCCCCTACTTCCTTGCTCCCTACCACCCCACCCCACAGACATGCACATACACTCATCTTATTCCCAAGTTGGGCAATTTGACATAGCACGGCAGAAAGTCTTACATTCTAAATGACTTTGAGAAAAAGCTATTATCAACATGTCTTTGTTTTGATACCTCAACCATGTTTGTCAGAGAAATCTAAAATCAGTGAACATGTTGAAGTAAGACTTAAATGAGAAAAAAGCCCATATTTAAAGATTTCTATCAAGTCTTTGAAGAAAACCTCCACACTGTTAAAGGAACTCTTTAAATAATGGTTAACGTGTAACTTTTACAAAAAGATAGTAAAAAGTAGGACTAAACACAAAGCAGAAAATGAAATATTAAAAAAGTATGTGGGTAATAATTTGAAAAACAAGAAGTTCTGGGGAATTCAAAAAAACAAACGGGAATGAGGAGGACAGTGGCCGAAGAATTTGGTCTGAACATGCCTGTTCCTTGGTGGTGACACATCTGAGGTGTCCCGCTATACTAATAATACAGGAGGAGACCTCAGATGTGTCACCACATCTATTATTGTAGTTTACTATAAAATGATCATGGGTAATGATGGTTATAAAACCCTGGATAGTGCCAGTAACTGGAGAATCTAGATCTTTGTGGCTAATTTTATCTTAGTTATGCTGAGCTGAGTACCTATTATGCAAACTTTTCCTACTTTGAGCATCCAGTTACTCTGTGTTCTTGGATCCACAGAACCACAGTGGGGAAGGATAAGAAGTCGTCAGGAGTATTTTAAAAGTCATCTTCACATAGTGATTAGCAATGAATGACAAATGTGTTCAATTAATGACAAATGTGTTCATATCCTCCCCAGTACTTTGATCTCACCTTGTTGGTGATTTAGGGCACCGTTATCTCTACTGGCTTCTGCCAATAAAATCTATTGAACAGGAAGATAAAAATATGAAATTTAGCTTAAAAATAAAAATATTCATTAGTTCTAGAGAGGATTATTGCTTTGAGGCTCCTCTGATAGCAAAGTCTATACAGCTCATGCCCAATAAATCCACATTGAATGAAGGAAAACATTCATAGTACCAATTAATTTTAATTTCTTTTTCTTTCTAAAATATTGACTTTGTGAATGCTAGTAACTGGACTTGAAATATATGTCTGAGCTCAGTTATAAAGCAGAGAAGCTCCCTACTCTACTGCATATAAGTACTTAAAATTAATTATTCACAGTGATTTTAGTAAATGCCATTACCATTAATTATCAAAAGCAGACTCTATAGACTCTGTTCCAGAGCTCCCTCATAAAAAGTTTCTGACAATTCAATAACATCTTTCAAGCCCTTTGCTATATCAGAGATATAGTTTCTAACCTTAAAGTGGTACTATAACTATTATTCGGAAGAATGCCATTACATTCAATAAATGCATTATTTATTATTAAAAAGGCTATTATGATTAAATGGCTATCACTTAATATTTCTCTAAAATCAATTTTGAAAAATTTCACTCTTTTTTTGAATTATATTTGTTTTCTGCAAGTCAATTCATGCTGAGCACTACAATCACTACCAACGAAAACAGTGAAATCTCCAGTTACCCTATGGATTTTATCGTATTAGTTATTAAATATGACAGTATTAATGATCTAGGCCGAAATTTTTCTATAAATTAAAGAATTTTCTCTATGTGGAAAGCCAGGTTTGTCGGTGCTTTGACTTACTCATCAAAAATTCATCTATCTTTATGTACCTTATTTTAGTAAGTTTCATGGGAGCCTTTCATCAGAAAGGAAAAAGTGGGTGGACATTTAATTATAATACTTCCCTACCACCTACAAAGCTGATTGTTCCCACTCGCAAAATGGTGAGCCCTATTTAGCAAAGCCCCAGTGCCAAGACAGAAGGCTTTAGAGGGGACTCTTGCAGTTTGCAAGAAGTGCTGATTGCTATGAGCTCTGCTAATTTCTTTGCTTTTTGACAGAATGCTGTTCAAGTTTCACACATTGCTTTAATTGGTCATCTGTTATCAAATAAGGATATGTTTGATTATAAATAAATACAGCTTTTCCAGTCCCCTTCCATTCTTCCTTCTTCTTTCCCTCAAAAAAATATAAAAGAAAAAGAACAAACCCATACTTAACACTTGTACACAAACCAACAACTGTTCTAAGTGAGCATCTTGGCAGCTCTCCTGTTTTGGTAGGGAAGGGATGCTATAGGCGGGAATGCTTTACTTATGTAGAACAGAGCACACCGGTGTGACTGCCCACTCCCTTGGTTATAAACTGCTCAGCATCTTAGTCCTTTTACTGTTAAAAAGATGTGGCTGAACATGACCTTTAAAAGCCTAACCAAATGCACGGTGAGTTCCTTTCCATGTTGTAGTGATTTCTTTATAAATTTTCTACTTACGGTCTTTGGAATATAAGAAAAGGGTAATGATTCATTTATAGAAAAGTAAGAGCCTTCCCACAATCAAGTATAGATATTTTCAAATGGAATGTTAGTGTCTTAGAATTCGGAGAAAAGAGAAAATTATATGGGATTATAGTAGTTTGGGAATTTGGCAAGAAGTAAACAATAAGCTGAACCTTGAAAACTAGGCAGGCATTGGAATTGAAAAACAAACAAACAAACAAAAAACTCCAAGTAGAGATAACAGCATGAATAAAGGTACAGTGCTCATTCCTGTGTTCCAGGAATACTGTAGAAAGGAAATCTAGATAGGTAAGTTGGCAGGAGCATGAGATGGGATAGAGGCAGTTGAACAGCCTTAAATATTTGATTATCAGGCTGCACGGGTTAGACTTCCTCTTGTATAGCTGGCAGTAACATATCTGGAGAACTGTGGTAGCTTCTCACCAGGAAAGGGACTAAAGGGAAGTCATATTTCAGTAGAGCCTGCGTGTGGACTATTTTGCATCTGAATACAAAAATTTCTAACCTTTAACAATTGATTCTAATCTCACAAACATAGATTGCATTTAAAATAAACTGCATTTAAACCTAACTTATTATCATACATAAAAGAGAGAGAATAGAACTAGTTTTAATAATGAACTTGAAACAGAAAAGCAAGTGCCCCAGGACTTAACAGCACTAGGTTAAGGCTGGCCAATAGGAATTGAAAGAAATTACATGTATAGTTTTAAATTTTCTAGGATCCACACTAAAAAGAGTAAAAAACTAAACAGGTAAACTGGTTTTAATATGTTTCATTTAATTCAATATACCCCAAACACTATAATTTCAATATAATCAATATAAAAGCCATTAATGAGATATTTTATATTTCTTTTTATGCTAAGACTTAAAATTTGGGATGTATTTTATATTTGAAGCCCATCTTAATCTACCCTGGCCACATTTTAAGTGCTCAATAGCCACATGGCTGGTGGCCAGATATCAGACAGTGCAGTTCTAGGTAGATAATGAGCAAGTTGAGAGCAGAAGTGTCTTTATTCATTAATTTAATACATATGTCTTTAAAGCCTATTGTGACCATATACTGTGCTGGACCCTGGACATACTGTCTAGAACCTTTGTTTTTGTTTCTTAGTCTGACATTTAGTAAGTGCAGTGTTCAATAAATGTTGAATGAATTATTGAATAAACGAACATCTATTAACCCCATAGAAAATCTTGAAATGTGGACAACAACGTGATTTATTGAGTAAAGTATGAAATATGGAGACAGACTTGGGTTTGAATCCTGGCTAGGTGTTCTTAGGAAAAACACTTGATATCTCTTATATCTGCCTTGTAAAAGAAGTGTTCCACTGCAACCTGAAGCAAGTAGGATCCAATGAATACGAACACATTAAAGTACCAAATGCCACACAGTGTGGACATCATCGTTCAGGAAACATTTGTCTTCCCTTTCTTCTCTAAATGTTTTTTTCAAAAATCTTGCCTGAAAAGAGATCACCTGAATCTTCAGATAGCTCTGACAAGCGGTGACATTTTCCTTTTGAAAATTTCACTTCATAAGGTAATTTTCAAATGTATATGTTGTTGGACCCTTGTATCCAACTTTCAATTTCAGATAGAATTGTTTTTCAGCAACATTAACAGGTCAAAAGTTGTCATGTGCAAAATTCTCTGCTAAAATTATGTACCCAAAGTTCTTTTGTTGTCGTTTGTTTGTTTGTTTGTTTGAGACAAGTCTCACCCTCTGTCACCCAGGCTGGAGTGCAGTGACGTGATCTAGGCTCACGGCAACCTCTGCCTCCTGGATTCAAGAGATTCTCCTGCCTCAGTCTCCCAAGTAGCTGGGATTACAGGTGCCTGCCACCACGCATGGCTAATTTTTGTATTTTTAGTAGAGATGAGGTTTCACTATGTTGGCCAGGCTGGTCTCAAACTCCTGACTTCAGGTGATCTGCCTGCCTCAACTTCCCAAAGTGCTGAGATTACAGGCGTGAGCCACCATGCCCGGCCCAAAGTTTTGATATACAATTAATTGGTGGGTGAAACTTCTCTGAACTTGAAAACTTCCCCAGATTGACCTCCAACATGGTATTTGGTCAAGAGGTAACAAGCAAACATGCTAACTGACAACTAGCTGAAGAATAATCCCAGTCTTGAAACCAAACTTTGTTTTAATCATCAGCCTGATCATGCACTTTGGGGATGATCTGTTCTTTTTAATCAATTCACTATTCCACTCAATTAAACACAAGCATAATGAGTCCCTACGACGTGCTCTTTAGGGCTTATATATACTGAACCCTGCTGGTTAAAGCCTCATTCCATTTTTGTCTTTTGTGTTTTAAAATGAATGAGTTCTACTCCCATGCTGAAGTGCTTTTAACAAATCACTAAATTTTGGAATTCAGTTTCATTATCTATAAATGGAAGATGTGAGATTAAAATAATTTTCTCCATTCCTGGCATTGAAAGTTCTAAAAACCAAAGGGGAGAGTTCTTTTATTTGTTTCATACATGTAGGTAATTTGATGGTGAATGGAAGAGGCTAGTTAACCAGACATACTGCAGGAGTGGTTATTTTATGGCTTTTATAGGATGAAAATAACTTTAAAAATAATAAAAAGAAAAGAAAAGGGAAGAAAATAAAGGAAAATAAAATATTTAGTAATCTGTGCCAAAATCATGCAAAATACTTTACACTCATTACCTCATTATATCAATGCTCACAATGATGGAGATAAATACTATTATTACCATTTTGCTGATAAGGAAACCCTAGCTGAGAGAAATTAAGCAACTCACTTAAGATCACACAGCTAATATATGGAAAAGTAGATATCAGCTCAGTTCTATCAATGCCAGAGATTAAAGGGATAAAGGTAGCATAATAAATTTAAAAGTAGAAAGTGAGCCCAAGTTTTATATGTTTAATTATTTAAATGAAGAGAGGAGAAACCTTTCTGAACGCTTTTGGACAAGAGACCTGCTATTGAGTACATCAGGCTGCAAAAATTCTGAGTTGATTAGATTTCTTCTTATTCCACCTTCCTTAATTAGAGAAGCAGAGAGCTGGGAAGCCCACACTTCTGCCTGTAAAATCTGCATGCAGTCATTCTTTCTAACTCTTAAGTAACTGCTTAGCTATTGCTTAGCGATTAGCCCAGGACACAAGACCTAAGAAAATCAGTCATCTTCTTCTAATGAGAAAGTACAAGTAGTCCATTTGTAAGTTGATTGGAACCATTTTGTCTTTTAACCAGTGCTATGTATACTAGTTAGCTTCCTTACTTAATCCTCAATAGGCTATTGAGTTCCTAATAGAAGTATAGACTCGAAGGGCATTTTGTTATGAATATTCTTCCTAATCTAAAATGCATTTAGAGTTGCCACTCCCTATCACTCAGCCCCCTCTCAGCCCTAAGGTGGAGACAGAAAATTCAAATGCTTACAGTAGGTTACCAAGAAGTAATGAGTGAAAGAAAGGGCTCAGGAGCATGAGGCTGTGCTGAAATAATGAGTATACACTCAGTCTAAAGGGGTTGGCCTCTACTCGTCCCCAGTCAATTATTGCTGTGCATGAATGCAGGCCTAGTGTTGACAGACATTCACATTTCTCAAAAGAACTAAGAAATATGGATTTCAATGTAAAAGCCTGTTTGTTTTGAAATGTAGAGAGCTGAATCAATTTAAAGCAAAATTAAAGCAAAAACACAATCCCATCACTTATGACAATACATAATGCCAAGAATCACTAGTTTTGCAATTTCTGCTCTAGGGTCAAGTTTTGAAAAGACAAGGCTCAACAAGGTGGATTTTTGTTAAAGATGTCTATAAGATCTAGAGGACGTTATTTTGGTGAGAATCAGGTATTGCAACTATCTAGTAAAATACAGGAAGGGAACTTGATTTAGGGAAGTGGGTTCCTCCCAGCTTTCTTTCCTGTAGTGATTTATCTTGAATTAGGAGGTGAATTGAAGTGGATTAGAGAAACACAGAGGAGATCAGCTGTTTCCCCTTATCTCCTCTGCTGCTTGCAAGCAATGTTAGGGTAGGGGTCAGGAGAGAGGAAGGGGGACCTTGCAAAGGATTATTCATGTGTATGTTAGACCTAGTTAAATCTGTAGCTGTGTATACCCAGAAAGTCCCTTTCATGAGAAAATTAACTAGGCTTGGTGATTTCTGCAAGATAGAAATGTTAGATTTGATGCTTTTTAAGAAATGCTCCCATCACTAAAAAACAAAGTCAAATTTACTCTGAATTGCGTTGATCGCTTTGTCTTAAGTATAAGCAACTTGAAGAGATTTGAGTTTTCAAAATCACTTTGACATTTTTATGAAATTATATATGGCGTTCCAATATAAAAGTGAAACATCCTTAGAGAGTTTCACTTTGGTGCTTTGAATCAGCCTAGTGACTGTGTACTGCAAATGATCTCTCTTCCTGTCCTCCTCTTTTTTCACTCTAATGTCTTCCTCTCATTATTTTATTCCAGCTATTGGTCTAGTCAGATCATTGTGTCAAAGGAGAATTATCTATGTTGCTTTAAATTTTTCTTAGCTAGCAATATGATGTTTAAAGTTTGCATTATGCTTGCAAAAGGGCAAATGTTCTTCAAATAAATTTAAAAATAAAACAGAAGCACTGCTGGTGCTAGAGATTCAATCACAATCAGAAGAAATATACTCTACCTCTTTGAATCCTAGCATTTAGGAGGAGCTAAATAAAAGTAAATGGCAATTGTGTATGGTTGTAATTACTGGGTCTTATGGGAACTTATATGCAGATTGAATTAGTTTAGGATTAAACATTCCAATTTTGAGAAGTGGGCTTCTAAACTATGAACTAAAGAGAATTTGGGGGTTAAAAGTTGAATTAGGAAAAGGAGATGAGAATAGAGGGAAAGTTTAGAGACAGAAGGACTGGCAACGTTTAGACTGAGGAATGAGTATAGATTTCTATCTGTAAATAAATATTTGTTTCTCTTGTAGACACCCAGAAGCGGATTTACTGAGTCATATGGCACATGCATTCCCACTAACAATGTATAAGAATTCCAGTTGCTCCACACCCTTGCCAATATTTCGTATTGATAATTTTTGTGTGTGTTCTGTTTTCCATTTTTAATATGTATGTAATATTATCTCATAATGCTTCAACTTGCATTTCCCTAATTACAAATGATATCAATGATCTTTTTTGAGATATCTATTATCGAGATATAAGTCATGTTTTATACAATTCACTCATTTCGATTGTTTCCAATATTCCACAGAGTTGTGCAACTATCACTACAATCAATTTTAAAACATTTTTTCTATCTCCCTGAAACTAGGTAACTATTAATCTACTATTAATCTATCAAACTATTAATCTACTTTCAAGCCCTACTTTCTATCTCTACACATTTTCTTATTCTGGACATTAAATATAAAGGAACCATACAATATGTGGTCTTTATGACTTGTTTTTCACTTGGCATAATGTTTTCAAGGTTCACCTATGTGTAGCATGCATCAGTACTTCATTCCGGCTTATGCCCAGTTCTGATGTATACTGTTGTGTACTGCATTTCATTCTCTGTTCATATGTTGGTGAACATCTGGGTCATTTCTGCTTTTTTGGGTGTTATGAATAATTCTGATGAACATGTATATGCAAGTTTGTGTGTAGATATACTGTTTCATTTCTCTTGGGTATATATGTAGGAGTGGCATTTCTGGGTTTCGGTCATATGATAACTCTATGTTTAACAGTTAGAGAAACCATTAAGCTGTTTTTCAGTGGTGCCAGGCTCTACCATTTTACATTCTCATCTGCAGTGTATGAAGGCTTCAATTCTCTACATGCCAACAGTTGTTACTATTTGCCTTTGATTATAGCCATCATCGTGGGGGTGAAGTGGCTTTTCTCTATATTTTCCTGTTGGCTAATGATGTTGAATAGCTTGTCATGTGCTTATTGTTCATCTGTATACCTTTTTAATAGAAATATCTATTTGGATCCTTTGCCCATTTTTATGAATTCTTGATGTAACCCCCTTATCAGATATATGATTCGCAAAATTTTTCTTCCATGCTGTGGGTTCTCTTTTCCCTTTTTTGATGGTATTCTCTGAAGCATGAAGGTTTTACATTTTGATTAAATGCAGCTTATCTATTTTTTTCTTTTGTCATTTGTGCATTTGGTTTCATTTATAAGAAGTCATTGCCTAATCCAAGTTCATAAAGATTTATTTTTATATTTTCTTCCATGAGTTTTATACTTTTAGCTCTCACACTTAGGTGTTTGATCTATTTTCAGTTATTTTTTGTACATGGTGTTAGGTAAGAGTCCAATTTCATTCTTTTGCATGTAGATTCCCATTTATTCCAGCTCATTTCTTGAAAAGACAATTATTTTTCAATTACATTGCTATAAATAAATCAACTATAAATGTGAGGGTTTATTTCAAGATTCAATTCTATTCCACTGATCTATATGTCAACCTTTATGCCAGTACCACTCTATCTTGATTACTTTATCTTTGTAGTAAGATTTAAAACCAGAAAGTATGAATCCTCCAGTATCGTTCTTCTTTCCATTAAGGTTGTTTGGCTTTTATAGGTCCCTTGTATTTCTATATGAATCTTAGGATAAACTTGTAATTTATTCAATGACAATCTGAAATCTTGATAGGGATTGCATTGAATCTGTAGATCAGTTTGGGAGTATTTCCATCTTAACAATATTATGTCTTCTGATCCATGAACACGAGTTGTCTTTCTACTTATTTAGATCTCCTTTAATTTTTTTCAACAATGTTTTGTAGTTTTCAGTCTGCACTTATTTCATTAAATTTATTCAGTAAATTTTATTATCAATAAATTTTATTCTATTTGATGCTATTGTAAATGGAATTATTTCTTAATTTCATTTTCAGATTTTTTTATTGCAGTGTATTGAAATATAATTTGTTATTTGTGTGTGTGTGTATATATATATATATTTTCTTTTTTTTTTGAGATGGAGTTTCATTCTTTTTGCCGAGGCTAGAGTGCAATGGTGCAATCTCGGCTCACTGAAACTTCTGCCTCCCAGGTTCAAGCGATTCTCCTGCCTCAGCCTCCCGAGTAGCTGGGATTACGGGTGCCCACCACCACGCCTGGCTAATTTTGTGTTTTTCGTAGAGACAGGGTTTCACCATGTTGGCCAGACTGGTTTTGAACTCCTGACCTCAGGTGACCTGCCCACTTCAGCCTCCCAAAGTGCTGGGATTACAGGTATGAGTCACCGTGCCTGGCCTGTTATTTGTATATTAATTTTGAATCTTGCAACCTTGCTGAACTTTTTAGCTCTAATTGTTGCTGTGTGAATGTGTGTTCCATGAAAGGGCTGTATATACAAAGCATCCTCCAAAGGCTAACAGTGAAGAAAGCAAAGAGTGAGGCAGACAAATCTAGATTATAGGAAAATAGTGATTTATTGGGAGAACTTACAAATGGAAGCATGTCTTACACAGCTGCAAGATAGGTAGATCTCTGCACCACAACCCCCTTAGTCCAGGCTTGAATTGGGGAAAAAGTATATGTGCTCCAGAAGGAATGAGTAGGTAGCTATGGGCCTCATAGCCTATGATGTATGCAACACCATCAAGGGTTGTTTTGGAGGAAAGGGAAAACTTACAGTGAACAGGTATTTCTATATAAAAAGTAATACATCAGCTAGACATCTTGGAGGCATTCCTAGACTTAGGGTTAGTCAGGAGTCACATGGCAGATTAGCATTTAAATAGAGTCACTCTTGTTCATACAGTGTGTGTGTGTGTGCGTGTGTGTGTGTGTCTTCCTTAGGATTTTCTATATACAAGATCATGTCATCTGAGAATATAGCTATACTTCTTCCTTTCTGAAGTGGATATCTTTTATTTTATTTTCAAGCCCTATTTTCTTATTTTGTATTGTTTAAAAGTTGTTTATGTATTTAGAATGCAAGTTTTTTATTATTTATGGGATTTATAAATATGTTCTCTATTTCTATGGCTTGTTTTTCTAATCTCTTCAGAGTATCTTGTCCATGGCAGAACATTTAATTTCAATGAAATCAAACTTATTAAATTTACTATATATGGATTATGCTTTTATGACTTAGATAAGAAACTTTTGCCTAATCCAGAATTATGAAGACTTTCTTCTATGTTTCTCTGGAAGTCTGATAATTTTAGGGTTTGCATTAATTATTGTATATTAGTTAATTAGTGGTGTGAAATAAAGGGTCAAAGTTTACTTATTTATTACATATGGATGTCTAATTGTTTCAGCGTTATTTGCTGAAAAGATTATCATTTGTCTATTAAATCATGTTTGTACCTTTGTGAAATATCTATTGGCCTATATGTGTGGGTATGTCTCTGGTCTCTGTGTTCTGTTTCATTGATCTATGTGTCTACCATTTATTCAAGATTGTCTTTAAAACTGTAACTTTATAGTAAGTTATGAAATCAGGTGTTGTCAGTCCTCTTTCTTTTTCTTTAAGAAAATTGGTTTGGCTACTCTATTTCTTTAGCTTTTCCATGTAAATTTTAGTATAAGCCTATCAGTACCTACACAACTATTGTTAAGATTAAGATAGAAATCATATTGAATCGTTATATTAGTTTAAAAAGGATTGAGATCTTAACAGTATTGAGTTCTCCAATCCACAAACATGGTATATCTCTCCAATTATTCAGGCCTCCTTTGATTTTTTAAATCAATGTTTTGCAGTTTTTAGCATTCAAACATTTTTAATTGCCAAAAAATTTGCCACCTATTTTTATACTACATAAATCCATTGTAAGCTTTTTAACTTATTTTGTTAGTTTATGGGTTTTTCTTTTTTGTGTGTAGTACACTTAAAAGAAATTTTAGGAAAGTTGCCCATTAAATTAACTGATTTGATGTATAAACTAATTTAAGTAAGAAATGTGATGCTGCTTTTAAAATCAAAACTTGTTAGAACCTTGGAAGGCAGTATAGTCTAATGTAGTAGGAAAGAGCATAGAGTGAAACAAATACTGATTTCAATACCATGTGAATCTGAGCAACTTAGCCCATCATTCTCTCATTAGGAAGATGAAGACAATGTCTATGGACAGCACACCTATTCATTTATTGGGACAATCCAATGAGGTAGTACAAATAATATTACAATAAATATAAACCTAAAAAGTCCTAGGTTGGGAAAAAGAAATAAAACTGTCTTCGTTTGTAGATGACATGATTGTCTATGTCAAAAATCCAAAGCATTGACTAAAAAACTCTTTCTGGAACTAATAAATGATTGTAGAAAGGTTGCAGAATATATGATTAATATACAAAAGTCAATTGCTTTCCTATATACTAGCAACAAACAAGTGGACAAGTGGAAATTTTTTTTTTCAAGATAGTCTCACTCTGTCACCCAGGTTGCAGTGCAGTGGCACAATCTAGGCTCACTGCAACCTCTGCCTCCCGGGTTCAAGCGATTCTTCTGCCTCAGCCTTCTGAGTAGGTGGGATTACAGGCATGCACCACCATGCCTGGCTAATTTTTGTATTTTTAGCAGAGACGGGGTTTCACCATATTGGCCAGGCTGGTCTTGAACTCCTGACCTTGTGATCCGCCCGCCTTGGCCTCCCAAAGTGCTGGGATTATAGACATGAGCCACCACGCCCAGCCTGGAATTTTAAATTAAAAACATATTATCATTTACACCTTAACACCCTCAAAAATGAAATACTTAGGTATAAATTTAAATTGAGGAAAACTACAAACCTCTGATGAAAGATATTTTAAAAGTCTAAATAAATGGAGATACTCCATATTTGTGGACAGGAAAACTCAGTATTGTCAAACATGTCACTTCTTCACAACTTTATAGATTCAATGCAATCTCAATACAAATCCTAGCAAGTTATTTTGTGGACATTGACAAATTACTTCTAAAGTTTATATAAACAGGTAAAAGACACAGAATAGCCAACTCAATATTGAAAGAGAAGTACAACATTGGAGGACTGACATTACCTGCCTTCAGGCCTTATTGTAAAGCTGTAATGATTGAACCAGTATGGTATTTGAACAAAAAAGGTAAATAGATAAATAGTATAGAATAGAGAGCATAGAAATAGACCCACATAAAGACAGTCAACCAACATTTGACAAAGGAGCAAAAGCATTACAATGGAGAAAAGATAGTTTTTCAGAAATGATGCTGAAACAACTGGACATCCAAATGTGGAAAAATGAATCTTTACACATCCCCAGCACCCTGCTCAAAAATTAACTCAAAATGGGTCATAGACTTAAATGTAAACTGCAAAACCATAACACTTTTAGAAGATAACATAGGAGAAAATCTAGATGATTTTGAGAATGGCAACAACTTTTTAGATACAACATCAAAGTCATGATCAATGAAGGAAACAATTGATATGCTGGATTTCATTAAAATAAAAACAATCTGTTCTGCAAAAGATAATATGAAGAGAATAAGAAAACAAAGCCACACACATGAATAATATATTTGAAATACATAGATTCCATAAAAGACTATTATCATCCAAAATGTACAAAGTACTCTTAAAACTCAACAATAAGAAAACAACCAAACTGAAAAATGAACTGAAGGCCTAAACAAATCTCTAACCAAAGAAGATATACGTATGTCCAATAAGCATATGAAAAGATGTTCAACATCATATATCATTGGGGAATTGCCAACTAAAACAACAAGATACTATTACACATCTAATAAAATGGCCAAAATCCAAGATACTGGCAATACCAAGTGTTGGTGAGGATGCCGAGCAAGAAGCATTGTCATTCATTGCTGGTGGGAATGCAATTGCTGGTGGTACAGCCACTTTGGAAGACAGTTTGGCAGTTTCTTACAAAACTAAACATACTGTTACCATAAGACCCAGCAATCACACTCCTTGATATTTACCCAAGGGATTTGAAAACTTATGTCCACACTAGAACCTCCACATGGATGTTCATAGAAGCTTTATTCATAATTGCCAAAACATGAAAGCAATCAAGATGTCCTTCAGTAGGTGAATGAATAAATAAACCGGGGTATATCCAGACAATGGGAATATTACTCAACACAAAAAAATGAGCTACCAAGCCATGAAAAGACATGGAAGAAACTGAAATGCATAGTTACTAAGTGAAAAAAGCCAATCTGAAAGGATACATCCTATCTGATTCCACAATATGACATTTGGAAAAGACAAAGCTATGTGGACAGTAAAAGATTAGTGGTTGCCAGGGGATAGTGAAGAGGGAGAGGTGAGGAGGTAGAGCACAGAAGATTTTTAGGGCAGTGAAACTGTTTTGTAGGATACTGCAACGGTGGATACATGTTATTATTGTCAATCCGCATGCAATGTACAACACCAGGAGAATATCTTTCTTTCTTTCTTTCCTTTTCTTTTTTTTTTTTTTTTTTTTTTTTTTGAGTTGGAGTTTCCCTGTGTTGCCCAGGCTGGAGTGCAGCGGCACAATCTTGGCTCACTGCAACCTCTGCCTCCCGGGTTCAAGTGATTCTCCTGTCTCAGCCTCCCAAGTAGCTGGGACTACAGGTGACAGCTGGGACTACATGGTGACTACCTGCCAACATGGCTGGCTAATTTTGTATTTTTTTTTTTTTGGAAGAGATGGGGTTTCACTATGTTGGCCAGGTAGTCTTGAACTCCTGATCTCAGGTGATCCGCCCGCCTTGGCCTCCCAAAGTGCTGGGATTACAGGTGTGAGCCACCGTGCCCAACCTAGGAGAAAATCTTTATGTAAACTATGGACTTTGGGTGATAATGAAGTGTCAGTGTTCATCGATTGTAACAAATGCACCGCTGTGGTGCAGGATATAGACAGAGGGGTATATTGTCTGTGTGTGAGGACAGGGGTGTATGGGAACTCTCTGTACTTTCTGCTTAATTTTTGAGCACCTAAAATTGCTCTAAAAATAAACTGAATTAATTAATTATTTTATTAATTGTTAATTGGTTTATTCATTTAACAAATCTCAGGTAAAATGAACATCTGGTGGGATAAAAGAAATGCTGAGACAATGTCCCATTTAAAAATGTCTTTTATTCATGAAAATTTTAATTTATCTCTGATCAACAGTTAAATAATATGATTTAAGCATTTTTGTTTAAACATAGAAACTCCAGGATATTAATTATATAGGAGCTGCAGTACATCTGTCAGCTATAAAATATACCTAGGAAAGCAGCCACAAGAGGACAGTCACACTCAAATTAGCAGATTTATCTGATTTCAAAAATGGAACAATTTTTAACTACATTGGCAAGGAGCAGAACAGAAACATGAAAGCAGTAGTATAATTTTTAAAAAAGGTAACCTTGAAGTCAGTGAAAATGTCTGCGGAATTGCTTTTTCAACACAGAGACACACAAATGGATCTCACATTTTTGTTTTCAGAACTTTGAAGGTTATTAATCTCCAGATTCGAACGTTTTTTGTAATCAAACTTTTTCAATTTCCAAAGCCCCTTTGCAGTTAGATTCCCTCGTATAGGTTTGGCATGAGATGGTGCTGATACCTTTGATGCCAGAGTCGATGAGCTCTGTGGTAAGGACTGACAGCAGGAAGCACAGACACCAGCTTTCTTTAAGAAATGGACTGTCACTGTCAATTCTGCTGTGTAGAGAAGTCTGGACTCTTGTCAGTATGAATCTCCCATTTGACCTATGAGTTGGTGCCAGTGGAGAAAAAAATCCCCTCACTGTGGACGTAATTGTATTATTTTTATGATTGTTATAAACCTTTTTTAGAAAGCAAGAGGAAGATAAATGAGGAAAAGCATAGGGATCACCCAGGATTTATCTATTTCTTTGCTTGTTTCTAGGATACCTTCCTTCCTAAGAACTGGAGCAGAACAGCCCACACCAGAGTAGTTATTCATCACAGGCCCAGGTGACTCTGCTTTTGGAGTCCTGTTTTCTAAATCCCCCAGTATATGAAAACCACATTCCCATGACCAACCCACATGTAATTTCTGGAATTTGTGGTCAGTCTTAGACATTTTCTGCGGGGAGCTAAGAAAGATTAGATCTGAGTTATGACTGGAAGGTAGCTAAGTGACGTGCATAGGTCAGTTTTCCATAATTCAATTTATGTTCAGAAAATTCACAGCTATAAAGCTACCTGCTGCATTAAAACAGGATTGTAGTGATGCAGTGAGAGTGTGACCTGCAGGCAGTTTTACCGGAGCTAGACAGGTCTCAAGATTTCCATGGTTGTGATCATTATTTAAAGGCAGACTTCCTACTCACAAGTGTGGCTGCTATTAACCATTTAGTCTTGAAGAATTTCAAATTTATTTATTATTTTCCTAAGAGTAGGAAGGAGTTATTTTGACCTTGTTAACAGACTGAGTGCCTTTTCTATCCAAGATATGAACACACAGTAAAAAATTAAAAAGCATTAAGGCCCGAGACAATATATACTTTCTAAGCTTGTAAGCAACATTTAAGTGAAATAAAGTCAAAACATTTGAATTAGGTTCTATTCCTGGCTCTGTCACTTGACTTTGGCTATTATGCCTTTGTATAAAATACATTTCACCAGCATTTTATTTCTGTTATGCTTTTAATCTCCATTATATTGATGAAAAGACTTTTTTTTTTCTCTTGGAAAACATCTTGACATTACTGACTAAAAATCTATAAAGTATGCCATGAATAATCCCTACTAATTACTAATCGCAGTTCCATGACACTGCATTCCTTTGTGCACATGTGTGTGCACGCACACACACACACACACACACACACTGCATCCATTTTTGGCAACATAGAAAAGGAATATTTTTAAAGTTGTGAGTGCAGACATTTTAGGATTGACTCTTATTGGGAGAAAAATAGTTGTGCAAAATTTGATACTTATGGGGAGTCAAGGGACTCTCACCTTCATCTCTCTCTCTCTCTACCACAATTTTTGTGTAGAGAGACATAGAAGGTATCCACTTATAGTTACCTATTGTAGTGAGTGAACCTCTTTGTGATTCCATTTCCTCAAATGCAGAATGGGGACAATACCACTTTACAGAGTAGTTGTGAAGATAAAATGACATAGCTAATGTGTGAGGACTTAGAAAAGGAAAAAAAATGCTATGCAAATAATACTTGTAGTAATATTAATAGCTATCCTGTGTAAATGCTTTTGCATGCCAGACTATGTTACAGGCTTTATCTCAGTTAGATATTATTTGCCAAATTTTATAGAATGTTAAGAATGGTGAATCAGCTTTTTGACATCACACTGTTAGAAGATAGTAGAGCTAGAATTTGTACCTAGGTCTAAACTAGGTCTAAATGGATTCAAAGTCCATAATCTTTTGTTTTCTATTATACCTTTCATAAAATATTTGTCTTTGTCTTCACTAATAATTTTTACCTTGAAATTTGTTTTCCTAATATTATCTAGTATTATTTGTTAGCATTTGCTCCCAATGGCAAAACCAACTTTGTTACGTCTGATTGGACCGAAGACAGCCAGAGAGATGGAAAAGCTTAACAGACCTTCTAGTTTGCATTTCTTTTTCATTTGGCAAACAAGAAAATTAAGGAACATGCCGATGGCATATAGTTAGTTGGTGGAAGGTTAACTGACTACCAGATATCTCAATTGTAAATACCATTAATATGACTTATTATCTAATGCCTTATCATGGATAATATTGTGTGTCTTTTCTTCCCAGCTATGTTATCAGCACTTAAAATAATGGCTGTCTGTGGGCCGGGCGCTGTGGCTCACGCCTGTAATCCCAGCACTTTGGGAGGCCAAGGCAGGCGGATCACGAGGTCAGGAGATCGAGACCATCCTGGCTAACACAGTGAAACTCCATCTCTACTAAAAATACAAAAAAAAAAAAAAAAATAGCGAGGTGTGGTGATGTGCGCCTGTAGTCCCAGCTACTCAGGAGGCTGAGGCAGGAGAATGGTGTAAACCCAGGAGGTGGAGCTTGCAGTGAGCCGAGATCACACCACTGCACTCCAGCCTGGGCGACACAGTGAGACTCTGTCTCAAAAAAAAAAAAAAAAAAAAGGCTGTCTGCATTATATACCATTAGATCCTCCATGTATGGGACATATAGTAGCCATTCTACAATTAATTAAATGATTTAATAAATGCAGACACTTATGGAGCACATCCTTTGTCAGCAGGCCTGGCTTTTAAGGGATGGTGAGCAGAAACTTTAGTCCTTTAGATATTCTGCACACCTTGACAATGTATTTTTAAATGGTAGAGTTAATACCAGCAGATAAGCTTGTTCTTTGGTGTGATTTTTACCAAGTTTACTGTTTGACCTTGGCCAATCACAGAATAACTAAATATGAGGTAATCTGGACTTTTTACATCAAGTTTTAAAATATTTAGAACCTATGTGGTTACTTCTGCATATGCCAAACTTGAACAGGCATTACACTTGAAGCTAACAAATAAGATGTTAACATGATGCAGTGTAAAGAGAGCTCCAGACCTTGTTTGACTGAAAACTAAGAATGTGATGACAGCATGGTGGATGAGAGCTGAGAAGCGCTGGGGGTGGAGCTGGCTGTGAACAGGTGACTGAGTTTGTGCCAATCCATATAAAATAATGAACCCACGGTCTTGAATTGTGACTCTTAGCTTTTAAAGAGCTTTTGTGTTAGTGTAGTTAAAACAATTTAGCACCTTGAAATCAAGTAAGATATTTCAAAGGTCATTAAACAATCATTTTTGGGTGCTGACTTCTGAAATATTTTATTACAATTTATTCCTCAACATAAAAACCCTAGAACTCCTAAAGATATAGTGATTATACCTCAGATTCAGGAGTTTCATTTATTCATACACAAAAGAGGCTTAATTACACTGATTATTTTTCTCTATGCCATTTGGTAAGCATTTTATTTTAGGGGTATGGATTAGACAATAATCCTTATAAAACAGTATTTGAGATTTTAAACTAAGCAAATTAGCCAATTATATAATAACATTATCCTGAAATAAAGTCAAATATTTAAAATATAAATGCAAGGCAAACAACTTTTCTCTACTAACCTCTAAGAAGCCAGTGATCATTAGATACTGTCTAGAAATAGGTGATATGGAGCACTGGAAATAGAGTTGTCCTGAATCACAAGACAGGACAACCCCAATGTCCTAACCCCAATGCTCTCATTAACTAGTTGAGTGATCTTGACAAAATGTTAACCTTTTCATTAAAAATATGGAAGTTGATGATCTATAAGGTGCTTCTAACACTAAAACAAAAACAAAACTTAATTCTTTGATCCAAATTAGAATGTCATGTGCAAAAGACATAGAGTCCTTAATTATTTGAAGAAACAGTATTTTTGGCCAATTCAAAGGAATAAAAACTATACTAAGAAGAGCTAAATAGACAAGCAAACCTTAACAAATTGATCATATCAGTTCTTGGTGCATGAAGATTATTTGTAAAACCTAAAAAGTGATCCAAAGTTTCCTTTTTCAGCATGGATTCGGATCATTTTAGAAGCTCATAGGTCTGAGAGCGTGCATTTGCTCTGTCATAGTAGTCAGTTTCTTGCAGACTAAAGCCCTGCCACCTGCAGTTTACATTCATTCTTCCCTCTTTCTGCTTTTCCTCCTCTTCCTCCTTCTTTCCTTTTTTTTTTTTTTTTTTTTTTTTTGAGATGGAATCTCACTGTGTCACCAGGCTGGAGTGCAGTGGCACTATCTCAGCTCACTGCAACCTCTGATTCCCTGGTTCAAGTGATTCTCCTGCCTCAGCCTCCCAAGTAGCTGGGACCACAGGCACACGCCACTGTGCCCAGCTAATTTTTGTATTTTTGGCAGAGACGGGATTTCACCATGTTGACCAGGATGGTCTCCATCTCTTGACCTAGTGATCCACCCGCCTTGGCCTTCCAAAGTGCTGGGATTACAGTCATGAGCCACCACACCCGACCTCCTCCTCCTTCTTTCTATGGATCTCATTTCTACTCTTTCTGAATGCATTCTTCCTATACAGTTTTCCCCTTTATGAATAACTAGAAGTACCTCACACCAGACATGTTACAATCCAATTAGGTGGATTATAGTTTTCCTTAAAGCAGAAATAGGCAAGTCAGGTCTGTTCAAGAATATACTCTAGTATCTCCCCAAAATGGGTTTAGAGTATCTCAGATAAACCCAGATAAAGTCTCATATTTTCAGAAAATATTTGCAATATCTCATATTAAGGGTTAATTTACATATAAGTAAATGTCTATATCTAGGTAAAAAGTCATATGCTGATGACTTTATTAATTTTATTTGCAGAGGGTAAATTTGTACGATCTTTTCCTCTAATTCTAAGGGTTTTTCCTCTTTAGAGATTAGGTACTATTCTGTATCTACATGGATACAATGATGCCTGTTCACCTTTTAGATGTCTGAAAGAATATTACAAGTTTATCCCTGTAAAATACATGTATCTTACATGTCTATTATAATCAGCCAGTGGGGAGGTGTTTGGGGTCAGCCAGTCATGTTGGTGCTCCTGTGATCATACCAAGAAGGTAAATGCATTCTCGGTTTGTGTGTTGGAAAATCTTGGATCTTATGTCCAATACATAATTTAAATGTATACCACTTTACTCCATATCAATGAAAATAAGTTAGAGCTTTGGTCTTTCAGGTTGTTATTCAAAAAAAATCATGTATAAACGGTAGAAAACCAGGGGCAGAGGAAATGATGTAAAATATAAACCTACTATCTGAGCAGTATAGTTAAAAGGTAAGATGTTTACATATTAAAATATTCCATCACCAGAGATACTGACTCATGAGCAGGTAAAAATGTCAAACAAATAAACAGAAATTGAGAACACCAGAAGAGGACGCTTTGTCTTGATAATTAGATATCTTCCTAATGTATGAGAGAATCCTGGTGTATTGGGTGAAATTCACCCCCGATATTTCACATAAGTTCTTTTCTGTATTCCCTAAGTGTCAGCCGGTCTGAGAAATAAAGGGACAGAGTACAAAAGAGATAAATTTTAAAGCTGGGTGTCCGGGGGAGACATCCTGTCGGCAGGTTCTGTGATGCCCCCTGAGCCGTAAAACCAGCAAGTTTTTATTAGTGATTTTCAAAAGGGGAGGGAGTGTATGAATAGGGTATGGGTCACAGAGATCACATGCTTCACAAGGTAATAAGATATCACAAGGCAAATGGAGGCAGGGCAAGATCACAGGACCACAGGACCTGGGCGAAATTAAAATTGATAATGAAGTTTCGGGCATGCATTGTCATTGATAACATCTTATCAGGAGACAGGGTTTGAGAGCAGACAACTGGTCTGACCAAAATTTATTAGGCGGGAATTTCCTGATCCTAATAAGCCTGGGAGCGCTATGGGAGACCAGGGCTTATTTCATCCCACAGCTACGACCATAAAAGACAGCCATCCCCAAAGCGGCCATTTCAGAGGCTTCCCCTCAGGGACACATTGTCTTTCTCAGGGACGTTCCTTGCTGAGAAAAAGAATTCAGCGATATTTCTCCCATTTGCTTTTGAAAGAGGAGAAATATGCCTCTGTTCCGCCTGGCTCACCGGCAGTCAGAGTTTGAGGTTCTCTCTCTTGTTCCCTGAACATTGCTGTTATCCTGTTCTTTTTTCAAGGTGCCCAGATTTCATATTGTTCAAACACACATGCTCTACAAACAATTTGTGCAGTTAACACAATCATCACAGGGTCCTGAGGCGACATACATCCTCCTCAGCTTATGAAGATGACGGGATTAAGAGACTAAAGTAAAGACAGGCATAGGAAATCACAAGGGTATTGATTGGGGAAGTGATAAGTGCCCATGAAATCTTCACAATTTATGTTCAGAGATTGCAGTAAGGACAGGTGTAAGAAATTATAAAAGTGTTAATTTGGGGAACTAATAAATGTCCATGAAATCTTCACAATTTATGTTCTTCTGCCATGGCTTCAGCCAGTCCCTCCATTCGGGGTCCCTGACTTCCCGCAATGCTAGTGAATGTGCAGTAGAACCCAGCAAAGGCCAAACACTCATCCAACCTGTTGTAGAGGAGGAATCCATGCATTGTGTAGTGAATTGTATTAGTTTATCCTGAAGGTCTCTTCCGCTCTGAAAATCTGAATTTGTGTTTTCCCAGCCGTCAGTTTAGATGACTTGTAAATTGAAATTACCCATCTCGGCCCAGCCTTATATAAATTGCTCTGTGAGGCCTCCCCTCACTCTTGCTGGTATCAGACGTTTTCTTCCATGGTACTCACAAAGTACTTTGGTAATGTCTTTAGACTTTGTATTTTGACTTACCTGCCCCCTATGCAATGATACATCTGTGTTTTCCTGGCCTTGGGAATTTGCTTGTATCATCTCTTCCCTTCCACCTAGCCATTGATCCACTATCATAACCCAGAAAAAGCCTTCTTTACTTTCAGTTCAAGTGCCAGAAGACTTCCTTTATCTGCACCAGAAGGCATTGCTTTCACTTCTGAAATCTACTAAGATATCATTTAAAAAATCTAATCATAATTTATCTTTGATTATAGCAGTAGCCTCCAAACCTAATATGCATAAGAATCACCTAAAGGATTTTATAAAATAGTGTATTTGGAATGGTTGTTTAAACAAAAATTCTGTTTCACTAGGTGATTCCATGAATCTGCATTTCCAACAAATCCACAAGTGATACCTATGATGTTCATGGACCACGCTTTTAGAACAGTGGCACAGTCTAGATTGTAAGCTTTTCAAAGTTCAAGGCAAGATTGCTTTTCCTCTCCATATTATGTATCAGCTTCAAAGAGATATTTCAGCTTCAAAATCCCTTGCTCTAGGAAGTGTTCTATGAATGAAGGGTTAAACAAGGTCAAGTGGAATTTAATCATACTTATCTTCTAACTCATGAAACTACCATAGTGATAATTTTGTAATGGCAGAAAGAGAGGCAAGTCAATTGCAAAAGGAGCTTCTGTTTGTGTCTGTGAGAATAATAATACATTTGAAAAAGAAACAGCATTTTCACACAGAGAAAAGCAAACTGTAGAAAGCAAAAGAGAAATGAACAGAGCTTATTTTATTCCACTTAAATGGAACTGCCATGTGCTGGAAAATCTAAATTTGTTAATTCCAAAGAG
The DNA here is from genome assembly GCF_000001405.40 of Homo sapiens. Classification (NCBI taxonomy): domain Eukaryota; kingdom Metazoa; phylum Chordata; class Mammalia; order Primates; family Hominidae; genus Homo; species Homo sapiens. Next base: position 66,740,509 of record NC_000010.11, on the reverse strand, counting down.
AATTAGGAAAAAGGGACTAATTCAATGCATGAAAGAAAAATAATTTGACAAAATTGAATATTACAGTGTAATCACATAAAGGTAGTCTGAAAATGTCTGTCTGTGGAGTTGAAACATAAAATCTTCTAAACCTAGGGAGCATAAACCCCAGAGCCTCACAGATGCTGTGCCAGTGTGGGACTTCTGTGTTTATTATATTTTGCATCGTCATTCAGAAACTGTTCTTACAATAGCCCCAGCCTAATTTCTTTCATTATTAAAGTACATGGTGGTATTCTTGCTGATTGAGTAAAGTCTCACCATGTCTGGTCACTCTTAGGGAAACAACTTTCAAGATATTAACAGGACTAAAACATTAATACCATTTTCTTTTTAATAAAGTCCCCCGCTCTTGTTTAATAACTCAAAGCAACAAAGAGAAAGAGAAACACAGTGACCCACAATTCTGCACTCAAGACATGATTCCCCAAATGATCTGAATCTGGCCAGCCAGGAACAAACACCTTTCCTACTCCATTCCCACGTTATCTTGCACGTGCTTAATGTTGTCTCAGGAGGGCTTTGTTCTTCATGTTTTAATACACACAGCCAGAAATTAGAATTTTTCTTTGTATAAACTTTAGCAAGTCTCTCAGATATATATGTATACACATATGTATATATTTTATGTATATGTTTGTGTCTACACACACACACACAAACACACAACTGTACTTTCCCCAATCAGACTTAGCTCAATTTTTGTATTAGGAAATTTTTATTTAATCCCCCACTAAAAACAAGTTTATTCCAGATATAATGGCCAGTACGTTACAAATTAGTCTTAACAATGTACCTTTAATGGTTCTATTAGACAATGAAACACATTTCATTTCCAACTAGCTTTTAAATAGCTATCTATATATAAGATAATCTTAAAAAGAAATCTAATAGTAAAATGCATAAATAATGTAAATAAATATATATAAACATAACATATTTTAACTAAATCACTAGCTGTGGATGCTTAATTCACCTTTCCTTACATGCTCGTGGGATAGCTGTGAAAATACACACTGATATAAAGTTAAAAAATATTTCAATCTGTGATTGAGCTCCCTTGGAAGAATTGCTGTAAGTTAGGGATTCTGAAATTTGGTGCCCAGAGCAGCAGCATCAGCATCACCTGGGACTTGTTGGAAATGCAAATTATCAGGATCCACCACAGTCCTATTAAATTAGACGGTCTGGGAGTGTGACAGCAATCTGTTTTGTTTTGTTTTTACAAGTCCTCCAGGTGATTCTGATGGACACTAAAGTTTGAGAACCATTGCTCTAAATACAGTAGAGATGGAATGGATCCAGAAGTGATTAGAATGGGTGGGAGATGTCTTTCATTCATCCCCACTCTGGATCTTTTGTTCAGAGATTTATAATCTCTGTATATATCTAGAGAATTTAGTGATAATCCCAGGTCTATGGGTGACTGAGATGACTGAAATTTATTTTGTATCCTCCTCCACATCCCCCTCACACATCACTATCTTTCTTCCTCTATTCTGGAGATTGCAACTTCCATACAGCATGTTTAGAGGTGAAAAGGGTTGGGAAAACCACACAACACATTTATAAAGCAAATTATAAGTAGAACTGTAAAATACCAGTAGTGCGGGAAATAGAAGAAAATAATTTCAGGCTGCTTAAAATTATCCAGAAATAAATACACCTACTTTACTGCAAGGATTAGGGAAACAGGAGATGATACAATCTCACTTAATCTGGGTTTCATTGACAAGATCAGAAAAGGAATATCTGGATGTACACAGGGAAATAGTGATGGAGATTAAAATGAATACATACACTTATTTACATGAAACGTGTATATGGGTAAAGATCCCCTTGTTCAAATCGATGAAGACCAAACTCTTTCTACAGAAAGAGCTAACATAAGAAAAATTTGATGTCCTAACATTGCAAACAGAAGTAATTATTTTAGAAACATATTTTTTCTAGAATGTATATTTGCTTTTTCAATAAAGAACCAGAAAAGACAAATTCACTACAGAAGAGATTAAAGATGATACAAAGTTGTCATTTGCAGAGATGCAGCTTGTGAGCATAAAAAATATGGGATGAGAAGGAAAATTAGAAAGAATACATCAAACTGATAAAAGTATTCATTGGAGGTGGTAAAAACAGAATCAGCTAACTATGAAATGCAGTCAGTGACTTAAAGAACAACTTTGAAAAGTACATTAAGAATGCAGATCAATCAAAAACATAATAGATATCAAGGAAAGAAAACAAAGATGCAATTTGTAGATAGCTGACAATCCTTGGGAATTAAGCCAAAACAAACTGACCAAAAAGAATAATCAAAGTCATAATAAAACAGCTATTATAGAACTAATAAGATTTTGGCTTTGTAAGTTTAAAAGGATCACTATGTTTCATGGAAAGCTGGTGAAAAAGACCTATGCCTAGAATATACTGTTAGATTTTTAAAATGTCAATAACAAAGTCATATCCTTCAGTGCAGGGAAGAGAAGGATGTTACTTAAAAGCACAAATTTTGGCCGGGCGCGATGGCTCATGCCTGTAATCCCAGCACTTTGGGAGGCCAAGGCGGGCAGATCACAAGGTCACGAGATCGAGACTATCCTGGCCAACATGGTGAAACCCCATGTCTACTAAAAATACAAAAATTAGCTAGGTGTGGTGGCACATGCCTGTAATCCCAGCTACTCAGGAGTTGAGGCAGGAGAATCACTTGAACCAGGCAGTCAGAGGTTGCGGTGAGCCATGATCACACCAGTGCACTCGAGCCTGGTGACAGAGCGAGACTCCATCTCAAAAAAAAAAAAAAGTACAACTTTTAAGTTAGATTCAAAGTTTGCACCATAATAAATGCTAGAAGAAGTCACTTATATGGAGTCTCACAGGGAAAAAAATTGCATTTCAATATTTATAAATGTAGCCATGTTGTCATTTCTATGTGAAGACATTCTTGAAATTGTAAAGGATTCAAAACATATATCATTGATGAATCATTTTTGAATAATCCTACTTGAAAATATGCTCCAATAAAATGAAAAATGAGAATGCGGCAACTAAGAACTAGAGAATTAAATAACATATATACAGTGGTGTGGGCATGATTCCAGTTCAACATAAAGATTTTTAAAAACTTTTGCAACACTGGCCACGGAATATTTTGCAAATGTTAAAAAAATTCCCAGAGAATAAATATATGAAAAGTTTGGCCATTAAACAGTCATAATCAACAACTGTATCCTCAAAATATCTTGTCAAATACTGAAAATTTAAGTGAACTAGAAATAAAAAATTATTTTACACTAGTGTGTGTTGGGGGATGAAACATGCACAGGCCAATGTTTTTGTATTTTTCATAAATTTGTTAATCAGAGGAAATGGTTTAAGAATGCGCTTAAAAATTTAGGAGGATATGAATGTTTTGGTTTTGTATCACTGAAGAAAATTAAAGCACACAGTGCAGAGATAAAGTGAATCTTACCAGTCATCATAATCAAGGCACATAGATTTATATCCCAAATTAAATTCAAATATTCAGATTAAGTTTAAAACATTTAAAGTGTTATTAAAAATCAAATGTTTTTCAACTATTTACCAAAACAGTAATGTGATTTTAAAATATCACATTGTAAGCCATATAAGCAACCTAAATCTATTTGAAAACTCAAAAATTGTAAGACCACATCTCTCTGAAAACACTGCAAGAATGCTGTAAACGAATAATACGGATTAAATGATAAAAGCACACAGATAGAAATTTTAAAATATATATTGTAAATATATATTAGGTCAAATAGGAAATAATAACTATAATTTCATACTTTTAGAATGTTTTAACATAAAATTATTAAATTTTTGGCCCATTTACAAAGCTGTACACAGTGGCATAATTTTAGCCTTATTATTAATAAACAGGTAAGATGGAGCATAAAGAAGGGGTTCAATTTATAATGATAGAAAGAATAATGTAAAATTGTATTAGTTGCCTGGGTGCGGCAGATCACTCCTGTAATCTCAGCACATTGGGAGGCCGAGGCAGGCAGATTGCCTCAGCTCAGGAGTTCGAGACCAGCCTGGGCAACATGGTGAAACCCAGTCTCCACTAAAATTAAAAAAAAAAAAAATTAGCCGGGTGTGGCGGCGTGCGCCTGTAGTCCCAGCTACTCGGGAGGCTGAGGCAGGAGAATTGCTTGAACCCGGGAGGCGGAAGTTGCAGTGAGTCAAGATGGCACCACTGCACTCCAGCCTGGGCGACAGGGCGAGACTCAGTCTAAAAAAAAAAAAAGTATTCGTCACTTTTCACTAGGTCTTCCTCCATGACAGTACAGAATCTCAATGGCTGTAATAAATGTTTGTTTCCCAGCACGTTGAATAAGAGAGGCTGGGTCGTTGTTGGGCGCTGTGGCTCAACTGCACTCTGCAGGTTGGACTGATGTCTGCTTTATGCATTTTTCTATTTCTGGGATGCTGACTGAAGGATCAGCCGCCAAATGGGAAGCATGTTCCCAAGGCAAGGGTAAGAACACAAGACACGTGGAGAGGGACACATGGAATGCTCCATAAAGCCCCTATTTGGATGTGACACAACTTCTTTTCTACCTAAATGTTATTAAAGCAACTCTCATGGTCAGGCCTAGGTCAGTGGAGCCAAGGAATTTACTCTGCCCACAGTGAACCATGGCAAGAGTGAGAGCTAAGGAAGAATTGTGAAGAAATAACAATTTCTTCTATAATATCCTCTTCAATTAAAAAAGTAGAAGAAAATGGAGGAAAGACAATGATGGAGATAAAAGCAAGAATTTATTTATTAGAAGAAAGGTATCAGAAGAGTTGATAACTTAATCAACTCTGGTTATTTCAAACAAAACAAGACTGACCCATAGTGAATCAAATAGTAAGAGTAAATATATATAAAGTTATAAATGTTATAAATTAAAATGGAAATATATTAAGAATAACTTTTTAAAATAAGGAAATATTATGTAAAATTAAATCTTAGTATGTTTGAAGGTCTCAGAAGCCATTTTTCTGAGAAAATATACACTACCTAAATTGAGCCAGAAAATAAAAACATTCTTAATGTACCATTAGTCATGAGTAGTATCAAAATGTTAGTTACCTCTAAATAAGAATTTGGTCCCAAAGTATTTAGGGTTTTTAAAAGAATTATTCCTATGCTATAGAATTTGTTGTAAGACATGCAAAAGTATGGAAAGCTACCAATTGATTTATTTTCCCCAAAAATTCTATAATTATTACCTTATAAAAAGCCTGACAAAGATAACAAAAAGGTAATAATTATAGAATTTTTTATTATAGATAGCAAAATTCAATATTAAGGTGAATCAAGAAAGCATTTAGAAAACTTTCACTGTTGCCTAGTCTGTTATACAGAATAACTTACTTTAATAATATATAATAAAAAATATTGTTTTATCAATAAAAGATAAAAAAGATATTTAATCAAAAAATGCTGACAATATTGAACATCTTATCTATAAAACAAATTCATAAGAACTTTTTGCAAAGCTAGCCACTGAATATATTGCAAATGCCTTAAAAAAGATTCCGTAATGTAATAAAATTTCTTTTTTTTTTTTTTTTGAAACAGTCTTCCTTTTTTTGAGACAGTGTTGCCCAGGCTGGAGTGCAGTGGCACAGTCTCAGCTCACTGCAACCTCCACCTCTCGAGTTCAAGAGATTCTCCTGCCTCAGCCTCCTGAGTAGCTGGAATTACAGGCGCCTGCCACCACGCCCGGCTAATTTTTTGTATTTTTAGTAGAGACAGAGTTTCACCATGTTGGCCAGGCTGGTCTCGAACTCCTGACCTTGTGATCCACCCGCCTTGGCCTCCCAGAGCACTGGGATTACAGGTGTGAGCCACCATGCCTGGCTGTAATAAAATTCATAATGTAATGCACTTTTTTACATTTAAAGTCAGAGTTTTATATAACTAATCATTTCTGGCTTTAAATGTAAAAATAGTTCTCCACCAGCACCACCAACAAAATACTTTTGAGAAATTTAGAAATAAAAAGGTATTTTCTTAACATGCTGAAAAATATCAATATTATATTAACAACTAATAGTTCAGATTCCCATTATTATTATTATTTTATATAGTTCTGGAAGTTTGGCTTCTGTGATAAGAGTGGAAATAAGGAAGATAATTACTGGAGAAGAAAAACAACTTAAAAGGTGTTGTTTAGATTATATGTTTAGAGAGAGAGAAGAAAAGAGAGAGAAGAAAATTAACCATTTTTGGAATGAGTAATAAAATTCAATAAGTAAAAGAAGTTTCTTTAAAAAGTCAATATTTTTTTTTAAGGAATGATGAGAATTATGTGGAGCTTTGAGACAAATACCATGGAAATTTATCAGAAGTGAAAAATAAGAATTGAATAAAAAATATTGGTTAACATCTTGATATAAGAAATACATCACAATTAGTTATATAAAACTTGTACTTTTTGGTAAAACATGTCATAAATAAAATTAAAACTAATTATATCTGGGAAAATATTTGCAATAAATGTGGCCAATATAAAGTTCATATTTTTAATATGTACAGCACTCTTAGAAATTGTTTTTTAAAGATTACCTAATAGTTTTATCATGGTTTATTTTACACACAATAAGCCATTGAAAAGAAACCTCAAAGATAGGCAAAAAAATTTAACAACATCTTAATAGAAAATAGATGTAAAGAAGCTTTTCACAAATCACCATACTTTAGTTACAAATACAGAGAAAATCTTAGGCATGTAATCATTTTCCTAACTCATTAGAAAATTATATATACATCTGAGTAAGCTGTGGATTATGTATATACCTGAGTGAGGTTAAGTAAGCATTTTTTTTAGATGGAGTATAATTTGTTTCAATCTTTTGGAAAAGCCCTTTAACAATACAAATTAAACAAATAAAAAATATATACATATATATTTGTGTGTGTTCGTGTATACATATATACTTTAAAATAAAAACATACATATTTATTCTTTGACTCAACACTTCTCCTAGGAAAGTGTTATCTGAAAAGTTGATCATCTTAATTATAATCTGCAATGAAGAAAACAATAAGAAAAATCATAATATGTTATAAATTAAGGAATATGCTTCCACTAAATGTTTTATGAAAAGTTTGCATTAAAACTTAGCACAAATTTAAAAAACAATATAATTACAACTTTTTTTTCTACTACACACAAGAGAGTTAAAGAGATGAAATTCGAAAGAAAATTTTAAAAATGTTAGCAGTTTTTGCTTTGGCAAAGAAAGAAGATATTTGTTTTTTCTTCTTTTTTTTCTAAATTTTCTTTAAAGAACATATCTTACTTGAATATAATAAAGGAGAATATATTTTAAAAAGGTATGACTTGACCAGGTGTGGTGGCTGACACTTGTAATCCTAGCACTTTGGGAGGCTGAGGCAGGAGGGTCACTTGAGATCAGGAATTCAAGACCAGCCAGTTCAACATGGTGAAACCTCGTCTCTACTAAAAATCCAAAAATCAGCTGGGCGCGGTGGCTGGTGCCTGTAATCCCAGCTACTCAGGAGGCTGAGGCATGAGAATCACTTGAACCTGGGAGGTGGAGGTTGCAGTGAGCTGAGATCATGTCGCTGCACTCCAGCCTGGGTAACAGAATGAGAATCTGTTTCTTTAAAAAAAAAAGAAAAGGTATGACTTTGTTTAGGGGATAATGTTTGGCTGTGTCCCCACCCAAATCCCATCTTGAATTGTATTTTCCATAATCCCCATGGGTCATGGGAGGGACCCAGTGGGAGTTAATTGAATCTTGGGGGCAGTTACCCCCATGCTCCTGTTCTCGTAATAGTGACTGAATTCTCACGAGATCTGATGGTTTTATAAAGAGCTTTTCCCTCTTTGCTTGGTACTTCTCCTTCCTGCCACCACGTGAAGAAGGACCTGTTTGCTTCTCCTTCCACCATCATTGTAAGTTTTCTAGGCCTCCTCAGCCATGCTGAACTGTGAGTCGATTAAACCTCTTTTCTTTATAAATGAACCAGTCTCGAGAATGTCGTTATTACCAGTGTGAGAACAGACTAATCAGGGTACAAAGCCAAGTGGATGGCTTTTCCAAGGAGAACACTCTGTAGTGCTAAATTAGAAGGAAATTGTTCCTCCTTGGCTAAAACTATCTTTATGTCAATTTACAGAGAGAGAGAGGTCTAGATTTTTCTCTGTTTTGTTTGCCCACCTCCAAGCTCACAGTAGGCTGCTCAGTGTATTTCCTGAATAAATGAATAAACACCTAGTCTAGCTGACTCAAATCTGTAGGATATGTTGCATGGGCAACCTCTCCAAGCCCTTTACTGGCATAGCAAAGGAAGAGAATAACCTGGGCAAATTGAGTCAATTATTTCCCCTAAAGTTAAATCTAGATGTTACAAACAGCTGTTATGAACTTTATTTAAATTTAATCTGGTAGCAGTGTTTTTGTTACTATTAGTTTGAGCATAAGAGCTAATTTTCTGAACTTTTCAAATCACTTTGAAGGGAAGATTTTCTCTTTTTTACCAAAAACTGTTACATTTAAGGTCATGTCCTGTGAATTCTAGCCAGGCAGGAAAGCTCAGAGCTCAGGAGCTATTCATTAGTATTCTTTAGTTTGGAATGTCATCCGGAAACTCCACTTTCCTAATATAAATTAACCTCAATAAACCATTGTTGGTAGCAAAGTGTTAAATATGTTCACTTTTCCCCCTTTCCCATAGCAAAAGCATGTGCAATACACCATGATAAAGTGATTGGATAATTATTGTTTTAGCTAGGGAAAGTGAAATTTATGTTTTACTCTGCTTCAGAAAGCTATGTTAAAAATTTCTCATCAAAATGTTTTCTCAATATTCATATAAATTTGAAGAGTTTTGCAAAACAAAAATGTGGTTGTAGGTCCTTAGCTATTAACAGCTTTGCAGCAGTTTACAGATAAAATGGAAATGAGAGACTTACGTGCCAGAGTTATGCTTAAATTTCCGAGGAAAGAAGGAAGTAGGGAAGACACAAAAAGAAGGAAGGGAGGGAGGGAAGGAGGGAATAAAGAAAAAGCATGCCACTGGGAAAGTCACCCATATTGGCTGAAGTTTGCTTTGACTTAAATGTGCTAATTGAACTAAGCCAAAATGTCTTGTCTCCCAATTCATTAGCAATATTGTAATTAAAAGAGCACCTCCAGTTCTAGAGGGTAATGACCTTTTTAATTGAACTTGGGGATTCAGATTGCTGTTGAATAGTAGTGAATTTAAATGCTCAATTCAAATGCCAAATTTTCTTCTGGTAAATGTACAATTAGGAATCAAATATGAATTCCCCTAGCAATTTGCTCCTGTTTTTATATATGGCCTTCCTTGGATTTCAGAGGAAGACTGAATCTATTGAACAATTTATTGTGTATTTGGCCCTTGACTGATCCATAATAATTATCCAAAAGAAATGTTGTCACATAATTGGAAAATACTTAAATTTTATAAAATATTACCTTAAAACAATCACTTTGTACTTTCCTAGGGCTTCTTGTTATCTCTATGATTAGATAAACATGCATTTTTGCATAGTTTTAGTCAGAGTAGTTTTTAGGGTCAAATGCTAAACTACTGAAACAAATAAAGTAAGATTCAATAGCTCAGACAAGATAGAAGTGTATTTTTCTCACATAACAATTGCAAATGAGTATTCTGGGTTAGCAGTGCCTTCCTTCCACATAGTCACTCAAGGTCTTATTCTGGTAGTGCCTCTGCCTTATTCACCATGTGATATAAAAGATCACTCTGGTTTTTATTATTCCAGCTCATAGGAAGAGATCAGGGGAATGTGAAAAGACAGGACTGGTCTTTTTTTAAATTTTAAGTTCAGGGGTACATGTGCAAAATGTATAGGTTTGTTACATAGATAAACATGTGTCATGGTAGTTTGCTGCACAGATCATCTCATCATCTAGGTAGTAAGCCCAGAATCCATTAACTGTTCTTCTTGATGCACTCCCTGTCCCCACCCCATGCCGACAGGCTCCAGTGTGTGTTGTTCCCTCCAACAATGTGTCCATGTGTTCTCATCATTCAGCTCCCACTTATAAGTGAGAACATGCAGTGTTTAGTTTTCTATTCCTTCGTTAGTTTGCTGAGCATAATGGCTTTCAACTCCATCCATGTCCCTGCAAATGACATGATCTCATTCCTTTTTATGGCTGCATAGTATTCCATGGTGTATGTGTATCACATTTTCTTTATCCAGTCTATCATTAACAGGCATTTAGGTTGATTCCATGTCTTTGTTATTGTGACTCATGCTGCAATGAATATATGAATACATGTATCTTTATAATAGAATGATCTTTTTTTTTTTTTTTCAGACAGAGTATCGCTCTGTCACCCAGGCTGGAGTGCAGTGGCACAATCTCGGCTTACTGCAAGCTCTGCCTCCTGGGTTCACGCCATTCACCTGCCTCAGCCTCCCCAGTAGCTGGGACTACAGGCACCTGCCACCACGCCTGGCTAATTTTTTTTGTATTTTTAGTAGAGACAGGGTTTCACCGCATTAGCCAGGATGGTCTCGATCTCCTGACCTCGTGATCCGCCCGCCTCAGCCTCCCAAAGTGCTGGGATTACAGGCATGAGCCACCACGCCTGGCCTATAATAGAATGATTTTAAAATTTTTTAAATTTCCTTAGGTTTTGGGGGAACACATGGTGTTTGGTTACATGAGTAAGTTCTTTTGTGGTGTTTTTGTGAGATGTTGGTGCACTCATCACCCAAGCAATATACACTGTATCCAATTTGTAGTCTTTTATCCCTCGCCCCCTTCCACCCTTTCCCCTGAGTCCCCAAAGTTCACTGTATAATTCTTATGCCTTTGCATCCTCATAGCTTAGCTCCCACTTATAAGTGAGAACATACAATGTTTGGTTTTCCATTCCTGAGTTACTTCACTTAGAATAATGATCTCCAATTCCATCCACATTGCTGTGAACATAATAGAATAATTTATATTTCTTTGGGTATATACCCAGTAATGGGATTGCTGGGTCAAATGGCATTTCTGCCTCTAGATCTTTGAGGAATTGCCACACTGTCTTCCGCAATTGTTGAACTAATTTGCACTCTCACCTGCAGTGTAAAAATATTCCTTTTTCTCCGTAACCTCGCCAGCATCTGTTGTTTTTTGACTTTTTAATAGCTATTCTGACTGGCATGAGATGGTATTTCTTTGTGGTTTTGATTTGCATTTCTCTAATGATCAGTGATGTTGAGCTGTTTTTCATATGTTTGTTGGCTCCATGTATGTCTTCTTTTGACAAATGTCTGTTCATGTCCACTTTTTATAGCACTGGTACAAGAACAGACATGTAAACCAATGGAACAGAATAGATAACTCAGAAATAAGACCACACACTTACAACCATCTAATCTTAGACAAACTTGACAAAAACAAGTAATGGGGAAAGGACTCCTTATTTAATAAATCATGCTGAGAGTGCTGGCTAGTCATATGCAGAAAATTGAAGCTGGACACCTTCCTTATACCATATACAAAAATTAACTCAAGATCTATTAAAAACTTAAATAAGGCTGGATGCCATGGCTCATGCCTGTAATCTTAGCATTTTGGGAGGCCCAGGTGGGCAGATCACTTGAGGTCAGGAGTTCGAGATCAGCCTGGCAAACATGGTGAAACCCTGTCTCTACTAAAAATACAAAAATTAGCTGGGCATGGTTGCACACACCTATAATTCCAGCTATTCGAGAGCCAGAGGCACAAGAATCACTTAACGCGGGAAACAGAAGTTGCAATGACAGAGGTTGCACCACTGCACTCCAGCCTGGGTGACGGAGTGAGACTCTGCCAAAAATAAAAATAAAAATAAAAAAGGACTTAAATGAAAAACCCAAAACTGTAATATAAAAACGCTAGAAGAAAATTAGGCAATACCATTCAGGACATAGGCATGGGGCAAAGATTTCATGATGAAAACACCCAAAGCAATTGCATTAAAAGCAAAAATTGACAAATGAGATCTAAGTAAACCGAAGAGCTTCTACACAGCAAAATAAACTATCATCAGAGTAAACAGATAACCTATAGAATGGGAGAAAGTTTTTACAATCTATCCATCTGACAAAGGTCTAATATCCAGAGTGTACAGGGAACTTAAATGTACAAGAAAAATACAGGGCTGGTCTTACAGGTATCAGTGTCACACATTATTTCTGCTTACCTTCTCCTGAAATTAGCCACATGATTCCTTCCAACTACAAGCTAGACTGGGAAATGTAGTGTTTCTGGTAGCCACTTGCAAAAGCTACACATCTGTTACTAGTAATGAAGGAAAAACTAGATTTTATGGATAGCTAAGGACTTTGTTAATATGTATGTGCAATATTGTCTTCTTTCTCATGTAACATTATTTCATAAACAATACGCCCTTCATTTAGTGAGGGATATGATGTAAGCGTCCTACTACTTTTAATTCCAAAATTTCGTCACATTAATAAAGTTTTATATTAAAAATGTGGCTTTTTATACCCTAAATAAATCCACAAACATCTCCTTTATCACATTTGAATTAAAACCTTTACATTTGTGTATAAAACCTTACACCATAATCTACTAAATTTTATTAAAAATATTCCCTATTACTTGATGTGCATTTGTTCCTAGACAACTGGGCTATTGGTTTCACAAATTATTTTCTAACGTACTGTAAATTTTTCTGATATACAGTGGATGAGTTCACAACATTAGTTAAAGCTACTGCTGAATTCAACATTCCACTCATTAATTTACTAAAACTTCTGTTTTTAGCTGTGTGCTACTTCTCTATTAGATTTATCCTACCAGTTGAATTTTTAAAGGAATAACTTCTCCAAAAGAAATATTGCTTTAATTATTAATATCAAAGAATGGGACAACTGGGTTATTGTATATGATCATTATCATAGTATCCTCTGAAAGTGTATAACTAACCTATACATCTGGCAAAGAAAGATGTTCTTGTTTAATGAAATATGATCTGCATTGAGTTTTACCAATATTATTTATTTTTTCCCCTTGACTAGTTTAAAAGAGTAATAAACTATATACTTTAATAGGGAGCTAGACTAATTTTTCAAATATTAGTCAATTTTTACCTACTCTTGTAGATATAACTGTTGCTATTCTTGATATTTTTTCCTAGGCAAACTTTTTTTTAATGTTTGTATCACAAGATCTTCAGATTTAGAGTTGAAAGGAATCCTGAAAGTAATCTAATTTTAATTCTGAAGCTTGACTTTCCTCTTTTGTATTCTTCCAAGTGGTTATTTAGCCTTTGCCTAAACAATTTCTAGCATAGGAAAATTATTGTCTCCCATAACACTCAATTCCATCTTTGAACATCTTTGACATATGACTGTTAGAATTAGTTCTTGTTACACATCTATGAAATTTAAAGCATTATGCTGGTGCTTTTAAACATGTTCTCTTAGGTAATCCTTGTATCAGCCTTATTGTTGACATGATTTATAGTTTGGAAAAATAAGCTCAAAGAGGTTTTATATTTAGGGTCACATTGCTACTTGATTGAAGGTGAAATTTTCTGCTGGATTTATCAGATCTTATGTCCATGCTTTTTTCAATAAGAAGAATTGTCTTTACTTACATATGAAACAAATCTGTCTTCCCAACAGGCTACTGGGCTACTGGTTTTCAAACATACAGTGGATGAGTTCACGGCATGAGTTAAACATCAGTTACTCTATGTTTAAAGTTCTTCCTGGCAACAACTCTTGAAATATTTGAAGTCAGCCCTCATGTATTCCATATGCTCCCTCTTCTCTGAGGTGAATTTTATAGTCCCTTCAAATGGTTACTTTTAGCTCTTACCTTGTCTGAGCCATTCTTGTCTAAATGCTTTCCAGTTTATTTTTTGGTAATACCACTCCAAGTGATGTTCAAAATAGAATGTAGTATTGTTGGATTGGCCAGACTAGCCAACTGTAACATGAGATTACCATCTCAATTGTTATAGGAACTTTATTAATGTAGTCCTATTGAATTAGCTTAGCAAACCACGTTGTAGCATTCATTTCTGTTAAGATTGGCATATAATTTTATGTATTAATAAGTTGGCGAGATATTGGCTTTACATTTTGAATTATATCATACTTATTCTTTCTAATTTCCTGTTTTATCCTTTGAAAGGAACCCATGAAATTCTTTGGCCACTCTGATTTTTGTGTCCTGAAATTTCCATGTCATTGCAATGAAAAAGAATCAAAGTATGGCTGCACTAAAAGGAGAGTATTTCTAAAATATAAAGCACTTTGCAAAAGCACTCAACATACATTATGTCGAGCTCTTATAACTACATTATAATGTGGGTATTAACATACATATTTTACTCATTACAATTTAGTAATTTGTTCAAGACCATAAAGAAAGAAGTTTAGAGGAGATGAATCCACCCATACCGCTTTTGTTTTTCCTGCAATGTCATAATGATATTGATAAGTATATGTTATCCTAAAGGACTAATTAATCAGAAATAGATTATAAAAAAGACTTAGTGATATCTCTAGTATTAGGCCAACTTCCAAGGGTCTTATGCAACACTTGTGCTAAAAGTGAGAGGGGTGAAAATCATTGTGTTACAATATCTGAAACAAATATGCCTGTGATTTGTGAAACAAGTGAGGTTTCCTTTCCATATCCAAGTTTGGACCATTGCTTCATGCATCCAAAACCAGATAGATCAACATTACATTATCATGTACTTCGTATAGCTCAAACATATTTGAATCTTCATATCTGCCATGGTGAACAACTGTCCGTCTGGGAAGATTTCAAAGGTGGAGTAACTGGGCAATGTTGTTATACCAGTGTAGAATTGCTAGTGGATATTTACTCTTGATTCTAAGTTGACAGAGGGCATTAAAGCTCTACTTTACAGCACTTTAGCAATGATACATGGGTTTATTGTGTTCATCAACTTCATTTACTGGAAAATCAGATACCTGGTCTTAACCTCCTTGACTCTGCTTAAAGGTAAACCCCTTAATTTTTTCTTCCCCACATCAGCAATCCAGGTCTATAGGAGATGGTTTGTAAATGAGTTGTAGTCTCTACAAACAAGGCAAAGATCACCTAAAGCATATTAGTGCTAGATCTCTTAATATTTCTTTCTCCAGATTTTTAGATCTTAAGATAGAAAATAGCCTACAGTTGGCCCTTAGTATCTATGGGTTCCATATCCATGTATTTAACCAACTACAGATGAAAAATGTGGTTAGGTCTATAGTAGTTGTGTGTGTACTGAACATGTACAAACTTTTCCTTTCTTGTCATTATTCCCTATACAATGCAGAGTACAATAACAACTATTTTGCATAACACATACATTGAGTTATAAATTATAAGTAATCTAGGTATGATTTAAAGTAAATAGGAGGATGTGCATAGGTTTTGTGCATATACTACATCATTTTATATCAGAGACTTCAGCATCCATGAATTTTGGTGTCCATGGGGGTCCTGGAACCAGTCCCCACTTTGAAACAGAGTAATGACTGTATATTTCTTCAAATCCCTTTACAATACTGAGAACAGTGCTCAGGATATGGTAGGTTACATATACACATATTTGTTGATTACAGGTTTAACTTTCTAATTTATTGGTCTCAGAAGTAGTGAGATAAAATATTGAAACAATGATGATGCAAATTAGCCAAAAGGTGATAGCGATTTTCACACATAATTTTAACTTCTCTTTCCAAAGTATGTTGAGAGTTTTTGTCCTAAATGTATATAGTGTCAACACATACATATATACACAAATTATTCAATGAAGCTTTTAAATTTCGAGATGATATCCCCTTATCACTTAGCACATTTCTTCTCACTGTCAATTGGTGTGTGCTAAGGGAATGCAAATTAACTGTATTATTAATTTAAGTAAGACATAATTAGTAAGGTAAATCTTCTGCCAAAAACCACATAACACATTCCAGGGCCAAATATAAATGAGCTATGATTAGCCTGCTGTTCCTCTTTATTAGTTCAGATTAATGGCGTATTCCCTGTGGGCATAAAGATGCACAACCATGTGTTTTCTAAGGGTCTTAGGACCATTTGTTAACTGCAATGGGAACTTCACATCTCACTATCTTGTGAGGACTTCCTGGTATTTAATCAATGTGAGAAAGGAGGACAAGTATCAATTGATTAAAAAGCATGAATAGGGTTTGTAAGCAGAACATTTAATGAGCTAACTAAATTTCTCTACCAGTCAATAGCAAACATGGGCTCCCTTCATGCAAGTACTTCATCGTTTCTTCTCCTGCTTGGTACCATTATCCAGACTGTGAATAGCATTGTTGTCAGAGAGCACTTTCAGAAACATTCTTGACTAGAGGAAACACAGGGAGTAGCAATCCATTAATGAAGCAGATTTACATCGATTAATTACATTCCACTTCCTCTGTTCAGGCCTGTAGCACAGCTCCAGGAGGGGAAAAAATATGATGAAAGAAAGAGAAAAGCTCTCAAATTAAATTTTCAAGTCTGATTTATGAGACTCCTCTGAAAATCTAGTTTTTTCTAATTTCAATTATTTGTTTCTCTGCTTCCCTGACAAGGCTGTTCTAACACTGCCTGGATTTTGGCTTGTTGCCTGCCTCATTCCTTTCTTGGCTTGTTCTCATTACAGCACTTTTGCCTGGTAGGAGTGAAGACCCTTGAAACTGGGAATCCAGACTATATAGAGCAAAACCTATTGCTGGCAATGGGCAGTTAAGAGACAACACAGGCTATTAACTGATGCTGTTGTTTTCTGGTAGCCATTGAGGGACACTGCATGTGTGCCATTATTCACAATCAGGGTCACCATTCTAGTCCCTGCTGGGATTCATTTTTATCAAGAACAAGTAAGTAAGATGACTATAGAATGTGCTGTGCAGTGAACTGGCATTTAGGATTTTTTTTGATGACCTTAGTCCTTCCTAATTGTGTTTTGTGGCTATAAGGCCAAGTGATTTAGGCCTGTATGTGTGCACAAGGGTACAATTTAGAGTGTTAACTGTAGTGCTATTGCTTCCATTCGTAGAGGATTGTAGGATTTAGAAAAATGGGCCCTTGGGTAGGATGGTAGCAGCATCCTCCATTAATAGCCATAAAAGTTAGGAATACTTCAACAACATTTCAAAAGATAAAAATGAGAAAACATATGTTACTAGAAACAACTATCATGTATCTCATAGCCTGCATAAAGAGAGAGACATTACCAGCTAATTTTATATTCAAATAATTATAAAGTTGTGGTCTGCAGAGTCAGCTCCTTTCTCTCCCCTCCTCTCCCTTTTCTTTATTCTTTCTTGCTAGGCAGGAGCAGGGTAAAAAGAAAATCCATAAAAACCAACAAGGTGGCTAAGAAGCTAGAATGATAGAGCAGAAAAGACTTCTTTCCTGAATGATAGAGCAGAAAAGACTTCATTTCTGAATGATAGAGCAGAAAAGGCCAGAATCACCGGGCCTCACACTGTGATTGGACGGAAGGGACACTGACTTTCCTGGAATCTCTTGAGTCCCAATCCTAAACAAGGACTGTCATGCCAAGTCTCTGTCTACTCAAGAGCCACACTTCCCCCGCCCACCCCCGCCACAACCCCAGGACAGATCTGATTCTTATTACTCTACAGTTGCTTGAAACTTCTTATAAGTTTACAGTTGTGCCTATGAGCAAAGACTTAAAATGAAGACAGTCCTAGAGAAGTACCCTCAGGAATGCACTGTTGATGTCAGAGCTTTAGAACCACAAATTTGGTTGGAGGGTCAATGGAAAAAGTGAACACAGATGCAGAGTGTAAAAGCAAGTATTAAAAGTGTGTTTCTGTGTGTGGTGGGGTGGGGGGAGGGAGTTGATAAACCTGACTTTGTATGGAAGAAATCACATTTGGCCTGAGTCTCCCAGTGGATGTCACTTCTTTTAACTTGTAGGTTTACTTACACTCAGGAAAATCTATTCTCTCAAATTGCCTGGGAAGCTAGCACCAATTCTCTGTTTATGAAAACATCAACCACAGTTTAGCATTTTTTTTTTTTTTTGAGACAGGGTCTCGCTCTGTCGTCCAGTCTGGAGTGCAGTGTCGCAATCTAGGCTCACTGCAAGCTCCGCCTCCCAGGTTCACATCCTTCTCCTGCCTCAGCCTCCTCAGTAGCTGGGACTACAGGCACCTGCCACCACGCCCGGCTAATTTTTTGTATTTTTAGTAGAGACGGGGTTTCACCATGTTAGCCATGATGGTCTTGATCTCCTGACCTCGTGATCCACCCGCCTCAGCCTCCCAAAGTGCTGGGATTACAGGCATGAGCCACCGCACCCGGCCTTTAGCATTTTAATTGAAAGAAAAGACAGCTGATAAATACAACCTGGTTATACTATAATACCCTCTAAGTGCTATAATATGCTTCTTCTCTCAGTTTCCTAATGTCACTCATGATCCATGCTCTTGAAACTGCATGACATAATGTCAGGAACATTGAGTTTGGAGTAGAATATCTGTGTTGCACCACTTATGGTTTTTAAAGGTTTTTTTCCTCCTAATCTGTAAAATGGGTATGACAGCATGAGGATTAACAGTGATGCCCAAAAAGTGCCTATCACAGTGCTTGACCTTACTGGGAATTCAGTAAGTAAGAGCAGGTATTACATTTGTTGCTATTGTTTTGTTATTAACAGTAGCGATGAAGAGCCCTCTCGTTGCTCCCACCTTCTGTTTTTATGGTCTCCCAAACATTCCCCAGCAGGGCAGCCTCTCTTGCTCCCTTCTGGCTGATGTATTTTCTTAGCAACCCAGAATATTCATCATTCTTACCAGGCAACTGGATGAAGTTCCTCTCTGGTTTGCCTGGTTATCACAGCTTTCTCAGCTGAGCCTTCAGTGAGGAATCATGGTCCTTCTTTAGAACACTAGTTTCCAAATTTTAGAATTATTTATGCCCATTAGTAAAATGATGTTGAGGCTATACTCCTAATAAATGTTTCTTTATTTATAAATAATACATATGCACTACTATACTAATAAGTAAAACAAAGAAATTTTATAAAAATTAGAATGGAAATGTTACATTCAGTTGTTTTCTTATATGTTGTCATGGCTCATCTTGCACACCTTCTGGGGTGCACAGCTTGAAAAGCTTTGCTCGAGAGGTTTATCATGTTTTTGTAAATTAGACTGTCTTGCCCATAACCAAGTACCTCAGTCATCTTCCAGAAAATGCCTTCCACACCCTTGGGTCTCTTTCCGTGAGGAAATCCCATAGCCTCTCCCTGCAGTATCTGAACTCTCACTCTAGCCCTCATGCTGGCCCTCTAACCCAGTGCTTCTGAATTTTGTCTGTACGTGTGATTCACCTGGGGACCAGTCCAAAAAGTCTGTGGCCCCATCTCAAACCAATTAAATAAAAATATTTGTGGGTCTGCCCCGAGGCTGTGAAGGGCCTCTTTTGTTTAGCCCAGTGAGCTGTTGGACTGGAGTAGGAAACATTTACCATAGGTCCTGATCAACACTCCCATTCTGGGAAGTTGGGGCCTCAGAGGCTACTGGAGAGCAGGTCTTTTTGTTTTCTTTTCTTTTCTTTTCTTTTTTTGAGACAGGGTCTCTCTCTGTCACCCAGGCTGGAGTGCAGTGGCGCGATCTCGGCTCACTGCAACCTCTGCCTCCGAGTTCAAGCAATTCTCCTGCCTCAGCCTCCCAAGTAGCTCAGATTACAGGTGCCCACCATCACGCCCAGCTATTTTTTTGTATTTTTAGTAGAGATGGGGGTTCACCATGTTGGCCAGGCAGATCTCGAACTCCTGACCTCAGGTGATCCACCCGCCTGAGTCTCCCAAAGTGCTTGAATTATAGGCGTGAGCCACTGTGCCTGGCCTAGAGCAGATCTCCTTTGCCTACCTTCCTTCTGTTTTCCTCAGTCACATTAGAGAGAGAAGGGTCTTCCTCTAAATCCCATTCTGGAGAAGGCGGTTTTGTCCAGGACCAGCCAAACCTGCACGGCAATGGCCCTATCAACTTGTTGCAAATGAAAGGATGAGTTGACCTTATCTTTCTAAAGTTGAAGTTTTGCTTTGCTCTCCAGCTGTTTATAAAGCAAGCTTGGGAGTCAACCAAATAGAGTGGATGATTGGCAGGAGGAAGGGAGGAAGGCATAAAAGGTGACTGCCTTCACCTTCTTACCTTCAAATAGCCCTTCTATTTATCTCTTTTCTCTCTTCTTCTCTCTTTCATTTTTTTTTAACTGAAGGTGAGATAACGAGAGAGAAGGTCTTTCCAATATTTTCCTTAGCATCGTGAGACATCTCAAATCAGAGTGAAATAAACATTTAATTACCTGGAGTGCATGGGATAGGGTATTCTTCTTTAAGCTAGTATTTATATTTGTATGTATGCATTCATACATGTAAGTTAGGAACTGCTTAACCATCAGGAAAAGGTTTTCCTTCCACTTTACCCTTTTCTTTCACTTGCTACTTTGTCCCCCATTGTGAAAAAGCTTTCTAAAAGCCTGAGTCCATATTCCCGCCTGAGAGGTGAGTTGAAATGCAGGCATCTAGATTAATATCAAATTATACTGGTGCCTAGCTGCTACCATTGAGGCCAAAAAACATATCTCCCCTCTCCCACAGCAAAGTCCCTCTCTGCCAACTCAAGAAGATCTCTGGGAGGCATATATTTGCATAGGAACAAAGTGACTCAAATATGTTTCTCTGACTTCCTCACAATGGTCTCTTGCCCACAAACCATATAAGGCCACTGTAGGCATGCTGCTGCAGGTATATTCTGAGATGATCGTGCTTCTGGTTACCCTGGTCTCTGCAATACTTCTGGTCATAGCAGTTTTTCTGGGGTGGTACCCTTGATGCCCCATGTGCAGAAGCTGCTACACAGTGGATACTGTGTACTGGATTCTGGATACTGGATCAAAGAGTATTTACTGCAGGCTGATACTAAAATTGTTTGCTCATTAGTTTGTTGAAATAATTAAGTATATCTTTTGCTCCTAAAATGTAGAACACATGTTATCAGATGTTAACTTAGGGTCAGAAAGTTCAAGTGTAACATATGTGGTCATAATGGCACAGACAGACAAATAAACACTTAATATAAATCAGATACTCTGTATGTGTCTATTGATACACCGACATTGTACTAGAGACACTATTAAAAACACTATTAAGACATAGATTTTATAATCAAGAGTCTTAGAATCTGATCAAGAAGGCAGACCCACAAGAAAACGATAAAAATGCAATGAAATAAACATTGAAAATAGAGGAAAAACAAAGTTCGTAAGATCACAGGACACTTAAATTGGCTTGAGGAATCAAAGTGCAAAGATCTTTGCACAGCATATTTGGAGAACATTGAGTGATTTGATACACTGAAGTCAAAGTATAAGTGCAGAACGGATAGCGCAGATCATGGAAGACGGTAGTACCTAGAAAGCAATGTAAATTAATGACTTTCCACCACACACAGACTTTCTATGTTACTTTAGTGGTAAATGTGTTGCACAAAAAGGGAAAATAAAGTTATTTGAAATGATTTTAACAAACAATTGTCAGTGACATAACAATTGTCAAATCAATTGTTAAAATGGTGTTAATCAATTGTTATGTGATTTTCATTTAACAAGTATTCATTGATCACCTGCTATGACAAGCACAGTTTTTGGCCTTTGGGGTACATCGGTGAACAAAATGAATGAAAATCACTGTCCTCACAAAGCTTACATTCTCTTTATTATAAGTTTATTTTATTATATTATTAATGATATTTACATTATATTATTATATTTAATTATAATATTACAGTTTTATTATAAATTTATTTACCATAAATTACTACATATACAAACATGTATTGCTGCACAGTTTCATATATAATGGGGAGCATACTGTATTTTTTGGACAATTTAAGAAATATTCAGTGTTAATTTTGAGTAAAATAGCTCTTTTGCCTCTTTTTCCTTAAAATTTAATTCTAAGATTTGACTCCACTGTAGTCAATTAACAATGGAGAACTATTAAGAAATTACATGCAGATGAAATAATATTTGCATTTTGGGAAGAGGACGCAAGCAGTGGAGTTGTTTGATAGGTGATGCCTGAGACTGATGCCGGGGGAACTCATTAGGCTGCCATTGTGTAAAAAATAATGCAGTAAAATAGGACAATAAGGCAATTGCAACATTTAGGATTATTGAGACAGAGAGAAAGAGTTTAGAATCATTCCTAGGATTCTGCGTTAGATAATGCTATGATGAGTAACAGAAAAAAAAAAGGTTAATACAGGTGAAAGTACTTTTATATCCCTTCATTTCACATTCACAGAAACTATAAAAGTTTGGTGCCAATGTAGCTGTACAACTTGTTGGCTTTTGTTTTTCTTCATAACTTTAAAAGACCTTTTGGTTCTGTCTGTAATATATAATCATGCCTTAAAGCTGATTACAATTTTCACTGTTAAAAGGATTCACACTTTGGCTACCTTTTCATTTATTACTCACAACCACACACTGGGTTCATAAGGGCAGAGGTAGAAGCCATGGCTGAGTAGCCAGAGAATCTAGAGCTGCTGTCAGCAAATTGAATCGTCAGCATTCTCAAGGAAATCACCTGCTGGCTTATTAAAGTTAATTGCTTGCAGGTATCAAGTTCCTTAGCCAGAGCTATCAAAGTCGCTGTGAGAGAGGTGATTAAGACTGTGCTGGGAGCTTGGCAAAGCTGGATGAGTACCATCTCATGGGGTGTCTTAGCTTCAGGGAGACTGCTTCCTACGTCCACATTGTTTGATTCTTTCTCCTTGCTCTTCCACCATCCCCTACTCCTGTCCCCACCACATGCCAGCTTATCCAGGTAATGTGTTAATTTTGATTCTCTAACCTTTGACAGACATGTATTGAACGTTTATTTCCAGCCTCAAAAAGCGCTGTGATAACACAGCCTCTGCACACAAGGAACTTCCAGTCTAGAATAGGAGACAGACTTTGAAACCTATGATTATAATACTATGCCATAAATTCTAGAAACCGTGGTTTGTCCAACGTGCTATCAGAAGGTATAAAGATAAGGTATATAGTACATATATATGTTTACATTTTCTTTATCTGCCTTTGGGGACTGGGATAAAAGAAGATGGAATTATTTACCTGTGTCAGTCGGGGTCCTCCAAAAGGAATTGGCTTACATGGCGGGGGCTGGCAGGTCTGAAATCTATCGCGTAGGTTTTATATAAACTCAGGCAAGAGTTGATGTTGCAATATTAGATCTGAAATTTGTAGGGCAGGTTGGCAGGCTGGAAACTCAGGCAGGATTTCTATGTTAGTCTTAAGGCAGAATCCCTTCTTATGGGGGATACCTCAGTTTTCTGTTTTTTTTTTTTTCTGTTTTTATCTTTTGCTTTTATGGCTTCCAACTTACTGGGTGAAGCCCACCTACATTATCAAGGGTAAACTCTTTAATTAAAGTCAGTTGATTAAGAAATGCTCACCACGTCTGTAAAATACCTTCACAGAAACATTTAGATAAATATTTGACCAGATAGCTAGGCACCAAAGCCTGACCAAGTTTTTTTGCTTTGATAGACCAAAGTCGGGTGACGCACTGCAAATGTATAGAAGTTCCAACTCCAAGATATATTGAAATTATTCCCTAGGATAGCACCTTAAAACTCAACCTTACTCCTAGGGTAAAGCCATCAAACACCTAGGTAGTGCCATGCTTAGATCCAGGAAAGAAAGGTCTTTGTCCTGGGCCCCATGCATTAGAGGGCCCCACATATGACAAAAACACAAACATAAATGCCTCTGTTGCCTCAATTCTGGCCTACAGCACTGGCTCAGTGCAATCTGTAACTCTAAACATTCACTCTCGTGGTTAATATTACTCGGGCTACCGGAAAATTCTTCTCCACAATTTTTCTTACATCCTAGTAGCAAAAAGATAACAAAGCTCAAATGCCATGAACATTTGCAGTTTGAACTGCTGTCAATATGAGAGATGAACATCTTATTTTGCAGCAGGTGGGTGGGGTGGGCTAGGATTTGAGCACTATAGAGAAAATATACATAAATTATTTTCAAATTCTTCCTTGTGGAATGAACGCACCAAATCATTGCAGAATCGAGGATTGTTTTCCTGGGTAGAGCTGAACATCCATTTTCTTGTATCTGTTCATGTTTCATTGGTAGATTTGAAAGTCCAGACAAATTAGCATAACATTTGTACACGATAAGTATATTTTGGATTATTAAATAAATCATAGTACTCCTACATTTGTCTATATGTAGGGTTAGAGAAAATAAGTATGAAGTGTGCTACCAATTCTTCATATTGGCAAGCAAATGGATAGTGGATGCTCAATGTTAAATGAGACAAAATTAAATGAGAAAATGTCAGCTTTAATGAAATATTCTGAAATTAAAATGTGATATTCCTTATATGCATTTCAGTTTTTGACTTAATAGATAATTTGAATATTTAAGAATTATGAAAAAAATAATTTTATTTTTGTTTTTATATTTAATTTTTAATGAAATATATTTGAATTTTCTAACTTCAATACAATTTCATTTTATTTTAAATCCTTTGGCTCATCCCTGTCAAGAAATTAAAAATCTTGACCATAGCAATATAATTTTGATGAAATAAAGAGGAGAAATATAAATTTTATGGAACACATGTGTGTTTATGAATTAAGCTGGTTTCATTTTATTACTTACCTAAACATTGCTATCTCATCAAGAGAATGCCCAGGTATGCTATCAAATATTGCACTGAATATCTTTGATATTTTGCCAGCTTTTAGTTATCTAAAAACTATTGCCTTACATAATACTTTTCATTTGTCATTAAAAATTATATATTTAAGGCAGCACAATGATAGAACATATTTTATTAAAGTTTCTTAGTTTTTAAATAACTTTTAAATATTTAAATGTGGTATGTAGGCCTCCCTTTCTACTATTGCTTTGGGTCCTGCATATCTAGGAGTGGGCTTACCAATAAACAATTGAGACAACATCTAGGAGGGGGCATTAACATCCTTAAGGAGCCATAACTATTCCAAGAGATGGATGACAATCTTTAACTTGTGAACTAGGGGTGGGAGGATGTGAGGTGGGATAAGCAGTGCCCTTTATATTTTTTCCTATGCCTCCTTGCCCAGTAAACAGACTTTCTTTCCTTTTAAAGAGCTGGAGGTATAAAAATTTAATTTGGGAAAATTATGTAGGTGGACCTGGAAGAAGTGGAATAGGCTGTAAGTAAGTTATTGAAATTAGCCCTCAGAAATCATTCTGAAAAAGGGGACATTTGAGCTTGATCTGGAAAGATGAATGGAACCCCTCCAGGTGGATGAATTGTGTGTGGGAAGAGGTGCACTAGGAAAAGGCAAAAAGGCAGAAAAAGCAGGTTGCTTCACAATATTTCAAAACATTTATATGACTAAAACACTGGGTGGGAAGGAGGAAGTGGAAAGAGAAGGGCTGAAATATGAGAACAGAAAGGGTATTACACGTCTTCCCAAGAACTTGGCTTTTATCCTTCAGAAGAGACTCATTAAAGAAGTTTTAAGCAAGCAAATGACATGATTGGTTTTGCCTTTTAAAAATATGACTTTAGAACCTTGGTTTTCAAATTTTAAAATGCATGATAATCACTTGGAGGGCTTGTTGAAACACAGATGGCTGGGCCCCACCTCCAGAGCTTCTGACTCAGTAGTTCTGGGGTGGAACCCAAGAGTTTGCATTTCTAACAACTCCTGAGTGATGTGATGCTGCTGATACGGGAACCATACTTTAAGAAGCACTGCTCAAAAAAGCAGAGGTGGATGGTGAATGGTTTAGAAAGATGAATCTACAGAAAGTAGACAAGATAGGGGATTACTGCAACAAAGCAGGGAAAAATAAAGGGAGTTTTATGGAAGCAGTGATGAAGGGTCTAAATAAGAGTTTTGAGAAACAGTACCTAACTGAATTTGCAAGGTCTGGATAAGGAAGACACAAGTGTTGAGGATAACTGTGTATCTGGCTTGCTTGTTTTTGAATGTATGAAAGAGCCCAAGTCTGTAATCTAGAGAAAGAGAGAAAGAGAATGGATTTCCATTTTAATTGTAGTCATTGGCGTAAAGGTGCAATTTAATTGAATATCATGCAACAACTGGATTACTGAACTTTGGGTGTGCTGAACCAAAGAAGAGGGAAAGTTATTTACTTACAGAATATACTAGCTCCATTAGGAAAAGTTTGAGGTAAATATAGTTAATATGCTAATGTTATTTATCAATAACAGTCAATACACCATCACGATTCGATCATTTTGGGTGTGGTCTCCTCTTTGGAGAGTGCCTCAAGCCTTTAACTTAATTACTCTCTTACAAGGTAGATCTGTTCAGAATGGGTATTTTTACTTCATTATATTCTATCATGTGATTTTCTCTGTAGTATGTCCTTATACTTTAAAATATTATTTTAGGCTTAGTAAAATTAATATTACTCTCTTTAACAGGCAGCAGGATGCATGTTCACCCTTAATGTTTGAATGAACCAGGGCAAGAGTATAAATGAAGGTGTCTCCTTCCATATGTTGAAATATGTAAATATATGAAAGTTATAAGCCAAGCCAAAAATTAAATGGGATATTACTGGAGGGTTTTATTGGGAGGAGTGACTTGAGTTTTAAATGCTGATTCAGATATGATTCGAGAATAGAATATAGGTGGACAAGGCTTGTATGAGGAAGATTCTGGGTTACTCTGAGTTCAGTCCAGACATAACAGCAAGAATGAGACTCTGTGGTGGACCTGGAAGATGCCAGAACAGTTTTTATTGCTGTACTGTGACAGTGTTGCCAGGATATAATCTATTAGTAGGGAACCAGCAACCCAACACTGTGAATTGAGCTTCCAACTCTAGGTGACATTTTCATTAATTTCTTTAATTAAGATCTTTATTGCTCACACTGTGGACAAAAACCAAACAACAAAAAAAGGCCTGCCAGGAACCACACTCTAAAACATTTAAAATACCAATCTGCTAAATACTGTCATATAAAAGAGATCCCTGGTTAGAGTTACTTTGGGAACCAAAACTGAAAAGGAATGAAGCCACAGTGATTAGGAGAGATGGGAAGTGAGGCAATTGCAGGAACCAAGGTGAGGGCCCTGCTATTGAATATTGCCAGAGGAAGAAATGATTTGAAAAGATTTTGGAACTCATTTCTGTCTGTTGAGAAGGAGAATAAGATATGGGCGGGCACAGGCATTAGAGAGACCCAGATCATAGCAGCCTGCTAGCTTTGTGGTTCTCGAGCCTCCTGTGTGGAACTAAAGCTCTGTTACCTTGAGGGTTTCAGAGAGAGGTTAGAGAAGTCCCTAGAGCATAAGAGGACCCCTTACTTAAGGTCTTAGTATACTAGTAACACAGAAGCACCCAGCTTTCCCAGAACTACCAGAGACACTACCTTGAGAGTGGTTCCCAGATGTTAAGTAAAGACATAGGAAATAAGTATAGGCATATGAATAATTCTATGCTCACCACAGTTGTTACTGTCATGTAGACACATTATAAAGGTATGAGCTTATTTGTGGTGTAGTCTAGCATAGGTAGCTGAATGTGAGACGTCTTTTCTATTTGTATCAGAGGAAATGTAAAACAAAATCATTCAGCATGAAAAAGTGTTGCTCAATTTTCAGCAAGGTTTTCTTATGCTACTATAGAGCTCCAAAGGAAAGAAACACACTCTGCTGTGCCATAGCGTTAGTAAGCCAATGAAAGTTGATGGTATATTCAAATGTCTCTTGCTGTGTGTGTGAGAGAGAGAGAGAGAGGGAGAGAGAGTGAGAGCGATTAAGAGAGAGACTGATTTGACATTTATTAATAACTTCTCCATATTTTATATTCAGAAAAAACTGCTAATCAGTTTCAGCTAAAGTTAAACCATTCCTAAAATGGTGACTAACTACCTTCTTGAATAATATCGAAATATCAGAACCAGCTGATTTGGGATAACAGCTCTTTGGGACAATAAATTCTTACTCAATATGCAGGCTACATGTTTGCCTATCATTTAATTCCTCCCTCTTTACTCATCAAGAATTTTAAAATCCTGTATTCTAAACTGCCTAGGGGAAATAACTGATATAATTTTGAAGTACATATTTTTGGATATTCCCTGTCTTTATTGTGAATCTCAGCTTGTATCACATGTTTATTATTTAGCATTTGAGCATCTGCAGAGAACTTAGCACCATCCTTCCCTTTCTAAGATTTGCAGCACATATGTGGCTAATAAATACGAAGCTGGATGATATAAACAACTCCATTGGCTCTGTTTCAGCTCTACCACTGTTGGACCTTGACAAGAGAGCATTAGGAAAATTTGTTTTTGGTGTAAAGGAGGTTCTTGCTAGGTTTTGCCTAGCAAAAATGGGAGCAGTCAGAAAAGATGGCTGGGGCCTAGGCTTGGGGAAGGCAAAAAGAAAGAGTAAAAACTTCAGCCAAATATTCTAAATAGTAAAAACACAAGAAAGGTAAGAACTTTTGAAAGTAAGGTTTGGGTATAGTGGCTCACTTCTGTAATCCCAGCACTTTGAGAGGCCGAGACGAGCAGATCACCAAGGTCAGGAGTTCGAGACCATCCTGGTGAGACCAGGATTTCGAGACCAGACATGGTGAAACCCTGTCTCTACTAAAATTTACAAAAAATTAGCCAAGTGTGGTGGCACACGCCTATAATCCCAGCTACTCAGGAGGCTGAGACAGGAGAATCACTTGAACCCGGGAGGTGAAGTTTGCAGTGAGCCAAGATCACGCCATTGCACTCCAGCCTGGATGACAGAGTGAGACTCTGTCTCAAGAAAACAAAAAAAGAAAAAAGAAAAGCCCACCAAGTTATCCTAACTTATGTTGTTGAATGGGTAAAGAAGCAACACAGAGAAGCACAAGGAAGACAAAAGCAGACTGAATAATGGGACATATGAATGAGGGACACCTAGGAAGATACATTATTAGAGAGTTCAAGTACTTAAATTCATATATTTCATGATATATAGCTGTTTTTTAATGTTTCAATTAAAATTTCTGAAATTTCTGAAGCTAAAGGTCATGATGAGTTTATGTTCTTTATCTTGCTGAAGTTTCTTACTTTTTTTTTTTTTTTTTTGTTTCTTGTTCACGGTGAAAGGCTGAAAAAGTTTCTTGAAGAGACTAATTGTGTATTCCAGGTCCTGTATTGCTTGACTATTGCAGAATACATGTTCTAACAAATCAGTTTGAGATTTGTGTCAATTGGTAGAAAATAGGATTATGTTCACTCACCAAAAATGTATTTGAGAGTAGGTTTCCACACTGCCTACCTCAGGTGGCTAACTCTGAATCTTTTGATCTATAACTAGAAGAAAAAACTGCATAAACTGCTAACACATTTTTAAAGATTCTACAGCAAGGCATGGATGAAATTAGTAGTATATTTAAAAGATGTTTTATAGATAGAAAGTGCTAAATGAATAAAGAGGTGGTATTATTTGCAACATACCTGATGCAAACAGAATTACAAAACTGTAATTGTAACAAGCGCATGACAAAGTTTTAAGATTTGTTTCAATGTTGAATTATAAATATCTCAGAGTTTAATTCTTTCCTCAAACTGTATTTAAAATTACTACTTTTAATATATCTTAAATATATTTGAATATATGTCTAGAATATATATTATCACAGAGATAACTTTAGGAAAAAAATTATTAAAGAGATTTATATATAATTATGAATGCTTTAGGAGCCACATATTAATTTTTCTAAATTCAACTAAGCTTATCATTGTGAAGAAATCTTTATTTCTTCATTATCACAAAGATAGGCTAATTCTTCATTATCACAAAGATAATGAAATTATCTTCATTAAAGATAATTTCGTGTACTCTAAACAATCTAGGCCATTCCATCATTCTAGCAGTGGAGCATATCATTAATGATAGATAAAAGTTGAGAAACCAAATGTTCTATCAGTTAGAAAAATATTTTCTCAAAAGGGAAAAGCCCAACTTTTGGGTTAGCTAGTGTCTTGACTCTTTTAAATTTCATTCATGATTATAAATAGTTTTAAATATTTTAAATAAGCATCAACCATGTGATTGCCCTTATAGAAGAGTAAGGAAACCTTGAAGAAATGATTCTGCTGTGACCTTGAGATGCCTGCAGAAAAAGAAGTGGAATGTGTGAAGACACCATCTTCCACACTGGATTTGCCAGTGACTGCTGTTGCCCTAAACACATCTTTTCATGTTTCTGGATCTCAATTCTCACATCTGTTTATGAGAGTGTTTGCCAGATGGCTTCTAAGAACCCTTTCAGTTTCAACATTCTATGTCGCTACAATTGGCCTTGATCTCAAAGGATGGACACATTGACACATCCAATTTATTTTTATGAGTATTTTATTAGGGTCAAAAGCAACGTATAGTGTTATTAGTTTCTTTCTTAATTTCTAATAGCATTTCAAATATCATAATTGTATATTTCTTACTACAACAGCGAAATTTACACATTAGGGTTCTGATTTGGTTAAAGAATGTTTGGGAGGCTCATAATCAGCCATGTTTGTTGGTATTGTACATATTCACACCTCTTAATATGTACTTCATGTTTTACAAGCCCAAGGGGTCTTAAAGAGTGGGCATTGAAATGACCGTGTGTCACCTACGTATAAGAACAAATATACTAGTTGATCTCATTTCAATTCTTGTTTGTAATAAACAACACCAACTTTTAATATAATTCATACTTTTGTAATCAATATAAGTGAGTGAAGAAGTAATAAGGAATAAATATTTTTGTTTAATGGTAGTCATAAACCCAAGTATTCAAAAAATAGAGGTTTTTTCTCGAAATAATTTCTGTTTTGAGACAGAATGGCAAAAACTAAACCTTAGCCATTTGGCAGCTCTCTAATTTATGGGGCTTTCCATATTGCCAAGGGATGACGACCTTTATGCTTCCATTTCATCTGACATTTGCTGAGACTCATTATCCTTTCTAGTCATTCACCCATGCAAGTTGCTACTGAATCAATACTTGTTCCTATCTACAAGTCCTATCTCAGCTATGTCAAGGCCCCTTTTGGAAGATGGGATTCATTTTCCTGTGCCACATCCAAGCACAGGAAATTCCGTGGACTGTTTTAGGTCCATCTAAGGAGACACAGAGCCCTGAAACAGACACAGAGCAAGCCATTCTACCCTGAAATCTTATTTCCCTATATTTTAGGTTTTCTCAAGTTTATATAAGGTTGTGTATAAGGTTCTGCTGCTGTGTTTATGAATTTGGTCTAGAGGAATTCAGGCCTTGGAGAGTGCAAATGCCAGATCCTTCCTGGTCTTTACGGGGCCTAGACGTTTTCACACTAAAAGCTTCTAGTGTATATCACTTGGTGAGGTGATAAGTATAGAATAAAAGCTCACTGGAGTTGATGAAAAGAGAAAATACAAGATAGAAAAATGGAAAAGAAAAAACGGTTGATATTTCAAAATTATTATCCCACCACACAATGATTAACTCTCTATAAATGGCATCTATTTCCATGGTAGTGGTGAATTCCCTGGATAAGGAAGCAGAGGCTGAGACTAGTCAGTGAAACCTTACAACCTTACGAGGGATTTCAGCATTGCCTAGGTGGTGAGACATGATCAACTTTGAGGTCTCTTTTGGCTCTAAATTCAGTGATACTCAGTAAAAATATTATTTGAGAGAGCTATATCTTTCCTGAAATTTCATGACAGCTCTCTGGCCTCTTGTTATGGGCTGAATTGTATCTCTTCCTTCCTCCTCCTCATTCATATGTTGAAGCCCTAACTCCTAGCACCTTCCTTGGAATGAGAGTGCATTTGGAGATAGGGTCCTACAAGGGGTAATTGAGACAAAATGAGACTTCTAGGATGGGACTTTACCTAACATGACTAGTGTCCTTGTAAGAAGAGAATATTTGGGCACACAGAAATTCCAGGAATGTGTGTTAGTTCAGAGGAAAGGCCATGCGAAGACAGAGCAAGAAGGCCGCCACCCGCAAGCAAAGACAAGAGGTCTCAGAAGAAACTAGACCTGCCAACACCTTGATTTTGGACTTTTAGCCGCTAGAACTAGGAGAAAATAAATTTATGTTGTTTAAGCTACATCCAGTCAGTGGTGTTTTTTTTTTTTTGGCAGCATTGGCAAGCCAAAAAAGCTCTGTATGATAGTCACATCTAGACCTTGTACACTATGCTCCCCAGGAAAGGCTCTTGCCAGAGTTGATGTGTTTTATAGTTAGTGGCAAGAATTATTTTTAATACATGCTTGGGATTTTCCCATTTCTATAAAGTTTATTTGTACGTTTTATAGTTCTTCAGAAAAGAGAAATCAGCTAAGACCCTAGATTGAGTGACTTTAACATTATGACAAATGAAACAATTGATTGATATTTCCTACCAATTATGACTGAATGCACCAGAACACTTTGTCCTAAGTAAATCTATAATACATTTTGAAAAGGTTTAAGTGGATTTCAAAACTGCTTGATAATAGCTTTTTTCTAAGGAGATACGATATGAAGACTTGGAAAGTGTTGTCTGTAGTTATTGTTTACATCCATAGTAGTTGCCTGGTTAGTTAACACCAGCTGACACATGAAATATGGTTTTGAAATAGGTAGCTTGCTTTTCTACCACCTTGTCACTTATTATCCATGTATTTCCACCCAAGAAATTGGTACTCTGAGTTAGTTTCTTTTCTATTAATATTAAATGAAGTGTTTCTATTAAATCTCTAGTCCAAGGATGTAATCTTAAGGATACTTGGCACTCCCAACATGTTAGAATCAATAGGAAAGACATTTATGGATTCCTACAATTAAGATGAGCAGCCAGGGAATAATTCAGGAAATCTTATTTAATTTCTACCTTGCTAGATACTATATATGATACACAGAGTGTAAGAGGGAGCCCTGCCCTCAAAGATTTTACGATCCAGTTGCTAAGACAAAAAAAAAATTAAAATGTAATTATTACAAAAGACTGTAAAAGTGGCCATACCTAAAATGCACTGTGGCCATCGTTGCCTAGATATTAATTTTATAAGCTGTTCTTTCTCTATACATTGTGCACAAAGTGGGTGTAGGCTAAATCAATATGAATGCAGCTTTTATAGATATTAATAAGATTATCTAATAGTAAATTTTTCTAACTGAAGTTTGTTTTACTGATTGAAAAATACCTTCCCAATATTTTTATCTTGGAACTCTAAAATAAAGAAGGAATTTTTAAAGGGTGGCTTATTTTTTATTTAAACATCATTAAATGCTTAAATTGGACACATTAGTATTCTTACTATTTTAAACATTCTCTTCTGTCTTTCTAGTATTGATATCTTTCATAATCTTCTTGTGTGTCTCTTATATTCTCTGCTAATTCTGTTAACTGTACACATTATAGTGTTTTGCAATGTCTCTTTCCTAATAATGTTTTTGTATTTTCAGTCTTGGTTCTCCTTCCTACAAATTTCACACTTTATTCTACCGAAACACTCTCTCATTACTGTGGCTTCAAATATTTTTTTCCTTATGGTGTAGACATTTACAGACAAACTGAAACTTCTCTTTTATTTAAGCTGTTGTGACCCCCTCCCCCTTTTCATATGGACTGCATGGCAGGAAGAACTATGTATGCATTTATTCCTCATAATTCAGTATTAATTTTTAGGGTAAAGGATTATCTTTCTACCAGTGTTATCAGGAAGACAATAGCCTAAAAAGCAAGCTGACATTCTCCTTCCTGTTTCCATCAGTTTAAACAACAGATTATTTTTAACCATTCTTATTTAACTGATTGAGGCAGTAATGGCTTCTGTGTGTTTTTTTAATCCACTGCTGTTTGGTGTGTTTATGTACACAGTCAATAATATGCTCAGAAATGAGAGAAATTGCTGTCTTTGGAGACAGAAAATGTTCATTCAGAAGATGGGCTAAAAGTGGGCCTTGCAAGACTTGCATAGGAAGAGTAGTGGGGCCATATGGTCCAATTAAAAAAAAAAAAAGATAAGCTATCTTTTGACAACAATGAGTAGATTAATTGAATGAAAGCTGCATTTAAGAGCGAGTATAAATATTTGTTGAATGGAAGGAAAGAAGAAAAGGAAGAATGAATGGATGAAGGATGGAAGGAGACAGAGTGATGCCAAGGGAGGACAACTGGTTTATTTGGATAGACTGAAGAATTTCCATTGTTTTTTGTAGGCAGTAGTAAACCTGGGGATGTTCTTGTTTCTACTGCACACTGATGATGTATGAAATACTGTTCTAGAGGCTGAAGAGGTTTACCACAATAATTTAAAATGTCATAACATGAAGTACAGTCAGGGACTGATAGCAGAGGGAGGATAATACACTACTTGAGTAAAGATTTAACTGAGAAGATGTATTTTCTATAAAGTGATGTCAAAGATGACTGGCTTGAAAATACTTGTGTCTAGGAGAATTGTGTTGCTTAGGATTAGAAGGGATGCCTGCTTTATGGAGAAAAATGAATATTTCTGTTTCAAACAAGAGGTAGGAAGATATAGTTGGGCTAGAAATGAATAAAGCCTAAGACAAAAATCAGTGTAACCATGGGTAGCATTTAGTACAACCAGTATTCTTAAAAGGATCAAAAAAGAACATAATAAAAAGTAAAAGTGCAAATAGAATAAAAGAAGATAATTTGTTAAGGAAGGGATATTATGCTTCCAAAAAAAGATGGAGTATTAAACAAACACACAATTATATTTAGAGATGTCAACACCTCAATCTCAATAATTGATAGAACATTCAAACCAAAATATTAGTTAAGGATGTAGATGACTTAAACGGCATCATTATCAATTTAATCCAGCTAACATTTATATCTTCCCACAAAGAAAATTTGAAGCCCAGATGGCTTCACTGATGAATTCTACCAAACATTTAAGTAAGAAATAGTACCTATTACCAAGTATATACAATTATTTTTCAAAAAATTGAGCAGAGAAACTACTTCCCAACTCGTTCTCTGAGGCTAACACTATCCTGATGCTAAAACCAAAGACATTATAAAAAATTAGTAAATATATGGATCGATATGAATATAGATACAAAAATTTATTTTTAAGATGTGGGCAAATCTAATTCAATGTATCTAAAAGCTTAACATATCCTAATGAAATACGATTTATCCTAAGAATACTAGGTTAGTTAACATTAAAACAAATCAATGTAAGGTTACCATAGTAACAAATTAAAAAAGAAAACCATATGATTATCCCAACAGACAAAAATATGACCAAATTCAACTAAAGTAAAAACTGGGAATGGAAAGAAACTTCTTCAACTTGATAAGAGGGGTCTATAAAATGCAAACATCATTAGAGCAGAAAGACTGGATACTTTAAGATCAAGAATAAGACAAGGATATTCACTCTTACCACTTCTGTTCAGCATTATACCAGATGCTATAGCCAGTGCACTAAGGAAAGCAATAAATGAATGAATGAATGAATGAACAAATGACATCCAGATTGGAAAGGAAGAAGTAAAGCTTTACAGATGACATGAGATCATTTATGTAGAAAATATGATGGAATCTACTAGTACAGGTTGAGCATTGCTAATGTGAAAATCCAAGATGCTTTTTGGAACACCTACATAATACCACAAGTGGAAAATTCTATACATGACTTCATGTGACTGGTGTAGTCAAAAAACAGGCTCTGAGCACACAGTTTATTCAGCATCCCTAAGGGGAAGAAGACCCTCCCAGACCCCTTCAGCTATGAAATATATCTTTCTTAAGTACCCAGATTCCTCCACCCCCACTATGCAGGCACACTCATAAAGGGTAATAAAATGGCATGTATGCAGGCCAAACACACCAATGGCAGGTTTCCAATAATGTGTCACATGGGGCCAAGACCTACATGCATTACTGTGTTTTTATTTTCTTATTATCTGCTCTATGGTGTAAAGATTATTAAAAATATTAAAAACTCCTGCAGTTCCCTCTGTGATATCAGTATTGGGTAACAGTGATAAGAAAAAGAAGCATTTATGTTTCTCTACAGCACAGAAAGTCAAACTGTTGAAGAAGAAGAAACTGGACAGTGGCGGAAGTTGAAATGTTCTATGGAAGAGTATAGTGTTGACTACCATATATGACCTGAAGAAACAGAAGGATAAACTGTTGAAGTTTTATACTGAAAGTGATGAATAGAAGTCAATGAAAAATAGAAAAACACCGTATACAGCTAACAATAAAAATATTGATTGTGTATTTAAATAGTGGATCCATTACCATTGCAGTGAACACTTGTCACTTAATGGAATACGAATCGGGAGACAAGCAAAGATCTATAATGAGGAAATGAATATTGAAGGGAACCATGAGTACTCAACAGGCTGGCTGCAGAAAATTAAGAAAAACTATGATATTACATTTTTAAAGATTTGTAGTGATAAAGCATCTTCTGGTCATGTAGTAGTGGAAAAATTCATTGACAAATTTGCCAGAGTCATTGCTGATGAAAATCTGATGCCAGAACTAGTCTATAATGCTAATGAAACATCACTGTTTTGGTACTGTTGCCCCAGAAAGACACTGACAAAAGCTAATGAGGTAGCCCCTACAAAAATTAAGGATTCCAAGGACAATAACTGTGCTGGCATGTGCTAATGCAGCAGGCATACAAAAGTATAAACTTGTTCTGAAAAGCAAAAGCTTGCATCCTCACTGTTTTCAAGGAGTGAATTTCTCAGCAGTCCACTATTATGTTAACAAAAAGGTATGGATCACCACGGACATATTTTCTGATTGGTTTCACAAACATTTATACCAGAGGCTCAAGGTTACTGCAAGGAAGCTGGATTGGATGACAACTGTTAGATTTTTGTTATTCCTTGACAACATTTCTGCTCATCCTTCAGCTGAAATTTTCATCAAAAATAATGCTTATGCCATATACTTTTCCCCAAATGTGACTTCATTAATTCAGTCATGTGACCAAGGTATCCTTAGATTGATGAAGAGTAAATATAAAAACACTTTCTTGAACATCATGCCAGCACCAGTGAAGAGAGGTGTGGGTGTGGAAGGTTTCTAGAAGGAGTTTAGCATGAAGGGTGCTGTTTATGCCATTGCTAACACTTGGAACGCAGTGACTAAAGACACAGTAGTACACTCCTGGCACAACCTCTTGCCTGTGACTATATTAAGTGATCTTGATGAACAAGGTAGTGACTTTGAAGAATTCTGTGGGCCAACTGAGAAAAAAAGATGGTGTCTGACCTCCTTACATACACAAAAAATATAATTTCAGAGTCTTTCCCTAGGCTAGCAGAAGTAAATATCAAAGAACTTGATTATTTTTAACATCAATAATGAGATTCCAATTCTTCATTGACCAATGGGGAAATAGTCCAGATGGTTTTGAATCAAGTTGATTGTGATAATAGTGATGATTAAAATGACATTGTTAACACTGAAGAAAAAGTTCCTATGGATAAGGTAAAAATGTGTGACGGGCTTATTGAAGGACTACAGCACTGTACATTTATAACAGCACAAGAAATCATGTCAGTTTATAAAGCCAAAGAGAGACGACGACAACGACGACGACGATGGCTACTACTACTACTACTACTACTACTACTACTTATTCTTTTTTTTTTTTTTTTTTTTGAGGTGGAGTTTCACTCTTGTTGCCCAGGCTAGAGTGCCGGTGGCATGATCTCGGCTCACTGCAACCACCACCTTCCAAGTTCAAGTGATTCTCCTGCCTCAGCCTCCTGAGTAGCTGGGATTACAGGCACCCACCACCATGCCCGGCTAATTTTTTGTATTTTTAGTAGAGATGGGGTTTCACCATGTTGGTCAGGCTAGTCTCGAACTCCTGACCTCAGGTGATCCACCCATGCTCATGCCTGTAATCCCAAAGGGAGACTTCTAAGACAAAAACCATTGTTAATGAGGCAAGATGACTCTGAAGGAAACATTTTTAAAAGCCATCCACAAAATGCCTCTTCATCCCTAGAGGACTCACTTCCTGGTCCTTCAACTGTTTTGATTTTTTTTTTCTCTCACCTAAAAAAAAATCAGCACACAGTAACCTATTAATCAAAACACAGCATCATAGGTGGAGACTGAAAGCCTGCCATTGTTGGTTGTTGCTGATGTTCAACAGCTGTTACGGGAATTCTGGTGATGCTGCTGTGCTGCTTAGTTACCCTGGACACATTTGTTTTTTTTTTACTGTGTAAATGGCATGCCATATTTTTTACAGATAAGTACTTATGGGTAAATAAGTTAAGAAAATTGTTGCTTATCAGTAGCTTATAAGTTCAAAATCAAGAATGATTGTGATGCCAAACAACCACAGATGGCTCATATGGGTGGCCGAGATGTTGACACTTGCCTTCTGATGATTTAAAATATACAATTTTTTCATTAACAAAATTATTAAAATATTATATAATGTTGCCTTCAGTCTATGGGTATAAGGTGCATATAAAACATAAATGAATTTTGTATTTAGACGTGGGTCCCATCTCCAAGATATCTCATTATGTATATGCAAACATTCCAAAATTAAAAAACAAAATCAGAAACACTTCTGATTCCAAGTGTATTGGATAGGGTTATTCAACCTCTACTACTTACTAGAACTCAAAACTTAGCTTTGCAAGGTTTCAGGATATAAGATCCGTATACAAACATCAGTAGTATTTACATGTATCATTAAGAGTAATTGAAATTAGTTGAAATAGTAAAACCTTTTACAATAATATCAATAATATGAAATATGTCTATAAAAAATTAACAAGACTTGTACACAAAATGTATAAAACAGTGCCAAGAGAAATTAAGGAAGACCTAAATAAATGCAGATTATGATGTTAAACTGTACAGTGTTGAAACTGTAACAGTGTTAAAGTGGTCTTCTCTTCTCCTCAATTGATCTGTAGATTTAATGGAGTCCAGATCAAAATCCCAACATTCATTTGGCTAGTAATTGAAAAACTGTTTCTGAAACTTATATGCAAAGGACCTAGAATAGTCAAAACAACTTTGATAAAAGGCAAAATTTGGGGACTAAGACTGCCTGATTTCAAAACTCATTATAAAACTATGGTTATCAAGATAGTGTAGTGTTAAAGGAAACTCAGAAAAATAGATCAATAGAAATGACTAGAGTCCATAAAGATCTACATGGATGTAGACAACTGATACTCAACCAAAGTTCAAAGGCAATTCAGTGGGCAAAGGATAATCATTTCAACAAATGGTGCTGGAACAACTGGTTATTAATATAAAAAATTCAATCAATAACCTCCTACCAAAAATTTATCAAATTGTACACTCACTTGAAATGTGGGATGTTTATTTTATGTCAATTTTAACTCAATAAAGCTGTTAAAAATAGTAGGAAAGTATGAGAGAGAAAGGAAAAAAGGGACGAAATGTAAAATGCTATTTATTGGCTACACCATGTGCTATATAAGCAGATTATATTACTTTCTTCCGATGTGAGAATATACAGCTCCTGCTATAGAATAAAATTATGTATTCTAGATCACAGGAACAAATTAGCAAAATACTGTTCCTAATTTTTAATGCTCATTTTGCAAGGTGCAAAACTGCAAGGCACATCTTACAAAATGAACAATTTAGGGCATAACTTCACTCTTATAATTAATTTAGAATGATGGACATACTTAAATAGCATTTTTCACAAAAATGGAAAAATTCTAAAATTAATGTGGAATTACAAAGACCATGAATAGCCAAAACAATCTTGAGAAAGAAAAATAAAGTTGGAGGTATGACATTCCCTAATGTCAAGTTATACTACAAAGTAATAGTAACCAAACACTATGTTACTGGCATAAAAACAGATGCATGGACCAATGGAACAGAATAAAAAGCCCAGAAATAAACCCAAGTTTATAAAGTCAACCAATTTTCAGCAAGGCTACCAAGAAGACACGATGGAGAGAGGGTAGTATCTTCAATAACTGGTGTTGCGAAAACTGGATATCCACAGGCAAAGAGTGAAACTGGACCCTTATCTACACCATATATAAAAATTAAGTCAAAATGAATTAAATACCTAACCATAAGAGTTGAAACTCTAAAACTACTGGAAGAAAACAAGGGAAAAACTTCTTGATATTGTCCTTCATAATGATATTTTGAACATCACACCAAAAGCACAGGCACTGAAAGCAAAATTAAACAAGTGGGACTATAAAAAGCTTTTGTATAACAAAACAATCATCAGAATAAAAAGACAAACTATAGGTTGGAAAAAATGTTTGCAAACTATCTGACAAGGAGTTAATAATCTCTAAAATAAATAAGAAACTCACACAATAGCAAAAAACAAAACAAAAAAAAACCAAGTAACTTGATTTAAAAAAAATGACCAAAGTGGGCCAGCTGTGGTGGCTCACACCTGTAATCCCAGCACTTTGGGAGGCCAAGGCAGGCAGATCACCTGAGGTCGGGAGTTCGAGACCAGCCTGACCAACATGGAGAAACCCCATCTCTACTAAAAATACAAAATTAGCCAGGGTGGTGGCACAAGCCTGTAATCCCAGCTACTCGGGGGGCTGAGGCAGGAGAATCGCTTGAACCTAGGAGGCAAAGGTTGTGAGCTGAGATCATGACTTTGCACTCCAGCCTGGGCAACAAGAGCAAAACTCCATCTCAAAAAAAAAAAAGGTAAATATCATTGAGTACTCATAGTTATTAAAATATGCATATGTATGTGCATACCCATGTATATGTGCACATGTGCATATGTGTATGTATTTATAAAAAAAATGACCAAAGTACTTGAATAGACATTTTTCTAAACAAGACATAAAAATAGCCAACGGGTATATGAAAAGGTGCTCAATGTCACTAATGAGAGAAATGCAAATCAAACCAAAATGAGATATCACCTCACACCTATTAAGATGGCTGTTATTTAAAAAAAAAGAAAAAAAGAAAAACACCAAGAGATAACAAGTGTTGGCGAGAGTGTGAAGAAAAGGGAACCCTGGTACAATGTTGCTGATAATGGAAATTGGTACAGTTATGAAAAAATGTATGGAGCTTCCTCAAAAAATTAAAAATAGAACTACCATATGATCCAACAATCCCTTTTCTGGGTATATATCCAGAGGAAATGAAATCAGCACCTTGAAAATATATCTGCACTCCTACATTCATTGCAACCTTAGCCACAATATACAAGATATGGAATCAACCTAAATGTCTGTTCCAGTGAATGGAGAAGGTTGAAATACAGATATGAAATACAGATGTGATTGTTTATGTGTATCTGTGTGTATGTGTAAAGGTACATATATATAGACATACACAAATATAAAGTATGAAATGTATATTCTGCTACTCAGGCCAGTCTTGTTACTTTTTATTTGATTTCAGAACAAAAGGAATTTTTTAAATGATCCGGTAGAATAATAATACTTTTGTTAGTGTCCTCATATCTTGATATTCTCAGATATTAGGACATTGCTTGAAGCATAAATCTTGATGAGTTTCTTGGATGTTTTGTTTCATCTCTTGTGCTTTTTCTTTTTAGCTAATGTAATCATAGATTTAATGTAATAGCCCTATCTCTAAGTTGCTGTCCCCCACGTTTTATCTCTCAGTAATATAGGCTTTAGGGCCTGATATCAGTACAGAGCTATTTATTAGTTCAGGATTTCATTTTGTCATAAGATTTTGCATCTTACGTGAACTATTTTTTGCATTTCTGGACGATTTCTTCTATTACTTCAATATTATCTTGTGAGTGTGATACACTTGTGTTACTGATGAGGATTATGAATCTTAAGCAGGAGTCTGCCCACTCCACAACCATATGAAATACCACTTAACATTTTTTTGTAATCAGTGCCACAGGCCCTTTAAAGCTCATTTCTGATACCACCTGCAGGTATTTTGGGTAAGTGATAGATGGAAGGAATAAGCGCACACACATTGTAAGATTGAATTCAGCTCCTGCCTACATTTTCCAAGAATGTAGTCTCATCAGAAGTGGAATGTCCATGTGAAGAGGAGCAGATGCATGATTTCTCAGAATAACTGCTTGTGGCACACACTAAGAAAAATGCTTCACCAGATATGGAAAGCTCAATTCTTGCTAGGTCACTTTGCTTTCTTGCATGAAACTTACATCTGGAAGATTTTATATTAAGAACATATGTGCATCTGTTTAAGGGAATGTTTACATTTACTGAGTTCTGGTTCTTGAAGCAAACTCTCAGCAAGACCCATTATGGCATGGGTAAAAAGGCAGAGCTTGTTTCCATACATCTCTGAAAGGAAATATTCCGTTTTCAGATTTTTTTCTTGTTCAGAAGGCCTGTTTCCTTGGAATGGCAGTCAGAATAGTCACCTGAAACCCAACAATGAGTTATGTTCTAAAAGAATAAATGGTTCAGGGAGATGAAAACATTGTTTTGAGACCACCATTGGCCTGAGTCAGTGTAGCAATGCTTATGAGGCGATTGGAACCAAAGATAATATGCTAGCACAGTTTATACACTATATCTCTCTTATGCAGCTTTAGTTTATTGCTCACGATACTCATTCACGAATCCTTGAAAATTGCTTCAAAGAGGTAGTCTTAGGACAATGTTTTTTCATGTACTGGGAATGCAACTTAAAAAAAGTGTAATAAGTTTTAATTTATACCCATTTTGAAATTCATAGACGAGCACATTGAGCATTTTTAAAGCTTGTGATCATCTGAAGTATTGCAATTCCAAACTGTCAACTCTGTAAGGTACTATTTTTTGCCATTTGTCCTAAAACTACTCCTTTGGTGTAGTTTATGATGTAGTTTTTCAGTGATTGGTGAATAAACCTATATTTTAATATATATACACACATATACATACATATATAATCCATATATTTTGTGTATCAGTGTTTGTGTATATAAATTTTTTTCCCAAAGTTTATTGGAGGTTTGTATGTGTGCGTGTGTATACCGTGTGTTTGCTTTTCCTAGGATTTATTCTTCTAGACTCCAATACAATTTCCCCAAATCTCCATTTGTCTAAGGAAGGTAAGTTTTGCTTTCTGATAGATATCTATATATCTATATATATATAGATATATCTGATATATATACACACATAAATACACATATGTATATATACATATATATTTCTATAATAAAAGTAATAAAAGTGGTAAAAGATTAAATTTCTTCTAAGAGGAAGATTTTCTTGTTTCCTTTTTTAAAAGCAGTGAATGAAATCTGAGATTCTCCAGGTATATTTTGTGGATGGGCAGTTGCTTCCTAACAATTCCACCTAGGCATCTTGGGAGATAGAGCGTTCAAAAATTACTGAGAAATTTGTAGTTTAATTGACCTAAGCAGAGAGAAATCTGGCCCATAGAGAACATTTTATTTTATTTTATTTATGTATTTCTTTCTTTCTTCAGAGACAGTATCTCACTCTGTGGCATGATTAGAGCTCACTGCCGCCTCAACCTCCTGGGATCATGTGATCCTCTTGCCTCAGCCTCCTGAGTAGCTGGGACTACAGGCGCACACCACCATGCTTGGATAATTCTTTAATTTTTTTTTTTAATAGAGACAGAGTTTCACTTTATTGCCCAGGCTGATCTTGAACTCCTGACCTCAAATGATCCTCCTGCCTGGGCCTCCCAAAGTGTTGGGATTACAGGCATGAGCCACTGCATCTGCCCCAGAAATATTTTAGATGATTAAGAGGCTTTCTTATTTCAACTGGAATTAGCAATATTTTTTTCCTCATAACTATTTACTTTGCCTAGAGGAATATGCCTAAAATTTCACTTGGTGATGGGATCATAGCAGGGAATAATCTAACAGTTGGGAGAATAAGTTAGTTCACTTTAAAGGCATTCTCATATTTACTACATTATTATGTACCAAGAGGTGTTTATGACATATTATTTAAATACATATTGCCAGCTTGAAGGTTTAAATCGTGGATAGTCTATAATGAGATAATGTTTTCAGTTTTGTATCTCCTCATGTGAGTATACGCCTATCAGGAAGGCTGGAAAATGATGAAGTAAATAGCATCTCTTTATTTTAAAATGAAAGAAACCAGTTTCTGAAACACTGATGACATCTAAAAAACGGTTAGAAAATTCACAAAATATTACTCTTTGCACTTAAAGATGAAGTTAAATTCATATAACTATTGGTTTTTCTGCTAAAAGTGTGATTTATATTTTGATAAAGTCATTTGCTTTGCTGTACCTGACATTTCAAATATGTTGCATACCTGTTAGTAATCCTCAGGTCATTGTTCAGAGGTGCCCATACTTTATGTAAGTGAGAATGCCATACCAACTCCTTAATGACTTGAACTTCTGGCAAAGATGCTGTTCTATTTTGGAATATGGATACCTGAAAACTAGTTAGAAAAATACATTTTTATTGCCCCCCCCCCTTACGTCTCTTTCACCCAATTTTTAGATGGGCTAAGTTGTCTCCATTAGTTTTGGACCATACAAAAAGACCCCAGGATTTTCAATGCAGTGGGTCTCTTGAGAATTGGAAACTTCTGCTGTTTCATGCTAAAAATTAGTCATGAATTTTTAAGCAGGAATCTAGCTTCTAAGGTCAGATGGCCCAATAACAATATTAAAGAAATATTTTTATTTTTGTCTTCTTGTATCTTCCTGTCTCAACAAACCTGTAACAGGATCACTTCTTTCCTTGCAACAACTTCTGGGAATGACTTTTATTGTGAATATAGAACAATTTTCAACCAACTACTAGGCTGCTGGGAGAAGCTGTGTCT
Source organism: Homo sapiens (assembly GCF_000001405.40). Taxonomy (NCBI): domain Eukaryota; kingdom Metazoa; phylum Chordata; class Mammalia; order Primates; family Hominidae; genus Homo; species Homo sapiens. Next base: position 66,695,562 of record NC_000010.11, on the reverse strand, counting down.
ATTTCTATGTGTATCACAGAGGGTATTCGAGGATAATAATAGATTCTACACATTGTGCTAGCAATGTGAATATTACATATACTTTCTCATTTCATTTAAGTTTAAACCTCTCATTTTCCCTGGGAAGTAGAAATTTCTATTTCCATTTTAGAAGTGAGGGAGCTAAGGTCCAAGTTTCAGTGGAGAGAAAACTAAGGCTCCATGTTGCCCAAAGAAACAAATACTTCCTATTGAGCAGAGCCCAGATTTGCCTGACTCCAAAGATTCCCAGCCTTGCTTGTTTTATTTCCCAGCCATGGTGTCTGGGAGTCAGGAGGCAAACATGCCTGTACCTGCATTTCCCTTTTGGGGAGGACTAAATGATGTATCAGCTTTACATAGCAATCTATTTAATGTGCATCTTTGAAAAGGAAAAGAAATCCCTTGAAATATCTCTGGCATTATTTCAATGACATTGAAGTGTCAGAACATTTTGGGATAACAAAGTGGTCAATTCCTTTAGGTGCCATCGAGCTTTCAGCAGTTGTATATTTTATAGTTAGTAAATAGCCAAATGTATTTCTTTGCCTCTGTTCAAAATGAAATCACCTTAATGAAGAAATCTTATACTGAAACAATCTGGGCACATTAATAATAAATGAATTCTGAAAGAAATTTAGTATAATTTCTGAGGAGGCACAAGAGGAAATACCAAATTTAAAAATGGCATTTTCCATTTGTATAAGTGGAATAAGTAATAACAGTAATAAAAATGTATTCTTCCACTATTGTTCTCAGCTGCCATTGTGCTTTTCTGTTTGTGATCCCTTGGAATTCACAGATGTAGATTATGGTATGCTATTGTTTGATGGCAGAGGCAAATTATGGCCTGCGAGCACCTAATCTACCTGTTTTCGTATATCCTGCAATCTATGAATTATTTTTACATATTTTTAAAAGTTAGAAAAAAATTAAAATGAGTTAGGGAGGATTCCCTCTTTTTCTATTGATTGGAATAGTTTCAGAAGGAATGATACCAGTTCCTCCTTGTACCTCTGGTAGAATTCGGCTGTGAATCCGTCTGGTCCTGGACTCTTTTTGGTTGGTAAGTTATTGATTATTGCCACAATTTCAGAGCCTGTTATTGGTGTATTCAGAGATTCAACTTCTTCTTGGTTTCGTCTTGGGAGGGTGTATGTGTCGAGGAATTTATCCATTTCTTCTAGATTTTCTAGTTTATTTGCATAGAGGTGTTTGTAGTATTCTCTGATGGTAGTTTGTATTTCTGTGGGATTGGTGGTGATATCCCCTTTATCATTTTTTATTGTGTCTATTTGATTCTTCTCTCTTTTCTTCTTTATTAGTCTTGCTAGCGGTCTATCAATTTTGTTGATCCTCTCAAAAAACCAGCTCCTGGATTCATTAATTTTTTGAAGGGTACTTTGTGTCTCTATTTCCTTCAGTTCTGCTCTGATTTTAGTTATTTCTTGCCTTCTGCTAGCTTTTGAATGTGTTTGCTCTTGCTTTCCTAGTTCTTTTAATTGTGGTGTTAGGGTGTCAATTTTGGATGTTTCCTGCTTTCTCTTGTGGGCATTTAGTGCTATAAATTTCCCTCTACACACTGCTTTGAATGTGTCCCAGAGATTCTGGTATGTTGTGTCTTTGTTCTCGTTGGTTTCAAAGAACATCTTTATTTCTGTCTTCATTTTGTTATGTACCCAGTAGTCATTCAGGAGCAGGTTGTTCAGTTTCCATGTAGTTGAGTGGTTTTGAGTGAGTTTCTTAATCCTGAGTTCTAGTTTGATTGCACTGTGGTCTGAGAGACAGTTTGTTATAATTTATGTTCTTTTATATTTGCTGAGGAAAGCTTTACTTCCAACTATGTGGTCAATTTTGGAATAGGTGTGGTGTGGTGCTGAAAAGAATGTATATTCTGTTGATTTGGGGTGAAGAGTTCTGTAGATGTCTATTAGGTCCGCTTGGTGCAGAACTGAGTTCAATTCCTGGGTATCCTTGTTAACTTTCTGTCTCGTTGATCTGTCTAATGTTGACAGTGGGGTGTTAAAGTCTCTCATTATTATTGTGTGGGAGTCTAAGTCTCGTTGTAGGTCACTCAGGACTTGCTTTATGAATCTGGGTGCTCCTGTATTGGGTGCATATATATTTAGGATAGTTAGCTCTTCTTGTTGAATTGATCCCTTTACCATTATGTAATGGCCTTCTTTGTCTCTTTTGATCTTTGTTGGTTTCAAGTCTGTTTTATCAGAGACTAGGATTGCAACCCCTGCCTTTTTTTGTTTTCCATTTGCTTGATAGATCTTCCTCCATCCTTTTATTTTGAGCCTATGTGTGTCTCTGCGTGTGAGATGGGTTTCCTGAATACAGCACATTGATGGGTCTTGACTTTATCCAGTTTGCCAGTCTGTGTCTTTTAATTGGAGCATCTAGTCCATTTACATTTAAAGTTAATAGTGTTATGTGTGAATTTGATCCTATCATTGTGATGTTAGCTGGTTATTTTGCTCGTTAGTTGATGCAGTTTCTTCCTAGCCTCGATGGTGTTTAAAATTTGGCATGCTTTTGCAGTGGCTGGTACCGGTTGTTGCTTTCCACGTTTAGTGCTTCCTTCAGGAGCTCTTTTAGGGCAGGCCTGGTGGTGACAAAATCTCTCAGCATTTGCTTGTCTGTAAAGTATTTTATTTCTCCTTCACTTATGAAGCTTAGTTTGGCTGGATATGAAATTCTGGGTTGAAAATCCTTTTCTTTAAGAATGTTGAATATTGGCCCCCACTCTCTTCTGGCTTGTAGAGTTTCTGCCAAGAGATCTGCTGTTAGTCTGATGGTCTTCTCTTTGTGGGTAACCCGACCTTTCTCTCTGGCTGCCCTTAACATTTTTTCCTTCATTTCAACTTTGGTGAATCTGACAATTATGTGTCTTGGAGTTGCTCTTCTCGAGGAGTGTCTTTGTGGTGTCCTCTGTATTTCCTGAATCTGAATGTTGGCCTGCCTTGCTAGATTGGGGAAGTTCTTCTGGATAATATCCTGCAGAGTGTTTTCCAACTTGGTTCCATTCTCCCCGTCACTTTCAGGTACACCAATCAGATGTAGATTTGGTCTTTTCACATAGTCCCATATTTCTTGGAGGCTTTGTTCGTTTCTTTTTGTTCTTTTTTCTCTAAACTTCCCTTCTTGCTTCATTTCATTCATTTCATCTTCCATTGCTGATACCCTTTCTTCCAGTTGATCACATCGGCTCTGAGGCTTCTGCATTCTTCACGTAGTTCTCAAGCCTTGGCTTTCAGCTCCATCAGCTCCTTTAAGCACTTCTCTTTATTGGTTCTTGTGGTTATACATTCATCTAAATTTTTTTCAAAGTTTTCAACTTCTTTGCCTTTGGTTTGAATTTCCTCCTGTAGCTCGGAGTAGTTTGATCATCTGAAGCCTTCTTCTCTCAACTCGTCAAAGTCATTCTCTGTCCAGCTTTGTTCCATTGCTGGTGAGGAACTGCATTCCTTTGGAGGAGGAGAGGCGCTCTGCTTTTTAGAGTTTCCAGTTTTTCTTCCTTTTATTTTTCCCTGTCTTTGTGGTTTTATCTACTTTTGGTCTTTGATGATGGCGATGTACAGATGGGTTTTTGGTGTGGATGTCCTTTCTGTTTGTTAGTTTTCCTTCTAACAGACAGGACCCTCAGCTGCAGGTCTGTTGGAGTTTGCTAGAGGTCCACTCCAGACCCTGTTTGCCTGGGTATCAGCAGCGGTGGCTGCAGAACAGCGGATTTTTGTGAACCGCGAATGCTGCTGTCTGATCGTTCCTCTGGAAGTTTTGTCTCAGAGGAGTACCCAGCCGTGTGAGGTGTCAGTCTGCCTCTACTGGGGGATGCCTCCCTCTTAGGCTTCTCAGGGGTCAGGGGTCAGGGACCCACTTGAGGAGGCAGTCTGCCCATTCTCAGATCTCCAGCTGCGTGCTGGGATAACCACTGCTCTCTTCAGAGCTGTCAGAGAGGGACATTTAAGTCTGCAGAGGTTACTGCTGTCTCTTTGTTTGTCTGTGCCCTGCCCCCAGAGGTGGAGCCTACAGAGGCAGGCAGGCCTCCTTGAGCTGTGGTGGGCTCCACCTAGTTCGAGCTTCCCGGATGCTTTGTTTACCTAAGCAAGCCTGGGCAATGGTGGGTGCCCCTCCCCCAGCCTCGCTGCTGCCTCGCAGTTTGATCTCAGTCTGCTGTGCCAGCAATGAGTGAGACTCCATGGGCGTAGGACCCTGCAAGCCATGTGTGGGATATAATCTCCTGGTGCGCCGTTTTTTAAGCCCATCAGAAAAGCGCAGTATTAGGGTGGGAGTGACCCGATTTTCCAGGTGCCGTCTGTCACCCCTTTCTTTGACTAGGAAAGGGAACTCCCTGACCCCTTGCGCTTCCTGAGTGAGGCAATGCCTTGCCCTGCTTCAGCTCATGCACGGTGCACTGCACCCACTGTCCTGCGTCCACTGTCTGGCACTCCCTAGTGAGATGAACCTGGTACCTCAGATGGAAATGCAGAAATCACCCGTCTTCTGCATCGATCACTCTGGGAGCTGTAGACCGGAGCTGTTCCTATTCGGCCATCTTGGCTGGAGAGGATGTGGAGAAATAGGAACACTTTTACGCTGTTGGTGGGACTGCAAACTAGTTCAACCATTGTGGAAGTCAGTGTGGCAATTCCTCAGGGATCTGGAACTAGAAATACCATTTGACCCAGCCATCCCATTACTGGGTACATACCCAAAGGACTATAAATCATGCTGCTATAAAGACACATGCACATGTATGTTTATTGCGGCACTACTCACAATAGCAAAGACTTGGAACCAACCCAAATGTCCAACAACGATAGACTGGATTAAGAAAATGTGGCACATATACACCATGGAATACTATGCAGCCATAAAAAATGATGAGTTCATGTCCTTTGTAGGGACATGGATGAAATTGGGAATCATTCTCAGTAAACTATCGCAAGAACAAAAAACCAAACACCGCATATTCTCACTCATAGGTGGGAATTGAACGATGAGAACACGTGGACACAGGAAGGGGAACATCACACTCTGGGGACTGTTGTGGGGTGGGGGGACGGGGGAGGGATAGCATTAGGAGATATACCTAATGCTAAATGACGAGTTAATGGGTGCAGCACACCAGCATGGCACATGTATACATATGTAACTAACCTGCATATTGTGCACATTTACCCTAAAACTTAAAGTATAATAATAATAAAAAAAGAAAAAAATTAAAAGACGTGACATATAAAAATAATGTAAAATTCAAATTTAAGTATCTGTAAATAAAATTATATTAGAATTCAGTCTGCACCCAAGTCCTTCCCATGATCTATTTCTAGAGCCACCATTGATGAACCTTCATTCAACATATACCCAAATACACACATATACATGCATACTCCCAGTTACACACCTCTTATTCTTTATTTTTGAGGGATACTTTATTAAGCTTTAAGACTCCTGTGTCTAATTTCCCTTTTCCAAATTTCTCTGGGCCTAATACTCATCAGCTTTGTCCTTTTGTTCTCTGCAGTTTCATTGCTATCCTCTTTGTTCTATTTTCAGAAATTTCCCAAAATATTAAAACAAGTGTGGAGAAAGCAGATCTGTAGCATTTTGCCTTCTCTGTGTCTTTTCTATCTTGTTTGTGGGACTAGATCACAAGTATTAGGAATACTGTGAAATCCCAGCTGCACTGAGTTATTTTCTTCTCATTTTCCCCCTCTCTCCCTTGTAGTCTTACTGCATTCTCCTTTATTGGTCTTCTCATTACTTTTCAATATCAGCAGTTACTGTCTTGTTATTTTATTGAATCCACTTGTTATTTATGATTTAGAAGATTATTGGACTCCTCATTAAGGAGTGAGGCAACATTCAATATTATTAATATGTCAAAGAGCTTTGAGATATCAAAATTGTCTATTTAAATGTCTCCAAGGACTCTTGGGCTACTAGAAAACTGACCATAATATTTTAATATGATATAATTAATATCACCTCTTTAAATTTTCTTTTGTTCATGTTAATAGCAAGTGACTCTTAACAAATAATTGGGATTGTTCCAAAAGTTTGTTTAAGCCACATTTGCATAAATATGATTATGACATGGTAAAATATTTGAAATAAAGGCAATACAAGGCAATTTCTCAGGAATTAATAGTTTTCTTTGATTACCTAATTTTGGAGAGAGCTTTATGGGACAACTGTCCAGGCCAACAAACTCATTAAAAGGACCTAGGCCATTTGTTGAAAGTCTTGATACTCAGTTCTGCTTCAATTCAGTATGTTTCAAAAAAAATTTTTATACCACTGCTTACTCTGCCTATTTCAGAAGCAGCTCTAACCTTCATTCCCCCTCTGCCCTAAGTGTCTCAGGCTTGCCCCAAGTTCTCCTAATTTTGGATGATTAATGGATTCATTGATTCATTGATTCATTGATTCATGGATACACACACGTGCACACATACACACACAGGAGATTTCAATAATAATTGATTCACTGCTGTATGTCAAGTATTCTTCTAGGTATTTGGGGGTATTAAAATAGGCATTTGGTCCCTGCTCTTTTTTTTTTTTTTTTTGAGATGGAGTCTTGCTCTGTGGCCCAGGCTGGGGCAATCTTGGCTCACTGCAAGCTCCACCTCCCAGGTTCACGCCATTCTCCTGCCTCAGCCTCCTCAGTAGCTGGGATTACAGGCGCCCGCCACCACGCCCGGCTAATTTTTTTTTGTATTTTTTAGTAGAGACGGGTTTCACCACGTTAGCCAGGATGGTCTCGATCTCCTGACCTCGTGATCCACCTGCCTCAACCTCCCAAAGTGCTGGGATTACAGGCGTGAGCCACCGCGCCCGGCCGGTCTCTGCTCTTATGGGGCTTTAATTTTAGAAAATAAAGTTAGTAAAGTCAAACAATAAATGAACAAAAAATCTTCTGCTGAGGTGAAGAAAATAAAGCAGTCTAGCTGATAGAAAGTAACTGGTGAATTGGCTACTGTAGATAGTGTCAGAGAAGATGTCACTCTGAGGAAGTGACATCATTCGTTCTTTGACCTAACTGAGGAGAAGGACTAGTTACGGGAATGTTGGGGGCTGAGGGTGGCAGAACATTCCAGGAAAGAGGAACAACCCATGCAAAAATCCGGTGGGATGAAAACAAGCATGGCGACTTTGAGGTCTGCAAGAAGGCTGGTGTGACTAGAAAATCATGAGGGCAAATGGGTAATAATAAAGGACATAGGCAGGGGAAACATTTGGATTTTATTCTAAAACCTAAGGGAAGTTCTTGATTGCTTTTGATCAGAAGGGTGATGTGATTTTATGACACAGTGGACATGATCTTTTTATTTTCTTCACGGAAATACTTGAGTCATCTTTTATACTCTCCTGCCATGTAAATCCTGTTTCCTTCTAGCCTTGTCTACCAGGGAAGAAGTCAAAATGCAAGGGTAGGAATCTTCTTTTAGATTTTATATATTTTTACTTTAATTCTACCATATATTTTTTATTTCTAGGATCTTTTACCCTCAAAACAGCTTCTCATTTGGTGTTTGACACAATCTCTCTTCCTTTCTTCTTCCAAGCTCAGCAAATCTAAAATCTTCAACACAATTAAGTAAGTTATCCTACAAACTCTATAGTATAATTGACCTCAATATCATTTTTTTCCTCAATAAATTATGGAATATATGAAATGCCTCCCAAAAGAAAATATTATCTTTCATTAGAATATAGAGTCTAGAAGATAATCACCATCTTCCATATGTTCTGAATCCTGAAATCTGACTTAAGTGGTATGTGTGTGTGTGTGTGTATGTGTGTGTGTGTGTATATATATATATATATATGAATCAATACAGGTGATAAGGACCAGAGTTTTTAAGGTGAGAAAAAAAGGTAGAAGAAAGAATTCAGAACAGTTCATATCCTGCTTGGCCCTCTCCTCAGGCTTCTTCATTTTATCACCTGTTTGTAATTCATCCTACAATTATTTTACTATGTCTTGTTTATTTATTCTAGGGATTTACTTAGTAGTATAAGGTATATATTAGTAAACAAAACAAAGATTTCTAAAGTTATGGAGCTTATATTCTAACAGAATAGGGGAAAATATTATTTACAGGTATTTCTTAAAATGCTCTTATCATATTAGGATGGGTATGTACCAATGAAATTCGCTGAGAAGAAATGGGAGGCATCAAGAAGACAAAGAAGAAGCCTTCAATATCAAGGTCTTTTGTAATTTTCTTGGTGAAGGACAACATATATATCTTGAGTGTTTCCACTTTGAAATTTATCACCTTTTTTGCCTCCTTCTTGCATCATTTATGTATATATTTTTCCATTCTTTTTGCCATATTATTATATAGATAGGAAATGAATGTACCCTTTTTCCCTTCTTCTTAGTTGGTACATACTCATTTGGTACATACATATTTCTTTTAATTCTATATTCATTACATTGTACCAAACAATACATATTTATTGGGAACCTATTAAGTATAAAGTATGTCATTTGTATCAAAGATATCATCAAGTTCTTTGAGCTTAAAATTTTTTATTGATTTTAATATAGGATATAATACTCTGTAATTTAAAAAATTATCTTTAATTCAGTTGGTACTAATTATGTTGTGACAAAAAAACAAAAAACAACAACAACTCAAACTAAAGCAAATCACAGAGATTTATTGGTTTGTTCTTCATGAAATTTCAGTCTTCATACAGGTATTTTTTCAGGGATTCAAATGGTATTGTCCTTATTTGGTTTCTCTCTCTCAGCTCTGCTTTTTACTATATTGGTTTAATACTCAAAATATTTATTGTATTTTCCTGTTGCTTCAAGAACATTCTTTCCATTTACCTCATCTCTGGTCCCAGGAGAAGACATGTCATTCATGCCACTTAAATCTGTGTATCCTATTTCTATGTCTGCAATCACTGGTTCAAAGAGAGGCCTATAGCCTGATCAAAGCAAACTAGAAAGAAGCAGACTTTTGCTAGGACAGTAGAGAGAAGAAAAGAAAAACAGCTTCTTATTTATTTATTGCTGAAATTTGAAAATGGGAAAAAATATATATTTTTTGAGACAGGGTCTCACTCTGTCACCCAGGCAGAGGTGCAGTAGTGCAATCACAGCTCACTGCAGCCTCAACCTGCAAGACTCAATTGATCCTCCTACCTCAGCCTCCCAAGGAGCTGGGCTGACAGGTGTGTCATTATGCTCAGCTAGTTTTCATATTTTTTGTAGAGATGGGGTTTCGCCATGTTGCCCAGGCTGCTGAAGAGTATTCTTGGAGCAATAGGGAATTACTACATATACCTCAAGAATTAAATAAACATAGCATGAGGCAGAGCTGAGATATATAGAAAAAACAAATACTGAGGATGCCATTTGAGTCCCTGGAGCAGGATCCGCATGCTGACTGAATTTGTGTGGAAGACAAGCCAATCAATTCCTGTATTGGCGTAAGCTAGTTTGAGTTGGTTCTTGTCATAACATAAACTGTGCATATGGAAATAAAGATACAAAAATTATGAGTGTTATATAAGTAGATCAAATGATTTTAAACTCAAAGTCTTATAAAACTATGAAAATTTAGAGTTGGGAGGGATTTTGTGCATCTCTATATCTAATCCCCTCTATTTATTATCAAGAAAATGAAGAATCAGTGAAGTTGAATAATTTAACATCTCAGAAAGTGCCAAGATGAGGAGACAAACCTAAGTGTCGTGGCTTCTAGCCCTCTGCTTCTTCCAGGACCCCACACTTTAATTCTGGTAAAGAGAGAAGCCTACAGATACATAAAAATTGTTCATGGTCATTTTAAATATCTTGTTTACAGTGGCAAACTTTTTAAAAAAAATATGGTTCTTGGCCTGGTGCGGTGTCTCATGCCTGTAATCCCAGCACTTTGGGAGGCCGAGGTGGGCGGATCACGAGGTCAGGAGATCGAGACCATCCTGGCTAACATGGTGAAACCCTGTCTCTACTAAAAATACAAAAAGTTAGCCGGGCGTGGTGGCGGGTGCCTGTAGTCCCAGCTACTTGGGAGGCTGAGGCAGGAGAATGGCGAGAACCCGGGAGGTGGAGCTTACAGTGAACCGAGATAGCGCCACTGCACTCCAGCCTGGGCGAAAGAGCGAGACTCCATCTCAAAAAAAAAAAAAAAAAAAAAAAAAAAAAAAAAAAAAAATATATATATATATATATATATATATACACACATACACACACACATATATATACACACATATATATACTTATATATACGTATATATACACACATATATACGTATATATACACACATATATACGTATATATATACACATATATATACGTATATATATATACACGTATATATATATGTGTATATATATATATACGTGTATATATATATAGTTCTTCTAAGAATGCCTTATAGCTTGCTTTGGTTTTCATCTGAATATTTTCTATTATTCATTTTCTTTTAGAAACCTTCCATTTTTATATGTAGCAAATGCAATAATTCAAACCAATAGCTTGCAAAATTTGAACTATTAGCCATGATAGAAGATCTATGAATTGCATATTGGTTATAGTTTTTTTTCACTTATTTTTAAAATAAATGCCAACAAAGACAATAAGATAATTTTTTTAGAATCATCACGTTTATTCCTACATAATTACTAATAAATAGGAGTTCATCTTCATCCACATATATAGTAAGGACTTCTCCGGTGCCAACATTCTATTTTCAGCATCAATAGCATATGTAGCCTCTAGAATCATGCACGTGTTTTTAATTTTATCTTGGACTTCCAAGAAATGTTTATAAGTAACATTCCTAAGAGAGAAAGACCTCCTAAATCTATGTCCTACAAATACTTTATCAGAAAAATTTAATATACTCACAGAGTTTTATCACTTCTCCTGAGAAGTTTAAGGAGACAGCTTGTTTTTTTGGCCTTCATTATAAGAAAGCAGTTAAATGTTAATTAATTGAAGAAAAAGACTGCTGAAAAAGAAAGCACTAAGCCTATTATAGAAATGAATCTTATTTTTCTGCCAAGTGCTTTATAATTAAAAGGAAACTCAGTAGAAAAGAAGCTTAAGCAATAACAGTAATATTAATAAAATACTGATTTTTAGAAAATTGCTTTTATGCTAAGAATGATTAGGTCCCATTTTACCCCATAATATACTTCTCAGATGATTTTAGTTTAGCACGTGTATTCTCAAGCTTGGTATTATTGAATCTCAGCTAGATAATTCTCTATTGTGGAGGGCTACCCTGTGCATTATAGGATATGTAGCAGTATCCTTGGACTCCACTTTCTAGATGCCAGTAGCACCACACTTCCCCTGTGGTGACAAGCCAGATAACCCCAATATCCCTGACAAAATTTATCCTCCTTCCCCTCCCCAACTGAGAACTGCTGGTTTAGAAATTGAAAAAGTGGGACAGAATTACAGAGAGGTCAACTTATTGTAAATTAGATAATTAGTCATTGACACACCTACTTTTAGGAGCCATGTCTCACACCTCCAGCCCCTGAAATAAACTTTACCATTGACCAAAATCCCATCTTTTTTGTATACATCAGGTCATTGTGTAGGTTCAATCGCAAAGCATTGATGCCTTTTCTTGTCTATCCTACCTTTGCAATTTTGCTGGGGGTTTTGTCTGATTATTGTGGCCTTTTGGGGTATCCTACATCCCCCTGCCTACCTCACACTTCCCATCTTTCTTCAAACCAGCCCAAAATACAAAATGATTGCTTTTGTTTAGATTGGCTGTCATTCAAGATTTTGCCAAGTGTGACAATTTAGCAGTTCCCTCAAACTTGAATGAGTCGTACTTGAAAGGGAAAATATGCTCTCATAGTGTGATGCTTATTAAACAGTATTAAAGCTTTGAGCATTCCCATGTTGATGACTTGCATAGCACATTACTGCATTAATGTAAGTATTTTTGCCTGTCAAACATTAAATATGGATAAGATCTGCAGTGTCATTTGGTTCACTTTGCTACTACTGAAGCATTGCTTCTCCATAATACATGCTGGCCCACTGTTCCCAGTCCAATTTAAACTATAAGTAATGATGGTGTATTTCTACTTCCTTTGGGAGAGCATTACAAAGTTTAATTTACTGTTTCCTAACAACTTGTAATAGTATCAGTAGTTAATGTTCTAGAATTTTGATAGTGAAACTTTCTGCTAGTCTACTTTCTTCCTCAAAGGTGAACATTTTAATATCATAAGAAGGTTTTTCATACATCCCAGCTTTATTCCCAAAGACTATAGAATACTTCTAAAGTTTGGCTATTTCTAGTCCACCACAATCTTTTCCCACACACAGTTGTTTGAATATATTTGACAGTCTAATACTTGATAGCACCTACTACTTCAAAGCACACACTGGTATCACCTTACTTGATTTTTATAAGATCATTTTGGGGATAGGCAGGCCAGTATCCAAGCTTTATTTGACGGGTGGATATATGAAAGCTCATAGGGGTTAAATAATTGTCCTCAGTCACTAACATTTATGTACAACGTTAAGATCTGGCAATGATTGAGCCACACTCATTGCATTTGCTCCACAACCTGTGAAATGAGGAGGGCAGGTATGAGTATTTTCATGACCTCCATTTTCCAGAAAAGAAAACTGAGGCACAGAAAAGTGAAGTGACAGAGCAAATGCTTGTTGGCCCTCAATTTAGGTCTTTTGACTCACATTTAAATGTATTCTTTAATGTTGCTTTTCTTTGTTTTGTTTGTATAATTATTTACCTCTTCCTTTTGTTATTGAAAGGGCTTCACCATGAAATATACCCATATAACAAACCTGTACATGTACCCCCTGAATCTAAAATAAAACCTGAAAAAGAAAAAAGAAAGAAAACAGAAATAAAAAAAAAAAAGAAAGCCTCCACCTAGAAAATGAGGATTTTACTGGAATTCACAGATAATAAAATACAGTGATTGAGAGAATCTCCTGAGAAAATAATTTGCTCAATTTGATTTGTTGTTTGTGTACCAAACATGTAGTATTAGATTAATTCTTGCTCTCTATGTCTGTCTTTTTTCTCAGTGGTCCTTCCATCCATATTTTAATCTGTAGCCATCCAGGTCAGTTTTGAGGAGATGGCCTCTATGTTTGTGTTGCATTAATTCTTATACAACAAGATTTCTTTATTTTCTTTTAATTTTTACCTTTAATTCTTATTATTGTGCATTGTATAACCCCCAGATGAAAAGATTAATTGGTTTGGGGAAAGCTCAAGAAATACTAGTCTTGACAGAGTCCGAGGTCATTCCAAAGCTCTCCCAACACAGAAAATGAGGCAGACCCTCTTAGATTTTACACATTTCACGAAGTCTTATATCACAAGTGGGAAAATAGATAATTCTGGAGGAATTTGTATCAAAGCTGAAAAGCTGACATATTATTTGAAACTTAATAGGATCAAACCTCCTTCCAGCACAGTTAGGGATTGGGCTCTTGCAGGTGCTACTGACACTCACTACAAAGGACCTGACACGCCCACAGGTTTCTAGCTGCAGTGGCCTTGTACTAGTATGCTGCTATGCTACTGTGGAGAAAATTGCCATTTTGACTGTGATCAAAACACAATCCTTTTGGCTATCAAACATCCAGCAATAAATTTCCATTAAAATCCAAGCTCTGTAAAGCCTTCTTCAGGGGAAATAAACACAAACCCCCAAAAAGGTATCTTGTATACATGAAAAGAAAAAATCAGTTTTAGGTTAAAATCAGTCTTAGAGGAATAGGAAAAGAGGAAATTTTTAAAGAAACCCCTGAGGTTCCTCTTCCAAATATTGACAAACATTCAATCTTATTTAGAATGTTGCGTTGCCTAGCAAAATGAAGGATATAGTACATCATATCCTTATTAAATCTTGTAGCAGCTAATATGGTAAAAGTCCTTTTGCTACAAGAGCCTAAGGTGATTGAAGAGGGAGGTAGTAACCAACCACTTTATTTAGGCCAGGACTCCGATATTGTTTTGTTTTGTTTTTTAATATGGTTTGCTGGATAAATTCATTTTCAGACCACCTATTCCAATCTGATTTTTTAAGAGCCAGTAAAGGTATGCTAGATTTTATTTTCTAAAATATACCCTCCTATTTTGAATCTAATGAGCTGTTTCCAGTTTGGATCCCCAGGTATATTCTGTGAGGTTGTTGGAATTTTGAGCTGCCAAACTTAGGACCAAGTGAGTTGAAGCAGTTGTTGAATGGTGACTCCAGCACATTGATGGCAGAATGAGTCAGGGTAATATGCAGTCACTCCCCAAAGTCCTATTCTAGAGGACCAGAAACAATTTCTCTCTTACATAATGAACAAATGGGTAATTCTTCTAGAAAGCACTCTTATGACATATTTCAAACATCACATCACATCCGATACATCAGTCAATAAATATGCATCCAAATGCTTTTCTCCAGCCATGGCACAAACTGTTTCATCAGTGAAATTCCACAAAGTTTATGTAGACACTGGAGATCACCTCTGTGCCATATACACAGCTTATGCAACATTTAAGGCTACATATGATCTCAGTCCCCAAGAGTTGTATTTGCCAAGAGTAGAGATAAGAAAAAATTCCTTCAATGCTCTCCTGTCTACCTTTTTAGCTTCCTCTCTCATCATTCTCTCTGCCTTATTATTATCATTGTTGCCATGCTAAATTGCTTATATTTCTTTGCATACCAAGCTCATTCTTACCTTGGTAGCTTTGTTCATGCTACGTATCCATCTGTTTGGAAGTGTTTCTATTCCTACCCTGTCTCCCATCTTGTCTGAATCATTCCTAAGTATCCTTTAAGACTCAGTCCTTCATGACTTTAGTTCAGAAAATTATTGACTATTGAAGGAACAAATGAATGCATCTTGAAGAAAGTTGTGGACATTAAATAGTGGAAAGGCAGATGTGGACATACCAGTCTAGTTTGGGAGATAAAATACATCCCATATCCCAAGTATTATAGATGAATACCTGAAGGAAATGTTGCTGTTCATTCATACATACCAATCCACATGGGCTGTCCACATAAATGACAGAATTTTGCCATTCTTCTTCCTTTGAATTGCCTTTCCTCTACTCTTCTTTGTTATTATACTATCACCTTACATTGATGGATATAATAATTGTGTAAGTATTATTTTTTATTCACTATGGGGATGTGATTAAGAATAAGGCTCACTGGCCAGGTGTGGTGGCTGATGTCTGTAATCCCAGCACCTTGGGAGGCTGAGGCAGGAGGATCACGAGGTCAGGAGATTGAGACCATCCTGGCTAACACAGTGAAACCCCATCTCTAGTAAAACAAACAAACAAACAAAAAAACAAAAAACAAACAAAAAAAAACATTAGTCGGGCATGGTGGCATGTGCTTGTAGTCCCAGCTACTCAGGAGGCTAGGCTAAGGCAGGACAATCGCTTGAACCCGGGAGGTGGAGGTTGCAGTGAGCCGAGATCAAGCTACTGCACTCCAGCCTGGTGACAGAGAATCCGTGTCAAAAAAAAGATACTGCTCACCATTAATATGGTGAATGCTCTTCTTATGAGGACCTTCAGGAGAAATTTTTCTCAGCTCACAGTAACATAAATAATTCTGTTTTGGAGAAATTGGTTTACTTTTATTGTATGAGTATTAAATATGTAACTTGCGATTTCGTCACCCTTTGCATTGTTGCTTGAAAGTGTAGTGTCAGAGTGTGATCCAGAGATCAGTAAATGGTATCAAGTAGTTTGCATGTTGTGTGTAAGTCACAGTCCAACTTTATCTTCATTGCTGTACCTCATTGGCCCTTTAGCTTATTTTTCCCACTTATGTTTTTATTTAGTAAAAAAGAGTATATTTTTATACAATGCCTATTAAGGAAAACATACAGGTGATAAAAATGAAGAATACTTCTGGGGTAAAATCAAATCTATTGGAGTGGAATGAAGTTCCTCAGGCAAGGCATGCTGAAGTAATCACACCCATCTCAAGCCTTCAGTTACTGTTGATCAACTTATTTTCTCTAGTCCAGACCCAACTTCTAACTACAGACTCC
Source organism: Homo sapiens (assembly GCF_000001405.40). Lineage (NCBI taxonomy): Eukaryota > Metazoa > Chordata > Mammalia > Primates > Hominidae > Homo > Homo sapiens. The sequence continues at coordinate 66,679,474 of NC_000010.11, read as the reverse complement.
TGTTTCTACCTCCCAACAGACTTCTCCATATAAACATTCTGCAGACACCTTGAATTTAACTTATTTAAATCTGAATTCTTGTTTGTTACACTCTCATCTTGTATTTACACGAGTGTTTTTCTCTTTCAGGGAATGAAATCACCAATCTCCCAATTGCTGAAGCTAGTATCCTCAAAATCATTCATCATTCATTCATTCATTTGTCCATGATTCATAGCCAGTAATTCTGCCTTCTTGGTGTGCTTCAAATCTGTCTCAGATTGAAATGGCTTCGCATTCCTGTCTGCTACTGACTTAGTCTAGGATTTCATGATTTCTCATTTGAATTATTAGATGAACACCTTGGCACTACCAGATCCACCCTGCTCACCACCTAGATATCCTACATCATGCTGCTAGAGTGATCTTTTAAAAACAAAACATTGACCATATTACACCCTTACTTAAAACCTTTTAATGAGTCACCAGTGTGCTCAGGATGAATCCAGAATCCTTAGGGAAATATACAAGAAGCTTCATGACCTGGTGGTCCCTCCTTCTCCAGCCTTTAAACATTACTTTACATGCGCTGCTCTCCCAGATTCTTTGCCTTTCTCCCACCAAACACATAAAACTGACACACTTGCGTGCACACACACACACACTCTCATACACATGTTTTTCCCCCCTTAGTTAATTAGAACACTCTTGATGAAAGAGGAGTCGACTCTTTGGAAAGAATGTACTTCTAGACCAAATATGTAGCAATAAAGGAAGGGAAGAACTGCAAGTAATAGTTCAGTGAGCTGACTAAGCCTCTTTAATATTACAGCCAGATCACCAGATAGTCATGACTCAAGAAATAGCCCCAAAAGTGTTCTTCTAAGAAGTCTTATGTGACCCTTCCTGTCTAACTTTGACTTTTGTCATTGCCCCTTCTGCATTCCCTGTTGTGATTCTTCATATAACATACTTATAAACATTGAATTGCTCTAGACAACTTAAGGGCAGGGGCCATATATGTATATATGTGTATGCATGTGTGCATGTGTGTGTGTATGTGACAGGGACCAAATAATTATAATTTTATCCTCTTCTATTTGTAAGTGCTTAATAGATAAGCTTTGAGTACCCAATAAATGCAGTAAGGATCTTGAAAAGACTGCAGGTAGGGAATAGGGGAAAGGCTAGTAAAGGCTTTCTGAGTCAGGATAATTATGAGAGCACAAAAGCATAGATGAGGGAACTACTAGGTCAGGGAGCAGATGGCCTAGGTTCTAGTGGTAAGTAGTCCTACAGGCTTTCCCTCATTTTTATCCTTGTTGTTCAGGGAACATAAATAATCACCAGTGACAAGGGAAAGCATATTTTGTTGTCATTGTCATTATTATTTACAATCTTTCATTGCATTTCAAGGAAGATGGACCTTTAGATTGAGTTCCGTTTATAGTGCTGAATGCAATGGCAAGTGAGATTGTATGGTTTTGGCAGGAGGAGTTGAGGCAGAATGGACATAGGGATATCTGTTTTTTACATAGAAAGTTTTAAGATTATAGCTGGAAGGAACCTTAGAATAGTTGTTACTCAAAGTTTGACCTATGGTCCAGTTCTGGTCAGTCCATTACAATGACCCAAGTTGATAGGAAGATTTTAAAATCTTTTGTATTAGTCTATTCTCACACTGCTAATAAAGACATACCAGAGACCGGGTAATTTATAAAGGAAAGAAGTTTAATGGACCTTATAAAGGAAAGAGGTTCCACATGGCTGGGGAGGCTTATAATCATGGCAGAAGGGAAATGAGAAGCAAAAGCACATCTTACATGGCAGCAGGTAAGAGAGCTTGTGTAGGGGAACTCCCCTTTATAAAACCATCAAATCTCATGAGACTTATTCACTATCATGAAAACAGCATGGGAAAGCTCCGCCCACATGATTCAATTACCTCCCATTGGGTCCTTCCCATGACATGTGGGAATTATGGGTGCTACAATTCAAGATGAGATTTGGGTGGGAACACAGCCATACCATATCATCTTTATAGCAACTTGAAGGAGTATTTTTATATCTATTGAGTCTGATTAAAAAAAAAGTGGGCTTCTATTTTGTATAAAATTATTTTTTATTTCATTTTTGTATGATTTTTAAAAGGAGGTGGTTCATAGCAGATTGGAAATTACAAAGTGCTAATTCTTCACTACAGATAGTTAGAGAAGCACTCCTTTAGTGTGTATGTTTTTTTAGTAACACTTAAATAATATGCTGAACAATTTCTCCTATAATTTGAGTTTCCTGCCAGATCCTCTGAAGCTCCTATGTCACCCCAGAATAAGGGTTCCTGATCTGGCTCAAACCAGTCATTTACAAACAGGAAACCAATGCTAGAGAAGTCAAGTAATCTATCCACAATACCATAGTAAAGTAGAACCCAACTTAGTTTCCTTCCATTCAACTAAATTAATGTATTTCTTCCTACTTCCAAATACCCCATTTCTGACCACTCAGTACCACCAGAATGTGGCTTGGGTTTCTGCTTATCAAGATTTGTAACATACTAGACTGTGCCATGAGACTTTGAGGGAGATTCACCTGCTCTGCCCACTTGTTTAAGATGACATGCAACACATTTATGACATTGTAGAAAAATGAAGGCATGTGGGCCAGCCTGTGCTGCCAGAATGTTTATTAACTATTGACTCTAAACTCCATTCTTGCTGTAGCTTGCTTTTTTGAATAAATCATCTCTTGACTGAATATTTTATTTGTATAAATTACCTTTAATTTCAAATAGATCCTGGTGGTAGTACATGGAAAATATGGCATTACTAACAAATGTGTTTTATTTTGTTTTCATCCTCCTGAGTCCTAGGACCATAGCTGGTTGTGAGAGGGAGAAAGAGAGAGAGGCAGGCTATGAGAAATGGTTTCTCTGAAGTTTGAAGTCTGATGTAGGAGAAAATCTGCAGTCACAAATGAAAGTATCCCAGGCAGAGAGAGGGTACCTTTGGCTTTCCTGTCATGCGTGATTGATGCTTTCCCTTTATCACTCTAGCTCATGTATCCTAGAATTTTTTTCTCTCTTGCTGCCACAGTCATAATTAATGATTAAGGTACAGTAACTAGCATAACACCTGGCTATTAATTTCAGGAAGTAGATTGGGGTGCATAGCATTTGACCTCACAGACGCTCAGGAGGAGTCTGTACAGCTTCCTTCACTGCATAAAGTTGAATACCTTTTCCTATCCCAGCAGCCATTTTGACAGCCTGCCTACACAGAACAAGCCAGTCTAACCTCTTTCTCTGTCACCGTTTTCTTTTTCCCCCAGTCCATTTCACAACCTGGAAGGAATAAGATAAATTGCAGTTGTGTGTGTGTGTGTGTGTGTTTTAAAGGTTTTAACTCTAACATGTAGAAATTCCCATTATTTATGTTAACAGAAAATAAATCCTCCGTTGTACAAAAGCTTTCTTCCAATGATTTAGACATGACTGGTTTTATGTAAACAATAGCTCTGAGACCTTGCACCTCTCTTTGGTCCTTTTGATTTTATATAGTCAGGTTGCAACTTCTGTGTTTCCAGATTCAAATTTCTGGGTGGCATAGCCTTTGCTTTCTCCAGATAGTATCTCCCAAATATTCTGTCATAGCCACAGGGATTGAAATCTTATTTTCATGTATTAGGCTGAAGATAATATAATTAAGAAGGCAAATAGTAACCCAAACAGTCACATAATGGTATCTGTGCCAATAAAAATGATTCAGGCTGGATGTCTCTTTTGAGTTGTTCACATAACCACTCTTGACCATAAGCACAGAAATTTTGAGATGAACTAAAAGTAAATCTTACTAATTAAGTGGCCAGAGGTTGGAGAAAGTAGGAAAATAACATAGTTCTCAATTTAATTAAATTCAGATTGCAAGTAATTTTAATCATGTTGACAGCTATTTACTTTGCATCATTTTAGCTAAATAAGCAACTTAACATGACATTACATAGAATCTGTTCCTCGACTAACTCAACTGCCATAAAAATAATGAATATTTTGGTTATTTTCAAGATCCAAAATATAATTTCCAGCTTTAGGATGGGAAGTTAAACCAACTCATTTTTTTTCTTCCCTTCATATCTTAACCCCATGAAAATGACTAAAGAAGCACAAAATGAGCAAAAAGGTATGTAGTAATACTAGAAAATAGGAAGGGTAACATCAAGCAAGCATACTCTTTCAGTAATTTATTTAAAAAGAAAAAAAAAAGCAGCAGCAGATGGATCGGGTTTAATCAAGGAGCTGACAATGGCTTTTGTTTTGCTCAATATAAACCAGGTAAGGAAGCCCTGAGAGGCAAGTAGACAGTCTTTCCAGCAGAAAACTGTGGGAATCTTATGCTTGGGAAGCTGTAGCGTTGTTTAACCCCCATTTGAAAGAGTGGGAATGTCAGAGAGAATCACACAAGAGGCCCTCTAGGATTTATTAGAGCTCTGCAGAGAGAAGATAGCTGAAATATTTGCCCTGGTGCTTCTTCCACTTGGTGTCATCGGCATTCTAAATGCAGTTGGAGCTTTTCCTACCCACTTTAACTTTGCTTTTTCTCTTTGAAACAGATGTATCAGGTTCATTTCCAGCATATGCACCTGGGAATAAATCAACCTTTCTGTTCCTCTTTATGCCCTGAACACAGCAATTTCATGACATCAAAGGTGGCCTAAGCAGAGGGAGCCCGTATCAACCACTAGGATGGGCAATCTAACGCTGAACGCATACATATGAACAGATAATAAAGTATTACCCATCATTGGAGAGAATAGGGATAAAGCTGGGAATTAGAACAAATGAAATATAGATATTACAGGTAGACAAAAGATAATGATTTAGAATTCTAATTGATGTCCTCATTGATATTTGGGAGGTTTTTTTTTTCTTCACTCTGTAAAAGAGCAAACACACTGCTATGCAAAGGAGCAATAGGGTAATATTACTGAAGATTATTGCACATTATCTCTATGTGGTGAGAAAACTGAGGCATAGTTAATATACCTTGCCCAAGGTAAAATAGCTAGGAAAGTGCTAACCCAAGGCTCTAGAAAGACCTACATTCAGTGCCCATAACCTTAATTACACTATACACTGAATACCAAGGACTTAGAAACTGAAAAGAAGATGACCATTGTTTTGAAGAAATAATAAAAGAACAACAACAAAAAAACCCAAAAGCAAATAAAAACCCTTACTAGGACAAGAAAAGAGCACAACAGCTATCAATAAAAATCAGAAGCAAACCCAAGGAGTTATCCCATATGTCAGATTTTAAAAGAAGAAGTTAGAAAATCTCAGCAAATATTAGAGAATCTTGGCACTAACACCCAATACATAAATCTTATAAGAATAGATGGAATTGATTGAGGAGAAACAATAGTCACAGGAGAAGATACTCTCTTGAGCTAAAGACTTGAGGCTTCAGACCAAAAAAAAAATTAACAAGTGCTGAGTTAGTATAGTGATAATGAAAGAAGGCTCACATCTAGATATTATTGTGAGATTTCTAAATTTCAATAATAAAAAGAAAAACCTATACACTTCCTGGTAGAATGTAAAAATGTTTACAAAGACAAGAATCAAATTGCCATTGAACTTCTAATCTGACACTCTAAATTTGCCAGACAGTGTGCTCAGAAAGTTCTTGATACAAGCAAAAATAAAAATAAAAATAAAAACTCCTGTTTATTTTATTCAGATGTCTTTTGATGTTTCTTTGAAATGATGAATATAATAAGGCCCATATCTAATCTTCATTGCCTTTAAGATTATGTAGTATATCCTTTGACGATGTGGCTGTATTTGGTATATCTAATCATAGGAATTTAATTATTCATAAATTGGAAGCTTAAATATATCATTTTCCACCAGTAAAGATATTCTTAATAAACAAGTGTCTAGGAGTTTTGTATCTTAAACTAAAAGAAAAATTTCAGTATTGGAGCAAGCCTGGTGTATTAAAGTGTTATTTTATTTGTGGTCATTACTTTTACAATGTTGTAATGTAGACGATTTCTTTTGTTTGGAAACATAACATAGAACCACTTACAATTTAGCAACACTTAATGAATCTTTTACTCTTTTCCCAATATTTTTTAGCTACATCAACTTCAAAGTCAAGTTTATAATTTCATTAATGTATGTAATATGTCTATATGGTGATTTAACGAACAAAAATCTTTAACAAAGAGATAAGCATGATGGAATACATAAACAAAGGTGGTATGCAATCTGACTAAAGTGGTGCTAAATGGTGATAAATTCTGTTTTCAAATATTTTTCATGCTATTTGTTATCAGCTGTGGACATTTAATGCCTCATTAGCAATAGATTGAATCAGTACTTTAGAATCTATCCTTGGCAGTAGTAAATGCCCATTATATTCAATTATAATACATGCTGATGTGGAAAGAAGTTGAAATAGAAATGGAATTTAAGGCCCAGATCTGGATTTGCAACTAACATCCATATGGCTTTGAGAAAATTATTCAAATATTTAGAAGAATAAAATAATTTTATTATATATTAAAATTTTCTTCTAAGCCTAAAATTCTGAGACCCTCAGAATATAGACTGCATGAAAGAAGGCTGATCAATCTTAAGAGCTTTTTGGATCTAAACTGCTACTCCTTAAGGAGCTCTTCTAAACTTTCTTGAGCTTAAATTGAAAATAGTTTAACTCAGTTGATTATACAGCACTTGGTATTAAGATAGTGGGTGTTGCTCGGGTGGGTGGAGAAAAGCAGATGTGATGGAGGGTCTCTGTGGGTATGTGGAAGTAAAGAGGTAATTTACGTCTCCTCTCCCACCATAACCAAATACCTTGTAGGAACCAGAGACACTGTGTTATTTTTCCATAGCTTTCCTTTGAGTGTCTGTTTTAATAAAACTGTGAGTGACAATGTCGTAAAAAAGTCTTAAGGAAATTTTGATACATAACCCCCAAAGCATTGATAGCACCTCAACTTCGACATCTCATGATACCATTTTCATCTTTTTTCCCTAATTTTTATTACTTTCAATAGGAAAGTGGCTTTCTTGTTCAATTTAAATCAGTGAGTCAAAAGGAAGGATGGCTTGGGGTTGCTAGTGTTTGTTTGCAAGACTGTGAACTCCGTAAGAGCAGAAAATCTTATAATTTTAAAATTCAGCTCTTTATATCTTCTTCACACAGAGCCTATAACTTTGTTAGGTACTCACTATTTTTTTTTTGATAAAAAATGAATGACCAAGGTGAATGGCCAGGATGAGGGATATATCGATAGCATCTTTGTAGCGGTGAAAACATAGCTAGCCAGTAGGAGTACAGAGCTAATTGCTGGAGTTCTGTAGGGACTCTTCAGCCCCTTCCTCCATTCTCTCTGTTGATCAGCTGACTTGACTACAGGTCAGTTCTACTGAGGCCAAGGCTGTTTGCCTCTATATCCTAATGCTGACAGGTTTGAAGAGTTGAGGTCTCAGTTTGTCAGTCTAGGGCCTAACATTGGACATCACTTCAAGAATAATAACCAGCATTTATTTAGTCCATACCAACTATGAAACATTTACATGACTTTACATGTATTTACTTGTATGTATTATCCTATTTTATCCTCACAGCAACCCTGGGAGTAATGTGTACTACTCTTATCCCCGTTTTACAGAAGGAAGCTGAGGCATAGAGAGGCTGAATAATTTGCCTCAAGCCATTCAGATAAAGTGACAAATGGGACTGAAATCTAGGTAGTCTGACTTCAGAGTCCTGTGATCTTAATCATTTCCTTTTACTACCTGGTTTATCAGCTGAATATATGTAACTGTGTGAAACTCATGTTGCCACTCATGTGGAGGTCAGTAACTAAAAACATTTTCATTACAATTATTATAACTATTTAGGGTTTAACAAGAAAAGTAACAGAAAATTCAAAAGTACTTTAAAATCGGCCATTTTCATTCTTTCAAATATGTTCTGATTCCACAATAAGCAAATTCACAGCAAGAATTTGGAGCATTAGAATTATTTTTTAATTTAACTGAGTATCTTCATTTAATTGGTATTTTTAAAAATTGGTTTTCTCTTTCTTGGGTAATGCATAAATCTTCAAAGGAGTAACCTAATGCACTCCAATTCAAATATTAAAAAAATGATTTCAATAGATGGTTTTCAGCAATTGTACAAAATTAATATGGATCAAATAGCTTTTGTAATATTGTTATTGCGTCATATTTTAACTATAAAAATGCAATTAATGCTCTTATAACATATTTTATGGGGTTAATTTCCAGAAGAATTACAGTTAAACTAATGTTTCTCTAGTAAATACTTAGGAATAATTGAATTTGCAGTTTGGTTCTTAATTTATACTGATAATTGCTTCCTACAAAAAGACATCTCTAATTGTAATCAAATAATATCCTCTCTCCTTTGTTTAAACAGCTTCTCCCAAGAAATCCAAGTCCTGTTTTAAAACACAAAACAACTCAAACAAAAGCATTCTTAATGGAAACTTCTAATAGAAAAGCTTTATCATTAGCCATGAAGTTATCCACTTGAGTAATCAAATACTATTTAAGAATGCTTCATTTAGAGAAATGTTATGTTTCATAGACTGAGAAATATAAATCAAACTGCCAATTTCTGGTTGGCAGGTCTGTTTGAATCTGGTGGGCACACCCTGTGGTAGACAGAATTCAGATGTCTCTGCAAGATTCCCATTCCTGGTTATAATCAAATGCTAACCTAGGTAATGTTTTGAAGGAATTTTGAATATGAAACTAATATTACTAATCATTGACGTTTAAAGAAAAAGGAGATTAGCCTAGATTATCCAGGTGAGATCAATGTAATCACATGAACCCTTTAAGGGCAGAATCGGAGAACAGAAAAATCAGTCGGTGAGGGGAGCCTAGAAGAGAAGAGGTAGAAGGGGAGGTTAGAAGGATTTAAAATGTGAGAAGGACACAGCCTATTGTTGCTGCCTTTAAGATGGAGGAAGGGGACGCTGAGCCAAGGAAAGTGATTGATCTCTGGAAGTTAAGAACCATCCCTGGAGAAGAGCCCCAAGGAAATTGAGATGTCAGTTCTATGGTAGCATGGAATTGAATTCAGCCACTGACCTTGGCGTGGAAGTACTTTCTTTGCTCAGACCTTCAAATAAGAGCCCAGGCTGGCCAGCAACTTGATTTGGACCTTTTAGACCCCAGGAATCAGCTGAACCCAGCCAGATTTCTGACCTATAGAACTGAGAACAAATACATTTATGTTGTGGTAGGCTGTTGGGTTTGTGGTAATTTGTTATGGCAACAATAGTGAACTAATGCGTATCCCCCCCATAGTGGACATATTACTCTCATAATATGTTGCCATAACTGTCAGAAATAATTGAAAGAAGACCTTAAAGAATGTTTAGGGAAAGGGAGATTTCTATACCATGAATCTCAAATGTTCCTTGTTTAATTTTTTTTCAATTCTCCATATTGGATGAGCTTTGATTTAGAAGACATCTCAAAATTTATTCTATTTTTCATGCAATTGTTTTTATCCCCCCTTCCTCTCCTCACCCTCACTGCCTCACTGTGTTGCTGACAGCATTTATGAACCTCAGCATTCTGTACCTCTCAGGGCTGTAAGATTGCAGCAGAATAAACTCTATTTAATTAACTATACATTGACAATATTTTAAAGATGAATCCTCTCTTTACCTCCTCAATAGATTTTATCAAAGCTTGGAAAATTCATGCTCAAGGGGACTGCTATATGCAGAGCCCTCTGTGAAAGGAGTGTTCCTGTCCCATCCTCCACCCAGTGTTCCCTTTCCTTAACTGAAAACAGCTACCAGAAAAGAGGAGCTGTGGGTAAACATGGCAGTTGAATGGCAAAATGGAAACTTTAGATTATTTTTTAACTTTAGATTTCTTTTTCTTTTTTTCTTTTTTTTTGACAAAAGTCTCGCTCTGTCACCCAGGCTGGAGTACAGTGGTGTGATCTCGGCTCACTGCAACCTCTGCCTCCCGGTTCAAGTGATTCTCGTGCCTCAGCCTCCAGAGTAGCTGGGACTACAGGCACATGCCACCATGCCTGGCTAATTTTGTATTTTTAGTAGAGATGGGGTTTCACCATGTTGGCCAGGATGGTCTCGAACTCCTGACCTCAAGTGATCCATCAGCCTCGGCCTCCCAAAGTTCTGGGATTACAAACGTGAGCCACCACGCTCGGGCAACTTTAGATTTCTTTTAACATGATCTGCTATGACACACAACTTATTATAATATGAAATATTTTAGCTATACAAAAAGGCCTTGAGAATAATGAATGAACACCTGTGTTAACACCAAGCATACAGCATATTGTAAAAATAATTGAGGCTTAATTCGTTCTCCGCCCTCTCTCAGATTATTTAATATGTTATTTCAAGTAATTGAATTATATTAGAGATTTAGAATATTGGAACATATATATTCAGTATATGGATAATATCCAAGATATAAAAATATACCACCATCAAATAGCACACAAATGGCTCATTTAGATAATTTGGTAATCCAGTTTTTATCCAAGTAGTCATTGTGTTTTTAATGTAGTCAAAATGTCTAATTTGGGAACTTTGCACAATGAGATATATATATATAGAATATATATGTGAGATATTTTATTATTTATTTATTTTTGAGACAGGGTCTGACTCTGTCGCCCAGGCTGGAGTGCAGTGGTGCCATCTCAGCTCACTGCAACCTCCACCGCCCAGGTTTAAGTGATTCTCATGCCTCAGCCTCCCAAATAGCTGGGATTACAGACGTGCACCACCACACCCGGTTAATTTTTGTGTTATTAGTAGAGACGGGTTTTGCCATGTTGGCCAGGCTGGTCTCAAACTTCTGGCCTCAAGTGATCCGCCCACCTCGGCCTCCCAAAGTGCTGGGATTATAGACATGAACCACCGCACCCGGCCAATATATTTTATATATAAGATTATATATCTTTGAATATATATGTGTATGTATGTATATATGTGGATGTGTATCACACACACACACACACACACACACACACACACACATATGAGAGTTGAGAAAAAAGTTTTAGGAACCCATCCTGATAAGTATATGTGCTTTCAAATGATTTTAATTTGTGAAAATGGAAACAGGCTCCTCATTCTAAAGAAACATGACCTTGTAATCCTACTTTTTGCAGACATATTTCCCTTTTATGTTTCCCATTATATTCCCCTATATAGTTTCCTTTTCCATCATCAGTTCTTAATTTCCTTATTACTTAGCAAAAACGCTATTTCTTAGTGATAAATTAGTAAATTGAGTGTTGGAAAGAAACTCTTTTAATATACCCTTATTAGAAGAAAGCATTTAACTCTTTTAATACACCCTTATTAGAAGCAAGCATTTAAAACAATCTGTAAACCTGGGCTAGGGTGTGAGTGAATGATTCATGATCCTTTCATCAATCTGATTTGATAGTGAGTAGTTTGTTATTAGTAAATCAAACAATTTATTTTTATCATCTTCTGTGATACTTTAATGGGCAGCTGTGGGCACTATAAGAGTATATGCTTCAACCCTGGGAGTTTATAATCTTTTTTGAAAAGTTAAGGCATATGCCCATGAAAACAAACAGAGCAAGAGCCAACTAGATGTAACTGACAAATACTGTTATAGGGAGAAATGCAGTCAATAGAATATTTAAGCTGTGCTGGGAAGAGATGTCTGTACAGACTACTAAAAAGAACCTCTTAAGTATAGATAAATTGAAGAAGTAATGAGAGTGAGCCAGCACAGAATTATTAAAGAAAAACAAAAGACTAAATCTTGCTTCTTTATTCACTTGGCTTACTAGGCTGTTAGAAAGTATACTAGAGCCAGGCAATCTGGATTTCTGTGAGACACTTGACATTCTTTCTCAGAGTGTACAAATAAAAAAAAATAGAAAACTATGGATTTTATGTAAGGAAATGTACAGTTAGTAACATTAATACCTCGATGAAGAAATGTTAGTCAAAACATACTGCTGATACTTTAACACAAAATGGAAAAGTTGTGTGCGGGACAATATTCTCAGCTCTGTTCTCTTAACGTTGTTTCTGCAAATTACTGGCATGAGCAATCAAGATGATAGGAGATAAAATTTGCAAATAATCAGAGCTTCAGAAAATAATGAATGTATTACATTCCAAAATATCTGGACAGGCGGGAATAGATAAAACCTAACAAGGGCAATTTTATCAGAAATAAATTTAACTTTGTGCTCTTATAGTAACAAAATTAGGCAAAAAAAAAATTACTACTCTTCAAAAACAAACCAATCATCTAACCAACCAAACACACTGGAAACCTCGCGGTAGTGAAAATACCTTTCAACAGTTGTACAAGTAGGTTAGATAGATAGTTTTAAGGATTGTGCTTGACTATAAACTCAATAGGGGTTAATAGTATGATTCTCTGATAAAATAGCTAATGTGCTAGTGTGATCTTAGGCTATATCACTGTTTCACAGCCTTTTTTTAAAAAAAACTATTATCCCTTTAAGGAGTCCCTAAAAATGTTTTTTTCTGATCACTTCCCCAATGAAATTTGAATACCACAGATATTTAAGTACATAACATATCTGTTAATGTACTTTATGTACATTATATGTGCTTTATACATTAAAAAAGTAAGTTTTTTTTCCCCAAGAACCAGTTTTCAGCCTCTTGGGGGTGATATCACTCCTGTTGAGCATTTATGGGCTTTATTTAATAGAGAATATTCTAGAAAGAAGAAAGAAAAATTCTGTTCTTAGCAGTCCTTACAATAATGTGTTTAATTCTGAATACCACATTTTAAGACATATTTCAAAACCTAATGGCATATAAAGGAGAGCAATTAGGATGGCACAACATGAAGAAATTTTAAAGGCAAGCAATGGTTATTCTGGGGAAAATGCAAAAAAGGTGTCCTTATTATACCTATGTTCAAGTATATAAGAGACTCTTATATGACAAAAGTGATCAATTTTTTAACAGTTGCTTTAGGAAAACATTTTAGCTAAATATTATAAGTTATTTAATCCAAAGTATCCAAAGATGGAACAGGCTGCTTCATTAGGAGTTTTGTTACTAAAGTACTTGACCCTGTGGTGGGGACCATGGTAGAAAAAAGTCAAACCCTGAATGGACAGGATGATTTTAGCATCTCTTTCATTCCTGAAATTCCGTAATACCAGGCAGCAAATGAATTGAATCTTGAAGGAGAAGACAGAGTTAGATGTGCTCAGAGGATCTCATACTCCAAAGTAGACAGTCTGGCTTAGGAAAATACATGGGAGTCAAGGCAAACGAACTTGGCTTCTACTGTCTGCTCTGTCCAGAATTCCCTGTTTGGCCCCAACTGGTTACCAACATCCAGGGGCCTGTTTTCTCGCCTGCAATGTGTTGGACTTATATTAGATTGTGTTTATCTTTTCTAGTTCTAGAAAGCTAAGATTCTGTGACTCAATGATTTATAGTAGGAAAACTTCGTTCCTATTGTCTAACCTTCCCCACCAGCTCAAGCAATTCACAAAGTACTTATAAGTCATAAACCAGCTGTTTTGGCCCTTGAGTTGTAATATGTGACAAAAATATCATTTTTTGGAAAGTGTAATCTCTGAGAATAGTTTAGAAAGGTGAAGGGAAAAAATTTATAAAACAAAAGAGGTGTTTTATGATTAAAAAGAAGTTATGATCATATAAAAGTATTGCTAGTCAGGAATTTCTGACACTGTCATCTCTCCACAGCTGAGGATCTTTCAGACTTTTAGAACATCAGGCCTTTAAATCCTCAATGGACAAATGTGGCCTTACTGGCCTATGCTGGCATTGAAACAGATGGGTCGGGGAAGTTAGACAATGTTTATAAGAATCCATCAATTGACTTTTTCAGACTCATGATTGGGTAAAGATTCTCAGATATTTATGTTGTTTAAATCTAAGCCTATACAAAGAATGTCTGAAATAAAAAAGAATACAAAGACAGAGATAAAATTGTGTGACTTTTGCATTTGCAGGAATCATTATTGAAATTACAGCATGCAAAGGGCTTTACTATGTAAAATACCAAAAGAGTTGTTGCTTTTGTTGTTATTATTATGTGTTGACTTGATTTCTTTGACTGATTCACATCCTGAAGGGTCTGGCAGAAATCCAATGCTTTTTATCCTCCATGAACCAATTCTTACACCCATTTTAGTCCAATTTTGTTCATGTTTTTCTCCTCTGAGCTGAAATGAGCTGAAGTAAGCTTCATTAACTGAAAAGGCAGAAAATTTATATGAAATAGTAGAAATTGGGGAAGCTGGGAGAGGGCACCATGATATGATGGCAAGAGAAGACCTTGTGTTGGCAGTGTGACCTTGGGTAAGTCACTTAACCTGTCTGACCTGTTTTCTTACTTGTTATACAGAGTAACTACATTGGCCCAGCCAATCTTTTTTACATAATTTTTTATCCGCTCTGTGTATTTGTATTAAATCACTGGGAGAGTCTTTACAAAACAGAGATGTCTGGGTCCTATCCAGTTTGTAGGAAGGTCTGGATCTCTGTTTTTTTTTTTTTTTTTTTTTAATTTTTTCAGCTGACTCATATTCAGCCAGGGTGGATGAGCAAAGCTTTATAATATTGTCGTAAGGACAAAATTGAATAATATTATCAAAGGATCCTGAAAGGCATTATTTCAATGAGCATTTCCCAGTGAGAAATATCAGTGAGAGAGATTTTTTTCCCATGGGATTTTTCTTCCTAGCAACATCAGCTTCTGGGCTGAATGCTATGTTCTGCTCCCTACCAGGAAGAGTAGGAGAGACGGAACATACCTAGATGATTCCAGTCAGTTAATAGTCATGTTTCTAGATTTCAGGCTTGTCGTAGTCATGGCACCAAAGATAATGAGCCTGTATCTGTCATTTCCCAAAGGGCCTGACAAGGCTCACAACTACTAGGCTAGCTTCATCCAACCCCACAACTAGATCAGAGGCCAAGATCTTCTCTTCTCTGCATGGAGATGGGACCAATATTCATGAAGGTCTCTGCCAGTAACTTACATACAGAGCTCCAAACGTTTCCTAAAATTATTCCTTTTATGGTTGGTAAATTTAGGGTCTTCAAGCTGTGCTCAATTATGTGACTTAGTTAGTGCTATAAATCTGATTGACACTTTTTAAAAAAACTATTTGAGATGTGACAGGGCAAGAGTATCAGGAGCTTTCATTTTATTATTCAATGTCAACCCTATAAATATTTATATAAAAGTGTCTGGGGGAGATTAAACTTCTGATAAGTATTCAGCAGGACACAGAATAAAGATTAATCTTTTGTATAAAAGATTAACCTTTTGTATATGATAAAAAATTAATATAAAATATAAAATTAGTACAGAAGACATTTGGCAGGAGAGATATAGGCTGAATTTGTATGTTGAAATGGCTACAGAGGTTCTAATCTTATATTAAGGGAAACAAAAGAATAACTGGCAAAAAATTTTACTCTTTAAGGTGACAAAGGAGAGAAAATATAAGTAATAGCAGTCTTTGTCCAACTAGAAAAAATTCTTTGGAGACTAATGCTAATTTAAAAAGGAGAAAACTATGTTTAATTCACAGTGTAACAATTTTATAAGATTTTATAAGTATGCAGAAGTTTCTGCATTCTAAAGGACAATCTTTTCTTAATTTTGCTCTAGGTATTCACTGGTTACAAGACTTTAACTTGGTGTACAGAACTGAACTCTGATTAACTTTTTAGAGTTATGTTCTGATTGATTCAGTGATTCTTTCAACACTAGCAATAGAAAACAAGAGATAAAAATCTCAGTCTTCTTAGAAGTTAGTTTCCAGTAGAGTGGGAGAGAAAGGCAGCAAACTGGAGAGATACAAAATAATTGCTTTTATTCATTTGTAATGTGTCAGGTGGTCTTAAGCCTAGGTGAAAAGCAAAGTGGGAAAGGCATAATTGGGTTACTGGTGAGGATTTTTTTTTTTTTTTTTGTAAAAGGCAAAAACCTTTTTAAGTGGACATTTTTGCATAGAAGTAAGAAACTAAGTGAGAAAGTCATGAAAATATCCTGGACAAATTTGGAGGACGATGGTCCCAAAGAGTGGGAAGAGTAAATTCTGAGGTATGTGAAAGGGACATAAGGGGAACGGTGCATTGGTTTGGGAGTTGATGGTCATGACTGGGGAGGGGCCAGCTTTTAGGCCATTGTAAGGACATTGTTAATTATTCTGAAAAAAGGGGGAATCATTAGAGGTTTTAGATGGAGAAGTAACATGATCTGACCTTTTAACAGATCATTCTGGCTGTTGTGTAGAGAATAGATTATAGTAAGATAAGACTGGTACTTTATTATAATAGCTCTAGGAAACTCATACAGCAATTAAGGTGAGGACGAAGAATGTGCCATTGGATTCAGCTCCTGGAGGTCAGTGGTAAATTAGACAGAAGCAATTTCAGTGAAGAAGGGTCAAAATCTTGACTGGAGTGGGTTCAAGGGAGGAAAGACCATAGAATGAATTGAAAGTAGTAAGTAGGTAAACATTTTAAGCAGGATTTATGTGAAGGAGGAAACAAATAAATGAAATTATACTTGAAGGTAGATATGAGACCAAAGGAGGCATTTTTCTCCTTCCTTTCCTTTCCCTGTTTTTTCCCTCCTCCCCTCCTTCTCTCTCTCTCTCTCAGATGAAAATATTGCTACATGATTGAATGCTGATGGAAATAATCTATTAGAGAAGATAAAGTTGAGGATCTTGAAGGAGGGAAGCAGACAACAATTGTAGTAGAAATACCCCTAAGAGGCAAAAGGAGATGGGATCTGGTGCTTAAGAGGAAGGATTGGCCTTAGGACTGAGACAGAAAGGACAGAGGAAGGAAGGCCATGGGCATAGACTGAGAGAGTGAATAGATGTTGAGAAAGTAAGTAGAAGAGCTCTTCCAGTTGCTTCTATTTGTTAATGAAAGGGGAAGAAAGTGTACCTGCAAAAACAAAAGAAAATGGTAGGGTTGTTGCATATTTAAGAGGTGAAGAAAAGTTAGGAGATGGTCATCTAGGACAGTAGGGAAGTTCCAGCAAAATGTAGTAGGATTGCAGGTGTATGCTAAACGCCCTCTTAAAGTTAGTGATTATGAATTCAGAGAGACCAGTAAGCAAATTGTATATGTTTTGTCATTGCAAGAATGTATGTCTTAATTAATTGATTAATGTTGTTAAGGATACCAATGTCTCCATTGTTTTAAGAAAAGTTAATTTAGCAGCAGAATTTTAGTAGAATGTATTTTCCCCATGAATTAGACTTGCCAGATAAAATAGAGAAGACTCTGTTAGATTTGAATTTTAGATAAACAACAATTCGTTTTTAAGCATATGTTTTCTAGTTTCTAAAGTTCTTGGATTTAACAACTGCAAATGTAGAGGTCACTTGCGGCATCCAGAACTTTTTAATTTTATAATGTGTATGGATGGTGAGCAGTGCACCAGTTTTTGAACCAGACTTTTTGAAGCTGCATGAAATTTTTACAAACTAACTGTGAGCTGAATTGTAATTCCACCATACGTTGATTCGACTGTTTAACATTTTCACTAAAAATTAATAAGAAATGTTGAGGCACTTAAATCTCTTACCTTGCTGCTTTTGCCATCTCTCTGGGAACATTTACCCTGTTGGCAGACTCTCAGCAATTTTACATTAATCTCTTCGGTGATAAAGCCTGCATCAACAACCTTCAGGCTAATAAAAGTTAGCCTTCCAGCAATAGTGGCCAAGGTGTACATTGTACATAGTTGTTGGTTTTTTATTTTGTTTTTGTTTTGTTTTGTTTTGGTGCACTTAAAACCCTGGAGACCAAGAGGGGATATGAGAGTAGAGATCAATGCTTTATACCTCAAGACTTACTTCTTCTGCCTTATGAAATTATTTTTAACTAATATAAATGTTTTAAGAGGTTTAAAAAGAAAATGACATTTGATATGGGTTGGCTGTGTCCTCACCAAAATCTCAGCTTGAATTGTATCTCCCAGAATCCCCACGTGTTGTGGGAGGGATTTGAATCATAGGGGGCGGTCTTTCCCATGCTATTCTCGTGATAGCGAATCAGTCTCACAAGAACCGATGGGTTTATCAGGGGTTTGTCTCTTGCCACCACCATTTAAGAAGTGCCTTTTGCCTCCCGCCATGATTCTGAGGCCTCCCAGCCATGTGGAACTATAAATCCAATTAAACTTCTTTTTCTTCCCAGTCTCAGACATGTTTTTATCAGCAGTATGAAAATGGACTAATATAATATTAGATTCTAAAATTGGCAGAATGAAAATAGTGATATGAATGGTCTAACATGACTGATCTAATTGTTTAGTATCAAAAAATATATATTTCAGTTGGTTTATGAATAATAATTATAGCTATAATTTATTCAGTATTTACTATGTACGAGGCACTGTACTGAGCACTTAATATACCAAACTCTAACAAAAACACACTAAGAACTCATTAATTCACTTAACCAATATTAGTTGCCATAGGCCTTGGGAAAATATTGAATAAAAGATACAGAAATCCCTGATCCCATGGAGCTCACATTTCAATAGGCAAAAGTCAATAAATAAGGAATAAATATATTAGATGGTGATAAGTGCTTTGGAGAGAAAATAAAGCAGGAAATGGGGATATGGGATAATGAGAGTAGAGATCAATTTTAAATAGGGAAGTGAAGGAAGACTTCTCTGAGTTTGAGCAAAAACCTGAAAAGAATTAAAGAAGTGATACATATTATCAGCTGAGGAGAAATCATTCTAGGGAGAAGAAATAACAAGTTAAAATTCCTGGGCAAAAAGCATACCTTCTATGTTGAAGGAATTTATGATAAATTTTGTATGCATTCATACTTTCTTATCAGGGACCTTTTGTAACCAACCACATATTTATGAGATGACAAGTTGGTCACTGATTTTTGCAAGGCTCAATCCCATAACTTTGTCTCTCTAGCACAACTCTAAGAACTACAGCAGTATGAAGGTTGTCCCTAAAGAAATATGGATGTCCCACCTAACCTTAGAGTTATCACAAGTTAAGAGGTTGGAGGCATATCACAAATTAGGCTATCTTATCTGCCTCATGGATCAAAAACCAGTGAGTTAAAAGACTATCAACTAATATTTTAGTGATCTCACAGAAGAACCACACTGGCATCTTGAGGTACACAAGTAGAAATAGAGCAAAGCCCCTTTCTCCATTCTTTTAGTCAATGAGCAGTCACCAGTTGTATGAGCAAATGGGCAGGTAAGATCTTGGAACCCATGTGCATAGGTTAATTCCCTATTCTCTCTTAGAATGAGGAATAGGCTGGGCACAGTGGCTCATGCTTGTAATACCGGCAATTTGGGAGACTAAGGCAGAAGGATCTTTTAAGACCAGGAGTTTGAGACCATCCTGAGCAACTTAGTGAGACCCTGTCACTATGAAAAAGAAAAAAAACCCAGGAATATTGTCAATATTGTCATAATGATATTTTGACTCCTAGATCCTAGAAGTACTTTATTTTCATTAAATCTCCTAGGGTCTTAGTCTATTTGGGCTGCTATAAAACAATACCATAAAGTGGGTAGCTTATAAACAGCGGAAGTTTATTTCTTACAGTTCTGGAGGTTGGGAAGTCTAAGATCAAAGCTCGGGCAGATTTGATGTCTGGTGAGGGCCCACTTTCTGGTTCATAGATAATACTTTCTAACTGTGTCCTCACATGGCAGAAGAGATAAACATGCTCCCTTGGGACCTCTTTCTTAAAGCCACTAATCCCATTCATGAGGGCTCTGCTCTCATTAACCATCCACCTCCCAAAGGTCCCATCTCCTAATACCATCACCTTGGAGGTTAGGATTTAAACATATGAATATTTGTAAAAAAACAAGCATTCAGACCATAGCAGCTCCACTTTCGGCATTTAAATATTCCTTGTAAGTACACAATAGGTCTTTCTAAGTCTTTTCTCACAACAACCTGTTAGAAAATATAATAGAAGCAAAGATCTCAGTTACAAAACTGAGCTCCTTCTAAATAAAACTTTAGCTCCTTCTAAAAATCTTTGTATGGTTCTCTTCCTCACTTATACAGGTCTCTACTCAAAGTTACCTCCTCAGAGAGACCTTCTCTCTCCATCTAAATACCTAGTCAGTTTCTATCTTATTATAGTGCTTCATTTTTTATTTGAGCATTGTATATCTGAAGTTAAATTGAACTACACGTATGTGTGTGTGTGTGTGTGTGTGTGTGTGTGTGTGTGTTTTCTTAATTATTTTTTGTCTCCCTAACTAAAACGTAAAGTTCATAAGGTATGGAAAATTTTCTTGTTCAATGATATAGTCCCAGTTCTTAGAAGAGTTTCAGGTATATCATAAGCATTTAATAAATATTCATTCAGTGAATACATGTTGAATGAGTGAATAAATGAATGAATATGACTGAGAAGAAAAAAACTGCTGGGTATGGTGGCTCACACCTGTAATCCCAACATTTTGGGAAGCTGAAGCGGGGGGATCCCTTGAGGAGTTTGAGACCAGCCTGGTCAACATGACAAAACCCTGTCTCTACTAAAATTACAAAACTTAGCCAGGTGTGGTCGTGGGTGCCTGTAGTCCCAGCTACTCAGGTGGCTGAGGTGTGAGGATCGCTTGAACCCGTGAGGCACAGGTTGCAGTCAACTGAGATCAGGCCACTGCACTCCAACCTGGGCAACAGAGTGAGACCCTGTCTCCAAAAAATATTTTAGAAAAGAGAGAGAAGGCCAGGCTGCAGGCAGATGATCAGGCTACCTTCCATTTGTCACACCTCTTCTTTTTTCCGCTTTTTACTTCTTTTGTGTTTGCATGCAAACTCTCCAATGCTGGCACTTAACGGTAGCCTCACTCATTGGCTTTGTCAAAATTATGTGATAACACAGAACATTGACCTCCTCTCTTATATTTTCACTGAGGCAGAATAATTCCCCCACTGAGTTGTTCAGGAATTTTAAAAGGTAATTTATTCTCTCATATCTTTTTAGTTACATAATCTTGATTATCACATCACTTAAATTTTTATTTATTTATTTCTTAATTGCTCATTCCAGAAATAGTGTCTCATAAAAACAAGATTTTAGAGCTGGAAAGGATTTTAGAGAGTATCCAATCTAGCTCTTCATTTTCAAATGAAGAAATGAATGCAGAGAGAGAGAGGGAGGGGGAGAGAGAGAGAGAGAGAAAGAGAGAGAGAGAATTTTCTAGTCATTGACAAGTGATGGAAATCAGACTCAAGCCCAGGTCTCCCAGACAAGTTACTAGAGTACTAGAGTTAGGTGAAAGTTGTGAAAACAATAACAACCAAAACAATAAAGTAGCAATGTTTCTCTCCCTGTTCATCAGACAGACCAAATTGAAAGGGACACACATCTCCATGATAAGTATCCACATCTCCATCTTTGTTTTACACTATAGCTACTCACTGCCAAAATTGCTGATTGGGTTTGCTTCCAACAATCAGCAAAAAAAGTACAAGGACTTAAGTGTAAATATTTCAGCTGTGATATTTCCATGTTCGATTTCCCTCTCAAAATTCTTAATAACCAGGGTTTAATTGCACGACTGCCTTCCCATACGGTAGCTTTGTAATAATTTGAAGCAAAAAGTAAAACTATCTGATTTTCAGGTAAGAAAATTGCAGAATTTATTTTAAACAATATTTAGTGACTAAGATTGCTGCATGTTATTGAAAAATGGGTGGAAATCTATTCTCAATTAATAAAATAAAAATTATAAAGCAGCAGACATGCAGTAGTTTACAAAGATGAAAGTGTGCAAGTACATTGCTCAGTAATATAGGGTCTGATTTGGGAGAAATTGCAAAGATGACAGCTGTTGAAGAAGACAAATCAAGGAGAGAAGTGCCTGAAATAAAGAGTCAGGAATTTGTCATTTGCTTCAGATTGGATGGTGTAAGCTTTACCGTACATATTAGTGGCAGCATGTGATGCCTATGGATCATAATGAATTGGGATGTGTGTTGTTTTTAACTGTGGCATCCTAACATTCTACACAAACAGGTAAACAAACAATACCACATTGAAGAACAGGAGCAAGAACACAGTAAGGTTGCTATAAGATTAAAGAACGAGAGCTGCTTTATAAAGAAAGGCTCTCTAAGGCAAGTCAGGATCAAAACTTAAAATTTGCTATCTAAAACCTGTAGAGAATATTAATCTTTTCAATAAATTGGGCAGCCAAATCAAGATTACAATGTCAAATAAAATATGGCATGAACCTTCTTTTAGCATCAGGTCCAAGTAGAGACCATCTTAACTTCTTAACATGTAGCTTCCTCGTGCCATTCTCTTAAGAGAGAGAGAAAATAAAATCTTCTCATTAAAACTGGCACTGCATCAGAAACACTGACCTCTACTCAGAGAAAAACTTCAAATTTTCTTATTTGAGCTCTTTGCATGAAAGTGCAAGAGTATGAAGTGTGGGGACATATGGATTATCTTTTAAAAGTTTTAACAATGACAATTTTGGCAGGAAACAGCTTTACAATTGTCAGAAGAATATTTTTTCTTACTCTTGGGAAGGGGCTACATTGCAAAAAACAAAAACAAAAACAAAAAACAACAACAAAAAGCACTCTCTCCTTTCCTCTCTCTTCCCCCAACATCTGAATTTATTATAGCCCTGGAAGCAATTGAAAGCCCAGGTCTAGCAGTCCTGGCAAAGCATTATGTCTTATCTGTTATATCCAAATATTGTCATGACATGGATCCAAGTGCTTCATGTATCTGCCAACATGCTTACTCTGGGGAGAAAATAAAAAAGTAAATGTTTATTGGGGTTAATAAAATGCACACTAGAGGCAGACTTTCAGTGTTAGAATGGGTGTTGAACTTTACATAAACTAGCAAGTCCTCTCTCACCTATGTATAAAGTCCTTCCTAACATCCCTTTCTGGGCTCAAACTCCTTGGTCACTGGAACTTCACTTTCTGAAGCTGCTCCTTCTACTTCACCTGTATTTCTCATGGCTACAAAAATCATTCTTTCCAGATGAAATCTACTTCATTGCAGCTTCTGCATATTAGTTTTAGTTTTGCTCCCTGAAGAAACATAATGTAAAACTCTAATTCCTTTTCCATATAGCAACTACTTAAGTATTGAAGCAATCGTTATTTGCTGCTGCCTGTCTTATTTAGGCAAAATATCCTCAATTATCTAATTCTTCCTTATATTGCAGAGATCCTTTGCTGTCCTGCTCACTTTTCTCTGGACATGCATTGGATTCACTGTTTAAAACTCTGCACTTTGTAGCTGGTTGACCTTGGGAAAATTACTCAACTTCTTTGTGCTGTGGTTTTCTCATTAGAACACTGAAAATAATAACACTATTTACTGGCCGTGTACTAAAATTTATGTAAAACATTTAAACAGAAGATTCAGTAAGTACTCAATAAACGTTTACTACTACTTCTTCTGTTATTCCTATGACAGATATGAGCCACGTCTTCCATATTGAATCTGCTTTTCTGTAAGTCCCAACATTTCGGTGGATGGAATTGAGCCTGAAGTTACTTAATACTTGTATATACTTTCTGCCATTTACCTATCACTGCTCCTAAAATTGTGTACTTATCCAACTTAAGATGAGTTTTGAGACTTCAATGCTCTTTGGCAATTCTTCTGTAATTCCTAGTTATCTCCCTCAGTGTCTCTGCAGTGCTTTCACCCGCTTCACCCTCTCAAACCTAAAATCCTGCCATTCCTTCCTTACTATCAGAATTGTCCTCCTACTTTGCTGAGAAAATTGAAGCCACTAGACTAGAGATGCATCCTTATCCTATCACCAGACTTTTAATCATACTGCATTCATTCCATGTTTTCTTCCTTTCTGCCCATTATACTGGAATATTCCCTCCTGGCAGGGCAAAGCATGAGTGAATCTTTCCACCTGTCTTGCTTCTATCCCAGATACCTTGTTGTATTTTAATAATTATAATTTCTCATTTGTTTAGCATCACCATCTTTCTCTCTTATAGATTCTCTTCATCAGAAGTAAAATGTTCACATTTCTGTCGTCTTAAAATAATAACTATCTGTTAAGGTTTAGTACTAGATTGTATATATGTTACTTTTCAAAAAAGAAACATGAAAAATCTTTTTAATTGTGCAAATATCTTTAAAGAGGTAACTATTCTAATTTCTACTTTCTAAACCTTAAGTAATTTTTTAAATGACAAATAAAATTGTGTTTATTTATCATGTACCACATGATGTTTTAAAATATGTATACATTGTGGAAAGGCTGAATCCAGATAATTAACATGCATTACTTCACATAGTTAACATTTTTTTGTGGTAAGAACACAAAATACTTTCTAAGCAATTTTCAGGAATACAGTTCTATTAACTCCACTCACCGGGTTGTACAATAGATCTCTTGAACATGTTCATCTTATCCAGCTGCAATGTTGTATCCTTTGACCATTATTTCCCCAACTCCACCCCATCCCACAGCCCATGTTAACCACTGTTCCACTCTTTGCTTCTATGATTTCAACCTTTTTAGATTTCACATGTAAGTTAGATCATGTGGTAAAGCCTGTCTTATTTCACTTACTAATGTCCCTCAGGTGGATCCATGTCATCTCAAATGACAGGATTTCCTTCTTATTTAAGACCAAATGGTATTTTATTGTGTGTATATGCCATATTTTCTTTAGCCATTCATATGTTGACAAACATTTAGTTTGATTCCATATTTTGGCTATTGTGAATAATGCTGTGAGGAACATGGGAATGCAGGCAATCTCTTTGACATACTAATTTCATACCATTTGGACATATATCCAGAAGTGAGATTACAAGATCATATTGTAGTGGTATTTTCAAAATTTTCTGAAAAACCTCTATATTATTTTCCATATGGCTGTACTAATTTCCATTCCCACCAGGAGTGTACAAGAGTTCCCTTTCCTCCACATCCTCTCCAATACTTATCTTTGGTCCTTTTGATAATAGCCATTGTAACAGGTATAAGGTGATATAGCTCATTGCAGTTTTAATTTACATTTCCTTAATGGTTAGTGAAGTTGAACAGTTTTTCATATACATGTTGGCCAGTGTGCATGACTTCTTTGGAGAAATGTTTATTCAGATATTTTGCCTATTTTTTTAATTGGGTTATTTGGGTTTTTTTCTATTGAGGAGTTTCACATACATTTTTGGTATTAACTCCTTATCAGATATATGGTTTACAATATTTTCTTCCATTCCATAGGTTGTCTCTTCACTCTGTTAATTATTTCCTTGGCTGTGAAGAAACTTTTTAGCATAATGTAATCCCATTTGTCTATTTTCACTTTTGTTGCCTTTTCTTTTGAGATCATATCCAAAAAATCATTGCCCAGACTTATGTCATGGAGATTTTCCTCTATGTTTTCTTCTAGCAGTTTTACAGTTTCAGGTATTGCTTGATTTACATCTTTAATCCATTTTGAGTTGATTTTTACATATGGTGTGTGAAAAGGGTCTAATTTCATCTTCTGCATGTAGATATCCATTTTCCCCAACAAAATTTATTGAAGAGACTTATCTTTTCCACATTTTCTATTCTTGGCACCCTCATCAGAGATTAGTTGATCATATATACATGGGTTCATTTTTGGACTGTCTATTCCATTCCATTGGTCTTTGTGTACGTTTTTATGCCAGTACCACACTGTTTTGATTACTATAGCTTTGTAGTATATTTTGAAATTGGAGAATGTGATACCTCTGATTGTGTTATTTTGGCTCAAGATTGCTTTGGCTATTCAGCATCTTTTGTGCTTGCATATGAATTTTAGGATTTTTTTTCTATTGCTATGAAAAGTGACATTGGCATTTTAATACAGATTACATTGAATATGTAGATTGCTTGGAATAATACAGACATTTTAAACAATATAAACTCTTTTAATCATTGAACATGGGATAACTCTACTTGTGTCTTCTTCAATTTCTTTTATCAATGTATCAGAGTTTTCAATCCACAGGTCTTTTACCTCGTTTAAATTTATTTCTGCGTATTTTATTGCTTTTGTAGCTATTATAAATGGGATAGTTTTCTTGATTTCTTTTTTGGAGAGTTTGTTGTTAGTCTGTAGAAATACTACTGATTTTTGTATGTTGATGTTGTATCCTGCAACTTTCTGAATGTATCAGTTTTAAGAGTAGTTTAGTGAGGTCACTAATTTTTTCTATTTATAAGATCATGTGATCTGCAAAGAGGGGCAATTTGACTTCCTCTTTTCCAATCTGGATGCCATTTATTTTTCTTTTGCCTAATTGCTCTGGCTGGGACTTACAGCACTTTAGTTAGACAGAACCGAAAAGAACGGGAATCCTTGTCTTATTCCTAATCTTAGAGGCATCCAGTATGATATTAGCCATGGATTTGTCATATATGGAATTTACTGTGTTAAGGTATGTTCCTTGTATATCTAATTTTTTGATAATTTTTATTGCAAAAGGATATTGAATTTTGTTAAATGCTTTTTTCATCCATGGACATGATCATATTTTTCTGTCCTTTATTCTGTTAATGTGGTGTATCACATTTCTAGATTAGCTTATATTCAACCATACCTGCATCTCTGGAATAAATCCTACTTGATCATGATAAATGTTCCTTTAAATATACTGATGAATTTGGTTTGCTAGTATTTTGTTGAGGATATTTGTATCTATGTTCACCAGGAATATTGGCATGTAATTTTATTTTTTTGTAGTGTCCTTTTATGGATTTGGTATGGTGGTAATGCTAACCTCATGAAATTAGTTTGGAAGTATTTCTTCTTCAATGTTTTTCAGAAGAGTTTGAGAAGGATTGGAATTAATTCTTCTTTAAATGTTTGATAAAATTAAGCAGTGAAGCCATCTGGTCCTGGGTTTTCTTTGATTGGAGACTTTTTATTACTGATTTAATCTTCTTACTCATTATGAGTTTGTTTGGATTTTCTCTTTCTTTTGATTCAATCTGGGTGGGTGATATCTCTAGAAATTTACCCATTTCTTCTAGGTTATTCAATTATTGAAATATAATTATTCATAATAGTGTCTTATACTCTTTTGCATTACTGTGGTATCAGTTGTAATGTCCCCTCCTTCATTCATAATGTTATTTGAGTCTTTCTCTTTTTTATTAGTCTACTTAAAGATTTGTCCATTTTGATTAACTTCCAAAAAGCCACTTTTGTTGATTTTTTTTCTATCATTTTCTCAGTCACTATTTCATTTATTTCTGCTCTGATTTTTATTATTTCCTTTCTTCTGCTAACTTTGGGCTTAGTTTTTTTTTTTTTTTTTTTTTTAGTTCCTTGAGGTGTAACATTTGTTTATTTGGGATCTTCCTTTTTATTATGGGTGTCTATTGCTATAAACTTCTATCTTAGAACTGCTTTTGCTGCATCTCATTGAGAGGTGACAACGTGCTAGCAGCCCTTGCTCGCTCTCGGTGCCTCCTTGGCCTTGGCATCTACTCTGGCCACCATTTGAGGAGCCTTTTAGCCGTTGCACTGTGGGAGCCCCTCTCTGGGCTGGCCGAGGCAGGAGCCGGCTCCCTTTCCTTGTGGGGAGGTGTAGAGGGAGAGGCGCGGGTGGGAACCGGCCAATGCGGGTTCTGGGTGGGCGTGGGCTTGGCTGGCCCCGCACTCGGAGCCGCAGGCCAGCACAGCAGGCCCCGAGCAGTGAGGGGCTTAGCACCCGGGCCAGCAGGTGCAGAGGGTGCGCTGGGTCCCCCAGCAGTGCCGGCCGGCGGGCACTGCGCTGGAATTCTCTCAGGGCCTCAGCCGTCTCCCAGCAGGGCAGGGCTTGGGACCCTTAGCCTGCCATGCAGGAGCACTGCCCCCCAACCCCCCTCCCCACGCAAGGCCCGAGCCTCCCCGATGGGCGCTGCCCCCTTCTCTGCGGCGCCCAGTCCCATTGACCCCCCAAGGGCTGAGGAGTGCGGCACTTGGTGTGGGACTGGCAGGCAGCTCAGCCCAGGGATCCTGCACGTGATCCACTAGAGGAAGCCAGCTGGGCTCCTGAGTCAGGTGGGGACTTGGAGAACTTTTTTGTCTAGCTGGAGGATTGTATATGCACCCAATCAGCACTCTGCTTCTAGCTCAGGGTTTGTGGATGCACCAATCAGCACTCCATATCTAGCTAATCTGGTGGGGACTTGGAGAACTTTTATGTCTAGCTAGAGGATTTTAAATGCACCAATCAGCACTCTGTGTCTAGCTAAAGGATTGTAAACACACTGATCAGCACTCTTTGTCTAGCTCACGGTTTGTAAATGTACCAATCAGTGCTCTGTGTCTAGCTAATCTAGTGGGGACTTCCAGAACTTTTGTGTCTAGCTAAAGGATTGTAAATGCACCAATCAGCACCCTGTGAAAACAGACCAATCAGCTCTCTGTAAAATGGGCCAATCAACAGGATGTGGGTGGGGTCAGATAAGGGAATAAAAGGAGGCTGCCCGAGCCAGCGGTGGCAACGTGTTGGGGTTTCCTTCCAGGCTGTGGAAGCCTTGTTCTTTGTGGAAGCTTTGGGTCTGCTTTGGGTCTGCACCGCCTTTATGAGCTGTAACACTCACTGTGAAGGTCTGCAGCTTCACTCCTGAAGCCAGCGAGACCACAAACCCACCAGGAGGGATGAACAACTCTGGACGGGAGGAAGGAACAACTCCAGATGCGCCGCCTTTAAGAGCTGTGACACTCACCAGGAAGGTCTGCAGCTTCATTCCTGAAGCCAGCGAGACCACGAACCCACCAGAAGGAATAAACTCTGGACACATCTGAACATCTGAAGGAATGAACTCCGGACACACCATCTTTAAAAACTGTAACATTCATCGTGAGGGTCCGCGGCTTCATTCTTGAAGTCAGCGAGACCAAGAACCCACCAATTCCGGACACATCATGAGTTTTGCTGTTTTGTGTCTCTCTTTTCACTTATCTCAAAATAGTTTTTAATTTCTCTTTTACTTTCTTCTTTGATTCGTTGGTTGTTAAAGAGCATATTGTTTAAGTTTCATATATTTGTGAAGTTTTTGAAATTTTTCCAGTTAACTGATTTCTAATTTCTTACCATTATGATCAGAAAAAATACTTAATATGATTACATCTTTTCAAATTTGTTAAGACTTGTTTTGCCAATATTTCTGTGCTACACCCGGGTTCTGTAATCTCCCACATGGGTTCTTAAGCTCTTGTGAATGACCTAACATATGATCTACCCTGAAGAATGTTCTGTGTGTGTTTGAGAAAAAAGTATATTCTGCTGCTGCTTAATGGGAATGTTCTGTATATGTCTGTTGGGTCTATTTGGTCTAAAGTGTAGTTTTAATCTGATGTTTACTTATTGATATTTTTTCTGGATAATTTTTTCATTGCTGAAAGTGGGATATTTGAGTCCCCTGCTATTGAGACCAGGAGTGCTAATCTGGTGTTGGGGCCTGAGGCCTGGGACTGCATGGGATGTTTTAGCTTCCGGCTTGTCTGAAACCTGGGGTAAGCCTGAAGCCCGAGTCTGTGGGGCTTAACCTGGAGGCTGGGTCCCAAGGTGCTGGCCTGTGTCAGGCCTGGTCCTGGGTCAGGCTTATGCCTACATCTGTGATGTCTGGTTCTGACCAAGGGCCAGGGCTGGTAGGGCTTGCCTGATACTGGGGCTGTTCCCGAGCCTAGGGCTGCTGGGGTCAGCCTGGCAGTGGGGCAGGCCCAGAGATTGAGTCTATTGAGCAGGCATGGATCCCAGGGCTGTGGGAGCTATCCTAGAATCCAGGTGGGCCTGGAAGCTTAGTCTGCAGGTATCAGCCTGGAGTCTGGGGCCATAGGTGCCTGCGTGAAGTTGGGTTTTGCTGGAGCAGGCCCAGTGTTGGGTTCCACAGTAAGTTTGGTGCTCACTTTCCTTCCCGTAAGGGTTGGGTATTGCTGCTGTCTGTGTCCGTGCTGTATACAGTTTGTGAAGCGGCTTCACAGGTGATTTAAAACTGTCCTTCTTACCTTTATCAGTGTGTCTTTCTTATTTCTGTGCTCCACTCAGCTTCTGTAATCTCTCACATGGTTTCTTTAGCTCTTGTGAACTTTTGTTTGTGCATGGATATTTGTTCAAATTAATGTTTCTCTGTGGGGATAAGCACTGGAAAGTTCTCTTCCACCATCTTTATAAACCTTTTCTAATTCTTATTTCTACTTTTTATTTTACCTCCCATCTACTCCTTAATTCACTCTAATCAAACTTCAGTCGCATTCTCCACTGAAATCATTGCAATGTTTGCAAGTATTGTTCAATCATTCCTCCTTTAAACACTCTTTTCTTCTGGCACCTATTATGCCACACTCTCCTGATTTTCCTTCTACCTCTCTGGCCATTTCCTATGAATCTACTTTGTGGGTGTTTTTCTACTGCCTATGTTAGCGTTCCTTTAAATTCTGCCCTAGGTATTCTTCTCCTAAAGAGAATTCTACACACCCTCCCAGAACAAGCTTATCTATTTCTTTGCCTTAACAACCCAGCTATATGCAGATGGATCTCAAATACACATCTCCCATCTGTAATGATTTTTCTCCTGAATTTCCAACCTGTGTATAAACCACTATGTAATATATATACCCAAAAATCAGCATATCTAAAGGAGAACTTCTGTCCTCATCTAATTCCGCTGCCACGCCTGTACTTTTTTCTCCATTACCTCTCGATGAATTGTATTTATGTTCATCTGGTTTCCCAAACAAAAGTCTGGGAATCATCTTTGATTTTTTTACAATCATTTTTTCTTGTATGTAGCTAGAATATTTCTTATAATGTGCAAATCTTAATTTGTCAATGTTCTTCAGAAAACATTTTAGTGTCTCCCCATTACTGTTTGTATGAATTAAGGATCACTTGTCCCCGGTCTTTAGGTAGGATTCGCATATTCGACTCTTTTTTAGAGATCATGGCTACAATTCATAGCTATCTTGGGCAAATTCCTTCTGTGTAATGGCATATGAATCATTAAGTCTTAAGATGGTATGGAACTCCATGACATTAATTTTTTTCTTTTTGATGTTTGTTTAATCCTCTTAAAAACACTCATTCACCATGGCGGGCCAGAGTGATTTCCCGCAGAGTGATTTTCCTAATGCCCTTTTGATGGGCATCAGCCGCTGTGGGCAACACAGGGTCCCTTACCCCAAACCAGTGGAATCAGAATCCCTGGGGAAGGGACACAAGTGGAAGGCTTTTGTAAAAGTTCTTCTGGTGATGCTAATGAGCTGTCAGGGTTTAAAACCTCTGGTTGAGAGCTGTTAGGCCAATGGAGGATACATAAAAGCAGGGCCAATGGGATGGAAACATGGAAGTTAACAGACAGGGAGGAATCATATCAAAGATAATATTCTTTCAAACTTTGTAGTGTTAGGTGCTCCAAATTTTTATAGGGGGCTTGCATCTTTGGGAATGGCTAGGGAGGGTTCAACTTAAGCTCTCCAAACAATCTATAGGCAGTTTATCTCTTTACTTTTGCTCTGAGCTCATTATCATTCCAGCACTGAATTTCTTTTTTGATAGCATATGCTTCTCTTTTCTTCTTCTTTTCAAAAACATATATAAAGAGTTCTTTTTGGCTGGGCACGGTGGCTCACGCCTGTAATCCCAGTACTTGGGGAGACCAAGGCGGGTGGATCACGAGGTCAGAAGATCGAGACCATCCTGGCTAACAAGGTGAAATGCCCTCTCTACTAAAAATACAAAAAAAAAAAAAATTTAGCTGGGCGTGGTGGCAGGTGCCTGTAGTCCCAGCTACTCGGGAGGCTGAGGCAGGAGAATGGCCTGAACCCAGGAGGCGGAGCTTGCAGTGAGCCAAGGTCACACCACTGCACTCCAGCCTAGGCGACAGAGCAAGACTCTGTCTCAAGAAAAAAAAAAAAAAGAGTAATTTTTATAACTCTCTATCTCTGCTATTCTTCAAAATTACTTAAATGTTAACTACATTGTGAAGACTTTTGTAGTCTTCTTTTCCCCAAATATAGTTAATTAATAACTCCAGCCTGCCTGTTCCCAAAGTATTTTAAACAATTACCTAGTCATAGTTACTTTCCTGTATTTTGATTTTTTGGTTTGCATATCACTTTTTCACTCTGGACTATGGGACCCTGAAAGCAAGAAGCTCATAATAAATTAATGATGGAATGATTAGATGAACAGATGATATATACTTTGACTCTCCTGGCTTGTAGTGTATGAACCCTTTAGATGTTAATTTTTGGTTTTACAATGTCCATTCATTCTTTTACCAAACATGATTGAGCACAACTTGTGTGTTAAGGCCTGTGCGAGGCACTTATTTCTTCTGAATTTTGTCCATTTACATATAAGCTTCTCATGGAGTCTGAGGTGCAGCCGCATTCTTTTTCTTTTTTTTTTTCTTTTTTGCTTGAGATCACAGAATTATTATTGATAGCCTTCAAACCCTCTCAAAGTGTCAGAATAAGAGGTCATTAATTATACCCATTTTTCTCTGAAGTTTTTGGAATCTAGCATGGCCACATATCTGGGCTACTATAAACTAAAATTTACAAGGTAATTTTGTTCAGAGTTTCCACTACTTCAGTCACAAATGCTTTTAGATTGGTTAGCACAGGATTAGAAGAGCACTCCTCTTGTGACTGCTTTTCCATCTGAACAAGACTTGCCAAGGATGCTGTATGTTGATGGGAATCCCAGTGAGTGAATGATGGAAGCTCAGGTTGCTGCTCTGTACTGCTTTGGTTCTAATTGTGGAGTCTCTATCAGGGAAGCCTCATCACTTTTCTCAATCTTGCCTGGCAATTTAGAGTATACCTTAATAACATAATGTATTTTCATCTCTCTTTCACCTTTAAAAGTATGTGGTTTTAGCAGATTACCAACAAAAGATGTCTGTATTTCCATACAGACATGTCTTTATTGACAGTCTTCTACTCCCTACCCCTTCCACTTGCCCCAAAAAAGGTCAGCACTATTATAATAAAATTGACACTTCTATTGCTGTGACTGAGTTATTGTTTTGCTCCCATAACATTCTGTGATGACTACATAGTTAAAGTTAACTCTTTGTGCTATAATCTCATTTTTTGTTTCTGTCCCATCCGTTGTGCTGGAATGCTGATGCCTATCCACACGTCCGCATGTATGGTTCAAGTGGATATTCTATTTTTTCACATCAATTTTTTTCATATTGTATTAGTTTATTAGTCTTCCTCCAATGCCAGAACTTTATCTGCCTTTGCTCTGTTATCCTAGAACATTTCTGTTTCTTTCTTTAATTTCATTATAGTTCCCAAAAGGATTTATATGCAATT
This sequence comes from Homo sapiens, assembly GCF_000001405.40. Taxonomy (NCBI): domain Eukaryota; kingdom Metazoa; phylum Chordata; class Mammalia; order Primates; family Hominidae; genus Homo; species Homo sapiens. Next base: position 66,646,100 of record NC_000010.11, on the reverse strand, counting down.
TCTTCAAAATCCTGGCAAGTTTTTGGAAATATAAATGCATGTGGTCTAAATTTACAATGAATAGCAAAAATAGTTAAATAATAAAAAGAGGTAAATAAAGTGGGGAAAAGTACTCTACCTGATATTAAGTTTTACACTATAGCTGCAATAATCAAAGTGGTGTGACATTGCCAGAGCATAGACACATAGATCAATGGAACAGAATAGGGCAGCGATCCCCAACCTTTTTGGGACCAGGGACCAGTTTCATGGAAGACAATTTTTCCACGGATAGTGAGTGGAGGCAGGGGTGTTTTCAAGATGAAACTGTGCCACCTCAGATCATCAGGCATTAGATTCTCATAAAGGACGTGCAACCTAGATTTCTTGCATGTGCTGTTCACAATAGGGTTGGAGCTCGTATGAGAATCTAATGCCACCGCTGATCTGACAGAAGGCAAAGATCAGGCAGTAAAGTTCACTCACCAATCCTGCTGTGTGGCTTGGTTGCTGATAGGCCACAGACTGGTAGTTGTCTGTGGCCCAGGGGTTGGGGAGCCCTGGAATAGGGGACCCATAAATATCCCCACACAAAAATCTGTATATTCAACACATTTTTGACAAAGATGCAAAACCAATTTAATAGAAGAAAGACAGCATTTTCCACAAATGGTGTTGGAGCAATTTGACACCTATAGGCAGCAAAATGAGTTCCGAACGAAGTCTCACACTGTACACAAAAATAAACTCAAAATGGATCAGAGACAAAGGTAAAATATTAAAAAATTATAATATAAATACAAAATGTTTAGAACAAAATAGGAAAAAATATTCGGGATCTAGGGCTAGGCAGAGTCCTTGATACCACAATCATGAAGTGTGAATTTAAAAAATTGATGAATTAGACTTCATCAAAATGTAAAATGCTAACTTTGTGAAAACCATGTGAGAATAAAATTACAAGCTAAAGAATGGGAGAACATATTTGTATTGTACATATATACCATGGAATACTACTCAGCAATAAAAAGGAATAAACTGTTGATAAACACCTTAGGTTGAATAAATCTCCAAGAATTATGTTATGAAAAAAATCCCAAAAGATTACATACTATATAATTCCACTTATAAAACATTTTGAAATAATAAAATTTAGAAATGGGGAATAGTTAGTGGTTGTGTGGGGGCACTGAGCTAGCAGGAGGATGTGGGATTTTGAAGGAGGGAGATGGATATAGTTATAAAAAGGCAACATGAATACTCTTGTGGTGTGGGAACTGTTCAACATCTTGACTGCGGTGGTGAATCCATGAACCTACACAGGTGACAAAATTGTATAGACTTATTGCACACCCACCCATACCACACTAAGAAAAATTAATACAAGTAAAACTGGAGAAAAATAAGATCAGTGAGTTATATCAGTGTCAAGACCCTGAAAATATAGTCTTACAAAATGTTACCACAGGGGGATGATGTGGTAACATTTTGTAAGACGGGGATAAAGTTTGCAAGGGATGTCTCTATATTATTTCTTACAACTGCATGTGAATTTGTAATTATCTCAATAAAGAACCCAACTAAAATTTATTTCAGACATTTACATAGTGTCTAATATATTGTGTATGTGTGTATATATATATATAAACATATATATATATATACATATTTGGGGGGGATCTGGGGGTTTGGATCAAGTAAGAGACTTGGTCTCAAAATATATATATGTAAAATATAAAATACACATGTAAAATATACTATATGTAAAATATATATAATATATGTAAAGTATTATTTTATATATATATATATATAGAGAGAGAGAGAGACAGACAGACAGACAGACAGACAGACAGACAGAGAGACCAAGTCTCTTATTCCGTCACTCAGGCTAGTGTGCAGTAGCATGATCATGGCTTACTGAAGCCTCAACCTCCCAAGCTCAACCAATCCTCCCACCTTAACCCCGCCAAGTAGCTAGGACTACAGGCATGTGCCACCATGCCTGGCTAATTTTTGTATTTTTTGCAGAGACGGGGGCTTGTCATATTGCCCAGGCTGGTCTCGAACTCCCAGGCTCAAGTGATCTGCCTGTCTTGGTCTCTGAAAGTGCTGGGATTATAGGCATGAGCCTCCATGCCTGGCCTATTTTGTCAGCACACCATTATATTGCTGTTTTCTTTTTGTGGCACAGCTGAAATGTTCTCTACTAGAGCTGTTACACATCTTGTACTTTCTTCTTTGTGTAAAACTTATTTGAATGAATCATGATTTGGAAATAAAATAAATATTTGGAAATAGAAAAATATACCTAACAAAGGTAGAATGAAGAGAAGGGATATGTCTTTTATAAAATGGTCAATTTTGAATTTGTGAGGACAGATACAAATACTTGTAATTGTTAATGAAGTGAATTAGTAACCTTCGGTTTGCAGCAGAGAAAGCTTAGAATAAAGTAGTTGTTGAACCCCTTTATGTGTTACAACAGATGAAAAATAGAGCAAGGGACCATGGGGAATTATCAATGAGTTATAAAAGAAGATGATTGATGTTTATGCTAGATACCTATTTCATCAGAATAGTTGGGGTTAGTAATGATATTAACTCTACTAGAAATAAGAAGATGCCCTTAAGTAGTCTTCCATTTAGAGCTTATGATGCCAATATAGCTATGCTCACAAAGATTTCAGTTTCTAAAATAAATGTTGACAGGGAGTAGATTTTATTAAGGAATGAAGATTTTAAGTAGATTAATAACATGCTTCCAGTCACAAACATGGTCTTCAGTTACCCAGCAGAGCCAAGTTGCTATTTTCATGTACAAGATACATTGAATTCAGATCAGTATACAATTAAATAAGAAAATATTTTCTACTTGGAAATAAAATTTGGTTTAAAGGATAATGTGGACTCCTGATTGCTGTTGACAAGATTTACAAGTTTAGATTGTAAATTATGTGATAATTGTTTTAAGTCACTAAACTGTGTGATGATTTGTTATTCTCTGTTAGCTAGCTGGAGCACCTACATTTAAGTTTGTTATAATCTGATCTTTGTTATCATCTGACCTCTCTGTATCTATCTCCATCATCTATCTATATATGTGTATCTATGTATCTATCTAGCTCTCTCCCTTTCAAGGCTTTCCTTTACATGGAAGATTTGAAAAGGTCTTTTTAGTGGTCTGCTTAAAGAGTTGGTCTAGAAACAGGTACTTTCACAATAATCGCTAGAACTTGTCTGGAAATGCCCCTAGGATTCTAAAGCAGAGCCTTCAACAGTTAAGATGTTGACTTTTTCATGTTAAAGAAGAAATCCTGCAAGGATGTCACTGCAAAAATAATAAATTAAGTACTTAATGGTATGCTAATAAAGTTTTCTTTGCCCCTTATTCTCTAATTTATGTACACAAAAGCTTATTGGTAACTGTAGGCTTTTAAAATATTTGGAGAATGTTTATTATATATATATATTTTTGAAAATGGCGGGCATTTATATTTAGTACCTTGTTTGGAAATATTTCTAGCCAAGGGAATAGTAAAGCTCTGGTAAACACACAGGTGCTTGTATAGCAGTTATAGTACACTGAATAACAGTGATAGGTTAAACACATTGTATCAAATTGAAAAGTGGAGATATGCCAATGACAGATATCTTGGCAGCGGTTCATACTCTGCAACACTCACACAACTGGTGTGTAGGGTGAGTAATTTTCTACCTGACCTGCTGATTTTCTGTGAATATATTCAAGTACTGTTTAAATGACCTAGTCATGTTTTCTGGGTGGAGGGAATGTAAGATTTGATATCAGGTTTTGTGTGTGTGTGTGTGTGTGTGTGTGTTTGTGTGTGTGTGTGTGTGTGTGTATTTTAAAGAAATATCAACATTTTAATTGCAGAATTTTCTGAAGAAAATGAGAATTTCAATTATCTATTATTTCAGGCTGTGGCAGTTTAACTTTCATATGAGAAGTTAGGGATAGATGAGCCTGACCCAAAGAACATCTGGAAGTAAGCTAATTTCTCGACCTTTGTTTCGTTTTATCCACATATCATGGCATTGAATTGTGACTATCTGCTGCCTGTTTATCTATAATGGTTCTTTTGCACAGAAGAAGGCAACAGGCTCAGATAAGTTCTGTATTCTCAAACCTTACCTTAGAATTGCCATTTTTATGGTTGTATTCATAATTTCAAATGTGTTCTGCTGTAGCTTTGGGTTTTTTGTTTTGTTTTTCATTTACAGAGTCCCTAGCAAGGAATGAGAAGCCTGCTGGCTATAAGACATATTTTGCATACATTTTGAAGTACTTTTAACAAGGAGACAGCAAAGCAGACCATTATTTGCTAGATGCAGTTACAACTGCTTGGACTCATGAACAATTCCAGGGCAGGGGTCCTGGATTCTAACACCTGACAAACTAATATTAAGAGATGTTTCTCTCTCAATGAAAGTTTTTTATCACAATGAAAAAGAGCAGTAAGCACATATTAAATATGTTTTAAATAAAGGAATAAACTTGTCTTCAGTTTCCAAGTTAAACTATATTTCAAAAGATCAAATAACAAAGATAACACACAGCTGTTCCTGTCATCTAATGGTGCATAATAAATCATCCCAAAATGTGGTGACTTAAGACAACAATCATTTATTATCTCTTATAGTTTCTGTGGGTTAGGAGCAGTCACAAGCCCTTACCCAGATTCAATGGAAAGAGTGTAGACCCATTTTAGGGAGATTATGTGGGTTGAGACATAATATTAGTCTGGCCATTTTTAGAAAATGCAATATGCTACAACATGGAAATTTCTTTTTCTACAAAGAAGTGTCACAAGATTGGTGGCTTCATTGGCTATATGTAGTTATATCTATGTGTGTTGGAATTTATATCTTTAAATTTAATATGGCATAAAAAGCATTTCTCAACAACTTCATTTTTCAAAGGAATTATTGCAATGACTATAATTTTCCTTCCTAAGGATAGGCCATAACTTAACACTTATATGACAGTTTCATTTTTTTGCTGTTATAAACAACACTCTACTACATATATACATATACTTCTAGATAGAGTGGTTCCTTAATTGTATCACTTGGGATTGCATTTGGCTGCAAATAACAATCAATTTAAAAATGATTTTTGTTTTTTTCTCCCATGTCAAAAAGTTGAGGGGTTGGTGATTGCTAGCATGCGTTCATTTGCTCAATGATGTTTCCAAGGATCTTTTGGATGCTTGGTATGTTTGTTCGCTTTTATCTTTATAGTTTTAAGATTATGTCTGCCCTCTTGGTATTTTGTCTGCATCCCAGTTGGGAGGAGAACAAAGGGGAAAAAGTCAAAGGAATATATTCTAGTGAATCTTGACTACTAATGGTGGGGGGAAAAATTCTTCCCTGGGGAACTGTGCCTAATCTCATTGGCACATGGTTCAGCCTAGCAATAAAGGAGACCGAAAAAATGAGTATTCTGTTTGCTGGGTATTATGATTTTCTTAAGTTGGCTCCCCGTAAGTATACTTTGATACGGATAGTTCTATCCTGAAGATTTACTGGGGAGTAATCTTCAGAGATAAGCCTGTAATGAAGGGAGAAAGGTAGAATTGGGTAGAAGCAGCAGCTGACTTACAATGAATGTGGTTGCAACTGAAACCTTACCTGAACTCTTAGGGACTCTGGAGCTCAGGTGACCTTTCAGAATTGTCACATGTAGAGGCAAGGGACCTATGCCTTTGTAATCCCAACTCACTCCATCATTAATTGTGAGCTTCCCCTGGGAAGAGACATTGCCTTGGGGAAGGTAGTTTCCTACAACCTAGGACAGTTCCTAGTGAACGACTATGCCATGAGTGGTCAATAGCAGTTATCCCCAGCAGCTGAAAGATGGATGTATCCAATATGAAGAGGAGATATGGCCAGAGCTCTGTGATATGCAATAGAGGGGAGAAAAGACACAGGAAAGAGGAGTTGAGAGTAGGCATTGGGTGAGTTTATCTGCCACACTGAAAATGTGTATTTTGTGTATTTACTCTTTTGTATTTAACAGTGTTTTCCAAAACTTTTAATTAAGCACATATTCCTTTTGAAATAATAAGATTTCTGAACACTTAAAGTAAAATATATCTGCATGTATGTAGCTATACAGACAGAGAGAGAGAGAGAGGTGCACAGTTCATCCGTAGTATAATTGTAGAAGAGAAACAAGTCTTTTTTTTAAACTTACCTAGGGATTTAAAATGACTACAGTAATGAATTAAAAGTGACATATATGAAGTAAAATCTTTGACTTGGTAAATTTATTCATGTTATTTTAGCTTTACATGCATACTTATTTAAACATAAAAGGACACACAGTATTAGAATGATTCTTGTTACAGATTATGTCTTTTTAAGGTAGTTATGAACTCCCAAAGCACAGTGTTGCATAGTGACTTCTAAATAAATACTTCAAGTTTTATCTTTTTACTGGAGAATATGAAAGAGTGGAGAGTTAGAAGGATTTAAAGTTATATTATTGAGTCATACTCTAAAATATGTGATGTGTTTCCACTAACTGGACATATTTGAGGGGACCACAAATATGAATCCCTTTGGGTTAGTCATCTTCATGGAAGATGAGTAAAATATAAGATAACAGTAAATAAAGTTCATTCTGTCTGGATTCCAATACCTATACTGCCATTTCTCCTTTTTTCAAATCATACTGCTTCCTATATTCATAGCGCAACCTCTACTTCATCAGCACCTGCTAACAGAGCAAGGATAAATACGAATACTTTATTGGACCCACTAATAAAAATGGCCACTGTAACTAGGATGCAGATCTTGAAATAATAAAATGTTTTTTTCAAAACTATCTTAAATACTCACTGTAACTCATAATATTTAACTGGAGAAGCAATTATAATTGATTTCTTTTTCTATGGTTCAACTAATGTACCATAGCCTTTGAGGCTTTTCCCTCATGAATTTGTGGCTCCCAAAACAGTGATTTCAGGTACACTTACTGCATTATAGCAAAATATTCTATTCAATTTACTAAACGTAGATATAAAACTAGCCCCTGGCTCACAGACTCTATTTCCAAAGCAACAGGAAATGAATTATTCACCAACAGAGAAATATATTTTTATTTCTCTGCACATAAATATATGTTTAAAGTGCAAAGATTAAAAAAAACATATTGTTTGTTATGTTTTATTTACCACAGAGACAGTGATGTGAAAAAGGCAGAATGAGAGGAAAAGTATGAGGGATTTTGTATTCTACAAGATGGGATAACTAGTGGGAAGGGAAAGAAACTATGTGACAAGAATAACGAATGGGCGGGGGAGAAAAGAGAAAAGAATGATAGTTCAGAGCCCAGAAATCAACAAAGGTAGGTCAACTGTGATTCCTGGAGATACCAGAAAGTACCAGCTGTGATCACAGCAGTACATTGATTATGTAGAGACTGAATTCAGTTTCAGAGAAGGGAAGATGATGGTGTGGGCCTTGAAAAAAGAGGATGTGGAAGATGAATGGAGGAAGACAGCAGGGACTGGCATTAGTCTATTTATGGGAAAAGAAAGAGCAACAGATTTTAGCCTATTAATTTCAAGTGAATAGATTAAGCCTATTAATATCAATTGAATATAATTGCCTGCCCCCGCCCAGAAGTCCACTTCTAGAGTTGGGGCGGCGGAGGGGTGGGCGGCGGCGGGAGGATATTATATTCAATTAAAGTCCGCTTCTAGAGGATGCAGGGAAAATACATTCATTTGAAATTAATAGGCTAAATAGAATGTGCTGGGAAAGAGGAAATCACGAATTGCACTTGAGTTGCCAGCAACCCTTAGAGATGTCTGAAAAGCAAATTTAAAAACAAGTCACTTGCAGGAACAGTTTCCAGTTCTTAATAAGATAATTCAGAATTTGAGACAAAATCATGAACAAAGATTGCAAGAGGGATTTTGCTAAGCTAAAAACCCTTGCAGAGAACGCCTAGAATGGCATTGCTTAGATTTAAGCTTTTTCTTGGAAATGTGAGAAGTGACGCAGCTGACAGTCTTGTCTTGTTCTTCCAGTGGTGGAAGGTGATAATGAGCCATCAGGGTCCAAAGGGTAGGCTGTTAGGGAAGAGAAACATTGTGCCTGGACAAACAGCATAATCAGCCCTCAAGTAATCCAGCCATGGTTGTGGTTTTATGCAGGGATGGCAGCTGCCCATTAGTGTTAATTAACCAACAAGGTGTGGGTGTGCTTTCCAAAGACTGGCAGCCAGGGGCAGGAGGGATCCATAGTAGTCAGAGGCTGAAGGTGAGGGTAGGACTCTAACTTCTGTGATGAAAAATGAACTGGGCTTTTATTGGCATTCTCTGTTTCTGGCTACTGAGCATCCAGGACGCTTTGTACTCTGTGTCCCAAGGGGGAGGTGCTCATTAAGGTTACCATCTCATAGGTGAGAAAGCTCAGCCTCTGCCCTCAAGAGCTGGGGAAGGAAGCAACCTGTCTCCTGACTTCTGGAACAAAACGGCATACACTGAGCAAAGCCAGAATGCTGTGGGATTTCTTTCTTCAGAGGCTGAGCCTGACAACGGTTTGAAAGGCTCCAGGTGCAGTGCAAGCAAGCCAGCCTTCTGAAACAGGGTCAAAAACTGGACTAGTTGATGGCAAATGCCCTCCAACTCCTGTGACTCAGACTCAGAGCCTTTGAGCAATGCTGGTGAGAATCCAGGCCTGGCTGGTGCAACCATGTAGTGCCATGTGGCTGATGTGCATGGAGCTACCTTGAATGCAGCATTGCTTTCTTGAATTTTGATTTAAGTTTCATGTTACTTGACATAAGAATTGAAAACAACTAAATACATAGGAAGTATTGTAATAAGGATAGAAATAAAATAACATGCAATGTAACTTTCAGTATTTGCAATAACAGTTTTCATTAGACCATTCACTATTTCTTAAAGAGAATTTGTATTTAAACGAAACATTTCTGATTTATCCAAAAATCTTCTGTTACTGGGATTTATTAATATTAAAACTTCTATGTTTTCTATCAACACATTTTTATATGACAGTCTTATTTTTAGAGTTTTATTAAACAATTCAATTGATATATAGAAATTGTCTTTCTTTAAGACTTTTTAAAACTATCCAGCTAACATTTTTTAAAGCTTCACTGCGTTATCTCCTTATTATGAAGCCCATCAGCATTTAGTGTTTTACTCGTTTAGCATAGTATACACTGTCATTTAAATGTTTTCATTATTAATAGCTCTAAATGTTTTGTGTATTTACATCTAAATCTCTCATTTATTGAAGCATGGCAACTACTTTTTCCCCATCTTCTCTTCTTTTTCTTTCAGTGCCTGGAACATGCCTGATAGATAATAAATATTTGTGGATTTTGTTGTTGTCTTTAGGCCTCTGTAAAGAGATCAATCATAAATAAGTATAGAGAAGACAACGTGAAAAATATTTTATTTGCAATGTTGGGTTAAATGTATTCAACAGAAGCTTTAAGAACCCACTGCTTGCAATATCTTAGAACCAAAAAGAGGAGTAAGATGGTTTCTGTCTTCAAGGATTTCACAATTTAACCTTGTGCAAATAGAATTCATATGTTGGTTTGCTCTAATTATGGAAGGTTAGTATACAAGATCCCTTCTTACTCCTCCCTCCTCCCTTCTAGAACTACTAGGAACCATAAATAATATATATTTAAAAAAATTACTAAGATTACACTGCAAGTGTCTTATCCTATCCTCTAGTAATGGCCACTACTCACAGTATGTGTCCAGTATTTCAGTGTGCTGTAGAGGTACAGGGGTAGTTAAGATTAAACCTGTAATAGCTTATGCCCCTGCTAACGTTAAAGGGCCTAAATATTTTATTTTCTTTTAATTCTATATTACATAATTAGCTATACTTCATTTTTATCATATAATTAAATGCAGAACACATTCAAGGAGCCCTCCTGAGATTCAGGGACCCAAGAATGAGGGGATATGAAATCATAGTATTTAATAATAGTACATGCACATATTTGTAAATTTTGCTCGGACTTCATATATACATACACAAATGTGCTTGCCTCTCTTCCACTCCACACACACACACACACACACACACACACACACACACACACACACAGTGTTCTTCCAATTTGTTTCACTCATTATCGGCAATTTATACTCAGAGACAAGGGGCTTTCTCTGGGATTATAATTATGGTAAATTTCAAAGCTTCTTTGCCTATTTCCTTCAAAGTCATAATAAATAGATGCCTACAGGAAAAAAATAGTTTCACAGATTATTGTTATGATGTCTTCGAAGATAGAAGTTGCCAGATGATTGATTGCCTACTGTCATTCTACTAAGAGACCCGTTCTTTTGTGAAAGTAAGGAATGAATCTGGGTGTGTATTTCGTGATTAGTTAGGGAATCAGGTGATATTGATGGTCTCATCCACATCCAGGAAGTTTACACAATTGCAATTCAATTAACTTTGTCCTATGCAACACCTTCTGTTCCCATGATAGCATTTGAACAGTGCAATATGTACAAAACATGTTGATTCAGAAATAGACTCACTGAAAACTTTATATTGGCTTTAATATATTGTATCTCTCTTTAAGAAAATCCCTTCTCTTTCTGCCATGTGAGAAATCAGGTCACTGGTCATAAAATTGCTTTGAAATTTGACAGCAATTTCAATGATAATGAAAGCTAATTATAGCATTGTTTTGACATCTACCCTTTCCACAATGATCCTATTAATAAACACTTATTAGACCTGCATGCTTCATATTTATTCTTGACCTCAGTGACAACAAAGAATAACACTAGTTTAGGAAACAACACTTAATCCTGTCTTTAATTTATAGTTTAGATTTGTTTCATCTCTTTGGTACTTCAATATATTTTATTTGGTACTGTTTATTATATTAAATTTACTAGGCAGGTGACACATACTTTTATCCTTTGAGTGGTGATTCTGAGGTGAATAATAGCTTAATTTAGAGAGGGACCTTGAATAAACTATCTAGCTGGTTTTACCATTATAATTTACATCACACAGCAATATGAGGTGTGTGTGTCCATTTACAGTTATATATTGTTCCAAACTAAAAGGGAAATATATTTGGCAAAATGGGACTCTTAGAGCAGTCTACATTGCAGACTTCAATTTGAGCTATGTAACATATATTTCTCATAATTTATTGGAAGCAATAATACTGTAACAGCCAAATATGTTTGAGTTTGTGTGTATGTGTGTTTTCATCTCAATTGCTTCTTTTGTGATGGCACATTCTGACGCAGCATACTGATACCTCTTTTTCAGAACAATGTTGACATATGTCCACTTAGACAAATGAATATTTTCATCTTTAATGACTTATTTGAGAGGGACAAGAATTTCAGACACAAATTTGAATAGAATTGGAGGTGTGAGTAAGATAGGAAAAAGGAAGAAATGTAGGACCATGTTATAATTATTCAATCATAAGAATCATTACCTTATATCTGCTGCAGACACACACACACACACACACACACACACACACACACCATGCACAGAGTACCTTTCCAAACATGTTGAATTTAAATTCATTATTAAGATCAATATTGGCTGGTATGATTTTGTCATTGATAAGAAGCTTTAATTGACTTGTTTTTGTGCCATTATTTGACATTAAGACAAGGTAAAACCAGTGCCTTGTTTCCCTACTGTGAATTCTCAATCATTTTTGTGAATCATCATTTTAAATATAACAGCATATGAGACCATGAAAACTATTTTCTGCTTAGCAGCATTTTTTTCTATGTAATCATTATATATGTGTATTTTCTGGAAACCTTATTTATAAATGGTTCTGTATCTTCAGGCTTCGCAATAAGTGTCATGATTAATACAATTTTCTTGATTGGTATTAAAAATTCACATACAGGTATAGATAGGTTTTATTCTCTTCAAAATGATTCATTTTTATTATAATAAGCCAAATTATAAATTATTAAGAATATAGAAAAGGAAAGTTGAAATTACCTTGATTTTCACTCCTCAGAGATCATCACAATTGCCATTTTGGGGAGGATCATTTTGGATATCACATTTCCATATGCATACACAAAACCTTACCATCTTTCATAAATGAGATTATTACACATGCTGTTTTACTTGTCATTGGTGTGTTCCATATACACCAATACATATAGGACTATTTCATCAATCGCGTTTTTTTGTAAATTAGAAAACTAATTTCACTGTTAATATAGTGAAAAATATACTTGGAAAAACTTCAGTCGATATAGAAACATAGTCAAAAGGGGATACTTCTCTTCATAGCAATAGTAATCCTACCTTCTCTCCCATATATAACTCAAATTAACAGTAGGAATTATCACTGTGGACATTATACTTTGCATTTATACATAATTTTAAGTAAATAATTTTTTTTTTTGAGATGGAGTCTTGCTCTGTTGCCCAGGCTGGAGTGCAGTGGCAGGATCTCGGCTCACTGCAAGCTCTGCCTTCTGGGTTCACGCCATTCTCCTGCCTTAGCCTCCCAAGTAGCTGGGACTACAAGTGCCCGCCACCACACCCGGCTAATTTTTTGTATTTTTAGTAGAGACGGGGTTTCACCATGTTAGCCAGGATGGTCTTGATCTCCTGACCTCGTGATCTGCCCGCCTTGGCCTCCCAAAGTGCTGGGATTACAGGCGTGAGCCACTGCACCTGGTCATGTAAGTAAATAATTTTAAATAGAATCATGTTTTCCATTCTGCAGTATCTCACTTAAAATTATATACTTGAGATATTTTACAGCAGCATAACATTTTATTTTTTTTACAGAATCATAATATTACATAATTTATTCTCCACTGTTAAATATTTAGATTCATTTTCGCTTTTACAAATAAAGTTTTCACGTGGCTGTGAGTCTGTTCACATATGCAAGTATTTCTGAATGACAGATTCCATTAAATTGAATTGCTACAGTTCTGAACATTTTAAATTTTCGTAGGTGAAACTAAATTGCTCTCTGAAAAGTTGGCCATTTACCTTCCAGTTGTATCCCCATATTCTCAGCAGTATTGGATAATATCAAAAACTTTTTACATATTTCTGATCTGATGAGCAAAAACCGTGATTTTCTTGCTTAGTTGAATATCCTGCTTAGTAAGAGCTAGACTGAGAATCTTTTCATGTATTTATTAGTCATATTTCATATGTAAAGTCTCTATTTAAATATTTTGTCCATTTTTAATGGCCTTTTTTCCTTATTGATACTTAGGAGCTATTTATACCTGTGGATAATAATTTTTATTATCAAATATAAAAACAAAGTTTTGCCTATCTTTTGTATTTTAACTTTATTTTCAATATTTTGACATTTAAAATTTTTTATGTAGTAATATATTCTAGCCTTTTTACATAATTGCACTTTTCTCCTGAAAGTAGAGAGCAGGAAATTGGGCCATCACCAATATTTTTTACCATTACCCTGAAAAACACTAAATTTTTGTGTTTTTAATTACTGGCACATAATACTTTTCTTCATTCTTTTTTTTTTTTTTTTTTTTTGAGATGGAGTTTCATTCTTGTCACCCAGGCTGGAATGCAATGAAGTGATCTCGGCTCACTTCAACCTCTGCCTCCCAGGTTCAAGCGATTCTCCTGCCTCGGCCTCCCAAGTAGCTGGGATTACAGGCATGCGCCACCAAGCCCGGCTAATTTTTGTATTTTTTAGTAGAGATGGGGTTGCACCGTGTTGGCCAGGCTGGTCTCAAACTCTTGACCTCAGGAGATTCACCCACCTCAGCCTCCCAAAGTGCCGGGATTACAGACGTGAGCCACCGTACCCAGCCCATTCCCCATTTTTATAAAACTTATTTGCCAGCCTTTCATATATTCTTCCAGATGCACATTAAAATTTACCTAAGTTCAGTATAGCTCTATAAATTTAATAGACAAATTTTATGAGAGATAACATTATATTTTGCAATACTGAGTTTTTCCATCCAGGAATCTGATATTTCTCACTATTCATTCCATTCTCTTTTTATATCATTAAGTAAAATTTAATACATCTATAGATATGCACACATATCTATAATTGTGCTTATTTCAATAGATATATACTGCTATGAAATTTATAATATTTAGTTGCTATAATAACAAATTTTGTCATGAAAACTTTTAAAATATATAGAAAAATATATTATTCATCTCACATTCATTCTGCATGAAGAAGTGTTACCGAATACTCAATAGTAATAACAGTTTTCAGATAATCTTGTTTTCCCTAGGTAGACAATTTTGAGACCTGGGAATAAATATAGTTATTTGTTAACAATATTTGCATCTATTGCTTTTTTTTATTCATTTAGATTTACTAGAACCTTGAGTAAAATATTGATTAACCTCACTTATAGTGGGAATGCTTATCTTAATCTTGAATTTTGAGCATGACACTTGCTGGAAATTTCTGGATTTTGTTTGAGATTAAGAATTATTCTTCCTATTCATAGATTGCTAAGGTTTTGAGTTTGTTTTTTAGTGTAGTTTTGCTTTGCTTTAATCAGAATAGGCATAAACCTGTCATCAATGCTTTTTAAAAATCTATTGATATCCAGTTCAAAAAGGAATTTCAGTATTAGATCTCTCAGTCATGAGTCATTTGTTCATTCTGGGAATAAACAACATTGTCTTGCTTTATTATTATTTTTTATTACACAGTTGAATTAAATTGGCTAATATTTCATCTACAAATTCATGTTTAAATTAATAGGAACGTTGCCTGATAGCTCTTCTCCTTTGTCTAATTTCTGTCTAATTTTGTTATCAGTTACATAAGCAGTAAAACAAAATTATTGAAATGGAAAGAGGTCTAGAAATGAAGTCAATCTGTTCCTCATCTTATAGATGGATGACCAAAGACAGAGAGGTAAAGCAAAACTAATATCAGAGACCGGATTGTGTGATTGAGGATTCATAAAATTTGGGAAGCAGCTTGAGATGCAAAGTTCAAGAGAATATGAATTTCCTAAGTAATAATTTGTCTCCATGTAACACTCTTACTACAGTCATCTCTATGAAGTTCACCTACCTCTATCTTCTTGTAGTATTTGGAGACAGAGTTTTAGTTTTTGATCCTTTCACGTGTCCCTTTAAATAGATTGTGCTTGTTGGGATTCACTTTCATTGATTTTGACTTCTATCATTTCCCTGACAGTTCCCAGCCCACATAATAGGTGCATAATCAATATTTGTTAGTTGATGAAATTGTTTCCCTGCAATTTGCTATGTGCTTTTACAGCACAGTTATATTAGTTAAATATTCTACAGAACCCATAATTCATAATCATTTCTTATTACTACCAAGGGAAGCAGAGCAGCGCTGCTTCACTAGGAGAAAGAGAAGGGCTGACTTGTTAGCCAGAGGTCATTCGGTGCCAACATGGGGAGATCAGAGCTCTTTCTGCAATTATCAGAAGCAGAGCATATATTACATTCTGAAATAGACAATGAAGCTCTTGGATTTGTCTATGGAAGTTACTGTGCCTCTTTCCATCTGCCACACTTGCCAACATTTGGCATCCAGCTTGGGCCCTTTAAGAGTTACTTTACTTGATTAAAAATAAATAAATTAAAAGCTAAATTGGGACCTATTCAGTAGTTCCATATTTGATATCTTAAGTGAAGGTAAAACTTGAAAGAAGCTGCCCCCCAAGCCTTGTTAAGGATGATGGCCAGACTAGAAGAAAAACAAGTACTTTTCTTGAAAGTCCAGTTGTCTAAGCCTTTGTAGAATATTGAAAATGAATTTCAAAGGAAAAATTTCATTCCTCTTTATTTCTTGTCCTGAATTTCTGCTGCTGACTCCTCCCTTAAAACCCATTTTTCTTCTATTTGTCATCTCATGTTCATCAAGAAGATGATACATTCTCAAGCATACTGATTCAGGCATTCATGCATTCATTCACTCCCCAAAGAACTATTTATAGACTGTCTACTGTGTGTCAGGTACTGGCACTGTAGGCTGAATGATGAGCAAATACAGGGGTGGTCCCTGCTTTTATAAATCTGGGGAAATGTATGCTAATCAAATAATCTTCCCAGTGAACATATAATTATAAACTGAGAATCATGCTCTGAAGGAAAAATCTGACTTAGGTGGGCAGAAGTTTCAGGTATTCTGTGTGGAGGTGGAGGACAGTGTTGGTGAAAAACTTTCCAAGGAATTACTTTTGAGCAGAGATCTGATGGATAGCAGTTAAGCAAGTATAAGTGGTGTGAAGGTGGCTGTGAAAAGGGAGGAAGAGAGCATTCCAGCCAACAGAGAACAGTATGTACAGATGTTTTCTGGCAGAAGCAAGCATTGATACATAAAAGTACATTGATATAGCTGAAGCAAAGAGAGAACAAGAACTACACATGATGACTCTCAGGCCAGACTGCAAGACGTAGTAGGGATGGGGGTATGATGTGGGGATGGAAAGGTGATGATGGGGGAACCAAATTTGCATCTGAAAAAATTTGTTGGCTGCAATGTGAACATATTGTAGAGAAAGAACATTTGCTGACAACAAAAGCTAAAACTGGAAACAAGAATAAAATAAATAAAACTGATCAAAATCTTAACTAGGGTAGAGGACAGCAAAAATATAGGTTGGTGCAAAAGTAATTGCAGTTTCTGCCATTGCAAAAACCACAATCACTTTTGCACCAACCTAATACATGATTTGAGATATTACTGAGAGGTAAAATGTTTTAAAATGGATAGATGGGAGAATGAGAGAGTGAGTATTATCCAGGCGACCTGTAGCTCTCTGCCTTGAGTCATAAGACTCATGGGGTTACTTTACCTCATACACAGTCCTCTGTTCATGTCAGACTAGTTTAACCATCATCATTTGACTTGAACACTCTAGGAATGATTAGCATGGTTGTCTCTGTGGCTGAACTGGATATTTTCAGGGATAACTTACTTGACCTCTCAGCAGTTGATATATGATATCATCCTCTTGAAACCTTTTCTTCTCCTGGTCTCCATGACATCACAGTATTGTGGGCAACCTTTCTTATCTCTGGCCACTTTTTCTAAGTCTCATTGAAGGAGTAACCTCATGTTTCTGCCTAATAAATATTAATATCTTATATACCTCCAAGAACTTTTTCTCCTCACATAATCATATCTAATTACCATCAATAAACTAGTAACTTCTTAATTAATATCTCTACTGTAGACCCCCTCTTAACTACACATCTAACTATATGTAGTTTATGTCTTCTTATGTATCTCAGTGGCAACTCAAACTCAAAGTATCTGATTCAACTCTTGCTATCTCCTACCAACCTGAAGAACTTCTAGTGTTCCATCTATCAGTGATTTGGCTAGTGACTTTGTAGTTTTGCTACTTACTACTGTGTCCAAGGGGCATAGACACCATTTTTCCTTCTTCATGCTTCTTCACAAGCTTTTATGAACTGCCATTTATTTCTAAATTCAGAAAGAAGCCCAAGTCTCCTTTGCCAATACAAGTTAAAAATAAATAACACATTTCAGCTAGATTATTTCCACACCCATATTCAAAGTTTTTCTCTGTTTATTTGTATCTTTGCTACAGATTTGTCTAATCTTGATGTTTCCAATGAATATACACAGTCAGACTGAAATCCACTCGGGGCAGTTAAGTTTAATAACCTAAGGACTTTCTTTTCTCAGGTGTTTCCCCCCATAACCTAAAGCAATAATTCTTACCTTTATATTCATACGGTACAGAATTAGGATCATTTTTATTAGGAAGGAGTGGAAGAAAGGACACAGCTTCCAACGAACAAATTAAGTTGTACACAGGACTTTAAAAAATAGAATTCACCAAATGTGTTAATTTCAGACACAATAGACAATAATTTATATTAACAATGATTCAGTTCCAGATAGAGATAAATTATTATTTTTATTTATTTACATAGATGAAATGCTATTTTCGGGGTATTTAACTTGATGGGAAAATATTTTTAAAAGAATATATCATCGTCTTTACCCTCAAGCAGCTCACCATCTGATAGATACATAAATGAGTTTAGAGAGAAGGAGAATTCGCTATAATGCGAGAGTGTGGGAAGATAAAGATATGGATCCTGGGCATCTGAAAAGAGTTTGTGGAAGAGACAATATTTGATCCAGGCCTTGAAGTATAGGTATGATTTTCAAAGAGTATGTGAGGGGTGGTTTTCAAACAGAATGAGCAGCTTGCTGAAAGATAAACTCAAAAATGATAAATTATTTTCTTCAAGAATTAGATGTTCTCTTGTACCTGATATGTAACATGTTCTAATAGACATTGAAGAATTAGATCGTCAAAGGAAGACACTTATCTGTATGTGCAGGAACTGATATGACTGTCTCCTTCCTTACATTTGTTCCTAACACTAGGACATGCAGGCTGACTAAACCCAGAGGCAGGCATTTAATGAGAAGTTGCCTTTCACAGAAATAATTATGGTTATACATTACCAGCTTTCAACTTTGTTGAAAGTATCCATCTGAGATTAGTACATTCTTAGGGTATAAGTTTCTGGCTCAGTACTTACTAAGAATCGTGGTTCTCTGGTTGTATGCAAAGGAAAATAAATTTGGCTTACTTAAAAAGAAATAAAGACTTTATGGAAGACATAAGGTAATGCACATAAATCAGAATGAAAGAAGGCTAAGATTCGACAGAACAAAGAGTGATTCAGGGCTGTAGGTGGCACTAGTAAGTAAGGGATATGCCCAGGCTAGACCTAGGGGAGGACCAGGATCCTTGATTGACAGTCGTACCAAGACTTTACACCACTAGGTTAGAAAAAGAACTGTTCTCCGAGGGAAATCAGTGTTATTACCAAAGGGAGGAATGGATTTTGGATGGAAGGCCAGAATATCCCCTATACTTGATTTTCTTATTTTAATTTTTAGCCTTTTCTCTATTTCTCAAGTAGAAGTTTAAGTCATTATTTCTTGCCTCTAATGTGTGAAGCTTTCTATTAAACTTCCTACGCTAACCCACACATGTTCAGGTCATTCTTTTTTAGACTTTCACCTCAGTACATTTATCTTCGGGAAAGACTGTCTATTCAAACACATGAAAATTAACCAAAATCCTAGTATGTATCTGTGTGTTGTCATGTGTGTATTGTTGTTGTTGTTGTTGTTGTTGTTGTGTGTGTGTATGTGTTGGAGATGGGGGAGGTGGTATATCAGAATCACCTGGGAGAACTTTTAAAAAATCTAATTATACAGTCCTTACACCTCTGTCTTCCATGCGTATACACACTTAATGTATCAGAATATCTTGACAGAAGGGAATTGGACTTTTCTTTTTAATAGCTATTTACTGGTGATTCTATTACTCTTACCATCTCTCTTATCCCACAAGTTGAGGACTATTGATTTGGATTTTTTGTAGGCCCCATTTTATTTCCATTATTGAATATATTTGCCATTCTGTATTCTAGAACAAGTAGGAGAAATTTGTTGAGAGAAATATTTCATCTCCTTATAAAGAAGAACTTCATAACTTGTGTAACTTTGTAACTTTGGGCTGTCCTGCAATGGGACTAGACTGCCCTGGAAGACAATAAATTATCTGCCTCTGGAAGTATTTACACAAGAGTTGCATGACCAATTGCCAGATGGGAAAATGCATGAAAATGAGACAGTGACCTTTCTCCCCCATTGAGAGCTAGGAGACGTGGTGACATGATATTACAATTAACTATATGAACAATATATAAACAATGAATGTGTGACAATGAAAATCTCAGCAAACATCAAGGTTTGCTTCGTGTTCTGGAGAGATCATATTACAGGTAAATACCTGTGTGGGAACTTCTTGGTGACAGACTGAATGATATGTGATAAGCAGCTGTCCAAATAGTGTACTCATTCCTAACAATGATTTCATTTCAGTTTTCTAAGATGACTGAGAACACTACCAGTGCCCCTGAGATTTCAGATAAAACTTAATACTAGAACGTTAAAACATACCATGCTCTGATATTCAATTTATTTAAAATAGAATATCTTTACCAGATTAGAACAAAGTAATGATGAAAAGCAGACTTAACCTATAGTATGGTAGATCTTTTTTAAAGGGTCATTGAAAAAATTTTCCATCTCAAAATATCTGTTTCATTGCCGTCCCTGGCTCTACCACTGGTGACTCATCCTTTTGTTTCAAGCCTGATCATCCTCCTGACCTTGATAGAGAGTGAGGGACAGAACTAGCCTAGGTGTCAGGATTCTACAAGGCCAGGCTCCACAACAGGGAATTTCTCACCTGAAACCATGGGTTAGGGAGTGAAGGATACTATGTTCTCTGCTGAGTGAAAGAAAAGACTCAAAGTCCAGCAAATGGAAATCATGACAGAAACATACTAACTAGTATACAGAACTGGAACTAGGGGTCAGTGCCATGGCACATGGCTGTAATCCTAGCACTTTGGGAGACTGAGGCAGATGGATTGCTTGAGGTCAGGAGGTCAAAACCAGCTTAGCCAACATGGCGAAACCCCGTCTCTACAAAAAATACAAAAATTAGCCAGGTGTGGTGGTGCGCACCTGTAGTCCCAGCTACTTGAGGGGCTGTGGTGGGAGGATCATTTGAGCCCAGGAGGTGGAGGTTGCAGTGAGCCTAGATCGAGCCACTGCACTCCAGCCTGGGCGACCTAGTGAGACTTGGTCTCTAAATAAATAAGTAAATAAAATGAACTTGAACTAGGAACCAGAAGGAAGGGAACAAACATTAACATGATTGTTCAGCTGAGGAATTGTCTGGCTAGGCATTCTCATCTACAATGTTTTTTAGAGCCCAAATAGGGCAATAAGGTCAGCCATGTTTAAAGGGCCTAGAATATACCATACATTTTAGAGGGCAGAAGGAATGGTGGGAAGGAAAGAGCTGCAAGAGAGGGATGCTAATAAAAAACTTCACTCTCCTCTCATAACAAGACACATATCCCTGTTTGAAGACTTCTTGTTTGTTTTTAAATTATTACAATATTGGTAATTATTTTAAGGATGTAATTTAATCTTTCATAAAAATGAAAGAACATTTTGTCCCAGGTTTTTCTTTTCAATAAATGTGTAAATTTAAATAACTACCTTTTGTCCCATTTATTTAAGATAATTTAGATTCTGCTTTTTGTAGACTTGGTTAAGGATGTAGCAAAATACCAATAAAAAGTCTGGTCAATCATTTCAATGCCAGAATGCTTTTCAAGACTTTCTTCAGGGTAGCAAAAAGGACATACACATATTGCTAGTTAATAGTCGCCCTGCCATTGGTTGGTTTGAGTATGTTTCATCCCCCTGCTTAATTTTGTTTTCTTATTTATACAATATAAGATTAGAGAGTGGGGTTAAATGTCACAAAATGGTGACCTGTGAACTAAAGTAAGCCAACAGACTGTTAGTTTGGCTAAGACATTGAGTTTTTCCTTTCATTTCTCTCGTTTTAATGAATGCCTTTCAGTAGGGCATACATAATCATTTTGTCTGGGGACCCACAACCCCAGCCTACTACTGAGTTCAATCTAGACTCAATGTTTGTATCCCATCCCCTGCATGGCTCTTGAAAGCATTTGAGTTTGTGGCTCTTGGGTCAGACATATTGTTAAATTTCTTTAGGCTCCTAAGGCTTTAATTCTACAAAACCTCTGAGAGTATGAAATTTCTTTTTTTCTTTTCTTTTTCTTTCCATTAGTTGAGAGATAGATTAAATGGAAGGCAATTCATACATGGTGAGGGCCACCAGGCTTCAGACTCTCCCCATACATTATCTCGTTTAATTCTCAAAGCATCCCAGTGAGGTCATCATTATCATACTCATTTTATAGGTGACAAAACAAGATCAAATAATTTAATATCTTGCTCATAATCAGAAGCTTATTAACTGTAGGAACTGGGTTCAAACCCAAATCTGTTTGTCTCCAAAAACTCCCGATATCCTTGTTTCCCTCAGTGAGCAGAAACATTCTACAGAGATCTTATGAATACCAACAAAGCTTTGCCCACATTTTGCGCAGATACACAAAGGATATCAAATGTCCAAATATCTAAAACTATTTTTACAGAACATCTTATTTGCAGGCTGTATTCTTTGACCAGCAGGGAATTACATTTCTACTGTTCTTGGGAACATACTTGACTAAAGAGCCATGCAGAATTTAGGAAGAATCATCATTAGAAGAAATTTGGCTTTATTCACACACTGATGTAACATTAGAAAATATGTCATAAAATCATTCAAATTTGAAATGTAAAGATATTTTATTTCTAACACTTTTCTGTTTTGTCACAGATATTACTTATCTTAAAATTCGACCTTGTTTGTACACAATAGCACTAAAACTGCACATGACTTGAAATATACTCTATTACCTAGTAACTTTGACAGAACAGTTCTGGTAAGGAGAAGTTCAAGTATGTGCAGGCATAGAATACATGAAGACAAAAAGAGTGTTAGTATGATGACTGAGCAGAAAACTTTGAGTAGAAAACACAACTTTCAGTTGTGTTGTATTTTCATTAGAGGGTTGTATAAAATTAATTCTGCTAATATAAACACACACTGTGTTTAACATAATTTCTATACTATGTCAGTCACTTAATTGGCTTTTAATAAGCCTCGGTGGCCAGCAAATATCCAGAAGAAGAATGTATACTTTCAAAAGGAAAAAGAAGAAAATGAGGATACAGTAAATATAAGTAAGTAAAATAAAAAAGTATCTACATAGGGCCAGTTTTTTATAATTTCTAAGCTTTGGGTTAACCAGCATTCTTCTAATTTGACCACATTGAGCCAATGATTTTTATTTTTATTTTTATTTTTTTACTTTAAACAAACAGTGCTCAATTTTACAGGTCAGTATTTTTTGCAAATGCAGTGTGAATTAATATAATACAAATTAAAGCAATTAGACTGTCAAGTTTCACTTTTAGTGATTGGGGTTTGGGGAGTGGAAAGGGGCACAGAAACTGTTGCCCTTTTCAAACAACTCACAAATGTGCTAATTATGTGTCAGAAATTATGAAAGTTGAGGCATTGTGACCTTCAAGCCAACAAAAGACCTTTTCAAGTAAGCCATCCCCATGTACATTAATAAAGTGAGCAATGCCCTTCCACAGTTAAATAATGTATGGCTGTTATTTCATTATATGTGAATGAAAACCGAGGAGTTATTTCACTATTGGCATATTAAAAGAAATGTTATAAAAAAGCAAAGACTGTAAATCCATTTAAATAACATTTTGTGGTACTTTTAAAATAGTGATCCAAAGTCATATGTTGTTTATTTCCACTGCATGTGGCTAATGCGTAGTTTCTCCGCAACTGGATGTATTTTAGATCTTAGCAGGAAAAACTGCAATGCGTTAAAGTATAAAACAACTGACAGAGATATTTTAAAAGTTAGAAAAATTACTGTTAGATAAAGTAAATCCTTGCAATGATAAAGACAATGAGATATTTTGTAGATCAGAGAAAACATTGCCTCTGTCCATAAGCCTTACTGTGTTAGTAAGAAGAATCTTGAACAAGAGTGGGGTGCAGAGGAAGGGAAAATAACCTCTCACTCTTCATCATGGCTCTTTCATGGTCTGAAGAAAGTATTTGTAAACCTTGGATTTAGGTCATGGACATAATGGTAATTAAAACAGCACTCATTTTGTTGGAAGAAAATGTAAATTTCAAAAGCAATAATATAAGAGAAATTTGGGTGTCACTAATGCTTGAATCAAATGCACTGCAGGAATGTCAAACAGTGCCCATGAAGTTGTAGTGGAAAATCAAGAGCAGGAAGAAGTTAATTATCTTGTATTTGTTCAGCTTTGTAGTATATTTGATGCAAACAAAATGTATAAAGATACAGTCATACTTAATGCAACTTAAATATGAGTAATAGACCTCTGGGAAATAATAAACCAATTACAAATTTAAAATAAATCACAATCATATGAGATTCCAAAAACCTATTAGCATTCAATCCACAGATAAACTTTTGTTTTTCCAGTCTCACAATAGCTTCTTATTATGGGTTAGATGTTGATACCAAGAGACTGTATAGGGTTTACTGATTCTCTCACTAGTCTCTCCTCATTTTAAACAATTATCTAGGTCCTTTTATTGTTATTTGCTTTAATAGATTCTCTGAATTCTTTCATAAAATAGATACCAGTGATGATTTTGAGAATGTTATTTGTCATTGAGATTCTTGATGAATGTGTACATGTTCTTGTTCAGTATAAGTGTTGCTGCATTTCCTTGCTAATCTAAAATAATTTCCATTATTTTGGATTGTATTTAAGGTGGCAAATCTTGCTTGTTCCATGTCAACAAATGAAGATGGAATTAAAATTGTCAAAATTGCAGCCAATCATTTGGAAACCTTGTGTCCACAGGTATGACAACTAAGTTACTTTTTGTGTGTAAAATTATATATAATTCCTAATGCTTTTATGCATATGAAAATACACTATTTTTTTTTCTTTTTTTTTTTTTGAGACCAGGTCTCGCTCTGTTGCCCAGGCTGGAATGCAGTGGCGCAATCTCGACTGACTGCAACTTCTGCTTCCTGAGTAGCTGGGATTACAGGCATGCGCCACCATGCCTGGCTAATTTCTGTATTTTTAATAGAGATGGGGTTTCACCATGTTGGCCAGGCTGGTCTCGAACTCCTGACCTCAAGTGATCTGCCCACCTCGGCCTCCCAAACTGTTGGGATTACAGGCGTGAGCCACCGTGCCCAGCCAAAATGTTTATTTGAAGCATGGAAGACAGAATTGTCCTAAGGCGATTCTTAAAAAGAGAGTAGAGAAAAAGACTGACATTCTTTAAGTGGCCATATTGGAATCTCCTGAGGCAAAGGTGCTTTGTCCAAATGATTTGATTTATTTTTAGTAATTATTTATTTTGAAATTTCAAATCAGCTGAAAGAATTGACTCTTTTTTTCTTTTATCAAAGAAGGTATCGGTTTGAAAAAAGTTAAGAAATATTTTCTTGTCGGTAATTCAGATGTTTCTTAAAATCTGAAGAGTGACACACTTTTAGGGAATTATTTCTACATGACAAATGGTTTTGAAGCCATGAATCAAGATACACATAGAGAAATTTTAAACACTCTTATCTGAGAAGAAGCAGGATATAATACGGATACTTCCTAATAAAGACCACAAATGTTATAAGGATGAGAAAAATAACAAAGATTAGGGACTTTAAGTCTCTGGACGTCTCCTGAGATTCTCAGTCTACAAAAAGTAGGGCATGTGTTAAATTATTGATTTGCCTTGCTGACAATTTCATCTCTAAGAATATTAAGGAAACTGTGAAGGAAACTGCTTCTTTGGACTTAATGTTGATTAACAAGTAAGAACAAGCTGGAAAAGTGGGATCTAGAGGACCTGCAGCTGAGATCTCCCAACTGATGTCAATTTTCTATGAAACTCCAGAGGGAACAGAATACTGCAATGAGGTCTCTAAAGTAGTTGAATGAAATATACTCCCATCAACACTCTTTAAGTGTTTTCATCTCTGCACATTGTGAATAATGCTCAAGGTTATCACTTTTTAAAATGCCTTTTCAATCTGAAGAGGATTAAGTATCTCTCATTGGTTTTAATGTGTAATTTTCTGATTCCTAGTGAGAACATTCTTTTTGCAAATATTTATTGACTATTTGGCTTTCTAATTCGGTGACTTGCTTATATCGTTTTCCAATTTTCCGATTTTTGTTAGGTTGTATTTTGTAATTAATTTGCTTAGGTTTGTTAAAAATATCTCTGTTGCCCATGTCTTTTGAAATATTTTTTAAATAATTTTTCAGTCACAGAAGATTTGAAGAACTTTAAGGTAAACATATGATTTATCTTTTAATTATTTTAATATATAGTTATGGAGCACCTACTGGGTGTCCTGGTTTGTGGTTTTGTACCTCGTTAAGACATTCTATCAACAAATTTGTCACATATTTCCCACATTATGTTGTTAAAAGAGTAAAGTATTATTATTCAACATACAGATATTTATTCCCTCTGAAATATATTTTTATGTCTAACATGAGGTAGAGATCATTTCATTTAGTAGTGTTGACATTTGGGCCACCATCATATATTAAATAGTTGATCCTTTCTCAATTATTGTGAAATTCTACCATTGTTTCACACACATCCCATAAGGACTTATAAATATTTCCATTGTCTAATATATATTTGTATACACATGTTCATATATACTTATAAACATAAATACACGTACACATGTACAAGTTTATATAAACATTATATTATGTTTGCACTTGGTAATTCACCAGTGTTTTTTTCACATATGGCCATATGGACAGCTTCTTTTTTTTTATTTTTTACTTTTTATGTTTTTATTATTATTATACTTTAAGTTTTAGGGTACATGTGCACAATGTGCAGGTTAGTTACATATGTATAAATGTGCCATGCTGGTGTGCTGCACCCATTAACTCGTCATTTAGCATTAGGTATATCTCCTAATGCTATCCCTCCCCCCTCCCCCCACCCTACAACAGTCCCCAGAGTGTGATGTTCCCCTTCCTGTGTCCATGTGTTGTCATTGTTCAATTCCCACCTGTGAGTGAGAAAATGCGGTGTTTGTTTTTTTTGTCCTTGCGACAGTTTGCTGAGAATGATGGTTTCCAGCTTCATCCACGTCCCTACAAAGGACATGAACTCATCATTTTTTATGGCTGCATAGTATTCCATGGTGTATATGTGCCACATTTTCTTAATCCAGTCTATCGTTGTTGGACATTTGGGTTTGTTCCAAGTCTTTGCTATTGTGAATAGTGCTGCAATAAACATACGTGTGCATGTGTCTTTATAGCAGCATGATTTATAGTCCTTTGGGTATATACCCAGTAATGGGATGGCTGGGTCAAATGGTATTTCTAGTTCTAGATCCCTGAGGAATCACCACACTGACTTCCACAATGGTTGAACTAGTTTACAGTCCCACCAACAGTGTAAAAGTGTTCCTATTTCTCCACATCCTCTCCAGCACCTGTTGTTTCCTGACATTTTAATGATTGCCATTCTAACTGGTGTGAGATGGTATCTCATTGTGGTTTTTATTTGCATTTCTCTGATGGCCAGTGATGATGAGCATTTTTTCATGTGTCTGTTGGCTGCATAAATGTCTTCTTTTGGGAAGTGTCTGTTCATATCCTTCGCCCACTTTTTGATGGGGTTGTTTGTTTTTTTCTTGTAAATGTGTTTGAGTTCATTGTAGATTCTGGATATTAGCCCTTTGTCAGATGAGTAGGTTGTGAAAATTTTCTCCCATTTTGTAGGTTGCCTGTTCACTCTGATGGTAGTTTCTTTTGCTGTGCAGAAGCTCTTTAGTTTAATTAGATCCCATTTGTCAATTTTGGCTTTTGTTGCCATTGCTTTAGGTGTTTTAGACATGAAGTCCTTGCCCATGCCTATGTCCTGAATAGTATTGCCTAGGTTTTCTTCTAGGGTTTTTATGGTTTTAGGTCTAACGTTTAAGTCTTTAATCCTTCTTGAATTAATTTTTGTAGAAGGTGTAAGGAAGGGATCCAGTTTCAGCTTTCTACCTATGGCTAGCCTGTTTTCCCAGCACCATTTATTAAAAGGGAATCCTTTCCCCATTTCTTGTTTTTCTCAGGTTTGTCAAAGATCAGATAGTTATAGATATGCAGCGTTATTTCTGAGGGCTCTGTTCTGTTCCATTGATCTATATCTCTGTTTTGGTACCAGTACCTTGCTGTTTTGGTTACTGTAGCCTTGTAGTATAGTTTGAAGTCAGGTAGCGTGATGCCTCCAGCTTTGTTCTTTTGGCTTAGGATTGACTTGGCGATGCGGGCTCTTTTTTGGTTCCATATGAACTTTAAAGTAGTTTTTTCCAATTCTGTGAAGAAAGTCATTGGTAGCTTGATGGGGATGGCATTGAATCTATAAATTACCTTGGGCAGTATGCCATTTTCACAATATTGATTCTTCCTATCCATGAGCATGGAATGTTCTTCCATTTGTTTGTATCCTTTTTTATTTCCTTGAGCAGTGGTTTGTAGTTCTCCTTGAAGAGGTCCTTCACGTCCCTTGTAAGTTGGATTCCTAGTTATTTTATTCTCTTTGAAGCAATTGTGAATGGGAGTTCACTCATGATTTGGCTCTCTGTTTGTCTGTTATTGGTGTATAAGAATGCTTGTGATTTTTGTACATTGGTTTTATATCCTGAGACTTTGCTGAAGTTGCTTATCAGCTTAAGGAGATTTTGGGCTGAGACAGTGGGGTTTTCTAGATATACAATCATGTCATCTGCAAACAGGGACAGTTTGACTTCCTCTTTTCCTAACTGAATACCCTTTATTTCTTTCTCCTGCCTAATTGCCTTGGCCAGAACTTCCAACACTATGTTGAATAGGAGTGGTGAGAGAGGGCATCCCTGTCTTGTGCCAGTTTTCAAAGGGAATGCTTCCAGATTTTGCCCATTCAGTATGATATTGGCTGTGGGTTTGTCATAGATAGCTCTTATTATTTTGAGATACGTCCCATCAATACCTGATTTATTGAGAGTTTTTAGCATGAAGAGTTGTTGAATTTTGTCAAAGGCCTTTTCTGCATCTATTGAGACAATCATGTGGTTTTTGTCTTTGGTTCTGTTTATATGCTGGATTACATTTATTGATTTGCGTATATTGAACCAGCCTTGCATCCCAGGATGAAGCCCACTTGATCATGGTGGATAAGCTTTTTGATGTGCTGCTGGATTCAGTTTGGACAACTTCTTTTATGTTCACTTTATGAGGACTCAGCTTAAATATCATCTTCTCAGAGATCAATCTCCCTTCTCCCTAAATCACTCCTCCAGCTGTGACTTATTATGTTACCATATTTATTTATTTTAGAGTCTATATCACAACCTGAAGTTATATTTTATATTAATTTGTTACCTTTATTATATATAACACACTCACACAGAAAGTTCATGAAGTCAGTGATTTGATCTCCCTTATTCACCATTAATATCCCCTGTACCTAGCAGAAATAAAATATATATTGGATGTTCAATAAATATTTGTTCAGTGTATAAATCAGTGAGAAGGTTGCTAGAATGATAAATCATTCTATATTCATAGAGGGCAGGGATGATTTTGGCAACAGCTTCTTGATATTTTTCTTAATATGGTGTGTCTTATTTTTAATAAGATGAAAAAAAGACAGTATAATTACTTTGAGCTGTAACTGATAGAAAAAAATCCTTTACAGTGACTATTTTATGTATAGATACTGACCAAAGATGAGATCTGAATTCATAGGCTAGATTGATTTTAGAGTGAGTCAGTTAAGTCCTGGGTCAGGAGGAGCTAATAGGGTGGCCCTGAGTTTCTATTTGTTAAGTACAATTGAATTCACGTAGGTTTCAGTGAATTGAGTTGTTCTGGTTCTTACTGTGTACAAAGGACCACACTGTAAAGCTTTGCCCAGTTATAGGTATCACCCTTCAAAAAAGATTTGTCACTTGGAGCATATTTAGCAGAGATATTTGAAATAGTGACATGAGTTGAAACTATATCATATGAACACCTCAGAAAAGCAATAGGGAATTTTTAGCCAGGAAAAGACCTGGAGGAACACAATCACTCTCATTATATCTTTAAAGGACTATGATGTGAATGACTTGTTCTGAAGGGCCCCGAGGGGCAAAATACAACCTATGAGCAGATGTTAGAAGAATGCAAATTTTATCTCAATATAGAGAAGAGTTTTTTAACAGAGCTATCCTGACAGGAATTGGACTTTATTGAGAACACAGGATTTGGAGTTTCTCAACACTGCAGACATTTAACACAAGGAGAGTGACTAGTTGACCAAGGTATTTTGTGGGGGGCACAAACAAATCTTGGGTGAAAAGTGGGTCTAGAAGCCTTTTGAAACCCAATCCTTAGATCCTCTAATGGATCTGTCTGTTTTATGAAAGAGAGAAATGTGATCTGGATGATTGCTGGAGTACTACAGGTGTGTGAACAGTTATACTCAACCTGGTGGAAGGATAAAGCGATCTATAGGGCTTAATCCTTGCTCCACTTTAACAAGTGACTTGGAAGAATACTGAAAAAGTAAACATTTTATATTTGTGTAAGGCACAAAACTGAGAAAGGTAGAATGGTCTAATGTTTGAAAACTCATAAGCTGAAATTAAATAAGGGCAAATATAAAGTCAGGGCCTTAGCTTAAATACAACCTATTGCACGAGCATATAGTGAAACGATTGCACATCAAAAGCACATGGGTCATCAGGAGTTGAGAGGGACATTTGCTCTCTTGTTCAATGAATTTCAAACCTGGATCTATGAAAGCATTTTCATGGTCTATAGCAAAAGTAGCTCAGTGTAGTTAGCTTTTTTTCATATAGTGAAATTTATTCAACTTTTCATTCTCAGGTTTTATATTTACTACTTTATATTTATCAGAAATATTTGATTTATGAAATAATAAAGTAGATAATAGTTTTTTACATTTTTATTTTTGGCAACAAATAAATTATTTATCAATCAATAAAAAATATTTTTTTACTTTACTAATAAAAAAATAAAAATATACCCACCCTATGTCAGTTCCTTCTCCTTCCTGTGTCTCCTTCTTCTTTGAAAAATATTTGTGGCCTGAAAAGTCCAGAAAGTTAAAAGTACTAATTTAGGTGACTTAACAGTATAAGTCAGTAGCGTGATATGGGGACTGACTTATAGCATTGAAATAATTGATCTTTTTGTAGTGTAAGTTTGATCATTGGATTTTCATGCTCACGTGTGATACGTGCCTCCTTCAAACCTTGTTATGACACTAGCACATTATTCATATGACATGAAAAATAAAATAAAATGGTTATGATACTTAGCTTGTGAAATAGAAGGAAATTTTCAATATACTTGGCACAGGAATGTCCACATCAAGAATTTCATGCTGAGTCCTGGGCCCATAGTTTAAAGGATAGGCAGAAAAAGAATAAGTTGTTTTAAGCCATAGTGAGCTATCACCTCATTACTGGAAGTGTTTAAACAAAAGCAAAATAGGGTGTACCTTGACAAAAATATTGGAGAGAGAATTTCATTATTGAGAAGTAGAAGAATTAGATCCTCTTAAGTGTTCTTTCCATAAATAAGATTCACTAATTAACAAAAATCATGATGAAAACCTAGGGTATTTTCCCTGTGGTGAATACACATTCAATTAGGCAAACCCTCCTAAGTACTTAGATTTTCCAAAATCACAAGAGAGAAATGTGGTTCTAAAATATGTGGTTCTAAAATAAGTCAAGTTTTCCAATCACGGTCTAGTTTGAGTCACTATGTAGTATTGCTTTGTTATATCTATCTGTTGCTCTCACCAAGTAGTATCCAATAACCTGACAGGGCTAAAACAGCTTCCAGAGATACCTAATTTATTTTCAGTGATGTGGTTGGGTATAAAGAGATAATATTTTTATAAGTTGTTACTGAAAATCTGTAATTTCTAAAAGAGATATATATTGAGTGTGTTGATAAGTAGGGAAGAAAGTCAAGATTGCCCTAGAGAAGCATGTGAAATATAAAAAGAACAAAGTATTTGGGCTAGGGCATGCACTGGAGATCACTTGTATTCATATTTTAGCATGGAAAGCCATAAACTCCATGAGGATAGGAATTTTTGTTCCGCTGATATATCCTAAGAATAATGCTTGACACATAGTAGGTACTCAGTACATTTTTGCTGAGTGAATGATTATACCTCAATGACCTTTTTCAGATTATATTCATTGGCAGGTAAATGCTGGAAGCCATTACTATTCCCCTTCCTTCTTTGTTTTCTGGGAGTGTAGAAACTCCCAATTTCTAATCAAAATGATAAAAAGTCCCAGTATGACACTTTGTCTGTTGAAGTACAAGTCATGTGAAGTGACTGGCATTATCTCTCTCTGCATAGACAGGACTATTTTGTAAAAACAGCAACTTGTTCTGATTAAGTTATGATGTATTTAGCACACACTTCAGTAAGAGCATTAGACTATCTCTTTAAAATGGAAAGCTATGTGCTTATTTGTATGGGTTTTTTATTTGTTTTTCTGGTAGAGAAGTTGTCATATCTGCGAACTGAAAGCACTTAATTTTCTAAGTATCAAGCTTTGGGAAGCAAACATATTCTCTTTCATCTACTGTTGATGATGATGATGGATGTTTTGTTTGCAACTAAACAATATAGGACCCAAATATTCAATGTAAAATGACCATATTCTTTAAGAATCATGTAAAAGCCATATCAGGCCTTTTATAATTTATGCCTAATTTATTTCTTTTCACTTCAGGGAATGGCACAAAATGCTCTTAAGACTTTGGAAACAAACAGTCGCGTCATAATGTAAAAAAGACTTAAATGAGGTGATTTTATTTTTAAAAAGCTTATAATAATTGAGTGGTGTATCCTCAAGACTGACTAGGGTGATTTCAAATGTAAGTTTAGTACCAGTTTCTTTCTAGTGATGGTGTGGTATCTATGTGGGGAGAGAGTGCGTGGGTGCAGCTATGAGCACAGCTACTAAGACTGGAAATAAATGTCTGTGCCTTTGTCCTATCACTGCCCTGTATCTTGTTCCAATTACACAGCCACTTTCTTCCACCTACTCCAAGGAACTCTTCATTCAACAAATACTTACGGACCACCTACTGGGAGCATCCATGAAGCTAGGGTGAGGCAGGGGCAGGGAGTGGGGATTTAGGGGGTACTCAGTGGAGCAGTTCTGAGAAATAAGAATTTTAAGGCCTAAGTTTTATTAGAAGGAAAATCGGAGGTGGTGTGTCCTGGCAGAAGAAACAGAATTTGTGGAGGAGAAGTCATGGCCATCAAACTCAAGTGGGAAAGTGGGGTAAAAAATTAGATAATGACTTTAAAGTACATAGCCTAGAATTAGCATAGTTTCACATGCAGGCCAAGGCAAGAATCTCAGAATGAATTACAAACCAAAGTGTTTACAGCCTCATTTATAATCATGGTGTGTGCTGTGATATTAAGCACATTAACATAAAGGATCTGTGCTGGCCTGTACAATGTTCTTCTAGTCACGGAGGAAAATAAAGGTAGAGCCTTGCTGACATTAAGTTTATAATCAAAATTGAAAATTTATTATCCAGATAGAAAGGAAGTGGTGTTTGGGAGGAATCGGTGGAAATGGCATGAGAATTGGATTCATGTCAGGGGACACAGGGAGAGCCCACAGAAAAATGTCATTTTCCATGGGCCTTAAAGGAGAAGCAAGATTTGCACATTTGGGAAAATACGAAAAGGGCATTCTAGGCAACGGAGATGGAAAAACATGTAATAGAAATTGAAAAAAGTAAACAATTGAGTCTGTCTAAGCCACGTTGTTTCTTTACAGGAGGCACCCTTGGATTTTGGGTGGAACAATTATTTGTTGTGTGATACAGTCACAGTGGTGGGGATCAACCTTTTCTGGGGAGGCCAGAAAGCTCAGAATCAGCACTAAGACACAACTTCCACCTCCCCCAGTCCAGTCTTTCTAATAACCAAAAGTGCCTTCACACATTTCCATAAACCTCCCAGTAAAGTGATGTTGCCCCACTTAAGAACCAGTGGGAGGGCATAGTCTGTGGAAAGGTAAGTTGTAGCCCTTAGTGCCAAGTGAAGGGGTTTAGATCAGTTTCATAGATTTGGTTTAGTTACTACAGGTACTACAGGTTTTGAGTAGGAGAGTGACATCATCACAGCTGTGCTTTCGGAAGATTGATTTGAAAATTCTGTGTCAACTGAATGGGAAAAGGGAGAGGCATGACCTGCTAAAAGATAATTGAATATTACATGCAGAAGTCAGGATCTGAATAAGAGATGTAGGAATAAGAATTTTTAAGATGGGACAAATTGCAAATAGACAATATAAATTGATCAGAAACTGAAAACAAATTAGATGATTGTGATGATGGAGGTGAAAGGGAATGAATTTGAGGTTTATAGCCTAGTACCTGGGAAAATAGTGGTTATATTAGAAGAAATTGGAAACAAAATTAAGAAAGGGACACTTTAGGACAGAAATGAATATATTTAAGTTACTACCAGAAGATCCAGGTTGAGATGATAGAAAATAAAACTACAAGAACTTGAGATGTCACCACTAGATTATGGTGACCATTCATATAGATGTGATGATTAGAACCATAAATGTGGGATGAGATTGCTAAAGAGCAAAATAAAAATAAAAGAATCAAAGGCGTAACCTTAAGAAAACACATCTGGGAGAGAAAAGGAAGAGGAACCTGAAAAAGAACAATGAGCAAAGTAAGAGGAAAGTCAGGGAAGTGTGGCTGGAAGCCTAGCAAATGGGAGCATTTCAGCACAGTGATCAGCAAAGACAGATACTCCAGTGAAGTCCAGAGGGATGAGTACTGACAATTTGGAAATTAGGAAGTGAGCAGTCATCTTAACCAAAGAATAGTTTCAGCAGCATTGTGAGAAATGAGGAGAGGGCAGGGGCCAGAAGCTATATTCCTAGATTTTTTCCCCCTTAAATTGAAAAGTAAACCTAATTGTGGAAAAGAGAATCACTGGGAAGCTCCACCTTGCAGACTTTTTACCATAAAGTCCTACCATTCTTTTTACTATCAGTTATTTTTTTCTTTATTTGTGTGTTTATTAATTGGTATATCATAGTTATATATATTTTGGGGGTACATATGATATTTGGATACATAAACAATATGTAATAATCAAATCAGGGTAATTGGAATATCCAACACCTCAAATATTTATCCTTTTTTGTGTTGGAGACTCTACAATTCTTCACTTCTAGCTATTTGAAGCATATAATAAGTTATTGTCAATTATAATTTTCCTACTGTACTATCTAATACCTGAACTTACTTTTTCTATCTAACTATTTTTGTACCCATTAACCAACTTCTCTTCACTGCCCCTTATTCTCTTTCCGGCCTCTGGTAACCGCCATTCTACCTCCATGAGATCCACAGTTTTAGTGAATAAGAACATGCAATATTTGTCTTTCTGTGCCTAGCTTATTTTACTTAACATAGTGACCTCCAGTTCAATCTGTATTGCTGCAAAAGACAGGATTTCATTTTTTTGTGGCTGAATAATATTCCATTGTATGTGTGCATGTATATACACACACATATGCCACATTTTTTTATTTATTCATCTGTTAATGAACACTTAGGTTCATTAACAAAATATGGATTTTGGCTATTGTGAACAGTGCTGCAATAAACATGGGAGTACAGATACCTCTTTAACATATTGATTTCCTTTCTTTGGGGCTATATATCCAGCATTGGGATTGCTGGATCATATGGTACTTCTACTTTTAGTTTTTTGAGAAACCTCCATACAGTTTTCCATATTTACCGTATGACTTTATATTCCCACCAACAATGTATGAGCATTCCCCTTTCTCCACATCCTTGCTAGTGTTATTTTTTGTCCTTTTAATAATAGCTATTCTAACTGGCCTGAGATTGTATCTCATTGGGGTTTGATTTGAATTTCCTTGATGACTAGTTATGTTGAACATTCTTATGTCTTCTTTTGAGAAATGTTTATTCAGGTCTTTGGGACTTTTTTTTCCCCAACATGTCTAAATAAACTGTTATTGAAACACAGCCATGTGAGTTCCTTTATTTATTGTCTAGGGTTGCTTTCATACAACAAGGAAAGAGACCATCCACCTAACCTAAAATAGTTACTATCTGACCTTTTTAAAAAAACTTTTAAGTTCAGGGGTACATGTGCGGGTTTGTTACATAGGGTAAGCTCATGTCACGGGGCCTGAAGCATTGCTCCAGGAACATAGCCCCCCCATGGGTATTTTTACACAAAAACTGGAGGCTATTCAAAAGATACACATGAAGTCTATTCCTGGAGATTATTTTGTCACCCAGGTATTAAGCCTAGTACCCATTAGTTATTTTCCCTAATCCTCTTCCTCCTCCCATCCTCTACTCTTCAGCAGGCACCAGTGTCTATTGTTTCCCTCTATGTGTCCATCTGTGTTCCTCATTTAGCTTCCACTTATAAGTAAGAACATGAAGTATTTGGCTTTCTGTTCCATGTTAGTTTGCTAAGAATAATGGCCTCCAGCTCCATCCATGTTACTGCAAAGGACATGATCTCAATCTTTTTTATGGCTGCAGAGTATTCCATGGTGTATATGTACCACATTTTCTTTATGCAGTCTGCCAATTGATGGACATGTGAGTTGATTCCTTGTCTTTGCTATGGTGAATAGTGCTGCAATGAACATACACATACATGTGTCTTTATGATAGAATGACTTATATTCCTTTGGATATATACCCAGCACTAGGATTGCTGGGTCAAATGGTATTTCTGAATTTAGGTCTTTGAGGATTCACCATGCTGTTTTCCACATGGTTGAAATAATTTACACTCCCACCAACAGTGTCTAAGTTCCTTTTTCTCTGCAACCTTGCTAGCATCTGTTATTTTTTGACTTTTTAGTAATAGCCATTCTGACTGGTGTGAGATAGCATTTGATTGTGGTTTTGATTTGTATTTCTCTAATGATAGGTGATGTTGAGCGTTTTGCATATTTTTTTGGCCACATGTATGTCTTCTTTAGAAAAGTGTTCATGTACCTTGCCCACTTTTTAATGGGGTTGCTTTTTCTTTTCTTGTAAGCTTGTATAAGTTTCTTATACATACTAGATAATAGACCTTTGGCTGGGTGCGATGGCTGACAACTGTAATCCCAGCACTTTGGGAGGCTGAGGAGGGCAGATTGCTTGAGGTCAGGAGTTCAAGATCAGCCTGGCCAAATGGTGAAACTTCATCTCTACTAAAAATACAAAAAAAATTTAGCCTGGCATGGTGGCACATACCTGTGGTCCCAGCTTCTTGGGAGGCTGAGGTGGGAGGATCACTTGAACCTGAGAGGTGGAGGTTACAGTGAGCTGAGATCACACCACTGCAGTCCAGCCTGGGCGACACAGTGAGACTCTGTCTCAAAAAAAGAAAAAAAAAGATAATAGACCTTTGTCAGATGCATAGTTTGCAGAATGTATCTCCCATTCTGTAAGTTTTCTGTTACACTCTGTTGAATGTTTCTTCTGTTGTGCGGAAGCTCTTTAGTTTAATTATATCCCAATTGTCAATTTTTTCTTTTGTTGTAATTGCTTTTAGTGTCTTTGTCATGAAATCTTTGCCCATTCCTGTGTCCAACATGGTATTGCCTAGGTTGTCTTCCAGGGTTTTTATTGGTTAGGGTTTTACATTTAAATGTTTAATCCATTTTGAATTAATTTTTGTGTATGGTGTAAGGAAGGGGTCCAGTTTCAACCTTCTGCGTATGGCTAGCCAGTTATCTCAGCACCATTTATTGAACAGGGAATCCTTTCCCATTGCTTGTTTTTTGTCAGTTTTTTTTTGAAGATCAGATGGTTGCAGGTGTGCAGCCTTATTTCTGGATACTCTATTCTATTCCATTGGTCTCTGTTTTTATTTTGGTGTGCTGTTTTTTTACTGTAGTGCTGTAGCATAGTTTGAAGCTAGTAGCATGTTGCCTCCAGCTTTACTCTTTTTACATAGGATTGTCTTGGCTATTCGGGCTCTTTTTGTTCCATATGAATTTTAAAATAGTTTTTTTTATAGTTGTGTGAAGAGTGTCATTGGTAGTTTAATAGGAATAGCATTGAATCTATAAATTGCTTTGGGCAGTATGGTCATTTTAAGAATTTTGATTCTTCCTATTCATGAGCATGGGACGTTTCGCCATTTGTTTGTGTCATCTCTGATTTCTTTGAGCAGTGTTTTGTAATTCTTATTGTAGAGACCTTTCACCTCCCCGATTACCTGTATTCCCAGATATTTTATTCTTTCTGTGGCAATTGTGGATGGGATTGCATTTCTGATTTGGCTCTTGACTTGACTGTTGTTGATGTATGGGAATGGTAGTGATTTGTGTACATTAATTTTGTATCCTGAGACTTTGCTGAAGTTTTTTTATTAGCTTAAGTTTTTGAGCTGAGACTGTGGGATTTTCTAGATATAGGATCATGTCATCTGCAAACAGGAATAACTTAACTTTCCCTCTTCCTGTTTACATGCCCTTTATTTATTTCTCTTCCCTGATTGCTCTGGCCAGGACTTCCAATACTATGTTAGGTAAGGAATGGTGAGACAGAGCATCCTTATCTTGTGCTGGTTTTCAAGGAAGTGCTTCCAGCTTTTGCCCATTCAGTTTAATGTTGACTGTGTGTTTGTCATAGATGACTGTTATTATTTTGAAGTATGTTTTCTCAATACCTAGTTTATTGAGCATGTTTGACATAAAAGTGATACTGAATTTTATTGAAAGCCTTTTCTGCATCTATTGAGATAATCATGTGGTTTTTGTCTTTAATTTGCTTATATGATAAATCACATGTATTGATTTGAATCAACCTTGCATCCCAGGCATGAAGCCTCCTTGATCATCATGCATTTGCTTTTTGATGTGCTGCTGGATTCAGTTTGCAGGTATTTTGTTGAGGATTTCTACCTCAAAATTCATCAAAGACATTGGCCTGAAGTTTCTTTTCTTTCTTGCTTTTTTTTTTTTTTTTTTTTTTTTGGTTGTCTCTGCCTGGTTTTGGTTTCAGGATGATGGTAGCCTCATAGAATGAGTTAGAAGGAGTCCATTCTCCTCAATATTTTGGAATAGTTTCAGGAGGAATGATACCAGCTCTTCTTTGGACATCTGGTAAAATGAGGTCGTTAATCCATCTGATCCTGCATTTTCTTCGATTGGTGGGCTATTTATTACTGATTCAATTTCAGAGCTCATTATTAGTCTGTTCATGGATTCAGTTCCTTCGTGGCTCTGTCTTGGCAGGGTGTCTGTGTCCAGGAATTTATCCACATCTTTTATATTTGCTAGTTTATGTGCGTAGAGGTGGTCATAGTGTTTTCTGATGATTATTTGTATTTCTGTGGGGTCAGCAGTAATATCCCCTTTGTCATTTTTAATTGTGTTTATTTGGATGTTCTCTCCTTTCTTCTTTGATAGTCTAGCTAGATGTCTATCTAACTTATTAATTTTTTCAAAAAACCAACTCCTGGATTCGTTGATCTTTCGAATGCTTTTTGGTGTCTCAGTCTCCTTCAATTCAGCTCTAATTTGGATTGATTTGTTTCTTTTCTTCTGCTAGCTTTGTGTTTGGTTTTCTGTTGGTTCCCTACTTCTTTTAGTTGTGATGTTAGGTTGTTAACTTGAGATCTTTCTAACTTTTTGATGTGGACATTTAGTGCTATAAATTGTCCTCTTAATACTGTCTTAGCTGTGTCCCAGAGATGCTGGCGTGAGGTATCTTTGTTCTCATTAGTTTCAAAGAACTTGTTGATTTCTGCCTTAATTTCATTATTTACCCAAAAGCCATTTGGGAGTAGGTTATTCATGTAATGAATTTCCATGGATTATATGGTTTTGAGTGAATTTCTTAGGCTTGATTTCTAATTTGATTGCGATGTAGTTTGAGAGAGTGATTGTTATGATTTCAGTTACTTTGCATTTGCTGAGGAGTGTGTTATGTCTGATTGTATGATTTATTTCAGGGTATGTGCCATGTGGTGATGAGAAGAATGTATTCTCTCTTGCTTTTAGTGGAGAGTTCTGTAGATGTCTCTCAGGTCCGTTTGATCCAGTGCTGAGTTCAGGTCCTGAAAATCTTTGTTAATTTTCTGCCTCAATGATCTAATACTGTCAGTGAGGTATTGAAGTCTCCCAGTATTATTGTGTGGGAGCCTAAGATTCTGAAGGTCTCAGAGAACTTTCTTTTGTGAATCTGGACGCCTCTGTGTTGGGTGCATATATATTCAGGATAGTGAGGTCTTCTTGTTGTATTTAACCCTTTACTGTTATATAATGTCCTTCTTTGTCTTTTTTGATCTTTGGTTTAAAGTCTGTTTTATCTGAAATTAGGATTGCAACCTCCCTTTTTTCTGTTTTGCATTTATTTGGTAAATTTTTCTCCATTCCTTTATTTTGAGCCTATGGGTGTCATTGCATGTGAAATCAGTCTTGGTTCTTTATTCAGCTTGCCCCTCTGTGTTTAATTGGGGCATTTAGCCCATTTACATTTAAGGTTAGTATTGGTATGTGTGGATTCGATCCTGTCATCATGATGTTAGGTGGTTAGCGTGCAAACTTGTTTGTGTGGTTGCTTTATAGTGTCACTGGTCTGTATATTTAAAAGTGTGTTTTTGTAGTGGCTGGTAACAGTCTTTCCACATTTAGTGCTTCCTTCAGAAGCTCTTGTAAGGCAGGTCTGGTGGCAACACATTCCATCAGTATTTGCTTGTGTGAAAAGGATCTTATTTCTACCTCAATTATGAAGCTTAGTTTGGCTGGATATGAAACTCTGGGTTGAGATTTCCTTTCTATAAGAATGTCGAATATTGGCCCCCAGTCTCTTCTGGCTTGTAGGGTTTCTGCTGAAAGGTCCACTGTTAGTCTGATGGGCTTCCCTTTGTAGGTTACCTGGCCTTTCTCTCTAGCAGCTTTAACATTTTTTCTTTCATTTTGACCTTGAGGAATCTGATGATTGTATGTCTTGGAGCGATCTTCTTGTGAAGTATCTTACTGGGGTTCTTCGCATTTCCTGAATTTGAATGTTGGCCTCTCTAGCTAGGTTGGAGAAGTTCTCATGGATGATATCCTGAAATATGTTTTCCAAGTTGCTTATACTCTTTCTGTCTCTTTCAGGGACACCAATGAGTCATAGATTTTGTTTCTTTACATAATCTCATATTTATCTTAGGTTTTATTAATTCCTTTTCATTCTTTTTTCTCTATTCTTTTCTGACTGTCTTATTTTAGAAAGCTAGTCTTCAGCCTCTGAGATTCTTTCCTCAACTTGGTCTATTCTACGATTAATGCTTGTGATGGCATTATGAAATTCTTGTAGTGTGTTTTTTAGCTCTATCATGTTGCTTACATTCTTTTCTATACTGGCTATTTTGTCTGTCCGTTTCTGTTGTTTTATTCTGATTCTTAGCTTCCTTGGATTAGGCTTCAATGTACTCCTGCATCTTAATGATCTTTGTTCCTATCCATATTCTGAATTCTACTTCTGTCATTTCCGCCATCTCAGCCCAGTTCAGAACCCCTGCTGGAGAGGTGATGTGGTCATTTTTAGGACAAAAGGCACTTTGGCTTTTTGAGTTGTTGGAGTTCTTGTGTTGGTTGTTTCTCATCTTTGTGGACTAATGTTTCTTCAGTCATTGAAGTTGTTGACCTTTGGATTTTTTTTTTTTTTTGCTTTTATCCTATTTGATGACCCTGAGGGTTTGATTATGCTATGAAGTGAATTCTGCCAACTGGCTTTGTTTCTGGAAGACTTTAGGGAGTGAACACTTAGCTCTCAGCTCCTGTACTGGGTGCTGTAACTCTGGGGGAGTAGTATGGTGACCTGAGAGTGTTCTTTGGTTCTTTGAGGTTAGAAATCTGCTACACTAGGGGGCCGAGGTACTCCCAGAATGCTGGTCAGTACTCTCTGATGGGTGGTGTCAGCCAAAGCATTTCGTAGTATGGTGACAGCAGGATCTGTCTTCATCCGCGTATGTCAGCAGCAGTGGCAGCCACAGCATGGCAGGGTGCACGCTCATCGGCTGCAGCAGGGTGCTAATGGGTGTCAGTGTACCTGCCTCCATGCGGACATTCACCACAGCGGTGGAGGCAGCATGAGTCAGGGGAACGGGGGGCCCCTGCTGGCGAATGTGCATGCAGTCACACTGGTGGTGGTGTTAGCATGGGGATTATTGCTCATTTTTTAATTGGATTTTTTGTTTTTGTTTTTGTTCTTTGTTTTTGCTACTGAGCTGCTTGAGTTCCTTATATGTTCTGGTTATTAATCCCTTGTTGGATGGATAGTTTTTAAATAATTTTCTGCCATTCTGTAGGTTGTCGCTTTACTTTGTTAATTGTTTTCTTTGCTATGCAGTAGCTTTTTTAACTTGATATGATCCCATTGGTCTATTTTTGCTTTTTTCACCTTTGCTTTTGAGGTCTTACCTAAAAAAATCTTTGCCCAGACCAGTGTCCTATACTGTTTTCCAAATATTGTCTTCTAGAAGCTTCATAGTTTCAGATCTTATGTTTATGTTTTTAATATAATTTTATTTGATTTTTGTATATGGTGAAAGATGGGAATCTACTCTTATTCTTCTGCATATGAATATACAATATTCTCAGCACCATTTATTAAAGAGACTGTCTTTCCCTGATGTATGCTTTTGGCACTCTTGTCAAAAATCAGTTGGCTGTAATAGTGTGGGTTTATTTCTGTATTCTCTATTCTGTTCCATTGTTCTATATGCCTTTTTTCATGCTAGTACCATACTGTTTTAGTTACTATAGCTTTGTAGTACAATTGAAAACCATGTAGTATGATGTCGAGCTTTGCATTTTTTACTGAGGATTGCTTTAACTATTCAGTCTTTTGTGTCCATACACATTTTAGGATTTTTTTGTAATTACCTGAAGAATATCATTAATATTTGATAAGGATTCTACTGAATCTGTAGATCACTTTAGGTAGTAGACACATTTTGACAATATTAATTCTTCAAATCCATGAGCATAGAATATGTTTCCATTTTTTTGTGTCCTCTTCAATTTATTTCATCAGTGTTTTACAGTTTTCTTTGCAAAGACCTTTTACTTCTTCATTAAATTTATTCTTATGTGTGATATATATTTTTAGCTATTGTAAATGTTACTGCTTTCTTGTTTTTTATTTTCAGATTGATCACTGTTAGTTTGCAGACACACTATTAATTTTTGTGTCTTGGTTTTGTATCCTGAAGCTTTGCTAAATTTATTGATCTATTCCAAGAATTTTTTGGTATAATAGGCCTTTCTAAATATAAAATCACGCTATATACAAACGAGGATAATTAGACTTTCTTCCTTTTTAATTTGGATGCCCTTTCTTTGTTTCTTTTGCCTAGTTGCCGTGACTAGAACTTCCAGTACTATGTTGGATAAAATTGGCAAAAGTGGGCATCGTAGACTTGTTCCAGGTCTTAGTGAAAAGGCTTAGAGTTTTCCCCATTCACTATGATTGCTATAGGTTTGTCACATATGGCCTTTATTGTGTTGAGGTATATTTCTTCTATGCAAAATTTGTTGAAGATTTTTATCATAAAGGGATATGGAATTTTATCAAAAGCTTTTTCAGTATCTATTGAAAGGATCATAGGGTTTTTGTCCTTGATTCTGTTGATATGCTGTATCACATTTTTTGATTTGCACATGTTAAAAGATTCTTGCATCCCTGGGATGAATCCTACTTGGTCATGGTGAATGATCTTTTTAATGTATTATTGATTTTTGTTTGCTAATATTTTGTTGAAAATTTTTGCATCTATGTGTGTCAGATATATTGGTCTGCGGTTTCCTTTTTTTGTTGAGTCTCTCTGGTGTTGGTATCAGGGTAATTTTTCAATATTGCCTTTTGTCTTCAGAATCTACATAGTGCAGTAGGCTTTTAAGCAATTCTAGCAGCATTTTCTAAAGTATGTTTTTATATAGTGAACTCAAGCTTGTGGAGCTAAATATTAGTATGAGCTTTCACTGATTATTAATCAGTAAGTAAATAAGATATCCTGGACTTGTAGGTGGTTCACACTTAGATTAACCTTAAATACATAAACAGTTTTTTTAAAAAAAGCTTTAAAACTTAAGATACTTTTATGTAATTCAGAAGGTAATGTTAGTGCTGAAAAATATTTTGTTCATAACATTATTTTTAAATGTCATTTTAAATGTGAGGCTGAAATGAAATGTCATTTGTAGTAGGATGTTTAACCAAATGGAGAATGTCTGACTATTTCTTCCCAGAACCTTGTCTTGAGGGTTAATATGAAAATTACCCATGCCCATAGATCCTAAGAACTTCTATACCCAGTCATGACAAGTTTTCCAACCAAAAGACCTTATACAAATCTAAGCAATCATTCATCCTCTTCCTTGTACTACAATCAAGATTACAAATTGTAGTTCTATAACTGAAAGTCTCTGCACTCTCATTTTATGTGTCATAACTGACAATGCTAGTGTCCCCTACATCCTAATTTAGATTTAGAGAGGTTTTCTGTATTTCTTTTCAAGAAGAGAGTATTCTAATTTCATATCTACACTGAACCTAAAAGTTTAGGACTGGCAGTTCACTCCAGATTTCTTGGAGTATATAAGCTGGTTGGGGCGACGATCTGGGAAAGGTAGTGTTAAAAAGCAATGAAACAGACTTAAGCATGAATGTCACTAAGTCTATTATATGTACACCAATAGTCATTATTTTTTCATCCTATACTTTCTATTTTTTTCTGTTCTAAGGCTGCGTTTGTTAGCAATATTCTGTAAAATAAGATTTGTCATTTTGGATTACCCAAGGAGAATGTGACAAGGGTAATTTAAAACAGTCTAAGCAGTCCTCCCATTACAGATGGTTAGTATAACAGACAGTGTGCAGAAACTTGGTCTAGGGAGCTGAAA
This sequence comes from Homo sapiens, assembly GCF_000001405.40. Taxonomy (NCBI): domain Eukaryota; kingdom Metazoa; phylum Chordata; class Mammalia; order Primates; family Hominidae; genus Homo; species Homo sapiens. The sequence continues at coordinate 66,601,550 of NC_000010.11, read as the reverse complement.
CAGAACTACATTGAGATCCAGAAGCTATAAGGTAATTGCTCCATAGAAAGAATGAACTGGTTTTGGAGAACTTGAGAGTCAAATGTTGTTTCTAGTAATTAGCAAGCTATCAATATGATATTGCATAGTTTATTATTTTAAAAATAACTTTAATCTCTGTCATGCTTATGCAGAAATAAAATAACTGTACTTATAGCACAATAAAATTCTACTTTTTGCCTAATGGAGGGCAACATGAGTTAGATATCTCACAAAATAAACTACTTTTTTTTCAATTTCTCAATTTCTGCTCGTTGAATGCTAAATTAAAGTCATGAATCTGCTTTTGAACATGTAGATACCTTCTGGGCATGCTATGGTTGTGCGTTTGGTAAGAAAGTTTATAAAGGAAAAGATGACCTCTTCTCATGCATCTGAGATCTGGCAGGTACTTTCCTAGAGCTACCATATTTAATTCTTGCAATGGTATTGTGACATACACATTACTGGGCTCATTCTATTATAAAGAAGAAGAAATTCAGAGATTTTAGGTGACTACTCCAAAGTTAAAGAACAAAAAAAAATGCTTTAGGATTTGAACACTAATAATTTTCTTGGTTTTAGAATTATTTCATCAGAGTTTAATTTACTCATAATTGTGTAATTCTCCAAAGAACATAGACTTTTCTACTACCCCTTGCTGTAAAAGACGTGATAAAGAAAATATCCCAGGAATCTTACTTTTCAACATTTAAGTCTGCAATGCTTTTGACTGTCATATATTTAGGGCTTGCTATTTCATAATTGAAGGCCTTAGCTCCATTAGAAAGGATGCCAATATTACTTGACATTTATGTATCACTTTATTATTAAAACAGGCTTTACAATTTCTGTATCATACTTGGTAAGATTTGATACCAAGAGAGATTTTGGGGGTTCTGTAAGATTACACAGCAAAGAGGGGGAGGAAGTTAAAATACAGTTCTTGCCAAATCATTTAACATCCTTATTTACTTAACAGGAACTCCCTCAGGTAAAAAATGATGGATCAGTGTGTTATGCAATTTTGGCATAATATTTTCAAAAATCTAGTAGTCAAAGCTTTTGACTAAAAATTAAAAGGCTGATTTTTATGGGTGGTGTTTGGGTATAAAAGTGTATATTTCAAGGTATTAGAGCAATATATGGTCCCTTGAACACGCACATGAGTGATACTGGAAAAAACAATTTGACTGAATTTTAAAAATTACATTATTTCAAGGTATATGTTCTTATTTTCTTTAAAATAATATTTTGTATTAAAACTTTCTGCTTAGGATCCAGGGCAATATACCTAATTTTTAAATAATTTACTATCATGAAAAACCATTTTTCTGAATATCGGATCTTTAATCATTAAATAAATTATATAACTTAATGTGTTCCTCTTTAGGTTGTTATTATAGGTGAGTTCAACATAAATTTGAGGTTCTATCTCAGCAACTGTGTTAGCCTGGTTGTTAAATATGCTTCTTTTGTCTACTTTGTTTTTTATTATTTATTTCCATATCAACAATGACTTTGTACTATCTTAAGTCATTTTTCTAATCTGGCAAGTTATTAGCTAAAAATGAATAATTGAATAAGAAGTGAACATTTCCCAAAGACTTTAGCTCTAGGTAACATAGTGACCTAAGAGAATGTACACTTACTCTGTCTCACATATAGGTGCTATTGAATATTTTTGGTGGTGATGTTGAAGATATTTGAATTATGTTGGTGGTAAGTGGAGGCCAGAGAGTTACTTAATATGTGGACTGGCATGGTGTAAGTCTGGAAGGAACTGTGGTGAACAGTTTCTTTGCTTATGGTGCAGTTTCTTTTGAAGGACTTAAAGCAAACACTGGAACTCATTTCCTAAGACACTTTGAGGTCACTCATTCCCACCCAATTAAAAAAAAAGTAGAAGAAGAAAAGAAAAACACCTGTAATGAGTTTTCAGAGGCTTATATGGTGTTACTGTATTTTTTCAGAATGTATTGTTGTGTAACAAGAAATATTTCATGGGTAATCCAAAGTATAGGAGTTCTGGGATAGAAAAGCAAACTCTAGCATGGGGGCAGCCTAGGAGAAATGGGCCAAAAATTGAAGGGAATAGTACAGCCATGACTGCAAAACTGTCTGTCAGCATTCCAGAAATAATTCATGGTTTTTCTCTTAAGCGAATACTTAAGTTTATGGCCTGTGCCTATGAACCAAGCTTTGTGGATGTTAATAAAGAGTTGACAGCTATCTTTCCATTGAAGTCTTTGCCTCTCTGAGTGGAATATACTGTCAACTGTCAATAAATAATAATCATTATTTCAGTTTCTGCCAGATGCTGCCTAGAAATCATGGAATTCAAAGGCAAATATTTGAAAGCCTGAACAAAAGTATGATTTCAGTCATTTGTTGCAGTTCTTTGTAGCTTTCTCAAGCTTTTATAACAAATGTGTATATGCAAGGGTTTATTTCTGGGGTCTCTAATCTATTCCATTGGTCTATGTGTCTGTTTTTATGCCAGTACCATATTGTTTTGATTACTATACCTTTGTGATATAATTTCAAAATCAGGGAGTGTGATGCCTCTAGATTTGTTCTTCTTGCTGAAAATTGCTTTGGTTATTTGGTGTATTTTGTGGTTCCATATGACTTACAGTTTTTTTCTCTTTCTGTAAAAAATGCCACTGGGATTCTGATAAAGATTGCAGTGAATTTATAGATCACTTAGGATAGTACAAATATTTCAACAATATTAATTCTTCCAATCATTGAACACAGATATCTTTCCATTTCTTTATATCTTCTTAAATTTCTTTCATCAATTTTTTCTAGTTTTTAGTATCCAGGTCTTTCATCTTTCCAGTTAGATTTATTCCTAAGTATTTTGTTCTTTATGTAGCTATTGTAAATATAATTATTCTCTTGATTTGTAGTTCATCATTAGTGTATAGATACTCAACTGATTCTTCATATGTTCTGAATCCTGCAACTTTACTGAATTTGCCTATTAGTTCTAACAGTTTTTGGTGGAGTTTTTCTGGTTTTCTATATATAAGACCATGTTGTCTACAAACAAGAACAATTTGACTTCCTCATTTCCAATTTGGATGCCAATTATTTCTTTCCTTTGTCTAATTGCTCTGGGTAAGACTTCCAGTACAATGTTGGATAGAACTGATGAGAATGGGCATCCTTGTCTTATTCCTGATCTTAGAGTAAAAGCTTTCAAATTTTCATCATTGAGTGTGATGTTAGCTGTGGATTTGTCATAAATGGACTTTACTGTGTTGAGGTATATTCCTTCTATACCTAGTTTGTCGAGAGTTTTTATCAAAAAAGAATGTCAAATATTATCAAATGCTTTTTTCTTCATCTATTGAGATGTTATTTTTTTTGTCCTTCATTTTGTAAATGTGATATATTACATTTACAGATTTATGTATTCTTGAATTCCTGGGATAAATCCCACTTCTTCATGTTGAATGTTCCTTTTAATGTGCTATTAAATTTGGTTTGCTAGTAATTTTTGAGGATTTTTGCATCTACATTTATCAGGGATATTGGCCTCTGATTTTCTTTTCTAACGGTGTCTAATAGCGGTGTAATAGTGTTTAATACTTTCATATATTTAATGTTGCTAATTAACCTTCTTTTGTTTCAAATAAAATATTAAATAACTCCCATTTCTTGTAAGGTAGGTCTAATGGTGGTGAAGTTTCTCAGATTTTGCTTTTCTGGAAAAGTCTTTATCTTTTATTTCTTGGAAGGACAGCTTTTCCAAGTAAAGTATCATTGATTGACAGATTTTTTTGTCTTTCAGTACCTGGAGTATATCATCCGCACTCTCCTGTGCCTGCAAGTTTTCTGCACAAAAACCAACTGATAATCTCATGAGGGTTCCTTTGTATGTGACAAGTTGTTTTTCTCTTTCTGTGTTCAGAGTTTCTTGTAACTGATTTTTATTATTTATTTGTTATTTTTAAAATTTTTAATAAATATATATATATATATATATATATATATATATATATATATATATGTATGAAATAAAATGCCATGTTGACCAGGCTGACCTTTAACTCCTGGGCTCAAGTGATCCTCCTGCCTCAGCCTACCAAAGTGCTGAGATTACAGACATGGGTGTCATTCAATTTTAATAATATGATTATAATGTGTCCCACTGAATAATATGATTATAATGTGTCCCAGTGAAGGCTTTTTTATGAATCCTTTGGGCTTCATAGATCTGGTGTTCATTTTACTCCCCAGATTGGAAAGACTTCTGTTATGATTTCTTTAAATATGCTTTCTGCCTTTTTCTCTGCTGCTTATAGGGCTCCCATAATGCAGCTATTAGTTTGCTTGATGGAATCCCATAATTCCCATAGGCTTTCTTCATTCTTTTTCCTTTATTTCTGTGACTGGAGAATTTTAAATGGTCTGTCTTTGAATTCACTGGTTCTTTTTTCTGCTTGAGTCTGCTATTGAAGCTTACTATTATATTTTTTCATTTCATTAATTTTATTCTTCTGCTGAATTTGTCTTGTTCTTTTTTATTAATATGTTTCCATCTTTTTGTTGAACTTCTCATTTTGTTCATGTATTGTTTTCTTGATTTTATTTAGGTATCTATCTGTGTTCTCTGGTGGTTCACTGTGCTTTTTTAAAACAATTATTTTGAATTCTTTGTTAGACAATTGTTAGATGTCTATTTCCTTGGGATTAGTCACTGGAACTTTATTTTGTTCCTTTGGTGGTGTTGCGTTTCTTTGACTCTTTGTGTTTCTTGAAGCTGTTTGATGGTGTCTTCACATTTGAAGAAGGAGTCATCTCCTTCAGTGTTTACTGTCTGATATTAGGAAAGAAAAACCTTGACCAGTCAGCCCCGTTGGAGATTTTGGGGGTCTTTCAGACCTTTTTGTATGTAGAGGCACCCACTCTATTTCTCTTTTCTCTTCAAAGAGGTAAGTATTTAGATTTTGTATATTCTCTTGATCATGCAAAGCCAGGCTTGTTGCTAAGAGACTCTCACTTATTTTCCTTAAGACAGTGTCCTGAATTGTTTAATATAGTATGACTCCTCCCAATCCAGCAGAGTCAAGCCAGCTGCTGGTATTTGCTTGCCATCTTTGGGAGCTTGCACATGCTGTCTTGCAAAGGCTCAATGTTTTGTCTGTGGGTGAGCATAGGGTACCATATGTAGTAGACAGCAGGGCTCTAACCATTTTAGTTGAGGGGCATGGAATCCTGGGAATACATATCAGTTAGCTGGGGGAGTCCACAGGGGTCATGGGTAGAGATCCTAGTGGAGACCATCATGAACCAGCCAGTGGGATTTATGGCCAGTTGTTGAGATATTCATACAGGCTGCCACGGCCCCTACCCCCTTACCCTGTTCCTAGTGTCCCCAAGATTATTTCATTTTGCTAATCCCCTTAGTATTCTGGGTGGGATGAGACAGAAGTGGGTCTCCTTGGAAGGAAGGAAGCTGCTCCCACTTTTCTTCATGAGAGAAATTGTAGGACGAGGGTCAGTTGAGTTATTGAGTCACCATATCTTGCTGCACTTGAAAAATGAGTCAAAAGTCAACAAGGAGGCTGGGCATGGTAGCTCTCATCTGTAATTTCAGCACTTTGGGAAGTCGAGGATGACTTGAGGAGGATGACTTGAGGCCAGGAGTTTAAGACCAGTCTGTGCAACACAGTGAAACCCGTCTCTACAAATAAATAAATAAATAAATAAATAAATTAGCTAAGTACAGTGGTGCACTCCTGTAGTCCCATCTTGTCAAGAGGCTAAGGGGGGAGGATCATTTGAGCCCAGGAGTTTGAGGCTGCAGTGACACATGATCCTACTACTTCCCTCTGGCCTGGGCAACAGATTAAGACTGTCTCTTTTAAAAAATAAATCAACAGGCTGGGTGCGGTGGCTGACGCCTATAATCCCAGCACTTTGGGAGGCTGAGGCAGGCAGATCACCTGAGGTCAGGAGTTTGAGACCAGCCTGGCCAACATGGTGAAACCCCGTTTCTACTAAAAATACAAAAATTAGCTGGATGTGGTGGCATGCGCCTGTAATACCCAGGAGGCTGAGGCAGGAGAATTGCTGGAACCCGGGAGGTAGAGGCTGCAGTGAGCCAAGAACGCGCCACTGCACTCCAGCCTGGGTGACAGAGCAGGACTCTGTCTCAAATAATAATAATAATAATAATAATAATAAATAAGATCAATCAATCAACAAGGAATATTTAACAGCAATAACTATAAAGTCTACATTCAAACTAAATGCATCTTTTATGGGTCTCTCTTGGCACTTGGTGAGATAGGTAAAGTGAAATTGTTTTTCTTGTGCTTTTTAATGCGTCTATTCTTGGATTTTGGTTGTTGTTGTCGTTCCACTGTGATGCTGGAACAGTGGAATCTTAGCTGGATTCTTGAGCTCACATAAAGGTATTTTTGACCATGGGTGTTTGTTAAAATTGTTGTTTCTTCTGGGGGTTGAGGGCTGGGATCTCCAGTTCCACAATCTCGCTGATATCACTCAAACGAGATAATTGTGGATAATAATTGCTAACATGCATGTAGTTCTTATATGTGCCAGATGCAGTTATAAATAATTTTTATATATTAACTCATTTAATCCTTACAATAAACTTATATGGCAGATATTATTATGTATACATTTTTAAAGATAAGGAAAGTGAAGTACAAAAGATTCTTGTAACTTGCCTAATTTAGAGAAAGAAGCTCAAGAGTTAAGATTCATACTTAGATGATCTGGCTTTATAATCCATACTGTTGCCTACCATACTACATGCTACCATATCAGGAAAATCAGATAAATTATGAAATAGAAAAGGACTGTGTGCAAAAAACAAAAATGCCTTGCTACAGATGGTGACATTTGAATTGACAGTTTTATAGCATAAAGGAAAAAACCGTGTACAATTCTAGGAGAAGAGCTTTTCAGGCAGAAGAAACAAATGCAAAAGCATCCAGATGGGATGACTGCAACCTGTTTGAATGAAGAGATGCAGACTTGAGTAGGGAATAGGGAAGATAGGGCAAGGACCAGGTCATGTAGGGCTATGCTTTGGAAGGAGATTTCATTCTAAGGGTACTGCAGTAAAACAGGAAGAATTTAATCAGATCCATGATGGCTGTATGACAAATGGATTATAAGGGTACAAGATGGAAGTAGGAAGCTATTGAAATTGTCTGGGAAAGAATCATAGTGGACTAACCAAAGGTGGTGGTTGTGGAAACAATGAAACTTGTCACATTGAGAAAATGTTTTGGAAAGAGTGGTAATAGGAATTAGTGGATGTAGAATGTGCTAAAAGGGCAAGATGAGGTGTAGACTCTCTGGGGTTCCAGGTCAGAGCATCACAGTGGATAGTGTTGCCATTTACTGAGCTGGGAAAGATTTGAGGAGATGTCATGAGGTGCAGGGGAGAAACAAATTCCGTTTGGTCAGTATTGTTTCAGATACCCAAATGGAAGTGTCAGGTGGAAGAGATATTTCTACTTTGAAGTTCAGAGAAGAACTTTAGGCAGGAAAACTTGGAGTTGTTAACATTTTGATATTTAAAACCATTGGATGGGATAGGGATAATATAACATAGAGGGAGGATTCAGCCATCAGAAAAGGAAAGCAATGAGGCCTAGTTCAAAATTCAGCTATCAGGGAAGGAGTAATCTACAGAAAACAACTGAGAATGAATAGCCAAAGAAGGAAAAAGAGAATCACGAGATTGTGGATAGTGGAACACTAAGGAAATAGTTTCAAGAAGGATATGTTTAACCTATGGCAATTCCTGCTTGAGACCTTAAGTATGATGAGAACTTGAGACTGCTTTTTTGGATTTTGGTCACAAACAGAAGTAATAAAAACACTTTGATTCAATGTGACTTTGGCAATTACGGCTCTGTATGCTAATTAAATTTCTAAATAAGGTGGCTTAAGGGACACTTAAAGTAGTGATATTCAAAGTGTGGTCCCCAGACCAGGAGTATCAAAATCACCTGGAAACTTAGAAATGCAAATATTGAGGCCCTACCCTAGATCTAAAGAAACAGAAACTTTGGTGATGTGGTCCAACTGTGTTTTGATCATCATCCAGCTGATTCTGATGCAAACTACAGATTCACCTGGAGCCAGTGGTGTGCATGAGTGGCCTAGTAGAGAGTCTGGGGAGCAGAATGTGCACTTTTATTCACAACTCTATGTCACCAGTGACTTGAAACTGGCCATGGTGGGAGTACAAAAATCAGAAAAGTCAGAAATCTTCAACGTTACAGATTAGTTCTGTTCTCACCCTGCCCTGCCACCATCACCAACACACCAGTATTGGTGAATTCAGTATGTCTAAGCAAGATCCTATGAATTGGCTTTTCTAATAAATTCTTACATAATGCTGATGCAATGGTCAAAGCCCCACACATTGAAAATTATAAAAATTAAATTTGTTTTATTCCATAATATGGCTCAAATGTTCTTTCCTTTCCGTCTTATAAATTTCTTAGTGGCATGATTCTGAAAATTATTGAATTTGCCTTCTTCTTCATTGTCCATAATGGGTGAATTCAGAAGTCACAACTTTTACTCGGTTATCATTACCATTATTTCAAACTAGATTTTCATTGCTTCTGGCCTCTATTATTACAGTAGCTTACCTCCTACCTCCATGAAAGTCTTCTCTAACTTATATGCCTAATATATTTACCCTGTGCAGACACTTTGGTGTCTCCCACCTCTTTCTGCCAAACCTTGACATAAAGTCATCCAGTGGCTGCTATTGCTTTCTGTATCAATTCCCATCTCCTTTTATTGTTTTAAAACCCAGCACAAATTACCATTCTTCAACCCACACTAACATATATCCATCCCTTCATCTTTTAAATTTACCAATTATATTTCTGTGTCTCAGCTTTTGCTTATAACTCTGTAGAGGACTGGCCTATGTTTATTTAATTCTATATGTTTTGACTCCCCATATGCATTCTATCTGTCATATACATTCTGATACAATGATACATTTTATCAATGTGGTCTTCAATTATATATTTGTGACCAGGATGGAAAAGTGGAGGTTGGATGTTAGTACAATTGGGGAACATTGTAGGAGGTTGACACAAAGGGTTTTGGTAAGTAGGTAAATTTTATCCTGAAGGAGATTCTGAACTTGCTTATGTCCTTTTCAAATATTTTTTGAAGAAAGGAAAATAATCTGACATTTATGGAACTTCTGTTTCCTAAAAACTGTGATAAATACTTTTTTCATGATCTTATTTTATTTGTATTCTCACAACAATCCTATGAAAAGTATTATTGTATAGGTCTGTTGAAAAACCAGATATCTAATTTATTAAATTTGTGGTTAATGTAAATTCAGGAGGAAAAGCTAATGTTATGGATGGTTGAGTCATGAGTCACCATTTTTTTTTTTTTGCCAAGCTAGAATAATGATTCAGAAATCAACAAGGAACATTTAACAGCAATAACTATAAAGTCTACATTCCAATTAAATTCATCGCTTGTATTTATAAGTCCTTACAAATTTGCTTGACTGCAATTCATGGGAGAGGTCAAATAAAACTTGCTAAAACTCAATATGAGCTGATAGGGTTATATACGGGCAATAAAACTAACATACTCTTATTCTGTAGTTAAAGAAATATAGTGTTCAGATCAAGAAAAAGATTTTTTTCCTGTGTATTATTAACTCGCCAATGCTTATTTGGAGTGTTGTATTATTTCTGAATATTATATTTAAGGGGATTTTAACAAAGTATAGAGCAAAAAAATGATGAATATCAGGATGGCATCATTATCATTGCTGACAGGATAAAGAGAGAATACTATGTGGGAATATTATTGCTGCATTAAAATTCCACCACAGGAAAGGGCTGGAACAGCTGAGAGTTAGCTAAAGATGGGTGGATAGCTGGAGGTAAAAGAGGGGTAAGTTTCAGGTCAATGTCAAGAGCATCTCTTCTAGAGTCAGAGCAGCCAACAGATGAATGGGTTGCTTTAAGAACAGTGATCAAGTAAAGCAGTTTCCATCATTAATGATTTTGAGATTTTATTATCTCTCTCATGTTGCCTTCAGGCTGCTCTTATTCAAAATGATATCTTTTCCTTCTGATATGTAATTGCACTGATAGACCATATTTAATTATGAAGGTACTTAATTGCTCTTTATTCCATGTGCGTTGATAATATTCCCAACAATCTTCCTTCCACTGAAAGTCCCCAAGGGGGGAAAAATATGTTTTATATACCACTCAGTACTATTCTGAACACATAGCTGGAGTTCAATAAACACTTGTTGACTGATTGGTAATTTTCCAACCTGCTGAGGCTGCTCTCTTTTGCAAGGGCAATTATAAACAATTCTAGGAGACAACTCAAGTTCTTAAAATGATACAGATGATGTTCTGTTCTTTCCCGCTTCAATAGAAATCACACTACAGAAACCAGTGTCAGCAAAATGGGACAAAACTGTTGTTTTGATTTTCTTAATAAGAGAAGACAGGAAAATAATTATCATTTAAAACCACTCCCACTCAGTAAACCGTATTAAATTGTACTCTGTGTGAAAAACTAAGTCCCTGTGTTTATAGATTCCACAAACAACTTTGATGCCTTAGATATATTAGCAATGCCATCTCTTTTTATATCTGCACATATATAAGCCATTTTTCTCCCTCTATTAATCAAATGCATTATCAGTTAGGAAGATATTTTATGGCCTTTATAATTATAATTTTTCTAATACTGTTTTTTCTCCCTCTTTAGAACTACTGAAAAGTATTTTTTCTCCCTCTAGAAATAAGGCAAACTATAACTATTTTTAACATTATCCTCACATGTTACATGACTATGTTAAAATATAAATGCCATAGCAATTTTAATAAATGAAATTACCCTCACTGAATCAAATGTAAAGCTGGCTTTCTGATTCATGGTCCTCATTTTTCTCATTGTTGTATATTTTCCTAATTCACTTTTTAGACTGTTTTAACCGAATCATAATCAGATTTGTATCTAGATGGATGTATGTTGCTTTAATTATACACTTTGATAAATGGTAGGATAATCTGAATTTCACTTTTGTCTCAAAATGAAATATGTAACATGTATTTTGCCAGTATCCAGTTGTCTGGTACGGGTGATTTCATATTTCATGTATGTCAAACCAAGAAAGAGCAGTGGGCTTCCAGTCTGGAAATGGGTGCTCTAGTCTTCTTTCACTAATTAATGATGTGGCTTTAAGCAAGTCACTTGAACCTTAAACTCTCAGATTCTTCAGTCCCTCCTTTGTAAGTGGGTAGATTTGGACTAGATGTCTAATATTCCTTCTAGATTTAATATTCTATTTTGGGAAGCCTTCAACTTAGTTTATACCTGTAAAACATACTTTAAACACATAACAGATATTTTACATTATAATTTGATTGAAACAATACCATTGAATTAGCAGTTCACAAACTTCAATATTATCTAAACATATTTTAGGCTACCAAACTTTTTTTCAAAAAATCTTACTCCTTTCAATATTTCTTTATACTCCTTAAGAGCAAAGTAATTTATTTTTTTCTACTTTATAGTTAAAAAAATAACACAGTTAAGGCAGCGTTTATGATGGGAATCACAAAAACAATTCATATATCACAGTACACTGAGCCCACTGGCTTTTTTCCCATTGAAATGTGTGGGATGGTCCTTCCTTTTATCTGATTAACACTGTTTTTAAGTGATCTTATCTAAGGGAAAAAGCAATGGAAACAAATGATGAGTCAAAGCATGTTAAATCATATGTTTTAGAACAGATTAAACAGCTGCCATTATTTCTGTTAATATGACAACATCTCAACTTGTATGCCATTTCTTAAGACTGTATATTCCACTCTTGAAAATTGTAAAAAGGAATAGGTGCTTTTATCACTGATGAGTTAAACCCAGTCAAATATGTGCACTGGTTTTCTAACCCAAGGGAGGGGAAGCTCCTTGATGTTGATGCACAATGATATGTAGAGGAACAACCATGGGTGTTTATAGTAAAGAGAAAATGTTAATGTAGAAAACACTATTGGTTTTTCTCATGTCTATTTCACTTTCTCAGTTTCATGGGGTAGGGGCAGGTACTGATTAACCCAAACCAACTCCCTTATTGGGCATGGATATATATTGCCACAATCAAAGTGAAATAGAAGAATTTCATTATCTAGCTAGGGAACTTCCCACCCCTTTCATCCCTCTTTCTTTTTTCTGCTTCCCCTCTCCTCTATTTATCCCCATCTTCTCCTTGATCCCCCTCTCTCTGGATGTGATGTGACCAATGACCCTTATAAACCTAAGAATCACTGGAAGCCCTCTTATAACTATAAAGGAAACCAACTTCAGGACAAAGTGAAACTCAGAAAGCACAATGTAAATCAAGGGAAAAGAAAAACAAGATACATTTTAAATGACATTGTTGAGCTGTCAGATCTATCCTTACTTAAGAAACAAAACTAGAATTTTTCTGTTACCTGAGTTAACAAATGTATTTAATTACTAGTCTGTTTGAGTTAAATTTTGGGTTTTTATAACCAAAGGCACTTTAACTGATGTTGGCTTCAGACACAGAGACCTTCTTTTATCTCCACTGTACTCCCACTAGCAATATCTTGGCAATATCCTTATAATTAGGTTCAATTGTAATGAATTTTTGCCTTGTCCATCCTCAAAAGTCCAACTCCTACTTTGTACCTTAGATTACCCAAGATTTCATGCACCTAATATTGATGCTCAAGAAATTTCTTGTCTTTTATTCCCATCCAAATATGCTGGTATTCTTCCTTTTCTTCGTGTCTGACTTTTGGATTATGAGAGTGATGGGATAATTAGATAAATGAAATAGAGTGGATATGCTAACTAGTCTTCAAATGCATACCCTAGCCTATAAAGGAAAACCTATCAGACTAACAGCAGACTTCTCAAATAATGTAACAGACCCCCAAATGATGTCAAATAGAAGCATGCTAAGTTGCAGGTGTTTTAAGAATTGTGTTAACTGAAAATCTGGCCTATGTGTTATTTAAAATGGCCCAGTGGTTTGGAGGCATTGTTAGCCTGCCTCTCCCACTTGGAAAGACAAAATAGTGTGCAGAGATTCACAATGTGCACTTCTTTCTAAGAAGCAACACAGGAACTTAACAGAAAAACTGAAAGAAACTACAGACCCTTTGAAAGAAGAAACAGCAGCCTACACTGTGAACCAGATGGAAAACTGTGAGTCTCCAGAGTGTGTGAGAGGGGGAGAGACTGCCACCGTGACACACACTCCCACCGGAGAGCCGGGCAATTCAGGCCATGGAGGCAGATCTTAACACTACCCAGTGCTGGAGCTGATTTAGCGAGTGATGGGGTGAGAAGAAGCGGTATCAGGATGCACATTGCCTGCACTTTCACACTCCAGCAAGGACAGAGGGAAGCCATTCCTGATCCTACCTCACAGGGGACCTCACAGAAGTCTACCAGCTAACTCAAGCTGCAGTCACAGGTTGAGAGAAGCTCCCATCTGAGATATGAGATTATAACCTTGAGTGAGGATAAACCCTGTTGGCCAGAAATGAGGGGCAAGTAGTAAGTTTGCTATAGCCATGGGCGCAGGAGCTGGGCACTCCTGCTTCACAGGTAGACCAGAAGGGGTGCGGCCTGAAAGCTGTGGTTTCACTGGTCTCCACTGGGACGGCTTATGGCCTGGGGCAGTTTTTAGTTCTACGTACAGACTACCTGGAACCCAGCCTGCTGCTTTTAGCGAACATTATGAGTGGGATACATGCCTTGCCAAGTGCATGGGAGCTGAGTGGGGCTTACTGCTGCTTGCTAACCCCTGCATCCCATGCGGATTCTTCTGTGCAACAGAGGCAGCTGTGCTACTCCCTGAAATATTACCCCAGTAGCCAAGGAATTGACTTATGATCCTCACTGGGGCCGCTGCTTGTGCCTGCATGTGAGGAGCCAGAGCAAGGAGTTGCCTGACCTAGCCCATACCCAGCTTTGCCCCTCCACCTGCCCTGGTAGCACAGTGCAATATACAGGGATGTTTGGGAGCTCCATGGCCCTACCCATTACCTACCTGAGACACAGGAATACCTCCCCTGAGTGACATAAAGCAAGCACAAATTCTACCACTACCTCCACAGCTGGTGCTTTTCTACAAGCCATGACCTACTGGCTGGAGGCCAACCGGCACAGCCCATTAAAACATCTGCATAAACAATAACCCAGCACTCAGGAAGCCAAAAACTTTTATGCAACCTCAGCTATTGCCATTGCCAGTATTACCTTAGCTAAATAGGACGTCTTGAGTCTGTCTATGTGCCCAATACACTACTACTACAGCTGGCATTTGAGAAAACCAAAACACTAAAGCTATTTATAACCAAGAAAATCTCAGAGTCTGTGTCACTCCCCACCCACCCCCATCAGAGGTAATGCTGGCACCTGGTGCTGGGAAACTAGAGGACAGTTCACATCACTGGATCCCTTGCAGATATTCTCCAGTACAGCCTGAACTGTGGCAGCCCCACTGGACAGCTAGACCTAGAGGAGCAGTAGAATTCAGAATAGCCTGGCTTTCAGGGACTACTATTTTTTGGGGAAAGAGTAGTGAACCACATTAAGGGAGCATCCCATGGTATAAAAGAAAGCAGACCATGGGCCTTGAGTCCCTTAACTTCCCACTTGTGAGAAGTTTCTTTCGGGAGAGACACAAGTGCAGTGCTGGGCTCAGTGGGGAAAGTCTGCAGCTCTACCCCAACAGTCAAACAGCGCTCATGAAAGGTTTGAGAAGGTGATTTCTTTTTCCCCTCACCCAACACTGCAGAGAGCTGGGGCTTCTCTCATGGGAGCTCAGCATGGATGCATCTGTAGACAGACTTTCTGGAACACTCCAAGGTAACTATCCACAGGAAGTGTGCCATACAGGTTCAGACTTACACAAGAGGTAGAGCTACAACCCTTCTTTAGAGGGAACATCAGCATTCTTGCAGATAGAAAGAGATACCTGTTTGATCTGAAAAGCTAGAACACCAGGTCAGCAGTGTGACTGGGAGGTGGATTGCTTTCCTGCTTTGCCTGGAAGGAGAGCTGGGGTGGCTCCTTCACTTCCCCATGAAAAGACCTCAGTGTATTTCACGGAGAGCTTTGCCAGCTGCCTCTGTCAAAGCTGGGACTTCATCCAATCGTTGGATATTACATTTACCCACCCGCTTTAGCCACAACCTGTGTTTATCTGTGGGCACCTCCTACTGGCCTGAAGCCTGAACTACTCAACCCGTTGAATAAAATGCTGGAAGAAAAACTTTTAAAGGTGCACACCACTGGGGAACAAAATAAGCTTCATGAGACCTCTGCCATTCCAGCCCCTTAGGAGACAGTGAACCTACTCACACACCCAGCCCACTGCCACTACAACCGGCATCTGAGAAAGACACTTCACAATGATTCTCTATAACCAAGAAACTCATACAGTCTTTGCCACTTGAAACCACCCAGAGCTGAAACTAAGTGTAAATAAACTATAAATGTTAAAGTCACATCTTCAAGGAGGAAAATTTTTTTAAACCCAATTGAATCAAAAACTAATTTTAAAATAATTAGAAGAAATAGCCTACACAAATGAGAAGGAACCATAAAAACAATTCTGGAAACATAAAAAACATTTGAGTTGTTCTATGACAACTCAAAAAAATCAATCACACTGACTCTCCAGCAGTGGATCCAAATCAAGATGAAATCTTTGAAATACCAGATAAAGAGTTCAAAAAGTTGATTATTATGTTAATCAAGGAGACATAAGAGAAAGTTGAAAACCAACATAAAATACCAGATAAATAATTCAAAAAAGTTGATTATTAAGTTAACATAAAGTTGAAAACCAACATAATTTTTTTTAATTCAGGACATGAATGAAAACTTTTCTAAAGAGATGGATATTTTAAAGGAAAGCCAATCAGAACTTCTATGAAAGACTACACATTTCGGCAACTACAAAATGCAGTGAAAAGCTTTTAAAATAGATTAGACCAAGCAGAAGAAAGAATTTCAGAACTCAAAAACAAGGCTTTCAAATTAACCCAATCAGCACAGCAAAAGTAAACAAAAAAGAATTAAAAGAAGAAGGAAAGTCTCAAGAAATATGTGGATTATATAAAATGGCCAAACATAAGAATTGTAGATATTCCTGAGGGAGAAAAACGTAGCAAAAATTTCAAAAGTCTATTTGAGGAAAATTTCCAGGGAGGAAAACTTCCCTGGACTTGCTAGTGACATAGATATCCAAATATAAGAAGGTCAAAGAACTCCTGAGAGACTCATTGCAAAAACAAAACATCACTAAGGCATATACTCATCAGGCTATCTAAAGTCAACATGAAGGAAAAAATTCTAAGAGCAGTAAAATAAAAGCATCAGGTAACCTATAACAGAAAACCAATCAAACTAACTGCAGACTTCTCAGCAGAAACCTTATAAGCCAGATGGAATTGGGGTCCTATCTTTAGTCTCCTGAACAGAATGACTGTTGGTCAAGAATTTTGTGTCCAGCAAAACTCTTTCATAGATAAAGGAGAAATAGTTTTTCTCAGACAAGTAAATGGTGAAGGAATTTGTCAATACTAAACCAGCTCTATGAGAAGTGCTAAATAGAATACTAAATCTTGAAACAAGTTGTTGTTACTCACCAGAATAAATACTCCTGAAAGCATAAAATTCACAGGGCTTATAAAACAATAACAATATGAAGAAAACAAAGTCACTAAGTAACAATCAATATGATGACTAGAACAGCACCTCACATCTCAATGTTTAATGTAACTGGTCTAAATGCTCCACTTTAAAAAGATGCACACTGACAGAATGGATTTTAAAAATTTGCAAGCCAAATAGATACCTGCTATCTTCAGAAGACATACCTCACATGTAAAGATTCTTATAGATTCAAGCTAATGGGGTGAAAAAAGACATTTCTTGCAAATGGAAACCAAAAGCAAGCAGGAGTAGCTATTCTTAAAACAAATAAAATAGACTTTAGAGCAACAATATTAAAAAAGGACAAAGAAGGTCATTATGTAATTAAAATAGGATAAATTCAACAAGAAGATATAACATGTCTAAATTTATATGCACCGAACTCTAGAGCTCACAGATTCATAAGGCAATTCCTACCAGGTCTAAAAAAGAAAATACATAGTAACACAATAATAGTGGGAGTCATCAACACTCCTCTAACAGCACTAGAGAGATCATCAAAGCAGAAAGTCAACAAAGAAACACTAGACTTAAATTTCAGTCTAGAAAAAATGAGCCTAACAGATATTTACAGAACATTCTACCCAAGAACTACAGAATATACATTCTTCTCATCAGCACATGGAAGATTCTCCAAGATAGATTATATGATAGGTCACTAAATAAGTTCAATAAATTTTTAAAAATCAAAATCATATTAAGTTTCTTGTCAGACCACGGTAAAATAAAACTAGGAATCGATTCCAAAAGGAACCCTCAAAACTATGCAAATACATAGAAATTAAACAATCTACTCCTGAATGATTTTTGGGTTAACAATGACATTAAGGTGGAAATTTAAAAAATTTTTGAAATGAATAACAACAGTGACACAAGTTATCAAAACCTCTGGGATACAGCAAAAGCAAAGCTAAGAGGAAAGTTTATAGTGCAAAATGCCAACATCAATAATTCTGAAAGATCACAAATTGACAGCCTAACAATACATCTGAAGGAACCAGAGAAATAAGAAAAAAACATACCTAAAGCTAGCAGAAGAAAAGGAATAATAAAGATCAGAGCAGAGCTAAATAAAATTGAAACAAAAAAAATCCAAAGGACCAATGAAACAAAAAATAGCTCCTTCAAAAAGATAAAATTGTTAGAACACTAGGTAGATTAAAACCAAGACAAGAAGAGAGAAGATCCAAATAAGACTAATTATAAATGAAAATGGAGATATTACAACTGATACTACAGATATACAAAAGATTATTTGGGACTACTGTGAAGAGCTCTATGCACACAAACTAGAAAATTTAGAGGAAATGAATTAATTCCTGGAAACATACAACCCCCGCTAGCTTGAATCAGGAAGAACTAGAAATCCTGAAGAGGCCAATAAGAAGCAGTGAGATTTAATCAGTAATTTAGAAAAACAACAACAACAACAACAACAACAACAACAAAAACCAAAACACTGCAAACAAACAAAAACAGTCCAAGGCCAAATGAATTCACAGCCAAATTCTACCAGACATCCAAAGAATTGGTACTAATTCGATTGAATCTATTCCAAAAGATTGAGAAGAAGAGAATCCTCCCTAATACATTCTACAAGCCCAGTATCACCCTGGTACCAAAGCAAAGGAAAGACTTAACAAAAAAGAGAAAACTACAGACCAAATCTCTGATGAATATAGATGCAAAAATGCTCAACAAAATAGTAGCAAACCAAATCCAACAGCGCATCAAAAAAATAATCCACTATATTCACATGGATTTCACTTTAGGGATGCAGAGATGGTTTAACAAATTCAAGGGAATAAATGTGATTCATCAGATAAACAGAATTTTTTTAAATAAATATATGATCATTTCTATAGATGCAGAAAAAGCATTCAATAAAATCCAGCATGACTTTATGATAAAAACCCTCAACAAACTAGACATAGAAGAAACATACCTCTAAATAATTAAAGCTGTATATTCCAAACCCATAGCCAACATCATACTGAATGAGAAAAAGTTCAAAGTATTTCCCCTATTAACTGAAATAAGACAAGGATGCTGACTTTTATCCCTTCTATTCAACATAGTACAGGGAATCCTAGCCAGAGCAATCAGACAAGAGAAATAAATAAAGGGCATTCGATTTGTAAAACATGGAGTCAAATTATCTTTGTTTGCCAATGATATAATCTTATATCTAGAAAGCCCTAAGGATTCTTCCAAAAGACTCCTAGATCTGATAAATGAATTCAGCAAAATCTCATTACAAAACCAGTGTGCATAAATCAGTATCACTGCTATACATCAACAACAACCAAGCTGAAAATCAAATAAAAAACTCAATCCCTTTTACAGTAGCTACAAAAAGATAAAATATGCTAGAACATACTTAACCAAGGAGGTGTAGTATCTCTACAAGAAAAATAAAACACGGCTGAAAGAAATTGTAGATGACAAAAGCAAATGGAAATACATTCTTTGCTCATGGGTTAGAACAATCAATATCATGAAAATGACCATACACTCCAAAGCAATCTACAGATTCAATGCAATTTCTATCAAATTACCAACACTATTTTTTACAGAATTAGAAAAATCAATCCTAAAATTCACATGGAACCAAAAAATAGCCCAAATAGTCAAAGCAACCTAAACGAAAAGAACAAATCTGGAGGCATCACATTACCTAACTTGAAATTTTACTACAAGGCTAACGTAACCAAATCAGCATGGTACTGGTATAAAAGTAGATCAATGGAATATAATAGAGATCTCAGAAATAAAGCCAAATACTTAAAACCAACTGATCTTTGATAAAACATACAAAAACATAAATCGGGGAAAGGACATTCTGTTCAATAAAGGGTGCTAGAAAAATTGCATAGTCACATGTAGAAGAAAGACAGTGGATCTCTGTCTCTCACTAGATACAAAAATTAACTTTACCTTGACTAAAGACCTAAAGACCTGAAGCTAAGACCTGAAACCATAAAAGATCTAGAAGAGTACCTAGGAAAAACTCTTCTGGACACCAGCATAGGCAAATAATTTATAACTAAGACCCCTAAAAGCAAATCCAACAAAACAAAAATAATGAATAGGACTCAAACTAAAAAGCTTCTTCACAGCAAAATAAATAATCATTACAGTAAACAGACAACTTAAAAACTGAAATGTGGACAAAAGACATGAATAGATATTTCTCAAAAAATATACAAATGGTCAAAAACATATGAATAAATGCTCAACATCACTAATTGTCAAGGAAATGCAAATTAAAACCACAATGTATACCACCTTACCCGAGCCAGAATAACCATTATTAAAAAGTCAAAAAAAAAAATCCCCAAAAGATGCTCGGGTGGACGTGGTGAAAGAGGAACACTTATATGCTGCTGGTGGAAATACACATTAGTACAACCTCTATGGAAAAGAGTATGGAGATTTCTCAAAGCTAAAAGTAGATCTACCATTTGATCCAGGAATCTCACTACTGGGTATCTACCCAAAAGAAAAGGAATGAATATATCAAAGAGATGCCTGTGTGCATATGTTTATTGCAGCACAATTCACAATTGCAAAGATATGCAGTCAACCTAAATGTCCATTAACTGATGAGTGGATAAAGAAAATGTGATGTATGTTATCATGGAATACTACTCAGCCATAAAAAGAATGGAATAATGTATTTTGTGGCAACTTGGTTGGAACTAGAGGCCATTATTCTAAGTGAAGTAACTCAGGAATTGAAAACGAGATACTGAAGGTTCTCTCTTATAAGTGGGAGCTAAGCTATGGGTATGCAAAGGCATACCAAGTGGTATAATAGACATCGAAGACTTAAAAGGGGTGAGGGGGTAAAAATGAAAAACTACCTATTGAGTACAATATGCACTATTCAGATAATGCATGCACTAATATCCTAGACTTCACCATTATACAATTCATCCATGTAACTGAGAACCACTTTTACCCCTAAAGATTACCCTCACCAGGCAGTAATGAGGCAACCCTCTTCTTCCTCTGCCAAAGCAGTTTCAGAAGAAGCCAACTAAAGCAGAAATGTGATCCAGAATTTTAAATATGATCCATAGTCTTTTAACATAATAACCAAAATGTCTCCATCTCATTCAAACATCACTTGTCATATCAAGAACCAGGAAGATCTCAAGCTGAATAAAAAAATACATTTAATAGATGACAGCGATGTTAGAATTATCTTACAAAGATTTCAAAGTAGCCATCATAAAAATGAATGAACAATCATAAACATCCTTGAACAAATGAAAAAATATCACCTATTTCAAAATTGGTTGAAGAGAAGATTTGGAATGTTCCCAACACAAAGAAATGATAAATGTTTGAGATAATCGATATTCAAATTACCTAGATTTTATTATACATTGTATGCTCATATCAAGATAGCACATGTACCCCATTAATATGTACAATTATGTAGCCATAAAAATTAAAAATAAAAATAAGCAAAGGGGAAGAATGTCACCAAAGGAGAATAAAAAAATAGAATGTTACAGCAAAGAAATCAAAGAAGAATGAAATAGAAATGTTAGAACTAAAAATATTAACCAATAAAATAATAATTTAAAAAGTCAACATATGGGCTCAATAGCTGAACAGAGGAGACAGAGAAAAGAACCAGTCCATTGAAAAATAATACAAATAGAAATTACACAATGTAAACAACAGGGACAAAATAGACTTTAAAGAAAACAAAAACAAAACACAACCTCAGAAATGTATGGGACTATAATGCAAACCCCAAACATGATAAGCCCAAAGAAATCCACATGAAATCACACCATAGACAAACTTCTGAAAATTAAAGACAAATGTTTAAAGCAGTCAGAAATAAATATCACATTCTCTGTGGAAAAAAGAACGTTCAGATGACACTGGATCTCTCATCGGAAACCAGGGAAGCCAGCAAAAATTACAATAGTTTTGAAGTGCTGAAAGAAAAAATTTTGTCAACTCAGGATCCTATATCCAGTAATAAATACTCTTCAGAAATAAAGGAGAAATCAAGAAATTCTCGGAGATGAAGGAACAATAAAATAATTTGACACCAGCAGACCTACATTAAAAGAATGACTATCTTGGTTGAAGTATCAACAATGCAAAAACTTGTATTATTTTCTCTGTGGCCTGAAATATTATTGAAGGCTTTGCTATGGATAAAAACAAAACCAAGTGATAAAAACAATACCTCTAAGTCTGTAATATTCTGCCAAAGTAAAGATCATACTTTAGAGTTATAGTGGTAGGAGTTGAAATCTCCACTTTAATGGTCTCTTTCAAATTGGATAGATCATGGTATTTTAAAAGTCACACGTCAGTTTGCATTTATAATCCATTCATAATCTGATGGCATGTACTGCCCAAGCAAATACTACTGATTCTTCTGTAATACTTGATGTAAGAACTTCTTTTGTAATGCAACTGAGCTATAACTTGACAAATTAGGTTTGTGACTATTTAGGGAAATAATAAATTAATAACTAGATTAATAAAAGGAGAAGAACCAAATAAATACAATCAGAAATGAAAAACGTGACTTTACAGGTGATCTCAAAGAAATACAAAAAATCCTCAGAGACTATTATGAACAGCTGTATGCACACAAACTAGAAAAACTGAAAGAAATTGATAAATTCCTGGAAATTCACCCTCCCAAGAACTGGGAAGAAATTAAAATCCTGAACAGACCAATAATCAGTTCTGAAATTGAATCAGTAATAAAAAGCCTACCAACCAAAAAAAAAAAAAGGCCTAGAGCAGATGGATTCACAGCTGAATTCTACCAGACATACAAAAAACAGCTAGTACTAATCCTACTGAAATTATTCCAAAATTTGAGAAGGGATTCTCTAGCTTATTCTTTGAAGCCAGCATCATTCTGATACCAAAATGTGACAGAGACACAACAACAACAACAAACAAAAAAAAAAAAAGAAAGAAAAATATCAGGCCAATATCCCCAATGAACAGAGATGCAAAATTTTCTCAATGAAGTACTAGTAAACTGAATCTAACAGCACATCAAAAAGTTAATTTACGGTGATCAAGTAGGGTTTATTCCTGGGATGCAATGTTGGTTTAACATAGGCAAATCAATACATGTGATTCACCATATAAATAGAATTACCAACAAAAACCACATCATTATCTCAATAGGCAAAGAAATAGCCTTTGATACAGTTGAACATTCCTTCGTGCTGAAAACCCTCAAGAAATTAGGCATCAATAGAACATATCTCTAAATTTTAAGAGCTATTTATGACAAACCCATAGCCAACATCATAGCAATTAGGTGAAAGCTGGAAGCATTCCCCTTGAGAAGTGAAATAAGACAAGGATGCCCACACTCACCATTCCTATTCAATATAGTAAAGGAGATCCTAGCCAAAGTAATCAGGTAAGACAAAGAAATAAAAGGCATCCAAATAGAGAGGAAGTCTAACTCACTCTTGGAAGACAACATGACTCTGCTTAGAAAACCCCATAGATTCTGCCAGAAGGCTTCTAGAACTGATAAATGACCTTAGTAAAGTTTCAGAGTATAAAATCTATGAGTAAAAATCAGTAGCATTTCTATACACCAATAATGTCCAAGCTCAGAACGAAATTATGAACACAGTGTCACTTACAAAAGCTACAAAAAGAATAAAATACCTAGGAATACAGCTTACTAAGGACCTTAAAGAACCTTGCAAAGAGAATTACAAAACAATGCTGAGAGAAATCAGAGACAATGCAAACACATGGAAAAATATTCTTCCTATTCCATGGATAGGAAGAATCAGAATTGTTAAAGTGACCATACTGCCAAAAGCAACTTACATATTAGATGCTATTCCTATCAAAGTACCAATACATTTTTCACAGAATTAGAAAAAGTTATTCTAAAATTCATATGGAATCAAAGAAAAGACTGAATCACCAAAGCAAGCCTAAGCAAAAAGAACAAAGCCAGAGGCGTTACACTACCTGACTTAAAACTATACTACAAGGCTGCAGTAACCAAAACAGCATGATTCAGGTACAAAAACAGGCAGACTGATAGAACAGGTTAGAGAACCCTGAGATAAAGCCACAAACCTACAACCACCTGTCCTTTAGCAGAGTTGACGATAACAAGCAATGGGGAAGGGACCCTCTAGTCAATAAATGGTGCTGGGATCACTGGCTAGCCATATGCAAAAGATTGAAACTGAACCCCTTCCTTTCACCATATACCCAAATTAACTCAAGATGGGTTAAAAACTTAAAAGTAGAACTAAAACAATAAAAACCCTAGAAGAAAACTTAGGAAATACCATTCTGGACATGGGCCTTTGCAAAGAATTTATGACTAAGTTCCCAAAAGTAATTGCAACAAAAACAAAAATTGACAAGAAGGACCTAATTAACTTAAAG
This sequence comes from Homo sapiens, assembly GCF_000001405.40. NCBI lineage: Eukaryota > Metazoa > Chordata > Mammalia > Primates > Hominidae > Homo > Homo sapiens. The sequence goes on along the minus strand of NC_000010.11, from coordinate 66,577,319 downwards.
AGCTTTTGCACAATAAAAGAAACTATCAATAGAATAAACAGACAACCTTCTGAATGGGAGAAAATATTAGCAAACTGTGCATCTGACAAAGGCCTATTATCCAGAATCTGTAAGGAACTTAAATCAGTAAGCAAAAATATATTAATTGCATTTAAAAGTGGGCAAAGGACAAGAAGAGACACTTCTCAAAAAAAGACATACATGTGGCCAACAAATACGTGAAAAAATGTTCATTATGACTAATCACTAGAGAAATTAAATTTCAAACTATGAGATACTATCTCACATCAGTCAGAATAGCTATTATTAAAAAGTTAAGAAACAACAGATGCTGTTTAAGCTGCAGAGAAAAGGGAACGCTTATACACTGCTGGTAGGAATATAAGTTAGTTCAGCCACTGTGGAAAGCAGTGTGGAGATTTCTCAAAGAACTTGAAACAGAACTATCATTTGGCCCAACAATTCCACTATTGGGTATACACCCAAAGGAAAATAAATCATTCTACCAAAAAGATGCATGCACTCATATGTTCATCACAATGCTATTCACAATAGCAAAGACATGGCATCAACCAAGATGCCCATTGACAGTGGACCAGATAAAGAAATTGTGGTACATATAGACCACGGAATACTGCACAGCCATAAAAAAGAATGAAATCATGTTCTTTGCAGCAACATGAAATGTAGCTGGAGGTCATTATCCTAAGCAAACTAGTGCAGGAACAGACAACCACATTCCACATGTTTTCGCTTATAATTGGAAGCTCAACATTGAATATAAATGGACACAAAGATAGGAACAAAGACTCTGGAGACTGCTTCATTGGGGAGGGTGGTGGGGGGGCATGGATTGGAAGGCTACCTGTTATGTACTATGCTCACTACCTTGGTGATGGGCTCATTCATACATCAAGCCTTAGTGACACGCAATTTGCCCATGTAACAAGCCTGTATGTGTAACCACTAAACCTAGAATAAAGTAGAAACCAATAGTAATAATAATTAAAAAACCAGCTGGGATGTTTATAAAATTCAGGTTCCTGGGCACCACCCCAGACTTAATTGAATCAGAATCTTAGGTGAGATGACACTAAAACTGTATTCTTAACAAGCTCCCCAGTGATTCTTATCCATGCTGAAGATTGAGATTCACATCATTGGATTGTACAAGATATCTTTATTAATGCCACCATCTGTGGGCGAAGTGGGAGTGACTTCTCTCATCAATGGACACACTGCTTTGTGCTCGGTTTCCTCCCATACCTCTCTGTCTTTTCTAATGGAATTCCTTTGCATGCAGCAGCCTAGCACCTCTTACTAGATCATGTGTCCAGCTGAACTTTACTTAACAGCCAAACACACAGTTATTTTCACAACAATATTTTCAGGCTGTGTATTAAGCCTATTTCACAGCTGTGATCACAGGTATTAAAGAACAGATGTATTGATTTGCGGGGCACCCATTTTTCATTGTATTTGATGTCCTTGTCCACAAGGCGGAATGGCAAGAGGCTTAGAAATCTAACCATGTACCGGTTATGTTGTATTTGCTTTGAGCCTATATCCTCATTGAAAACAGCTGCTGAACTCAGAGTTATTATGAAGACTCCTGGAGAGAAAGCAGAATGGAATAAATGGGAAGAGCACAGGCTTTGGAGTTTAGAGAGAGCTGGTGAGAATGCCATCTCTGTCTCCCACCAGCTGTAGGATATGGGGCAAGTTATTTTACCTCTCTAAGCTTCATCTTCAAAATGAGACTAATAATAGTCCCTTGACCAGCATTGTCAAGATTAATTGAAATGATCCAGATACATGGTGAGGGCTCAAAAAATTGCAAGTATCATTTTCAGTTTGGGGAAAGAACTAGGCACAGTGCCAGGGATGCAAGGCATTTTTTCCTCTTATAATTTAAATCTTCTGAGCAGACTTATCAGCTGTGCAGCTGCAAAGTGAATTTTAAAGGTACACAGACATGGGAGCAATTCCTGCCCTAGTATTTCTTACCTCTGTGACTTTGGCACAAGTTGTTTAAATTTTTGAGCCTCATTTTTTGTTTGTTAAATAAAGGAAATAGTAGTTACATTTACCTCACAGAACTAGCATAAGACTCTAAAGTAGTATAGCTCACCTTTTTCTCTCCCCTCCTCCCATGCCTCTCTTCCGGAGAAAAGAGATACTGGCTAGGACGGTGCATGGGTTTACAGTCAAATTCTGGTTAATGAAGTTGCTATTCAATTTGTCACTAAATCATGATTGCATTTTTTCAAATAATATAGCTAGAAGACTCCAGTCCTCTCAACTTAGATCAAGATGTGTTATTTGTTATGTAACCAGTTTACCATTTTTTCTAGGTTCTTGAATAGACAATCACACCCATAGTTAAGTGGCTTCTTGGGACATCCAACCCATACAAGATGGCCAACATTAAAAGAATGGATGCAGTTAATATAGACTCCAGCTGAATCTGGAATGTAGACTAAGAATCCTCTTTTGAGCATAGGCTATGGCATGAGCATCCTTGCGCCCATACGGTGCATTTCTGTCTTTAGAGAGGAAAACTGTAGTAAAAAAACTGTTACACTTACAGGAAGCTCAAAGTAATCATGGAAAATTATATTTCCTAAGTGTTTTGTACTTTAATACTCAGATTACAGCTTGTTTGAGGTAGCAACATTTAAAGAGGGGAAAAAAAAACAACCTTTGTTTAGATCCCTTTTCAATATGTTTTCTTTTCAAATGAATCAGGAAATATTTTTGAATAACAGATATGTGATTTACAACTCAACCAAAAAGAAATTATTCACATGTAAAGAACGTTATTTCCTAGTTTTTTCTTATTCTAATTTCTTTTTAAATTATCTTATTTTTGCTTTTTTCATTGGTACTTTTGATTCCATTTCTCCCTAATATTTCAGTGAGCTTTTATTTCTTTACAAAAACATGGTAGAACCTTTGCTCACCTTTCATATCTTTCTGGATTTTTCGGTGATAATTGAACAAAACATGGTAGTAATTATTACATTATTGCTTTCTTCTTGCCTGTGCCATTTATTGTCATTGTTTTTCCTTTTTTCTTCCTTTCTTCCCTGCCTCCACTGCACCCCGGATTATCAGATTATCACCCTATTATGACGGCATTTCTGAGTTAAATTACCCTTAGTAAGACAGTAAATGGGTAGAAATTAAAATGAATATATTAATACTAATTTCATCTATGTCAACTATCTGCACAGTCTTGTAAGCAGACATGACAGCCTTTTGAGTAAATTATTGCTGTTTGAAAAGGATCACAGATAATCTTGGTAACCTCAACACACTTTCAAATTCCTGAAATGGCATTTATTTCAATTGTGTTTTAGGTGTACATTAAACATTTTTACTATTTATCTGTAAAGTACATCAGTAGTACAGCTTTTCAAAGGATGATGATATTCTCTGCACATTGCTGATAGTGATCCAATGCCCAAAGGCATGCTTAAAAAAAGTAACATGAATTAGAAAATAATAGTGTTGTCCATTGCTAAAAAATTGTTTTGGTTATATAGAAGAATATAATTAATGCCTAATTCATTATAAGTAAGAAATATTCTAAGATACTAAATGACTAACCAGTTTTCTTTTAATTGAAAGCAGGGGGTATTAAATAGAAAGGGCATTTTTATTTCTGCTCATATTCATCTTGCTGAAAATTGTGGATTCTGGGAAGGCAAAAATGAATAGGCAATTCAATAGAATAAGCCATAAAGAAGAATTTCTCATATGTATTTGTTATATAATGATTTTGTTGAACTTCAGTAAAATTTTGTGAAGCACTTTGTGTGAAACACTTAGAATTTTTCCTATAATCCTGGAGTGTTACAGTTATTAATTTTAAACAGAAAATGCTATCTCTTTTCTCATTAATGGGAGGAGACAGCTGTGTTACCTGAAGCTATGGGCTGCGAGCAACCCTGGTAGTCAATCACATCATTCATAATATGTTGGGATTGTGCTTCTGGCATTTGCTTATTCAGAAATAATGCATATCATTAGAATTTTTCACTGTGATTGCATTTTTAGTTGATATATTCGGCTAGGCCTAACACTGAAATACAGTTGTCCAGAACATCAGTGGTTCTCCAAATTTTGAGAAAAATATATCACACTTTAGTGAACTAGGAGGTTTATATTTCATGTGAACCTGAGCCACAGAAAATAATTCTGTTTTCTTTAAACAATGTCAATATATAAGCCATTTCCCCTAGATGCACTGTTTCCATTACTCTACCTAGGGATGTAGTATTAGTCCTGTGCACAGACACTTGTAATCAGAGCCCCAGCATTCCATTTTTCATTAGGGGAAACACAAGGAAAACTGTACAATTTGGACTCCGAACATCTGATAAGCAGATGGCAGGTTAGCCTCAATGTAGTGCAAATATTGTCTGTTTGCAAGACTGATATTTGCACACACGTCTTTGGCAGATGATGGTAAAGCATTGCACAGAAGAAGCATGTGTCCTGAGTCACACAGCACACAGAAGGAAACATCTTCCTCAAGTCTATTTTCTCTCCTCTCTTTGCAAAGACTGATGGATTCTTTTAAATACAAAGATATTTTGAGAAAGGTTTTGAAAGTTAAATGTGGAGATAAGTGGCCTCCAATCTGTGAAGTTTTCTTTATCTTTTTTCCTCCCCAGTTAAAATTCAAACTTAGAATTTCTCACTCATCTAGGTTATTTTGGTTTATTTCATGTTTTGTTTTTTTTTTTGAGTCCTGGCCTAAATGCAATTAGCCACACAGAATGTGATTATCAATCATATTCAAGACCCTCAGCATAAGGTGTATGTATAGATAGGTAGATGTAGAGATAGACATATAGTTTGTCTAGGTATGTATGCCTGTTTGTGTGTATATGTTTGCTTAGATTCATATTCAGATTTTTTTTTTTTTTTAAGACAGAGTCTCCTCTGTCAACCAGGCTGGAGTGCAGTGGTGCGATCTTGGCTCACTGTAACCTCCGCCTCCCGGGTTTAAGCGATTCTCCTGCTTCAGCCTCCCTAGTAGATGGGATTACAGGCACGTGCCCCCACACCCAGCTATTTTTTGTATTTTTAGTAGAGACGGGGTTTCACCTTGTTGGCTAGGCTGGTCTTGAACTCCTGACCTCAAGTGATCCACCTGCCCCAACCCCTCATAGTGCTGAGATTACAGGCATAAGCCACCACTCCCGGCCTCATATCTGGATTTTTTTCATACTCTGCTCATGGGAGACTGTGTAGCATAATGAAAAGATGTCCGTAAGTTTTGGAATCTCTGGAGGCAAATATGTATAGTGGTTAAGAACATGGACTCTAAAATCAAAATTGCCTCATAAATATGTACAACTAGTATGAATACACACTAATTAATTGTTTAATTTCTTTAAAAAATGCGTCAGTGATTCTATACAAATTAATCATCTGCATTGTGCCTCGGCGGCTTCATCTGTGACGTGACAATGACATAGGGTCATTATAGATTTATCTTATTTAACTGCATAACAAGGTTGTTATGGGTCATTACAGATTTATCTCACTGTTAACAAGGTCGCTATGGGGTTAAATGAGATAAATCTATAATGACCCTATTATCTATAAAGTTCTTATGAGAGGGACTCTTGTATAATAAATACTGTATAAATGTTACTTTTCTTTTTGTTCATTAGTCTGCCATATGTATACTACCTTGAACCCAAAAGACTTAGGGTGATAATTTTAAAACACTGAATAAATACGTGTTTTCTTGAACTGGGCTTAGTTATGAGTCAGAGGTCCATAACTGCTCAGCCATGTGCCTTTGAGTAAGCCACTTAACTCTTCTAAGCCAATTTCCTCATCCATGAAATGGGGCAGTAATTGCTGCCCTGTTTTCCTCACAGGATTATTATGTAGACCAAGTGAAACAATTTATATGAAAGTATGGGTTTAGCTTGAAATGCAACACAGATAGTTGTAATGCTATTTTTTAATCTCCAAAAGGGAATGCGATAACCAATTCAGGCTTTCACTTCTTCTGGTCTAGCAGGCATGATAATACACCTACACATATGACTATATTAAAGGTAGAATCTGCTAATGCATCAGAAAGTTCCAGAACAAATGCTTCGATACAACTTAAAATATAATGAAATTGTTTCTCCGTCTAGAAATAATGGAAAGAGAATAAATACACACTAGTCAAGCCTTAGTATATGCTTTGAAGTAATTTTTAAAATTGTTAGTTACCTTGATTACTATCTTGCTTAAATAATATGTTTCATCTGGAGCCAGATCAAATCAACTGGGAACATGTACCAAAACCTATAAGAATCTCAGCACTTTGACAGATTTTATTTCTTGGTGTATTAGGAGAACATCAGGACATTTTTTTGAGAGCTCCTTGCTCAAAACTGTTTTCATCTTAGGAAATTAAAAATGTATGCTCACAGATATTTCACTCAAGGCATTTTGTTCAGCTAGTAAATATTGTTTTTTTCTTCTTTCTTTCAGAGGATAAAGGATATGTCTCATCAGTTTATGTGGTTTAAAAAACATTTCCATTAGATAATATAAAATTTTGTCTAGAATTCAAGTGGGATGTCTTTATTTTTTAATTTTTTTTTTTTTACTTTTGCTCCATCTGAGACCTGTGTGAAATCAAGTGGTTTTTAAAAGTCAAGTTAGCTGGTTTGTTCTGATGTGTTTGGTCTTTAAAAATTCATATTTTGTCGGCTGGGTGCGGTGGCTCACGCCTGTAATCCCAGCACCTTGGGAGGCCGAGGTGGGTGGATCACGAGGTCAAGAGATCAAGACCATCTTGGCCAACATGATGAAACCCCGACTCTACTAAAAATAAAAAAATTAGCTGTGCGTGGTGGCATGTGCCTGTAATCCCATCTACTGGGAAGGCTGAAGTAGGAGAATCGCTTGAACCCGGGAGGCAGAGGTTGCAGTGAGCTGAGATTGCACCACTGCACTCCAGCCTGGGCGACAGAGCGAGACTCTGTCAAAACAAAACAAAACAAAACAAAACAAAACAAATCATATTTTTGAAAGGTATAAGGAAAACTAGCATCTATTGCCTTTAAGATTTTCTGTGGGATTTAGGTCTCAGGGGTAATGTGGAGAGACACTGAACCCACACAGAGCTAAAACTTCTAACTGAAGTATCCCTAAAAGGGTCCATTGGACTGTTTTGGTAACATATCTCCTGTCTATACCAGAATGACTTCTCTTACACCTCATTTTGGAAAGGCAAGAGATGAGAGTCATTCTTAATGGCTGCACAGATATGTGGTAGACCAAAGAAAGGTGTGTGGCTCAGAGGTTGCAGACAACTTCCCTATGCTCACTCTCCTTTCATAGTATTGCCCTTCAAAAGAAAGAAAACATTTAACAAATATCTACCTATATTATTTTTATTAGTAATGGCTCTGCCTTTTGAATCAACTCTTTGAATACTGTTTTATTACTGAAATGACTTTTACACCACCCACTCCTGATATTGCTCATAATATCTTACTGAGGTACTTTCAGATATCACATCAAGCGTGGGTGATTTGTAGCCATAAACAATTGTCAGTGTAGATAATAGCTGACTGTACAAGCTGATATATTTGAGGTCTCAAAGCCATCATGTTTAATATCCAGAAGTGCATTCTCTGGGACCCAACAGGATGCTAACACCTACCATCAAAGTTCATGTTCTGAGAATAATAATGTCTTATTATAATTTTTGAATAAATATGTCCTGCTTATTAATTAAAATTGTTCTGTGCACAAAACATGTTATTACTGTTTTCTTCCAGCTAATGAGTCATAGTACTGAGATGATTACTTTTGAGATTAATCATTTTTAAATATTGCAAAGTATATCTGTTGCATATTATGCTTCATCTACAGGATTCTGTTATATTTGAGTAAATTTTAGATAAAGTCCATAAAAGAATACAATACTCTTTTTACATGGGCCATTATCTCTTATTAACCTTGATAATGTTTGTCCCAATGAAAGAAAATAGAGGAGGGTAAGGAAGACTAAATTGCAAAGCAAAAGGCTGGCGCAGCTAAGAAATATTGGCTGAATATTTTCCATTTGTCCCTCCACATCCCCTTTCTCTCCTCCTATGGTCCTAGGAGAACATCGATGGGGCAGCCTCCTTTGTTCTCTGGCTTCTGGTTGGGCAAGGCTAATGAGAGGCACTAGGAGGTGATTAGAGGCCAGGAGCAAAATGATGTCTAGCTTTTATTCTCTAGCTTCTTCCTGACAAAGCCACAGTTTATCAGAGGGCATGTTCCTTTCCAAGGCCACAGCTCCTGCAGATCCTTTGCTATAGTCAGAGTACTTTCTGGATTTCAGTTACTTCTCTCTTCCTCCTCCTCATTCCTTTAGGATGTAGAGATAGGAAGCAAAGGCTTTCTCTGCTGCCAGCCCTGGCAGACTTCGCTTCCCAGGTTGGTTTCCTTTGTCATTCTGCCCCATGTATGTAAATTGTCCTGTTATCAGTTTCTCTTTGTTTACTATTCCTAGGATTCCATGCGTTTCTGCTAACATCTGATTTGGTACAAGCAGAAGAATGCAAAGAAGATACCAGAGTTGCAGCCAGCATTGCTGGATTTGAACTTTGGTTCTATTGCTCCCTAGCTTTGTGACAGCAGGCAAACCCCTTACCCTTCTTGGACTGCAGTCTCTTTAACTGTGCAATGGAAGGTGGTGAACCCAATTCTGAGCTCTAAAAATGTTATGTTCTGTATGCAGCTCAGGAAGTAGAAGTGGCCACCCCCAAGATATATCCTTTATAAATTATTCAATCATTTCCAGAAGGGGGAGTGAAATAAAGACACCCTAGGGGTATTGGTGTCAGAACTTAGTTAATGTCATCCATGAACTTAAGGGATATAACTCATACATTGAAATTGCCTTATTTTCATATTTCTCTAGTGTTTTCTCATTTTGGATACAAATGTTATCAAAGTAGAGATAGAATGCTTGTCAGTTTTGTTGAAGGGACACTGTCTACAATCAGGTTGGACTCTAATTGATTTTCAATGAAGCACTCTCAGCTACTACTTCAGTTAGGCACCAGTTTGGCTATAATAGATGATTTTTTAAGGTCCTTAATAGATTTCTATTTGAAAAAAATGTCAAGCATCACTTCTTGGCTAATATCTTCTTTATGCTCTCTTTTGTCTGTTCTTCTGTTAGAAGCTACCTACTACCTGCTTTTTCTTGATTGTCTTGTTGCAAGATGAAGGAAAACTGAGAGAAGCAAATGAAAGTAAAGCCATAGTAATTACTGTAAATGTGAAGTATACATGTTTGAACACAATCTCTATATTTTAGTGTAGTTGTTCCAATGGATGGCTCTGCAACTGTGTCAGTTATAACATTTTCAGGACCCAGAGTAGTCAGAAGAGCAAATGAAGTTTATTATTGTAACTTGGAGAACTGCTGTGCTGGGGCACTGAGTCTCTGAGCTGGAAAAAATCATCAACCAAGATGGATGGATGCCAGCTCAGAGATGAGGAGGGTAAAGATTGAACATGGTTGAGTGGCAATGACCTGAAAGGGGGATGTGTGAAAACAATATCTTAGTAAAATGGCAGGATGATAAATTTGTTTTTAGTGAAGCCCTTCGCTGTTAAGGGAAATGAAATTTTCCTCTCTCTCTCGTTTATTTTTATTTTATTTTTTCCCCGAGACAGAGACTTGCTCTGTCACGCAGGCTAGAGTGCAGAGATGCAATAATGATTCACCGCAGTCTCTACTTCCTGGGCTTAAATGATCCTCCTGCCTCAGCCTCCTGAATAGCTAGGACTACAGGCATGTACCACCATGCCCAGCTAATTATCTTATTTTTCACAGAGACAGGGTCTCACTATGTTGCCCAGGCTGGTCTTAAACTCCTGGGCTCAAGCAATTCTCCTGCCTTGGCCCCCAAATTGCTGGAATTACATCTGTGATCCACCTCGCCAGGCCAGGGAAATGAAGTCTCGATAGACTATTGGAGCTCTTAGTTTCTGGAGAATGTATAATATACAGAAACATCATCTCTTTCTTCATAGGCTCCCATGCCATCCTCTGTCATTGCACCTTCCACTGATTAGTCTAATCATATGATTCCTTGCCTGTGTCTGTCAACTGCCTGTGAGTTCCCTGTTCATAATATTGAGTGATAGTGATATTGAAAAATGAACTTTAGACTTCAAAAGCCACCTAAACCCCTCCCCACTCCTCCCTCCCTCCCTCCCCCTTCCCCTCTTTCTCCCTACCCCCTCCCCTTCCCTTTGTCCCTTTTCTCCCACTTCCTCTCTCTCCCCCTCCCCCTACCATCCTCTTCTCCCCGCTCCCTGCTCTTGCCCTCACCCTAGCCCACTCCCTCCCACCTCTCCACCTCTCTTTTTCTCTCCCTCTCTTTGTGTTTTACAAATTCAGAAAAGTAGTAAAGCAGAAATCTGTGATGTTTCTGTAGCTTAAAGTTATTTGCTAATATCCACATTCAGTGACAACTTCTAGCAGTTTATTTCAAATCTCAGCTTGGGAAAGAAATTCACCTTGGTTTCTCTTTTGACATTTTTGGATGATTAGCCAGACTCCTACTCAGGAGTCACAGGAACCTAGTAGCAGGGGTTGCCTCTTGGAGCATGAAGAGGACAAGGAGACAGCGATGGGAAGGAGATTCACATTGTACTGCATATACTTGGTTCTGTTATTATTTTTCTTACCATGTGTCAACTAGTCAAAAACATTTTCATTCAACTCAAAAATAAATACGCCCACTCAATTCATGAAAATTGCTTTTGCGTTTGATTTTGAATTGTTTGAATACTTCAGACGTGATTATTTCAATTATGTAAGCTAAGCTGCATTTCAATCTGGGCACAGACTTACCATCAAAATGTTCCTGTTGAGAAGAACCAGTTTCTCTTCTTTAAATTTCAAGCAGTTTTATATTTATTGTCATGATCTAGGACACTAGTGATAATCATCCCTGATTCCTCTCTTTGCCACTCCCCCATCAGTCACCAAATCCTGGGCATTTGAATATGTGCAACTCGTGTCTTTCTTCATTTCTCCAAGTCCTATCACTGTTCCATTTTGGGACTTCATTATCTCTTGGAGAGAATACTGAAACATTCATTTAATGCCTGCAGGCTCTACTCTTAGTTACCAGTCCTCCACATTGCAGCCAAAGCTAACTTTTAAAAACAGCCCCGATTATGTTTTCCTCCCACTGAAAGTCAATAAATAAAATTTAGTGTTTCCCACTCTCCACAGAACAATGTCTATGAATCCGTTAGCGTTCTGGTTTCAACCTACTCGTCCTGACCTCAGGATTTCTTTCAACATTTATTTACCTCATTTCCTTTTTTTCTTTTCAGTGGCTGCTAATATGTCAGATACAATACTAGGTGCTGGGATATAATGAAAAGCAACACCAGATAGATCTCCTTTTCTCCTAATGTTTTCTGCCCATGTGGGAGAGGGAGCAAACAATCAAATAATGAAAATGTTTATTCACAAGGAGAGATCAGTGCAATGAGAGGAAGGAGCTCAGAGCTCGGAAAGCCTATACCTGAGAGACCTGACATATTCTTGGGGCTCTGAAAAACTTTCCTGAGTTTATGTCGCTAAAACAGAGATCTGGAGAATGAATTGCAGCAACCTCAGGCGCGACTCCATGCTAGCTGCAGCAGGCAACCTGCCATCCTTCAACCTGCTGTGAGTTTTCCTCACCCTCTGCCTCAGGTTTTCCCTACTTCATTTGATGTTCGGTAAAAGTCTGTTTAATTATATTTCCCCTATCCTTCCCTTTATGGAATATTAATTAAGATCCGTCTCACGTATTACTTCTAAGTGCAGCTTCCCTGACATTGCTAATGGCCTCTCTTCTTGAGCCCCATGGCCCTCATCTCTCAGTTCCCACATCATTTTATATAAATTAGCTATTACTTGACATCTGTCTCATTGTTACCTACACATTTTACTTATTTCTCTCTCCATCTCTTATGTATCCTTTGTATTCCCAGAACGTAAAATGGTGCTAGAACAGTAAAAACTCAGTATCTCCATTGGATCAAGTAGTACCTAACAACAAATTGGTGAAGTGATTGTTTTATAGGTGCTGTCAATTTTATTGGCTTTAGATAATAAATATTTACAGATTGTGTCTTTCTTTTTTACAATGTCATTACTCCAAGAAGCTCCTGGTATAAGGAAGTGAAATATTTCAATTATTGTTTTATGACTCAGTAATTTGAAACTTGGAATGCATTTTCCCAAAGGGAAGGAAGGTAGAATGGTATTTTTCGTTCCTGTATATGCATACGAAAGGCAGAGCTGCCCAGTGGAAATAGCCAAAGATACATAGGTTCTAATGCTATTTCTGACTTTTACTAGCTTTATGACTTGAGCAAGTGCCTTAACTGAAGAGCAACTCATTTCTTTCACTTGAAAAAATAAAATACAAATAACCCTTCCCCCACTAATTTATTGTAAACGTCGAATAATTAGCATCCATAAATTGCCTAGCTCAAATAATTCAAGCTCAGTATTATATGTTAGTTCTCTTCCTTGTCCCTTCCTCACCTTTTATGTCCTTCAAGGAAAAGGCACTTTTGGTAACTTTGTCAGGATATGATAGCATAAGTAGGTTACTGAGAATGAAAGAGTCCGTGCTTTTCAAGTCCCCTCAAAATCAGAAAGAGAAGACCTCAGCATTCACATGTGACTCACTTGTCGACTCACTTAACAAATGATCTAGCACTCCTTATTTGCCAACCAGTAGTTAAGCAATGGGGCAATCAAATCCCAATGGCATCATCACTTTCTATTTGCAGAGAGGCTTGGAGAAGCTAGGGGAAGAGAATTGTAATCTGGATGAAGCGGGCCCATGAGGTAAACAGGGAAGAGTAGCCATCTAGACCATAGCCCTGCTGAAACCTGTATGACACTGAAGCCTTTCCTGGTAGTCTGGCCATTGTACATCTGCTCATTATGGGTCCTGGCTAGAGGCAAGATCTGTAGTATGTCACAGGCACAGCAATAAGGACTTTGCTCATTATTTAACTCTGCTTTTCAGTTCTGGAAATATGAACATAGCACCAAGTAGACAACTTTTGGCGAAGTCTTTTCCTTATTATAAGCGCATAAAACTGTATCGATTATTCCTATAAAGGAGAGTATTGTGAACCCAAAATATCTGCGACAGGTCTCAGTCAATGGAGAAAGTTTGTTTTGCCAAGGTTAAGGAGGTGCCCTTGACACAGCCTCAGGAGGTCCTGACAACATGTGCCCAAGGTGGTGGAGGTACAGCTTGGTTTTATACATTTTCGGGAGACATGAGACATCAATCAATATATATAAGATGTACATTGGTTTGGTCTGGAAAAGCGGGATAACTCAAAGTGGGGAGGTGGCTTCCATGTCATAGGTAGATAAGAGACATTCTTTTGAGTTTCTGATTATCCTTTCACTGAATACACAATTTATTGGAATAGTCACTTATGTCTTAGTCTGGCTTCGTGAAACAATAGGGCAAAGGAAGCAATCAGATGTGCATTTGTCTCATTTGAGCAGAGGGATGACTTAGTTCTGTCTGTCCTTTGTCCACAAGGAATTTCCTTGTGGGCAAATTGTGAGGGGGGTATGTAGACCTTTTATCTTTGTAACTATCTTATGTAGGAATAGAATCGGAGGAGGGTTTGCCCAACATGGTTCCCAGCTTGACTTTTCTCTTTGGTTTAGTGATTTTGGGGGCCCCAAGATTTATTTTTCTTTCTCATATGAAACAACTAGCAAAGAGATTATGTAATTATATCTTTAAAAAATCTTTTTTTCTGTAATGGAACAACTTTTTCTTTTAATCTTTTTAAGTGAATTGCAAAATGACAGCATATTTTCAGCAAAGAAAACCAAATCAGGATTTGGTATGCCTGTATTCATAGAGAAAAAGAAGTCTTTGATAAAAAGAATTACTTTTAATTCTTCTGTAATTTGCAAAATAAAGGAGAAATGGCTATTTCATTTGATTTGTTTCTCTTTTTGTAAAACAGTGCTCCAATCTGAAACAGCTGTGGTGACTAATGTATGTATGACTGATATTTACTAATGATAGAGATTTGAAAGAAAAAAGCAGTGGTTATTCTATACTGCATTATTTAATATAATTATTAACTTTGCAATTACAAAGATACTACAGTCTATAGAACACTAAGGGAAGTTGAGTGCTATGTGGTCACCTGCTGTTCTTTGGCAGTGACAGTTCTACACTGACACATAAAAAGCAATAGGAATTGATGATGTATTCATGAAGCCATCCTCCCTTAAAATGTGTGGGTCAGGCTTATATTACATATTTTCACGAAAAATTATTTTAATGTTCCTGAAATGCAATAAAAGTGATCATTAATAGGAGTTATGCTATGTTGGAGTTAGGATGAACTGTAATTGGTTTTATTGAACAAATAGTATAAAGATATTTCCAGTGAAATGCTTCAAACTTCTTAGAACAAAATATTTATATACTTAAAAGTATTATTTTATAAAATAATAAATATAGTTATTAGACTATTTTACAATCAATAAACTAAAAGAGATCCTAAAATTACCTTTGATCTGTACATATTAGCATAATCCAATGACAACCACAAAAATAAAACTGAGTATATTCTATGCTCAGACCACTGGGCAAGGCTCTTATCTACCTGACATCACTTAATGTAGTCTTAAATATTGAGTAATCGAGGATAGTAAAATTGCTTGTGCTTTTGGTGGCTTTCTTTTAAAATTTTCCTCACATGATTGTATTATAGGCTCTCAAAGAGTAAAGGATAGAGGAGGACTTAGCATTACTTAAAGGAGATAAACGTGCTGCTGGAAAAGTAAAGCTGGACTTGGGAGTTAGAAATCTCAGCTGGGCTATCTGCTTAGGTGTGTGAACATCAGCCAGTTGGCTTAACCTATCTGAGCTCAGTTTCTTCTTTTTGAAATGAGGGTAATAATGTTTACATTTATATGATTAAAATAAGGATTAAAGAGAATGTAAATAAGAGAAATTTGTCAGTTACCTTATATATGAAAACAAAGTCAAGCTGTTAGCTGAAGTTTTCCTTGAACAATGAGATTTCAGTAAAATTGACCTGTTCTAGCACCAACATTCTGTGAGATGCACAATGTCCTATGTCTTTGCTAATATGTATGCACGTGTGTATAAATTTTTACAAAACTCCAGGCCTTAGGTTTTCATAGTAATTTCTGACTCCTAGTTCTATTCATTGAACTTCTAATCATACTTAGCTGTTACCTCTCACCTGTTATCTTCTCTCTTCTCTGAGCCATCTCATATGTGGTACTCGATCCCTTATCTTTGATCTCCCCCTCACAAACCATCGTCACGATGTATATTGCCAACCTGACTAAAGGTTATTGACAATATAGAGCAATTCAAATCATGTAGGATAATGTGAAATTTGAGATCATGCAAACAACAAAAAAATGGGTGTAAAAATCCCTATTCTCATAAATCCTATGGTCACTCTCATGCTAAAGATTTCTCAAAAGTTTCCATTAGGTAAAGTTTTTAAAGCCCTGCAGCATTTTCCTTTGCTTATTTAGTCTGTTCATCCAGGTCCACAATCTCCTTGCTTCCTGTTTTGAATGTCTCCTCTCATCAGAGTCCTTTAACTTCCTCTCTTGTGATACTGAGTATCATCCAACCCTGGTCTCATCTTTGCAAACTGTAATTCTCCTTTATTCCCCTGGTTAGATCCTTCTTACCCAATCACTTTACATAGAACTTGGTTTTATTGTGTACTAGCCAAGTGATGTTGGGCAAGTTTATTAATGTATCCGATAAAAATGTGAGAAATAGTCCTGTGATATGTCTTTCCTGTGAGCATTAATTAAGACAATATATGTAAGGTACTAAGTATAGTGTCTGGCACACGGTAAACATTTAATAATAATTGTTAGATGTAACAAATTCACAAATACAGTTTTTCCAGTATGTTTGCCCATTGTCTTGCCCTCTCAGTACATTTGTGCATTGTATGTCAAAGGAACAAAAAGAATTTTAAAGATGAAGTACATTGATAAATTTCAGGATTCTACTCCTCTTGATTTTAGATAAAAAGATAAAATTCCTGTAAAACTCTGTTTTATAACTTGTTAATGTTTAACTTGTAGTGATGTTACTGGTATTTTCTTTTTCTTGAGTTTAAAGTTTTTATTTTTATTTTTTTAAAGAGTCACCTTGTCTTAGTTTGGGCTGTTGTAACAAATTACCTTAGGCTGGCTGGCTTAAACAACAAAAATTTATTTCCCACAGTTCTACAGGCTGGGAAGTTTAAGATCAAGGTGTTGGTAGATCCAATGTCTCAAGAGGGTCCACTTACTGGTTTACAAATGGCTGTGCTCTTGCTAGTTTCTCACATGGCCGAGAAAAGAGAGTCAGAGAGAGAGGGAGAGAGAGAGAGAGCAGGCAAGCTCTCTCATTTCTTTTTTTATAGACGCATGAATCCTATTTATGAGGGCTCCAACCTCATGCCCTTTCAAAGGCCCCACCTCCAAATACTATCACATTAGGGATTAGACTTCAACGTATGAATTTTGGAGGACACATTCAGTTCATACCACACTCCATTATAGATCAAGACCGAGAATATAATGAAGTTTTTGGAATAATGAATTCATAAACTAATATCCATTTAGCTTTGCAAATAGGCTAGGACATAAAGCTGTAGATTCCCAAATGATAAAAGTACAAAAAAGTCATGATAAAACAATAGCAATGGTGTAGCTGTGAACTCTTGATACCTGTGTTGCAACACCTTCTGCAATAACCATACATTGCAAGATACAGAGACAAATTTTCTTACTCGTTTAGCTTTGGTATCAGTGGAATAATAGCTACTAAAGTATTTATTGTACAACTATTATGAATCAAGTGCTTTGTAGGCAATTCAATTATGACAACAGTGCCATGAGGTAGGTTACTGTTTTACAGATAAGAAAACCAAGACTCAAAAAGTTATAAAATTCGCTCACGTTTCTATCTCCAAATTCAAAACCTGAATAATCTGACTACAAAACCCAAAATCTTCCTGCTGTGTTTTGCTTAGAAGATGGAACACAAGGAGTTTTTATTATGACCAGCTTAATAAAAAGTAGAAATATTAAGGAGTAATTCTCATTGTTGAGTTTACACTTTTAACAAAGATGAAAAGCATATTATGGCTTTTTTCTCTAACCACCATTTCTGAGAAATCCCTGTGAGTCATGCAATCCCGTCCTCTCTCCATTCTTCCCACTTGTCTTTATTTCGTGCCTATTGTGTGTTGAGCGTCAGATTAAGCACTAGGATACAATGATGAACAGAAATAGATTATGATGTAGAAGTGGAGACAGACACTTCCCAAATATTATTTCAGTGAAAGTAAAATTGCATAAGAGAAACACTAAAAATGAATTACTATGTAGTATTATAAGAGCTTAAAAGGGGGTGGCGTGGGATGGAGAGATGTTCATTTGGTCAAGAGGGTAGAAGAGGATCACTGAGGAATTGGTGGTTTAAACTGTGTTCTAAAAGATGAGTACATGCTAACCCAGTAAATGAGGAAAGAACATTTCAGACCCAGAGATGAGCATGTATAAAAGTCTGTCGTGATACCCGAGCGGGGGGTGCATGGTGGCATAAGAAACTGAAAGAAACTCAATGTTGTACACCAAATTCTCCATGAAGCAGAATCTCAGCTGCTAATTGGAGGTGGGTGTGGGGGGTGTTCCTGTGTATTGTAGGATGTTTAGCAGCATCCCTGACCTCTGCTCACTAGATGCTAAAGGCAAATACCCAACCCAGAGTTGATACAATTTAAAAAAGCTGCAACATTGCAAAATGTCCTCTGGAAGGAGGCAATATTGTGCCTCATTGAGAACAAGTGAGGAAAAAAATGGTGTAGGTTAGGGTGGGAGGGGTGGGTAAAAACCAGATCATGCCTGGCCTTGTAGCCATGTCAAGTCCTTTTGTCCTTATTTTTAAGAAAGGGAGCAAGACCAGATTTGTGTTAAAAGTATCAGAGTCACTGCAGAATAGAAACAGAGTGGAGAAGGGTCTGATTGGCTGCAAGGAGAAGAAGAATAGCTAGAAGGAGATGATTTGTATAGGTAATAACTAATATTTGTAGGGAGGTTCTGGTGCAAAGGAAAAATGAACATAGATATGAGAGATATTTGGGTTGGATATAAGAACCTGAAGGAAAAGGAGTTGTCACAGATGAATCCTTAGTTTTGCTCACATAGGTAGATGATGATGCCATTTACTGATTTATGGAACAGATGTGAAGAGTGAAGACCATGTTGTTTTTTAGTGACTTTTCTAAAATTAGGGTGAAATATAAAAAGACATTTGGATTTGGATCAGCAGCTCCAAGAGAGACTGATAGAATTATTTAGTGAGATTTGAATAGATACTAATTAAAACTGTGAATGTGAAATTGGATGTTTTCTCTACCCTGAAAGAGGTTTTAGTCATAACCAGTCATTTCCCCCACAGCAGTTTCAACTCCTTTTCAGACTCTTGCTGACAGGTGTACCATAAACATTGATGAATTTGTCATATATTTAAAATATTTATCTATCTTATTCCAATAATGAAATAGACACAAATCAGTACACACAAACATACTTGTGCACACCCACAAGGTGTGAAAAATAATGAAGTAGAAACCATCAATATCAGGGCATTTTGGCCTTTATTTCCATGTAGGAATTTATGCAATATGTGATACCTAGTTATTATAAGACAAAAGTACTACTTAAATTTTTCATCTAGAGTCCTGCAGGCCATCAGTGAATCCCAGAAAAGTGTCAAAGATTTCCAATACCCAATATACCTCTTTAAAGAGTATAAGTTATTTTTTGCCATTTCCCCAAAAGAAAATGATAATATGAACAAAATCTTGGCAAGAGTAGGAAAGAAAGACATTTAAATTAAAACCATTATTCATATAGAAAGTAGAAGTGCTTCAGCTTTTTGTAAAAGATTGGAGTTGGCAACCGGAGAGATGGCTCTTACAAGCATAACTGAAGGCTTCATGTCTGACAGCAGGATCTGGGAGGTCAAGCCCAGAAACCTAGCTGCTTTGTCCAAATGTACCTGCAGCCTTTTCCAAATGATGGCATGTGCTTATCCATATCCCAGTTTTCCCCAGTGCTTATTCTCTCATTTTACACCTTCTATTCACAGTTCTCTGGCATTCCAGTATCACTGACCATGTCATTTTCAAGGGTAAGGAGTATGATTGTCCTTGAAGGTCATAATTATTTTAAATATATATACTGGAAATACCTCCACAGACTCAATTACTAGTGAACTGTTATATCTAATGACTATTTCTACAAGAATTTAATCACCAGAAATAAATGAAACATATAAAACCAACTCAAAATTGGTAACAGGAAAAAAGTGATGTAAAAAATATTTTTAATCAGAATCAGATAATCAGAATATTGTAAGGCTTAGTGTCTTATGAAAAAGAAAGACTAAGAACATTTCATGCATAATCAGGAAAAGGAGGAGCTCAACAATTCTGAAAACCAAGTAAGGAGATAAATATAGGAACTCCAGTTGTGGGAGTATACTTATGTGTGAGCAGCCAGAAATGACGAAGTCCTGTCTGTTACTTCACTTAGACATTGTGATCAATCAGATGGGATATTGAGAGAAACAAAAATCCTACCGTTGCAGAAAATTCCCTTGGAAATGGTAAAATTCACTCATTATTCTGTCTTTGTCATCATTTTAACAAACCCTCACTGAAGCATGCTTAATATATTCACAATGTTTTTGACCAGAGACTGAACATGGTATATACCAATTTTTGTGTTATCATATCAGAGCATGTATGGAATAGTTAATGATGACACCATTATCATCACCTGTGTGAATGATACATGGGAAATTGATAATGGTCATTTATTTATAGTAGTCATTTAGTCAACAACTTTATTGGGCCTTGTTTATGGTGTCACCTGTATTTCAGAGAACTTATAGAAAATTGATATGCTAGAAATAATGATGGATATTGTTTTTCCCCATTTTGTAGCATATGTGCCTTTTCCCAATATGCACACATATAAAGCACGTTGTTCAATTCAACAAAAAATAGAGAATGTATGTTCTTTCAGATGCTTAGTTCTGAATTGAGCAAGTCATGAAAGCAATGCTTAATAAGCACCTAGTAGCCACAAAGATATGACTATGAAAATGAAAAAAAATTGCAGTTGTATTATTTTAAATGCTAACACTTTTTTACTTTTTAATAAAATTGTATATATTTAAGGTGTACAGCATGATATTTTGATATACATAATGAATTGATTACTACAGTCAAGTGAATTAACAGATCTTTCTCTTCAGATAGTTACCATTGGTTTTCCTGCTGGGAGCACCTGAAATCTATTCTCTCAGAAATTTTTGGTATAAAAGAGTATTATTAATTATAGTCATCATGCTGAAAGTTAGATCGCTAGACCTATTCATCTTATATAACTGCAACTTTGTACCCTTTGACCAATGTTCCTCTATTTCCCCCACCTTTCTGCCCCTGATAACCAGCTTTCTACTCTTTGGCTTCTATGTATTTGACATTTTTGTATTTCACATATAAGTGGATCATGCAGTATTTTGCTTTCTGTATATGTCTTCATTCACTCAGCTTAATGTCCTCCAAGTTCATTCATGTTGTTGAAAATAGCAGAAGCTCCTTTATTAAGGCTAAATATTTCACTGTGTGTATATATATATGATATATGTACACATATATCATAATTTCCTTATATGCATTCACAGATACATAGGTTGTTTCCATATCTTGGCTGTTGTGAATAAAGTTGCAATAAACATAGGGGTACAGAAATCTCTTCGCGATACTGATTTCAATTTCTTTGGATATATACCAAAAGAGGGATTACCGGATCATATGGTAGTTCTATTTTTAATTTTTTGATGAACTTCCATATTCTTTTCCATAATGGCTATACTGATTTCCATTCCCATTAACAGTGTGGAAGGGCTCACTTTTCTGCTCACCCTTGCCAACACTTATAATCTTTCATTTTTTGTATAATATTCATCCTTACAGGTGTGAGATATCATCTCATTGTGGTTCTGATTTGCATCTCCCTGATTATCAGTGTCGTTGAGCACCTTTCCATACACCTGGTGGCCACTTTTATGCCTTTTTGGGAAAATGTCTATTTGGTTGCTTATGCTTTTGCTTTTGTTTGTTTTTTATTTTTGCTGTGAGTTACGTGAATTCCTTGTATATTTTGGATATTAGCCCCTTATCAGATGCCTAGTTTGCAAATATTTTTCTTTCATAGGTTGCATTTTCATTTTATTGCTCTTTTTTATTTCTGTGCAGAAGCTATTTAGTTTGATATAGTTCCACTTGTTTATTTGTGCTCTTGTTTGCTGTACTGTCCAAAAGTTATTTCCAGGGTCAGTGTCAGGGAGCTATCTTTAAGCTTCTTGATGTAATTTTTGGTATATTTGATGTTAAAGCCACCAAGAAAATGGAATATTAGCCTTTTGATTATGTTGATGGTGGACTAGGTAATTTGGACTAAACTTCTCATGAAGAGAACTAAAATAGCTGGAAAAAATATTGCTTAAAATATCACCTTAAAAGCATCAAAATGCTAACCGAACAGTGAAGCGGGCCTGGGCTAAGATCTAGGTTAAAATGGAAATCAGGAGGTAGTCCAGTCATTTTGGTCACTTTTGGCCTGAGGTACCAGATAAAATACGGAATGCACAGTTACACTTGAATTTCATGTAACAGTGATTATTTTTAAGTATTAAGTATGTCCCAAATATTGCATGGGACATTCTCATACTTACACTTATTTAAGGTTTATCTTAAGTGTAAACGTAACTGGGCATTCTGTTTTTTTAACATTTAGCAACCTTAATCTAATGGCATTTGCAGTTCTGGAAGAAGCAGTTGAGAGGATGAACAGAACTTTTGGCAACATCTCAAGAATTTGAAGCAAAAGTCTAAACAAGGAACTGCCAAAGGGAAGATCACCACAACTTTGTTTTGTTTTGTTTTTTGGCTGGGACCTTGAAGAACTACATGTAAGAATAAAAGTGAAGCAAAATGAAACCAGACTACGCTGACTAGAACCCCTTTTCAAGTCATTTGAGAAATCATGAAAATTTCCACACCCTGAACTTGGACTAAGACAGTCATGTGTTAATAATGCCCAGAACACCATGAAAATCCCTTAAATGGAATTATCATCCCAGATCTGAAATTATTTCTACAATTGTTATTTAACTAATATCCAACATATAATCAGAGAGCCAAGTATGCAGTAAAACTAAATTCATAGGAACAAAAAATAGCAGAGAAAAAATAACCAAAAAGTAGAAGAACAGGGACACCAGATATTAACAGTGTCAGTGAGAGACTGAAAAAAATGAAGAAAGGAGGAAGACAGGAAGGAAACAATGAAGAAAGAAGGAAGAAGCCTATACTTATTCTGTTAATGAGATAAAAAGACAAAATATGGAAACTGTAATTTATAGAAAGTGATATACTACATTTACTACATTTTTTAAAAGGACCAAATAGAAATCCTAGAAGGGTAAAAATAGCTGAAAATGATAACTCAGTGAATGGGCTAAATAGAATATTATATACAGGTAAACAGAGGACTGGGAAATAGGCTGCATGGTATTCTCCAGAAAAAAAATGCAAAGATACAAAGGACTGGAATGCAAAAGAAAGAGTAACAGCTATTAAAAATAGGAGAAGTTCTGGCATATTTGCCATTGGAATCTCTAGAAGGAGAACAGAGAGAATTAGGCAAAAAGAATTATTTTTTTTAAAAATTATGACTAAGATTTACCCCACACTGATAGTAGATAATAGATTTAAAGAGTCTAAAAAAATTTCAAGGTGGATAAATAAAAATGTATCCCTATTTTGACATATCACTGATATACTGTATAAAGCTAAATCAAAGATAAAATATCTGTATTCAGGGGAAAAAAGGCAACTACTTATTAACAAAAACAATGGGAAGCTGAACTATGTTTTATAATATATTCAATCTGTTGAAAGAAAATAATTTCCAATTTATATTTACATATCTCAAGAAAATATTCTTCCAGATGGAGGACTAACAGTTTCAGAAAGAAAATAAGAAAACTCACCACCAGGAGACAAGCACAAAGGAAAATTGTGAAGTGTTTTCAGACAGAAGAAAAATGACTCTGTGTGGGAAAAAAATGAGGAGTAACAAAAAGTAGGTAAATGAGCAGTGACACAATAAAATAATAATAATGTTTTGCCAAATTTAAATTATAACTTGAATAAAATATATGACAAAAATAGCCTATAATTCAGCTTGGCAAAACATAGGATTAATTGATTGAAGGACCTTTTATTGTTCAAAAGGAGAGTAAAAGTATTATTCATCATGGCCGGGCGCAGTGGCTCACGCCTGTAATCCCAGCACTTTGGGAGGCTGAGGCAGGTGGATCACGAGGTCAGGAGATTGACACCATCCTGGCTCACAAGGTGAAACCCTGTCTCTACTAAAAATACAAAAAATTAGCCGGGTGTGGTGGCGGTCACCTGTAGTCCCAGGTACTCGGGAGGCTGAAGCAGGAGAATGGTGTGAACCCAGGAGGCAGAGGTTGCAGTGAGCCAAGATGGGCGCCACTGCACTCCAGCCTGGGTGACAGAGCAAGACTCCGCCTCAAAAAAAAAAAAAAAAAAAAAAAAAAAGAAAAGTATTGTTCATCATTAGATCTTGGTGAATAATTCATGTTGTCACTTCTAGGGTAATCACTGAAAAAAAAAAAGATATGCTTCATTTCCAAACTTACTGTGGAAAACAATGTACAACAATAACAATGATCAACCAAAAGGAAGCAAAAAATAAAATAAACATATATTTGGTAGGACAAATATAGAGTATAAAGTGTATGCCAACATGTTAAATTTGAATTCAGCCATGCCAGTAATTCCACCAAATATAAATGTATTAAAAAATGAGTCATATAGCAAAGTTTGTCAGACTCATTTTTTAAAAGATAAAAACCATACTACTTAAAAACTATATTTAAAACATGAGGATAAAGAATTTTCAAGATAAAAGGATTACAAAATATATACCATGCAAATATTAAGCATATTAAATACCAGTATACTGCTAGTATAGAGAAAATAGAATTTAAGGCAGCAAAATAAATGAATAAATAACCAATATCAGAGAAAATAGACTTCATGCATAAAAACATATTAATGTCAAAGAAAATTGATTTTAGTGCAAAAAAATCACTCAGCATATTTTTAAAATACTTATCAACTATCAGAGAAAATAGATTTTTGAACAGAATTTTTTTTAACAAATATCAAAGAAAATAGGCTAAACGGAAAAAAAGGAAAATGTGCCCAGAGAAGCTATATTAATATCAGAGAAGATAGACTTCAAGGAAAAAAATAATGAGGCTAGAAATAGTCACTTCATAAAGATAAAGGTTTAATTTTTCAGAGATATATAAAAAATTTTAGTGCACCTAAAGAGTCCTTTCAAAAAGAAAAATTATACTCCAACCTCTGAAATAAACACATATACAAAATCCCTAGAAAAAAATACAAAATATCGGAGTCTAGAACCATTAGAAAATAGCAGTTTTAGTTTTGGCATGGTGATGTAAGCTCACTAGAGACCATATGTCTCATGGATCAGAACTGAATATGCTGACAAAATGCAAAAATGACTACCTGACTTTAATTGGAAAAGCAGAAAAAGCATGTCAACTTTGGAGGAGAGTACAGACTTGGAGAAGCAATTTTACAGGGTTGATTTTCCTGTTGTGTGCATGTGTGTGTTTGAAATGCTCTCCTGTGGATTGCTCCCCAAAGTGGGCCCAGTTGTAAAGCATCATATAGATGGTGGTAATGGTCTCTTTGGCTAAAACTCCAATACAACTCTCATGTTTCTGTCTAGAGAACCAAAAAGAAAAGCTCCAGAAGGCTGGAGAGTGAGGGGAAATCCCAGCATAGAGAAAGTCTGATAAGAAGATTCCCTAATCCCGGCCAAGAGTGGTGGCTCATGCCTATAATCCCAGCACCTTGGGAGGCCAAGGCGGGTGGATCAAGAGGTCAGGAGATGGAGACCGTCGTGGCTAACACGATGAAACCCCGTCTCTCCTAAAAATACAAAAAATTAGCCGGGCGTGGTGGCACACGCCTGTAATCCCAGCTGCTTGGAAGGCTGAGGCAGGAGAACAGCTTGAACCCAGGAGGCAGAGGTTGCAGTGAGCCAAGATCAGCGCCACTGCACTCCAGCCTGGGCGACAGAGCGAGACTCTGTCTCAGAAAAAAAAAAAAAAAAAAAAAAGGAAAAGAAAAGATTCCCTAATCCCGTGAATGAACCTGTACAATTTTCAGGATCACCATGAGCTATGCATGTACGGACAGCTCCAAAACAGTACATCAAACCTACTGAGAGCTAAACTGAAATTTAATCCCTATCATTCTCAGAAGGTAAAACAGAACTTACAAACGGAACTTGAGTTAAATGCCTACTAAAATAAAAATATCAACATTCTTCAGAGTATTACAAGATCCACATGTTACAAAGTATTTTATCAAACACACACAAGACGTAATTCCAAATTTGATAATTTATAAGACAATATCAAAAGGAATTACTAATGTAACAATACAAGAAACAAGAGAGTGACTGGAGCAGAAGTTGAGGAAACAGTGGTCTTAAATTTTTTTGAATTGATGGAAGTCTTAAGTTTATAGCATCAAGAAGCTCAGCAAACCCCAAACAGTATAACCAAAGAAAACCATAGACACATCATAAACCCCTAAAACTCTAAGATGAAGAAAAACCTTCAAAACAGCTAGAGGAAACTGATACGTATATTACTTACAGGAATGCAGTGATTTGAATAAGATTTTTCTGATGAGAATGTCTCATCAGAAAAAATGAAGGTCAGAAGACAGGGAAACAACATTTTAAAGAATAGAACTGTCAAGCCGTAATTTTATATCCACTAAAAATATCATTCAGGAAGGGAGGTAAAATAAAAATTGAGAAAAATTATTACCTTCCAGATCTGCCCCGAACATTGGCTAACAAAAGGCTAAAGGAAAGGGAATGATGCCAAAGTGATATCTGGACCTTCCGTCATGTCTTGAGAACAATTGGAAAGGGTAAATATTAGAGTAATTGCAGAAAACAGTTATTTTTCTCTTTAAATTCACTTAATAAAGAAAAAATAATTATCTGGTGGGGTTTTCAATGTATATAAAAGCAATAAAGTATAACCTAAAATTCAATGGGGCAAAAGGATTTATAAAGTAGCAGCATTTCTACGTTTTATATTAACTAATACAATATTAACTCTTAGTAAACCATGACAGCTTAGATATGCATATTGTAATCTCTAGAACAAACTGAAAAAAAAATCAGAGATTTATAAGCAGAAAATCAACAGATTAAAAAAAAGTCAGCCAGTAGACAGAAATTACAATGAGATAATAAAAATATTCAAATAATCAAAAAGAAAACAAAGAAGTGGGAATAGAGGAACAACAAAATAATAATAAAACGGTAGATCTAAAATTATCCACATCAGTAATTACAGTGAGTGCTAATGATGTAAACTAGCAGTTGGCAAACTTTCTCTTAGAGGGCCAAAGAGTAAATATTTTCATCTTGCAGGCCATATGGTGTCTGTCTCAGCTAATCACCTTTGCATGAAAGCAGTCATAGAAAATATGTAAATGAATGGTCACGGTTGTGTCCAATTTAAAACGATTTTTGCTAAATTAGGTGGCTGGCCTGTGAGCCTATTTTGCATATCCCTTGCCTAAGCATTCCAATTAAAGGATAGAGAATGCCAAAGTGGATAAAATAAAATAAGATTTTACTCTAAGCTACTTCAAGTATAAAGATACAGATCTATAAAGACAGACTGAAGGTAAGTAAAAAGAAAATGATATATCATGGAATCTGTAAACATAAAAAGAATTGAGGGGATAGTTTATCAGTTAAAGTAGACTTCAAGACAATGTGTATAATGAGAGATTGTAAAAATTTTATCATGATAAAATAGGCATTCATCAGGAAGACATAACATTTATAAAGGTATATGTGCCTGATAATAGGCCTCAATTTATGGAGCATAAATTGATAGAATTTAAGAGATAGACAATTTCATAATTGTAGTAAATTTAACACCTCTACGTCAGCAATAAATAGAACATTTAGACAAAAATCAATGAAGACATTAAAGATACGTCTTTATCTTATTAGTATAATAGAGTAGTATATGCAACTGGAAAATATACATTCTTGCACATGTGCATAGTGCATAAACCAAATTAGATCCTATGCCAGGCCATAAATAAGTCTCAATAAATTAAAAAAGAATCATACGAGGTGTGCACTCTGACCACAACATAATTAAAGTAGAAATCAAAGTAGATATCTAAGAAAACACCCAATATCTATAAATTAAACAGCACACTTCTAAATAATTCATGAATTAAAACAAAATTACAAGATAATTAGAAAATGTTTCAAACTGAATGACATGGAAAATATAAAATATTACAATTTGTAGGAAAAGCTAAGGTAATGCTTAGCAGCAAATTCATAGCTTTAAATGCTTATATAAGAAAAGGAGAACAATCTAAAACTAAAGTCCTAAGATTTCACCTTAACAAGGTGAAAGTAAGTGAGCAAGTAAGCAGGTAAAAGAAAACAGTGAAGACAAAAGTAGAAATCAATGAAATAGAAAACAGATGAGAAAGGGAACAGCTCACTTTGAAGAGACCAACAAAACTGACAAAATTCTAACTATTCAGATCAATAATAAAAACGATAATCAATATCAGAAATAGAAAAGGGGTTATTACAAAAAATCTCATAGTGGTGATGATTTCACTGGTTAATTCAATTAGACATTCAAAGAAGAAAGGCGGCCGGGCGTGGTGGCTCACGCCTGTAATCCCAGCACTTTGGTGGAGACAGAGGCGGGCAGATCACGAGGTCAGGAGATGGAGAGCATCCTGGCTAACAAGGTGAAACCCTATCTCTACTAAAAAATACAAAAAATTAGCTGGGCGTGGTGGCGGGCGCCTGTACTGTAGTCCCACCTACTTGGGAGGCTGAGGTAGGAGAATGGCGTCAACCCGGGAACCGGAGCTTGCAGTGAGCGGAGATTGCGCCACTGTGCTCCAGGCTGGGCAACAGAGCAAGACTCCGTCTCAAACAAAAAAAAAAAAAAAAAAAAAAATGGAGAAAGGCAAGTCATATTTTAAGCCAGAATAATTTTAATAGCAAAACCTTTCCATTATAAAAATTACAGAGAAATATTCTTCGTGAATATGAATGCAAAAAAATCCTTAATAAATATTAGCAAAAAAATCCAATAGTATATAAAAGGATAATATGTTATGACCAACTAGAAACATTTAAAAATGTATTATAAGAAAGATACATATTTTTCAGGAAGTGCAAAGTTGCTGTAAGACTCAAAAATCAATTGTTGTAATTGATTTTTAATTGATTTAATTAAACATATGAATTTACAAAATACTAAAATATTGGATGATCACTTGAATACATGCAGAAAAATATCTGACAAAATCAGAATTTTAGCCAATTAGGAATCAATGGAAAATGTTCACAGCTGATAAATGACATCTGACAAAAAAATCTATAACATCTAATGGAATAATGATACTTGAAAGCTTTCCTTTGGAATTGGAAATAAAATAAAGATGTTTACAATCACACTTTTCTATTGTCCTAGAGATTCTAATTGAGGATGAAATATGAGAAAAAGAACAGAAAGAGGAAGAATTGGAAATAATTTAATGTAGAGAAAATACAATGCAAAGACAAATTATAATACTTAATAAGTGAGTTAGCCAGTTTCTGGATACAGTGTCAGTATTTTAAAAAATCAATTGCAATTCTATGTACTAGAAAAAAGATATAAGCAATGAAGTTTTATAAAATATAATATATTCAATAATATCAAAAATATCAAATACAGCCAGGCACGGTGTCTCACACCTGTAATCCCAGCACTTTGGGAGGCCGAGGTGGACGGATCACCTGAGGTTCGGAGTTTGAGACCAGCCTGACCAACATGGAGAAACCCCATCTCTACTAAAAATACAAAATGGGAGCCGGACATGGTGGCACATGCCTGTAATCCCAACTACTGGGGAGGCTGAGGCAGGAGAATCACTTGAACCTAGGAGGTGGAGGTTGTGGTGAGCCAAGATTGCACCATTGCACTCCAGCCTGAGCAACAAGAGTGAAACTCCATCTTAAAAAAAAAAAAAAATCAGATACTAAGAAATGATGTAACAAAAAGTTATGCAAGACCTGTATGCAGAAAACCAAAAATCATAATTGAAAGAAACATGTGTGAAGACCGAAATCTATATCTGTATTTCTCAATCTAACTATGGTCATGTTTATGGATTGTAAGACCAAATATTTTAAAGCTTGCAAATAACCTTAGGCTGACCTATAAATTTAATGCAATACCAACCAAAATCTTTAAAATATTTATTTATGAACTTCACAAATTAATAAGAAGTTTCATATAGAAAAATCAGGCTGGGTGCAGTGGCTCATGCCTGTAATCCCAGCACTTTGGGAGGCCGAGGAGGGTGGATTACGAGGTCAGGAGATCGAGACCATCCTGGCTAACATGGTGAAACCCCGTCTCTACTAAAAATACAAAAAATTAACTGGGCGTGGTGGCGGGCGCCTGTAGTCCCAGCTACTTGGGAGGCTGAGGCAGGAGAATGGCATCAACCCGGGAGGTGGAGCTTGCAGTGAGCCAAGAATGGGCCACTGGACTCCAGCCTGGGCAACAGAGCAGACTCTATCTCAAAAAAAAAAAAAAGAAAGAAAGAAAAATCAAAGGAACAAGAATAAGTTATATACTCATTTAAAAGATTAGGTTAATCATTAGTGCTGTCTATCCAATATTTTATTTTCTCCTCTTGGTTGAGGTGATGAGTGGTCGTGTGACGTGTTTTGTTAATGAAATGTGAAAGTGACATTTGTGACTCCTGGCTAGAAGATTTAAGAGCCAATTAATAATTCACCACACTCTATCTACTTCCTTCTGCTAAGGTAATTAGCAATATGTGCAAGAGAGTAGCTGTTCAATCAGTGTGGGCTCCAGAATTAGAAGAAATCAAGTATATTCTCCAGACAACCCAAAATGGACAACTAGAGAGAGCAAGAAAAACAAAACAAAAAGCTCTGTTGTTATAAGTCACTGCAATTTAAAATTCTTTGTTATTGCAGTATAATCTACTCTGACAGAAACAAAGTGTAACATGGAAGGAATTACTCCATGGGACATATCAAATCTGATAAAAATAAAGTAATTAAGACCATGACTATGGTTTGGCTGTGTCCCCACCCAAAATCTCATGTTGAATTGTAATCCCCATGATCCCCATAATTTCCACGTGTCAAGAGTGGGACCAGGTAGAGGTAATTGTATCATGAGGGTGGCTTCCCCCATGCTGTCCTCATGATAGTGAGTGATTTCACAAGATCTGATGGTTTTATAAGCATCTGGCATTTCCCCTGCTTTCACTTACTCACATCTACCGCCTGATGCCTTGTGAAGAAGGTGCCTTGCTTCCCCTTCACCTTCCACCATATTTGTAAGTTTCTCGAGGCTTCCCCAACCATGCTAAACAGTGAGTCAATTAAACCTCTTTCCTTTATAAATTACCCAGTCTTGGGCAGTTATTTATACCAGTATGAAAACAGACTGATCCAACCATGTTGTACTGAATCAAGGATAAACAAATGGAATAAAAATACAGAAATATACATTTATTATTATGATTATTATGATGATGATTTGATGCTACAAAAGTGGGGAAAATATATTCTTTTCAGTAAATGATGCTGTGACAATTACATGCATGTGAAAGTAAATGAAATTTGAGTTCTCCCTCATATCTTTCATGTAAACCAATTCCATGTGGATTAGTAACTTAAAAGTGAAAGCAAAAACATATGTTTTTAGAAGATAGTGTAGAATATCTTCATAAGCTTGGGATATGAAAAAGTTTTAATAGGAAATAAGAGTAGTAAACATAAAAATAAACAGGAGATAATTATACTGCATGAAAACTAAGGACCTGTGTTTATCAAAATACATCCATAAGAGAGTGAAAGTATAAGCCTTCACATGGAAAAATATATTTGCAAAATACTTAACTGACAATGAGTTTATATCCAGAAGATAAATATATTATATTTAAATATATAATATATAATGTACATACATAATTTTATGTAGATAAAACATACGTATATGTTTGTAGATATAGATATACAAAATATACAAAGACAGAAGCTAACCACTTGGGAATGGGCAAGTGACTTAAATATACTAATAACAAATGACAAAACCCAAATATCTAATGAACATATAGAAAACAGAATAATCTCTTTAGTTATTGGTAACTCCGAATAAAAAACACAACTGTATTCTCTCCAGAATGGCTATAATTTAAAAGATTGACAATATCAAGTGGTGAAGATGTGAAATATCAAAAATACTCATATGTTGCTGGGAGACTACATCAGTATGGACACCTTAGAAACATGTTTAGCATTGTCTTCTGAAATGAAAAGTTAATACACTCTGTGACCCAACCATTCCACTCCCAGACACATAATCTGAAGACACTGATGCATATAGGAATGAGAAAATATTAATAGCAGCATTAATTGTAATTTCCTAGAAGCAATCCAAATGTTTGACAGTAGAATGGATTTGTGTTATATTTATATAATGAAAAAAGGAACAACAAAATAAATGATTTATAGGTACATATAGCAATCTGGATGAATCTCACAAGTGTAGTATTGACTAAAATAAGCAAGAAATAAAGCTGCTGTTTTTGTAAATTTCAGAAAGAAATAAAATTATACTGTTTAGAAAGGGACGTTTATGCGGTAACATTAAAAAGAAAAATTAGCATATAAGGGTGTGTAATTTATGATAATATTCTTTTCCACAACTTGGGTATTGGTTATAATTATTTGTAAAGCTATACATTCTGTTTTATAGACTTTTAATTTTTGTTTTATTTAACCATATGAAAGCTTAAAAGAAGATAAAATATCCTACCCGTTCAACTTTAGTATTCCTTCTGCATATTTAAGATTCATACATAAGTGTATTTTGTTAAGTCACTGTGAGAGAGTTCTACTATAGGGTGATTAATTACAGGAACAACAGTCCTCATCTTTCATGATTTCTAACTAGAAGATAATGGTTTGTTACATAAATCTTTTCCCAAACCAGTAGAAGGACAGAGAACACCGTTGGTTTATTTGGTCCTAGACACATTTAAAATAATGAAAAGTACACAATATGCATTATCTTTTCCATGAAATGCAAGAAAGTTCTTAGTATTATTTAACAACACAATCTGTAATATTTTACAAAGCTTTCTTCTGATAGCTTTTGTTTACTAGAGTGTGGGCTTAAGATAAAAGCAAAACAAAACACAATTATCCTATAGATATAAATTGAGTGCTGACTTCATTTTTCCTGAGGTGGTAACTTATTTGCTCAAATGGTACGACTAGATGGTCATACAAGTTTAAGGCACAGAATAATCAAGAGATTTATTAATTTGAACCTAGGATATATTACTAAAAACACAGAAATTTCTTATATTTTCTGTTAAAGCAATCTCAGTCCACATTTATTAAAATACTCATCTAGCTTGGTTTTTGGGCTATATCCTCATCAAACGATGGTAATAGGAAATGAACCAAAGTGACATCTGTAGTCTCAGCAACTTAAAGTTTGCTTGCAATGATTAGTTTTCCTTTCCCAACCCTCTGAAATAAGGTCTTCTCAAGCTTTAGGATGTGTTCAACATTAAGTCTTCAGTTAAGACATCTTGCCTATATTGGAAGAGAAGGGATTTTATAGGTTAATAGGCTGCATGGTATAAGGTGGGAAAGGGTAATTTACTAGGAGGCTAATACATTTACTGGGAAATTGGCCATCCTGTATCTGTCATAGTTAGCAGATTAAAATATTTAATGCCAAAGGGGACATAATAGCCAATGAAGCCTTGAGTCACATTACTGTGTGAAGTAAATTCTAAAATACTATTCAATCTTCTGCATTAACTTGTTTCAAAGGCTGAAGCAGTAAATAAAATTACTAATGGAGCTGGCAGATAGGTCATCCATTTAGCTCAAAAGGAGATAGAATAAAATAAAGAAAAATGCTGAAGAACAAATATATATATATATATATATATATATATATATATATATATATACACACACACACATCTCAAGAAGGATTAGCTAAATTCAGAAAAAGCAAAATTTAGCAATTTTAATACATTCACCTATTTCACCATATACAGTGGGAGAAGAAACTTTAAAAAATTAACTCACAATGGTGAATTGGATGTTGTTACAAGCTATTCACAGCTTTCCTTATAATTGAAATAAGATTCAGAGATGAACAGAGGTTCTAATAGGAAAGATTTTGAATCAGCTCTAAGAGAGCTTCATTTTTTCTACTATCTTTAGAAATGTAATTCATTAAAAAATACAAAAATTTTAAAGTAGAAATTTCTTGTAATTTCTCTACCAGAAATCATGATGAATAATATTTGGTGTATAACCTTTCAGCTTCTTCTGTGTAGGTAGTTGTCTCTATAAAATGTATCACATATATTTTTAATTTATTTTTTTCTTCACTTAAAATAACTTAAACCCCTTTCCATGTTATTAAATATTGTTTAATGTAATTTTTCATGGCTGCATAGCATTTTATTAAAAACCTGCATTCTGGGCGGGTGCAGTAGCTCACGCCTGTAATCCCAGCACTTTGGGAGGCTGAGGTGGGTGGATCACGAGGTCAGGAGTTTGAGACCAGCCTGGCCAAGATGGTGAAACCTGTCTCTTCTAAAAATACAAAAATTAGCCGGGCTCAGTGGCAGAGACCTGTAATCCCAGCTACTCGGGAGGCTGAGACAGGAGAATTGCTTGAACCTGGGAGGCAGGGATTGATTGCAGTGAGCCGAGATTGCGCCATTGAACTCTAGCCTGGGCAGCACAGCAAGAAAAAACAAACAAACAAACAAAATTCTGCACTCTAACTTACTTAGTGGATATACATTTTGGTAATTTACTATATGGTGTTTATTTATTAAAAAATACTGTAGCCTTTTTAAGCTAAATTTCAATGTTTACCTTAGTTATTTCATTAGAATACATTTCTAAAAGTAGAATTTCTATTTTAAAGTCTGCAAATTTCAAGTTTTATTTTATTTTTTTAATGTATATATTTTTATTATACTTTAAGTTCTAGGGTACATGTGCACAACGTGCAGGCTTGTTACATATGTATACATGTGCCATGTTGGTGTGCTGCACCCATTAACTCATCATTTACATTAGGTATATCTCCTAATGCTATCCCTCCCCCCTCCCCCAACCCCACAACAGGCCCTGATGTGTGATGTTCCCCTTCCTGTGTCCAAGTGTTCTCATTGTTCAATTCCCACCTATGAGTGAGAACATGCGGTGTTTGGTTTTTTGTCCTTGTGATAGTTTGCTGAGAATGATGGTTTCCAGCTTCATCCATGTCCATACAAAGGACATGAACTCATCATTTTTATGGCTGCATTGTATTCCATGGTGTATATGTGCCACATTTTCTTAATCCAGTCTATCATTGTTGGACATTTGGGTTGGTTCCAAGTCTTTGCTATTGTGAGTAGTGCCACAATAAACATATGTGTGGATGCGTCTTTACAGCAGCATGATTTATATTCCTTTGGGTATATACCCAGTAATGGGATGGCTGGGTCAAATGGTATTTCTAGTTCTAGACCCCTGAGGAATCACCACACTGTCTTCCACAATGGTTGAACTAGTTTACAGTCCCACCAACAGTGTAAAAGTGTTCCTATTTCTCCACATCCTCTCCAGCACCTGTTGTTTCCTGATTTTTTAATGATTGCCATTCTAACTGGTGTGAGATGGTATCTCATTGTGGTTTTGATTTGCATTTCTCTCATGGCCAGTGATGATGAGCATTTTTTCATGTGTCTTTTGGCTGCATAAATGTCTTCTTTTGAGAAGTGTCTGTTCATGTCCTTTGCCCATTTTTTGATGGGGTTGTTTGTTTTTTTCTTGTAAATTTGTTTGAGCTCTTTGTGGATTCTGGATATTAGCTCTTTGTCAGATAAGCAGATTGCAAAAATTTTCTCCCATTTTGTAGGTTGCCTGTTCACTCTGATGGTAGTTTCTTTTGCTGTGCAAAAGCTCTTTAGTTTATGCAAATTTCAAGTTTTAAATACGCATTGCAAAAACACTTTACAGACATATGGAAGTTTCTTAAATTAGTCTTTAACAGCTATTTAATAGTATAAATCTCTTACGTGTTGTAAAGTTAGAATCCACTGAGTAGTAAGGGGAAGAATGAGGAGACTTCTCTCTTGGGGTAAGTGCATGTTTCACAATCTAAGAGTTTATCTATTAGAAAAAATAAATTTTGACTTTGTAGAATGTCAAGACCAGACCACTTTCAAGTTTTAGTATCATACAATATCTAAAGAAACATGCATTATAGAGAAAAGCTTGGATGATTTCTGTAGAACATTTTACCTAACAATACATTAAAATCCTTTAATAGATTAGTAAAGGAATTGGTGAGAAATGCATTCAATATAGGAACTTTACTTCTTATACTGAGAAAGATTTTAATCATATATGGAAGTAGCTCAGATGAAGGGAAGCAATGGAAGGCTAATCAGGACTTTACTTGACAGAAAAAAAATTGTTGAGTTTCTAATACACGAATATTCTTGCAAATGATCCAGAAGAGAAAGTGCAGAATGAAAACACCAGGGAGATGCCAAATTGATGTAATTAAATTTGAGGAAGTATTTAGAGCTCTGGAAGACTGAGCAGAAATGAAACAAGTCAGATTCCTTTGGTATAAATACAATGTTGGCTTAAGAGAAAATAATTGAAGCCACACCTATACAATGATGAGATTTGAACAGGGGATAACAATAAGGAGGCACCTGAGCATCCCTGTAGATTCTCCATTGAAATCACCAAATTGATGCAGACAAATGGGCTAAAATAGTTGATTATTATTAACAGGTTTTTTTCTTTTTGAGAGAAAAAAACTCAAAGCAGGTTATCAGATTCCGCAAATATTCCATGTAGATCTGATTGCTATACTTTGACTTTTTTTATAGTGGATATGGAAAAGACTTACGTAAAGTTAAGGAATATAATGAGTTGGAAGAATTCACACATGAAGACCATCCCTTTTAAAAGATAAAGCCTGAGAGGGAATAACATCTAATTTCATACAGTCTTGAAAGCTCTGTAAAAGGTAGATACAGGCTTATCAATTCATGGACTAGAACTTGGAATGCAGCGGTTCTTTTGTCAGCCCTCACCTAGACCCAACCCTGGCTCTCCCAAATTTCTGATAACCTTAAACTAGGTGCCTGGCTCTGTACTAGAAAGGAAGAAAGGAAGAAAGGAAGAAAGGGAGAAAGGAAGAGAAAGAGGAAGGGAAGGGAAGGGAGGGGAGGGGAGGGGACCTAAAGATACTGCTTTTTATGCTCACGTTTATGGCAGTTTACATGAAAAAACGGCTCAACTTTATTTCTGCACTTCAGGACATCCAGGCTAAGAGCTTTCAGTTTTTGACTCATTACAGAAACTGTTTTGTTTCTTTTCTGTCCAAGATAGCAGATACATGTGGCAAGTCTCTCTCAATCAGTGGCCAAGTGGTCCTCCTGTACTGTCCCTCAGTTTCTGCTCATCTCACAGATAACCATCTAACTTTCTGAGAAGTTAACTCGTCTAAACTAGAAACTTCCAAAGTGAATTTCATGTACAACAAATTGCCTGTATTTCAAGTGAGACTGTTCCAGCTATCTAGTCATTTTGTTGGGATGCTATTTTTCATAGACAGAGAATTAGTTTTTCTACATAGATACCTCATATTTAAGTACTTTCTATAAAATGTCCTGCCATCCTAAATAGATTATATATTCTATTTCAGGGATCATAGCTTGTACTTATATTCCCAATGTTTATAACAGTAAGGATGTAATACCTCTTCTTATTATTGTTATTTATGATGATAATGTTTGGTGATAACAAACAAAAGAAGGTCAGCTTTCTAAGATAGACAGAAAATGAGTTAATCCATTTTCTGAGTTAGGGAGGGAAGACAACATTTAACAAACATTGACCAGGACTATTATAGGTATTTTACCTAAGTAATTTTATCCCTTTAAGGTAGTACTTTTAAATATTTAATGTGCCTATGAATAACCTGGGGTTCTTCTATAATGCAGGCTCTGATTCAGTAGGTCTGGGGTAGAACCTGAGATTCTGCATGTCTAACAAGCTCCCAGGTGATGCTGATGTTTTTTGTAAAGGAAAAAATTTAAAATCTCAGGAACCCTAAACTTCTTATGCAAAAAGGAGAATGAAGCCTGTCCTGCCACACCCTCTTCCAAATGAATAGCTGTCACTAACATTATTCTTTAGCCAGATCCCCATGGGAAGGTAAAAGGCCTCAAGCATCTAAAAGGACTGTCCCTATAGATCATTCAAAAGTAAAATTTTTGCTGGCCTCTCATATAAACAAGGGAATGCCAATTGTAACTTCAGGGCTACAATGTAAGTCTAGCTCTTAAAACTAAAGTCTGTTGGATTTCACACTGATAAAGACCAGTATGAGCTTATCTTCCCAGGTGCAGAACAATGTCAAGACTCATTCCTCCACCTACCCAGAGACATCTGCATAATTTCTTCTTCCTTTACTCTCTTTTTCTCTTCAAACATTCATTAATCTTATGTAAATGTAGATTTACTGGGCACTAACCCAAGTCTCATGGGAATGTAGCCATTTGCCTTCCTGCTCACCTGCCCCTCTTTCTACCTGCCCTCTCCCACTTCAAGGAAATTTATAAATACCCACATAAAGCCTCTTTGGAAAAACAAAAGTGTCTGTGGCTCCTATTTTTCCGGATGTACACTATAGCTGGCTAATAAACCTTGATGATTGAGACTCATTTCCAATGTCGTATTAGTCAGCAGATGACACTTTGAACAACAAGGTTTTAAACAACTCTATGAGTAATATAATTATGACAATAACAGCAATGATGACAACAATAGTCATTTAACATACACCATATTACTTGAACGGAAGTTCTACAGGTTAGGTAAGATAGATGGTAATGTGTGAACAAATGATACTGATAAGTTAGAAAATCATAAAATAATAAAGCTAGGGAAAATTTTTTAAAAACACCATTATGAAAATCAGTTAAACCTGATACATTAACTGTCTCTAAAAATGCTCCTTTTCTGTTCAGTGAATCTCTAGCTAGGATAGAATTTGTTTACAATAAGACAGTATTGTGACAGAAGACATTTATCTTTTCTTTAAATCCACAGCAGTTCCTATCAACAGACTACTTAAAATCAGCAGTTTTTCTCATGCTTTCAATGGTTAGTCTATCTAACAGCATATGTAAGTGACCTTTTGATAATTATTTAAAAGGTTCGTCAGTAAAGTCTCAAATGCCTGATTCAGGAGAGTCACGTATCTATCTGCTCTGGAAGCACTCAAGCTGAACTGTCAGAAAGGCAAGCACTTTCTTTTTGGTTATGTTTGTTGCAACGCTGCTCTATTTTTAAATTTGCCACAGGAAGGACTTCTCAAGTTCAAATTCCATAGATCCAAAGTCACTAAATATACCAGCACCTAACAGCAGATTTACAAGCACTAACCTCTGGAAATATATCTTCCCCAGAAAAAGCAAGTCTGCCTTTGCTGAGTCCAAGAAAACCAATTACCCGAAAGACTCTGAAACCACCACCTGAAAATGCTAGAATAGAGGCTTCTGTTGATTTTTATGACAAAAATATTTTTTTGATCACTAGCCGAACATCACCCTTATCTGCTCTCCTGTGCACATCAATTAAATGAAGAGGGAGGGAAAAAGGAAAATAAAAAATTGTGTTATTAAAGAGTAGCCAGTGAGGAACTGGTTGTTTTCAGGCAATGAGGCCATAGTGTCTTAGAAAACCCTTAAGCAGACAGTCCCTGAGAAACAGTGTGTTATCCAATGTTAAGAAAATATCTATGATTGATTCTTTACTACTTCATGATAGGGAAGTTATGCCATGTAGTGATGGTGTGGAGGGTGTTTTTGGAAGATAACTTTGTGATATGCTCTGAGGAATGACAGATCTTTTATCCTTTCAATATAGTAAAAGTTCTTAAAGAAAAACCTGGGAACTATGGAGATCTTTTTTTTTCTGCTTTGAGGAGAATATTAACCCATTTTTGCTGATTTTAGTAACTTCACAGAGAAGTTTTTTAAAAAAATTCATATGGATGGGGGTCTCACTATATTGCCCAGGCTGGTCTCAAATCCTGGTCTCAAGTGATCCTCCAGCCTTGGCTTCCCAAAGTATTAAGGCTGTAGGGGTGAGCACTGCACCTGGCTAAGACTCCATTCTTAAAGCATTGTGAATGTTTTCATTGTTATAATTTATTTATAACAATATAAAATATAAATTAAAAATAAAATTATAACAATTTATTTATAATTATTATAAATACATTTATAATTTAATAAATAAATAATTCCCTTTCCTTGAGTGACAAGGGAAATGGTTGAGGTCATACAAGTTTGCCTTGAGTTTATCTCACATAAACATCGATAAACTAAGAAAAGTCTAATTTCAATGGAGGATTTTCCAAGGTTAATGAATGAAGTCACCTCATGGACTGGGTTCTGTGTAATCACCCATCTTGTGTTTGTATTCAAACATATTGAACCTTGAATGTGAGTGAACTCTATGCCCTCTGACATAAAGATGTGGTCTGGTCTTTGTGACTGTAATTGCAATCCTGACCATTAGTTTCTATGACTTGTTTAAGTTAATAATCAGTTTTTGTGCAGGAGCTGATTGCCACCTTTTCTTTTATGCTGCAAACTTGTTTTTATAACTATTTGTCAAACTGAAGAAACCACTCGAGTTATTTGGAAAGAGGACAGAAAAAATTCTGCCATATACAACTAAATGAGCCACCCATAGTTATATATTTTATGTAAGTCTTTTTTTTTTTCAGTAAAAACTGTGTTTGACAGAAAATGCTTTGCTTCTAATTTAACCTCGGACTTTTTATGCTATTTCACAGTTGACCCAGAAGAGTGAAGCTTATTTTCACCGCATAAATGTCACTTTAAACATTTTAGGATACATAAAATTCCTTCCTATATACCCAGTTGTATAATAGAAGAGAGAGAGTTTGACAGAGAGAAAGAGAGAGGTACAAAGAACTACAGTGTATAATTTAGTGCAACGCTCAATGAAGAATAAGTACCTATGAAATAAACTTAGGTTCAATTACAAATAATCTACTCTATCATCCATTTTTTTCTCATCATGTTACTTTCAGGCTACTGTTGTAGGTTTTCTACCTTTAACTTCTCTGTTAAAGGCATTAGTATCTGCATAAGTACCAAAATTTAGGAACCCCTATTTCTTTGTCTTATTTGACTAGTCTTCAGTATTTGATCCTATTGACCATGATCTTCTTGTTGAGATTATTACTACTCTGAGCATTTCCTTTTGGATGCATTTCTTTATTTGTCTACATTCATGAATACTGGAATTACTTTTTTTTTTTTTTTTTGAGACAGAGTCTTGCTCTGTTGACCAGGCTGGAGTGCAGTGGCGTGATCTCGGCTCATTGCAATCTCTGCCTCCGGGGTTCAAGCGACTCCCCTGCCTCTGCTTCCTGAGTAGCTGGGATTACAGGTGCACACCACCATGCCTAGCTACTTTTTGCATTTTTAGTATAGATGGAGTTTCGCCATGTTGGCCAGGCTGGTCTCGAACTCTTGACCTGAGGTGATCTGCCCACCTTGACCTCCCAAAGTGCTGGGTTTACAGGTGTGAGCCACAAGGATTACCTTTTTTAATTTCTCTCTCTCTGTCTCTCTCTGTCTCTGTCTCTCTCTCTCTCTCTCTCTCTCTCATGTCGTTTCACCTCCTGGTACTGAATCCATCACCCTGTTTCAACAACAATCTATAGCTCTCTATGTCAATGACTCTAAAAATCTATTTTTCTTCCCCAGATTTTGTTTCTGATATCTGTGTATCTCAACATAGATTTGCTGCAATATTTTAATTTCATCATGTCTATAACTCAACTAATAATTTTGCTCACCCAAACCATATATTTTGTGTTCTTTATTTTCATCACTGAAATAATCATTAATTAAATCATCAAGCCATAAATTTGAGACTGTCCTTGATTCCTTCATAATTCTTATCTCTCACATTCAACTGGTCATGATTCTATGAATTCTACATGTTAATTATCCCTCAAATCCTGCTTTCACAGCTGCTGTAGCCTCAGCTGACTATGGAGAAATACAGACTTCTCCCTCCCCATCCCTCACCACAGGGTTGAAAATGAGACTAGAAAATTGAAGGCAGCTATAGTGTCTGATATGTTAGAAGACTCAGTCATCATGGAAATTATGCTTGGCCTGCATTATGGAGTGCATCCAGTTCTTCCTAATCCATTACATAGAATGACATTAGCTCTTCAAATAGAACCTGCCAGATGCTAAAAGCCATTGTAGGTTTGTCACCTATATTTCCCCGGAGATAATTCCTTCTTATTCATAGCTTTGTGTCCTACTACTCAATCTAATTTACATAGTCCAACTCCCAGGAAACAGTAGTACCTTATTCCTGGTTCTATACATAGCCCATTGAATTAAAGTCTGTAATTAAGAACCATAGCCGTATTTATCTCTTACACGGCATGTTACAGCTCAACCTGCCCTGAACAAAATAAATAACACTTTAAATTACAAATTGCAGATCTGTGCTCAACAAAGAGGAGCTCTTTTCCAGTGTATATTATTGATTATGTTTTCCTTGGGTAATTTTTGTCTATCAACTAACTCATTTTGTAACTGGTAATTCAGGGTTTTTTTTTTCCCCCTTAAGAAGTAAACTCACAAAGTGAGTCTGACTGAATGTAGGCCATAGGTTCTTTAATATGTAATTATTACAATAAGTAGTGCATCACTGCAGTACTTTGCATGCGCCAGTGAATATGCATCAGCAATTAAGGACTCCAGGTCCTGGAGAATGAAATAAACATTAGCAATTTTTGCAATCTGTTGAGGCCAAGAAGAATTCTCCAATAGAGTAGTAAATTTTAAATGGAAATGTTTGTAATTATTTAATGAGAAAACATGCTTTTTTTTCCATTTCCAGAATGGAAAATATGTTCTTTCCAAACTTTAATACTTCATAACTTTAGAAAATAAATAATTTAATTTTAATATAGTAATTCATGAAGTTCGTATAGTTAATTTATGTTTTCTAATCACTCCCAATGATCTTTGCTATTCAGTAAATACTATAATTTATTAAATTATTATAAATGATATAATTTACTGAATAATTTTATATATTACCAATTTGACTGATTAAAATAAAAAGATACAAAGATTGGGTTGCCCAAACTATAGACAAAGCTTCTAATTTAAGAAAGACATTATTCTATTCTCAGGGAATTTTATTTCTCTTTTATATATATAAACATAAATGTATGATTTATAGATACATATGATAAAAATCATATATATACATATATATATATATATATATATATATATATATGATTTTTATAAAATCCTATCCTAGTTGGGAAAATCCAATATTCTCTTTTAATAGTAGCATCTGACTATTTTTATTATACTCTATTTTTAATCTACCACCT
The DNA here is from genome assembly GCF_000001405.40 of Homo sapiens. Classification (NCBI taxonomy): domain Eukaryota; kingdom Metazoa; phylum Chordata; class Mammalia; order Primates; family Hominidae; genus Homo; species Homo sapiens. The sequence continues at coordinate 66,534,369 of NC_000010.11, read as the reverse complement.
ATACTGGTAATAAAGAACTTTGTTTCAGGTCAATTTAAATAGATTATAGAGCTTTTCTTACCTTAAATGTGTGGTAAAATTGCTACAGTATTTCTAAATGGCCTTTCCAGCTTGAATTCATTCTTATTTTCCTGTTCTGACCTCTAGCTAACCAAGTAATATAATTAAAATCTGAAGAAATAGCAAAATGGTCAGTTTTTGAGCATAACAGTTCCATGGGGGAAATCACACTTTAATGTTTACCTTTTGCTAACTCGAGACTCACTAGAGTTGAGCACAGGATGGATCAACAAGGAAAGCCTGGTGATTCACTTGGAATAATCTTTAGAATAGCTTAATATGGATATTTGATGAACACTTTGCTGTTGAATATGCACTTTAGTAGTGGCCCTATTTTTTGTGACTGCAGAGTTATAAATAAAATAAAATGATACGTACATTAAAAAATTTTTTAACTCTTTTGTAAGGATGGGGTCTTGCTATGTTGCCCAGGCTGGTCTTGAACTCCTGTCCTCAAGCCATTTTTCCACCTGGACCTCCCAAAGCACTAGGATTATAGGCGTGAACCTCCATACCTGACCATATAGACATATTTTCATCACCATAGCTACTGGTATAAGAGTTCGCTGTAGGGATAGACTTGATCACTTGGGAAAAGCCTTTAATAAATTAGTAGGCTTGCAAAGTAGAAGGAGCCTTAGACTGGAGCCCTGGTTACATGGGAAGAGGGATTCTATTTGGCACTTTCCACGTACCCTGGGAAAATAACATAAAGACATTAAGATCACTGCTTTTTTATAACAATGGAAAGTAGAGATTAGTCATTCATCAGATGATCACTCTAATGAACATCTCGTTAATGAGAAGAGATAGTGAGATCAATACTCACCCTAGATGGAACCTGACCTGGATTTGATAAAGTTTGAGATATTGAGATAAATACCCACGACAATCCAGGAACCTGACCTAGATTTGATATATTTGAGGTAGTGTGATAAATGCTCAACCGTGACAATCTAGGAAACTGACCTAGATTTAATAAAGTTTTCGTGAGAAAATAATGCTTTAGGTGAGCCCTGCTGGATAAATTGGAGTTACCTAACAAGAGGTAAATCCCTACAGAAAGAAAAGCATAGACAAATGCCCCTAGACAAAGAAGAGTGGAAATCGAGGGGTGCTGATAGGAAATAATGCTAGAGAAATAAACAGGGGCCAAATATTTCAGGGCCTTAGGCTAAATTAAGTACTTTGACTTTGATCCTATGATAAAAGAGGAGGCAGGAATTTTGTGAAATTAGTAATTTGGAAATATCACTTTGTAGAGAGTGGCTAGGAACAGAACTAAAGCTACCTCAGTTGTCACTGAGAGATAATGATCGTGTAGAGTGGGGTTGTGGCAGTGGACATAGTATCTTGGAGGTCAAAATACTAGGTCAAGGATATTAATAAAATTTCTAGGAACCCATCAGAAGGAGAGAGAAGGAGACCATGCAAGAGCATGAACAATGAGAGAGGAATGAGAAAGAGAAGTCAACCCTAACTATTTCGACCCTATTTGTACCTTGTACTCATATTTTCTTAACATGCCCTTGCAACTCAGGGAAAACATTGCTTACATAGATTTCATATACGTGTTGTCCTTTATTGAATATTTATGCGTGACTTTTCTCCCTTAGAACACTTAAAGTGAAATATTTTCTGAGTTTCTCCTGTCTTATGCTCTCTAACTTAGATAAATGGTAGACACAGAGCAAAAATCATTTGACAATTAAGAAAGTTAAATTTCTTAATGTTATGTGAACTCTTCTTAGTGCTAAAACCAAAGCTGAATCCAAGTCTACAAAGAATATGTCTAATCCCAAGCTGTCAGGCATTTCAAATACATGCCTTTTTTTTTTTTTTCTTTTTGAGACGGAGTCTCGCTCTGTCACCCAGGCTGGAGTACAGTGGCGCGATCTCAGCTCACTGCAAGCTCCGCCTCCCAGGTTCATGCCATTCTCCTGCCTCAGCCTCCCCAGTAGCTGGGACTTCAGGCACCTACCACCACGCCCGGCTAATTTTTTGTATTTTTAGTAGAGACGGGGTTTCACCATGTTAGCCAGGATGGTCTCGATCTCCTGACCTTGTGATCCACCTCCCTCAGCCTCCTAAAAGGCTGGGATTACAGGTGTGAGCCACTGCGCCAGGCCTTGTTTTTTCTTTTTAACTTTTGCCAACCTCTTATTATATGAAACACACTTTGGCAATTAATGAATAGCTTACATTTTGACTTTATGTCTATATGAAATTGGATGGTACATTAAAGAGAAACTTTGTAGATGTTTCTGACATAAAAGTCCTTTAAAAAAAGGAGATTTGGCAAAAATATTAAATTCATTTTAAATTTCTCCATTTGAACTGAAATGATTTGGGAGATAGTACCAATTTTTTTCCACTCCAAATTCTAAACTTATTAAATCTCTGAGTAGCAAATTATAATGGATCAAAAAATCTCTGTTGCCTATATTTATTTTTTCATCATTGCCAGTTAAAGTATTTTTATTACTTTAAACTGTAATATGTGTTATTGGTATCAGATAGTTTTAAGGCAATTTTTCTCTTATTTTAGTTTTATGTTACAGGAAAACCCTAAAAAATTGTGTGTAGATTCAATTTTTCTTATTTATATTTATTTAACTCAGACTTAAAAAAATTGGAATATTAAAATGATTGTTGAGTTCAACAAAATTGTAAATTCTGTGTGTATATATATTTGTGTATAGTATTCTTTTAAATCCCTAAAGCATTCTTGTATTTTATTTTCAAATTATCTTTATAGAAGCAATCATTTGTAAATTAGTTGGGCATGGTGGCAAGTGCCTGTCATCCAAGCTACTCAGGAGGCTGAGCCAGGAGCATTGCTTGAATTTTTGGGGCTGCACCACTGCTCTCTAGTCTGGGCAACAGAGCAAGCCTCCATCTCACAAAAACAAACAAACAAACGAACAAACCATAATCTAATTTAATTCTACCAACAACCTTTGTAACAAGCATTTTAATGATCATTACAGATTAGGAAATTGAGGCTCAGAGAGTAAGCAATTTGTCTAAAACCACACAAAACTAAGTACTGGAGCTGGATTAAAATGGGAGTCCTCACTCCAAATTCTATTTTTATTAGTCTACAAACCCTACGTATTGGTGATTTTGTTTTATCATCACAAGCAATGCATTTTATATTCTTTTCCTCTTTTACTTATTTAATTTGGAAGGTTGTCCAATCTTAATATTTAGTGTAAAAGACAGTAAAATAAATGTTTTGATTTTCATGTGGAATTATTGCCTTTTACAGACCTCCCGGGAGCATTATTTTTCCCACTTATTACATTTTCCATAACCGAAATAGTCCTAGGTTGAACTTTTCCTCTTCAGCAGTATGTTTTATGAGATACGAAAATTTATACTGGCATATACTTTCACAGAAAGCTCTATCCTCCCAGAAATAAACTTTGTCCCCTTCTCCTCTTAAAAAATACTTTTAACCCCTAGAATAGGATAGCTTGGTTTCTTATACGTTTATCCAAGGCAAATGAGAGTCTTGTGAGAAGTTTCCGTGTGAGTGATCCCATCATGCAGGGATCATCCCTTCATGGAGTAAGAAGATTACAAAAAAGGTTGTGAGGCCAAAGTTGAATGCAGTTTCATTAATTGTAAACCTGGAGTCCATGGCAGGTTAGGTCTCCTCAGCACCACACCCTCCCCTACTCTGAAATGCTTTTATCATTTAACATAAAGTTCTGACATGGAGATTCATGGTGGGAAGTATTACATGCCGTAATTTGAAGTGTAAAGGTAATTTGCCATAGATGAAGTATAGTATGAGAGCAGGTAAAATAGAAAAAGTTATCAAAATAAAGAAATGTGGAAAAACTACGTAGAAAGTGAGAAATATTTGGTAGTAGTAGAACATCATTTAAGCAACTGAGAAAAGGATGAACAGAGTTAGAGCATTGAATTTGATGCCATTACTCCAGTTGCTAGAATTCTGAAATTATGATGATGTTACCAATTTAAGTGGTTGTTACATAAATTCACCTCACATACAACCTTAGATGTATTCGAGGCATCATATATCTAGTTATTTTAATTTTCTCTACTTGCCGTGCCACTGAGGTAATCAGACCTATAGATACTACATATAAATCATCTTTTTAATCCACAAAGTGCTTTTGTTATATTAAGTAAAATTTTTAAGATTATTTGTATCAATGCCAATATTGAACTATCTCTGGGAAAAATTAAATTACGTAGATTTATTTTCACCTTTTAAGTAATTGTTTTTAGAAATCTTTCAAGAGAAGTATATACATCAGCATTAAATCAAATGTTAAAATCTGAAGAACCTCTAAGGCATGAGCTAATTCAAACCCTGTCTCCACACCCCACCTCAGTGTATGCATACATGTATTTCTGTGAAAATAGGTCCTGGAGAGGTAATATGACTTTTTTTATGGGCATAAAATCAGTTTAAAGCAAAGTGAAACTTTAACTTGAGCCTCTTGGCTTCCAATCTAGAGTTTCTTCTATAATTTTGGGCAAGTTATTTCATCTCTTTGTGCCTCCATTGTCTTGTCAGCACATTGGAGATACTGATAAGATCTTTCTCAGGGGATGAAAAACAATACAAATCAAGTAATTAGAAACATGCCCGGCACATTGCAGGTCCTCAGTAATGTTATTTTTATAACTCCTACACTATTCTTCCATTTTTACACATATAGTAAAAGCAAAATAACTTTTTTGAAGAAAACCACTGTCACATCAAAAGGAAGGTGAAGGGAAAGAAGTCATTTTTCTCTGTAAAGAATAAAAATATTGCAGTTGAATATGTGTTCATTTTATCATTTCAGAAGATAGGTTTTTTTATTAAAAAAAAAAAACAAAAAAAAAACACTGTTTGGCTGGGCTCGGTGGCTCACGCCTGTAATCCCAACACTTTGCGAGGCCAAGGCGGGTGGATCACCTGAGGTCAGGAATTCAACACCAGCCTGCCCAACATGGTGAAACCCCATATCTACTAAAAATACAAACAAAATTAGCCGGGCACTGTGGCACACATCTGTAATCTCAGCTACTCAGGAGGCTGAGGCAGGAGAATTGCTTGAATCTGGGAGGTGGAGGTTGCAGTGAGCCAAGATCGCACCATTGCATTCTAGTCTGCTTGATAAGAGCAAAAACTCTGTCTCAAAAAAATTATAATAAATAAATAATACATTGATTGTGATAGGCCAGGCTGTGTGGAGCCTAAAGTATACAGAGTTTTGAGGGCCTTAAGAAAAAGTGAATATTTATTTAGAAAACAAAAACCAACTAGATACTAATTTTAAAATGCTGTCAAATATCAAAATATAGCAAAATCCAGAAAAATAATACATTTGTATAAATGATGTGTCAGATACACCCTCATAAAACTTTTTTCTTTTCTTTTTTTCTGTCTTTCACTGCACACTCTTGATCACCTCTAAAATGACAACAAGTTATTTTGTAATGTCACTTTCTATGTAGAAACTGAGAAGATAATTCAGTCTTTGTTTTAGCATAGTTTGTTTGGGGGGTGTTTCAGAAAGGAGAGCACATATAATTAGGACAGGCAAAGTCTCTATTGGTTCTATCATGATCCGATGTCAATACCACAAGTATGAAGGTGGTAAAAAATATAGGGAAGTGACTGTAAAACACCTGAAATTACCCACTAAACACAAACTAAATGTATCCTCAACTCAACTTCCCCTTAGCTGGATCCCAAAACTATTTGTGGCAGGTTTTACTAGAATAAATGACAATGTGAACACATTTCTAGAGTCTCTTATGGGTCTTAGAAGGCGTCTGTACAAATGAGATGCCTGTAAATACAAGCTTCTAATACCTAGAGGGACACAAAGAAAATCTTGAGACAGTCTGAAAATCCTAAATATTCTGAACGTAGTTTAGATGTTCAAGGGTTTCCCAAGGTAAATGAGTTTAGAATGTAGTAAAAGTTGTCTATCTGATTTAATAGAAAAATATGAGGAAGCTTAGCCTGAAGCATGTTGAGGTCTTGGCCATATATACCAGTAAAAATGGGGAGAAGCCTAAAGAAGATAGAATGGGACCAGCTGAAGCTAACTAAACTGGCTTTGGTCTGGGGTGTCAGACAACCTAATGCACAGGGTCTAACAGGAGCTAATTTGGACAGGCCTCTATGAGGAAAGAGAAATGAGGATCAAACACAGCCCTTATGAGCGAGCGTGGGCAGGGAATGTCCTTGGAATAACAGAAGCCCCATTTAAAAGGAGGCTGGTGAGTGCTTTCAGCAGTTCCTTGGAGTTCTGTGTACTCCTCCTATAACCTCAATCAATCCAATTAATTCCTTTCTTTTTACTTGCCTGACAAAATCCAACTTTAAACGAATAAAAAAACTTATATATTTTTTTGGTGGTATCCAAATTGAGAAGGAAGAAATAAAATTATCACTGTTCAGTGATGACATACTCTTATATTTAGAAAATCCTGAAGATTATACACACACAAATCTTAAAACTAATAACAGAATTCAGTAGAATACAAAATCAACACACAAAAATCAGTGTGTCTTTGTATACGAACAATGAACAATCTGAAAAGGGAATTGAGAAAACAATTTCACTTAATAATAGCATCATACGAAATGAAATGCCTAGGAATAAGCTTAACGAAAGAGGTGAAAGACTTTTACCTGAATGTCTTTTCCTTTGTAGTTTTTGCTGAAAACTACAAAATATTGCTGAAAGAAATTAAAGAAGACATAAAAAACAGAAAAGACATCATATGTTCATGGATTATAAAATTTAATATTATGAAGATGATAATACTAACCAAAGCAATGTACCAGTTCAATGTAATCCCTATCAAAATACCAACAATGTATTTTGCACATATAGAAAAAAACACATCCTCAATTTCATATGGAATCTCAAGGGACCTTGAGTAGCCAAAATAATCTTGAAAAATAAGAACAAATTTGGAGGCCTCACACTTTCTAATTTCAAAATTCATTACAAACTGCAATAATCAAATCAGTGTGATACAGACATATAGATAAATGGCATAGAAAAGATATCCCAGAAATAAACCCTTGCATTTACAGTCAAATGATTTTTGACAAGGCTGCCCAGATAATTCTATGGGTAAAGGATAGTCTTTTCAACAATTGGTGCTGGGAAAACAAGTACATGGCAACGAATGAAGTTTGCCCCACCTTGTGCCATATACAAAACTTAACTCAAAATGAATCAAAGACTTAAACATAGTGACTAAAAATATAGAACTCTTAGAAGAAAACATAGAGTGACACTTCGTGACATCAGATTTGGCAATGTGCATATGACACCAAAAGCACAAAAAATGGAAAAAAAAATTGGACTTCATCAAAATTTAAAACTTCTGTATATCAGAGGACATTAGCAAGAGAGGGAAGAGGCAACCCAAAGAGTGGGAGAAAATATTTACAAATCATATATATGATCAGAGATTAATAACCAGAATATGTAAAGGACTCCTAAAAGTCAACAAGAAAAAACAATTTAAAAATGGGCAAAATACTTGAATAGACATTTCTCCAAAGAAGATAAACAGTTCGTCAATAAGCACATGAAAAGATGTTCAGCATCATTAATCATTAGGGAAATGCAAACATAACCTCAATGAGATGCCACTTCACACCCATTAGGATGGTTGGGATTAAAAGAAAAAACAAAAGAGAAAATAAGTTTTGGCCAGGATATGAAAAAATAGGAACTCTTGGGCATTGCAGATATGAATACAAAATGGTGCAACTTCTGTGGAAAACAATGTGGCCATTTCATAAATTAAATTTAGAATTGTCAGTCTTCGCACAGTGGCTCACGCCTGGAATCCCAGCACTTTGGGAGGCTGAGGCCAGTAGATCACCTGAGCTCAGGAGTTCTAGACCAGCCTGGGCAACATGACGAAACCTTGTCTCTATCAAAAATACAAAAAATTATCTGGGTGTGGTGGTGCGCATTTGTGGTCCCAGCTACTTGGGAGGCTGAGGTGGGAGGATCGCTTGAGCCTGAGAGGTGGAAGTTGCTGTGAGCTGAGATTGAGCCGCTACACTCCAGCATAGGTGACAGAGTGAGACCCCTTTTTAAAAAAATTGTCATATAATCCAGCAATTCCATTTCTGGGCATATACCCCAAATAATTGCAAGCCAAGACTTGAGCAGGCATTTGTACAACAATGGTCATAACAGCATTATTCACAACAGCCAAAATATGGAAACAACCCAATGTCCACTGACAGATGAATGGGTGAGCAAAACATAGTATGTACATACTGTAGAATATTATTTAATCTTGAAAAGTAATGAAATTCTGATGCATACTACAACTTGAATAAACCTTGAAAATATTATGTTAAGGGAAATAAGCCAGACACAAAAGAACAAATGTTGTATAATTCCACTTATACGAAGTATCTAGAATAGTCAACAAAAGAGGTAGAAAGTATAATAGAGCTTACTAGGTACTAGGGGGAAGGAAGAATGGGAAGCTATTGTTTAATGAGTACAGAATTTCAGTTTGATGTGCTAAAAAGTTCTGGAGATGGATAGTTGCACAGCTATGTGAATGTACTTAATGCCACTGAGTTTTATAAATGGTTAACTTAGCGAATTTTATATATATATTCTTTCTCTCTCTCTTTCACATGCACACACACACACTCTCTCTCTTTTGTTTTTCTTTACACCAGGCATTGTAATGTTTCCTTCAGTGATGGCTTTATGGTTTCAAGGATCATCACTTACTCACAGCATCATAAATTAGTATAATATTGTTATAGAAGAGAGTACAGTGTGGCAATTAAGAGCATGAAGTCTAGGTCAAGTTGACAACTTCTCCTTAATAACTTGGTAACCTTACCTGAAAATGGAGATGACAACACCTACCTACCTCATTGTGGTGTAAAAATTAGGTTAAAAAAATTAGGTGAATATGTAGAAAGTGTTTGGAACAGTGGTGCATGATGCAAAGTATGGACTTTGTTAGTATTTTATTATTATCGTTATTAGCATTTCTGTGGCCTTGTAATCCAAAATAGGATACTCTCAAAAACAGTCAACTCCTAGTTCTTTTTTTTTCTTTTATCTGAGTATCATTTTCTCTCTGTTGATGTTATTGACTCTCTTGATATATTTTCCCCATTCTCCTCTTGCCACCCACTGGCTTATTTTACTCCACACTTTGCTTTTGCCTGTTTATTTTTGTCTTTCTTTCTTTCTTTTCTTTTCTTTTTTTTATTTGAAATGGAGTTTTGCTCTTATTGCCCAGGCTGGAGTACAATGGTGCGATCTCGGCTCACCACAACCTCCGCTTCCCTGGTTCAAGCAATTCTCCTGCCTCAGCCTCCCAAGTAGCTGGGATTACAGGCATGCACCACCACGCCCAGCTAATTTTGTATTTTCAGTGGAGAGGAGGTTTCTCCATATTGGTCAGTCTGGTCTCGCACTCCTGACCTCAGGAGATCCGCCTGCCTTAGCCTCCCAAAGTCCTGGGATTACAGGCGTGAGCCACCGCACCTGGCCTATTTTTTTTTCTTTTTAAACATTATAGGTTCAGTCTATTTACAGTTTCTTCTTCCTTGCACTTTGGCTCTAGTTTCCTTGTAGCCTCAGTTCCATTGGCCCCCTCTGGTTCTGATTTTATAAGATGGCTGCTCTTTACAGAAACTTTCAGCTTTGATCTTGACTGCTAACTAATGATTTCTCCATAAATTCTAGTTCAAATTTTCAAGATTGATTAACACAACACAACTTTTTATGTCAAACCTCATAACCATCACCAGCCAGCCAACAGATTAACTCTTCTTGAATTGGGTACCTGCCTATGACCTAAATAGTGTTGAAGTGGGAGAAAATAATACCAAACCTGCCCTCCTGTGGCTGTCCTCTCAGTGTGGGCTGCGAGCAGAATAGTTTCTCTTAGGGACAGTTTGTAAGTATAGCATTTATGGTAATTAACATGTTTAGTATACCAAGAAGCAAAGATGAATAATACATAGTCCCTCCTATAATGGAGCTCATTACCCAGGAATAGACATGTGTACGAGCAATCATGCAATAGAATAACTACTATTTATTTATATGGACAAAATATTTTTTAAACAGGCTTCACAGTATGTGGTGATATTTCCATGGATATGTTAAGTATGAAAAATGTTTCCTGAGACGGAGTAGAGCAGAAAAAGGGATGGAGCAAGGGCATTAAGGCAGATTCAGCTCTAAAAACAGTCACAGAGGTACAAAGATGAGTGGTGTGATAAGGAAATGGAGCTTAAAACTGTGGCTGGAACAAAGACTAAAATGAGTAAGATTATTACAGCAGAATGAACTGTAGGTAAGGACCAACCTGGGGACGGTTTTAGACTATGAATTACTGAAAAGAAATATGGTGTTTGTTTTTAGTCAACTAGGATTTTATCAAAGGTTATCAGCAAGTGGGGGGCATGATCACTTCGGCATTTGAGAAAGAAATGTGTTTGCATTAAGGAGAATGTCTAAGAGCAAATAGAGACTGGAAGTAGAAACCTACAAGGCTACTAGAATGGCCCAGTTAAGATATAATAAGGCCCGAACTCAAAAGAGACTGTTTCAAAGGTAAACTGACAGACTAGATAATTATCAGGGTCAAGTGACCGACATGTAAATATTTCAACCATAATTTAAAGAAACAAAATGCCTCAGAAAGCAACATAATTCATTTTAAAAAAAAGCTTTAGTTTTACGTGAAGAAGATTTAAGAATGGTTATTTTATTTTCTCTAGATATATGGCTAAAATTCTAGGAGTGTGACATTGGGATGAACATTTTTCTGCCCTAAAGAGGGTTAGAAGAATTCTTCTGAATTGTGTCTTCTTTTAGATTTAAGCTAAATATCACAAGAGTCAAGTAGGATAAAGCTTCTTCATAGTGTGCAGTGTTGAATCAGATAAATTGGATCAGCAGCAGAACTGAAAATATTCTTATAAAATGTAGCCTGTCTTATATTCATAACTTCATATCTCCACTGAGGGTTTTACACCAGTACTTTAAAAGTATACTTTGCTGTGAAGGCATAATTTCAGTACAACCACATGTGTACGTAGCTGTCCAATTGCAAGAACAATGAAACACCAGGGACCAGAGCCACTGCAGTATACACGAAGGTACATTGTAAGTTAATAGGTTAATAAAACTCTAAAACTGAAGTCAAGGCATACTGCACAGTAGTTATTTCTAAAGTTAGTGTGTTTCCTTAAAATTTAATATGTTCCTCTTTTGTAGAAAAGAAACAAAAAAAGAGGATTTAAATATATTATTCTCAGGCAACTAATTTTTTCCGTCTTCTACCTCCAATAATGTGGTGACAGGAAGTGACTTAAGGTACAGTCTTTAGGATATTCAGTAGAAAAAGCTTCTTTTTATTGTTGTCATTGTATGAGAGGTCTTCAAAACCTTTACTGAAAATGTGTTTTATGAAAAAATTATGCATAGAATTCAACATTTTTGCACAAAAATAAACTTGTGCTAACTTGTGATAACGTGCGTGGACAGGATCTAGTTTGACGGGTTAAAAATCAGAGACATCAGTTTGAAAAGAGCCCTATATTAGTCTGTTCTAATGCTGCTAATAAAGACAGAACTGAGACTGGGTAATCCATAAAGGAAAGAGGTTTAATTGACCCACAGCTCCACAGGGCTGGGGATGCCTCAGAAAACTCACAACCATGGCAGAAGGGGATGCAAACATGTCCTTCTTTACGTAGCGGCAGGAAAGAGAAGTGCTGAGCAAAAGGGGAAAATCCCCTTATGAAACTATCAGATCTCGTGAGAACTCAACTATCATAAGAACAGCATGGAGGTAACCGTCCTCATGATTTAAGTACCTCCCACCAGGTCCCTCCCATGACATATGGGAATTATGAGAACTACAATTCAAGATGAGATTTGAGTGGAAATACAGCCAAACTATATCAAACCCCTATGAAAGGCAACATAAACTCTGCTAAAATTGAAGAACAAACATCATATTTATGGCAAAGTTTGAGTGGAAGAATGATGAAATCACTGATGCTTTAAAAAATATTCATAGAGACAATGCCCCAAATAAATCTTCAGTTTACAAACTGATAACTTATTTTAACAAGAGATGAGATGATGTTGAAGATGAAGCTCACAGAAGCAGCCCATCCACATCCATTTGTGATTAAAAAAATATTATATTATTCATGCTCTAATTGAAGGAAACCAATGATTAATAGCACAAGCAATAGCCAACACCATAGACATCTTAATTGGTTCAGTTTACACAATTCTGACTAAAAAATTAAAGTTGAAAAAACATTCCACTCAATGAGTATCCAAACCATTTTGCCCAGATCAGCTGCAGACAACAGCAGAGCTTTCGATGGAATTTTTAAATAAGTGGGACCAAGATCCTGAATTGCTTCTTTGAAGAATTGTAACAGGAGATGAAACACGGCTTTACAAGTACAATTCTGAAGACATCACAATCAAAGCAATGGCTACTGAGAGTTGGAAGTGATCCAGTCAAAGCAAAAACAGACCAGTCAAGAACAAGGGTTATGGCAACAGTTTTTTGATATGCTAAAGGCATTTTACTTAATGACTTCCTGGAGGGCCAAAGAATGATAACATCTGCTTACTTTGAGAGTGGTTTGACAAAATTAACCAAAACTTTAACAGAAATATGCCCAAGAATGTGTCAACAGAATGTCCTTCTTCACCATTACAGTGCTTCTGCTCATTTCTCTCCTGAAACAAGGGCAATGTTTCAGGAATATCCATGGGAAATCACTGGGCATTCAACTTACAGTCCTAATTTGGTTCTTTCTGATTTCTTTTTGTTTACTAATTTGAAAAAAAAATCTGTTAAAGGCATCCATTTCTCACCAGTTAATAATGTAAAAAAGACTGGATTGGCATGTTTAAATTACCAGAATCATCAGTTAAGGATTGATTAAATGCCTGATATCATCACTTAGAAAAGTGTCTTGAACTTGATGGAGCTTATGGTAACAAAGTTTATATTTAAAAAACTCACTCTGCAATAATAGAGGGAGTAGGAAAATTTTAAAAATAAAAATTATTATTTATACCTATATAATTTATACTAATAAATATAAAACGTTTTGTACTTTTCAATATAAACTGTATATATGGAGACATTTTACTGTTTTTCCTATTGTCGATGATGAATGTATTTAACCATAATTTAATTTAAATAATCTAATTTTAATACACTTAATGTATTGAAATAAATCACTGAGTAAATGTTCTACATCTTTACAGATTTTTTTAAATTCCATTTTTTATGTTTAACATGAATGAGTATAATTTAATTAATTTTATTTTATTGTTTTAATATTTTTTATTTATTTTATATATTTAGGAATTATAAGTGCAGATTTCTTACATGAATATATTGCATAGTGGTGAAGTGTGGGCTTTTAGTGTGCCCATCACCCAAATAGTGAACATTGCAACCAATAGGTAATTTTTTCAATCCTTATCTTTATAGATTATTAATGCTGCACTTGCTTTGGCTGCAAGACCCAAAAGTCAAGCGGTCAAAAACACCATGGAAATGTACAAGCGTACATGGGAGAATCATATACATGTCCTCACTGAAGCCGTAGATGACATTACAAGCATTGATGACTTCCTTGCTGTATCTGGTATGTTTTTATTCTTTTAATTTGTTTATTTTCTCTTGTCAATTTTATAAAATAGAATAATACTGGGACAGGCATGGTGGCTCATGCCTGTAATGCCAACACTTTGGGAAGCCGAGGCAGGTGGATTACTTGAGGTCAGGGATTCGATACCAGCCTGGCCAACATGATGAAACCCCCGCTCTACTAAAAATACAAAAATTAGCTGGGTGTCATGGCTCACGTCTGTAATCCCAGCTACTCAGGAGGCTGAGGCAGGAGAATTGCTTGAACCCAGGAGGCAGAGGTTGCAGTGAGCTGAGATCATGTCACTACACTCCAGCCTGGGCAACAGAGCTAGACTCTATCTCAAAAAAAAAAAAAAAAAAAAAAAAGAATAATACTAAATAAGATTAATTTTATTTAATCCAGTAAACATTTAATTGATTGTATTTTTGGATGCAATATGTTGCTATGTATTAGCAGCAGTTGTGTCATCCATGGTCTACTCTGGGATTATGAGCCTGACCTCTTGTAATCTTTTTAAATTTAACAATTTACACTGAGTCTATAAAAGAAACTCCTATTCATGGCCAAAACATATTAGAAAATAATACCTAGAATCTTAGGTTTTTCCTAGATTTTCAAATAAATCCTGATTTCCCTGCGCTTCTTTTCCAACCAAATTTTTCTCCCCTCATGGAAAAAAACATATTAGTGAGAAAACATCATCGATTTGAAATGTGTGAACCACAAAATCTGAGACAGATCTCAGTCAATTTGGGAAGTTTATTTTGCCAAAGTTCAGGACACGCACCCATGACTCAGCCTCAGAAGTTCCTGATGACATGTGCCCAAGGTGATCAGAGCACAGCTTAGTTTTATACATTTTAGGGAGACATGAGACATCAATCAACATATGTAAGATGAACAAAGGTTCAGTCTAGAAATGTGGAACAAATTGAAGCAAAAGTGGGACAAGTAGAAATGGGAAGGGGGCTTCCAGGTCATAGGTAGATAAGAGACAAATGGTTGCAATCTTTTGAGTTTCTGATTAGCTTTTCCAAAGGAGGCAATCAGATATGCATTTATCTCACTGAGCAGAGAGATGACTTTGAATAGAATGGGAGGCAGGTTTGTCCTAAGCAGTTCCCAGCTTGACTTTTCCCTTTGGCTTAGTAATTTTGGGGCTCCAAGATTTATTTTCCTTTCACAGATGCAATATGATAATTCAACAACCATTATATGTATTTGACAGTGCTAATCTAAAGAATTAAACAAACAAGTCTAAATATCTAACTACAACAGACAAGGTTGAGATTCCATGTGAAGCCCAGATTATTATCTCATCACAAATTAGAATAATATCCCACAGGATTGTGAAGATACTCATAAATCAATATCCTCAGAAGCATAATTCAAGTTTTGTTTGTGTTGTAAGAACAAAGAAGTGAACACATTTTCGTCTTTTTTATTCTCTCAAAAAGTAATCCTCTGTCTAAAATAAATTATATATACATTTTTCCTTTTTTGTAAGAGAAGGATTTTCTTGGAATGTGATAATATTCTTTCTTATAAAATGCAAATTCTCATGAATATCCAACTTCATTTTTTAAAGTTACCTGATTTGTTCCAGTCTAACCTATTGACTTCATTACTTTCATGTATGTATACATTCTCATAATGAAAAATTATTCCAGAAACCAACTATATTTTCATGATACATTAGTGAAAATGAAATGTATGCTAATTACATATTTTTAAACTACTTTATTTTTATAGAATCAAAATCTTTGGAAATATAGAAAATGTATGGGAAAAAAAATTAATGGCCTTTGATTCCACTACTCAGGAATAATAATCACTGCTAACTGATTTTTTTTCCTTTCACCATTTTTCTAATATATATTTATATTTTCAAATGTGTATCATGCATGTATATATGCATATTTATGTTACTTGCCTTTTTACACATATTTGGCTGCATATTTCTGCATGATTGTATATTATTCAAGAACTTATTCATTTATGTGCTCTTTTGGTAACATTTAAACAGTAATTTTAATTATTATGAACAACATTAAGCATATTTTTGTCTATTTGCTATCTCCTTCATATAGACTTCACAAAGTAAATTCAGTCAACACCTTATATTGGAAAAGCCTTTTGTAATTTGACTGTTGAATAGTAGGTTCTGTTTCTCGGTTCTTTTGGTTAAAAGGCAAAGGAACCTACTTACATTCATCAATGTAGAGGTAGTTTAGCATAGTAATACTGACAGCACATAGGGAGAATACTCTGGACATGCAACAAGGGGAACCATAATTTACCAATCTTTGCATGATTAGAGCTGGGGGAGGCCTGGGATCCAGGGATATTGTAGGTCCTTAAAGCAGGAATTAATAGTTTTTCCCTTTAGTGCTAGATTAACCTGATATACCGATATTCTGGATCTGCTTCTTTTCATGGACAACTTAAGCAGTTCAAAACATAAACAAGAAACAGAAAACTCATGTAAAGGTTACTTAAATAACAAAAACCCTTCCTTATCTCATATACCTAGATGTTTGATATACTTGGCTTTAGGGTTACTAGCCCTAGCAAACGGAGGACTTGGGTAGGAGCAGTTAAGCTATGTGGAGAGGGATATTTTCATGGCTAACATTATTTAGAATTGTCCGTACAGGAGGATAATAAAAAGTAGACTGATGGTTAATATGTTTAATTATTATTTTTAAATTCTGTACAGAAAACGCACATTATTTTCTATGCCCATGGTGGACTGCTCATGATTTTCTGCATTTTGGTTGCCCTGGTTGGTAATATTTCTGTTACAGGAAAGGGGTCCCATTCTAGACCCCAAGAGAGGGTTCTTGGATCTTGTGCAAGAAAAAATTGGGGGTAAGTCTGCAATGCAAAGTGAAAGCAAGTTTATTGAGAAAGTAAAGAAATGAAAGAATGGGTACTTCATTAACAGAGCAGCCCTGAGAACTGCTGGTTGCCCATTTTTATGGTTATTTCTTGGTGATATGCTAAACAAGGGGTGGATTATTCATGCCTCCCCCTTTTAGACCATATAGGGTAACTTCCTGATGTTGCCATGGCATTTGTAAATTGTCATGGGGCTGATGGCAGTGTAGTAGTGAGGATGAGCAGAGGTCACTCTTGTGGCCATCTTGGTTTTGGTAGGATTTAGCCGGCTTCTTTACTGCAAACCTATTTTATCAGCAAGGTCTTTATGACCTATATCTTGTGCCGACCTCCTATCTCATCCTGTGACTTAGAATGCATTAACTGTCTAGGAATGCAGCCCAGTAGGTTTCAAAATCATTTTACCAAGCTCCTATTCAAGATGGAGTTGTTCTGATTCACATGCCTCTGACAGTTCAAGGTTATTTTATTTATTTATTTATTTATTTTGAGACAGAGTCTCTCTGTGTCACCCAGGCTTGAGTGCAGTGGCGCAATCTTGGCTCACTGCAACTCCACCTCCCGGATTCAAGCAATTCTCCTGCCTCAGCCTCCCAAGTAGCTGGGATTACAGGCATGTGCCACCACACCTGGCTAATTTTTTTGATTTTTAGTAGAGATGGAGTTTCACTGTATTGGCCAGACTGGTCTCGAACTCCTGACCTTGTGATCCACCCGCCTTGACCTCTCAAAGTGCTGGGATTATAGGTGTGAGCCACCTTGCCCGGCCCAGTTCAAGGTTATTAATGTGTAAGCATCTCTGAATTCTGTTCATGTTCCCTCTTGGTTGCATCTTAAAGCATTGCATCTCCAAACATTACACAACACAATTTAAAACGGAAAAAGAAGCTGGCTTGCAGCTTTAACTTTAGAGAAGAAAGTCTTTCCCAGATGATTTTCATCAGTTTCTCTTACTTGTCATAGGTCAAAACTTGGTTCCTCTCTCAATCTTGAGCCAATTACCGGCAAAAGAAAATTAGATTTCCAAGATGAGTTTAGAGGGTGCTGATAAGTGATTAACAACTGACTAGAAGCCAGAGGGAGTGGTAGTCCTAATTTGTAGCATTTGTTTATTTCTGTGGCATAAATACCCCCACCTTTGCAGGTTTTAAGCTACCAATGTGATGTCACTGAACTCTGAGTTGGTACGAAATGCATAGAATCGGCTCTTGTGAGCTGGAATAAACAGGTTCTAATTGAACACTAGGCTTAGACCAGCCACAATTTAACCTTTATTACTAGTCACTTACTACACAAACAAAATCAGAGATTTGTTAGTAAAAAAAGAGAAATGGCCATTAAACAGTCAAGCAGACATGTTTGCCTAAAATACTGAGTGGTTTCCACTGCTCTCTCAAGTTTCTGTGCCTTCATAAGCTTATCTTATATTAGTTTAGCCATGATTCTTTACCAGTGATCTTTTTGTAACATCATAATTTTTCAACATCTGCTCCCACAGATTATGGCATCTTCTCTCAGAATTTTCCCAGTCAAACAAAAGAGAAAGAATCTAGCTGGCCCTCTAGATCTTTTTTGTACCAGCCTAGATGCTGTAGGTCCAAAATAAAACCAATGAATAGATGGGTTACCTTTTTTTTTTTTTTTTCCAGATAATTAATCATAGTTTGAATAGCTGTGATGAGAATTGGCACAATCTTGCATCTTCTGTAGGGGACAGATTTTCTTAGAAAAGTTACAGATGTGTTTAATAGCAAATAACTTATCTGGTACTTGTGAAGAATGATTGATATGGCTTGGCTATGTCCCCACCAAAATCTCATCTTGAATTATAGTTCCCATAATTCCCACATGTTGTTGTGGGAGGGACCCCGTAGAGATAATTGAATCACAGGGGTGGTTTCCCCCATCCTGTTCTTGTGATAGTGAGGTTAATTCTCACGAGATCTGATGGTTTTATAAAGGCTTCTTCCTTCACTGGGCTCTCATTCTCCTTCCTGCCATGATGTGAAAAAGGATGTGTTTGCTTCCCCTTCCACCATGATTGTAAGTTTCCTGAGGCCTCCCTAGCCATGTGGAACTGTGAGTCAATTAAACCTCTTTTCTTTATAAATGACCCAGTCTTGGGAAGTTCTTTAGAGCAGCATGAGAATGGACTAATACAATGATCTTTTAGAGTGATATGTTGTTTTGTATTCAGAGACTTCTGGTTCCTCTTTTGTCAGGTAGATCAATTGACAAGTTAGTTCTTAGCGTATCTGTGTTGTGAATTACTTAGGGAAAATTTTACTTTCAAATTTTTTATAAGCATTTAACCTCTCATGGGCTTTCTTTCAGGAGTCAATACTAATACTATATATATATATAGAGAGAGAGAGAGAGACAGAGAGGGAGAGACTATTTTCCATATAGATAGATAGATAGATAGATAGATAGATAGATAGATATAGGGAATAAGGGTCCAAAACAGATTTCCATTTTCTTCTGAATCATTTGTGAAAACGTGTGAATTCTCAGAATATCAGCTCTCTCTACATTAAAATGTAAATACAAATAAAAATTTAAAATCAATGGTAAAGGACTCTTAGACTTTAAACTATTTTTTTGTTATTACCACAGAGGAAGATCACATGTGGTAAAATATTTGCTTATAATTATGTTTTAGTATGATTCAATGGTCCAATATTGACTAAAGATTCTTGAAATAAGGGTATCTCTAATGACAAATGTCTTCTGTTTATCCATTGCAGTTATATATTTAAAACTGAAAGTTTTTCAATGATCATTTAAAAATTATTCATACCATCAACAAATGTCTCATGATAGTTAAACATATATTTTCAGAGGTCAGTTTGCATAAACTGACTCATCATGAGCTACAAACTTTGATAGAAGGGATGAATGATTTGGACCATAAGAACTATTCAACAATTACTAAGAACTGATTAAATATAAGGGTTTGTAAAAATACAACCTTTCTTTTATTTATTCCTTCGTTTATTTATTTAATATTCCATAATTATGAGTGCTAAATCCCATGAAAGGTACTGGAAATTGAACAATGAGTAAAAGGTAGTGGAAGAGATTACTTGCAAAAGAACTGTGGTGGTGGAGATCAAATGAGGATTGGTGGAAGCGATTGACAATGGTTTTTGGATTTTCTGAAAAAGAGATTGACCACTTCTAAATTAGAATTAGCAATGTTATTCCCTTATTGTGGAGTGTTCTGATTATAATATCACATTGACCTTTAGTGAACTGTAGTATTGAAGGATAGTTGAAGATGTGTTTTATTCTATATTTTAAATTTTTCTTAAATATGTTCACTTTTCCCCCATATTCACTGCTACTACGCCAGTTCAAGTAACTTTCTTTTCCCTAAGTTGCTGTAGAATCTTAATAGGACCTCTTACTTCCATAGTTTTGCCTGAAGTCTCTTAATAGGTATTTGCTGAATGTGTAAAAGTATTTATTCCCATTTTAAATTCTGTGTCTACATTAATTTTCCAGATTTATTTCTTCTTAATTCCTTTAATGTGTTTGGCCCCAGGATTAATATTTTAAAAAATCTTCAAATTATGAAAAAATAACTTTCAGCATTAATCATCACAATGTTCTTTGACCTTGGCTTAGTAACACCAAGGTAACTTTCAATGCCATCAAAAATGCACTAACAAGTGTCACACCAGACTACATCCTGCCCTGGGGCCTAATTGCTGCTGCATCTCCACATCACAGGTGCACAGCCTACATCCCCCGACACCATCCCAGAAGGTTGCAGTGTTACATTACCAGCTGAACCTAATGGTGCCACAGGGTCTCTGTTACCTGAGCCCACACAGAGACCTAAATCCCAGGGAATAGGCAGTCCTGCACGTCAGGGAGGCTCTCCCCAGGACATAGAAATCCAAAGCACATGCTTCCAAGAGCCTGAGAGCCACCTTCCCTGATGACAGTGACCTTGTTCCCTGCAGCAATTGGGCCATCATGTGCCTGCACACAATGCCCAGGGGCCTGAGGACCAGCTTGCTTGTGACCTACTGCCATGAACACTGATCCCCAAACGTGCCACTTAGGGCTTAAGGACTGCCCTGTCTGGGATGTGCCACCATCACAACCCAGCAAACTTGGCCCAGCAATAACAGGGCCACTATGTACCTTTGTGTACCACCCAGGATCCTGAGAACTGGTCCATGCAATGTGTACCACCAGAGGTGCGTGTGCACTCCCCAGGGATCCAAGGACTGCTTGCCTGGAGGCCCCATCTCCAGTAAAGTCACATCACAGCTTTCAGGAACAACTAGAGCATAAGACACTGTGAAGCCATAGATACTACTGATTGGACTAATGCTGAAGAAATCATATGGTGACTACAGTACTGCATTCTCCCAGAAACAAAGCCAAAGCACCCTACTCAAGTTTAACAATAGACTAGATAAAGCAAAAGAAATAATTTGTGATCTTGAAGACAGATCTTTTGAAATAAGCGAATTAGGCAAAAAGAGAAAAAAGAATAAAAATGAAAAAAGTTTACATGACATATGGGATATCACTATGCAAACAAATAGTCTATTCCTGTTTTAGAAATTCCAGAAGGAAAAGCAGTGAGAAAATAAATAGGCCACTTATTTAATGAAACAATAGCTGAAAAGTTTCCAACTCTTGGGAGATAATCATCTAGATATAGGGAGCTCAAATGTTCCCAAATCGATTAAATCCAAAAAGGTCTTCTATGAGGCACATGATAGTCAAATTGTCAAAGTAAAGACAAAAAGGGAATTCTAAAAACACCAAAAGAAAGCATCAAGTCACATATGAGGGTATCTTTGTCCGACTAACAGCAGATTTCTCAGAAGAAACTTACAAGCTAGGAGAGGATAGGATGATATATTCAGATTGCTGGAATAAAAAAAAGAAAAAACTTTCAACTAAGAATACTATAAACCATAAAGCTATTCTTTAGAAATGAAGGAGACATAAAATTTTCCCAGACATACAAAGACTGAGGGAATTAATCACTGTTAAACTGAACCTACAAGAAATGCTTAAGGGACTCCAACCTCTGAAAGCGAAAGGATGTTATCTATCAATTAAGCAAAAGCAGATATGTGTCTATATCATTGGTAGATGTTACCTATCAATTAAGGAAAAACATGAAAGTATACAATTCACTGGTAAAGCAGATATGCAAATGAGAAAAAGAAAGGAATAAAATTTTATCACTACAGAAAACCACCAAACCACAAAAATAATAAAAGAAGAAAGGAACTAAGGCTATACAGAGCAATTACAAAACAACTAACAAAATGACAAGAATAAATCCTCATCTTATCAATAACAACCTTAAATGTAAACCGTTTAAATTCCCTAATTGAAATATATAAACTGGCTGAATTAAAAAACTGAGACCCAACTATTTGCTGCTTGTGAAACTCACTTCTCATTTAAAAACACACATAGACTATAACAGAACAGATTAAACAAGATATTTGCTGCAAATGCAAACAAAAAGTGTGCAAAAGTAGCAAACTTATATCAGACAAAATAGACTTTTATTAAAAATAAAAAGATAAAAAGACACAGAGGTCATTATATAGTGATTAAAAAATCAATTCAGCAAGAGGAAAGAACAATTGTTAATATATATCCACCGAACACCAGAGCACTCAGATATATAGGGCAAATATTATTATAGTTAAAGAGAGAGATAGAGACACCAATGTAATAATAGTTGAGAACTTTAACACCTCACCCTCCTCACCCTCAGCATTGCACAGCTAATCTATACAGAAAGTCAACAAAGAAACATTGTACTTAAGCTTCATTTTATACCAAATGAACCTAATAGACATTTACAGAACATTTTTTCCAATGGCTACAAAATGTACATTCTTCTCATCAGCAGATGGAACATTCTCTAGGGTAGACCCTATGTTAGGCCCAAAACAACTCTAAATAATTTTTTCAAAAATGCAATTATACCATGTATTCTCAGGTTTCAGTGGATTATAATTAGAAATCAATAACAAGAGGAACACTGGAAACTGTAAAAATACATAAAAATTAAACAA
This sequence comes from Homo sapiens, assembly GCF_000001405.40. Lineage (NCBI taxonomy): Eukaryota > Metazoa > Chordata > Mammalia > Primates > Hominidae > Homo > Homo sapiens. The sequence continues at coordinate 66,511,641 of NC_000010.11, read as the reverse complement.
CATTCTCCTGAATGACAAATGAGTTAATGAAGAAATTAAGAAGGAAATTTTAAATACTTCTTGAAAGAAATGAAAACAGAAACAAGACATACCAAAAAACCTATGGAACACAGAAAAAATAGTACAAGAGGGAAGTTTAAAGGAATAAGCACCTATATAAAAAAAAAAAGATTTCAAATAACCTAGTGATACACCTCAAAAAATAGAAAAGCAAGAACACGCCAAACCCAAAGTTAATAGAGGAAAATAAATAATAAAGATCAGCACAGAATGAAACAAATTAGAGGCAAAAAAGCAAACAAAAGATTCATGAAAAAAGTTAGTTTTTGAAAAGTAAACCAAATCAACAAACTATTATATAGATTAAGAAAAAGACCTAAATAAATAATATCAGAAATGAACAATGAGATATTACAACTGACACCACAAAAATACAGAGGATCATTAGAGACTGTTAGGAACAACTATACACCAACAAATTAAAAAACATAAAGGAAATGGATACATTCCTAGACACAAGTATAAAATACCAAGATTGAACCAAAAATGAACAGAATCAAACAGACCAATAACAAATAAGAAGATTAAATCAGTAACAAAAAGTCTCTCAAAAAAGAAAAGTCCAAGACCAGATGGATTCACTAATGAATTCTAGCAAACTTTTAAATAACTAACACCATTTTTTCTCAAACTATTCCAAAAAATTGAGGATTAAGAAATTCTTCCTAATTAATTCTGTGAAGCTAGCATTACCCTGATAATAAAACCAGACAAGGGCACAACAAAAAAAGAAAACTATGGGCCAATATGTCTGATGAAGATAGATTTAAACACCCTCAACCAAATACTAGAAAATAGAACCCAACAGCACGTCAAAAACATAATGAACCTAATCAAGTAGAATTTATTCCAAGGATACAAGGATAGTTCAATATATGCAAATCAATAAATGTAATGCATCACATTAACAATATAAAATTTTAAAAACATATTATCTCAATAGACAGAAAAATCTTTTAATAAAATTCATCATCCCTTTATGATAAAAAATTCTTAACAAATTAGGCATAGAGGGAATATACCTCAACACAATAAAGACCATATATGACAAACCCATGGCTAACATTATACTGAATGAAGAAATACTGGAAGCTTTTTCTCTAAGAACTGGAAGAAGACAAGGATGCTCACTTTCACTACTCTTATTCAACATAGTACTAGAAGTCCTAGCACATAACAATTAGGAAAAAGAAAGTAAGAAATTGCCATCCACATTGGAAAAGAGGAAGTCAAATTGTCCCTCTTTGCAAACAACATGTTCTCATAAATAGAAAAATGTAATGACTCTGCCAAAATACTCTTAAAACTGGCAAATGAATTCATTAAAATTTCAGGATAAAAAAAATCAACATACAAAAATAATTAGTATTTTATATACCAGTAATGAACTAGGTGAAAAAGAATTTAAAAATGCAATCCTACTTGCAGTAGCTACAAAAAAAGACACTTAGAAATAAATTTAACCAAGGTGAAAGATGTCTACAATGAAAACTACAAAGCACTGATGAAAGAAATAGAAGAGGATAAAAAGAAATTGAAAAACATTCCATGCTCCTGGACTGAAAGAATTAATATTGTTAAAATGACCATTTCACCCAAGGCAGTCTACAGATTCAGTGCAATCCTTATCAAAATAACACTGTCATTCCTTACAGAAATGGAAAAACATCCTAAAATTGTCTGGAACCACAAATGACCCCAAATACCCAATGCAATACCAAGCCAAAAGGGTAAAACTGGCGATAGTACAAAATATAATATAGTTAGTTAAAATATAATATAGATAGTTCAAAATATAATACACAGTAATAGTAACAAAAACAAAAACAACATGGTATGGGTATAAAAACAGACACACAGACCAATGGAATAAGATAGAGAACCCAGAAATACATCTATATATTTACAGTCAACTCATTTTCAACAAAGATGTCAAGAATATACATTGAAAAAAATGACACCCTCTTCAACAAATGGTGCTCTGAAAACTGGATATTCATATGCAGAAGATTGAAACTAGAAGACCATCTCTCACTACATTAAAAAATCAACTCAAAATGGATTAGAGAATTAAATATCAGACTGAAACTATAAAACTAGTAAAAAAAGATAAAGGAAATGTTGCAGGACACTGATCCAGGCAAAGACTTTATGGTTAAGACCACAAAAACAAAAATAGACAAATCAGACTATATAAAACTACAAAGCTTCTACACAGCAAATGAAACAGTCAACAGAGTTAAGTTACAGCCTATAGAATGAGGGAAGATATTTAAAAACTATTCATCTGGTAAGGGACTACTATCCATGATATATAATGAACTCAAACAACAGCACAGAAACAATAATCTAATTTAAAAATGAGTGATTTATCTGGACATCGTTTCTCAAAGGAAGGCATACAAATAGCCAATAAATATATGGAAAAATGCTCAAAATCACTAATCATCAGGGAAATGCAAATCAAAACCACAATGAGGTATCATCTCACACAAGTCAGAATTCCTATTATCAAAAAGACAAAAATAAATAACAAACGCTGGTGTTGATGCAGAAGAAATGGAACTCTTATATACTGTTGGTGGGAATATAAACTAGTATAGCCACTATGGAGAAGAGTGTGGAGGTTCCTCAAAAAACTGCAAATAGGACTTCCATATGATCTAGCAATCTCACTACTGGGAATCTATCCCAAAGAAGGGAAATCATTGTATTAAAGAAATATCTGCAACCCCATGTTTATTGCAGCACTATTCATAAGAGCGAAGATATGGAATAAACCTACGTGTTCAACAACAGGTTGAATTGATAAAGAAAATGTGGTATATATACACATGGAATACTAGTCAGCCATAAAGGATAATTAAATCCTGTCATTCACTGTAACATGCATAGAACTGGATGACATTAAGTGAAATAAGAGAAAAATAAAGTCAAACACCATATCTTCTCACTCAGATATGAAAGCTTTAAAAAAGGAAAATAGCCACAGTTAAAGTAGTATAAAATTATATATAACAAAGTCCCAGAAGTTTATACATTATAAAAGTGGCAAGTACCAAAATTGTGGCTCATATAGGGAAGCTGTTGCACCAGGAGTGTGGCAACAGAAGTCTTTAAGACCATACTCAAACTGAAAGCAACTTTAAAAACAAGAGCTGCAAGTGTTATCAGGAGTTTTCAGCAAACTATTTAAAATAGTCAAAAACTGAGCAGTTAAAAAGTACCTTCTGAAGTGAACGCCGTTTCTAAATAGGATCCCAATGCCTGGTGGGAGAGGCAGCCTCACTCTACCGTGCAGGCTGGACAAAGGTCCCAGCCCTGAAGTCTTAGACTCTGAGAGTCAACGAAATTGTTAAAAAAAAAAAAAACAGAAAACAAAACAAAACAAAAAAAAAAAACAAGAGCTGCTCCTGCACCACCACACTCTTAATTGGACAAAGATTGGATCAGATTGTAAGAATTTATTATGCTCAACATCACTAATATAATTTTATTAGTTATTTAAGAAACAAACCCAAGAAACTCTTCCACAGAATCTAAATGAAAGGAAATGATTTAAAAAAAATGCTAACAAGGATGTGGAGTAAGGGGAATTCTTATGTACTGTTAGTGGGAATGTTAATTAGTACAGCTATTTATTATGGAAAATACTATTGAGGTTTCTCAAAATGCTAAAAACAGAGCCACCATATGATTTAGCAGTGCCACTACTGGGTATTTATCCAAAGGAAAGGAAGTCAGCATAGCAAAGAGATATCTGTACTGCCATGTTTATTACAGCACTATTCTCAATAGCCAGGGTATGGAATGAACCTAAATGTCCATTAACAGATGAATAAATAAAGAAAATGTAATATATATATATATACACAACAGAATATTGTTCAGCTATTTAAAAAATGAAATATTGTCGTTGGTAACATGGATGAGCCTGGAGGACATTATGTTAAGTAAAATAAGTCAGACGTGGAAAGATAAATATTGCATGTTCTCACTCACATGTAGGAGCAAAACAATGAGCTCATGGAAGTAAAGAGTAGAACTCTGGTTATTACAGGCTGGGAACAGTAAGGGAGAAGGAGGATAGAGGGAGGTTGGTCAATGCATATAAAGTTCCAGTTAGATAAGAAGAATATGTTTTAGTGTTCTATGGCACTGTAGGGTGAATATAGTTAATAATTTATTGTATATGTTCAAAAAGCTAGAAGAGAGGATTTTGAAAGTTCTCATTAAACAAATGATAATGACTTGAGGTGATGAATGTTTTAATTACCCTGAATTTATAATCACACACTGTATACATGTATCTGTCACTTGGTACCCCATAAATATGTTTCACTTATTATGTGTCAAGTAAAATTGAAAGAAAAAAAGAGAAAAATGAACAAAATGTAATAACAAAGGCCTTTTTGTCCATGACATCATAGTGAGCATGACCTTTGGCTTCTACAAAGTTTTAATCTAAATTTGACAAAGAAAATGGAAAATAAATTGATTTTCCATGTTCTTTCATAAGCTGATGCCAAAAAACACATAATAATGTTAGCAAGAGCAAAATGTTAAAATTAACTGCATCAAAACTAAGCACTATTAAATCTCAATATGATATTTATTTAATAGGAGTTGGGATAAAAGATGACCAATATAGTATGTATCTATGCAAATATTAATTATACAATATAATTATAACCAATTTCCTATTACCATACATTGCACTTATACATTATTCTTCAACCTATACCTAGTCAAAATTTAGTTTGATTAAAAGCATCAAGCCATGAAGTGGTTCAATACAAATATATCTTTTAAATTGGAGATTGTTAATCATTTCCTGAAAAAATGATTTTGATAAAATTAAACTGAGTATCTATTATGTGCAAGACAGTATGCTGGGGAATGAAAGAAAATACAATGAAGAAAAATACACAGAATTTGCTTTGAGAGAACTCACAATCTGGTGTATATGAATCAGATTTCAAAAGAATTGTATTTGTTACGTAAACAAAATCTTTTACAATTAATGCTGCTGTACTGTCAGGATACTGAGGAAATATTTTTAAAGAAACAGCTGTTCAGCTGGATTATTGAATTGAACCTTTAGAAAATTGGAAAAGCCTCCCATAAAGAGGGAAAAACTGTGAAAATTCAAGGTGGGTTTGAGGGACAGCAAGTTGGCCAGTATAAAAGAAGCACAGACTACATCAGGATTGGTACTGAGCTTAAAAAGTCAACAGATGGCTTCATATAGGGTCCTGAACTTCCATAGGAAAAGGCAAGTGCTGTGGTTTGGACATTCAACCCCTCCAAATATTACGTTGAAACTGGATCCCCAGTGTTGAATGCAGTGCCTAATGGGAGGTGTTTAGGCCTTGGGTGTGGATCCTTCATGAACAGCTTGGAGCAATCCTCTTGGTAATGAGTGAATTCTCACTCTATTTATTCCTGCAAGGGCAGGTTATTTGAAAGAGCCTGGCACCCCGCACCCTTTGCTTCCTCCCTTACCAAGTAATCTCTACATGCTGGCTCCCCATCACCTTCTGCCATGAGTGGAAGCAGCCTGAAGCCCTCACCAGAAGTAGGTGCTGGTGCCATGCTTCTTATACAGTCTGCAGAATTGTGAACCAAATAAACCTCTTTTCTTTATAGATTATCCAGTTTTGGATATTCCTTTATAGCAACACAAACAGGCTAAGACAGTAAGCCATCTGAAATTTTAAATAGTAACGTTGTATACTTTATCAGTTTTTAGAACACCATCTCCAGACGCCAACTTCTTGTAGAAGTAAGTGATGTAGTGCTAAATAATCCTTAATGGCCCTTAGAAATGAAAGTAAATCCAATATAAAACAGGTGTTCCCTCGTTTTCTCCATTCTATCTCCAAAAAATGAAAGCACATGACTGACACATTCAAGATGTTACAATAGGAAGGTGAGAACCAGTTTGATAACTGCATCCTAGCTCAAGCCGAATAACCTAGGTTTCCATTTACCGAGAAAAGAAGCTCTTCCTTGTCAGGACAGGCCAGTGATGACTTGCAGCCAGGATCTTCTATAACATTGACTAAAATTAAGAGACAGTGATTTCATAGCTGTAAGATTTTTTTCCCCTGAGTCATCTGTGATTACATTTTCATGTTACAGTATATTGTTCAGGGATCATTGTGGAGACTGAAGAGAAATGTACACATGGCTTTATGTAGGTCATGGTGAAAGACAGAGAGAAAGTGTGTATTCAGAAATGATTGAATAGGCTTCCCCAAAGTAATCCATTATTGCTTTATTGGTAATTATGTTTTGAATTACTGCCTGTACTTACATGACTGAAGAGTAGTTTGGGCATGTCAACTGGAATTTATCACACATCATTTCATGTACTAACAGGTAAGTTCACTTAAGGTGCTTTCATTTGAATAAACAATAAGTAGACTGCAGGACTGTTCTTTGAGTATTATGACTTAGATCTTTAGAAAAGCCATAACTGGGAGTCCTTTTTTGACTGTCTTAATAAGTCAGATTTGAAAATTTTTGCTATAACTTTAAGGTATAGCTAGAGTAATGATTAATAATCTTACTGATAAAGTAAATAGCCCTAAGGATTTGCATTTTAGACTTGCATAACAATATAATAGTTTCTAAATACTTCAGATGCATGTGCTATGTACTGACAAAGGCTGTGAATGATAAAATATACTGTTTATAAACAATTTGCTTAGAATTGTCTCAGTGAGTGTATGTGCATTGTTAATAAACCATATTATTTTCAATGGCCAGATATATTGACAAAGACTTTCAACAAAGCAATAGAGAGTCAAAGGAAGTCTCACAATTTTATGTGTATTCAGTTATTTAGGGGTGTATCTCAACTCTAACCACCTATAATCAGTATAAATTGGATGAGGAAAAATCGTTAATATGGTGAATCCTTTAGGATATTTTATAGATTAGATGAAGGATTACAGGGAAATTTTCTCCTTGCCACACAGCACGTTCCTACCTACCAATGAGCCCAAGACATGTTCCTGGGCATTGTGAGAGAACAAAGATTTCAGCTAGAGCTGAAGGGGCTTTAGGCTGGTGAGAACAGCATCAATCTTGCTATCCAAGTGGGTCTAGATAGGAAATTTGAAAACAGGAATCATGTATCTGATTTTACGAGTTGTTGTTGCAATAGACTTAGGGACTTAGAAAGCATCCTGGGGAATTTTAACAAACCGGTAAAAACCTTTGCTTGGAGAATGGCTCCAGAGCCTGTGCTGTGAACAAGTTCTACGTGTTTTTAAAATGCATCTAGGAGTTACATTGTCCTAAAAAGTCTAACTCATAGAAGCAGGGAGTAGAATAGTGGTTACCAAGGACTGCTGGTAAAGGGAGAGGACTGGGGAGATGTTGGTTAAAGGATACAAAATTTCAGTTAAATGGGAGGAATAAGTTCAAGAGATCTATTATACAACAAGCTGACTATAGTTAATAACAATATATTGTCAGTTTGAAAATCGCTGAGAGAACAAGTAAATGTTCTCACTATAAAAAAATGATTAAGTATGTGAGGTGATGTATATGTTAATTCGCTTGATTTAGCCATTCTATAATATATACATATTTCAAAACATCATGTTGTACACCACAAATATATACAACTAATATTTGTTAATTAAAAAAGAAATAATTTTAAAAGAAAAAGAATTATGTTCTTACAAACTGCCTATCGTTCTTACTAAAATTTCACCGCTAAAGTAATTCTTATAGATTTGACAGGAAGATAGTGAATTTTCTCTTTAGAGACTACGTGGAACATAGAAAAAGAAAAATCTGGGCCAGGCGCAATGGCTCACTCCTGTAATCCTAGCACTTTGAGAGGCTGAGGCAGGAGGATCACAATGTCAGGAGTTCAAGACCAGCCTGGTCAACATGGTGAAACCCCGTCTCTACTAAAAACACAAAAATTAGCCAGGCATGGTGGCATGTGCCTGTAATCCCAGCTACTAGGGAGGCTGAGGCAGCAGAATTGCTTGAACCCGGGAGGCAGAGGTTACAGTGAGCTGAGATCACACCACTGCACTCCAGCCTGGGTGACAGAGCAAGACTCCATCTTAAAAAAAAAAATCTGTTTTTGGAGGGAGTTATGTATGCTTGAAGATAGATAATTCTGTCATTTCCTACAAAAATCTATGCTCTTTGGGAAATAACCACTCAGACTCCCTAAATGCCTCTTTGAAAATGTTAATTATATAATTTATTTATTCATGTACTCATTTATTAACAAATATTTGGTGAGCACCTACTAGGTGATAGGACTGTTTTAAAGATAGAACAACCAGTAGAACAGACAAAACTCTCTGCATCCTTAGAGCTCACATTCTTTTACAATTGGAAGAATTGAATAAATTACATATTTTAAATGTTTTGAATAGTGTCTAGGACATATTGAGTGGCCTAGTAAAAGATAACTGTTATTACTAACATTATTGGCAGGCCAGTGTTAAAATTTAAACCAGTATGAGAAAGATAAATCTCTTTAAGGAGCACTTTTGTTCAACCTGTCCCAATAATAGACTATATAGTTAACCAAAATAACTGAAGAATTATCTTAAGAGCTAGGGTGCATGACTATCAGATATTAAAAGTAAAAAAAATCTGATAATTTCAATTATTAGATGTGATATACTTAAAAGAGTATGCTCATACAATACTTCTGGGAATGTAAATTGTTACAATCTCAGTGAAGAACAAAATAACAATATGTGGCACCTGGGTTATGTTGCCAGGAATCCCCCTCTAGGTTTATTGAAGAAACTTGTGCACATATTCATAAGGAAAACCCGGTACAAGTATGATCATTATAGAGTTTTTTTTTTCCATCAATGGGGAAATGAGCAAATAGCAGCAAACACAGTAGTTAAGACAAATGAGCTAGTTTCATATGTTAAAAAGAGAAATTTTCAAAGTAATATTGAGTGGATGAGCAAGTTTTATGGACAGTAGGATGTCATAAATGCCATGTGTATCAAATACATAACAGTGATTAACTTTAGAGAGGGAGGTACGAGACTGAGGAAGAGTTCATATAGGACTTCAGTGTTATCTACAATGCTTTATCCTTTAAAAATTAGAGCAAAATCCAATGGGAAAAAAAGTGCATGTTATTATTGAGGTAGATAGATTATTTTCTATATTTTATGATCTCTACTTTTCTTAAACATTTATAATAAAAAATACATATTGAATAGGAGAAGTAGATGTCAGGGTGCAAAGCCAAGTGACATAGATGAGTCTGTGCCTGGGGAACAGAGAGATCATGCCAGACCAACACATATCAGTACCTGAAACTCACCTAAGAATTGTGATTATCCTATATTCTTTCACTTGACTGTGAATCTCAGTAATACAGTTTAAAAAATGCTTTGTGAAAATGAAAAATACCTAAACCTTTATCACCCAGGGTCAGACTCTAATAGAATAATACTTTCTGAAGTTTTATGTCATTTTTCATTCCAGTTTTGTTGGTGAGTGTGAGGAAAGGATAGCTAGATTAAAAAAATACTTTTATTCTGAAATATTTCAAGCATCCATAAAAGATTAGAGCATATAGAATCACAATGTAATCTTACGGTGAAGTCTTACTGAGTCTTAACTTTTCTCATACTTGTTATTACATGTATAATTGATGTCCCCTGTGTTACCTTTCTCAGGTTTTTACTATTTTTCTTTTTTAGTACTAAAGATTTTGATGAAAGCCTTTGCCCCTTCATAAGCAAATCTGCATGACAGACATTTTCCATCTATTGGATTAGGAGATTTAGGGCATCAAAATAATCAGAATCTCCCTCAGGCAATAGAATATTCTTACTCTGAGTATATGAAAACTCAAAGCTAAAGCTGAAAAGTTTCTCACAGGCGCATGACAACAAGATTTAAATGATATTCTGTTCTGCCATCTTTATAGCAATCTTGATAGTATGGGGGGAATGAATGCCTTTGAAGCCAAGTGCCCAGTGAACACTTTCGTGTTGACAAGTTAATCATTTATTGTGTCAGTCAACAAATACTTATTGAGCAATTACTATTCACTCTAGAGATGAAATGGTGGATAAAGCCTACTGGACTTATTCACAAGAGATCTATAGTCTAATGGGGGAAACAAGCCCTCACCTGATAATTACAGTGTGTTAAAATAGGTTCTGTTGGGAAAGACACCAAGGCTATCTTTCTATCAACAAAGTAATTCTGTGACATCCAGTCTTTGAAACCTCATCATTCTTCATTGTTATTTGAATTTGTGATCACTATTTCATATATTGGCAATTAGTAGCTCATTATAAAGACTTACATGACAATCCAAATAAGATGCAAAACATAATCCATGTTCACTGTGATAGATTTCATTCATCTCTATAGTAATTACAGATGTATAATAATCAAATTTCAATCTGGTTCTTCATAAGTTTGTAAAATGTGTAATTACCAGGAATTTATAAATAAGTTAACACTTTACATTCATTTATAAATAATTTTGCAAATGCTTGTTTTCTCTGTCAGATTTTCTTGTAGGGAATCAGTGGCTTTGAGATTTCAGGCTTTCATCGCATTAGGGCAGTAACTGCCACATGCTAACAGTAGAATATAACTATTAAAATTCTAAACCAGAAAAAATGATATATTTGACACTTCATAAAATCTGTCTTAATTATAAATATTAATTTTAAAATATTCACTGACATCCAGACCAACTACCCTACAATCCCCCATAACCTTATAATTTAATCAACTTCAGAGACTTTCAGTTGTAGGTGAAACATAGTTTTCAGGCACAGTTGTAATACTGTATGTGGAAAATGGTCATGGGAGGAAAGAAAAATACGTCCTTTTTGTGTATCTAAATAATTTGACATGGCAACATTAAATTCCCATGCCATGATTTAATATTTACTTGCAAATATGCATTCACTGTCTTGATAGTGATTTATGTACTTTATGTTTCATACCTAAATTACATATAAATACTCTTCACCTAACTATATGGGAAATTTCATGAAGGTAGAGATATTCAGCCTTGGCCTTGTGACTTGACCCTTTCTTCTTAAACTAGATCAGAAAATCTACTTATTTAAAATTCTGTAAGGTGTTTTCAACCACTGAATTTTAAGCTAACATCATATTCAAAGTATGTAAAACTACCATGGAATAATTAAAACTTATCTAGGGTGGTAAGCCAATTATTATTTTATTATCTTCTGTCTGTCATATTTAGCAAAAACATGTGTGGTGACTGGATTAATTAAAATACTTTATTAAAGCATGATATATATTTATACTATCACTATTTCACTAAATAAATTTATAATTTGCTAGTATCAATTTTTTTTGGTTTGAATAGCTGAATTTTTTATGGATTTATAATAAATAGTGTATGTGTGAGTTTTGTTTTTTACTTTTGTTTGTGGCTTTTAAAATCTTTTTTTCTTAAGAAATGCAACTATTGGCCGGGTGCAGTGGCTCACGCCTGTAATCCTAGCACTTTGGGAGGCCGAGGCAGGTGGATCATGATGTCAGGAGTTTGAGACAAGCCTGGCCAACATGGTGAAACCCCATCTCTACTAAAAATACAAAAATGAGCCAGGCATGGTGGCGGGCACCTGTAATCCCAGCTACTCCGGAGGCTGAGGCAGGTGAATTGCTTGAAGCCGGGAGGCAGATTTTGCAGTGAGCGGAGATCGTGCCACTGCACTCCAGCCTGGGCAACAGAGTGATACTCTGTTAAAAAAAAAAAAAAAAGGAAATGCAACTGTTAATGTGTGGAACCATTTATCCCAAGATCTCTAGGAGTTCCATAGATATTTTCTCATTTATTGCTCCACTTGGAAGGTATTTGGCTAGTATAATCACACATAATATTAACTGTCACAGAGAATTCCTTAATTGCTCAAATTCTCTAAGACAATAAATAACAATGATATTAGTTTTATATATCCTCTAGTCTGGTCAGCCTATTGTTCTCTATTAAAATTGATTTTCCCTGTCGTCCCAGGAGTTCAAGGTTAGCCTGAGCTACATAGGGAGACCCTGTGTCAAAAAAAAATTGTTTTTCCTCTCAAATTAATTTCTGTATCTTTTTTAATGTCAAAATATGGATGCCATGTTTAGATCATAATTCTAAGTTTTTCCATCTGGAACCTTTCTAAATCAGGAAAAATATTTACCTGACTGTTAAGCCTAGTTTTTTATTTGTTACTTATTCAGCTGTTAAATCAAATAATGAACAAAAGCTGAAGTCCCTTCCTCTTTGGCTGTCCATGCAAACACAGCTGGATAATTTTGCATGATTTAATAAGGCAATATAAAAATCCTTTTGACCTAGATTATATATGGTTTTGGTGGCAAATGAGGCTCTTTCCTCTCCCACCAGAAGTTAGTAGGATTCTAGAAGAAAATTTACATGTGGGAATGGGTAGGGGGAAACAAGCAAAACATCAGATTAGTAAAAAATGAAGTCAAAGAAAGAGAAGAACCGACAACTGTGGATTTGTACAGATGGTTAGGTTTTACTTCATTGCAGTGCTTTACACAATATATGGTATACCGCAGATGCCTAATAAACATTTGTTTAATTAAATCTGTTTTACTCAAATAAACTTGTATATGATTTTTACAGGAGTAACGTCCAAAGTGATCAAGGGCAAAATTTACTCTGTTTATGTTTCAGAGATGCCCAACATAGGCTTTAGAGCAAAGCCAGATGTATGTATGTAGCATAACTATTCTAGTTAGACTGCAAAAATTAAGCACAACTATGCAACGTGATTTTCTCCTTGGTATAGCACTGTTTCCAAATCAAGGCTTCTTCTAGCTGTGTAATTGCACAGAATGATCACTCTGCACCTTTCACCAATGTAAAAGATGAAGCTCATTTCCCACAGTGCTAAAGGTTTACGTGCCAAGATCTTTATTACCTAATGTAAAATCTGATGTGTTTTAAATTTCATTTTGTAATTCACTGAACTCAAAATTTTCTGCTTAATTAGACACTAACAAGTGATACGAAATGTGGGATTTATATGTCTTTCAAACATTTGCTGACATGAACCTAAATTATTGCCATAATAGTAGAGGAGAAAAACTTGAATGTGCCATTGGATAAGTTGTATGAACAAAAGGAAAATCCTTTACTTTTGCCACACTGTTAATATAACCTGGCTGAGCACCATTGAATTGTCATATGTTTTAGGTAGTAAGTAAATATTAAGTTTATCTGCCAGTGACCCACGTGTAAGAAGTCATAAGGAAGTATATATTTATTATAATTCCATAAAAATTCAGTATTTTCCCCTCTATAAATATTAAAATGGTATTTTGTATAGGTTCCTTACTATTATCCTATGCTCTTTTAAAACAGAAGTAATCAAAATTGAGATTTCGTTGTCATTGTCAGAAATATGATTTACTTTTCAAGCAGGACTAAGAATAATGAGTTAGGCAGCTAAACTTACATTGTACTCCATGGTGATAAAATATCACATTTCTACTTAAAAAAAATCTCAGTGACATTTTATTACAGGAAAGAATTTAAAATACTGTTGTAGCACATAAATTTGGGAACTGACCCTCTGAACAAAGAGCTATAAGCATAGATTTTTGATAGATAGATTTCCTAAAAGGACAATCCAATCGCTAGTGGACTTTTATTATCTATGTCTTCTTCTGGCTTATGATTGGTACAATTCTAATTTTCTCCCTATTTTATTTCTTCTGAAAAATGTCCATAAATACAAATGATATGTTGGAAGATGGTGGAGAATTATTTTATTTGTCTGGTTATTGGCCTGTGGTGTATTTTACATTGAAAACTGAAGAAAACATGATTTTCTATTTCTGCTTTTCTATCAGCAGTCAAATGATCTTTATTGTCTTAAATACAAAATATGCCATGTCAATCAGAGTACAGTTTGATTATAATTAAATGAAACATTAGCCCTATACAGTGCTCTTTTCTAATCATGTTTGTTCCTATCCTTTCCACTACAGTTATCTCAATATGGTGAAATGAATTATAATTAAATGAAAAATTAGCCCTATACAGTGTTTTCTTTTAATTTGTTGTTTCCTATCTTTTTCATTATATTTATCTCAATATGCTGAAATCTCATCCTAGAAAACTACTTTCTCCATTAAACCTTTCTTAATTATCCAGTCATTTTCTATGTTTTATATAGGTTGATGCAAATTTAATTGCAGTTTTTGTCATCAAAGTGATGACAAAAACTGCAACTACTTTTGCACCATCCTAATAATTTTGACTGTGCACTATAACTTTTATCACTTTCTGCCTTCTATGATAGTTATTTTTATATATTTTCTTCTCTATTATGTTGAAAGTCTTGGAGGGCAAGAACGCTTTATTATGTGCTGAATTATGTCTCCACCCAAATTTATATATTGACATCGTAACCCCCTGTAACTCAGAATGTGACTGTATTTGTAAATAGGGTCTTTAAAGAGGTAATTAAGTTAAAATGAGGTCATTAGGATGAGCCTCAATCCAATATAACTGATGTCCTTGCAAGAAGAGGGAATTAGGATACAGACATGTATTGAGGGAAACCCTGTGAAGACACAGGGAGAAGATAGCCATCTGTCAGTCAAGGAGAGAGACCTCAGAGAAAACAAACCCTTTCAACACCTTAATCTCAGACTTCTAGCCTCCAGAAATGTGAGAAAATGAATTTTTGTTGTTTAAGCCACATCAATCAGTGATACTGTGTTATGAATGCACTGACAAACTAGTATAGCTATTATTCACCGTTGTTCTGAACGACCTAGCACAATACCTTGTATCCAGTACTGCTTCAATAAAGGTCGTTAAATTGATTTCCTTTGTCGTGTGTTCACTGTCAACTAAAAGTTTTGTTTCAGTGAAGTAGGAGAATACTAAGACAATTCCTTCTTTGATCCTTTACACTGAATAAATAAATAGCAACCATGCTATAATTATCAAGCTTTCCTTCCCATCATTACTTCTTTATTGTCCTTCAAACCTGAATTTATTTGTGACAACTTTGAAATTGCGTAAGAATCTTCTGGTTTATGTAATGTCTACTTAATTTAATTCTCGTATGGATCATGTGATAATATTTCTATATTTTTTCTTCATTATTCTAGTAATGAGATAGTGATTATAGCATTTAATCAAACTGGAAATAATTATATTGTCACACTTTATGTAGATATATCGTTTTAAAATACAACTTTTAGAACATTATTTTGTGTACCCAATAGTTCAGTCATTTCCTTATGACACCTATTAATCAGATTATACTACGGAATTTTAAAAAATCAAGGTTGACATTTTGGTATTAGAATGATTTTCATGTTCGATATGGTGATACTAAAACCTGTTTCCTTAGAGTAAAAGGTTTTAATCATGCAATATATGACACATGACATATATTGCTCAGCTAAATGTTCAGTTAACTGAAGGAGAATGTGAAAATGATATAGAAAATAAAAATAATATCTTTTTATCTATCACTCTATGCTAATATGGTTGTTAGGACATTTCCTTAGATTGTTGTCATTACTGCATGGTGGAAATAGTTTCTATAAATAAGCTAAACAAAATGACTTCCAGGCCAGGAGTGGTGGTTTACAGCTGTAATCCCAGCACTTTGGGAGGCCAAGGCAGGCAGATCACTTGAGGTCAGGAATTCAAGATCAGCCTGGCCAACACATGGTGAAACCCTGTCTCTACTAAAAATGCAAAAATTAGCTTGGTGTTGTGGTGCACGCCTGTAATCCCAGCTACTCAGGAGGCTGAGGCAGGAGAATCACTTGAACCTGGGAGACAGAGGCTACAGTGAGCCAAGACTGCACCACTGCACTCCAGGCTGGGTGAAAGAGTGAGTGAAACTCTGTCTCAAAACAACAACAACAACAACAACAACACCCCAAAATGACTTCCAGTATGTATTTCCTTTTTCTACAATAAAGCTTAGCTAAACTTCCCAATTACGTAGATACTTTTGTGTTATGATATTGATAAGTGAGCTGTAAGGAATCACAGCTATGTCATTGATTACTACATTGATCTTTGTATCTCCAGATACTAACAAAATATATAAACAATAGAATTTTTTTTTCCCTTAGCCATAGTTCCTTTAAATTAATGCCTCTTTGATTACACCAAGTTCAAGCCTATATCTCGTTATGGCTATATGTGATCTTTAAAATAAAGTTTAATATCAGCTTCCTTTACATTTATTAATCTGATTTTTTTCAGATAAAATTTGGTTTCTTTTCTCTCCTCTTATAAAATAATCCCGGAGTTTGGCTGCTAAGGCGGTGGGATGTATAAAGAACTCTGAGAGTTTATGGGCTAGCCAAAGAATAATTTTATTCTTCTAAGTCATAGTGGTTTATGCATATGCCATGCTACTGTGGTGAATATGTTAATATACTGATAAATAGATACATTTAACTAGAGGCTGATGGGGTGTGCAATGGCAAATATTTGGCACTGATTGGTGGGTTGGCGATACAACATGAAATGTGGGTACCATTCACCCATTCCCCTCTGCATTTTCTGCGTTCAATACGCAATGAGGGGGAGCTGTAGTCCCTCAACTGGCAAGGGAAATCACATTCTATCGTGTGTGCTCTCTCACCAACTATTTGGCCTTGGGAAAATTGCTTAACATCCCTTGATTCCTTCTTCTGTAAAATGGGAGTGATAATTCCTAAGTGACAGGATAATTTTTGAAATGTAATAGACAGTGGTTGTGAAAGTGCATAACAGAGTGACTGTGGCATAGAATCCTCCCAACGGTATTGGTTGACTCTAAATCAAAATTATTTAAAAATAAATGGCTTGATCCCTTTTCCATTCTGTAGAGTCATTACATTTCCTATGTCCTAAACTTCCAAACTCTCAACAATTTCTGTGTCAGGTGAGACAATTTCTCTTCTATCTTCTACTCCTTTGCTGCTACCAGTCTTAAGAGTTTGGAAGATATTACTGTGGGTGGCCTATTACCCAATGTCATACTTCTTTGCTAATGCAAGCACAAAACTTAGACACAATCTTGTGAATATTTTTAGTAGAAATAAAAGAATGATAAGCCATAGCTTCTACAAGGGAAATTTATGATATTGGAAATTTTACTATGTTTTCTACTGTCTCTGTGAAAGTATGGAATGAACAGGGTCTAATACCCTGGAATACCACCTGGCAGTATCTGCTACACATTACTTTAATCTTCAACTGATTAATCGGACCAAGTTTTCTTTTCTGGATTTTTAAAATGCTGGATTTCTATTGAGCAACAAATTATGTCTTCAGGTCTCCGTGAAGGGACTTTTTGCATTAATAATACTGTAGTTTGGCCCAGCGCAGTGGCTCACGCCTGTAATCCCAGCACTTTGGGAGGTCGAGGCGGGTGGATCACCTGAGGTCAGGAGTTCGAGACCAGCCTGGCCAACATGGCAAAACCCCATTTCTACTAAAAATACAAAAATTAGCTGGGCATGGTGGCACATGCCTGTAGTCCTAGCTACTCGAGAGGCTGAGGCAGGAGAATCGTTTGAACCCGGGAGGCGGAGGTTGCAGTGAGCCGAGGTGGCGCCACTGCACTCCAGCCTGGGTGACACAGCAAGACTCAGTCTCAAAAAAAAAAAAAAAAAAAAAAGGCCGGCGCAGTGGCTCACGCCTGTAATCCCAGCACTTTGGGAGGCTGAGGCGGGTGGATCACGAGGTCAGGAAATCGAGACCATCCTGGCTAACACGGTGAAACCCCGTCTCTACTAAGAAGACAAAAAATTAGCCGGGCATGGTGGTGGGCGCCTGTAATCCCAGCTACTTGGGAGGCTGAGGCGGGAGAATGGCGTGAACCCGGGAGGCAGAGCTTGTAGTGACCGGAGATCACGCCACTGAACTCCATCCAGCCTGAGCGACAGAGCGAGACTCGGTCTCAAAAAAAAAAAAAAAAAAAATACTGTAGTTAAATGTTAGCCAACCCTTCTCCCCAACAACAACAAAAAAATTAAAAGTGCCAGGTAGATTTGAAAGTTCACAAACAGACTCCCAAAGAATTAAATGACAAGGGAGACTTAAATTACCGCTTTCTTAACCTTTTTAGCATATTCTTTGGGAGAGTAGATGGATGTAGGTTCAAGAGGATTTTTACAGCTCTTATGAGTTTAGAAAGCTATTAAAAGCTCCTGTTTTCAGTGCATTGCCTTTGTTGCAAATCATCCATCTCTTTGGTCTGTCCTGCATTGTGGTTTTGCAAAAGAAATGCAACTGACATTATAAAGCTGTTTTATATAGTGCAGCACACTGTATTATTATTAATTGAAGAAGAAAACATGCTTTGGTTAGAACATTAGTTTCCTGTTTTGTAATTGTATCACCATTGATCTTTTAATTGTTCCAGATGAATATTTCATCTCCTTGTCTCATTCCTGTCTCCTTATTCCTTGTAAATTTGATCTAGCAATTAGTAATATTCTCACTACATTTCCCTAGATATGATCTGTGCTTTTCAATTCAATTTGGTATGTTCACAGTAGTTTTCAATTCTTTTTTCAACACAATTCATGAAAGTCCCCTTTCATGTCAAAGAAGAACAAGGAAGGGATAAACCCAACTGTTTAGGCCAGATGGTGAGAAATCAGATGACAGGAAAAAAATGCAGAACCATTCAACTCCTATTTTGTTTCTTCCTTCTCTATCAAGGAGAATGATCTTTAAACTAGATGGAGTATAATAACTATGCTTAAGGGAATCAAAGCCCAATTGGTGGTATAGTAAAATTACCTGCTGCTTTAAATGACTTCAAGCCTCTAGGCTAGACAAATCACATTCCAGAATTCTGAGAGAACTGGAAGATGTTGATGTAGAACTATTTTCAGTTATTTTTGCAGAACCACAGGGAATAACAATGGTGCTGGAGAAATGAAAGGAAAATCCACTTCCTGTTGTCAAAAAAATGGGGAAAATATAAGTGATTGCTATCATTGTTGAACTTCAACAGACTTCCACAATAGAAGTTTAAATCATTTATGAGCATGAACAGCAAAGAAGATGGTGACCTGGGCAACATAGCAAGACCCTGTCTCTACCAAAAAAAAAAAAAAAAATTAGCTGGGCCTTGTGGCGTGCGCCTGTAGTCCCAGCTACTCAGGAGGCTGAGGTGGGAGAATTGCTTGAGCCCAGGAGTTGAAGATTACAGTGAGCTATGATTGCACCACTGCACTGTAGCCTGGGTGACAGAGTGAGACATTGTCTCAAAACAAAAACAAAAAGCATAAAGAAGATGATGAATTCACTAGAAATTGGGCCTCCTATAATAAGTGTATTTTCTTCTCTGGGTTTCTAGATTAAGAGATGAAGGGAATTATGCAAAAAAGGATGGTGTGTAGAGGATTACAATGTGTTAGGTATAGTCAAGATTTTCTTGTGGGAAACATTGAGAAAAGTAGGAAATGGGAGTTTGTAACAAATCAATTTCTGTTTGAGGAAAGGAGGCTAAAACACATGAAACAACTAGGGAACCACTGAAGTGTTCATATGTACAGAGGGACAATAAGAACAATCCCTGGTGGATTGATTAGGAAACATTAAAAAAAGAGAGAATTTGAAATGATGGATAGATTCTACTCAGAAGACTAAAATGGGGATGAAGAAAAAGGATATCCAAAACAAAGAGACTGATATCATGGCCACTAATGGTACTTATGACACACTTCCTTGCCCTTATGTGTGTTCACATCTTATTGTAAGAGTGTCAGTCTAACAAAGGGAAGCACTTTTTCTAATCCTTTTAATTACTCTATTTATAACAAAATTAGCCTGCCTGATTTTGAAATTGGCTACCTTTTGAAATCCTATTTTAATTCCTTTTGCCTCCTTCAGATACAAAAAGACAAATTTTTCCCTAATCCATTTAAGGATGTCTATTTACCAAAAGAGCAGGCAAAAGGATTCTGAAATAAAAAGGACTTCATATAGGAGATCTGAAATTAGTACTAATTTCTCATGGGCAAATATGTAGGGTTTTTTCAGAGAATATTAATTTTAAAAATAAAATGGTCATTACATTTAATTCTGTGCATTTCTTTGGGAATAAATAAATATGTTAAAAGTTCATAGGCTTCTTCCACTCCATCTGGAGAAATTTTGAAAGAAATTTTGTAAACTGTTTCAGCTGGATTATATGGTTCTGGAGAACAAGAAATGTTACCTTTTTCTTCTTGTATTTTCTACAGTACCTTATAACCTATCTTTGTTTGCAATAGGCCTTATCAAATATGTGTAGAATGAATAAAACATGATATGCTATTATAGGCCGAGACTAAAAGATCTATCCCTAGCAATAGTGGTGTACAATTTTTTATGGAGGAGATGGATTGAGAGCAACATAAATATCTATATAAAATAGATTAAAGTGCAGCGGCTATGGTTGAGTTTCTAGATGTCTAAGGTCCTGGAACAGCTCTTCAATTGCATTTCTTCTCTGTTACCCTCAGCCATTTACTTGAGGGCCTAAAGGGCTTTGAGGAATTTCAAGATATCAGTAACATAAGATTTGGAGAATTGTATCATGTGGGACAAGCTGGATTAAAGGATTGGTAGCAAATAATGAAACATGTCAGCAGCTTAAAATGAAAAGTGAAAAGGTTTATTTCTCACTACATCATATATTCGTTGTTCATTGGAGGTCAGCAAGGGGTGTCAGCATGTATTAGTCACGCAGAGACCCATACTGATGAAGACTATATCTTGAAACTTGCTTCCTCATGCATAGAGGCCAGGTAAAGAGAAGATGCGAACTACACACATGCTTCTGCTAGGAATTGCTATTTTGGCTGCATTTAATTTCCCATGGCCCTGCTACCACATGAGTTCAAGTGGGCAGAGAAATGTCATCTGAGAGAACTGACACATTTGAGAACTGCCCTAATGATACTGTAGAAATGTTCCCCAAATCTCCTGTTGCCTCACTAATAAATTATCTCTGGTTCATGAACTTATATAAATTCTCTGATAATAGGGTTACAGATTTAACCTGTATAAGATCATAGAAAAATAAGCTCATGCATTGCTTACACTATCTTTAAATAGTCTTCTTTTTATATGTTGGAAGATGATCTGTTTCAGGTTAAAAGGCTTCAAGCATTACAAATTGAGAGAACAAGTTCTTGTCTCTTCTTCATCATATTTATTTTTAAAGATTGATGTCATATTGCTCCTCAACTTTTGTCTTACAAACTTGAAATGATGTGTATTAAACAAATGTGACATACTTGCTATGTGAAAAATATTATGAAAAAATATTATATAATTCATTCTAGTAGGGTAAATAGCTAAAATTCAGAAAATATAAAATTAAGAAGTTAAATGGTAAAGGCTTCAGAGGTTATGGCTGTGTCCAAAGTCAGAAAAGAGACCCCACAAAATGAGGCACCAAAGTTAGTCTAGAATTTGAATAGATATGTTTATCCATATAAATGTGTTAAACAAAGGGGTCATCCGTTTTTCTAATTCCCACTCGATAGAAACTATCGAAATAAATTGGCTTTACTCTATGCTGACAATAATATGCCTTCGCCAACATTGTTTACTCAAAAAATGGAAACCAGCATTCCCTATGCCCAGAGTGTTGCAGGCATTTTTCAATAAATAGAAGGCCTTTTGGCCAAGTTTTCCAAGTTTTTGGGACAAGTTGGACCAGTAGGTGATGGTAGTCTACGTCTGACTTTCATAATCCCTTGCCCCAGCATCCTGTAATTGCCAGTCATTAACAAAGAATCCAGTGGGTTTGGAGACTCTGGCTCCTTCCTGAAGTATCTAGTTGAATCTCAGCACAGCAAAGTTCTTCATAACTTGCATGAGATAAGTATACCTAAAGCCTCATGAAAGAGTAAAGGAGAGGGAAGGCTTCATTTAGGAAGCTTCTTTAGCTCTGTGTGTGTTTGTGTGTGTGTGCACGTGTGTGTGTGCATGCACAAGTGTGTGTGTGCATGCGCAAGTGTGTGTGTGTACATAACGTTGGGGAGTATCAAGAGGAAGAAATAGTGACTAGTTTTTATTCTTTAAGCGTTAAATTTCCTCCCCTTTATAATTTCTGTAATTCTTCCAGTTGGCCATTCCTTTATTTTTTCTTCTTCCATGATATCTATTTTCATGAGTTACAACCCAAAAACACACAGAATACTTGAGCTATTTAGCTGTCCTTCAATCAATTCCTAACGTCCTTTTATCCAAGGAATATTTAGAAATGTAACTGAAACTCTCTCATGAACTGTTTATGGACAAGAGATGAATTGACAGCTGCTTTTACTCTGTCCCATTGATTGTTTATAAAGCTAGGTTAATAGCTTCTGAGTAAAATTTTGATAATCTGACCTCTGGATTTTTTCAAACTCTCGAGTAGATATCAGTCAGTTCTGATGAGTGATCTAACCTTGGTTCGTCAATGCACCCTGTGTATGTAGTAGTCTTTGATTCACTACGTCTGTCTTCTCGGCTCCAAAGATCAAATTAATTTTTCCTGGATAAACCACAATGACTGAAATCCCTCTCCTCTTCAACTTTCAATAGGAACTTCACTTACTTCTCAATGATTTATAATCCATTATTCCCTATCTACCCTTTTATCTTTGACACACCAAAAAAAAAAGTCTACTTTTATAGATCATATGTCCTTGCATGTAAAGTTCTTAAAATGTTTTTTAGGTCTTCTTAATTTTATCTTTCCCCTACCTTGCTCTAGGCTTTTTTGGAGAGGCATGATCAATTAAAAAAAAATCTCTAGCTCCTATGATGTTTCATATGACCTCTTCCCATGTGCCAGTTACTCATATATAATCTATTAGACAGCTGTTTAAAATATTTTTATTATTATGATGCCTATAACTTAATTTGAAAAACTTCAACTTAAAGACAGTGATATTTAAGTATAAATGGTTTATGCTGCACTGTAGGGACAATCATTTGGTTAATCAGGAATTCACACTGGCATTCTAATCAGGAAATGCTCACTCCATAGGAACTACTAATAGCCATTCCATTATCATTATCTTTGATCAACACCAAAGGCATTTACAATTAGCAAAATGAAAGAAGTGGGTTTTCATTGGTGAAATTAGTGGCCTGTTAATTAGTATAATGGATTTTAGAAGTGGGCTCTCACTGGTAAAATAAGTGGAATTCAAGGTATATAGATTAGTTAGACTATCGCAAAGATAGCCTTGCCTAGGCTTTATCTCTAACTCATCTATGTCCATGCATGAGGGAGATTTCTAGGTTCTTATCGCTAACTATAAAGGTAATGAAATCATTTATTTGGAATATTGCTATAGTTATTTCAAGTGATTTATCATACAAGGTATGGTCTAATTGCATCAAAAGACAGAGATCTGTGAATTTGTCAATTTATAGAAAGATTGTATAAGTGACTTTTGCTTGCTTGCTAATAAATATTAATAAGTATGTGGAGGGGTGGCAGAATTCGAAGGGAAACTTTTTAAAGTATAATTTTGTGTCAGAGCTATGGGAGGATGAGCACAGACTGACTGCTGATGGCAGTGATTTTCTACCCATATACACAAATACTTCTGTTGGATGAGGTTGGTTTACGGCACTTACCTTGCTAATTCCTGGTAAAATGTTTCTGAAGATTTTCCAGATGGATTTTGAGACAGCCACCAAGCTTTTTAAAGAGTATTTACCAAAATCTCTTTTCAGGTATTTCTTAAGTAAATTTAACGTTTACTTTAGTCTCTTGTTATCAAAATAAATTTGAACACACTGGTGAAGAATAGTTTGTGTTGTTTAACTGTTGGCAGGAGATTGCAAGGTTTTTTGTTTTGTTTTGTTTTTAAATATTTAATTGACAAATAATAAATTGTATATATTCAGGATTTAAAGCATGATGATTTGATAACATGTAGATGTGAACTGATTACCACAATCAAATTAATTAATACATTCATTACCACCTGTAATTAGCATTTGGGCCAGGCGGCTGGGGAGTGGGGACACTTAAAATCTGCCCTTTTAGGCCGGGCACAGTGGCTCCGCGCCTGTAATCTCAGCACTTTGGGGCGTCTGTAATCCCAGCACTTTGGGAAGCCGAGACGGGCGGATCACGAGGTCAGGAGATCGAGACCATCCTGGCTAATACGGTGAAACCCCGTCACTACTAAAAATACAAAAAATTAGCCGGGCGTGTTGGCGGGCACCTGTAGTCCCAGCTACTTGGGAGGCTGAGGCAGGAGAACAGCGTGAACCCGGGAGGCGGAGCTTGCAGTGAGCCGAGATCGCGCCACCGCACTCCAGCCTGGGCGAAAGAGTGAGATTCCGTCTCAAAAAAAAAAAAAAAAAAAAAAAAAAAAAAAAAAAAAATCTGCCCTTTTATTAAATTTCAAGTAAACAACAGAGTATTATTACTATCGTCACCATGCTGTACATTAGATTCCCTGAACTTATTCGTCTTATAACAGAAAGTTTATGCCCTTTGGGCAACACCTCATTTCCTTTATCCCATCCCATGGCAATCGCTGTTCTACTCTCTGCTTCTATGAATTAGACTTTTTTAGATTCCATGTATAAGTGAGATCATACAAGATTTGCCCTTCTGTGCCTAGCTTATGTCACTTAGCATAATGTATTTCGGGTCCGTGTATGTTGTCATATATGGCAGGATTTTCTTTTTTTAAGACTGACTGATATTTCATTTTGTGTGTGTGTGTGTGTGTGTGTGTGTGTATTTGTTCATCCATGCGTCTGTTGATGAGTGGTTGTATCCATATCTTGGCTTCTGCGAGTAACACTGCAATGAGCATGGGAGTTCAGATTTCTCTTTAAAATACTGATTTTAATTCCTTTGGCTATATACCCAGAAGTGGGATTGTGGGATCATATATTAGTTCTATTTTTAGTTTTTTTGACTTCTATACTGTTTTCCATAATGGCTGTAGCACTTTACGTTCCCACGAACAGTGTACAAAGCTTCCCGTTTTTCCATGGCCTTGCCCATACTTCTTATCTCTTGTCTTTTTGGTAACAGCCATCCTAATAGGTGTAAGGTAATATCTTATCGTGGCTTTGATCTGCCTTTCCTTAATTAGTGATGTTGAGCATTCTGTCATATATCTGTTAGCCATTTGTCTTCTTTTGAGAAATGCCCATTCATTTTTTTGTACATTTTAAAAATTGTCTTATTTGTATTTTGCTATTGAGTTCAGTGAGTTCATTATGTAATTTGGATATCTGCTCCTTAACAGATGTATGATATGAAAATATTTTCTTTCATTCCACAGTTGTCTCTTCACTCTGTTGTTTCCTTGCTGTACAAATGATTTTCAGTTTGATGTAATCCCATTTTTATATTTTCGCTTTTGCTGCCTATACTTTTGGGGTTATATCTGAAAAATTACTGCCTAAGCTAACACCATAGAGCTTTCTCCTGTGTTAGTTTTAAAGTTTCAGATCCTAACTTTAAGTCTTTAATCCATTCAAAGTTGATTTTTGTATATGGTGTGAGAGAAGGGCCTAATTGTATTCTTCTGCAGTTTTATCAGTGCCATTTGTTAGAGAGACTGTTCTTTCCCCATTGTGTGTTCTTGACACCTTTGTTGAAAGTCAATTGACTGTAAATGCATGGGTTTATTCCTGGGCTGTCTCTTCTGTTCCATGTGTTTTTATGCCAACCATGCTGTTTTGGTTACTATGGCTTTGTAGTATATCTTGAAGTCAGATAGTGTGATGCCTCTAGGTTTGTTATTTTACTCAGGATTCCTTTGGCTATTCATGGTCTTTTGTGGATCCGTGTCAATTTTAGGATTGCTTTTTCTATTTCTGTGAAAAATACCATTGGAATTTGTATAGAAATTGCATGGAATCTATAGATTATTTTGAGTAGTATGGATATTTTAATAATATTAATTCTTCCAATTCATGTACATGGTACATATTTCCATTTATTTGTGTCTTTTTCAATTTATTTCATCAATGTTTTATAATTTTTAGTAAACAGATCTTTCACCTTCCTGGTTAAATATATTTCTAAGTATGTTCCTCTTTAGGATGCTGTTGAAATGACATTGTTTTCTTAATTTATCTTTTGGATAGTTCCCTGTTAGCGTAGAGAAACACAACTAATTTTTGTATATTGATTTTGTATCCTGTAACTTTACTGAATTTGTTTTTTATTTCTAACAGGTTGTTTTCAAGTGTGAAAAATTTAGGTCTTACCATATATAAAATCGTGTTATCTATAAACAGTGATATTTTAACTTCTTCCTTTATAAATTGGATACCTTTTGTTTAAAAACAATTTCTTGCCTGATTGCCTTAAATACAACTTCCAGTACTATGTTTAATAGAATTGGCAAAAGTATGCACACTTTTCTTATTCCTGATCATAGAAGAGAAGCTTTCAGCTTGTCCTCATTGATTATGGGGTTTGTGGGCTTCTTTTATATGGCCTATATTATGTTGTGGTACATTCCTCCTATACATAATTTGCTGAGTATTTTTATCATGAAAAGATGTTGAATTTTGTCAATGATTTTCTGTATTTATTGATATAACCATATAGTTTTTGTT
Organism: Homo sapiens; assembly: GCF_000001405.40. NCBI lineage: Eukaryota > Metazoa > Chordata > Mammalia > Primates > Hominidae > Homo > Homo sapiens. The sequence goes on along the minus strand of NC_000010.11, from coordinate 66,484,976 downwards.
TTCCATTCTGTTAATGTGGTGTAGCACATTCATTCATTGACATAGGTTGAATCATCCTTGCATCTGCATCCCAGGGATAAACCCCACTTTATCATAGCACATGATCCCTTCAATTAGCTTTTGAAATCAGTTTACTAGTATTTTGTTGAGGATTTTTATATGTATATTTATCAGGAATATTGGCCTATATATGTTTTTTTCTTGCAGTGCCCTTTTCTGACTTTGTTATGTGGGTAATGCTAGCCTTGTAAAACGAGTTTGGTCCTTAGCTTTTCTTTTTTGGGAGGTTTTCGGTTACTGATTTAAAGGAGTTGCAGTTCATCATGTTGTAGTCACTATCACTCAGGTTTTATTTATATAGTTTTTCTGATTCCCAGTAAGGGTTATTCTTGAACCAATCCCATGTTTTCTGATTGCATATCTTTCTCTGTTTTATACTTTTCACATTATCATATTGCTTCTCAGAAGGGACTACACTATGTCCATGCATGTTTTCAGACACTCCTTTATTCTTTCTCTTTTTCTCTTTTTTATATCCTAAAATATACAAGTTTCAAATATATAAAATAAAAAATGAAATTTTGTAAACCAATGCATTCACTTATCCTCTTTGGCTATTTTTAAAACTTTAAACTGAAATTACTTCCTCAAAGAAAATTTGGAACAGTTTTAATTGTTTGAACATTTTGAAAAAAAATGTCTAGCAGTGTAGTTTGCTTCTTGAAGAAGAAAAATAAACTGAAATATTTTAAAATGATACTTCATGCTTTTCCTTTCCAAGTATAAGAACACAAAATTTTGGACACAGATTCTTTTATAAGTTCCAGGAGCTTTGGTTGCATTAGCAACATGGTTTTTGTTTATTTGTTTATTTTATTTTGCTTAACTTGGTCTCCAAGGGTGCTAATATACTTATAGCAACCACAAGGAAAATAGAGTAATATTACTTCCTTGGAGAGGTAGTTCTCATTTTTTACCTTTTTCATCATTTAATAAACTAAAGTGGGGAAAAAGTATTGTAGTACAGTATGACGAGGAAATTAGAGTAGTCTTTAATATCATAGTGACTTTTTCAGATAGATCTTATTTTTTTAAGTTTTTTTCTCTTCTTTTAAGTTAATCTAATTCTTGGCAATGGAAACTAGTGTTCATTAGCCCCATCTGGCTTAGTCTTAACGATTTCTAAGGGTGAGTGGGGATGAGAATTGCCATTGGTGTTAGAGTAATTTCAGGGACAAATTAACATATTCCTGATCTATAACATATGCAAGAATTCCGTGAACTGCAGAGTTCCTCCAATAAACCAGTGTCCATGTCTCCAATATCATGTACATTACATCTCTATCTCTCAAAGCTGAATAGAGGTGTAGGAGGTAAAGACAACAAATAAAGACCCTTTTTAAAATTTTACTCTTTTATCAGCCAGACTAAAATGTAAGGGAACCTATTTTTGAGATTGTAGTTGATAATTTTTTAATAAGTAAAACTTAGTTAAATGAAGATCGCCAGAGGATGAATATTTTTATTTTGCCCTCAATTCTATGTAATGCCAAGCTGCAGCTCATGGCCACAAATCATACATGTACATCTATAATAATGATAAAAAAAAAGCCAAGTTTTCTTGGCCACTTCATCTGTGTTGGGTGCGATGCTAATTACTTTATCAAAATCAGGATATTTAATTCTCTCAGGAGTACAAATAAACATTCTTGTTTTCCACAATCTTGAGTTGAAGAAACTGCTTCTCCAAAATATTAATTAATTTGCCCAAGGATATACAATAATAAGTAGGGAAGACTTTGCATTCAAGCTGTGCAAATTCAGAATCTGTCCTCTTAACTATTAGAATAACCATCAAGTCTGTTGAAAAATATAGTTAGCCTCCAAGTCTTCCCCCAGCTACTGCAGACTGTTTCTGACAGTGCTGTCTCATTGGCTTAGGAAAACGTCCTTCTTTATCTCCAACCTCTCCTGTGCTCCACACTGGATGCTGGTCATCATGAGAGTGCTATTCCATTGGGCTTAGCTTTCCTGGGATTTCCATCAGTTTAGGATGAAACAACCCCTGGACCAGGCCCTCCTCCTTAATTCCCACATTGCACAAAGGAAAGTGGTGCAAAAGCTTTTTTGTCTGTGTTTAAATATCATCAACAATCCCAACTGAGCTGTGTTTTTATACCAAATCCTACTAATTTATTTACAATTTCTTCTTCAGTTGACTGAAAAACAAAACAAAACAAAACAAACTAGGCCTGTACATTTGCTGAAGTTTTTGACTACTGTGATGTCCATTTTCCTGTGAAAAATGTTCAGACAAGAACACACATATATATTTACTTAAAAAAAAGCAATCGTATACAGGTAAACTGAATTGTTAGTGCATACTTTGTACAAAGGAAATATTATCTTAAGAATATTATTATTATAATATATTGGTTTAACGCATCAGCTCAGAAATCTCCTACTTAAAAGCAGTGCGGCCAATGATAAACTGAAATTCCCCTAAGCTTTGGTTTCTTCATCTATCCAATGTCTGTAAAAACTGTGGAGGGATAGTGTCATGATTAAATGAGGCATTTTATTTAAAGCCTCAGTAAAATGCCCTACACTCAGTAAGCCTTAGTTATTAGAGGTACTGGTAGTTAAAGATAGTCATACTCAATTTACATTTAGAAAACAAAACAGTTAAGTTTTCAGTCAGAATTTCGTGTTACATTGTTTTTGGTTTTTCTCCAAAAACAATGAATACTTGTTTTCAATATGATATGCTCAACTGTGTTGGTTTTCCAGCACAAAGGGACAGTCTGCGTTAGACATAAAATTAAGTTCCAGTCTTAGATGTTAAAAATTGTTAGCATTTTGAAGTTCTTTCAAACTATTAACAAAAATCTTACTTTCAGCTAGAATATATCTTCCTCCCCCAATACATACAAAAACATACACATAAATTTAGACCTAATTTGGATGAAAAATAACATCCCTATTGATATTTATTTTCTCATGTCTCTCTTTTTTTTTCTTTCAAGCATGTAAAAACTATCATCCTCATATCTTTCTAACATGGGTATACAAATACCTGTGTTGCTGTGCTGTTTAAAGATAAAATCAAAATGGACCAACGTGGACCAACACATGTCGTTCCTACCATGTCGTGATTATATAACAACTATTACTTATTATTTTTAGTGTTTGATATTTTAATGCAAGAAACAACGCGGTGGCTCACGCCTGTAATCCCAGCACTTTGGGAGGCCGAGGCGGGTGGATCACGAGGTCAGGAGATCGAGACCATCCTGGCTAACACGGTGAAACCCCGTCTCTACTAAAAATACAAAAAATTAGCCGGGCGTGGTGGCAGGCGCCTGTAGTCCCAGCTACTCGGGAGGCTGAGGCAGGAGAATGGCGTGAACCCGGGAGGCGGAGCTTGCAGTGAGCCGAGATCGTGCCACTGCAGTCCAGCCTGGGCGACAGAGCGAGACTCCGTCTCAAAAAAAAAAAAAAAAAAAAAAAAAAAAGAAACAAGGGAATAAGGTTTTTGCTTTGTTTCTGTATACCCAATACCTAAAACAGCATATACTTATAATAATTAGTAAGTATTTGTTGAATGAATGGATGAATAATGAATTTGTTCATTTATTTTTAGTTTTGTCAATAATATCTGATTTTTAAATAATCTACAGCAAATCAAATTAATGGGAAACTTGCATTAAAAAACTGTAAAGTGTATTTTATTTTTAAATACCCTCTCAGTGCTATGAATTTTTAATACAGTAACCCTGAATTTGTAGTGAAAATTGCTCTCTCACAAACACACATATACTCATATATACAGACATATACCTTTACGCCTACCAATTTATACATATAAACTTTGTGAACTGCATGGAATTTTTTCTATGTTCTCTTCTAATTTTGGTGTTCTCCTTTATTTACTCACTGTGTATGCTTTGAGAATAGTTTTTAATCTATGAATTTGTTAGAAGTCAGTTTTCATTCATGAATTAGTATGAAATTCAAAGGTTATGACATGCCTCTGCAATAATACTTAAGTATACTTAGAAAATATTTAAATTAGGCCAGGCATGGTGGCTCACGCCTGTAATCCCAGCACTTTGGGAGGCTAAGGTGAGTGGATCACGAGGTCAGGAGATCGAGACCATTGTGGCTAACAGTGAAACCCCATCTCTACTAAAAAATACAAAAAATTAACCGGGCATGGTGGCACGCACCTGTAGTCCCAGCTACTCAGGAGGCTGAGGCAGGACAATCAGCTGAACCTGTGAGACGGAGGTTGCAGTGAGCCGAGATTGCGCCACTGCACTCCAGACTGGGTGACAGAGCGAGACTTTGTCTCAAAAAAAAAAATAAATAAATAAATTATTTTGCCAACATCTGAAAATTATGTAATATCATTGGAGTCATTGTAAAGTCTCTGATCACAGAGGCTAAGTTTCTGTTTTATAATGACATATATCCAGTGCCTATTTGTCGAAAGAATAAATGACTAGTTAAATAAGTGAATGAATAATTAAAAGAGCAAATGAAAAGTACTGAAAGAAATACACTGACACAGAAATACATGATTGATTAGAGGAGCTGGGAACATCAAGTTAGCAAATAAATAATTTTACTTCTTTTCATAATTTCCAAGAAAAGTATAAATCTTAAATTTAAATAAGTAAGTCATAGTTAGGAACATACTGTTCTATCTTGCCACCTCCAGAATTATAGTTTGAAAATGACTACAACTGTGAGATATATAGCTAAATGAGCTATAGAAATAGAGAAGAAATTGAATTTCTCTAGTTTATTTACTCAAACAAGGAGTAAATAGCTTTGGAAATGAAAACTGTCTTGAAACAGATCTATTTTCCATTTGGGATTGTTTTCTAAATCAGCTTCAGTTTTAGCCTGTCATTTCCAGATTGATATTAGATTTCAGTTCATTAGCTTTACTTAATAATTTGCATAATCTGGGCTGAGTTGAAAGTTCTGGGGTGTGTGTGTGTGTGTGTGTGTGTGTGTGAATGCTTTGGTATTTTTAATTATCTTGTGGTGAAGTCTTTCTGTTGATCTCTTGATGAGAATGTGCAGAAAGATGTTCGATTGATATAAGTATCTTGTAGGGCACATAAAACACAAACCAGATAACAAATTCAGCTAAAGTATTTCGAAAAAGAATAAACAATACTCAAAAATGATGCAGTTAAAAACACACCTAAAAAACACTGTCATAATAAGCATGCCTTTCCTTGGTTCCGTACTCTTGTCTTACCACAACACTTACAATATAGTATGAGATCAACATATGTGTTGAATTTTATTTAATTTCAAAGTACTTATGATTCACAATTTTAATACACTTTTGAAAGAAAATATAATTATTTGTGACTAAGGGGTGCTGGTAGAGACATTTAAAAAATAAATGGGCTAATAGACCATGTTATATGATTATAATATTTAATATTGTAAAGATGTCACATTTCCAAAAATTTGTGTATTGATTTAAAGAATTTTAAATTAATATCACAATATGTTTTTGATTTGTGTGTGAAAAGTGATTGGCTTATTCTAAGATTTTATATGAAAGTACAAAGAGTCAATAAAAGCCAAAAATCTCTTGAGGTAGAACAATAATTTGAACATATTTGCCCTACCAGCCAGCATGAGATTTAGTATTTAAGGAAGTGTGGTACTGGCATACAAATTGAGGATATAGACTTCAATATGAATATAGATAATGAAAGAGAATTAAGAGCCAATATATAGATACAAGTATATGTAGAGACTTGATAGATAATAGAGGTGGTTCTTATGAGATGTTGGGAAAGGGTAGGCTTTACAATAAATGATTCTAGAAATATTAAAAAATGTAACTAGATGCAAATCTCAAAAACTGTACAAAAACGAATTCTACATAAAGATCTAAATAAAGAAACAAAATCTATATAATATTAGGAAATAAAAAAGGTGAATATCTTTATGACCTTGGGTTAGGAAAAAAATTTCTTAACCAGACATAAGAATTATTATCTATAAGGGGGAAAATGGTAAATTCATCTACCTTAAAATTGAAAAATTCTGTTTAGCAAGAAATCACAGGTGTACAGCTATGAATTATATATAACTAAAAATCTGCAGAATACCAATTACTAAATATTATCATTATTCTGCATGTCTGGGAGTACAGTAGATGGGCCAGTGGATGTTGGGTGAGGAATAAAATGACATAGATATTTCTAAATAATTATATATTTCATGAAATTTATTTTAATTACATTATATTTGCAAAATTACTAGTTACATTGTTGAAATAAAATTGTAATAGCGTTAAGCTTTATTACTAATAATGATCTAAAGGATTAAAAGCATGATTATTTTCCAAATTTTAAAAAATTAGCTATATTTTTTCATCAAAAATTTAAATTTCATACAGTGAAATTTGTTTACATATGAAATTAGTTTACACATGTTTAAAATAATATAGTCCTTAAAATATTTCAATTATTTATTCAATTAAAAATACCAATTATGTATTTCAAAATTTTCAATAAAAATTATCTTAATAAAGCTGAACATGCTTAATATTCTTGAAGATTTTATTAAATCTGATTAAATATTTTCAAGTGTAAAATCTGTTTGCAATTCAAATGTTTAGTGTCCATCTCATTGTCAGTGTAAAGATATACTTCACACATACTACCAATAGACACTCACATGTACATAAATTTAAGATTCAGGTCCATTATTTAATACTGTAAGATCATTCTTAGCCTGCATCTTGGGCATACTGCACAACTTTTTGAATACCTAGAAACAACAAATTGGAACATAGAACAAAGAATAAAAGTGCATGCTGGAGCATTGCTGGAAAATAATGCTGCATTATGTAAGAATCTATTGCATTATTGCTACTTGAAAGGAAGATTTGACTATTTGGTTAATTTGTTTCTTCTTTTACCTAAATGCTTTATCTATTCAAACACTTTATGAACTTAGAAGCAGTGTCTGACTCACACAAGTCTTGAAGGCATTCAAAATTAACTACCTTTTGTTTCGAGAAGTTAAGGCAAGATATGAGAAGTATTTCCCTGGGGCCTGTTGATGTTACTTATGAGAGTGGATGTTTAAAGTTAGGAGTTGCACTATATCAGCTGTGAATGTAGATCCTGGTTGAGAATTGCCCATAATTTATCTAACAAATATTTTATGTGAGTATTTGTGATATGAAGGGCCTCCTGATGTGTGAAGTTATAGTTTGTATTGCCCTAAGATCCAGGCAAGAAATGCTTCTGCAGACCTATAAAGATGACTATAAACTATACCTTCCCCTCCATCAACACATTCCTTTGTGTTTGCTGGAGTTGATGGGGTTGTAGAATGCATTCATATTACAATACGATATGTGTTTCTGTACTCTCCTGCCATGAGTTTGAGTGAATTTTCAGAGTGGGTCGTAGAAATATTCCTGGAAGCCATTTCTACATCATTCATTGAAATTACTGTCAACCACATAAGTAGAACTCACTAAACCTAAACTTAATGCATTCCCAAATTTACTTCCTCTAAGCCAGATTCTGTCAAAAACAACCCCTTCTGTCCAATTTTTGCATGATAGATACATCAACATTTTAAAAGCTCTGAAATATTATATAAAAGATTCAAAAGATAAACCCAAATACAAACAAGATTTCAAAAATTTAGTCAAACTATTGATAAGGCCCAGAAATGCCATTTTAGTTGAAATGTTCTAAATTCAAATAACACAAAGGAAAATTTGTAGAAATAAAAATTGATGTATATCAAATATATTATCTTTCATCATCTTTACTTTTATTGGTTAAATAACAGAGTACTGACATTAATGTCATAGATTATGAAATATAATTTATAAAGATGAATGATAAAATCAACAAAAAGTTATCTGCAAGCCAATTGTAATAAAATATCAGACTATATCAAAGCAGGAATTTATTTGGAGAAAGAGTTAAATATTAACATAAATAATGGATACATTTTGAATGTTTGATAGTCAGTGACAAGGAATGTGACTTAGGAGGACATGAGAAAAATATCTAGATTTCTTGCTAATTTGACACCAAACACAAATATCAATGAAATAACACAAAGAAAAATCTGCCACTCTAAGGAGTCATTAATATCAAACTAGTTAGAGAATAATCAATTCTAAGGATGCTTAAGATTAGACATAGCAGAAGACAGCTTCAAATGTTCTGATATTTTTCAGCTCATTTATGACAGAACTTGGTAGAGAGGTTTTATATAACATTGTGAATTATAAAATGAAGATGAAATATATTTTTCTGCAGTATGTTATAAAATAATACATATTAAAAATAAAAAGTAAATAGTTTTCATTATTTAACAAATAAGATAAATACATAACAAAAATAAACACTAATGGAAACAAGTTTTAATCAACTATTTTAGAAAAAACTCAATTGCCTTTTAATTATCTCAGTACAAAATTTGGAAAATCATTTTTGAAGGAAAAGCCAAGAAGAATGCTGTTGCAAAAATGTAATAAAATATACTATTGAAATCTGTTGTCAATTGTGTTCTGTCTCTCACTTTTTAATTTTATTTTCAGTTTCAGGGTAAATGTGCAGGATGTGCAGTTTTGGTACATAGGTAAACATGTGCCATGGTGGTTTGTCACACCTGTCAACCCATCACCTAAATATTAAGCCCAGCATTCATTAGCTATTTTTTCTGATGCTCTCCCTCCCCACATCCCCCGTTCCTGCTGATAAGACTCATGTGTCATTCCCCTCCCTGTGTCCATGTATTCTCATTGTTCAGCTTCCACTTGTGAGTGAGAACAAGTGGTGTTCGGTTTTCTGTTCCTGCCTTGGTTTACTAAGGATGATGGCTTCCAGCTCCATCCATGTCCCAGCAAAGGATGTTAGCTCATTCCTTTGTATTGCTGCATAGTATTCCATGATGTATATGTACCACATTTTCTTTATCCAGTCTATCATTGATGGCATTTGCGTTGATTCCATGTCTTTTCTGTTGTGAATAGTGCTGCAATGAACATATGCATGCATGTGTCTTTATAATAGGATGATTTATATTTCTTTGAGTATATACCCAGTAATGGGATTGCTGGGTCAAATAGTGTTTTTTGTCCTAGGTCTCTGAGGAATCGTCACAATGTCTTCCACAATGTTTCAACTAATTTACATTTCCATCAACTGTGTAAAAGCATTACTATCTTTCCATAGCCTCGCCAGCATCTTTTGTTTCTTGACTTTTTAATGATTGCCATTCTGACTGGCGTGAGACGATATCTCATTGTAGTTTAGATTTGCATTTTTCTAATGATCAGTGATATTGAGCTTTTCTTCATATGTTTTTTGGCCACATGAACATCTTTTTTTGAGAAGTATCTGTTCATGTCCTTTGCTCACTTTTTAATGGGTTCATTGATGAGATATAATTAAACTAAGTATCTTCTGCACAGCAAAATAAATTATTATCAGAGCAACAGACAACCTACAGAATGGGAAAAAATTTTTGCAACCTATCCATCTGAGAAAGGTCTAATATCCAGAGTCTATACGAAACTTAAACAAATGTACAAGAGAAAAAATAAATGACCCCAATATCATAAAGCATTTCCCCTATGTTTTCTACTAGTAGTTTTATATTTTTGGGGTCCTAAATTTAAGTCTTTAATCCATTTTGAGCTGATTTTGTATATGGTAAAAGATAAGAGCTTAGTTTTGTTCTTCTGTATGTGGATATCCAGTTTTCCCAGTGCTGTTTATTGAAGAGACTGTACTTTTCCAAATGCCTTATGACTTTGGTTTGGTCAAGAATTCAAAAGCACAGACAACAAAAACAAATCAACAACTTAAGTTACATGAAACTAGAAGACATGGGTATCCAAGTCTCTTCTACAGCAGTGGAAATAGTCAAGAGAATAAGGAGACAACCTACAGAATGAGAGTAAATGTCTGCAAACTGCACTTGTGACAAGGGGTTAATATCCAGAAAATATAAGGAACTCAACTGAACTCAATAGCAAAAAACAAAGCAAAACAAAACAATCTAATTAAAAATTGAGCAAAGGATCTGGAAAGAGTTTTCCCAAAAGAAACACCATATACAATCATATACAAATCACTAACAAGTATATGAAAAAATGTTCGGCATCACTAATCATCAGGGAAATTCAGTCAAAACTACAATTAGATACCACTTCACCTCAGAATGGTTATTATCTAAAAGACAAAAAATGACAACTGCTGGTATGGATGCAGAGAAAGGAGAACACTTACATACTGTTACTCAGAATCTAAATTAGTACAGCCATTATGAAAAACAGAATGTAAGTCTCTCAAAAAATTAGAAATACAGCTATGGGATCATCCATCATTTCCACTATTGGGTATACATCCAAAGGAAAAGAAATCAGTGTTAAAGATATCTGCACTCCCATGTTTATTGCAACACCATTCACAATAGCCAAGATTTAGAATCAACCTAACTGTCCATCAGTGGATGAATGGGTAAAGAAAATGTGTTATACATACACAGTGGGATACTATTCAGCCATTCAAAAAATGAAATATTGTCATTTGCAAAATCATGAATGAATCTGGAAGATAAAGTGAAACAAGCCAGTCACAGAAAGACAAATACTGCATGATCTCACTCATATGTGAAATCTAAAGAAGTTGATCTCATAGACATAGTGTTTGCCAGAGGCTAGGGAGTGTAGAGGGGAAGGAATCAATAAAGAGACGTTCGTCAATGGCTACAAAGTTACAGTTAGATAGACAGAATAACTTCTGTTCTATTGCACAGACGGGTGACTATGATTAACTATATTGTATTGCACATTTCAAAATAGCTAGAAGAGAGGATTTTGAAAGTTGTATTAGTCCATTCTCACACTGCTATAACATCCCTTTACTGGGTATATACCCAAAGGATTATAAATCATGCTGCTATAAAGACACATGTACACGTATGTTTATTGTGGCACTATTCACAATAGCAAAGACTTGGAACCAACCCAAATGTCCAACAATGATAGACTGGATTAAGAAAATGTGGCACATATACACCATGGAATACTATACAGCCATAAAAAATGATGAGTTCATGTCCTTTGTAGGGACATGGATGAAGCTGGAAACCATCATTCTCAGCAAACTATCACAAGGACAAAAAACCAAACACCGCATGTTCTCACTCATAGATGGGAATTGAACAATGAGAACACTTGGACACAGGAAGGGGAACATCACACACCAGGGCCTGTTGTGGAGTGGGGGGAGGCAGGAGGGATAGCATTAGGAGATATGCCTAATGTAAATGACGAGTTAATGGGTGCAGCACACCAACTTGGCACATGTATACATGTGTAACAAACCTGCACATTGTGCACATGTATCCTAAAACTTAAAGTATAATAATAAAAAAGGAAAGAAATACCTGAGACTGGATAATTTATAAAGGAAAGAGGTTTAATTGACTCACAGTTTCACATGGTTGAAAGGTCTCAGAAAACTATAATCATGGCAGAAGGCAAAGGGGCAGCAAGGACCTTCTTCACATGTCGGCAGGAGAGAGAAGCATGAGGAGCAAGGCAGGAAGAACCTCTTATAAAACCATCAGATCTCATGATAACTCACTCACTATCACAAGAACAGCATGGGAGAACTGCCCCCATGATCCAGTTACCTCCCATCAGGTCTCTCCCTAGACATGTGGGGATTATGGGGATTAGAATTCAAGATGAGATTTGACTGGGGACACAAAGCCTAAGCATATAAAATGTTCTCACCACAAAGAAATGATAAATGTATAAAGTGTTGGATAGGCTAATACTCTCATTTTATTATTACACTATATATGTGTATCAAAGCAGCTCACTGTACTCCATAAATATCTACAATTTGTATGTTAATTAAATAAATAAATACCAAAAACATGGAGAAAGTTTGCAAAGTGGGAGGCAAGTGTCAGATCTCTTTTCTACCAATGTCATTTTATAAAACTTTTTTTTATCTCTTAGGCTATATGAATGATTGCATAACATATTGAGATAGTGTTGAAGTTGGTTTGACTTTAAACAGCTGAGGTAAAATTACATGAGTTACTACCACACTATATTTTTGTGTTTTGAAAGAATTACTGTAGATTTCTAAAACAACTTACTAACCTACTACCAGCAGGAACTTGCATACTGGAATAATTAGATTATTTCATGTAAGTATTTCAAAATGTTTTATAACATCTCTGAAACGCTAGACTTTTTGAGTTTTTATAGTTAATTTTAATAATTCAGAGGTATCCAAATTATAACAAATTGTGAGACTTTATCTCAATTTTGTTATTGTAGAGAACTTTAAAAATATTTTTATAAGAAAACTTAATACATAAATATAACTTTAAAAATATATTGGCATATGCCAAGAAGTGCTACTCAATAAAAAATCTCTAAAATAAAATGAGAAAACCAGCCACAGTCCCCAAATTTGGCTTTAACCTTTGTTTTCTCATTCATGCATCTACTAGTACAGCAGATTCTTATATCCCTGATTTTCCTCCCCCTTCACCATATGGCTGATCATCTGTTATAGGATAATACAGAATGTTCCAGAGTCTACAGGGGAGATGTCTTTGCTGTAGAACACACTGCCCAAATCTCAACAAACCTGGACGAAATGGCTCTTCCTGTGTAAATCACACTTTTCTCTCCTAAAAAAAAAAATCTAAATTCATTCTACTTTGTTCTGTTCACTAGAATAAAAGCACCCTTCTTTCTGCCAAGGTACTTGGCCAATTTCAAGCTTCTATGATGTGTATATAGGCTAGCATCTTATTCTTTCTTTAGCTTTTCTCATGTGATTGAGAGATTAGTTAAAAGCCCAGGGAGGATGCTTTCAAAATACAAAACAATCTGCTGTTTTGCCCATAATGAACTAAATAGCAAATGCTTATAATACTTTTACACACGTCAGTGTGAAATTGAGCAAGAAACAAAAGTCTAACCCATAAAAGATTTGGAATATTTTCAAATTGAGTGTATGAGCATTTTCAGCAACCAATATATATTTGTAAGTTTTGGGGGGTTTTGTTTGAGTTAGGTAGAAAGCAATCTTGAGTATAATCAGTGTAAGGACAGCATGGGAAAGCGTTTTATTTATCACCCAGAATTGAATAGTCAAACAACAATAAAAACAACCAAAATTTAAAATGACTTCTGAGCATGTCTTAAGTTGGAGCATTTTCACGGTGGAGCCGACCTTTATATGTGATGTCACTAGGTAAGCATATGTTGTTAATTAAATTATAATAAATTATTTAATGTATTCAGTTTTACAGACAACTGAAGAACATTCAGCAGTGAAATAAAAAGCTGTATTTAATTCACTGGCGTGAAAATTGTTGATGTAAAATAAAACAAAACATAAAAGACTCATATCCACATGGAAAATTAATGGAAAATTAGCTTAGAAAGGGATTTTGCAATATTTTAGCTGTGCTAAAAAGAAGACAAAAACATCTCAATATGCTGAAGAACTTTTGAAAACTTAAATTTAAGTTAGAAATCAAAACAGTCTTGAGCAATTTGAAGGAATGCCTACTATAGCTGTATTCTTTATGAATCATTGTAAAAATAAGAAAGATATAATAATACTAGATATGCATTGATATATGTTGTAAGACATAGATATACATTATAAAAATATGATAGAGATAATACTAGAAATAAAGTGTCAAATTATTAGAAGCATTCTAGAATTTTTAATTGACTTTATAATTACAAAAAATGCTACTTTTTTCAATGACAGTTTTCAAGGAACAGAGAACCATGGACAATAAACAATGGGGGATGTTGCATATTTCCAACGCCATTTCCTCTCCAGAATTTATCATTATTAGCAGTTTGATGATGACCGTTTTTTCTCCTTCCATTTTATCTGGATCCTTAAATTTTCAGATGGAAGAATAACAAACAATCCATTTTAAGCTGGTAAAAGTTAAGTTGATGGCAAGCTTCTCTCACTTTTTTCTTCCAGTACAAGTTTCTTGAAATTGTCTTGCTCAGACTTTAGTCCTTCAGATATACATATTTTTTTACCTCATGCAGTCTATTCTTTTCAAGAGAATTAATGACATTTTAATTACTAAATGTTCAGTGCTGGTTTCCACCTCCCTTTCACATCGACACGGCTGACTAGTGACCTTTCTTGCTTTCTCTCCTTCATTCTGCATGATAATAGGCTCTCTTGGCTTTCTTCCTACTTCTACCTACTTATCTGTCTCTTTTGCTGGCTTGTCCAACTCTAATATATTCTTCCTTTTTCTTTATTAGTCTACCCATTCTCCTTGAGTAATACAATGAATGCCTCAGGTTTCCACCAAAATCCATGTTTATAACTGCTTTAGAATGCTTCATTCAAATGCTTCCATCTTGGATGATTCCAACTATCCACTTTTCCATGTCTAGAGCCAGGTGGCCAAGAGCTTCAAGAGACAAAGCACAACAGGCAGATTGACATTGCTATAAATTAATGCTTGCCAATCTCATTTGAACCTCATCTTATCTACAAATCCTATAGATATTTTGTCTATTCTGATCATGTTGACTCCTTGCAATTACAATTTCAAACCTTCTCCACAGTCTTCAAACTTCCTGTTCGTGCGTTCCCCTTTCATGTTTGACAGATGGCCTTGTCTCTTAATTTACAGATTAAAAACAACAGCAAACAGCAATATTCTCAATAAAATCTAGCACTTATAATATATTCTGCATTCTTCCAGTTCCAATAGAGGAATTGTTGTTCCTCCTATCCAAAGCCCATGTTTCCAGCTTACTCTGGTCCTGATTTTTGGTCTCAAAAATCTTACTTTATTCATTATATTTTTATATGTCATGTGTGTTTTACTACTTAAAGTGGATCCTTCTCAAAATATTTTAAACATGCACAAGTCTCCCTCACTTAAACAAAATTTCCTTTAGATGTAAGCTATCTCATTGTCTTTCTCCTTTTATTTTATAGTCAAACTTCATAGAAGAAAAGATACTACCCTCATTTCCTCTCTTCCTGTTTTATGTTTTCAATTAAGTCTCGTATCTGCCTCCATTCAGTGCTACCCTGCTTTTAAACTCATCTCCAGATTTTATTGATTCTACTTCCTAGATATCTTTCTCTTCTGTTCACTTCTCTCATTTTTTACTATCATCATAGTTAAAGCTTCCATTATCCTTCACCTTAATCACAATAACAGCCCTCAACTGGTGCACCTACATCCATTTTTGCTTATCTGTATTTCAGTGTCTGTAGTGCAGGGTATACTAAAATGCAAATTTGAACTTCTCATGCACAGACTTCAGTCTCACCTCTTTATGCACCCCTTGCACCCTCTGCTTAATATAAGTAGATATCTCACTATTTTTTAACGATAAATAACATACATTTAACATAGTTTGCAAACAATTTCAGGGTCCAATATCCTACTATACTTCCATATTTTTCTTGTGCCACTCTTGTTCTCTGGGTTACAGCGAAAAAAATCATTTACTTCCACAAGACTCCAAAAATGCTCCTACTTTAGGACCTCTGCTTATTCTCTACCCTTTGTCTCAGATATCTCTTCTCCCACCTTACAACTTCTGTTCATCTTTTATATCTCAAGCTTTTCAAATATTCTGCACTCATTGAAAATTCCTTGACAGCTTCCAGTAATGTTTTTTCATACTTTCAAACATATGTTTGTGTTACTATTTAAGTGTTTTCCTTCTTGAATATGTGAGCCCCAAAAGGTCAGAGACTGTTTCTAGTTTTGTTCACCATTGTACTCCCTGTGTCAAGTACAATACCTGGCACAAACTATTTAATAAATATTAAATGAATTAATAGATGCCACCATGCATTTGTGCATTGGATCCAGGTTTTTATTGACTCTCCTTTCATTTATATTTCTTTTTTACTGTTTTATTTATTTTTTAAAGTTTTATGCAAAGCATATTCATTACAGTACTATTTATAATAGTCAAACAAAATATATATCAAAAAATATGGGAAGATTAAATTGTGGTAGATTTATACTTAAAGTCATAAAATATGCATATAAAACTATTGAAAAAATACCAGAAAATTCGACTGTGATTATCTCTGGACTGTGGCGTTATAAGTGCTTCTTATTATTTATTTTTCAGCTTTATTAAGGTATAATTGGCAAATATTTTTTATATTTACAGTATATAACATGATGTTTGATATACGTATACATTGTAAAATACTTACTACAATCAAGCTAATAAACATATACATTACTTCACATAGTTATTATTTTCATGTGTGTGCTGAGAAGTTATGATTTCTCTCTTAGCAAATTTGAAAGATACAATACAATATCATTAATTATAGCCACCATGCTGCACATTAGATCTCCAGAACTTCTTTATGCTACCTAAATGAAACTTTGTACACCTTGACCAGCATTTTCCCATTTCCCCCACCCATGACTCCCTTTTAAATTTTATATTGATGTACATATCAAACTTTTAAAAAATCTGTCTAAATAACATTAATATGTAGTTCAGGAAATACTCTGTCCTTTAAAAGATGCCTTGTTGTATGTACTGTTCCTACACAGAGTCCTGCAACAATTTAGTCAGATAACAAATTGGTGTAATCTCTCTGTACACTTACTTTTTGAAATACATCGCAATTAATTCCTTTTTCTTTTGGGAGTTCGGAGATCATAGATTTTGGATATTTCAACATCTTTACTGATTCTATCACTGTTTAAAGAATTTAACTAAGTGACCTAAACATGCTCCTTCGGACAGCCAACAACAAATAAGAATTTCTTGATTTGCTTCAAAATTAAAATCGCTATTTTCTCTATTATAGTATAATAGTTATACGTTTAGTAAATGCTTGTTGATTAATGTCTAGTAACAAATAAGTTTTATAAATTTAAGGGTCTGTTACTTACTATTACGCTAAGAAGATCCTCCTACTACTATTAAATTTTCTAGTTGGGGAAAAAAAAGAAAATATGTACATTAACAGAGACTAATAATTACTTTTGCTTTTCAACCACTATGGAGGTAGTTTTTAAGTTTACACTCATATCACCAAAGTAAAATGATGCTTCCAGGTTCAAATAACTCAATGCTAATTTCACTTACCATACGCTATGATACAAAGTCCAAGAGCAGGACAATCTAAGTTCTGATTTCACTTCTCTGCTATTGTTTTTTCTAAACCCTTTTATGCGGGTTGGCTTCATCTTAATAGCTATTAGCATGATGGTTATAGTAATCTGATATCACACATACACAACAAAAGTTTTCAGAGGGAGAAAAGAGTTGCCTTATTTTGTGCCTCTCCCTAAGAACCTGGGCATGGTCTCCTCTCTCCTTAATGAGAACTGTAGCACTTGCCCGTTCTTAAACCAGTCACTGGCAAGGAAAAGGGGACTGCCATTTTTTGTCTTGGGCAAGTCAGATCATACTCCCTGGGAGTGGGTAAGAGATATGGTTTGTAGCACAGCATATTGGAGGATATTAGATATCTGCACAAAAATCAGTCATTGCATAGAAAGGAGCAAGTAGAGGATGTTGAGTGGTCAGTCAAGAATTATTTGTTATGACCAGCATGAATTCACTCATTAATTCTTCATGGAGGACCTACTCTCTTGTGTTTTAAGTGCTGTGATGAGTCAGTGCATGAATGCACACCAAAGGGCCCAGTCACCACCGGAGGGATCAAAAAAGACTTTCCCAAAAGAAGCACTGCCTTGACTGAGACCTAAATTCTAAGTAGGAGTTAAAGGAACATAGAGTTGATAAAGAATGCTATAGACATAAAACACAATGAGAAAGAAGATTCTGCCAAGCCTGACATTTATTTCTTCAGTTAGTAAAAATATCTATTGCATGCCTACTGTGTGCTAGGTCAGATTCCAGTCTTGAGATTAGAATCCCTGCCATTTAGGATTTACAGTGAGAGAAACAGTCAATCAACAGGTAAATAAAAAATAATATAATGTCAATTAGTAATGAATGCCATGAAGAAGAAGCAGGCAAAGAGCCAAAGAGCAATGGGAGGTGACACTTTACATCTATTCTTTTCAAGCATTGACATGCACATGAATCACCTGGCATATTACTAATATGTAGATTTTGATTCAGTAGGTCTAGGATAAGATCTGTGATAAATTCTTTATTTTTAATAAGCTCCTGGGCCATGTCAATGCTACTAGCTCATAAATCCCACTTGTGTTGTGAGGATTTAGAGTGAGAGTTGAACAGAGACCTCAGTGAAATGAAAGAGTGTGCTCTTGCTGGGGAAGGAAATTCCACAGGAGAGGGTTACATGCAAAAGCTCAACATAGAAACTGACCCAGAAGGTCAGTGTTGCTGGACACAATGAGTGAGGGGGGAAATGGTAGTAAACTAAGTCAGAGGGGTCTCCAGCAGTCAGATCATGAGGAATTTATAGGTCACGTTATGGATTTTCAATGACTTACTGTGATGAGAGGTCCTTGCAGGGATGAAAGTATATTGGTCGGAGTTCTCCGGGGAAACAGAACCAATAGATTGTGTGTGTGTGTGTGTGTGTGTGTGTGTGTGTGTATAGGTGGGTGCGTGTATGTGTGTGTGTGGGTGTAGGTGGGTGGAGAGAGAAAAATTTATTTTAAGGGATTGACTTGTACAATTTCGGAGACTGGCAAGCCCAGAATATGCAGGGTAGGCTGGTAGCCTAAGACCCAGGGAAGAGTTGATGTTGCAGCTCCAGTGTGAAGGCAGGCTTTTGGCCAAAATTTCTCTTCCTTGGGGATGTCAGTCATTTTTCTAGAGCCTTCAATTTATTGGATGAGGCTCATTCACATCATGGAGGGTTATCTGTTTTACTCAAGTGTACTGATTTAAAAACTAACCTCAATTTAAAAATAAATTCACAGCAACATCCAGACATGTTTAGCCAAATATCTGAGTACTGTGGCATAAAATTAACCATCACAAAGGACATGTAGATATGTTGTCTCATTGTACTATCTCCATTCAATAAATTTTGTTCACATCTATAATGTATTTGGGTGAAACTATATGATTTCTAATATTCCTTTCAGTTTTAAAATCTCACAATTCTGTGGGATCCCTATCAGATAATCTCTTGGACCATGTGCAGATTGAACAAAATTCTGGTTAGGAACCACACTAATGCCCAGTGATGTTCTGAGTATCCATCTGATGTTTCCTTTCCCATCAGGAGATGGCAAGTCACCAGGGTCTTGTAGCAGGTCAGTCCAGAATGCACAGGATGTGCTTCCTGAGTCTGATTCTCAACCAGTAGACCAGTGACATGAGATTTGGCTGTAAAAATTAACTTGCCTCAGCATTGCAGAGGCAAGGAAGTAAAAATTTGCCCTCATGTACAGTAAGATTGAAAAACACGCTTCAGTGCAGGTCTTAACCAGATTCTCACTGCAATGTATCCTAATGGGACTTTCTAATGTGATATAGAAATTTTATGGCATGGGTCAAAGTGCTGGGTAATTTCTGAAAGATAGACCTAATGTATTTTGTCACATCAAAAGTGATCCTAAGTCTGAACACTGATTCAAACATTTGAAAATTTTATAACCAACTACAAGTCTCAGAAGAGATTTTCTTCCCTTTAAGGACACTCACAGTGATCCCCCAAGAGGGATATTTCATGGTGTACCACTCATTAGGTTTGGTGATCAGTCACTGTTACACTAAATCTTAAAATGAGTTGTCACACACTATGTTCTATGTGTGGTTAAGTTTTACAATGTATCTATTGGGACATTTTGTTAGCTTCTAACAGGCAATTTATTTGTGGTATAGCTGTAGCTTTAAAATCTGTTTTAATCATTAGGCAGTCTCTTGTTTCTGAAATTTTGCTATCATTTGTCTATGTCCGCACCCTATTTCATTTACTCTCATTACTAATTACCATATGGAACTAAGGAAGAAAATCAGCATTACCACTTTACAAGTTCATATTTGTAATCTAGCTGAATAGAGAGCTTATGTTTAAAAGTTGAGATCTTATTTTTTTTTAATGAGGCTGGCCGCCAACTTCAGAAAAATTCTCCATTCCAATTAGCCTGTAAGAGACAAATTGTTAATTCCAGTTTAATAATCTTATTTTCCTGAGGTGTTTTTGTTTTTTTTTTTATTTTTTGAGACAGTCTCACTCCGTCACACAGGCTGAAGTGCAGTGGCATGATCTCAGCTAACTGCAACCTCTGTCTCCTAGGTTCAAGTGATTCTTATACTTCAGCCTTCCAAGTAGCTGGAATTACAGGCACGCACCACCACACCCAGCTAATTTTTGTATTTTTAGTAGAGATGGGGTTTCACCATGTTGGCCAGGCTGGTCTCGAACTCCTGACCTCTAGTGATCCACCCATCTCTACCTCACAAAGTGCTGCGATTATAGGTGTGAGCCTCCGTGCCCAACCCTATTTTGCTGTTTGACAGAAAATTTTTGATTTTGTAACTGCCTGAGATACAGTTGCTCCCTGTGGAGGAGGAAATAGCAACTATGTCAAGGGAATAAAGACTCACAGAAAGAAGCAAGTATGAGTGACAATATTGTGGAAAAGATTGAGTTGATCCAGTAGCATTAAACCTAGCAGGAGGAAGAGTAGTTGCTGAATAACAACTACATTTAGATTCTTTAGTTGAAAAATTTAGACTTATTATGATCTTACTGGAAATAATTTTAGTTGAAATTTTCCATTGTAAAATAATACATGTTCATTGGAAAAAACTGAAACAAAGTTTAAAGTTCCCTAGGGATTTATTTCATGGAATTTTGCCTAACGAACATACTTTCCCTTTCCCGTAACTCTTGGGAGTATCTAAAATAGACATATTAATAAAGTCATTTAATTTAAAAAGTAATAAGTAAGTTTTAATCAAATGCCAACAATACAATTTGTAGATGGAACCTGAGTGGTCCTGAGACCAAGCTATTAAATATCCATTCCTCTTCCCTACTGTCTTTGAAACTTGTTTCTTTCTTACGCTTATTTGTAAAAAAAAAAAAAAAATTGGAAAGTGACTGCTCCCTCTGTTCAGACCACATGGTTTGCCTCTTTTGCCAGAGCATCGTTCTCTGTTCTGACTTTAAGCTCTCCCAAAGCCTACATTAGACCTATTTTTGACGAGGCTGCAGCAAGGGAGGGAATGGCTGATTCTCCTGATCTGCCCTATCAGTATAGGGGATTATTTCATTTCTTTCCAGAATAGAGGGTATACATGAGTCTCATAACTTTTGTAGCTTACTTTAGTCATGGAAATGATTTTTCATATATTATTGTTTTTCTGGTAATTTCTATGCAGTTTTACTGGTAAAGTTTTCTGCATGTTATTCTACTGACAACTTAGCCCAGAGTGATCTATTTGGGAAGTTTCTCAATTTTGTTTTAGTCTGTTGGCATTGCTATAAAGGAATATGTGAGAGCGTGTAATTGATAAAGAAAGAGGTTTAATTAGCTGATAATTCTGCAGGCTGTACAAGAAGCATGGCACTGATATCTGCATTTGGTGAGGGCCTCAGGCTGCCCCCACTTGTGGAGGAAGGTGAAGGGGAGCAGGCATCACATGGTTTCAGAAAGGGAGAGAGATGCCAGCCTCTTTTTAACAATCCGTTCTCAAAGGAACTAATAGAGCAAGAGCTCAGTCTTTACTTTGAGAAGGGCACCAGGCCATTCATGAAGGTTCTGCCCCCATGACTCAACACCTCCCACAAGGCCCAACCTCCAACATTGGACATCAAATTTCAACAAGAGATTTTTCAGTGGATAAATAGCTAAACTCGGTCAAATTTGAAAGAATATCATTTCGACTATATCATTTAGAAGTAATAGCAATGCAGAAAAGAAGATGAACATGGAAGCTAAAAGAATTTTGATAGGAAATATCAATTTAATAAACTGCCTATCGTTCATTCCTCCTCCAAGAATGTAAATGAATTATTTCATTTTGAACTTTAATTTTAGAAAACTATCCTTAAAAACACTTCAGAAAATAAAAAGGTTTATAGGAGATAAATGTTACTTTTAAGTTAAAAAATATCACTTAAATTTATAATGATACTGTGAACTGAGACAGTTCATATCCTGATTCTTCCATTTCAAGTTATGTGATACCTTGATGATACTACTCCATCATTAAATATCAGTTTCCTCATAAATGAAATATACTATTAGTATCTATATTATAAAGTTGTTTTGACAATGAAATGAAATAATTTGTGTAAGATTGTAAGATGCTTAACATATACACTGGGAGCTAATAAGTCCTCAAGAAATGTTGTATTATTATTTTTAGTATCATTGTCAGGTAAATGCTGACTTGATATTGAACTATATTCCTATGACAAAATAGGTAATAAAGAGAGGAAAGAATGATATTAATAAATGGAATAGGAAGAAGATGAAGGAATGCAAGTATGTAGGCAAACTAATTAGATTAAAATTATAATGATATTACTTGTGGGAGGGAAATGGCAGGCAATTTTATACACTAAGAATAAAAAAAGGTTATTGAAATCCATATGTAAAGGTAAAAGACTCCAAATTAATCTGTGCTTCCAAGAAAAAGCAAACTAAATCTTATGAAGAATTGTGTAACATGATATTGAATCCTCTTTTCCACCCCAACTTTAAGTCTTTTCCTGTCAATAAGTAGCATGTGAAACCATTTTGCCCCATTTCTGCTCCTTTATAAGTACATTTTCTGAGGGATAAAAAGGTTATCTATATGGAGGGAATTTATATAAAATAAGCCTTTATCTTTTTCTAGAATTAATAATTGGAGACACATGGCTGGGCGTGGTGGCTCATGCCTGTAATCCTGGCACTTTGGGGGGACGAGGTGGGTGGATCACAAGGTAGGAGTTTGAGACCAGCCTGGCCAACATGATGAAACCTGTCTCTACCAAAAATATAGAAAATTAGCCGGGTGTGGTGGCACGCACCTGTAATCCCAGCTACTCAGGAGGCTGAGGCAGGAGAATTGCTTGAACCTGGGAGGCGGAGGTTGCAGTGAGCCAAGATCACACCACTGTACTCCAGCCTGGGTGACAGAAGGAGACTCCATCTCAAAAAAAAAAAAAAAATTGGAGATATACAAGGATATTACTTCAGCAGTAGAAGGAAGAGAAGAGCACTCTTTGAAATGAGGAAATATTTGCAGTACTTTTGAAATATTACTAATATATTCCACTTGATATATATATATATATATACATATATATATAACGTGAGTGCAAACTGAAGCTCTACATGTGAAATAATGATATCTCCTTATTATATAAGATGCTGATTATAAGCACCGACACCTAATAATCCCTTAAGAAGTGTCCTGCCAAGAGTCTTATTGACGCACTACCCAAGAAGCAGGGATGGATCCGAAACTACTTGAGTCCTCTTCTACTCATCAGTTGTTAATTTCGTAGGAAATATATTACCTAATCACTCAGAAACATACTTCCAATTCACTTTTTACTTCTTTTTATTATGCAATTTATAATAGCTATGAATAAATGAACTGTTTTAAAATAATATGCTGCATGTAAGTTTCTACTGCCCATGCAATTCAAATATCTGTAACTTCTTTACCCTGAGGAGTCACCCTTCCCTTTCGGGCTCATCTAGCATGGTCTGACTATCCATAACTCATCTATTATGAGTACACAATGCTCAGTCTTTATCAGATACCCTCCAAAAATGTTTCCAGTGATTCCTGGGGAAATGCGCACATCCTGCAAGCATGTCTACTTTGTACTTGTATTCTCTTGTTCCTTCCCTCAACTCCAGGCTCCTCTAATGACCAGTTTTTACCAGACTATAATTATTTTCCCATGCTACAACTTCTCTGTCTTCATTACTTCAACCATAAGTAGAGATCGAAGCAGACTCTAACATTGAACACATTTTTGTGTTTTTTCTTTTTTCCTAAAAGACTGAGAAAAACTTCAGGAATTAAAAAATCTACAAGAATAATGTTTTAAGCCAATAACCACAACAGTAGTCTAAAACAAGCCTTTATTATAAAAAGTGAACTTTCTTGAGAGAAAAAAAAGATTTGTGAGTTCCAAGGAGCCAGAGTTTAAACTATAAGTAATAAAGCAAGAAAGAATGCATAATTTGATTTCAGAATAGTTTTTGCACCACTCAGGAAGAAGATGAAATTTTAACTAGTTGGTAAGTGAGAGATGATACCAGAGATTTTATGGGATTCCATGCTGCCTAAGCCCTTCAGAAAGTCCTAATGCTCAGTCGCTCTATGGGCTGCAGCATGGGAAGAGAAAAGTCATCAGAAACACTAGAGAGAAAATGCAAGAAAGGGACTTGCAGGGATGTGCATGCTATAGAAAGTTAGGAGGGGTAGGAGGGCAGGGGGAAAAAACCTTCTAGAACAAGCATGGTTCCCTGGCTTTAGATTACCCATAGCCAAGAAGTCTAAACCAATATAACTCAAGTGCAGTCCACCCATCGCAACTTACATGAACTGTTTTATTTTTTAACTAGTTCATTATCAGAATGTGTCAGAATATAGGTCAATGCACCAGTTAATTTGTGAAAAAAGTCTTGCTATCAGGTAAAGTAGATGGTATAGTAAGTGCTGTACTTAATTTACATTCTGGCACAAGTTTCTCAGCCTGAGGGCAGCATTAAATTAAACTGTTTAAAACAATTGGACAGAAGAGTGTGAGTGAAGGCTTGCTGTACCAGCTATTAAACTAAGCATAAAAGCCATCATGATTAAAACAGTATAGTACTGACACAAAAATAATCAAATAGATCTATGGAAAACAGTACAGAACGTATAATCAGATCCATTTGGAATAGGAATTTTAGGTAGCATTTTGGATAATTCTAGAAAAATAATATATTTGTTTTGGCAATTGGCTGTCTATTTTGGAAGAAAAAAATGTTAGATCTGTCATTTACATCATAACAAAAAGTGAGTTCCATTTAAAATAAAGAACCAAAATTTTGTTTCAATAACAATATAAGAAATTAAAAAAATAAATAAATAATTACTAAATGCAGTCATTCATTACATGATAGTGTTTAAGTCAATGATGGAACATATATATGACAATGATCCCATAAGATTATAAAACTTTATTTTTACTGTACCTTTTCTATGTTTTCATATGTTTAAATGCATAAACACTTACCCTGTGTTACAGTTGCCTCCAGTATTTAGTACAGCAACATGCTATGCAGGTTTTAGCCTAGAAGCAACAGGCTATACCATCCAGGTTTGTGTAAGTACACACTATGATGTTTGCACAATGACAAAATCACCTAACAACATATTTCTCAGAATGTATTCCCACCATTAAGTGATGCATGGCTGTTATTTTGTTTTTAAAGAAAAGAAAATAAAGTACTGGTGAGGATGTCGAGAAACTGAAACCCTTGGGTATTGCCAGTGGGAATGAAAAATAGTACAGCCACTGTAAAAAGCATCATAGATTACTATCTGATCAGAAATCTTACTTCTAGGTATATGATTGATCATTGAATAATTCAGGGGTTAGGATTGCTGACCCGTGTGCAGTCGAAAATCTGCATTTAACTTTCAACTCCCTCAAAACTTAGCTACACATACTCACTGTTGACTGGAATCTTTACTCATAGCAGCCATTTAACACAGATTTTGTATGTTGTATGTATTATATACTGTGTTCTTAAAGAAAGCTAGAGAAAAGAAAATGTTATTAAAATAATAAGAAAGAACATATATGTACTATTCATTAAATGGAAATGGACTATCAAAAGTCTTCATCTTTGTTGTCTTCAGGTTGAGTAGGCTAAGGAGGAGGACAAAGATGAGGAGCTGGTCTTGCTGTCTCTGGGAGAAGATGAGGAAGTGGAAGGGGAGGCAGGAGGGACAGGAATGGTCAGTGTAAGTTTTATTGAAAATATCTGCATATAAGTGGACTCATGCAGTTCAGACCCATGTTGTTCAAGGGCCAACTGTGTGAGCAAAATAATTGAAAGCCAGGACACAAAAAGATATTTGCACACCAATGTTCACAGCAGCATTATGTACAATATCCAAAAGATTATCACCGCCCAAATGCTCTTCACGGGATGAATGGTTAAACAAAATATGGCTTATCATACAATGGTCTATTATTCAGCTTTTAAAAAGAATAAAATTCTGATTGCTTCAACATGAATAAACATTGAAGACATTATGCTAAGTGAAATAAGCCAGACACAAAAGGACAAATATTGTCTGATTCTACTAATAAGACACACCTAGAATAGTTAAATCCGTAGAGGCAGAAAATAGAATAGTGGTCACCAGGATCTGGGGAGGGGAGAATGGAAAGTTGTTGCTTAATGGGTACAGAGTTTTAGTTTAGGATGATGAAAAAGTTCTGAAGAGGAATAGAAATGATGGTTGTGAAACAATGTGAATGCACTTAATACCACTGAATTGTACACATCCAAATGACTTGCATGATAAATTTTGTGTTACGTATATTTTACCTCAATAGTCAAAAGAAAATATAAGTTTAACACTTTTTAAAAGTGAAGAAATTATATTAAATGAAATACAAATCTAGAATTTACAACACAGTGATTTCATTTATGGCGTTGAGTATATCAATAATTCTTTCCTTTTTAGAGCTGAGTAGTATGCCATGATATGAATGTACCAAAATTTGTTCATACACCTGTTGAAAGACATTTGGATTGTTTACAGTTTGTGTGATTATAATAGAGCTATTACAAACATTGACATACAATTGTTTTGTGTGATCAACATTTTTCACTCCCTAAGGTCTCTCTAATCCCAGGAGAGGGGTTTCTGGGCTTATGATAAACATCTTCCCTGCATGTCTCTAGAGAGGCTATTTGGCCAAGGCTTAACTACAGCTGATCTAAGTTTTGGTAAAATGCTCTGAGATATTCCTGGAACATGAGAGTGTGGGAGGCTTTGAAGAGCCTACCCCCTCTACCTATCTTCCAAGGAGGCTGCCATGAGACAGTTACTCATCACTTCATGGGTTTTGAAGAGGCCTGAGGCTCTCTGCCTCTCTGTTATTTGGGCACAACTGCAAAGTATAAAGCTGCTTATCTGCAAGATGCAATTGGATCTGCAGCAGCAGGTTGCTCCCACTACTGATGATACATCATCACATTACTCGCTATTTTTGTTTCAGTGTCATCCTTTGAGATAAGGGGCTTGGGTATCTGGCATTTTTGCTCATTTTATTTTGCTAAGTAATAAACTGTCTAAATATAACATAAACTTTTTTTTTTAACCAGTCAAATGTGTCAGGCTTTGATTGCTAGAACTTTGGCTTGTTTTCGTTTTTCAGCAATTATGAATGGAGCTGTGTTTATATTCATGTACATATCTTTCTGTGAACATAAATTTTATTTTTCTAAAGTAAATTCCCAGGAATAGTATTGCTGAGGCATATGGGAAGTGTAAACAAGAGAGTGCCCAACAGCAATGTAGGAGTGTTCTAGTCACTGCACATTCTCACCAGCCTTTTGATATTATCATGAATTTTTAAATTGAGTTGTTTGTTTTCTTTTTATTGAGTTTCGAGAGTGCTTTATATATTCTGGATACAAGTTCTGTGTTAGACATGTGGTTTGAAAATATTTTCTCCAATTTTGAAGTTTAGCTTTTCATTTTCCTAATAGTGTCTTTTGTAAAGCAAAAGTTTTACATTTTGACAAAATCTAACTGATCTGTTTTTAAATTATTGATTGTGCTTTTGCTATTATCTCTAAGAACTCTTAGACTAACACCAAGTTGTAAAGGTTTTTTTGTTTTGTTTTGTTTTTTCCATTTTTTGAGACAGGGTCTCAATTTGATGCCTAGGCTGGAGTGGGGTGGTACAATCAAAGCTCATTCCAGACACGACGTCTTGGGCTCAAGAGATCCTCCCACCTCAGCCTCCCAAGTAGCTGGGACTACCAGTGCATGCCACCACACCCAGCTAATTTTTAAAAAATTTGTAGAGATGGGTTTTCACTATGTTACCCAGGCTGGTCTTGAACTTCTGGGCTCAAGCAGTCCTCACACATTGGCCTGCCAAAGTGCTAGGATTACAGACATGAGCCACCACCCCTGGCTGATTTTTTCAAAAAGTTCCATGGCTTTTCATTTCATATTTACATCATAATGTTTTTTGAGTTAAATTTTGGATAAAGTGAGGTTTAGGTCAGGTTGTTGTTGTTGTTGTTTTGTTTGTGTTTTTTGTTTGTTTTTTGAGATGGAGTCTTGCTCTGTTGCCTAGGCTGGAGTGCAGTGGCGTGATCTAGGCTCACCACAACTTCTGCCTCCCAGGTTCAAATGATCCTTCTGCCTCAGCCTCCTGAGTAGCTGGGATTACAGTCATGTGCCACTATGCCCAGCTAATTTTTCTTAGTAGAGACGGGATTTCACCATGTTGGCCAGGCTGGTCTCAAACTCCAGGTCAGGTTGTTTTAACTGCATATAAATGTTCAGGTTTTCCAACATCATTTGTTGCAAAGACTGTCTTTTCCCCATTGGATTATTTTGCACAGAATTCACTTGGCCATATATTTCTAGACTATCTTCTGCTTTATTGATCAGCTGATCTATACCACATTGTCTTGATAACAGTAGCTTTACAGTAAATTTTAAATTTAGGTAGGGTGATTCCTCCAATTTTATTCTTCTTTTTCAAAACCCTTTCAGCTATGATAATTCCTTTGAATTTCCATATTAATCTTCAAATTGGCTTATCTATATCTATAAAGTTCTGCTGGGATTTTGTTTGGAATTTCAATAAATCTAAATTTGGGAAGAAATGGCATTTTACTATGTTGAGTCTTTCAATCTATGAACATCATATGTCTCAATTTATTTGGCCCTTTGATATCTTTTAATCAGCATTTGTTGTTTTCTGCATACAGATTCTGCACATTTTGCCAGATTTATACCAAATTTTTGAGGTGTTGTAAATGGTATTTCTTTTAAACTTTCAGTTTATAGTTACATTCATATTGTGCAGAAATAAAATTGTTTTGTTGTATGTTGATCTTGTATCCTGTTGATGCAGGGCAGGTGAGCCCCAAAATTGGGGCTTAGTCCAGAAGGGTTCTTGACTTTGCTCAGAAGATAATTCAAGAGTGAGCTAGTGGTGAAAGAAAGCCTATTTATTGAAGTGTCAGTGTACCGCAGAATGACAGCTCCTTGTGGAGCAGCACTAACCCAGAGCCTGAGCATCCACAGTAGCAGCATGTGGACTATTGGCTAGTAGTATTTATACCCACTTTTAATTACATGCATGTTAAGGAGTGGGTTACTCAGAACTCTCTAGAAAACGGCCAGTAACTTCTGGGTGTTGCTGGGCATTTGTAAACTGTCAGGGCACTGGTGGGAGTGTCTTATGCTGATGAGCAGTGGGGACACCTAGAGGTTGGTTCTGTTGTCATCTACTGATTCTTGCTGGTTTCTTCACTTCATCCTGTTGAGACCAGGAATAAGTCCTGCTGGTCTCCTACCTCACTATAACCTTGCTGCACTCCATTGGGTTGACGAGTCTTTTGTGGATTTCTTGGGATTTCTATGTAGATGATCATATCACTTGTAAATAGGGACAGTTATATTTCTTCATTTTAAGTTTTTATTTCTTATATTTTAAAATTGTTATTGTAGTAGTTAGAATTTCTAGCACAAGATTGAATGGGAGAAGTTAGAGTGAACATCCTTGCCTTGTTCCCAATCTTAAGAGAAAAGCCAATATTCTTTTATCATTAAGTATGATATTAGTCACAGGTTTTTCTTAGATGTTCTTCACCAGGTTGAGGATGTTCCTTACCATTCCTACTTTGCTGAGAATTTCTATAATGAATGAACACTGAATTTTACATATTTTTCCTGAAAAAAAGAAATAATTATTACATTTTTCATTAGACTATTAATACAGATTTCATTGATGCCAAAATATTGGCCAGACTTGTACCCCTAGAATAAATCCCATTTGGTTGTGGTACAGACATACATACACACATGCTAATATATGATGTTTATATTTTTTTATCCTCTTCCTCCTCTCCTCCGCCTTTTCCCCCTTTCTTCCCCTCCTCCCCCTCCTCCCCCTCCTCTCCCTCCTCTCATTCCTCTCCTTCCTCCTCCTTCATCTTCATTTTTATACTATCTTTGGCTTTGATATCAGTGTAATGCTGGTCTCATAAAATGAAATGGAAAGTGTTACCTCTTCTATTTTTTGGAGGAGATTTTGTAGAGTTGGCATTACTTCTAAATGTTTGGTAGAAACTAACAATTGACATCATCACCAAAGATGACATTTTTGAGAAGATTTAAATTATGAATTCAAGTCCCTTCATGGTTTTAAAAATATTCAGAGTATATATTTCTTCTTAATTGAATTTTGGTAATCTGTGTCTTTAAAGTGTTTGGTTCTTTTTATTTAAGAAGTAAAATTATGGCCATAAAATTGTTCTAGTTTTCTCTCAGTATCCTCTTAATGCCTATGATGCTATGGTGATAATTCCCTATTTCATTCATATTATTGTAATTTGGCTTTCTCCTTTTTTTCTTTGACAATCTTGCTAGAGTCTTATCAATTTTAGTGGCATTTAAAAGACTTTTCAGTTTTATTGCTGCAATAATAAGTTACAGTCTTAGTTGTTTAAAATAATACACATTTATTATCTTACAGTTCTGCAGTCTAGAAGTCTAGTTACACAGGACTAAATCAAGGTGTCAGCAAGGCTGTGTTCCTTCCTAGAGACTGCAGGGGGGAATCTATTTCCTTTTCCCACTTTTGTGTGCTCCTTGGCTCTTGGCCTCTTTCCTCCATCATCCAAACCAACAATGGCTGGTTGAGTTCTCACAACTCATCACGCTGACCTACTCTTCTGCCTCTCTCTTTCACCTGTGATGACTATGGATCCATCCAGATAATTCAGGATAAGCTCCCTATCTTTAGGTCCTTAGCTTAATCACATCTGCAAATCCATTTTTGCCATGTAAGGTAACATATTCACAGGTCCTGAGGATGACAATCTGGGTATCTTTGGAGCCATTATTCTGCCTACTAAAGTATCTACAGGTATTTAATATTATATTAAGAGGCTTTGTTTACCTTCTATGGAGAATGCTTATATTGTTGTTTTATCAGGCAATCAACATGCTTAAGTTCAGTTGATAATTACATCTAGCATCCTATTGTCTGTGGTTCCAATGTCAGTTCAATTTTTAAAGCATTTGCTGTGTTATTCCAATGTGTCCAATGTTAGTGGTTATTAGTCTCTGACCTGAGAGGTGGTCTGTTCCTTCGATTAGGCTGATTACATTCAGATCCACATAAGCATGGTTTGGAGTTGATGCCAGGGGTTCACAATCAACATTGCAGTGTCATTTTCCCTAGCACTTCTTTCTCCCTCATCTTCCTACTTCTGATGGTTCCCTGGCCCTGGCCGGATCTCCAGCCAAAAAGCTGGGGCTTTAGTTACCTGGTTCTGCTAAGGACTTTCACAACTGATGCCAAGTGGCAGTGTAATTGCCCAATGGGTTTATCTTGTCTGCTGCCCAGAAAAGCTGCTCTACTGAGACAGTGTTATTGCAATAGAGAGTTTAATAAACATAGAGCTAGCTAAACAAGAGACCAGAGTTTTATTACTCAAGTCAGCCTCCCTGAAAATTTGGAGGCTCAGTTTTTTTTTTTTTCTTTTTTGAGACAGAGTCTCCTTCTGTCGCCCAGGCTGCAGTACAGTGGCACGATCTCGGCTCACTGCAACCTCTGCCTCCCAGGTTCAAGTGATTCTCCTGCCTATACTTCCCAAGCAGCTGGGACTACAGGTGCATGCCGCCACACCTGACAATTTTTTTTTGTATTTTTAGTAGAGACAAGGTTTCACCGTGTTAGCCAGGATGGTCTCAATCTCCTGAACCCGTGATCCGCCTGCCTCAGCCTCTGAAAGTGTTGGGATTACAGGCATGAGCCACTGCACCCAGCCAGAGGCTCGGATTTTTAAGAGTAGTTTGGCAGACACAGGGCTAGGGGATGGGGAATGCTGATTAGTTGGGTCAGGGATGAAATTATAGGCAGTCAAAGCTTATCTTCTTGCATGGAGTCAGTTCCTGGGGGCCGTGAGATCAGGTAAGTTGGTTTACCAGTCTGGGTGGCACCACCTGGTCCATCAGAAGGCAGGGCCTAAAAAATACCTCAAAAATCAACCTTAAGTTTTACAATAATAATGTTATTCACAGGAACAGAGAAGTTAGGAATCTTGTGGCCTCTGGCTGCATGATTTCTGAGAAATAATTTCTAATCTTGTGGCTACTTTGTTAGTTTTACAAAGGAAGTCTGATCTCCAAGCAATGAGGGGTTTTGTCCAAGAAGGAGCTGTTATCATCTTTGTTCCAAAGTTAGGCCATAAACTAAGTTTCTCCCGTAGTTAGCTAGGCCCACACCCAGGAATGTGCAAGGGCAGCTTGGGGGTTAGAAGCAAGATGGAGTCACTTAGGTCAGATTTATTTCACTGTCATAATTTTTGTAAAGGCAATTTCACCAGGAAGACACAAGAGAAATAAAAGTAATATAGGTTCATCCCACCCTCTTGGGGTCACAGATTTATTATCATTACTAGGTTTCAGGCTGCCTTGACAAAAAGTCTAATGGAAAAAATACAGTACACGAAATAATATAAATGGGATATGAATAGAATATAAAGAATGCCAATTGCACATAAATATACTAATATGAAATTTCTCAATGCTACTGAAGTTGAAAATAAAAATATAGAAGAAATGTAACTATCATACAAACCCATCAGGCAATTACACTGCCACTTGGCCTCAGTTGTGAAAGTCCTTAGCAAAACTAGGTAACCAAAGGCTTTTTGGCTGGAGAACTGGCCAGGGAACCATTCAGAAATAGGAAGATGAGGGAGAAGAAAGTGCTGGGGAAAATGAGATGAGAGTGAGTGAGATGTGAGTGCAGTTCAAATTTGGAAGCAGAATCAGAAATTTTAAACTATCCTGTGGACCATGCTTATAGATAACATCCTTGAAAGCATGAAGAGTTTGGCCCTGTCGGGATGCTTAGGAAGTAGGAGTTAGCATTTGCTTTATGACATGGTAAAAGGATTGAAAGTTTTTGGATTGGCTAGCAGCCAAAATTTTTATATTTTAATTTTTGAGTAGTTTCTTATAAAAATGGATAATCCCAATTTTAACTCACATAATTATGTATCTAGGAGTCCAAAAAATCAGTCTTGTCTTAAAGTCTTGAAATACTTAAAACTACTTGAAATACTTAAAACTAAAAATACTTAATACTTAACATACTTAAAAACCTTTAAAAACTTAAAACTAATGATGAAAATATTATTTTCATTAATTACCCTTATGTTTTACACTTGATTAACAAATTGCTTCGAATCTAGACCATTTTTATATAGCATCTGAAAGATACGTTTTTATTTCCTAACTTGTTTTCTTGCCTTCTAAAACAGGTCTCTCTTATTTCTCTCTGGTGTTATATTCATTTGTCTGTCTCAATCTCTGTATCCCAGCTCTCCTTATCCATAAAATGGGGATAATTATAATAACATTTACCTTATTGTGTTGTTACATGATTAAATAAAATGACACGTGTCAAGCATAAAAAGTGTCTTGCACATAGTAACTGTTCACTAAATATTTGTTATAGCTACTTACGTGATCATCTTGTCTTAACTCACACAACTAAAACTACCACTATTAATCATTATTGCAATCAAGCATTGGTTAGATTTACTTAAAGACTATCACACGAAGGCAATTGCCTTCACTATGTGAAGGCATAGTCTTTAAGTGTATGTGAGTGTATGTGTGTGTATGTGTGTGTACACGTGCTATTGAATCCACTCAAAAGCTATAGATGATATCTACTATTGTTAAGTTCCATTTATATTGGAGGCAACTGAGATATGGAAAGAACAAATACCTGGCCCATGATCACAATTTTGGCAACTGCTAAAACCGGAAAAATGTTTGTAGTCTTATGTTACTTTATCTTCAAAAAAGTTAGACTTGTGTCTTGAAGAGTGAGTTGGGGTTAAAGTAATTGGGTTAATCAGAAATCTTTACAAATCTATTTCAGCAACATTTACTTGAAAAAGAAGAAATAATAAGTTGGAGCAAAGTAACATCTCTAGCTTGTGAGGAAATGAGGCAGCATTTTAAATATTGCTACAACAGGGTCTAAAGTTTAGCACAATTTTCTTCTATTGCTAGTTCTTCCTTGAGATGTTATATCAATGGAGCAAGATTTTTCTTTTAAGTGTAAATATTCTAGGGAACATTTTCTTACCTATTGTAAAATGCAATTTCTTGTTATATTCTGTGATGTTCTTTGATATCATCCTTATCTTCTTATTCACTGTGAAATGAATACAACGTTATTTCTGAAAAAGCTGAAATGTAAAATGCTTAGTGTTTTGCTGTATGGTGACCCCTTAACATCAGTATAGTAAAGTGAGGTCTAAAGCCTTACTATATTATACAAGGGAAACAGAACAACAAACTGATATTTATATAGATTAGATTTGCTTTCAGTTTACAGGTTATTTCTCCCAGCTATATTTATGTTAGTACTCCAAACAAAGTGTTTTTATTTTCTGGAAAAAATACCAAAACTCTTCTAGCATGTGACTTAAACATAACTGCAAAATATCAAATGAGAAAATAAATTTAAATTACATGAGTTTCTAAAAATGGCTTGTCCTTTTCACATATTTGGCTGGGATTTTTTAGACAATTATCTGGGGTAAGTGGGGATGTTAACTGCTTTCATTACTCTCTAAACTGCAGAATGGAAGTTAGGAATGATAGAAGATTTCACTTTTTGAAGGTCAGTTAAAAAAATAATTATTGAAACAATTACCTCAAAAAAAATTATGAACTTAGACTAAGATCTCTGATGGAGAATATGATAACTTAATTTTATTCCCCAGTAGGCAATCTGAAAATCAAAGCCAATATTATGTTCTATTGATAAATGAAACCCATTTTGAAGTTAGAATTTTCAGTATTTTACTGTCATTTGTCCATCCAGTATGTGCATTTTCATGTAGAAGATCAAAAGAAATGCATGTATTCTTGCTAGAAAAATGTCTGATTAATATTCTTTATTATGTGGTATTATTTTAAAAGATATATTGCCGGACTTTGAGTCATTAAATGGTTTTTCTAAGATGATGGTGTTCTCCAGAATCCAGATTTTCTGGATGAGTGCCCTTTGGTAATGCAGTAGTTACTACCTTTTGCTGAAGGTTATAATTTATAGAAGGCAAAAAATCATAGCCTTTCCTGGAATTGAAAAAGCTTTCCAAAGGCACTCATTTGAAATATTTTACTAACATTATTTATGAAGCTAAAATTAACAATAAAAAAGCATTTTTAATTTCAAGTATTGAAATGCCAAAAATCAAACAATTGGAAAACAAAATGACAATTTGTTTCATGTAATTTTGACCACATTATAATGTCTGTAAAGGATCCAGCACCGTGCCTGTGGTATTTGACGTGTTCGTTCCCTTACTCTTCTCCCATCTTGTTTCTTTGTTGGTTGGCATCTACATACATTACAGATTTCCAGTCAGCACCAAGAAACACCAAAAAATGGATAATGCAGTTTTCAGTGATTTTTCCCGTAATCTGTGGATTCAGCACTCAATGTAGATGAATGTCCCCCCAGCACCTTTACTTTGTAATTTATGTCCCTCATCTCTCATTTTGCTCGGCATTTTTTCCTCATTTTTTTAAGCATTCTCATTTTATTGGGCATATATTTTCTAGGATTTTTACATTTGCTTTTTTTATATAATTACTCCAATGGGTGTCATTATTTCTTCATTACTTTCTAATGACTAAAATTTCTAATTCTAACTTTTTAAAAATGTGAACTAGTAAATCTTTCAAAAAGAAAGAGACATATGGATTTACTCTTAGCCAATCTCATCTGATTATTGTGGGTTCTGCCAAATATGAGGAATATAAAAGCAGATTAAATGAGAGTAGATCAAAAGGTCATTAAAGTTTAATTTTATTTATTTATTTATTTTTTAATTTTATTATTATTACACTTTAAGTTTTAGGGTACATGTGGACAATATGCAGGTTTGTTACATATGTATACATGTGCCATGTTGGTGTGCTGCACCCATTAACTCGTCATTTAACATCAGATATATCTCCTAATGCTATCCCACCCCCCTTCCCCCACCCCACAACAGTCCTTGAAGTGTGATGTTCCCCTTCCTGTGTCCGTGTGTTCTCATTGTTCAATTCCCACCTATGAGTGAGAACATGCAGTGTTTGGTTTTTTGTCCTTGCGAGAGTTTGCTGAGAATGATGGTTTCCAGTTTCATCCATGTCCCTACAAAGGACATGAACTCATCATTTTTTATGGCTACATAGTATTCCATGGTGTATATGTGCCACATTTTCTTAATCCAGTCTATCGCTGTTGGACATTTGGGTTGGTTCCAAGTCTTTGCTATTGTGAATAGTGCCGCAATAAACATATGTGTGCATGTGTCTTTATAGCAGCATGATTTATAATCCTTTGGGTATATACCCAGTAATGGGATGGCTGGGTCAAATGATATTTCTAGTTCTAGATCCCTGTGGAATCACTACACTGACTTCCACAATGGTTGAACTAGTTTACAGTCCCACCAACAGTGTAAAAGTGTTCCTATTTCTCCACATCCTCTCCAGCACCTGTTGTTTCCTGACTTTTTAATGATTGCCATTCTAACTGGTGTGAGATGGTATCTCATTGTGGTTTTGATTTGCATTTCTCTGATGGCCAGTGATGATGAACATTTTTTCATGTGTTTTTTGGCTGCATAAATGTCTTCTTTTGAGAAGTATCTGCTCATATCCTTCGCCCACTTTTTGATGGGGTTGTTTGTTTTTCTCTTGTAAATTTGTTTGAGTTCATTGTAGATTCTGGATATTAGCCCTTTGTCAGATGAGTAGGTTGCGAAAATATTCTCCTATTTTGTAGGTTGCCTGTTCACTCTGATGGTAGCTTCTTTTGCTGTGCAGAAGCTCTTTAGTTTAATTAGACCCCATTTGTCAATTTTGGCTTTTGTTGCCATTGCTTTTGGTGTTTTAGACATGAAGTCCTTGCCCATGCCTATGTCCTGAATGGTATTGCCTAGGTTTTCTTCTAGGATTTTTATGGTTTTAGGTCTAACATGTTAAGTCTTTAATCCATCTTGAATTAATTTTTGTATAAGGTGTAAGGAAGGGATCCAGTTTTAGCTTTCTACATATCGCTAGCCAGTTTTCCCAGCACCATTTATTAAATAGGGAATGCTTTCCCCATTGCTTGTTTTTTTCAGGTTTGTCAAAGATCAGAGGGTTGTAGATATGTGGCATTATTTCTGAGGGCTCTGTTCTGTTCCATTGATCTATATCTCTGTTTTGGTACCAGTACCATGCTGTTTTGGTTACTGTAGCCTTGGAGTATAGTCTGAAGTCAGGTAGTGTG
This sequence comes from Homo sapiens, assembly GCF_000001405.40. Lineage (NCBI taxonomy): Eukaryota > Metazoa > Chordata > Mammalia > Primates > Hominidae > Homo > Homo sapiens. The sequence continues at coordinate 66,447,402 of NC_000010.11, read as the reverse complement.
ATGCCTCCAGCTTTCTTCTTTTGGCTTAGGATTGACTTGGCGATGCGGGCTCTTTTTTGGTTCCATATGACCTTTAAAGTAGTTTTTTCCAATTCTGTGAAGAAAGTCATTGGTAGCTTGATGAGGATGGCATGGAATCTATAAATTACCTGGCCAGTATGGCCATTTTCACGATATTGATTCTTCCTACCCATGAGCATGGAATATTCTTCCATTTGTTTGTATCCTCTTTTATTTCATTGAGCAGTGGTTTGTAGTTCTCCTTGAAGAGGCCCTTCACATCCCTTGTAAGTTGGATTCCTAGGTATTTTATTCTCTTTGAAGCAATTGTGAATGGGAGTTCACTCATGATTTGGCTCTCTGTTTGTCTGTTATTGGTGTATAAGAATGCTTGTGATTTTTGCACATTGATTTTGTATCCTGAGACTTTGCTGAAGTTGCTTATCAGCTTAAGGAGATTTTGGGCTGAGACGATGGGGTTTTCTAGATATACAATAATGTCATCTGCAAACAGGGACAATTTGACTTCCTCTTTTCCTAATTGAATACCCTTTATTTCCTTCTGCTGCCTGATTGCCCTGGCCAGAACTTCCAACACTATGTTGAATAGGAGTGGTGAGAGAGGGCATCCCTGTCTTGTGCCAGTTTTCAAAGGGAATGCTTCCAGATTTTGCCCATTCAGTATGATATTGGCTGTGGGTTTGTCATAGATAGCTCTTATTATTTTTAGATACGTCCCATCAATACGTAATTTATTGAGAGTTTTTAGCATGAAGGGTTTTTGGATTTTGTCAAAGGCCTTTTCTGCATCTATTGAGATAATCATGTGGTTTTTGTCTTTGGTTCTGTTTATATGCTGGATTACATTTATTGATTTGTGAATGTTAAACCAGCCTTGCATCCCAGGGATGAAGCCCACTTGATCATGGTGGATAAACTTTTTGATGTGCTGCTGGATTCGGTTTGCCAGTATTTTATTGAGGATTTTTGCATCAATGTTCATCAAGGATATTGGTCTAAAATTACCTTTTTTGGTTGTGTCTCTGCCAGGCTTTGGTATCAGGATGATGCTGGCCTCATAAAATGAGTTAGGGAGGATTCCCTCTTTTTCTATTGGTTGGAATAGTTTCAGAAGGAATGGTACCAGCTCCTCTTTGTATCTTTGGTAGAAATCCGCTGTGAATCCATCTGGTCCTGGACTTTTTTTGGTTTGTAAGCTATTGATTATTGCCACAGTTTCAGAGCCTGTTATTAGTCTATTCAGAGATTCAACTTTTTCCTGGTTTAGTCTTGGGAGGGTGTATGTGTCAAGGAATTTATCCATTTCTTCTAGATTTTCTAGTTTATTTGCTTAGAGGTGTTAATAGTATTCTCTGATGGTAGTTTGTATTTCTGTGGGATTGGTAGTGATATCCCCTTTATCATTTTTTATTGCATCTATTTGATTCTTCTCTCTTTTCTTCCTTCTTAGCCTTGATAGCGGTCTATCAATTTTGTTGATCTTTTCAAAAAACCAGCTCCTGGATTCATTAATTTTTTGAAAGTTTTTTTATGTGTCTATTTCCTTCAGTTCTGCTCTGATTTTAGTTATTTCTTGCCTTCTGCTAGCTTTTGAATGTGTTTGCTCTTGCTTTTCTAGTTCTTTTAATTGTGATGTTAGGGTGTCAATTTTGGATCTTTCCTGCTTTCTTTTGTGGGCATTTAGTGCTATAAATTTTCCTCTACACACTGCTTTGAACGTGTCCCAGAGATTCTGGTATGTTGTGTCTTTGTTCTCGTTGGTTTCAAAGAACATCTTTATTTCTGCCTTCATTTTGTTATGTACCCAGTAGTCATTCAGGAGCAAGTTGTTCCGTTTCCATGTAGTTGAGCAGTTTTGAGTGAGTTTCTTAATCCTGCCTTCTAGTTTGATTGCACTGTGGTTTGAGAGACAGTTTGTTATAATTTCTGTTCTTTTACATTTGCTGAGGAGTGCTTTACTTCCAACTATGTGGTCAATTTTGGAATAGGTGTGGTGTGGTGCTGAAAAAAAATGTATATTCTGTTGATTTGGGGTGGAGAGTTCTGTAGATGTCTATTAGGTCTGCTTGGTGCAGAGCTGAGTTCAATTCCTGGGTATCCTTGTTAACTTTCTGTCTCGTTAATCTGTCTAATGTTGACAGTGGGGTGTTAATGTCTCCCATTATTATTGTGTGGGAGTCTAAGTCTCTTTGTAGGTCACTAAGGACTTGCTTTATGAATCTGGTTGCTCCTGTATTGGGTGCATGTATATTTAGGATAGTTAGCTCTTCTTGTTGAATTGATTCCTTTACCATTATGTAATGGCCTTCTTTGTCTCTTTTGATCTTTGTTGGTTTAGTCTGTTTTATCAGAGACTAGGATTGCGACCCCTGCCTTTTTTTGTTTTCCATTTGCTTGGTAGATCTTCCTCCATCCTTTTATTTTGAGCCCATGCGTGTCTCTGCACGTGAGATGGGTTTCCTGAATACAGCACACTGATGGGTCTTGACTCTTTATCCAATTTGCCAGTCTGTGTCTTTTAATTGGAGCATTTAGCCCATTTACATTTAAAGTTAAGTGTTATGTGTGAATTTGGTCCTGTTCATTATGATGTTAGCTGGTTATTTTGCTCGTTAGTTGATGCAGTTTCTTCCTAGCCTTGATGGTCTTTACATTTTGGTATGTTTTTGCAGTGGCTGGTACCGGTTGTTGCTTTCCATGTTTAGTGCTTCCTTCAGGAGCTCTTTTAGGGCAGGCCTGGTGGTGACAAAATCTCTCAGCATTTGCTTGTCTGTAAAGTATTTTATTTCTCCTTCACTTATGAAGCTTAGTTTGGCTGGATATGAAATTCTGGGTTGAAAATTCTTTTCTTTAAGAATGTGAAATGTTGGCCCCCACTCTCTTCTGGCTTGTAGAGTTTTTGCCAAGAGATCTACTGTTAGTCTGATGGCTTTCCCTTTGTGGGTAACCCAACCTTTCTCTCTGGCTGCCCTTACCATTTTTTCCTTCATTTCAACTTTGGTGAATCTGACAATTATGTGTCTTGGAGTTGCTCTTCTCGAGGAGTATCTTTGTGGTGTTCTCTGTATTTCCTGAATCTGAATGTTGGCCTGCCTTGCTAGACTGGGGAAGTTCTCCTGGATAATATCCTGCAGAGTGTTTTCCAACTTGGTTCTATTCTCCCCGTCATTTTCAGGTACACCAATCAGATATAGATTTGGTCTTTTCACATAGTCCCATATTTCTTGGAGGCTTTGTTCGTTTCTTCTTATTCTTTTTTCTCTAAACTTCCCTTCTGACTTCATTTCATTCATTTCATCTTGCATCACTGATACCCTTTCTTCCAGTTGATCGCATCGGCTCCTGAGGCTTCTGCGTTCTTCACGTAGTTCTTGAGCCTTGGCTTTCAACTCCATCAGCTCCTTTAAGGACTTCTCTGCATTGGTTATTCTAGTTATCCATTCGTCTAATCTTTTTTCAAAGTTTCTAACTTCTTTGCCATTGGTTTGAATTTCCTCCTGTAGCTCGGAGTAGTTTGATCGTCTGAAGCCTTCTTCTCTCAACTCATCAATGTCATTCTCCGTCCAGCTTTGTTCCGTTGCTGGTGAGGAGCTGTGTTCCTTTGGAGGAGGAGAGGTGCTCTGCTTTTTAGAGTTTCTGGTTTTTCTGCTCTGTTTTTTCCCCATCTTTGTGTTTTTATCTACTTTTGGTCTTTGATGATGGCAACGTACAGATGGGTTTTTGGTGTGGATGTCCTTTCTGTTTGTTAGTTTTCCTTCTAACAGACAGGACCCTCAGATGCAGGTTTGTTGGAGTTTGCTAGAGGTCCACTCCAGACCCTTTTTGCCTGGGTGTCAGCCGTGGTGGCTGCAGAACAGCAGTGGCTGTAGAACAGCGGATTTTGGTGACCCGCAAATGCTGCTGCCTGATCGTTCCTCTGGAAGCTTTGTCCCAGAGGAATACCCGGCCGTGTGAGGTGTCAGTCTGCCCCTACTGGGGGGCGCCTCCCAGTTAGGCTGCTCGGGGGTCAGACACCCACTTAAGGAGGCAGTCTGCCTGTTCTCAGATCTCCAGCTGCGTGCTGGGAGAACCATTACTCTCTTCAAAGCTGTCAGACAGGGACATTTAAGTCTGCAGAGGTTACTGCTGTCTTTTTGTTTGTCTATGCCCTGCCCCCAGAGGTGGAGCCTACAGAGGCAGGCAGGCCTCCTTGAGCTGTGGTGGGCTCCACCCAGTTCGAGCTTCCCCGCTGCTTTGTTTACCTAATCAAGCCTGGGCAATGACAGGCGCCCCTCCCCCAGCCTCCCTGTGGCCTTGCAGTTTGATCTCAGACTGCCGTGCTAGCAATCAGTGAGACTCTGTGGGCATAGGACCCTCTGAGCCATATGCGGGATATAATCTCCTGGTGTGCTGTTTTTTAAGCCCATTGGAAAAGTGCAGTATTAGGGTGGGAGTGACCTGATTTTCCACGTGACGTCTGTCACCCCTTTCTTTGACTAGGAAAGGGAACCCCCTGACCCCTTGCGCTTCCCGAGTGAGGCAGTGCCTCACCCTGCTTTGGCTCGTGCATGGTGCACTGCACCCACTGTCCTGCACCCACTGTCTGGCACTCCCTAGTGAGATGAACCCAGTACCTCAGATGGAAATGCAGAAATCACCCATCTTCTGCGTCACTCACGCTGGGAGCTGTAGACCGGAGCTGTTCCTATTCGGCCATCTTGGCTCCACCACAAGTTTAATTTTAGTTGTCTTTCATTCTTATTGTGTTGAGGAAGTAGGGGAATAAAGCTATTTTTTTTCTATTCATCAATGCAACTTTCTTTGGTGCAAACAATATGAGAAAAAACTTGCTTGTTTCATATAAGTGAATCTGTTTTATGTTGTAATCTATTAACATAGAATTCAGCCTTTAGGTTTTAAAAGTAAAATGCCAAGCAATTTGTACTGCTCCAAAATATATTTACAGTTATTTTAATTGAGAATATTTTATGTAGGTTTTATTTAAAAAGCTTGAGGTCAAGAGCTTTTGAAGAACTTTAGGAAAAAAAAACCTAATCCATATTATACAGCCATCCCTCGGTATCCATGGGGGGTTGGTTCCAGGACCTTCTGCAGATGCCAAAATCCATGGATGTTCAAGTTCCTTATATAAAATAGTGTACTATTGGCATATAACCTATGCATATCTCCCTGTATACTTTAAATTGCTACAGGGTTACTTATAATAACTAATATACTGTAAATGCTGTGTAAATAGTTATACTATATTTTTTAGGAAATAGTTACAAGAAAAATGTCTGTACGTGTTCAATACAGAAGCAGCCATGGATGCAGAACCCCAGGAGAAAGAGGGTTGACTGTATAGGTTTTCAAACAATGTACTATTAATATTTTACATACTATTTCAGTAGTTTCAGTGTGAATAATTATGGAAAGGATGGATTAAGTAAATGTAATTCTTTTTCTGCAAGAGTTTCTATTTTAGATAGCACTGAACAAGTCTAAACCTCTTTCTCTTATATTTTGCTTTACCAAAATTCTCCAGAAATCAGAAGTCTAGCCTTATTTCTAATCTGGCAAATACACAGCTGTGAATCTACTCTTTGTATACATTAGATTGCCATCCACCCAAATGTTATCTATTTCCAGCTACATGTATATTGAACATTTGCACACAGTGTTTTTATATTCTGGAAAAATATAAGAATGTTTTGAAAGCATACAATGGATATGTCTGCAAGAGAGTAAACGAAGAAAAATAAATTCAAGATCAGACTTTCTAAAAGCAATCTGTTCTTTACAAATGTTTGCATTATGTAATTCACACAAATAACTGGAATTGGAAGAGTTCTTAATTATTTAGTCTTGGAATAGCAAAGCAATATTTAGAACTTTTGCTTAAAAATTACTTCGTATTTGCAAGGCTAATTTCAAAATAAATTGAAAATGTAATTTTATTAATTTTACCTTGCTAAATTTGTACAAATGAACTTCCTTTCCCTTTTCTCCAGAGAAATTTTTATTTATTCCTTATATTTCAATTTAAGCATTATTTCTTCAGGAAAGCAACTTACCAGTCTTGAACAGATCAATCTATCATAACATTTTTATCTTTCTTTTCTGTCAATTGTCACATTACAATTTTACTTTCTTGTATTAGACAGCAAGCACCATCAGAAAAGCAACCATTAGTGTTGATTTTTTAAAATTATTTTAAAATGATTAAATATTTTGTAAAGACAGGGTCTTGCTGTGTTGCTAAGTCTGGTCTCAAACTCCTGGCCTCAAACAATGCTCCCACCTTGGCCTCCCAGGTGTTGAGACTACAGGTGTGAGCCATGGCACCCAACCCTAATATTTATTAATTACTCTGTTTTTTGTGCCTGGCTTGGTGCCAGAGAAGTACATAGTAGGAACTCACTTACAGTTATTAATAAATGAGAAAAATGGAATAAAATCTTGATATAAACATCACATTGTTGGAATTTATACAAAAACATCTACTTAGAGAAACAGACATGTTTGGAGGGAACAAATAATAACAAATGTTTATTTAGCACTTATTGTGTGCCAGGCCCTAATCTAATCTCTTTAATTATATTTACTCAACTGATAAACAAGAAACTGTACACAGGAAAGTTGAGTAACTCATTTCATGTCGTAGAGCTAGTCAGATGAGGGTGCCCCAGGATTTAAACCTACATAATCTGGCTCCAGATTTGATGCTTTTAACTACTACCCTATTCTCAAGTTTCAAACAAGAATAGTGAAGTGGTTAAAAGCATATAATCTGGAGTCAGATGGGTAGTGTATAGTTACAAAAGTCACTAAAGATTGGTCATTTTGATCATCGTAAGAGCTTGAGGCCCTAAGGAAAATTTGACAGATTTTATTTTGTCAGCATTTAAAACTTGATATGAAGAAGATAACATAAACATTAAGTGAAAAGATAAGCTGCAGACACAGAGAAAATACCATGCATATAGCACATATGGTGTTTAAAGTGTTTCAGGTTTTATATACAAAATATTACAAATCAATAAAAAAATTTCACTAGAAAAATAGGCAAATCTGAAATAGAAAATGAATATATTAAGAAATGCCCTGATTTATATAAATAAACATATATATGCTCAACTGTACTAATAATCAAAGAAAAATTGATTATATTACAAAGATATCATTTTTCCTGACAGTCACATTGAGCCCATTTTGGCTCGCATTAATTTCACCTTCAAATATCTAAAGTGGAGATATAATTGCAAAAGCTATGTGAACAATAATATTTATTGGAATACTGTTTTAATAGCCCAAGCTGGCAATAACATAAATGCTATCAATATGAGAAACTGATAACAGAGTATGGTTCTGAGACATTAAGAAGCTTGCCTGAGGTTATAAAGGATTGTGATATTCAATTACACATTCATGTGATTTTATAGGAATGAAATAAAAAGGCTTTGTGATTTAATGGGAAGAATATTAATTCTTATTTCAGTTGTAATACAGATTTTCTTTGAGGTATTGACCAGCTTCTACTTCTAAAAACCTGTGATTTGATTTTTTTGTTGACATTTTATAAACAGCCCTTATATATGATCTAATAGTCCTTCATAACCTAGTGTAACATATTGATGAACTCGTTTATTGTTGAGGTAAAAATGAATCTATTTTGTGATTTTTATTTTTCCCTCCAGTGACCTAATTTAAACCATTTATATAATTACTATTTTGATTTATTAGCCGGATATTCCTCTGAAATAGTCTATTATGCTATATCTAATGTGTAACATACATGCTATGTAAAAAGTTATATTACCATTTTTATTTGCTTCATTTTTCATTTGCTTAATTATTTTATTTATCATAAGGAATCTTTGAGATCACAAGTCAGAGAATCTGAAAACCAAAATCTACAGAAATATGCACATGCTAACCTCTGTATCATAATCCTCAGGTAACAACTACTCTCTACAAAATTTGTGATTAAAATTCAAATCTTTATTTTTTATCATGCTAACCTATCAGCTTTTTTAATGTGTGTTCTTCATAGGGTCATTGTTGTGATGATGTAAATAGTATCCTTTTTTTAAGAAAAAGATTAGAAAATATAAATTTATAATCTCATTATACAAATACAAATAGTACTATTTGATATATTGTACTTTATGAAGTATTTCTTTATAAGTATTTTATCTTATAAAGTTATAATTAGATTACAACCATTATATTAAAAATGTGTATCATGAGGAATAGAAGATGGCTGAATAGGAACAGCTCCGGTCTTCAGCTCCCAGGGAGATCAATGCAGAAGGTGGGTGATTTCTGCATTTCCAACTGAGGTACCTGACTCATCTCATTGGGACTGGTTACACAGTGGGTGCAGCCCATGGAGGGTGACCCGAAGCAGGGTGGGGCATCACCTCACCCGGGAAGTGTAAGGGGTCAGGTAACTCCCTCCCCTAGCCAAGGGAAGCCATGAGGGACTGTGCCTTGAGGAACAGTGCACTCTGGCCCATATACTTTGCTTTTCCCATGGTCTTTGCAACCTACAGATCAGGAGATTCCTTTGGGTGCCTACACTCCCAGGGCCCTAGATTTCAAGCACGAAACTGGGCAGCTGTTTGGGCAGACACTGACCTAGCTGCAGGAGTTTTTTTCATACCTCAGTGGTACCTGGAATGCTAGCAAGACAGAACCATTTACTCCGCTGGAAAGGGGGCTGAAGCCAGGGAGTCAAGTGGTCTAGCTCAGCGGATCCCACCCCCATGGAGCCCAACAAGCTCCATGGCTTGAAATTCTCGCTGTCAGCACAGGAGTCTGAAGTTGACCTGGGATGCTCCAGCTTGGTGTGGGTGAGAGGCATCCACCATTACTGAGGCTTGAGTAGGCAGTTTTCCCCTCACAGTGTAAACAAAGCCACCTGGAAGTTCAAACTGGGTGGGGCCCACCAAAGTGCAGCAAAGCCTCTGTAGCCAGACTGCCTCTCTAGATTCCTCCTTTCTGGGCAGGGCATCTCTGAAAGAAAGGCAGAAGCCACAGTCAGGGGCTTATAAATAAAACTCTCAACTCCCTGGGACAGAGCACCTGGGGGAAGGGGCAGCTGTGAGCACAGCTTCACCAGACTTAAACGTTTCTGTCTACTGGCTCTGAAGACAGCAGTGGATCTCCCAGCACAGAGCTTGAGCTCTGCTAAGGGACAGACTGCCTCCTCAAGTGGGTCCCTGAACCCGGTGCCTCCTGACTAGGAAACACCTCCCAGCAGGGGTCAACAGACATCTCATACAGGAGAGCTCTGGCTGGCATCTGGCAGGTGCCCCTCTGGAATAAAGCTTCCAGAGGAAGGAGCAGGCAGCACTCTTTGCTGTTCTGCAGCCTCCACTGGTGATACGTAGGCAAACGGTCTGGAGTGGACCTCCAGCAAACTCCAGCAGACCTGCAGAAGAGGGGCCTGACTGTTAGAAGGAAAACTAACAAACAGAAAGCAATAGCATCAACATCAACAAAAAGGACACCCACGCAAAAACCCCATCCAAAGATCACCAACGTCAAAGACCAAAGGTAGATAAATCCACAAAGATGAGGAAAAAGCAGCTCAAAAAGGCTGAAAATTCCAAAAACCAGAATGTCTCTTCCAAAGGATCACAACTCCTCGCCAGCAAGGGAACAAAATTAGACAGAGAATGAGTTTGATGAATTGACAGAAGTAGGCTTCGGAAGGTGGGTAATAACAAACTCCTCTGAGCAAAAGAAGCATGTTCTAACCAAATGCAAGGAAGCTAAGAACCTTGATAAAAGATTCCCCTAGGTCTCCCTAGGAACTGCTAACTGGAATAAGCAGTTTAGAGAAGAACATAAATGACCTGAAGGAGCTGAAAAACACAGCATGAGAACTTTGTGAAGCATACACAAGTATCAATAGCCAAATCCATCAAGTGGAAGAAAGGATATCAGAGATTGAAGATCAACTTAATGAAATAAAGCATAAAGACAAGATTAGAGAAAAAAGAATGAAAAGGAATTAACAAAGCCTCCAAGAAATATGAGACTATGTGAAAAGACCAAACTTTTTTGATTGGTGTACCTGAAAGTAACAGGGAGATTGGAACCAAGTTGGAAAACACGCTTCAGGATGTTATCCAGGAGAACTTCCCCAACCTAGCAAGGCAGGCCAACATTCAAATTTAGGAAATACAGAGAACACCACAAAGATAATCCTTGAGAAGAGCAACCCCAAGACACATAATTGTCAGATTCACCAAGGTTGAAATGAAGGAAAAAATGTTAAGAGCAGCCAGAGAGAAACGTGGGGTTACCCATAAAGAGAAGCACATCAGACTAACAGGGGATCTCTTGGCAGAAACCCTACAAGCCAGAAGAGGGTGGGGGCTGATATTCAACATTCTTAAAGAAAAGAATTTTCAACCCAAAATTTTTTATCCAGCCAAACTAAGCTTCATAAGTGAAGGAGAAATAAAATCCTTTACAGACAAGCAAATGCTGAGAGATTTTGTCACCACCAGGTCTGCCTTACAAGAGCTCCTGAAGAAAGCACTAAACATGGCAAGGAAAAACTGGTACCAGCCACTGCAAAAACATATCAAATTGTAAAGACCATCGGCACTGTGAAGAAGCTGCATCAATTAATGGGCAAAATAACCAGCTAGCATCATGATGACAGGATCAAATTCACATGTAACAATAACTTTAAGTGTAAATTGACTAAATGCCCCAATTAAAAGACACAGACTGACAAATTGGATAAAGAGTCAAGACCCATAGGTGTCCTGTATTCAGGAGACTTATCTCACATGCAAAGACAAACAAAGGCTAAAAATAGTGGGATTGAGAAAGATTTACCAAGCAAATAGAAAGCAAAAAAAAAAAAAAAAAAAAAAAAAGCAGGGATTGTAGTCCTAGTCTCTGATAACCCAGACTTTAAACCAACAAAGATAAAAAAGACAAAGAAGGGCATTACATAATGGTAGAGGGATCAATGCAACAAGAAGAGTTAAATATCTTAAATATATGTGCACACAATACAGGAGCATCCAGATTCATAAAGCAAGTTCTTAGAGACCTAAAAAAAGACTTAGACTCCAAAACAATAATAGTGGGAGACTTTTACACCCCACTGTCATATTAGACAGATAAACGAGACAGAAAATTAACAAGGATATTCAGGATGTGAACTCAGCTCAGGTCCGAGCAGACCTAATAGACATCTACCAAACTCTCCACCTCAAATCAACAGAATATACATTCTTCTCAGCACCAAATCATACTTATTCTAAAATTGACCACATAATTGAAAGTAAAACACTCCTCAGCAAATGCAAATAAATGGAAATAATAACAAACAGTATCTCAGACCACAGTGCAATCAAATTAGAACTCAGGATTAAGAAACTCACTCAAAACCGCACAACTACATGGAAACTGAACAACCTGCTCCTGAATGACTATTGGGTAAATAAATTAAGGCAGAAATAAATAAGTTCTTTGAAACCAATAAGAACAAAGACACAACATACCAGAATCTCTGGGACACAGCTAAAGCAGTGTTTAGAGGGAAATTTATAGCACTAAGTGCCCACAGGAGAAAGCAGGAAAGATCTAAATTTGACGCCCTAACATCACAATGAAAAGAACTAGAGAAGCAATAGCAAACAAATTCAAAAGCTAACAGGAGACAAGAAATAACTAAGATCAGAGCAGAACTGAAGGAGATAGAGACACAAAAAACCTTTCAAAAAATCAATGAATCCAGGAGCTGGTTTTTTGAAAACATCAACAAAACAGATAGACCACTAGCCAGACTAATAAAGAAGAAAAGAGAGAAGAATCAAATAGACACAATAAAAAATGATAAAGGGGATATCACCACTGATCCCACAGAAATACAAACTACCATCAGAGAATACTATAGAAATACAAACTACCATCAGAGAATACTATAAACACCTCTATGCAAATAAACTAGAAAATCTGGAAGAAATGGATAAATTCCTGGACACATACACCCTCCCAAGACTAAACCAGGAAAAAGTCGAATCTCTGAACAGAACAATAACAAGATCTGAAATTGAGGCAGTAATTAATAGCTTACCAACCAAAAAAAAGCCCAGGACCAGACAGATTCACAGCCAAATTCTATCAGAGGTACAAAGAAGAGCTGGTTCCATTCCTTCTGAAACTATTTCAAACAATAGAAAAGAAATTATCATAAAATAACTCATTTTATGAGGCCAGCATCATCCTGATACCAAAACCTGGCAGAAACACAACAAAAAAAAGAAAATTTCAGGCCAATATCCGTGATGAACATCGATGTGAAAATTCTCAATAAAATACTGGAAAACTGAATCCAGCAGCACATCAAAAAGCTTATCCACCACAATCAAGTCAGCTTCACCCCAGGATGCAAGGATGGTTCAACATAAGCAAATCAATAAATGGAATCCATCACATAAACAGAACCAATGAAAAAAAAACACATGATTATCTCAATAGATGCAAAAAAGGCCTTTGATAAAATTCAACACCCCTTCATGCTAAAAACTCTCAATAAATTAGGTATTGATGGAACATATCTCAAAATAATAAGAGCTATATATGACAAACTCACAGCCAATATTATACTGAATGGGTAAAAGCTGGAAGCATTCCCTTTGAAAACCAGCACAGGCAAGGATGCCCTCTCTCACTACTCCTATTCAACATAGTATTGGAAGTTCTGGCCAGGGCAATCAGGCAAGAGATAGAAATAAAGTATATTCAAGTGGGAGGAGAGGAGGTCAAATTGTCTCTGTTTGCAGATGACATGATTGTATATCTAGAAAACCCTGTCATCTCAGCCCCAAAATCTCCTTAGGCTGATAAGCAACTTCAGCAGAGTCTCAGGATACAAAATCAATGTGCAAAAATCTCAAGCATTCCTATACACCTATAATAGACAAACAGAGAGCCAAATCATGAGAGAACTCCTATTCACAATTGCTAGAAAGAGAATAAAATACCTAGAAATACAAGTTACAAGGGATGTGAAGGACCTCTTCAAGGGGAACTACAAACCACTGCTCAAGGAAATCAGAGACAACACAAACAAACAGAAAATCATTCCATGCTCACAGATAGGAAGAATCAATATCTTGAAAATGGCCATACTGCCCAGGGTAATTTATAGATTCAATGCTATTCCCATTAAGCAACCATTGACTTTTTTCACAGAATTAGAAAAAAACTACTTTAAAGTTCATATGGAACCAAAAAAGAGCCCATATAGCCAAGACAATCCTAAGCAAAAAGAACAAAGCTGGAGGCATAATGCTACCTGTCTTCAAACTACACTACAAGGCTGCAGTAACAAAAACAGCATGATACTGTTACCAAAACAGATATATAGACCAATGGAACAGAACAGAGGCCTCAGAAATAACACCACACATCTACAGCCATCTGATCTTTGACAAACCTGACACAAACAAGCAATGGGGAAAAGATTCCCTATTTAATAAAAGCTGTTGGGAAAACTGGCTAGCCATGTGCAGAAAACTGAAACTGGATTCCTTCCTTACACCTAATACAAACATTAACTCAAGATAAATTAAAGACTTAAAGGTAAGACCTAAAACCATAAAAGCCCTAGAAGAAAACCTAGGCAGTACCATTCAGGACATAGGCATGGGCAAGGACTTCATGACTAAAACACCAAAGCAATGGCAACAAAAGCCAAAATTGACAAATGGGATCTAATTAAACTAAAGAGCTTCTGCACGGTGAAAGAAACTACCATCAGAGGAAACAGGCAACCTACAGAATGGGAGAAAATTTTTGCAATCTATCCATTTGACAAAGGGCTAATATCCAGAATCTATAAAGAACTTAAATGAATTTACAAGAGAAAAACAACCCCATCAAAAAGTGGGCAAAGGATATGAACAGACACTTCTCAAAAGAAGACATTTATGCAGCCAACAAACATGAAAAAAAGCTTGTTATCACTGATCATTAGAGAAATGCAAATCAAACCCACAATGAGATACCATTTCATGCCAGTTAGAATGGCAATCATTAAAAAGTCAGGAAACAACAGACGGTGGAAAGGATGTGGAGAAATAGGAACACTTTTATACTGTTGGTGGGAGTGTAAATTAGTTCAACCATTGTGGAAGACAATGTGGCAATTCCTCAGGGATCTAAAACCAGAAATGCCATTTGACCCAGCAATCCCATTAGTGGGTATATACCCAAAGGATCATAAATCATTCTACTATAAAAACACATGTACACATATTTTTATTGCAGTACTATTCACAATAGCAAAGACTTGGAACCAACCCAAATGCCCATCAATGATAGACTGGCTCAAGAAAATGTGGCACATATACACCATAGAATACTATGCAGCCATAAAAAAGGATGAGTTGCTGTCCTTTGCAGGGACATGGATGAAGCTGGAAACCATCATTCTCAGCAAACTAACAAAGGAACAGAAAACCAAACACCCTATGTTCTCACTAATAAATGGGAATTGAACAATGAGAACATATGGGCACAGGGAAAGGAACATCACATACCCTGTTGGGGGTTGGGGGCAAGGGTAGGGATAGCATTAGGAGAAATACCTGATGTAGATGATGAGTTGATGGGTGCATCAAACAACCATGTCACAAGTATGCCTATGTAACAAAGCTGCATGTTCTGCACATGTATACCAGAACTTTTTTTTTTTTTTTTTCTGTGAGATGGTCTCGCTCTGTCACCCAGGCTGGAGTGCAGTGGCGCAATCTCTGCTCACTGCAAGCTCCACCTCCCGGGTTCATGCCATTCTCCTTCCTCAGCCTCCCAAGTAGCTGGAACTACAGGCACCTGCCACCACTACGCCCGGCTAATTTTTTGTATTTTTAGTAGAGATGGGGTTTCACTGTGTTAGCCAGGATGGTATTGATCTCCTGACCTCGTGATCCACCTGCCTTGGCTTCCCAAAGTGTTGGGATTACAGGCGTGAGCCACCGCACCTGGCGTATCCCAGAACTTAAAGTATAATAATAATTTTAAAAAATGCGTATCGCTGTTTTAGTGCCATAATATTTGTATACTAAAAGTATTGTTTCATGTTGCAATTTAATTGTGGCTTTCTTCTGGATGAGTAGGTTAGCTTTTGATACAATTTAGTTTTGTAACAATCACTTTTAAGATTTTAAACTATACCATTAACTGAATAAATTATATTTTTCTTAACCTTTTATTGTTCTAAATTTGTTTTTTATTATTAAATACCATACTTCAATAAAGTATTTCTCAATATCCAGAATTATTTTACGAATTCCAAAAAATGAAGTTACTAGATCAAAACACAAACTTTTCCTTGCTTTGATATATTTTTATTAATTTAATATTGTACTAGTTTTTCTACATCCTTGCTCTAACTGGATATTAACAGGTTGAACATTCTTTAAAAATATTTCACAGATTAATACAATGATTTTATATATATATTTTTATTATACTTTAAGTTCTAGGGTACATGTGCACAACGTGCAGGTTTGTTACATATGTATACATGTGCCATGTTGGTGTGCTGCACCCATTAACTGGTCATTTAACATTAGGTGTATCTCCTAATGCTATCCCTCCCCCCTCCCCCCACCCCACAACAGGCCCTAGTGTGTGATGTTCCCCTTCCTGTGTCCAAGTGTTCTCATTGTTCAATTCCCACCTGTGAGTGAGAAAATGCGGTGTTTGGTTTTTTTGTCCTTGCGACAGTTTGCTGAGAATGATGGTTTCCAGCTTCATCCACGTCCCTACAAAGGACATGAACTCATCATTTTTTATGGCTGCATAGTATTCCATGGTGTATATGTGCCATATTTTCTTAATCCAGTCTATCATTGATGGACATTTGGGTTGGTTCCAAGTCTTTGCTATTGTGAATAGTGCCACAATAAACATACATGTGCATGTGTCTTTATAGCAGCATGTTTTATAATCCTATGAGTATATACCCAGTAATGGGATGGCTGGGCCAAATGATATTTCCACTTCTGGATCCCTGAGGAATTGCCACACTGTCTTCCACAATGGTTGAACTAGTTTACAGTCCCACCAACAGTATAAAAGTGTTCCTATTTCTCCACATCCTCTCCAGCTCCTGTTGTTTCCTGACTTTTTAATGATCGCCATTCTAACTGGTGTGAGACGATGTCTCATTGTGGTTTTCATTTGCATTTCTCTGATGGCCAGTGATGATGAGCATTTTTTCATGTGTCTGTAGGCTGCATAAATGTCTTATTTTGAGAAGTGTCTGTTCATATCCTTTGCCCACTTTTTGATGGGTTTTTTTTTTTCTTGTAAATTTGAGTTCTTTGTGGATTCTGGATATTAGCCCTTTGTCAGATGAGTAGTTTGCAAAAATTTTCTCCCATTCTGTAGGTTGCCTGTTCACTCTGACGGTAGTTTCTTTTGCTGTGCAGAAGCTCTTTAGTTTAATTAGATGCCATTTGTCAATTTTGGCTCTTGTTGCCATTGCTTTTGGTGTTTTAGACATGAAGTCCTTGCCCATGCCTATGTCCTGAATGGTATTGCCTAGGTTTTCTTCCAGGGTTTTTATGGTTTTAGGTCTGACATTTAAGTCCTTAATCCATCTTGAATTAAATTTTGTATAAGGTGTAAGGAAGGGATCCAGTTTCAGCTTTCTACATATGGCTAGCCAGTTTTCCCAGCACCATTTATTAAATAAGGAATCCTTTCCTCATTTCTTGTTTTTGTCAGGTTTGTCAAAGATCAGATAGTTGTAGATGTGTGGTATTATTTCTGAGGGCTCTGTTCTGTTCCATTGGTCTGTATATCTGTTTTGGTACCAGTATCATGCTGTTTTGGTTACTGTAGCCTTGGAGTATAGTCTGAAGTCAGGTAGCAAGATGCCTCCAGCTTTGTTCTTTTGGCTTAGGATTGACTTGGCAATGCAGGCTCTTTTTTGGTTCCATATGAACTTTAAAGTAGCTTTTTCCAATTCTGTGAAGAAAGTCATTGGTAGCTTGAGGGGATGGCATTGAATCTATAAATTACCTTGGCCAGTATGGCCATTTTCACGATATTGATTCTTCCTGTCCATGAGCATGGAATGTTCTTCCATTTGTTTGTATCCTCCTTTATTTCCTTGAGCAGTGGTTTGTAGTTCTCCTTGAAGAGGTCCTTCACATCCCTTGTAAGTTGGATTCCTAGGTATTTCATTCTCTTTGAAGCAATTGTGAATGGGAGTTCACTCATGATTTGGCTCTTTGTTTGTCTGTTAATGGTGTATAGGAATGCTTGTGATTTTTGCACATTGATTTTGTATCCTGAGACATTGCTGAAGTTGCTTATCAGCTTAAGGAGATTTTCGACTGAGATGATGGGGTTTTCTAGATATACAATCATGTCATCTGCAAAGAGGGACAATTTGTCTTCCTCTTTTCCTAATTGAATACCCTTTATTTCCTTCTCCTGCCTGATTGCCCTGGCCAGAACTTCCAACACTATGTTGAATAGGAGTGGTGGGAGAGGGCATCCCTGTCTTGTGCCAGTTTTCAAAGGGAATGTTTCCAGGTTTTGCCCATTCAGTATGATATTGGTTGTGGGTTTGTCATATGTAGCTGTTATTATTTTTAGATACTTCCCATCAATACGTAATTTATTGAGAGTTTTTAGCATGAAGTGCTGTTGAATTTTGTCAAAGACCTTTTCTGCATCTATCGAAATAATCATGTGTTTTTTGTCTTTGGTTCTGTTTATGTGCTGGATTACATTTATTGATTTGTGTATGTTGAACCAGCCTTGCATCCCAGGGATGAAGCCAACTTGATCGTGGTGGATAAGCTTTTTGATGTGCTGCTGGATTCAGTTTGCCAGTATTTTATTGAGGATTTTTGCATTGACGTTCATCAGGGATATTGGTCTAAAATTCTCTTTTTTGCTTGTGTCTCTGCCAGCTTTGGTATCAGGATGATGCTGGCCTCATAAAATGAGTTAGGGAGGATTCCCTCTTTTTCTATTGGTTGGAATAGTTTCAGAAGGAATGATACCAGCTCCTCTTTGTATCTTTGGTAGAAATCGGCTGTGAATCCGTCTGGTCCTGGACTTTTTTTGTTGGTAAGCTATTAATTATTGCGTCAATTTCAGAGTCTGTTATTGGTGTATTCAGAGATTCAACTTCTTCCTGGTTTAGTCTTGGGAGGGTGTATGTGTAGAGGATTTTATCCATTTCTTCTAGATTTTCTAGTTTATTTGTGTAGAGGTGTTTACAGTATTCTCTGACGGTAGTTTGTATTTCTGTGGGATCGGTGGTGATATCCCCTTTATCATTTTTTATTGCATCTATTTGATTCTTCTCTCTTTTCTTCTTTATTAGTCTTGCTAGCGGTCTATCAATTTTTTTGATCTTTTCAAAAAACCAGCTCCTGAATTCATTGATTTTTTGAAGGGTTTTTTGTGTCTCTATCTCCTTCAGTTCTGCTCTGATCTTAGTTATTTCTTGCCTTCTGCTAGCTTTTGAATGTGTTTGCTCTTGCTTTTCTAGTTCTTTTAATTGTGATGTTAGGGTGTCAATTTTGGATCTTTCCTGCTTTCTCTTGTGGGCATTTAGTGCTATAAATTTCCCTCTACACACTGCTTTAAATGTGTCCCAGATATTCTAGTATGTTATGTCTTTGTTCTCGTTGGTTTCAAAGAACATCTTTATTTTTGCCTTCATTTCGTTATGTACCCAGTAGTCATTCAGGAGCAGGTTGTTCAGTTTCCATGTAGTTGAGCAGTTTTGAGTGAGTTTCTTAATCCTGCCTTCTAGTTTGATTGCACTGTGGTTTGAGAGACAGTTTGTTATAATTTCTGTTCTTTTACATTTGCTGAGGAGTGCTTTACTTCCAACTATGTGGTCAATTTTGGAATAGATGTGGTGTGGTGCTGAAAAGAATGTATATTCTGTTGATTTGGGGTGGAGAGTTCTATAGATGTCTATTAGGTCTGCTTGGTGCAGAGCTGAGTTCAGTTCCTGGATATCCTTGTTAACTTTCTGTCTCATTGATCTGTCTAATGTTGACAATGGGATGTTGAAGTCTTCCATTATCATTGTGTGGGAGTCTAAGTCTCTTTGTAGGTCACTAAGGACTTGCTTTATGAATCTGGGTGCTCCTTTATATGGTGCATATATATTTAGGATAGTTAGCTCTTCTTGTTGAATTGATTCCTTTACCATTATGTAATGGCCTTCTTTGTCTCTTTTGATCTTTGTTGGTTTAAAGTCTGTTTTATCAGAGACTAGGATTGCAACCCCTGCCTTTTTTTGTTCTCCATTTGCTTGATAGATCTTCCTCCATCCTTTTATTTTGAGCCCATGTGTGTCTCTGCACGTGAGATGGGTTTCCTGAATACAGCACACTGATGGGTCTTGACTCTTTATCCAATTTGCCAGTCTGTGTCTTTTAATTGGAGCATTTAGTCCATTTACGTTTAAGGTTAATATTGTTATGTGTGAATTTGATCCTGTCATTATGATGTTAGCTTGTTATTTTGCTCATTAGTTGATGCAGTTTCTTCCTAGAATTGATGGTCTTTACAATTTGGAGTGTTTTTGCAGTGGCTGGTACCGGTTGTTCCTTTCCATATTTAGTACTTCCTTCCAGAGCCCTTGTCGGGCAGGTCTGGTGGTGACAAAATCTCTCAGCATTTGCTTGTCTATAAAGGATTTATGTCATAGTGCAGATATCACTCATATGCTGAAATGGCTTATTGTTGTTCCACCTCTGTTTACAAGAGCAAAAATATGATAAATGACTTCAAATGTCCATGTTACCAATAGAAAACTGGGTACATTTCCTCTAGTTAGATAAACACATTATACACATTGCAAAAATTCATTTGTCTAATCACTAATCTTTCTTCAGTGCCTACTGTATAGTTTGAAGTGCCCAGATACTGACCCTATAGATGTTAAGACAGTTCCAACCGTAAGGAAGCTTAGGGGAAGGCTAGTACAAAATACAAATACAACTAACAGAATATAAGCCAAGATAGTACTGTGAGTCCATATAGAAATACAAAAAAAAAAGTTTAAAAGAAAATAAGTAGCAAGGATAAAAATCAAGAAACACATGGCAGTGAGAAGAAATTAGAACCAAAGGTATCCTGGGCTCCAATGTGGAGTTTTTGCTTGTGTTTACCTCCATGATTCAAAATTTTCTCAGTTATGGAGGGATATTGGAGCAAAGCACACTGTATGCAACTAAAGGGTAGAGTTACAATTTTTAAAACTGGAAGTCCTTGATAGAAAATCAAACAACATCAACAAAAGTATATATTGACAAAAGGGCCTTTGAGAGAATGACACTAAAAAGCTAAAATTTAAAGAAATTAATAGACAAAGTAAATTTAAATGAAATATCAGAATATTAGTTACTTGAATGATATAAATGAGGAATTCATGAAATATATAGCACAAAGAGAAAAAACAGATTTAAAATATATATGAAAAAATAAAGTATTTGGCGAAGAGATTGAGAAATTATAACATGTATCAAAGGAATCCCACAAAGAATAAGCATTTTTTTTTAAAGACAGAGGAAATATGGCTGATAATTTTATAGAATTGAAGAGTGGGATGATCTTTCAAATTGAAAGACTTCATTGAGGGCCAAACAGGTCAATAAACACAATCCTTAACTGGTTATATCATGGAATAAAGAAAGAAGTTAATGGTAAGAGGCAATTTAAAAGCTACTAGAAAGAAAAACAGATTGCTTGCATAGGAAAAAAAAAAGATTGGCTTTTAACTTCTTAAGAACAAAGCAATTAAGTTTTATGTGAAAATCACTACCAGCCTAGAAATGTACTTGTAGCTAAGCTATCCTTTAAGAGTGAAAGCAAAATAGAGACATTTTCAAATATTCAAAAAATGAGGAGTTTACAATCCACAAATACAAAGTATTTCTTCAGCAAGAAGAGTAAATTAAAAAAGAAAGCACGGTAATCAATAGCTTTTGAAAGTGTATCAGTAATATACTTCACTTCTACCTTTAAATAAATCTACAGTTTTATTTTTTAAAAACAAGTTAAATTGGACAATACTTTAACAGTATAATTAAAACAATAACTGAGTACCCTATGACACAGTCATTCCAAGTATACACCCAATAGAAAGCATATATGTGCACCAAAAGACAAGTACTAGCCAAAAGTTGGAAAAAGAACAAATACGGAAATGACCATAATAGCTCTAAGTAGTAAATATTCATCAACAGTTGAATTAATAAATAAACTGCCTTGCATTTACACAGTGGAATACTACAAAACAATGAAAATGAATGAAACAGTCATATGATACAAATTATTCTCACAAACATAATGGGTTGAATAAAAAATACAAAAAATACATTGTAGATGATTAAGTGATATAAAGTACAAAATGACAAAAAACAATTTTATGCTGGTAGAAGTCAGCATGTGGTCATCCTTGGAAAAAGAGCAGTGGGTCTGTATGGGGAACGAAGGAGCTTCTGGGGAGCTGGTAATGTTGTGTATTCTTAATCTCAGTCCTGGTTCCATATGTGTGGTTGGTTTGTGAAAGTTTATAGAGCAGTACAGCTGTGAGATGTATACTTTATGAACATTGTATACATTAAACTTTGATAAAAAGCATGTGTGTGAATATATATGTGTGTGTATATATGTGTGTGTGTGTATATATATATATCTTTATATGAAGAATGTAGCACATTAAAACTACAAATGTGTATATAGGTAAAACTAAAATTCTAGGAAAAAGAACTTGGGAGAAGGAAGAGGAAGGTTCCATTAGTACTTTAAATATGCTAAGATTCTTGTCTTATTTAGTTGGTAGGCAGGACATACTAAAATTTAATCTCTGTCAGAAATTATGCGTATCTGAGTGTGTGTACAGTTACACAATTAATAAAAGGAAAAAAGAGAGCACATGAAAATCAAAAAAGCAAGAAATAAGATCCTCCCCTAAAAACAATAAAGAAGGAATTCTAAACAGAACACTAAAACAAGATCATAGAGATCAGTTTAAATATGTTCAATAATCATACTCATTGTAAATTTATTAGTTTTCTAATAAAATATTAAATGTATTATATTAGATTAAAAAAACTAACTGCTAATCTTATAGGAAAATATCTTTTAAAAAGACAGAAAAATTAAATATAGATATACTATGCAAATACTAAAACTTGTGTCAAAATATTAATTTCAGAAGAAAGAATTTAAGGCAAAAACATCTATAGAGGATTTTTTTAAATAACAATATATTTTCATAAAAAGAACAATCCACACAGTATATAATTCACAATTATTTGTAGATAGCTTCAGAACAAAGCAGAACCAACCAAATCATAGGGAGAAATAGATAAGTTCAAACTCATGATGGAAAAATGAGTTTTAATTTTTAATTTTTTATAGAGATGGGTCTTGCTTTGTTGCACAGGCTGGTCTTGAACTCCTGGATTTAAGTGATCCTCCTGCCTCAGCCTCATGATAGAATATTTGAGTACAATGCTATCAGAAATTGAAAGCTCAGATAAAAATTTTAAAAAGGATATATAAGATTTGAACAAGTCATCCCAAAGTCTTAATTAATACCCCTGTAGCAAACAGAGACTGTATCTTCTCTTCACACACACAGTGTTATGAAAGTTGACTACATATTATGTAACAAAGGAAGAAAGTCTCTTCAAGTTTCGAAAAGTGAGGTCACTATAAACTACATTATCTCAACACAATACAATTAAATTAGATATCAGCAATAAAAATACAGAAAATTATGTGTGAAAACAAATTTATTTATAAATATCTAATATGTAAAAGAAAAAATAATGAAAAATTAGAAATATATTGCAAGACAATGAGAATTCATTTCACAACCTGTGGAATGCAACTGAATGCGTCTAAATCTGCAATGACTGTGGAAATTATAGTATTAAACTTTTTAATTTAAAACTAAGAAAAAGGGACACAGTTATTTAGGCATTTATCTCTGAAAACTGTGGAAAGAACAACAGAGTTAATCCAGAAAAAGTAGAAGAAAATAAAAATAAAAAGTTGTGAAGAAATTAATGTAAAATAAACAAAAATATATGGAGTACTTAAAGCTGATTCTTTGAAAATTTAGTAAAATAAACAAAGCCCTTGCAGGACTGAATAATTTTTTTTTAATACAGGGAATATTTAACTGTGAAGGAGAACTCATACTGTAAATAAAGTAGTGCATAAATAGAATTTGAGAATACTGTGAAAAACCTTAGGAATGCAGCTTCAATAAACTGGAAAATTTAGATGAAATGAACAATTTTCATGAAATAAAATATTCTTAAATAAATATACTTAATAAAATAGACAAGTAAAGTAGAAAACCTGAGTAAGTTGCCAAGTGGTCAATAAATTGAACTAGTAGTAATAACAACATTAACTCTTCCACCTTTGGCCCTGGCCAAAGACACCAGACATGGATGTTTTTCCCAAGCAAATTCTGTAAGAGTTAAAGAAAGAGGAAAGAAACACAAAAAGCAGCTCAACAGCCAAAGACAACTTTATTTTTTAGAATAAACCTGAGAGGGGCTTCTGGCCGATTTCAGTGAGGAGCATTCTCTCTTACAGACTGAGAGTATTTAAGTGTTTAGGGCAAGAGGGCTTATCACAGGCTTGGAATGTTTTCGTGTCGGGGAGAAGTTTATTGTGGGGTTGTAATGTCTCTGATCAGAGGGGAAGTTACCTTGGGGCTAAACATCTCTCTGGGCAGAGAGGAGGTTACCTCAGGGCTGGCATGTCTCTGGTTTGGGAGGGATTTATCTTAGGGTTGGAATGTTTCTGGTTCGAGATGTCATTTGTGGTTTATGTTCATGCTGACCTTAGCCATTAGGCTGATGCCCTTTGGATTTAGGTGGTTTTTGATCAAGGGGAACTTTAAAATGATAGTGCTTGTCCAAGACAGTGATGCTCCTGCTCTGTCAAATTCTACCAAACATTCAAGAAACATATTATTCCCATATTTTACAAATTATTTTAAGACTAAATACGATATAAAGAACATGATTAAATTTGTTAGTATAATTTTAACATCCACAGCAGTCAGGAGAAGAAAAAAATTATAGGCCAGCTTCACATATAAACATATATGTAATGGGAAATCATGAAAAACAAAGCAAATCTTATCTGACAGCGTATTTTAAAGTTTTTAAAACTTTTAAACATCATGACCAAGTAGAATTATCATTCTTAATGAATATGTATATACATATATAGCCTAGTAGCCCTAGATTTTCTGTACAGGAGAAGATGAGAGTTGGAGTTGGACAGGGAGTGGCTGTAAAACTACCACCAGGTGTAGTAGTGGTTGATTAATGGATTGAAGGAGTTAAAGCTGCCCCCCTACCTCCTGAGCTATTCTTGGCATAGCAAACTTCTTTTTAAAAATGAAATTTGGCTGGGAGTGGTGGCTCACGTCTGTAATTCCAGCACTTTGGTAGGCCGAGGGAGGTGGATCACTTGAGGTCAGGGGTTCAAGACCAGCCTGACCAACATGGCGAAACCCCATCTCTACTAAAAATACAAAAATTAACCAGGTGTGGTGGAGTGAAACTCCATCTCAAGAAAAAAAGAAAAAAAAATCATCTTTCTCAAAATACAACAGCAGTTCAGTGACTAGATTGATATGGAAAAAATCAAAGCGATATCTGCAATGTTGAAAAATAAACATAGCATTTCTCTAGAACCAATTCATCCTACAGTTGCATGCCAGAAGAGGGGGTAGATACAATTCACTGTAAGAGTCTATCAACAATAGAAAAACAGCCTCTTGTTTTGAAAAAAAAATAGCTTCTTGTTTTGAAAAAGAAACAAAAAGATCATCAATGATGCATATAATAGACCTACATGAAAGACAGAATATTTATATCCTTTTGTTAGAAACAAATCATGATTTGAGAATCATACATGCTCCTTTATTGTGAGAGATATGGAGAAACTGGAGTGGTCATAGAAAAAAATATTAAGTGATAAAAAACTGATGATTCACTGAGACATCTGTAAGAAACTGGGCCTATTTCATTTAGCAAGAGCTACTGAGGAAATATTAATATATATTTTCAAATCTTATTAGTTTCATTTTGAGCAATTTGTGATCAGCATTAAAAATTGCTGCAAAAGTCATTGATTGTAACTAAAGCAGAATAAGTTACTTACATGCAAACTTGAGGATTATAAAGTAAAGAATATATTTGTGCAATGTTTACTTCTAAGGATCCGTTGAGAAATATCAACATTGAATGGTGTGTTTATAGACTGTATGAAGTCAAGACTCCAGAAATGGCAATTTGTAGGAATTTCATTTGGAAAAAATACAATCCATGTCCAAGGTATTTCTACAAAGAATTGATATCAGCAGGATTCATTTCAACCCTGTAATTCTGAATTCTTTTTTTCTTGTGTGTGTGTGTATATATATATATATATATCACATTTATTATGAAGCTCTTAGAAATTTAAAAACACACTTTTCTTTTTTTTTTTTTTTTTTTGAGACAGAGTCTTGCTCTGCCATCCAGGCTGGAGTGCAGTGGCACAGTCTCGGCTCACTGCAACCTCTCCCTCTCGGGTTCAGCCATTTCTTTGCCTCAGCCTCCCGAGTAGCTGGGACTACAGGCGTGCACCACCAAGCCCAACTAATTTTTGTATTTTTTTTAGTAGAGACAGGGTTTCACTATTTTGGCCAGGATGGTCTCGATCTCTTGACCTCATTATCTGCCTCCCAAAGTGCTGGGAATACAGGTGTGAGCTACTGCATCCAGCCTAAAATTTCACTTTTTATGGATACATAATATTTTACATATTTATGGGGTACATGTGATATTTTGTTACATGCATGGAATACACAATTATCAAGTCAAAGTTTTTGAAGTGTCCATTACTGTGAGGATTTATTATTTCTATGGGTTAGGAAGTCCTTTCTTATAGCTACTTTGAAATATAGATTATATTGTTGTAAAGCATAGTCACTCTACTTTGCTGTCAAAATATAAAATTTATGCCTTTTATCTAATTACATGTTTGTACTTATTAACCTACCTCTCTTCACCCTCCGCTACCAACCCAGTCAACCTTCCCAGCTTCTAGTATCTATCATTCTTCTCTCTACCATTATCAGATCAATCTTTTTAGTTCCCACATATGAATGAGAATATGCAATAATTTGTCTTTCTGTGCCTGGGTTATTTCACTTAACATAATGACATCCATGTTGCTGCAAATGACAGGCTCTCATTCTTTTTATGGCTGAATAGTATTCCATTGTATACATATACCACATGTTTTCTTATCCATTTGTCTGTTAATGGACACTAAGTTTGGTTCTATATCTTTGCTATTATCAATAGTGCTACAACAAACATGTGAGTGCAGGAATCCCTTTGATATACCGATTTCTTTTCCTTTGAATACATACCCAGCAGTGAGATTGCTGGATCATATTGTAGTTCTATTTTTAGTTTGTTTGAGAAATCTCCATATTGTTTTTTATTTATTTATTTATTTATTTATTTATTTATTTATTTATTTGAGACAGAGTCTTGCTGTGTCACCCAGGCTGGAGTGCAGTGGCATGATCTTGGCTCACTGCAACCTCTGCCTCCCCAGTTCAAGCGATTCTCCTGCCTCAGCCTCCCAAGTAGCTGGTACTACAGGCACATGCCATCACGCCCGGCTAATTTTTGTATTTTTAGTAGAGATGGGGTTTCACTGTGTTAGCCAGGGTGGTCTCAATCTCCTGACCTCATGACCTGCCCGTCTCAGATTCCCAAAGTGCTGCAATTACAGGCATGATCCACTGTGCCCGGCCTCCATATTGTTTTTAATAGTGGTTGTACTAATTTACATTCCCACCAAAAGGGTATGAGCATTCTCTTTTCTCCACATCCTTGTCAGCATGTGATATTTTACTGCGTTTTTAATAATAGACACTCTCTGTTCAATTGGGTAGAAAAATAAAAATAAAAAAATAGCCATCCTAACTGGAGTAAGATAATATTTCATTGTGGTTTTGATTTGCATATTCCTGAGGATTAGTGATGTTGAGCATTTTTCCATGTACCTGTTGGCCATTTGCATGTCTTCCTTTCGGAATTATCTATTAATGTTCTGTGCCTACTTCTTACTTAATGGGATTCTTATTTTATTGTTGAATTGTTTGAGTATCTTATATACTCTGGATATTATTCCATTGTCAGATAGTTTGAAGTATTTTCTCCCATACAGGTGGTTTCTTTACTCTTTTGATTGTTTCCTTTGCTATGCAGAAGTTTTTGATTTTAATATAGTCTCATTTGTCTATTTTTGTTCCATTTGTCTGTGCTTTTGAGGTCTTAGCCATAAAATCTTTTCCTAGACGACTGTTGGAAGTGCGTTTCCTATGTTTCCTTCTAGGAGTTTTATAGTTTGTAGTTTTACACTTGAGTATTTAATCCATCTTGAGTTTATTTTTGTGTACAGTGAGAGATAGGGGTTCAGTTTCATTCTTTTGCCTGTGACTGTTCAATTTCCCCAGCACTATTTATTGAAGAAAACCTCAGTTTTCCAGTGCATGTTCTTGGTGCTTTGTCAACAATCAATTGGCTGTAAATATGTGGATTTATTTTTGAGTTTTCTATTCTGTTCCATTTGGGTATGTGTCTATTTTTATGCCAATGCCAAGTGTTTTGGTTATTATAGCCCTGTAATATAATTTGAAGTCAGGTAGTATGATGCCTCCAGCTTTATTATTTTTGCTCAGGATTGCTTTGGATATTCTGGTTATTTTTTGGTTTCAAATGAATTGTAGGATTGTTTTTTCTATTCTGTGAAAAATGGCATTAGTGTCTTCATAGGGATTGCATTGAGTCTTTAGGTTGTTTATGGAGTATGGTCCTTTTAACACTATTATTTTTTTCTGATCCATGAACATGGGATGTCTTTACATTTGTATGTGTTCTCTTCAATTTCTTTCATCAGATTCTTATAGTTTTCCTTGTAGAGATATTTCACCTCATTGGTTTATTCCTATGTAATTTTTTTGGTAGCTAGTGGAAATGGGATTGCTGTTCTGTTCTTCTGTTTTGTTTTTGTTTTGCTTTTTCTTTTTTTTGCTATTTCATTATTGGTGTATAGAAATACTACTTTAAAAAAATGTTGATTTTGTATCCTGTAGTGTAACTGAATTTGTTTAACAACTCTAAGGGTTTTTTGGTGGAGTCTTTTGACTTTTCTAAATATGAGTATCATGTCATCTGCAAAGAGGGACAATTTGACTTTCTCTTTTTGAATCTGGATGCCTTTTCTTTCTCTTGCCTGATTACTCTGGCTAGGACTTTCAGTGCTTTGTTGATTAGGAATGGTGGAAGTACATATCCTTGTCTTGTTCCAGTTCTTAGAGAAAAGGCCTCCAAACTTTTCCCCATTCAGTATAATGCTATTTGTGGATTTGACATATATGGACTTTATTTTTTGAGGCATGTTTATTCTATGCCTAGTTTGTTGAGAATTTTTTTATCATGAAGGTATGTTGAATTTTATCAAAAGATTTTTCTTTGTCTATAAGATGAGCATATGAGTTTTATTCCTTATTCTGTAGATGTTTCATGTTTATTGATTTGCATATCTTGAACATCCTTGTGTCCCTTGGGTAAATCCCACTTGATCATTGGGTATTATTTTTTTGATGTGCTGTTAAATTCAGTTTGCTTGAACTTTGTTGGGGTTTTTTGTGTTTATGTTTATCAGAGATATTGACCTATACCTCTGTGTGTGTGTGTGTGTGTGTGTGTGTCCCTGTGTGCTTTTGGTATCAGAATGATACCGGCTTTATAGAATATGTTAGGAAGAAATCAGTCCCCTACAATTTTTTGGAGTAGTTTGGGAAAGATTGGTATTAGTTCTTGTTTATAGGCCTGGTAGAAGTCAGCAGTAAATCAGTCCAGACCTGGGCTTTTCTTTGTTGGGAGACTTTTTATTACTGATTTAATTTCACTACTTGGTGTGTTCAGGTTTACTATTTCTTCCTGATTCAATCTTGGTAAGTTGTATGTATGTTTCTAGCAATGTATCTACTTCCTCTAGATTCTCTAGTTTGTTAGTATACAGTTTTCCGTGATAGTCTCTGATGATCTTTTGTATTTCTGTTGTATCAGTTGTAATGTCTCCTTTTTATTTCTGAGTTTATTTGGGTCTTCTCTTTTCTTTGTTAGTCTAGCTCGTAGTTTTTTTTTTTTTTAATGTTTTCAATTTTGTTTATACTTTCAAAAAACTAGTGTTACATTTCATTCATGCTTTTTATTGTTTTTCTAGTTTCTGATTCATTTAGTTCTGCTCTGATCTTTATTATTTCTTGCCTCCTGCTAATGTTTGGTTTGGTTCATTCTTGATTTTTCACTTTGTTGAGGTGGATTGTTAGATTATTTACTTGTAATATTTCTACTTTTGATGTAGGCAATTATTTCTATAAACTTCCCTCGTAGTACTACTTTAGCTGTATCCCACAGATTTTGATATATTTTGTTTTCATTTTCATTAGTTTCAAAATTTTTAAATTTCTTCATTGACACAATGGTTGTTCAGGGGCATGTTATTTAATTTTTGTATATTTATATAGTTTCCAAGTTTCTTTTTGGTATTGATTTCTTGTTTTATTCCACTGTGATCTGAGAAGGTACTTGATACCATTTTGCTTGTTTAAAATTTGTTGAGACTTCTTTTGTGGCTCAATAGATGGTCTGTTCTAGAGAATATTCTGTATGATTATGAAAATAATGTGTATTCTGCAGTTGTTGGATAAAATGTTCTATAAATATCTGTTAGGTCTGTTTGTTCTAAATTCCACTCTAACTTCAATGTTTCTTTTTTGATTTTCTTTCTAGACGATCTGTCTAGTGCTGAGAATAAGGTGGTAAATTCCCCCACAGTTATTGCATTGGAGTCTTTCTTTTCAGATTTAGTAATCTTTCCTTTATGAATCCGGGTGTTCCAGTTTTGGGTGCATATATATTTAGAATTGTTATTTCCTCTTGCTAGATTGGTCCTTTTATCACTATTTAGTTGTCTTTGTTTACTGTTTTTGGCTTCAAGTCTGTTTTGTATGATATGAGTATAGCTACCTCTGCTCACTTTGAATTCTGTTAGAGTTAAATATCTTTTTCTATTTATTTACTCTCAGTCTATAGGAATCTTTTCAAGTAAAGTGTGTTTCTTGTAGGTGGCATGTAGTTGGATCATTTTTTTAAAATCCATTCATTCAGTCTATAGCTTTTAAGTGAAGAATTTAATCCATTTATGTTCAAAGTAATTATTGATATGTGAGGTTTTATTGCTGTCATTTTGTTAATTGTTTTATGGTTGGTTTGTATATTCTTTGTTCTTGATTTTCCTCTTAATGTCTGTCATTGCAGTTGGTAGTTATCTGTAGGGATAGTATTTGAGCCCTATCTTTTTCCACATTTGTATGTTTGCTTCACCATTTTTTATACTTTTGTGTGTTTTCATGTAGATAAATGTCCTTTTGCTTCCATGTTTAGGAGTTCTTTGAGTATTTATTGTATGGTCAGTCTAGTGGTGATGAATTATCTTAGTTTTATCTTGTCTGAGAAAGACTTTATTTCTCCTTCATTTATGAAGGATAATTTTGTTAGATATAGTATCTTAGCTTGCAGTTTTTCTTTCAGCATTTTGAATACATTATCCCATTCTCTCCTGGCCTATAAGGTTTCTACTGATAAATTTTCTCTTGTTCTGATGGAGGTTTCTTATAGGTGACTAGATGCTTTTCTCTTGCTTTTTTTTAAAAAAAAAAATTCTCTATTTTTCATGGATTTTAGAAATTTTAACTATAGTATACCATGAAGAAGAACTTTTTGTATTGTGTCTGTTTGGTGACTGCTGGGACTCTGTATCTGGATGTTTAAATCTCTTGCTAGATTTGGGAAATTTTCCTCTATTAATTCATTAAATAGGTTTTTAAACTCTTTCTCTCTTTGCCTTCTTGGATACCAATAATTTATATATTTTATCACTTTTTTTTCTGTCCCATATATCATTAAGGCTTTGTTCATTCTTTTTTTTTAAAAAATGTGTCTGAGGGTTATTTATAAAACACTGTCATCAAGTTGTGAAATTATTTTGTCTGCTTCATCTAGTCTATGGTTGAAGCTTTTAAATGTATTTTGTAATTCATTCAATGATTCTCCATTTATAGGATTTCTGTTTGATACTTTTCTACGTTATCTATCACTTTGTTACATTTCTCATTCTTATCCTGAATTGTTTTTCTGATTCCTTTGTTTTGTTTTTTTAGAATTCTCTTATATCTCACTGAAATTATTTAGAATCAATAATTGAATTTTTACTAGGATTTTATGAATTCCATCTCCTTTGGAGCTGTCATATATTCTTGCTTTTTCATGATTCCTGTGTCCTTACATTGATATCCGTGCATCTCATGTAGCAGTTGCTTCTTCTAACTTTTTCAATTTGCTTTCACAGGGAAGGACTTTTTTTGAGGAAGAATCTGTGGTGTTGGTTGGGTGGGGAACTCTGGTTTCAATTCTAGGTACATGAATTAGTGTAGTCTCCCTTGATTTTTTTGGCTACAAACAGTGCCAGTGATATCTGAGACTTCCTTGGTGGCTTAGGGTCCAGTTATTGAGGAAAGCTCTGGTGCAGTTTTGCTTGGGACTCAGAGGTCAAGTGGACCAGTCTTTGAGCTCCTGTGGTTGCAGCAGTGGGCTGAGAGTGCCTGCTCATATGCCCCATAATGTCATACAGGTGGGCCAATTTTTGTTCCTTCAGGTGGCTTACTCAAAGCCCAGTAGTGGCAGCTGTGAACTGAGCAGGTAAGTGGGTTCTTGGGTCCATGGGCAGCTAATATGGCGTAGGCAATGCGAGTGGCAGTGGTGTGACAACCCTCTAGGTCCCTTGTGGTGCATGCTGTCATTGGAAGTAACTGTAATGTTCTGGGAAGGTCAGTGTCCAGGCCTGCAGGTGGTAATTTGTGGTAGTAGCTGCTGTGTGGGTAGGCCTAACCTCAGGTCCCCGAGAGGAGTGGTCATATGTCATCAGTGGTGAACTAAACTGGGAGATTCCCTGGCCCCTGGACTGTATGCTGTGGCATGGGGATGATGGGGAAACCTGGGCTAGGCTGGCTTATCTTCAGGCCCCCAGATGGCATGTACAGGCACTGGCCATGGTAGTCAGGAGCGGGGTGATCCCCAAGTCATTGTGGAATGCTTGAGTGGGAGGCTATAGTAGCTGCCCTGCTGCCCTGCCAGTGGGGGTTGAGGGTGGTACCAGCTTCAGTGATGATGGCCTAGGACAGCAGGTGGGGAGCATGCATGCCACCTGCACCACAGCCTTGGTGGCACCCTTGCTCAGCCTTGGGTGGAGAAGCCTGTGGTCACTTGTGTCTAAACCCCAGGCAGTACCCATCACTTCTCTTGCACCTCAGCTTCAGCACCACTGGGCTTCAGGTAGTGTGCAGTTTGCTGGGGATGGTGCTCTAGAATGGCACCTTGCTGGCACCTCAGTCCTAAAGATGGCATCCCATACCCTGGTTGCAACTCCATCAGAGTGTAGTGGCCCAAGGTCACTTGTGCCTAAGCCCTGGGAGCAGCAGCCTAATGCTTCTCTTGCACATTAGCCTCAGCATTCCTGGGTTCCAGGACAGTGTGCAGTCTGTTGCAGGCAAAGTTCTAAAATGGCATCTTGCTGTAGTTGCTTAGGTCACAAGGAATGTGAAGGACCATGACCATATTCAAGCTTCCTCCATGGGAAGCTGCCATAATACAATCTTCTTGCAACTCCCTATGTTAGTTTCATGGCCTGAGAGTATTGAGGACTCTCCCGTGGCTAGGACTATAGGAGTCTATGATGAAAATGCAGGCTGCTGAGCATCTCTCACCTACCGTTTCCCTCTATTGGGGAGTCTCTCTAGGCTCTCAGTCAATCCAGGCTGAACAGGCTGCTTGCTTCCTTCTCCCATTCCTTACTTTAGATATTGCCTGTCACTATTTTGTTGGATTCCAGTGTTCTCTCTTGGATGATCTAATATCTACTGGGTATTTTAGCTCTTTTTAGTGGAGAAAGCAAGTACAAAATGCTCCCTAGTCAGCCATCCTGAAGCCTCCCAAGGTGCCCATTTCAAAACCCATTTTTGAACTACCTAACTAACCTACCTAACCAGAGCATTTGTTTTAAACATACTAATATATTTAAGTGTTTTAATAATCCTTTTGTTTCACCAATAAACAAACAAAAAAGAAGAATAAATTTAGGAGAATAAAATAATTACTAATTCTTCTCTTAAAAGATATATCTGTAAGGAAGGAAGGACTGGACTGATTATATCAAGTAGTAGAATTTATCTGTGAAGATTTAATGCACAGAAAATATTGTCCTATATTCTTTTCTGTATCTCCCCATTTGATATTTTAAAAGTCTTTTTTGGCAAACAAAGTTGTACCTATTGTTGATTGTGGATATTTAAACGTGGGAAATTGTGATCAGACATAAATCTCTCAAGGAAAGACCTTGTGTCCTCTCTGTTATTAAGAATCCACACTTTCCTTTGTGGGACACTCAGGAACTGACATTTATGTCTAACCTTCTGGATAATGGATTTACATGGCTGTTTAATCTTCTAAGGAAATATTAAGACTCCTGAGATTGTATTTCCATGCCTTTATAAATCATACATTAGTGGTATTAAGACACAAGAAAATACCTTTTCAAGCTCTATTGCTTGTACCAACTATAAAATTAATAGTTAATACCATGTTACCATATTTTGTTTTATAAAAGTGACAAAATATTAAGAGAGCTAATTCCCACCTGTTTTTAAGGCCAATTTGAGTCATTATAAATATTCAGAGACATTTCAGAACACTGTTTGAAAATATAGTAATTCTCTAACAATGTAAAACAGTTTTTCTTTGTGAGTGTGAAAATTAACTATGTAACCTTCTAGTGCAGGGCTTTTTAAACTTGAATGTGATACACATCATCTGAGAATCTTTTAAAAATGTAGGTTCTTATCCAGTAAATCCGGAGTGGTACCTGAGATTCTGGATATACAACAAGTTCTCAAGGGGTGCCAATAGTGCTGACCCATGGACCAGATATTACCAGCAAGAATGGAGAGTAGAGGTTTGTAATGTAGGCTCTATGGATTACCACCAAGACTTGTGCTAACTACATAAAACTGTATACAATGTGTGTGTGTCTGTGCATTTACAAGATAGAGTACTCATAAGTTGTATCCTGTTTCAAAGACTTGTGACCTGCTACTCTGAATTATTAGCATTTCCTCAACATGTTACTTATATTGCAATTCCTGTGATATAATCACTGAAAATTTTATAAAACTTGATGTATGTTATCTTTCTTTTGGATACTTAAAATTAATATAAAGTGTTAATCACTTCAAGAAATCCTAGAGTTATTACACCTATGTGACTTTCACCTAAGTGTTTCCTAAACTATTTGGTAATTGAATTCATTTTTTTTTCAAGTTTTACCAAATAATATTCCAGGAACAATAAAAAAGATACTGGCTCACATTAAATAAAAATTAATATTTGGGGCCAGGCGCGGTGACTAATGCCTGTAATCCCAGCACTTTGGGAGGCCGAAGCGGGCAGATCACAAGGTCGGGAGATCGAGACCATCCTGGCTAATACGATAAAACCCCGTCTCTACTACAAATGCAAAAAATTAGCTGGGCATGGTGGTGGACGCCTGTAGTCCCAGCTACTTGGGAGGCTGAGAAGGAGAATGGTGTAAACCAGGGAGACAGAACTTGCAGTGAGCCGAGATCATGCCACTGCACTCCAGCCTGGGCCACAGAGTGAGACTCTGTCTCAAAAAAAAAAAAAAAA
The DNA here is from genome assembly GCF_000001405.40 of Homo sapiens. Classification (NCBI taxonomy): domain Eukaryota; kingdom Metazoa; phylum Chordata; class Mammalia; order Primates; family Hominidae; genus Homo; species Homo sapiens. Next base: position 66,412,462 of record NC_000010.11, on the reverse strand, counting down.
AAAAAATAGTATTTGGCTCTCTGATTTCCCTTCTACTACTTTTTAAGCTATCTTTCTGTGCAGCTCACATTTGTTCCACCAACCTATTTAATACCTTGGCCTCTCAACCTTGTGGCCTCTTCATTTTTAATGATCTTTTTCTTCAACATTATTGTAGTCAGCCATTCCTGTGCTTATTATTCCAAGTATATTTTTCTTTTCCAGAATCTCTCTTTTAAGATGCTATTTTCTGACCACCACTTTATTATCTTTCTGATTATGTATTCTCTAATCCTTCATGCCAAATTAGCTTTTTATCTTGCTGGAATATCGAATGCATGTTTTTCATTCCTCACGTTTTTGTTTCCTGTCTTACTCAGCTTAGATTTCATGTTCTATTGTGATAATTACTCTTGTACTTGGATCCACAATTTTGCCGTAGGAAACTTCTAGGCCCAAAGTTATACCCTTTCAAGTGATGGCTTTCATCAGCGACTGACGGAGATGGGGATAGGTCATCTCCTTGCCCCAATTTGGTAGAATCCTTACAGGCTTCAGAGCTCCTCGGAATGTCATTTGAGGGCTCAGTGGGTCACCTTCTCTTTTTGCACAATTCCTTCCTCATTTCCTTTTGGGTGTGTTTCCTGGAGGAACTCTGCATATAGTTCTTCATACAAGAAGCTGTGTCTCAGAACCAATCTAAAAGACACTCATGTAAAATTGAACTCCACCATGTTTGTTGTTAGTTATTTTCCTCATTTTATTTTATTTACAGTATTTATCACTGTCTGAAATTATAGTCCTTATCTACTTGCTGGTTTGTCATCATTTATTTTTAATAAAATGTAGACTCTCTTGCTTAGGAACTTTGTCTTTCATGTTCAGCACTGTGTCTCAAGCACCCACATTATCTTTATCCAATGGTAAACCTTATAAATATTTGTTAAATTTATTTTTGAATTCCATATTTATATAAAAAATTACCTCATGGTAATTATCATATTCATAATTACTATATTGACAATAGTTTCTAAAAATATTTATATAATATAGTAATGATAAAAATGTTATCTCCTGATAGTGTTTATGTACCAGAAGGAAAAACAAAATCAAAGAAAAACACAAAATCAAAATAAATTAAAGGAGTATACTGAATAGCTCCATTACAGTAAGCATTTAGATAACTTAGTCCTAAACATAACTTGCTTTATATTATTTTTCTTAATATTCTGGTCTATACTTTAAGAATCAATGATTTTACCAAAGATGTGAGGAAAAAATGTGAACACAGGACACATTATTTACTCAAGGCCTACTTTATGCCAGAAAAATAATTTTAGGCATATTAACATGTCTTTCTTAATTTTCAAACACTGTTAGCAAATAGGACATTATTATTTTCAAATTGACAGAAGAAATTGAAGTTGAGAGAAGCTAAATATGTGTTGAATGTTGAAATTCAAATTAATCTAATCACAGCTTTGCCAGTTACATATTATGCCATCTTGGGTAATTCACTTCACTCTTTAGATCTCTATACTCTTCTATATATTGAGAGGGCTCAATTGCCTTTAAGAGTTCCGCTGGTTTAAATGCTTGCTAATGGTGTAAGTTTTAAGAGACACAGGCACTTTATGACCAACACCAGGATGAGAAAGAGCCTTAGAAACACAGCACGCATTCCAAACACGAACAGTACATCTCTGGCAGATGGAGCCTTGTGTCTGGTAATGGGAGAAGTAGGCAAAAGATGGGAAGATGATCTGTGATAGGGTCCTGACAAAGATTATTTATGATTATTCTAGAAGGCAGGGGAAACCCAGTGACAGAGAACCAATATACACCTAATATGCAGAAAGGCAGAGGGAAAGGTCAGGAGTGGGGGGCAATCAGTATTTAGAATTGCCTCATCTCAAGGACTGAGGATCAGAGGTAGACTCTATTCCACAGAAACAGTTGTGCATGATAAAAGCGTGGGGCCAAGGCACAGAAGCTTAGGTTTGCTAGTACCAGGGCCTAACATCAGGGTGGGACTAGCATACTCTTTATTTGGTACTGGGTTGCAAAGTTCACCAAATAAATGCCCCTTTGGTTTTTCTAGAAGTAGGCCTGAGTAGGTACTAAAGTATGATGGAACTACTAGAGGGAAGAGAGTGAGTGTTTCTATCTGAAGATTAGAATACTCTGTGAAGAGCAGGCTGGTCTGCAATCTTGACTCCACCTGAAAGATAATTATTCTACCAAAGTTTTGTTCCAAGGTCAAGGCTGATCTTTTTTATCTTTTTGATCTGATTATTTAACAGCCATCCTTAAATGTATTTAGTTACTTATAAAGCTTTCCTGAATAGATTTACTGCAACATTTTGTAATTAGAGCATTCATGTTAGAAAGTCCTTTTAAAAATATAGATGTATTTGTCTGGATGTTTATTGCTTGCTTTTAGCACAGATTACTTAATCAGAATAACAGTGGAGCAAGCCAGGCCACTGAAGGAGTAGAAAACGCAACTGGTAGGGAGAGAGAATTGGGAAAGGTCTAGGGCACTTGGTGCTTCCTGAGTATGGAGATTTCCCAGAGCAGAACTGGCAGTATCAGAACACTCTAAAAGACTTCCTTAGGAGAAAAATAAGGAATAAGTGAAGGTCCCTGATTGTACCTTTCTAATTCTATATAATCAGGTTCTTGGTTTTAAATGTTGCATTTTAAGTTCTAGATGTTGACCTAACTATTAAAACTATAAAAATATTATCGATCCTGTCTTGTTTTGTGTTTAATACATAAACTAAATGTCTCTTTAGTAATTTCAGCTAGAAGACAATGTGACCTATTGTATAGTTATGGTCTCACTGCCATCAGAGTATATCCGTTGAGTTCTGGATTTCCCAAAGCATTTCCAATTTAAAATTCCACAAAATCAGACTTGATAATAGATGTCATATTCATCATACTGCACCACTATGTTTGGCTATATTTATTTTATTATGATTATATTATCTCTCCTGGTTTCCCCACAGTAACTATTGAACCAAGAAGATTCCCAAGTTCATCTCTATCCTTCTTAAAAAGACATTTTTTTTTTTTGGGAACAGTTAGAAAATTCTCTGTAGAATTAGATTGAAGAGGATGAGATGAGGTGAAGTGAAAATTCAGAAGGCATGTTAAGTAGACCAAAAACATGAAGCAAAGTTAGAGCAATCTAAATTCTCAAATCCCAAAATTTCTCTTTGACCACTTCTCATTGCTCAGACTTTCCCAGGAATTTCCCATTGAACCCACCCTCATTAACCATATTTCTAGAGGCAGGTTAACTATTTGATTTGAAGCCATCTTTATTAGCCATATTTCTAGAGGCAGATTCACTATTTGGAATATGAGAGATATGTAGAATACCCAGAAAATGTCAATAGAAGTGGACTTGATAGAAAAATAATTTGGCTGATAGGATAACTCCAGAAATTTAATAATTTTGTTTTGGTATACTGTACCTATTAGCAAAAAAGTATGCCAATGCTCTTTGAAGTTATTTCAAATATTCTAGTTCAACTTAAGCCATCAGGATTCTGTCAAGAAAATGAGATATGTGTGGTTGTGGCCTGCTCATATAGAAAAAGATTAGTATGAAGAACTCTCCAATTGAAAAATATCTCTCCATTCCAGTGTATAAATTATATATTCATTTCAGCTAGGTTTTATACACTGTTCTTTTAAAATGTTTAATGTACTCATTAGACATCTGAATTACAGTCATTGACATTTTAGTGTGAATTTCTTTAATCCAAACATTGATTGCCAAGGCTATATTCACTAAAGAGTAAGAGTATTATTGAAAGAATAAATGGAAAGTTGGAGGAATATTTATATATCAGGAAGACCTTTATGGCTGACCTAGGTAGGATACTTTGTACAGCTTAAGGATGATTAAAATTTTGGGTTTGGAAGAAGGAACATTAAAAGATGATATAAAGATAGAAGGATACTGAAGAGAATATTTGTCTACTTTATAATTTTAACAAGACCTTGTGTGCCAATGAGAATGATTAGGTGCCCCTTCTGTCATGTGGTCGAGGTTTTGTGACTAAAATATGACATATACTCTATGAAAATAAATAAATGGTTTAATGAACTATAATTTTATAGTTGAAGGAGAGAAAAAAGGCCACCATTTGGAAAATAAGAATTGTATAAAAAATGGAGATTTAAAAGGTACAACTGGATTTCCACATCCATGGGTTCCATATTTGTGCATTCAACCAACTAAGGATAAAAAATATTTGAAAATAAAAATTTTACAAATTTTCAAAAAGCAAAACTTGAATTTGACTGTACATTGAGTACTATGTCGAATCTGTGCAGATGAAGCTATGTGTAGGCATTTTATTAGGTATTATAAGTAATTTAGAGATGACTTCAAGTGTATGTGAGGATGCACGTAGGTTATTTGCAAATACTATGCCATTTTACACCAGGAACTTCAGCATCTGTGGATTTTGATATCCGTTGGGGTTGTAGAACAAACTCTGCATTGATACCAGGAAGGACTATAATTTATGCGTTAGAACAGAACTGCAAATAATGAATGAAAACATTTAAAAATATGTAAAAGTTGGCCGGGTGTGGTTTCTCACGCCTGTAATCCCAGCACTTTGGGAGGCCAGGGCGGGTGGATCGCAAGGTCAGGAGATCGAGACCAGCCTGGCCAAGATGGTGAAACCCCGTCTCTATTAAAAATACAAAAATTAGCCAAGCATGGTGGTGGGCACCTTTAATCCCAGCTACTCAGAAGGCTGAGGCAGGAGAATCGCTTGAACCCAAGAGTCAGAGGTGATAGTGAGCCAAGATCATGCCACTGCACTCCAGCCCGGGTGACAGAGCGAGACTCTGTCTCAAAAAAAAAAAATATGTAAAAGTTGTGAAAGTGGGCTTTTAGCTTCAAATAAATATATGTCTCATATCAAAGCCACAGCTAATTAAAGAACTAAGAAAGAAAAGGAATATTCAAATATCTGGAGTAATCTAACAAACAGCAGTGTTCAGAGTTTTTAAATTATTATTATTATTATCATCGGTGCTAGATATTTCTCCTATAGTATGTGATATTGTACAGAAACAGGCCCATCCACTTGATATTCACATAGGCTGCTTTAAAAGTGGAGTGGCAAAGTAGTAGTAAATGTCACTAAAATATAGGTTTTTTTAGATGTGTTTTGGGTCGAGTTGAGAGTACATAATAAAAATGATGAATTGACTCAAATCTTCCTTTCCTGTTTTTTTTTTTTTCTTTTAAGCACAGTTGTTTAAATTCCCTACAAGGTTAGAATACATGCACTTTTAAGAAAGCATTCTACCGAAGCTAATTGGGTGTTTTCCACTATCACATAAATCTGTTGGCTGGTGTTTGATATTCTTGGAAAGTCGGAGGATAGGCATTTATTAGTATCAGAGGAGCCCTTTGAAGAGAAAATTCATAGTGTTTAATAAAAGGGTAAATTAATTAGTTCTATGTAAATAAAATCCTTTGAAAGAAAATTTTATTCAGAAACCTTTTAAAACTTAAGAAATCAAAACATATCGAAATGATCTGCTTTTGCTATGAGGAAGATATAAGTATGGTTATTTCACTAAATAGTCATGGAAAAATTATCTATATCATTATACTATCTATATTCTTATAATGACATAATTATACAAGAGTGGCAGCATGGAGAAGTGGTTTAGAGCAAGAGCTCTTGAGTTGAATTGTCCAGATGTAATCCTAACTCTATACCACTTAATATATTGGTATTTGAACTAGGAGCAGGTTGCTTGATTAGTGTTTGTCTCTATATCTTTGATAAGAATGAAGGTAATGATACTAATTATCTCTTTGTGTCATTTGGAAGATTAATGGAACTAATAATATATGAAGAATTCCTTGGATGTACAAGTATTCAACATCAGCTTATTATTATAACAATAAAGACTTTTCTTCATATAGTTTTTGGTTTAAGACTCAGGCATTGGTATGGAAAACAAATTCATATACATTTTGAAAATTTCCTTGGAACACTGGAAATCCAGGCAGCAAGAAAGCTTATAGAACAAGTACCTTGGACAGGAAAAAGCTTTTCAATGAACATAAAAACCCCCACAGTATTTTGTATTCCATTCTTATTCTTTGTGGTGGTGATGAAAAACAGTGCCTAAAAATGAAGAGATGAAAGAATCTCAATCATCACTTCTTCATCAAACCACTGAGTTATGTTTCATGCCCATTCTAAATGATGGTCCTCAAAAGTGGAGGTGGGTCTTCTTTGGGAGCCAAGATAATGCATATAGTTAGAGAATATTCCTCAAAATTATTTTCATTAGTTCTCAGATCCCTTTTTTCATTGTCATTAACTGCCATTTAATAAGATCCTTTTTTTATTCTTCTTGAAGAGAGATAACACTGCTGATAGCAATTTCAGAGAAACCCATTTTTGCCTCTCTCTTTCCACTGTGGAGTGAAACTAAAGAGTTAAAATGTATATATAAGCGGACAAAGCAGTCTGAAAGGATGCTGCTTTCAAAATATGACTATTTCCACCCTGGTAGTCAGTATGGCTGAAAGGAAAAGATGTGGCAAATCCTGTTACTGATATTCTGTCCAAGGGAGTAGACTTGGATCAAATTACAAAACCAGGAGGTTTAGTTTGAAATCTGTTTTAAGAGGCAGGTTGTCAAGAAAAAGCAAGACCTTGCAAGCTAGTGCAGCATAGGACAGGAACACCAGACATCTGAGTCAAGTACATTATGATGTATGGCTCAAATATGATATGCAGCAAAAGAATAGGAAATTGAGTTGGTAGTGCTACCCAAAGCAAACCACCAGAGGAAAAGTTCAGGAGATGTTTTTGTGGTTTCAAGTTAGAAAGATATATAGGATTCTTATATTACTCATATATAAGAGAAGAACACTGGATATAAATGAATGCAAATGGCAATGATGGGGGTCAGTGTACCTCATTTTGAGCCAATCTTAAAAAGGAAACACTGAAATTAGATGCACTGTTTAAAGTTAGTTGACTACAATCATTTAGCACTCTATTCGACATATTTTTCTTAAATAATTTATTAGTTGGAATATTAACGCAATTTATTGTTAATAAATAAATTTATTGAGAACACATTATGTTCTAGACATCAGGTCACTTATTTAATATAAATCACATAATTTAACACCACAACCATAGTTTTCTGTGTCAAGCAGTCTATCAAAAACTTTGATTAGATCTAAGCCAGAGCTGTGTAGCAAGGAGTGCAATCATGGTTATTTGACTCTAAACATTTTTAGAGTCCAAATAAATTCACTGGAATCTGTATAAAGACACTCATTCTGTGTCCATTATAATGTTAAACTCTGATTGATCATACTATTGAAACAGCATCCTTTAGATAGTTGCTTAACTCTTCTGTATTTCTTCCTACCAAACTCACCCTGGCCTTAGGGCAAAGGCAGGAGATGATTATACAATTCCACCAAACTCGCCCTGGCTTTAGGATATCACGCTTACTTCTCCCACATCTCCCCTCTCTTTGGAATGTTCTGCCCCTAACCATTTTTCATGGATCTAAAGCAGGGGTGTCCAATCTTTTGGCTTCCCTGGGCCACAGTGGAAGAAGAAGTGTTGGGCCACACATAAAATACACTAATACTAATGATAGACTATGTGAAAAAAAAAACCCACAGGAAAAACCTCATAATGTTTTAAGAAAGTTTACAAATTTGTGTTGAACTACACCACATTCAAAGCTGTCCTGGGCCACAGGGCTGCAGGTTGGAGAAGTCTGACCTAAAGTGTCTTATTTAAACATCTTATGTGAATGTATTCATAAGTTGTTCTCTAAAATAACATTAGGCAAAGTGTTGTTACTTTTATACTTATTATTTAATTTAATATCTCTTTCTCTTAAAGGACTTTAAGCTCAAGACAGTCAGGACATTAAAAAGTACTGTTACGCTTTACCTTGAAATTAGCCAAGTGCCCAGCACACAATAGAATCTCAATAAGTATGCGCTAGGAGTTTAGTCAATCATGTAACAGGTTCTTTCTGTCTGCTGCACAAACAAAATCAAACTACTGAGACCACAGCATTGCAGTAGTGAACGAGTTTAATTGACCTGAAGCTGGCCCATGTAAGAGAACCTGGGCTGTTGGTCAAATCAGCCTCTCTGAAGGCTTGGAAGTTAGGGGGTTTTAATGGACAATTTGGTGGTCAAGGATTTAGGTTATGGGTGCTACTGATTGGTTGAGGATAAAATCATAAAGGTGTAGAAAACGGTCCTCAGGTACTGAGTCTGCCTCTGAGTGAGGCCACAAGACCAGTAAATTCAAGAGTCATGAGTCCAGTTGGGGTTAGTCTGAAAAACATCTGGAAAAAAAAATCTGAGGTTCTACAGTAGTGATGTTATCTGTAGGAGCAATTGAGAAGGTCACAAATCTTGACTCCTGACCACATAACTCCTGATCAGTAAGCGATTTTAGAAATTACATCTATCTTGTGGCCTCTCAGTCTTACAAAGACAGTTTCAGTCTCCAAACAAGGAGGAGTTAGTTTTAGGGAAGGAATATTATCATTTTTGTTTCAAAGTTAAACTATAAATTCCTCGCAAAGTTAGCTTGGCTGATGCCCAGGAATGACCAAGCACAGCTTAGAGGTCAGAAGCAAGATGGAGTCAAGTATGTCAGATTTCTCTTACTGTCATGATTTTGCAAGGGCAGTTTATTAATGAAGCGGATTGTACAGTAGCTGTCTTGCAAATACCGTTTTAGGACCAAACTGGGGTCTGCTCACCCTGTGCAGTAAAACGAGGTGATATGGTTTGGCTCGTCTCCCCCCAAATTACGTCTTGAATTGTAATCCCCGTGTGTTGAGGGAGGGACATGGTGGAAGGTGATTGGATCATGGGGGCAGTTCCCTCCATGCTGCTCTCATGATAGTGAGTCAGTTCTCATGAGATCTGATGGTTTAAAAGTGTTTGGCAGTTGCCCCTGCTCCTGCCTCCATGTAGGAAGTGCTTGCTTCTCCTTCACCTTCCGCCATGATTTTAAGTTTCTTGAGGCCTCCCCAGCCATGTGGCACTGTGAGTCAATTACAATTCTTCTTTATCAATTACCTGGTCACAGGTATGTCTTTATAGAGGTGTAAGAATGGACTAATATACCAGATATCTACACCAGGATAGTGATAGAAAGAAAGGCTTTCATTGCAGGGTGCCAAGCAAGGAGGACCAGGCAGCTAAATGCTCAAATCCTGATCTCCTTGATGGCTTGCACACAAGGTTGTCTAAAGGCAAGGGTAAATGTCAGGAAAGCAGAAGATACAGGCAAAATCATAAATAATACATGGAGGTTACACATTGGTTTAGGCCTAAAAGGGTGGGATTTCTTGAAGCAGGGGCTTACAGGTCATAGGTAGATTCAACGATTTTCTGATTTGCAATTGGTTAAGGCAGAGAAGTTTGTTTAAGAATTGGAGTGAGTAGAAAAATGTTAACTAGGTAGGGGGAGTGACTTTCTCCAAGGCCCTCGGGAAAAAACTTGGAACAAATATGATGATTAAAGTTCAGTCTTCACTTCCCCTTATCTGAGGTCTTCATGCCAGTGGATCCCTTAGGTGGGGGGTTCCCTGTGGGGGTCCAAGTTTCTGAAAGACAACTCAGTGACATTAAGATGTTACCATAAGTTTCTATGCAGAAAGCAAGCATCTCTGGAACTCTAACTTCCTTGGCTGTTGTTTTAGGCTACGATTATCTTCTTGTTTAACAAGTTCCTTATTTTCCTTATTTATTTCTAGGACTAACTAGGTTCCTAGAATTTCCATCCTAGAAACTCAGCATTTGTCTTTATGTCCATGATTGAGATCCATAGGCTTTTAAAAAGTGGTATCCCTGCTCTATCTCAATAATATTTCAGGTCTCTGTTAACTGTTAATATATTGACATATGAGTAAACTGAAAATAATTTACAAAGTAATTAATGAAATAAAAATGTAAGAAAAAGCCAATGTATGATATTGGTTCATTTGAACAACTTTTATTGAACGCTTATTGTATTCCTGACACTCTTTTTGGTACTGAACATTTAATAAATGAAGAAGACAAAGTGTTTTTCCTCAAGGAAATCACAGTCAGCAGGGAAATATACAGGTAAAGAGGGTTGAACAGCCAGAGGATTAATAAACTCTATGCATCTAATCAATGGTTCTCATAATAAAAAATGCAACTAATTTAATTCAGTACAGTCTCTTTAATATTGTATATCTGTTGGGTTAGTGATTACTTTCTTATGTTCCTTGAATTATGAGTAATATAAAATACAGCATGAAATAATAACCATTATATTGAACAAATGAATTTTATCTGAGGTATTTCACATTCATGTGAGATGAAATCAGTTATTATTTTGTCTCATGAGCATTTTCCACTTTGAGCATTTTAACCTCACTATCGGTGGAGCTATCTATTTACAACTAAATTTCTATTTACCACTAAAAAATAAAAGAGGCCGGGTATGGTGGCTCATGCCTGTAATCCCAACACTTTTGGGAGACTGAGGCAGGTGGATCACCTGAGGTCAGGAGTTTGAGACCAGCCTGGCCAACATGGCGAAACCCCGTCTCTACTAAAACTACAAAAATTAGCTGGGTGTGGTGGTGGGCACCTGTAATCCCAGCTACTTGGGAGGCTGAGGCAGGAGAATCACTTGAACCTGGGAGACGGAGGTTGCAGTAAGCCAAGATCACACCACTGCATTCCAGCCTGTGTAACAGTGCAAGACTCCATCTCAAAAAAAAAAAAAAAAAAGAAAGAAATGGAATAATTTAATGATGGAACCAACTTGCAAAAGTAAAATCAAAATTCAATCAATATTTGCATGCCTACTAAATGCCAGCTACTATGCTGTGTGTGTGTGTGTGTGTGTGTGTGTGTGTGTGTGTGTGTGTTTTGAGACACAGTCTAGCTCTGTCACCAGGCTGAAGTGCAGTGGCACGATCTTGGCTCACAGCAACCTCCACTTCAGTGATTCTTGCACCTCAGCCTCTGGAGTAGCTAGGATTACAGGGACACACCACCATCCATGGCTAATTTTTTTATTTTTAGTAGAGACAAGGTTTTTCCACGTTGGCCAGGCCGGTCTTAAACTCCTGACCTCAAACAATCCCCTGCCTCAGCCTCCCAGCGTGCTGGGATTATAGGAATAAGCCACTGCTCCCGGACTATATGTATATTTTTATTTAATTCTTACAACTGTCTCAGAGACTGTAAATCTTATTAACCCCATTTTATTAATGAGGAAATGCAAGTTTATGGTTAACACTATATCTAAGTTTATAGAACTGGTAAGCAGCAAAGCCAAAACAACACTCAAGGACTCATAATTTAGTCAAACAACAATAAGGCCACATAATTTATCTATATGTTAATGCCTCTCTTTATCTGATTGCTTCTCTATATTATGACATACCTGTGGTCTTTTCAGAATGATCATAGTCCCCATTTTCCAATTCAGAATACTCCCAGTACTTATCAGACAGTAGGTACCAGGCTTATTTCTATGTCTGTGTTGTCTTTGTATATGACACACCCAATTATACTAGTAAGGCATATTCATTCATAGGGAAGTCAAAGAGTTCCTTGATTTTATATGAAGCTGTTGGAAGAGAAAATAGGTATCAAAAGTTGAATAATCAGCAATAAAATAAAATTGATAGATATAGCTATCTATCTATTGAAAGAAATAAGTAAAGTGAGTCAGCTCAAACATTTCTTGATGAGACAAGTTTATATTATAGCAGGGAAGAGAGGGATAAAGCTACCAGAGATTTTGTTTCCAAATTACCTATGACATGCAGTTATAGAATTGACATGGGAGAGAGGTGGAAATAGAGCTGCCACTTATGAATATGTGTATTATGTGTATATATCTATATATCTATATCTATATATATCACTCTTTCTCACACATGCCAATATCGACAGCTTGAAGTGCTTAGTGTGGGTATATTGATTTCATTTGCCATTAGGCCCCTCAGTCAATAACCCATTTATAATATATGCTCTTCAAAGCTATCCACTGGGGCAAAAGAGCTTGACAAAGAGAATATTTAAGTTACATAAAAAGCAAATGATAAAAATTACTAATTATCTCATGTTCCAACAGATTATGTTTCTCTTTTGCCTTGGCTGCCAGAAAGCATAGTGACAAATCTGTAGGATATTAATGGTAATTCTCTTGAACCTTATGGTTGGTTTATTTGTATTCTTCTTTTCTATTTTTTATATTTTCTTTGTAAACATGTTTTGATTCTTTGTTTTGTTTTCATTTTTTATCAGCTTCTTAGCTTCAGGATTATTCTTATAAATACTAAATTTAATAGGCTATAAAAAGCATATGTATGTATGCACACATATATGTCTGTGTGAATATGCATATGTGTATGCCTTTAGGATCTTAATTTTTTTAAGCCATTGTAAATTATTATTATATTTAGGAGTTCATCTTCTAAGTTTGCTGTTTTGACAAGGAGATAATTTTGACATAAACAACTTATAAACAAGTGGCATAAATTTAGGTTTGTTGGGACAGAGAAGTGACATTATCCATATCAGGGGATATATTCTTTCTTGGCACCTGACAGCAAATTATAAAAATTAACACTTAAAGAGCTGAACATATGTCATATAAGCCAGTTATAGAGAAAGCAGTATCACTGGAACATGATTAAATTCACTACATATAACTATTCATTGAAAATATAATGATATTAGGTCTTATACAGCAATGTTTTTTAGATGACAGCATAGATCTGTATAGTAGGATAAGGAACAAAGGAATTTTGCATTTTGGCTTTGATAGCTGATGACAGAGTAAGTGTGAGAAAAATAGTCCAGTTCTTATTTAGTTCCTTTAATGTGATTTTATAATATATAGCATCTTCACTTCACACGCATATACCACAGAATAAATTAGGATGGAATGTAGGGTGCCATATGCACGCATTTACTTACTCTTGACTGTCAAAGTCAAGTATTATGTTTATCATTCAGGCTATAATATTATATATCTCTTGTGGTTTTTTTCTGTTAAAATAATATTGTTCTAAGTGATCAGTTTCTTTCTTAAAATGTTGAAAATTCACTAGTGCAGAAGACACAAGAGGCAACCAGATGCAGGAAAGGAAAATAAATCAGAGCCCATGGATACACAGCATTGAGAAAATATTCACAGTCAATTTTAACTCAGGTGTCTGGTGTGAATAATACTATAAGAAAACAAAGCTTATGTCAACATTTGAAATTGTATGAAGAAAGCAAGGGTAATTATAGTCACCCAGATTATTATTTTACATCTAACCTTAAGCAACAGGGTAGACCTCTAACCCTAAAAATAGGAAGTGAAATAAAGAACATAGATATCAGTGAAATTACTATTTTCAGTTCAACAGACATGATTGGAAAAGGAAATAAAATCAAAGAGGCAACAAAATGAAAACTAAAGTAAAAGGAAATCAGACCAGATGTTGTGAATCTGTTTTTCATGCAGAGATGCTTAAATGCAAGGAATGGCCTTCCAGGCAAGGTTGCTGAGATAATAACACTGAATTTGTGCAAGATGGTTTGATTAGATGGTCTGACAGTGGAGGTTTAGAACTAAAAGGAGAATAAGCTATGTAGGCTAACTGCACTCTTTGCATTTTTAAAAGAAATTTCATATCTTCATTCAAGATCTTGAATTGAGTAAAAGAGAAGATTATAATTTCTCTGATTTTAATTTAGTCTTAGCACTAAAAAAAAGTGTTCTGTTTCATGTTTTATCTATCTTTTCCATACTGTACCTCTCATTTCTATCAGTGTTTTTGCCGTCATGTTACCTTTCTTCCTGATTTTATTATCACTGGCCTCATTACAGTACGTCCACTGGTTTCTCCTACTGTGATCCTTATTATATGGTTGTGTGTTCTATGCGTTACTGTCTTTCATCATGTTTGAGTCCTGGCAAGAATTTCTTCTAAATACAATACCATAGATACATTACACTGATCCCATGCAATTGTTGTAACTGCTGGGCATATGACTGCTATTCATGCCAATTTTCACTTTCCAAGTTTCTGTATGAGACAAAAAATTTGTTCTTGAGCACATAATTAGGAAATAAGAGAACTATTGGTGTTCCTATCTTTAACAGGGAAGATTTTTAATTTTCATGCCACTCTTTTCATAAATCTGATCTAAACAAAACTGAAATCTTGTACACAAAGGCCACGAATTGTACTTTGCAAGTTGTGAAAGAGCCAACTGAAAATACTTAAAATGTGCAAAGAAAAGAAAGAGAATATAAACAATAAGCCATGTGATAAAATAATATTTGTAAATTGGTTATGTAACATAAAACTCTCTTACTAAAATATCTTTTATATAAATATTACTCTAGTAATAACTCTCACAGTAAGTCAATTACTTGTCTTCAAACTCTTAATAGCTGTTGTCAGCAATGCCTATTAAACATATACTTATTATTTTGATGGGAAAATTGCCCCACCCCTACTCCCACAATCACCCAGGAACTTGTAAATACACAATAAACTTTTAAAAAATTATTTTCATAAAGACCAAGATATACACATTGTGATCAGTCTGATCCCAGTGGGACAACTCACGGTACATAATGCAATGATGTACACATGTGGAAAAAGTAAGTATGTCATTGGAAAAATAAATGGTCTAGCATTGTTTACCCATGTACATTATGGCATTTATCATGTTCCTTGGAGTCATTTCTTTAGTTGCTTATTTCTACGACTAGACTGTGAGTTCTTTTAAAGCAAAGACAGTGAGTTATTTATCTTGAAATTTCTCTACACCTCACAAAATACCTTGTAGTAGGAACTCTGCAAATACTCATTAAAATGAATATATCATTATTCAATGAAAGAGATATTGAATGAATGAATATACCATGTGAATATATATATGAGTACTAATTAAATAGAAAATATTAGTTTGGAATTACTATCATTTGGTGGGCAAAGAGAGAGAGGAAAACAATACTGGAAGAACTAAGGATGTTAAGCTTTATCTGTGGGTATCAATGTTATATTTACTTCAGCAATATATAAATGTTAATAAATGGTAGTTTGCTTAGTTCCCTAAGCCTTAGCTATAAGAGTTCTCTGTTTAATAACAATGGCTAATCAAGGATAGAGTATAATTTTAATAGTATCTTACAATAGTAATGCATGTATATTACTGCATGCAATATTATTTTATGGAAAATATATCAATGCTTTAAAAAATAAAAACTACTCATAATGCCACTATTTATTGAAAACTACAATTAGGAGTTTGGAAATTTCCTTCCATATATTTTTCTTAAAATGTATGTAATTATATGCTATATTGTAGAGAAATAAATATATGAATTTTAAATGAGGGTCCTATTTAATAGATACATAGCCTGATTTTTTTCACTTAAAATTATGTCATAAGCATCTTTTTATGTAATTTAATTACTTTATAAGTGAAAAGCTTATATTGGTTTGTTATATTCTATTAAATAAAGTTATTATTTGTGTTTACCAATGGTTAGTTTGCATTATAAATTAAAATCATTGTTTCACTTCAATCAGTAGCTGTGGTTTAAATTTTATTTTGACATGAATCTGTAAACTTATGTGTGCATAGAAAAGCATCTTCTTTATTAGAAATGGAATTTCTTTGAGGATGGTAATTTGGGGACTATTTACTAGAAATGGAATTGCTTGAGGGTGATAATTTGGGAACTATTATTTCCTGATCTAACTCTACCCATCCATAAACTCATTTCTTTAAAATGCTTAATAACTATTCCAATGAATTGTTGGGAAGCTGTGGTTAAATTACTCATAAACATTTCTAGATCTGCTGTAAACTGAGTTCATTTACAAGGTTTTAATACATGTCAGAAGCCTAAGGTGTCACTTTCATGTGGATGCCCAATTTATAATTGAGGCGAAAATATAATTACTCTCTTAACATTTTAATCCTTGAAAATTGTACTAAGTTATTTCAATACTTTTTAAAATTAAGTTTAGTAAACTACATCATTAATTATTTTGCCTGATTACATTCCATGTATTAGGATAAAACTGGTTCAATATAACTAAAAGGGAATTTTAGTATCCCTCTTTTAATATCTAAATAAGTATAGTTTATTCAGTTCAATAAGATTTTGGCTCCTGCATATGCTTTCAGAGTTAAATTAGAAAGCTAATAGTATATAAATACATATCTTTGTATTCTATTATTTGATTGGATAGAGAAAATATGGTATATGCATGGAATACTATGCAGCCATTAAAAAGAATGAAATCATATATTTTTCCAGCAATATAAATGTTGCTGGAGGGCATTAATCTAAGTGAAATAACTGAGAAACAGAAAATCAAGTACCACAAGTTCTCACTTACAAGTGGGAACTAAACAATGGGTACATGTAGACATGAAGATGGAAATAACACACAACGCAAACTCCAGAAGGGGGAAGGGTAGGAGTGGGGCAAGAATTGAAAAATTACCTATTGGGTACCATTTTTGCTACGTGGGTGATGGGTATGCTAGGAGCCCAAACCTCACCATTACACAAACCTGCACATGAAACCCCTGAATCTGAAACAATATAAATAAATAAATAAAAATTACAGAGAGTATCAAGAAATAGAGAACTCTTAAGAGAACAATTACTGATGCTGGTGAAATTGGGATCTTGTTCAGAGGTTACAGAATGGCTATGATTAGGATCTGTTAGAGAATCTTCTAGAAAGCTTTGTGGCAGGTTCATGGAGAAACTTCATGGAAAGGTAAATAATAAGTACAGACTTTTTGGAAATCTGAGGTAAGATGAACCACATTGAATTCCTGAAAACATGGTACCTTTTAAGCCATATCTTTTTGCCTTGTATTTTTTTATTAGTCTTTGTAATTTGTTGTCCAATTCCATGTAGTTTTATAGCAATTTACATATGATAAAAACAATCAGGGTGATACAGAATATTTTGTGAATGATACCGATTTGGGCATGGAAAAAGTCATACCTTGTGTTTGCTTTTAACCTCATGGACTCCTCCTTTGTCATACCTGTGGAAAATTCAAGTTTTTAGTTATGGTTTCCTTGAAGCAATTACAAATGATGCTGAAGAGAATTTGTCTCATAGAGAGGGATCTGTTCTGACAATTTTTGTGCACCTCTGAGCAAAATATAAGAGAAAAATGAATTTCAGCAAAAGAATGCTGTACTTGACTTTAAAATTAATTCATTGACTAGGAAAGTGAACTTCCCTAAGACGTATATCTACTAATAGTCTTCTTCTCTTTTGTTAGCCTTTTTTTCCCACGTGGAGAGATACTGTATTTTCGAAGGTAGTAAAGATAATTGAGCTGTGTATATACTTATTATTCTGAGGGGAAAAAATAAATAAAAACTTAGTAAAATTTACCAGGTTATCAGCAACTCATTTATTCTTAATTTTATCTGTACATTTGCATTCTATCTGTGCATTTGCATTTATTGTACTTTATTTGTTTAGGGTTTCTTTTCTGCTATATGTGTCATATACCTCTAGGGGGTTATTTTAAACAGTACTGGGATTTGCTTTTCTGTGTCCAAAAGCACAGATTTTATATTTGGACACTCAAGTTGTTCTGTATTTTGAACTATGAGAAAGGAATAATACCCGATTGAATACTGACTGTTTTTTTATAAGACAATCGAGCAACAGAGGCATTCAACATTAGCATCCAGTGTGCAAGACTTGAATGGTTTTATTGCATAATATGGGAGAATTGCTCACTACTGTCTGTTCCTGCTGACAGTCCTGATGCTCAGTCTGGTAATATCCTGAAAGATTTCTTCTTCTTTTTTTTTTTTTTTTTTTTTAACCCAGTGCTTTGTTATTAGATGTTAATAGGTTCTCAGTCTGTGGGAGAGGAAGCAATGGGACAATTAACATGAAAAAGCTCAGTAGTAGAGGAGTTGATGGAAAAGAGTATGGTCTGAGTGAGAATGCCTAAGGTTTGTTTCACTTTTTCTGTTTGTTTATTTTGTCAGGATAAGAATGGCATAAAATGCAATAACTTAGACTTTAGCTCCTACACCAGAATAGCTAAGTAGCTAAGGCACTAAACTTCATTTGTTTATTTATTCTTCTATGGCCACCTTCCTGGTGATGTCTCTAGAATACTTGAAGTTCCCTCTAGCTATGATGGCTCCTTATTACAGATCCAGAATGTTAACATTACCAGAGCATAGTCAATGTAAGCTTTGCAGAATTAAAATTATCCTTCTAAAATGCATAGATGATTATCTTATGCTCAATGAAAATTAATGTGAAAACTTATAATGCATTCAGCTATAGATTACTATAGCATAAACAATCTTTTGTACCATTTCTATAAAATTTAGAAAATATTTTAAACCTATGATTTTCCCTTCCCATTATACATTTGGAATAGCTGAATAATATAATTATAGAATCACCTTATCTTGAAGTCAGATGAGACTTTAGCATTTTTTATAGAAACTTAGCAGGTTAGATAAACCTTGATTTTGAGTTATGACTCAAATTACTATAACTTTGTGAATTTTGAGAACATATTTATCAGCTCAAAGGCTCTATTTTGCTCCAACTATAAAAATGAAATGTAACAGATCTATCTCTTGGAATTATTATGAGAATTAAACAAAATCTTATGTATATGTTACCCAACACAGTGCCTGGAAAAGAAGAGAGACTCAAACAGTATTTGTTAAAAACTCCAAGAAACCAGTTGACAACCAGAAGGTGTTACTGTGTGAAGGCTAGAAACTTGGGGAAAGAATAGGACCAAACTTTTTCTTAGTTATATTCTCAGAAAATTGTAGTATGTTCACAATTCCTACTTCATTGTTGGTAGACATCTGTAAATAATGTATGTAATTGAATATTTTTATTCCTATTTTAGAAGCTGAACAGTGCTTATTTAAGGTCTAAAATGGACTTGACACTGAATGTAGAATGTTTGAAGAACATCCTTTATTGTTACTATTGATGAACCAATACTGATACATTATTATTATGTAAATCCTACCGTTTACAGTAGGCTTCACCTTGTGTTGTAAATTCTATGGATTTTGACAAATGTATATTAATGTGTATTCACCACTGCAGTATTACACAGAATAGTTTTACCATCTGGAAAAATCCCCTACGCTCTACCTATACATTTTACCCTCCCTAGGAATTTTATTGTTCCCGTAGCTTTGCCATTTCCAGAATGACATGTAATTGCAATCATACAGTATGTAGCCTTTCAGATTGACTTCTTTCATTAGCAGTATGCATTTAAATTTCCTGCATGTCTTTTCTTGGCTTGATGTATCATTTTTCATCGCTTTTTGTACATTCCATTGACTGAGCGTTCCAGTTTATCCATTCATCTACTGAAGAACATGTTGGTTACACCTAAGTTTTGGCAATTACAAATAAAACTGCTATTAAGACACATGTGCAGGTTTTGTGTGAACGTAAGTTTTAAATTTATCTGGGTAAATACCAAGGTATGGTTGCTCGATTGTATAGTAGAAGTATGTTTACTTTTGTAAGCAACTGCTGAAATTTCTTCCAAAGTGGCATTCCAAACTGTCTTCCAAAATGTCATTTTACATTCTCTTCAGCGATGAACGAGAGTTCTTATTGCTCTACATTTTCACCAGTGTTTGGTGTTATCAGTGTTTTAAATTTTAGTCATTCTAATAGATGGGCCATGTGTTGTTTTGAATTGAAATTCCTTGATGATAAACAATGTTGACCATGTTTTTGTGTCCTTATTTGTCATCTGTATGTCTTTGGTGAGGTGTCTGCTCGCATCTTTTGCTCATTTTTTAATTGAGCTGTTTTCTTATTATTGAATTTTAAGAATTATTTGTACATCCTTGATACCAGTCGTGCATCAGATAGGTGTTTTGCAAATGTTATCTTCCAGTCTGTGGCTTTTTATTCTTTTTTTTGTTTTGTTTTTTGAGAAGGGGTCTCACTCTGTCACCCAGGCTGGAGTGCAGTGGAGCGATCTCTGCTCACTGCAACCTCCACCTCCCAGGTTCAAGCAATTCTTCTGCCACAACCTCCCGAGTAGTTAGGACTACAGGTGTGGACCACCACTCCTGGCTAATTTTTGTATTTTTAAAGTAGAGACGGGTTTGACCATACTGGCCAGGATGGTCTCAAACTCCTGACCTTGTGATCTGCCCTCCTCAGCCTCCCAAAGTGCTGGGATTACAGGCATGAGCCATCATGCCCAGCATCTTTTTATTCTTTTAAGTGTCTTTTGCAGAGTAGAAGTTTTAAATTTTTACGAAGTCCAATGTATTCATTTTTTTGTAAAAAAATTGTTAATTATGTTTTTGGTGTTATATTTTAAAAGTTCTTGCCAAACCCAAGATCACCTAGAGTTTCTCCTCTGTTATCTTACAGAAGCTTTGTAGTACTGCATTTTAAATGTAGGTTTATGATTTAACATAAAATGTTTGCTTTATATCTTTTCTTCTGGATAGCACTCTAATTGAAAAATCAGTAGCTTCCAAGTCAAGGTGTACAGTCTATGGATAATTTTATAAATTTGAAAGCCTGAGTTTTACAAATTTAACATGAGCATGTGTCAAAAATTTATTTTTGAGAGGCGCTAAAATGATAAGCCTTGTTTAAAAAATTTAGATAAAGAATGGTTCAATAAAATTTCTCATTTAGAAACAAAACTGGTTAATGTCCTACAGAGCAATGAAGCTATAGCCTTTAGGATTATCTTTTCTACAAAAATAACACTTTTTGTAACAAGAATCATTTACATGGTCATCAAATTTTTTTTTAAAGAGCATTAACTCTTACAGAGTTTTAAAATATCCTGATCGACACTAATAGCAAGTGGAACAAAGATACACACTCCTTGAGAATTAGATATTTGCCAGGTGGGCCTGATTGCAATGTCTGTTCAACAGGACATTAAAAGGACAAGCAATAGTCCATTTTTTCTGTTTCCAAGCTTTGATAAATTTCTTAACAACTACACAAGTTGTTACAAGAGCCTACTTAAGACATATTGAGAGAAATATGAAGCCTTCAATGACTTTCTTTTTTTTCGTGTGTGTGTGTTCTTCTATAGAATTGTGTGTGAATAAGTGCTGCAGAGTTTGTATAAGTATTGTTGATAATTGGCTTGTAAATAGCAATATTGGACTTTATTTTTCTTTCAATAATTTTCAAAAGTAAGTCAACTAAATTCGAGCTGTCTAAAAGCGAAAGAATAAGCAGCTTTCAGTGCAAAGAAACTGGGCAAATTTTGTTAAAGTTTAACAAAACTTTTGTAAAATTACCAAGTGACTACAATTTTGACTATTGTATTGGGCGGAATAAAAGACAATAAAATACAAAGTGCTTTATTTTCTGGTTACTAGATTGTGAATCCTTTGCAGACAGGGACTGTACTTTATCTTTTATATCGTCTACATTTTCTAACATATATTAAGACTTTGGAAAGAAGAGACAGAAGAAAGGATTTAGGAGGTAAAGAGGAAGAAGGGACTTTACATTTTACATTTAACTGTATGCATACTCTGTATTCTCAAGCTAGTTTTTGCTTAGATCTTTCTGTGGGATATTATTTAATTTGGAAACCAATCATCATAGTCAAACTCCTGACAAACAAATTCTGTAAGTACATAGATAAGCAACAATTAACTCACACACTAATGCATTCTATTTGCTTTTTAGTTTCATGTATGTTGGGTAAATGGGAAAGAAAAATTACTGTATTCTTGTTTTTATTTGTTGAACATTTATGTAGTTGCCTATGTAATGTGTTTTTAATTTATAGCTATGGAGCCAGGTATGCAAAAATGGAAACTTTTTTTTATAATTAAATTTAGCTTAAGTCTCTTAGCTCATATACACTGGGTAGCTAGAATTAATCTTGACAATTTAGAAAATTCAATCGATTTTGCATTATAACTCAGTTTCTCCAGAAAAACTAGTTAATATCTTTTTCTCTCTTCTTCCCTTCTCTGAATCTTTTTCTTGTGTATGTAGATATCAGGGGAGGAAACTGTTGATAGTGTATCATTTCTTGCTTGATGGATTATAGCATAAACTCTCTTCCCCTTAAGGCTTTGCTGTTGATGTATTCAAAGTCCCACTTCAGGAATTAAAAGGAGAAACTTTTACCTCTGAACCAATCTAGCTTTTGCAAACAAAATGTGCTGCTACTTTCAGTCTGTTCTCTGGACTATAGATTTATAAAATTCTACTTTGGCTGTAGAAAGCCAGTGATTTAACATTTTGTTTTCACTGAATTTTGTTTGTTTTCTACTTTCCCTGGGGCAATAGATTTGACCTTTAAATTCTGGCTTTAACTGTTGAAAACTGGCCAGGTGCAGGGGCTCACTCCAGTAATCTCAACACTTTGGGAATCTGAGGTAGGAGAATCGCTTGAGGCGAGGAGGTCGATATCAGCCTGAGCAACGTAGCAAGACCCTGTCTCTATAAAAAATTAAAACAGCCAGGCATGGCGGTGAGTTCCTGCAGTTCTAGCTACTTGGGAGCCTGAGGTGGAATGATCACTTGGGCCCAAGAGTTTGAGGTTGCAATGAGCTATGATTATGGCACTGTACCCCATCCTGGGTGATAGAAGGAGACCTTATCTCTCTCTCTCTCTCTCTCTCTCTCTCTCTCTCTCCATATATATATATGAATGAAACTGAACAACTAGAAAAAATTATAATTTTAAAAATGCATTTCAAAATTTTATTGTGCTACACTTCCTGTGGTGACTGAAGATGGAGTTAGCCAGAGAAGCTTGCACCAAACAAAGTATCTTTTAGTAAAACATCAATTCCTTTATTATCCCATGTATTACTATTTTCCAACAAAATAGAAATCACCCTTTGCATCTCAAGATGGCTATAAAAATGATTGATAGAAATTGCTAATAATTCACCAATTGTCTGCTCTTAAATGAATGCATTTCAGCATTTACGCTAACACCAGGACATTCCACCCCTCACCTCAGAGCAAATGTTAAGCTGATACTCTGAAGCTGTTAAGAAAAATCTTCACTATGTGACAATCCTTCAAAACATAATATTCTAAATGTGCTTGTTCTATAATAACATATTCTCTTTCTTTTAACCTCATTTTAAAAATGATGCATTTGTTGAGTTCAAGTGCATCTACTTCAGAAAAAAAAAATTTTTGAGGAGAGAACCAAATGACTTTTGCTGTGTTTAAAGAGTAAACCCATTCCATCAGAAGCAAAGTCTAAAGAGATTCAACAGTAGGAAGTTGTATACAAGGTATTTGGCATTTTTTTTCTTTCCTAAAAGTTTAAAGGCTGTGTAGCTAGGCATAAAAGCTCAAGCCTTCATGAAGTTCTTTTAGCCACTTAAATTCACCAGAAATATAAATAGCAGAGAAATAATCATTTTTAAGAAGTTGCTTAATGTTTAGTTATTGTGCATATGTGGGAGGTACCTAACATTTTGATTTTCTTTTTCGGGCATTCTATGTTTAGAGCTTCATGCAAATAGTTGTTCCTAGCATTCTGTAAAGCATTCAGGGTAATGGGAACGTGTCACAGTAATACAAACTTTGTGAACCTTTTCTAATTATTTTGTGCTATATTTAATCTTAGTAATTTCAAAGATCATTTACACATCTTCTCTAATATTCTTACTATAGCTGCTTTGGGTTAAGTCTGGTTATAGCTTCTTTTCGTTATTTTATTTATAATTTTTTCATATCATATGTTTATATAAGACTTTTATTTCCATATCTGACCTTACATCTATAATTCTTCAACAAGATTTAACACTATGGCCTCAGACAGGATTATTTAATTGTGAGCAGTAATCACACAACCTTCTGCAAAGCCAAACAAAAAAAGAACCAGAAAAATTCTTGCTATATTTTTATTCACTGCTTTAAATAATAAATTCATGGGCATATAGATCATACTTCTACAGAAGAGGTGACTACTCATTCATTGTTAGTGAATATTCTTTGTATATTTTCTCCTCTGCAAAATTCACTGGGGAAAAAATAGTTTGTACAAGCTATCATTTCATCTTTAATTAAAGAGAAATTACATAGTGTATTATATATTATTAATCTTCCAAGAACAGACATTGTTTTTACTGTAAATATTCTTTCACTTTTATAGGACTAAGAAAATAGCTCTACAATATAAAATTGAACACCTTAGTGAATACAGAGTAAACATTCGTTGAATACATATATGTTGCATTTGTTTTTAAAAAAAGAAACCTTGCCAATATACTTGAAAATAGTAGCTTCTTCTTTCTTTTACTACTATACTTTAATTTCTAGGGTACATGTGCACAACATGTAGGTTTGATACATAGGTATACATGTGCCATGTTGGTTTGCTGCACCCATCAACTCATAATTTACATTAGGTGTTTCTCCTAATGTTATCCCTCCCCCAGCCCTCCATCCCCTGACAGGCCCCAGTGTGTGATGTTCCCCACCCTGTGTCCAGGTGATCTCATTGTTCAGTTCCCACCAATGAGTGAGAATATGCGGTGTTTGGTTTTCTGTCCTTGTGATAGTTTGCTCAGAATGATGGTTTCCAGCTTCATCCATGTCCCTGAAAAGGACATGAACTCATCCTGTTTTATGGCTGCATAGTATTCCATGGTGTATATGTGCCACATTTTCTTAATCCAGTCTATCATTGCTGGACATTGAGGTTGGTTCCAAGTCTTTGCTATTGTGAATAGTGCAGCAATAAACATACGTGTGCATGTGTCTTTATTGTAGCATGATTTATAATCCTTTGTATATATACCCAGTAATGGGATTGCTGGGTCAAATGGTAATTCTAGTTCTAGATCCTTGAGGAATCGCCACAATATCTTCCACAATGGTTGAACCAATTTACACACCCACCAACAGTGTAAAAGTGTTCCTGTTTCTCCACATCCTGTCCAGCATCTGTTGTTTCCTGGCTTTTTAATGACTGCCATTCTAACTGGCATGAGATGGTATCTCATTGTGATTTTGATTTGCAGTTCTCTGATGACCAGTAATGACGAGCATTTTTTCATGTGTCTGTTGACTGCATAGATGTCTTCTTTTGAGAAGTGTCTGTTCATATCCTTTGCCCACTTTTTGATGGACTTGTTTTTTTTTCTAGTAAATTGGTTTGAGTTCTTTGTAGATTCTGGATATTAGCCCTTTGTCAGATAGGTAGATTGCAAAAATTTTCTCCCATTCTGTAGGTTGCCTGTTCACGCCGATGGTAGTTTCTTTTGCTGTGCAGAAGCTCTTCAGTTTAATTAGATCCCATTTGTCTATTTTGACTTTTGTTGCCATTGTGTTTGGTGTTTTAGTCATGAAGTCCTTGCCTATGCCTGTGTCCTGAATGGTATTGCCTAGGTTTTCTTCTAGGGTTTTTATGGTTTTAGGTCTAACATTTAAGTCTTTAATCCATCTTGAATTAATTTTTGTACAAGGTGTAAGGAAGGGATCCAGTGTTAGCTTTCTACATATGGCTAGCCAGTTTTCCCAGCACCATTTATTAAATAAGGAATCCTTTCCTCATTTCTTGTTTTTGTCAGGTTTGTCAAAGATCAGATGGTTGTAGATATGTGGCATTATTTCTGAGCCTCTGTTCTGTTCCATTGGTCTATATATCTGTTTTGGTACCAGTATCATGCTGTTTTGGTTACTGTAGCCTTGTAGTATAGTTTGAAGTCAAGTAGCATGATGCCTCCAGCTTTGTTATTTTTGCTTAGGATTGTCTTGGCAATGTGGGCTCTTTTTTGGTTCCATATGAACTTTAAAGTAGTGTTTCTCCAATTCTGTGAAGAAAGTCATTGGTAGCTTGATGGGGGTGGCATTGAATCTATAAATTACCTTGGGCAGTATGGCCATTTTCACGATATTGATTCTTCCTATCCATGAGCATGGAATGTTCTTCCAATTATTTGTGTCCTCTTTTATTTCATTGAGCAGTGGTTTGTAGCTCTCCTTGAAGTGGTCCTTCACTTCCCTTGTAAGTTGGATTCCTAGGTATTTTATTCTCTTTGAAGCAATTGTGAATGGGAGTTCACTCATGATTTGGCTCTTTGTTTGTCTGTTAATGGTGTATAGGAATGCTTGTGATTTTTGCACATTGATTTTGTATCCTGAGACTTTGCTGAAGTTGCTTATCAGCTTAAGGATATTTTGGGCTGATATGATGGGGTTTTCTAAAAGTACAATCATCTCATATGCAAACACAGACAATTTGAGTTCCTCATTTCCTAACTGAATACCCTTTATTTCTTTCTCTTGCCTGATTGCCCTGGCCAGAACTTCCAACACTATGTTGAGTAGGAGTGGTGAGTGAGGGCGTCCTTGTCTTGTGCCAGTTTCCAAAGGGAATGCTTCCAGTTTTTGCCCATTCAGTATGATATTGGGGGCTGTGGGTTTGTCATAAATAGCTCTTATTATTGTGAGATATGTCCCATCAATACCTAGTTTATTGAGAGTTTTTAGCATGAAGCACTGTTGAATTTTGTCAAAGGCCTTTTCTGCATCTATTGAGATAATCATGTGTTTTTTGTTGTTGATTTTGTTTATGTGATGGATTATGTTTACTGATTTGCATATGTTGAACCGGCCTTGCATCCCAGGGATGAAGCCTACTTGATCATGGTGGATGAGCTTTTTGATGTGCTGCTGGATTCAGTTTGCCAGTTTTTTACTAAGGATTTTCACATCAATCTTCATCAGGGATATTGATCTAAAATTCTCTTTTTTTGTTGTGTCTCTGCCAGGCTTTGGTATCAGGATGATGCTGGCCTCATAAAATGAGTTAGGGAGGAATCCCTTTTTTTCTGTTGATTGGAATAGTTTCAGAAGGAATGGTACCAGCTCCTCTTTGTATCTCTGGTAGAATTTGGCTGTGAATCCTTCTGGTCCTGGACTTTTTTTGGTTAGTAGCCTATTAATTTTTGCCTCAATTTCAGAGCCTGTTATTGATCTATTCAGAGATTCAACTTCTTCCTGGTTTAGTCTTGGGAGGTTATATGTGTCGAGGAATTTATCCATTTCTTCTAGATTTTCTAGTTTATTTGCGTAGAGGTGTTTATAGTATTCTCTGATGGTAGTTTGTATTTCTGTGGGATCGGTGGTGATATCCCCTTTATCAATTTTTATTGCGTTCATTTGATTCTTCTCTCTTTTCTTCTTTATTAGTCTTGCTAGCAGTCTATCAGTTTTGTTGATCTTTTCAAAAAACCAGCTCCTGGATTCATTGATTTTTTGAAGGGTTTTTGTGTCTCTATCTCTTTCAGGTCTGCTCTGATCTTAGTTATTTCTTGCCTTCTGCTAGGTTTTGAATGTGTTTGCTCTTGCTTCTCTAGTTCTTTTAATTGTGATGTTAGGGTGTCAATTTTAGATCTTTCCTGCTTTCTCTTGTGGGCATTTAGTGCTAAAAATTTCCCTCTACACACTGCTTTAAATGTGTCCCAGAGATTCTGGTATGTTGTGTCTTTGTTCTCATTGGTTTCAAATAACATCTTTTTTTCTTCCTTCATTTCGTTATGTACCCAGTAGTCATTCAGGAGCAGGTTGTTCATTTTCCATGTAGTTGTGTTGTTTGGAGTAAGTTTCTTAATCCTGAGTTCTAATTTGATGGCACTGTGGTCTGAGAGACAGTTTGTTGTGATTTCTTTTCGTTTAGATTTGCTAAGGAGTACTTTACTTCCCATTATGTGGTCAATTTTAGAATAAATGCGATGTGGTGATGAAAATAATGTATATTCTGTTGATTTGGGATGGAGAGTTCTGTAGATGTCTATTAGGTCTGCCTGTTGCAGAGCTGAGTTCAGGTCCTGGATATCCTTGTTAAACTTCTGTCTCATTGATCTGTGTAATATTGACAGTGGGGTGTTAAAGTCTCCCATTATTATTGTATGAGAGTCTAAGTCTTTTTGTATGTCTCTAAGGACTTGCTTTATGAATCTGGGTGCTCCTGTGTTGGGTGCATATATGATAGTTAGCTCTTCTTGTTGAATTGATCCCTTTACCATTATGTAATGGCCTTCTTTATCTCTTTTGATCTTTGTTGGTTTAAAGTGTGTTTTATCAGAGACTAGGATTGCAACCCCTGCTTTTTTTTGTTTTCCATTTGCTTGGTAGATCTTCCTCCCTCCCTTTATTTTGAGCCTATATGCATCTTTGCACATGAGGTGGGTCTCCTGAATACAGCACACTTACGGGTTTTGACTCTTTATCCAACATGCCACTCTGTGTCTTTTAATTGGGGTATTTAGCCCATTTGCACTTAAGGTTAGTATTATTATGTGTGAATTTGATCCTGTCATTATGATGTTCGCTGGCTATTTTGCCTGTTAGTTGATGCAGTTTCTTCATAGCATCGATGGTCTTTACAATTTGGCATGTTTTTGCAGTGGCTGGTACCAGTTGTTTCTTTCCATGTTTCATGCTTCCTTCAGGAGCTCTTGTAAGGCAGGCCTGATGGTGACAAAATCTCTCAGCATTTGCTTGTCTGTACAGGGTTTTATTTCTCCTTCACTTATGAAGCTTAGTTTGGCTGGATATGAAATTCTGGGTTGAAAATTCCTTTCTTTAAGAATGTTGAATATTGGCCCCTACTCTCTTCTGGCTTGTAGGGTTTCTGCCAAGAGATCTGCTGTTAGTCTGATGGGCTTCCCTTTGTGGGTAACTCAACCTTTCTCTCTGGCTGCCGTTAACACTTTTCCCTTAATTTCAACCTTGGTGAATCTGACAATCATGTGTCTTGGGGTTGCTCTTGTCAAGGAGTATCTTTGTGGTGTTCTCTGTATTTCCTGAATTTGAATGTTGGCCTGCCTTGCTAGGTTGGGGAAGTTCTCCTGAATAATATCCTGCAGAGTGTTTTCCAACTGGGTTCCATTCTTCCCATCACTTTCAGGTGCACCAATCAAACATAGATTTGGTCTTTTCACATAGTCCCATATTTCTTGGAGGCTTTGTTCATTTCTTCTTACTCTTTTTTGTCTAACCTTGTCTTCTCACTTTATTTCATTAATTTGATCTTCAATCACTGATACCCTTTCTTCCACTTGATCGAATCTGCTATTGAAGCTTGTGCATGTGTCATGAAGTTCTTGTGCCATGGTTTTCAGCTCCATCAGGTCATTGAAGATCTTCTCTACACTGTTTATTCTAGTTAGCCATTCATCTAATCTTTTTTCAAGGTTTTTAGCTTCCTTGCAATGGGTTCAAACATCCTCCTTTAGCTCAGAGAAGTCTGTTATTACCACACTTCTGAAGCCTACTTCTGTCAACTCATCAAAGTCATTTTCCATCCAGCTTTGTTCCATTGCTGGTGAGGAGTTGCGATCCTTTGGAGGAGAAGAGGTGCTCTGATTTTTAGAATTTCCATCTTTTCTGCTCTGGTTTCTTCCCATCTTTGTGGTTTTATCTACCTTTGGTCTTTGATGTTGGTGACCTACAGATGGCGTTTTGGTGTAGATGATCTTTTTGTTGATGTTGATGTTGATGCTACTCCTTTCTGTTTGTTAGTTTTCCTTCTATCAGGTCCCTCAGCTGCAGGTCTGTTGGAGTTTGCTGGAGTTCTACTACAGACCCTGTTTGCCTGGGTATCACCAGCAGAGGCTGCAGAACAGCAAATATTGCTGCCTGATCCTTCCTCTGGAAGCTTCATCCCAGAGGGGCAGCCGCCTATATGAGGTGTCTGTTGGCCTCTACTGGGAGGTGTCTCCCAGTTAGGCTACACAGAGGTCAGGGACCCACTTAAGGAGGCAGTCTGTCCATTCTCAGAGCTCAACCACCATGCTGGGAGAACGAGAACCACTGCTCTCTTCATAGCTGTCTGACAGAGTCGTTTATGCCTGCCAAAGTTGTCTTCTGCCTTTTGTTCAGCTGTGCCCTGCCCAAGAGATGGAGTCTAGAGGCAGTAGGCCTTGTTGAGCTCGGTGGGCTCCACCTAGTTCGAGCTTCCTGGCCACTGTATTTATCTACTGAAGCCTCAGCAATGGCAGATTCCCCTTCCCCAGCCAGGCTGCCGCCTCGCAGATCGATCTCAGACTGCTGCACTAGCAGTGAGCAAGGCTCCATGGGCATGGGACCCACTGAGCCAGGCATGGGAGAGAATCACCTTTTCTGCTGGTTGCTAAAACCTTGGGAAAAGCGCAGTATTTGGGCAGGGAGTGCCCTGTTTTTCCAGGTAGTCTGTCATGGCTTCCCTTGGCTAGGAAAGGGAAATCCGCTGACCCCTTGTGCTTCCCGGGTGAGGCAACACCCTGTCCTGCTTCAGCTCACCCCTTGTGAGCTGCACCCACTGTCCAACCAGTCCCAGTGAGATGAACCAGGTACTTCAGTTGGAAATGCAGAAATCATCCATCTTCTGCATCAATCACACTGGGAGCTGCAGACCGGAGCTGCTCCTATTTGGCCATCTTGGTTAGGTGAAAATGGTAGCTTCTTAATGTGTCATTAAAGTGTACATCTGTGGACTTCTTAAAAATTGATGATTACTATACCTTCTAAGGTCCAACCTATACTTCTGTTCCAGGGGAAATATGATAATATACATATGCTTTCTGTTGAGATTGGACCATGACTGTATTTACTGTAGGGCTTAATGATACATTCATAACTGAATGCTGCAAATTAGGTTAAAGCCCTAGTTAATTTATAATGAAGGTTTTCAGTGTTTAATATTTTTAATATAAGTGACTTTAAATGTCCTTAATATGGGTTAAATTTATCTAATTTCAGATAACAGATATGTGTTCACTTAGGTTCATAGCCCATGATTTAAGAATGTCTTATAAGAGAGCTTCATTCATTCATTCATTCATTCATTCAACAAGCATTCTTGTTAGCCTAACAAGTGCCAAGTATTATAACAAGTACTACTTAGAATACCTCGAGGAATAAGATAAAATTCTTTCCCTCAGATATATTTCAAATTCTACTAGAGAGATATTTTTAAAAGTAAATAATTAAAACACAGGTAGAATCTCTAATTGAGGCACATAAACCATTTTATGTGAATCCTAAACAACATGGAACAAAGTTGGTTTTGTTGTAGAGAATGAGGAGGTCAGCATGCATTTCCTGAGGCAGGAACATTTGCCTAGTGGCTTGAAAGAATAGTAGGAGTTGAGCAAGCAGGTCAAAGGGGACAGACTGTTCAGGCCAAGGTTCTAATATGCCCACAGGACAGAGGCATGGAAGATCATGAAGGATTTTGGAAATCATAAAATATGTATAACAGAATAATAGAAGCCAGATCTCAGAAGGTTAACAGGGACCATATTCAATGGTAGTTTGACTTTATTTTCTTTTTTCAAAAATTATGTCTCTTAGGTCTGCTTGTTGCAGAGCTGAGTTCAGGTCCTGGATATCCTTGTTAACCTTCTGTCTCATTGATCTGTCTAATATTGACAGTGGGGTGTTAAAGTCTCCCATTATTATTGTGTGGGAGTCTAAGTCTCTTTGTAGGTCTCTAAGGACTTGCTTTATGAATCTGGGTGCTCCTGTATTGGGTGCGTATATATTTAGGATATATTTAGTGTTTTGGCTTCTGGCTTTATCACATGAATCCCCACTTAATATCTTTAATGACTATTTCTTTAAAACACACACAGAAAACAATTATAACAGTAAGATCTCAGTAATTCCGGAACATATCATTATGAAATATATGAATACATATATGATTAAATAATGTTATGTTTATAAATACATTTAAATTTTAACTATATATAATTAATTTAATATATATATATATATAGATAGATAGATAGATAGATAGATAGGGCCTCACTCTATTACCCAGGCTGGAGTGTAGTGGCATGATCAAAGCTCACTGTAGCCTCAAACTCCTGGGCTCAATCAATCCTCCCACCTCAGCCTCCCAAGTAACTAGGACTACAGCAACATGCTGCTACTCCTGGCTAAATTTATTTTGTTGTAAAGAAAGGGTCTTGCTGTGTTTTCCAGGCTGGTCTTGAACTTCTGGCCCCAAGTCATCCTCCTTCCTAGGTCTCCCAAAGTACTAGGATTATAGATGTGAGCCACCACACCCAGACTGATTTTATTTTTTGGACGACAAGAGGGAAGTGTGACTCTGAAAGAAAACTGAAGAATAATTGTCCTTTGTAGCAAACACACACATAGTCAGCACATATACACAAGCAGATTGGGAAAGAGAAAGACAGAGAGACACAGACAGAGAGAGTGAGAGGGACAAAAAAAGAGAGAAAGAGAATTAATGATATGTTCTGGAATTACTGAGATCTTATTGTTATAATTGTTTTCTGTGTGTGTTTTAAAGAAATAGTCGTTAAAGATATTAAGTGGGGATTCATGTGATAAAGCCAGAAGCCAGAACACTAATTCTTTTAATATTCTTTCAATTTGTTAGAAATATCATTGACCATGTTTGTTGATATTCCACATATTTGTGCATCTTCATTCATTAGTTTTAGCTGGGAGTATTAATCATTTTATGAAGAAAGAAAATATTACTGTGCTATAGTAACTTCCTGCTATCTTCATGGCCTAGTCATCTAAAGAATGGAGAGGATGAGGTCAGGAGACACTCTTCAGAGTAGGCAACTTTCTCTGGAATTCATTTGTTTAAATCCATCTTTTAAAAGACTTATGTATATATAAGTTTTATAATCTGTATAATATTGCTTTCATTCACGATGTAGAATTTCATCATCACATATTTTGTTTTCATTTTAATCTAGAAACTGTCTTTAATTTCCACCTCTATGTCAGTCTAAAATCTAATCTACTGGAACTAGAATCTAAAATAATATGCAGTCAATACAAATTTCTCTTAAAAATGTAACATGTTATATTTCATGGATTTTGCTATTAAAGAATAAAGGGATGTAAGCAAAATATGTCTCCAATTTTTTTATAATTCTCAAAGTCTTCCATTTCCAATGTGCACTCTATCTGAAGTCAGAAGTTAACATAATTATAATATGCTAGATTTGTATGATTTTAAACACAGACACACGCAAAAACTAATTTGATTCATTTACTTACAGAAAGCCATATCTTGGAAGATGTCAACAAGTGTATCATAGCCTTAAGAGACCAGGATGCTGATAATTTAGACCGTGCTGCGGGTGCTATCAGAGGCCGGGCAGCAAGAGTTGCTCACATCGTCACGGGTGAAATGGACAGTTACGAGCCAGGGGCTTACACGGAAGGTGTAATGAGAAATGTTAACTTCCTTACAAGTACTGGTAAGTCAGTTGCCAATAACAGCTGCACAATTTCTCTTATTTGAATCTACATAGCTACGAATATTCATACATGTGGGAAAGATTCTAGTCTGTGTTGCTTCTTTTGACATACATTGCTATACAGTGCTTGCACACTTTGGTTATGCGATTTGAAATTTATCACTGAGAAGTAAATATATTCATTGGTAAAAAGAGGTCTTCTATAAATATATGCGTTATATAAATTACCCACAGGCCTTAGTCAGAAACCACTTAGAATGTTCATTAATGCCTTATCTATTAGGAGATATAATTAGGCTGATATGGTATCAAGTATGTGATAGTCACCAAACCCTCTGTTAACTGTATCATTGATATCCCTAAGTTTTTGTTTACATTACTTAAACACAGCAAGTCTGTCCTACGTTTCCAGAGAAATGCTCTTACCTTCATCTGCAGTCTGTTTGCAAAACAGCAATTTGTTCTTGCACATAATCTTCTTTGATTGCATAAGAAATGTGGAACCACTCTTTTGTGTTGATTGCAGCACTCAGGTTAGTATTTTCGAAAAACCAGCCAGCAAATGCTTAGTTCTTGAATCCCTCAGTGAAATGGCATTTTAACACTATTGTTAACCTTTCTCCAAGAAACTTACAGAAGTGTCTGAATTCATATGGATTCAAAAACAATGAGGACAATCAACTATTTTTATAAGTCATGATAGCAGAACTCCTTCCTGGGAAAACCCTTTGTGAATTTGTGAAATCCTCAGGTTAGAATTTTTACTATTGCCTCCTCACACTAGGGTGATGGTGCATCTGTGATTCCTAAAATATTTGAAATTCCAACCTTAAGTCATCGATCCTGGAGAATCATTTTTCATGTTATGCATATGGAATATGAAATTTGATATGCACATTGTTTAGCCAAAAGAGTAGAAGGGACAAAGATGAGTCATTTTTTTAATTTTTCTTTTATATTTGAAGCCACTCCTTGAAATGAATTAAGAGAAACAAACCAACAGTTGAATAATATTCACTAGAGACTAGGTCTGAAGTGCTATGCTGCAAGGCAAGCTTAGCAAGGTTTGCAGGGAATTGATGATCAGTTTTGCTGTTTTTCTAGCAAGTTGATAAACAAAATCATTGATGAATCTTGGTATGTAATTTTCTTACTATCTCTTTGAAATATTTCTAAAATAATGCAATGCTAACAATGTGGTAAGGAAAGATAAAACTCTTGATATTATTAAATTTATATTGCTATATCCACTCCTCAAAGTCACCGGTATCAATAGGGCACATAGTAGTTACTTTTTCAATAAGTTATGGCAATATATTTACTTGTTTAAAAAGATGATTGTGCTCTGGTCATTCAGTATCTCTTCCCTAACTAAATTTAAGCACTCCTTTCATGTTGGTCAAAACCACATACAGAGTTTTCTGTGTCCCTGATTTTTTTCTACCTTCTGAGAATAGAATGTAAGTAAAAGAAGAATGTAACAGGGGTTTTTTTTTTAGACAAATAAAAATTTCCTATCAGGAATTGGTTAGGTAAAATCTAGGAGGACTAATATTTTGCCTCTGTCTCAGTTTTATAATCGTGTTAGTCTTGTGAGCATACTTTATGATCATAATTCTGTTTGAGGTACCAGGTTTACAGTTTTATGCCACTGTTTGCAATCACTCTGAGATCAGAAAATAATGAAACAAAGTTATTTAAACACTTAATTGCAAGTTTATTAATACCTCTTTGATTTATAATAACCTTTCTAGATAGCTAATCCATATGGCTACATTATCACATTCAGAAGAGAAAAAAATCTGTTTTCTTCTAATTAGTTGTATATAATTTTAATTAAAATTCTCTAGATAAATTATGTCCTATATCCCAAATATAATGAATATAAAATAATCCTGGGTTATTATGTATAAACAGCATCTTATTATTAGCGTAACGGTATAGTTTATGATGTCCCAATTTTGTTATTTTAGTTACTCAGAAAAATTTTGGTGTATCTTTGAAAAAGCTTTCCATTTTTGTTTATGTCTAATTCCAAACTATTCTCCAAATAGCCTTCTTTGAAATTTATGAAAAGCATGCCTTACTAAAAGGAATTCTGAGCAATAAATTAGATGAGAAAACTAATTAGATCAGTTTGATCTTAACCAAAGCTGAAAAATGTGAAAATTTTCTTTCCCATGGAGACATTGTCTATGAAAGATACTTCCCACTACTCTATCCTCCAGAATTTACTAACAGGAGATGTTCATCGTTGTTTGCGTCTGCTTCACATCTTGGACTTATTAGTTATAAATAATTGCCAAATTAAATAATTGGAAATATCATGTTTTGTGTTATGAGGCCTTAATAGTTTACTTTTTAGCAAGTGAACAGTAATATCTGTGGACTGTCTTTCTCTGTGTTTCCTTTTCTTTTATACAGTCTTCAGGATTTAACCCTGCTTTCTGAAAATGACTTTATGAGGAGCTATAGTGAATTGTTGTTTATTACCAAGACTTTTCCGTCTTTGCAAAGTTTGCCTTAAAGTATTGTCATAAATGATGAAATATAAGCCATACTTATCTAAATCACAAAGAAGGTTTTTAGAACATAGCACCTTTGATTTTAATCAGACTTTGTAGCTCATTAGTACATTTTCAAAATTTGATGATCTTCTAAGTGTTTTCTCAGCATTAAGAAGCAGGGCTGACCTATTATATCTCAGGAATTTATATTGTTCACAAACTCTAGTGAAATGTAGTCAACATCTGGAATGCTACATTTCACCCAGATAGAAGCATAATATTGTAATCTTCATGTGAAATTCTTTATTCCACCCCATTTATCCCTGTTACTAAGCTCCTCCTCCTGTCAGGAATTCTTAATAGAGAATATAGAATATATTAGCTTTTTAAATAAATAATAAACCTTCTGGACTGTATTGTGAAGGCTTACAAATTATACTCTTAGTGTCAACTTCAGTTCTTTTGTACTACGTTGGGGAAAAACCTAAACTGGAAGTGGACGGACATAAGACATTTTTGTGTGATTTATGAACGCTATAAAATTCAGGAATCAGCAGGCCCCAGAGCAGCTGTTGCAAACCTCCAACCCCCACCTAGTTTTACTGTTTGCCAGGCTCATGGACCAAAACAGAACAGGTACATAAATGAATCTGACCAAGATATCCTGGTGGCATCCACTGTTGGCAACTGGCAGTGATGGCAAATACAGGTTCATTCATCAAGTATCTGATGAGGCCGAGACTGGAAAGTGTGTATCCAGAATTCCCACCTTCTTAGAATGAACAATTGCCATATAGTTACATGTTTTTTGTCTCAAAGGCAAATGAGACAGTTGAAAGAAATTTTGAGCCAATAAATTTTTCTAAAATTTTGTTGTAAATTGTTTACTCCAGTTTAAGCAACAGATAGAGTTTTAAGATGTATTTCATTTAAAACGTAGTTTGAAAAAACTTTAATAGCAGTTGGTAACCCCTCTCAATTCCCTTTCATTTAATATGGTTTACATATACATATCTTGCATTTTGTAGCTTGATTAAAACATGCTTTTTTTTTTTGGCATTGCAGCTCTGTCCTACAATCTTAAATATTTATAAAAACTAAAGGTTTTAGTTCTAGCAGTCCTTACCCTCTGCAGTCCGGCAGTGTTTGAAAATTAGTAGTCTACATACTAGGTATGACTCAAAGAATTTTTATGTGGCCAGTGGAGTTTTGACCAACATAATTTTCACGGGAATTGGCTGGAGCTTAGTGGTGTCCTCTTTTTCACTGAGCCTTGGCCATGGTCTCTACCATGCCATAGTCTCTTCCACTCTGTCTCATTATAGCCCCAGTCTTCTTCACTCAGTTTACCTTCTTGAACTCTGGAGGAATTTGATTTCACCTAAAATTTTATTTCTAACTTTTTTTTTTTTTTTCTGATGTGGGCCAAAAGGCACCTTCCACAACACTTAAGTTAATACTTCCACAATGGCGGGGACATGCCAAGATTATTAACTGCCATCACTCTCTTTTTAAATATCTCTACCCCTTGTTTCTCACATCAAATTCTATGCATATTTCAAGAAAAAGCTTATATTCATGTCCTCTAGAAATCTTTGGCAATAATGAATTCTTTCTGTTCTCGTGCACTGTAGCTCTTAAGGGACGTGCCAACTCAATTACATCATCCCAGACAAGTATATGCTCTTGATGAACTCCTCAGATATACTGTCATAAAAATGGCTTTTCTGGTCTGGGTGTGGTGGCTCACACCTGTAATCCCAGCACTTTTGGAGGCCAAGGCGGGAGGATCATGAGGTCAGGAGTTCAAGACCAGCCTGGCCAACATGGTGAAACCCCGTCTCTAGAAAAAATACAAAAAAATTAGATGGGTGTTGTAGCATGTGCCTGTAATCCCAGCTACTTGGGAGGCTGAGGCAGGAGAATTGCTTGAACCCAGGAGGCAGAGGTTGCAGTGAGCTGAGATCCTGCCACTGCACTCCAGCAGGGGTGACAGAGCGAGACTCCGTCTCAAAAAAAAAAAAAAAAAAAAAAAAAAGGCTTTTCTTTCAAAATGGAATATGAGCTACAGGAGAAAAAGACACTCATATTATTTTTCTTTGAATCTCTCCCAGGGCCTACCATTGTGTCGTATGTTAGAATTAAAAAGAAAAAAAAATCAAAACCCAAAACGAAATCTCTTGAATTGAGCTTCTAAGGCTTTGCTAATTCTATCCCTGCAGTTGGAATGATTGCCTTTTCTTCTCTACTGCCCTCTTAAAATATAATCATTCTAAACACTTTCTCAAATGCCACCACCTTTGCAAAGGAGCTTTTGATTCCCTTTCAGTTAGAATTAATTGCTCCATTATCTGTATTACTATGAGCTTGTCCTCTAGTTAATGTTTATTTCACTTTGCCTTTGATCATAATCAGCCATTTACATACAAGTTTCTCCCACTAGATTGTAATGTCCTTAAAGACAGACACCACACTTTCTTTATTTTTATTTTCCCCGGTAGCATCTACACATAGCAGAGGGGCCCAATGATCAATGATCACCAAGTCCTTCTCCAAAATTTAAATTTAAAATGTACTGCAAGATTACACTGTGATACAGTCTAGTTAAGCAGGAGAATAGGTTGTCATCCCAATTCAGGAGGAAAACAACCCCTGGAAACAGTGGGCTGTGTCAAAGGATGGGGCAGAGAAAAGATTAAGAAAGTGATTCATTACTGTCCAGAGTTAGATCTTAGCCACTTCCAGAAAACTTGGGGTCAGATTTTTAAAAGGTTCTTTAGCAAGCTTTTGAACAATTGATCATGAATATTGTGTATTCAATTACTTACAAGAACCATCATTGAACTACGTCTGTTGAAAGATCTGACTGAACCTAATTTTGGTAATGCTTCCAGCAAATCCCTGTAAGGGGTAGTAACTGTGCTTTCACATTTGGGAGCCATTGTTGGCGAATTTCCTCCCCTTTAAGCAGTCTGAACAGGCTTTCAAATTATATCCTTTCTGCCTTTTGGATTAGACGTTAATATAACTCTTTTTTTTTTTTAACACAATTAGAGAGCATTAACAAGAGGTTTCTGTCTGCAGATCACTTGGCTAACCTGGATAACTGTGTGTCTTCGTGTTGATAATTCTAAAGTTGGAAATTAAATTACAACTCAGCCTCTCTAAAGAAGAGTAAGATCTCATGACCGTGGAAGTGCTTCTGTTCCCATAGGAGTGTGGGACCTTAGGTGACATTATGAGTTGAAGAAAGTAGCTGTTAGAACTTCTGAGTGGAAAAATCTATTTTCTGTCCAAGGAAGACTGGATTTATATAGGACCCAGATCTAGTTAAGAGACTAAGGATCCAGTTAAAGAACTAAAATAAGAATGGCAAGATTCTTATCTTGCCATTTTAAGTAAATGAACATACAAACTTGTCAGAAAAAAGAAAATGCTATAAAAACTGCAATCTTCAATATGTATTGTGTGATGCAAAATCTTTTCTCACCTTTTTGACATGGTACATGGAGTAATCTAAAGTGACACTGTTGGTATAGCCTTATTTTTTAAAAAATAATATATTCTGACACAGTGATAGAAATTTTATTGTTAAATGAGGAATAATATAAAGGGCTTAAGAGTGGATATTAAAGAATCATAAAGAGGGGTTGAGATACTGCCATATCTGAAAAATGTAAAATATGTAACTGATGTGGTTTGGCTGTGTCCCCACCCAAATCTCATTTTGAACTGTAATTCTCATAATCCTCATTTGTTGAGGGAGGGACCCAGTGGGAGGTAATTGAATCATGGGGGTGGTTTCCCCTATGCTGTTCTTGTGACAGTGAGTTCTCACAAAATCTGATGGTTTTATAAGCATCTGGCATTTCCCTTTCGGGCACTCATTCTCTCTCCTGTCTCCCTGTGAAGAGGTGCCTTCTGCCATGATTGTAAGTTTCCTGAGGCCTGCCCAGCCATGTGGAACTATGAATAAATTAAACCTGTTTTCTTTATAAATTAGCCAGTCTCAGGTATTTCTTCATATCAGTGTGAGACCAGTATGAGAACAGACTAATACAGTAACTTTGAGATTTTTGCTAAATGAAGGATGGGTTAACAACAGTGGAGATGAATTGGCATGGGCTGAAAAGAAGGGAGAATTGGAAGATGAACCAGAGAATGGGAACATGCTGTGTGGTTATTCACCAGTGCAAAGGTGTTCCAGAGGTCTTGTATCTTCTGTAACTCTAGAACACCTGTGACTAGCCTCATATGGATCTTCTCCTGGGAAACAAGATATCATCTAGAAAGAGAAAGAGGTCACATCTTTCATTCTGATCCTACTTTCCCGTATTTCTGTAAAATGACTAATTCAGATTTACTCTATGGATCTTTATGTGCTGAAGGCAATAGAAAAATAATTTATGTTTAAAAAGATTAGACATGAAGTATTAAGTATTAGTTTTGGTTCTGGGTTGCAAAGAACTGAAATTAAGAATGGCTAAATTAGGCAGAAAAACACAGGAAGACTGGAGAACAAGAAGAAAAAACTGGCAGACTGCAAGGGACACTTCATATAGGAACACAGTTAAAGTCATCCCAAAGAATAGCTTTTCAAAGTACCATTCCAGCCCCCTCTGAACACTTAATGCCACTAACAGTATCATAACATTATGACACTGGACCACACAGCTGGTACATTTATTCGCTACCACATTTCAGATGGTTCTACCACTGGAATAAATCATAAAATATCCCTGCTTTTGCCTCACTTGCTTTAAACTCAACTTCCAGTGCCAGAAGCATTATCTTAGTAGAGTTTAAATCATGTGCCCACACCTTGGCTGTCAGCATGCATAGGGGTGAGTACCTGGCCTTCGAGCTTCTTTGCAGACAGTGCTCTGCCTCACACTAAGACTCTTACACTGGCATATTCCCTGCATAATAAAGGGCTTTGAAGTCTGTTAGCAAAGGGGGAAGTTGGGGATGATGAGAAGCAGGAGAGGATGATTATCAACGAGGAAGCAAAAGGACCCAGAGAAAGGAAATTGAGGATTGATGCTGCCAACTTAATTGGACATCACTGGGACAATGGAACTACTTGCATCCATATTATGCAACCAAGAACATTGCCCTTCAGCAGCTTGTTGCAAAGCCAATTCTTTTAGATGGTTTATGAAACCTTTAAAACAAGCATAAAAGCCTGCTTTATTTCTGGTAGATTTATTAAACAAGGTATTATGATACCACTCCAAATTGAGGTACATTCCAGGGAAGACATGCCATAGCAGAATATATGATGTGAATATGATTCTATGGCCAAGACACTAGCTTCATAAAATAATGTTTGTTTTGCTGTATATGTAAAAGTATAAAGGAGTCTATGCAGGTTTTCAAAAAGGGGGAACGTTTACCCTTCAGTGATATACTGAGGTTTCTTCTTTCTTTAACTACAATGACAAAATTTAACACATCTGTATCCTGGTATTGTTCAAATGTAGAGTGATACTGAATTGAACTTTATATTTTGTTTTAAATCCAACGGAATGGGTACTTTGACTTCACTAATTTTTAAGATTACTAAGTATGAGACATTCTTTGTAACAGCATAGACTAGTGTTTTCTAAGATCATACTGTTTGAGGCTGGGCAGTGGTTCATACCTGTAATCCCAGCACTTTGGAAGGCTGAGGTGAGAGGACTGCTTGAACCCAAGTGTTCGAGATCAGCCTAGGCAACATAGTGAGACCCAGCTCTACAAAAGAAGAAAATAGTAATTAAAAAATGTTAGCCAGGCATGGTGGTACACACCTGTAGTCCCAAATACTTGGGAGGTTGAGGTGTGAGGATCACTTGAGCCCAGGAGTTTGAGGCTTCAGTGAGCTGTGAATGTGCCACTGCACTCTATCCTGGGGAACAGAGTGAGACCCTGTCTCTCAAAAAAATAAAATAAAATCATAATGTTTGCACAGCCACTGGGAGAAAAGAAGTGGCTGCTCAAGGCCCGAGGGGATCAGAGGCTCTGCAGTTATCAAGCAGTTTTAGCTCCTTCCCAGCTACCTTGAGAGCTAAGGAGCTCAAGATCTGAAAGCTCCTCTCACTAACACACACCAATATGCCTCACCAGAGCTGTTAGGAGCTCTGTTCTAGATAGCTGTCTACTGAGTAATCCAATAGTTAAGTATCTTTGAAAGATAATTACTGTAAAATGTTTTATAAACCATAACATAGTGTATGTTTTTAAAAATGTAGACAAACTGGCAGAAGGCTTCTCTCTTCCATTTCATCTCAAAAATCAGATTTATGAAACTAATGAAACAATTCCCTTCAGTTGTTGCAAGTATCTATTTCATGTATGAATAGCCTGTAGCTGCAAAGACAGCTAATTTTACTTTTTTAGGGGTCTTTATATATAGCCAGAAAAGTCTGGTTATATATTTATTGATGTGAGCTGATAAAACTTTTATATACTCATCTGTAAAACTTAATTCGAGGTTCAAGGTCACTGAGGCTGGAGAATAAACCAAGATATTATGTCCCTTAGATTTTCTTTCCTCTAGTTTGGGAGAGAACATAAACCATGTGAATTCGAGTGTGTAAATCAGATTGCATTTCCCCTGGTGGTAAGTAATTGGTGCAGGCAGCAGAACTTAATTGACAATAGCTTTAGCCATTTCATCCCCACCCTCTTCCCAACTATGTCTTTCATGCCAATTTTTATGTGATTCCTCAGATGTAGTCCTGGTTGGGTGGGGGTGGTTACAATGGGTATAATTATATTGCCACGTTTTCAAGACGAGCAAGTTTAGTAAATGAAGAATTAAGCATTTCTTAGGTGAGCAGTACCTATAGCTGTTGCCGAAATAAGGTATATTGCATTTATGCTATCAGACTTCATGGACGTAAAAGCAAATGCTGAAAGGGCATATTGTTGCTAAGAAAAAAACAAATTAGCCGGCCAACATTTGCAAATGACAATGTTATCTACAAGCTTTATTAATAGATGTGAATATTTTATTCAATGAAATCAATTAATTGTTTATCATGCATGGGTAAATTCTATTTAGCTCTCTTTCACTTGGGAAAAAATTATGTGTAACTAACCTGCACGTTGCGCACATGTACCCTAAAACTTAAAGTATAATAGAAAAACAAAAAAACTGTAAACACTAGATATCATAAGATCATCAATGAAGAAAGATTGCTTGACTAAAGGTGGAAAGGATATTCTAAAGATAGCCACAATTGGAAGAACAATTCTGAGAGCAGAACAAGTGGACATCGATCAGGTGTCCAGTTAACCAGCTCAGGGAGGATAGAAGTAGTTCGAATAAAGCCAAGGAGACTTTAGACAGCTGGAAAGCGGTTTCCACTGTGTGCCAAGCCATGATTTCTACTGAAATATATTTTCACTTCACAAATCAAAATTTCTAGCTCATGGTAATTTACAGCTTCCTCTTTCATCAATTACAAAAGAAAGTATTACTGCTTAATAATACTACACAGCAGCCTAAGGACCTGGGAAGAGATTTCTTCTCCTGAAATGTATTAGTAACCCAGTGCTATCTTGCAAAATGTAATATATTCTGGTGATCATCCACCATTTAATTTTACTGTCTGCCAAAATCTGTAGCAGTTAAAGTTAAATGAACAATTTATATTATAAAATTCCTCTGCTGATATAGGGATTTTTAAAAGTATCATTTATTATAAACACTGCTGGCAGTATTTCTTTAAGATTCCAGATATTCTAAAGTCTAGTGTTGATTGTAGGTTGTAGTGATTTAAGAAAGGTTATACAAATTCCCTTACCACATGCCTCAAAATGCTTATGTAAAAAGAGGAATTAAAGTATGGATGTTGATAAAAAATGAAATTATTTTTGAGGGAAGAAGAAGTAAGTTAAAATATTGTACTTCTCTTGCCATCTCCCCTATGTTATTTATTTATATATCCTTTAATAGCTACTTCTGTTGGTAAATCGGTATTAGTGTTTTTCCATTATTTGCATTTATTAATGTATTTGCCGTATCTCCACAATTACAATCAAATAACTTTGAGTCAAGGTACTAACAATGTTTTGTTTTGTCTTTTCCATCTATTTAGAAAGCTAACACAAGAGTAAACTGAAAAGATATAACTACGCAGTCCCAGTCTAACATCCCGTTAAAATAACAGTAAAGGAACACAAAAGGGAATAAACTCTTAATGGCAAATGCATGGGTGTAGGATTATCACAGGGAAAAAAAAAAGATCCAGAAGATAGAAAGCAGCTGGAAACATGGAGATAGATGAAAGAGAGCAGCAAAAGCCTCTATCTAAACTGTGCACAGGAGGGCTCTGCTGAGGAGCTGTGAGTTTCTGCTTGACTGTTGTTAGACTTCTTATCACAACACTGAGTTCTGCAAGGCAATGAAGCAATGGCTTCATGTTCATGAGAAAATTAACATGATCTTAG
Source organism: Homo sapiens (assembly GCF_000001405.40). Taxonomy (NCBI): domain Eukaryota; kingdom Metazoa; phylum Chordata; class Mammalia; order Primates; family Hominidae; genus Homo; species Homo sapiens. The sequence continues at coordinate 66,368,205 of NC_000010.11, read as the reverse complement.
AATACTATATTCATCCAAATTATGTGGTCAAATAAAAACCTTTTTGTGTGCATAAGAACTCAGAAATGTAACTTGTGTAGATCTTCTTGAGAAATGACTTGAAAGTGTGCCCAAACTAAACAAGAGATGGGAAAAACAGAAATAGGACGACATGGAATGCTGAAATAGTGATTCTAACCCAGAGATGTAATGAATAAAATGGCAAGTTGGCAGATGCCCAGCAGATCCAGAAAGCAATGGATCCACATTAGAATACAAAGTCAGCGGGCTCCCAGAAAATAATAATAATAATAATAATAATAATAATAATAATAATAATAATAATTATTATTATTATTATTATTATTATTATTATAAAAGAAGCCTTAAAAAGATGCAGAAAACCAGAATAACTAAATTAGTCACATGATAAAGAAAGCAATTCGCTATCCTCTGTAAAATGCATTACTCTACCAGTCCCCACCCAGGAGGCTTAGAATATCATGAATCTAACTATATGACCCCAAAATTTTAAAATTCGGCTTCCACTGCTATCAGCTTATGCTTAACTTTTTGTATTTGTTCATTTCCTATATTTGTCATTTCTTTTGTCATTGTTAAGAAACCAGATTTTAGTGTCACATGGCAAACATCTGTTATGCTGGTTTTGAATATCTATTACATATATTAAAGATATGTACATATGTGCATATGTTTCTATATATTTACAATATTATATATAAATATATGTATTATATGTAATGTTGCAACTATATATGTATAGTATGTATTATATATATAACATGTCAATGATTGATTTCTTTTGTTTTAAATGATCATTTGGAAAAGAGTTATCTTACAGCTGGGCTGGAACTCTCCATGATTACCTGGAGGTCTGACACTGACTTTTGGCCACAATAAGAAGGCTTGAACTAGTTTATATTTATAATACATTGTTTAAGTTTGAAATCACCTTGTTGGTACCAAGAGTCAGCTTGTTTACAATGTTTAGGGGTGTGTAGATTGATGGCTTACGCATGGGCTAACCAGTTACATAGCATGGCTTGGCTATGTGATCAGTGGGACGTATATCCTGAAGATTCATAATTCAGAGATGAAGCACATCCTGTGTGACTGAGAAGGGACTCTAGGTAGGTGTGCAAGTCTCCCAGGCCCGGGTGTGTGGGCTGCACATTCTTTCTTCTGCTATGTTGCATTTCTTACATTGAATAGGTCTTCCTTGAGTAGTTTCCATAGAATTTTGCAAACCCTTTCAATTATCCAACACCGTCTGTAACTGTTGTAGTTATAACTCATTTATTTTATTTTAAAAACCCACTGAAGATACTAGAACACACACACACAAAGATACACACATACACATCTACCTTAATCATACAGAGTTAAGCAAGTGGTTGCATTAGGTTTTGTTGCTAACTGCTCTGTTTTTATTTACTTTTTAAAAGGTGCTCAGTAAGCTTTTATAATTAGACCATCTCAGTTCATCCAGGCTGCTATAACAAAATATCTTAGTCTGGGCAAGTTATAAACAACAGAAATTTATTGCTCACAGTTCTGGAGCTGGAGAAATTCAAGATCAAGGCACCAGCAGATTCAATGTCTGGGGAGGATGCATCCCTCATAGATGATGTGTTCTAAGTGGTGGAAAGGACAAACAAGCTTCCTCAAGCCTCTTTTAAAAAGGCACTAATAACTGTTCATGAAGGCAGAACCATCATGACCTTCATCTTTTAAAGGTCCTACCACTTACTACTATTGCATTGGCGAATAGGTTTTAACATATGAATTTTGGGGGAACACATATGTAGACAATAGCATAGAATTTGTGCAGTCAGAATTGCTGAATCATGGTTTTTTCTCAGAGAACTTTCCAAGCTCAAAAACCTTAGTGACTAAAGATTTATTTCGTTTAACTTACACATTACACCTAACTGACATGCATATTATATCTCATTAGTTAATGGGCAAACGTTTCTCATGAGTACTGACTCAGCCTTTTATGGCCTTTCCTGCAACAGTGTGAGCTGCCCACCAAATTACAGCTTCCTTACTCTGCCTCCTTAAAAACTGAGAACTGCAACAGACATTATCCTCTCCATATTAGTTATTTATGCTGCATAGCAAATCTCCCTAAAATTTAGCAAATTAAGACAACAAACATTTACTGTCTCATAATGTCTGACGGTCATGAACCTGGGAGCAGCTAAGCTAGGTGGTGTTGGTCAGGGTCTCCTGTGAGGTTGTATTCACACTGTTGGCCAGAGCTGCAGTCATCTAAGTCTCAACTGAGGCTAAAGAATCTGCTTCCAAGCTTATTCATATGTTTTTGTTGGCAGGAGGCTTCAGTTCCTCACTAAATGGGCACCTCTCCATGCTGCCTATATTTTTTCACATCATGGCACCTCAGTGTGAATGATCCAGATGAGAGAGAGAGAGAGAGAGAGAGAGCCTAAGATGCAAGCCAGCATCTTTGTATAACATAACTTCTAAAGTGGCATACCATCGCTTTTGCTGTATTCAGTTTGTTAGAAGCGAATAGGGCATGAATACCAGGAGGCAGATATCACTGGACAATGTTACAGGCTGCCTACTACAACTTCTAAATGGCTTATACTCTGGATATGCTTCATATGGTCCCATGTCACCAAATAGACTATACATTTTTTATTTATTATACTTTAAGTTCTGGGTTACATGTGCAGAACTTGCAGTTTTGTTACATAGGTATACGCGTGCCCTGGTGGTTTGCTGCACTCATCAACCCAACACTTACATTAGGTATTTCTACCAATGTTATCCCTCCCCTAGTCCCCCCAGCCCCTGAGAGGTCCTGGTGTGTGATGTTCCCCTCCCTGTGTCCATGTGTTCTCATTGTTCAACTCCCACTTATGAGTGAGAACATGCAGTGTTTGGTTTTCTCATCTTATGATAGTTTGCTGAGAATGATGGTTTCCAGCTTCATCCATGTCTCTGCAAAGGACATGAACTCATCCTTTTTTATGGCTGCATAGTATTCCATGGTGTATATGTGCCACATTTTCTTAATCCAATCTATCATTGATGGACATTTGGGTTGGTTCCGAGAGACTACACATTTTTAGTGCACATATATCTTATACCCCTCCCTGTTTTCTCGCCTGACATTTAATACTGGAAACATTAGCAAAGGACCTGACATACAGTAAATGTATATATTAAATGGATGAATAATACAATGCACATCTTACCAGGGATCCTTAATAGAGTTGATTATTGATAGTACGGAATACTGTGGAAGAGGAAATCCTCTCCGTTGCTAATTCATGCAACATGGTTTCATCATTTTAGAGACATACATAGAGGACTGTAACCATTGCCATAAGTATCATTTTATGTGCCATGGTCATGTGGAGAAATCATTACAGAGGAAATATGGAAAACCAAAATTCTAGATTTAGATTTACTGTGATATAATTGTGAAAATACGTTAAACTCTATGGGCCCCATATCTGTAAGTGCTAGAAGAGGGTTAACTAGGAGATCTTCAATGTTCCTCTGTACATTATTTTACTTAAACGTTTAAGAAATAAATTTAAGACTCATTTGTCTACAATGCATTAATTTATTTGCTATTTAGCTGTTTTCAAATTGTCAAAATTCTACATCTTTTTAATAACCAAAGAAAAAATGGCCAAAATATAAAATAACCAAAGAAAAAATGTCCAAAATATAAAAAAGTGTTGTTTTTAATTTCTTAAGAAGTTTTCTGCCAATCTTATACATTTTTACTCCTGGAGAACTAGGTGTTTTGTCGATGTAATTTTTTTATTCAATAATTTTTTAAAAAATTGAGATGGGATCTCACTGTGTTGCCGAAGTTGGTCTCAAACTCCTGGGCTCAAGTGATCCTCCCACCTCAGCCTCCCAAAGTTCTGGGATTTCAGTCATGAGTCAGTGCACCTGGACATTTTGTCCATATTTTAAATGATTTTATTGTTGTTTTTGCTATTGTTCTAATGGTTGAAATTAATTATTTGCTATATATATATATTATATATATATAACAAGAACAATTTGTCAGGTTTGTCAAAAGAAAGAGAAGTACATAAAGACTAAGCAATTTAGTTTATTGTGGTTTAGTAGGCAAATAATATTTGTAGATATTAAAACCAAAAGCTGTATTATAATTTTAGCTCTAATACTTACCAACAATAAGTGATCTTAGGCAAATTACTTAACCAGTCTAAGCCTTAGTTCTGTCATCTGTAAAACAAGGGCAATAAAACTTATCTCTTAGAGGTTTTGTGATAATTTCCATTAAATAGCATATATAGATCTCTTGAAATGCCTGCTGCATAGTCTTAGTTCTATAAATAGCAAGTTATTAACATTATTGTTGTTATTATTGGATTGGAATATAGTAAAGCAATACTTGGTTAGATTTCATGTGATTTACCTTCTGAATGAAGTGGAAATATGTTAATGTGCAATATATAAAACATAAATCACAGAAAACAACCAATACTGAGATTTGTATTTTGTTCTGACAAAATTTTATATCCAGGGCTGTTTTCACTTCCCCTAATATGTTTTTAATTTTTTTTATTGTAATCTGGTGTCTTGGTCAGTTTGGGCTGCTATAACAAATTAAATGGAGTAGTGGATTAAGCAATAGAGATTTATTTTTCACAGTCTCTGGAGGCTGAAAGTCCCAAATCAGGGTGCCAGCATCATCAGCATCTGGTGAGGGCCCTCTTTCTGGCCTGCAAACAGCTGCCTTCTTGCTGTCTCTACATGATGGAGAGCCGAAAGATAAAGGAAGCAAGTTATCTAATGTCTCTCCTTATAAGGGCACTAATCCCATTATGAGGGCTCCACCTTTATGACCTAATTACCTCTCAAAGGCCCCATCTCCAAATACCATCACATTAGGGATTAGGGTTTCAACATGAATTTGAGAGGGACACAAACATTCAGTCCACAGCATCTAGGTTTACCAGTTTTGTGTCCTTTCTTCAAACTAAAATTATTTTGAAGAGAAGACATTTTTAACAATTCAAATGATAAGCAGCGCACGATATAGCAAAGGAGATTTTTTTGGCCTAATGTTTAGCAGCTTCATTCTGTTGTTGAAGTGTATCGCTATTACACATGCTTAAGGAATACAATGGTAGAAGAAACCGTGTATTTTATACCAAAAGAAAAATAGTGAAAGACTAAGTCATCTGATCTAAGTTTATAATGAAGGAATTTATTTAAAGATGTTTTCCTTTTCAGAAATAGTCACTTTTTTAGAGAATTAAAAAGATATCAAGAACATCTAATTAATAGTTATCTTAATGACAGATGACAGTTTAATTAAATGTGAAAAGCAAATTTGAAAGCATCTTAGTCTGTAAAACTACTTCATGTATAAAAAATAAACATTTGACAGAACTCTCAGAGCAAAGCTATCTGAGGGATTCTTTAAAGCTTCCAATTTATCAAATTACCTTTTTTTTTTTGGTCGGCAGGGGGAAGTAGTCTCACTCTGTTGCCCAGGGTGGAGTGCAATGGCAGGATCTCAGCTCACTGCAACCTTTGTCTCCCAGGTTCAAGTGATTCTCCCACTTCAACCTCCCGAGTATCTGGGACTACTGGCATACACCACCACACCCGGCTAATTTTTTGTATTTTTTAGTAGAGATAGGGTTTCAGCATGTTGGCCAGGCCAGTCTCAAACTCCTGATCTCAAGTGATCCTCCTGCCTTGGCCTCCCAAAGTGCTGGGATTACAGGCATGCGCCACTGCACCTGGCCTATCAAATTACCTTTTAATAATTTTGTGGGCTGGGCATGGTGGCTCATGCCTTTAATCCCAGCACTTTGGGAGGCCGAGGTGGGAGGATCATGAGGTCAGGAGATTGAGACCATCCTGGCCAACATGGTGAAACCCCATCTCTACTAAAATACAACAATTTAGCCAGGCATGGTGTTGCACACCTATAGTCCCAGCTACTTGGGAGGCTGAGGCAGGAAAATCACTTGAACCCAGAAGGCGGAGGTTGCTGTGAGCTGAGATCGCACAACTGCACTCCAGCCTGGTGACAGAGCAAGACTCCGTCTCAAAAAAAAAAAAAAAAAAAAAAAAATTGTGTATGAACCTCTGTGATATTTGCTGGAAAATATCACTGTTTTGAGCAAAACCAGTGGTTTCTTTTAGTTAAAGCTGCATATGTCACACAGATCTTTTCTGATATTACAAAGGCTAATAAAGTTTCACTCAAAAGTATTCTCTCAATGCAGTGGTGGGGTACAATTTAACACTTCATTAAAGAAAGAAACAGAAGGTAAGTGGATGATAAAGGTTAATGATGGAAGCGACTACCCTAATCTCAAAAAGAATGGTTAGGTTGGGCATGGTGGCTCATACCTGTAATTCCAGCACTTTGGGGGGCTGAGGAAGGAGGATTACTTGAACCCAGGAGTTTGAGACCAGCCTGGGCAATATAGTGAGATCTCATCTCTACAGAAAATTAGAAAATCAACCAAGTGTGGTGGTGCACCCCTATAGTCACAGCTACTTGGGAGGTTTAGGTAGGAAGATCCCTTGAGCCCAGGAGGTGAAGGTTGCAGTGAGCCAAGATTGTGCCACTCCACTCCAGCCAGGGAGACAGAACAAGACCCTATCTCTAAAAAAGAAAGAAAGAAAGAAAGAGAGAAAGATGCAGAGAGAGGGAAAGAAGGAGAGAGAGAGAGAAAGAAAAATAGAAAGAAAGAAAGAGAAAGATAAAGAAAGAGAGAAAGAAAAGAAAAGAAAGAAGGAAAGGGAAGGGAAGTGGAAGTGGAAGGGAAGAAGGAAGGAAAGGAAAGGAAAAAAGAAAAGGAAAGAAAGAAAGAAGGAAAGGAGGGAGGGAGGGAGGAAGGGGAGGGGCGGGGAGGGGAGGATTCTTGTTGGTTTAAAACATTATGAATTTGATGGCTGGGCACAGTGGCTCATGCCTGTAATCCCAATACTTTAGGGGGCTGAGACAGATAGATTGCTTGAGCCCAGGGGTTCGAGACCAGCCTGGGCAGCATAGTGAGACCTCACTTCTACTAAAAAAAAAACAAAAAATTCAAAATTTAGCTGGGTATGAAGGTGCATGCCTGCAGTCCTAGCTACTCAGGAGGCTGAGGTAGGAGGATCACTTGAGCCCAGGAGTTCAAGGATGCAATGAACTATGATTGCACTACTGTACTCCAGCTGGGGTGATGGAGTGAGACTCCATCTCTTAAAATATAATAGAAAGAAAGAGAGAGACAGAGAGAGAGAGAGACAGAAAGGAAGAAAGAGAGAGAGAGAGAGAAAGAAATAAAGAAAAAAGAAAGAAAGAAAAAGAAAGAGAAAGGAAAGAAAGAAAGAAAGAAAGAAAGAAAGAAAGAAAGAAAGGAAGGAAGGAAGGAAGGAAGGAAGGAAGGAAGAAAGAAAGAAAGAAAAGGAAGGAAGGAAGGAAGGAAGGAAGAAAGAAAGAAAGAAAGAAAGGAAGAAAGGAAGGAGGAAAGAAAGAAAGAAAAGGAAGGAAGGAAGGAAGGAAGGAAGGAAGGAAGAAAGAAAGAAAGAAAGAAAGAAAGAAAGAAAGAAAGAAAGAAAGAAAGAAAGAAAGAAAGAAGGAAAGAATACATTAGAGGTAAGCCTCAGAGTTGTTTCCCTGTCCCACCTGGAAAGCACATACTGGTCCAAAAAATTCAGCATAATCTGTTTTAGATTATCTCTACATTGACTTTGGAAAATTTCTAAAATTCAGATGTCATATTCAAATACATCCTGGGTTTTTGTTCAGTAATGAGCAACATCTATTTCCCACAGAAAAATGGGGAAGACTTCACTTTAAGCCATTGCCTTTCCTACAATGAAGATATACAAATGATTAGATATGAGAGTAACTTTTATTCATAGATTTCCTCTTTCCCAAACACGTGGAAACCCTTATTTTCAATGTACAGATATTGAATAATGTAAAGCTACATGATAGAGGGATGAGAAATTGACTGAGTTTAAAAAAAAAAAAGTTCAGTGTTTTTATATATAGATATAATGCTTTAAAAGTTTTCAAATGCTGAACAAATTTAGTAAGATGAGGGCCAGGTGCGATGGCTCATGCCTGTAATCCCAGCACTTTGGGAGGCCAAGGCGGGTGGATCATGAGGTCAGGAGTTCGAGACCAGCCCGACCAACATGCTGAAACCCCGTCTCTACTAAAAACAAAAAAAAATTAGCCAGGTGTGGTGGCATGCACCTGTAATCCCAGCTACTCAGGAGGCTTAGGCAGGAGAATAGCTTGAACTTGGGAGGCAGAGGTTGCAGTGAGCAGAGATCAAGCCACTGCACTACAGCCTGGATGACAGAGGGAGACCCATCTCAAAAAAAAAAAAAAATAGTAAGATGATTGGTACAATGGCATGCAATTACATCACAATTAGAAGATCACTTTAACCTTCATTGAACTATACTGATGCACAAGCACTGTACCTATCAAATAATGAATAAAGACAAAATAAATAAGACATAATTCTTTCTCTCAAGAAGAATGAATGTTTGGGGGGGATGACAGATGTGAACCTTTAATGCAAAACAGAACAGAGGTATGCATGTATCTCCTAATTGATGCTATTGTCTGGGAATGATTTAATCCAGAAATCAGGATACTCAAATTGTAGAAAATTTGGAGTACTACCCTGGAACTAAACATTTAAGAAATTAGCTTATTAATTATCTCTATAACATAATTGTAGGAGAATATTAATTCCTGATATTCCTAGATAATTATCAGGCCTTATTTAGGATCACCAGCTTTTTCTTATCCACCATTATGAAATGAGAGGCTAATCAAGTCATAATTCATATTCTGAACCAATCCACATCCACTCACCCCCATCTCCTTCTATAATAAAAAAGAAAACAGTAGACTTCAATCCCTGAAAGTAAGTGCAAACTTTCCTGTTCTGTCCCTTTTTACGACCTCCTATCTATCAACATTTACCTGTGAGGAGCCTGTAAAACTGTCTCCAGCTTCTCATCATATAAGTGTCTGGATGCAATGCTATCCCCTCTGCCATTTTAGGGTGAGAATATAATGAAGGATTATGCTCACTTTACTTGTTTCTTCAGTCAAAACTGATTTGATATTTACTTGCTGTGAGGATACCAATAAACTAAGTGCTGAGAAGGAGAGCATGATTCAAATCTTTCAGTTGTTTAACTGTGGTTGAGGATATATTAAATAGTGGGATTCTTTTATAAAACAAGGCAGGAATATGTTAAGGAACAAAATGAATAGGGGCAAAAAGGAATAGATTAGAGCATAATACAACTGTAAGTTTTATAAGTTTTGTAGGTCAGAGAAGACCAGGTAGAAGATGTAAGAACAAAAGTAGGAATCTAAACATTATTTAAATTTAAAAAGAAAGTATGTTCTTCCTGGAAAGGATGTCAAAATATTTGTATTACATTATGATGTAATTAGAGACAACTAAAATTATACTGAACTTGATTTAATCTTCTTTTGATTGCAAAGATACTTTAGGTTCTTGTAATGTTTCAGGATTATCCTTCAAGTATTGTGTCCTTGAAAGAAAAATGAGCAGAAAGGTGAGTAGATTTTCCCACTAGGTCAGGCAGTTTATGTGACTAGTAAGTCATACGTGGGACTGGGTAGCTTGTGGCACCAACCCAAGTTAAAAATGGAGTAAGTATACCTTTCCCTAACTCTTCCACTGATGTCAACTACAACATTGGACATAATACTTAAAGCAAATCTTGGAGGACTCTGTAAAGTAATGGCAGACTGGAGAGGAAATCAGAGTTTGAAGGATAACCCCATACAATAATATGTTCCCTGGACTCCCCTTTTTTTCCCCATATTTCCTGGCTTAGACTCTTCTGCAAGCTGAATCTGGGAAGTGCACACCAAGCATGGACAAAAAACCTCCAAGCAAAACACTTTCTCAGGCCAGAGGACAGATAAGCAGGGGTTAGGGGTATGGGATGAAACTCATTTAACTCTCCTAGCCTTTGAAAATGAAGTCCACTTTGGAGGTAGTGGTGGCAGCAGTTCCCCTGTTGACTGAAGAGAAATAGAAAATACAAATTATTAATATCAAGAATGAAACAGGGTATCACTACAGAACCATGGACACTAAAAGGATAATAATAAAATACTACAAACACGTCTATGCACATACATTTAATGAACTAGATGAAATGAACCAAGTGCTTGAAGGACACGTACCTTTAAATGTCATTGAACAGACAATAAGGAGTGTTGGGGAAGATGTGGAGAAATTGGACACAATGCTGGTGGGAATACAAAATAGTACAGCTTCTCTGGAAAATGGTCAGACTGTTTTTAAACAATATACGTATGTGTTACTATCTGACACAGCAATTCAGTTCCTATCTGTATACCTAAGAGAGATAAAAACATACACCCACACAAAAACTTACACATGCGTACTTATAGCATCATTATTAATAGCCCTAAAGTGAGTATAATAGTACTGATACATACTATATAATAAAGTATGATACATACTACATTATTCCAAGTATAATAATACTTGGAAACATTATACTGAGTGAAAGAAGCCAGTCAAACACTATATATTTTATGATTCCATTAATATAAAATGTTATTTCATAGCAGACTCCAATAGGAAAATATATATAAGCACAGAAAGCAGATTAGTGGTTGCCTAGAGGGACTGGGGACATTTGAGAGTGATGGCTAAAGGGCGCAGAGTTTCTTTTTGGGGTGATAAACTTATTCTTAAATTGATTATGGTGATAGATACACAACTTTGTGAATATACCAAAACGCACTGAATTGTACACTTTAAAGGGTGACTCGCATGGTATGTAAATTATATCTTAAAGCTGTCAAAAAAAAGTCACTGAAGAAGATAGAGACATATTGAATGTCCTCTATCTGTTGCAGAAATTAAATTGGCAGTTTAAATGCTTTCAAGAGATAAAACTCCAGGCCTGGACAGTTTCCCTGGTTAATTCTACTAAACATTGCATCATGTAAGGAATTACATTAAATATAATTTCAAAAAATTAAAAAGATGGAACACTTCTAAACTTATTTCAGTAGGCCAGTAATACCCGAGGGATCAAACTAAACAAAGACATTAGAAGAAAACAAAACTACAGACCAGTATCTCTCATGAACGTAGATGCAAAAACCTGCAACAAAATATTAGGAAATCTAACCCAGCAATATAGAGTAATAACTGTATAACCAAGTATAGTTTATCTCAAGGATGCAAGGACCGTTCAAAATTCAAAAATTAATTATTGCAACCCACCATATTAACAGACTAAAAAAGGAAAAATCAAATGATTATATCAAAGATGCAGAAAAAAGCATTCAACGAACTTCCAATTTTATTCATAATAAAAATTCTCTATACATTAGAAATAGAAAGGGACTTTCCTAATTTGATAAAAGGTATCAACAAAAAGCCCACAGCTAACATCATTCTTAACAGTAAAAGAATGAATGCTTTCTTCCTAACAACAGGAACATGACAAGGCTAGTTATTTCACTGGTCCTTTTTAACATTACATTAAAGGTTCTAGTCAGTGCAATAAGGCAAAAGAAAGATAAAAGGCATATATATTGGCAAAGAAAAAATAAAATTTTTCTATGTGCAGATGACATGATTGTGAATTCCAAAGATCTATTATATTTATACGTGCTAGCAATGAACAATTGGAAACCAAAATTATAAAAGAATACCAGTTACCAAAACTTCAAAAATTGATATACGTAAGTATAAATCTAAAAAAAAATAATTGCTGCACCTATATGTTGCCAGAAACTACAAAACGCTAGTCAAAGAAATTAAAGAAGACCTTAAAAAATGGAGTGATGTATCATGTTCCATTATTGGAATATACTCAATATGATGATGATATCAATTCTTCCTAAGCTGATCTATAAACTTGTTACAATACCAGTCAAAATCCTAGCAGAATTTTTTTCCAGCTATATATAAGCTGATTCTAAAGAAAGAATTACAAAAATACATTTATATGGAAAGGCAAAGGAACCAGAATAGCCAAAAAAAAAAAAAAAAAAACAAAACAAGCAAACAAATTTGGAGCATCCACTGTACCTGATTTTGAGACTTGCACTATAAAACTATAGTAATTAAGAGTGATATTTGCAAAAGAGTAGACACATAGATCAATGAGGTCATTTGGAAAGTTCAGAAATCAAACAATTCTTGATGGAAATGCCAAGATAATTCAGTGGAGAAAGACTAGCCTTTTCATCAAGTGGTGCTGGAACAATTTAGACATTGAACCTCAACTTATGCCTTACATTATATACAAAAAATGACTCAAATTAGATAACAGCTTTAAATTACAATAGAAAACTCTTAAAAGAAAACATAGGATAAATTTTTGTGACTTTGGTTTGGCATTGTTAGATACAACACCAAGTAATGACATAAAAAAATTATAATTTGATTTCCTTGGAAGTTAAAAAAAATCCTCTGTGAAAGGCACTGTTAAAAGAGTGAAAAGTCATAATAGAGTGGGAAAGAATATTTGCATATCATATCATACTCCTCAAAAATGTTGCATCTAGAATATATGAAACAGTGTAAAAATTCAAAAATAAAGAGTTTCCTATTCCATAGCAAAAATAACATAATAATGGAAATTACAATCAATTAAAAGAGATATCCTATTTTATGTTTGTAGGTGCTACTGACATATTGTTCTCAAGGGTTAGAGGGAAGCGTCATTCGTGGAGGGTTTATAATGTATCGAAGGTACTGCTAGGTGATTTGCATTTGCCATTACATTTAATCCTGGTAACAGCCCTATGAGCATAATATTATTTTCATTTTAAAGATTTGCATAAAATAATTTTCCCAATGTGACCCAGTTAAATGGTGGATCCATGAAATAGTGACTTCCTACAATAAAATGGGCTTGCTACCAAAATTGGCATAAACACAGAGGCCACAGAGTACCTTTAAATGCAAGTTTCTTACACATACTAATACTCAGTAATGAGCTCTCAGTTAAGTTGTATTTCTTTTAAATCGTATATCTACTTAACCAAACTCACTTTGTCATGACTCTCAGGTATGTTTGATGATGAACGCCACACCAGAATTAAGCCTGTCTAGCGTGTGTATTCCTGCCTGGCCTGTCTGAATATTTGATTATTCTTTAAAAATAATATTAGTTGCAGATGTCTGAGCCTATCTTTCTGGTAATTCCAAGTTAAGACTGATAAGTGTAGATCATGATGATCCTTTGAATCCCAGTACACTAGAACTAACATTTTTATACATATGCTTTCTATTTCAGTGATTTTTCATTCAACAAATATTATTATGCATCAGGCACTATGCTGGGTGGTGAGATGCTATGATGTACAAAGTATGTATTCTTCAGGAGCTCACAGTTAGTTCGGGAAGAGAGAGCCCACAGTGACAGACTTAGAGTAATGGATGTCTAGGTCCTAATGGAATGAGGTCTAGAATGACTTCCCAGGGCACATGAAGTGAAAGCCTAAATCCAAAAAGGCTAAGGACGTTACCCAAGTGAAGAGGATGGCAAAAAGAGGAGGCATTTTCAACGATCCACTTACTCTAAAAGACAGATTCTCAACTACTTCTAAATATTTTGTTGCAAATAGATGACCCACCCTCAAACTCAGGTTCCTTTGAGCCTGATAACCCTTTAGTTATAATAATTCAGATTTTCAACTGTTTTTGGACACATTTTTGATATCTCAAGGTAGTTCAGAACAATGTGCTTTATGAGACAGAAGGAAGCAGAGCTTGATACCTTGATGTTGTTTCAAGAGCCAGTGCTAGTTTCTTTTTTAGACACAGACTAACAAGGGACTCTTATTTTTTTTTTTAGTGTTCATAGACTTTTTTTTTTTATTTTTGAGATGGAGTCTCACTTTGTTGCCCAGGCTGGAGGGCAATGGTGCCATCTCAGCTCACTGCAACCTCCACCTCCCGGGTTCAAGCGATTCTCCCTGCCTCAGCCTCCCAAGTAGCTGGGATTACAGGCGCCCGCCACCATGCCCAGCTAATTGTTTGTGTCTTTAGTAGAGACGGGGTTTTGCCATGTTGGCCAGGCTGGTCTCGACCTCCTGACATCAGGCTATCTGCCTGCCTTGGCTTCCCAAACTGCTGGGATTACAGGCGTGAGCCGCTGCGTCTGGCCGTGTTCACGGAATTTTTACAAATGTCACGGATACTCCCATATGGATGATTATTTTTCCTCACTATTCACATTTTTGAGATTTTGTGTGTTTTTAATTTTTTTTTTTTTACTCTTTCCCCATTTGCATAGTGAAACAAAACAAAAAGCCTCCTCAAATATTCTAAACCCAGTTTTCATCTCCCTAGATTTATCTCAGCGATCCCTTTCCCCTGTTACAAAAACTATCCCTGGGTTGATTAATCTCCAGTTCCTCCTTCCTGATTTTTTTTTCTACATCAACTCCTGAAATCCAGAGGGAAACAAAATGAAACAAATTGGCAATCTTAACTTTTGCTTGGTTGCTCCCCTAGCAGGCTGAGTGGGCAGACTCGGACCAGCTGTCTGACCTAATTTATGTAGATAAGTTTACTTCCATGTTCTTTTCTGCTTGGCAGAAACACACGTCACACTAGTTCATTTTTCTTGAGGTTCTCCCTCAGGCAAAAGCTATGACTTGATTCTCTGGATATGAAAAATACAAAAACAAGACAACAATATTTTATTTTTGTGCATACCAACAGATGTCTGCCTCAACACAGTGAGCTGCGCATCCAACAGGCTAAGAAAGATGTACAAACATAGCCTTTTAAAAATATATATTTGAGCCTACTGAATTTACAATTGTGCCCATTTCTGTGGGCCCTGAAGCAGTCACTGGTTTTATAATGGAAATGAATCTGATACTGTAGCAATGAAAATTAGGAAAGTACCCAACAATATATATCATGAATCTATTCTATTTTAATAGATTTTGTTCCAAACATTAAAAATGCTTTACTGAGGAATTTTTAATGAAATTGGAAAGTTTTCAGAGTATATTATACAGGAATAAAAAGTAGGACACAAAATTAGAGAAGCATATATATATCATTTAAAGATAAAACCGGCTACCTTTAAAATCAATATTTATTTATGATGAAATATATCATACATGAAAGATTACATAATGATAATAAAATAATCACCCATTTACCTATGGCTCAGCTTGAGAAATAAAACTTGCTTCATTTTTGGAAGCCCCTTTAGTGCCCCTCGTTGATGACCTCCTCTTCCTGCTTCACCACAGTCTGCCTCCCCAAGATAACCACTAATGAGTGCTTTTGTTTGTTTGTTATTTCTTTTAAAAATAGTTTTGCCAGATAAGAATATAGTGCATAATATCTAATGTAGCTGTACATTTTTGAGATTTATAAAATGGAATTATATTGTTAAGTATCTTTACGTGATTTGCTTCTCTCTTTTCATTTCATCCCTATGTTCACAGTTAAAACAACTCAATGGCACCTTAAGAAGTGAGAGTCTCTGTGCCAATTAGGGGAATTTCATGATAGGATTATTGGCCACATTTAATGACACAATTTATTATACAGCCCTTTTTCACTCCAAAGTATACAATGGTGTTAGGCTAGATGGGTTTAGCTGAGTTCAAGGCCCTATCGCAATGCAGTGCTGAGAACCACTGTTTTCCTTCATCTTTCAGACCCCATTTGTTGTATTTGCTTCCTACTGCTAGTCCTCTTCCTTTATTATGAATGTTCTTGGAAAACTATCTCTATCTTCCTTCAATATTTGGTTCCTCCTATCTCTACCAATTTGTCATGCACATTTGTCTATGTTTTGATCACAATAGTTCATTGTGTATGTTCCTTCCCCACTAAAGAGGCTCTGCCTGAAAATCAATTTATGAAATGAGATACAAGGAGGGAGGGTAGCCCCAAAGAGCCCATGTATGTTTGAGTCTTCAGTCTGACTGCTGGGGCCTTGTTACCTACTAAGTATAATGAAATATTCCTTCCATTTGATACCTTCTTGCTTGCTTGTTGAAATTCTACTATTTAAAAACCCATCCAAGTGACATCTGCTCTAGGAATCCATCTTAACTAAGTCAGAATGAAATCTTCCATCTCTTTAGTGCTTCTCCCTTTCATTCTGGCATATAGTACTTACTTCATGACTCTTAAAATTATTATTATTTTTATTATTATATATTGTCACCTCCTGGACAGTAAAATTAAAGTTTGGATGCATGTGAAATTGATATACTTAATGGCATATAATAGTCACTAAACATTTGCTAATTTCAACTACATTTGTGTTATTTGTACTATAAAATAATTCAGATTTTCAGACCTCTTTTTGTGCAGAATTGTATATGAGAGATCTTTAATATTACATGATGAAAATTTCACACACTTAATTAGGAAATATCTTACAAAACTCATCAAACTAGGAAGTTGTCTTGACCTTCCCATACCAAATTCTCCATGCTACTAAACATGATAGTGCAAATTTTTATTTTTATTCATTTATTTTTGTAAATATCTACAATGTGATCATGTTTTTAACCATCTACTTGCAGCATACCGTAAATCTAATTCAGGAGTTGAGTTTTGCAGCATTTGATTGCAGTAAAATTATGAATCTCATTAAGCAATCATATTGTTAAATGTTCCTGAATAAATGTAAGATGATATTATTCAGTTTCTAACACTGACTCACATTTTTTTTAATATCTGCTATTTAACAATGGTACTCAGGAATCAGATTGTCTGCATTCAAATCCCAACTTTATTCTGATATTGTAGGTAAGTTATTTAACTTCTCTCAGCCCAAGTCTTCTTATCTGAAAAATTAGAGGAAATACTTACAGCAACCTCATGGGTTGTTGTAATAACCTTCTACATATTGAATGAAATAGCAGAGCACTTGGCACATAGTACATTCTCCATACACAGTAATTGACACCGGAGTGGTCATGATTACTGTATCCTCAGAAAGATTAATTTTTAGATGTGTGCCCTGAAGCAGAATGTGTTGTAGAAGCATGATTCACTGAATTCTGTCATAAATGGGAAATGAGATTGTTGGGTCTGTGCACAAAATTACAGACTTTTGTTTTTGTTTTTGTTTTATTTTCAAAGAAAATAATGATCTTTCCAAATAATCTGATATAGTATATTAATTTATGTTTACTAGGAAATCACTAAAGTATGGCTGTTTACTATCAAGTTATCAGAAGATTGTTATTTAAAGACTATTTGGTGTTTAACAAAGCTCTTGGATCTTTCCCATAGGATCTGGAGGAGTCCTTCTGTGGATAGACAAGGCTTTGTTTGCCTTTACAGTACACTAAGTAAAACCTCAAGAGGGGATGTGTAAATAGTGTAAAATTCAGGATACTCAAAGACCAAACTCATTCCTCCAACTTGTGTTTAATATGTAAATAAACCATTCAGCTACTGGAATCTCTTGAGATGACATTGATTCTGTCATGTGTTGCCCTGAAATAAGAGGAAAATAAGCATTTTCCCAATTGACCCTTCAGCAATTTCTCCAGGCTTTTTTTTTTTTCAGGAGCCCCTTTCCAATTTCCCATCATTTTTCAATAAGATGTGGGAATTTCTTCCCCAATTTTTTTTTTCTGGAGCTACGTTTTGATTTATTTTGTGTTCATTGACTATGGAGTCAGGAAATGTATCTCTTGCCCTTACTCAGATAAATTCGTTCAACATTCTATTTTTGATTGGGAAAAGAACATATTTCTAAGTTTTGCTTCTTGTTTGTGGACAAATGCTAAAAAGTATAATCAAAATTTCTCTTTCTCAGAGCAAATTGAAGCTCTATCATTTGCCTAGGCAGTGACAGCAAAAAGCAAGCTTCCTTTCCCTTCTCTGTCCTGAATGCTTCCTCTAAGATTCTTGCTTCCATGTATAGTCTTATGTGTCTTTCAGTGAGTAGCCCAGAATGTTCACAGAAGAGCCAATTAAGACACTTTGAAGTATTTAACGAAAGAGGATATTGCAGTTAACTTGGGCAGCAGATTCTCAACAAAGTACCCAATTTATGCCTGCTATCTAGAACAATATATACTAAAAATCACAGAATAATCCTTTACACTGAATGATATAACTTTATATCACCAATGTGTTACGTTGCTATAATAGAGGAAATGTGATTCCTGTGCAGTTGAAGAGTATTAGTAATGGTCCACTCATTTGTTTTTCTTTGGCTCTGTAAACTGCCTCTAAAGAAAACTGCAGGATCAAAGCCATTGGTGATGGGGTGACTGAGAAGCTAGGTATGTGATATTCTGAAGAGTAAATGATGAGTATATTTGTTTTGGTTAGTTTTGATTAAGCCATTTAATGGTAAAGTTGCAGTTTAAAAACTGTACTTATGACCATAAAACCACCTTATTTCAACATTATTCTTGTACAAAAAAAACTCTCAAACTTGTTACTGCACATGTCATACTCTCTGGATTTTGAATCTCTTTGGGTATTTTTCTCATGGAAATGATTACTTTTAAAGATCATCCTGATAATTCAATTTTCTTAAGATTGCAACTGTTTCAAAATAGAAAAGTTAGCGTAGTTGTGAAATTTGTGAATGGCTTTGGAAAGAATAACCTGCTTTTTCTTTTCCTTCATGAGCCACTCTCTGATGATAGCTCTTTATTTTCCAGGTATATTTGTTAATCATTGTTGCCTATTAATATTTCAACAAAGTTCTCAGCTTAAAACAATACTCACATGTGGGTTTTTGTGTGTCAGAAATCCAGGCATGGCTTACTGTGTCCTCTGATTGGAGTTGTGTTCTCTGATTGGAGTCTTAGAAAGCAATCAAGGTGTCAGACAGGGCTGTGGATTCATTTGAGGCTTTTTCAAGCTCATTCAGGTTGTTGGCGGAATTCAGTTCCCTGTGGTTGTAGGAGTGAGGGCTTCAGTTTCTTCTTTGTATCTGCCAAAAGCCACTGTCAGCTCCTAGAGGCTGCCCACAGGTTTTGCTGTATGATTTCCCCAACAAAGTTGCTTGTCTTCTGAATGCCATCAAGGAAGAGAGAGACTCCATCAGGACAAGAAATATAATCTTATGTAACGAATTGTGAAGTAACGAACATGTAATCAAATATATCCCATCAACTTTTCCGTTTTCTGTTTGTTACAAACAAGTCACAAACTCAGGAAGAAAGGGTCATGGTGGCCACCTTAAAGGACTACCTGACACATCAGAGAAATATTTAGAATAGTCACAATAAAATGCAAGCCTAAATCTTATGCCTAAACCATAAATCCCCTGGTACCAGTAGAAGCACCAGGAAATTTTGTTATTTGAGCAGCCAATACATGGTCTAATCATAAAAGTAGTTATATGATTATCAACTTATTAAATATTCTATTCAAGTCAGATTCTGGTAGATTACATCACATCATCAACAAGCGGACACTCGTAGAGTAAAACCTACAGACTATAATGGTGTAGGAGGCAAGATTGATTGTAAACTAGCTTCTTTTCCTTATTAAAATGTATGTCTCTTTTTGTATATGAATTTAAAAGTAAACTTGATTCTTTCTCAACTTGAAACCACAATTTACTATTAAGTTGACCCAAGTGAAATGACTGATATTCAACTTTTTTGACCTACAAGATAATTTCATATGATTCAACCTGATAGTTTCCCTGTATTGTTTTATACATTCCAAGAAGAATGCTAAATTGTATATACATTATCACACTCAATCCCACAACCATACTATGCAGTACATGGAATAATATGCATTGTACAGATGAGGAAATGGAGTCTCAGTGGGATTATGTGAATTGATTATATTTAAGCTAATAATCGGCTAATTAAATTATAGGGTTGATAGCAAAATGCAAATCTGCTGTTCAAAGCCTGTTCTTTTAGCCACTATTCTAAGACTGATAAAAATATATAGACTAATTAATGCTAACATCATATTTTATCTAAGATGAAGTTATTGTGTTTCATTTTTGCAAGAAAGACTGAAGAAAGAGTAGACAGGAAGAGAAGAGGCTTAAGAGTCAGGATTCCTTTCTGAATCTGATGCCAACCTGATTGTCTTTCATGATTTGGTATTCTTAGTATTCTTAAGGTTGTTTTTTGTCTTTGTTATTCTGTAGTTTCACTAAGGTGTGTCTAAGTGCGGATTCATTTTTATTTATACTGTTTTGGAGGTATATATCATTGCCTCCTGTTTGTGAACTCATGTCTCTAACAAGTTTCAGAAAGTTCCTAGCTATTTTCTATTCAAATATGTCATTTATTCTATTATCTCGATTATCTCGTCCTGAGCATGTGACAGTATACATGATGGGTAGTCTCATTCTATCCACCATATTCTTTATTCAGATTTATGTATTTCCAGGCCTTTGTTTCACTGTACTGTAATCCAGATAATTTCTGCAGATAACTTTTCCAATTCACTAATCTTTTCTTCAGTTGTGTATGATATGATGATTCATCCATTTGTTAACTTTTTTTAAACATATATATTTCTTCAATTTTAGATATTTGGTAGATTCTTGCTGTCTGCTTTTTTTTTTAAGATAGGTTCTCACTCTGTCACTCAGGCAAGAGTACAGTGGCAGGATCACAGCTTACTGTGGCCTCTACCTTCTGGGCTCAAGCAATCCTCCTACCTAAGCCTCCTGAATAGCTGGAACCGCAGATGTGGCCACCATACCTGACTCATTTTTAAAATGTTTTGTAGAGACGGAATCTCACAAAAATCTTGCCCCAGCTGGTCTTGAACTCCTGGCCTCAAGCAATCTTCCCGCCTTGGCCTCCCAAAGTGCTTGGATTACAGGTGTGAGCCATGGCATCCAGCCTGTTTGGCTCTTAATAAGACATAAAACTTCCTTTAATTTCAATCTTTTCATAAATAAAATGGAAATATGGAAATTGTTATTACCTTAGACAATAACTAGAGAATTAAATCATTTAATGTATTGAAACTTATAAAATGTTTGGCCCATAGGAAATGACATGTATATTTTTTTCTACTATTTATTGAATTTGCCTGATGATTATTTTTGTTTTCTGATTTTATGATTCCATATCTCTATCTATAGACAAAGAAAGAGAAATACTATATTAGATCACTCTAGTACATGAATTTTTTTCAGGATGTAAATCTGATATTTGTTGTTTGCTGCTTTTTGTGAGGCATTTTTTTTTTCTACCGAAGATTTATATTCACATCTGCAGATCTCAGACCACATTAGCCCCATTCCAGGGTCCCAAGTATAATCAAGATTCTTAATCTCATCACCTCAATTTTTCCACTCAAGTCTAGATGCCCAATGTCTTTCACACTTGGTTACAACTCTTTCCCCAACCTAACACCTTCAATGAGTCTCTTTACTTACTGAGAGCCCAGAAATGTGATAAAAATAACGTTTCATGTAAGTTATTAGGTAATTAAGTAAGTTATTAGGATCAAGTAATTAGAATTGTCTATCCTACCATATAGCTGCAAGCAAAAGTCTCTAATCCAGTCATTACTGGTCATACAAAATTTATGTTGTGAGAGCAGTTACCAAACAAGTGTTTTTAATTGTTATGAATATATTTACTATTTGGCCAGGTGCGGTGGCTCACGCCTGTAATCCCAACACTTTGGGAGGCCGAGGCAGGCAGATCACGAGGTCAAAAGATCAAGACCATCCAGGCCAACATGGTGAAGCCCCGTCTTTACTAAAAATACAAAACTTAGCCGAGCATGGTGGTGCATGTGTGTAGTCCCAGCTACTCAGGAGGCTGACGCAGGATAATTGCTTGAACTCAGGAGGCGTGGGTTGCAGTGAGCCGAGATCATGCCACTCCACTCCAGCCTGGTGACAGGGCAAGACTCTGTCTCTGTCTCTCTTTCTCTCTCTCTCTCTCTCTCTCTCTCTCTCTCTCTCTCTCTATATATATATATATATATATATATATATATATATACACACACACATACTTACTATTCAATTTAATTTCCTATATTACAACAAATTGGAGGATGTATTCCACATTCTTTCTAACATGAGAACAGAAGGCAATGGTTTCCAACTAAATATTCTTTTTTTTTTTTTTTTTTTTGAGATGGAGTCTCTCTCTGTTGCCCAGGCTGGAGTGCAGTGGTGCGATCTCGGCTCACTGCAACCTCTGTCTCCCAGATTCAAGCAATTCTCCTGTCTCGGCCTCCCCAGTAGCTGGGACTATAGGTGCACACCACCACTCCCAGCTAAGTTTTGTATTTTTAGTAGAGAACGGGGTTTCACCATACTGGTCAGGCTGGTCTCAAACTCCTGACCTCAGGTGATCCACCCGCCTTGGCCTCCCAAAGTGCTGGGATTACAGGTGTGAGCCACCACGCCATTATTTCAGATGTGGGATATTTCAAGATGATTCAGAAACTTTCTGCTGCTTTCAGAAATGTATGCATAGCTTGTCATTATAAAAAGGGACTTTTCAAAAATTATTTTGCTATATCATGAAGAATTCAACCAAATAATACTTACCCAAGTGAAATAACACCTTTATTCTTTAAAATCATACTGAATTCCCAAGTTTCCACCTTCTTTGGGTACAGTTATTCTCAGAAAAGAATTGTTTACATTTATTTAGAGAAAAAAAATAAAACCCTCTATCTAGAGGCTTGAAAATTGTTTCAAACTGCCATCTATACAGTAATTCCCTTCAGAATGAAATGGTAGAATAATGACACAGAGGAGCAGAGTCCATCAGCCATTCACACTGCCTGATTTAACGCTGGTCATCAAAATCAATATGGAAATGAGCATTTTTATGTTTGAAACCTTTGTTTAACATTTTTCAGAGGAAACATGGCTTTGGGGTTTTTTATGATGCTATACATTTTCCAGAAGCCATTTACCAATTCCACTGCAGTGGGCCAAATTTGCTATAAACTACATTCTAGCCTTTATTGTATCTCCTGGCATCTTGCTTTGTTCCCATCACATATTGTTGTTTAGTGACAAAATTATCTTAACAGCAGCATTTGTAGTTCAGAATGCCGGCAAAATTTCTATGCCTGAAAATATAAAGACTATGCCATATTTTTTCTAATTTATGATAAACCTTTAATAAAGATAAGTCTTGCTCCTCTCTTTCCTGAGTTTTACTCTCCCCTATTTTGAAATTACCTGTGGCTTAGCTTTTTAATATGTTTCCTTAATTATTAAATTAAATATAGTTAATGAAGGACTAGAATTTTTGTATACCTTTAGGTTCCAGAAAGGAAACATTTTTTGCTTTATACTTGTGGGCAAGAAAGCATTCATGTTTAGATTTGTATACACTGGGGATTCTAGAACCAGGAAGGCAGGAATATGATAAGGCCATATTTATACCAACTGGCTTTCTAAATCAGATGCCTCTATTGCCAGTACCATTGGTCAGTTCGTCTGAAGGATGTTTCCTTCTATAGAAATCATAAACTTTCATAAAGAGACTGTTTGGGACCATAGAGAGAAGACTTTAGATCATAAGGGTAGTGGTATCTAATTTAGGTTTATTTAAGTAAACAGTGGCAGGAATTTCAATTTTTGATTTTTAAAATTAGAAACATACAAAAATACACACTACAGGCTGGGCCCAGTGGCTCACACCTGTAATCCCAGCACTTTGGTTGGCCAAAGCCGACGGATCACCTGAGGTCAGGAGTTCGAGACCAGCCTGGCCAATATAGTGAAACCCTGTCTCTACTACAAATACAAAAATGAGCCGGGCATGGTGGCACATGCCTGTAATCCCAGCTACTCAGGAGGCTGAGGCAGGAGAATCGTTTGAACCCGGGAGACGGAGGTTGCAGTGAGCTGAGATCACGCCACTGCACTCCAGCCTGGGTGACAAGAGCGAGACTCTTTCTCAAACAAACAAACAACAACAACAACAAAAACACATTGCAGTCAATTTTTTTTTTTTTTGAGATGGAGTCTCGCCCTGTCCCCCAGGCTGGAGTGCAATGGTGCGATCTCGGCTCACTACAACCTCTGCCTCTGGGGTTCAAGTGATTCTCCTGCCTCAGCCTCCTGAGTAGCTAGGATTACAGGCAACCGCCACCACGTCTGGTTAATTTTTGTATTTTTAGTAGAGACAGGGTTTCACCATGTTGGTCAAGCTGATCTCGAACTCCTGACCTCAGGTGATCTGCCAGTCTCACCCTCCCAAAGTGCTCAGATTACAGGCATGAGCCCCTATGCCCAGCCTACAATCAATTTTATAGAGATTTAGAGGAAGAGTAAAAATTATAGAATTTGAAGATTGAGAGGGCTTGTCTTTTTAAATTTATTTAATTGACAAATAATAATTGCACATACTTATGAGTACATAGTGATGATTCGATACATATAATGTATAGTAATGCACAGGGTAATTAGCATATCCATCATCTCAAAGATTTATCGTTTCTTTGTGTTGGGAACATTAAATATCCACTTCTAGCTATTTGAAACTATATATTATTGTTAACTAGAGTCATCCTAGAGTGGTATAGAGCACTAGAACTTACTCCTCCTATCTAGCTGGAATTTTGTATCCTCTAATAAATCTCTCCCTATCACTCCCTTCCCCTGACCTTTCCCAGCCCCAGTATCCTCTGTTCTTTTACTTCTATGAGATCAACTTTTTTTTTTTAACTTCCACATTTGAGTAAGAAAGTGTGGTGTTTAACTTTTTGTTCTTGGCTTATTTCACGCAACATAATGTCCTAATCCTCCAATTCTATCCACTGTGAAAGACAGGATTTCATTCTTTTTATGGCTAAATAGTATTCCATTGTGTATATGTGTCACATTTTCTTTATTCATTCATCTGTTGTTAGACACCTAGGTTGATTTCATGTCTTGCCTGTTGTGATTAATGACACAATAAACATGAGAGTGCAGGTGTCTCTTTGATATAATGATTTAATTTCTTTTGGATAAATTACCAGTACCAGGATTGCTGGATCATATTGGGGTCCTATTTGTAGCTTTTTGAGGAACTTCCATACCCTTCTCCATAGTGGCTGTACTAGTTTACGTTCCCACCAACAGCTTATGAGTTCCTTTTTCTCCACATTGAGAGGGCTTGTCAATGTGCCAGAGACTTTAAACTCTGCCAATGACTGGTTTTGCATCTTTAGGCAAAGTGCTTAAACTTTCTGAACTTCAGTATTCATATATGTGAAATGGTGACCTCATGTTATATTTGTTGAGAATTAAATAAAACAATGAAAAGATTCTTACTGCCCTTTGCACATAGTTTTCAATCAGCAAATATTCCAAATAATTCTTTACATATAGTTGTCATTGAACAAATAATACGACAAAGATAATATCTTCCAAAAATTATTGAATATTAAGGAATAAATTCAGAATATTGAAGAAGAGAAATAAAGGATCCTGTGATGTGGCTTATATTACAACATTACCTAAAGTAGTCCATTCCTCTTAGTGAATAAATGAAGGAATTAATGAATTATATGACCAATATTTATAGCACAAAACTAATTTCTTTCCTTACACACAGATGTTTATAATGAATGTTATATAAGAGAAGCTCTCCTTTATTGACAATAATAGTAAGCAATTGATATTTCATATGTTCTATGCAACATTGTTTTCTAAAATCTTATTGACTATGTAGAAGATAATAATATTTGCATACAAAGAATGTTTTCTCTGTCCTTCCTCATTTTTACATTAATTATAAATTTAAACCATCTAGAAATTTCATAAGTTTAAATATGTGTGACTTGGAATGCTGTCATTTATAAATACACACAGTTTTCTAAATGAATAAATGGATGTATTTTTCATGTCCTCAATTATCTATTCATTTAATGCTCTTTATGAAGTTCCTGATATGTGCCAGGCATTTTGTTGGGCTCTGAGGAAACAGTGATGATGACATGATCCCAGCGTTTAAAGCCAGCACATTTTACTGACATAGTCAAGAAACTTGGTTGAACACTAAATGCTAAGTACGGTTTAGACTATTTGGACTATTGCAAAAAAGAAGTGTAATTTTCTAAGACCTAGATAAGGACTAACACATGCAACTAAGAATTAGAAAAAATTGAATTAGAATTAGAATATTGAAATCTGTGTGATCTTGTGTAAGTTATAAACCATCCTTGTATCTCAAACTCATTATCTGTAAAATAATTTTTCAAAAATTATATATATGTGAATATATATATATATATACACACACACACATAATGATGCCTACTTCATAAATGTGCTATGAATATTAATCTTCCTACTGTGGTTTCTGAAGACTTTCTATCCCATTTCCATATATTGTTCCCCTTCTGAGGTTAATACGCAAAGAATAATATCAACAGTAGAAAGCAACCCCCTGACCAGCACACAGACTCAGCGGCCATCTCCAAATTTCTCTCAAATTAGGTTCATTTAACCATGCATCACTTCGAAAACCAATATGAAAAGGTAAAGGCAAAAGTAGTGATGCATTTTAATGTCTGTGTGTTTACATCTGTTTTCTTAGATTTTATTCTGTGACTCAATTAAGAAGATAACACCAAGCAATTGTGCATAAAGAAAAATCTAAAGTACAATTTACTATGTCCATTATTTCTGCCAACTTTAATAATAACTACTGATGAGCCTCACATTTAAGATATACAGCCTAGGAGGCATATGTGTATCCAATTAGTCCTATTTCTTCTTAGAACTAAAAATACTCTTTTATTTGTAGTTTTAATAGCTTAATTTTGCTGATGTTATAATTTGAAATGAGCTTAGTCAAAGTAGCCTCTGACACCCAAACATATGGGGTTTTGCTTTCACTGAATTTATTTAAGTCCTTTATTATCTCAAGTTACAGCATGGCAAAGAGACTATTTTATTTGCATTTAGTAAACTTTCAGAACGTGTGCAGTTTTGATAGCTTATAATTTACTAGAATGAGGGCGTAAAGAAATTTGATGGTTGCTAACATGTTTATGGTTTCTTGAAAAGAGACTGGTTTTATCATCTTGTTTCATCTTCTTTTAACTCATCCATGAGAATATTTGAATCTCAGAAAAGCATCCCTGACAATCACCATGAAAGGAAGTAAGACTCTTAGGATGATGATAGTTCATGGCACTTAATCTGTATCCACTTGCCCATTATAAAGACATTTGGAGTCTGTTTCAATGTTAGACAGAGGTATGTTTCTTAATCTGATTCCATTTAGCATAATGCTAACTTCTAAAATTCCATTAAAAATACATTATAGAGACAGGAGCATAATTTTTACTACCAACACTATATATCGAGTCTGCAGATCTGAGTTCAAATTATACCTAAAATAAAAATAATGTTACCTTTGGATATTACTTCACCTTTTTTTCGCCACATTTTATTTATCTATTAAACAGGGGTAAGAATATCTCATCCGTATATCTCTCAGGATGGTTACGAAAATTAAATCTAATAATGTATTTAAAATTTCTCATCAAATGATAAATATGAGATATTATTTAAGACACTATCTTTAATAATATTTCATGTATTGAAATATGAATAACCATAATTACTGCAATTGCTTAATAACTGTTAAATAGGGTTAGTAGTAATGAATCTTATTAGAATAGAATCATGTAAATAGTATAGGCTCCTTCCTGTCTTCAGACATAGTAATATTTAAAACAAATATAGAAAATTTCTAAACATATATACACTCTATACTATCTGTCTAGTGGAGTACGTAAAACAAACAAACAGCTCTACCATCTCTAAATTAGAGTTTAGATTTTAGGTTTTTAGGTATAACCACCCAAGGGATTAGCTGTGTCTCCTTGACCTCTCTGACTCTCTGATTCTCAATTTTTATCTCTGGAACTTGACATAGAATTGGTATCTGCAATGGAAAAATTCAGTAGTAGAGTTGACACTTTTTATACTGAATGTGACTTTTTGGATGCTATAAGTATTGTTTTGGAGATGTAACAACCTATATTGTAAGTCAAGAAAGCTAGTCAGGCAAGGGAAGTTGAGTTTCTTGAGTATATGGTGACAGGCAAGAGATGACAATTTAGGCAAGCTCTAAGTGTCAACCAAGACCCACAAATATAACCCTGTCCTTTTTTATTAATATGTAACAGGTGTGTACAATCCTGGGTAACATTAGTACATGTATTATTAATTATGAAGTCAAATAAGTATCATGCATGAGGGATGTCTGCAAGGCTCCATCCACTCGGCTGTATTTCAAAGATGAGATCCATGGGATTCTAGCAAGATAAATCCAGCAAATTATGGGTATTAGAAGCAGGGAGCCACTCAAGAAATCTGACAATAAAGAATTCAATTATTGAAATGAAGTAGAAAATGGTGACTTAATCTCATAGGTAAACCAGAAGTCTAGTTACTAGAATTAACACAAGGTCAGAGCTGGATTATGAATAAGATTAAATCAACTCTGACCCTTCTGAGAACTGATTTTTAAAATTCCCTTTTCACTACAGGAAAGATAGGAATTGGGACATTAGACGGCACTCAAGTAGCAGGAACTATCTGTAACCCTGTCTGTAGAAATAAAAGGAATTTGGGGGTTAGGAAACCAAGTAGGACATAAGAATTAACCCTGGCTGAGCTTTTAAAATCTTTCCTTTACTGTCTTTATCTATCTTTTTATTTTAGCTTATAATTGTTTATTTCTCTTTCCCAATTTCTTCTTTTAATCTTCTCAAAGAAGAAATTTCATAATTGGTGAACCTATTACCTCTGCTGATTTATGAAAGATTTCTAAGATTTAACAATCAGACTTTTATGTTTATAATATAGAAATTAAAGTTTGATTTAGATATTCACAAAAGTACCATATTTTTCTCTCCTTTGCTTTGGAATAAATAAATGATTTAAAAATTATTGTTCTTTTAATAGCTAGCTAAATTGTTTTACTCTAATCCCTTATTGATTCTCCCATGTGTCAGTTTCTGTCAATTAATAACAGAGATTAATTTTAAATAATCGCTTACCATGTGTTGCTCACTGTGTTTAAGAATGCACATGTTTCATATGTGTTAGCTACATTTAATTCTCTCAACAAAAAATACATAGATTTTTGTTGGTAGAGCTAGATGCTAATATTATCGCCTTTACAGATGAAGATACTGAACACAATCTCATTGGTAACATCAATTTAATTATTGTTTAATAGTTCACTATGTGAATGTAGTGATTTACTTCACTATTTTTCTTAAAGAATTTAGGTATTCTTTAGTTTTTACACTGTAAACAATGGCAAGGATTTATTTTTTAAAATTATTTCATGCGTAACATTTTCTTCTGTAGTTAAGATAATTTCCTTAGGATAAATTTTCACAGTATAAATCCTTGGGTCAAAGGAAAGAAAAATTAAGGGTCTTGATGTCTATTTTCACATTGCTTTGGACAAAGACTGTTCTAATCTGCTCAGTTCCAACTTCCTTTTAGAACTGTGAAATCACAGTTAACAACCTGCCTCCCTGATCTTTGTCTCATCCTTCCTTGCTCTTTTCTCTTTAGGTTTTCATTCCCCTGTTTATTCTGTGTTGATCTTATTCTTGCACTGACTCCCTAATCTCTATTAAGCTTTCAGTCACCAAGTTTTCAGCTTTTTCTTTACTATCACTTAATTACTATGTTATTTCTTTAACTACTGTATGTTCCTTCAGTAACTGTTAAAAAGAGATCTTTCCAAATGGCCTAAGCACTTTTTGAGGCTTATTCTGTGTATCATATTCACCCATTTCAAGAATAAAAGTTAGTGATGTTTAGTATATTTACTGAGCTGTGCAACTATCACCATAAGTCAGTTTTTGAGCATTTTCATGACCACAATAAGAACTCTTATGTCTATTTGCTATTAATCCTTCCGACCTCCAGGCCCAGGCAACCAATTATCTACTTTTGGTGAGTTTAAATTTGCCTTTCTATGACATCTTATATAATCGAATTATGCAACATGTGGTCCTTTGTGACTGGCGTCTCTCACTTAGCAAAATGTTTTGAGGTCCATCCTTGGTGTAGCATATATCAAAACTTCATTCCTTTTTATGGCTGAATAATAGTCCATTGTGCAGATATACCACATTTTATGTTATCTATTCTTAAACTGATGAACATTTAGGGTTATTTCTATTTTTAGGCTCTTATAAATAATGCTGTTATCAACATTTCTCTACAAGTCTTTACATGAACATATACTTTATTTGTCTTAGCTATGGATACCTAGGCTATGCATAGCTTCATTTATCTTTATCTTATATAGATACCTAGGAATGAAATTGCTGGGTCATGTGGTAACTCACATATATATTCCACTTTCAGAACTGCCATACTGTTTTCCAAAGTGGCTGCACCATTTTATATTCCCATCAGTGATGTATAAGGTTTCTTCATTTCTTTACATTCTTGTTCATATTTATTATTGTCTAGATTATTTATTATGACCACCTTAGTGGCTATGAAATGACATCTCATTAGGGTTTTAGTTTGTATTGCCTTAATTACTTTTGATGTTGATCAGCTTTTCATGTGCTCATGCAACAAGTTTTTAAATCTTTTTTGAGACTGAGCCAGGGTAATGATTAAGAATCTGAAGTTTGAACGTAGTCAGACCTGGTTCAAAGTCCAGTGCTTCCTCTTATCACCTTAGAGGAACATCCTGATCATCCTGAGCCACAGATTTCTTTCCCAAAAAGAGAGGAGCACAATATCTGGCTCATAGCACTGTGGAGGATTAAATGATGTAATGTGTATAAAGTGGCCAGCTGGTTGGACAAATGCAGTAAATAGTAGTTGCTATTCTTCCAAATAAGTGTATCTGTACTTATCCGTTTGAGATGCTTAAAAGTAGTAATTCTAAGACTCTTTGGTCTCAGGACTCCTTTACACTCTTAAAAATTATTGAAGACTACAAAAAGCCTTCGTATGCAGATTAAATTTATTGATATTTTCTGTATTAGATACTAAAACTGACATATTTTTTAAAAATTTGTTTACAAATTAATTTTTCCAATAACTATGATAAACCCATTAGAAGTTAACATAAACAATATTTTTATGAAAAATAAATATATGTTTAGAAACAAAATAATGAGAAGAGTAGCATTTTTTTACATTTCCCAAATCTATTTAATGATTTGGCTCAATAGAAAACATCTGGGTTTTCCTCTCTGCTTCTGCAGTCAATCTGTTATACTGCACTTCATGCAGCCTCTGGAAAAAAATCCACAGTTAACTCATGAGAGCCTAACAGTGAAAAAGACAAATAAGGTCTTAGTATTATTACAAAAATAGTTTGACTTTACAGATCTTCTGATGGGTTCTCAAGGCCCCCCTGGAGGCCCTGGACCACTCTTTGAGAAGCATTGCTATAAGAGCTATGAGAGAATTTTTCAACCCAATTAATTAGGCCCTGTTTATACTCAGCACTATATTCAGTGTGAATGATTTTGGACTTAATTTTGAAAAAAATTATTGGAAAGTAAGTAGAT
Source organism: Homo sapiens (assembly GCF_000001405.40). Taxonomy (NCBI): domain Eukaryota; kingdom Metazoa; phylum Chordata; class Mammalia; order Primates; family Hominidae; genus Homo; species Homo sapiens. The sequence continues at coordinate 66,336,676 of NC_000010.11, read as the reverse complement.
GTGAAATTTTTGGAATATTAGAAAACATAATCAAATTATAAAAATAATGAATTATAGAATAGACAATGTTACAAAAAATATTGTGTGAAGAAAGACTATTGTGGGCCACTGGGAAATTCTTGTGGGATGTTAATAAGGAATGTCTTAAACTATGCAATAATTCCTGGAGGATAGAGAGGTTATTAACTCTTTGCAATTCTTTTTACATAAGCAAAGATTCCAAAGTTATTATTAAATGACTAGACAAACGGTGGCAAAATTTTGGGTAATCAAATTAGGTAAGAAGAAATATGTGCTGGGGGTGGAGCTAAGATGGCCGGATAGGAACACCTCCAGTCTACAGCTCCCAGCATGGGTGATGCAGAAGATGGGTGATTTCTGCATTTCCAACTGAGGTACCAGGTTCATCTCACTGGGGATTGTCGGACAGTGGGTGCAGGACAGTGGGTGCTGTGCACCGAGCATGAGCCGAAGCAGGGTGAGGCATTGCCTCACCCGGGAAGCACAAGGGGTCAGGGAATTCCGTTTCCTAGTCAAAGAAAGGGGTGACAGACGGCACCTGGAAAATCGGGTCACTCCCACCCTAATACTGCGCTTTTCCAATGGTCTTAGCAAATAGCACACCAGGAGATTATATCCCGCACCTGTCTTGGAGGGTCCTACAAGCACGGAGCCTCGCTCATTGCTAGCACAGCAGGCTGAGATCAAACTGCAAGGCAGCAGCAAGGCTGGAGGAGGGGCACCCCGCCATTGCCCAGGCTTGAGTAGGTAAACAAAGCGGCTGGGAAGCTCAAACTGGGTGGAGCCCACCACAGCTCAAGGAGACCTGCCTGCCTCTGTAGACTCCACCTCTGAGGGCAGGGCATAGCCAAACAAAAGGCAGCAGAAACCTCTGCAGACTTAAATGTCCCTGTCTGACAGGTTTAAAGAGAGTAGTGGTTCTCCCAGCACGCAGCTGGAGATCTGAGAACGGACAGACTACCTCCTCAAGTGGGTCCCTGACCCCCGAGTAGCCTAACTGGGAGGCACCCCAAAGTAGGGGCAGACTGACACTTCACATGGCCGGGTACTCCTCTGGGACAAAACTTCCAGAGGAACAATCAGGCAGCAACATTTGCTGTTCACCAATATCCACTGTTCTGCAGCTTCTGCTGCTGATACCCAGGCAAAGAGGGTCTGGAGTGGACCTCCAGCAAACTCCAACAGATCTGCAGCTGAGGGTCCTGACTGTTAGAAGGAAAACTAACAAACAGAAAGGACATCCACACCAAAACACCATCTGTACGTCACCATCATCAAAGACCAAAGGTAGATAAAACCACAAAGATGGGGAAAAAACAAAGCAGAAAAACTGGAAACACTAAAAATCAGAGTGCCTCTCCTCCTCCAAAGGAATGCAGCTCCTCACCAGCAATGGAACAAAGGTGGACAGAGAATGACTTTGACGAGTTGAGAGAAGACAGCTTCAGACAATCAAACTACTCTGAGCTAAAGGAGGAAGTTCGAACCCATAGCAAAGAAGTTAAAAACCTTGAAAAAAAATTTGACAAATGGCTAACTAGAATAACCAATGCAGAGAAGTCCTTAAAGGACCTGATGATGCTGAAAACCATGGCACGAGAACTACATGACAAATGCATAAGCCTCAGTAGCCGATTCGATCAACTGGAAGAAAGGGTATCAGTGATGTAAGATCAAATGAATAAAATGAAGCGAGAAGAGAAGTTTACAGAAAAAAGAATAAAAAGAAACAAACAAAGCCTCCAAGAAATATGGAACTATGTGAAAGACCAAATCTACGTCTGATTGGTGTACCTGAAAGTGATGGGGAGAATGGAACCAAGTTGGAAAACACTGCAAGATATTATCCAGGAGAACTTCCCCAATCTAGCAAGGCAGGCCAACATTCAAATTCAGGAAATACAGAGAATGCCACAAAGATACTCCTCGAGAAGAGCAACTCCAAGACACATAATTGTCAGATTCACCAAAGTTGAAATGAAGGAAAAAATGTTAAGGGCAGCCAGAGAGAAAAGTCGGGTTACCCACAAAGGGAAGCCCATCAGACTTACAGCTGACCTCTCGGCAGAAACTCTACAAGCCAGAAGAGAGTGGGGGCCAATATTCAACATTATTAAAGAAAAGAATTTTCAACCCAGAATTTCACATCCAGCCAAACTAAGCTTCATAAGTGAAGGAGAAATAAAATACTTTACAGACAAGCAAACACTGAGAGATTTTGTCACCACCAGGCCTGGTGGTGACAAACAGAGCTCCTGAAGGAAGCACTACACATGGAAAGGAACAACCGGTACCAGCCACTGCAAAAACATGCCAAATTGTAAAGACTATCGAGGCTAGGAAGAAACTACATCAACTAACGAGCAAAATAACCAGCTAACATCACAATGACAGGATCAAATTCACACATAACAATTTTAACCTTAAATGTAAATGGGCTAAATGCTCCAATTAAAAGACAGACTGGCAAACTGGATAAAGACTCAAGACCCATCAGTGTGCTGTATTCAGGAAACCCATCTCACATGCAGAGACACACATGGGCTCAAAATAAAGGGATGGAGGAAGATCTACCAAGCAAATGGAAAACAAAAAAAGGTAGGGGTTGCAATCCTAGTCTCTGATAAAACAGACTTTAAACCGACAAAGATCAAAAGAGATAAAGACGGCCATTACATAATGTTAAAGGGATCAATTCAACAAGAAGAGCTAACTATCCTAAATATATATACACCACATACAGGAGCACCCAGATTCATAAAGCAAGTCCCTAGAGACCTACAAAGAGACTTAGACTCCCACACAATAATAATGGGAGACTTTAACACCCCACTGTCAACATTAGACAGATCAACGAGACAGAAAGTTAACAAGGATATCCAGGAATTGAACTCAGCTCTGCACCAAGCAGACCTAATAGACATCTACAGAACTCTCCACCTCAAATCAACAGAATATACATTCTTTTCAGCACCACACCACACCTATTCCAAAATTGACCACATAGTTGGAAGTAAAGCACTCCTCAGCAAATGTAAAAGAACAGAAATTGTAAAAAACTGTCTCTCAGACCACAGTGCAATCAAACTCGAACTCAGCATTAAGAAACTCACTCAAAACCACTCAACTACATGGAAACTAAACAACCTGCTCCTGAATGACTACTGGGTACATAACGAAATGAAGGCAGAAATAAAGATATTCCTTGAAACCAACGAGAACAAAGACACAACATACCAGAATCTCTGGGACACATTCAAAGAAGTGTGTAGAGGGAAATTTATAACACTAAAGGCCCACAAGAGAAAGCAGGAAAGATCTAAAATTGACACCCTAACATCACAATGAAAAGAACTAGAGAAGCAAGAGCAAACACATTCAAAAACTACCAGAAGGCAAGAAATAACTAAGATCAGAGCAGAACTGAAGTAGATAGAGACACAAAAAACCCTTCAAAAAATCAATGAATCCAGGAGCTGGTTTTTTTTAAAAGATCAACAAAATTGATAGGCCGCTAGCAAGACTAATAAAGAAGAAAAGAGAGAAGAATCAAATAGATTCAATAAAAAATGATAAAGGGGATATCACCACCGATCCCACAGAAATACAAACTACCATCAGAGAATACTATAAACACCTCTACACAAATAAACTAGAAAATCTCAAAGAAATGGATAAATTCCTAGACACATACACCCTCCCAAGACTAAACCAGGAAGAAGTTGAATTTCAGAATAGACCAATAACAGGCTCTGAAATTGAAGCAATAATTAATAGCTTACCAACCAAAAAAAGTCCAGGACCAGATGGATTCACAGCCGAATTCTACCAGAGGTACAAGGAGGAGCTGGTACCATTCCTTCTGAAACTATTCGAATCAATAGAAAAAGAGGGAATCCTCCCTAACTCATTTTATGAGGCCAGCATCATCCTGATACCAAAGCCTGGCAGAGACACTACAAAAAAAGAGAATTTTAGACCAATATCCCTGATGAACATCGATGCAAAAATTCTCAATAAAATACTGGCAAACCAAATACAGTAACACATCAAAAAGCTTATCCACCATGATCAAGTGGGCTTCATGCCGGGGATGAAAGGCTGGTTCAACACACACAAATCAATAAACGTAATCCAGTGTATAAACAGAACCAATGACAAAAACCACATGATTATCTCAATAGATGCAGAAAAGGCCTTTGACAAAATCTACACCCTTCATGCTAAAAACTCTCAATAAATTATCTCAAAATAAAAAGAGGTATCTATGACAAACCCACAGCCAATATCATACTCAATGGGCAAAAACTGGAAGCATTCCCTTTGAAAACTGGCACAAGACAGGGATACCCTCTCTCACCACTCCTATTCAACATAGTGTTGGGAGCTCTGGCCAGGGCAATCAGGCAGGAGAAGGAAATAAAGGGTATTCAATTAGGAAAAGAGGAAGTCAAATTGTCCCTGTTTGCAGATGACATGATTGTATATCTAGAAAACCCCATTGTCTCAGCCCACAATCTCCTTAAGCTGATAGGCAACTTCAGCAAAGTCTCAGGATACAAAATCAATGCGCAAAAATCACAAGCATTCTTATACACCAATAACAGACAAACAGAGAGCCAAATCATGAGTGAACTCCCATTCACAATTGCTTCAAAGAGAATAAAATACCTAGGAATCCAAATAAAAGACGATACAAACAAATGGAAGAACATTCCATGCTCATGGGTAGGAAGAATCAATATCGTGAAAATGGCCATGCTGCCCAAGGTAATTTATAGATTCAATGCCATCCCCATCAAGCTACCAATGACTTTCTTCACAGAATTGGAAAAAACTACTTTAAAGTTCATATGGAAGCAAAAAAGAGCCCGCATTGCCAAGTCAATCCTAAGCCAAAAGAACAAAGCCAGAGGCATCACGCTACCTGACTTCAAACTATACTACAAGGCTACAGTAACCAAAACAGCATGGTACTGGTACCAAAACGAAGATATAGACCAATGGAACAGAACAGAGCCCTCAGAAATAATGCTGCATATCTACAACTATCTGATATTTGACAAACCTGACAAAAACAAGCAATGGGTCCTGGCTAACATGGTGAAACCCCGTCTCTACTAAAAATACAAAAATTAGCCGGGCATGGTGGTGCGCGCCTGTAGTCCCAGCTACACGGGAGGCTGAGGCAGGAGAATGGCGTGAACCCGGGAGGCGGAGCTTGCAGTGAGTCGAGATCGCGCCACTGCACTCCAGCCTGGGCGACAGAGCAAAACTCCGTCTCAAAAAAAAAAAAAAAAAAAAAAAAAAAAACAAACAATGGGGAAAGGAGTCCATATTTAATAAATGGTGCTGGGAAAACTGGCTAGCCATATGTAGAAAGCTAAAACTGGATCCCTTCCTTACACCTTATACACAAATTAATTCAAGCTTGATTAAAAACTTAAACGTTAGACCTAAAACCATAAAAACCCTAGAAGAAAACCTAGGCAATACCATTCAGGACATAGGTATGGGCAAGGACTTCATGTCTAAGACACCAAAAGCAATGGCAACAAAAGCAAAATTGACAAATGGGATCTAATTAAACTAAAGAGCTTCTGCACAGCAAAAGAAACTACCATCAGAGTGAACAGGCAACCTACAGAATGGGAGAAAATTTTTGCCATCTACTCATCTGACAAAGGGCTAATATCCAGAATCTTCAAAGAACTCAAATTTACAAGCAAAAAACAAACCACCCCATCAAAAAGTGGGCAAAGGATATGAACAGACACTTCTCAAAAGAAGACATTTATGCAGCCGAAAAACACATGAAAAAATGCTCATCATCACTGGCCATCAGAGAAATGCAAATGAAAACCACAATGAGATACCATCTCACACCAGTTAGAATGGTGATCATTAAAAAGTCAGGAAACTACAGGTGCTGGAGAGGATGTGGAGGAATAGGAACACTTTTACACTGTTGGTGGGACTGTAAACTAGTTCAACCATTGTGGAAGTCAGCGTGGTGATTCCTCAGGAATCTAGAACTAGAAATACCATTTGACCCAGCCATCCCATTGCTGGGTGTATACCCAGAGGATTATAAAACATGCTGCTATAAAGACACATGCACACGTATGTTTACTGTGGCACTATTCCCAATAGCAAAGACTTGGAACCAACCCAAATGTCCAACAATGATAGACTGGATTAAGATAAATGTGGCACATATACACCATGGAATACTATGCAGCCATAAAACAGGATGAGTTCATGTCCTTTGCAGGGACATGGATGAAGCTGGAAACCATCATTCTTAGCAAACTATGGCAAGGACAAAAAACCAAACACTGCATGTTCTCACTCATAGGTAGGAATTGAACAATGAGAACACAGGGACACAGGAAGGGGAACATCACACACCGGGGCCTGTTGTGGGGTGGGGAGAGGGGGGGAGGGATAGCATTAGGAGATATACCTAATGTTAAATGACGAGTTAATGGATGCAGCACACCAACATGGCACAAGTATACATATGTAACAAACTTTTACCTTGTGCACATGTACCCTAAAACTTACAGTATAATAAAAAAAAGAAATATGTGCTTACTTCTTTTTCATATTTCACAACTGACCAGTGAATTGCCTGTTCTATATTTTATTTTTTGAGCTTGGAATCATGTCCCATTTAACCAAGCATGCAATATTTATTTGATGGTAAAAATTCAATTCCACAATATCATATGAACGTTTCTGATGAAAAACAGCAGGAGGAATAGCTTGTAATATGGGTCCTTGTAACTCAGTAATTTAATTTACAGTCCAATTACTTGAGCTTCATGACTTACAGGGTATTATATAAAGTAAATAAAGTTTCTTTGAAATTAATTTTTCAGTCTGAAAACACTAGAAACTATTCAAGTATATTTGATATAACTCTATTTCTGTGAGAAAAAAAAGTATTAAATTTTTCTCGTCCAGCTATGTGTGATGCACATTCACTCATTCGCCCATTGTTCAACTGTTCGTTCATTCTTTCATTTTATTTTGACATACGATAGTACTTTTGTAGTAGGTTTTTTTTTTTTTCCCTGAAACATGTTCAAGCCCTAGGGTTTCTAATGACAGAGCTGAAGACTGGTGTACCAGGCAGTGCCGCATGTTATACTCCATTATAGACTGTGACAGTTAATTTTATGCGTTCATTTGAGTAGGCCACAGGGTGCCCAGGAGAAACATTGTTTTGGGGTGTTACACTGTAAGGGTGCTTCTGGCTGAGATTTGCATTTGAATCAGTGACTCAGTATAGTAGATTGCAAGGCCCACAATCACCCCTGCCAAAGTGATTGGTATCATCCAATCTATTGAGGTCCCAGAATAGAGCAAAAGGCAGAGGAAGTAAGAATTCATCCCTCTTTGGCTGGGCGCCGTGGCTCACCCCGTAATCCCAGCACTTTAGGAGGCTGAGGTGGGTGTATCACCTGAGGTCAGGGGTTCGATACCAGCCTGGCCGATATGGTGAAACCCCATCTCTACTAATAATACAAAAATTAGCAGAGTGTGATGGCACACACCTGTAATCCCAGCTACTCGAGAGGCTGAGGCCGGAGAATTGCTTGAATTCCGGAGGCAGAGGTTGCAGTGAGCCGAGATCGTGACATTGCACTCCAGCCTGGGCAACAAGAGTGAAACTCCATCTCAAAAAAAAAAAATTATATTTATATGTGTGTGTGTATATATATATATATATATATATGTATATATGTGTGTGTGTGTATGTGTATGAATTTATCCCTCTTTTTCCTGCTTCACTGCTTGAGCTGGAATGTCTCATCACATTTCTCCTGCCCTTGGACTGAAACTTACATTATTGGTTCTCCTGGGTTCTCAGGCCTTCAGATGCAGGTTAAATTATACGACCAGATTTAGTGGGTCTCCAGCCTGCAGAAGGCATATTGTGGGCTTCTCAGCCTCCATAATTGCATGGGTCATTCCTCATTTATATACACATAAAATGGTTCTGTTTCTATGGAGAACCTGAGTAATACACAGACTTAAGTAATAAAATGGACCGTGAGATTTCAGGAAAGAAATCCTGTGATCATCAAGAAAGACTTCTCTATGGACAAGTCTGAGCTGCACTGATTTTAGAAGGAAAAGTGAGAATTTTCCCAGTAAATAAAGAGTTGAATTGACAAGGATTCAGAATGACTTATAATGGTAGAGGAGCACAATAACATCACAGCTAGGTACCCTTCAGCATGCTCAGGTGTCTTGTCTTAGCTGCCACTTGATACTACTTAATCTAACATTTAAATATGATGTATCCCTAGGTTTGAATCTCACATCTGCTACTTACTAGGTTTATAACTTGGGAAAATGATCTAAGCCCTGTTTTGCCATTTATAACATGACAATAATAATGCTCACCTTGAAGCTTTCTTATCAAGATTGAATACAATATGCTAAAAGCTGTCAGCACAATGTGTAACACTTAGTAGGCCTACAAATAAAAGATTGTTGTCATTATTGATTCTTACCCCCTAGACACCTACCTTTTGGCAGAGATCACACTTGAAATAATATTAGCATGGCACAATGTCAATATTAAAAGAATGGCTATCTATTAAATATTAAAAGAATGGTGATGTTAGATTCCCATTATTGACATTCCCTCATGGGAAATAATTTTCTTTTCCATGTTTCAAATCATCTTTCCTGAGTAAGTAACTGGTATTTCTCTCATAAAATGATTGAAGTTAAGAAACAAGCAGAGATAACATCTTAGTTATAATGCAAGGTGACATAATAAAATGAGAAACAAATACATAGTGTTTATAAATTGACACATAAAATGTAAATTATGGCAAATTATTCATGATACAGTTTTAAGAAAATTTATTTAAAAGCCAATCACAATTCTTTTCACACTCTCTTTCTAAATATCAATATACACAATGGAAAAAATTTTAATAATCATATTATAGGGTCCTAAGAATTGCACTTGAAGATTTTTAAAGGGAGAGAATAAGATTAGAGATAATATTTTTGAGGGAAAATTGATAGGGTAATTGATTCTAGAATGCAAAATTTGAACGACAATGGCAAAGAAATATATGCCACATGTACAATGAAATTTCAGGAATTTTTCCCCTGAAGGACATTTCTAAATTCTTTAGGTCCTTAACACCTTAATGTATCTATTTTAGCATGGGTAGTGATAAACAATTGCAATCTCAGGATCATTTTAAATGTTCCAAAAATATTTTTTGACACAGAATAAGAAAAGAAAGTAAATTTTCCTATCAAATTTAGGATTTGCAATAAATGGTTGTTTCCCTACTGTGAAGAACATCAGTTCCTTATTTAACACAATTTATTCACTGTATGTGTAGAAAATTGATAGCAGGAACATTCCTATTTGAACATTCACAGTTGCTGGCTTTTAAACTTTTAATTTCTTACTGTTACTTTGCAATCAAATTTAGTGTTGTCGCTTTGAAATAAATGCTGGGTCACATTCAGTTAGTTAGATTTTGACATTGTTTTCCAGGAGTCAAGAGGTGGCTGAAGTTCCTGAGGGCCTAAAAATAGTTCTGAAACAGAAGTGTACACCCTAGGGGCTTGATTATCTTTGTGAGCATGCAGTTGTATTTTCAACACAATTAGCTGCCTAACTGTTTGACTAAACTTTTCTATGTATTTGCACATGTAAGTAATTATGACAGAATTAAAATCTGAAAAGCTCTCTGCCTACTTTGTTTTCCCTTATGAATAAGACTAAAAACACATATTGAAAAGAATTTTATTTTGTAAACTCATTCACTGAATGAATGAAATATGAAAGGATTTTTTAAAATATATTTGTTACCCCCCAAAGAGGAAGATACTAGAGACTATGATTAAACAAAAAGAAGTTGCAACAATCTGCTAGCACCCTTTCTGGTCTGATCTCCCGCTACCCCCAATACACACGTGAATTTAATGTACATCTATTAATATGAATTTATAAATATACATTAATTTAGTGTACACTAACAATTAATGGCCATTACAGTTTATCTTTATTTATAGTTTCAGTTTATATATTTTACCCTTCATTGTATTATTTTCCTATAACTTATGCAGCATTTTATATACATTCACTTTTTATATGACTCATGCCTTATATACCTATACTGAACCTAACTCTGAACACATTTAATATGAGTTAGTGTACTTTTTGAATATGAATCTGCCCTTTCTACCAATCCCATAGATGGAGGCCAAATTGTAAGGTATTTATAAGTACTACCTGTGCCAAATGTCGAGTAGCATCATCTGCCTTATATGAAACTCTTATTGGTTATGTAGATGAAGAAGGTGCATAAAGAGTGATGAGAGCATTGTAAGAGTGAAGCGTAACATGTAGATCAAGTATTAGTGTCCTTCACTTTACCCATTCCTGCTGTTTGATACATTCTGCTCTAAATGTCAAAAGGATCTTCTAAGTTGTGTGGTAAAGTATCTTGTAATCCAATGTAGTCATTTACACCCAAGTATTACTTTCAAAATTGTAAAGGGCACTCTGCACTTGTATTAGTTGGATTGAGCTTGTTCATTTTACAAAATTCTGACTCAGTTCTCTAAAGTTTGCATCAATTACGTTAAACAATGCAGGCTTTTAAAATTGAGTAATCATTTTTATCAGCCATTTTTCAACAGTGGCTCTTTTCATGCATGGTTAAGTGTGATTTTGGCTGTTAAATCCTTCTTCTCGAATGAAATAAGCATTTTAATTCAGCAATCTGAAAATCATCAATAACAGACATTGTCTTGCCCTTTTGCTCTCCCAATTTACCTAATCAGTTCTCATTTTTTAATATGAGCACATAACTATTTCAAACAGACAATTTTCAGTCCTAGATTTAATGTTTCTAATAGCAGGACCCCACTTAGAGTCCCTTGGTAGTTCTTGTGGCTAAACAGCCTCAGAGTCAAGAAGGCATGCCTTATGACTTGGTTAGAGCTGCACTCTTTGCCTTTAGATTTGCTTGCAGGGGAGATGTAGAACAGGTGAGCATCTTCCTCAGAACAACCCTTCATTGTCTTCATTGAAAACAATTATTAAGAAGCTCATTGTTGGCCAGGTGCAGCGGCTCATGCCTATAATCCCAGCACTTTCAGAGATCAAGGCAGGAGGATCCCTTGAGCCTAGGAGTTCAAGACCACCTTGGGCAACATAGGGAGACTCCTCGGCTCTACAACAAAAAGAAGCACGTTATTTTTTCTGCAGGCAAGATATGAACAACTCATCTTGACTCTTGTTTGCTAGTTTCTATTCTTTGAAATGGTAAAATCAAATCTGTCATTCAAAGTTTTGCACATAGAAGGTACCCAGCACATTTTTAATGTTTCTTTTTCTTTCACCCTTTAATGTACAGAAAACAGTCAATACTAAACAAAAACTGATAAGCATGTAGCTGAGGGACTACAGTCATTACTGATTATCGTTAAGTGTATTTGCACTCCTGCCTTTCGTGTGCCTATTCTTATTTTAATGTTTGCTTTTGGTCCCAAAAGACTCATGGGGATTTCTGTGGTGATTTCTAAAATTCTTCCTCTGTGTAGCTCCCTCCTCTCTGGGACAGTGCCTCACAAATCCAGCTATCCCACTCTTGCAAATCTGACCTCTCTCCACAGCTGAGGAAGACTGCCAGGCTCTGTTTGGGTTTACTTCTCTGTGATTTGGTCCAGAAAATATCTCCAATGTTTTGTTGTAAAATTATGATGTCTCAGAAGTTGTAAAATTATGACAGGGTATCTTCATTTGGCTGTGCTTGGTTCTACCTTAGTTCCTTTTGAATCTCCATATCCAGTTTAAGCATGATGATAAACTAATTAAAGCAAACTGAAGGCCAACCGGCATGCATCGGGTTAAATGATGGCTTCTCAGAGCATCTTGTCATCATGAAACTGAAGAGTTCCCTGATCCCCCATGCAGGACATGGAACAGGTTTGTGGCTCACTTGTTCAGTTGCCATCACTGCTCAAACCCCTTGCAGGAAGGGGAGCATGCAGATGGGCAGGTGCAGAGGCTGGGGCCAGTGCTTTGGGCTCTGGCCCTGTGGTAGTGTCTAGGGGTGGGTGCCTGCAACCCCAGTGTTACAATGCTGTCTTAGCCTTGCTGTCTGCACATGGCTTTAAGTGTTAACCAGTTCAGTGGACTCTCTGCCTTTTTGCAAGGGCAGAAGGCCAGAGTGACAGCTTTCTGTGTCCTGAGCTCTTGCCCACTGTCCTGGAAGAATTGGATTACACATGGACTTGAAGGATGAATGTGAGGTTTTTTTGTTTGTTTGTTTGTTTTTTGAGATGCAGTCTCGCTCTGTTGCTCAGGATGGAGTACAGTAGCATGATCTCAGTTCACTGGAATCTCCGCCTCCTGGGTTCAAACAATTCTTCTGCCTCAGCCTCCCAAGTAGCTGGGATTACAGGTGTGCGCCACCACACCTGGCTAATTTTTGTATTTTTAGTAGAGATGAGGCTTCACCATATTGGCCAGGCTGGACTGGAACCCCTGACCTCATGATCTGCCTGCCTCAGCCTCCCAAAGTGCTGGGAATTCAAGCGAATGTGAGTTTTTATTGAGTGGTGGAGGTGGCCCTCAGTGGAATGGATGGGGAGCCAGAAGTGGGGATGGAGTGGAAAGATGATCTTCCCTTGGAGTTGGACCATTCAGCCACTAAACTCCTCTCTGACCACCCCAAGCCGAACTCCTCTCAGCACTCAGACATTCCCCCTCTTCCCTCTTTCTCTGCTGTGTCATTCTGCTGTTCATCTGCTTGTCTTATATCCTCATCTGCTGGTCTTTTCTGGAGCCTGGGATACAGGATAGGGACATGGCAGGCCAAAAGGCAACTTTTTGGGAGAGAAAACAGAAATGCCTGTTCTCATTTAGGGCCACGGGTGTCCAGGCTTGAGAGTAGGGGCTTTGCTGGGGAACTGCCCTCTTCTTCTTCTTTTTTTTTTTTTCGTTTGAGATGGATTCTCCCTCTTTCACCCAGGGTGGAGTGCAGTGGCACGATCTTGGCTCACTGCAACCTCCGCCTCCTGGGTTCAAGCGATTCTTCTGCCTCAGCCTCCTTGAGTAGCTAGGACTACAGGCATATGGCACCACGTCCAGCTAATTTTTATTTTTTGTATTTTTAGTAGAGACAAATTTTCACCATGTTGCCCAGGCTGGTCTCGAACTCTTGACCTCAGGTGATCCGTGCCCCTTGGCCTCTCAAAGTGCTGGGATTACAGGTGTAGACTGCCCTCTTCTACCCAGTATTTCCAACTCCTGTTCATATCATCACAATTAAATAGAAGTACAAATGGCATGTTAAAAAAATATATTAAATACAACCCTTGATGATTAAGCACATTTGGTTTGAATTTATAAAATAGATACTTAGTGTGGCAGATTAATTTATTGAGACATTAATTTGTATTTTGTTCTTACTGCTGTTGGAATTACATTTACCTCCTGTATCATTAAAAATAAATTTTTTAAAAGGGACCCCGTAATGTGGTCTTTTACCTCAGAGGCTTTTGTGCTGCAGGTTTAAAGCAGAAGTTACCAGATACCCATAAGCCAAATAAGTCCTGACTTTTGTTTGTTCAGGTCTGGGCTCATTTATGGGATTTATGATGCACAGTTCAAGCAGGAGTATGGGAGTTCTTGGATTTCTAGGAAAGGTGACTAACTAGAGACTTTTGAGGGCTTATACCAGATTGGTTCTAGGTCCTTGAGAGAGTGGAGGTTGAAAAGCAGCTCTCTGCTCCCTCACAATGCCCTGGGGAGCGGTGTATCTAGTGAAAAGGGACACTAAATACCAATGTTTTGGTCTCCAGTAAGTCACCATATTTTGTCAAAAGTCTCTTTTCCTAAGGTTGACACTTAAGTGCAGCTGGCAACATATATTCAGCAGGATTCTTGTTCTTCCCAAATGTCCAGAATGGAGATACTCCTGCCAACTCCCTCCCGCCAACCAGGATTTGTTCTTTTCCTGGCACTTGTTTGTTTTGCAAGGCTTTGTGTAGTCTCTTCTCTGCATTTACAGCTCAGCCAAAGATTCCAGGAAATCTGTATAGAGATTTCTGGAACTCTTTTACTGCATAGTGCCCTCCTCTCTGGTACAATGCCCTACAAATTCCAGCTGCCTCACCTCCTCCAACTGAACTTTGATTTCTGTCTCTTCAGCTAAGTATGATTGGCATGCCCTGCTTGGGTTTCCTCTGCTCATGTCTAAATCTAGGAAGTGCCTCCAGGCAGAAATCCTGGGCGACTGTAGGACATTCCTCATTTGTTCCACTCCTCATTGCAAACACAGTTCCTTAGTGTCTGTTTTCCAGTGCCTGAAAAGAGCTGTTGCACATATTTTTCGAGTTTTCCAATAGTTTATGGCTGGCAGGCTGATCTGCTACCAGTTATTCTCAAAGCCAGAAGCAGTAGGGTGATATTTTAAAAACAGATATAAGTGTGTGATTCCTCTACTTAGAGCTCTTCAATGGTTTTCCACAGAACTTAGAAAAAGATTCGAAATCCTCTGTGAGGCCTGTTCTGAGTGTGTTCTGGGCCCTATCTACCAGCAGAGCTTCACCTCAGCCACTGTCATTTTCACCCACTAGTCTACCTAGTCTCACTTTCAGTGTTCCAGGGTGCCATGCACATTCCCAAATGAAGACCTTTAAATGCCAACTTGGATATAATCCATCTGACTCATGTGTCTACTCCTGAACTATTTAATTGTAGATGAGAGTGCAAGGCCACACATCACAGCCTGGTCACTAGGACACTCATATAGCATACGCACATTTCCTTGGCTTCAGCATAAAGAGTATTATTTGGAGCTTTTTCGTAGCAGTGGACAAAGGTTAAAATAGCGAGAATTTTTTAAAGTTTATTGTAAACACAGTATTTTGGCAATAGAAAATACACTCGGAGAGTATAAAAATATGTTATATCTTTGTTTATGGAAACAATCAGTATTTTGAAATTTAAATCTTGGCATTTAAGTAGTTACCATAAAAAAGTATTCATTGCAGGTTTTCAAAAATGTATGCAACTAATTATATTTAGTAAAAGAATACATTTAAAGGAAATAATAAGTGGAATTGTTGAGAATAACTTGAATGATTCTAAAACAGGCTAAGAGTTTTTTATTAGTTTCACTTTCTAATTTTATCTATAGTTCACTTTAATTGCACAGTTAAGTTACTTCTTAGGATTTCCACCAAGTCCAACCCTCTTCTACCTCCAACCTTTAAATATCAGCAGCCCCCTAAGGTATAAATTTACCTTTAGTTTTTATGTTTCTTTCGGTAACTTAATAGAATGGACAATCTTGATCCCAATGGAAACATGACTTTTCCAAAATTATGTTTTGCAGAAAGCTCTTCTAACATGTTATAACTATTTTTTTTCAAATCTATATTTTATTTTTTACCTATTCAACAAAGATGGTCCAACATAATTAAAAATCATTGATCAGTTGAGTAGAAGCTGGACTTGGGCTACCATGTAAAACTCAAGGGCCACTATTCATATCATAATCTATGGGAATGAGGACTCCTGAAGCTGTACAGAGCATAATCTGGCTGGCTATTTGTGATGGGCATTGGTCTGGAAGGCAAAGTTATTGCATTTAAAGAGAGAGTTATTTAATTGCATGTTTGATGTCTTAATAATAATAATGTAAACATGATTTTTAAAGGCCAAAATTTTGGAAGCTGTTGATAACAACACATTTCTTGGCCAAAAGAATATTTTCTCAGCCACTTTAACAAAAGTCTAAATGAAAAGCTTCATTTGCATTACTGTTCTTTATTTCTGTCTATTCTCTCCTTTGGCAACATTTGGCAATATTTTCTCTTTTTTATGGTGTTACAAGAAGCATCTTTAAATTACTAGGTCAAAAGTATTTTTACAGATGTATTAGAAGATATGGAATATTATATATAAAAGGAAAATGTGTTTTTTATTATCAGGAACAGAATGTCTCAGGCTGGGTTAGGAATGAGAGAACCAAGACCTGCACCAAAGTCCTAGTGATACGAAGACAGCCAACCTGTCAATGTGTCATGCTCCTCAGGGCAGCAAGTGGCCAAGGGTTGTGGAGATAACTCAAGTGACCAGGAATTGACGAAGCTAAGGCAAGAATTTGTAAGATTCACATTCAGTTTACATTGGCTGAATGGCAATTTTGTTTCAGATGGTATGCTTGGTAACACTGACATATATTAATTAAACATTATTTAATGCCAAGATAGACATCAAAAGGAGAAATTTGCCAACTGGCTAGAGGCAGGAAAAATTAGAACCAAGTAGGCAAGAAAAAGAAGTGCATAAATGTGTAGGGTAAATCAAAGCCAAAGATCACAACTAGAGGGAGACTTAGGGAAATTAAAACAGCAGCCTAAAGCCAGCAGGAGAATAACTGTGACTTACCAAAAGAAAGAATATTCAAAATGAAGATGATAGTGATAAGAATGGTCATAGTGATGGTCGATAAGACTTATATATCAGGTGCGAGACTAGGCATTTTATATGCAATGCTGCGTAAAAGCTCACAACAGCCCCACAACGTAGGTATAATGTAGGTTTGATGATGGGTCAAAATGTCAGCTTTATTACTGGAGCTGCATTGGAGAGTGCAATGAATTCTGTGAATCAACTTGAATCCTAATGACCTTTCTAAATAGTTTTCTCTCAGTATTAAATTCATCCACTCAGTATCTACTCCTACCCACAGGAGAACAGGAACTTGGTGATTTTAATTCATGCCCTTTCTTAGTCTCACAAATAAATACTCTCTTCCTTTGAAGAGTGGGAGTAAGAAGTGAAAGATGTTTTTTGGTGTTTTATGTTTGTTTGTTTTCTTTTATCCAGTTACAAATCGCATTTGAATGCTAGTAACAGACATTCCAAACAGTAGATTAACCAATGTAATTGTTTTATTTTTGTCTAATGACAAGAAATTTATAGGTGTATGGTTGGTGGCATTAAAATATCAGGGCAAAGGATTTTGTGATTCTTTTAGATTTTCCCTGGAAGTTAAGATATAGCTGCTTAAACAATTATGTTCATATTCTATGTTCTAGAAAAGCAAAAGGCAAAGTGTTGCAAACAAGTTTAGTTTATCCCTACATCCCATCCCCTATCTTATATGAAGAGCTTTTCTCTGCATTTCTACCCAAGGACTTCTACGTACATCTTACTGACCAACATCGCATGGTTATCCCTAGCTGAAAAGTAGGCTTGGTGTGTAGATTTTAACTGGGCATATTGCTTCCCTCAATTATTGGGATTCCGTTAATGTAAAGGGAGAGTAAATATTGAATCAGTAAGTAGCTCTATGGGACATGTTACTCCAAGAGTGTTTTTCTCAAGGTGAAGTTCTCTTTTGAAAACATGAATAAGGGAGAATAAAACACTAAACACTTGATTTTTTTTCCCATTTGATTATGATCAAGTAATTATTCCCATTTTTATTATTATTCCCATTTATAGTTGTGATATCCAAGGCTCAGAAGAGCTAAGCAACTTGACCAAGTTCATACTTTATAAAAGTGGATTTATATTCAAACCTAAAATTGACTCATTTAATAACTCGATTTCTTAAGTATTTGCTAGCTCCTTTCTTTCTCTCAGGAGTAACTCAAGGGCTTGCAATGCGTGAACGAGTGCTCTTAAAGTAATAGGGAAAGGGTACTGAACCAAAAAAAAAAAATACTTCTACCTTTAAGGTGCAGTGATGTGAAGTTGAAATACCACTGTGGCTCAGAGAAGTTTTATGCAAGAAGGTTCTCAAAAGATATTTCTGGATTGCATGCATCAGAATTATTTTACCAAATATCTAGGGACAGAGCCTGGTAACTGCAGCATAATTAGCTTTGAAGAGCATTTACATGTGCATACTAAGACTTGGGAACCACTCAGAGAGGGTGAGATCAGTTTCATCTAAGCATGGAAGAATTTTTAGAAGAGGTGGTTAATCTAGTTGTTGGAGAATAGGGATGACCTAGAAACATGGAAATAAAGTTTCACTTAGAGGGCATGGATTTTGGCAATAGCATGGATGAGGAAAAACATGTGGCATATGGATATTGGAGAGGAAGCTTGGCGTGCACAGAGAACTGGGAGCAATCAGATCAAAATGAGGGAAGACCAGAGTAATTGGTATCTATGGATCACAACGACAGAATACAAAGAAAGATAGGTGCACTTGTCTCAAAGACCTTCACATAGGTGGAGAGATTACTATTGACCACTGGGATTATAGAGTATGCATTATATTTAGAAGAAAATCTCACTTATCCAAATTCGCGTGCACACATACACACACACACACACACACACACACACACATATATATATATATATCTCCCAGCAACTCCACCTGCAAATGATCTTACTCAGCTGATTCCACTAACTATTCATAGATGACTTGGTTGATCTAGGGACAAAGGGCAAGATAAAAACCCTGCTATCCCACTGGGCCAGCTGCAAAGCAAGCTTCATTTTGAAAATAAAGCTTCATGGGCAAAATAAATAAGAGCCTGTACAAGGAGATGGGGCTCTGAAGGTTATTTTAAAACTTTCAAGCAATGTTTTCAACCACATACCATAATGCTTTCCACCTTTTTCATATTTTGCTTTGTCTTTTGTCCATATAGTTGCTGGCATGCACTTATTTAATAAATATCCGACTCTATAAAATAAAAGGAGAATCCATTAGTGAATGTAATTAAATATTACTGTTATTGATTTAGTTAACGAAAATCATTGAGAGCTTTCAGAGATCATTTTCATAACCTTGACAGAAAATTCAAATGTCCTTTCCTACAAAACACCATAGAAATAAATCACCATGCATTCCTTTACTGTTTGTGTTACTGACATTAAATCACACTAATTTGATAATATAAATTATAAAATTTCTTTTCTCATTTTAAATTTTTTTTAATTTTTTGAGACAGAGTCTTGCACTGTCACCCAGGCTGGAGTACAGTGGAGTGATCTCAGCTCACTACAACCTCCACCTCCTGGGTTCAAATAATTCTCCTGCCTCAGCCTCCCGAGTAGCTGGGATTATAGGTGCCTACCACCACGTCCAGCTAATCTTTTGTATTTTTAGTAAAGACGGGGTTTCACTATGTTGGCCAGGCTGGTCTTGAACTCCTGACCTTGTGATTCACCCACCTCGGCCTCCCAAAGTGCTGGGATTACAGGTGTGAGCCACCACGCCCGGCTTAAAATTTCTTTTTATAAGTATTTCTACGAAAACTGTATCATAAACAAACCCAAATAAATGAGGAATTATGTAGAAATGGCAAAACTTGACTAACCATAAATTTAGTTTGTGGAAAAAAAATTATTCAAAGGCATGTGCTGGCCATCAGATACTGAACGAAGAAGTATTCTTAGAAACATCACCATTTTCTCTGTATTTTAATGTATTAAACTTGCATTAAGTTTCCAAACTTAAAATTTGTATTTTATCTTATTGTCTAACTGATCATTAGACTATGTTAACAAAATTTCACTTACATTTGATATAAGCATGAATGTCTAAAAAAATTATATTTTGAATGTAATGCGAAACTGAACTAATTTGTTTTTGAATATGTGTGCATTTTATGAACTTTCATCTATCTTATGGGTGCTTTTAAGATCACTAATTAGTCTGCTATTCAATTCTTTTTAAGTAAACGTTTTGTCTAAATTTTATTCTGCCGTAATCAGTTATTGAGAAAAGTTCATAGGTTTTGGTCTAGACAACAAGTTAAATTTATATTACTTGTTTTAAAACATAATTATCTGTCAACTGGATAATTGAAATTTTAAATAAGTATTAGAAGTTAAATATAGCAGGTCCTTGAATAATATCATTTTGTTCAACTCCTGTTGTTATAAACAATGATAGGGGGAGAAAATCAATTCCCACCTGGGCCACTGTCTGTGTGGAATTCGCACATTCTCTGGTGTCTATAGGGGTTTTTTCTTGGTACTCTGGTTTGCTCCCAAATCCCCAAGATGTGCACATTAGGTTAACTGGCTTGTCTACATTGTCCCAATCAGAGTGAGTGTGGGTGTGTGTTTAGTACTTGCTGTGTGTGATGGAATGGTGTCCTGTTCAGGGCTGGTTCCCTTCTTGTGCACTGAGTTTCGGGGATAGGCTCCAGCCACCTGTGACCCAGAACTGGAATTAAAAAATTAATGAGTTAATTAATATATATTACTGTAAAATAAAAGTTCATAAAGTAGACAATAATCCCACAAATTCACTACATAAAATGATGCAGTG
This sequence comes from Homo sapiens, assembly GCF_000001405.40. Classification (NCBI taxonomy): domain Eukaryota; kingdom Metazoa; phylum Chordata; class Mammalia; order Primates; family Hominidae; genus Homo; species Homo sapiens. The sequence continues at coordinate 66,316,337 of NC_000010.11, read as the reverse complement.
CAAAAGTGCTCAGGGAGCCCACCCTGTTCATGATTGTTTTAGAACTGCATGATAGAAGAGCTGCTCTTTACAATTTTCACTTTTGCGAATATTTATTCTTAGATTTAACCCACTACCTTTACCACCACTGTCACTCACTGATTCACCAAAAATTGGGTAAACCATTATTTTATTTGTTTTTGTTTGTCTTTCTTAATGGTAAGTATAGCTCACATTTATTTCAATACTCAATATTGAAAGTCTCTTTGTCTTATTTAGAAGTTTGTTGATATTTTTGTGACCAGAAACATGCCATGGGAGCTTAACTCTTGTTTATATCAATTAACCTTCGTTAAAATTGGTTGTGTTAAAGTTGCGGTTTTCAAGAACCTATCAATAATGTTAAGTGAGGATTTCCTACAAGTTATGATGTTAAGATGAAGGGAATAAAGGTGTGACTGACTTTAAAATCTTTTCAGACTGGCTTAAGATAGTATTGTTTATTTGCCTTCATGTTTTAGAGTTTTATCATGTTGTAGGAAATATGGGCTTCAGCTTTTCCAGTTCCTAAGAGAATAAACTTGTTACCTTTGTTTTGAGGATGAAATATTACAGAATAATTTCTCCTTAGGTCAGAATCTCATTTAATAAGAAATTTTTAACATATTGCCTTTTATCAGCCTCATCCTTCTCTGTAACATCTGGCCTGAGAAATAAGCAAGTTGAAAATAGTCTTTGTGGTATAAATCTGAAATACCAGAAATAATTAGCAAGTGTATATAAACAAAACCAAGTTACGATCAGTGTTCAAACCATAGCACTTATTTACACACACACACACACACACACACAAGAGAAGTCAGATTTTTAGAGCCCCTTGCCTCTGGATTGGTTCAAACACAGAGCCCTTTAATACTTGTCATTCAACTCCTTTGAGACTTTCATTGTTCATAAAATGGGTATAAGACCTTTCTTTCATGGTTGTTGTAGATACTAGAGGCAGGATATACAAAATCTGTCTTACATCTCTGGTCCATATTTTGACCTAATATCAGTCAGCTGTCATTATTAATAATGAAGTGGGGCCAGGATAGAAGATACATTAAGTCATCAGGGATTGTGGCGTTAGAACTGGGAATCTGGAAACCTTAGTAAAACTGGTATTTACTTAAAAATCATTTGTAGTTAAGGAGGAAAATTACTTACTTCTAGTAGAGAAAAAAAAAGGAGCAATAAGCTATCTCAGTAAAATTTATTAATAAAGAAAGAACCACGGTGTACTATTACCCTTGAAAAATGTAACCTTTGCCTCCTTCAGTTTTTTCCATATCTTCTTGGAGATGAAAGGGTAAGTCCATGAAAAAGTGAAAAAGTAACCCACCACACATCGTAAGTTTCTTTCTAAGAACTGTCACTTTCCTTCTATTTTAAAGGGGACTTATTTTTGCACTGACAGACACAACTGAGTGCAAAAGCAGATGCTTAATTATGATATGATTTTTTTAAAACTGGATTTTTACTGTTTTTTATTCTTCTGACTTTTATCCAAGTGATGCTAAAGATTGGCTTGAAATTTATAAGTATTGTGTTCAATCTTGTAAAAGACAGTTTGAACACTAAATTAATTGTTTTTATATAAATTATTATTGAAATGTTAGTACCTGTGAAGAAGTTCTACTCTATTTTATTCAACCAATAATATCTCAAATTTTATAAGATATTGAAGCTCAGAGAAGTTGAAAAACTTATTGAAGATTCTATATTCTAATTGGAGGAAATTGAGATCTTGTCAAAGTATATTTGAACTTAGAGTTTTCTCTGCCATACTTCAAGAATGTCCCCTTGAGGGAAGAGAAGAAGAAAAGGAAAAAAGAATGATATTGGATCATGATAATTAGGAACTGATGGTCAATGAGAGCATAATCACACAGATGTTTTCCACACATGATATTTTAAAATTTTTAAATTAATTTTTGCTACCTATAATTAGAAAGATTTTATATACAAATCTAATTTCTAGCCTTTTTAAAAAAAGATACATTTGGCAACCTTGGGCCTTATTTCATCATGGCATCATCACTTATGAATTAGCTAAAGCTGGGGTGGAGCTGCCTTCTTTATCTAGGACATCTAGTCTTGTGCTCAATGCTGTCCCTGGGCCAGCTTCACTCATTCATGTTACCTGTGCAGCTCCCGGGGAAGAACATGTGAGCTATGATGAAACAGGGGCCCCTGCTGAGATGTTTCCTATGACTGGTGAAGGCTAAGCAGCCTGCATACACTGGTAATCCTATGTATGTATGTATGAGTATATTTATTTTTGCTTCAATTGTCTGTTAGACCTAAAGTTTCTGGGCCAGGGAGGATGAGATAGTTTGTATGTCTCAAATTCAGGAATTAAAATAGAGCAAAGAAATCTGAGGGCCTCCCATTTTACCAAATTCACCTTGTAGACAAGGGAAATATTTCAGTATTCATTATTTTTCTGACCCATTTGCCTTCTTGTAGCTATTAGAGAATGGAGGAGTTTAAGATGTAATGAGTGAAATGTGTACCAGGCTCTGAATCAGGCTCTTACGCTTTACTGCATATATTCATTCACTTGTGTGTTGAGTGTCTTTATGTCATTGTCATGGCAATTGCTGGAGATATACACCTACCCTCACAGCCCAAGGCTTGAGAGAAAGACAAATAATAAGTAATCAAGTAAAGAAGTTGCTACTCATGCAAACAGTAGTAGGAACTATAGCTACGTGGTCAGAGAAGGCCTCTCAGAGTGGATGACATTTAGGATGAGAGTTAAGAGGAGAAGGAGCCAGACACTGTACAAGCTGGGAGAAGAGAACTCTAGGCAGAGGATCAACAGCAGCAAACGCCTTGGGAACACAGTGTTTTATCTCCCAGCTTTAGAGTCTGAAAACAAAGTTAATGCAATTGCAGCCTACTTGAATAAAAGGAAGATGATATTGGCAAAGTGGACAAACCATGGTGAAGAGTTGGTAAGTTCATTGGAAACTCTCATTTAATCCTCCCCCAAACACTGTGAAACAGAAGCAAATCTTAGGCAAAAGAATCATCCAGACTGATCACTTACTAGCTATCTATCTTGGTACTGGTTTTAATCTTATTTGAGCTTCAAAGATAATAATACCCACATCATAGGACTTTTTGTCAGAACTAAAGGCTATATGCCATGCAGAGTTTTACGGGAATGTCCAGCCCATAGGAAGTGCTCCGTAAATGATAGGTTTTATTATTTTAAATAAGGAAGGGGGAAGATACACTCTCTCTCTTCTCAATCTAGACTCTCTTCCTTTTCCTTCGTCCGGTAATGGTGAAGTTATGATTTGTGTGATTTCATTTTAAAGTTTATCATGGTCAAGGCTTGTGTCTAAGAATTTCAGCAGGCAATGTGTTTGAGCTCCCTCCTCACCTCTTCCCACCTGTAACATTAGTTCTTTCCCCTTCTTTCTTCTGTCTGACAATTGGTGGTGGTTTAAAGAATCTGCAATCCCACCGGGCATTGTAGCTCACGCCTGTAATCCCAGCACTTTGGGAGGCCGAGGTGGGTGTATCACGAGGTCAGGAGATTGAGATCATCCTGGCCAATATGGTGAAACCCTGTCTTTACTAAAATACAGAAAATTATCCGGGCCTGATGATGCATGCCTGTAGTCCCAGCTACTCGGGAGGCTGAGGCAGGGGAATCTCTTGAACCCAGGAGGTGGAGATTGCGGTAAGTTGATATCATGCCATTGTACTCCAACCTGGTGACAGAGTGAGACTCTGTCTAAAAAAAAAAAACAATCTGCAATCCATGGACTCAGAGTTTCTAAGGTTTATAACCCTCTGATTATTTTGACAGCCTTCATATATACTCCCCCTCAATGTATTTATACACACACACAACACAACACACACATACACACACAAAAACACACATTTGTAGATTGGGAAAGGAATCATGAAGCAGCTAAAAACACTGCTCAAAAATTTCTAAGAAAGATTGTTGCAGGCAAGTTAGGCATGTACTTGATAGCTACCCAAGGCCTAACTACATAGTGAGATGTAGAAAATTTTAGGATTCGGAAACTTTGCCTTTAACTGAATGGCACTGGGAGGTGGGTAAGGAGACCAGCCACACAAGCAAGTGAGTCAGGAGAGTGTGTCATGAATATTAAGCAGACACTTTTTAGATACTAGAGTACTAAAAAATGAGAAAAATCTATTTCAATTAATTAGATGAAAATAATTATAACAATTACTAAAATAGCCTATATGTGGCTAATTATTATAACTACAAAAGCTCTTAGGCACACCCTTAATAGTGATACGTAGCAGCTTTGTTTAGTTGTAAGTTTTACATAATTACAACATTAAACTATATGTAGCTATACTTTACCTTCTATTATTCAAGTAGCAAGTCATCTACCAAAACCCAACATTTAGAAGATAGAACATGGCTTTTAAAAAGTCTTATCATCTACGTAAGGGTCAGGAGATAGGAGAAGTTAAAAATCAGGACCCTGAAATTCCCCAGGAGAGTAACTATCAGGGAGCAACGTAAAAAAAATTATTTTCCCATATTCCTTTTCCATATACAAGAGTTCTATGCATATAGGAGCCCCATGTAGAAATTTTTAGTTGTGGTATCTTTCTGAGTCTAATATTAAAACTTCTGGCATTACTGTGTGCCTAATGTATTGCTGTATGTTACCATTGCAGGTTGAATACACATCACACACGTGGTGGGGTTCTGCTGGAGCTTGCGGGTCAAGGCCCTGTCACTGTACTAAGTGAAGTAAAGCACCATGCTACTGTTAGGACTGCTTATTCTTGTGGCTGTTTGGATCACTGTCATGTACTCTGTATAAGCTGATAGCTGCAGATGGTTCCACCTTCTGATTCCTGTACTGACTACTATGTCTTAAAAATGAAAAGTTTAGCCACAAAGACTTCAGAAGCTCAGCTATTCAGCTTTGCCTTACACCTGGGTGTGATTCTCTCTAACTCTCTTTATGCTACTTTTAGCTAGTGCAACTTGCCATAGGAAAAAAATACTGAAAACCTAAAATGACCATAAGAGCAACAAACTTTCTGATTTCTGTCATTCTTTTAACCAAGATAATTTTGAAGGTAGCTATCTATGTGTTTGGATACTTGGTTCCTAATTAGTGACGTGCTCTCCACAATCTGTAGAACATATATTCTTTGGATATATATGCCTCAAGTATTCTACATAAGGTGGGCATATAGTTACCTTTTTCTAGTGATTCTGGGATACACTGTACCTACACTTTGATAGAATGTGGAGCATTATTGCATTTAGGACAACAGTCTAGGAAAAAGTGAATTAATTCAACTTCCAAAAGTAAGAGTTATATATACTCACACCTGTAATCCCAGCACTTTGGGAGGCCAAGGCGGGTGGATCATGAGGTCAGGAAATCGAGACCATCCTGGCTGGCTAACATGGTGAAACCCCGTCTCTACTAAAAATACAAAAAATTAGCCAGGCGTTGTTGTGGGTGCCTGTAGTCCCAGCTACTTGGGAGGCTGAGGCAGAATGGCATGAACCTGGGAGGCGGAGCTTGCAGTGAGCTGAGTTCGCACCACTGCACTCCAGCCTGGGAGACAGAGCCAGACTCCGCCTAAAAAAAAAAAAAAAAAAAGTTATGTATAAACAAATATTATTGCTCAACTGGAATATGGCCTAGAATAATGGGAAATAAATATTTGCTTTTTTATGTTACCCTCTTCAGGCATGATGAAAACACAGAATAAAACATTCTAGAAACTGAATTTAGCATAGCATGGATTTCCAAGGAATATAGGCCAAATTTAAAGACACACTTGATGGAATGTACCCAGTTTTCCAGACAAATTATCATCTATTATTGCCCAAATAAAGGCAATTTATAGAAATAGTTTAGGGTACAGAAATGGATCGTGGGGTACTGAACTAAATTTAGAATTAGGAGAGCTAGGCTTTGTCCATATGATATCGGATAAATCAACCTCTGTGGGCTTCAGATTTCTTCTTTTCTGTTAAAGGTGACGAATATCTCTATGTCAAAATCACAGTTTACTATGTAAATATGTTGCAGAGTAGAAAGTGGTAAAGTCATGAAAGATAGCACCAAAGGCTTAATATCTGATGTTTGCAAGAAAAAAATGTAAAAATTATTCTAAAAAAGGCCATTGAGAATATTATTTTTTGCCTTTTTTTTTCTTTTTTTTTGAGATGGAGTCTCACCCTGTCGCCCAGGCTGGAGTGCAGTGGTGCAATCTCAGCTCACTGCAACCTCCCAGGTTCAAGTGATTCTCCTGCCTCAGCCTCCCAAGTAGCTGGGATTACAGGCTCTCACCACCACGCCTAGCTAATTTATTTTTATTTTTATTTTATTTATTTATTTATTTATTTATTTATTTATTTATTTATTTATTTATTTTTTGTATCTTTGGTAGAGACGGGGTTTCACCATGTTGGCTAGGCTGGTCTCGAACTCCTGACTTCCTGATCCGCCCACCTTGGCCTCCCAAAGTGTTGGGATTACAGGCGTGAGCCACTGCACTTGGCCAAGGATATTATTTTTTGTCCCTCATTTCCCTATTTCCCTATCTATATAAGGTTGGAATCTAACCCTTTTTTTTTTTTTTTTTTTTTTTTTTTGAGACGGAGTCTCGCTCTGCCGCCTAGGCTGGAGTGCAGTGGCGCGATCTCAGCTCACTGCAAGCTCCGCCTCCCGGGTTCACACCATTCCCCTGCCTCAGCCTCCCAGCTGGGACTACAGGTGCCCGCCACCATGCCCGGCTATTATTTTGTATTTTTGGTAGATGGGGTTTCACAGTGTTAGCCAGGATGGTCTCGATCTCCTGACCTCGTGATCTGCCCGCCTTGGCCTCCCAAAGTGCTGAGATTACAGGCGTGAGCCACTGCACCCGGCCCGGAATCTAGCCTTAATGACAGAATTTTGAGCTCCAGAGACGAAAAAAAAGGTGTTATTAGAAGCGTCTATTTGTGTGTATGTCTGTGTGTGTAACTGTTATGATGGCACATAATGATTTCAAACACTGAGGTAAACTTTTGGTGAAAAAACTCATGAAGCATTTCAAATAAGAGCAGAGTATATATAGTTCTAGGTCTCATGTTTTTACTGAGAAAGGTTCATAAACTTTACCTAAGGAGATAAAATTTCCTCTAAAATGCCTGCATAAACACATTTGTACAAAATAGATCATTAGTTGTTCATCTTAAGTAGACGTGAGTGATAGCCATTTTACTGTTGGTAAATGTAGGAATTTGTATAGAGAACTCTTTTTGAATTAGTTGAGAGTATGGGCCAAGTAGAAGAAATGCAAAGGCTGAAATAGCATATTAAGCAATTTGAGTTAACTTTTAGATAATTTGCCATTTCCCTTAAGTAGAGTAAGAAACAGATATTAAGGAAGAGCATATGTCAACTTCAATTTAAGAAGAAGCCAAGGTGTCCTGATGAACTTCAAGTCACCCTGATTAATTTCATTTTAGAGCTTTGAAATATATAATAAAACATGAATTTTTATAGATGTTTATAATATAAGCAAATTAGCCTGTACAAGGGTTAGCCAAGAAAATTGTCTTCACTGACATAATTTGCTTTTAAAAAGACATGATAAAAATGTTTTCATATATTATGAAAAAATAGTGATGATTTTAAATATATGTAAGTATATCAAATGTGAATGGAAACATTTTGTACTACTGGAAGCCAAAATAAAAAGATTGATTCAGAATTTCATAAGCTTGCAAAGAATTGATAAGTTTTTGTTTTTGTTTATAAATTGCTATCTTTTTCAGATATTAATGGCTAAAAATGATGCCCTCTTTCAGAAATTTATATTCCTTACTCAAAAGTCTGAAATAAAGTCATTTGGCATATTGGATTCAATGCAGATATACCCATTTTCAAATCTTAAACAGGAGTGAATTCTGTTTTTAAGTTTCAATATTTAGTGCTTTTAATTTATTGAATCTCAAAATTTAGAAAAATATCGAATTTGCAGAACAAAGAGAAAAAGTTAAACCTAATGTGAAATATGATTATATCAAACAATGTATATTAATTTATGAACAATACCAAGAATGAAAGGCACCCACCTTCAAGGCCTGGCTATTTTTTCTGGAACCATATAAATATTTTCATAAAATGTTATCTGATGGCATCTTAAATTTTCATTTGCAAAAAATGCAGGGTTATAGCAAAATGTTTAAAGCATAAAAATCCTGCCACCTACAGTATAAACAAAGATGTGTTTTAGACATGATGCTTCAGTGAAAACCCTGCTCAAATGAGACTTTGGTCTTGCAAATTAGGGTGGCAGTATGGCAACCCTGTCAACCTCTCTTCCAGGTATGCCTCAGGAACTACTGCCCACTCTGGAAAATATTTAAACCAGCAGAGTGGCTGCTTAATGGAGCTGAGCAGCAGCCTGCATTTCTTGGCACATTTGACAAGCAAGTTCAGTCTCAGTTAGTAAACCTTATTTAAGAAACTAATGTTCTCCATTTGTGTATTTGCAAAGGATATGTTTTAGATAATGTCAAAAAATGAATTATCAGGAAATAAACTAAAAATGAAACTTAAGTCTTTAGATCAATAAAATGCAATACTTTTGATTTTTATGAAATTCATAATGAGTGTCACAGTTTGCAAATGAGAATCAACCATTTTTATTTATTCTCATCCTAAATCAAATTAAAATTTGGAGTTTGTCAATTTAAAAAAACAGCTAGTGGGAAAATAGCAAATCAGAATTTGTCAGAAGATATTATGTCATCTCTCTGAATAATTAGAAGTGTTAAAGATGACTGGAGCCACTTACATATTCTAATATCAATTTACAATATCACATAAAAGCATCTTTAGAATCATGACTAAAAACTGACTTGTTCATGTTTGTGGAACAAGTCTAATTTTTTAAGTTTCAATATACCTTTATTTAAAATAGTTAATGTCACACATGCAAATGATATGTAACATTTTCCAGATACTATAATGATAAAACTTATTTTTAGTTCTTAATAATTTTTATTTTACATCATTAAAGAGTGCAGACTTCAACATGCACTCCTTTATGAATATATGAAAATCACATGTAAAAATTACTAACATGGCCATTTTACATACAGGAAGAAGGTCACATGTTTAACAGAAACTATTCTTGCTTCCTGTTCTGCTCTGTACTAGTTATATAACTTCAAATCTCTGTGTCTTCATCTATAAACTGGGAATATTAACAGTATCTAATTCAGAGGGCTCTTGTGAGGATTAAGTGAATTAACACATAAAAAATGCTTGCCGTTGTGCCTGACACGCAGGTTCAGTAACTGTTAGCTAATTTTTTTGTTGTTAGTAATTTAGGGTCCAGAAAGAGATAAATTAGACTTCAATTAACTTTTCTTTCAGCCTAGTTTTAAGCTCATTGCTTATTAAATCTCTTACTTTTAGAAGTATAATTGTTCTTTTTCTAGTGAGTGTCGTTCCATGATGTACTTTTGTATGCAAAGCTTTCAGACATACGAAAACCAGTCTTTAATTCTTTTTTTCTTAACTCCACTATAATCCTTTGAACCAAATATTGCTATCTGTCTGGCAAGGGCAGACAAGTACACATTTTTTGCAGAGCGTAAGTACTCGATGGTCGTTATGGTGAGATGATTTTATAGTACCGTCTTTCAATTTTACCCTTGCATATGCCAGTATGAAATCATACAGTTTTGCCCTTTAAATCTTGTTTTATTGTTAAGTGGAGGCAGTATCAGGCAGTATGGCTTACTAGCAAAACAATAGATTAGGCACAGCCATAAATTCTAATTTTGGCACCATCATCGATTCACTAAGCCCTTCTGTGCTATAGCATAAAGTGCATTATTGAGAAACACCAGCGTTGAAGCTGTCATTTGGCTTTCTATATTGGCAGTAACACTAAGATACTATAAATTTGTGGCAGTTAAAAAAATAAAAGAAGACTCAGAACAGGGAAGGACCTTATTGAATACCTAGTTAAACTGTCTGTCTTTAGATGAGGAGGCTGAGACTCAGGGAAGTTATGTGATTTGCTGAAAGTCAAACTACAGAACACAAAATCCAGGTGGCTGATGGCCAGTTTTGTGGTCTGTCCACTATCTGTGCTTCCACATGGAACCTTCAAAAAATTTAGTTAAGTATCTGGACACTGCGTCTATGTATTGCTTAAAATCTGGATTTTTTTCTAACCCTTTAGGTATGTGACAGTTTTTTATTATTTGCTTGGAATGTGGGATTATGTGATAATCTTTGTGTAGTAATAATTAATAAGTGACATATTTGCAAAATACATTTAGTTGGGTCAGGATAGGAAAAGCCGCTATGTGACTTTGGATACTGTTCACTCAACATTCTTGCTGAGACTTTAGATTTATAGACCAGAATAATCAGCTGCATGGAATTGATAAGTGAGGCAAAGTGCAAGGGATAAGAGAGAGAGAATTTGCCTTTATTAAGTACTTAACTATGTGTCCACCATTGTAACAAGGGCTTTATATACATTTTCCCTTTTTAAGAATAAGACAATCCTCTCTGAATCTGTAGCATCAGTATCAGAGTTGTCATTGATAATTGCTCTATAACCTCAGATGAATCTTTTAACCTGCCTGGACCTTGACTTCCTTATTTGTAAAACAGGCAACACCTAAACTGTCTACTTCATGAACAGGAAGACTTCACCATGAAAGCACCTAGAAAAGTATAAGGTACCATCAGAATTTAAAATCATATATGTTTACTTTCAGTTGACTCCTTGTGCTAATTATATTTTGCTTAAGGGGATTTTGAATCAGGATGGTGGAAGGAAGGTAACACAGGATTAAAGATTGAATAATGAGCCAAATGCAGAGTCCACTTGAGAAAATAGGGTTGACTGCTTCACCTTTTTTTCCTTATTCTTTTCAGTTTTTCATGTGTCCCTATGTGTTGGATACATTATTATCAACACTGTTTTGTACAAATTCTTTTATAGAAATCAGCAAAAGAAGCTCAAACATGATATGTGTGTGCATATGATCTAAAATCAATAAAACTACAATTAATGAAACAAAAGTAATACAACTAATAACTTAAATACCTAGGGAGATAGTTTTTGTCATTCTAAGTTGGAAAGATTATGTTTATGTTGCATTTCAGAAGAGATTCTTGGGTGGAAGCAAGAGAAATTAACTTGGCTAGCCGAAATCAGGGCTTTTATATAGTGGGGGTTAGAGAGGGGCTGAGGATGAGCCTGCATGTGAAAGGCAGGCATGAGAAGTTGCGTGTGCCACCAGGGAGAGGCAGAAGGGAGAGGAGCCAGAACCACAAAAGTTCATATGACTGAAATTTTTTGTTTTGAACCTTTGAAAACTAGGAAATATATATCAAACACAAGAGTAAATATAACATATATGTACTTAAAATATTACTACTAATAATAAATCAAGTAAATATCTATGTACTTAACCTTACCTCATGGTCCTGTCTCCCCACTCTTACTTAATCACTGTTCTGAAATTTGTATTGCTCATTTTTATACCTGTTCCTATACTTTTGTTACACAGTCAATACAACATAATACTTAGGTGTGTGTGTATGGTTTATATGTGAGTGGTGTGGGCGGATACTCTTGAGTATTATATTGTTGTATTGTAGGATCAAATTTTATTTTTTTAATCCTCTTCAACTTGCTTTCTCCACATTTTGTTTTCAAGATACAGATGCTTTACCCCATTATATAAATGTATCGAAATATATTTATTGTACTACTGATGAGCGTATGGATTATTAGTGCAAATCTTTGTTCATTCTCATCCTCTTTTTCTCTTTCCTCTTTTTCTCTTTCTTCTGTTATGTACAAAGCTACTATGAACAATTTAATTCTGGTGCATCTGTTGCAAAAGCTTTCTAGGATACATGCTTGGGACTGAAGGACAGGGCCATAGGTTCTGTGGCTGTTCAGATTTACGAGGTCATACCAAATTGTTTTCCAAAAGGTTTTCTGATTTTCTACTTCAGCGAGGAGTGAAGGAGGAGTTCAGATGTTTAACAACCTTCTATAGACTTAGATTTTTTGAATTGTTGGCCAATGTGTAAATGAGATATATCTAAATGATATCATGTTTTCAATTTGCATTCCTTGATTCCCTATGAGATTGAGCTTCTTCCCCCCAATATGTTTGTCCTATCTCTTTATTTCACTTCTTTGAAATACTGGTACAACATTGATCCATTTTTCTTTGGGGTTGTTTTTATTTTTCTGGATACTATGGGTTGTATATATTTCATCTTTTCTTAGTTTACATTTCCTTTTCATTCTCTTTATGATGTTATTGTTAAAGAAAATTTCAAGGTTTGTGGTTTTATATCCTTTGCTCTACTGAGGACTTAAAAATTGCCCTTTAAAGTTTTCAAGTTTTACCGGGCACAGTGGCTCACATCTATATATCCCAGCACTTTGGGAGGCCGAGGTGGGCGGATCACGAGGTCAGGAGATCAAGACCATCCTGGCTAACACGGTGAAACCCTGTCTCTACTAAAAATACAAAAAATTAGCCAGGCGTGGTGGCAAATCGCTTGAACCCGGGGACAGGAGGTTGCAGTGAGCTGAGATCGCGCCACTACACTACAGCCTGGGTGACAGAGTGAGACTCCGTCTCTAAATAAATAAATAAATTTGCCTTTCTCATTTAAGATCTTAACCATTTGTATTTTTTTGTATATTGAGATAAGACTTTTATTTTTATTCACTTCATATGCCTAACCAATTATATAAAAACTTTTTAATAATAATTGTTTAAATAAAAAAGTTTTTTTACCCATAATGATGTGCAGAGCCAGATACATAATCAAGTATAAATGCATTGTCTGTGTAAAAATTTGTCTTTTGTTCCAATAGACTATATGTCTGTCTCTATTATTTTACTGTGCATCTTAATTATTCTAAATTTAAAATGCCATGATAACTGGTAAAGAAAATTTTCATAACTATTGTTTCTTTTTTTTCTTCCAGAATACACTGTTTATTCTTAACCTTTGCTCTGGGTTTGTTGTAGTTTGTACATTTTTTTATTTCTTTTTTCATCTTTATGCTTTTAATTAATGTGCTGGTTACAATAACCAAGGCAACGCTAAAGAGAAGTGTTGTTAGTGTTTATCCTTGTTGCTATTATCCTATTTTAAAATAAGGCTTGTAACATTTTACATTTGAATATCACGTTTGCGGTAAATTTTTGTGAATGTGCTATGTCAAATTAAAGGTGTTCCCTTTTATTCCTAGTTTGAGTAAGAAATTATGTCACAAATTCCTACTTGATTTCTATCTGTTGAGAAGCTTATATCTAATTTCCCTTTTAATCTGTAAATAAGATGAATTAGAAAATTAATAGATTACTTAATGTTAAAATAAACTTGTATTCCTGAAATGGATCTAATTTGGGCATGGAATAGTATCTTTCTTTTGTAATGATGAATTTTGCCTTGCTAAAATTTTATTAGGACTTTTGTATGTTTTTACATGAGAGATATTTGGCTTAGAATCTTTTTTTAAACTATTTATTTTAAAATAATTTTGTGTTTACAGAAGAGATTCAATGATAGTACAGATAGTAAAGTGCCCACATACCTTTCTACCAGTTTCCCTTAAAGTTAACATCTTACATTATCATGGTATATTTGTCAAAACTAATTAATTAGCATTGGTGCAAGGCAACTGTAGACTTTGTTCAAATTTCACTACTAATGTCTGTTTTCTGTTCCAGAATATCACATTGCATTTAGTTATCACGTCTTCATAGTGTCTTTCGAAATGTGACAACTTTTCACAGTTTCTTTTACTTTATGTATATTCTTTTACAAACACAATGCTGTCATGATTACTGTAGCTTTATAGTAGGTCTTGAAGTCAGGTAGTGTCAGTCCTCTAATTTTGTCTTTCAATATTGTATCAAGTATTCTGGGTCTTTTGCTTTTCCCTGTTAAGTTTAGGGTCAATTAGTAAATACCCAAAATGCCTGGCTGGAATTTTGATAGGGATTGTATTAAATATTAACTTGATTGTACATCAAGTAGGGAAAGACTGACATCTAGACCATACTGAGTCCTATCTAGGCACCGGAACTCACTCTCCATTTATGTAGATCTTCTTTGAATTCTTTCATCAGAGTTCTGTAATTTTCTTCACATGGATCTCGTAGATATTATTTTTAGATTTATACTAAGTATCTCTTTTTTGGTGCTCATGTTAATGGCATTGTGTTTTTAATTTCAAATTTTAGTTTTTCATTGCTGGTGTATAAGAAATCAAAAGACTTGAGTTGTATCCTACAAGCTTGCTGTCATTAATTAGTTCCAGGACTTTTTAAATTGATTCTTTGCTATTTTCTATATAGACAATCGTGTCATCTACAAAGAGATTTTTAATCTTCCTTCCAAGTCTGAATGGTTTTTATTTCCTTTTATTGTTTATTACATTCACTAGTGGTGAGAGTGGACATCTTGCCTTCTTCCTGATCTTAGTGGGAAGAGATCTAGTTTGTCTCCATTAAGTATGATGTTAACTGTAGGCATTTTGTGGATGTTTTTTATTAAGTTGAGAAAGGTCCCTTCTATTCCTACTTTGCTGAGAGTTCTTACTATGAGTGGGTGTAGGATTTTGTCAAATGCTTTTCCTTTTAATATTATTATGTGATTTTTCTTCTTTAGCCTAATGATATGATGGATTATAGTAATTGATTTTTGAAGGCTGAATCAGGTTTACATACCTGGGATAAATCTACTTGATTCTTTGTAGATTTATTTATGACTATTTATAATAAAATTATTTATATACTAAAAGAATTAGTATATAATTCCTTTTATACATAATTCAATTAGTTTTGTTAACATTTTCTTAAAAATCTTGGCATTTATGTTCGTAAGAAATATTGATCTGTAATTTTCCTTTCTTTCAATGTCTTTGGTTTTGGTAATAGGGGAATTATGGCCTCATAGAATGAGTTGGAAAGTATTCACTCTGCTTCCACCTTCTGGAAGAGATGGAAAGAATTGGTATAATTTCCTCCTTCAGTGTTTGGTAGAATTAACCAGTGAGTCTATCTGGTCCTGGTTCTTTCTGTTTTGGAAGTTTATTAATTATTGATCCAATCTCCTCAATAGCTATAAGCCTATTCATGTTATCTATGTCTGTGTATATGAGTTTCAGTATATTGTATCTTTCAAGGAATTATTTATTTTACTTAGGCTATCATATTTGTGAGTATAGGGTTGTTCATGGTATTTTGTTATTATCTTTTTAATGTTCATGATATCAGTTGTCATAGTCCCTTTTCATTACTGATATTAGTAATTTGTATCTTCTCTCTTTTTTTTTAGTTAACCTGGCTACGGGCTTGTAAATTTTATTGATCTTTTCAGATAACTAGCTTTTGATTTTGTTGACTTTCTTTACTGATTTTCTGCTTCCAAATTCATTGATTTTTGCTCTAATTTGTATAATTTATTTTCTTCTGCTTAGTTTGAATTTTATTTGCTCTTTTTCTAGTTTCTTAAAGTAGAAGCTTAGGTTATAGACTTTAATTTTTTTTTTCTCATATATACCTTACCTTGATACTTTTAAAGAGCACTGGGCAAGCATTTTGTAGAATTACCTTCAATTTGTATGTATCTAAAGTGTTCATGATTTCACTGGAATTACAGATTTTAGGGAAGAATACCACACAGATGAAGTATCTTTCTCATCATCTAGTATCAGGAATCCATATCAACATGACTTATATAACTAGTGATATTAACTTCAATCACTTGTTTAAGACAGTACTTGCCATGTTTCTTCAGTATAAAGCTACTACTCCCTTTCCGTGCTCTGTTGTTTAGAATTGAGTTACCAGGTCCAGTTTATACTCAAGTGGAAGAAAATAAATAATCCTCCTGGTGCCAGAAGTATCAAAGAATTTTCAATACAAGCACCAGGATATTTAATAAATATGGTTTGGCAAGTATTTTCATGCCTTGCAAGTGTACTATTTCTCCTAATGCTTTGCCCAGTAATTTTAGCATTCATCAGTAAAAATTATATCTGTGATATTCTAATGGTGATTTTAAAAAATTTTTCCTCATTGTAGGCCAGGTGTGGTGGCTCACACCTGTAATCCCATCTCTTAGGGAGGCTGAGGCAGGTGAATCACGAGGTCAGGAGTTCAAGACCAGCCTGGCCAACATGGTGAAAACCCGTCTCTACTAAAAATATAAAAAATTAGCCAGGCATGGTGGCAGGCACCTGTAGTCCCAGCTACTCGGGAGGCTGAGGCAGGAGAATTGCTTATACCTGGGAGGCAGAGGTTGCAGTGAACCGAGATCATGCCATTGTGCTCCAGCCTGGGCAACAGAGCGAGACTCCATCTCAAAAAAAGAAAAAAAATTTCCTCATTGTATTTTACTATTTCTGGATGTATATTATTTTTATTTTTCTATTCTTAGTTGTTCAAATTTCTTAAGTCTGGAAATTACTGTGGGCCTTTTAGTAAGCATATATTCAATCTGATTTTTATTCCGTCTTCTTTATTACCTTCTCTTTTTGTTTTCCATTCCTGTTATTCTTTGTGTTTCATTCTGTGTAGTTTCTTCAAATCTGTCTTCCAGTTTACATATCCCAACTATTTCTCTCTGAATGGATAGTATAGATTTACTTCATCCAATGAGTGTGATGCTTTGAAAGTTCAAGCTTTATGCAGTGAAGGCTAAATAGTTCAGATACAATTTTCCTTCCCACTCATGGTGCAGACTTTTCATCCTCTCTTTTATGCATGGTTCATTGGAATTAACCTGCTACTTTAGGCAGAGTTCTCCAGGGCAAACACCACTCTAGCACTTACTTTCTCTTCTGGGATTATATTTTTTGTAATTTCTGAGGATTTAAAAAAATTATTCTTCTACCCCCATGGTACAATTTTTTAACTATATTTAATCCAGCATTTTTAGGTTTGTGAACTCAGAAAATCTGAGACAGGTCTCAGTTAATTTAGAAAGTTTATTTTGCCAAGGTCGAGGACCCACGCCTGTGACACAGCCTCAGGAGGTCCTAATGACATGCATCTAAGATGGTGAGAACACAGGTTGGTTTTATATATTTTAGTGAGATACGAGACATCAATCAGCATGTGTAAGATGAACATTGGTTCCGTCTAGAAAGGCGGGACAACTTGAAGCAAAGGCCAGAAGACTCGCAGCAGGGAGGGGGCTTCTAGGTCATAGGCAGATAAGAGACAGATGGTTGCATTCTTTTGAGTTTCTGATTAGCCTCTCCAAAGGAGGCAATCAGATACGCATTTATCTCAATGAGCAGAGGGATGACTTCAAGTAGAATGGGAGGCAGGTTGGCCCTAAGCAGTTCCCAACTTGACTTTTCCCTTTAGATTAGTGATTTGGGGGCTCCAAGATTTATTTTCCTTTCGTAGGTTTCATATGTTGTAAATGTTTCTCTGAACAATATGTAACACTAGAGAATAATGGAAGATCCTGTATTCTTCTTTACCTTGTTGCTTCACTAGCTCAAGATTCAAAATCCGAGGAAAGACAATCTTTTTGGCTGACTAGATCACTTGCCAACTCTCTGTCTATAGATACTATGGGGAAGGAGAAGACATGATCTCTTTGGCTTAAAGAGTGAAAGGCAGGTACCGTCTCCCAATAAAATATCCACGAAAGGGAAATGGTGATTTCCTGAGAGAAAATTCAGGGCTGGAAGAAAGGGTGATGGATACTGGGGAAGAGAAATGTAAGATATAACCACTGTAACTCTCTTATCTCATCTTTAGCAATGTATTTTTTATGTGTGTATATATATGTATGTGTGTATATGGTATATATTACATATATATATAATGCACATTACAATGTATTGGGTACATTGCTAAGTAATGGGTCAGCTATTTTATGATTATTTCATTATTTTCTTCTAATAAGTTTAGTTTCCCTACAGTGTTGGTTTGAAACCATTACTAACTTTATTACTTCCAAATGCCTTGTGTCTCCTTAATGAACCCATCTAAGTTATGGTATGTGTTCAAAATGAAAGTTTGTTTAAAGGCTTGATCTGCAAGTGTCTGCCCTTTAACCTTGCTATTTTATCAACTACCTCTATCTTGCAGAGATAAATACTCTAACACATTTTAGAGGCTGGGTTCTCCCAGTGCTGCTGCTGCTTTCATGATTTCTGCTGTGGTTGCACATACACAAACAATGAACCAGACAGGAAAAATAGCCTCCTAACTGGTTAATTAAAT
Source organism: Homo sapiens (assembly GCF_000001405.40). Lineage (NCBI taxonomy): Eukaryota > Metazoa > Chordata > Mammalia > Primates > Hominidae > Homo > Homo sapiens. The sequence continues at coordinate 66,298,030 of NC_000010.11, read as the reverse complement.
ATGCAGTTTATTACAAATTATGGAGTCTAGTTATAGGGAAAATTCACTGAGTTATGGCAGTCCCTGTTTCTCTCTGCCTAAATTCTGAAAGCCAGAGTAAGTACTCCTATTATACTCATCTGCTTTCAAATTCTACTTAACTTACCCCATGGCTCCATCCTCGCAAGCTGGACGTAAGTGCCCAAACAGTCAGTGGCCCAAACATGGCAGGAGGTTGGATGAGACCCGCAGTAGCTCCACCATAGAAATACAGGATTCTTGTTTCACTAAGTGGTTATCTGGAAAGTTGGCCTTATTGTAGAAAATGATGAAAGGTTGCAGTGACTGCTTAACTCTGCATGATTACGTAGACAATAAGAAACATCTCTTTTGAAAGCCACCTTTATCTGTGTAGTGTTTTCTGGAAGCTCAAAGCATCTTAATTTTGAGGCTGAGCATATTTGAGACTCTATAAATGTAGGATAGAGGACACGAGGAAGAGATATTGCAGAAAAATGCAATGTTTCTCTCAGAAGAGAGGGCAAAAGACAGGGTACTTTTGGTACAGATGTAAAATTTACCTTTTAATATATATAATTACTTTTTGAAAATATATGATTAAATGTATTCTTAAACCAGTTTTCAGGAAGTTTCTTTCCATGTATATAGTCCCATAATTTTCCCAGAAATTATTTTAAATTGTTATTTTATTTATTATTCTGTCTCAGCATTTATGCCCGGCTTGCAAGGATGGAACCAGGGGGTGGTTATGTGGAATCTGTAGATCCGTCTTTTTCAATGATTAACCTATTTCAAGGATGAATTTAAAATAAATAAATTTATTTTTATCTCTTATGTGTGTATAGGACTGGATTCCTTCCAACCCCCCACATCTACTGCCATTCTTCTCTTTCTAGTGTAAGTTCACACATAAACTCATAGAATCTATCTGCTCACACATTATATTTCATTAATGTTTTCAATTCAGTAAAATGATGTAACATTTTCATAGTCTTGTTCAGAATTAACAAAATGTGAAGTATCAATGTTCAAAAGAAAGTGGACAAGAAAAAGAAAAACAGTCGTTACTATTTTTGGCATGGATTTTCAGTGGGGCAAAAATAACATGTCTGATTATTTATCTGCTTTGTATTTAGCACATCCATCTTTTAATATTGCCCCCTAAGTAGTTCTACTTTTCTTTTTATTATTTATGTTTGCTAATCAAGCTTTCAAAGCCTTGTGGATGTGTTAAAGCCAGGGGGTAAAGCATGACACAACCAACATTTTGTAAAATGTCACAACATTTAGTGAAGTAAAATCTTCTTGAAATCCATACAGATAATCCTCCCTTGGATTATAAACAGTATACAATTTCTTCTAGTTTCCAGAATCAATCAACAGGCATGATTTTTGTGCATGCGTGTGTGTGTGTGTATAGATATAGATATATAGATATATAGATCTGTGTGTGTGTGTATATATATACACACACGCATGCACACACATGTGTGTGTGAGTTTATTTTGTTATTCTAACCTTGGCTATTTTTAAAACACACTTAGGGATAAATACAAAATATGATGACCATTTTAAAGAGATCTTGCTATGTGAATTGAATACTAGAAGAGGAGACAGAATTTCGTGCTTTTGTTTAGAAGACTTCATAGTCATTTTAATATGGTGATGAATCAGAAAATGAAATTCCTTTATAGTTATAATCAATTTGAGTAACAGCTGAGAAAGTACAATAGAAATCATATAGTTTTACTTTTATCCCATCAAAGTCATGAAATATTCTGACAGGGCAATTTCATCTACTTGCCTCTTCCTATAAATCTTTAAAAATCTGTTTTAATAATAGGCTAATTTCCCTACCACATAAACCAAATATACTCTCAGTGGATTTGGAATTTATCCAGAATTATGTGTACTTCTTCCATTCTGGTTGAAGTAAAAATAGAAAGTGTAAAAAAATAAAAATCAGTCTTGGTTTTGATTTTGCTTAATCATTCAACATAGATATACCTTAATTATTAACTACAAAAGTTAGGTATGCATCCCCTGCATTAAGAAAGACTAAGGAAATCATCCAATACTAAAAAGTGTTATTGCCATCTCCAAAATTTTTCCTACTGAAGCCAGAGACAAAAGAGTTAATGTTAATACAAATACACCATGTTCCATATTACCACTTCTGCAGATGACTGGGACTTCTGCCTGACAGAACGTGGGACAATTATCTTGTCCTTTGTGTTCAGAGATGATGTGCTGACAGGTTATTTCCTGAGCGGTAACTAAGATATGTGACCTGCTATCTTTACCAGGAGGGAGCCTATTTTGTAGTTGACAGCAGCAGTCACTGAGGAAAAAGTTCGACATTTGTGGCCTTGTAGCCTTAGGGTCAGCTGAGTCTGGTTTTGATTCCTTCTTCCTGGTATGGTGTCCTGATTTCTGTTTTGTCTTGGCTTTATAAACTGACACTACCTTATTGCAAGTAATCTCTGAAGGTATTCCCTCTGTCCCAGCCCCCTACATGTGCAATCACCTACCATGTCCTACAATTACAAACTTTCAATTCTGGTGCCACTTTCTCCATTTTCTTATCAGGGAAATACACTGAGTCCCATTCTGAATGTAGATAGGATCTCTGCTACTAAGCTTTCTTTGCTGGAGGTTGGTTCTGCTGTTATTGCCCAGAAAGAGATTACCAAGCCAACGATTATGCATTTCTTAACCTACGCTTAGAATGTTTCAGTAAGATATTGCTCTTATAGTGCATTAGATAAATGCAGTTTCATTAACAAATTCTAAAAAAAAGACAAGTCTTAGGTTAAGTCTCTATTACAATGTAATAATAATGTCAATAAATATTTCCATCTTACATTTGAACAGTAATTTTGAGTTCCACAGTCCTTTCACATACAATACAGGTATTCCTGTAACATGACAGGTGTCACCAAAAGGATGAATCCCCTCTTGTCTTAAAAGTCTGTGAAGCTATCAACAGAGACACATTTAATTATGACTACCAAGTTCCTCTTTCAAACTATAGGGAAATTAGCCTAATATCAAGCATGATTTGGCCTATTGCCATGGCTTCAACTGTCATCCCAATGCAAATGTTTACCAAATCCCTCTCTCTCTCTCTCTCTCTCTCTCTCTGTCCTGACTGTCTAATAGGTATCTGGACTTGAAACTTACCTGAAACTCAACGTGAATAGACTCTTATTAACCCATCGAGACTTCCTTTCCTTTTGGCTCTTTTATTACTGATAATAGTTTGCCCACTTTCTTCTAGACATCAGGATTAGTCAATACCTTAGTCATCTTGGAATTCTTCCTTTGCATTACCTCCCTGCATCTAATCAGCAATAAAATCGTGAAGTTTCTATCTCAGTACCAAATGTCCCAACCTGTTCATTTCCACTGCCAACATCCTCATTCAGATCTTTATGAACTCTTTTCTTCTAGCCTACTCTAAAACCTCCTAACTTGTCTTCCTGTTTCAGCTTTTCTATTTTATACAAGACTTCTATATTCATAATGTAGAGCAATGATTTCCAGTCTTTTTAGTATTACACAACCTTTTATTCCAGTGAAACTGAACTTAAATATATAGAACAGATGAAAAAGTGCTGCTGTCTTTGTAACAGCGATTGAGTGTGGGAACTCACACTATTTTCAGTAGGGCTTCTCCTCACCCCCTCCTTCTTCTCTCTCTACCCACAGTGCTTCCTGAGACACTCTCATTGGAACAGAGTTGAAAACCACTGTTAAAACAACTTCTCAGACAAATTAATTATGACCGGATGATAAAACTCTATTTCCAACATGCTGCAAGGAAATAGGCTTTAGAAAAAGTAAATTTAAATATGTCCTCTTGATAGAGATGATTCATTTAAAACATGATGATTAGACAATCACTATTAGATTATATGCAACTATTCCAAAGATTCTCGTTAACAATCATTGGGCTATTAGCATGATGGTTACTTGAGGCCAGTCTAATCTCCTAGAAGAGGTCATAATCTCATGAAAGTCTATTAGAAAGGTGCTTGATTTTTTTCTTGTCAAGAATGCTGATGACCGGGCACGGTGGCTAACGCCTGTAATTTCAACACTTTGGGAGGCAGAGGTGGGCAGATCACGAGGTCAGGAGTTCAAGACCAGCCTGGCCAATATGTTGAAACCCCGTCTCTACTAAAAACACAAAAAATTAGCCGGGCGTGGTGGCAGGCGCCTGTAATCCCAGCTACTCGGGAGGCTGACGCAGGAGAATTGTTTGAACCCTGGAGGCGGAGGTTGCAGTGAGCCGAGATCGCACCACTGCACTCCAGCCTGGGCGACAGAATAAGAGTTCATCTCAGAAAAAAAAAAAAAAGAAAGAAAAAAGAAAAAATAATGCTGATTAATTCACAGAAAAAGTAATGAATTACATTGTACAGGAAATTTTAAGGCAGATCAAGTAGCAGATTTACTTTCTCACTACTAGTCATGTTAGAATACTACTGGAATTTTCTAAAGGCCATTAAATATCTATCAAATTAAGAATAGATTCTTTGGCTTAAAGTTTAAATTACAACTTGTTGTAATCTAACTTTTAGCTTTTTTTTCCCTGTTTTACTACATTGATAGATATTACAATCTCAACTCTACTTTTTCTCATTTTAATGTCTCTGAAGCTTTATATGATTCTCTTTTGGCAGTTTTGTTATTCTGCCTTGTATTCTACAGTTAGTAGGAAACACAGGCAAATATATAACAGGTAATATATTGAAATCATATTATAAATACATAATTAAAATCTACATTTTCAGCCACCAGTAGTTTGTTATGTTCTTGTTTTACCTCAAAGAGATTGTTAACCTTTTAAAAGCTTTATAGGACAATTCTTCATTTTTAGAAGTATTTTGTGATTCATTTTTTGCTAGCTATGCAGTTTTAGACATTAATACTTAATCTGACTGAACCTTAGTTTTGTGATCATCAAAACTTATACATATCAATAAGTAAATATCTATTGAAATGATTTCTTCCTGCAGTAAAAGAAAAACACAATGCATAGAAGGATAGAAGGAGGTAGCCTGAAAAAATGAGATCTTAGCTCATATCTGTCTCTCTAGGCATCTCTAGGCATCTTGAGGATAATAGGCAAGGTAATGAGGTCTTTTGAGGAGAAAGAAGTAGGTAGATTTAAGATTATTAGAATTAAAAATAACAAAATTGCTTATATATACTTTCTCTCTACATTTGCAGGCAGCCTCATGATGATTTGGAGAATTCCAGAGGTAGAAATAATAAAATGATATGTGAGAGGTTTTCATGCCTCAAAATAAAAGGTTTTCAGAGCATTCTTGCTGACTCAGTGAATTGATATTAGCTTTAGGTATTTTGGGTTTTATCCTTATTAATCCTCTTAACTTCAGAGCTTTGTCCATCAGTAATATACTAAATGTACTGTGTGTGCACTATTGAGGCACAGCCAAGAATTGCAGTGGCAGAACTTTAGTGAATAGGAACAGAAAAGGTTTGAGAAGCAAACTTTTCCATTGAGAGAGACCTACACGAAATTCACAGCAACTGATTCAATGATAACTTAATGATAACTCCTTTGACCTTAATGATAAAGTTAGTAGGTGCATTAATTAAAAGACAATCATTATATGTTTTACTTGTAAAACTGGGTGAGTTATGATGCATAGAAGTTAGATCATTGAATTGATAGAACTTGTGCTAGGTAGGCATATTCACTCAGTGCATAATTACTGAGCATCTACTATGTGCCAGAAACATATTTGAGAGGCCGAATCAGCAGGACATAGTGATTGATTGATTGAACATGGAGAGTGGGAGATACATGAGGAGAGAGAAGAGTAAATTTGGTGGGAGAAACTGATGATACGAAACATATGTGTTTACACATAAATGATATATATGTGTATGTATATATATATGTGTGTGTGTGTGTGTGTATCTGTATATGCATGTTTTATATACCAAATTTGGTGTGTGTATACATGTGTGTATGTGTATATATATCTGTATGTGTTCCACATCAAATGATATATTGAGGTATATTATAATATATTGATATACAATATGAGATATATTATAATACATATATACATATATGTACACAAAAGTGTTTGGTATACACACAGAAACACACACATATATAGACACACATATATATGCATACACATATATATAATTTATGTGTTCACACATATAATTTGGTGTGTATATATATGCCAAATACACACACATACACATACATATATACAGACAGATATATATTAATATATAAATACACATATATATAATTTATGCACACATATCTTCTAAGTATCTTCCCTTTGTGGAACATCAAATAGGGTGACAAACAATAACAACTATTACAATAAAATTCCTTCTTTAATACAATATGGGAAGAGCACAGAGAATACTAACCTACTCTAACTGACCGAGAACTGCATCACCTTCCCTCTTCTCAGATGTAACTGGACGTTTGAACAAATTCATGGTTCTTTTAGCAACAATGTTGGTAGTGAGTATTCGGGGAGCCAACCAATTGTATCTGCTAAAAGTGATTCTCAAAGATGATCCCTGGACTAGCAGTATCCACATCAGTTGAAAACTTGTTAAAATTTAGATTCTTCTGCAGCACTTTAGACCTATTGAACCAGGAACTCCATGGGTGGGGCCTTAATGGGCCTTTCTGGTGATTCTGATGCATGGTAAAGTTTGAAAACTACTGTGTTATAATAAAGTTTACCGAGCAATGAATTTACTGTTTGCACAGGACTACAGCCTTGTAAAACTTCAGAGAAAACACAATGCATATAAAATGCAATGAGAAAATGCAATCAGGGAAGAGACCCCCAATCAGGAAGTTTGATGTCAAGCCTCAACATACCACACATTACTGCTTTCACACGTGTAAATCACTAGCAAAATAACTGGTACTTAGTAAGTGATCAGATGTTTGTCTTCTCTTATTTCCAAACGATCAGATATTATGATGGACACTGTCATATAGGTTATCATATTTTGTAATCCTGATCTGAGGCTTTCTGTCTCAGGAATAAAATGCAGCTGATACAAGTCACTTTCATTTTCACAAGAGAATATCAATTTACATCATTAGCATTTTTGTTTCTAAAACAAGTGTTGGAAGTTCTTTTGCCTGATAAACCTGAATGACCATCCTACAAGAAGTAACTCACTGTTGACATCAATTTCGAATAATTTGTGACTCACTTCTGTCAAAAGCCATGTTGAGATCATTTATTCATTTATGCATTGACTTTCTCTCTAGAATTCAAATCAAGACCTATTTCTGTATGTCATATCAGGTAGGTGCAAATCAAAACTCTAGTACTTTAACTCTCTGCAGACGATAATCTGATATTGTAAAAAATAAATAGTCTTATGAAGAATGCTTTTGCATTTTCTTAACATCATTTGTAAAGACTATTGTTCATTTTATTATTTAATAACCAATAACATAAATAAATACATGATACATTTATTCCTCTTAGTATACAGCATTGAGAAGGAAAAGTCTTTTCAAGTATATCCTGATGAAAATAGAAATTATCATTTTCATTTGAAAATTTCAAAGTGCTTAGGTTCCTTTTAGTAGGTAATATGAACCATATAACCCATTGCTTCATTTTTGCCTGGACCTCAAACAATCAATTTTATACTTAATTGCTGTACCTTAACTCTAGGATTTTTAATGTAATTATATTTCTGCTCCCTAACTTTGATTATGTGGCTCCTGTTGGCCTTGTTTTAAAGCTTATTGCACACTTGACTCTTTTTTAAAAGCTGCTTTTAATTCACTTTTGGGGGAGATGTAGGAGAGTTATAAAAATAAATCTCTACTTCTCTTTATTCACACATCGTATTATCTATGCATCTATCCACCCAACTTCTCCTACTACTATCCTTCTTTCCTTTTATCCACCCACCTAGCCATCCAGTCATCTACCCACCCTCTCATTCTTCCATTTATTCTTTTCAAATGAATTTCTGCTTGTAACCAGATATAGCCAGAGAAAATAAATACAATGCATGTATGATTGTGAAGAAACTTATGGAATCAGAGAGTAACTATGCTAGAGGAGAAGAACTAAACCAACTTTTTCATTTTATAGAAGGGAACTTTAGCTTATTTTGTTTTCTGATGTTTCATAATCATAGTTTACATAGATTCAGAAAGTTTTTGGATTTCTATAACTACTTTAAACATGCTTAGCATGGTTATAAAACTTCATTTTCTTGTATAGACTTGTTTAAAATAGTGTCTGTAAACCAACATGTGGAAATTCAGCTTTAAAAAGAAAAAGAAATTAGGAGGTAAATATTTATGATAGAAGTTACTTCAGTTGCCTTAAATAGTAAGCTCCCCTACTGCATTTAAAACAGGAGTTTTCTTCATTCATTCAACAAATATTATTAAAAGTAATAATTCAGTTCACCAAACTCTCACAGCCAAAAAGTTTACAATCAATTTCTATTCAGATTTCTAGAAAAGTATGTTACATGAGTTAAACATGCTTATATGTTTAAGCCGTATTAATTTGGGCTCCCCGAAGTTAATATATTGGGTGTAATAGTAGGAGGATTCAAAATAAATGAATATCAAATACAGGAAAAATAAATTTATTCTTTAAAAATCTTTCTTGTTTGTTTCCAAAGTGCTGGGATTACAGGCATGAGCCACCACGCCTGGCCTGTTCTTTAAAAATCTTAACCTTGTACCCCTTGCATATAGGAAGCTCTTATGCTTCCATGGGAAATACAGCTAATGCGGAAAATAAAATCACAACTATCAATGAGATTGAATCCATAATCTTTTACTGTAGTATTACAACTCCTTAAAATTAATTAACAGTTTTGTTAGAATGAAAGTAACAAATTGGAACTGAAATTCCAGACACTGTTAACATATATTGCAATTAGTACAATTTCATCAGCTGTAGAATCCCATAAACTTCAAGGGATTAACACAATTAATATGGCAAAGAGATAATCTATAATTTCTCAAACTACAAGGAAAACTATGTTTTTTGTTGTTAAGTAGTCATCTATATTTATACCAAGGAAGATACATGTTGACCAATAAAGCTAAGAATTGTATCATTAGATAGGAGCTAAAATACAATTTTGCAATAGCCCAGGGCATTTTGAGGTGCCAGAGAGGGTTTCTTTAGGGTTTTTTAACTCATAGTAGTGAGATATACACAGAATCAAAGATGATACCGATATCACTCATCCAACATTAAACCAGTGCCCTGCAGAGGACAGGTGCTTCACAAATAATTGATTTGCAAATATTTGAAATAGTGCTGTCCAATAGAACTTTTTGTGATGATAGAACTGAGCTATATCTACACTATCTAATATGGTAGCCATATGTGGTGGGCTAGAGTGACTAAGGAAATAAATGTTTAATTGTATTCATTTATAGTATTTTAATATAAGGTTAAATAGCAGCGTATATCTGGTGGCCACTGTATTAAACAACACAACTTTAGAAAATAGTGAAGTATGAGCAACTCAGTGGTGCACACGTTAAAAATTTTAAACATATTCATTCATTAATTTATTGCTATTTGCATTTGGTGTTAGGTTTCCTCTCCCCAACTCCCTACCCTTGTTGATTGAATTTTATTTTTTTTATTGTAGAATCTTAAAAAGTTTACAGAAGTCAAAAATGTACAAAAACTACTCTGAGACAAATCTATCTTCTCATATCCCTTCTACCTTACTCTTAAGATTCCTTGTATATAACAAGTCTTCTTATTCCTTTATCCTTAATGTGAATCTTTTTTAAAAATGTGTGTGAAGATAGGCAAATTAAGATGTGTTTTCTTATTTCTCCTTCATTCTTGCACAAAAATAATACACATATATATCTGTATATACAATTTATGTTTATATCTGCATATAAAATTATGAGTTCAAGCCAACATCTTCAGTTCAGTCCAGTCCCATGGGGTTCATCTTTGTCTTACCACAGCAGTTTGTCATTCCTTAGCAGTACCTCCCTGTTTACATAGTGAGAACCCTGGCTCTCAAATATATCACATGTTTACATATTGTCTCAATACTCTCTGGGTATTCCTTATACTGCTTTTCCAACTCCACTATTTCCTCAGCCCCACGTTTTGATCTTTTGGATTCACCTCTTGTTTTAAGAGTATGTGTGCCAAGTGTCTTCCTGACAGTTAATAGAAATTAAATATTCTGTGTACTTGAATGTCTGAAATAATGCCATCATTCACTTAACTGATGGATTGGTTGGATATTGAATTTCAAGTTTAAAATAAATTTTTCTTAGAATTAAGGCATTATTTTATGTTTTTTCCTTTGGTATCTAGCCTTTCTCATGAAAAGTCTAATGCCAATCTGATTTTAATATTTTGCTGATAATCTTTTCTCTCTTAAAGATGTAGCTCTTCTCTTTATCCTAAGTGTCCTGCAATGTTTTGTGGGTATGTCTCAGGGTGGTTATTCTTACATCCAAGCAATAGAACATAGTGGCTATGGGCACAGGCTCTGAGTCTGAGTGCCTAATTTTGAATTCTTACTCTACTACCTACTACTTTCCTGAGGAAACAAAGTGACCTGACAGAGTTTATACTTTGAGAGCTTTCTGTCAGGATTTTAGAAGTGGCTGAGTACAAGAAAACACATACAGTAAAGTAAGAGACATAGGAGCTTTACAAAAAGGTAGGGCAGAGGCAAGGGGCTCTCATTCTGTTACCCAGGCTGAACTGCAGTGGTGTGATCATAGCTCAATGAAGCCTTGAACTCCTTGGCTCAAGTGATCCTCTTGCTTCAGCCTTCCAAGTAGTAGAAACTACAGGCACATGCCACCATGCCTGGCTAAGACACAGGTGCTTTAATAAACGTATATTTCAGGCATTAGCGTGTCCAAGAGACAGGATTTCCTAATATACTTGGAGGCAAGTGTGGGGGTGCTGATTGAGGGAAGTTTCGCAGAGAAGCTTATGTTTAAACTGAATCTGATTTCAAATTACATGAAGGTATTAAGTTATCATATGTACCCTCAAATATGTACATCTATTATGTATCAATAAAAAATAAATTTATAAAAGTAAATAAATAAACAATAATCTGAATCTGAAGAATGGGCAGAAAGATACCAGATAGACAAGGTTGGAAAAATGGTTCTACTCTGACACATAATTATAGACAACTGTGCAAAGAGAGTTGAAGTTTGTAGAGGTAAGATCAATTCTATTTATTTTCAGCCAAGGAATCCCCAGCAATATGTGAAGGACCACCTTCATTCAACACCACTGGTCAAAGGAAGATACATTTCTCCTACTAGATGTGATCCCACCCTATAAACCTCTGTACCTTTTAAACCTCTGCACCTTTTTACTCTAGACTTCTTTCCCTGTTCCTCTAGTTCAGGATACCCTCTGAGTACTGAGCAGCATTTTGCTAACACTACAGACCTTGGAGCCCTTTTACCTTTCTATTTTTCTTTAACTTTTTCCCTGTTGTAACTGTTTTTCTGAATGGTAGAAAGTGAAGAAATTAAGATTTGATCTTGAGCAATAGGATGGTGAGTGATTCTAAAAGAGGAAGATTTAACAGTCTAAACTCAAGATGCAGGAGTAGATTTTTTAAAAAATCAAAGTAATCCCTAGTCTTAACTAGCAGAAACCAGATCCCTGGAAGAGATATTAAAAGGGAACAAGAGAATATACTCTGCAGAAAGCTAAAAAGTAAAAGATGGTATGTGCCAAATATTAGGGAAGATACAGAGCAACTAGAATATTTAGGCATTGTTGATAGGGGTAAAAATTTTTCCAACCACTTAGGATATTGTTGATGTTTACTAATGTGAAATATATGGATATACTATGGCCCAGCAAGTCTACTGATATGTATATTCCCTAAAAATGTACACATATATTCACCAAAAAACATCTACTAGGATATTCATAGCACCATATATATTATAGTCCCAAACTAAACATTATGCAAATGCCCATCAACCATAGACTGGATAAATACATTTTAGTATAATGACATGCTATACAGCAATGAGAATGAATAATTCCATATACAACTTACATAGAAAAAAATTTAATGTTTAGTGAAAGTTGATACAAAAAGTATATGCAGTATGATTCTATTTGCATGAACCAAAACAGTTGCACGAACTTCTTATTCATATGCTTAATGCCACTTTCTACTATTAATTCTCTCCCAGTTAATTAACATAACATAAATAAAAATAGTATTGATAATTTAAACATTTGAGAATTCTTACTGAGAAATGCAAAGAAAACCAAGCAATTTAAAAAAATAAAATTTATTAACAATTTAAAATAAATAAAATTTATAAAGTAGTACATAAAAGAACAAAGGTCATCATAGAACATTACTTGGTTCAGGTCCAACTTTGAATATTTAAGTAGTCACATTTGTGTAAATGATTACTGTGATGTAAACAAATTAGAAAATGATGTGAGGAAAAGCATGAAAGAGCTTAATCTTCATCATATTAAAAATTCATTGGATACACTTTTAATATAATTAAATCAGAAATATTATTTATTAATATTAACCCATTATGTAGACATATGAAGATTTTTTAAATTAAGCTACAGGGAAAGAAGATGAGTTTCTAAGTCACTGGAGAGACTCAAAGGTGGACACTCAGGCTAATTAAATGATTAGCGTTTCATATGTAGAAAACCTACTCTGCCAGAGGGGGAAAACATAATGTATCAGCTTCATGAAGCTATATCTAAGTCCTTTCTCTCTAGTATTTTATTTTTTACTTTTTGAAGATATTCCAGATATTCTTGAAAGATAGAGTAGAGTATAACACAGAGGTCAAAAGTGCTGCTCTTGTTAACCATGTGATGTGTGATAAAGGATCAGAGTAGGTCAGTACTTTGGGACATATCATTTGAAAAATGGTGAAATCCTTACTAGTCATTGATTTGTATGATATATGATCTATGAGGTACCAAACATATTCTTGATACATAATATTGGCTCCCTAAATATTAAATATATATGAACCACAATAATTAGCATTTATTGAATAAATGAAAAAAAGAAGAGTATAAAGTGGTATTTGTAGAAGTCATTTATATGCTTAATGCCACTTTCTAGTATTATTAATTCTCTCCCAGTTACTTAACATAACCTAAAGAAATGATGACTTAGCATTATGTGAGCTTTCAAAGGCAAATTTCTTTACCACCAGTAATTTTCAAAGGTAATGGTATAATTAGAAATATTTTAATCTGGGCTTTATTAATGGTAGAAAACAATTTGGTGATATCATTTTTAGATCATTATTGTAATGAGTCTGAATTCTTTTCTGACCTATTTAATTCCATAATAATGTATCCTCACCTACTTTCAAATGCACATAATAAATTTATCAAGGATTAAGAAGGGATGAAATATTTTTGGGCTACTACCAGACAGAAGCTCAAGGCCTAGGAGAACTTGGCTGTGTAGGTCTGTTAACTGCATTGTCAGAAAATTATCATGAATTCCCCCAGGAGAGCAGCAATTCAGAAACCCCATGGACTTTACTTATCAAAAGAAAGCAGTGCAGATTTAGGGTTCAGAGAGCTGGCTCTATATTCTCAATTACCAGCCAATCTCTTATTAACTATGTGACCTCAGTTTCCTCATAGGTAAATCAGGATAGTAATAGTTCCTGCCTTACAGGGCTTCCGTGAGGATTATGAGACATGCATCTAAAATGCTTAGCACAGTGCCAAGATGAGTGAGAATGGTAGCTATTATTCTGTCTATTCTGAATAAAGTAGGCAGAGAAAGTATAGGCTGCAAAAGAGTTCAGAACTGGTTCTGAATTTGGCTGTGTAAAATAGACAAGATACTTTGAAGTCGCCGGGGTGTTGACCAAAAGGCCGCCTTTGTTTGATAAATCTACACTCCAAAGTTCAGAACAGCTTATCCTACCTGGCATTTCCATTGATTAGAATGGATGTGTTTAAGGTATCCCTCTCTTTGATCAATAATTCTATAGCATGATTGTATATTAATGTCTAAACCTCATTTTCTGAAAACCTAGGTAGATTATGGAGTAAAGACAGGCTTGTCAATTTGCTATTCTTCCTAAATTACCATAAACTGATTACTTATTTATACTCATTTTGTATTTTCTTGAAAGCATTAAAAAAATTTACTCCTAGTTTGATCCAAGCAACCATATGTCCATAGTGTAAGTAAAGTACACCCACAGCTGATGTTTAAGCTAATGAAATGAGAAATGAATTACATATCAGCTTTGAATAGTTCATTTATGTTGTTAGAGTGAGAAAGTAGTAGTTTCCATCTGTACTTCAGAAATTAAACATTTGCTTCTGAAAGATTTTATTTTAATTGAAGCTAATATTAATTTATTAGTAAAAGGCCCTTAGAGGAGTTAAAATGAAATCATTTTGCACTAATGAAAAGGCTGTGTTGTATTTTTTTGTAAGATTCCTTAAATCTTTCTTGCAGTTACTTCACAGGGCAGTGAAAAACAGATCTTTACATGACTTTAAATTTTTCTTTTTTTGCCAAAATCTACATAGGAAGATGGTGGGAACTGTATCAATAATAGCAGATTGAAAGTATTAATAGACAGAATTAAATTATTACTGTATTGCACACTTGTTTGGTATATGAGAAAAAGCATTTTTTAGTGGGGATGACTATGAATAAAGTTATGTAGCCGACAGGTCCCTACAGGTTTTGAGGACATATCTCTTTTTACTTAACTATGTCTTTGGAGTGAATAGAGCATATCACAGAGGCTAGAAGCCATTTTGTCCTGTTCTTTAGAGTAGTAGTTTTGACGGTTGGTTTGCTGTCTACTCCAGAACCTGAAGGAAATGTGAAATAACTGGACACATTTTCTTAGATGTTCCCTCCTCTTTTAACACTACAAAAGTAATGATTAACTCATTAAGCAGATTTGAATGTTCCTATAAGCCTGCATAAATATATTTTTGGAGCTTTTCAGTTGTTAACAAAACCAAAATCACATTTAAATGCAAGCTGGACATGTTTCATTGTACCTACTCTTTGCTTGATTTTACATATTAATTAATTAATTCATTCATTCATTTAATCACTTAATTCATTCGATCATTTATTTACTGCATGCCAACCTATGCACTTAGGATATAAACAAAGAAAAGCTTCAAGGAACAATTGAAAACTTGTAAACACTGTATTAACATGATGTGTTCATAAAACAACTTATTGAGTGTCCATCATTTGAGAGATACTATAATACTTAATGCTAAGAGCAGGTGCCATTCATAAGATTATACTTAAAATGAACCTGAGAATGAGCAGAATTTAGACATGGGAAGAACTATGCTGTGGATGGAAATAGTAGATGATGATGAATAGAGACAGTGGGGCTAAAAATTCTCAATGGATTTGGGATATATTTACATAGTAGAGCAGATGGCACTTAGTAGGTATTTGGATGTAAGGAATAAAGAAGTATAGGAGGTCAGATAAAACACCTGGGTTTTTTTCATGAATGACTCAGCACCAACATAGAATATGGTAAAGGAAAATTAGGTTTCCTGGGTAGAAAGAAATGTATTTAGATTTAGATAGAATATGTTTGAGATGTTATAAAAGATTCAGGCAGAATTTTGCCATTGTCAGTTGGATATACAGTTCTGAAATTAAGGAGAAAGGTCTAGATTAGAGATATACTTTGAGAGTCACATCCATATATAAGAGAATTGTGGTTTGAGATTGTTTCTCCTAGGCAAAGTGGTATGAGTTTGCTCTCCCTCTTGCTTTATTATTCCGTCCGCTGAAAGGGAGACTGTGATTTGAAGGTTTCTCAGTGCAAAGTGGTATGACCCAATAGAAGTTTCTGTTATCCCAAAAGTTACCCTGATGATAGCCATATATCCACTCTTCAAAATGGTAATCACTAGTCACATGTATGTGTTAAGCAGTTGAAATGGGATGAGTATGACTAAGGAATTGAATTTAAAATTTGAGGCTAATGAATTTAATTTTTAATAGCTATATGCAGCTAGTAGCCACCTTTTATTAGACAATGTGCCTAGAGAATAGACAGAGAATAGGAGCACAGTGGATAATGTCAGCAGATATGGTGGCTCAGAAGTAGGGTATAAGTGATACATTTTGGCAGCTAGAGGAAAGAAAGGACCAGATAAAAAGAGTGCCCATGTATATCATCAAAATTTCCTCATATCAATAACATGGCAGGCAGAATTGCAAGAGATGGTATGCCATACAAGCAGATACAACTTAAATGTAGAAAAATAACATTTATTGATATTTTTATACCAGTCAAAATATTTCTATCTTCCAGGTTTATAATTATTTCTTCTAAAAATTAATCTTTTTACCCGACATCTTCATATGGGCAAGAGGCTTCCTCACTATGATATAGTAGATTAGTTTGAGTGTAAAGTGTAAAGTCCCAAAAACTGCATTTTGGGACTCTGAGTTCACATCTCTAATTACACATTAACAGAATGAATCTGTGGAAGAGTCTTGATTTCTCTGTGTCCTAGTTGTTAAACTATTAATACTCAGTTAATACTGGGGTTAAGATTTGAATCACATTGAACACTTAGAAAAGTACCTTGAGCCTAGTGAAGAGATAATAACTGTTAATATCATTAACCTTAAAAGTAAAATTGAAGAAGCGTTTTTATTTGAAACTATTTTGAAGCCTTAATTTAAAAAGATAATCCATGGATTGGCTTACTGATAGAAGCATCCCTATAGTCAGTCAGTGTTTTGTTATTTTAAAGATAGTTTTCATATGAGAATGCCAATTCCTTTTCACTAATTTTTTTTATTATAGAGAAAACATCTTACTAAAAGGAAGTTTACAATATTTTTATTATTTCTATAAGGCAGAATTACTACTTTTAGCTAAATTTTCTTCTGTTTAGCAACTCAATTGCTTTCTTTCTTTAAATATCTTTGTGTTTACAATTCCAACTGTTTTACACACCAATTCCTTTTTGTAATGTCTTGTGGTTTATATTGAATAGGATGAGAAATGATTGTATGGTCCCAAGGTTTTGTAAAAACAAAGATGATATAAAGGAGAAAGATAATCTTTTAAAACATTTATATAATAATGCCTTTCTCTCCAGAAGCCTGGGGTTTAGAAAAAAAAAATGCCTTTAATTGTCTTTGATTCGTTTTACTTTTCAGAGATTCAAGATAATCCTGCTAAAATTTGTGTATCTCTATATTTAAAAAATACAATTAAAGATCTATTAATCAAATATTTGTTTAAAACCAAATTCTACATTTCCTGGAAACTACTGTATAAATCCAAAAATACAAAGAGGACAATCTTCTCCTTATTCTTTATTTTAACAGTAATTCCTGAATTTGTAACACAAGTGAATGTTGCCTTGGAAGCCTTAAGCAAAAGCTCATTGAATGTGTTGGATGATAATCAATTTGTGGACATCTCAAAGAAGATCTATGATACAATTCATGATATCAGATGTTCAGTCATGATGATTCGGGTAAGTTTGCTTTTCCTTCCATTGAATTATTGCAATGTTCTTCACCATCTGGAATGCCTGGGATGACTGCAAGAAATGCTTTATTTCTATGCTGTAATGTCAATGCTGAAATCTATTAAAACTTTAGAAGTTCATATGTATCCCCAAAGTCAGATCTACTGTCACAAACAACACTTTTACTTATGTATTTGGTTATAACTTACACAAATGAGTGCATTTTACTGCTGCGTGTGCAGAAAAGATAGGATTTGTTGGGTGCAGGATTTGTTGAGGTGTCTCTTAGCATGATCAGAAGCCAAAGAAAAATACATAAAGTAATTTGCTTTTTTATTTTTGTTGAACAAAAAGGAAAGAATCTTTCTTATCACTGTAGTGGAATTGATAGGAAAACGTGGTATTTTATGGCCAAACCCTCTCATCCTAGATCATAAAATCACAGAGTGTTCTGCAAGAAATCTCACTTGGAGTTGCTGGCAACAACAAACACTTCAAGGGTCCCAGTCTGGGAGTTGTCTGTTTGGGGACATATATTCCACCTTCCCAGGCGTGAGAGCACAATTTGTTGCAGGCACACTGTATATACAGAAACCAGGATTGTTTTCCCTCAATTATTAATGTAAAATGTTCTTTTAAATGTTACCAAAAAATGCACATTCTTTGGAAAATGCATATGTAAAGATATGGAGATACCTTAAGTGGATTCACCTGAAGACAGACTCTGAAGTAAGGATTTGTGTTATCAATAGTCTATTTAAGAGAAAGTGAGACAAAGTGAGGCAGAGAGGGGAAGAAAACCAAGAAGGTGTAATTATGGGTCACTGCAGGCAACTGGGGCTTGGGGCTTGATCCTGCTGTTAAACTCTGGGTAGTACTGCAGAATGCACCTCAGCACTTCAGAATTATCTTACCTGACATGAACAAACTGGATATTTAGCCACCTATTCATCCTGGGTGAAAAGCTACCCTCAGAGGTGTCACCTGAACCTCATGTTCAGGGCCAATCAAGCTTTTGTGGCCAAAGAAAGTAATTCTCAGGCAGGGTAGCAGGTGCTTGCTGTAGGAAGATTCAGTGGGACTGGTGAATATAATTTTTAAGTATGAATAGAATTCAATTTTTAAGCCTCTGGACTTAACTGTTAGTAAGTCTGTAAGATGGATATAGAAGTGCTGAGAATATATGAGTGGAGCATCAGTAGTATTAATATCTGATAGGCCTGAATGTCACTGGCTATACTGAGCAGTCCATAAGTCATTTGTGGACCTTGTAAAGAAAAGGGCCAATAAATATTACGGAGTCTGGCAGGGCAGCAGGATGCTGTGGAAGAGCTTGTAAGACAAAGTCTAAAGGTGTCAAGACAAAGAATCTAGTACACTGAGGCTTGGGAAAACCTGAAAGCAAACCAATTACCATATCAAAGAGAAACCTCAGGATAAATACTTGTGAGCAACCTACAACTATTTCTAAGTGATTAGAAAATGTGGCCCTGTACCAATGACTATGTCTGGGCAGCAAGAAACTTTACCAATTTTCTTGTTGCAAAATTTTTAGGCCTTACCTCTGTGGATTAGTGGACTAGTAATAACCCAAAGCTGAGAGGTAGATGAATCCATAAAAGAAACATTAAAAGTGTAAAGAAGGCACATGAACTTCAGGATATAGTCTTGCCAGAGTGAAACCTCTCCATTTTCACTATTCCTGAGTGGATATTTGAGAATATAAACCAGTGAGATAGCACAGGGGAACCAGGGTACGGAATGCATTTTTCTTCTTACTAAAGCTATCTAGGGATGGAAAAAAACATCTTATAGCTTCTCCCAGTTAGATGTTCCAGTATTTTTACATTTCCTCATTATCAAGATAGCTTACTTATAGCAAATCAAATTATCTTGCCATTATTTTTACATATTCCTCATATACAGTGGTCCTCTGTAGGGCAGGAGAACAATTTATTGTAATTATTAATAGCCTTTGAGAGCAGTAATTTTCTCCCATAGTCATCTCTTTTTCAAGATAAATACTTCCATTTCTGTTAACTTTTTCTCATAAGAAAAATTTAGTATTTTGTGTTCTTCACTAGTCTTTATTTAATTTTCAACAAACTTCTCAAAAGAGACTATCAAGAATACATTCAAATTAGTGCCTGTCCAATGTCAAATAAATTAGAAGACTTGTTCTTATGTTATTTCTACCAATATAGCCAACTGCTATTAGCCTATATTTTTTTCCATTTAAACATTATATTTATTGGATAGAGGTTGACTTCCTTTTCCTTTTTTTTATCTTGTATGCCTATGTATGCATCCTTTATTTTGATTTGTTCTGTTCTTGTTTTTAAGTCCTAATCCTATTACACTGTATATGATTCTTCATATGATTTATCAGATTGTTTTCTGGTTTGGTTGTTGAATTTATCAAGTTAGTATCAATCAGAAACATGAAATGTAGAGTCTTAGCTTCTTCAACTAAATAACTAATAAAACATTAAATTATATTGGTCCTTTATCTGACTGTAATCACTGCTAGAGAGATTCAGTTAAGAGCATTAGTGTTAAGAACCTTTAGTATCTGATGTTCCATGCAACTGAGAACATGTCTCTAAGTACATGGTTTGAAAGAGTGTTTTCTGAGTTTTAAGGCAGATATATTATTTCTTTAAGTACACTTTATGGTCAAAAAGATAAAGCAAATAAAATCAGAGCTGCTGTACTTGAAACCAGGGAGGAATACCCAGAGGGTCATCGTCTCTATCTCTATACCCCCAGTTCCCTAAGCAGCCTCTAGGGGAACCTCTACACGACTTCTACAGGGATTCCTTGGAAAATGATCCATAAACTTATGGACTTAATCGCTAACTGGGTTATAGCATAAAAATAAATTCTCACTTAGGTGCAAGTAAATGAAAATCTATCCGTTTTTTTCTTAAAGACTGTCCCTTTTTCACAGAAGAGAATAAACTTGATCTGGTATAATCTTCTTTTTACAAGGTCAAATTTAATGTTGGCCAATATTCTGGCCTTAGAACTGCAAAGTATTTGATCCTTTCTTCAAGGTATCTAAAAAGTGTCAACATTAAAGCAATAAATGTGTAATTATACAAGCTCAGGGAGGGATAGGCTATGCTATTGAGGATATTTGTAAGTGTATCAGAATCCCATTTTATGTCTAAATTTTTATGAATACTCTTCAGTGCCTTTGAAACAATAAAATACTAACTCAAGATCAGAACTTGGCATTTTATAGGGTTTTATAAAAATATGATTATGTCTTTACTATTTGTTTTGATCAATAATTATGCTAGCAGTTGTTTAAAATTCTAAGATATTTAGAATGTCACTAAATACTGTGACATTTAGTATTGCTATTTCCACTGGACTCAGTGTGTAGACAAGTGAGGTTATAGACTATCATACTTAGCACACTCAGAGAATAAGCAGTATTAAATATTTTGATCTGTTTGATATTTAATATACATGTGTAAATTATACAACTATTAAGAGTGCATAATATAATGGTTAAAACTAAAGCAAGAAACAAATCTTACTTAGCCTCAATTTCATCCTTTGTAAGATAGACATGGTATTAAACCTACTTCAAAAGATTATTATGCTTACATGAGTTAATAGAAATGAAATGCTTAATAAACAATAGGCTATAATAAGAAGATAGCTACTACTACTATTATTACCACATAGAGTTAGTACTTACTAGACCTACTGAAGCTAATTAATATTTTTGCATATCTTGACGAATATTAACTACATAAGCATGCTTGTAGAGCAACATGAAGGGCAAAGTCCTAAATCAAGAAATCTCTTCTTTTATAAGGCAATGTTTAAATAAGAGGATACTTATGCTTATTAACATCAGGTATCTAAATGATAGACTGTTAAATGCAAATTATGCTTTTGAACCTATATTAATTTAAGGTAGTATTATAATTCTGCACATAATTTTTATAGACCCCTTAAAACATAAATGAGAACTGAACTCTCAATGTTCATCTTTTTTTGGTAAAAGACATTTAACCACAAATGGAGGAAATTTTAAAAGAGTACATAATTGAATTGAGAGAGAGGGTAGTATAAG
Source organism: Homo sapiens (assembly GCF_000001405.40). Classification (NCBI taxonomy): domain Eukaryota; kingdom Metazoa; phylum Chordata; class Mammalia; order Primates; family Hominidae; genus Homo; species Homo sapiens. The sequence goes on along the minus strand of NC_000010.11, from coordinate 66,276,382 downwards.
TGGCCCGCAGTGAAGTATCCTCACAAAAAGAAACAAGATTCAGGTAAAATTTTTCCTATAACGGGCATTCAGAATGTAGATTTCACATGTTTTGTTTGTGAATTTTCATATGTGCCTTATCAAAGGCGCTTCAAAAATATAGAGATACTTTCCAAAGCCAAGTGTGTAGATTTTCAGGTCCATAACTCAAGTTTGCATTTTCTGTGTCAGTTTTCTAACTCTATATATCAGGGAATAGGAACATATTTTGCATATCTGACTTGATGAAGGTTAATTTTTGAGGAAACAAAGAAAAATAAGATAAATTTACATGGCCCAGTTTACATTAATTGTTTTTACATGAATCATTTACATGGCTTCTAGAATTGGGACACAGTCCAATATAAAATATCAGCTTATATAACAATCCAATCTTTGGGTCTGATTCTATTTCACCTACAGGAATGAACAGATTTATGGCTTTTCCTGGAATTAAATATAACTTTCTCAATTGAGATTACCTGCAGTGTCACAACTTCTATAAATTTCTGTCATTTTCTTCCTTAACATTTTTTTTTTCTTGGTGGCCTTGTAGACATCTTTTCTTTATGTGTCTTCCAGGCTGAGCTTCTGGCTATTTGAAGTTTCATACTCAAACTGCTAAAGGGAAAGACTTTTACAGTTTCAGATAGTCACTAACCAATGTAGAATGTTATCTTATCCAATTACAATTCTCTGGAATTAAGTTTGGAAATGGTCCAATAATGAAAGAATATTGTGTAAAATCAGAAGACCTGAGTTCAAGTCTCAGCTGTACATGTTACCATTTATATTTTTACTTTACATGATGTCATCAGTTTCTTCCCTGCAGGGGAAAATGGAAGAACACTACTGAATTTCTACTTTTAAGTATCATTGTATGTAAAAGTAAAGGACTGAACAGTGTTTCCCAAGATGATGAAAAAAATGAGACTGTCCATGCTTCAAATGCAAATTAGGGCCAAGTTCAGTGGCTCACGCCTGTTTGGGAGGCCAAGGTGGGCGGATTGCCTGAGCTCAGGAGTTCAAGAACAGCCTGGCCAACATGATGAAGCCTCATCTCTACTAAAATACAAAAAATTAGCTGGGCATGATGGTGCGTGCCTGTAGTCCCAGTTTCTCAGGAGGTTGAGGCAGGAGAATTGCTTGAACCTGGGAGGCAGAGGTTGCAGTGAGCTGAGATCATGCCATTGCACTCCAGACTGGGTGACAGAGCAAAATTCCATCTCCAAAAAGAAGGAAAAAAAATGCAAATTAAATAAGACATGGACAATAGAGAAATACAATGATACAATGAAACTCAAAATATGTATTTCAATGTAGTAGCAACTAACAATTAGAAAATATTATTTATAAAGTAGACTATATCACAGCATCCAAAATTATAAAATAAGCGGTAATAATTTTAACAAAACAAATATAATATCTATACTCTGAAAATTATAATACAACATTAAAAAAATTAAAAACACCTAAATATCTGAAGGGATTGATCATATTCCTGAAGTTGGAGATTCAATATTAAGATGTCAGTTATTCCCAGATTGACTTACAGATTGATTTATCACTGTCTTAAATTCTCAGCAGACTCTTTTATGAAAACCGATCATTTGAGGTGGTTACATTGGAGGATACGTTTGCCAAAACTCATCAAACTGCATTTAAAGTTGCATGTAAATTAGATATTAATAAAGTTCATTAAAAAATAATCAACTCCATAGCCAACACCTCAGAAAATAGCTAATTTTAAATAGATAAAATCATACCAAATTACAAATTAGGGCTAATTAGAAAAACTTGCATGGACTATTAAAAATGCTGATATCTCAAATATTATAAAATTAATAATACCTTTCTACTTTATAAGTGACTGTTTGCCAAACATTTCTAATGTATGGAGGTTCTCTTTTATTTTTTATTTCTCATATATGTGAATCATTATTTACTATTTTAGATCAGCAGGTGGCATATTTTGGCCTTTGGGTCACGTTTGATCCACTATATGTTTTGTATGGCCTGTGGCCTAAGAATGGTTTTAATGTTTTTAAATGGTTGAAAAAATTCAAAAGAAGAATATGATATTGTGACTCATGAAAATGGTATAAAATTCTAATTTTACTGTCCATAAATCATATTGAAACGTGACTCAGCCATTGGTTTATATCTATGACTCTGTGCTACAATGGCAAGGTTGAGGAGTTATGAGGAGACTATAATGGCTCACAAAGCTTAAAATATTTACTACCTGACCCTTTACAGAAAAAGTTTACTAACCTTGCCTTAGAGATTTTGTTTTAGCCTTTACGAAAATCCTGCCTGGCTTTTCCAAGAATCCACTCACCTTTTTATTAGTTTTCCTTTATACATCTAATCATCCCAAATATTTGAATATTAGAATTGTCTTTTCTTCGAGGTTCCTGGAGCTACACGACCACCTAGAATGACTTCTGCTAACCCTTTCTATTCACAGTCTAGGGTCCCAGGCTGTACTCTCCACCCTCCTCTACTCTTCTTTTCACCCTCATGGCTTGCCATTCATCCAGGTACTCTTTTTCTCACCCTTTCTTTTCTGGATCAAACTCTTGTTTTTTTGTTTTAATTTCCAAATTTTATATTCATGCCCTGATGCTTTTCAAATAAAGTTGTTTAATTACCAGAACCCACCCTTCTCCAAAGGTTGCAAGGGAGTTTTTACATTCCTTTTGATATTTTTGCATTATTTGTTCAACACGTAAAATTAAATTTTAGCCTCGCCTTTGATTATGGTATGTTTTGAAACTCAATTTTTAAGGTTTATAGAATGTTGAAATTCATCAGCTGTATTCTGTCATGTCATTTTGTTGTTGTTGTTTCATGTTATAGAGAAGTAGACATCCCCTTATTCATGGTTTTGATTTTCATGGTTTCACTTATCTGTGGTCAACCACTGTCTGATAATATTAAATAAGAAATTCCAGAGTTAAACAATTTATAAGTTTTAAATCGTGCACTCTTCTGAGTAGTGTGATGAAACCTCATGCTGTTCCATTCTGTCCTGCCTGGGATGTAAATCATCCCTTTGTCCATCAGATCCATGTTGTCTGTGCTCCCCTCCCATTAGTCATATAGTATTGCAGTTCTTGTGTTCAAGTAACCCTTATTTTACTTCATGATGACCCCAAAGTGCACGTAGTGATGCAGGCAATCCTGATATGCCAAAGAAGCTGTAAAGTGCTTCCTTTAAGTGAAAAGGTGAAAGTTCTTGACTTATTAAGGAAAGAAAAAAAATCATATGCCAAGGTTACTAAGATCTACAGTAAGAATGAATCTTCTATCTGTAGGGTTGTAAAGAAGGAAAAAGAAACTGGTATTAGTTTTGCTATCACTCTTCAGACTCAAAAGTCACAGCCACAGGGTATGATAAGTGCTTAGTTAAGATGGAAAAGGCATTAAATTTGTGGGTGGAAGACAGAAATGGAAATGTGTTCGGACTGATGGCAATCAGATTCATTACTATCCGAGGTTTCTGGCATTCACTGGAGGTATTAGAACATAACCCCTGTGGATAAGGGGGTTGGGGGCAGTGTAGTATTAATTGTGTCTGAAGATTATTGGGATTACAAATGAGTTTACATAAAATAAGTATATGCTAAGTGAGTTTAAAATATAGTGACAGGATGAGTATATATATGTATGGCTTGGCTTGCACAGGACAGTACTGGATTATACTGCCTTTTAAGTGCCCAATTTGGAGAATAAATTGGTAAGCTCACTAGTTTCTGGGTCCTGATGGTACTGCTTGAGGCCCTGTGGTGCATTGTCTCCACCCACAGGGCGACAGTTCCCGGTGCTTGGCACTAATGATCATAGTTCCCTGTCAAGCCAGTTTTTCTAACCCCAGGGAACACTTTCTCTCCATAGTCCTAACGGCTATCAAATGTGCGCTTCTCCCCTTCATGCTTTTCTGATACTTTGTTGACTGTGGAGAATTTATTCAGGCACCATTTCCAATTTATTTAATGTACAAAGACTTCATAGCTTTTCATTTTTCAGTGTTAGGCAGATTTCCTAAGTTCATCTAAGTTACTCTGCTCTTCAACCTCACAGGACTCATGGAATGCCAGTTAAAACACTTTGTCCCTTCTGGAAGTAATATGACTCTTTTCTAGTGTCAGGACCAGTTTGTAAAGAAACCACCTACCAGGGGGATTCCTAAGGGAACTTCGTAAAAGGCCAATAGCAAAGTAACCTTAGTTTTATATGCAAATTTAAATCAAACCTTAGTGGAAAGAAGTCTGTAACAGTACTCTTGCTGCTTCTTCTGAAAACAGAGTATAAGGTAGGGAAACCTTGGAACGCCTGCTGGCACTGGTCAGCAAGAAGTCTTATGCTCTCAGCACATTTAATGGCCCTCCTCTTGTGTATCCCATTTGAAGAAACTTTTGACTAAGGGAGCAGAGGTGACTAGAGTAAGAAAAAGATATTCAGGAAACGTGTTAAGCTACAAAAGCCGCGCTAGTTAGTGATCTCAGTTGCTCATTCTGAGAGAAAGATGTTCAGCTTGAAGTCGTTCTGGGAAGTGCTCTTTCACCAAAGGGTCAACACCACTGGACTGGCAGGGGAGTCCATGGTCCAATAGGACTTTGATGCAGTCTAGTCCTGCACTCAGAGAGCTCTACACAAGTGCAGCTCAGAGCTTTTGACTCAAAGTAGCTGAATATAAGGAGCCAAGCATCTCCCTTTGAAAACATCTCCAGGTGTTCAGGGGAAATGGCTAACATTGTGAATGGAAGGGTAATATGGGGAAGACGGTTACTTGCAGAATCTTAGAGTTTTTGGTTTGCTTTTTGTTAAGTGAATTATTAAATGTCATACTATTATAAACTTGTATAAGTATTAAATAAGTTAGATTTATATTAAGTATTCAATCTAGTAAGTTTTATTATTTTGGTACAAAAACTTGTTTTTATCCTAAAAACTCTTAAGGAATGCTAACCTCTTCAAACATAAAGTTTCTCTGCATATCTACATTTCAAAAACAACTTTTGGAGAGTTGAATCAGCCTTCTGGAGAAAATAATATGGGAATACAACTTATAAAATGATGAATTTTAGAAAACAGACTTTGATGTAGCTAATGGAGGGAGACTGGGAATTTTATAACTCCAGTATCTGTAAACTAAATAATGGAGTTTCAACGGGAAAAATATTCTGGAGTCTGATAGCAAAAGTTCTCTAAGTGAATAGAGGCACTTGAGGTCCTATACTGGTAGGGAAAGTCACAGCAAGAGATTCAGGGTCTTCAGGCACCTGAATGCCTGAAGAACATTTTCTCTTACCATAGGAGAATACAACAGCTCAATGTTTTTATACCATGGGAGCCTTTAGACTCCATAGACTTCCCTTTGTTGATGGAACAGTTATAAACACATAAATCTCAAGAATCACTTTTTGGGCAATTTGTTAAAGAGCACTTATCCTACTACTACTCTTCCCTGCTCCCTGAGATTCAGACACATTGGCCTGCTGGCTGTTCCCCTAATTCCTCAGACAGGCCCATGCTTCTGGCATCTGTCCACTTACTGTGCTCTCTAACTGTGATGCTCTCTTCCAAGACTCTGCACAGGAGGCCTCTTCAGGTCAGCTTCATCCTTGCCTTATCCAACACCCTACACAGATCCTATATAGAGCCACATCTAAAAATAGCATCTCCCACCGCAGCTACTCTTCATCTTCTTGCTCAATTTTATGCTTGCGTAGCGTTTGTCATGATGATTGACGTATTACATATTTATTCATTTATTTATCTGTTTTCTTTGTTCCCACAAAAGAATGTAGGCTATATGAAATAAGGAAGATTCAGACCTTTAAAACAAAGTCTGTCTGGGTACAGTGGCTTATATCTATAATCCCAGCACTTTGGAAGGCTGAGGCAGGTGGAATGGTTGAGCTCAGGAGTTTGAGACAAGCCTGGGCAACATGGTGAAACCCCCGTCTCTGTAAAAAACAGAAAAATTATCCGGGCATGGTGGTGCATGCCTATACTCCCATCTACTTGTGGGGCTGAGGCAGGAGGATGGCTTGACCCTGGGGGATCGAGGCTACAGTTTCTGCCACTGCACTGCAGCCTGGGTGACAAAGTGAGACCCTGCCCCCCCCCCCAAAAAATGTTATAGTGTTCTGCATTAAATAAAGTGGTTGATTTGGTTTCCAAATTGGACATTTGTTCAAAATGTAATCATTAGACCCCAAGGAATTAAGGACAAGAACATGCGATGTTACTTTGTTAAATTTTATACTACAAAAATTAAGGACAGTAGAAACTACCTTGAGATATATTTTCACAAAGAATTAAATTTGCTTGATCTCTTATTTAAGATGGTTTTAAGAGTTCCAAGGATGTGTACTAAGCATTGTATTTTGTGGCCACTAATGTAATTATGAATGCACAGTACATGTCTGTTTGATGCTATTTGTCTTCGTAGAAGCTTCTGCAAAGTCGGATCCGTGTGGTTGTTTTAAAAGTTCTTCATTTCACCTAGTTCAGGTGACAAGATTACTCTTTAAAGATGATGGCAATTGTAGAACAGCCCGGATGAGACTTTCTTAGTGTATGTATTAGTGGCTGGGTTATGGGAAAAAAAGATCCTAAGGATAGAGTTTGTGGAATGTGCCGGAGTGTATTTTATGCACATTATCCTCTATTATCAGTCCCTTGGTGTTATAAGCTCTAAAAAGTCACAAAATTATCTATAAATTTAATGATTAAAGTGTGTTTTATACTGTCTTATATTGCAATGTTTGGAACAGAAATCAGAAATTTAATTAAAGTCATAAAATATAGAAAGATCCCATAACAAAAATTATTTGTAACCTTAAAAATGGCTGTAAAATACATTTTAACAATTCCATAGTGGTCTGTTTACTAAAAAATATAAAATTAAAATAAAACCAGGGATTTTTATATATCTTCTTTTGTCTCTAAAATTAATGGTTTGGGATTAAATTCACGACTCCCATTTACCAAAAACTCACATTGACAATGCATTTACAAATAGCTAATCTCTTCCAGTGGATTTTGCTTATTTAACTCTTAGAGTACAAACTTATTTTAGGTTTGCCTCCGTCTTCAAGGAAATTCCCATTCTTTGGAATATCTTTGTAACCCTATGTAAGTCATGTAGTCTTTTAACTTCAGATTTGCATTTGTAAAATGGGGATAACAAAGATACCTACGTAAGGATGGTTCATCAGAGTTTAAAAGGGTTAATGTATGCAAGCCATTTAGTAAAATTTCTAGGGCATTGTAACTGCTTAGTGAGTATTAGTTTTTGTAGTAGTTAGAATAACAAATACTACTTGCTGTAATACAACCCCCAGATCTCAGTAGCTTATTGCAATGATGGTTTATTTATCAACCTTACGTTGGTCTGATGCCAGCCTGTTTTCCTGAATAGGTCTCTACAAGGTAGTGACTCAATGATTCAGTATCTTTCAATCTTGTGATTTTGCCATCTGTATAAGCTGGCCTCCATGTCACTGCAGAAATGGGAGAGAGAGTAGATAATTGAATAGGAAGTTTGGTGGCCAGACCTCAATGCAATGTACTTTCCTCTACATCTCATTGGACAAAATCCATCAAAAGGACCTGAATAAACTGCAAAGGAGCTGGTGAATGCCCTCTTCCTCTGTGCCTAAGAAGAAATAGGACTGATGAACACATAAACATTCCTTGTCACACTCTTTGTTCCAGTTATTATTGCTGCATAACAAATTACTCCACACATAATGGTATAAAACAACCATCAATGTATCATGCTCTCACATTCTATGGGTCAGGAATTTAGAAAGGGTACAGACTCCTTCTTGTGCATGTCTGACATCTGGACTAAGGAGTAGAAGACTGAGGAAGGTGACATTTAGCCTCTTATGGGGCTTGGCTTTCTCACAGCATGGTAGCCACTGGATAGTCGGGCTTTTTGTGTGACATTTCAGGGATCCAAGAATAAGTTACAGTTAACAAAGCACACGCCATATTGCCTTTTGTATCCTAACTTTGGAAATCATAGAGTGTCACTTCTGTCATAGTCTTGGTTACAAGCAAGTTAAAAGCCTCCCGGATTCAAAGGAGAGGAGACACGAACCCCATCTTTCAATGGAAAGAGTGTAAAGGTCAAAAGGAGCATGTGAGATGAGGAATAATATTGTATCCATCTTTAGAAAATACAAAGTGACCCACTTCTGTCATCGTGCTCTTATTATCATAGTCATCATCATCATTATTATCATCATCATCATCATCATTTTCAACAATAACAGTTATTTTTTAACAATTATGTGACCATAAGTCAATTTAAACAGTCTTTTGCTTATTAATTAGTAAAATAAACCAATCCAAAGAGTCTTAAATCACTTCAGATAATCATTTGTTTAATGACAGGTAAAGATTTAGAGGTATAATTAGTCAAATATTTTAGTGAATAGAATATTAAATTGCCATACTTTAATGTCTTTTATAAATATAGCTGCTGCCAATTTAAGATATTAAGCTATACATAATCTTTTTGATACCCTCTTCTAAATAAAACCCTTTGAAATAATAATAGCTAGAAAGTATAAAACAGAAAAAAGTCTTGAGGAGGGTATGTGGAATGTGAGATTATCATGAACATGGGAAACATACAATGAAGAAGACATCATATTGAGAAGTAATTTTCTATCCTGTACAGGATACAGTCAATCACTTGAAAAATGGCTGAGTATTTTCTATCTTTTAATCACTGTGCTAGGTTTTAAGAACGCAAACATGGTTGAGTCATGATCTTTGCTATCAAGTAATTGGCATTCTCATAGAATAAAGAGGTACATAAGCAAATGACAGGAATACATTGTGATAAGTAATATAATGGAAGCACATGGAATCATGTTTTAAAATACAGAGACTTTAAATTCTGCCATGGAGAAAATTATGCAAAGATGTAGCCATTTGTTGACATTCCAGTTGGGCTTTGATGAATGAGTCAAGAGTTGGATAGTTGGAATTATGGCTCAGCACATTTGCAAGGATACGGAGGTCAAGACAGGAGAAAGAACTACAATTAGGTGAAGGGTACCTGGACGCCAGTGTACAGGTGGAGGAGGAGTAGAAACATAAGCAGAGTTAAAATTTTTAAGAGTCTTCATGCATGTCAAAGAAACATGACCTTGCTAAATGGCGAGAGGAACGGAATTACTAGGCTTAGTATAGAGTGTTCAAAATTCATCCTGTATGGTTGGGATGGCAGCATAGTCATCCCTTTCAGTTCCTCAGTCACCTGCCTTAAGCCGCCTAATATTTAAAAATTGAGATTCTTTAAGCAAGAGAGAAGGGATAAGAAATTATCGAATAGATGACAAACAATCTCTTACAATATATTTACTACTAAAGGAGGATAGAAATTTCAATCAAATACTAATTATACCATTTATGCCTCACTAAATTTACTGATCAAATGTAATTTTCAGGGATTTCTCTTTCTCAGGATATGGAATCTCTTTAAAAGTGACTTCAGAAGAGTGATACAGGTAATACTAATAATGATACTAACAATAATAATAGAAAAAAATGAGGCTTGTATTTGGAACAAGCGTTTTTGTATTTGCAATGAGCTGAAGCCAAGCATATGTCAAAAGTATTTCTAACCATCTAAAATCTCAGAGGAGATTTAGGAAATCAGACTGGTAGTCAGGCATGTTCACTACTAGAGCAGCCAAGGTGAAGGGATTGAAGTGCTGTCTCACCAGTTTCAGGGACTCATTGAGTCTGTTCCAAGGTATAACATGTCTCTGATTACGGAAAATGTTGGTGTTAAATTGACAGAAGTAATTGCTAATCAAAATGCAAGTAGGAGATGTAAATGCAAAAACATATGAACTCACCAATTAATGCATAGAGAATAATTTTCTCCTTCAAATGCCTTATTTATTAAATCTGAAGCCTTACATTTAGCTTCAAAAGAACCACATCAATCAGAGAAGGCTGAAAGACAGTGTGTTAGGCTGTGGTGAGCACAGGATTAGAAATCAGAAGACCTTGATCCTGGTCTCAGCTACGTGTTATAGTAGCTCTGGAGTCCTGGGTTTCTCCCTTTGATGCATTGTTACATGGTGTTCTAATATACAAGGGAGGGGATTATCACACTTGCCTTACTTATGGCACGTTTTCAGAGCCCCTTCCTTCCTTCCTTCTTTCCTTCCTTCCTTCTTTCCTTCCTTCCTTCTTTCCTTCCTTCCTTCCTTCCTCCCTCTCTTTCTCTCCCCCCCTTCCTCTCTCTCTTTTCCCTTCTTTTCCTCCCTCCCTCCCTCTCTCCCTCCTTCCTTTCTTTCTTTTTCTTTTATCCATTTATTGTCTTTTTATTCACTTATTTTGTTGTTTTATTGAGTACGTACTACGGGCCAATAAATCTATCGAACACTTAGCCATATGGAGATAGATAAGACAGATAAGATTTCCATTTTCATGGAGTTTACATTTTTGTAGAAAGAGACAGGGAGTAAAGAAAGATATGGATAAAGTAGTTATGATGAGTGATAGGAAGGAAGCAGGATGATATGATGAAAAGAAAATTGGCCTAAGAGATAAATCACTTTCAGTCAAAGCAGTCTTTTACACTCTGAGGAGATCGAATTTTAGTTAGTTAGTAAGGATAAGAGTGTGGCAGCAATTTTAAAACACTGAAGGAATGTTTCAGGCAGAGAAGAGTAATTGCAAAGATGCTAAAATTTGGAATTGCTTGTTATACCTAAAGAACAGGAAGGAGGCACTGTTTCTAAAAGTTACTGAATGGAGGAGTAGAGTGGTAAGAGTTTAGAAAGGAAGACAGACAATAAGTTATTTTGACATTTTCATACATGCTAGGCTGTTTGAATTTTGTTCCAAAGCATTGATAACTATTGTAATAGCTTTAACAGGGGAGGGGCATGATCCAATTTGCATTTTAAGAAGTTTCCTCTTGATTTTGTTGAATGTTGACTTTCCAAAAGTATGTTAATCAAGCAGTACTACCACTAAGACTTAGTGTGATAAAGGAGAATACCACCTTGAAGTGAGTTACCTACATCCATGTAGCTAATTAATGTCAAAGCTGGGATTAGAATTCAGGTCTCCTGACTCCAAATTCAGTGTACTTTTGGTGTTATCACAACCAAGTAACCATAATAGGTTTGTTGGCCAATATGTGGATAACTCAAGGTGGGAAAATTAGAGAAGCATTTTAAAGCCTGTGCTGAGTGATTTTAAAGTGTATCTTGCAAGAGAGAGAACTGGTTGGATTGTGGTGATAAGTAGATTTGGATGAGTGGACAAAATGAATTGAAGGTTTGGTAGTAAATCTTAATGAGCTTACTAGTCTTGATAATTGGTCAGTTTAACTGTTTCAGTTTTCTCTTCTAGGAGCAGGTATTTCCTGGAGAAAGCAGCTAAGTATTGTTTTGCTTGCTCTTAGTATTATTAACACAGGAGCAGGAAGGTCTGCCCAGTTCCTGTCCCTGTGGGACAGAGGATTATGTCGTTTTCAGTTCTCACCAATCCATAGGAAGTATGTTATTGGAAATGGAGGATGGGCAAGAATAGATGTGAGGATACCAGATATGAGTCTGTTGTATTTCTCCAGGCAACAGGTAATGTTGCCATATACTAGAGCTGCACTGTCCGATATAGTAGTTACATGTGACTTATCAAGCACTTGAACTTCGGCTATGTGAAATGAGATGTGCCATGTAAATGTACGACACACAACAAATTTTGAACATTTATCAAGGAAAAATGATATAAAATATCTCAAATATATTTATATTTTACATGTCAAATTAATGTCAATAATATATTTTAACCAAATATATCCAAAATATTATCACTTTGACTTACACAAATTATTTTTAATATGACTACTAGCAAGTTAAAAATTACATATGTTGCTTGCATTGTATTTATATTAGTAATGCACTAGAGAATTGCAGAAGAGGTAAACAAATTCAAAACATATTTTAGAGGTAAAATTGACTGAAATTGCTGGGAATGAATGTGGGATTGAAGGAAATTGGGAAACAAATGTGGCTTTGGGGTTTCTTGTTTTGGGGCATTGTGTGTGTGTGAAAGTAACTTATGGATTTAAGGAAGACTTGGAGGAATCTGTTTCGGGTAGAAGTCTCATTCCAATTTAGTGGCCTTTAGATATTGAATTTGCTCATTTCATAGTTATATTATATCAGCCATTGGGTATATGATTTTGGAATTTAGAGCATAAGTTTGACCTATGATAGGAATTGTTTTTTTCTTAGGATGTAATAACATATAGACAGGGTATATTAGAGCAGAAAATATGATATAGAAGCAAACACATTTAGAATTCATGTTGAAGAGGAGGAGCTAACAAAGGAGATTGGCAAGAAATAACTGGGAAAGATAGAAAACCGAGAAACGGCTGTCTCAGAAACTAAGGCAAGTGTATTTAAATTGTGCACAATATAACTTAGAAGACTTAAAAAGATAACAAGAAAATATGTTCATTGCATCTGGGAATATAGATGATCAAGTAGGTAATGTATGTTTAGATATTCAGTGAATTGGTGTCAGGGTTTCCTGGAATTGATGACTAAAGCTGTAGCTGGCAAAAAGAGCTAAACACTCTAATTGCAGGTTGAGAAAACTGCCAGCCTGTGAGGACCAGCATACTTCCACTGGGCTTAGATATAATGAGAGGATTTGGGACAGGGAGAGGGGATTAGACTTCCAAAATGTGCAGTGTTTAGAGAGGTTAAGCTGTTCTCTCCTTTCTCTTTGGGTTACTTTATGTTGTCCTTACAATATAATAAAGGAAAACAAAAGATACTCTGATACCCTGACAATGACTGAACCCATATTCTGTAAAGTGGTCTCTTTATACTTTATATAAGCATAAAGTGACACAATTGTAAACAGTATAGATAGTGTTATGATAAGAACTTCTAGTTGTTAATGACTCTTAGTGTGTCTCAAATCTAGCCCAGTCTTTTGTTGTTGTTGAAATATGTTATATTTTCTTGGAAAGCCTCTTCTTTCTTATATCCTTATGAATATCTGCAGGGAGCCATTAGTCTTTGCCTTGTGCACTTTCTGAAAATATTTTCTTTAGATTTTTTTGGAGAGACTTGCTTTGTTCCAATATGCTCTGCAGAATGCTTCCCCCTGCTGTGTTCTGTTACCCCCAATGATGGCTTTTGCCTAGCTCTCTCAGTTCTTTCTCTAATGTAAAGACAGCTCTACCTGTGTTTCCTCTTCCAACCGTATGTCTGTTATCATAATTAGTTTTCTTATCATAGATTCAATGAGAATAATAGTTTCAAATCACTTTGAGAAGAAAGTATTTCTGCTTGGGTCACAGCTTAAACAGATTCACCCACGGTCTACTTCAAGGCATTTCCTGTGTGAGGCTAATGAACCTTCCTCCACTTCAGTCATCTCTCCTGTTTATAACTTTAAGTCCAGTATGTGGTAGATTACAAAGCCACATTGAAAAAAAACCTTATATACATAAAATAAATATCAGTTAATAAAAATGTTTAAAGTAATATTCCTATTATAAGAATAATACACTCTTGTTATACCAAATTAAATAATATAGGACAGTTTATAGTACAAATTTTAGCCTCACTACCCCTCTAGCTCAGATTTTTCTCTTCCAGGGCTAATTGCTTCTCAATAATTTTGTATGTATCCTTTAATATCATTTTCTACATAAATCATATTCATTTATGTATATGTATCTTTGGTTTTGCAAAAAAAAAGACCATTCTATGGCTGTTGTTATAAAACTTGATTTGATTTTTATAATTTTACAATAAGTCATACATTAAGTTCTCTTAGTTAAAACCCCAAATAAAAGTTAGTGTGGATCCATACCAACTACTGTTGACACAGCTCCTTCTTGTAAGCTTTTCCTTAGGTAAGCAAAACATGAAAGAATAAAGGGGAAAGACAAAGGCAACACACCAGAAAAAAATGAAAACAAATAGTTATTTGAAGGTTTAGATTTAAAAATATGGAAAAACCAATATAATTTTATTAATGGAACATTGTGATGCTGTAAAAGTTGCATCATAAAACCATGAAATGATAATGCTAAGTTGAGGGAAAAATTGCCTATCTCAAAATCCTTGGAGGGCTTTGAGGCCTTCAGAAGTGAAGTGAGTTACCTATATCCACGTAGCTAATTAATGTCAAAGCTAGGATTAGAATTCAGGTCTCCTGACTCCAAATTCAGTGTACTTTTGATGTTATCACAATCAAGTAACCATAATAGGTTTTTTTTGCCCAATATGTGCAAAAAGTCAATATGCTGAGACACGAGGTTACAGCAGAGAAAGAGGTTTAATGGTTGGGCCATCGAAGGAGAAGATGGGAAGGAACCTCAAATCCATCTCCCCAGGTAGTTTGGGGCTGGGTTTTTAAGGGTTTTGGAGTGGGTCAAAGTGTGGAGATTGTTAATTGGTGGAAGAGTACAGGGGGAAGTCATAGGATGGGGAGAGGAAGAAACCATCTCATGTTGATTCTGTTCCTCTGTGGGGGTCTTCAAAATGGTTGTCATCAGCTGTTTCACTGGAATTGGGGATCCGAAGAACATCTTTAAGCAATTCTTAAAGAAAAGCCTTATGATTCTGATGTCAGAGATTCTATCTATAAGAACAGTGGGAATGGGGATACAAATATTCAGGATCTAGTGACTTTCAGTTACAAGGAAGTGGGTCAAAGTGCAGCCTGATTAATACTTACTTATAGCCATATTTCTGTCCAGAATTCTTGTTAACCCCTGAGAATGCCTTCAACCATAAGTTCATACTAACAGAAAGACAAGCAAAACACGTTATATTAATTAAATACAATTGTAATACAATGTGTTTAATACAACATATTTTATTAATTAAAGGCAATTTGAAAAATATTACTTAAAGAATTGCATTTGAAATCATTGGCTAAGAATAGGAATATAACATAAGGACTAGAAAAAGAGACAAGTGACAAGTAGCTTGGAGGGAAGGTCAAATTAGTTTCTCTGTAAAAGAAGATGAGGTAGGAAGATCAAGGGAAATAATTTAAATGTACTGAATTTACTTAAGAAGTGAAGCAAAGAGAAAATGCCCTTCAGTTTAAAATAAAATTCCCAACAGAAGCTGAGAAGATCAAGTAAAGGTAAAAGTTATACCCTTGAGCTGCTAATAATGAAATCTAGCCTGAGGGAAGGAAGTTTTGTTGAGAGATCACTACCTGACAGGAACTTCACATACATTCTCTCATTTTACCTTAAAGCAACCCTTGAGGAAGGGACTTGGAAAACCATTTTATGGATAGGAAAGAAAACAAATAACTTAAAATTACTCTCCCAAAGTCACTCTGATATACACTGTTCCAACAGGGTGAAGACTCAGGTACTTTTGTCTTGGCCGCAAAGTCTGTCTTCATTGTGCACCACGTACTGCCTATATTAATCAGGAAGGTGAAATGATCTCTATGTCAGATCTAGAGTTTCTGAATATGGAAGTGTGAGAGATTAATTTCAATATATATGAGCTATCCTTAAAATTTTGAAAATATAATTAAATCCAATTATAAAGATACGATTAAGAAAAAAATGATGGTTTATAGGACATTGCATACACTTTTACAAGTGTTCTGTAAGTAGAAACTTCCTGTCATTTACCTGTTCTGCTTTTTCCTGCTTTGACTCTGTTTAAAGCTTGAAGAAATTTGAGTAGGTAAGACATAGGAATTAATAGTGTAGGGACCAAAGGGAAAACTTCCCTTTTGTCCTCTGAAGGTTTACTGAAAAATCAACTGACAAATGGCAAATTAATTGGAGAAAGGGCATACAGATTTATTAATGTGTACACAGTGAGAATCACGGAGTGATTACCTATCCCCCAAATAGGGTTTAGAAGCTTATATATCATCTTTTGTGGGTACAGAAAGAATGGGAACTTAGGTCTTGGCAAAACAGGTTATAGGAGGGAGGAAAAGAGGAATTCTGTTGACAGGCAATAAATGACAACTAGGGAGAATGAATGGATTGGAGGGCAGAGATGATTAACTTTAAGATATTTCTCCATGGAATTTGAATGAGCCTGAGAGACAGACATTATCTTGTGAAAGGGTCTATTCAAGTGTGGTTACATTTTTGGCCTTCTTTTCTGTAATAGATAATGAGATAATAGTAAGGAGAAGAATAAACAGTTGTTCTCCTGGTGGATCAGTACTTTAGGCAGATAAAGGGACTTCAGGCAACAACTCATCCTGTGCTTTGGGAGAGACAATGGGGAAGTGAGAGGTCAGAGAGACCTTGAGGTTTCTTCAGTTCTGCATATCGAAGCATGTATTTTGGGGTATCAGTTCCTAAGCCCCAACAATAGCCAAGGAAAAAAGCAAAGCCTGAAAAGTTGCTTTTCATTAAGGTTTCTAATTGCAGCTCAACTCTTTCGTTTACACTCTGATTTTGCAGGTGGGCCCAATATAGAGACTTGGAGTCAACATGGGTTAGAAATAGACTCTATCATAGAACTTGTCTATTTTCCCACAATTCTGATAATATTTTACACAAATACAGACATGCTTTGCAGTCAGTTATGTAATAGTCAATATAGTGAGGCACTGGAGATTGCAGCAGAGAAAGTGTTTAATAATCTTAAGATAGCCACAGGAGGAGATGAGAGGAAACCTCAAATCCTCTTCTCTAAAGAATCTGGAGCTAGGTATCTAGGGTTTGAAGTAGACTGAGGTGTGGGAATCACTGAGTAGTTGAAGAGTGCAGGGTGAAGTTATGTACTTTTGATAATAGGGAGGTTGAATTACTTCTAAATTCCTCAGATAAGAAGTTTTGCCTCTGGATGGCCTGCTTGATAGTCTCCAGGTGATCTTTCCTCTCCTTATTTTCTTCCTGAAAATATCTTGGTCAAATCTTTGACCCTTTGTGTTCCCCCATGCTCATGTCTACCTGCTGCCTATTACAGTCTCAAGAAACAGAAAATAGCACAGTGAAGAGGGGCCCCAGGTCTGTCTGGTTACTTCCTGCTGAAAGGGGATAGTGAGTGGATAAGTTGTATTTTTCCTTTTCTCTCTGTTGTCATGAAGGGAATGAGGATCATGAAAAACTTGTTCATGGGGAGAAGAAACGATTCCATTAAGAGGCCCCATGTAAATGGAAGTTGCTGTTGCAGGCCGATATTGGGATTGCATAGTCATCTGTAGGTGGAATCGTAACCTGGATGATATAAACTTAATGAGAGCATTAAAAAGGCAGAGACCAAAGATTAAAAGAAGAGTAACAAGGAATAAAGGTCCAAGTAATAGGAGAAGCCATGTGATTTTTAGAAACCAATCAGTAGAGGTTTTGGCCCAGTAGTGGTTACTTTAGGAAAGTGTGTATAGCCATGTGGCTTGTTTGAAAATTTTTTTGGACATTAGTTTTCACTTCTCTTTTTCCGCATTCCTGTACAGAAAAGAGAAGTGGAACATGTTTTATTGATGAACGCACAGACTCCTTTTTTAGCTAGGGGGTAATTAGCAGTGAAGCAAAGCCATAAGATCCCAGGAGGGTTAATATATTTTTAAGGTTTCTTAGACTAAGAGGGCTACCACTGCTAAGGCTCTTAAGCTGGGAGGTGGGGAGGGATTCCTAGGATACTAGGTCTAAAGCTTTTGAAAAATATGCTGTGGGGTGCTTAGAGGGCCATAGATCTTAGGCTCACTCTCAAAACTATCCCCCTTCATTTGTGTACGTAAAAAAAGAAAGGCTTAGTCAGATCAGGTAGGGCTAAGGCTGGGACTGAGATTACAGCCTGTTTTTAAAGTGTTTAGAGCATGCTTCACATTATTAGTCCACGATAGAGGTTGTTCCTCACTTCCCTGGAGGGCTTCATATAAAGGTTTTCCTTTTAATCCAAAGGAAGGAATACATATTCTGTAAAACACAGCCATACCCAAAAAGGACAGAAGCTGTTGTTTAGTTCCTGGAGTTGTCATGTTTAAGATAAGATCTTCAGGAGCGCTAGAGAGGCTCTTTGTACCAAGGGTTAAAATAAGGCCCCAAAAGTGAACGCTTTCTGTGAATATTTGTACCTTAGAAGGAGATACTTTGTATCCACAGTCAGCAAGTTTGTTTGATACTAACACTGTATTTTTGTCTAAAACAGCCTTGTTAGGACTACAGATTAGTAGGGTCATCCACATAAGGGAGTAGATTGCTGTCTTGGAGAAGCTGCAGGGTAGACAGGTTTCTAGCTAGGGCCTGTCCGAAAAGGTGGAGGCTATCTCTGATTCCCTGGGGCAGAATTGTTCAAGTTAAGTGTTTTGCCATTCCCTGGGGCAGAATTGTTCAAGTTAAGTTATTTGCCATTCAAAAGCAAACAAAAATTGGCTATCTGATTGTACAGGAATGCAGAAAAAGTCATCCTTAAGATCAAGTACAGTAAACTAAGCTGTGGTGGAGAGAGTCTGTCCAAAAAGGGTATAAGTGTTTGGGACAATAGGATGAATCAGAATAACAGCTTCATTAATAATTCTAAGGTTTGTGCTAGCTGATAGGAGCCATCTGATTCCTTTACAGCTAAAATGAGAGTTGCAAGGTCAGTTGCATGGGTGCAATAATCCATGGGTTAAAAATTTTGTTATTAGGGGCTGTAACTCTTTTCATGCTTCTGGTTTCAAGAGGCATCAGGGAGTCTGAAGAACTTATTGGGAATCTGAAGCTGAATGAATACAAGAGCAGCTGATATTGATTGACCAGGAAGAGAAGTATTCCAACTTCAAATGGCACTTGTTTTAGAGTTTGAGTTTCTGTAGACTGCAGTTGCTCTTTTAGTGAAGTGTGAGTTAATACAGCTGGAAGGTGAGGGCTTCGTTGTAAATTAGCATGTAATTTTGTGTTAAGTCATGGCCTAATAATGGAACAAGGCAGCTTGGCACGACTAAAAGGAATGAGGAAAGGAATAGCCTTCCATTTTACAAGGGAGTGGCAGTGTAAAACAGCCTCCTTGGGGTTTTCCATCAATACCTGTGAGAAAAATGGAGGACTGGCACATTGGGCCATAGTAAATGTTTAAAGATGAATAACTGGCCCCTGTATCTATGAAGAACATTATCTCTTGTTTAGCCACAATCAGATTTACTCTAGACTTATCCATAGAGATGGAAAAGATAGGGGCTGGATGGCCTCAAGGCCCCATCAGTCATCTAGAGGATGAATTTCAGAGGCTTGATTATAATCCAGGAATAGAGTTAGAAGAGCTTGTCCTTGGCATTGCCCTCGTCCCCATTCTGCAGGACTCCCTTGTTAGGTAGATTGATAAGGCTGTAGCTGTGACAGCCCAGAAGGAAGAGGTGCCCCACCTCATGAGGGAGAGAGGGTCACTCGCTCTTCCGATGACCCTCTTATTTCTAGTGAGGACAGGCTTCCAGGGTTGGCTTGTAACCTGGAGGTTAGGAACCTTTTCTACTCTAGTGTCCTGGATTTCTGCAGCAATAACAGGTCCCCATTCTGTTAGTAGCATAGGGATGAGCCCTGGGTTTATTAGTTAATGAAAAAGAATGTGCCAGTGCTGTCGCCATGTAATTAGTTGGCGACGGCATTTTTTCTCCTCCAATTTACGCTTTTTTTTTTTGAGACAATGTCTCACTCTTGTTGCCCAGGCTGGAATGCTATGGCACAATTTCAGCTCACTACAACCTCTGCCTCCCGGGTTCAAGCAATTCTCCTGCCTCAGCCTCCTGAGTAGCTGGGATTACAGGCATGTGCCACCATGACCGGCTAATTTTTGTATTTTTTAGTAGAGACGGGGTTTCTCCATGTTGGCCAGGCTGGTCTCGAACTCCCAAACTCAGGTTATCCACCCGCCTCGGCCTCCCAAAGTGCTGGGATTACAGGCATGAGCCACCGCGCCCCAAGCACCTTTTTTATTTTTGATATTTCCTTCCAATTATTGAAAACTGGAAAGGCTGCATTTAATAAAGTAGGAAAAGGAGTTTGTGGGTCTTCCTCTAATTTTTGGAGTTTTTGTCTGACGTCTTTGGATGCCTGACTTAGAAAGTGTACAGCCAGAATGGATTGGCCTGCAGGGCTTTGGGGGTCTAAATTTGCATATTTTTGCATAGTGTCCAGCAGTCTAGCTTGTAAAAGGGCAGGATTCTCAGATGGCTCCTAACTGACTTCTCATAATTTAGAAAAATTAACAGGTTTTCTTACGGTCTTTTTCATTCCTTCCAACAAACAAGTTATTATATAATCTCACCTGCCCCTGCCTCTGTCTGGGCCAACATTGGTGGCCTGGTGTTGCCAGTTGGGTTCTGTGTCAGGGACAGCTTCTTCCCTGGCTATATTATCATTAGGATTACGAGCATGAGTTTCATCCACCTAAGCTCAAACTAAAGGCAAGATTTTTCTTCGCGGGAACATCAACTAGTTAATACCACAAATATATCTTGCCACGTTAAAACAAAGGAAATAGTTAAGGCCTGAAATTCTTGAATTAACTTAGAGTGCTCCTGGCTAAATGAACGCAACTGGGATGGAATTTGCAAAAGATCCAATATTGGAAATGTGCATGAATTCGAATTTTTCCCAAATCTTCATTTGCCACCTTATGGACAAGGAAAACATTTTGGAGGTTTTCTGAGGACTCTGTACTAGTGGCTTATGTAACTCCTGTGCAAGTATATGAGGAGGATAAAGTATCTGTTTATGGGGAGAGGGTGATGATTGGGGGATGAAGCAGATGGAAAGGGTGTAGGTAAAGTGGGAGCAGGATGAGGAGAGTGTGAGAGGCAAATGGAAGGATCATCTAAGACATCAGAATCGGGTAGAGAAGAAGTTCTTTGGAAGATTATGCAATTTTTATGTAATTTTACGTATCAGATAAAGCCCAAAAGACCTGAACATATGGGGTCTCTGAATATAAAAGTTTAAAGAGTTTGTGGGTCAAAATGGGACCACTTTATAAGAATGCAACCCAAGGGCAAATAGGATAGAACTGAAGAATGAGTTGAACCCATGTTGGGTTTAGATACGGCACTATAAGATTCCTGAAGTGCCTGCGAGGGATTTTGACCTCCCTTTTCCCTTTGCTCACTCTATCTGGGGGTGCCTACCATGGATAGAGGGCCTACCCTTGCCTGGATGAGCAGTCTAGGCCTGCCCTTGTTTGAGTGATCAGCTCAAACCTAATGTGAAGGAGAACTTGTCCGTGACTTGCGATGTGATGTCTGTGACAAAGTTCAATTCAAAATGGGGTCCACAACCAGCAGATTGTGTCTGTGCAGAGTTGATTTTGCTGCTGCTCATTTCCAAGGCACGGTTTACAGTGTTAAAGTGAAGGTGGACTTGCCACCCTTGGAAGGGGGCAATAGTAAATTTGCTTTTTTGTCTTGGCCTTTGGATAATACCAAGGAGTGCACTCAGCCAGAAACCCTCAATTGCCAAAGAGTACTTAAGCTGGTTCACTGGTAATTCAAAAATGGAAAAGAACCCTGGCCAGTTTCTCGGCCCCAAGGGCAGAGACAGACAGACACTCCTTCTCTAGGGCTTCAGGATCCCACTGAAGAGTGGCCTCAGCCAAAGATCATTGGTTTCTAAGAGTAAAGTACCAGACTGTTGAGGGAAGCAGAGAGAAAAAAGAAGGGAGAAATCCCAGTAAAGTCCCAGGATGAGTCAAAAAGATGCCCGGCAGGGTGTCAGAGCCCCAGCATCAGAAAGTGGTTGACTCTCAGGTTGGCAAGAAGAATTTATTGACAACAGTATAGGTTTGAAAAGGAAGGTTTTATTAGATAGAAAGCATGCTGCAGAAGAGTACAGCGAGGCACCTCAGCAAGGGAGGACTGAGTGTGAAGCGGTGGATTTTCCTTAGGGGTTTTTATGGACTTTAAAGTGGGAGCTTAAGGGTATTTTGAACCGTATTAGCCATGTAGGTCATGAGGAATGATTACATTTATAGATATTTTGGTGCCTTGATGTCAGCAAGGGTTGCACAATGAGTTTCAATATGCATACATTCCAGAGATCTATAGAAATTCTAGTTACTTACAAAGTTTTGGGAAAAGAGCTTGGTACCAGATGCATGCTTTTGATAATAGGGAAGTCAAATTACTTCTAAATTCCTCAGATAAGGAGTTTTGCCTCTGGATGGCCTGCTTGATGGTCACTAGGTAATTTTCCTCGAACAAGATGCCTTCATCCTTCAGGGAGTGTATTTAGTAGTGTTGTCTGTCTTGGGAGGTAAGATTGTTGAGAAAAGTCTCAGGGAATAGGCTTTCCTGGACCATATAGGGAAAGCAGAGAAGGCATCTGAGGCTCCACATCCTCTTCCAAGATGAGCACTTTTAGTGGGTAATACCAAAATCCAAGTGGGAGGCAAGGCCTATAACCACAGACTATCATCATTTGAGTGATAATTTGTCATCTATGCTGAAATCCTTCTTTTTTCCTCTTGCAACCATCAGAGATAGTTGCCCGCATAGTCCCTGGAATATGCACAAGGGACTCTCTGATATCTCCAGATTTTGTTCCTTTCTGTTGGAATCACTATAAGGTCAAGTTCCTTTTTAATAATTCATGACACTTATTAACTTCCCACCCATCCAAAAAGCAAAAGAAACACACAGACACACAACGTGCACACACACAGAAACACACATGCATACACCACAAAGACATATCTTGAACACCTAAAAAATGCAAAACTATTGTGAAAGAAACCTTCATAGCACCAGTACTGTGGTGCACACAGTTTAACCAGTTTGAGGTGCCTGCCTGCTACTGAGATACAGCAGTGAACTCTTCTACCATTTCAATGAGATATCCTTCTGAGTTCTCACAGGCTGTTTAACTTCCATCTAAGTTTATAATTGGATAGTGTAGGTAAATGGAGTTAGAAGGATTCCAGTGGCCATACAGAAGCTTGTGGTATAGTAAAATGAACCTTGAGATCTAATTAGAACATATGATCAAAGCTTGAAAAAAAGAGGGAGGGTGAGAAAACAAAGAAGAGGCCTGCAGGAGCCTTTTGAAGAGATGTATTGTCTTTCTGCATCTGCTTGGCCATTACATAGAATATTAATGTGCATTTGCACTTGGTGGTAATGATAGGGGTGTTGACATAGTTGATCAAAATTGTTCCACCAGCTATGATGATGGATTGCTCCTGTCAGGAGAGCCAGTTAGAAATGTCTACATCAGATGACAAAGGGAAAAATGTATCATTGATTTGAATCCAGATAATAATCTTGTCTGAAAGAAGACATGTTGCTCTTTAGACAGCAGAATAAAAAGTATGTTCTAAATGAGTAGAAATTATGGTGAAAACAACTTCATTCTGTGTGCAATCCACTAACTACCCTCCCTTACCCTCTTCAACTGAGACTTTAGGCAAATTATGTAAACAGTTTGTATTTTCAGCTAGAAAATGCATACCTCTCTATCTCCCAAAAAGTTGTTCTCAGATTAAATAAAGATAATAAATATGAAAACGATTTAAAACAAAAATGCAGATTTAAAGGAATGTTAATATTTACCTGATGGCTGGAGCCAGAAATGTGGCCATCATCCTCCGATGGTTCCTTTTCAAATTATTCACCAAGTCCTTCCACCTCTTGACACTCAGTAATTTTGTCATTCCACTAGACCCGCTTCACTTTATCTATAATAATTTTTATTCGTTCTTGGTTCTTTGTTTGGATGCCACTTTCTTCTGCAAGAATTTTCTAAACCCAGTTTACGAATTAGGTATTCCCATATATTCACATAACACCACATACCTGTACATGATAGCATTGATTACAATGTTTATCATATTTTGTGCTAGAATTTAAGGTCCAAAGGAAACCACATCCATGACTTTAAATCTCTTTTCTTCACTTCAGCATTATAAGACTTGACACATAGTAAATAATTAGCAGCTAGTTGTTGACTAAAGAAATGCATAATTGTCTGGCTCTGAAATTAAAAATGAGAAAGAAATATAAGAAAATGTTGATTAAAAGTAATTATTTTAATTAGAAATTGACTAAAATATTTAAACATTTGATGCCTAGGCAAATAAACTTGAAAATATGTTCTCTTCCTGAGAGGAGCAAGAGTCAGCTAAAAGAAAAAAAGAAAAAGAAAACAAAACATACGTTGTCAAGCTAAAAGGCTGTATCTGATACTTTGTTTAACCATCATAGAAACATTTGGGCAATGTAAATAATATATATATCATTGTCTTTTTTACTCTCATCAACACTGCCTTCTTTTCAAAGTTGCCCTTAATATATATTAAAACTTGACATATGTCTCAAAGAAGTGACTCTGTGAGATTAAATTGATGGTTTTCATATTTCATAGACTGATCTTAATAATGGTTAAGAGTATGGTCTCTAGATCAAACTGCCTGGAGTTTAAATCCTGGTTCCACCACTTAGTAGTTGTATTATGTTAGGCAAGTTGCTTAAACTCTCTGTAAGTGTTTCCTCATTTGCAAAATGGGGATGATAAATCTCCCACTGAGGATTAAATGCTCCAATGCAAGTTAAGCTCTTGGAACCCTGGCACAAATTAAATACTTAATAGTTATTATCTTATTATTTGAACAATGTTGATATTTCTAATTTCTGAGCTATCATGTTAAATAGAGTAATTAGCACTTCTTATATTCTAAAAATATTT
The DNA here is from genome assembly GCF_000001405.40 of Homo sapiens. Lineage (NCBI taxonomy): Eukaryota > Metazoa > Chordata > Mammalia > Primates > Hominidae > Homo > Homo sapiens. Next base: position 66,251,688 of record NC_000010.11, on the reverse strand, counting down.
TGATATAATGAAATACCATGAAACATTTATTATATAGCTGTAATATTATTATATGAGCCATATTACTATTGATATTTTCTATTATGTTTCAATTTGGTCTTGTGGAAATATTGGAATTTCTGGATTACAAGAGGTTGGCTCAGTGGATTTTACTCTACTATAATTGCCTTGGTAGAAATATTCAATATTTTGATGCCAATTTAGCCATGAATAACTTATAAAAATGTAACTCCAATCTAATTTTCAAGGGGGAATTTTTGGAAACTGATAAAATGACTAAAATTCCATCCTAACAAAGCAAAATCACCAAACGTCTAAGAAAAATCAGAAAGTAAAAGAATATGAGAGGCATTGTCAAGTATCAGATTTTTTTTTTTAATTTCAAAGGTATAATCTTAATCATTTGGTATTGCTTCATGAATACAAAGACTGATCAGTGTAAGAAAAGAGATGTCCATGGAAGAGACACTAATAAATGAATGTTTTAGGGCAGGCCACACAAGATGGCTGCTTACTACAATACTCTTTCTGGAGAGCCTCTATGTGCATGACATTTTCAGTTTCCTTCTAAGAGGTTCCTGGTGCATGGATCACTGTGTTTAGTTCCATGTGGTTCTGCAAGCAGAGCCAGGGATTATTGGAGCAGGAATCACCTCTCATTCAGTCAATCATCTGGAATAATCAATGGTCTACAAGGCAGGGCAATATGAGAGGTATAGAACATACAGTACTAACATTCTCCACTTCATATGGTAACTAGTCAATTCAATCAGATCCTTTGATGGTCTATGTTACCCTCTAGAAAATGGCCACATATAAATAGCAGTAATATTTGAGAAGTACAGAAGCTAAAAGATAGAGAAAAAGCAGTAGTACGGTGACATTATTAGACAGAAAAAGCTAGGAAGAAGCATAAATTAATTCCAGAAGCATTTGTCATGTCAAGAGAAGAAACAATAGAAGCATAGACAAAGAGTAGTTGAGTAGCTATAGAATATTGAATTGGGTAGCAAAAGACACCACTGATAATGATAAAACAACAAGGTTACTATAGCTGCAGTGTATCCAGATGCTATAAGAAATTTTGCTCCTGCCGTTCAAAAAAATTATTATTTTTAATTGTAGAGAGTACATAGTAGGTGTGATTATATATAGGGCACATGAGATACTTTGATATAGGCATGTAATGCCTAATAACCACATCATAGTAAATGGGATATCTGCCTTCTCAAGCATTTATCCTTGGTGTCATAAACAAATTGTGTACTCTTGTAGTTATTTTAAAATGGACAAGTACATTATTATTGATTATAGTTACTCTGTCATGCTATCAAATACTAGGTCTTATTCACTCATTCTTTCTATTTTTTGTACCCATTAACTATCCTCACTTCCCCCTAAGTCCCCAACTACCCTTCCCAGCTTCTGGTAACTATTCTTCTACCCTCTATCTCCACGAATTCAATTGATTTAATTTTTAGCTCTCATAAATAAGTGAGAACATGTGAAGTTTATCTTTCTATTCCTGACTCATTTCTTTCTATTTCTGACTCATTTCACTTAACATAATGACCTCCCAGTTCCATCCATGTTGTTGCAAATGACAGGATCTTATTCATTTTTATGACTGAATAGTACTCCATTGTGTATATGTACTACATTTTCTTTATCCACTCATTTGATGATGGACACTGAAGTTGCTTCCAAATCTTGCCTACTATAAATAATGCTGCCTACTATAAAGTGAAGTTAACACTTTAACATCCTGATTTCCATTCCTTTGGGTATATACCTTGCAGTGGGATTGCTGGATTGTATGTTAGTTCTATTTTTAGTTTTTGTTTGTTTGTTTCTTTGTTTGTTTTGAGATGGAGTCTCGCTCTGTCCCCCAAGCTGGAGTGCAGTGGTGCTATCTCGGCTCACTGCAAGCTCCGCCTTATTTTTAGTATTTTGAGGTTTGAGGAAACTCCAAACTATTTTTCATGGTGGTTGTACTAATTTACATCCCCACCAACAGTGTACAAAAGTTCCCTTTTCTCCACATCCTCATTAGCATTTGTTATTGCTTGTCTTTTAGATAAAAGCCATTTTAACTGGGGTGAGATGTTATCTCATTATAGTTTTGATTTGCAGTTCTCTGATGATTGATGATGTTCAGCACCTTTTCATATTCCTGTTTGCCATTGACATTTGTATGTCTTCTTTTGAGAAATGTTTATTCAGATCTTTTGCCCACTTTTTGATCAGATGATTAGATTTTTTCCTATAGAGTTGTTTGAGCTACTTATATATTCTGGTTATTAATCCTTTCTCAGGGGGGTAGTTTGCAAATATTTTATCGCATTCTGTGGTTGTCTCTTCACTTTGTGGATAGTTTCTTTGCTGTGCAGAAGATTTTTTAACTTGATCTGATCTCATTTGTTCTTTTTTGCTTTGGTTTCTTGTGCTTGTAGGGTACTACTCAAGAAATCTTTGCCCACACTCATGTTCTGGAGAGTTTCCCCGATGTTTTCTTTTAGTAGTTTTATAGTTTCTAGTCTTAGATTTTTGTATATGGTGAGAGATAGGGGTCTAGTTTTATTCTTCTGCATGTAGAGATACAGTTTTCTCAGCACCATTTATTGAAGAGACTGTCTTTTCCCCAGTGTATATTCTTGGCAACTTTCTTGAAAATGAGTTCACTATAGTTTTATGGATTTGTTTCTGGGTTCTCTATTATGTTCCATTGGTCTATGTGTCTGTTTTAATGCCAGCACCTTGCTATTTTGGTTACTATAGCTTTGTAGTGTTAATATAATTTGAAATCAGATAATGTGAGTCCTCCAGTTTTCTTTGTTGATTTTCTGCCTGGAAGATCTGTCCAATACTAAAAGTGAGGTGTTGAAGTGTCCAGCTATTATTGTATTGAGGTCTGTCTCTCTCTTTAGGGCTAAGAATATTTGCAATTTATATCTCAGTGCTCCAGTGTTTGGTACATATAAACTTACAATTGCTATATCCTCTTGCTGAATTGACCTCTTTATCATTATATAATCACTTTCTTTGTTTCTTCTTACAGTTTTCATCTTGAAGTCTACTTTGTCTCATATAAGTATAGCAACTCTTACTCTTTTTTTTGGTTTCCATTGGCATGAAGTATCTTTTTTTATTTCTTATTTCTGTCTGTGTTTATCTTTATAGGGGAAGTATGTTTTTTATAGGCAACAGATCATTGTGGGTTTTTTAAAATCTATTCTTCTACTCCATGTCTTTTTTATTGGAGAGTTTAATCCATTTACATGTAATGTTATTATTGATAAATAAGGACTTACTCCTGCTATTTTTTTTCTGTTTTTTTTTTATGATTTTCTCTTTCTTCTTTTCTTCCTTCCTGTCTTCCTTTTAGTGAAGGCAATTTTCATTAGTGGTGTGATGAATTTATTGCTTTTTATGTTTTGTGTATCTGTTGTATATTTTGATTTGAGGTTACTATGAAGCATGCAAATACTATCTTATAATCTATTATTTTAAACTAATGACAACTTAAAGTTGATGGCATAAACAAACAAATGAGAAAAAAACTAATAGAAATGCTACACTTTATCTCACTGCCTTTTAACTTTTTATGTTTTTATGTATTCTTGTACTATGTCTTGAAAAGATGTAATCCTTTATTATTTTTGATTGGTTCATCATTGAGTTTTTCTATTACCTAATACATAAAATAGGAGTTTATACCCTCAAATTACAGTGTTATAATATTCTGTGTTTTTCTGTGTGCTTACTATTACTGGTGAGTTTTGTATCTTAAGATGATTTCTTATTGCTCATTAATGTCCTTTCCTTTTAGATTGAAGAACTCCCTGTAGAATTTCTTGCAGGATGGGTCTGGTGTTGATGAAATTCCTCAGCTTTTGTTTGTCTGTGAAAGTATTTATTTCTCCTTTAGGCTTGAGGATATTTTCACCAGTAATACTATTGTAGGGTAAAAGATTTTTTCCTTCAACACTTTAAATATGTCATGCCACTTTGCCCTGCCCATAAGGTTTCCACTGAAAAGCCTGCTGCCAGATGTAATGTAGCTCTCTTATATGTTATTTATTTCTTTTCTCTTGCTGCATTTATGATCCTTTTTTTATTTTCAACCTTTGGGAGTTTGATTATTAAATGTGTTGAGGTATTCCACTTTCAGTTGCAGCTGCATGGTGTTCTATAACCCTATTGTACTTAAATATTGATATCGTAGATTTTGGAAGTTCTCTGAAATTATCCTTTTGAATTAACTTTCTAATCCTATAGAAAGTAGTGAAGCCAGTCATGTTTGTGTCCTTCTCTTCAGGATAGCAAATTCCCCTAAACCCCAGGCAGGTCCAGCAATGCTAGCTGTGAACCAGGGATTAGAGTCAAAACCCTTAGAAATCTACCACATGTTCTATTTTACTGTGGCTAAGCTGGCACTCAAACCACAAGACAAAGTTCCTTCCATTCTCTACTTCTTCTTTTAGCTCGATAACTCTTAGATTTGGCCTTTGGAGGCTACTTTCTAGGCCTAATAGGTATGCTTCAATTTTTAATACATTTTTTTCATTTATCTCCTCTGGTTGTGTATTTTCAAACAGCCTATCTTCAAGCTCAGTAATTTTTTTTTTTTTTTTTTTTTTGAGATGGAGTCTTGCTGTGTCACCAGGCTGGAGTGCACTGGCACAGTCTTGGCTCACTGCAACCTCCTCCCGGGTTCAAGTGATTCTCCTGCTTCAGCCTCCCGAGTAACTGGGACTACAGGCACCCACCACTACATCTGGCTAATTTTTTGTGTTTTTTAGTAGAGACGGGGTTTCACCGTGTTAGCCAGGATGGTCTTGATCTCTTGACCTCGTGATCCACCTGCCTTGGCCTCCCAAAGTGCTGGGATTGCAGACATGAGCCACTGCTCCCATCCCAAAACTCACTAATTCTTCTGCTTGATCAATTCTGCTATTAGGAGACTATGATGCATTGTTCAGTATGTCAATTGCATTTTTTCAACTCTAGAATTTCTGCTTTTTTTTTTAATTTCAGTCTCTGTTAAAATCATCTGATAGAATTCTGGATTCCTTCTCTATCATCTTGAAATTCATTGAACTTTCTCAAAATAGCTATTTTTAATTTTCTGAAAGTAATGGCAGTGGCTGCTCCAGATTGCCTGCTGTTGCCATCATGCCAGCTGCAGCAAGGAGGCATGGCCAGGGCTGCATTCTCCATGGAGCAGCTGGGAGCTGGGGACAAGCAGGAGCCCTGGCCCTTGCAAGATGGGGCAGGAGCTCCCAGGGTACTGCTGCAGCCAGCCAAACTGTGGCTGCAGACTCCAACCTCCAGCTCCATGGAGCCAGCAGGAGCCCCACCCCCCAACCCTGGGCGCAGTTGTGGCTGCCCAAATCATGGCTGCAGACTTAGACATCCCTGCACTCTTGGGGTCCCAGGAAGGCCCCCCTGCCCTCTCAGGATCAGAAGTGCCTGCTCCTGCTGCCTGGCTTTTCCCTGCTCTCAGTGTGGTGCCCACTCTGATCTTGGAGGAAAGTCAGGGCCAAGCCCAGGCACCATGAATGACAGCAGGAGGTGGACAGATTGCTGGGTGGAAGGGGGTACATCCCTGGTGAGGCCCCACCTTTGGGCCATAGAGGGCCTGAAAGCTGGGGCCTGGGCTGCCAGTCCCACAGACTAGAGTGGGAACTTGTGGTGCCTTTTCTGGGCCCACCAATGGTTGCCCATGAGCCAAATCAGTGCACACTTCCTCCCATTTGAGGCCCATAAAAGCCAAAGTCTCAGCCAGAGGTGAGCAGACAATGGGATGACCAGCTGCAGAGAGTAGTTACCTTCTCTGCTGAGAGTGGGAGATGTCAGTATGACCAGAACCTGAGAGGAGCTGCCCACTTTATGGCCTCCTCTTTGCTGAGAGCTTCAGAAACTTGCAGAGAAGTCAGGACTATCAGCTGTAGAGAACAGCAACCCACTCCAGGGCCTTCTCTTTGCTGAGAGGTACAAAATGATGGCATGACCTGCCTGGAGAGGAGCTTCCCACTCCTTGGTCTCTTCTGTGCTCGGAGCTGAACACTCATCAGGATACCCTGCCTGCAGAAAGGAGCTACCCTCTGTGGGACTTCTGTGAGCTGTTATATTGCTCAATAAAATTCCCCTTCATCTTGCTTACCCTCCACTTGTCTGCCTACCTCATTTCCTCCTGTTGCAGGACAAGAACTTGGGAGCCACTGAATGGCAGAACTAAAAGAGCTAACACAAACAGGGCTGAAACATGTCCCTTGTTTGCCATGTTGCAGGAGAAGAGAAGAAGAGCTGTGGCCCCTCAGGGATCCCAGACCTGGGAGCTCCCAGAGTCAGGGCTGTGACTCCCTCTTTGGGTTTCTGTAGTTCCTTGTGTCTCTGAGCTTCTGGGCACCAATGTGCTTCCAGGGCCAGCCAGGGAAGCTGCTTGCAGTGTGCCTGGTTCAACTATGCCTTGCAGAGAGCCAGCACCTGTAGCTGTCTGCCCCACTGCAGCAGCTGGCATGTCTGACTGAGCAGTGGCCGGACCCCACACTCACTCACCCACCCCTCATTGCTCTATTGCTGACTCACCCTTGGCAGGCATGGGATCTAGGCTGGTAGCGTGAGCTGAGCACAGCCTGCCAGGCAGGGTGGGAAGAATGAGCCCAGTGCGCCCAAGCAAAACTTGGGCAAAGGCGCCACCAGGCAGAGGTTTCAGGCCAGAAAAGCAACACCCCAAAGATCCCGTAACAAAAGGTCACATATCTCTCTTTCTCCAGGATTGGTCTCTGGTGTCTTATTTACTGTGTTTGGTGAAGTTTTCTTGGCTGGTCTCAATGCTTGTAAATGTTCATCTGTAGCTGGGCATTTAAGAGTTAGGTATTTGTTTTAGTCTTCACAGTCTGCCTTGTGTGTACCCATCTTTCTTGGGAAGGCTTTTCAGATATTAAAAATGACTTCGACATTGTGATTTAAGCTGTATCTGCTTTAACGGGGACCCTAAGCCCAGTTACACTAGGGTTATTGCAGCCTCATAAATGTGCCGCCTTTGTTGTCTTGGATAAGATCCAGAAGAATTCTCCGAATTACCAGGCAGATTGTTTTTCTCTTTTCTTACTTTCTCTCAAATGTTGTTTCTCTCTGAGCTGAGCCACTTGGAGCTGGAAGTGGGATGACACAGGGCCCCACTGTGGCCACATCACTGGAACTGCCCTAGGCTAGACCTGAAATCAGCACAGCACTGGGTCTTGCTCAAAGCCCACTGTAACTACTACCTGGCTACTGCCTATGTTCCCTCAAGGACCTAGGGCTCTACAGTCAGCCAGTGGCAAAGGCAGCCATGTTTATGTCCTTCCCTTCCGGGTGGAAAGTTCTGCGCAGGCCCAGATGGAGATGCTGTCTGGAAGCCAGGGATTGAAGTAAAAAACGTTAGAAATCTACCTGATGTTCTATTCTACTGTGGCTAAGCTGGCACTCAAACCACAAGACAAAGTCCTTCCCATTCTTCCCTACCTCTTTCCATAGGCAGAGGAGCCTCTCCCCAGGTCCATCACCACCATCAGCTTGTGGAGAGTTCTGCCAGGCCACTGCCAATGTTCATTTAAGACCCAAGGGCTCTTTAGTCAGCTTGTGGTAAATGCTACAAGGTCTGGGACTCACCCTTTAGGGCAGTGGGCTCCCCTCTGGTCCAGGGCAGGTCCAGAAATGCTGTCCAAGAGTGTAGGCTTGTATTGGGGACCTCGAGAGCACACTTGGTGCTTTAATCCACTGTGACTGAGCTAGTACCTGAAGCCAGCATGTCTCAAAGTCTCACCCAAGGTCCATGGCATACTACCTGGGTATTGCTGCTGGTTATTCAGGACCCAAGGGCTCTTTGGTCAACAGGTGGTTACTGGGTTCTTCCCTTCAAGGGAGCGAGTCTCAATCAATTTACAAGTTTATTTTGCCAAGGTTAAGGACACGATCATGACTCAGCCTCAGGAGACTCTGAAAACATGTACCCAAGGTGGTCAGACTATAACTTGGTTTTATACATTTTAGGGAGATGTAAAACATCAATCAATACATGTAAGATGTACATTGGTTTGGTCCTGAGAGGCAGGACAACTCAAAGCCGGGGCTTCCAGATCATAGATGGATTCAAGTATTTTCTGTTCGGCAATTGGTTGAAAGAATTTATCTAAAGACCTAGAATCAATAGAAAAAAAGGAATGTCTGGGTTAAGATAAGGGGTTTGGGAGACCAAATTTCTTATTATGCATATGAAGTTTCCAGGTAGCAGGCTTCAGATAGAATAGAGGGCAAATGTTTGTTATCAGACTTAAAAAGGTACCAGACTTAGCTAATCTCTCCTGGATCAGGAAAAGACCTGGAAAGGGAAGAGAATTCTCTACAGAATGTTGATTTTCCCCACAAGAGGCAGCTTTACAGGGCTGTTTAAAGATATATCGAAGAAATATATTTCAGGGTAAAATACTTCAATTTCTTACAGGGCCTGGTATATGTCATTTTGTGATGTATCTGATTGCCACAAAGAGTCTGTTTGGTCAGTCTTAAGATCTCTTTTTTAATGTTAACACTGATCAATTGTGCCTGAATTCCAAAGGGAGGAGGGCATAATGAGATATGTCTGACCCCTCCTTCCCATGATGGCCTGAACTAGTTTTTCACATTTACTTTAGAACATCATTGGCTGAAAGGGAGATCCATTCTATCAGTTAGGGGGCTTAGAATTTTATTTTAAGTTTACACTGTTCAATTGTATTAACATGCCTCAAGAATATTTATCCATTCTTCTATTAAAGGATGTTTAGACTTTTCTCATTTTATGGACTATTATGAATAACAATGCTATGTACCTACTTACACATATTATTTCATGGAATTCAAGGGAATTTTTATTTCTCCTGCTTAAATTTTATTGTTAGTAATGAATTGCCAGGGTGAGGGCTAAATATATGCTTAATTTAAGAAACTCCTCTCCAAAATATTTGCACGATTTTACACTCCCATGAGCAATACATAAGGGTTCTGACTGGTCCACATGTCAACATTTAGTGTTATCAGTCCTTTTGATTTTACTCACTCTTATAAGTGTAAAATAGTATCTCCTTATGGTTTTAATATGCATATTCCTGGTCATATAGGATGTTGAGCATTTTTTCATTGCTTATTTTTTTATCAATAATTTTTCATATTTTTACTTTTGGCAGTTCTTCGTATGTTCTTGATAGCAGTCCTTTGCTGAATATGCGTACTGTCAATATATCATTTTCGTCTCCAATCTGTGTCAGTGGCTTGCTTCTCCATTTTCTTAATGGTGTCTTTTAATAAGTGAAAAGCTGATTTTGGTGAAATCCAGTTTAGTTTTATTTTTAACGGTTAATGCTGTTTTTTTCTCTCTTTGTATTAATCTATTTTCTGTTGTTTCAGGTAACAGGATACCTCAAACTGGGTAATTTATAAAGAAAAGAAATTTATTTTTTACAGTTATGGAGGCTAAGTCCAAGGTCAAAGGTCCACATCTGGTAAGGGTCTTCTTGCAGATGAGGGCTTTCTGCAGAGTTCTGAAGTGGCACAGGGAATCACATGGCAGGGGGGCTGAGCATACTCATCATCTTAAGGCCCCACCTCTTACTGCTGCCACATTGGGGATTAAATTTCAACTTGAGTTTTGGAGGAGACAGATATTCAAATCATAGCAGTCTTGTCCTAAATTAAAAATAATAATAATTAAAACAGAAAAACTGGCAGCTCCAAGGTTTTGAAAGTATTCTCCTGTATTTTGTTTTAGGAGTGGAATGGTCTTAGATTTATATTTGGTTATATTAGATTTTTAGTATTCCCATGTATTTGGAGTTTTCTAACGTTATTTTAATATTTTAATTTGATTTTACATAGGTTTTTTGCTTAGGTTAATATTTAAGACAATTATTTAGGTCTTACCCCTTTTCGTTTTATTTGGCAACCTCTGGTATTCAAATTCATGGTTTCTTTCTATAGCCATATCATTGCCCAGTTAAGTAGCTCACGTGAGGAGGTGGGGGGGCTGGGGGTGGGGGGATGTTTAATTGTTCTTTTCTGGCCACAGTCACATAATAGTCTCACTGTGTTTGTGAATCTAATGGCTTTTGATTATTTCTCAATTTCTCAGTTTTCTGATTTTAAATGATTTCCGATTATATTCTCCTAAGGTCTTAATATCCTCAAAGATATGTTGTAAGACCATTTGAAGGAAATTTGTAAGATTTACTTAACTTTGTAATTGGAACAATAGCTGAGATGATTGAAAAGGTCAACCTTTATTTTCCTTAATTTTTTAACTTTCTATTTTGAGTTACTTTGAGATTCACAAAGAGTTGTTAGAAAAAATATAGAAACATACTGTGTATCATTCAACTGTAACATCTGGCATAACTATAGCACAATATCACAATCAGAAAATCAACAGTGATACATTTCATTGACCTTACTCAATTTTGCCAGTTTTACATTTACCCAATTGTGTATGAGCATTTATTTTGTTTTTTTTTAACCCTTTTAAGAAGACAATTAATATTTAAGGTTTTGTTTGTTTGTGGTTGTTCTGGTTCAGTATGAATGAGTTTGAAGGGCTCATTTTTCTTCTTCTCTACCTGAGTTTCTCATTCTTATGTGTAAGGCAATCCATGGGTCACTACATGCAAAACATTGTTTTTGTCCTTATTTTTATTTGAAATCCTTATATTTCTATTTCCTAAAAACTTGTTATTTTCTCCTTGACTAAACGGTTTCTTTTCTTTTGTAAATCACAGCATTGACAAATTTTATATAATACTAAACAATGTTTTTCCATTACTTAAAAAACTTTTGAGGTTGCTTAGATTACTCTTACCACTGTTCTTTGTTTACATCATTCAATATATTTATTTACTCAAAATTCATCCTTTGGTTCTTGATGTCTCTCTTCTTTGTTATCAAAGATTTTCTCTTCATTTTTAGCTTGATGTTTTTAAGCAACATTTTCAGTTATCCCTGTTTTTCAAACTTTCCAATATTTAGAGATGTGAGGTTTCTGAGTTTGCTCCCAATCTCTATTTTTAAAACTTTATTTATTTTTTGTTAGAAAAAAGGTTAACAAAGAGCATCTGTTCCTTTAATTTTGTAGTCTGTTCCTTTAATTTTGTAGTACTATAGCGCATCTGGTAACCCAGTAGGCTATTTGTTTCTTACAGGGATCTGTAGGTATTATAAAGACTATTATTTGTTTTGTCCGGCTAGTACATATTCAGAAGCCCAAAGATGAAAACATGTGGATGATACAATGCTTAAGGTTAAGATAACTGTGTTTTATAAACAGAAAAAAAGTGTGATAATTTCAAATGAGCCGTTTACATAAGTTAATGTTGATGTTAGAGTTGTGATTTGCATTTCCCGATTTTGGTTCTTCATTTGAAATGTTATTGATTTATTTCCATAGGGCTTTACTTTTAGAATCCTGGAGTTTCCTAAGAAAATAGAAAGGTAGAAAGTGGCAATTATAGCCCACATTCCTACTAAGCAGCTATAAATGCTAAAATATGCTGATATATCAATTACCATTATAATAAAAATACAAAAATATAAGTTACACAATGTAGGCAATGTATTTGTTAACACTTATGGATATCTATAACTATAGATATAGATTAATCTATATAGCTCTAGATTATTATATCTATACCATAGATATCTATACCATGTAGATCCATCTATATGGTATAGATAAAATAAATTGGCCAGAGTTTTCTACTTTAGTGTTTATAGTTTCTTTTTTTTAGAATAGTGGGCAGAGGAATTTAAACTAAACACATTGGGCAAAGATAATGTATAGGATTTTGTGTCAAGGAAAAATGCCCAATTTAACAGTTAAGTAGCCTAGTAACATATGCCACAGCAACATGTCTTGTCCCAAACAATGCGCATAGTTGAAAGAGAATACGAAAAAAACAACAAACCAGTATCAATGCCACCTGAAACTCATAAGGGAAATGCTTAAAATGTTCCATGTAAAACATATATGAAATATGTCCACCTCAAAGGATAATTTCAAAGTAAACTGTGAAATGCTGCTAGTGTTGTAATTATAGCCTCATTTTATTTCTGAATGATGATAAAGTGCTTTTGTTTTTGTTGATGTTGTTGTTGTTGAGAGTGCCTAATCTATTAGGCTTTTTCAACACAGTTTCTGAAAGAGGCTATCGAAAGACAATTGTAGTACTAGTCCATTGCAAAAGTGAACAGTCTACCCACTGATTTTAAGGGTAATATACCCCAGACTGGGGAGCAGAAGATTGGGCATAATCATACCTTAGCTTTTTTCAATCTCCAAAGTTAAAAGAATAAAAGCAGAAGACTAGCATACATTATATTTTAGAATTAAAATAAAATGTAATTAAATTTAATTAATTAATTATATTTTAGCATTAAAATAAAATGTAATTATTTGTAAAATCAATTGACTAATTAAATGTACTTAATCAATTAATTATAAAATAAAATTGTAATTAATTGATTAATTGATTATTGAAAACTACCATGTTTCCAATACTCTTATAAATATATTATAGTTCTTATTTCTTTTCCTTTGCCATTGCTTAACTCTTGGACCATATTATATACTTCTGATAGATGCTGTCATATATAACCCTGTATTTCATTTGTCATTTCATTTACTGAATGGCATTAGAGTTTCTTTGTTGATTCTCCATTAACTATAACCTCCTCATAAATACAAACCATATTCATCTTACCAAGGTATTACTGACAGTATTTTTCACATTGGAAAACAAAGGATGCTTACTTCATGGTCACATAAAACAATTATTTTTCTTAAAAATTATCCAGTAATGCATGTTTATAATTGAAACATTAGAAATTATATTTTAAAAATGTAAGAATAAAATCATTTGTAGTCTTATCACCCAGAGATAACTATTTCAAGTGTTTTCTGTGAAGATATTTGAAAAAAATTATATATATATATATATTTGGACATTTATTAGTATTCCAAAATGGGATCAGATTATACAAATTATTCTCCAATCTGTTTTTACTCCCATTTAAGTCTGCCACCCATACCCTCATTATTGCTCTCTAAGTTAGTCATCGCATGCTATTTTTACTGTGTATTTCACAAATATTATGAAGGCAAATCTTTTATTGGCTGTCTATACAACTATTTCTGGAATCTGGTAAGACAAGAAATTTGAGTTTACAATAATTTTTTTTGTGACAACCTGATAATTTCAAATAACTATTATACTGAAATTCTAGATTTCTCATAAAATAAACGTGTCTAAAACTTATCTGTAAGATGACACTATAACATTATAAAATAATTACTATCACCTTCAGCTTGTACAGTGGGTTCCTGCTCATTAAAGATCCCTTCTTTCAGACTTGAGTTATTTAATATTTATAACCTGATGTACCCCTCTCCCCGCCTCAGTAAGATCCAAGGAAGCAGGAGTTGGATATTTAAATTTCATCACTTTTGCTTCCCCAATTAAAAGAATAAAAAGCAAAAACTATAGGGTGAACCTGCTTTATATTTTGGATTTGAAATAAAATGTAATTAATTAATAGATAAATCTATCTTTTAAATATGGACTTGTCTTTTCCTTCAAGTAGCATGAATTTGATTATTTTATATGTTGAAATAAGCATAGTTTCTATGACAATTTAGAAAAAAAATTTATCATTTATAGCAAATGATTTGATTTGAAAATGCATAGAATAAATTTATTTTCTTAGAAGAAACCACAGATGCAAGAATTTGGGAAAATAACTCATTGTAATAAATGATAAACCCACTGTACCATAATGTCAAGTATCAAAGCATTGATATGGACTTTGTATGATTATTTAGAATTTTAAATTTAGTTAATACAAGACTTGACTAATGTGCTGTGCAATTTTGTAAATTACTGATACTTTGAAAAAAATGGTTATAAGACACTTTTAAATGATTGGTTTATTTGCTGCCATTTTTATGGTTGGAACTCAGTCTTACGTAGCCCTAAAAGGCAACTTCTGAATCACCACTATTGTAGGTCATTATTGCAATTGTAATACTACATATTCACACCCCTTTTAAAAAAAAAAATCACAAAACTCTATTATGTACTTGGTGTTCTGAGAAAAGTACAAAGCAAATGTTGAAGCCAATCATGCTTCAAATTGCTTAGAAATATCTCTTGTATTAAATAGTCAGCATTTCGGGCCAAGGAGGATCGAATAACAAAATATACACGTCATCATGTAAAGCCATTGCTTGATCTTAACAATTATGATTTTATTTCTTTCAAATACAACAATTCCCCTGATGTTTCAAGTAGCAAGCCACAGAATGCTATAAGAAAATTGGGAAGGCACAAACCTTTGCTAATATTGTACATTACTTTTCTATTGGTGGGTAGAGAGGAAGCCATCCTGCCTTCCATATACATATTCAGTGGTTGAATATAAAATCTCTTTCCTTTTTTATAATTGTGGATATAGATTTAGATATTTCATATTCTTTTTTTGGGTTATTATTATGATCATTAGTTTTTCAGACATGACCTTGCTCTGTTGCAGTGGTGTGATCATAAGCTCATGGCAGGCTTGAACTCCTGGGCTGAAGTGATCCTCTTGCCTTAGCTTCCTGAGTAGCTAAGAATACAGGTGTGGATCACCATGCCCAGCTAATCTTTTTAAGTTTTTTTTTTAATTTTTAGTGGAGACATGGCCTCACTACATTGCCTAGGCTGGTCTCGAACTCTTGGGCTCAAACCGTCCTCTCTCCTTGACCTCCTAAAGTGTTGGGATTGTAGGTGTGAGCCACCATGCCTGGCTGTATTTGAGGCTTTTATCAACTATATGCAGCTAGTATGTATGAAAAAATAAACTTTCAAAATCAACAGCTAAACAAATCCTAAATGAACAAAAGCATGTTGGAAAGATAAACCTGGAAAAATATTTTTTCTTTGTATCTCCTGTGTATTTTTTCTCTGAAAACCCGATAAATTATCATAAAGTTGAAGAGGGTGGGAAAACAATTTCAGAAACAAAATATAAAATTGCTACTGATTTGATGATTTTACATTTTCCTTAAAAATTATGGATAGTTCTGACTTTAGATTTCCCAAATGCAATATATTTTATAAAAACTGACAGGTGACATTCCCTCTAAAAAGAAGAAATTGTGCTTCCTCAAGGAAACCTACCAAAATATCTTACAGATTAAATATTACTAAATATTTAGATAATTGTGGCAGCTTCAAAATATATTCAATCTGTCTATTTCATTGCCACATAACTAGTTTCAAGTGTAGCTTTCCTGAGAATTTGTATGCTTGCTATATGTTTGTATCTTGTCATTTTTGTAATTGGTTGGTCTAATTCTGTAAGACAACTGATCTAGGAAACAAGATAAAAGTAAATAAAGAAGAGATACTTTATTCATAAGAAAACTTGTGTTTAGTTCTGACTTATCTTTCTTTGAGCTTTTCTGTATCTCATTGTCTCCGTTTGTTCCTTTGTTTTTCCATTCTTACTTTTCCTAATTTACAGGTATTAAGGGAAGATAAAGATACACATCTTTGTCTTCTTCTCAATGAGACTACAAACAACCCAAGGGGAGAGACTTAAAATTTCCTTTGTCTTTTCCATAGGTAGAGTGACCTCATTTTCCAAAACCAAAAATGGGAAATGGATGTGTCAAAAGTGCTACTATGAGAAAATAGACGTGAGAAAAAATGTTTTTAGTCAAATCATCCTTAAAAAATAGGACAGATGGACAATTTATTCAATGTATATGAGCATTCTTTGGATCTTATAGACAATGATAAATGGACATTAAAATAAAACATAATCTGAAATCTTGCTAAATCTGGCCCTATTAATTGTCAGATTAATAGCTTTGTTCATTTTTATCATAACTATCTGGGTATTTGCCTTTCACACTCCAATATCGGATATGTTCATGGCGGATCTATTTTCTTATTTACTTGCTTCCAATTTAACTAAATATGTGACCAAACTACTTAGAACTATCCACGAAAATTCTACAAATATACTTAAAATTAGTTGACTCTTCTTTGGAATGTGAAACTAGTCACTTAAAGAAGGCATTAGGTAGCTTTGAGATATAATTAGGCTATGATTATATGTGGTTATTTTAAATAACAATGATGATTAATAAAATAATTATTTTATATGTCAATTTATTTTATATATCAGGATAAATAATTTTATAAATCCATAAGTTGGTATTATATCTTATATGTAATAGAATATTAATAAAACTATAATAAAATACATTTAATAATAAATTTATAGTTATTTTTAATACCATAGATAATACCTTTAAAAACTAAAAATTGGAAATAAAATTTTAAAGCATGAAATAAAGAAGCAGCACAATTTGATATATTGTATACTTCTTATTTTTTACTATGTAACATTACTACCAAATTTAGTGGTTTAAAACAACGATATTTATTACCTCTCATTTTCTGTGGATCAGCAGTCTGGGTATAATTTGGCTTATCCTGTCTGAGGACCTGTCACAAGACTGCAGTTAAGATGTCAGCTAGGGCTGCTGTCTATCTGAAGGCTCAACAAGCGAAAGGTCTGCTTCGAAGCTTACGTGGTCATTGACAGAATTCAGTTCTTCTCAGGCTGTTAGACTGATTGTTGGACAGAGACTACTTTCACTTCCTTGTCATATGTGCTGATCCAAAGAACAGGACACAGCATAGCAGATGGCTTCAATTGCAGGAATCAAATGAGAAAGTGAGAAAGAGCCTGTGAAGGAGATTAAAGTCACAGTCTTTTGGAAGGTAATCTCGGAAATACCTCTCACTTTTGCTTCATTCTGTTCATAAGAAACAAGTTAATAGTTCAAGCCTATACTCAAGAGAAGGGAGTTTTGCATAGTTGTAAATAATAAGAGGAAGGGATCTGTGGGGGCCATTTTAAAATTGAGTTACTACACCTTGCAAAATAACAGTTGATTCTCATGATACTTTTCACCTGCCTTAGGGATGTAGGTCACCATTTAAGGATTTCCTACTTCATGTTGTCAGTCTCAATCAAATACTTGTAACACAATTTTATAAAAATTAGATCTTTTATATCAGACACGCAACTACAAATCATATATTATGTATGTGGGGTGCATAACAACCGTAAAAGTTTCTCAAAGATCAATGTTCAATCATCCTTCACACACATATCTTGAATCCAGCAATATTTTCCAGGCATGTGTGTGTTTGGCTGTATGTGAATGTGTTTGTCTGTGTGTATGTGTGTATCTTCAACTCTAAGGAGCACAGGAGTCCTGCTGTTTAGTAGGGGGAGACAGATTCTTGTTGAAGAACCATACCTGATTTATGACCAAATATATATATTTTTGGATTATTTATTTGGTAAACATGTTGTTGAAGTGTAACATATGTAAAAAGAAGTGTAAAATAAAAAATATAAATGACTTTATATAAAGTGAAAACACCCATGAAAGCATTCATGGATTAAGAAGTTGAATATTATCAGTACCACAAGAAATATACTTTGTGTGCCTACCCAGTCATTAACCTTTTAAAAAGGAGTCATTTTTCCCTATCACCACAAATTAATTTTGCCTGTTATTTTTTAGTTTTATATAAATGGAACAGAGAACATATGTACATTTTTACAACAGGTTTATTTTATTCAAAATAGTTTGTGAAATTCAACTATGACATTTTGTTTAGTAAAGATTCATCCATTTTCCTTACTGGAAAAGCATTCTAAGTTTTTAACAATTATTAATAATGCTGCTATGAACATTCTTATACATGTGCTTTAACACACATTTAAGTACATTTTCAATTCCACCTGGGAGAAGAGTTCTTAGATCATCATCAAGTATAACATATTTAGCTTTAGAAGATACGGCAAGTTCCAAAGTTTTATATATATGTTTAATCCACCAGAAGTGAAATAGTATTGCTTTTTAAGTTGGTCCACATTTTGGCCAACACTCAATGATATCAGTCCTTTTAATTTTAACTATTCTAGTCTATATGCAGTGCTGGAGCACTGTAATATGCATTTTCTTGATAAATATGGAAGTTGAGAACCATTTTATGTGTTTATTGATCATGTAAATTTCTATTTTGTAAAGTACCTATTTAAGACACTCATAAATAAGTTATCTGATTTTTAAAATTGATTTATAAGACTTTTACATATTCTAAATGTTATTCATTGGTCTGATGAGTGTAATGTGAATATCTTCTTCTACTCTGTGGCTTACTGTTCACTTGGTAGCTTATTTTAGAAAAATAATTTTTATTTTAATAAAACTAGTACATCAATTAGATGTTCCCTTTATGGTTAGTGATTTTTGTGTCCTGCTTAAAATATAATTGCTAAACTTTAAGGTCATGAAGATACTGTGTAGAAACTTTATTGTTTTTCCTTTCATATTTAAATGTATCATACACCTGAAATTTTTTTTTTTTTTTTTTTTTTTTTTTTTTTTGAGGTGGAGTCTTGCTCTGTCACCCAGGCTGGAGTGCAGTGGCGCGATCTCGGCTCACTACAAGCTCCGCCTCCCGGGTTCACGCCATTCTCCTGCCTCAGCCTCCCCAGTAGCTGGGACTACAGGCGCACACCACCACGCCCGGCTAATTTTTGTTGTATTTTTTAGTAGAGATGGGGTTTCACCATGCTAGCCAGGATGGTCTCGATCTCCTGACCTCGTGAGCCGCCCGCCTCGGCCTCCCAAAATGCTGGGATTACAGGCGTGAGCCACCGCGCCTGGCCTGAAATTGATTGTTGACAGATGTTGCAGAAGGTAAAAGTTAAGATACAATTTTCCCCATGTGGATATCCTATAGACCTAGTAACAATTATCAAATCAATCATCTTTTCTCTTTTTACTTCAAGGTCAACTTTGTAATAAATCAAGTGATTGTATAAATGTTACACTATTTCTGCTCCTGGATATATTTTTAAATTCCATGTAATGTTTGTCCTTGCACTAGTATCAGTATATATCTTCCTCCTTTGTTCTTCCTATTCAGTATTAACTTGGTCATTTCTGGATCTTTTCTACTTAAATTTTAAAATTATTTTTTAAATTTGCACAGAAAAGTCCTGGGATTTTTATGTACATTGCATTGAATCTATTGACTAACTTGAAGAGAACTGAAATCTTTAAAATATTGAATCAAAATTGTATTAGTTTTAATTTACTTAAATTTTAAATTTATTAGTTTTAAATTACTTAAATTTTAAAATTATTTTTAAAATTTGCACAGAAAGGTCCTGGGATTTTTATGTACATTGCATTGACTCTGTTGATTAACTTAAGAGAACTGAAATCCTTACAATATTGAACTAAACTGTATTAGTTTTCTATAGATGTATAGCAAGTTACCACAAATTTATCAGCTTAAAACAACATAAATTTATTATCTCATAGATTTTGTGGGTCCATAGTTTAGGTGCATATTGTCTGGGGTTCCTGCTCAAAGTCGAACTAGACTGAAATCAAGGCATTGGACAGTGTCTGATTTTGGGGGAAGTTATTACTCTCTTTAGGATTAACTCTGAAAACCTCAACTGTATGTAATTAGAACACACTGTGGGTTGTATTTCATTAGATATTCTTGGATCTGTATCTTCTGTTTAGACTGGGAAATTAAATTTCTGTTTAGATGGTGAAACAGAATTTAATCCTTAGCAGTAGCAGTATAGCATTGAGATAGTTTATTCAGTAATACTAATTTGATCTTGTAAAATCAGAGAGTAAGGAGGAGGAGTAGAGAGAGAATGGGGGCTTTGTTTGTCAGCTAATTGTGAAACTGTCAGCTTTCTCATTGTTGGTATTCTTAAAAATACAGCTAAAGCATACACATGTCTGTGGATAATTGGATAATAATTGCTAGTCTATTTAGTTTTGCATTTAGCTTCTCTAGTAAAGAGGGAGGATAAAATAAAGTAACTTTATTAATTTAAAATATATACCCATTCCCAGATATTTTATTTTGTTTTCCCTTTACCCTGAAATGAATGTGCTGACTAAAACCACTAATTACATTGTATAAAGCTATCTTAGTGTATAATGAGGGAAAACAGCATCAAAATCAGGAGCCAAGAAGTCAAGCTCCACTTGGATCAGGTTACAATCTTAAACCTCCATATTCTGGAAGGATTCCCCCTTCCCCATGAAATGTTTCAGAGGGACAACTGCTAGATATTAGAATATTTCAAATGACTTCATCAAAGGAAAAAAAAGCACTTTACGATTCAGTAAATCTTATGATTTTTTTTTCTATTACGAAATATCAAAAACCCTCTGAGGCATAGATACTAGGGTTATATAGTATCATATATGCATATAGAGAAAATGAAGTGTCTGGCCAGGATTGTCTGCAAGCCAAGAGGAGCTTTCCACTGCAGAAAAAAGAAAAGCAAGAGATCCTCAGTAGTCCACATTCCCACGATGAATACTCACACTCCTACTAACAGGAGAGCTTCACAGCCATTGCAGGAGCTGAGTCAAGTATAGAGAGCTGCCTGGAGTCCATGCAACTGCATTGTCCCAGAAAGAAAATTCACATTGGGTCCTCTTCACCTCCAAAGACCCAAGCTGCCACAGCATGGCCCCATTTTTAGAGAAGAGCCACCACCTGAGTTTATTCTTCCCTGGGGCCCAATAGCCCCTGCACCTCCATATCCCTGGGGCTTGCTGACCTTCCACCTCATCTACCAGGAAAGCTGCAGCATCATGACAAAAGATGAACATAGTGGTGCAGCTGTAACTTTGTTACCAGAGCCCAGGCAGAGCTCTATACATCAGGGCATAAATGATCCAGCACACTGGGAAGGCAGCCCTCAGGACATAGTGACCTGACACACTCATTCCCCAGAATCCAAGAGCCACCTGCCCAGGGCTTTCCATCACCATCAGGGACCCTGCTTCATCCAAAATGGGGCCATCACAAGACTGTGCACGCTCTCCATAAACTTGAGGACTGTCCCATGAGGAGCCTGTCACCGCCACAGGCAATCTTGACCCCTCCACAGGCAACGTGACTGTGCACCTCTGTGGGCTCTCCTGGAGACCAAGGACCAACCAACCTGGCATCCCTGTCCCCAGTAAAGCTCTGCCACAGATTTCACAAATAATTGCAGCCTAGACCGCTGATGCACTCTCAGACACTGATGACATTGATTACAGCTTTAGAAATCATATGGATAATATACAACAGTGCCCACCTAGAACCTTAACCAAAGCACTCTATCCAACCCACATTATTGAAAATATCTACAGGAAAAAGTCTTTCCCTATTAAAACTATTACATAAAATTGGAAGAAGGGACTGTCCTACAAGATCTTAAATATCAATTTAAGAACAGGAAAAACATGAAAGAGCAAAGAAACATGGCATTTTCAAAGCAACATCATAATTCTCCAGTAACAGACCCAAATTTAAAATAATGATCTTAAGTAAACTCAGTGAGACATGAGAACACAAATAGACAATCCAAGAAAAAATAATAGCTTATGATCTGAAAGAGACATTTAGCAAAGAGATAGATATTGTTTAAAAAGATCCAACCTGAAATCTTGAAATTGAAAAATTCAATAAGTGAAATAAAAAATACAATAGAAAAACTTCAATAGTAGAACTGAATTAAGCAGAAAAAAAATTTCTGAAGGTGAATAGAGAAATTACCCAATGAGACAAAAAAGAGGAGAAAAGAAAAGAAAAACAGAATGAAAAAGAATGAAGAAACTCTATAGGATATAAGAGACATTATTAAGCAAATACATAGTTACATTATAGAAGTTACAGCAAGAGAAAAGATGCTAAAAGGCAGAAACCTATTTAATGAAATAATAGCTAAAAATGTCCTAAGTCTTAGAAGAGATATGGATATCCAGATTAAGAAGCTAAAAAAATTACAAATAAATTCAACCCAAACAGGTGCCCTCTGAGGCAAACTATACTGAAATTGTCCAAAGACAAGGGGAGAATCTAAAAACAGCAAGGGAAAAGCAACAAGTCACATACAAGGAAATCCCTATCAGACTAACAGAAGATTTCTCAGCAGAAACCTTACAGGCCAAGAGAGAATAGGATGATATATTCAAAGAGTTGAAAGAAATAAAAAAAACCTGTGAGACGAGAATATTATACTCAGGAAAGCTATCCTTCAGAAATAAAAAAGAAATAGGATCTTTTTTAGACAAGCAAAAACTAAGAAAATTCATCACCACGAGACCAGCCCCACGTGAATTGCATAAGAGAGCCTGACACGTGGATGTGAAAGGATGATATCTGCCATTATGAAAAAACACAAAAGTATAAAACTCACTGGTACAGCAGATGCACAAGTAAGAAAGAGAAAGAAGTAAAATGATCTCACTACAGAATACCTCCATACTGCAATGTTAAACAATAAGAGGCAGAGAAGAAAACAAAGGGTTTACAACACAACCAGTAAACAATTAACAAAAGAACAGGAGTAAATTCTCAACATTCAATAAAATCTTTGGTAAATGGTTTAAATTATCAAATTAAAAGTTTTGCTGACTGGGCTATATAGATTTAAAAAATTGACCTAACTATATGCTGCATACAAGAAGCTCACTTTACCTGGAAATACACATGCAGACTGAAAGTCAAAGAATGGAAAAAGTTATTCCTTGTGAATGGAAACCAAAAATGAGCAGAAGTAGCTATACTTATATCAGATAAAATACTTTAAGTCAAAAAACATTAAAAGAGACAAAGTTATTATATAATGATAAATAAATTCAGCAAGAAGATATCACAATTATAAGTATATATGCACCCAACACCAGAGCACACAGATATATGAAGCAAATACTATTAGAACGAATAGAAGAAATATACTCCATTACAAATAGTCGGGGACTTCAGCAACCCACTCTCAACATTGAACAGAGAGTGGACAGATTTAGACAAAAAATCAAAGAAACATCAAACTTCAACTGCAATATAGACCAAATAGACCTAATATACAAGTAGAGAAGATTTGATGCAACAACTACAAGTACACATTGTTCTCATCAGCACAAAGTTAGGTCACAAAACAAATCCTAATAAATTTAAAAATAATCGAAGTCATGTGAGGTATTTTTAAAAAATAACAATGAAATAAACATAGAAATTAATAACAAGAGGAACTTCAGAAACTGTACAAATGCATTCAAATCAAACAACGTGCCCCTGAATGGTCAATTAGTTAATAAAAAATTAAGAAGAACATGAAGAAATTTCTTCAAAGAAATGAAAATTGAAAGACAGCATACCAAAACCTGTGAGATACAGCAAAAGCAGTAGTAATATAGAAATTTATGGCAAAAACACATCAAAAAAGAAAGATTTCAAATAAACAACCTAATGATGCATTCTGAGAAATTAGAAAAGCAAGAACAAACCAAACCCAACTTAGTAGATAGAAAGAAATAATAAAATTCAGAGCAAAAATAAACAAAACAGGCACAAAAAATACAAAAGATCAATAAAATAAAAACAATATAATGATAGTGTTTTGGAAAGATAATCAAAATTGAACAGTTGTTAGTGAGACAAACAAAGAAAAAAGAGAGATGACCCACATAAATCAAAAATCATAATGCAGGCATTACAACAGATACCACGGAAATATAAAGGATCACAAGAGAATATTGTGAACAACTATATGCCAATAAATTGGAAAACCTAGAGGAAATGAATAAATTTTTGGATACATCCACCTTCGAAGACTGAACCAGGAAGAATTTGAAAATCTAACCAGACCAATAATGAGTAAGGATGTTAAATCAGAAATAAAAAATCTCCCAATAACAACAGCACAAAGCCTAGGACCAGATGACTTCACTGCTAAATTCTACCAAATTTTTAAAGAACTAAAATCAGTTCTCACAATTTTGCAAAAAAGTAAAAAGGAGTACAAACTTTCTTACTCATTTTATAAGGGAAGCATTACCCTGATACCAAAACCAGACAAGGACACAACAATAAAAGAAATCTACAGACCAATATTTTGAATGAACATAGACGCAAATATCCTCAACAAAAAACTAACAAATGAAATCCAACAGCATATCAGAAGGATTATACATTGCAATTACGTGGGATTATTTTTCTAGGAATGCAAGGATAGTT
Organism: Homo sapiens; assembly: GCF_000001405.40. Classification (NCBI taxonomy): domain Eukaryota; kingdom Metazoa; phylum Chordata; class Mammalia; order Primates; family Hominidae; genus Homo; species Homo sapiens. The sequence continues at coordinate 66,227,491 of NC_000010.11, read as the reverse complement.
TAACATATGCAAGTCAATAAATGTGATACATCACAGCAACAATTGAATGATCACCTCAATAGTGGCAGAAAAAGCATTTGATAAAATTCAACATTACCTCATGAAAAAAAAAAAAACACCTCTTAACAAATTAAGTATAGAAGTGTACCTCAACACAGTAAAGGCCACATATGACAAAACCACAGCTAATATACTGAATGGAGAAAACTGAAAGCTTTTCCTTGAAAAACTGGGATAGGACAATGATGCCCACTTTCACCACTCTTATTTAACATAGCACTGGAAGTCCTAGCCAGAATAATTAGGCAAGAGAAAGGAATAAAGTGCAGCTGGGTGCAGTGGCATATTTGTGTAGTCCCAGCTACTCAGGAGGCTAGAATGAGAGGATCACTTGAGCTCAGGAGTTTGAAACCAGCCTGGGCTACACAGTGAGACCCTATCTCTTTAAAAAAGTATATCCAACTCAAAAAAGAGGAAGTCAAATTATCCCTATATGGAGATGACATGATCTTATATATAGGAAAATCTAGACTCCACCAAAAAAAATCTTAGACCTGATAAATTTGGTAAATTTGCAGGATACACAATAAATGAGCAAAAATAATTAGTCTCTCTATACACCAATAATAAACTTAGTGAAAAATAAATTAAGAAAGCAATTATGTTTATAATAGCTGTAAAAATAATAAAAAAATACCTAAGAATAAATTCAACCAAGGAGTTGAAAATTCTCTACAATGAAAATTATAAAATATTGATGAAATACATTAGAGTGGACACAAATAAAATGGAAAGACATCCCATGTTCATGGACTGGAAGAATTAATATTATAAAAATGACCATACTACCCAAAGTAGCCTACAGGTTTAATGCAATTTCCATCCAAACTTAGGACATGCTTCAAAAAAAAAAAAAGGAAAAAAAATCCTAAAATTTGTATGGAACCACGAAAGACCTCAAATAACTAAATCAGTTCTGAGAAAAATGAATAAAGCTAGAGGCATAATACTGCTTGTCTCCAAAATATACTACAAATCTATAGTAATCAAAGCAGTGTGATACTGATATAAAAACAGACACATAGACAAATGGAACAGAATAGAGAACCCAGAAATAAATCCACGTATGTATAGCCAATTGATTTTTCACAAAAGTGCAAAGAATAGGCATTGGGAAAATGGCAGCCTTTTCAATAAATGGTGCTGACAAACCTAGATATCTGTAGGTGGAAGAATGAAACTAGATCTCTATCTCTCACTATATACAGAAATCAACTCAAAATGGGTGAAAACTTAAATGTAAGACCCAAGTCTATAACACTACTAGAAGAAAACTAGAGATATTGGCCTGGGCAAAGTTTTTGTGGTTAAGAGTTCAAAAACATAGGCTATAAAAGCAAAAATAGACCAATGGATTATATAAAGCTAAAGAGCTCCTGTGCAGCAAAGGAAACAACAGAGTGAAGAATGAAGAAGTAACCTGTAGAATGGGAGAAAATATTTGCATACTACTCATTTGACAAGGGATTAATATTAAGAACTCAAAGAAGTCAACAGCAAAATATCCAAATAACCTCATTTTTAAAATGAGCAAAATATCTGAATAGACATTTCTCAAAATAAGACATACGAGTGGCTAATAAGTATATTTAAAAATGTTCAATATCACTAATCATCAGGGGAATGCAAATTAAATCCAGAGAGGTATAATTTTTCCCCAATTAGAATGGCTGTTATTAAAAAAAAATCAGAAATGTTGGTGAGGATGTGGAGAAAAGGGAGCTCTTATACACTGTTGATGAGAATGTAAATTAGGACATCTATTTTGAAAAATAGTATAATGTTTCCTCCAAAAATTAAAAATTTGAATACCATATGATCCAGCAATCCCATTACTTGATATTTACCCAAAGGAAATAAAGTAAGTGTATCAGAAAGATATATGTATCCCCATATTTATTATAACACTATTCTCTATAGTCAAGATATGGAATCAGCCTAATTGCTTATCACCAGATTAATGGATAAAGATAATATAGTATATATACACGATGGAATACTATTCATTCATATATATATATATATATATATATATATATATTTGAATAAAATGAATGAAATCCTGTCATTCTTGGAAACATGGGTGAGTCTGGAGGGGATTATGTTATGCAAAATAAGTCTAGCACAGAAAGATTAATATCACATATTCTCACTCATGTGGGAGCTAAAAACTTGACCTTATAGAAGTAAACCGTGAAAACTGTGATTATTAGAAGCTGGGATTGGTAGGAGGGAGGAAAGGATAGAGACGTTGGTTAATGGATACAAAATTACAGCTAGATGCAATAAAGGAGGAATAGGTTATAGGGTTCTATAGCATTGTGGGGTGACTATAGTTAAGAATAAGTCAATGTATATTTTCAAATAGCTAGAAGAAAGGATTTTAAATGTTCCTAGCGCAAAGAAATGATAAATTTTTGAGGTCATAAATATAATTATTCTGATTTCATCATTATGCTTTGTATATATGTATTGAAATATTATTTTGTACGACATAAATATGTAGAATTATTATGTGTCAATTAAAAATGAAAACCAAAGAAAAAAATGAGATTGGACTTAGAAAATAAAGAAAATCACAGTTACAAACTAAATTGAGACTGCTTTCAAAAAACTGTAAGGACTATGAATTTTAGTGTATAATGCCATTTAATTGCTATATAAGTTATCTTATAAAGGACCTTCTGAGATTTCTATGTTTGGTTCGTATTTTAAGAAAGCCACATCCTTCCTTTTGGAGTAGACATTTCTTAGTACTTAAGGAAGCCTATTAGTTAATGTATAGATGAATTCCTTCATTTCATCTTCTCAATTACATTAGACAAGTTAACTGGGCCAGTGAGAATTGGATCAGTGTCTGACTCATCTACGCCCTTCTTGTAGGAGGAAAAATTGTAAGAGAAAATTTCTACCTTAAAGCAAATATTTTAGTATCATATTCTTGTATTTCACGTTGTTACCATGACAAGCAATATAATATTATATGACATTTCTAAATACCAAGCCTTCTGGAGAAAGTATTTTCTATAAATTGGCACTACCTGGTGTGGTGGAAAAGCGTGGAGTATAAAATGTGTCAGGCATTAGTTTGAATCTCCACTGGATAAATCTTTGTTGAACGCTTCCTACTTGTATTAGTCAGAGTTCTCCAGAGAAAGAGAACCAGTAGGAGATTGTTTATATATATGAAGATTTATTAAGAGAAATTGGCTTACATGGGAGCTGGTGGTGTAAATCAGTTGGAGTTTGAGGACCTGAGAACCAGGGGAGTCAATGGAGTAAATCCTACTCCCAGTGTCTGAGAAGATATGAGATGCCTCAGCTCAAACAGTGAGGTAGGAAAACTGTAGTGAATTTCCCCTTTCTTGCTTTTTACATTTTTATTTATTTTTATTTTTTTAGAGACAGGGCCTCACTGTGTTGCACAAGCTAGTCCTGAACTCCTGGGCTCAAGTGATCCTCCCATCTCAGCCTCCCAAAATGCTGAGATTACAGGCTTGAGCCACTGCACCCAGCCTTTTGTTGCTTTTTGTTCAACTCAGACCATTAAAGACTTGGATGATGCCCAACCACATTGTGAAGGGTAAGCTACGTAACTGAATCCACCAATTCAAATGCTAATCTCATCCAGAAACAGGCTGAAAGACACAACCAGAAAGAATATTTTATCTGGCACCCTGTGGTCAATAAAGTTGATACATAAAATTAATGGTCATACCACTAAATATTAATGTGGTGATCTTGGGCATGTATACCAAGCCAATAATTGACAGGCTGGGTAACTTATACTTGTAAACCTCACTTTTCTTATGATGTCTTATCAGTGCTTATTACCATTTTCAAAATTCAAAACAAACAAATACCTCTGAAAAATAGAAACGAATCTTGTAAATCATTTGGTGGTAAATCTTGTGCAAATAAGAAGTTATTGATAGTCTTTTAAAAATCCTATTTAGTGTGAATAATCATAACTTTTGCCTTTGAACGATGAACGTAGTAGAAAAAGAAACACATGAATTAGTTTTCTAAAATCTGAAGGAATATAAATTCAATAACATGTTTTGGTCTGAAGGGCTGCTATAAAAATGTACAAATGTACAAATACTTAATTTTCATAAGTAACCCATTACCTAACATACTTAGGTAGTTTAAAAATGCTAAACTTCCTTTCTCCTGCTTGGCATTATTCTTTAGACATGTAGAGTTTTATTCCTTACTTATTTTCCCTCGTCTATATTAACTTTTCCTAATGTCCAGAAACATTACAAACAAAATATTGTCCAAAAGATGCATTTCAGGGATGTTCTTAAAGGTCAGCTTAAGGAAATTATAAACATTTTGTTAAGGTTTTCTGTTTGTTTGTTTGTTTTTGGTTTTTGTATCTTAGAGCTTAGATGATAATTTGAGCACGTGAACTTTGAAACCCAAATATCTAAGTATCCACACTCTAAATACACTAAATTATATAAATAAAACAAGCTTAGGACAATTATTACAAAGCAACTTTAAAAAACAAGAGTATTTGACCAGTTGAACTTTGTCTAGAAGAGAATAACCTTATAGAAAAGAATTAGTTTTATTTTTAAGCAGCTGCTTTATGAATACCTGCAACGTTTTAGTGCCTACCTTTCTTTTCTTTCTCTTTACTTTTCTTTCCTTTTCTCTTTTCTTTTCTTTTCCTTTTCTTTCATTTTTTTCTCTCTCCCCCTTCTCCCTTCTTCCCTTCCCTTTCCTTCCTCCCTCCCTTCCTTCCTCCATCCCTCCCTTCCTTACTCTCTTCCTCTCTTTTCTTTCTTTCTTTCTTTCTTTTTCTTTCTTTCTTTCTTTCTTTCGTTCTTTCTTTTTCTTTCCTTCTTTCTTTCCTTCTTTCTCTCTTTCTTTATTTTCTTCTTTCTCTCCCTTCTTTCCTTCCTTCCCAACTTAATACACAGTAAGTACTGAAATATTTTTTAATAAATGCATAAACACATGAGTGAAAAAGAAAATAACAGAATAATTTTGGGTCTATGGTCAAAATTACAGTGTTTGAGTTAAACAATATTGAAGCTAATAGTAAGTAGCTATGCAGAGAATGTGTAGACATTTGCATGAGCAATGGCCCTTTCTACACTTATCAAATACAGAGTAGTAATGACTCCTGGTTATACGCTGTGTAGGGGTGGGTGTCATTTCCATAAGATTACTGCAAAATATGAATAAAAACAAAAAGTGATGTAGAAGTAAAATCAAAGAAGAAAAGAGAAATCAGACTAAGAGAGTTAACAGAATTGATGGGTACATGAGAAAGGTAGAGACTGCTATTTTCTACCAAATCTTTCAAGACTCTGAGGAGAATACCCATAATCAATATGTTTTATGTCATCAAAGTGAACCAATTTTAATTAAAATAATAAAGATCCAATGACCCATTGATTGGCCAATAACCTAAGTCATAAAAATGCAAGGCCCTTTTCTGTAATTGTACTTAAGCTAGAAGCCTCTCACCTTCTATCTCCCTTAAGGCAAATCCCAAAATGCAACTCAATTACTTCCAAGCATTGCGATTTGATTCTAAATACAAGGTCTTTGTAAAATTATACTTGACTGACAAATTGTAGCAAATACACACACTAAACATGACATGAGATTCCCCCGCTCCCAGCATGTTACATTGCCTTGTTAATACATTCAAAATACTTGCTTTTAACTACAGCTTCTAAAAGTTAACTGACCTATCATTCATTCATTCATCTAGCATTTTGTTGTTCTTGTCATTGTTAAATGGAAGTATGTTCTCAATTGCCTGAAAACTATTACTAAGTTATATTTGGTTGAATGGGTAACACAGTGAGATTTAGTAATAGTAGTATTGAATTTAAAGTGAGTAAAATCAGAGATGGAATTGAGGCCAGCTCACTGCTGTTGAAGGGACAGAGGAAAGAGCACTAGTTGTTAAGATCTCAGTGCAGTTCCCATGCTCTTTTGACTTAAAAATTAAGAAGCTTATTTTTTTCTGCAGGGCATCCAGAATTGATCTGAGTTACCGTAACTGGCTTCTGCTAACATGACCACATATCACTTACATAAAAATCAGAATGCTTGTTTATGATACAGGTCACAAATACCAGCTAGCTTAGAAACAAATAACAGGTAGCTAGTGAACTGGGCCTTCTCTAGGAAAATTTATGAGTTAAGCCAGGTTATAATTAGATGGTGTCTTTGTGAATGTGGTATCACAACCAGATGAGCTGGTGTAATTATTTAATGTCATCAGTTCTATGCAATCCTTGATAAGATTAGACACTGGCCAAATGAATTCATATTACCTGGTCAGAATATGTGCTCTCCTGAATAGTATAGGAGACACACTTACAGCTTCTTTTGTTTGCTATTTTCCTCCAAAAGTGATATGGACAGAGGGCAGGGAAATACTGGGTAGAAGCGGGCGATCCCTGGCGAGGGCCCTACCATCAAGCCTGGACCCACGGCCCAAAGTGAGAACTTTACATCCCTGTTTTCTGGCTTGAATGTTGTCTTTTTCAAAACCACTCTGGCCCACCTCACCCCCCATCCTGTACCTATAAAAATCCCAGGCTCCACTGGCAGCATGTGGCAGAGAAGGAGAGAAGAGAAGCAGCTTGATGTTGGTGAGAAGCAGCTTGACTTCAGAGGGACGGCTTGATGGTGGGACTGTGGAGAAGAGTTTGGCTGCCCTGAACTCCAGGGGAAGACCACCTTCCCACTCCCCTCCCTTTCCAGCTTCCCATCCTGCTGAGAGCCACTTCCATCGGCAATAAAATCCCCCACATTTACCGTCTTCAATTCGTTTGTGCGGCCTGATTCTTCTTGGATGCTGAACAAGAGCTCGAAATACAGAGGGCTGTCACAATGAGCTGTTAAATACTTAAGCCGTCCGTAGACAGCAAAGCTAACAGACCACACTGTATCACACACCCTCTTCAGCTCCAGGGGTCGCAGGTACCCTCCAAAACTCTGCCACGGGGCCACACAGAGTTCTGCCCCTGCTGGCGCCCAGAAGCACTCATCCCAGCCCCTGCACCCTCTCAGGGGTTGAGAACTACCGGCTGAGTAAACAAGTCAGAGAAAATTTCCTGTTTCAAAAGGATACACTTCAATATGTTAGAGATATGTTCTACAAATTATAATCACAGTTCACTTATGCCTTTCTGAAACAATAATTCTGAGCATCTAAACTGTGCTTAAAACCACATTTTTTGGGAAAAACTCCAGTTATTTCTGTGTCAGATAAATCTTACCCATGTTTCTGTGTTTGTGGATATCTTTATTCTTCTTCTTATTATTATTTTTTGAGACCGAGTCTCACTCTGTTGCCCAGGCTGGAGTGCAGTGGCGTGATCTCGGCTCACTGCAACCTCTGCCTCCCGGGTTCAAGTGATTCTCCTGCCTCAGCCTCCTGAGCAGCTGGGATTAGAGGTGCGCACCACCATGCCCAGCTAATTTTTGTATTTTAGTAGAGATGAGGTTTCTCCATGTTGACCAGGCTTGTCTCAAACTCCTGACCTCAAAGGAGCCGCCCGCCTCAGCCTCCCAAAGTCCTGGGATTACAGGTGTGAGCCACTGCACCCAGCCTTTATTCTTAAGTCTTATTAATCACAGTAGTAGTTTCCTATTGCTGCATAACAAATTACCCCAAATCATAGTGGCTTGAAAATAGGACATTTATTATCCAAAAGTTTCTGTGGATCAAGAATGCTGGAGTGGCTTAGCTGAATGATTTTATCTCAGTTGTCTCATGAGGTTTCAATCGAGGTGTTGGCTAGAGGTGCAGTTTCAAAAAAGAAAAAAAAAAGACTTAATTGGGACTAGGGATCTGACTCTAAGGTTTCTCATGTGGCTGTTAAGAGGAGGATTCAGTTTTTCACCATGTGGGCTACTTACATCATGTCTTTCTTTAAAGCAAATGATGAGAGAGAGAGGGAACAAAACGGAAGCCACAATTTTCTATAACTGAATCTCAGCAGTGACACACTATACTATTACTTCAGTCATATTCTATTGGTCACATAGACTGATCCTAATACAATATAGGAGGGACCATGAGAAGAGTGTGAAACCAGGATTCAGCAATCACTGGGAGCCATTTTGGGGCCTGGATGCTACAGTTTTTCCTCTATCTGCTGATGATTCATATCCCTCCCACACTGAAAACACACTCACCCTTTCCCAAGGCCCCTCGCCACCCACCCCCGATACCCCACAAAGCCTCATCCTATTACAGCATCAGCTCATAATCTAGAATTTCACTATATGAATCAGGACCAGTTATGATAAGTTTTCTTGGGTGCAGTTCTGTAGGTAAAGCTCCAGTACGTTTATCTTGATTTATAGACCTGTAAACTCAAGAGATAAGTTATCTGTTCCCACATAACCAACATACGAAGGTGGGACAAGCATATGAATAACCACTATAGGTATTTCTAATAAGAAAGGAGAACAATGGAAGTTACAAAGGAGTCTTTGTTCCTAGGAAGTTTTAAATTCAGTCAGGAAAAATTTGGAAGTTTCTTGATTAGGACTCTGTCCTGTATCTGCCCAGGAGTTATTCATCAAAGTCAAAATTCTATGAACAGTGTGTAAAAGGCTCTTTAAGATATCACTAGCAGTCTTCTCAAAATCTTTAGAGTTTATTCAGCTCCATTCATTAGGTGGTTCCAAAGCCACTCTTACATTTTAAGTTTTTATTTTGGCATCACTGCACTTTTGTGTCAAAATATATATTTGCTGTGTATGCTTGAGTAACAAATAACACAAAACTTAGCTTCTTAAGGAATCTGGCAGTGTCTTAGCTAGTTGAGTTTGGCTTAGGGTCTCTTAAAAGGTTACAGTTGAAGTGTTTGCTAGAGTTGTAGTCTCTGAAGGCTTAACTGGGGCTGAACGATTCACTTTCAAGTTTGCTCATGTGGTTTTTGCAGAAGGCTTCAGTTCTTTAGAACTGAGCTCGCCTATAGGGTTCCTTCCAACATGACTTCCTTCAGGCCATATGAAGAGAGACAGACAGAGAGAAAGAGAGAGAGAGAGATGAAACCACAGTCTTTTACAACCTAATCTTGGAAGTCTACCATCACTTCTGTTTTAAACTATTGACCACACATTCTAAACCTAGAAAAATGTGGGAGGGGATTACACAAGGCTGTGAATATTGGGAGGAGGCAGGGATCATTGGGGACCATATTGAAAATATTGCAAGCTGGCTACTGTTCTAGAAAAAAACAGGTTCTTGTCATATGGCCCAGAAAATTTAGGCATGCGGACACATTGCAGGGTGAGTAGGACAGGCTTATTAGGTGAAAAGAAAAAAGGAAAGAGGAACTTTCAGCAAAGTGAGAGACTCCTGTTGGCAGGTCTCCTGCCTCACAGATTGAATCCCAGGCCACCACACAGGAGCTGGAGAGGCCTGGCTCCTCCCCTCTGAAAACAGTTTAAGCTTCTCCTGGCTCCAGCTCCTTCCCCTAGTGCGCAGGTGGGCATTATTCAGAATCAGTTAGGAGGTGACAGACTTCATCTGGTACCCGCAGTCTGGTTTTTCAGTCTTCAGGCTGCCCTAGGCTTGAAGGTGGAGTTTCGCTGGACCTCCCGCTATCTCCTGTCTCTATCCCTACCACAGCCATCATGGATACTGTTTATCCAAATATAGTAAGTACTAAAATAACTAAAATACAGTGGTTAAACATTAATCCTTTTGGGGGGAGAAAATGGCAGTTTCTTAAAAACAAACAAAAATAAACTAAATATACATTTACCATATGACCCAGCAGTCATAATTCTAGATATTTACCACAGAACAATGAAAATGTATGTCCAGATGAAAACATTTACATGATTGTTCATAGCAAGTGTATTTGTAATAGTGAAAACTGGAAACAATCAAAATGTCCTTCAACAAATGAATGGTTAAACGAACTGGAATATCCATCCCATACAATACTATTCATCAATAAAAAGGAACAAACTTGATACATGCAACAATTTGGATGGATCAAAGGTATTACACAAAGTTAAAAAAAGTTAATATCAGGAAGTTATATATTGTATGACTCCTTTCTTTTTTTTTTTTTTTTGAGATAGAGTCTCGCTCTGTCGCCCAGGCTAGAGTGCAGTGGCGTGATCTCGGCTCACTGCAACCTCTGCCTCTCGGGTTCAAGCAATTCTCTGCCTCAGCCTCCCAAGTAGCTGGGACTACAAGCACCCACCACCACGCCCAGCTAATTTTTGTATTTTTAGTAGAGATGGCGTTTCACCATCTTGGCCAGGCTGGTCTTGAACTCCTGACCTCGTGATCCACCCTCCTTGGCCTCCCAAAGTGCTGGGATTACAGGCGTGAGCCAACGCGCCCGGCTGTATGACTCCATTTATATAGGATTCTTGAAATAAAACTATAGAATAGAGAACAAGTAAGTGGTTATCAGGGTTTAGAAATGGTTGGAGGAGAGTGTAGTTGTGACTGTAGAAGGGTAATATGAGGGAGATCTTCGTGATAAGGAATAGGTCTGTATTTTAGCTGTGGTGATGGTAGTTACAAGAATCTATACACAAGATAAAATGGCATGAAGCTATACACATTTATTGCACCAATGACAACTTCCTGGTATTTATATTGTAATGTAGTTATGTACCACAGAACCATTGGAAGAAACTGGGTGAAGGGTGTAGGTTCCTCTCTGTACTATCTTGCAAATTCTTGTGAATATAATATTTAATTATTTTAAAATAAAAAGCATTAAAAAATGGCTCCTCAAGTCAGACAGACTGTGTTTACATCCCAACTCTGTTACCTATTAACTGTGTAGCTGTGGATGCATTGCTTAACCATTTTATGTTAGTTTTTTAAAAATCCAGTTAATTTGTTATGATGCTTGGTAGTAAAAACAAAACAAAACAAAAACCTTTTATGCTGTTCTGCAATAGCTAGATATGTGCAAATTTATCCCCAAAGTCTAAGGAGGCTAAGAGGCCAAAGGAAGAGGCTGACATATCCAGTTCCTCAGAAAGAAACATTTACTATGGATTTCCAAAGAGAAGCCCTAGTCATGGGTGACAGTGAGACATGATGGTGGATCCCCACACAATTACCTGCCAGATCCAGGTCTTATATACCACAGTACTGTTGATCTTGATTTGTAGACCTGTAAACTAAAGATATAAGTTGTCTCTTCCCGCATAACCAACATACAAAGATCGGATTGAAGTTGACAGATTTCCAAGGGAAAAGCAAGAATGCTATGTAAATTTGCCTAAGGACAGGATTTATGGTCAAGGATGTTTGGCCTAAGGGCAGGATTTACCCTAACAACAGACAAGGTAGAACTCTGAGAGGCTTTCCCTGAACAGGGGTTAATCAAGAGTCAACACGGCAGATTAGCATCCAAGATGGATTTGCATTAGCCTCCACATACAATGAGGCCAGTAATAAAATAACTGAAAGTAAAAGCACAGGAGGCTTGAGAGTTTGCCTTCCTTTGCTTTCTACTTCTGAAATCTGTACAAAAAGGGAATGGAGAGGTAGTGTGAGAGAAGCAGAGGGAGACAGTGAAATTCCTCCAGAATGTAATTGTTAATGCCAATTGACAATGTCAAGACATGACTTGTGCCTTCCACCTTGGGCAGCATTCTTGAAATCTTTATTTTCTTTCTTGGGTGTAATCATGACATAAGCCTATGATACCTAAACTCCACTCCTCCTTCCATGGTTCTTATTTAGTGCTATTAATAATTTCATTGTGTCTTATCTTAAACCTTATAGTTTTCTTTTAAATCATGAATAGCTAACAATCTCCCTACCACCATCTTAGCTTTGTGTATTAACAGTTACTATATATTGTTCTATTTATAAATTTTGAGTAATGACACTCCTTCCTGCTCTTGGTCTTCTAATATTGATTTGCAATGTAATGTTTTGATTTCCAGAATTCCCAGAGATGGAGTCATTGTATATTTTCATGTGTGACAGGACAGTGATACCAGAAGTGGGTAGTTTCCTCAAATACTTGCTCTTAAATCATCAGTTTCATCATATGTAAATTGGGAATTATAATATCTAATTTAATTATAGGGATCACCTGAGGTAACTGATGTAAAGGGCATAGCACGTTGCTTGGGTTGGCTCAAACACTGAAAAAATAGTAACTCAATATCCCAGCATCTATTTCTTCCCCTGCTGATGTTCCCTTCAGATTGGATCATGCACGTGTTGCTTCCTACACCGCCTCCTGGTGGCATCCAGTGTCCACAGTTGAGCCACATCTTTTGAATATTTTCACCTCTCATTGGAAACCATCATCCCTGTTATTTCTTGTTCCTTACTCTGTGCACATGAGATTCCAATGAGGACTGAAATCAAGTCTTCCTTTTTTTTCAAGTATTAGTTTATATTTCACAATAACAGAAATTTCTGCATATCTATCTATCTATGCATCTATCTATCTATCTAGTCATCAACCTTGGAAGTTTTTTCAGTGAGTGTCTTTTTTTCCTAAGACTTACTCATGAGTCATGAGTCCATAGGGAATTGGGTTGAGAGCTAGTTTGAGGGAAATTCTTTATATATACTGAGAGTCTCCTCTACCCTCAGGCAGCCACCTGGCATTTTTCAATGGGGATTATGCCCATCACTTCTTTTTTACTTAGAATATCCTAGGAAGCTGCTCAGTTCCTCTAGCTAATAGACTAAAACGGCAAAGTTAGTATGTCCCTTTACGAAACCAGAAGGAAGAGTCATTTTCTTTCTCTTCTCATTTTGTGTTCAGAAAATCCACTAATTAAATATAATATATATTTTTTCTCCCTCTCTTTCCTGAAATATTTAAATTATAAGCCTTATGTAGAAAATCAGAAGCTGCTCTAACCAAATAGCTGTCTTATAAGACAGGAGACAACCTGTACTTCTAGGAACAAGAGGAATACATTTCCTTGAATTGTCCAGGCAGCCTATCTATATATAATGAAGTAAAAATAAATTTAATATGACAATACGATTCAATATACAATCACAAATAACATAGTAAAATATACTTAACTAAAATTTTTTGTCCTTATTGTCTGTCTTGTGAAAAATTATAATATATGCTGTTTCTCCATTTTATATGCTAGGTGGAGATGTAACCCTCTGCTTGCAGTTACACAAATATTTTGTATGAAGGAAAAGCAAGCACAACTTAAGCAGGTGTGACTGCATGCTGCAGATTTCAATGGGCACCTTTTCCTTTGTTTAGCAGGGAAGGGTAATGTTACCCTGAAGACAGCCAAAGAGGTAGAATGGTTGCTACCTCTGTGTGTTTGGCAGGCTGCTAGCATCCCTGGCAATGGAGCCTCTGCTGAATCTTTTTTTCTTATCGTTTTTGCTCATGTTGACTGCTGAACACAATGCCTACAAACACAATCCTTTCAAAATTACACAGCCTCCAGTGCTCTTTACAATGTTTTTGGCTACTATCAACTAAATCCCCAATTTCTGCTGATTTCATATTTTAAGTGACTCTTTTAAAACAATTTCCTGAATTCCACTTTCTTGAAGCACTTCTAAGGGAGGAAACATTTTCCTTCTAAGAAATTCAGGTATGGCTAGGGGCCAAAGCATAAAAATCTGCTTTGCAAAGCAGTAGCCTACTACCCTTTCTTACACATTAAACGCATTAATGTGAATTGAGAATTTAGGCACCCATTTCCCCCTTAAATATGTCTTACAATCGTAGGCACTAGGAAATACTGTGAAATAAAAGGTTTGAGAGTCTCAAATTAGTTCATAGTATGTGATGGTTGAGTCCAAAACTGATTTAGGAGGCCAAGGTAGGTCAATGTTACTGATATTGGCAAGGTGGTTTCAATATTTCTTCTCATTAGCTTAGCTCATACTGTATTATAAGATAATAATGAAATATACTGGATATAATGAAAATATACTGGAGATCATCTGCTTATATCTATTTTAAGTACTAGTACAATGTTCTAACTTTTCCCTGACATAGGAAAAAATGTAGCGTAGTCAGTAATTCATCTAGCTAGTATGATATATAAATTAACCACTATTTGCTTTTAAAATATTTAAATCTATAATGCTATAGTCAGATGTATCAAAGCAAATAAAGAAATTTGGAACACTAAATGGGACATGATGTAGTGGGGATTTTTTTTTCTACACTCATCTTCAAATATGAGGATACATGATATTATAATAAAATATTTTGCCCATTTAAATGTAATCTCAATATCCTATGAAGTTATAAGTAGAAAATTCAGTAAAAAGAAAATACCTTTAAATTAAAGCAAAACTACTTTAACTGTAAAACTTTGGAGAGAGAATATAGTAAATGATATTGTAATAAATGTAATACATTAATATGTCTTAATACAACAAATTTGTGTAACATGGGGCAAAAAGGACATTTCTTTCTTTCTTTTTGGAGACAAGAGTCTCTCTACCACCTAGGCTCTAGTGCAGTGGCATGATCTTGGCTCACTGCAACCTCCGCCTCCAACCTCTGCCTCCCAGGTTCAAAGGATTCTCATGCCTCAGCCTCCCGCATAGCTGGGATTACAGGCATGTGCTACTAAAACTACTAATTTTTGTAGTTTTAGTAGAGATGGGGTTTCGCCATGTTGGCCAGGCTGGTCTCAAACTCCTGGCCTCAAGTAATCTGCCCACCTTGGCCTCCCAAAGTGCTGGGATTATAGGTGTGAGCCACCATGCTTGCCCAAAAAAGGACATTTCTTATTTTTAGCTATCTCTTAATATTTTCCTGAAAGAAAGCTACACTGAAATGATATTAATACATAATTCAAATACTAAATTAAAAATCTTTTACAACAGCACACTACTGAAAGCATTTGCCCTCAATTACTTTGTTGCACCCTCTTCAAAAGCATCAAAAAAAAGATTAAGCAGAAACACAACTCCGAAATATAAAAGTAATTATATTTATTAGCCAAAATAATAAGAAAGTTAAAATAGAAATAAAACTTCTAGGGATGCTAATAAGAAATGTTTAAAAAATTAACAACAGCAAAGTAACCTGAATATTTAGGTTCTGGCTAAGAAATGGAGAGGTTTTAAAATCCTTAAAGCACACATGTATAACAGATTACTATAAGTATTATTAGGCTGAGGCATTAAGAAACAATAGTTGCTGGCTGGGCGCATTGGCTCAAGCCTGTAAACCCAGCACTTTGGGAGGCCGAGGTGGGTGGATCACGTAAGGTCAGGAGTTTGAGATCAGCCTGACCAATATGGTGAAACCCCGTCTGTACTAAAAATACAAAAATTAGCCAGGCGTGGTGGCGGGTGCCTACAACCCTAGCTACTCAGGAGGCTGAGACAGGAGAATTGCCTGAACTTGGGATGCAGAGGTTGCAACGAGCTGAGATCGCGCCACTGCATTCCAGTCTGGAGAAAAGAGTGAGACTCTGTCTCAAAAAAAAAAAAAAAAAAAAAAAACCCAAAAACAATAGTTGCTATGACTGCAAAGGAAATGTTAGACATGCACAAAAGTTATAATCTGAAATTGGTTCAACAATTCTTGAACCACATAATCACATCCATAGAGAGGGACAGTAGACATGAGAGAAGGATTTTTGAAGAAAAACTTGCCTGTTGGGTCCCTCCGATTGCAACTCTGTTGTGGAATTGGCTGGTGTTTGGTGTTCCCCATCATCGTGGACTCCCACAGTAAACTCCACCTCTTACTACCAGGAACTCTTATCCGGGCATGTTGCCCTCTTGGGCCAGCCTGTTTTTAAATGGCTCCACACTGAAGATTCTACTGCAGATATTAGGGTTGGCTTCTGGAATTCATCCCCTTTCAATATCTAGGTGAAGGGGTTGCTTTTAAACTCAAACACAGGCTTGTACTCGGTACTCACTGGCCTCTTTAGCTTTTTCAGATGTGAATTAGGCTCCAGGCCAAAGCATCCCCCAACTGCAGGTAGCTCATTCAAGCTTTTTTTGTACTTGCAGAGAAATCTTAGTTCAGGGTTAGGGAACTGCTTCCCAGTCTTCCTTTTTTGTTATACTCACAGCAGAGCTCTCTCTAAAATAATTGCTTCAAGGATGCTGCCCATATCTGCTGTCCCCATATCTGGAGCCCTTTAGAGCTTTTGTGTGACAAAGGTTGAAGTGTAACATTACTCATATGTAGTATTTCAGTTTTTATGTGCTGCTTGAAGTCTAGCACCTCCTTTGGAACTCTGCATCCATTATATGTTCACGCCTTGGCCAAAATGTCCATTTGTGAATTCCTCAGGCTGCTGTCTTTTCCTGTGTTGATGGTGTTACTGTTGCAACTGTGCTGCCGTTTGGAAGCATTCTGGGAAGGTAGCTAGCTCCAAATTTACATTGGTCATAAATCAGGCAATTCATTAATGGTACAGTATGATGGAATGTTCCCAAAACGTTGCTTCCCTGAGAATTACCACTTAGTCCTATAGATGCCCCCAGAGAGCTCTCTGTTTATGGGAAGTGTTGTTTCTACAATTTAAAATCTGAGAACATTTCAGAGTATGTCAGCCACCCAAGAACTGTGGCTTTCTATATGTACAAGGTGGCCTAGGCCCCAAAGAGATGCTATAAATAATTCTATCATTTTCAGTAGATCACGTTCTAAACACAATTGTAAACTACATGTGAATTATTTTGTAAACTTTATATGGCTATGTTGTTTTTTGTTGTTTACTCCATTTGCTTAGCATCGGATTTTATATATTTTAGCATACACTGATATCTTTCTTACATTACAAAAACACATATTATGCTATTTTATTTAATGCAATTTTAAGTGGTACGTTAACATAAATTTAAATTTCTGTAAAAGTAAGAGTGTACCTAAATGTATACATTTATTTATGTATCAATTGAAAAAAAATCTTATCGAAACAATAGATTTACCCTGGAATTATGAAATAAGCCTTGCTATAAAGGAAGTCTTTCTCATTGCTAACTCTAATACATTATTTACATTATGTAATAACTTGGGCCTTTTAATTTTCCTGTCAGGATTAAAAAGTAGTACTCCCTTATTTCTCAATGCAAGAACCCTGGACTCAATTGATGTGCAATTATTTAGAGTAAGCAAAGACTCTAAATCAGATGCTTTTGTTATCTCGTTTGCCTTAGTAAATTATAGGAAGTGGTTCCACTATCATTGCCATTTTTTCCCCATATCAGCTGTGTGTTGAGGTCCTGCTTCTTGGCATACCTAAGCCATTTCTTCCCATATATGATACAGTTTATTTTTAATGCCTAAAGATTCCTTATCATACTTACCCTTATTTTACTCCAGCTGGTTTGTGCAATATTGTTATTTTAAATGGTCAATTAAAAATTAACCCACCCTGGGTATTATGTGTGTTCGATGCATTTTCTTATCATTCATTGTTCAGCAATATATTTACTGTGATTTTAAGATCCGAGAGCCAGAAGGGAGCACCAAGTCAGAGTAAAGCCTTCTTAGCCACTACATTTCTTCTTAGTGCTCTCTCTGTCTCTGCCTCTATCTCTGTCTCTCTTACTTTTGCATATAAGTTGCTTGTAGGATAGACTTAAATGTTTATGTTAAACACTATAGGAAAGGCATAAATACGAGCTACTACACATACATGTTTTAACCTAATGTGAGAAACACATGCTAAAGTTTTCCGGAGGACACATGGTTTACTGTCCTATGTCCCAGATTTCTTTATAAGCAGAAACTAGCTTATTACTATAAAATATGGCAATATGAAAAAATTGGCTTATCCCTGACTCCTCTATTTTTTTCATGCTCTTCAAAACATGTCTTCTAAGATCCTTGTAATCTCTGACTGCGTTTTCTACTCTATTTTGTTTATTCCATTAACTTCCTCACATTGACCTTCCTTACTGTTCCCTTAACACGCTGGCTATGATCCTGCCTCGGGGCTTTGGAACTAGCTTTTCTCTTTCCATACTCCAGATGTATGCATGACATGACCTCTCTCTCACCTTCAACTCTTTTCCAAATGTCACCTTATCATTGAGATGTACCTTAGGTTCCCTATTTAAAATTGTAACTGACTCCCATCTTGTTCTCTCCATACTTCTTACCTTGCTATAATTCTATATCATTTACTAATTTATTTGTTTGTCTTTGTCCTCACTAGAGTGTAAGCTTCAAGAGATTAAGAATTTTGTCTTTTTTCCACTGATGTATCACCAAATCTTAGAAGAGTCATGACATAAAGTAGGCCCTTTACATATTTGTTCAATGAATAAATGTGTGACTCATGGCAGAAATGATGTTATTACTTTAACTGGAAAATTATTTAATGTATTGATATATCCAGAGCTTCTAAATGGCAGGTTAGATATAGCCAGCTCATTAGAAGATGGGGATAGTATTGGAGGACTTTTAAAAAATATGCATTTGCATAAAAATATACTATATTGTATTTATACATGGTATATTTTACTATAAATATACCATAAAATATATACTCATTTTACTTGGATTGAGTATTCTTAGGATGGTTTTGGTGGGATGCAATGGGGTACATTGAAGTGGAGGAGACTAAAGCTATCCACTCCAGTGTCCCCTGGGCCCTTTGGTGACTAGGATGGAAGAAATCCTCATGTTATTAAAACAGTGGTACTTATGTGAGAATGTGGAGTGGGTGAAGTATATCTGCGGCTGAGGGCTGAGGGCTGGTGGTGGTCGTCATGTTTAATTATATATTTGAAACAATGTTTACATGCACTGTAAATGTAACAGAAGGCCATAAAATGTCACTTTTCAAAATGTATACTGACTTTACTTTCTACCCATTTATAAACTTTTATATAAATCTCTTCTTTTTAAGTTCCTTTCAAGCGTGTTCTTGATTTTCTTTCTCAAACTATTTTGGAAAGGTTTATTTTTTTAAAATCTATTCACTGAAGATGATAGAAGCACCCATGGCGATATATGTGTGGAAACTGCACAGTACTATATAAATGCTATTTATTTTAGCTATTACTATTTAGTGACAATTGTATTATGGTTTAGTTAAGTTTTACCATGTTGTTTCTAGTATATTATCAGCCTAGGAATGCTGCTAAAATGATGCTAAAATCATCTGAGGTTGTCCTTTCTCTTTGTAATCTATTTCCTGTTAATATGTAAAGGGAGTGGCATTGGCAGGTTTAGAATTCTTTTCGTTTCTCTTTCCCTTGTTTGAGTAGCTACAAAATTACTAAGTCCTGTACAATCTCCCTCTCTCTCTGTCTACTTAATTCTTACCCCGCAGATGAGAAACCAAGATCATTAGTCGTTCTTCACCTTTTCCTGAGCCTCATCTATTGCCTAGGAATCTTGAAACTATAAGTGGGTTGGAAAATTGAGCCCTGATAAAAATGTTTTTGATATTCTTTCTTCACATTTTCTCATTAAACATTATAGAGAAGTTCACTGATGCTGACAGAGTAGTTGATTGTGCCTGGAAGAAATATTGTGGTGGCAAGTACAAATTAGATCATGGTGGACTAGTTTGTATTTTGCTGTTTCAGCTTCTGTGAATGACTACAGCACAATATTTTTTTTATTAATGTGAGTAAATAAATCAGGTAGAAAATTACTTTAAAAGCAGTGGTTTTGGCATTGCAGCACCATTTCAATTCAAATTAGCACAATAGAACAACAAGACCACATAATCATTACAAGCCCTAGTCCTTCTGAAACTCAAATTTATATATTTAGAAAGCGATTATTATATTTATAAGCTATCAGTAAAATTTTGCCTACTCCTTTTCTCACTTCTGCCATAATTAGCTTCACAATGTAAAACGCAACAGTTTTTAAAAATGTTGGAATTGTTATTTGGCAAGATAGATACTTAAATTGATGACATGTCTAGAAGATGGGTTTATTTGGGGGCTAGGAATAACATGAGAGCAAAGAATATGGCTAAGACATGGATAATGCTTGGGAAAACACTCCAGCTGTTTTATGGTTATTGCGGATATCTCAAACATGGGTGAAAAATATATTGTGTATTTTAAATACTGTTTTTCTTTGGCAAAAAGAAACACTTCTTTCTTTGGTTGCATATTATATAAAGGAAGGGTACCAATCCCATACAGTAAATATCTCTTCTATGACGGACCTAGACACATGTTTTGTTTTATAAAATATGATAGATAAGTTTTAAGAATGTTACCCAATTGCAGCATGACTTTTAAGGATCAAAATACATACCTTTTAGAAGTATATCTATATATAGATAGGTAGATATCATTAGATAGATCATTAGATATATATCTATATATTAAATAAATGATATATTAGAAAAGCTTATTCTTTTTCTTCCTTAGTTAGTCTTATAATCTTTCTCTTTTAAAGTGAATTGTGTTAGATAATATTCATTTGCACTCACTGAATCATACCCAGTTCTGAGATGCTACATGGCAACTGAATATACATGCACATCCTCTTATCTGCCAAGAGACTGCCATTAGAAAGCATTAGACACTACCAAGGTATAATTTTGTTTTACTAATTATATTGAAAAGTTTAGAGGAGGGAGAGTGAATATACATTTTTAATAGACAGTAATTAAAAGGCAGGCTGTTGAGGTAGGCAGATGCTGGTCAGTCTGATTCTACCCCTTAAAGCTTACAAAAGAGTAGTTAGGTTGTGATACATGCCCATGAATAAGAAACACCAGAAAATATAAGCCAATCTTTCATTTTACAAAGAAAATCTTCTCTTAATTGGCCAGTTTAATGACAAAATCTTCTAAGAGTGTAGATGATATGGCCAAATCTCTGCAAATTAATTAATATATGGGTTATATATGTTTATGTTAAAATTATATAAAACCTATGAAGTGGTTTCTGATCACATTTCATGAATTTCATTCCCTTGTGTTCTTCACTGGTATCTTGAGATATCAGTAGCTTCATCTTCTCTGAGTCCTCTTAAACAGTTTTCTAGAGGATAACACTCTGAAATACTCAAGTGTATGAATCTATGGGTGATATTATCACTGGAAAATTTATTTCATGAGTGTTGTCCCACGAAATTAGGCCATTCCCGTTCACTCATTTATTCTGTAGACACATATACATGATCTCTACAAGATAGCTGCTTACTCTGATAAGGCAGTCTTTGAAAGGTTTATTTGAAATTATGTCCAATAGTTAACAATTATTAGATAATATCCCAGAAATAGTGACTAAGTTGGTGTTATATTTCCTTGACTTTTTCTTTTAAATGCATATAGGTTATCGCTACAATTACCCCAAGCTATGATTGATGGATTCTTCCCTAAGTATGGTGATCAAAATAAAATAATTTAGAGCACACCTAGTAAAAGGACTAAATTTCTCACTTCTCACTTCTAAGTAATATTTATGTAACAAAAGTACTTCTCTTATAATTGAGTATATCCACTAAATTTTTGGTCAAATTAGAGGGTAATGATATTGCTGATTTTTCTGGAGTGTAACAAGGTTTAAATTGACATAATGTGGTTAGTTCAGTGCCTTGTACATAATTAGGACTTGAACATAGCAAATAAATGGTGACGTTTGTATTTATAAAAAGAATCACCAATTTTATATTGTTTTTTCTTTACTATTCTTAAAAGTTCTGTTAAAAGATGTACACATAAATAACTCAGCTACACATAATGACAGGCTTTATGGATAAATGGATCATTTTATATTATTATAAGTCAGATCGCAATGAATTTAAAAAATTAAAAAATGATGACGCTGGTATGCATCAATTAACATACATTTACCAAATTTTAAAGTTTTATTTCAAATGTGTTTATAAATGGAAATTGTACCTATAACTGTTTTTAAATTTTGGTTTACATTTTGTGTATGGGTTTTTTTCTATTCCTACCTTGCATACACAATGGTGGGTCTTAGTTTTCACACAAGTTAGATTCTAGAAATCCATTCTTAAGTTAGGAGTTGAGAACTTAAGTTATAGAAGCAAAATGATTGAAGGTATTCTCTTCCATAATCTGCTCAATCCACATTATTATCAAAATAGTGGTGTGTATAATGAAAAATTACAAAATATAGTACAGCAAGTTCTCACTAATGTTTTCAGCAAGTTCTTGGAAACTGTGACTTTAGTGGCCCTCAAATAATGTTGTTTTATTCAACATTGTTTTCTTACAATGTTGATGATTTTAAAAAAATGGGTGTCATCATACATTGTTTCAATTAAAGTCACAGTTTCCAAGAACTATGGAAGAATTTAAATAAGGACTTACTGTACTATAGAAATTAAACATAAAGGAATAAGAAATAGATATTCATGTTCAAAACTATGCCTGGAAAAAAAATCAAGCTTAATTAGTGGACAGAAAAGTGAAAAACAACATTTTTTTGAACATTGTAGAGCAGGCTTTCTCAGCATGTTTGTAAGCTTGACATATTGCTGACACTGATTTTTAAGACAAATTTTATCTCAAAATTTATTACTTTCTTTTTTATTGATATTGATAGATTCTTAGCTTAATTCTGTGGATTGGTAATAAAGCACAGTCTTCATTTCTGCCATTAATTATATAATAATATGTGCCATTAGTTATGTATGTGTTTCTTCATTTGTCAAATGCATATTGGGCTTCCACCAGGTGCCCTGGCACATGCCAGGCACTTGAATAGACATTAGTAATTCCAGCAGGAATAAGCTGTAGTTCCTGTACTCAGACTAGTAAGAGGAGACAGACATTTAAACTGATAAATTCCATTCTACATTCCATAATCTTAAAAGTGCTATAATAGAAGTATGAATGGATGTAAGTACAAGGGAGGAAGTGGTCACCTTTGGGTCACTAAGAGCACAGGGATACTCGTCATTTATAGGTGCCAGGAGATAGTATTAATTCCTATGAGGAGATACACGTCTGGAGCTGAAGGCTGGGGCAGAATCTTGGAGGACATTTGTAGCATGCCAAAACTTTAGAAGGTTTATCTTATAAGTGACCCAGAACCATTGAAAGGTTTGGATCAGGGAAACACTCTTGCAGGTATGTGAGCTTTAGTTCTTTAATCTGTAAAATAAAGGAGGTTAACCTGATATTTTCTGTCCCTTTTTGTTCCAAAATTTTGTGATTTCTCAGTCACATTGGGTCATTATTCTTTTGAACAGTAAGGGAGAGGGGAGAGACTGAATGAGAAATTTAGATGTGTTGACTGGTTAAGTCAGCTACCAGGTAACATTGTCAACCAAAGAACACTTCACTGCTATGTGGAGTAGCCTAGAAGTGAAGAGATGAAGTAATGTGAGTAGTTCATTTTCATTCTTTTATTTAAAACAACTATTTTAGAAGAATCTACTCTCTGTGAAAGAGCTCTTATTGAGCTTTTGGAGTGTGATGATGGTATTTACTTTTTATTCACGCTTGGTAGCTTTATTAAAAATAAAGATGACAATGTGTCTGTAAAATTGATCATAGTCCTACCTCCAAATTTGGGCCTAGAATTTGTGGTTTTTAGATGCTGAAGATAGAGTAGTAAATGTGAAATACGTGGTCTCTACTAGAATTTATATTCTTCATGGGGGTGTGTAAAGGTGAACAAGCAGTAATATGAATATAAAATAACATTCATCATTAGGTCTCTACAGAGAAGATAGAGTTAGCAAATAAAAATACAAAACCTTGATTTACATTTGAATTTCAGTTAATGAATAAATTATGCTAAAAACATAATAAAAGTATTTTGCTTGGTAACCCTAGGTGTTCATAATTTTTCAGATGGGTTAACAAAATTAGGTAATTGTAGACATGATTTTTAATAAAATTTTCTCCTTTATTAAAGAAAAAAATTAATTATAAAAACAATGTTCAAAGCCAGAGCATCTTTCTTTGGTGATGTTTCAATATTTGAGGTTAAGCCTATGTTATAATTATGGCCCTTGTTATCTTTTTTTTTGTCCACTAAGATTACTCTATAATATTTCCATAATTACTCCTCTGTTTACATGGGAGTGAGAACGCTCCCTGCATTACCCAGGACTTTTTGAAAACTCAGAAAAATCCTTTCAGAAAATCTGGGCTTATCACTATTCAGAAATATATTTTGTAATATACTTTGAAGCATAGCCGCATTTTGAAGTATTATTTATGGCTGTTAGTTTATACTTACAATCTTGCTCATTTTATAATGAAATTCATTTAGTCTTTATATTGTTCTCTAAATGGGGATTGACTTGGATTCTTTACTGATTCATCTAACGTCATTAATGATTTCCCCTTTGTGTTCTGAAGCATCTTATTGACCTTTTCAAGTGTGGCCATAATGCTTGTTTCTCATTAATGGTTGGATCTTCTATCAGAAAACAGTGATGGACATAGATCTATATGGTTGATCCTGGTCCAAACACTAAAGTTTTGTTTGTAATTTTTAATGGTTTGTCCCATGAAGCGTAGCTTAGACCTCAGCAGTGGAGACCAGTAGAGACTTTATTTCCTTATATTTACATTTCTAGTCCATACAGTGTGAAAAGAACCCCACACTAAAAGGAGGAAACCTTGCTAAATTAGATTCATCTGAGAAAATCTATGAACTAATATACATTTAGTACATGATTAATGAGTAATTAATTGATATCACCTTAAAAGAGTTTAAAATCTCACCCGTAAGACTAGCAGATGTGCCTCAGGGAGTGCTCACAAAAGATGATGAGAGGAAAGAGAAGTAGTATGGTAGAAGAGTCAGAGTTTCAAGGAAAGAAAATGAAAATATTGCCAGACAAACAGCACAAAATAGTCAAATAAGATTTTTAAAAAATCAATGGTTTAACTAAAAGTGAAGAAAAGTTTGATTACCCAGTCTGGTAGAAGTAAAAATTTATGTTATAGGTGCTGTTAAAAGAAAAACCGGAGCAAAACTACATTCAGAAGCGTTTAATTGAGCAAAGAACGATTTACAAATCAGGCAGCCTACCGAACCAGAGTAGGCTCAGAGACTCCAGCGCAGTCACATGGTAGAAGATTTATGGACAGAAAAAGGAAAAGTAAAACACAGAAATTGGAAGTTTGGTACAGAAACAGCCAGATTGGTTGTACCTTGGCATTTGCCTTATTTGAACATGATTCTAACAACAGTTGGCCACATTTATTTAGCCAAAACTTGGTGATTGACACAAGAGGAGGCTACCGTCTGTTTACAATTCCATTTAGGTTTTAGTTCACGGTGTACTGAGAAACCTTTAGCCTGAACTTGATTTAACAGTGTTGAGGGGAGATTGTATGGAACTGTGAAATAAAAGCAATGTAGGATGTTTGAAATAAAAGAGAGTACATAAATGTTAAACAATGATTTGTTTAAACTTTTGCAGTAGGTGCAATAGCTTTCTTTGGTTAAAAATAGATGGCAAGGCCAGGTGTGGTGGCTCGCACCATAATCCCAGCACTTTGGGAGGCCAGGGTGGCTGGATCACCTGAGGTCAGGAGTTCAAGACCAACTTGGGCAACACAGTGAAACCCCGTCTCTACTAAAAATACAAGTTAGCCAGGCATGGTGCCAGGCACCTGTAATCCCAGCTACTCAGGAGGCTGAGGCGAGAGAATCACTTGAACCCAGGAGGTGGAGATCACAGGGAGCCGAGATCACACCACTGCACTCTAGCCTGGGCAACAAGAGTGAAACTCTATCTCAAAAAAAAAAAAAAAAAAAAAAGAAAAAGTAAAAAGACAGCAACAATCAAATGAGTATAAACAACCAAAAGAGTTGTTATAACTGTGTGTTCTATAGCAAGTCTAAAAGAAACAGCAGGCAAGCTTTGGAAATATAGGATATACATATTCTAATAGAGAGAAATAAGGGTATTACCGTAACAAATATTTTGAAATACGGAGAGAGTAGATAAAAGAAGTAACATCACGTGGCTGATGTCTTCTGATAACTTCTGCTTTTGAGAAAATAAAAGTGGGATTTTGGCTGTTGGAGGAGAAGGATTAGATATAGGCCTATTGGAGAATTCATCAGAAAAGCAATACAAAAGTGAATAAAGGAATACCAATTGCTAATGAAACTCTGGTTGAAATTAGATGTCGAAATTTACAGCAGGGCAGTTCTTCTGCCTTTTGCCAGTAACATTAACACCAACCGAAAAAGGTGGTAGGAAAGATTCAGGATCAACTATTAGCAACCCAGCAAACATTGGGAATGATGATGGTGATAAGAGAGGGAAAAAAATCCTTAGGAAGGCAGACAGTTAGTGAAGGTAATAATGATGCAACTAAACTGAATATTTGTCTGGGTAGTGAGTAAAGAACAGTCAGAATTAAGCTAGATAAGTAAGGATATATAGATATTTATGTGGATAAAGTAGAAATGTATTAGGTAATGAGAATGGGATTAAAATCACATAAGTTTATAGATTTTGGAGATGGAGAAATACTGAGTGATAAGTGCTGTTATGAAGTCAGGCAGTGTAGTAAGCAAGCTAAAGAAACTGAGTTTCAGGGTGTCACATGGGTCGGCAACACTGGTTTCATGGTGTCAGTAACAATGGATAATAAGAAAAATACTAATCTAAATGCTGGGGTCATGAGAAGATAGGCTGATTTGGATTTCTTAAATCATTATTTGTAGGTGAAATGTTTTCTACAAAGTGCAACCTAAAGCAATTTGCCTTATAGCAAAATATTGCCTAAGCTTTAGCTATTAAATTATATTTTATATGCTGGGTAATGTTTAATACAACCAGATTTCAGTAAAATGCTATAACCACAGGGATGTGATTCATATGCATGTTTCAGAAATAGGAGGATTGAACAGAAATATAAAAGGACTGCCCGTGGTCATAAATTAGAAATTACATCAAGGAAATTTTATCGGATACATTCGCAGTGCAATTCTGAAGAGAAGTCCAGTCATTGTGACACTCTCATCCATATTTTATACTGAACTTCATCATAGAACTTAAGTCATCATTCCAAAACTGGCTAGTTCAGTATTTATTCAAACCGCTTCAGTACATTTAGTAGCTCCAGTCCTATCTCAAAATGTCCAGAACCCTTGCAAGAACTGGCGGTCAGGTAATCACTACAGGTTATTTTACTTTTGTTCATGCTTCAGAAACTGTTCATTCTGTTGACCTTGGTGGTCTTTTTTCTTCTAATTGTATTCTTGCCTTTCTGCCATTTCTCACTGGAGTTTATATGAAACACTGTTCCCCTGGTGCTTAAGCCTTCCCTTCCCTCTCCTCCCCTCCCCTCCCTTCCCTTACCTTCCCTTCCCTTCTCTCCTCTTCTCCATGAAACCACTTTCAGGCGATTTCTTGGAAACAACCCAGGCCTGATTCTCTTCAAGACAATATATGAGTGTGTGTGTGTATGTGTGCGTGTGTATGCGTGCATACATACATGTGTGTACATACATGTGCTTCTTTGTCACTTAAAATTTGTAGAAAGGTGTTTAAAATCAATCAATAATATGCCATTTATCTGAACGCTACTTCCTGTTCATTTGATGCCCATAGGAATTTAGTTAAAAAGATAACTATTGGCTGGGCGCGGTGGCTCACACCTGTAATCCCAGCACTTCGGGAGACCAAGGTGGGCAGATCATGAGGTCAGGAGATCGAGACCATCCCAGCCAACACAGTGAAACCCCATCTCTACTAAAAAAAAAAAAAAAAAAAAAAAAAAAATATATATATATATATATATATATATATATATATATATATAGCCAGGCGTGGTGGCACACGCCTGTAATCCCAGCTAATCAGGAGGCTGAGGCAGGAGAATCACTTGAACCCGGGAGGCGAAGGTTGCAGTGAGCCGAGATCACCCCATTGCACTCCAGCCGGGACGGCAGAGCAAGACTTCGCCTTAAAAACAAAAAAACAAACAAACAAACAAACAAACTATTTGGTCTGAAGTGTAGTGAGATAATATGTCTGATAGTTTTTATGTCATAAAATGAACGTAGGATAAAATGTAAAGACCATACATACATAGCACTGAAGTTTTGTTGTTCTTTTTTTTTTGCTTGTTAAAATGTGTGTTAGTATGACACTTTAAAGAATATACACAAATGCATTCCCTTTGTGTGCTTAAAAACAAACAAACAAAAACACAAGAGTCAACTACCAGAAAGGAAGTATATTAATTTGGGCAGCTGGTATTTCGTGAGAGTAGGTTGAAAACAATGTACTATGTTATATTATAATGCTTTTAATACAGTCAATCTTTGAAATTTTTTATGTAAAACCATTGATGTTTCCACTAGCTCTATGCTAACTGATTTAGTAAGAGCACCTAGGATCACCTTTGAATCCAGCCTCCTCCGAGAAGGTAAGCCAAGGATCTAGTGCCAATTTAGAAATTCAGGCTGGAAAACAAAGTAGGGAGTCATGTTAGCATCAAGGAACATTATTCCCGTGATGGAAACAACTCTTCAGCAAAAAAGGAAAACTTGTCTTGGGCAGGATAAAAGGCAGATTTGATTTTCAAGTGCTGGCTACTCACACTTATTCCTAAAGCAGTTGAAAAACTACTCTATCATCTTAATTATCTAGAAGTCCAGCTGAATGAAAACATATTTCTTCAAAACCTTCAAAAGGAAGAATAAGATCCAGCAATATTATGTGTTCTCACTAAAATGATGAAGACAATGCAATAATCATGAAGTTACAATGTTCGCTCATAGGACTTTTGGAAAATATATTACATAAAGTACATTGTATATAATTATATATGCTATACATTTTTGGATAGATAATTTTTATTTGGCTGAGGAGGTTTCTCTTTGTTTCATATTTGCTAAGTCTTTAATTATTAATGAATGTAGAATTTAATTGAAAACTATTGGGAAGATGTGTTTTTCTTTATAAATATGGTAAATTTTTTATAGATTATCTGATGTTAAATAATCTTGTATTTCTGAGATCATTATTATTATTCACAGTCTAGCAGATTCAATTTGCTAGTAGCATTTTATTTAATATTTCTGCTGTGTACCTAAGTGATACTCATCTATGTTTTTATTTTCTTGTTTTCTTCTTGTCTGGTTTTGCTACAAGGACTACACCAATTCACCAAATTAATCAGGTAGATTCCTCTTATAATTAATCTTCCATGAAAGAATTTGCAAAACTAAGGGTTGTCCTTCCGATAGTTTCAGATGACAGATTATATGCAGATTAAACTTGGCTCTTTCTTCAGATCTCATTAAAAACGCTTTGAAAAAATATATCAACACAAGAGAATAGAATTAAGGAAAAAAGCTTTCCTTGGATGAGAGATGTCAATACAATTTGGAATATTGAAAAAATGTTTGAGCAATCCCCACACAGAGAGAAATAAACTGAAATTTAATTGTCTTTACACAGGGAAACAAAAAGGGAGATAGTAAAATTTGCTTTCTCAATCCTCAGAAGAATCAGATGTACAGTTAGTCTCTATCTGAGGAACAAAAGATGAAGCCTTTATTTTCAACCCTATTTTTCTCCTCCTACAAAAAATGAGTCACTTACTAATGATTTTTATTCACCTTTGCCTCCTTAGAGTTATTTTCCTGTATATTTCTCTCGTATGTTACTTCTTCCTATCATCTCTGAATTGAAATTTTTATTTTTTCAAGTTGGTAAGCATAGGTCTTTCTGTATCACCTTAAGCCTGGAGGCTTACATGAAGCTGGTGTTTGTCTTAGGAAGAACAGCGCACCATAAAACAGCTGGCCTTTACTAGTCTTGCTTTTATTTCCATAATCCCTGGACCTCAAATGAAACTAAAATTCTTTGTGACATGTTTTTGAGAATTTCTACTTAAGGACATTCTTCTTGGCTTTCACTGGCCTCTTGGTCTCTAGGAAGACAGAAATCTGATATCTTGTCCACATATTGATTTATATTACTAATTAATGGGAACATTTTATACATTAATAGAGTATACTTTTTTTGCAGGTGATTATTCTTGTTGGATAAATGAAGGTATAATTGAATAATTAGAGGTTAGTTATGATAAAGTTATGTGATAGAGTTATGTGTTTGTCTAGGTTTATGAGATCAAAGTAGCTGATCATTTCTTTTGCATGTATGAACCTGGAGAGCAACGTGGATAGATAGATGATAGATAGATAGATAGATAGATAGATAGATAGATAGATAGATAGAGATTTGGATTGAGTTCTTAAACGCATTTGTTTTATACATCAGAGTTTGTAAAACAGTAACCTATGGGTTGAGTATAACTCATAAACAGATCTCTTTTTAGTCTACACTCTGTTTTGTTTTTTTGATAAGCCAATATTTAGAAATTCTCTTTTATGTAAAAAAACTCTAGAGATCCAGTTTGTAGGTGATTATTCTCACTGGGAAAATGAAGGTATAGTCTTTTTGAAAAATTGGAAAGTCAGGTGACATAGACCAATATCCTTGCATGGTAGTAGTTTCCTAGAGCTGGGTAGCAGCATGCTGTCTTATGTTCTTCACACTTTCCACACTCCTCATGATCACTGGATATGTGTTAGCTGTAATTTGTCCTGCCTAACATACCAGGTTCAATTCATGAGCCTGCTCTGATTTACTCAGCTTCATCTGTCTACTGGGCCCCCATTCACTAGCTCATGGAGGATCCTGGTTGCTGGTGTCACCACTGCAGCTGAATCTACCTCAGATTCTAACACTTCTGTGTGTCTTGGCTGCTACTGGGGTGAGTAATGGGCTTCCTGGTATGGCCTCCATTGCTCCGTTCTGCCTGCCAGGAGCCATAATAGCTCTGGCCATCAACCTAGTCAGATTTAAAGAGGCTCTCCATTCTATTCTTACTTTACTCATGTAAAGTGTCCTTCAACAGGACATGAGATTTGGTTTTCTCAGAAGCCACCTAAGGGGCCAGGTGATGTAACCTGAAAGTGAGGGAGTTAGTTCCTGAGTTAATCCTAATGTGAATCAGTAAGGGAGGGAAGAAGACATCTAGAGTTAGCAAATAAATTCCATTCCTTTACTTCCTCTGATATACAGAGGCATGGAGTTTCTGGTTGGCTTCCCTAAAGACGTGATGTCCTCTATGGCCAAGCAACCAGTTGGGTCTTTTCCTGAAGTTGTGGCCAGATAAACCTTGACTTTGCCTCACTTTTTATGCCTCTCTTTCCTTTCCCTGTGCTTGCTGGTTCGGGATTGCAGCTCTAAATAAAGTATTAGCACGTAAGCTTTGTCTAAGATTCTTTTCTAGGGAAAATCAGCTTGGATTCCTACTTTTCTCATTAATGTTATCTTGCTAGACTTTATAGATTTCCAAATGTTTAACCTTTGCTTTATATTCTCTTAAACTTTCTTTCACTATTTTTTGTCATTTTACAATACACTCTGTATATCTTTCCAATTTGGAATCTTATTATAAACCCCATTCTTTTAATAACTACATAGAATTTTTATGTAAACATTATATTATTTTCTTTTAATAATTTCCTCGTTTGAAGCATTTAGAATTCTTCTGATATGAATATTCTTGCTAAGAACATCCAATTGCTTTGTGTGTGTATGTGTGTGTAGCTAAGAAACAATTATAGATCGATATTTTTACACACAAATGGCAGTTCTTTAAAATATTAATTTATAGTTCACTACTGTGGCAATGGCTAACATGTGTTCACCCAGCAGGATGTTGCTTTTTCAGAATCTGTTAACATTCTGTATATATGTTCCTCTTACCATAAAAATAGAACTTGTGCCCAAGGCAACATATGCAATAAAAATTAGTGGAGATATTGATAATGCTCCATTAATCTCATTCTACCTTAAGCAGCATAGAGACTTACTCCTGTTGACAGCTTTCCATTGCAATAAAGGAAAGATTGAAATAAAATGCATTCAAAGACTTGCCCAAGTTTGCTCTCTCATGTGGAAACTCCTGGACCATCTGGTCTGCTTCTGTTGCAGCACCTGGTTTATTATTGGTATTGAATAAATGTCACTACACTGCTAACTGAGACAGGGCTATTATGTATGTATCTCCAAAAACTATTTGATCATAACAATACAAATGAATTAGTCTGCAATAATATTCATTTTAATATTATTTACATTATCCATGATATCAGAGAGTACTCATAATCTTAGCTAAATGTAAATATTGCCTTTTTAATCTTTCCTTTCCTATTTATTTCACACTGGTGGTATATCATATAGCAGCTGTAAGATTGCATTTTAGATAGTTCTGATTGATGAGAAAGTCTCAATGAACCTCTTTTCAGTAGTGTTATATATAGAGAAAATAAAGGGTCATCTTTTTTTAAACAAAAAAGATACAGGGAAGCTCTTGATCTGTTCTCTAAATCCCAGTGATATCTAGTTGCAGTGACATCTGTAGGCTCCATTTATCAGTGGCCAATATGATCAAGCTCCTTTTAGTTTTATTAGATATTCCATCTAAACTAAACATGTATATGCCCAAGTCTACCTAAATTATTTAATGTCATTTTGAAAGTATGCATGCAGATACAGCATGAAGTGAGGCATCCTCGGTTGTACTTCATACAGCAAATTAAGTTATTTTTATGCCTAGAACAAAGTTCATTCCTTTGCATTGATTGCATAACATAAAATATACTGAGGGATTCTCTTCACCTTTGTGGTGGGGAAAAGGCAGGATAGAGCCTGATTTTCAACATAAATGTATTTAACCTGGTTCTTCCAGTGCTGGTCTAGAAAAACTAGGCTTCAGCTGGTGAATAATGAGGTGCTGTGAGGACCCATGTCTCATGGACCACTGTATGAGGACAGAGAATAGAATGTATGTACACCATAAATCTGAGAAAAAAGACACAGTCGATATTGTCCTTTTCCATATGTCTGTTTTAAATTCTTGTAATGTGTAAATTTCACTCAATGGTAAGTTTGTTTAGTTTTTATTTATTTAATTATTTTTTGAGATGGAGTCTCTCTCTCTGTCACCAGGCTGGAGTATAGTGGCATGATCTCGGCTCACTGCAACCTCCACCTCCAGTGTTCAAGCGATTCTCATGCCTCAGCCTCCCAAGTAGCTAGGATTACAGGTGCCTGCCACCATGCATGGCTAATTTTTGTATTTTTAGTAGAGACGGGCTTTTGCCATGTTGGCCAGGCTGGTTTTGAACTCCTGACCTCAGGTGATCTGGCTGCCTCGGCCGCCCAAAGTGCTGGGATTACACCTGTAAGCCACCACACCCAGCCTGTTTCTATTTGAAATCTATCCATTTGGGCACAGCAAATGTTTAGTGAGAAATGTAGGCATAATTATTTTACTGAAATATTTTACAAAGAAAAATGTGCTACTTTTGTGCTATTTTTGTGCTGTTTTAAAAAGTGTCTCCCAGGTCATTCATGTGGCCCAAATCTGTGGCCTCTTAATGCATTGCTCATACCTTGAAACTGTTCTCTGCATTTAGATGATCAAGTTTTGAAAATCTCTCTGGCTGTTCCATAAGCATACTGTTTCCAGAATATGCTATGTTTAAATTTACATCATTTTTTTCTTTCTCTCTGAAAGAAGACATAATGGGTTATATTATAATTATATTCACAGACTATCCAAGTGCTATTTGGCTGTGTATGGACAATATATTCTTGAGTTTAAAAACTTAGCCTTGCAGCACTTCTGTGCCCGTAATTCTTATTGATTTCAATGAGTATTATGCACTCACAAGAGCTATGAGATGGATTATTAGCAAACAGAGTATAGCCCAGGATATGTTGCCATGCTTTTTAGAAAGAAATCTGCTATGTGTTGTGCTTTCATACTAGGAAGTATGAAATAAAGCCAAGCAACAGGAATAAAGATAACTGAATGGATTACTAATAGGTAATTATTTTGGGAAGCCTCTATAAGGTTCACATCTATACTGTGCTATATTGTCTAAAAATGATATTAGACAAAATTGCTTATTTTAAGTGATAATTTCTGAGGTGAAAATTCTTTTAGAGTCTGTAGTTCAGCATTGGGTCTGAGCTTTGCTGATTATATATGGCTTCTTCTCCTTTAGCTGTCATTTCAACTTTCACTATAGCTGCTAGTGACCACTGGTTGCTAAATCCAATGCATAATTTTCAGTATTTGCCTTGCTTGATCTTTCCTTAGGCCCTCCATCCCTGTTGAAACAGACTATCCACTTGCTCCACAACACCACAGTCTTATGGTTTTTGTCCCAGCAATTGTATTTATTGTCGGACTCCTTTGCAGCAGCATACTTCTCTGGCCAGGATCTTTCTCTGACCAGAAAAAACCTGAAGGTTTACTCTCTGATTGAAATTGTACTTGGTTTGTGTGATTATTTGATTAATTGTATCTCTTCTACTAGACATTGGTTTCTTGAGAATAAATATCATAGTTTATTCTCAGTCCCTCTTTTCATTGTACCTTCTCCCAATAGACCTTGTAAATGGCTTTCGTGAATGCTGATAAACAGGGACTCACAACTTTGTTTTTTCTAAGTAAATACTTTTCTGACTTATTTACAAACTCTATTTTCCAAAATTATTAAGGCCCTACATGTCAGACGTTATCCTATATACTGGGAATAAAATAGGTGACATAAACATATGGTCCCTGTTCTCAGGGAACAAATGTCTGGTGGAGGAGATACAATTAATCAAGTAGTCACACAAACCAAGCATAATTTCAATCAGGATTAACAATTTTAAGTAAATAGAACTTAAGTGTAAGGCAAAATATATGCAAAGAAATTTATTTATACCAAGCTGGGGAAATGTAAAAAAATGTTTTGGGAAAGGGGTAAAGAAATTGCAAACATCATAAAGTAGAAGAAAGAGTGTTATCCTTGAATAAATAAAGGCAGGCTGGTTTGGCTGGAGTTTAAAGCACAGGGTAGTGAAACTAGAAATGGGAGCAAAGGTCAGACCATCCAAGGTTTTTGTAACACATGTTAAGCACTCAAGTACTTATCTTAAAAGTACAGGAAAAATAATTTTTAATTTATACATATGCTTGCTTATTCTCTATAACTTCTGAGACCATTATGAACTTGTGGAGTTCACTTATCAGCTTCTTTCTTACCAAATTAAAATGACGGGAATATCAACACAGATTAAAACTTTGGAGTGATTTTTCTCAAGGCTCTTCTTATTCTGTAGCACTCAAATATTTGCTGAATGTGCACATATTTGCACAAAACACATTTCTTTGTTGTAAAGTGTTTTCTATGTGCACTCAACCTATAGAAAATATTTAATTCTTGGGAGTAAATTTGTATGCATGTATGTGTAGGGTGTAGTTCTGCTGGCGGGGGAGTGTGTGAAGGTATTGCTAGAAGGAAGAGCCATCTCAGAATTTTACCACTCTGGGGTTTTTACTGTTCAGATCTATCTTGGTTTGTTTTGTGGTCTATAACAGAATACCAAAGACTGTAATTTATAAAGAAATAAAATTTATTTCTCAGAGTTCTGGAGGCTGGAAAATCTAATATCAAGAGGCTGTCATCTGGTGAAGGCCTTTTTGATGTGTCATCTCATGGCAGAAGGCAACAGAGTGGATGGCCAGGGGACTGAAACTCACTTAGGATAAACCCATTCCCACAAGAAAGAACCCACTCCTGTGATAATGACATTAATTCATTCATGAGGGCAGAGCCCTCAAGACCTAATCACCTCTTAAAGGTCCTACCTCTCAACACTGTTGCATTGGGGATTAATTTTCCAAAACATGAACTTTGGGAGAAACATTGAAACCATAGCAAGGGCCATTATGGATAGTCTGTCCCCAAAGAAGAGTCATTTTCAATAGCCAGAAAATGAGCCATAGATCCATGATCATGAAAGAATGTCTCAGAATCTGAGTGTCTAGGCTAAGTCAGGAATAGAGATATACATGGGTGCTACAGGAGTTTTTTTTTTTTTTTCAAGTCATACAGTTCACATTGAAATACAAATGTGGGCAGTGCCAATCTTTGAACAGCACTGCACAGCAGAGGCTGCTAGTAATGACGGAAGTACACCTATGGGACTGTAGAAAACAGATTTTAAAGTTTCTGCATGATTAGGCCTTTTTGAAGAAAGAAACCTGGTAATTGGGTTAAAGGAATCACCTTGGAAGTTAAAGGATGGTAAGATAGTGACAGGCTATTCTGGAGAGATTCACCTCCCTGAGGTATGTGTTTACATTACATGGAGGGATGAAACACAGGACCATGGAGACATTTTAAGGGTTGTAAATCCAGAAGGATTGTCTTATTTTATTCCTGGAGACCCTTATTTCTGTTCCAAAGTGTTAAGAAGCCAAGAACCTAGAATCTCTCTTCTCAAGAGAATTTATTTATCCTACAGAGCAAAGGTTTTTCTACCTTTCTCAAAAATATGTATATAAGTTCTTAGATTTAGAACCTCTGGGTCCTTCTTTGTTAGTGTCAAAATGCTCTTTTGAATGTAAAGTCCTGTCCACCTGCCTCTTGTCACATCACACTAGAAAGTATAATATTCTGACTTGATCCAGAAATCTCACTTTTTGCATTCAATATAACATGAATAATTCTGGATTAATGATCATCTTCCTCAGGCATACAATTCCCAGCAGTCTTGTGGGATATACTTTCTGAAGGTCATCCGCTAGGGGGTCATTGCTATTTACACTCAAGCTATGAAAGTGGAGGGTCCTGGTCCTTCAGAAAGGTAGGCAACATCTTTTGGGAAGGTGAACTTGATTTATTCACTCAATTCTTTTTCTTTTGAACCACTGAGAGACAATGATGGGCCAGTTACTTGAGTGTGTTATCCTGCTCAGAATCAAATCCTGTGTAAGAGGTTACAGGATGAGAAGACGTAGAAAGATGAGGAGAGGTAGAATGCTACAAACGAAACATGCATAAGGGACAAGGAAAGACAGAACAGATTCAAACTCACATTTTGCTGACTTGCATATAGGCAAATGACTCCTCAAAGATTTCTTATGAACCATGTCCAGGAGACATTAACTGAGTAGTGGTTTGTGAGGAAAGCATAATTAATCTACTAAATAGATTAATTATCTAGTCCACTCAGACCATAAGGCTTCCAGACTGATGTCAATGGCACTCTATATCTCAGAGTAGCAGAGCATTCTCAGGTCTAAAAGACTACTCTTCCAACAGACACACACTTTCGTTTCCATCAGTTGAATTATATGTCAACTAAGATTCAATACTGTTCCCCTGGATGAAGAATTCTTGTTTGACAGGTTTGTTTTTATTTCTCTGCCCCAGGACTTTGACCTTGTCATCTCATTGTATTCCTGCCTCTATGGTTTTTGATGAGAAATTGCCTATTACTGTTATTGAAGATCCTTCATATATGATAAATCACTTCTTTGCTACTGATTTCAAGATTCTTTCTTTGTTTTGGCTTTCAACAGTTTGATTACAATGTGTTACTGTGTGTCTTTTTAAATTTATCTTAACTGGAAGTTGTTGAGCTTCTTGGCTCTGTAGTTTCACATGTTTCTTCAAATTTGGAAAGTCTTTGGCCAGTATATCTTTAAAAATTATTTTCCTTTTTCTCTTTCTCCTCTCTTTGTGGGACTGCCATTTTAAGTATATTGGTGCACTCTATTCAGAAAAAAATAGGCCATAAAAATGAAAGGAAAATTTAAGACAATACCAGATAAAAAATTAGAGAATTACTCATTTGTAGACCTTGTCATAAAAATATTAAAGGAAGTTCTGTGGGCTGAAAAGGAAAGAATACTTGGCAGTAACACAAATTCATACGGAAAATAAAGGTAACATATACCTAAATATAAAAATACAGTATAAATTTATTTTTACTTGTAATTATTTTTCCTACTATGTAATTTAAAAGAAAAATGAAGAAACAATATATATATATGTGTGTGTGTATATATATATGTATATGTGTGTGTATGTGTGTATATATATATATATATAAATCTATAGTAACTAAAACAGTATGGTACTGGCTTGAAAACAGGAACATAGAGCAACAGAACATAATAGAAAGCCCAGAAATAAAACTAAGCATATGTAGCCAACTCATTTTCAACAGTGGAGCCAAGAAGACACAATGGGGAAATAAATGGTGTTTGGAAAACTGAATATCCATATGCAAAAGAATGAAATTGGACTCATACTATACACAAAATCAACTCAAAATAAATTAAAGACCCAAACATAAGACCTGAAACTGAAAAACTCCTAGAGAAAAGAGGAAATGCTCCTTGACATTGGTCTTAACAATGTTTTTTTTTTTTTTTTTGATAGAACTCCAAAAGTGTAGGCAAGAGAAGCAAACAAGTGGGAGTAAATCAAACTAAAAAGCTTCTGCACAGCAAATAGTCAACAAAATGTAAAAGCAGCATACGGATTAGGAGAAAATATTTGTGAACCATATATCTAATTGGGTGTTAGTATCCAATATATATGGGAATTATCCAACTTGATAGCAATAAAAATGAAAAACCTAATTTAAAAAGTGAGCAAAGGACTTGAATAGACATTTCTCCAAAGATGTAAAATGGCTAGTAGGTATATGAAAAGGTGCTCAAGATCACTAATGATCAGGGAAATGCAAGTCAACACCACAACGAGATATTACCTCACACTTGTTAGGATGGCCCTTATAAAAATATCAAGAGATAAGTGTTGGTGAGGATGTGGAGAAAAGGGAAACCTGATATACTCTTGGTGGGAATTTAGATTAATGTAGCCATTGTGGAAAACAGTATAGCTGTTCCTTAAGAAACTAAAAATAGAACTACAATATGACCGAGCAATCTGGGAGTCATTACTTCATAATGATACCTACACTCTCCTGCTTATTGCAGCATTATTTACAATAGCCATGATATGGAAGCAAAGTATTGTTACCCATTGGATAAGTGGGAAAATAAATTGTGGCACACACACACACACACACACACACACACACACACAGAGACCCCCCCTCCCCCCACACACACACAGAAAATGGAATATTATTCAGCTTTTAAAAATAAGAAAATCACCTAGAGCACATTATGCTAAGTGAAATAAGCCAAATGCAAAAAGACAAATATCACCTGATCTCACTTATATATGGAATCTTAAAAAAAAAAACAAGAAAGACTACAAAGAAACAGAGTAGTATGGTGGTTACCAGGGGTGAGGGTGGGGAAATGGGAAGATGCAGGTCAAAGGGTACAAAATTGCAATGATGCAGGATAAATAAGTCTAGGAATCAAATGTACAACATGAGGACTATAGATAGTTAATAAAAGGTAAGTATGCTAGTACACTTGATGGTATCTTTTAGGTTTCTGGGGCACTCTGTTCATTTTCCTTTATTCTTTTTACTTCTGTTGTCAGGTTAAATAACCTCAATTGATCTGTCTTCATGTTTGCTGATTCTTTTTTCTCTCCATTTAAATCTGGTTTGGGGCACCTCTAGTTAATTTTCAAGCTTAGTGATAGTATTTCTCAACTCCAAAATTTCTAGTTGGTGATTTTCTATATTTTCTGTCTCTTTATTTCTAAGTCTTTGTTTTGTGAGACTTACTTCCATAATTTTCTTTGAACATATTCAAAATTGCTTAAAGTCTTTATTTAGTAAGTCCAATGTATGAGCTTCCTTAGGGACAGTTTCTATTCACTGCTTTTTTTCTCCCTGTGAATGGCCCTTTATTTGTTTTTCTCATAATTCCTTATTGAAAACTAGACATCTTAAATAATATAATTTGCTAACTCTCTCTGCCTCCTTTTCCTATGATTGGTTTTTGTTGTTGCTGTTGCTGTTGTTTATTTGTTTAATGACTTTCCTGAATTAGTTCTGTAAAATTAGCATTCTTTTTATGGGTGGACACTAAACTTTCTTATTGGTTAACTTATTAGTTAGCTAAAAAATTGATAGAGATTTTCTTACAGGCTGGAACCAATAAGTCTCCCAGCTTTTGCTGAGGAGCTCAGGGTGCACGTTGTGGTACACCTTCAATTCCCAGTCAGGCTGCTTGCAACACCACTTTAGGCCTCACTTCCTGCTTGCACAGAAGCTCAACATCATCTAGAGATGACAGCATGACAGCATAGGGCCTTCTCTAGTTTTTCTTGGGCATACACAAACTTGTAAGCGTTAAGTGTGGCATTCTAGATTCCCAGGATTATCACAGAACTTTTCTAATCCACCTATGAATAACTCATTCCTAGCTTTTCCTTTTTTGTGGTTGCCTTGTTGTTTTTTCCTAACTGCTGTCACCAGTTCAGCTAACCACAATATTTAACAATTGCTGCTAATTCTTTGTAGTAACTGCCTACAGGGAAACAGCTTTCTGCACTGGATAAGCTCTGACTTAGCTCAAGTAACAAGTTTTGCACGTGGGATTTTCCAGGGAACAAGCCAAATATTTTTGCACATAGGATTTTCCAGAAGCAAGTCAAATAATGACAGTTGCTTGGGAATTAGATTTTGGAGGAGCTCTAAATCTATTCTGCTCCCTCCAGGCATTGCTACACTTCTGGTTTTTACTATGATCGTTGAACTGCTGGTTTTCAAGGCAATCACAGGCTTGGAGAGAGGGAGACAATATTGGGGCAAGTTAAAACATCACAAAACTTCATGTTTTACCAAGATTCAGCGATTATTTTTCTAATAAACATTACCTATATAATTGAAACCTTTTGCTTAATCTCCAGAGTCCTAAAAAAGTTGAAGTTCACCTTTTTTTTGCAGTGTTCTTGTTGCTTTTATGGAGAAGAAGATTTTTGGAAGTAATATTGGGATTACTGCTGCCCACAACGACACCAAATTCTTGATAGTCTTCATTGATGTTTAACATTGTTTGCACAAGTAGTTAATAACAAATGTCCTGAATGCCTTTTCTTGACTGGATAAAACCATAAAACCAGTCTTGACAATAACCTGAGTTCAGATAATTTTATTTCTTTAAATTATATTTCAGAGTGAGAATTCTTTAAATCTCTTATTAACATATGAAATGTTGATATATCTTATGATAATGCAGATGAATTTCTAATTTAATTCAGTTGGAATTATCAATGTGAAGCATCAAGTATTTAAGAAAATGATGAAGATTTTCTTTAAGCATACACATTTTAAGCATACTTATCTTCTTAATCTCTCCTTAAGACTTAAATTATAACACTGACATCACTAGTGAATTTTTCCAAAGTTGAATTTTTACTTTAAAATTGTAAGCTTTCCAACACACACTCATCTCTCTCTCTCTATCTCTCACACACACACACACACACACACTCACATTTTATTTTGTTTTTAATTGACACATAATAACTGTACATATTTGGTACAGTGTGATGTTTTGG
This sequence comes from Homo sapiens, assembly GCF_000001405.40. Taxonomy (NCBI): domain Eukaryota; kingdom Metazoa; phylum Chordata; class Mammalia; order Primates; family Hominidae; genus Homo; species Homo sapiens. The sequence goes on along the minus strand of NC_000010.11, from coordinate 66,186,213 downwards.
TACCTATATACATTGTGTAATGATCAAATCAGTGTAATTAGCATATCCATTGCCTCAAACACTTGTCAGTTCTCTATGATGAGAACATTCAAAATCTCTCTTCTAGCTATTTTGAAATACACATTAGTTCAGACTATAGTTACCTTACTGTGCAGTTAAACACTAGAACTTATTCCTCCTAACTATAACTTTGTATCCATTGAACATATATATTTTTATATGTGTGTATGTGTGTACATATCCGTGTATATATATGTGTATGTGTATATATATATAGAGAGAGAGAGTGTGTGATGAGAGAGAGATGTTTGTGTATACATATATATAAGTATACATATTCACATTGACAATATACTTTATTTGGGTTCTTATCTAAATATTAGATAAGACATTTTAAAAAATCCACAACTACCCTTCAAAAAAATCTGTAAAGTATTACCCATATATAATTTTTACTTTTTGGCTTGTAAACTTCAGACAAACTTTTTTTAATTAAATAATACATTGAGACACTCAATTTTGATCATTTCTGTAAAGCTGAAAACCTACAGGAACCTGGGACTTTGGAATTCATTAGATTCACTAATGTGGTAACATTTTAGACAAATTTTGCGTAGGAGAGCAAGCTTCTCTGTGAATAAAATACATTACTGAAATCTTGATATTTTCAGACAGATTCCTGATGTAAAGTTTTATGTCTTTCTGTCATTTTTCGTGCAGTATTATTATATAGATTTTTTTCAAATGCATTGTTTTCATGAATTCATTTATAACTTTTAATAGCTCATTTCAATATTTTGTTACTTATGGAGGTACAAATAATGCTCTTTGAAGCATTTTTAAAAGGTATCCTAACTATTAAGTGGGGGTAAGGTTATATCTGAATAATCTTCAGAACTTTTATTTAATATTGCTCTAGATTACTGTTGTCTCTGGTATTTACCATCCTCCAACTCTATCTACTAATTGTGTTATTCAAAAGTGATGTTTTTCTCTATTTATTTACCGAAATTGTTATTGCTATTGTAAATAAAAACCTCATTGTTTAGTACATTGTTTCTAACTTAGTAATCAACTAATTTAGAAGATTCAGTAGGAAAGATAGGAGAGGTCTTATATGTTATACCCAGTCAATAGCTATGCTAGTGGTGAGTGCTATGCACACAGTTGCATGGGACATGACAATAATTACTTCATTTAGAAAGTTTAGAGCAAGGCCGTACAAAAATACTCTTCCAGTGAATATTCAACAACAGTCTAATTCATGGCATAACAGTGTTGTTCTGCACATCAGATTTCTCTGAATACAAATATTAAAAGTAAAGAGATAAATAAAGGTGTATCTGGTGAACACTACCCATAATAATACTTATGTAGTTAGGACAAAATGCATTAGTAGGAATAAAGAGTATGAATGAAGAGAGTCAATACATAATGATAAGAGGTTTGATTTGACAGGATGATATAACAATTTTATATCTGTACTGATAAGCACAACATTGGCTAAAAGTATACAAAGGAAATACAGAATTAAAAGATTAAGCATTGTCACGTTGTTCCAATGAGAACAGTCTGAAATAATAGAGTCCAGGAAAAGACTTTCATATCTATGGAAACGTGATTTATAGTATAGAGTTAACGTTGCAAAACAATGACGAAAGATAGACTTCTTAATAAATGATGCTGAAAAAAATTGGTTATTTGTATAATAAAGGGATTTATCTCTTTCTTAGAACTGTACAACAGTAGATTCTAGATTATTTAACATTTTTAGGTTATAATATGGAACAATACCTATATTACCTCAGAGGCAGAGAAAGTTTTACTAAACAAAATATAAAATTGTATACCATAAAAATAAAATTTAGGTAAGTTTAACTACATTAAAGTTAAAATTTTCTCTTTTTTTGTTTTTGAGACAGAGTCTTGCTCTGCCACCCAAGCTGGAGATCAGTGGTGCAATCTTGGCTCACTGCAACCTCTGCCTCCCAGGTTCAAGTGATTTTCCTGCCTCAGCCTCCTGAGTAGCTGGGATTACAGGCGCCCACCCCCGCGCCCAGCTAATTTTTGTATTTTTTAATAGAGACAGGGTTTTGCCATGTTAGCCAGGCTGGTTTCGAACTCCTGACCTCAGGTGATCTGCCCAACACAAAGTGTTGGGATTACAGGCGTGAGCCGTAAAATTTTCTTTTATAAAAACCTCATACACAAAATACAAGTTATAAAGTGAGAAGATATTTGCAACATATAATTGATAAAGAGGTAGTATCTAGAATATATTAAAAAAACACCTTCAATTCAATAAGGTAAAAAGACAAGCAAACTGAGAGGAGGATTGGAAAAAGCCAAAAAATTGAATAGGCTTTTCATAGAAGATGAAACACAAATGGCAATCAATGATAAAAAGATAATTGGTATATAATTGGTATCAATAAAACCCACAAAAGATTCCTTTTACTACTAACCAAAAAGAAAAAAAGTCACAATGTCAAGTGTTTACCAACTATGTCAAAAATAAATCAACATTTAGGTAAAAACTCTCGAAAACTGCTGCATTTGTAAATCAAGAAATATGTACAAAAACATTCATAGAAACATTACTGAGAAAAGCCAAAGTGTTAACCCCAACCCAATGCCCATTGGCATAGTATAGGTTAATTTTTATTGATTTGTATAATTGAATAGTCCATAGCACTTAAAAAGTGGAAATTGATAAGCTACACTTATATTCAGCAGTATCCATAAATCTCAGAAAAAATATTAAATGTAAAAACAAGGCTCCAAATGATATATTCAATTTAATTCCATTATACAAAGTTATACCTTCACGATAGGTTGGATTTTATTGATTGAGGTAAGAGAAATGCATATCTCATACAGAGAAGGCAATGAATAAAAGGAGACAGAAGTTATATACATATATACAATATGGGAACACATGGGCATGGTGTGTCCACTGAACTTTATTTACAATAAAACTTTATTTACAAAAGAGATAGAGAGCCAGATTTGGCCCTTGGCTTATGTCTGTCCAAATCCTGTGCTAGGGCATGGACTGTCTAAAGGTTTGTTCTGTGCTGTTTTTCTTCCTGTGAGTAGTTTTTCTCCAGTTGATATAGTAGCCATTTTGTGATTTTGGAATATAAATCCCCTTTCTTGATGGATTTCTTCCCTCCTCTCCGAGGAAATGTGTGAAAAGTCCTCTGTGATAGTGAACACTCTGCTGGGTGAGGCCTCTGGAGCCAGACTCCCGAGTGAGAGTCCATTTCATCACAGTGTGGTTTAAAGAAAACGCACATTTAATGTTACGTTCACCTTCACGATTTTGACTCAGGGTAAGTTTGACACATAATAGAGTAAGTAATAAATAAATTTAAATTATTATAGACCATGGTTTCAGTCTTGTGACTGACTTTGTTGTTCACGAGGATGGACATTTTGCTTTCATTTTAGGATCTTAAATTATTTCTTTTAAAAAAAAATCATCTTTTTTTGGCATTAAGATCCTGGGAGTTTGGCCATGTTGTTAAAAAGTAGACAGATTGAGTGGAAAAAGAAAATTCCACACATTGGAATGCCGTATTTTGAAGTACATGGGTCTTGGCATAATCAGTCTTAGGAACCACATGAGATGTTCTTATTTAGAAATAAATGTATCCGGCCGGGCGCGGTGGCTCACGCCTGTAATCCCAGCACTTTGGGAGGCCGAGGCGGGCGGATCACGAGATCAGGAGATCGAGACCATCCTGGCTAACATGGTGAAACCCCGTCTCTACTAAAAATATTAAAAAATAGCTAGGCGTGGTGGCGGGCGCCTGTAGTCCCAGCTACTTGGGAGGCTGAGGCAGGAGAATGGCGTGAACCCGGGAGGCGGAGCTCGCAGTGAGCCAAGATCGCGCCACTGCACTCCAGCCTGGGCGATAGAGCGAGACTCCGTCTCAAAAAAAAAAAAAAAAAGAAATGTATCCACAAGCAAATGTATGAGCATTCTTACCTTAAATTGGAGATCATTCATGACTTTGAGGCTCCCATACTTGATTGTAAGAGATTATATTTACAAATTACAAATAAATGGGACCCCATAAAATCAAGGATTAAGTATGGAATGGGAATTGTTTTATTATTTGGCCTGTGTTTTACAAATACTTGTTAGGATATCAACAATACAGATTATTGGTTTGTGGATTATCATAGGACATTTTTACACAACATTAGCAATTGCAAAATTATCTATATTTCCAGTTTGAACAATATGATATCATCCTGTTATTTCAAGCAATAATAATAAGCCTAAGGGGAAAGTAACTGGATACAACAATAATGAAAACATGCCTAATGGTTTGGGGATTTTTAAAATATTATTTATTTAAATGGCTTTAATGTAACTGATTAGTATGTCAAAGAACTATAATTTGGAGGTAGATTTAATCTCTTCTTAAGCATACCAACTCAAAAACCAAATAAATAAAAATAACAATTGTAACACTGAAATGTGAATATTGTACACTTGTCTGATGAATTTAGCTTAGTAAATACTTCTCAGGGTGTGTTCAGTGTACTTAGCCACTGTGCAAATACCATTTGCAGGTATGTTAATGAGCTTTTTAATAATAATGGGGCTTTTACAAATATAAGCTTTCAGGTTAGCACTCTGGAAGGAACTGAGGGTGGGAGTGTGTAGCTTTGGACAAATAACTAAAAATTATGCCAAGAGAATGAGCATCAAAGGCCTAGCATTACCTGTCATTTCTATTAACAAAGAAAGCAATAATAATAATAGAGCCCCAAAAGTTATTGTATTATTTGAAGGTGAACAATGTTATGTTTTTGTATTTTAGAGTTTAAGTTCTGAAACTGTGTTACATTTTATTTAATAACTGACAATTCTGCAAATTGGCAGCACAAATCCAAGTACTGAAGAAAATTTTATTTCATGGTTTACATTAAGTAGAAAATATAAATGTGATTGAACTAAAAGATAATGAGGAGAAAACATAAATAAGTTAACACAACGGTTACTTTCTTTTAAATTTAGTGAAAGTTTATGAATATAAATTTCTCATTTTGAAGTCCACATAAGTCTAAATGACTTTTTACTTTGCTTTTGTACTCATAGTGTTTTGAGTCAGCACACTTACCTCTAAGTGATCCCTGAATATAAATTTTCTTACCATCAGTCAAATCCTCTTTGCCTTTTTATACTTGGACTAGAAATGGTCCATTTGGATGACCTAGTATTTTCATATGGTCTTTAATTTATGATCACAACTTGTATTTATGTAAGTGGCCACTAGATGGCAGACCTACCACTAAACAGAATTTAGGCCGGAAGTAAATTCTTCAAGTAATGAATTACACAGCAGAGTAGTGTTTCACTTCAAGCTTAGCTCAGATTCTCAGGCTAAGCACTCTCTATTGTTTTAGGGAGGCATGCTAATGAAGATGACGTAACATTTTTACATTCACTTAAGGTTTAATAGTTTACAAGTTTATGTAACTTCTCAGAATAATCTTTTCAGACTGATAAGCACTGCCATATTGCGGATGAAAACATGAGTTTCCCAGGGCGTATGGCAAAGGTTATTTCTTGTGAAAACTGCAAGGAGACAACTTTGAAGAATTTTGCTTCAGGGCTCCAGAATTTAATGACATTACTTTTTGAGATGTATTCTGGGAGAAATTGGTTTTGTATCTGATATATATTTTCTGCTTATGCCCTCTACCTTTATGTTTCCAAAAGAAGTTCAATCCCTCTAGGAGCCCGGAGAATCAATTAGAGCTACAAAACTCTTCCCTCCTCAATGATACTGACCTCTGACATCTTTATGTTCTCTTGCCCTTTGGATTTTGGAGCAGAATTATCTTTATCCAGCTTCCTACCATTTCATCTTTTGTATTCACTAAAACCTACTGTCACCATCACTTAGATTGCCTCTTGATTTCTGATGTTCAGCACTGGGCTCCAGCTCATTTTCGGCTTTTGAAAATAGGCCAGCAGTTTTCTAAAGAACTAACAGTGATCTTTTGCAGAAATTAGAAGTGTGTTTATGTATCTGTGTGCACACACACTTCCAGCCAAGCAAAGCGATATGAAATGATTCCTGATGCTGCTTTTATCTAATTGGCAGCATACAGCCATAATATGCCGCCATTAGGTCAGCATCTCTAGGGTTCAGAACTAACACTTTTAAGTTTTAAAAGCAAACTTAATTTTTTATAAATTTCTAAGATAGAAAAAAAGCAAAGCTGGCACATCTACTATTCAACCCATACTCTTTATTCAAATTACAAGTTTATACTCTAGCTATAAAATACCCTGACCACAGGATAAAATTTTTCATAATAGACAGATGGTGAATTTAGAAGTTGCCTCTCATATATAGAACATTGTATTGATGTGAACACAGGAATGAAACTGTATCTTAAAAATATTTTAGATTACAAGCATATTATATTTTGTCTTTCTTATTACCACAGCAGTATAAGTTTCCCGTAGAAAAACTTAAAAATTTAAATGAAAAATGGAAAAAAAATCTCAAAAACCTAGAAGAGCTTTCCTTTGTGATTGCCTTTATGGAGATCCTTTCAGAGCTTGCAAATTATTTATTTAGCCATTTATCTTTAAGTAGATCTATTTATTTTGAGATAACTATAGATTTATAGGCATTTATAAGAAATAATATGGAGAGACCCAACAATAAATAACACCTTGCAAAGCGATAGTACAGTATTCCAACCAGGGTGCTGATATTGATACAATTAAGATACAGGCGATTTTCATCACCATAAAGATTGCTCCTATTGACCCTTTATAGCCACATATACTTCCCTCCAACTCCCAACCCTTCCTCAACCAGTGTCAACCATTAAAGTATTCTCTCTACAATTTTTCATACAGTATATAGCCTTTTTGGATTGACTTTTTTTCACTCAACGTAAGTCTGGAGATTCATCCAGATTCTTGCATACGTTAGTAGGTTCGTTTTTTTAATTGCTAAGCGAGATTCCATGATATGGCTATACTGTAGTCTGTTTAATCATTCACTCATTAAAGCATATCAGGATGTCTTCCAGTTTGGGGCTATTATGAATTAAGCTATTATAAACATTAATATACAGGTTTTTGTGGTGAACATAGCTTTTATTTTCTCTGGGATAAATTCCCAGAAAGGCAATTGCTGATTATGTAATAGTTGCATGGTTAGTTTTTGTAATAAAGTGCCAAACTCTTTTCCAGGGTGGTTGTGTCATTTTACATTCCAATTAGCCATGTATGAGTGACACAGTTTCTGTGTCATCACTAACATTGGGTGTTGTCATTATTATTTATTTTAGCCATTCTGATAGGTATGTAATGATATTTCATGTGGCTTTAATTTATAACTTCCTAATGGCTAAAGATGGTGAGCAAATTTTTGTGTGCTTACTATTCATATATTCTCCTATAAATTATCTGCTCATGTATTTTATCCATTTTCCAACTGGATTTTTTTAATGTTAAGTGTTGAGAGGTCTTTATGTATTCTTGATACTAGTCCTTTGTTGATGTTGTGGTTTTTAAATATGTGCTCCAACTCTGTAGCTTGTTTTTTGAATCCTCTTAACAGAGTTCTTCACAGAGTAATATAATCTAATTTGGATGAAATCCAGTTTATCAATTTTTCCTTTTATGGTATATATTTCTGCTGTCAAGTTTAAGAACTCTTAAGGGGTGTGTGTATGTGTGTGTGTGTCTGTGTATGTACCTCTCTCTTTCTATATCTGTGTGTGTATATATATATATATATATATATATATATATATATATATATATACACTTTCAAGGTTTGTAGTTGTATGTTGTACTTAATAAACTATATCCCTATATATGTGTATACACATATATATGTGTCTGTAATATATACACATACATATACACTTTCATTTCAAGGTTTTTAATTGTATATTTTACTTAAGAAAAAAAATAGAGGAATGTATACCTAATCCATCTCTCTAGCAGAAGTCCTGCAAATTTGTTTTTATTTTACAAAAGAGAAGCTAATTTATATTTAGTTTTTCAAGTATGATGTCTTCATGCATAACTGGAAAAGTTGAAAAAAGGATTCAAAATCAGGTAAGAGTTTATAAAATAAAATTGTAGGATCTTTGCATTAATATACCCAGTATCATATCATTAAAAATAAAAAATGTTAGCTAGGCATAAACATTACTTCATTGAAATATGCCTGCCTTCTGGACATGATAAATGTTCATGAAAAAAGAAAACAAAATTATGAAAAGAAATATGCCTGCCTTAAACTAAATTTTACCAATAACCAAATTGAATATAGTTTAAAAAAGTAATAATCAAAAATGTTTCTTATTTAACAAATAGTTGGAATGTTTACATTATGCATAGATTTTTTAGTTACCCATCGATGTTCTAAAGGCACTTTTTATCAAAATGGCCTACTTCTGACTAGATTCTGGGTAAATCACAGAATATTTAAAACATGTATATAGGTACCCAGTAGAAATAATTCATATTCATATAAAATGCTCACTTACGTTTTGGTATGTTTAGTATAAAATAACTGCTACTGTTTGTAATTAGAACGGTAAAATTCTTCAGTCTAGGGCTGCCAATATGTTGCAAAGCTCATTTTTAAAAAATCATTAACAAAATCGCTTTTTATCGTTCGTCTAGAATTCAAAAAGGGAGATTATATTGGTCTCTTTTTTTTCAAAATTGTGATATTTTCTTCCCTGAAAAAAATAGATCCCTCCAAAAATGCAGTGTTGTTCTTGAAATAAAGAACAAAATTTTTAAAAATCTGGTGCATTTAGATGTATGTTTCTACTCATTTTTTGGACCTAGTGAATCAAAACTGATTATTTTCTTACTTTTTATGAAAATATCTTCTCTCATTTTTGCTTCTAACCTTAAAATCCAGGAAATTTGGAAAATTTTATATTGATTTCTTTTTCTTCAGTTTATGTAAACAGATTTTTAAATGTATATTTGCATTTCAGTGAAAATAAAGAGGTCAGGAAAAGCTTAAAAATCTTTAGAGCTTTCTGGCACACTTCCCCAAAACATTCAGGTTTTCAGCAGTAACTGGTTAGATTTAGGTTGTGCGTGGGTGCATGTTTATTCTGCATTGTGAGTGTTACACGGATTTAAGCCTTTAGAGAATTATGTTACCGTCTGATCCCTCCTTCGCTTAGTTCTCTAAGTTCAAGAGTTCCTTTTAAGTAAGAACACTTTTTTTTTTCCCTTAAGAAACTATTTGCAGTTTCCTAAGACTTCAGTGATTTAAAAATATTTCACAATCATGAGGTCAGAACAGGGTTTATGTAAGCCTCTGCCTTAGTCTGTTTGGGCTGCTGTAACAAAATGCCATAAACCGTGTAGCTTATAAACAACAGAAATTTATTTCTCACAGTTCTGAAGGCTGGGAAGTCCAAAATCAAGGCATATTTGGTGTCTAGTGAGGTTCTACTTTCTGGTTCATAGATGACACTTCCTGGCTGTGTCCTTACATGGTAGCTAGCTCTCTGGGGCCTCTTTTATAAGGGCACTAATCCCTCATGACCTAATCAACTCTCAAAGCCCTCAACTTCTAATACTGTCATCTTGTGGGGTAGGATTTTAACATATGAATTTTAGGGGGACACAAATATTCCTCTGCTTTTTGTGAATTTTTGTGAATTTTACATATATTTAAGACTTTTAAAGAATAGTAAGTTACTATCTGATCTCTCCATTGTTCAATTCTCTAAGTTTAATAGTTCCTTTTATGTAAGAGCATCTTTTTTCATAAGAAACTATTTGCAGTTTCCAAAGACTTCAGTAATTTAAAAATATTTCAAATACATAAGGTCAGAACAGGTTTATGTAAGCCTCCATTTGCGTGTCTAAATGATGGTTTTCAGAAGCATTATCCTTTCTCCTTTTCTTTACTTTCAGACCATCAACTGTCACATTCTCTTAAGAATCTTTTTACTTCTTCATTTAATTGTATAATTATACTCTTTCACAAATACATGTGCGCACACGTATGTGTGTGCACACATGCACACAGACATCAACTGAACTTGTTTTAAAGCCGGTGCTATGGCCACAATGAAAGGGCTCTGCAGATTTCTTTACAATTATAATGATTATCACCAATTACGTTTCCTGAAATACAGAAAATAAAACTGTTCACATTTTATGATTAATCTCCAGCTGACTGTGATAGAAAAATTACCTAATTATAAAAGCTGAATGGAACTCCAAAGAATTCTTGAGCTTATCCCTGTGTTAGACTATTGTAGAGTTGTCAGCGCAGATAATTTTGTAAGCATGTTTTTCATTGGGTCAGCATCAGCATAAGTTTAACCCATGATAATTCTTTTGTTATGAGGCACTTTCATAAGAAATTTCTGAATAATGGCATTTTTGTGGTTCTTTAAATAAATATGGTTAATGAATCCTGAGTGTTAGCATCAGTCTAAAGGCCAGCACCTGGAAGGGAAATTAATCTGCAGAAAGATTAGCTGACAGTAACCATATAGTCTCCATTGTGACTGGTGAGTTAAGCAGAAAATCTTGTCCATTGACAATACCCTCCTCTCACCAATAGCTGGTGTTTCCACCAAATGTCTCAAGCTCCTACCCTTTTGTTATTTGTGTTAACTGCCTCAAAAGCAGTCCTTCACCCTGACTTTTTGGAGGTACCCACACCACTGTTTACCCAGCTCTACCTGGTCAGTGTTTGGTGATATCCCTGTCTTTTAAATGCATATCCCTACACTGCATCCACTGGTGTTGACTCGACTCTATTTTCTCTGAAATGGTATTTTATAGTAACGGAAGTTGCACATTCTACTTCTATACCTATTCTATTCATAGTCTGTATCTTTCTTATTGTACTCTGCTTATTCTATTCCCTCAGTTGTAGAAGAAAAGAGATATATACACTCCTTGCAAGATCTAGAAGGAGCATGGATATGAGCAAGTCAGTTAACCTGTCATGGCTTTAGCTGAGGGTTGTGAGTGTGTGTGTGTGTGCATGTGTGTGTTGATTCTGTGGGGCCGACATAGCAGTTGCCACATAGGGTCATTGTTGGGGCAAAATAAGATATCATGTAGCTTCTACCCCAAGGAATTGAAATTGGTATATGATTAGCTCATGGTGAAAATGAAATCTTGTACCTTCTTTCTCAATATCTGAGGCAATGACACATTGATTATCATTTACATATATTTTATCTGACATGGTGTTCTAGGCCAAGCATTACTACTGCTTGTGTGTGTAACTTTAAGCAAATCACTTAAATTCACGGGTTGAATTTTTCATTTGTTAAATGAAAATGTAACAAAGTTCATGCTCCTATTGGAAATGCATTGAAGAACAAAGGAGATAGCATATGTGAATATACCTTTTAATGTATGAAGCACTATATAAATACATTTGTCCCTCAGTATACATGGGGGATTGGTTCCAGGACCCCCATGTTTACCAAAATCTATGCACACTCAAGTCCCACAGTTGGCTCTGCAGAACCTGTATATTCAAAAAATTAGCCCTCCCTATCGAATCCTATCAGGTTTCACATCCTGCAAATACTCTATTTTCGATCCCTGTTTGGTTGAAAAAAAGTTGACATATAAGTGGACCCACATAGTTCAAACCCATGTTGTTCAAGGGTCAACTGTATGTTAATTTAATTAAAATGATAAAAGTAGAAATATAATTGTACATACCTTCTTTGAATGCCTACTATGTACTAGATGCAGCGTCAGTGTTTTGCACATAATTTAAATCTTGATAATAATCATATATAATTGTATATATTTAAAATTTTCAGTTATGTAAAAATGCACAATAATATTGTAAAGAAATATATTAAAAATTTGGTAGTAGTTATTGCTAGGTAGAGTTATTTTCTTTGTTATATTTTACCATTTTCCAAACTTTTTCCAAAATGTCTCTAAATAAAATATTTGCATAGTATTATACTAAATAAGAGCCTGGGCCTTGGGATCAGGCTTCCTTAGACTAAAATTCCAATCCGCCTTTTTCTAGCTGTGTGAGCTTGGGAAAGTTACTTAACTTTGCTATGCCTCAGTTTCTTTACCTAAACAATGATCAGCATAGCAATATGTCACAGGACTGTAGTGGGTACTAAATGAAGTAATGTATTGAAAGCATCAGAGTGCCTAGAACAGAGAAAGAGGCTATTTTTTTGAGACTAGGGACACGGATTTTGAAGTGAGACTGCCTGGCTCCTAATCTTGGCATCTTCAGCTTACCAGCTGAGCAAGTTACTTAAAATCTTTGTACCTCAGTTTCTGCTTCTTGTTGTATGCTTATAAGAGTACCTGGAACATAGTAGGTGCTCAATAGATGTTGAATGCACAAATAAGTTGTAGCTATGAATATAAATATGGTTATTTAAATATTAAAATAAAAAATATGTACCTAAATTCTCTGTGTTCCTTAGCCCTCCCATTACCACATTTGCTCTCTCAATGTACTGCAACAGTCTTTTTTGATTTTTTTTGAGATAGGGTCTCTGTCTGTTGCCCATACTGGAGTACAGTGACATGATGATGGCTCACTGCACCCTCTACCTCCCAGGCTCAAGTGATCCTCCTGTCTCAGCTTTCTGAGTGGCTGAAAATAGAAATGCATACCACCATGCCTGGCTAATTTTTTTTTAATGTAGAGATGGAGTCTCATTATCTTGCCCAGGCTGGTCTCAAACTCCTGGGTTCAAGCAATCCTCCTAACTCTACCTCCCAAACTGAAAAACTCAATATTCTTTGTTACCACATTAAATACTAAATCTTCCATTTAAATCCTTGTTGATCACCTAGAACATTCGATATTGCTAGACATCTCCTCCTCCATTGAACTTTCTTGTCAATTGGCTTTTATATCTGTGTTGTTTGCTGGGTTTTCTCAAAATATCTCATACTCTACCTTTTCTTTTTCTACCCCTTCTTTTGCCTGAATGCAAACATAGATGTTTTTTAAGGTTCCACAACTCACTTATCATGGTAAATGTTCAAATGTATTATTCTTATTCACTTAGTGAAACCCTTCTAATAGATTAGGATGTACATGAAAAGATGTGCTTTTTCATAAAATTCCCTTTGCTTCTCCTCAACTCTCTCACAACCACCTCTGAATTTCCATAGTCCTTTGTATATTCCCCTTTAAACTCCCTCTCTCAGGCTCCACTGGGTCAGTGTATGCTTTTACTGTCTTCTTAATTGTGCATTATTTGAGGGCTGTAAATTTGTTGTATCTATCTCGGCATCACCCAAGACAGCTATTATAATGCCTTGTTCAAATTAGATGCCAAGTTGTTTTTATTGTTGTTGTTTGCTCGTAGATGTGTTTGTTTTGAACAAGTCATCTAATTAAAATGATGAAATTTTTTGTAGCTCAGGGTTTAGATATGAATGTGAGGACAAGCTAGCTGCAACACAGGCTCCAGGGTTCATTCAACTAATGGGTTAAGGACCATTTTCTTCTTCACTGTATATGAATTCTTCTGAAGGTGATTGCTTGATAAAACAGGTATTTCTTTCCTAAAGAAATACCATCAATTTATCATAGATGCAATGAATGAAAAATTACCTGGAAATTTTCTCGCAAATAATGGTCATCAAAATCAAAAAATCATAACAAAATGTCTGAAATAAACAAGAAAAATAAATATATATACACACATACATAAAATAATATAGATAAAATAAACAAGAATGTTAAGTCTAAAATTAAAAACAAACAATTACATAGGATAATGTAAAACATATTCAATTATTCAGGTTACAAAAGTTCTATAACTTACAGGCAGAGAGTTAATTGAGCCAAATACTAAATTAAGTTTTGTAATTATACATTTACTGCAGGAAAACAAAGGCTTTGCTAAACTAATGAAAAGATCATTACATAAATTTGTGTTTTCTATCAAATATAGAAACTCTATATTTTTAATCATATCTTTCACAATTATGGTTTAAAAAATAGTGAGTTTCTTGCTGCTCTCTCATTTGGTCATATACTTAAACTTTCAGGAAGCATATAACATCAATCATATAAATTAGCTTTTCATCTCATAAGGGATACATGTAATTCAGGGCAACAAAGGACAAGCAAAGTACTGTGAAGAAGAGATCAAACAACGCCAGTGTATTTTATCAATAAGTGAGCATACTTGCTCTTTGCCACCTGATTTTGTTCCTAATTCCATTAGCGAAATTCATATGAGATATTAGAGGATGATATAGATATTGACACTGATAATAGAAGTTAAGTCTGTAATATGAAAATGTTTCCAGCTGCCCAGCAGCATTGATGATTTTTTTTAATTTTTTTTGTTCCCTCATGATTTCATGGTTTAATTGTACTAAGTATGTAATTAAATTTTCAATAAATCCAGGGTCTGCCATTCTTCATCACACCACCTGCAAAATCATGGCTCCAAGTTTCAGCTAATTCCATCATTAGAACCAGTACTGCTCGATTTCTTCCATACTTGGCTAGTCCAAACCTGGATGAGCCTAACCAAACAACAGTTTTTCTAGAAGCTTTGCCAAGCAGGACATCATAACGAACACATGCTTAAGGTCCATAGATTGTGCACATTTAATTTATGTCATTTTTTATATTAAATTTTTTTTTTTTTTGAGATGGAGTCTTGCTCTATCACCCAGGCTGGAGTGCAGTGGCGCGATCTCTGCTCACTGCAACTTCCGCCTCCCAGATTCAAGCAATTCTCCTGCCTCAGCCTCCCAAGTAGCTGGGGTTACGGGTGCCCACCACCATGCCTGGCTATTTTTTTATTTTTTAGTAGAGATGGTGTTTCACCATCTCTGGTGATCCACCCACCTCAGCCTCCCAAAGTGCTGGGATTACAGGTGTGAGCCACTGTGCCCAGCCCAAAGTTAGGATTTTTTTTTTTAAATAAAGGCTAGCATAGTTAGTTTTTTGTTTGCTTTTTAAAATTAAGATTAGCCTAATTTACAAACTTTACAAGGACTTACACATATTATGGTTCCTTATTTTCTTTCAGGTCATTGTGAGATATTTCTTTTTTTTGGAGATAGAGTCTTCCTCTGTCGCCCAGGTTGGAGTGCAGTGGCTCCATCTCGGCTCACTGCAATCTCTGCCTCTCAGGTTCAAGTGATTCTCGTGCCTTGTCCTCCCAAGTAGCTGGGATTATAGGTGCCTGCCACCACACCTGCTAATTTTTGTATTTTTAGTAGAGACTAGGTTTCACCATGTTGGCTGGGGTGGTCTCAAACTCCTGACTTCAAGTGATCCACCCACCTCGGCCTCCCAAAGTGCTGGGATTACAGGCAAGAGCCACTGTGCCCAGCCCCTTGTTAGATATTTCTTT
Organism: Homo sapiens; assembly: GCF_000001405.40. Taxonomy (NCBI): domain Eukaryota; kingdom Metazoa; phylum Chordata; class Mammalia; order Primates; family Hominidae; genus Homo; species Homo sapiens. The sequence continues at coordinate 66,170,832 of NC_000010.11, read as the reverse complement.
CAGTTTTTTCACACTTGCTGTTTCATCTGCTAGAAGGCTCTTGCCTTCATATGTTCCTAACTACATACCCTTCACTTTTACCCAGTAACTTTTTTTTTTTTTTTTGGGTAAACATTGCTTTCTCTGAAGCATCTTCTCTGATCTATATAACTAGACTAAGCCTTTTATATGCAGTTTTCCCTACTTGGTGCCTTTTTTCTTCAAAGCCCTATCTCAGTTTGTGATATTCATTTCTTTGCCTATTGTGTATATCTCTCTTTCCAAGTAAACACTAAGTCTGTAAGGATTTTATCTGTTTGGATCTGCATTGTATCTCCATTTTTTCAAAACATTGCTTGGTGCATGGTTGGTATCAGCAGACATTTGTTGACCAAATGTAGTAATGTTTTATTCAAGAAAATTCTAAAAGATCTTGATATGTAAAACTTCAAATTTTTCAGAAGCATGCAATCTAGTGTTTTATTATTTATGAATTTGTGGAAATAAAGTTCTAGAGAAATTGCCTTCTTGAATGCCATATTTCTGTTGTTCCAAAGTCTCTGTTGTTCAGAGCTATTCTACCATCTAAAAAAAAAAAAAAAAAAAAAAAAAGACAATGAGGAGGAGAATGCAACTGGATTCTCATCTCTCACCTTATACAAAAATCAACTCAGGATGGATCAAGGACTTAAATCTAAGACTGAAACTATAAAAATTGTAGAAGATAACATCAGAAAAACCCTTCTAGACATTGGCTTGGGCAAAGATTTCATGACCAAGAACCCAAATACAAATGCAACAAAAACGAAGATAAATAAGTGGGATTTAACTAAACTAAGGGGCTTTTGCACAGAAAAAGAAATAGTCAGCAGAGTAAATAAACAACCCACAGAGTGGGAGAAAATCTTCACCATCTATACATCTGACAAAGGACTAATATCCAAAATCTATGGAACTCAAACAAATTAGCAAGAAAAAACCAAACAATCCCATCAAAAAGTGGGCTAAGGACATGAATAGAAAATTCTTAAAAGAAGATATACAAATGGCCAACAAACATATAAAAAATGCACAGCATCACTAATGATCAGGGAAATGCAAATCAAAACCATAATGCAATACCATCTTACTCCTGCAAGAATGGCCATTATCAAAAAATAAACAAATAATAGATTTTGGCATGGATGCAGTGAAAAGGGAACACTTCTACACTGCTGGTGGGAAGGTAAACAGTACAACCACTATGGAAAACAGTGTGGAGGTTCCTTAAAGAACTAAAAGTAGAACTACAATTTGATCCCAGCAATCCCACTGTAGGTATCTACCCAGAGGAAAAGAAGCCATTACATGAAAAAGATACTTGCACACGCATGTTTATAGCATTACAATATTCATAATTGCAAAAATGTGGAACCAGCCCAAATGCCCATCAACCAACGAGTGGATAAAGAAACTATTATATACAATGGAATACTACTCAGCCATAAAAAGGAATGAATTAATGGCATTCAGAGCAACCTGGATGGGACTGGAGACTATTATTCTAAGTGAAGTAATTCAGGAATGGAAAAGCAAGAATTGTATGTTCTTACTCAAAAGTGGGACCTAAGCTCTGAGGATGCAAAGGCATAAGAATGATACAATAGACTTTGGGGACTTGGGGGTAAAGGGAAGGAAGGGAGTGAGGGATAAAAGACTACAGATTGGCTTCAATTTGTACTGTTCAGGTGATGGGTGCACCAAAATCTCACAAATCACCACTAAAGAACTTATTTATGTAACAACAACAACAACAAAAATAGACAATTAATTGGTACATGAGAAGGAATGCCTGGAGCAACTTAAGAAAGAATAGATGACTGTTAGGAGGTGAGGGAAAAGTAATTTCTAAGCAATTAGACTGTACTTTCTATTTGGACTATAATCTCTAGTGAGGGAAGAAATCATATCTTTGAATTCTCAGACCCATTATAGCAACTGAAATATAGAAGTCTTCTTTTGTCAATTATTATTCAACAAATATTTATTGACTTTTAGCTGCCAATTGCTAGTCTAGATATTGATTATATGGTAGAGAGCATTAGTTCTATGATTTTCCAGGGACACAAATCTACAAAGACTGGAGAATAACAAAATGATATTATTGCAGTTACTAGTAAGTACTATAATATAAAAAAGCACCAGTAATTGGATAGCTGTTGTTGGATGACAAGGTGCTAGTTTAGATGAGCTGATCAACCAAAGCTTCATTGAGGTAGTAATACTTGCACTGAGGTCTGAATAGTGTGAGAGTCCAACATGTGAAAATCTAAAAGAACATTCCGGGCAAAGGAGAGTATAGCTATTACTATTCTGAGGTTATAATGAGTTTGGCTTGCTCAATGAACAGAAAAAAACCACTGAACGATAGTGTACAGTAAGCCATAGGTGAAATATAAAAGATGAGGTTGAAAAGTTAGGCAAAGGCCAGACTATGTGTATTTTTTTAAAAAAAAATAATAAATGGATACCTTAACTAGATGAGTGGACGGATAATTCAGTGGCCTACTAGAAACGGTGGCATTGCCTGCCTATAGCTGTGGCTCTCATTATCTTTCAGGATGTCACTTCACAATATGGTATGGGGAGTTTCCATTTGTGACACAATATAAGAACTACAAAGTAATAGAAGTATTAAATTCCAGTAGAATAGACAGCTCACAGTTATATATTGTTCATCAAAAATAAAATGCCAAAAGCTCTTTTTAATGTTGCATGAGATCATGTCCAGCCTTAAGCAAAGTGACTCTGGCACCCATAGGAATGCACCTCTTAGATCTCCAACCACAAGGAGGGCAATTGGCCAAGAGCTCCAGCTGTCATGCTCTGAAACCCATGATTGCATCTATGCTGAGGCTATGTCTACATTTCCCATGGGCTGTGCTTAGCCGATGACTAGGTGTATCTGGGATATTAAGGCAGGCCAATTTCTGGACACACTTGATGCCTCTGGTGGCTACCTGTGCCTTGGGACTCCTCAGTAACTTCACTTCATTTTCCTCAAACTGCACAGCAGTCTAGGAAGTTTGTACCCAATCATCCTTTCTTCTCTCCTTCACTCAGGTTAATAATTTCATCATGATCTGACTGTTCTCTTAGCCTTTTCCAGCTTCCTCCTGATTTTAATCCCATGAGATGTCTGCTTCTCAGAGGACATAGATTAACAAAGTAATAAAGTAGATCAACTTGTTTTTGATGTCTCTTTAAATAACTTTCTACCTTGCCAAAAATTAAAGTAAAATAATATTATAAACATTCTTATTTTCCATGATTTTGATTTAACACAATTATTAGTCAATTAAAGATCCTACTTCTAAGTAGGAACTTCAAAAGACGTTAAAATCTTTTAAAACGATTCATTTGTACTTGGTGGTCTATTAAGCCCCAGTGATCTCTAGGGCAGATACAAAGACATTGTAAATCTCACAGGAAACTTAACGTTTGCTGTCACATTTGTAAACTATTTAGTTTTTCTAACTGCTTCAATTCTTATAGATTTGAAGTATATTCTTTAGTAATCTAACATATAATTTTTTTTCTATTTGCCTCCTTTTAAAATAATAATTGTTGGCAGAAAGGTGGAATTACCTGCTTTAAAAGTAGAACATTTTATCACACTTAATCTCTCCTCTTTTTTACATACAGCACAGTGTCCTATGTCCCTTTCTCTTATTTCATGGTACCTTTTCTTTCTGAGAGGCATATGTGACTATTTTGTTTGTGAAAGGCATATTGCATGTTACAATACTTCAGTTTTTAGAAGCAAATGAAATTCCTTCAAGTCTAAATTGCTCTGCCTTACTTTCCAGTTTCCTTTATAAAGTGACATCACCTTTTTCTTCACACCTCTCCAACCTCCCATTGTATCTCCAAAGCTCCACTCCTCCCACCAAACTCAAGCTTCCTGAAATGTCCCTTACTGTTACATGAACTCTATCGACACCTGTTCCTGTTTTATGTATCCTTTAGGACACATTGAATATTTTTCTTTTTCTGCCATCATACTAACTGATCACACTAACCTTCATTCACCCCTTCAATTTAATCCTATTTTAATTTTTTTTGCTGTTATAATAGTTAATTATGTGATTACTTCTCTAGTTGTTTCATGTTTCCATGTTTTGATTATGCCTCCCACATTGTCACATGAGATGCAAACTTCGAAAATATGTTATGTACCACATAGAGATTTGGAAACAGCTGAACTGAGACTAGATTCTACCTCTGTGAGTTACCAGTTTTTTGCTTTTTGTTTTTAACCATAGATAAGCTACTTAATCTTTCTGAAACTTCTTCTTTTTTTTTTTTTTTTTTTTGAGACAGACTGTCACTCTGTCCCCCAGGATGGAGTGCAGTGCAGTGGTGCGATCTCAGCTCGGTTCAAACTCTGCCTCCTGGGTTCAAGCAATTCTCATGCTTCAGCCTCCCAGGTAGCTGGGATTATAGGTGCCCATCACTATGCCTTGCTAAGTTTTTGTATTTTTAGTAGACACCGGTTTCACCATTAGTAGAGACAGGTTTCACCATGTTGGCCAGGCTGGTCTTGAACTCCTGATCTCTTGGACTCCTGATCTCAGGTGATCCGGCCACCTCAGCCTCCCAAAGTGCTGGGATTATAGGTGTGAGCTATCACACTTGGCCTCTGTGAAACTTTTTTCTTAAAAAATAATGCAGTTACCTTCTTGAAGGTTTTGTTTGAGGTTCAAATGAGATAATTTCTGTGAAAGCATTTTTGAAAATAAATTTTATGGCTGGGTGCGGTGGCTCACACCTGTAATCCCAGCACTTTGGGAGGCCGAAGAGGATGGATCACAAGGTCAGGAGTTCAAGACCAAGGTGGCTAAGATGGTGAAACCCCATCTCTACTGAAAATACAAAAATTAGCCAGGTGTGGTGGCAGGTGCCTGTAATCCCAGCTACTTGGGAGGCTGAGGCAGAGAATTGCTTGAACCTGGGAGGCAAAGGTTGCAGTGAGCCAAGATTGCACCACTGCGCTCCAGCCTGGGAGACAGAGCAAGACTCCATCTCAAAATAATAATAATAATAAAATAAATAAATAAATTGTATTGTGTATATTGAAGGTATACAAAATGATGACACATGCACATATATAATAAGATGGTAATAATACTTCACTACAGTGAAGTAAATGAACATCTATAGTGCCTTCTCTTTGTAAATAAATACTATATATTTCACCATTTTTCCTCTATCCTATATATGAGCTTTTGAGAAGACTGGCATTAGGACTCATTGGGTTTTTAGAAATGATGACTAACCAACACCATATAAATATTTAGCACATACTATTTTCTTTTGTTTTTTATAATTTCAGCTTTTATTTTGGATTCAGAGGGTACATATGCAGGTTTGTTACCTGGGTATATTGCATAATGCAATTTTACTTAGAGTAAAATTGATGTATGATTGATCCCTTCACCCAGGTAGTGAGTATGGTGCCCAATAATTAGTTTTTCATTCCTTGTTCCCCTCTCTTCCTCCACCCCCTTCACTCTAGTGGTCCCCAGTGTCTACTGTTGCCATCTTTATATATGGCATATGAGCTATAGGGTCCCCATTCTTTAGCTGTATGAAACCTATTATTTAGCTCTCACTTTTAAGTGACAACATGTGATATTTGGTTTTCTGTTCCTGCCTTAATTCACTTAGGATAGCAGCCTCCAGTTGCATCCATGTTGCTGCAAAGTACACGACGTTATTCTTTTTTATGGATTCATAGTACTCCATGGTGTATATAGCACATATTATTTTCATTTAGGGTATTGTATTCTGTATTTGATCTTGACTAATATGCCAAGTGTCAGATAGGAACAGAAATTTTCCCTTTTTCCTTTCTTTCTTTTTTTGAATAATAATTAGAAACTACTCCCAAATATAATGTGACCTACAGAAGATTCATTTAAAAAACGGCAAATCACATTTGTTCCCCTCTAAAATGATACAATTTCATGTAAATAGAACCAGTGTTGGAAGGATGAATACTGATTTATGTTTTAGTATCACAAATTTGATCAATTGATATTATTAGGTAAGAATCTCTCATGTTTAAAATCACTATTCTAGAATAAAGACAAATTTCACATAGAACACAACCATATTTTTATGTATTGTGTCAATTGTTCTATAATTAAATAACATTTACAGAGATTTTCTTTCTTTTTCTAGTTCACGTTGGGATTATTTAACTTAATTCTCAGACAGACTCTGTGTTGTTAATTTGGCTCTTATTGCTATGTGTCTGAGGGGAAGAGGGAAACATCTAAAAAAAAAAAAAACAGTGTCCATATGTCCAATTCCATGTGGAAACTGGTTAGCTGTTCTTGGATACCTTCCTATTCCTGAATCAATGATTGTGGCCAGGAGAACAGGACACTTTGGCAATCTATGACCTATATTCCCAATAGTGCAATACAGAGAGAAGAGAAGTTGCCCAAATGTACAAATGCAGGACAAAAAGCAGAATATATCTACTACAATAACTTCCACTCAAGAAATTAGAAAATAATAGTTCTCATTAATAGGTATCTTGATGGTATTTACTATATACATCATATTTGGGTTTTTAATTTTAAAATTAAAATAAAATGTGATTGGCCTGCAAGTTAGAAAAAAATATTTAATTTTTGGTTACAGACAAATTTTATAGTGCCTTCCCTGCCCCTACAATAATTACTGATGTGTAAATAGTAAGCATCTGAGCTATATGACATTAGCACGCTCTCAAACAGTTTTTCAAAGTCACTAGAGTATGAACCCTCTTAAGGAAAATAATTTTTATGCTTTCTCCCATGTTGCTTTTAATTGTTTTCATTACAATGTTACTCAAATATGTACCAACACAAAAATGACATAGCAAACACTTCCATGGTACTTACCATGTCTCAAGCTATTTGAAGATCTTTACACATATAACACATTTAATCCCAATAAAAGCCTTCTGACTTGAGTGCTATTATTGCACCATAGATCATATGAAAACATTGAAGATGAAAGAGGCTAAATAACTTGAACATGGTCATGCAGCTAGTGATTGTCAGTCTGGGTCTGGAATCCAAGTTTTTAAGCATCACTGCCAAAAAATATAATCTCCTTGTGCATATAGCTTATATATAATAATATAACTGAAACCCAGAAGTAAGAAGTGAAATCAACTGCAAGAACAAACCAGCAATCCCAAGAGGACCCAGAGACCCTCTGAAGGAAGCAGACTGCTCCTGCAAAACGTGGGAGACACTGCAAATACTGTGAGTGTCCTAACTGAAGAAGTGGGAAAGGGAGACCCTCCTCTCTCAAACACGCACCCCCACTGGAGAACCTGAAGGTCTGTTTGCAGGAGAAATTTCTGACTTTACCTGGAGATGAGTCAATTTAGAGAACCAAGAGAAATACAGGGGTAGAGAAAGCAGCAGAAAGGCCCTGGGAGCTCACTGGGTCCCCTAGCAGCCTATTCCTTCCTGGCACCACAGAGATCCATTGGGAGGGTGGCCAGAGGAGCAGGGGGTAAAACTCCACAGGGAGGAGGAAATCACTAACGGAACTTTGTAAAAATTTGAACAGGGTGAGAAGCCTCCTGGCCAGAAATGGGGAGAGGGTGCAAATCCTGTGTGCAGACTCCACAGGAGGGGGAATAACCAAGCCCTTTTCTTTCATAGCTGAAAGGCAGGTAGCCTGGGGCAAGTTTTCAAGCCCATCTCGCCCTTCACCTGGAAACAGACTTGGGGCTGTTGCAGGGGTACCATGGGAGTGAGACCAGCCCTTCAGTTTATGTGGGAGCTGGGTGAGGTCTGTGACTGCCAGCTTTCCCTCACTTCCCTGACAACCTGCATGACTCAACAGAGGCAGCCGTAATCCTCCTAGGTACACAACTCCAGTGACCTGGGAATCTTACCCCCACCCCCCACAGCAGCTGCAGCAAGACCCGCCCAAGGAGAGTATGAGCTCAGACATGCCTAGCCCTGCCCCCACCTGATGGTCCTTCCCTACTCACCCTAGTAGTGGAAGACAAAGGGCATATAACCTTGGGAGTTCTAGAGCCCCACCACTGTCAGTCCCTCTCCATACTACTATACCTGATGCTCTCTGGAAATGGCCACCTCCCAGCAGGAGGCCAACCAGCACAAAAATAAAGCATTAAATGACCAAAGCTAAGAACCCTCATGGAGTCCATAGCACCCCCCGACCCAGCACCTCCACTGGAAGAGGTGCTGGTATCCACGGCTGAGAGAACCATAGGCAGTTCACATCACAGGACTCTGTACAGACAACCTGCAGTACCAGCCTGTAGCCGGGTAGACTCGCTGGGTGGCTAGACCCAGAAGGGAGACAACAGTCAGTGCAGTTTGGCTCACAGGAAGCCACAACCATAGGAAAAGGGGGAGAATAACTACATCAAAGGAACATTCCTTGGGACAAAAGAATCTGGTCAATAGCCTTCAGCCCTAGACCCTCCCCCTGACAGAGCCTACCCAGACGAAAAAGACCCAGAAAAGCAACCCTGGTAATATGACAAAACAAGGCTCTTCAACATCCCCTCAAAAAATCACAATAGTTCACCAGCCATGGATCCAAACCAAGAAGAAATCCTTGATTTACTTGAAAAAGAATTCAGGAGGTTAGTTATTAAATGAATCAGGGAGGCACCAGAGAAAGGCAAAGCCCAATGCAAGGATATCCAAAACAAGATACAAGAAGTGAAGGGAGAAATATTCAAGAAAATAGATAGCTTAAAGAAAAAAAAAATAAAAAATTCAGGAAACTTTAGACACACTTTCGGAAATGCAGAATGCTCTGTAAAGTCTCATCAATAGAATTGAACAAGTAGAATAAAGAAATTCAGAGCTGAAAGACAAGGTCTTTGAATTAACCCAATCCATCAAAGACAAAGAAAATAGAATAAAAAAATATGAACACAGCCTCCAAGAAGTCTGGGATTATGTTAAACGACCAAACCTAAGAATAATCAGTGTTCCTGAGGAAGAAGAGAATTCCAAAAATTCGGAAAACATATTTGGGGGAATAATTGAGGAAAACTTCCCCTGTGTTGCTAGAGACCTAGACATCCAAATACAAGAAGCACAAAGAACACCTGAGAAATTCATCGTAAAAAGATCATTGCCTAGGCACATTGTCATCAGGCTATACAAAGTTAAGATGAAAGAAAGACTCTTAAGAGCTGTGAGACAGAAGCACCAGATAACCTATAAAGGAAAACCTATCAGATTAGCAGCAGATTTTTCAGCAGAAACCCTACAAGCTAGAAAGGATTGGGGCCCTATCTTCAGCCTTCTTGAACAAAACAATTATCAGCCAAGAATTTTGTATCCAGCGAAACTAAGCATCATACATGAAGGAAAGATACAGTCATTTTCAGAAAAACAAATGCTGAGAGAATTTGCCATTACCTAGCCACCACTATAAGAATGGCTAAAAGGAGCTCTAAGTCTTGAAACAAATGCTGGAAACATATCAAAACAGAACCTCTTTAAACCATAAATCACACAGGACCTATAAAACAAAAACACAAGTAAATAACAAAAGCAAAACCAAAAATCCAAAGTACACAAGTAACAAAAAGCATGATGAATGCAAAGGTACCTCACATTTCAATACTAACATTTGAATGTAAATGGCCTAAATGCTCCACTTAAAAAATACAGAACTGCAGAATGCATGAGGACTCACCAGCCATCTGGGGCCTTCAGGAGACTCACCTTACACATAAGGACTCACATAAACCTAAAGAAAAGGTGTGGGAAAAGGCATTTCATGCAAATGGACATCAAAAGCAAGCCAGGGTAACTATTCTTATATCACACAAAACAAACTTTAAAACAACAGCAGTTAAAAGAGACAAAGAGGGACATTATATAATGGTAAAAGGCCTTGTCCAACAGAAAAATATCACAATCCTAAACATATATGCACCTAACATTGGAGCTCCCAAATTTATAAAACAATTACTCATAGACCTAAGAAATGAGATAGACAGAACACAGTAATAGTGGGGGACTTTAGTACTCCACTGACAGCACTAGACAGGTCATCAAGACAGAAAATCAACAAAGAAACAATGAATTAAAACTATACCTTGGAACAAATGACTTAACAGATATATATAGAACATTTCATCTCACAACCACAGAATACACATTTTATTCAACAGCGCATGAAACTTTCTCCAAGATAGACCATATAATAGGCCATAAAATGAGCCTCAATAAATTTAAGAAAATTGACATTATATCAAGCACTCTCTCAAGCCACAGTGGAATAAAACTGGAAATCAACTCCAAAAGGAACCTTCAAAGCCATGCAAATATATGGAAATTAAATAACCTGCTCCTGAATCAGCATTGGGTCAAAAACAAAATCAAAATGGAAATTAAGAAATTATTCGAACTGAATGACAATAATGACACAACCTAACAAAACCTCTGGAATTTTTAGCAGAGGCGGTGCTAAAAGGAAAGTTCATAGCCCTAAACGCCTACATCAAAAAGACTGAAAGAGCACAAACTGATATTCTAAAGTCACACCTCAAGGAACTAGAGAAACAAGAACAAATCAAACCCAAACCCAGCAGAAGAAAGGAAATAACGAAGTTCCAAGCAGAACTAAATGAAATTGAAACAAACAAAAAATACAAGAGATAAATAAAACAAAAAACGGGTCCTTTGAAAAGATAAATAAAACTGATAAACCATCAGCAAGATTAACCAAGAAAAGAAGACAGAAAATCCAAATAACCTCACTGAGAAATGAAAGAGGAGACACTACAACTGACACCACTGAAATACAAAAGATCATTCAAGGCTGCTATGAACATCTTTATGTAAATAAACTAGAAAACTTAGAAGAGATGAATATATTCATGGAAAAATACAGCTCTCCTAGGTTAAATCAGGACAAATTAGATACCCTGAGCAGACCAACAACAAGCAGTGAGATTGAAATAGTAATTGAAAAATTACCAACAAAAATAAAATACAGGACTAGACAGATTCACAGCAGAATTCTACCAGACATTCTAAGAAGAATTGGTACCAATCCCTTTGACACTAATTCACAAGACAGAGAAAGAAGGAATCCTCCCTAATTCATTCTATGAAGCCAGCATCATGCTAATACCAAAACCAGGAAAGAACATAACCAAAAAAAAAAAAAAAAACAGAAAACAAAAAACTAAAGACCAATATCTTTGATGAACATAGATGCTAAAATCCTTAACAAAATACTAGCTAACCGAACCCAACAACATATCAAAAAGATAATCTACCATGATCAAGTGGGTTTCATACCAGGGATGCAGGGATGGTAACATATGCAAGTCAATAAATGTGATATACCACATAAACAGAATCAAAAATAAAAATCACATGATTATCTCAATAGATGCAGAAAAAGCACCTGACAAAATCTAGCATCGCTTTATGATTAAAACTCAAAGCAAAATTGGCATACAAGGGTCATACCTTAATGTAATAAAAGCCATCTATGACAAACTCACAGCCAACATTATACTGAATGGGGAAAAGTTGAAAGAATTCCCTCTGAGACCTGGAACAACACAAGCGTGCCCACTCTCACCACTACTCTGCAACATAGTACTGGAAGTCCTAGCCAAGCAATCAGACAAGAGAAAGAAATAAATGGCATCCAAATTGGTAAAGAGGAAGTCAAACTGTCACTGTTTGCTGATGACATGATCATTTACCTTGAAAACCCTAAAGACTCCTCCAGAAATCTCCTAGAACTGATACAAGAATTCAGCAAAGTTTCCAGATACAAGATTAATGTACACAAATCAGTAGCTCTTCTATACAACAACAGCGACCAAGCAGAGCATCAAATCAAGAACTCAACCCCTTTTACAGTAGCTGCAAAAAAATAAAAATAAAAATAAAATATTTAGGAATATACCTAACCAAGGAGTCAAAAGGCCTCTACAAGGAAAACTACAAAACACTGCTGAAAGAAATCATAGACAACACAAAGAAATGGAAACATGTCCTATGCTCATGAATGGGTAGAATCAATATTGTGAAAATGACCATACTGCCAAAACAATCTACAAATTCAATGCAATTTCCATTAAATTACCACCATCATTCTTCACAGAATTAGAAAAAACAATTCTAAAATTCATATGGAACCAAAAAAGAGCCTGCATAGCCAAAGCAAGACTAAGCAAAAAGAACAAATCTGGAGGCTTCACATTACCTGACTTCAAACTATCCTATAAGGCCATAGTCACCAAAACAGCATGGTACTAGTACAAAAATAGGCACATAGGCCAATGGAACAGAATAGAGAACCCAGAAATAAACCCAAATACAGCCAACTGATCTTTGACAAAACAAACAAAAACATAAAGTGGGGAAAGGACACCCTTTTCAACAAATGGTACTAGGATAATTGGCTAGCCACATGTAGGAGAATGAAACTGGATCCTCATCTCTTACCTTATAAAAAAATCAACTCAAGATGCACACCTAAGACCTGAAACTATAAAAATTATAGAAGATAACATCGGAAAAACCCTTCTAGACATTGGCTTGGGCAAAGATTTCATGACCAAGAGCCCAAAAGCAAATTCAGTAAAAACAAAGATAAATAGCTAGGACCTAATTAAACTAAAGAGCTTTTGCACGGCCAAAGGAACAATCAGTAGAGTAAACAGACAACCCACAGAGTGGGAGAAAATCTTCACAATCTGTACATCTGACAAAGGACTAATATACAGAATCTAGAATGAACTCAAACAAATCAGTAAGAAAAAGCAAACAATCCCACCAAAAAGTGGGCTAAGGGCATGAATAGACAATTCTCAAAAGAAGATATACAAATGGCCAACAAACATATGAAAAAATGCTCAACATCACTAATGATCAGGAAAATGCAAATCAAAACCACAATGCGATACCACCTTACTCCTGCAAGAATGGCCATAATAAAAAAAACAGTAGATGTTGGCATGGATGAGATAATCAGGGAACACTTCTACACTGCAGGCGGGAATGTAAACTCATGCAGCCACTATGGAAAACAGTGTGGCGATTCCTTAAAGAATTAAAAGTAGAACTTCCATTTGATCTAGTAATCTCACTACTGGGTATCTACCCAGAGGAAAAGAAATCATTATTCGAAAAAGATACTTGCACATGCATGTTTATAGCAACACAATTCACAACTTCAAAATTGTGGAACCAACACAAATGCCCATCACTCAATGAATGGATAAAGAAAGTGTGATTATCTATCTATCTATCTATCTATCTATCTATCTATCTATCTATCTATCTACATATCTATCTATCTATCATCTGTCTATCTATCTATCTATCTATCATCTATCTATCTATCTACCTACCTACCTACCTACCTATCTATGATAGAATACTACTCAGCCATAAAAAGGAATGAATTAACAGCATTTTCAGTGACCTGGATGGAATTGGAGACTATTATTCTAAGTGAAGTAACTCAGGAATGGAAAACCAAACATCAAATGTTCTCACTGATATATGAGAACTAAGCTATGAGGATGCAAAGGCATAAGAATGATACAATGGACTTTGGGGACTTGCGAGGAGTAGTGGGAGGGGGACGAGGGATAAAACACTACAAATAAGGTGCAGCGTATACTACTTGGGTGATGGGTGCACCAAAGTCTCACAAATCACCACTAAAGAACTTACTGATGTAACCAATACCACTTGTACCCCAATAACTTATGGAAAAATTTTAAAAAAGGAAATAAGGAAAGCAAAACAAAACAAAACCAAAACCCAAATGCAAATGAAATACAAAACTGAAAATCAATAGGTTACGTCCTCCTCATCAGTCTGTTCTCAACAAGACAGCCATAGTCACCTTATTTAAACACGTCAGAACAAGGCAATGCCCTATTCAAAATTATACATGATCCCTCTCCCTCAGCACCTTTCACACACTTAGATTAAAATTGAGCCTTATTATGAGTGAAGGCACTATATGATCTGGCTTCCCACTATGTTGGAACTCAAAATCCTACCAGTCTCCACCTCATTAACCACACTTTGGATACAAAGGCCTAGTTACTATTCTTTGACCATGCCAAGACCACTCCCAATGCCATATGTGAAATATCATCTCCTCTATCTTTCTATATGTTCACTACTGTTTTTTTTTCCTTCATTTTCACCACTTGACATTTTTATTGTTTGTTTATTGTCTGTTTCCCTAACTAGATTGCAAACATCTTGAAGAGATGGTGTTGGCATTGCTCACTGCTTATTTCCTAGCATCTATAATTGTACTTGGCACACAGAAAGCATTGAATAAATATTTTAAATTAACTTTCTAATTTTAACTGTATATTCACCTGTGAATTTAAGAAGTAATAGAAGCTTCACAAATCCTTTACTAGTTTTTTCCTGATGGCGGTATTTGTAAAGTGTGGTCCAACATCACAACAAAATCACAGGACATTTACATTGATAGAGTCAAGATATAGAACATTTCTATCATCACAAGGATCCCTCCTGTTTCCTTTCTTTAGTCGGTTGCAAGCTTCTTTAGGCCTGTGGTCAGCTTCTTCAGCTCCAAGTCTGGGATATATGAGGGAGAATAAAAACCCAGGTAATTCACCATCATGCTGTTCCTTGGGTCCCAAGATGCCTGACCAGTCTAACTTCTGTCTACCTTTCAGAGTTTCAGCATACGTAATCTATTCTGGTGGATGTGTAATGGTATAGCATGACTTTAATTTGATAACTAATTAACTTGAAGTCTTCTTAAAATATACTATTTTGGCCATTTGGATATATTCTTTGATAAAGTGTCTTTTCAATCTTTTGTTCATTTTTTCTGTTGTGTTTCCTTTTCCTTACTGATTTTTTTTGAGTTCTTTCTTTATTCTGGGAAACGCTCCTCACACTGTGGATTCATTGACTCTATTAACAATGTCTTTTAAAAAACAGAAGTTCTTGGCTTTTATATAGTTCAATGTATCAACTTTTTATTTGCCCTAAGAATATGGAATTGTTCTCTAATGTTTGCTTCTAAAAGCTTTATTGTTTTATATTTTACTTTTATATAACACATTTTTATGACATTAACTTTTGTGTATGGTGTGAGATGAGAATCTAGATGATGTTTTTCTCATACATATATCCACTTGACCTAGTGCAATGTATTAAGATGGTCCTCCGCTCCCCACAGCACCAAAGCTTCATATTATTGTTGTTGCTGTAGATCAGGAACGTGTGTGGGTTTGTTTCTGGACTTTTTTCCATTGATCAGTTTGCCATTTTTAGCCACAGGTATTTCTTTTATTATTTCCTGATTAAGATATAACTTTTATAGAATGGTGCCACTTTTGAAATCAAAATGTGACATGAAGTTTAGTTTATTTAATTTGGTGGCACAAGTATAACACAGATACTGATTTTCCAGTTGAGTAGGACAGCAGAAATTCCATAATTTGTATCTCTCGCCAAGTGTCTTAGTCACTTGGCTTATGGAATCACTGAAATAATGAGTTCTCATATCAATACCTAGGAAGTTACTGTTAAGATACAAGAGTTAAGTTGCCTTTAAGATGCAAGAGTTCTCTCTAAGTTATGAGTCTCTGTACTTCTGTCTGCTTTGGGACACATAAAAGAATGCTGGAGAAGTTCAATGGCAAATTGGAATTGTTTCACACTATACTCTTGAGCAAAGATTGAAAAACTACAGCCCGCAGGCCAAATTGCCTGCCACCTATTTTTGTAAATAAAGTTTTAATGGCTAATTTTGTGCTACAATGGTAAAGTTGAGTTGTTGTGGAAAATATTGTATGCCTCACAAAGCCCAAAATATTTACTGTCTGGCTGTTTATAGAAAATGTTTGTCAACTCTTTGTCAAACAACTCTAGAGAATGTGCACATATTCCTCTAAAAGAACTGTTTGGTTACCACAGCTGTACTAGGGGCTTAAACAGGTCATCTTGTTATATTGCTTTCTAGTGAGTGTTAAAAAATTAATAGGACATTTTCCTAATATTGAGCTTCATATAAATTGTTCAAGGGAAATATATATATATATATATATATGAACTTTTTCAAAAAGTAGAGAGAGAAAAAGATGATTGCCAGAAACTACTACAGGGAGTTTCTAAAAACGAAATATACTATCACTTGCCTTTGACGAAAATTGTTGGTGGAAGCCACTGTCATTGTGAGTAGTTTTCGGCAAATGGGAAAATGTTGCCATTAACAGTAGCTTGCAAGTAAGAGCCACAGCTAATGTAAAAATCCACCCTTGAAAATGAATATCAAGATATTTTTAAGACCCACTAAAACAAACATCCTTTGCAGCAGAAGATATATTTGTAGGCTGTCTTTTGTGAATGTGCTATATAAGTAAGATTCCAAAAGACCTGTCGTAGTATGGGAGAGGGTGGGTAGTAGGTATATTTTACTCTAGTTGCTCAATGTTAAAAGAGCTGATTGTTTAAGTCTACAGTAGACTAATATCCTTGATAAGGAGACCTGAGAGTCAGGAGTAATTTAAAATATAAGTCCAAAGAGGATTTGCTGGATTATAAATAAAAGAGTAGAACCAAGGATTAAGTACCAGAAATAAACCAATTGAAGCTGGATATGTTTGGGGATAAGAAATATCTCCAAAAAATACAAGTCTTGGACAATAATTACTACCATCAGTAGTGACTGCCTTATTTATTTGCTGAATATTTTGAGCTGTGTTTAAAGGTATGGGTTTAATCTTGACCTTATGAGTGATGATAGAGATTGCAGCCCTTCAGATTAATTACTAAAAGTTCCATTTCTGGTATGATAGAGTAAGGAGTAAGTTTCAAATGGTCCAGCCCGCCAACAGATCACAACTATAAACAAAAAAACTTATTATGTATAATTTATATTATATAGGTATGTGTGTGTGTGTGTGTGTGTGTGTGTGTGTAAACAAATTATTAAGTATCAGAGGCAGATTTGGAGATGATACAAAACTTGGAAGACAGGACCAGCATAGGATACGTTTTCATTTTTTAGTCTTAGTGTAAGGACAGTCTGCAGGTGCAGTGGACTGCAAATAACTAACACTGTGGTAGAGAATCTATCCTCTTGGCATCCAGGAATGAGCCTGGGATAACTGCAGGTACTAGAAAGTAAGGTGGAGAGGCATCTCAGAAAAGAGAAATCCAGAAGATAAGAGCCCCCAAATTGGTATACAAACTTTGCCCAATTCTCAGGCTGACAGGTGAATTGAGCATGTCTGCAGCAGACTCAAAACATCCTGCAGCTAAGGCTAAAAGAACAACACTGAGATTTTGGCTGTCTCCCTCCATAGGCACACAAAGTATGTAATTTGAGCCTAACCAATTAATTGCCTTCTAATATAAAAATAGTATCTTTCTTTGGAGGAATATTAGAGAATGCAGAAATAATGACTTGGATACAATACAGACTGGCTTCACATTCAAAGAAAAAATATATGATTAACAGAGTCCAACCCTGAGACGACCCAGATGTTGAAATTTCAGATAAAGACTATAAATCAGCCAATAAATCTATGCTTAATAAAATAAACTTAATAAATAAATAGGAAATCTCAGTAAAGAAATTGAAAATATTTTAAAAGAACTGAATGCAAATTATAAAACTGAAACATACTGAAACACGCATATTTGAAAAAGAAACATTTTATGGGCTTTATAGAAGAATGAAGATGACAAAGGAAATAATTACTAAACTTTAAGATAGATCAATATGAAGAAAAGAGAAAAAAAGTTAAAGATATCAACAGAGCCCAAGTTGTCTATGAGATAATATTAAAACTTTTAACATATATTTAATTAGAGTCCCAGGTGAGAGTGAGAATGAGGCACAAAAAATATTCAAGAAAATAATGGCTTAAAACTCAAACTGAACGATGACTTACTGAAAATTATTTACACATTCCTGGAGCTCAGTGAATTGGACTACTTTCAATAAAGAGAAAGGATAACAAAGTTTCAGTAGGGCACTTTAGAAGGCTGGAAAATGTAGTCAAAGCTCATGGTAGTGTACAGCATTGCCAGAAGAGGTGATAATAGGAAAAAGTCATACTTTCTTTTTTATTTCAAAAATGCTCTTGAGGGTCATAGGCATAGTTTGCACAGCATTTTGAAAATTACCAAGAATCTTAGTTTAAAAACTTATACACTCTTTCTCATCTTAAAATCATTTTTAGTTATTATTAGACTTTGATTAATGTCTATAAGACATTCTGATACAGTGAATTCAGAATACATGTTGTTAGTTTTCTTTATATTGTGAAAGTATACATGAGAATTTTTATACTTTGTGTTGTTAGAACATTCTTAGTTTTCATTATTTTACTTTTTGTCCCATTATGTATATCTGTGCTTCCTGTTTTGGAAATATAATTTAGCTAATGAGTTGTATTAGTTATCAACTTCCATCATAGTATATCATTTACAATTAATATCTGTATTATCAGTGCCTGTATCTTTATTTTCTGGTATTTTTCCAAGTGCTTGTAAAATTGGATGTATATTTAACTTTCATGGTTATTCTAGCATTCTGCTTATTCATAATTCAATATCTTGAAAACATCTTCTGCTGTCTTAATATTTCTGTCAAGTTTAGTAGAATGTTTTTGAATGGTACTTATTTTTCCTTCTTTTTACAGCAGGAATGAAATGATTCTGTGTCAATTATGTAAAAATAATTTGTCATGGTTATATAAACAAGAATAAGCATAGATACAATATGATTTCCACATTCTTGGTTATTTGGATTATCTGAAATGATGATTTATAGGACTCCTTAAGTTCCCTGGCAGAAATGTAGCCACATAAATTTTATTTCTATAGCATTCAATCTATGTGTTCCAATATTAATATGATCCAGATGATTATCATTTCTAGTTAAATCAATGATTAAGCTATAACTTATTATTCAACCTAATTTTAAAAAGAATTGAAGCATGTATAGAAAGTGACTGAGGAATTGGTTGGTGCTTTTAACTCTGGTGTAGCTTAACTCAAACTTTAATATGTCAAGACATTTAAAGTTATTAGGAAGGTGCATGATATCATCCTTAGGGATGAGCTTGTCGTTCTTGTTTCCCTTCAGTGGCTGAAGAACAGAGGCAAGTATATCTCTTTTTATCAGATATTTACAGGAGATACTTCTATCTTTAGTACATTCTAGAAATCCAAAGATTTGTAAGTGAAGAAATCCTTTCTTGCTAAATGAGTCACGTGTGACTCATTTGTTATGAAACTTTTGAATTTGGTCTTTTTAAATTTCATGTTACCAAACATAAGAAAACAAACTGAAGAGCATCAGAAGTAAATATCCTCAAAATTCTATGGATATTCCATGTGTCATTATAACTCCTAATATTTGCACATACTATTATCATTTTTTAGTTAAAACATTTTCCTTTTTCTCTTTTAAGAAAGTCTCTGAAAGCTATGTCAGATGTGAGCTTCTTCGTGAAAACTTTATCTTATCTCAGCCCTCCTATCACACTTCCTTCAAGCTAGAAGTAACCAGTCCTTCATAAGTTGTCCCCATAGTACTTTATCTAAATATCAATTTAGACATGACATTCTGAATTACAATTAAGTCTTTTCTTGTCTATTTCTGCCACTAGATTGAATACATATTATATTACCAACTCTTGAACCAATTATTGACATCTTATGAAGGAATAAAACATATTTGCTCAAGTGATGAATCAATTTTATAATTGCATTTTAAAAGTTTATTAAATACAGTTTATACTTCGTAAGAGAAATGCAAATATATAAATTAGACAAGGACCTAATAATGGATTGAAGCCACTGAAGGGAAACAACTCAAGAAATACAGTCCCATCCCTTATTAAAAATAATTGTATTGTACACTTACAATGCTACACTGTATAGCATAACATTATTCCTCAGTAAAAGTATTAAAAGATAAGTTTTTACCTTAAGAAATCAGGTTTAAAACAAAAATATGTGATTATAATGAACTAGAAAATCAGCTAATAAAAATAAATGGAATGATAAGTAGTTTTACCTGAGGAATAAGTAGTGTTCAATAGCATTATAGGGTAACTATAGTTAATAATAATCTATTATATATTTCAAAATAGAAGATATTTAGAATGACCCCAACACAAGGAAATGATAAATGCTTGAGATAATGGATATCTTAGTTACCCTGATTTGATCATTACACATCGTATGCTGGTATCAAAATATTACATGTAGCCCATAAATATGTATGACTATTATATATCTATAAAAATTAAAAATAAAAAAATAGAAAAAAATTAAGCTATTTTTTTAAAAGACCATAATAGATATATTTTGGCAAACACCATTGTATTAGTCTGCTTTCACACTGCTGATAAAGACATACCCGAGACGGGCAATTTCCAAAAGTAGAGGCTTAAGGGACTTACAGTTCCACATGCCTGGCAAGGCCTCACAATCATGGTGGAAGGCAAGGAGGAGCAAGTCACATCTTACATGGATGGTGCCAGGCAAAGAGAGCTTGTGCAGAAAAACTCTTGTTTTTAAAACCATCAGATCTCATGAGACTCATTCACTATCACGAGAACAGACCAGGAAATATCCACCCCCATAATTCAATCACCTCCCACGGGGTTCCCCCCATGACACGTGGGAATTGTGTGAGTTACAATTCAAGATGAGATTTGGGTGGGGACACAGCCAAACCATATCAACCATTATGGAAAACAAAGAAAAACCAAAATAAGTTCATTGTGGATTAGAAAGATTATGAAATAATAATCCAAGTCCATTGTTAACTCAAGGACATTTAGAAACCATAAAGAAGGAAAAGAAAAACTTTTATTGAAGTGTGGAAAAACATATTGAAGAATATTTACCATTACAAATAAATACAAGGGCCTGATACTTTTATGGTTTAATTTTTTTTGCTATAATAATGAGATAGTTTATTCCATTGTTTTTAAAGTGAAAGACTATAAAAATGGATGATACTCAGCTTAATTTAATTTATAAAGAACTGTAATTTTAATAATCTGAAAAAGATGCATAAGAATGTAAACTACAAACTAATTTTACTTATGATTAAGAATGCTACCATTCTAAATAAAGTAAAAGTATATCAAATTTTACAGTGCAATAAGAATATCATTTGTGATCAAGAATACTTTATTTTAAAAGTGTAAGGGTGTTCATACATTAGAAAAACTAACAGTATAATTGATAAAAACACAATAAAAGAAGAAAAATATAATTGTATAGTGAATTCCACAAAATGATTTGATTGAATTCAGTACCCATTTAACTAATGAAGTTATTAGTTAATAGTTATGGCTGGCTTAATTGGATATTTACATGGAAAACAAAAAACTGACAGCTACTTACAATGTTCAATAATAATTTTTAAAGAAATTAATAATCTAAATGTGCAATTATATATGTTGACTTTAATCTTATGTATAATGAACATTCCTTATATTTAAATATACATATGCATATATTTTAATGATATGGCTAACTATGCAGTTAACTATAAATATAGAGTTATATATATTTATATATTATATATTATAACTAGTTATAATTAACTATATAGTTAACTATATTTAGCTTTATATATACATATATATGCGTTAGATATATATGCATTTATTCATATTTAGATATATGTGCACATAATTTTACTATATAGTTAACTATAATTGAACTATAAACTATAACAAGTATTGTTAACTACGTAGTTAAATTACAGTTAATTATAACTATGTAGTTAAATTATATACATAAATATCTAAATATAATGCATGTTCATTACATGTAAGGTCAAAATTAATGTATATAACTGTACATTTAGATTTGTAATCTATTTAAAACTTATTGAATATGATAAGTAGCTGTCAGTGTACATATATACATAGCATATAAATATATATTTAGTTTTAAAAGCTAGTAGTTACTATTTGTGCAACATTTTATAAATACATACACACATAATGCCTTAGCCTGAACCTGCTCCTGCTGCTATAACAAATTACTTTAGAGTGGATAATTTATTTATTTATTTCTCATAGTCCTGGAGGCTGAGAAGTACAAGTTCAAAGACCCAGCAGCTCTGGTGTCAAATGAGGGCTCTCTCCCTGCTTCAGAGATGGCACTTTCTCACTGTATTCCTCATATGGAGGAAGCAGGAAGTACTGTATCCTCACATAATGAAAAGGGGAATGCTGTGTTCTGGCAGAATGAGCCAAAGGGACTCCTTCAGTCACTTTGATAAGGGCACTAATCCCATCCTCGAGGGCAGAGACCTCACGACTAATCACTTCTGCAAACATCTCACCTATTCATACCAACACCATGGGGATTAGATTTCAACATGAATTTTCGAGGAATACATTCAAACCATAGCATATATATATTATTTTTAAAAACTAGTAGATACTATTTGTGCAACATTTTTGTGGTGAGATTTTTCTTAAACAAGCCAGGACTGGTTTACATAAAATATAACTAAAAATATAGGCAATACTATACTATAAACAGAGTAAAAGAACAAAAAATTGACAAGAAAAATGTTTTTATTGTAAATGACCCGACATTAATGCCCATAATATATGACAAGCTCCTGAAAATACTAAGAAAAGCAAATGATTCATCAGAAAAATGGAAAAGTAAATTACAGAGAAGGAAAATATTTGAGCAATAAGGATATGAGTTTCAATTCTGTTTACAATCAAGGATATAGGAAATAAAACAATAATGAGCTGCCTTGTATCACCCTTCAGAAGAACAAAAATGGGGATAGCATCTAGTGTGACTAAGTATATGGTGATGTGGATTTTGATAAATTAATAAACTAGCAGTCTCTATACAAATTAAAATTGAATCCAGAGTTCAATTTTTATAAACACATCTTACATACTTTTATAAGCATATTAATATACATACATGCTAATATAAACATAGCATACTATACATACATACTATACATACATACTATACATACTATACTAAACATAATATGCATACTAATATAAACATATTTTACATACTTTTATAAACGTATCTTACAGGTATAAAACAGCCACTAAATATAGATATATATTGAAAGGTATTTTTCTACTGTTAAGAGCATTGGCGCAACAACGACAAAAAAAAAAAAAAAAAAAAAACTGAAAGCAACCTGAGTGTCCCTCAAAAGGCTGTCTGAAATACCATGGTACAGTTATTCTATGGAGTATTATGTAGCCTTTAAAAATAAATGAGGGAGAGTCATCTGTTGTTCTACAAACAAAGAGATGATACTACAGATGCATAAAACACCTGGATAAAATGAGAACACTATATATCATATCATTTTGATTATACTTCAGAGACTGAGAAAGGAGGACAAGTGGTAAAATATTAGTTCTTTTTAATCTTTGCAACTTTTGTTACAAACAACATGAATTATAGCTGTACTTTAAAAATCTAATAGAAACTTTTTTTAAAAAAGAAGAATATTGGGCATTTAATTATATTTCATAGAATGATTGTCCCTGAATCATATTACCGATAAGTTCACTATTACAGAGATAATTTCTTAATACTTAGAAGAGAGACACTTTCTTCTATTTAAGGTTAATCCTGTAAATTCTTCTCTGGTAATGGCACTGTTCCCCATACCCCAGATTTAACAAGAGAGATATAAATATAATAATAATTAAAACATGAAGCAACAAAACAGCAACCAAAAAATTTCAACCTTCAAGAGCAATTTAGAAGGTTTATATCCTCAGAACAAAAGCATTTCTTTCTGACTTTCTAACCAGTCAAAATTTGCATATTCTACAGGAAAACTTTTCATATTATTTCAACAAACTGCCCTTTACTGCTTCTGCCTCTATCAGATCTCCTAAGTACTAATATTTTCCCTGGTTAAAAATACCAGGTGTGGTGGCTCATGCCTGTAATCCCAATACTTTGGGAAGCTGAGGCGCGTGAATTGCTTGAGCTCAGGAGTTTGAGACTGGCCTGAGCATCATGGTGAAATGCTGTATCTACAAAAAATACAAAAATTAGCTGGGCATGGTGGTGCAGGCTTGTAGTTCCAGATACTCAGGAGGCCAAGGTGGGTGGATCACTTGAGCCCAGGAGGCAGAGGTTGCAGTGACCTGAGATCATGCCACTGCATTGCAGCCTGAGTTACGAGAGTGAAACTGTGGCTCAAAAAACCAACCAACCAAACAAACAGAATACATGCTTTATTAACAGAGTGCCATTTGTCTTATCCTATTGTCTGTAATTGTCTTTATGCTGGACCCCAACTCATATTCCTTTAGATCCTATGTGGTGTCCAGAGAGTGGGAGAGGTCTAATGAATACTTGCATGAAAGTTTGGAGTAACTCCTGTTAAATAAAGTATCTATTACTCAGTGTAAACCAGATCATATTCTACTGAGGCAGGTCTAGTTCTTTTTATTATATTAGATTTACACTGTTGTATTTTATTCAGTAGAGGCAGTTGCTACTCCTGGTTTGACTAGCTTCAGCCATCTGAAAATGACCTGGAAGGGCCAGTATTTTGAATTTTACTAAGACTCAAATTTTCACCTCATAGTATAAAGCTGAGATATAAAAAAGCCACTTCGGCCGGGCACGGTGGCTCATGCCTGTAATCCCAGCACTTTGGGAGGCCAAAGCAGGTGGATCACAAGGTCAAGAGATCAAGACCATCCTGGCCAACATGGTAAAACCCTGTCTCTACTAAAAACACAAACATTAGCAGGGCTTGGTGGCGCGTGCCTATAGTCCCAGCTACTCGGGAGGCTGAGGCAGGAGAATCGCTTGAACCGGGGAGATAGAAGTTGCAGTGAGCCTAGATCATGCCACTGCACTCCAGCCTGGCAGCAGAGCAAGACTCCATCTCAAAAGAAAAAGAAGGAAAGCCACTTAGTGAGTGAGTGCAGCTGATAACCAGCATTCATGTCTCATTTTGATTCTGCATCTCTATGTGTATCTATGAATAAGCAGCAATGCTTATGAAAAAAAATAAAAAACACTTAATGAAGAGAAACAAACCCAGATGACCCTGGAGGCTCATTCCCTTCCCTGTTACTTGCTTTGCAATAAGCTGGCTCAGCAGGTCCAAGTTAGTGCAATGAAAATGACTGCTGTTATCAGGCATTGAGAACCAGTGGTTACCTCTTTCCACAAGACCATTTTCTTCACCAAGAAGGACCTATTTTTACATAGTCATTTAGAGTAGAGAAACCCTTCCCCACTTTCTCTATAAATGATATATAGAGATATTTGGGTGTCAGGAACTCTTTCCTGGAGTCCTTTCAATGATATATTTAAAGCAACTATGCCCACTGGGGCAAAGCAAACCTCTCTGGGGCATAAGGACAGCTTCATGGGCCTCTCTGCTACTTCCATATCTGTAGGCTTTCTCTATTCCACTCTAGTTTACCTGTACATGATATGGTGCTAATGTACATTCCCCTTTGTCTTTGTGTGGAGAAGGGCCTTGGAAAGGAAAGCCATGTGCTAGAGCTGTGGAGTAGCCCTTACAGGTTTTAGAGTCTTGAACGGCATATGGATATACTTCAAAGGATGGCTAAAAGGCTATTCTTTTGATTCCTGGTAACTAGTAATAAATACTTAGTAGTTTGTAGGGTCTCCTTTATGAATGAAGATGTCTATATACTGATATGAGTTGTTCATAAGGAAATATTATTAAAGAAAGCAAGGGAGAGAATAGTGTATATGCATAATATAGAAGCTACTTTTTATACAAAAGTAGGGGTATACAAATATGCATTTCATTACATTTTCCTAAGAGAAATACTGAAATAAATAAACTAGTTATAGAGTTCCCTAAAAGTATGCATATGTGGAAGGGGAGTGGATACTGGAATAGAAGGCAATTTTGGTATTGAGACTTCTCCATATATGTCATTTTATATAGCATTAACTGACATTAATGCCTGCCTATTAAAAAATTAAATAGAAGGCTGGGTGTCATGGCTCACGCCTGTAATCCCAGCACTTTGGGAGGCCAATGCGGGTGGATGATCTGAGGCTGGGAGTTTGAGACCAGCCTGACCAACATGGAGAAACCCCGTCTCTACTAAAAAATACAAAATTAGCTAGGTGTGGTGGCTGGTCCCTGTAATCTCAGCTACTCAGGAGGCTGAAGCAGGAGAATCACTTGAACCCGGGAAGCAGAGGTTGCAGTGAGCGGAGATTATGTCATTGCACTCCAGCCTGGGCAACACGAGCGAAACTCTGTCTCAAAAAAAAAAATAAATAAATAAATATAAATTAACCAGCCAACACCATATATTTTTCTTAAGATGGTCGAGGCTACAAATACATTATTAATTAAATTCCTAACATTTTCAGAATTTAGTAATGTTTCCTAACATGCTAAGTTTGATAAAAAGATAAAATAAAATAAGCAATACATGTATAAATTCTGCATAGATTTGTATAAGTGACTGAAAAACTATTTTCTTGCATAACCATGGAAACAAAACATAAGTATTTGTGTAATCTGATTTCAATTTAAGAAAAAATGCATGAGGTAGTTGCGATAAATTCCATTTTGCTCTCAATTCTATGCCCAAACTGTAAGAAGAGATTTTAGAGATGCTGCAGTAAAAAAAGAAATCACAGAAATGCAATAAAATGCAGTGAAGTCACGAAATAACAAAAATAAATTGTCTTAGCAACAACAAAAAATAGAATTCTATCAGGGCATAGAATTATTTTGTGTGTATTTAAAGGTCCCATGGGGGAAAACAGTACAATCATTAGATTATACTATGACATATTTTAAACTTATAATTGAGTTATTAATAAAGCAGCCATCCTTTTAATTAAGCACCTAAATCAAGATTACATTTTTACATTAGAAATGTCATATGGTTTAAAGTTTTAAGATAAATCAGACTCTGAAAATTGTAACATATATATCTTTAAAATTCACATTAAAGTGTCTGTGTGGCAAAGGGAATGGAATAAGTGGAAATAACTGGTCCTGGGACCACCTGCGGTTAAGGTATTACTTTGGTAGTTTAATTGAAATCTCATTGGTCCACCCCTGTCTCCTCATCCTCAGAACTTCTTCTACAGAAATGTTTTAAAAGGAATTAGAGGAAGTAATGAAGCATAAGAAAGTCATTTCATTTATCTCTGTTTAAGTTATTGTAGCCATTTAAATTAAATTTGATTTGTGGTAGCTTTAAACATTTTAGTTTTGCTTAATTAATTGTGAGTAGAAACAAGATTTGTGGCAGAACTGCTGTGTGTAATAGACAGAGGGATGATATATTTGACGACCAAACTGGAAAGTGACAGTTTTACTTTATCAGTGCCATAAGTTCTCCTGGGACCTATTTCAATTTTTCAGCAAGAAACTTAAAAACAATTATGGACCAGTTAGCCCTCTGAAGAAAATTTTTTAAAAACCTGATTTTAATTTTATAAAGTATACTCCTTTCTATTTCAGCGGCTATTGCTTGGTATCATAATATCAAGCTTTAAAAACACTGAACTAACTCTATGCTTTTTTGGTACTGTAAGCATATTTTGATCAATAATGCATATGTATTCCAATTTTTCAGGATAGCCAATTTCTGTCAAATGGTTCATATTTTTATAATTGAGTTCCATAATAATGGTGGTGGTATATTCTATTAGGAAATATATGAGACCAGATATATTAAAATATTTTTCCAATAAAATACATAAAGTATTGTATATTACACTGTCAGAAATTTAGTGTATTTAACTGCTTAAAATGGATTGCTATTCTGGAAGCAGAGCCAGAAATCAGAAACATTTGAGATGATCTACTAAGTATTATTCACCGCCTTAAAAAGACACAATCCTTTTAACTTTTCTTCCTCTGCAACTGACTTTTTCTTTCCATATGCTTGTCTTATTTATTATTTTTATACTCTGCTCTTTTCCTAGAAAATTTCTGCCAGTAATACCTATAGCATTAGAATTCACTGAAGAAAACTACCCAAAAACAAGTATTATGCATTGTGGTGAGGTCTCTAATTCTTAAAATGTCTTTGAAATATATCAGTTTTAACCTGTGATTTATGGTTGTTTAATTGCTGTCACAGTGTCATAGCAAAAGGTTAATGTTGGAGCTGAACAGATCTTGTTTAAATCCTGTTTCAAAACTGGCTCTATTATTTCCAACTTGATCTACACATTCAGTGTAATCCCAATCAAAATCTCAGAAAGTTATTTTATTGACAAAATGACTTGAAAGTATATATGTAGAGTTAAAAGACCTGGAATAGACAAGACAATATTTAAAGAAAAGAAAAAAGTTGGAGGACCAACATTGAGTTCAAGACTTACCATAAAGCTTCCATAATCAAGACAGTGTCATACTGGTCAAATAATAGACAAATAAATCAATGGAATAGAATACAGAGCCCAGAAATAGACCCAACTAAATAAAGCCAGCTGACCACTGATGAAAGAGTCAAGGCAAAACAATGGTGAAAAGATAGTCTTTTCAACAAATGGTTTTGGAGCAACTGGATATCTACATGTAACAAACAAATGAAAAGAATTTAGACACAGACTTTATATGCTTTACAAACACTAACTAAAAATGGATAAAGACCTAAATAAATATACAAACCTATAACATTTCTAAAAGGTAGGAGAAAAATCTAGGTAAACAGCTTTGGCAAAGACGTTTTAGGTACAACACCAAAGCCACGATCCATGAAAGAAAGCATTGATAAGCTGGACTTTATTAAAATGTAAGCTTTCTGCTCTGTGAAAGACACTTTCAAGAGAATAAAAAGAGAATCCACAGACATGGAGACAATAATTGCGAAAGACATATGGGATATATCTTTAATAACCTGGGCTATCCATCTTCTCTATAAGGAAACATCTGCCTCAGAATACACATTATCATCAATTTGTTGGCAATGCTTGAATTCGAATAGACAGTGTTTTGCTTGTTTTACTGTTTTCAGTGACTCTCTAAGTACAATTTTAAGTCAACCTCTCTTATATGTGCTGTTATTTTGGGGATATTTTGTCACTATCAGATGAATAAATTATTTATCGTTTATATAAAATCAATTCACTGGAGTATGACAAAAACAATAAAACTTTAATCTATATTTATCTGTACCTCATCCCTCCAAATCTCACTTAAATATGTTGAGGCAAGTTAAGATACATCTGTCTTAGGATGGAGATTTTCTCCATAATTGGAGAATTTTTATGTCTCTGATCTTGGCAAATTATATGTTGATTTTACAGTTTAACAATTGTTTAACTGTTTGAGGATATCTTCATTCAATCCTAAATTCTGGGGAGTCATCTCTTTGCTTTTTTTTGGTATAAATAACAATATTCTTTAATGTAAATTTTAACCTCAAACATTCTTGAAATTTTAAATATTAAACTAATTACTGTTAAGCAAACTATACTGCAATTAAACATTTTCTCAGAAATTTTTCTTTCTTTCTTTCTTTTTTTTTTTTTAATCTGAGACAGAGTCTTCTCACTCTATTGCCAGGCTAGAGTCAAGTGGCATGATCTAAGCTCACTGCAACTTCCACCTCCTGGGCTCAAGCAATTCTCATGCTTCAGCCTCCTGAGCAGCTGGGATTACAGGCATGCACCACCATGCCAGGCTAATTTTTGTTTTTTTAGTAGTGTTGGAGTTTCACCATGTTGCCCAGGCTGGTCCTGAACTCCTGAGCTCAGGTGATCCTCCCGCCTCGGCCTCCCAAAGTGCTGCGATTATAGGCGTGAGCCAGTGTACCCAGACTCAGAAAATTTTCTATTGAAATGTTCTTAGATTATGATGTTTCTTAAACCCTGCTTCTCCTCAAGTATCATCACAACCAACAGCAACAACAATGACAAAATCTCTTAAATAAAAACATAAAGAAGCATAGACTAAAGTAAGAGAGAAGATACTCTCCATGAACTATCCAAGCAATTAAGAAGAAAAGTCAGAACTACTTCTGTTATAACAAATTGTTTAAAAATAACAACTGGCACTTCCTCACATAGGTCTTTTACAAATGAGTTGGCTGCATTTCCTTTTTAGCCATGCAATGTGGGATTTGCAGAATAGGACAGAATGTTCCTAAAGAGTTATTCAGGTATGTTGTTCAACAGTGACCAATAAACAATAGGTCATTTTATTGCTAGGAGAGAACAAATACATAAAGACAAATGGAAACCCCAATACCTAACGACATTATGAATAGGGCTTAAATCATTAGAAAGATAAAATTAGAGAAATCGTAACATAGATCTCTGTTCTTCAGGTTAATTGTATTATAAAATGTCAGGAGACTAAATTTTTTCTCTACTTTGCTCGTGGATTGTTTATACTCTTGAAATGCATCTTAACATTACCTTCCTCAGAGTTCACTATACCTCAAAGATACCAGATACGATTACATTGGTACTTAACAACATTCATCTGGAAAGAATTGAAAGGAGGAGGGATTAATTAATCTCCTTGAAGGGGGTTTACTATTAAGTTAAATTGCATTTCCTCTGGTTCTCTGCTTTTGGTGCAAAAATTTGAAGGATGAGGAACAACTAATAGGTTTTCTCTCTTTAGGATTTCTAAGCTCTCTTCATGTTATGTGGCGATTAGTTAGTTAGAATTTTGGTCCCTACTCTGTGCATAAATGGAGCTGCTCAAAATCTCAACATATCTGAAAGTTTTATAGCTGCTTTAATGATTGCTATGCAACATGCCAGACATGGAGCGTGCAGTTACAAGATACTCATATTCACTAATGAGGCCACCTTCAAAACCACAAAAGCCCCCATTGCCACATACCCAGTTGATCCTCCTAGTCCCTTTACAAAATCATCAGGAAAAGGGAGAACCGGACGAAGGCAAAGTCTCTTTATTGGAGTTCAACCCAGGATATTCCCTTCTTGTTTGACCTAAACATCATCTCAGGATGACTGAGGCTGGATTTCTATGTACAAACTACAGGCCTGTCTGCCTGATTCCCGCCCAGAGCTGTATAATGCTTGCAGTGTCTGTCCATGTCCTTCACTTGAAAAATATGACACAATGAGAGGGACAATTATGATGGTCTATTGTAGTGTGAGAAATGTCATAATTTGAATATTTTTATAAAAATACATATAGGAGAAAAGGGGGGAACACAACCCTCACTCTCAAAATCTAAAAGTGACTTGTAAAACCTAGAAAGCAAGAGTTGGGAAACCTCTGAACACACATAAAGAGGCTTTCTTTGAAGTCATTAGCAGGGTGTGTTATTAATAATAAATTGAATCAAGAGTATTGTAGTCAAAGAAGGGCCTTGCATTTGACAGGGAAAAATCCAAGGCAGTACATGGTTGTAAGCCATTCATATGACATATGAGTGGCTCTTAGGAGCTGAAACACAAAGCCATCAAGGTATAAATGGCATCAGGGGTAATCTTGCCTATAAATATTTTCAAATTTATAGCCTTGGGTGGGAAGAACATATTGTGTGAGGAAATACAGTGTGAATAAATGGAAATTGTGCTCCACTGAAGTAAGAAAGGGGAAAATATAGTTTTATTTCTCGCCTAACATTTCGGCATCATGATATCCCTAAGCGTGCAGCCATAAATCTAAGAGGAATCTTAGGAAATGGTGTAAAAGATTTCATTGCTAATCTGTCAGATTTTAGAATTCCCTTCATTGAGTCAGGAGAAAAATCACACAGGGCAGAGGCAAACAACATGACCAGAAAGCCTGGGGGAAACTTTGGCTTTCCTGGTCATATAGTGCAGAAATTTGAAATTGTGAAGAAATGAAGACCAATGTTAAATTACTCTTATTTAGAGAGAGTGATGTGTAAAGGTCCAGATGTTTGATCATTGTCAATCCATCTTTTATTTTTATTTCATTTCATTTCATTTTGAAACAGTCTCCCTTTGTTCCCAGGCTGGAATGCAGTGGTGCAATCTCAGCTCACTGCAACCTCCACCTCCTGGGTTCAAGCGATTCTTCTGCTTCAGCCTCCCAAGTAATTGTGATTACAGGTGCATGCCACCACACCTGGCTGATTTCTGTATTTTTAATATTTTTGTATTTTGTATTTTTAGAAGTGAAACCAACCGGGTTTCACCATGCTGGCCAGGCTGGTCTCAAACTCCTGATGGCAGGTGATCTGCCCACCTCGGCCTCCCAAAGTGCTGGAATTATAGGTGTGAGCCACTGCGCCCAGCCCAATTCGTCTTTTAAATAAGGATTTTTATCATCAAATGAGCAAAATACATAAAGAATTATCATGAATAAGCCTACTATTGTTTTCTTTGCCTCAACAAAATACAAGGCCATATAGAAACAATTTTTCTTTGACCATTATGGATTGTTGGTTATATAGCATGATATCATTGCCCAAAGATAGTCAGTATTCAAAGTTTGTTATCTGTAACAATAAGAATTACTATGTCATCATGTGGTTGGAGGCATTGAGATAATATAGATAAAGTAAATTGCCAGATTCTTGATCCACACCTGTTGCTCAATAAATAGCAACTAAAATAATTGTTCTGGATTCAAGGAGAAAGTTTCAAACTTTGTCTTTGAAAATGCAAATTTTAAATTTAATGCATACATATATACATATATTTGGGTTTATTATTATTTCTTTCATATACTTTTCAAAGACTGCGGGCTTTTATTTTTTCTTTGGAGTAATTTTGTTCTTTTACTTAGATTTAATAAGTTTTACTATTTTATTTTCTTTGTTTTTTCTCTATATAGATATATATCATTTATTGTTATTTATATATCTATGCACAAAATTTTGTTGTTATTTTCAAGACAGGATGTGGCTCTGTTGCCCATGCTGGAGTACAATGACATAATCTTGGCTCACTGCAACCTCCACCTCCTGGACTCAAGCCATCCCCCGACATTAGCCTCCAGAGTAGCTGGGACCACAGGGACGTGCCACCATGCCCACTTACTTTTTTGTAAATTTTTTGTTGAGTCGGGATTTTGCCATGTTGCCCAGGCTAATCCTGAACTCCTGACCTCAGGTTATCCACCCACCTCAGCCTCCCAAACTGCTGGGGTTAAGGCATGAGGCACCAAACCCAGTCCACAAACTTATTTTTGCTGTTCCGCGTATCTCATAAAATCAATGGCATTCTCCAGTATAACCTCAATATTATTATACTTAACAGATTTAATGTTGATATTGTATTATTTAATATATGGTTCATATTCAAATTTCTCTAAGTATTGTTTTTAGTTTTAAATTTTTTTCTGTCCCTGCCCCCTGCCATTGTATGTAATTGAGATTCATGCATTGGGTTTTCTTGTCATGCCTCTTGGTTTTCTTTAATCCAGAACAGTCCTCCTACTTTGTTTTTTTACATTTGGTATTCCATGACATTTATAATTTTGAAGATTCCAAGCTAGAGGGCTTTTTGAATATCTAACATTCTGGATTTTCCTGATTGTTTCCTTATAATTAAAAGATTAAATATCTTTTGTAGAAGTGCTATGAAGCTGATATTGTATCCTCATTGCGTTGCACAGGAGTCACGTCAAAGCAGTGGTTTGCTGGAAGCTGATTGCTAAAAAAAAGTCTCAAGAAGTCTCTGAGCTAGTTGTTAAACATGGTCATTATTAAACATTAAATTATGTGAACTAGGCTGGGCGCGGTGGCTCAAGCCACTTTGGGAGGCTGAGGTGGGCAGATCGCTTGAGGTTAGGAGTTTGAGAACAGCCTAGCCAACATGGTGAAACCCATGTCTACTAAAAAAATACAAAAATAGCTGGGCATGGTGGCACGCACCTGTAATCCCAGGTACTCAGGAGGCTGAGTCAGGAGAATTGCTTGAACCCACGAGGTGGAGGTTGCAGTGAGCTGAGATCATGCCACTGCCCTTCAGCCTGGGCGACAGTGAGACTCTATCTCAAAAAAAAAAAATTATGTGAACTCACAAATAATAAGTATTAAGCAAATGTAATAGATACTAAAATTTCATTCCTTCTTAATTATTTTACCAAATTTACATCTGTCATGGAGATAATACAACACAATGCTCTCTTCTAAACTCCGCTTTCAGTGATGTCACATTAATAGCTGGAAGTAGGCCATTGTGCAGTAATTACATTGCAAGAATTGGCAAATGCTACACATCAGAACATGGTTTATGATACTGATTGTCAGAAAGTGATGGAGAAAAGTGTTAATAATGTAGACTAAACTTATATTTTGCTGTGTGTATAACAATTACCTTGTAACACCAAAAAAAAAAAGTGAAGAAATTACTATTTAGTGTTTGAAAACTATTATCCAATTTAGTAAAAAGTAGCTTATGCCATGATTAAGTTCTGGCATACATCTTTATTGTTTTTTGTTGGTCTTACTCATTAAGGTAAACAAACATATTAACCAACATCCATGTTAGAACTACACTTATTCATCACTTAACAACCAAAACATGAATTGAAGACAATTTGGCAATAAAACTGAAAATATTCTTTGAGAATTGATTTATTATATGCAGTTTACAATAAAGAGTATTATATGTTATTTGTAAATTGTGTTACGTGGCCTGGCGCGGTGGCTCACGCCTGTAATCCCAGCACTTTGGAAGGCCGAGAAGGACGGATCACAAGGTCAGGAGATCGAGACCATCCTGGCTAACATGGTGAAACCCCCGTCTCTACTAAAAATACAAAAAATTAGCCAGGCGTGGTGGTGGGCGCCTGTAGTCCCAGCTACTTGGGAGGTTGAGGCTGCAGAATGGCATGAACACAGGAGGTGGAGCTTGCAGTGAGCTGAGATCGCACCACTGCACTCCAGCCTGCGCGACAGAGCAAGACTCCATCTCAAAAAAAAAAAAAAAATTGTGTTACATATCGTTTCTATTAATATTTGTAAATATTATATAAGCATTTTGCCCTTTTTATATGCATGTGTTTTAGAGTCAATTGTTAAACATTTAGCAGAACACCAGTGCATGCAAGCTATTTTGTTTCAGTAATGATAGATAGGTTTTACTTAGTAAAGGCGGTGTCTGCAATATCTCCGCATTGTGAAGAAACACTTTTTCTTTTGTTCTTAATTATCTGCTTGAGGATACTTAGAGATCATAGTAACATCCTTGTTGTTCAACAACACTTTTACCTAATGAATTTAGCATCCATTGATGATTCTTGCTTTAATCAATTAGTACATTACTGGTAGCAAAATAGTGATTTTATTTTATTCTTTCTATATGTTTTAGCTGTGATTTTTCTACAAAGAAAAGCTGTTTCAATTTCTCTCTCACTGTTACAGATGGGATTGATGAAATGATTTAATACATTAACACTACTGAAATCATTAATTTTTTTAGCTAATTTGTCCCAAACATTTTTAGGGGAGAACTTTTAAACTAGCTTCTCTGTGTTTTTAGTCATGATCTCTAGGTTTGGGGCAGTTTTTTTGCCTTCTCGCCCAACAAAATATTCAACGTTCATTGCACACATTACCTTAGCCAGAAAGAACCATATCTCCAAACAGTTCTAGTTCCTTGTAGTGAAGAATTATATTTAGTCATCAAAACCTCGGTGTTATGTGTTTTTGTTGCAATTGAGGTGTCATTCTTTTACTGTTACTAGCTAAGAAATATTGCATTATGAAAAATAATACCTCTTATTCAAATATAAGATCAAGAATATTTTCTTATCATTTTTCATTCCAGTTCAGTATCTCTTCTTACATTAAGAATTCTAGTTCTCCAATACAACAATATCTTTAAACATTCACTCTATCTACAATCACACAAAATATTTTCAGAATCATTTTACCAGTACCATTACCATGTAAAGTTCAAGATTCTTTTGTTATAATATTTCCAACCAAGAGTGTACAGAGTACTGTGATCAAAATTTCCTTGACTTAAATCTTTGTTTTTCTCTGTTAATAACTATTAGGATCAATTCTTATTTTTATATTTAATTTATGGTTTGCTGTCTTAAAAATGTGTATTTATTTTGTGACATTTTGACCTTTATATGAATAAAAAATCACCACAGATACAAACGCATGCTTGCACAAGTCTGATACCCATTCTTAATTCTTTCATCCATTCACACCTGCATCTTGTAGTTAACCATTTTGGTTAATGACTAATTATCTACCCTATGTTTCTGTTTGAAAGCAAATATTCTTAAATTTCCTTCTTTCATACAGAAAATGCTTCTGATACCTATATATTCTTATACTTGTTTTTCCCACTTAATTGAACATCTTGAATATCACTTCTAATTATCTCATACAAATCTTCCTCATCTTATTTTTAGTACTACATAGTAAACCATGTAATTTGTTTTTAATATTTTCTATAATATCTACAAATAATGAACTTCTCATACAGATTTTTTATAGAAATTGCCAAAGATTGATTTGTATCTTAGAAAAAATAACTGTTACAATCTAACCACCAGTGCATGAAAGTGCTATTTCTCCACAGCCACACCAACAGAGTGTATTATTAAGATTTTAAATTTTTTGCTAGTCTAACAGGGTGGAAATGACATATTTGTGGAGTCTTAATACCTCTTATTTAAAATGAAGATCACTTTAATGTTCTTTTTTCTTGGTTTTTATGAGTTTTTTATACATTTAGAGATATTAGCTTTTTATCGGAGTTGCATGTTGTCGATATTTTCTTCTAATTATTTATAGTTTGATTTTGACTGTGGTGTTTTTGTCATTCAATTAATGTTTAATATGCCTGTAGTTGAATTTATCAATCTTTTATTTCATTGCATTGCATTTTGAGTCTTTGCTAGAGTTTACCCAAATGAGGATGTAAATAATTTATCCAGATGTTCTTCTATTTCTGTATGTTACTTTTCTATTAAGTTAGATTTTTAAAAATTCATGTGAAGTTTATTCTGCTATAGAGTATGTTGTTCACATCCATTTTATGTCAAGCCTAATGAGTATACAGTTTTCCTAACCTCATTCATTTAAAAAAGTCTACCTTTTTCAAACATTTTTGAGATTTCATCCTTATTACCTGCCAAATATAGATTTATTTCTAGACTTTCTTTTATTGTTACATTGTGCTGTGGATATGAGAACCAGTATAGACTGATTTCAGATCACCTAGTGTATATTTTCATTTCTAATTGGGCTAATCCCGCTTCATCGACTTTTTTTTTTTCCAGGATATTCTTAGATGCTTTCTCGCTTTATTTCTCTCTTTCTTCTGTTTTTTTTGTTTTTTGTTTTTTGTTTTTTTTTTTAAGACAGACTCTCACTCTGTCGACCAGGCTGTAGTGCAATGGCGTGATCTCGGCTCACTGCAACCTCCAACCCCCATTCAAACAATTCTCATGTCTCAGCCTCCCCCATAGCTGGGATGACAGGCGGCTGCCACCACGCCTGGCTAATTTTTGTATTTTTAGTGGAGATGGGGTTTCGCCATGTTGGCCAGGCTGGTTTCGAACTCCTGACCTCAAGTAATCCACCTGTCTTGGCCTCCCAAAGTGCTGGGATTACAGGCATTAGCCACTGCACATGGCTAGATATTTTTCCCACAAGTTTTATTCCAGAAAAGTATCTTGTAGTATTTTTATTAGGATAGGATTCAACTATATTAACATAGGAGAATTTACATATTTGTGATGTTTATTTGTAGATCATGGGGTGCCTTTCTATTTTTTTTCAAGTACATTTTGTATGTTCTGGAGTTTTAAAAAAATGTTATTTTAGGTGCTGGGGTACTTGTACAGGTTGTTATATAGGTAAACCTGTGTCACGGGGGTTTGCTGTACAGATTATTTCATCACCCAGGTACTAAGACAAGTAACCAACAGTTATTTTTCCTGATCCTCTCCCTCCTGCCACCGTCCACCCTTTGGTAGTCCCCAGTGTCTGTCGTTCCCCTCTTTGTGTCCATGAGTTCTCATCATTTAGCTCCCACCTATAAGTGAGAACATGTGGTATTTGGTTTTTGGTTCCTGCATTAGTTTGCTAAGGATAGTGTCCTCCAGCTCCATTCATGTTTCTGTAAAAGACATGATCTCATTCTTTTATATGGCTGCATAGTATTCCATGGTGTATATGTACTGCATTTTCTTTATTAAATCTGTCATTGATGAGCATTTAGTTTGATTCTATGTCTTTGCTATTGTGAATACTGCTACAATAAACATATGCATGCATATGCCTTTATGGCAGAATGATTTATAGTTCTTTGGGTATATATCCAGTAATGGGATTGCTGGGTTGAATGGTAGTTCTGTTTTGAGATCTTTGAGGAATCAGATCTTCCACAATGGTTGAACTAATAATTTACACTCCCACCAACAGTGTATAAGCTTTCCTTTTTCTCCACTACCTTGCCAGCACCTGTTATTTTTTGACTTTTTATTAATAGCCATTTTGACTGGTGTGAGATGGTATCTCATTGTGGTTTTGATATGCACTTCTCTAATGATCAGTGATATTGAGCTTTTTTTCCTATGCTCATTGGACGCATGTATGTCTTCTTTTGAAAAGTGTCTGTTCATGTCCACTTTTCAATGGGATTGTTTGCTTTTGTCTTATAGATTTGTATAAGTTCCTTATAGATGCTGACTATTAGACTTTTGTCAGAAAATATTTGCATAATTTGCAAATATATTCCTCAATTCTGTAGGTTGTCTGTTTACTCTGTTGATAATTTCTTCTGCTGTGCAGAAGCTCTTAGTTTAAGTAGATCTTATTTGTCAATTTTTGCTTTTGTTGCAATTGCCTTCAGTGTCTTCGTCATGAAATCTTTGCCCCTTCCCACGTCCTGAATGGTATTGCCTAGGTTTCTTCCAAGGTTTTTATAATTTTAGGTATTACATTTAAGTCTTTAATCTATTTTGAGTTGATATTTGTATACTGTGTAAGGAAGGGGTCCAGTTTCAGTCTTCTGCACATGCCTAGCCTGTTATCCCAGCACCTTTTATTGAATAGGGAGTCCTTTCCCCATTGCTTGTTTTTGTCAACTTTGTCGAAGATCAGATGATTGTAGATGTGCGGCCTTATTTCTGGGCTCTCTATTCTCTATTCCATTGGTCTGTGTGTCTGTTTTTGTACCAGTATCATGCTGTTTTTGTTACCATAGTCCTGTAGTATAGTTTGAAGTCAGGTAATGTGATGCCTCCAGCTTTGTTCTTTTTGTTTATAATTGCCTTGGCTATTCAGGCCTTTTTTTGGTTCCATATGAATTTTAAAATAGTTTTTCTAGTTCTCTGAAAAATGTCATTGGTAGTTTGATAGAAATAACATTGAGTCTACAAATTATTACTTTGTGCAGTGTGATCATTGAGCATGGAATGTTTTCTTCATTAGTTCACATTTATTGATCTGCATATGTTGAACCAACCTTGCATCTCAGGAATAAAGCATTCTTGATTGTGGTGGGTTAGTTTTTTGACGTGTTGCTGGATTTTTGCTGGTATTTTGTTGAGGATTTTTGCATCAATGCTTATGAAGGATATTGGCCGGAAGTCTTCCTTTTTGTTGTGTCTCTGCCAGGTTTTGGTTCAGGATGATGCTGGCCTCATAGATTGAGTTGAAGAGGGGGCACCTCCTCCACAATTTTTTGGAAAAGTTTCAGTAGGAAAGGCACCAGCTCTTCTTTGTGTGTCTGGTAGAATTCAGCTATGAATCCGTCTGGTCCAGGGCTTTTCTTCTTCTTCTTTTTTTTTTTTTTTTGGTAGGCAATTTATTACTGATTCAATTATAGAGCTCATTATTGGTCTGTTTAGGGATTCAGTTTCTTCATGGTTCAGTCTTAGAAGGTTGTCTGTGTCCAGGAATTTATCCATTTCTTTTAGATTTTCTAGTTTGTTTGCATAGAGTTGTTCATAATAGTCTCCGATGATTCTCTGTATTTCTTTCTTTTTTTTTTTTTTTTGTTTGTTTTTGAGACGGAGTCTTGCTGTGTCACCAGGCTGGAGTGCAGTGGTGCGATCTGGGCTTACTGCAACCTCCACCTCCCGGGTTCAAGCAATACTCCTGCCTCAGCCTCCTGAGTAGCTGGGACTACAGGTGCGTGCCACCATGCCAGGCTCATTTTTTGGCTCGTTTTTTGTATTTTTAGTAGAGACAGGGTTTCACCATGTTGGCCAGGATGGTCTCGAA
Organism: Homo sapiens; assembly: GCF_000001405.40. Taxonomy (NCBI): domain Eukaryota; kingdom Metazoa; phylum Chordata; class Mammalia; order Primates; family Hominidae; genus Homo; species Homo sapiens. Next base: position 66,130,637 of record NC_000010.11, on the reverse strand, counting down.
CTCGAGACCTCACGATCCTCCTGCCTTAGCTTCCTAAAGTGCTGGGATTACAGGCGTGAGCCACAGTGCCCGGCCGATTCTTTGTATTTCTATGGAGTCAGTAGTAATATTCCCCTTTCTGTTTCTGATCGTGTTTGCTTGGATCTTCTGTCTTTTCTTTTCATTAGTCTAGCTAGCAGTTTATCTTATTAATTTTTCCAAAAAAAAAAAACAGATCCTGATTTTGTTGATGTTTTGAATGGTTTTTCGTGTCTCAGTCTTCAGTTCAGCTCTCACTTTAGTTATTTCTTGTCTTCTGCTAGCTTTGGGGTGGGTTTTCTCTTGCTTTTCTAGTTCCTTTAATTGTAATGTTAGGTTGTGAGCTGGAGATCTTTCTAACTTTTTGATGTAGGCATTTAGTGCTACAAATTTCCCTCTTACCACTGCTTTAGCTATGTCCCAGAGATTATGGTGTGTTGTATGTTTGTGGTGGGTGCAGGACTATGTGTGCCCTCTGCATGTGTTCATGCTGGCATGGTGGCCGCTCAGGGCTGGGGGCAGGTCACTGTTCTGTGTGCCTAGTTTAGCACTGATGGCAGTGTTGGCACAGGGGCAGGATGCTGGCAGAGGTGAAGCAGGCAGGTTTCATGCCTGCCAATGCTCCTAGGACAATGGTGGTGTGGTGGGGAGAAGGGTGGTGGGGTACCCTCATGCAGGCAGTAGTGGCATGGCATAGTGCAGGGTTCATGTGCACTGTCGGGGAAGTAAAAGCAAGATCCAACCCAAGGGCACACATAGGCACTGGCTAAGTGATGTGGGGGGGTGCCTATGGTGTGTTCATGCAGGCACAGTGGCTGGGGGAGGCTGCAGTGAGGGGAGGACACAGATGGCCTGGTGTGTGTCTTGGGGGCCACTCTGCAGGAGCACTCTGCTTATCAGGTGCAGTCCACAAGAGCAGGAGCTATGATGCAGACACCCACAGGTACCTGGGGGCTGCACTGCAAGCAGGCACGGCCAGGCTGGGGCCCCAGAAGAGGCCAGTAGACTGAGGGTTGCCCAGGTCTAATCAACCCCATCTCAGAGGCAAGACCGCCCTGCAGAGTTCACGTTCAACAGTTCTCCTATGGCTAAAGTCTCCTATGGAAGCAAGTCGAGCTTAAGGTGATGGGTGTCCCTGGCCATGCTGCACTACAGACAATCCCACACCAAACCCTCTGGGCTCCACCCTGGCTGGAGTTCTGATCCTACCACTTCTCTAAGCAGCTTTCCCTGGCAACTCCAATGCCATGGTGGTTGAGGAATTTCATCCTGCCAGTATTCCAGAGGCCCAATGTGAGAGTAGCTTGCTGCTTGCCTGTACCTTAATAGAAGTTTTTTGTTTGTTTTTGTTTTTTGAGACAGAGTTTCACTCTTATTGCCCAGGCTGGAGTGCAATGGCACAATCTCGGCTCACTGCAACCTCCACCTCCCAGGTTCAAGCAATTCTCCTGCCTCAGCCTCCCGAGTAGCTGGGATTACAGGCATATGCCACCACGCCCAGCTAATTTTGTATTTTTAGTAGAAATGGTGTTTCTCTATGTTGGTCAGGCTGATCTTGAACTTCCGACCTCAGGTGATCTGTCCTCCTCGGCCTCCCAAAGTGCTGGGATTTCAGGCATGAGCCACTGCGCCCAGCCAAGTTTTTTTTTTGTTTTTTGTTTTTTTTTTAAACAGACTATTTTTTAGGTTCACAGCAGAATTGAATAAAAGTTACAGAGATAGCCTCCACAACACACACACACACACAAACTCACACAGCCTTTCCCGTTATCAACATCCTCCACCAGAGTGGGTACATTTGTTTCAATTGGTGAACCTACATTGACACATAATTTTTGCCCAAAATCTGTACCTTACATCAGGGTGTATTCTTGGTTGTATAATTTATGAGTTTGGACATTAAACACCATCATAATGTAATGAAAGTAGTTTAACTGCCCTAAAAGCCTTCTGTGTTCTGCCTATACATCCCCTCCCTCTAAGCCCTGGCAACTGTTGATCTTTATTGTCTCCATAATTTGCCTCTTCCAGAATGTCATATAGTTGGAATCATACAGTATGTAGCCTTTTCCGACTGGCTTTTTTTTTCACTTGGTAATATGCATTTAAGTTTCTTCCATGTCTTTTTCTGGCTTGGCAGCTTTTTTTTCATGCTTGTGTCACTGAATAATATCTATTGTCTGGATGTACCACAGTATATCTATTTATTCACCTACCAAAGGAGATCTTGGTTCCTTCCAATTTTTGGCAGTTATGAATAAAGCTGCTATAAATATATGTGCAGGTTTTTATGTGGACCTGGCATATTTGAAAGTTTTTCTCAGAGAAATTTAGCTCATTTTTTCCAAATTTATTTTTAAATAAGTTGTTATTTCTATTGCATTTGTAAACAGATTATTTTCTTTTCTCTATATTGACTAAGTGATTATTGTTTGTGTATATGAAGATTAGTAACTTTTGTATGTTAATGTTCTACCTTGTTAGTTCCTGAATTAAGAAAATACTTTATCTTATAAAACAGTTCTAACTGTTTTTCTTTTCTTTTTTTGAGATGGAGTCTTGCTGTGTCACCCAGGCTAGAGGACAGTGGTGTGATCTCAGCTCACTGCAACCTCTGCCTCCCAGTTTCAAGCGATTCTCCTGCCTCAGCCTCCCAAGTAGCTGGGATTACAGGCGTCTGCCACTACGCCCAGCTAATTGTATTTTTATTAGAGATGGGGTTTCACCATGTTGGCCAGGCTGGTCTCAAACTCCTGACCTCGTGATTCGCCCGCCTCGGCCTCCCAAAGTACTGGAATTACAGGCAAAACAGTTCTAGTTTTACAGAATAATTGAGAAGATAGAACATAGCGTTCCCATATGGCTTATACCCTTATTATTAACATCTTCATTCATATAGTACTTTTGTTAAAAATTAATAAGTGCACATTGTAATATTAAGTTCATGATTTATTCAGACTTCTTTAGTATTTATCTCATGTCCTTTTCCTTTCCTAGCCCTCTATCTAGGATATTACATTGCGTTTAATAGTCATGCCTCCTTAGTCTTTTCTTGGCTGTGACAGTTCTTAGACTTTCCTTGTTTTTGCGAACTTGACAGTTTTCAGGAATACAGATAAGAGATTTTGTAGGATGTCACTTTATTGGAATTTGTGAGTTTGTCCTTATGATTAGTCTGGGAATATGTGGTTTTGGGAGGAAGACCAGTGAGAAAAAGTACCATTTTTATCATATCATTTCAAGTATTGATATTAGGTATTGCTGTTGATGTTGACATTGATGACCTGGCTGAGGTTGTAGTATCTACACTATAAAGTTTATTTCCCTTTTTTTTTTTTTTTTTTTTTTGAGACAGAGTCTTGCTCTGTCGCCCAGGCTGGAGTGCAGTGGCGCGATCTCAGCTCACTGCAAGCTCCGCCTCCTGGGTTCACGCCAGTCTCCTGCCTCAGCTTCTCAAGTAGCTGGGACTACAGGCGCCCGCCACCAAGCCTGGCTAATTTTTTTGTATTTTTGGTAGAGACGGGGTTTCACCGTGTTAGCCAGCAGGATGGTCTCTATCTCCTGACCTCGTGATCCATCCACCTCGGCCTCCCAAAGTGCTGGGATTACAGGTGTGAGCCACCGCGCCCGGCCATTTTCCCCCTTTTCTACACTCTACCCTGGACAGAAGTCACTATGTAGCCCACAGTTAAGGAGTGGAAGTTATTTTCCGCTCCTTGAGGGCAGGCTATATAATACTTTGGAATTATTTGGAATTTACTTGGAATTGCTTTTCAGGGTATATTTGTATATGTTCTTCAATTTATTTATATATTCAGTCATTTATTTCTATCACTATGGACTTATGGATATTTAGTTTATACATTGGGTTAGAATTCCATATTGCTTTGTTTATTTTACTGCTCAAATTATTCCAGATATGGCTATTGACAACTCTTTCAGTGTGTACTTGCAGATTTAAATTTTTTAGTTCTTCCTTATTTTTTGGCAGTATCTAATACTTCAGGTTCTTTCTATATATTTCCTTCCCAGTCGTAGAATTAGCATTTCTCTAAGGAGCCCTGGCCCCTTTATTGGTGAATGGTATCAGAAACCAAAATCTGAGTGTCAGCCATGCTTGTTGCTGCTAAGGTGTCATTTCTTTTAGGTGACAGCTGACAGAGCAAGGGAATATATGTGTGCATACTAACTAAGGTAAATCCACATGTCCATAAATGTTTCTACATCTGTATCTATATTTAGCTAAACATGAATTTATATTCTAGCCTTCTTCCCTTGTTCATCTATAAACTTCTATTCTAACAATGAAAAACCTGACTCCCATCACCATCATTTGTTTACCTAACTGTTTAATTTCAGTACACTAGTATAACATTATGAGAATCATTAACCTGTACCCTTATGGAAAGTAGCTTTATCAAGTGCAGCATATTGCTTACTGGTAATTCCTTTTGACTTCAGTCTTATGGATTACATTAATTTTCAAAGTTTATTAGATCAGCAACTTTTCCCTCTCCATACCCCATACAGTGAGATTATTTGTTACAATCAGAACATGTGTAAATAATGTTGTCAAACTTTGCATTCTTTCCTAGGATCCTAGCCCTCCTAAATGATTTTTTCAAAACTTACATAATTGAGGTTTACTCTTTGTGCTGTAAATTTCTATGGCTTTTGACAAAGGTATGTCATGTATCCACCATTAATATATACAAAATTGATTTACCAGTCAAAAAAGGCCTGCGCTTCACCTATTCAATCCTCCTCCTCTCGCCTTGAATCATTGGCAGTCTCTCATTGTTTTACTGTTCCTCTAGTTTTGTTCTTTTCAACATACTGTTCAATTGGGATCATATAGTCTGTAGCCTTTTCAGGTGGGATTCTTTCACCCAGCTATAAGCATTTAAAGTTCATCCAGGTGTTCTCATAGCTTGATAGTTCATTTCTTTATATTTATGAAGAATACTCCATTCTAAGCATGAACATCTCTGTCTTTTAAATGATGCTGCAGACCTTTCACATTTAAAGTGATTATTAGTATTTCTGTTTTCTATGAATTACCTCTGTTGTTTTCATTTCTTTTTTCTTTTCTACCTTCTCTAGTTTTAATCATTGCATATGGTTTCTATTTTGTTTTTTATTGTCAGCATATAACTTATACTTTTCTTAAAAAACTGAGTACTTGCCCTAGAGTTTGCAATATACATTTACAATTAGGTCCACTTTCATAAAACTGCTTTCTGGGTAGTAGGGTCATCTTTCAATACAGTATTCTCAATTCCTCCCCTCAACTCTTTATAATATTGCTATCATTCATTTAATTTACCTCAATGCTACAATCATACAATATATTGTTACTAGTATTATTTTGAACAAATGTTACATATTAGATCAATTAAAAATAAGAAAAAAAGATTTAATTTTACCTTCATTTAGTGCTTCTCTGATGTTCTTTTTTTAGATCTAAGTTTCTAACACATCATTTCCCTTCTCACTGAAGAACTTCTTTTAATGTTTCTTGAAGGGCAGATGTGCTGGTGATGAATTTTCCAAGATTTGTTTGTCTGAGAAAGTTTTTATTTCTTCTTCGTTTTTGAAGAATAATTTTGCTGTGTGTAGAAATGTAGAGTTCTTTTTCCTAATTGACAATTCAAAAAATTTACTCTACTCTCTTATTTGGTGATATGGTTTGGCTGTGTCCCCTCCAAAATCTCATATTAAATTGTAACTCTCACAATTCCCATGTGTCATCGGAGGAACCTAGTGGGAGGTGATGGAATTAAGAGGGTGGGTCTTTTCTGTGCTGTTCTTGTGATAGTGAATGAGTCTCATGAGATCTGATGGTTTTAAAAAGAGGAGTTTCCCTGCACAAGCTGTCTCTCTTTGCCTGCCTCCATCCATGTAAGATGTGACGTGCTCTTCCTTGCCTTCCTTCATGATTGTGAGGCCTCCCCAGCCATGTGGAATTGTAAGTCCATTAAACCTCTTTCTTTTGTAAATTGCCCCATCTCAAGTATTTCTTCATCAGCAGTGTGAAAACAGACTAATACAGTAAATTGGTACCAGTACAGTGGGGTGCTGCTGAAAAGATACCTGAAAATGTGGAAGTGACTTTGGAACTGGGTAACAGGAAGAGGTTGAAATGGTTTGGAGGGCTCAGAAGAAGACAGGAAAGTGTGGAAAAGTTTAGAACACCCTATAGACTTGTTGAATGGCTTTTACCAAAATGCTGATAATGATATGGACAATGAAATCCAGGCTGAGGTGGTCTCAGATGGAGATGAGGAACTTGTTGGGAACTGGAGCAAAGGTGACTCTTGTTATGTTTTAGCAAAGAGACTGGCAGCATTTTGCCCCTGCCCTAGAGAGATTTGTGGAACTTTGAACTTTAGAGACATAATTTAGGGTATCTGGCAGAAGAAATTTCTAAGCAGCAAAGCATTCAAGATGTGACTTGGGTGCTGTTAAAGGCATTCAGTTATATAAGAGAAGCAGAGCATAAAAGTTCAGAAAATGTGTAGCCTGACAATGCGATAGAAAAGAAAATCCCATTTTCTGAGGAGAAATGCAAGCCAGCTGCAGAAATTTGCGTAAGTAATGAGGAGCCAAATGTTAAGCACCAAGACAATGGGGATAATGTCTCCAGGGTATGTCAGAGGTCTTCATGGGAGCCCCTTCTATCACAGGCCTGGAGGCCTAGGAGGACAAAGTGGTTTCGTGGGCCAGGCCCAGGGTCCCTGTGCTGTATGCAGCCTAGGAACTTGGTGCCCTGCCTCCCAGCTGCTCCAGCCATGAATAAAGGGGCAAATGTCGAGCTTGGGCCATGGCTTCAGAGGTTGCAAGCCTCAAGCCTTGTCAGCTTCCACATGATGTTGAGCCTGCCAGTGCACAGAGGTCAAGAATTTGGGTTTGGGTACCTCCACCTAGATTTCAGAGGATATATGGAAATGCCTGGCTGTCCAGGCAGAAATTTATTGCAGGGTGGGGATCCCATGGAGAACCTCTGCTAGGACAGTGCAGAAGGGAAATGTGGGGTCAGAGCCCCTATACAGAGTCCCTACTGGGGCACTGTCTAGTGGATCTGTGAGAAGAGGGCCACCATCCTCCAGACCCCAGAATGGTAGATCCACTGACAGTTTACACCCTGTGCCTAGAAAAGCCACACTCAATGCCAGCCCATAAAAGCAGTCGAGAGGGAGCCTGTACCCTGCAAAGCCACAGGGACGGAGCTGCCCAAGACCATGGGAACCCACCTCTTGCATCAGCATGACCCGGATGCGAGACATGGAGTCAAAGGAGATCATTTTGGAGCTTTAAGGTTTGACTTCCCTGCTGGATTTCACGCTTGCATGGTGCCTGTAGCCCCTTCGTTTTGGCCAATTTCTCCCATTTGGAATTGCTGTATTTACCCAATGCCTGAACCTCCATTGTTTCTAGGAAGTAACTAACTTGCCTTTGATTTTACAGGATCATAAGCAGAAGGAAATTGCCTTGTCTCAGATGAGATGTTGGACTGTGGACTTTTGAGTCATGCTGAAATGAGTTAAGACTTTTGTGGACTGCTGGGAAGGCATGATTGGTTTTTAAATGTGAGGACTGAGATTTGGGAGGGGCTGGGGTGGAATTATATGGTTTGGCTGTGTCCCCAACCAAATCTCGTCTTGAATTTTAACTCCTCAATTCCCACATGTCATGGGAGGAACCTGGTGAGAGTTGATTGAATTATGGGGCCAGGTTTTTCCTGCACTGTTCTCATGATAGTAAATGAGTCTCACAAGATCTGATGGTTTTAAAAAGAGGAGTTCTCCCTGCACAAGCTCTCTCTTTGTCTGCTGCCATCCATGTAAGATGTGACTTGCTTCTCATTGCCTTCTGCTATGATTGTGAGGCATTCCTAGCCATGTGGAACTGTAAGTCCATTAAACATCTTTCTTTTGTAAATTGCCCAGTCTTTGGTATGTCTTTATCAGCAGTATGAAAATGGTTTACACATGGTTTCTGATTATAAGTATCCTATCATTCTTATCCTTTTTTCACTGACTTCTTCAAGATGTCTTTGGTTTTCTGTAGTTGAATATAATATGCTTGGCTGTACTTTCTTGGTATTTATCCCGTTTGGTCTTCTCTGAGGTTCATCTATCTATAGTTTGTTATACATCATGAATTGCTGAAAACGATCAGCCATTATCATTTCAATGTTTCTTTTGCTTCATTTTCTTTTTTCTTTCTTCTATTACATGTAATGTATGTTACACCTTTTCTAATTGTTCCACACTCCTTGGATGCTCTTTATTAAGTAATTTTTTTTCTCTTCACATTTCAATTTGGGAAGTAGGTAATGACAAATTTCAAGCTCACTGATTCTCTTCTCAGCTGTGTCTAGTCTACTGATGTGCCTATCAAAGGCACTCTTCATTTTTGTTACAGTGATTTTGAATTTTTATATTTCCTTTTGATTTTTTTCTTAGAGTTTTCATCTCTCTATTTATATTACCCACTACCTTTTGTTTGTTATCTGTTTTTCCATTCTAGCCTTTATTAAGAGTAGTATTTTAAATTCTCTGCCTGATAAGTATAACACTGGTGTCATGTTTCAATCTGGTTGTGTGGGAAGTTGTCATTTATGTGATTAAGTATTTATAACAAAACCATAGCAATATGTTTTAATTTGTAATTGGAAGGAAACCATGAACATCTTTTGTACCAGAAACAATTTTACTGGTTGTCTAAGAGCAAATATTTTAAAAAGTTGGTAAACCTCAGCAACTTTTTTTTTGAGACAGGGTCTCACTCTGTCACCCAGGCTGGACAGGTGGAGTGCAGTGGTGTGGTCTTACTGCAACCTCTTTTTCCAGGGCTCAAGCGATCTATCCAACTCAGCCTCACAAGTAGTTGGGACCACAGGCATGTGCCACCATGCCTTGCTAATTTTTTGTAGAGAGGGGTTTCACCATGTTGCCCAGGCTGCTCTTGAACTCTTCACCTCAAGCAATTCACTTGCCTTGGCATCCCAAAGTGCTGAGATTACAGGCATGAACCACTGCACCTGGCTACAACTTTTTTCCCACATGATTATTCCAAGTTTTGATCTGTTCTAAAATACCATGTGATTTATTAAGCTAGTATATATAAGATAGTGTGTGTGTGTGTGTATGTATGTTGTATTAAAAAAAGAAACTGAGGAAATACTGAGGTGGTGCAATTTTAAAAGTCTGGAGCTTCTTTTGAAGGAATACATAGCTAAAAGAAATAAAGAAATACCTATTTCTAGCTACAACTAGCAGTGTTTTAAATTAGGTAAAGAGATTTATAAGCAATAACATTTAGTGATTGTTAACTTCCATTATAAATTAACAAAATTAGGTCAAAGGCTAATAGGGATCTTTTTCAGTGAAGAAACTTGACATAATTTTAACTCTTAATTTCTATGCTTGAGCTTCTGTGTTGTACTTAGTCTCTCAAAGAAATAACTCAGGGTTCTGATCACTGGTTTGAGAGAAGGCTAGTAGGCAAGATTTTTGTTTCCTAGCTTCAGTTGCATTACATCTCCATTTCATGTTATGTATATAGGACACCTGATTTAGATTTTACATGGAAAAGGACATCACGGAGAGAAGCTTGAAATGTATGAAAACCATTGGCCTTCGCACCTGGGTTATTTTCACAGCTTCTGTTGCATACTTCCATGTGCATTAGGGGACAACAAGGAGTGCACAATCTTCCCATTCTGAGTCACTTCTTGTGTCATTTCAGATCTCTCCTGCTTTCTTTTCCTCTCTTTGGACTTTCCTTTTTGCCTATACATGCCTTTTAAAGAGAAAATAGTTTTCAGTTTTTAAAACTTATTTAAACTTTCACTGTCTGGGTACAACCTAGCTTCTCTAAAAGTTACTTCTTAGTGTTTTCAATTATCTAACAAAACAAAATGTGAGTGAAAGTAAAAAAGCAATAATATTTTTAAATTTCTTAATTGTGTTAGCAGCTGTTCTCCAATTTATAATCATATTATTTATAATCATAATGCTTTAAAAATTTTCATATAACTTACTACTGCAAACTTCACAGTGCCTTGAGATACAATAAATCCATTTTGCAGAATAAGGAATCTAGACTCTAAAAGTTAACAAAAAAAGACATAATTAAGGTCACCTAGTCAGTAGATAACTGGACCAGGACAAATTTTCTACATTATTTATTTAATGTAATTCTAACAGTATTAACTAGACAGTATACTTAATATTTATTGACATAAGTCAGAATGACATGATAGCTAATATTTACTGAGCATTTATTGTGTTCTTGGCACTATATTCAGTACTTTACATTACTGTCATATATTCCTCACAACAACCCTATAAGATAGGTACATCACAATTGAAGGAATTTAATATGATTAATGCTACACAACTTCTTATCCATGGTTTATCATAATTTAAAATTAATTATTTGAATGTGCATGGTATCAACTTATCTTCTACACTACCATCTTAGAAAAGAAAAAAGAGAAGGAAGATAAAATTTTTAGTGAGAACCTACTGTGTGCTCTGAGCTGAGTTATAAAACTAGTTTCACACGAGAATGAAAAGTGTGCCTTACATAGTGTATATTCAGAGTTGAATCCACATCCTTCTCCATTGACCATACAAAGTTTACAATGAGAAAGAGGTAAAATATAGAACATAAAGAAGGCAGAGACAGCTATCTTTATTTTTCAATATATGAAACCAGATGCCAAATAAGTTTTCCAGAGTAACAGAATAAATAAATATTAGACAGGAAAGCCCTTTGATACCACATGGGCTCTTTATTGGTTCCTCATCAGCAACTACCACAGTATCTGGCATATTAATGAGTGCTTATTTAATAAAAAAAATTGATTGAATACATGAACGAATGAAAAACAAGAATGAGAACCTAATTATCCTGTCTTTTTACCTAAGAATGACTGAATTTACCCCTTACTCAGTTCAATATATAATATAAGTTATCTTATTTTTTCATTATACAAATAATCCATAGTTAAAGCCTAAAAAAGCTTTACAATTACACAGCCTAATCCCCTAGGAGGGATCAAAAAGTGATAAAACAGCATGAGGAGTAAAAAATATATGTATACATTTGTCTGCAAGATCCTAGAAAATCTTGAAGAGTACTCTGCTGTTCACTTTAGCACTAAGCTATAACAATTTGTAAACATTAGAGTGAGAGAGAGTAATAGGAACAGCTTGTAGGGTGTCTAGCAAAACAAACCAAACTGAACACTTTGTAATTAAATTTAACAATTTCATCTTACAAATAATACTGTATGTTGATAGAAAAATGTGAACACTGTTTCAATATTCATGAAGTTTTGAATAAAACAGTACACAGAACTTGGGCAATGTTACATTAGCTTCATAATGGTGGTATCCTCATCTAATTTATGACAGTCCCACCATACCTAGCATACTGTACTTCATACATAGTAGGTAATCCATGAATACCTGCTGAATGTAATCTGTATCTATTTAAAAGTTCTCTGTTTTAAAATTTAATAAAAATCAATGTTTTATATCTTTAAATTTAAAAAGAATAGTGTGGCTGGGCATGGTGGCTCACCCCTGTAATCCCAGCATTTTGAGAGACAGAGGCAGGATTGCTTGAGCCCAGGAGTTCGAGGTCAGCCTGAGCAACATAGGGAGACCCTGTCTCTCTTAAAAAATAGTAATAATAAATATAAATATAAAAAGAATAGTGTGACACACAAACACAGTCATTGCGGTTAATTCAATTAAACCAAGCTGATGCTTGGTTCAATTAAACCAAGTAGATAGAATATGGCATGCTTTTTCATCTTGCCACATTGATAACAGTGATCCTTTTCCAAAGTAGATCAGCTCTCTCATTGTAAAACTAATTTTAAAACAAAGTCACCTTTACAGAGACAAATGATTATTACTGGTTTCTGCATAGTGGATGAGATCTGCAGGGAGAAAAAGTTCTAAGACAGAACAATGTTAGAAAAAACATTGTTGACATACTAAATTACTTTGAATAGGTGGAAAGATAAGAATATAAGGTGACGGTTAGAAGGGAAGAAAAGATTATTCCAAAAGAGAGGACAGAGCATAGCTAAAGAGTGCCTGGGACTTATTTCGGTCATGTTGTAAAAAGAATGATTGATTTTAAGAATAGTATATGTTATTATTAGTTTTCTTTAGCATATACCTTCAGGGTTGTAATCAGATGGTACTAATCTTGTTCATCAAGAGATAGCTTGAGTAGGTTTTGAAAACAACATTTCAATCTATATATGCATGGCTTGGCCCTGGTGACGTCTAAGACTACTGGATAAATCCAAAGGGAGTAGTAACAGAGAGGGAGGTTCCTAAAAAAAAATAGGACAAAGCAAAGACATAAGGAAAGCTGATGAAATCCAGTAGATGCCACCTGTACTTATTACAATGATTATTTGTAATTGCTTTATTATTACTTAACTCTGGTATATTTTTAAATAAACTATAGTCAAATTAGTCGTATATAAGAGGAAGTATAGGTGCATAATTTTCTTAAATCCTCCATGTTTAACTAAAAGTTGGTCCATGCCAATTCAGTCAGACATAATCAAACATCTGACGGTAACTCTCCCAGGTTACACAGCATGGTGGTCCCTCAGCTGTGGTCTCTCTCTTGGGCTGCTTTAGAAGGCGGGCAGGGCCAGTGGCCTGATGATCCAGACTTCACACTGTATATCCACACACACCAGCTCCGTGGTGTTATGGCTTACTTAGGATAGCTCCATAGTACTCTTATATAGTTGTCAATAATATTGGCATTCTATAATTTTATTAAAAATGGTTTTACTACTTAAATTACTTTTGAAAACCATTGACTTAAATGAAACTTGCTTTGATATTTCATAAACACTATAAAGTGATAGGAGAATCACATTTGCTGCCATATTGCCAGCCTTATTAGTGGTCCTTTCACATTCACATCCATATAGAAAAGCCTACATTTGGTAGCATGCTTACTAAAAGCTGCAATGTTTCTTGATCTCTAAGTTCCTCTGGTGAGAGGACTCATGAACAAGGTGTCTCTCAACTGAAGCTCATCTTTCATTACTCAACAACAAAATATGTGGTCCCCTGCTGCAAAATCAAGTTCATTTTTTAAAATAGAAAATAAGTGTGTATATTAATTGATTAAAAATGATCTTGTAGCATTACTACTTCTTTTATGTATTTATTCAACAGAACTTCAGCTATACTATATTATATTAGTAGCATATATAATATAGTATTTTGCCAAACAATGTTACACTATGTAATAAGAGTTCATATAGGCATTTCACATTTTTGACAGCATTGAGGCATAACATTTAATAAAATGCACATTTAAAATATACAATTTAATATGTTTTATTGGCTTATGTATAAAACCCCAAGGCTATCACCATAATCAAGATAAGGAACCCATATATCAAACCCAAAAGCTTACTCATACCCCTTCACAATCTGTTCACTCCTCCCACCAACTCTCAAATAACCACAGATCTGATTTCTGCCACTACAGATTGACTGGCAAGTTTTAGAATGTTATATAAATGGAATCATGCAGTGATATGGTTTGGCTCTGTATCCCCACCCAAATTTCATGTTGAATTGTAATCCACATGTGTTGGAGGAGGGGCCTGGGGGGGTGGTGATTGAATCGTGTGTGCGGACTTCCCCCTTGCTGTTCTCGTGATAGTGAATGAGTTCTCACCAGATCTGGTTGTTTAAAAGTGTGCAGCGCTTCCCCCTTGGCTCTGTCTCTCCTGCTCCATGTGAAGATGTGCTTGCTTCCCCTTTACCTTCCACCATGATTGTAAGGTTCCTGAGGCCTCCCCAGCCATGCCTCTTACACAGCCTGTGGAATTGTGAGTCGATTAAACATCTTTTCTTCATAAATTACCCAGTCTCAGGTAGTTCTTCATAGCAGTGTGAGAGCAGACTAATACATACAGTATGTGTTTTTATTTAGCTTCTTTTACTCAGTATAATTATTTTTAGATCCATAAATATTGTTGCTTTAATCAAATTTATTCCTTTTTATTACTGAATCATATTTCATTAAATGGGCATACCATTTGTTAAATAATTCATCTGTTGATTAAGATTTGAGTTGTTCTCACTACTGGGATATTACAAATAAATCTGCTATAAATATTTGTATACAAGTCTGTGTGAATATGTGTTTCTATTCCTCTTTGGTAAATACTAACAAGTAGAATGACTAGATTCTATGGTGTGTATATATTTAATATTTAATATGTTAAGAAATACATGGACATTTTAAAAAAAACAATTCTCCACATTAAGTTTGTTTCCTCATTTGTCCTAATTCCTTTGGTCAGGACAAGTCTGTGTAGAAACAGCACAATGCATTTGCCATGAGCTAGTTTCACAGCCACTTATATCTGACTACATCTTATACAATGATGTATTCACTTGCCTCTACAAATAGGCCTTTTAGTTTTGGAACTTAAAAATCTCTTTAAATACAGAGCATAATTCTTCCTTAGGTGTTGTCCAAATATTTGTTTTGTCGCATTCTAGTTTTCTATTTTATATATAAGCTGCCAACTTAAGCTACTTTAATTTAGCAGTGTAGGGAATTCTTATGTCCCATAAAGCAAACTTCAATCCAGTAACCTTGAATAATATGTCCAAAAGTCTAATATAGATCTGAATTACTGTCTTATGGAGCAACACCCCCCTACAGTAATGTGTAATTTCTTTCATATTTTTTTTTGACCAGTGAAATAGGAGTGTCAGTTTTGGCCGTCCTGCTTATCCTTACTTAACATCCGTGGCTGGAACACAGCAGGCAGTTTTTTGCTTTATTACTGTGCCTAGGATTACTTTGCAAATGTAACCAGATGAATTTGGTTAGGATTGTTGATACTATACCTGGCAGCTTAACGATTTCTGAAAGTAAAAGACATCGTGTCAGTTTATATCTCTATCTCTATCTCTATCTCTATCTCTATCTCTATCTCTATCTCTATCTATCTATCATCTATCTGTCTATCTATCTATCTATCTATCTATCTATCTATCTATCTATCTATCATCTATCTATCTATCTATATTCCCCATTGGGAAGTCAAACCACAACATCTCTTTCCCTCAAAATCTTTGTTATGGAAAACTTTTGTAAAACCACTTTCCAAGACACTGAAAATGTAATACCTAAAATAATGAAGTAACAGCTTTTACGCATCCACAGAACAAAAAAGACCATACAAAACAGGGAAATAGCATGGGACCTGGTAAGGGACACTTCTCTGTATCTGCTGTCACCACCCCCTTTAATGTTTGCTCTGATAATAAAGACATACACTGCAATTTTCCTCTTGTCAATCGAAAGATTTTTTCTGTGTCCACATCAGCTTCAAATATCATGCAACGTTGATAGACCTATTGCAAGGTGACAAGGCCAGCTATACTACCCCACTGCAGATTTTGCAATCTTGTCCTTTTTGTATTGCTGACACGTCCTTGAAATGGTACGTTCAACCTTAAGCAGATTTTCCTATAACACTCATTGCTTGTTTTTTTTCCTTATGATAAAAGATAGAAAAATGTTTTGTAACAACTTAGAGACAAATCAACTAAAAGAGGAAAAGTCACTTATAATATTCTACAACCCATAGATGATAATTAATAAAATATGTTGATATATTTTCTTTTACTTTTTCTTTTTCTTTTTTTTTTTGAGATGGAGCCTCACTCTGTCGCTGAGGCTGGAGTGCAGTGGGGTGATCTTGGCTCATGGCAACCTCTGCCTCCTGGGTTCAAGTGATTCTCCTGCTTCAGCCTCCCGAGAAGCTGGGATTACAGGCACGTGCCACCACGCCCAACTAATTTTTGTATTTTTAGTAGAGACGGGGTTTCACCATGGTGGCCAGGATGGTCTCGATCTCTTGACCTCGTGATCTGCCTGCTTCCGCCTCCCAAAGTGCTGGGATTACAGATGTGAGCCACTGTACCCAACCGATATATATATATTTTTCATTTTATTTTCCTCTTTCTCACACACATACACGGACAATATGAGTTTTAAATAATTAGACTATATATATATACATATATGCACACATATATACACATATATACATATACGCACATATATACACATATATACATATATACACATATATACATACGAATATACACAAATATACATATATACACATATACATATATACACACATATATACACACACACACATATATATACAGATATTCAGTTAACAATATTTCAAGTGCATTTTCTCTGCTATTAGACATTCTCTGAAACTCTTATTTTAATATCTATAGAATAGCATTTTTGGAAAAGAAAAATGAACAAATTTTAAGTTAGACTCCCTTTTACTGTCTAGTCTAAGGATAAGATAAAAAAAATCACATATGTAGAGTTTATTTGGCTATAGAGTTTGATGAAAAAGGTGAGATTTTCCTCACTAAAATAAATTGGAATAGGTCTGATATTCATGGCACCGGTGTTCTGATTTTTGATCCGACATTCAGACATAAGAGTTGAAGGTCAGGGTGTGTTTCTAGCCATCTGCTGCTACTGTTGCTACTACTGCTGCCACCACCATTTTTAGCATTCCCCCCACTACTGCTCTTATTATTATTGCATGGTTTCAACCACCTCCCCCCATAGATCAAGAAGAGTAATGGTATTGCCACAATTGTCAATGGCATCAGCAATTGCTGTGCGTGAAGAACCCTCACATCATCCTACATAGTCCTGCATAAAGGAAGTTTAAAAAGCTGTTTCTAATTTCCTGAGAAGTTAACAATCTATAAGAGATTTGTGATCTAAAATTGTATTCAGCATGTTGAATAAAGGATATGCTGACAATACAAAGTTTTCTGAAATAGATATTCATTATCTTTCCTGATACCTTGCTAAACCTATCATAAAATTCTAAAGTTAATAAAAATGACTGAAATTTTATAAATAATTAGTCCAATCTTTTCATGTACCACTGAGGAAGCTGTGTTCTCAACAAGTTAAGTTCTTGTTTTAGGTCACAAGATATTAAGGGCAGCGTTTGACCTTGAATCTGGATAGTCAATCCTAGATATTATGTTCTACCATAGTTCCAGCCTTATGTTGTAAGAAGTTTTGCAAGTCACTTACCATAGATTTTCTGTTCCTAATTTGGAAATAGGATATAAACTCACAGCTCTGTCTCAGAGCATGTTTAGTAGGTGTGCTTATTCGTAGAGCTTAATTCAAACAATTAAAGAAAAAAGAATAACTTAGGAACATCTTGCAGGTCCACTGACACACTTCTATGCATGCTATAGGTGAAAATTGAATTCATCTCAAGCTTAGTATAACTTAGAGCCAGAGTACCACTAATCATCATGGACATGAAAAAAAAAATACAATGAGATATCACTTCACACTTCTTAGGATACCTATTATCAACAGCCACAGAAAAGATAAGTGTTGGTGAGTATATGAAGAAATTGGAGCCCTAGTACTCTGTTGGTGGGAATGTAGAATGGTACAACTGCTTTAAAAAATAGTATGGAGGTTTCTCAAAATTAAAAACAGAACTACTATATGATCCAGCAATCCTACTTCTGGTTATATGTCCCAAAGAATTGAAATCAGGATCTCAAAGAGATATCTGGACTCCCATGTTTATTTCGGCATTATTCACGATAGCCAAGATGTGAAAACAATCTAAGTGTTCATTGACAGATGAAAGGGTAACTAAAATGTGATAAACTTGTAAGATGGAATACAATTCAACCTTAAAAAAAAAGGAGATCAGTCATATGCAACGACAAGTGTGAACCTTGGGGACATTATTCTAAGTGAAGTAAGCCATTAGCAGAAAGGCAAATACTGCATGATTTGCCTTATATGAGGTAACTAATGTTTTTACACTCCTAGAAACCATGAGCAGAATGGTAGTTGTCAAGCTGAGGGGAGGGGAAATGAGGAGTTGCTGCTCCAAAGTTATGAAATTTCAATTATGCAAGATAAATAAATAAAGATCCTACTATATATACAGCATTGTACCTATAATTGGCAATACTATGTTATTCACTTAAAAATTTGTTAAGGGTAGATTTCATATTAAATGTTAATACAATACTGATAATAATAGTGTAAAGAAAAATAATAACAAAATAGAGGGATGCTAATGGTTCCTGGAGGCAGTTTTGAATTATATTTTAAAAGATTGTAAGAAGAAAAGTCACCAATTCTTGATTTTGACAAATAGAGACATACATCTTATTTGCATCTTCATTTATTCTTCTGTTGCATTAACTCAATAAAATATGTATTTACTGAGTACTGACTGTGTGCCAGGCACCGTTAGACACTTGGGTTATAAAACTGAGAATAATACTAGATGCCTTCTCCCTCTGGTGGCTATAACAGAAAGATATGTGTATTCAGGAGATTAACCCTATTTTGAATTGATGTGATGAATTAGAGTGGACTATGTTTCAATCAACTGAACTCAACAGATTTACCGAATCTTCACTAGCGTTGAGATCTCTCAGTGTTGAGGAGGTGTTTGATCCAGCCTAATGTTTGTCACAGCCTTATTATGTTTTCAGTTTAAGCATCAATTCATAAAAACTGAAAATTCAAAGGATTTACAAAAATTATCAGTTTTACTTACTTCTCATCTTCATTTTAAAGGTCAAGGAATTTAAGCATAGGAAAAGTCTGAGATTGGCCTAACAAAAAACAACTAGTTTAGTTAGGACACCCAAGTATCCTAACTTCAAGTTCCATTAATATCCCACCGTAACACAAGCCTACCAGCTTTCTGGCGATATAAGAAATATCTTCCCAGTTTTTCCTCAGGTGCTTTACACTCGTTCCTCTCTTCTGCCTGACACATCCCAGGAAATTTTTTCATCTCTAACCACTCAACTTCAGTCTCAAATCATATAACTCTATGGAATATCTTTCATCTCCATCTAATATTCTTACCCTTTATCTCTCTTGAGGGCAAGGATTGTGTTTTATTTCCTTCAAGATTCCCAGTATCTAGCATAATTGTTCCTGTCTACATACGGCCATGCCGTGCATGACAATGTTTCATTCAGTGATGGACTGCATATAGGATAATGGTCCCCTAAGAAGGCTATAATGGAACTGAAAAATTCCTATCACCTAATGACATTGTATTATTTGTTCTCACATTCCTATAAAGCACTACCTAAGACTGGGTAATTTATAAATAAAAGAGACTTAATTGGCACACAGTTCCACAGGCTGTACAGGAAGCATGGCTGGAGGGGCCTCAGGAAACTTACAATCATGGCAGAAGGTGAAGGGGAAGCAGGCACATCTACAGGGCAGGAGGTGGAAGAAAAGAGCCAAGGAGGAGATGCTGCACACTTTTAAATAGATCTCATGGAAACTCACTCACTATCATGAGAAGAGCAAGGAGGAAATCTGCCCCCGTGATCCAATCACCTCCTACCAGGTCCCTCCCTCAGCACTGTGGATAACAATTCGACATGAGATTTTGTCCGGAGCACAAATCCAAACCATATTAGATGCCATAGCCATCTTAACATCGTGACACAACACCTTACCTTTTCTATGTTTAAATATGTTTAGATACACAAATATTTACCACTGTGTTACAGTTGCCTATAGTATTCAGTACAGTAACATGCCATACAGGTTTGTAGCCTAGGAGCAATGGGTTATACCATACAGCCTAGGTGTGTAGTAGGTTATACCATCTAGGTTTGTTTAAATATACTCTATGATACTTGCACAGTGACAAATTCATATAATGACACATTTCTCAGGATGTGTCCTGATTGTTAAGCAACATGACTGTATATGTAAGACAATCGAATATGTTAGTTGAGTTAACTTGAGTTGATTATATAATCAAGCAAACTTAGATTAGCACTGGATATCTTTAGATAATCTCATTATGAATAAAAGATAAAAACAAGATCAGCAGAATGAAAGCAGCTTATTAAATTCTGGTATTAAGATGACAAACAAATGATAGAATTTCCTTTTTTTAAAGGCTAAATAGTATTTCACTGAGTGTATATGTTTGTGTGTGTATATATAGAGAGAGGGAGAGCTCACAGTTTCTTTATTCATTCATCCAATGAAAGACACCTAGGTTGCTTCCATCTCTTAGCTATTGTGAACATGGAAGTGCAGATATCTCTTAGGCATATTGATTTGAATTTTTTTTTTTTTTTTTTTTTTAGACAGAGTCTCATTCTGTCACCCAGGCTGCAGTGCAGTGGCATGATATTGGCTCACTGCAACCTCCACCTCCCAGGTTCAAATGATTCCCTTGCCTCAGCCTCCCTAGTAGCTGGGATTACAGGCACACGCCACCACACCCGTCTAATTTTTTGTATTTTTAGTAGAGACGGGGTTTCACCATGTTGGCCAGGCTGGTCTTGAACTCTTGACCTCAGGTGATCCACCCTCCTTTGCCTCCCAAAGTTCTGGGATTACAGGCATGAGCCACTGTGCCCAGACCCTTTTGAATATTGTTTTCACCACAAAAAAATGATACATGAGTGAAGAGATAGATTTGTTAATTAGAATTTAATCATTTCATAATGTTAATATATACTGTTGTAAACATCACAGTATGCTACATAAATATATAATATATACAATTATCAATTAAAAATTTAAAAAACAAATTTTAAAAAAGGCTGCAAGCAAGTTTGTAGTTTTTTTTTTTTGTACTTTAAGTTTTAGGTTACATGTGCACAACGTGTAGGTTTGTTACATATGTATACATGTGCCATGTTGGTGTGCTGCACCTATTAACTCATTTTCATACATTTTCTGATATCTTCTTCCAGTAGTCTGGTTAAGACTAAAATGTCTTCTCTCTTTTGTCTTGTAAACATAATGTTATTATATGGGATATGACTTTCAGTTTACATACTTATTTGCAAGTAAATTTATTTTTAACTTGGCTCATGGGAAATTTAAATATAGTCATTCTTGGGCCTTCCCTTACTCCTGCTACCTATGTTGGGCCAAGTGAGCCAAAATTCTTGAGCAATGGTTCTCAAGTGGGTGATTCCTAAGCCTCCAAATTTCCAGGGGATATTCGGTAATGTCTGGAAACATATTTAATTATATCTCATGACTTGAGAGGGTCCAAATGTGTGTGGTAGATAGAAGCTAGGGTTGGTGCTAAACTTCTTACAATACACAAAACAGATTCTCACAACTGGAATTATTCAGATCAAGACGTCAACAATGCTAAGACTGAGAAACACTTCTCTTGAGGCTAAGTCTGTCTCTGGAGGCTTGGGCTGCATCAAGATGTCAGGGAGTCTCACCGACCCTGTCATTTACCCACACTGGTTGCCAATGAGACATCCATTGTCCCAGCCCATGTAACCCTTTCAGGTCTACCACTGTTTCCATGACAAGTTTGTGGCACGGGGCTATGGTAAGATTTGAAACACTGTTCTGGGCTTACTGGATGACATTTTCTCTGAAGTCTTTTTTATCCATATTGGATTGTCAAGGAGTAGGGCAAGTTAGTACTGATTATGGAATCATAAACTTTTTAGTCCTCCACATCTGAGAATCTCTTCTGAGCTTATGGAAAACCTTTCTCTACACAAAATCTCATCTCTAGTTTCCATAGGATTTTTTTAAAATTCAAGAATATTTGCATATACTTTTCTTTAGGCAAGGAATTATTGATTCAATACTTATTAAAAGACAGAAGGCAAAGGATTATACATTCTCCACAGCTCAAAAATGTTCCCATGATTTTCTTGTGAAATTGATCAATAACAAAAGCTTGTCAGTAATTAAATTGTTTGCTCCTTTATTCAGCTAAGAAATAGAAAAATTGAGACATACTATGTGCCATTTCATGAGTGGAAAACAAGACAAACAACATCCCTATTTTCATGTAAGTTAAGTTCTAGTAGGGATAAAATAAAAAATGTAACCCACCTGCCAAAAAAAGGAAAAAAATGAAGAGAAAATATAATTTTAGGTGAAAATCATGAAAAAGGACCTAAAGAAAATATATACACTAATATAAGAAATAAATGAAATGGGGAAAAGGGTTAACTTTAGTTAGACTGGCCAGGGGAGACTTCTCTGAGTAGAGAGCATCTGAGCTCCCATGCCGAGAAGGATCCAGTCTGCAAGAAGGGGTAAATAGAAAGACACAAAGAGTCTTAAGTGGAAAGTGCTGACAAGTGGGACATGTTTGAGGAGGAGAAAAGGGGTCAGTGTAACAGAAATGTCACTGATTTCTTGAATATTTATAAGGTAGAGTGCCAGTCTCATGGTCAAAGGTGTGGGGCAGGAACTTCAGTGTTTGTTTGTGTGTGTGTGTTAAACAAGGGCCATGTCTTAATTTTCTTTATTTTGGCATTGTGTCATTGATATATTTTTATTTTTTAAATGTATTTTAATTGTGATCTCTCCATTTTGACATTGCAAAATCATCCTACGTTACTACCTCAGCTGGAATGAAATCATTGAACATGTGACGTTAGTCTCCTGCTTGGGATGGACATTCATAGCATGTTTCCTAAGAGCTTCTCTGAGTGCGAGACCACTCCTGACATTACTGTGGTGGTTATTTGATTTTAGTAAGTCAGTGAAAGCTAGCCAGTGAATTATATTTTTAATAAGTCATGTGTATGGTTTAGAATTCAAACATAATTCTGAGAAGAAGCCAAGCATGACTCTTGTTTTCCACAGTATTTTTAATACTTTTTATTTCTTTTTTATTTTCTTCCTGTGTTTTTTTCTCTCTTCTTTAAAATTTAGCAACCACAAATTTCTTTTTTGTATTTTAATATTAAATATTTATAAAGTCTGCGCAAGTGAATTTTTAATTGTAATAATGCCACCTGTTTCATTAGGGATCCTGAAAGGATTAGTGAGATAATGTCTATAGAAAGGATTGAACTCCTTGTGGGAAAAAGGATATATATATGAAATGTATTGTGACCCTGAAGTCTTAATGTATTACTACTATGTCATTGCTGTCCTGGCTTCTATGTAAACACCTCAGCCTGAATGTTTTCAGCTTCAACTTCTATATTTGTTTTTGGCTTCTTTTGCTTGAATCAAGTGAGATAGCAACAGTAATGATAATCTATAATATTCATAAACAATATTAATAATTCAGTATTTCCCAGTCACCGAATAATGTTCTAGTCCGTCATCTTGTTTTATCTTTACAATAACCCTAAAAATTAGGTAGTATTTGTGCTATTTTACAGGTGAAGAAACTAAGCCTATTCCAAATCACTTTTGGGCTGCCTAAGGAAGACACCATAATAAGCCAGAGGTAAAATAGGAAAATATGAAATATATCTCCACAATTCTGATATGAGAAATAACGTTAATGTCTGCATTGATTAACACTTTTTCTGAAAAAATGGGCTCTCTTCATCTTTGTCTGGTTTAGAGACAGCCCAGCTTAAAGAAGACAAATTATTTCCATCATCCCTGAGAATCATGCTAGAGTGAATCTTTGCTGAGGCCAGTTTAAGAGATAATTTCGCTGTTAGACATGATTAAAGTCCAATTAAAAGAGATCTCTTACATGGATTTTAGAAGGAAGCAGTGCATGGGTAATTATATTAAACCCTGTTTAGCACAATGACATTAGATAATCAAACTCAGGTAACTGTAACTAGAGGCAACTAGTAAATGTACCATGTCAACCCAAAATAATGTCTGTGTAGAATCTAAAGGACAGAAACATTGGTGGCTTATCCAAAGTTCCAAATCAAAAATAAATTTGGATTATACTGGATTAAAATTATTAAATTTGGAATAAAGGTGATTAAAATTTGGATAAATTTACATAAATGTTTAATAAAAATATAAAGGTGTATATTGGGATGAGGTATAAGGTAGTGGAGAAAGAAGAGGAAAAGCAACAAACAGAAATAAACTTTTGCCACAATCCAGCTAGGTCTGTGGGCTAAGCTCTTACCCAAAGCATCTTAGTGTAACTGAGCCTCACAACAACTTTTGGGATTAGGTATTATTATCCGAATTTTATTCTGAGGGAAACAAACTTTAAAAGAGAACACATATTGCCCATAATCACTCATTAGAGGACCAGAACTCAAATTCAGGTCTGCATTACTCAATATTATAGGGCCTTTCTAATATATAACACTGCCTCTAAGATAGTTAATCTTTCACAGAATGAAATTGATTAGAAACACACACACACACACACACACACACACACACACACACACAAACACACACACACACAAAACTTCCAGATGTTTACCAGATAGGTAGAAGCAGACAATTTTAAGAAGGCATGATCTAGGGTACTCTATCATCCCTCCTTTCCCACCCCATTTTTTTTTCTTTTTTTTTTTTTGAGATGGAGTTTCACTCTTGTTGCCCAGGCTGGAGTGCAATGGCGCGATCTCGGCTCGCTGCAACCTCCGCCGCCTGGATTCAAGCAATTCTCCTGCCTCAGCCTCCCGAGCAGCTGGGGTTACAGGCATGTGCCACCACGCCCAGCTAATTTTGTATTTTTAGTAGAGACGGGGTTTCTCCATGTTGGTCAGGCTGGTCTCGAACATCTGACTCAGGTGATCCACCCGCCTTGGCCTCCCAAAGTGCTGGGATATTTGCTGTTTCTATTATTTGTGTTTAGTGCTGAAGGAGTTAATGTATTGCCCTCAAAATTATTAGAGTACTCCTTTCTCTTTCTTAGTTTCCACTTAAACTGTAGCATTTTGTATTTAACTATTTATTTTCACAATACCATCCAACACCATGCCTTACAGAATGTGAAATGCTGCCAGCAAGTGTTTTGAACACTTCCCCACTGATTTTGTTCATGAAAAGAAGAGGTCAGTTTTTGTAGCTTTGCAAGAAAACTATTAATCCTGTGTTAAACACAAAGAAAAACACAGAAGTATGTGGGTGTAAATGGTAGGCTTATCTCTTCGTACAGCATCCCCAACAAAAATGGCACTTGTGACTTCTGATAGCAGCAATTGTTCTTAGTTTGTTACTTTATTTGGGGGTTGAATAAACTATAGGAGTGGATGATGAAGTTATTTGTCATTGCATGATAGGATATAACCCAAGTAATAAACAGCAGACATTTATAAGGAATAGATCACAGTAGGGACACCAGACAGCCTTCAGTTGCAAAACAACAGGGCACAAGAAAGAGAATTTGATTAACTGAATTTGTTCAAATGTTATAGGGCCTGGTGATATAACAAGGAGGGAAATTGCAAAGATGCTTTCTCAAGAATACTGTGACAAGAATGCACAAAAAGGCTAATAATGCGATATATGATTGTATAGAAATTACATCGTAATGAACTTGTGCTATTAATACCTAAGAAGAAAGAATAAATTGTCCTGAGATAATAGCTGCATGTAGTTGCAGCAAAGAAGGATTGCAAAGAGATCAACACGGAGATAAAAAATAGCACATTGAAGGCTTTGGCGAGAGGGGGGATGTTAATATCTGATAGGAATTGGTTGAAATAAATGCAAAATGCTCTTCTGCAAAGGGATGGGTATTGCTCAGTGCAAGTGTGTGAGAACAAAGAAAGTGCTGTTTAAAGATCTATGAGATGAGAAAGAATCTGAAGCCATTAATGAATAGGAAATTGGTAGTTTTGCTATATAATATGAGCTAATCATCAAATGTCCCCATCTCTGGAGTGCTCCCAAGGGATGAAAGGCTATTGGCAGCCCTGACAATAAACAGAATGTCTGTGTGTAAAGCAACGTTTAAGGCAAACCAGAGCTAGTCTAAGGAGATGGGCTCTGCCCATTTCCAGTCTTCAGCAGCCATATGTGCATGAAAGATGCAGGCCCAAGGACATCTTCTACTTCGTTTTTGGTTGTTTTCTATGAAACCTAAATACTTATTTTCTGGGTTTGTCACCAGGATTTTGTAGCAAAGGAATCATACAGAGTGGAATAATGGACATTGGAGACTCAGAAGCAGGGAGGATGGGAGAGAGATTAGGAATGAAAAGCTACATATTGGGCACAATGTGTACTACTTGGATGAAGAGCTCACTAAAATCTCAGACTTCACATTCATGCATTTCATCTGTGTAACCAAAACCCACTTGTATCCCCAAAGCTATTGAAATAAAAAAAATATATTAAGTTGAGACCTTGTGCACTAAAACAAATACTAGGCTAATTCTTGTTAAGCACTTTGACATGTATTTGCAAAAATGACAAGGAAGACATGTCCCTGCCTCACAGAATAGACAATTCAACAATTAGCTGCCTAATTCAGCGATGATATATTAAAGTATAATGATCATTATGGCAGATAAAGTAGAGGGGGCTAGGAAACACTTGGCAGGGAATCCAGCCCAGTCTAGAGGATTCCTGAGCAAGACACCTCCCTGAGAAAGAGGCATTTAAGCTGAAATTGAAAGAAGGAATGGAAGTTAGCTAACTCTTTATAATAGACACTGAATTTCAAGTTGAATTATTTATTAAGTCCCTAAAATTTTAATTTCTTGATAATTTCTGGTGGCATTTTGATGATATATGATTTTAATGATGATTATCTAATGCATTTATCAACTGTAAGCATCTTGGTTTGCAGTAACCACATAGTGGGTAGCCAAATTGCTATTCACTGAAATAAAATTTTCCCTGTGATCATTTTTTTGCTTTCTTTTTCTCTCACAATTTATTGGGATATAATTCATATACCATAAAACTCACCATTTTGAAGTATGAAACTCAGTGTTTTTTAGTATATTCAGAAGGGTTTGTGATCATTCCTACTATCTAACTGCAGAACATTGTTATCATCTCAAAGAGAAACCACATACCCATCAGCTGTCATTGCCCATTTCCCCTTTCCCCTAGCACCTAGCAAACACTAATTAAATCTCTATTGCTATAGATTTGCCAATTGCAGACATTTCATGTAAACAGGATCATACAATATGTGGCCTTTTGTGGCTGGCTCCCTTCACTTAGGATGATGTTTTCAAGGTTCACCTGTGTTGTGGTGTGTATCAGTATTTTGCTCCTTTTTATGGCCAAATTATATTCCATTGTACACATGCACCACATTTTGTTTATCCATTCATCAGTAAGCATACATTTGGTTTCCATTTGTTAGCTATCATGACTGATGCTCCTGTGAACATTTGTGTATACGTATTTGTGTGGACATATGCCTTCCTTTCTCTTGAGTATATAACTGGGAGTGAAATTGCTGGGTCATATGGTAACTTTATGATTACCCTTTTAAGGTACTGCCGCGTTGTTTTCCAAAGAAGAAATGCTTTTACATTCCCACTAGCAATGTTTTGCTTTCTTTTTATAGACCCCAGAGGAACTGGAGGATGTTTCTGACCTTGAAGAGGAACACGAGGTCCGCAGTCACACCAGCATTCAGACCGAAGGGAAAACTGATAGGGTATGTCACTTCAACTGGTGGGAGAACCATGTACTGTGTCACTGAAGGCTGTGCCCTCCCTTTGTCAATCTAGGCAGCCTCTAATGGGTGGGACTCCTGGATCTGGAGCTAGTTCTGTGAAGCACATGGAGAAAAGCCTTAGCATTAAGGGAAACCACATGAGGGGAATTATTTTCCTCTATCTTGAGAGCTCACAGTAAGTCCATTTCAGGTCATGTAGTGAATCACTCCATACTGCTTTTGATCTTTATAGGAGTCATGGGAATATAAAAGTGAAATATGTACATGTTTGCTTAGACTAGAAAAAAGAAACGAAGAAGTTGTAAATATACTCGGGAATTCTAGTGGAGAAGAAAACTCGTCTGAGTCAATAATCTACTTTTCTTTCTCTACAATAACTTCTCCTGTGCCTGCCCCCAAACACACACACACACACCCCACCACCACCACCACCACTGCCACCACCACCACACAACTCCAAATATGTTATTCTAATTTCTGAATTACTCTGAGATATTGTACTTCACTTTACTCCCACCCAGTGCCTGGGTATCTGTGAAAGTTTGGCATCCTAGCCACTTATCGCTTGCAACTACAGACCAGACAACAAACCTTGGATCTGAAACCCACGTAGTACAGCACAGTGCCTAAGCCTTCCTGGGAATGCATGTGCATCTGCCACCTCCTTCTGGAGTGTTACTTGGGAAAGTCAATTAGCTTCTCTGTACCTCAGTTCCCTCATTTGTAAAGCAGAGATACTAATAGTATCCTTCATATGAGGATTACTGTGGGAATTAACTGAGTCAACTAACAGACCACTTATATAGTGCCTAGTTCATAGTAACTTCTCAATAACTGTTAGTTACTATCATTCATAGTAGTAATAGCAGCAGCAACAATAGTAGGATTATCATGATCATCATTATTAATATTATTATTAAGTTAGTTAAATTCGGTGACATAAAATTTGGAGATGGAAGCAAATTCCTAACCTTTCCCTCTGTTTTCTGGCCTCTTATGGTTGTATCTGATGTTGAAGCACTTATATTGAAAGGCTGGCGCATACTCTGTTTTTGTAGACATATTGTTATACAAGCTCTGCAGAAACATTTCAAGCAAAGACCCGTTTGGTTAACTCCATGTCACAATGAGTGTTAGTGCACATTTCCTTAAAAAAAATGTTGATATTCCTCACATGTTTTGATATTCTATTGTAATCTATGGCTTGTGGAAACTGATTTGAAGAAGAAAAAACAACTTTAGTCCTTACCAAATTTTACCTAGAATCCTTTGGATTTCTATTCCCTAAGAATGTAATATAAGATAAATACACTGAAAAATATCTAATTTTAAACAGATGCAGAGAGTCACATTCTGTTTCTACTATTCTTTTTGATTGCCTTTTTAAAATCCCACAACATATTATGTAAAATATTTTGTTTGTTTATCTACTTTGACATATGTGAAATGAATGTTTAAAAAGCTATCTCATTAGAGCTTAACTATATCTTTTTATTAACAATAATATCTTGCATCTACATATTTGTTTTTACAGTGCGCTAAGTATTTTCTCATTTACTATAAAATACAGAAAATATGGTAAAACATAATATGGGAAAAGATAAATTTGGGAAAGTTCCATGTTTTCAGACATTCAGATTGCCTAGAAATAATATATATCAGCCAAGAAAATAAAACCTGTGTTTTATCAGAAACATTGCTTATCTCAAATTTTGGTAATAGGAATATTTCATTTCAGTGGAGAAAAAATGTTCTTTGAGTAGACACCATTATCACATAGCCAGACAGATAGTATTTGGTAATATATTGGGAAATGCTACTTTCTTGAGTTTCCATTTCTTACAGATTATTTGGGTTATTTGTCAGCCCTCTACTAGCCAATTTGTGTTGAAAACTGTCTAGGGTCACACAGCATCTGGATTTAGTTTCCTTCAAATCTAGTTGGCATCATTGGTAGAGATCACATCTTATGAGTGGAAATTGAATTGGAAATACATTTTGCTAAAAGTAAGCTTTGCTCTTGCTTTCAGGGAAGTGGGTGCGTGGTTCACTCAGGCTGATGCCACTGAAGGTAAAGTGTAGGTGTCAAGGCTTGCAAAGTAATTGACCAAAGGAAATTTTGTTAAAATTAAGGCTCTTTTTAGAATGCTGGAATTAGGATAAACACACCTCAGTTTTTATTCTGGCTTAGCACTTGTAGACGATGAAGACTTGGTTAGAAAACCAAATTTATTCATTTGAAAAATGAGATGAATAATACCATAGTTTCTCACAGCATCACTGGTAACTTCAAATAAGATAATGCATATGGAAGTGTTTCAAAAATTTCCACATTATATACGATGGTAAACTTCTTATTACTACTATTTTCATTTGTATTTTTGTTCTTGGTCCAAAGTATAGGCCAGGCCAGCTAGATGACTGGCTGCCCATTATAGGTTACAAACTTGATGATCTCTATGATTCTGAATCTTAAGAATTTTTCATAGAAGCCACTGCTTCTAATGTTGTGGAAACTACCCTGAAACTGCTCTGCATCTTGCATTAGTGTTCTGCTGCGTACAGTTCTCAGACAATCCAGTTCATTCGGAATGCCGCTGGGTGAAAACCTCACCACTGTTTAGTGACAAGATAGATCCCTGACCACGAAATCTACTGGTGGCAACATTATATTCAACCTGGCTACTCTCTGCTCTTATAAATATCCTCTGCATAAATCCCAAATAATTGGATTTTATTCACTTCCTGCATTGGGGCTCCCTAGCAACTACTATGTGGAATCCCTCTGATAACTGCTCAGTCATGATAATACATATACAACCTTATATGAGGCACGAACCCCACATAGAGCAACTCTTGACCAATAACCCTATTCTGTTTCTAAGATGGACAATTTGGAAATGCATTTTCCACAGAACCTGAAAGGGTCCCCAGTAGGATCAAGTAGTAACCATGTTGATACTGTGTCTTTAGACTGGCTCTCCTTTCTTTCCTGATTCGTTCTTCCCAGGCTCCCAGTTCCGTTTACTAATATCTATTTCCAAAACAAACTACCTTCCAATCTCAGACTCTGCTTATTGGAAGAAAATAATAAAAGAAAATTACTCCATATATATTATTTACTTAATTTTTACATTAAATTTGCTATATTAATATTATTCCAGTTTTACTAATAAGATCACTAAGGCTCAAATTTATGTAACTTGTGTAGTAAGAGGATTATGTCTTCAGACTCAGACCTTCTGTGATTGCCACATGTCAGTTTACTTAGGAAATAAAGTTATGATAAGTCCTTTACTAAAAAACAAACAGATAGACCACCACCAGAGCAATAAACCTGATGTATCATTAATGGAATGAGAAAGAGGACAGAGCAAAGGATGTCACAGCTGTCTGACAAGGGGAAGACACAAATTTTCCTTTAAATTTTGAAGAGAAATTATTTTATATTGTAGATAATTTGGTACCAATAACACCCCTTACATTATATCTGCCTTGTGAGTTTATTACAACAGATTCTACTCTCATAAGTTAAGTTTATGAGACAGATGGCCAAGGAAAAGGATAGCTCAGATTTGGTCCCCACCCAAATCACCCAACAAGAACCAACATTATATTTAGATAGGTTTTACAATATCTACCAGACATCTCGTATTCTTGAGTCCCATATTCTTTATACTAATATCTGTGTTCCATACTCCTTATAATAATAAAATGACATTTATATCTTCAATCTCTTATCCATCTGAGACATTATTGTCACATTCTAGCTGTAATTGCTGTAATTTCATATCCATTGCACTGAGTGTAACTTTTGGCACATTTCACACACACTCTCACTTTGAGAAGATACTATAAGATATTGAAGGAGATTCTGTTGAGAAGTCTTTAAATACTCATGCCATGCTCAGTGTGGAATTTGGGGTCACAGCACAAGATGAGTAAATGGATTTCTTTTTTGTTGTTGCTGTTTCTAAAGAGTAAATGCCTTTTTAGTTCTTGGATCATGCAGACTCTGCTGTATTGCACATGCGCTAGAACCAGGCACTGTTTAGTAATGGAGTGACAGTTATTTATTATCATTTTACTTTCTGTATTCATTCCTACTAGCTTCAGCTCAACATCATTTATTATTGTTGTCACCAGTGGCAAATGCCAGTAGGCATTGTAAAGGTCTGTAACTAACATATAATGATTTAGAGTCTGTGGTCAATGAGAACAAAATATTAAAAGACCAATAATGCATGACTTACGAAGTGACAATGGAAATAGCAGTGGAAATCAGTAATTATCTTAATTGTTAAACATGAATACTCACTGGACCAATACGTGGTTATATCCAGTGATCAGGCGTACCGGAGTGACACAGGAGTTTGAGTTTGATTCGGGTTCATAGAACATTCTTCACAGAGCTCATTGTTTATTCTGTTCATGCTTTCAGCCAGAATAAAATAGGCATCTTTTATCTGAAAAACTCAAATTCAAAAGAGACATGAAAATACACCTTTTAAAAGAGAATAAAATTTCTAAACTTATTAATAAGATGTTTGTAAGTCCTAAAAGCTTCCTAAAATGTTATATGACATACAGACTAAATCATATTTTCTATTTAAACAGAGCAGTGCCTGATACTGTTTAACACATCATAGTTTACAGAACATTTTCAAATTGGTAGCTTATTTATAAAAAGCCCTGGAGCTTATTTTTTGTTATCTTTTCCGTTTGGTTTTACTAATTAGGAAATGAAACAAAAAATTTAAGTAGTTTATGCAAGCCATATTAACTGGGACCAAATCGCAGGTCTTTTGGCCTCAAACATGTTCTCTTTCCAGTACAGCACACTTGTAAACTGGAATAGTCTCATCATCCCTTAATATTGTCATTGATCTACTATTGCAACAGCCAGCATTATAGAGTCAATATTATAAATTGCTGTACTAGAAAGATGGTTTGTTAAACTGAAGACCACAAACCTTAAAATTAGATGTATTTAAACCTTGCAAATTTCTACACGTCCCCATCCTACAATCTTCTATCAATAGCAAAATTGGCTTGTTGATTACCATTTAGAAACTACCTGGTAATGCCCAGACCCTGAAAGTCTCTCTTGGTGGGTCACTTCACCTTGATGAAGTGGAGTATTGGGCAAGTAGGGTCATATAGCAGGGGATCCTGCAGGGTGAGGATCCAAAGTTAGTTCCCACCACGGAATCCAGAAGAGCAAAGGCAGTTGCTCCTTAGTCATTGTCTCATCACATTGGCCTGTGTGATGTTTCAATAAAACGAGAATTCTAATTTCTAGAAGTTTTTCCTGTTTTATTTTCTGCAATAGGGGCAGCAGTCGTAGTAGAGACTTAGGAAATTATTTAAGTTGCAGCAGGGTGGCAGCTGAACGTTCCTCAAACTTACCTGAGTAATAACTGTGGGTTTAAAAAGGCTCTTCATAAAATTGATTGAAAGAGAGTTTGGGGAATAGAATAGGTGAGCAAATGACTTGCCTTTTATAGAACTACTGTAATGTATAAGTCAAGAGAATGGACTTTGGAGTCACATAAACCTTGACTCAAATCTCAGTTCCACCAATTACTGTCCATATGACCTTCATAAAGTTACATTTCTAACTTTCAATTTTCTTATCTGTAAAATCATGATGATGATAATAATAATATCTATTTTATAGGTGTTTTTGAAGATTCAATTAGATATGTGAAAATTCTTGTTTGGTTTCTGGCACATAGGAAGTGAACAATAAATTTTGATTTTTATAAAATGAATCTCATGAAAAATGCAGATCTTTGTGTGCTCCTGATGTGCTTTGACTTTTTATTGAGTAGCTCAGGGAGCTTTGTAAATACAAATCTCTCTGACTCCTGATATGGGACTACTTGGTTTCCTGTTTCATGGTACTAAGTATTTTTGACATCATGGACACTTTACTACCAGAAGTCTTTTGAAATTATTTTTTGCCTCAAGAAGGGGACTAATGAAGAAATGCTTTAAGAGATTAAAAGGAAGAAGGCATTGTGATTCTTAATGATGCCAGCAAGTTTATGTAAATCTGTATTCACAAAAGTAAGCTAGAACTGAAATAGATATCCAAAAAAGCAACTCTTGTTAATGCAACATCACCGAAAAGTTGACCCAATAGTTGTCAAGTTCTTATTTCCCTCACCATTTAGTAAAATGCCTGGCTCTGCACTGGGAGTTTTTCTTCCTTGTGGAACTTTGGTAGCTTGGTAATCCATTAGTTTCTGTCTCTGTCAGTTCTCATAAAGTTGCATAGGACTTAAACTTTTCAATTTTTAATTTTTCTGCCAGGCGCAGTGACTCACACCTCTAATCCCAGCACTTTGGGAGGCTGAGGTGGGTGGATCACTTGAGGCCAGGAGTTCAAGACCAGCCTGGCCAACATGGTGAAACACCATCTCTACTAAAAATACAGAAATTAGCTGGGCATGGCAATGCATGCCTGTAATCCCAGCTACTAGGAAGGGTAAGGTGGGAGGATTGCTTGAACCCAGGAGGTGGAGGTAGCAGTGAGCGGAGATTGTGTCCACTGCACTCCAGCCTGGGTGACAGAGTGAGAGACTGCCTAAAAAAAAAAAAAAAGAAAGAAAAGAAAAGAAAGAAAAAAGAAAAAAACAACATTTAATTTTTCTAGATGTATAATGATTTTTTAAAAAAAGAGAAAAAAATACATCTCATTCTGATATTTATTGGATGCATGTTGGAGATAGTTCTGCAAGTAGTCATTTATAATTACCTCTTCTTTCTTTGCCCCTGCCCAAGAAGAACATATTCTACAGTCATTCTTTCCTCCGCCTGTACAACTTGAAATCCAATAAGGTCTAAATACTAAATCAAAGGTTTTGTTCTGTCTCACACAACTTAAACTTTGATTATAGTGTCTTGTAGGTGAGTGGTGAGAAAAGGAATTTGTTAGCACTGAATTAGACTGGGTAAGATTTTTATTTAAGGATATTTGAATCTGCTAGTTCTAATTGCTGGAATTGAGTTTAATGAATAGAACATTAAAAACAAGACATTTAAATATTATAATTTCAACGATAGTCATTTCATATTTCATTGTGACCAGGTTATACTACATTTTTAAAGATACATTATTTGTCATATATACTGATGACCCCAAATTACAGAAATTGTAATATGCAGTCTTTGCTTGATGACTAAGGTCTGTCATGTGTTTAACATTATATTCACTTAAGAGCATATAGTTTGTCAACCTGCCCTGCCTTAGAGAAAATCTCTGGGGCCATTGAATCTATATAAGGTCTATAAATAGAAGTAATTTAGGACAGAAATAAGAACAGTTGCCTAGGTTACTGGACACAACCTCAAAACGTCAATAGCAACAGATGAACTGGAGCATATCAAATCTTAAAATACTTGCGATGGTTCTTAGTGTAAAAAAAATGCCATGTAAACTTTATGTTGGTGATAGGAAAAACTGCCTCACTTTTGCTTGTTTACATGCAGTTACCTGAATATCCTTCACTATGAAATAGAAAAACAATTCCATGGATGAGTGGTTTACTCTAAAAATTAAAAACATTTTAACAGGCCATAATTATTATCAGTATATACTCTCAATAACTCAAATTTGTACGGAATTACCTTACAGAATATTGGGACACATGACCTCATTACCATCTTCATGATCTAATTTGGCTTATTATAAAAAACAGTTTTAATCAATATAGATAAAATTTCATTAATCAGCAGCAACACAGCAGGCAATACATTTTCTCATCATTGGTTACTATCATTTCAATTTTATGTTTGGCAGTAACTCTGCTCTCCTATCTTTCTGGGTGATCTTTTTCATATTTTTCATGGTTTCCTTTTCCTCTATCTATTTTTAAACATTAGGGTTTATTAGAGTTCTCATATAAGCCCTATAGTCCTCCAGCTCTTCCTACTTTTCTTAGACATTGTCACATAATCCCAAGATTTCAAATATCATATGTAGGCATGTGATTCTAGCCTAGTCCTGTCTTTTCAGCTCTGACTACATATATTGGGAGGCCTACAAATTTCCTCTCCTTGAAATAATCACAGGCATCTGTAGATCCCACTGTTTCCAAACCTAAATGCACCACCTTAATCCACTAATCTACTCAAACTCTTACATTCCTTAAGGCACCTCTGTACATTCAGTTGCACAAATCTAAACTCAGGAATAGTTTTTGAGTCTTCCCATAGCTAATCATACAACATGTTCTGGTTTTACTCTCTTCTAAGTATTTTCTGAACTTGTCCATTTTTCACCATCTCCACTATCACCACTGTCAAAGAAGAATTGCACCAAAGTTAAATAAGAGAGGAAGACTTTATTCAAGGCTTTTGCAATGGAACAAAGGCTAGAATTCATTCTGAGCTCAACTCTGCTGAAACAAAGATTTGTCAGAGATATGGTGAGAGGGATTATAGTCCATCAAATTTGCTAATTGCCTTTAACCAAAGAAATCGTAAAACTTCTCATAAATGTTTTCTTTATAACAGGAGATGGTTTTACAACTTGGAGAAAGCCGTTTTCAAGCGGAGGGGAACATTCATGCCATCTTGGTCCCTCCTTTAGTTTAGGCACCGGCACCTCTCACCTAGATTTCTGCAGCATGTTCCTAACTTGTCTCCTGCCATCAGTTTTGTAAACTTCCATTGTCCATACTTAAGCTCCTGTGATATTTCCAAAGTGAAAAATCTGTCATCTATCATCATACATAAAAGCCCTTTTAGGTCTTAGTGTCACCCCTTGCCCTTAGCATGAAATCCAATCTCCTAATGCCCTCTGTAAAGGAACTTCAGGGTCTGCTCTCATTTGCATTATATTTTGCCGGTTTCTCTTCAATGCTACCTCCTCGTGCAGAAATCTCAGGTCTTACAACCATCAGGCTCACCCTCACACCATTTCATTATCTCTGAGAAACACAATTCCTACGCTGCCCCCTCTTTCCCTTTACTAGTATCTGCTCATCATTAGGATTCCAGATTAGCCCAGCCTTCTCTGATACGCAAGTCTGAGATAGTTTCCCTCCAATAATCTTCCATTACATGTGGATTCTCACATTTTGATATTCATTGTGTCTGTATAATTTCCTATATAATGGATTTTTCTCCCTGCTAAATTCTAAACTCCATTACAGCAGGGGACATGTTGTCTTCTTTTAGCACTACATTTGCAGAACGTAGGACACTACTTAGTACAGAGGAGATTCATATGTGAATCACGTCATATAGGAAAGAACATAAGGAGAGGCTTTATTTTGTAAGATATCTTGCCCCAAAAGCACACCCTAGGCTAATATATTGAGCCTAGGGTATTACATGAATTTATTTCTTTATCTTTTTTCTTCCAACAGTTGTAACTCCTTGTGCCAGATAAATCTTACTATAAATTCTTAGACACTACACTGAAATATTCAATTTAGTACCAGCTAGTGTAAATATTAATTGATCTGCTTGTTTGCCGAAGTCCTTCACTACGCCATTTTATTCCTGGCCATATAAGGGATATAGAACCTCAATCCTTTTTATTTGCTACAATGATCCTTGTGTTTCTGACAGAGAGTTAGGATTTTCCCTGAGCCTATATTTCTGATTTTTCCATGTCAGAATGGTCTAGTTTTGTCTTTTTTACTTCCTTTCAAAAGTTCTTCTAGATGAGCCCAACTCCCTTTATTCTCATAAAGCTTTCTTTATACTTTAGCCCCTATTGATTTAATAAAACAAAAACTTCTGCTGAAAAGCTGTCTAAAGGACAGTTTACTCACTCCTTTTGGATTTTTACATGTCAAGTGCACTAGGCTCTATCTCTATCCATTGTAAAGTAGTGTACTTGAGCAGTTTGATCTTTAAGTTCTTTACTTGAATTTAAATTTAGTGTCATTTCTTTAATTTTATAAGTCACTGTATAAAAATCTAGACAGAGAAAAATTAAAGTTTAAAACACTGTATATTATAGTATCCAAAACTTCTTATATACGAGTTAATAAATGCTTCTTGAAATTTCAATCTGGGAAAGATTTTTACCAAATATCTTAATATGCTCTTACTTATCAGACAGTGGAGCTTCATTAAAATATGTACATTTTCATCCTGCTTTGGTTACTGGGAAGTTCTATGTAAAAATTAATATTCAATAGCTAATCTGAATTGCTTAGTATATAATTTTTAAAAATTAAAAAGATATCTTTTTTATTATAGTTTTTCTTAATTTAGTTTTTCCGTTGTCAAAATTTTCTTATCACCAATGATGAAGTATATTTTAGAGTGAGGGAAGGTATAGGCATCAAGTATATTTTTGCAACAATTAGAACTTCTGTGATTTAAGCCTAAATCTCTCTCCTCTTCCATTGATTTATAGAGTAGAACGTTGGTATTCAAAAATGCCCGTTTTCCACCTTATAACATGGACAAAAAAACCAAAGTTCTATATCTTTAGTAGTTTATAATGCCACCAAGGCATGAATTTAAGTGGTATATTGTGATATATGTGACTTACTTGCTACTTAGTGAACCTAGCCTGCCATCCATTCTTTAAACAGAGTTTTCTACTCATCGATGCATTTACAGTGGAAGAAATAGCAAGCAGAGAAGTTCTGAGAAGAAAATGTTTTTGGAGGTGAATGTTGGTGAAGTGAGCAGTAATAGAAGTCTGAAACTAAAAGGGAGGCCTGGTCCAGATGATGTATAAACCATCATAAGACATTTGCCTTTTACTTTGAGTAGAATGAGAAGCCATTGGAGGGGTTTGAAGCCAGAAGAATCATGATATGACATGTTTTAAAGGAGTCTTTCTGAATGCTGTGTTGAAAATAGTCTGAGAAGTGATTCAGGAAGAAGCAGAAAGTTAAAAACCATTGCTATTATTTTGGTGAAAAATGGTGGAGACAGAGACCAGGATTTTAGAAATGGGGAGGTTGAACGTTGTTGATTGTGTATATATGGTGAGAGGTAAAACTAACTAAATTTGCTAAAAGATTGGATATTGGGAATGAGAGAGACAGGAGTCAGGGACAACTCAAGGTTTTGGCTTCAGAACTGGGAAGATGGGCTTACTATTTATATTGATACAGAGGAGACTGAATTGAGCAGTCTGGAGATGGTGAAAGAGCAGAAATTAATTTTGACTGTGACTAGACTAAAAGTCAGTTGAAAAACCAAGCAAAGATGTCAGCTAGACTGGAAATTATCTTATATGCATAGCTTTATATTATTATTTTGCAACCTTCTAAACTTACAGTGAAGTTTTATGTATTACTTGGTGACCATTTTTTTTTCCTCAAGGAATTGGCTTTAGGTCTGTTTTCCTTCAAATTTCAGACTTCATCCCCCAACAAATCTCCTCTTTTCTGACATACTTGTTCTCTTGAATAGCACCTTTTTAGTAATGCCACCACTAACCACTGACTTAAAACTGTGACTCCATTTCCAACTCTCTTATAACCTCTTTCCATTTTTTCTTTACTTTTTTCCATAACATTACCTTCACTCTCTGATGTATTACATATTTGCTTGTTTGTTTAGTCTCCCTATTAGATAGCAAATTCAATGAAGGCAACAGTTTTAATGTTCTTTTTTTTCCCATGATGTATTCCCCCACACTTAGAACAGTGTCTGGCTAGTAAATGTGCTTTAAATATTTATTGAGTCAATAAATAAACAGTGTTAACCATATATGTGCTTTGGGAAAAGAGACCTGTGCAGAAAATTTGGGGGTGGTGGGGTTGTTTCAGATACAGCACTTGAATCCAACCAATTATAATGTAGCTACAGAATAAATAGGGTAGCTCCTATATTTCCAAAATAGTATTTTAGTAGATAATTACTTAGACAATGGGCATTTGGAAAAATGTTGAGGCTAAAGTACTCAGGTGATTCTTTCTCTTTGTAGGTTTAAAGGTGTTTGTGGTAGACATCTGGCTAGCAAGTATGTCTCTGCTTTTTCTGCCTTAAATTGTCATCATTGAAAAAGTCCTATTTCATTTATGTTGAAAATTGAACATGTATACATATTGTTGAATTATTAGTCCCTGGTTAACAAAAATATACTTACATCTTTTCCTACTAAAGACAATAAGTGTGTAGTAATAGGTAAGGTAGCAGAAAAAGAAGCCAAATGCAACACCTTCTTTTACGTGCTTTCTAATATTCTAAAAATTACCTTTGTACGGTGAAAGTACCATAACCGAAATAGTATTTTTATATTCATATTTTTAATCAGTGAGTAACTTCTAACTTACATTTATTTTTTAGAAATGTGAACATGTATTTCTAATATATAAGTTGTTTAGGCTATATAGCACTCTAAACATCTAAAGCTTGGCTAAAATCCCATGTAAATATGAACAGACATATAATAGAAGCATTTCCTTGAGTGTAAAGTCATCAGCTATGTAATAGTCATGTACTTGTAAGAAACAGAGCTTTTAGAAAAAGTCAGCCTCCAAACATGTCTCTTCGTTTCTGATGCTAAGACCATTTTAAAGGAGAGCACAATTTCTGGAGCTAGACTCCTATGTTTGAATCAGACTTTGCCACTTACTAACTGCTGTCATTGAGCAAGTTACTGAACATTTCTGTGTTTTGCTTACTTATTTTTAAAATGGACATACATCATAGGGTTATTGTGAGGCTTCTAGGAGTTAATATTTATAAGGAATGATGTATCATTAAGTGATAAAAAATATCTGTCATCATCATAATCATTACCACCACCACCACTATCACGGTTGTCATCATTATTTGTTGAGTGGATTCACATTTATGACATCTCTGCTATTTTTGCAGCTTGGCAACATTCACCTTGCTAATTAGTTCTCTTCAGATTTTTCAGAAGGGTTTCTGGGGAGAGCCAGCCTGATTGGCCAAGCTAAATAAATTTCCTCCTATGTACAAAGTCCTTTACATGGGATTCTTTCATGAATTTCTAGTTAATTTATAGATGGGTAGCTCTTGAGCCACATGCCTACCCTGGTCCAGTTTCAAACTGCAGCTCAGAAGAAAAGAAGTGCTGTGTTGTCAGGGCTGTTATCACACCAGATGCCTAAATCCGTTTGCTTGCAATTATGTAGTCACGAATGTAGCATTAGATTCATGTTGTTCTTTGAAATGATGAAATTAGAAACTACTGTTACTAAAATTTCCTAAAATAATATAAAATGGTGTTATAAGGAAAAAGGATTTCATTTTCAAATATAGTTTCTAAAAATATGCAGAACTCGCTTGGTTTTGTTTGCTATTGTTTTTGTAAGAAGCACCAAGAGTGCCTGGGTCTTAGGGTCACCATCCCTAAGATTAATCTTGGCTCTTTTTATTAGTGACAGTATGACATTTAGTAATATATATATATATATTTCTCTGAGATACTGGTTCCTTATATTTCAACTCAGAGAATACCTACCTTGTAATATTATAATTAGAAATAATGCATATAAAGGACCTTGTGTAGTGATAAAAACAAAGTAGATGCCTAACACATGGTCTGTTCTATTAAAATATAGTGTTTATAAAGAACAGTAACTTCAAATCATAAGGGATTCATATTGTGCAGTGAATTAAATATAAGTTACCTAAGGTAAAGGCGAACCAGAGTAGATTTAAAAAAACAGTTTATGTTTTAATTTGCAGGGAGGGAATAGAAAAAAAGGCACAAGGAATAGGAATAAACAAAAGTATATAGAAGGAAGGAAGAAAGGAAGGAAGGAAGGGAGTAAGGAAGGAAAGAAGGAAGGATGGAAGGAAGGAAGGGAGCAAAGGAAGGGAGGGAGAAAGAAAGAGAGGAGAGGTTTGGGTTGGGGCAGGAAGACTCTCTATTTACCAAGAGTAATAGTGTGCAATGAACTGAAGAATATGACTAATGCAATCCTCAGCTCCTGAGTTCCAGCAACATAAACAACAACAACAAAGGGCCCTATATGTACTAGATAAAAAGGAGTAAATATTTATTTTTGTGACTTTAGGATGGTAAAGGATGTTCCAAATGTGATACCAAAGACCAAAAACAAAAGAAAAGGGGCGCGAACTTTACTGCTGAGAATACAAAATAAAAAAGGTAAACCCAAGCAAACAAAACACAAAATAAAGACAAACATCCATTTGAGGAGATAATAATCACAAATTATATAAGAAAATGTTTATATATTCATAGAAATAGATTTTCACAAATTAATAAGAAGAAATGACTCCTCACCCCACTTTCCACGCCTGGCCAACAGAAAACTGGGCATAGGCCCTATTACAAGGTATTCATAAAGAATACATGTACATTTATAGTAAGTATGTTAATTGTTGTCCCATCTCATCAGAGATTACAAAAATGCAAATGAAAACAACAATGAAATACTATATTCGGATAACATTTGAAGAAGACATGAAAAGATTGTTAATATCCATTGTCAGAAAGTTTTTATGGAAAATTGATACTCAAACACTTTGTGGAGATACCAATTAGGGTAAGCTGTCTGCAGGAAAACTGGGAAGTAAGCATTGAAAACCTTTATAAAAGTGCATTCTCTTTGTCTTCTAGAATGTTTGCCCAGATACATTTGGAGAACTGCAGAAAGATATTCACCACTCAGTATACACACACACACACACACACACACACACACACACACACACACACACAAAACACCTACCTATCTACATAAATATGAAACAACTGATAACCATTAATAACATGTAGATAAATGATACCAGATCTAAATCATGAAATAAGAGTTATAAAATGTGACAAATCTATATTATACAGACACTGGTCTACTTTATAATGTTAAAAAATAAGGAACAAAACAGTATACATAATATGATCTCATTTTGCAATATAATTTGTAAAATAATGACACATATATATGTAGCCTACAAGAATAGTCTTAAAATATTGCTTTCAAAATCTTTGGTATATGAAACAATATTTTATGAAAATAAAGGTATTCTGTATGAAAGTACAGAGGGAAAAAGAAGCCTACCATACTACTGAGAGTTTGTGCATAATTTTATAGACCAAAATGTTTCAAATAAACATAAGGAAAAAATAGCTATCTATAAGTTTACTATCTAGAATGAGCCGTGGTTGTTAATCCATTTGATTTTCTTAATCTTTAAAAAGTTACATTAATAGAAAGTATATATACTCTTACTGAATATTTAATGAAGCATACATTATTAAAGCCCACTGTAAGACGAAATTTTTGTTCTCTATCTTTTGATAGAGGCTACTAATTCTTGTCTCAAACTGGCTAAATATTCTTTCATTTCCAAACAGTAGCACTACCTCTAGACTAAGTCTAATGCCCTGAAGTTCAGATACAAACTAATATGCCAGTGGGATTGATGTCAAAGTGATAGAATTGCAGAATAGATTTTAGTGACAATTTTTCAGGCTAGTTCTAATTGATTGAGTAGAATTCCACCACTGCAGTTCTGTTGCTGATGATTATTGTTAAAAATGACTGAAAACAAAAGAGTCAACCAAGCACTCCAGAGATCACTGGCTCCGTAAACTGGTTAGCTTACATGAGGGTCAGTCTGAGCCAAAATGTCCACTGGTCCTTAGCTAAAATGTCAGTGTAGGGAGGAGTTTCTCTACCGTGTACTGTTGACATTTTGGACCAGACAATTCTTTGTTGTAGTAGCTGCCCTGTGCATTGTAGGGTGTTTAGCAGCATCTCTGGTCTCTACCCAGTAGATGCCAATGAAGCACCATCATTGTCTGGGGAAACAGCCAAAGTTTGTTGTCTCGCGATAAGAGGAACAAAGATGCTGACACATACACACGGAGTGGGTTTAAGAGCGGAAAGTTTAATAGGCAAAAGAAAGAAGAGAGAGCTTCCTCATGCAGAGAAAGGGGGTCCCCAAGTATGTTTCTGGGTTTGGGGTGAGATGAGGTCCACTTTATAGAGGGGCTTGAGGAGATGGTGTTTGATTTAAATTGGGCCCAGGGGATTGGTTTGACCAGGTGTGCTATTTACATAGCCCACAAATCTTTTATTATGTAGATAAGGTTTTACCTGGCTGGTGCCATGACACCTGCACATGTGGCGACAAGGAAAAGGAAGAAGGAATCACCATGTTGGATGTACCTAGCTTCCAGGTACAGCTGATGCCATTTATCTATGCAAATTTCCATCTTGCTTATCTATGCTTGTAACTTGATTTTTCAGGCTGCTTTTTATTAGAAAAGAAATGATTTGGGGGCTGCTTTTTATTAAAAGAAAATTCTACCAAGAACTCTTTCACCCTCACTAACTGCCTAAATAATTTCTTACTACTCTATCACCAGTAGCGCACACCTCTCACATCACTTGTGACTAACAATAATCTTCCAAGAGATTGCCAAGTAACAATGAGGTTGTGATTGCGGAGTCGGGGAGAGGTAAAATCAACCAAAGGAACAGCCATTCTTTCTTAGGAAAGATCGTTCTTTTCTACTGAGTCCTTCCTAATTTTGAGGTTAAAATATTCTTTTTAAGAAAAGAATAGTGATAGTGGATGGTAAGTTTTTTGTGGTAATTTTTTCTTCCTTTTTAAATTTTTTGTTTTAAACGTGTGTGTTTTATTGCCCTTACTTGGTAAAATAAAATAATTTGCAAACATATGTTTATTCTGCTACTTTTTAAAAAAAATTCGCATGCCCATGAAAGCCCATGCTTAAGAACCTTTGGCAAAAACCATGGTCTCTCATCTTTTACTTTGAAAATGTTTCCAATTACTATAGATGTGACTTGTCTGAGAGCCATTTGTGTTGAGTCTGCAGTAAAACTGGAATATATCTTCCTGAAAGATTCCTCCAAACACCCTAGAGTTTTACCTTTGAAAGCTTAACTAATTGAAGCCTTACTTTTAATTTCCTTTTGTGCTCATTTATAGACATGGCTTCATCTATATCCTGTCTCAGTACTAAGATAGGCTCGTGTGTCAGCTGCTGCCTCTTGAGCAGAGGGTCTTATTTCTAGTGCCTGAATGGAATTTTACTTGGAAAAGCCTTGTCTATTGCTATGGGCCTTTCTAATCCAGATGTTCCCCCTCCAAATTCACATTCAGAAGACAAGAAGAATTATGTTTTGTTTATTTAATGTTGGTGTGTGTTCTGACCAGATGGATTTAGCTTGTACAAACTGATTGTATTGTTAGTGCTACTGATGTAGGATAGGTGTTACCATCAACCCTGTGTTTTGATTCTTGCAGCAGCAAAGG
Source organism: Homo sapiens (assembly GCF_000001405.40). Lineage (NCBI taxonomy): Eukaryota > Metazoa > Chordata > Mammalia > Primates > Hominidae > Homo > Homo sapiens. The sequence goes on along the minus strand of NC_000010.11, from coordinate 66,085,918 downwards.
GGTGTTTTACATGTTTTGAATCTTAGGCAGTGATTGTGCCATATTTTAACATAAATTATGGTACTACATAAAAAGGGATTGAATTACTTCCATTGCATATAGAAGGAAGATTCCTTTAATTGAGATCTGACAATGTAACACAGAAGTATATTTCAAAACAATTAAGCCTCATGATTTTGTTTGGAGAATTACGAATGCTGTAGGCACTGTAATCAGAAGAATAAATATAAAAAATGATCTGGCAGTTTTTAGCACTTAAAACTTAGATTCTTTGAGAATTTTTTGAATTGTCAGAATAACATGCCAACATTGTGACTCTCTGGTGACATTCTCCCATATTCTCTTTCATTTATTTTTTTCTTGATTATGAAAGAAAAATAAATCAAAAAAGAAACTAGAAAAAATAATACTATTCTATATATAAGAAAATATTCAAAATCTTGCACATTAACTTATTATACAGACAAGATGTAATCTATTACAGTTGCATGTGAATTGTACTTTGAGAATTTCTGTGGTCCAGGTGATTGAATGAAAACTGGTTAAATTATACCAACAAACACCAATTCTCTTTCTACCTCAGTGCCTTCTCAATTGTGTCATGTTTCCTCCTCCTATCACTTTATCCATCTTCTCTTCCTTGTTTATTTTCCTTAGTGAATCATGTATCACTAACATGAGCATTTTATTAATAATCCTGAATGAAAATATATTGTTTCAAAATGAATATATTATTTCATTCTTCTTCTACAAATCTTTTAAACTCTCTTTTTTTATCATTTTGAAATATTCTAAGGCTCAATCTTGGAATCTAATAGAGACAAGGGATTCTTTGCAAGCTCTTCTATCTTAATTCTTCACATATTGCCTTACTTTGTGAATTCTCATGAGCAGCTCAAGGAGGGCTTTGTCACTTTCTGCTGGAAGAATGCTTGATGATTCTTATCTTGTCAGATGAGTCCAGAAGGTCTTTGTTCCTGGGACCAGTTCCTAATTAGTGTCCTAGTGTTCTCCTATCCTATAAGATCTCAAGTTTGTTACATATCACCTTAAATAAAAAAATACACAAATAAATATATAAATACATAGATAGATGATAGATATATAACATTGAAACGTGCCATTGAAACTTCTATTTTACAAATTGACCCGAACAATTTTATTTTTTGATTATTGTGTCCCACCTCTGGGGAAATAATTCATAACTCACTTGGGGATTTATTAAATGAATCTTTAGCTGAAGGAGGCTTAGAGAAAATAGAAAAATTCAGTGTGTATACAGATAAAACATTTTCAACTAATCAAGATGAGTCCTTTTTCTAAGAATTTTTTTTCTAATTCCAAAAATTCTCTTTAGAAAAAACATTATTTAGTAAACATCTATTTTAGGTACTGCCTACATTTTTGTAAGTAATCTAGAATTTTAGAAATCATCTTCAATTTCTGGTAGATTTCAAGGTATTACAAATTGCTTGAAGTTCCAAAACTAATACCACTGTAATGGAAGACCCATTCTCTTTTTTTTTAGTTTTTAATTTTTGTGGATACATGATAGGTGTATGTATTTATGGAGTACATGAATTATTTTGATAATGGCATGCAACAGAATAGTCAAATATTTTGTGGTGCTTTAAGTACTTTTCTGTAGCATTCTGATGGGCCATACTTTCAGAGCCTGCAGAACTACATTTTGAAAGTTTGGTCTCTTCTGCAAACTCACTATCATTTCTTTTTTTCTTTCCTTTTCTTTTTTTCTTTTTCTTTTTTTTTCTTTTTTTTTTTTGAGATGAAGTTTCGCTGTTGTTACCCATGCTGGAGTGCAATGGCCCAATCTTGGCTCACCGCAACCTCTGCCTACTGGGTTCAAGTGATTCTCCTGTCTCAGCCTCCCGAATAGCTAGGATTACAGGCATGCACCACCACACCTGGCTAATTTTGTATTTTTAGTAGAGATGGGGTTTCTCCATGTTGGTCAGGCTGGTCTCGAATTCCCAACCTTAGGTAATCCACCTGCCTCGGCCTCCCAAAGTGCTGGGATTACAGGCATGAGCCACCACACCCAGCCAACTCACTATCATTTCTAATGTAAATCACTTGGAGAAGTGAGTGCTCAGAAAGCCATAATAAGAAAACCCTGGCCTCTGTAGGACTTGGCTACCTATACTTATATTTGGGACACAATATCCTGTTTGTGTACCTGGGTGATCAGTAATGGATATACGATGGTTTCCACAATACATAGGATGGGTCATAACTAGCGTAGAAGAATAAGCCAGACCTTAGTTGCCTCTTTACCAAGACCATATCACTCTGCATCTGTCTGCCTTTCAAAATCTTTAATATCTTGTCTAATATTTTTATATATAGTCCAGGCTTATGCTAGCTGATCAAAGATAGTTAAGAGAAATTTTATTTTTTCATAGGCAAGATGTTAGGTAGAAAGTGTGTGGCGGTCCTTTGACCCTCACGTGAAACCAAGGAGGTTGTGGCAATGATAATTAGGAAGAAATACTCAAGTGGGAGGTGAATCTGGAGAAGACTAGCATAGGCTGCTTGGTCCAGTTGCGTTACCCCTGTGGAGTTTGTCTTAGCAAGAATATTTTATTGAGACATCAGGATCCATTTAAACATCCTAAATTACAAGTTGCATGTTATTTAATGATGTTATTCTAGTATTAAGATTGGGTAGAGCTTTAATTGACAAGCTATGTGGTTATCCAAAATTAGGTGAGTTTTTATAGCATCTCAGTTTATAAGCTATTAATAACATTCAAATTGGCTTTGGTGAGTATCTGTGATCATAGGATAATGTTTTCTTGTTTACTTAAGCCCTCACTTCTTTTTACTCCTCACTAAGAAGATCTCTAGCAAAGAGAAAAAAAAATAGTTTTAGACTTTCCTTTAGGGAAGGGACTCTTTTTCTTCAGGAAAATATGCTGCACCGTGTTGGGAGATGAGACTCTGATGGATGAATATATATATGACAATACTTAAAAAGTGTGCTTAGAAAATATGCAGTATTTTGCTGCAGGAGAACACACAGGAAAGATGAGAAAAGGACAGATGGGGCCCATCTAAGAAGACAGGATGCCAATGACTGAAAATGGTAGCCACCATGAAGTAAATTATTCTGTATTTGCTGACATACATATGACAATTCAGGTGCATATTTTACATTGTTTTTAATTTTTTATTTTGAAGTAATTTTATAATTACAGAAAGCTGAAAAAAGTACAGAGATCCTATAGGCCTTTCACCTAATTTCCCCTAATGTTAACAACTTGCATACCCAGGGTTCATTTGTCAAAATGAAGAAATGACCATTGGTATTATACTACTAATTAAACCACAGATTTTATTCAAATTTCATCAATTTTTCCACCTATATTCTTTTTCTGTTCTAGGATTCAACATTTTATTTAGTTGTTACATCTCCTAGTCCCCTCTAGAGTATGGTATTTCCTGAATCTTCCCTTATGTTTCATGATCTTGATATTTTTGAAGAATACAGATGAAGTATTTTATAGAATCTCATATAATTTGAATTTGTCTTATGTTTTCCTCATTATTTTAAGGTTATGCATTTTTGGAGGAAATATCACAAAACTAACATGTCCTTCTCAGTCCATCAAATCAGGAGGTTCAAGATATTAATAGATCTTATTTCTGGTGATGTTGGTTTTTGTCATTTGGTGTTGGTTGCTGGCTTTTTCCACTGAAAAACTAAGTTTTTTTTTTTTCTTTGTAGTTAATATCTTGGGTGCAGTGCCAGTTTTTATGTTTATTTTTATTTTTATTTTTTTGCCAGAGTTTTGCTCTGTTGCCCAGGCTGGAGTGCAATAGCGAGATCTTGGCTCACTGCCACCTCAGCCTCCCGGGTTCAAGCGATTCTCCTGCCTCAGCCTCCAGAGTAGCTGGGATTACAGGCACCCACCACCATGCCCAGCTAATTTTTTGTATTTTTAGTAGAGATGGGGTTTCACCATGCTGGTCAGGCTGATCTCGAATTCCTGACCTCAAGTGATCCGCCCACCGCAGCCTCCCAAAGTGCTGGGATTACAGGCGTGAGCCACTGCACCCAGCCAAAGTGCAGTGCTTTAAGACTATTCAATTTTGTTCCTTCTCAAATGTTCACCTATAAATTTTAATCTCCATCAATGAACCTTGCCAAAGAATAATTACTGTGGTGTTTGCCTAACCCATGATTTTCTACTTTGCTCACTTCTTCTATATTTATTAGTTGGAGTTTTAAGGAAGAGCTGTCCCTTCTCCCACATTTAGTTATTCATTCAATTATTTATTTATATCACTATGAACTCATGGATATTTATTGTAGTCTATGGAGTTTAACCTTATTTCACTGACCAAATTGTCCAACCTTTGATATAGAAAGTTTTTTTTGTGTTTTTTTGGTATTGAAAGTTTTTTTCTTTTTTTAAATTTTACTTTTTTCCTATTTCATGATTATTATTACAGATGGGGTCTTGCTATGTTGGCCAGTCTGGTCTTGAACTCCTGGCTTCAAGCAGTCCCCCTGCCTTAGCCCCTGAAAGTATTGGAATTACAGCCATGAGCCACCAGGCCTGGACATCCTGTTTCTTTTTAACAGGTCCTTCTTTTTTGAGCAATTACTTACTTTTTGCCACCATAGGATGATTCATACTCAACTAATTTGTCAACTCTTCTAGCTGAATTCTACTTGCCAGTGTCAGGTGGCATCTACCCAAGGCAAGCAAACACTTACATCATATCTCTTTCAGAAGGCGCTTATTGCCCTAGATCTCAGGTTCATTGGTTGACTTCTGACTTCTGACCAAGAAAGCCTTAAATTTCTCCTTGTCTTGATGGGATTCCTTCTGAGTACAGGCCCCTGGCCTCCCTTTTCTTAAAGCATCTACTTTAGAGAACTTCCCATTGTAAATTCTTTCTCTGTCCCTTTGTGATGTACATCTTGTCCCAGTTTCTTGCCAATTTAACAAAATATAATATCTTTCTTAAGCATCTGTGAACCATCTCTGAAATGTAGTTATCAAGAAAGGTAAAGCCTCTATTTCCTACTCTCTGTAGGAGGGTAGAAGCCTATTCAGTAAGTACCATTTAGCAAACACAGATGGTCTAATGACATTGACCATCTCCACTAATGTCCTCCAGTACTTTTCTACTAGCTCACCCCAGTGCTTAAAAACTCTCCTTCACTTCGCTTCAGCAGAGTTGAGTTCCATCTCTGCCTCCATTGCAGCAGTATTGAATAAAATTTTCCTTGGCTGTTTAACTCAGTCAGTGAAATTATTATTTGACAACTATGATTGGCTTTAGGAAAAGTCATGGACTTGCAGAGTTTTGGCTTTGGTTGTTGATGTAAATGTGGAAGCGATACTTTTTTACCCATATTCTACATCTTTAAGTAAAAATCAGAGATATTGCAATGTTAAGTCATTTTACTTTGTAAAATTCTCATGTTGTCCCTAAACATTTTCACAAACCTTCACATGTACACAAATGACATATATAAGTGATTTTGAAGAATTTTACAATGTTGGGTTACTATAATGGAGTAAGAAGGGAATAGTTATACAAGATCACTCTCTTGTATATATATAAGAGTGATTTTGAAGAATTTTACAATGTTGGGTTACTATAATGGAGTAAGAAGGGAATAGTTATACAAGATCACTCTCAAATGAATGCAGTAGATCGAGATCAGAAATGCAGAGAAGAAAAGTGGCCTATGGGAATATAAGCCCTCAGTAATTTATGAAGTTCTTGAGTAAACTTGAGACTCTCAAAGAATGTATGAGAAGAAGCATGACTGTTTTATTTATATTTCAGAATATGGAAACTTCTGCTAACTTTGGGTTTAGGTCATAAACTAAACTGACTTCAAGCGATCCGAATCATGAATGATTACCCAGTAATGGAGTCAGAAAGAAATAATAGTAGTATATTACTCAAATTGATATAAACTATTTTATTTTACCTTTTTAAAAACCTAGTAAATAGGCAATAGATTAATATTATGTGAAATATAACAGCTTATTTTTCTTTGTGCATTACATAATCTATATTCAGTTGTTAATAATATAATGAGAATAGATTTTATATTTTCTTTGCCACGACTGTGTCACTACAGGTGTTGCATCTGGTTTTCAATGGAAGGAGCTATAATTAGCATATTTATATGGATCATTAGTCTTGGTCATATTGAATCATAATAATATAGACATATGTAAGCATAATTTATGGACAAGCAAATGCCATATTTAGAATTCTATACAATATTCCTCAAATTGTTATTTTATCAAGAAAATTGTTGTTAGAAAGATAGAATGAAATTTTCAAATTTCCATAAACAATTTGGAGGGAAATCTGGTAATTATATTCAATTACACATTTAATACATACATAGTAATAAAATTATATTCATGCAAAAATATGATTAAAAGAAAATACATATAAAACTAGGAGGTATATAATTCTTTCTCAAATCTTACTTTAGTTGTTATACTATTCATATAATTTGTCATTATAAAATTCATATAATAAGATTTAACTTTTTTAAAAGTCACTAGAATTGGTTTTCTAATTGTATTATATGCATCTTTACCTTACCAACCAAAATGTTCTAAATACGTCTTTTTCTGCACAGGGATCTTTTAAACTGTTTGAGAGCAGAAATGGTGCCATCCAACTCTACTTTACAGTAGACATCAATAAATGCTGGGTGATGATGCTGTGGATGACTCATTGTCAGTATTGTGACCAAATATAATTGTACTATGCTATAATACAATAATAGGATGAAGGTGTCCTGATATAAGCAGGAAAGCTTATTTATAACTTGAAGGGCCTCATTATCTGACTGAGTAGTCTGTCTCTTTTTTGATAGATTTTCTTTTCCATCTTTGTGGTCAGACTAATACACCTTCTGTCTACTTCCAATTTACTGTAAACTGGGTCATGGAATTCAGGTAACCAAACTTATTCAAATTATAAGCAAAGTATAAGTTTCTGGGCACTGAATAGCATCTTAAAGGCATTCTTGTGAATAAAATAGACTTTTAGAGAGCATTGTTTGATTTCCTCACAGCCTTTATAATATTTATTTATTGAACTGTTTGAGGATTTCTATATTGTCAGTTTTGGCAGCATCAAAAGACAAAAAGTATATCAGCATTCTGGAACGAGGAACCAAAGAAAACACAATGCAATTAAATAAATTAAATTTAGTGTAAATCTTTGCAATATTTATATTTAAAAATAAAAATACAGGACAGTTTTGATATGGCTTAGTTATAGTTTATTTTTGTAATGGGCATTTCAGTTGAGTGTTAAGTATGAGTAAATAATTTACATGAATGTTACAAAATTTCTATTACAACTTTGGTCTTTGTAGAGTGCGAATATAGTGTCCTGAACAAAGACCATTATTGTTTTCTTGACTGGTCAGAATTCATCTAGAATTTGCAATTCTGTCTGGAAGTCATTTTATGAAAGAGACGATGATATACTGAAATATCCCCAAAGGAAAACCTTGATTCTGATCTTCTGGATAACAAGTTCTTGAAGTGTCTGGAATTGAAGAGTTCTACAGAAAAGGAATAGGTGAAGGAATGAATGAGAGAATGGGAAGATGACAGTTAATAGCATCTGATGATTATTTTTCACATAACTGCAAGATCATCTTGTGGAAAATAGATTACATATACTCCTTTAGGTTCTAGAGGTCTGAATTCAGGCTAATATGTAGACATAGAGAGGAAAGATAAAGATTTTCTAATAACTACCTCTGTCTAAAAATGTAATTCAGTGCCTCAGAAGGAAGTACTTGCCTGTTGTTGGAAGACAAAAGTAAGATATCAAGTGGAAAAAGGGTTAACAGCTCAAGTAGAATCTCCTCAGTGATGAGGTCACTGAAGTCCTGGGGTTGGTCCTCACTGTTGGGAATAGAAACTCTTTAGTGTTGATGCCCCTAAACAAATCAACCAGGCTTTTAAAGATTGACTCTTGCTAAACAAATTTACCAACCCTTCAATATATAATTATATATACATATAATTTTAGAGGAAAGAGTATAAAGGCTTGGATCTTCACCTTCTGGATAAAATATATATTGCAATAACTATATGGCCGTGCTAGGATCACATCTGTCAAAAGGATGAGGATATTCACGTCAGCTTTCTTGATACCTGCTCACATCAGCATCTTGTTTTAGGGGCTCCATACAGATCACCACCTTTGAAACAACTTTTCTTTTTGGAGAAAGGTTTATGCTACAGCCACACTTAAGTGTAAATTTCTGTCATTATGATACATGCCAAGATCCTGAATGAAATTTATCTATGTGAAGATTACTTCTGGAGGTCATGAGTCTCATTTATTATGTTTTAATTTTTATTGGTAAAATGTGCATGGACTGCTTTATTTCTCAGGCCCAGAGAATCCAGCATTGGACTTTCAGGAAAGTCCGAAAAGTGGTGAAAGCATTATTGGTCACAAATGTTATAGATGGAATGATATTTTGAAATAAGATATTATATATCCTGTAAGATCTCTCATGCCTCCACAAAAAATTGTAGAAAATGTTATTTGTGTTTCATTTTTTATTGTGAAAAATTAAATGCACAGAAATGTTTAATCACTAGTACAATACAGACTCATATTCCCATTACCTAGAAATAACAGTTTAACCATAGTTCCAGAGCCATATTTGGGTTTTTCTTAAACTACATCAAAGTAATTTGAAACATCATAGCATTTTATATCTAAATATTTCAGCAGGAATATCCCAAAATAATGAACATTCTCTTATATAACCACAATATGATCACAACACTGAACAAAATTAACAATCACTTCTTAATTTTCCTTAATACTCAGTTTATACACAGATTCCTTCGTCCATCTCCCAAATGCCCTTTACAACCTTTATTTATCTCTAGAACAAGGAGAGAAACTAGATTCACAGATAAAATATAACTATTTCTTATGAAAAAGAAATAAAACATTGGAGAGGGTTTCATTATAGGAGATCTGCAAATGTTCCCTAAGGAACTCATTTCCATGATTGTGACAAATGGACATTAATATCTACCTCATCATATTATTATTTAAATGGCATAATTTTTTCAAAAGTGCTCAATAGAGTGACTGGCATACTGGAAGTGTGAACAAATGTCAATCACTATCATTATTATATTTAAGACATAGATAATCAGTCAAATATACCTGATAATTTACTCTGTTTCGACCCAGTCCCTGAAGCCTATAAAGTTTTATAATAAAATGAGACAGTTTTATAACAGTGAAAGTAACCCACTGGGTGTTAAGAGGGGTGTTTTTTGATGGATGAGGAAACTGAGAGCTAATTAAAGCAAATATATATTTTAAGTCTGATTTAGAGGTCTATACATAAAAATGTAGAAATGTATACCACTTCTTAAAGTCCAACTCCAATTCCTAAATGTTAATTTTAAAATATTACAGAAAATTGCTCTTAATGAATTCTCAGGAATATATTTGAGATCACAATTTAGTATGCTTAGGATACCAATGCATAAATCTTGCTTAAATAAATTTGTTCTCAAAATTTTAATTAGGTTGAATTTTTGCCAAAAGCACTTTATATTTTCTAAAATTCCATCAAAGTGTTCTATGCTATTTATACTTTTGATGTATTAAAAATACATCTATTTCCCAAATGCCTCTAGGCTTATTTTAAGAAAACACGTACATGTCACTATTAAATTTGAGACACGCTGAAGGTAAGAACATGAGTTATCATTAGAGAACTATTTTTCCAATATGTATATATACCATGTGTATATTTTTAAAGTTTATCAAACATTTTATTTTGAATGTTGAGTTCTAGCTACCCATTCATATGAGTGATATGAATTAATTAGAAATTCTCTAATATTTATAAAATTAAAAAAATCATAATTGTGGATTATTTATTAACAAAATAATATTTCTATGTTTCATCCAGTTTCATGGATAGAGAAATTAGCAAAGTTATATGATTTACCTAAGAATTTAATTTCCATGAAAAAAAGTTATAGTTAAGGAAAGCCAAAAAAAAAATTGTGGAAAGGGAAAGCTACTAATGAAGACACATGGACTGAAACATCACATCTGTCACTAGCCAGCTGGAGAGTTCTTTTAAGTCATTTCCCCTTTCTGGGACAATTTTCTTATCTGCAAAATAAGTGATGTGGATTCTGGGGCTTCTGAGAATAAGATAATTATAATGGCGCTATATTTCTATGGCATTTATTGCTTATGGAAAGCACTTACTCAAAATATTTCATTTGGTTCTTGCCTAGGCTCTGTGAGGTAGGCTACATGAATATTTTAGTTATCCTTCTTTTCCATTTTGTGGAAAGTCTTGGAGGCCAAGATGATACATTTATATACATTATTTATATATGCACCATTTACTGAGTCCCTAATATATTCCAGGTACAATTGTTTATAGTCATAACTAATTCTCACACAACTCCTATAAATTTATTATCATTTAACATATGAAACTGGGGTTTAGGATTGTTAATTGCTGTATAACTAATACTTGGCCAAAGTGGAATTTGAATGGTGGTCTGTATGACAACAATTTCTGCATTTTTCCTATTATGTCACTTTTTTCCTTTCTTTTCCTTTTGTCTCTTTTAAGGGGTAATTATAGTCATTTAAATTTTTTAAGCAGATAAATAATGTAAGCATATCAATATTTGATGCAGTAGTAATGAGCATAGTACAATTAATAAGCAGATATGAAGATGAAAAACGATCAATTGTGCTATTAATACAGTCTTGGAGGAATAATAAGGACCTGAGTTTGAAAAATACTAGGAAAAGTGCATAAGAGAAATGAATCTAAGATCTGTGTAGAGGCAAAAGCTTGGCATTTGTGTAAATGTGGTTGACAATGAAAATACAAGATCAGTGATATAAAATTTTGAGCTCAAAAGTCTTGAGTTTTTTTTAGCTCTTGAGTATTTCTGTTAACAATCACAAACAAACATTTATCATGCAATATGTTCCTACTTTAAGAGGACTTATTTTCTAGGGGAAGGAGAAAAAAATACATCTAAAAAGTACAAATGAAAAATTATGTGTAATGTCATAATTATTATTCTGAAAGATGATATTGTTTTCAACAACATCTCTAGTAAGTGAGATAAGATAGTTGTGTTCACAAGATTAGACTACAAGAGAGAACAATATGAACATCTAGGGGGAAGAACTGACAACATGTTCTAAAAATTTTGAGAGAATAATTACACACACTTGAAGAATGGAGAAAGGGGCATATACTATATGAGTCTGGCCTGGAAATATGATTAAATTTGGACCAACAAATTGGGGGAAGGGAAGATGAGCAAAAATAATTAATGGGCAATATCTCAAGATATTTACCTGCAGCAACAAATAGCTTAGCTTAGCTTGAGGGTACAGTGTGTTGAAGGAAGTAAGATGGGATGAGATTGAAAAGCTGGTAGAAACAAAGGTTATGATGATCCCTGTGATGTACTAATTCCATTCCTAGATACATACTCAAGAGAAATACACCCATATGTGCACCTAAAGAAAAGTCCAAGAATACTCATTATTTATCATAGCCAAAAACGGAATAGTTTTCAAAATATTGTTTATAGAAAAACATGAATAAATTTATAGAAATATATATATATATATTTGTAGAGTGGAATAATATCTGTATAGAGCAATGAGAATAAACAAAATATAACTACATGCAACAGAATAGATGCATTTCAAGCACTTAAGTGCTGAATACAAAAAGCCAGACACAAGAATTCATGTGCTATTATTCCACACCTTTATAAGATTAAAACATGGGCAAATCTACAGTTTTAGAAATGAAGTTAGTGATTACCCTTAGGAGATAGTGACTAGCAGAAGATAGAAGGAGGCTTCCGAGTGTCTGTAATCTTTTTAAGGTTTCTTGATATGAGTGTAGGTGCATGGATTTGCTCTGTTTGTGAAAATCGTTCCAACTGTACATTTATGATTTAGGCATTTTATATGAATTTTCTATTTTAATCAAACAAATATAATGGTGGTGTTTGAGGAATTGATACCCTTTATTTGATAAGGTGATGTAAAGATAAGGAGATTAGATGAAGGATTGCACAATTCCATCATATTCAGAAAGATTGAATCAAGCAGTAGCAAAGCAAGAAGATTTAAAACAAAGGAGAATATTAAGACCAGAAGACAGCAGGAATGGTAATATTAATATATAGAGGGAAATGGATGTGATAAAGGATAAAATGGACAACTGACAGAATAGGCTAAAGAAAAGAGGATAATTTTCTAAAATATAAAACTTCAAGACTGGAAGGCAGGAAGTATCACTGAGAAACATGAAAATCAAGAGGATAAATGGTTTGGCTGAGTGTGTTTTTCATCCTTCTGTGATGAGGTATTCCTAACAGCAGTGAATGTACTGATCACAGTATTGGAAAGGAGAACAGGACTGAAGAGGTTGTTTGGAAGTAATCTTCATAGCAGTGATGGCTGAAGTCATGAAAGTAGCGTAGCTGACCTATATGTACACTGTAGAAGAACTATATTGGCTAATTAACACATGCATTACCTCACACAGTTATCATCTTTGTGGTGAGAACACTTTACACTCACTCAGCATGTTTCAAGAATACAATTTACTATTCACTGTAGTCACCATGTTGTATAATAGATTTCTTGAACTTATTCCTCCTGTCTAAATGAAATTTTTTATCCTCTGACCAACATCTTCTCAAACCCCCTCCCCCACTACCCCAGCTCCTGGTAACCCCTACTCTATTCTCTCCTTTTGTGATACCGTTTTTAGATTCTGCATATGAGTGAGGTCATGTGGTACTCATCATTCAGTGTCTGGTTATTTCACTTAACATAATTTCCTCCAGATTCCCTGTTGTCACAAATGACAGGATTTCATTCTTTTTTATGGCTGAATAGTATTCCATTATGTATTCCACAAGGTATATACACTTCAGAACATAATGTGGTGCATAGTAAGTACTTACAATTTTATTTCCCAATGTAAAAAAGAAAAGAAAGTAGATGAGTGTGCTAAGGGAGAAGATAATGAAGAAAGTTAAAAGGGTCAGCACAGATTCTTTGGGAGATGCGCGTTTGGCAGATAAGGGGAGATGGAGGACTCTGAGAAGGGGCAGTTGGATGTAAGGGGAAGGCAAAAACCAAGAGAGTGGATCACGAGGTCAGGAGTTCAAGACCAGCCTGTCCAAAATGGTGAAACCCCGTCTCTACTAAATATACAAAAATTAGCTGGGCACAGTAGTGGGCGCCTATAGTCCCAGCTACTTGGGAGGCTGAGGTGGGAGAATTGCTTGAATCTAGGAGGTAGAGGTGGCAGTGAGCTGAGATCATGCCACTGCACTCCAGCCTGGGTGACAGAGCAAGACTCTGCCTTAAAACAAAACAAAACAAAAACAAGAAAATGTTTCAGGCATCACTTGGTCAGCACTTTCAGGAGTTACAAACAAAGTAAGGATAATGAAGACAGAGAAAAACAATAAAAATCTGTGTTCCCTGGTCATAGGAAAGTTTTATAGCAGGTGTTGGCAAATTGTAGTCAACAGGTCAAATCTGGCCTGCTGCCTGCTTTTGTACATGAGCTAAGAATGGCCTTTACATTTTTAAGTGGTTGAAAAAATTCAGAATAGATGTAATCAGATGTGATCAGAATAATATTTGTGGCATGTGAAAATTATGTAAAATTCAAATTTCAATGTCTATAATAAGGTGTTATTGGAACAGAGACACACTGATTTGTTTATGTAGTATTCATGACTGCTCTTGCAATATAACAGAGTAACAACTCTGCCAGTTGAGTAACGGAGTGATATGGTGTGAGCTGCAAAGCATATATCACTATCTTGTCCTTTATAGAAAAATTCTGCCGACCTCTCTTTTAGAGTTAAATTAGTAAATGAAATCTATGCTTAAAAATGCCTAATAGGCAATTGGGATAACACAGCTTTTCATTGAAAAATAATGGATAATATTATAAATAGAGTTCTGAGATTCACTGCAGAGAGTAAAGAACTGAATCTATTTGTGTAAGTAATGGTTGACAGTTAACATCACTTTACTCAAAAAGTGTGTTCTTGCATATCATTTGATGTCCAAAACAGCCTGTCAGGTAAAGATCATGGTATATAATTTAAAGATTTGGAAACTTAGGTTCTAAACAATGTGACTATTCTTTGGAGAACAATTGCTTTCAAAGGTAGACAGCGATAGAGAAATACCATCATGGAGAATGTGTATATATTGGTATATTGTGGGCAATATTATTCGTGTTTGTTGGCTTAGTGATAGAACAAAAACTCTAGAGCTATATTTTCTGATTTACATCCTGATTCTACCATTGACTGACACTATAATCTTGATAAATCACTTAATGTTTCAGAGAGACTCGATTTCCTCACTTACAAAATTGGGATAATAATAATTCCTCATAGGGCTGCTATGAAGTTTAAATGTTTCTTGTGTTTGGTAACACATTCCAAGATCAATAGTTACACAATATAATCTTATTCAGATGGCAGTGATTGAAAAAGCCTTTGACAGTTATTTCTATCAGAGTTCTGCTCTATAGATGTAAGCAGAAACCTAAACACATAGCCACCTGGCGATATATATCAGAGATATTCTACTTACTTAATTTTTCTTAAGCTTTGTACCTCAGTTTCTTTGTTTAACTTGAACAAAATAATTCAATAAAGAATTTTTCACCTAGACTTTCCAAACATCAAGTATTCTCTTAAGTCTTCCTTTGGAATTTTCAGCGTGGTTGAAATTGATCGATGACATATAATAAATCATAGAAGCACTTAAAACCTTCTGCAAAGGTGTCAGTAACTTAATGTTTTGTTGCTGCTATTGTTCCCCCTGAGAAAAAGGACCAGAATTCTCTAGAACTTTTAATTTTGCAAACTATTGCCCAACTTTTGGCTCTTATCTTGTCAGAGGTAAATGTCTGTTGTAATTCACCATTTGAGTTGAGATGTTATTAAGGAGATGAAGTGCAACCAATGAGCTCCCTGTCCACAACAGGGTCAGTCGCAATCTTATCCAATAATTGACTCTGTTCCCTGCATGGCAGGTGGATAGCAGTTGCAATTACTGTCATTTTGTGTCTAGGGAAACTTAGACAGGAGGGTTAGGTAACTTCCTCAAGGTCATATTGGAAATCAGTGGCATTCCAAGTAACTGAACTTGGAATACACTTAACCAGTTCAGCTCTTGAATAGCTTTATTATGAGAACAGTAAATAATTTTCCATAATATACCAGTGTATATTCAGCACTATTTATTCTAATAAATAGAATCACAGATTTATGACCTCTGAGATACAGAATGTAAAGAGAAGCACCAGTTGAACCTATCTGGAGCTATTGTAATTTGAACATTTAAACACCTTTTATGAGAATGGAGAGAATGATAATGACCGGTAGTCAAGATGGAGAAAACCCATTTCTATTCGTGAGTCAGTTTAATGGGTTGGTGGCTTATAATTTACTTAACGTGCTTGCATATTACTTTTCATTTCAGAAGTAGTGAGCTGTGTCTTCATTTACGTGCTTTGCCATATGCCAGCAGTAGTAAAAGTTGCTCCTCTCTTACAACCTCACATAGGACACATTTCCTCAGAAAAGAAACTACAAACTACTTTCAGAGGCTAAGAAATAGCACTTGTGTCAGTTAAAAACTTAGTCTTGTGTAGCTTAATTTGATTCTTCATAGAAAAAATACAAACAAAATGAAAAAATTTATTAGACATATGAAAATATTTTGATAATTTTATTGAATAAGAAATAGCTACCATTTATGGAACATTCAATATGTGTCAAGCATTATGCTGAGATATTTACAGAAAATTCAAACTAAAAGCATCATTGTTTTTTCTTTATTATGTTAAAGTTGAGGCATGACTAATTCATCCTGTAATTGCATATATACACATAGGTAGACATAGTCTCATTTCAAGTTAAATTATGTTATACATCCACCTTTTTATACGCACTTTTCTAACAAAGGTGATGCATTACACTAAATTGATGTTAATTTAAAATTTGAAGCGTATTAGAAATTTGCAAAGTCCCACATTTATTTTATAAAATGGATTTAAGTATGTTGGACACCAAGTTCTACAGTGTTATTCTAAATGTAACATTATAGTTCTAGAGCAAACTATTATAATTTAATAGATTTTTATATGAAATATTAAGCCTGGAAAGTTTTAATTGAATGAATTTAACTATATTGTGCCTCTGATTTTAAATGAACAAGTTTTATGAGTATCCTATAATATCTACTTATTCCTAAAATGCTTTTGACATAGTGGAATGATTTTAACTCTAATTATCACATGTTTTAGGCTAAGATGACTCAACTGCCTGAGGCAGAAAAAGAAAAGATTGCTGAGCAAGTTGCTGATTTCAAGAAAGTAAAGAGTAAGCTGGATGCTGAGATTGAGATATGGGATGATACAAGCAACGACATCATTGTTCTGGCCAAGAACATGTGTATGATCATGATGGAGATGACAGACTTCACTAGGTAATTATGTGGAAAACGATGTGTAATATTCATAATGGCTGAAAATATTAGTCATATTAGTGAAACCTCAAGATTCTCTGAGTGTCAAGTGCCAAAAATCAGGTGGTAGGGGAAAAGCAAATATAGTATTAGAAAGTTGTAGGTGTACAATTCTAGAGGTTTCGATCGATAAATAAATATGGCAAGTTTCTCAGAAACTTCTGTGGAATTGGTTTGGACACCACTTATACTCTCTCACCTTCCCCTTCCCCAGGCATCTGCTCTGTGTATCATACTAGCATGTGACTTCTACAAAGAATTTGGTAAACCAAGTGATTCGCTGGTATTGGAGCTATCTGAATGGTTGAGTTTCATAGCTGTGTAATTTTAGTTATAGTGATTTATAGCATAATCAGGATAGTGGTATCTTTTGCTTCTGAGATGAGAACTAGATATATTTGAAATTATAATCACTTAATGATAGCCATGAAAAAAATGTACATTGTGGGCATATTGCAGAAGTAATAAAAATGTTTGTTATTGTCTTAAAATGTCATTTTATAGAGTTAGTCAAAAAGCAATAAAATATATAGTGGCTGCCCTACTAGTAACTAATGTACACAAACTATAACAACTAAAATAATTCAGTCGTGGTGTAGTTATAAAAGCCACAGTACAGAAGGATACACTGAAGCTGACCTAGTACACTTAGAAAATCTTTCATTTGTATTACCATGTAGTATTCATGTATATGGTGCTGTGTACCGTTGGTACATTCATTTATACCCCAAAATAACTTTCAGGTGGAGTAATGAAATAACTGTTAATTTTAAAATCATAATTAATGGAGAAAATGTACATGAATCTTTCAGTGATATTAAAATTGAGAAACAGTTTATGAAAATTACATACAAAATAATTTACAAAGAAAGGATTGTTAAATTGAACTTCAAAAAATGTACATCAATAGAATGTCCTAAGCAATATTGAAATGTAAATGGATAACTGGATAAACAAAAATTTGATCCCATTTATATATAAAGAATACTTGCAGACATAAAAAATTAATATTGTAGTGGAAGAATGGACAAAGAATATGGTTATATTATTAACCACTTTCTCCTTATAAAAGTTATGGCAGACAAATATTTGAAAAATATTAAAAATAAAATAGTTAGAATAAGATGTATTTTAAATCTATCAAATTTGCCAAAACTTTTAAAATAGGCTTGGTACAGAGCATCGTGTTGAAAATCTAATGACATAAGCCTTATAGTAATTTGGGAATATGCGTAAAATGAAAATCTTTATAAACTTTTCATACGTGCATCATCTGTATCCATATCTGTACTATACTTCAGGGAACCTATCCAAAGGAAATAATATAAAGTGATAAACTTTTTATTTTTTTTTGAGATGGAGTCTCGCTCTGTCATCCAGGCTGGAGTGCAGTGGCACGATCTCGGCTCACTGCAACCTCTGCCTTTGGGGTTCAAACGATTCTTCTGCCTCAGCCTCCCGAGTAGCTGGGACTACAGGCGCACAACACCACACCCAGCTAATTTTTGTATTTTTAGTAGAGACGGAGTTTCACCATATTGGTGTGGCTGGTCTCAAACTCCTGACCTCGTGATCCGCCCGCCTCAGCCTCCCAAAGTGCTGGGATTACAGGCATGAGTCACCGCACCTGGCCAAACTTTTTTGAATAAAGGAAACCCTTGGCCTCTGAAAGTTTACTGAAAAATCAACTCACAAAAGGCAGATTAATAGGTGAAAAAACATATAAATTTATTTACCAAGTATATATGGTAGCCTTCAGAATGAAGACCCAAAGACACAGGATAAATTGTTTATTTTTATGCTTAAGTTCAATAAAGTATGGACAATCATGTAGAAATATGATGGGACAAATAAGGTATGATCTTATGTTAATAGACTGAGTGGGGTACCCAGCAAGGCCTGTCTGTCTAGATTTTTCTTGGCTTCTCTGAACATGTATTTCTACCTTCTGGATATGGGGCAAGACCCTCGCTGGAATATGGGTCTTATGACCTATAGTCAAACAAGGTAGGTAGGAAAATTATTGTATGACTAGTACAATTACACAGAGAGATGGAGATCGTTTTAGAATAATATTTTTATGTTTTATCACTAGCTTTGGGGAAAAGGGGTTCTGGCTTCTGTGACCTGCCTTGGAGAAGGATTCTAGTATTTATGACTAGCCTCAGGGGAAAATGGAACTGAGCAACAGGAGAACAGAAAAAAATCAGAGAAAAACTTTTGCTTCTGAAGCTGCTTCTAAGTCCTTCATTTTGGCGTATATTTTTTTTTTCTGAGCCCCAACAGGATAACTATAGAATTATTTAAAATAATAGAAAAATTGGGATGATTAAACAAATGGTTGCCTGCCACATGAAAAGAGTCTATAGAAAATAAAGTCAAGTTTTTTAAATAGTATGAAAGTAGTCTAAATTTTATAATCTATTATGTATATGGATGCATAGATATTCTCATATGCATATTTTTGTCTTTGTTTTGTTTTATACCAAACTTACTCTTTACAATATAATTCAGTTCTACTTTGTATTCTTCTGAAAGAAATCCACTTTCCAAAGATTATGTGCAGTGAAGATTTCATTGGAAAGTGAGAAAATTAAATTTATTGTGTATTATACATGGAATTTCATAAAAATACCTCTTTAAATGTCTATTTCTATTTTTTGCACTTAACTCTTGCCATTTTTCCAACTCTAGTCCATAGCTTCTAAATGTCTTCTTATTCCTCTTCATATAGAAAGTAATTCAGTTTTGGCCCATGGTTCAATTTCTGCAGGCAAAGATTCGGAGAAATCTGTTTGTATATGTCTCTGCTTCTCTCTTTCTCTCTGTCTCTGTTTCTCTCTCTTTCTCCACACATATAATCACAAGCATTATATAATACAAACATATATAACATAGACATGTATATGCCTGTATAGGAACAAAACTAAACTTTCATGGGTTTAAATAATGATTATGTTTTAGTAGTTGGATTTTGGATAATTTAATTACAACTTTTAACCTTCTATAATTTGTTGCTGATTTAAAGTATCAATACATTTATATGAAAAACAACATATGGAAAGAAACCTGAACTATAATAGTTATATTATAATATCATCTTGGTGGCTAGGTGCGGTGGCTCACGCCTGTAATCCCAGCACTTTGGGAGGCCAAGGTGGACAGGTCACCAGAGGTTGGGAGTTCGAGACCAGCCTGACCAACATAGAGAAACCCTGTCTCTACTAAAAATACAAAATTAGCTGTGTGTGGTGGCATGCACCTGTAATCCCAACTACTCAGGAAGCTGAGGCAGGAGAATCACTTGAACCCAGGATGCGGAGATTGTGGTGAGCCGAGATTGCACCATTGCATATCAGCCTGGGCAACAAGAGCGAAACTCTGTCTCAAAAAAATAAAAATAAATAAAATAATAATAATAATAACTTGGTAAGTGGCACTGAGAAGACTCTTAAGCTTTCTCACCATAAAATAGTATAAATAATTCAAGTGGGTGTATTTATAGACAGGATTTAGAGCTAGAAGGGACAACAATGAAGGGTAAAGCCATGAGGAACAGAAGCTTTGAAGAAGTGGGCAGAGAAAATAGAATCTGATAAAGAAAGAGCATTCAAGTGTTAATAAGAAAAGTAACATACAAAGGAGGATGCTGGGCAGAGAATTTCAGTGAGTAATCAATGGTCTTACTTGAAGATAATGATTAAAAAGATACTAGTTTGGCAATTAGTAGATTTAATCAATTTGTTGTTGACTTTTGCTTTACGAAATGGTGAATGGAAAAAAACCTTATTTAAAAAGATAGGTAAGAGAATAGCAGATCAAAAAACAAAGAGACTCAAGGTAGTAACTTAAAAGAGACTAATGATCATGACAAGATTTTTGAGACTTCTGGATGTTTGAATATATTTTAGGCTGAAGGGAAAGAGGAAATGGGGAGGGACAGAATGAAATTGTAAAAGGGGAATAAAAAGCTATAGCCAAAAATGAGATAAATGGTTAGTGAGAAGGGAAAACAAAACAAAACAAAACAAAAAAAAACCATTTAAACCAACATAAGTTTACATGGCTGTTCCTTCTGGTCACAGCTTGAATGAATGAGCTGAGAATCAGATTAGCCTTTTTTGGCCACCCAGGGTAAAGACTTTCCCCAACTAGTCTGTACATCAGTTTCATTATCACTCTATATTACTTTCCTTTTAGCAGTTATCACTTTTTGGTTTAAATAATTCATTTTTTCCCATATTTCCTGCCTCTATTTCCATAACAGAGTATAAGTTGTATGAATGTATGAAATTTGCCTTTTTTTATACCCAGAATTTATAACAGCATGTGTATATATGCTTAGTATATATTTAATATGTAGTAGCTGAATTAATTAGATTTTTAAAATACTACTTTAATTCAGAAGGAACCAGGAATAAACAAAAAAACACAAAATTTGAACAAAAAGCAGGGAAGTAAGCATAAGCTTACTTTGTGAAAGTCTTGAAAGTCACTCTCTTTGCTTGCTTGTTAGCCCATATATAGATCCTAAATGTTGATACTAAGATTTTAATTTTAATGCCCTTATGGCATTTGGAGGAGACACATAGTCCGGAGACCTGGGACTAAGACTCTTAGAAAAGCTTATAGCCCTACCTTTAAAAGGGGAACCAGAGATATTTTCACACACCAGCTTGATGGAGCATCAACGGTGAATGCTTTTCCCTGGGGGGTCTTATTTAAATAAAGGCCATCTTTAAGAAATAGAGATCCCAAGTGTGTGACCTATTAAACTGATGAATTTCAAATTGCATAATCAGAAATGCCACCATGAAAGAGAAATTAAGATGCAAAAAAGAATGATCACCAAGGAAATTAGAAAAGGTGTTGACACATTCAAAGAAGGCTTGGTAAAACACCATCAATAATATGGTTAGGCTTTGTGTCCCCATCCGGATCTTATCTTGAATTATCATCCTCATAATTCCCACATGTCAAGGGAGAGACCAGGTGAAGGCAATTGAATCATGGCGTCAGTTTCCCCCATGCTGTTCACGTGATAGTGAGCGAGTTATCAGGAGATCTGATGGTTTCATAAGGGGCTCTTCCGCCTTCACTTGGCACTTTTCTTTCCTGCGCCTTGTAAAGAAGGTGCCTTGCTTCTCCTTTGCCTACTGACATGATTGTAAGTTTCCTGAGGGCTCCCCAGCCATGCGGAACTGTGAGTCAATTAAACCTCTTCCTCTTATAAATTACCCAGTCTCGGGCAATTCTTTATAGTAGTGTGAAAATAGACTAATACAATCAATGACAACAAAAAAAGACTATTTGAAGTGACCACACTACATAGGAGAAGTGTAAGGGTTGAAGATCAGAGTTAAATGGCCTACTATTCTTATATTCAGGAAGAAGTTTAAAGTATTAACATACTTTGCTACATAGAAAATTATATGCATTATATGCATTTTAAATTTCCAAGACATCTTTACAATAATGAAAATAGAATTAAATAGAATAAATGTTCCATATCAGTAGACAAAATTAATGTAGAGAAGATAAGTTAGAAAATGAGAATAAAATGAAAATTTAGGGTAAATATAAAAAAGCAATAGCATTATAAATCATACCAATAATATCAGTATTTCTAATATTTAGATTTAGTAAGCTTACTAGTTTTTTAAAAATAAAATTATTTAAAAATCTGTCATTTAACATAGTGGCGTATAGGAATCTTTTGATCTAGGAACCATGGGAAAGAGGAAGAAATCTCTCTCTAAAAGAGTAAAGGAATGTGTAAAAAAAGTGAAAGAAATTTCAGAAGTAAATACCTAACAGCTTCTATTTGTGGGGTAATGCCATCTGTGGAATATGAGAAGCCTTCAGAAGACAAACATGGAGTGACAACTTTGATAGAGAAGCAGATCTTGATATATAAAAGGTAATCGACTAGGAATATATATATATATTATATATATATATAGAGAGAGAGATTTATACATACATATCCAACTGGATATATAAATCTATATATAGATCTATCTATCTATCTATCTATCTATCTATATCTATATCTATATATATATATATATATACATGTATCCAGTCATTGGCTGGAAAGGAGCAGAACTGAAACTACTAAGAAGGATATATTGAAATGACTGGGTCTACACTGGGAAAGAAAGGAACTGATATTGGGGAGTAGAGCCAAAGTGGAAAAATAACAGCATGTCACTTGACAGATGGTGAGGTTACAGACCTCCTTGTAGTATTTTTTCCTGCTCTGTACATGTCTCCCTCCTAAAGGAATTAATATCTTACTGTTGGCATACTCTGAATCAAGTTGTAAAAGGATTCTGACAAATCAGTGGCTTTGAGGGTATCCTAATCTGTAGCTGGGGTGTTAGAAGGGGATTCATAACTCCATAGAGTGACAAATCATTTGAAAATAGACACATTTCATGTTTTACAAAAGCTAAGCAGCCCAACATTCTCTCAGTCTATAGCCATCACTAGCAAAGGCATCCACAGAACAGGAATATTGTGTGTTTGAACTGCAATAAAGGAAGGGTAGTAAAATTGAATTTTAGACTCTGATAATCTCTTGTGCTTGAACTGAATCCAGAGTCACCTAAATTTCAGTTCATATAAACTGTGATAAATCTCCAATTGTTTTAAAATGAATGAAATCTGTTCTTTACTTCTATTTTATTCCCAATTCTGTTTCAAGAGTTTCTTCTCAGACACCGTAATGTTTTTCTGAGGGTTAAACTTAGCAGTTTTATATATAGGCTATTCCTTGGTTCCACCTTTGTCACATTTCTTTCATTGCAGGTTTTTCGCTTGTTTGTAGTGGGACCTGTGAGAGTGAGGGTCACAGCTGGCAGTGCAGTATTTATCAGCTAGTAGTCCCCCATTTGGTGGTAGTAGTAGTACACTTGAAGTCCTCCATATAGATTTTAAATAGCTCTATAGTTTAAAAATAATAAAAGAAAAAATAGCTCATGCTTTATATCTTCTGAAGTGCCACAAAATGCTGTTTTCTCATTTTATTCAAATATTATTTTATTAATAAAAGACATAATGATAGCTAAACTTTGATGAGTGCTTACTGTGTACTGTATCTTGAGAAAAACATGTTTTCTTGTTTATCCTCTAGACAGTTTGATTGATTATTATACCCTCCATTTTATTAATAAAGAAATAGAGGTCAGATAAATTGCCCAAGGACACACAAGCAAAGTTAATTTTGAATGGAGGTTGGTCCGACTTCAGAATTTGGGCACCTACCCATTGTACAACAAGACTTTACCCTGTGCTAAACACAGGATAAGACCCAATCAGTTCTTTCCTCAAGGAAGAAACAAATTGACACATCAGAGATAACAATAATTATGTTATGTGTTGTTAAACTGTTAAATGTTCAATCTGTTAGGATTTTGGAAGAGAGAGAGTTTGTGGAGAATAAGCACAGAAGAAAAAGTATGAACAAATGAAATTTGTATTCGATTTTGAATGAGGTGTGGGGTTGAGTCATGGAAGGTGATGATGTATGTGAGAAAGTTCATGAGAATGGAGGCCAGCAGGTAGGAATGAGTCACGTCCATTTAGGGGCTCTAAGAAAAAAAATATGAAAAAGAAGGAAATTAAGATGGGCATGAAGAAAGTGATAGGTTATAAAAGGCCTTAGAAAATTGACAGTTTTTCTTTTTATGAAGTAGGAGATACGTAACAACTGAAGGATTATGATCATGGTAGGGGCATAATGGAAATGATAAGTGAGAAGAGGGACAGGCATTTATGCGTGGCACTGTAGCAGAGACCACCCATATGGATCCGGCCACAGTTGGAGACTCATAATTAGATGCGCTTTGGAGAAAGTCTGGTATAGACTAATTCAAACACAATAAACTCATAGAAAGTACTGTATCAGCAGTGTGAAAAAATTACTTACATAAAACTTGATGTAGCCATTTCTGAGTATTGGCACATGAACCTTGACCTTCCAGCCTAAACTGAAGATGTGGAGCAAGTTCTACTCTAGTCATTTGTGCACAGTTACAAATGCAGCAAGGCATCTCTGTTCCCCTTGTGATAGCCTTATTCAAGGGCAGAGAAGTCAGGCTTTATGATTTGAAAACATGATTTCTCCTTGGTGAAGGGCCATTCCTACAGTCACATAAACTGTGTTACATTGTTAACATTGAGAAGGTGGCATCTTCTAACAACCCAGCATTCCTTTTATACATCTTCTGGTATTTTCTAGAATCAGAGTAAAGGATTTAAAACTTTCTAGAGGAAAGCAAGTATTTCTTCTTGTACTAATCACTTTCTTTCCCAGAAAAACATCTTTCAAATTTCTTCCTAGAAGGTAAGGAACTAGGAGCAGAGTGGTAGAGGATGGGGTGACTGGGACCTTGACACTTAGCATTGAGTATTCACACATTCATTTAATCACCCTGTTGTTCATAAAATGTACCCCACCCCTAAAATAAGTCTAAAGACCCACAATGCAAAGACCATTTTATCCTCTTCAGAGAATAATATCTGGAATTATGCTGGGCTGAGGTGGGGGTAGATATTCAGTGGTGTGAAATAGGAGATGGGATCAAACTGCCTTTTTCAGTCCCTCTCTTCATCCCCAAGTTTAATCATACCTAAGTCTTTCTGCATAAAATCACTTGATTCTTAATTTTCCCTGTTGCTGGTTTGAACTCTGACTTTCTCCGATTGGCTATGTCATTTAGTACTTGTCATCTGCTTTTGAGTTTGTTAATATTTCTTGCTGTTATTTTATCTTCCATTCCATTCTCTCCGTGCTAGTGTGTTTAAGTCTTTAGAAATAAACAAAAATAACTCATATATAGTTTTAGTGAGACTTGAAAAGGAGCAAAATTAGATACATGTGTCAGTTTGCCATCTTAACCTGGAAGCCCATTAGTTTTTATTAAGGTTGTGAAAGTTTTCTCTTTATGAGAGTTAGATATTAGATTAGATATTATTTTTTTCATAAATTATGGCCCCGTTTTTTGCTCTCCCTCTTAGGTAAATTCTGTCCACGCGGAATCTTGACTGTGAACTTAAACAGTTCCCACATTTTGTGACTTTCATAACACTTGAGACCCATTTCATTCCTTCCCTGATGTGAGCAGAAGACAGGCTCTAGGTATAACTTCCAGATATTTAATTATATCTTCTATGATCACCTAGGATGCATTTCCTTAAAAGTTGCAGAAAAATTATGGGGTAAAAGGCAAAACATAACTCTTCCTTGAATAAATAATACAAACCAGTATATTATCTTTGCAAAAATAATGACTGTTAAGAGTGTACCACCTTTAGTGTGAATATTATTAAAGTAATAAAATTGAAAATACCTAAAAGAAAGTAAAGCTGCTCTAAGCACCAACATGCTTAAAACTATTTATTCAAAGATATGCCAAAGTGACATCCCTATCCTCATGAAATTGTATATTTCAAGATACAATGTGATGTGTTTTTACTTGAAAAATATGTACTAATTTTACTAAATTTATACAGATTTTTCTAGAATTTCCATTGGCTCATTCACTGAGAATCTGCTGAATATTAGGTACTGTCCTTGTCCTTGGTATTAAGGACATACAGTGAACACAGTGGAGAATTTAGAGCCAGAGCAACATAAGATAGCATGGAAGAAGAATTGAGGAGAACAAGGAGATGGGCAGCAAAGCAGACAGGGAAAGAAAAAGATATAAAGGAAAGATAACAGTTAGGAGCAGACGAGCTGGTGCAGAAATTCATCTCTGAAAGGAATGCAGAATGTTGCTAGGAGCTGAGATATAAATAGGGAAAGTAAAGATTTTCAAGGTTTTTATACCTGAGTCTACTTATACTCAGGCATCTGAGACTCTGGCAGGTGTTGAATGAAGTCTATTAGTTTGTTGAACAGACAATAAAAGAACGGAAAGGACCTTCATTATCCAGCTGTCTTCATTTTAATTTTATTCAATGACACAATTCTGTATTTATGAGAATGATGTTCTGAAGAGAACTTTGGACAGAAATAGCTACAGAAAACGGGTTATTTGTCAGCCAAATGAGATGCCAATTTTCCTTACCAAAATGGGGCTAATTCCTTCCTGATACTCCCCCCTCTGAAAATATGAAGATCAATATTTACCAGTAAGAAAAAATAAATTATGGTATGATAATTTATACAGCTGAAAACCTCTTTGTTAATAGACATCATTTGTCTGGTAATGGGCCAACCTTCTGGGGACAAATGTGGTCAATCACAAGGTTATTCAGGTGCCCCTGAAACATCACAACTTGAAAGGTCAATTATAACACAAGTCTAACCATATGTATAATAAACATGGGAAGAAGACAACTTTCTAAAAAGTTTTGATTAGTTACCCAAGAGAAAGCATGTATGCTGCATTTTCTAAAAAGGCTGGCCTGACCTCATCCTGTTACTTAATATCACAGCCAGTAATCCTTCTGGTATTATGTTTCTATAATATCCCTAAACATGGTCTCAGAATTTTGATGAGCCAGCTAACTAAGCCAACTTGTCTGCAAGTGAGCCAGGTGTTTTCTTACTCTGTCCATTTTAAGCATGGCCTGTTGCACTCAAGAATTAACCAAAAACATGGAGGAATATGTGGATCAAATAGGGTTTGTTTGGAAGCACTGAGCTCTCAGCTTTCCTCATGTCCAGGAGAGCCTAAGATCTGACTGGACAATGGGGGAGATGTTTTAAAATCTGTCAAACAGAAGGGAAACCAAAGCAACACTCAAAAATAGCCATGTAGAAATAATGTTGCATTCATCATCAAAAAGAATCCTTGGGATGCACAGCTTCAGAGGGATGGTGGATGAAGAACTAGGTTGGGAGGTGGGGTTGAACTTATTTTGTACCCTGTGCATACTTCCCACTGGAAACAAGCTTGCATTTACAAAGCATTTCTGCCCCCGCTGTCTTTTCTAAGATACAACCCTGAGAGATGGAATAGAAAATGAAGCGAGGGAGGGAGGAAACTCACCTGGCCTCACTTCTGCTAGGGTTTCAGAATTAAATCTTTCTGAAAGCATAGTTGGAGTATGTGAAATCTGTATGTTCTATGGCTCATATCTTTTTGTTCATTAAATAAGAAATCTCTTTGCACATGACTCGTTTTGCTTTCTGAGGTGAAACATTTATATTCTAATATAATGTGTTAATGACAATAGCAATTTAAATATTGTAGCACACACAGCAAAGGGAATTAGAAATATTGGTAAGTTTTATGTTTTCCCCATTTAGAAACAGTCTATGTCTTATGATTTAAACTGTAAAGGCAGAGAAGTCCATTTTTTACATTACTTGATAAGACTACTGAATTCTCTTTCTCATATGTGTGGTAAATATACACAAATATCTAACAAATAATTGAAATATAAAATATGGGATAAGAGGATTATTTACAATTTTGAAAAACATGCCTGGCTTTTCAGCTTATACTTTTAAGAAAACATTCATTATATGTTTGAAATAATTATATCTGGAAGGAAAAATTATTTTTTGCTGTGCTCCAGAATGATGGCTTACTTTTTTTCCTATTGGATAGTGTGTTAGAGTAATTATAAGCAATAATCATTGCCTTTCCCATAAATATTCTCCCTGTAAATAATCCATTTATTTTACTTTATGTAGTCTTGAATCACTAGAAACTATTTAGTAATGCTGATGAGAAATGCTTTAATATAAAGGAGACTGATTTTATCTGTCAGTTACTTTTACATGATAAAAATGTACAGGATGATTGCTAATCATGATAAGTAATGAGCAAACATTCAGCTTAAATAAGATCTTAGTAATTGTTTATTAAAATTAACTGGGAAGGCATAAATGCTTTTACCTGAAATCTCAATTTCAATTTCTAAACTCTGTAGTAAATTTGTCAGAAAATTTAGTGAAATGGCTATTTTAGTTCCTAAGTGGCAGACCGGTTCTGTATCGTGTGAATCTTCAGAGATTTTAGGTGTTATAGTTAAATTATATTAATACAAAAATGTGGGAATAAACAGAATGAGAACATACAGGGACTGCTCATCCAGACTTTACTATTCAGACCTTACAGAGGAATCAGCTACCATCACTTGCTTTGGGCAGAGTCTCAAAAACAGGCAGGGAAAAGGAAAGCTTTAAAAAGGAGATTTCTAGTATTTTCTGATGGGATACTGTTGAGGTAGAGAAGTTTCAGGTAGACTAAATAGGAGCAGGACATTTTATGAGATGGGTTTGAGGGGTATATTTGGCTTTCTCTGATTCTTACTGAATTGAAAGCTTTGGCAAATATAGGTAAGTTGGCTGTCATTGACCAAATCATGTCCATTCTGGGTCTATTGCTACATAAGCTGTGGTTTAATTTCCAGGACTGGTTGCTGCAGAGGTTATGGTCAAAGCTCTACTGTCATATAAATTCTGGCCATTGTTCATTTATACATTTAATCTCTCTGCCAACAAAGTGGAAAACCTAGAAGAAATGGAGGAGTTCCTAACCATATGCAAGTACCAAGATTGAATGCTGAAGAAATCCAAAACCTGAATAGACAAATAACAAGTATTGAGATATTAACAGAAGTCTCCCATAAAAGAAATGGCTAAAAGCTGATGGCTTCACTGTTGGGTTCTACCAAACAATTTAAAAATAAATAATGTCAATCCTACTGAAATTATTTCTAAAATGTGAGGAGGAGGGAGTACTTCCTAACTCATTCTATGAGGCTAGTATTATCCTAATACCAAAACCAGATGAAAAGACAGCAGAAGAGGAAAATGACAGGCCAATACCTCTGATGAACATGATAAAAAAAATACTCAACAAAATACTAGCAAACAGAATTCACAACACATTAAAAAGTACATTCATCATCATTGAGAGGGATTCATTCCAGAAATGCAACAGTGGTTCAACATATGCAAATCAATAAGTGTGATACATCATACCAACAGAATGAAGGATGCAAACCATACAATTATTTCAAAAGATTCTTAAAAAAAATCTGATAACATTCAACATCCCTTCATGGTAAAAACCCTCAACAAGTATGTATTTGTCCTCAAAATGAAAAATATCTCAATAAGATAAACGCTATATATAACAAACCCACAGCTAGCATCACACTGAATGGGGAAAACCTGAAAGCCTCTCCTTTAACAGCTGAAATAAGACAAGGATTCCCACTTTCACCACTTTTATTGAACATAATACTAGAAGTCCTAGCCAGAGCAATTAGACAAGAGAAAGAAATAAAAGTCATTCAAATTGAAAAGAAATGAGTCAAATTATCCTTGCTTGCAGATGATATGATTTTATATCTTTTTTTTTTTTTTTTTTTTTTGAGATGGAGTCTCGCTCTGTCGCCCAGGCTGGAGTGCAGTGGTGTGACCTTGGCTCACTACAACCTCTGTCTCCCAGGTTCAAGCGATTCTCCTGCTTCAGCCTCCTGAGTAACTGGGATTACAGGTGCATACCACCATACCCAGCTAATTTCTGTATTTTTAGTAGAGATGGGGTTTCACCATGTTAGTCAGGCTGGTCTCAAACTCCTGACCTCATGATCTGCCTGCCTCGGCCTCCCGAAGTGCTGGTATTACAGGCGTAAGCCATCACGCCCGGCCGATTTTTTATCTTAAAAAAACTAAAGACTATCCCAAAAGTTACTGGATCTGATAAATTCAGTAAAGTTTCAGGCTACAAAATTAATGTATAAAAACCAGTAGCATTTCTATATAACAACAGCAAGCAGTCTGAAAAAAAGAAACCAAGAAAGTAATCCCATTACAATAGCCACAAATAAAATAAAATACCCAGGAATTAACCAAAGAAGTGAAATATCTGTACAATAAAACTGTAAAACATTGATGAAAGAAATTGAAGGGGACACAAAAATGGCCATATATTTCATGTTCATGGATGAGAAGAATCAATATTGTTAAAATGTTCATACTACCCAAAGCAGTCTACAAATTCCATGCAATCTGTGTCAAAATACCAATGACATTCTTCACAGAAACAGAAAAAGTAATCCTAAAATGTATATGGAACCACAAAAGACCCATAATAGCCAAAGCAATCCTGAGAAAAAGACTGAAGCTGGAGACGTCACATTACCTGACTTAAATTTATACTACAAAGCTATAGTACCCCAAACAGCATGATACTGGCATAAAAACAGACACACAGACCAATGGAAAAGAATAGAGAACCCAGAAATAAACCCACTCATTTATAGTCAACTCATTTTGGATAAAAATGCCAAGAAAATACATTGGGAAAAGGAGAGTATCTTCAATAAATGGTGCTGGGAAAGCTGGATATCCATTTGCAGAAGAATGAAACTAGACCTCTATCTCTCACTATATACAAAAACCTAAATGAATTAAAGACTTAAAGCTAAGACTGCAAACTGTGAAACTACTAGAAGAAAACATTGGGGAAAAACTTCAGGACATTGGTCTGAGTAAAGATTTCTTGAGTAAGACCTCAAAAGCACAGGCAACCAAAGAAAATAAATGGACAAATGGGATCACATCAAAGTAAAAAGCTTCTTCTGCACAGCAAAGGAAATCATCAACAAAGTGAAAAGCCAACCCACGGGATGGAAAAAAATATTTGCCAATGACCCATCTGACAAGAGATTAATAGCCAGAATTTATAAGCAGCTTGAACAACTCAATAGGAAAAGAACAATCCAATCAAAAATGTACAAAAGATCTGCATAGACATTTCTCAAAAGGATACATACAAATGGCAAACTGGTATATGAAAAGATGCTCCATATCACTAATTATCAGAGAAATGCAAATTAAAACTACCTTGAGGTCACCTCACCCCAGTTAAAATGGCTTTTATCCAAAAGACAAGCAGTAACAAATGCTGATGAGAATGTGGAAAAAGGGAAACTCTTGTACACTATTGGCGTGAATACAAATTAGTGCAGCCACTGTGGAGAACAGTATAGAGGTTACTCAAAATCTAAAATTAGAACTTCCATGTGATCCATCAATCCCACTGCTGGATATACATCCAAAGGGAAGGAAATCAGCATATCAAGGAGATATTTGCACTCCCACTTTTATTGCAGCATTATTCACAATAGCCAAGAAATGGAATAAAATTATGTATCCATCAAAGGATAAATGGATAAAGAAATTGTGGTACATATACACAATGGAATATTATTCAACAATAAAAAGAATGAAATCCTGTCATTTGCAACAACATGGATAGAAATGTAAGATATTACGTTAAGTGAAATAAGCCAGGCACAGAAAGACAAATATCACATGTTCTCATTAATAGGTGGCAACAACGATAACAATAATAATAATAAACCATGAAAGTTAAGAGAAAAATGAGATGTGGTTAATGGGTACAAACATATAGTTGGGTAAAAGGAATAAGATCTGGCATTTGGTAGCACAATAGGGAAACTATAGTAAACAATAATTTATTGTACATTTCAAAATAACTAAAGGAGTAGAATTAAAATATTCCTAACACAAAAAAGATAAATATTAGATACCACAGCCACCCTTATTTAATCATTATATGTTATATGCTTGTATCAAAATATCACATGTACCTCATAATGTGTACAACTATTATGTATTCATAATAATTAAAAATTAAGGGAGTTGGAGATGGTTAATGGGTACAAAAATAGAAAGAATGAATAAGACCTACTATTTGATAGCACAATAGGGTGACTATAGTCAATAATAACTTAATTGTACATTTTAAAATGAAGAGTATAATTGGATTGTTTGTAACTCAAAGGATGGATACCCCATGCTCCATGATGCGTTTATTTCACATCGCATGCCCATATGAAAATATGTCATGTATGCCATAAATATACACATCTACTATGTACCCACAAAATTTAAAAATAAACAAAACAAAGTTTAAAAAATAAAATTAAAAATGTAAAAATGTGTGAAAAACATCCTAAGAAAAGAAATTTAACTGAATATCATTTCTTTGAGATGGTGATTGGTAGGTAGTTATAAAAACAATATTGAATTAATCTGATATTTAAAAACAAAAATAAAATAGTTATTTTTATAGAAAAAGGTGATCTCTGATAATGTGTATTCTAAACCAATAGTCCAATGAGTTTAAAAGTACCTGGTTTAAAAAAACACAGTAAGATAGTTCAATGGATGCACCTTTGTGAATATAACTATTTTTGTCAGCCTTATTCTCGCTGTCTGTTTCAAGAACTCTTAGTTAGAGTAGTTTGGATTTATTTGGTCTTCTACAGTACTTTAATGAATATATTCTATGCATAGAATTTTTTTCAGAAATGAAATTTTAAATTTCAACTTCTGTCTCTCTCCAAAAAAAATTGTAATACCTTATCCTCAACCTCGTCATGTCTCATTTTAGATTTTGTCATTCTCTCCAAACTTATTTAGATACTTAATTCTTTATTTATTTTCTTATTCAGAAAGAATGCTTTGCCCATATTTTAACTACTCTCTCATGAAAATTTTGATCTCTCCGTCTCTCATGTCCATATGACACAAAATCTCAACCCTGCCTCAATCCTACCACAGACTTTTTTTGTCCTTTGTTTGGTCTTCAGATTGTGGAACTCACCCATTTTTCGCTAGTGCTCAGGTATTTGTACTAGGAAATGTTATAGAGGGAGGGATCCTCAGAGAAACAGAGACAGTAAATTTTTGCTACTCTGAAATGTAATTGCTTAAGACACTTTTAATTTAAACAACGTACAACATGCACACACTGAGAGAGAACTTGACCCTCTCTAGTAAACATTTCTTTTACTTTCTCTAAGTCTTTGACCTCGAATGCTTTACCTTGAGTACAGATATTTTCCTCTGCCTTCCCCATCCTTCATTTCAAGTAAGTACTCACCTCAAAGGCAATCTTTGATATTTGTATTTTGTGACCACATTTCCTAATTATGGATAAGAATTTATCTCAGTGCCTATACCTTGGCTGTTACAGGCTCATTAGCCAGGTCCTTTCTGCATGATTTCACTGGTCAATTGGGTGCAACTATACAAATATTAGTTATCATTCTCATTGTAATTATCATGGCACTTAAAATGTAAGAATGCCTTCTGTTTGTTCATATAATGGCAAAATGGCCCTTTAGTATACTTTCTCCATGGGAGCTTACTCTGTGCTTTCAAATCATTATATTTACTTATCTAGACTTTCCCATCAATATAGCATTCATATCATGTGCCAATTTATGGAATTTTTACTGGCTTCAAATTTTTTTCTATCTATAATAACAAAAAAAGAAAGACTCACAATTTCATTATTGTGGGGCCAAAACATTAAGAATTTTGAATTAGATATTTTGGGCTGTTAAATGTTTTAGAAGAAATAACTTCTGAGTTTCCCTTAGGAAAACACCCTGAAACCTATCAATCTAATTATTATCTGCAGGAGAATATTTCTTATATCCCACAAGGGAGACCTAAGATGTTAGGAAAGGGTTCTATCATGTTTCTGAACTGATAGAATTGATAGTCTGCAAGAAAAATAGGAATAAAAGTGGAAACAAGTGATTTGTAGGAATGAGAACACTAAATATAATATTTTGTCCTTTGAACATTAAAAGTATTTTTGTTTATTACAATTTATCCTCACTTGTAGAGAATTCATTCAAAACTATCTTCAGATAGCTTAATGTAACTGTTTGGAAATCACTAAATGTTTTTGAAGTTTGCCAACATATTGTGAACTAGAAAAATAAGCTGAATTATTTCATACAAGATATTTCATGAAAGCCTTGGCTTTTCAGTTTAAGCAGATACTAAAATTACCTGGGGAATTATTTTGCAAGTAAGTAGGTTGAAGGAAAAACAAAAGGCAGTGGAACGAAGTCCAGGAAACTGAATAAAGAAGTCAAAGATTCATTCACTTATTTGTTCATTCATGTGCTCATTCATTCATGCATGCATTTAAAAAATATTTCATGATCATGTATTATACACAGGATTATGGTCTTCACGTAAAAAACAAAATCTGAATTTGGACTCAATTTCTGTCCTTGAGGACTTACAGAAATTAGAGGAATAATAAATGTAATAAATAAGAATCCAGGTTGGGTGCAGTGGCTCAGGCCTCTATTCTCAGCACTTTGGGAGGCTAAGATGGGAGGATGCTTGAGGCCAAGGGCTCAAGACCAGTCTGGGCAACAAAGAGAGACCCCACACCCTCACTTTTCCCTCCCACCACAAAAATAAAAAGGAAATATTAGCTGGGCATGGTAGCCCACACCTGTAGTCCTAGCTACTCAGGAGGCTTAGGCGAGAGGATCACTTGAGCCCAGAAGTTCCAGGCTGCAGTGAGCTCTAATTCCACCACTGTACTCCCATCTGGGCGAAAGAACAAGACCCCATCTCTTAAAAAAAAAAAGTAAGAAATGGGAACCCAGAAAAGAAGTGAGCAGCCTATGTCCTGTGGATTAATGAAGAATTCATAAAGGAAGAACTATTTGAGCTCAATCTGATAGGATGAGTAGCTTCCTAGGTGGGAAAGTGGAAGCAGCATTCCCCAGAGAAGGAATATGGAATGTAGGGCACAGTTAGAAGAAAAGAAGCAGGAGATAACATGGTGTGAATTGGGAACACATCATGAAAGGATTGGAATCAAAACTTAATATTATAAAAATCTAAGGAGCCGGACATAGTGGCCCTAGCCTGTCGTCCCAGCTAGTGAAGAGGCTGAGGCAGGATGATCACTTGATCAAGCCCAGGAGCTTGAGGCTAAAGTAAGCTATGATCTACCACTGCACTCCAGCCTGGGCAGCAGAGCAAGACTCCCTCTCTTGCTAAAGGAAAAAAAAAAAATGCATGAGGATGTCAAGTATTTTAAAATGACTCTAATGTGTTGTGCATGGATAATCGAGAAAAATATTGGTGCTATTTTTTTTTTTACTGAAATGTGAATTAAAGGAAAAAGATAATTCTGAGGATGATAGAGAGTTCAAAATCAGATATTTTGGATTTCAGAAAAAAATGAGCATGTGAAAATATCTGACTTCCTGTTGAAAAGAGCAGCTAGGGTTCAGGAGAATA
This sequence comes from Homo sapiens, assembly GCF_000001405.40. Taxonomy (NCBI): domain Eukaryota; kingdom Metazoa; phylum Chordata; class Mammalia; order Primates; family Hominidae; genus Homo; species Homo sapiens. The sequence goes on along the minus strand of NC_000010.11, from coordinate 66,050,196 downwards.
TTCATTATACATCCAAATTTGGGAATTATTCTCAGAGGCATAATTATTAAAGCTTTGAGAGCCAAAGAGCTTCTCAGGGTAGGCTATGTGAAAAGAGAAGAAAATGAATCTACAGGTTAGATATTAGTCTTTATTTTGAAATATAATATATTGTAATACCAAATACTAATTTGGCCATTCATAAATTGTTAAACATTTCTCTCTTTTTTGTGTGTGTGGTTCCTATACACTTTTTTGGCCTTAAAAATCTTTTATTTTAAGTTTGGGTGTAAAAGTGAAGGTTTGTTACATAGGCAAATACATTTACACGGGTTTGTTGTACGTATTATTTCATCACCCAGGTATTAAGCCCAGTACCCAATAGTTATCTTTTCTGCTCCTCTCCTCCTCCCACCCTTCCCCCTCAAGTAGATGCTAATGTATTTTGTTTTCTTCTTTGTGCTCAAAAGTTCTTACCATTTAACTCCCACTTATAAGTAAGAACATGTGGTATTTGGTTTTCTGTTTCTGCATCAGTTTGCTAAGGATAATAACCTCCAGCTCCATCCATGTTCCCATAAAAGACATGCTCTCATTCTTTTTTATTGCTTCATAGTATGACGTATTATGTATGTACCACATTTTCTCTATCCAGTCTGTCACTGATGGGCATTTAGGTTGATTCCATGCCATGTCTTTGCGACTGTAAATAGTGCTGCAATGAACATTTGTGTGCATGTGTCTTTATGATAGAATGATTTCTATTCCTCTGGGTATTTACCCAGTAATAGGATTGCTGAGCCGAATGGTAGTTTTGCTTTTAGCTCTTGGAGGAATTGCCATACTGCTTTCCACAATGGTTGAACTAATTTACACTCCCACTAACTGTGTATAAGTGTTCCCTTTTTTCTGCAACCTTGCAAGCATCTGTTATTTTTTGACTTTTTAATAATAGCTATTCTAACTGGTATGAGATTGTATCTCATTGTGGTTTCAATTTGCATTTCTCTAATGATCAGTGATGTTGTACTTGTTTTCATATGCTTATTGGCCAGATATGTGTCTTCTTTTGAGAAGTGTCTGTTCATATCTTTTGCCCACTTTTTAATGAGGTTGTTTTTCTCTTGTAAATTTGTTTAAGTTCCTTATAGATGCTGGATATTGGACCTTTGTCAGATGTATAGTTTGCAAAAGTTTTCTGCCATTCTTTAGGTTGTTTGTTTACCCTGTTAAGAGTTTTTTTTTGCTGTGTAGAATATCTTAATTTTAATTAGTTCCCACTTGTCAATTTTTGCTTTTGTTGCAATTGCTTTTGGTGTCTTCATCATGAAATCTTTGCCTGTTTGTATGTCCAGAATGGTATTGCCTAGGTTTTCTTCCAGGGTTTTTATAATTTTTGGGTTTTACATTTAAGTCTTTAATCCATCTTGAGTTGATTTTTGTTTTCTGTTTTTTTTGAGATGGAGTCTCGCTCTGCCGCCCAGACTGGAGTGCAGTGGCACGATCTTGGCTCACTGCAAGCTCTGCCTCCCAGGTTCATGCCATTCTCCTGCTTCAGCCTCCCGAGTAGCTGGGACTACAGGCACCCACCAGCACGCCTGGCTAATTTTTTTGTATTTTTAGTAGAGATGGGGTTTCGCCGTGTTAGCCAGGATGGTCTTGATCTCCTGACCTCGTGATCCGCCCGTCTCAGCCTCCCAAAGTGCTGGGATTATAGGCGTGAGCCACCGCGCTGAGCCTTGAGTTGATTTTTGTATGTGGTATAAGGAAGAGGTCCGGCTTCAATCTTCTGAACCTGGCTAGCCTGTTATCACAGCACCATTCATTGAATAGGGAGTCATTCCCCCATTGCTTATTTTTGTCAGCTTTGTCAAAGATCAGATGGTTGTAGATGTGCAGCTTTATTTCTGGGCTCTCTATTCTGGTCCATTGGTCTATTTGTCGGTTTCTGTACCAGTACCATGCATTTTTGATTAATGTAGCCTTGTAGTATAGTTTGAAGTCAGGTAACATCATGCCTCCAGCTTTGCTCTTTTTGCTTAGGATTGCCTTGGCTATTCAGACTCTTTTTGGTTCCATATAAATTTTAAAATAGTTTTTTTTCTAGTTCTGTGAAGAATGTGCTTGGTAGTTTAATAGGAACAGCATTGAATCTGTAAATTGCCTTGGATGGTATAACCATTTTAATAATGTTGATTCTTTCTGTCCACAAGCATGGGATGTTTTTCCATTTGTTGTGTCTTCTCTGATTTCTTTAAGCAGCTTTTGTAATTCTCCTTGTAGAGATCTTTCACCTCCCTGGTTAGCTGTATTCCTAGGTATTTTATTCTTTTTGTGGCAATTGTGAATGAGATTGCCTTGCTGATTTGGGTCTCGGTTTGGCTATTGTGGGTGTATAGGAATGCTAGCGATTTTTGTACATTGATTTTATATACTGCAACTTTGCCGAAGGTATCAGCTGGAGGAGATTTTGGGCTGACACTTTGGGGTTTTCTAGATATAGAATCATGTAGTCTACAAATAGAAATAGTTTGACTTCCTCTCTTCCTATTTGGGTGCCCTTTATTTGTCTCTCTTGCCAGATAGCTCTGGGTATGACTTTCAATACTATTTTGAATAGAAGAGATGAGAGAGGGCATATTTGTCTTGTGCTGGTTTTCAAGGGGAATGCTTCCAGCTTTTGCCCATTTAGTAAAATGTTGGCTATGGATTTGTCATAGATGGCTCTTATTATTTTGAGGTAGGTTCCTTCAATATCTGGTTTATGGAGAGTTTTTAACATGAAAGGGTGTTGAATTTTATCAAAAGCCTTTTCTTCATCTATTGAGATATTCATGTGGTTTTTGTTTTTAGTTCCGTTTATGTGATGAATCACATTTATTGATTTGTGTGTGTTGAACCAACCTTGCATCCCAGGGATGAAGCCTACTTAATCATAGTGGATTAGTCTTTCGACATGCTGCTGAACTGAGTTTGCAAGTATTTTGTTGAGGATTTTTTCATCAATGTTCATCAAGGACATTGGCCTGAAGTTTTCTTTTGTGTGTGGGTCTCTGCCAGGATTTGGTGTCAAGATGATGCTGGCCTTATAGAAGGAGTTAGGGAAGAGTCCCTCCTCCTCCATTTTATAGAATAGTTTCAGTAGGAATGGTACCAGCTCTTCTTTGTACATCTAGTAGAATTCGGCTGTGTTTCCATCAGGTCCTGGGCTTTTTTTGGTTGGTAGGCTATTTATTACCGAGTTAATTTTGTAGCTCCTTGTTGACCTGTTCAGGTAATCAATTTCTTTCTGGGTCAGTCTTGGGAGGGTGTATGTGTCCAAGAATTTACCCATCTCTTCTAGATTTTCTAGTTTGTGTGCCTAGAGATGTTTGTAGTAGTTTCTGATGGTTCTTTTTGGTTCTTTTTATTTCTGTGGGGCCAATAATAACATTACCTTATCACTTATAGTTGTGTTTATTTGGATATTCTCTCTTTTCTTCCTTATTTGTCTAGGTATAATAGCCTATCTATCTTATTATTTTTTTCAAAAAACCAATTCCTGTATTCATTGATCTTTTGAATTTTTTGCGTGTCTTGATTTCCTTCATTTAACTTCTGATATTAGTTATTTCTTATCTTCTGCTAGCTTTGGGGTTTATCTGTTTTTGCTTCTCTAATTTTTTCAGTTGTGAGATTAGGTTGTTAATTTAAGATTTTTCTAAATTTTGATGTGGCCATTTAGTGCTATGAATTTCCCTCTTAACACTTCCTTAGCTGTGTCTCAGAGATTCTGGTATATTGTATGTATGGGGGTCTAACCTCCCACTTTGCTGGACCTGCAGCTACTTTTGCTGGAAAGCCCAAGTATCTAAGGCTCCAGGGTCTCCACATATGGCTGAGCAGCTGCTCTTCCAAGACTCCAAGTGTCTCTGTCTGTCAGACTGAAGGCCCTGGTACAATGGGTTCACAAGGAGATCTCCTGACCTGAAGGTTACAAAGATCTGTGCAGAAGCATGGTTTCCTGGGGCAGCTCATTCACTCACCACTTCTCTGGGTGGGGGAGGTTCTCCTTGCTCTGTGTTGTTCCCAGGTGGGCAGTTGTCCTGTCTTGCCCTTCTTTGTTCTCTGTGGGTCAAGTTGTTTCCTTGATTAGTTGTAATCATCCAGTGAGTAACTGGATGTTTCAGTTGAGGGCATTGTATTACTCACCCCTTTCATTCTTCTCCCTGACAGCCATGCACACCAGCTGCATCTAGTCGGCCATCTTGGCCACTCCCTCTTTAAAACTTTCTTGTACATTACACATACCTCTTAGATAAACTTAATAAAAGATAAAACATCATCATTATAGGCCTGGCAATGAGAATATTGTATAGGTGTTCCATGAAATCCCTTATCTATGAAGAATACAGCTGTAGTTTCCTCAGTTTTATTTGTTTGGTTGGTTGGTTTTGTTTCCAGATTAGAGCTTAGTAGCCTAGAAGAAAAAAAGGAATACTCATATTTTCAGTAGTTCTTCAATATAACCAAAAAGGAAATTTAGCTTTGAATTTCTACCACAATATTCTTATCTGCTCTAGGGTGGAAATACATAGTAGCAACAGGGTTAAAGCAATGAACACTTTCTTTTTTTATTCCACTTTTAAGCAGGAGTTAGAGCACCTTCTATTATTAAAAAGAAGTTTCCATTAGGATGCCACTAGAGATACCAAAATCAAAGTAAATAAATATATTTCTACATAGAATATTTTAATGTTATAACAATCAGTAACATTTTTGTTTAGTCTGTTTTCACCTATGTTCTACATTTTAAGGACAATTAAGGGGCAGAGGATGTAGTCTCACAATAAGTTTTCAGGGTATGTTATTTGAACAGAAAGCAAAAGAGACACAATATTTTAAGGTTTAGGTAGATAAAACCTAGCACTGTGGCAGGAGTGTCTATTGGAAGCAAATGTCATTTCCTCCCAGTATAGAGTAGTTTGGTTTTTGAGTTGTTTCTTTAGGTTCAGAGTAAATAGGATGCTCTCTAAAATCTGCTCTAATTGTGATGAACAATGTCCCCAGCAACTCTAAGTGTGTAATATTTGTAGTTGTTGTTGTTTCTCCTCCCATCAGATTATCTCTGTCATTGAATCTTCCCTGGCATATATAAAAGTACCATGCATAGTGGAAAATGCCAGAGTGCTACTGTTTGTTTTTCTAGTGTTTCTCATTGAGTGTTGGCTTTGGAATCCAACACACACCACTATTGAATCCTGAGATTGTCATTAGAGGCTAACTGTGGTATGGACAAATCAATTACTCTTTCTCAATTCCAATTTTGTCATTATTAAAATGAGGAAAGAAGATCCATGATAGGTTTGCTGTGATGATTATATAATAATGCATATAAAATGTATGGTACAGAGTGACGACACAATAAATGGTGATTGTTATTTTCAAATTACTTCAAATTCTCTAAAACAGAATGTAAACAGACAGGAGAAAAACCATAGCGCAGAGCTGGTGTGGAATTTAAAATTCTTTACAGAATCCCACAAAACTTAGAATATGGGGCAAACCCACATAATGCCATAGCTGGACGATGAAAAAGTTTATAGTCAACAGCTGATGACAGAAAAAGGATAAAAACATTTTGGCCAAAAAAACAGCATAGAATAGTCATCATAGATAGCTAATTCATGGCGGGATAATATTAGAAGAGAGCCAAAAGGCAAAGTGCAGTTTCAGTGATGTGGGTCATGTACGGAGAGGAGGAGATTATATTCTGCATTGCCAGAAATGAGAAGAAATTTCTAAAAAAAAAAAAATCAAGATAAACAAACATTAAAGGGTGTTGTTTTAAATAAATATAAGCATTTGTTTGATTTGCTTTTGATTTTTCTGGATAAATATAAACATTTGTTTGGTTTGCTTTTGATTTTTCTGGATAAAAAATGGAAGGCCGGGCACAGTGGCTCATGCCTGTAATCCCAGCACCTTGGGAGGCCAAGGCGGTAGATCACCTAAGGTCACAAGTTTGAGGCCAGCCTGGCAAACATGGCGAAACTCCGTCTGTACTAAAGATGCAATTAGCCGGGCATGGTGGCATGCACCTATAGTCCCAACTACTTGGGAGGCTGAGTCAGTAGAATCGCTTGAACCTGGGAGGGGAGGTTGCAGTGAGCCAATATCGCACCACTGCACTCTAGCTTGGGTGACATAGTGAGACTCCATCTCAAACACAGACACACACAAACACACACACACACACACACACACACACACACACACACAGCATAGTCCTATTACATTTTTAGGCACACCCTAATTAACTAACATCTTGATGTCCCTTGAGGTATGCCTCCTACAAAATAATATTAGAAAAGGCAGATTCAAGATTTCAGGAGCGTCAGTTTGCCAGCTGGCTGCCATGTGTTTGACTGGTGTTTAACAGTGAGTATTGGCTGACCTCTGCTGAAGAACAGGGATAGTATCTGGGCACCTGAGGCAACTGCGGTCCACAGGTGAAAACATAATCTCTCAGATTTGTAATGGAATACTGAGAGATGTCAAGTTGAGTCATATCACATAAGTGTCACCTGCTCTGACAGCATTCAGGACATTTGCCCATGGTGCTTTTCTTCCATTTTTTCTCTTCGTATAATCATACACTGTAAGAGGTCAGTGGGGACTGGTAGTCTTTTAAAGTGCATTGACAGAAAAGGACAGTATATATTTCAAATCTGGCTCATTTGTTATAGCAAAAGACAGATACTGAATTGCAATTGCTCTGGATAAGGGCAAAACTCATTTAATATAGCTACAAAGTATAATAAAATTAACCTAAAAAAAGACATGAGTAACTCCACAGTGCTCTCTTAATGACTACATTGCCAGTGGAATTGCTAATTTGGGGTTCAATGTGCATCCATTATTTCAAAGCGTTCAATATTTAAGACAATCTTCCAATATACTTCCAAGTCACATTTTTGTACTTTCTTTTTCGTGTTTTTCCCCCACATGTCCTTTTCTTAGCATTGCCATTAAATCATTTATCTTTTTGTAACTACTCTGAGATTTCTCTTCTCTCTCTCTCTTTTTTTTTTTTTTTTTTTTCATTACCCGGATAGCTACCTTATGTTTACTGCTTTCCATGGAGATTACTTGTCAACACACCTTCTGTTTTATTTTCTTCTACTTCTCTGGCCTCAATGTAATTAGATGGTCAATTTCATCCTTTTATTTCCATAGTCTACTCCTCTTATCTTATTCTCTAATAGTCCTGTTCTCCAATCCACTTATTCTCATTATTTTTATTTTCTTTTTTTTTTTTTTTTTTTTTTTTTTTTTTGAGACAGAGTCTCGCTCAGTCACCCAGGCTGGAGTACAATAGAGCGATCTCGGCTCACTGCAACCTCCGCCTCCTGGGTTCAAGCAATTCTCTTGCCTCAGCCTGCCATGTAACTGTGATTACAGGCATGCACCACCACACCTGGCTAATTTTTTTATTTCTACTAGAGACAAGATTTCACCATATTGGGCAGGCTGGTCTCGAACTCCTGACGTCAAGTGATCCACCCGCCTCGGCCTCCCAAAGTGCTGGGATTAGAGGCATGAGCTGCTGCGCCTGGCTGTATTCTCATTTTTTTTTAATACTACTTCTATTTCTCCATTCAACATTTATCTTTTAGATATGACCCTCTTTATCTAAATCTCATCAATTATCCTTTCCCTTCATTTTAACCTCATTTTACAAATTACTTGCTTCTTCCATCTCTCAGTCATTTCTTTTTCTTTACATTTATATAAGGTTTATCATATCCCTTTTCCCACCACTTTCTTTCTCATGCTTTATAAGTATTTATTGAGTTTTTCTATGTGTCTGGCATATAGGAACATACTATGACATAGACCTTGCTTTCAAGAACTTCCCCATCTAGAAGAGATAGACACATAAATTAATAAATTTTTAAAAATATAGAAAGTTCATGAATATAAATAAACCTGCAGTTTTATAGAAGCCCTGGAGAATGTGAAATGGGTTGAGAGCGGATGTCATCAAGAAAAACTACCTGGATGATGTTTACTACCTCTAAGAATTGACGGAGGAGGTGATGGAAAGTGCTCTCTAGGTCAGTGAGACAGCGTGACAAAAAGACTCAGAGATACAAAATAGCATGTCATGGTAGAGATGAAGAAGTAGTTAGGTATTGCCAGAGCATAAGTGGAAGACAGAGAATGTGACAAAGGAGCTTGAGAACAGGGAAGGGTCACACTGTAGAGGATGTTATTTGTTATGCTGAGAAGCGTGACATGAGCAGGAAACTGAAATGCATTGAAGAAGGAAATGGCCACAATTATTCATTTTTATTATATATTCTTTCAGCTATTTAGACAGGACAGATTTCAGGGATATAAGAATGGAGTTAGGTATCCCAGTTGTAAGCTATTTTATGAGAATCTGGATCAGGATGACAATAGAGAAAGACCAGAAAGTACAGATTCAAGAATTATTTAGAAAAAAAAAGGAACAAATGCAAATGCTAGTTGATGTGGGGAGTGAGAGAGAGGCTGATTCCAGGAATCTATATTTAGTGATGAGATGCAAGGTATTGTCAACATCGAAGAGAGAGAACACAGCAAAGAACCTGCTCATCCTTCATTTTATTTGTTTGTTTTGTTAGTTTTTGACTTTTTATTTTGATACAAATTTTGACTTACAGAAGAGTTAGAAAAAACATGCAGAGAGCACTCATCTACACATTGCTTGGCTTCCCTGAATGTTAAGGTAACATCTTACATAACCATAGTACAGTGATCAAAACCATGAAATTAACATTTGTGCTATTAATGTTATTATTACTGCTATTAATTACTATTAAACAGGCCTAATTGGAACTTCACCAGTTCTTTTACTAATTGGATCTCACCTTATATTTAGCTGCCATATCTCCTTTGGCTCCTCCAATCTATGACATTCCCTCAGTCTTTTCTTGTCTTTCATGACCTTGCCACTTTTAAAGAATACTAGTCAGTTATATTGCAGAATAACTGCCAGTTGGGGTTGGATTGATGTTTTCTCATTATTGGATTGAAGTTATGCATTTTTGGCAGGCATGCTACAGTGATATAACCTTCTCAGCCTATATATCAGGGAGTACATCATGTCAGTATGTCTTATTACTGGTGATAATTAACCTTGATCATTTGGTTAAGGTGGTGTCTGCTGGCTTTCTCCCCTGTAAAGTTACACTTTTTCCTTTTATAATTAGTAAATATCTTGAAGGAGATATTTTGAGACTATGAAATTATTTTGTTTCTCCTCAAACTTTCGCATACTAATTTGGACATCCATTGGTAGATTTTTTTAAACTTTTAAGTTCAGGGATACATGTACAGATTTGTTATTATAGATAAACTTGTGTCATGGAGATTTGTTGTACAGATTCCTTGTCACCCAGGTACTAAGCCTAGTACCCATTAACTATTTTTCCTGGTCCTCACCCTCCTCCCAACCTCCACCCTCCAGTAGGCGCCAGTGTCTGTTGTGCCCCTCTATAAGTCCATGTGTTCTCCTCATTTAACTTCCACTTGTAAGTGAGAACATGCTGGATTTGGCTTTCTGTTTCTGAATGAGTTTGCTAAGGATAATGGCCTCTAGCCCCATCCATGTTCTTGCAAAGGAAATTATCTCATTCTTTTTATGGCTGCATAGTATTCCATGGTGTATATGTACCATAGTTACTTTATCTAGTATACCATTGATGGGCATTTAGGTTGATTCCATGTCTTTGCTATTGTGAATAGTGTTGCAATGAACATACACGTGCATCTATCTTTACAATAGAACAATTTATATTCCTTTGAGTATTTACCCAGTAATGGAATTGCTGAGTTGAATGACAGTTCTCCTCTTACTTCTTTGAGGAATTGTCACACTGCTTTCCATAATACTTGCACTAATTTACACTCCCACCCAATAGTGTATAAGCATTTCTTTTTCTCCTCAACCTCAGCAGCACCTGTTATTTTTTGAGTTTTTAATAATAGCTATTCTGACTGGTGCAAGACAGTATCTCGTTGGGGTTTTGATTTTCATTTCTCTAATAATCAGTGATGTTAAGCTTTTTTAAATAAGTGTGTTGGCTACATGTATGTCTTGTTTGGAAAAGTGTCTGTTCATGTCCTTTGCCTATTTTTATATGGGGTTGTTTGTTTTATTTTTTCTTGTAGATTTGCTTAAGTTCCTTGTAGATGGTGGATATTAGAGCTTAGTCAGATGCAGAGTTTGGAAAAATTTTCTCCCCTTCTGTAGGTTATCTGTTTATTCTGTTCTTAGTTTGTTTTGCTATGCAGATGCTGTTTAGTTTAGTTAGATCCCATTTGCTTTTGTCGCAATTGCTTTTGATGTCTTTATCATGAAATCTTTGCCCGTTCATATGTCCAAAATGGTATTGCCTAGGTTTTCTTCCAGGGTTTTTATAGTCTGGGGTTTTTTCTTTAAGTCTTTGATCCATCTTGAGTTAATTTTTGTGTATGGTGTAAGGAAGGTGTCCAGTTTCAATCTTCTGCACATGGCTAGCCAGTTATCCCAGCACCATTTTTTGAATAAGGAGTCCTTTCTGCACTGCCTGTTTTTGTCAGCTTTGTCCAAGATCAGATGGTTGTAGGTGTGTGGGCAGTCTTATTTCTGGACTCTCTATTCTATTAAGTTGGTCTAAATATCTGTTTTGTACCATTACCATGCTGTTTTGGTTTCTGTAGCCCCATAGTATAGTTTGAAGTTGGGTAGTCTATGCCTCCAGCTTTGCTCTTTTTGCTTAGGATTTCCTGGGCTATTCTTTGGTTTCATATGAATTTCAAAATAGTTTTTTCTCATCTGTGAAGAATATCCTTGGTAGTTTGATAGGAATAGCATTGAATCTATAAATTGCTTCGGCCAGTATGGCTACTTTAACAATATTGATTCTTCCTAGTAGGAATGTTTTTCTATTTGTTTGTGTCATCTGTGATTTCTTTGAGCAGCATTTCGTAGTTCTCCTTGTAGATATCTTTCACCTCCCTGGCTGCCTGTATTCCTAGGTCTTTTATTCATTCTGTGGCAATTGTGAATGAGATTGCATTCCTGATTTGGCTCTCAGCTTGGATGTTGTTGGTGTGTAAGAATGCTAGTGATTTTTGTACATTGATTTTATATGCTGAAACTTTCCCAAAGTTGTTTATCAGCTTAATGAGCTTTGGGGTTGAGACTATGGGATTTTCTAGATATAGAATCATGTGGTCTGCAAACAGGGATAGTTTGACTTCCTCTCTTTCTATTCGGATGCCCTTTATTTCTTTCTCTTGCCTGATAGCTCTGACTAAGATTTTCAATTCTATGTTGAATAGGAGTGATGACAGAGAACATTCTTTTCTTGTGCTAGTTTTCAAGGGGGAATGCTTCTAGCTTTTGTCCATTCATTATGATGTTGGCTGTGGGTTTGCCATGATGGCTCTTATTATTTTGAGGTATCCAGGGAAACTTCTCATCCTTTCATGCCTCCATCAAGTGGTCTTCCAACAATAATGATAATTTGCATTTTTTTAAAGTGTGCTATAATTTTGAAAGCTCTCACACATTCATTACTTAATTTAATTCTTATGAAAATCCTCTGAAATTGACTCAGCAGGTCCTATTTTCCATAATTTTCAAGTAACAGTACTGAAAAAGCCATTGCTCAAATGTATATCCTACTGACCATAGGTTATTTAAATGCTCAAATTTTTTTTTCACAATGAGACAGCATAGGCTCCTGGTCTGGCAGTCAGTCTGCTGGGGTCTACTGTAGGTATCAGCAATGCAGCCACGAAGCTACTGTCTTCCAAACATAAAAGAGGTTAGAGAGGCTGATCCTCATAGAAAGCATCCTCTGCCTGAGACTCCTTGCCACTGGAATGCATGTTGTTCAGTTACTCCTACAGAGAAAGTTGCCATCACCATCAGAAGGAACACACTTCAAGTAAGAAAGATATCCATGGGCTCAGAATTCACCTTAATAAGCAAATATTTCATATACATATAATGTTTTCCATACCATGTTTTATACATGGGTTACATATAGACATGAAACTGTACTAGTGACTTCTAGAATCAGTCTATTGATCTCTTTATATTTGTTGCACATTTGTCTTGTATTCCTGTGGAGTTGTATTACAGACAATGATGTTATTTTTAAAGCAATGCGTAGAGCTTCTGGGCTGGTGAACACGTAGAGCTGCATGGGAGCTTTGTGGTCTGTCCCTCCCCTTCGCTTTATGCATCCTTTCCATTTGGGCTGTTCCTGTGTTGTGTCATTTCTAATAAATTGATACACAATAAAAATAGCAATTACAAATGGTTGGTATAAAAGAAAAAAAAACTCTATGTTTTCCTAGTCCAGCTGAAAACTAGAGAAATAGCTTTTCTAGCAGCAGTAACAACACGGGAGAGGTTGATGATAACAAGGGCCTTTCCTGAACGGCATTTATTTTCATTTCAAATGAGGGATGAACACAAGGGCAAGGCAGGATACTTCACCATGGATTAACTTTTCTTGACCGTACTGGAATCCACTTTGCTATGAGAATGTATCATATCATGGTTTACTCTGTATTTCCAGGTAGTGCACTGGCAAAGTCTTTAAATAAGTTTAATTCTCATTCATCCTCATTATTATGAAAGCTGTGTTTAGATTTAAATTTTATGGTTAAGGTGAGGCTTAATTCCATGAATTGCTTATTTATTTTTTCAGTAGAAAAATGAGAGAGAATGGGCTGAATTATGATTCCTATGAGAAGCTTGGCAACAGCTTAACTTCATAAACTAATTAAAGAGACTTGTCAAATTATATTTGGCAGCTTAAAATCTTGGATTCAATGTAAGAGATCAGAATTAATCTGAATGTTGCTTATATTAACTAGTGTTTATTCTTTTAACCAAATTTAGTCCTGAACTATTCTGACCCTGAAGGGCAAAATGCTCTAAAGCAGTAATTTTCTATAAAAATCTAGAATTTTTCTTATATCATTCATATCTGTGTCATTTTAAATTTGGAACTACTGGCCAGGCACGGTGGCTCATGCCTGTAATCCCAGCACTTTGGGAGGCCGAGATGGGCGGATCACGAGGTCAGGAGATCAAGACCATCCTGGCTAACATGGTGAAACCCCATCTCTACTAAATACACAAAAAATTAGCCGGGCATGGTGGCGGGTGCCTGTAGTCCCAGCTACTCGGGAGGCTGAGGCAGGAGAATGGCGTGAACCCACGAAGCGGAGCTTGCAGTGAGCTGAGATCGCGCCACTGCACTCCAGCCTGGGCGACAGGGCGAGACTCAGTCTCAAAAAAAAAAAAAAAAAAAAAAAAAAAATTGGAACTACTATATAAATTTTATGCATTTCTATGATAAGTCTCTGTAATATAGTCCAGGCCAAATAATTCTCTTTTAACAACTGCTAAGTAAATTCAACTTTGTATATGTGGATAGTTTTAATAAAAGTAAACCAAGGAGTTAGTAAAAACGGTTGTTCTCAAACTGTAATCAGGAATGCCTGGCAAGCTGGACGTGGTGGCTCACCCCTGTAATCCTAACACATTGGGAGGCTGAGGTGGGTGGATCACCTGAGGCCAGGAGTTTGAGTCCAGCCTGGCCAATACGGCAAAACCCCATCTCTACTAAAAATACAAAAAATTAGCAGGGCGTGGTGGTACATGCCTGTAATCCCAGCTACTCGGGAAGCTGAAGCAACAAGAATCACTTGAACCCAGGAGACAGAGGCTGCAGTGAGCCGAGATTGCACCATGAGACTCCAGCCTGGGCAACAAGAGTGAAACTCCATCTCAAAAAGAAAACAAAAACAAAAACAAAAAAAACCTGGTGGTCCTTTTAAACATGCATGGTTTTCGCCGTCTAGAGACTTACTGAGGTTGAATGTCAAAGTATAGCATTTGAGAATATTTTATGCCTTCCAGTTGATTCTGCCGTGAGCTGTTTGAGAAAATACTAGGTTAAACTGCATGATTAATATTATTCACTATTAACTGGAGAAGATAGTAATGTTACAAATCCATATGCTGGTAGATGTATAAAACATCTTTAGGTGTTTTTCTCTAGAGAACTGGGGGTCAGGCAGAGGTGAAAGAGATATTTATTTTTGACTCTAAATGTATTCCTTCTACCATTTGAAGTTAGTTTTCACTGAGCTTCTAAGTTACAAATATGGTGTGGGGTGAGTGGGTATGTGGGATAAGAGTAAATGGGTATATATAAAGTAAAAGATAAAGAAAAGTATAGGATCTGTTGTATTCTTTTTGATACCTCATAAATTTATATTTCTCCTTAGAAAACTTCTGTTGATAGTTTTTAAGTAATCCTTAAAAATTAACATTCACAATAAGCCCATCTTTCATTTCTACTCCATCTTTAGCCTTTTACACAAAATTCTTTCTAGACTTCTCACTATAAGCCAGGCCTTATGCTAGGCTATGGGAATATAAGTGACACATGGTCACTACCCTCAAATGTTGCCAAGAAACCCCCCCAAAGTAAAAGAAAATCCTTTATCTATAAACAGATAAAGAAATTTGTGTAAGGTAAACTCATCCCCAAATACTTCACCTAAAAAGATTTAAGTATCAAAGTATCTACTGAGAATATAATACATTTATTATAAAGCCAGCGGCAAAAAAAAAAAATACCCTCATTCCCTCTATTCCTACTATTCCCTCTTCCTCTTTTGTGGAATATTGACCTATTTCTTCCCAATCTTTTATGTAGGTATATATGTATTTGTTTATTTAAATTATTTGCTTCTACCATAATACTGTTAACTTTTGTTTAGTTATTTGGTTATTCTAAATTCTTAGGCTGCCAAAATACCACCCAAAGGAGGATGGAGGTGAGAGGAAAAGTGCTTTCTTAGACCCCCCATGTCTGTATACTACTATTCCCTGGAATGCTCATTTCATTCCCTACCTGTACCCTTTTCGGCTTCACAAACTCCTCAGAAATGCACTCACCTTCTATTTATCCATCTAATTACCCTCCCTGCTTATTTTGAAATATATAATTTGGACTACAAAGATATGCTGGTAAACAGATTTTCTTTAAATTTGAAATAGGTGAGGACTGCCAGGCAAAGGAAGGAAAAATATTTGGTTATTAAATAGCACTGAGATTCAAACATAAAAATGAATGCCCCAAACACTGCACGCTGGTCAAATGTGGAGTATAAATTTAACTCTAAGCTGTTTAACAAAAGAGAGTGATATAAAATAGTTACAGTTATTAACTATTTTAAAATTTAAAATTAGTAACTTATTTAGTAAAATGTACTTTTTAAACATATAATTAAATGTTTATGGAAAGCACAACACTTACTGATTTGCAGGTACACCATTCATTTTCTATTTTTAATCCACAGTTCTTGTTTTGCTTACGGGTGGTGTCTGTTTTCCCTTCATGAGCTTTAATTGGCTAAAACTGATCCCTTCTCATTCAGGTAGCTAATGTCTAGGCCACAGGAAATTGAATGTAAGTGGCTATTAAAGGAGTTCTCTGGAATACTCACAGTGCATAAATTAGAGTTTTATAAATGATCTAAAACTAGTTAATGGTCAAAATAGTGTGAAGTTAGAAATTATACAAATAAAGGTAAGGAATAGAAGCTAGCTTTTGAATCATCTAAATAAACATGCTATTTTCCTGTCACTGAGCACAGGGCTGCTGCTGCTGCTGCTGTTGAAGTTAGGTGAAAATGGTGAAGAATTGAACTGGAGACTGTATAATGAGAAATGTTCAGAAGCTCCAGAAATTCAACAGCAAATTTTTCCTTGTTTTCATTCTCAGAATTCTCTAGTAGAATGAATCAGATATGGATGAAAATTGAATAGAGAAGTATGCCGAGAACTTCACAGTATCAGTCAGTCTCTACTGCATAACATTTAAATATTTTCAGGTAATGCTTCCCATGAAGTCATTTAGCACTTTCTAACTTTAAATTTCAATTGTTGTTATATAATATAATATAATATAATTAATATAAATAGTATGAGTACTTTCAATTCACGTTCACTCACACTATCTAATTCAAATATCTAGATCACCTGTGAGGAAGATAAAAATAGTTATAATTTATTTATTGTCATATCATTTCAAAGCCTGTTCTAAATTCTTTTCTTAACTCATTTAAGTAAATCCTATGAGGTATATACTGTTAATATTTTACAGATGCAGGCATTGAGGCATGGAGAAAATATCTTCATAACTGAAGGCCTCACAAGTGGTAAATGCCAGAGATGGAATTTGAATGCGAGCAGCCGGGCTCCAGAACTGCCCCTAGGCTTTGCCAACATATTGCAGGGAAGGAAGTAGGAGCGAAGACATTATATAAGTCTGTGATTCCTAATACATATCTCTCTATGACGTGTAGAGGTATAGAAAAAAATGTCATCTGGTTGGGTCTGAAGTTATAGAAAATCCAGCCTTAAGGTTTCAATCAGTCAGAATTAGAAGCCAGAGTTCTTCCATTCCAAGCCTATATAATAAACATAGCTTCATAAGGGAACATACAAGCTAAAGAGCATCACTGATTGAGTCTTTCCAGTCCCTGATCTCGGGGGGCTTTCAGTCCAGGAAAGTGCATAAGCACACTGAAACTGAATGAGTGCTATTGTATACACACACACACATACACATGAGCACATGTGCATACATGTATGCATACATGCACACAAGATTTAGAAGACTTATATGCATTTTAAAAAAAAGGTTTAGAATCCAGATTAAACAAACAATTATGCCGGGCACAGTGGCTCACGCCTGTAATCCCAGCACTTCGGGAGGCTGAGGCGGGCAGACCACGAGGTCAGGAGATCGAGATCATCCCGGCTAACATGGTGAAACCCTGTCTCTACTAAAAATACAAAAAACAAAATTAGCCGGGCGTGGTGGTGGGCGCCTGTAGTCCCAGCTACTTGGGAGGCTGAGGCAGGAGAATGGCGTGAACCCAGCATGTGGAGGTTGCAGTGAGCCGAGATAGCGCCACTGCACTCCAGCCTGGGTGACAGAGCGAGACTCGTCTCAAAAAAAAAAAAAAGAAAAAAAGAAAAAAAAATTATTACAGCCTGAGCTGAATCAGTGTAACTTCCAGGGAGGAGCACTTGAACTAGGCCTACAGAATAACCAGGATGAGATGAACATGTCGAGCCCAAGCATCAGAATGAAACAAAAGTAGCTGAAGTGTTGTGGAAAGTACAATGAATGTGGCTATTTGTTTTGCTTCTACCAAACATGGTGACCTTGGGCAAGTCCCTTGACTTCTCTGAGTCCATTTCCTCTCCTGTAAATTAGAAATTGAATACCACCAACTACACCAGGCCATTGTGAAGAAAAATAATATACATGAATATGCCTTATCAACTATAAAACGGTATATAAATTAATGTATTATTAATAGTATCTTCATGTTTATATTTCATGAAACAAATGATTATATGCAGTAGCTATTTCTTTTTAAATTCCTGACCTATGGCTTTAGATGTGATAAATTACTTAGAAATGAGAACATGGTTGTGTGAGTTCTCTCATAAAATGTTGCACAGTGCCTGGAAAATATCTGGCATACAACATACATTTGGTGAATAAATTAATAAATGAATTATAAAAATGAATAAATGTCAAGCTACAGTTTTTCCATGTCTGTCATTGCCCTGCCTTAAGGAGACCGTAGCTTCAACCACTGGACTGTGGAAAAAAAAATCTGCAGTATTATTTAAATCTGTCATGCTTGCTTTCATCTCAGGATAAATGACTAGTAGCAAGCATTCTAAATTTAACATTATTTTTGTGTTTTAATTTCATAGTTATAATTTATTATAATTCACCTAAAAATACCTCTACATAATTCATAAAATAATTTAATCAAAGGGTTTTTTCACATGCAAAAGAAAAACAATGTTTGTTAGTTAGGTTAGTAATTATTAAGCATTCTCTAAGCCATTTACTTTTCAAATAATTTTTTTAAAAAAATCAAAGAAATATTGTGCACTAAAGAAAAATCTAATAATATGTAAGGATATATTTTTTAAAAATGTCCTCTCCCACTCACACCTTCCCTGTCCCTGTCTAAATTCCAAGATATGACTACTTTAGCTACTTTTATGTTTAGCTGTTCTCTTAGTTACCTAGATTTAACTAAATATCTTTCTATTTCATAATTTTTCATCTGCAGTCATTGCCTTTTGACTCCCCATAAATTTATACCAATGTTTTTCAGTTCCTTTACCAGCTACTTCTATAACTTTAAAAATAATACTTTAGTAACCATTTTGTTAACCATCAGCTTTCTATGAGAACAGGATTCATCTGGACTCCTAATTTGTGTGGTAGGACCTGGTAGCTGTCTTGCCATTTTTAATCCTTTTCTGACCACTTTCTACCTTCCAAATCTTACAAGTGTACCTTGATTTTTACTCTGCAAGGTTATTTTATAATCATAATTATACATGTTTTAAAATTTCAACTTTTAGGTTCAGGACATGTGCAGATATGTTACATGCATATACTAGGTGATGCTGAAGTTCAGAGTATGACTGATCCCATCACCCAGGTAGTTAGTATGGTACCCAGTAGATAGTTTTTCAACCCTTTACTCCCTCTCTCCCTCCCTCCCCAACTTTGGAGGCTCCAGTGTCTATTTTCCCCATCTTTATGTCCATGTGTCCCCAGTGTGCCTGGCTCCCACTTATAAGTGAAAGCATGTGGTATTGGTTTTCTGTTACTGTGTTAATTAGCTTAGGATAATAGCCTCCAGCTGCATCTACGTTGCTGCAAAAGATATGATTTCATTCTTTTTTATGGCTACATAATATTCCATGATGTATATATGAACCATATGTTCTTCATCCAATCCATTGTTTATTGGCATTTAGGTTAATTCAATGTCTTTGCTATTGTGAATAGTGCTGCGATGAACATATGAGTGCACATGTCTTTTTGGTAGGATTTATTTTCCTTTGGGCATGTACCCAATAATAGGATTGCTGGGTCAAATTATAGTTCTATTTTTAGTTCTCTGAGGAATCTCCAATCGAGTTTCCATATTGGCTGTACTAATTTACATCCTCTTCAACAGTATTCAAGTGTTCCCTTTTCTCTACATCCTCACCACCATCTATCAGTTTTCGACTTTTTAATAAAGTCATGTGAGACACATAATAAAGTTATGTGAGATGGTATTTTATTGTGGTTTTAATTTGCATTTCTCTGACGATTAGTGATGTTGAGCATTTTTTTCATATGTATGTTTTTGCTTGACTATCTTCTTTTGAGAAGTTTCTCTTCATGTCCTTTGCCCGCATTTTAATGGGGTTGTTCTCCACTTGTTCAATTGTTCAAGTTCCTTAGAAATTCTAGATATTAGACCTTTGTTGGATGCATAATTTTTGAATATTTTACTCCATTCTGTAGGTTATCTGTTGGTAATTTATTTTGCTGTGCAGAACCTCTTTCATTTAATTAGATTCCACTTGACCATTTTTATTTTTGTTGCAAGTGCTTTTGAGGACTTAGTCATAAATTATTTGCCAAGGCTAACATTCAGAAAGGTATTTCCTAGGTTTCTTCTAGGATTTTCATAGGTTTAGGTCTTACATTTAAGTTGTTAATCCATCTTGAGTTAATTTTTGTATATGGTGATGGCTAGGAATCCAGTTTCATTCTTCTGTATACGGATAGACAGTTATCCCAGCACCATTTATTGAATAGGGAATCCTTTCCCCATTGCTTATTTTTGTCAATTTTTTTGATGTTCAAATGGTTGTAGATGCTCACCTTTATTTCTGGCTTCTCTATTGTTTCAATTGTGTCTGTTTTTGTACCAGTAGCATGCTGCTTTGGTTACTGTAGCCTTGTAGTATAAAGTTTAGTAATGTGATGTTTTCTGCTTTGTTCTTTTTGCTTAGGATTGCTTTGGCTATTCAGGCTCTCTTTTGATTCCATACAAATTTTAGAACAGTTTTTTTGTAATTCTGTGAAAAATGACATTAGTGGTTCAATAGGAATAATGTTGAATCTGTAGATTGCTTTGGGCAGTATGGCCATTTTATGATATTGATTCTCCCTACCCATGAGCATGGAATGTTTTTCCATTTGTTTGTGTCATCTGTGGTTTCTTTCAACAGTATTTTATAGTTCTTGTAGAGATCTTTCACCTCCTTGTATAGCTGTAATTATGTCATTCATGCTTTGTTCAATTGCCTGATTCTATAATTTGAAAAGTCTGTAATACCATAATTATTATTTGGACTATGAACATTGCTCATTACAATGAGTGGTGTGCAAAGATTACATTTTCTTTTTTATAATTCCAGTACTTCAAAGTTGTGTGCCACTCATGAAGAACTTCTTCATTTATTTGTATGTTTATCTACTCATTCAATAAATAGTTACAGGGCACCTTCTATGTATCAGGCACTGTTCCAAGCTCATGGAATAAAATAATGAGTGAAAACTACAAATGTTCCTGACCTCCTGAAGCTTATATCCCATTGAACAGAGACAAATAATAAGGATTGGGCACAGTAAGTAAATAAATTACATCACATTTAAGAAAGCTATGGGGAAATGAAAACATAAAGCAGGGTGAGGAAGACCATTCTTGCTGGTTGTAGGTTATAATTTTAAGTAGTGTGATCAGTTAGACTTCATTTAAACAATATTTGAGGTACATAAGGAAGTTCAGTACACAGATATCTAGAGAAATAGAGTTTGAAGCAGAAGGCAGAATTAGAGGAGGAAATCCTACCTGGGAAGTGTACCTGATCTTTGAGACTGGAGTAAGCAAAGGTGAAAGTGTTAAAAGATGAGGTCAGAGATGTGATTGGGGCTGGGGATTGGGGTGGGGACAGATCCAGTGAGGACTCTCACTTTTCCTCTATTTCAGGGGAGCATTTCGGGGGTTGAGCAAAGATGTTTACTGCTCTGTATTACATTTTTTAAAGGGTTACTCCTATATTGATAAATAAATGTAAGAAGCAAATATCCAAGTAAAAAGGCCAATTAGAAGCTATGTAAGAATGCAGGAAAATTGTGATGTGTCCTTCAACACTGGGAATTCCATGTCTTTTATTTCCTTGAAATTTCTATCTCTTTTTAAATGTTCTATCTTTCTTGAGTTATATGTTGGATCTTTTGTATTGATTCTATATGTCTCTTAGCTTTTTTTCTCAAAAGTTTCACCTCCTATTCTTCATTTTATCTTCCAATTCTTCCACTGAAAGTACCTTTTAGTTTCATTTTTTGTTGTTCTTTCACTGTTTGTTTTTTTCCCCACTGCACCCTATACCTGTATTATGGATACACTGTCTTCATAAATAAATCATCTTAGCAATATTGGTATGGAGAATTTTATTTGGGTTTAGTTTAACTTCTATTCCTTTTCTTTGAGTAATCTCTGCTTCCCCAATAGTCATTTTCCCTTTTTTTTAAATTATACTTTAAGTTTTAGAGTACACATGCACAATGTGCAGGTTAGTTACATATGTATACATGTGCCATGTTGGTTTGCTGCACCCATCAACTCATCATTTACATTAGGTATATCTCCTAATGCTATCCCTCCCCCCTTCCCCCACCCCACAACAGGCCCTGGTGTGTGATGTTCCCCTTCCTGTGTCCATGTGTCCTCATTGTTCAATTCCCACCTATGAGTGAGAACATGCGGTGTTTGGTTTTTTGTCCTTGCGATAGTTTGCTGAGAATGATGGTTTCCAGCTTCATCTATGTCCTTACAAAGGACATGAACTCATCATTTTTTATGGCTGCATAGTATTCCATGGTGCATATGTGCCACATTTTCTTAATCCAGTCTATCATTGTTGGACATTTGGGTTGGTTCCAAGTCTGCTATTGTGAATAGTGCTACAATAAACATATGTGTGCATGTGTCTTTATAGCAGCATGATTTATAATCCTTTGGGTATATACCCAGTAATGGGGATGGCTGGGTCAAATGGTATTTCTAGTTCTAGATCCCTGAGGAATTCCCACACTGACTTCCACGATGGTTGCACTAGTTTACAGTCCATTTTCCCTTTTTTAAAAAACTGATTTTTCCATGTTGAAGGCTGTCTTCAAATGTATGGTAATGCTTGGATCGCTGTTCATATTTAAGTATAAGTAAAAGAAAGGCAGACTTGGGGGCCTATATACTTATGCAGGTTTTGTCTGTCTCACTTGACAAAGAATGAGTAGGATGAATCTGTCCTTTAAACTGGAGGACTCTAAATGCTTTAATCTGTCATTGTCAACATTTGTGTAAGCAGTTAGAGAATTCTTAGAATATGCTTTCCATATTTCTTCAAAGAAGAAATTTCTGCCTTTTGGCTTGAGAGATAAATTTTGGCTGTCAGTATTTTTTGAGCCAAGATAAAGGAGGGAAATTGGAGTGGGGTGGCGTTGACTATTTATAAACCAAATATTAGCCTCATTTTTGCTATGACTAGTGTTGCTGAGTCTGGAGCCTGTGTCTGTAATCCTAAATTGAGTCTTCCTTTACTGTGAACCATAAGTAAATACAAGATTACAAAGTGGTAAGTGCTCTTATTTTTGTTTTAAAAATAAAACAAGATGACTTAGGGAGGTCAAGAATATTTCCCTAAGAAAGGGACAATTATGAGGAGATCTAATTAATAAGGAAGCATTCACAAGATGAAAAATTACCAGTAGAGAGCACATTTCTGGCATAGCCTATTCAATGACCTTATTTCATGGGAGCACATAGGGTGAGCACAGGGAGAGACAGACATTTAAGCTTTTAGTTGTTGTTGATGATGATTACTTCATTTTGGACCTAGTGTTACTAACAACAATAAGACTAATTGTTAAATATGCATAAAACACAATTATTAATATATTCACCTTAATAAAATGATCACTAAACTTTTGAGCCCCTAGTATGTGTGACTATCTTATGTGTTAATTATAATATTTAGTATAATTTTTATCTTCCAATTTGCAAGTTTGGAAATTGAAACTGCAAGAACATAAGTAATTTGCCTAATGTCACACAACCACAAAAACTAGAGCCATAGCAAACTCAGAACTGATTTTTCACATTGCAATTATTTTCTTTATAATACCTTATGAAATAAAACCACAGCTAAAAAATTAATAAGATGATTTTTTAAATCCCTAGACTTTATATCCATTTGTTTTATTTTATCTATTTAACTTATTTGACTTATTTCAGTGTTTATAATAAAAAACAAATCTGAACTTAAGAGAAAAAATAACCCCTAGAAATGCTAATATTTATTTACTACTGTTGTTTAAACTTTACAATATTACTTAGAAGCACCATTTTCATACAGTAGTATTTAAATCTGATTATATTAGAGCTCAACCATGGGTGATTTTTTAAACTGATTTATCTTCTCATTTATTGTGCGACTTCAAAATCTTGTGTCAATAACACCAATAAGATGACCAATAAGATGACTCAAATACACTTTTGTGGGATTTGTTAATAAATGACCCAGATGGAACAACAAGAATATTAAAATGAAGAAACTCTAGACACAGTTTGTTGCTCAGCCTTGTAGGTGAAAGAGACAGAGGAAAATGCATAATACTTATCAGTCAAATAGGGCCTAGCAGAATGCCAATATTTTAGACTGAGACATTTTTATGTGTCATTTGAAGTCATTTTTGGCCCTTGTTGTTCTGCAGATGTTCCTGAAAAAATCTAATGATTCTACTCTTTCACTTTGTTTTGATAGAAGTTTTAAATATATCTTCCCTTTTCTGTGCTTTAGAGAACAATCGAGACTAAACCGGAAGAAAGGGATAAAAACTTTAGGAGTGATGGAACTCAGTTCAATGAAAACATTGATTAAATACCTTAATCAAAGTAAACATTAATATAAAAAGCCTTTTAGGAACATAGAGGATTAAATATGGGAATTATTATAATGACTGGCATCTTGAGCCAACCCTTTAACTCTATTTTCTCCTATACGAAGCAGATGCCACAGTCTTTCATCTAAAGCACATATAAAGCAGGATGACACAGACATTCAGTGACAGAGCTAGAAATCAGAAGGAGCTAGTTCATCTAACTTCATTAAAGCAACTTTATTTTGTTCCTCTGGTTCTTTAGGATCTTTAATGATACGCTCTCAAAAATTCAAAACAGGTGACTGAAGGGGGAGATGTAAAACAAACTAATATTAGACAATGGCACTCACATTTTGATTTTTAGCTTGAGTGTGCGTGTGTGCACATGTGAGTGTGTGTGTATGTTCATACTGTACAGCATATGTGCTGCTTCTAATATTTGGCCTGGTCATGTAGGATATTTTGTTGCAGCTAATTCACTAATCTATCACATAGACACATTTTTAAATTATGAGTCTTTTATGAAATAGGATGTCTCTTATTTGTAATGCTTAGGGAGCAAAATGTCTGTTTTTAGTAGGGCTTGATATATCTCATTGCTGAAAAATTTCCTCTAAATCTGAGGCTCAGAAAATGTACTCCATTTTACATAATTATACCCTTGGAAATCACCATTTCTGCCTGATGCAAGTTGAACTTGCTGCTTAGGGTGTATGAATTACTCCTTTGATACAGGTGAACAAAGCATAGATGTGAGGAAGATAGTAGATGATGAGCAAAAACACATTCAATGATGTAAAACACATTTATCTGAATTTATATCTTCCAACAGTATTCAGGGCTAGGCAATATTCAGGAAAAAAGTGGTATTATTTAAATAAAATGAGCAATTGCTGACTTGACCCATGGGTGTTTGACATTGTTTTCCAGGAAACAGGATGGGTGGGTTGTTTTCATCACCTCCACTGTTTCCCAAGCTTCCCCTGTGATCCACAATATGAATTTACAATTGGGTTTTGCTGAAATAGCAGCTAGAGCTTGTGCAGCAAAGTTTTTCTCTGCCAAGTTAACTGGGCTGTATGGGATTAAATCTGTGACCTTGTCCTCATTAACCCAATGCTCTAACCAACTGAGAGAGCTTCTCCAGTTCACTCTGGAGTATGTGAGATGTCTGCAATGGTGGACAAATGCAAATAGAGTATGTAACATAATGGCCATTGGCAGAATTTTTATTTTAAAATAAGCATTCTTGCAGAAGCCAATATTGCCTCTTAACTAATTACTGTTAACCAAAGCATTCAAATAGATGCAAAGCTGTCACTGCTAGATTTAGTATTTAAAAACATAAAAGATATTGCTATTCATGTTGGGAATGTTTTCATGTACTATGGCTTAGAAATCATGATCTGTAAATAATCAGCAGCCCCTTTCTTCCAGCTGTGATGCATTATCAAGCTGGGTGCTGACTGCAGAGGATCTAGCTTTCTGCTCTCTGTATCACTGATTCTTAAGTCTCTTGACTTGCAATACTTTTATTTACTCGTGCAACTTGTTTTAGCCTATTTCAGGCTTGTCATAGATTAGTTTCATCATTTGACTCTGTTTAATTAGTTCCCCAGGTCTGCCACTCATCTCTGAAAGCCTATGTTCCATTTCTTAATCCAGCCATTGTTTACATTATCAAACAGTTTAGTCTTGACCTCATATGTTACCTAGGAAAAAGAGTTCAGTGATTGTTTCTTAATTTGACTGGTCATGAAAGTGTATGTCAATATGTTGATTTTTCTGAACTGTATGTGTAAAGATCAGTACACATCTTTACAGAGAATGGTTACATTTTGTTAAACGGTCATACAACAAAGTATGGACATTTTCAAACCATTATCAATCTATGAAACTGTATCAACGACTTTGGGTAAATTTTGATTTTTTAAAAGTTTTGCATGGGGTCGGGCGTGGTGGCTCACGCCTGTAATCCCAGCACTTTGGGAAGCCGAGGTGGGCGGATCACGAGGTCAGGAGATCGAGACCATCCTGACTAACACGGTGAAACCCCGTCTCTACTAAAAATACAAAAAGTTAGCTGGGCGTGGTGGCGGTCGCCTGTAGTCCCAGCTACTTGAGAGGCTGGCGTAGGAGAATGGCATGAACCCGGGAGGCGGAGCTTGCGGTGAGCCCAGATTGTGCCGCTGCACTCCAGCCTGGGCGACAGAGCGAGACTCCGTCTCAAAAAAAAAAAAAAAAAAAAAATGTGTATGGTATAAGTTTCTGTGATAACTAGAGGAGCTACATACTTTTGACTCACACTAAACCAAATTGTTCTAACAAGAAGCTATCTGACTCTAGTTTATTTGTGAGAAGAAATGTTTCTGAATAGTCACCATAAACTTTGTATTGGTTAAAATATCGTAGAACGAGTTTCATATGGGTGTAGAAATTTTTCTCCGTTATATAAAAGCTTGTAATTTTTTTTCTAAAAGGAGACTTGGGGAACTGCGACAGTGCACTAGCAATTCAGCTTTTGTGTAAATTACTTTATTTATCAAGAGTTATGTTTCAAATATTTAAAAGGCCTAAAAGTTTCTGTAGACCATCTTCTCATTTTATGGGTGAGGAAGTGAGACTCAGCAAGACTTCAAGAAGCAATTTCACAATACGTCTAGGGAGAACTCAAATCCCTTTATTCAAGCAACATTTCATCACTGAACACATTTGTGCTGGTACTTTTAAAGTATAATTTGTTGTAACATTCATAGGCATACTTTAATTTATCTAATATCTATATTTCTTTAGTAAGAGAGCAATGTATTTCACCTCCATATTTTTCATTACTGGAAATAGAGAGACCAGGTGCTAAGTTAAAATTTGCTGATGTAAATATGAGTCAACATTCTGCTTCAATACTGTATCTCTCTGTCTCTCTCTCTCCCTCTCTCTGTTTGCCACTTAAAACTCATGAGGTATGTATGTTAACAGATAAGTAACAAGTTCAAAACTTTCTACATTTTCCAAAAATGTTTACTAAATGCAAAGTTGTGACTGATTCCTCTGTTGCAACATAAGTAAACATTGCAATTCCACGAACTACTTAAAACCATTTTTAATATTTATTTTATAATTCTTTGACTGGGTTAGTATTTTAAGCAAACATGGAAAATAGGTAGTGAAAGGCTTTCTAAAAACATTTATTATGTACAAAGTTCATGATATGTTTTGTTCTAAGTACTAGAGATGGTTGGTTTAAAAACTTTGACTTGGTCCGTGAGGTGTTCGAATTCTAGCAAGGAAGCAAACACACTATTTAAAACAACAATAAAATAACTGGATATGGGTTGATATCAGTGTTCTACTCCAAGTGATATGGGAAAACAATGAGGGAGCAACTGATTATTTTAGGGAAGTCCTCACATTTTTTAGAGAAGAGGTGGAAATTAAACAATGAATGGCATAGGATAAATTGGAATTAACTAGGTGGAGAAGCAAGGATAACGATTATAGGCTAAGGAAATGGAAACAGCTAAATAATAAAGATGAGACCACAAGGGGATATAGGAGTAAAGTTGTCCAAATAGTAGCATCAAAGGTTTGTGTGGTAAGAAGTGTTTAGTATGGGAGGATATGCTTAGATATCTGGAACCCAGATGGTAAGCAATTGTGTATCTCTTGCTAAGGAAGCTTGGTTGCTTTTGGTGTGTGTGTGTATGTGTGTGTGTGTGTGTGTGTGTGTGTGTGTGTGTCATGTGCATATCCTGGGTGTCATGCTACTGGTAAAGCAAGTGTATATAGGACACATGCAGTTCCTCTTTCCCCTTTGCCTGTAAAGTAGATTTGACATGTAATTTTTAATGCATCTCAGGTCATGGAACAGTGAATTCTTTTCTTGGTAGATGTTAATACTGAAGAATTTAAAGAGAATCATGAATGGAATTGCCTTTCATCAAAGCAAAAATGAAGTCCTTCTCAACCTTGTACTTTGCGCATAGGTTGAAGATAACTATACATCATTCATTTTTGAAATATAACTTTTGTTTAAAGCTACTGGAGATTTTGCTATTTATTTGAGAAGTAATTTGAAAGTGAGGAGAACTCAGCATATGAAGGTTGAACATGTCATCAACTAGTCCAAGGAAATTCAAAGTCAAAAATCAAATCCTTACGTTTATGAAAGACATCTTCGAGGCTGGGCATGGTGGCTCAAGCCTGTAATCTCAGCACTTTTGGAGGCTGAGACAGGAAGATTGTTTGAGCCCAAAAGTTTGAGAACAGCCTTGGCAGCATAGCAAGACCCCACCTCTACACAAATAAAAATAAAATAATAGGCCAGGGGTGGTGGCACATACCTGTAGTCCCAGCTCCTTGGGATCTGAGGGCAGAGCATCTCTTGAGCCTGGGAAGTCAAGGCTACAATGAGCTGCGGTCGTACAATTGTACTCCAGCCTGGGTGACAGGGCGAGACCCTATCTATCTAAAAAAAAAAAAAAAAGCCAAGATCCTGTATATGGAATTTCCAGATTATTCTGGGGAAAAAAGATATGTTACTTGAAGTATTCATTCAATCAAGCTAAAAATATTCTAAGTTTAGTATTGTTTTGTTTTTCTGTCTCAGTTTGGACACTAATACTGTGGTTTGCCCAACATGGAATATTCAGAATCTGAGAGCTCTATGAATATTTGTTGTTTGGGCTTAACTAAATTAGAACTCTTGTGGAGTACCATATTTAGAGTTCTCCTTTAGAGTAGAGCCCAATTAGCATCTTATAAATAATGCAAATATGAATGAAGCAGTAAGAATGCTGCCAAAGTTCACTGCTTGTTTTCAACATATTGCTATTTACAAATACCTCGTTATTTTTAATGTAAATTCTTTGCAAAGTATTATTATAAGTACCGACAGCAATAATTCACATTTTAAATAACAAAGAATAACGACAAACACAAATCCCCTGATAGTAGTTACAATTTCCTCCAGTTTGGCAATCCTCCTATAAGACATGAGGATGTGGATTGCTCTTCAGTATCACTGATTCTTCTGCCATTTAAAAAAAGATTGGATAAATTCAGCCTCTTAAGTTCCTAATTTAGTAGGTTTGATATAGTCAGTCTAAGTATTAACAGCATTTTAGCACCTACAATTCTTATATTCGATGTTTCGGGGTGTGCAAACAATATGTAGACCAGACGTTCTGTCTTTAAGTCATGTCCGTGACAAATAGAGATCACAGACGTTTACAAAAGTGACGATTACTCTAAGTGGGCAGAGAACAGAGATACTTATGAGCTGTGGGTGGTTAAGCAAAAGATCAAGAAAGAGTCAGTGATCAAGAAAGAGTCAGTGATCAACCATGAATAAAATTCAGATCATCGGCCGGATGCAGTGGCTCACGTGTGTAATCCCAGCAATTTGGGAGGCCAAGGAGGGCGGATCATGAGGTCAGGAGATCGAGACCATCCTGGCTAACACGGTGAAACCCCATCTCTACTAAAAATACAAAAAAAATTAGCTGGGTATGGTGGCAGGTGCCTGTAGTCCCAGCTACTCGGGAGGCTGAGGTGGGAGAATGGCGTGAACCTGGGAGGCAGAGCTTGCAGTGAGTGAGCAGAGATCGTGCCATTGCACTCCAGCCTGGACGACAGAGTGAGACTCCATCTCAAAAAAAAAAAAAAAAATTCAGATCATCAGCAAGTGTTTAGGCTTCAAGCATGTGAAATATTCCAATCAATTGGCAAATTATCTCTGAGGCTAACTAGGGCTCCCTGAGCATCAGAAAGTTTACCAGCCAGAATGTAAGATAAATTAATCCTGCTTAAATATTTTCCAGTTGCCTTCCTCTGCAGGAATGTTCAGTGTTGGTTGAAGAGTGTTGAGAATACAGGTGCCCTAAACATGTCAGCCTTGCAGGCTTTCCAGGTCTCTACTCTCCAACTTTTTGTCCATCACCCCTCTGGTCTCTGTTCTGATAAAATCAGCAGTCTTTTCCCAGAGTGCAAAAGCAGTCTCTTCCCAGGAACTCATATGTGCCAGCCACTCCCTCCTGTCTATTTGGCCAAACCTTCCACTTTCTTCAGCTCAAGTCTACCCTCCTGCACTTTTGCACTTAGCTTCCTGGGATAGATGCATGCAAGGGATGCCTTTATCCCAAATTAAAATTGATCTTATAAGCTTTAAAATGATAATGGAATTTGTTTTGCTGTTATTTGCCATTTTTATTGACACAATTGAAATACAGAAAATTACATTCAACTATGGTTTTTGATGATGAGTATTTTGTGATGAAGGAAAGAATAAGTTTTGAAATACATGTATTTTATTAAGTTTTAAATGCTTAAAAATCAGGTAGCATTGGAGAACTCAATCTATTTCCATTGTAATTCCTCTGAGGTAAATAAGTTGGTCTCATATCTATACTGAATGTAATATTGTGTTAATTATAATACTGCAGCGATAAAATAGAGGAAACACTAATGGACTAATTATGCTAAATATTTCCATTTCTAAGTAGACAGAAAACAAAAAAAGTTAACATTCCTACTTCACTGTAATTCATTTTATAGACTTTGAAGCTGCAGGAACATCAAACTACACTAAGCAATTTTTTAACTATTTTTTTTGCCCATTTCTTTTATTTAAATTTTGATTTCTCCTTGACTTTTATCAGTTACTTCCTTTTGATCCTTTTCTCATATTCTTTTTTCTGTAGTCCTATGTTTACTTAGATCATTTAATATATTATAGTATTCAAGTATTTCAGCAACAGATTTTTTTATGTCAGAAGCATTGGAATCATTTTAAAAATCAAAACTTTAGGCATAACCCCATTATACAAATATAGGCAAAAGAAGACGAACTTGGGAATGCTACAGTAGGAGAAGTGGGATCCCCCACTTTTGGGGGGGATCTGATTCCCATTTCTATTCTATATCCTTCAACATGAAGGCAAGCGAAAGATAGGTTGACAACACTGATCTATTTAAAAATTATGTATACTTAATTACAGTGATTTTATTTCCCATTGAATCTTCTATGTAAATACTACTGATAGAGCTGGCTGAGTTGTTTTTATAAAACATAGACATTTACATATTCCTACCTATGAAATTGAATGTAGCTGTAACTGAATGTGGGTAAAACCTCATCTTCCTTAATTTGTTTGAGAAGTAATTATAAAATGAAATGGCTGGTCCTGTGGTAATTGTTAATTATGACACAATTTCTCTGCAATAAAGCTCTCAGCTAAATAGATAACATATGACATTTTCATGAGTTAGTTTAGCCATTTGGTTAAAATATAAAATGCTTCATATCTGTCTTGGTTATACATTTATTAATGCCATATGGTTGATCATCTGTGTAACTGTCTCTCTAACTGGTTTCAGATAGCTGAAAATGGAAACAAGTTTTCTTTATAACTAAAATAGAAAATAAATATATCCCACCATAAACGTGAATGTGATTGATCATCTATCACTTCCTATTTTTTTTCCTTCAAAGATGTAGTCTATGTAATTCTGAGGAATCATTTATTGAAAAAGAAAAAGGCTTCAAATTATGATATCTAACAACTAAAAAGTCTTGCAAGTTTTTCTTGCTCCACCCTCTCATTTTACAGATAGAAAAGATAATTCCTCTTTTCAAAATTTAATATATTTTATAGAGTGAACGGTTTGAGAAACAATTGATTATTCTCTGTAGGTCATTGCATTTCAGGGCTTTAGATGTAATGTGACATTTCATACAAACAGAAGTGTTGATTATGTAATAAGTAAGTAATATTGCAATATAATTGCTCTACCTGAATTGTGAGTGCTTATAAAGAATGACTGGTAAAATAGATGTCATAATTGTGCTTGTAAAACCATCTGGATGTTTATCTGAGGGTGACATTATTTTTCTCAAAATAATACTGCATGTATATTAAGAAAAAATTTACAATGCTTTCACATTGTTTGTATGTCACGAAGTTTGTATGCAAACTTCAAAAACAAGTTAAGTAGTACAATGCTTTACTGAATAAAACTAAACTAAAAAGCAGTGAATACAAACAGTTCTCCTGATTCATAATTAGTGATTTTATATACTCGATACTTCTGCACTTATTCTTTGTCAGCCAATAAAATAGTGTGTGTGTGTGTGTGTGTGTGTGTGTGTGTATTTGAGCTGTATCCTCATATAGAACTAGATATGCACTTGCGCCTCATGGCTATGGGTATGTATATCTTTTGTAAGTTGTATATAATATGACAGAGATTCGATCATGTCACACTTGTTTCTGGACGAAGTTGAGGAGACCTCTATAGGACCAATCATTTTCTTTTATGGCCAAAGGATTAAGATGATGCAAAGATAGTACCTTCCGAGCTCATGGGCTTTCATATACCTCACTATGATAACAAAATTGAATAAACATAAAGGAGGCCGTATAGGATATGAAAGCAAATCATGTGTATCTCTGTGAGAAAATGAATTATTCTTCAGATGATTAGAACCAAACAGCCCATTAATAGACCCTAACCTCAATATTTATAAGTATGTAATTCTGAACTGCCACTGTAAACAAAACCCATTTTCTCATTTGTTAAACCAGAAATTCAATGCATAGCATTTTGTCGGTTAACAATAGTTCTGTTTGGCCACATGATTAAGTGATATTTAGGATGATCCATCCTAAATGTGCCTGTTGATGATAAAAGTTTAGAGGTTCTTTAGTCTCTGGAAGCCACTTGTCCTAATTCACCAACTCACTGCCATTTTGTAAGTCAGCCAAATTTTCACAGCTATAGCACTATAGTGACTTTATTTTTACCTTTTTCTTCCAGTTCAAATAAAATTCATTCAATAATATTAATAATATTTCAGATTGTGATATAAATAAAGAATTCATGGAGAGCTTTAGTCATCTCTTCCAACAGAAATTAAATGTTTCAAGTCTACTAATAGTACTCACTTTGACTATCTAGGTCTTTACTTGGAACCTGTCCATCAGGTGGTGTGGTCAGAGCTAAGTCAATAATAATAACATATTAAGGCAAGTCTTTTGTATCTGTTTTATCACCATATGACTGACTTCATAGGATTAATAAGGCACCACACTGGTATGAGAACAATGATTCCAAAAAGTACAAGAAGCATATTATAAATTATTCTTGGTTGTATGATATAATGTAATTGTAATGATTAGTTTGTTCTGTTACTGCATTCCACAATCCAATCAAAGGTCTAAATCGACACATGTTGCTGAAGAAAAGGCAATATAGTCCAGGCATTTATGTAGTTCAGATTATATGGTGAACTTTATTGTATTATAAACTCAAGTTCCATATTGTTAGATTGAAAAAAGGGAGAGAAAAATATACTAAGTTGAGATATTAGTTTTTATTTAAGTATCTGATAAGTGAGATTATTCTGGTAAAGGTTAGAGGTTATACTAATGCAGAATTTGAAATTTACATTTCTGTCATTATACTTTAATTTCAATTGTAATTTCTATTTTTGACACCCAGAAATCTATGATGATTTTAATGAAAATATCTTATGAAAATAATACTGTCATATTTTACCTTAAAACTTAATATTTTAGATGAGAATAGAAGCACATCTCTTTTATGATATGTTGCCTGTATAAAGAAGGAAAAATAGGGACTAGTTCTACTGAGGTCAGAAAGTAGCTTTTAAGTTAAAGATTTTTTTTCCTATCAATGAATAGAATTTTTAAAAAGAATCCCAATGGAATTAGACTCACTCTTTAGACAGTAATCCAAGTGGGGTTATTTCTATTTTGGAGACAGTCTTCAAAACAATTCAAAATTACTGTAAAAATAAATAATAAAGCCTAAAATACAGGTGCTTAATGGAGCAGATAGAGACTCTTCTCTGGGATAGATAGATTATTGGTGAGTTTTGCCAACTGCTTCTTTCACTAAATGATAGACCATAAGTGTTCCAGGGAAGAATCGTCTTTCTTCCCTGTTGGATTGAAGTAAGGGCATATGTCATTCATAGCACAGCCACTGTGACAACACAAAGGGTTTTGCTCCCAGTCTGCAGCCTGGGCTCTTAAGGCACTGTCTTTCTGAATGGTACAAAACAACTACTAGGCCTTCTGGCTGGTTACATAAATAGGTGTGTCTCAATAAATGAGCTATTAAATAGTTGATTAACTGGTTATTATCTCTTTGTGTCCTTAGGCATCTCCCAACTATTGTCTCTAAAATGAGTTTGGAATGCACTTTCATGTTCCACTCTAGCTCTGATACTATCTGATTATCAAGATCTAGGGAGAGACATGTTAGCTCACACCTTTAACTTAAATTAGAAAACAGATGCTATAAATCATTGTTTGTGCATTAAATTCCCGTGATCTGAGTGAAAGCACATAGAGGTTTATTTGCTAAATATTTAACATATATATTTAGTATCATACTTGCTAAATTGCTGCATATTTTCATATATATGTACATATAATTTCATATCTAACATATTACATGTTATATGGTACATATATATGAAAAGATACAGGAATTAGCAATGTGTGTTATATGTGTTAAGTATGGTGAATGAACTGAGAAGAATGTGCTTCTCCATAAAAGGGACTTTATCCTAATATTTACACATAAGCATTTATGTAGGTAATGAAAAAGTTGGCAAACTTTTTCTATGGAAAGGCCAGTGTATAATTTAGGCTTTGCAACCCAGCAATCTCAGTCACAGTTACTTAATTCTGCTATTTATGTAGGTAACGAAAAAGTTGGCAAACTTTTTCTATGGAAAGACCAGTATATAATTTAGGCTTTGCAACCCAGCAATCTCAGTCACAGTTACTTAATTCTGCTATTGTAACACAGAAGCACTTATTGACAATACATAAATGAAGGAGTGTGGGGAATGTGGCTGTGTTCCAATAAAGTTTTATTCACAAAAGCAAGTGGTGTCCTAACTTAGCTTGGAAGTTACAGTTTGTCACTCCTAGGTCATGTGGACAATATTCTGAATATATCCCTATTTTAATGAACTATCTGTTGCTATAGTGGTTTCATTTCTACCACAGCAAACAATGCCTAGAAAGACTAGTCTATTAGGTGTTGATATGGTTAATATTCTCCTGATAGAATCAAGGAATTCTAGCTCAAGTATGTATTTTTAAAAATCATTTAGCATCATTTTGAACTCCAATAAAGTAAATTTTATTAAATCAAAAAGTTTATTTTATTTTATTTTATTATTATTATTATTATTTTTTGAGACAGAGTCTCGCTCTGTCACCATGCTGAAGTGCAGTGGTGTGATCTCGGCTCACTGCAACCTCTGCCTCCCAGGTTCAAGCAATTCTCCTGCTTCAGCCTCCTGAGTAGCTGGGACTACAGGCGTGCGCCACCATGCCCAGCTAATTTTTGTATTTTTAGTAGAGACGGGGTTTCACCATGTTGGCCAGGATGGTCTCGCTCTCTTGACCTCGTGATCCACCCGCCTCAGCCTCCCACAGTGCTGGGATTACAGGCATTGAGCCACCGCACCTGGCAAATCAAAAAGTTATATAGCGTGATCTAGAACTGCATTGTTCCATGCAGTAGCCCCTAGCCAAATGTGGCTTTTTAAGTACAAATTAATTAAAGTTAAATACAATGTAAACTTTTTTTTCTTAGTTGTAAAAAGTATTTCAAGTACTCAGTAGCTACATTGGCCTAGCGGTTATCACAGTGGAAACATGGAAAACATGTCCATTATTGTCAAAAGTGTTATTGGACAGTACTTATACTAGACCAAAAACACATTTATAGTCATTAAAGCATTTACTAAAAGGCAGACTATCTCATAGAAGTGAGAGAACTACTCTGTCAGAGGGAAATAAATTGGGAACTTTTCAAATCTATAATCGTTATTTAAGAATTTTAAAGATTTCCATTGAATGCTATTACCACAGAACCTTCCTAGAGATTTATGTAATGCCTTTGTACATTCAAAAGGAAATTCCAGCTCAGTAACTGAGCTGCAAATGGCACCCATTGAAGCTACTCAACCACATTGCTGAAGGCCACCAAATTGCTTCTTGCAGGCTTCTACTATTCAGAAATTATTAAATACTTTCAAAAAAGTTTAATTTTAAAAATCTGAGCTTAAATGCACCCAAAACACGTTTCTGTAGGGCATTCTTTGTATGTAGCGTAGGACTTTCATTTTGTTACTCCCCTTCTGTGCATTCATTCCTAGCCCATGATAAAAATAAAAAAAAAAAATTATGCGTATAATGAAAGGTCTAAGGAAACTTGGATCAGGACAGATGTTGGCCTGTAGAAGACTTTTATTCCTTCACAAGTTGTTATTACTGAAACATTTTAGAAATTTCAGGAGAATGTTGAGGTTTTAAAGGAAAGTATTAATACACTTGACAGGTTTTAATTTTTTAATCTAGTCAAGGCAAACAGCTTTGAATCAATTATCCACAGTTTTCAACATATAATCAAGGATTTTGACAATATTTAGATGTTGAATTGCCAAGCTATTAGCAACCAAGAGATTTGATTAGACATCCATATTAATAAACACCTGTCATAATAGCATAACAGATGTTCTAGGAACACAGCTAACACAAAATCTAAAAAACTTGGTCGTATTTTTTGACAATGTGGTGCCTAAATTAAACTTTACAACCTTTATCATACTTGTTTTAATAAAATTCAATGCTGAAATAATTTATATCAATAGAAAAATATTTTTACTTCAAATGACTAAAAGGTTTTCATTGACATCAAAGCCTCTTGCAGAAACATTTGAAATTATCAGTTAAAAGCGCGTTAGCAAAATACTAGTGTGTGATGTGTGTATGTGTGTACAAAATATACACATGTTATTACTAGGGGCTCCTGCGTGGAACAGTGCAGGTCTAGATCATGCACATGCTCTAAGATCCACTATTTAAAAATTTGCCATAGTTCAGGTCCATACATATAATTTTATTTGATACTCATATGTAACTTATATAGACTTATAGTTTTTGACAAAAGGCATATTTTCAGTTCTGGTCCACTCAATACAATGGTTGATATAATATGCTAAACTATTTAAATTAATATACTCTCTTTCCTTTAGGATTGTATTTCATGAAAATAATATACATGCACAGTATATAAAAAGAAACATTGAGGCCAGGCACGGTGGCTCACACCTATAATCCTAGCACTTTGGGAACCCAAGGCAGGTGGATCACCCAAGGTCAGGAGTTCAAGAC
Source organism: Homo sapiens (assembly GCF_000001405.40). Classification (NCBI taxonomy): domain Eukaryota; kingdom Metazoa; phylum Chordata; class Mammalia; order Primates; family Hominidae; genus Homo; species Homo sapiens. Next base: position 66,013,115 of record NC_000010.11, on the reverse strand, counting down.
CAGCCTGGCCAACATGGCAAAACACTGTCTCCACTAAAAATACAAAAATTAGCCAGGTGTCATGGCACATGCCTGTAATCCCAGCTACTAGGGAGGCTGAGGAAGGAGAATCGCTTGAACCAGGGAGGCACAGGTTGCAGTGAGCCAAGATGGTCCCATTGCACTCCAGCCTGGGTGACAAGAGCTGATATATGATGCACTGTAGCCAGTGGATTCTGTGTTGTTCCAGAGAATAGATCTAGGACCAATTTGAGGAATTCAGCAGATTTTTGTTGAATTTAAAGAAATAGCTGATAGTTAAAGCTGTCAATCTAGCAAAAAGAAAACTATCCCATGGAGTTATGGGCCCCTAATGTGGAAATATGCAGTGCGAAATTAGACAGCTATTAGTCATGGAGTTTGTAGAAATTATTTCCACAGTTGAGAGACCCCAGACTAATTGACCATCAAGTTTCCATTCAACTATTAGTTTCTATAATGGTATAGGTCAAAGGCATTTGTGATTGTGAAATATCATGATTCATGCCCACTCTGATTATCTATGATTATGTATTTTTTATGCAGTTGTCTCATTTTACTTAGTTTTATCTTTTAATATAATTATGTATGGTTTATGGTACTTATTGAAGAGAGAAATTAGCTCCTTTGGGAAATCTCTGTGGGTCAGATTTTTAAAACCCCAACTGGACTTTAAATGTAACAGTTGTCTTTTTTGTCATTCATGTTCACTTACTGTTAGTACATAACTTCTTCTTTCAATTCCAAGCTTGATTCAGACATTATTCTTTCCTTCAACTAATATTCTCCCCACACCAACAAGTATTTTATCATATGACCCAGTTTTATTTTCACCTTACATCTATTAGCATCTGAAACTACCTTATTACTATTTATTTGTTTACATGTTCATTTGTTTTTTTAACTTTACTCTTTTCCCTATTTGATTTCAAGCCTTATGGATACAAATGCCTAGGAAAACTCCTGGTCTATGGTAAAAGTGCACTATAAATAAATTTAATGAATAAATTAATAAACAAATACGTGGGTGAATAAGCCACATTTTATTTTGCATCCATGAAGCTTAAGATCTAATAGGGAAAAGAGTCTGTTCCCAAAATGGTCTTTCCACTGGGGTGTCATTTTCATCCAGTCATTCTATGTTGCAGACAGCAGGGCCCCAGCCTTATTCTTGTTTTTATCCATCATACAGCATAGCAAAGTGCCACACGCATAACAAATTAACAACTGTTAATTGTATGGGTGAATTAAAACCCTTCATGGAAGTGATATCACTTTTTCTAAAGTGTCTTGGTAAACTAGACTCTTTTACAATTAAAACAAGAGAAAGAGAGTTGCTGTGTGTCGATTTTTGGCCCTTAAGAGAATAAATGAAACTGGCAAACTGGAATAGTATAAATATGGGACAAGAATTAGAAGTGCCAGGCTTGATTGACCCCTACTCTACACATTTCTGACAGTATGAACTTGGTCAAGGCACAATCTTGCATGCACATCAATTTTTTTTTGTAATTGGGGCTAATAATCTCTGCCATTCCTATACTCCAGACTTGCTATGTATATAAAAAATGCAATATATGTGGGAAATTTGTTTAGGTTGTAAAATGCCATACAATTAAAACTTACCAGTATGGGTAGCATTAAAACTTCTGTGAAACCCAGGAGCAGAAACCTCTCCAATTCACATGTAAGAGTAACAAGTGTCTCTGGTTTTAACTAGCAGGAGAATAGAAGGGAGTAAGGGAGAAGAGAAAGAGAAGAGACAAAGAATAAAAAAGAAACAAGAGTGAGAAAAGAAAGAGAAAGAGAAGATAAAATATACAAGATGAGGTCACAGGAGGAGAATGTGGCCAAGAGGGAGGAAGAGAAAAGGGAGTAGAACCCACAAAAGAGAAATAATTGCATTGGAGGGGAATTGCGAGTGGCATCTATGGTGACCACAGATAGGCTGAAATCTCTAAATTAAGACTTCATTCATTTCAAAGCAATAGACTAGGTCAAGTGAGGGATGAGGTAGGATTCTGTGTTTCAAATCAACACAAGATTAGCCAGAATGAGGTGTCATCCCATGGAAATGGGTGACTACAAATGCCAGAGACAGGGTGACATTAACCTATTCATTGCTAAAGTAGAAACCGCAGCAAGAACATAGGCTTATGCCTACTAAGAATCTCTTCTTAGTTGGTTGACATGCATTCTAGTTTTCAAGACCCAAACTCTAGTAGAAGACCACCTTCTGGTAGTGGTGGCCTTGCAATGCATATGACTTGACTGAATGCTTACATTTTGTACAGTGTGTCACAGCTGAAACCTCTGCAGTTTTCACCAAGCCTGGCCTGACACACTTTCCCTACAATTAGTTATCATGTGCGTGGCATAATAATCTGAACATAATCTTTGAAAGGAAAATTAAATCATACATCTCAATTCAGTGATCCTTGGGAGCCATCTGAGTGTATGGAAAATTGGTTGCTATAAAAGATGCCCAAACTCAGCTCTTAGAAGACAGAGTAGAACCTACAATTCCCAGCCCTTCAGCTATTATTTTCCATGTTTCTAAAATAATAGCTATGTTTGAAAATAAGCTGCTCTTTTGTTCTTTAGATCTTTTATTATTATCATTATTTGTAACAATGTTTTCCAGTTTTCAATTTGAATTCCTCTTTCTCCTTTTGTTTTTTGTTGGTCTAAAAAGCCCCTAAAAATAATTCTTTTTGTCTTTACTATAGCATCTGTGCTCACAGGAATAAACTACTTTTTAGTTATTCTTTAACTTACATACTACTTCCTTCTCTAATATCCAGCATCTGAAATGAGGAGCAATAAAAATATGTCCTTATGGTCATTGACAGTTTCTATTTGGAACTGATTTAGCCAAGGGAAAGGAGGCTACATCGTAGATGATAGTAACATGTTGAAAGTAGATGCATGCTAACAATTTTAGAATGAACAATGTTTTCGGATAATCATTCACTGCCTATTTTGGTTTCAAAAATGATTATCCATTATGAATGTCACCTTTATTTTGAACCTTCAAAAAAATGAATACCTTTTTCTTCCTTCCATCTTTTCTCTACATGCTTTCTCATAATCTTTTGTTTGGAAATACCTAATAGAACCAAGCATACAAAATAAAACTCAAAACCATGAAGCTTATTTGCAACTCAGATAAAGGAATTGATTAATTCATCTCTCGACACGTATATTTTTGGAAGAACTGTGATATGTAAGACCATGGCTAGTCTCTCTACTGTTGTGTCTCCAGATTCTCTGGGAAAACCGAGCATGAGTCAGCCATGGACCATGCCTTCAACATGCTTACAATCTTGTTCAAGAACTAAGATATCTATATACATAACCATGAGGTAGAAAGGGGTGACAATCTCAAAAGAGGTATGGGTAAGATGAGAGATATGTTGAGAGAAATCAAAGGTTTCTACCCTGCTTTGGGCAACAGGAAATATAATCTGGAAAAAATAACATTGGAGTTATGGCTTTAAATATTAGTCTTCAAAATGGCTATAAGATGTTCTTTTCGAGAGTGAAAAGAAAATATTAGAAAGTTTCTTTAAATTTGTTATCTAAAACGTAAACATTGTAGCCTTCCCAGGATTTAATGTATGATTGGCATTGACACTCTCCTTTAGTGTATATCCCAGACAAGAGAGCTTTATTAAAGGGTTGTCTGTGGTGCTGTCACTTGTTCTGTAGCTTTCAACATTATCACAATCAAAGATACCTGGATTTATAACCCTCCTTAAGTGCGACCCATTGTTTTAATTTTTTTATAAAATAAACTATGGATTAAGGATAATTAAAAGGGAAGCCCAAACAGAACAAGATGTCAGAATTGGCACTTCTCTTAATCTTAGTAGAGATGATGGTCAGCAACATTGCAAAATAAAATCAGTGATTATCCAGTCAAAACTGAAAAGAACTAGGCCAGTAAAATTAGTTATCAAGAAGACTACGTGAAGTACAGAATTTTTTTTTTTTCTGAGATTGAGTCTCACTCTGTCACCCAGGCTGGAGTGCAGTGGCACCATCTCGGCTCACAGCAACCTCCGCCTCCAGGGTTCAAGTGATTCTCCTGCCTCAGCCTCCTGAGTAGCTGGGATTACAGGTGCGTGCCACTACATACGGATAATTTTTGTATTTTTAGTGGAGATGGGGTTTCACCATGTTGGTCAGGCTGGTCTTGAACTCCTGACCTCATGATCCACCCACCTCAGCCTGACAAAGTGCTGGGATTACAGGTGTGAGCCACCGCACCCGGCCTGAAGTACAGATTTGCATCCTCTAATACTCATTCACAAATTTCTCCTGAGGGAATATTGCATCTTGAGATTGTTTTTAATGACATTATCATTAGCAAGATATTTAAAATAGTTTCTTTTATCTTTACTTGATCTCTTTAAAATGTATATTTCTGTATACATCTTATACATAACTTAGTAGCATGATAATGCAGGTATAACATAAAGAAACATAGACGTATAGAGAATGAAGATAAAGCATGTAAAGGCTCTATTCTGGACAGAGAATAAAATAGAAGCCCCAAAGCAACCTATTTGGCTGAAGCTATCAATGTTTTGCCATTTAAGACACCAAAAGCTCAATGTGAAGAGGGACGCCTTTCGGATGCCAGCTCCTGGCGTAAACATATTAGACTTCTTGGAACTGATCCCATGGAACAGGCACAGTCTTAATGATTTCAGTCTTCTGGGAAAATGTCATATTTTTTTCCAATTAAGTGGCAAAGAAGTTATTCAGCACCAGTGTGTAAGCCACCAAAATATATTCTATGAGTTTCCTCCTGAAAGCTGCAAAGGATTTGAATTATATTCAGAGTAACCTCCCTGTCACGTGGCTGTTGGTTTCTCATTTTCTATTCTTTTCTTCCTAAATAACCCCACTTAATTGAGACCCAGTATCTCATGTTTCAGTGATTGTCTTCAAAAAAGAAACACTAGAGTTTGGGGAGCAGTTCTAGGCAGTAGAGAAAGGCAGCCTTCTCAGCCCGGTTCAATATGCTCAAATGTCATCAGATGGTTTTCAAGAGTATTTGGGGAAAACGTTGAGGCCTATTTTCAGAAAGACAACTGGCAGACCTTAAATGAAATAGATCTGTTGTAGAAAAAGGCTGTGGCCTAATACATCCTGGCACTGTGACTTAAGGCACACTGCTGGGGCAGCAGCACAGCACGCACACCTTCCAGGAAGGAAGGAGGGGAAGTAGGAAGGAAGGGAGGGAGGGAGGAGGAAAGGAAGGAAGAAAGGGAGGGAGCGAGGGAGGAAGGAAGGGAGGAAGGGAGGAAAGGAAGGAAGAGAGGGAGGGAGGGAGGGGGAAAGGAAGGTAGGGAGGAAGAAAGGGAGGGAGGGAGGGAGGGAGGATCTAAAAGCCTGGCTTATACTCCTTTCAGAATGACACCAATATGAGACCCTCCAGATGGAGCTACCTAATATAAAGCCAGGTCCAAATATTTAAGTATGGTGTTAGTCTATTTTTTCCTGAGGCACAAATTTTTTTAAGGCAAGGACACATCCACATGAGAAGGAGGATCACTCACAGCTGCACATGATGCCGAATAACTACCGTATTATGGTGATTTTGCTTTAACATTTGTTAATTGAAGAGGCATTATGTTGTATCATTTTGCAATAGATAAATAATGGGATGTTAGGCCTCATGAAGGGTGGATGGTGGGAGGAGGAAGAGGATCAGGAAAAATAACTAATGGGTACTAGGCTTAATACCTGTGTGATCAAATAATCTGATGGAGAGAAAAAAAATTTTAAATAATGTATACGTCTGAACTAAGGCTGATTATTTCAAATTTTTAAATTGTACCCTTTAAAAATTGACTTTGGGTCACTGCACAATATCGTAATTCAATAAAGCATGTAAATCAATTGAGAGCAGCAAAAATGACACATTAACATGAAAACTAGCTGCATAACTCAGTATGTCTCAAGTCATACTCAGTCTGAATAAGCTGATTGAAAATAGTAAGCTTTACGGTGTCCTAAAATTTAATGACCTATAGCTGTACTAGACTAGAATGGTGGGGGTGCGGGGGGCATGCCAAAGATCAGCTGCCAAAGGTCTTGTCATCTCAGAAACAACAACAAGGCCTGAGACTGGTGGCAAGGCAGACCCTTGAACTAACTCTGTACTGAATCTATTAGCTGTGATTGGTCTTGACTAAGTTAGTGGCTCTTTCACCTTTGTGTGTTTCTTCATCTGGACCTTAGAATAATATTATGCCATGACCAGAATAAGAAGTGAGTCAGTAGGCTTTAAGAAGGTCAGATGCTAACTAATAATGGCTAAATTATATTATTTTCCTAAATTGAATGCGATTATTTTCTGAGCTTATAAAAGTTGGTCTGATATGAAAGGAGCAGGGGCAGCCAGTATATCACGGTGGTTTAAAGCGAAGCTGGAAAAAATGCCCAGGCTCTGTAAGAATCATGTGCATGATTAATGCTGAGGCCACTGCCAACAGGAAAAAGAGGGACTCTCACAGTCAGAGAGTGTGATGGTATTTACAGTACATTGGCTTTGATTAATGTGCACACTCAGAGAAGTAATGTGTGGAAGGCAAGAAAAGACCTGTTTTCAAATGTTGGTGCTGAGTACAGATTTCCCATTGTGTCCAGAGAGGGTGTCAACGAATAATGACTTTTAGTCTTTTGGTTTGTTGGGTGTGGGGGGGTGTTGGTGAGGAGGACATTGCAGGGGTAACTTTCCCATGTACAAGGGAAGATAAAAATGGCTTTGCAGCATGGTGCAGTGGCTCACACCTGTAATCCCAGCACTTTGGGAGGCCGAGGCGGGCGGATCACGAGGTCAGGAGATCGAGACTATCCTGGCTAACACTGTGAAGCCCCGTCTCTACTAAAAATACAAAAAAATTAGCCGGGCACGGTGGTGGGTGCCTGTAGTCCCAGCTACTTGGGAGGCTGAGGCAGGAGAATGGTGTGAACCCAGGAGGCAGAGCTTGCACTGAGCCGAGATCGTGCCACTGCTCTCCAGCCTGGGCAACAGAGCAAGACTCCCTCTCGGAAAAAAAAAAAAAAAAAAAGGCTTTCCTTGTGCATTCTTACTACTCATATGAGTCTGGAAAGGCACCACTGAGAAGTTTATACCACATCTCACAGTTTCAATAAAGGGGATTACTAAGTAGTTTTAACTATAATGTCATCCCTAAGTGATGCCTTTAAGTATGCAGTATTTATATAGTATTTGAATGTCTTATGAAAACATGTACTAGGGTTTTCAAGGTCCATGGGTGTCAAAGAGGAAATTAGTATATATAATAATCACCTGAAAAAAAAATGTTCTCATCTACCCTAGAAGAGGTTTCCTTCTTCCTTTTGCCCCACGCCAGAGCCTTATGTGCTTTCAAGGAGTATTTATATAATGTGTAACACCAGGAGAGGGAAAAGGCAGGTTAAACTTAATATGTAGTGTATCGGGGAAGGAGAGTAGCACCAGACACATAAAGTGTCTTCCCAGGTAATTCTGGTTCTCTCAGGTCTCCAAATTTTTCCAGGCCACCCACCTTCGATATGAATTGTAAGTAAAGGAGCATACAGCTAGCAAATAATTAAGAACCAAGAACCTGACCCTTTCACTGGAAGTTGGAATAATATAGGTCATGTTAAAAAATAACTGGCAATCTAGAGAAATAATCACCATAACACCGTCAATTTATCCCAACTGACTGCTTTGATTTAAATGCAGGAAAATCAATAGCTTCATCATAGGAGCTGATTCTGACTACTTGGTAGTGACTCCTGAGGGCTGTGTAGGCTAAATAATGGCTCTCCACGATGTCCACCTTCAAATTCCCAAAACCTGTGAGGAGAGATTATTGTAAATCATCTGTGTTGGTCCAATGATATTATAGGAGTCTTTTCAAGAGCACAGGAGAACAGAAAGGAGAAGGACATAAGTGTGATAACAGAAGCATACCTTTTAGTGATATCCTTTGGAGATGAAAGAAAAATCCACAAGCCAAGGAATACAGGCAGCTTCTAGAAGCTGAAAATGGTGAGAGAATGGATTCTCCTCTCAGAGCCTCCAGAAGGAACCAGCCCTGCTGACACCTTCCCTTTAGCCTAGTGAAACTTACTTTGGACTTCCCAGTTCCAGAAATATAAAATAATAAATGTGTATTGTCAACAAATTGGTTAATATTTGTTACAGCAGCGATAAGAAACTAATGCAAGAATTGCATGAAGAAAAATTAGTGGAACAAGTAATACAGGAGTGATGCCAGTCATGAGTTACAGAGGGAACTGTAAGAATTAAAATGCATTCAACTACCAACTCTAGTTTTCTCCTTAGGGTGATGCAAGAATTTCATTGCCATTGGAAGAAAGAGCAGAGAAGAGTGGCAGTGTTTCTTAGACAGCTGTGCTCTTTAGATGTTATAGAAAACAAACTTAGTCACAAAATAGGCTGAAGTCCTTAGAAGAACTTCTACCTAGAAACCACAATTTTCACTAGGGTAAAGTTTCTCAGCTAACATTAATGGCTACTTTTGTTGGTTCTAGGGAACATCGGATGGTCGATCATGGACCCCCACAACTAGGTTACATGTCTCTATGAACCAAAAGTCCAACTGGGGGAGAAAACCATAGTAATTCCCCCCCTTAGATCTATCTCTTTTCAGACCCAAGTAGATGGGAAAAAAAGGAAAAGAAAAAGATACATGCCAGATTTCTGATGAAAGAAATTCAACCAAAGAAGGGGCTATTTATTTTATAATCCTTGGGATTGGTTCAGGTAGACAGAGAATAATGTTTTAATCAGACCCACTTAGAACAACGGCTGGGAATATCTTGTTTCTGTATATTTCTTTGCAATATATAAAACATTCCACTGATTCTGAGGTACCCGTCGAATTTCAGTGCTTTAAGATGCATACTGACATAAAACCTATGATGATGCTTTCACTGCAAGATTTATTTTTAATTAGCTCTGAAAACATGGATTTAAACTCCTTGCTATTCATTTGAAACTGACCTGTATTCTTATATGTTGGAGAAAAGTTAAGGAGTGTTGAGCGTCTAAAATTCTGTTTTCTTGTTTATAGGACAAAGATAATAGATTTTAGGAACAGAGTGGGCATGCGAAGCAGCATATGATGTGATGTGCGCAATTATGGGCATGTCCATGCTGTGAATGGCTGCCCTTAAATGTGTGTAGTGCAAAAGGTGTGCAGTTCTATGCAGCAGTGCTGGGTATGAGAAGTGAGTAAGAAAAGTAAGCAATTGCAGCAGTGCCTGGAACGTTGTAAGCACATAATAACACAATAATGTTTGTTATTATGTTATGTTTTCAGTACAAAATCACACAAAAAAATATTAAATCTTCAGACTTATAAAGTCCTGGAGAAAATAGTCTGTTTTACTAAAGACAAAAATCAAAATTATTTGGTTTACTGATCTCTATTTTGCCCACAATATAACAAAAAACAAACTTTGCCAAAGAAATTCTTCATTCTAATTCTACCTTTGATTTCACCTATGGGTTTTGTGTTTTTTCTTGGGATTTTTCCCCCTCCATGAAATTCTTCTATGAATTCTATAATCTGTCTAGGATTTGTTACAACACTAACAGGTAAAGGGTAAATTGAGGTATTTGAGGACCGAAGAACAGAAAATAAAATTGTGCCTAGGATTTCTTTAGAAAAGTAGTAGTGAATTTGAGGAAGGGAATTTCTTCTCTCTCTCTCCACACACACACACACACACCACCACCACCACCACCACCGCCACCAGCAGCAATGGCAATAGTAATAAAGTATTCTCCCAGGTTGATCTCCTAAAATATCTTGAAAATACACTCTATCCTTGTTTCATAAGCAAATGCAACATTGAATATGAAACACTATTATTGTGCACAAAGTAGAATTCATGTAATTTTTGTTTTTAATAATAGATCCTCTAGATGGTGACAATTTCAAAATAGGAAATAAAATTGGTCTTGTGCCCAGGCAGAGTATATGTCATGTAATTACAGCTGTATTAGTGAAGTGCCTCAGTTCTTTCTCAATTTTTCCCATCTACTTGATGACATACAAAATTTCCTTTCACAAGGAACACAGCCTTTTGTTGCTGAAATGAAAATAAAATAAAATATAGGATTTTAGCACCCCTGGGATCATGTGCAAAGGCAATGCTGTGAGTTCACAAAACCTTGTTTTCTTTTCTTTCCCGAACGGAATAGAATACATTTCCCAGCTTTCTTTGCAGTTACATGAGCCTTTGTATCTCATTTCTGGAATATGGGTGGGAGTGAAGTGTGTCAATTTCTGTCCTGACCCCAGAAGTCTCCTATGAGATCTATTCTCATTCCTTTCTGTTGTTGGATATCTGGATGCAATGACTTGTGCAGAGGGTTCTGGAGCCTTAGGGGACAGGATATCTTGTAGATCGAGGGTACCTAGGTCCTTGAACAACTATGTGGTACATAGCCCACCACCCACAATTCGCCTGGACTATCATGTGAGAGTGGAATGAAATTTATTGTGTTAAGCTACTAAGACATTTTGATATTATAATAGCAGTTAGGCTACTCTGAATAATATGGAACAAGAGAAATAGAAAGGAGACTAATATATACAATGCCAGACAAACATTTTCCCTCTTTCATGGAGCAATTCCTTTTTCAGACTTGAATCCCAAAAGTTCTTCAGGATACTAATTACTCAAGATGATTGCTAGCTGAGTATTCATTAGCTGATTTTCCAAGGACTTTTATAGGGTCCTCAAAACTTTGGAATGACACTTTACAAGAGAAAGTAACACCCAGAGGGAGAAATTTGCCAAATTAAAGTTTCATGTTTGAATAGTAGAAGAACAGTGTGTCCTTGCTTGAGTCTATATCTCTTTTCAACTTATCATTTTTGGTTGCTTCCATGATAACTACTTTTTTTCTTTTTTATCTAATACAGAATTATAAGTAAGGGAATTCTGGTAGTAGAATTCCCCTACTCTTGTAATTCAGCTCTATTCTTGTAGAGCTAATTTATATAATCCTAGGAAGTTATACTACCACAAATATCTGTCACTAAGAGTAAATAAATTCTGTATTAGGAGTTAAATAACAACTTTAAACGATAACAACTACACACAGAGAGAGTTTATGTGTGTATATATTTTATATTCCTTTTTTCTCACTAAAAGAATATATGGACAAGACTTGCAAAGTACTACTGTCAGCAGGTGTAAGAAGGAACTCAATATAATCCATTCAGTTGATGTTATCTGGCAAGTATTGTAATTTTGGAATTTAAAAAAGTGAAAAGGTGCTGATGCACCTTAAGAACAGTAAAAAATAAGTAAATAAAATGAAAAGGTAGATTTTTATAAAATATAATTATTTGTAAAAGGAGAAGGAAAGAAAAAATGACATTTGATGAACATCTGCTATGTGTCAAATGTTGTGTAAAACATTTGATTTTCTATTCCTTACCATGTGACAAATGCCACAGTTTTATTTTAATTAAGAGAAAATAAGCTCAGATCAGCAAAGTCAACTAGTGAAGACTACATGGCTAATCAGTGGCAGTCCTGGGATGCAGACAAAACTTATTTTTCAAGTCTGTATTCATTTCAATCTACTTTATCACAGCACTAAATTTGAATGTTAGAAATAAAATGATTATATCTAAAGCTAAGACTCTCAGATAAAAGTTCCATTTGCTATATTATAAAAAAGAAAACATCAAAGTGCAATCTCCCATGTAGCATGGCACATGGAATGGCTGAGTTTCAGTGTAGCGTTCAGAAGCCAGGGAGAAGGAGAGAGGGAGGAAGGGTAATGGGAATAAGAGACAGAAAGAAGTAATAATATCTCAAGAAAGAAACCCCAGGACTGTAGGCTACTGGGGCCATTTCAATCACTTGTCATGACCCCCGAAATCTATGCAATGTAGTATATATATATATTTTTTATTTTACTGGGACAGAGATTTAGGCTGTATTCCTTGAGGCTGCTATGTGTGATGAAGTCACTGTTGGTGGGCCTCCCAACTACCCATCACCTATATTTAACCCTGGTCTTCAATCTGTTGCATTCATGGTAATGCCCATCAATGGCTAAGGTGATCTTCTAATATTTTAATTTTTAACTCGATATGTTTTATGGGAGGCAACATAGCATAGTTGTTAAAAGTGGACTCTGTAGCCACATTCCCTGAGTTCAAATCCCATCTCCAATATTTACTACCTGTGAAACTTGGTCAAGCTACGTTTAACTTGTCTGTTCGTCAGTTTGCTCATCTGCAAAACAAGCACAAGAGTGCTATAAACTTAATGATTATTATACTGATAAAATTAGTGTGTGTATAGTATAGTGTCTGGCAAACAGAAAATGCTGAATGTGCTAACTCTTAATTACAGAAGAAAATATATGCTATTATTGTTTTCATCTATAAAATCAACCGCTATGTTATGGGACTTATTCTATATAAACATCAAAGAAAAAAAGGATTAAGGAGGAAGTTTTTGATCTTTAATACTATTATGTTTTCAACGATTTAGGGAATAAAAATATAAATAATATAATTAAACTTTCTGTTTTGTTTTCACACAATAGCAGAAACTACCAAATCATTTCATAGATATTCACTGTCCTTAAAAAGACAAAATGACTCTATGAAAACATTTGGTATTTTTTGTTTTTAAGCCATAGCCCTAGTTAATTGACCTGTTTCTGATCACCTGTACCATCTTCTTCTTTCTCGTTTTAATCAAAAGAGAAAGGAGGAAGGAGAATGAATGCCAGAAATGAGATGAGGTCAGGGATAGGAAAGAGAGTCAAGGATGAGGCAGTGTCAGAAATGACTGGCAGGTTTGTGCCAAGCCAATAAATTTTCAAAGATATTCCTTTCACTTATCTGAATAAAATGTCCATGGTATTACCATCACTGGGTTATTATAGCCTTTTTCATTATACTTTCTAACCCATAATGTTTTAAAATTATCTTTATTACATTTTACTTTCTTTAATTGACAAAATGTATATATTTATTGTGTACGAGATAATGTTTTGAAGTATGTATAAAAATGGAATGGCTAATTAACTTATGCACTACCTCAGCTAGTGGCAGGCCCTCTACTTCAGAGTCTGATCTGCTTTTTTTTTTTTTTGATTATTATTGTAACCACTGTTTATTAAAGACTTCTGGCCTCTGGTTTCTTTAAAATATTTTCAATCTCTAACCCTTTCTTCTCTAGGTCTTTTTCTGTAGGATCCAATGCAATAATTTAAGATGCTATTTGCTGACAGGAGATCCCAAGAACCCATTATGGAAATGAAGGCAGCAAACAACGTTTGAATATATTTCCCAATTTAAAAAGCCTTCATTACATAGTACATTTCAGGCTGAGAATTTTAAAAATTTATCATAGTTTCAGTAATTGTAGAATCCTCTTGAAGTTTGGCATGATATAGACTCATTTGTAAAATGTGTATTTTGTTTGGCATTCAGTAGGAAGCTTGCCAGGCAATACATTTAATTAAAAACATGAGGAAGAGAATAATTGTGGTTTGGCATAGTGTATTATCATTACTTTTAGGTTCTACATGTGCTTAAGATAGTGGTCTCCTAACAAGGTATGCATTTAAAACTAGAGGTAATTTCCCTTTCATCAGCCCAGGGTTTTTAAACTGGGAAACATAGTATTTTGAGGGGAAGGGTACTTTAGCTGCTCCTTAGATATAACACTGTCTATCATTTAAAAGATGAGAGCCTTAGCTGCTCTCCTTAGAAACAATCTTTGTCCATTGTTTAAGACTTGAAAAATTGATGCATTGCCTTTCAGGAGCTTAGACAGCTTTATTTAAGTTGAACTTTCTCTAGAGATGCATTGAAATAATGAAATGCAATGCCTTACTTGAACATAACCATGTACGTAACATCTAGTCCTGCCTGATGTGTAAATTTGATAAGAGCAACTCAAATATTATAATGATTAATGTTGATTTTTTTATTACAAAGCAATCTTTGTCAGCAGATTCAGAGAAAATGTGTGATGATAACCATCTATGAGACCAGGTTTTCATTGTTGTTAGACATGCTGTTTCATTTTTACAGGGAAACTTGCTAATAATGATTTTGAGAAGCACCATGGGAAAAAGGGCAATGAAAGGGCCTTTCTTGGCTTACAGGGCACAAGTATTTTAGGTTCAGGTTTTCAGGTATAGAGTTCTTTGATCATTTAGCTTTGCATGAATCCCCTCTGTCTTTTATCACTACATAGTGCTATTCTTCTTAGTGAACAAAGACTTTCTTCTAATAACACATCTTATTGGATTTAATATTAGGGTGTCTATTCTCAAGGTCAGTTCAAGGCATAAATAAGACATGCACCAAGATTGTTTTCACTCCCTGTCTTTTCTTAAGCAACTGTATTTTGGCCTCTCAGAATTTTTCTTTTCTCACTCTAACTAGTTTATTCCTTTTTCCCCTCCTCACTATCCCTCTTTCCCTTGAAGCATCAAAACAATTGCTTTAGTGAGCTGTTTCTTCAGGGCGCTATTCTCTGCTAGGGACAAGGAACAGAAATCTAATAATTAAAACCGAGAAATTCAGTGTGGTAAGACTCAGTAGAGAGTTAGGAAATATGGACAGAAGTGGTTGTAAATGGATGGAACAGCTACATTCATTCAGATAATCATTCGTTTATTTTTTTTCAAAAAAGGGAAGATAGAAAAATGTCCCCTTATCATATTTCAGTCCAGTTGTACATCTTTAAAGAAAGGAGCTCTTGGTGAAAGGATCCAATTATATAGGTGTTTGGCTCCCTTTCACAGTAATGTGTCAAAAACAGTATGCATTTTTCTCACAGAAATGCTGTTCTTGTATCAAAATGGTCACTCACTCCGGAAACAAATGGAAAACTTCTCCAAAAATTAAAAGCACACTTCTTGCTTTTTTCCTACCTTGTAGAATCCTGAAATCAATGCAACTTTTATTCTGTGGCATTAGGAACCAAGATAACATGACTCCAGCTTTATATTATACTCAACTATTATGATATAGTTCTTTTTTGTTTTTTTTGAGACAGAGTTTCACCTTGTTGCCCAGGCAGGAGTGCAATGGCATGATCTTGGCTCGCCGCAACCTCTGCCTCCTGAGTTCGAGCGATTCTCCTGCCTCAGCCTCCCAGGTAGCTGGGATTACCAGCATGTACCACATGCCCAGCTAATTTGGTATTTTTAGTACAGATGGGGTTTCTCCATGTTGCTCAGGCTAGTCTTGAACTCCCGACCTCAGGTGATCCACCCATCTCGGCCTCCCAAAGTGCTGGGATTACAGGCAGAAGCCACTGCTCCCGGACGTTTTTCTTTTACTTAACAGCAAGTAAACAGATTGAGGGAGAACTGAGAGGGACAAAAATAAACCATGTAAGGAAGAATACATGAATGGTGTTCTTATAGGCCTCATTGACTTTCCGGTACTCTCTGAGTTTAGACTTTCCATCCTTTTCCTATAGGACAATTTCTTTCTTTCTCTCATGCTTAAATCATGATGTTTAAGTGACATAACTTAGTAATGGGCAAACAAGATCAGATCAAAGGGTGGGAGGGGTAAGATCATGTAAAGGGACCCAGGCCACCGCTCTCCACCTCCAACTGTAGTATTCTGTTGGCTAACCCAAGATGGTATACCGATTGACCAGTGTGCAGCACCAGATTTTATATTTCACCAAAATTTGGCTGGATTATTTTAGATCAACAGATATCACGTCATTTCAGTACTTCTTATTAATTGTCCTCAGGCCTAATTCATTTTTTTCTGGATTTCTTTTTCACTCATCTCAGCAATACTCTCAACATTTTCCTTTTAAGTGAATGCTAGAATTAATGGATTTACTTAGGTAAGTCTTGGGGTAACTCCTCTTTGAAAGTGGGAGAACCACTATGAGACAAACGAGAAGATAAATTTAATTCATGTTTTCATGTTGAAGGCCTTAGATTACACATTTCTTAGGCTTGGACTTTCCATGTTTGAATCAACTGTGGAGAATAGATAATGGGATTAAAAAAAACACAATTAATGGAAAGACTGTAAAAACAGATTTAAAAAATAAAGATTGGAACAGGACTCCAAGATGGCTGACTAGAGGCATTCAGCAATTGCCTCCTCCACAAAGAAAAACTAAAATAGCAAGTACATAATCATTCTTTGAATACAGCATCTAAGACAGAACACTGGAATTCAACAGAGGAGTGTCATGAAACACCTGAAGCAAGAAAAAAAACAGGGAAGTAAAGCTGCCAGCTTGGTCAGGATCACCTGGGAGCTTGGAGAGTCACCCCAGTGTGGGAAAATGGTATATGCCCCAGCAGTCCACATTCCCATGATGGGCTCCTGCAATCCTAGTCACTGGAGAGTTCCTTGACCCCTGCAGACCATAAGGCTACCACAGGAAGCAGCCTGGATAGTGTGTAATGGCGTCGCTCCAGATAGGTAGCTTATGCTGGGTCCCACAAACACCCTGAGTCCTAAGCAGTTGTAGCACAGTGTCATTATGAGAATGTGGCCCAAACCAGACTGCATTTCTCCCTGGGGCTCAGCAGCCCCTGCATTCCTACATCCCTAGAACCCCACTGACATCTCCCTACATCCCTTACAGGACTGCAGTGGCATGAGAGTGATTAGACTCAGCAGAACAGCAGGGTCCTCAGCACTATAGAACACACAGCAACTTGCACCCCAGGTTATGGGTGGTGTAGCAGGCAAAGCAAGGTGCCCCTGGGACAAAGGGAGCCAAAGCATGTGCTCCCCAGAACTTGAAACTTGCCTGCCTGGGGCTGCTCCCACTGATAGCAACTCTGCCTCCTCAGCAATCCTCAACTTGCACATGCTCTGAAGACTGGCTCTCCCCATGGCTGCTGCTTCCACCAATTCTGGACACTGAAGCGTATACTTCCAAGAGCCTGAGAGCCAACTGGCTGTGGCTGCTGTCACTGAAAATAACCCCAATTCCCAGAAACAGGCCCACAGTGTACTTGCACGTGCCTTGAGGATGGATTCTCCCTGCTCATTGCTGTCATTGCTGCCACCACCCAGCACTTTACCAGGGGAGCCTAGGTTTCACCCTGGCCTGCCGATCACAGCCTGTACCTGTGTGCACAATGGAGGAGGCCTAATGACAGGCTTGTCTGGCCTGGCAACATCACCCATGCCTGGGCACATTGTCTAGGGACCTGGGGATCATCTTGCCCCACCCACTACCACTGGTATCAGTGCAAGTATTTCAGGTGCTTAAGCGCAGGCCCACCCAGCTCATCACAGCCACCACTAACAGAAACATGTTTTATCTGTGAGCCCATGGGGTTGTCCTGTCACAGATATGGCCATTGCTCATGCCATGCATGCTACCCAGGAACTTAATGAACCACATGGCCCAATACTGCCACTGCCAGAACCCAAGAAAGCCACCTGGAGGTCCAAGAATTAGCCTTCTTAGACCTAATTACATTCGTGCCCATGCACGCTGCCTGTGGGCCCAAAGACAGGCATGCTTGGCCCACCACCGAGGCCTGAGGACCAACCCACCTGCAGTTCTCATCCCCTACAAAGCCTTACCACAGCCTGCACTAACAGCCACAGCCTAATTGACAGAGGAAATCACAGATACCACTGAGGCTATTTATAGACAAATAAATCACATGGAGGCTACATTACTGCATGCACCCAGAATCAAACTAAAGTGTCCTGTGAAACCAACACTACAGATAGATCTTTAGGACCTTCCCCTACAAAAGACAATCCAAAAAAATAAAGAAGTGACTTACACCATATGCAAAGATATCAATGAAAGGAAAAAAGAAACATTAAATGTCAAGGAAATATGCCACATCTAAAGAAACATAATAATTGTCCAGCAAGATATTACAATAAAAAAGAAATTAATGAAATGATGAAAAAAGAGTTCAGAGTAATAATATTAAAGAAGCTCAGTGAGATACAATAGAACACAGATAAAGAATACAAAAAAAAATCAGAAAAGACAATTAAGAACATAATGAGAAATTTACCAATGTGATAAGCATCATAAAAAAGAAACAAAAATTCTGGAACTAAGAATTCAATGAATGAAATACAAAATTCATGTGAGAGCTTCAACAACAGATTTTATTATGCACAAGAAATAATTTTATAGCAGGAATAAAGGATTTTTTAAATAACTTGGTCAGGCAAAATAGAATAAATAATAAAAAAAGATTGTACAAATCCTGTGTAACAAATGGGGCTCCATAAAGTAACCAAAGTTTCAAATTCTGGATAGTCCAGAAGTTGAAGAGAATTCCAAAGCCATAGAAAATCTATTTAGTAAAATGATGCCTGGAAACTTAAAAGTCTTAGGAGAGATATGAACATCCAGATTCAGAAAGCTTAAAGAGCCCCAAATAGATTCAACTCAAAAAGTTCTTGTTAAAGGCAAGTTATAGTCAAATTGTTGAAAGTCAAATACAAAGAAAGGATTTCTAAAGACAGGAAGAGAATGATGTTAAGTCAAATATAAAGGAAACCTTATTAAAACTAACAGCAGATTTTTCAGCAGAAAAATTACAGATCAGGAGAGAATGAGATGATACATTCAGAGAGCTGGGAGGAGAAAAACCAAAAAAAAAAAATGTCAATCCAGAACACTATACCCAGCAAAATTGATCCTTCAGCTATAAAAAAGAAATAAACTCTTTCCCAGATAAGCAAAAACTGAGGAAATTTATTACTTTCCTTTGTTTTCGTGACTCCTTTAAAGGGTTCTTATATCTGAAAGTGCAAAGATGATATCTATTATCATGAAAACACAGGAAAGTATAAAACTTACTGGTAAACATACAAATGTAGAAACTACTCAAATGGTACAACTACAGAAAAACACCAAACCATAATGATAAACAATAAGAAAGAAAGGAACGAAGTATACACAAAACATCCAGAAAACAATTTACAAAATGACAGAAATAAATCCTCACACATAAATAATAACTTTGAAGGTAAATGGATTAAATTTTGCTCTTAAAAGATATAGCTTGGTGACTCAGACCTTTAATCTCAGCACTTTGGGAGGCTGAGGTGGGCAGATCGCGAGGTCAGGAGTTCAAGACCAGTCTGGCCAACATGGTGAAACCCTGTCTCTGCTAAAAATACGAAAATGAACCAGGCATGGTGGCACATGCCTGTAATCCCAGCTACTCAGGAGGCTGAGGCAGGAGAATAGGCTGAACCCAGGAGGTGGAGGTTGCAGTGAGCTGAGATTGTGCCACTGTACTGCAGCCCAGGCAACAGAGCAAGACTCCATCTAAAAAATATATATAGAGAGAAAGACTGGCTGAATGGATTTGAAAACAAAAACCAAAACCAAAAGCAAGGACCACATGACCCAACTATCTGCTGCCTCTAAGAAACTCACTTCACTTGTAAAGACATATAGAATGAAAGTAAAGGATTGAAAAAGATATTTGGTGCAAACAGAAACCAAAAGTGAGCATAAGTATCTCTACTTATATCTGATAAAAACATTTTTAAGTCAAAAACAGTAAAAAAGAGACAATGAAGGTCATTATATTAAAGATAAAAGGACAAATCCAGCAAGAGAATATAAAAATTATAAATACATATGTACCCAATATGAAATCATCCAGATATATGAAGCAAATATTATTACATCAAAAGGGAGAGATGTACTCCAATGCAATAATAGTTGGAGACTTCAACACTCAACTCTTAGCATTAGAAAGATCATCTAGACAGAAAATTTAAAAAGAAACATTGTATTTAAACTGCACTTTAGACCACATTGGCCTAAGAGGCCAATCTACAGAACATTTTATTGAACAGTTGTAGAATATACATTTTTCCCATAACCACATAGACATCCTGTAGGATTGACCATATGTCAGGCAACAAAACAAATCTTAACAAATTTTTTAAAAGTTAATAGCATACCAAGTGTCCTCCTATGCCACAATCAAATAAAACTAGAAATGAGTAAAAAGAGGAATTTTGGAAGCTGTACAAATACGTAGAAATTAAACAACAATCTCCTAGACAAGCATCAAGTCAATGAAGAAATTAAGTAGGAAATCAAACAAGTTTCTGAAAAAGAAAGAAAATAAAAACACAATATACCAAAACCTATAGGATAGAGCAAAAGCAGTGCTAAGAGGGAAGTTCATAGCAATAAATTCCTACTATAAAAAACTAGAAAGTTTTCAAATAAACAATCTAATGATGCACATCAAGGAATTAGAAAAGCAAGAACAAGCTAAATCCAGAATTAGTAGAAGAAAATAAGTAATAAAGATAAGAACAGAACTAAATGATACAGAGACTAAAAAAATACGAAAGATCAACAAAGCAACAAATTGGTTTTGTGAAAAGATAAAAAATTAAATAACCTGCTAGCAAGACTAACCAAGAAAAGAGAGAATACCCAAATAAACAAAATTATAAATGTAAAAGGAGGCATTACAATTGACATCACAGAAATACAAAAGGTCATCAGACACTATTATTAACAGTTAACATTTACAAACTGGAAGACATAGGGGAAATGAATAAATTCCTGGAATCACAAAACCTACGAAGATCAAGTGTGGAAAAAATAGAAAATCTGAACAGAACAATAATGCACAGTAGATTGAATCAGTAACAAAAAGACTCCCGAAAAAGAGAAGCCCAGAATTGGTTCCTTTATTGCTGAATTCTACCAAACTTACAAAGAATAACTAACATTGATTTTCCTCAAGGCATTCCACAAAACTGAAGAGGAGGGAATTCTCCCTATTTTATTTTATGAGGCAGTATTACCCTCATACCAAAACCAGACAAGAACACAAGAAAGAAAGAAAACTACAGGTCAATATCCATGATGAATGAGACACAAAAACCCTCAACAAAATACTAGCAAAATTAATCAAACAGCACACCAAAAAGATAACACATGTTAATCAAGTGGGATTTATCCTTGGGATGCAAGGATGATTCAACATACACAAATCAATAAACGTGATACATCATATCAAAAGAATGAAAGATTAAAAAATGTGATCATCTCAATAGGCTCAGTAAAAGCATCTGATAAAATTCAAGATCTTTTCATGATGAAAACTCTCAAGAAAGTAGATTTAGAAGGAATATACCCCAACATAATAAAGGCCACATATTACAAACTCACAGCTAACATCATACTGATTGGAACAAAGCTGAAAGCCTTTCTATCAAGATCCGGAACAAGATGAGGATGCCCACTTTTATAACTCCCCTTCAGGATTCTAGTACTGAAGGTTATCAGCCAGAGCAATCAGGAAAAAGAAAGAAAAGTCATCCAAATTGGAAAATGGGAGGCCAAATTGTCCTTCTTTGCAATGAAATTATCTTATATTAAGAAAAACCTAAAGACTCCACCAAAACACTCTTAGATTTGAAAAATTAAGGAAAGTTGCAGAGTACTAAATCAACATACAAAAATCAATAGCATTTTATACACCAGTCTGAAAAATGTGCAAAAGAAATCAAGAGGCAATCCCATTTAAAATAGCTACAAAAAAAAAGCCTAGGAATAATTTTAACCAAACAAGAACCAACCTCTACAAACAAAACTATAAAACACTGGTGGAAGAAATTGAACAAGACACAAAAAATAAAAAATATATTTCATGCCCATAGATCAGAAGAATTAATATTGTCAAAATATCCATACTACCAAAAGAAATCTACATTTTCAGTGGAATTATATCAAAATATCAGTGACATTCTTCACAGAAACAGAAGAAACAATCCTAAATGTTACATATTAATAGAACCACAAAAGTCCCCAAATAGCCAAAGCAATACTGAGGAAAAGAACAGGAAAAAGGACACAACACATCATACTACCTGGCTTCAAGACATATTATAAGGCTGTAGTAACCAAAAAAGCATTGTATGAGCGTAAAAATAGACACATGAACCAATAAAGAACCCAGAAATAAATCCACACATTTATAACCAACTGGTTTTCGACAAAGGTGGGAAGAACAGGCACTGGGGAAAGGATGGCTCTTCAATAAATGGTGCTGGGAAAACAGGATAATCATACTCAGAAGAATGAAACTAGCCACCTATCTCTCACCATATACAAAAATCAAATCAAGATCAGCTAAAACCTAAATGTAAGATCCAAAATTATAAAACTGCTTGAAGAAAACATTGGGGAAATGCTTCAGGTCATTGGTCTAGACGAAGATTTTATGGCTAAGACTTCAAAAGCACAGGCAAGATAAAAATAGGCAAATGGGACTATATTAAACTAAAAAGCTTCTGCACATCAAAAGAAATAATCAACAGAGTAAAGAGCCTGTTAAATAGTAGAAAATATTTAATATTTAAATTATTTAAATATTTAATATTTAAAAATATTTGCAAACTGTTTCTCTAATAAGGGCCTAAAGTTCAGAGAATACATGGAACTAAAACAACTCAACAGGAGAAAATAATAATAATCCCATCAAAAAGCGGGCAAAGGACATGAACAGACATTTCTCAAAAGAAGACAAATGACCAATAGGTATATGAAAACATGCTCAACATCACTAATTAGCTTGAAAACTCAAACCAAAACTACAATAATATATCATTTTACCCCAGTTAGAATGACTATTATTAAAAGGAAAAAAAAAAAAACAGATGCTGGCAAAGGTATGTTGAAAAGGGAACTCTTATACACTGTTGATGAGAATGTAAACTAGTACAGCCATTATGGAAAACAATATGGATATTTCTCAAAAAATTAAAAGTAGTACTAACGTATGATCTAGCAATCTCACTCCTAAGTATTTATCCAAAGAAAAGGAAATCAGCATATCAAAAGGATACCTGCACCCCTATTTTTATTGTAGTATTATTCACAATAGCAAAGATGTGAAATCAACCTAAGTGTTGGATAAATGGATAAATAAAATGTGGTGTGTGTGTGTGTATACACACACACACACACACACTACACACAAAATGAAACACAGCCATTAAAAAAGAATTAAATCCTAACATTTACAGCAACTTGGATGAGCCTGGAGGATGTTATGCTAAGTGAAATAAGTTAGACAAATATCACTTTCTCCTCCATATGTGAGAGCTAAAAACTTTGCTCTCATGGAGGTGGAAAGTAGAATCATAGTTATCTGAGGCTTGGCATGGTGTTTGTTGGGGATTGGGGGGATAAGAGAGGTTGGTTAATGGGAGCAAACATACAGTTAGAAAGAACAATTCAAATATTCAATAGTTGAGTAGGATGACTATAGTTAAAAACAATGTATTGAATATTTCAAAATAGCTAGAAGAGAAGACTTCAAATATTTTCAACAAATAGAAATAATACTTGACTGACGTGACAGATACCCTAAATAACATTACTTAATCATTACACATTCTATGTATGTACAAATAGCAAAATAATACATGTACCCCATAAAAAATGAATTTTACCATCAATAAATTTTTTTAAAGTAACTAAAATATAGCAACAGAAAAAATGTGAAATACTAAAAGTAGGCCTGCTGATAAAAAATAAATCGTTAGATACATATAATATCCAAAATATTATGATTCTCTCTAAAATCAGGAAAATACCTTTGCCTTGAGGTATCTAGGTCTATGAAGGGTATCTCTAGGCTGAGTTTTACTATAATAAACACCTGGGAATGAAGATCAAAAAGGTCTTCATCTTCTCTGCAGTATTTCTTGACTTAACACAATAGGCTGGCATTAAAAAATAATAATAATAATACTGGAGTCTGATTGTGCTCTTTTCAAAATCAAAATATTAAAACCAACAGCTGGCAGGGCACGGCGGCTCACGCCTGTAATCCCAGCACTTTGGGAGGCCGAGGCGGGTGGATCACGAGGTCAATAAATCGTGACCATCCTGGCCAACATGGTGAAACCCCATCTCTACTAAAAATACAAAAATTAGCCGGGCATGGTGGCGCGCGCCTGCAGTCCCAGCTCTTCGGGGGGCTAAGACTGGAGAATCGCTTGAACCCGAGAAGCGGAGGTTGCAGTGAGCCGAGACTGCACCACTGCACTCAAGCTTGGCGACAGAGTGAGACTCAGTCTCAAAACAAACAATCACAAAAACAATAGCCGTTCTTTGGGATGCGAATATTTTACATATGCGGATGGATGGACGCATAGATTAATACATTTTTTCATGAACCATCGTAGCTAACATATATTTTCTCATGAACACCACAGCTAACATATATAAATTTTTTTCCAGGGGCAAAGGACCACTAAAGCATACAACTGATGTGATCTATGCAGCGAAAATGATATCAGAATCAGGATCAAGGATGGATGTCCTTGCTCGGCAGATTGCTAATCAGGTGAGTTACTTACAAGTGGACATCATAAAAGTTCATGCTAATTGCTCTTTGCCATTAGAACATTGATTTAGGCAAAGTTAAATTTTTACTCTCTTCAACCATTTTTTCTAAATTATAATTGAATTTCTAATAGCTCTATTAATACACTAGGTAATGGACGATTATAAGGAAGCTTAATTATTTCTTAGGGCAGATATTTTTAGCTTAAAACATACTCAAATTATTTCTAGTATCAGCTCTTCAGCATCAAATATACTCAATTAATTTTAATCAATTGTAATTACAAAACCGAGTTTTGTTGTTGTTGATACATTATATTTCTTTCTTTCTTTTTTGGTTGTGTATTTTTAACATTTATTTTCATTATGTTTTATTTTTAATTGACATATAATAATTGCCTTTGTAGAGTACATATATTTCTATACATGTATACACTGTGTATTGATCAAATTAGGTAATGAGCATATACTATTCCTCAAACATCTATCATTTCTTTGTTTTGAACACATTCAAAATCTTCTCATATAGCTATTTTTAAATACACAATAAATTATTAACTATAGTCAGCCTATGTTACAGAAGACTACAATTTATTCCTCCTATATAACTGTATTTTTGTACCTTTAACCAACTTATTTTTATCTTCCCCTCTCCGCTACTCTTCCCTGCCCCTGATAACCATTATTCTATTCATTAATTCTGTGTCATCAACTTTTAAAACTCTCACATATGAGAATATGTGGTACTTGTCTTTCTGTACCTGACTTATTTCACTTAACATAATGTCCTCCAGTCTTGGTCATGTTGCCACAAATGACAGGATTTCATTTTTCTTTGTGCCTGAATATTCCATTGTGCTTGTATACCACATTTTGTTTATCCATCCATTCATTGGTGGACAGTTAGATTGATTCTAACTAACTGATTGACAGGTTGTGAACAGTGCTGCAGTAAGCATAGGAGTGCAGCTATCTCTTTGACATACTGACTTCCTTTTCTTTAAATAAATACCCAGTAATGGATTGCTGGATCATATGGTAGTTCTATTATTAGTTTATTAGTAGTAGTTTTTAAAGAAAACTCCTATTTTCCATAATGGCTGTACTAATTTACATTCCTACCAACAGGGTATGAGTCCCCTTTTCTCTACATTCTTGACAGAATTTATTTTTTGTTCTTTCAATTATAGCAATTTTAATTGGGGTAAGATGATATCTTATTGTGCTTTTGATTTGCATTTTCCTGTCAATTAATGATGTGGAACATTTTTTCATATACCTGTTGGCCATTTGTATGTCTTCTTTTGAGAGATGACTATTCAGATCATTTGCCCATTTTTAAATTTGTTTTATTCTTCTGTTGATATGTCTTATGTATTCTGTATTTTAATCCCTTGTCAAATAGTATGAAAATATCTTCTATCATTCTGTAGGTTGTCTTGTCACTCTGTTAATTGTTTTCTTTGCTGTGCAAAACCTTTTTAGTTTGATATAATCCCATGTGTTTATTTTTGCTTTTGTTGCCTGTGCTTTTGAGGTGTTAGCCATCAAATCTTTGCCAAAATCAATGTCCTGAAGCCCCGTGTTTTCTTCTACTAGTTTTATAGTTTTGGATTTTATGCTAGGCCTTTATTTTGATTGGATTTTTCCATATGGTGAAAGGTAGGGGCCTAGTTTCATTTTTCTGCAATAGATATCCAATTTTCCCACTACTGTTTATTGACTATCCTTTTCTCAATGTGTGTTCTTGACACTTGTTCAAAATCAGTTGGCTATAAATATGTGAATTTATTTTTGGGTTCTCCATTCTGTTCCAGTGGTCTATGTGGTTTTTTTTTTTAATGCCAGTACCATGCAGTTTTAGTTACTATATCTTTGTAACATATTTTGAAGCCAGGTCGTGTGATGTTTCCAGCTTTGCTGTTTTTCTCAGGATTGCTTTGGCTATTCAGGGTCTTTTGTGGTTCTATGTAAATTTTAGGATTTTTTTTTTCTATCTATGTAAAAAATGTCATTGGTATTTTTCTATGGGTTACACTGAATCTGTATATTGCTCTGGGCAGTATGGACATTTTAACAATATTAATTCTTTCCATACATGAACAGAGGATATCTTTTTTTGTCTCCTCTTCAATTTCTTTTATCAATATTTTATAGTTTAATAGTAGGGATTTTTCACCTCTTTAGTTATATTGATTTCTAGGTGTTTTGTTTTTTGTAGCTATGAGAAATAGGATTGCTTGCCTGATTTCTTTTTTAGATTGTTCACTATTTGTGTGTAAAAATGCTGTTGATTTTTGCAGGTTGATTTGATATCCTTCAACTTTATTGAATTTTTTTATCAAATCTAAGAGTTTTTTTTTTTTGGTAGAGCCTTTAGGTTTTTCTTTTTTTTGTATATATATTTTTATTTTTCATTTTTGTGAGCACATGGTAGTCTATATATGTATGGGGTACAGGAAATATTTTGATACAGGCATACAATGTGTAATAATCACAACAGGGTAAATAAGGTACAGGATTCACACTCAGAGTCAACTATCCAGAGACAAAATAAACAAAAAGAAATTTTAATTTTCACTTAGTAGTTTAATTAGTAATAGCAATGTTTTATTACACTTTTGACATTTTCATGAATCAATCAGTAAAGACAAATGGGATAAGAATATATTTAATGAGTACAGAAATATAGTTAGATAGAATAAATAAGATCTAGTATTTGATAGCAAAACAGGGCAACTATAGCCAAAAGTAATTTATTATATGTTTAAAAATAACTAAAAGTTATAACTGGATTGTTTGTAACACAAAGAAAGGTTTTTCTTAATATAAGACCATGTTATCTATAAACTAGGACAATTAGACTTCCTCCTTTCCAATTTGGATACTCTATATTTCTTTCTCTTAGCTAATGGTTCTGGCTAGGCCATTCAGTTCTATGTTGAATAAAAATGGTGACAGTAGGCAGCCTTGTCTTGTTTCAGATCTTACAGGAAAGTCTGTCAATTGTTTCCTTATTTTTGCTCTTCAAAAATTAATACATTTTAAAATGTTATAATGTTAGGTTTTCTGTGTCAACAATATATTCTAATATAATATTTAAAATTCAAAGAAAAGTAGTATTTAGTAGAATACTAAAGATAATACTAAAGATATAAAATGCATAAAATACATAATTAATATAGAGACTGGTGTTCATAAACATTTTAGTTTCCTTTTTTTAGATTTCTCATGTTTATTTCAGTATTTCTAAGCAGCTGCTGCATCCTTAGAAATACTTTACACTTTAACTGAAAAATCTGTTGCTTTCATTAATGTGTTGAGATATTCAATTAATATTTCAGACTGAGGTATAATATTATTTCATGGCTTTTATATTATGTTCAACTTCATAGTACATATTTATTTCCTTTTGGAAAAAAATGAGGATTTTTGCAACTGTTTCATATTATTTCTTGCTTAAATAGTATTAGGGAAAGGTTTTTGGGCTTCTTTTTATAATGATTACTATTGTTCACTATGTTTATACTCTCTTGGAAAATGAAGAACTCTCTCCTATTAAATATTGTATTTGTGGATATAAGGAATAAGAAACAAATAAAGACTAATTATAATAAACTGTTTAATAACATTCCTAATAATAAAGAACATATGTCTTTTCCGTGTTACTTTAATTATTATAAAATTTTATTAATCCTTTTTTTTAGTATTTAGTATTTACAGCTAAAACAAACTATATCCTAAATAAGTCAAAATTTCTGAGTTTGATTATGTGACTGAAGCCTATATATGCCCACAGTTTTCTTTATTTTAGAATCTTATTGCATTCACTTTTATGAGAGACACTAAATCTTAGTGAAATAAGTGAAACATAGTACATGACACATATTTACATGTATTAATAACTTTTTAAATACTGAATGCTTCCTCCCATTTTTTTCTGTTTATTTTGAAACACCCAGTTTTCAAAGTTGACATAATTGTGTCACATTGAAGGTTTTTTTTCTTATATTGATAATCTTCTTTAATTGGATCAGGTTGCCTTGAAGTAGGTACTTCTATAACATGGCTTTATCAAATTATGTCATTGTTTTTAGCATTATTCAAATGGTATGGGAGAAAGCAAAAGTATCATCTTACTTCTGTATAGCTTTGACATTTTAAGAGAAGCTTAGAGAAGTAGTCACTGACTAATAAAGAATTATAGATGACTCTTTTTGGCCTTTTCCATTTCATACATAAAATAGTTTCAGATGAATTACTTTTGTTCTGAAGAAATATAGTTCTAAGTAATCAAAACTGAGAATGAAGAAACTGACTCAGTTATTACAGTGACCATCTAGGGAGGTTGTCTTTGAATGTGCTTCTGACATTATTATTGGATAGATTAAGACATTTTAGGCAGAAAATAATATCTGAAATTGATTATGGAATAAATTGAGTAATGTAAGCAATGTGATTTTCAGTGTCTATGTATATTATGAAAAAAATCTGCTGGAACATTGGTTGCTTTCTCTTTTGATCAATTTAATATTTCAAAAATAATACATTCTAGCTTTAGTTTTTGCTGGTGTGTCAGAAGGTCAAACAGTAATATCCATTCCAACTAACATTAGATTTGAAATTATATATATATTTAAATTATTTAAATGCATGTTTATATATATATCATCTATTACATATATTATTAGACCAATTTAGTTACATTCTGTAAAGTTTCAGAGTTAAAGTTCACATGTAGAAAGAATGAAACAATTAGATTAGTTGATGCTTCTCATTCTGCTTGCTTGGCCTTTTCATTTTTATTTTTCACTTTTCCTTCCTTCATTGCTTCCTTGAGAGAATATTTATTGTGTGTATGCCACACACAATTCACTACTCTGGCATTGGCATTAGCTAGTTAGAAAGAGAAGAACTAAAACCTTCTGTTTAATTTTCCCAGTCATTCAACATTTTTTAGACTTCAGAATTGTCTCAAAATGGCGGTCTCAAAAAAGGCTTAAGTATGCCATCAAAGATATATTTAAGTCTTGTAGAATTTTAGCACAAATTTTGTCTCCTTTAGACAGTATCCTTGTATAAAACAAGATTGTTATAGCTATTCTTACCTATAACAATTCTTAAAAATTTTGCTTGTGAATTAAACAGAATAAGTTGGAGAAGTAAAATATGAATCCAAGATTTCAGGCTTTCAGTACATATTTTTTTCTATTTCTGTACTCTACATTGTAATTAATCATATTAGCAGATATTCTAAATTAGATAAAGTAACATCTCATAAGGTAAGGATAATGCACAAAAAGATTTCAAATAGTTATAGAAGCAGTATAACCTAGATAGGAAGGAGACAATAGGAGCCAAAATAAAATTAGCATCTGCTAAAAGTGTTTTGCACCAGGAGAGAACAGTGTTAGACTTTCTGATCCCTCGGTGATCTTTAAGCAGCCTAATTACTTCCTCCTTGTAATTTTGCCAAAGCAAAGATATTAAGGCTAATAACTGGACATTCCCACCTAATTGTAACTGAACAAAATTAAAACGAACTTTTAGTGTTAAATACATTGGCAGCTAATTCTAATTCAAGAAAAGATGATGTTTAAAAACCAAAGTAAAGAAATATAAACCAAATCACACAAAATGCACTCCATTATGAACAAAACAACCTACAAGTATAATTTGTATTAATATTTTACAAAATATTCTTGGAGGCTGGCCTCATTTGAATTGTTTCATGTTGATATTATAAGAGGCAAAAAAATTATTTCAATGAAACTATACTACTGAGAAGCTTCTGGAGCCTTCATTATATCATGATTACACAACTCCTAAGGATATAATTCCTAGATACACCTTGTGACAATATGCGTATTTTAAAGGTATTACCTATCTGAAATTTATTTCCAGCAGAAATTTTTTAATTTTTTTTTTCAAGAGGTTTTTGGGGAGCAGATGGTGTTTGGTTACATGAATATATATATATACACACACACACACACATATATATATACATACACACACACATATATACCACATTTATATATATATATGTATATATAACATTTTCTTTATCATTCATTGATTGATGGGCATTTGGGCTGATTCCATATTTATGCAATTGCAAATTGTGCTGCTATAAACGTGTGTGCAAGTATCTTTTTCGTATAATGCCTTTTTTTCCTCTGGGTAGATATCTAGTAGTGGGGTTACTAGATCAGATGATAGTTCTACTTTCAGTTCTTTAAGGAATCTCCACACTATTTTCCATACTGGTTGTACTAGTTTACATTCCCAATAACAGTGTAAAGGTGTTCCCTTTTCACTGTATCCATGCCAACACCTTTTTTTGTTGTTTTGTTTTTTCTGATCATGGCCATTCTTACAAGAGTAAGGTGGTATCTCGTTGTGGTTTTGATTTGCATTTCCCCGATAATTAGTGAGTTGAACATTTTTTTCATATGCTTGTTGGCCATTTGTATATCTTTTTTTTTTTGAGAATCGTCTATTCATGTCCTTAGCCCACTTTTTGATGGGATTTTTTTTCTTGCTGATTTGTTTGAGTTATTTGGAGATTCTGAATATGAGTCTTTTGTCAGATGTGTAGATTGTGATGATCTTTCTCCCATTCGGTGGGTTTTCTATTAACTCTGCTGATTATTTCTTTTTCTGTGCAGAAGCTTTCCATTTTAATTAAGTACCATCTATTTATCCTTGTTTTTGTTGCATTTGCTGTTGGGTTCTTGGTCACAGAGTCTTTGCCGAAACCAGTGTCTAGAAGGGTTTTTCAGATATTATCTTCTAGAATTTTTATGGTTTTAGGTCTTAGATTTAATTCTTTCATTCACCTTGAGTTGATTTTTTTATAGGGTGAGAGATGAGAACCCAGTTTCATTCTTCTACATCTGGCTAGCCAATTATCCCAGCACCATTTGTCATATAGGGTGTCCTTTCTTCACTTAATGTTTTTGTTTACTTTGCAAAGATCATTTCACTGTAAGCATTTGGCTTTATTTCTGGGTTCTCTATTCTGTTCCATTGGTCTGTGTGCCTATTTTTATACCAGTACTATGCTGTTTTGGTGACTATGGCCTTATAATATAGTTTGAAGTCAAGTAATGTGATGCCTCCAGATTTCTTCTTTTTGCTTAGTATTGATTTGGCTATACGGGCTCTTTTTTGGTTCTATATGAATCTTAGGATTGTTTTTTCTAACTCTGTAAACAATGATGGTGGCATTTTGATGGGAATTGCATTGAATTCGTGGAATGCTTTTGGAAGTCTGGTCATTTTTACAATATTGATTCTACTCATCCATGAACATGGGAGTGTTTCCATTTGTTTCTGTCGCCTGTTATTTCTTTCAGCAGTGTTTTGTGGTTTTCCTTGTAGAAGTCTTTCACCTCCTTGGTTAGGTATATTCCTAAGTATTTTATTTTTCTTTTTGCAGATTTTGTAAAAAAACGGTTGAGTTCTTGATTTAATTCTCAGCTTGGTCACTGTTGGTATATAGCAGAGCCACTGATTTGAATGCATTAATGTTTTATCCTGAAACTTTGCTGAATTAATTTACCAGTTCTAGGAGATTCTTGGATGAGTCTTTAGGGTTTTCTGGATATATGATCATATCATCAGCAAACAGCAACAGTTTGACTTCCTCTTTACCGATTTGGATGCCCTTGATTTCTTTCTCTTGTCTGATTGCAATGGCTAGGACTTCCAGAGTCCTGTTGAATACAAACGGTGAAAGTGGTCATCCTTGTCTTGTCCCAGTTATCAGGTGAAATGCTTTCAACTTTTCCCCGTTCAGTATAATATTGGCTGTGGGTTTGTCATAGATGGCTTTTATTACCTTAAGGTATGTCATTTCTATGCTGATTTTGCTGAGGGCTTTAATCATAAAGGGATGCTGGATTTTGTCAAATGCTTTTTCTGTGTCTATTGAGATGATCATGTAATATTTTTAAAATTTTTTTATGTGGTGTGTCACATTTATTGACTTGCAGATGTTGAATAATCCCTTCATCCCTGGTATGAACCCCACGTGATTATGGCAGTTTATTTTTTTTTACATATGCTGTTGAATTTAGTTAGCTAGAATTTTGTTGGGGATTTTTGCATCTATTTTCATTAGGGATATTTGTCTATAGTTTTCTTTTCTTTTTTTTTTTTGTTATGTCCTTCCCTGGTTTTGTTACTAGAGTTATACTGGCTTCATAAAATGATTTAAGGAGGATTTCCTCTTTCTCTATCCTGTGGAATAATGTCAATCGGATTGGTATCAATTCCTCTTTGAATATCTGATAGAATTCAGCTGTGAATTTGTCTGGTCCTGGACTTTTTTGTTGTTGTTGTTGGCAATTTTTAAATTACCGTTTCAATCTCGCTGCATATTATTGACCTGTTCAGAGTTTCTATGTCTTCCTGGTTTAATCTAAGAGGGTTATATATTTCCAGGAATTTATTCATCTCCTCTAGGTTTTCTAGTTTATGTATGTAAAGGTGTTCATAGTAGCCTTGAATAATCTTTTGTATTTCTGTGGTATCAGTAGTAATATCTCCCATTTCGTTCTAATTTAATTTATCTGGACCTTCTGTCTTCTTTTCTTCGTTAATCTCACTAATGATCTATCGATTTTATTTATTTTTTCAAAGAACCAGCTTTATATTTCATTTATTTTTTGTATTTTGTGTGTTGGTTGGTTTCAATTTCATTTTATTCTGCTCAGATCTTTGTTATTTATTTTCTTCTCTGGCAGAAATGTTGATGCCTAGATTAGTTCTCCAGATTAATGAACTCCTACTTTATAAAAATAAATGCACAGAAAGTTCTCAAGATTTAAATAGGACTAAATGTATACTGAAATATTTGATCTATTTGCGTCTTTCAAGTAATAGTGAATCTCCTGTTCTAAGAGATGCTGCTTTACTCTTTTCCCCTTTATGTAATGTCTGACATTTTTTCACTGAAACAGTGTTTTAAATGCTCCTAGGGTGATTATCTATTCAGGTTCACTTCATGTATAGTTACAAAACTATGTAACCAAAAAATAAAGTGTTTTAGGGTCTAGGTGGAAGGAGCTATCTTGTATAAGTGGAGAAGAGGAAGGATGAGCAAAGTTTCTTCTTGTAGTTGGCTGGCTATCTTTAATCAAAAATTCCAAATAACCAGAATTTGTCTGAGTTACCTTTCCACCATCTTTTCCACATCCTTATTTTATGTACAGGATAATGCACTTGTATGAGTTTGTTTCAGTCGAAGTAATTCTTTGAATGACAAATTTCAGGCATGAGGGAGAGGGTGACACTTTTGAGTTATGGTCTATTACATAGGACACTCATTTCTTCTGAGAATCTCTCATGGAAGTAACATAAAGCTGAAAAGTAGCTTGAGTCATAACTTTACATCTACTAAAGTAAAGGAGCTTTGTTGAATAAGGAAAACATCTTGTCTTTAATTTGTATTGTGTTCAAAGTACATGTCACTTTCTCAATAGCTGTATGTGCAAACCAAGTTGAAAATAAAAAGGAATTTGAAACAATTCTTAAACTCAAGACAATTTCAGCCTAAATATGGACAAAATATGACAGGATTTTAACAGCATATATAACTTCTGGTAAAAACAACCTTTATTCATTGAGATATGCCATGCACCATACTTTCCCAATTATAACTCTCATAAATCAACATGTCCAGTCTTGAACATACCATATGAGACAATGTTATCCTCTACCACTGACATTATAACAGAGTTCCAGTGTATTTTTAATCATACTTCTATAGGTACCTTCTCTGTTCTGTGTTTCAGAAACCTGAATTTGCTAAACAGCAGCTGTCATAGGCATAGCAAAGAAAAAAATACTTAAAATATATTGAGGTTTCTAGGTGTAGAATAAGCACAAACTAATGGCTGACCAGATTTAAGAGATGGAAAAGAGGAACAAGGCATTCTTCATTGAGATAGTTAATACAAAGAGAAAAAATAGTTGAATAGGTGAGTAGGCAAGATAGTGAAATAGCTGAGAGATAAATGTGTTAAGTGTGAAATGTTGATGAGATGCTGAAATGGCATGGACTAACACAGTAGTTACATGGATCGCCTGATGACAGAGCTGGATGTTAGAATTTTGTAGTTTGTGTTGTGTAAGTGACAGATGAAGCCAGAGCACTGTCTACTGTTGTCCAAGAAGAGAATGAAAGTTAAAAAAAAAAAAATTGCTCAGGAACAAAAGCTGAGAACAACAACACGTGCAAGGAAAAAAAAAAATGCTTACAATACAGTCTGGGAAGGCTGGTGTAAAACTAGGAGAAAATCTAAGAGGAAACATTCATGAGAATTAATATTTATGAAAATCAATAAAGATCTAAAAGCTCCAGAGAGGTGATATAAGGGAGGAACTGCAACATATATAATGAATGCGGCAATTATAAGTCCATTAGTGATCTCAGTAAGATAAAATTCTGCGGACTGGAGGAGTTGAAAACAGTTCTTAGAATGATAAGGAAAGGAGGAATCTGCATTGAAACATTTTAGTAGGCATATTCATAAACAAAAAAGGAGACATGGGATTATAGAAGTCAGGGTTTTGCTTTGAGGGACTTGATAGAGTCAGGAATCAGAAAAAAAAAGGCATTAAAAGTAGAGGAAAAGATGAGATCATTGATGATCTGTGATCCTGAGCAAGATGAAACAAGGCATTACAGGTGAAGAAATGAGCCCTGTGGGATGGGAAAAGTCATGAACACCAAGTGCTTTTGCTACCACTGATCGCTTTAAATTCCTATTTTTGAAATTCACAGTGACACCTAGTACTTTTCATTAACAAACTTTTCCAGCTTAGCAAAATGTAGGCTATTGTCTGTAATTGCAAAATTCGTTTTATTTATTTATTTATTTATTTATTATTTTTTTAATTTTTGAGACGGAGTCTCTCTGTCACCCAGGCTGGAGTGTAGTGGCACGATGTCAGCTCACTGCACCTCCGCCTCCCAGGTTCAAGCGATTCTCGTGTCTCAGCCACCCAAGTAGCTGGGACTATAGGTACGAGTCACCATGCCCGGCTAATATTTCATATTTTGAGTAGAGATGAGGTTTCACCATGTTGACCAGGCTGGTCTCGAACTCCTGACCTCAGGTCATCTGCCTGCCTCAGCCTCCCAAAATGCTGGGATTATAGGCGTGAGCCACCGCACCTGGCTGCAAAAGTCATTTTAAATTTCTTAAAGTTTAGGCTCCAATATGAGCAAAAAAATACTAAGATTATGGAATAAAAGTCTTGAAAAGTGTTCGTTTTGCTAATTCACCCCTGAAATTTAAACTAAAACGTAATGAATTTTTTTTACATTTTTCCTCATTACTAAATGATGTATTCCATATTGGCTCCAAGCGTCTTGGTAGAAACGTGAAAACTGGCTTAAAGTGAGAAAACCACATAGGCTGAAATGCCATCTGCTTACATGTTGTGAGTCCCTGTGATTATAAAACTTAGATTTAAAAAAAAATCATGCATTAAGGAACTAAGTAGATGTTCTGGAAAAGTCCCTAATAGTATTCTTTTAAAAGTTATTTTAAAGCAAATGTTACTTGAGAAACAACAGTAAAGGGCAAGAATGTTCTACCAACCTAGAGACCGAAGTTTTTCTGTCACTTTCACGTAAAAATTTAAAAGGTGGGAAAAGCATTGTTCGATGTTTTTAAATTTAATTTTTTTTGTAAAAATTGTACATATTTAAGGACTTAAGATATACAATGTAATAATCAACAAAATTAAAAGACAACCTATGGTTTGAAAGAAAATATTTGCAAACCATAGATCTGATAAGGAATTAATATCTAGAGTGTATAAGAAACATGCAGAACTCAATAGAAAAAAAATCCAAGTAACCTGATTAAAAAATGGGAAAAGACCTGAATACATAAAAGTGGCCCAAAGGAGATTTGAAAAATAGTAGAATATTCTTAAAGTAGGAATGAGGCATTCTCCTGATTCTGCTTCTAAGTGAGCAAAACTGACTCAGAAAGGCTTTCTGCATGTCAATGGGAAAGAAGGCTTTAATAACTTTTATAAGTATAAGAATTTACCACATAGTATTTTGTTTTACTTTGGTTATAAAACTGACTGCTTCTGTTATAACCAAGATATTCCCATCAGTTCTGAAAATGAAAGGTAAATTTAGGTCAAGCAACTTTGAATTTCAAAAGATCATTTTCACACTTTCTACTCATTTGACTCATTCTTTCCTTAATGGAATTATAGGCTTTTCTACTGTGGCCTTGGAAGAGTCTCTTGATAGAGACAGCATGTTTTGCTTAAACTTGAGTGATTGCAATTGGTTATTGGTCAAGAATCTGATTACTAGTTTGACAGTTTGATTTTATCAGAGTTGTATAGTGGTGCTGGTCTTCAAGGAACAAATCCACATTAATCGAGTTTATAATTGACAAATAAGATTATCAATAAGAAACCAACTTACAAATCAGAATGACAATTTAATATTTACAAAAAAGATAAAATTGGCAAGAAGACTGATACTGTTCCTAGAACATGGAGGTAAGGAGGTGTAGCCAGATTATGTTTGAACACGAGCTCTACCACTAATACCATTTATTGGCAAGTGAGTTAACCTCTCTGTTTGTCAATATTCTCCTTCACTAAATGAGGATAATGATTCCACTTACCTCATGAAACTGTGGGTGTTGTGTGATTATTAAAACAATTAGTAGAGACAAAACATCTAGAATTATAGATGACAGATAAAACACTTTACATGTCAGGTATTATCATTGTGTCCATACTTAAGAATGAAGAATAGATAAGAAAGTTACTCAGTGAAAGCAATAATAACAAAAAATGATTTGAAAGAATGCCCTATAGAAGAGATTATTGTGTATGCATGTGAATGAAACAGAGAAAACTAAATTCAAATCATTTACTCTCTCTGAAACTTACTTTGCAAATCTACAAAATGAAAATAATAGATCTAATTAAAATGGTGCTTTGAGTACTAAAGTTATGCATGTAAAGGCCTTGGCATAGTACCTGGCACAGACGAAGTACCTAATAAAGATCAGCTGCCTGTCAAGAGAAAACAAAGAGATGACTTGTTTTTCATCGTTTTAGGTAATTTCACATCTGTAAATTGGGGAAAATATTTGCGTCTTACAGTTTTAATGATTGAGTGAGAAGATATGCCTAAATTAGTTTCCATAGCATGTGGCACATAGTAAGAGCTAAATGAAAATTAACTATTGTTCTTCCTCCTCTGTCTCTGCCTTCTCCTCTTCTTCCTTTCCCTCTTTCTTTTTCTTTTCTTTCTCCATATCTTTCTCCTTTCCAATCTTCTTCTTAATTAGCTACAATATAATCCTTTTGAGGAGATTTGAGGGATAACCCTCATTTGCTTACTGAAAACTTGAGAAACACCCTTAATTTCTATATTCTTGTCTGATTGTGTCTCTGTCTGGCTATCCTGTATCTATTCATGCATATGTCCATGCCTATCTTGCAGATTGATAGTATTTCTGCAGAAGAGTTGAATTCTTTGCTACCTTTGTTGATTATTATCGACTTTGACTCAGGGTAATGTGTTCTCATCTTGTGCACACACTCTGGAGCTACACAGCCTATTTAAAAAATATAAGACGATAAGTACCTCACAAATTTTCCAAAAACACTCCAGCTTAAGTTATTAATTACTGAATAAAAGCAGAAATGCATGAAAGGTTTTCTGGTTGTTCATCCTACTTTTTAATTTGCAGTTTAGGTCATTAGAATAAAAGCTTTAAAAAATAACATTTTATAGTTATAGAAGAAATATATATTTAAGATATACAAAATTTGAATAAAATAAAAGTATTGATTATATCACATTTATTGATGATTGTCATATATTTCTTTCCCAGCATCTTTTAATTTTTTTTAACCCAGAGTCCAGAATGTATTTATCTTTAATGCATCTAAAAAATAATTTCAACTTTTATTTAGATTCAGTGGGTATATTGCATGATACTGAGGTTTGAAGTACAATTGATGCAATCACCCAGGTAGTGAGCATAGTACCCAATAATTAGTTTCTCAAGCCTTTACTCCCTTCCTCCCTCCCCTGTCTAGTAATCCTCAGTTTCTATTGTGGCCATCTTTATGTCCATCATTACCCATTCTTTACCTCCTACTTGTATGTAAGAACATATGGTATTTGAGTTTTTGTTCCTGCATTAATTCACTTGGGATAATGGCCTCCAGCTGCATCCACATTGCTGCAAGAGACATAATTTCATTCATTCCTTTTTATGGCTGTTATTCCATGGTGTATATGTACCCCATTTTATTTATTCAATCCACCATTGGTGGATACCTAGGTTGATTCCGTGTCCTTGCTTTGTGAATAGTGCTGCAATGAACATATGAATGCAAGTGTCTTTTTGGGTAGAACAATTTATTTTCTTTTGAATATGTACATAGTAACGGGATGAGTGAGTCAAATGTTAGTTATGTTTTAAGTTCTTTGAGAAATCTCCAAACTGCCTTCTACAGTGGCTGAACTAATTTACATCCCCACCAATAGTTTATAAAGTGTTCCCTTTTCTCCACAGCCTCACCAGCATCTGTTGTATTTGACTTTTTAATAATAGCCATTCTGACTGGTGTGAGATAGTATCTTATTTTGGTTTGATTTGCATTTCTATGATTATTCATGATGTTGAGCATTTTTTCACATTGGTTGGCCACTTGTATGTCTTCTTTTGAGAAGTGTCCATTCATGTTTTGATGTGGTTTTGGCATTTGTCCTTCCCAAATCTCATGTTGAAATGCAATCCCCAATGTTGGAGGTGGGGCCTGGTGGGAGGTGTTTGGGTAATAGGGGCAGATTCCTCATGATGAGCTGTCCTCAGGATAGTGCATTATCAGAAGATCTGGTCATTTAAAAGTGTGTGGCACCTCCCACTTCCCTCTTGCTCCTGTTCTCCCCACGTCGTGCACCTGTTCCCACTTCATCTCCTACTGTGAGTAAATATTCCCTGAGCCCCCACCCCAAAGCCAAGTGGATGCCAACGCAATGCTTGTATATCCTGCAGAACCACGAGCCAATTAAACTTCTTTTCTTTATAAATTACCCAGTCTGAAGTATTTTTTTGTAGCAATTCAAGAATGACCTAACTCGTACCATTTACCCATTTTTAATGGGATTGCTTTTTGCTTGCTCAGTTGTTTAAGTTCCTTATAGATCCTGGATAGTAAAACTATGTTAGATTCATAGTTTGCAAATATTTTCTTCCATTGTGTGGGTTGTCTATGTACTCTGTTGATAGTTTGTTGCTATGCAGAAGCTCTTTAATTAGAGATTCCACTTGTCAATTTTTGTTTCTGTTGCAATTGCTTTTGAGAATTTAGTTATAATGTCTTTCCCAAGACTGATGTCCAGAATGATGTTGCCTAGGTTTTTCTTCAAGGATTCTTATTGTGGAGGTCTTATATTTAAATCTTTAATTCATGTTGAGTTAATTTTTCTAGATGATGAAAAATAGGGGTCCAGTTTAATTCTTCTGCCTTTGGCTAGCCAGCTGTCACAGCACCAGATACTGAATAGGGAGTCACTGCTTATTTTTGTCAACTTTGTCAAAGATCAGATGGTTTTAGTTGTGCAGCTTTATTTCTGTGTTCTCTATTCTGTCCCATCAGCCTGTGTATCTGTTTTTGTGCCAGTATCATGCTGTGTGTGTTACTGTAGCCTTATAGTGTAGTTTGAAGTCAAGTAATATGATGCCTCTGGCTTCTTTTTTTTTTTTTTTTTTCCCCCTTAGGATTGCTTGTCTATTCAAGATATTTCTTGGTTTCATATGAATTTTAGAATAGTTCTTTTTCTAGTTCTGTGAAAAATGACGTTGGTTGCTTGATAGGAATAGCATTGAATCTGTAGATTGCTTTGAGCAGCATGGCCATTTTAACGATATTCATTCTTCCAGTTGATGAAATTGAAATGATTTTTCCATTTGTTTGTGTCATCTATGATTTCTTTCAGCAGTGTTGTATAGTTCTCCTTGTAGAGATCTTTCACTTCCTTGGTTAGATGCATGCCTAGGTGTTTTATTTATTTATTTATTTGCAGCTATTGTAAATGGAGTTGAGTTCTTGATTTGGTTCTCAACTTGAATGTTATTGGTGTATAGAAATGCTATTGATTTTTATACAATGATTTTGTATCCTAAAAAATTACTGAAGTCGTGTCTCAGTTCCAGGAGCCTTTTAGTAAAGTATTTTATGTTTTCTGGGTATAAAATCATATCAACAGCAAAGAAATATAGGTTGACTTTTTATTTGTCTAGATGGATACCTTTTACTTATTTATTTTGCCTGATTGCTGTGGCTGGGACTTTCAGTACTATGTTGAATAAGAGAGGTGAGAGTGGGCATCCTTGTAACAGTTTTCAAGGAGATTGGTTTCAGCTTTAGCCCATTCAAGTAGAGATTGGTTTCAGCTTTTGTCCATTCAAGTATAATGTTGGCTGTGGTTTCTCTTAGATGGCTCTTATTATTTTCAGATATGTTCCTTTGATGCATAGTTTCTTGAAGGTTTTTATCATGAAGGGATGTTGTATTTTATCAAAAGCTTTTCCCACATCTGTTGAAATAATCATATGATTTTTGTTATTAATTCTGTTTATATGGTGAGTCATATTTATTGATTTGTCTATATTAAACCAACCTTACATTCCAAGAATTAAGTCTACTTGATCATAGTGAATTAACTTTTTGATGTGCCACTAAATTCAGTTTGCCAATATTTTGTTGAGGATTTTTGCATCTATGTTTATCAGAGATATTGGTATCAGAGATTTTTTTCATTGTATCTTTACCAGGTTTTCCTATCAGGATGATGCTGGTTTTGTTGAATGAGCTAAAGAGGAGTCTCTCCTTCTCCATTTTTTGGAATAGTTTCAGTAGGATTGGTATCAGCTCTTCTATGTATGTTTGGTAGAATTTGGCTGGGGCTCTTTTTGTTGTTGTTGGTGGTGGGTGTTTTATTACTGATTCAATTTAGGAACTCGATTTTGGTCTGTTCAGGGTTTCAGTTTCTTTCTAATTCATTCTTGGAGGATTGTGTGTTTCAGAAATTTATCTTTTCCTCTAGATTTTCTAGTTTGTATGCACAGATGTGTTCCCAATAGTTTCTGAGGCTCTTTTGTATTTCTATGATATTGGTTGCAATGTCACTTTTATAACTTCTGACTGTGCTTATTTGAATCCTCTCTCTTTTTTTCTTTGTTAATCTAGCTAGCAGTCTACCGATCCTGTTTATTTTTTCAAAAAAAAAAAAAACACAACTTTGGTCTTCATTGATTCTTCCTATGAATTTTTAGGTCTCAAATTCTTTCAGTTCCATCTAATTTTAATTTTTTCTTTTCCTCTGCTAACTTTTGGGTTGGTTTATTCTTGTTTTTCTTGCTCCTCTAGGCATGATGTGAAATCATTAATTTGAGATCTTTCTAACTTTTTGAGGTAGGAGTTTACTGCTATAAACTTTCCTCTTAACAGCACTTTTGCTACATCCTAGAGATTTTTATATGTTGTGTCTATTATTTTTATTTATTTCAAAGAATTTTTTGGTTACTGCCTTAATTTCATTGTTTACCCAAAAGTAAATTTATTAGTCCATTTTCACATTGCTATGAAGATACTGAGACTAGCTAATTTATTAAAAAAAAAAAAAGAGAGGTTTAATTGACTAACATTTCACATGTCTAACACTTTTAGTGAGTTGTTGAAGTTCCTCAACATTATCGTGTGGCTATCTAAGCCTTTTTGTAGATCTAGAAGTACTTGTTTTATGAATTCAGATGCTTCAGTGTTGGGTACATACATATTTAGGATAGTTAAGACTTTTTGTTGAATTCAACCCTTTATCATCATGTAATACCCTTCTTTGTCCTTTATTACTGTTGTTGGTTTAAAGTCTTTTTTATCTATTATATATTATATTTTAATATATTTTAAAATACATATATTTTACCTAATATGTTATATATATTATATTTTAAATATATTTTAAAGTACATATATTTTATCTAATATAATAGCCGCTCCTCTTTTTTGTTGTAGTTTAATCTGCAAGATAGATATTTCTTCAACCCTTTACTTTGAGCTTATTGATGCCATTATGTGTGAGATGGGTATCTTGAAAACAGCAGATGAATGGATGTTGTTATTCTATCCAACTTGCCACTCTGTGCCTTTTAAGTGGGGGGTTTAGGCTATTCACATTCAAGGATAATATTAATATGCAAGATTTTGATCCTATCATGAAGTTGTAAGCTGGTTGCTTTATATTTTCTATGGTTTGATTGCGCTATAGATCTGTGGGCTCTGTACTTGTGTTTTTGTGGTAGCAGGTATCAGCTCTATATTTTCCCCATGTTTAGAATTCTCTTAAAGGTCTCTGACACAACTGGCCTAATGGTAATTAATTTTTTTAGTGCTTGTTTGTCTGGAAAATATTTTTATTTCTCTTTCAGTGATAAAGCTTAGCCTGGTGGGATATGAACTTTTTGTTGAAATTTCTTTGCTTCAAGAATTCTGAAAATAGGCCTCCAATCTGTCTCGGCTTATAAATAAGGTTTATGTAGAGAAGTCTGCTTTTAACCTTTTGGGATTTCCTTTGTGTGTCTTCTGACCTTTTTCTCTAGCTGCCTTTGAGATTTTTTCTTTAGTATTGACCTTGGATAGTCTGGTGATTATATGCCTTGGTGACGTTCCTTTTTGTATAGTATCTCTCAAGTGTTCTCTGGATTTCTTATATCTAGATGTCTACCTCTCTAGCAAAATTTGAAACATTTTCTTGATTTATCACTTCAAGTATTTTTTCTAGGTTGTTATCTTTTTCTCAGTCTCAGGAATGTCACTAATTTTTAGGTTTGGCCACTT
Source organism: Homo sapiens (assembly GCF_000001405.40). Taxonomy (NCBI): domain Eukaryota; kingdom Metazoa; phylum Chordata; class Mammalia; order Primates; family Hominidae; genus Homo; species Homo sapiens. The sequence continues at coordinate 65,969,777 of NC_000010.11, read as the reverse complement.
TACATAATCCCATATCTCTCAAAGACTTTGTTTATTTTATAAAAATTACTTTTTCTTTATTTTTTTCCGACTGGGTCAATTCAAAAGACTGGTCTTCAAGATCTGAAATTCTTTCCTCTACTTAGTCCAGTTTATTGGTGAAGCTTCCAGTTGTGTTTTGAAATTAAATTAGTTTTTTAATTCCAGAATCTCTGATTGATATTTTAAAGATGTTTATCTCTTCCTTCATTCTCTGGATTGCTTTAAAAAGTTTCTTTGTGTTAATTTTCAACCTCATCTTGGATCTTATTGAGCTTCCTTGCAATCCACACTTCAAATTCTTTATCTGTCATTTCCAAGTTTCCACTTTGCTGGGGACCATAGCTGGAGAACTAGTATGGTATGTTGATGGTATCACTACATTTTGAATTTTCATGGTGCTAGAATTCTTACACTGGTTCTTTCTCATCTTGAAGCATTGATACTTCAAATTTTTGTAATTATATTTGTGCAGATATAATTTTTCTTTTCTTTCCCTATAATACTATTGATTTTTTTTTCTTTCCCTTTCCCTTTCCCATCTATTTTTCCCTAGGGAGTGTGACTTTAGAGAATGCTGGGTAAGGTCTTTTGGCTTAACTTGTGTACTCCTACACCTTTCTGTCAGCAGGTTTCATATTGGGCGGTTCAGTTCCACCTACAAGCCTGTAGATGGTGTGTATGACCAATACCGATGGGTGTATACTTCATCCTTGTTTACTAGCAGAAGCTCTTTCTTGCCTCAGGCAATGGGCTTATTCTTGTAGTGCAAAATGCTCTGAGCTCCCTCCTCAGCCCTAGAGGTGTTGGGAGCAAGATGGGCAGGTCCAGACTGGCAGGTTTGCCTATAATTCCCTAAGGGCAGGCATGAGCACCGGTGCTGAAGCATAATCCAGTGAGTGGGTACCAAACACCAAGAGGTGTGCCTAGATATGGAGCTGGGAAGCTTTCTTGTCCTCAAATTCTCTACACACAGATTTGGGGTGGCCTAAACTCCTAATCCAGGGGACTGGGTACTCCAGATGCTGGGTGATCTGCCTAGGCATGAAGCAGAGAGGCTCCTCTACATACCTGGATCCCTGCAGAGAAAGTGTGGGGTGGCTCAGGCTGTCAATCTGAGCAAACATGTACTTTGAATACCTGGAAATCTGCCCAAGCGTGGAGTGGAGAGGGCCTGCTACACCACAATCTATGCACAGAAAGGGTAGGGAAGCTCAGCCTGATGATTTAGGCAAGCTGGTACTCTGAGTGCCTGGAGATCTGCCTGGGTATGGAGCAAAGAGAGTCCTGATGCACCATGATCTATGCCTAGGAAGGATGGACAGCTCAGGCTGTCTCAGCAGGTTTTATTATTTTATTTTTTATTTTTATTTATTTATTTTTTGACACAAGGTCCCACTCTGTTGACCAGGCTGGAGTGCAGTGTTGCAATCATGGCTCACTGCAGCATTAACTTCTCGGGCTCAGGCAATCCTCCCACCTCAGCCTCCTGAATAGCTGGGACCACACCTGGCTAATTTATTTTTATTTTTTGTAGAGATAGTGTCTCCCTATGTTCCCCAGGCTGGTCTCAAATTCCTAGGCTCAAAGGATTTTCCTGTTTCAGCTTCCCAAATTGCTGGGATTATAGGCATGAGCCACTGCGTCTGGCATTCAGCATGTTTTAAATACACACAATTTTTAATAGAATTTGATTGCAATATTTACATATTGATTTTTTTAACTTCCAAAAACATTTTTCCACATCCTTTGAAACTCTATTTTCTTGATACTGAGTAATGCTACATTATATTGATATTCATTCTTATTTAGTCTTTCCATTATTTTGGGACATTTAGGTTATTTCCAAATTTTGTTATTATACATAATGCTACAATGAAGATCTTTGCATATAAATCACTGTCCACATTTCCTTGTTCTTATAAAAATTTACTAAAAGTGGAATTAAATTAGAAGGAATTTTTATAAATTTATTATAATTGCATAGGAGAAAGAACACAAAGATTAAATCTTAACCAAAGCTATTTACCATGGTATGATAAAGCTCAAAGCTGTCCTCCAGGAAGTTCCTTCGAAAAGATAAAATGATGTAGGAGGCTGGTTTTCATAAGGAAATTTAATATTCTAAAACATGTGTCCTGTCTGTTTCTTGGCTTCAGTTGTATTCACAGCTGTTATCTAAGGTAGAAATAATTTCCTTTGTCTGTAACAGCTAAGTACATTGAATGCTGAAAGTAGTAGAACATATTATGTTGCTCCATGTTGTTTATGCCCATTTGAGTAGCACAGGACAGACAGTGTAGAGACCATGAGTCTCAAGCAGCATTCTAATAGTAATTCTAGGAGCCTTCTAATAGTAATTCTAGGTGAAAGAAATAATTACATTTTAAATATTTCTATAGATTTACCAAAAATATAATCTGAAGGCTTCTAACCTTTGTCATAAATTAAAGGCAGCTATTTTATATACCTTTTTATGTCTAAAAATTATTTTAACGTTTCTTGGCCAGGTGTGGTGGCTCACGCCTGTAATCCCAGCACTGTGGGATGCCAAGGCAGGCAGATCATGAGGTCAGGAGATCAAGACCATCCTAGATAACACGGTGAAACCCTGTCTCTACTAAAAATACAAAAAATTAGCCAGGTGTGGTGGCGCATGCCTGTAGTCACAGCTACCCGGGAGGCTGAGACAGGAGAATCACTTGAACCCGGGAGGCAGAGGTTGCAGTGAGCCAAGATCTTGCCACTGCACTCCAGCCTGGGCAACAGAGCGAGACTCCATCTCAAAAAAATAATTATTTTAACGTTCCTTTTGGCTAAGCTGAAGTAACTAAGGTTGCAAAATGAATGAACTATTGTAAATGGTAGAAGCATATCAGAAGCTACTTGGTCCTGTATGAAAATAAAATTGCTGCTTTATAAGGTACCTGCCATGTGAATACTGTATTTACTCACCTTGATCTAACTATTATTTATTCTGCTGTATCTATTTTTATCTTTGATTCATATTTAGTGCCCAGATCCATCTTGTAAACAGGACTTGTTGGCCTACCTGGAACAGATTAAGTTCTACTCCCACCAACTGAAAATCTGCAGTCAAGTTAAAGCTGAGATCCAGAACCTGGGAGGAGAGCTCATCATGTCAGCTGTGAGTACTGCCTAGCACTTACATGATCACAGGTGGAAGATGCTTGAAACAGAGTAACTACACCCTTGTTTACATGACCAAATCTTTTAGGTAAAATTAGTTTAGAAAAACTAAATTGGAGTTTTTATTAAAAGTACATGTATTTAAACTAGCAAGAAATCTTAAACTAGCAGATTTCTTAAAGAAAGGTTAAAAATGTTGTTTTTATTTACTTCAGAGATTAAAGAGTAAATCAAGTTTTATAAGCCAATTGGATAAGAAATGCATGTTAATTTAGAGCATGACTTCAGAATGTGTACAGATGGAACTCCGGAATGAATCCTATAATTTTTCTAAAATAAATGCATGTGGAATTGCAAATTAATAAAATGATTGCTTCGCTGCTATTAATTGATATTCATTTTCCCCCTATTTCTTTTTATAACATAGATGTTCATGTCTTGAGATTTTTCATTTCCATATATATTTTCAGAAATGGAGTATGATAAAACTTAATAGATTTAGAGGAATTTTCATAAATTCTTTGGTGGCCCTGAGTTTTAAGCTGCTATAAATTACCATGGTAGAACTAATGTATACCTTTTCTACTCATCTTTTAATAGCAGTAGATCATTTCTCTGGAGAAGAAATGGTAATAAAATAATATTTGATATCTATATTGGATTCAGTTATCAGTGACTTTGAGAAGGACATGGACTAAGATTATAAATTTAAGTTTAAATGAAACAATATAAATATTCTGGGAATTTATATTTCTGAGAAAATTTTTTTTAATTACACTAGTATATTTATATGTCTGTAACATATAGGGCCTCTCTATCCTGGCATTCGACAGTCCCTCAATGAGTTAATGTTCTGAAAGAGGATGTAATTACAAAAACACAAACAAAGGATCACCATCAAAAGTAGTGGGCAGGAGCCAGTTGCGGTGTTTCAGACCTATAATCCCAGCGCTTTGGTGTCCAGATCACTTGAGGTCAGGAGTTCAAGACCAACCTGGCCAACATGGTGAAACCCTGTCTCTACTAAAAATACAAAAATTAGCTGGGTGTGGTGGCGCATGCCTGTAATCTCAGCTACTCAGTAGTCTGAGGCACAAGAATTACTTGAACCCAGGAGGTGGAAGTTTCAGTTAGCCGAGATCGTGCCACTGCACTCCAGCCTGGGCGACAATGCAAGACTCCATCTCAAAAAAAAAAAAAAAAAAAAAAAAAAAAAGTAGAGGGGAGGAAACAAATAGTGACTGTCTATGTCTTGCCTATATTTTATGTTAATCTTCACAATAACATGCCAGATGGATCACTTATTTATTTGTTCTGTTTTCTTATATAGCTTTCCCAATGTCATACTAGTAAATGTCAGAGTTGAGTTTACCTTCAAAGGTCTATGATTCCTCTGTTCAGAGAGACAACACTGAATTTGTGATGAAAGTGAAAAACACAAGTCGAAAGTGAATAATTTGGAAATTATAAGATGGTATTGCATTCTAGCTTTTTATTCCAGTGGTTGTTAGAGGGGGAAAAATAGTGTCTTTGATATTCAAATTTTATCAAAAATCCCACATAAACACAGTGAGTGCATTACTAGTGCCCTGTCACTTTTCAGAGAAAAATGCATTTTGTTTAGTCACAAGCCATGCAAATAGGAACATGCGTGTGTATAGACACATATGCATACATGTATGTATATATACATTTATATAGATACACACAGCATGTATGTGTGTATAGATGCATATGTATTAATATGTATACATATTTTTAACTACTGTATATTCCTTTTGGCTTATTAAACATCCAGTCTTCATTTTCTCATTTAACATTATACTGCCTTAAATATGTAAAAAAGTATGTTTATTTGGAGGATAAACTCTTCCATTTACTTTTGTCATTTTCACACACTAATCGTGCTTTGTAAGGTCTAAATTTCATATAAATTTTATTTTTCAAATATACAGTTTCATGTTGTATGACGCTAAGCTTTCAAAAAATCTGTGGTAGAAGTTCAGCCTCTGCATAGCTGTTAAAATATATTGGTGTTAATTATCCTTCCAAAATACAATTTCCTTTCTATATATAGAAATTCATTCCTGTTTGGTATAATGATTCAAATTCATGAACTTTACATATATTACAGATAAATTAGGCAGGAGCTATTTAGAATCCATGATTTACAATTTAAAAGCTGAGTCATTATATAAAATGAGGAAGAGCATTGCAAATCCAAAACTATCTGTCATCATCTCACTCACTATTCCCCATTAGAAAAAAAATAAATCTGAAAAAGGAGAGCATGCCCCCTTTTGCATATCTTACTGCCATCTGTTTGCAGGTAGATCCTAGAAAGCTTTCTAAATACATTACATTTACGTGTGCCAAAGCACACTTACTTTAATCTCTCAGTGACCCTGAGTTCTTGTCTTGTTCCTATTCTTTAAATTCAGAAGATCTAATCTATCATTTTTCTATAAGATCTCTTGAAAAATGGCAAGCATGATTCCAAAGCAGAGAGACACTAAAAATTACAGAAATTTGGTATTCAAAACTACAGACTATTCAAAGTTTACTAAATAAAGCTGGCATCCCAAGATTAGGTTCATGAAACATTGCCTTACCAAATATAGTGGGTTAAAAATAAGTAGGTGTGAACGGAATGCATTTCTAAAGTGAATGGGCAGTATGTTCTGTTCTGGGTCTGAGGTGTGAAGGTTTAGGATAAAGAAGATGAATTAATAAAATAAAATAACCTGAGAGATATTCTTATAATACACCATTTAATTAAAATTATTCCACAATCATTCTTACATCTATATTGCAAGCACTCATCTTGAAGTTGCATGTTTTACCTGTATAGAGACAAAATATATGTAGTTCATTCAAATCCATTACTATGAATTGAGCCCCTCACTGTGCAAGGCATAGTAGTACATCTGAGGGATGTAAAGATGATTATATGATAATTTCCTTAAGATATTGAAATGCATAAAAAATTAAGAAACATAAAATGTACCTGAATATACAAAAAAGATTCCAGAACACTGTAATAAACCATACAACATTGGCATGTAAAAATGTACATGTATAGCAAGTGAGGAAATAATTTATTTGATGTGCAGAGCAGGCAAGAGAAAGCTTCATAAGTGGCGCAAACCTGTTTTGGGCCTTGGTTAATAAGTAGAAAACAAATGTGTACTTGTAGGAGGAGGAGAGGGAAAGGATTTGAGATAGAGGGGACAACTGAAATAAAACAGAGATAGGGAAGACATGGAATGTTATGGACATGGTGGGCAGTCTGATTTGACTGAAATCAACTTTCCTTGGTACTTTTGGTGTGTGTTTTGTGGAATAAGGGTGGGTGGGCAAGTAGAGCAAAAGCTTGTAAAGGAAACTGGGAATGTTTTGAAAGGATCATTTATAATTTAATTTTACCCTGTAGGCAATTGAGAGTAATGAACAATTTCTTAGTTTGAGATGGCAATAGTAAATCTATGTATTTCAAAGTTAACATTTTTTAGACACAGCAGTGATAGATTAGAAAGATAAGGGACTAAAGGATTGAGACCTATTTAGGAATGACTTTTAAAAATTAGTCTAAGATGTTTATTGCAGCACTAGTCACAATAGCAAAGACTTGGAACCAACCCAAATGTCCATCAATGATAGACTGGATTAAGAAAATGTGGCACATATACACCATGGAATACTATGCAGCCACATAAAAGGATGAGTTAATGTCCTTTGCTGGGACATGGATGAAGCTGGAAACCATCATTCTCAGCAAACTAACACAAGAACAGAAAACCGAACACCACATGTTCTCACTCGTAAGTGGGAGTTGAACAATGAGAACACATGGACACAGGGAGGGGAACATCACTCACTGGGGCCTGTCGGGGGGTGGGGGGCTAGGGGAGGGATCACATTAGGAGGAATACCTAATGTAGGTGATGGGTTGATGGGTGCAGCAAACCACCAGGGCACGTGTATATCTATGTAACAAAACTGCATGTTCTGCACATGTAACCCAGAACTTAAAGTATAATAAAAAAAAAATTAGTCTAAGAGAGAAACAGTGAGAACTTACTTAGGGCAATATTGATGAGAATGGAAAGGAGTGTATCTATACAAGGAACAATTCTGAGGAAAATATGTTTAGAAGCAATTATCCATTGGGTGTTAAGGGTGAAAAAGAAGAAAGAATTAAGAATTTCCTAAAGGTTTTGAGGTTAAATAGTTTACTTAGTCAACAATGGCATCGTTAACTAAACAGTGTATATAGAAGGAAGACCATGTTACGGTGAGTATGGAAACTCATTCAGGTTTTGCTTGTTGAATTTAAGTGACCAAGGGGCATCCAAGGAGAAAGGTTTAGGAGAAGTTGGGTCTTTGGTTCTGGAACTTAGGAAAGAGGTATGAAAGAGAAGTATATGGGACCATCCAGTGAAAATATGTTGGATGCCATTTTTTTAAAAATAGCTGAGACAGTGATCCAGAAACAACTTTTTTCACAAAGTGATTCCAATGTACCTTTATAGATTCTGAGACTTGACTGTGGCAGTTAAAACAAACTGGGAGTTTACCATCTCCATAAAGTGAGTCTGCGAATGGGCGGTCTAGAACTGTTACGACAGCTTCACAAAGTCACCAGGGAATCAGGCACTTTTGTCTTTCAGCTTCACTTTTCTTGGCTTCCGGCTCTCGTTATTATCAAGGTCAAAAATATGGCTTATACGGCTCTAACAATGACTTGTATATTCCAGGCAGTAAGAATAAAGAGAAACTGAAGCAAACATTCCTTACACTTTGAAAGGGACCTTCCAGAAGGTCCCTTTCAAATACTAATTTTTTTTTTTTACAAACTATTCGCTAGAGCTTAGTCATACTGTTATATTTCACTGCAAGGTATGCTACAAAATATAAATTTTGTATGTTTGTTTGTGTGTTAATCCTGCACATTGCTTTCCCCAGTGTAATCAGAGTTCTGTTTCTATGAAAAAGAGAATGGATATTGGGTGGCAGCTAACAGTTTCTATCATATTCCCTCTATGATTACCAAAATCACAGCAGTACACATATCATAGTCATATTTTTGCACATATTCCCCTCTAGACTATAAAGTCCTTGAATATTTTTACATGATTTATGGTGCAGTGGCCAACGACTATAAAGGATGCAACCGGCAAAATTATGCAGGTTGGCTTAGCCTTAAAAGTACACATTGGGTTTTGCATTTAGAAGGTGTTTTTATATCTTTTTAAAAGCAGTATCAGTATTATGGTGAAGGCAAAAATTGTATCATGATCAGTTGAGTACTGAGTATGCAATGACAGATAAAATATGGTGGCACAGACTCAATTTTCCAAAAGTTTGAAGTTGAAAGGAATAAAAGAGAGAGAAAGAAAGAAAGAGATACTTGAGGGTCAGAGCAGACAGAGTCACCAAAAGCATTTTTGTTTGTTAACATTTTTATTTATATACTGCCTAAAGTGGCAGTAATTGAGAAATGTTTAGGTAAAGAAAAAAAAGCGACCAGAAGAGAATGAACCTGTGAAAAATTAAGACTACAACTGATGGAATAAAGTCAAGCAAATGAGAGAATGTGATGTTAGAACGGGTAGAAAGATTAGGTTTGGAAAAAAAGAAAAAAGAGCTCTTCTTCTCAGCCAGGATGAAGTTGAATTAAGATATAATCACATTTATTAAATAAAGAAAATGTGGTACATATACACCATGGCATACTATGCAGTCATATAAAAGAATTTAATTATGTCCTTCACATCCACATGAATGCAGCTGGAGACCATTATCCTAAGCAAATTAATGCTAAAACAGAAAATCAAATACCACATGTCCTCACTTACAAGTGGGAGGTGAACATTAATTACACAGGGACATAAAGATGGGAACAGTAGATACTGGAGTCTCTAAAAGGTAAGAGGGAGAGGGGTAAGAGCTGAAAAAATTCCTGTTGGGTACTATGTTCACTATTTGAGAGATGAAATTAATAGAAGCCCAGACCTCAGCATCATGCTATATACCCTTGTAACAAAACTGCACATGTACCCCCTGAATCTTTTTTTTTGTTGTTGAGACGGAGTCTCGCTCTGTCACCCAGGCTGGAGTGCAGTGGCGTGATCTCGGCTCACTGCAAGCTCCGCCTCCTGGGTTCATGCCATTCTCCTGCCTCAGCCTACCGAGTAGGTGGGACTACAGGTGCCCCCCACGGCGCCTGGCTAATTTTTTGTATTTTTTAGTAGAGACGGGGTTTCACCGTGGTCTCGACCTCCTGACCTTGTGATCCACCCACCTCGGCCTCCCAAAGTGCTGGGATTACAGGTGTGAGCCGCTGCACCCAGCCGTACCCCCTGAATCTTAAAAATAAATAAAAAATTGATTTAGTCTAACTTAAAAAAAGATAGAATCACATTTATAGAAATGAATGAAAGGTTGAAGAATTTCTTGCTGATAAATCCCATGTTTGGTAAAATGGAAAGAGTAGTTTTCTGTTAAAATTAAGATATGAGCACTCTATTCAAGTTTCATTTTAGCAATAGAACAAAATAAGGATGTCCACATCTCAATCACTTTTCTCAACACTGCTTAGAAGAGAAAATAAGCTAAGTTCACAGCAAGTTTTTGAGATCATGAACAGAGATAGCATATGATAGACATTTTTTACCAGAGCCAAGCTCCAGGACATTGTCTGGATCTTGGAACCTGATGCAGCTTCAGTTCACATGGAAATGAAGCCAGTTTGGCCTTCCACCTGCTATCCTTTATCAAATAAAGAGGGGAGTTGCCAGGTACGGTGGCTCAGGGCTGTAATCCCAGCACTTGGGGAGGCTGAGGCAGGTGGATTGCTTGAGCTTATGAGTTCAAGACCAACCATGGGCAACATGGCAAATCCCATTTCTACAAATATTAGCCAGGTGTGGTGGTGTATGCCTGTAGTCCCAGCTACTCGGGAAGCTGAGGTGAGAGGATGACCTGAACCCAGGAGGTGGAGGTTGCAGTGAGCTGAGATCATGCCACTGCATTCCACCCTGGGTGATAGAGCCAGACCTTGTCTCAAAACACTAAAAAAGGGAGGAGGTTCCAAGATGGCCAAATAGAAACAGCTCCAGTCCACAGCTCCCAGCATGAGCGATACAGAAGATGGGTGATTTCTGCATTTCCAACTGAGGTACTGGGTTCATCTCACTGGGGCTTGTTGGACAGTGGGTACAGCCCATGGAGTGTTAGCTGAAGCAGGGAGGGGCATTGCCTCACCCAGGAAGCACAAGGGGTCGGGGAATTCCCTTTCCTAGCCAAGGGAAGATGTGACAGATGGTAACTGGAAAATTGGGACACTCCCACCCTAATACTGTGCTTTTCCAATGGTCTTAGCAAATGGCGCACCAGGAGATTATATCCCACACCTGGCTCGGAGGGTCCCACTCCCACAGAGCCTCACTCACTGCTGGCACAGCAGTCTGAGATTGAACTGCAAGGTGGCAGCAAGGCTGTGGGAGGGGCGTCTGCCATTGCTGAGGCTTGAGTAGGTAAACAAAGCAGCCAGGAAGCTCAAACTGGGTGGAGCCCACCGCAGCTCAAGGAAGCCTGCCTGCCTCTGTAGACTTCACCTCTGGGGGCAGGGCATAGCTGAACAAAAGGCAGCAGAAACTTCTGCAGACTTAAACGTCCCTGTCTGATAGCTTTCAAGAGAGCAATGGTTTTCCCAGCATGGAGTTTGAGATCTGAGAACGGACAGACTGCCTCCTCAAGTGGGTCTCTGAACCCTGAGTAGCCTAACTGGGAGACACCTCCCAGTAGGGGCTGACTGACACCTCATACGCCTGGTTGCCCCTCTGAGACAAAGCTTCCAGAGGAGGGATCAGGCAGCAGCACTTGCCGTTCTGCAATATTTGCTGTTCTGCAGCCTCCTCTGGTGATATCCAGGCAAACTGGGTCTGGAGTGGACCTCCAGCAAACTCCAACACACCTGCAGCTTAGCATCCTGACTGGTAGAAGGAAAACTAACAAACAGAAAGGACATCCACACCAAAACCCCATCTGTACGTCACCATCATCAAAGACCAAAGGTAGATAAAACCACAAAGATGGGGAGAAACCACAGCAGAAAAGCTGAAAATTCTAAAAATCAGAGCATCTCTTCTCCTACAAAGGAACGCAGCGCCTCACCAGCAATGGAACAAAGCTGGACGGGGAATGACTTTGACGAGTTGAGAGAAGAAGGCTTCAGATGATCGGTAATAACAAACTTCTCCAAGCTAAAGGAGGATGTTTGAACCCATTGCAAAGAAGCTAAAAACCTTGAAAAAAAATTTGACGAATGGCTAACTAGAATAAACAGCATAGAGAAGACCTTAAATGACCTGATGGAGCTGAAAACCATGGCACGAGAACTACATGGCACATGCACAAGCTTCAGCAGCTGGTTCAATCAAGTGGAAGAAAGGGTATCAGTGATTGAAGATCAAATGAATGAAATGAAGTGAGAAGAGAAGTTTAGAGAAAAAAGAGTAAAAAGAAACAAATAAAGCCTCCAAGAAATATGGGACTATGTGAAAAGACCAAATCTACATCTGATTGGTGTACCTGAAAGTGACGGGGAGAATAGAACCAAGCTGGAAAACACTCTTCAGGGTATTATCCAGGTGAACTTCCCCAACCTAGCAAGGCAGGCCAACATTCAAATTCAGGAAATACAGAGAACACCACAAAGATACTCCTCAAGAAGAACAGTTCCAAGACACATAATTGTCAGATTCACCAAAGTTGAAATGAAGGAAAAAATTAAGGGCAACCAGAGAGAAAGGTCGGGTTACCCACAGAGGGAAGCCCATCAGACTAACAGCAGATCTCTCGGCAGAAACTCTACAAGCCAGAAGAGAGGGCCAATATTCAACATTCTTAAAGAAAAGAATATTCAACCCAGAATTTGATATCCAGCCAAACTAAGCTTCATAAGTGAAGGAGGTATAAAATCCTTTACAGACAAGCAAATGCTGAGATATTTTGTCACCACCAGGCCTGCCTTACAAGAGCTCCTGAAGGAAGCACTAAACATGGAAAGGAACAACCGGTACCAGCCACTGCAAAAACATGCTAAATTGTAAAGACCATCGAGGCTAGAAAGAAACTGCATCAACTAACAAGCAAAATAACCAGCTAACATCATAATGACAGGATCAAATTCACACATAACAATATTAACCTTAAATGCAAATGGGCTAAATGCTCCAATTAAAAGACACAGACTGGCAAATTGGATAAAGAGTCAAGACTCATCAGCATGCTGTATTCAGGAGACCCATCTCACGTGCAGAGACACACATAGGCTCAAAATAAAGGGATGGAGGAAGATCTGCCAAGCAAATGGAAAACAAAAAAAGGCAGGGGTTGCAATCCTAGTCTCTGATAAAACAGACTTGAAACCAAACAAAGATAAAAAGACACAAAGAAGGCCATTACATAATGGTAAAGGGATCAATTCAACAAGAAGAGATAACTGTCCTAAATATATATGCACCCAATACAGAAGCACCCAGACTCATAAAGCAAGTCCTTAGAGACCTACAAAGAGACTTAGACTCCCACACAATAATAATGGGAGATTTTAACACCCCACTGTCAACATTAGACACATCAACGGGACAGAAAGTTAACAAGGATATCCAGGACTTGAACTCAGCTCTGCACCAAGCAGACCTAATAGACATCTACAGAACTCTCCACCCCAAATCAATAGAATATACATTCTTCTCAGCACAACGTCGCACTTATTCCAAAATTGACAACATAGTTGGAAGTAAAGCACTCCTCAGCAAATGTAAAAGAACAGAAATTATAGCAAACTGTCTCTCAGACCACAGTGCAATCAAACTAGGACTCAGGATTAAGAAACTCACTCAAAACCACTCAACCACATGGATACTGAGCAACCTGCTCCTGGATGACTACTGGGTATATAACAAAATGAAGGCAGAAATAAAGATGTTCTTTGAAACCAATGAGAACAAAGACACAACATACCAGAATCTCTGGGACACATTTAAAGCAGTGTGTAGAGGGAAATTTATAGCACTAAATGCCCACAAGAGAAAGCAGGAAAGATCTAAAATTGACACCCTAACATCACAATTAAAAGAACTAGAGAAGCAAGAGCAAACACATTCAAAATCTAGCAGAAGGCAAGAATAACTAAGATCAGAGCAGAACTGAAGGAAACAGAGACACAAAAAACCCTTCAAAAATTCAATGAATCCAGGAGCTGGTTTTTTGAAAAGATCAACAAAATTGATAGACCGCTAGAAAGACTAATAAAGAAGAAAAGAGAGAATAATCAAATAGATGCAATAAAAAATGATAAAGGGGATCTCACCACTTATCCCACAGAAGTACAAACTACCATCAGAGAATACTATAAACACCTCTACACAAATAAACTAGACAATCTAGAAGAAATGAATAAATTGCTGGACACATACACCCTCCCAAGACTAAACCAGGAAGAAGTTGAATCCCTGAATAGACCAATAACAGTCTCTGAAATTGAGGCAATAATTAATAGCATACCAACCAAAAAAAGTCCAGGACCAGAAGGATTCACAGCCAAATTCTCCCAGAGGCACAAAGAGGAGCCAGTTCCATTCCTTCTGAAACTATTCCAATCAATGGAAAAAGACGAAATCCTCCCTAACTCATTTTATGAGGCCAGCATCATCCTGATACCAAAGCCTGGCAGAGACACAACAAAAAAAGAGAATTTTAGACCAATATCCCTGATGAACATTGATGCCAAAATCCTCAGTAAAATACTGGCAAACTGAATCCAGCGGCACATCAAAAAGCTTATCCACCATGATCAAGTAGGCTTCATCCCTGGGATGAAACGCTGGTTCAACATATGCAAATCAATAAACGTAATCCATCACACAAACAGAACCAATGGCAAAAACTACATGATTGTCTCAATAGATGCAGAAAAGGCCTTTGACAAAATTCAACAGCACTTCATGCTAAAAACTCTCAATAAACTAGGTATTGATGGGCCATATCTCAAAATAATAAGAGCTATTTATGACAAACCCTCAGCCAATATCATACTGAATGGGCAACAACTGGAAGCATTCCCTTTGAAAACTGGCGCAAGACAGGGATGCCTTCTCTCACCACTCCTATTCAACATAGTGTTGGAAGTTCTGGCCAGGGCAATCAGGCAGGAGAAGAAAATAAAGGGTATTCAATTAGGAAAAGAGGAAGTCAAATTGTCCCTGTTTGCAGATGACATGATTGTATAGTTAGAAAACCCCATCGTCTCAACCCAAAATCTCCTTAAGCTGATAGGCAACTTCAGCAATGTCTCAGGATACAAATTCAATGTGCAAAAATCACAAGCATTCCTATACGCCAATAACAGACAAACAGAGAGCCAAATCATGAGTGAACTCCCATTCACAATTGCTTCAAAGAGAATAAAATACCTAGAAGTCCAACTTACAAGGGATGTGAAGGACCTCTTCAAGGAGATCTACAAACCACTGCTCAATGAAATAAAAGAGGACACAAACAAATGGAAGAACATTCCATGCTCATGGATAGGAAGAATCAATATTGTGAAAATGGTCATACTGCCCAAGATAATTTATAGATTCAATGCCATCTGCATCAAGATACCAATGACTTCCTTCACAGAATTGGAAAAAAAATACTTTAAAGCTCATATGGAATCAAAAAAGAGCCCACATTGCCATGAAAATCCTAAGCCAAAAGAACAAAGCTGGAGGCATCATGCTACCTGACTTCAAACTATGCTACAAGGCTACAGTAACCAAACAGCATGGTACTGGTACCAAAACAGAGATATAGACCAATGGAACAGAACAGAGCCCTCAGAAATACTACCACACATCTACAACCATCTGATCTTTGACAATTCTGACAAAAACAAGAAATGGGGAAATGATTCCCTATTTAATAAATGGTGCTGGGAAAACTGGCTAGTTATATGTAGAAAGCTGAAACTGGATCCCTTCCTTACACCTTATACAAAAATTAAGTCAAGATGGATTAAAGACTTAAATGTTAGACCTAAAACCGTAAAAACTCTAGAAGAAAACCTAGGCAATACCATTCAGGACATAGGCACGGGCAAGGACTTCATGACTAAAACAACAAAAGCAGTGGCAACAAAAGCCAAAATAGATGAATGGGATCTAATTAAACTAAAGAGCTTCTGCACAGCAAAAGAAACTACCATCAGAGTGAGCAGGCAACCTACAGAATGGGAGAAAATTTTTGCAATCTACCCATCTGACAAAGGTCTAATATCCAGAATCTACAAAGAACTTAAACAAATTTACAAGAAAAAATCAAACAGCCCCATCAAAAAGTGGGCGAAGGATATGAACAGACATTTCTCAAAAGAAGACATTTATGCAGCCAACAGACACATGAAAAAATATTCATCATCACTGACGATCAGAGAAATGCAAATCAAAACCACAGTGAGATACCATCTCACACCAGTTAGAATGGCGATCATTAAAAAGTCAGGAAACAACAGGTGCTGGAGAGGATGTGGAGAAATAGGAACACTTTTACACTGGTGGTGGGACTGTAAACTAGTTCAACCATTGTGGAAGACAGTGTGGTGATTCCTCAAGGATCTAGAACTAGAAATACCATTTGACCCAGCCATCCCATTACTGGGTATATACCCAAAGGAGTATAAATCATGCTGCTATAAAGACACATGCACACATATGTTTATTGTGGCACTATTCACAATAGCAAAGACTTGGAACCAACCCAAATGTCCATCAATGATAGACTGGATTAAGAAAATGTGGCACATATACACCATGGAATACTATGCAGCCATAAAAAAGGATGAGTTCGTGACCTTTGTAGGGACATGGATGAAGCTTGCAACTATCATTCTGAGCAAACTAACACAAGGACAGAAAACCAAACACTGCATGTTCTTACTCATAGGTGGGAATTGAACAATGAGAATACTTGGACACAGGGTGGGGAACATCACACACCGGGGCCTGTCATGGGGTGGGTGGAGGGGGGAGGGATAGCATTAGGAGATATACCTAATGTAAATGATGAGTTAATGGGTGCAGCACACCAACTTGGCACATGTATACATATGTAACAAACCTGCACATTGTGCACATGTATCCTAGAACTTAAAGTATAATAAAAGAAAAAACACTAAAAAAAAAAGAGGTGAGTATATAAAAATTTCTATGGAAAATACATACTGTTGCAGTTCAGTTCCCCTAGTCATCTTGATGTATGAATGTCCTAAATTAGAAATAGAATAAAAAATATAACTCTAAGAAGATTAAAATGTATCTGACTTACCTCAAGGCATTCTCATCAGGGAGCAGATTCTTCATCAACTGTTCACCTAGTATTCCTATACACCACGCCTAGTGGGAAACTGTTGTATTTTGTAAAAGGAGACTTGCTATAAAGAAATAACTATTGTTATATTCTAGCCTGTATATATGAAAAAGGAAATTCAGGAACAAAAATCAATTCATTAGAATGTTTTTAAACTCTTAAAATTACCCTTTCCCCAAATGTCATGCTTTTGGGTCAGCATTTTTTTGGTACTGCTCAAGACTGATTAATTATGTAACCACTCTGTTCTGTGGATTTCTTTTAATGTGTTTAATCACGTTCTCTTAGCCTGAGGCAGGTGTGCCAAAGCCACAATTTAAAAAACTGGATGATAAATAAAACTAATCAGTCAAAGGGGAAAGATCAGAAAGACTGAAAATTCGCCAAGCAACTGCAACTCAGCTTCAACAGAAATCAAGGGGCCATGTTCATTCAATTAGGAAAGATAGGAAACAGCAATAATTCAGCTATTGACCAAAAGAGCCATGAGGGCTTACAGAATGTAGGCAATCAAGTACTTACAGAATGACAGTAGGTTAATGTGTTTGCTTTGTTAAAGCATTAAGGAAAATAGTTAATGAGCTTTCTGAACCTACTGCAATCATTTGTAGACAGAAAGAAAACAGGGAAAATTAAAAAAAAATTGGAAAATTAACTGGAATATTTATAGAGAAAGAAAGACGGGAAGAAGTATGAAGTGGAAGGGAGAGAAGCAAAAGAAATGAAGAAAGGGAAAGGAGGAGAAGCAAGAAGAGGAGGAATAAAAGAAAGAAAAAGGAAAGAGAAGAAAGAAGATGCTTCAGTAAATTCAACCCTATTGAGTGTTGCTTTTTGTTTCTTTTAATCTTAAGCAGGAGGTACATGGAAGTAATCAGACCTTAGTAATTTAAAGGATATACTTCAAAAAATGCATGTGGGGGTGCTGTTCTTCCTTTTTTTCTTTTGTATTGCATTGTAATAAAGTGGACTAAGGCATTTCCTTGATATCTAGGTAAACTAATATTACAATGAATTGGATTTTCTTTTTGATTGTGCAATGCATTCAGTTATAATGGTACTTGAAGAAACCTTAGAAATAATCTCTTTATGTTATAGCTATCTATCTCATATTCATTTTATAAACAATGAAATAGGTGAGGGATTTTTTTTTTTTTTTTTTTTGAGGCGGAGCCTCGCTCTGTCGCCCGGTCTGGAGTGCAATGGTGCCATCTCGGCTCACTGCAAGCTCCGCCTCCCGGGTTCATGCCATTCTCCTGTCTCAGCCTCCTAAGTAGCTGGGACTACAGGTGCCCGCCATCACGCCCGGCTAATTTTTTTGTATTTTTAGTAGAGACGGGGTTTCACCGTGTTAGCCAGGATGGTCTCGATCTCCTGACCTCGTGGTCCGCTCACCTCGGCCTCCCAAAGTGCTGGGATTACAGGCGTAAGCCACCGCGCCTGACCTAGAATCTCATGTTCTTTATTTCATTCTAGGTCTCATGTTCTTTACTTCATTGCTACTGAAATGAAGCCCTATGACCTCTCGGTGACTTTAGTGCTGAGATGACAGGGGTGGGAGGTAGGAGAGGAGTGGGTGGTATTAGCATACCCTGCTAGGATGGTTGCTACATACATCAAGAGCTAAGGAATGATTTTAATTGAAAGATGTGGGGAAACACAGACTAGAGCACAGTATTAATAATAGTGATGATTTAATGATTCTGGATTCTTAAGAAGAACTAATCAGAACAGACACTTCAGCCTCAAAATGAGAAGCTAACATGAGGCTATAGAAAAGCTGCTGGACCCCAAATTATAAGACCTGTTATAGTCTAGACATTAATCTCTTTGGGTCCATTTCTTCATCTATCAAGTTTGGGATGAAATGAGCCTCGTGGTTCCTTCCAAATCAGAATCTCTGATCTTATTCTTCTTTGTTTTACCTTTCCCTTCACAGTTGCTATCCAAATTACTCTTCTCAGTACCAACTGACAAATTATATTATGCTACAGAAGGCAGTTTTGTTTCATTTTGATTGATTTTAAGAGGGTGCTTCTCCAATTTTGCTTAAGCAATCTGCATCAGTGAGAATGAGATCAGCTCCTTCAGGAGTTACCTGCTAATTGCAAACCTAGAAAAAAGTACATGTGTACCAAAATGGTACAATATATTGTTTATGATTTGAGAATTGATTTGACATGGTTTACTGAGACTGCTGTGGTATCTCTCTCACAAATGGCAGTGATCTGTTTTGTGAAATTAGATCCCTTTTGTGCAATTACAGAGATAGAAAAAAAAATCTGGATGAAGCACACACACACAAACCTGGATATGGGAAGGAAAGAAATGAAGGGGGGAGATAAAAAAAAGTATAGATGTGATGTGAGAGTCTCTACTGTTAAATGTACTCCTTACAATAATTACTATATTCTTATTCATATGTCAAATAGTTCCATATTATTCAAAAGGAATTTTGCCTGAATTTAAAACTTAGCATAAACAATTATTTCTGTTCTGGAGTAAATAATTAGCTTGGTTGTTATCAATCCTTAGAAAAGAGGGAGGAGATTAATTATTTCTCTTGTGTGCTAAACAACCTGAACTATAGAACTTCAAAGCCAGAGATGAAATGAGAGGCCATGAAAGTGAACAAGATGTATTTGACAACTATAGGAATGTGCCAAATTCCCCATTAGGCAAAGTGCAGCTGAAGGAAAAAAACAGAGCTGGATGCAGACATCCTGATGTTCACGAGTTGAGCTGAAAGCCAGGGAAAAACACAGAAGAAAAGGGGAGAGAAGACAAAAAAAAAAATCAAGTAGCTGTAGATTCTAGGATAGTAAAGTGCTGGCGTCAAAATCTATAAAGGCATGTATAAGGCAGAACTGAAAGCAGATGTGGAAAAAGGCACAAGACTGTATGGATGATATTTGCAAAAGTAGTCATTTCAGTCTGACTCATGCTGAATTTATGCTTGTTGTTGCATAATATGAAAGAATACTAAAGTCACAGGATAAAAACTGTGAGGTTGTTTGTGTGTGTGTGTGTGTGTGTTCCCTAGCAAAATCAATGAAATTCCATATTTTCCCTTTTGATTACTAATGTCTGAATGTTATTAATAGCAAATCAATAACTCCTAGTAATAATTATTAAACATTGATTTTTTTCATGCTTTCATCTGTTCCACAGTTTCTCATCTGCAGCACTATTGACTTTGGGGGCTGGATAATTCTTTGTTGTGGGGGGCTTCCTTGAACATTGTAGAGTGTTTAACAACATTTCCAGTCTCCACCCACTCTGATGCCAGTGGCCATCCCTTTACCTGGTTGCCCATTTTCCTGCTACTGTGAGTGTTGGCTGCTAACATCTCACAGCTGCTCCTTCTTCTGGATAATGTTGTCAGCCAAGCAGGAGTCACTATGTATGAGTGGTTATGCACCACCACCCCTGCATGCTCTGACAACCAATCGCTAATAACTGACTGAGAGAAGGATATAAAGCTCAGGCTCCTTGCTTCAAGATGGAACCAACTCTGCTGTACAATTTCACAACCCGCTCTGAGGTCAGGTAAAGCTAGTCTCAGACTTAGATTAATAATTTTCTTATTAGTTCCAGGCCCTACCTCCCCATGCTTTTTTCTTCCCTCCCCTTCTGAGAACAGACCTTCAGTAAAGCACATGAGTAAATTTCTCTCAGGCTCTCTTTGTGGGTACCTACTCAAGAGACAAATAGTAGCATCATTGTGTCCTTTACTGTCACTTTATAGGTGGAGAAAAGGTGACAGGAGTATTTGCTGATTTGGTGAATACTCTTATTGACACATTTATATATATTCTCTATCCTCCCAACAGTGCTACAAGTAAACTTATGATATTTTGTTGACAAGAAAAGAAAGGCTAATAAATGAACATAACTTGCCAAATGTCACATGGTTAGTAACTGATGGAGCGAAAATGTGAATTTGGGCTTTATTTTCAGAGCTCTTTGTGTCATTCCATGCTAACATATATTTATTCTCATTTTGCCTGCTCTGAAACAACACCGCAGAGATGAATAAGCAAGGTCTTTGTTCTCTAGAAATGCAGCCAGAAAGAAAAGACAAGCAAAAAATAATAATAAATTACAGGAAGTTTTATTTCATAAATAGAGTTTGTTTCCACCTGCTTCTGAAAAATTACAACAGTTTCAGAAATCAAGAAAAATATAAAAATTTGAAACTCAAAATAGAAACAAGCTCTAAAGAATTTTCAAAAGTATAAAGACTTTTGGGATTAATTAGTTACTCTAGATGAGTAAACTTAACTAGAAATTAATAAGTAATTATAGTTTAGAGTTGTCATTACTTGTTGATAGACAGCATAGACATTTCTTAAGACAGAACATTTTTTCAGGCTTCAAATTTAAAGAGAAACTTATTGTGTATGGTAATTATTTGAATAACAAATGGTAACATGAATAACAAATGGTAACAAATGGTAACAATGTCCTAACCTAGGGGTCTGTAAAAGACAGAAATGTTCAAATAGACATTTCTTCATTGACCCTCAATAAAACCTGAAGTTACATTAAATTTCAACTTAGTGAAGGCTCTTTAGCACGGATTTGTGGTAATAATATGACCTGGAAATGTTACTTTCTGATGATCTAGCTAATCACAAAAAAAAACACTGACAACCATAGGGGAATAAGTGCATTAAGTTGTCTCTTTGCAATATTTGATGTCTTAAGGAAGCTTTGGTCAAGCCCTGGGTCACAGGCAATTCGTGGTTGAGTTTTCTAGCAACATTCAGTGTTTTTTAAAAAGTGATCTATACTCTTTCTATGTATATATTCATACATTGTGTAGACATTGAGCACCTACTATGTTGGGGGGGGTGTGCATGCATGCGCTTACGTGGTATTTCTTTCTTTCTTTTTTTTTTTTTTTTTTTGAGATGGAGTCTCGCTCTGTTGCCCAGGCTGGAGTGCAGTGGCATGATCTCGGCTCACTGCAAGCTCCGCCTCCCGGGGTCATGCCATTCTCCTGCCTCAGTCTCCCGAGTAGCTGGGACTACAGGCGCCCACCACCACGCCCAGCTAATTTTTTAAAAATATTTTTAGTAGAGACGGGGTTTCACCGTGTTAGCCAGGATGATCTCGATCTCCTGACCTCGTGATCCGCCCACCTTGGCCTCCCAAAGTGCTGGGATTACAGGCGTAAGCCACCGCGCCTGGCCGCGCACATGGTATTTCTTATCACTGACTACAAAATTGACTTTGTCTCATGCAAGTTTTAGGACCCTCACTTATACTTCCAACCAGCTGTAGAGTTCAAGTCTATTCCTCTTCAACACAGAGATAAATTATGTATATGCTAGCCTCAGGCTCTCATTCACATAACATGGAATGAATATGATTGAAAAACGTGTAAGAAAGGTTTGTTTCAGTCAATAACACTGAATTAGGCAATTTAGGCTAGGTTATGCTGTGGTAACAAACAGCTACCAATTCTCAGTGACTCAACACAACAAAAGTTTAAATTTCACTTGCGTTTAAGTTTAATACAGGTTGGTAGGGAGCTTTTCTCTACATTTTTACACATGGACCAGGGATTATGTACTTTCTGGAATCTCACTAATGAGGCCTCCATCATTTATGTACAAGGAAAGGGAAGAATAGAAAGGTTGCTCACTGGACAATAAATACCTTCCAGGAGGGAAATTCTACTACACGTAAGTTGCTTAGCCTAGTGTCCAGCATGTAGCAGGTGCTCATTAAATATTTGTGATTATTATTATTAATAATAGTCGTAGTAGTCATGGCAGTAGTCATGGAATTAGCTAATATTGGATAAATGTTAAATTTACCCTAAAGTGATATTATTCACTGATATATTTCATCTAATTGTTGTAAGAGTTATTTCAAATTATGTGTAAAGAAAAAAGGTAAGAAAATGCCGTGCCTTTAGTAAGCTCATTTCTCTATTTATTATGAAACTGTTTTTTTGTCCATTCCTGTTTTAGCAGCAACACGTGGCATAGGCTTTGAGGAAGAATAATGTTCTCTGCTTCTGTACCAAGATTAGAGTTTGTTTCAGATATAGCTGATGAGTAATGGATGAATTCTACAAAAAAAAAAAAAACAAACAAAAGACTTAGGCTGTCATTAACTGTATTCAGCACAAGGGAAAAGCTCTTCAGAAGGATGGTTGGACTTTAATCTACTTGTTCCTAATACAAATGGAGACATTTAGCCCTGAGATTTCAACAATGGACATAGAGACATTTTTATTTGCTATTAGAGTGTTTATATAAGGTTACATGTCAGAAATATTCAATTACTGTACAGAATAGAACTTTAACTACCTAGAAATTCAAAGAAGTCATTTTTTTGGCAAGATTAACACTTCTAGTAGCAAGGACTTTTAAGATGTAGGGCAGGGTACAACAGCCCATTATATTTACAGAAATGTTTAGGAGCAGTACAGAATTAATAAATGTTTTGGACAATAGATGCCAAAGATTTGCAGGAAATAAAGTACTTTCATTTGAATAGCCTAAAGAATTTCACAGAAAATTTGCACTAAATAATAAAGAATTAGAATTTGGTTAGATGGAGAGAGAAAATGTCTATGTAACTGACCTGAAAATATAAATGTTCTAAGAATGCAAGGTGATGTTTTTAATAATAAATTTTAAAAGATTTGTTTAAATTAGGAAGTAGTGTAAGTAGAGATCCAGATAATAACTAACGCTTTGCTAGCATATGCTTGTATATTTGAGAGTGTGATTGAGTGAGAGAGAGAGAAACAGAGACAGAGACAGAGAGATTCAGTGATATAACTAGGTTTCATCATGCTAAAAAAGTTTGTAATTTTATTTAAAGCTAAAAGAATGAAGGGTGGAATATGTGTGTGTGCATGTCAGTTTGGTTTACATTTGTAAACTATATATGTAATATATGCATATGCCTGTATAGTACATGAAAATGAGTGCTTATTAATGCTAGGCACTGTTCTAAATATTTAAAATGCATTGACATTTTTTATACTTACCAAAAAATCCTCCATGGAATAGCTATTATTATTACAATCTTATAGATATGAAAATTGCAACTTAAAGAGGTCTAACAACTATCCAAGGTCACAAAGCTATTAAGAGGCAGAGCCATATCTTAAACCCAGTTCCCTCATTCTAAAGTATGTACATTTAATGTTAAGTTGCCCAGCAGAGGGGCATGGAAGCTTTAGTGAAAATGTAAAATTGAGCAGATCCAGGGTTCCTATCTTTCCCTTTGAGCAGATGAAACACTCTTTTAGGACAGGGTTCTTATTCTTCATTTCTGTGAGTATTACGGTAAGAGTAATGGTAACCACAATGACAACTAACATTTATTGAGCTCTAAATAATGACCAGAAGTGGTTTTACATCCCTTAAATATGTTATTTAAATCTTCAAACCAATGAAGAAGGTCCCATTATTATTCTGATTTTATAGATGACAGACTAAGGCTCAGAGAGCTAAGGTACAAGGAAGAAAAAGAGCCTCTTTTCTCCTCATTCCCCAGTTCCATCCTGCATCTCCCTTTTATCCAAGATGGGCTCTGGCATGCCCAACACTCAGCAATAGTGCTTTTGGGTCAGAGATGAAATCTGTCTATTTCTATAAATGCTGTCCAACATTCTCAATGTATTATTCTGAAATAGACAACCCTAGTACACCAGAATCATCTTCATGGTCCCTCACCCTCACTCTTTCCTTGGGCAGGACTTAAAGCACAGCATTTTTAGAGTTCAGAACCATTGCTCCTATAATTCGTGAAGTATCAATCAAGTTTGTCCAAAGAAAGGACATTATCCTAAGGCATTTCTGCAGATAGGCAGTCATTAACGTAAAATTAAAACTAACATGCTGATGCATGTGTCATCGCCAGACTGCTTAAAGGCACCACTGATTATATATTGTCATAACAAATTCCAACCATTTTTCACAATTGAGCCAACCATAGCCTTTGAACTCTTGGTAACTTTTATGCTCATGTCTTCTCTCCCTCTCACTATATATATATATATACACACACACACACACACATTTATAGAAGAGGTATTTGCCTACATATAAAAATGCATACATATATAAATTAGTTGTTCTAAACAAGGTAAATTTGTGCCTGGTTTTTCAACCTGAAGATTAAATATAATAATATTAGAATAGCTAACTTGCTAAATCAATCTCTGTAAGGTGCTATGTTTTATATACATCATCTCCTTTAGCTGTTACTTACCTAGTGTGTAGATATTTATAGATAGATGATAAATAGATGATAGATAGATGATAGATAGATAGATAGATAGATAGATAGATAGATAGATAGATAGACAGATATTTTCTTGTTTGTTACTATACTTCTTTGAGCATTATTTGGTCTCTTTTGTGTTTTAAGCAATTACTGGAGTCTATGAAACAAGCCTCCCCTTTGTACCATTTAATTTAATTAGACCTCTCATTTGAGCTCTTGCTGAGTCAATATTTAGTTCCTTGTCTATATCCCTGGAACAACCTGAAACATTCCATATGCCAGCTAAATGGCTTAATATGCATGGACATATGAGTGAATGCTTTGGTTTCCCTTCTCTCTCCCTGCACAATGTACACGGGATGCGGCTACAAAACTCCTCCACTTTGCCTTCCCCCTTAATTATGCTCATCCATGGTTCATGCAGTAATTCTTTTTTCTGGAAGATAAATTATGCTGGAATAGAAGGAAGAGCAATCTTCAGTGTTGTCTCACTAATTTTGTTTGTATAGCTGTTTTTCCAATGTAGCATTTTCGAATAGCCCCATTATACATCTGCTTCTCCACCTGGGAACACTAGCCATGCCAGGTGCAATGCCATGGATGGCATAATTTTGCCTAATGGCATTAAGTGCCTCGGAGTATGCTAAAAGAAAGGGAAAAGTGACAAACGAGCTCCAGGGAAACTGTAGTTTGTTTCTCTTTGAGGGATCTGTGCAAATATTGGGACTATTTGTGGTTTGTTTTGGGAAGGGTGATTTGAAAGCCGAGAAAAATTGTCTGCTAATTCATACAAGAGGACTTAAGAATCTTCCTTTGCCAACCTTTCAGACTTTAAAGGCTTTCTCAAGAAGAAAGGATTTTGCTTTAGCAACAATTCCTAGGGACATTTATAGAAGAGGTATTTGCCTACATATAAAAATGCATACATACATAAATTAGTTGTTCTAAAAAAGGTAAATTTGTTCCTGGTTTTCCAACTTGAAGATTAAATATAATAATATAAGAATAGCTGGCTTGCTAAATCAATATCTGTAAGGTGCTATGTTTTATATACAACATCTCCTTTAGTTGTTACTTACCTAATGTGTAGATACTTTTATCTCCATTTTACAAATGATGGGGCTATGTCTCATGAAAGGTTAATAATTTGCTCATGTTCACATACCTATTCTAAGATAAAACTGGGGGAAGATTGCACTGCTTACTGACTCCAAAGCTCACCCATACACTTTGTAAAGAGGTTCCTGCCCTAAAGATGAAATTGAATCATAAAGTAGTGACCTGTGGTGGCTGAACCCTTCAGGGTTCCCATCTTGTCTGTGTCCATGGGTCCACAAGCCAGAGTAAATGGAAATATTGACAGAAAGATTTGTGTCCACGCCCTACCATTCACCCTGCTAGTTGCATGCAGCGAATAGGTTTGATGTAATGTCATTGAGGATTTTGTTTGTCCTATGTCACTTCATAAAATAATATTACTTCTTTTAGAGAATCCTAGCAGTAATATTTGAGGTTATATGTACAGTTGTGCTTTGTATAGATCCTCTGTGTAAAACTATCATCCCAGCATCTGGATCACAATGCATATTAAAAACGACATAACTACACTTTGGGAGGCTGAGGTGGGTGGATCACGAGGTCAGGAGATCGAGACCATCCTGGCTAACATGGTGAAACTCCGTCTCTACTAAAAATACAAAAAAATTAGCCAGGCACGGTGGTGGGCGCCTGTAGTCCCAGCTACTTGGGAAGCTGAGGCAGAAGGATGGCGTGAGCCCAGGAGGCGGAGCTTGCAGTGAGCCGAGATCACGCCACTGCTCTCCAGCCTGGGCCACAGAGCGAGACTCCGTCTCAAAAAAAAAAAAAGAAAAAGAAAAAAAGACATAACTATTATCAACAGAAGCAACAATAACAAAAATTAATCCTTACTAGCGCTTGTTATATATCGGAAAATGTTTTAAGTTCTTTATATATTTTACTTTATTTAATCTTTATAATAATTGTAGCAATCTCTGTTGTTTTACCACAACTTTGCAAATTAAAACCTGAGGCAAAACTTGAGTAACTGGTCCGTGAGGTACTACCATGAGTATGTTGTGGAATCCAGATTTAAATCTAGGTTTTTTTATTCCAGAGCCTGTACTCCTAACCAGAGCATTTTACTGTCTCACAAACGTAAAGATTCTTTAAGTATAAATAAATGACTGATTTTAGCTTAGCAATACAAAATTTGTCTATGCTAAATATTTTTTCAGTTCTTATTCTCTTACCCAAAGCCCATTTCTCACTTCTCCTTGCAAGAAGTTCAGGTCAGAAGATATATTGATAAAGAGAAAGAAAAGAGGCAATGAAAATAAATTTGTATGTGCTAATGGATGCTTCTTTTGTTGTTGTTGTTGTTGTTTTTGAGAGGGAGTTTCTGTCTGTCACCAGACTGGAGTGCAGTGGCACGATCTTGACTCACTGCAACCTCTGCCTCCTGGGTTCAAGCGATTCTCCTGCCTCAGCCTCCCGAGTAGTTGGGACACTATAGGCACCTGCCACCACACCTGGCTAATTTTTGTATTTTTAGTAGAGACAGGGTTTCACCATGTTGGCCAGGATGGTCTCGATCTCTTGACTTCTTGATCTGCCCATCTCAGCCTCCTGGATGCTTCCTTCTGTTTTAATTCCTCTGCCATTGGCAATCTACTTGCAATCATTCCCAAGTTCTAATGCATCTCCAACTGCTCCCCACATCACAAGAGAGCCTACCTTGCATCCAACCCTAAATGTTATTTTAATGATTTTTAAATAAACCTGCTTTAATGAAACATGAACAGATAAGTATAGAGTTCTTCTCTGAAATCTAGTAAAATGTACTCCTTTGAGTAAACACCCTTGTGAAACATATATTTTAAATATACCATTTCAGTAAGCAAACAAAAAACCAAAACAGGTGACGAGGGCTTGGGGCAGGCAATTATATAAGGTGAACATTCTCTGTTAAAATGGAGTGAGCCAGAAACACCAGTTCTAGAAATAAGACATACACAAGGGTTAATTCTTTTCAAAATGCTGCTTTTACCCCATTTTTTTTTCTCCCCATTGTTGCAAATTGTAAACATCTTTAAAAGATTTCAGGACTCTTTGTGTTTGGTTAAGTTTCCAACAGGTGGAAGATATCTTCCAAGACTGACCATAGTCATATTTGGGAAGGAAAGATCAGAATCAATTTAATCAAGATACTAAATATGAAATGGGGGAGGGAGCAGTCAGTGGAACTAACCAGAGTAACATTCTGAACTTGGAACTGAATCCAGAGTTTATACTTGCACAAATCCTGGCCTCCTTCCCCATACAAACCCCTAGTACAGGTCTTTGAGATTGTTTCTAGCAAACTGAATTTTTCTTCCTTAGCCTGGGGGGAAAATGCAGACTCTGGCTTTATTTTCTGCATGGGAATCACGTGGGTAGCTTAAATATTCCAGGCATCTTGACTTGGCATATTGAACGCATTTTCTTATTCCATAAGCTGTTCTACATGTCGTTAGAGTGACAGCAGTGAGTAGTAAAATAAGCACTGGCTTTGGAGTCAGGTAGACCTGGATTCTTAGTAGACCCTGGACTTCAAGAGTCAGTATTGCACCATGGGTAAGAACATGGACCATGGACCCAGACTGCCTGGCTGCAGATCCTGCTCTTGTTACAAAATATGTGACTATGGATCTTTGTGCTTCATCTGTAAAATGAGGATAATAGTAAGACCTACAGTACAGACTTCTGATGGCAAATGATTTAAATATATCTAAAGCTATTTAACAATGCCTAGCACATAATAAGCACTGCTTACTGTGCATTTGAACTATGTAAATATTGGCTTGCAAGGTTTGACAAGATTTGTGGTCTTGGAAAGGATAAGTAATCTTCTTTTTCTTATCTATATCCATAAGATTTGTTTGGTTTATTTTCAGGATTAAATGTGATAATGGATATAATACTTTTGGCATGGTCAAGAATCAGTAAATACTAATTATTATTGTGGCATTCTGGATTACTGTGACTTAAATACTTCACATGAAACATGAGTTAAACAAGAAGGGTTCAATGAACAGGCTGAGAAAGCATATCACCATCTGAAATATCATTTTCTTTTGTGAATGGCATTGCAAGTTTCACAAACTGATTTTTGAACAGGATATAATCCCAAAATTTAACTGGGAATCTGAAAATCCCTCAACTGCTTAGAGTATAATTTTTTAAATCAGAAAAAAAAATTGTTTCACTGCCGGGATAAAGGCCTATGCATCTCAATTCTGTTTTTGCTAAAACCACATGTGTGTAATCACAGGTCTCTAAGTAAAATGAACTCACATACTTTCTGAATAAATATTTTACTACTTTTCCATTTGTACCAAATATCATCTAGTCTCTGCTCAGTGATATGAAAGAGTCAGTATATGTTGAACAACATAATCTATAATAACATCAGAGTGAATAGTGGCCATTAATATAAAAAACACATAATAAAGTGATATGTTTTTCCTGTTTTCTGTTATGTTGGAGTAAGTGTGAGAGCAGAACATGCCTGTAGTTTATAGATTAACAATGTTTTAAACTAATCTGGGGCTAGAGGTCATCAAATGTCCCTCAATAACTATCTGCCAAATTCCCAACTGTTATGAAACAATATTGACTAGTACTTTAAAATTTCTTGTGGCTTAGAAGTACAAGAGGTAAGTACATTCCACATTGAAGAGTACAGATCATGTGGATTTTTGCAACACAATGACTGTTTAGGGCCTTCCTTTCTTACAGATTCAGAAATGCTCTTTATGTGTTAAGGTAAATATTGGGTTCTAGAAAATTGAAATAAATTATTATTAGATTGGTTTGGGTTGGGATATTCAACTAATTCCTTGCTTTTTCAGTTGGAAGGTGCTCAAATACATTGATTTGATTAAGAGAAATCCATTGCTCAATTCCATTTGACTTATTTTGTCATAAATAATATACAGTTCCCTTCCAGGATATTTCATATTATCCTCTTTATTAATCAAGAATAAAAGTTTTGGTGTTCAGGTTACTTTTTCCCAAAATACCACCACACTGCATTTTATTATAAATAATCTTGCTAATGCCAAAAGTAACCTATCATTATATAATTCATCAAATAATCATACAAATTATTTATATTATAAAAACTGCAGTACAATAATAGTAGTTTGAGCGCATAATGTACGTAAGTTGGTAATGTTTTTCTTGCTCATTGAGAGTTTAGAAGAGTTACCAAAGAGAGGCTAGTGATAGGTTATAGGACAGACTCAAAAAATTACACTAAGCTAGGATGTACTTAGTTTATAGAAAGTGTCAAGGATAGGAGAAAATATTAATATAGGAATGTGTCCCCCAAATCTGCATTAAATCAAGAGAATATTCATTATGTATGGGTAGGAAAACAGTTTGCATGTATCAAGGAACTAAACATAAGAATTTAAAGACAGAAATCTAGTCACTGATATAATCTGTCATGATTTTAAAGGGTCTGTGGAGGACCTAGAGGAAAAAGTAGCAGTTATTAATCTTAAAATTGTAGAACTGGTTGGGACTTTATAAGTCATTCAGTCCAACCTGCATACTGCACAAAGAAATTTGAGCTCAGAAACATTAAGTAACTAGGAAAAAATTATTCGGTAGCCAAAATGTACATTGAATATTTAGTCTCAATTTACAGCTGAAAAGCTCTTTCTAGGCAGGGCGCGGTGGCTTACGCCTGTAATCCCAGCACTTTGAGAGGCCGAGGCGAGCGGATCACGAGGTCAGGAGATGGAGACCATCCTGGCTAACACGATGAAACCCCGTCTCTACTACAAAATACAAAAAAAATTAGCCAGGCATGGTAGCGGGCACCTGTAGTCCCAGCTACTTGGGAGGCTGAGGCAGGAGAATGGCGTGAACCCGGGAGGCGGAGCTTGCAGTGAGCCGAGATCGCGCCACTGCATTCCAGCCTGGGCGACAGAGCGAGACTCCGTCTAAAAAGAAAAGAAAAAAGAGAAAAAAAAAAAGGAAAACTCTTTCTACTAGTCTATGCTGTCTTCCAGTTACTTGACAGCTGTGTTAGTGGGCCTATTTGATCCCTTATCATTCAGAGCACAATTATAAGGGATCGAATAGGCTCACTAACACACACCGTTGGTAAGGAGAATAACTCAATGCTAAACTGTTATGCCACCTGCCAAAGATGCCTTATAGGCTTCTGTCTTTGGCCAAGATTGGTTTCATATTCTGGAGTGAGATAGAACTCAAAGGTGTGGATAAATTGGCACAGCCACAAAGGTTAACTAAATTCAGGGCTGGGATCCAGGAAGAACATTAGATGAAAGTCTTTGGAAAGTTCATAGATGAGAAAGGTTATAAATCAGACTTCCTTCTGTCAAGCCTCTTCCAACCCCTTAAAGTCCCCAGTCATCTCACTATATACTTATTTTCAATAGTGTCAAGGTTATAGATGTGACAAATTGATTCTTGACATGAGTCATTTTTTTTTGTCATCTTTCTGACAGAAGAGAGAGAATTTAAATTCTGCTAAGGAGAGCAGAAATAATTATGCGTTATTTCCCTGGTATCATTAGGTTAAATTCAGACAATCCTGTAGCTTTGGTTTCAGATGGTTTACGAAGCACGTTTAAGTATCAAAATCAGGAAAGTGAAACAAAGCATTAAGATTCTAGTATCAACGGAATCAAATACTCCAGGATACAATATCTACCTAATTCTGAGGGCAATTCATTTTCTAAACTTGCTCCAGAAATAACTGTTTCCCCTCAGCTTCAACATACTCATTGAGATGGCCCCTGATCATTGCTTTCCTTCAAAATCTTTGCAGGATATTTGAATCAGCAGCCTCCCTCTTTTTAATGTTCTTAGTTCTTATCAAAGACAACATCAGAATAACTAATACATGGTTTTTGTTTGTTTTTTGAGTTTTTTTGGATATAGGACAGGGCAGTCCATCTGAACCTGTTTTGATTAAGGTAGCATTCTTCTCTCACTCCTTCCTTTGCTTACTCTGGCATGCCAAACCTGCTTGCAAAGTGTCATGATCTATTAGATTCACAGAATCAAAGAAAAAAATAGTCATTTCTCCAGAATCTTTTAAAAAATGTAATCACTACTTAAATGTGAGCCAACAATCAAGTACAATTAGAGTTTTTCTTATCCTACATCTTTTGTTTTATATTCATTTTCCTAGTGAAGATCAGGGCAAGACAATAGCAGTTCACTTTGGTAAGTGCTATAATAGGAGTACAGTGTATGGGCAAAATACAACAGGGTGCACAAAGAAACTGGTCATGATCACTACTTGAAAGAGGAGAATGGTGTTGGGGATATCATCACCATCTCCCTGGAAAATGACTTAGATAATCAAGCTGAGTCTTAAAGAACAGTGTGAATTCAAGAAAGAAACTCTTGGAAGAAAGGCAAACATCTACTCATGGAAGCATGACTTTCATTTCATACTGTGAGAAAGAAACGGTGAGTAAGTTGTATTGGTGGAAAATAAGATTGGCAAAATCATAGTTTGAGACTATAACATGCTCAATACTCTGAACTTATTCTATGGTTACTATTGCTGCTTGAAGTTTGTAAAACAGGAAAGTAATTATCCAAATCATATTTTAGAAAGATAATCCTGGATAAATTAAAGAAAGGGAAACAACTCTATGAGACCAATGGGAGGCTATTTCAATGGTTCATGTAAAAAGGACATTGATTTGCATTAATTAGGCAGATGTAAAGTCAAAGAAGGGGGTTTACATTTAAGAGCTTTAGGAGATACAATAAATACATTGTGGTGACTATGAGTGGAATAGGCACAGATTTGGAGGCTACTGTAATAGTACTTAAAAGTTTATATATAGTGCATACTATGTGGCAGACTATAACAAATGTTTATATTTATATAATATATATAGTTATATAACTTATGTAATTGTCATGTCAACAAGTTTATTAGGTAGATATGATTATTGTGCCTGTTTTTAATATATGTATGTGCCAGACACTATTACAAATGTTTAAATAAATATATAACCGTATAATTTATGTAATTGTCATGTCTACTTCATTAGGTAGATATGATTATTATGCCTGTTTTTCAGATGGGAAAACTGAGGCCCAGAAAAGTTAAATAAATCATCCATGGTCACTTGTTTAATAAGTGACAGAGAAAAGTTTTCAACATAGACTATTTGCTTCTGAAGTCTGTGTTTTTAATCACTTTTAATCATTATGCTACACTGCTGGGGAGAAAGTTTGGCTTGCATTTGAGATCCTTATAGCACATCTAAGTGTAAATTTCCAAAAGGCAATTGGAAATATGATAATAATGGAACCCAAATGTCAGAGCTGAAGATGTGGAATTCTTCAGCGTATGAATGTTCATTGGAGTTGTAGACACTGTCCAACAAATAATGTATAATTTTATTGGCCCAAATGAGAGTAATAGGGACTTCAAGACAGCTTGATGCCATCAAGAGTCTACTTCTAGACCCCTTTTATAGCGTTAATACAAAGCAACAACTACTGTATTATTTCATAAATATATTTGGTTTCATGGTTGTTTATATATTCAAAACAATTATTTGACTGTGGTACTTGCAAATTCATAGAACTCTTTTGCACCTAACTACATTAATACCAGATACTAAAAGTTAACTTAAGAAAATAAAGAATCCTAATCAACATTTATCTATTATTAAATTTGGATTTGAAGAACTTGCGCAGTCTGTCTTCTAAGTCCAATTGTAAACTCCCTAACCAAAGCTTTACTGTTGTTACAAGACAACTGGAGTTAGTCATTTGTCTTCCCTGGTAGCATTTTGAACAATAAATTGAAAAGCCTGAAACCAAGATACATCAGGTATCTGAACAAAGAAGCAAGATTGATACTTTTCTTTCCATGCTGTTGCAAAAACCTCACTATCTAAACTCTTGACTGTCTATTCCACAGACCATCTCACTTCTTTATCAGTTCCAATAAAATATGCATTCATAAACGCTGCCCTATAGCTTGGTCATATCATTATCCATAAAAGTTCACCCACTGAAAATACCCCTAGCCTTCTATACTCAGTGCAAAAGCCTTTCCATAAGCTAGAATGCATGTTGTGCTTGATAAAAACATAAAATATTATCTGTCAATTTAAAAAATTAACAAAGAAATAAAGAAGAAAAATTACACACACACACTTAGAAAATGAAT
This sequence comes from Homo sapiens, assembly GCF_000001405.40. Lineage (NCBI taxonomy): Eukaryota > Metazoa > Chordata > Mammalia > Primates > Hominidae > Homo > Homo sapiens. Next base: position 65,935,690 of record NC_000010.11, on the reverse strand, counting down.
GTTCTCCGTGACCCTAAGATACACAACCATTTCGCTGAACCCAAAGGACAAAATAATTAAAAGCTATAAAACATTAGCATTCACCACATTTTCTCATCATTTAAACTGCATTGTCTGCATCACTTCTAGAGCAGGTTTTCCTTAACTGGAACATTTTCAATAAGATTTCTGTAAAAATAAAAACCAGTCTTTTCAAATCACCAAAACTCTAGCACAGGACAAGTTGCCTCTGTCACCGTTTCTGCTTAATTCAAATAAATCAAGGCATAATAACCAGATATTTTAAAAGAGAACAAAACAGAAGCATGGCATGATTATAAGCAGAACGATAAGATTAAAAAAAACCAAGTTAGTGCAAATTATCTCCATGACATTGGCAGATCCATCTCTGAAAATCTTGAAATAATAGGAGCCTACGAAAACACATTTTAGCATCTTCTTGCAAAACAAATTCTTTATTCTTCCTTTGAATGGTAGATTTTTCAAAAGATTGAAGATACGTTGAAATATAGTTTCTTAGGACAACGGACTACTGTTGTAGCCAAAAATTTTCTAGAGCTTAGCAATCCAAGTGTTATACATATCATGTTATATGAACAGGAATAACTCAAATTGCACTGGCTTGTACATGTCTTATCATTTCAGCTGCTCATGGGAGTGAATAGGGGACAGTCATATGGACACACTGGGCACTGCTACTTCTTTGCTTGGCTGACTCCTCACTCAGTGTTACTGTGTTTCTCTTAGGCTATGAGATTTTGAGTTCTGCACTACTAAGCCCCAGTATTTTCTCTAAAAGGCTACAGAGCTCCCTAAAATCAATGGCCATCTTATATCGGTCCTCAATCAATGATTACCTAGGATGAAAACTCTGACCTCCTGGTGCCCAAGATCTTTTACTTATTAAAGGGGCTTTCCTTTGGTTCCTCCATGCAGCCATTCTCTCAGTGTGTCATCCTCCTTTTTTGATTGACCTCTCTGCCCATATTTTTGTATTTCTTTCTGAGGGAATTGTTAAACAATATCTCAATACCATGTTGATTTGATCCATACCTACAAACACTGTTTTTATTGAAGTAACAAAAACTTTGCTTCAAAACTCTGGATTTTAAAGATCAAAATAGATGTGAGTGGGGTGAGTGTGATTCCATCGATAAAATAATAATTTAGAATTCAAATTATGAAGGCAGGATCAACTAGTTGTAGATGAGCAACAGCAAATGGACTAGTCATGCTTAAGTAAAGTTATGACCTGGGAGTTAGATAAGCCAGTGCTACACCGAGTGCCCACAGCATGAATATCCAGAGCAAGGAGAGTCTGCATATTTTTGAACATGGGTGTGATGTGAAGCAACTAGTGCTGGAGAGAAACAGCTGCAGCTGAAGTTACCAAGATGGTTAGAATGTGGAACCTCATCTAAGAGACTGATTACGTTGTCTTCATCTGAACTATTTTAGGCTGGAAATAGAGAAATGAAAATGGGATTTGGAAAAGGAGTACTTTTAATTGCAAGTAACAAATCTTATTATCAATGACTTAAATCATAACAAGAAGTCCAGATTATGGTTATTACAAAGTTTAATAATGTCATTAAACCTAGATTATTTAACATTTCCTTCTATCATCATTTGTTTCTTACTGTTATGTGTTTCCTCATAATTTCAATATGGATACAGCAGCTCTAAATTTCATGTTTTTACACCATCACTTAAGAAGTAAGAGACTGAGCATTCTCTTTATATGACATGCAAAAAAGAATCTGTGCCAGAACCACTCCAGCAGATTTCCTCCTACCCAGCTGGTCGGGACTGGGTCACATGAAACACCTCTAGACCAATCAGTTGTAAAAGGTCAGGTCTGGTTTAATTGCCTGAATAAAATCAGGTTATCATTATCAAGGAAAAATGGGCAAATAGTGTCTGCCACAGAAGACATTGTGGAAGATGAATGAAAATGAATTGAAAACTTATTAAATGGGTAAGACAGGTTATTAAAAATACTTTAGACCTTGAATCTGGGATCTTAGAACATGGCCATTTTTTTTTACACTGGTGTTATGAGGAAGATCTTAAAGGCAATTAATCTGTTTAGTCCTAATCTCTAGTTCCTGGAGAAGACAATCTCAAATGTTTACTTTTCGTTTTTTTGCTATGATGCACATTCACATGCAGAACACATTTCTTATGAGTAGGCCCATTTCACTGAACACTGTCTTAATAAGGTGGGCTTCTAAGCTTGATTCCTAGGAAACTAGCTTTAGCCCTTCCCCTTTCTTTCCTGCTCCAGGAAGTATATCAGAATGCAAGTGAGTAAAAGGGCATAATTAGAGGGATAACCTTGAAGCCACTCCAATTTGTGAGAAAACAGTAAATCATTTTCTAATTTCAATATTTGAACTATTATTATTACTATCAAATTATGGCTCTTGTGAGACATGTCACAAATAATTGAAATGCACCAATGTGTCTGGACCCCTAGGTTAAAAGCTTTCTTCTAGAGGACAACCCTCTTCTTTCTTTGTGACCATTGTGCTATTATCATTATATTGTTGTATTTTTTTTATCTATGGATATTCAAATTGAACAGTTAGATTTAAAAGAGAAGACAAAACCCAGGGAATCTAAAGTGGAAAGCGCATACATACACGCACCATTCAGTCTATTATTAGGCATATAGCATTCAAAAATTGGGGTCAGTTCATATGAGGATTGCCCAGAAATTCAAGCAGTTTTTAATCACAAAAGTCAATCTTCCCCTTGAAATGGTGCAATTAAGGTGCAGTAGAATGAGCGAGCAATCACATTTGGCACATGTTTCTGGAGGACAAGAGAAGCTGGGGAGCACCATTCAGAAAAACCAAGTGGGGACAAAGTTCAATGATGAAGGATTTTTAAAAAATTTTAAAAAGACTCCCAAACTAGAGAGGAAGAATATCTTAGTACAAAGTATTCAGAGGTAGAATAAGAAGACTGTGTTGGGAGACCTTAGCCAGGACAAAACAGTCCCAATTAAGAGATCTTTTCAATGAGCTACAAAATATTTCCTTTTCTCAAAAAAGTAGCAGCACAAGATGGTTGAGAGAATGAGGGCTTTGGAGTTACGGCGATTTGGAATTAATCCCAAGTTTACCTCTTACTATCTGTGTTACCTTGGGCAAGGCACTGAAATTATCTGAGTCATAGTTCTTAGATACCTTATCTAATAAGTGGGAAAAATAATACCTACATCACAAGGCTGTTACTAGGATTATAGATAATATTTTAAAGCATATGGTCTTGACACAAGTTTACAAAATGGGAGCCATTATTACAAATTCAGCTTTGTGCATTCTTTCAGTTTTTGCAATAACAATTGATAAAGGAGTGTTATTGTTGTTTTCAAAACCTTGACAATCATAGTAATGACAATGAAACAGGATATATACATCCCATTCTGCTATATCATTAATCTGGATCCTCACGTTCTGTCCTTCTGACAACCCTATAAGGTAGATGTCGTTGGTTTTCCATTTAACAGAGGAGAAAACAGACTCAGAGAGAGAAAGAATTTGTTTGAATTTGTGTAGTTTACCTCCAGAGTCCCTATTCTTAACCCCTCAGCTCTACTTCCCTCCTCCCTTCAGCTTACACACACCCTCTCACCTACATGGTCATCCACGTAACCTTGAGAACTTTATTCTTTGAATTTACACAAAGACCAACATCACAGTGATTAAAAACCACACATGGCTTCTTGCTTCTCCTGGTTGCTGAATTCCAATGCCTGGGGATTAGTTTAGATGCCTACTGCTTTCAGGTTGGGGATTGCTGCCAATAAAATTTCCTGTTTCCTAAGCAGCTGGGAAGCCAACAACCAGCTGCTCTGAAATGTGTTTGAACCTCGTCCTCTCAGCTAGGAGACAGCTGTGCTGATCTATAGAAAGACTCTGGAAGATTGTTTGTGTTTTATAAGACACTCTAGGCAGGAAGAGAGAGACTTCTGATTTGAAGAGAGACTAAATTCAGGAACAGAACTCTTTAATATTTCCCGATCACAGACACTTCTCCAACCTCTGATATTCACTTAGGTACAGAGTGTGTGAGTCTCAAATAAATAGAAGACAGTCACTTTAATTGTTTTCCTCAGGGTGCATTTTTACACCTGACATATTCTATGCCTCACATCTGAGATAACAACCTTGTTGCTCCAGGCATCTCTGGAATAATTTCCAAAGCACCGTACTGTCTTGTTATCTGCTTCCCTTTACTTCCAGTGTGTTGATGAAGCAATAATGGTATGAGTTAATGCTGCTGCTGCTTAACCTATGTTTAAACAACTGACATAGTACATATTGTAATGTTTGTAGTTCCTAGCAGGCAAGGCGCTATGGCAGTGCCCACATCTACCAGTTAAATGAGACTACGAGAAAGATATGTATTTCAAAAGCACACAAGAGCCCTGAAAACTGGTACCTTTATCATTGATTTTGTTGTTGCAATTGTCTAAAGCTAGTCATCTTTTCAGTATAGCTCTCACTTTATAGATAATTGTGAAAGTCAGCTATTAATTTAGTAATAGAGCCAATGACATAGTTTATAGGGTCAAGTTAAACCATGGTTGAATCTTCAAAGACCCTGAAAAATCTGGGTCATGAAGGAAATTTTCAACATGTGGCAAAACTTCAGCTGTATTTCAAAAAAATAGAGAAGCTGATGTTTTATTTAAAAATCAGAAAACCATATTCTTTATATAAACATGTACAGTATATATACTTATGTGTATAAGTATTAATTTACAATTAATCTATGCATCCCATTGCTCTTGCAGCCTCTATTTTCCCAACAAAATACTGGAATTTGTATAGAGATGAATAGGCATATTTGACAGCATCTTAAGGATCAAGAATATGTAAAAGGGCTGAGAGCTAAAGCCCATCCCTCTATCATATTTTTTTTCTAGTGATGGAGGTAGAGAAGATGACATTTATACAAAATGTTGATTTTGTACAAACATTTCTTTGAATGAGAGTATGAATGTGTGAACTTTATTTTTTAAGCATACTCAATATTATAATCACAGAAATAAAAAAATTAACTACTATGAGATTTTAAGAATGAAATCACGACATACTAAAAATGAGGGGATATGCATGCTCAGGCTAAAAATCCATTTTGCTAGTCATGGTTACTTTTACTCTCAGAACATTTTCCTAGTCAAGATGTTTTGACTACTTACTGATTTTCAGCTAGAGTTAACCAATGGGAGAAAATTGACAGACTGCTGACAAGCAATCATTTATTTGTGTTAGTTTATCTACTTGGCATGGGTTCATCTTCTCCATTTCCTTCAGCACCAGGATGGTAACAACTTGGGCTGATGGTGAAGTGAGGGTTGCTTTACATTTGGCTTCTTAGTTTTTCCGTTGCCTATATAATTAATTTCTTGTGTTAAATTCCATGTTTGAAGCACCTACAGTAGTTTCTGTTTTTTTTTTTTTTTTTTTTTTTTTTTACTGAGCTCTGACTGATACACTCACCAAAAGGATTGTGATTAACCGAGCTGACCTCACACTATTTTGAAAAGTGTGTGAAGTGTGTGTACATACTTATGTGTGTGTAAGTACAGGTGTGTGCACATGCATGTGCACACAAATGTGTTGTGGATAATGGGAAAGAGTCACAGTACCTGCCCCTTCACCTCTAATTGTCAAGAAATGTTCTTGTGCTGTTTCTGGATTTTCAACCGTGGGTAGAATTTGTCCTAAGCTTTATTCCACCAAAATCCTCAAATTTGGTGTAATATTATTTTCCAGTTCACCTTATAAACTTATAAAAGCTATAGCTTTGGCCAGGCACGGTGGCTCACACCTGTATCCTAACACTTTGGGAGGCCAAGGCAGGCAGATCACAAGGTCAGGAATTTGAGACCAGCCTGACCAATATGGTGAAACCCTGTCTGTACTAAAAATACAAAAATTAGCAGGGCGTGGTGGCGGGTGCCTGTAGTCCCAGCTACTAGGGAGGCTGAGACAGGAGAATGGCGTGAACCCGGAAGGTGGAGGTTGCAGTGAGCCGAGATTGCGCCACTGTACTCCAGCCTAGGTGACAGAGGGAGACTCTGTCTCCAAAAAAAAAAAAAAGAAAGAAAGAAAAGCTATAGCTTCATTTATGTGCATGGGTATGTGTATACACAAATCTAAGATTAGCTGTTATCACATTAAATCTTAATAAACAATACTGAAATGTATTTGTATTGTAATTATGCTGAAAGGAAACTGAGCCCAAGATATGCTAATTGATTTCTCCCCAGGCTTTGTATTTAGAATGTGGCAGAGTTGGGACTCAAACACAGGTTGTCGACTATAAAACTGATGTTTTATTCTTGGGCCAATAAGACATATTTCTCAAGAAGTTAGTTTTTAATAAATGTCCAACAATGATAGACTGGATTAAGAAAATGTGGCACATATACACCATGGAAAACTATGCAGACACAAAAAATGATGAGTTCATGTCCTTTGCAGGGACATGGATGAAGCTAGAAACCATCATTCTCAGTAAACTATCGCAAGGACAAAAAACCAAACACCACATGTTCTCACTCATAGGAGAGAATTGAACAATGAGAACACATGGACACAGGAAGGGGAACATCACACACTGGGGCCTGTTGTGGGTGAGGGGAGGGGGGAGGGATAGCATTTGGAGATATACCTAATGTTAAATGACGAGTTGCTGGGTTCAGCACACCAACATAGCACATGTATACATATGTAACTAACCTGCACGTTGTGCACATGTACCCTAAAACTTTAAAGTATAATAAAAAAAAGAGAAATAATAATCTAAAAGTGGGAATTTGGGACTTTGGAACTTTCTGACAAGCATGACTTCCAACAGATTTGCATTCTGAGTTTTAAACATAAATAATGAGAAACATTATTTGATCAAGGGTTTTTGTGCCATGTTTAGAGGCCAGAAACCTCCTGGTAGATGGAGTGAGGGTATGAAATGTCTGGAAAATATTAACAGTTTGTGCAGAATACAAGAGAATAATTGAATTCATGTCTGCCTTTGACAGTATTTTGCATGTGGTTTCTGCACTTAATAATTCTACAATTTATATAAGAAATATTTCCAGTAACTTATTCATATGCCAGATATCTCCTGTAGACTGTGTCAAGTAATAAAAGGGTAAAAAAGAACATTGTCTCCACCTACATGGATCATATTGCCTTCTGATGAATCTAATGTTAAATGAAGTATAGATTTCTATAAGAACATAAAAAAGAGGATCCAATCTAGTCTTAGTATTGTGGAACTCTTCCCTGAGAAAGTGATGTTAGCGTCATAGTATGATGCTGGTATAAAGATAGACATAGAAATGAAGCAGAAATAGAGCCAAACATAAATGATCAATTTATTTTTGACAGCAATTCCAAGATTATTTAAAAAGAAAAGAAAATCATTTTGACTAAATGATGCTTGAACAATATCTGTATATGAAAAAAATGTACTGCACATTACTCCATATACAAAAATTAATACAAAGTAAGCATAATCATAAACATAAATCTCTAACTTCAAATATCTGGAAGAAAGCATAAAGGAAAATCTGTTTAACATTGTAGTAGCCATTTTTTGCTAGGACAAAAATTATTAACCATAGAAGATGAATAAAACAAAACAGTGACATTTCTCTTTATGCTCATCAAAATTCCTAAAATGTAAAAAGAATCAAAATATCAAAATACCAAGTGTGACTGAGGATGCAGAATAACTATAATGCTCATACATTGCTGGTGGAATTCAAAATGGTAAAATAACTTTGGTCAACAGTTTGTTAATTTCTTATGAAGTTAGAAACATACTTAACAACAGAACATAGTTTTTCTTCTAGTTATTTACCCAAGAGAAATAAAAACATACAATACAAAATAGTTGTACAATAATGCCATAACAACTTTATTTATTATAGCAAATGAAATAAACAAACCAAATGCCAGTCACAAAGATAATGAATTAACAAATTGCAGTATATGTATAAAATGTAATACTTCTCAGCAATAAATAAAATAAACTACTGGTACATGCAGCAACATACGTGAAGCTTACACATGTAATGCCATGTGAAACATCACACAAAAAATTACATACCATAGAATTCCATTTATATACAACTATAGAAAATATACATCTAATCTGTGGTGCTCTATAGCAGATCTGTGGATGCCTGATACCTGGGGTGGGAAGGATCTTGACTGATAATAGGCTTAAGGAAACCAGTTGTCATAAATAGAACACTGATGTAACAATACTAGAATTCACATTCCTTTCTAGTGTACCTAAAGCATATGATATTTGATTATACGTCATAAACAAAGCATCCACAAATATAAAATGTTTTAAATCATTCAGAGCTTATTCTTTAATCACAATAGTATTTTAGGTTAGAAATCAATAGTAAAAGGAAGACTAGTAAGTCCTCATTTACTAGAAAAATTTTTAAAGACTCGTTTAATACGTGAGTTAACTAAAAAATCAGTGAAAACATATTGAAATCATTCTCCCTGAGTTAGAGTATGATTCAAAAATACCTTGTATGCTCACTTGTATACTGGCATTTCTGTCTAGTGGAATAATACAGAACAAAAATTAAAAAAAATGAAAAAGTAAAGATACAACTGTCTTTATTCATAGATGATATGCTTTCATACATAGAAAATCTAAAAGACTATAGAAAAATATATAAGGATTATTAAAAATTGAATTGAACAATGTCTGTATGTGCAAGTCAAAGCTGTAACCATAGGAGAATATGCTGAGCTTCATTAGTAATTAATGAGATGCCAATTAAACCTCAATATAATATCTCTACATACTTGCAAAAATGCCTAATGTGAAAAATATGGGAAAAAAAATGTAGATGAAGATGTGTGACAATTGGAAGACTCAAGCCTGTAATCCCAGCACTTTGGGAGGCCAAGGCAGGCGGATCACCTAAGGTTGGGAGTTCAAGACGAGCCTGACCAACATGGAGAAACCCTGTCTCTACTAAAAATACAAAATTAGCCAGGTGTGGTGGCACATGCCTGTAATCCCAGCTACTTGGTAGGCTGAGGCAGGAGAATCGCTTGAACCCGGGAGGCAGAGGTTGCAGTGAGCCAAAATTGAACCATTGCACTCCAGCCTGGGCAACAAGAGTGAAACTCCATCTCAAAAAAAAAAAAAAAAATTGGAACACTCATATATTGTTGCTAGAAATATAAATTTGCAGAAGCACTTTGGAAATCCCTGGAATTATCCAATAAAACTGAATATATGCATTTTCATAATTCCACAGTGGCACTCTCAGGTACATACTTGATAAAATTGTATACATTTGTTCACCAAAAGACACATACTAGAATATTCATAAGTTCCTATTTATTTTATATTTATATATTTTAAGTAGCTCCAAACTACCTAAAAGCCTATTAATAGTAGAATGGATAAACTGTGATATTTATATGTAATTAAGCATTCAAGAATGAGAAATAATTGATCTTATAAATGTGATTTGATTGAAAGAAAACAGTTATGCAGGTTACCAATTGAAAAATTTCACATATATGTTATATATTTAACATGTATGTAATCTATTATATATTTAGTATCTATTATATATTATATAATACATCTAGCATACATTACATATTAATATATAAGATGTCTGATTATATATCCTATCACATATTTGATATATATGTGTCATTTTATATATTATGTGTATACATACATATATATAAAGGGGAAGCATTTATATGAAAGGAATCAGATGGCTTAAGAAGTGATAAGTGAGGAAAATAGTTTTAGGGATAATAGATAACCTTTTAATAAGTCTGGCTATGTTTTAAGATATGGTTTTATAAACACTTATATACTACAGTGAAAAAGTCAGTAGAAAGGAATAGAATAAAGATATATTACAAGAAGAGCCAAGTGCAGTGACTTATGCCTGTAATCCCAGCACTTTGGGAGGCCAAGGAAGGCGGATGACCTGAGGTCAGGAGTTGGGGACTGACCTAGCCAATATGGTGAAAACCCGTCTCTACTAAAAACAGAAAAATTAGCCAGGCATGGTGGCATGCACCTGTAATGCCAGCTACTTGGGGAGCTGAGGCATGAGAATTGCTTGAACTCAGGAGGTGGAAGTTGCAGTAAGCTGAGATCACACCAATGCACTCCAGTCTGGACAACAGAGCGAGACCCCTTCTCAAAAAAAAGAAAAGATATATTAGAAGAAAGAAGTTATTAAATGTGCAAAGTCTGCAAGAAGGTAGAGAGGAAGAGAACCAGATAATTTTCATTTTAATAGAAATGGATAAGAATGAAAGATAGAAGTTGGGGACAGTTTCATTTTTACTGTTTCGATTTTATTGTTGTTGTCTGTTTGCTTATTTCATATTTGTTGTAAGTGAAGTAATCTGCAGAACAAGTGGGAATATGAGGGGCTAGAGGTTTGATGAAAGTGGAAGTTTAGACTAGTGTTTGGGTAGAATGGATACAAGAATTAGCTAAAAACACACAGATGCATTTTCTGTTAGTTTCAGGTTGGGGACCATTAATTTATCTAGAAACTAATTTGTTCAGTGAGGGTGTTGTGGTTTGGCTTTGTGTCCCTACCCAAAACTCATCTTGAATTGTAGTAATCCCCATGTGTCATGGGAGGGACCCAGTGGGAGGTAATTGAATCATGGGGCAGGTTTTTCCCATGATGTTCTCATGATGGTGAATAAGTCTCACAGGATCTGATGGTTTTATAACAGGGCAGTTCCTCTGCACACACTCTCTTGCCTGCCACCATGTAAGACATGACTTTGTTCCTTCTTGCCTTGATTGCCATGTAAGACATGATTGTGAGGCCTCCCTAGCCCTGTGAAACTGTGAGTCAATTAAACCTCTTTCCTTTATAAATTACCCAGTCTCAGGTATGTCTTTATTAGCAGCGTGAGAACAAACTAATACAAGGGGATTCTCTAAAAATGGTAGACAGTCACCTGTTGGCTCAGTGTTAGGGAAATGGATAATTTTGTTCTGCAAGACATCTGTAGTAGAGAGAGAAGTGAGCTAAGAAATATTAAATATTGCCAAATATTATCAAAATGGTAGAATGATCGAGATTGAAAGAGTTGAAAATTATAGGTACGTGGAAATATCTGTGGTCTGGAAGCTCTGCATGGGTTGTAAAACTAATGTCATTTGGTCTTTTAGTTTCACGCAGCCTAGTTGTTCCTTGCTTATGGTCAAGAAAGACATAAGTGTAGGATCAAGGATGGAGGCTGGTGCTTTGTTACTCTTAGCTCATAGATCCTGAAGCATAATCAAGATGCAGGGTTTAATATTATTATACAGCCCGCTATGGAGAGGGCAGATCTCAGTGTCCTGATTGATGGTGCTGAGAAGAGGAAGCTAAGGTTGAAACACTGGTGTTGAGAGAACCATGCCATACCTAACCCACTCTTGCTGGCTCTACATGGGAAAGAATATACTAATTTTTCTGAATCTGTTTAATTAGGGCTGTAATATTTTGGAAAATTGGTTCTTCAGCTAAGCATTTGCCTTAAGTCAACATGGTTGAAGGATAGCTAAATATTAGGATTATTACCAATATGTATATTTTTATAATAGGTCATTTTAAATAAAAGTAAAAGGAATTCTGAGTAGCCACCTGAATTGGCATTGTTTGTGATTATTTCTTTTTACGGGATATAAAATGTTTCTGGCCTAGAGTATCTCCTTCAGAAAAAAATTAGCTTTAGGAAAAAAAGCATCTTATAGATGCTTTTTGACAGGACAAGATTATAACTGAATAAATGTCATATTTCCTTTTATGTATGGCCCTTTCTGTAGTGTTACATTTACTTTTCTTTTAGTTATTTCATGCATTGATTTCTCCCCTTTCAACTTAAGTTGTTGTCTTTTGTTGTCACATTCTAACGGAACATTGACAAAGGACAAATCTACTGTGCCAATTATATCAGTGGCCCATTGGAATGATTCTTCATATCCAAAGAATGAACTACCTTCTCAATTTAATTAGAAGCTTGACAATTTCAATTTGGAGATGCAACACCACTTTGCCTGGATTTAACAAAGCTCCTTATCTGATTTGCCTGTGAAGCCACCCTGGCTGTTTAGCATTTTTGAATGCATCTGAAAAGGGAGAATGCTCTCAATGCCAACCGTTCTTTTAAAAATCTGTTCAGAAACAAAAGAATGTATTAAGCCAGTATTGGGATAAAATTAGCTCTTAAAAGAGACATTCAGAGTAGATCATAAAAACATTGAATAAGTTAATGCATTTTGGTTACAGAAAATATATTTAAGCATTTACTGTGGCATAAAACTACTACCATTAGGTCAATCTTGAGGTGCAAATGGCACCTATAAGTTAAAAAGACTACAAATATCCTTAAGTCTTTTTAGAAATAGTTTATGCTGTCAGTTGTAATCTGCCATTACATATACATATGCCCTTTGACATTGCCTATGCTAACTTCATTTCCAAATAGTTTAACTGATTACTTTTGATATGGTTAGGCTTTGTGTCCCCACCCAAATCTCATCTTCAATTGTAATCCCCAAGTGTGAGGGAGCGACCTGTAATTCCCCACATATTGAGGGAGGGAGGTGACTGGATCATGGAGGCAGTTTCCCCCATGCTGTTCTCGTGATAGTGAGTTCTCATGAGATCGATGGTTTTATAAGGCAGTTTTCCCTGCTTTTGTTTGCTGTCTCTCTCCTGTTGCCATGTAAGATGTGTCTGCTTCCCCTTCTGCCATGATTGTAAGTTTCCTGAGGCCTCCCTGCCAGACATGCAGAACTGTGAGTCAATTAAACCTCTTTCCTTTATAAATAACCCAGTCTCGGGTAGTATCTTTGTAGTAGTGTGTAAATGAACGAATACAACTTTAAAAATAACTACATTGAGAAGAAACTCTGGAGTCCTAGGATCAAATCCTGTTATTTTTGCAAAACCAAGCAAACAAATTGACTTAATTTTATTGGAGAATAAGAAAAAAAAGTTTGGTTAATCAGGATTGTATTTATACTGACACATTTAAAAGATTTAAAGATAAATGTTATGTACTTCCATGTCCTAGAACCTATAATGTGATTTGTTTATGGTTCTTCTTTGCCTTATTGATATGTGTATTGAGACCCAGGTTTTAAAATTTAAAAATGTTTTGTTATGAAATAGTCTTAATCTAAATGTCTTTAAATGGTTTGGGGCCTATAAGGGTGACTGAGTACTTCTATTTGCTCTTCCAAAGAAACACAACTTGGAAATTAGTATATAAATTTTCAAACCACAATCCTAACAAAATGCATTGGCAAATAAGATACTCTATTGCTCCTGGTAGCAACATGCATTACAAAAATAAGAGCAAGCTTCTTAAAAGCAGAGTTGCTGGCTAGTCAACTTTAAAATTTTAGACACTCTGTTAAGGTTAGTATAATTTATTTAACTATTTGATATCGAAAAATAATCACATATTGGAAGTAGGATATTCTTGGAGGCAGGTTTATGTAATGAGAAAAAACGCAAGGTAGAACCAGACTTACTTGGTTCCAGTTCCAGCCCTACTATCTAATATCTGTGTTACTTTGAGCAAGTCACCAGACCTTCCAGTTCCTTTGTTTCTTCATCCATAAAATGAAGATAATAAGAGTACTTACCTCATAGGGTTGCTATGAGTTACTTTATGTCAACTGCATACTACAGCATATAATAGATATTAGCAATTATTTTAAGCTCTTCTGACACTTGGAACCAAACTCTTGACATTTGTCTTTCAAAAATTGCTTTTGTGCAGGACCAACATCCAACAGGGGTCTTTGAATTCAGGTACACCTTGAGACTCAAGATCATAGGCTACATTTGGTACCAATTTACCAAAAAGGTTACTGGACAGACCATATATCTTTCCAAGCAGCATCAGGTTTTTCTCTCAGCAGGAGTCTCAGAAGAAGCAGTTGGCATGGCAGTTCACACTGCCCTGTGATTGGGAAGCTGCTTTCCCAGGTGACAGACCAGGTGCAAGAAAGTGAGATCCACACCAGTGGAAGTGAGGTTCACGTAGGCTTAGAATCCTCATGTAAGGCGTATGTCTGGTAACAGTCTTGAATCCAAACTATAGGGAGTTAGACTAGTGTCCTACGAGTAGAAAGCATTCTAGTGTTTTGACACAATCTCTGTGAGAAACTTCCAAAAGCAAGAGAAGGAATATGTACCATGTCTTTTTGAATATTCCTCTTAGCTATCACTAATTACAATAGGGTTTTGGCAAGGGTTTGCTAGCAGACATTCCAAATTGACATAGTTGTCAAGGATTTATAGGTATTTAGTGTTTTTGAGAAAAGATCCAGGTATTCTATACAAACTACTTACATGGACGAAATGTTAACATTTTATGAGGAAACAGAAAATGTATTTTATTGTTGCTAAACTCCACCTTTTTGTAGTAAATGGCTATTGATATGTTTTTAAGAGCAAGTCCTTTATCCGTAAACATTTGTAGAATTGGTCCAATTTGTACCGTTGTTAAACTGAAACCATATAATACCACAAAGCACAGAAGAGACACTATAATAAAAGTAAGATTTATACAGGATAATATTTAACAGGATTCTATTTAAATTGGCGTATTAGGGTTATTTGCAAAACACATTACATAATTAGCATAAGAGTTAATTGAACATAATCACTTATCCATCTAGATACAAAAAAATGAGGCAGAACTTATTGATTTATGTTTGGGCATAGACAATATTGAGCAGCTTATTGTGACATTAATAGACTATCAGGCTCAGTTATTTTTATTTTTATTATTTATTTATTTTTTTATATGGGGTTTCACTGTCACCCAGGCTGCGGTGCAGTGACGCCATCTTGGCTCACTGCAACCTTTGCCTCCTGGGCTCAAGTGATCCTCCCTCCTCAGCCTCCTGAGTAGCTGGGGCAACGGGCACATGCCACCATGCCCACGCTTGGCAATAATTAACAAAACCTCCTGGAATAATAGCTCTTTTTTCTCTTTTTTCCCTACAGTTGGACAGTGTCACATCCCTGATCCAAGCAGCCAAAAATTTAATGAATGCTGTAGTGCAAACAGTGAAAATGTCTTACATTGCCTCAACCAAGATCATCCGAATCCAGAGTCCTGCTGGGCCCCGGCACCCAGTTGTGATGTGGAGAATGAAGGCTCCTGCAAAAAAACCCTTGATTAAAAGAGAGAAGCCAGAGGAAACGTGTGCAGCTGTCAGACGAGGCTCAGCAAAGAAAAAAATCCATCCATTGCAAGTCATGAGTGAATTTAGAGGAAGACAAATCTACTGAAACCACTATTCTACATATAGTGCCTATATGACAAAATCCTGCCTAACCACACTGCTTTATTTTACACTTAAGAAGTTCTGTAATTTCACTAAGTTTTGGTGTTTAACTCACAAATAACATAAAATATTGGGCGCTAAATCAACAAAAGCAATATATATTTGGGATCATATCACTGTCATTTCTGTATGGTCAGCACCTAATAGTTAAGGAATATTTGCTTGTTGAATGAATGAAATTATCACGTGTCATTCAGCGTTTCCCATCATAGAGATTATCTACTATTCGTTACCAAATAAACACAGGAGAGGCCAGAGAGTCCTGTTTATCTGTAATACTTCATGTACACTTATCATCCTTATCTTGAATTAAAACACTAACATGAGCTCCTAACTTGGTTTTTTAATAGAAACAAAAGACTTTTATAAAATATTTTCCCATTTAATCTCCATGCTTTCTTTATCTGATCTAACCTGGCACCTAACCAGGCAGAAATGTATGATTCCTGCCATAGCAAAAAAACCACCTTTTAATCTCTAGATAGCTGTACTCATTGTCAACTTATTAGGCTAATATCCATTATAAACTAATCAAATTTGAATAGTTAGGCTACTTGCTGGATTTTGAAGGTCAACCTTGTTTATTAATAAAATGCTTTCTTAACATTATAAAGGTTACAATGAGTTCTGATGCCACATACTCACCTTTTGGGTTTCCAATGTGTTAGAGAGTTCTGTACTTTTGAGTGTTAGGCCTATCCGAATACATATGTGAAAGAAGAGTTATCACCCATTGGGAAAATGAGACAACAAACTATATCCCAAAGTGAGTTATATTAATAATAACAGAAGTGTAAGTTCTGTATGACCCTATTTTTACAAACATAAAAATACATTTTTATCAGCTTGCAATTGTAATTAAAAGGAAAATGGCAGTTTGAAAAATCTTTTGACGTTGAGTAAAATATAACTGCATGAACTGTACCATTGAACTATGAAGCAGTTAATGGCAATGAAGCTGGAGTGATTTTAATAACGTTCTTTTAAATAAAAGTCACTGGGGTCATTTTACAACTCCAGTCACTGTGTTCATTCCTAGTTGAGTTCATAATGGACTTCATAATAGTCTTAGAGTCTAGTGTACCTCTCTCTGTCA
The DNA here is from genome assembly GCF_000001405.40 of Homo sapiens. Lineage (NCBI taxonomy): Eukaryota > Metazoa > Chordata > Mammalia > Primates > Hominidae > Homo > Homo sapiens. The sequence goes on along the minus strand of NC_000010.11, from coordinate 65,919,177 downwards.
TTCTCTCTCTCTTTTTCTCTCCCCTGATGACCTGCCTCTCTCTGTCTTTCAAAAATGTCCTTAACAGAAACTCTTTGGAGGCCATAAGTTTTGTTTTCATTTTTTCTCATTCATAGAGTTCTGATTCACAGACTTTAAAAAACATTTTCTATTCTACATTATCATAATAGTATTATATTGTACCTTTTTACTTCTAAAACATTGCCATTGATGAGAGGCGTCTCAGCAACGATGTAACCTTAGATTGATGAGAAAAAAATTTACACATACAATACCAGTTGATATTAGGAGAACCAGTTTGGGTAAAAGGATGCATGAAACATAGAAAAGCATAAAGATTGACAGTACGATATGTGTGGAATCTTAAGCATAATGGTATGGGAAAAGAAGGATCTATTTAATAGGTCATTATTAATTATGCAGGAAATGTTAAATTTCTTGTAATGAATTATTTCAATCTTCCAAGTAGCTGGATTGCCTGAGCTCAGTGTAAAACTTCCTAGGAGGTGAAGGCAATAAACTCCTCCCTGTTTTGCACCATAGACTGGCCTACAATAACTATTCTGAACAGAATGCACTGCCCAGAAGAAAAGGCAGTGAAGAAGGGAATTAGGGAATTCAGATGACTCTGTTTTTCAGAATTATCTAGATGATTGAGGCAAATAGAGATTTTCTTTTATTGAAATGCTGCCATCATTTTCTGCTCTAAGTGTAGATGTTGCACGAGTGACATCTGTGGTATATCCTTCTTCCAGATAGAAGTATAAATTTATAATTTAGTGGGGAGAGGAATTTTCTTTTAATCACCAAACTACCAGCTGTATAGAAAATTTTTTTGAAATCACCAAACTAGCAGTTGTGTATCTTAGCTCCTAAAGCCACATTCACAAGAATCATAAGCATCTCATTTAGAAAATCTAATGTCCACCGGACCCAACATCATCTTTCCACATGTTGGAGTTTAGAACATGCAGTATTGGACACCAAAAGAACAGAAATAACTTGAAATTATACAATTACCAAATAACCTCCATCTCTTTGATAAAAATGACTTTTTACCCAAAGTGAGATGTGAACAAGTTCTCCTCTTTAACCCAGGCAGATTTTCAGCTTAGCTCAAAGCAAACTATAATTAAATAAAACAATAAAAATTTTAACTCAATGAATATCCTAGGAGTTAATCTGCTGTGGTAATCGATAGTGACATAAAAACAAGATGCATAGAGCTGAAAAAGGCATCTGTCCACCTGAGTGAATTCCTGTAGTAGGCAGCATTTCAAGATTTAGTTTGATTCAAACCTGCTGATAAAACAAATGCTTATATGCAAGAAAAACTAGCAGCAAGATATGAATAAATCTCCCCATTATGTTAAAAACTAATCAGCATGACACATTTATATTTAGGTATTTCTTCTGCAGAGGATTGCCAGAAATTTCTTAATGAGAGTGATAATTTGGTGATCCACCTATGTACCTTTTGATGTCTCATCACAGAGATTAGTGCTTCCTCTGATAATACATTTGCTTGATCCTGCTAATAAGAACTCACCTTTCTTTTTAACGAAATCAATTTGTGTTAATTTACATAGGGAAAAACGTTCCTTGAGAGGGAGGAGAGGGGTGTTTACCACCCACAGGAGCAGTTCCATCCCTGGTTACCCACCAGTATCCCTGCCAGATGTTAGACTGGAATTAGAATGAAAATTTAAAAAAAAACGAAATAATAATCCACTAAATGGCCTTCTAATTAGAGAAATTTGAAGATTTCTATCAAATATAAAAAGTGAGAAATAGAAATCATTCCCTTTAATTTATGACAAATTAAAATTATTGAAGTAAAATGTTTCTAAGTCAGTTTCTGGATAGTTCTTGAATGAGTCAAGAAAAAACTCAAACACTAAATTTCTAAGCTAATTTGTTCATTATTCCTTTCTGTTTATTATTTATTATATGAGTGCAAATTGCAAATGTATTAGAAAAGACAATATAGCCTTCACATTCACAAGTGTGCCTTCTGGCCTTTGAAATCTTTTAACATAAGATCAATATAACATATTTGTTCCCCATAAAAATCTCTTATGTACAGGGAATAAGGTCCTCCATAGCTACACAGAGACACCCATTCTTGCAGTCTGGCATTCTTAACACCTTTAGCTTCAAAGGCAGTCGGTTTCAATTTCAAGCTAAAATTGTGAATATACAATTAAGTGCGCAACTTGGGCCTTCAGACCAAATAATTAATGCTCCTCAAATTAAATAATGAGTGGCTGAAAAGCCTAATGTGTAACAACAGAGTAAGTGACTTCAACGGCTTCCTGAACCTTCATTTTGAGGGTGTTCTCATCTCACCCACCTCTGGGCTAGGTATCCTCTGTTAATTGCTAACAATTTCCTACCAAAATAGTGCAATCAGGACTGCCCATCACAGCAAATTACTCCAATTAATGCCCTTTCCTCTTCTGTGAACCAAAAATATCTCTCTCCTGTCTCTCATCTCTATCCCAGGTATAAATTGACTAATAAATTTTACAGAGTTTTAGTCAAAATTATGAATTTTAATTTCCAGCAACATTATTCCTTTAGTCTTTCTATTCCCCAAAACATTCTTAAATTTTGGTATCAAATGTTCATTTCTGTCCTAGAGATTGTGGTTCCCATGGCTACAGATTTTTGTATAGTGGTAGTATGAGTGGAATAAGATCTGAGACTTTTCCTGGTGATATCCACCATTCTCTTGTGAACTCATTGCAGAATAAACAGCCTCTTTCACTTTCATTGTAAGTAGTTCTTTAGGTTGGCAAAGCAGGCACCAGAATCTGAATTTGAATGAAATCTGTACTTTCTTTTGTTGGCCTATTTTTTGCCAAGACAGCCTGCCTATTGTATATTTAGGAATCAAATATTCATTTTTTCTGTTTGTAAAGCCAGAAATATTTCAGTTAAAAAGAATATAATTTTATATTATTTTAATAATTCTTTTTAAGTAAAGTAGGAAAATTTCTGCCACCTGAGATGTTACTGTTTTTATTTATATGAAAATTCCATTTTTTTCTTTATGACTCTTTTCCCATACCATTATGATATGTTCAGCATTAGTATTTTCCATTTTACCACTAAACAAATAAGCCAGGACTAATAACAATAGCAGTTTGAGAGTTTTTATTTTGGCATTTTGGTTTTAATTAGGAAAGAAAACATGGATGCTATTAAAACTAGTTGTAGTTAAAAATGTTTTGAATGAGGCTACTAACGCTATCTTAGTCATCTCAAAGAGAAAGAGAAGAAGTAAAATTTTAAATACCTTTTTGGCATTTTTAACCAATTCATATGAACAAAAACATATATTCTATTAAAGCAAAATAAAGAATAGTTTAAAACACTAGTCTTCTTGCATGTGAATATTTTCCCCCTAACAGACAAGATAGAATCCATTTCTGGACACTCTAAAAGAAAGTAATGTTAATTGAGAGAGCTGTCTCCAAATGGAACTCAACCTGACCAGAATCCCATCCGCAGGCAAGAGATGGGCTGTGGGGCCGACCATAAGTTTTATTCTGAGACGAGATGCTTTATGGCTGCTGGCTGCATTATGGCATCTAGCAGTCCCCACTGGTTTGTGGGAACAAAACACATGGATTGATATTCAATATGAGTTTGGTAAGTTGGAGAAAAATGGAGACGATACGGAGTAGTCTAAAGGCACAACAAATAAGAAGGTGCCAGAGGTAGGGAAGGGTCTGAGAGGGGTAGTTGCAGAAGCATTTAGCTTTCATAGATGAGGGGAGAGTTTTTTGGTTTTATGAAGATTAGGCAGCCCTCCTGAGGAAAGTATTAAGGATAGAATGAGACACTTGTCTTGGTGGTTTGGTGAAGTCGTGTCGAAGGCAAAAGGATGAACTACACATATTTTGAGCATGATTTAGTAATATTGTTTGCAAGTTGAGAAACAGAAATTCAGCCATTCTCCTGACTGATGGTAGGTGAAATTCTTCCCAATATTAGAGCCAATCTGGGTTACCATACGTTCATATATTTAACAGCTATTTGTTAAACAACTGTGATGTTCCAGGCACTGTTCTAGGTTCTTAGGATACACCATATAACAAAACAAATAGTGATCCTTGCCCTCATGTGCCAGCTCTGTGTTAAATGCTAACTATTATCTTATTCAATCCTCCAAATAACCCTATAGGATATATATCATTCCACAGACAAGGAAGCTGAGGGTTAAATGGGATAAGAATCTTGCTCAAAGTCTCACTGGCTTTAAAATATTAATATATATTTTACATCATTCAAGACAGATATATAATTAGCTGAATATTCTCACCTCTATTAACTGAATGTAGAGTGTCAGGTACATGGGAAGTAAGTTATTTACGTGATCTGAAATAAGAGGACAACCTTTGCCAAATTACTTTTATTACCATGGAGAAGAAAGCTTCAATGAAATGCCTGTTTCAGCCCATCTTCAGTATTGGTTGGTTAATACCATTTGTTAACACCAATCCTTTCCTCTTTTACTGCTAACATGTGACTGTGTTTAAAATTATAGATTGCAGCAGAGTGTTGGCCAAGGATTATTGTAGTAGGATAAAGTTTCCCTGTATTTGAAATTTACCCAAACTGTAGCAAATACATCTTTCCTTCTTTATGGAGGTCACACGTGTGCATAGTATGTGCCTGAATACAGGTAAACTTTGTGTTTTAAAATTACATGGCCTTTTTTAGAGTCGACTGAAGGCTAGACTCTTCTTGCCCATGTTGCTGGATAGGCTTTCAAATCTCAGGCCTTGGAGAGTTAAATGACTTTCTGATATTTCTTACGGTGGAGCCACATAAGAAATACACACATTCCTAGTTTGAGCAATGGATGTGTATATTGGGGATCTTCACTTTTATGTATCTGGTAGTCATGATGGTGCCTATTCCCAACTGTAGGAAAGGAAAGCCCTCAAGGAGAAAATTCTCTTTCAAAAAGGCTCAGATTTCTAACAATTATGTCTAAATGTTTCTTCAATTTAGAACATGTACAAAAGCTACTTAATATTAGCAGAGTAGTTCTTGTGTTTTCATTTCAAATGAAATATTCCCAGTTCCAAAGTTTATTTCCTTGGCATTTTCAAGAAGGATGGTTATTTTTAGTTCTGGTTATTTGGTGTTGGAGGTCTGTGACACTTCCTTATACATTTAAAGCCCCCTTTGAATAGTTGTATCAATAGTTCAAAAGCCTGTAGATATCTTGCTTTTCTATTCTGACAGCCCAGCTTCTGCAGACTCAGGCCAACCTTAGGTATGTCACATCAGTTCCCCATCTGTGTAAATTACCTGAACCTCTCTGTGGTATTCACTGAGAGTTGAGCTTCTACTAAGGGATTTCCTTGACCTGGGCTTTTAACACCAGATTTGTAGTGGAGTGTTTATTAGTAAAGCAAAGGAGTAAGTCAGAGATGCTAGCCCCTGCTCTCAGTTAAACAGAACTATCCTCCTTCCTGAATATTTAAACATAAAATTAATTTTAAACTACTATAAAAATCATGTTCCATTGCTTGCCAAATCTTATACCATTATAATGCTGTATTTTTACATGTTAGTATACATTGTGTCCATAGGGATATAAATATGAGAATTTCAGCAACTGTCTTGCAGGGTTAAGATGTGCTATTTGTTGATTTTGCAAATTTTTCTCATGTGGTACAGTCCCTCCAAAGAAAATTTCCTTAGACCTAAATGGTAGCATAATAATTTCTCCTCCATATCCGTGACTAACAAGTTCCTGAAAACAGAAGTAGACATATTTTATGCCCAATTTAGTACCTAATAATTGAGGCTTAAAACAAAATTTTCTTGGGCAAGTTGGGTGATTAAATATGAATTAAAACTTCTAGAGAAAGATTTCCAGATGCCCCTGTTTTCCATTTTGATTATGGTTTTAGTTTCATAGCAACTTGGGGGAAAAAAATCATTTACTTTATGTCGTATTACAACAACAACTTTGACAGCTTAAATGTAGTGACCTCTCTGAAGGTAATATGCACATTATAATTTAGGATGAAAGCAGATTTAAACTAAGACTTTCTGAGATGAAATAAAAGTAACCAATTCATAATAGTCATGTTTATTGCAGCAATATCTTGGGAACTTAAGTTTAGTGGCGTTTGAGGTGTTTCTGACTATCTTGCTTGTTCATTTCACCCTGCTCTGCAGAGACAGAATATGATTGAATGAACTGCCCATTATATTAATGACCAGTTCAAAGCAGTTTTGTGCTTTGGCTATAGATAAAATTTGGCAAAAATACTGTAGGCCTTTCTGGTCCATATTTATCCTTAAAGTATTTTTGCCAATCAATAAAAATGAAATATTTATCCAGAAATAGAAAAAGCTCTTTCCTATGACATTGACATAGAAGCCCAAATACTCCTTGTTTGAGACCCTGCATGTCTTTTGTGTTTAACTGAATCAATGATTTTTTTTAGTTGTGCTCTTAATTGCATTATTTCACATATGTAACACTGGGTTTGTTTTGGTTATATAGTATTATTTTACTTTATTCTAATTTCAACTCATGTCACTCTGTAGCTCATTAAGAATTTGTTCAACTGAAAATTAAAATGTGTGTTAAAGCAATAAAAATGAAAAGATTGGCTATGCATTTTATGTTGATATTTGGTGGCGGATTTCTTGGGTGGGATGAAAAAAATGGAGATTAATAAATTGCTGAGTAGTCCAACCATGTGTTTCTAAGTGTCACCTTCACTCTCATCCTCTTTCAGTTTTATATTTATAATTCAGGAAGGCACTTTTCCAAACTACTGCATGCACACAAGTAATCTGAAGCATATCTGATAGAATTAAATTCATAGTCTAAATGAGCATTTTTGGTCTAATACAGGCACTAGTCTTGGGCATTAGACATGCCTTTAATAGTTCTGTGTAGCTCAAGAGTTGTTCTTTAGCTTAGGACTTTATGAAAATGATCAATAACTTTTCTGAGAATGTCCGAACACATACTCCCTAGTGGTCATGGAATACCATTGGTTCTACCAATGCTCTTGTATCTAAAAATTGGTGGGTTTTTAACATCCATCTTGGCCTCCTCATTTTTAGGCTGATAATAATCCTTTCTCAGTATGAATCCCATGGGGTTAGCCTCTCGATCCTCTTCCAGGGGTCACACAGGCTGTTGCTATCTACTCTAGAACATCAATCACATCATTTTCTCCCTTCAGGGCCCTTACTACTTCAGAACACCTACAGCGAAGTCTCAGTCTGCAAGTTCCCAAAATGCAGTCTCTAAGTATTGTCTTTGTCACTTGATTCTTCTGAAAGACCATGTTTCCCCTGATTCAGTTCTGCCAGACACCATCTGACTCTGCTAATGGAAATGCCAGTGTGGTGTTGCCTTTCTGCCTCATTCTGTCCTGGACCCCAGGAGCCCATAATTGCTCTGGCAGCAGTATTCTATCTGCCTTGATCAGTTTGTCATGCTTGCTCTGGGGGTGGAAGTGGAACTAAAAGCACTCTTGGCAAGAAGAGTCTGTTCCTGCCTAGAGGCTGAGCTGATGCCCTGACATTTCCTGGGCAGGACCATTAAACATTCCATCCAGGAGCAGTAACTCGGAGATGTAACTTCCAGTCACTGCATGTCCATCTTGTGGCCTCTGGAGGAAAAGCTGCTGTCCCTGATCAAGTAACCCTGACTTCCTACTTTGTCTGAATTTCCTAGTTTTAGAAAGGAGAAGTTCCCTTGGTGTATAGGCCAGAAAAGGGAGTTGTCAGGAAGACAAAGAGAGTGTCAAACCCAAGGGAGCTGACAGAGGAGTGGTTTAGGTACAGTGGATCACACACAGGCTTTTACAACATTGTCATTTGTCCCTGAGGCTCAGGGAGGTAGCCTGGAGACAGGGATCTGCTACTCTGAGCTTCACAAAGAGGTGAAATGCTCTCCTTCCTGCCACATTCTTGCCTTCTCACTGTCCCTTTAGTTGTTGATAGTGACAGAATGTTAGGTGTGCAGATCAAATCTGCATGTTTCCTTTCTAACATCAGAAAAGACAGTTTTCTAGCAGTGGGTGGAGTACTATTCAGATTAAACTGAAAGGACCAAAAGTGGGCTATCCTCCTGAATGCAGACCTGAACACTTCCCTTGGGAGTCTGCCATCTGCAGGCATTGATTTGGAGAAGGTAGGGGAAGAGAACTAACTATGCTTTTGTTCTGCTTTGGAGGAAGCCTGTGTGGTGATGCTGGGGATCCACAGCCGGATCCTGGAATAGCTCCTCCTTTCCAATAATTGCTCATAGTATCTCCCACCCACTAGGTTAATCAATTATGTCGCAGTCACTCTGAGGCTAGGTTTGGAAGACTCTAATGCTGTACCAGGTCCCAACGCCAGAGAAATGTTTGAGCCCCTTAACTCCATTATATTCTGAAACCCTGGGACAGTTATATCATTTATACTTTTGTATCTCCAACAACTGGCACAGTGAATGGCATGGCACATGGGAGGAACCCAACTGATAGTTTTGAAAGGAATGAACAAAACCATGAATTAGTTTATTTCAAATGAATGAATGCAGAACACTACTGCTCTGTAACCTGGGCCATCTGCTGAACTATGCAAACCAAAATTCTGAGAGCTTTGGTAATTTCCACGTTTACAGAAACAAAACCAATGTCGGGGAAATAATTTGAAAACTCCTGATTCCTCCTGCCACTCTTTCTAAACACTGCCACTGCCTTAGGTAAATGAAAGTTACTGATAAGGAAAAGCCACCGGGTGTTTCTTACTCATTTGTTTATTCAACAGCCAAAAATATTTCTTGAGGGACTGTTATATGTGAAAGGGTTATGGATAATAGAAAGAAGCGTGAATGTTTTGGAATCAAGATGTGGGCTCCTCAGGTTAATTAAAAGTAATTAGCAGCACTAGGGAAATAAAAATGCTGCTCATGGGAATCTTACCATGGTGGAGGAAAGCAAAGCAAGTTTCTAGGGGGGGAATTTGTTGAGGTTTTAATAGGAGGGTGGTTATGGCTTAGCAGTTTACAGAACGATAACATTCCATGAGTAGGGTATGTGTCAAGACATAGAAATAAGAATGAGTTTGTCACATGCAGGGTCAACTGGCCAGCATGGAGGGCACTGAATGGTACTGATATTATAAGAGTTCAGAAAGGCAAAAGTGGGGTAGATCACAGAAGATTCAATGTCAGGCTGAGGTGTTAAGGCTTTAATTTGTAGTTGGGTACAACATCAAAGTCTTCTAGCAAGCAAGTTCTCAAATACAAGCAAAGTTATAAGATGACTAATTAGGTAGTAAAATGTAGGATTGATAAGTTATTTAGAGTGAGAGAAGGGACTAGGAAAAATCAGTTGCACTAGTTCTGTATGAGCTAAACAAATGCCTGGGTGAAATTATAGGGATAGTGATAAAAAGAAATATTCTCAAACCAGAAAGCATCAAACAAACTGACAGTAATAATTGTCAGCTACAGCAACGAATTCTGTGAAAGATATTGTTTCCAGTGTACTTGGTCACATTAAAGAGAACCAGCTGTCTAAAAGCATAATCATATATGCTCTAATAGATGATGAAAGTTGAAGGCAAATCATATTTATCAAGCATTTACTAAGTGTCCAGAATTGTGCCAAACATGTACCTGCACTATTACATTGACTCTTCACTGAAGCTTAGTGGTTACTTCATCCTCCTCCCACAGTGCAGATAAGGAGATGAAGACCAGTATAAGTAATTTGACCATGCACACCCCGCCAGTGAGAGGCAGATTTGTGATCTGAAACAAAGAAGCCTGAATTTGGTCTCTAATATAAACTATTCTGCAGACTGGAATCATTTTTATTTTTCACCATCTGCTCATACAGAAGCCTTTGCATCAAAGATCTGAACAGTTTTTGTTTCATCTGTGTTCCATCTGAATGAACCCACAGCTGGAGACATCCTAAAAATGGTAGCAGGAGAGTTACCACAAGAGACTTTCCCAAACCATCCCAAGATGAGGCCCATTGGGATTCCAAAGAAAGAAACGCTAAATACCAGGGTGATCAGTCCAAACAGTTTATTAAAGGAACTTACATACAGAGTACTACAGCAGTCCTTGAAACAAATAGTGAGAAAAGAGATCTAGATATGTCTGCAAAAAGGAGGTTAGGTTATGGAGCACATATGGGGATTTAAGGAATTTGGTTTAGGGCTGGGGCTAGTTTTAATGTGTATAGCAACATGTTGGATCTTTTAGTGTTTCAAGCAACAATTAAATAAGCTTATCAGTGCCTGGAAATGTTCAGGGTCCCAGCTTGGGTTCAAGCATGAAAGAAAATACATACAGTTGGCCCAGACACAAAGCAGTCAAGGCACTCTGTGTTTCTTCGTCATTACAAAGAAAAAAAGTAAGGGCAACTTGGGGGACCCTACAGACTTTCAAATGACCAAGGACAAATAGGCCCATGTCTGTTAGTTTAAACATTAACTTATTTTCTTAGTCTGATCAACTCTAGCCCGACTGACAATCTGAACAGTCAGCTCACAAGAGCTATAGTAGCAGCACTTCTCCTTCTAAGTTACTTGTCCCAGTTTTTAAGTATTCAAAAGAATGTATGTGAAAACAAGAGATATCCATAACACTCAGTGCTGTTTCAAATTTTCCTTTCATGTATGCCTGACCACAAAGTAAGGAGCTCAGAAAATATGAGACACCGTAACTGAAGAGCAATGAGAAGTCTTAGATTTTATCTTAAACTTTAGATACATTTTGCAATCTACTATGGGATATATCCTTGTTTACTATAGTACAGCTTATTTTATTTTAAAGGCAATTTCACATTTTTCTGCCAAATAATGATGGTCAAGTGGGTCGCACCATGTTTAAGATAAACACCAGATGTGCCTTGCCTGAAATCTACTGGGATGGCTGTACCTGATTTGAGAAATGCTAAAACAGGCCAGATGTGTGACTACTGTGGGATGGCAAGATGACACCATGGCCGACAGCATGGGCTTTGGCGCGACCCCACCTGGTTTGCTCCATCGTTATTAGCATCAGCTTTCTCAAGCAAGTTGCTAAACCTCTCATTACCTTTCATTACATAGTCTCATTTGTGAAACAGAGCTTACATTTCAGAGTTCAAGTAACAAAATATTTATATGTCTTATAATGGATCCTACCACACAGAATTGTCATGAATATTGAATGAATTAATATACATACTATGAATGATGCCTAGCATAAACACAACATAAAAATTTAAACATCTTTATTGTTATATATACAACTGAGAAGCTTCAAGATTAAAACACGCAAATCACACTTTTAAAACTTTCTTTTATAGAGGGAACAAAGAGAAAGAAATGCCTGGAACAGAAAACCAAAAGCACGCCAAGGAATCATAGCGAGTAGCCAATTTATATTAATTCTGTCAACAAATATTTGTTGAATACACATGGGTTGGATATTCTTCTAGGTACTAGGGCTGCAGCAGTCAGTAAAAACAATCTTTCCTCTAGAAGGACTTTAGAGACTAGCAGAGGACATAGCAGTTAATTAAATAATGCATCCAAGAGTACACATTTTTATCTTTAAAAATTGCCACAAAGGAGAGCCACACTGGTGCAATGAACCTAAGTTGAGGGGATTTGGCTGAGTCAGGGAAATCTGGAAAGGCTGGTCTGAGCAAGTGAGTTCCAAGCGGACATCCGAAGAATCGGCAGGAGCTTGCTGGTGACATGTGATGACCGAGCATTGTAAGCAGAATGAGCAGCCTGTGCGAAACCCCTGTGGGAAAAGCAGCTCCACACACACCAGGTTCTGAAAACAGGCTGGTGGAGAGTGTGAAAGTCAGCTCGCAGGAGAGGGCATCCGAGGAGCAGCCATGGGGTGGCTGGCCAAAACAGGGAAGACAGTGAAGGAATAAGACAAATCGTGGGCTTTGTGATTCCACAAACCATGAGCAAGATCAGAGGCAGGTCCCCAACACTGTGTCTCCCTCTACAAGGAGGCTCAGTGACTGCTCAGAACCCTTCTTCCACCCCAGGCCTCTCCTTCCTCATGCTAACCTAACACATTCATCTCCTGGGAGGAAAAAATAACTCTGAGTTGTATTTTTACAAATGGAAAAATACATGGGTTTCTATTTCTGGCGTTTGTTTTGTGGAATATGACAAAAATATTTCAACCCAAATAGGCATAATTTCTAGCTTCATATTCCTCAGGGCCTCTGCTGTGGGTCATATCTCCTTCTCAATGCTCGGATATATCTATACCAGCTCCCCTGTTCATCCCTGCATAAGAGTTCTCTACGTTTCCAGACATACCAGAGGTGCCCTTGTGAAAATGACGCTCTACAAAAGGAATTCAAATAGTAGAGATGCTCATCCTTAGAAAGAATTTATAGGGGAAGGTCTAAGAGGAAATGACTCCTTTGTTCTTTATTACAAAGTGTTTTAGGGAAAAATAGAAAAGGGAGAAGAATAAGTAAAAAGAGAAGATACAGGAAATTTATAATCATATCTTTTTTCTTCATTGATTATGAAAGCGAATATATCAAGTAGCTCATAGATATTTGTTAGAGGGTTGATCCAGGACTGGCCTTTATTGGAGTAGGCAAGAAGATGGGATGTAAGATCTTCTGATCCGAAGTTGAACATCAGGTGCTTTTCCCACAGAGACTCTCAGGGGAGGACTGCATAATGGTTAGAAGTGAGGACTCTGACTGTGACAACCCAAGTTTGAATTAGTTCATGTCTCTGTGCCTGTGTTCCCTAACCTATAAAGTGGTTATGTACCTCTAATATGTATAAGATAATTAAACAAATTACTGTATTTAAAAGCACTTAAAAGGGCCAGGCGCAGTGGCTCACGCCTGTAATACCAGCACCTTGGGAGGCCGAGGCAGGCAGATCACCTGAGGTCAGGAGTTCAAGACCATCTGGCCAACATGGTGAAACCCTGTCTCTAATAAAAGTATAAAATTAGCCAGGCGAGGTGGTGGGTGACTGTAATCCCAGCTACTAGGGAGGCTGAGGCAGGAGAATCGCTTGAGCCCGGGAGGCGGAGGGTGCAGTGAGCCGAGATCGTGCAACTGCACTCCAGCCTGAGTGACAGAGCAAGACTCCATCTTAAAAAAAGATAAAAGGCGGGGCACAGTGGCTCACGCGTGTAACCCCAGCACTTTGGGAGGGTGAGGTGGGCAGATCATGAAGTCAAGAGATCGAAAACATCCTGGCCAACATGATGAAACCTCGTCTCTACCAAAAATACAAAAAAAAAAAAAAAAAAAAAATTAGCTGGGCATGATGGCACACACCTATAGTCCCAGCTACTTGGGAGGCTGAGGCAGGAGAATTGCTTGAACCCTGGAGGTGGAGGTTGCAGTGAGCTGAGATAGAGCCACTGCATTCCAGCCTGGCAACAGAGTGAAACTCCGTTTCAAAAAAAAAAAAAAAAAAAAAAAGATAAAAATAAAAATAAATAAAATAAAATCAAATCACTTAAAATAATTCCTCCCATACAGAAATCTCTACATGATGTTATTAACTTTTCCCATTTTTATGGCTCAACCTGAGGCACTAGGGATATGATAAGGAGGTCTTCATTTGTTTTGCAGCTGTAGGCTGCTTTGTTTTGTTCTGCCAGCACAGATTCCTTTTCAAATTACCTGCATCAAGGAAAGAAATTTGTTCAACTAGTATATCTCAATTTAGAGATATGTATTATGTATTGTCACGTATGTTAACTGCAAACCACGACATTAGCTGCTTTTATGAATGTGACTTCATAGAATCCTTATTTTTTAAAGTAGATATTATCAGCATACCCATTTCTAGCTGAGAAAACTGAGGCTCAGAGTTTAAATAATTGCTCAAGAAACGGAAGAGAAGCAGCAGAAGAGTCAGGTTTTAAACACAGACTTGAAACACAGTAAACACTTTTAAAAAGCACAAGATAGCATTAATTATTATGAGTTTGTCTCTGAGCCAGACTAATTGCCTTAAAATACTACCTTCTCAAATTACCAGCTAAGACAGGAAATTAATTTAATATCTCTGAGCTCTATTTTTCTATCTGTAAAGTGGAGATAATAACTGCCCCATAGAGTTAACCCCATAGGATTATTGTAAGGATTAATTGCAAATATGCATACAACATATTTAGTGCAGTTCCTGGTCCATAGTAAGTGCACAATGAAAAGCAATTAACATAATTGCTAAATATATATTATACAATACATATAATATGATGTGTGTGTATATGCATGTGTGCCATATACCTATTTCTTCCTTGTCCATTTTGTGAAGATCTCTTATTGCTTGGCTAGAAAAGCAATGCTATGACCCTTGCCAGGGCTTCCAAAGCTATCAAGACCAACACTCCTTTTCACTAACCTACTACCATGTAATCAAAACACCTCTAAACTAGATTCCAAGTTGTAGGTTATCTTTGATGAAAACTTGGTAGATAAAATTATTTTGGTGTTATTGAGTAGTTGATATCTCATTCCTCCTTTTTCTCCACCACTATATAAAATAAATGCAATCATAGGAATATCATGATCATGATTGTCAGTCCTCTGAGCTCAAGCTAAGCCATCATATCCCCTGTGACGTGCACATATACATCCAGATGGCCTGAAGCAACTGAAGATCCACAAAAGAAGTGAAAATATGACATTCCACCATTGTGATTTGTTTCTGCCCCACCCTAACTGATCAATGTACTTTGTAATCTCCCCCACCCTTAAGAAGGTTCTTTGTAATTCTCCCCACCCTTGAGAATGTACTTCATGAGATCCACCCCCTGCCCGCAAAACATCAAAACATTGCTCCTAACTCCACCACCTATCCCAAAACCTATAAGAACTAATGATAATCCACCACCCTTTGCTGACTCCTTTTTCGGACTCAGCCCACCTGCACCCAGGTGAAGTAAACAGACTTCTTGCTGACACAAAGCCTGCTTGGTGGTCTCCTCACACGGATGCGTGAGACAATTATCATCATCACCACCACCAAGACCATGATGACATCAAGCATTACTGAATAGTTATTTCATGCCAGCATTGTGCTAGATGTTTTGCATACGTTATCCTATTTCTTACCGAAAAAAGTAGCTCATCTTGGCCATACCAGATGGTGAGAAAATTGGGGCAGAGGGAGATAACAAATTTACTCCATATGATGTTAAAATGGAAAAAGTTCCCTTATCCCCCTCTCAGGGTGTGCAATGGGTGTGTGGCTTGCTTCTTTGGTGCCCTGATTTTCATAACCCTAAGGAGAACATGCAGACGGGCAGGTTGTGGGGAGCGCTGACCCCACAGCAGTGTCTAGGGTTGAGTGTTTTCAGCTCCGAAAGCCCTGGTGGGTGTGCGTTACAATGTGCTCTTTCAGTTTTGCTGTCTGCAGGTGGCTTGTGTTAATCAGCTTAATTAGATCCTCTGCCTTATTGCAGGAACAGAGTGCTTTCTGTATCCCAGGTTCCTGCCTTAGTGTACCAGAAAAATTGGATCACATGGCTTGGAGAATGAGTAAAAAGGTTTGATTGAATGGTGGAGGTAGCTCTCAGCAGGTGGATGGGAACCAGAAGGGTGATGGGAACCAGAAAGTGGATGGAGTTGTTCTTCCCCTGGAGTCAGGTCACTCAGACCGGGCTCCCACTGCCCTTGGCCAAACTCCACATCCGTGGATGGCCTGCCAGAGTCTGCTGGTGTCTGTCTGCCTGTGTGTTCTTCTGTGGGTGTGTTCCTCTTGACATCCAGCCACTTGGGTCTGTGCCTGTTAGGGTCTAGGGGTTTTTATAGGCCAGGATGGAGGGTGTGATGGGCCAGAGTGGTCTTGGAAAATGTAACATTTGGGCACAAAAACACGAGTACCTTTCCTCACCTAGGTCCATGGGCACAGGCCCAAGCATGGAGCCGTCACCAGGGACCCCACTTTTCTCTACCCAGCACTTCCTGTCCTGCTCCTGTATCAGTGATAACTGGTAATGTCATAAATAGCAATATTCTAATGTGTGTGTGTTGTGTGTATGTGTGTGCATAATCCCTCAATTGCTGAAGTAATCCTACATAAACCAATGCATGCATTTTCCCAATGGGTGTGATTCTTAAGAGCAAAAATTGTTTTCTCTACTTTTTGTGAACAGTAGTTCGTGTCGAATATTAAATTACTGCATGTGGCCATGACATATTTGATGACGCATTATCAAATGCTTTGTTGCTTGTGTTGTCCAGATTTTCTGGGATTCGTTGGAGAGTCCCAATTTGATTACTTCGGAACACCTGCAGTAAGGGCAGACATCTTAAGTGTTCACTGAATGTTAATTAAACAAATGAGTAAATGGATTAAATTAAGTTCCAGCTGCACTGATGTAGCTTCAGGGTTTGTATATAAATGACACTTTTAAATAATTGGTACAATTGAGAATGAAATGGCCAATTCTAGAGACATGATTCTTTCTGGTACATTAAGACATAACAAGAAAACACAGATTCATGATTTATCATTATCTCTTTTAATATCAGGTTCCCATGATTCTTTCCAATTATATATAATTCTTAGAATTCTTTCCATGCTGGGGGATCTGGTAAGAAGAGTGGAAAGCAGAAGAGCCATATGGCAGCACCTCTATTTACTAGAATACACCTAAGTTATGGATTACAGTATAGTGAGCCAAGAATTCCAATGAATTTTACTAACCAGGAATGTGATGATCGCTAAGGCCTTGGTCAAGGCTTGTGTCTCCAAAACACTTTGACTTCAGATTTTATTTTCTCAACCTCAAATACCTTCTTTTCCAGGAAGAACGGGCCCATTTAGAGACTTAAGAAAAATCTCTGACTGTGGAGAAAATATTAGTCTTTCCTTTCAGATTCCAAAAAAATTGTACAACTTTATTCTGTTGAATCAAAATGATAAGTACCCCCACATTCTTGATCACAGATACTAAAGTGGTATCTCTCCTCATTAGGTTTTTGAAAGGATCGTATGAAAGAGTATATGTGAAAGTGCTTAGGAAATAGTAAAGTGTGGTCTTCATGTATAACTGTCTGGTGAGAGGATCCTGAAAGTCTACACATGAGTATCACAATCAAGATCTCCTTTTTAGGTATAAAACCTAGTTTTCAAATGATATCCTGTGTAACCTCATTTAAATGATAGAGGAAATATAGATCTGCTTAAGTTCAAGCCACGAGACTTTTGCCTGGAGCCAGAGGCAAGAGGATGAACAGAAGGTAAGAAATGCCTAATACAAGCCAGGGGTTATCTGCCTTCATTTATATTTTACTTTGGCTGAAGGTTTTTAAACATTTTATCTGGTAATACCTTTAGGGAGATCAAACAGTCTTCAGACCTTGCTCTTTCTCTTGTCTTACCCAGGGGTGATACTCATATTTATCAAGATGTTTGAATTTGGGCCCTTGATATAGACCTTTTATACTCCTAATGCTTTTGAACTTGAATTACCTTTTCTTTTCTTTTCATTTCAGAAATGATTCAAAGGATGGATTAAGTTAAAACTGACTAATATCCAGATCTACTTGGAAAGAAATGGTGGTGAAGCAGAGGAAGTCCAGGGGTATAACCTGAAGGACCTGCTTGAACAAACTAAGGTTTGTTCAAGGATTAGTCTGTCTTCAGCACCTTGAACCAGAACAGGGTACAATATAATCTAGCCAGGTTCCAGAAAATATTCTATTCCTTATCAAAAGCAAAACTTACCTCCAAGTTTTGTTTATGTTCTTAAAGTGTTATTTTCCAATCATCATCTTCTGAGGAATTCAGGGCATTAGATGCAGGAACATGAGAATTTTTTTACTGATATTCCTCATTGCTCTCAACACAAAGTGTTTTTTGAGAATCAGGAGCTAGGTAATGTTCGTTGAACCAGCCATATGCTACGAGCATGATAGGCCCTTGACGTGAACTATTTTATTAGATCTTCATAGTAGTATTATCTCCAATTTACTGAGGTTCCTGAACTAACTTGACTAAGGCCACACAACTAGTACATGTCAAGACAAGATTTTAAATTTTCTTTCCAGCTCCAAAGGTCATGATTTTCTTGCCACCATCTGTGTGTATTCTCCATGCCCCTGATGCAAAAACTCCAAAATCCTATTTCATTTTTTCTTTAGCCATATCTGTCTGGACTCCTATAAATAGGCATAGGCTCAGCTCTCAGATGCATACATGTTGATCTTTGTTTCAGGAGCTAAATGCAGCCAAAAACCATGGGCTTAGGTGGCTGTTTTCTAGTGGAGGTTGTAAGGGAAGAAGAATTTTCCACATCAAATCATGTTTGAGATGTAGTGTTGGTTTCTTCTACTAGCTGCTTTCCCTCAAACCTGTTTTCCATCCCTCCCGCTGATTTGAGCTGCCCAAATTATTTCTAAAAATTCATTTGAGGTTTAACTTATCCAGAGTTAGTTCCTGTTTCTTGAAACTTTTAACCTGGACAGATCCAGTATTTTTATAGTCATGTCTGTCACTTGGTGGCAGTTATCTACCACAAAATCCCAAATAAATAGACACCACACACACAGAAGCATATCCATGCACACACATACACAGCTGTCAGAGGTCATGAGAGTGCTTAATGAACACCTCGACTCCACTGCCCCGATTCACCCAACGCTAGACGCCTACATCACAGTGTTATTCTAAATTTATGTCAATGCATTAGGCAAAATAGTGTGGTTCCATTTTCTTTGCATATGAAATCTGCTACTCATCTTTGAGTCCTCACAAGTCCCATTTCCTTTATCAACCATCTCCATGATCTAATTATCATGACCCAAAGAGTCACGTGTCCTGAAACTCAGCACTCTTGGCCTCCTTCTCGTGCTTTGGTTTTCCTTGAATTTGCACGTGACCCTTTATATCATGACCTGTTGATTTTTCCTTAAAAATCCTACTCCAAACTCACCTCCTCTCCAATTTACTTCCTCTCTGACTTACTTTTTGTAAACCTTAACTTCTCTTTTATTTTGTTCATCTATTTTAGTGCTCAGATATACTATGCTGTTTACATTAAAAATTTTATCTTCGAAAAAACATTCTGATACCTATCTATCTATCCACATGATAAACTCTGGGGATAAAGTGGCAAGGTAGGTTAAAAAAAAAGACAGGGTGGATTGTAAGACAATTAAAATTTGTTGTGCCTTTCTGTGATGGTATTATACATCCCATCTTGTTAAATCTGGATGGAATGTAAGCCCCTATGATGTGTGTCATTTCCAGGCAGAAATTTTAAAAACCAGCCAGTGGTTTACCATGCTTCCTCTATCACAAGTTTAACCAGACAAAGAATGATCACCAGATTAGGTATTAGAGGGAAGGCAACTTGTCAGAGTTGTAGCTGAGAGAGGGAGATGTATGTGTGTGTGTTTGTGTGTAATATACATATATAAATATATATTATATACATTTATAAGTATATATTATATGTATAAATTAATATATTAATATATGTTCAAAATATATTATAATTCTTGATCTTAAGCCTGTGATATCTGGTCTTCTTTATTACCTAGCTAACCAGTCCAAACAGATACAAGTGAGGAACGGCAAAGTGAAGCAAATTCCTCTGCTCTTCAAGAAAGACAAAATGTGGCCAGGCAAGTAAAATCACTTAAAAAATAATTTCTTATTGATGTTAAAATAACATGTTTAAATTGTGATGGAAAAGTACGGAGAGGCAATGAAAGTAAATTTTATAGAGAAATGCTGAAAAGGGAAAAAATATGCTACCCAGAAGTATTTATTAGTTAATTGAGATTTGTGCTAACGACAATTAAATATAAACAGTGAAAACTTCAATTTCACATCGTTTTATAATGAAAACCAAATTATAAACAAATCTTTCTTTGAGTGAAACAGACAGTAGTTGTATTCTTTATGACTATTAAAGCAAAAGTGTTTCTCAAAATTATTCAGAGATGAATTATTTCTCTAGCACAATCAGGCTCTGCTTTGACAAGTATTGAGGTTTAAAAAAACATGTCTTTCAGAAAGCTGTTAGCAGTTTTTTCTGTTTTTTAGAGTTTTTTTTTCTTTCTTTAGAGTTTTTTTTCTTTGAATTGGGGAAATTATGAAACTAAAGAGAAACATAACCATCTCTATAGCAATGAATTAGATAAAGAGAAAGAGTAAATTTCTTAACTCTCATATCTCTAAATAACTCTGTACCAATTTCTGACCTTTTCCACTGAAAGCAAAAAAGCAGAAGAAAATGTGTAGGTGGGGTAAGGTGAGATTCCAACATGAATTCTAAAGGAAGAACAGTAAAAACAGAGTCTATTCTGGTTTATTTTAAAAATAAAGCCTTGTTCAACTAATTATCCCTTTGAATATTGCTTTAATTAAGGATGACAATAGCTCAGACAGAGGATGTCATGATCTTTTCAGTATTAAGCTTTAATTTTTCCATTTTTTTCTGATTAACATGGCTTCATTCCAAAATGTATAAAGCATGGGGGTGGAAGGAGTAAGAAAATGACTCTCCAGAGATAACTTCTGATAACGTGTTAGTTTATATTTTTCAAATATTTTATTTCCTACCTCCTTCACACTCCATTCTTCAAAGGAAACTGGCTGTATATAATCCTTTATAATTACTGTTTTTCCCCTAATAAATAATATCGTGGACAATTTCACATGTGTGAAAATATAGATTTACATCAATGCATATAGCCACATAATCCATGATATATTTCAACTATCATCTATGCATTTACCTGCTCTAAGATTTTGAAAAAGAATACTTTAAATTACAAAGAGGCCAATGCATTCATTCCTTATCTTTCAAAGTGGTTGTTTGAGCATATTTGGAGGACAGTGTAGATTATATCTTAATGACTGACATTAGAAACATTAGAAAAGAGGAAGTGAGAAATTATGTGGTTTAATTTATTTACTCACTTATTCTTTTACTCAAGAAATGTTTATTTGAGTGCCTTCCATTTGTCACATGATATGCTAGGTGCTAAGGATAATAAATATCAATATTTATTTGTAATAAATAAGACAATGCCAACAAAACCTTCTATCTTTGTGTGGTATCAGGGAGAGATAGAAAATGATAAATATTTTCGGTGATGATGTCTAGGATGGGGAAAAAAAGGAAAGGGAAAGAGCTTATGTGCATCTAGGAAAAGAATATCCCAGGAAAATGGAAAAATACAATGCCAAGACCCTGAGATGGGAGCTTGTCTGGAAAAGAAGCCAGTAAGATTGGAGGGGAAGTGAGTGAGAAAAATGGTAGGAGATGAGGTCTGAGGTCAGACTCTGCAGGTTCTTGTAGACCTTTGGCTTTTTTTCTGGATTAAGAGAGTTCATTAAAGGGTGTTGAGATGAAGAGTGATCTAATCTGGCTTATGTTTTAAAAGGATCACTCCGACTACTGTGCTGAGAATAGACTGAATGGGGACAAGGACAGAGACACAAAGACAAGTTAGGGCATTATTTCAATAATCTATATTAAACATTATGGTCTTTAAATCAGATGAGAAAAGAGGTGAGCTGATGGGGTTTGATGATGGGTCACTAGCACACTGTGAATAACATGAGAAGGCTGGGCTCATCACAAGGTTTCCAACATGAACACTGGAAAAGTAGAACTGCCAGTGATTGATCTCAAAAAGAAAATAGGAGAAGAATGTTTCAAGATGAAGATAAAGAGTTCAGATGATAAATATCTGAATTTGATATAAAGTTTGAGCTAGAAACACAATTTCTATATTAATCAGGGTATAGAAGGAATTTAATACCATAAGATGGAATTGGATTCCCAAAGAAGTGAATGTAGATAGAAAACATTACATTTTCAGTCCTCCGTTTTTTGGAAGCTGAGGAAATGAGCAGAAACTAGATGATAATAAAAACAATGGCCAGTGAGAAAAACAGGAAACAAGAAATGTTTGTATCCTGAAAGTCAAATGAAGTAAATATTCCAAACAGGGAGAAATGATCAACTGTGTTAAATTCTGGTGATTTACTTTAAAAAGTGGCCATTGAGAATAGACAGGACTATGTAATAACATAAAGACATTAATAAAAACAAACACAAATTGAACACCTGATGAATACCAGGCACCTGTTACTTCTACGGAAGACGCAAGCCTAGGTAATATCTGGTTCCTACTCCTAAGAATATAAAAACTGAGAGCTAAAGATAAGTATTTAGAGGGAAAAATTTTATAATACATATATAATGTATTTATATTTAATATTATATAAATTATTTTATATATAATTATGGCTTATAGTATGAGTGGAATTAGAATATGAGTTCTGTAACAAGGATCAGCATATGCAATTGCAGAGAGGATTAAAGCACATGACATATTCACAGAATAGGTGCAAAGGAACTAGATAAAGCATCCTACTTCTTTATTCTTGATTCACTCTCAATTCATTCTTCATTCTTGTCACAAGACACCTTTGAGTTAATGGTAATAAAGCAGGCTGTGAACCAAGAAGAAACTGACATAGTCACGGTCATTCTGTAAATTAATAACAGTTTTATCTGTAAATTATGTGTACATGGTGTGATTTTAACAAAACCAGGGAACAGAGCCCATCCAACCCAAGAAATGGTTTTTTTTTTGTAATGGAGTCTTTGTAATTTATTATAATAATTTTTCAATTTCTCCAAATATTTTTAACCTGTGGTTTGAGATCTTCTGATTTCAAACTGCTTATAATCTAAAGCAGTATTCAAATCAAACATAGCAGAAGCATAGAAACATCTGCCTAAATGAGCTTTCCCATGAGGCTTCACTAAAGAAATTTTCTCCTATGGAGGCTAGCCTTGCAAGATAACTCAAAGAATATTACTGTCTTTATTCTCTATTCTGTTTCTTTCTAATTTCTCTGTGCCTCTCTCCATACAAGGAAATTGTACTTAATCTTCTCCCTGTGGAGAAGATACTACACATGGGTGCTACCAAGAGGGATCTCACCTGAGGGAAGGCCTGGCTATAGAACAGCTAAAACCCTGCAAATCATTGATCTGGCCATTTTAGAGGAGGCCATTGTTAAAAGTTTGTGTATGTCCTTTGGGCCTTTTTCTAGGTACTTATAGCTGTATCTACACAACTTTTAAGTGATTTAAGACATTTGAATGTAGGTAAAAATATTAACATGGAATAAAGTCACAGCTGTGCCAGAGCAGCAGGTCTATATGGGTAGAACAATGAACGAGCAAACAAATTTAAGTTTATCCTCACGTCATGTCTTGGCTATGTAGGGTTGGAACCAAGATTTACAGTGTTAGACGTTATTCTGTTTAATAACACAAGCCATCCCTTCAAGTTTCTCAAGGTCTTTATAGGTACCAAGGAGACATATAAATAGGGAGTCAAGTTAACATTGAACTTCAGTTTGCTGGAAGAGTTTACTTTGTCTACATTAAGGAGTGCTAACACATTAACAGGCTAATAAATTTTGATTTCTTCTCCTCACTTCTGTTGTTATCAGATTAAAAAATAGTATTATACTTTTGTTGCTCTAACAGGCTTTAATAAGGACTAGCTGATCTGTTTTTGCTCAGTAAATAAGCCATTAGATTACACACAGGAGGTCAACAGGGACAGAAGTTAAACAGTCTTGCTCTGCCTTCAGCAGTATCCATTGCAAGAGATTAATAACATCACAAGTGCTATTTTTTTAGTTATGGCAAAAAATTATATAAATAAAAATTTACATAAAATAGTCTGAGTTTGAATATTGTGAAAGGAAAAAAATCAAATTTTTAAATTATTTTTTTCTCCTAGCATGGAGACATGGATAGTATTAATTGTACATTTGTAACATTTAGCCTTGTTCAGGTAGAGATTGCTATTACGCTCCTTTTATTTCTGAACGCGGCATAAAAGAGAAAATGACAAAGGCATGGAAAAGAAAGCCCAAGAGGAAAGATGAAAGGAATTGAGTTTATTCATTCTGGAGAGAATTATCTTGGAGGGCAGAGTAATAACGTTCTTCACACAAGTGGAGACTTCCCAGAGACGCAGCAGTGGCTCTCAGGGGTGTGGTTTCCTCCTGCACAATCCCTGCTTGTCAAGAAGGCACTTAAAAGAAGAGATGTACTTATTTTATAATTAAGTAAGGTCAAGGGATCCACTTTGAAATTCTTGCTTGGAGACCTACAATGAAAATTCTCCGCTGTCGACATGGATAACAGAATAAGCAGAGACACACTTTCACCCATATGTGAAGAATTCTGGTTAGAGACCACAGTTTTTAAATGTACCTGAGTAAGAAAGAAAATGATTACTGGAGAAGTTATACAACGACATGAAAAATTAGACAAATGCATCAGTCTGGGATAGCTTGGGAGTAAGAATAAATTTTTTTCTCAAAGTCCTACCATGTCAATAACCTGATACTAACATTATCTTAAATAACTAAAAATGCAGAATTAACGGTTAATTATGGGAAGAAATTGGTGAGATGGGCCACATAATAATATCTTTTGAGAGTCTTCTCAGTGTCTATTTCACTGTTACGTATTTGAATAAGTTCCATCCTGACATGCTTTGCCAGTTGAGCAAAGTCCTATCACATGACTTTTGTTGTGGATCTCCTGGCAGCATATACGAGGACTGAAGGTAAGAAGCACTTTCATCAAAGTCTACTGGATTGACCAGTCAGGCTGATGCACTGGGCTCTTGGGGCTCTCTCTTCTCAGAAGAATGGAAACACAGTTTGCCAAGAAGAGAAAAGTGCACGTGGTTATTCCTATTGTGCTGATGAGAAAACAGAGATTTAGAAAGTTGAGTCTTGTGGATTCACTATATCATTTTTTTTTTCAGGTGGCTTAAAACAAATGATGCTAGCTGCTAGCTACATAAAGACTTGGAAGGAATTGCAATATATTTGCTATTTTCTCATTTAGTAGCTCAAAGAACTTATCCCACTATAGCTTGCTGCTGTCACTGTGTTGTCATCATAATAATAATGACCAGTTTGGTCTTGGCCTATGAAGTCAGCAATGTAGAATTGGAAAGTTAGGCTGTTCCTCACTCCATTATCCCTCCCCATTGCCCAATGATATATTTAAAATTAAAGGAGCTTTAACCTGAAAAATACAATTTTGGATAACTTGGGAAGTAAAAAACATGCCTTCTCGATCTTGAGGATTCTTTTCAAACTGGCTGCTTTGTTGGTTAATGTTTTAATGAGACATTAACAGACGTATTTTCTGAAAATAATGTGTTATTTTCAGACTGCTTTCATTGAAAAATATCACCAACTTTTACACTTTTGCCCTGCTGGAACAGATGGCAAGCCAACTGTCAACAATATTTTTTTGTAAGGCACAGTAAAGGAGGCAGGAAGAAGAATAAAGAATGCTTTTTTTCTTCTTTAGATGTCTTAATTATATTTTCAAAGTAATTCTTTTAATATTAGAAAATATAGTTCTGTAAGTTCCCTGGAACTCATAAAGAGAAACAGGCGCTATTTGGCAGAGTTAAAGTTGAACTCACTAACCATTTGAAGAGTCTAATTTAACTAATTAGTGATTTTTGCAGCTGTCTACATTTTCTTTCATCTGGTCAAATATTAACTTTAAAACTTTTTTTCCCCAACAGAAGGATAAGCTGAGCCATAAATTTTTAAAATAAGATTTCTCAAGATTTTTCTTGAAATACTAGGCCTGATTTTTAAGATCTGGCTGAGTATTTCCCTCCTATATTGGTCTATAGATACCCTGCAGCAGAATGTTTATTTTCAAGTGATTCCCACTGATTTTATACACCCTGAAGTTTGGTAACTACTGTGACTTTAGTCTTTTAGGTCAGTAGTTTTCAAATCGAATTCCTCAAAGCCCCAAAGTTCAATGGAAGGTTCTCAGTGCTGTTATTAGGAGATGAGAAAGAGTTCTAGAGTATTTTGGCTTCAATGAAAGAATCCATTTCTAAATGTCTTATAAATGTTATTGAATTTCAAATACAACATGTGCAAAGTGTATCCTGTTTAAAATTTTGTCATTGCTGTTATCAATTTCTCATTTGGTGTTTCAGGTAGCATATATAATATTATACAATGTTTCTCATTTGATGAGGGATAAAGAAGTAGTAGTATTTCATTTTTGCCCATACGAGGAAAGAAAGAAAAGGACACCAATATTCTTCTGGGGCTGGTGTTGTGTTGGCAAGAGGAATCAAAATAGAGACTCCCTGAGGCAGAGAGGGTCTAAAACCCAATAAATGGTCTAAGACTGCCTTTCAGCAATCATGTCCTACAATTTTTTCCCCATAAAAGACCTGTATGCCCAAATCTTGAAAATGTTTATATTCTGTTCTGTTTAGAAAGTGCCAGTGTAAAGGGATACTAAGGGTTGGGTGGGAAACTGAGCAGGACTAAAAATTAACTAATTTTTTAAAAATTAAAAAATTAAAAAGAGTTGGGTTGTGGTGCCTGGAGAAAATACATTTTTAAATAAAGCCTATATAATAAAATGCAAACTTTCTTAATAGATTGCTCAAAAACGTTTTTTAAAAATGCTATTGGGGTTTATAGAAGGAAGAAGCAAAAGTGGCTTGAAAGAGGGAGGGAGAGTTATACAACTGGCCTTGGTGGAGGAATTGAACAAGCGTGGACAGAGACTATTAAGGGAAAATCTAGGTGAAGGTTAAAGCAATCTCTTTCCTTGTCATATTAGAGAATTCTTTCATGCTGTGGATAGTTGCTAGGCAGAGTAGATTGGCTATAACAGTAATCAGCAGTGCTTTGTGCCCTTCCCAGAAAGGCAGGAGGCCATAATCCAGCCCCTAGAAACTGCTGAATTCTTGGAACCATAATAATGCGCTTATTTATTCTGTTCCTACTAGTTTCTAAACATTATTCTATAATCTTATATTTGGTGACTCTTGTTGAAGAAAAATTGCATCAAACCAATTAAACAGGCAGGAAAGACTGTATTCAAGATGATTGCAATAAGAGAGAATGTAACATCCTCTGAAACAAGAGGTGGGAAAGTTCTTAAGCGCTAGGGTGAGGTAGTGGAGGTGATGAGGCCATTTATATTTGCTAATTGGTATTTATCAAAGTTAAACTTCTACCCTCCCACAGAGACTGGGAGATAGGGGCTCTGTCCTTCTTGATGAATACGTTTCAAAGGGATGAACCCCAGGCCCTTGAGATAGGCATTCCTGGGTCATAAAACTAGCAAGAGGCTATGAGAAGATTAATATTTTAAAGGGACTGAGAAAGGGCTTAAAGGTGCCTGTTTTCTAAAGTAAAGTATCTAAGAAAAGGTAGCTCAGGGGCTTAGAGTCAGGAAGAAACCTGTCAAAGTTG
This sequence comes from Homo sapiens, assembly GCF_000001405.40. Classification (NCBI taxonomy): domain Eukaryota; kingdom Metazoa; phylum Chordata; class Mammalia; order Primates; family Hominidae; genus Homo; species Homo sapiens. The sequence continues at coordinate 65,891,850 of NC_000010.11, read as the reverse complement.
AGTCAAACAGAGGGGAATGTTAAAGCCACCTGGGTCACCCTCAGGACTAAAATAGCCAGTGAAAGTACACCTTCCTTCACCCATAGCATCTCAAATTTGCTTTTCAAATATTGAAATTATCTGTTCATATGTCTATTTTTCCAACAAGATTAGCACTTTTACCTCCAGCAACTACTACAGCATTAAATGATGAACTTACAGTTTTCAAAAGTATATTCATTAATTATGAACATCTTGACTACACTAAGTTATCAGAGAAAAGGGAAGTGATTTAGCTCTTGATCACAGAGACCCAGAGCATCAGTAAATCAAGTGATGACAAAAGCAAAGAACTCCATAATGACTCAGCTATTCTCAATCAGGCTGTGTTAAAACCACTCAGGTTGAGCATGGGGAAGCTCAGCCGGTACAAGTGGTAGTCAGTGTTCCCCTGACAGTATAATTTTTATGGTGTTTGTTTTATCAAACATAAATGTGCAACTTGACTGCCACAAACTTCCAGAAAGAAAAAAAACACAAAGATATCATCGCAGAACATAAAATAAGGTAAGAGACATCATTAAGAAACTTTCCTAGAATTGTTTACCTTATGGAAAAAGTAAATATGCAAAGCTCTCTGTCTGTTTGAGAGTAAATTCCTCTTTAGGAAATAAACTATAATCCTGATATTTATCAGCTCGAAAAGAGTCTGATTACAAACTTGGCAGAATGTAGGATCTACTGGGTGTGGGGAAGGAGTAGGTAATGAGCAGGTGTGAAGTGGGGGAATGGGCAGTAGAGGTAGTGGAGGATGCAGTTTTTAAAAAAATAGTTTTGGCAGAGAGTTGTTGAATTTATATTTTGTAATATATTTAATGGCATGGATTTTTAACAATTTTAATTTATCTTATTTCCTTAATTAAGAAATAAAAATTATATATATTTATGGTATACAACATAATGTTTTGATATATACATTGTGAAATGGCTAAAGCAAGTTAATTAACATATGTATTATCTTGCATACTTCTCTCTTTTGGCTGAAAACACTTAAAATCGACTCTCTTAGCAATTTTCAAGTATATAATATACTGTTGTTAATTACAATTACCATTATATACGATAGATCTCTTGAATGTTTTTCCTCCTGTTTAACTGAAATTTTGTATCTTTTGGACAACATTACCCCAATTCCCCAAACTCTGGCCTCTGGTAACCACCATTTTACTCTCTGCTTCAGTGAGTTTTACTTTTTTGGATTCCACATATAGGTGAGATCATTGCAAGGATTTTTTGAACTTAATGAATAATTAAAATATTTAAGACCTGAATCAAATGAATTATTAAATCTGGTTATGGTTGAACTTTAATTTTCCAAAATTACTGAATCTATTCAAAATGGATTTTCATAATGGAATTGAGGTCATAAAATTTGGTGATAGGAAATTCAAATTAACAACAAAAAAGGGTTCTACTTCCAAACCCATATTTTTCCCTTGACATCTCTTTTACCTTTTCCTTTTTAAAAAAATACCATCTTAAGTGGGATCATTGAATACCCTATTCAATAATAGATACAGCTGGCTTCTGTACAAAAAGATGGAATTGATTTGCCTGTTAGTTCCAGCATGATGAAGGTATTAAATTCACAGTTTCCCCACAAAGTGCTGGCCAGAAGCATCTCAGATTTTCTAGTGGCTATTAGTGCTTCATTTGAATGGGCAGTGAGTCATATCATATAAAAACTCAATGATTAAATCCTTATATATTGAAGATCAGAAAACATAAGAAAACTCATGGCCATATGACCTCATGAGTTTTTCTTTCATATTGTTGTTTATCATATATAGGTTTCCACTTACATATTTCCAAAGATATATGGGTGAAGCTCTTATTGTAAGTGTAGATTATCATAATTTTTTTTTTTGAGACGGAGTCTCGCTTTATTGTCCAAGCTGGAGTACAATGGCAGATCTCAGCCCACTACAACCTCTGCCTACCAGGTTCGAGCAATTCTCCTGCCTCAGTCCCCTGAGTAGCTAGTATTAAAGGCATGCGCCACCACGCCTGGCTAATTTTTTTTGTATGTTTAGTAGAGACCGGTTTTGCCATGTCGTCCAGGCTGGTCTTGATCTCCTGACCTCAAGCAATCCACCTGCTTCGGCCTTTCAAAGTACTGGGATTACAGGCATGAGCTACCGCCCCCAACCAGATGATTATAATTTACAAGAATACTTATGGTACCCAGTTACGATGCTTAAAAATCTATGTGGAGCTGGAGGGTAGAGTAACAATATGACTTTTCAGGTTCAAAGTTATGGTATTACAGAAAGAGGGTAGCAGAAATATATAAAATCACTTCCCAAATATATAAGCAATCATGCAATTTAGATAAATTAGTGAACCAAAGAGTAAGTAAATTGTTTCACTTACTAAAGATATTTAGTGATTACATCTTCAGAGGTGTTATTCTACCTCAGAAGCTGAGCTTTAGGGTAAAATATAGTTTTTCTATTAATGGATGAATAGGGTGAATTTCTATTAGGTTTTGCTAAAAGTCTGCAGTAAAGGCTACTCACAGATTCTGTGTAGATTAAAAGTCACATCTATCCAATATTAGAAGTGGAATCACCATGATGGCATCTAAATGTGCCTAGTGCTCACTCCCACACAAAAAGGTGTTGTCCAAAACAACAAATGAACAACTAAAATCTGAATGGAATATCTGAGGGAGAGTGGGGGAGTCCAACAAGAAACTGGTAAAATCACTGTGGAGCATAAAAGCCCAGGATGGTAGTATAGAAGGAGAGCAAGGCTCCCTGCCTCTGCCACCCCATCCTCAGGGTTAAAGGCCATGAGGAGCTTCCCCTTGAAGAGAAAGGTAAGAAGAAGGCCCTTACCAGTCCACATTGCCATAAAAGGGCACCTGCAGTTCTTACTACTTAAGAATCCCACAGTCCTCGCAAATCCTGAGTCCACTTTGGGGAGCTGCCTGGAATTCACACTGCCTGGAATTGTGCACTCCTCATCTCTCATGGCCCGAGGTGCTGCAGCACATTGCCATCTTAACACCAGAGACACTGCTGGAGTGTGCCCTTCTATGGGAGCCAGTAGTCACTGACCTCTAGCCTTGAGGCTCTTCCATTATTCCACCAGGCTTACATAGATGGCTTCAAAACCACAACACTGGCTACTCACAGTCTGGGACCAGAACAACTGTGATTCCCATTCTGCAGTGAGGAAGCCAACTCTGGGCTGATCAAACCACCACATGCTTGTGCACCTAGTTAAAGAAACAGTCAGGTGAATTACCTCCAACAAGCTCACCATTATTTTGGCTGAGCCACTGCATGCTTGTGACCCTGGTTGGATAATTAGACTGACAGACCCACCCTGAATAGAGTCACTCTTGAACTTCCAAGCTGCAATGAACCCACCCCAGCTGGAAAAAAAGCCCAGTGGACCTGCCCCTGTTAGACCAATCCCTGAGCCACAGAGCCACTATGTGTTTACACCCTGACCTGAAAAACAGCCTGACAGCCCAGCCCTCAGTGAGCCAGTCCTCCAGTTGGACAATCCATTGTGTGCACATACATTCACTGGCTTGATAACCAGCTTGGTGAACCCATCCCTTAAAAAGCCACACCACTGCAACCAAAAACTCATGCAGCTTAAGCCAACAAGACACTCACAAACATTGCTAGCATGAATTACAGCTGAAGAAACTAGGCAGAGACTACACCACTGTGTTCACACAGAACCAAAGCCAACACATCCTACCCACTTGACATTCTAAGACCCATCTTCAGGAACAAGTTTTTCTGTACAAAAGTTACTCTATAAAATTAGGAGAAATTACTGTTCTACCACATGTGCAAATAAAAATGCAGGAATACAAGAAACATGAAAAAGCAGGGAAATAGAACACCTCCAAAGAAACATAATTTTCAAGTACATGACCCCAAAGAACAGAAAATTTGTGTAATGCCAGAAAATGAATTCAAAATAATGATCTTCAGGAAACTAAGCAAGATTCAAAAGAATATAGATAGACAATTCAACAAATCCAGGAAAACAATTTATAGTCTGAATGAGAACTTCAACTAAGAGGTATATATTGTTAGCAACAACAACAACAACAAAAACACAGAAATTTTACAGTCTATGAATTTAATGTATGAAATAAAAATACAGTCAAGTATTTTTGTTCAACAGAAAACTAGACAAAGCAGTAGAAACATTTTCTAAACTTGAAGACAGGTCTTTTGAAATCACTTAGATGACAAAAATTTTTTAAAAGAATAAAAAAGGATGAAGAAAGTGTAAAAGATTTTTGGGACACCATAAAGCAAATAATTTTCACATTATGGGAATTTTACAAGAGGAAGAGTTAGGGAAAGGCATAGGAAATATATGTAATGAAATAATGGCTAAAAACTTTTCAGGTCTTGATAGAGATATGGACATCTAGACCAGGAAGCTCAAAAACTCTAAATAGATTCAACACAAAAAGGTTCTCTCCAGGACATATTATAGTCAAACTGTCAAAAGTCAAAGGCAAAAATAATTACAAAAACACTATGAAAAAGTATCATGTCATATATAAGGGAATCCAATTTAGATTAATAGCAAATTTCTCAGCATAAAACTTGAAGGCCAGGAGAGAACGGGATGATGTATTCAGAGTGCTGAAAGAAAAAAATAAAACTGCTAGCCAAGAATACTACACTCAGCAAAGCTACCCTTACGATATAAGGAGAAATAATGTTATTCTTGGAAAAATTAAAACTAAGGAAATTCATCATCACTAGACTTTCTTACAAGAAATGCTTAAGGGAGTCCTGCATCTGGAAGCTAAAGGACAATAACTATCATCATGAAAACATGAAACTATACACTGGTAAAGCAGGTACAAATATGAGAAAGAGAAAGAAATCAAACCTTATCACTACAGAAAATCACCAAATAACAAAGATAAGCAATGAGAGGGGAAGAAATGAACAAAGAATGTACAAAACAACCAGAAAACAGTTAACAAAATGACAGGAGTAAGTACTCATCTATCAGTAATTACCTTAACTGTAAGCAGATTAAAATTCCAAATTAAAAGATATAGACTAGATAATAGGTTTTTTTAAAAAAAGATCCAACCATATGCTGCCTACAAGAAATTCACTTCAGGTGTCAAGACACACATAAACTGAAAGTGAAAGGATAGAGAAAAATACTCCACACAAACAAACCAAAAGCAGGCAGGAGGAGCTATATTTATACCTTGCAAAAAAGACGTTAAGTCAAAATCTATGAAAAGAGTGTGAATCCTGAAAATCTGAGACAGGTCTCAGTTAATTTAGAAAGTTTATTTTGCTGGCTGGGCGTTGTGGCTCACACCTGTAATCCCAGCACTTTGGGAGGCTGAGGCAGGTGGATCACCCGAGGTCAGGAGTTCCAGACCAGCCTGTCCTACAGGCTGAAACCCTGTCTCTACAAAAATACAAAAATTAGCTGGGTGTGATGGCAGGGGCCTGTAATCCCAGCTACTCAGGCAGCTGAGGTAGGAGAGTCATTTGAACCTGGGAGGTAGAGACTGCAGTGAGCTGAGATCACACCACTGCACTTCAGCCTGGGAAACAGAGTGAGATTCCATCTCAAAACAAAACAAAAGTTTATTTTGCCAAGTGTGAGGATGTGTGCCCATGACACAACCTCAGGAGGTCCTGATGACATGTGCCCAAGGTAGGGCACAGCTGGGTTTCATACATTTTAGGGAGACATGAGACATCAATCAATATATGTAAGACGTACGTTGGTTCCTTCCAGAAAGGCAGGACAACTCAAGCAGAGAGGGGGCTTTCAGGTCACACAGGTAGGTGAGAGACAAAAGGCTACATTCTTTTGAGTTTCTGATTAGCTTTTCCAAAGGAGGCAATCAGATATGCATTTATCTCAGTGCGCAGAGGGATGACTTTGAATAGGATGGGAGACAGGTTTGCCCTAAGCAGTTCCCAACTTGACTTTTTCCTTTAGCTTAGTGATTTTGGGGCCCCAAGAATGCCAAGATTTATTTTCCTTTCACAAGAGACAAAAAGGTCATTATATAATATTAAAGGGATCAATTCAGCAAGAGGATATAACAATCATAAATGTACATGCATCCAAAAGTAGAGCACCCAGATACATACAGCAAATATTATTAACTATGTAGAGAGAGACAAACTCCAATACAGTAATAGTTGAGACTTTTTGTTGCCCCACTCTCAACATGGGACAAACTATCTAGGCAAAAAAAAATTAACAAAGAAACATCGGATTTCAACTTTAAATACCATATAGAAAAGACTTTAAGTCTTTATATCCTCTTGCCAAATCAATCCCTTTAATATTATATAATGACCTTTTTATAGATTTTGACTTAAAGCTATATGCTATAAAAAAGACTTTAATGTTTGGACCTAACAAATATTTATAGAACATTTCATGCAATAACTACAGAATATACATTCTTCTCATTAGAACATGGAATATTCCTCAGAATAACCATATATGTTAGGCCACAAAACAAGTCTCGACACATTTTAAACAGTAAAAATATCAAGTGTCTTTTTTGACTTAACCTAGAAATCCATAAAAAGAACTTTGGAAACTGTACAAATACTTGGAAATTAAACAACATGCTCGTGAATTGCCAATGTATCAGTGAATAAATTTTAAAAACAATTTTAGGCCGGGCGCGGTGGCTCATGCCTGTAATCCCAGCACTTTGGGAGGCAGAGGCGGGTGGATTACCTGAGGTCAGGAGTTTGAGACAGGCCTAGCTAACATGATGAAACCCCATCTCTACTAAAAATACAAAAATCAGCCAGGTGTGGTGGCAGGCACCTGTAATCCCAGCTACTTGGGAGGCTGAGGCAGAAGAATCACTTGAACTCGGGAGGTGGAGGTTGCAGTGAGCCGAGATGGCACCACTGTACTCCAGCCTGGGCGACAGAAAAAAGCAAACAAACAAAAAAAAAAAACAAAAAAAATTTTAACATTACTTGAAACAAATGAAAATAGAGACACACACAACATGCCAAAACATTTGGGATAAAGCAAAAACAGTGTTCAGAGGGAAGTTTTTAGCAAAACATCGCTATATTAAAAAAGTAAAAAGAGTTCAAGTAAACAGCCCAATGTTGCACCTCTAGAAACTAGGAAAAACAATAACAAATTAAAGCCAATATTAACAGAAGGAAAGAAATAATGATGATCAGAGCAGAAATAAATGAAATTGAGACCCAAACAACCCCACAACAATTAACAAAATAAAAAGTTGGTTTTTTGAAAAGTTAAACACAATTTTAAAAAGTCATTAGCTAGATTAAGAGAAAAAGAGAAAAAATGCAAATAAATAAAATCAGAAACAAAAAAGGAGACATTAGAACTGACACCACAGAAATACAAAGGATTTTTAGAGACTGTTATTAACAACTATACACCAACAAATTGAAAATCCAGAGGAAGTAGATACATTTCTGGACACATGCAACCTACCAATAGATAACAAAGAAGAAACAGGAAAGCTGAACAGGCTATTAACATGCAATGAGATTGAATCAGTAAGAAAAAGTCTAGCAACAAAGAAAGACCAGGACCAAATTGTTTGACTGCCGAATTCTACCAAATGTTAAAAAGAGACCTAATCCCAATTTTCCTCAAACTATTTTAAAGATTTGAAGGGCAGGGAATCTAAACTTATTCTAATAAGACCAGCGTTACACTGATACCAAAACCAGGCAAGAACACAACCAAAAAATAGAACCACAGTTCAGTATGCCAGATAAACACAGATGCTAAAATTCTCAACAAAGTACTAGCAAACCAAATCCAACAGCACATCCAAAAAATTATATAGCACGATCAACTGGGGTTTATCCCTGGGATGTAAGGATAGTTTAACATATGCAAATCAACAAACAGAATGAAGGGCAACAGTTTTATAGTCATTTAAATAGATACAGAAAGAACATTTGATAAAATTCAACACTCCTTCATGACAAAAACTCTCTACAAAGTAGGCATAAATGGAGTGCACCTTAACATAATAAAGACCATAAATGACAAACCCACAGCAAACATCATACTGAACAGTGAGAAGCTGAAAGCTTTTCCTGTGAGAACTAGAAGACAAGGATGCCCACTCTCACCACTCTCATCATAGTATCAGAAATTCTATCCAGAGCAAATAGGCAAGAGAAAGAAATAAAGGGCATCCAAATAGAAACGGAGAAGTAAAATTATTCCTGTTTACAGAAACAAATGACCTTAAATACAGAAAAATGTATACTTCACCAAAATCTCTTAGAACTAACAACCAAATTCAGTAAAGTTGCTGGATACCAAATCAACATACCAAAACTGGTAGCATTTCTAAAAACTAATAGTGGACAACCTAAAAAAAAAAAATCAAGAAAGCAATCCCATTTACAGTAACTACAAAAAATACCTAAGAGTCACTTGACAAGAGCGTTGAAAAATCTCTACAATGAAAACTATAAAACGTTGGTGAAAGAAATTGAGGAGACAAAAAAATGAAAAGATATCCCTTGTTGATAGATTGACAGAATTATATTATGAAAATGTCCATGCAATCTGCAGATTCAATGCAATCTCTATCAAAATACCAATGACATTTTCCACAGGAATAGAAAAAAACAATCCTAAAATTCATATAGGACTACAAAAGACCCTGAATATACCAGAGTAACCCTAAGCACAAAAAGCAGAGCTGATGGTGTCATGCCACCTGACTTGTAAATATACTACACAGCTATAGTAACCAAACAGTGTGATATTGGCAACAAAGTAGACACATAGAACCCTGAAACAGAATAAAGAACTCAGAAGTAAATCCACAAATTTATAGCCAGCTGATTTTCAACAAGGTTACCAAGAACACACATTGGGGAAAGAAGAGTCTCCTTAATAAATGTTGTTGGGAAAGCTGGATATCCATATGCAGGAGAATGAAACTAGATCCCTATCTCTCGCCACACACAAATATTATTTCAAAATGGATTAAACACCAAAAGCAATATCCAAAACTATAAAACTACTAGAAGAAAATATAGGGGAAATATGTCAGGACATTGGTGCGGGCAAGGATTTTTTAAATAAGACTTCAATAACAAAGACAGGAGCAGCAAAAATATTTGTGACTTTATCAAACTAAAAAGCTTTTGAGCAGCCAAAGAAACAACGAAAAGAGAGAAGAGATAATCTATGGAATAGGAGGAAATATTTGCAAATTATCTATCTGATAGAGGATTACTCTCCAGAATATACAAGTAAATCAAGTAACCCAGCAGCAAAAATGATTAAATAATTCAATTTAAAAATGGGCAAATGATTTGAATAGAGATCTCTCAAAAGAAGACATACAAATGAGCAAAAGGCATCTGAAAAAATGCTTAAATCACTAATCGTCAGGGAAATGCAAATGAAAACCACAATGAGATATCATCTCACCCCAGATAGGATGAATCTATTATCCAAAAAATTAAGAAGAACAAATGCCGGCAGGGATGCTGAGAAAGGGAAATCTTACACACTGTTGGTGGGAATGTAAATTAGTACAACCATTATGAAAAATGGTATGGAGGTTCCTCAAAAAACTAAAAATTGAATGACTACGACATGATCCATCAATCCCACTACAGGTTATATATTCAAAGGAAAGAAAATCAGTATGTTAAAGAGATATCTGTACTCCTGTGACTACTGAAGCACTATTCACAATAGCCAAGATATGGAATCACTTTAAGTGTTCATCAGCAGACACACAGTTAAAGAAAATGTGGTATACATACACAATGATTACTATTTAGCCGTAAACAGAAGGAAATTCTGTCATTTGCAGCAACATGCATAAACTTAGAGAACATTATGTTAACTGAAATAACCCTGAAACGAAAGAGAAATACTGCATGTTTTCACTCATATGTGGAAGGTAAAAAAATTGATCTCATAGAAGTATTAATAGAGAAAATAGCAGTTACTAAAAGCTGGCTGGGCAGAGTGGCTCACGCCTGTAATCCCAGCACTTTGGGAGGCTGAGGTGGGTGGATCACCTGAGGTCAGGAGTTCGAGATCAGCCTGGCCAACATGGCGAAACCCCATCTCTACTAAAAATACAAAAATTAGCTGGGCTTGGTGGCAGGCACCTGTAATCCCTGCTACTCGGGAGGCTGAGGCAGGAGAATTGCTTGAACCCGGAAGGCAGAGGTTACCCTGAGCCGAGATCGTGCCACTGCACTCCAGGCTGGGCGACAGAGTGAGACTCCATTTCAAAACAAACAAACAAACAAACAAACAAACAAACAAAAAGTAGTTACTAAAAGCTGAGAAAGGGATAGAAATCCGGAGAGGTTAACAAATACAAAATTACATCCAGATAGAAAGAATAATTTCTAGTGTTCTATAGACTGAAGTGTGACTAGATAACAATTTATTGTATATTTTCAAATACCTGGAAGAAAGGATTTTTAACATTCTCAACACAAAGAAATAGTAAGTGTCTGAGGTGATGGATTTGCTAATTACTCTGATTTGATCTGTATACATTGTATACATGTATCAAAATATCACACTATATCCTACATAAAAATATAGTTATTAGTTATTAAATATGTGCAGTTTAATATGTAATTTTTGAATACAAAAAGTAACATCTATTGAAAGCACCTTTGATGACATAAAATATAAAATAAATTAAACATTGTTTTATTTCTATGATGAATATTTCACTCCAGACACTTCCCTGACTCTGCTCTGATTTGAAGAGCAGAAATTGAGTTAGATTTAGTGAATTAGAACCTAAGTTAAATATGTGGATGAGAAGGAAGAGAAAGAAGAGGAGATGAACAAAGGAAACACTTTGTCTCAATTTCATATAAGTCTGAATACATTTCAAAGCACTATTAACACTTTAGAATGGAAATTGCCATACATTGCATCCACTAGAAACTGGAGACATTAGCAAGAAATAGGCCATCAAAACACAGTGAGTGAATAGATGGCTCCTTTTTCCTAGCTACCAGTGGGTCTCTTACACAGTGTTTCCTTTGCTGTATAATGCTGAAGGTAAATATTTCCCCCTACTTTCAATCTCCTTTTTTCCTGAGAGCCATACTCCTCTCTTTGCATCTCTTTGCACAGGTACTCCTATCTTTGCGGAGAGCATACCTATAAGATGAAAGAGGGAAGGAGGGTAGTTAGGTCACCCTGAGGCTTTGCTTTGATTCACACCATACATGGGGTTCATAGGTGGCATCTTTCACAAAGTTGCTTCAGGTCTTCCCCAGTGGAATAAAATTGGTTTGTATACTCCATGATGGCCTGCATTGGGAAGGGCAGATCACAAAACTCCATTTCTGGCCATATCTCTCTTTAGCCAAGTCTACTAACTATGGTTGTGTTTTCATTTATTTTTATCCTCTCCTGGGAGAGATACATTTAAAATTCTACATTGGACATAAAAACTATCACATGCACACAAACATACACACACATCGCTCTGATATCCTTGGAGGCTTTACTAAGCCATAGAGTACAATTGCAACTTTGCATTATAAAACTCTAACCATATTGGAAAAACACATAGAATCTTAAAAATACACAAATTAGAATTAGCATATTAATTTTTAAAATATCCACAGGGACAACACAACATTCATAAATGACTGGCTAACTTTAGTTAGGACTCTGACACCAGGAATAAAATTAACTGACTGTTAAAAAGACATCTTTTGTAGAAGCATAGAATGTTTTTAATAGCTAGTAATAATAATAACAATAGCATTTTTATAGGTCTGTCACTCTGCGAAGTACTTTATGTGAACAAAACCATTTAGCAGTAGCAATCACAATAGGAGTTGTACTATTTTTAATCTTTCACATATAGATGAAAAAACAGAAACATATCCAGTGTATAGTGATCATAACCAATAAGTGCTAAAACAGAACCCACAGAGGTGACAGGCTTCCGTAGTAGTAGAATATAGTAAATGTTCAGGATTGTAATATTTTTAAAGGACATTCCTCTAAGATAAACTCCAAATGTCTTAAATTGGGCTTGAGACTTTTTCAAATTTTAGCAGCCAATCTACTTCTGTTAAAGGCCTATAACTGAGCATAATTCTTCAGAATAAGGGGCCTGGCCAGATGCCAGGGTTTTCTTTTTTAATTTTTTTTATTAATGGGAAGTGGTGATGAGAAAAACGATGTCTGGATTTTCCCCAGTCTGCTCCCATTACTACTACCACTGCCTCTGAACCATTATTGAGTGTACTAGACTCCGGCAAAGGCATCTGTCACCCATGCAGTAGGTTAAAGATTGTTATCTAGCCAGGTGTGGTGGCTCACGCCTGTAATCCCAACACTTTGGGAGGCTGAGGCAGGTGGATCACGAGGTCAGGAGATCGAGACCATCTTGGCCAACATGGTGAAACCCTGTCTCTACTAAAATACAAAAAATTAGCCAGGTATGGTGGTACACACCTGTAGTCCCACCTACTTGGGAGGCTGAGGCAGGGGAATCGCTTGAACCCAGGAGGCGGAGGTTGCAGTGAGCTAAGATCGTGCCACTGCACTCCAGCCTGGTGACAGAGCAAGGATTTGTCTAAAAAAAAAAAAAATATTGTCATCTAATTCTTTTTTTTTTTTTTGAGACTGAGTTCCGCTCTTCTTGCCCGGGCTGCAGTGCAATGGCACGGTCTTGGCTCACTGCAACCTCTGCCTCCTGGGTTCAAGCAATTCTCCTGTCTCAGCCTCCAAAGTAGCTGGGATTACAGAAGCCCGCCCCCACATCCAGCTAATTTTCGTATTTTCTTTTCAGTAGAGATGGAGTTATAATTCATCTTTAAGTTGTGTATGTTATGCATGACTCTCTAGGACAATCCCAATGATAGAACCATTACTTTAGCCAAGCACATTAAATAATTATGAATAACACTTGAGTAGACTTTTGTTCTTCACAGATCTTGTGTGACTTGGACTTCTCACAGATCTTCCTTTACCTGGGCTGCTGCACTGCCATCCTGCTCTGCAATGCTCTAAATCCCCTTTGAAGACGCTGAGCCATCTGCTCGAGATGGAGCCTGAATAATAAGATGCAAACATTCCTAATATAACTTTAGTGCCCCTTTGTGCCACTGTCCATCAGTTGGTTGGGGTTCTGCTTCTGTCAGAGGCTATAAAAAGAAAAGAGCAGACAGTTAAATTTTCCGCTCCTTGCTCATCCACTAATGCTTAAAGAGATAATAAAATGGACATTTATTCTCAACTACAGCTCAATTGAAATGTTATGATGTTTTTGGTGAGTTCTGAAGGGTAATGGAAAATGAGTGCCACCTGTTTAGGATGTGCCATTGGGGAAATGGCACTTCTGAGATGAATTCCACTTAAAACATAACATTTTTTTAATTTGAGATGCATTGTTCTCTGGAAGAGTAGCTGATTCCTAAGCATATGAAACAAACAGACCGTGATACACACAATTTATTTGTTTCATCTGTTTCTACAGTTAATGCATGGCAGCCCAGTCAGTCTGGCCCAGTGTAGATTATGAAGAAGGTCCAAATAAAAAGATTGGTTTCATTGCAGGTGCACCAATTTTGCTAAGGAGGGAAATCTTTTGACACCTGCTCTTTCTCTTTCCCAAATAACCTAACCTTTGATTAGGATTTCCTTTATTGCATTGGCTTATTTCCTCTCCATGTCTTTGTTGGGAAATGGGAGAGGAGTTGTAATTAGCATTAATTGATACTAAATGACAAACACTTTGCTAAGTTATTAAGTATACAATAACTTATTTATTGTTAATGAAACCTATATTAATATATATTCTTCAAAATATCAGTAAATCATGCTACTAATGCCATCATATTAATATACTATCTAGTGGAACTCTTGAACCCTTACACGTTTTTAAATTTTGAGTGGACAGGAAGAAGTGGAGAGAAGATACTCAGTTTTTCTCAGCGTATCATATTGTTATGATACGTAGAGATTGTATAGCTACACATTGGAGATGGTTTTTCTCATTGTCCCATCTGAGGATGGGAATGGTTTAACTAATTTAACCTAACAGAAAATTAAAGCTTATTCAGAATAATGAACATAACTGATTAAGTGGTAAAGCAGAGGTGACAGAGTTGATAGGCCACTCTTTTCCTTTTTAACCACAATTTCTCCCTCTGGGTATCTTGCACTCAGTTCCCTATTTAAGCAAAATCACCACACAGGAGAGTCCAGACTGGCTTACAAAGCTCTTGGTACAGGGAAAGGTTACTGAAATTGAAATGATAAGTACTAACAAAATTGTGTATAGAATACCTTCTTTGAACAGTAATGAGAATGGCAGATGATAGTAAACCTCTTCCGCAGAGATTCCTGCTAGGGTTCCCAGTGAGCTCAGTTTGTCCTAGAGCAATGGCTTGGCTCTCGTGCCTATTCCTGGTGCTCGGCACAGATGCTATTCACTCAGGCGGTGGCTGGGTGGTTCACAGATGCTCTCTACTTCTCCATGTTCCACTCCAGCACGTCTATCAGACCCCCTCCATTTCACTGCACCAGGGCAATCTTAATGCTTTCCTGGGAGTTCTTCCTCATCTCTTTTCCTCTATTCAGTCTCTTGCTTACCGATTAGCATTTTCCTTTGGAATTTTGCCTTTTGAGCTATAAAACAACAGCGACAAAACAAAAACATAAAAACAACCATAACAAAATTTCCTCTACATAATCCTTGGCTTTCTCAACTTTAGTCTCTGAAATGGACTTGTGTTTTATGCATCTTCTTTTGAAAGTCTAATACGGATATTGATTCTTTGTCTTTCTCCTATAGTAATAATTACTTTTGAGGCTTTAATGCTCAGGACGTATGCAATAGAAAAAGGTAGTTGACAAGGAAGCTTAAAACTGATTATTATGATATTTTAAAGTAGTATTTTCACATATTATTTATGATGCAGGTAAAATCTACCTCTTTAATTTATTTTATTTATTTATTTTTGAGATGGAGTCTTGCTCTGTCGCCCAAGCTAGAGTGCAGTGGTGTGTTCTCAGCTCACTGCAACTTTTGCCTTCTGGGTTCAAGCAATTCTCCTGCCACAGCTTCCCGTGTAGCTGGGATTACAGGCATGTGCCACCACACCCAGTTAATTTTTCTATTTTTAGTAGAGACTGGGTTTCACCATGTCCGCCAGGCTGGTCTCGAACTCCTGACTTTGGGTGATCCACCCACCTTGGCCTCCCAAAGTGTTGGGATTACAGGCATGAGCCACTGCGCCTGGCCAGATCATTATCATCCTCTATCTGCCATTACTTTAAATCACATATCATACATACGTATACGTTATGATGCTTACTATATTCTTCCAAGTATTTGCATCAGTGTCTCAGTGTCTCATTTTTTTCTGTGTATATTTTTCTTCCATCCAGCTGGACGCAGTGGCTCATACCTGTTGTCCCAGCACTTTCGGAGGCCAAGGCAGGCAGAACACCTGAGGTCAAGCGTTCGAGACCTGCCTAGCCAACATGGCAAGACCCCGCCTCTACTACAAATACATAAATTAGCCAGGTGTGGTGGCATGCACCTGTAATCCCGGCTCCTTGGGAGGCTGAGGCAGGAGAATAGCTTGAACCCGGGAGGCAGAGGTTGCAGTGAGCCAAGATTGCACCACTGCACTCCAGCCTGGGTGACAGAGTGAGACTCCGTCTCAAAAATAATAATAATAATAAATAATTTTTTTTTCCATTCTAAGTCTTATGCTCTAATCTGAGTGTAAATATCTAGAAGACTAGGACTATAGCTTACATTCTATCTTCGTGGAACAAAGACTTTACCTAAAGATATTTAAAAACTATTCATGAACTTCGTGCTAGAAATGAGATAAAATGAGGTTTTTAGATGATGTCTGCTGTGCCCAATAATTCAAAAAAATATATATTACATTCAGACTATGTGCCAGGCACTGAGTGGTGCACTAGGATACAATCATAGCCAGACCTGGAGCTTACACCTTGAACTTGATACTGATATATGGTACTTCTGAACTGTCTGAGGTAGCCCCTCTATAAGTTTAGAAGTTATGCTAACCTGATGCGAACACTGGACTAGAGCAAAAATACTAAAAGAAATGTCAAATGGTACCATTTACTTCAAAGTGTAGAAGAACTTTTACTATTCTGGGTGAAGTGCTAACTGGAAGATCTCTTACAATTGCGCCAAAGCATTGCCATGATAAATTAGGACCATAAACAAGATTGCTTATTCCCCAATTCTATACAAAAGCTGTGATATCCAGGCACTCGGGGGCTTGAACTTCCGAATGTGATGTGGATTCAATTTTCTCTACAAACATTGCCAAGATCTGAATTTAAACCTCAGTATTTCATCCTGCAATCTACATCTAGACACCAGAGGACAATCCACAGCAATTCAGAATCAGGGAAAAGTAAACAGTTTAAATAATGAATGAATTTCTGCCACTATAAACCAACGGTGATTATCTCCCTTAGCCCCCTAAATATTTAACCTACACTATTATGTTTCAGTTGGTGCAGTAACTGCAAAATAAACTTTTAAAAAGCCACCTTATTATGTGTGGGATATGACTATCAAGTAATGGTACTTGTTCATTGTAAGACCTAGGAAAATTATGATTTCAGTTTGTATTTATTTTTGTAAAAAGGAATTAGAATTTATATGACATGATAGAACGAAGATAATTTTAATAATAAGCTAGTTTTTTTCCCCATGTTTGAAAAAGTGGCATTTCGGTCTTCTGAAATAATTACTTATTTCTGCTATATTCTGGCTGTATGATCTCACATAAGTCAGCTGCTTTATCTGTATTTTCATTCATTCCATAGAAAAACAAGGATATTTTACTTAGTTTCACTTTACTGTCACCAATACTATGATTATTAAAGTTGATAGAGAACATCACTACAAATTAGAAATTCTATAAAATAGAAAATGGCTGTATCTTGAATAGCATTATTTTGGTGGTGGGGGAAGGTACGCGCATGTGTTAAACCATTTTAAGGTGGAGATAGGCAAAAGTTAACATAATGGGGCTTCTGGTTTCAGCTCCAGTATGTAAAGAGCTTTGAAGTCATCTCTATCATCCTTTAAGGGAGAAAAAAACTGGACAAACTGAAAATCAACAACGTTTCTGGAATTCATCAGAGAACAGAGATTGCTGCCCCAAATCTGGAGAGACAAGTAATCTAGAGAAACACAGCTAATGAAAATTGCTTAGTTGGAGAAAAAGCTGCTGAAATCCTTAAGATGATAGAAACACTTAAAAAATTATTTTGGTGAATTACTGGAAGCTGGATGTAAACTATGTTAAGACTGAGAAAGAGCTGTGTGCTAAAGTCATAAGGGACTTCCCGGTACACATGTGTATAAGCTTTAATTCCGGGAATCCCGCATGTTTCATGGTAAGGATTTGATTCCGTCATGGTTCTGTCTGGGGTAAGTGGGGGAAATGGATGTTGGTGGAGCAAAGAATACCACTCTTGAAACTGGCCTAGACATGTCCTTCAAAAAAAGAGAAAAGAAAAAAGGTTAGTCTCCAGTGGGAAGTAATTCCCTAGAGGAAAAAATCCGTCAATGTCTCTCAACTTTGCAGACTCAAATAAATCCAAATTCAAATTCCAGCAAGTTATTTTCTAGATATTGCCAAACTGATTCTAGAATGTATATATTCAGGTACAGCTCTTAGACTAGCCAATATAATTCTAAAAAAGAAGAAAATTGAAAAGTTCACATTACCTGACTTCAAAATTTATCTTAAATCCACTATAAATATCTTAAAGCCAGCATTATATTGGCAAAAGAACAGACATGTTGATCAATGGAACAGAAACACACTCATAAATATTGTCAACTAATTGTTGACATAGGCACAAAAAAAATAGGTGCATGTAAAAAAGATCTTTTCAAAAATTGAAATTGGCCTATGTATATAAAACAATGAACCAGAACAGAGACCTTACATCCTAACACAAAACTTCACTTGAAATGAATCAGAAACCTAAATGTGAAATGCAAAACTATAAAACCTCTAGATGAAAATCTAGGAGAAAATTTGCATGAACTGGAGTTTGAAGATGTTACTGGTACAACACCTAAAACATAGTCCATGAAAGAAAAAATTGATAGGTTAAACTTTAAATTTTTAAAAAATAAAAATTAAATTTGCTTTGCAAAATACACTGCTAAGGGAATGAAAAGACAAGCTACAAATGGAAAGTATTTTCAAAATACACGCTTGATAGAATACTTGCATCTAGAATGTACAAAGAACTGTTAACACTCAACTCTAAGAAAACAAACAACCCAGTTAGTAAATGGGTACAAAGATCTGAATAGACACCTCAACAAGAAAGATACACAGATGGCAAATGATCATATGAAAGATGTTCAATACTATATGTTATTATAGATATGCAAATTAAAACATCACTGAATATAACCACAAACCTATCAGAATGCTAAAATCCAAACCTATGACAATACCAACTGCTGTCTAGGATGCAGAGCAACCAAAACTCTCCTTTATTGCTAGTGGGAATGAAAAATGGTACAGACACTTTGTATGAGATTTTGACATTTTCTTACAAAGATAAAAACAGTATTACCATATGATTAAATATTTCACTCCTAGGTATCTATCCACCTGAATAGAAAATTTATGTTCATTCACACAAAAAGCTGCACGTAAATACTTTTAGCAACTTTGTTTGTGCTTGCAAAAACATGGAAGCAACAATAATGTCCTTCAATAGGTGAATTTGTAAACAAAGTGTGGCACTTCTATACAATGGAATATTATCCCATGATGAAAAGAGCTTTCAATCCACAGAACAATGCAATTTTTGTTTTGTTTTGTTTTGTTTTGTTTTGTTTTGTTTGAGAAGGAGTTTCTCTCTTGTTGCCCAGGCTGGAGTGCAATGGGACCATCTTGGCTCATCACCACCTCCACCTCCCGGGTTCAAGTGATTCTCCTGCCTCAGCCTCCCAAGTAGCTGGGAGTACAGGAATGCACTGCCATGCCCGGCTAATTTTGTATTTTTCGTAGAGATGGGGTTTCTCCATGTTGGTCAGGCTGGTCTCGAACTCCTGACCTCAGGTGATCCTCCCGTCTTGGCCTCCTGAAGTGCTGGGATTACAGGCGTGAGCCATCACACCTGGCCTACTTCTTATTTATTTATTTTTTTTCATAGAGACAGAGTCTCACTATGTAGCCCAGTCTGGTCTCAAACTCCTGGGCTCAAAGGATCCTGCCATCTCGGCCTCTCAAAGTGCTGGGATTATAGACATGAGCCACCATCCTCAGCCGTGAATTTTAATATATGCTGCTAAGTGAAAGAAACCAATCTGGAAAGGCTATATACTTTATGATTTCATTCATGTGACATGCTGGAAATAGGAAAACTGTAGAGATAGGAAACAAGTCTGTGGTTGCCAGGAATTGAGGGTTGGGGGAGGGTGGAATTGGGGAAGTACAGGAAATTTTATAGGGTTGTGAAATTATTCTGTATGCCATTGTAGTGGTGCACAAAATTATACTTTGAATTTGTCAAAACACATAGAACATTACATCATAAAGAATGAGTGCTAATGTATGCAAATTTGAAACAATAAGTTAGGAGATTTATGGAATGCACACTGTAATGGGAGAATCGAACTGTATTACAAACACACGGCATCACCTCACAGAGGGGAGTTAGTGAAAAAGGTTCTGATCTCAGTAACTTTGGAAATAAGTAGAAACTGTAAAATGAAAGATGAAAGGAACTGAGCATAAGCACTGTACTCTAGTTGATAAAGTACTCTGACCATGGGGATATAGGTTAACAGCTCTGAAATCACACATGTATTCTGGAATTTAAGTAAATGGATGGTGAATGGTGACAGTCATATTGGAGTGGAAGGTGACAGACAAGCAAGGGCTGAAGGCTAGAATGAAACATGATAATGGATTAGAGTTGGAGACATCAGCATGAACACAAGGTCAGCTTTTTTATATATACAGTTGAAAACATATAAAAAATTCATAAATACATGTGTACACACAGGCTCATATGTAACTATATATTTTCTTTTTCTGTCCTCTGAGAGGGACTAGAAGCAATGACACACTAGTCACAACAAACACACCCTTCACCCATATCTTCTTTTCTAATACCTTCTCCAATAAAAGGAACCCAATCTCCTCAGAGAAATGATTGATTCTAGGGCTGGCGTGAGGTGGGAAATAAACAAAATGAGCATGGAGTACCTTAAAGTGCCATGAAGTAAGAAAGTGCTCAAAAAAATGAAATTATGGGGGTCAGTCAATGGGGCATAGGAGCCAAGTGTAAGAGACCCTAATAGCTGAAGCTGGAAGAATTTGAGCAACAAAATAAGTAACATAGTATTGTATTATAACAAAGTATAAAATAAATATCTGTGAGTTCATACTGCTATACATGAAGGATTAAATAAATAAATAAATAAGAGAGAATAGACAAGTCTCCCATACAGAAAAATTTGATGTAGATTCTTCAGTTTCAAGGAGGTAAAATGTAACTCTCCACTCCTGAAGTGTGGGATTCACATAGTGATTTTCTTCTAGTGACTACAATATGAAAAGAGGAAAAAAAATGAGTAACATTAGGGTAGAGAAAATGGACAAATACTACCTCCACCAAGTGAACAAGGTTAACATACCAGTAATAATTCATATTGATAGCATGTACCCTTGACATGATGTGATGCAAATAACATTTTACCTCTGTGGCCTTCCTAAGACACATAATTTTTGTCTAACTATAAGAAAATCATCACACAAATCAAACTGATTGACATTTGTCAAAATAGCTGACCAACACTCCTTAAAACTATCAAGGTCATAAAAACAATTGAACGCTGAGAAATTCTGAGTCTAGAGAAGCCTAAAGACACATGACAAATATATGTGACGTGATATCTTGAATAGAATCCTGCAACATAAAAAGGACGTTAGGTTGGCCAGGCGTGGTAGCTCACGCTTGTAATCCTAGCACTTTGGGAGGTCAAGGCAGGCGGATCACTTGAGGTCAGGAGTTCGAAACCAGCCTGGCCAACATGGCCAAACCCCGTCTCTACTAAAAATATAAAAATTAGCCGAGTGCGGTGGTGGACACCTGTTACCACAGCTACATGGGAGGCTGAGGCAGGAGAATCCCTTGAACCAAGGAGGTGGAGGTTGCAGTGAGCTGAGATTGTGCCATTGCATTTCAGCCTGGGAGACAGAGAGAGACTCTCTCAAAAAAAAAAAAAAAAAAAAAAAAAAAAAAGAACATTAGATAAATAGCACAGAAATCACAATGAAATATGGACTTCAGGTAATAATAATGTTGAATATTTGTTCATTTGTATGACATATGCACTAAAGCAATCTTAACTCTAGGGGAAACTAAGTGCAGGCATATGGGAACATTCTTGCAACTTCTCTGTGTATCTAAGACTATTCTCAAATAAAAGTTTATTAATGTTAAAAAAGTTAATGTGATGCGACAACACAAATGAACAAGTCATGTCAGCCACTACCTCGCCTTCATATCCATGGTCTTTTTTTTTTCTTCATTTTTAATTTAATCTAATTTAATTTTAAGGTCTGGGATACACGTGCAAGACATGCAGGTTTGTTGCATAGGTAAACGTGTGCCATGGTGGTTTGCTGCACCTATCAACCCATCACCTAGATATTAAGCCCCCATGCATTAGCTATTTATCCTGCTAGCTCTTGAACCCATCATTATAAAACACACATTCCAGGCAGAGCCCTGGCTTGACATGATTGTGAAATACTAAACCCTGAAGCAACCCCACAAGCATGAGGTCTAATGCTTTGTCCTTGCTCTCAGCAGCCTCAGCATTTCATATATAAATGGCTGCAAAGATCTCCCTCTGTCTCACTTATGTTTGCAAATAAAGAAGACTAGAAATACATAATCCCATGCCACAATTGCCTGGTCCCTTTTCCAGGCCTCTGTTGTGTTGTGTGAGGCCAGAGGGCTCTGCATCCTCCAAAAGGCTGTCAGCACTAATTGCCCCTTATTCTCACCTTTGTCTCCTTTTGTCTCACCCTAACATAAGCCCTCAAATTAATGTAATGGAAGCCTTAAAAAAAAAATAAAATAAACATTTTTAACCGTTTTCAATTTTTGTCAGTCTTCCCTTAGGAAAGACTCTCAAATGTGGGAAAATGTTGAGGCCAATACCAAATTTTGTAAATTCACATGCTTTAATAAAATGGCATTCATTCTAAGTGTAAGAATTGTCACATCTAAAAAGCATGTTCAACTGCAAAATTATACAAACAGCTTTGTTAAAAATAGTCTAAAAAGAAAAACTTCTGATCTTCCCTGTCATAAAAATTTACAAAGTTGCTATTAGTTGGAAGCATAAGGTTAATTATGAAAATTTGCAGAAGGGACTTTGTGTTTTTTTATGTTGGAATTTTAGTGAACTGTGTTTTTTTTTGAAAAGTTCCCAAGTGGATTTTTAAAGAATTATTCATAGATACATGCTTTGCTCCTTTTTATGAGGATTTGGTAATCAAACTGAAATGAGCTTCGGGGGCAAAAAAAAAAAAAAAAAAATAGCGGGTTTATCACCAGAGGTCGGGAGTTGGAAACCAGCCTGACCAACATGGAGAAACCCCGTCTCTACTAAAAATACAAAATTAGCCGGGTGTGATGGCGCATGTCTGTAATCCCATCTACTCGGGAGGCTGAGGCAGCAGAATAGCTTGAACCCAACTCTGCAGGTTGCAGTGAGCCGAGATCACGCCGTTGCACTCCAGCCTGGGCAACAAGAGCGAAAGTCCGTCTCAAAAAAAAAAAAAAAAAAAAAAAAAAAAAAAAAAAAAAAGATAGCAACTGCTCCTGGGGTGCAGTCACTACCCTGGTCTTGAGCCACTATTGAGACAGGTCAAGGGCCTTGTTTAAAGGGCCTGCTGATGCACCGCTACCTACCACCCCCGCCCCTCCCCCGCCACACACAAGCATGGAAGGAAAATCTTGAGTTCCTTCAAGAGAAATTCCGGGCCCTTAGCTAGCCCCGAAAAGCAAATTAGCAACTTGATAAAAAAGCAAGTAAGAACTTAAAATAATAGTCAAGGAAATTAGAGTCGGGAGATGTTTTTATTCCCTAGGGAAACTAAAGATAATATCTTAAAATCTGTCCCTGAATTGTTTTTCGGAAACCTGGACCCCAACCAAACAGATCAGCTGGCATGGAGACCTTTTCCAGAAAGGGGAACTGAACTCTGAACTCTGATCATTGTTCTTTGTTCTAAATTTCTTCCTGAGGGGCCTGGAGGGAGTCACACCCATGAATCAGAACTAACATTCTTTTCTGTTGACATCAAATTTTTAAACAAAACTTCTCTTCCCTAATTAATTGCAAATCAGAAAATCCTTGAATCTACCTATTACCTGTAAGCTCCCACTTCAAGATATCTCACCTTTTTAGGCCAAAACCAAGTTGTAACCTCCATGTATTGATTTACAATTTTGCCTGTAACTTCTGGTTTCCTGAAATTTACCTCTGCCTTTAAAAATCCCAGCATTTTCGGAGGCCGAGGCGGGCGAATCACGAGGTCAAGAGATCGAGACTATCCTGGCCAACAGGGTGAAACCCCATCTCTACTAAAAATACAATAATTAGCTGGGGGTGGTGGCGTGCGCCTGTAGTCCCAGCTAGTCAGGAGGCTGAGGCAGGAGAATCACTTGAAGCCGGGAGGCAGAGGTTGCAGTGAGCCGTGATCGCGCTACTGCACTCTAGTCTGGCAACAAAGCGAAACGCCATTTCAAAAAAAAAAACCAAAAAACAAAAAAACTCCTTACCTATAAGTCATCGGGAAGGTCAGGATTTAAGCATTAGATGCTTGGTTCTCCTTGCTTGACATCCTGCAAGTAAACACTTTCCTTTCTGCTGCTGCAAAACCTTGGTGTGAATATTTGGTCTTAACTGCACGGGGTGAGCCGATCTCCATTCAGTTCCATTATACCATCCGCCATTTACTTGGTGTGTTTCACAGAAAAAATATCTTCCTTACATTACTGTTGGAGGCTCCAGGATACTTGGGAATGGTGATACATGAACCACATAATATCGCTTTATTCAAATTTGCCTCAGCTTTTTTATTTCTCAATGATTAAGATTCATAGCAACAAGAAATATCACAAAGCCATTTCACATAATTCTTTTTAAAATGCCTTACACTTGATCTTGCATAACAGCTTTTAAATCTTTTTTATATACATAGCTTGATTAATTATTACAACATTATGCAATGCAGTAATACATCCTGAAATTTACACTTTATAGATGAGTAGGCTGAAATTAAAGGAGTTAAATGAGACCAATGTCCTTATTTTCTGTTGAGAAAAAATGTTTATCTAGCATTCTGTCACACACAATCATTTTTACCTGGCCTCTACAGAGTGATAAAAATTGAGACCCTTGAGGAACCCAGAAGCAACTGACAGAAGTGGATTCCTTATCAACTTAGCAGAGAGTAAACAGTATTCAAGATTGTCAATGTATTTTATTTTCCCTTAAGTACAAATGGGTACTCAAGACGTGATAAAAATCCAGTATTTGAATAAGCAGAAAATGCTAGCTCCTGTCCCCCACACCTCAGACATACACAAAAAAGTTAAGAGTGCTTATCTTATTATTGAAAATATCTTTTGACAAAAGCTTTAGGAATTACTGTTAAAAAAAAATTGTTGAATAAAGAATCCATGAAAATTATACTGTTGAAGTTAGTATATTTCTCAGCTTTGTAAATTTATTTTGGGGGTGTAAAATTTCATGACCAAAGAAATAGGTTTAATATTTTATTAGCAAAAGTTTAGTGAATAAATCACAAGTGCATATGCTCAGTTCAATTTTGTTTTTAGTATTGAAACTTTAAGAAATATAATCATTGAATTGCTTTCCTGGACCTCAGTGCTTGAACAGGATATAAATACAGTGCAGCATGAAAGCACTACCAATGAAGCTGGGGAAATCTTGTTTAGAATGTTCTTGTGTCATTTTACATTGCATAGAATAGGGACAGCAGAATTCTGTATCCTTTTACAAATCGTTGAGTCTATGTTCCTAAAATTCTCTAATAGCCAAAGTTTAGAAACCCAGAAAGCATCAACCTCATATTTATTCCATAATAGTGAATAATAATGACATCTCATAATTTTGTTTTATCTGACTGTAATTTTTACATCTGAAATACATAATTAATTTATTGAAACTCTTATTTTGAGGCTGAAATTTTTAAGTAAAACTTAAAATGGTTTTTGCATTAATAGGATTTGTTTCTGATCCTTAATTTAATGTAACTTAGTTTTGTGACACTGGTCAAGTTACTCACCCACTGAGAAACTCACTTTATAAAGTGAGTTTTGGCCAGGCACAGTGGCTCATGCCTGTAATCCCAGCACTCTAGGAGGCCGAGGCGGGCGGATCGCCTGAGGTCAGGAGTTCAAGACCAGCCTGGCCAACATGGTGAAACCTTGTCTCTATTAAAAACAATACAAAAATTAGCCAGGCGTGGTGGCAGGCACCTGTAATCCCAGCTACTCAAGAAGCTGAGGCAGGAGAATCCCTTGAACCAGGGAGGCAGAGTTTGCAGTGAGCCGAGATTGCGCCACTGCTCCAGCCTGGGCGACAAAGCGAGATTCCTTCTCCAATAAATAAATAAATAAATAAATAGGGAATTTTGTATGAAGATGATCTTAAAGATCCTTTTCATTTATGAGATTTGAAATACATTTGTGAAAAAGGCCTACATCACTTGTTAACTTGGCAGAAAATGAAATAATTTACAATATTATTTTTACATTAAAATAACAAAAATTATATCATGTAATACAATATTGAATTATCACAATGTTTAAAAATTATAACTTAAGATTTCAGATAAATAGTTTTCATGTGGATAACCACTTATAACCAAACACATGCTCCTTCTCTTGGTGCTAGTGACATTTTAACTCTTGTCCTTGTTTAAAGGATTTTGGTGGGAAAAAAATTCAAGAACTCTGAGTTACTATAGCTAAAAATATTCCACCCCAGGCTCATAAAAATGATGCCTATTAAAAGATCATATTAAGATCTTATTAAGCTGACCCAGTGAGTAATGAAAGCAGTTTTTCTGGGGAAATTAGGAAAATATAATTTGTTTCCTCAAACTCTACCGAAGTAGCATGGTGAGAATTAACAGTGGTTTTGGTGTCTTCAGTACATTTGTGGAAAATGTTCTACTGACACGTTGAGCTCTAAACCTAGGAATCTGATTTATTTTAATCTACTGCTGTGCCAATGTAATACAATTAGACCCAGTTAACCCTTTCACTCTGTCTAAGACCTTGATGTTAATTAAAATACGAGAAAATCAAATTAAAACAAACAAACCCCCATGGCTCTGTCCCACACCCCATAGAGCTATACATGAACTAAAGGTGGTAGCTGTCATATCACTTAACTACAAACCTGGGAGGATGGGTCAGAACATATCACTCTCCAGGGCAATTTTATGGGAGGTACTGTTACCCTGTAGTCTTGTTTCATGAAAAATAATGCTGGCTGAGTGCAGTGGCTCATGTCAGTAATTCAACACTTTGGGAGGCTGTGGTGGGAGGATTGCTTGAGCTCAGGAGTTCGAGACCAGCCTGAGCAACAAAGTGAGACACCCATCTCTACAAAAAGCATTAATAAATAAATTAGCCAGGTATGGTGGCATGTGACTGTGGTCCCAGCTACATGAGAGATTGAGGCAGAAGGATCTCTTGAACCCAGGAGGTCTTGAACCTAGGAGCTCAAGGCTGCAGTGAGCTGTGTTTACTCCAGTACACTCCAGCCTAGGGGGCAGAGCAAGACCCTATCTAAAAAAAAAAAACAGAAAAGTAATGCTACCCCTGCAGCAAAGCTAAGAGCAAGACTCCTGCATAGCATCCCTTCTTCATTCTGATTCCCTATCATACTCCCCATGTCTATTCTTTGGGATGTTTTTCCCTAGGCCTCATGGTCATAGTCTCATTCACCACATGCTAGTTTAACACACCATGTGTTCTGTCTCCCCTCCCCACTACTTCAGAGTTAGGTTTCATTTTACTTACAAATGTCCAGTGTAGATAGACTTTTTATTTAACTGTGAGACTTCTTGGGTTCTTTAAAAATCTACTTTTATTTTGAAACAGAAAGAAATTATAGAGGAAAAAATTTCCCCTCCAGTTTGAAATAAGGCCTTCCCTCCTCGTTTCCTCTAAACCTTGTACATCCCTTCTTGGCCTCTTAATTTCCACAATAAATTGCCTTAATTTTTAGCACCAGATGTTTGGGAAACTACATAGATTTTTTGATAAAATAAATCCCAGAACCAAATCAAGAGGCCTCTTCTCATTGAATACTTTTTTTTTTTTCACATCCCAGGCACTTTTCCTTTTTTCCTTGACCTTCTGTTATTGTAAGCATGTGCAATTCTGCCCATCATGGAAAAACCTTCACATTCTACCAGACTTTTAAGTGAAGAATATGTTTTTTTTGTCTCCTTTTACTTATTCTTTTTAGGCCTTGCCATCTGGTTTCCATTCCCAATTTTGTTTCCAATAATTTTTCTTCTCCAAATATATTCCTGTAGCTGAGTCTCTACTCACTCTCTTCTTACTCTGTTTTCTTACATTAATGTATTTTGATTATACCCTTTTCTTGACATCTTTTTTGAAAATGTTACCTGAATTTTTTCTTCTCCAATCTATTCTTATATTTTTTGAAAATTTTACTAATTTTAAATGTTTATTTTAAGAAATTTCTTAGTTCACCAATCTTTGCATTCCACTTCTATAGAAAAAAAATAGCCAAGCATAGTGATGTACACCTGTAGCCTCAGCTACTTGAGACTTTGAGGTGGAAGGATCACTTAAGCCCGGTGGGCTATGATTAAGCCCCACTGTGCTCCAACCTAAGCAACAGAGCGAGACCAGGTCTCTAAAATAAATAAATAAATAAATAAAATACGTTAATTAATAGAAAAAAGAAATGCGATTTTTCTTTCTTCACAAGAACAGGTTTCAGGAATTAACCACTTTTAGTCTCTCTTTGCATCTAATTAATTCAGTCTTCTCCTCTGGGAAATATATTTACTCTTATTATTGAACATCTTATATTTACACTAGGAGTTGGGGGGTCACTACATTAAGAAGACAGTGTGTGCCCATCTTTTTCTCCTTTGTGTTCCCTCTCCTGCCAGCAGTCATGAACTTGAAAAAGGTCTATGTCTAATCTTCTATGTCATTAGCTATAATATCTCTGTAGACTCAGTTCTTTCCACCAATGGTCATGCAGTTCTAAATGTAAGGAGTTCTAAATGTGGCCCCCACTTTGATCATTGAGCTAAGCTGCATTCTCCAATTTAACTTTATTAGAGGGCCTTATTCTTTCAGAGTAGTGAACTATTAGGAAACTGCCTGGCCAGTTAGTAATACTAACACATGAATCCTCAATTCATATCCAGCCAGGCCCAGTTGCTTGGGTCTACTCTTCATTGGTTATAAACCCAAGCAAGGCATAAATAATTCTTAGAATGACTTTTATACCTCCTCTCACCACGGCAAACTGTTAAGGAATTGGCAAGAAATCCTTATAAATAAGAACAGATACTGGATGGGTTTGATTGAAGTACTGTACAGGAAATCAAGCTTTGGGTACATCTGCTGAAACTGGCCAGGTGAGACACAGGTGGCACATTTGGTAGCTTCTCATACTGTGACCACAGATGTAATTATAGACCTGGATATTCTAGATGCCATATTGTCATAATATTTTGTTGTTGTTGTTGTTGTTAATTTCTAGGTAAGTCTTACCTCAAAACAACTTCACTATGCTTTTTAAAGCATAATTGGCAACTTGTCTTTTTCAGCATAGTTGACTGGAAGAGATCTTTTTTTTGTTTGTTTTGTACTCTTCCCTTTTATTATGTCCTTACCAGGATGCAGGCAATCATCCCCAATCACACATAGTCTAAATTTTATTGTTTATTTCATAAACTCTGATTATAGTCTATAGACCTGGGCTGTAGGTTAATTATACTGAATTAGTTAATCTCACTGACAAGCAGACAAAAATGAGTGGGGATCCTTATATGGAAATATGTCATTTTCTTGGATTGAGGTGGAAAAATATTTTTATGTAATTCTGTAATAACAAAGTCTGGGGAGAAAATTAAAAAGACTTAAACCTAGATCTTCTAGGTATCATATGTGTTTAGAGGAGAGTGAATGGTAACAGTTACAGTTCAAAATTATCTTCAGTCTAATTTTGAACATGGAAAAATGAAAGAAAAGTAAAATGGGACACATGTTGCCAGATGGAAGGAAGTGACTTCTTGAGAAAGATCAGATCTTAAAGATCAGACTGGCTATTTATCTATCTTTCTATCATCTGTCTGTCTATACAATAAAAAAGGAGATCTACTTTATACACAAAAGTGGAACTAAGAAGTAGAAGTAAGAAGAGGAGATAATTGAGCTATTATTGGTCAATTAGCCACTAGATGTTAAAAAAATCTAACAAAATATAAAAGAGAGGAACTCAGGTACCAAATTAATTAATGCCTCCAGAGGAGCTAAGACCCCAAGATCTATACAAGGAGTTCTCTCAAAGCTGTAAATCAGGAATTAATTATAAAAGCAATTGAGAAACAGCTTATAATGATGAATTCTGCTACAAGATGGTTCAACATGTGAACAAATTTGAATGAAGAAGACCTGGAAGATCAGGGTGTAATATTTTTATACTTATTAAATATGCCTTAAAGTAATAGAGTTTCTATAAGGGTATGGCCTAGGGAATTTAAATCAATTATAAATAAAGCACAGGGAGATGGAGAAAAAAAAAACAAAATCAAGTACTAATGCAAGAGAAGGTGATCAGAATTTGCTTGAATGGTGTAATCATGTGGCAGATTCAAAAATTCATTGTTTCTACATGTCTCACAAGAAGACTCTGCAAAACAAAATCTGAAGAACAGTATGGAAGGCAAGGGTTGTACTTGAAAGCTAGGAGGCAGGAGGGCTTCAGATTCCGTGAAAAGTACTATAATCATCCTCCCACAGGTTTTTCCTGCTCACTGTGCAGACAAAATTGGTTCACAGAGACCATGCCATTGCAGTAGAGAAAGAGTTTAATTAACCTGAGGCTGGCCACACAGGAGAATGGCAGTGATCACTCAAATCAATCTTCTCAAAGGCTCAAAGGTTAGGGTTCATATAGACAATTTGGTGGGCAGGGCAAGGGCCAGGTAATGAGTGCTTGCTGATTCATTGGAGATAAAATCACAGGGGTGTGAAAAACAGTCCTTGTGTTTTGAGTCAGCTGCTGAGTGAGGCCACAGGACCTGTTGAGTCATTAGTCATGAATCTGGGTAAGGTCAGTCTGTAAAACAAATCAAATCAAATCTTATGTTTTACAATAGTAATGTTATCTATAGGAGTAACTGAGGAAGTCACAAATGAGACAAAGCTTATAAGCAGAGATGCCAAATATTTACTACATAAAGGCAAAATGTTAAGTAAGTGGTTTTAAGTGTGTAGGATGAGAAGTAAAGGCAAAAGGGAATCTCAGAAGATGGGAAGCTAGAGGAGGGGGGATGTACACATTGTATATGTCTACATTTTGCAAGTAGATGCAAAAGATTTCAAATGCTGGCCTCTGAGAAGAGAGGGAGTGTGCTTATATGAAATTTCCTCTTCCTTCATTGTATAGAAAGCTTAATATCCCATTTAACTGGTTGATATAAAATGGCTAAAAATGAGAATAAAATTTCTTTATTTAACAATTCCTCTTTCTAGTTTCAAGACTCCACCAGAGCCCCTGATTGACAAAGATATTAGAAATGTTCATTGTACTTTATATTGAGTTCAGAGGTTATTTCATTTTTACTTTTGTTTGGTATTTATACTACTTTGGTGATCTAAGTGTCTTTCTTCTGGTTTGGTATGTGTCATTAATTTTGAAAACTTTCAACCAATATCTTTTAAAATGTGTTTTGCTGTCCTGTTTCTTTCTTCTTCTTCTGGATTTCACTTACAAATGAATGTAATGGTATTACAAATAAATGACACAACCCCACTGAAGGATGTAGAACCTACCGAAGTAACCTTGAAAATGGCATTTTTACTATATACTAAAAGACAAGACAAAAAGAACCATATGAAAATACTGTATTTTTTAGTAAATTAGTTTTTCACAGGGTAATATGGATACCTTGTGCCTCTTTGCTTTCATTTTAGTAGCTTTTAAATGTTCCTCCCCACTAATTGTCCAAACCAGTCTTCACCCCTCTGAACACAAACAAAAGTGTGCTAATTTTACTCAAAGTCATTCTGTTGTTAAAATATTCTCAGCCTGTTTTCCCTCCATGTCTTCCCTCCCTTTCAATGCAATTACCTTTTTTAGCTACAATTAGCTTCCAGGGAGCACCTACTATGTGGCAAGCATTCTGAGTACTTTACACAGACTCATATCCTCACATGCACATATGTAAGTATATTACATACACATGCACATACTCTCATAAACATATATTCATAATCACATTCACAATTATAATCACATACTTCGACTCAATCACATACTCATAAACATGGGCAGGAAAACATATACATGCTCAAATATATATGTATTCACATGATCACATACACAATAACATGTACATACACAATCACACACACATGTACAATCACAAGTACATACAAAATCACACAGCTATGTGAAATCATTTACTTATACAAAGTCACATACACAATCATATACAATACACATTACATCCTCTTAAAAATCCTATAAGTTTGGGTCCCATTATTATCATGTTCATTTTTCAAATGAGGAAATGAGGTACAAAAGTTGTATGAAATTATTCTGCTTGTAAGTGATACAGCCTATATTTGAAATGTGAGGAGTCTGACTCTAGAGTCCATGTTCTTAATCAAAATGTTATACGTTTTGGCACCGAAACATTTTCTTTGGTTTTTAATACTAGTAACTGTTTTCACTGTCCACTACTCTGTGTTTAGCCTGTAATAATTCATTGTCTGCATTATCTTTTTAACCATGTTGTTTTGTTCCAAGTTATGACCTTCTAGATGGCTCCAGGGGTCTAAATATAATTCCCTTTATAAATTTTCCTGCATTTGTAAAGAAAGTGTATTTTCTCCACTATTACAAATTCATATAAATTAATCTGAAGGTTAAATATTTTTTAAATTAATATTTTACAAATTTCTAAATATTAAATAACTATGTGTTCAAAAAAAAATTTGAAATATTTTATATAAAATATAAAGTATTCTAAGGCCAAGTAAATAAGGAAATACCTTGCAGATAATGAGAGTCCATTTTCTTCTTCCAGTGAAGGAGTTATAAACAAGGAAAGAAAAGGCTAGAAAGAATTCCATGGAGTTAATTTGGAATTAGAGTTGTCAGTATGAATTCTGACTTAAATATTGTAAACATAGGTAGATAAATATATAAATAGAGTTAGATATATGTGTATGTGCATATGTCTGTTCAGAAGGCTAAGAAAAAACCTACACTAGTAGTAGAAGTAAGAATATCTAGTGCAAAGATCTTATTTTCTAAATATTTTTGTCTAATAAAAAAAACTCCTGGGACATGGAAAATTCAAGTTGATCCTGGAATAACTTGTGGCAGCATAAAGTTAAGAAATGCTCCAAAAAGTGATGGCGGTATGTCAAGAGGCACAGCTTGAAGGGGCTCTCGATGGCCAAATATGACACAACATAAACAGCTGCATATCCATGATTTTATTCTAATATAAACAGAATAAAATAAATATTCATGATACTATTATCATATAAATAACTGAAATGGCCAATATGATGAAACCCTGTCTCTACCAAAAATACAAAAAAATTAGCTGGATGTGGTGGCATGCACCCGTAGTCCCAGCTACTCAGGAGGCTGAGGCAGAAGAATTGCTTGAACCCAGGAGATGAAGGCTGCAGTGAGCAGAGATCACACCACTGTACTCCAGCCCAGGCAACAGAGAAAGACTCTGCCTCAAAAAAAAAAAAAAGAAAAGAAAAAAGAAAGAAAAATGGTAACACTACCATGACGAAACCTGGCACACATTACCTTAGTAAAATGATTGAAGTTAACATCACCAATAATGATACAAATTGTTATCATGTACCTCCTGATATGATTTATTGGGATGATCACAACACAATCACTTTTGTGACCTTTTTGCTATCTCATGAAAGATGAAAAAAGATTAAAGAACAACCGAAGATTGAAGGAGACTACAGAGACATGACAACTAAATACAATGTAGGATCCTGGACCAACAATAAAAAACTTGACAAAACAGTTGAGGAAATTTGAATAAGATCTGCAGTTTAGTTAACTGAATTGAATCAACTTTATTGTCCTTATTTAGATAATTGCTCTGGAGTTATATAAGATCTTAACCTTTGAGGAAGCCAAATGAGGGGAAAATGGAGATTTTTGTGGAATTTTTGCAATATTTTTAAACTCTGAAATTATTTAAAATTAATGTTATTAATAAAAATACAAAAATCTAATAAATAGATATCTCTTTGTACTATTCTTTGCATCTAGAACCCATATCTAGAAACCAAAATAAAGGACAACAGGGGTTTGATACCAGAGAGACAGAGATTTATCAACATAGTCACTGAAATTACTTTTATATTCTTACATTTATTTTTCTCATATTTACTTTTTCTACCCTCTACTTAAGATTCCTTCAATGTCAGTGTTAATTTCATTCTAGAAATCATTCACCATCAAGAGTCTTGAATTTGTGAAGGTGTGATAAGCCCAATTGAAGTGTTGTAAACTGTTTACAATTAAAACTTGTTTTCAGAAAATGAAAGTAATAGTTTTTATGCATTGTTGTAACCTCTTTGACTAATTTTAGTCAGGCCTTTAGATGTTTTTTGTGGGCACAGGGAAATTTATGAATTTATGCTTCTGGCAGAATTAGTCATTATTTGATATTAGAGAAATAGCACCGACTTCTCCATTCCCAATGTTAACATGAGATATCTCTGAGAAGAAATTACAAACCTAAACATGAAGTGTTAGAGTTTTGGAAAAACAATGAAAGGGCCAGTGGCTACAAAGAGTAGAACATGCTGGGAAGAGGTTAAGGTTGATAGTGCAGGATATCGCAAATCACAAAAGGATTTAGCTCTATATCATAAGGACACTAGAGAGCTATTGGAGGGTTTTCAGCAGAAAAATCATAATATTAGATTTACGCATAGCTTTGGAAGTGCTGATGAAATAAAGGAAAGAAAAGCTTCCAGAAGTTGTGATTCACTGGAGTTCATTTGGAAGTTGTCGTGAGTCTTAGCATTTTAGAGGAAGACATTGGTGGCAGTCTCAACTCCCAGACAGAATTAAATTGGTTTCAACAGTCTAGAGACTAGGATACATTCTCTAGGAGAACTTCACATGGAGACCACCACCGCTGCAGATTTTAATTGTTTGCATGCTCAAAGGAGGTGAGCTCTTGAGAGAGTTCAATATTGCTTGTGAGTGAGTTCATCTGAATTGTCAATAGAAAACAATGGCTTCATCTATTCTGCTTTCCAAATCTTACCTGAGTACTTCTCAGTTGAAGGCTATAAATCAGGTAGAAGGCATGGAAGGAGATTCTACAAAATTTATTTCCAAGATTCTCTTCCTTGACGCACATGAGAGATGATAATGAAGTAAACATTAGTTAATGTTGCTATGTATGATCTATTTACTTATGGTGATATATTCTATCCATTATTTATTTAATGATGATTATAGTGACAACATATAATTTATTGAGATGATCACAACACACATATCAGAGTTTGATAAATACTGAGTGAAATTATCTGATTATGCAAAAACAAAAATTTCAGTGCGACTTACATGCACTTTATATTTACCCTCATAAAATTATTATGAAACGACAAGGGTCTTGGTTATTTTCCCCCAAACAGGTGGCTCTGTACAAGAAAGTCGATTGTACAGATGATGGAAATTTTTAAAAGGATGAAGAAAATAAGACTTTTTTTTTGGACAGAGTCTTGCCCTGTTGCCCAGGCTGGAGTGCATTGGTGTGATCTTGGCTCACCGCAACCTCCACCTCCCAGGTTCAAGAAATTCTCCTAACTCAACCTCCCCAGTAGCTGGGATTACAGGCATACACCACCACACCTGGCTAATTTTTGTATTTTTAGTAGAGACGGGGTTTCGCCATACTCGTCTGGAACTCCTGACCTCAAGTGATCGGCCCGTCTCGGCCTCCCAAAGTGTTGGGATTACAGGTGTGAGCCACCACGCCCAGCTGTAAACAAGTTTTAACTGCCCTCCTCCAAAAAGATTGTATTTGTCTGTTTGTTTTCAACTAAATTAAAGAATAGAAAAGTCAGTCCCCTGTGGCTGTTGCTGTGCTGTATCAATGAAAACACCACTTGATCCTTGGGCAATTAAATAAATAGGATTCATAAAATGGTAGAAGTCAGAGCTCCAGCAAATGAAAACATTTCCTATCACTTTAAAGATAGAAATTTAGTTTAAATTGAAACTGAGGTAACTTGTTTTATAGAACTCTGCAGTTTCCCACACGACTTGCAATAAAAATTTTAAATAAAAGAAAACCAAGGGCTTCTATGGAAATTTGTATGGTGCATTCAGTAGTAAATTTAGTAGTGCAACTATGGAATAATGATGTTTGCTCTATTGGTCAGCATAAGAGGTTTATGAATCATTTTTCTATTTTGAATTTGAAGTTAACAGGTAAAATAACTTCTGTTTAACAAGTTGTCTGCTACACATTCCTCACAATCTGGAAGAAAGTTTTAACTTGGACAAGTGTGACAACACATACTCAAGCAAAAAAACTGGCCTCTAGGTTTAAGATATCCAAATTTAGACTGGATCTCACCTGTTTATGTAAGCTTTATGGTTGTGTCAAGTTTGTCCTATAAACTTGTGAATAAAAAGAGTTTTAATGCAATAATAAAAACATGATGATATTTTAATAGTTCAATAGAAAGGTAATGCTGAGTTAATTTTATAGATGGATTTTACCATGGAAAGAGTAACATATATCCCCTGACTGATTATCACTTGTTTTTTTCTCACTCTATTCTTTGATGTTCTGGACGTTGTTGATATCCAACAAATTTCATTATTTTAGATTTCCTTAGGTATAGTACTGTCCAAGAAATATCTACACTTCTTTCCTGGGGCATATCCCATAAGGAATGATAGTTTATTCTTTAGTTTTTTATTCCTTTTTAATTCCATCACCTACTTGAGGAAACTGTACCTAGCAAGTTTCCACACCTGGTTTAAACAAACAGATTAAAGTAAAAGAAGTTAAGAAATAGTTTAATATCATTTATAGCTACTGTGATTTTCAATGGAGGAAAAATTGTTATCATTATAAAAATGCAAACCTATTTTCTTTCTGTCTCTCTCTCTCTCTTTCTTTTTTTTGACGGAGTCTTGCTCTGTCGCCCAGGCTGGAATGTAGTGGCATGATCTTGGCTCACTGCAACCTCTGCCTCCTGGGTTCCAGTGATTCTCGTGCCTCAGCCTCCCAAGTAGCTGGGATTACAGGCATGCACCACCATGCCTGGCTAATTTTAGTATTTTTAGTAGATATGGGGTTTCACCATGTTGGCCAGGCTGGTCTTGAAGTCCTGACCTCAAGTGATCCACCCAACTCGGCCCCCCAAAGTGCTGGGATTACTGTGTGTTTATTTCTAAGAACAACAAGGAAGTTCTTAATGCTTTCTGTTAATAATAATCCACATTTACTAAACATTCATTGTGTTCTGGAAACTGTCATAAGTCATGTTACTTAAATTATTTCATCAAACAAATAATATCATGGCTCTTGTTTACAAATACTGTAACTGAGATACAGAGAAGTAATTAACTTGTTAAAATTTGATGACTCAACTCCCCAAAAAGACAAAAAGACCACCAGAAAAACCGTTGATGAATCAAAGCTAGGTCTAGGTAAGAAAACTACCTTGACAGAGTCTTAATGTTTAAGAATAGGGGTCCCCAACCCCTGGGCCACAGACCAGTACCTGTTTGGAATTGGGCTGCATGGCAGGAGGTGAGCAGCAGGCGAGTTAGCAATACCACCTGAGCTCCACCTCCTGTCAGATCAGCGGCAGCATTAGATTCTCATAGGAGGGAGAACCCTATTGTAAACTGCACGCAAGGGATCTAGGTTGTGTGCTCCTTATGAGAATTTAATGTTTGATGATCTGAAGTGGGACAGTTTCATCCCCAAACCATCTCCTCCAACCCCCAATCTGTGGAAAAATTGTCTTCCATGAAACCGGTCCCTGGCGTCACAAAGGTTGGGAACCTCTTTCTTAGAAGGTTAAGGAGATGATATATAGAGAGAGTTTCGTATCTGAGTTTCAGGGATTTAAGGCAAGTCTTTAGAAGAGAGAAATTGATTATAACTGGGCAGCATTTATAATATCATTGTTTGATTGGTGGACCTGAAAAAAAATCTTTGTAAGTAAACTATTCTGTGGAAAGTAAGTTGTTTGCCCCAGTGAGCAAACTGTTTGTTCAGGTAAGTTATTTTGCAGGCAAGCTATTTATTTGTTTAAAGTACTTTATTCTTGATCAATAAATGTTTGGAAACAAAAGTTTGTCTCTGTTCTTAGCCTTGATAATTAAGCTATTTGGACACAGCTTAACATCATATAGGAGGCTGCTTAGAAATAGTAATAGTAGGCTGGGTGCAGTGGCTTACACCTGTAATCCCAGCACTTTGGGAGGCCGAGGCGGGAAGGTCACGAGGTCAGGAGTTTGAGACCAGCCTGACCAACACGGTAAAACCCCGTCTCTACTAAAAGTACAAAAATTAGCCAGGCATGGGTGCGCACCTGTAATCCCAGCTACTCAGGAGGCTGAGGCAGAGGAATCGCCTGAACCTGCGAGGCAGAGGTTGCAGTGAGCCAAGATTGCGTCATTGCACTCCAGCCTGGACAACAGAGTGAGACTCGATCTCAAAAAAAAAAAAAAATTTAATTAATTTAAAAAAAGAGAAAAAGAAATAGTAACAAAAACAACAATAATAATGAACAATAATAATGTGTACATTCATTATTTCAGTTTAAGATATTTGAGAAGTTTTGGGACTTTGCATGGTGTCCATTTACAAAGACAAAGAATATCATGGCTAAATTATGTTTATAAAAT
Organism: Homo sapiens; assembly: GCF_000001405.40. Classification (NCBI taxonomy): domain Eukaryota; kingdom Metazoa; phylum Chordata; class Mammalia; order Primates; family Hominidae; genus Homo; species Homo sapiens. Next base: position 65,853,518 of record NC_000010.11, on the reverse strand, counting down.
CTAGCAAAGACAAAAGGAATTTGGGTTTATGGAAGATAAGTCACAGACTAGGGTTCGAATTATACTAGAAACTTTGATAGGCCATCAGCCTAACACTAGACTATAATCAATATGTTCTTGGCATAATATGAGAATGATAAGCATTTGGCAATGAACTCATTTCTGCTCCATTTTTATAACATAATCTGTGTAATCTACCTGATATAAATAGACATATTTTCAGCCCTTTTTCTTGGGGGCATTTTTCTTGTAGGAAACTAATGATAGAATCCATTGAATTGGCATTATTATTATTATTATTATTGTTATTATTATTTTAAGAGGGAGTCTCGCTCTGTCACCCAGGCTGGAGTGCAGTGGCACAACCTCTGTTCACTGCAAGCTCCACCTCCCAGGTTCACACCATTCTCCTGCCTCAGCCTCCCAAGTAGCTGGGACTACAGGCACCCACCACCACGCCTGGCTAATTTTTTGTATTTTTAGTAGAGATGGGATTTCACTGTGTTAGACAGGATGGCCTCGATCTCCTGACCTCGTGATCCACCCACCTCAGCCTCCCAAAGTGCTGGGATTACAGGCGTGAGCCACCGCGCCTGGCCTGAATTGATACTGTAGTCAGGTAACTATGTGTCACTTGTCATGGACCCATTAAACCTCGAGTGCATTCAACCAATCAAAATGTAGCAATTCTTTGGTCTCTTAACAATAGCAAAACTATGTTTAAACTGATCTAGTAGTATCAGGTACTGTTCTTTATAAACATAATCTACCTATGAATGAGGATACAGCAGCTTTTATCAGTTATTGTTACAATCAAGTTAACTTTAATAACCCACGTATCCCAGCTGAATGTCACATCAAAGGGTAGCCTGACAGCCCTCAAATTCTGCATATGATCATTAAACTTACTCTTCTCTTCTCCCTCTGAGCAGCTTTTTCAGTGTGGATTTCCTCTGTTCCATACCATGTCTAACCAGTTATAAAATGTTCAGTTTCTTCACCAGCATTGGCCTCTGAAAATAAATCAATCACATGAGGGTTGCATGAGATTTATGACATATATTGCACAAAAACAGAAAGAGAGATTAAAACTCTTTATTAGAAATATCTACGCTCTATAATATTTCTTATTTACATGTACCCAGTGATTGTTCTCATCCTACAGCAGCCAATCTTGGGTTCTTTCATAATGCCTCTCTCATTTCTTTTTTTCTATCATCTTTTTAATCCTTCAACACTATTCATCTTCCCAGGAGAAAACAAAAACAAGTCAAACTTAAGTGCATCTCTTGATTTTCTTATCAACCATTTTCTCTGTTGCTTTCGGGACAGCCATCCAGGCATTCAAATCATCATTTTTTATGTTAATCTCTCATCAAATAATTTCTGTAAACAAAAAGATATCCCTCTCTCAGAAGAATCCTGGAATCCATCCACTAATATTGTTTACATCATAGGGATCAAAACACAGATTAATGAAAACAGGTGAATTGCCCAATCATTTGACCAATATCTTTAACTTTCTAACCTGCCCAGAGTGAAAGTTTTAGATGCAAATTTGAATGTTGTAACATTAAAGGCCAAAATTCTTTCTTTAGAAAAACATACCTTCTCCCAGTAGGCTTCACTAGTTCTAGCACTCTGGCATTAACCATAACTAGTATGAAATTCCCTTTTCAGTTATGCCTTTAAAAGCCCAGACCATCTCTCTAATACAGCCAGTAACCTGTATAAAAAACAGAATGAGCAACATGCTTTTGGACCCAGGAACTTCTCTAGGCTCGTCCTCCCCACCAACTTCCTATATTACTTCGCTCTTCTGTTGGCCAACAACTCAATTTTGGCTTTCTGCATGATTTTGCCTTTGGGATTTAAATTCCAAATCTGAAATGAGCAATCTAGTTTTATGATAAGTAATTTATTTTATACCTAAATTGGCCTCTCATTTAATTCCCTGGAATTGATGGCTTGTTTTTGAACAATTTTATTTTTTAATTTTAATTTTTTTATTTTCACAGGATTTTGGGGAACAAGTGGTGTTTGGTTACATGAATAAGTTCTCTAGTGGTGATTTCTGAGATTTTGGTGCACCCATCACCTGAGCAGTGTACACTGTACCCAATTTGTAGTCTTTTATCCCTCATCCCCCTCCCACCCTTTCCTGAGTCCCCAAAGTCTATTGCATCATTCTTACGCATTTGCATCCTCATAGCTTAGCTTCTGCTTATGAGTGAGAATATACAGTGTTTGGTTTTCCATTCCTGAGTTACTTCGCTTAGAATAATGGTCTCTAATTCAGGTCGCTGTAAATGCCATTATTTTGTTCATTTTTATGACTGAGTAGTATTCTATGGTGTGTGTGTATATATATATGTATGTGTGTGTGTATATATATATATATATCACAATTTCTTTATCTACTTGTTGATTGATAGGCATTTGGGCTGATTCCATATTTTTGCAATTGTGAATTGTGCTGCTATAAACATGCGTGTGCAAGCATCTTTTTCATATAACAACTTCTTTTCCTCTGGGTACATACCCAGTAGTGGGATTGCTGGATCAAATGGTTAGTTCTACTTTTAGTTCTTTAAGAAATCTCCACACTGTTTTCCATAGTGGCTGTACTAGTTACATTCCCACCAGCAGGATAAAAGTGTTCCCCTTCCACCACATTCACACCAATATCTATTATTTTTTGATTTTTTTTAATTATGGCCATTCTTGCAGGAGTGAAGTGGTATTGCATTGTGGTTCTGATTTGCATTTCCCTGAATAATAGTGATGTTAAGCATTTTTTTATATGTTTGTCGGCCATTTGTATATCTTCTTTTCAGAATTGTCTATTCATGTCCTTAGCCCACTTTTTGATGAGATTGTTTGTTTTTTTCTTGATAATTTGTTTGAGTTCCTTGTAGATTCTGTCTATTAGTCCTTTGTTGGATGTATATAGATTGTGAAGATTTTCTTTCATTCTGTGGGTTGTCTGTTTGCTGATTGTTTCTTTTGCTGTGCAGAAGCTTTTTAGTTTTTTTAAGTCCCATCTTTTTCTCCTTGTTTTTGTTGCATTTGCTTTTGAGTTCTTGGTCATGAAGTCTTTGCCTAAGCCAATGTCTACAAGGGTTTTTCCAATGTTATCTTCTAGAATTTTTATGGTTTCATATCTTAGATTTAAGTCCTTGATCCGCCTTGAGTTAATTTTTGTATAAGGTGAAAGATGAGGATCCAGTCTCATTCTTCTACATGCAGCTTGCCTATTATCCCATCACCATTTGTTGAATATGGTGTTTTTTCCCTACTTTATGTTTTTGTTTGCTTTGTCAAAGATCAGTTGGCTGTAAGTATTTGGCTTTATTTCTGGGTTCTTGATTCTGTTCCATTGGCCTATGTACCTATTTTTATACCAGTACCATGCTATTTTGGTGACTATCACTTGTAGTTTAGTTTGAAGTCAGGTAATCTGATGCCTCCTGATTTGTTCTTTTTTGCTTAGTCTTTCTTTGGCTATGTGGGCTCTTTTTTTATTCCATAGGAACAATAGGATTACTTTTTCTAGTTCTGTGAAGAATGATGGTGGTATTTTAATGGGAATTACATTGAATTTGTATATTACTTTTGGCAGTATGGTCATTTTCACAATATTGATTCTACTCATCCATGAGCATGGGATGTGTTTCCATTTGTTTGTGTCATCTATGGTTTCTTTCAGCAGCGTTTTGTAGTTTTCATTGTAAAGGTCTTTCATTTCTTTGGTTAGGTATATTCCTAAGTTTCTTTTTTTTTTTTTTTTTTTTTACAGCTGTTATAAAAGAGGTTGAGTTCTTGATTTGATTCCCAGCTTGGTTGCTGTTAGTGTACAGCAGTGCTACTGATTTGTGTACATTAATTTTGTATCCTGAAACTTTGCTGAATTAATTTATCAGTTCTAGGTGCTTTTTGGATAAGGCTTTAAGGCTTTTTAGGCATACGATCATATCATCAGCAAACAGCGACAGTTTGACTTCCTCTTTACTGATTTGGATGCCCTTTATTTCTTTCTCTTGTCTGATTGCTCTGCCTAGGACTTCCATCACTATGTTGAATAGAAGTGGTGAGAGTGAGCATTCTTATCTTGTTCCAGTTCTCAGAAGAAATGCTTTCAACTTGTCCCTATTCAGTATATGTTGGCTGTGGGTTTGTCATAGATAGTTTTTATTATATTGAGGTATGTTCCTTGTATGCCGATTTTCCTCAGAGTTTTAATCATAAAGAGATGCTGGATTTTGTTGAATGTTTTTTTTCTGCATCTATTGAGAGGATCATGTGATCTTTGTTTTTAATTCTGCTTATGTGGTGTATGACATTTATTGACTTGACTATATTAAACCATCCCTGCATCCCTGGTATGAAACTCATTTGATCATGGTGGATTATCTTTTTGATATGCTGATGGACTCAGCTAGTATTATGTTAAGGATTTTTGCATCTATATTCATCAGGTATATTGGTCTTTAGTTTTGTTGTTGTTATGTCCTTTCCAGGTTTTGGGGTTAGGGTGATACTGGCTTCATAGAATAATTTAGGGAGGATTCTCTCTTTCTCTATCTTGTGGAATAGTGTCAATAGGATTGGTACCAATTCTTCTTCGAAAATCTGATAGAATTCAGCTGTGAATCTGTCTGGTCCTGGACTTTTTTTTGTTGGCAATTTTTAAATTGCCATTTCAATCTCACTGCTTGTTATTGGTCTGTTCAGAGTTTCTATTTCTTTCAGGAGTTTTTGAACAACTTTCTAATAGCACTCATGTTTCCTGATTGATGCTATTCTTGCTTAATATCTATTTCTTGGTCTCTACGTTACATAGCTTTGAGTAACAGACCATGGCCATTCTTCCTTCTTCACAGGCCCCTCCTCTGTCCACCCATTCTTGGTTTATTCCTCTTTTTTCTCTACACATTCATTGGGTAATTTCAGTCGATTACATGATTTATCAATGTGTTAATGAATTCTACATCTATATTTCCAGCCCCTTTAATCTGTTGCAGATACTCAATTGGATTGCTATAGGCATTCACCCTTCTTCAATATTTAGATAAGGAGTCAGCTCTTAGAGTTAGTCTTTATCCAACTCTGAAGCTGTGTTAACTTTCCTTCTCTGTACTTTTATTGTGTTCTATGAACACTTCTATCAAGCATTAACTGCAGTCCTGATTATGTGTTTTATCTGTTAATCTCTTACTAGATTGCAAGCTCCCTGGAGGCAAGAACTTCACCTAAATAAACCTTGCATTTCCAGCACAGAGTTTCTGAAATATTTTGAAAATATTTTAAGTAATAGATAAATGTAAGGAGGTTTTTAAAAAAGAAAAAATTCAAACCCTTTTACAATGGAGTATGTTTTCTTGGAAGGTAATGTGTGCTCCAATAAGATATTGGCAATTACTTTCGAGGAAAAATGTAGGCATTGTGTATGCAGCAGACCGGCAGCTGGACTCCATAACCTCTAATATCTACAATGTTTATAAACCTATGATCCTGGAATGCTCTGGAAGAAATTACATAAGAGGAAAAAGTTAACTTTTTTGGCACATTGTCCAAAGTTTCTAATTAATCATTTTGCCAATTCTAAATGTGCTGCTTAATTGCTCAGAAATCAAATTACATTAACACTACCAAAAGCTATTGAAATTTGGCACAAATTCCATTAACAGATGAAGTATCATTTAAATTACATGCTTCATTTATTTCATTATTTTAAAATCATCACATGAGTTTAGAGTAAACGAGCACACAACTTATAACAATTTACTTTTGGCAAGTATTTGTGTCTTCCAGTGACAGGATCTGCACACACTCACTCTGATACAATGAAGAGTGACCTCCAATTTGGTTTTATGCTTAATGTGTTTTGCTATGTTGACAAAACATATTTGAGCTTGCTGCAAAGTGATTGAAGTAAGAAAAGTGAGATGGGAAAATTTTAATGCAAGGCAAAATACAAGCTCAAATTCAATGAGTAAAATTTTTAAATTTTGCCTAGATTCTTTTGTAATGTTGTAAATCAGTCATCTTCATGAAAAACAGATGTCATAAAAAAGGCTGTAGGAAAATCTGGAAGTGTTTTTGGATTGAATTTGTACAAATTCTTAGTTTACATACATTGTAGAGGAGAAGAAATGGACTCTGAAATTAAGTAATTTGCTTAAGGTTATAGTAAGGAAATACCAGCAGTTCATGTTATTTTTTCTTAGGCTTTTATTTTTTAAAGTGATAATTTTATGACTATTTCTCTTCTGCTCAATGTTTATTTCTAAAAGGATTTTGTAGAGCCCAATAGCGCTACAGTGAAGACCACATCCTGTGGATTGTTGCACGTATTTTTTTTTATGTATGGGTATGAATGTATGTACATTGTGTGATGGTTCTGAAGGCAGTGAATATTCCAGGTGACATGTATCAGGCGGAAATAGATATACATAAAAAGTGGGTATTAAATGATCAAAGCTTGACTTTTTAAAACGTGTTTATTCTTACAGTTTAGCTTGTTGTTTTCCTTTTTTCCTTCTGAGCAACATAAATTATAACAAAAAGTGTAATAAAAGTATAATAAAAAGAAAACTTTTTTGCTAAGGGTGGAGAGTAAAGGACTAGACTCCCAGAAACACTTCTATGTCCTCAAATTATCTCCAAGCCTCGGACATATAGTTACTTCAACTCTAGGGGCTTTTTTTTTTTTTCCAAGTTTTCAAGCACAATCAAGTAATTTTGGCTTAACATAGAATATTATGAAGTGTCAGAGATTTGAACTTTGTCCAGTGGTTCTGAGACTAACAGACAAGGCTGAGCCAGCAAAATTTCACATAACAAGGGTAAGAGTACCCAAATCCTCTTGTAAAAATTCCTTCTCTTTCCAAACATTTATCTGTCTTTGGCTGCCACCTTCTCTTTTCAGACATAGAGAATTAAACTAATATAAAACTTAGAAGCATCTGAGCCACAGGAAGAATCATATTCACCAAGAATTCTGACTGATCATCCATATGTAATGTTGTATGGTTACATTCTTCTCAGTGTCTCTTGTACATGTGCATATTGCATTTTCACAATTAATGTTTTCTCCATGCATGGTTGACTGTATTAAAAAAAGGTTTTTGAGAAATTACTCTGTCACTGGAATATTCAGTAGTTTATCCTTTTTCATCCATGAACACACATATATAATCAATTTGGGTATTCTAAAGAGTGTATTTCCTCTAACTGCAAGAAAGGCATATTTTGCCTATTTAATTAATCAAGCTGAGTTCCATTTCAAGGGGCTGAATTGTATCATCATGAAGTTTTAATAAATTATAAATCTTTAGATGGTTAAAGGCAACATTACCCAGGCTTAACATAATGGAGTTGGACTAATACATCCAGAGCTCCATTCTCTGGGATTGAGATATGCTTGCCTCCAGGCAAGTGGCATGAATTAGTCAAGACATTTCTTGCTGAGAAAGCACACTGCAGAACTGGAAATCTCTTTACAAGATCCTACATAATGTTTTGCTCACACTAACCCTTCATTTATCACTAATTGTCATATAGGGATAAATATGGGAGTTGACTTCTTAGATAATGGATAATATATACTGATGCAATTTGTTTTAGATATTGAGAGAACAGTCAGTGTCACAGATGAAGCTGATTGCTTTCTGAGAGACTGAAAACTGGTTAATACATTTTGATCAAAATTCTATTTTATTTTTCATTAAAGGAAGGGAAGTAACGCTGGAATTCGACTGGCTGCAGGTCATCTGCCCAAATTATAGAGTGATGTCATAATAATTCACATCATTAGTGAGTTTTAATATTCCTGACAGTCTCTGAAACAAATAGAACTTTTCTTTTCTTTCATTTTTTTCCTTTTTTTTTTTTTTGAGACGGGGCTTCCCTCTGTTGCCCACGCTGGAGTGCTGTGGCACAGCCTCTGCTCACTGCAACCTCAACCCCCTGGGTTCAAGCAATCCTCTCACCTCAGCCTCCCAAATAGCTGGGACTACAGGCTTGCCACCATACCCAGATAATTTTTGTAATTTTTGTAGAGATGGGATTTCACCATGTTGGCCAGGCTGGTCTCAAACTTCTGAGCTCAAAGGATCCACCTACCTCGGCCTCCCAAATTGCTGAGATTACCGGCATGAGCCACCATGCCTGGCCAAATGGAACTTTTGAGTCACAATCACCCCAATATAATCTATTAAAATGTTTAACTCTTTAAAAGGTAAACTTCTATGGAGGGTATTTGGACCGGATAATTTAACAATTATATTTCTGACTAGTCACGTAAAAATTTGACAATGTGTAATAAAAGTAACTTGTCATTTTATTTAGGTGCAGATGTAAATTATGTGACAAGGAGCACCTAGTCACCGTTTAACATCCCCACATTATTGTGACTTTATCATTCTCTGTTACCGTTCATTGAGAGTCTGAATGGATATCTTGTATTTACTTTTTATTAAATTTAAATTTTTCTTACCTCATTTAGTGGGAGAGATTATATTTGGTAATTTGAGAAGCATGAAAAATATTCATCTCAAATGTAAGGGCCTGCCAGTTGCGGTGGCTCACACCTGTAATCCCAGCACTTTGGGAGACCAAGGCAGGCAGATCTTCTGAGGTCAGGAGTTCGAGACCAGCCTGGCCAACATGGAGAAACCCTGTCTCTACTAAAAATACAAAAATTAGCCTGGTGTGATGGTATGTGCCTTTAATCCCAGCTAGTCAGGAGGTCGAGGCAGGAGAATTGCTTGGAGGCAGGAGAATCGCTTGAACCCAGGAGGCGGAGGTTGCAGTGAGCCAAGATCTCGCTACTGCACTCCAGCCTGTGTGACAAGCTGAAATCTGTCTCAAAAACAAAAACAAAAAGAAACAACAACAAAAAAACCCCATCAAATTCAAGGGCCTACTATATAATGGTATTTACAAAACCAATATCAAATATAATGAATAAAACATTCAACTAAGTATCAGAAGACAATTATTTAATTCAGCTCTGCAACACTCAAAGTGTGTTCCATGGAACAAATCCTGGTTTTTCTAGAGGGTAGGAACTTGAATGTCATTTCTAAACATGTTTCTTCCCAAACTACCACATCATTGCTAAGTCTTGAAAATTCTACCTAATATATGTGGAATATAGAATTCATTCTCTTCTCACTAAATATGACTATCCAGTGATTTTCAGCCTTCAATAACTTTAACCTTAATTATGGCAATAGTTCACTATCCTGTACAATCTGTTTTCCACACAGAAGCTTGAGAAATATTTTACACACATTTGTCTGATCATATCCAATTACTTTTATTAGCTCTCTCTCTCTCTTTCTGTCTCTCTCTCTCATACACACACACACACACACATACTTATAATCCTATAATATTCTCTGGTTCTTCAGAGCATAAAATCCAAAAGCAATGACATAGCCTACAAAGCCAGGAATAATCTATGCCTTCTCTACCTGGAAATTCTCTCTTCCTTTCTTTTTTCTTTTGGAGTTTTGTTTTGTTTTAAGTATACTTTTTATTTTGGAATAGTTTTGGAATTACAGAAAATGTGCAAATGTAGTACATAGGAATCCCACAAATCCCATATTCACTTCCCTTTATTGTTAACATATTACATTAGTTTGGAACAGTTGTCACAACTAAAGAATCAATGTTGGCACACTTTATTAACCATACTTTGTTCAGATTGTCTCAGTATCTCCCTAATGTTATTTTCTGTCACAAGAACCCATGCAGGATGCCACATTACATATAGTTGTTACATTTCCTTAGGCAATTTTTGGCTGTCACAGTTTCTCAGATTTTCTTGTTTTTGATTATCTTAACAGTTTTGAGGAATTTTGGGGTATTGTGTAGAATGTCTCTCAATCAGAATTTGTCTGATGTTTTTCTCATGATCAGACTGGGATAATGTATTTTGGGGTGAAGACCACATAAATAAAATGTAATTTTTCTTACATCAAGCGTATATCCAATCAACATGACATCACTGTTGATATTAACCTTGGTCACATGGGTTGATAGAGTGTTTGTCAAATTTCCTCATTTTAAATGACCCCTGAATTTCCGTTAATTACTATTGAAATAAAACTATTATTAGAAGCCCACATTGGGGAACTGAGAGTTATCATTCTTCCCCTGGAGGGTTGAGTAGCCACATAAATTATTAGCATGTCTTCTGCACAGGATATTTTTATCGTCTGTAATATTTATTTATTTTGCAACCATTTATTTCTACCACTGTAGATTCATGGATACTTATTTTATACTTTGGGTTAAATTCTAATAATATTTTATTAACTTGATCAAAACTTCCCAACTTTGGCCATGCCACACTCTTTCAGTTGGCTCTTGTATACCTCTGGCATACCTACAACCTATTTGGGTTTTTTTCTTTTTAGCAGTTTCTTACTTCTGATGCTGTAAGATGTTCCAGGATCATCTTTTACATTTCCTGCTCAATCCTAGAATCAGTCATTTTTCTGTGGAGTCCTGGTTTCTATTATCGGATAATGGTATTACAAACCAAGATCAGAGCCCTATAGACCTGACAATTTGTTATTTGCAGGTTATTAATTATTATGGTAGTTTATGTCTTACAAGAAATTGGTCATTTCATGTATATTATCAAATCTGTGGACATTGACTTGTTCACAGTGTTTCTTATTATTTTAATGTCTATGAGAATCATGGTGATGACCCCAATGCATTTCAGATATTTGTAATTTTTGTCTCTTCTCTTATTTCTTCGTTAATGCATGATATGGTTTGGATCTGTGTCCCCACCAAATCTCATGGTGAATTGTAATCCCCAGTGTTGGAGGTGGGACCTGGTAAGAGGTAATCAGATCATGGGAGTGGATCCTTCATGAATGGTTTAGCACCATCCCCTTGGTCCTGTTTTCATGACAGATTTATCATGAGATCTGGTTGTTTAAAAGTGTGTGGCACCGTCCCCCCCTCCTTTCTCCTGCTCCATCCATGTGAAGTGCCACCTTCCTCTGCCTTCCGCCATGATTATAACTTTGCTGAGGCCTCCCCAGAAGCCAAGCAGATGCCACCATCATGTCTCCTGTACAGCCTGCAGAACCATGAGCCAGTTAAACCTCCTTTGTTTGTAAATTACCCAGTCTCAAGGATTTCTTTTAGCAGTGAGAGACTGCCCTGATACAACCCAGCTAAAGGTTTATCAATTATATTGATTTTTCCATGTAACTGGATAAGATTTCACTAGTTTTTTTCTATTGTTTTCCTTTTTATAATTTCACTGATTTCTGCTCTAGTTTTTATTATTTATTTCCTTCTTCTTGATTTAAATTTCATGTGCTCTTCTTTTGCCAGTTTTCTAATGTAAAAACTTTGGCTATTGCCTTTGCATTCTCTTAGCATTTCTTTCCCACAAATTTTGACGAATTTTATTATAATTTTTAGTTCAAATTTTAAAAAAATTTATCTTGAGACTTCTTTTACCCATAGTTTGAATGAGTGTTGTTTAATTTCGAAATATTTAGGGATTTCTCAGGCATGTTTCCACTACTGATTTCTAGTTTAATTCTACTGATAACATCCTTTGTATGACTCATATATATTTTTTAATTTGTGAATGTATGTTTTATTGCTCAGAATATGGTTTACCTTGCTGAATATTTCATGCAAGCTAGAGAACACGTATTTTTTTTTTTGAGACAGAGTCTTGCTATGTTGCCCAGCTGGAGTGCAGTGGCAAAATTTTGGCTCACTGCAACCTCTGCCTCCCAGGTTCAAGCGATTCTCCTGCCTCAGGCTCCTGAGTAGCTGGGATTACAGGCGTGCGCTACCACGCCTGGTTAATTTTTGTGTTTTTGGTAGAGATGGGGTTTTACCATGTTGGTCAGGCTGTTCTCAAACTCCTGACCTCGTGATCCACCCACCTTAGCCTCCCAAAGTGCCGGGATTACAGGAGTGAGCCACCGCACCCAGCCCATGTGTTCTTCTTTAGTCAAATGGAGTATTATATAAATGACAATTAGATTGAATTGATTGTTAGTGCTGGTCAGATCATGTATATACTTAATGGATTTCTGCCCGCTTGAGTTATCAATTAATCAGACTATCAATTAACGATAGTGGATTTGTCTATTTGTATTTGGAGATATGTTAGTGTTTTTTTGTTTTGTTTTGAGATGGAGTGTCACTCTGTCACCCCAGCTGGAGTGAAGTGGGGTGATCTCAGCTTACTGCAACCTCCACCTCTTGAGTTCAAGCGATTCTCCTGCCTCAGCCTCCTGACTAGCTAAGATTACAGGTGCACGCCACCGCATCCAGCTAATTTTCGTATTTTTAGTAGAGATGGGGTTTCACCATGTTGGTCAGGCTGGTCTCGAACTCCTGACCTTGTGATCAGCCCACCTCAGCTTTCCAAAGTGCGGGGATTACAGGCTTTAGCCACCCTGCTTGGCCTACTTCATGTACCTTGATATTCTGTGGTTGGGGGCCTATAAACTATGGATTGATATCTCTTAGAGAATAAACATTTTTAAATAGTACCCCCGTTTATTCCTGATAATTTTACTCACTCTGAATCCTGCTTTGTTTGAAATTAACATGCTGATTCCATTTGCTTTTGATCAGTGTTACTATGGTGTATCTTTATCCCTTTATTTTACATGTTAGAGTATTTATATTTAAATTAGCTTTCTTGTGGACATCATAGTGAGGCCTTTTATATGTATTCTGACAAAACATTCTTTAATGGGTGCATTTAGGTCATTCACATTTAAATAGATTATTACTGATATATTTTGACTCATATCAATCCTGTTTCTAATAATTTTCTATGCATTGCCAGAGGCTTCATTTTCTACCTTCTCTGGTATAATTGAGTTTATGATTTCATTTTATCTTTTTTCATAGCATTAGTCATATTCTTTTTAAAAAATCTTAGCGGTTGCCTAGAGTTTACATACATATTTTTAAATAATCTAATTCTATCTTTAAAAATACTGTTCCATTTCAAATGTAGTGTACCTAGGTACTTTATAGCACAATATTCCCAATCCCTCTTCCCCTCCCTTGTGGTATTACTGTCATTCCTTTTGCTTATAACCATGCACTAAAATCATCTAATACATTGTGTCTGAACTTCCCCTTGTTTACCAGGTCCACGGTCCACTTTGTCTTCAAATATTTGAAACTTCTTCATGATTCAGATTCTTCTACTCATTGAGCTATTTCTACTCATGCACTCTTCTGCTTCTTCTTAGCCTTGTAGAGTAGTTACCCTTCAGCTTTTCACTTACATATCATGCCTTTAAATATTAGAGGAGCCTTCCCTGATCCTCCGAGTTATCCTAGATTCCCATGTTACACACACTCATAGTACTTCCTTCTATTTATATAATAGTTACTAAATTGCAATAAGTTGAGTATTTATTTCAGGTCTATATTCAGCTTCTCTGGAGAAGAGCAGAAAAATCTACTGCTGTGAAGCATGTCTTCTTATGAAAAGAGTTCAGGTAAGTAACATATTCATCACTCGGCTTTAGTGTCCAAAAAAGCAATGATCATTTCTTTCTTATCCCACCACTGGCCTGGAATTTATTATGTACTAAATACATCTTTATGGAATAAAGAAGGATATTTTATAGTTAAAATATTTAGGAAACAGTGGTTCCTAAATTGGCATACTTCTTTGAGTGTTTAATATGCTCAACCTCTATTAAAGGGTAAGATTATTGGATAATTCTTCAAATAATTTGACCAAACAAACCTTTTTGAGCAACATGTTGTAGTATTGTCTATTGCTGCTTTTTATGACACAACAGATAAGTTGGGTACTTGTAATAGAGACCCTATAGTTCATAAACCTGAAATATTTATTATATGATCTTTTGCAGAAAACATTTTGTCAACTTCTAGCCAGGGCCATTCATAATGATGAGATGTTTGAGGGGTATTTTCCAGCTCTAATATCATAGCCATCAACATTGCCATTCTACCTAGGAATAAGAAACAGATATGGGTTCTAATAATGCCCTTCATGGAAAATTAGAGTAAGCAAAATAGTGTGTTAGAAGGAGTACAGTTCTGGTAGTTATATGACCCAAGTTTAAGTCCTGGTTTTCTCCCTGGCTTAATTAATTTGGGAAAGTTGCAGAACATTTCCTTACTTTTCACTGTTGTTAGTTCATGTGAATATTCTTTAAATGGAAATAAGGTCATATCTACAGGGGAAAAAAAGCTATGAGTGTATTAAAACAAGTCACTGTAATAGTCGTAAATTGTTGTGTATGTTTTTTAGAAAACAAACCAAATACCCTTACTAAAATTTCCATTTGGGAGAGAGATCCCCAAGCTGTCAATATGGAAGCATAATGAAGTCCATCCACTTCAGTTCAGCAGGTTTAGCAGGTTGTCCCTATTATTTACTTTGAGCCTGGACAATGGTGATGATTATCAGCCTTGCTGACTTTCAAATACCTCACCTGAAACATGCCAGCAAGACCCTATAGTGACTGTGGCTACTGGACTCATCCCAAACTTTGGGTTAGACTGTATCCAAAGGAATGTCAGCAAAGTCTGCAGCATGTAGTCTTCTGGTTTTTTGTTTGTTTGTTTTTTGTCTTTTCCCACAAAAGAGGTTTCAGCATTTCCTTTTCTCAGAGTGGAGTATTTACATGTGGCATATTCTTAGGGGCACTTATCCATAGAACAGAAAACATTTTCAGCAGAGGCAAAGTGTACGGTAAATAAAAGGCATTAACTGAGGCATAAACTAGTTCAGATGTGTGTAGGTCACTTCTTAAGTGACCTAGGTTATGTCCTGATTTGGTTTGGCTCTGTGTCCCCACCCAAATCTCATCTCGAATTTTATCCCCATAATCTCCGTGTGTCGAGGGAAGGATCAGGTGGAAGGTGATTGGATCATGGGGGAGGGTTCCTCCATTGCCATTCTTGTGATAGTGAGTGAGCTCTCATGAGAGCTGATGGTTTTATAAGGGGCTTTTCCCCCTTCACTTCCTGCACACGTTCTCTCACCCGCTGCCATTTAAGTTGTGCCTGCTTTCCCTTCTGCCATGATTGTAAGTTTTCTGAGGCCTCCCCAGCCATGCAGAACTGTGAGTAAATTAAACCTTTGTTTATAAATTACCCAGTCTGGAGTAGTATCTTTATAGCAGTGTGAGAATAGACTAATCCATTTCCCTTCCTATATTCTGAGATTTTCTCACCTGCAAAACATGCGTCCAGGACTGTGTTATGTGAGTTCCCTTCTTACACTGATTTTAAATCATGGAACAAAAGAATTGTGGAGAGATGACAGAATATCCTGTAGTTAAACATGTTATCAGGTGGCACTGATTTTTCAGAGCCTTCGGGTTTTCTGAGTTGTGCTTTTTGAGATTACAGAGGCAGAATTCCACATCATGGAAATTAACCTCTAAATGAGAAATTTTTTAACAAGCAGGCATTATCTTGGGACAAAATCTAATTATCAACTCTTGGTTGTTCGATAGAAGGAAAAATGTCTGAGCTTCTCTGGAGAAGAGCAGAAAATCTGCTGCCGTGAAGTATGTCCTCTTATGAAAAGAGTTCATGTAAGTAACATGTTTTGGAGTCCCTTAACAGACAAACAAGCAAATCAACAAAGACAAGATGTGCACAGAAGAATTTAGTGGTATTGATTGAAATGACATATTTAAATATCAAAATTTAAATGGAATATAAATGGAATTAAGGGTTTCTATGCAGACATGGAGACATAAAACTAGGTGATTTACATTTGGGATTTCAGTAATTTCTCACAACATTTTTATTTAATGGCTATTATTATTTCTGTTTTACAGATTCAAACACTAACTTTAAAGATTATTATGTGCAACCAACTTAACTGCTCTATGGCAGAACTGGGATTAAAATTCAAGTTTGACAATTTTCAAAATCCTTCTCAAAATTAGCTCAATGTAACCTTTCCACAATGTACACATATTTCAAAACATTATGTTGTGCATGATAAACCCATACAATTTTTATTTGCCAGTTGTACATAAATAATTGATTAATTAAACCAACCAACCAACACACACCCACACCAAAAACCTTCTTTGAAACTGTAAGCATGGAAAATACTGAAGTTTTCACCTGAATGAATTAAAATCTCAATTTAAATATGATTGAAACCAAATTAAATTTGAACTTCTTGTATTTATTGAACTTCTGTTAAATAAATTGCACGTCCAAAAGGACACTTGTACTTTATTAGCCTTTTCCATCTTCCAGCTGGGGATGTATGGTAGTGGTAGTGGGAAGTGGGGAAAGGAATATAATTGAGGAATTAAGTAAATAATTCAAAAACCTTTAGAATGTAAGTGCGAACTCTATACCAGAAAGTAGAATTTCACATTTGCTTTCCAGTGCATGAAAAGTCAAGGCTATTGATGGACAGTCTATTTCTTAGACAATGTGAATTTCTAAAAATTGACCAAACAATGAGGTCTATTTATTTGAGGAATAGGATTCATATGCAACACGAGTTCATACCTCAGACCTTGGATAAGTTCAACTAAAGTGACACAGCTATTTAATCAAAAGATGAGAGCACTCCAATGACAACTTCTTAAATTGATCTGGAATTTGATTGCTGTGTAGGTATAATATTAGCCAAACACAACTTTTGTTTCATGTGTACTTTTGCAGCTAAGTAACATAAGTTATATAATCACCTTTAACATTACTGCCAGATATTGTATGAATATTTAAGAATAACTGCATTTTAACTTAAATTAAAAGCCATTTGTCTTTGATTAACTATACTTATTCCAGATTGTTAAACAATGTGCTTGACATTCACTTGAGAGTTTTGAGAAGGCACGTAGTTTTGTTGTGTTTGCTGGCAGTTCAATCTTTGTGTATACACACATGCATTTAACGACTGTAAAGAAGAGATCACAAATTCGTGATGCGCAACTAGAACATAAATTATTTTCATTGCAAGCTATAACTGCAACGACAAGAGAAGTTTTATGATACATTTTTGTCACTAATATGAATGTTAAAGAGTTGAGAATTTACGTGTTAGGAGGCACGCTCAACTAGATTGTGAAACAATAGTTTCTAACAGCTCTGAAGGAGCTATTAGATTGTGTAAAAAAATGTGTTCTAAAAAGTCCCTAAATATGTATTTATATAATTGGAGCTATTATGGTTTATTGTATCAATTACTCATGTACTAAAGAAGAAAGAACCAACAGCTTAAAACACTTTCATTAAAGGGGTTGGCAGTTACACACAAGCAACCCAATCTTGAGCCTTTGAAGAGGTTAAGACAAACAATGTAAATGTTCTTGTAAAATTATCTGTAATATCTCTAAACACAACTTCTACTTGGGAATAAAAATAGTGTGTATTTGTAATGATGATCAAATAAGGATTATAGAATTGTTACAGGATGAAAATCATACCCCGTACATTGTGTCAAGCTATTTTAAAATAAAAAGAAATGAAAGTAGGGGAAGAAAAGCCTGAATTTTTGTAGACACTACCAAGACTGGCTTTCTGATTTTGTTTAATTGACATCTATATATGAAGACACTAATAAATAGCCTTTGCTTCAGGTTTTGTTGTTGTTATTGTTTTATGCATTTAATCTAGATTGGAGGAAAAGGAATTCTATACAGGAAATGCTAATTAACAATACAGAACGAAAGCACAAGAAATGTGATGCAGCTTTAATTGTCAAATCTTAAATACTACAGCTTCAGAGAATGTGTAAATAAATTTGTGACAGAATGTTTTTTGCAGTTTTCATTCATTGTCATTTTCCAGGGGGTTTTGATGTAAAGAGTTTTCATTTGCAGATATAGAGGACAAAGATAATAGTAGGGCAGGAAATAATTTACAAACTAGCAGGCTGAATTATTATAATAAATCTCACTTGGCTAAAGATGATAATGATGTGATAATAACTGTTTCTTTCCCTATTATTCTCTATGGAGTGAACTTAGTAAAAATAACTTGGTGGGCATTTCAACAGACACATTGGAAGTTTACTATTTCCTTTGAGTTAGGTAGGGCTGAATGGTTGATATACACTGGGGGATTTTAACATTATACATAACTTTGCAAGTGTAGAAATGACCAATATAAGCTAAAAATTTTAAATTGTTCCACAAGATATTCTTGGGCATTTTTATCCCCTGGTAGATTTTCAGACACTGAGGTTCCCCCTAATGCAATATAAAAATGTTAAAATAATACCTAGTTCACAATTAAGAATTGAGGTTTCTTAATGTTCTATGTAAATAATAACATAATCAAAACTACTTTTCAAACACCATGTTTTTTGCTTTTATTAATTTTCCTATCTAGCCCACTAAGTACTGCACTAATCAACATATATTATTGGCCAATTAGCATGAACATTAAAACTAGGAATGTTGGCATTTTAATCCTAAGAAATAAATAACTCAATAGGGGAAATATGTCACCTACCACCATTCAGCTAATTGAGTAAAGAAAAACTATATCTACATAATGCACATAAAGTTAGTATAAGTTTAGTTGGGCATTTGTCTTGATAGATGTTAAAATCCCTGTAGAATTTACTTTGATTATTAAACTCAAAAATTTTTTTTTTGTTTTACAAAAATATTTTTTACACTCCAGGAATTTACTTTAATGATAATATTTACATTTCTATATTTTTGAATTTAATAAAATAATTATAATAAGTACAAGTAAGTGTGTATTGAATACTGATTATGTACCAGTCATTGTGCTAAATACTTTATATGAAATAACCCTTTTAGTATCAAAATAGCCCTAGGAAGAAGCTGGGGGAGCTCATGAGGTTAGCAAGAAACCTTAAACAAATAGCTGGGAAGTGACAAAGAATTACATTTAATAAAAAGAAGTATCATTACTTTAATTTTGTTATTCTGCTTATATATGTTGGTTCACTTTGCCAAGAAATTCCCTCAATCCCATTCCCCTTTCATACTGATAAATAAAAGCTGTCTATAATTCAAAGTTCAATTTATATTTTCTCTAAGAAGCCTTTCTACATCTCTTTACCTGAAGCATCTCCAACATTCCAAACTTCCATAGTAGAAGGTAAACCTTCATTGAGCACCCATTATACTCTACTCTTTTATTAAATTATGCATACAAGAATTTATTTAGCTTAATTGTATTGTGACTTTATTTTTTATTTTGTGGGTATATAATGGGTATATATGTATGGGTTATATGAGACATTTTGATACAGGCATGCAATGTCTAATAATCATATGTGGGTAAATGGGGTATCTATCACCACAAGCATTTATTCTTTGTGTTACAAACAACCCAGTTACACTCTTCTAGTTATTTTTAAATGTACAGCTAAATTATTTTTGATTATACTCACCCTGTTATGTTAGCCAATACCAGGTCTTATTCTATCCTAATTATATTATAAATGACAGGAGGTCAGGAATTATGGTTCTGTTATACTAGTGTCTTCTGCAGACTCCACTAAAATAAGCATTTGCTGAATTTATGCTGTATTCCTCTATTTATAAATACAGTATACTTAGTTTAATAAAATTCAAATTACATTTTATGATATCATGTAAAGCAATAAAAATTCATGCACTATAGAAAAATATAATTGTTCTACTTCTAATAAGATAGTTAAATAGAAAAATAATACAAGATACCATAATGACTAATAATGTCAATTAAGGACCACAGTAATAAAGGACCACAGTAATATAAAACAGGATAACAAAATTGAAAAAAATTTACATTGATTATTTTTGATACTATTGCATCCTTTAGAAAAAGATAGTCAACACTAACCCTTCATAAAATCTACTGCAATAATAATTTAAATAATGGTTTTGATTTTATTTTGTGTCCATATTTCATTAATTAAAACATTACTCGGCCGAGCATGGTGGCTCATGGCTGTAATCCCAGGACGTTGGGATCCATCCACGAGGTGGATGGATCACCTGAGATTAGGAGTTTAAGACAAGCCTGGCCTACATGATGAAACCCTGTCCCTACTAAAAATACAAAAAAACAGCTGGGCATGGGGGTGGGTGCCTGTAATGCCAGCTACTGGAGAGGCTGAGGCAAGGAGAATCGCTTGAACCCAGGAGGCAGAGGTTGCAGTGAGCCGAGATCACACCATTGCACTCCAGTCTGGGCAACAAGAGTGAAACTCCATCTCAATTTAAAAAAAAAAATTACTCAAAGAGAAAAGCATACGCGTTAGCAGAAAATACTTTGAAATTTCCCAGAATGTAAGCTATCTTTTTCAAATTAATGACGTAAAGTTATATATGAGAAAAGGTCTTGGTGGGTAGGGGGGATTGAGGTTTCATAAAATCAGTGATTAAAATATTTTAATATATTCTTTTTTATATTTATTTAGATATCACCTACATTTAAAGCAGTTATTTGGTAAATTCTGCTTTATTTCTGATAATAGTAGACAGAGATGAGAAGTAACAATAATGTTTTCAAATACCTAAATGCCACCTTTTTTTAAAAAAAAAAGCAAATAGAATTCTTGTGAACTTCCTTCTGACATTTTTAACAAGTTTTTCTGTTCACATATTGTTTTTATTAAAGCATTTGCATTTGCACTTTGTGAAATAAAATTTGATACACCAGAAACCTGTTCCACCATTATCTCTTGAGACCTTGAGGTAATAAAAAGTTCATACTACAGCTCTTCATCTTCTTTTACAACTACTGCAAATAAAGGGCACCTATCTGGGACACAAAAACCAAAGAGAAGAAAAATATGTCATTTTGCTTTTGCTATTGTTGATGATGATGATTTTAAAGATGGCAAATAAATACACTGATTTTTTTATCTCTTAAAATGGTCCATCCAAGGCATTCCCATGTAACCTTTCCATATTTAAAATATTAAGTTGAACATAATGCCCATTCAAAAATATGTTCTTGGCACACACCAGACACTTAAATGCAAAAACAAATTTCTTTTTTTTTTTGAGATGGAGTTTTGCTCTTGTTGCCCAAGCTGGGGTGTGATGGCGTGATCTCGGCCCACTGCAACCTCCACCTCCCTGGTTCAAGCGATTCTCCTGCCTCAGCCTCCCGAGTAGCTGGGATTACAGGCATGCGCAACCACGTCCGGCTATTTTTTTGTATTTTTAGTAGAAACGGGGTTTTTCCATGTTAGCCAGCTGGTCTTGAACTCCTGACCTCAGGTAATCCACTCGCCTTGGCCTCCCAAAGTGCTGGGATTACAGGCGTGAGCCACCGCACCCGGCCAACAAATTTCTTATATGTTGAAAGTACTGACTCTGAACAACTGGAGTATAGCTAGCACATCTCTGAAGTTTGGAAACTGACATAGGCAAAGCAGATCACCAGAATGTAATTACATGTGGCTGTAGCTAAACTATCCTTGGTAGGCACTTCTATATTTATAATGTTACTAAATAAATATGAAAACACATTATATTTATCCACCAAGGTTATTTTCTAGAAAAATTATGTTCTACACAATTTAAGAAAGTAATGAAGAATGTTTGGCATAACTATAGTGTCATGAGTATAAAAGGTAATGACCAACTTCTCTTAGCAAATGGACACATTTTTTTAAAATTTGCCTATGAGATTGTCTATGAAAATAAATGTTTACTAGAGAAAGTCAGATTTAGCAATACTAAATATGTACTTGAATTATTTCTCATATGAAATTTACATGGAGGCTGGGTGCAGTGGCTTACACCTGTAATCCCAACACTTTGGGAGGCCAAGCTGGGCCGTCAGGAGGTCAGGAGTTTGAGACCAGCCTGGCCAACATGGTGAAACCCCGTCTCTACTAAAAATACAAAAAAATTAGCAGAGCGTGGTGACACGGGCCTGTAGTCCCAGCTAACCAGGGGCTGAGGCAGGAGAATCGCTTCATCTAAGAAGGCGGAGGGTGCAGTGAGGTGAGATTGCCTCACTGCTCTCCAGCCTGGGTGACAGAGCGAGCCTCCCTCTCCAAAAACAAAAGAAGAAAAGAAATTCACATGGAATTAATGTTTATCTAGTATTTATTCCTCCTATGGTAAGAGTTTTATATATTATCATAATGATAGGCCAGAATTTTAAATGCACTAAGAGCTGACACATAATCTGCTGGTTGAATGAAAGAACTTAGCTAATTCCATGGAAACTTCTAATTCTTTTTTTTTTGTTGTTGTTGTTTTCTTTTTGAGACGGATTCTCACTCTGTCGCCCAGGCTGGAGTCCAGTTGGCGCGATCTCGGCTCACTGCAACCTCCGCCTCCTGGGTTCAAGCAATTCTCCTGCCTCAGCCTCCCAAGTAGCTGGGATTCCGTGTGCCGCCGCACCTGGCTAATTTGTATTTTTAGTAGAAATGGGGTTTCACCTTGTTAGCCAGGATGGTCTCGATTTCCTGTCCCTCGTGATCCGCCCACCTCGGCCTCCCAAAGTGCTGGGATTACAGGCGTGAGTCACCGCACCCACCCAGAAACTTCTAATTCTTAAAGGACCAAGAGATATGCTTATGAAGAGAGCTGCTTCTTAGAAGATTGTTATAGGGGACTAGATGAAGTGAGTATTTGTATGCACAATGTTTGTATAAATTTAGAAGAAGAACAAAATTAAGATAAGTCAACATTTGTTGAGCACCTTTTGTGTAGGAGTGTTAGATTTTTCATTTAAAGAGGTATCGCTGATGTGAAAGGAAACTAATATCATTACAATGTGATGAGTGCAATAAGTGAGGTAGGCTTCAAGTGCAGCAGGATCTCAAGACATGAGAAAGGAGGGATCTAACTATGGGAGGCATGTGGGAACCTAAGGTAACCTAGATTTTCCAACTAGTTGTTCATTTCATATTTTAATTTTAAAAGGGATGGAGTTCCTTGGTACCTGGCTAAATGAATAAAGACCAATATTTTTGTCTTTCTTTTTTTAATTTTTATTTTTTTGAGACAGAGTCTTTCTCTGTCTCCCAGGCTGGCATGCAGTGGTGCCATCTCTGCTCACCGCAACATCCCCTTCCCGGGTTCAAGCGATGCTCCTGACTCAGTCTCCCTTGTAGCTGGGATTACAAGGTGTGTCACCACGCCCAGCTAACTTTTCGTAGTTTTAGTAGAGATAGGGTTTCACTGTGTTGGCCAGGCTGGTCTCAAACTCCTGACCTCAGGTGATCCACCTGCCTCAGCCTCCCAGAGTGCTGAGATTACATGAGTGAACCACCATGCCCAGCCTATTTTTGTCTTATTCCGCATTTTAAGGAATTCATCAACATTTAAAAAGACTATAAACAAGGTGGAAAAAACTTCTATAGAATATAAATATACAATATTCCACTCTAATTATTTTTTTAAAAAATTGTCTCTTCTACATCTCTGCCATATAGGAAACATTTTGCAACCATGAGCAAAACTGGAACAGTTGCTAAAGTTCTTAGGCTCAGAGGAGATTGGACAGCTAGTCCTCATTTTGGCCCGGATGGACTTCACTTATTGCAGCCATTTAAGTCTTACTTCCTTCTTGACCTGGGTATAATCAGTCTCTTACAAGGACCCTAATTTGAAAATACATACTATATAATTCTTGAATATTTTCTTTTCTTTATATTATAATTTTGTCATTTAAATGTTATGATATATATATTTTATTTACTCAACTATATCAGTAATCATTTTGGTGTGGGAATGTAAATTGTAACTATAGGTAAAAAGTATACATCTCAAATAACTATGTAGATTTACTGTGGAAAACAAAAACTCCAGAATATCTGATAGAAAAATTCAACATTTTAAAGAAATATCATGTAAAACTTACATTTTATTAGTTTAAAAGTAGAATTTGATGTCTGTGATATGGGGTAGCAAAAAAATGTAGAATTTAAAAATGAGTAAAAATTCATGGAAGCAGTTATTTTTATTCTTATTGTTATTTCTATTATTATTGCAGGCTAAAATTGGATAAGCATATTTGAACAATACTTTCCTCCTCTCCCAGCCCCATATCCATATACATCAGCTAAATATTCATGATGATTTTACTTATATTGTTCTTCTGGTAATGGTACTAGATCACTGATGAATACCCCTCCTTTGATTTGTCATTTTTAAGACATGTATATGAATTATCTACAGTAAAAACAGATTTATTTATACACATGGCAACGTAGAATATATGTACATATGGTTAAACCATACAAAATTATCATTTTTAAAGGTCCAAAATAGTTAATGCTTACTATATGTCAGATATATAATGTAATTTTTAAATTTTATTTATTTATTTATTTATTTATTTATTTATTTATTTATTTATTTATTGAGACGGAGTCTTGCTCTGTTGCCCATGCTCATGCTGGAGTGCAGTGGCGCAATCTCGGCTCATGCAAGCTCCGCCTCCCAGGTTCACACCATTCTCCTGCCTCAATCTCCCAAGTAGCTGGGACTACAGGCGCCTGCCACCGTGCCCGGCTAATTTTTTTTGTATTTTTTAGTAGAGACGGGGTTTCACCATGGTCTCGATCTCCTGACCTCGTGATCCTCCTGCCTCGGCCTCCCAAAGTGCTGGGATTACAGGCGTGAGCCACTGCGCCCGGCCATATAATGTAATTTTTGTATATTATTTATTCCTCCAAATAACTCCATTAGTGTAGTTATTTTCAAATTTTCTTCTTTAAGGAAATGATGACAGAGAGAGCTTAACCTGTCCAAATTACAATAATTAAATAGCAGGATTTAATCTCTGCAATTCTGAGGCAGGATTGTATGCTCTTAAAAACTGCAATGTATAAATACCACCTACTGGTTATTTTAATGTATTTAAATTAAAAACTCAGGCCTCTTAATCTAATACTAAAGATTTAAAATATTTTTTTCTCGATTTTCTATGTGTATTAGCCTATTTTCATGCTGCTGATAAAGACATACCCAAGACTGGGAAGAAAAAGGTTTAATTGAACTTACAGTTCCACATGGCTAGGAAGGCCTCAGAATCATGGTAGGAGGTGAAAGGCGCTTCTTACATGGTGGCAGCAAGAGAAAGTGTGGAAGATGCAAAAGTAGAAATCCCTGAAAAAACCATCAGATCTCGTCAGACATATTCACTACCATGAGAACAATATGAGGGAAACTGCCCCCATGATTCAAATTATCTCCCAGCGGGTCCCTCCCACAACATGTGGGGATTATGGGAGTACAATTCAAGATGAGATTTGGGTAGGGACACAGAGCCAAACCATATCACTATGTAAGCAGAGAAATTCAATCTCTCTATACTTTCTTGTATGATTCTCCTATCTTCCAGCCCCAGTGTTTATCAGATTAGTCATTATTTTTACTTCGTCAAGATGTATATCAAGCAGATTTTCTTCCACATTTTATACATCATAATTTTTAAAAATGGAAAACAAAGTGTTTATGTTAATGATTATGCAAATATTTACTTTAGAATAAGATAATATATTTGAATGTATAAAAATAATTTAATCCAATGTTACTAAACCTTTGCTGCTCTAAGAACAATGTTCCATGAGAAAAAATTTTACTGGTAAAGACTTCTACTTCTGACCAAGATGGAGTAATAGTGTTCAGAGTTACCTTTCCACCTAAAACTTCAAAAGTTGGATAAGATATATAAAATTATTTTTTAAGACACTGCACTGAATATCAGGAAATGAAAGAAAGTAATCCCTGGGAACTGGTAAACAAATAAAGTTAGCTTTACAATTTTCCCAGCTTTCTGCCTTGCAAGACTTTCTAAGAAGCATTGCAGTGAAAGAGAGAAGCCCACAGGGAACTGGCAGATCTCCTAAGTGGAAAAGACACAGTTGAGAGTCTGGGAAAACCAACATGCTAAAATTCACAGGGCAGAGTAACAGAGAGGAGAGCTGCACAAAAAAAGAACTCTGGAGATAGGCAGTGGTTCCTGTTAAGTATTCAGCTGAGTACTAATCAGTGCATTCCTGGGAGGAAACTACTTGAGGCCAAGAAAAAAGCACTCCACATGATTAGCACTTATGTGGGGCTGGGGAGAATGCCTGTTCTCACCAGCCAGACTAGAAAATCTCATGATTTGTGGCGTTGGACAGAGCACACAGAAATGTCTTGCCTTAGTAGTAGGGAATAATGTTCCTTAGATTAAGCACCACTGCGACCTTACCTAAGTTAGAAATCTTAAAAGCAAAACCAAAAAGGCTAAAACTGTTTCCAAGTAATTTAACAGCAACCCAGGGCAAAGATCAAGAATATGTACAGGAATATAAAATTATCCAGCACTTACAAAGTGAAATTCTCAGTGCCTGATATCCAATAAAAAATTACCAGGCATGAAAAGAGGCAGGCAAATACAACCCATAATAAAATAATAAATGAATTGAAATCAACCTAGAACTGAGGCATATGTTAGAGTTAGCAGAGAAGGATAGTAAGCCAGTTATGATTACTGTCAGGAGCTATGAAGAGTCCGAAATCTTATGGTAGCTGTGATTTAGCACGTTAACTTGCCACAGTTTTATGGATGCTCTCAGAACACATGAGAGCCCAGGCTCAAAGGACTTTATTACTCGTAGCAAAGAAAGTAGCGTGAACTCATATTTGCATTTGGGCCTCTTGCCTTCAAGTTCAGAGGTCACATAGAGGGACCTAGATGAATGTTATACCTCCAGTGGGTTTCATCATAACCGAGGAATCTTAGTTTAGATGATTAAAATCTTTTATGATGGAATGCAAATAAAACATTTTTTCCCTAGGGGAAAAAATCCACTATATTTATTATACTAATAATAAGCAAGTCTGCTGTTTGTTCCAGGAGGAGATACTGTCTCTATTTTCTAAGGTTGCTTGCTATACAACCATCCTTGAAAACATAAAGACAGTTTCTCTGCTAGCAAGATATGCAGAAATATGAGAGATTTGTATATACTCTCTATACTCTAAAAGATGAGAAATCCAAGCAGCAGATATGAAAACAGTAATGTGTGAATTGAAAATATGTATTAAAAATTTGTTTTTTATTGTTGCTTTGGTATTCATTTTTAGGCCTGACATAAGTTGTTGGAAACTTAGTCATATCTCATTACCTTTGGTCTAGTTAAAACTTCTCCATGTAGCGGTTGCAATATAGCCCACTTGTTTCTTAGCTCATTGACCCCAAACCCAACACATACCACAGCTGTTGACCACGATAAAACCTAATGGTCAACACTAGAGTCATGTAAATAAGTTCCCTACTTTATATGCGTTTTCTTTTCTATTTTTTTTCTTTTGGAGATGGAGTCTCTCTCTGTTGCTCAGGCTGGAGTGCAGTGGCAGGATTTAGGATCACTGCAAACTCTGCCTCCTGAGTTCAAGCAATTCTCCTGCCTTAGCCTCCTGAGTAGCTGGAATTACAGGCATGTACCACTACCATGCTTGGCTAACTTTTTGTATTTTTAGTAGAGATGAGGTTTCACCGTGTTGGCCAAGCTGGTCTTGAACTTCTGGCCTCAAGTGATCCACCTGCCTCCACCTCCCAAAATGCTGGGATTATAGGTGTGAGCCACCACACCCAGCCTATATGTGCTTTCTTTATACCATCTAATCCATAGCCCCTGCAGAAAAGCCTAAGGGATAACTCTCATGGGCTACATTCAAGGCATAGTCCCACAGATCCTCTTTCTCTCTTCTCTCTCTCTTGCTCCCCACCTACTGACTGAGCTCCCTGCTGCCTCCAGACTTCCTGTCAGCCTCCCCCTTAGAACTCCTAATTTACTTGAGACCTGTAAGAAATAAATTTCATCTGTCATGTATTTTAGTTTTACTTCCTCATTGTGTCTCATTGGCATGCACATTTGAACCTAACTTTTCCTCTGCTGAGGGCTCTCCTAGAGAATTTTATCTTTGCTTATGGTCACTCTTGACAGAGAGATCTCAAGACAAATTAGAAAGAAACCATAACAATAAAAATTATAACAATATATTGGATAAGATTTATTTCAGATTAGATATTTCAAAAAAGAGATTTATAAATTTAAAGACATAGCAATAGGAATGAAACAAAGAAGGAAAAGATAATGATAATAATAATGATGATGATTAAACAAGTATAACATCAATGAGCTGTGGTACAGGTTGAAGTGGCTGAATATAAATGCGATTGAAATCCCAGAAGAAAAGAGAGGAGGGGACATAAAAAACTATAGATGAAATAATGTTTTAAAAATTTCCAAATTTGATGAAAACAATTACCCAAATTTCCTAAATCCCAACAAACTTTTGTTAAGTAAGAAACTGTGAAGGGGCTAACATTTTATTTTATTTGCACACTAATGAGTCCATATACTGGCAGAATACACAAGACCTCTGGGTCAGAAAAAGAGACCATTCATTACACACATTCAAAAGAGCAGATCGAGCAGCATCTCACTTTAGTTCCACAAGGGCAAATCCCCACAGAGTGATGTGATGTGGACCAGATGTTACCTGAATTTGCAGGGAAATGGACAACAGAAGAGGAACTCTAAGGTTTACCATATGCACAGGAAGCCCCATGAGAGGTTCCTTAGGAGTCACTATAAATTTGCAGTCTAACTGATATATGTATCACCAGATAGGTCCCAATAATTATAAATAATAACTAAATACTAAAGACACCATGTATACCCCAGTTATTATACTTCTTGTGGGAAGGCCTGACATTGGCCTGCTTCCCTTATGAAAACATGGTGACTTGCCCCATAGGGGATGGTTATAAGAAACCTTTAAGTGTTTAAGAAAATGCCACCAGTAGACCTTGTAGTCTTCAGAAAGCTGTAAAGATCTCTCCAAAATGATGCTAACTGTAGTTATTCAGGAAGCTTTTCAGAAGGATACATAACTCATTATTTACATGTATTTTTAAATATTATTATTGATATAGTCATACCCCCATATTTTGGGGGTGCATGTAATATTTTTCTTACATGTATACAATGTGTTATTATTAAATCAGGGTAATTGGCATATCTATCACCTAAAGTATTTATCTTTTCTTTGTGCTGGGAACATTACAATTTGATGCTTTTTCTTACAGAAGTGACTTAGTTAGAAAAAGTGGTATGAAATTTGTCCCTGACTGTAGCTGACATCCTCAGTGGCACCATCTGGACCCTGAAAGGCACTCAGATCATCTTTACCTCACTGGCTAGGTTTGTTACAGATGATAGCACTTACCAGGCTTCCTCCTTGCAGGCCAAGGTCGGGTCTGTGCAATCACTGATGCATCCTGCTATAAGTGGATTAATGTCTCTGTCCAGTTGAGAAAGTCAACACATGAACTTAGAAAGAAATCTACCTGGTTTTCTAAGCTAGATTCTGTTGGCTCATGGAATTTATTCAGAGTAGATATGAAGCTGTAGGGGGCATGACTGAGATCAGTATTGCATGTAGACTTCATTTTGTTGTTCAGAGTCTTGTTGACAATAGTCTTAAATAAATGCTGTATGAGACAAACAAAATGCATTTGGTCCCATGCAATGTCAATTAAATAAATCAGAATTGCCAAAAAAAAGTGGTATGTACATGGGAAAATTCACAAAGGAACATAACTATATAGAAAAGATGAGTGGATCTGTTGGGAGACAATTCTCAATGGTTTTATTACATAGCCTGGGACTTCTAAGCAAAGGGGATGTTTGATTAGCAAACAACTAGAGATTTAGAGATGTACTTCCCCAGAAACCTCCCAAAGTAATAAAGAGAAATCCTTCTCTTTCCTCTCCCCAGAGACATTTGCTTAAACTGGGAGATTCTGCAGTAATCAGAATGCTGAAATGACTCCAGAGTTTCTGTCTCCCTGGTTTGCACATCTTGTGTAACCCTCTCCCCATGATTAGACTGCACATATAGCAATGGTAAAAAGAAAAAAAAAAGAAAGAAATTCCAGTGTAATTAATGTCCCTAATCAGTTGACTTTACATTAATCAACAAGAAGATCGTCCTGGGCGAGCATGAGATAACTAGGCAAGCCTTTTAACACAGCACCCAGGCTTTCCCTGAAGGAGGAGGCTTAAAGTAGTAGACACACTCTTCTGCTGATCCTGAGGAAGCAAATTGCCATGCTGTGAATTGCCTATGGAGTGCCAAGAAAGGTAATAAATAAATCACTAACAAAGAAATTAACCCAAAAAATGCATAAAAAGAAGAAAAAGAGAATGAAGGCTCTAGGATCTGAGAGTCACAGTTACATAACTTCAAGAAACCAAATGTTTCCAACCTTTTATATAATTTTTTTTTTTTTTTTTGAGATGGAGTCTCACTTTGTCACCCCGGCTGGAGTGCAATGCCGCGATCTTGGCTCACTGCAACCTCCGCCTCCAGGGTTCAAGTGATTCTCCTGCCTCAGCCTCCCTAGTAGCTGAATTACAGGTGCCCACCACCACACTCAGCCAATTTTTTGGATTTTTAGTAGAGACGGGGTTTCACCATATTGGTCAGGCTGGGCTCGAACTCCTGACCTCCAGTGATCCACCCACCTTGATCTCCCAAAGTGCTGGGATTACAGGCGTGAGCCAATGTACCCAACTATATGAACTTGAAATAGCACCCCAAGCTCCAGATAAGAACACAGATTGCAGCTTCTAAAACCTTAAGCAGAAGACATAGCTAATCCACTTGCCCAGACATATGATCCATGGAAACTTTGAAAGAATAAATATATAGCATTAAAGTTGTGGCAATTCATTATGCAACAAAAGAAAACTTATACACATGCCTTTCCCATATTCTGGGATGAGTAATGTCTCCGGAGACATATTGTGCCAACAAGGGAACTATAAAATTTGAGAGTTTTCTAAATGTTGGGGTTTTTCTCTAGTGCATCCCACTTCATGTGCAGGTAGTATGTGTCCTGTATCACATTGCTTTGTGGGGTTTGGAGCTTGGGGAACCAGCTCAAGATGTTCTGACTACTGTTTTGGTTATGAGTAATGAGTAGTCTGTTTCTCTGACCTAGCTATGTTACATTTTCTTACATAAAACAGTAGCAAGCAAACTTGTTAGCTTGTAAATGAAGTAAAATATGAGACAATTCAGTTTAACAATCACAAGCACAAAATACATGAACTATTATATATTTTGTGACATCAAAATTAAAATGGCTCAAATCCATTGATAACAAATATTAAAGATACTAGAAAAAAGGACACACTGCATGCAAAAGAAAAAAGATCAAAAATAACTGCAGATTTATCACTGAAAATAATGCAAACACAACAGTGGAGCAATATGTTCGAAGCATTAGGAGGAAACATTTTTTTTTGTGAGATGGAGTCTCACTCTGTCACCCAGGCAGGAGTGCAATGGCATAATCTCGGCTCACTGCAATCTCCACCTCCTGGGTTAAAGTGATTCTTCTGGCTCAGCCTCCTGAGTAGCTGGGATTACAGGTGCGTGCCACCACTCCCAGCTAATTTTTGTATTTTTAGTAGAGACAGGGTTTCACCATGTTGGTCAGGCTGGTCTCGAACTCCTGACCTCATGATCTGCCCACTTCGGCCTCCCAAAGTGCTGGGATTACAGGCGTGAGCTACCGCATCCCGCTGGAAACTTTTAAAATATAGAATTATATACTTAGTAAAACAATTTCTTCATAAATGAGGGCAAAATGAACACCGTTTTAAACTTACAAAAACTTTAAGAATTCATCACCAGTAGATTTATACTATAAGGAATATTAAAGAAAGCTCTTCAGGCAGAAACAAAATGATATCAGATGCAAATCTGCATTTTCTCAAAGGAGCTTAAGAGCATCAGAAATGGCAATTGAATATATAAAAATTTTTCTTACTTAAATAGTTTTAAAGATAATTTGCTGTTAAAATATAGTAAAAATGTAGTGTGGAGTCTATGTATATATAAAGATGAAATTCATGACAGGAAGGATGAATAAAAGAACTGAAGTATAGTCCTATAAGTTTGTCATAACATACATGAAATGTTATAATATCACTTCAAAGTAGACTCTACTAAGTAAAAGATACAACCATAAATCTTGAAACAATCATTAAAAAACATCAACCGAAAAGGTAGCAAATTAAAAAAAGAATAAAACAGAACCATTAAAAAATAATTAACCCAAAAGCAGGCCATGAAAAGAGAAAAAAGGGGGCTGAGACTGATGGGGAAAATGTAAAGTAATTACCAACATGATAAATTTAAACCTAACTACATTAATAATCACATTAAATGTATAGAGTCTAAGTGTCCCAGTTAAAAGATAGATACTATGACATAAAATAGCAGGACCCTACTATGTTGTGTTTACAAAAAAAAATCACTATAAGTATAAAGATACATATCAGTTAAAGTAAAATAATAGAAAAAGATATACCATGTGCTGTTAATACTAATCAAAGTAGATTTTAGAGCAAAGAATATTACCAGTAAGAAATAAATGTGATTTCATAAAGCAAATAGACATATTCAGTAAGAGGACATAGGAATCCTAAATGTTTATGTACCTAATAACAGAACTTCCAAAGAAATGAAACAAAAATTGACAAACTGCAAAGGAAATAGACAAATTCTCAATCATAGTTAAAGATTTCAATGCCCTTTCTCAGTAACTGATAGAAAAGTAGAAAGGAACTCAATAAAGATATAAAAAATGAATGACATTATTAACAGACTTTACTTAATTTACCTGTTGACATTTCTAAACTTACCTCTGTCCTGAACAACAGCAGAATACAGATTCTTCTTACATGTATACAGAACATAATCAGGGCCATAAAGAAACCCTCAATAAATTTAAAAGGATCCATGATATACAAAGTATGTTCTCTGAAAACAATGGAATTAAATTAGAAACCATAGAAATACCTTTGGAGAATGAATGGATATCCAAATAGCCATCAGTCAAATTACAAAAAAAAAAAAAAAGAAATTAGAAAGCATTTTGAACTTAATGAAAATTGAAACATAACAAGAGAATTTGGAAGTTGCCACTGGAATAGTACTGAGGAAAATAGTTGTACCACCACACATCTATATTAAAAAAAAAACTCAAGAAATAATTTAGCTTCTACCCTAAGAAACCAGAAAGAGAGCAAATGAAACCAAATTATGTAGGAACAAAAGAAATAAAATAGATCATACTAAAATCAATTAAACATAAAACATGAAAAAAATAGAGAAAAAATTTTGAAAACCTGAGGGTGGCTATTTTGGAAAATAAATAGCATTTATACATTTCTAGCTAGTAATAATTCAATTAACATGTTGAATTTAGTTTACCAAACTAAAAAAGAAAATCTATATAATTAACTCAGTAAATGCGGGAAACTTATTTGAAAAATGCATCATCCATTTTGAAAAAAACCACGAAACAAAACAACAGCAACAACAAAACACCTCAGCAAACAAGAAATAGAAGGACACTTTCTCAGTCTGATAGTAGATGTTTTGTAAAACCTATAACTAACATAATACTTGAAGAAAAATTCAATGTTTTTCCTAAAAGATCATGATCAAGACAAGAATATTCACTCTTTCACTTCTGTTCAACACTGAGTAGAGTCTCTAGCAATCAGACAAGAAAAATGCATAGAACACATCCATATTGCGAAGCAAGTAAAATAGTCTTTATTCACAAGTGACATTATAGTCTATGAAGAAATTAGATAAAATCTATAAAATATTCATACTAGAACAAATAAATGAGTTTACTACCTTGCAGAATAAAATATTAAAATATAAAATGAATTATATTTTATTTACTAGCAATGACAACAAGAAATTGACATAGAAATACTATTTACTGTACCATCAAAACAGAAAATATTTAGAAATAATTCTAACAAAAGTTGTGAAAGATTTCTAAATTGAAGAGAATAAAATGTTGCTGAAAAAAAATTAAGCATGCCAATAAGTGGAGAGCTGTATTTCTTTTGTGTATCAGAAGACTCAATCTTGTGATGAGAAGCCAATTCTTTCTAAATTGGTCTATAGATCTGATAAAATCACCATACTTAAGTTGGATTTTTCTCAGAATTGAGAAGTTGATTCTAAAATTCATCTGGAAAGAGAAAGGACCTGAAGTCAATCAATATAATTCTTTATCTTAACAAAGGAATAAAATTTAAAAAATCAATGGATGAATAAAATACATTTAGTAAAATGTATCTCTCTTTTAAAATAAAAACTCGCAGCAAAGTAAATATTTAAAGAGTAGCCTAAGTCTATTAAAGCTGATGTCCTAGTTATCTCATATTATTTTCATGGCCTCATCTAGACAGTTCTTAACTTAATGTCTTTTATGTGGTTGCTATTAGTCATCTGAGGGCTCTCGATTATGTTCAAAGTGGCCATGTTTCATGACTGGCAGTTAATTCTGGCTGTTGACTGAAAACTCAGTTGGTGCTGTCAATTGTAGTACCTTTACACAGCCTAGCCATGTAGCTTGGATTTCTTACACCATGGTGGATGGGTTCTGAGAGAAAGTATCTGGAATGTAGGCACTCCACGAAATTCAGGCAGAAGCTGCACAATCTCTAATGTCCCCAAACATCACTTCTACCACGTTCTACTGTTCAAGCAAATACCAAACCCAGACCCAGACCAAATTTGGTGGTGGGGGCGGGGTAGGGGAGAGGGCAGAATTTGACTCTAGAAAGCATGTAATACAATAGATATTGTTATAGCTTTCTTTGGAAAATAAAATATGCTATAGAATATCTAAAGAAGCCTCCATCTACTATCAAATGTATTTGTGAAATATTGAATATTCACCCCAAAATCAGACACAAATAAAAATTTTCACACCTATTTATTTTATTTCACAGGAAGTTCTGGTCAATGGCATAATAAATATTTTTAAAAATGGAAAAAGTTATAAAATTGTCCTTATTTGCAAATGCCATCATTGTGTGCACTGAAAATTCAAAGGAACATAAATAAAAACAAACTATTAAACTAATGAGTAAATTTTAAAAGGCAACTGAATAAAAGTTAATATAGAAAAGATAAATTGATTTGCATACTGGCAACTCAAACAGAAAACTAAATTTACACAAACAATATCATTTATAATAAAATATTGAATAAACAATATATTTGATGAAAATATGCAAAATATTTAAATTAAAAAGTATAAAATATTGACAAAAGTAATTAAACACCACC
Source organism: Homo sapiens (assembly GCF_000001405.40). Lineage (NCBI taxonomy): Eukaryota > Metazoa > Chordata > Mammalia > Primates > Hominidae > Homo > Homo sapiens. Next base: position 65,818,365 of record NC_000010.11, on the reverse strand, counting down.
CAAATATCAAGAGATATGTCACAGATTGGAAGACTCAATTACTTAGAAGTCAGTTGTCCCAGAATTGATCTATAGATTTAATGCAATCCCTGTCAAAATTCCTCAGACTTGTCACAGAAATTAACAAAATTAAAAAAAAATTATTTGTATGGAAGTGTAAAGATATTTGAATGCCCCAAAGAATTATGAAGTAGAGAAACAAATAGGATAACCAATACTGCTTGATTTCAAAGTTTATTAAAATGTTATCATGATTAATAGAATGGATATTGGCATAAAGACAGGCAAAATGATCGGTGTAACAGAAAAGAAAAAAACCCATACATATATTGTCAATTGATACTGTCAAAAACATCAAGATAATTCAATAAACAAAGGAAAATATTTTCAATAAATGTGCTTGAAACACTAGATATTGTATAGAAGAAACTTTGTTGTCTACTAAATCATAACACACAAATTAATTTGGTATGAATCACAGGTATACATATGAAAGTTAAAAATACATCTAGAAAAAAAATTGGAGAACATCCTCACTATTCAAATAAGTTTCCTGCATTTACTGAGTTAATTATATAGATTTTCTTTTTTAGTTTGTTAAACTAAATTCAGCATGTTAATTGAATTATATTGATCAATTTTTAACATTCAACTTTTTATTTCTTGGAAAATACCCAGTTGTTCATGATGTATTTTTTAATCTATTGTTTGATGTCTTTGTTGAAATTCAGTTTGCAATCTTTGCATCTATGTTGATGAAGGGTTATCACTTTGAACTTTTCTTTTTCCTGTCTGATCAGGTTTTGGTAACATTTTAATGCCAACCTCATTGAATGAGTTTAAAAAAAATTCCTTGTACTTCAAATTTATGGAAAAGTTTCTGTAGAATTGATACATTTCCTTCAATAGTTTACAGAATTTGTCGGTGAAGTTATTTGAGCCAGAGATACTTGGGGAGTAGAATAGTTTTAGGTATATAGCCAATTTTCTTAAAAGATATGGAGTTCTTTACAAGAATCCTTAGGACACAAAATCTGAAAACAGAAATTTAAAAAGCTTAAGTGAACTTTATGAAAATTGCAAATTTCTCTTCATCAAGAACCAGCATTCATGGCATTTAAATAATAAGTCACAGATTGGAAAAAAATTTTTTGAAAGAATTTATCTAACAAGAGTCTTATAGCTAAAACATATTACGCATACTCCTACAAATCCATAATAAAAAGATATATACATTAAAAATAGCATTTTACAGAGAAGATATCAGAATGGTCAATAATCATATGACTTCAAAAGTTATCAAGGAACTAAAATTGAAAGCACAATGAAATATTACTCTACATCCACTTGAATGGCTAAAATTACATGAAAAAATTGTGACAACACCAAATTTGGGTAAAAATTGTGTCAAATTGGAAATTTACATTTGTGATGAGAGTATAAAATAGTGCAACCACACTGGAAATCTCTTTGTTGGTTTTTAAAAAATTAAATATTGTCTGTCTCATGATTCAACATTTCCAGTCTTAGATAACCCAATATGAATGAATATATACATAGCCACATTCACAGAAGCTTTATTGTAATAGCCCCATATTTGAAACAACCTAAATAACCATCTGTGTTTTTGGCAAGTCATGCAATAGAATATGGCACAGAAATAAAAAACAAGACAGCTATAACCAGAATGTGAAAACACTATGTTGAGTGAACCCACATACAAAGATTACATCCTATTTAATATCACATGGAAGCATTCAAAGACCAGACAAAGCTTATCTATGACAATAATTAGAACGGCAGCTTCCTCTGTGGAAGAGTGGATTGACTTTTTAGGGCACAAGGCAACTTCCCGTGGTAAGAAAAATATTCTGTATGTTGAACTGGATAATGTTTATTTATATAAATTTATAAAAATTACATTTTAGTTATAGGAATTTTATTATATAAAATTATAAAATCTTAATAAAATACAGAATAAACACTTAAAATAAAAATAACACCTTGATAAAATACTACAAAAAACAAATGAAAAATAAATTGCTGATTCTTATAAACCAGTGCAGTGCTTCTTTTATTTTGCCCATGTCAAATTTCTACCTTAATAACCTCCTCCTTTTTTCATCTGCTCTTCTTTCTAGATTTATTTAAAGTGTGGTTTCAGGAAATCTTAATGTACTTGCCCACTTATTTTAGGTGTTTCTACCAGACCCACAAAGAATTATCCACATTTTAGTACTTTGCACTTAATTATCTGTTGCTAATTTGGTGACCACCTCATCCTCCCTTTTTAAGTTCCCAATTCCTTTATTATGATAAAGAAGAAGCCAAGGACAACAATTCACAGAACGTCCTTCCCATGTTTCCAGGTTAAAGTTTGTCAATGAGAAAAACTCACTTGAGGCTTGGAAAGTGGAATGAAGAGATAGCACATGATTTCCTGGAGCAGTTGCGGAGACATCTGTGAGCAGGTATGGGATCTGTAGATTTTAGGTGTGCTTCTTGAGAAGTACACACGCAGGTACTGCAACCTGAGAGTTATGTGGTGCCTTCCAGTGATTTCCCTTGAGAGTCACTCACTTGCGTCTCCGAGATGATTCTACTCTGCAGCCCAGGGGCGAACCATAAATATAGCAACAGCTGAATTTTTCTGACAAACTGAAGTGTCTTTCACACTGTGAGCTCAAATTATTAATAGCAAGTTATTTGACCCTCACTCCTTTCGCCTTGCAGTGGTTGTGAAGCCTCTATTATACAATCCCTTATAATGGAATTCATACAGAACACTTTCTTCCTGAAAGCCCCATGAATGATTTAAAGACTTAATACATTTTATGAAAATTATTTCTTTATGTGTTCTACCCCTCTACTAACTTGTGTTACTTAGCTATTGCAATTCCACAAGAACTTAAGTACAGAGATTGAAATCTAATTGAATTACATGTTAAGTCTGCATCCTTGAAGAAACAAAGCAAATTGGTCAGAGTTTATTAGTTTGAATACCCAACTGCATAAGACTTGGTTTGTGATCTGAAAGTGAATTTGTAGTTAGAATTGAGGGCTCTCCTTGCTTTTCTGATACATCAGGCAGTATAGAAGATACCACCCTCCACTCTTCATCGGGGCCCTTTCCCCAGCAGCACACACAATTGGAGGTTGATGTGTCACATGGCATCTGAAATAAACTTGTGTGCTTGAATGCTATCTGCCCCATGTAGGGGGAGAAGGCTAAAAAAGGAGACTACTATCTGAATGATCTCTCAGCCTACTCTTTACTACGCTCTATCAAGAAAATCAGTTTTCACATCCTAGAGATGTCATCCTCTACCCTTGATACACATTAGAATCATCTGAGGATTTATTTTTAATGTTCAAGGTCCATGCTCAGCTACCATGATTAATCTGTGCAGTTAGTTCTAAACTTTCCCAAGTGAACTAATAAACAGACATGAATGAGAACCACTATAAGTAAGAGGGTATCTTAAGCAACATCTTGTTAGAAGCCTGTTTTTTATGCAAATTTAAACTTTACTTATAGTTAGAAAAGAAATTAAACTATCACGTACCAGCACTAATTATAATTTTTGTCAGTTTTGCTTCATGACTTTTCTTGAAGTGTCATGTCTTGAAGTGTCATTCTACTTTAGTATGCATCACCAACTCATCGATATTTCTTCCCCCAAATCACAGTATGATTATCACACCCACAAATTCCAATAGTTCCTTAATATCATCTAATGCTCAGTTCATATTCCTGAATTTTCTAAATCTCCTAATTGTCTCTGAAGTGTCTTTCTAAAGTGAGTTGTTGGGCCCGGCATGGTGGCTCACACCTGTAATCCCAGCACTTTGGGAGGCCGAGGCAGGTGGATCACCTGAGGTCAGGAGGTCGCCAACATGGTGAAACCCCATCTCTACTAAAAATACGAAAAATTAGCCAGATGTGTTGGTGCGCACCTGTAATCCCCGCTACTTGGAAGGCTGAGGCAGGAGAATTGCTTGAACCCAGGAGGAGGAGGTTGCAGTGAGCTGAGATCGCCTCACTGCACTCCAGCCTGGCGACAGAGTGAGACTCCGTCTCAAAAAAATAAAAAATAGATTTAAAAAATTATAAAGCGAGTTGTTGGAAACAGGGCTAGATATTGTTTTTTAAATCTTTAATGTAGAAAATCCATTCCCATTCCTTTACATTTTAGTTATGAACTTGTTGGGAGGAAAATACCAATTCTCTTTTAGGTTTAGCAAATGTATCCTGGTGGTATTTACATGCCACTCTATTCCCTGCATTTGTAATAAAAAGAAATTTAGATCTATGGACTTGACTAAATTCAGATTAAAAAATTAGGCAAGAATAACTTAGAGATGAAGCTGAGTATTTCATATTGTATTGCATCAGTATACATGTGTCATTTATTTCCTATTGGTTCAGATAAAATTAATTTTGAGGTTTAGATAGTTACAGTCTAATTCCTCCATTACAAAGCTTTATATCACACCAGCTTACTTTTTGGTGGACTGTGAATATTCATTTCTAAGTTAATTTTTCATATAATGGTATTAGCTTGAATAGATTATTTAGTTTATTTAATAATAAAGGGCAGTAGTGATTTTAAAAAATTATTTTATTGTATTATACTATATGTGATTCTTTTGTTAAAAAAAGCAAAAAACTATTTCTTATTAGTTATACTTATTTGGTTACCTTGAGATATAGGTCCTTCTGGAAGAACAAAATAAATAATTAAATCACCAACTTATGGGTTAAAGATTTTGTACGATAGTTACTTCCAAAAAGAATTTAGAATTATTTGGCCTACTTCTTGGCTTATTTCAAATAATCTAAAAAAATACAATGAACAATTGTAATTGAGCCATTTTTAAGCCACCAGGACCTAAATTTTGAATAAGATGTAAGCAGAGGCTCTTACCCATTCCTTAGCCCAAACCTCTCATAAATGTGGTAAATTTCTTTTCATTTACCAAAAACTTAGAGGAATTTCTGCTAAATGTAATAATAAAGTAATTTAATTTAAAAAGGCAAGGGCAACACAGAATTGTCATTCTGAGAGGAAATAGTATGCCCCAGAAGAAAGTAGAGATGAGCCATTTTAGAACACTGGAGTCAGCTTGGGGAGGGTTCCATTAAAGCTGAACTCAACACAAAAATAATATGGTAGTGACAATAACGATTGCATTTATTGTAACTCATACATTACATAAAACTGTAACTTACTAAAGTATGGTTGAAATAAAATAATGCTTGGGATTTTCTACAATATACTTCAGTGATAGGAGAATATAAATGTGTTGGGTGAAACAAGATTATACGTGTATTGGTATTGGTAAAGTGTGCAGTTTTAACACCATTCTCTTTACTTTTGTGGATTTAAATTTTTTCATTAATAATCTATGAATTCATAATGATTTTTTTAAAAACTGAGAAGTTGTATAAAGTGAATATCTCACTTTTGGAGGTAACTATCATTAATTTGACTTTTGACAGACTCTGACACTTAAATATTTAATATGCTTTTAGAACTTCAAAATGATGTTTTTTTCTATAAGAAAACATTAAAATTTCTTTCAAGCCATTAACATTTCTATCACTATTTTTCTTCTCTCTTTGACAGTTGTAAACAAAAGGATTTCTGTTTCAGTAATTTAATGGAGTAAGTTATTCAAGCCGAAGGCAGACCCAGAAGTAATAATTCTACTTAGGCTAATCTAACACTTGGCAATATAAATTGATTGTTTCTTTTGTAATTAGTTGACAGCGTGCGCCCTTGCTTGCTCTTGGCGCCTCCTCGGCCTTGGCGCCCACTCTGGCCACGCTTGAGGAGCCCTTCAGCCCACCGCTGCACTGTGGGAGCCCCTTTCTGGGCTGGCCAAGGCCAGAGCCGGCTCCTTCAGATTGCAGGGAGGTGTGGAGGGAGAGGGGCGAGCAGGAACTGGGGCTGCGCGTGGTGCTTGCAGGCCAGCACGAGTTCCGGGTGGGCATGGGCTCAGCGGGCCCCCGACTCGGAGCAGCCGGCCGGGCCCCGCTGGCCCGGGGCAGTGAGGGGCTTAGCACCTGGGGCAGCAGCTGCTATACTCAATTTCTTGCCGGGCCTTAGGTGCCTTCCCGCGGGGCAGGGCTCAGGACCTGCAGCCCGCCATGCCTGAGCCTCCCCCCATCCGTAGGCTCCTGTGCGGTCCAAGCCTCCCAGACAAGCGCTGCCCCCTGCTCCACACCGGCCCCCAGTCCCATTGACCACCCAAGGGCTGAGGAGTGCGGGGCAAACGGCGCAGGACTGGCAGGCAGCTCCACCTGTGGCCCTAGTGCCGGATTCACTGGGTGAAGTCAGCTGGGCTCCTGACTCTGGTGGGGACTTGGAGAACCTTTATGTCTAGCTAGGGGATTGTAAATACGCCAATCGGCACTCTGTATCTAGCTCAAGGTTTGTAAACACACCAATCAGCACCCTGTGTCTAACTCAGGGTTTGTGAATGCACGAATGGACACTCTGTATCTGGTGGGGACTTGGAGAACCTTTGTGTGGACACTATCTAGCTAATCTAGTGGGGACGTGGAGAACCTTTGCGTCTAGCTCAGGGATTGTAAACACACCAATCAGCACCCTGTCAAAACAGACCACTGGGCTCTCTGTAAAATGGACCAATCAGCAGGATGTGGGTGGGGCCAGATAAGAATAAAATCAGGCTGCCGGAGCCAGCAGTGGCAACCCGCTCGGTCCCCTTCCACACCATGGAAGTTTTGTTCTTTCGCTGTATGCAATAAATCTTGCTGCTGCTCACTTTTTGGGTCCACGCTGCCTTTATGAGCTATAACACTCACCACGAAGGTCTGCAGCTTCACTCCCGAAGCCAGCGAGACCACGAACCCACCGGGAGGAAGGAGCAACTCCAGACGCGCCACCTTAAGAGCTGTAACACTCACCGCGAAGGTCCGCAGCTTCACTCCTGAGCCAGCGAGACCGCGAACCCCACCAAAAGGAAGAAACTCCGAACACATCTGAAGGTAAGAAGGAACAAACTCCGGACATGCCGCCTTTAAGAACTGTAATACTCACTGTGAGTGTCCGTGGTTTCATTCTTGAAGTCAGTGAGACCAAGAACCCACCAATTCCGGACACAATAGGAATGTCTCATAAGTATTAACATATTTAAGTTTTGCTTACATGGGATAAAGTGGAATAAACCCAGATTCTAGTCCAAGCTCTATTACAGGAGCAAAGTTATTTAAAAGCCTGATTCTTTCAGGTCATGAAATAGAATTTTGTAGAGATCTCTATTTCTGCAGGTGATGGTTGGGTAAGAGGCCTGGGTAGGTGTCACACTTCCCCCTAACAATGGAATAACCAGAAAATCTTGTATGTAGTTATATTTCTTAAGAGATGTATTATTTTTTTAAAAACTGATAAATAACAAAGATAGACTTCTAGATAACTAATGTTAAAGCATAATAGAGATTACCTACTGGCTTGAATTTTGAAAAAGATAAATCCAATTTAATTCTACTTAATTAATCTGGTGTTGCCAATATTTTATTTCATGGAATAAGAGTTCCATTAGAGGCTCTGGAAAAACACAGGGAAAGAATCCTTTGGTCAAGTAAATCTGGAAAATGTACACTTACACTTGAAAACTCACAAGGCATATTTTAAAGACTTCAGGAAATATTTTGTTAAGCTCCCTTTAATCCAGTACTTTCCAAATACATCTGACTACAAAACCCTTTGCAGGTATGTAACACCTATTAATATGCTGTGGAACTAGTGTTGTTTTTCTTTCTTTTTGACAACACAAATTTATTACACAACTGCTGTGCGACATGTACTGTGATAGGCCCAGGGATTATAAAGGTGAAAATATGCACAAACTTTGCCAATATCATGTTTGTAGTCTCAAGGGTAAGTGAGTCTTTTATCTCTTCTTTATATGCCTCTCTACTCTTATTTTATTGTTTCTCAATGTGTGGGAGAAAATATATGATGGATATTTCTAAATCATCTGGGGCATATTTGTTAGAATATACCTGTCTACTCTTCCCACCTCCAGTGTTCTTCTTCCCAATATTCAAATATACGTTTGGGGGAAATAACCGTACAACAAAAATATTCTTATTGTGGTTCTAAAACCGATCTCATTTTATAACCATTGCCCTTGTTGCCAGAACTCCTTAAACCCACCCGTGATGCCTACATGTTAAACCAGGTGTTCTATATATTTCTCCCCTAATTCCTTTGCTTCTTAAACATCAGCACATATAGTCTTTGTTTTAATCCCTCTTTAATAGTAGTAATTAGTGTTCATGAGTTTTAAATTAGGCAGAAGAATCCCTCATAACTATTAAATCGCACTGCCTTTAAACCTATTTTAAAACACTCTATTAAGAAATATGGATGCCTACTCTTTGTACAATGCATAATAGAAAATGTAAAGAAGCTTAAGTCACGGAACCACCTTCCAAAAGGCCTGAGTAGTTTATGTATGAACAGTTAGGTAAGAATGAAAGACATGCATTCAATTCAATACAAGTAGAATCTGAGAATACAGTAAGGATCACTGAGGAAGCTGTCTCTGGACAACAGTGGTTAAATTTCATGCAGTAAATAGGGTTTCTAAAATAAAAGTACAAAATAAAGTCAAAATAAAAAGTACAAAATAAATAAAAGAACAAAATAAAGCAGAAGATAAAAATAGAGAGGTACATTTAGAATAAAGCTATGTTTATAATATTTGACTGGATTAGAATGTTGTAGCAGAAAATATTAAAAAGGCAATTTAGTATGGGGTTGTTGAAGAAGAAGTCAAGAGTGAAAAAGTAGAATCAAGTTTAAGGCAGAAAAAAGAAACACCGTGAATTTTACAGTTTTTCTCCTTTAACTATTATTTCTACGTATGATTGCCAAATCACTTTGTCTAAAGTTGTAAAATCCTCAATAATGACTATCTGGGAAAACAAAGATCATAGAAAGCTCCAACCATTCACATAAAAAATCACTTCACATTCTGAGAAATAACTTGTAGGGCATATTTATAATACGATAGTGTAATAAAAACAATTTTTCAGCACTCTCAAGGGGACTATATATTTACCAAATCTCTTTCAGAAAATTTCCTTTTCAACAGTTATGACTTAAAACTCTAGATAGCTGCCATTCACTCATGAATGAGTTGATTGCTCAGGTTGCCACATTTTGATAGGTTATTGATAAGTAGATGCAGACAGCAATCTTTCAGCTCAGTTTTCTTCCATTATTTCCCCAAACCTCAAATTCACATCCATTTTATAATAGAAACAGTGCTTTTTGGAATATATTTGCATATGACTTGGTTAATGGGCTTTGAGAGGTACATGAGCATGCCCACAGCAGGGCATGCTTAAGGGGCTTACAAGAAATTTCTCTTTATTGTTAAATGTGGCATGTCCGCAAAGGTTCAATGTCAGAAAAAAACCCAGAAGCATCTGTTTTGTACCTGTCTTGTGGCTGGAAAAGCTCAGATGACAAGGCTGTCAACTTGTCGGTTTTATGAGTACAGAAGAAATTTCAACTAAGAGTCAAGCTGAAAATATCATAGTTCTTTGAAGCACCCCTTAGGTTGCATTTTCAAAAAGGATATAGTTTTGCACTCTTGCCAAAATGCAATTACATGCATAGTTGCACAGGCAAATACATGGGAATATTTTCATAAGAGTAATTTACAGTAAACTAGTGCAATTAGACACTGAGAAGATTTTTCTTCCATGCAGTTATGTAACCAATAGAAGAGCAAATGGTATTATAGATAATTTAGAGAAGTCAGAAAAGTGTTTGCCAGCACAGTCACTGACAATCAGTGTCAGAGTGATGTCAGTATTATTTGGTTTCACCTATTCATTAATGTAAGTGAAGTCCCCATAGTTGTAAACACAGTACATAAAACATCTTCAAAATACAAAGGGAAAAAAAAAAGAGAACCAGAGATCATTTATTTACCAAAATCTGAACTATATTAATGTTTGCAAACAGCATCTTCAGCTTCTAACTTCAAAGACGTTTCTTCAAAACACAGTCCATGGCCAGTAGGAATTCTAGTCACTCTCATGTAGACAATCCCCTGCTTTGTAAAATTTACCCTTAGCCATCTCTGACGAGTGGCTCATTTGTTCACTAAGTATTTTCTAATAGAAGAATTCAGAAAACCCCATAAGCGGTTGACATATATTTCTTCTCATTATTTTCCTCAGAAAATAGGAATGATGAGCCTATTTCAGCCAATAGTGCTTTCCCATGGGATAAAGATTTCACATTCCATTCAGTGATAGTTACTGATATTGTTCCCAGCTATGTTTTAGCAAATTGATAGCAAAAGAATATGTTCTAATAAAACCAATTTGAAGATTTGTGAATTCCAGCAGACACATGATGGCATAATGCAAAAAAAGACCAAAATTAATTAATGCTAAGCTTACGTTTATTTATATATGATATATACTATATTATATATATTTACAATGAGATATATAACATTATATATCTATGTATAACCTTATATATAATATATGGTTATATATTACAAACATGTTGTATTATATATTAGAAACTGTTGGACAGTTAGAAACATGAAAGTTGACCTACAACCTGAGTATCTTTAGTATTATCCTGAGAAAGGACAACAAAACTGGTCAAATTTCATGAGTTTCCCATGATTGGTAACCAATGGAAGGAGTTGCAAAACACTGGTAATTCCGAATTCATAAAAACTAATTAAATTTATTATTAAAGGAAAAATATATAGACATTCATATGCAAAGATAAGCAATAATATAAGTCCACCAAGAAATTTAAATATGTGTTTTCAAATAGCTTTAAACAGTTTCCTTGGGGATTTAAAGAGGAGAGAAAGCAGTAGGTGATAAGCCAATGCTCTGTATATTTCATAAGATCTCAAAGACGACTTGAGACTTTCCAGCACTGACAATAATGGGTACAATTCACCTCCAGAGACTTGATCATCCAGCTATCATATTTGTTTTTGAACAACTAGGGTATAAAAACTTATTTATGTATTATATGGAACAGGATAAAAGGGTGCATGGCAAAAAGGAAGACTAGAGAGAAAATTCAGATTAAGCCTTTAGTCATAAGTATGGTGCAAATAAGGTTGCACTGCAATTAAAATTTAGAACACAAAAAGAGTGTTCATTTAAACCATTTAAACAAATATATAAATAAATAAATTTAGTAATGTTCTTTTTTAGCTGGTTTCCTGTTTCTTTATTGCTGTTACCTAGGATTGAATTTCCCTATATATGATGAAGAGTATTGGTTTAGTGTGTATGCATTGAATCACCTGGTAGACTTGTTAAACCACAGGTTGCTGGGCCCCATCCTCGGAGAATGGGAATTGGGAATGACCATTAGAAACATGAAAGTTGACCTACAACATGAGCATCTTTAGTATTATCCTGAGAAACAACAACAAGAAAACTATTCAAATTTCTGATTCAAGGGGTCTGGATGAGGCCCCCAAATTGTATTTATAACATGTTCCTAGATGACACTGATGCTGCTGGTCTTTGGACCACACTTTGAGAACGATTGGTGCAGTGGAATTTCTATTAATAAATAAGTAAGGTGCTCATTGTGAGATGATTGGGAACAATGACTTAAAGAACATCAATTGGATTTATTTTCTGCAGTATTTATCAATACATTTAATATACAATATTCTTGGTGAATATTTTCAAAGAAATATTGCACCAGATGCAGTTAACCAGACAAGGGAGTCTTTATTCAAGACTATTGAAATAGGGGAGACAGATTGAACTTAACTGTTGAAAGAAAAGGCAGGAGTCTTTAAACGCTGGAGTATGCTGGTGGAAAAGTACTGGAAACTTTGGGGGGAAGTCAGTAAATGTGTTTGGACAATCTGTGTTTGCTAATTGGTGTTTATTGTAGTTAGGCTTCTCCTCTTCTACAGAGACTAGGAGATAGAGGTCCTATCATTTTTGTTTTGTTTTGTTTGTTGTTTGTTTGTTTTACTGGAATCTGTTGGAAGCAAAAGAGGCTCTATCTTTCTTCATGATTACATTTCATAGGCAAGGAAGACATTCCTGGCTCATAAAACTGACAAGAGACTGGGAGAAGATTTACATCTCAGAAGGCCAGGGAAAGAACTTATAATTGCAAGTTATCTAAAGTAAATGCTCTAATAAAAGGAAGGTCAGAGAACAGTACTAAGAAAGAAACCTGTCTAAAGGCAAACTGAAGGCAGCGTTAAGACTACTGTGGTCACTATTCAAGATTAGGGAATAGATATGTTGTTTCTCAACATTATTAGTCATAGAACTACTCTTTTTAAGGAGCACTTTGTGGTATTAATTTTTTGAAGCAGAAATCCTTTATTCTATGAGGCTTGTGTACAAGGCTAAAATGTTCTGAGTAAATGCTGTTTAAGCTATTTGCTGTGTTAATTGCCAAACCAAACAATGTATTCCTCTGAGAAGGAATTACTTAAATGAATAAACGGTTGAGTGAGGCCTGAAAGCCTAGAAGTGGGAAACACATAAGGTAGATGAATTTTGTAGAATCTGGTCCTTATTTTTAGAATGCTAACACATCAATTAACTTTGATGTGAATATGTTACATATGCATATGGCAGTAGAAATCTTAGCATCTTTAGATATATGCTTGTATTTTTAGCTACATATGTGCTGTCAAAAGTAAGGGCTGGAGGTATCACATTCATATGCACAAATGCAACCTGGTTCTTATTCTTTCACAGTCTTTGTCTTCTCACTGTCTTATTTAAGATGCAGACAAGTAGCAAGTTGATCTTTGATATAACTTATTTTTTAAATTTAGTCACACGTTGTCCAAATATTCTTCTGAGTTTATCATAAAATACTAGACAACTTTTAAAATTATATGTATTTTTTTCTTCTTTCATTTAAAATTATTTTTTTGAGACTCTTTGTACTGTAAGTCTTATACTAAAAGGCAGCACTCCCCACCTACCACCCTCCAATGCCCCATTCTCACCCACAGAGAGAAACACATTTCTGTTTTAGGAGATATTTGCCATTATACTTCTAAATTACACACTTATGATAATATAATGTATTGATTTTTCAATTACACATGTTATCTGTTGACTTCCTCATAAGGAAAATAAGGGTTTAGCATTCTTAATCACTCCCTCAACATTAAAGTCACACATTAAATATTTTCCCAATGTTATTTATATCACAATTTGCAAATTGGTGTTATATATTTCCATTATTATGAAATACATAATAACTTATGGTGTTATTCACAGCTGATATATATACCATACTATTACATTTTCTTTCTTATATATCTCCCTACCCTCCACTCCAGTTTAATTATTTTCTTGTTAGATGCTTACCTATCAACCTTTCCGCCTAAATGAACCATGACCAAAAGGACTCTAAAATGCCTTGTTAAGTACCTCATGTGATTTATCAGGGACAGGGTTTTCTTTTTTTTCTTTTATTGAGACAGTGTCTCACTCTGTCGCCCAGGCTGGAGTACAGTGACACAATCTTGGCTCACTGCAACCTCCGCCTCCTGGGTTCAAGTGTTTCTCTTGCCTCGGCCCCCAAGTAGCTGGGATTACAGGCGCCCACCACCACACCTGGCTAATTTTTGTATATTTTAGTAGTGACAGGGTTTCACCATGTTGGCCAGGCTGGTCTCAAACTACTGACCTCAAGTGATCCACCCACCTCAGCCTCCCAAAGTGCTGGGATTAAAGGTGTGAGCCATCGTGCCTGGTGACAGACAGGGTTTTCTAGACCATATGATCTTCCTGCCTCAATCTGGACAGGTGATTTTCTTTTTTTTCTTTCTTTCTTTTTTTTTTTTTTTTTTTTTGAGACGGAGTCTCACTCTGTTGCCCAGGCTGGAGTGCAGTGGTGCAAATCTCGGCTCACTGTAAGCTCTGCCTCCCGGGTTCATGCCCTTCTCCTGCCTCAGCCTGCCAAGTAGCTGGGACTACAGGCGCATGCCACCATGCGTGGCTAATTTTTTATATTTTTAGTAGAGATGGGGTTTCACCGTGTTAGCTAGGATGGTCTCGATCTCCTGACCTTGTGATACGCCCACCTGGGCCTCCCAAAGTGCTGGGATTACAGGTGTGAGCCACCATGCCCGGCCTGGACAGGTGATTTTCTAAAAATGGTATGTGGGTATCACTTGGGACTTCCCAGCAACATGATCCTATGAATTCCCTATTCATTCCTAGAATGGATATCCTCTTGCCTGGATTTTACATCTTCTTCCCTACCTAGTCCCTTTTTGTTGATCTTTTCCTTCTGTAGTGCCTTGAGAAAGTACCCATGGAACATTATTTGAGACTATACAAATACAAAAATATCTGACTTTCATCCTCAGACTTAAGCAATGATTTTGGATGATTTTATCTCTTAGGGATTTAAATAGCAAAATGATGTTTAAAGAAAAAAAGGCAAAGTGGGAAGTGGCATTATGGGTTCTGCCAGATTGTTAGCAACATTTCATGACACCTAAGTCCTTCTATACTCTGCTCTGTAATATAGACACTGGGAGCCCAAAAGTACATTTCTTAGGGCCCCTCCCTGTAGAGATCTGAGCTAGATTCCACTAATGATGGACCCTTGCATGAGAAGTGGGAGGCTTATGAGATAAGAAAGGATACTTATTACTTCTCAAGAAGAGGGAGCAGGAGAGTGGGCTTCAGCAAATTAAAGATTCCTCATCAGTCTTCTTTAGAAACAACCTGTTTCTGTGTGGGAGACAACAAGGGATTTATAGAAACGTGGGCTTCTTCAGTCATTGCAGAGCTAAAGGCAAGAACTGAGGTCTAATGGCAGCCTTTCTTAACCATTTTTCCTCTAGACCTTCCAATTGTTTTGCAAGTCCTTATTTCCATGTTACCAAATAAATAGATGATAGATAGATTAGATAGGTAGATAGACAGATAATAGATAGATAACACCATACATCCTAAATAAATGAAAACCTTCCTTTTTGAAATCTCTGAAGTGCTGCTTCTCTTAACCATAAACTAACCGATATAATTTTTATCCACACAAAAAAAGTAACTCTTAAAATGTTATGAGCCTCACCTACTTATGCTGGCAAAAATTTGGAAGTTGATTTTCGGTCTCTTTGTTTTTATTTTTAAGTTTTATTTTTCAGTAATGTAGAAGAGGGATTAGTAGAGAGATGTAGACTCAAAAGGCTGGTGTAGAGAGTTTTCCCAAGACTTCTATTCACGGTAAAAAATTTTTTTGATATTGGAGAAAACAGAGATAAAATTAACCGCAGAAGACAGCAGATTCCACTAATGATAGACCCTCAGATGAGAAGTGGGAGGCTTATAAGAAAGGGTAGTTATTGCTTCTTAAGAAGACGGGGCGGGAGGGTGACTTTCACCAAGAAGAATTAAAGAAAGAGCTAAGAGAGTCAAGAGAATAGGGTATAGGGAGATGAAAGTGCAGAGAAATGCTACAAAGATTGGGGTGAGAAGGAAGAAAATATTGAGGACTTGGAGGGTTAGATGCTGTGGCATAACTGTGTAGTTTAAAACAAAGAAAGAAAGTTATACAAATGTGTAAGCAAATTGTTAATTAAAATTCCTTAATGTTTTTGTAGAGATGCAGGTTTGGAATTCTTTTTAAAACTTACTTTGTATTACTGGCTAGCAATGGTCGCTGTCCCTTTGTAATCAGGGCTGATCTGAGACTGGGTTATGCAGAGGTTTTCTATTTAGGCGGGTTGTAGTAATAGTGAAAGAAAAAAAATTGCTCAAATGTAGCTTCAGTTGACCAAGCAAGCTCCATTCCCTGTCAGCTATCTGGCACCTTTTCCTTAATCTGGCACAGTTTCTTTAATCTATCATGGGAAAACTATCCTTAAAATAAGGTTTTCTTCAAAATATACATGAGAAAAAAAGACACAATTCCATTTTTGAAGTTCTATCCACAGGCAAAACAAAGTTCTAGACAATAAAGTGTTCTCATATTACTTATCCTCTCAGGCCACTGCCCAATCTAGCCTTTCTCCCCCAATAATACAAACAACTGGTTTCCTATAACACACACAACAACAATAACCACACTATCACCATCCTCTCTTCTGAGATTTAAGGTTTCTTGGAAGCAAGCAGCAAGAAATCTAGCATCCCATTTTTTTTCTCCTCTAATATTATTTTATAGGTTTTGTTCATCCAACTTTAGAGTAGAAAGAAGATGAGTCAAAATGGAAAGTTTTGCTCCTAATGACCAACACCAGAAATTGGCTTCTATTATTAATCCTTTACTATATATCAAGTATGATGGCAGATGTTTTCACATACGTTTTCTCCCTCTCAATCCCTCAGCAATCCTACAAGACACACTTAGCCTCAAACTTACCAAAATATGTACGAAAACATGTGCTCACTCATACACATACACAATATCTGTTTGAAGCATTAGAAAACTCCATTTTATTGGTCCTTGTGTTCTTATCAGCTAAACCTGCAGTTTTTAATAATCTTTTCCTTTGTAATATCTTTTTTTTTAAAAAAAAGTCTGTCTCTCAAATTTTTTTAAAATTTAATTTAATTTAATTTTATGTTCCGGGATACATGTGGAGGACGTGCAGGTTTGTTACATAGGTAAAAGCGTGCCATGGTGGTTTGCTGTACCTACCAACCCATCACGTAGGTATTAAGCCCTGCATGCATTAGTTATTTAGCCTGATGCTCTCCCTTTCCTTTGTAATTTCTTACCACTTCCTTTTTCAAGTAGGAGATTTAATGTGGCTACAAGCTTCAAATAGGATCACAAATTAAAATTACTTTTATTATTGCATTCTTTTTCTCAGTATACTTTAATCACATTTGTTCTAATTCCTGCTCTAAATTTGATTTTGTGATTCTCCCCTCAGAGTTATTTCTATGTTCTGCTATTTCTTCAACCCTGAGATACGCTTTCTTCCTGTCATTCATTTCTCCCTTATATAATGAATGCAAAAAATTCTCAGAAACAATAGGACTTATAAATGGTGAGAAATGTCACATTTGATAGCATATATTTTTCCATATATCTCTGTATTTCCTTCCACCTACTAAGGGAAAAACAATTTATGTACTTTAGGATGTATTTTTTTTTAGTATAGAGATTAGACTAATTTTCACTCAATCCCACTAATATTGTATTAGTTATTATAGATAGCAGAACAGGCACTTTTGTATTGAACATGCTGTGCTTTCAAACTTTTGATAGCTCTGTGTATGGAAATAAACAGTGACTTATTATAGAGAGGGTCAATTGCCTTTTTTGGAAAAAAAAAAAGACAGAAGATAATACCTTAGACCTGGGAGCTTTGCCACCTGTGATCTCTGACTTTTTGCTCACTAGAAGTCTCTTTGATTTAAAATACACGCACACATCCACACACAAAGGCCTGGTATGCTCTTAGGCTCTCCAAAGTCTTTTTTTCCACAAAGAAAAATGAACTAAAGTGGAAGAAATGGAGAGGAAGAGGGTGAGAGACAGATTGCACTCATATATCCTCAGTACTTCACTATAACTCTTCTCAACAGAAAGGGAGAAAAGGATCAAAGGGTTCATCTATCAGACACGTGCTTTCACTTCAGATTTAGTAGTCCATCCTCCAGCTCCTAAGCTTTAAAGGAAATCTTCTGGATTCACTCATGAGCACTGAGGGACATTTTTTTCAAATAACTTCTAGTTAATCTTCATATATTCCTATCAAGAGTACGAAAAGCGAGATTTGTCAATATGCTTGGCAAAATGTGACAATAAACTATCATTGCTGTCTATGGCTAACTCTATAACAGATGGAGTATACCTATCCAATTTCTTTTCAGTATTTTATACTGAGATGAATGTAGTAAGCCTCACAGTTTGAGCCCATTTGAGGCACATGAAAGATTATCTAACAGTTTATTAAATGAATATTGTTATGAGTTGAATTGTATCCACTCCAAATTCATATGCTGAAATCCTAATCCCCAGTAGCTCAGAATGGGGCCCTATTTGGGGATAGCATCATTGCAGATTTAATTAGTTAAGATGAGGGTGGGGCCCAAGCCAATATGACTGATATCCTTATTTAAAAAAGAAAAATTTGGACACAGACATGCACACAGGAAGAACATCACAGTGATGCATCCACAAACCAAAGATTGCCGACAAAGCACCAGAATCTAGGGGAGAGGCAGGGAACAGATTCTTCCTCCCAGACTTCAGAAGGAACCAACCCCCAGACACCTTGATCTCAGACTTTTAGACTCCAGACTAAAAGTCTAATCTGTGAGACCACAGATTTTGTTGTATAAACCAATCAGTTTACGGTAGTATGCCACAGCAGCCTTAGCAAAGTAATATAAGAATATATTCACTTAAAATGTTGTTGGTGAAATTTCTCATTTGTGGAGTCTTAATGCTAAACCCATCCTCCTGTCTCATGCCATCATTAATTGCTAAAGGTTTTCATTATTTATAAGGTTGTAACCTGTCACACAACTATCTCTATCTAAATGAATTCATTTTGTGTCCTGTTTTACCCTGACTCCATTTCTCAGTGTATATATAAACTATAATTTGGACAGTGTCAATTTATTTTTTCTTGAAATGTACCATGTTCCTTCCCACCATGAGACATTCATCCATGTGGTTTTCTCTGTTAGAAATACTCTTCCACCCTCTCTTCACCTGCTTAACTCCTACATAATCTTCTTCAGTTTTCAACTTGACTCTCATTATTGCATAAATGCTAGTTATTTCTACTAAACAATTGTTGAATCTCTATACAGTTCATTTATATCTTTATTATCAGGTCAATTAAATACTTGGTATAATAACTTTCATCCTTCTAAACGATTAGTCTAAGAAGGTAGAGATGCAAGGTAGTGAAGATCATAATAGTGAAGACTGTAATCGGACTCGTTGAGTGAAAATCCAGATTTCTCACATAGCAGCATTGGACAACTTTGGGAAAATTATTTCCTTCAAAATTTCTAAGTTTACTCACCTGAAATAGGATGTGCTTCACAGGGTTGTTGAGAGAAGCAAGAGAGGTAATTCATATAAATCACTTTCAATAGTACAGTTAAGGCAGGAGAATAGGATCTGGAGGCAGAGAACATAAGGCCGATTCAGGCCATTTACATAGGGTGTACACCAAGTAGCCAATGGAAACCTCTAGAGGGTATTTAAGCCCCAGAACATTCTGTAATGGGGGTCTTGAGTCCTTATGCCCAGGCCTGCTCCCAACCTGTGGCATGTACTTTCATTCTCAATACATCTCTTCTTTTGTTGCTTCATTCTTTCCTTGCTTTGTTTGTGTGTTTTGTCCAATTCTTTGTTCAAGACGCCAAGAACCTAGACACTCTCCAGCCTCCACCCTCCACATTCAACACATGTTGGCTCTTTTTTCTTAATTTTTGTCAGGTACCTACTGAGCATTTAAATATATATTTGTTGAATAATTTTTTTCTGAATTCATTACTTGATTTTAGAGTAATTGATATAATTTTAGACACCAGTAATAGCTGGTTATAAGGGTCCTACAATTTGTTCATTCAAGCATAGAACTTTGGTGGCCATATTTCCCACTATGCATCCGTGAACTTGTATAACAAATCCAAGAGAAATGCTGGTTATTAGTGAGGAAAGTCAATATCAGAAAGAAATTTGACATCACCCTATGCTATTAGTGTGTGTGTATGAGCACACTCACATGTGTGTGTATGTGTGTTAGTCTAGATTGCACCGGAGACAGATGGCACACTGAAATTGGGAAGTTCAGTATAAATTTAAAAAGGAGATGATTTACAAAGGTATAGGTAGGCTTAGGGGAAACTAACAGGGGATAATGCAAACCTGAAGCTGTTAAACGTTACTACGAAGGGGCAAAGAAAGGAAGCAGATAGTAGAATCTGTAGACAGAAACTACATAAAAGGCATACTAGCAGGAGCTGTAACTTGGCAAGGAGGAAGTGAGAAGAGTAATTACCTTGAGCTCACTCTCTGCCTGTCTTTTGATCTTATGCTAGTGACCCTCAATGTCTCAACCTTGAAGGGAGTTGAAGGTCATGGAAGTCAATCGATGATGCAATTCCATATAGGTTAGCATTTTAAGGCAGAGAGTATGGTGAAAAAATGGTGCAGATTGGATCTGATGGGGCAAATGGAAAATTTCCAACCCAGAATTTATCTATACAAGGAAACAGAATAATAGAAAATTTATATCATTGTTAAATTTTCTCCCTCTCCTTTTTCCTCTCTCTATCCCTTTCTGTCTCTTCTGTAAATTTTCTTCTCATTTCACAATTATCCTAGAATGAGTGTGAAATGTTAGATTGAATGTGAAACTTTCCTGTGTTCTAACCCTTCACCTGTCTTATCAATTCATTTTCTTTCTCATCTAGTTTAGGGAAAGAAAAAAATGTGTCATTTCAACAAACTCTTTCATCATCTATCTTTGAGCTTTTTTTTTTTTTTTTTTGCCATATCCGTCCGTCCTCCTCAACCTCACCTCACATATTTCTCCACTTCCTTTCCAGGCTGCTGAGTGCTGCTGGAGAACACCACACAGCTTTACACATTGGTACAAATACAGATTTGTGTTCTCCAAACTCAGGCATGCAATGCCATCATGAATATCTCCCTCACATATTCAGATCAGAATTATAAATCAACGTTTTGAACCCTGACATTTAATTTATCCTAATGTCATGGGCCACCAAGTCAGCTAAATGGTGTCCTGCTCTCAGAAGAAAATTGGTGCTTTGAAAAAAAGTCACAGATTTGTGTTTTCATTCCTGCCTTTCCTTAGACTGTGTGAAGTGTTAAAATATTATTTAAAGGCAGATTATAAAATTTAAAAATACACAATATATGTATGTTATATAAATCATGAGTAATTATTCCAAAAATTATAGAAATATTGGGATACGCAGCCAAAGTGGTCCTTAGAGGGATACTCAGAGGGAGACTTAAAGTTTCAAATGTATATTTTAGGAAAAAAAGAATGATCTTATGTTATTGCTGTTGTTGTTGTTGTTGTTTTGAGACAGAACCTCCTCTGTCACCCCCGGCTGGAGTGCAGTGGCACGATCTTGGCTCACTGCAACCTCCACCTCCCGGGTTCAAGTGATTCTCCTGCCCCAGCCTCCTGAGTAGCTGGGATTACAGGTGCACTCCACCACACCCAGTTAATTGCATTTTTAGTAGAGATGGGGTTTCACCGTGTGGGTCAGGCTGGTCTCGAACTCCTGACTTCGTGATCTGCCCATCTCAGCTCCCAAAGTGCTGGGATTACAGGCATGAGCCACTGCACCCAGCCCAAATCATTGTTTTAAGTAAAAGAATGAAGAAGAAAAACCTGTGATTGAGGGGTCCAGTTCCAGGCCAAAATCCTATGTGTAATCTTTCATGTTCAACCATAGGCAATTACAAGGCTTTGCCTGCCAGGCTTCTTGAGTCAGCCCTCCCCACCCCAAACTTGGTGCATAGCTGGGGGAAAGCTGCCCTCCTTAAATGCATTGTAAGGATGTATGCCATGCTGTGTGCCAAAACAATGCATGTAAGCCCTCCTTCATATAATGAATGTAAGCTTTCCTTCATAAAATAGCACAGCATTGCAGTTTTATGGAGGAAGTTGCAGTCACAAACTCAGCCACTCCACTCCTTCCTCTCCCCTCCCCAAGTCATGCTCCTAGGACTATCTGTGTTCTTAGCCCTAGACTATATGAAGGCCTCTTTATCAGGGACCGTGTCTGGGGCACATTTCTCCACTTTAACTCAGTATGTTTCCACTCCTAGCCCTTCCTCTTCTCCCTCACCACCTACCCGTGGGGGCTTAAAGAGGCAAGAAGCTTTTATTCAATTCTCAGCCGAGAGGCAATTATCATCATCTACACTGCACCTATCTGACCCTCACCTAATGCCATTCCACAGGGAACAAAAAAATGGAACATTTGGGAGTCAGAGCTTTTTTAACCTCTTTCTTAAGGCTGCCACCGTAAGTAAATAAAGCCTTGGTTCATACTGTCTGTCTCATTGTCTTAATTGACCACTTCAACACCTGTTTGCTTGACAATAATCAACTTAGTAGATGCATTAAAAAAAGCACTTGAAAAATTCAACAATATGAACAGTATTCATAATGAAAACTCTCAGCAAACTTGGAATAAATAAAATTTCATCACCCTGATAATACATATCAATAAAATACTACAGCTACATCATACTTAATGGTAAAAGAATGAAAGCTTCCCTGGTAATATTTGGAAAAGAAAATGGAGGCAATTGCACCCACTTCTATTCAACATTTTATTTGTCCTAGTCAATACAATAGAAACAGCAAACAATAATAGGTTAGTAAATTTTCAGGATGCAAAAATCAATATATGAACGACAACTGGTTTCCTTTATGTTAGCAATAACCAACTGGAAACTGAAAGCAAATTATAATTTATAAAACATTGTGAACATAAGTAATTCAAAAATCTAAGCTGTTGGAACTCCTTAAATGATTTTGAGCCTTAAAGGAATTCTTATGAGGACTGAGTCAACTTTACAGGTAGCTATAACCTAAGCAACTGTGTAATCTTTGTTTTCTCTGATTATAGATTAAGCCTTCCTCACATGCATTATTTTGTAAAATGTTGAGAATGGCTGAAGGCCACCGGGGAAGACATCCTACCTATTATTGTTGACTTTTATTATAGATTAACCTCCTTCTTACCTTTCTCACACAAAAACTTCATGGTTATCACATCACCTTAAGATGAAATGTTAAATAAACACTTCTAAGTTGGAAAGGAAATGAAAACAAGCTATAGAGAAAAGAAAACAAGCCATAGAGAAAAGAAAGACTGTAACTAACTTATTGTAACCCAAGCTAACCTTGTATTAAACATGTTGTAATCCTGTTAATATTTTTGTTTGTTTGTTCTCCTATATAAGCAAGCACTTAACTTTTAACTTTCGAGCACTGACCCCATTTCTCTGGAATCTTTTTCTCCCAGATGTCTATTCTTAGCTTTATGCTTAAGTAAACTCTTTAAAACTGAATTTCGGCCTGGTGCAGTGGCTCACGCCTATAATTCTAGCACTTTGGGAGGCCGAGGCGGGCGTATCACGAGGTCAGGAGATGAAAACTATCCTGGCTAATACGGTGAATCACCGTCTCTACTAAAAATACAAAAAATTAGCCGGGCATGGTGATGGGCGCCTGTAGTCCCAGCTACTCGGGAGGTTGAGACAGGAGAATGGCGCGAACCCGGGAGGCGGAGCTTGCAGTGAGCTGGGATCGCGCCACTGCACTCCAACCTGGCAGACAGAGCAAGACTCCGTCTCAGAACAAAACGAAACAAAAACTGGATTTCGACTCTTGTAATTATTTCAGGTTGATGACATAAAACACTTAAAGTAATTAGGGATAAATTATGTCAACACATTTCAAAACTTGTTCAATGAAAACTCTAAGACATTGCAGAGAAAATTAAAAGCAAAATTTTCTCCTTTGAAAGATACCAATGAGAAAGTAAAAAAGCATGTCATAGACAGGAAATATTGATGATATGTGGATATGCATATTTGTATATAATTCTAATAAATAAATGTCATTATATATATAGTTGATAAAAACCCATATACAGAATGTGTAAAAAATTCTAACAACTTGATAATAAGACTAAAAACCCAATAAAATATACGCAGACTGTCCAAAACAATAGCCTCTTCTAATTTTGTATAATAGCATTTAAGTCTGTGAGGTTTCTAGGCTTCTGTTGACCTACCTCAAGCTCACTGATTCTTTCATTAGTCATGTCCAGTCTATTGATGAGCTTATCACAGATGTTAAAAGAAAAACCTTAGACAAATAAATGTAACAGAGTTTAATTGAACAAAGAATGATTTGCAAGTTGGGCAGCCTCCTGTACTAGAGTAGGCTCAGAGAGATTCAGCTCAGCCATGTGGTAGAGAAAGATTTATGGACAGAGAAAAGAAAGTGACACAGAAAACAAGTGAGGTACAAAAACAGCTGGATTGGTTACATCTTGGCATTTGCCTTATCTGAATATGGTTTGAACAGTTGGCCACTTTTGATTGGCCAAGACTTGGCGACTGGCCCAAGAGTAGGTTACAGTCTGTTTACATATCCAGTTAGGTTTTAGTTCCCTATGTACAGAGAAACTTTTATGCCAAACTTAAAATATGTGAAGAAGCAGCTTTAGGCTAAACTTAATTTAACACAGAACTTCTCCATTTTTATTTCTAGCATTTCCTTTTGATTCTTTCTTAGAATTTTAATCTCTCTAATAACACTACACATCTGTTCCTACAAGTTGCCTACTCTTCCATTACAGCATTCCCGTGTGATAATTGCAACATCTGTGTCATACCTGGATCTGTTTCAGTGCTTCCTTTGTCTTTTCCCACTGTGTTATTATTTTTTCCTCTAATGTGGCTAAGAGTTGCGCCATGTTTCATCTTTGCAGCAGCTGTGCCTCCCAGAAGCTTCATATTTTTCTGTTGTACTTGATTTTGTCTTGACCTTCGTCTCCAATAAATACTACTCCTAAGAGATAGTCTGTGTCTTTCACTTGTTTCAGTTATAATCCACTATTATTTTATTGGAGCCTGGTGGGTGTGATAATAAAGTGTGGGAGTTGGAAGCTTCTGTAATATTTCTGTTCAGTCTCAGTCTTTTAGTGGCTCTATGTCTCTAATCTGTGACCACTACAAGCGTTTCTTCTTCTATAGTTTTTCATCCCACCCCTGCACTTAGATGAGATAGGAAGGCTAGAAGGAGGTGGAATGAGAAGAATATCCATCTCCCATTGCTCTGGGAAAAGGCTTTGTTTTGTAAAGTCTTTTCCCTGGATAATAGGCCTTCGTTATGGAGAAGTCTCTGGCGGAATTTCAGAATGATTTCTCTTCCTTTCTTCCTGCTAGAGACAAAAGGATCTTTTTCTCAGACCTTCAACCTTGAAAACCTGATGGATTTCCTGGAGACAAAACTCATGAAAATTTTGCCACCTTCCCCAAGCAAGAATGGGGCTCCTGGGAATTTCTTTCTGACATGCTGGTTCACACTCAGTCTAAAGCAGTTCTCCAAAGTTACCATTGCAGTATTCTTACCATTTTACAGGTCCAGCGGTTTTTGCTGGGTGGACAGATTTCACCTGTGACTTTTTGAATCCACCTGTCTCTTCAGATTTCAGGGAGGTAATGTGCCCTGCAAACTCAGTTCTCTGATGGATCCAAGAAGTCATTGATTTTTAGTTTGTTTGCTTTTTCCTATCAAAATGATGGGATTGACTATTTCTAAGATCTTTTTAAGTTGGAGCTAAAACCGTCTCATAAATAATTTTAATGACCAAACATTTTTAAATTAATTATAGTTAATTTGGCTCACTTATAGTTTGTTCAATGTTTAGTTTTAGGATTTTTTTTAACCAATATAAATAATGCAGGGAGCAACAGTATTTTTTATATTATGAATTAATTTAAACTAAACATCTATAATTAAAACCATTGTGTCCAAGTTTATGTACGTAAAAAGTAAAGTAGAAGTTCCTCTTCAAAGAGATTTTCCTCTCCATCTAATTAGGAATAAATAGTAACTTCTCTTAGAAGCAAAATTTATTCAAGGACCTGTGCTAACAATCTTAGATATCTGCTAACTGTAATAAAGAAATCAATGTACTTTGTGTTCTTAGCTCCCACAATTTAGCCTGAATACTTGCCCTGCCATGCTTATATTGGTCCAAGCAAGCATTAGGTCATAGCCAATTCCTCTTCCTTATTTGGAGGTGTTTTTACCTTTCTCAGCTTTCCACAAGTTACTTCCTCCTTCCTTTGTTCTCCTCTGCTTTTACATCTTTTAGAAAGTTCTAAGTTGCTAGCCAATTAGGACAAATACAGAATATGAGCTCCCTTTCCAGCCAATGGAAACTGGACACAGCAGTAGGGTGGATGTGTCAGGTTATAAACAACCCTGTCTCCTTTGTTTGGTGTACTCTGGTGGCAAAACTGCTGGCAACTGTACCCTTTCTGCAGAAGGTAAAAAAAATGGCCTTCCTGAGAAAATTAAATTTATGTTCAAATGCTATTTCGTTATGGCACTGGGGAACAAGCATTTCTAACATGTATATTATTGTTTCAAAGTCTACATCCTTATTGGCCTATAAAACTTATATTACTCTGGGCTTCTGAAAAAGTTAATAAAAGTGCCCTGTTATTATTGAACCTTTTGAACAATGCACATTTTCATTTAAAATTTGACATCTATTAAGTATAATATTATTTGATTACTAATGTAATTAATTACTAAAACATTGGAGAATGCATACATATGATGATATTTGTATTAACTATTTTCTCTTTTTTGACTAATTATTAGCTTAGTGCAAAAGTAACTGCAGTTTTTGTCATTATTTTTTTTTTTTAGATGAAGTCTTGCTCTGTCACCAGCTGGAGTGCAGTGGTGCCATCTCGGCTCACTACAATCTCTGCCTCCCAGGTTCAAGCGATTTTCCTGCCTCAGCCTCCTGAATAGCTGGGATTACAGGTGTGCGCTGCCACACTGAGCTATTTTTATATTTTTAGTAGAGTCAGGGTTTCACCATGTTGGCCAGGATAGTCTCAATCTCCTGACCTTGTGATCCATCTGCCTCGGCCTCCCAAAGTGCTGGGATTACAGGTGAGAGCCACCGTGCCCAGCCTGTCATTACTTTCAATGGCAAAAACTGCAATTGCTTTTGCACCAACCTATATGTCCTGTACCCATTTTCATATTGGGATCTTAAAAGACTATTAATATTTAAACATTTTCTATGCATTAAAATATTAATCCTTTGTCATATTTATTGAAAATATTTTATGTAGCCTATTGTTGTCTTTAATTTTGACATAATGTTGACTTTGAAATAGATCAATTTCAAGTTGTGTGTATTCGGTATGCCAATGCCTCACTTTGTAACTTCTCCTATTACTTCTAAGTTTAGAAAGTCCTTCCCAATCTAGACTAATGACCTTTTAATAACAATGGTGGGCTGGGCACAGTGGCTCATGCCTGTAATCCCAGCACTTTTGGAGGCCGAGGTGGGCAGATCACTTGAGGTTGCGAGTTCGAGACCAGCCTGGCCAACATGATAAAACCCTGTCTCTTCTAAAAATAGAAAAATTAGCCGGGTGTGGTGGCAGGCACCTGTAATCTCAGCTACTTGGGAGGCTGAGGCAGGAGAATCGCTTGAACCCAGGAGGCAGAGGTTGTAGTGAGCCAAGATCATGCCACTGCACTCTTACCAGCATGACAAGAGCGAGACTCCATCTCAAATAAATAAATAAATAACAATGGTGTATTAATCCATTTTCATGCTGCTGATAAAGACATACCAGAGACTGGGAAGAAAAAGAGGCTTAATGGACTTACAGTTCCACATGGTTGGGGAGGCCTCACGATCATGGCAGAAAGCAAGGAGGAGCAAGTCACATGTTGCATGGATGGCTGCAGGCAAAGAGAGAGCTTGGGCAAGGAAACTCCCACTTTTAAAGCCGTCAGATCTCATGAGACTCATTCACTATCACAAGAACAGTGCAGGAAAGACCTGTCCCCATAATTCAATCATCTTCCACTGGGTTCCTCCCATGATATGTGAGCATTGTGGGAGTTACAACTGAAGATGAGATTTGGGTGAGGATACAGCCAAACCATATCAAATGGCAACATACATTATCTGTAATTTTCTGACCTTTTTTTCCACCATTTTAATAATTAACATGCCACTGGAACTTCAGTAGGGAATGCCTACTAGTATTTTCATGCTTTTTAATAGTCTCCAACCTGTTGGTACCTCTTGACACTCTTCTTGGTGATTTTATTTGACTTTAGCACTTCCATGAGAAATGTCTTTATATCCTGAATTATAACCCATTCCAATTTGTTTTGTTGATATCACATTAAGAGGAAGCGTCAACCCATATGATTGATTGTGTGCGGTTTCACTTTCTTATAAAACAAATGACAAACTCTTCTATGAAGTTTCTTGTTACTCTTCAATTAACTCAGGGAACACTAAAATAAATTATTTACTTCTAGTGATTTTTTAAATGATAATTCATAATTTTTAAGCTGTGTCCTATAATAACAGCCTGATTCATATGTATCAAGATTCCATACACTATACAAGCATATTATTTTTCTTCTTTTGCTCCCATGATATGTTGATATATATTGTACATATTAAGTGCAAATGAAAGAATAAGTCCTCTTACAACTATCACTTTTTTTTTTTTGAGACAGAGTCTTGCTCTGTCACCAGGCAGGAGTGCAGTGGCATGATCTCAGCTCACTGCAACCTCCGCTGCCTGGGTTCAAGCAATTCCCCTGCCTCAGCCTCCCGAGTAGCTGGGACTACAGGTGCACACCACCACGCCCAGCTAATTTTTGTATTTTAGTAGAGACAGGGTTTCACCATGTTGGCCAGGATGGTGTTGATCTGACTTCGTGATCCGCCCACCTCGGCCTCCCAAAGTGCTGGGATTATAAGCATGAGCCACTGTGTCTGGCCACAACTATCACTTTTTATACCAGATTAACATACAGATATTACCATATATTATATATTTTAAGAAAAGCCAAAATGTCCACAGTATTTCATTTCCCAACGTATTAAAAATATATAGTGGATGTTTGTGACATGTGAAGGCTATCTATTTCTCAACAATTTTTCTATATTTTGGGAAATCTTTAACTAGGTCCCACCTCTCACAAGTACAATGGAGGCTAGGTATTTCTAATGCCTCTCCTCCGCCAGGCTGGGTAAACTGGAGACTTGAAGTCTTGAGACTTGAAATGATTCCCATTGGTGTATAAAGAATGACAGTGGCTATGGCAAACAAAGTGGTGGTAGAGTTTGTTCATTGCTGAGACTTGATTCTATAGCCTTCCATCTGATTCTGTAAGATCTGACATTGCTTCAAAAACTTACTCTTATGCTTAAGCTAATGTAAGTTAATTTCTGATTATTGCAAAAAAGCAATTTAATCATACAGAGGGATACACTGAGGCCAGGTGTGGGGACTTATGCCTGTAATCCCAACAGGTTGGGAGGCTGAGGCAGGAAGTTAGCTTGACCTAGGAGTTTAAGACTAACCTGTGCAATATATTGAGACCTTGTCTCCACAAAAACTTTTTAAAAAATTATCTGGGCATGGTGGTGTGTGCCTATAGTTCTAGCTACTTGGGAGGCTAAGACAGGAGGATCACTTGAGCCCAGGAGGTCAAGACTTCAGTGAGCCATGATCATGCCACTGCACTCCAGCCTGGGTGACAGAGTGAGACTCTGCCCAAAGAAAAGAGAGATACTTTGATATGTACGTGATTTCTTATATCAGAAATAGCACTCCAAAAGAGAGCCAAATCTGTCATGTTTTTATATCAAAAAGGAAAAACTAACTTACCATACTATGAACATTAAAAATCACTTGTATGGCTGCATATCAAGAAGAAAACATATGAAACAACAACTCTTTTAGATGATATTATACATGTCTCTTTTCTTAGATACTGTCATTTGCATGACTAGGAATTCTTCAAATTAATTTTCAGTTTATAAGAAAGTCAACCTACCTTAATAAAAATACAGTTTACAAGTCAAATATTATTAGAATCATATTTACCTTTGCCCAGGAGAAGATGATCTAAAATGACATTTTGAACCAAAGCAATTTTGCAGCATATTGCTATGGCTTCTTTTATTTAACCAAAACATATACCACAAAAGATTAAGATTACTTTGCACATTTATTTTAAGGACCTATGTAATACTGAGGTTTTCCATGGAATGCAATATTCATATGAATCTCAAAGGAGAACATATGGAGATTAATTTGTGGTTTTGCCAAGTTCCTTCAAATTCAAAATTTTACAGTATCAAGAGCCAGTGAGAAGTTCTATATTTAAAATCTAAGTGTGAAGTTATATCATTCTTTTAACCATTTAAAAATATTTACTGTTATTTTTCTTTGGAGAGGAATGCAAGACAGAGTTCATACTATTAAGGAACTCTCAATATAGTAGCAGAGTTGTCAGGAGCTAAGGCTCTGTGTCAGGAAATGTTTCCTTGAAGAGGTAGGCTTGTACAGACTGTAAGTATATGATTTCTGAGGGAACAAATACATAACAGGTAAGAGAGTCTGGGCTCAGATAAAGACAATAGGCAAACTCATGGAAATGCAAAAGGCCAAAAAACATTTTCAGAGAGTTGCAAGTGATGTGACTGAGTATACAGTCTAATGGGACTAGCGGTGAGAAATAAGATGGTAAGACAACTTTTTTCAGTTTTTGTTGGATATTGGATTCCACTAATAATCTTAGGAAAGCTGACTCAACTAGAAAAGATGCATACTACATTTTATTAAGGGTTTATGGGCAATATTATGTCCATCAAATGACTCAAAATTATATACAGCTGGTTATGCTGTGATGTTTCCATTCTACTTTATATGCACCAGGAAACATAAGTGATTTTAAAATGGGACAAGATAGTACAAGAGGTTTATATGATGTCATCATGCATCCAAATGACAGTGACACAAGTATTCACCAGCATTATTTCCCAGGTTACTGCATCTTGTCAGATAATACATTATGACTTCGTGTTGCCTTGTTATTGCCTCTATTATAGCTAACCTATGCCTAATTGCAATTTTTTGGTTGGGCTGGCTTCTGTCAATCACTCTTTGGGCTTTAGGCTGGGGACACTGTGTTCTCCTTTATATTATTTCATCTCAACTAGGAACACAGACTCTTTTCCTCTATCCCCACAGCAGAACCAATGCTAAGGCCATAATTTTAATCAGAGTTTAATGAAAGGGTAAGGATCATGAATGAGAATTACAGAACAGAGAGGAAAGTAAAACTTCTGGCCAAGCTTGGGGCTTCTCATCAATTTCATCCAATATTTTCCTAACAACTGTTTCAGGGCTCTTGTGCACTTAGAATTTGAATACATTTATTCTATTGCCCAGAAATAGAAGCTTCTCTTCTTCATATAATATCCCTTTGATGAGATTTATTCCTTATTCCAGTATTAATCTTCCTAGGTTGACTGACACTGAGAACATTAATTCTTCTCAGTGGGGTGGTGGCCTCCAATGGGAGAAATCAACAATTCTCTTTCTCCTATGTGTGTATGCCTTTGCACCTATGGTGAAGGGGAGCCTGTTTCTCCACCCTTCCATCACAAATCTGAGCGGGCCTGTGACTTGCCTTGATTAATACAATGTGGCAGAAGTAAGGCTCTGTCAGTTCCTGGGCTAGTTATCAAGAAAGAGACCTTGAAACTTCTGATTTCTTTAAAACCAGCACTGTATAGGATGTCTGATTACCGTGAGAGCATGAGCTGTGCTGAATCTCCAGCTAGCCACAATGAAAAGCCTTTTGGAGAGAGAATGTCCAGTCAACCTCCCAGCTGTTCCAGCCTTTCCAACAGAGGTATCAAACAGGTGAGTGATAAAGCCACTGCTATGAAGTGAGTTATGTCTCTTCCCAAATTCATATGTTGAAACCCTAATCCCTCAATGTAACTGTATTTGGAGATACGGCCTTTAGATATGTAAATAAGGGTGAATAAGGTTATAAGAGAGGAGCCATAATTCAAGAAAATTGTGCCCTTATAAGAAGAGGACAAGACACTAGGAACACAGAAGCACAAGAAAAATTTACACAAGAACGCAGTGAGAAGGCAGCTGTCCGCAAGCCAAGAAGAGAGGCCTCAGAAGAAACCACACCTGCCAGCAACTTCATCTTAGACTTCTAGCCCCTAGAACTGTGAGAAAATACATTTCTATTGTTTCAGCCACACAGTCTGTCCTAGCAGTCTAATACTGCCACCTCAGAAGTTTCAGCCTAATAGACACCAGCTAGAGCAGACAAAGTGCCCAGCTGAGCCAAACACAGAGAGCAGAATCATAGAAATAATACATTTTGTAGAATTTTCTTATGTGGTGATAGATGACTGCAACAAGGGTAAAATCTACCCCTATCCACAAGGCATTTGTTGGTAAAATGGCCTTGACAAACATTTCTTGCTAAGATCTGGGACATTTGGTGTTATTCATGAATACCTGTTACAACTCACTACTCTCAGACTTTGCTATGGTCCCTAACTGAATAACTGCATTTGACAATGTGGTTTATTATAATAATACTTCATAATTTGTACCATAGTTGCCTTTTGGTGGGGGATGATTATGCTTCCTAGAATAGGATAAGGTATTAATTAAATAACTGGTGAATATTATTTGTTATTAATTATTTATGATTTTAAAAAATTCAATTTAATAAGTGAAATTGGCATAAACTTTTCTTTTGGAGGCTAACAATCACTAGTATTAATTTGTGAATAACATAATATAGCAAGGTAAAATGAATCTGAAGTTTTCCAATTTTTTTCTGTACTGTGGAACAGATTAGGGAATATATTAACTACATGTTCCCCAAATAATACAAATAGATCATTAATTGACTTTCCAATTAGCTTAATGCTTTTTTCTATATTTTTGTGTCAATAAGAGTAATTTTTATTTTCCCAAAAATTAATTTATTTCACAAAGATATTTAAATTTTTGGTATACCATGTGGGATATTTTCACTGATTCTCAATCATACCTGCAGTATGTTTATTTTCTCTGATTCTGTTATGTTTTGTGTGTGTGTTACTTTTTATTTTCTTGATCAAATTTTAGTTACAAGAAATGAAATTTGGAGTTACTTGAGATGTCTCCATTTCAAAATATTTTATTTTATTAACTTCTTTTACTTGTATTAAGTCTTTCTATATATCTTTTTGAGTTTTAAAATTTTGTCTTAATGTATGTATACTGAATGGATAGTGGGAGGAGTGGTTGGAGGGAGGAGTAGATGAATGGATGGGCAGGTACCTCTTTTAGGCTGTACATTTTTCTTTCCAGTACTTTAGCCATATCTCCTGTTCTGAACTGAATGCCACCCCACCCCACCATCTTAGAGAACCTTTAAGGAACTAAGTAAGGTTAAAGGCAGTAATAAGGGTGGGACCCTTATGAAATAGAAGTTGTATCTTTATAAGTAGAGTGACACCAGATCTCTCTCTCTCTCTCTCTCGCTGTAAGCACAGAGGAAAAGGCCATGTGAGGACACAGCAAGAAGGTGGGTGATTTGCAAGCTAGGAAGAGAGTCTTCACCAGAAACCAAATTTGCTAGTATCTTGCTCTTGAAATTCAAGCCTCCAGAATCGTGAAAAATAAGTTGGTTGTTTAAGCCACCCAATCAGTGGTACTTTGTTATGGCAGCCCAAGCACACTAAAGCATCCCCAGTACCTGATATGCATCATTTTAATTGCTTGGGTTATTATTAACTCTTCTTGTATTTTCCTGGTTCTTGGAATAGTTTCTTTGCACATTCACTCATTCTGTCACTTTATGGACTCTTACAGACATTTTTGTTTAAACAACATATTATCTCAGTGAGAAATTTGGAGTTCAAGATGAATAAGTAAATTTTCCAGGGTTTAAAAATACATTATTGCTGGTCTAGTTTTGAATTGTTAGGCTATTTTACTTAATTTTATTCTCATTTAAAACAAGTAGCCAGAGGAAAAAATTGTGAAGTACATATATTAGGAGGATTCTCTCCTGGCTCCATTATACTAAGAGCTGGTTACATATGTAAGATAATTGTTTACCCATAAGGCCCATGGAATAATATCCTGTCCCCATTGAAAGGAATGTGAGAAAGTAATTTATTACTAACTGAGCACTGAGGTATTTGATGTCTTTCACTTATCATAACTAAGTAAACAGTCTTTAGTTTACAAATGAGGAAACTTGATTCAGAGGTGTTTAATTTTCCAAGCTTATATTGATAATGGACACAGTATATAAGATTTGAACTTAGATATTGCTCCAAAGATTCTGATTTTCCAGGAAAATTTCCTTATAGTAAGCAGAGTAAAATTAGCTGTCAAAATAGGATGCTTTCTAACCCTCCTGTAAGTGAATTTGTCATTTGGAGCATATTTTATTTGTAAACATTTCAAATTTCTCATTTGTGAAAATGCCAAACATCCATACCTGAAAACTTTACATTTCATGAAGCAGGCTGTAACGTACCCTTCAGTGAGTTGGGGGTTAAAGTGGGCTTTTCAACAAGCAAGGCAACACTGACCTGCAGGCAGAATGCTTCAACAAATCAGTCAGATTTGCTTACTGGACTCATGTCTCCTGCTAAAGTCGCTGTCACAGAATTACTTTTATTTTGTGCTCACTGTACTAAATTTTATTAATTTTTAAAAAAATTTTTAGATGTTTCTGATTCCATAGTGTTTATTATCCAGTTCTCTTAGCAAAAAAATTCTGGTATTTATAGAAAATGCAGAAGACAAATGATAAGCAAATATATATCCCTCAGAGAAAAAGATGCTACATCCAGATATTATTATGCAAATTTGCCAAGCAAGGTCAAAGTGTACTAGTGGGGAAGATAGAAAAGGAACAGTTAAGGATATTAATTCAAATCCTGAGAAACTGTTTACTGATAGGAAAGGTTTAGATACTAAAATGAGATAAAATCGATACAAAATTGTACCATTTATCTATTAATTGCCTGACTTTGGGTGGGTTATTAAACTTGGTTTTTATGTTTATAAAATTTGTATAACAATATCTCTCCCTAGGGTTGTTGCAGGTTTATTTAAATTACGTACCTCTGTGTTTTGCTCTATCTTGTGTAAAAACTGAAAAATGATTCAGAGAACAGAGAGCAAAGCAAATAACATTGGTTTAAAAAGTGTAAAATATACCAGGAATGAGAGAGACTTATCTCCACTAACCAGGTGGGAATTGGAACCAATGTCAAATTAGCTAAATATCTCAAAGGAAAATACTTAAAACATAGGTGAAAAAAGATAAGAGAATTCTGAAGAAATAAGGGATCCTTTTCTTAAAGGATAAAAAAATTCATGATATTCCTGCCAGTTACCTGATGGTAATAAAATACAATGAAATGATACCCTAACTCAGGTGGGGTATCTGATGATTGGCAAATAGGGAATATGGAAGTAAAGAGGGAAAACATCAGATGAGGAGATGGAAGCAGAAAAGTGGGAGAAGACTGAATATGTCTATGGGATGTACAACAGATTTCCTCAGAGAAATGGAATTACCCCTGCCTGAAGTTGGTCACTGGCTCTCTTAAGGGCAAAGAGTCATAAATGAAGTTAAACTGAGAGTGGTTGATGTTCAGAAATTATAATGTGAATAGGTCTCCATAATATTGGATATTAAAAGACCCCTGGAAATTTATGCAGGAGCCCCAACCTTTCCTGAGGAATGACTAGGAGATGGTCCTTATTCTCAATCTTGATTTGCTGCTAATGATTTGGGATCTTGAGGTTTGTAGTACTGCTTGGCTAAGTATTGATGCCTAGTTGAGTTATTAGTGGGTGCCCAAATTATATTTTTTAATCTTTTCTGATTACTGATAACATAAATTCTGTGACTTACAAGTTAATCTGATGGAAGTGATTAAGATAAGATGTAAGAAAATTTTTAGGTATTTGGCCAAATATCTTAAAGGGTAAGTCATCTTTAAATAGCACTAATAATGACTCCAAAATTGTATGAAAATATTAAAACAAATTTCATACATGCATATGGGAATACTTGGCTTAATATTTTAACCACCTCTGTATTCATATATATATATATATATATATATATATATATATATATATATATATATGAATATGCTTACACAAACACATAGCACCACTAGCACCTCACATTATTCATTAGAGAAGAATATAAAAAGCCACCAACATCGATCAGTATCATTGAACTGCTCATCTTCTGTTAAAAATACAAGGAAATGACTTACATAATGGCATATCCACAGCACAAGTTGAGATATATATAAGGCATTATGAAGAGCTCATCTTCATAAATGGCCATCAAAACTGTCATTAATAGAACTCAACTTATAAAGAAAGTGATGTATGGTGAAACTGACATATTGAAGGGACTTGCTTAAGTATTGAGTGTGGAATGTTGACTTTCAACAAAAGTATAGAAGTTCTGTCTTGCCACACTTATTGGACCAAGCTCAGCAGTTCTTAAATTCTAAATTAAACAAATACTTTCTGCATATTCACTGCAGCAGCCAATTACATAATGCATTGTAAATTATGGTTAAAAAGACTGTTTTCTTTTGAAAGTGTGATACAAGGCAGGCACAGAAGAGAAGCAATCACCATTGTATTGCTTCCTCTTCACAGAAGAAATGTGTTTAGAACAGTTAGCAAAATACCTGGATCTCATTGGCATCTAACATTCCAATCACCTGCTATTCAACAATTTTTCATTTTCTTGATGTGCTGGATTTTGCAATGTTTGTTAGCGTGCAATATGTCATCTCAGCGTAGACACACCAGTATTATATGATCCCTTTCAGTTTTGTGCATGGGAGTGTTAATGTTGTACTATAGTATTGCAGCTACATTTTCTGTATCTCACTAGTTTGAAGGAGTTAGTTGCATCCTTAGAAGTCCAAGTGAGACTGAAGGTTAGAAACCGTGAGTCCAAGTAATAGCCAGTTCATTTAATAATTTGTAAAAAATTTCTGATGAGACGATCCAGGCTTTATCTGTGACATTCCGTGTTAAAAAATCCCATTGTAAAGAATTTACTCAGATAAATTATTGAAGAACAGGATGAATTCATTGTTGTATAATTTTAATAAAATATATATTGCCTAGGGTCACAGGACAAATCAATGTGTTATAAAATACATACTATGCTCTCACTCATATATTCTTATTGATATTTTTATTCATGAGGAATAAACAAAGGTGCACGCTGCTATTCTTCACAGAGAATAAAGCATGAGAAAGATATCAAGGGGGTATTATGGTCAACATTTCAATTGTGTGCTAGGCAAAGACTGGGCCTTAAAACTATATTTGAGTAAAGAATGAATAACTAGAATAGAGATTGGATTCTGGAAGCCAACTTTAGAATAATAGGCCAAAGTTAAAACCAAGTTAAGAAACAAATGAAAAATAGGTCAGTGAATTGTACAAGAAGGTAACACAGATTCAGGAGTCAGCCCATTACAAGGGTGAGAACATCTTTTCAACTTGTCATCTTTCTAGCTTTTTCTAAATCTTACACTGAGGCACTGTATTGTAAGGCATTTTTTTTTTTTTTTTTTTTTTTTTTTGCCATTGACTTATGGCTGTAAACCTCTGGAGGGAAGTAAGAGGTGGCAAGGGAACAAAGCAGGGTAGTATGAAAATGTAAGCATGAAAAATGAATGAAAGATGAGAGAAGGGGTCACTTGGGCATCAGCTGAGTATGACAGGCTCAAGCTCAAATGGAGCTCTGGCAGAAAGTTGACTGTATCCCACAGGTTATCATTCCAGATAGCGGCAGAGTTCTGGTGGTTTGCTAGTAGCCAGCTGATCAATGTATTTATGCCCTAATTTATGGCTTATCATTAGTCTGCCCCTCAGAGACATTTAATGGTTATTTTTTGGTGCTATTTATTTATCTACTTATTTATTTTCCTGCAGAATCATAACACAAAGCTTATATTATCTCAAACAGCTGAAAATGCAATGTTTGAACCCCTAGTTTCCCTAGCCTTTCCATCTCATGCCAGAGTAGGGGCTGGTACACTACAAAATCAGAACGGCCAGGGTTGAAAAATGAAAATTACTGTAAAAATATGCTACTGGTACCAAAAGATTTGGAATTCAGGCTTTGATTCTGACGGAAAAATGGTTAATGTTTCTGAAATGATGTAACTTAAAAAGTCTCAACAGATATAGGTTAGAAAACTTGATGTTAAAGACAGTGGATCCTTAAGCTCTCCCAGAATGCAGTGGGCAACCAGGGAGCCCAGGCTGTCATGGGATTCCTAGGGTGTCAATTTGCCAGCCAGAAACCTCTGTGGCTGGTGGTGCCTCTGCTTAGGTTTTGCTTGTGCTCGCTGGGCTCATTCCACCCACTCAGCCCAGCAGCCCCTGCTCGGCTTGTGCTACCAGCCGCATCCCCTAACTGCCATGGGCAAGCCAGGCATGGAGCAGTGAGGGATGTGTGAGCAAGTGAGTGCAGGGTCCAGCCACTGCACACAGCCAGGTGCTCCAGCTGTGGCAGAGGGGTGGGCGGTTCCAGGCACTGGCACAGGCACCAGCTCCATGGAAGACTGAAGCTAGACCAGGCATATTAAAAGCAGCTTTGGCTGTGGGCACCAGCATCTAGACAAGGGGAATGCGATGGTGCCCAAAAGCAGAGCCCCAAAGAGAGTGCCACAGCCCTAGTTCAGGGAGACCTGATGTCTGCATTCCCAGAAGGGCTGCAGCTCTTTTCTCCTCATCACTCACAATGTGGTGAGCAGGGGGCATATTTCAGCCCTGTTTGTGTTACAGCTCTTTCATTCTCACCATTCAGCAGGTCCCAGTTCTTTTCCTGCATCTAGGAAGAACGAGATACATGGACAATTTGAGGGTGAGGAAGGCAGAGGAGCTTCACTGAGTGACAAAACAGCTTTCAGGAGACCCAAAGTGGGTAGCTCCTTTCCATAGGCAAGTTGTCCTGATGGGGTTCCAGCTCACAGAGGAGAGGAGAAACATGGCAAGTAGCTCCTTTCTGCAGGGATGTTGTCCTGACGAGTGTGCAAGTCTGGCTGAGTCCAGGGTTTTCATGAGCTCAGAAGAGAGGAAGCGCATGCTGATTGGTCCATGGGCAGCCACGGATGGGCCTGGAAAAAGCACCATAAGTTCTCACTCTCCATGACGGACTCTACCTAGAACTGGCAGCCCGGCTCCCAGGCTTCAGGCCACCCCTGGCTTGAAGCTGGGGCTTCACCAGGGACCCACCCCTTTCCACTTAGGAACCTGTCTGCCTCCTGCTGCCATCAACATGCTGTTACTGGAGCCCAGGCTCTTCACCCCAAAGGGCACCTATAAGGCCTGTGCTGAGCGTCCCTCAGCCCCTCCATCCCACCTCCAGCCTCCCTCCCTGAGCTCTTCATTGTCCAAAGCTTCAGAGGAGGCTGAGGCAGCAGGAGACCTGGAGTGTCAGCGCCTCCCCGAGGGCACGCACACCTGCCAGGTCATGATAGTGCATGGGCTCAGCTTCAACTTTGCTTCAAAATTGAAGTGGGCACCAAGAGTGGGGAGAGGCCAGGGAGCAGGAAAAGGCACTTCTGAGCCTGTGGGGGCAGGGAGCTTCCCGGACCCCCAAGAGTGCAAGAATGCCCTGGTCCAGAGCTGCAGCTGGGCGGCTGCAGCTGTGTCCAGGAGTGTGGGGCTCTCGCCTCACCAACTCAGTAGGGGGTGGAGCTCCCGCCTGTTCCCAGACCCCATTGGCTCCACAAAGCACGCAGCCTCAGCAGTGCCTCCTGCACAGCAGCTGGCATCCCCACAATGGCTGTTCTAGACAGGCTGGTGCCACCATCAACATCTATCGCAATGAGCTTTCTCAAATAGAAAGCTGTAACATTCACTCATATTTGTTTACTGTTTTCCAACATTTATAACCACCACCCCATCTCAATTGAAAGGAACCACTTTCTAGTGTAGCATCTGAAAACTCAGATATTTACATTTTCATTCTCCTTTATGGCTGGACATGATTAGCATGTGACCTGATCTTAGTCAAGAAACCCAACAGCAAACCAGTTGTGATACTCTAGAAAAGGGTACCATCCGTAATTAAAAGTGACTGCTAGGAGAAAAGGCCCTCCTTATCAACCAGATGTTGACATACCTGGCTATAATATCTGGAATTCTAGAAGTCTTGATATCCTAAGGGAAGGCTAATTATTTCTCAGGGTGGTAGAACAGAGAAATGGAATAAAATTTCAGTGAATTGCTAAAAATGTAATTATAGAAAAGTCACTGTTTGTAATAATAATAATAACTAAAGGTACCTGAGAATGGTTCTAATAAAACATATGCAAAAATTGGGTATAGGCAGATGCAGTGGCTCACACTTGTGATTACAGCTACTTGGGAGACTGAGGTGGGAGGGCCAATTGAGGCCACAAGACCAAGGCCAGCCTAGGCAATATAGTAAGACCCTGTCTCTATTAAAAATAAAAAAAGGAAAAAAAACCTCTTGATATAGAAAAATCATTGAGAACCATAAAATAAGACCTAAATAATTGGTGGTGTATACAATGTTTATGAATGGATTATTTCTATTTTGCGAAGTGAACATTTCATCCAGATTATTATGCATCTTTATTATAAAAGCTATCAGAAACTTTGTGACTGTGTGCTTGTGTTGTGTGTGTGTGTGTGTGTGTGTGTGTGTGTGTGTTTGAGAGAAAGAGAGAGGAAGATGGTGTGGGGGAAGAGGGAGAGAAAAGAGAGAGAGAAAATGAGACTTCAAAAGTTAAAGGTGAGTATAAGAATTAATAAGAAATAGAAAAGGCAAAAATGTCTAAGGCAATAAGACAATATTGTCAAGGTAGGGAACTCATCCTACCAAATATTTACTTATTTTAAGCTGCTATCACTAAGACAGTAAACTTTAGGGCATAAACAGAAAAGAAGAAAAGTAGAAGAGAAAAGTAGATCTCATGTTAAGTTTTCTTACCACACACAGAGGTAGAAGAAAAGTTAGAAAGAAGATGGACATGTTCATGGTCGTAATGGTGATGGTTTTGTAGTGTATACTTATCCCCAAACTCAACAAGTTGTATACATTAAATAATGTATAGTTTTTACAAGCCAATTATTCGATTTTTAACAAGAATGTCAAGACCATCCAATGGTAGAAAAATAATCTTTTCAACAAATAATACTTGTGCAATGGGATGTCCAAATGCAAAAGAATAAATATGAATGTCTCTCTCTCATCATAAACAAAAGTCAATTTAAAATTGGTCAAATACATAAAATAAGTTGTAAAACTATAAAATTATTAAAGGAACATATGGGATTACACCTTCATGACCATGGGTAAGGAAATGAATTCTTAGATATGACATAAAAGCACATGGAACAAACAAAAGACAAAAACAAATTGAACTTCATCAAAACTAAAAACATTTGCTTTGAAGAACATTAATTTAAAAAACAATTTATAAAATAAAGAAAACATCTGCAAATTATATACCTGATAAAGAACTCGTAAGTAGAAGCCATAAAGAAATCTTAAAACTCAATAATTAAGACAAGAACTCAATCAGAAAATTGGCAAAGTAAATGAATAGACTTTTTCTCAAAGAAAATTTACAAATGGTGAACAGCACATTCAAAGATGCTTGATATCCTTAGTCATTAGGGAAATGTAAATCAAAGTCACAATGCAATACCACTTCACACCTACTAAGATGGTTATAACCAAAAAGACAGGAACTAACAAGTGGTGAAGAGAATGTGGAGAAATTTGAAATCTCATACACTGTTGGTGGGAATGCAAGATTGTTCAGCCACTTTGGGAAACAGTTTGGCAATTTTCCAAAATGTTCAGCATGAAGTTACCATGTGACTCAGCCAGTATCCGTTCCTAAACATTTACCTAATAGGAATAAAAATGTATGTCCACACATTAATTTGTACAAAAATACTCATTGCAGCATTGTTCAAAATAATCAAAGTGGAAATAACCAAATGCCTATTAACTGATGAATAAATTTTTTTAAATTATATATGCATATATAATTTTGTACTGTAAAATAGAATATTATACAACCATAAAATGGAATGAAGTATTGCTATAGGCAAAAACATCAAAGAACCTTTTAAACATTGTAAGTGAAAAGACTCAGTCACAGAAGACTGCCTATTTTGATTTCATTTATACTAAATTTTCAGAGTAGGCAAATCTGTAAAGACAGGAAGTAGATTAATGTGTGTTTAGGGCTGGGGAGACAGGGTTGGGTGAAATTTTTTTTTCCCTGGGGAGTAATAAGAACATTCTAAAATTGATCATGGTAATTATTGCACAAATCTATGAATATAATGAAAACCATTGGCTTACAAATTTTGAATAAGTGAATGGTATGGGATATGAATTATATCTCAATAAAGCTGCTAAAAATAAAAGAAAATTGACTGAGCATGGTGGCTCACGCCTTGAATCCCAGGAGTTTAGGAGGCCGAGGTGGGAGCATCGCTAGAAGCCAGGAGTTCGAGACCATCCTAGGCAACATAGACATAGAGACCTTATCTCTATAAAAAATTTAAAAAATTAGCCCCACACAGTGGTGCATGCCTGTAGTGCCAGCTACTCGAGAGGCAGAGGTGGGAGGATAGCTTGGGCCCAGGAGATGGAGGCTGCAGTGAGCCATGATCACACCACTGAACTCCAGCCAAGATGACAGAATAAGACCCTATCTCAAATAAATAAATAAAAAGTAAATAAAGTGAAATACATTTGTAAAACAAAAATCTCTTCTTATTTTCCTTTCTTTATTTTATTATTCTGATATTAATAAGCATACATTATTAATGGGTATGGATTTAATGAAAAATAATTAGATGATCTAACTTTTATCATGCTATTAAAAATATCATGAAATGAACATAGCTTTAAGTTGTAATTTAGACTGTCTTTTACCTCCAGATCTAGTTGTATGTAATATATTTTAAATTCAATAAGGTGTATTTTGGAATTTAAAGGCAGTATAATTTTATCGTTTCTTTGGAGGCACTTATTTTTATGTTTTGAAGTCTAAATAAGTAAATAAGGGCATTTCAGACCTAGAAAATTAGTACAGCTTAGCTTTTTCAGTGTTTACAAAACAAATCTATACTTAAAATGACTTGTAAGCTATAAATTTTGTTTTCTCTTAGTTAATAACATTATTCCTTATGTTTTAAGCACATGACATGCACCATTTCTGTTTCTATAATCCGCTGACAGTGATGTGAATTTACATTAATTTTAATTGTGTATCATTTTGAACATTTATTTTGTGTCACATTTAAAAATCAACATTTGAAATAATACTATGGTCTACATAGTTGGAACTTAAGAATCAGTGTGAAGGATAAGGGGGAAAATGTAAATGATGAGAGCAGAAAGGTCTTACTTGAGTTGATAGAAATGTATCTGTCTTTAATCTTTCTTTGGGAAGAAAGTTAAATTACTGAAAATCTATATTTAAGAAGTAATTCTCATAATAGGCCACTGCAAAATACTGATATGGGTGATTTTTAGAAAAAAAATATCATGTAGTCTATCTAAACATGAATCTGCTCATAGGGATAGAAATAAAACCAAATATTAAAATATAACTGCAGAAAGGGGGTGGAAGTTTTAAACATAAATTATTGTGGTCATATTTTTATTTCACTTTTTAGATGTCAGCCTGTGTAATGTTAGCTTTCTTCACCAGTGATCTCCAAATTATTCTGATCATATTACATCTGTTGATAAAGCAATTTAGAGTTCTCACTACTCCACCGAACTTTTTACTGTACTGAAATTCCTTTCAAAGAAGAGGCTTAAGTTATGGAACTTTTAAGAGTCTATTTAAAATTGAGTTAATGTCTTGCACAACACTTTGGCAAAAGCACCTTAAGAATTAAGAGAAAAAAGTGATTTTCAATTAGCAGCTTTTTTTATACAATGAGATATCACCTCACACCTATTAGAATAGCTATTATCAAAGAGACAAGCAATAACAAGTGTTAGTGAAGGTGTGGAGAAAGGGGGACTTGTGCACAGTTGGTGAGAAAGTATACGGTGGAGCCATTACAGAAGACGGTATGGAGTTTCCTGAAAAAACTGAAAATAAAACTATCATATCCCTCTTTTGGGTTTAGACACAAAGGAAACGAAGTCAGCACCTTGTAGAGATATCTGCACT
This sequence comes from Homo sapiens, assembly GCF_000001405.40. NCBI lineage: Eukaryota > Metazoa > Chordata > Mammalia > Primates > Hominidae > Homo > Homo sapiens. The sequence goes on along the minus strand of NC_000010.11, from coordinate 65,774,474 downwards.
CCCATGTTCATTGCAGTGTTACCCACAATAGTCAAGATGCAGAAACAACGTGTCAGTTGACAGATGAGTCAATAAAGAAATTGTGTGTGTGTGTGTGTGTGTGTGTGGACACAATCACAATATAATACTATTTTGCCTTTAAAATAAAAGAATATTCAGACATTGGACAATATAGATGAACCTAGAGGAGATTAAGCTAAGTGAAATTATTCAGATATAGAAAGAAAAATACTGCATTATCTCACTTGTACCTGGAATCTAAATAAAGTTGAATACATAGAATCAGTGTAAGGTAGTGGTTACCAGGGTGGGATGAAAAGATGTAGGTCAAAGGGTACAAAGTTGCAATTATGCAGAATGAAAAAGTCTAGAGACCTAATATACAGCATGAGGATGATAGTAAATAACATTTATTGTATCATGGAAATTTGCTAAGAGAATAGATTTTAGGTGTTCTTACCACAGGAAAAGAAAAGACAGAAAAAGTAACTAGGTAAGATAATAGGTATGTTAATTTGCTTGACTGTAGTAATCATGCACACAACACACACACACACACACACATACATCATATTGTGCATCTTAAATATATACAATAAAAATATTTTTTAAAAAGTTGCAGTGTATAAAGTCTTCTCGTTCTGGTATATTACTCAACTTTCCAAATCGCACATATGCATGATTCCAGATGCCCCCCACAGATGTACACATAACCTTCTAAGCTTCTTGAACTCATTAATACCTTGAAAATTCTATTAGATTCTGGAAAAATACCCATACTGTTTTATTTATGTAAACTATCCTTGTAGGTTATGTTACTGAGACTCCTAAATGTGTTAAAACAGCATTGTATCTTTCTAGTAAATAAGAGGGGACTCCAAAAAGTTCATGGAAAAATGGAATTAAAAGTTAAAAATAGTCTGGGTGTAGTGGCTCATGCCTGTAATCCCAGCACTTTGGGAGGCCAAGGCGGGCGGGAGGTCAAGAGATCAAGACCATCCTGGCCAACATGGTGAAACCCTGTCTCTACTAAAAATATGAAAATTAGCTGGGCATGGTGGTGCACGCCTGTAATCCCAGCTACTCGGGAGGCTGAGGCAGGAGAATCATTTGAACCCGGGAGGTGGAGGTTGCAGTGAGCCAAGATTGTACCACTGCACTCCAGCCTGGTGACAGATTGGGAGTCCATCTCAAAAAAAAAAAAAAAAAAAGTTAAAAATAAAAATATAAACTTTGTTTCTCAACATAAACACTATCAAGTTCAGGATATTTTTATAAGCAATGTGATGTGGTTTGGCTGTGTTCTCATCCAAATTTCATCTTGAATTGTAGTTCCCATAATTCCCGTGTATGGTGTGAGGGACCTGGTGTGAGGTAACTGAATCATGGGGGTGGTTACCCCATGCTGCTGTTCTTGTGATGGTGAGTGAGTTCTCATGAGATCTGATGGTTTTATAAGGGAGTTTCCCCCTTTTGATTGGCACTTCTCCTTACTGTCACCATGTGAAGAAGGACATGTTTGCTTCCCTTTTTGTCATGATGGTGAGTTTCCTGAGGCCTCCCTAGCCCTGCAGAACTGTGTGTCAATTAAACTTCTTTCCTTTATAAATTACTGAGTCTCAGGTGTGTCCTTATAGCAGCATGAGAATGGACTAATACACAATGATACCAGCCATTTAGTTCATCCCTAAAGAATCCAGGGTCCTGGGAATTTAATTGTATGAGCACAGTTTTTTTTTTTTTTTGTATTATTAACTGAAAAAACATTGGTGACCTTTACAGATTTTTTTAAGATTAGGAAACAAGAAGAAGTCAGAAGGAACCAAATCAGGACTACAAGGTGGCTGCCTAATGATTTCCCATTGAACCTCTTGAAAATTGCCTTTGTTTTATGAGAGGAATGAGTAGGAGCATTGTTGTGGTGGAGAAAAACTCTCTGTCGAAGCTTTTCCATGTGTTTTTTTCTGCTAAAGCTTTGGCTAATTTTCCCAAGACACCCTCATAATAAGCAGATGTTATTCTTTGGCCTTCCAGAAAGTCAATAAACCAAATGTCTTGATCATGTGAAAAAACTTTTGCTGTGCACTATTGACTTGTGCACTCCTGCTTTGACTGGGCCACTTCCACCTCTCAGTGGCCATTACTTTGATTGTGCTTTGTCTTCAAGATGGTACTGGTAAAGCCATGTTTCATCACCTGTTATAATGCTTTGAATAAATCGTTCAGGATTGTGATCTCACTTATTTAAGATTTTTATTGAAAGCTGTGCTCTTGTCTACAGTTGATTTGGGTACAAAGCTTTGGCACACGTTGAGTGAAAAGTTTGTTCAACTTTAATTTTTCATTCAGAATTGGTTAAGCTGAATCAGTTGAGATAATAACAGTGAAACAGCAAAAGAACTAACACAACTAACTCCATTTTTGTTTAAAGGGCTTTTAACCATTTCTGTACATAGGCAAGGATAATTTAGGAGCACTAAGATAACATGCAAAAACAACAATCATGTAGTTTTAAAACTAACTCTGGAAAGGAGAAGTATGTAAACCTTTAACAATGTTTTGTTAAACATTTATAGGAACATTGTTACCTGACTAAGGATGAAGAAATTCTCAATCTCCTTGGAACCTTACTGGTGCCTATATGTCTGTGATTGTTGATCACCACTTGATCCAAATTACCTCTTTTTCCCCCTTCTCTAAACATAAAAAGAGCCTGAAATTTGTAGTGACTGAAGATGGTTTTTAGGACGATAGTCCACCATCTTCTTGGTTTGCTGGCTCTCTGAGTAAACCTGCTCTTCCTGCCACCAACTCTGATCTCTCTCAGGTTTGGGCTTCGAGTGGCAAGCAGCCAAACCTGTGTTTGAGTACAAGATGTCTATGGTGTTGGTTATTGTATCTCTTCAATTAGGGCATAAACAAGATTAATTATTTTCCTCACAAATTGAATTGGATGGTCTGCCTCTGCAGGCTTCATCCTCAACATCATCTTGTCCTTTCTTAAAGCAAGCTATCCATTTGTAAACCGCTGATTTCTTTGGGACATTGTCCTCATAAACTTTTAGTAAAACATCAGTGATTTCACCATTCTTCTATCCAAGCTTCACTATAAATTTTATGTTTGTTCTTACTTCAATTTTAGCAGAATTCATGTTGCTCTGATAGAGGGTTTTCCAAATGATACCTTGTTAGTGCCTCAAACTAGATCTTGTTTAGACATCTTAGAACATGTTAGTACCAGTTCTGTTTAGTGCAAAAAATAATTGAAATCCATGCATAGCTTTTTCATAGTATGGATTTTCTACGAAGTTTTTGAAAACTCCTCAAATTAGCAAGTTGTCTATTATCTGATGTTTGTGGATAGTGAAAATAGTTATTTTTCCAAAAAGAAAAATAGAAGCAATTACTTGATTGAGAATACATTGGCTAATTTTATATAATTTATATACAAATTATATAAAATTTGATGAAATTATATAATTTTATATAATAAAATGTTAAATATATATTTTATACATTATATAAAATTATATAATTTTATAATTTTGTGCTATTTACTTGATAAAATGTTATAAATTGTATTTTTTTTTTGAGACAGAGTCTCGTTCTGTCGCCCAGGCTGGAGTACAGTGGCATGATCTTGGCTCACTACAACCTCTACCTCCCGGCTTCAAGCGATTCTTCTGCCTCAGCCTCCTGAGTAACTGGGATTATAGGTGCCCGCCACCACACTCAGCTAATTTTTGTATTTTCAGTAGAGATGGGGTTTCACCATGTTGGTCAGGCTGCTCTTGAACTCTTGACCTCAATCAATCCACCCGCCTTGGCCTCCCAGAGTGCTGGGACTACAGGCATGAGCCACCGTGCCCAGCCATAAATTGTAATTTTAATTTTTCAAGCATAATACAGCATATCTAAATCTTCAGACTGCTACACAATGGTAGCTATAAACTAGAAAATAATCCAGACTTTAGGAGATGAATCAACTTTAGACTATGTTAGGATTGATTTTGATTTTTTAGGTCCATAAAGCAAGCACATACAAAATGAGCGTGGACATTTGCCTTAACGGAATCGTTGTCCCTAGTGTCAAATATTTTGGGAAAAAGCATTTAGGACAGGGAATAAAACTTCTGAAAGTAGGCCTTAAAATTGTGTTTGAAATAAAAATCTTTCCTTTACCTGGGACCTGAGGTCAGTTTATTTGGGTTTTGAAGGCCTGGAGTAGTTTTCCTGGTCTAGGATGTGGGATCCATGTGGAAAATAAGATTATGACGCCCTAAGGTGTTGTGGGGTTATGCAGTAGCTTTACTTTATTGGATGTGCCTGTGTGTTTCTGTTATCTTAAATGCTCAGTAAGTTCTTGTTAGTTGTACCTCCCACTCTAAGTTGTTTTATGGGATGTGAGATGGTCAAAAACAACTTTCTAACTGCCTAGGAGAGCATTGCATCATCCCACCACAGAAACATACCATGGATACTCCTGGAGACAATCAAAAACAGTGTGAGGGATAGCAGCAATCATTAATGAAAGGCAGCTTTGAGCAGCAAGGTGGCAATGCCTCAGGGATCTTGTGTTGTAATGTTGTAAAGGCAAGAAGGCTAGAATCAGAAGACTTTCTTCTAAAAAACTCAGATATAGCTAAAAAACCCCAAAATTGTTAGGTTAAATCCTAGCAATTTTGCTGATGGACAATTGTGATATCATATTTCAGGTAATTTTTTTAAAACATTTTTATAGAGACTGGATCTTACTATGTTGTCCAGACCTGGTCTCAAACTCCTCAGCTCAAGCAGTCCTCCCACCTCAACCTCCCAAAGCGCTAGGATTACAGGCATGAGCCACTGTGGCCAGCCCTGGTTCAGGTATTAAACAAAAGGACGAAGCTATATTTTTACAGAAAAAAACTCTGTTTTTCTAGTATAATGGTTAGAAGTATTGACATACATTTTAGTACATAAATAAATCTGAACTGAACTAATTTTTCCATTAAAAAGAAAAGTTATTATGGATCCTGTAAGACAATCATAAATATATATTATTTTCCAACATTCGGAAGAAACCATTTCCCAATTGCTCACCAGTCTTACAATAGCCAAGATAAAATTGCCTTAGAATAACACAAACATCCCACAAACTTTAATTTACTTTTGAACTTTTAAAACTGGAAACTTGAAAACTTTGAGGAGCTAATGTGCTGCATACAGAAGAACGTGAAATAATGATTTTTGAGAAATTTAATCTGTAAATGTTACAGTGTGTCTCCGTTCACATTTAGTAAGCCATTTCACAGTTCAAAGATTTTACTGTGTAAGTTATTTTTACTTATAGTTCTCCTCACAGGTAGGAAGCAACTTAGGGCTAACTGAAATATGCATTTTAATTGTTCAGCTCTTTCCCAGTTTTGTCAGCTATTTTACTTAGTCTATGCTTTTATGAATTTATTTTTTCCGTGGTGAGACAATGAAAGAAAGGGAAGTCCAATCAGCTTAAAACATAGATGTATAAGATTTGAATGAATGTATTTAATAGAGTAAAACTCTTAAAATAGGTTCATGAAGCATATACTTCCCAAAGGAATTCAAATACACTTATGTCCTGTAGAAAAACATTCATTTGAGGAGACCAGGTGTTTGGGAGTTGTTTTACACTGGACTATGCTTGAATCATTTGAAATCTAATTAAAGCACTTTTTCTGGTTACACACTAGCTTTTAGCTTCAAAGTTCTTTAGAAATAGCAGGTAATCTTCTTCCTGTCACGTAAGTGGAGGATGAAATGGAAGCAAAGAAGTTAACTTGTTTTTCCAATGCTACAGAGAGAAGTAGCAGCAGGCAGGCAGATTTCCAGTATTTCCTGCATCACTTCAATTCCCTGTGTTTTCATATAATACGTTATAAGATTCAGTAGATGGTAGCAAAATAACTGCTTGTGTTAGCCTGTTTTCACACTGCTGTAAAGAAATATCTGAGACTGAGAAATTTATAAAGAAAAGAGACTTAATTGACTCACAGTTCCACATGTCTGGGGAAGCTTCAGGAAACTTACAATCATGGCAGAAGGGGAAGCAGGCACATCTTACCTGGTGGCAGTTGAGAGAGAGCATGTGTGAGTGCAGGAAAAACTACCAATTATAAAAGCATCAGACATCGTGAGAATTCACTCACTATCATGAGAACAGTGTTGGGGAGACTTCCCCCATAATCCAATCACTTCCTTCCCTCAGAATCACTTCCCTTTCTGGACATGTAGGAATTACAAGTCCCTCCCTCAGAACGTGGAGATTACAATTTGAGATGAGCGTTTGGTGGGGACACAAAGCCAAGCTATATCATTGCTGTTTAAACTTTCTCAGTTGACATTTTCACTGAACATAAAGTCAATGTTCAATAAAAAATATTTCTAAATTGCAGTGTTCAAAGAAAAATTTTAATTTTGTTTTATGGTAAACCCCATCAATAAGAACAAGTAAATATATATGTATATATATTTGCATATACATAATGTAATATATATGTGCATTAAATATTTATGTATATATACACATATATATGCAATATTTATATGTAATTCATATATATATACATATATGCATTATAATGTTATGACTTATTAGGGCTTTAGAAATTGCTGATTCTCCATAGAATCACAGTGAGAATTTTTGTTTTTTCACAAGCATTACTTCAGGCAGGAAAATGCAAGATTTTTATTACCCCAGTTGAGTATACTAGGCATTTTGTCATAGTATTAGATACAATTTATTAGCATTAACACACTACAAACGTGTGTTACCAGAGTGTATGATAAAAAAAACAACCCTGCGGAATATGCCCCAATAAATAATTTACATTAAGGTCATAGGGCCCTTTTATCCTCCAACACCAAAGCAGAGTGCTAATTTGTTCCAGTTGATAACTCAAATGTCATTTGTCCTTAAGGCCCTCTTAGCATTATCACAAATATATGAAGAAACAACATTAGATTTGGTAAAAAGAGAAATGTATCTAAGGTTGACAGATCTATGTATAATAGTTTAGGGATTATATAATTGTGCTAGTTATGTCTCAATATCCATTATTTAAATTTTCCATTTATTCTATTGAGGCTAAATTCTGGGATTCTGGGAAGTTCACAATCAAGGTGTCAGCATTCTCTGTGTTTGGCGAGAGCTTTTTTCCTCATACATGTCAACTTCCAACTGTGTCCTCACATAGCGGAAGAAGTAGCTAGCTCTCTTTTCAAGGGTACAAATCTCTGTCAGGAGATTCTGCCCTCATGATCTAATCACCTTTCAAAGGCTATAGCTACTAATACTATCAGATTTGGAGTTAGATATCAACACATGAATTTGGGGTGGGGTATGCAATTATTTAGACCATAGAACCTTTAGTTACAGATAATCCAAATTGTACTTAGACACATTGGCAGGTATATAATAGACACATGCAAAAACAAACAAACAGAAATACATAGATCTCTACAAACATATACATACCATGTTTCTTTGCCTAAGAAATAATTTCATTTGATTTTAAATTGCTTTCTATATATTCAAATATCCACATAAAACACATCTTTAGAAAAATATTCCATATGTATAAATCATCTAATATTAGCTGTGATGTCAGCCAAATAGATATAAGAAATAATTTTTTTGGTTCATAATTTATTTTAATTTTAAAAGAGAGTTAGAAGGGCAAATATTTTCTTTGGATTTTTCCAAAGAAAATCCCAAAGAAAATTCCCTAGAGGCCTCATCTATTAATCAAGTCTGACTATAATATGCTACAGTAACAAACCATCTTCAAACCTCAGTGGCTTAAAACAGTAGTTTACTTTTCCTCACATTACCTGTCCAACACGGGTAAAGAGAGAGTTTGCGCTACTCAGTCCACCTGGCTTGATGGAGGCTCTGCCATCTGTAGCAGTTTCCTCAGTAGTTAGCAGCAGGGTAAGAAAGAGCAGACAATTACAGATTGGCTTTTCATTGCCTCACCCTGGAAATTAGGAATAACATTTTTGATTGCTTAAGCATATCAGAGTCATATTGTTTGCATGGACCATTTTACACTTCAGACTTAAAAAAAGATAAAAAGGTAAATGTGGTCAACAAAGAAAAACTTTAATGTTTTTGTAAGGCATATGATTAAAGATAAATATGTTTAATATAAACTAAAAATTGTGAAGTATAAGTTTGAAAATCCTTGATGAACTAATAGTATATAGAAGTGAAGAGTATATGTAAAGATGACCCTCTTATAATTAAGTAAGGTTTATCCCAAATATGCAAGGAATGTTAGGGCATTTACTAGTTATATTACTAACTAGTATATAATTTACTAGTTATATTAGTAAAATATATAACTTTGAGAAATAAGATAAAATAAATAATGCACTAATCTGATTCTTGAAATTTTAATAAAATCTAGCACTGATATCTTATAATTATTAGACAAGACAGGTAAATATTTTAGTGTGCTATTCAATATCATGCCATTCAATATCATGATTAAGCAGTCAACAGGTTAATTACATTAATATTTTTCTTCATTTATTCATTCACCTTGGTCTAATTCATTGACATTACCAATATGCCTTGATACACTACTGTGTGGTAGAATCTGTTTTAGGTTCTAATAGTTCCTGCTTTTATGTCATTTACATTCTAGCTGGGGGAGAAATATTAAAGTGCTGTGAAGAATATAAAACCCAGCAGTAGGATGGAAAGTAAGTGAACAGTTACATTAGACAAAGGTGTCCATCAACCTCTGTCTCAGGAAGTGATATTTAAGCAAAGACCTAGATAACAAGAAGATACTGAAGTATGATTATAGATGAGATTTCAGTATAGTTCAAGGACAATTCAGGTAACATTTTCAGATAATAAAGAAATAAAAGAGAAACAAAAAGCTCACTTGTATTTTAATATTGAGATAAAATCTCTGCCCAGTGAAACAACATGTAAAACAAAAATGTTATCAATATTAGAAACAAATTAAGAAGTCAGAAAATGTAGTGAAAGTAGAGTTTCAATACATGAGAAAAACTACAATTGTAATAGAGAAACAAGCTCACTCTTTTGAAAACCTCAGCCTGCTTCTTCAGAGGCAGGGTAACTAGTCCTACAAGCAGCAGTTGGCATTGGCTCCTTGACTCTCACGGAGAGAACAAAGACCATACTATTCACTCAGATAATTTGTGAAATATATGCATTCCCTTTCATTAACTACATAAAACCAGAATGAACATAGTAATATCAAAAGGTTTGATGTTCAACTTTTGTTAAAGGTCAGGTTGAAAGAACTGATATATTTAAAAGACACTTGCAGTTTTTAATTGGACTACTCCTTATTTTCTTTCAGTTTCTTTGATGCAGGCCAAATGAACCAAAGGCTGACTACACTGGCCACTTTGTTTTTCTCCCCACTTCAAACTGTGACAATAAACCTACACTTTAGCACCATCACATTGACTGACATTAAAGACTGTTGCAAAAATCAAATCTAACAAGCAACTATCTATACCACCTGTTATTAAAAAGATGTAGCTAGCAACATTTTTCACATCACTAATTTGGCTCCACTATGAGATCCATGTCTAAAATTTCTTCTTAACAAAGGCCTTGGAAATGATTTTTTTTCTTCTGAGAAATCAGTGCAGTGTGAGCCTGATGGATAAAGTGAGTCACATAGCTGAAAATGTATCTATTTTGTTTAAACTAGATTTGCAGTTCAACTTTAGTTTTGTAGAACATTGGCTAACATACCTAAATTATGTATTTCTCCTCATGTTTAGTTGTTTCTTCTTTTTGTATTTTTTTATTCTAATTTTCTTATCAATTTTTTTCTCTTAAATTGCCTTAATTTATTCAAGACTTCTCATATCTTATGTGAAATCAAGTGGATCATAATAATATAAATAAAGCAGAAAACTATTGCAACTGCCACTTTTATTCTTTCAGGCATAAAAAAGAATGTATGAATAAAATCTCTCATGAAAAATACAAATAAATTTTATGAAGATAATGTTTCTAGTGCCAAGTCTAATTTTGAAGTACTTGGAATATGGCATAGAATTCAAATATTACGTTGTGGATCAGGGTCTTCAAATATAGTGTACTAATATAAATAGGAGAGGAACTTCCAGATAGCTCAGAAATTTACATTTTTAACAATATTTATACAGAAAGAAGGAACAGTCTTTTCTCTCTTTGCAAATTTTCAGTTAAATCTCCTATAATTGTCATACTATGGGGAAACATGTAAAAAATCTTGTGACCGGAAGAGTAAGTCTTGGGCTGTGAACCTTGCAATTCATTCAGTAATATTTTTGCAAGGCTTTCAGTGTTTATTATCCTTTAGTTAATCTGGGTGTCTAATTGCCCCTTATGTCCCACACTAGCCAATAGAATGTCTACTGAAATTCCACAATTTCTGCATACAAGCTATTCTCAGATACTGAATATCAACATTTAATAAGTATGAAATCCTAAATTACGTGGATAAGCAGTAATATTTATAAATCTTGGAGCACAATGGTGAAGAAATACTGATCAGGGTGATTTTGACTATAAATATCTGCTTCTTATGTGATGAATCCAGATTATCTCCCACAATTTGGATTGAAGCCACTCTTAGACAAATTTTAGCTCCTGTTCATTAATGGATTTAATTTAATTCTACTATATAACTCAATAGAATTTAATTTTGAGCTTCAGCCAAATGACTCTGAAGCTTATCAGGTACAATAAGCAAATAAGACTTGCAAAAAGAATTTTAATGTGGAAGGGGGGGCATTAGCCATCTCAGAACTAATTTTAATAATATGAAGCTGATATAAAATTAGAGTGACAGAGCAATAAAACAGAATTGATAGCTAGGAAATAAGACCTATTATGTATCAGTTTATTACATGATAAAAGAGAAAGCACAAATCAAGGAGGAAAGGAATTTATATTAACTAGTATTGAGGCAATTGGCTAAATACTTGGAAAATTATTAATTTATGATAATAAAGTTATAGTCATATCTTTCAACAAAAAAGTATTCTAAATGAACAAAAATTAAATCATTTTGGGTAGATTCCTTTTTATTTAATAATAGAAGACATTAAAAAGCAAAAGATGGATACACTTTACAAAAATTTAAAACTTGCATATGTAAAATAGTGTCAAAATCCACAGATCAAAAAGATGGGAATACATTTATTGTAACGACATACATTATTTATTACATAAAAAGTATGTACACAGCAAGAAGATGCAAACACTTTGACTTTAATTGAAAAGTGAGCAAAGATAATGAACTTCTGATTTCCTTAGTTAGTTATACAAGCAGCAAACAAACACATAAAAATGACCTGCCTCCCTACTCAGAGAAAGACAGCTTAAAACAGTCAGAAAAAAAATGGCATAGGCTTGTAAGTGTTAATAAGACCTTATTTTGAGAGTGGTAAGTGGAATATTATTTTATAAAGCAGTTTGATAACATGTATCCTCTTTAAAATGTTTCTTTGTCTATCCTAGAATTTTTATAACTGCTTAATGATACTGAGAAATAATCATTAATTGGAAACATTAATAAACAAAAACTATATTAAATGTAGTTTTCTGTATAACAGCAGCTTTTGGAAACAGCCTACCTTTCCAAGGACAGGAAAAAGGCTAAGTACATTGTGATGAATCAGTTTAATAAAATTGCATATAGCCTTTGAAAATGTTAACTGTGGTTAGGCAATGTTATTGAAGTGCACTGGGAAAATGCTTATTAGCTGAAGATATTAAGAAAAGAAGGACCAAAATAATATCTAATATGATTTCAAATACAGTCACGCACCACATACCATTTTGCTTAAGGATGAACTGCATACACGATGGTGGTTCCATAAGATTATAATGGAGCTGAAAAATTCCTATCTCCTAGTGACACTGTAGCCAAGGTAGCTGTTGTAATGTCCTTACATTACTGTTTGTGGTGATGCCAGTGTAAACAAAGTTAGTGTGCTTCCAGTCCTATTAAAGTATAGCACATACGGTTATGTACTGTACATAATACTTGATAATGATAATACATGACTATGCTGCTGGCCTACATATTTACTATACTATACTTTTTATCATTATTTTATTTTATGTTATTTTATTTTATTTTATTTTTTTGAGACAGAGTCTCGCTCTGTCGCCCAAGCTGGAGTGCAGTGGCACAATCTCGGCTCACTGCAAGCTCTGCCTCCTGTGTTCACGCCATTCTCCTGCCTCAGCCTCCCGAGTAGCTGGGACTACAGGTGCCCACCACCACCACGCTCGGCTAATTTTTTGTATTTTTAGTAGAGACAGGGTTTCACCGTGTTAGCCGGGATGGTCTCGATCTCCTGACCTCGTGATCCATCTGCCTCGGCCTCCCAAAGTGCTGGGATTACAGGCGTGAGCCACTGCACCTTGCCTGACATTATTTTAGAACATATTCTACTTATTTAAAAAAGCTAACTATAAAACAGCCTCAGGCAGGTCGAGAATAAGACATTGTCATCATAGTGGATAGCTGCATGTGCGTTACTGCCCCTCAAGACCTTCCAGTGGGACAAGATGAGGAGGTGGAAGACAATGATCCTGAGCCCGTGAACGCTTAGGCTATGTGATGGTTAATATTGAGTGTCAACTTGATTGGATTGAAGGATGCAATATTGATCCTGAGTGTGTCTGTGAGGGTGTTGCCAAAGGAGATTAACATTTGGGTCAGTGGGTTGAGGAAGGCAGACCCACCCTTAATCAAGTGGGCACCATCTTATCTAATCAGCCACCAGCGAATATAAAGCAGGCAGAAAAATGCAAAGAGACGAGATGAGCCTAGCCTCCCAGCCTACATCTTGTTCTCATGGTAGTGAATAAATCTCACGAGATCTGATGGTTTTATCAGGGTTTTCCACTTTTGCATCTTCCTCATTTTTCTCTTGCTGCCACCATGTAAGAAGTGCCTTTTACCTCCTGCCATAATTCTGAGGCCTCCCCAGCCATGCAGAACTGTAAATCCAATTAAACCTCTTTTTCTTCCCAGTCTCAGGTATGTCTTTATCAGCAACACAAAAACAGACTAATACAGTAAACTGATACCACTAGAGTGGGGCGTTGCTGAAGATACCTGAAAATATGCAAGCGACTTTGGAACTGGGTAACAGGCAGAAGTTGGAACAGTTTGGAGGGCTCAGAAGAAGACAGGAAAATGTGGGAAAGTTTGGAACCTCCTAGAGACTTGTTGAATGGCTTTGACAAAAATGCCAATAGTGATATGAACAATAAGGTCCAGGCTGAAGTGGTCTCATATGGAGATAAGGAACTTGTTGGGAACTGGAGCAATAGTGACTCTTGTTATGTTTTAGCCAAGAGACTGGTGACATTTTGCCGCTGTCCTAGAGATTTGTGGAACTTTGGACCAAAGAGAGTTGATTTAGGGTATCTGGTGGAAGAAATTTCTAAGCAGCAAAAAACATTCACAAGGTAACTCAGGTACTGTTAAAAGCATTCCATTTTAAAGGGAAACAGAGCATAAAAGTTCAGAAAATTTGCAGCCTGATGATGCAGTAGAAAAGAAAAATCAATTTTTTGAGGAGAAATTCCAGCCAGCTGCAGAAATTTGCATAAGTAGCAAGGAGTCTAATATTGATACTCAAGACCGTGGGGAAAATGTCTCCAGGCCATGTCAGAGACCTTCATGGTAGCCCCTCCTATCACAGGCCCACAGGCCCAGGAGGAAAAGGTGGTTTTGTGGGCCAGGCCCAGGGTCCCCAGGCTATGTGTAGCCTAGGGAGTTTGTGCCCTGTGTCCCGGCCACTCCAGCCGTGGTTGAAAGGGGCCAACATAGAGCTCGGGCTGTGGCTTCAGATGGTGGAAGCCCCAAGTCTTGGCAGCTTCCACGTGATGTTGGGCCTGTGGGTGCACAGGTCAAGAATTGAGGTTTGGGAACCTCCGCCTAGATTTCAGAAGATGTATGGAAACACCTGGATGCCCAGGCAAGTTTGCTACAGGGGCGGGGCCCTCATGGAGATCCTCTGCTAGGGCAGTGTGGAAGGGAAATGTAAGGTTGGGGCCTCCACACAGAGTCCCTACTGGGGCACTGCCTAGTGGAGCTGTGAGAAGAATGCCACCGTCCTGCAGACCCCAGAATAGTAGATCCGCAGACAGCTTGCACCACGCGCCTGGAAAAGCCGCAGACACTCAATGCCAGCTGGTGAAAGCAGCCTGGAGGGAGGCTGTATCCTGCAAAGCCACAGGTGCAGAGATACCCAAGAGCATGGGAACCCACCTCTTGTATTAGTGTGACCTGGATGTGAGACCTGGAGTCAAAGGAGAGCATCACTTTGGAGCTCTGAAATTTGACTTCCTTGCTGGATTTCGAACTTGCATAGGCCCTGTAACCCCTTTGTTTTGGCCAATGTCTCCCATCTGGAATAGCTGTATTTACCCAGTACCTGTACACCCATTGTATCTGGGAAGTAACTAGCTTGCTTTTGATTTTACAGGCTCATAGGCGAAAGAGATTTGCTTTGTCTCAGATGAAACTTTAAACTGTTGACTTTTGGGTTAAAGACGAAAGGAGTTAAGACTTTGGGGGACTGTTGGAAAGGCATGATTGGCTTTGATATGTGAAGACATGAGATTTGGAAGGGCCAGGGGTGGAATGATATGGTTTGGCTCTGTGTCCCACCCAAATCTCATCTTGAATTGTACTTCCATAATTCCCATGCATTGTGGGAGGGACTCAGTGGGAGAACATTTGAATCATGGGGGTGGTTTCCCCCACACTGTTCTCATGGCAGTGAATAAATCTCATGAGTTCTCATGGTTTTATCAGGGGTTTCCGCTTTTGCGTCTTCCTCATTTTTCTCTTGCTGCTGCCATGTAAGAAGTGCCTTTAGGCTCCTGCCATGATTCTGAGGCCTCCCCAGCCATGTGGAACTGTAAGTCCAATTAAACCTGTTCTTCTTCCCAGTCTCAGGTATGTCTTTATCAGCAGTGTGAAAACAGACTATCCAGCTCTCCTGCACACATTAGTATAAAGATACAACACAGAAATCAGGAGCGCCAATTAATGTCAATTATAACGTATCTTCTCTGTCACCCTGGCATCCTTAGGGGAATAGCTACAGAATTTGCTTCTTTTTACATCCTAGAATTGAGGAATTTCATTGTTATTTGAGTTTGAATCCAGTCAGTATATGAACACAAAGGTTAAATGAGGGCTGTACAAATTAAAACTTATAATAGATCATGGTGTTTTCTAAAATTACTTGTACCACTAACTTTTTGATTTATGACAATGAAAAGTATAGGCATGAGATCACATGTATAGGCATCTGTAAAGATTTTGAAATGTGCCAAACCTAGTAGGAAATGTAATTTAATATTCTTAAGCATTGGTACTGAAAAAAAATTTAAATACATTCTGACTGTGTTTACACAGCGTTTCATAGCATATTTTCAATTGAACTGATGCCGCATTTGAAAACAAATGAACACAATCATTTTTCAATGTCAGGATACTATCTTTCAAAATACTTTTTGGTAACTTTTTTTAAATGGAAGAAATAACAATCATTTATTTTGAATTATGATGGATTATTTGTCTACGCCCTATTTGATTTGCTTTTTTAAGACATTGTTTTTCTTTTAATTCTTTTACTTTAGAAGAAATGAGAGATAAATTAGTGAATACTGTGGAAATGTTCACACTTAAAAGTGGAGAAGACTAATTTCTTCAAATCTAACATTTTTTTTAAAGAAGACGCATTTATTTCATCAAACTAAATAGCAGTATGAACACCTTCTGTGTATCCAACACTACACTCTCTTGAAAGCCCTCAAAAACATTCTTTTTATATATGTGCATTCCAGTGACCAAGCTATTAGAATATGATTTTCTTTATGTTTCCATTATATTTGGCACTTTTAATGTTTCTTATTTTCTGAAGTTCTCTTTCCCCAATTTTTTTTTTTTTTTGACACTTCTCTGGATGATTTTCTGTCTGCCTTACATCTATCAGCTGAGATTCAGGGAACTCAGACTACAGCAAGGAGTAAACTGGGAGTCAGTTTCATGACAGCCATGTGCAAATCATAAGAATCCTTCGAAGTTACATAATATGGAGTCAGGACCACAGAGATAACTGTCATTAAAATTACCCATCTCTAACCTTCCTGTCTCACCTAAGGTGGGGAGAAGAGTCAAAAAATGAAAAAGCAAAGAAACGCATGTGAAGTCCCCAGTCCTTGAAAAGAGGTTCAATAAAAGATTGAAATTTATTGATAAAATTATTCAAGATTTTCTCTACACCATTATTTAATTCCTCTGAGAAGTGCTCAGAGTATAGTATGTAGCTATAAATGTATTCATTTTTTAAAAAATGGCAGATAAATAACCTAACTCTATACTTTAAAGAGCTAAAAAAAATGATCAATAAAATTGACAAACATTTAGCTAGACTGGCTACAAATAAGACACTAATAAGTAAAACAAAAATGAAAGAGAAAATATTACTACTGAATTTACAAAAATAAAAAGAATTTTGAGAAAATACAATGAACAATTGTATGGCAACAAATTAGAAAAACTAGACAAAATGGATAAATTCCTGACAACATACAGATTTTCAAAACTATTTCACAAGTAAATTGGAAATTTGAGCAGACTTATAAAGAGTAAAGAGAATAATTCATTAATAAAAAACCTCCCGACAAAGAAATGAGCCAGATTGTTTCACTAGTGAATTATACTAGAGATATTTAAAAGATTTGACAATAATGCTTTTCAAATTCTTCCAACAAATTAAAAAAAAAGTAAAAGCATTTCCTGACTCATTCTATAAGATCAGCATTACTGATAACAAAGTCAGGAAAAGATAGCACAAAAGAAAGAAAACAATAGACCAATATCCTTTATGAAGATAGATGCAGAAATCTTCAACATAACACTAGCAAACTGAATCCATAGCATATTTAGAGAATTGTTCACCACGAAAAAATGAGGTTTATCCAGGAATGCAAGAGTGGTTAAACATGTGAAAATCAATCAATGGTATACATCGTATTAACCGAATGAAAGAAAAAAAAAACTCACATAATTGTCCCAATTGACACAGTAAAAGTATATGATAAAATTCCTTTTATGATTTAAAAAAAAACTGAAAAATGTAGAAAAAGAGACATTTCTGCAAAATGATGAGTATTTATGAATAACTCAAAGCTAACGTTATATTCAACGGTGAAAGACTCCCTATGATCAGGAATAAGAGAAGCATCTCACTTTCTTTACTGTTGCTCAGTGTTGTACTGAAGGTTCTAGCCAGAGAAATTAGGCAAGCAATAAATAAATAAATAAATAAATAAATAAATAAATAAATAAAAAGGATCCATACTGGAAAAGAAGAAGTAAAATTCCTCTTTTTGCAGAAGACATGATCTTACATATAGAAAATCCTAAAGGACCCACACACACAAAAAAAACTATTACAGCTAAGCGAATAATTTAGCAAAGATTTAGAATACTAGATTAACATTCAAAATCTAGTTATATTTCTATACATTTATCAAGAAAGAAAACAGTTCATTTATAATAACACCAGAGTAAAATACTTGGGAATAAATATAATTGTGGTGGTACAAGATATGTAAATTCAAAACTACAAAATATTTTAGAAGAAGTGAAATAAGACCCAAATAAATGGAAAGCTATTATGTGTTCATGGATTGTAAGATGAATATTGTAAAAAAGGCAGTACTACTAAAAGTTATCTACACATTCAATTCACTCTTCTGTCACAATTCCAACAGCTTCTTCCTCCAAATAGCCAAAACAATCTTGAAAAAAGAATGATGTTGGAAGACTCACATTTCCTAATTTCAAAACTTCCTGTAAAGTTACAATAATCACCAGATGTGGTGGCTCGCACCTATAATTCCAGTACTTTGGAAGGCTGAGGCAAGAGGTTTGCTCGAGCCCAGGCATTTGAAACCAGCCTGGGCAACATAGCGAAACCTCACTTCTAAAAATTTTTGAAAAATAAAAACAAAAAAGCTACAATAATCATGTTTGATATTAGCATAAAAATTGCATATATTGATATATATAATTGAGTATGCAGAAACAAACCCATATATCTACAATAATTTCTGTCAAGGTTGCCAAGATCATTCAATGGGGAGATAATTGTCTTTTCAACAAATGGTGTTGGAACAAATAGGTATCAACATGCAAAAGAATGAACTTAGACCCTTACTTCAATTCACACACAAAAAGCAACTCACAATTGATATAAGGGGCAAATATAATAGCTAAAATCCTACAATTTTTAGAAGCAAACACCGTGGTGAATCTTCATAAATAGGACTTGATGACGGTTTCTTATAAATCACATCAAAAACACAAGTAAGGAAAAAAAGAGATATGTTGAGCTTTATGAAAATTATACTTTTTAGTGCATCAAAGAAAACTATAAACAAAGTGAAACAACAGCCTACATAATGGAAGAATGTATTTGCAAATTATATATCTGATAAGGGATTAGAACTCACAATATAAGCAGAACTCTTAAACTCAAGAAGAGCAAAAGCAATCAGAATTTAAAATGAACAAAGAATCCGAATAAACCTTTCTCCAAAGAATATTTAAAAGTTGCAAACAAGTACTTGAAAAGAAGCTCAATATTATTAGTCAGGGAAATACAAGTCAACACCACAATGGGATATCAATTCACACTGGTACAGATGACCATAATAAAAGAAAATAGGCCAGGTGCAGTGGCTCATGCCTGTAATCTCAAAACTTTGGGAGACCAAGGTGAGGGGATCACATGAGGTTGGTATTTTGAAACCAGCCTGGACAACGTAGCGAACACCTAGCTCTACAAAAAATTGAACAGTTAGCTGGGCATGGTGGGGTGCATGCCTGTAGTCTTAGCTACCGGGAAGACTGAAGGTGGAGGACTGCTTGAGCCCAGAAGTTCAAGGCAGCAGTTAGCCATGATTGTGTCACTGCACCCCAGCCTGGAAAAGAGAACGAGACCCTGTCTCTGAAATACATAAGTGAGTAAACAATGATATAACTAAATAATAAACTGAACCAAAATTTTAAAATGTTAACCAAAATTATGGAGATATTGGAAGACTTGTACATTGCTTGTGGGAATGTAAAATGGGACAGCCACTGTGGAAAATAGTTTGGCAGTTTCAAATGCCAAATATAGAATTACTATATAACTGTACAATACAACTCCTGGGTATATAAGCAAAAGAATTAACAAGTACTCAAACAAAAATTTTTACATGTGTTCATGGCTGCACTATTTCCAATAGCCAAAAGTGGAAAGCAACCCAAGTGTTAATCAACAGTAAATGGAAAAATAAAATGGAATTTGGCAATAAAGAGAGAAAAAGTACTCATACATACTACTACATGAATGAAGCTTGAAAGTATGCTACTTGAAAGTAGCCAGACAAAAAAGATCACATATTATATTGTTCCATTTGAAACAATATATTTCATATTGTTCCATATGAAATATCTGGAATAGGTTGATCAATAGAGACTAAAAACAAATCAGTGATTTCCAGGAGCTAGTGGGAGGGAGAAATGGAGAATGACTGGTTAGAGGATATGGAGTTTCCTTTTGTGCTGATGAAAATGTTCTTGAACTTAATAGTGTTCTAAGACAAGAAAAAGAAAATATGTACGCAAATATGAGGACAACTTATCAAAAAATTAGGAATTAATGTAAAACCTTTAAATCTGTCATTCATTGCTAGTAGTATTTTTAATGAGCTTAATCAGCTCACTTAGGTTATTCCCTAATACATTAGGGACTCTGGAAAAGAAATTACATAAAATACTTTCATTTTTGAAGATGTTTCTATATCTTATTCCTCCCCCTCTCCCAATTCTTACTTGCCCTAGCTATGCATCATCCTGAAATATGTTAAAAATCTGATAGTGTTAGTAAGAAATACTCTGGAAAGCTGCATCACTTCATATTCTTACTAATGACTTTCAGGTCAATTTGACTTATTGGACCATTCTAATTAGCATAGCTGTACAATCATGCATTGCTTAATGATGGGGATACTTTCTGAGAAATGCATCCTTAGGCGATTTCATCACTGTGCAAATATCACAGAGTATACTTATGCAAACCTAGATGGCATAACCTACTACACATCTAGGCTATATAATAGAGCCTATCGCTCCTAGGCTTCAAACCTGTAGAACATGTTACTGTACTAAATATGGCAGGCAATCATAACATAATTGTAAGTATGTATGTAAACATATCTAAACACAGAAAAGGGACATAGAAATATGGTATTTGAATCTGATGGGACCACTGTCATACATGCTGTCCATTTTCAATTGAAATGTCAACATGGGACATATGACTGTATTCTCTGGCCATTTGAGTTTTCCAGAACAAAAACTTGCTTGAAGTTCTCCTAGTCACCTGAAATAGTTACTGCACTGTACCTAAGCAAGTAGGTAATTTTGTATGAACCATTTGTTCTAGTTCTACTGTAACAGCAAGTTTCCTTCAAATGAATTAAAATGTGTCTAGGTATCTTCTGGAGATAACAATTTTGTTTTCTACTCATATTATGAGTCTGTCCTTTATATGCATAATGAAATTCAGAAAATGTTTACTTGACAGATCAGTTCCTGGCAGGTTTTATGAATTATAAATATGTGTGAGTTATGATTCATAGAAATGCAAGCCCAGAAACATTCTAGGTAGATCTGAAGCTCTGAGAAATCCTGATGATAAATAATCTAAAGCAGTAAAACCGTAGAAGAGTGTTCTTTAACTGGATTGAAGTGATCCACTTAATAAAATAACTGAGCCATCTCAATAACACAGTGAAACATGGGTAGCATTTGTAAATACCAAATTTTCTGTTATTTGGTTTCAAATTGGAAATACTAAAACTTGGGCAAAACCACAGCTTCTTGTACTGTAAACTCAGCACACAGCTTCTCCTTTCCTCAATTCCCAGCTTTTGGTTTCGTTAAATTCTTGGTGACCTACTTATCACCAGCAAACTGAATCTTTATTTCCTTGCCTATGAAAGAATTCCAGGAGAGAAAGGTAAATAATCTTGCAAAACATTGACAAGGGTTATCATCATGCTTACTGCAACCTTAGACTTTATCGGTTTAACTCCAACAGCTCTTATTTACACCAGGTCTTTTTCTACCTTTAGGTCTGTGTGCAGACATTTTAAGAAAATAAGTCCTTTAGAGGTGTCTAGACTTGAGGCTGATGATCCTTCATAAGACATTTTTAAAACCCGGAGAAAGTCACAAAAGATCCCTGGCTTATTGATTTTAGCCCAAGAAGCTGCTGAGGTTTGGCTTCATCATATAACTTGCCAGTGGCATGATGAAAATTGCGAAAAACATATAAAATAGTTTTAAAATTAGTTAAAAATAAGTTACTGTTGGTTATCTAAAGTAGTTGCACTGTACTTAAGCAGATTCTGATGTATTTTATTTTAATCAGTGTTCTTTCAGGAAAATGCCAAGACTTTAAAATTATATTCTTATTAGAAGCTCTTAAATGTAGGTTTGTTTTTAAATCTGAAAATATTTTGTAGTTGTTAGTATTCTTGAGTGTCTGAACTGTTGTTCTCAACATTTACAGTTATTCTGATCTCCTTGTTCTAAATCCCTTATTAGCAATGTTTGTAGAATAGAAATGAACTAGAATTCATATCACATGCAAGGATCCTCACAAAATAAAGCATGCTGTATTAATGAGTTTATATAAGATTGTCCTTGAAAAGTAGCTTATACAATAGTTTTTATATTTTTCTTGTAGCAAAATAAAGTTTGCTACAAATAAATATTTTGGAAATTACTAGCCAGAGGCAATGCCTGCCATCAAATAGCCCAAATAAGAAGAGTTTCATGCTTGTACATAGGTGTGGGTTTGTATTGTGTATGTGACATGTTGCATTATTGTACAGATGGTATGTCATTATGTATTATTGACTAAAGGAGTCTACATATAGTTTTAAAAGAACTATCTCCTGATAATTCTAGCTGCAATAAAAGAAAGAAAAAAATTGATTTTCAGAAACATATAGTTGAGATATGACTAGCATTTTCTGAGGATGTCATCATATTTTTATTTAAAATGTTGTCAAATAAAGGATTTAAATATTCAATAGACAAAAGTCTACCATTCCACTAAAATTACAATTCTTCTTTTAAATTGTGGTAACAGAATGTTGCCAGATATCTGTGTGGCCAATTCAGTGATTCCTACCAGTGGTTCTCAAACTTTTGCATGTGTCAAAATAACCTGGAGTTTTGTTAAAACATGTATTGCTTGGCCCCACACCCAGAAATTCTGAATTACTAAGTCTGGGGTGAGGCTTGAGAATGTTCTGACAACTTTCTAGATGATCCTGATGCCTGGTTCAGGGAACATACTTTGAAAACCACAGATCAATTCTGAAACAGAAATCATCAATAATCTTGTGCTAAAACAGAAATTCGAGAACAAAGAAAAATTACAATTTTTTTGTAAGGAAAACAGTCAAAAACATATCCAAACACATTCATATGATTGCATAACATACACAATCACAAACACATTTTTTTAATCAGGTAAACTGTTGAGTGTTAGTCAATATATTACAGCTCCTTGTAGAAAGTTAAAAGATATAAAAATAATAAAACACCTGTATCTTCACTATTTTATGTATGAACATATATGTATCTAGCTACCAATCTAGCTAGCTAGCTACCAGTCACCTACAGTCATGCAACACATGAAGGTGTTTCAGTTAACAATGGACAGCGTATATGACAGTGGTTCCATAGGATTATAATATTTTATTTCTACTGTGTGTTTTCCATGTTTAGATATGTTTGGATACTACAAATACTATTTTGTTACAATTGCCTACAGTGTGAAGTAGAGTAACATGCTGTACAGGTTTGCAGCCTAGAAGTAATAGGTTATACCACATAGCCTAGGTGTGTAGGAGGCCATACCATCTAGGCTTGTGTAAGTGCACTCTGTGATGTTTACCCAGTGATGAAATCACCTAAGGACATATTTCTCAGAAAGTAACCTCATTGTTAAGTGACACATGATTCTATTTAGAGTCATTTTTTATTATTCATGGTAGTTAGGAAATATAAAGTTGCTGCAAACACTGAATTTGCAAATACTAAACCATTGTTCCTAAGGGAAACACAGGGTTAGGGCCCTGAGAGCTCTGGTTATATTTTCATATAACCAGATTTTATATTTATTTTCAACTGATTCATAAATGGCCTTATTTTATGTGTGTTTCTATTTGAAGACATCTTTTAAAATACATAATGTTGGCCAGTCACGGTGGCCCACACCTGTAATCCCAGCACTTTGGGAGGCCAAGATGGGTGGATCACAAGGTCAAGAGTTCAAGACCAGCCTGGCCAATAAGGCAAAACCCCAGGTCTACTAAAAATACAAAAATTAGCCAGGTGTGGTGGCAGGTGCCTGTAGTTCCGGGTACTCAGGAGGCTGAGGCATGAGAATCACTTGAACCCGGGAAGCAGAGGTTGCAATGAGCCGAGATCGTGCCACTGCATTCCAGCCTGGATGACAGAGCGAGACTCTGTCTCAAAAAAAAAAAAAAATTATATATATATATATGTATATATATATATATATGTATATATGTATATATATATATATGTATATATATATATATATGTATATATGTATATATATATATATGTATATATATATATGTAGAGAGAGAGAGAGTTCATTAATATTGAACTGATGGCCAACGGCACTATGTGTCACACCTGAATGAATCTTATCTATCTAACAAACATATACTCTCTACTAGGCACATCTCAGCCTTCCACTTCAACACTATGTTTGTGGGTCATTCTAAACAACCAAATCACCAAAGTATAAAAATGTAATAGGTATGGCACTAAGTAGAATTCCAAAAGGACACTTGTTTATAGTGTAAGAACTAAAACAAGAAGGCAGAGCATCTCCTGGTTTGACCTCAGTAGGCAACCTGTACTTTGGGTAATACATTTTTGCCAATCTGCACATGTCCATCAATGACTGTGAAAGTGCAGCAAGTATTAATTTTGTTTTCACAAAAAAATTTTAGTGAGTAGGAAAATCTTCAAAAATGGGCTTGGCAAATAATGAGGATATAGATATTTGGATAGACAGTGAGAGAGATAGAAATATATATATTATATACATTCAGGTATATATATATGAGACATATATGTGTGTGTGTGTGTGTGTGTGTGTGAACTAGGAAATGTATGAACTTGGAAATTTGCGAACAACATACCTGGTTTTATTGTGACCTCATCACTGATGAGTTTTAAAAAATGTCTATTTTGGTAGATTATCCATTTTTTTTCTCATTAAGTCTAAACATCTTTCTCTTATTGCTTTCTACATTCTAGGCATTCATTTTCTTCCCACGAACCTTGTTTTTTCATTTGTTTCTGGTTTTATCATCACATGTGGCCCTTATTTACAAGATACATTCTAATATCTACTCTGATATTATATTAGTAGCATTCATATACCTAGCATTTTTTTCTCATTTTACTACTTATTTTGAATTATGTTTATGGCATTTGTGACATATTATAGATTATAGTTTATACAGTCAAATCTATTGATTCTTTTAAAAACCATTACATCAAGTTTTTTCATTAAAAATCATTTAAATATTTATCAATATTTTCTTTTGGTATGTAAATATATTTTCTATTTACATTTAATTTTTTTATCTGGAATAATTTCATATATGTTATGAGATAAGTCACTGATTTGCATTTTGTTCCTAAATAAAGACCCTCCCCCAGCTGTCTTCTCAATACCAGGTCTTCCTATGCTCTGGAATGTTTCCCTAATTTCAGTTTTCTCTTTCTTCTATCCCCCCCATCTTTTTCCCTCTACATATTAATTTATGCAGCATTTATGCAGACTCAAGTAAAATCCATGTTTTGAAAAAACTTCTGTCTCACATATTTTTAATACATCTTTTACTGCCTTATCTGTTTCTTCTTCTTTAGAAACTCTTTGACATATTTAATGGTTCATTTGTTCATTGTCTTCAGTTTCTCATCTCCACCGTATTCTCAAGACACCTCTTTGGCTTCAAATCTAGTTATTCTACTAAAAGCTTCTATTGAAAAGTAATTGTAAGACAACTTTTACTAGATTTCAGCACCATTTGATTAAAAAAAAATCTTGAGCCATCTTTCTCTGGCTTCTACAATGGCATAATCTCAATGTCTTCCTTCACCTCTCTGACAACTCCTTATCAGTCTGATTTGCTTGTTCTTTCTTTGAGTAATCATCAGATGTTTGAGATTCTATATACTCTAAGTAATTATCTTTTCTCAGTCTTTATATCCCCCAGTGAACCAACTGACTCCAGCAATTTCCACCATCAACCGTATTCTGACAACTTTGAATTTTTAACACCAACTGTAAACAATTTTTGAGTTTCAGATTCACTATTAAATTGCATACTACACACTTCAAACTTAATATATTTGAAATAAATGACACGTTATATTACTCAAATGTTTTTCTATTCCAATATTATCTATCTCATGAGAGCTGCCATCATTTACATAGTTGCTCCATCCAGAAATATGTAAGTCCTTTTCTTTCACCAACTACTTATAGTAGGTCACTGAGTTGTGTCAATTAAAATTCTCAGATATACAATTATTGTCAACTAAAAATACAAATTTTAGGCCAGGTGCAGTGGCTCACGCCTGTAATCCCCGCACTTTGGGAAGCCAAGGCAGGTGAATCACTTGAGGTCAAGAGTTCAAGGCCAGCCTGGCCAATATGGTGAAACCCCGTATCTACTAAAAATACAAAAATTAGCTGGGCATGGTGGAGTGTGCCTGTAATACCAGCTACTCGGGAGGCTGAGGAAGGAGAATCACTTGAACCCGGGAGGCAGAGGTTGCAGTGAGCTGAGATAGTGCCACTGCATTCCAGCCTGGGTCACAGAGCGAGTCACTGCCTCAAAAAAAATTAATTTTTAAAAATTTTAATAATTCTCAAATCAACTTCTTCAATCATCAATGATCTCACACTAGTTTCATTCAGTATAATTACTCATGCAAATCATTATCTTCTTTAATTATGTCCCCTCATTCCAGAAAGAATCATTATTGAACAATGCAATTTAATTATTCTACAGTTTTCTCACTTGAAACATTTTGGTCAGTTCACATTGCTCTTAGGACAAACTTAGTATTTATAGTATGATATAGAGAATTCTGTAATATCTGATATTCTACCAGACTTGTTTCTGTTTTAAATGTCTTGGCTATTTTCAAATGAAATATTCATTCAATAATAATCATAATCGATATTGAACTCAATCTAAATATTGTGCCCTACTGAAACTTGAAAGAAATTTTCCATTAGCAAAGTTTAAACAATTGCAATATAATTGGATAATGTAGTCCAAAAAAATTACTTCCTTCAAAACAGAGTAATAATTTGGCTATAAAAATACTTCTATATTTGTTAAAGTTATGTATAAAAATATACACACTCACACAAATGTGTTCTTAGTATATAGCTGATTTGATAGGCTCAGAATATATGTGTATTAAACACTCTGTAGTGGATTAAAATTTCTGTAATCCTATTAGTTTCCAATTTTTTAGAAATGATCACATTTGTTTTGGAGTAATTAATAACTGCAGTGATTTTTTTAAGTTGAATATCTTATAAAATGTTTCTCTATGGCTATTTCTGAATCTCTCTACTCAACCCTACCAGGCATAAGTTGATATTTTTGGTAATCAGTTGATGATTTTGTATATTTGATATACAATATTCATACATGAAACATTTATACTTTCCTCTTTCCAAAAACGTAGTATTAAATTAAATTGATTTGAATCTGACAGTGGTTTAGGTTTCATGCATGAGCTTGTCAGAGGTCACACATGGAAAAAGATCAGATGTCTTTGAGAGAGCACTCAGGCAAGTATTCTGGACCCATAAATGAGATACTTTTTGAAAATATTTTAGAGATGGATTATCAAAGAATCAAATCCATGAAAGTTTTGAGTTAGTACACTCTAATTTTTGCTGTGCGCTGTCTTATATGTGTTTTTGGTTTCATGCAAGTCAAAAAAATATTGTCTATGGGCCAGGTGCGGTGGCTCATGTCTGTAATCCCAGAATTTTGGGAGGCTGAGGCAGGCAAATCATCTGAGGTTAGGTATTGGAGACTACCCCAGCCAACATGGTGAAACTGTGTCTCCATTAAAAATACAAAAATTAGCCAGGCGTGTCTCCAAAAAAATACAATACTGGCATGCACCTGTAGTTCCAGCTACTTGGGAGGCTGAGGTGGGAGAATCACTTGAGCCCAGGAGGCAGAGGTTGCAATGAGCCAAAATTACTTCACTGTACTCCAGCCTGGGCAACAGAGAGAGATTCTGTCTTAAAATATATATATATGTAGCCCTATGAAGAGTATCGTTTCTCTGTCTTGCTGTTTCAAGAATAACAGAAACAAACTACATCCTCATTTGTTTTTACTTTTTGTATCAGACTTTATGAAAATGTTCATCAACGTATAATTATCTAAATCCTCACCAGTTTTACTTTAAAATTACCTTGCAGGTGATATGAGTCTGACATATGCACTGAAACATCAACAGTAAGTCTGACAATATTGGTAGCTGAGAATGATTACTGGTTTAAATACTTGAGTTTCTAATCATTATGCTTACTTTATCTCAATTAACAACATTGTTGACTATATGCTTAGATGTCATGAAAGTAAAATCAATCTTCCAAACTTAATTATCACCTCCATAATACCTGTGTTAGGTGAATTTGCAATAATGAATACAAGAAAATATTAAAAAGAATAACTAGTCACTGTTAACAATTAAACGATATTGGATTTTTTAAATCTGCAAGATCATGTAACTAGTATTTGATGAATATGGAGTGGTTGTAGATGATCATTAAAAGTTTTACCTGAACATTCTAAATAATAATAATCATATGTCATATGTTATTTGTAATACTTCACAAAAGACAAATATGCAAGTATGGAGAGTAGAAAAAGAACAATTAGTGAATATGAATTTTGGTAACATGTGATTTCAGGATATTTGGGAAAATCATTGCCTGAGTAGAGAAATCACCTTCAAAGCTACATTTTTATATTTGTATACAAATGGAGAATGAGACAGACACAGGAAAATATTAATGTGGTCTGAAAAATGCTCCTTCGAGATTTCTTTTTCTCACACAATTTTGCCAATAGCAATGACACAGTTTATTTCATTCATAGCATTAATATGTATGAAAAATATATTGTGTGTATAAATACAAGAATAAGCAAGATTACTGTGATGGCATTCAAACATAATCCTTAGGCAAACATAAGCCAATTAGTGTAAAGCAAAGCATCTGAAAAGTGGATTCATCAGAACTAGCATGATATTTATGTAATAATTTTCCTTAAGTCTACAATGAAATTTAATTGTTGTTTCACTCAACAATAATACATTCTGACAGAGTTTAGCCTTTTAAAGTCAAAATATGCTTCCTTTGAATAAAATCTTATTTCTAAATTTATTTTTTTACTGTATCTGCTTCTATTAAAATGTCAATTATTAATTAGAAATTATCTTGACTCTCACCAATTATCTTTGAATGACATTAATTATTTCTTAGGTTTCAACTGATTTCTTCCATTCTTTATCTGGTGAGTTAGCTTAATACATTTTATATTTTTTAATAGCATGACTTACTTTATTTTCTTTTTTGAGACAGGGTCTTGCTATGTCAACTATGCAGGAGTGCAGTGGCATGATCCCAGCTCACTGCATCCTTGAACTCCTGGGCTCCTCTGATCCTCCCACCTCATCTTCCCAAGTAAGTTGGACTACAGGTGTGGTGTGCATCACCACACTTGGTTATTTTTTTCATATTTTTTTGTAGAGAGTGTCTCCCTATGTTGCCTAGGCTGTTCTGAAACTCCTGGGCCAAAGTGATCCTCCTGCCTTCGTCTCCCAAAGTTCTGGGATTACAGAAATGAGCCTCTGCACCTGGCCGCATATGATTCTTTTCTATAGCTTTTCCTTAGTAACCCAAGATTTAACCTTATACACTTTTCCCAGTTATCAACATAGAAAGACAATGAAAGCAGTAATAAATGAATGAAAAAAACAAAAAAGAAGAAAAGTAAAAAAAAAAAAAAGTTTCAAAAAGTGGAAACAACACAAGTGAAAATAGGAGAAAAATTTTTAAAAATAATTTTTTCACTATATGTTAATTCCCTATTGCAGCTAATGTCTTATGAGAATAAAGACTGTGTGATGTTTTTATTTGTTTGGGTCATGTATATCATATTGTTGATTTTTACATTTTTCCTGAAAACATGCAATTGAGTTTCTGTGTGTAGAGTTAGCATTACTGTTATTGAAGTTTTCAGAGGGCTTCTCTGACCAATTGTGTGCTGCAGTAACAAGACAGATGAAAGGACTTCTAAGGAAACAAAATTGCTTATGTCCCAGGATTTTATCTTTGGGTTTGCCTTTCCAGGAAATGGATCTGATCTCTCTGGAGTAAGTTTATGCCTGCCATAATTTAAAAGATTCCCAAGAGACCAGCATATAAACTACAGTTTCAATTTGTTGGTTAAAATGAGAAAAACAATACTGCCAAACAGTGTGGAATGTTCATGACAGCAATGTGCTGTCATGCATCCACCGAGGAAACATCCTTTGAGGAAAAAGCATAGGGGGGCTTTCAGACCATGAAATCAGAGACACGAGAGATGAGTAGATTGTATTTCATATTAGAATCATTGATCTGTGTTAGTCAAATGCAATCATCTTTGCCCGGATATATCCTTGCCCATGGAATTGTGATGGTCCTAACACTGTTGATAATATTTTATATGTCTGTGATTAGGAAATAAAAAATGGAACTAAAATGCTCAAAAATGATAACATTCAAGATAGATTTAATCAGAGATAGAGTTCCAAATTCTTTCTCTTTTGAGGGAGGGTAGTTAAGATAGATGTTCAAGTTAAATAAACACAATAATTTTTAATGAGTATGCACTGAAAGAAAACTCATGAATTATATGGTTTCCAAAGTAGTGTTTGGAGAATGTGTATGAGAAGTAAAATAATTCCAAGAAGGCAAGAAAGGAGGACATAACCTGGGGAAAACTCAATCTATAGTAAAGCAATATATGAGATATCAATATATGATATATTCACTTCATTCCAAATATATCAATAATAGCAATAATCTAGATATTCATATGGACCAATTAACTATTTAAAAGACAATGATTTCTAAATTATATTTAAAATATTATATCCAGTTAATGTTGACAAGAAATATATCAAAAGTAGAATATAGAAAATGATATTAGATAGAAATAGAAAATGAATTGGCAAATTCATAATCATATTTAAAAGATTTCAACATTTGCATTATGTTGATCATTGATAGGTAATGTAGACAAAAAATAAGACCATCTACCACTAAAAGAACATAGTTAAGTACATTAAATGCACATATATAAGATTATTTTTCAAACATTTGAGAAGGTAGTTTCTTAAGCACATATGTAATGTTTATGAAAATTTATTTTTTATTAAGATGTAAAACTTAACCCAAAACGCTTCCAAAATGATATCATGCAGAACATATTAAAATGAATTTAGAAGTTGCAGAATATCTATCCACTGGAATATTGATAGCATTGAAAATAAAGTATAACTGTGTAAAATAACATGGATAAATGTCAAGAAACAATTTTGAGTGAAAAAGGCACATGAGAATAATTCATGTAGTATATCATTAATATAAAATTGAAAACATACAAAGTATAACAGTATCCTATTCAAAACACATTTATTTTCAGTAAAACTATTTTGAAAACAGGAGAATGATAAAAACAAAATTTAGAAGTTTGTTATTGAAGGGAAGACAGAAGGTTTCAAAGGCATTTGAGTTTTTAAAGTTATTTGTAGTGTTCTTATTCAACTGAGTCATGATTCACAATGTTAGTTTTACACGTATGTTATCTCTTAGATAGATAAATTGGTGGATGGATATAAAGATAGACAGCTATATTCAAAAGACACATAGAGCTATGAGTTAGTTAACACTCTTATCATTCCTATTCCAATTAAGCCATTTTAATTCAGCACAATTGTGTCAGCTAATTTTACATGTGAAGTGGCCTGTGTCACTGATGCCAAGATATTTGGCTAAACATTTTTTCTTGTTTTGCCTATTATACATTATTTCCGAGTGTGACAGTGCCAAGTGACCTGAAAAGCTGCTAGTTTTGAGTGGAGCCCAGAACAGCAGAAGGCTCTGCAACAGGTCCAGACTGCTGTGCAAGCTGCTCTACCTCTTGGGCCATATGATTCAGCAGATCCAATGGTGCTTGAAGTGTCAGTGGCAGATAGGGATTCTGTTTGGAGCCTTTAGCAGGCCCTCATAGATGAATGGTAGTGCAGGCCATTTGGATTTTGGAACAAAGCTCTTGCCATCCTCTGCAAATAACTACTCCTTTTAAGGAACAACTCTTTACTCAGCCTTCATAGAGAACTGAATGCTTAATCATGGGCAGCCAAGTTACCATTAACCTAAGCTGCCCATGATGAGCTGGGTGTTACCTGGCCCACCAAGCCTTAAAGTTGGACTTTCACAGTAGTGATGCATCATCGAGGAAGTATTATATTATGACTGGGCACAAACAGGCTCTAAAGGCACAAGTAATTTATATAAAAATATAGCCCAGATGCTCATGGTCCTTCCTCCTGCTACACTGCTTCTGCTCTCTCATCTGCACCTATGGCCTTATGGAGAGTATCCTATGATCTGTTAATAGAAAAAGCAAAAACTTACGCCTAGATTACAGATGATTCTGCATGATATGCAGGCAATATCCAAAAGTGGGCAGCTGCAGCACTATAGCCCGTTTTCAGGACATCTCTAAAGAATAATGGTGAAGAAAAATTATCCTGATGGGCAGAATTTCAGGCAGCACACTTGGTTGTTCACTTATCTTGGAAGAAGAAATGCCCAGATATATGATTATATACTAATTCATAAGCTGTGGACAATAGTTTGGCTGGACAGTCAGCAATCTGGAGGAAACACGATTGAAAAATTGGAGGCAAGGAAATTTGGGGAAGAAGTACGTAGATAGAATTATCTGAAGATGCAAAAAAACAAAGAGTGAAGATATTTGTGTGCTTTGTAAATGCTCACTAAAGAGTCACCTCAGTGGAGGAGGATTTTTAATAATCAAGTGGATAGGATGATTCATTCTAAGGTTACCAGTCAGCCTTTTCCTCCAGTTACTCCTGTCATTGCCCAGTGGGCTCATGAACAAACTGGCCAAGGTGGCAGGGATGGAGGTTATGCATGGACTTGGCAACATGACTTTCACTCACTAAGCCCATCCTGGCTATGGACACATCTGAGTGCTCAATCTGCCAACAGCAGAGACCAACACTGAGACTCCGATATGGCATCATTCCCTGGGGTAATCAGCCAACTACCTGGAGGCAGATTGATTACATTGGATTACTTCCATCATGGAAGGGGTAGCATTTTGTTCTTACTTGAATAGACACTTACTCTTGATATGGATTTACCTTCTCTGCATACAATACTTCTGCCAAAAGTACCATCTGTGGACTTACAGAATTCCTTATCCACCATCATGGTCTTCTACACAGCATTGCTTCTGATCGAGGAACTCACCACAAAAGAAATATGACAGTGGGCCTATGCTCATGGAATTCACTGGTATTATCATGTTCCCCACCATCCTGAAGCATTAGCCTTCACAGAAAGGTGGAAGAGCCCTTTGAAGACTCATAGTGCCATCTAGGTGGCAAGACCTTGCAAATCTTGGCAGTGTTTTTCAGAAGACTGTATATGCTCTGAATCAGTTTCTAACATGTTTTTCCCATAAGGATTCACAGATCCAAGAATCAAGGGATGGAAATAGAAGTGGCACTTCTCACTATCATTCCCAATGACCCACTGGCAAAGTTTGCTTTCTGTTCCCACAACCTTATGCTCTGCTGGCATAATGGCCAGAGGGAAGAATGCTTCCACAAGAAGCACAGCAGTGATTCCACTGAACTGGAAGTTAAGACTGCTGCCTGCTAACTTTGGGCTCCTTGTGCCTCTGAATAAATAGGCAAAGAAGGGAGTTACTGAGTTGACTTGAGTGGTTTATCCTCACTACCAATAGAAATTTGGACTACCACTCCGCAATGGAGAATAAGAAAGCATGTCTATGAGTATTAGCATGTCCTTTGATTAATGTTGATGGATAATGACAACAACCCAAGCCAGCCAGGACTGCTAATGAGCCATATACTTCAGGAATAAAGGTTTGGGTTCCCCCATTAGGTTGAGAACCATGACCAGCTGAGGTGCTTACTGAAAGAAGACAAAGGAAAAACAGATTGAATATTGAAAAGGATAATTATTAATACTAGCTATGACCATGTGACCACTGAAAAAGTGAGCATTGTAACTGTCATGAGTATTGCTCCTATTTTGTTGTTTCCATTTGTGTGTGTAATAAATATCTTTGTTTTTTTTCTTGTCTTATTCCCTTATAATCTAAGATGTATTAACTTTATATCATATTAGTTAAGTATAGTCTATTTTACCTCATAGTATTTATATTACAAGATATCAAAGAGAATACTAAATATTACTCACGTACTTTATCTCCTTTTCTAGGAAGGAGTTGGTGTGGTTTTGGTTGTGCACAGGATCACTGTGTCACATTAGGCAGAATCGTGACCCAGTTACTCTCTTTATTTGGAGATTACTTGTGGTTTAAGGAGACACAGATGAATGCCACGTTGAAAAAGGGTAGACTTTTAATAGTTAGGTTTATGTATTATCTTGACTGAGTCATAGGATGCCCAGATATTTGGGTAATCATTATTTCTGTCTGCAAGAGTGTTTATGAATGAGATTAGCATTTGAATCAGTAGGCTGAGTAAAATATATTGCCCTCAATGTGGGTGAACAATATTCATTTCCTTGAGTACCCAAATAGAACAAAAGTATGAAGGAAGGGAGAATTCACTCTCTTTGCCTGACTGTTGGGCTGGAATATTGTTCTGCTGTACTTGGGCTGAAATTTAAAATAGCAGCCTTCCAATTCCTAGGACTTTGCTCTAGATTTGGGTTAGAATTTATACCATTGGTTCTCTTGGTTCCCATGGATTCATACTCAGATGGAACTACACCATCACCTCGCCTGGGTTTGTAGCTGATAGACAGCAGATCTTGGGTCTTCTCAGCCTTCATAATTCTGTGGACCAATTTCTTATAATAAATCTCTCTCATAATAAATTGATATACAAAGTTTATATGTATAATATATATTATATATAAGCCTATGTTAATTATATATAATATGTTAATATAAATTAATGATATATAATATATAAATTGTATCTAAAGTATATATTAATTATATATAATATATAAATTATGTATATTCTCTATGTATTAAATATATATTATATATAAGCTTTGTATATATTTAAGATATATTTATATATATAAGGGTTTCTATATATATAATGTCTTTTTTGGGTTCTGTTTCTCTGGACAACTATAGCAGTCTACTAGAGACTGAAAAATAGGAGCTTTCATCATTTGATTTTATTTTCTTCAATAGTTTCATTTTTAAATGAAATTATTTTATTGACATCTTTTTCATTCACAATCATTTTTCTTGCCTTTTGTTTCTTTCTATCAGATAAGAATGATTAATTGGCTTATGCAATGAAAGTTTCCATATAAAAATGCATAGAACAAAACATATCAAGTATTGGTTTTTGAGTTTCACAATGGAATTTTGAAAATCATTTTTTCTAAAGAGCATTATTTCTCAAGAAAACATATTTTGTGTTACAAAAGCCATAGCCTAGAATAGCTATGGACATAAATGTATTTTATAAATTAATACTAAGCAAGAATACTTCAGTAATAGCCAAACAAACAGAGAAAGGGTAGAAAATGTGGAGTCTCATGCCCCCCAAAAAGTTAATCATTTCTACGTATGCCTGAGAAAAAGGTTTCTAACCTGCTGTACCAGGGTTAATTCCTGGGGTAGAGATAGATGAGTTGAAGAATAAAATCCGAGAGGTAGTTGTGGGGCTTAATTTGTATGGAGTTTGTGACCAGATTCCCAAATGGATTTTCAAAGAAAGGACTCCTACACACTTGACTCTCTCGGAGGAGTAGAGTAGAAAGTATAATACAGTGTATATAAATTATGGGGAGCTGATAGTTTTAAATTTCCTCACAGCCTCAGAGAAGAGCAGGAGGGCAATAAAACACTTTCCATGTCCCCTAGTGGTGTATCAAATTAACTGAGAGTGCATAAGGTCTAAAGTGACTGTGTAGCTATGGTCAAAAGAATACAGCTGTGATCCACATGGGCCTTTTGTTGTTGTTGTTTTGTTTTGTTTTTTTCTGAGATGGAGTATCGCTCTGTCGCCCAGGCTGGAGTGCAGTGGCGCAATCTTGGCTCACTGCAACCTCCGCCTCCCAGGTTCAAGAGATTCTCCTGCCTCAGCCTCTTGAGTAGCTGGGATTATAGGCACATGCCACCATGCCTGGCTAATTTTTGTATTTTTAGTAGAGGCAGGGTTTCACCATGTTGTTCAGTCTGGTCTTGAACTCCTGACCTCGTGATCCGCCCGCCTCGGCCTCCCAAAGTGCTCGGATTACAGGCGTGAGCCACCGTGCCCAGCATTGCATGGGCCTTTTGAACTGAGAACTTGGGAACTTATGGGAACTTGGATGCCCAGCTAGTACCAGCATGGATAATGATGATAAACAAAATGTCCTCCTTGTAAGCCATTCTCTCCAGGAAATTAGCTTTGATTCCTAGAAGAGGTGATGTCCTAAGAGTGGATACTTGTATACAATAAACATAACTCAATTAACTCAGACTAAGTTACTTTCTTCTGGTGGAATGAAAACTTGAATTATAAATGGATTCTAGTTAACAAAAAGAAAAAAGATAGCTATTAATGTTTCTTAAAAGCCAAGATTTTTGTCCAAGAAAATTTATGTTCAATATAAAGGGATTTCATGCATAGAAAATTTATCTGTTACGTTTTTTAATTATAAAAAAAGCCTGATAATAACTTCTCTTCTTTGTGTCTTCAGTTTGTCTTGAAGATTAAAAAAGAGAAACAAAAAATCTAAGTGCTTGGACTAGCTAATGACTTCTCTGTTTATTCCACACAATGCCCTTCCCAGATAGGATGTGACAATTGGTTGTTTTTCCATTGTAGTTTTTGCTACAATAAAATTGAGGGTTAGGGATGGGATATAGCTAATTTCCCCAAGACTCTTGAACTGAAGCGTGTGCCTGGGCTTATCCAGTCCCTGCTTATCAAATGAGCTTGCAGTCACTATCAAATTCCCTAGAAGATCACATTTTTGTGATCAATTTTTGACCCAGAGGCTACAATATAGATGTTTTCATCAGCAAGCAATATGACACCACTCTTCATGTTCAAAAGGCTCAATTTTTATCTAAGTCCATGTGTAAGGCTATTGAAAAACATAAAGTTGTTTTATAATTTTTGTTATTTAGAAACTGGAAAGCAATGGCAATATTATTTTTAGTTAATACCAACATCATTTTAAGATTGAAAATGATGCAAAAATTCCAATAATATTTCTATAGAGAGAATTATACTTGATTTGTCCCTAGAATATCAAGAAGGCTGAAGTAGCTAAAACAAAATGAGAGATATGGAGAATTAGGCCAAAACTGGGGACCAAATGGGGTGTCCAGATTCTGTAGAAATGAATAATCCATGAAAACTTTAAATTATAAAATCAAAAAGAAGCTATTAGATTATTTAAACTGTGAAATGATATGATTGACATGTTTAAGAATCACCCTGGCTGCTAGGTGAAATATTGACAATGGAGGATACTGCTGAAGTGAATAAGCCAGTCAGGACTTCATTGCAATGGTCCAAGTAATTGATATTGCTACTAAATTTGTAGAGAAGAGAGTAATATTGAAATCTAGAAATCTTTTTCAAATAGAATTGTAAAGATATTTGCTTTTTGTATATATTGAAAAACAATGTTGTATTAGTACAAACATTGATAGATAAGTAAATGATTTAGAAATCAACGGTGTAAGAATTGATAGAATAAAAGGATGGCAGTATATATATATATATATTCCAAATTAATTAAATACAAGAAATATTGAAAACTTTCCGAAAATTAGGAAACGATTTTGGAAAAAAAAGTGATATACTCATCTGTCTTAGATTGTTTGGGTGTCTACAACAAAGTACCATGGACTGGCTGGCTTATAAACAACAGAAATTTACCTTTCATGGTTCTGAAGGCAGAAGTCGAAGATCAATGTGCCGGCAGATTCAGTGTCTGATGAGGGCTCATTTCCTGTTTCATAAATGGAGTCTTTTCACTGCCCTCAAAAAGGTGGAAGGGCACGTCAGTTCTCGGGTGTCTCTTTTATAAGGGCACTAATTTCATTCTAAGGCCTCTACCCTCCAGCTCTCAAAAGGCCCAATCTCCTAATGCCACCATCACCTCAAGGATTAAAATTTCATATGAATTTGGGAGAGGGGAAGGCAAACTTTCAGACTGTAGCATTATATCTGACCAAAAATAAGATGCAGGTATAATAATTAATAATTTTAAAACATATAAAGAAGAAAAAATGGTGTTTGTATATGATTTTTGTGGTAGAAAACACAAAATATATTTCCCACACAAATTAATAGTTTCCTAAACATATTAGTAGTTTTAAGGCCACACACTCATGAAAAATTTTAAAACATTTTAGGTCAAAAATAAAATTAAAAGGTACCTGTAGAATAACAAAACCTTTAGACCAACATGACAAATAACCATAATCTTTTTTATACTAAATTATCTTACCTGGCACTAAAACAAATACTAACTTAGCTATTGCAAAAAAGAAAGCTGGGCATGGTGGGGCAAGCCTGTGTTTCTAGCTACTTGGAAAGCAGAGATGGGAGGATTGCTTAAGCCCAGGAGTTCAAATCTGCAGTGAGGGTGTCTCTGCACTCCAGCTGGGTGACAGAGTGAGATCCTCCCTCTAAAAAAAAAAAAAAAAAAAAACAAAAAAGAAGAAAAAAAAAATAAAGAAAACTAAAATATTATAAAAATAAAATTATTTATCAAAATGCACATAAAAATCCAAACCCCTTGCTTATTAAATGTATGCAGATGAAAGCAGCAATGTTATATGATGATGATGTGTCCAATTTTCAAAATACTAATTCTCTCATAAATACCTAATGGAAATGTCAGTTGATATGGGCTTTTTAGAGACCAATGAGAATGTTTTAAAATTACGTTTGTATTTTTTATTGAAAAGAAAGAACATATTCAAGAATATTTTTGAAACTATTATATTGAAACATTGGAAATAAACACTTAGGTGGCTTTAAATAAAGTATGGCACAACTATAGGATAAAATATTAACCATTAAAATATATGGTTTTCAATGAGTATTTAACCATACCCATTGACACAGAAAATGCATGGGTGACAGACAATCCCTGAATGCAATGTTACAGATAAAATGCAGAATTTAATATGATTTTAGCCACATTAAAATCATGCATGTGCTTAGATAAGGAAATGTGTACAGTAGCACTATATAGAGAGTAAAATTTGCACTGCACTCAGATTACCACGGTTTAAATCCCAGATCTGAAACTTGCTAGCCATGCTATCTTGGATAATTTATTCTGTGTGACCTTGGCTGGGTTAATATGTGCCTAAGGTTGCTTCTACATAAAAGGGAATAATAGTAGTACCAGATGCTTTGGGAAAATAAGTTACAAAATTTCTGTGACAATATTCAATAAAAGAGAGCCAATAACAGTGTTTTATATTTTGTACGCAATTTACATTTTGTATATAGCAAACATTTCTCTACCCAAGTTAAAAAATCAAATATTTACTGCACTTTGAAAACCTTTTTCTACCCTTCCCTCATCATATTCCTTACAATTTCTTTCCAAAAGCAGTCATTCTAATTAATTTTACATTAATCTTTCTTTTGAGTTATATCTAAATTGCTTTTTTTTTTTTTTGAGACAGGATCTTGCTCTGACACCCAGGGAGTGCAGTGGTATAATCATGGCTTATTGTAACCTCAAACTTCTGGGCTCAAGCAATCTTCCTGCCTCAGCTTACCAAGTAGGTAGGACTATAGGCATGTGCCACCACAGCTGGCTAATTTTTAAAATATTTTTGTAGAGACAGGGTCTGGCTATGTTGCCCAGTCTGGTCTCAAACTCCTGGCCTCAAGCAATCCTTCCACCTTGACCTCCCAAAGTGTTGTGATTACAGGGTTAAGCTACTGTGCCTGACAGTGGTTCATTCTTTTTTTTTTTTTTTTTTTTTTGAGACTGAGTTTCACTCTTGTTGCCCAGGCTGGAGTGCAATGGCACGATCTCGGCTTACTGCAACCTTTGCCTCCTGGGTTCAAGCAATTCTCCTGCCTCAGTCTCTTGAGTAGCTGGGATTACAGGCATGCGCCAGCCCAGCTAACTTTGTATTTTTAGTAGAGACAGGGTTTCTCCATGTTGGCCGGGGTGGTCTTGAACTCCCAACCTCAGGTGATCCTCCTGCCTCAGCCTTCCAAAGAGCTGGGATTACAGGCGTGAGCCACCACGCCCGGCCCCGTGCTTCATTCTTAATATTACATTTTTAGGATTCATCACAGTTGACACATATAGCTTGTGGATCCATTTTCACTGTGCATAGTATTTGCTGAATGAATATATGCTAAATTGTTTATTCTAATAGTGATGACATTTAGGTTGTTTGCATGTTTTGAGGTATTACAAAAAATGCTGCCATGAACATTTCTAGTGCTGGTCTCCTGTGTACCTATGTCAAAATGTCCCTAGTTACCTCCCTAGAATTGGAATTGCTAGGTTGTAGGTAAGACACATGTTCACTTCACTGACCTCAGGTTCTCCTTGGCCTTTGGCTCCACTGATTTCCTTTCTTTCAGTATTTACTTTGTTGGTATCCCAGAGAACCATCACTAGATGGCCTAGCCCTCTTCCCATCTCAAACACACACTTCCACTCTCAAATACACACACAGACAGCAAGACACTCTCCTGAAAGATATAAAGACAGTACTAGGCTACTCAGAATATTCAAAACAGAGACACTTGCAGGAAGTGAAGATTTCCTTGCAGTGCCAAGTGTTTCAAATTAACATACGTCAACCAGAAAATGGTGTATTCAAACTACACTTTTGTAGAATCCAAGTGGTCCATCTAGCTCACACATTTCACATTTTAGGTTATTGGTGTTGAAAGTTCTCTTATCCCCCTCATAGAGCATGCAGTGGGGGTCTGGCTTACTTCTTCAGTGCCCTGTGGCTCAAACCTCTGCGTGGAGCATGCAAATGGGTAAGGCTGTGGGGCTCTGACCCCATGGGGGCGTGCAGGGGTGAATTATAGCTTCTGAAGCCCCAGTGAGCGTGTGTTATAGGGTACTCTTTTAGTTTAGCCACCCATAGTTGGCTTGTGTTAGTCAGCTCGATTAGACCACCTGTCTTATCACAAGGACAAGGCTTTCTGTATCCCAGGGTTTCTTGCCTTGGTGTACCAGAAGAATCAGATCACACATGGGCTTGGAGAATGAGTTCAAAGTTGTATTGAGTGACAGTAGCTCTCAGCAGATGGGGCAGCCAGAAGGGAGATGGTTTTCCCCTGGAGTTGGGCCGCTCAGCAGCACGAACTCTCGTCTGACCACCCTGGTCAAAGTATGCATCATTCCACCAGTCGATGGCCTTCGGGCCTGTTGGTGTGCTCTTCTGCTAACATGCTCTGACATCCAGCCCCTTGTGTCTTCTTTAGTTGATGTGTTCCTCTGGATGTCCAGCTGCTCATGTCTCTGCCCGCTAGGGTCTTGGGGTTTCCATAGGCACAGGATGGGGGCATGGCAAGCAGGGTGGTCTTGGAAAATGCAACATTTGGGCATGAAGGCAGGAGTGCCTGTCCTCACCTAGGTCTGTGGGTATAGGCCCAGGGGTGGAACCCTAGCCAGGGGACCTGCCTTTCTCTACCCAACACTTCCCTGCCCGCTTCTGTATCAGTGTGACAGTCTTCTTCTTTTTCCCACCTATATCCGTGTTTTAGGCACGAAGTAAAAGAAAAGATAATATCTCAAATGGCATATTTTTAGGGCAAGCCCCTTTTTTTGTTTAAGCATAACAGAATCAGTTTATTATCTGCATAATTGTTGATGATATATATGCCATTAATTCATAAAATTCAACCAACTCTCAATGGTTCAACCATCATCAGCATTTCCTTGACTACTTTATGATATGGATTGAGTGGGTTGTATCTTAATTCCAGTTTTGTTTCAATGATACTGGGAGATATGCTCAGGCTTTCAAATTACTGCAGCAATGCAGCTGGAAAAATTAAAGAGATTTTGCTTTGGACCAAGGTAAACAAATCATTTTCACACCCTGTTTTCAGCTTTCATTCCTTCAAAAATATATAGGACAGCGGTTTTTCTTTCTGGTATATTAAGACATTAATTATACTCTGGATGAAAATAAGGAATGTAGAAAAAAATGTGCCAAATATTACTCACTGCATGTGAACACGGATAATTAACAGACAATCCAGACAATATATCTGCTCATAGTCAATATTTTTATCGTATTTTTTTTTGACTGGGAAATGTACACACTTTAGTTTCTCTGGTTCTCTGAATAACTGCCATCTATTTCTAAGCAACAGGAAAAGAATCTATATGAAACTTCTCGAAAAGTACTTTCTGGCCAGGCGTGGTTGTTCACACCTGTAATTTCAGCATGTTGGGAGGCTGAGGCAGGTGGATTACTTGAGGCCAGGAGTTCAAGACCAGCCTGGCTAACATGGCGAAACCCCGTCTCTACTAAACATACAAAAAATCAGTTGGGCATGGTGGCGTGTGCCTGTAGTCCCAGCTACTTGGGAGGCTGAGGCACAAGAATTGCTTCAACCCAGGGGACAGAAAAGAAAAGTACATTCTTTGGACATAGCTTCATTGCAGAAAAAGAAAAAAAATCACATCAAAGCAAATTCATCTCTAACTAAAAATAACTAGGCTATGTTGGTTTAAATGAATTATAATTAAGAAATAAAACAGGAGAACAGATAAAGGAAACAATAGATATCACTTTAGATTGTATGTATTTTAGATAGATGACTATTCTTATTAAGTACACACTATAAAATGTTTATATAATTTTATGAATCTTTTCTCAAAGCAGCACTACTGAAGAAATTCTAGGTTTGCCTTGACCATGCAGAGGGACAATCACATGATTTACCAGAGGGATTTGATGCATGACTTGTGGTAGACTGAAGTATAAAGACCTTAAAGGACAACCCTGGTGATGAGGTCCGGGGTTGGGTGGGGTGCTGAGGAGTTGGGGGATAACCGATGGCAATTGTGCTTACTAAAGATGAGAAATAAAACAAGACACGTCATTTCTATTCAGTAAGAAATAAACTTGACTGAGGGTAACAGAAAATCGAACTAATGAGCAAAACAGACACTTAAAAACTAAGAAAATAGAGGTAAGTAATAAGATTGTGAACAGGAAATTACATAAATTTAATTGGAAACATTCAAACTGAACAAAACAAAGGAAAATATTAAAATGGAGACTGAAAAATTAAAAAAAAACCTATACTATACATAATCATTAGAGCCTACAAAAATAATTTTCATATGTGCCCATGTGTTGAAGTTGCAAGTCGCATCATAGTATGAGGCTGATAAGATATTCTAATTTTAACATTTTAATAATTTAAATATTTTAGATTTATTTGTGCAAGAAATTAATTTAGTGAAAATCTTCTCTCCTTTGCTGTCCAACCATTTATTCACCCATAAAGGCAACACATAATATCACTTTTTTATACATTCTTTCATAGATATTCTATTCATCAACAAGTAAATGTATATGTATTTATTTTCCCTTATACAAACAAATGGTAGAATAATATATTATGCACTGGTCTACATTTTGTTATTTTGTTCAATTGATATATCTTG
Organism: Homo sapiens; assembly: GCF_000001405.40. Taxonomy (NCBI): domain Eukaryota; kingdom Metazoa; phylum Chordata; class Mammalia; order Primates; family Hominidae; genus Homo; species Homo sapiens. Next base: position 65,731,247 of record NC_000010.11, on the reverse strand, counting down.
AATATAGTTTATATAGACTTTTCTTAGTCTTTTAAAAAGTCATATAGTGTTATGTTTTATATAACATATTTATTAAACAATTAATGAACCTTAAGTTTTCTAGTTTTCTATTGATTTTACAAGTGATAATGCATATATGTTAAATAAATATGAATGATACATTTCTGAGGGAAATTGCTTTGTCAAATAGCATGTTTATTTGTGATTTTGATAAATGTTGCTAAATTGCTTTTTGTAGAAATTTTACTAATTTGCATTATCATTTGCAATACATAATAGTGCCTATTTTCCTACGTCATTTCCAATGTATTGTGCTATCAGTTATTTGTTTTTTCTCAATGTAATAGATAAAAATTATATCTCAATGTAGTTTTATATGCATTTATTTTATTGTGGATAGGATGGGACTTGTTCTTATTAAGATACATTTTTATTCATTTTCTATGAATTTTCAGATTTTTTCTATACTATTTTTGACTTGTTTACCAGATTTTTCACCAGGAACTCACTGGTGTCTTCCAAACATATTTTATATCTGGGAGAAATTGTCACCTCTAATTACTCTCTATTTTTAGAATTTCCCTGGAAATTCTTGCTATTTATTTTCCATATGAACTTTAATATTGGCTTATATAATTCCAATTATTCTAGCAGTGTTTTAACTGGAATTGTAATAAATTTAGTGCATTAACTTAAAGAAAATAGTTGTGAAGGTTAATTTTACATGTCAGCTTGGAGGATGTCTTTAGATGAGATTAACATTTAAATTGGTGAACTCTGGATAAAGCAGATTCCCTCCTTAATGTGAGTGAGCCTCATCCAATTAGTTGAAGGTTTGAACAGAACAAAAACCGTGGCCTCCAGAGCAAGAAGAAATTCTCTAGCCTACCACCTTTGAACTTGATCTGCACCATCAGCTCTCCCTGGTCCCCCACACTGCATTATTTTGGAATTGCAAGCTTCCGTAATTACATGATCCAATTCCAATTCCTCATAATAAATATTTGTGTGTGTGTGTGTGTCTGTGTGTGTAGAAGGAGAAAGAGAGAAAGGAGACAAGGAGAAAGAGAAAGATAGAGAAATATACAAAGAGACACACATCCAGTGGGTTCTGTTTCTCTGGAGAGACTTGACTAATGCAATAGTCACATACATCAGGCAGTCAAAAGAATGATGCTTTTTGTCTCTTTCTGCTTTTCTTTTTAAGTTTATCCCTAGGTACATTATGTCTTTTCTTCATTTCACACTTGACCCTTCACACTTTCTACCTAGCACTTCAATTTGCTACTTTCTATTTTTTACTCCTATATTCAACAATGTCAAGTGTCTTTCCATTTACCCGAATATCTCTGTCTTTTTGCTTTTTGTTGTATTTTCTACTTCTCTATATATTGTACACTCAGATATATGGAGCTATTTTATTGCCTTTTAGGAAAATTATGATAAGATAAAAGCAATATCATCAACATTTACCTTCTTATTTACTATTTTATATGCTCTTCTTTTATTTCCCCTGTAGATCGAGATTCTACCTGGTATCACCTCCCTTCAATCTGAAGAACATGCTTTAGCATTTCTTGTAGTGCAAGTATACAACTTTAATTTGTCTGAAAAAAATCCCATCACCCTCATTTTTAAAGAAAACTTTCAGTGAGTACAGGATTGAATTCTTTGTTGACACATTCGATCATTTTGTTGATCTCAAAGTTTACTTACTCTTCTGTCATCTCCAACGTACTATTAATCTTATCCAGTGAATTTTTAAAAATGTATTATAGTTTTTCATTCTGAATTTATTTTATTTGGTTCATTTTTATAGGTACTATTTCTCTGCCTAGGACCCTTATTAATTCACTCATTAAGATTATATTTAATTTTTTCTTTATTTTTTTTTACTTCTTTAAACCTTTTTATAACACGTTTTTAGATCTTTATCAGCTAAATATATTTCAGATATCTTAGGGTCCATTTCTGTTGACTGCTTTTGTTCTTGATGAGTGTCACATTTTCCTGTTTATTTGCATGTCTTGCCATATTTTATGGTATATTGGGCATTCTTGATTTGTGGAGATTCTAGATTCTAGTAACTTTCTCTGAAGTACATTTATTTTTGCTTTAATAGGTATTTCAGTTTTTGGCATGTCGCCTTAAACTTGTGTAGCCTTGTCTTTGAGCTTTTTAAAGGGTAGAAGTGTAGAAATAGTGTTTTCTCTAATATCCTTTAACTTTAGAGGATTCCCAACCATTTTCTCCCCATAACATTTTACCAGAAGTTTTTTTTTTTCTTCCATAAGTGTGTGTGTGTGTGTGTGTGTGTGTGTGTGTGTGTATGGGTGTGTGTGTGTTTAAGGAGGATCTAGAGTAGGCCCTATTGTAGGGTGTGGTTCATACTTCTAAGGTACAGCCTTCTGGTATTTCATTTAGATGTCTGTGATGTTAACATGTTAACAAAGTCTCAGTTGAATTAGATCTCTGATATTTCCAATCCCATCCCAATAGCAGATACTTCCTAGTAAGCCTCATTTAGTTGTACCTTGCATGTGCTCAGCACAACCCTTGCTCAAGGTTTCATGAAGACCCTTCACATACAGTTCTCAGACCCTCACACATCCAGTGTCCTCCTCTCCACTTTGTTCCCGATAGATTAGAGCTATGTTAGCTCCCCCAAACCCTATGACTGCTTTTGCAGCTCTACAGGAACAACAGGCTCTGAGCCTGGCATCCAGCTCACTGTGCTGCAGCTATGTAACTTTTCCTAGGCAGTTATGATGCCCATTTGTAATATTGTCTTCTTTCAGTGATCTGTGTGTTATACTATCTACTGCCTATGATACTTTCCTAAACAATTTTTCTCAGTTGTTTTTCCTGGTGTGTTTTATACTAGGAGATTTCAATGAGGTACTAAAAAGAAAATCTCTGCTTTAATTTTTACATTCATATTCTCAATCCATTGAGAATATATTCTTGTGTGTAATATAAAAAAGAATAATTTTTCTGCTATCTTTTTGTTTTGGTATAATTTTAAGCTTTCAGACATTTGTATATTATTAGTTTTTTTAAAAATAGTTGTTTATCACAGAACAACTTAAAGTAATTCTTTTTTACTATTTATTTAACATGTTGCCTTTTTATGATTTATTTCCATACAAAATTGAATCAATATCTGGATTTCTATTCTGTTCCTTTATATACCATGTCACAGTGTTTGAATAGTGGTAAGACCTTCTCCCTTCTCATTGTTGTTCTTTTTTTGCAGTATTTTTCTAGCTATTCTTGCCTTGGTTGTTCCTCCACGTGAACCTAATAATCACTTTGTTTTGCTGTAGTAAATAAGAAACACAGTGATGTTTTTAATTTAGAGAACAAAATTTATAAATAATAAACTATAATTATATATATTTATTATAAGTTAATGTGGAGAATGTTTAACATCTTTATAACTTTAAGTCTTTTGTCAAAAAAATGGTAATTTTTTTCATTTTACAAAATGTATTATCTTGTGTATGTTTTTTCAATATTTTAGAGTTTCTTTTTGTAAGTTTTAGATTTTTTCAATGTATACATGACATTTTATCTTACCTCTAAAAATTTTTGCCATTGCAAATGGGGTCTGCTCTTCATTATGTATTCTGTTTTTTTTAATATACATGAGGGCTATTAATATTTGTATGTTGATCTTATAAATGAATTCATTAAATTCTCTTGCTGATTTTAGTTTTTCCACATATTCTTTTAAATTTTCCACCTATAACAATATAATTTTCAAATAAATATATTTGTTTTAATTATTAGGACTCTACTTGCTTTCTTTTGCCTATTGTATTGGCTAATAGAGTAATACAGTAATAGTGAAGATGGCAGCATCTATGTCTAATTCCTAACTTTAACACAGTTATTTTTTAAAACTCTTGTTAAATTTCTGTTATTATTTTTAAATGCATAGTCTACCTCTGCAGGAAATAAAAATGATGACAAATATTTGGTTTTCTTTAATGACGTGGGGTCTAAGCTCCCTTCCTTTGAACCTAAACTATTATATGACTGCTTTGGCTAATTGATTACAATAGAAATAATGTTTTATCAGTTTCTAGGCTTAGTATTTTAGAGGATGGCAGTTCTAAGCCACAGTGAAGAAAATGTAGTTACTTTCCTGGGGAGAATGCCTAGAGAGGTACAGGAAATGAATGGCACCCGGGTGATTCGCTGTCAATCTTCTTTATGGCAATATACCAGTTATATGAGTGAAATTGTCATAATATCTTCCAGACCAGCCCAGATATGAGATGAATACTCTGAGTGATCATAGTCAATGATATGAAGAATTGATATATTCTCCAACAAAGTCCTGCACTATATTTCTGACCCACACAATCATGAGATAATAAATTGGTTGTTTTGTAAGTTTTGAAGTAGTTTGATACATAATGATAGATAGACACCATGGAAATAGCAATATGCTTATCCCTGTATTTCTTTAATATAATTCATTATATTAATATATTTCATAATATTAAAACACCCTTTCATTCTTGATTATTAAACATAATTATTTTATTCTTTTTGCTATTTAAAATTATTTAATATTTTAATGCTAAAATTGCAATATTTTTACAGTATTATAATCAAAAATCAGATTTTATATTTTAAATTAGAATTTAAGATTTTTTTGTGAAATATTTGTCATATTTTCAAATTAAAGTCATGCTCACTTCATGGAAATGATTAGATAGTTCTTTCCTTTTCTGTGATGTGGATAGTTTGAGATTGTCTATTCTTGAATAGTTTTGTTGATTTGTTCTAGAAAAATATAATATGGAGAGACTTTTTGACTATATTCATTATTTCTTCTCTTTTTGAGAATTTTTTAAGACTCTGCCTCTACTGAAGACAATTTGGTAAATTTTATTTTCCTACAAAATTATTAATTTCTTGGATTTTCAAGCACATTTGCAAATTGTTAGAAAAGTTGTTTTCTATGTTTTTATAAAATTTCTTTTTTTACATGACATTTTACCTTATAATTTCAAATATTGGTATTAGCACTTTCTTCTCTTTCACTTTTTAATTAGGGTAGCTAAGTGTTTTGTTTTTTAAGAGGCAGCTTCTGGAATTGTTACTTTGCCGATTTATACCTTATTAAATTTTGCTTTTATTTTTGTCATTACTTCCTTCTGCTTTCTTTCAACCTATTCTGTTGAATTTTTTTTATATTTTTAAATTATGTTTTATAATCAAATTATGTTAAGTTTTATTGATATAGGCATTTGATGCGATGCATTGTCTCTAGCTAACTGCTTCATAAAGAACTTGGAAATTATTTTAAGTCATGCTTTTTATAATTTTAATTTTAAATAGTTTCTGGGGAAGTGTGGTTTGCTTCACATACTATATTGCTGATGCTACTGTCTTACTGCCAACCTCTCAAGCTTGCTTTGAAATCATGGTAGTGTTATTTTGTTGTTGTTCTTATTGAATGGGTGCTCCAAGTCACAATCTGCATAAAATGCTTGACCTGTTTCAGGTATTATCTTTTAGTGGGGACAGTTGTCCTCTTTTGTGTTTCATCAAGTAAGTCACCCCTGAAAAAACTGCCTTCTACAGACTTATATCCAAATGCTTCAAGGAGGAAAAAGATTCAGAGAAGAGTGTTTGATCTGAATAAAAAGAAAAGTACTTAGGGAATTAGAAATAAACAAATTTTCCAAAATATAAAAGGAAGGTTAGTAATATTTCTATATTTTTCAAGGAGAGATATGATTTTTTTAATTGATACACATGGAACTAAATGAATATATCTGACATTGTTCAATATATATTTTTATCACTATTAGTATCATTGCATATCTGGACCCAGTCTTTCATATTTTTTTAATTTTTTAAATACATTAAAAAAGTTGAAAAGTCAAACACTTTAAAAGGATATACATCTTATATATCACTTATGGTGAAACCGAGATATTTACTTGGTAACTCTTAGATTTACATTTTCATATTTGTTTTTCTCTTTTCCATATGTGCAAAAAATACAATGCTGAAAAAGAAATATTCTTGATGTAGTGATGTGATTCATAAGCCTTCTGTTTTACTTCTAGATTTTTTACATTGATTTCTTTTACTTGGCTTAATAGTACATTTAGCAAACATAATCTTAAAAATTATTTTAAGAACAAAAGTCATGTGCTGATTTTTCTTTTTGTTGTTGTTGTGATTTAGATTTATTTTTTTTCCTGGTTTTCTTTCTTTGGAATTTCAGTCTCTAGAAATTAATCCATTTTTAACCTAGGTCTTTTAGCAAATTTGTAAACATTTTAGGCCCTAGGTAAAGCATTAAAAGCCTGTCTAAGGGATCACTGGGAAGGTAGGTAGAATTCCTGAATTGTCTTAATGTTAATTATTTTCTGTTCTTTATTGTCATATACTGTGACGTTTTCTACAATAAAATAAGAAAGTTTTAAACCATGTTTTAAAAAGATTAGCAAACCCGCTTTTGAAGAGCTTGCTCAGTATACTTCAGTCATCTGGACCTCCGTAAAACAAAGAACTTGAACTAAACGATATGAGAATTCTTCTGTGCAATCTTATGGTTTCTTATTTGAGAGGTAGAAATTTAAAGCTGCTCTTATCCTATTGCAATTAGCAAAATGAAATGAGGTGAACACAATAGATAGTTATTTACCATAGCTCCTAAAATCAACATCCAACCAAAGGCTTAATTTTGCTTTTTTTAAAATTCCTATCTCATTGGGAAATAAACTTGAAATCACAAAATGGGTTCATGATTAAAGAATCCCAGTCAACTCAAACACAGTCAGGTGTTAATGTACGACTCTACCAAATTTATGTGTCTTTAAATTTATTTGATTTCCTGAATATGTTTATAATGTTCTATATTAATCTTTGTTTTCGAGTTCTGGAATTGAAATCTGTCTGCCCCATTCCTGTTCTCTCTCTTTCCTGCTATCGGCATCACATTTCAGGCAATCTTGAAATTATCTGTATTCCACCTTCATCTTCCATTAATGTTTATCCAGTAATTCATATGTCCTAGAGAGTCCACCACCCAAAGTTTGTACCAATTTCCAAAAATAAATCTAAAATTCTTAGTGTAGTACTAGTGTCCACTCAGATCTATGTCAATTTGCCTTTATAGCTTTCTTCAAAGCAAGTTTCCCATCATTTGCCAAAGATGCCTACTTTCTCTTCCCTGATGTAACTTTCCTTCTACTCACTACACTTTGACCTTTATTAACATATCCCCTTTCACCTGAAATGCGTTCCACTGTGTTCTACTTTCAACATTCCACAAAGGATCTGGTTTGGTTCTGTGGCCCCACCCAAATCTTAGCTCAAATTGTAATTCCCATGTATAGGGGCAGGACCAGGTGGGAGGTGATTGGTTCATCAGGGCGGTTTCCCCCATGCTGTTCTCGTGTTAGTGAGTGAGTTCTCATGAGAGCTAATGGTTTAAAAGTGTAGTACTTCCCTCCCATCCTGCCACCGTGTAAGATATGCCTTACTTCCCCTTTGCCTTCTGCTATGACTGTAAGTTTCCTGAGGCCTCCCCCGCCTTGCAGAACTCTGAGTCAATTAAAACTCTTTCCGTTAGAAATTACCCAGTCTCAGGTAGTTCTTTACAGAGGTGTGAAACGAACTGATAGAACAAAGCAACCTCCAGTTCATATACCACCTCCTTTGTCTTGGACACTCTTAGCTAAAGATAATTTCTCTTTGCTATATGCTTTGACATTTTATTTTCCGTCTATTTGTTAATTTGTGTTCATTTTGCCCATTTAGAACATGAAGGCTCACTAGATGTTCCTGCCACATGTGCACATTCATGTTTTCACTTAATCTCCACAATGATATTGAAAAATTGGGCCTATTATTATAACGTTAAAGATGAGACAAATGAGTCTCAGAAAAGTGATCTAAATTGCTAATGGTGAAACTACTAGTAACCACAGTGGCAGAACTTATACTCATGTCCTCTGAGCACACATTGTGTGCTTTCTCCACCTTATTTCTATTACTGTAATTCCCAGCAACTCTTTATTATAAAGGAGCATTCTCAGAGAAATTGTTTTTTCGAAATAAAAATCTTCAAGGAATAAGTGCCATAGGAAAGCATAATCAGCTGTTCCCTGAGAAAGTTTAACCATTCCATCAATATACCAGGTATCCAGCATAATACTATGTCATATAGAAGGCATATGAGACATAATTTCTACATTCTAAGAACTTAAAACTAACTGGGAATATTTGGCCGACCTTAACAAAAATGCAATATATTATATTCTCCTTCAATTTATTTATTTAGTTATTTATTTATTTTATTTTATTTTTTTTTGATACAGAGTCTTGCTCTGTCACCGAGGCTGGAGTGCAGTGGCCCGATTTCTGCTCACTGCAAACTCTGCCTCCCAGGTTCAAGTGATTCTCCTGTCTCGGCCTCCCACGTAGCTGGGATTACAGTCATGTGCCACCACACCTGGCTAATTTTTGTATTTTTAGTAGAGACAGGGTTTCACTATGTTGGCCAGGCTAGTCTCGAACTCCTGATCTCAAGTGATCCGCCCACCTTGGCCTCCCAAAGTGCTGGAATTACAGATGTGAGCCACTGTACCTGGCCTTTCAATTTAATAATTTTAATTATTCCTTCTGCTACTGAATAAAAGCCATTTGCAGAAAATATTTTTATTATTGTTTCAGAAAATATAATATACTATATCATAGCCAAAGAAATTCAAGAAATTTTAACAGAGAGAAAAAAATATATATCATTTGAGCAAAAGAGAAAGAGTTTGTCTAAGTAGTAAAGAATAATTTAAACATAAGCATGTAGTCTTTGAATAATTACGATGCCTCTTTGTTGTAATCTCCAAAGAGGAAGGTATAGGCTGACAGCGGTTAGTAGTTGGTGAACAGGGATATGAGAGTATTATCAGAAAGTGCAGTCTTATTTTTGCTCTTTTATTTATCATTTTTCTCAATCAGGAGCTTTTGGTTATACTGAATTTAAAATACACTGAAAATCACTTTTAAGACAGAAAACCAGTAAGAGAAAAATAAAAGTAGGAGAGCTTCAAAATATTTGGAAATGACATACTTGTGCAAGAAACTGAAGTTAAGGAAGATAATCCTTGTTTATCCCACATCCTTGATTAAGTATGCAAAGCATATTGTTGTGGATTCATCCAAATATGGCATGTACTTTACATTAGTTCCATATAATAATCTCTGAATGAAGTGGATTGTGTTCCTAAAAAGTGTGAATCTATTATAACCTGAACTTTTAATTGAATGTCATATTTTACACTGTACTCTTCAGTGTCTTTTGCAAAAAATGCCATTATAAAATTTTAAGAAGAGTTTCTCTCTAAAAGTGGTATATCTTTACAGGAATTATTTTGATAAAAAATTGTTAACAAAAGAGTTACCATATGAAGTAAGCCTGTTTGAAATTATTATAGCAATTAAAAGTTTGAGAATTGAATTAAGAAAAGAAAAATGTATATACATATTACTGAGTGTACTTTAATTTATATTACTTTTAGTATTGATACAATTGTTTTCACTTGGAGGCAGCAGTGGAAAAGGTGTCTGAAAATTGCATTAAATGTCCAACAACATTATAGTGTGCAAGTGCTAATTGTGAGATCTTTTACAGGCGCGTACAGTTTCCCTTCTACCTGTGAAGTTTTTATAAAGAGTGTGATGACAACAATGTCATCTCACCTTTCTCCATTTTATCTTAACCTCAAACCTTTCGTAAAGGCAAAGATTTAAATCATATATATTGTGAGGTAACACAATTTTTTAAAGAACTAATATGAATACTTCCCAATTGTAAAAAGAAACAACCAAAAAACACTAAAATAATGTTTTAAATCATTAAAAAACAAATCACTACCTCACAAATTAAACTAAAAGTAATTTTCTTGCAAACCGTGTCCCACAGATAGCAATCCATGAAAAAAAATATTGTTTTAAAAAAAAGGAAGCGGCTAAAACACAAAATAAGCGTAGAAAATTTCTCCTTTCCCCTTTTGAAGATACATGGTACATTTTATCGTATTAAAAGTTAGGACAAATCCTGCTCCAGAAAAGACTTACTGTGCTTTTTAAATCCAATACAGTAATCTCCACTAATCTGTGGTTTCACTTTCTGTAATTGCAGTTACCCACAATCACAGTTTGAAAATAGGTGACCAAAATCTCTCAATCCCCCAAACCCTAGCCTCTGGTAACCATCATTTTTCTGTTTCTGAGTTTGATTTTTTAAAAATTCCACATAATAAGTTAGATCGTGAAGTATTTGTCTTTTTTATTTTATTTTTTTATTTTTTGGCAGGAGGAACCTGCATTTTATTTTTATTTTTTTAAATTTTACTTCAAGTAATAGGATACATGTGCAGAACGGGCAGGTTTGTTACATTTCAGTAACGGAGAAGGAATAAGTTGAAGAGATCTATTGTATATCATGGTGACTGTGGTTAATAACAATATATTGCATACTTGAAAATTGCTAAGAGAGTAAATTTTGTGTTCTGGCCACAAAAGTTACGTCTGTAAGGTAATGCATATTTAAATAGCTTGATTTAGCCATTCCACAATGTATACGTGTATCAAAGCATCATATTGTAAACCATAAATACATGCAATTTTGACTTGGCAGTTAAAAAATAAATTAAAAATTTAAAAAAGAAAATAGGTGGATACAGTACAATAAAATATTTTGAAAGAGAGTGAGAGCGAGTGACAGAGCGCCCACATTCATATAACTTTTATTATAGTATATTTTTATAACTGTTCTATTTTATTATTATGTATTGTTGTTCATCTCTCACTGTGACTAATTAATGAGTTAAACTTTATCATAGGTTTGTAGGTGTCTGAGAAAACAGCATATATAGGGTTTGACATTATACACAGTTTCAGGCGTCCACTGGGAGTACTGAACACATATCCTGTGGATAAGGGAGGGCTACTGTATTTGCCAAACTCATTTTAACTACAAACCAATCTAAGAATATTGTATAGAAATACTATTTTCCACAAAACGCTTGGGTAATTGGTGAAAGAAATGAAGGACTGCTTCTCCTTCAAGGAAAGCCCCATGAGTAATATTGTTCACAATAGATTATTTGGTAATTTGCATATTAAGATTTCAAAGAAATTTTATGTTTCAAAACTGTAAAATGCTGGTATTCTTTTAGGAGTCAAACTTCAGCCCATCCAGCCACCATCTGTTTGCTAAATAAAGTTCTGTTGGAACATGGCCACACACATTTGTTTGTGTATTTTCTACAGCTGCTTTCATGCTGTAACTGCAGAGTTGAGTAACCTATGAAATCTAAAACATATACTAATTGGTGCCTTAAGAATAAAGTTTGCCCATCTCAACTCCATATATTTTTGACAATCAACAGATCAGAAGATGAATTTGTCATATTTTAAAAGTTAAGGTGCACAACTAAAGCATGGGCCATATATGTTCTGTGGAAGCGGGGTCAGAAATATTTTTATGCAAGCTCAAGATAGCACCCAGAAGAAAAATTCTGAGACCAAACATTTTACCACCTTCTATTTTAGATGATTGCACATGGCCATGATAATTTTAGAATGGGAAATTTTCTGATGTATTAATCAATTTTTCCCAGTGATCATTAAAAAAATTTCAATAATACACTCGTAAAATATCTAATTTAAATTGTAGTGTTAATCTTGGTAAGCAATCACGTCATCCCTCCTGACCTTTTCAAATAGAAATGTCATGTGTGTGGTTGCAGATCATGACAAATGAAAAGTAATGTTTTCTATATCACTTATACATTTTGGTATGAGAGCATTAGCCTTGTTTCAAAAGGTCATCTCGTAATTTTTTAAAAATGACATTTATTTTGCCTTTGCAACATCAATTTAAATAAATGTTTATTATGTCTGTCTATCATGAGATCTATTAAGATATAGCTTCCTAGCTCATCAAATTAAAATATATTTTTCATAGAAAAGAAACCGCCTAGATTTCTGGGAGAAATGAAATAATGAATAAAAATATAAAGATAAACTTCCAATATAAGAGGGACCTAAAATGAACTATGAGATATCTACTCATGTCAGAGTCCCTGTATATACACAAATCGTGTCAATAAAAATGACAGGGACAAAGATATACACCATTTTTTTAAAATAAACATTTCTAAAAGCCTTTTCCATTTTTTTTTTCACATCACAATCACTTGAAAATATAGACAAAAGCCTTTTATTCTTATCAGGAATCTACTATATTGTTGCTACTACACATAAATCCTCTCAAATCACCATAACATCCTTTTATTTGAGAACAGCATGAATAACATAGCATCTTCTTGTGACCCAAGTGGAATTCATAAAATTGTTAAGTTCTTTTTCTGAGATAAGTTGTTATTTGGAGAGTCTTTGAGGAGTCTCAAGGATAAAGTAAATGTGAATTTTTATCCAGGCTCTATGTTTTGCTGGTTCAAACAAAACTTCAAAGCCATAGTTTGCTCATCCAAAGGAGGGGTAGAATATTTGCCTTGAGAACAATGGGACTTTTAATACAAAATTAAATGATACCTGCAAAGTAAATATTTCTCTCTGAAAAAACATGGGAAACAAGGTCACAATGGAGAAGTGTACCTATACATTTTGATTCCCTAAAGCGATTGGTAAGCTTTTCTTGAAGACAACATATGTAGTTGGCCCAATTTCTAGATATTCCTTGGCATAAAGACAATGCACAAAATTTAAGAAAAATCCTTGTTTATCATGTTAATAAGAGAATTTAAGCAGATCTGGCTAGGATTAGACAGCCTGGGTGGGGCTCAATCAGCCAGTTCTCAGGAATTAGTCAATCAAGACAAGGAACACGGGGAATCACCAGTCCACTGTGATGAATCGAAAATTCAATATCTTAGATCTGAGGCTTATATTAGGAGTCTGGGTAGAGAAAATTACAAAAGGTAAGATTGTTTCAAGGCAACATTGGAAAATGTATAATTCACAGTGAGTGTGAGTCTATGAACAAAAGAGAAAGGGAGGGGGAGAGAAAGAGAGAAAGGAAGAGAGGGGGAATAGTTACTGCCCCTTCACTTGCAGTTTATTTACTTATAAGCTAGCCCTGCTTACCGAGAGGCTGTGTGAGGCACACCTTGAGACACATCAGAGGGACTGTCAGAAGCCAACAGGAACATCAGAACATCAGGACTATCAGAAGCCATGGAACAGTTCACTCCACTAAGTGGGAGTAATTCTAATTAATACGTGTTTTATATTATTTTATTCTTACATTCAGCAAACTTTTTTACATTTACTTTGAGATAGATACTGGAGATATAAATGTATACATATAGAATTGCTGTTCTCAAAGAGTTTTCAGTCAAAAGAAGAGACAAGCCAGGATACAAAATTACAAAATAATGTCATAAATTGTATTATAGTGTTCTTTAAGCAGAAGGAAATGGAGTATTTCACTCAATCTTTAAAGTCAGGCCAAAAGAAGCTACATTATATGGATCACTATCTCTGGTAGGGTCCAATGATTTAATGCAAAAAATACACAGTACACCTTTTTGGAGTCATGTTATGTCTGCATGTATTCATCCTAAATAAATGAACTATTTTGGAGCAAATATGCTAATTATAGTGTGGTGTTTGTAATCCAACTGCCTATCCATACTGAAATAATAGGAAAGGATTCCAGTTTGCTGCTCAGCATATTATTTACATACTAAATTATCCTGCAGAACGAAAGCCAGTATGTAGGGTATTGGTCTGGTCTATACAAAAAGTGACATTTCAATTAACTTTCTCAGAAGACCACCAACTTAAACTCAGCCTTAAAAATCAAGGGAGTTGGATATGTCAATGTGATATAGTTGAAGGGGAATGAGCAAGACCACATAGTATTCCCATTTTCTCAGTTCTCCACATCTACCTAATAAATGAGATCAATGAATTAAGCTTCAACTTTTGAATAGTATCTTCTATATCTATTTATTGAAAAGGCATTCATGGAACAGTTCATTAAGAGTTTTCTAGTGCCCTGAAGGCCCCCATTTGAAATATCTGTGTACCTACATTCAATTGGGCGTGACCATACAATACTATGATAAAGATAATGGTAGGCAACTAAAGCTTCAACCTTGTGAAAGCTCAGTCCCTGATAGAATATTAAACATCCTCTGGAAACTAATGGAGTTATTTGAGCCATAATGATTTTTTTTGTAAGTAGAATTTTAGAACACATTCTACTGCAGCATTTATTTCTGCCTACCTTAAGTGTGTTCCCACTCTATTAATGGTCAGAATGCCAATTTTTCCTCCTATGTCAATCTAAAAGTGTTATCACTGACAGTCGGCTGTCATCCTAAAATGTACATGTGGTTGATTAGTCATGGTTGCCAAAGTAACCTTCCTGATGTGTGTTGGTTGCTTTTAGGAGTTTATCATTAGACACCTGAAAACCTTGACTGCATGTAAATAATAACAGCTATCGAGATAACATGTCTTTGTGCTTCAAATGGTATTGTCTAGTGTTGAGACTCAATAAATATGTGATAATGCTGAGCTTTTATTCGTGTTTTTAGTCAGTTGCTATCAAAACCCTTGGTAGGAATATATTGATTTTTAATATATTCTTAAAGTTCTACTTTCTAAACAGGGAACTCAAGTTAAAATATTTTATTTATAGCGTTTTATGTCAAACTTCATACAAAATTTTCCTGCAGCATTTGACATTGGTTAAGGCAATTCCCCCCAAAAAGAATCAGTCCTGAAATAATCTCAGGCCTCTAACCTTTCCTCTTCTTTTTTTCTGCTGAGTCTCTGCTCCAAAATTCTGGATCTGCCAGTGATAGGATGAACACTAATGATAGAACCTATACTATTTCCCCTTCCCAAATTTCACCTTTGCTTTTTACTCAGAAAGTTAGGGTCATAGGCTTTTGATATTTTGACTTGTGCTTTTGCTTTGCATCTTCATTTTATCTATCTGTCTATCTATCCATCTCTCTATCTATCTATCATCTATCTATCTACCTTTTTTGAGCCTTGGTTTTCTTATCTATAAAGTTACATAAGGGATTGCTCCAAGAATAAATTGGTGAAAATAAATTTACAGAATTTAATACAGTGCCTGAAACATTTTTAGTTTTAAAATAATTATGTATACTATCAAAAGTGAAATTATCCATTTTTAGTAGAATTAACTGTGGCTTTTTTTTTCTAGCTGTGTTGGTAAATGGTTAATGAACAATAAGTAGCCTTTTAATGAGATACATTAAAATTACTTTAGGAAGGTTTTTTTTTTGCTCTCTAAGCATTATGTAAATTTCTAGCCTACCAAGTTACAAGAATCCTAGCATTTTAGAATGACTATTTTTGGATAAAGGCATTGTGTTTTCAGGGGTCTCTTCTTAAACTACAGTGTACTCAGAGGTGTGGCACATTAAGCTGCTATTTGCTAATAACACTTTAGAAGAAATTAGTTGATGTCACAGTTCGGAAAGCTCCAGCACCATACACTAAGATGAAGTTTTGGGTGCAAAGTATTTATTAGGGATTAATACCTGTGAAAGGTAAAGAAAGAAAGATTGGTTAGAGGAAGAAGTCGTACTCTGATGTATGTCTGTCAAACATTCAGCCAATGTGAGGGAAGAGATCAGGAGCAAGTATTACCTGTCTAGTTGTCCTATTTTGAGCTGAAATGACTGTACCTTTATGTCCCAGCCTTTTATTTATCCAATGTGGGCTGCCCAGGGAAAATCATGACCTCTGGCAAGGCTACTTTCTGAAGCAGAGGCTGATTATAAAGGAGCTGAATGTTGATGGCTGTCTGCTGATCACATTCCTGCAGCATGGCAGTTCTTTCCTGACAGGTGGCGTGTATCTATATCTATCATACTTAGACTAATTAGCTATCTTTTCAGAGAAGTGAACTGGGCCTAGATTCAATGAGATGCCAACAGACGTACATTTTATTGAGAGACTCAAAACAACTGCTTTCAGTGAGTTGATTCACATTTGCTCACATTGTGTGCATCTTACCCACTAGGGAAGCGTAGGTACCTAGATTCATAGAGCAGAGATAGTAAGGATTGTAAAAGAAAAGAGAGAAGCCCCAAAAGGGAAGGATGAGAGAGAATCAGCAGTACATTTCCCTTGCACCAAGTCAACACAGTCACACATACTTAGGGGCATCAATTCTTTTTTTTTTTTTTTTTTTTTTTTTTTTTTTTCAGACAGAGTCTCGCTCTGTCTCCCAGGCTGGAGTGCAGTGGCACAATCTCCGCTCACTGCAAGCTCCTCCTCCCAGGTTCACGCCATTCTCTTGCCTCAGCCTCCCGAGTAGCTGGGACTACAGGCGCTCGCCACCAGGCCTGGCTGATTTTTTGTATTTGTAGTAGAGACGGGGTTTCCCTGTGTTAGCCAGGGTGGTCTCGATCTCCTGACCTTGTGATCTGCCCGCCTTGGCCTCCCAAAGTGCTGGGATTACAGGCGTGAGCCACCGCACCCAGCCAGGCATCAATTCCTTACCTCTTCTATCTTTCTGTTTAGTAAGTGACATCTTGTTTGACCAGAGTTTACCCATATTTATTCTTTCATTTTTTAAACCATGTTATTTTTACTGTTTCAAGAAAAAAAAAGTCTTTTTGTTGGTGGCTTTCCTGTGTTTTCTAGAATTAGAAAATCATTTTCTAAGAGCATTAGACATAACCAAAATGCTTCATCTCTGTAGAACTTTGTAGCAAGTAGGGATGTGGGGAACTGTGATTACAATGAATTACAGAAACCTTGTGTGCAAGACATGGGAAAGTGTCAGTACTCCTGCCCAGTGCACTATAGATGCTTCTAAGGACCCATACAGGGCTGTTCTTCCAGTCTGTATGCTTTCCTTAAAAAAAAAAGAAAATAAAATAAAAGAAGACAGGAATGGAAATGATGTGCCATTATTTTCTCCACCTCAAATTTCATCTTGTAAAAGTTTTGTTTACCTTTTTTCAATGCTGACGCAGAGTGATTTAAAAAATGAAATCAGGTATCAATGAACTCAGGATAAAAAGCACCACGAGTTTTACCACCCTGACAAGTCATTGCATAGGCATCAGCAAGCTTTAAAAAATCACAGTGGTTAGACAACATAATTTGCATTGCCCAATATCTTGTAAAAACAGCTAAATGTTTTATTTCACAGACTTCCTTCTCAGGTTGTGTCTCAGTGATTTTCACTTATTAAGTAGCATCACAAGCCATGAAAATATTCTCCCCAGGCACACACAGCTCACTAGAATTTTTGTTCTCAAAATATTGATTTCATGATTAAACATTCCATCAGATAAGAACTCTAGACCTGAGCTTTAGACTTTTCATACTGGGTTGCATTTATGGTTTGAAAAGTCTTGAAAATTATCTATTTCAATTAATGAAATGTAGAGATACTGTTCTATCACAAAGATTAGATTTATTCCCAAGTTCCCATTGCTCATAAGAGGCTAGTGTTCTGTGAAATTTATGATAATACTTAGTTTCTTAAACTTTGTTATGTGGCCATATGCTGCCATTTATACGTCTGAAAAGCATGGCTGGAAATTATGAGGAAACAGAATTGGTATATGACTACTTAGGAAAATGCACACAGTCATTTTATGACTGCTTTTGGTAACTGTCTTTTTCCCACAAACAGTTAGGCTTATAAAAGGATGAATTTTCTTTAAAATTTTTTTGTTTTTCTTCATTCACATATTAGGCATGAAAGATGAATTTTCTAAATTTGGTTTATATTGGCCAACACAAGTTAAATAACAGTGTGAGGCACTTAAACTTTATGCTGGCATCTGAATTTAGTCTCTCTACTAATCAGATACTTTGCAATACTTGATATCCTTTTTAACTTTCCCCATTATCTGGGTGACAAACCTTTTCAAGCACTTTTGTGACTCTTAAAATCATAATATGCTAGACCTTTTAAAAATTTTAAGTTATCATAAACCCTTCAATATTGTTTCTAAATTAATGAAGTCTTCAAATTAAATATCAATTTACAATTATACATTTGAGATTGGAGTTACTTTTTAAAATTATCTTCTTGAAAGGTCAAATTGTCTTAAACAATTAAAATAGTTGAAATGTAAATATTTATACTTATATTTCCTAATGTAAATTATTAATAACCTGGAGTCAATTGTATTTTGAGTGATTCTAAATTTTCATAAGTTTTCAAATGCTTACCACTGCAATCACAATTATATAAGCCCAAATACTGTGAAGGGCTGCTTTCCTAAAGCAATGTTTTTGGACCTGCATCTTTGAGTTTCTAAGTACTTAAGAAACAGGACGATTGGCTAGGATGCAGTTGAACAATTTACTATAACACTGATGATATAGGTGAACCCTATTTACAGTTGTCATACTCTGTTACAGAAAGATGAAGTGATGATGCTGAACACGTGCCTTAGATTTAGAACCTATGTTTTTTAAGTAAAACTATATGTAACTGGTAACTGATGGCTATAGTTCTTGGTTGTAATATTAATTTTGTTGCTTTTAAGTTCTCCAAGTTAATTAACTGTTCCCTACAACTCTAAAGACTTTTGAACTTGATAGAACTCTTATAATATACATCTCATCTCTTAGAACCACATAAGGCTTTCAAATATTAAAATCATGTTCCATTAGCATTGTCTGTTTCTCATGGCTTCCGTATATTTGGTGTTATCAAAATGTATTTTTCTTAGCAATGACAGTCTCCTCATTCTTCAGAGTGTTACTCTAGGTTATTTCTGTTTATGCTGTAATAGAATTTCAAAGTTTAAATGTAATTTTAAAGTGCATCTGGTTGATTGACTCATCAGGTGACAAAGAATCACTTTTAACAAAGGAAAGAAATCTGTAGTATATTGTGACATGTACATTTTAACTATTTATTGTTATAATCATTTATTCGTAGTCATTGTACTGAGCTTTTTATTTGGGTGGCCATATAATTTGTTATCCAATTAGGTAGTTTTTGAGAGTAAAAGAGGGAAAAATCACTAATTAATAATTAGGACTGTCCTGAGAAAACTGAGACATATTGTCACCAATGGTGCTCAATGATACTTAACTGAAATGTTTAGAACATTTTCATTCACAAGCAATTCTGTAGAGCACTGTTTTTTACATTCCATGCCCTTTTGAACATTTTTAGTCAGCTAAATTTAAATGCCACTGTAATATGTAAAAATTTTCAAGTAGGGTTGCACGAATTGAATAGGAGACTGCCGACCTGAAGCCTATACCCACACCATCCTCTTTGAGGTACACCATGATCCCACAGGCACCAGCATAAAAATATGGAGCTCCAGAAGACTATTTACAAACCACTGCGTTAATGGAATAAAAAATAACACTTATCAAACACCTATGAAATACCAGCCAATATAAATGGTATGGAAATGGGATTGCAATTTAAATCTGTGTTTAATTAGTTGCAGACCCTCATTCTTATTTCTCAGAAGAAAATGCATTTTTGTAAGCTGCATATCTTAGAAAGTTCTATCATCATTGTCACGTATCTGTCAGGTCACCTTAGGTTATGTTACACCAATAACAAGTAACTTCCAAATTTCAGAGGCATAAAACAAACAAAGAAACCCAAAAAGTTTTTTAAAATAAAATGTTTATGGCTTACACTATGTATCTATTGCAGTATGCCAAGACACTCTGTTTATTTTAGTTCCTGAGATACATAGGCTATTGGAAGCTCTATCTTGACATATACTTCTGTGATTCCAGAATCAAAGAAAGGGAAAATGGCAAAATATTCATTGCTTCTTATAGTTTCTGTCTGGAGATAACAAATGTCTTTTTCTTTCACGTTTCATTGGCCAGAACAAGTTGAGTGTTCATGGCTAAGTCAAACAGAATAAGGTTATATAATTCTTCCATAAAGATGATCCTCAAATAATGTAGTCACTTTACCAGGATCTTATTTTAACAAAATCTATGTTTTTGAACTTGTAATTGATATTTCTTATTCTTTCCTATGGGATCAAATGTCTTATGAGAGCCCTCATATATTTAGACCCACCCAAAGTCCCTAAAAATATATTTTGACTCACTTTCCATATCCATCTAAAATTTCTTCTTTTCTGAATTAAACATTTGTAATGTTTCAACTGCTCTTGAAAAAGCATTGTTTAAAGCAGTGCTTCCCAAATCTGAACGTGCATTGGCATCTTCTGGAGGTATTTTCAAAACACAGGTTCTGATTTAACAGACCTGGATAAGGACTGTAATGGAGCTTTTTGGTTTGTGTTTCAACTAAATGGTATCTTGACCCAATGTTGAGTCTCTAGCTACAGGTGATTCAGTTCTTTTTAGCAGCTAATGAAGTCCATACCCCCACCATTTCCATTAAAGAGCTCTCACCTTCGTGGCCACTATGCTCCAACCCAAATCACTCTGGGGCCAGGTTTCAGACAACTAGGAATAGCCCTATGCTTTGGAGCCTGGAAAATTATTCAAATAAGCCAATCCATAGGAAGCTATTTTTCCAACAGCACATGCTCACTTCATTTCTGATTGTCACATTTTTGTAATTCTTGCAATATTTCAAACGTTTTCATTATTATTATATTTGCTATGGTGATACGTGATCAGTGATTTTTTTTATTATTGTAAGTGTTTTGGGATGCCATGAATCACGACATTATAAAGAAGCAAACTTAATGGATAAATCCTGTGGTTGTGTGTGTTTTGACTACTTCACTCACCAGCCATTCCCTCATCACTCTCCCTCTCCTTGGGCCTCCTTATTTCCTGTGACACAACAATATTAAAATTAAGCCAATTCATAATCCTACAATGGCCTCTAAGTTTTCAAGTGGAAAGAGGAGTCACCACATATCTCACTTTAAATCAAAAACTAGAAAGGATTATGCTTAGCGAGGAAGGAAGGCATGTCAAAAGCCAAGAGAGGCTGAAAGCAAGGCCTCTTGTACCAGTTAGCTAAGTTGTGAATGCAAAGGAAAAGTTCTTAAAGGAAGCTGAAAGTGCTACTCCAGTGAACACACAAATGATAAGAAAGCAGATCAGCCTTACTGCTGATGTGGAGAAAGTTTTAGTGGTCTGGATGGAAGATCAAACCAGCCACAACATTCCCTTAAGCCAAAGCCTAATCCAGAGCAAGGTTCTAACTCTCTCTAATTCTATGAAGGCTGAGAGAGGTGAGGAAGCTGCAGAAGAAAATTAGCCTAAGATAAAAATAGTCTTTTTGGTCATTCACTGCATATCATTGAATTATCTAATATTCCAACATGTTTATAAATGCTGTCATTAAATCTTACTTTCAATATATAATACTTTGGCTCTTGTTCTCTGTGATTAAACATGTTTTTATAATTGAAATATAATACCATAAGATAACCATTTAAAAGTATACAGTTTAATGTGGTTTGACAATTGTATGCTTTCATGTAGCTGTCTTTAATATCCAGATATAGACAACCTCCATTTTAACAAAAAATTCCCTCATGCCCACTTAAAGTCAGTCCTCACCCTATTAAATAAATACTGACTCGTTTTCTGTCCTTACAGTTTTTGCCTTTTCTAGAATGTCACAAACAGGGAATCACACAGTAGACTCATGTGATTTCTGTAGAAAAAATGATGCTTGCAATTTGTCTGAAGACAAACCTATTTTAATTAATATTATCAAGTGAACATATAGTTAGGAGGAATAAGTTTTAATGTTCAAGATCATAATAGGGTGACAATACTGAGCACCAATGTAGTGTATATTTCAAAATATCTTGACAAGAGGATTTGAAATGCTCCCAACACATAGAAATGAAAAATACTCAAAGTAGTAGATGTCCTAAATACTCTGACTTAATCATTATACATTCTATGCATGTAACAAAACGTTGCATGTACTGTCAAAAAATGTATATGGATATTATATATCAATAAAAATTTTTAAAACATGATCAAGTATTACTGTTGAATTAGAGTAATCTCTGGGAAGTACATTTATATAGTTTCCATGTTCTGTGGAAAATTCTCACTAGATAGAAAAACTAATGCAAAATTAGTTTAGCAAACCAGATGTCTTACACAATTCTTGAGAGTTATCATGGCAGTGTCAAGCAACATGCTAGCACTTTGGCTTGCTTTTTACTCACAAAAATAACAGTTTTATAGGTACTGGGTGAGCATCAAGAGAACTGGCAAATTCTAGAAGAGGAGAGAACAAATCTATATGCTGAGCAAGGTCAATGGCTTCTTCCCCTCCATCTTCCCATGAGGGACTGAGCTTACCCAAAATCTAAAATGAAAGACATTAACTAATACTTAAAGATTAATACAGAGTTTTAAAAAATTAATAGGAATTTAAATTTAAAAATTCACTCTTCATTATGTAAGTATTGTCTTTTAATGTTAAATTAAAAATTGACCTACCACCAGAAAGGTAATAAAAACAGGAACAAAAGAAGCTAAATGCATTACAGATGAATAACATAATCACACTGAAGGTAGAAGGGAAGAAAAGAGCTAACCCAAATAACATTGGAAAAAAATATTTTGACCAGATACTCTAAAGCTAAAGACACAAGAAACTGTACACACATACTGTCATACAGTTAGGAAATTTGTTTCTCATAAGAGTGTGAGTAATTCTGAAATGACTTTACACACATATATTGTTTTATCAGCGTTGTAGAAAAAAGTTACAAATAAAGAGGAGGGTCTTGTTATGTTGAATTAGAATTAAAAGTATAAGTAAGAACTCATACACACACACACACACACACACACATAAAGAAAGAGAGAGATTGAGGGAGAGAAAGAATTGTGTGGATGAGTATTTATACATATACTTTACAGTATTTATACAAATGTTCTTAGCTCTGTACACTGAGAGGCATTGATTTCCCAGTAACAGTGAGCATACCTAGCATCCACGTGCTGGTTTGTAAGTGGTATCCAAAAAGAGGAACTGGGGCTCTGTGATGGTTAATTTTATGTATCAACTTGTCTAGGCCATAGTTCCCAGATAATTGGTCAAGCACCAGTCCAGATGTTGTCATGAATGTGTTTTTAAAATGAGATTAGCATTTAAACAGTACACTTTGTGTAAAAAGGTTATCTTCCTTAATGTGAGGGGCCCTCATATAATCAGTTGAAGACCTTAACAGAAAAAGACTGAAGTTCCCAGAGGAAAAGGCTAGTTCTATAAGCAGACTGCCTTCAGACTTGAGTTGCAATATGAACTCTTCTCTGGGTCTCTAGCCTGTGGGCCTGCCATGCAGATTTTTGGACTTGCCAGCTCCCATAATTGTGTGAGCCAATTTCTTAAAATAAATCCTTCTATATGCATATATACACACATCTTAGTAGTTCCGTTTCTTGGGAGAGCCCTGACTGATAAAACGTCTTTGGAGGAATGGTTGAACTCAAGGCTGATTTAGGGAAAATACAACATGAGCCTAGAGCATCTTGTGTCAGAAAGTAAGCACATGTTCAGAAAAAGCGGGTAACATGTTGAAAGCACACATGAGTCAACCTTAAGGAGCTACTCATGGCTAGAATCGGAAAATTTTGAATAGCAAGATAAATGCTGATAGTAATTATTATAATCCATAGAATAATAGAAGCATATATGGATCCACACTGATAGCAATACATTAATTGCTATCAGTATTTAATCATGTTTTAATGATAGCAATACATTATTGAATAAATAGGTAAATTATGAGAGAGGATAATAATAAATTATGGATGCTAAATTTAGTGGGCTGCAACTTGAAAAGAAACATATTTTTTACAAGGATTATCTTTCTGGGATGTTTTTAATTATAAAGGAAAAAACTGTAGATCAATACTCTTCAAAAGTGTCAAGGTAATGCGATACAAAGAAAGAAGGAGGAACTGTCACATATTGCAGGAGACCAAGAAGATACATGCACAGTGTGAAAATAAGATTCTGGGTTGGACACCGAAATAGAGAGAAGTGGAAACTGATGAAATTCATATAAAATCTGTTGTTTTATATGAAACATTTTCTTGTTTTTATAATTATTTATGGTTTTCACTATTATTAAAAGTTATACTTGCACACAATATAAATTGGGGGTAAAATAGTTCTACAAGGGTCCTTGTAGCAATTCACACATCCTAAATTCCCTTCTAACCTGAGGCTACCACTTTCAACTCTGTTTGACGTTTATTCTAGAATTTAACTGTATATGTCCAAATAATATACCTATTTAGCTACTCCTTGATTATTTTCTAAGTTTTAAGCATTATATACTATTATATACTGCCCCTACCAGAGAATATTAGAAGGTAGGTCTTTTTCAACCCTTTTCAAGCCCCTAAACCACCCCAACACATGTAGCCTCCCTTTTTCCCGTATATCTAGTCTAGTTAAATTGTAATTTTGATTTTTGTTGATTTCAGTATTCATGTTGTAAGTATGAAAACATTACTCAAGCTGAACCATCTATTTTACTATGGCCATTGAAAAAACTTCCTGCTTCAATTTTTTTTTCCTCTGGAGTTAATAATTATCTTATTTTTAGGGATGCAGAGAAGGAAGGTTGCTTAGTTTTTGATGTATTTTTCACTTATTTAATGCTAAACATTCTAACAATTGTCTAAATCTTTCCCCAATGTCTTCATTCATGAATTATTCTATCAAATCAATCTAACTGAGGAAAGTTTTCCTGGGGCCTTCTCTTCTGCTCCAGTCTGGTACACAGTTGTTACCTGTCATCTCTCTTCACTTATTATCTTGGCTATTTCCTTCTGTTGCCTTTTGTCTTGAATCTCTTATTTTATGCACCTTTTGTACATTACTTTCTTGACTTCAACCTTGTTGAAACCTGAATCTGGTTCAGCCTCGTTTAGGTAGTGCACAGTTTTCAGAAACTTTCTAAGGAAGGATACTGGAGGAAATCATTTTATGACCTTTCATGAATGACTTTTGTATCACCACTTAACAGATTGTCACATAGTGGCTTAAAACAATAGTTCCATGAGGTCAGGCAGCTCAACTAGGCTTTATACTCAGGATGTCACAGGCCAGTATAAATTTCTTAAGACAATGACGTCTTATCTGGAGGCTTGGGACAAAGACCTACGTAAGCTTCATTGGATTCCCCCATTGTTAGTATCTTTATCCCTTTTATTTTGGTCTGTTCAAATTTCCAGGAGAAAGATTTTTTTTTTATTTTTTCCCTAACAGTTTAGGCTTAGGTAACTAAATTCTGAGAAACTAGGAAACCTCAACACACATTATTCAGATATTCATATAACAACCTGATTTCAGTACAGTATCACCACTCTAAATTATTCATGATATCCATCACTCCAGACACTACTTTTACTGTAACAGTGAACTAAATCTCTATGGGAGAGCGGGGGGGGGGGGGGGATCAGACTCTCTGTGAGTATGGTAGATGTTGGACCTGTTAAACCAAGTCTCCACTTTTATTTACGTATGGGCACACATGCACACACTCACACACACATGCACACACACATACAATCATAATGCCCTCCTTGTAGGAGGAGATGCTACCCATCTCTAAGTCTTTTGAGGGATCTGTCAACTAAATTTTGTTGTTCCTTAGCTTTTCCCATTTCTGATATATAATTTGGCTGTATCAGATTTTCTAAATCAGTTATGTTATGCTTTGGCATGCCTTCCATCTTTCCCAATTATTCTTTTCTTGCTCTTGTCTTGTCTGTTCTCTTCATCATTGTGCATTCCTGAATTTAAGAAAAGTCTCTTTTCTTTTCTTTAAAAGGACATTGAGGAAGAGGTTTTTTCAATATACATGTTGAATCACTGTATTTACTTGGAGATCCTCCATAATTTTAAACAAATATTCTTTTTCATTTGCAGAAAAATCCACTTGTAAATAGTAAAATATAAAGAATATGAATAATAAAATATATAATGCATGAAGAAAAATGCTGTCATAATCGCACTACAAAATAGCAACTTTTAGTAGTTTTTAATACATATTTGTAGATGTTTTTCAAAATAAACATTCTAGAAATTGATTTTGTCAAAATAAAGCCACTAGTACATATAAATATACAGTAGCAAAAAATTGGAAACTATTTAAATATTAATCAATAGGTGAATGGACAAATTGTGATATATGCATTATAAGAAATGGTATATAGTCATGTACTGCATAATGACATTTTGGTGAACAACAGATTGTATATATGATGGTGGTTCCATAAGATTATAATGGAGCTGCCCTATACAGCTGCACCATTGTTTATCTTTCTTACTATATTTTAACTGTACCTTTTATACGTTTAGATACACAAATACCACTGTGTGACAACTGCCTACAGTCCTTTGTGTAATAACATACTGTACACCTTTGTAGCCTAGGAGCAATAGACTATACCATATAGCCTAAGTGTGTAGTAGGCTAGACAATCTAGGTTTGTATAAGTACACTCTAGGATGTTCACACAATGATGAGATTGCCTAACTATGCATTTCTCAGAACCTATTCCCATTGCTAGATGACGCATAACTATACAGTCACTAAAAATAGTTTGTGTCCTATGCATTCACATAGAAAAATGCCCAACAGGTATTGTTAGATGAACAAAGATCAATATTTAGAACATAATAAAATGAGTGTATATTTATTGATAGATAAATTATATATATATAAAGCTAAGACAAATTTCTATATGACATAAAAATTTAGAAACAAATTAGGGTTTATCACTATGAGTGAAAGCTGAATATATACACACATACAGAAACATGAAGGTATGTGTGTATGTATGTATATATTCATATATTTCTAGTGTGGAAGAACAAAATAATCAGCTATTTTGTGTTTTTAAAGTATGTTTCTAAGGATTATTTTAACACCAGAAAAAGAAAAACTCATAATTACTAACTAGGAAAATAATATGTGACTACATAATTTTTGCAGAGAATTTTTAACTATAAAATGAAAGGAAAAAATGTAAAAAAACTCTTAACTACATGCAAATTAACTCTGACCAAAATCATCCATACAATAAAAGCCACAAATAATAATGAAAAAACAGAAATAGTTTTAAAACAGTAAAATGATATACCCAAACAGGAAAACATATTTGCAAAATTATGACCAAAATTTTGATTATTAATATTTACATGCTTTCCAAGTCAATAAATATTTGTTTTTCCTATACAAAAGTTAATTAGGATAATAGAGACACTAAATAAAGAAGATAAGCAAATCTCCTAATTTAAGAAAAATATTCAAACAGCATTAAAAAGATATAAACAAATAAGATATGATTTTTATCGTTAGATTGGCAAAAAATTAGCGAATTTTGAATAATGAACTTACTACATATTGTTTATGGGTTCAAACTGGCATAATCTTTCTAAATAGAAATTTGGCAATTTAGGTAATAACTCAATGGTATTAAGTGTGTGAATAATGTTAAAAAATTTATCCTAAGGAAATAAGTATAAAAAACACACATTAGCATTGGCTAGAAAAGAAAGTATTAAAAGTCAATATTTCCACACATTAGGAGAGTGGATATAAAAATTATAGCCCGTCCATATAATATGATACTGTATAGCTATTAAAAGTGAGTATATATATCCATACTTGGCATAGAAGTATAAATTTTTGGTGTGTGTTTTATGATATCAATTATATTTTAAAAAGTGAAAAGACACTATATACACTTAGTGAAATAACTGACAGATGATAGATAACATTAATCATGTTTATCTTCAGTAAATATATTAAGACATTTTATTTAATTTTTGTGTTTTCATCTTTTATTTTAAATTCAAAGGGTTTGTTACATGGGTATGTTGTATGATGTTGAGGTTTAGAAATGGATAATCCTGTCACCCAGATGATGAGCATAGTACCCAATAGGTAGTTTTTCACTCCAGGCCACTTTCCTCCTTTCCACTTCTCATAGTCCTCAGTTTCTATTATTCACATCTTTATGTGTACATGTACCCAATATTTAGTTCCCACTTATAAGTGACAACATTTGTGTTTCTGTTCTTATGTATATTTGCTTAGGATAATGGCCTCCAGCTGCATCCATTTTGCTGTAAAGGACATGAATTTTTTATGGCTGCGTACTATTCTATGTTGTGTATGTACCACATTTTCTTTTTCTTTTACCATTGATGGGCACCTAGGTTGATTCCGTGTCTTTGCTATTGTGAATAGCACTGCGATGAACATATGAGTGCACGTGTCTTTTTTGTACAACTATTCATTTTCCTTCTGGTATATACAGAGTAATGGGATTGCTGAGTCGAATGGTAGTTCTCTGAGATATCTCCAAACTGCTTTCCACAGTGGCTGAACTAACTTGCATTCCCACCAACAGTGTATAAATATTTCCTTTTTTCCTCAGCCTTGCCAGCATCTGTTAGTTTTTGACTTTTAAAAAAATCACCATTCTGACTAGTATAAGACAGTATCTCAATGTGGTTTTGATTTGCATTTCTCTGATGATACAGTGATGATGAGCATTTAGTTTATATGTTTGCAGTTTGTATGTCTTCTTTTGAGAAGTGTCTGATCATGTCCTTTGCCTATTTTTAAACTGGATTATTTGTGTTTTGCTGGTTGATTTAAGTTCCTTGCATTCTGCATATTAGGCTTTTGTTAGATGCATATTTTGTGAATTTTTTCCCATTCTGTAGGTTGCCTTTTTATTCAATTGATAGTTTCTTTTGCTTTGCAGAAGCTCTTTAGCTTAACTAGGTCCCACTTGTCAATTTCTGTTTTGTTTCCATTGCTTTCGGGGACTTAGCCATAAATTCTTTGCCAAAGCTGACGTCAAGAAGGATATTTCCTAGGTTTTCGTCCAAGATTTTTATAGTTTGAGGTCTTACATTTGTATCTTTAGTACACCTTAAGTTAATTTTTATACATGGTGAAAGGTAGGGGTCCAGCTTTATTCTTCTGCAAATGGCTAGCACCGTTTACTGAATAAGTCCTTTCCTTCACTGTTTATTTTTGTTGACTTTGTCAAAGATTGGATCATTGTAGCTGTGTGGCTTTATTTCTGGGTTTTCTGTTCTGTTTCATTGGCCTGTCTATTTTTGTACCAGTACCAGGCTGTTTGGGTTACTGTAGCCTTACAGTATAGTTTGAAGTTGGGTTATGTAATGCCTTGGGCTTTGTTCTTCTGGCTTAGGATTGCTTTGTCTATTCAAGTTCTTTTGTCATTCTATATAAGTTTTAGAATAGTTTTTTCTAATTCTGTAAAAAATGGCATTGGTATTTTGATAGGAGTAGCATTGAATTTGTAAAATTGTTTTGGGCAGTATGACCATTTTAATGATATTGACCTTTTAAGGACAGTTTAAAAACATGTTGGTCTCATTAAAGAAAATTTTCTAAAATTTCCTAAAATTTAAATTACTCAGTAATTCCATGAATTACTTGAGTAACAAACAATTTTATGCAACCTAAAGAAACCTAAGGAAATGTCCAACTGTGACTTTAAGATAATCAAAACTAGATTTTCCTTCATGAGCCTGACATAATCAGGTGAAATCTTTTGAAGAGGTTCTAGAGTTCAGTGATTCAGAGCCATGGATATTCTCTCTCTCTCTCTCTCTCTCTCTCTTTCTCTCTCTCTCTCTCTCTCCTTCCCTCCCTCTCTGTTTCTCTCCAACTCCCTCTTTCTCTTTCTCTCTTCATTATTGGCTTTGAAGAAGCAAGACTCTATGAATTCCATACCTATAAGGTGATAAATTCTGCCTGCCAACAACCAGAGGAATCCTGCAGTCAGATTCATCCCTATTTAAGCCTCCAGGGGAGAATACAGCCTGGCTGACACCTTGGTTTCATTATTTATCTTGAAACCATGAATGGAAACTCAGACCTAGACTGCTGACCTAGAGAAAGGGGGTGTTTCAAGCCGCTAAGTTTTTGGTAAATTGTTACCCAGCAACAGAAATCATGCATAGAGAAAAAATCTGAAAGGCTAAAATAACAATAGTTTTTTCTGCATACAAGAAATGTCAGGGTGAAGTGGGGTGTCATTAGTGAGAGTGTAGGTGATTAAATGGAACTTGCATTTTTTACTTTATAATTTCATATCGTTTCACACTCTTCTGTACATACCATTTCTTAATTTTTAATTTAAAAGTAAATAAAAGACTTAGAAAGGTAAAATGCAGGTGATGATCTAAGGAAACCAAATCTAGGCAGATAAAAACTTATTTTTCTCATTATTTCAATAGGTGGTCTGTGAATTTTCACTTTTTTGACACTGTGTTATGTCAGTGTCATCGCTCAAGGTAGTAGATTTCAATGAAGAGCTATTCACAGAAAGGTGAAGGATTACTGGAAACCCACAAAAGTTGTGTGAAAGGTTACTGGAAATCAACAATGAAAAATCTTAGGGCTATCAAAAGTAAAGAACTGCTACTAACCACCTATGCAAGGTTACCAGAATTCAGAAGAACTATCATCATGCTGTCCAACAGGAGTTGTGGCCTTTGGTTGAAGAACACAACTGTAGTCCCCCAGAAAGTAAACAGGGATAATAAATATTCTGATCTTACTCTGTTTTTAAGTCTAATCTCCTACAGTTGCCTTCCATTTAACAAATCTAACCAGAAGGCAGGCATCAAAGGAAATGCTGATGCAATATATAAAGATTAGCTTGGAGAGGCATAATCAAGGTGAAAAATGGATTTGGAAGGGCGGATAGGAGAATATATCAAAAACCATTCCTTCTGCCCTTCACATGTACTACTGATATTTTACCAGATCCTCTCAAAAAGGTTTCCACAACAATGTAGCACACATGCACACACACACACACACTTCCACAGATTGGCACTTGTTAACTACTACATAATTATTAGTTTCATTCGTCATATTCTTGCCTGATATGTATCATGGTGACTATCATCTGTGCATTTTATATAAAGTGTTATAGAAGCGGAAATAAAATGATAAATTTACATAAGTCATTGTTGTTATAAAACCTGCTTCTCTGCTGGTTGTAAGGCAAAAATTGATAATGACTCTCAGGATATTTTATATGTGTTCCATTGACCTCTTTCCTTCTATAAGGACCTTAGCTAGTCAGGGTTCTTTAAAGAGTGACGTGAACCACAGATCCACTCCTACATGATACAAATTCTTAATGACTTGTTTTTACTGAGTTGACATTTTTTTTTTTTTTGACAAAAACTCTTGGCTAAGGGAATACTAACAAATGCCTCAATGAATCTCTTGGTTTCCAGGTATAGTCTTCCTTGCCCTCATTAACTATCAAGGCCCAAATTCCTCTTGGAAATTGAAATAAATATCCTTAGCCAATATCTCTTTCTCTAGATACTGGTTTAGCGAAATGAGAGAACAAAAATAGTGATTGCATTTCTTTGTGAAAATCTTCCTGTCCTGAGTTTTATGACCTTCTAATTCACCGAGCCCAAGGTCACAAATTATTTAAGTCATTTATTAGGTATAATCATACGGCAGTCACTCTAAACACCATCTATTGGTTTTCACAGCTGTCCTGTGGGCTTTGTGAGAAATACAACTCTATAGAGCCTATATTTTAAGACACATACCACATCCTGTGTATTACCTTAGTAGGGCATCAATCTATTCCAATACTTAGTATCCCATGATTAATTAGCCATCATTAAAGATGACTGTTAAGTCAAAGCACTCTAATTAGTACTCAGTCTCTGTGGCTCATAGTGGCCACTGTGCCCACTTTTTCTCTGATGTTGAAGCACAGCTACCTAGTGTCTGCTATATTAACTTCTATAGTCTCAAGGACATTAAAAGATATGGACTCCTTCTTAAAAGTTGTCATAGTGGTTTCGTGGTTTCTTTTTTCCTGCCCATTTTGTTATGTTTGTTATCGAAAGCCTTCACGTTTTTCTTTTTCCTGAGTATGTGCTCTCAGGTAATTCAAGGCAGATGTTTCATGCTGCACTCCTTACAATTAGAATTATAATCTTGGCGACTAAATCCTACAGTGTCTTGATCGCCCAATGTTTTGTCTCTTCCTGAATCTTGTATCCTGCAACCACTGGTAATAATTTGAGAAATATGAAGTCATCACATGCCACAGATTACCTGTGTCCTGTTTCTCCCTGCCAGGTCAGTTTTCTGCACACTCTTCAAACAAGGAAGGAAGCCAATCCTATACATCAGCTTTATAATTCAATTTCCCAGTGCCATTTCAGTGTAGGTCCAGATCCCAGCAAGTTAAGTATGTTCAAATATGGTAATTTGGAAGACGTCAACAAAGAGAACATTTACAAAGCTATGGGTAGGGTTACATAAAACCAAAAAGGGATTGCAAAGTATATTAAGACTAGCAACAGAAAACAGCTTACACCACTCTAGATTGCAAGGGTCAAAGAATGTGGTTATTAAAAATGTTATAAGAGACAACCATCAATATAGATGAATATATTGCCCATCAGAGTGGAATAAATGCACCATCTCACTCTCCTTCTGCCTTCCCATTTTTTGGCAGTGATTTTTATTATTTGACCTCAATAAGAAACCAAAGTGTAAGAGAGCATACTTTTGCAGTCTATAAAAGTCGGTTTCCCAGGGCATGGAGAAGGATGGAGAAGGGTCGGGAACTGGTCTGAAATAGCCAACAGGGAAAATACAGAAAGCCCAGTTTCTGAAAATTATTCCATTCTCATATACCTGAAAGTGTTAGTAAATGCTTCTGGAAGAGGGTTTTTTTTTCATTTATGATTCATTAAACTATAATAATGAATGAATGCGTAAAAAAGAAGAACTTCTATCTCTATTACATGGTCTACCAGAAAACATTCCCTCTTTAATAGAAAACAAAGGAAAGGGAATTCTAGGAAATATCATTCAGCCTAGTCAAGTTAACGTTTGACAAAGTCATCACAGTATACCTATTATAAACTTTATAATCATTCACATCTCTTTAAAATATATTTTACTTCCAAATAAAGACAACAATATAATGTTTTTATCCGAATGATGCAATTGGCCTTGTGGAAATGATAACAACTCCTTCCCAGAAGATGTATACAAAGATCCTGTTTTGTCTTTAGGTGATGTTCATTCCTCTAGTTGATTCACACATAAATATTCTGCAACAGAAATACTAAGAGTAAAGTTAAATACCATTAACAAATTCTATGTTATGTATGAGGAAAATGTGAGAGTAGAAAAATATTTGATTAACATATATACAAACATATTTAAATCAAAGTAATGAATATATTTTTTTTCTTTCTTTCTTTCTTTTTTGAGACAGGGTCTCATTCTGTCATTCAGGCAGGAGTGTAAGGTATTTTCTTTTTTCTTTCTATCTTTTCTTTTTTTTTTTTTTTTTGAGACAGGGTCTCATTCTGTCGTTCAGGCAGGAGTGTAAGGGCATGATTGTAGCTCACTGCAGCCTCAAATCCCTGGTCTCAAGGGATTCTGCCACTTTGGCCTCTTGAATAGCTGAGATTACAGGTGTGAGCCACCACATCTGGCACACATTTTCATAATTATTTTAGTCCATACTTCTGAAACTAGTGACACAGTCATAGCTGGTATTTATAAATGGCAGTTATAACTACCTTCTTCCAATACCTATTCTACATCCACTTTGCCATGACTTAGAATGAGTGAAAGATAGGTAGGGTTAAATAGGGAGGGATATGTCTTTATTTGTACTGTTTCTTAATGTATATTCATCTAGAATTTACGAGGAATCAGGTACAGTGTTCTTTGTGTCATACTGTCACTTCCAGGGAGTAACAGAGAGAAGCAGATGTTTCCAAAGCAATTTCATCAACAAAT
Organism: Homo sapiens; assembly: GCF_000001405.40. Lineage (NCBI taxonomy): Eukaryota > Metazoa > Chordata > Mammalia > Primates > Hominidae > Homo > Homo sapiens. Next base: position 65,697,402 of record NC_000010.11, on the reverse strand, counting down.
AAGAATTCAACAGATGTCATCTCTTCTAAAAGTTAGCATGACTATCTCTTGTTTATATTTTCTTAAACTCTCTCAGATATCTCCTAGAAAAAGTACAGTAAAAAGTAAAATTGGCATTTTAGTTAGGTATGTCTTTTTTACTTTTTTTGTTTATTTTCTATTTTATTTTGTTTGTTGGTTTGTCTCTTTTTTTACCTAGTCCACCGCTTACCTCTTTCCTCCCATAAAAGCCTGTCACAAACTAAGCTTCACCTGTGAAAATTTTGTCAGTATCCTTTGAAGACTTTAATCTATGAAATTAATTAAAATATGTACAATATAGAAAAAAAAACAGGCTTCTTCGGCTCTCCATTTGAGATTTCTCTACACTGAATTATTAATTAGAAATACCTGTGTATAGATACAGTTATTCAGATGGCCACTGATCTACCTCTTAGGGCAAATATTTGTCTTTCACTTCTACCAAAAATATCAGGTTTTCGTTTTAGCTTTAGAAATAAAATTTTATGCCCACGTTTTCTGCCTGCATTCTTTTACTGTCAGTCATGACCAATGACACAGACTATGATTTCGAAAATGACCTTGAACATATGCCTGCTATGTTTCCCTATAGTCTTTTTATTTTGTTGCTTTTGTTCTGACATCTGTAATATTTATAATAAGTCACTGAAATTTTCTTAAAATTTAATACCATATATATGTTTCTTTTTATGCAGAAGATGAGAGATATTAGATAGGCAAACACTGATAAGGCAGAAAGGACCCCACTCAAGTGTTATATCTGTGGGGAGATAGAGTAGTGAGGAGTCCTAGGCTGTCAGAAGTAGCATGAAGGGTGTAAGAAAAATTGCTCTCAAAATAATAATTTGCTTGAGAATTTAATCTTATGTGTGTATAGAATGTCAGATAAATATGTAGGGAAGTGTAACAGTACCTCTTTTTATTTATTTTACATTTTATAAAACAATAAAAAATAGAACTTTGCCTCTGGATAGAAGTCTAGTAGTCTCAAGAACAGGAAATCTGTAAGACCTAAATTGGATTTCTGCCTGAATGCATTTCTTCAGTACTATATTGAACCCAAAAGTTAAATCCCAACTAATTGAAGAGTTCAATTCAAGTCCTGTTCTTCAAGACAGGTAGCTCTAAAGTTAATACCTCCATTGAACACAATAAGAGATGCCTGCTATTTTCTTGTGTAGTTTCAAGAAAAAAAAAACCGAGATGGCAATATTGTATTTACCTGAAACATAGAAAGAAGTACAGTAAAGTTTTTGCCCAATTTTTAGAATACCCTATTATGTGGTATGGAATAATCATTGACTTTATTCTTACAGTACTAATAATTTTTAGGAGATCAAAAAAATTCTTTGTGATAATGTTTTCAGAGATTGTACCTCTCAATTCATGCTTATTTTATGGTGAGGAACTTACTAACACTATTTTGGAACAAATTTATAGTTTCAAAACCAGTTCATTTAATATTGGGCCCTTTACAATCACAAATAACCTCGATAAATATCAAAGGGGTTTTTTCGTTTTTTTTGCACATACATAATTGGTGACAAAAATGAATCCATATAATTAGTTCCTGACTTAGTGAAATTGTGGTAGAGTTGAGTGATGCTTAAATATGAAATAATTAAACCTTAGAGCTTTTGAGACTTCTTTTGCATGAATGAAAGCTTATAGCAAAAACAATTTATACAAATGCAAAGCATTTTACAAAATATAATTAGATGTAAAATTTAAAATGAATAGTTACATAGCTAAATGCATATCCCAAATAATATTTACTTCTCCATCACTTTAGAGTTAACAAGGCACTTTCTCATATATTACCACATTTGACCATCATAACAACCTATTTCATTATCATTATCCTTTTTATGCAGATGAGAAAACTGACCCCATGCTGCAGAGCTTGAAGTGGCATAACTGGACTTAGACACAGATGTTTTAATTCCATGCAACTATTCTGAATGCTGATAGAATGAATTTAACAAAGATGTATCGTGCACACCAATTCTGTGTGCAGCATCACACTCTGCATTGGCAGTGCAGCAAAGAAGTTGCTCTTGAGATAATTGTAGAAATACCTTGTAAAAAAATAAACATAACTAACACATGTAGCAAAGAAGCATGAGGTCAATCAGCAGCCCTATATGTCAGCTCCTTTTGAAAGTAAACCTTGCCTACTATATAAATTGGTAGCTTTTCTCCTTATAACTAAGGATAATGGAGGGCTTTTTAATATGTCCATTCAAAAAGCAAATTGAGACTATTGGTGTATTATCTTTGAAGTGCTACCAATGTCCAATATCCAATCTAAAAAAAAATCAAGATTTATTATGTTGCAATGGTGGAAATAGCTAAGGATCACAGAAAATTAGCACAAACTTCTTTATTAATATTTTTATGGTGTTCATTCTGTCAGAAGAAACCCACAAATGGCACCTCTGTCTGTTCCACTGGCATGAAGTTGTAACATCTAATAGAAGGGAAAAGATATGTTCATTTCCCCAGATACTCCGTAGAAAACTCTGACATGTCCTTGTTCACAGAGCAGAAATAAACATTTATTTCAACCATGGAAATCTCTTTGGGGAATTTAGATTCTGTGGCTATTCTGTTTTGTGATACAACACAGGTTTTATTCTACCTATTCTTTTTAAAATAAAACCTGTATTCCATGGTACATAACGAAGTGGCTCTTATTGATTTAAATCACAGTCTTATGTGTATTACTTCTAAATGACTTATTAGGTTGGCCTACCTATAGTTACTGAGTCTTTATTATATGAAACTTTGTATTCCTCTAAACATGAAATTATCCAAGAAAAACAGATATGATGTGTTTTCTGTTTGATTTTCACCTTTATGCTACTGAGCTCAATCCCTATAATCTGTAGTCTCACATCATGGCTGAATTATCTTTTGGAATCAAAGTCTGTCATTTCTGGTGCATTATGCTTTATGGAATAATCTGTAATTTAAGAAAGAGACTTCAGTGGCAATCTAACATATGGCATACTATCCTAAGAAGACCAATGCTTATCTTACATTGCAATTAAGGTTGTTTAAAAATTGTGATGTTAAGTCTTTCAAATATGTCCAAACTACATAAGTACTATCCTAAACACAAATTGTAGCCATTGGCAGCCATACACATATAATTTTGATTAATTATATTGATCAAGTCTCATTTCTAGCAAGTTGAAGAGAATCTCAAGTGTCTATCTATATGCAGTTTGTTGGCATTGGGTAAAGAATATAACAAATTTTTCTTCTGCTTATAGGATTTTAAAGTGGAAATCAGACAACATAGTTAGGCATCATTTGAAATGCAAAATAATGTTATGTGGTATTTGTGGTCTTTTAAAAACTTTGGTGAAGTGATTTTCTCAAAGTCTTTTTCATTCTACATAAGAGTAACTAGATACAAGGTAATGCATTGTTTTACCTAGAAGCCAGATCTTTCAGCTGGTAAAGTGATTTGGAAAGTATTGCTTATGAAAACAATTTGGACAACCCATTTTGATTAGAATACTAAAGAAGAAAACCTATAAGCATTTCAATAAATAATATTTATGTACTCATTTAGGAAACAAATTTATAAGAAGTTGTTGAGATGTATTCACATAAATAAACACTTCTTTAAATCTATTAGCATATCTTAGCATAGTATGAAGCCAAGTTTTAATTAGGAGGAATGGCCTGTGGCTGTGGATTAGACACTGGCTAAGAGCTGTGAATCTGAATCTATACTCTTTCTTTAAATTAGTTTAAATATATATTGATTTGTTACAAATATTTGGGGTCAAATATGTTTTGAATCTCTTGTTAATACATCACCAATTAAAATATATTGGCTATTATTGAATATTTCTAAACTGCAGTGTTACTCCCAGTATTTTCTTGAGATGCATGTGAGATTTAAATAAGTAGAGTTTAAAGGAGTAATCATAAAGAAACAAACAAACAAGCAATCTTTATGGAGCTGTTTTTGTTTCACAAAGTTAAGGCCCAGTCTACATTGTCGAGTAATCAATAAATTTTGAGCAATTGGGTAATTTAGCTATTTTAGTAGTAAATATCTGACTATACTAATTTGTTCTTTTATGTCTTATAATGTTACCAGGAAATTAAAGTTGTATTCTTATGGCTAGAATATAGAAAATAGCAAGAAAACAACACTGCCTTTTAATCCTTTTCATCCAACCAATGTAAAGCTCAGCACCTTACACATTATACAAATTAAATAAATGTTATCTCATTTTTAAAAACAAAGATTTTTAACCAATTTTTAAAACAGTTGAAGTTAGCTGGTAGGTAACTTCATGGATTTTTGATATGTAGTATAGAGAATTGGTACAAGCCTGGATTCTGAATCTGTTTTTCTCAGGTTCAAATCCTGGCTCTGGCACTTATTGATCTCAAGTGTATTAGTCATTTGTGTCTCAGATTCCTCAATGTAAAATGGAGCAATACTATATACCTCAAAGGGTTGTTGTGAGAATACTTGAATGAATATATGCGAAATGCCTAGAACAGTACCTGCACATAATCTGTTCATTGTGTTACCTATTATTATTAATTATAATTAGATACAGTGGACATTATTCTATTTGCTCTAAGATTGTTGGAATGTGTCAAAGTCATTATTTGCTGTCTTTTTTTGGAGTAACTCACTGTATTTGATTTCTGAAACTCTGATTTCTGATCCTTTTATTTGCACTGCTATTATTCCGTTTACATATTGGCAAACTGGGGATTCTATTAGTAGCTTACTTCAGACTTTTTTTTTTTTTTTAACATGGTAAGGGCTAATAAAATATATGACACTTTTCAAATAAAGAAATATATGTCTTCCAGTAAATCAGTAGAGAATTGCATTTAAACATGTGTAACATCATTCATCTGAGTATCTTAAAATGGCCTTATGGACAAGTATGATTCTATTTAAGAGCCAGAGAAAATGAGATCTGAAATTACTTTTTCAAAAGGTCAAAAGGCAGAAAGCTAGTAACAAAATTGAGGTTTCTGAATTTGTACTTGAGCAGCCTAATCAGTAAGCTTACCTGAGTCTTCTCAAGTTGTCCTAATGACCTAGATGGGTGAACAGTTAATTTTCCACATGAGTGCATTAGACATAGGACCACTTTTCTCCATCACTCTCTTTGGCTCTTCATTGTCTTTCCCACACTGATTTCCAAGAAGCCTGTGTGTTTCTTTGATGAGAAGTTTCTTGCAAAGCTGAAATAAGCTGAATAACTTTTTCCTAGTGTACACTGGAATTGTCCCGGTTTTTGCACAGACATGGTCTGATGAACTCTCAGAAAAATGGATGTAAAGCCTCTGTAGATATGGTATCCTGGACAGAAAGACCTTTAGTCTCCTCTCTTGCTACATGAGATAATCTTCTCTGGTTAATGTGGATTCCAGGGAAGGGGTTCATAACAATTGCATTGCTTCTGGAGGAACTTCCCTTAGTCAGATAAGGGAAAGTTCACAGAAAGCCTCTCTGAGAGTTTTAGGGGAGAAACAGGGTAGAGAGACGGGGTGGTAAGACAAGTTCAGAAAGATCTTCGTTTTGAGGCTGCTTCTTTAGTTCAAAGTACTTAGCATGTCAAAGTGCCACACTTTGTAGTGCCATTTTCTGAGCTTCAGCACATCTGTTGTAGACTTCTTTTTCTTTGTACCTCCAACGCAAGCAAGGTATTGATATATCTTTTCTCACTTACATTTTTTTCTCAATGAGATCTGCATTTGCTCTGTCTTCATCTTCTGATACATTCCATGAGTGCCCTTTTAAGACTTATCCCATGTCTTTTCAACCTTATATTAACCTCACTTTTCCTGTCTCAAATTGACTTCACATTGAATTACCAAGTATTTTATATCAAATCTACATTATCTTGTAATCTGGAGCTAAAGGAAATCAGGGTCTTCTCATGCAGAATTGGGTTTATGCCAGCTTGAGGTTTTCAGAAATCCAAATAGTCCACCAATATATTTAAAGCTGGGCTCATAAACCCCTAAATAACTCCTTGTTGAACCAGAGATGTGATGATTTGATGTAGGTCATGAACTCCTATGAAATTGGGTGTCAAGAATCCTGTGTGTCTGTGTGGGTGCAAATATGTATATATACATATATCTCATATGTATGTGTATGTGTGTGTATATATATATATATATATATATATAGAAAAATATGTGTATGTATATATAGAGAGAGATAAAAATAGATGACTTTTATAGAAGTTTTACTGCTTTCATCAGATTCTCAACAAGAACCAAGGCTCAAAAGAAGAAATGAAAAATTTGAAATATATATGTAATATAGGGGTAATAGAAAAATCATTTTAATAAATAGGAAAGGCTTTTTCAAGTGCAAAGAATATGATATTGATAATAAAAACTTATGGAAGTGATCAGAAGAGTATTCATTAGAGACACTATAAACATTTGAGCTGGATATAAAATGATGAGTGGCGTTTACCTGTGTGGAGAGTAGGGGAACATTCAAGGAAACTGTTTCTATTTCATTAAAAGCCTGAAGAAAAATTTTGAAAAAGGGCCCACTTACAGGATAGCAATGCTAATAACTTCTATTTTTATCATCACTGACTACATAATCAGTCCTGTGTAAACTATATTATATAGATTGTTTAGTGTTCACTGTACCCCTATAAGACAGGTACTATAGTGTATTTAATTATCCTATTTTACATATAAAAAACTGATGTTCAGTAATGATAGTAAGTTGATACTTATATTAATAACCAATAAGTGGATGAGGCAAAATGTAAATCTTAACCATTAAACTCTGCCTAGCCAGTGCTAGCTGGAGTGGTTGGTTGATTTTATTATGAAAATAGAAATAAGATTCTGCAGGAATTAAATTGGCACATAAATAAAACCCTATTCATCTTTCATTCAAATTTAGTTAGCTTGTTAATAAGAATCCACATCATCAATGACATCTTGGTCTGCTGTGACTGAAAAGCTGTTACCACTGATTTCAAATGTATAAAATTAGTATTTAACAAACTATTTTAAGCCTTTTCTCCCTTTTAAATGACTAAAAGTGTTCTTTAATAATGGAAATTCTTGCTAGCCATTGTCTTCTTTACCATGTTACTGTCTTATAAGATACCCTTATTAAAATGCTAATTAAAGCTCTGAAAAAAGTTGAAGAAGTTCTGCAATTCATTTTAAGTAAGAATAGATATTAACACCTTTCACTTTGTGATAATGTGCCTTGTCATTGCTAAATAATATAAAGCTGCTTTTTTCTTCATATTTAACAAAATGAGTTGGAGACAAGCTGCTGACCTTTTAATAAGAGTCTCACTAGAACACTGAGTCAGAAAGCAAACTGAATTGGTAAGCAATTATTAGGGATTATACTTAGTTTTGGACTCTAATCAGTGTGAATGGAATGTGCAGCTACCATAGACATGGTTGGAGTTGAATCAGGAACTTGTATTATTAGACTCTACAGAATGCTTGTATGTTGAATGGACCAGAAGATATTTTGTCAGTCTTATAAGACTCTAAGAAATAAAACAGATGCTAAATGCCTAAGTATAAAATGATTTTTTAAAATTAACCTGCTCAACATTTTTTCATATATTAAATGATTCAGAATAGAAACTCATAGTATTCCAGCTCATTGTAAATATCTTTATCTTCCTTGAAATAAACAAACTGACAAAAAATAAACCCAGAAATTTTAGAGTAGAAGGTGATGATTTTACACATTATTATTTTGTAGAAACTTACCTCATATTAGTCAAAAGGGCTCTCCTGCAGAAAATCGTTTTGGGATTTTTCAAGCCAGCCACTGTTTCAGTGTACTGCAAATGTCAAGGCACCTCCAGCTTTTGCTAAACTAAATGAACATACAAGTTAGCCACAGTTAAAAGGTAATAATTTTTTTTTCCCATTTTTCCTTTAGGGAAAGGTTCTTGCTCTGTCCCCTAGATTGGAGTGCAGTGGCACAATAATGGCTCAAGCAGCCTCCAACGCCTGAGCTTAGACAATCCCAGCACCTCAGCCTATTGAGTAGCTAGGACTGCAGGTGCATGCTACCACACCCAGCTAATTTATTTTTTATTTAATTTTAATTTTTTTAAATAGTTGGGATCTTGCTATGTTGCTCAGGCTGGTCTTGTACTCCTCCTCCTCTCTTATTCTTTAAATCATTTCTAGATTACATATAATATCCAAGACAAGGTAAATGCAATGTAAATTGTTGTTACATTGTATTATTTAGGGAATAATGACCAAAAAAAGTCTGTACATGTTCAGTACAGATGTGACCATCCATTTTTTTAAAAAAATTTACAATCCATTGTTGGTTAAATGTATGAATGCAGAACCCATGGATACGGAGGGTTGACTGTATTTTTATGTTACAGAAACTTCCAGCACTGCAATGTTATCAATTTCTCGTATGTATAAGTTTCTATTTTTGTATACTTTGTTCTTTAATCAATTAAAGGTGAACTTCGTGAAAATATAAGGAAGAGTTCTACTTCATTTATACATCTTTTGTATTTTTGCAATGCTTATAGTGTGTTTAGTTTTCTTATAAGACCCTGTGACCATTGTTTCATTTCCCACCAATTGTTCAGATTTACGTAAATATTTTACATATATGATAAAATTTAATTTGTCAAATTCTTGAGAAATCTGGTTGAGATTTTGATTGTTTAAATTTAAGTAATACATTTAGGGAGACTTGGCATATTTTTTATATTGAGACATTGCCACCAAAAAGAAGGCAGGTCTTACCATTTATTAACATCTTACATTTATCATTAATCTTTCATATTTTTCTTTAAATGGTTTTTGGACATGTCTTTGAAGATTAACTTATAGGTGTTTTAAAAATTATTTTGTTATTATCAAATGTTTAATTTTCCCCAGTTAGTAGTTGCTGCTATTAAAAAGATCTATTAATGTTTTCATTTTTAATCACACTGACTATTTTATTAGTTCTTATTCAAAGAGACCCTTCATACAATACCTCTTTATTGATCTAGAGCCCTCTGATATTGACCATGCATGTAATACCCTCTTCATTCTATTGTGAAAATACTAGTATTACAAATTTTGCCTACTAATTATTGTTCTTATCTAAGTCACACTAAGATCTTCGGCCATCTTTCTTAGTGAGATACATATTACAGTCTTGCAGTATATGAATCCTGACGATGGGTGAATGCACAGATAAATGAGAAAACTTGAATTTGAGAGTGATTTTATGTGATTTCATGCCAGTCTCTTAACCAGTCTAAGGTTTTTTTTTTATTCAAATCTATAAAAGGTGAGAAGAAAAAGAATACCTATATCACAGGTCGTTTTATGGAACAAGTAAAATAACTTTTTAAGCTATAAAATAATGAAAAATATCTCGTGTTATTTCTATTACTATAATACTTTGGCTATAAGTAATGTTATGCCTATAGGATTTTTCTTTTAAAAATTCTTTGGTTTGATACATCTTGAGGGTACAATTTTCTTAGGTATTCTATATATTCCTTTATAGAAAAAAATACTGGGCCAATATAGTGAAAAGTGGAAATTAAACTTCAGAAATTTCACACCACAAAATAATTAAATGTTACCTGTCTATATGTAGAAATACACTATATGTTTCTTTTGCCTAATTTAAAACTTACATGAATTTTAGTTTTCACATTTTAATCCTAGAGAGTAACATGATTGGTAACTGAAAGTGGTCAATTTGATTCTTTAGTTTATTATCACCTTACTGTGGCTTTTCGCAAAGTTACTTAATCTGTCTCTCTTTTGCTAATTGTAAAAAAGAAAAATAATTGTTGAAATAACTATGGCTTAAACAAAAATGGATGAGCTAACCATATGGAATGTAGATTTTTTACAGATATTAAAATGTTACTTTAGCAACAATAATAATTTTATTTCAAGGAAGACTGATGAAATGTAAATTTTGGTCTTAAAAAAACACTCCAACAGGATTAGTAAAAAGGCCTATAAGATCTTTCAAGACCCTGACTACCTCTTTCAAAACATCATTTCTTGAGTAAAAAGTAATCAGAAACATTCTGGGTTCCTCTTGAAACTGATGTGATCTAAAAAAAAAAAAATTAACACAAGAGAAATAAAAAAAGATGTAAGAAATTTGGGTCAAACTTAAATGTCAACAAATCCTCTCCTTTGTCAGGGACATAAAAGATGAAAATGTTTAGACTTTATTTAACTTGAAAAGAGCAATGCTTTAACACTTGGAATCTTCACTATTTTACTCTCTATTATTTTAGAAAATAAAAAAATCTCAGAGTAGGAAGAAACATTAGGGTTATCTATTCCACTGCGGTCAATGACTTAACCTCTTTTATTGTATTTCACTCGAATGTTGGCTTATTTTCCTATCTACTCCCTCACACAAATTGTTTCAATTTGGAAAAACTGTACTGGCTAGCTATTGCTTATATTGATCTTAAATTTACTTCCTAGAGATATCTTAGATCCTAGATTCAAATAAAGTAAAAGCAGAAGAAAGAGCAGCTGAAGCTACACAGTATGATGTTATGTGATAGATCTGTATCCTTATGTTTTGCAGAGAAAAGAACACAAACAAAATGAGAAAATAAAAAAAGAAGACACCCAGAAGGGTAATTGCTCTCGGTACTTTCTAACTATAAGAAGAGGCATTGTAATTTAAACAAAGGTGTCATCCAGGAGACAGGCATGCCTTTGGCATGATCCTAATATATAGTCCTTAGAAAGACAAGTAGAAGGAAAACACCACCCCTCACATACAATCTATAGTTGGAAAATGGATAAATTAATAGAGATACAGACCTAGCAATTTATGCATATGTAAAGTTCTATGGCTTTATCTCTATATCTGCAATCATTTTTATATTACAGACACAGAAATTTTTCACGAGAACATGCTGGTATTTGAAATGTTCCAAAAAATCTGTTCCATTTAAGTAAGCCTATCTTAGTCGATTCCCCCATCTTCCAAAATCATGACGCAAAACAAATATCAACTAATGACAGAATCCAGAAACAAAGCTTTTTAGAGAGACAAGGAAAAGCATGGTGGTGGAGAGTAAGTTGCATCAGGCCAGACACGGCGGCCCACGCCTGTAATCCCAGCACTTTGGGAGGCCAAGACAGGCAGATTACCTGAGGTCAGGAGATCGAGACCATCCTGGCTAACATGGTGAAACCCCATCTCTACTAAAAATACAAAAATTATCTGGGTGTGGTGGCACATCCCTGTAATACAAGCTACTCGGGAGGCTGAGGCAGGAGATTTACTTGAGTCTGGGAGACGGAGGTTGCAGTGAGCTGAGATCATCCTACTGCACTCCAACCTGGCCGACAGAGCAAGACTCTGTCTCAAAAAAAAAAAAAAAAAAAAAGTTGCAAGCATCTGAACTCCAGGCCTTTAAAGAGAAAATGTTAAGTGCAAGGGATGGTTCCCGTTCTCAAGAGATTGGGGAAGTTGGCATGTTCCTGAGGCAGAGACTGCAGCACCAGGGGAAAAGGCAGGGAACAAGGGTTACCTAGAAGCTGAGAGGTACATTCTTACTCACATGATTTATGGAGGAAGAGTTTTCTGGAAGGGGGAAGTGAGATAATAGGACAGGCCAAAGAAAAGACATAAGCAAAAGTGTGGTCTCAGTTGAAGACTAGCCTCAGCCTGATCCAATGGCAACTCAGGAGTACAAACTGCCCCAACGAATTGGTCAGAGCTTGAGACTATCCTTTGCTACCCCAATACCAGGCCATCATTAGTTTAGGGATATCCTGGGGCATACTTACGGTTGGCTTGACATCCCAGGCAAAACAAAAGACAGTTTTGAATAAAATCAGAGGCATATAGGATGTAGGAAGAATTATTTACAGCCTCAGAGTATTAGACTTTAAGTGTTGAATAATTCCAATCAAAAGTCAGAGTTAATATTTTGGTTTTTAGTACTGGTGTGGGGGCCTATCAGGTATGAATGGTGCCTACATGTCCTTTTCAAATGAGCAAAATTTTAATATTTACTCAAAATCATTTGATTTGAGCATTGCACTCATACCTGTAGACAGGAGAGATGGGATATACTGATTGACTTTGAAAGTCTGAGTCCTTTGGCCTGGTAATGGGGTCAACTAATCCAGGACCATATGGATTATTAAAAAGAGGTATAGAAATAATGGGAAAATGAAAGGAAAAGTGGTTGTCAGAAAGCAAGCACATGTCTGTTACTATTACCCGGTACACTCTTGTGTTTATTGACTGGGGTACAGAGTCCAAGTGAGACTCAGAGATTCCAAGGAAAAAAATGCCTGATGTCCTCTAACCTTCAGTCCAGAGCTCTTTCTATCATGCTGATTTCTTCACAATCCTTCTGCTTAGTTTCTTCTAAACCTTTCTAATAAAATCGTAGGTCATTTTCCATTAGAGTTGTAAAATAGTAGTAAGTAATGAATTCTTAGTTGTATTCTACTGCTCATTTTCTTGTGTTAATCACTGCCTTGCATTAAGATCATCTTTCCACAGTGTTTTAAAGAAATTATAGTCACCTGGTTCCATTTTCACAGGTTCCAATTTAAGAGATTCAGGCTAGAGTATGGATGCTTATATTATTCAAGGCACTCTACAAGTGATTGCACGCCAATTAAAACTTCTGTTAGGTTGGTGCAAAAGTGACTGCGATTTTGACCATTACTTTCAGTGGCAAAAATTGCAACTACTTTTGCACCAACCTAATCATATCTGTTTGAAAATTGCTAAAATCAAGGAACCTGCATAAAGAGATTGACTGATTTTCTGTTATATTCTGGAACAGTTCCTTTAAGGTGAGTGTTTAATTCAGCAATTATATATTTGCAAGTTTTGATTCATCTTACATAAAAGGCCCATAGGGCAATTATCACCAGGCTTCTATAAGTAGCGGCAGCCACATTACAAGTTTAGGGAAGGCGTTCTTGTCCATCATTAAAGAGTGAAGCAAAACTTCACTCTTTAGAAACAAGTTTTAAAAATATTCCTTTCTAATAGTATTTCTTTTATATATAATATTGGGGAGTGATTTCTAAGATTTTAAACATGAAAATAAATAATTATACACTGTGGAAATTCCTTTCTCTTTGGATATCTTGAAGATAGAATAGTTAGAAATATTAAGAAACAATAAAAAGTAATATTAAAGCTCTCTTCTACAACACAGTTCCAGTTTGAAATAACTGGATTTTAAAATGAAATAAAGAGAGAATATAGTCTGAGTGAGATTGAAGGCTATGCTAAACTGTTCATTGTCAGTTGTTTTATAAACTTAATTTTCTTAGCATGAATTATGTTTTACTTTATTAAAATTAATAAAGTATGTAAAATTTTACATATCTATAAAATATAAAAATTAATTCATGCTAAAGTAGATAAAAGTAAAGAAGAAAAACTGAGCTTATCAAAGCACCACAACTGTCCAAAATAATAGAAAGCCAATTAACATCTCTGACGAGTTAATTAAAATACATATTCAAAATGGGTTATTTCACTTAAATTGATTATTTGTTGTTTTCTTTACCAAACTGCTGTATATAAAGTAAATTGTATTGTCATCTTTAAAATGTTAGAATATTCTGAATATTAATTAATAAACATTAAGTTCATGACACCAAAGTCAATTTTTAAAAAATTGGAAAGTATTTGTTTCTAGATGTTTCTTCAATATAAGTCTAAATTGGTCGTGAGTCATTTAAAGAACTCACTTATTTTGGAAAATAAACTAGTCTGCTTTTTAGAAGTTACAAAGTACCAGTTAGCAAATCTATTTATAAATCCAGTTCATAAATGTTCTCCAAAAATTTCAGATAAACAAAGCTCCCTCTGCTTGGTTTTCAGAATACTTAAATTATTTATGATAATGTTAAATATCTGGTAAATATTTTCCAGTATGTTACTCTCTTTATTTAATCTTCTCTTTCTAGCTTATTTTAATTTTGCTTTCTATAAATAATTAATAGGTATGTTAAAAGACTATAACTATAGTCAATTCATCAAGTTACCTCAACTGTTTCCATTTGGGTAGTTATTTGTCACATTTAATCTACCTTTACTAAAAATAGCATTGAGAAAATTTAAATACACACACACAAACACCACACAGTTTAAAGGACCATTTATTACCTCAAAACTACAAGGTAAATAGACAACTAGGCAAATAGAATCAATGACATAGAACAGACCATTTAGTCTCAGCATGTGTAAAAGCTTCATAGGAATAATATGTAGAGATAAAACTCTGGGAGTAAGAGGTGAATTGTCCAATATATTGGGTTGAGAAAATTGAAAAGATATTTAACGATTAATTAATTCAGATACACATTTTACTTTAGGCATTTTACAAACCAGAAGAATGGAAAAATTTGCAATAAAAAAGAAGATTTATATAAGCATTAATGAGGAAAGTTTTTGTAAGCATTGGTAAAGTAATAAGAGACAAAGGCAATAGATATGACTTCATAAATTTTTAATATTCGTACACATAAAATATACACTTTAAATTATAATTAAAGGAAAACAAGTTGGAAACTAATTTTGAGTTAAATATAATTGTTAAAACATTTAAGTACTCTTAAAAATTGATAAGAAGATCACCACATCTTCAGGAGAAAACTAGTCACAGGCTCTAAAAGACATTGTCAGGAAAATACATACAATTGGTCTTAAGCTGCATAATATATTGTCATTGGTGATTATTTTGTACCTATAGTCTGTGAATTTACTCTCTATCCACTTTTAAGCCCTCCCTAAATAATCCCATTTATACTCGTGCCTTCAGTTATACACCCAGGGCCCTCATATTTGTATCTTCAGCTGAGAATTATTTTTCGTGCTTCAAATGATTCATGGATGTAAACAAAACGAAGTTTTTCCCCACAGTTTCTTAAAAGTAGTTCACATTTAACAAATCCAAAATATATTACATGACCCAGTCACTCACAAAACTTATTCTTCTACGGGTCTCCATTCATCTCATGATACAAGCTAGAAAATAGAGTCATTATTGACCACTCTTCCATCATCATGAATGCCCAAGACATCTCCTGGTCCTGTCAAATGTACCTGCAAATATTTCCAACTTTTTTCTCATCTACCTTTTCACCTTGTCTCCATGCATTCACATGGGCTTCATTCCAATTTATTTTCTGCATTAAAAAACATAACTTTGTTTAAAAGCCAAATTACATGTTGTCATTCTCTATTTAAATCTCTTTAGTGCTTCTCATTAAGATCCAAGGAAAGGATTTAAATACTATCTAGTTTTTATGCTTATGTTTTATATTCACCTATCCCTCCAATCTCATATCACCAAAGAACAATGCTCTCTCCTACCCCAGATCCTTTATAGACATTATTCTTCCCAGAACATTTTCTATCTGCTTTTTTGTGTCTAATGGCTATTACTCCTCTTTTAGCTCTAAGTTCACTGAGAGTGTGTCCATGGCAGTTTTACATGAACCAGAGATTTAACTTCCCTATTATGATCTCTCATATCACCTTGTACACTCCTCCATAGCACTGACCACAGTTTTACAACTGTAACTGTAGCTGTTACATTTATTTTTGTGATTGTTTCATTTATGCCTATCTTTTTCCATTCACTGTAAATTTCAGAAACTTAGCTACTCATGCTCTCTCTAGTACCCAAAACAGTGTCCAAAAGATAGGAAACCAAAAAACCTTTGATCTACAAGTAAATGAAATAAAGTCTGTATACAACAATGGGATGAAAAAGAATAATTGGATTCTATTCTGTAAAAAAGAAATGGAAGTATTGCCTTTAAATATTTCCACTGGGAGTAAAACTTAGTACAATCTTTTTTGGAAACCATACCAACTAAAAGATAATCCTTAAGAATTGTCACAAGATTTATTCTAGTAGTTTCACTTCAGATATTGTAATTTTTACACTAGAAAAAGATGGTGCAGGTTCTTATTTAGTTGAATGAGAAAAGAATAAAATCCAAAGGAAATATTCAGAAAAACTATCAGTGTTGTGAATGAATATACACACATACACAAACAAGAAATCCATTTAAATGTTATGTACTATGACAAAAGTAATACAAACATTCTGCAGGTTTTAAAAATATGTTAGGCCAGTCGCGGTGGCTCACGCCTGTAATCCCAGCACTTTGGGAGGCCGAGGTGGGCAGATCATGAGGTCAGGAGATCAAGACCATTCTGGCTAACACGGCGAAACCCCTTCTCTACTAAAAATATAAAAAATTAGCCAGGCATGGTGGTGGGCGCCTGTAGTGCCAGCTACTTGGGAGGCTGAGGCAGGAGAATGGTGTGAACCTGGGAGTCAGAGCTTGCAGCGAGCCGAGATTGCGGTACTGCACTCTAGCCTGGGTGACAGAGCGAGACTCCATCTCAAAAAAAAAAAAAAAAAATATATATATATATATATTTTGATGATAAATGTAATAAATGAGACATTGTTATAAAAGATTTAAAGTTTTAGAGATGGTTAAAATTATGCATATATACACAGTAATAAAACTAAGATTAAAATAAAAAATACCAAAAAGTGAACAGCAGTACCTGCCTCTGATTTTTATAGTGATTTTTTCCATGTATTTTTCAACCAACATGACTCATTGCTATAACAAAAAATTGTTTAAAAATTCCCAAGATTTGCTATTTCATATTTCGTATTACTTTAAGGAAACTGGTCTAATAAGTTAGTGACAAGATTAATTCAACCTGAATAGGCTATTTTCTGCTTTCAGAATGTATGTTTTCCACTTGCCATGAATTCTTAGATTCAATAAGGACCTCTCTGCAGGTTTCCTAACAAATCTTTAGATTCATGTCAGGTGTACATTCTGATTTATATATATTAAGATTACTTAAAATCAGTGAAGCAAACACAGTCATGATTGCTAAATGCCAAGTCACAGAAATTCAGTATTAGTCCCACTAACTCTGTTCATTTCATATCTTAAAAAATGTTGATAGAGTTGGGGAGAAGAAAAATAAAAAGTCAATTGGGCATAGAATAATTAAATTGTGGGTGAAGCTAGAGATTGTTTCTGTCCCGTGAAGCCTTGACAATATTTGGGCAGTGTCTCTGCATTTCATATTTTTTAACTTACTTTTTCCAATAAAAATGATACATATTTATTTTCCAGTTAGGGAAACTTTTACTGGCTGGGACTCTTTTAAAATATGAAGTCTAGTCGCATTTTAAAAAGTAGCTTTTCTCATTAGGTTAAACAATCAGGCCAGATAATTTAATCAACACAAACATTATTAGGGATACCCATAGACAAGTCTCATTAATGACAAGAACCATCACAGGAATTTTAGACAATGCCCTGTATTTCTGATGAGCTAGGAGAAAGACAGAATACATTCCAAATAACATATTCCTTGGTGAACATACGGATTTTTTAAAACTATCACCAGGAGATCATAGTACAAAATATAATTTAGACTGCTAATCCACAAGAGACAAATTACTTACTATTACAAATTACTTCTTAGCTTCCCATTAGCTTATATAAGTTCTAATCATAGGAATGAGTAAAATCATGAGATTCTATGGTCCTTTTGCCATGTATGCTTGCTGTGTTGTAATAGTTTTGTTAGAGAAGATAGAAAGCTTACCACTCAGTGCCATAAGTGAGAAGGAACAACAACAACAAAAAGGACTGTGGCCAGACATGGTGGCTCATGCCTGTAATTCTAGTGCTTTTGGAGGCCAAGGCAGAAGATTATTTGTGGCCAAGAATTCAAGGTTACAGTGATCTATGATTGCACCACTGCACTCCAGCCTGGGTGACAGAGTGAGACCCTGTCTCAAAAAAAAAAAAAACAAAAACACACACACATATATATATATAAAGAAAAATAATGAATGTGGAATGCTGTCATTGTCAATAAAATAGCATATAAAGTAGAGGAGAAAAGTTACCTACAGAGATGATGGTGTGACTTAGTTTTGCACATGGAGATCAATTTCAGATTTTGTTTTCCTTTCAGAAAGAAAGATTAAAAAGCATTTTAAGAGATAAAAGAGGCTTTTTCACAAGAATAAAAAGTTTAATTTATAAAGTACCAAGAAAATACATCAAATCAAAATATATATGCATCCAATATATGGCTTCAAATCATATGAAACAAAGATAAAGAGAAACCAGAAAGAAGTAGCCATATTAACAATCATTGAAGGAGAATTGAAACTTACGTAACTGTGCATTCCAGTTACAGAAGAAAAAGTTGAAAAAAATAAGAAAGGGCAAGGAAGATTTGAGTAAAACCAAAATTTGCAGAATATGTTTTCTTCAAGCACATATGGGCCACTGATAAAAAGTGACTAATTGCAGGTCTATAAACCAAACCTCAACATATGGTTAAGCACTGAAATCATACAGAATATACTCTCTAACTGCAGTACAACTGCATTAAAAATGAATAAAAAATAAAACTAAGAAATCTCCAAATAATTAAAATCTAAAAAATACAATTCTAAATAATACACATTTCAAAGAAGCTGCAAAAAAATAAATATTTGAAGTAAATGACAATGAAAACAATCCATACATTGTTTGTAAGATACAGAAAAACAATTTCTTGAAGAACTTTGTTAAGTGAGTATATTACAAAAGAAGAAACATTGAAGATTAATGAGTCAAATATCCACCCCAAGAAGTTAGGCAAAGTTCAATAAAAAGAAAATAAAAATAAAAGGATCCAAAGTAAGTAAAAATGTACAAATAATAAAGAATAAAGCATAAATAAATAAAAAGCAAAATAAAAATACAAAAGAGAGGATCAACAAAGTAAACTATTAATTTTTTGAAAAGACCAGTAAAATTGATAAAACTCTGGCAAGACTAATGAGACAGAGAAAAAGAAAAAGAGAAAGAGAAATCTTATCACTGATATCAGGAATGAATAAGAAAATTTTATTGATTCACTTTAGGCCCAGCAGAAAATAAGACAATAAGATATTGTGAACGAATTTATTTCAGCTAAAATGAAAAACTAAATAAAATTGACAAAGCTTTTAACAACACATATAAAACAAGCAATATAGAAAACTTATGTAATTATATATTTAATACAGAAAAGAAATTAGTAATTTTATATTTTACCATTGTGAAAATTTTGTGACTTAATGTTTTCATTGGGAAAACTTACCAAATATTTGAAGAAACCATATTTCAAATCTTAAATAAATTATTCCAGAGACTGGAATGAGGAAACACCCCTTAAATCAATTTAAATGGTAATTATAACTTTGATATTAAAACTGAGAACATCAGTACAGGCAAAGAAAATTACAGATAAACTAAAAGATACCAGATACAAAATTCTAAATAAAATATGAGTAAACATAATGAACCAATATAGAAAGAGAATTCAACATTACCAAGGTCAATCCTAAAAAAGCCAATCAACATGTTGCATCCCATTAACAAGCTAAAGAAGAAAAATCATTTGAGTATCTCAGTAGTTTTAGAAAAAATTATCTTATAAAATTTGTGTTACTATACAAATAGAGTGGAGCTTACTTAATTAAACAAAGATTTTTTTCAACAATAAACAGAGAAGCAAAAACATAACAAAACAAAAAATTTTAGAATCATCATACTGAAAGTGAAACATTAAAATATTTTCTCTGTACAAATAGGGACAAAAGAAAGACTCAAAATTACTACTTCTATTCAATATTGGAAAATGCTGTAAAGAACTAAAATAAATTAAAGTATAAATATTGCAAATAGAAAATCTCTAAATGTTTATAGACAATAGGATTTTGTGTGTGTGTTTAAAAATTCAATAGACTCTAAACATTAATTTTTTAGAATTAATTGGAAAGTTGAGCAAACCTCCTGGTTTCTAGTACAACATTCAGAAACACACTACAAAGAAAAAGATATAATTTACAGTATATGAAAAATATCAAGTACATAGTAATAAATTTGACAAAGGTGTACTTGAGTAGAAAAAATAAAAGTATAAAAATTTAATGAAAATCTTTAAGAAGGTCTAAAAAAATAGATTTATGGCATAGATTGCACTACAGAACAGTGAGTAACCTATAGTCTTTTCGAGTAATTTATGCAGAGGCATTTAAGTACTGATATGAAAATTATTGTACCTCCCATTTATACTACAAAAATTCATTCCAAATAATTTATAGATTACATGTGAATAGCCAAACAAAGCTTTTATAATACAGCATAGGAGGCAATCTTTATGAATCCATAAGGGACCAGTTGAAAAGCATTATTCATTAATTATGTTTATTATTACAAAGTATGAGGAAGATTCCTTAAATTATTCAAAAGCATGAACATTGACTTGAAATGATACTCATGATACATAAAATGAGAAGAAGAAGTAAGAACAATAAATCCATAGTAATCAATGCCATTTGGCATTGACACTAAGAGAAGAGTATAGATTATGAACAGAATTAAAAGTCCAGAAATCAACTTTATATTTATGGTCAACTGACTTTTGACGAAAGTGCAAAGACAATTCAATAGGAAAAGAATAGTCATTTCACAAATGCTGCTGGAAAAATTATATATCCCCATTGAAATATTTTTTATTAGAAAAAAGGGGGGAACCTTGCACCTCTACCTAACATTATATAGAAAATTTATTAAAAGTGGATCAAAGACCTAAATATAAGAGCTATAACCATAAAAACAAACAAACAAAAGCATCTGGAAAAAAGAGAGAAATAAATTTTTTGGCCTTGGATAAGGCAAATAATTCTTATATGTAATACCAAAATAATAATTCTTATAGGACAAAAATTGATAAACTGCACTATACCAAAATTTGAAACTTCTGCATCTCGAATGACATCATTATGAAAATGAAAATATGAGTGAAAAACTAGGAGAAAATATTTTCCAATCGTATATCTGGTAAATAAGTTGTATCCAGAATACACAAAAATTTTCACCATTCAATAGAGAAGAAAAAATTTAAAAATGGGCAAAATAGTTGATTATGTATTTCACCAAAGAGATACACAAATGACCCATGTTATTATTATTATGACTGCTTACTAAGCATCTACAATTCTCCATACCTCGTTAAAGATTCTCGACATTCCAAAACTAAAGATATTGCCTCTGTCCACCATTTTAAATGGCAAGAAAGTTTGAAATTTTTCTGATAAATACATACATATGGTGATAATGGAGCTAGAGCAAGGGTTATTGAATTTAGCCTGAGAGGGGAGAGGGCTTTATCCAGGAGACATCTTGTTTCCAAGGAGACAAGACAATTGACTTCAACCTTAGAAGAGTCAGTTGTCTCAAAACATGTAAATTGAGAGTAGTCAGTTTAGTTTCACTTGCCTACTTTCATTAAATTATTTTTCTTTTTGGCTCTTAATGTTCTTATTCCTTCTGTGTTACCTTCCTCAAAAAACTAAGCCATTGGTCTTTATCTTCTGTGTAAAGTTTTCAGTTATCATGTCTCAGGTCCCAGGGTGGCTTGCTGCATGAGGAAATGGTCTTCATGTATTAATACCAATAGACTCTAAAGGCACATCAGACTTTTAAGGTTGCATACACCTATGGAAACTTGGACAAAAAAAACCCTTATAAACTTGCATGATGAAGTTCTCTCATTATTAAGCTGCCCCTATTTTAGATAGAAAATAAATGTACATTAAATTAAATTTATATTACTATATTTAGTTGCCGGGTCCATTCCACAGACCCTGACCGAGCGACAGATGAAAGCAGTATTCAGACACAGGTATCCAGTGAAAGAGCAGGCTAGGGGACTGCCGGCACTAGGGGCCGAAGAAAGTTAGCAGTCTCCATAAGCCAGAGCCACTTGTATTTATTCAGTACAGATTTAATGACAAAGGCTTGGAGCCAACACAACCTGTGGATAATTAACATTGCCGTCCCCCCTCCCAGGGAGTAGTCTTGCACGGGGATGATCAAAGGTCAGTTTCCGGACAACATAAGTAAACAAATGTATCTAGATAAACTCCTTTACACTCCCTTGTTACCTACTTCTTGCCCTCAGCCTCAAGGTAAAAGAATTAGCCTCCTTCAGCTTTTATTCTCTCCCAAATCTTTGCAAAACCTCCCAGCCTTCAAAGAAGGTTTGTGTCTTTCCCTATAACTTTTCTTATAACTTTTCCCACCACCCAGATCGATATCCTACATTTTGTCATGATACATACCCTTTTCTTTCTCTTTGTGTAGATACAACATAGATTAATTTAGTATAAGACATACCACTTTCAGAACCAGCCTCAGAACTTAGTGACTGATATGTTCTTCATCGAGCAAAATCATCTTTGAATTTGGAACACATCTCAGTGGATCCATGTATTAGTCATGTGATTTTCAAATATGTTACCTAACTTCTTTGAACATAACCTGATTTTCAAAAGGGAATAATGATACCTACTTTATCAGGATTGAGTCAATCAAGGTTCAGTCAGGAAAATAGACACCACCTTATTTGTTATCAATAGAAAGGGTTTAAATGTTGTGTTTAAAAAACAAATGGAAGATCTGAAACCACTGTCAACACAACAGAAGTATATGGCTATGAAGAGCTCAGTCCACGGCCATAGCAAATTCAAGATCTCTGCGAAGCTCATCCAGATAATCTCAGCTTGCAGCAATGATGCAGGTTCTTCTCAAACAGCTCATCTGAGTTACTTTGAACCTTGTAGCTGTCCAGGAGCAACTGTCTCTGGAGCATAATGGTCTCTCTTTGTCTCCTGCATTTTATGTATCAGACAGAATTTCTCATTTCTCTCTATGTCAAAACCATAAGTGGAAGTGAATTCACTAGAACTCAGTTCCTATTTTTCCTTGAATCAGGGAGAATTCAGAGGGGGTGGTGCTGATACCAACTTTGTAAGACAATTCAGCACTGGTTATTGAGATATTAAGTAAGATTAAATGAAAGGGGTTTAGTATGTAGTGTCACATACAGTATATATTTAATAAGTGGTGATTATTATCATGAAGTAAAGTTCTAAGATGTTATACTCTCCCAAAGCAACCTAATCTATACTTAATAATTATTTACTGGAAACACTGAATGTCCGCTCTAATGATTTATTGACACTTCTAGATAGTTATGTATGCCATTTTTTTGATTTTATATTAAATAGCTAAATTAAGACTATAGGAAAAATTGCCTTCATTATGATTTGATAGTGCTTTCATATATAAAAAACCAAGGCTTATACTTTCAACATATTGTAACTACCATTTCTAAATCATAAAAAAAGAGAAAAGATCTTTCGAGTATGGTGTACTTTAGTAGGAATGGTTACATTTATAACATCTAAGAAAAGTTGAAGAGGGCGCTTTAAATTCACTGCTTCTTAATTCTTTCAATATTCTTAACAGCCCATTTCTTCTACTGTATCATGAGAGTTCCATTAAACCAATACATTTAATTATTTCAGTGAAATGTTTAAGGCACTTTTAAAATAAAGGCTGACTTCAAATTTTTTAGAGGCATTGTGGCTGACATTGAATAACCAGAATAGAACTGATAATAGAATACTTCACAGGGTACAAATACCTTTAGCAACCCTCTATAATTAGCAATTTTATTGTAACCTACCCTTCAGAAGATATCCAAAACCCTATATTCAGCTTACGAATAATGCATTGTACTCAAATTATATAGTGAAGTATTGAAACTTACAGAACTACAAACTATGCTTTCATTTAATATTTGAATGGATTAACAGTATTAGCAACAATTTAAAAAATGACATAACTGGTATAATTATGTATACTAAGTAATTTAATATCTGCAGAAGTTCATGAAGTATGTACAATAGTGATCATGGTTTTTATGTTGATGAAGAAATTGAATCAAAGATGACTGAAATAACTTGCCCAGTATACAAAGCAATCAAGTGACGAAACCAAGAAATTAACACAGCAGTTTGATTACGTAACTGTTTATTCTAAACAATGTGTTTCTATAATAAAGAATATCAGGCCTACCCAGTCTCTCATTGCTCAGGTGAGTGTACTGAGGCCATACTTCCAGATTATTAGTCAATAATCTTATTATAATTAGAGAGATAACAGAATTACTATATTTTCTAAGTATCCTAAGAAAACCCTTAGCATCCTTACTATCTTTACTATCTTCAGGTAAAATCTAATATAAACTTATTTTACAACGTGATAAGTAGTAAAACAGGGATAAGATCGGAATGTGAAAAGTGAAAAAGAGAAAGTGGTGGAAGGCTATTATTTTACATGCAGATAGGTATCTATGTTTTCCAATCATTTATTTACCAATAGTATCACAATAACCTTTAAAATAAGTTGTTGTGGCACAGTCCAGCCACTAGTCAGGCCACACTGAAACCACTAAGGAGCTGTGTGAAAGCTCCTGGAGCTTTTTCATCTTCAAAATTAGCAAACTCCAAGTGATTTTAGCTTATCAATTGGAATATACTTTAGGTGGTTTCCTAGAACATGAGAGAAAAATATTTATAGAACACCTGAGAATATTTTGAAGATTTTTACTTCTTTATGTGAGCAAAAAATGATAGTTGCTCTTTTTGGTGGTAGTTCAGACTTCTATAGCTTAAAAACTTGAAGTAATGACCAGCTGATATAAACCTAACTTCACCATCTGATAGTCAACTTCTAGAAAGCACTATTATTATATGATAAGAGATAATGTGGGTTAATTAAGATTATCAAGCTTTTACATAACTTTGGGAACTCAAGGACTGAAACATTTCAGGGTTCACTGCTTTCATGCCAATGTAAAAGAAAAAATGAAGACATAAAGTGTAATTCATTCTAAAAAGTTTATTAATGGAATTGCAAGAAGCTTTAATTACATCTAGTTTGCTGATTCATTTTCAATGCTTTTTTTCTTTGTGGATTTTAAATCAGAACATTTTAGAACCATGAAAATCTTTCAAAGAACATCTGATTCAGTTCTCCTAACATTTGCCTACGGACACTCAGATACTATCACTTCAAGTGCTTATTTAATTTGCAGATACCTGGACTCCAACCAAGACCTAGAGAATCAGCGTTTCCGAGAAAACAAAAAAAAATTAAGAAAAGCTCAGAATATGCAGTTTAGCAAGATTTTCAGACTGATTCATAAGTACAGTACATGTTAATAACTACCAATATGGTACAACTCCTCACTTTACATATAAATGAATTGAAGTTCTGAGAATTTAAGAGATTTACCTATGTTATACAGCTAGAATCGGAAGCAAAAAGACATTATTGAATGCCTTAAATATCCAGTTAGTTTCGCTTCCATACACCCCATGTCCTTCTAGGAGTATAGCACAAACTAAAATTTGACTAGGCAAATATTTATTAATGGGCTGTAGGTAGAAGAGTTATTCAAAGCAGTATAGATATACCAAAAATTAGAATGAAACGATTTACTGAGATTACTATCAATCAATTTCAGCTATTCATACCAGGGTGTCTTAAGAAGTTTATTATTTCCTTGTTATCAAGAAATAATCCTTTAACAACTGAATGGAGAACTACTTATTTAACAATTAAGGGAAGGGGGAATCAGAGCTTTGCTGAATTGATTAATTTAATGGCTAGAATTAATGGTTCTCTGTAATCTTACCCATTAAAAATGTCCTCATGTACTAATTGTGGGCTTGCCCATATGACTCTAACTAAAATAGTGGAAGAAAGAGTATTAGATTAAAATGAAAGATCTAGGTCCTCATTCCAACTCTGTTACTTGCTACTAATTAAGTGAAATTTTATAGAAATCTACTGAGGGACAATGTAGGACTCCTTCACCGCACAGACTAATTTTTTCCTACTGTACTCTTGTCTCCTCCTAGTATAGTGTCCATATCAGAGTGGACTCTCCTCAGATGTCACTGCCATTGGAAAGAGCATTTCCAAGATGTGGCTCCCAGTTATACAGAAGTCTGTTGATACACAATTGACTAAAATACTGCTGTCTTAGAAAAAAGACTTCTTTCCTTCCATTGTACTTTCTAGCAAAATATTAAAATAAAAACGAATGGGATTTTTATTTCCCTTTATGAGTTTTAGAATTTCAAAACTATATTTTTATGCTTTTTTTCTAGAGGACTTGATTTACCTATTCTTTTCTTTGCAGAGGAAACTTAAATGTGATTTTCCAAAAATCAAGGAATAATTAGGCATAATTAATCACTAGAAACCAAAGGAAGCAATCAGAGATAATTAGACAACATCTCATATTTAAGTCAGTTGAGCAGTAGCAACTAATTTTTGTTTAGTTCATATCCTGAATATGATGTATTTTTCTGGTAAAACAAACATCACCAGAATACAGCATCAACATTCAACATTTTTGGAAAAATAAAACTTTAGTTCTTATATAATGTCATAGAAATTACTTCTGTATTACTCTGTTTTCACACTGCTGATAAAGACATATCCAAGACTGGGCAATTTACAAAAGAAAGAGGTTGAACTGGACTTACAGTTCCACATGGCTGGGGAAGACTCACAATTATGGCAGAAGACAAGAAGGAGCAAGTCACGTCTTACATGGATGGCAGCAGGCAAAGAGAGAGCTTGTACAGGGAGATTCCTGTTTTTCAAAGCCTTCAGATCTCATGAGACTTACTCACTTTCACAAGAACAGCACAGGAAAGACCTGCCCCCTACAACACCTGGGAATTCAAGGTGAGATTTGGGTGGGGACACAGCCAAACCATATCATCTTCTAAGCAAAATATCTTGAAAATTAAAGACTTACATTAGAAATTTTAGAAAGAATTATTTGACAAAAATTAAACTGTACCACAACAATAACTAGATTCTAGGGTAAACTGATTTTTCCAATGTGTGGTTGAATTCAATGGGACATAGCATCACAACTGAAAATATTATAGATATACTTCTCTGGCAACTGAGTAGCAAGAAAAGAATGTGTTTTCTCTGCATTCTTTCTCCTGTATTATATATGCTCATAGCTGGATTTCCTCTTTCACTGCGGTGAGAACTCACATTTTTGGCAATAACTTTCTGAGAAAAATTCAAGAATGAGGCCAACTCCCCAAGCAGACTACAGGGAAAATTTGCATTAAACCCTAGTTAGAACTTATAGCCAGTAGCTATAATCAGAGGAGACCCCGGCATTCTTTGTGGTGAGATTCTGTGGTCAGATTGCAATCTGTACCGCATTTGGTAGAGCTGACACCCAGTGCTGGGAATTCAGTCTTTCAGAGCTGTGCTTCTTCATTCATTGCAAATGAAATAAAAATCCTAAAATTTAGGGGAAAGGAGCAGAACATAGACTTATAAAATTAGTTTCATTGCTATCACATAACATAAAAGCTCTGAAAGAAGTCATAGTAAATATACACCATATTTGAATACTTTATAACGGTATGGCTTTTATAGTACTCTTTATAATTCTTTAATCTTCCAAATTACCATGATGCCATTCGTTGATATATACCTCCTTCCTCTTTATTCAAGAATCTCTGAATAAAAATGGGAGCTTCCATTTTCATTAGAAAGGCCAAATGAATTTTATCTGTGCTTGATGGATTGCACTTGTTCTTCCTTCTCCTCCCTCTTCCCTATTTTCTATATTCAACTTTATCAAGCTATAACTGATATAATAAAATGCACCTATTTAAGGTATACAGATTAATGCATTTTGAATTTTTTTCTAAATTGTAATGCATGTAACCACTCAAGTAACCAGTATTCAATCAAGATAGATAATATTACTTTTATGCCCCAAAGTTTCTTTATGCCCAAAGGGAAAATGTCTACAGAGATTTCCAGGCCTGAAAATATGGAGATCTACAGGCACCATGAGGATTGCCTTTCCTTATAAGCTAAATGAGAAATAATTGGAGACTCTGCAGCAAAGGAGTGACTTATTTGACTTAGCTGAGGGTTTGTATAATCATTAGGTTGAATGAGATATGATGATGCTCCTCCTCATAGTTTATGGGATTAAAAACCTGCTTTGTGTTAAAAGAGAAAATTTGCTGGGAATGCATAAAGATAGCAAGTACCAACACTTCATGGTAATGTTCATTAAAGCTCTACCCATATTTTTTAACAGAGCTGCTATAAACAGAATAATTAAATAAAATTCAAAGAAAGAAGCTGAAATATTTTAGCAAGTCTTTTTCCTAACACCTTTCTCATTTTTGAAAAGTTTACCTTCTTGTTGACTAAACATATTTTTCCTTGCATTTTTGATATTGGCTAATGTCATTTTTAGGATAAACTTGAGGTTTTTTATATTTCTGTTTAAGCCTTTTATATAATCAGGGCATCACAATTAAGGTGTTCTCTCACTCTGTGATAATATTGTAACCAAGTCCAAACTTGTCCTGCTCACCACACAACCATTTTCAGGGTTTGCTGGCTCTCCGAAATAAAGTTGCTCTTCTTCCTCAAACTCCTGTTTGAGCAAGGAAAGCAACTTTATTTCGGAGAGCCAGCAAACCCTGAAAATGGTGAACTGATGTTCTAAAGAACTGTCTTAGGTCAGTAAAAATTTCAGGCTCTTATTATATTAAAGGCAGGAGGAAGAGAAAGGGATTGTGAACAAGAGGTGACCAATGGCCACAGGCATTTGGGTACCAGTGAGGATCAGAAGAGGTTTGGAACTTCTTCATCCTTGGTCAGGTCACAATGTTCCTATAAATCTTTAACAAAACATAGCTAGTTGTTTACATATTTCCCTTTTAACCCCAGAGTTAGTTTCAAAAACTGCATGATTATTGTTTTTGTGTTTTTTCTTAGTGCTCTAAAATTATCCTAGCCTATGTGTAGGAATGGGTAAAGGCCCCTTAAACAAAAATGGAGTTAATTATGTTAGCTCTTTTGCTGATTCATTGTTACAATTCCCCACTGTCAAAGGCTCATTCCACAGTCTTGTAAGGTTAGGGACAGTGGGACATCGTCTCTCATCTGGGTGCTTCCTGCTGAACATGGTCAATGTGGGGCAACTGTGGAAATGAAACTATTTGACCTGGCAGCAAGTTGGTGTTCAGGACCTTATACTTTCCAAATCTTTAGAAGGACCCTATCTCCCAATCAAAAAGGATGTAGGGACATGTCTGTGGGATGAGTGGTCCTGCTAGAAGCAAACTCATGACATGTAGTAAGCATAGTACCTAGAGTGTTAACATATATGGCAATTGCTATATCTCTTAAAGCATCAGTTGGTTTTTCCACTGGGGCAGAAACCTGGACGTAGCCTACCACATCATATTTCAAGGGGACTCAACTTTAGCCTACATTGGGGAGCCACTCTAATCCACAACAGGGCAACCAGCAATGACTTATCTCAAGTTAAATTAGTTCCTCAACATATTTGCTCTTTTTTAAAAGATTATGGTTAATCTTTTCGTTAATTGTTGTCACCAAGATGCCCATCTAAAGGTTGTAGAAAAGAGTGAGTCACAGTTTCCCCTGACATTATTGTAATCATCATAGTCTTTGAATCAGGGGATAGATGAGTGTTAACTACAGAATCTGTGGCCCCCGTAGAAGAAAGTCAGATGTTTGTACCAGCTGGGTGTGGTAACTCACACCTGTAATCCCAACACCTTGGGAAGCTGAGGCAGGCGGATCACTTGAGATCAGGATTTCAAGACCAGCCTGGGCAACATGAAATCCTGTCTGGCCAACATAGTGAAACCCTGTCTCTACTGAAAATACAACAACAACAACAAAAATAGCCTACCATGGTAACAGATGCCTGTAATCTCAGCTATTTGGGAGACTGAGGCTTGAGAATCACTTGAAAGCAGGAGGTGGAGGTTGCAATGAACCAAGATTGTGCCACTGCACTCCAGCCCGGGTGACAAAGCAAGACTCTAACACACACACACACACACACACACACACACACACACACACACACAAAAGAAAGAAAATAAAATTTAAAATGTTAAAAAAATAAAAGTTTGTATCCCACTGTCAGTTGCACCTGGGGCTCCTGTGGAGATACAAGGATGGGTTGGCTAAAAATATGTATTTAACTAGTTACAGGAGGATCTATATTCACGGAGGTGATCTTGACATGCATATTGAACAAACATGCATGCAACATATGACCCTGATTACCTTGTGGTGGAGACTTAATCCTTGCCTGGCATGGCTTTAGACTTGTTTATAATTTGTGTCTTATTTCTAAAAGAATCTGTTCTGTCAGTCTTATAATCTCTATTTTAACATTAACTCTGATCAGTTGATGTGTCTAAACCATAAAATAGAAGGTATAATGATGCATATTTTACCTCCTGTCCCATAAGTGTTGGGAACTAAATTGTTAAGGCACTTTTGGAGAGGCCAAAGGAGACACCTGCATTGTCTTGCCTTGGCCAAAGAAAGTGTCCATTCAGTTGGTGGGATGTTAGGATTTTATTTTTATAGTTTACATTCTTCCTTTTTCATCAAGACATGCCAGAGGCAACATCAATTGCCAAAGTTTTATTTAGTTTAATGTCATTGCCAGGATGGTGTGGCTACCTGCCTCAGATCCATTATGTCACTTGTTGGGACCCCTATGGCCAAGCAGCTTAGAGTCAAAAGACTTACAGCCAATTAAACATTCTAGGCCATATGGGAATGGAAGTGGCCAGAGGGCCATTAACCAATAGAACCCTTTTAAGTAACATAAGAGTCAAAAACCCAAAGCCAAAAAGAAAGGTTACAGGATTGACTTGTCTATAAGTTCTGTGTGTTGACTCATCAGCTGTATGGGCACTTGTGTACTTGTCTTTGATTTGGAAGTTTTGAGCTAATTTCATCCCTAAAAACTGGCACTTAACAATCTCATATGCCCACCTCTTTCACGATAGTCCCTGGGCTTAGAGGGAAGGTGGTTGATACTGTATAGCTTTAGCAGCAGTGTGTTGGCAAAGCAAAATAGATGGGCCCAGTGGGATTGAACAGTTTTCAAAATCTGGAGATATTAGATGAGAGAGAAATGTAATCTTTATTGTTTTACCCAATTTCTGTAAGTCCTAAAT
This sequence comes from Homo sapiens, assembly GCF_000001405.40. Lineage (NCBI taxonomy): Eukaryota > Metazoa > Chordata > Mammalia > Primates > Hominidae > Homo > Homo sapiens. The sequence goes on along the minus strand of NC_000010.11, from coordinate 65,666,341 downwards.
AGCTCAAAAAGAGAGAAAAAAAAGGTTTTCTTAGCTCTGTAAAACCAAACATAAAGAATTAGCAACATTTCAAAAAAAAAGGTCAAAACCCCTGTCTGATTTTGACAATGATAGGAAAAGGAAGCTCACAGATAGATAAACATTCAAATTATCTAGAATCTAGGACTCAGATTGAATGAAAATTACTAAATGAATCTCAGTAATTTTTAATGCAGGACTGTTCATATGTCTCATGAGGTAGTTACTTTGATTGTTATGTTTTCTCAGGTCTGAAGATAAGCCTGTGGTTAACTAAAGTTTGGTGTCAGATACTGGCAGGAGTTGGTGCCATCTTTAGATAAGATCTTTGTACTCTGAATCAAAGCCCTGTAACTTAACAGCACAGGATTAGTTAATAGCACATGATAAAGGACCTTTTCAAGGGGAGTGGAGGTGGTGATACTGGAGTTTATGATCTAACTGGAAGTTGTGAAAAGGATTCTTCAACCTCACAGTAATTTAATTTGTATAGCTTTGATAAGTCCCCAGTAATAAGTCTAGTTCAGAGACTTAAGAGTTTTGATTTTGAGGACGTTTATCAAAGGTGTTAAAAGGCTTGCAACATTTTATCAACATAGAATAATAGTTACTCATTTAGGCAAGAGTGATAATCAAAAGACTTTACAAGCAATACAGAAAAACTTACATCAATATAAAAGCCTTAACCTTTTTAAAGTTTTTCTAAGTAAGTAGTCAGAAACCTAATAAAGACAGCCTAGTAATTATCTTGATAAAATGTAAACTCTTGTTTCTTAACTTGATTATGAAAAAAGCAAAGAAAAACCTGCAGTGTGACTGCTTCTCCTTATGGGAAGCCCATTTAGATAACCTAGAAGTCAGACTTGATAATAAAGGTATTTGACATTAACCATACACAGGGAGTGTGTTCAAGGTATGAGTATAGCAGGAGAATATATGACTCCTTGTAACTGCATGAGAAGTTTCCCAGTTACATGAAATGATTCAGAAATATGAAGAAAAGCAAAGAGGACAAAATCAAGTTAGATTTTTGGAAAATATTACTTGTTAGACACTCAAGATGAAGCATTTTAGCATCAGGCCACAACAACAATTAGAAACAGAGAAAAAGAGTTACAGGAGCTAAGATAAAAGTTGAGAGAGAGTGATCATCTCAGGCCTTTTAAAAGGGAGAGAAACAACGAAAATAGTGATACACAGCAAAAGCTGAAAATTCTTTTGTGTTTTTTTTGTTTGTTTGTTTGTTTGTTTAGAGACAAGGTCTCCCTCTGTTGTCCAGGCCAGAATGCAGTGCGGCAGTTGTGGCTCTCAATGCAGCCTTGACCTGCTGGGCTCAAGCAATCTTCCTACCTCAGTCTCCTAAGTACCTAGGCCTATAGGCACATGCCATCATGTCCTGATAATTTTAATTTTTTTAAGTTTTTATGAAGGTAGAATCTCACTATGTTGCCTAGGCTATTCTTGAACTCCTGGCTTCAACCAAATCTCTTATCTCAGCCTCCCAAAGTGCTGGGATTATAGGTATGAGGCACAAAGTGCTGGGATTATAGGCATGAGCACCTGGCCAAAAGTTGAACTTCCAAGATATAAATCTAAGGAGTTTTCAAAAGGAGACAGGTCATAGAATTAAAAATAAGAACCTCTTATAATTTTATTAAGAGTAAATAAATACTTTCCTTTATAATTATAATGAACTTACATATACAATTCCTTTCATAAATTCCATTTCACAAACCTTATCATGACTTACAGAGACCATTAATGACATTTGGACTTTGTGTTTTTCCCATACTTCCCTCTCTTTTAAAAAACCAGTCATTGTACTTTAGGATAAAAATTTAGCATACAAGATCCCTTTCCATACAAAATTATTCTTTTTTCTTTATAATTTTCCCTACAAAAATACATCTTCATATCCTTAAGTATCTTTGCATTATTCCTCCTACTTGTTTCTTCCTACCTTCTTTCATAACTTTATAATTACCTCTTTTCTTAATAAAAACACAACTTACAGAATTATGTATTAACTAGAATTCTTGTTCTTAGTAGCCTTAAATTTTAGGAAGCAGCAAATTGTTACCTGACTCTCAGATGTTAACATTTTATAGATGAAACCACTCCACAATTTTTAGTAACATGTTTTCCATATGATAACCCTTTCTTAATTGAAAATTACCCAGACATCCAACAAGCATCTACTATTCAATTCAAAATAATTTTAAGATTTTAAATTACAAAATTTATAAGTGAGCATGTATCCCATTTACATGTACTTATTTATTTATTTATTTTTGAGACAGGGTTTTGTTCTATTGCCCAGGCTGGAGTGAAGTGGCATGCTCATGGCTCGCTGTAGCTTCAATCTCCCAGACTCAAGTGATTCTTCCACCTAAATTTCCTGAATATCTGGGGACACAGTTGTGAGCCAACATGCTCAGCTAAAAATATTTTTTAAATTTTAAGAAAATTTGTTTAGAGATAGGGGCCTATGTTGCCAGGGCCTGCTTTTGAACCCCTGAGCTCAAGCAATACTTCTACCTTGGCCTCCCAAAGTGTTGGCATTACAGGTGTGAGCCACTTTACCCAGAAATTCTTTAATTATTAACATTTTATCCAAATTATTTCTGAAAACTGAGATATTAGACAAAGCTAGTCATCATTTCAAGTTATTTTCTTGTTAACCATTTAGTGTACCCTTGGAATACCAAGTATTCACCTAAGAAAGAACCTTAAAGTGAAACACATGAGCATCTTGCTGATAACTCAGAAAATTCAGGTGTTTTTATTGAATTAGCAATCTTAAATTAGTCTTATTTGTCAAAAAATTCACATAAACAAAGATTATTCTTTTTTTGGTTGGGTTTGTACTCTTATAACTTTTGTGGTTGTGCCAACCCCTGACACCTTAAAATTTCTAGCAGAGGCAAAATATAAAATAATCTGTAAGCCCACATAAAAAATGTATGCTTACAATTCCAAAGGCATTTCTAGTTTTGTTTTACTAATAATTTTAAAATTATTTTTATTTACCAAAGATTACTAAATTTATGTGAACTTGAAAAGCATTTGGATTTACTTAATTTGTGAGTAATCATTTACTTATAAGCCAATTTGGCAACATGCTGGACATGACTTTAACATAATACATGTACATACACATATGAACACATATACACACAAAATCAAAGATCCTGTATCTTTTACCTTGGAACTCTAATCATAAGACAGCATCACAAAGTCACCAGCCTATAAAAGACATAGCTGGATCCAAATTATTTCTGACAAAATTGAGACCTGTCCACATGGCTAAACTTTGTCTGATTGGTAATCCAGTGAAGGTTGTGGACCAAAATTTTGGGTCAAGCACATTTCAGGGAAGTTTAATAATTTAGAAAAGCCTCTTTTACCACCACCCCCTTTTCCCTTCAGTTTCAAATGAGTTTGCAGTGTTTATGTTTTAGCTAGAACTGACTTAACTGTATAAGAAAAACAAAATCTCCAAGTAACCTTGAATTGGTGTCAGCATAAACAGTGAGTTTTATCCCAACACCAATAGCTTACAAAGCTATTTCCTCTCACAGTAGATTCAAAGTAGGCAGAAAAATAAAGAGAAAAACAGATAGAGAGTTTTAGAAGACTTTACTTAACTCTATAATTGCAAGTTAACCATTTGAGTTCTGAATTTTTCTTGCTGTAATTTGCTGATCAGTTTAAAATGTGCAAAAATGGGCCATAGTATATAACCATCTAGAGTCCCAGAAAACCTGGCATGTCTTTTAACTTTCCCATTTTTTTAAAGATGTAACCCCAGAGCCCACAAAGACAACTGGAAGACAAATGCAAATGAACTGGTTCTCAAATTGGGTAAAAATCTAATAGCTGGCCGGGCACAGTGGCTTATGCCTGTAATCCCAGCACTTTGGGAGACCGAGGTGGGCGAATCGCAAGGCCAGGAGATGGAGACTGTCCTGGCTAACATAGTAAAACCCTGTCTCTACTAAAAATACAAAAAAAAAAAAAATTAGCTGGGCATGGTGGGAGGTGCCTGTAGTCCCAGCTACTCGGGACGGTGAGGCAGGAGAATGGCACGAGCCCGGGAGGTGGAGCTTGCAGTGAGCCGAGATCATACCACTGCACTCCAGCTTGGGCGACCGAGGGAGACTTCATCTAAAAAAAAAAGAAAAATCCAATAGCTATTCCCCTCTCCAATAGGGTACTCCAGTCAATACACAAAGTGGCTTATTCCAAGGAAAAACCCAAATACGAGGTAAAAGGAGTTGTTAACTCTACACACCAGAGTGACCTACTCAGTCCTGGAGCATGTCAGCTTCCCCAGACACACCACTTTTCCTAACACCAGTGAAGTGTTGCAGGCAGCTGATGCTGGGAAGAGGAAAGAAGGGAGATCCCCCAAGCCAAAGCAATTTTGGCAGCTGGGGTGTCTCTAGAATCCCAGCTATGGGGTCAGCTAGCAACAAGTAGCTTGCATTCAAAGTGATTGATGCTTTGCTTGGTAGTGTGAACGCTGCTGTTCCCAGTTGCTCCATCTGTTGGATACCAGGCAAGCTAGACCACTTGAAGTTTACAATCCCATGTTGGGCACCAAAAATTGTAACTTAACCCAGGTTCAGCTGCTTGCTGCTCGAAAGCCAAACTCGAAAGAGAAGTGTTGATGAGAGGAAATGCAGGTTTATTCAGGAGCCAACAACCAGAGGATATGACCAACTAGTGTTGCAAAACTATCTCAGGTTTCTCAGGGTGACCAAAATGGTTTTAAAGGGGAATGAGATTTTGTAATTATGAATATACATATATTTTTTTTTGAGACGGAGTCTTGCTCTGTCACCCAGCTGGAGTGCAGTGGCACCATCTCAGCTCACTGCAACCTTTGCCTCCTGAGTTCAAGTGATTCTCCTGCCTCAGCCTCCTGAGTAGCTGGGATTACAGGTACGTGCCCCCGTGCCTGGCTAATTTTTTTGGAATATACAAATTTTTAAAGGGAAATGGTGACTTGCCCAATAAAATGCTTAAATTTAGGTTAAATATGTCTCATAAGTATTAAAGGCAGAAATATTTTGTTGAATTATTATACTACTCTTTTTTGTATTTCATTTATGAATGCAAAGTATTTACTCTAATGCAGGGGTATCCAACCTTTTGGCTTCCCTGGGCCACATTGGAAGAAGAATTGTCTTGGACCACAGATAAAATACACTAACACTAACAATAACACTAACAATAGCTGATGAGCTGAAAACAAAAAAATCACAACAAAATCTCATAATGTTTTCAGGAAATTTATGAATTTGTTTTGGGCCACATTCAAAGCTATCCTGGGCTGCATGTGGTCAATGGGCTGTGGGTTGGACAATCTTGCTCTAGTGTATATCAAGATTTAACTTTTAGAGGCATTAGTATAGGTAATATTAAAAATTAGCCATTATATACACATACACACACATGCAACACACATGCATACACTGTGCTAGCATATACTATTAATTTATTTATTCAGCAAGCATATTTTGAACAAATCTGTAAGATTTCCTCAAATTTATTATATAATTCTCATATTAAGATGAACTAAGTTTATATGTAAGATAATTCAGAAGAATGCTGGATTAAATACCAACTCTAATATAATTGCTTCCTATGAATTTTATTTTTAATTTGCATAGAAGTATAACCTGAGGCAGAGCGTAACATTGCCTCCACTGTTGCATGGATCATGATGAGATTTTGCCACACCAGGTCCTCCTAGGCTTTTCAGTTTTACTTTGGCCTCTTGGGATTCTAAAAGGCACTAGCATCTGTGAGCAAAGGTGAAACTAGGTGCAAAGCATCTAGATTCTAGGCACTGAAATCGGCTGAAGGACACCTACAGCAAATACGTGTAAGGACATCTTGAGCTTTTTGTGGGAGTGTACAGGCATTGTATACTAGCACACAAAAGTCAGTGCTTAAAGCTGAAGAGCCCACTGTATCAGAAAAAGATGAAAGCCTTGGGCTTCATATAGAAGGCAAAACTGGAGTCATGTGACTCTAAGGCAACACACAGTGCTATAATCCAGTAGAACTGTATATTTTTTCATCAAGTCTAACTTGCCCAAAAACAATTCTCCCTTTGTATGTAATCTTAGAGGGTGAGGGAGGCAAATTTCTTCTTTCAAACCACAAGGGGAGCATTTAATTCAACTGAACAAAGTCAATAATTCTTCCCCTCTTGACCTAAAGGAACAATAACAGTTTGCAAAAGCAACCAATTTATAAGCCCCGCAGGCTCAGAGCAAATCTGGCTTTTGCATTAGTGCCCAGAAACTCACATTTAATTATGGGCCTTGAGAAGGAGTAACTGGCAAAGCCAAATTAACAGTCTCTTCCTTAGATTTGCTGTGTGAAGTAATTCCCAGTTGCTTCTTTCTTGATTCCATATGCAATTGGAAATCTAGTGGAAATGTCCCCTCTTTAACCACAGGACTGATAGCTTTCCTCCTCTGTCATGCATCAGGACTTGTTTCCATAGCAGCCACTTTGGGGAATGAAAAGAGTTTACATGATACTCTTTCCATAGGTGAAATTTTAAGAATGAAGCATTAGCGTTCACTTGCACAAGAACAAGGATTGCTTGGATACATTTTCTGTAAAGATAGGGCCTGTGTTCTCTTTATATAACAAGGTGTTAAGCCATTTAACAAAGGCTCTTCTTACTTCAGGTGGGCTCAGAATCAAATCTATTCCCTGCCAACATTACAATCTTAGGCAGATTCCTCTCTATTAGCTCACAAAGGTGCAGAGAATCCTACTCAAGATATTGCATTTATATTGTCATTTCTGCCCTGAATTACATATCAGGGCTGCAAAAGAGAAACCTGTCACATGTGTGCTAATTTCTCTATTAAAGTACCCATTTTGTAGCCTGAGATCCAGAAGTATGAATATGGAGGGCTGACTGCAGTCCAGGTACCATGTAAATAATTTTTCAGGGGATTCCTTAAATTCCACAATTTTGAGGGCTCAAATTTGGAGCCATCATTGCATTGACTGTGAAATACAACTCAGCAAGAAGTATTGCTAACTGAAAAACAAACAAAAACCAAGGCTAAATCATAGTTTTCACAACTGTCCTGTAATTTACCTCAAAATTCGTGGAACTCTTGCTTTCTGTTAAATTACTCACTGAATGTGAAATATTTTCATCTATTCCTGTGGTAAAATCATAATCTCTATCCTCTTTCAAATAGAAATCTCCAGAATTAATTTCACCTTAAAGGCCTATACCTATAAATCCTAAATGACTACCAATTATTATACATACATAAAAATTATTATAACCATTTTTGTGGCCACTATTTTTATTCCATATTCCATATCTAAGCAATGGTTTTATCAGGTTCCCAACTGGAAAAATGTAAGCTTCATCATGCTTTGCCTCACTTACGTAATGGCCACAAAATTATATGGATCTCATCTTACCTTATTTACAGCTCTTAAAATTCTTACCTCTTCCCACTACCTCATCATTTCCACTCATAATAATAAAAAGAAGAAAAAAAACTCTTTAAAATAATGATTTATTTACTTTCTAACTTTTCTTTTAGGTTCAGTCCAGGTTTGTTATATAGGCAAATACATAACAAGTGCAGATTTGTTATATAGGCAAATTGTGTGTTCTGGGGGTTTGGTATACAGATACTTTTCTCACCCAAGTAATCAGCATAATACCTGATAGGTAGTTTTTCAATCCATACCCTACTTCCCACACTCCCCTGTTACATAGGCCCTGGTGTCTGTTCCCTTTTCTGTGTCCATATGTACTCAATGCTTAACTCCCACTTATACATGAGAATATGTGGTATTTGGTTTTTTCGGAGGAACCATCCCCCAATATTTCAACATAGGTTCTTTCTATTTTCCCTAAGTGTCGGCTGGTCTAAGAAATAAAGAAAAAGAGTACAAAGAGAGGAATTTTACAGCTGGGCCGCCGGGGGTGACATCACATATTGGTAGGTCTGTGATGTCCCACCTGAGCTGCAAAACCAGCAACTTTTTTTAAGGATTTCAAAAGGGGAAGGGGTGTATGAACAGGGAGTAGGTCACAAAGATCACATGCTTCTGAGGCCAATAAAGATCACAAGGCAAAGGGCAAAGCAAAGATCACAAGGCAAAGGGCAAAATTAGAATTACTGATGAGGGTCTATGTTCAGCTGTGCATGTATTGTCTGGGTAAACATCTTAACAGAAAATAGGTTCGAGAGCAGAGAACCAGTCTGACCAAATTTTACCAGGCTGGAATTTCCCAATCCTAGTAAGCCTGAGGGTACTGCAGGAGACCAGGGCGTATTTCAGTCCTTATCTCAACTGCATAAGACAGACACTCCCAGAACAGCCGTTTATAGAACTCCCCCAAGGAATGCAATTTTTTTTTTATTTTTTTCTAGGGTCTTAATATTTAATACTCCTTGCTAGGAGAAGAATTTAGTGATATCTCTCCTACTTGCACGTCCATTTATAGGCTCTCTGCAAGAAGAAAAATATGGCACTTTTTGCCAGACCCCACAGGCAGTCAGACCTTATGGTTTTCTTCCCTTGTTCCCTAAAATCACTGTTATTCTGTTCTTTTTTAAGGTGCACTGATTTCATATTATTCAAACACACATGTTTTACAATCAGATTTCATTTTGTTCAAACACATGTTTTACAATCAATTTGTACAGTTAATGCAATCATCACAGGGTCCTGAGGTGACTTACATTCTCAGCTTACGAAGATAACAGGATTATGAGATTAAAGTAAAGACAGGCATAAGAATTCACAATTTATGCTCCTCTGCCATGGCTCCAGCCAGTCCCTCCGTTCGGGGTCCCTGACTTCCTGCAACTTGATTTTCTCTTCCTGTATTAATTTGCTTAGGATAATGGACTTCAGCTTCATTCGTGTTGCTGCAAACACCACGATCTCATTCTTTTTATGGCTGTGTAGTATTTCATGGTGTGTATGTACCACATTTTCTTTAACAGTCTACTGCTGATGGGCATTTAGGTCTATTCTATGTCTTCATTATTATTGAATAGTGCTGTGATGAACATATGTTTGCATATATTTTTATGGTAGAATGATTTATATTTCTTTGCATATATACCCAGTAATGGGATTGCTGGGTCAAATGATAGTTCCATTTTTTGTTCTTTGAGAAATAACCAAACTGCTTGACACAATGGCTAAATGAATTTTCATTCCCACCAGCAGTGTATAAAAGTATTCTCTTTTTTCTTCAACATTACCAGCATCTGTTATCTTTTGACTTTTTAATAATAGCTATTCTGAGTGTGAGAGGGTATATCTCATTGTGGTTTAGATTTGATTTCTATAATTGTAAGTGATGTGGGTGATTTTTCATATGCTTGTTGGCTGCATGTATGTCTTCTTTTGAGAAGCATCGGTTCATTTCCTTTGCTCTTTCTAATAAGGTTATTTTGTTTTGCTTGTTAAGTTCTTTATAGATTCTGGATATTTGGCCTTTGTTGGATGCACAGTTTACGATTATTTTCTTCTATTCTGTAGGTTGTCAGTTTGCTGTTGATAATTTCATTTGCTGTGCTGAATCGCTTTAGTTTAATTAGGTCACATTTGTCAGTTTTTGTTTTTGTTGCAAAGACTTTTAGCATCTTCGTTATGAAATCTTTACCAGGGTCTATGTATCTTCCAGGGTTTTTATAGTTTTTGCATATAAGTATTTAATCTATTTTGAATTGATTTTTGCATATGGCCTAAGGAAAGGGTCCAGTTTCAGTCTTCTGAATATGGTTAGCCAGTTATCTCAGCAACATTTATTGAATATGGACTCATTTCCCCATTGCTTGGTTTTGTGAACTTTGTTGAAGATTAGATGTTTATAGGTGTGGGACTTTATTTCTTGGCTCCCTTTTTCTTCCATTGGTCTGTGTGTTTGTTTTTGTACCAGTACCATGCTGTTTTCATTACTGTAGCCTTGTAACAGAGTTTGAAGTTGGGTAATATGACACCTCCAGCTTTGTCCTTTTTGTTGAGAATTGCTTTGGCTACTCAGACTCATTTTAGGTTTCATAGGAATTTTAAAATAGTTTTTTTTTTTTTTCAAATTCTGTGAAGAATCTCGTTGGTATCTGATAGGAATTGCATTGAATCTGTAAATTCCTGTGGGCACTATGGCCATTTTAATGATATTGACTCTTCCTATCCATGAACATGAAATATTTTTCTTTTTTTTTTCTTTTGTCTTTTTTTTTATTGTACTCTAAGTTTTAGGGTACATGTGCACAGCGTGCAGGTTTGTTACATATGTATACATCTGCCATGTTGGTGTGCTGCACCCATTAACTTGTCATTTAACATTAGGTATATCTCCTAATGCTATCCCTCCCCCGACCCCAACCCCACAACAGGCCCCGGTGTGTGATGTTCCCCTTCCTGTGTCCATGTGTTCTCATTGTTCAATTCCCACCTATGAGTGAGAACATGCAGTGTTTGGTTTTCTGTTCTTGTGATAGTTTGCTGAGAATGATGGTTTCCAGCTTCATCCATGTCCCTACAAAGGACATAAACTCATCATTTTTTATGGCTGCATAATACTTTTTCATTTGTTTGTATAATCTCTGATCTCTTTCAGCAGTGTTTTGTAATCCTCATTATAGAGAGCTTTCACCTCCCTGGTTAGCTGTATTTCTAGGTATTTTATTTTTTTTTGTACATATTGTGAATGGGATGGTGTTCCTTATTTGGCTCTCAGCTTGTATGTTCTTTTTATACAGGGATGCTAGTGATTTTTTTATGTCGATTTTGTATCCTGAAACTTTGCTGAAGTTGTTTATCAAGTCTAGAAGCATTTGTCATTTCTGATTGTGTTTATTTGGAACTTCTCTTTTTAATTATCTAGATAGCAGTCTATCAATCTTATTTATACTTTCAAAAAACCAACTTCTAGACTCATTGATTTTTTGTATGGTTTTTCACATCTCAATTGCAGTCAGTTAGTTCTGATTTTGGTTACTTCTTGTCCTTTAATAGCTTTGGGGTTCATTTTCTCATGTTTTTCTAGTTTCTCTGTGTTTGATGTTAGGTTGTTCATTTGAATTCTTTCTAACTTTTTGAAGTGGGCATTTTGTGCTATGAACATTCCTTTCAACACTGCTTTGGCTGTGTCACAGACATTCGGCTATGTTGTGTCTTTGTTTTCATTAGTTTCGAAGAATTTCTTGTTTTCTGGCCTAATTTTATTGTTTATCCAGAAGTCATTCAGGAGCACATTGTAAAATTTCCATGTAATTGTATGGTCTTCAGCGAACTTAGTGTTGATTTCTATTTTTATTTTGCTGTGTGATCTAATAGTGCACTTGGTATGATGTCAGTATTTTTTTTATTTACTGAGAATTGTTTTACGGCCGATTTTAGAGTACATGCCATGTACAGATGAGAAGAACGTATACTCTTGTTTTTTAGTGGAGAGTTCTATAGATATCTGTTAGGTCCATTTGGTCAAGTGTCTAGTTCAGGTCCTGAATATTTTGATTAGTTTTCTGTATCAGTGATCTGTTTAATAAGGTCAGTGGAATGGCAAAGCCTCCCACTATTATTTCTCTCTTCTGGCTCAGAGAGTTTCTGCTGAAAAGTCTGCAGTTAGCCTGATGGGGTTACCTTTGTAGGTGATCTGCCCCTTCCTTCTGGTTGCCATTAACGTTTTTTTCTTTTATTTTGACCTTGGGAAATCTGAAGATTATGTGTCTTGGGGATGTCATCTTGTATAGTATGTCACAAGGGCTCTCTGCCTTACCTGAATTTTAATGTTGGCTTCTCTAGTGAGGTTTGGGAAATTTTCATGGACAACATCCTCACATATGTTTTCCAAGTTGCTTGCTTTCTCTCCCTCTCTTTCAGGAATGTCAATGGGTCATAAATTTTTTCTCATTACTTGATCCCATATTTCTCCTGGGTTTTCTTCATTTTTTTCTTTATTTTTATTGGATTGAGTTAATTCAGAGAACTAGTCTTCCAGCTCTGAGATCCATTCCTAAGCTTGTTCACTTTGCCTGTTAATACTTGCAATTCTATTGTGAAATTATTGCAGTAAGTTTTTCAGCATTATCATATCAGTTTGGTTCCTTATTAAAATGGCCATTTCTTCTTTCAGTTCTTGTATCATTTTATTGTATTCCTTAGATTCTTTGGATTGGGTTATGGCTTTTCCCTGAATCTCAATGTTCTTCATTCCTATCCATATTGTGAATTCTACATCTGGCATTCCAGCCATTTTAGCTTGGTTAAAAACCATTGCTAAGACACTAATGCTGTCATTTGGAGGTAGGAAGACACTCGGACTTTTTTTTTTTTTTTTTTTTTTTTTTTGAGACGGGGTCTTGCTCTGTTGCCAGGCTGGAGTGCAGTGGCATAATCTCGGCTCACTGCAACCTCCGCCTCCCTGGTTCAAGCAATTCCCCTGCCTCAGCCTCCTGAGTAGCTGGGACTACAGGCATGCACCACCATGCCCAGCTAATTTTTTTGTATTTTAGTAGAGACGGGCTTTCACCATGTAGGCCAGGATGGTCTCGATCTCCTGACCTGGTGATCTACCTGCCTCAGCCTCCCAAAGTGTTGGGATTACAGGCATGAGCCACCATGCCCTGTCTGGCTTTTTGAGTTGCCAGAGTTCTTGCACTGGTTCTTTCCCATCTCTATGTGCTGCTATTCCTTTTATTTTTTAAGGTGCTATCCTTTGGATGGCTTTTTTTTTTTTTTTTGCCTTTTTCTTCTTTGATGCCCTTGGAGGTTTGATTGTGGTATAAAGTGGGTTGACTGGTTTTGCTTCTGGAACATGTTAGGGGACCAAAGCACACCTCAGCACTCCTGGGCTGTGTACTCTAACTCTGGGGCTGGTAACAGGTCCCCAGCTCTGTTTTCTGGCCCCTGGTGGTTGGGAACTTGTTGTGATGGAGGGCCTGAGGAGTTCTCAGTCTGCTGACCACAGCACTTCAGTGGATGGTGTTGGCCAAAGCACTTCATCTTGGCAGTGACAGCAGAACCCATGCTCACTTGTGTGTCTCAGCAGTCACAATGGCACAGAATGTACACTCTGTTATTTTTTGGTGGAGAGTTCTGTAGATATCTGTTAGTTCCATTTGGTCAAGTGTCTAGTTCAGGTCCTGAATATTTTGGTTGGTCCTCAACAGTGGCATGTTGGGGTGCATGTGCATTGGCTTTGGTGGGGCACCAATGGGAGTGGGGTGGAAGCATTCTTGCACATGATTGCAGTGGTGGCATAGCAGGGGTAGTTTGCTGGCAGAGACAGTGTTGCCAGCATTCATGCCCGTCCTGGTGGCATGGTGGGGTGCCTGCATGTTAGTAGGGGTGGGACTGAGAGTTGTGCTCCCACTGACAGTGGTGAGATGGCAGGATGCATACACACATGTGCACTGAAGAGTAGGAGAGGTGAAGTCTAGAAACAGACACTTCAAGAGAGAGGCAAAGAAAATAGGAATTTATGCTAAATGGGGTGGTCAAATATACATATTTAATAAGCTATAGGAGGACTCATGAATATTTATGAAAGGAGAAACATGTGCATGAGGAATTGAGTGTTATGACCCTTCATGGGTCCCTGGACAAAGAAATGGTGTGTTAGTATGATTTGAGTGTGAAATTTCTGGCACTTCAGTGTAAAAAGGTGAAGCAGAGGACATAAAAATCCTCACTGCACATTCACATAGACTGGCCAGAACCCCACTCTGTGGTCATTCTGCAAATAAAAGGAGGGGGCAACATCAAGTGTCTGGTTGACATGAGTGGTAGTGGAGTCCTCTGAAATGGCTGGTTTTCTTTTAGCCTTTAGGGAAGAAAGCCTAATGGGAGTTAGCGAGAGAGGAGTATAATGAGGCATGTCCAATCTCCTATCCTGCCATGCCTGAGAACTCTGTTTTCAAGGTTTCTCTGGTGTCTCCTTGGTCAGGAGAAGGTATGCTCAGTTGGTTGGGGGCTTTTTGTTTCTCACACATGTGAGTGAGAACATATGGTGTTTAATTTTCTGTTCCTGACTTCTTTCACTTAACAATGTCCTTCATTTCCATCTACTTTGCCACAAATGACAGGATTGTATTGTTTTTATGGTTGAATTGTATTCCATTGTGTATATTACCACATTTTAAAAATTCATTTATCTGTTGTTGGGAACCTAGGTTGATTCCAAATCTTACTATTGTGAATAGTGCTGCAACAGACATCAGGGTGCAGATGTCTCTTCAATATCCTTGACTTTGAATAAATGCCCAGTATTGGGATTGCTGGATCATATGGTAGTTCTACTTGTAGTTTTTGAAGAAACTTTATACTGTTCACCATAGAGGCTGTACAAGTTTACATTCTCACCAAGAGTGTATAAGTGTTTCATTTTATCTGCATCCTCACCAGCATTTTTTTTTTGTCTCTTTGATAATACCCACCCTAACCAGATGAGATGATACTTCACTGGTCTTTGAAAATATTTAACAGTTTAAAAGTGCAGGCAATAAAAGCAAAATAAACAAATGGAATTATATTAGACTAAAAAGCTCCTGTACAACAAAGTAAACAATCAACAGAGAGCAAAGACAGCCTACAGAATGGGAGAAAATATTTGTCAACTATTCGTCAGACAGGGGATTAATATTCAGAATATACAAGGAATCAAACATTTATATGGCAAAAAAAATCTAATTTAAAAATGGGCAAATTATCTGAACTGATGTTTCTCAAAACAAGACCTACAAATAGTCAGCAAATATATAAAAATATGCTCAACATCACTAATCATCAGGAAAATACAAATCAAAACTACAAAAAATTCACTCTCTCAATTGCTTTCCCTGACTCTAACAATATTAGTGCCCTCAAATTAGTTCTCGACTCTTATATCCAAACGACCTTTAAAAAATGCAAATCTGATAATGCCATTCTCTAGCATCAGATACTTAGGCACTTAGATAATTAATGCCATTCCCTTGCTTCAGCTTCATTAAGAAAAAAATTCAGAGTGGAGGGAGAAGGTATCAACTAAAATTATACAAATATAAAATGTATTAATTTCATTACCAGTCATGAATAAGTACAGTACTAGAAAAGAAATAAGCCTATATTATACAGAAACATTGATGTAAAAAAATTCCAGATAAGCGTTAGATAATGAATGAATTCTAGATAAGTATTAGATAATAAAAATTCCAGATAAGTGTTAGGTAAAGAACACAGATATGATTTAATACAACCTATTAATATAATTAATTACATTAAAAAACTAAAGAAGCTAATTATTATGTCAATAAATGTAAAAGGCATTTCTTAGTGTTCAATACATATTTATATTAAACATATTGGAAAATAATAGAATAAAAATAAACTTCCATAAAATAATATTTTTATTTTTGCTTTTTACTAGAATCTACAATAAAAATTACAGTTTATGCTATAACTTGAGACACATTTGTTTAGGAATAAGGAAAAAGGTACCTATAACCAAAGTTCCTCTCTTATGTAATACCATATTGGAATGCTTTGTCAATAATAAGATAATAGCCTAAAAAGAGAGATATAGTATGAGTTTTGAAGGGAAATATATAATTATCATTTGTAGCTGATATATATTTGTAGCTGATAATGAAGGAAAATAAACAGATACAGTATTTTTACTAATAAGAGAGTTAGCAAGGTTGCAGAATATATGATCAATGTACCAACACAATAACAGCCGTTTGTTACAGAAATAACTAATTGTAACAAAAAATAGTTTTATAGTTTTAGGTTTTATTTCCAGCTATAAATCAAATTATAAATTTTGATGAAGTTAAACTTAATTTGGTTTTATATGATGTGAGTATTGCATGAAGTTAGAGTAAGTGCTCACTTATTTCTACAAGGATAGTCAGGTAACTCAATACCATTTGTCAAAAGACTTTCTTACCCCATTGCATTGCCTTGGCACCTATTTGTAGATTTTACATCTATCTATCTATCTATCTATCTATCTATCAATCATCTATCATCTATTTTCTCCAATAACAGAGTGTCTTGATTCCTGTATCTTTATACTAAGTCTCCAAGTGAGGTGGGATAAATTCTCTTAACTTTTCCTTTATTTTGGGAACAGCTTTGGTTATTTTCTAGGTGCTTTGCATTTTCACATACATTTCAGAGTATACTTGGCAATTTCTACCAAAAAAATAGTAAACTGCTATAATATTTACTGACATTTGGAACTACAACTCAATTAGGAAAGAATTGACAGCTTTATTTTTACTTTTATTTTACTTTTTTGGATGGAGTCTCACTCTGTCGCCAGGCTGGAGTGCAGTGGCACGGTCTCGACTCACTGCAACATCTGCCGCCCAGGTTCAAGTGATTCTCCTGCCTCAGCCTCCTGAGTAGCTGGGACGCTGAGTAGCATGCCACCACACCCAGCTAATTTTTGTATTTTTAGTAGAGATGGGGTTTCACCATGTTGGCCAGGATGGTCTCTGTCTCTTGACCTTGTGATCTGCCCTAATCAGCCTCCCAAAGTGCTGGGAATACAGGCATGAGCCACCATGCCCAGCCAAGAATTGACATCCTAAGGGAATACTGAGTCTTCCAATCATGAATATGGTATATCTTCACAATTGCTTAGGTCTTTTAAAAAATTTCTTTAATAACATTTGTGTAAAGTTCATTAATGCTTTTTCTTAAACTTAGTTCTAATTGTTTTTGTTGTTGTTGTTTCTAGGCTTTACTGTAAATTAAAGTGTTTTCCTCTCTTTATTTCCGAATTTTTTGAATCTAATGTAAAATAATATAGCTGATTTTTGTATAGCAATCTTGTATTATCTAATCTTGCTTTTTCTAAATCTATTGCAATTATCATGTAACTTTTATTATTGTTGTTTGATATTATAAACTTCATTGTGTGGTTTTCAAATGTTTAAAACTTTAAGTCCTTTAAATAATTGCTGCTTGGTTGTGATATACCATTCTTTTTATATACATTGAGTTTAGATTTGCTAATATTTTGTAAATATATTCATTCATATTCATAAGTGAAATTGATCTGTGCTTTTCACTTTTGCATCATGTTTGTAAGGTTTTCATATTAGGGTTATGTTGCCCTCAAAAAGCATGTTAAGAAATTGGACAACTTAAATGAAATATACAGTGACCATTCCTCCACAACTTGCTAAAATAGTTAGTATAAGTTTGGTATTTTTTGTTTCTTCAATACTTGATAGAATTAATCAGTAAACTTCTTTAAGCCAGAAGGATTTTCCTATCTGTGATTTTTTTTCATGATAAATTCCATTAACTTCATAGATATAATGACTTTCAGAATCTATTTTTATTTCTTATGTCAATTTCAGTAAGTTATATTTTTCAGGAAATACACATATTTGATTGAACTTATAAAAATTATTGATGTAATATGGTTTAGTCTATTAAAATCATTTTAATGTCTATCAGACCTATATTTGAAATATTTTATCCCTGATATTGAGTTATTTGTGTTTCCTCCTTATTTTTCTTGATCAATTTAAGTAGCAGTTTGGTAATTAGCTGATCTTTTCAAAGAACCAGTTTTTGCACTGTTAATCTTCTAAAACATGTCTGTTTTATTATTTCATCAATTTATGTTTTTTAAAATTAGTCCCCCATCTTATTTACTTTTGGCCTACTTTGATCTCCATTTTATTTTCTTTTATCTTGAGACTGTTTATAGGAACGTATTTATAATTGTTATATCTTCCTGATGAATTGTCTTACTTTTTATTGTAAAAGATCTTTATTTATCTCTCTAGTAATACTCATGATATTGGAGTCTGCTTAATCCTTTATTTAAATGGATACACCAGTCCTCTGATGTGCACAATTTGTGTGGGTTTATCAGTTTTCTTCCATTATATTCAACCTTTCTGCATATTTATATTTAAAATTGGTTTCTTGTAAGCAGCATGCAGTAAGATCTTGCTTTTTTCCTTTCTAATCTATTCTGCCAATCTCTTGCTTTTAATTGAAGTATTTAGATGATTAACATCTGATGTAAAGATTGATGTGGTTCAATTTAAGTTCATCATTTTAGTCTTTATTTCCTGTTTGCTCCATCTGTTTTGTTGTTGCTCCAGTGTTTCTCTTTTACTGCCTTCTTTTGGCTTATTTGTATTTTTCTAATTATCCCTTTATAATTTGCCTATTTTCTTTTTGGCTTTCTTAAAAATATTATTATTATTATATATATTTTTTGAGATTGAGTCTCACTCTGTCACCCAGGCTGAAGTGCAATGGCACAATCTTGGCTCACTGCAACCTCCGCCTCCCAGGTTCAAGTGATTCTCCTGCATCAGCCTCCTGAGTAGCTGGGATTATGGCCATCCACCACCACCTGCAGCTAATTTTTGTATTTTTAATAGAGACAGGGTTTCACCATGTTGGTCAGGCTGGTCTCAAACTCCTGACCTCAGGTGATCAACCCACCTTTTCCTCCCAAAGTACTGGGGCTGCAGGTGTGAGCCACTGCACCTAACTGCTTTCTTTGAATTATTTCTTTTTTAAGAGGTAGCTCTGGAAATTGTAATCTTCATATTAAGCTTTTCACAGACTATTTAGAATTAATATTGTATCGCTTCACAGAAAAGATAGAAACCTTAAGAATGAATAAGTTCTTCTTCCCCATGAACTATTATGTTATAGTGCTTATATGCATTCAATGTATTTGTATTTTAAAAACTTACCAGCAAATATTAACTACATTTAAAATACATATTAATTTTGAAAACTTAAGAGAAAAAAATGTACTATTTTATGTGTTTCCACCTATTTCTATTGATCCTCGCTCTTTCCTGAATATCTGATTGGCCCTCTAGTATTAATTCTCTTCAGCCTGAAGAATTCCTTTAGCATTTTTGTAAATTGCTGCAAGTCTGCTGGCAATTGACTTCATATAAAAAATCTTCATTTTGCATTTACATATAAAGAATATTTTCATTAGTTATAGAATTTTATTTTCACATTTTTCCTTTAAAATCTTTTTTCACTGTTTTCTATCATTTAGTTTTTCTTATGTGACACCTGTAGTCATTTATACTAATGGATATGTTCTACCATGTGTCATGCATTGTGTCACTTTACTCTAGCTGCCTTCAGATGATTTTCTTTATTTCATATTTCTATTATTTTTATTAAGATATGTCTAGCCGGGCGTGGTGGCTCATGCCTGTAATCCCAGCACTTTGGGAGGCCGAGGCGGGTGGATCATCAGGTCAGGAGATTGAGACCATCCTGGCTAACATGGCAAAACCCCGTCTCTGCTAAAAATACAAAAAATTAGCCGGGTGTGGTGGCGGGTGCCTGTAGTCCCAGCTACTCCGGGGGCTGAGGCAGGAGAATGGCATGAACCTGGGAGGTGGAGTTTGCAGTGAGCCGAGATTGCGCCACTGCACTCCAGCAGCCTGGGTGGCAGAGCCAGACTCTGTCTAAAAAAAAAAAAAAAAAAAAAAAAGATACGTCTAAAAGTGATTTTTACAAATTTATTGTTTTTTGTTCACTGACATTTATAGTACACACCACTGTGCAATAAAATACACATTCTTCTCAAGTATACATTTAACATTAACCAAGACATACTATTTTTGGAGAAACTTTAAAAAATTTAAAAGACTAGAAATCATGCAATGTATGTGTTGTCATGATAATATGTTTAAGTTAAAAAACAGTAATAGAGGCCAGGCATGGTGGCTCACACTTGTAATCCCAGCACTTTGGGAGGCTGAGGCAAGCGGATCATGAGGTTAGGAGATTGAGACCATCCTGGCTAACACAGTGAAACCCTGTCTCTACTAAAAATACCAAAAAAAAAAAAAAGAAATTAGTGGGTGTAGTGGCACACATCTGTAGTCCTAGGTAATTGGGAAGCTGAGGCAGGAGAATTGCTTGAACCTGGAAGGTGGAGGTTGCAGTGAGCCGAGATTGAGCCACTGCACTCCAGCCTGGGCAACAGAGACTCTGTCTCAAAAAAATATATATATCAGTAATAGGAAGATAACTGAAAAATCTCCAGTTTTTTGAAAACTAGCAAAAGTATTCTAAGTAACTCATGAGTCAAGCGAAATTCTCAAGATAAATTTGCAAATATTTTGGAGTGAATGAAAATGAAAATGCAACAGATCCAAATGTGTAGAATTATTCTAAAGCATTGTTTAGAGATTTCTTTTGGTCTCAAATGCATATAGCAGAAAAAAACCTGTGTCAAATCAATAAATAAAATTTTCACCTTAAGAAACTAGGGAAAGGATAGAGGATTAAATTCAAAATTACTAGAAATAAGAAATAGGCCAGGTGCAGTGGCTCGTGCCTGTAATCCCAGTACTTTGGGAGGCCGAGACTGGAGGATCACCTGAGGTCAGGAGTTCAAGACCAGGCTGGTCAACATGGTGAAACACCATCTCTACTAAAAATACAAAAATTAATTAGGCGTGGTGGTGGTCACCTGTAATCCCAGCTACTTGGGTCACTGAAGCAGGAGAATCACTTGAACCCAGGAGGTGGAAGTTGCAATGAGACGAGACTGTGCCATTGCACTCCAGCCTGGGTGACAAGAGTGAGACTCCACATCAATAAATAAATAAATAAATAAAAACAACAAAGAAATTAAAACTTGAGATGAAAATAATTAAATTGGAACAAAGAATTGAAAAAATCAGTGAAATGGAAAGATAGTTTTTTGTTAAAACATCTATAAAACTGAAGAAACTCTAGCCAAACTGAGCAAGTAGACAAGGAGTTAAGACAATAACCAATATCAAAAATAAAGAGGGGCCACCACTATGGGCCACACAGCCATTAAAAGTATACTAAGGTGTGCTAATTTTCTAATGCAATAAATTACCACAAACTTACTAGCTTAAAGCAGTAGATATTGATTCCTATGGTTCTAGAGATCAGAAGCCCTCAAACCAAGATATCAGCTAGATTGAATTCCTTCTGAGGACTCTAGCAGAGAATTTGTGTCCTTGCCTTTTCTAGTTTCTAGTGGCTGCCTGCATTCTTTTGACCCCTGCTTCCATTTTTATATTGCCTTATCTTTTATTTCTGTTACCACATCATGTTCCCTGATTCTGACTCTACTACCTTCTTTCTCTTATGACAACCCTTATGATTAAGTTGGGTTCCCCTGGATAATTCAGGATAACCATCTCATCTCAAAATTCTTAGTTAAATTACTTTGGTATGGTCAATTTTGCCATATAAGGTTGCATATTCACAGGTTCTGGAAATTAAGATGTGGAAATCTTCAGGGGGTAGACATTATTCTGCCTGTCATATAAAGAACTCTTCAAAAAGCTCTATGCGTATAAATTCCACAAATAGTTGAAGTGAACTAATTCCAAAAAAGCACAAATTATGAAAACTCACTTAGACAACAGACAAGCTGAATAGTCCTGTATCTACTAAAAATTGGATTTGTAGTAAAAATATTTCAATCAAAGAAATCTTCAATGGTGAAAAATTTCAAACACTTTAGGGAGAATTACAGCACAGTTACAAACAGCAACTTTCAGAAAAAATGAAACAATACTTCCAAATAAACTTTATAAGGCTAGCATTACATAAATATCAAAATCAACACAGAAATTACAATACTAGAAAACTATAGAGCAATAATATTTATGAACATAAACTCAAAAATCTTTAGCAAAATGCTAATACATTTATTCTATCAACATATAAAAATAATTTTGAACAACAGTTTTCCCCATGAATGTAATTCAACTTATCATCCAAAAATGATATGTCAATCTCAAAAGATGTGGAAGCATTTGACAAACTTTAACGTTAATTCATGGTAAAAATTCTCAGCAAACTAGGAATACAGTGGAACTTCTTTTTATCTAATAGAGGGTATCAATAAAATGCCTTTAGCTGTGATGTTACTTAATAGTAAAAGACTGAATGCTTGCTTATTCTCTAAGACTGGGAACAAAGTTCATATTCAGCATTGTATTTTAAGTTTTAACCAGTGTAATAACACAAGAAAAAGAAAATGAATCAAAGGAAGAAATAATGGTTTCAACTCACAGGTGATATTATTATATGCATAGAAAACCCAAACAACTCATAAAAACTTCTAAGAAGTTATACATGAGTTTTCCAAGGCTGCAGAGTGCAAGGTAATATACAAAAAATAATTATATTTTTATACACTAGCAATGAAGCAAATTATTTCAAATTATAAAATTAATAGCATATATAAAATCTCCTAAAACTAAAATACTTAGATATAAATAAAAGTTTTCATGATATATACACTGAAAACTAGAACACACCAATTAAAAAAAGCCTAAATACTGTATGGAGAAGTACAGCATTTTAATAGATTCTAAGATTTTATATTGTCACATTCAATATAATGCTAGTAAAAAATCTCATTAGGCTTTTTACTCACAATAAACTTTTAAAAGACTTACCCTAAAGCTCTACTACTAAAGGAAATATTGGCCGGGCACAGTGGCTCATGCCTGTAATCCCAGCACTTTGGGAGGCTGAGGCAGGCAGATCATCTGAGGTCGGGAGTTTGAGACTAGGCTGACCAACATGGAGAAATCTCGTCTCTACTAAAAAAATACAAAAAAATTAGCCAGGCATGGTGGCACATGCCTGTAATCCCAGCTACTTGGGAGGCTGAGGCAGGAGAATCACTAGAACCTGGGAAGCAGAGGTTATGGTGAGCCAAGATCATTCCATTGCATTCCAGCCAGGGCAACAAGAGCAAAACTCCATCTCAAAAAAAAAAAAAAAAAAAAAGAAAGCAAGAAAATATTGAGTTTTGGATTAATCTTTTCTTCCACAGTGTATTTGCCTTTGTCTGCAATAGACTTGAAGGTACTATCAACCAAAAACTTATTCTAAATTATGTTTCTCCTTGAAGTTTCAGGTCATAAATCCAGGTGGTTGTTAACCCCGAATCTAAAATGTAAATTTGTGGTTGAAAAGTTTCATGATTTTTTTTTAATTCTCCCAAAGTCAAAATTGGAGCATGCATGTATCCCCAGTTACTACTTAGCTCCACTCACTGAGGATTTTGTAATTTTGAAGTCTTAGCTCCATTTAGACATCTCAATCCAAACTTTAATTCTGCTTACAAATTTGGCTTTGTTATCTGAGTCTTTTATGTTGACCCTTTGGTAAATCCCAGCCTCCAGACAGCCAGGGATCAGTAGATCTATACAATATAAATGCTATTTTTAGAACTACTTTATCTTTATAAGTTCACAATTTTAAAAATTGTCTCCGTAAAATTATATTAATTTTGCATCATATCAACTTTAAATACATATATGCCAACAGTTATGAATATGATCTAGAAGTTTCACAAAATTTTCATTTCACTATGTTGTGAGAAATGGCAGTCCATACCTTTCCTTTTAAGGAAATCTAAAAATTTCTCTAATGCATATGATACAAAGGTAGAGGGGTATATATGTATGTGTGTGTGTGTGTGTGTGTGTGTCTGTGTGGTGTGTGTATAATAAGCAATAGTTTCTTCCTTTAATAATCTTTTACTCTAAAACACAAGTAAATTTAATTACTTTTGACTTGGGACACGGATTTTATATTCTGTAATTTTCTCGTTTTTGATGGCTAAATATTAAAGATGATAGAATAATTTTATTATTGCTCATCAAATCAGAGTTGCTTTTTATTCTACAAATGTACTTCTTCAAATATACGTTTATTCTTCAAATATTGGAGTGAAATTATCACTTTTATAAATTGAAGAAATTGATATGTTAAATTATCTCTTCCCCAAATAAAGTTTATTTTAAAAAGATTTTGTACTTGCTGGAAAGTACATAATTATTATTTTGGAAAATTACGTTATGTAATGCTTATGAACAATAAAGGATGTTTTTATTCATTCAAGTAGTAGGGAAAAAATGAATGTGTCATTTGAATACAAAGTGTCATTTTATCAAATATAAATGTGTGAAATTCTTAACATTTTGTTTTATTCTTTGATGGTATGCATTTCCATTTTAGAAAAAGAATTAGTACAATGTAATTATAGCATAAAAAGAAATGTTGCTCCTTATTAGGCATTCGTATCAGATAAAGGATGTCTTAGGAGTGGTAATATAGTTTGAGAGGAGCTACAGATTATACACGAAACTTGCCTTGAAATTTCATTCCCATATCACCCATATTTTATTTACTTGCAATGTACATTTTATCTGGGCAAGTTATAGACTAAGTCAGTCAAAGAGGTTCTATATAATCCAGTCAATACAATCAGAGAAAGTATGTTTCAACATGAAATAATGTCAAAATGTATTAAAATGGCACATAACATTCACAGATTGTTTGACAGATGTTTTAAATCTCAGGTTATTTACTTTCAAATATGAGAAATGTGTACAACATTTTTAAAGAAGATGCTATTTATAGTGTGCTAAATGATACCTCTTTGCTCTTGCACACTTTCAAGTTTTGTAAAGTACTCAAGCTTGGTAAAACATTCAAATGAGTCTTTGCTTTTGGTTCAGAGCTTTGGAGAAATGGCAGTTCCTCATCTCTGCCAACCTCATCCACTACTTCTTTTCTCTTTGGTTATTATTATTTTTAATCATTCAGAATCCACCAGTTTGCTTCAGATATTTCCTGGCTACATCTTCTCTTGTTTCTTCACTGGATCATCTTTTCAACCTTCTGTGGCAATAGGGACATTCTTGAAATGCTCATTCATTTTTCTAATTATCATATCCCTCAATGTTTCTCATATCACATTTTTAGGATGCCCCCCATACTTATATATCTAATGCCATCAATAAAATTCACCTAGTAAGATTAGCATCTTCTTAGAAGATTCATCTTTCTTTCCAAATTTTTTCCACTTACTTATTTCCTAATCTTTGTTCATTATATCCATATTCTCCAAAGGCCTGAAATTTCAAATTCATGTTTAATGTTACTCTTTTCTTTATATTGTTCACTTTCCCCATTGAATCAGTTATAAAGATATGCTGGTTTTCTCTGAAGAAAGTCACAGGCTTCTTTATCAGCCATTTCCACTGCTCCATCCAAATCCAAGTCTCAGAATCCTTCTTTCCTTTAAGTATCATCACTGTGCAATCCATCTTAAACCTATTGCTAGCATTATCTTTCTAAAACAGTTTTGAACATATCACTTCTCTGTTTAAACATTTTCCTATATTATAATGCCCTGGTACCATTGTATGTTACTAGAGATCTTTTATTTACCAAAATTATCTTCTATTGTTGGCCTTAGAAACACAATACCCTTGAACCAAATTCTACCTCTGCTGTGTTCCTTTTGTTCCTCTACCACTCTATCTCAATGCCTTTGTCACTCACTCTGCCTGAAATATACACTTACAGTTGTTCTCTCACTTCCACTTGTTGAAAAATTTATTACCATTTAAGGACAAATACAATGTCACCATTTCCATGAACCTGTTCTGAATGTATTAATCAGTAGCAATATCACCTGTTGTTTACTAAGCCTAAACAATATTTGATAGTATAATGATATTGAACCTATATTATTTCCTCATTAACTCTAAATTCCATACTTTGGGAGCCATTTATACTGCACTTAGGAAAGTAGTGTGAATGCAGAAGATGGTCAAAGATTAAGTAAAGCAAGTATCTTTTAGGAAGGAATCCTTGCTTATGGACAGTTATTGTAATTATTTCTAAACTGTATGATTTTGTCCCTTTTGTGAAATTGTTGATTATTTTCAGATGCTTTTTAGCAAAAGAGAGACATAAAATTGCCTTACTGAGACACCTTGTAAAGAAAAATTTAAACTAACAAAGACGATCAGTGTTGTTTCTCCACATTTGACTTTCCACCTCTCCTGTTCTTTCTTTTTACATTGGCATGGCTAAATATTAAATGCTAGTACTTAGTAGCATAGTACAGGTGCTCAAACATTGGCCTTATAAACTGGTTCCCTATGTTCCTGTTTCAGCTTGGCTACTAAAAAGCTATATGACCTGGAGCAGTCACCTTGCCCATTCCTATTTGTCCTATCTTTAAAATGAGGAATTGGACTTTATTATCTCTTGATTACTTTCAATATCAAAATCCTACAATTATTTTTAGTGATAAAATCCAGATTTAAATTTCTATTTTACACCAAATTTCTCAGGAGTTCACCTAAAATGACATCAAAAAACACCACAATGGATCGAGTTCAAAAATCTCCTGTATCAGGCCAAAAAAGAGAGTGATTTATCATAGTCACAGTGAAAGCTGCAACCCTTTTCCAGTTGGGTGAAAGCCACCAAATAACTGATCTTGCTCAGCCGTGGCCACTGCTGACTCAGGCCTTAATACAGCTAGCAAGTATCAATGTACATATAAGTTATGATTTAGATCTACTACAACTATTAAATGCCTTTGAAAGTGATGACTAGGAGCCACTTCAAGAGGCCAATGCAATTCATTCCTGGAAGAGCTTACAGAGCAAAACTTAATATCCTTTACTTTCAGTCCCCATTGCAACTGAATTTCAAATCTATGTATAATTAAACCAAATCTTTGATTTTTCTTATAACAATAAACTACATAAGGATTTACCTAGTGCTGTTC
Organism: Homo sapiens; assembly: GCF_000001405.40. Taxonomy (NCBI): domain Eukaryota; kingdom Metazoa; phylum Chordata; class Mammalia; order Primates; family Hominidae; genus Homo; species Homo sapiens. Next base: position 65,639,694 of record NC_000010.11, on the reverse strand, counting down.
ATTCTAAAGTCAGAAAGTCTTTATGGAAAAATCATTTGTATATCCATTACAAGCTCTCCAAACTTCCTAATAAAAGGTTGCACACACTTTGCTGTAAGATGCCAGGTTTTGGGAAGTGTGAAACATATTCTGACAGTTTAATTGAAATAGCTATTGAGCATGAAGGCAAAACACCTGTTGAGAAGGGAAATAAACAACAGCAAAAATCCCTGCTGAATTTTTCAGACAAAGTAGAGAAAATCAGAAGGACTCTTTATTCAGTGATAATAAATTCATGAATCAAGTGGGACAATTGTTATCAGAATTTAGGTATCAATCATTACTGTTGATCTACCGTCCTTTATTGAGCCTTCAGTTGCTTCCTTTGCCTGACTTATTAAAGTGGTATGAGAATGCAACAAAATAGTAGAATATAAAGCTTACATACCTAGAAACACTAGTCATTAAATATCAACTGTTCTTTGAGAGACATATAGAAATCAGAATATTTCAAATAAGAATCTGAATTTTGCATTTCTTTAGAAAAACTACGTGGGGGGCAAGGCAGGAATTCTTGTGTTTCCTTTAGCCTGAATGGCAAAACCATGCTGGAGTTGAGTTACTGGTTTAACACTTTAGCGTATATTTTGCATTATGCCTACTGCCTTCATCATTTTACCACTGGACATTTACACATTTGTTTATGTGATGTTCAAAATAGCTATTACCAGCCATTTTATTTATTTAAAAGTTTATCAGTCTACATATATTTTAAAACATGTTAGAATAAAACCACGTATCCTCATGCCACCTTTTAAATCCTCATAGTTGGTCAAGCTAGAGATTTTTACTATAAGGTACTAATTTCATACTATTTTTAAATTTCAGGAGCCCTTATATTTTCTAGATATAAAAAGCACATATGTGAGGCAGTAACACATATATTGAAATTAATGTTAGTAAACCACAATCAAATAAAAAAGTTCAAAACTATAGACTAGAAGGTGTATATCTTTCACATAGATCTTGAATATAACAGTCAGCTTTGATTTTACATGAAAATATTAAAGAGATAATCATGGCAAATTACTTCAATGTGCTTGACATGTATATCCTGCCCTACTTTCTAATCTAATTAATTATATCACACTCAACTGTTGAAATAGAAGTAAATGGTGAAACATAAGGATCTTCCTGGAGTGTGAACAAAAAAGGACAAGATTAAAAAAAAATCCCTCCTTCTGAATTTTCTTTCTTATTTTTGTTTATAATTGACACAATAATTGTACATGTTTGGGGGTATACTGTGATGTTTCAATAGATATATGCATTGTTTAATGATCATATCAGGATAATTAACATACCCATTACCACAGCATTATCATTTCTTTGTGGTGATAACATTCAAGATCTTCTTCTCTAGCTATATTGAAATATATAATACACTATTTTTAGCTGTAGTCACTCTGCTATGTAATAGAACACCAGAATTTATTCTTCCTATCTAACTGTAACTGTGGTCTCATAGAAATAAAGAGTAGAACAGCAGTTACCAGAGGTTGAGGAGAGAAAAGGGGATGGGGGATGGAAAGAGGTTGGTCAATGAGTAAAATTACTTTAGATTCCACATATGAGTGAGCTCATGCAATATTTGTTTTTCTGTACCTGGTTGATTTCACTTAACAGAATGTCCTGCAGGTTTATCCACGTTGTCACAAATGACAGAAGGTCATTCTTTTTGTAGCTGTATAGTATTCCACTGTGTATGTTTATCATGTTTTCTTGATCTATTTGTCCATTGATGGATATTTAGGTCAATTTTATCACTTACATAATGTGAACAGTGCTGCAATAAACAACATAGAAATGCAGATATCTCATTGACTTCTCATTTTATTTCTCTGAATATATACCTCACAGTGAGACTGCTAAATCATTTAATAATTTTATTTTTAATTTTTTGAGAAACCTTCATACTGTTTTCCATGTCTGTACTAATTTACATTCCCACTAACAGTGTATGAGTGTTCCCCTTTTTCTTCATCCTCACCAGCATTTGTTATTTTTTGTCTTTTTGATAATAGCCATTCTAACAGGTATGAGGTAATATCTCGCTGTGGTCTTGATTTGTATTTCCATGATGATTGGTGATGCTAATCATTATTTGTCAAATATCTACTGGCCATTTGCATGTCTTTATTAGGTTGAGTTATATTCCTGCTATACCTAATTGATTGAAAGTTTTTATCATGATGGGATGTTGAATTTATGAAATGCTATTTCTGCATCTATTGTAATGGTCATATGTTTTTTGTACCTGATTGTGTTAACGTACCACATTTATTGATTTGCATATTATAAACCATCTGATATAGGTTGGATATTTGTCCCCCCAATCTCATATTAAAATGTAATTCCTAATGTTGGAGGTGGGGCCTGGTGAAAGGTGATTAGATCATAGATGTGGATTCCTCATTGACTGGTGCTATCCTTGTAATTGTGAATGAGTTCTCATGAGATTTGGTTGTTTCCAAGTGTGTGGCACCTCCCACTCACTCTCTTGTTCTTGCTTTCACCATGTGATGTGTCTGTTCCCACTTCGTCTACCACCATGAGTAAATATTCCCTGAGGCTTCCCCAGAAGCTGAGCAGATGTTGGAACCAGGCTTATACACCCTGTAGGGCCAATTAAATCTTTTTTAAAAAATAAATTACGCAGTCTCAGGTGTTGGTTTGTAGCAACGCAAGAAGAGCCTAACACATCATCCTCAAATTCCTATGATGAATCACACTTGATCATAGTAAGTGATCTTTTAATGTGTTGATGGATTCAGTTTGCTAGCATTTTGCTCAGGATTTTTGCCTCTATGTTTCAGAGATACTAACCTGTAGTTTTCTTTTATTGTTGTGTCATTATCTGGTTTTGGTGTCAAGGTAATGCTTGCCTGATAGCCTGAGTTAGACATATTCCTTCTTCTTCAATTTAACATAGTAGTTTTAGAAGAATTAGTATTAGTTATTTGATAGTTTGGTAGAATTCAGCAGTGAATTTGTCAGATCCTAGGCTTCTCTTTGATGGGAGAATTTTTTTTTATTACTGATTCAATCTTGTTACTCTTTATTTGTTCAGGTTTTCTATTTCTTCATAATTCAGTCTGGATTCATTTTTTCTAGCTTTCAAATTTCTTGATTTATAGTTGTTCATAAAATCTCTTATGATCTTTGTATTTCTGTTGACAAATTCTGTGTAATATATCTTTTTTCTTCTCTGATTTTAGTTATTTGACTCTTTTCTCTTTTGTTCTTAGTGTAGCTAATTTCTTTTGATTTTCAAACAAATTGTTTTTCTTTGATGGATTTTTTTGTATTGTTTTAAAATCTCTGTTTTTTTTTTGTTTCTGCTGTGATCTTTGTTATTTCTTTTCTTCTACTAATTTTGCATTTGGCTTTTTAGAAATTTTCTAGTTCCTTGAAGTGCACCAGATGGTTTTTAATTGGATATCTTTTTACTTTTTTGATGTAGGAATTTATTGCTCTAGTGTTTCCTCTTTGACATACTTCTGCTATATCCCATAGGCTTTCATTTTCTATCTCCAGAAATTTTCAGAAATTTCTTTTCTTAATGGGGATACAAGAGCGTGCTGTTTAATTTCCATGTATTTGTAAAGCTTCCACCATTCCTTCTGTTATTGATTTCTAGTTTTATTGATTTCTGGTATTATTTCATTGTGTTTAGAAAAAGTACTTGATGTGATTTTTATTTTTGAAAATTTTGTAAGACTTGTGTTATGACTCAGCATAGTCTATTCTAAAAACTGTTCCATGTGCACTTGAAAAGAAAGTGTATTTTGTAGTTGTTGGATAGAATGTTTTGTAAATATCTGTTAGGTTCATTTTATCTACAGTGCAGTTGAACTCTGATGTTTCTTTGTTGATTTTTCTCTCTGGATCATCCATCCATTGCTGAAAAGGGGAGTGATAAAGTTTTCCACCATTATTGTCCTGCTGTCAATCTCTTCCTCTAGGTTAGTATTCGCTTTATATATTTAGGTGCTTCAGTGCTGAGTGCATGTATATGTACAAATGTTATAACAGCTTTGTCATTACATAATAATCTTCTTTGTATTTATTTTACAGTACTTGACTTGAAGGTTATTTATGTAAGTATAGCTATTCCTGCTTTTTATGGGGTGCACATTTGTGTAGAATGTGTTTTTTCTTTTCTTCACTTTCAGTCCATTTGTATCTTCATAAATGGAGTGAGTTTCTGTAGGCAGCATATGGTGTGGGTGTGGGGGTGCTTTGTATGTCTGTGTGTGTGTTGTGTGTGTGCTTAATCCATTAAACAACCCTATGTATTTTAATCAGTGAATTCATTTATATTCAAGGTTATTATTTCTAGGTAAAGACTTTACTGTCATTTTGTCACTTTTTAAAACTGTTTTGGAGAGTCTTTCTTTTTTTTATTATGCTTTAAGTTTTAGGGTACATGTGCACAATGTGCAGGTCTGTTACATATGTATACATGTGCCATGTTGGTGTGCTGCACCCATTAACTCGTCATTTAACATTAGGTATATCTCCTAATTCTATCCCTCCCCCCTCCCCCCACCCCACAACAGGCCCTGATGTGTGTGGAATACTATGCAGCCTTAAAAAATGATGAGTTCATGTCCTTTGTAGGGACATGGATGAAGCTGGAAACCATCGTTCTCAGCAAACTATCTTTCTTTCATTTTTCTGTCTTTTTTGTGGTAAAGTGATTCTCTCTAGTATGCTTTGGTTCAGCACTTTTTATTTTTAGTGTATTTATCATAAGTTTTTACATTTTAAACCAGTCTTTTTCCAAATTTTGGATTTTGATATGTAAATTTTACTTCTTTTTACATGTTCTTTCTCTTAAACAATTGTTGTTATTATCATTAATTTTTTTTCTTTTAGATACTAAAAGATGAAAGCGATATTATATAAAGATGTAAGTGACACCTATGGTTCCAGCTACTTGGGAGGCTGATGTGGGTAATTCATTTGAGCCTGGGAAGCAAAGGTTACAGTGAGCTGAGATCACACCACTACACTCTGACCTGGGTGATAGAGTGAGATGCTGTCTCAAAAAAAAAAAAAAAGAAAAGAAAAAAAGATGTAAGTGATTTATATACACTTACAGTTTCTTATTTTTTTTTGGAGGGGAGGGGGCAGAGTCTCGCTCATTCACCTAGGGTAGAGTGCAGTGGCATGATCTCAGCTCACTGTAACCTCCGCCTCTTGGGTTCAAGCGATTCTCGTGTCTCAGCCTCCAAGTAGCTGGGACCATAGGTGCATGCCACCATGCCCAGCTAATTTTTGTATTTTTAGTAGAGATGGGGTTTCACGATGTTGGCCAGGCTGGTCTTGAACTCCTTACCTCAGGTGATACGCCCACCTCAATCTCCCAAAGTGTTGGGATTACAGGCATGAGCCACCACACCTGGCCCAATTAGTTTTTGAGTGCCCTGAATTTGTTTACTTACTATGACCAATGAGTTGTATACCTTAAGATGTTTTCTTTTTACATATTAGCATCCTTTTCTTTCAGATTAAAAAACTTCCTTTAGCATTTTAGTAGGTCTAGTGTTGATGAATCCCCTCAGCTTTGGTTTATCTGCAGACTTTATCTTTTCTTTATGTTTGAAGAATACCTTTGCTTGGTACAATATTCTTGGTTGGCAGGTTTTTATTCTCCTTCACTACTTTGAATATATCATATCATTTTCTCCTTTCCTGCAGGGTTTTTGCTGAGAATCTGATGAAAGCTGTATTAGGGCCCTGATTAATGTGATATGTCTCTTTTCTCTTCTTTTTTTCAGTATTCTTTCTTTGTCTTTGATTTTTTTTATCATAATTTGAAGGGTGTTGGGGAATTCCTTTTGAGTTAATTTGATTAGTAACTTCTATGTTTCTTGTAAGTGGATGTTGTTTTCTACATGTAGATTTAGGAGGTTTTTAGCTATGATTTCCTTAAATATGTGTTCTAGGTCTATTCTCCCTTTTCTCATTCGGAAACTCCTATTATGTGAAGGTTAGTTTACTTTAAATAGTGTCCCACAATTCCTGAAGGTCTTCTTCACCATATTTTTTCTTTTTTCTTTTTGCTCCTCTGATTAATTTCATACGTCTTCAAGCTGTTTCCTCTGATTATGTCTACTGTAAAAGCTTTCTATTGAGTTTTTTCAGTTCAGTTATTATATTCTTTATTTCTAGGATTTATTTGGGCTTTAAAAATGTTTCTTTATTTGTCAAATATCTCATTGTATTTATGGATTGTTTTCCAAATTTTAGTTAATTTTCTATTTATATTTTATTGTGATTCCCTGAAAATTTTAAAGTAGATTATTCTGAATTTGGAATTCAGACATTTTATAGATCAGTTCTTCTGTGTCCATTATAGAGCTTTGTTTATTTCTTTTGTTGGTGTCATATTTTCCTGATTTTTATTAATCCTTTTATCTTTATATTGATGCCTGTGAATTTGAGGAGATGGTCACCTCTTTCTGTTTTTGCAGGTGTTTTTTGTGGTCTTAGATCATTACAACTTAATATCAGAACTTAATTGCTGTCCAGCTTTTGACTCCTGAGTGGGGAGGACTTAGTGTGTATCAGAATTTAAATGCTGCACTGGAGTGAAATCACTGCTCTGCCATTGTTTGTTATTTGGAAAAGACTTATTGCGAGCACCAGAACTTACTAAATATTTCAGCTGCTTCTGGGTCAGGGGAAGGTGCCACATAAACACAAAAAAGGACTCAGGCATTTCCAGGGCTCATAACCTCTGCAGTGCTATGAGACTTGACAGTCTCCTCAGCATGGCATTCCTGCTGAGCAGAATGCAGAGCAGCTACCAAGATCCACAGGACAGTTGCTGCAATCAGCTCTCCTGATTTTATCTTCAGTTCACTCAGGTCATTCAGCCCTCCTGGAACTCTCAGTGTTTTCCATGGGATGAGACCCATGTAGACTTCCCATGAAGCCTCCTCAACTGATAGGGAAATTGAATGTTTATTTTCAACTTCGAATTTCTTCCAACTCAGACATCCTAAATGTATAGAAATTTTCTGTGAGCTGTTATGTGGCTTGGGGTAGTGGGTGGCAGATTCTAAAATCGTCATTTATCAGTCACAGCTTCTCTCATTTCTGCAGGCTCCATCAGTTCCTCTGCTTCTCTCTCAAGTTCTAGTAACTTCAGGGTAGTTTTATTGTCTTTGAATAGTTACTGCTTATACCTTTGTGGGGGAAGCAATGTTAAGTGTCTTCTAATCTGTTATCTTGCTGGACAGATTTTGTAAGTTGTGAATATAATGTACAGCTATCCATTAGAGAACTAGAAAAAATATATACTTCTTAGCTGACCAATTTTAATGATTTTGGCTGTACTATAACAAACTGTTTTGAAGTTTAAAGTCATGTATTATGACTGAACTGAATAATTCAAGTTTTTTATGGTTTATATTTATTTATTCAAAGTATCATTTTGTTCATGTATTGTCTTCTTGATTTTGTTGAGTTGTCTACCTGAGTTCACTTATAGCTCATTGAACTTCTTTAAGACTTACAGAGGGAGAAAAGTAGTTCAGAAAGTAGGAGAGTAGAAAGGATAATCCTGAGGGAAAAAAAAAGAAAAGAAGAAACTTTTGCAAATAAATTGATCCCATAGTGTAAGAGCAATCTTAGAAAATAGGGTTTGGTCTGAAACTATTTCTTGTTCTACCATAATTATTTATATATTACAGATGAGATAAAACATTATTGAACTTCTACACAGAAACCACCAGTGCTGATTTTTCTAGGCATTATAAAGAAAAACATACTTAGATGCTTCCTATGATCTTGTCATCTATTTCAGTCAATGTTAATATTGAAATCCTCATTTTCAATGTTCTCCCCAAAACACCTTTGATTTTATTTATGTTAGGCATGAATGAAAGAAAAAGGATATTCTGTTTATTGGAAATGGATCATGAATAAAAATGGTTTTCACAATCCTAAGGCTAGTTGTAGAGAAGAGAACTGAATTTGCAGTTTTGGCTGAACTAATTGGTCCCTTTACTCAATGGGAAATGTGGGCTACAAATGTCATGAGCTAAATAAGGCATATCTATGTTCTAATCCTATCTGTAACACTTACAACTTTGGAGAAGACAGTAATCTTTCTCAACCTGCATTTTTTAATTGATACAAGGAAAGTAATAACATTTTCAGTTGCCTGAAGTTGTTATAAATATTTGTTGAGATAAATGTAAAATATATAGAGAGCTTAAGGTATAAATTGCATTAAATATATTTTTATTTTTAATGATGGCATGATTAATGATTTTAATAAATTGAATTTTAATTATTAAAATGCAAAAAATGCAGAAAAGAACAATAATTCTTCAAACTCTTACTGTTCAGAATAAATAATTTCTTAAAATCTTGCTGTATTTCCTTTGGATTTTATCATTATGTATTTACTAAAAGTGATATATGATTATTATATAGTTCGAATAAGAGAGAAAAATATATAATAAAATAAAAACAATTTATTTCACAGCATAAAAATTATCATTTACTTTAGATTAACCTTATTACTACTAGAGATAGACATGAAAGATTATATGATTGGAAGGAAGGTAGTCAAGTTTAAAATCCAGGTCAGCTAACATCTGAGCCTGGAGTTCCTCTTTAAAGAACATTTATTCTCAACTTATGATTTATGAGGAAATTTGATACTATGTTTCCAAGTTGTGATTTTTATTTGTACATCACACTATAATATAGCTATCAGTAACACTGATGTCAATCATCGCCTTTGGTTTTATAGCCCATTATTTTCAATTACTTGTGTAGTTTTATTTTATGTCTTAATAAAAGAATTTTTACATCTTTAAATTACTATTTTCTTCTTATAGCCAATAAGTCTTATACTCTAAAAATTTAAAAACTTTCTGAACCAGTTGATTATAATCATCCACTATAAATATTAATCACCAGGCCAAGAATATGTCTTAGTTTATACTGTATTTAGTGCTATGCATGATATCTTTGTTTTTTTTGAGATGGAGTCTCACTCTGTCACCCAGGCTGGAGTGCAGTGGCACGATCTTGGCTCACCACAACCTCTGCCTCCTGGGTTCAAGCAATTCTCCTGCCTCAGGCTCCCTTGCAGTTGGGATTACAGTTGCCCGTCACCATGCCCGGCTAATTTTTGTATTTTAGTAGAGATGAGGTTTCACCATGTTGGCCAAGCTGGTCTCGAACTCCTGACTTTAGGTGATCCACCCTCCTTGGACTCCCAAAGCGCTGGGATTACAGGCGTGAGCCACCGCACCCAGCCGCATGATATGTTTTCAACATTATATATGAAAGAGAAAAAACACATTTACCAAAATCATATGTTGTAATAAATATTCTTGCTTTGTTTTGGTTTTCTGAAACCTGTGGAAATACCTTAAAAATTTCTAGAGGTTTTGGAATCTGTGTTATCCCTTTTGGCAGAAGTGTCACAATCTCATAATTTACTATGAAACTGACCATGGGTTTTCTGCAGTTGCCATGTTCTGAGCAGAAACGAGAGAGGAAATTGTTTTGTTTAGGCAGTTTTATAAACTTATCATCACAGCTGAACTAATCTGATCAAAACTCATGGTTCAAACTCTATATATATATCATGCAGTAGTTGTTGGATTATATATATAAATATATATATATAAATCTCCTTGATTATCCTATGTCCTTAATCATACTGTAAGTTTTAGAAATGTAAGAAATTTAAAGCAGACCAATTAATTTCTCTCACTGTACATTTAAGCCAACAAGGGCCCAAAGAAACACATTCCATAAGAGTAAGGGACACAGCTAGTTAGTGGCAGAACTGGGCTGAAAACCAGAAGGGTATCTTGACATCTAACCAAGCCCTCTTTCTTTTCTTGCTGTTGTTTTACTGACCACATTTCTCATTTTCTTTCCTGTTCTTTAGACCCAGGCAGAACTTCTCTTAATTAACATTGATAGATTGACCACTGGAACTGTGCTGGGTGCTATTTTCTCATGTAGCTCTATTTCATGAGGTTTATCTATTTTTTCATCATATTAACTTTAAACCAGTCTCTCACAGGTTTTTTAATACTTCTTAACAAAATTATTGAAGATATGGAAATTATTTTTGCTAAAAAGTCAAAAATTTATTTCAACTAAACACAAGGATAACTCTATATTGAGTTGGGTTTTTGCTAAAGATCTAGTTTTTTTTATATTGGCATCCTTAAGTAAATATTATCTAATATATATACATGATGCCATCCAAAGTACTGGAAACATTTGCTAAAATGCTTACATAAAATATTTAGTCTTTATTTTAAGAATATATGTCTGATACAGGGCAAAGTCAGCACTGGAAGATTTCCTCATATTAAAATAAGAGTTTTTTTTTTATTATTCAAAGTAAGCTCAATAGAGATCCAGGGAATTTTTCCAAACACAGTAGAAGAAATACTTGATAAATTTTAAACTTTATTAATTGACAAAGACAATTTGGCAAAAGTTTATAATTAAATTTTTTGGCCAAAAAATAAATATAATTACTATTGTCAGTAACAGCAGCAGTATCATTAAAAATGAATATTTTACATATCTTTTCGGGACTCAATTATGTTTTATTCTTAGAAATACCTCCTTAGGCAAACTCTGATTGACAATGAGTTTGGCAAATCTCAGCTTTATTTTGATGACATCATCGAATGTAGCATTGGGAAGAGAGGTGCACAGTTGACTCTTGTGTGCCATTATAAATTGGCTCCAGCAAAACACTGCATAAATAGTAACTTTGCTGTAAATATTACTGGATAACATTATATTAGTATGGAATTCTTGTCATATTTCACATATGAGTTATTTGAACAGACTCTTAATGACCTTTCAATACAATGGAGAAAGACTTATGTTCTAAGAAGAAAAGAGATAATGTAACTGCCCAAGGGGTCTTCCTTGCCCTCTGCCTAGACAGAGCCGATTTATCAAGACAGGGGAATTGTAATAAAGAGTTTAATTCATACAGAGCCAGCTGTGCAGGAGACCAGAGCTTTATTATTACGTAAATCAGTCTCCCTGAAAACCTGGGGATCGAGGTTTTCAAGGATAATTTGGTGGCAGGGGTTGGACAGTGGGGAGTGCTGACTGGTGCGGTGAGAGATGAAATCATTGGGAGTCCCAGCTGTCCTCTTGCACTGAGTCAATTCCTGGGTGGGGGCCACAAGACCAAATAAGCCATCAAGTACAGTGTCTGTAAAATATCTCAAGCACTGATCTCAGGTTTTACAAAAGTAATGTTATCCCCAGAAGCAATTTGGGGAGGTTCAGCATCTTGTAGCCTCCAGATGCATGACTCCTAAATCATAATCTCTAATCTTGTAGCTAATTTGTTAGTCCCACAAAGGCAATCTAGCCTCCAGGCAGGAAGGGAGTTTGTTTTGGGATGAGGCTGTGATCATCTTTGTTCCAAAGTTAAACTATAAACTAAGTTCCTCCAAAAAATAGTTCTGCCTAAACCCAGGTATAAATTAGGAGAGCGTAGAGGTTAGAAGCAAGATGGAATCAGGTAGATCTCTTTCATTGTCATAGTTTTCTCAGTTATAATTTTTGCAAAGGTGGTTTCAATAAGATCTTCCACACTGTATCTCCTGAGTTGAGAGGCTTTAAATATAAAGGTGAAAGTAAAGGTTCTTTATTTTTACTCCAAATATAATTTCTTCTGTTTTGTGTAAGCTACAATAAGAACTCTGAATATCTATCATTCTGATGTTCTTTTAAAAGGCAGTGGGGGTGAATGGAAATGTAAAAGAACCTGTAAGCTTCAAGACAAAATAAGAAACAAATGGCCTGTATTTAATTCATAAATAAGATGTAACCTCCAACATATCTTCAACAAGCAGGATTCTCCCAGAAAGCAAAAGTCTCTCATACAAAATCTTTTCTTGTTGCACATATGGAAGATTTTGCAGTTACAGTTACTTTGTATTCTATTCCACAGAACGCTATCAGTTTTTGGTTAGATATATTTAGAACAATAGTTATTAAGCTGTGATTTTTGGCTCCAAATTTCACTGTAACCCTCTCAGCTGGTCCAATAAAAAACTTTTTCTTAATAATGCTAAGAAAGTATTTGCCTTTCTCACTGTGTATGCATTTGAATTCATGATACAAAAGCAGTGATATGTAAAATCATTGATGTGTTATCAGGAATTGAGGCAGTGATACCAAATAATTTTTCCCGCCACACATGTGAAAAAAAATACCTGTTTCACCTAAGAATGTCTTCGAAAATTATTAATTTTATTAAATCTTTTAATTTGAAAACATGTCTTTTTATATTCTATATGATGAAAATGAGAAATATATATAAAGTGCATTTCTGCTGCCCATCCAAGTATGAAGATTGTATCAAGAAAAATAATTGTGCAGTTGTTTGACTCGTGAGCTGATGTAGCTATCTGTTGATACTAAACACCATTTCCACTTGAAAGAATGACCGTCAAAGTATTGTTATTCAGAATTTAGTGTTACGAAGTTAAGGAACAGAACTGTTTACTTAAAGGAAAACAACTAACAGTGTGTGTTGCAAATAATGAAATTTTAATTTCAAGAGAAACAGAATTTTGCAAAACTTTTATCCACCATTATGAGCTTGACAGTTTCTCAATACAAGAAAATGTTTCTGATGAGCTCAATGGTGATATTAACATGTGATTATTAACATTTAGCCTAGTTAAGGGTATCAACTTTTGTGAAATCTACACAACCCAGTAAACTGATAATTTTTCAAATGATCAGTGACCTTACCAAAAATTCACTTTATATCTAAGATATATCAGTGAAATTAAACAGATTATGAGAAGTTCATTGATACAATTTTCATTCCAAATTGCAACTAATCTTTAAGAAACTACTGTTTGTAAAGCTGGGTGTAACATCAAATTGGACTAACTGCACCAATCATAAGGCTATTAAAATACTCCTCCCTTTTTCAATTACATGTCTATGTGAGTCCAGATTTTCTTCACATATTAAACCAAAACAAAATATCACAACATATTGAGTGTAGAATCAGTTGTGAGTTCACATATATATTAAGAGAATGAGAGATTATATACACTGGGCACAAAGAAAGTATAAGACCAGTAAATTTTTTATTGATTTAAGATTTTTTTTTGCCATCAGGTAGACTATATGAAGAATTATAAACCATATATCTTCCTCTAGAGCTATTGTTTTAAGTATGTTTTTGCATTCATCTTAAGACTTCAGTTTTCTCTTCATGTGTAATGGAATATGTTGAAGGCTCATAATGTGCTAATAGTCAGTGTAATGATTTGTAAACTATATTCTACAACTCATTGGAAAATATAATAAATAGAGTAATAAAATATTTGGGGCACATTGTCCAATATATTGCATGTGTTTGTCGGTTTTTGCTGATTATAAATCTGTACAGTACTTTAGCGTCTTTTACAAGACTACTTATCAGGACTGAAGCAATAGCTTTGATTAAATTGATGAATCTCCAGAACAATACTTAAAATACATGAGGGTTAGATATTTTGATAACTCAGGTTGCTTGAGATAAAAAAACAGCTTTTGCATGGAACTTAACTAGAATTTACTGGTAATATTAACATCGTTTATTGTGGAAATTTACTAGGTCAGCCTTCTTACTCAAAGTCATGTTAATGAACAGTGAAATTTAATCCAACAAATATTAATTATGTATGTCACAATTAGTGGACTATAGGCTGTGAATTACTGTGAAGTCAACATTTTAAAAAAAACAGTATCCATAATGCAAATGTAAAGGCAAATCTGGGTATACTTTTTTTCACTATTAAGTTTGGGGCACAAATAACCTGGAAACATTTCAAATTAATGATTTTATTTCTTTACAGACTTAACCTAAGAATCTGTGGGAAAGCATCAGTGCCACTAGTAGGCTGCAATTTGTTTACTTTTTATGATTCATTTGTCCCTGTTTATGAAAATATATTATTAAAATGGAAAATAAAACTGAATGCAATTGTGAAAATAAAAAACACTTTGAATTTATCTGTCCCTTATATTCTGTCAAAAATTTCCTTGCATAATATAATTTTTACTTCTTCCAAAAAAAGTCAGAGGGTACAATAACAGTTGTATAAGTGAATTTATACAAAATATTTTTCATTAAAAAAATAGTAAAGTTTAAGTTCAATAACTATTATGTCAATACCTGCTTAAGTTAACAATATGCTAAACCACAGTTTTTCTATGAGAAAACTGACTTAAAATTAATTTTAAACAGACATTTTATGTCTGTATTTTATGCAGACATACAATAAATATTTATCATCGACTCTTATGGGCTAAACACTATTAGATGTAAGAAGGAGCAGAGAGATGAATAAGAAATTACTTTCCACACAGAGTTAAATATCCAATAAACATGGTCTGTAATTTTTTCCAGTAGATTAACATTATCTTGGATTGATGCAATTGTTCCAAAAGTGAGTTCTTCAAACATACTTAAAAACATCAGTACTTTTATTTATAGGTTTTTAGCAAAGCATTTGCTTCTGAATAATGAAAGAAAAATTCTAGCAGTGGATATTTTTAGGTCAATAACTATGCAGCTTTTAATCTACTTTCAGCATTTCTAAAATAACAGAAGCTATTCCTAGAAAATCCATTATATTTTTCTGTTCACTGAATTTGTTGAATAATGATAAAGGACTAAATTCACTTCAGTTTTAACTCCCCCTCTCTTTCTTTTGGCCAGAGACAAGAAATCAGAAATAAATATTGAAGTACCTAAAATAATTCTCTTCTGTTTCAGTATTCACAACTTCTTTTTTTAATCTTTACTTTTACTTTATTTTATTTTAGAGACAGGATCTTGCTTTGTTCCCCAGGCTGGAATACAGTGGCATGATCATAGCTCACTGCAGCCTCATACTCCTGGGCTCAAGGGGTCCTCCCACCTCAGCCTCCCCATTATCTGGAATTACAATGTGTGCCACTGCATCTGGCTAATTTTTTAAATATTTTTTTTGTCGTTGAGACAGGGTCTTGCTATGTTGCCAGTCTGGTTTTGAACTCCTGACCTCAAGTGACCCTCTGGCTTTCACCCCACAAAGTGCTAGGATTACAGGTATGAGCCATCATGCCTGGTCCACCACAATTCTTTTAAATTTACCCTTTTACTCAATCTTCCTTTGTAAAAAAAAACTATTATCTTATTTACCTTGGGTTCTGTAGTTATTAGGTAAATTAAAAATTACTAATTGTAGACTAAGACAAAACAAAGCAAAATAAAAGTCCATGAATCTTTACAACAATTTGAAATAATTGAAGGACTACACACTATTTAGAGAAACAAATTGCTAGCATAAATATCTTGAGGAAATTTAGACCTAGTCTTCCTATATTTATTTTCTGTTTTAAAAAATATCATTCAAATTTCATCCACATAGGGGTGATAAGACATATTTCACAGATCCATACTCATTCATTCATTAATTATTAAACATCTACAATGTGGTTGAGTATAAATTATTAAAAATGAAACATTAATATGAATCAGATGTATTAGTTGCTTGCAGCCTCATAACAAAAAGTAGACATGCATTTATTCAGATGTATTGCAAGCATAAATAATGACAAGATCAGGGATATAAGAGATGAAATTCCAGATCTTAAGAAGTTTATTAGCTAGAGTGGTGAGAGAGATTTAAATATGTACAATTTTAATACTGTGTGATAAAGTATTGCAAATAGAACAGTGCCTAATTTTCATAAAGTTTTTAGGTTTTTAGGAGAGCTTCCATAATGTCAGAAATGTTTTTTTTTAAATATAAGAAGCAAATTAGCTGTACATTCAAAAAAGTACAATGAATGAAAGAAAGGATTAAGTTCTGGCTGGGCACGGTGGCTCACGCCCGTAATCTCAACACTTTGGGAGCCCGAAGCGAGTGGATCGCTTTAAGTCTGGAGTTCAAGACCAGCCTGACCAACATGACGAAACCCTGTCTCTACTAAAAAACACAAGAAGTAGCAGAGCACGTGGCGCATGCCTGTAGTCCCAGCAATTCAGGAGGCTGAGGTACAAGAATCGCTTGAACCCCGGACGTGGAGTTTGCAGTGAGCCGAGATCGCGTCACTGCACTCTAGCCTGCGCAACAGAGCAAAACTTCCTCTCAAAACAAAACAAAACAAGACAAAGAAAGGATTGTCGTTTTAAAACGATGGAGAAAATACTCAGTTTCTGAATGAGTGACACTAGAGAAGTCAGACTGCATGGGTGTGAATCTGTATTACATCACCTACTATTCTGTGTGACCTTGAGAAATTAGCCCCGTTCTGGACAGAGTAGGGAAAACAATAGTACTGATATCAAAGACTTATTTTAGAGATTAAATGCGGAGGTAGAGATAAAGTGCTTAAAACTATGCCCAGCACTCAGCAACTACTCAATGCATACAGTATGGCAAGAGGAAAAAAGGAATGACTCTAAAGCGGTGAAACCTGACAAGCACTACCTCAGGTCAACATCAACAGTAATGTCATGTTGAAAATATGTACTTTTTATATAATTTGATGAGAATGGCACTTTAGCTCTGTGGCCTTCTTCAAAAGATCACATAACCCCAGTCTGATCAAGAGAAAAACATTAGATAAACCTCAATAGAGAAACTTAATAAACGTCAAACAAGTCAACTAAGATAAAATGTGACACTTCCACCAAACGTCTTTCCAAAAAAATACCTGTTAGCTGACTCCAATCACATCTCCATTACTCTTCTTGTAAAATGTGAATCAAGCCCAAACATGTAGCATTTATTGACCAACATAAAAAAAATCTCTGAACTTTGGAAATGGTCTTTTAAAGATATTTCTATGCCTTGGAGCCATTTGTGACTCAGTAAGAATGAGTTATGTTTATGGGTAAAAGAATGAGTGAGAATAGTAGCACATATAAAAAACAAAAGAAATGGTGGATGAAGAAAATTGAAAATGGGAACCCAGCAAAAAAAATAAATACTAAATCAGGGCAAGTAGATAAAAAATGTGCACAAGTACAAAAAGGGATAACCTGTTATGATATTGTATTTTTTAGCTCCAATTGTCTTAATTTTGTGTGTGTGTGTGTGTGTGTGTGTGTGTGTGTGTGTGCGTGTGTGGAAGGTGTAGGTTGCTGTTGCGGTTTCACATATAACAATGACAAAAGACGTGCCTCTAATGTTTTCAATCACTTGAGGACTAATTTTAAAGACTGCAGCAGGATGCTATCGTAAGTGATCTGTGTTACATATTTCTTTAGTGCCCGTTATAAACCAAATGCCATTTGAATACTTAAAGGTGAAAGTTCCTGAATTCATGTATTTTCTTGGTCTTCTGAAGCACCAGAATTTTATAAGAACAGAAAAGTAAACATTGGTTTGCACCTCTTGAACCCTACACTTGAATACAGGAAAGTTCAGTTAATGGTATCTCAGTATGCTGCATGTCATGTGCAAGTCATATGGCATAACTTAAGGTGTGTGTGAGTTTGAAATATACTGATACAAGAAAGCTTTTGAAAGTTTGTTGACGGTCTGCTTAAAATCATTTCCAAGAGAGAAATGTTTCTCAAAAAATATTCTCAGTAAGCAGAAATAAAGGGACGCTCATTCAAAGACAGGAAGCTGTGTAAAATGCTCTGTCCTCTATCCCTCTCTTGTAACTCACAAAGCACCTTAGTTTAGAAAAGGCTGCAATAAAGACACTAGTTTTCCTTTTTAATTTTTACTGTAGTCTTTTCATGAACTTATTTGGCATGTTTTACAATTTATTTTTTAAATAATAATATCCAGAGGAATTATGTTCCACCATTTACACGATGGAAAACATTGCTTTTATTATGCAATAGAAAAAAAAAAGAAATAAGCTGAAGCCAGTGTTCTGGAGCCAGCAATGCCTTTGCCAAATCGTGCAAACTTGGGCAAATCCTTTAAGGCTTCCGTGTTGTTTCTTCATCATACATTACCTTAGATATAGGATTTTATTTCGGAATACCTTTTGTTCAGAGTTGCATTGTGCAATGTAACCTCATAATGGAGAAAACTCGCATTTATTCTTCACATTATCGGCCACAATGTTTTGGATCTTATGCACCAGTACTATTTATTAATTAATTAATTTATTTTAATAGGTGGACCACAATGGACGGCCAACTTATATTTTAGGAATATGGAATTCACAACAATATCCAAAACCTATTATATCATTGTCAGTTTATTAATGAAAATGTACCAACATCAAATTTTTAGAAAAGAGAAAACTTAAGAATAAGGAACATAAATTATATTAAATAAATATATTCACTGTAATTATATTCTTATGTTGCAAACAACCCAACTTCAAAAAGATCAATGCAAGGCCAAGGGATGGAACTTTGAGAAGTATTGCTTCTCCAAATATAGGTATCTAAATTCTCATAAAATTCCTGATTATAATATTCCATATTTGAAATGTTTCTAGTATTTATTAATAGTACTTTATGTTGCTATTTACAAGTGAAATAAGGAATATAGTAATTCCAACCTTTTAATTTAACTTAGTTCCGTTTAGCCAAGGATTAAGAGGCTGTACACACTAAATCCTTCATATCTTTTGGACCTTATTAGAATTATGTGTCAGTTACAACAGCTTAAACACTTGAGATATTATAGCATTAATTGTAACCACAGTATGGTTTTTCTTCCTTCTCTCTCTCCCTCTCGCTCTTGGTTGCTGACTTTTAGTTAGGTGCATGGATCATGGCTGCCAACTTTACTCACAGCCTTGGCCTCATGACTAAGTTTGGAAAAATGATATTTGAGTAAAAGTCAGGCATGTGATTTGTAGGTCACCTGTTTAAAAATGAAACCTCTTAGCCAGGCATAGAGGTGTGCACTTGTAGTCCCAGCTACTCAGGGGGCTGACAGAAAAATTGCTTGCACCCAGGACTTTGGAGATGCAGTTAACTATGATTATGCCACTGCATTCCAGCCTGAGTGACAGAGCAAGACCCTGTCTCAATAAATAAATAAATAAGTAAATAAATAAATAAATAAATAAATAAAATGAAGCCTTTTGCCTTAAGCTTCCTCTTTTCTTCTTCCCACTAGCAGACTGGATATAGCGGTGGCTAGCTTCAACCGTTGAGACAAGGACAACTCTATGAAACGGCATAGTAAGAAAATAAAAGAAACACAGGTCTTCGAATGGTGTTATAGAGCAGAGCTGTTCTGTTTTGCACCACTCAGCTCTGTCTCATGAGAGAGAACTGTATTAATGTTTTATTTAAGCCACTATATTTTGGAGTATCCTTACTACAAC
This sequence comes from Homo sapiens, assembly GCF_000001405.40. Lineage (NCBI taxonomy): Eukaryota > Metazoa > Chordata > Mammalia > Primates > Hominidae > Homo > Homo sapiens. The sequence goes on along the minus strand of NC_000010.11, from coordinate 65,620,320 downwards.
ATCTTAACTTTAACTAATGCAGGTATTTAAATAGCAAATAATTTCAGTCATTGTAAACAAAATGAAACAAAAATGGAAGATAGAAAAAAATCACTACTATTTAAAAGTTCAATTTATTAGGTTTATACTTTTTTCTGCTTAATTTGTGAATTTACTGAAAATAAATGCATTTTGTGATTAGCAACTTGATTAGGAATTTAAAAATTTATGAATTAGTTAATCCAAAATAGTATTTAAGGCCAGAATAAGCAGATACGGCAGTTAAAATATCCATTTCAGGTAGCTGTTTTATTAACAAAGGTGCATGTTAAAATTATAATTACAGAATAATATTAGTTATTCTTAATAGCAGCCAAATAATATATTTTTTTACAAACTGCCTCCTACATGAAAATAGAATTTTAGATCGTGTCTTTTGTGAAACTAATTTATTTAATGTAAATAAATTGATGTATTTAGTAACTATTATGTGCCACCAATATTCTCAGTCCAAATATTGTTACACTTGGATTTGTGATCAAATCATTATTCACACATAAATTGGGGTTTTACTTCTAAAGATGTGTTGTGGTTGTGCAAGTCTATGAGAAGTTATTCATGGACAGACATTTAATAATCTGCTTAAGCAAAGTACTAAATGTGAGATTTCTGGGTGTAACCCATCCTGTGTGGGGAAAACATAAATGATAATTTGACCAACTTTAAATGAAGATTCTTTGTGGGCAATATTACACCAATTTTTTTTCCCAACTGAGAAATGCAGCAATTAAGAAGTATACATGGGAAAACATAAACATCAAAATATGACATTATTTCTGGTTGAACTTAACAAGAGAATGTGACTCTAATACCCTACCCAGGATAGCTACCTAATTTATTGGGCCTATTTTGAGACAGGGATAGCAGAATATTAAACCAAACATTGTACTCTTCTAAGCATGGGACTCTGTACAAGTGCACAGGTCATGTATCCATGAAGCTAGCCCTGAATTTCTCTATATTCACATATAAATAGTGGAATTCATTTTTCAGAAGAATATCTTTCTATTGCAGCCACAAAAGGAATTCTGACTTTCTTCCCACTTGTCAATCACAGTGTGCCCTCAAGGCCAAGAGGGTCTGAAGGGACCAAGCTTTGGGCTAGATGTGAAGAGAAGGGAGATGTTCTCTCTATGCTTCCACAAAGAAAATGATTCTACTTTATGGGCTAAACAGTGTGTGCTAAAGCGAGAGAAGTACTTCTCCTCTCAATTTACAAATTTTTGTCCACTTGACGTATTGGATTTGGTGGTAAATGTGTTTCTTTCCTGGCCAGGGGAAATTCCTGGTCAGCCCCAGGAGTGCTAAAGTTAGAGGGTTGGGGCTGGAGTTAGGGCATAATATTAATTCTGTTCCCCTATCTCCAAATTCTCAGTCAATTGGGTGATTTAGAAAAAAAAAAATAGGAATCCAAATACCAGTTTCTGTGTATATTACTAGAAGAAGTCTATTGAAGAACTTGGTTTGAACTGAAGGTCAAAGTTAGGTTTGATACTATCCACCCCCGACTCCACCCCTGCCCCACCAAATTCACCTCTGTACTTAAATGTGGGAAAATTTGGGTCTCCATAGCAGACACTTTCCAAACCAGCCATATAAAAGATCTTGTCTTGTCTCATCCTATGTTCTAAAACAAGAGATTTGTGATATTAACAAAGAAAACTGTGGACACAGTTATAGCTGACTTAAATCATATTCCTGTTATTGGGACAAACCTATCAAAATGAATGGAAGAATGAAATCATCTTTCCATTAAAAAGACTAAAGTTCCAATTTTATAGGATAGTAGGAATCTGAGGAGAAAAAAAAAAAACAACTACTAAATTCTTTCTATGTCACATAGCTCCAGCACCTTGGCAGGCATCTGAGTACTATGGAGAAGGAAGCATTTGCTTTCCTTTCTTTTCCTTTCCTTCAACTCTGCCATGGTAGCACAAAAATAGCAGCTATAGTAATATGTAAACAAACGTTATTTTAAAAAATTGGTTGCAGGCCAAAATTTGCTGATCCCTGTTCCAGAACTATTAAATGACTCAATTTAGGGAATGTTTCCCTAGGATTTAGAATACATTCAGTTGTGAATTTTCTTCATATTTAGTGAGCTTAATTTTGTAAATCATGAAATTAAAATTATCAAATAAGAAAATTGTCATACATTTTGAAGAGTTGTATTTGATACAAAGTATTTAATAAATGGTGTTGGGAAAACTGGCTAGCCATATGTAGAAAGCTGTAACTGGATCCCTTCCTTACACCTTATACAAAAATTAATCCAAGATGGATTAAAGACTTAAACGTTAGACCTAAAACCATAAAAACCCTAGAAGAAAACCTAGGCATTACCATTCAGGACATAGGCATGGGCAAGGACTTCATGTCTAAAACACCAAAAGCAATGGCAACAAAAGCCAAAATTGACAAATGGGATCTAATTAAACTAAAGAGCTTCTGCACAGCAAAAAAAACTACCATCAGAGTGAACAGGCAACCTACAAAATGGGAGAAAATTTTCGCAACCTACTCATCTGACAAAGGGCTAATATTCAGAATCTACAACGAACTCAAACAAATTTACAAGAAAAAAACAAACCACCCCATCAAAAAGTGGGCGAAGGACATGAACAGACACTTCTCAAAAGAAGGCATTTATGCAGCCAAAATACACATGAAAAAATGCTCATCATCACTGGCCATCAGAGAAATGCAAATCAAAACCACAATGAGATACCATCTCACACCAGTTAGAATGGCGATCATTAAAAAGTCAGGAAACAACAGGTGCTGGAGAGGATGTGGAGAAATAGGAACACTTTTACACTGTTGGTGGGACTGTAAACTAGTTCCAACCATTGTGGAAGTCAGTGTGGTGATTCCTCAGGGATCTAGAACTAGAAATACCATTTGACCCAGCCATCCCATTACTGGGTATATACCCAAAGGACTATAAATCATGCTGCTATAAAGACACATGCACATGTATGTTTATTGCGGCACTATTCACAATAGCAAAGACTTGGGACCAACCCAAATGTCCAACAATGATAGACTAGACTAAGAAAATGTGGCACATATACACCATGGAATACTATGCAGCCATAAAAAATGATGAGTTCATGTCCTTTGTAGGGACATGGATGAAATTGAAAATCATCATTCTCAGTAAACTATCGCAAGAACAAAAAACCAAACACCGCATATTCTCACTCATAGGTGGGAATTGAACAATGAGATCACATGGACACTGGGGGGAAACATCACACTCTGGGGACTGTTGTGGGGTTGGGGGAGTGGGGAGGGATAGCATTAGGAGATATACCCAATGCTAAATGATGAGTTAATGGGTGCAGGACACCAGCATGGCACATGTATACATATGTAACTAACCTGCACATTGTGCATATGTACCCTAAAACGTAAAGTATAATAATAATAAAAAATAAATAAATAAATAAAAGAATTTAAAAAATGGGGGAGAGTGAAGAAAATAACCAAAATTTAAATTTTAATTATGCCAGGCATTTTGGCTTAGAAACCATTTAGAAAATGACTTCCATCAGGAAAACAGTTGGTTTAATGAATTAGAGCATTAACACTAAGAGCCTTAGGTTCATGACTCAACTGTTATTACTCTTGCCATTTGCAAAGCTTGCTTAGGGCTTCGTTTTTGAGACAAATGAAAAAAGGATTTAACTCCGTTGGTTCCACAGACATTAATGGAATCCATTCATCTACCTTGCCATGCTCTGCCTAGAAATTTACTCTTTAAGGCTTATATTTACAACTTTAAGTATGGCCTGTGAGCTTGCCTTAGGGTTAAAAAAAAAAAAAAAAAACAGACAAAAACTGAATTTACTAACTCTGATTATTTAAAAATAATTTCCATGAAAATGTGATGTATTAGTTGCTTATTCATAAGATACACTTCCTGGACATAGTTTCTCTTATTCAGACTCTAACCTTCAAGACCAAATGAGACAAAGAATGAGTCAAATTTTCCTTTGGTGCTAATCTCCATTCCTCCCTTCTACAAGAAACACTATTTCTTTCATTTTAAAAAAGTTGAACTGTACAAAATTCAATGTGCTCCTCAGATGTTAGCTAAATAATTGTTTAATGTTTCAATGAAAACAAATGTGTGTCAGAAACATCTTGAAGAATCCATATTCTAAATATAGAACTGCATTTTCTCATTAAATTTCTGTATCTATATCAAACTGGCAATGTTAGATAAATTCCAAATTAAGTAGATGGTATAAGTAGACTTTTTAAAGGGGTAAAAACAATGTTTACTTCTGAAAGGATACATGGAATAGTCAAAAGGAAAGAAAATAGTTTTAAAGAAATAGCCTTCAGTGCAATCAAGGTAAATTTACCATTTACTACTGAAACTGTGCCTCTTTCAGGATATCAAGCTGGGAAAAGTTAGCCAGTGATATTTGTAAATATCACTGTAAAATATCCAGTAAATATTTGTATTATTAGTCAAATATTCACAGTCCCTTCATTTGAGAGGATCTTACCTGCCCAGTGGCATGTCACTTGTAGTGCCTCTTGAGAAAGGAACATATAGCTCTTCACCCAGTTGATGTTAGGCTTGGTCACATGTCTTGCTTCGGACAATAATCCATGAGCACATGTGTCACACACTGTAGAAAGTAAAAAAGTTCCCTTCAAAGCTCGTCTTGGTTTAAAAATAAAATAATAGACACTAGAAATAATAGCTTCTTACTCTAAAGCCTCCTATCAACTATTAGTTCTTACACTTTAGCCCAGTTAGTTGCTTTGTCTTACCCAGGCATGTCTGGACAGGCCCAGGCAAGTCTTAGCTCATAGCTTATGCCTCTTCCTTACTTGGAAATGTTATTGCTTCCTTAAACCTTTCATAAGCAATTTTCTCTCCTTCTTGGTTCTCCCTTGCACTTACCTATTTAGAAAACTTTTAGGTTATTAGCAAATCAGGTATCAGTTTAAGACTGTGAGGTCCAGCTCCAGCCAATGGAGGCAGGACACAGCAGTAAAGACAAACCAAATGCGTAAGGGATAAATATGTCTGCTTTCCCTTTGTTCAAGTGTGCTCTCGCCATTGTTGCATCTGTGAGCAGCACCCTTTCTGCAGAAAGTAAAGGTTGCCTTGCTGAGAGATTCTTTGTCTCTGTGCTGACTTTTCTTCACAGTACTGATTATCTATTTTTAACACACACAATATCCAAGTGGCAGTAATAAGACCCATGATGTTTCTATAATTTGCCTTTCACTTTACTTATGCTATATGATCAGCATGTATCATATCTAGGCTGCTTGATTTGAGCAAATCTGACCTGTAATCAATCTACAGAATCTGACCTGCCATATAGGTAAGAAATAAACTTTGCTATTTTATAAGCCAATGAAAATATGAGGCTAATTATTATTGTAGCATAACAAACACACACACACAAAGACTCACTGATTAATCACTCATTATATAGGTAAGATGTTGCAATTGTATGGTCACTGAAATTACAAAAGCTAAAGAAGTCAGGTTACTAACAGTATTGATAATAATTGTCACTTTTACTTATAGTAAAATAGATTCTTTTCCTCATATTTGTATATTCTGGAGTTTTCCTGAGATTACATAGAGGACCACTGTATTACAAAGACTCAATATTGTTGACTGAGAAATCCCTTTGCTCTATCCTGCCAGTATTTAAAGGGTCTCTATCTTCCATAGAGAAATTATTTCTATAGGTTTCCCTTTCAGAGTAATTCCCTGAATTATGTCACATCACTTCTAGGCTCAAAACCCTTCAGTGCATTTCCATCTTATTAAGGCTAAAATACAAAGTTGTTACCATGGCCTTCAAGGCACTACATGAGCTAGATCCTCTCTTATCTCTCTAAACTCATGTCCTTTTACTCTGACTACAAAATACTTTTTATTACCTATATCAACCTCCTTGTTTTGTTTTTTAAATACACAGAACATGCTCCAACTTTAGGACTTCTTACTTGTTTGTTCTGTGTGGAATACGAAATACTACTCACTCAGACTGGACCATCACTCTCCATCTCCTGATTTTGCATTCTTCTTCATCTCACTTATCACCACTTTTCATATTACATACTAAAGTGTTTTCTCTCTCATTCTCTAGAATATAAGTTCCATAAAGGCAGTGACTTTTTCTGTATTTTGTTATGGCTACATCCCAAGTGCCAGGAATAGTGCTTGGAACATAACAGATAATCAATAACTTTTTAAATATATGTGTATTTGAGAGTAATAGATTCCATATGGTACAATATTAGAAATAATGCTAGCTATAACTGAATTTACCTTTATTGCATTGAAGGCTATTCCTTTAAAATGATTTTCTTTCCTTTCAACTGTATCTTTTAAATGTATTTATCTGGGTATCACTTCATTTCCCCAAAAAAAGTAAACTGTTAGCAGCAATTTAACTGAGATTTTTACACTATTAAGAAAATATTAAACAGAAGTATTACTAAAGAAGAAATAGTACTGAGAATCATAAGAATAATAATAGATATCTTAGATCATGAAATTGTTTGATTTCAATATAATAGCTAACCTAACCATTACATAATAACAATTTTTATTTAGTACACCCACATTACTTAATTTAAATGAGAAGTATGTCAGTATGAGTCAGTTGACTTGTGGTTAAGTCTCTTTTTTCACATATGAATTATATGGTTATCCCTAGCTATAAGTAATGTATGAAAGGAAAACAATGAAGTCAAAGAAATTTGAAGTGGATTAAATCAGTTATCATAATTCAACATATTAAGTTAGAAAATCAGTAATGGATTGTCTAGGTACATTTATAAGAGTTAATGAAAAAGAGGGAAGCAGGGATTATGTCAAGATACTTCATTAGCAAGAATTTGGGTGAAAGTTATCATTTTAAAAATTCTAACTTTTTAAAATTTTAGTTTTAAGGTAATATTTTAAAAATGTTCTATAGGCAAAGATGTGACAACTGAACAAGGGGAAGTTTGCAGGAATAATTTTTTTTATTTTAGTTATATTAAATTTGCAATGGAAGGCTTGAGTTCAGGGTTATCTAGGATAGGCTAGAAATTTTGGTTTGGAAATAGAAGTTCCTAGAAGGGACTAAAGAAAGAGAATAGAGAAGGATCCAGCACCAGGACCTGAAGAAGTCCATCACTTAAACATTTACTCAAGTAGGGAGAACAAACTATGGGGACTAAAGAGGAGTGACCAGTGAAGATAAAAAAAAAATGGTGTGTAATAGGAAGAAATGGGTAGTCAACTGTGTTAAATCTCTGACAAGTATAATTACATGAAAGTTGTAAAAGTGAATGGAAGGATATGTCTTCTAATTCAAAAATCTTGAGTTGTTAAAATAATGTAAGAATGATGAGGCACCATCAGGCATTGTACTTTATGTAATATATATTTATAAGACATATTCAATATGAGAAAGCTTCTTAGGAAAGAATCTTACTGGATGAAAGGGGACTAACAATGAGATCTTGAAATGAGTGTGAAATCGTCAAGAGAAATTGATTGAGGGGTAGGGAAGAGAAGAGAGAAAACTGATAAGAGAAATGAAAGGACGCAAAGGCAAAACTCGTTTCTGAAAAAAATGCCTTTCTTAGGTGTGAATTTCATTAGTAATTAACATAAAACTGTTTAGACAGAGCTCACTGTGTTAGGCTTTGTGACAATGACTTTACATGTCTGTATTAAGCTATACAACTATGGTAATCAGGTAGGATATATTACAATGTTAATGATGGCAAAAATGAGAAGAAATTTAAATAAATCTAATAAATATTAAATTTTTATATGTCTAAGAAATGTTAGAAGTATCAAAATTTAATTTGTTTAAGATTCCAAGGGGTTCTACCCCTTAACAATGAGGTTACTTGGCTAAATTATTTTATTGTAAATGTCAGGGAGAAAAGTTATTCAAATAATACTCTCTGGAAGTACATCCTAGCCATAAAAATGCTAGACTGTTTTCTCTGCTGCATTGTTTGTCTCTCTTTTTTTTTTTTTTTGAGAGGGAGTCTTGCTCTATCTCCCAGGGTGGAGTGCAGTGGCCTGATCTTGGCTTATTGCAACCTCCACCTCCCGGGTTCAAGCTGTTTCTGTCTCTTATTTTCTGTTTTACTTCAGGTGAATTATCAACACATTTCCACTCAAATAAACATATTTTATATTTAAAAAAATTTTTCATAATTCAATTTCTCAATTCTATCAATAGGACAAGCAGCTTAATGAGTTAATTACAGATATGAGCTTACTTTCAACCTATGCCTGATTTAAAAGCATCTACATTTTCTTCTTACAAGCTTTAATTGAATAACTACATAAAAATTATTTTACATCAAGGATACTTCTGAGTGAGTTGGTGTATGAAAGCTCTATGCATAACACAAGTTCACAGAGATTAAGTCAGCCAGATTTTATATGGCAGGAAGCCATCGTAAATGCATGCAGGCGGTTTGACACACAGACCATAGGCATTGTGTAAAGAAAACTATGAATAACTATACTGTTCATAAACACTGTCTGAGACATACATCTCCATGACATTTTCTTGAGCAAAAAAAGTCCCTTAGAGACATGAGCTTTTATAAACCCATTAAAATGATATCTTGTAAGCTGTTGCTTCCATTTTCTAAATACTTGCTGAGTTTTTCTGGAGGCCTGTGGTATATTTTTATCTGGCACGTAGCTGACTTAAACATATTAATATTTTCAAATGCAAGGGCCAGCCTTCAATTATTATTTTATAATTTAGAAGTGAATTTTATGACTATTTTCTTCAAGCAACTTATTTCTTCATCCAAATGGTTCCTCAATAATTATGTATTATCTTACACACTATATGGATGGAGTATAACTAATATCTCTGCAGACTGGCATATGTTCACCACAGTCAACATTGTTGCCTTTGAAACAAATGGCTCTGATTATTATAGATAGATATGCTAATCACAGACTACATGGTAAAGGTGAAAAGAAGAGTATGTATTTTTTCAGAAGGCACTTACAACATATAACATTACCCCTTATTGTTCTACTCTCAAATTTTACAAACTTAACATTGACATTTTTAGCAGAGGAAATATAAATTGACAAATTTTAAGTCTGGTAATCCTGCTGAGCCACAATTCAACTCAGACTATTTTACAGTGTTGATACATTTTAATATGGATATGCTCCCTTAAAAATTCCACCTTCCACCATGATTTGAAGTTTGCAACAGGATTAAAATTGAGTGTTAATTTTCTACACTCATATAGACAGGAAATTACCTACAATGAAACCAAAGATACAAAATGAATGGCTAATCTATGTATTAGAGGCTAGCTGTGTATATTCAATGTTGAATGGGTTCTATTTCTTGAGAAAAATTACTAAAATCACCAAGCACAAAGGTGTAATCAACTGAAATATTCACCTAAATGGTAGCAAAGAATTGTTACACATCCATTGTATGCCACCATGACTTTTAAAACCTACATAAAGTTTACAATTTTTTACGTTTTTTTAATCACATGAATGCTTATAAATTATATATAATACACTGTTTTACAGTTTAGGCATGGTTATGATTCTATGCAATGGTACTGGTGCAAATTATGTTTAATAGCAACATCGCAATATGTGTGTTATGATATATTATTATTTTTTTCTTTTTGAGACAGAGGTCTAGCTCTGTCGCTAGGCTGGAGTGCAGTGGCACAATCTCAGCTCACTGCAACCTCTGCCTCCCGGGTTCAAACGATTCTCCTGCCCTTGCCTCCCAAGTAGCTGGGATTACAGGCACGCGCTGCCACACCCAGCTAATTTTTGTATTTTTAGTAGAGACAGGGTTTCACCATGTTGGCCAGGATGTTCTCTATCTCCTGACCTCATGATCGGCCCATCTCATCCTCCCAAAGTGCTGGGATTACAGGTGTGAGCCATTGCGCCCAGCCATGATATATTCTTAATAGCTTTATTGAGGTATAATTTATATCTCATAACATTTTCTCATTTAAAAAGTATAGTTCAAGGACTTTTAGTGTATTCACAGAGATTTATAACCATCACTACAATCTATTTTAGAACACGCCAGATAAAATCTCATACCCATTACCAGTTACTCCCTATGTCCCAACCCAGACACATACCCTCTCAAGCTTTTGAAAGCCACAAATCTGCTTTAGTTTCTATAATATTTGGGGCCTTTTGAAGAACATTTTCTTTTTAAAATTATATTTTCAATTGATAGATAAAATTGTATATATTCATCATGCAAACATGATGTCTTGAAGTACATACAGATTGTGGAATGGTTAAATCTGGCTAATTAATATATAAATTACCTAACATAGTCATCATTTTTATGGTAAGCAAATTTAATATCCACTCTCTTAGCATTTTTAGGAATACAATTTATCATTATTAATTCTAGTCACCATGCTATACAATGAATCTCTTGAATATATTCCTCCCATCTACCGACCAACCAACATCTTCCCAACCCCTTCACAACTTGCACAGCCCCCTGGTAACTACTATTATTCTCCTCTCTATTTTCTTCTCATTCTCCTGCTCTTTTCTTCTTCTTTTCTTGCTATATTGCCCAGGCAGTTCTTGAACTCCTGGGCTCAAGTGATCTTCCTGCTTCAGCTTCCCAAAGTGCTGGGATTACAGGCATGAGCCACTGTGCCTAGCCCTACTCTGTACTTCTGTGAGATCAACTTTTGAAGATTCCACGTAGAAGTGGGATTAGGCAATATTTGTCTTTCTGTACCTGGCTTATTTCACTTAAATAATGTCCTCCAGTTTTACCCATGTAGTGGCATTTTATGACTGAACAGTATTCAATTTTTTAGACAAGCCACATATTATTTATCCACTCATCTGCTGATGAACCCAGGTTAATTCCATATCGGTTATTTTCAACAGTGCTGCAATAAACAGAGAAATGCAGATATCTCTGTGATGTACTGATTTTATTTCCTTTGTATATATATTGAGTAGTGAGATTTCAGGATCAAATGGTTTTTTCACTTTTTAATTTTTCGAGGAAACTCCAAACTATTTTTCATAATAGTTTTACTAATTTGCATCCCCACCAATAGTGTACATGGGTTCCCTTTTCTCCACATCTTCATGAGCCATTGTCATCTTTTGTCTTTTTGATAATAGCCTTTTTAACAAATATGAGGTGCTACTGTGTTGTGGTTCCAATTTGAATTTTTAAGTGATTAGTAATATTGACTACTTTTTCATATACTCACTGTTCATTGTATATCTTCTTTTGAGAAATTTCTATTCAGGTCCTTTGCTTATTTTTTTAAATTCAACTTTTATTGGAGTCTAAAGCAAAGTTCTGTGTTCACTTCCTTCTCTTTCTTCCAAGTGGATCGTATTTCTTTTTGTGCTGTACAGCCTGGGTACAAGTGCAGGATTGTTACAAGAGTATATAGTGTGATGCTGAGGTTTGGGCTTCTGTTGAGCCTATCACCCAGATACTGAACCTCCCAATAGGAGGTTTTTCAGCCCTTTCCCCTTCCTCCTTTTGGAATCCCTAGTGTCTACTATTCCTGTTTTATGCCAACATGTACTCAAAATTTAACTCCCACTTATAAGTGAGAACATAAGATAATTGGTTTTCAGTTTCTGCATTAATTCACTTCAGATAATGTCCTCTAGCAGCATCTGCATTGCTGGAACTCCTACATATGTTATTTGCTTCTTTTATCTTGTTGCTTTCAGTATTCTCTCTTTGTTTTTTGTCAGTTTGACTCAGTTTAGTTTTATTTGGATTGAATCTGTTTTGGTAACTTTGACTTTCCTGTACCTAGATATTTACATCTTTCTCCAGGTTTAGGATGTTTTCCACATTTCTCATTCAGGTCACTTATTGTTTCCTTATTCTGTTAAATCGTTTCTCTGAATTTTATTGAAGTCCATTAACCCTTCTTAAAACGTTATAATGGATTGTCAAACAGTTCATATATCTTCATTTCTTTCATGCTGGTCACTGGCATGTTATTCTATCCCTTTGGTCATGGCATGTTTCCTTGATTGTTCTTGATCCTTGTAGCTGTACATTGATGTCTGTGCATTTGAAGAATTAGGTAGTTATAGGTAGTTATTCCAGTTCTGCTGACTGGTTTTTTTTGGAAAAGCCCTTCAAAAGTCTGTTCATCCAGGCAGAGTGAAAAAGGAAAGAAGAAAGAAAGAAAGAAGAAAGGAAAGAAAGAAAGAAAGAAGAAAGAAAGAAGAGAGGGAGGGAGGGAAGAAGGAAGGAAGGAAGGAAGGAAGGAAGGAAGGAAGGAAAGGAGAGAGGAAAGAAAGAAAAAAGAAAGAGAGAAAGAGAGAGAGGGAGGGGGAGAGAGATATAGAGAAAGAAGGAAGGAAGAAGGAAGGAAGGAAGGAAGGAAGAGAAAAAGAAAGAGAAAGAAAGAAGAAAGGAAGGAAGGAAGGAAAAGAAAAAGAAAAAAAGAAAGAAAGAAAGAAGAGAGAGAGGGAGGGAGGGAAGAAGGAAGGAAGGAAGGAAAGGAGAGAGGAAAGAAAGAAAAAAGAAAGAGAGAAAGAGAGAGAGGGAGGGGGAGAGAGACATAGAGAAGGAAGGAAGAGAAAAAAGAAAAAGAAAGGAAGGAAGGAAAAGAAAAAGAAAAGAAAGAAAGAAAGAAAGAAAGAAAGAAAGAAAGAAAGAAAGAAAGAAAGAAAGAGAAAGGAAGGAGGGAAGGAAAGGTAAACTCCACAATGACTATGAATCTTTGTAGGTGGGCAAATATAAAGGATACATTCCCTGAGTCAGTAAGAGTGTCCTATACCAAATACCATCTGGCAGCATGAGAAGCATCCCAGATAGACTGTTTTTCCTAATGTGGTTGTTGAGTTTCCTCTTTCTTGGCACTTTAGGGTCACCTTAGCTATGGCCAATATTCCAAGTCTACTTCAGCCTTCTTGCACTCCAATGTTTCTCATGTATACGTTAACTATCTAAATTTTTCAGTGTCCTATTCTGTTGATGGAACCAACAATGCTTTCTGATATGTGGGAACAAACTACGGGCTAGATGTTATGTTGTGGAGAGAAAAGAAGAAAAACACCTATTTTCAGGCAAATAGTTTTTCTCAGCAAAAATCTTTTCTGTCATATTGGTTAATAATTTACCCTGATTAACTTTAATCCAAACTCACTAAGCTCCAGATAAAGTGAAAAGTGGCTGATCCACTTGAAGAAAAAAAAATCCAGAAGAACATATGGTAACATTTTATTTATTATTATATTAATATATGGGTAGTGTAACCATATTATTTATTGTCCAAATTTTGAGAGAAAGAGGGATCATCTGACATAATATAAGGCATACAGTTATAAACCAGGATATATGACCAGTTTAGTTACAGGTAAGAAATTCCCTTTTCCTTCTCAGGTTGGTGCTAATGGATAAAATATACACTATGTCTTCTTGAATGTGCTTGTTCTAACTCCTAACCATCCTTAGTAACTTCACAAGGAAGGAAGAATGACTTCAATTAGTAAGATTTGGTAAACAAGTAACCATGCTATCTTCTGGTCTACTTTTCTAGATACTTTGCTGGGACACAGAAACATTCTTCTCTATTACAGTCATATAGATTTGGTCCAGTTTTTGTCTTTCAGGACCAGAAGAGAGAATAGGTCAGGTTAGGTCCTTCCATCCCCTATACAAACATTTAGGGGAACTTTAGCTTTGCAGAAGAACTTTAAAGAAGGTCCCAAGTTCTAGATATCTTCATAGACATATCCAAGCAGTGTTCTCCTACATAGATTTGCTACTATTGTTGGTATTTCAACTTTTTGAATCATGTGCCTATTTTTCAAGTGGGCCAGTATGTTAATTTAGAGCAATTTTCATAACTTCTTCAAGGAATTTTGTTGGTAAAACTACATTTTATCTACCTGCAGTGCAAAATTCAATGACATTTACATAGTGGAAATATTATAATGAAAAATTTAAAAGCGAAAATTACCTAATAGTGAAATGCTCTTCAATGGTATTGCCACAGTAAAACAAACAAATGAAAAAAACTTTCTTATTAGGATATAGATAAAAAGGTAAACAATCCTATTTTAACATGGGGCAAAGGATTTATATAGACATTCTCTGGAGAAGATATACAAATGTCCAATAAATATATGTAAAGATGCTCAATATTATTAGTCATTAGGAAATAGCAAATCTAGAACTTCTTGTTTTGAAATAATTTATATTTACTGAAAATTTTTGAAATAATACAGAATCCCCATATATTCTTCAGCCAGTTCATTACTTTTAAAACACTACATACCATGATATATACAATTATCAAAACTTGGAAATTAACATTGATAGAATACTATTAACTAACCTGTGGACGTTATGTGAATTTTGCCAGTTGTTCCACTACTGTTATACTGTTGGACTTAGATCCTATCCCGGCTCTTACAATGTACTGTATCATCATTACTTCTTAGTCTTTTTCAGTCCTTTATAGTTTCTCAGTCTTGTTTTATCTTTCATGGCCTTGATACTTTTAAAAATAACTGGCATATTATTTTGTAGAATGTCTTTCAATTTCAGTTTGATATTTTGATGTTTGATGGCTTAACCAATGTTATGCATTTTTAGAAAAACATAACCAAAGAAGCTACGTGGTGTCTTTTGAAGTATATTGTATCAGGAGTTATGTGATTCTTCATTATAATGCTACTATTTTTTTCTTTGTATTTAATAAATATTTTATGTGGAGATATTTTAAGGTGATGCAAATATCCTGGTTTTCAATATTTCTGTACTCATTAATGTTAGATTCCATTCATTATTTCTGCCTGGAATATTATTACTGTGGTATTTGGCTGATGGTGATTTTCTCATTCCATCAATTCTTCTACACTTCTGAATTGGAAGTCTACTTTGAGGAATAACTATTTCTTGCTATGATTATTTATTCTTGTATCTATTCATTTATATATTCATTCAATTATTTATGTAAGTATGGACTAATTGACACTTATTTTATGAGTTATAATTCCTTATTGTCATTATTTTGTTGTTATAATTATGTAAGATTGGTCAGAACAAATAAATTCCATCCTTGTCCCAATTTTGATTAGTCATATATACACACTTACCACCATCCTATTGCTGGATTTTTCTCAGTCATCTTATAGGTGATGAAACTAATTATTTAGTAGATACCTTAAGATGGGTACATGGATGAAATGGAATTCTCTAAGTATTCTGAAAACTGCTTTTTTTCCTCACAATAACCTTGATATTTGATGGAAAGTATAATTGCATATAAATTACTTTATTCAGATCTACTTTTATTAAGTTAAAAAATACTTTCCACTTCTGTCTTATTGTGCATATTGTTTTTCATTAATCCTTTGCCATTATAAGTTTTTTCTGTTGTTTTTGAAGTTATTTGACTTTTTTTTTTGGCCTGGAAATAATGTCGAATATTTTATTAAACTAATATTTTTACTATATTTCTTTGTTCATTTTGGTTTTATTTTTCCAAGTACTTGATGAACCTTTCAAATATGTAGAGTAAAATATTTTAACTCTGACAGTTTATTATATTAAAGTTTTAAGTATTTTTTCTATTGCTTTTCTTTTTCAATAAAACTGTGATTCTTTATTGTCTTCCATTTTTATTACCTTATTTTTGAAACTTTTTATGTCTGTATCTTATTTTTTTTAGCTTGATTGATTCCTGCCTTACTTCAGTGTTGCTTAATAAATTTTTATTTTAGTCTAGTCTCTTTTGGAAAGTCATTACTCTGTAAACACAGCAAAATCAAGACATATACTAAATTTTTTGTTTGTTAGTTTTTATGGTGGATAGAGAAGTCATGTCTCTTGAATTTTTAGTTATTTTTTGTCTTTAGCACCATAAATTTTTCCCTTAACCACCTAATTGCCAAAAGTTGCTTCTAATTCTCCTTTTTCATTTTTTTCCTCCTCCAGAAGCTACAAAGTTTTATTCAAATTAAATATACTAGTAAGTCCTTTCCCTTTATCTATTTCCTGGTCTTCCCTGAAACTTCTATAGTATTTTTAGACTTAGGATCAATTATTCTTTCTGACTGTGGTTTTACATTAAAATTAGGCCCTGTTGTTTCCTGCATATTTCTCCATTCCATGCAGTTTTCTTACCTGCCTTTGCTTCATAGAGTAGGAGCACTAGAGTTCATGTGCCATAACTTGGCATTTTTTTCTCCTTTTATACTTTTAGATAATTTGACATTTGGGCATTTCTTGTCTTGAAATTATGCTGAGGTTTTCCTGTAGTTTTACTTTTTTCTCCTCATTGTTCTATATTTGTGGGGAAAATAATTGAAGATAGAGACCTAGATAGTCATTGTTTTTGGCTAGCTGGAAGTCTTAATATGATAATAATTCATATATGATTGCTTTAAAAATCAAAATTTATTAAGGAAAAGGGCTTAACACATTTAAGATTAGTTGAAAGGAGGATAAAAATAGTACACGTGGAACAAGACAAACTGTAATATTCCTGGAATTACTGCATAACTTCAATTTTTTGTTAGTGTTAGAATGTTTCAGACACTTTCCAAACACACAAAGAAAACTATAAAAGCTTTAAAATACTAATGAATGGTTTTCCTGTTAAAAGGAACTTAACAGATGTAGCTGAAGGAAACTTTATTAAGTCTAATATCTTCATCAAAAAGCACCATAATAGACCAGCTCTATTAGAATGTCCCCAAACCAAACACTCAATATTTAGTTGCTGTACAACTAAATCTATCCTAATAAATTACCCATAAGTTGCAAATTTTGTGAGTTAAAACTGAGATAGACAGATATCTCAATTCTAGAAAAGAAAAAGACCACAACAAAGCAATGGTTAGAAATGAAATTAGCCATTTGCCTACTCAAAAGACCTCAATTCCAATGGGAGACATGGCATTGTACTGAATTTATTCTTTAAGATGCCTAATAAAATATTCAAATACAGAAAACTCAACTCCATCCTAAGTATGTGGCATTTGATATGGTTTGAAAAGTAAACACCAAGGAAAGAATGAAAATGAAATATGCTCAAAAGAAACCAAGATTAGTGGGTCATTTACTCCAAAAATCTCCAGTCACTTGGTTGTCATTTATAACTTAAGGCTATATGCATTCTCTTGCTCTCTTTGCAAGGGTATAGAAATTTCTTCCAATATGTAGAATTATATCATTTAAATCAATCAACATTTTCTGAGGCCCTTTGTTATGCTAGGTGTAAGGAAGTGAGATACAAAGATAAATAACAAGACTTATTACTCATCTTTTTTCAGAAAGAGTTTTGAGGGGTATGACCATGAGTCTTATCTTCAAGAGTCTATCTAGCATTGACACAGACTTATATACAAGACAAAATAGAAAACATACAGTTATGGAGGTAAATATGTTGTAGAGTAATATTAGGTAGTGAGATGACCTTTACAGCAGAAGTGTACTTGAGATGGATGCTTAAGAATGGATAAATATTTTAGCCAGATTAAAACATGAGCAAAGGACCTGGATAGACAGTTTTCCAAAGAAGACATTCACATGACCAACAGGTATATGAAAACATGCTTGACAGACAACTCATCAGGGAAACGCAAATCAAAACCACAATGAGATATAACCTTACACCTTTAGACTTAAGAAAGTCTAAAGATAAAAAAAGTTGATGATGATATGAACAAAAGGGAACACCTGCACACTGTTGATGAGAGTGTAAATTGGTGCAGCCATTATAGAAAATCATATGAACATTTCCTAAATTGTTAAAAATAGAACTATTATAGGGTCCAGCAATCCCACTTCTGAGTATACAGGCATACCTTGGAGAAATTGCACATTCCATTCTAGGCCATCACAATAAAGCAAATATTGCAATAAAGTGAGACACACAAAAATTTTGGTTTCTCAGTGCATTGAAGTTATCTTTACACTACACTGTAGTTTATTAAGTAGCAAAAACATAATGTCTAAAAAGAACAATGTACATATCTTAATTTAAAAATACTTAATTACTAAAAATGCTAACAATCATCTGAGCCTTCAGGGAGTCATAATCTTTTTGCTGGTGGAAGGTCTTTCCTCCATGCTGGTGCCTGCTGACTGATCAGGGTGCTGGTTGACGAAGTTTGGGTGGCTGTGATAGCTTCTTAAAATAAGACAAAAGTAAAGTTTGCTGCATCTTGACTATTCCTTTTATAAAATATTTCTCTGTAGCATGTGATGTTGTCTGATAGCATTTTACCCACAGGAAAACTTTTAAAATTGCAGTCAATACTCTTAAACCATGCAACTACTCTATCAACTAAGTTTACATAACATTCTGAGTTGTTTTTGGTTATTTCATCCATGTTTACAATATCTTTACCAGGAGTAGATTCCACCTCAAAAAACCAGTTTGCCCATGCTATGTCCAGTATGATATTGCCTAGGTTGTCTTCCAGGGTTTTCATAGTTTTGGGAACCCTCATGATTTAATCACTTCCCAAAAGGATCTAAGTTTCAACATAAATTTTCAAGGGTGCACATTCTGCAGTGGAATAACAATTGGAGAAGATTGCATTACCCAATATTATATTTATTATAGCTGTATACTAATTAATGCAGTGTGATAGTGAAACAGGAATATAGAAATAAACCCATGCAACTGAATAGAGAATTAAGACATAAACCTATGCCCAGGTAGAGTTTGAATATCATCAAGATAGCTTGCCAATCAATAGTAACAGACCTACTATTAAAATGTAGTTCTAATTTTAAGAAATAGTCTACTCAAATGGAAAAGAACCAGAAAAACCATTCTGGTTATGTGACAAAACAGGGTTCTATAACACCTCCAAAAGATCACACTAGCTCCCCAGCAATGGATCTAAACTGAGAAGAAATATCTGAATTGCCAGATTAAAAAAAAAAGAATTTTAAAGAATGACTAAAGCCTGCAAGAAATTTGGGATTATGTTAAATTATCAAAACAAAGAATAATTGGTGTTCCTGAGGAAGAAGAGAAATCTGAAAGTTGGAAAACTTTTTCGCAGGAATAACTGAGGAAAATTTCCTGGCCTTGCTAGAGATGTATACATCTAAATACAACAAACTCAAAGAACTCCTGTAAAATTCATTACAAAAAGATCATTAGTAGACACATAGTCATTGGGTTACTAAAGTCAAAGAAAAGAATCTTAACAACTGTGAGACAAAAGCATTAGGTAAGCTATAAGGAAAAACCTATCAGATTAACAGCTGATTTCTCAGCAGAAACCTTACAAGCCAGAAGAGATTGAGGTCCTATCTTTAGCCTTCTTAAACAAAATAATTGTCAGCCAAGAATTTTGTATCCAGCAAAAACTAAGCTTCATAAATGAAGGAGAGATGACAAAAAATGCTGAGAGAATTCGGCACTACCAAACCAGCATTACAAGAAATGCTAAAAGGAATTCTAAATCTTGAAACAAAACCTTGAAATACACTGAAACAGAACCTCCTTAAAGCATAAATCTAACGAGGTCTGTAAAACAATAGCACAATGGAAAAAACAAAGTTTTTAGGCAACAGCTAACATGATGAATAGAACAGTACCTCACATCTCAATACTAACATTGAATGTAAATGGCCTGAATGCTCCACTTAAAAGATACAGAATAGCAGAATGAATGAAAATCCGCCAACCACGTATCTGCTGTCTTTAAGAGACTCACCTAATACATAAGGACTCACATAAACTTAAGGGAAAGAGGTGGGAAAAGACATTCCATGCAAATGGAAACCAAAAGTGAGTAGGAGTAGCTATTCTTATATTAGAAAAAACAGATTTTAAAGCAACAACAGTAAAAAAAGGCAAAGAGGGACACTGTATAATGATAAAATGATTAGCCAAATAGGAAAATATCACACATGATTATCTCAATAGATGCAGACAAGGCTTTTTGATAAAATTCAATGTCATTCCATCTTAAAAACTCTCAATAAATTAGGTATTGAAGGAACAAACTTCAAAATAGTAAGAGCTATATATGACAAAACCACAGCCAGCATCACACTGAATGGGCAAAAGCTTGAAGCATTTCCCTTGAAAAGTGGCACAAGAAAAGGATGCCCTCTCTCACCACTCCTATCCAACATAGAATTGGAAGGTCTGGCAAGAGCAGTCAGTCAAGAGAAAAAAATAAATGGCATCCAAATAGGAAGAAAAGAAGTCAAACTATCACTGTTTGCAGATTACATGATCCTATATCTAGAAAAATCCAGTGTCTCAGCCCAAAAGCTCCTTAAGCTGATAAGCAACTTCAGCAAAGTCTCAGGATACAAAATCAATGTGCAAAAATCGCTAGCATTAGCTATATACCAATAATATTCAAGCTGAGAGCCAAATCAGGAATACAATCACATTTACAATTGGCATGAAAAGAATAACATGCCTAGGAACACAACCGACTAGGGAGGTGAAAGATCTGTACAAGGAGAACCACTTCCCAAAGAAATCAGATATGGCAGAAACAAACAGAAAAACATTCCGTGCTCATAGATAAGAAGAATCAATATCACTAAAATGGCCATTCTGCCCAAAGAAACTTATAATGTCAATGTTATTCCTATTAAAGTACCATTGACAATCTTTACAAACTAGAAAAAACTATTTTAAAATTCATATGGAACCAAAAAATAGTCTGAAAAGCAAGGCAATCCTAAGCAAAAAGAGCAAAGCTGGAGACATCATGTTACCTGATTTTAAACTATACTACCGGGCTACAGTATCCAAGACAGCATGGTCCTGGTACAAAAACAGACACATAGACCAGTGGAACATAATAGGGAACCCAGAAATAAGACCACACACCTACAACTATCTGATTTTCGACAAAGCTGACAAAAACAAGCAGTGAGAAAAAGATTCCCTATTCAATAAATGGTACTGGGCTAATTGGGTAGCTATATGCAGAAGATTGAAACTGAACCCCTTCCTTATACCATATACAAAAATTAACTCAAGATGGATGAAAGACTTAAATGTAAAATCCCAAGCTATAAAAACATAGAAGACAACCTAGGCAATACCATTCAGGACATAAGCACAGGCAAAGATTTTATGAGGAAGACACCAAAAGTAATTGCAACAAAAGTAAAAATTAGCAAATGGGATCTAACTAAACTAAAGAGCTTCTGCACAGCAAAAGAAACCATCAACAGAGTATACAGACAACTGACAGAATGGGAGAAAATTTTTGCAAACTGTGCATTCAACAAAGGTCTAATATGTAGCATCTATAAGGAACTTTAACAAATTTAAAAGAAAAAAAGCAACCTATTAAAAAGTGGGCCAAAAGGCTGGGCACGGTGATTCATGCCTGTAATCCCAGCACTTTGAGAGGCTGAGGTGAGCAGATCACTTGAACTTAGGAGTTCAAGACCAGCCTGGGCAACCTGGAGAAACCCCATCTCTACCAAAAAAATATAAAAACTTAGCCGGGCATAGTGGTGTGTGCCTGTGGTCCCAGCTGCTTGGGAAGCTGAGGATTGCTTGAGCCCAGGAGGTGGAGGCTGCAGTGAGCCCAGATCACGCCACTGCATTCCAACCTGGGTGACTGAGTGAGACCCTGTCAAAACAAAAACAATAAGAGTGGGCAAAGGACATGAACAGAGAGTTTTCAAAAGAAGAAATACACTTGGCCAACAATCACATGAAAAAAAACTCAACATCATTGATCATTACAGAAATGCAAATCAAAACCACAATGAGATACCATCTAACACCAGTCAGAATGGTTACTATTAAAAAGTCAAAAAATAACAAATGCTGGCAAGGTTGTGGAGAAAAAGGAACACTTATACACTGTTGGTGGAAGTGTAAATTAGTTTAGCATTGTAGAAGACAGTGTGGCAATTCCTCAAAGAACTAAAGACAAATCCCATTCAATCCAGCAATCTCATTACTGGTTATATACACAAAGGAATATAAATTATTCTATTATAAAGACACACACATGTGTATGTTCATTGCAGCACTATTCACAATAGCAAGGACACGAAATCAACCTAAATGCTCATCAATGATAGAGAGGATAAGGAAAATGTTGTACATATACACCTTGGAATACTATGCAGCCATTAAAAAGGACAAGATCATGTCCTTTGCAGGGACATGGATGGAGCTTGAGGCCATTATCCTTAGCTAACTAACACAGGAACAGAAAATCAAATACTGCATGTTCTCACTTATAAGTGAAAGCTAAATGATGAGAACACATGGACAAATAGAGGGGAACATCACACACTGGGGCTTTTCAGAGTGTGGGGGATGAGAGGAGGGAGAGGATCAGGAAAAACAACTCGTGGGTACTAGGCTTAATACCTGGGTGAGGCAATAACCTGTACAACAACCCCCATGGCAGAAGCTTACCTATGTAACAAACCTGCACTTGCATCCCTGAACTTAAAAGTAAAAAATAAATTTAAAAAAACAAAGTAAAAAGTAAAACAAAACAAAATTCCAAATGCTATAGCCATTGTGGAGATAGCTTGACAATTTCTTATAAAATTAAATATGTGCTTATCGCAAAGTTAAGAAATCTGCTCCTAGTTTTCTGCCCCAAAGGAAAAAAAAAGTGTATTGAAATGCTCCTGGAAGCTTTATTCACAAGATCAAAGAAAATAAAACAATCCAAAAGTTCTTTGGCTGCTGAATAGGCAACAAATTATGCAATATTTATACAATGGAATTCAACCCAGCATTAGAGAGGAAAGAACTACTGATACACACAGCAACATGATCTTGAAAATATCATGCTAGGTAAAAGAAGCCAGACACAAAAAACTTTCGTTTATGCGGAATTTTTAGAAAAGGCAAAACTGTAGCAACAAAAAGCAATCAGAGATCAGACCACAGTGGGCCAGGGGAATGTTTGCAAAAGGACACTGTGAAATGTTGGGGAAATGAACATGTTCTATATCTTGGATTGTACCCTTAAAAGGAGTTGATTTTTTCTTATGTAAGTTATATTTCAGTAAAGCTCTCATAAAAAGGGAATACTTATTACCATAAATAATTAGAAAAATACAGCAAAATACAATGAATCAAAGAAAAATTCATTTCTCATCATATAACTATTAAGATCTGTAGTAAACTTTTAATTGAAGAATAGAAGACTATATAGAAAGTGAAAAATCATAGTTGTGCAACTCAATGAATTTTTACAAACTGAACACATACATGTAACCATAACCTATATCATGAAACAGAACATTGCTAGCACTTCCAGACGGATACTTCATGCCTCCTTCTGGGCAGAAACCCTGTAATCAGTAACACCAGGGCTTAGTTTTGTCTATTTTGAATTCTCTCTGTAATATATAAAATATATAAATGTATATGCAAGTGAAATCACATGGAAATATTTATTTTATATATGGTTTCTTTAGCCCAAAAATGCCTTTGCAAGATACACCCACATTGCAAAGTTGTGGTTTGTTCATTATTATTTTGTAGTTTTTCATTGTATGAATATAACACAAATTATTAATTCTGTGGTGAATGATCACTGAGTTATTTACAGCATTGGAGTTTTAAGAATAAGATTTCTGTGAACATTCTTGTGTCTATCTTTAGATGAATAGAATGTATACCTGTTAGGTATATACATAGGAGTGGGATTGCTGCATTTACAGTATGCATGTAAGTAAATTTTATAGATATTTTCAAACAGTTTATCAATGTATTGTGCCAATTATACTCTCACATGCAACATAGGAAGATTTTTATTGATCTACATAGTAATGTTTTAATTTTTTTTACAGAATATCTCCAAGTTGATTTTTTAAATTTCTATAACTCTTAATAAAATTGGGTCCATATGGTATACAGAAAAAAACATTAAATTAAAAATAAAAAGAGGCTGGAAGCAGTGGCTCATCTCTGTAATCCCAGCGCTTTGGGAGTCCCAGGTGGGCGGATCACTCGAGGTCAGAAGTTCAGGACCAGTGTGGCCAATATGGTGAAACTCCATCTCTACTAAAAATACAAAAATTAGCCGGGTGTGGTGGTGCACACCTGCAATCTCAGCTACTCTGGAGGCTGAGGCAGGAGAATCCCTTGAACCCGGAAGGTGGAGGTTGCAGTGAGCTGAGACATGCCATTGCACTCCAGTCTGGGTGACAGAGTGAGACTCCGTCTCAAAAAACAATAAAATAAATAAATAAATATACAAACAGCAAGAAAAAGAAAATAAAACAATTTTAAATAAAAAAATGTTCTTAGGTTTATGTGTCTGTGCAAATATATAAACACACATATATACCTATATGTGTATATACACATATATATGTATATATACACATCTAGGTATATATATACCTATATATACACATCTAGGTATATATATACCTATATATACCTATGTGTATACACACACACTATATATACACACACACACACACACTTGGAGTGAAAAATATAAAGTATTTTCTCTTCCATGGAAAGAAACATACTTAAAAAAAAATGACAAAACGTACAAACCAGAAAGAAATAGGGTTAAAATTAACAATTTTATTTTAAAAAACTGTAAGCTATAGCTAGTTAAATCAACATGAATACCTTAAATGTACACTATTGAACAAAAAAGCAAATATATAATTTGATATAATTTTTTGTGTTGTTTTTGAGACAGTATTTCACTCCCCTCACCCAGGCTGGAGTGCAGTGGTACGATCACAGCTCACCACAGCCTTGACTTCCTGGTCTCAAGCAATCCTCCCACCTCAGCCTCCCAGGTAGCTGGGACTATAGGAGTGCTGCCATGCCCAGCTAATTTTTGTGTTGTTAGTAGAGATGGGGTTTTGCCATGATGCCCAGGCTGGTCTCCAACTTCTGGACTCAAGTGATTCTCCTACCTCCACTTCCCAAATTGCTGGGATTACAGGTTTGGGCCACTGCACCAGGCTTTAAAATTATTAAAATAAAACAATAAAGTATTTTTTTAGATAACTTGTTTTAATCATAAAGAAAATTTTTAAAAATGGAATACTTAGAGAAAAATTAGTAGAGAAGTGCACATAGGAGACTCCAAGGTTAATAGTTATATTTCTATGTTAAGTCAGACAATGGCATATGGTTTTAATTTTATTCTTATTCATTAAACTCTACCTATAAATTAAGCATAATGTTTTAAGAAGATACTTTATTAGAACAGTTTTAGATTTACTAAAAAATTGAGGAAACAGTATAGAGAATCCACATACCCTACACCTGGTTTCTTCATTATAAATATCTTAGATTACTATTGTACATTTTTTTAAAATTAATGAACTAATATTAATATATTATCATGAACTAAAGTTCATATTTTATTCAGAAATTCTTAACTTTTACCTGACGTCCGTTTTCTGTTCTAAGATCCCATCTAGGATACCACATTGCAGTAGTAATTATCATTAGGTTTCCCCTAGCTGTGAAATTTTCTCTGTCTGTCCTTGTTTTTGATTATCTTGACATTTTTGAGTAATATTGGTCTGGCGTTTTGCAGAATGACAGAATTTTCTTGGCACATTTGTCATGATTAGATGGAGGCTATAAGTTCTTGGGGGGATGACCACAGAAGTAGGTGCCATTTTCATCACATCATACCAAGGGCACATACTTTTAACAAGACTTATGACCACTGATGTTAATCTTGATCACCTGGCTAAGTTAATGTAATATATACATTTTAATGCCTAATATTTTTATTATGTAGTATTTTCTAAGGTCAGAAGAGCAAAACAATGTTAATTATCCATGGAGAAGGAATTTTACAGTTTTTAAGTTACCACTTGCTCAGCTTCTCTTCCCTAGTAGAGTCTTGTGTCTTCCTTTGAAACGAACTCTAGAAAAATAAATTGAGTTTAAAACTACCCATTGTTACTCCCTATCAAACATCAATAACTTAAAAGAATAACAAATATTCATGAATGTTTTTAGGGAAGAGCATTGATTTTGACCTTATAGATTGATTTCAGGTTTGCAAATGATGTCTTAGATTTCCATTATTAGATTTCATTTTCCCTGTTGTGCCCTAGACATGGGGTCAGTAACCCTGGGCTTTAGTCTCCTTTACTAGATTACTTTGTAAAAAAATCAACTTTATCCTTTAACAGCTCCATTTTATCATTTTCCCTAGAAAAGCTCTCTCAGAAAGTCTAAGGGGGGTGGTAAATTCAACAGATATGAGGACTTGGCCTCTCCCCCTCACTCCTGGAATGCACCTGCACCTGTGTGGCAGTCATAGTTATGTCTATGTGCACTGGCAGAAGCTGCCACAGGAGCAGTTTTTGTTTCTTTTTTTTTTCATACTTTAAAAAGAGCTGTACAATTTTTTTTTTGTTTACAAGATTTATGGATTGTGTTATTTATATTGCTTAAATTCATGTTTGGTGCAGAAAGTCATCTAAATTCTCAAAATAAATCTTCCAATATACGTTCTCTTTTGACACTGGAACTTTAGTTCAATATTGCTAGGTGACAATCAGTAAGGTAATGAGCTTCCAAATGACGAAACTAAGCAGAAGAGGCCAAACATCTTCTCAAAGATAATGCCAAATAATGTGTTAAAAAAACAGGATTAACACATCTTTTCCTGTTTTTCTTCTTCCCATAGTAATTTAGATTTTACACTGTGCCAAAGTAGAGCAGATAAATGTAGCTGTCTTAACATTATAAACAGTACCTGGTGTTCATATACTGCTTCAAAGTTCCAAGCTTATTTTAGTAAAACTAAAACATCATAAAAGAGCCCCAGAGGTCTAAACATATTCCTATATAACTTTGCCCCTCTCCTCTTGCTGCCTTCATTTCTGTTACCCACATTCTGCCCTGCCTGTTATCTGTTGCATATGATTTGTATCTTAGCCAGGCATTTGAATCAGTAGTTTGTCAAACAGCAGTGGACAGAGTGACAGAAAGGAATGGAACCAGCGAAAAAAGAAGAGCAAGAAAAAAACATTACTTTTTCTTTTAAAATTATATGCTATACTGAGGGGAGGTTTCAAGATGGCTGAATAGGAACAGCTCCAGTTTACAGCTCCCAGCATGAACAACGCAGAAGACAGGTGATTTCTGCATTTCCAACTGAAGTACCAAGTTCATCTCACTGGGGCTTGTTGGACAGTGGGTGCAGGACAGTGTGTGCAGCCCACAGACCATGAGCCGAAGCAGGGAGAGGCATCGCCTCATCCAGGAAGCACAAGGGGTCTGGGAATTCCTTTTCCTAGCCAAGGGAAGCCATAACAGATGGCACCTGGAAAATTGGGTCACTCCCACCATAATACTGTGCTTTTCCAACAGTCTTAGCAAACAGCACACCAGGAGTTTATATCATACGCCTGGCTCGGAGGGTCCCAGACCCATGGAGCCTTGCTCACTGCTAGCAGAGCAGTCTGAGAACTAACTGCAAGGCAGCAGGGAGGCTGGGGGTGGGGTGCCCGCCATTGCTGAGGCTTGAGTACGTAAACAAAGCGGCCAGGAAGCTCGAACAAGGTGGAACCCACCACAGCTCAGGGAGGCCTGCCTGCCTTTGTAGACTCCACCTCTGGGGGCAGGGCATAGCCGAACAAAAGGCAGCAGAAACTTCTGCAGAGTTAAACGTCCCTGTCTGACAGCTTTGATGAGCATAGTGGTTGTCCCAACATGGAGTCTGAGATCTGAGAATGGACAGACTGCCTCCTCAAATGGGTCCCTGACCTCCGAGTAGCCTAACTGGGAGGCACTTCCCAGTAGGGGCCAACTGACACCTTATATGACCGGGCGCCCCTCTGAGACAAAGCTTCCAGAGGAACGATCAGGCAGCAGCATTTGCCGTTCCACAATATTTGTGGTTCTGCAGCCTCCGCTGGTGAGACCCAGGCAAACAGGGTCTGGAGTGGACCTCCAGCAAACTCCAACAGACCTGCAGCTGAGGGTCCTGATGGTTAGAAGGAAAACTAACAAACAGAAAGGACATCCACACCAAAACCCCATCTGTACGTCACCTTCATCAAAGACCAAATGTAGATAAAACCACAAACATGGGGAGAAATCAGAGCAGAAAAGCTGAAAATTCTAAAATCAGAGCACCTCTTCTCCTCCAGAGGAATGCAGCTTCTCACCAGCAATGGAACAAAGCTGGACAGAGAATGACTTTGACAAGTTGAGAGAAGAAGGCTTCAAAAGATTGGTAATAACAAACTTCTCTGAGCTACAGGAGGATGTTCGAGCCCATCACAAAGAAGCTAAAAATCTTGAAAAAAGATTGGACAAATGGCTAACTAGAATAAACAGCGTAGAGAAGACCTTAAATGACCTGATGGAGCTGAAAACCATGGCGCAAGAACTACGTGATGTATGCCCAAGCCTCAGTAGCCGATTCGATCAACTGGAAGAAAGGATATCAGTGATTGAAGATCAAATAAATGAAATGAAGCAAGAAGAGAAGTTTAGAGAAAAAAAGAGTAAAAGGAGAGGAACAAAACCTCCAAGAAATATGGGAATATGTGAAAAGACCAAATCTACATCTTATTGGTGTACCTGAAAGTGACAGGCAGAATGGAACTAAGTTGGAAAACACTCTTCAGGATATTATCCAGGAAAACTTCCCCAACCTAGCAAGGCAGAACAACATTCAAATTCAGGAAATACAGAGAACACCACAAAGATACTCCTCAAAAAGAGCAACTCCAAGACATGTAATTGTCAGATTCACCAAAGTTGAAATGAAGGAAAAAATGGTAAGGGCAGCCAGAGAGAAAGGTCAGGTTACCCACATAGGGAAGCCCATCAGACTAACAGCTGATATCT
Organism: Homo sapiens; assembly: GCF_000001405.40. NCBI lineage: Eukaryota > Metazoa > Chordata > Mammalia > Primates > Hominidae > Homo > Homo sapiens. The sequence continues at coordinate 65,591,451 of NC_000010.11, read as the reverse complement.
CAGCAGAAACTCTACAAGCCAGAAGAGAGTGGGGGCCAATATTCAACATTCTTAAAGAAAAGAATTTTCAATCTGGAATTTCATATCCAGCCAAACTAAGCTTCATAAGTGAAGGAGAAATAAAATCTTTTACAAACAAGCAAATGCTGAGAGATTTTGTCACCACCAGGCCTGCCTTACAAGAGCTCCTGAAGGAAGCACTAAACATGGAAAAGAACAACCGGTACCAGCCACTGCAAAAGCATGCCAAATTGTAAAGACCATTGAGGCTAAGAAGAAACGGCATCAACTAACAAGCAAAATAACCAGCTAACATCATAATGACAGGATCAAATTCACACATAACAATATTAACCTTAAATGTAAATGGGCTAAATGCTCCAATTAAAAGACAGACTGGCAAATTGGATAGAGTCAAGACCCACCAATGTGCTGTATTAAGGAGACCCATCTCACGTGCAGAGACACACATAGGCTCAAAATAAAGGGATGGAGAAAGATCTACCAAGCAAATGGAAAATAAAAAAAAGTAGGGATTGCAATTCTAGTCTCTGATAAAACAGACTTTAAACCAACAAAGATCAGAAGAGACAAAGAAGGCCATTACATAATGGTAAAGGGATCAATTCAACAAGAAGAGCTAACTATCCTAAATATATACGCATCCAATACAGGAGCACCCAGATTCATAAAGCAAGTCCTTAGAGACCTACAAAGAGACTTAGACTCCCACACAATAATAATGGGAGACTTTAACACCACACTGTCAACATAAGACAGATCCACGAGACAGAAAGTTAGCAAGGATATCCAGGAATTGAACTCAGCTCTGCATCAAGCGGACCAAATAGACATCTTCAGAACTCTCCACCCCAAATCAACAGAATATACATTCTTCTCAGTACCACATCGCCCTTATTCCAAAATTGACCACATAGTTGGAAGTAAAGCACTCCTCAGCAAATGTAAAAGAACAGAAATTATAACAAACTGTCTCTCAGACCACAGTGCAATCAAACTGGAACTCAGGATTAGGAAACTCACTCAAAACTGCTCAACTACATGGAAACTGAACAACCTGCTCCTAAATGACTATATAACGAAATAAAGGCAGAAATAAGAATGTTCTTTGAAACCAATGAGAACAAAGACAGAACATACCAGAATCTCTGGGACACATTCAAAGAAGTGTGTAGAGGGAAATTTATAGCACTAAATGCCCACAAGAGAAAGCAGGAAAGATCTAAAATTGACACTTTAACATCACAATTAAAAGAACTAGAGAAGAAAGAGCAAACACATTCAAAAGCTAGCAGAAGGCAAGAAATAACTAAGATCAGAGCAGAACTGAGAGATAGAGACAAAAAAACCCTTCAAAGAATCAATGAATCCAGGAGCTGGTTTTTTGAAAAGATCAACAAAATTGATAGACCACTAGCAAAACTAATAAGAAAAGAGAGAAGAATCAAATAGAAACAATAAAAAAAAAGATAAAGGGGATATCACTACCAATCCCACAGAGACACAAACTACCAACAGAGAATACTATAAACACCTCTATGCAAATAAACTAGAAAATCTAGAAAAAATGGATAAATTCCTGGACACATACACCCTCCCAAGACTAAACCAGGAAGAAGTTGAATCCCTGAGTAGACCAATAACAGGCTCTGAAATAGAGGCAATAATTAAGAGCCTCCCAACCAAAAAAAGTCCAGGACCAGATGGATTCACAGCCAAATTCTACCAGAGGTACAAAGAGGAGCTGGTACCATTCCTTCTGAAACTATTCCATTCAATAGAAAAATAGCAAATCTTCCCTGACTCATTTTATGAGGCCAGCATCATCCTGATACCAAAGCCTGGCAGAGACACAACAAAAAAGGGAATTTTAGACCAATATTCCTGATGAATATCAATACACAAATCCTCAATAAAATACAGGCAAACCGAATCCAGCAGCACATCAAAAAGCTTATCCACCATGACCAAGTGGGCTTCATCCCTGGGATGCAAGGCTGTGCAACATATGCAAATCAATAAACATAATCCAGCATATAAACAGAACCAATGACAAAAACGACATGACTATCTCAACAGATGCTGAAAAGATGCCTTCGACAAAATTCAACAGCCCTTCATGCTAAAAACTCTGAATAAATTAGGTATTGATGGGATGTATCTCAAAATAATAAGAGCTATTTATGACGAACCCACAGCCAATATCACACTGAATGGGCAAAAACTGGAAGCATTCCCTTTGAAAACTGGCACAAGACAGGGATGCCCTCTCTCACCACTACTATTAAACATAGTGTTGGAAGTTCTGGCCAGGGCAATCAGGCAGGAGAAAGAAATAAAGGGTATTCAGTTAGGAAAAGAGGAAGTCAGATTGTCCCTGTTTGCAGATGACATGATTGTATACCTAGAAAACCCATCGTCTCAGCCCAAAATCTCCTTAAGCTGGTAAGCAACTTCAGCAAAGTCTCAGGATACAAAATCAATGTGCAAAAATCACAAGCATTCCTACACACCAATAACAGACAAACAGCCAAATCATGAGTGAATTCCCATTCACAACTGCTTCAAAGAGAATAAAATACCTAGGAATCCAACTAACAAGGGATGTGAAGGACCTCTTTAAGGAGAATTACAAACCACTGCTCAAGGAAATAAAAGAGGACACAAACAAATGGAAGAACATTCCATGCTTATGGATAGGAAGAATCAATATTGTGAAAATGGCCATACTGCCCAAAGTAGTTTATAGATTCAATGCCATCCCCATCAAGCTACCAATGACTTTCTTCACAGAATTGGAAAAAACTAATTTAAAGTTTATATGGAACCAAAAAAGAGCCCTCATTGCCCAGACAATGCTAAGCCAAAAGAACAAAGCTGGAGCATCACGCTACCTGAATTCAAACTATACTACAAGGCTACAGTAACCAAAACAGCATGGTACTGGTACCAAAACAGAGATATAGACCAATGGAACAGAACAGAGGCCTCAGAAATAATACCACACATCTACAACCATCTGATCTTTGACAATCCTGCCAAAAAACAAGAAGTGGGGAAAGGATTCCCTATTTAATCAATGGTGCTGGGAAAACTGGCTAGCCATATGTAGAAAGCTGAAACTGGATCCCTTCCTTACATCTTATACAAAAATTAATTCAAGATGGATTAAATACTTAAATGTCAGACCTAAAACCATAAAAACCCTGGAAGGAAACCTAGGCAATACCATTCAGGACATAGGCATGGGCAAGGACTTCATGTCTAAAACACCAAAAGCAATGGCAACAAAAGCCAAAATTGACAAATGGGATCTAATTAAACTAAAGAGCTTCTGCACAGCAAAAGAAACTACCATCAGAGTGAACAGGCAACCTACAGAATGGGAGAAAATTTTCACAATCTACCCATCTGACAAAGGGCTAATATCCAGAATCTACAAAGAATTTAAACAAATTTACAAGAAAAAAATCAAACAACCCCATCAACAAGTGGGCAAAGGATATGAACAGACACTTCTCAAAAGAAGACATTTATGCAGCCAAAAGACACATGAAAAAATGCTCATCATCACTGGCCATCAGAGAAATGCAAATCAAAACCACAATGAGATACCATCTCACACCAGTTAGAATGGTGATCATTAAAAAGTCAGGAAACAACAGGTGCTGGAGAGGATGTGGAGAAATAGGAACGCTTTTACACTGTTGGTGGGAGTGTAAACAAGTTCAACCATTGTGGAAGACAGTGTGGTGATTCCTCAAGGATCTAGAACTAGAAATACCATTTGACCCAGCCAATGCATAACTGGGTATATACCCAAAGGGTTATAAATAATGCTGCTATAAAGACACATGCACATGTATGTTTATTGCGGCACTATTCACAATAGCAAAGACTTGGAACCAACCCAAATGTCGATCAATGATAGACTGGATTAAGAAAATGTGGCACATATACACCACAGAATACTATGCAGCCATAAAAAAGAATGAGTTCACGCCCTTTGTAGGGACATGGATGAAGCTGGAAACCATCATTCTGAGCAAACTATCACAATGGCAGAAAACCAAACACAGCATGTTCTCACATGTGGTGGGAATTGAACAATGAGAACACTTGGATACAGGTTGGGGAACACCACACACCGGGTGCTGTCATGGGGTCGGGGGAGGGGGGATGAATAGCATTAGGAGATATACCTAATGTAAATGACAAGTTAATCGGCGCAGCATACCAACATGCCACATGTATACATATGTAACAAACCTGCACATTGTGCACATGTACCCTAGAACTTCAAGTATAATTAAAAAAAATTATATGCTATACTTTCTTATATCACTATCCCTATCTAACTCAGTGCAGTTTGTCAACTGCCACCATACTCTTTGCAAATTCCACCATAAACCCATCATTCCACCATATTTCATTTTTATACATAAAACTCTTTTTATCTTTTCACATGTGTCAAAATTGACTGTATTAGTCTGTTCTCATGCTTTTAATAAAGACATACAAGAGACTGGGTAATTTATACAGGAAGGAGATTCATTGACTCACAGTTCCACATGGTGGGGGAGTCCTCAAAATCATGGCAGAAGGCGAATGAGGAGCAAAGTCACATCTTAATGGCGGAAGGCAAGAGAGCATGTGAAGGGGAACTCCCCTTTATAAAACCATCAGGTCTCTCGAGACATATTCACTATCGCAAGAACACCACAGGAAAGACCTGCCCCATGATTCAATAACCTCTCACTGAGTCCCTCTCATGACACATGGGAATTACAGGAGCTACAGTTCAAGATGACATTTGGGTGCGGATACAGCCAAACCATATCATTCATCATATCTTGATAACATTATTTTTTCTTGGGATCAACCCAGAAAAAGTTTATTTTTTTTTTACTTTTCTTTAATGTTCACAGGAATGAAAGAGAAGACCAACATGTTCTTTGCTTTTTTACTGATGCTTCTAGTCCAGACCTTTATTCTGCGAACATGTACTAACAACTTCCTTTTTGTCATTTTTCCTAGAAAAGTTCTCTCAGAATCTTTTTAGGCAATTCAATGCCATTCTTCATCTTGTTTATTGCTGTCTTTTCAATCATAGCTTACTTTCATCTTAATTGATTTCACCACTTGGATCGTAGTACTTGATATAAATCCATTTCCTTTTATTGATTTTACTTATTTTCATGTATTCAGCAAAGAGACATAGAACACCTGCTATATGATACTGCTTTCCCCTCAACTATAAAAATGACCATATTACATTCCCTGTATGCCCATGCTTCTGCCATTCCTTTTGAATTTCCCTGTTCCCCACCAATTTTCCAAGTTATCTCCCTTCTTTGTTCCACAGCAGGATTTTAAAAGTATTTTTCTACTTTAACCACATTGACATCCCTAATACACATTTATAGAAATGCATATATTGAACAATCTAAACAAATATATTCTTTAAAACCTATGAAAACTATTCACTCAATGCTTTCTGATCCAATACTCTCCAGATCCAGTAACCTTTTTCCAACATTAAAATCTCATCTAGGATGAGCTATGCTGTGCTATCATTAACAACTGAAATCTTGAATCCCAATGATGTATTAATACTTTTTTACTCACTTATGAAAAGACAAATACAGGTGGATATTGCTGGTGGTTTTGTTCTCTTGAGTAGTTCTCCTTCATTTATTGATTCAAGGGCCCAGCCTTATTCTGTGCTGTGGTTTCCCCATCTTCAGATGTGCCTTAAATGTCATCCTGGTGTCATTCAGATAAGCAGGCATGAAAGAAGCAGGGTAGAAGAAATGAAGGCATGTGTAGTCAATACAGCAGCTTTTCATTGCTTTAGACTTACCATTTTCACTCCTTTATCAAGAACTTGACTCATGGTTCAATGCAGATTGCAAAGGGATCGGGAAACGGAGTTGGTCTCTGTTCCTGGAAAAAGAAAGGCTGGTCTCTGTCATAGTTCTTTTCCAAATGCACCTGTAAAGCAGCTTCTATTTAAGCTCTCACCAAATTGTATTATAGTTACGGTATGTGGTCTGTTTTTTTCTCTTAATCTTTAAATTCATGAAGGTAAAAGGCCAAAAATTAAACTTTTTCATACTCCCAGAGGTTAGAATAGTGTATGCCTCATACTAGGCACATAATAAATGCTACGCTACTCATGGATAATAACTACTTTCCTCTTTTACTATATTAATATTTTAAGGTGTGGACTACTTGCTATTTCTTATTCTTTGCCCCTTAGTGTCTTACTTTGTTTTCAAAATCTCAAAGCCTTCCTGTTTCTCTAGATGTTTACATACTTTCATTCCACAAAAATAAAAAGTCTTCAATATATTATCAGTGGCTCATTTTTTCTCAGTAAACCCATTTCAACTACTACATACATGTTTGTAACTCACTTGTATACCAAAAGCCTTTAAATATCTCCCAATTTCCAGCCCTACATCTGTAACCACCAACAAGACAACATTTACTTTATATCCCTTGTATATACTTATTTATTTAGCATATCTAAGACATGATTAATCTCTTTCCTACAACTTCTCCTTTTCATTTCCTATATTTTGTAATAGAAGCATTGATTTCCAACTGTCCAAGACTACATAAACAAGAATAAGCATATATTTCAGAGAAGAAAAATTTAGTCTTCACATTTTTTTAGAGTAAGCACTATTTATTTTAAAAGAATAAGAAGGTAAAATCTCAGGATATTTTCGGACCCCCAAAAGGTGATCACTAAACAAATATGTATAAAATTAGTCAATAAATTTGTTTTATTTTTGAGTTGCAAAAAAAAGGGTTTGAAACAAAATAAAAAGTAAAATGCTGTGATATGACAAATAATATTTAGTTCAATACAAATGAATTAAGCACAAGATTGAGATGTGCATGCACACGTGTGTGTGTGCATGTGTGTTTAAAATTGTGAAAGATTCAGTTTAATATCAGAGCACTATCATTTTGGGTACAGGCTACAACCAAGAGAACCAAAGCCTAATAGAGCAGCTTAGGTTATATTTAGCTATGTTGACTGAACGTAGCATGTAGATTCTTGACATTGGGAATTATGAGTAGGCTTAAGTTGTATCCTTGACTCCAAGGTGAGCAAAGCAGTTGAAGCTCTCAGAGTTGTTTTATAGAAGCATTGGCCACATTTCCCAATGTATAAAGAGTTTTCAAGAGGAAGATACATGCCCCTGATGGCCACTGAAGAAAAGCATACTTTTTTTCTCCCCGACTAATGGTCCTGATTATTATGGGATAATACTATTATTTATTTATTAGAAATGTTACCAATAGAAAGGTTAATAAAATAATTGCAATATTATCGGATTATTATGGAATATGGTTGTTACTGTAATATGAGGAAACTGAATTTGTAAGGAATCAATGAATACATTATAATGCTAAATTTATGTTATTTTTAGCATAGACTATTCCTTTCTTTGGATTTGTGTTATCTCACTATCTTTACTAATTCCTTGGTGCTGGTAAATATTTAGTGTTCATTAAAATATCCTAAAATTCTGCATGCCAAGTTGATATCTGTCCTTTATAATCAACTTATTCTAAACAAGTCTGCAGCTTTTAGGGGAGCATTGTGGAGGCAGCAAAACTTTATTTTTCATGACTTGACTTTTGCATTTGTTATCTTTTTCCATAAACTCTGACAAAGCTGAACTATACTGTGAAATAGTCAAATACACTGCTGACGTGTTTGCTGAAGTTCCTAATCTTTTCTCTATTTTTTCTATTAGATCCTTAAAGTACCAGTTCATAAATACTTCCTCTCTCTGCAGCATTTTCTCAGGTGTATCTTTCCACAAAACTTTTTTCACTAAATATTAACAAATTATATCGTGAGAACCCATCCCCAATATTTCAACATAGGTTCTTTCTATTATCCCTAAGTGTCGGCCGGTCTGAGAAATAAAGAGAAAGAGTACAAAGAGAGGAATTTTACAGCTGGGCCTCCTGGGGTGACATCGCATATTGGTAGGATCATGATGCCCACCTGAGCTGCAAAACCAGCAGGTTTTTATTAAGGACTAAAAAAGGGGAGGGGCTGTACTAACAGGGAGTAGGTCACAAAGATCACATGCCTCAAAGGGTAAAAAGGAGAACAAAGATCACATGCTTCTGAGGCCAATAAAGATCACAAGGCAAATGGCAAAGTCAAAAACTCCTGATAAGGGTCTATGTTCAGCTGTGCACATATTGTCTTGATAAACATCTTAAACAACAGAAAACAGGGTTCAAGAGCAGAGAACCAGTCTGACCTCAAATTCACCAGGGTGGGGTTTCTTCCAAACCCTAATAAGCCTGAGGGTACTGCAGGAGACCAGGGCGTATTTGAGTCCCTATCTCAACCACATAAGACAGACACTTCCAGAGTGGTGGTTTATAGACCTCCCCCCAGGAATGCATTCCTTTCCCAGGGTCTTAATTATTAATATTCCTTGCTAGGAAAAGAATTTAGCGATATCTCTCCTACTTGCACGTCCATTTATAGGCTCTCTGCAAGAAGAAAAATATGGCTGTATTCTGCCTGACCCCGCAGGCAGTAAGACCTTATGGCTGTCTTCCCTTGTTCCCTAAAAATTGCTGTTATTCTGTTCTTTTTCAAGGTGCACTGATTTTGTATTGTTCAAACACACGTTTTACAATCAATTTGTACAGTTAACGCCATCATCACAGTGGACCTGAGGTGATGTACATCCTCAGCTTACGAAGATAGCAGGATTAAGAGATTAAAGTAAGAAAAGCATACGAAATTATAAAAGTATTAATTTTGGGAACTGATATATGTCCATATTAAAATGAAATCTTCACAATTTATGTTCCTCTGCTGCAGCTCCAGCGGGTCCCTCTGTTTGGGGTCCCTGACTTCCCACAACAAAATTATTTATTAGAAATGTTACTAATAGAAGGGTTAATAAAATAACTGCAAAGAATTTTATTCAGAAATTTATATCTATCTCTACAATGCCAGTAAGTCTCTTCTGGAAATTTTGTAAGCATTTTTTTATATAGGTTTTACCTTGTTTCAGTTTACAAATATTGTTGTTTCACTCTTTAAATGTGAAGTTGTGTCTTCCATTTACGTTTTATTTAACAATAGCTTTAACTTAATTCATTTTTAAATTGTCAAAACATTTATTTTTAAACTTATTGAAATAGCAGCAGAATTTTCATAAATTTGTGGCTTTGTTTGCTACTGTTGAGATAGTTACAGTGTATTACAACATTTCAAGTTAGAAAATCTGAGCTTAAATTCTGCTTCTTCAGCTTACTATTTCTGTGGAGGTGAACCTCTAACCTTCTATATTCCATTCTTCTTTATACAAAAACTAAGAATATCATAGTAACAGTTTAAGCATTAAATTATTTTGACATATGATTTTTTTTAGTGCTGCTTTGCCAGCCAGAGACCTCTGCAGCTGGCAACACCCCCACCTGGGCTCTGCTTGGTCCTGGGCTCCTGGGTGGAGGTACCTGGACCATTCAGCCATGTGGGCTGCACTTGGCATGCACCCCAGCCAGATCCCGTGCTCAGCCTGCAGCTAGGCCAGGTGTACCCTTGCCCAGCTGTGTTACAGATTGTTCAGTTCTTCTGCCTCGCTCAGGCCCATGGCTCTGGGGCTGACCCAGCCCCACTGCTGCTTCTTGTTGTGTGGGATGGCTGCCCAGCGCTAATGGAGGGCAAAGGGCCACAGTGTTACATTCTTTCTTATACCTGCATTTGGTGCATCCTGAATTCTTGTCCCGTGTCCAAGAAGAATGAGGTTATGCTGACAACTGAAGGGTGACAAGTACAGAGAAGAGTTTTATTGAGGGACAGAACAGCTCTCAGCATAGAGGGGACTCGAAATGGGGTGGTCCATCACCCAAAGGCAGGTAGTCCTCCCACCACCCAAATGCAGGTAGTCCCAACATGTGGCTGAATCTGGGGCTTTTATGGACTCAGAATGGGGGAGTGCATGCTGAATAGTTTGTGAGTATGCCAAAAAAGGTTAAAAGAAAGGCACCTCTTAAAGGTGGGCATGACAGTGTAAAAAACCAATTAGAGAAGAGTGGGTATTTGTAAAATAGGTGAAGGATGGAGATCAATCAGAGGAAAGTGCACCAAATGGGAAGAGAGGTTCTCAATCCAGTCCGTGGACTTATCCGGGACTTGTAGCCAGGCTTCAAATTGTCTTCAGCTTGAAGGTTGGGTTTCACTGGGGACCTGCCCCTGTCTGCCTAGGATTTGTCTGTCTCCTGCTACTATTGATTTTACATATGAAGCATTTAAGCCTTTTGAATTTTATTCAAAATTCATTTATTTATCCATTCCTTCATTCTTTTATTCATTCACCTATTCATGTATACTGTGATAATGCAGAATGTTCACCTGAGCAAATTGCTTTCTGGCAATAAGTTTAGATAATACAAGCACATTTAATATTTCATCTCAACACCAAAAATCCAACATTTTCAAAGTCCAGAAAATCTAACAATTTCAAAGCCCAGAATAAAATGCTGAAAAGGTATAGTGATTAAGTGTGGAAAGAGCACAGAACTTAAAACAGCTGTCTGGAATATCTGTTGCCTTCATTCTGCATCATGTATCGAAGACTGAAATTAGGAAACCACCCCGTAAAGATGGGACAGATTTGCACAGGAATAGTTATGGCTCCTATTATGTTGTTCCCATTCACTCAGCAGTAAACAACATTCTTGATCATTTTCTCTTTAAACACTGTCCTCTTGTGATACATCACTCCCTTGATTTTTGTCTTCTTTTATCTTTTATTTTTTTTTGAGGCAGGATCTAGCTGTTGCCCAGGCTAGAGTGCAACAACACAACAATGGCTCACCGCAGCCTCAACCTCCTGGGCTCAAGCAATTCTACCTCCTCAGCCTCCCACGCAGCTGGAACCAAAGGCATGTAGCACCCCACCTGGCTAATTTAAAACAAAAATGTAGCAGTGGGGGTCTTGCTAGGTTGCTGTGGCTGGTCACAAACTCCTGGGCTCAAGCAATCCTCCTGCCTTGGCCTCCCAAAGTGCTGGGATTATAAGCATGAGCCACTTCACCTGGCCCAACTTTTGCCTTCTTCTATGCTATCTCTTGCCAGTTCTAAATTCTCTCCCGAAGTATTCCAAGTCCTTTACTTGTCTACAGCTTCCTTTTCATCTTACACAGATACCCAAATAGTCATCTCAAACTAAACATGTCCAAAATAGAGCTATTAATGTCTCCTGTCTTCTCATTCTCCCCTGTCCATTGTGTCCCCTCAGATTGTTTAATTCTTTTGTGCTTCTCCTCTCGGTAATTAGTAATATACCCACAGTTGCAAAAACAAATACTAAGATGCAGCCTTGATTTATGCCTTTTCCTAATTCTTACTACAATAAATCCATCATCAAGTTCTTTCTACTTTACATTAAATATGCAAATGTAATATGTGCACACATACCACCTCTGTCCTTTTGTCTCTGTTTCCATTATTGTCATCCTTGTTCAGGCTGTCATCATCTCTCCCCTGAAATATGTGATAGCCTGTAACTGGTTTTCCTGGTTGCATACTTACCCTCTACATTACAACATCAAGACTAATCCTTATAAAATACGTATTGGATAATATCACTCCCCTGCTTAAAACAATAAAAGTCAAACTACTTACCTATTGTCAGATAATAACCCATGTAAAGCACTTAGCATAGTGTCTTACACATCATAGGCCTTAAATAAATATTAGTTCTCTCTTCTCTCCCTCTTTTCTGTACACTTTTATCTTTCCACATGGCCATTTGTTAGATCTAAAATGTTCTTTAAAATTTTTATTAGATGTTTTCTTAGTGCAGCTTTACCTGAATTTCTTGCTGATTTTGTCCAAAGGAGTTATTAATTCCTCTATTTCTATGCTACCACAGCTGGATGCCTGGACTTCTGTTATAGACCTACTGGCAATGATTTGCAATTTAAAACAGGAATGTTAAATATAAATGATGACATATATGTGATTTCCTTAAGAGCAAATCCATGTTTGACCTATTTTTGCACCTTCAGTATATGTGACATATAGTAGGTATTCACTAAAAGCTTCTTTAAATGACTAAAACACTTTACGAACCTAGTAGTACAATGGAATCATTTGTTTTCTTAAGTAGGTCATAGACAACATAGGAAAAGGTATATAAAACTAGAGAGAAAAGAGTGGGAATAGACAGTCACAAAGTAACTATTCCATAGAGCATGAAAATTCAACTTTAAAAGAAGGTGAAGGAATTATCAGAATGTTGGGAGTATGCTTAATACTTGTTTAAATCAAATTTAAAAACTCAAGATATTTTTTAAACATAAGCTAGGCACAGAAAGCCAAATATTATATTATCTCTTTAATGGAAGAGGTTTAAGTGGAATCTAAAAACATAAAACTCATAGAAACAGAGAGTAAAATGCTTGTTGCCAAAGGCTGGGGGCTGGAAGAACTGGGGAGATGTTGCTTAGAGGACACATTTCAGTTAGACAGGAGGAACAAGTTCAAGTGATGTATTGTACTTCATGGTGACTGCAGTTAATAACAATATATTGTATTCTTGGAAATTGCTGAAAGTGTAGATGTCAAGTGTTCATACCACAAAAATATATGACATAATGTATACATTAAATAGCTTGATTTAGCCATTTCACAACATATACATCTATTAAGGTATATGTTGTACCCCATAAATATATATAAATTGTATTTGTCAATTAAAAATAAAGATATGTAAATAGAGAAAATACAAATAGGCAGAGATAGCTATTAAAATAAACCTTTTGATAATAACAATTTCAAATTCATGGTTAAATATGTAAAACACAGACTTTGGGGGCAGGCAATCTGTACTTGATATCTGAGTGTTATCATTATGGAGCCAGTTTTATTTGACTTCAGCACTTAATTTACTTGAGATCTGAAAGTTCTGAAGAACTTATACAGATAATATAAGCAAAACGAGGTCTAGTATTTAAGAAAACTCTTTAAGAAATGTTTCTGTTGTTGCATTCTACAAATAATTTTTATTTATATTACATTACCTTAGAGACTGCCATCAGAAAGAACTTTTCTCTAAGAATGATGGAATGTTAAAAGCCCCCAAAAGGCAGTTAAAATAATCAGTTGAAACCTTACGTATCTCCAAAGTAAATAAATATTTATACTTAGTAAACTTAAATATAATCTTATTTTAGAAAACATTTATATTTAAATGTGTATATAACATGTACAATATAATAAGGTATAGATATGCCATGGCAATTCTTCTATCTATAGTAGGTTATTATTAAGCAATTTTACAGCATAGGGCATGTCATGTTTCTATACTAAAAATAATATAGCAGTACTCATTTTACATATGTCTTTGCTCAAAAATTCAATTTATTTAGAATAAATGGCTTAAAGGTTAATTTTTCAAGAATTCTTTTATTGTTTAAAATTTTGGTTAAATATCTAGAGGTATATATTTCTATACCACAGAATAACTGATAATAATATATATATACAAGAAAGTTTTGCCCTAATAAATGACCTAGTAATACAATATATGGTATAACTTTGGAGGGGAAAATTTAAGATTTTTATTTTCCTATTATGGATTTAGACACATCTTAATTAAATCAATACATTATATTATATCAATTAAGACACATCTTAATTAAATCAATACAACATTAAAATTATAATATTTGATTTCAGAATACTTATTTTTGATTACTTAATTATCAAGAATTAGGTATAGATGTCTTTTTTTTATATGTTTCATGTAAAAAAAGACGAAAAAAATTTATTTTATATTTTGCCACTATTGTTTTTAACAAATCATAATACTTAAAATGTTTGTGTCCATTTTATAATGTGGTTTTGATTGCACTTCTTATAGAATTCAAATAAATATATTTGGTTTTTATTAAATTTGAGGATCACTTTCTCTTAATGAAGAACTTAGTATTCAGAACTGTAATTCTTTTTTTTCTATATTTTGCTTTCTTTTGGTTTTTTTCTTTCCCTGTCTTTTATTTGATGAAATATATCTCCCTCCCCTGTTTTTTAGAGTTTTTGTAATTTTGGTTTGTTTCACTACTCTTTGTTAAGCTATGCATTCTCTTTCTAATTATTCTACTTGTTAAATTTTTATTAAAAACAAAAATAGCAATGACATATTTTACATATTTATCTAATTATAAGCTCAAAGCATGAAATAGTATTGACTTCCACATACATATGTTTGTGTACGTGTATATTATGAATAAATTAGTTCATCTCAAATATGAAACTTTAACATCTTTACCATTTTTTTGGAATAGTCTAGGATTTTAGACACTTCTTAATTTTGTTTTACCTTTTATGTCACATATTCTTCATTAATAGTTATTAATATGTTGTATTTTCTAGCTGTTCTTGCAAAAAGTAGTTTTATTTTATGTTTCAACAGTCTCAGCGTCAACTGTGACACTTTCTGTGTTTGGCTTTCTTGTTTTGGAATTGTTTATCTTGATGTGCATCCCATTGCACATTGTTATGTTTCTCAAAAGATTATTTAAATGTTATGTGTTTTTATGATCACTCGTTTTTTGCTTCATGCATGCATTATTGCCTTAAACATTAAAAAATACTTGTTTTGATGTGCTTTTTATCTTTATATGTGAAAAATCTTTGCTGGCTAATATGTCTTTTGTCACAATTGTTTCCTCCTTAATTCTCTTAACGAATTAAGAGATTATTTCATTTTCTTCTGTCATTTTATGTGGTACAATACATCTGAATCTGTCCTCATTTTTCTTACATAGGTTTTTCATTTTCTTTTTCTGCTTGAAATTGCCAACATATATCTAAATGTTGACCTACTTAGTATTATACTGACTTTGGTATTTCTTTATCTTTTTATATAGTTATCTTTACATTTTCAAATTAACTTGTTCCTAAGGCTGAAAGAAATAAGAATGAATGTTGCTTCTTTTTTTCCTTTTCTGATTCCTACATCAAGAACACCAATCATATCTTTGTTGGCTTTCTGGTATCTTCTCTCCATAATCATTCATTAATATGACTATTTTTATCTATTTATTGTTTCCTCCTGTACTTTTGCAAATGTTAACAAGCTTGCTCTCCTCTCCCTTTGTTGAAACTGGGTACTATAATTTTTTTCATTTTACGAAATTATACAATTTCATTACGTTAAGATAATACTGGTGTTGCTCTAATTGTTAATTTACAATGGTATTTTATTTCTGACATTATTTTTATTTTTCAACATCGTTTTTATTTTTTCTATCAACCATCTTCCTATTCATCAGCTTTTGTATTACATGTCTTTCTTTTTCTATACTGTAAAACTTTAATTCTTGATTTTTTAAATATAAAATGATATCCTCTGAAATTCGTTTAATTTCTTGCCATTATTATATTTTTAGATTTGTTATTCTTTTACCTGTTGTCATATATATACTTTCCTGTCTTTGTGCCACATAAATCACAAATAAATTTAATGATTATATGTATATATATAAAAAAGCTTTGAAAAATATTTAAACATTTTTTGAAGGCCATATAATTTTATTAACAATAACACATAAAAAGATAGTATACTGCTGTGTTAAAAATTAACACAATATAAATATATTACTAAGAACTATAGCTTAAACATAAAACAACTTAGAAAAAAATTTAGAGAATTGGAATTTTGTAGATTCAGATTCATACCATGGCTCTACAACTAACTAGCTGTGTGTGATAAAGTTAATCGCTCTGTGACTTCCTCACTTTCATTATCTTTAAAATAAATATAGTGAATTTATAAATAAATTATTTAAAATAAATATAGTAAAATAAACATAGTAATTTTTATATTATACTTATAAAGATTTATAATAATATAAACAAATTTAGAGAAATGCCTCGCTCCTAGTAAATTCTAAATCAATAGTAGATATAACAATTATTTTGTTAAAAAGTATTGAAAATGAATTAATTAATCCTGAAGTCTCAACTACCACATATTTATTTTTTTGTTGTCCTATAGTTTCACTTTTTATTATTTTCTCTTCTTAATTTAATTAGATTCTTTCCAAATTTTTTGTATTTCTTAATATTATGACTTCTGTTAAACTTTGCATGTAAAACAAACTCATTATATACATATTCTTATTTCCATGCAGTTAAAAATATGCCCCTATAAAACCATTGGTTTATAAGACAGATGAATACAAAATGGGGGGAAACCACTGGTTAAAAAAATCATCTAATTTTTCCAAGCTTAGTAACATATGAACCAAGAGCAGATGGGGAGAGAATTTTGTATCCCTCCCTTTACTGACTAAATTTGCATCTTCAGTAAAACCTAAGTTTTTTTTTTTTTAGCAAAGTCTTCAACAATACCCCCTACCCTCTACCTCCCAACCCATGCCAGATACTGTATTGTACCTGACAGCTGCTTGTGATAGTGCATGCAACCTTTCCTGGGTAATTAAAGAATACAAGCTTTAACCCTTACCCTATATAGACTCAATAGTATCAGAATAGCTCTGATGAATGGGACCAGATACTAACTTGTTCAAGAAAGGAAGGAGTTCCTTGGTAAAGAAAGGAAAACAGGGCTCTAGAAGGAAGAACTAATAATGCATCAGAGGATGAGTTTGGAGTGAAGGCTTGGATAAAACTTGACACTCACATCATGGGAAAAGTGGAGAATGGGACTGGTCTCAAGTGTAGCATATGGCACAGACAGAAACTTCAAACTAACTTCTCTAGGTCTGTGGGTGTGTATAAGAATAATGGCTGCTGGCCAGGCATGGTGACTCATGCCTGTAATCCCAGCACTTTGGGAGGCCAAGGCAGGTGGATCACTTGAGATCAGGAGTTCGAGACCAGCCTGGCCAACATGGTGAAACCCCATCTCTACTAAAAATACAAAAAATTAGCCAGGCGTGGTGGCAGCCACCTGTAATCCCAGGTAATCAGGAGGCTGAGGCAGGAGAATCACTTGAACCTGGGAGGTTGCGGTGAGCAGAGTTCACGCCATTGCACTCCAGCCTGGACAACAAGAGTGAAACTCCGTTTCAAAAAAAAACAAAAAAAAAGCAAGAAAGAATGGCTGTCTAGATGAAATAAAGAGCAGAAGCATTGGGAACTTGGGCCCTCAGTGATGTGGGATTACTATAGGAGGAGTATGTTACCCTGGCAGAAGAGAATGCCTCCCTTTCTCACATCCCTTTTGCTTCTCTCAGGGAAGGTGTGGAAAAGGTTTTCTCCCATCTCCCAGAGATGTATTTTTTGAAAAATTTCATCCCCTCAGCAGGCTTCAGAGAATAGCTTTTTGCTTTAGCTTTACTGCTGGTAATGATAAAGATGTTTCAGTTCTCTCTCTGAGAGGTGCTTGAAATGAGAGATACTGAGCAGATAATGGTACTGATCCTCCTTCTGGAAATGAATTGGCAATGATCTGGATGTGGCACAAGATACAAGCTGAGGGTATCTCATAAATCAACAGCTAATCTTCAGTTTGATGGTGTAAGCGGAGAGACTCATTAATTAAAAAACAGCCTCTAATGCTGCTTGTAGTTTCTCCATTTTTAAGTCAATGCATATAAATCCCAGTGTCAATAAAGAGGCGGAACTGATCAATCAGAAAAGAAATATAGAAGTAAGAATTGTAATGAGACTATCTACCCTTTGATGGGTGACACTGAGGGAAGAGGAGGGCAATTGCACAGTAGCAAGATGAGGAATCAAGAGTTACAGCAATTGAATTTATTGAGATAAAAAATACTAATATCTAACATATATTACCAGCATTTCATCATCATCCTAAGTCTTTTGTTTTTATGTAATAATTTTTAATCCTCTTTCACCTCTCATTTTAAAGATGAGAACAAGAAGACATAAAGAGTGTCACCAAGGTCTTGGCAAGTTTGCCAAAGTCTCATATCTCCTAATCTGCAAAACTGCAATTTGTGCAAAGAAAATTTGGTTTCTGAACTTGGGTTTTTAACCACTGTTACAGACTGAACTGTGCCCCTTCAAAATCCTATGTTGAAATCCTAACTCCCAGTGCTTCAGAATGTGACTGTATTTGGAGATAGGATATTTAAAATGGTAAAATAAGATCATTAGAGTTGGTCATAATCCAATACGTCTTGTGTTCTTATAAGAAAATGCAATAAGAACATAGACATGCAGAGAGTTAATGTAATAATTGGTATTTATTATTATTATTATTGCTATAATAATTATTAAACAACGAAAAGAGTGAGAAAAGAATTCCGCCATTGAAAATGGACTCTTACTGCACTGATGCAAACAACTATATTGTCATAAAAATACTCACTGATAGTTTCCAATTTCTAGAGGAACCAGGCAGAGAGAAACAAATATGCTCCAAGTCTTGATCACAGGAGTATACCTTACTTAATTATTAAAGGCCATAAATAGTTCAAAGTTTCTTTGACTCTGAAAAACAAAACACGGATCAGCAATATTCCAAGCAAAGGTTAAAAAGATTTGTTCAGTTTCTTTTCTTTTTTTTTTTTTTTTTTTTGAGATGGAGTTTCGCTCTTGTCACCCAGGCTGGAGTGCAATGGCTCAATCTTGCTCACTGTAACCTCTGCTTCCTGGGTACAAGTGATTCTCCTGCCTTAGCCTCCCAAGTAGCTTGGATTACAGGCATGTGCCACCATGCCCGGCTAATTTTTTTTTTTTTAATTTAGTAGAAACAAGGTTTTGCCATGTTGGTCAGGCTGGTCTTGATCTCCTGACCTCAGGTGATCCACCTGCCTTGGCCTCCCAAAGTGCTGGGATTTCAAGTGTGAGCCACCGCTCCCAGCCTGGTTTCAGTTTCCTGAGTTCAGTCCATTTAGTTAACTCTTGTTTTGTTTGATATTTGTGAGCATTTCAGCTCCTTATGAGTCCTGTATATTTTTCTTTATTTTAATGTTACAATTTCCAAAGTTACCAGAAGCCTGTGTTTGAGAGCACCTGTTAAAGTTCTATAGCTCATTATAAACCATCTTTGAGAAGGATTAAACAAGGCAACAACTGTCTGTGAATAGCAAAATGTCCAGGGTACTTACAGTTAGAAACACGATTGACAAAGAAGCTTGGTTATCTCCGTGGTTTACAATAACTTAACATAACGACCTTAATTATGACTGATAGCATATATTCAGCCATTAGAATTCTAGAAATCTCATACAATTTTGGAACATGTATTAGGATTATTCACCCAGATACAACCTAAAGAAGACTGAGCATAATTTTTGCAATCCCATGTACCTAAACATGTCAAATAATCCTGTTTACCTCTCTTCTCTGGACACTTCAGGGGCCCTCTGACATATTTGAAAAGCCAGGTGCCAGGGAAGACAATTTTGAAACTGAGGTTTGATTTTGGGAAGGCTGTTAAATGTTTGAGGTTTAAATAACTTGATATTATGAAATAGAATTCCAGGTTACCAAAAGTTATTTATTTTGCCAAAATCATGACTCAGAAATTTTAAAGAAGCAAAAACCTGTTATAACCCTTTACAAATGTGCCAAAGAGCAGATTAGCACCTTAGGAAAATCTTGTTATGCTTTTATTTCAATTTACAGAAAAACCAAACAATACCCTTTTCTGAATTTAGTCAATATGTTCACATAGAATCTCTTCTGCAAGATTAATTTCCACAGTTCTCCCACCACTTCTTTGAACCTTCAGCTTTTTCCTAATTTAACTCAAACAATCCTTTAACCCTAGGCAAAAGTTTACATTTCCATGCCTTCTTATAACCTTTTATTAAAAAACACATTTTACTGTTCTTACTCACCTTGCATGTAAATATATTTCTAGTAGTTTCAACTCCTAGCAATTTTGAACTTTAAGGTAAAACTTGGAGAGTTGCTTTAATTGTGTGCTAACTGCAACTAAGGTGTGCCTTCTTAGTTAGGGGCGTGGTTAGTTCCATATGCCGTGAGTGAGGCCCTTTAAGAGACAGGGGACATGCAGATATTGAATTAGAGAGGGCTCATCCCCTAAGGCAGGATTGCTAAACAAATCCTTGCCGCCAGAGTTATAAGCCATGGCCTCAGGATGTAAAACAAAATAGAGGATTTATTTCACAAGCAAAACTTTGCAGAGCATACAGTGATAGCTGGGGAGCAGAGGGAGTGGCCTAGTAAAGTGTCTTCTAAAAAAAAACAAACAAACAAACAAAAAAAAAACTTTAAGGGTTTACTTGTTGAGGAGGTGGAAAAGGGGAGTGAAAAAAGGTTTAAAAATGCCTGGGGAAGAACTTCTTATTCGTCTGCAAGTGATTTCAACAGCAGGGTTAAAGCTTAATTACTCTCTGATAAAGTTTAACCCCCTGGCAGGGGAAAAGGAAGGCTGCGGTGGCTTGTGTCTGAGAACCATCTAGCCAGCTGTGTGGGACCCTTGGGCCATGCATCCCGTCCCGGGCACAGAGGGGAGGGGGAGTGAGGAGCCCCGGCTTTCCTGTCTGTCCTGAAAAAGGAAGGAAAAGGCCTTTCCCCCGACGACCCCCAACGGAGCAACGGAGTTTGGGGTCGTGTTTCCCCCACCCTCAGTAGTCTGAGGATGAAAATGCTTAGGATCAACAGTGAGAGGTTTTGAGTCCCCATTTCACTCACTGTTTCTTGAGCTCCCCTGTTGCGCGCCAAAAAGCAGGACTTTCCCTTAGTTCAGCTAAAGACTGGGTCCTTGTCCATTCCACGACCACGACAATTTAGGCTCATAGATGGTTTGAAGGGTGAGTAAAGCAGGGTTTTGTTGGGTGAAAAGGAAGGAAAAGGGGAAACAGGGACCCTCAGCAAGGCCAGAGGCCCCTGCTAGCGTGCTTCCTACCCAGCCGTTTGAATTCCAGGTTCCACACAGGAAGAGGAGGAGTCGGACTCCTGGCTGCTGCAAAGGGCACCAACTTCTGTATTTTCACTCCAGTGCGCATTCCCAGTGCGCAGGCTGGTTGGAGATTCTCCAGGGACCCCCTCCCACCTGGCTGTCTCACTTTCCGTTCTTGACATCAGACATATTGAAATTCTCTGGGGACCTATGTGAAAAGTGAAGTTAATTGCAATGAGAGAACTGGAGTTTGGGAGCTAATCTGATTGGAGGCTGGCCACTGCAGGTGATCACATCCAGGCAATTGCTGTTTAATTAAGGCAATGCGATTAATCACAGATGTCACTCACTGGTAGCAACAGATGACACTGTACAACATTCCACCTATGAAATAAACATAAAGTAACGTTTGGAAAGACAGAAACTGAGTTAGGTCTGAGATTCTCCTTTAATGTTTTAATCTGTCGGGTTTTATTTGAATTCTAAGGATACGTGAAGCTTTATTCTTCTTACCTTCTTGAATATGCCCTCAAAACTATGTCATTAATTTTGAGTTCTTGTTTTAGTTTTTAAATGGAAACTTTCACAAATAAACATTGCAACTTTTTTGCCTTTTTTAGGTATAATATAAATTTAATAAACTACTCAGATTTAAGCTTGATGAATTTTGGCAATTGTACACACCCATTTAACTACCACTCTAAACGAGATATAGAATTGTGCTGTCCAGTATAGTTCCCACTAGTCACATGTGGCTATTTAATCTTAACATTTATTTAATTAAAGTTAAATACAATTTAAAATTTACTTTCTTAATCACACAAGCCATATTTCAAGTTCTTAACAGCTCCTTGTTGGTGGTAATAGCCGCTGACATATAGCTATTGGACATACTGGATAGCACATATTTAGAACTATGTAGAAAGTGATAGAAATGTCTTTGTAAAAATTAATAGCCAGCAACATTAGAAAGTGGCTTCTTTTACTCATAATAATTTTTAAATCTATCCATAATATTGCATGCATTCCTATTTTTTTTTCCTTTTTGCTACTGTGTAGCTTTCCATTTCATTGTTATGCCATAATTTGTTTAGCAGTTCTTGACTTGGGATAAAAAGCTGAGTTAAAAATAAAAAAATAAGAATAAAAGTAAATTTTTAAAAATTTTGCTGTTCATGGAAGTTTGGAGTACTCTACTTTTAGCTATTAGGAATTAGGCTATCATGATACTTTGTAAAATTCATTTTGTGAACATATGTTTGTTTTATTTCTCTTGAGAAAACACCTAGGGGTGGGATTGCTTAACCACGGAATAAGTGTAAATTTATATTTATAAGAAACTCTCACAGGAAAAGAAATGTGTAAGAATATTATTCAGCAGTAAAATACTATTTCACATCCAAAAGAATGTTGGGGGGTACTGACAATACAAAATGTTGGTGAAGATGTAAAACAGATATGAATCTCATACGTTGCTGGTGGGAGGGTAAAATGTTGTAGGTTCTTTGGACAACAATATCTTATTGTGGTTTTAATCTGCATTTTCCCATTGACTGAAGCTGTTAGACAGCTTTTCATGTGTTAATTGGGCATTCTTAGATCTTCTTTTGTGACATGTTCATTTATTTCTTTTGCACTTAAAACAATTAGTTATCTGACATTTAATAGACAATTTTTAGGAGTCCTTTTATGTATTTTAAGTATGCTTATTTTGTCTGATATGTTATTGCATATTCTTTTTCAAGATTTATATCTTAACCTATGTAAATTATAAGGCTAAATGTCTAGTTAGTTATAGGAAGGTGTGGAGCACCAGATTAGAATTTTTTTTAAGTAAACCGCAATGTATCAGAGAGTATGCTCTAAGTGCAATGAGTCCAAAAAATATCAAAGCCAAGAGAAGTAAATAGGGGGTCCTCTATCCAAGAAACTTTAAAAGCTATAGAAAAGAACACAAAGGAAAGAAAAAAACTCCAAAGCCTGTAATTATTTAAAGATTTAATTTCTTATAACTGTCTTTTTAACGTTTCTAAACTTGTATGGCAAACAATAGCATATATTTAGACAATGGAAAACATAAAATTCAATAATTGCTTTTTTTTATAAAATAAAATTGACCATTTACTATTTGGCATATTCAAATTATATAAATTATATAATAGATGCCATATTCAAGATGGCTGGCAATTTTAGCACAGAAAATAGAACAAAGACAACCAAATCTATGCTCTTATAATAATAATGATTTTTAAAAAGCCTCATATCTTTGGTTTCACTTATTTGTGTATAGAACTTCTAATTAGTAAAATTGCCAATATATTTTTATGAATCCTTTGGTTTTACCTTCTGGGTATCTAGAAAACATAGATTTCAAATGTATAAATGATATTTAAAATTCAATTCCAAATTTTTAAAATATTCAAAATATGATATTCAGAAGGTAATAGTATGTGCTTGCAAAATCTATTCATTTTCTCTTAACATTTTGGAGGCAAAATCTTTTACTTCTTCTATACAAAAAAACCCATAATTTTTAGTTTGGGCTGGGAGTCCCAATCTTTAACTTGGCTACATGTGGTCAAATTGCATGGCTCCCCAAACAGAAATGATTGTTATCCACCCCCACACAAAAACCCCACACATCCCAACAAACACACAACATGACATCAGAAAAATCTTTGGATTTTATCTAATATACATATTCAACATAATATACAATTCACCTGAAGCTGTTTATAAATATCTATTTGTCCCATATTCAAGTAAGAACACAGATGATTCAAGTATGCAGGTATAACAGTCAAATGTGTTCTCTCCAGTGTTATTTGCTGTTAAGTTTAAATGATATGCAAGGAAGAAGTCAGAGCTAACAATAAATCTTTACTTTCTACTCCTTTCTTATTCATCATGCACACAGACACATCTATAGACAACATAAAATCTGCACAGACACATCCACACAGTTACAAGCATTTATATAGACACACACACACATGCAAACACACACACTAATATAGCCATATATTCCTCAAGTAATATGATTTTTCTTAACTTTCCACATGCCCCCTAGTTGTTCTAGTCTACTAGGCAGTCATTATAAGAAATAATTATTCTATAGTTTGAACATGTAAGTATAGATATTCTTAGGCTAACAGATTACCATATTGCCTGATTTAAAAAAACAAAAACAAAACTCAGTCTCAAAAGTGAACAATGTCAGATGCCACTCTTGGTTTTGAATATTACTTTATCCTAGTTAGGGCCACGGATGCACATTTTTATTTCAACTTTAAGCTATGAAATGTAAAGTTGTTTACAAAAATATATGGGAGTTCTACTGTTTGAGTTATAAAGTAGACCTTGATCTGAAGAATAGAAAGAGATTTCTAACTGTGCTCTCCAGAAACTGAAAAGCCTGGTTGTATTAAGAGTGAGTGTTCTTTCTCTGGAAGTACTGAAGCAGAAACTGCACAGTCACTACTCCTAAACCTTTCTGAAGGCATCAATCCATGAGGCAGCCAGTTAAATGAGATGCCCTCTGAGGTTACTTCCAAACTGTAGTTTCTGTAATTCTACCAATTTCTCCTGATTTTAACATCTCAACAGTTTATCAGAGCGAAGTGTCTTCTAACATGATTGCTTTGCCTAATTATTTTTAGAACAGATGAAATTATATATACATAAACATTTTTTAAAAAGACATTAATAATTAGTTACTGTCTCTAATTATTTACATATGACTTTTCTAACTGAGACTAAAACTTTTTTTAGAATTGTGTACGTACGTTAAGAATATAGTTTTCAAGTTAAAGTAAGACAACTGACCAAATTATTTGAGAGCAAGTAGATATTCAAAGAAAGTTTAGATCTTTACAATTTCTTTTCAGATGGAAGAAATGTATTAACTCCTCCATTCTGTTCAGAGTAAGCAAAAGTTGTTATACCTTCAACATGTTCTGTTAATGAATTAATTGGGAAATACCTTTTAGTTTTTGAAATTCCAGGATTTGTGAGGTTCAAGTATAGAAGTTTTTGAGGAAGGCGAAATGAAAAGGAGCCCTGACTGCCTGAGGTGGAGATGAAAAAGTACGTTAAAAACATTCGAAAGAAACATAAAGGCAGAGACAAGCATAATTGGATTTTGTAATAGGATTGCTGAGATAGGTTCACGTTCAAAATCATATGAAGCATTCTGTTTTCTTGGTTACTGGTTAGCAAGAGATATTTTATAGGGAACTCATCTGCAACCATGGACACCTTTTTAATTAATAAAGAATATTCATGTTTTAGAATATCAAAGCAAGAAAAATTGCACAGACAAGTCATTGTTTTCTATGTAAAGATAAAAAACTGTTTCATGCATAAATTCAAGAAAATTGAGAGTATCCTATTCTATCTGCATAATGTGGCATTGAGCAAGGCTTGGAGTTTTTAATTGTTTTTCCATTGTTATTTTGAAAAGCATTTAGAAAAAAATACCAGTCTGATTTTCTTTCCACAGGACTCAAATGACAATCTTGCTCAACCTGTCTTAATGCTTTACAGATTATTTTTGTACATTCTCATTGTATTCTTGGAGTACATTACTTATCAATTGTGTTCATGACACTTCCTACAGATATTTTATCTCTTCATGAAGATAGTAAACTAGAAAAATTATGTCATTCATTCTTTTTCTTATTTATTCCTCCAAAAATTCTTAAAATATTGCTTTATTGTCATTCTAAATATCTGCTTTATTAACCTACCCATAATGTCATATTTTGCTCTTTCAAAAGTAATACTAAGTTAACCACACAAAGTCGACCTCTAAGCATGTATATAACTATCTATATACACCATACTAGATTCGTTCATGGTTGGTAAGTAGTATGATTTTGCCATTATAGCCTAACTCATCCTTCTTTACAGTGAAAACATCTCGAAGTCAAGAACCACTAGTTTTCATTTCTTCACAGAGATTACCATGGTGTGCTTAAGTATTATTTGCTGAATTTAATCAGAGTAACACTAGAATTAGTTAATGGCTGTGAAAACTATGAAATAGACTATAATTCTTTACATGGCAAAAGTATATGGTTCATAAACCTTTCACTTCTGTTTTTCTATTTCTCTATTTTGGTAAGTGCCAGCCATAGGTCCTTAAGCATACCTCAGTTAACAATGGAGGATATTGGTAAGTTATGAAGGCATACATTCCCCAGAGTTTAGCTTTAAAGGTATCCATACATTTAATGGTCATTCTTGATTATTTGTGTGTGCTCATCAGGAATTATCATGGCTAGATGCTATTCAGTAAATTCCCATGGTTTTTAACTACTTACTTCTGGAATCTAAGGACTTTGAAACTTCTCTTTATTTTGTGGCTTTCACTGAACTATGTACTATAAAAGCTACACTAATTAAAACATAATGAATTTGTATACTCTACTTAATTTAGCAAATTGAGTATAAAATGAATATACAATGTATGTATACATTAGATGTAGAAGTATACATACATATTGTAGTATGTATACTACAATAGAAGAGTGTCCACTATTTACATTTTAATATACAATATTTTCTAACACAATTTAGGTGTGTATATGTGTGTATTTGTGTGTGTGGTGTGTGTGTATTTTAAAACACTACTAAACTCTCTCCAAAAGACCTTAGTGATTTAAACTTCAAGCACTGACATTTCAATGTTCATTTTTATTTTGTATTATTAATATCAAACCAACCAAAACTATGCATTTGCCTTTGTGTAAATAGATGATGGTATCACTGAAATTTTAGTAAGTAATTTCTTGTGTTCATATTAATGCTAGTCTGCTTTGCATTCCAAATCTCCTTGATCCTCATCTAACCCAGCACACATACAAACATGGGCTTGTGAATGTTCACATTCACATAGGAGTCCAAAATAGGCAGATTTCTTCATATTCATATAAACAGAAGATGCTAAGAATTCTTATTATGTGTTGCTTTATTTATTCTTATCATTTGAAAGATGATGTTGTTATAGAAAATTGTCTAAGTAGAATTTTTATTTTGCAATTTCCTTGTGCCCACAAGTAAAATACCAATATCTCTATATATTCAATATTGGATTTATGAAAAAGAAGAAATAATTAAAGAAAAGGAAGATACTAAAAAATTTAGTAATTTCCCCAAACTGAAAAATCTATATTTCTGTGCAACAGGCTCTTTCAATAACAGATATGTGAAAATATAATCCTATTCACTCTGTCAATGAGATATTAAGAACTAGAAATGCCTGAATTACTTTAAGAATTGGAAATTCAGATTTTATCTATCTCAATTTAATATTCACATAAAAATGCAAATTTCAACTGTATTTTAAGATAAGTATTGGTAAATATTTTTGAGTGTTCTCAAACATTCATTTGTGAAGGTTTTGTTTTTATGTAGTGATAATGTCTCATTATTTACTTCATTGGGTAATTAGAGGATGTATATATGGTTGCATAATATATTTCAAGTGTATTTCAGAGCTGACACGTATTTGTTGAATCATGTATGGTAGATACACAGTGTAAGCTAACCACGTTAATAAACTATACTATTATTCAGGATTCTAATCTGTGGAGAGCAGTCACAGGGTTCTGCAATGTAACCTTTTCAAGCATTCTAGAATAATTAAATCATGAAGGAAGGGAGTAGCCCAATTAATTGAGAGCTATGGCTGTATGTCTCCTACCCCTCAACATAGAAAAACAAACCCAACAACTGGGACTGTTTCATGGGTATGTCATTGAGGTTAGTAAACGAAATAGTGGAAATTAGGGAATTTGCAATTTCCTAATGACATATAATATAGAAAACTTTTTCATAAGCTTGCTTGTGCCTCTGTATGTTTTCTTTGGTGAGGTGTCTTTTTAGATTTTTGGCTCGCTTTTTGAATTGGGTTTTATTTTTTATTGTTGGGTCTTAAGAGTTTTTTATATATTATGGTATGTGTTTTTACAAATATTTTGATTTTTGCAAAACACATGGCTTGTCTTTACATTTTCCTAAAAATGTCTTTTCAGAGCAGAAGTTTTTAATTTTAATGAAGTTCAATTTATCAAAACAGACCTGCCTCATTTAATTGGGCTTTGCTTTATTGCCCTTGACATATCAGCTTTTTAGAAATTGAAAGTTTGTGACAACCCTGCATTGAGCAAGTCTATCAATGCTATTTTTCCAACAGCATGTGCTCGCTTGTGTCTCTGTGTGACATTTTGGCAATTTTCCCAATATAGCAAACATTTTCATTGTTACTATATGTGTTATAGTGATGTGTGATCAGTGCTTATCAATGTTGCTATTGTAATTCTTCTGGGGTACTATGAACTGCACTTATATAAAACAGCAAACAAATAATAAATGTTCTGTACATTCAGACTGCTTTACTGACTGGCTGTCTCAGCCCCTGCCTGGACCTCCCTATTAACCAAGACACAATAATATTAAAATTCCATCAATTAATAACCCTACAGTGGTTTCTAAATGTTCAAGTTAAAGGGAGAGTCACACGTCTCTCACTTTAAATCAGAATCTAGAAGTGATTAAGTTTAGTGAGAAAAACATGTGAAAAGCTGAGATAGGTTGAAAGATGGGCCTTGCGTGCCAAACAGCCAACTTATGAATGCAAAAGAAAAGTCCTTGAAGGAAATTAAAAGTGCTACTTCAGTAACACAGGAATGATAAGAAAGAGAAAGAGCTTTATTGCTGATATGGAGAAAATTTTAGTAGTCTGAATAGAAGATCAAACCAATCACAACATTCCCTTATTAGGCCAAAGCCCAACCCAGAGCAAGGCCCTAACTCTCCCCAATTTTGTGAAGGCTGATAATGGTGAGGAAGCTGCAGAAGAAAAGTTTGAAGCTAGCAGAGATTGGTTTGTAAGTTTCAAGGAAAGAAGTCACTACATAACATAAAAGTGCAATGTAAAGGAGCAAGTACTGATGTAGAAGTTGTAGGAAGTTATCCAGAAGACCTGGCTAGATAACATAAACAACTAAACAACAGATTTTCATTATAGATGAAATAGCCTTCTATTGGAAGAAGATGCCATCTAGAACATTCATAGCTAGAGAGGAGAAGTCAATGCATTTTTTCAAAGCTTCAACAGATAGGCTGACTCTCTTGTTAAGGGCTAGTAAAGCTGGGGACTTAAGTTGAAGCCAATGCTAATTTTCCATTCTGGAAATCCTAGGGCTGTCGAGAATTATGTCAAGTCTACTCTGCCTGTGCTCTATAAATGGAAAAACAAATCCTAGGTCACAACACATCTGTTGACAGCATGGTTTACTAAAGATTTTAAGCCCACTATTGAGAGTTACTATTAAAAAAATCCTTTCAAAATATTACTGCTCATTGACAATTCACCTGGTCATGCAAGAAGCCTAATGGAGATAAAAAGGAAGATTAATGTTGTTGTTTTGTTGTTTTTATGCTCCTCATATAACATCTATTCTGCAACCCATGGATCAAGGAGTCATTTAGACTTTCAAGTATTTGTATTTAATAAATACCTTTTGTAAGACTTGTGAACCCATAATATCTGAGACAGGTCTCAATCAATTTAGAAAGCTTACTTTGCCAAGGTTAAGGATGCACCTGTGACACAGCCTTAGGGGGTCCTGATGACATGTGCCCATGGGTACAGCTTTCTTTTCTGCATTTAAGAAAGACATAATACATCAATCAATACATGTAAGATCTACAGTGGTTGGACCTAGAAGGGCTAAGGGGTGAGGTTCCTGGGTCATAGGTAAATTTTAAAATTTTCTGATTGGCAATTGGTTGAAAGAGTTATTATCCGTAAAAAGGAATGTCTGGGTTAAGATAAGGGGTTGGGGCTGGGCATGGTGGCTCAAGCCTGTAATCCCAGCACTTTGGGAGGCCGAGGTGGGCAGATTGCCTGAGGTCAGGAGTTCGAGACGAGCCTGGCCAACATGGTAAAACCTCATCTCTACTAAAAATACAAAAATTAGCCAGATGTGGTGGCAGGCACCTGTAATCCCAGCTGCTCAGGGGATGGAGGCAGGAGAATCGCTTGAACCCGGGAGGTGGAGGTTGCAGTGAGCTGAGATCATGCCACTGCACTCCAGCTTGGGCAGCAGAGCAAGACTCCGTCAAAAAAAAAAACTGATAAGAGGTTAGGGAGACCAAGGTTTTGTCATGCAGATGAAGCCTCCAGGTAGCAGGCTTCAGAGAGAGTATATTGTAAATGTTTCTTATTAGACATAAGTTCTTCGTTGACATTAACACTTGAGGAGTATAATGAGGTATGTCCAACCTCCTATTCCATCATGGCCTGAACTAGATTTTCAGACAAATTCCAGAATACCCTTAGCCAAGAGGAGGGATCCATTGAGGTGGTTGGGGGGCGCTTAGAATTTCATTTTTGGTTTGTAGACTATAGCTGCTATAGATAGTGATTCCTCTGATGGATTTGGGCAAAATAAATTGAAAACCTTTTGAAAGGGATTCACCACTCTAGACACCATTAAGAACACTTGCGATTCATGGGAGAAGGTCAAAATATTAACATCGACAGCAGTTTAGAAGAAGTTGATTTAAACCCTCATGGGTAACTTTGAGGAGTTCAAGACTTCAGTGAAGAAAGTAACTGCAGAATTGTAGATGGAGCCTGAAGATGTGACTGAATTGCTACAATCTCATGATGAAAGTTGAATGGGTGAGCAGTTGCTTCTTATGGATTGGCAAAGAAAGTTGTTTCTGAAATGGGATCTATTCCTGGTTAAGATACTGTGAACATTGCTGAAATGACAACAAAGAATTTAGAATATTTTCTAAGCTTAGTTGATAAAGCAGTGGTAGGGCTTGAAAAGATTGACTCCAGTATAGCAAGTTCTATTATTGAAACTGCCATTGCAAAATCATAACTGCGAAAGTTATTTACAGTGAAAGGGATCTGACCTAATTGACTTCATCTTGCTTCTAACCACTGAGCTATCCTTGTTCATTGGTGGGTGTAGGCCAAACTAACTTTGAGAGGAACTTAGTTTATAGTTTAGCTTTGAAAC
This sequence comes from Homo sapiens, assembly GCF_000001405.40. Lineage (NCBI taxonomy): Eukaryota > Metazoa > Chordata > Mammalia > Primates > Hominidae > Homo > Homo sapiens. Next base: position 65,560,508 of record NC_000010.11, on the reverse strand, counting down.
AAAGTTGGTAACAGCCCTGTTCCAAAACAAACCCACTTCCTGCCTCGGGACTGGACTGGCTTTGCAGGACTATCAAATTAGCCACAAGAGTAGAAATATGGTTTAGGAATTATGCAGCTGGAGGCTACAAGATTCTGACCCTCTGAAATTGCTCCTGCAGACAACATCTCTATTGTAAAACCTAAGAACTTAAGATATTTGCAGACCCTGCACTTGATGGATCAGCTGGCACTACTCAGATCGATAAACTTGTTCATCTGGATTTTTGGCCCCCATAGAGAAACTGACTCAGCGCAAGAGGACAGTTTTGACTCCCTGTGATTTCTTCTCCAACCCAACCAATCAGCACTTCAGATTCACTGGCCTCCTACCCACGAAATTATCTTTAAAAACTCTAATTCCCGAATTTTCAGGGAGACTGATTTGAGTAATAATAAAACTCCAGTTTTCCTTACAGCTGGCTCTGCATGAATTATTTTCTTTTTGTTGTTGCAACTCTCCTGTTTTGATAAATTGACTCTGTCTAGGCAGCAGGCAAGGTGAACCTGTTGGGCAGCTACACTATGGGTAAAACGCTACCAAACAGCATTGCATGCTACAGATAAATCTTTTGTTAAAGGAAGAGTCAAATGATATGCCAAACTCCACTGCTGGCTTATGTTAAGAAATTTTCACAACCACCCAGCCTTCAGCAACCTCTACCCTGATCAGTCAGCAGCTGTCAACATGGAGGCAAGATCCTCCACCAGTAAAAAGATTACAATTTGCTGAAAGCTCAGGTGATTATTAGCAATTATTTTTGGCAATAAATTATTTTCTAATGAAGCTTTGTACTTTTTAAAACATAAGGCTGTTACATACTTAATAGATTACAGCGTAGTGTTAACATAACTTTAATATGCACTGGGAAAGAACCAAAAAGCTTGCATGGCTCACTTCATTGTAATGTTTACTTTATTGTGGCAGTTTGGAACCAAACCTGCACTATCTTTGAGTTATGCCTTTTTTTTTTAATTTCATGACGGTTTGGTCTTATGTTTAAGACTCTACACCCAACACAGATTTTCTCCTATGCTATCTTCTAGATTTTTATGGTTTTTCATTTTACATTTAAGTCTATAAGTTATCTTGTTAATTTTTGTAAAAACTATCAAGATTCCTTTTTTAAAAAATTTTATTGGATGTGTATTTGTTTCAGTTCCATTTGTTGGGAAGTCAATGCTTTCTCTATTAAATGACCTTGCTCTGGTAAAAATAAAGTCAATTAGGGTGTGACAAAAGAGCTTCCCTTGAGGACACGCTTTTGTTAAGGAGGACAGAAAGCTCTGAGTGCATTTCAAAATGGCTACTTTTCCCTTCCTTCTGCTGGAAACAGGAAGGGATACTTTTTTCTCATCTTCTCCATAAGAATCTATTTAGGCTCCTGAAGGTTAAGATTCATGAAAGTACTGTGATACACAGTAGAAATTTTCCTTGACATACAATAGGGTTACATTCTGATAAACCCATCATAAATCTTGTAAATTGAAAATGCATTTAATACACCAGACCTACAGAACTTAGCCTTGTTCACCTTAAGTGTACTCAGAACACTCACACTAGCCTATAGTTAGGTAAAATCACCTAATACAAAGCCTATTTTATATATATATACATATATATGTATATATAAAGAGCAAATATATGTATATATTTATATATATATAAGAAAAAAGTGTCAAATATCTTATGTACCACATAGTCCTAGGCCAGGCAAAGATCAGAATTCAAAATTCGAAGTATGTCAAATTGTGATGGTTTGCAAAGTTGTGAAGTTGTCAAATCATTAAGTTGATTGCCCTTCTCTCCGGTTTTTATGGTGGCAGCTTGCCCTGTGACAGCAATTATTAGATAGATTTAAGAAGAGTTGTTCCTTTTCAAATTGTTCGATTATTTTCTTGTTGTAAGAATGAGAGTGACAACTTCCAAGTCCCAAAACAAGAAATTCATCTTACTTTTTACCATAGTCTTGACAGTAACTTCTGGGCAACCTTATGTAAATCAGTGATATTGACTTCTAGATTTTGTATGTATAAATAAAAATTGGACAAGATCGATATTTTCAAAATAAGCTTTATGATATTTTAGCAGACTTTAAAACAGCACACTAGTTGATGGTAAAATAAAATGATCACATATTTGTTAAAGTTCTTCAGAGGCAACTGATAAATAGCAGCCCTTTTTCCCATAAGACTTCATTTGAAAAATAGAATGGAGTAACATATGGAAGCTAAATTATAACTCATAGAATGCTCAGGCTGCAGAATGTTATTTCACATACACTGAGCATGTCTGCTCACTCAAACACAATCCCTAAATTGGGCAAACTATTCAATCACTGAAACCAAGCCACTCAGGTCTGGGGCAGCAATTTTCTAAGTAATAAAGTACCTGGCAGAACAGTGGCAGGTCCCTTTGCCTGAGGAGTAGTTTACTTCAAGAGGAAGAAAGGAAGAGGAGTGCTAGGCATACTAAGTTCTTGCTCCCATACTCACTAACCAAGTGTCACTTCACTACCCTTCACTACCCTTTGGGACAAAGTGAGTAATGGTATAGTTAGAGGCCAGAAATAAGCTTAAGAAAATCCTGTCTATATAGAAAACAGTGGAGAGGCGGGAAATAACAGAGTTTAATAACTTTTAACATTGTCGAGCTTTTATTAGGCCAATGCTCAGAGATTTCCTGATAGGGTTAGAGTTTGACTTGCCAACTCAGATTTTCTTAAAACCTAAATAGATATCTCAAACTTATAGTCTGCAACCAGACTTTGCTTTATTATTTCCAGTAGAGTATGGTTTTTCCTTTGTAAATTCCTGTCCACATTTTTAGTAAGAGATTTCACCTGAAAGTTTAGATATTCAGCTCCTCATAAATCTTTAGATGACAACACTGGGCCTTATTTTCAAATGGCAATAATTGCCTGCAACTGAGTAGCAGCTGTTCTCACTAGACAATGTGAATACTCTTCATTTTGCCAGTTTTCACCAATTACTCACTGTGTTCATAATGCTCTTACCCAGAATCTGCTTCATTCATTTATATATCTGTCCTTATTAGGCATTTGGGTTTGTGATCGCTGCTCTAAAGAGAACCAAGCTTAGCCACATTTTAGCAACCCATCTCATCCATAGCCAGTGAAACTTTTTTGGAGTTATAAGCCCAGAAGACTCTGAACTGGGAAATTCAGTATCAAGGAGTCCACTCAGGTGAGTATCAGCTTGCGGCATCATTATACTGTGGAAGGCAAGAGATTGAGAGAGGGTAAAAGAGATCAAGAGATGGCTGAACTTGCTTCTGTAAAAAACCCACTCTCAGGACAATGACATTAATCCATTAATGAGAGCAAAGCCCTCATGACCTAGTCACTTCTTAAACATTCCACTTCTCAACACTGTTGCATGGGGAACTAAGTTTCTAACACATGAACTTTGGGGGACACATTCAAATCTTAGTACTATCCTATATGCCTGGTCCATTTCTTTTATAACCTGCCCCTTTTCCTGCTTTTCATTCTGACCTTGGACCCCAAAACCATTTATGTCTACATATCATGTCCTTGGGAACTTGAATCCCATATATATATATGTAAAATCTCTGAATCAGCTTATTAGGATCCTTAGAACCAAGATGTCTAGAGTTGAAGGCTGCTATGCCTTCATTTTCCAAATAGACCTATGAATATCTCTCCCTCCTTCTGCCTACACCTGAAGTGAGATTGAGCCACACTTACTTATATTGTTATGTATCTTCTAGTCCTAAGGCAAGGGTAGAAACGCAGGATTGTGAATCAAAAAAGCTGATCATTCTGCCAAACATGAAGGGCCAGAGCAGATGAGAAGCTAGAGAAATAAGGTCTAAGTGAGAGTAAGAAGTTTCTGGCAATTACTTATGATCAGAAATTTTAATAAGCATAAAATTATTCTGGCAGAGGGGAAGTCATATGTTTAAATAGAAGACTTTTCGTTATGGCTAATCCCAGAAAAGAGGACAGGAGCAGACTTATCCATGAACAATATGAGGTTATCTTAAAATTAAATATTTAATCTTTTCTACACTGGAACAGCTCCATTCTTTTTTTCTTTTTATGAAGATAGTGATCACTTCATTTGTACAGTTCCTTCCAATAATGCTCACTTTTACCTGAACACTTAATAAAACTTGCTTTTGGTTACTGAATTTCCTTTTGCGCATTGATAAGATGACTTCTGTATGAGTTTTCCCCAAAGCCCCCCACCCCGCCTTTTTTAAAGAAGGTGTGAGTCATAAGGGGCATTACTGAAAGTATTGACTCACTAATCTTTAAGATGTCTCTAGGCTCTGCCTTCTCCTGACCATAACATTCTCAACACACAGAAGAAGACTTTTTTTTTTTCTTTTTGAGATGGAGTCTCACTCTGTCGCCCAGGCTGAAGTGCAGTGGCACTATATTGGCTCACTACTCGCTCCACCTCCTGGGTTTACGCCATTCTCCTGCCTCAGACTCCCGAGTAGCTGGGACTACAGGCACCCGCCACCACGCCCGGGTAATTTTTTTTTTTTTGTATTTTTAGTAGACACTGGGTTTCACCGTGTTAGCCAGGATGGTTTTGATCTCCTGACCTCGTGATCCGCCCGCCTCAGTCTCCCAAGTGCTGGATTACAGGAATGAGCCACCGTGCCTGGCCAGAAAAGACTCTTAATGCTGTAACATAAAGCTGTTTTCTTACCTACAAAGGACAAAGAAGCAAACGTTGAAAAGAGGTAAAGGTAGCATTCTCTAGACCTATAAGACAGTTGAACCCCTACAGTAGTATTTTTTCCCAAGTAATGCTACTGAGTGAGGGTTGAGGGAAATACCAGTGACAACTGGCAGGGTGGGGGCTGGGGAGATGGATTCATCTCACTAAAAACACTGCCCAGAGAGCTAGGAAGTCCTGAAGAGAAGGCTCCTGACATTTTTGGGGGGTGCAGAGGCTGGGGGGAAGAAGCTGGGAAAAGGATAGGAGTGCTGCGTAGGCCAGGGATGCAGCTATTCATAGGATCTGAGTTCTTGACTCCACCTCCCTCTAGAGGCTGCAGTGCATTGACTGTGCACCAAGTCTGGTGTGGGGAGGGCAGATTTCCTGCGGTGCTTGTTGTGTTAACTCTTTCAAGGCAAAGTATATTCTTTTCCATCTCTGTGCCTTTGCTCATGCTGGTCTTTCTCAGAACCTCCTCCATCTTTTTCTTCTGAATCCTTCGTTTTCCTTCTTACGTATTTTCCAAACTTATATTTATGTCATCACTATTGACGTCTTTTGTGGGACATTTGCTTAAAACCTAACCTAGGCCAAGGAAAGAGAGTCTTCCGTTCTAGGTCCCGTATTTTAGAGAGGCCTGTTCTCCTTTCCCCCAGCCCCAGGCATGTTCAGTGTACCCAGAAATCCGGAGTTACCTGCCCAAAGGTCTTGATCGAATGGTGTGCACACCCCTGGGCTGGGCAGGTAGATAAGTAGTAGCTTTTCGCTGCGGTGATGGATGGAAGTTGAACTGGGCAAGCTGGGATGCACCTAGATCCTTTCTTTGTAAGTCTGAGCCTGGGGTAGTAAAAGAAAAGAGGCTTTTGGAAAGGGAAGCTTAGGTCCTTTTATGTTTCTACCACTAAGTTCCCACAAGGAACTTACTGGAGCTCAAGTAATTGACATTTATACTGGCTTTCCATATGTTATAAAGATCCATGTTTTTTGACAATAGGGATCTAATACATGTTTAGCATAAAATTTGGTTAGTTTGATTTAGAACTTTTAAATATTTAGACAAATGGTGTTCAGGGCTCTATTTGCATTCTTGCATGAACCTTGCAAATGCTAAGAGTGGGCTTGTGTTTTTTAACATTTTTTCAATAGATATTTTATATGCTATCTCTAAATTTAACTATTTTCTTCTTTTCTGTGGTTTGAATATTTCATATATACTTTTATCACATTTCCGTTTGGCATATTAATTATTCATCTTCATGGGTCTTTCCTCTATCTGGCTAATAGTTAAAGGAGAGAAAGCATTCTTTTCATTGCTATTCCCTTCTCTACCTACAATGATTATAGCACATAAAGATTACACACAACATAAAATTTAAACTCAGAGAATTTCTTCAGTTTTTACCTTCCTGAATCTCTTTAACAGTTTTCTCAGTTTCCAGTGCTCTTAGCTTCACATATTACTTTGCCTGTATTTTACTCTCATTAGAGTCTTAAGTTGATTCTTGAGTGTCCACTTTGTTACTGATGTAAAAACATAGTAATATGTTCATTTTTCTTTCTTCCTGAGATAGAGTCTCACTCTGTCACTCAGGCTGGAGTGCAGTGGTGCCATCTTGGCTTACTGCAAGCTCTGCCTCCTGGGTCTAAGCGATTATCCTGCCTCAGCCTCCCAAGTAGCTGGGATTACAGGTGCATGCCACCATGCCCAGCAAATTTTTTTGTATTTTTAGTAGAAACAGGGTTTCATCATGTTGGCCAAGCTGGTCTCGAACTCATGACCTCAAGTGATCTGCCCGCCTGGGCCTCCCAAAGTGCTGGGATTATAGGCGTGAGCTACCACACCAAGTCATTATGTTGATTTTTGATATTATTCCTAAGCTGTACATTTCACATCTGGAAGAAATCCCTGTTAGGTTAACACTTTCAAGACGGAGAGTCTCAAATCCTCAGCCAGCATAATTCAGTAGTGGGAGATTGTACAAGGTATACAAGGAGAATAATCACAATGATTATTGTAATAATATAGCAAGAAGTCTTAACATTATGTGCCACAAATTGAATGGTATAATTTGTAACAATTATGTGACTTACTGTCCACAGTTACTCTGCAAGGTAGAAATCGTTATTTACCTATTGAAGTTAAGGAATTAAATGTGTAAAGATTAAACTAATTTGCCTGAGTTCATATAGTTTATGAATAACATATGTAGGATCCATACCCAGATATATATTCCTCAAGCCCTCACCCTTTCTTCTCTATTTCTTTTGCTTAAAGTTATACTTTTAGGTCACTGACTAACAAAATGCTTAATACATAATTCTAGTCAATAAACATCTGTTAAATGCATGAATGAACAAATGAACAAGAGATGGATAGATGGATGAACAAATAAGTAAGTAGATTTATAGTTAAGAATAATATTTTTAAAAGTCATGTATGTGTAGAGGATTAAAGTTTAGACAGGTAATGAAGGTTCTTCATACCAATGTAGGAGAAAAATTTACCAAAAAACAAACAGAAACTTTTAAATTTCTTTATTAATTAGTATAAATAATTTTCTCCCTGCTGGAAATTATTCAAAGTAGAGATAATAATCATAGCAGAGAAACTTCAGTGTGCATACCACCAATCTAGGATGTTTCTTTAAAAATGCACATTCCTGGGTCTGGGCATGGTGGCTCACCCCTGTAATTCCAGCACTTTGTGAGGCTGAGGCAGGCAGATCTCCTGAGTTCAGGAGTTCGAGACCAGCCTGGCCAACATGGTGAAACCCCGCCTTTATTAAAAATACAAAAATTAGCTGGTGTGGTGGCAGGCACCTGTGGTCCCAGCTACTCCGGAGGCTGAGGCAGGAGAATCGCTTGAACCTGAGAGATGGAGGTTGCAGTTAGCCAAGATCACGCCACTGCACTCCAGCCTGGGTGATAGAGCGAGACTCCATCTCAAAAAAAAAAAAAAAAAAAAAAAAAACAGGAAAAGAAAAGAAAAGCATATTCCTGGGCTCCACTCCAGGAATTCTCCCAAGATAGTGTGGTAGGGCCATGCGTAATATTATTTTAACAATTACACCAGATGACTCTGATGTAGAAATCCACAAACTATACTTTGGGAATCTGTTACTGAAGAAAGTGGACAAGATATAGTTTTTTACCTTACCCTTAGAAAGCTGGAAAAATAATAATTTAATTCTTAATCAAGTCTTTACTAGAATAATCCATTTACAGCACTTTTGGTTCATATCCCAATTTCATTTCCAAGAGTCTATGAGTATCCAAAGCCACTGACATGAGACCGTTTATGCCGCACAGATCAGCATCACTGATGGTTGGTGGCTTTCTGGCTGCATTCCATGGCAATTCTCACGAGGTAGCAGCAAGGAGAAAGGCAGGTGATGACAGGACTTCTAGGCATCTTGGGCACTGCTCCATGGGGCTTGCTGATACCAAACTTTCTTTCACCTGATACCCTCTCTTTCTCTTTCTTTCCTTTCTACATCTTGTTTGTTTTCCTTTAACTCAAGTATCTTTCATGTAGCATGGGAACAGAAAATACTCTTAAAAGTTTTATTTGAATCTACCTGTTATATTAATCACTGTTTTCTGAACTTAACAGACAAGTATTTGCAGTCTTCATTTTCTCATTCAACAATGAATGAACTCAAGCTTTATGCTTTACAGTCTAGGAAAGGGGAAGACACTCAGAACACAAGTAAAGAATTTACTACAGGGCCATGGTAACCCCTTAAGTAAAACTTCAAGGTAGCCAAACAAAGGACACTCTAAATAGGTAGAAAATAAATTGATAATTAGTATCCTGTCCTAGATTATATAAAGGATTCTGGTGGTGTGGCTAGAAAGGACAGAATGTATTAAAAATGAAGAAAGAGTGAGAAGCAATGACTCATTGGTTATTGGTAATACGGCTCAAATTTTCTTGAAAATACTAAGACTCAGATACTATCTTAGTCCATTTAGTGCTTTACAAAGGAATACCTGAGGCTGGGTAATTCATGAAGAAAAGAGTTTTATTTGGCTCATGCTTCTGCAGGCTGTACAAGAAGCATGGTGCCAGCATCTACATCTGATGACTACTTCTAACTACTTTTACTCATGGCGAAAGGTGAAGGGGAGCCAGCATGTACAGAGATCATTTGGCAAGGAGGAAGAAAGAGAGACAGGGAGATACAAGACTCTTTTAAACAACCAGCTATCTTGGGAACTTATAGAGCAAAAACTCACTTACCACTACTCCCTTTCAGGCAAAGCATTTTTCTATTAATGAGGGATCTGCCCCCAAGACCCAGACACTGTCCATGAGGCTCCATCTCTAACACTGAGGTCAAATTTCAAAATGAGGTTTTGAGGCATCAAGCATCCAAGCCATAACAGAGGCTAAAAGGAAAAAAAAAGATATGAATACTGACTTGATGTTTTAAACAGAAAATAGCTATCTAAATTTCTGCCAGGTAACTTTAAAAATTTTTGAAATTTATTTCCTCTGTATTACATCTCAATGATCATGCTTAGATCCCATGAAAGAAAGACGTGGTGGACTTCTTTATAAACATGATACGTTAAACACGCGTTTATCTCTGTTGCATTCTAAATCCTTTTAAATTAACAGTGAAGACGTTTTCAAAGGGAATACATGCCAAGTAAAAAGGAAAGGAGAGGCAACAACAGCAGTATTTTAGGAGGTGATAGGACAATAGAAAAGTGACAGCTTACTTAGCAGAATCTGTAACCAAAGCTGAGAGTGGAGCAACACCTGGTCACAAGGTTACTTGTCTGCAAAACCAAGAATAACTCAATAAGCATGCACACCAAATAGCCCTCCAAGTGCCAGGGGACTTGAAAGCACTTAGCCTACCAGCTGCCTTCTCATCCGCCCACACAGCAAAGAAGAACTTTTCCCCAATCCAGTAGAAGATTGGCAGCATACTCTCTGTACAGATCGAATCTGAGAAACTCCGAATCCAGGAACAGTAGGTATTACTAGGGTCTGGAAGCAAAACAGAAACAGGGATTAATTGATGGACTATGTTCCAATCCAGGGGGCTCATGCCCCTGTCCTGATTTTGCTCTCAGGACGTTTGCTGTCAGGATGTTCTCCCCTAAGACTGGAGAATTCTCTTAGGGGAATTTACCTTCGCAAAGAAGAAAAAGAATCCATAGATTTTGAAAACCAGAAATCCTCCAATAATTTTATGAAAAGTTTTTTAAATTAATGTGCCACCTGCTAGCCAGAAATCTCTTTCATATACTTAGGGCTTCCAATCAGCTTTTTAGTGCTTTATTCGTAATAGAGTAGACAACCAAGGATTACTGGGTAATTACGATGTGGTGTGAAAGACAGAGACCTCAACAAACAAAAACGAGGAACTTACAACCAACAGAGCCAATTCTGAATAAGAACAATCTCCAATATTAAAATATCATATCCAGTGACATATATATGAAAGAAAATTTAGATATTTTAAAATAAAAGCCTAAATAACAGAATATAGTTATTTTACCTACAACATACAATGCAAGATTAGTAGATAATATTGATATCTGGATATAATGTAAGGGTAGTAGTGGATATCTACTTCTGAATTTCAAAATCCTCCAAATACAATACAAATGTATTCTATGAGAACACGGAAAAATAGAAAAAATAAATTAGTACTAAATTAGAGTTAAAATAGCTGAGGGTGATTACTGCTGTGGAGTAGGAATCAAGGAACAGGAAAGACAGGGGAGGGAAAGGAGCAGGAGACTGCTGTTTTTTTGTTTGCTAATTAAGTCAATAAGACTATTCGATATTTAAAATCATTGCCATATATTATTTGGTAATAGCTAATGTTACATTACAAGATATTTTACTGATATCCAATAAACTAGAAGTCTTCATAAAATGTGTCTATTATTGGATAAATAAAAGAAAGTGTTATTTTAGTCTCTGTCGCTGTTTTAAAAAAACGCAAAATAAAGTGACTGAGTACTTTTTAAATAATAAAAATGTATTTTTAAAAGTTTTTACAGATCTGGAAATTCCAAGATCGAGGTGCCTGTATTTGGTGTCTGCTGAGAGCTTTTTTGTTATGTCCTCACATTGTGGAAGTATGAAAGAGCAAAAAAGAGCTTAAGCTGGTTCCCTCCAGCCCTTTTGCGGGTGATTAATGCATTCAAAAAGGTGGAACTTTCATGATTTTTTTAAAAAGTTTTAGGTTCAGGAGTATATGTGAAAGTTTGTTATATAGATAAACTTGTGGCAAGGGGGGTTGTTGTACAGATTATTTCATCACCCAGGTATTCAGCCTAGTACCCAATAGTTTTTTATTTGTTTTTTGTTTTTTGTGTTTTTTTGCTCCTCTCTCTTCTCTCACCCCCTACCCTCAAGTATACCCCAGTGTCCACTGTTCCCTTGTTTGTGTTCATGAGTTCTCACCATTTAGCTCCCACTTATAAGTGAGAACATGCAGTATTTGGTTTTCTCTTCCTGTGTTAGTTTTCTAAGGTCAGTAGCCTCCAGCTCCACCCATGTTCTTGCAAAAGACATAATCTTGTTCGTTTGGGGGCTGCATAGTATTCCATGGTGTATATGTACCACATTTTCTTTATCCAATTTGTTATTGATAGGCCCTTAGATTGATTCCATGTCTTTGCTATTGTGAATAGCACCACAATGAATATTCATCGACATGTGTCTTTATGTTAGAATGATTTATATTCCTCTGGGTATCTACCTGGTAATGAGATTGCTGGGTCAAATGTTAATTCTGCATTTAGCAATTTGAGGAATCACCACACTGCTTTCTACAGTGGTTGAACTAATTTATGCTCCCCCTCAAAGTGTATAAGTGTTCCTGTTTCTCCACAACCTCACCAGCATCTGTTATTTTTTGACTTTTTATTAATAGTCATTCTGACATGACATGGTATCTCATTGTGGTTTTGATTTGCATTTCTATAATTGTTAGGATGTGTAGCATTTTTTTCATATGCTTGCTGGCCACATGTATGTCTTCTTTTGAAAAGTGTCTATTCGTATTCTTTTACCACTTTTTAACAGGGTTGTTTGGTTTTTTTTTTTTTCTTGCAAATTTGTTTAAGTTCCTTATAGATGCTGGATATTAGAACTTTGTCAGATATATAGTTTGCAAAAAACTTCTCCCATTCTGTAGATTCTTTAACTTGTGGATAGTCTACAAGTCTCTTTAACCTGTAGATAGTTTCTTTTGCTGTGCAGAAGCTCTTTAGTTTAATTAGACCTTATTTGTCAATTTTTTGCTTTTGATGTGATCGCTTTTGATGTTTTTGTTTAAAAATCTTTGCCCATTTCTATGTTTAGGATGTATTGCCTAGGTTTTGGTTTAGGGTTTTTATAGTTCTGGGAACCCTCATGATTTAATCACTTCCCCAAAGGACCCATCTCTTGATACCACCGCAATGGGGGTTAAGTTTCAACATAAATGTTCGAGGGGGCACATTCCAACCATAGCAAATGTGTAGCATCTGTTTATGTTATTGTAGTTCCTATTTTTACTGCAGTAACTGGATATATAGAGTCTGACCAGGATACTGCAGATGGCAAGCCTGCATATGAGAAACATGTAGCCTTCTGAGAATTACTGAGTTTTTAGACCACTGAGCTATGGATATCAAATGCCACGTAGTAACTATGTGTGAACAATCTTAGGATGTGTAGTCTTACAGACTATGCTGTCTATAGCAGGAACATGACTGTGCACAACACATTGAATAAATGTTATTCTTTATTTTACATTGAAGACTTATAGATGCCACATAAAGTCCATTCTTTAAAAATAAAGTGGATTCCAATTATGCTACATACATCAAACTAGAAGCAAGCAAAATTTAATTTACCGACACTGTTATGGTAGCAGATTTTTGGAGTCCTTTGATAAACTATTAAAGTATTTACTAAACTCTGGTTTCCTGGAAAGTACAAACAAACCAGAACAAATTTATTTTCTCCCTTAGGACAGAGAAAGCTCTGAGGAACATATTTTGTCTGTTTGTGTTGCTGTATTATAGATTTGGGACTAAGGGTGAAAAAAACAGGCTTAAAAGTGGTTTCCTGTGCTTCATGAGGCTTGCTGATAAATTCCCACAATAGATTTCTTCCTTTGGTTAATAAAAATGTGTCCAGGCCCTTTATGAATACAGTTCCTCATCTCTGTAATTGCTTTTATTACCAACTCTCATCAGGATTAAAAATTTATAATTATAATGAAGAAAAAATCATAAAAATAACTCAAGGTTTATTAGAGTAAGCACCTTTTGAATATCTTTTAAATGAATACTGACAATTCTTATAGTAATTTATAGTTTATAGCACATAATTTTGTGTTATCTCACTTGTTCCTATCAAAATTGTTTGACAGGTAAGGCAGTGATTTTACAGAGAAGTTCACAAAAGTTCCAGAAATAGCTTTATAAACAGAAAGCAGACTCATTCCCATGTTCGTAACTTCTCACTCTAAGCCCTGTACTGCTCTGTGTATATATCTCTCTCCAACTTACCTTACCTCCTTCTGTCATAATCTGAAACTTTGATCAATTTATAACTATAGCCTCACGCCTAATCTTTCTCTCTCTCTTTTCTCTTCTCTGCCCAGTTTTCTGTCTTCAAGTCAGTTAATTCTATAGTTGCACAGAAATTACAGTCACAAAAGAAAATCTTGCAGAGGCTGTTTTTATTGGAAAAGAAATAACCGAAGACTGAGAAGTGAGTGAGGGAGTGAGGTGAATGTCAGAAAAGGAAAAGTGAAGTTTCTTCAATGAAGCCTCAGAAAACAAGACAAAAATGCTGGAACCTCACTCAAAGAGTGGGCCAGAGGAGGCAGGTCAGAATGTCTTGCTAGACTTTGATTTGTTCCTACATGATGTCTTAATAAAGATGGAGATTTCCTCTTTAGTTAAAGGAAAGCCAAAAGTATTAATAAAGCGCTGCCCAATCTATTTTCCATAAAAAGCTCCAAATTATTCAGCAATTCAGAGCATACACAGCCAGGAGGAGTCTCTTCTAAGTAGCCAGCCTCAAGTAAATCATGCTTTCATACATGTATTTGTATGGCACTGTCAGGAGACCTGATTCTTTTTACCCCACATATGGTGTTACTGAATAAATTCTTTCTACCCAGTTGTCTTATTCTGGCAGTTACGAATAGTGTCTGAGTAACTCTCTGCTCTATGGTACCTGTATCTGAAGCTACTCCAGGTGATTTGTCAGCCGGCTTTTGTTCCTAAAGACAAATCCTTAAGTGACCGGTTTTATATTCCACACTCTGCTGGTTGGTCTTGTTAAAGACAAAATTGCACCAGACATGATAACATGACGAGCAGAGAGAAGACAATTTTATTCTGATACTGTTGCTAGCATGGGGCGGGTGTAGACACCCTGCTCCTCAGATACAAAAGCAGGAGAGTTATTAAGAGCTGGACTGGGGAGGGGGAATCTAGGCCGTCTGGGTTTGCCAGTTGGCCTTACCCAAAGGAAAAGTAAACTTTCTTTTCTTTTTTCTCTCTCTCTTTTTTTTTTTTATTTGAGACAGAGTCTTACTCTGTCGCCAGGCTGGAGTGCAGTGGTGCGATCTTGGCTCACTGCAACCTCTGTCTTCTGGTTCAAGGGATTCTCCTGCCTCAGACTCCCAAGTAGCTCGGACTACAGGCGCCCATCATCATCCCCAGCTAATTTCTGTATTTTTAGTAGAGATGGGGTTTCACCATCTTGCCCAGGATGGTCTCGATCTCTTGACCTTGTGATCCACCCGTCTTGGCCTCCCAAAGTGCTGGGATTACAGGCGTGAGCCACAACGCCCAGCCACTTCTTTTTTTTTTCATAATAGGACTTGGTTTTATGACTTGGAACATAGCAAGCCCCTTTTGTTCAAGTGGAAAGACTCCTGTGCTCCCACTGGAACTGGGAGATAGGGGCACTATCTTCCTTGCTGTTTATATTTCACATTGTTTTTCCTTTTTCAACTTTCATTTTCGGTTCAGAGGGGACATGTGCAGGTTTGTTATATGGGTGAATTACATATCTTTGGGGGTTTGGTATACAAATGATTTCATCACCCAGGTGGTCAGCATAGCACCCAATATGTAGTTTTTCAACCTTCACCCTCCTCCTACCCTCCACCCTCAAGTAATCTTCAGTATTTATTGTTCCCTTCTTTGTGACCATGTGTACTCAGTATTTAGCTCCCACGTCTAAGTGAGTATGTGAAATATTTGGTTTCCTGTTCCTGCATTAATTTGCTTAGGATAATGGCCTCCAGCTGCATCCATGATGCTGCAAAGGATATTATTTCATTCTTTTTTTATGGCTGTGTAGTATTCCATGGTGTATAGGCAACACATTTTCAAAGAAATGGTTCTCAGGACCTGAACAAAGTCATTTTTGCATTGTAAAACAGGTAAGAGCCTGGGAGATGATTTACATGTATCTCAAAGGGGCAGAGGCAGGATTTACAATGACAAGTTTTGTAAAGTAAATGCTTTAAGAAAAGGGAGGCCAGCAGCCTAGAGTCAGGAAGAAACTTGTCTAAAGCGTAATCAAGTTGGAAGGAACTCTAAATCCATCTTGGTCGGGCCACAGTCACAGTCATTGCTCTGGACTCTTCTGTAGCTCTAAGTGGCCCAGGAAGGAGCCATCAGTGCTGCCTGGATTGTTGCTTTCAGTGTCTTTGTGTTGACTTTGCTGCCACCATCAGCAGTGCCTCATGAACACACACTCCATTCAGTTGTCAAATGATTACTTATTTAACACTTACTTTGTTCAAAGTCCTGTCCTAAGCTCTAGGAGTCACAGGTGCCCCTCATATTGACAGAGTGTGGGAATTCCCTGCCCTTGAACCCTCATTGTCATGTCCACTGTGAACAAAATTCCTTCCTAGAGCAAACAAAAACTTCTTTCTCTTTTCTTCCTTTGCCACAAAGGCAAAACCAAAACAAAACAGAAAACAAAAACAAAAACCCAGAAACTGAAATAAAAAAAAATTAAAAATAAAACCTGACAGAGCAGGATAACTGCCATATCCACTGTGAAGGAAGCTTTATACTCTGGAACTCTGGGCCAAATAAAATCATAGTAGAGGCTTTTAGAAACACATAAAAAATGGAAACTTTTTTGGCATAATGACAAATGGAGTTAAAAGATGGGGCTAAGTCTCAACATTAGAAATGTCTGTTTTTGCAGTAGGTTATTCCCAGTTGAGGGAAACCACCTTTCCTGCATTCTTTACACTCATTTTCTGTCTGAGAATCTCTTCATACCTCAATACTTGCAAAAAAGTTTAAAGGGAAACTGTTTAGAACAAAAATGCCTGCACATGGGTCAGGGCTATGAAGAAGAAGAACAATGTGGGGAAGGTGGAGATGTCAAAAGAAAAAGGACCACAAGAAATGAGAGAAAACAAAACGGTTCTCAGAGAAGCAGCTCTCTTATATCTCTCCATTGTGGATTTGTCAAAGTGAACCTACCACAATAAATAAATACTTGGTTTGCCCCATTTTCAGGGTTCCATATAAGAGTCTCCAGTAAGGGATTCTTTCTAACATTTTTGAGCATTTAAAGGCAGAATGATGTCTGATTAAGAATAAGAAGGAGGGAGAGGGAGGAGGAAAGAAAGAAAGAAACAAAGGAAAGATTTGAAAGCATCTGTTAGACTCCCTTTTTTCAAATGACAAATAAAGGGATCTCCATGTCAGGGTCTTTTCATTCTTCCCATTGCTAATATTTCATTGCCTAAAGAATTCTAAGGTTGGCATTAAACTCACTGAATTTCTCACTACAACCCTCTGAGAAATAGCAGCAAAATTTTAAACTGAGGGAAGAGAGACACTTGCCCAAGGTCACACAGCTGGTAAGTAGCGAAGGCAGAAATCAAAAGCAGACCCTCTGGCTCAGATACCCATGATTTAACACTAGGCTCCACAGTTTCATTAGGCACTACTTTTCTATTTGAAATGATGCATGGTGTAGTGTGAGAAAAAGTAGCTAATTCTAATATTAATTAGGGCTAGAATTCTAACGGTCCTCATTAAATCGATCCTCCTTCACCTTCATAAGCTTCCGTCATAGTTGATGCCTCTGATGAGAACAGAATTCCATTTATCCCAAACATCAGCTCTGTTATGCAATATTAGCCTCCCACAGTTTTATGTGGGGCTAATTTGTTATTATAATTATAATTATAATGTGATGTAATCTAATATCATCTGAGATTATTAGGTCCCATGTTCTGAGGAGTTGTAGAGCAGAGGCATCAGTTATCATTGGTTCTTTTTGCATGTTTGTATGTAATCAAATTTAGTAGAGCTCTGTTGAGTATACAGAATGACACCTGAGAGACACAAATCCAGAGAAAGGGTCAAGAAAGTAAATGAAAACAAAACAAAACAAAACAAAAAACAAAGCACACATGGAAATCAGTAAAGAGGGTTTGTCGTATATTTTCCATAATAGGAAGAGGAAGCTAAAAAGTGGATAAAGCAGTCTATATATACTAAAATTATTAAGAGTCAGAAAGGCTGTCCACAGACACTGAAATGCACGGGAGAGCAAAGGATCCTTGTGACAGGTTTATCAGGCATAAAGACACCCAGAGTGGAGTTCAACATATTTTTCATACTCCATTGGCTGACGAAGGTTACCTTCCAAGTTAATCCAAAATTAAATCCCCACCACACTCTCCCCAATACTATTAGTGTATTAAGGGGCCACAGCACAAAGGTAAAGATCAGTAAAGCTGGTAAATTATCCTTTTAGCATTGGAAAAGTTTACATAAAAAATATTCATTCACAATTAAGTGACTGATACAGGAGTAGCTTTTATTCACCTGAGAGGATCACCAGGAGGGACATTTCTTGACATAAGTCATGAAGATGATTACATATTCATCATGAATACAGAAGTAAGGAAGGAGCTTGAATGAAAGCAAAGGAGGTCTAAAGAATTTAAAATATTTAGGCATAGCTGAATGAAAGTGTGTACCTAATGCTCATAGGTGATGGGGTTGTAGTGAAAAATAAGAGTGGAGAGATTTTTTTAAATTCCAGAACTCATAATGCCTTGGAGATCATATCTGTGTTTTGTGGTGTGCAGTGAAAGTGACCAAGAGCCACAACAGGGTTTTACTTTGGAAAATAACACAAATAAATTTTGATAACGTTAAATTAACTTTTATAGCTGGGGGGAATGCTTGGAGAGGTGCAAGATTGGAGGCAGAAACACCAGTCAGGAGATTGTAATGATCAAAGTCAGAAAAGAAACAAAGGAAAGATTAGGGGACTCTATCAGTCCAGGCATGATCATCAAAGAAAACTATTATAAAAGATAGATAGGTAAAAAGATAGGTGTATGATAGATTAAAAATTGATGAGACAGAGATAGATATACTTACATTTTTTTTTTTTTTTTGAGATGGAGTCTTGCTCTGTCACCCAGAGCTGCACCCAGGCTGGAGTGCAGTGGCGCGATCTCGGCTCACTGCCAGCTCCACCTTCCGGGTTCACGCCATTCTCCTGCCTCAGCCTCCCGAGTAGCTGGGACTACAGGCGCCCACCACCATGCCCGGCTAATTTTTTTTGTATTTTTAGTAGAGACGAGGTTTCACCGTGTTAGCCAGGATGGTCTCGATCTCCTGAACTCGTGTTCCGCCCGTCTTGGCCTCCCAAAGTGCTGGTATTACAGGCGTGAGCCACTGCGCCCGGCCAGAGATAGATATACTTTCATAATTTATTAAAAGGATCTGTCCTTGTACAACTGTGGACATTGGCTAAAGAGTTTGTGTAAGGCTGCTGTCTTCTCATCTGATCCTGGAGCTTGACATCTGAGGTCAGTAAGTCAGAAAGGAAGATGGATATGAAATAGGAGAGAACGAGTAGAAACTAGAACTTATGAAAGTGGGCTTGAACCCACCAGGACAGACTGGAACCTGTTTAAGTGTCTTACTGCTTCTAACTTCAATGATGGTGTCAAAAGAAACTGGTGCTTTTCCTCATGAATCTAAATAAGTCCTGACCCAGGAGTTGGAGAAGTTGAAGAAAGTTCTGGAAGAAAGTGGGCTATCTAATGTCCCAAGCCAGCAGGTAAATGACCATATACATGAGCTACAACACCTTCTGTTGTTTCCTAGCATTAGACCTTTCTTAGCATTAGAAAAATAAATGGTTGTGGTTCACTTTTGCCTTCTAATCTTTAAAATGTCTCCTGTGATCCACCGGAAGGAATATAGAACAATGGGAATTCTGAGAAACATTGTTCATCCTAGCCATGTAGGCCCAATACAAAGACATTAACAAAAATCGATATGACATGGTTTTATAGAGGTAGGATTGGAGTTGGGGCCTGATTAGATATGTTTTGTGGGGGGATGTGGTGAAGCAACATTAGAACTAAAGTATTTATTACATTTGATAGCTGCAGTTCATATAATGAGCATTCAGGGGTAGATTCTTCAAACTTAAGATTAAGAAATAAATGGGAATTATCAACAGAAAGAAAGAGCAGAGACAGGTGCATAGCTTTGGAGGGATCATATTCAAGGTAGTAAAATGATTATAACAATAATATGAAAGAAGTTTACATTTTAACATAGTTATAGTCTTTACAGAAAGAGCCAAGTTGCAGAGGATAGGTTAGAATGCAGAGAAGACAAGGATAATCTGAAGAAACAATGATACATTGATGTTAGAGAATATTATATATAAGCACAAACACAGGGGAGAGAGAGGTGTCAACCTAACAAGAGACACATATACTCTGAGAGTGAGAGAACAGAAGGTGAGGGAAGAGACTGTCACCAAATCGAATCACCAAAACATCCCTGAAATGTACAATTTTACAAAAGTTCACTGATGTCCAAAAGAGTAAATGTCTTACAGTAAATGTCTTATAGCAACTTCATAATACTATCAACTATATTTGTGTCTGTACAAACTTCTTAAAGTTTTATAAGAAACTTAAGTTTTATATAATATTTACTATTTTAGGACATTTGAAAACAAAATATTGTGTAATATTTTTAATATGTGTATGTTGCATGTATGTGTTTAGTAAACACTATGTGAATGGAGATAAATTCTAAATCATCACTAGGCTAATACAAATTGAAATTGTAAAGCTATTTCACATTAACTTAACACAGATTTTCAGTAATGTATATAAATTTACAGTTAGCAATGTACATCAAGAGTTCCTGGATTTGTCACGTTACCTTTCTATTGTAAACTGCATTTACTCTTCTGACAAAATCTTTTAAGTGTACAAAGTTGAAAATAAAAAAACTTTGGGGACTTTTCTAAAATTAAAAGAAAAGTTAGTAACTTTTAAAGTTATAGCTAAGGAATGACAGTTAACTTTGATACTTGTTTTAGACAAACAAGTCAGCTATTACTTTAAAATTTAAGGTAACATCCTTCTTTGCTCAAGAGTAAGTGAAATAATATAGGATGAATAATGTGTGCATTATAAGACCAAAATGTTCCCTATATTTAAGCCATTAATAATGCATAAAACCTGTTGATAATCATGTTTTTTATTTAAAAGGAAAGTAAATTTGAAAACAAAAGAGACAATCTTAAAATTCTGGGTCATAACATATCTGTGAAATTGGCATTATCAGAAAAATCATTGTAAAGATAGCATCAAATAGCGTGCTATTCAGCATAAGCTTAAATCCCAACACCTCTGTGATTTAAAAAAAAAAACAGTAAAAAATGAAACTAATAAAGTCTCTCTCCCAAACCCATCAAATGAGGCAGAAATGCATGTTTATTTTAATTTAGCAAAAGGGAAAACACTTGTCACTCAGATATGAAGTGAAACAAACAATTGTTTAGAAAAGTGATCATAAATTTGATCATGAAAGCAAAAGTAAATTATATTTAGTCATGTAGAACAATGAGATTTTTCATCAGTTCTTTTATGCCTTCATACATTTAAAACATTAGTTTGTAAATATTTTCCTTTTGTCTTTTCCTTTCAAAATTTTTGGTGTCTGGTCAGAACACTACTCTTTTTTGTTGTACTTATTTTTGTCTTTTTTCCTTTTCTTTATTTTTAACATATATATATTTTTAACATATATATATATATATATATATTTTTTTTTTTTTTTTTTTTTTTTTTTTTTTTTTTGAGACAGGGCCTTGCTCTGTTGCTCAGGCTGGAGTGTACAGTGGTGCAATCTCAACTGACTGCAACCTCTGCCTTCTGGGTTCAAGCGATTGTCCTGTGTCAGCCTCCCAAGTAGCTGTGACTACAGGCACCTGCCACCATGCTTGGCTAATTTTTGTGTTTTTAGTAGAGACAGTGTTTCACCATGTTGGCCAGGCTAGTCTCCAACTCCTGGCCTCAAGTGATCCACCAACCTCGACCTCCCAAAATGCTGGGATTACAAGCCTGAGCCACTGTGCCCAGCCCAACTTTTAAGTTCAGTGGTACATGTGCAGGTTTGTTACATAGGTAAATTTGTGTCATGTGGGGGTTTGTTGTACAGGTTATTTAATCACCCAGGTATTAGGCCTAGTACTCATTTGTTATTTTTCCTGATTCTCTCCCTTCTCCCACCCTGCACCCTCCGATAGGCCCCAGTATCTATTGTTCCCCTCTGTGGCCGTGTGTTCTCATCCTTTAGCTCCCATTTATACGTGAGAACATGCAGCATTTGATTTTCTTTTCCTGTGTTAGTTTACTAAGGATAATGGCCCTCAGCTCCACCCATGTCCCTGCAAAGGACATGATCTCATTCTGTTTTTGGATGCATAGTATTCCATCATGTAAGTGTACCACATTTTCTTTATCCAGTCTACCATCGACGAGAATTTTGGTTTAATCCTCGTCTTTGCCATTGTGAATAGTGCTGCAGTGATCGTACATGCACAGGTGTCTTCATGTTAGAACAATTTATATTACTATGGGTAGATACACAATAATGGGATTGCTTGGTCATATAGTAGTTCTGTTTCTAGGTCCTTGAGGAATTGCCACATTTCCTTCCAAAATGGCTAAACTAATTTACACTCCCACCAACAGTGAATAAGGATTCCTTTTTCTCAACAACCTCACTAGCATCTGTTATTTTTGACTTTTTAATAACAACCATTCTTACTGATGTGAGATGGTGTCTTGTAGTTTTGATTTGTATTTCTTTAATGATCAGTGATGTTGAGCTTTTTTTCATATGATTGTTGGCCACATGTATGTCTTCTTGTGAAAATGGTCCTTTGCTCACTTTTTAATGGAGTTATTTGTTTTTTTCTTGTAAATTTGTTTAAGTTCCTTATAGACTTTGGATACTAGACCTTTGTCAGATGCATAGTGTGCAAAAATTATCACCCATTCTGTAGATTGTCTGTTTATTCTGTTGATAGTTTCTTTTGCTGTGCAGAAGCTGTTTAGTTTGTTAATTTTTTCCTTTGTTGTGATTGCTTTTGGTGTCTTTGTCATGAAATATTTTCCCATTCCTACTAGGTTGTCTTCCAGGGTTTTCATAGTTTTGAGTTTTACATTTAACTCTTTAATCCATCTCGAGTTAATTTTTGTATATAGTGTAAGGAAGGGGTTCTGTTTCAATCTTCTGTATATGGCTGGCCACTTATCCCAGCACCTTTTATTGAAATGCATTTCCTTTCTTTATTGCTGTTTTTTTGTCAGTTTTGTCAAAGATCAGATAGTTGTAGATGTGTGGCTTTATTTCTTGGCTTTCTATTATGTTCCATTGGTCTACGTGTCTGTCTTTGCAGCAGTACCATGCTGTTTTGGTTACTATAGCCCTGTAGTATAGTCTGATGTAGGGCAGCATTATACCTCCAGCTTTGTTGGTTTTGCATAGGACTGCCTTGGGTATTTGAGGTCTCTTTTGGTTCAATACGAATTTTAAAGTAGTTTTTTTTTTCTAGTTCTGTGAAGAATACCATTGGTAGTTTGATAGGAATAGCATTGAATCTACAAATTGCTTTGGGTAGTATAGCCATTTTAACAATATTGATTCTTCCTATCCATGATAATAGAATGCTTTTCCATTTGTTTGTGTCATCCCTGATTCCTTTGAGCAGTGTTTTATAGTTCTCTTTGATAAAGTCTTTCACCTCCCTGGTTAGTTATATTCCTCGGTATTTTATTTCTTTTGTGGCAATTGTGAATGCAATTATGTTCCTGATTTGGCTCTCACTTGACTATTGTTGGTATATAGGAATGCTATTAATTTTGTATTCTGAGGTTTTGCTGAAGTTGTTTATCAGCTTAAGGAGCTTTGGGGTCAAGACTATGGAGTTTTCTAGATATAGGATGATGTCTTCTGTAAACATAGTTTGACTTCCTTTCTTCCTATTTGGATGCCCATTATTTCTTTCTCTTGCCTAATTGTTCTGGCTAGGACTTCCAATACCCTTTAATATGTTATTCTGAGTTACATTTTTTATAGGAGACATATTGGTAATATTCTCCAATTTAAGCACTGTATCTAAGTCTCTAAAAACATCACTCTTCACAGATAAATATCTCCCTGCCACTATGCATTTTATAATTTTAATTATATTATGAGTCAGGATATTTTAAAGAAAAAGAGCTATTGGATTCATAAGTAATACATGTATAAAAATGATGCATGCAAAATAAAGTGGTTGATAAACTGATGAAGAAAAACTGTATATTTTGATACCCTCAGAAAATTATTAATGGGAACTGCAAGCCACTTCCTTCCAAATGGATTTCTGATTTCTAGGACTCGGGAAAAATATTTTAACTGAGCTGTGAGTCCTCATATCAGAAGCTAAATACCTAGATTAATTCATCACATCACATTTCTATTCCAAATTAGCTGGAGATTCTGCCAGTTTCTTGGTGAGTCTAGAGGGAATTACAAAGAAGTCAACAGCATTGACAAATGTAGAATTGGAGCTGAAGACAACTCATGGAAATTGTTGATATGCGTCACTTCTAACATACACAATGACATATTGTTTATGTCCTTAGATTTCCTTTGACAAACAAAAAGTTTAAGATTTCACTCATTTGAATACCCAACAACCTTCTTGTTTTAGGATATTGTTTGGTAAGATTGTACATATACTACATCCATCATATTTTCATTGTGAAGAGTTTCTAAAAAGAAAACTATAACCAAGGAGAATTGGATCAAAATTCAAACTACACATTACAGCTGACCCTTTTGATCCTAAATCTCTAAACAAATAGAAAATTATCTTTTGTTTAACAAATCTATAACCTTGAATACTTAAAATTAGAAGAATAACTATGAGTACTCTTTCAAAGATATTGTGCAATGAGATCTGATTGAAGAAGAAACCATAGCACAACATATTTTCAGGAAAACTAGTGAGAGAAAGAAGGTGCCCCTCTGGATGCAAGCCAAGCAAGGAAGTGTTAGATGCTGTGAGCATGAAGAGCCTGGGGTGGACCTGCCTCCACTTCTGACTTCTCCTGCTTAAACCAAGGCAGGAATTGGTCAGACAGGATAGTGCCCTGTGAACTTCAAGAGGAATGGAGGAAAATGTATTTTTTGCTATTTGTTGCCCATTCTTTTTCTATATATTTTAGAATCAACTCACCATTTAACAATTAAAAAAAGAGCTGCTGCAATTTTGGTGGGGCTATATTGAATCAAAAAATAAATTTAGAGTGAAGTGACATGTTTAAAATATGAAGTCTTCTCATTCATTAACAGCATATGTCTCTACATTTATTTGGGCTCTTTTTATTTTCTTCAACAGTGTTTTGTAGTTTTCACATTGTCCACTGGATTTATTCCTAAGTCCTGTGTATTTTTGATAAAACTAAAAACGGTTATTCAAATTTTTTTAAATGTTGCTGGTGTATCAAAGTAAAATTGATTTTTCATAATAATTGTTTTTCAAGTGAATTTGCCAAATCCACTTATTGATTCTAAGAGTTTCTTGCAGATTCATTTGGACATTTGCACAATAATTAACTTTACCAATTTTTATTCTTTTATTTCTTTTTCTTTCTTTATTCTATTGCCCAATTTGGTACAAAGTTGAAAAGAAGTTGACGATGTTAGGGATTTTTGCTTGTGTGTTTTTAACAAAGATTGGCCTTTACCTTTTCATCTTTTGATACCTTTGTCATGTTTATCTGACTTCCTAACAAGGTGGAAAGAGTTCCCTCTCTTTCTTCTCTTCAAATATTTTTTATAAAACTGAAATTATTTTGTCCTTAATATTTGGAATATAATTTACATCAGCAAAATGTTTTCGATAAAAGAAAAGTTACATAATTATTTTATATACCTAAATGAAATCATATGGATCCCTTGACATGATATACTTACTATGTTTACGTTTATCACACCTATATCAATAATGTAAATGGGAAAAGCTAGTTACAAAAATAATACTGTAAAATTTATGCAGAGAAAGGATCTGAAAAAATACCATGGTTTCTCTAGGGAGTAGAGTGAATAGGTTGTGAGAAATTTGAGTCATATCAATATACTGTAAACATTATAGTTTTAATAACTTATCAATTGTGATTTAAAATGGCACAAACGTGAACTTTTCCATCTACTCAAGGATGGAAGGAAAAAGAGGAAGAAAGAAATATCCACACAAAATGGCTGAACACTGATCTCTTTTCTTTTTAGCAAGTACATTTTTTGGCTTGATATTGTTGTAAGCGCTTAGAGACTGTTCCCTGAGCAGACTATGTGGTGTGGTGTTCCAACAGAGAGTTGTCTGCTGTTTTATGAGCAGAAGTTGTTAATGCCTGCAAATTGATGCTATTCTCCAGTCTCGGGTTATAAAGGGAAAGCAGATGTTCATGTGCAACTAACCCAAACACATTGAGAAAGGCTACAGATATTTTCCCATTTCAATTACCATAATTTAATGTCTAGAATACATGCCCAAAATCTTTTCATGGCAATGGATCAGCACATCCTATGCAATGCAAACCAAGTCCCCAAACTCTTCTGTATGCACTGCTCATTTTCAGAGATGAAAGCATTATACTGAATATGAGTTCAAACTGTTCTGAAGTGCTTTTGTTGGTATATTTTCAAATATTACAAAGGTTTGTTTCCTAGTAGTTTTTATTATAGATTCCATAGAAGAGTTGTTTACCTTCTTGCACTTTCCTATTGTTTTTCTTTTTATTGGTGTGTGATTGCTATGGTTGAACTGAATTTGCTAGGCCATTTCTTGAGATGTGACAATCATATCTTATTCCTTATGATTCTCTTTACAGGAAATTGTCATTAAATAGTTGAGGTACATTCTTTTGAAGCATGTAAAATAATTAACATCCTCTTAAATATAAGCAGCTTAATACAAAGACAAAATATTTGATTTTTCAAAAAATAAACCAAATTAAACAAAAAGATCATTTTGATAAAATAGAAACATAAATGTAGGTTATATTTTGAACATATTATAAAATGTTAAAACATTAAAATATTTATGATGGATTACTTGCAATAAAGAAACTTTAAAATGAATATAATCTTGTTTTGTTTATAAAAAACACACCCATGCATATGCACATCAAAAGATACTACCAACAAAAATATGATTGCTTTGGTCATTTCCTTTTGGTGGGTATTATAAAAGCTTAGAATTTTCTTCTTTTTAAGCATCTGTAGTTTATAAAATTTCTATTTATTTTCATTAAGAAAAATTCTATGTATCTAAACAAATATAGAAAATGTGCTGTGAAGTAAAATTTGAAGAAACATGAAACATAGGCGAAACTTTGATGTTACTTCCTTAATACCTCAAACCGTAAAATTTCTAATAATTTAAATTTGGAAAATATGCTCATTTATTTTTATAAGTGTATTCCTCTTTATCCAAATAACATATTCATTGCAAAAAAAAGCAACTAAAAAATCTCACTAACATATTAAAGAAGTTATTTGGATTTTGGTATATGTCTTTCACACAGTTTTATTTGTTATCATTGGAAAACCTAATTAAAGAGATGCATTCAGAGGGAGAATAATTAGACATCAAATTTGGAAAGTAAGTCTACTATTTCTGACCTTGAGTCCTTAATCCTTCTCCTCAAATGAGCATTACCTGTCTATAATGTATTCTTCCAATGAGATTTGAGATTCTATGAATAAATAAGCATAAAGAGTCTGAGTGTGTGGGGGTGTGTGTGTGTGAGAGAGAGAGAGAGGAATGAGTATTTACAAAGAGATAACTTTTTCTTACAAAAATGGTTCATTATATACAGTGTTTACTATTATTCTTTCTTCACTAAAAGTGTCTCTTTTAATTTTTTACACTTTTAAAAGAGATATATTATTTTTAAATGATTGCATGTTGCTCTAATATGTGGCTCTAAAATAATTTATTTAATAGGTTCCATATTATTAGATATTTTTGTTATTTGTTTTCTGTGTTTTTTACACTATAAAATTTGATCAGATGAATATTTCCTATGCATATATGTGACTATATTTACTGGATATATTTTTAGAAGGAAAATTTCTTGGTCAAGAATATAAACTTCAAAAATGATATATAGTGCTAAATTGTTCTTCATACATTTTAAGCAATATATGTCAATATACGACTATGGTATTTCCCATATTTTTGCTAACAGAGTATATCCTTTTAATTGTTAAACAAAGATTTTTAATTATAGTTTTAATTTGTCCTTCTTTTTCCTTCAGAGATTTATCATTATATTATTTTGTTAATGGTCATTTGCCTATTTTTGCACATGTTCATGTGTGTTTATGGTGGGAGTGAGTAGCCTGTTTATGTTCTCTGCTCATTTTTGTATTTATTAGATTGTTTGATTTATTTTTTTCTCATGAGCTGTAAGCAATCTTTATGTACTAAAGTAATGTGTCCTCAGTGAGCCATATTCTTTGCAAATATTTATTCCTAGTTTTATTATTCATTTGTCTTTGACTTGGTTTATTGAATTGAGCTTAGCTCTCTTTCAAAGGAAGAATTTATTGAGCCAGCTGTTACTAGAAGTTGTCCATTGAGAGAGGTTTCAGCTTTCGGCCCCTTCATGAATTGCCTCAGCTTCTAGTTACCCACTCTCTGCAAGGAAGGCCCTTCTGGAATAGCCAATATCCAATGACTACTTCAGGTTGGGCTATAAATGGCCAACCTGATGGGCCGTTTTAGCAACAGAGATCCTCATAAGGTCAGCTGAGACTGCCACTGGGCTTGCACTGCATTTTAACTTTTCCCTTTGCTCTCCTCTGCTTCCTTCCCTTCCCTTCAACAGATGTGGATCTCAAGGACACTCTTCAATAAATATCCTGCACACTAAATTCTGAATCAATGTTTGCTTCCCAAAGACTCAACTCGTGCCTCCCCCCAGAACATTTATATAATTGAACATTTATAAAATCCCTTTGTATTTTGCCTTAGTCCTAAATATACCTCATCTAGAGGTAAATTCATTACTGGAGGAAATTGGTAATCTCTCTCTCAGCATGTGTGTGTGTAATATATTCACATACACTATATACACACTAAATATATACACAATATACACATTAAATATACACACTATATATGCTGTGTACACACTATATATATTACATATACATACTATATATACACATGCACTATTTGTACACACACTATATACACACTATATGTATATACACACTATATATACACACACTTTTTGTATATATACACTATCTTATATATCATATATAAACACACTATATAGTTATGTATATAGTATATAAGTGTGTGTGTATATATGATGAACACAAGTTTTTTTTCAATTTTCTACAATCAGAAATTTTTTTTCTTGCATATGTGTATGAGTTTCTCTGTAGCGTAGATAACTAAGAGTGGAAATGGTGGTTCATAGGAGGTGGGTGTCTTCAACATTACTAGAGAATTCCAAAGTTCTCAAAATGGGGATTACATACATGTTCAAATTTTAAAACACGTTGTCCAAATAATTTCTTGCCTGTCTATGAACTTTGTAGTTGGATGGAAAAATTATCTTTCATTACATTAGATGCCAGTTGCGCAAGAGTTAGAAAATGGCTTCGTCACATGAGCTCTATTA
Source organism: Homo sapiens (assembly GCF_000001405.40). Taxonomy (NCBI): domain Eukaryota; kingdom Metazoa; phylum Chordata; class Mammalia; order Primates; family Hominidae; genus Homo; species Homo sapiens. Next base: position 65,531,698 of record NC_000010.11, on the reverse strand, counting down.
ATGGCATTACCCTCCTTCTAGTCCCTGAGGTAGGACATCTGTAAGCCACCTTTGGAAGGCTTTTATTATTTCATGATCGATCTTCTAATATTCACACTTATTATTGAACATTCTTTTCTCTATTTATTTCTGTTATTGTTAATTTTATGTGTCTTCTTGATTGGATTAAATAATACTGAGATAGCTGGTAAAACATTATTTTTGGTGTGTCTGTAAAGGTGTTTCTTGAGGAGACCAACATTTGAATTACTAGATTGAGTAAAGAAAATCCACCTTCAGGAATGTAGTTCCTTACTCAGTTCTTTACTGCCTAAATAGAACAAAAAGGTGGAGGAAGGATAAGTTTCCTGTCTCTCCTTAAGCTGAAACATCCATCTTCTCCTGCCCTTGGACATTTGAACATCAGAGATCTTGGTTCCCAGGCTCCAGGATTTATACTAGCTTCCCACTACCCACACCCTCCACCCCTGGCTTCCCTGGTTCTCCAGTTTGCAGATGGCATATTGTTGGACTTCTTGGCCTCCATAATCATGCAAACCAATTCCCATTATAAATCTCTTGCTCTCAGTGCCTATATACATGTCCTATATAGGTTCCGTTTCTCTGGAAAAAACTAATACAACCTCATGGCTCTCATATAATAAGTTTGAGGTTCTGGCCTCAAACTTATTATATGAGGGCCATGAGTTTGTATTTCTTACAAACATCATCAGCTTTTGTATTAATAAAAGTCTTCAGGCTATTTTGACTTTCTTAGGTCCTTGAAATTCAAGGCATTTTTACACTTGCTGTATTCAATTAGAACAAGAAAGCAAACAAACATTTTCAAAATATGGTCTTTCCAAGTTTTGCTTGAGAGAACAAGTTAAAACTGCATCTTCTCCCAGTTTCTCAGGCAATAAGTTTTACCTGGACACCATACTTTATCATTTTAGTGAGCATCCTTATCTGGGAGTCAAATGTGTTTGAGAAAAGGTACTTAGTGTCTCTGCAGACTCTTTACTACACCATTCTTGCTTTCTCTGCCATAAACAGCTCTTACTGAACTAAATCTCCTCTAACATAACAGCTCTTCCTCCCATTGCAATTAACAACCATGAAAAATCCAATATCTCTGCCTCATGGCCACTCCAACTGAAATAACTTTAGATTGCTTCTTAATGCAGGTTCAAATCCTTCCTACCAAGCAGGCACATATATTTCTGCACAACTGGATGTCACTGAGGTTCCTCTGAGAAGAATATGAAATGATAGAGTATGAAGGAGATGAGGTTAAATTCTGGCTTCACTACTTAGTGTTTGTGTTGGTATAGGTACGTGAATCAAACTTTTCAAATTTTCAATTATTTTATCTGAATAAAACAACATTTTAACTTGTTAGGCTATTTGTGAGGGTTAACTGGGAAAAATCATGCAAAAGTTTTAAAAGGCGTATCTGGCACACCGTAGGCATTTAATACATGATGGTTCTGTTTCTTGTTTCTTTTCTCTTGCATTCCAGCAATGATTTCTCAGATACTTGTAACTAATTGGTTAACTCTAATTTGATTTCAACATATTTAAAATGAAATTTAAATAACAACATATATGAGACTATTTCAAGTTTTCAAATACTTTACTGTAAATTAAAGTAAAAGTAACCATATTTAAATTGTTTACTTCTACTTCAAATTATTTCATTTATGTTTTTTACTTACAGGCATTCTAGTCTTGGTATCTATGTTAATATTCTTGACTTTCTCATATGTTCTGCCTACTTCTATTTATGTTCCATGTTGAATATGATATTTCCAATACACTTACATTCTTATACTTCAGTGTAAGCTCAAAGATTTCTCTCACTAGTTCCAGTAAGATTTCTGGTTTCCAACATTTTGAAGATTCACCAGGTAACTTTATTATGTTTTATCTGACTTATCCTGAAGAAAACCTATTTTTTAAGAAAAAAATTTTAATCATTGTATTTAAATATTATCAGTGCCTACTGCTGGTCATTTCAAAGTGGGACAATGCATGTATGAATATATAACACTTTGATTTTTGAGAAAGCTTTCATGACTAATACTAATTTGTTTTCACATTACTCTCTGCCCCATAGAAAACAAAACAAATGATTCAAATGGGCAGCAATATATGTATCTATGCTGTTAGAAACAAATGCGCTTCTGAGTACACCACAAAAAAGATGTGCAAACTTTTATAAAAGTACATGGGAAAAAGTGAAAACGTTTTAAAGAAATCCACAGTTTGTCATCTAAATGAACTTTTAAAATGAGGAGGGGAGCTGAGAATACATTACATTTGTAGGTAAATGCTTCAAGAGAAAGAATGTTTATGTAATACTGAATATGCTATGGACCACATTACCATTGCAGAGCATATGTTCTTTGTAAGTAAGAGAACATAAACCCACTATATAGATGAAAATGGCGAAATTTGGAATCACATGAGAGACATGTTCAACTTCTAAACTTTAACAGATTCATAATGAACCTGCAAATTGAGAATTAACACCTGTTCTGGATCATTATCACTAGTAAAGTGCCAAGTGGAGACTTGTTTGTATGTGGGAAATGTTGTTATTTTTCAAGGTCAGCTGCTAATATGTATCATTTACATGAATGTTTCTATTAGCAGCCTCATATCAAATTAGGAGGATAAAAGTAGAGTGTGAATTCCTTGCCAATTTTTTCTGCTAGGATAAACTGGAAGAATTCTTTATCTAGACTTATGGACCAAAAAATATTTATGCTATTCAGAACAAAGTGATGGCAGAAGAAAAAATGATGCCTATTTTTCAGCAATGTTCAGATGAAGTATATTGGGTATTGGCCATGAGCATAGCAAGAGTGTTGAAAAAGTTGTCTCAGCACTTTTCAGGAGGGATCAGAGAAAGTAAATGAGCCTTATTGATCATTTTTCTCCTTGTGGATCAGAATACTGCCAAGTACATTCTGAAGTTATAACATCCAGAATGAAATCCCATCATCAATTTACTTCAGAATATTAATGTGTCCCCCATACATACTGATGACATGTTTGAAAGATATAAAGGGATAAAAGTAGGAAACAAAAATAGGTCATAAAAGAAGGAAAGAGGAAAGAAGAGAGGTAGGTACCCTAGAGGTAGTGGTTTGTTTCTGTCTCTTTATGTAGTAAGCAACCAGAGGACCACTGCTCAGACAGGTACATATTGATTATTTTCAATGCCAAGTTTTCTGAGGATTAGGCTTCTATCAGAAGTAATTTAATTCTTCAGTTAATCCTAGTTGTTCATCTAGGATTTTTATAGTTTGGGGTTTTACATATGGGTATTTATTTTATTTATTTATTTTTATTATACTTTAACTTTTAGGGTACATGTGCACAATGTGCAGGTTTGTTACTTATGTATACATGTGCCATGTTGGTGTGCTGCACCCATTAACTCGTCATTTAACATTAGGTATATCTCCTAATGCTATCCCTCCCCCGTCCCCCCACTCCACAACAGGCCCTGGTGTGTGATGTTCCCCTTCCTGTGTCCAGGTGTTCTCATTGTTCAATTCCCACCTATGAGTGAGAACATGCGGTGTTTGGTTTTTTGTCCTTGTGATAGTTTGCTGAGAATGATGGTTTCCAGCTTCATCCATGTCCCTACAAAAGACATGAACTCATCATTTTTTATGGCTGCATAGTATTCCATGGTGTATATGTGCCACATTTTCTTAGTCCAGTCTATCATTGTTGGACATTTCGGTTGGTTACAAGTCTTTGCTATTGTGAATAGTGCCACAATCAACATACGTGTGCATGTGTCTTTATAGCAGCATGTTTTATAACTTTTGGGTATATACCCAGTAATGGGATGGCTGGGTCAAATGGTATTTGTAGTTCTAGATCCCTGAGGAATCGCCACACTGTCTTCCACAATGGTTGAACTAGTTTACAGTCCCACCAACAGTGTAAAAGTGTTCCTATTTCGCCATATCCTCTCCAGCACCTGTTGTTTCCTGATTTTTAATGACCCCCATTCTAACTGGTGTGAGATGGTATCTCATTTTGGTGTTGATTTGCATTTCTCTGATGGCTAGTGATGATGAGCATTTTTTCATGTGTCTTTTGGCTGCATAAATGTCTTTTTTTGAGAAGTGTCTGTTCATATCCTTTGCCCACTTGTTGATGGGGTTGTTTGCTTTTTTCTTGTAAATTTGTTTGAGTTCTTTGTAGATTCTGGATATTAGCCCTTTGTCAAATGAGTAGAGTGCAAAAATTTTCTCCCATTCTGTAGGTTGCCTGTTCACTCTGATGGTAGTTTTTTTTGCTGTGCAGAAGCTCTTTAGTTTAATTAGATCCCATTTGTCAATTTTGGGTTTTGTTGCCATTGCTTTTGGTGTTTTAGACATGAAATCCTTGCCCATGCCTATGTCCTGAATGCTATTGCCTAGGTTTCCTTCCAGGGCTTTTATGATTTTAGGTCTGACATTTAAGTCTTTAATCCATCTTGAATTAATTTTTGTATAAGGTGTAAGGAAGGGATCCTGTTTCAGCTTTCCACATATGGCTAGCCAATTTTCCCAGCACCATTTATTGAATAGGGAATCCTTTCCCCATTTCTTGTTTTTGTCAGAATTGTCAAAGATCAGATGGTTGTAGATGTGTGGTATTATTTCTGAGGCCTCTGTTCTGTTCCATTGGTCTATATCTCTGTTTTGGTACCAGTACCATGCTGTTTTGGTTACTGTAGCCTTGTAGTATAGTTTGAATTCAGGTAGCGTGATGCTCCAGCTTTGTTCTTTTGGCTTAGCATTGTCTGGGCAATGAGGGCTCTTTTTTGGTCCCATATAAACTTTAAAGTAGTTTTTTCCAATTCTGTGAAGAAAGTCATTGTTAGCTTGAGGGGATGGCAGTGAATCTATAAATTACCTTGGGCAGTATGGCCATTTTCACGATATTGAGTCTTCCTATCCATGAGCATGGAATATTCTTCCATTTGTTTGTGTCCTCTTTTATTTTGTTGAGCAGTGGTTTGTAGTTCTCCTTGAAGAAGTCCTTCACATCCTTTGTAAGTTGGATTCCTATGTATTTTATTCTCTTTGAAGCAATTGTGAATGGGAGTTCACTCATGATTTGGCTTTCTGTTTGTCTGTTATTGGTGTATAAGAATGCTTTTGATTTTTGCACGCTGATTTTGTATCCTGAGACTTTACTGCAGTTGCTTATCAGCTTAAGGAGATTTTGGGCTCAGAAGATGGGGTTTTCTAGATATACAATCATGTCACATGCTAACAGGGACAATTCAGCTTCCTCTTTTCCTAATTGAATACCCTTTATTTCCTTCTCCTGCCTGATTGCCCTGGCCAGAACTTCCAACACTATGTTGAATAGGAGTGGTGAGAGAGGGCATCCCTGTCTTGTGCCAGTTTTCAAAGGGAATGCTTCCAGTTTTTGCACATTTAGTATGATATTGGCTGTGGGTTTGTCATAAATAGCTCTCACTGTTTTGAGATACATCCCATCAATACCTAATTTATTGACAGTTTTAGCATGAAGGGCTGTTGAATTTTGTCAAAGGCCCTTTCTGCATCTATTGAGATAATCATGTGGTTTTTGTCTTTGGTTCTGTTTATATGCTGGATTACATTTATTGATTTTCATATGTTGAACCAGCCTTGCATTTCAGGGATGAAGCCAACTTGATCATGGTGGATAAGCTTTTTGATGTGCTGCTGGATTCGGTTTGCCTGTATTTTATTGAGGATTTTTGCATCGATGTTCATCAGGGATATTGGTCGAAAATTCTCTTTTTTGGTTGTGTCTCTGCCAGGCTTTGGTATCAGGATGATGCTGGCCTCATAAAATGAGTTAGGGAGGATTCCCTCTTTTTCTATTGATTGGAATAGTTTCAGAAGGAATGATACCATCTCCTCCTTGTACCTCTGGTAGAATTCGGCTGTGAATCCATCTGGTCGTGGACTTTTTTTGGTTGGTAAGCTATTAATTATTGCCTCAATTTCAGAGCCTGTTATTGATCTATTCAAAGATTCAACTTCTTCCTGGTTTAATCTTAGGAGGGTGTATGTGTCCAGGAATTTATCCTTTTCTTCTAGATTTTCTAGTTTATTTGCATAGAGGTGTTTATAGTATTCTCTGTTGGTAGTTTGTGTCTCTGTGGGATTGGTGGTGATATCCCCTCCATCATTTTTTTATTGTCTATTTGATTCTTCTCTCTTTTCTTCTTTATTAGTCTTTCTAGCGGTCTATCAATTTTGTTGATCTTTTCAAAAAAAACCAGCTCCTGGATTCATTGATTTTTTGAAGGGTTTTTTGTTTCTCTCTTTCCTTCAGTTCTGTTCTGATGTTAGTTATTTCTTGCCTTCTGCTAGGTTTTGAATGTGTTTGCTCTTGCTTCTGCAGTTCTTTTAATTGTGATGTTAGGGTGTCAATTTTAGATCTTTCCTGCTTTCTCTTGTGGGCATTTAGTGCTATAAATTTCCCTCTACACACTGCTTTAAATGTGTCCCAGAGATTCTGGTATGTTGTGTCTTTGTTCTTGTTGGTTTCAAAGAACATCTTTATTTCTGCCTCCATTTCGTTATGTACCCAGTAGTCATTCAGGAGCACGTTGTTCAGTTTCCATGTAGTTGAGTGGTTTTGAGTGAGTTTCTTGATCCTGAGTTCTAGTTTGATTGCACTGTGCTCTGAGAGACAGTTTGTTATACTTTCTATCCTTTTACATTTGCTGAGGAGTGCTTTACTTCCAACTATGTGGTCAATTTTGGAGTAAGTGTGGTGTGGTGCTGAGAAGAATGTATATTCTGTTGATTTGGGGTGGAGAGTTCTGTAGATGTCTATTAGGTCTGCTTGGTGCAAAGGTGAGTTCAATTCCTGGATATCCTTGTTAACTTTCTGTCTTGTGGATCTGCCTAATGTTGACAGAGTGGTGTTAAAGTCTCCCGTTATTATTGTGTGGGAGTCTAAGTCTCTTTGTAGGTCTCTAAGGACTTGCTTTAATCCTAGTTGTTCATCTAGGATTTTTATAGTTTGGGGTTTTACATATGGGTATTTATTTTATTTATTTATTTTTATTATACTTTAACTTTTAGGGTACATGTGCACAATGTGCAGGTTTGTTACTTATGTATACATGTGCCATGTTGGTGTGCTGCACCCATTAACTCGTCATTTAACATTAGGTATATCTCCTAATGCTATCCCTCCCCCGTCCCCCCACTCCACAACAGGCCCTGGTGTGTGATGTTCCCCTTCCTGTGTCCAGGTGTTCTCATTGTTCAATTCCCACCTATGAGTGAGAACATGCGGTGTTTGGTTTTTTGTCCTTGTGATAGTTTGCTGAGAATGATGGTTTCCAGCTTCATCCATGTCCCTACAAAAGACATGAACTCATCATTTTTTATGGCTGCATAGTATTCCATGGTGTATATGTGCCACATTTGCTTATTCAAAGCCTTTGCATTTATTGCAATTTTAATTTCATGTGTTTATTGACTTTTTTTCTGCTGGGCTTTCTGATTAAATAGTAAGTTTGCTTATTAACCATTTATCATCAGAACACGACATAGTACCAGACACATAGGAGTTCATTAATTACTTGCTAAAAAAAAGATCTCCAATTAGGTCCTGTAATGTTTTTGATGGTTTACCTTGAGATTCAGAGGGAACTACTGCCAGAATATATAAAGAAAGAATTACTATTTGTTAAAAATCCACCATGTATCTCTACTGTATATTTTTACACTTATGTAATCTTCCTAAAAACATGTTAAGGATAAAATATGATATATCAATTTATCATTTTTCCCCAATGCATAAGTGGAGCTCAGAGAACCAGAAAAATGTTTCTGAATTATACCATGAATAAAAGGAGCCACAATTCTTGGATTTCAAGCTCACATCACACTTGGTAAAAGTCCATTTTATTCTGTTGATTTCCAGAGATTAGGCAAATCATGAGGTAGATAAATGTGATTTCAGTAGATCAAAAAGATGTGAAGAGATGTGAAGTTAATACCACTGTAATATTTGTATATTAGGCTGGATATATAAAATTTTCATTTTTGTTTTTGTAAAAACTTGTGAATATCACTGCTTTCTGTTAATTCAACTTAGTATTTTATTACAGTCCTAGAATCCTTTTTATTATCATATACTTCTTCCAAATGCTATGGTCTAAGAGGAGAGCGTGATGATGAGTTCTAAGCTGTGGCTGTGCTAACGACTAACTGAACTAAAGTGGAAAGGATCACTAGAGTCATGGGTGTCAAGGCATTGCTAGGTAGCACATTGTGAGGCTCAATAATCTGGATATTAATACCTCTAAGAATACTAGCAAGCCACTTATAACGAGATAGCTTTAACTGAGGGTTTGCAGTCAAGAAAGTTAAGAAAGAAGGTACTCTCTATTTCAGATGTGTGCATTTAAATATAATAATGTTTATATACACATACATACACACATATACATATATAACAACTGTCTAAAACTCTACCATTCAAGCCTTCAACTATTTATTAGTTATAAATCACCATATATTTTTCTAATGCTAGGTAACATCAGCTGTGATAGAAAGTTGGGGTGATTGCACATTTTTATTTTTTAAAAATTTGTTAGGTTGACAACATTTGAAATTTGTGTGAAAAGGATTTTGTACTATATTTAAATGACTTTTGTAAATAGTCATCCCCTATCTACATGGCACTGCTAATTGTAGCTAAATACAGAAAAAAAATACATATGCTATTAAGGCAAATTTCATTTAAAAGAGATGCATTGTATCCAATTGCGGGTATTAATAATTTCTGTCATTTATTATCATTGGTTCTCTTTCACTCACATCTACAAAGTCTCAACAGAACATTGTCATTAAATTACAAAACATTCTGATTCATTTGTTGGATGAGTTTGAAGTGAAACATAAGTATTGGTAAATTAGAAATTAAGCATTATAACTATCATATTTGGTATTTCCCCACAAGGAATTTTTTTCTGGAGGGGAGGGAAATAATTTTAGACTTACAGAAAAATTTCAAAAATGGTTCAGCATTCCTGTACATCCTTCATTCAGTTTTCCCCATTATTTGCACATTACACTAATGTGGTACAAACTAAGTTTTGTCAACGCTAATAACCAATATTGGTAATGATTATTTAACTATACTACATACTTTATTTATATTTCACCGGACTTTCCATTAATATCCTCTTTCTGTTCCATGATCCAACTGAGGTTACTACATTGCATTTAGTAAGCATGTCTTCCCAGGCTACCCTGGTCTGTGATGGTTTCTGTTTTTCCTTGTTTTTCAGGACACTGACAATCGCAACTAGTGCTGTCAAAGTATCCTGGAGAATGTCCTCCATTCTAGATTTGTCTAATAGTTTTCTCATGATTAGTCTGGGGTTATAGGTTTGTAGAAAAAAAGTACCAAACAGCTGAAGCACTCTTCTCATCATATCATATCAGGATGGGCATGATATCCACATGACATTACTGATTAATGTTAGTTTTTGCCAGTTTTCTCCACTGTAATGCTACTTTTCTTTTCTTTCTCAACTTGATTCACTGGAAATAAATCTTTTGTTTAATCCGTCTTCAAGAAGAAAGGGGTTTAAGACTTGTCATCATTGCATACTTATTTCTAACAAGACTACCCTACATCTGTCCTGGAAAATATTCAGATCCACCCTCATTTCAGTATCCTGTGTATATACACACATAAAAAATGTATATTATTATACACAAACACACAATACACAACACCTCCATGTGATTCACAATTTGGGCATAATTGGCATATGGAATAATTGACATAGTCCAGGTAGAGTCATTTCTATTGACTCTTAAGACTGCCACGGGAAAATATGTATATGTATATAAATCCTTCATGGAGTATCTGAATCTCTCAATAGATAATTTTGAGTCTACCACAAAGCCCAAGCATATTGCCCAGAAAAAAACACAGAAGCTTTGTTTAGAAATATAGGTCTCCTTCAGATTTTGGCAGTGCAATCAACAAAAAAGCAGTTCACCTCCTGTGAGAAACGTTGAGACCAAGGATAATTTCATGAATAAAATCTTTTCTTGAAACCCCTTTCCCAGTCTGAGCCGAGTAAGGCCATCTTCTCCATATCCCTAACATCTCGTGCAGCACCCTCCATGTTCTTCTGGAATCACTGGTGTTTTATTTCACCAAGTGGACTCTGAGCTCCTAGAAGGAAGTGATGTGGTTTTGTTTATGTCTCCATGCTTAGCTCTTGACACATAGCAAATACTGAGTTGTATTTATATTCATTGAATAAATAAACCAATATCCTATGAAATTTCCATTAGAAAAATTTAAGACTCTACACAAAAATAGTGTTTACATTTAGAATCAATATCTTTAAATTCATTATACAATTTTATCACTCTAAAAGACAGTTAATAAGTTTACTATAGCAACACATCTGATTTTGATCACTGCTGCCTAGGATTTTTTTTTTAACTCTCTGGCAGTGAACATCGTCTACTCTTCATGTTCCACTGACTTCTTCTAAACTTGAAGTCTAGATTGCAGCCCTCAGCCTGTACTGATTTTAGTTATGCTCCATTATCTGAAAATTAATGCACAGCAACTGTGTTGGGCTCAATGAATCTACCTACTTTGCAGTGTTCCTCTCCAGGAATCTCATTACCTCCCTGTCTCTGTGAAGTCAGTAGCTGCAGGAAGCTTCTGCTGCAGATCAAAGTTCTTTCAAGCCTGTTATTCTGTCTATGGTTGCTCCTGCCTTGAAGACACATTATTCTCTTCTTCATTTGTTTTCCACACACAGAAAATGCTGATATTAAATATTGAATAAAGGGAGTTTACATTATATTTTCCTCAAATTTCCCTTTATTAGAGTGGTGCTAATAATAAATATATATTTTGTGAAATAAAATACAGTGCTAAATAATAGACTTACAATAGTTCATTTAGATGCAAAATATAAGGGGACATATAGATTTTAAATTTCATATACTCCATTTCACAACTAATGGTTGACTACCTTTATAAGATTCCAGATAAAGTAATTTTCTACTATTTAGGTTCTCAAAAATGAGAACTGGAGGTTGCCCTCAGAGCAGGGTGGCCAAGTAGAAACCTTTACCAATCATCTTCCCTACAAGAACACCAAAATGAACAACTATCCACACCAAAAAAAAAAAAAAAAAAATCTTCATAAGAACCAGAAAATCAGAGGAGTGATCACAGTAACTGGTTTTAACTTCATATCACCAAAAGAGGCACTGAGGAGGGGAAGAAAGACAATATTGAATTGCTGATGCCACCACTCCCTTAATCCCCTGGCAGCAGCCACATATCATACAGACAGAATCTGTGCACTTGAGGGAGGGAGAGAGCAGTGATAGTGGGGCCTTGAACTGAAACTCAGTGCTGTGCTATCATAATGGAAAGCAACACTAGGCAAAACTCAGCCAATGTGCACAGAGGGAGCAACTAGACTAGCCCTAGCCAGAGAGGAATTATCCACCACAGTGGTTGGAACCTGAGCTCCAGCAAGCCTTGCCACCATTAGGCCAAAGTGCTCCAAGGTCCTAAACAAACTTGAAAGCCAGTCTAGGCTGCAAGGACTTCAATTCTGGGGCAAGTCCTGGTGTTGTGCTAGGGTCAGAGGCAGCGACCTGAGGGACACACAAACCAGTGGGACACCAGGGGTACTTGTATCACCCCTCCCGCAACCCCAAGCAGCACAGCTTGCAGCTCCAGGAAAGACTCCTTACTTCCACTTGAGAAAAGGAGAGGGAAAAGAGGACTTTGACACACAACTTGGATATTAGCTCAGCCACAGTAGGATAGAGTACCAGGCAGGGGTTTCCATTCCGGGCCCTAGCTTCCAGATAACATTTCTAAACACACCCTGAGCTGGAAGGGAACCTGCTGCCTTGAAGGGAAGGACTCAGTCTGGACAGGATTCATCATGGGCTGGCTAAAGAGTCCTTGGGTCCTGAATAATTAGCAGCATTACCCAGGCAGTACTTGCCGTGGGCATTGAATGAGACTCAGAGCTGTGCTGGCTTTCAGGTGTGACCCAGCACAGTCCCAGCTGTGATGGCTAAAATGAAGAATTCCTCTGTTTGGGAAAAAGATAAGAAAGAGTAAAGGGGACTTTGCCTTGCATCTTAGTTACCAGTTTGGCCACAGTGGGGTAAGTAGGGTACTACGTGTGTTTTTGGGGTCCCTGATTCCAGGCCTTGGCTCTTGGACAGCATTTTTGGACTTGCTCTGAGCCAGAGAAGAGCCTGCCATCCTGAAAGGAGAGTTTCAGGCCTGGTAACATTCACCACAAGCTGATTGAATTGCCCTTGGGCCTTAAATGAACCTCAGTAGTAGCCAGACAGTACTCACTGCAGGCCTGGGGTGGTGGTGTCTGTGGGTAGTGACTCTTCTGCTTGTGCAAATGGGAGGAAGAGTGGGAGGACTTTGCCTTGTGATTTGGATGTCAGCTCAGCTGCAGTGGAATAGAGCACCAGGTAGACTCTCCTAAGGTACCTGACTCCAGGCCCGGGCTCACAGATGGCAGCTGTGGACTCACTTGGGATCAGGGAGAAATCACTGCCCTGAAAGAAAGGGCACAAGCCAAGCTGGCTTTGCCAGCTGTTGACTGTAGAGCCCTAGGGCCTTGAGAAAACATAGGCAGTAGCCAGGCAGTAGTTACCACAAGCTCTGAGTGAGATCCAGTGCTGTGCTGGCTTCAGGACTGACCTAGTGCAGTCCCAGTTGTAGCGGCCACAGGGGTGCTTGTGTCACCCCTTCCCCAGCTCGTTACCTCAGCAGAATCCATTTGTTTGGGAGAAATAAGGAAGAGAACAAGAGTACGTCTAATGATCTGGAGAATTCTTCCAGATTTTATACAAGACCACCAAGGTTGTGCCTCTACAAGTCTGTAAGAACCAAAGCATTACTGGATTTTGGATGACCCCCTAATGCAGATACAACTACAGTGAACAAATACTTAGATCATAAAATCTGAGTCCCTTTGACTACTACCTGGAAAGCCTTATCAAAAAGGATGGGTACAAATAAGCCCAGACTTCAAAGACTTCAATAAATGCCCAGACGCTGACTAATATCCACAACCATCAAGATCATTTAGGAAAACATGACATCACCACGTAAACTAAATAAGGCACCAGTGACCAATCATAAAGAGGCAGAGGTATGTGACCTTTCAGACAGAGAATGTAAAATAGCCGTTTTAAGGAAACTCAAAGAAATTTAAGCTAACACAGAGAAGAAATTCAGTATCCTATCAGATAAATTTGACGAAGAGATTGAAATAATTAGAAAGAATCAAGCAGAATTTCTAGAGTTGACAAATGCAATTGACATACCAAAGAATTCATTAGAGTCTCTTTACAGCAGAATTGACTGGGCAGAAGAAAGAATTAGTGAGACAGACAGAAAGAATTGAAGACAGACTGCTTGAAAATACACAGTCAGGGGAGATAAAATTCAAAAGACTGAAAAAGAATGAAGCACACCCATGATATCTAGAAAACAGCCTCAAAAGGGAATATCCGAGAGTTATTAGCCTTAAAGAAGAGACAGAGATGAGTTAAAAAGTTTAATTTAAAGGGATAATAAAAGAGAACTTCCCAAACCTAGAGAAAGATATGAATATTCAAATATAAGAAGGTTATAGAACAAAAAGCAGATTGAACTCAAATAAGACAACCTCAAGACATTTAATAATAAAAATTCCAAAAGTAAGGGTAAAGAAAGGATACTAAAACAACAATAAACAAGAAACAATTAATGTATAGTGGAGTTCTAATACATGTGACAACAGATTTCTCAGTGGAAACATTACAGGCCAGGAGAGAGTGACATGACATATTTAAAGTGTTAAAGGAAAAAAAAAAAAAAGCTTTTACCCTAGAATAATATATCTGGTAAAAATATCTTTCAAACAGGAAGGAGAAATAAAGACTTTCCCAAGCAAACAAAAGCTGGGGGATTTCATCAGCACCAGACCTGTCCTACAAGAAATGCTAAAGGGAGTTCATCAATCTGAAAGAAAAGAACATTAATGAGCAATAAGAAATCATCTGAAAGTACAAAACTCATTGGTAATAGTAAATGCACAGAGAAACACAGAAAATTATAATATTGCAATTGTGACATGTACACTACTAATGTCATGAGTAGAAAGATTAAAGATGAACCAATCAAAAATAATGACTAAAACAACGTTTCAAGACACACACAGTAATAGGAATGAATAGAAACTATAGTAATAAGATATGAATAGAAACAACAAACTTTAAGAAGTGGGGGAAAAAAAAGTTTGAATTATATTTTTCTTTGCTTTTCTTGTGGTATGTTTATGCAAGCAGTGTCAAGTTGTCATCAGTTTAAAATAATAGTTTGTAAGATATTATTTACAAGTCTCATGATAACCTCAAATCAAAAAACATATAAGAAATATACAAAAAATAAAAAGCAAGAACTTAAAACATACCACAACAGAAAATCACCTTCATTAAAAATAGGGCAGGGAAGAAGGATAGAAGAAAGACCACAAAACAACTAGAAAACAAATAACAATATGGCAGGAGTAAATCATTACTTATTAGTAATAACATTGATTGTAAATAGACTAAACTTTCCATTCAAAAGACAGAGTGGCTGGATAGATTTAAAAAAAATAAAACAAGACTCAGGCATCTATTGCTGACAAGAAACACACATCACCTATAAAGACACACATAGACTGAAAATAAAAGAATGGAAAAAGATATTCCATGCCAATGGAAACCAAAAAAAGAGCAGAAGTAGCTATCCTTATGTCAGACAAAATAGATTTCAAGACACACACTATAAAAAGAAACAAAGAAGGTCATTATATAATGACAAAAGGGTCAATTCAGCAACATGATAAAACAACAGTAAATATATATGCACCTAACACTGGAGCATACATATGTAAAGCAAATATTATTACAGCTAAAGAGAGATACAGACCTTAATACAGTAATAGCTGGAGAGTTCAACATCACACTTTTAGCATTGGACAGATCATCCAGACAGAAATTTAACAAAGAAACGTTGGACTTAATATGCACTATAGACCAAAAGGACCTAGTAGATATTTATAGAACATTTCATCCAATGGCTGCAGAATACACATTCTTTTCCTAAGCACATGGATCAGTCTCAAGGATAGATCATATGTTAGGCCACAAAACAAGTCTTACAACATTCAAAAAATTGAAATTATATTAAGTATCTTCTCTAACCACAATGGAATAAAACTAGAAATCAATAACAGGAGGAATTTTAGAAAGTGTACGCACATGAAAATTAAACAATTTTAATTTCCTGAATGATCAGTGGGTCAATGAAGAAATTAAGAAATTAAAACTTTTTTTGAAACAAATGATAATGGAAACACAACACCAAAACCCATGGGATACAGCAAAATAGTGCTAAAGGAGAAGTTCATAGCTATAAGTGCCTATGTCAACAAAGTAGAAAAAGTTCAAATAACCTAAGAATGCATCATAAATAACTAGAAAAGCAAGAACAATTCAAACCCAGCATTAGTAGAAATAAAGAAATACTAAGATTAGTGAATAAATAAATGAAATTAAAATAAATAAAACAATATAAAAATCAATGAAATGAAAAGTTGGTTTTTTTTTTAAAGTAAAAATTGTAAAGTAAACCAGACTAAGAAAACAGGAGAAAAAACCCCAAAAATAAAGTAGGAGATGTAACAGGAAACATTGCAATCAATACTGCAGAAATTCAAAGGCTCATTAGAGGCTACTATGAGCAAGTATATGCCAATAAATTGGATAACCAAGAAGAAATGGATAAATTCCTAGAAACATACAACCTACCAAGATTGAACTATGAAGAAATCCAACTCCCAAATATACCAATAACAAGTAACAAAATCGAAGTTGTAATAAAAAAAATCTCATAGCAAAGAAAAGCCTGGGACCTAAATTACCAAACATTTAAAGAACTAACACCAATCCTATTCAAACTATTCCAAAAAATAGATAAGGAGGGAATAGTTCCAAACTCATTCCGCAAGGCTAACATTTCCCTTTTACCAATACTAGACAAAGACACATCAAAAGAGAAAATGACAAGCCAGTATTCCTGATGAACATTGATGCAAAAATCCTCAAGAAAATACTGGCAATCTGAGCTCAACAACACATTAAAAATGTCGTTCATCTTGACCACGTGGGATTTATCACAGGGATGTGAGGATGTTCAACATGTACAAATCAATCATTGTGATACATCATATCAACAAAATAATGAACAAAAACCAAATGATCATTTCAATTGATGCTGAAAACCCATTTGATAAAGTTCATCATCTTTTCATAATAAAAACCCTCCCAAAACTGTACATAGAAGGAAGATATCTCAGCACAATAAAAGCTGTACATGACGGATAGTACCATAGTGAATGGGGAAAAACTGAAAGCTTTTCCTTTAAGTTCTGGAACCCAACAATGATGCCCACTTTCACCACTGTTTCTGAACAAAGAACTGAAAGTCTTCGCTAGAGCAATCAGACAAGAGAAAGAAATAAGGGCATCCAAATTAGAAAGGATGAAGTCAAATTATCCTTGTTTGAATATTATGCAATCTTAAATTTGGAAAAACCTAACGATACCACCAAAAAACTATTAGAATTCATGAATAAATTCAGTAATGTTGCAGGATAAGAAAAATCAACACACAAAAATTAGTAGCATTTCTATACACCAATGGCGAAAAATGTAAAAGACAAATCAAGAAAGTGACATCATTCACAAACTTTCAAACTATAGATACAAATATAATTAAATGACTATAAATTAACTTATCAAAGAAGGAAAGATCTCTACAATGAAAACCATATAACATTGATGAAAGAAATTGAAGAGGACACACACACACACACACACACACACACACACACAAGATATTCCATGGTCATGGATTGTAAGTATCAATATTGTTAAAATGTCTATACTACTTAGAGCAATCTACATATCCAATGTAACCTATTTTAAAATACCAATGATATTCTTCCAGAAATAGAAAAAAAATGCTAAAATTTATATAGATCCACAGAAGACCCACAATAGCCAAAGCTAAACTGAGTAAAAAGAACAAAGCTGAAGGAATTACATTAACTGACTTCAAATAATACTAGAGCTATTGTAACCAAAACAGGATGATACTGGTATAAAAGAAGACACAGACCAATGAAACACAATGGAGAACTCAGAAACAAATCCATACGCCTACATAAACTAATTTTTGACAAAGGTGCCAAGAGCATACATTGGGGAAAGGACAGACTCCAATACATAGTGCTGGGAAAACTGGATATCCATAAGTAGATGAATGAAACTAAACCCTCTATCTTTCACTATATACAAAAATCAAGTCAAAATGGATTAAAGACTTAAATCTAAGACCTCAAATTATGAAACTGCTAAAAGAAAACTCTGGGGAAACTTTCCATGGCATTGGACTGGGGAAAGATTTCTTGAGTAACACCCTACAAGCACAAACAACCAAGGCAAAAATAGACAAATGAAATCACATTAAGTTAAAAAGCTTCTGCACAGAAAAAAAAAGTGAAGAAACAACCCATAGAAAATATTTGCAAACTATCCATTTGACAAGGGATTAATAACATGAATATATAAGGATCCCAAACAACTCTATAGGAAAAAAAAATCTAATCCAATTAGAATTGGGCAATAAATCTGAATAGACACTTCCTAAAAGAAGACACAAATGACAAACAGGTGTATGAAAAAATGCTCAATATCATTGATCATCAGAGAAATGCAAATCAAAACTACAATGAGATATCTCATCTCAGTTAAAATGGCTTTTCT
Source organism: Homo sapiens (assembly GCF_000001405.40). Lineage (NCBI taxonomy): Eukaryota > Metazoa > Chordata > Mammalia > Primates > Hominidae > Homo > Homo sapiens. Next base: position 65,513,789 of record NC_000010.11, on the reverse strand, counting down.
TTCCCCAAAAAACAGGCAATAGCAAATGCTTGAGGAGGTGTGGAGAAAAGGGAACTCTTGAATATTGTTTGTGGGAATATAAGTTAGTACAACCCCTATGGAGAACAGTTTGGAGGTTCCTCAGAACACTAAAAATAGAACTTTTATATGAGCCAGCAATCCCACTGCTAAGCATATACACAAAAGAAAGATAATCAGTATATTGAAGAGATACTCGCACTCCCATGTTTATTGCAGCACTATTCCCAATAGTCAAGATTTGGAGGCAACCTAAGTTTTCTTCAACAGGTGAATGGATAAAGAAAATGTGGCACTTATACATAATGGAGTACTATTCAGCCATAAAAAGAATGAGATGCTGTTATCTGCAACAACATGGACAAATCTGGAGGTCACTATGTTAAATAAAATAAGCCAGGCACAGAAAGACAAGCTTCACATGTTCTCACTTATTTGTGGGAGCTAAAAATTAAAACACTTGAATTCTTGGAGATATAGCGTAGAACAATGGGTACCAGAGGCTGGGAAGGGTAGTGAAGCAGGGGAAATGGGGATGGTTGATGGGTACAAAAATATAATTAGATAGAATGAATAAGATCTAGTATTTTGTCCCACAACAGGTGATTACAGCCAACAATGATTTACTGTACATTTCAAAATAATGAAAAGACTGTAACTGAGCTGGGCACTGTGGCTCATTCCTGTAATCCAGCACTTTGGGAAGCTGAGGCTGGAGAATCACTTGAGGTAAGGAGTTTGAGACCAGGCTGGCCAACGTGGTGAAACCCCGTCTCTACTAAAAATACAAAAAGCCGATTGTGGTGGTACATGCCTGTAGTTGCAGCTATTTGAGAGGCTGAGGCTGAAGGATCGCTTGAACCTAGGAGACGGAGGTTACAGTGAGCCGAGTTTGCACCACTGCACTTCAGCCTGGGTGACAGAACAAGACTCCATCTCAAAAAAAAAAAAAAAAAAAAGTACAACTGGATTGTTTATAGCATGAAGAAAGGATAAGTGCTTGAGATGATGGAATTATGCACACTCCACTTACTCTTATGTGATTATTACGCATTGTATGCCTGTATCAAAACACTCACGTACTCCATCAATATATCTATGTATCCATACGAGTTAAAAATTTAAAAAAATGTTTTAAGAGAACTGTTTCCATGTTCAAAACATGTGCTTAATTCTAAGAATTCTAAGAGGTGAGGTTCCTATTTTATGAGAGAAGAATTCAATGAACACAATGTGTACATGCACCTCCTAAGTGCATGGAGATATAACGAAAATATAATAGATGTCATTAATATTAATATATAATTAGTTGGAACTACTTTTTTTCCCAAAAAAATGAGCCAGCTAGAGCTATTGTAATCCTAGATTTTTAAGATAACTAAATATTTTAGATTTCAAGAGCAGGGTGCTGCTGAACTATGAAAGGCCAGAAGCAGAGCCTGATAATTGTCAGGAGCCTGGGATTCCAGAGAGCCAAAAGGCTGTGTCATTCTTCACTCTCTGAAAAGCTGCTTTCTCTGCTATTTAGTTTACACAGGGAATGAAAGGTAGAAAGCACACAGTTTCCTGGCTTACATTACCAATGACCTGCATGGTTTGTGTCAGACATCCTCTCTGTTCCAATCAACCATGTCCAAGAGGAGGGGCTACTTAGCACAAATGTAGGTAATTGAAATAAACCATTGTGTGTGAGAGAAGAAATTAAGGGCATTATTTTTAGCTGGGCATATACTCTGTGAAATGATTACTACAATGTTGAAATTATAACGGCTCTTGATGCTTCTGGCTGGATGGAACGTTGGCCCTTACAAAGTTCTTCTTTCCAAGATAATTTAGGAAGCCCTCCAGGAGTGTCTTATCCCCGTCCATGAAAAAAATTATGGTTCCCCTGCTTTTTTGAAGTCAGCCAAACTAGAACTATGTGGCCACTGGCTTCCATAGCTCCATAGAGGTGCCAACTGCAACAAAAGGCCATTGCTTCAGCAGCTCTCTGCTGTTAACCATCACAGACACAACTTTAATCCTGATTAAGTTGAAGTTATCCCATCATCATTGATATTAGCATTAGCCAAGCAGTGATATGGCAACCCCTGGTCCTAGTGCCATTACAAGGTAATGCTCTGAATCAGACCAAGGTGTTTCCACTGGTACAGATCTCCAAGGCCCAGATCTCTGCTTATTCATCGTGGCTACTAATACTCTTATGAAATGCAAAAAAGAATTTTCCCTCCATATCTTCTTTTTCTCCTTGGAGAAGGGTACAGCAATGGGTTCAGTGAAAGACATTTTCATGTTTACCTATACAGTCTTTTCTTTTTATCTCCTTAGTGTGCCATTATCATTCCAGAAACATCACATCTCACAACATGAAAAATGAAATATTCCATAATTCCAAAAGCTACATGGATTCACACTGTTGTGTATATTCCCTGTCCACTTCTTTTTCTGTGTTCTAATATTTTTATAAATATTGAATGATACCATGAATATGAAAGTGCTTGAAATCTATTGTGTTACATAATCATAAATATTTTTATGAGAAATTTCCATCAAGACTGTATCCTCTGTGTCCATACCCAATAATTCAATTTTATTTTCTGATGTTAGATTAAAATTTGTCTCCTCCCTACTTTGTTGGGAGGCTACTCATCAAACTTTCCTCTGAAAAGTCTATGGTAATCCTAAGACAGGGAAGGCTCTGGGGAGTAGGAGCTTCCACATTCCTAGAAGCTAGAGAGAATATTTACATTTAGATCTTACTCTTTTCTTCCATATCTCTCCATTTGTTTCTATATCTATGAATTTATTGCTAATAAAGTAAGTCATAATAATTTTCTCATAATTTATTTCTGTGAACCGAAGATAGGAAACTCCTAATTTAGAAATTTACAACCATCACACATGCAGATACCAATAATAAAATCTGAAAAAGGACAAAAAAGGGAAAACAAAAAATCTAATAATACAAATATGTTCAATATCACTGGCAGTAAATAAAATCTTTACTATGAAATCAGCAAAACAAAATATCATAATATTTGATGATGGCAAGTATGAATGAGGCTATTATCTACTCTTTGTTAATGGAAGTTTATTCAATTTTTTCATGAAGCAATTTGGAAATATGTGCCAAGGGCCTCTAAATTGTTCATTTTTGAACTGATACTTTTAGTTGAATAACTCACTTCTAGGGGAAAAAATCCAAAACCTGGCCAAAATATTTATGCTAATACAGTATTTGCATAGTAAAACATTTGGAAACCAAATGAAATCTTCAACAGTAGAGGAACGGTTAAACAATTGTGCTCAATCCATGTTATGAAATATTGATCAAACAGAATTATTTTTACAAAACATTTCAAGGAGATATAAAAGTTATCTGGAATACATGGTGAGAGATTATAAAAATATAGCTTCTACATTCATATAAAATTTCACTTATTCATATTTCAGTCATTATTGAACACCACAATATACGTAACTTTTGAGTACGTTTCACGTGTTGCCCAACTTACTTCTCTAAATAATACTATCATGTAAGTACAACCATGCATCACTTAACAATGGGGATATATGCATTTCTGAGAAATGCATCCTTAGGCGATTTCATTATTGTGTGAACATCCTAGAGTGTACTTACCTAGATGGTATAGGTTACTACACAGCTATGCTATACATTACAGCCTCCAGGCTACAAGTCTGTACAGCATGGTACTGTATTGAACACTGTTGGCAATCATAACACAGTGGTAAATACTTGTTTATCCAAACACATATAAACACAGAAAGGGTAATGTAATGTAAGATGCTATAACATTACGACAGCTATAGTGTCACTAGGCAATAAGAAACTTTCAGCTCCATTATCATCTTATGGAACAACCTCATATATGTAGTCTGTCCTTGACTAAAACGTTGGTACAAGGTACATGACTGTTTTATCAAAACCATTTAACTTAGTTTCAGAAAGACTGGCAATTTCGTTCCAGAAAGTTTCATCATAGTGGCCAATCTAATCATTGGCAAACCAGTGCAGTATTCACACTGAGAAAGTTTCAATATTAAGTTGTCCTTATCTGTCCTGGTTGGTGTGACAGTTAAGTGTCAACTTGATTGGATTGAGGGATGCAATGGAGAACCCTGACTAATGCCAATTTTGATACAGGAGTGGTTCTAGAGGAACAGAATATTAAGGATGGAGTTCTTTTTGTGCTTTTAGGGTTTCTGGAGTTCGCTGCTTAATATGATTAAACTAAAAAATGCTAAGGACTCTACTTCTAATAGCATGGAGAACACTGAGAGTCCTTGGCATGAGCTGTTTAGAGAGTTATGCAAAATAAATGCATTTGACTCTCCTGATTCACTGCTTATGAGAGGCAAGGAGTTTAGTGACTCTATACATAATAACTGACTGTATGTGGGGAACCAAGGAATATAATGAAGTTGGTTGTTTGCTCCTAAGTTCACTGGAAAAGGGATGAAAGAAAATGAACTCAGGGATTCTAACTCCCAGCTTCAGAAGCAGATACTGAGCCTCAAATCTGCTAAGGTTGCTGAGTGAGAGTCTTATCTCCTGTAGAGAAAGAGGTAAAATTGTGGAAAATCAAACACAAGTTCTTATCATGTGAGCGGCTGACCTGCAATGAAAAGTGCATGCACAGCCTCACCAGGTGTCTGCTGTTAAAGTGAGGACATTGATTGGAAAAAATGGGACCTTACAACTTGGAATGGGGATGTGTGGGAGGACCTTGATGAAGCTGGGGATACTGAGTTGTGAACTCTGATGAACCTTTTTTTGCCAGAAGAAACAGCTTTCCCACCCCCAGTAGTGGCAACATCCCCTCCCTGACCCACGCTGCCATCAGCCTTTCCACTTTTGTCCGAGGAGATAAACTCTGTGCTTACTAAGGCAAGAAGGATAGCCTCCCCTGAGGCAGGTGCCAGGCAGGATAATGTTGATTTTCTTCAGGAGCCACCTCTAACACTCCTGTTTGCTTCTAGACTTATAACTAGACTAAAGTCCTGGCAGGCCTCTAGAGGTGAAGTTCAGAGTGTGACCCACACTTGAAAAGAAGTGCTTGAGTTTTCTAATTTATAGAAGCAGAAATCTGGAAAACAGACATAGGAATGGATATTAAGGGTACGGGATAATGGTGGAAAGAACAGAGATGGATCAGGCTGAATTTATTGATTTGGGCCCACTAAGCAGGGATTCTGCATTTAATGTTGCAGCTTGGGGAGATAAAAGTGTTTCTAATCATTTATTTGCTTGTTAGCTGAAATATGGATTAAAAGATGGCCCACTGTGAGTGAGCTGGAAATACCTGATCTCCCTTGGTTTAATGTAGAGGATGGGTGCCAAAGGCTTAGGGAGACTGAGACGGTGGAGTGGATTAGTCACTTTAGACCTACTCATCCCAGCTGGGAGGGTCCAGAAGATAGACCCTTGACCAATGCTTTGTGAAATAGATTTGTGAGCACAGTACCTGCATCTTTGAAAGAGCCCTGTAATTGTTCTTCTCTGTATGTCAGATCTAACAGTGGGAATGGCAGTCATTCAACTACAAAATTTAAATACAATGGGAATAATTGGATCCCGAAGTGGCAGGGGCCAAGTGACAGCACTAAACCGTCAAAGGCAAGGTGGGCATAGCTACCATAATGGACAGTGGAAGCAAAGCAGCAATCGGAATAGTCTCACTCCTGGAGAGCTCTGGCATTGGCTAATTAATCATAGAGGGCCTAGAAGTGAAATTGATAGGAAACCTACAACATTCCTACTTAATTTATATAAGCAGAAAACTTCCGGGTCGAGTGGACAAAACACTAATTTGAATCATAAAAACAGAGAACCACATCCCCTCAATCAATTTCCAGACTTAAGCCAGTTTACAGACCCAGAACCCCTTGAATGAAGGGGAGGCTAGGTCCCCTTGAGGAAGGACCCCAATACACTACCGACAATTTATGCTGTTAATCTTTCTCCCATCTTTCCCCAAGGAGACCTCCAGCCTTTTACCAGGGTAACTGCATTGGGTAAAGGGAAATTATGAGACATTTCAGAAACTACTGGACACTGACTCAGCTGACATTGATTCCAGGGCACCCCAAACATCATGGTGGTCCTCCAGTTAAACTAGAGGCTTATGGAGGTCGGGTAATTAATGGATTTTTAGCTCAGGTCCAACTTACAGTGGGTCCAGTGAGTCCCTGGACTCATCCTGTGGTCATTTCCCCAGTGCCAGAATGCATAATTTGCATAGATGTACTTAGCACCTGGCACAACCCCCACATTGGCTCCATGACTAGTAGGGTGAGGGCCATTATGGTGGGAAAGGCCAAATGGAAACCGTTAGAGCTGCTCTACCTCGAAAAATAGTAAATCAAAAACAATATCACATCCCTGGAAAGATTGTGGAGATTAGTGCCACCATCAAGGACTTGAAAGACGCAGGAGTGGTGATTCACATCACATCCCCATTCAACTCTCCTATTTGGCCTGTGCAGAAGACAGATGGATCTTGGTTAATTATAAGCTTAACCAAGTGGTGACTTCAATTGCAGTTGCTGTACCAGATGTGCTTTCATTGCTTAAGCAAATGAACACATCCCCTGGTACCTGGTATGCAGCCATTGATTTGGCAAATGCCCTTTTCTCCATTTCTGTCCATAAGGCCCACCAGAAGCAATTCGCCTTCAGCTGGCAAGGCCAGCAATATACCTTTACTCTCCTACCTCAGGGGTATATTAACTCTCTTGCTTTGTGTCATAATCTTGTTCGAAGAGACCTTGATGGCTTTTTTGCTTCCACAAGATATCACACTGGTCCATTACATTGATGATATTATGCTGATTGGATCCAGTGAACAAGAAGTAGCAGACACACTGGACTTATTGGTGAGACACATTGGACTTACTGTGTGCAAGAGGATGGGAAATAAATCTGACTAAAATTCAAGGGCCCTTTACCTCAGTAAAATTTCTAGGGATCCAGTGGTGTGGGTCCTGTTGATATTTTCCTTCTAAGGTGAAGGATAAGTTGCAGCATTTGGCCCCGCCTACAAACAAGAAAGAGGCACAACTCCTAGTGGGCCTACTTGGATTTTGGAGGCAACACATTCCTGATGTGGGTGTGTTATTCGGACCCATTTATTAAGTGTCCTGAAAGGCTGCCGGTTTTGGGTGGTGTCCAGAACAGGAGAAGGGTCTGCAATGGGTCCAGGCTGCTGTGCAAGCTGCTCTGCCACTTGGGCCATATGGCCCAGCAGATCCAATGATGCTTGAGGTGTCAGTGGCAGATAGGGATGCTGTTTGGAGCCTTTGGGAGGCCCCCAAAGGTGAATCACAGAAGAGGCCTCTAGGATTTTGGAGCAAAGCTCTACCATTTTCTTCAGATAACTACTCTCCTTTTGAGAGACAGCCCTTGGCCTGTTACTGGGCTTTGGTGCAAATTGAACGTTTGACTATGGGTCATCAAGTCACCATGTGACCTAAACTGCCTTTCATGAACTGGATGCTTTATGACCCATCTAGTCATAAAGTGGGTCATGCACAGCAGCATTCCATCATCGAATGGAAGTGGTATATATGTGATTGAGCTCGAGCAGGTGCTGAAGGCACAACTAAGTTTCAGAGGAAGTGGCTCAAATGCCCATGGTATCTACTCCTGGCACCCTTCCTTCTCTCCCCTGCCTGCACCAGTGGCCTCATGGGTAATTCTCTATGATCAGTTGACAGAGGATGAGAAGACTAGGGCCTGGTTCACAGATGGTTCTGCATGATATGCAGGCACCACCCAAAAGTGGACAGCTGCAGCACTACAGCCCCTTTCTAGGACATCCCTGAAGGACAGTGGTGAAGGGAAATCTTCCCAGTGGGCAGAACTCTGAGCAGTGCACATGGTTGTGCACTTTGCATGGAAGAAGAAATGACCAGATGTGAGATTATTTGCTGATTCATGGGCTGTAGCCAATGATTTGGCTGGATGGTCAGGGACTTGGAGGAAGCATGATTGGAAACTTGGTAACAAAGAAATTTGGGGAAGAGGTATGTGGATGGACCTCTCTGAGTGGTCAAAAACTGTGAAGATACTTGTATCCCATGTGAGTGCTCACCAAAGGGTGAACTCAGCAGATGAGGATTTTAATAATTAAGTGGATAGGATTACTCATTTTGTGGACACCACTCCGCCTGTTTCCCCAGCCACCTCTGTCATCGCCCAATGGGCCCATGAACAAAGTGGCCACGGTGGCAGGGATGGAGGTTACACATGGGCTCAGCAACATGGACTTCCACTCACCAAAGCTGACCTGGCTACAGCCACTGCTGAGCGCCCAATTTGCCAACAGCAGAGACCAGCACTGAACCTTCAATATGGCACCATTCCTAGGGGAGATCAGCCAGCTACTCATTGGCAGGTTGCTTATATTTCCATCATTGAAAGCACAGAGATTTGTCCTCACTGGAATAGACACTCTAGATATGAGTTTGCCTATCCTACACACAATGCTTCTGCCAAGACTACCATCCGTGGACTCACAGAATGCCTTTTCCACCGTCATGGTATTCCACACACACCATTGCTTCTGACCAAGGCACTTACTTTATAGCTAAAGAAGTGCGGCAGTGGGCTCATGCTCATGGATTTCACTGGTCTTACCATGTTCCACATTATCTTGAAGCAGCTGGATTGATAGAATGGTGGTATGGCCTTTTGAAGTCACAATTACAACGCCAACTAGGTGACAATAATTTTCAGGGCTGGGGCAAAGTTCTCCGGAAGGCCATGTATGCTCTGAATCAGTGTCCAATATATGGTACTGTTTCTCCCATAGCCAGGATTCACAAGTCCAGGAATCAGGGGGTGGAAGTGGAAGTGGCACCACCCACCATCACCCCTAGTGATTCACTAGCAAAATTTTTGCTTCCTGTTCCCATGACATTACATTCTGCTGGCCTACAGGTCTTAATTCCAGAGGGAGGAGCATTCCCACCAGGAGACACAACAATTCCATTAAACTGGAAGTTGAGATTGCCACGTGGACACTTTGGGCTCTTCCTACCTTTAAGTCAACAGGCTAAGAAGGGAGTTACAATGTTGGCTGGGGTGACTTACCCAGCCTATCAAGATGAAATCTGTCTACTACTCCATAATGGAAGTAAGAAAGAGCATGCCTGGAATACAGGAGATCCCTTTGGGGCTTGTCTTAGTATCACCATGCCCTGTGATTAAGGTCAATAGGAAACTACAACATCCCAATCCAGGCAGGACTACAAATGGTCCAGACAGACCCTTCAGGAATGAAGGTTTGGGTCACTCCACCAGGAAAAAAAAAAACACGACCTGCTGAGGTGCTTGCTGAAGGCAAAGGGAAACAGAATGGGTCGTAGAAGAAGGTAATCATCAATACCAGTCACAACCAAGTGACCAGTTGCAGAAAGGAGAACTGTAATTGTCATGAGTATTTCCTCCTTCTTTTGTTAAAAACATATTTGTTCATGCATACACTTGTACTAAGAAAATATCTTCATTTTATTTCCTTTTTCCATTATCATGTGATTTAAGATTTACTGACTTCACATTAGCATTTAAGTGTTTTTAACTTTATGTAATAGCATTTGGATTGGGGATTGGTGCCTTTCCAGTTGTATGAAGGATAGTTGTAATATGTTAGGCATAATTATGACCTTATAATTCTCTTTATTTGAAGATTATGTATGATCTCAGGAGGTGTGTATGGGTTCGAGTTGACAAGGGGTGGACTTGTGATGGTTAATACTGAGTGTTAACTTGATTGGATTGAAGGATGCAAAGTATTGATCCTGGGTGTGTCTGTGAGAGTGTTGCAAAGGAGATTAACATTTGAGTCAGTGGGATGGGAAAGGCAGACCCACCCTTAATTTGGGTGGGCACAATCTAATCAGCCACCACTGCGACTGGGATAAAAGCAGGCAGAAGAACATGAAGAGATCAGACTAGCTTAGCTTTCCAGCCTACATCTTTCTCCTATGCTGGATGCTTCCTGCCCTCGAACATGGACTCCAAGTTCTTCAGCTTTGGGACTCAGACTGGCTTCCTTGCTACTCAGCTTGCAGACGTCCTATTGTGGAACCTCGTGAATGTGTGAGTTAATACTCCTTAATAATCTCCCCTTTTTATATATATGTAGCCTATTAGTTATGTCCTTCTAGAGAGCCCTGACTAACACAGTTGGCATGAGGGCCTGCAGTATAAATTCATAGATTAGGCTCATTATTCCTTTTTTGTCCCATATTGCAGTACCCTGATCAAGTACCCTATTATGAGTCATAAAAGCAATATCCCTCTCTACCCAAAGGTATGACAAGATAAGGCATCTTAGGCAAGCATAGTGGTGGTGAAATAGCTATAAGTAAGTTTTTTTTTGCATATACGTTGTAGTTATATTAGTTACAACAAAGTTCTTAGACATTCTAATAACTCTACTATTTAACATAAGCCCCAGAGATTCCTCATGATGTTTCCTACTCCTTGTGAAGGATAGAAGAATCATTTTCTCACAAATAAACCTATAAAAATAAGATAATGACCTAAACCAAAGAAATATATATACATTCTTGGGTGTGTAAGTATACATATGAGTGCACACACATACACCTATATATATATACACACATACACGTATATATGTAATATATTGTATACATTACATATATACAAATATATATACATATATATTTACATATATAGATTCACTGAATATATATGCATACTGAAATCAGGGGAAATCAATGAAGCACATTTTTTGGATATGATATCAATATATACAGATAATAAAACAGTCCCAAACAAACTGATAGATAGGCTAAATGCTGAAAGTGTTTTCTCCTTCACTAAGAAAGGTATACTATTTAAGAATTGCTAAATGTATTACCTTTATAAATTAGACTACTTATAGCAGGTATTCTACTTTCTGTGTTGTACTACTCAGAATAGTATTTAGCAATAAATTACTCTCTGGTAGAAGTCTCCTGTAGGCTTTACTTTTTAGAACTTTTAATTAAATTGCTAAAAGCAAACAATAACCCCCACCATATCATATGAGACTGTTCATTCCCCAAGACAATGAATCTAGCTTCTGTTTTTAACTGAAATAACCTCTCAACAAATATCTTTTTGACTTTTTTCTCATAAAAATAATAATAATAGAACTCTTCCAGAAAAAAAAATTCTGCTGCAAAAGTAAGGATATGAAAGAAGAATATTTTCTTCAGAAATATTACTAAAGTTTTCTGTCACCTAAAACCCGCTTTCTAGTTTCAAGTTTTATATCACCACATAACTTGAAGTTCCACATTATTTGTGTTTTCCATTTGTATAATAAGGAAAATTTAATAATTCAAAGAAAGGTCACTGAAAAAGTAATTTAGAATTGAGATCTCAATGCCCAGGCAAAGCACAATTCACTGGGTTAAGCTGTCCTTTGAAAAATGTGACTGAAAATACCATACAGAATACCAAACATGATCACAGTATCAGAACTTCTTTAAGTTGACAAATGATATTCTTTTAGGATGGAAATTAGTTTTCGTCTTCTGACATATCAGCCCTTTATTCCGTCCCATATTCTCTCAAATATTCATGTCAAGTTTGTCCTCCACTAATGAGAAGGTAAAAATTATTGTAGTTGAACATCTGGCTTAAGAAACAAGTTTTCTACCTTTTACCCAGGTTAGTACCGAAGGTGGTGTTGGCAAAAAAGTTACATAGCTCTTCCTATTTAAGTTGTTTTTCATTGATAAAGTTATAGAGGACTGTCAGAACAAACAAACTAAAGCATAATTAACTTTAAATAAATTAAATTCACAGGTTGGAATAGCTTTTCTTTTATTCAAAACTGCCTGCACCAGGTCTACACCAGTCATTAGCTTCAGTACTATTCAAGAATACCATCTCTAATAAACACAAAAACCCAAGTAAATAACAAAATAATAAATGTAAGGCAAAAACATATAACAAATTCAGGCATTTTAATTATATAGTTACTACTTAAGATAAATAATTTCATTATTTATTAGGCAACTAACAACATGATATTCTTTAAAATATAACATATTAACTAGGAAACTGACAAAACCTAAATAGGACTACAAGATTTTAATTTACTTTTCTCAATAGATCAAGTAGACCCAAATTTACCAAGTTCCTAAATAACACACATATCTCCTGTGAACCTTGAAAGAGCCGATCCTTCCAGATGGATCTTGAGTGGCTAAATGGGCCTATATTCAAAATGGGGTTGAGTGGCCATTTGCTGACTAGACGTCACCCATGTACTCTGCGTTCCTGGAAAAAAACCATGCTTAAGTAGCATAGGAACTTTCATAGCTGTCTGCTCTTGTTTACATAGTCTAGATCAAAGGCTGCTGGAAAGTCCCATTTCACCACCTAGACCTAACCAATAGACTGCAACCTGTGATCATTCTTAATGTCAGTGCACCTTTATTTTGTACTGAAGGCTGCATCTCTGTTTTGCAAACTGCTCACTGGAATCATCTCTTTCTTTAAAAAAAAATCTTTTCAGTGGATTTATTAACACTATAAGCACAAATACCTGTGTATGTGTGTACATATATGTAGGGGTATACACAAATACATGTATACACATATATTTATGCTTTACTCTGAAAAATTTAATCACTCACTGGTTTATTTGTTAAAATTTATGCCTTTATTCTATTAATGTTTTGAGGAATCTACTATGTGCAAGTGATTCTAGGCTCTAAAAATGAAGTATTGAAGAGGATAGATGAGTTACTGCTCTTATGAAGCTTGAAATCGGTGGGTTAAAAAGATAACTTGTATACAAGTTAACAAGTAAGATTATGACTGTGTGCTATTGTGGAAATAAAGAGGCAATGTGACATAATTGTGGAACCAAATGTCAATTAAGAAACTATGACCTATTCAAAAAATGGTGCTGAGAAAATTCACCAACAATTTTTTTTCTGTGTTTATTTTTTTATTTTATTTTTTATTATACTTTAAGTTTTAGGGTACATGTGCACAATGTGCAGGTTAGTTACATATGTATACATGTGCGATGTTGGTGTGCTGCAGCAATTAACTCTTCATTTAGCATTAGGTATATCTCCTAATGCTATCCCTCCCCCCTCCCCCGACCCCACAGCAGTCCCCAGAGTGTGATGTTCCCCTTCCTGTCTCCATGTTCTCATTGTTCAATTCCTACCTATGAAAAAATTCACCAACAATTTAAACAAAAGTTTAACATCTGCCTCACATTATGCACAAATTCTGTGTGAAGTGCTAAATTAGAAAATTAGAAAAAATAGAAAATCTTTAGAAGAAATATAAAAAAATGTTATTTTGGCTTCTAGCTAGAGGGGTAAAAGGAATAAAATTATATATGCAAATATTTCCCTGGTAATATAAACTTACAATTTCTAAAGGAAAACAATACCATAGAAGTTTTTTGTTATATATTAAAGAGATAAATTTTAGTGCCAAGTATTCATAAAGAGCTAGACTGAATCAGTTAAAATAGAATGTTAGGAAACAGGCAAAAGTTATGATGAAGGAAATAAATATAAATTGCTGAAAAATATTTGAAATTATGTTCAAATCCAAATCAGTTATTTTATAATAAATATCACACACAAACTTGAAGAAAATTCTTGAGAAGATATGAGATGAAGGGATGTTTACAGGGTTTTATGACAGCTTTGAATGATCAATTTTGGAGCAGCAAAGAATAAGGAATTTTCAGAGTATTTATATTATGAAGATCTTTTTAAAACTCACCTTGAATATATCACTAAAAAATTATCCATGAATTTCTTTCATTCTCTTGCCAATACACTTGAAAGTGTTCAATCTTAGAAAATAGGATCATGCAACAGCCGCTGGACTATGAAACAGTGAGAATATATACTTAGAAGTAGATTCTCTAGGAACATCGGTTTCTCTTGTGGAAGAGCAGGGTAACCTGGTTCCTAAGCATGCAACAGAAGAAAGATAATAACCCAAAAGAAAATTAAGATCTTTAAAAAATATACTGTAGATGGCAAGTGCCAAAAGTAGTCAATGTTTATGGTGCCTTTCCTTTCTTCCTACACTTACGGCTTCCAAAATCCTCTATTTACAATACTAAAGCTCTTTCTCAACCCTAAGAACACTTTGCTCTTTTCAAAGTGAGACAAGCCGAAGTCTTATTGTTGCTATAAACAATGTTAAAAGCTGTCCATTTCTCTTTTGCTTTTGCAATTCATTTATTGTTTTTCTTCTGTGAATTAGTGGTAAATATTTTCTTTTATTCTGCAGAGTAATTGGTTAATACCTGAATCCACCAACACATCTTATATGCCATAGTGTAAGAAAAGAAGATGAGAAATAAAATTAAAATATATATAAATGTAAGCAAAAGAACAAGAAAGGAAATAGAGGCCCTCTGTAGTCCTAAATTTGTCACATGTTAATATATTGTAGCTGTTTTATTAATCATTTTCTTTCTTCATCATCTATTGCATTATAGTTTTGCCCTTGGCCAAACCTCTTATTCAACATTTATTTACATATTCAGATCAAAATGAAGAATAATTTATGTGTCATTAGCTGAATGCCTGTTTTCATATGATGATTGGATTTTCTGTAATGAATAGAAGCTTTCTTAGAGTCGCCACTTTAATACATCTGTAATAATCCAATGTCATTCTCAGATCCTGTTGTGTTATGTACCCAGTCAAATGGAGATTGAAATGAGAATGCAGCAATAAATGCACTTCTTGTTTTTTTCTTTCTGTTTTTTTTTTGCATCATTCAAGTCACGGAATAGAATATTATTGTCTTATTTTGTAATCTTCATTGTTTCATATAATATTTTAGAGCATTTGTCTTTGCTGTTCCCCTGGGAAAGCTCCTATCTCAGATGGCTTAATCCTCTGTGTTATTCAGCACTCCGCTTAAATGCCACTTCCTCAGAGAGGACTTCCTTGGTCATCCTTTCAAAAGCTGTACCTATTGTTTATTCCTTGCCCTATTCTTTTTTCTTTATAATATTTAGCACTACCTGAAATTATATATTGTCTGTCTCTTTTATTAGACTATAAACTCAATAAAGATAACGTTTTATTAAATTTAGAAGTGAATTAGAATGCCTAGGTTGTGGATAGGGCATGGTGGTTTACAAAATGTGTTCCCTAGATTAGCAGCATCAGCATCAACTGGCAACTTGTTAAAAATGTACATTTTGGGTTCCAACCCAGACCTACTAGGTTATAAACTCTGGGAGTGGCCTCAGCAGTCTCTGCTTTAAGCAGTTCTCCACGTGATTCTGATGCTCTCTAAAGTTTAAAAACTTATGTCATAGCAATGGCTGGTGCTCAGTAAATATCCTTAATGGCAACTTCACAAATCAGGAATTCACTGGGGAAATCCTCTCAGTTGCTGAAGTTATCTATTTCAACTCTACAATCGGTAACTGGGAAAATAATCCCAGGAAGGGTTTCGAGTCCTGTAGGATTTTCCAAGGTATGAATGAGGGTTAAAATTTCACTGATCATTTGATTGACCTTGTAAGTTCCTACATTGGTAGGGACACCTCACTAGCACTCTACCTACCCTGGAATTTGTGTTGGTCTAGATCCAAATACAGCATTTCTTAAAAGACTTGGTTTTCCTGTTTTATGGGACAGACACTCATACAAGAACAGTCACATGTATCTGAGATTAGAGTACTGATAATACACACTTGTATTGTTACAGAAGTGTTCCTCCTTAGGAGTACTCAAAATCTCCTCTCTAGCTGTGCCTGAGTTGTAGATGGACTCAAGAGTGGGAATGGTTTAAATTTAAAGATATAAAGATAAAAATACAAAGATGAAAAGATACATAAATCTATATAATTTTATACTACTGTGGCAACTCAGTTGATTCCTCTTTTATTTATTTATTTATTTGCATTACAGGTTTTTAATTTGAATTTTATAAGATACTTTTTGTTCCCAGGTATCTCCTGACTATTCACCATAGCTAGAATTTTCTTATTTTTATGGATATTTAGTTTTTAAGTAAAACAAGTTGACTCAATGACTCTTTGATTAGAGTGATATTTGACTTGAGTGATAAAGTCTCTCTTTGATTACAGTGACGGAATCAGCTGGAAACTAAAAAAATAAATTTAGAAAGTAACCGGAAGGTATGCTCTGCCAATTTGGGATTTTTAGCTATCTTTGCATTAACTTTGAATAGAATTCAAAATACCTGGGAAAAGAGTGCCAGATTGGATTAGCTTACTTCACCCTTTCAAGATAAGGAACTCAGGGAACATTGAATTATAGTACCACCAAGAGTAAAAGAATGAGAAAGAGTTCGTTTCCCAAAACGAATTTCACTGCAGTTAAGAAAATTGTTGTTTGGTAGCCCAAAACAGCAAATCTCCACTAATCTTGTTGTTTAGTGTTGACTACCGGGCACAAAGCCAAATATTTGAGCATATTTATACCTTTGAAGAGCTGAGTCTAGATCAATATTTTTTCCATGGCGTTGCTGGTCAGAAAGTATGTGTTTAACTTTGAAAGAGAAGGAAAGCAATATTGCTCTGTACATAGCTCATTTTTTTTCCTTTCAAAGTTCTTTAAAAGCATTAATGCATTAATTTTCACCAATACTCCAAGAAAGAAGAAAGTGTTATTATTCTCATTTTTCAAGTGAGTAAAGGAAGACAGAAAGAGATTAAGTAACTTGCCGAAGCATCAGGTCCAGATTGGAATTTGTGAATTTAAGCAAGTTTCCCTGTAGTAGCACTTTCCCTCAGTAAAAGCAAGAGGTAGGGGCTAGGGGGTTGGGGGGGTGGAGATTGCAAATACAGAGCTTTTTTCTGCAAATCATTTTCAGCTTGTCATCAAAATTCTGATTTTGCTCCTTGAATACACTAGCAGTAGGTATGGCAAAAAGTGTCTGCCAAATATACCACAGAATTGTAACACTATCCTTTGGTTCAATTTCTATTGGCACGTTTTGAAAAGCCCCGAGGCCATTTCCGCTGTGTCACAGAGCTCCAGTACAGAATTCCCAGGAACAGATCCCCTCTGTGAAGAAGACCGCAGGTTCTCCTGCATATAGCACTTAAAAAAAAAAAAAAAAAAGTATTCTGGCTGGTCTCGGGCTCTATGAGATACATCACCACACTGCTTTTCATTTTGGAGCTCAAAGATTTTGGAAAATTATTTTTTCATCCAGTAAATAAATCCCAAATATTTTTGGCATATTTTCCTTTAACAATAGTCTAATCCATGGGAGTTTATCATAAACATTATTAATTGGACATGCTGGCTAGCATCATGTTCTGCTTATGAGGAAAAAGTTATATGACATAGGAAGGCACAGAGTCTAACAGATTCTCAATTAAAATGAGGACAAACATTCCAAATACAGTGAAAGAAATTTCAAAATAGTAATGATATTAAAAGTAATAAATCAAAGTGTATCCAGATAAGTCATACCTCACTTCATCCTTGCCCTTCAATATAGATGTGAATATTGAAACAGAAAGCACTGTGATGGGTAAGAAGGTATTTCTGGTCTTATTCGGTGATCAATACTCCTTTCAATTCGCTTGCATAACCTTTCTAGTTTTCCTTTCCCATTTCTTAGTGGATTTACTCTGTGTTAGGAAATGCACTAAATACTTTATCTGCCGAGCATAGACTCCCGTTTTTCCCCCTCTGTTCATATCTCACCTCCATAACTCACCAGCCATTTGAAATTAAGTAAGTTACTCAATCTCTCTATGCTACAGTAAACTGTAAACTGGGAATGATATTTATGATTATCTCATAAGATCTGTGAGGAAAATAACTTAGATAATGCTCTTGCCAAATTTCCAGCACATATTAGGTGTTAATTTTACGTTAACTATTGCAGTTAAGTTTCATGATAATTCTACAAGTAGTATTGTATTTGTCATTTCAAAGATGAAGAATTTTGAAAAGCTTAAGTAATCCATAGCTCCTTGATCTCATCTGCTTGCACCTAAATCTAGGCTTCAGTTTTTTTACCCTTATTCTGATTATCTTTGTTACTGGAAAGTGATCCCGATCCAGATGCCAAGAAAGGGTCCTTGGAGCTCAGGCAAGAAATAATTCGAGGTGAATCCATATAGTGAAAGCAAGTTTATTAAGAAAGCAAAGGAGTAAAAGAATGGCTACTCCAGAAGCAGAGCAGCAGCATGGGCTACTCGACTGCATTTACTTATTTCTTGATTATATGCTAAATAATGGGTGAATTATTCATGAATTTTCCAGGATAGGGGTGGGCAATCCCTAGAACTGAGAGTTCCTCCCTCTTTTAGCCCATATAGGGTAATTTCCTGATGTTGTCATGGCACCTGCTAACAGTCATGGTGCTGTCTTTTAGCATGCTAATGCGTTATAATTAATGTATAATGAGCCATGAGGACGACCAGAGGTCACTTTCATCACCATCTTCGTTTTGGTGGGTTTTGGTGGGTTTTCACCAGCTTCTTTACCGCATCCTGTTTTATCAGTAAGGTCTTTGTAACCTGTATCTTGTGTTGACCTCCTATCTCATCCTGTGACAAGAATGCTTAACCTCCTGGGAATGCAGGCCAGGAGGCCTCAGCCTTATTTTACCCAGCCCTTATTCAAGATAGAGTCGCTCTGTTTCAAACACCTCTGACACCTTGATTGATCATTTTGTTTAAACTTCGTTTTCCAGCTCTGACCTCAAACCCCTTCAACAATATGGCTTCCATTTTCATCCGTGGGCTCTACCTATGATGACCTCCCCTGTATTGGTACCTGCCCCTCTACTACCAGGACAACCCTGAGCTCTGTGAGACCCAAAGATACAGCCTTCTTTCCAAACAGCCATCAATTCTTTCTATTGGAGGGGGCTAGAAAATAACAGCTTCATGGGTCTGTCTATACCAATGGCTCTCTGATTTTGGCCTACATCAGAATCAGTTGGAGAAGTTGACAAAATATATTTCTGGCTTCTATTTCCAGAAGATTTGGTATATCTAGGGTAAGGCTCAAGAATTTGCATTTCTAAATTTACAGAGAATGCTGATACAGCTGCTCTAGGGAACACATTTTAAAAACCACTGGTCCGGGCCGGGCGCGGTGGTTCACGCCTGTAATCCCAGCACTTTAGGAGGCCAAGGCCAGTGGATCACCTGAGGTCAGGAGTTCAAGAGCAGTCTGACCAAGATGGTGAACCCCATCTCTAATAATATTCAGAAATTAGCCAGGCGTGGTGGCGGGCACCTGTAATCCCAGCTACTCAGGAGGCTGAGGCAGTAGAATCGCTTGAACCTGGGAGGCAGAGGTTGCAGTGAGGCAAGATCACACCATTACACTCCACCCTGGGGGACAGAGGGAGATTCCATCTCAAAAAAAAAAAAAAACCAAGAAAACAAAAACGAAAACCATTGGTCTGTGTGTTTTTCTCAAAAACCCCAATAGAACATTCCTGTCAGAAATATAGCTTTTTTCCCTCAAATTAAGAAATAGCCAAATCATTTATGTTAAGCTATGGTTTTTAGTGAGTTCCAGTTTTAATCAGCATTTGGACATATCAAGTACTTATTAATATTTACACTCCATAGCATATTTTACAGCTATTAATTTGAATGTTGCTAGCATGGTTAGAGTACAGTTATTTAAACTTGAAAATCAAAAGTGCCTGCATTAAAGAGCATCTTTTTCCTGAGAAATTCAGTGTATTCCATACTAGAAAGTTACTTTCTCTGGTATAAAGATAAGACATTAGTTTTATTTATAATATTTGCAAAGGCAAAAGTAAGAAGTTGATTTTATCATTAGTTTAAAAACTATAAAAGCACAACCTGGCACTGTTATATTTTGAAAATTTACTTCCTATAATTTAACCAGTGATTTTAGAATATTTATATTATTTTCAATCTCACTTATTTCAGTAGTTTCTATTGGGAATAGTAGGTCTATGAAAGGATTACTTGGGTAAAAGACAACTTAATGTTCAAACATATTTGGTAAATTATATACTTGGGCAGTCGAGTTTTCTATGTTTTTTAGGATTTATTGTATATACCTAATTTGAATATCATTCATTTTCAAAGCAATTCAATATAATGCACTACTTTAGTAGTTACTCAATGAATATAATTAAAACGTATTTTTGTGCTTCATAGCCTGTGCTTTATTTTAAAGAGCCATGGCAATTGTTCTGGCAAAAAACATAGTTAATGCAGATCTATAAATATTAAGATTTTAGGTAAAATTGATTTAATTATTTATAATTAAATATTTTAAAAATATTTATATTTCCCATTTCGGTATTTGACTAAATGCAGACTTACGGGATATTAGGAGCCTAAAGATATGCTAGCAACCTACAGTTACCATCATGTAAATACTTATACTTCCAGATACTGAATAATGGGTATTACATTTGTGTTCAAATTTCTACTATAATTTTTTGTCTGCATAATTCTGTGAAAAGTGTACTTCCCACCTTCCTTGACCAAATTCCATGTTTTGAACTTCCTTTTTCTATCCTCTGAATTTGATCCTAACCAAATGTGTTTCTTGAATAACTTGTGTACAATAAATATTGCGTTGTTAAATTAGGGAAATAATATGGGATTTAAATTTTAATTAAGGCAAACATCTGAGCCAAATGTTATGCAGCTTATTAAAGTAATATTTATGAACTGATTGTGGGATAACAGCAGTTAATTACTGCAGCTCACATTGTAAAAAATATCAAAGTCTAAGCTTTCTATAAATCATAATAATGAATTTTATTCACTCATTCATTCACTCTCTTGCTTACTCAATTTAAAAAGACTGTTTTCTATAATGAAATGTGCTCTCTTAACATTAAAATGAGCGATTGTAATCTAGGGTTACCTCATGCTTATCAAAAGACTATTTAACTCTTTAAATCATCTTTCTATTTCAAAAGGTCTGCTTTTTTGCCAGACTTTAAGGTCTGCTTTTCATTCATTTATTTTTTCATTCACTCATTCATCAAACTTCTGTTGAATACCAACTTTAAGCAAGGCACTATTTGAGTTGAGATAAAAGAGTAATACATTTGTCAAGAAATGACATGCACATAGTTACTCTAAAGCACACTAGATCTTGAAGTTGTATAAGAAATAATTAAACCAAAACCAAAAGATACTTGAATTCGCAGGAAGAAACTGCCTGCAGCTGGGAATGTTTAACATTTAGGTGCCGCCTAAATCCTGTCATTATTACTGCAGAAACTCTATGGTAGTTTGGGTCTTTAAGACATTATTCCATTTGAAAGTGCTCAGTTGATTCAATAGTCAGTGCTTTTGGGGAATTACATATAATTCCCAGCACTCCCAGCACTGAAGCTCGATTGCCTTCACAGACAAGGAAACATGGTTACAGAGATAAAAACATACAGACTTCCAATTCTCATTCTGGTGATATTCCCACTAGTACCTGCTGCCCTTTCATTAAGAGCATTTTCTGCATAAAAGACATGCTGGTTGCTCAGGGAAATTAAGATCAAATGGAGACCACTTTGCTGCAACCCTGAGTCTCTGGAAACTGCCTTCAAAATCTCTATAATCATGTAGGATGCAGCTTACAACAACCTATATAATGTATGTATTAGCTTTGGTTAGAATTTGACACTGATAGTTTAAATTTCAGTCATTCCTAAGACCCATTTATGGCAGTTGGTTTTGTTTAGCTATATAACATCTGTTTGATTTCAAAGGCAGTGCTCTAGTATTGCATCATTTATTCCTGAATATTTATTGAGAATAGTTTTTCAACACTATACATTTTTTACATGTAATACTAAATAATAGGAAGCTCAGTAAATTTACTTTTGCACCAATATTTTAAACTTCATTTATTTTGGAGAAAAATAAGATATATACCTAATATAGTATTAAAACTAATTGGACTTGTTTTCCTCATACCATTTTCCTCTAGGGATTACTCCTGAGCTACTCTTTATTAATAGTAAGCATGAATGATTTAGCAGCAGAATTGGGACAAATGCATATCCCAATGTGGAGCTACATCGAATAATCCCTTTATTGGATTTGTATTTTAGCTTAAATCTCACAAGTAACAATCACACTTTTTAAAAAAAGTATCCACATTTTATATACTTTTTTAAAAAAGTATCCACATTTTATATACAATGCAAGTAATGAAGCTAGTTCAAATTCATTTCTTAAGAAACAAAAATATTTCACACTTTCGACGTATTTTGATTACCCATTTGAGGCATGACTTAACTTTGTTTTGAGTAAACATTTAATTTACTGGAGGAACTCCAAAGCTATGATATTATAAAACCATTTACCCAAATAGTTGCTCTAATGTTTTTAATGTGTCGATATAACAATGAGATATTTATAGAGATTCTACTTTTTATATTGTTTAATATGAACCAAATGTCAATTTCTTCAGCTCTTATTGAATAATGATGTATAATCTAGGGGACTTATTTTATTTACTTATAAGAGTCTTCCTTTACAAATCTTTTTAAAAAACATACATCCATGCTGTAATCATAGAGTAATAGAATATCACTCTCACATCTTATAAATAATAATGACAGCCACTAAAACTAGTGCATAATATCAAATAAACTACCTTGAGTTTTAAGTAAATTTTATTTTGATTAATAATTATAATTTTAAAACTATACAGAATGTTAAGAACACGTTTTAATACAAAGTTGTGCTAAATAGGATAAAATAAATAGTATTGGACTTTAGTCAAAAATAAGAATTTTCAAAAATAAAGTGAAAAAGCATATTATTGGAAAAATTGCTGAGATACCGGAAGACAAAAATATGTAGTCAAAGAAAATACGTATTTTTAATATACAGTATTATAAGTATTTTAAAATTTGACTTAAAAAATAACTGTTTTTAAAGTTATTTCTAATTTAATACCTAAAAACATATTTTATATATTTAGCCATTCTTCCATTAATGGACATTTAGATTAGTTCTAAATTTCACAACATCACAATTTTTGCCAGTCTAATGGGTGAAACATTTGGATATCTGGACTTCTGCTTCCAGGAATGGTGAACAAGATAATCTGAGCCAACCCTCCCAATGAAAACAACTTAAATACCGGGATGATTTTTATATATAATTTTTATGTATAGTAAATTAATGCTAATTGAATTTATTAATTTATTATATTCATTATTTTCATGTTTGCATATTTTTAAAAGCCTGAAATATCAAACGGTGTGGTGTGAATCAGAATCCAAAAGATCATACCCAGTTAGAGTTACTTTTGTAGGAATTTGGGGAGCAGATTATATATAGAAATACAACAATGTGCATGTTTTCACCTTGTATACCATAACCTTGATAAACTCACTTATTAGTATTTGAATTGCTGTAGTTTAGATGTTTGCCCTCCTAAACTTCATGTTGAAATTTGATTCTTCATGTTGAAGGTCAGGCCTAATGGGAGGTGCTTGGGTCATGGGGGCAGATCCCTTATAAATACAAAAACATTAAAATCGATATAGGGCTTTACGAGCTATCTACTTCTTCTTGAGTAAATGTCTTCTAACGTATTTTTCATTTTTTTTATAAATTATCAAATTTGATGGCATACACTTGTTCATAATATTACCTTATTAATTCCGTATCTTTAGTATCTATAGAAAAGTTCCTTTTTTACTTCCGATTTTAATTATTTGAATCCTCTATTTTAATTCCTCTCATTGATTTTGTTTTCTATTGACTGGTTGAAGCTCTTTTTAAAATTTATCTATCTTTCTTAATTTGCTTTTTCCTTAACTTCTTAAGGTAATTGTTTCAGACTTTTTGTCTCTTCTACCATAAGCATTTATTGCTAACACTTTCTCTCTGAACTTTGCTTTGGCTGCATCTTGCAATTTTTTATAACTTGTGTTTTTATTTTTATTCAATTCTAAATATTTTCTTTTCTAAATTTTTATATTTAAATAGCTTTGGGGGTGCAAGTGGTTTTTGCTTATAAGGATAATTGTATAGTAGTGAAATCCAGGATTTTAGTGTACTCAATCACTGAATTCTGTACATTGTACCCAATAGTAGCTTTTTATCCCTTATCCTCCTCCCACCTCCCCCACTTCTGAGTCTCCAATGTCCATTATACCACTCTGTATGCCTTTGTGTAACCATAGCTTAGCTTCCACTTATAAGTGAGAATATGTAACATTTGGTTTTCCATTTCTGAGTTACTTCCCTTAAGATAATCACCTCAAGTTCTATCCAAGTTTTTGCAAAAGACATTACTTCATTCTTTTTGAAGGCTGAATAAGTAGTCCAATAGTAAGTAGTTCATTTTCTTTATCCAGTCATCCATCAGTGGGCACTTAGGTTGATTCCATATCTGCAATTGTGAATTGTTCTGTGATAAACATATGTGTGCAGGTGTCTTTTTGATATAATGACTCATTTTCGTTTGGATAGATACCCACCAGTCAGATTGTTGAATCGAAAGATAAACCTACTTTTCGTTCTTTGAGAAATCTCCGTATTGTTTTTCACAGAGGTTGTACTGATTTATATCCCCATCAGAATTGTATAAGTGTTCCCTTTTCACCACATTTATGCCAACATTTATTTATTTATTTATTTTTTATCTTGAGCAGTGTCTGGGCTATTATTACTATTATTTTACTTTTAAATAATGGCCTTTCTGGTTGTGGTTTTAATTTGCATTTCCCTGATGATTAGTGATGTTGAGCATTTTTCAATGTTTATTGGCCATTTGTATATCTACTTTTATGAAAAGTCTGTTCGTGTCATTTGCCCACATTTTCATGGGATTATTTTGTTAAGAAATTTTTGCACCTATGATCATCAGGGATATTGGTCTGTAGTTTTATTTTTCCGTATGTCCCTCCTGGCTTGGTATCAGGGTAATAATGGCTTTATAGAATGAGTTAGGAAGATTCCCTCCTTCTCAATCTTTTGGAATACTTTCAGTATTATTGGTACCAATTCTTTGAATATCTGGTAGAATTCAGCTGTGCATCCATCCAGCCTTGGGCTTTTGTTTTGGCATATTTTTAATTACTGCTTGTTATTGGTCTGTTCAGCACTTTTGTTTCTTCCTGATTCAAGGTAGGGTGGTTGTATGTATCCAGAGGTATATTCATTTACTGTAGATTTTCTAGTTTGTATACATAGAGATATTCATAGTAGTCTCAAATGATCTTTTATATTTCTGTGGTATCAGTTGTAATGTCTCCATTTTCATTTCTAATTGAGCTTATTTGAATCTTCTGTCTTCTGTTTTGATGAATCTAACTAATGGTCTATCAATTTCATTTTTTGAAATGAACAATTTTGTTTCACTGGTCTCTTGTATTAATTAATTTCTTGTTTTAATTAAGTTTAGTTCTGCTCTGACCTTCGCTTTTTTTTTTAATTTTTGGCCAGGGTTGGGTTTACTTTGTTTTTGTTTCTCTAGTTCCCAGAGGTGTGACAATAGGTTGCCAATTTGTCATCTTTCTGTCTTTTTGATGTAGTTGTTCAACACTGTGAATTTTCCTCTTAGCACTGCTTTTGCCATATTCCCAGCAGTTGTGATAATTTGTGTTACTGTGATCATTCATTTGAAAAATTTTTAAATTTCCATCTTTCATTGTTAATCCAAAAATCATTCTGAGCAGATTGTTTAGTGTGTATAGTTTTGAGGTCTTCTTTTGGAATTGATTTCTAGTTTTATTTTGCAGTGGTTTGAGAAAATACTTGCTATGATTTCTATTTGTTAAAATTTATTGAGGCTTGGTTAGTAGTCTATCATATAATCTATCTTGGAAAATGTGCCAATGAGAAGAATGTGTATTCTGCAATTCTTGGGTAGAATGTTTTGTAATATCTGTTAGGTCCATTTGTTCTAGAGTGCCGTATAAGTACAGTGTTTATTGACTTTCTACCTTGATGTCCTGTCTAGTGCTATCAGTGAAGTTTTGAAATCTCCCACTATTATTGTGTTGCTGTTTATCTCTTTTGTTAGGTCTAGTAGTAGTTGTTTTATGAATCTGGGTGCTCTAGAGTTAGGTGCATATATATTTAAGATTGTTATGGCTTCTTGTTGAATTAACCCTTTTATTATAATTACTTTCTTTGTCTTATTTATAATACTTTGGTTCCTTTAAAGTCTTATCTAATATAAGAATACCTACTCCTGTTCACTATTGGTTTTCATTTGCATGGAATATTTTTTCAAAATACTTTTTTTGTTTTTGACCTATGAATTATTTTGATATGCTTTGTTAAATTTCCAAATATTTTGTGACGTCCCACATATCTTTCTGTTATTGAATTCTAGCTTAAATCACATTGCAGTCAGAGAAAATGCACTTTGTGATTTCAATCTTATTAAAATTGCAGGGAGTTATTTTATGGCTCACATATTTTATAGAAGAGTATTGTCTGAGAGAGAGTACGTAGTCATGTTGCTGTGCACCAGAGAGTGGAATTCTTTCAGGTCTTTGGGTCCAACTCAAGTCTTTCTTGTGAACACAAGGAGGGGATCTGTGAAAAGAGTTGGTCCATCAGTGTCAAGCCAAGAACTCTTAAACCTTGAGCTTTCAAGTATTATAAACCCTTATAGTAGCGAACACTTAATCTTTCAAAATTCATTTTTTTCATCTACTCTATGGTGTTTCCATCTAGTGACCATGAGACTTCATTTCTTTTATGGGATTTATGAAAAGCTTTTATTTTGTGGGCTATTCACCTCTTTTCTTATTGTTATGGTGCCTGCAACAATCTAATCTTGTTTTTTATGTACTGATCAGAAGCAGAACTGGTCCAATACACTTTCTGTAGCATTATAAAAATAAGCATTACAAAAATAAAAACCATGAATCCCTTGAAATTTTTATTAGTATTTTTTCAAATAATGTACTTTATTTCTTGCTAATTGTGATTGAATGTTTTATATTCTTAAGTTTTTAATTTTTATTTCTGCAATATAAGAAAGCTATTGCTTTTGTAATTTGTTCTTTTATTTGCCATTTTCCTGGAGTGCATTATTAGATGTACAGTTGGCCCTCCATTTCCATAGGTTCTGCATCCATGGTTTCAACCAACCACAGATCAAAAACATTCACAAAATAAAAGTTTGTCTCTACTGAAAATGTACAGACTTTTTTCCCTTTTCATTATTCCCTGAACAATATAACAACTATTTACCTAGCATTTACATTGTATTAGCTATTATAAGTAATCTAAAGTTGATTTAAAATGTGAGGAAGGAGGTGCATAGGTTATATGCAAATTCTATGGAATTTTATGAAAGGGACTTGGGAATCCAAAGACTTTGGTATCACCGAGAGGTCTTGGAACCAATTCCCCATGGATACTGAACAATGACTGTAATAATTTATGTTTTAAATTTTTGGAACCTCTGTGTAAGTAAATTTGTAACAAAAAAGTGACACATAATTTTGTTTATAAATTTTAGTTATTTTGTATAATGTCAAGAAATAGTAGTGATGTTGAAAATTCTTGTCTTGTTTCTTATTTTAGCAAAAATGCCTCTTTGGCTTTTATCTTATGTTCAATGCCTTTTGGAGGTTTCTGACAGGTTATATATCAAATTAAATAAAACTACATATATTTCTACTTTGGAAAGATATAATTAATGGCTGTTAAATGTTAGTGCATAGTTTTTGACAGACAGGTATTGTAATTATTTTTTCTTCTATTATTATTTTAATTTAGTAGTTTATAACAATAAATTTCTAAATGTAGACTAATTATAACCTTGAGGTAAGCACTACTTGTTCAGAATGTATTAATCTTTTAGAGTATCAATATTTAAAAACAACTTTTGCTTCTTAATTTGTAAGCAAATATGTTTTCTTTTATGTAGTTGTAGTTGTAGTTTTCTTTTATGTAATTGTTGTAGCATCAAAATTTTTCTAGCAGAGTATAATGGGTTACATTGTTTTATGTATTTTTCTAGTCTCTTAATTAATTGTGTTTGTGTGTGTGTTTATATATATATATTTCCTGAGCAGAAATATTGCCTATGTATGTTCTTGTACTACCGCATTACTTGTTTATTGTAGACAAACCAGAAATAAAATAATTTGTTTGCTCTGAAACATGCCTTGATATTTACTGTTCAGGGTATGTATATATGTTCTTGTAATATGGAGGAAGCAAAATTTCTCCAGGAATACTATACTTTCTTTAAAGTATTATATGTATATAATGATAAAAGTATTATGATACATATAATAATTTAGACACATTCTTATATATATTCGAATATATTTACATATATACAGATGCCAACATCAGAAAAATTTTTTTAGAAACCATCTAGAGTAACTTGTCTTATAAAGTAGAAAATTTTTCTTTAAACACTGATGGTACCAGAGTAGTTGCTTCACCATGAAAACGTAATAAAAACATGGTAGGCAGAATGATTCCCACAGATATCCACACCATAATACCTGGAACCTGTGAATATGTTTCCTTATATGTCAATGGAAAATTTGCAGATATAATTATAGTTATAGACCTTAGGAGGAGAATATTCCGTATTGTTTGAGTGGTCTGAATTTAACCACAAGAAAACTTAAAAGAAAAAATATTATATTTATTTGTAGTCAAAGATACACAACAGGATAGACAAGGGAGAGCAGGAAGTCGAAGAGTTTGAAGCATGAGAAGAACTCAACTTGCCTTACTGACTTTGGATGTGGTGAAAGAGGGCTGCAAGCTAAAGATTATGACAATATCTAGAACTGAGAATGGCCCCTGACTAAGAGACAGCAATGAAATGGAGACCTTAGCTCTAAAAGTACATGGAACTGAACTCTGCCAATAAGGTGAATGAGTCTGGAAGGAGATTCTAACCCAGAGGCTCCCAACAAAGAGCCTAAGGCAGCTGACACCTTTGTTTTAGCCTAATGAGCTGCTAAGCATAGAACCCAGAAGAACCCAATAGAATTCTGACTTCTAGAACAATGAAATAATAAATGAGCATTGGTTTCAGCAGTTAAGATTATGGCCAGTTGTTAGCAACAGAAGACTAATACAAATGTTCAACAGATAGCTGAGGATTGTAAGAGTAGATATATGGGAAAATGATGAAATGAACTCTGCATTTTTCCTGGGTTTTCACCTAGAGACACTGTCAAGATCTCAATGGAGAAAGTAAAGCACAAGTAGTGTGTAGTAATAACACGAAAGTGGAGTTAACAGAGATCAGCATCAGGGCTGTTGAAGTGAGTGGAGTTTGTGGAACAGACTACCAGAGAGAAGAGAGATATATGGATAAGGAGTTTCAGAAATTGCATGAGATTATTTTAGTCTTTGGCCAGTTACTAAATTGTACTTGTGCAGAACAAGATGCACGAGGGCTTAGCAGGCAACAGCTTCTAGATGTCATGAGATAAATGAAAATTCTAGAGGTTTGACAGTGATGAGAGACATGGGACATCTAAATATGTAAAAGAAAGAGAATATCCCAGGTACTCAGTTAATGGCCTACACAGATAGGTCTTAGAAATAGAAGAATAGGCACAGTGTCTCATACCTGTAATCCCAGCACTTTGGGAGGCTGAGGTGGGCAGATCACTTGAGGTCAGGAGTTTGAGACCAGCCTGGCCAACATGGTGAAACCCCGTCTCTACAAAAAATACGAAGATTAGCCGGGGGTGGTGGCAGTTGCCTGTAATCTCAGCTACTCAGAAGGCTGAGACAAGAGAATCACTTGAACCCAGGAGACAGAAGTTGCAGTGGGCCGAGATCATGTCACTGCACTCCAGCCTGGGTGACAGAGTGAGACTCCATCTCAAGAAAATAAAGAAAGAAAGAAAAGCAAAAGAAATAGGAGAATTCTACCACTAAAATAAGGGGTTATATAAATAGGTCCTAATAAATTATAAAAACAAATATCAAATGAATCTAGTGAATTAACTACCTGTCAGAACAAAAAAGTTAGCACCATATAAAAAAAATCTAGACATGCAAGTACACAGTATTAAAAATGTCTAGTGTATAATCAAATAAAGCAGGGCATGTAAAGAAGTAGGAAAATGGTACTAGTAATTAGGAGAAAATGTGGTCAAAATAAACCGACAAAGGGCTGACTCATATATTAAAATGAACAGGCGAAGACTTTAAAGCAGCTATTCTAAATGTGTTTAAAAACTTAAAATATGTTATAACTAATGAACAGGTAAGAAACATAACCGGAGAAATAAAACAGAAGAAACTATAATAGCTAGACCTAACTGAAACGCAATGTTTTTGATAACAGGTCTCCTAAGATTAAAAAATCAGAATAAACAAACAAAAAACACACACAGATTTTGCTTAGCTTTACATGTAAATAAGGGCGAAAAGATTCAATAAACTTAGAAATAAGCCAATTATTTATTCAAAATTACATAATTTGAAAAAAAGACAGAAAAATTACACTATGAATAACATTAACACAGCCACAAACTCCTATGAGAAAATCATCCAGTGATTTTTACATATTTTTGGTGGTCCATTGTAGAAAGAAGTGAAGGAAGGTAGGAAAGAATAAAGGAAGAAAAGAAGGCGGGAAAGGAGGAAGAAAGGAAGGAAGAGAGGGAGGAAGGAAGGGAGGGAGGGAGAGAGAGAGAGAGAAATAGAAAGAAAGAAAAAGAAAGAGAAAGAAAGAGAAAGAAGAAAAAGAAAGAATGAAGAAAGAGAAAGAAAGAAGGAAAAGAAAGAAAGAAAAAGAAATAAGAAAAAGAAAGAAAGAAATGAGAAAGAGAAAGAAAATAAAAAGAAAGAAAAAAGAGGAAGGGGAAGGAAGGAAGAAAGGAAAGAAGGAAGCAAGGAGGGAAGGGAAGAGTGAGACTCCTGAGTTACAGTCTAACAAAATAGCTGTTCGTGTTAGAAAAAAAGTCCACGTAGAAACATTTGCTTGAGTTTAGTCTGGAAGCTGCTTCATTTCCATTGTTCGCTGAATTTGTTAATTTAAGACATAAAGTTTTATGATATATTCTTTTATTCATTCAAGGGGAGAAAAAGTTAGTTTTTATAATGAATTTATAAAAAGGGAGGGAGTGTTATTACAAAAAGCAAAATAGCCATTAATATATTTGAACAAAACACTTATTTTTAGAAATGAGTGATGGGATGATGAAGTGATGGGAGAGATGGGCCTTGTGGTTTTGAAAGAAAAGAATATAGACAAAAATTCTAAAGAGAGATAGAGAGGGAAATTGACCCAACATACTGTTTGGAGGCATGGATTTAGAAGAAAGATAGGTAAGGAGGAAAGCTAGGGAAGGTTAAGAATAATAGCAGCAGTGATGTTGATATTTAAATTTAAAATGTTTCCTATTCTATTTTGTAGTGTTTCTCTTATTTTCTAAATAATATTTAAAAATTGTAATTCATGTGGAAAATATAGTTTTTTAAAAATTTAACAAATATATATTCACAAGTATTATGGAATTCTTGAATCAAAATTTGTTTACTTTATATTTGTTTTCTCATTCTCCTGTCCACTGTCCACGTGAATTTCTTGCGTTTTATATTATCGCTAGAATATGGGTACCACATTGACATTTTTTTCTTGCAAATTGGAAATAAATTCTCCCCTAGATATTCAAACACAGATATACCTAACACACTATAGACTATAATGTGAAAATATTAAACTCCTTTCAAAAATAAAGTGTCATTCAGAAAGTCTTTATTTCATCCAACAAAACAGGTAAAAAGACAATCACGAAAATGATAATTTGCACAGAAAATCTGAATATTCTACATATGAGAGCAAGTTCTTGCCAAGCAATTCATAATTTAGGACATTTGGCAGGTGGTTTATTTTGGAATACATGTCTAATAGCATTAAATGTTTGAATCAAACAACAATATTCTGTTTCAATCGCATACCCATCAAATAACATTCTGAATAAAATTTGATTTTCTGTGCTAATTTGCCTACAGGGAGACAATACATTATCTCTATTGCAGAGAGACTCTAAGTTATAAATTAACAAATTGTCATTCTGATGTTTTTCATCAGCTTCAGAAGCTCAGTTACTAGGAACCCACCTTTAAGGAATGCAGAGAACCTTGATTTCTGGCAAGTCTTGTAAATGCGGCAAGATGGTGTCTGCCTGTGAGTACCTAAGAAGGAAGCCAATGGGTCCATTCCAGGCTACATTCTCATGTATTTTTGGTTATTGTAAGCCTTTCCTTCCCCAAACTACAGTATCTATTTTGCGTTGTCTGTTATCATTTTATGTTTAATAAATATTTTTGTTAAAAGAATCAGTATGTATTATCTTGGATTAGAAAACATATAAAACCATTCAATTTATCTCTCTATTAATTTATTTCTCCAATAATAATTACAAATGTACTCATTCTTCTTTCTCTAAAATAAGATCATCCCCATTTTAATAATTTAGTGCAATTTTAAATGTTGAATAGTCAGTCATATTTAGAAATACAATTCACATTGAACCATAAAGTAAATATCCCTTGGGTATATAGTTTATAAAAATTTATCTTATCAATTTTATTTATATAATTTTACTTATTTGATATTTTAAGAACAAAATATAAAAATGTCAACGAAAGAAACACCCATCCTTTGGAAATATGATTCATAATAATTAAAATATCAGTTATTTAAGTGAGAATTCAAATGTCCTGCAACATATTCAGAATTTCCTGAAAAGAGATTTGCATTATTGAAATAAAAATGTAACTTAGAAATTGAATCATTAAACTATATTTTTAGTACAATAAGTATACTTTTAAGTATCTCACTAAAATAGAGATACGAAAGAAAATAAAAGTTTATATGTTTACCATAACAAAAGTTCCGTATGTTTAACATAAAGGAAAATGTTTTGTTGTGCTTCAGAAATAATTGTAACTTTCTCTTTTTATAGGAATGGACATTTCTACATTATTCTGGAAAGTATATTCAACACCTAGTGAGATTTCATCACTCTTTATGAAATAAGAACACAACCTAATTTTCAATTCCACATTGCATCACGTAAGTTGTACATATTCTTTGGAAAGAGAATAATAGCTGAGGACCTCTGCTGCCCTTGACAATTTTAGATTTTTTCTTGTTTAAGTTTTGGAAACTTGGGTTGTCTCTTGTCAACATATGTGTATAAAGTCTTTTCAGAAATCAGAGTGTCCTGCAAGGTTTGAAACCCATGTGGATAATTTCCATGTGATTTATGCAGAAGAAATTACTCCTAAAGTTGAACATGTTATGGGAATACATGCATCCCCTGACTTATGAAGGCTTTTGGAAGTCTCATACATCTCAGACATCAGGAAACTTCCAAAGGAAGTAGGAATCATAATTCAAAACCTTTCCTTTTTGATAAAAACATTCACTTTAGGAAATGCTAATGAGTTATTCTAAGAACCACCAACCCTCTTCCATTGCAAATTCTCTTTATAGAGGATTTTGTATGTGGGTTATTTTTAATTTTTAATCAAATAAAAATCCTGACTTGAAGTTATACCAGATTCCTACTTCCCTCTTTTCCCCCTTCTTACTTTTGTTCTTTCTTTCCCACCCCACCTCCCCTCTTGTTTTTCAGACAGGGTCTCGCAGTGTTGCGATTCTCTTGCCTCAGCATCCCTAGTAGCTGTGAATACAGGCATGTGCCACCACGCTCGGCTAATTTTTGTATTTTTAGTAGCGATGGGGTTTTGCCATGTTGCTCAGGCTGGTCTCGAACTCCTGACCTCAGGTCATCCACCCCACCTCAGCCTCCCAAAGTGCTGGAATTACAGGTGTGAGCCACCATGCCCAGCCAATTTTTTCCTTTTTTTCCTTCTTTCCTATCCTTTTTCTGTGCAGCAAAATTTTAATAATATTTCGATGAGTAACAGGACCCAACCTAATTCCCCAGTTTCCAATCTGACTCGTGGGTGTCACAGCTCTTGAACTGAAAACACTGAGATGTGGAGAAACTGCCAGCATGAAAGAACAAAGGCTAATAAAAAGTTACCCTGAAACTGAGCTTAGAGGCTGCACTGGTGCATTCAAGGAATAAATTAATAAATTCCGAGCTTACTGTTGGTAGAAATCAGTGGCTCAATAACTTTTATCTTTCCCTAATCTATCAAGAAAGTATATCATATTGTTAGCATTCATGCAAAAACCATTACTCAGAGTAGACAAAATTCCCATTAAAAAGTGATTTTCTTGTTTTCTAACAAAGGAAGAAGTACTAATTGGACATGGATGCACATATGATGGAAATCGCAGGGGCCAGAGACCTGGGCTGGAGCAAATTGTGGTCTGGATATGATTAACTCTAGAAAATCTCAACTGTGGTTGCTGTCATAATTCCTAATACCTGTAGTATAAAAGAACTTTATAATATCTGACTATTTGGCAACCTCAGTGTTAAATCTAAAGTTTGAGCATGAGGTGGACCTAGTTATGAACTTTTCACAGGTTGGGGTAAATGATAAAGAGAAACATTTCTAGTAAAAATACTAAAGCCCACATCTGCTCTTTTCAGTTCCCACTTCCAACAATCTAATTCACTCTCTTGTCAACTGTAGTTTGAATGAATAATACTGATCTCCACATCTCACGTTTAATGTCTATCCATTTTATCTCTCACACTGCTTCCAAAATATTTTTTGTAAAATAATACTTTTGTCCAGCTTACTAGAAAAAAATCTTAAAGAGCCCATTAATAACTGAGTATATACTTGCTTTCAAAAACCTCCACAGTCAGGTACCTATATACGGTTTCAACCTTAATTTCTTCTCCTCACTTGCACACAATTTCCAATCTAGTTTAACTGGGGTCCCACTGATATAAATACAGTTTAATGCCTTAGGTACACAGTGTTAATTATTTTCCTCCCAATTCGCAAACATCTTCTATAAATTTAAACTTTATCCTTTCTCAAAACCCAGTTTGGAGCCCCCATTTAACCGCAACTATCTGTGAAATACTTAATGCCAAAACATCCTTTTCTTGTCTGTTTCTCCAGAAAACAGCTTTAAATTGCCTAAGCCTCATCTTTGCTTGCCAGTAGTTACAAATTTTGTATCTTCTAGGTGAGTTGATGTGTCCGTTAAACTTTTTACAAGTACATTTACCTCCTCCACATTAATAATGTGTTCCTAGTGTCCAGTTCTTTGCATGTATTAAATTTTCAGAATAGTTCATTTATTGATTTATGTATTAACCAATACAATTAGAGACACAATCAAGAAATATGAATTATTGCTACCATCGTGTATTACACCCCATCAAACTTCTCATTGCAAAAATAGAAAGACATGCCTGGATTTGGTTAAGTTACTAGAAAGATAACTATGTTACTATCAGATAAATATGTTACTAGGTCAAATAATCAAGCTTATCTAGTTGGCTAGCTCAAAATTCTCAGTAATTAACATTATGACATTTGTGAACAGCTTCCATAAACTTTTGAATTAGGGCTTTAAATCAGAAGAATAAAAAGTGTCATGGAAGATATGGCTGCATCTGCAGCTCCATAGGAAGAATCCCCACCTGCATAACTATTGGTTGCTGTGGCTAATTGAAGGTATGCAATGTCCAAATTTATAAAGTAATACAAATTGTCTTCTGCCTCCGCAATCTTCTTGGCCTACGATCTTCCTCTGCCAACCCACACTGGAATGCAATTTATTTTTCAAAATCCACCCCAAATACTGTTATCTTCATAACCTACTTTTTTTTTTCACTTCAGCTGGCCCTCTTTGAGCCAAAACACCAAAAAAACTCATTAATTATCCTTTTAAATGGGTGATTGACTTTAAAATATTCCTTCTGAAATGATTATTCACATTACAGCATTTTCTTTAATTAGACATTAGGACTTCAAGCCTTCTATATTATAACTGTTTTTCTTTCCCTCTCACTATTCCAAACCCAGTGGAATTTCAACTGTTAGCTGGGGAGATTTTTGTTGGCAGAAGAGGAGAACCCTGCCGTACTTACTGTTAACCATAGTATTTGTCCATAGAAACAGAATGTGAGCCTTACAGGTAATTTTAAATATTCTAGGGGCTACAATTTTTTTTTTTTTTTTTTTTTTTGAGACGGAGTCTCGCTCTACCGCCCAGGCGGGAGTGCAGTGGCGCAATCTCGGCTCACTGCAAGCTCCACCTCCCGGGTTCACGCCATTCTCCTGCCTCAGCCTCCCCAGCTGCTGGGACTACAGGCGCACGCCACTACGCCTGGCTAATTTTTTGTATTTTTAGTAGAGACGGGGTTGAGGCTACATTTTTTTAAAAAAGCAAGTAAAATTAATTTTAATAAACTACATGTCTTCAAAGCATTCAATTTGTAATACATGTAAAATTTATTTGTGAGTTGTTGTGCATTCTTGTGTTGCACGGAGCCTGTATAATCCTGTGTATATTTCACACCATGACACAGCTAAACCTGACTAGCCACATTTTAAGTGCTCAGTGGCTATGTGGGCTAGTAGTTATCCTATTGGAAGTTTAGGCTAGAGGGTGATTCAAGGAAAGGTGGAACAGGTCAGAA
The DNA here is from genome assembly GCF_000001405.40 of Homo sapiens. Taxonomy (NCBI): domain Eukaryota; kingdom Metazoa; phylum Chordata; class Mammalia; order Primates; family Hominidae; genus Homo; species Homo sapiens. The sequence continues at coordinate 65,477,215 of NC_000010.11, read as the reverse complement.
AGTCTAAAATCTGTTCCCCACAAACAATCCCAGATCTCCAGAAGCTGGGGAAACAATCACAATGTAGGAGAAAGTACATAAAATAAAGTATCGGCCCGGCACGGTGGCTCATGCCTGTAATCCCAGCACTTTGGGAGGCCTAGGCAGGCGGATCATGAGGTCAAGAGATAGAGACCATCCTGGCCAACCAACATGGTGAAACCCCATCTCTACTAAAAATAAAAAAAAATTAGCTAAGCGTAGTGGCGCACGCCTGTAGCCCCAGCTACTTGGGAGGCTGAGGCAGGAGAATTGCTTGAACCCAGGAGGCAGAAGTTGCAGTGAGCCGAGATCGCGCCACTGCTCTCCAGCCCGGGCGACAGAGCTAGACTCCGTCTCAAAGTTAAAAAATAGAAATATTAAAAAAAAAAGTCTCAAAAGATTTTTGACCTTGCAAGAGTCTGTGTTACTTCCTCACCAGGTCTCTCATGATGGGATCCATGTCACTGGTTTGCAGTTCCACTGCCAGGTTTCTTCATCAGAACTTTCTTCCTAGCAGAGCCTAACTTCTAATATTCCCCAAATACCTTTAAAATGACCTGAAAATGATTTTCTCAATAGCTGAGTCAAAAAACCCCAGAGACATATTTATTAATTGTAACATATTGACTCTTCCTTTGTGTCTTTTAAAAAAAACTTTAGCCCTCACTTTATAAAACTCTAGAATATACCTCTGCAAATTTAGTATTTTACTTCCTTTAAGTAGAAATTTTTTTCTGAGAAAAATGTATGTTTCAGGGAAGCAGTCTCTTCATTATGAAAGTTATTAGTGCATACCAAACGAAAATGTCAAATGCATGGATAAAGATTCCAGAACACAGTGAAACCTCAAAACAGTAATACTTTCATATTGAAGGGGTTTTTAATCTTCTGTAAGCACCTAGAATTGTCAGTAATCACAAGGGGTAATGCAAGGTAAGTTTTAGTACTTCAAACACATTTCAATCTCTACACTTCATTTATTCCACAAATTAGTTCACTATAAATCTATCATTGGTAACAAATTTTATATACTGTTTCATAAAAAAGTGATTTCTTTTATTGCTTTTCACATTTGGTGCACTTTTTTCTCTGGCTTTTCATACCCAAGTAAACATATATATCTTGTCATCCCATTATGGTTCAAATTGTACAAAATCTCTCATCATCACCAGGGACAGTTTGACGTATTCCATTATGCCAAGCACCATGTGAGTGCCTTATGTCCTTAACATTTAGGTTTTATTAAAATCAGCATAAGGAAAACAAAATTCTATTTTGCCAAATAGCAGCAAATAATCATGCTTAATGCTTTTAGAGTGAGTTAGCTAGGAATTAATTTAACTGAAACCATCAGGCTATTGAGAAATAAGAGTGACAGTTTATAAGCTTCTTCCTCTTGAATATAAATATTATTGAAATATAAATATAAATCAGCAGAAGAAAAACAGTCTGGGATAGTGATTCAAATGTTTCTTTTGTACTCAGTAACCAATCTTACTTGAATTGACACATGTAATTTCATAAATCAGTATCTTTCTAACTTTGCTATCTTTCAGGGTAAAAAGACTCATAAAAATCTTTTTAAGGCATTCCCCTTGGAGCTAAGGAGTTATAGACAGTTTATCCCACTTTTTTTCTTTAGCAGTGATGGAAGTTGCTGGCCTTTTATTTTCTCATTAATTTAGGTGTATATTAGATGGCAAAAATAATAAAATGACATGATGGCTTTATTAAAGTTATTGCCTATATAAAGCAGTTTGGATTGTGGATTCAGAATTATACACTTGTATTTACAGAAAAAAACTGGTATATGAGATACTTTATAATTTAAATATGTTTATAAAATCAGTTCAACTGCAGTGTTTCTTTTTAAAAAAATTTATTTAGATTATATTATTCATTTTAAACCAAACTATTATCCAGTCTGGTAGTTCTCAACCACTGCCATCTCAAGTCACACCAGTTACTTATCCATGTACAGCACAGAAACAAAGACTTTTTTTTTGAGGAAGGGATATTAGTAAAAACATTATTAATCAATATTGTAAAAGCCCTCCTTCCCACCAATGTGACATTTTAACATCAATGGTGGCTGGTATATAATTTATTCCAAACTACTTTTCCATTGGCATTTACAATCATCATCATTGTAATAATGAGAAGAAAGAATTTAAAATTCCTATTGTACCAAAGAATACAATTCATATGCCACTGCTGGAATCCAATTTGATATTTCTTTCTGAAGAGTAATTGGAACACATCTATATAGAACTGTAATACAGTGTAAGTTCCCTTGCCTCAACAACTCCATTTTTGAACATTTTTCTTAAGAAAATAAACAGCAATAGTCACAGAGGGTTGCTATAAAGATATAGTAAAAAACAAGAGTTTAACAATAATCAGACCAATGTAAAATTGCAATTCTGATAAGTCCCATGAAGAAGAGCCATGTGTGCTTGCAATGGTAAAAATGACCTAGTTGCAGAAGTCTAAGAAGAATTCCTCTGTAGATGAATCCCAGTTTGATATCAGAAGCACGAAAACAAGCTAATAAGCAAACAAAGGTAACCAGAGGTATAATAGATTCTGAGGAAGGGAGTGTGAAAAGTACAAGCAACTGACAGAAATTCAGTGAAGGCAGAGTAAATGGGATGACACAAAACATGAAAGGAGGTGTCTTGAGATATAGGTGGGGACAAAGCTGATTTAGAACCTCACAGATTTTAGCTTGAACAGTGGGAAGCCATTACTGGGCACTGACATATTAGATTTGTAATTTGAGAATATGCCTCTGGCTATGGTGATGACTTTAGAATGGGGAAGTCCAGACTGCATCAATGCCAGACTGCATCAGTGCAATTGCCGTTGACCAGGTAAGAGAGGGATGGTGGCTTGGATTCAAACAGTAGAGATAGAGAGAGACGACATTGGATAGATATCAAGATATATAACGTAGAAATAAATCACATGGGAGTGAGGAATTAGGAAGTGTTCAGGTTGATTCCCAAGTTCATAGCTGTGGAAAGGGTTTGCTGGAGAGTTTTTCAGGGTCGACTTCAGTGAAGATCATGGGTTTGCATTTAAAAATGAAATTTCAAGAGCCTTTGAGACATTAAGCAGGATATGGCAGAAAGGCTATAGATATAGATATATAGATTGTGAGTTCAGAGAAGCGGTCAGTGCTGTAGATAAAATTTTCTTATTTTTCTTGGTAGTAAATGAACTCTAAAACCTGAGTTAGATTATCTAAGGAGAAGGTTTAGAGCAGGTAGTATGAGAACCACAGAAAGTACAGTGCCAAACTCAAATGAATTTCAAAATTTAATGTCAAGGTAGAAAAGGATGATCTTAGAAAGACGGCAATGAGAAGTCAGGGAAGCAGAAATAAAACTGCAGAGCCTTGTAACAGAAAACCAGAGAGCATTATACCAGATAATTTAGAGACAATAATTTAAGTAAAGAAAGAAGGAGGCATGAAAAGTGTTCAATGGTACTGGAATATTTGGAGGAAGAAGGGAGAAAAAATATAAGTTGAATTTAGTGAGGGCATTGGCCAATGGCTTGGCCCTGAGAGCCTCTAGGGGGAAGGATGGTAATCACCCTTTATGGCATAAAAAACTAAATATAATGTGAATGTGCAGAAAAGGGGAACAAAAACAATATATAATTACAAAACAAAATCTTCAAAATATATTAAAAAATTCAAACAATTCTTAAAAGCATTTACGGGCTTAATAAATAATGTATATTTTATATTGTATGGTTGTATATAATTGAACTATTTGAAAATATATCATGCATAGAAATAAGAGAAATACAGGTTATTCAGAAGAAACGTCTTCAAATATTAAGATTATGTAAATACTCTCTGGATGAGGGAGAAGGAAGGACCTCAAAGACAAAGTAGCAAACAAAAATGTATTTATTTATTTAAATAGTATTTTTATAAATGATATGTGTACTATTCTACTAATGCATTATACCCTCTGAAAAACATAATGAGAATGTAAATTTATATGTCAAGACGTGATTTCTTGTGTTTTTTTATTGTATGTAATGTTATGTGCTGACAAAGTGCTCATAGCAGAGTAGGAATCAAAGTTACCAGCTTACCACCTTCTTGTTTCATTCTTGAGCTTGCTTTATTAATACTATTTTAGATTTACTCTCTCCTTATAGAGAATATTTTTAAACCATATATTGCTCAATAGCTTAGTGGGAGACTTTTAGTATTTACATGAAAAAATCTGTGGTAACTAGGATTAATATTATTACTAAACTACATCAAAGTTTAAAAAACTTCAGGATATCCTTTCATAAACTTTATCAAGGGTATGGAGGAAAAGCCAAGTTTTAGTCAGCCTTTTAATGAGATTTTGATATATTTTTATTGAAGGAATAAAAGAGAATAAAGGCACTATTGCTCAACCATTGGAAATTCTCTTTTATCCCTTTGAGCTTTATGTGCTTGGACTTGTGATCATCTGATGCATGAATTCAGTTGATTTCATTGTATGTATTAATGTAGTTTTTTCTTATTTAGTTAAAATAATAAGAAAAATAGGTGTTTTGATATTTTCTTCTTGCACCACACTGGACTATTTTACACATTCCACTTTGAAAAACATCATTTAGAATAGCACAATATTACAAAAATATAATTTAAAAAACTAAACAGTGATCTTATATAAGGCTTAGGGGAAAGAGGATGATGATCAACAATAGGCTTTTGTTATTCTCACAGCAAGATAACCCTCCACAATTTCCAAAATTTCTTCCTCTTTGTTTTAGCACCAAAATATGTGAAGATCTGATAATTAGTCAACTACACTGGTATAGAAACTGGCTCTAACATATAACAAACTGACCCACATTAAGATATCATATCAAGTAAGTTTTTTGTTTGTTTGCTGACTTTTTTTCAGACTAGCTTATTTAATGTAGCATGATCCATAAGTGGCTTGTGGAATCAATAAAAGGAATCCTTGTCTCCTAGCTCCTGACTCTCTGCTGATATTATTAAACTGCACATGAAAACACACTGACCAATGCAAGCATGTACCCAGATACACACACACACACACATGCACACACACACACACACACACACAGAGTAAAGTAGAATTCCTAGATCTCGTTGTTAAAAACAACGCATGCATTTTTGAAGATTAAAGAAAAAATTGGAATAAATTTTCTAACTTATCCCCCAGTTTCCTGAATTTTACCTTAATTCCAGCTTAGCACAAAAACATGTTCTCTATGTATCTGTGATTTTAACAAAATATTAAGCTCATTAGCCATTTTAGCAGTTCTCAAAGCCTCATAATATATCCTTGTTCTTCCTCTTCAAAATTGCTGCCACCCAACAAAATAATTAGGAGTAATCCAATTTCTCTGAATAATCCAATTTCTCTGAGATTCTGTCAGTATATTATCACGTTAACATTAAATTTGATAAGCAGATTATGAATTCATAGCAGAAGTAAAAACATGAGTTGTAAAGGCAGTTAAGAAGGTTTGATAAGCACAAATGCCCTCTAGTCAGAGAGCTTGGGTTTAAATACTGACTTTGCCAAGAAAAATCCGTATGATTTGGATAAATTATTCAAATTCCTACCTCTTAGCTTCCTTATCTGTATATGTATCTGATAATTGTTGGAAGGAAGAAAGTGAGTTAATCTATGGAAAAAAATCAATTTTATCAATAACTTAATAAATTTTAATTCTATTAAATATGATGCACTTTATTAAAGATCATAAAATGATTGTTTTCCTTGAGAAGCTTAAATTTTTCTGCTTCTGTTCCCATGATATGGAGAAAAATCCCAAAACAATTTCAGTTGAATCATATTAGGAATAAAATAAAATTTTACATCATACAAAATAATTTAAAAGACTCATATGTGTCACCATTACCCTCAATCACCTTGAATAGGGGTTCCATGGGTTGAAAACATCATGAATGACCCTTTGTGAATAAGAGACCATGTCCACAATTGTCTCTAGAGATTTGGTCTCTATTTACACTCTCCTTTGACAATGAAGGCTCATAGTGGTTGATCTCAGGAATTCAGGAATGCAAAATATTTTTGTGTTAACTTCTAACTAGTATTTCAATGCTAATAGCCTAATGGGAGATCTTTAGTATTTACACAAAAAAGTCTGTATCAACTAGGATTAATATTTATTGTAAAACTAAATAATGTTTAAAAAGCTTCTGGATATTCTTTCATAAACTTTATCAATGATATGAAGGAAAAGCCAAGTTTTAGTCAGTCTTTTAATGAGATTTTTATATACTTTTATTGAAGGAATGAGAATCAAATCAATGTCATATGCAGAATTTTTTTCATTATATCATCACAATCAAGTAATGTATGTGGTAACCAACATGAAAAGCAATTTTTCCAAAACATTAATGTAATGCAAGCATCAGTTAATGTTCCATTTCTATAATTTTAATGTTATTCCCTCTATATTAATAAAACTAAGTTCAAACCCTTTAACATTAAGCATTCCAACATTTTATTTTATTTTATTTTATTTTATTTTATTTTATTTTATTTTATTTATTGAGACAGAGTCTTGCTTGCTCTATCACCCAGGCTGGAGTGCAGTGGCACAATCTCATCTTGGCTCACTGCAACCTCTGCCTCCCGGTTCAAGCAATTCTCCTGCCTAAGCCTCTCGAGTATCTTGGATTACAGGCACCCACCACCATGCCCAGCTAATTTTTTTGTATTTTTAGTAGAGACGGGGTTTCGCCATATTGGCCAGGCTGGCCTCGAACTCCTGACCTCAGGCAATCCGCCTGCCTCTACCTCCCAAAGTGCATGAGCCACCTTGCTGAGCCCCAACATTTTAAATTCATTAGAATTTACTAGAAAAAAAAATCATATAAGTCAGTTAATTAAGTTGTGTGAGATACTTGAGTAGATTTTGGATCCTCTTTTTTGTACCCACTTAGAATCTTAATCACCTAGAGTATTTGGTAAATTTTTCCAAAATAGATGCTTGTGTTTTTCTGCATTAGTTATAGAATCTCTTTTTCTCTCTGTCTTCCCTTCTCCTACTTACCTATCTGTCCATTTTATCAGAAGAGTTCTTTGATGATTGAAGATCCTTTTGGGTTTTCCTTCAGCATTACTAAGCTAAATCATGTGTAGAAAAGTTTATCAAATGCTAATACCTTCTTAGATTTGCATAACACTTTGAAGTTTAGAAAGACTGCTCATAATTACATACATAAACACATTTTGATCATTGTATATGCACCAAAATCCTGACATAATATGGCAGACACACTTTAAGATGACAACGGATGAGTCAAATTCTTGTGAAATCCCCTACTGTTCAGTGTAGGAGAAACCATGATATCTAGCCGATAGAATATGACAAAGGTGATGGGGTGCCATTCTCTTGATTGGCTGTTATTCAAAGGCAAATATGATGGATTATCACTCCCATGATTACATTATGTTATAGAAGACTCAGAAGACTGGTGAGAGTTTCTCCTTATCTCCTTGAACTAATGTATGGAGAGGGCCAGGTAGCAAGAAATTGTGGATGGGTTCTGCAGCCTCTTTCTGCAGCCTCCATTCAACAGCCAGTAAGAAGCCAGCCCTTCTGTCATGTAGCCATAAGGAAATGAATTCTTCCAACAACCTGAATAAATCTGGCAGCAGATTCGTCCCCAGTGAAGCCTCCAGAGGAGAATGCAGCCCAATCGACACCTTTACTGCAGCCTGGTAAGACACTGTGGAAAGGATGCAGTTTAGTTACGTCTAGATTTCTCACCTAAAAAAACTGAAAGATAATAAACCATTTCATAGAAATGGTTTAATGGTAAAGCTGCAAACTTGTGGCAATTGGTTATACAGTAAAAGAAAATTAATACAGTTAGATATAATCATCTTTATTTTACAGGTGTGAAAATGAAGATTTAGAGAATTCAAGCACTTTGCCTAAGATGATATTGCAAATGCGTTCCCAAGCTAGTTTTTTTTTTTTTTTTTTTTTTTTTTTTTGAGACGGAGTCTCACTTTGCGCAGTAGGCTGGAGTGCAGTGGCACAATCTCGGCTCACTGCAAGCTCCGCCTCCCGGGCTCACGCCATTCTCCTACCTCAGCCTCCCGAGTGGCTGGGACTACAGGAGCCTGCCACCACGCCCAGCTAATTTTTTCTTTCTTTCTTTTTTTTTTTTGTATTTTTAGTTGAGACGGGTTTTCACTGTGTTAGCCAGGATGGTCTCGATCTCCTGATCTAGTGATCCGCCCGCCTCGGCCTCCCAAAGTGCTGGGATTACAGGCCCAAAGCTAGTTCTTTATCCCCATTTTAACTTCTCTTTCTACCCCTCTTCCCACACCTTGTGAATATAGGCACTATTTTATTTTTTATTTTATTTTTTGTTTTTTTGAGACAGAGTCTTGCTCTGTCACCCAGGCTGGAGTGTAGTGGCGCGATCTCTGCTCACTGCAAGCTCTGCCTTCCGGGTTCACGCCATTCTCCTGCCTCCGCCTCCCTAGCAGCTGGGACTACAGGTGCCTGCCACCATGCTTAGCTAATTTTTTGTATTTTTAGCAGAGACTGGGTTTCACCATGTTAGCCAGGATGGTCTTGGTCTCCTGACCTCGTGACCCACCAGCCTCGGCCTCCCAAAGTGCTGGGATTACAGGCGTGAGCCACCGTGCCCGGCCCTAGGTACTATTTATTAAATGACAGTTGGATGCTAGACAGTTCTTACCCTGTATAGACACTACCTCATTTAGCTTTATCCTTACCAAAACCTTTTGAAGAACCACTATCTTATTGTCTCCTTATTACAGATGAGAATTTATTATTGTTTTCAATTTGTAGATAAGGGGCTAAATACCTTCCTAAAAGTACAGAGCAAAAATACCAGTACTTACTTAACTCTGAAAATCATGCCTTTAAGCATCATGTGTGACCCCAGTGCTTCTTTTATCATCCCACTCTGGCCTCAGGATATCACAGGTGCAGATGTAATGCTATAATTTATCCAGGTGTATTAGTCCATGTTCATGCTGCTGATAAACAGATACCTGAGACTGGGCAATTTACAAAAGAAAGATGTTTAATTGGACTTACAGTTCCATATGGCTGGGGAGGATTCCCAATCATGTCAGAAGGCAAAGAGGAGAAAGTCACATCTTACGTGGATGGCAGCGGGCAAAGAGAGAGAGAGCTAGTACAGGAAAACTCCCATTTTTAAAACTATCAGATCTAGTGAGATCCACTCACTATCATGAGAATACTGCAGGAAAGATCCACCTTCGTAATTCAATCACCTCCCACCAGGTTCCTCCCACAACATGTGGAAATTGCGAGAGTTAAAATTCAAGATGAGATTTGGGTGGGGACATGGCCAAACCATATAATTTTGCCCCTGGCCCATCCCAAATCTCAAGTCCTCATATTTCAAAACCAATCATGCCTTCCCAACAGTTCCCCAAAGTCTTAACTTATTTCAGCATTAACACAAAAGTCCACAGTTCGAAGTCTTATTTGGGAGAAGGCAAGTTCCTTCCTCCTATGAGCCTGTAAAATCAAAAGCAAGTTTTGTACTTCTTAGAGACAATGGGGGTATAGCCATTCCAAATGGAAGAAATTGGCCAAAACAAAGGGGTAACAGACCCAATGCAAGTCCAAAATCCAGCAGGCAGTCCAATCTTAAACCTACAAAATGATCTCCTTTGACTTCATCTCTTGCATCTGGGTCACACTGATGCAAGAGGTGGGGTCCCATGGTCTTGGGCAGCTCCTCCCCTGTGGCTTTTCAGGGTACAGCCTCCTTCCTGGCTACTTTCACAGGCTGTTGAGTGTCTGCGGCTTTTTCAGGCACATGGTGCAAGCTGTTGGTTGATCTACCATTCTGGGGTCTGGAGGATGGTGGCCCTCTTCTCACAGCTCCACTAGGCAGTGCCCCAAGAGGGACTTTGTGTGGGGGCTCCGACCCCACATTTCCCTTCTGCACTGCCCTAGCAGAGTTTCTCCATGAGAGCCCTGCCTCTGCAGCAAATATCTGCCTGGACATCCAGGCATTTCTATACATCCTCTGAAATCTAGGCAGAGGTTCCCAAACCCCAATTCTTGACTTCTGAGCACTGGCAGGCCCAACACCACGTGGAAGTTGCTGAGGCTTGAGGATTGCAACCTCTGAAGCTACAGCCAAAGCTCTACATTGGCCCCTTTCAGTCATGGCTGGAGTGATTGGGAAGCAGGGCATCAAGTCCCTAGGCTGCACACAGCATGGGAACCCTGGACCCAGACCACAAATCCACTTTTTCCTCCTAAACTTCCAGGCCTGTGGTGGGAGGTACTGCCACAAAAGTCTCTGATGTGCACTGGAGAAATTTTCCTCATTGTCTTGAGGTTTAACATTTGGCTCCTGGTTGCTTATGCAATTTTCTGCAGCCGGCTTGGATTTCTCCTCAGATAATGGGATTTCCTTTTCTATCACATCGTCAGGCTGCAAAGTTTTCAAACTTTTACACTCTGCTTCCCTCATAAAACTGAATGCCTTTAATAGCACCCAAGTCACCTCTTGAATGCTTTGCTGCTTAGAAATTTCTTCTGCAAGATACCCTAAATCATCTCAAGTTCAAAGTTCCACAGATCTCTAGGGCAGGGGCAAAATGCTGCCAATCTCTTTGCTAAAAGATAACAAGATTCACATTTGCTCCAGTTCCCAACAAGTCCCTCTTCTCCATCTGGGACCACCACAGCCTGGATTTCATTGTCAATATCATTATCAGCATATTGATCGAAGCCATTCAACAAGTCTCTAGAGAGTTCCAAACTTCCCACATTTTTCTGTGTTCTTCTCAGCCCTCCAACTGTTCCAACCTCTGCCTGTTACCCAGCTCCAAAGTCGCTTCCACATTTTTGGGTATCTCTTCAGCAGCGCCCCACTCTACTGGTACCAATTTGCTGTATTTGTCTGTTTTCACGCTGCTGATAAAGACACACCCGAGACTGGGCAATTTACAAACAAAAGAGATTTAATAGGACTTGTAGTTCCAAATGGCTGGGGAGGACACACAATCATGTTGGAAGGCAAAGAGGAGAAAGTCATGTCTTACATGGATGGTGGTGGGCAAAGAGAAAGAGCGCTTGTTCAGGAAACCTCTCATTTTTAAAACCATCAGATCTTGTGAGGCTCATTCACTATCATAAGAACAGCACAGGAAAGACCCATCCCCATAATTCAATCACCTTCCACTGATTTCTCCCATGACACGTGGGAATTGTGGGAGTTGCAATTCAAGATGAGATTTGGGTGGGAACACAGCCAAACCATATCACCAAGAGAATCTATGCTGATAGTACCACATCCCTTGACCTTCATTAATTTTTTTCTAACCAGTCACATAAATGAGAGAGGCACAGTATAACTCTCTTTGTATCTTAGTATCTAAAACCTCTCTTAATGGAATGGCAAATGTTTATGACCTTATAAGGGCTCTGATTTGTAAGTATTATTTATTAAAATTATATCAGATTAATTTGAAATTATAATTAAAATATGAAGAAAGCAAAGAATGCTCTTATATATCAATTTCAATTAGTATCATAAGCATAGAATCATTAAAATAGATGAAACCAAGACAAAACTTTGTTCTTCAGAAGTTGATCTATATAAGAAAAAAAAATGCTGGTGAATGAATGCATATAGAAAGAACACTAGCCACGATAAACAGTTTCTTCTTTTCAAACTCTTTTTTTTTTTTTTTTTTTTTTGAGACGGAGTCTCGCTGTCGCCCTGGTTGGAGTGCAGTGGCGCGATCTCGGCTCACTGCAGGCTCCGCCCCCCGGGGTTCACGCCATTCTCCTGCCTCAGCCTCTGGAGTAGCTGGGACTGCAGGCGCCCGCCACCTCGCCCGGCTAATTTTTTGTATTTTTAGTAGAGACGGGGTTTCACCGTGTTAGCCAGGATGGTCTCAATCTCCTGACCTCGTGATCCACCAGTCTCGGCCTCCCAAAGTGCTGGGATTACAGGCGTGAGCCACCGCGCCCGGCCTTTTCAAACTCTTGAACAAGCAAGACAGACTTTTATGTTGCTCTTGTTTTAGAGAAAAAAAAATCGTCGAATATTTTAAGGTGATATTATGGAGATAATAAAAATAATTTATTCTGTCATAGCATGTGGGGATAAAAAGCCATAAAAAAGGCAACTTACAGAGTATACCATTTCCTTTCTTCACTAAATTTGCAATATGCTAACCTGCTTAATCATTTTCTTAATTTTTTTTATTTCTGTAAGTTATTGGGGAACAGGTGGTGTTTGATTACATGAGTAAGTTCTTTAGTGATGATTTGTGAGATTTTGGTGCACCCATCACCCAAGCAGTGTACACAGTGCCCTGTTTATTGTCTTTTATCCCTCACCACCTTCCCATCCTTTCCCCTTGAATCCCCGAAGTCCACTGTGTCATTCTTATGCCTTTGTATCCTCATAGCTTAACTCCCACTTATGAGTGAGAACACACATATTTGGTTTTCCATCCCTGAGTTACTTCACTGAGAATAATTGTCTCCAATCTCATTCAGGTTGCTGTGAATGCCATTAATTCACTCATTTTCATGAACAAGTAGCATTTCATCATATATATACATATATATGTGATATATATGTGATATATATGTATATATCACAGTTTATTTATCCACTCGTTGATTGATGGGCATTCAGTTTGGTTTCATGTTTTTGCAATTGCAAATTGTGCTGCTATAAACATCCAAGTGCAAGTATCTTTTTTGTATAATGACTTCTTTTCCTCTGGGTAGATACCCAATAGTGGGATCGCTGGATCAAATGGTAGCAACACCAAACCATCTCTGGACTAGATCAATGTTAGGTATCCAGATATTCACTGTACATAAGAATGAAACTGCCATATTTTCAGCTGCAAGGTGAGAAAACTGTTTGAAACAGTAACCCACCACTAGATTGAGTGCAGAAACATCACATCTGAAATGCTTTCTTGCTCTTTGCTTTTGTGTCTCACTTCTTTAGAAATCAAGGGGAATAATTTATTTTATCAAAAAATAGAGAAAATAAGAGTAGGTAAACAGAGCGGCCTGGAAGCTCGAACTGGGTAGAGTCCACTGCAGCTCAATGTGGCCCACCTGCCTCTGTAGACTCCACCTCTGGGGACAGGGCATAGCTGAACAAAAGGCAGTAAAAACTTCTGCAGACTTAAACATCCCTGTCTGACAGCTCTGAAGAGAGCAGTGGTTCTCCTAGCATGGTGTTTGAGCTCTGAGAACAGACAGACAGCTTCCTCAAGTGGATCCTTGACCCCCAAGTAGCCTAACTGGGAGACACCTCCCAGTAGGGACCGACTGATTCCTCATACAGCCAGGTGCCCCTCTGAGATGAAGCTTCCAGAGGAAGGATTAGGAAGCAATATTTGCTGTTCTGCAGCCTCCGCTGGTGATACCCAGGCAAACAGGGTCTGGAGTGGACCTTCAGCAAACTCCAACAGACCTGCAGCTGAGGGACCTGACTGTTAGAAGGAAAACTAACAAACAGAAAGAAATAGCATCAACATCAACAAAAAGGACATCCACACCAAAACCCTGTCTGTAGGTCATCATCATCAAAGACCAAAGGTAGATAAAAGCACAAAGATGGGGAGAAACCAGAGCAGAAAAGCTGAAAATTCTAAAAACCAGAGTGCCTCTTCTCCTCCAAAGGATTGCAGCTCCTCACCAGCAATGGAACAAAGCTGGACTGACTTGGACGAGTTGACAGAAGTAGGCTTCAGAAGGTTGGAAATAAACTTCTCCGAGCTAAAGGAGGATGTTCGAACCCATCTCAAGGAAGCTAAAAACCTTGAAAAAAGATTAGACAAATGGCTAACTAGAATAAACAGTGTATAGAAGACATTAAATGACTTGATGCAGCTGAAAACCACGGCATGAGAACTACATGACTCATTCAAAAGCTTCAGTAGCCGATTTGATCAAGTGGAAGAAAGGGTATCAGTGATTGAAGATCAAATGAATGAAATGAAATGAAAAGAGAAGTTTAGAGAAGAAAGAGTGAAAAGAAATAAACAAAGCCTCCAAGAAATATGGGACTATGTGAAAAGACCAAATCTACATTTGGTGTACCTAAAAGTGATGGGGAGAATGGAACCAAGCTGGAAAACACTCTTCAGGATATTATCCAGGAAAACTTCCTCAACCTAGCAAGGCAGGCCAACATTCAAATTCAGGAAATATAGAGAACACCACAAAGATACTCCTTGAGAAGAGCAAACTCAAGACACGTAATTCTCAGATTCACCAAGGTTGAAATGAAGGAAAAAATGTTAAGGGCAGTAAAAGAGAAAGGTCGGGTTACCTACAAAGGGAAGCCCATCAGACTAACAGCGGATCTTCAGAGAAACTCTACAAGCCAGAGGAGAGTGGGGGCCAATATTCAACATTCTTAAAGAAAAGAATTTTCAACCCAGAATTTCACATCCAGCCAAACTAAGCTTCATAAGTGAAAGAGAAATAAAATTCTTTACAGAAAAGTGAATGCTAAGAGATTTTTGTTACCACCAGGCCTGCCTTACAAGAGCTCCTGAAAGAAGCACTAAACATGGAAAGTAACAACTGGTACCAGCCACTGCAAAAACATGCCAAATTGTAAAGACCATTGATGCTAGGAAAAAACTTCATCAACTAATGGGCAAAATAACCAGCTAATATCATAATGACAGAATCAAATTCACATATAACAATATTAATTTTAAATGTAAACGGGCTAAATGCCCCAATTAAGACACAGACTGGCAAATTGGATAAAGAGTCAAGACCCATCAGTGTGCTGTACTCAGGAAACCCATCTCACGTGCCGAGACACATGTAGGCTCAAAATAAAGGGACGGAGGAAGATCTACCAAGCAAATGGAAAGCAAAAAAAAAAAGCAGGGATTACAATTCTAGTCTCTGATAAAACAGACTTTAAACCAACAAAGATCAAAAGAGACAAAGAAGGCCATTACATAATGGTAAAGGGATCAATTCAACAAGAAGAGCTAACTATGCTAAATATATATGCACCCAATACGGAGCACCCAGATTCATAAAGCAAGTCCTTAGAGACCTACAAAGAGACTTAGACTCCCACACAATAATAAAGGGGGACTTTAACACCCCCTAACTCAAAATATTAAGAATTATTTATGACAAACCCACAGCCAATATCACACTGAATGGGCAAAAACAGAAGTATTCCCTTTGAAAACTGGCACATGACAAGGATGCCCTCTCTTACCACTGTCAATATTACACAGATCAATGAGACAGAAGATTAGCAAGGATATCCAGGACTTGAACTCAGCTCTGCACCAAGCAGACCTAATAGACATCTACAGAACTCTCCACCCCAAATCAACAGAATATACATTCTTCTCAGCACCACATCACACTTATTCCAAAATTGACCACATAGTTGGGAGAAAAGTACTCCTCAGCAAATGTAAAAGAAGAGAAATCACAACAAACAGTCTCTGACCACAGTGCAATCCAATTATAACTCAGGATTAAGAAACTCACTCAAAACTTCACAACTACATGGAAACTGAACCACCTGCTCCTGAATGACTACTGGGTAAATAATGAAATGAAGGCAGAAATAAAGATGTTCTTTGAAACCAATGAGAACGAAGACATAATGTACCAGAATCTCTGGGACACATTTAAAGCAGTATATAGAGGGAAATTTATAGCACTAAATGTCCACAAGAGAAAGCAGGAAAGATCTAAAATCGACACCTTAACATCACAATTAAAAGAACTAGAGAAGCAAGAACAAACAAATTCAAAAGCTAGCAGAAGGCAAGAAATAACTAAGACCAGAGCAGAACTGAAGGAGACAACGACACACAAAAAAACCCTCAAAAATCAATAAGTCCAGGAGCTGGTTTTTTGAAAAGATCAACAAAATTGATAGACCGCTAGCAAGACTAATAAAGAAGAAAAGAGAGAAGAATCAATTGGACACAATAAAAAATGATAAAGGGGATATCACCACCGATCCCACAGAAACACAAACTATCATCAGAGAATACTATAAACACCTCTATGCAAATAAACTAGAAAATATAGAAGAAATGGATGAATTCCTGGACACATAGACCCTCCCAAGACTAAAACAGGAAGAAGCTGAATCTCTGAATAGACCAATAACAGGCTCTGAAATTCAGGCAATAATTAATAGCCTACCAACCAAAAAAAGTCCAAGACCAGAAGGATTTACGCCAAATTCTATGAGAGGTACAAAGAGGAGCTGGTTCCATTCCTTCTGAAAGTTTTCCAATCAATAGAAAAAGAGGGAATCCTCCCTAACTCATTTTATGAGGCCAACATCATCTTGATACCAAAGCCTGGCAGATAAAACAAAAAAAGAGAATTTTAGACCAATATCCTTGATGAACATCAATGCAAAAATCCTCAATAAAATACTGGCAAACCGAATCCAGCAGCACATCGAAAAGCTTATCCACCAAGATAAAGTTGGCTTCATCCCTGGGATCCAAGGCTGGTTCAACATGTGCAAATCAATAAACATAATCCATCACATAAACGGAACCAAAGACAAAAACCACATGACTATCTCAATAGATGCAGAAAAGGCCTTCAATAAAATTCAACAGCCCTTCATGCTAAAAACTCTCAATAAACTAGGTATTGATGGAACATATGCCAAAATAATAAGAACTATTTATGACAAACCCATAACCAATATCATACTGAATGGGCAAAAACTGGAAGCATTCCCATTCGAAAACTGGCACAAGACAGTGATGCCCTCTCTCACCACTCTATTCAACACAGTGTTGGAAGTTCTGGCCAGGGCAATCAGACAGGAGAAAGAAATAAAGGGTATTCAATTAGGAAAAGAGGAAGCCAAATTGTCCCTCTTTGCAGATGACATGATTGTATATTTAGAAAACCCCATTGTCTCTGGTCAAAATCTCCATAAGCTGATAAGCAACTTCAGCAAAGTCTCAGGATAAAAAATCAATGTGCAAAAATCACAAGTATTCTTATACACCAATAACAGACCAACAGAGAGCCAAATCATGAGTGAACTCCCATTCACAATTGCTAAAAGAGAATAAAATACCTAGGAATCCAACTTACAAGGGACGTGAAGGACCTCTTCAAGGAGAACTACAAACCACTATTCAACAAAATAAAAGAGGACACAAACAAATGGAAGAACATCCCATGCTCATGGATAGGAAGAATCAATATTGTGAAAATGGCTATACTGCCCAAGGTAATTTATAGATTCAATGCCATCCCCATCAAGCTACCAATGACTTTCTTCACAGAATTGGAAGAAACTACTTTAAAGTTCATCTGCAACCAAAAAAGAGCCCGCATTGCCAGGACAATCCTAAGCCAAAAGAACAAAGCTGGAGGCATCACGCTACCTGAATTCAAACTATACTACAAGGCTGTAGTAACCAAAACAGCATGGTACTGGTACCAAAACAGAGATATAGACGAATGGAACAGAACAGAGGCCTCAGAAATAACACCACACATCTACAACCATCTGATCTTTGACAAACCTGACAAAAACAAGAAATGGGGAAAGGATTCCCTATTTAATAAATGGTGCTGGGAAAACTGGCTAGCCATAAATAGAAAGTTGAAACTGGATCCCTTCCTTACACCTTATACAAAAATTAATTCAAGACGGATTAAAGACTTAAATGTTAGACCTAAAATCATAAGAACCCTAGGAGGAAACCTAGGCAATACCATTCAGGACATAGGCATGGGCAAGGACTTCATGACTAAAACAACAAAAGCAATGGCAGCAAAAGCCAAAACAGACAAATGGGATCTAATTAAACTAAAGAGCTTCTGCACAGCAAAAGAAGCTACCATCAGAGTGAACAGGCAACCTACAGAATGGGAGAAAATTTTTGCAATCTACCCATCTAACAAAGGGCTAATATCCAGAATCTACAAAGAACTTAAACAAATTTACAAGAAAAAATCAAACAACCCCATCAAGAAGTGGGCAAAAAATATGAACAGACATTTTTCAAAAGAAGGCAGTTATGCTGCCAACAAACACATGAAAAAATGCTCATCATCACTGGTTATCAGAGAACTGCAAATCAAAACCACAATGAGATACCATCTCACACCAGTTAGAATGGCAATCATTAAAAAGTCAGGAAACAACAGGTTCTGGAGAGGATGTGGAGAAATAGGAACACTTTTGCACTTTTTGTGGGAGTGTAAACTAGTTCAACCATTGTGGAAGACAGTGTGGCAATTCCTCAAGGATCTAGAACTAGAAATACCATTTGACCCAGCAATCCCTATACTGGGTATACACCCAAAGGATAATAAATCATGCTACTATAAAGACACATGCACACGTATGTTTACTGTGGCACTATTCACAATAGCAAAGACTTGGAACCAACCCAAATGTCCATCAATGATAGACTGGATTAAGAAAATGTGGCACATATACACCATGGAATACTATGCAGCCATAAAAAAGGATGAGTTCCTGTCCTTTGTAGGGACATGGATGAAGCTGGAAACCATCTTTCTGAGCAAACTATCTCAAGGACAGAAAACCAAACACTGCATGTTCTCACTCATAGGTGGGAATTGAACAATGAGAACACTTGGACACAGGGTGGAGAACATCACACATCGGGGCCTGTCGTGCGTTGGGGGGATAGGGGAGGGTTAGCCTTAGGAGAAATACCTAATGTAAATGATGAGTTAATGAGTGCAGCAAACCAACATGTCACACGTATGCATATGTAACAAACCTGCATGTTGTGCACATGTACCCTGGAACTTAAAGTATAATTTAAAAAAAAAATAGTGAAAATAGAAAGGCTTTAACAGCAAGAAGTCAGTAAGACAATTACTGAGGTTGGAACATGTTGTGACTAATATAATGTCCTTGTGCAAGATAAAGGTACAATAATCATATCTCATTTACAAAGTTAAAGATGACCTAGCACATAAGAACAAGAATAATTTTTTTAACTTCTCTTTAAAACAATCCTATATGGTCAGATACAATAAATTAATGGATTAAAATTTGTCTAAATAAAAGGCTGAAAATTCAGAGTGCTTATAGACATCATTATGTAAAATAATCTATGAATTTGAATGCATTTCAGGCTTTCAGGTATGAATTAAATTACAATAAAGTAAAAAACTATTATTGCCAATAGTAGGTTTTATGATACATTTTAGGAATTGAAAATGTATGAAGACGTATTTTTATCATTGTCCTACAGAAATTTCTAATTAATTTGTTAATTCATGTTTTAGTGGATTCACAATACCAAAGTGAAAATTAGAAAAAAAGAGAACATAAAAATTATTAAAATATATTTAAAATTTATTTTTGTCTTTCATTTATTTGTACTTTCTGTTTGCAAAGGTGCTACAAATTTGCTAAAGAAAATTTAACACAATAGAAATATAATAGAAGAAAGCAAAAAGTTTTCTAATTATGCCATCATGTGACATAATCATCAATCTTTGAACAACTTTGTTCAGAACATTCTACATGTATTTATACACCTGGCAATATGTAAATGTATAATGCATATTTATTTTAAAATTTTACCATATGTATTAAATATGTACATTTAATATTTTAAGATATTGGAAGTTAATAAATTTATTTTGATCTATTAGTTTAATTTAATTTAAACATGTGAATTAAGTTTTACATCATTAATTAAACAAATTTTATATATTACTGCACATGTCTATATAATGGCTAAGCTGAAATATAAATAGATGCAATATTATTTATTTTAACAAGCTACTATTCAATAAAAAATTATTTTTTTTATTTTGTGTTATTATCAATACCATAATGCCAATCTTTGCAGACAGACATTTTTGCACTCACCTCTATTTCCATTGTGGGTTAATTAAATAGTATGAGTCTCCCCTTGTACTAGTAAATTAAAAGTTAAAAGGTATGCTTGCTTCTTTAGAAAAAATTTTTTGATGGATATTATCAAATAGCTCTACCAAAAGGTAGTGATTTTTTTCCCAACAAGTAGTTTTATCGGCTTTCCAATTCAATAAGCAAGAATAACTACTTTTATTTTAACATACTTTATTAGGTAAATGTTACATTTCACATGTTCACTTTTTTGTGGTGAAAAGGGGGAGCAAAACTTTTTAGTTTAATGCACTTGATTTTTTTAAGTCAAAGTTTAAGAAAAGTCAATCTTTTATTTCTTGTTTATAAATTAACAACTATTCATTTCTTTTCCAAAATTTTTTTTTATTATACTTTAAGTTTTAGGGTACATGTGCACAACATGCAGGTTTGTTACACATGTATACATGTGCCATGTTGGTGTACTGCACCCATTAACTTGTCATTTAGCATTAGTTATATCTCCTAATGCTATCCCTCCCCCTTCCCCCCACCACACAACTGTCCCTGGTGTGTGATGTTCCCCTTCCTGTGTCCATGTGTTCTCATTGTTCAATTCCCACCTATGAGTGAGAACATGCGGTGTTTGGTTTTTTGCCCTTGTGATAGTTTGCTGAGAATGATGGTTTCCAGTTTCATCCATGTCCCTACAAAGGACAGGAACTCATCATTTTTTATGGCTGCATAGTATTCCATGGCATATATGTACCACATTTTCTTAATCCAGTCTATCGTTGTTGGACATTTAGGTTGGTTCCAAGTCTTTGCTATTGTGAATAGTGCCACTATAAACATACGTGTGCATGTCTGTTGCTAATAAGAGGTATCAATTTAATTTTGAAACCATCAATTATTGACTGTGTTTAAGGCTTGCAACTCTGGAACATAATTTCTTTTTGTGTTTCTCTGAATTCATCCAGTACAGGTACATTAGCTGTGCAATTTGAACAACTGGCCTGACTTTTCTATAACTTAATTTTCTCATTTGGGACAATTGAGATATTAACAATGTCAACCTCTTAGTTTTGTTGCTGGGAATATATATATACCAAGTAAAGCATTTAGCACTGTGCTTAAACATTGTAGCTTTTAATAAATTATGGTTAAAGTAATAAATATGTCAATAATATATTAATATAATGATAATACAGCATATCTATTTTTGTTCATAGTACATATATGATGCTTATTACTTATGTCTAATAGGACACACAAGAATAGTTTCAAAGAAACAACTAAAGGAATGGTGAGAATTTTGCACCCATCTTCTTTCATACCCTTGATTTTACATTTAACCACCCTTTAAAGGTCTGGTTTTGATATCAGAGGTGGTCCACAAATCAAATTTGGGAAAATAGTTTTTTGAACTTAAGCTTTCCGGTTTTCTCACTTAGTGTGATCAGAATGACTTGTGTTAAAACTAGCTAATTTATTTGATTATGAGTTTACCTAACTGAGCTTCAGTTTATATTATAATCTGTAAAAATAGGTTTTAAACTGTATAAAATTTGTAAAGCAAAATAATAAAGTAGTAATTTAAATTTTCAGTAACAGTTTTAAAATATGGTATTTATTTTTCCTTTTCTTCATGCATAGACTGAGAACAAATATACAAAAACAGCATTTAACCACCAATAGAATAAACATTATGTAATTTTTAAGATGTATTTTTTAAATATGCTGACTATAAATTACATCAGGCAAATGTTTAGGTGTACACAGGGAAAATCTACAAATGAAGGCAAAATGCCATACATTTTTGAAGTGTTAACAATTTAGTTTGAGAATCATAAAAACACATTATTTTCTTTCCCTATTACTCTGACATTTGAAAAGCTGTATTCATTTTGAAATTTATTAACTCATTATGCTACAAGATGAATCTAATACTCCTAATTGTTATTGGCAGAGGGAAAAACAAAGAGTCTATTTCAGTGTTTAATTAGGAATACATACAGAAATGTAACTTTATTAGCATTGCCATTTGTACAAGCTCTGCCTATTTAAAAAGTTATATTCCACTGAAACGGTTATTGTTGCTGTAGACATAATATAATAAACTTTAATGATGACACTAATATTGATTTATCATAATCCCAGGTAAAGATAAAATAGTAAAATAGGCATTTAAACTAAATTACTCAGTATTCATTTTATTGCCACTTCTATGGATGTGACAGAATGCTTTAATTTTAGTTCCAGATATGACAAGGCACTTCCATTACTTCTGATTTTAAGAGTCTGAGGGTGCTGTATGTGGGTGTTTCAAGTCTAAAAATATTTAAAAATTGAATTTCTCCCTGAATTTCATCAACTTGATTTTTTTAAAACAGAAAGAAATGTTCTCAAAATAGGTTTCTTAAGACAAAGCATTTTTTGCTTTCTTTTCCTCTGACTTCAGTGTTCATTCTGACTTACAAAAAGATAAATATATGTAGTATCCACTTAGAAGTGAACATATATATGTTCACTCACATATATATAAAAATGTATATATATAAATGTTCTTCATACTTCATACCTTTTATTTCACTTTTGGTTAAAAAAATTATCTGTTACTAGAGATGAGTGACACTGTAAATGATCTTGAATATTCCTGAAATTCTTTCAAAAGATCACGTATTAAAAGAGTCTAAAGATGCCAATCTAAAATACATATAATAAGACTTATGATTTATGTAAAAACTCAAGATTTTTTAAAATTCAGGACTCATCTCCTGAGCACCTGCAACAGACCGGCTAGAAGTTCAAGTTTAAACAAAGTAAGATTTTTTCCTTTGAAAAGTACTGCTTTCTTATATTCTCTTCTTGACAGCAGAAAATAATTGTAAGAAACTTTGCAGTTAGGGGAATGGTATTGTCTTATTGTCTATGAAATCTCTCTTAAGGCATTAATAATTAATGTCTCGATAATTAATAACTAAAAAATGTAATTTTTTATTATTTTTATGAATAGCATTAACATTAAAATTTGGAATATATAAAGAAAAAAAGGCCCTGGCCTCAACATGATTATAATCTATTCAGAGACATAGATATATTAACATTTAATTCTGAAGAAAGTCAAATGTAACTTATGTGCATTTGGAGAAATTTTTCTCTTTCTCTTTCTTAATTCAATACTCCAATTCTTAGGTGTATTGAAGTCTTCAAATGCTTAGGAAACATGAGAGGCAACTTGAGGCATTTTACATGCCAACAGATTGATTTTAATTTACATTAATAACAATTAGCCTAGAGATAAAACGATATAATATAAAAGTGAATGCAAACTCTATTGGGGACATACTTCTTCCTCTCAAGATTGAGTAAGAAAAGCAAACAAGGTATGAACTGGATGTATAAACCATCAGTATGCACTGTTAACATTATAAATTCAAGATCATAAAGAGAGATTGAATGGGGAGGAAACATTTTTGTGACTGAAAAGAGTTCAAGCAAGATGAAGACTGAAAAGTATCTTGTCTTATTCTATTTGACTGTTATAACAAACACCATAAACTAGGTAGCTTATCTCTGTAAACAACAGAAATTTATTGTTCATAGATCTGGAGGCTGGGAAGTCCAAGGTCAAGGTGCTGCTGGGTTCAGCGTCTGGTGAGGGCCTGAGTCTTTTATAGACAATGCCTTCTTACTGTACCTTAACATGATGGAATCAGCAAACAAACCTAGGATCTCTTTTTTTTTTAACTTTTAAGTTCATGGGTACAAGTGCAAGTTTGTTACATAGCGAAACTTGTGTCATGGGGATTTGTTGTGCAGATTATTTCATCACCCAGGTATTAAGTGTAGTATCCATTAATTATTTTTCCTCATCCTGTCCCTCCTCCCAACCTCCACCCTCCTAAAGGCCCCAGTATGTGTTGTTTGAAACTAATGAGAACAAAGTTACAATGTACCATAATCTCTGGGACACAGCTAAGGTAGTGTTAAGAGGGAAATTTATAGCACTAAATAACCACATCAAAAAGTTAGAGAGATCTCAAGTTAACAACTAACATCACAACTAAAAGAACCAGAGGACCAAGTGCAAGCAAATGCCAAAGCTAACAGAAGATAAGAAATAACCAAAATTAAAACTGAACTGAAGGAGGCAGAAACACACACAAAAAATCAAAAATCAACTAATCCAGGATATTTTTTTTGAAAAAAAAAATAAATAGACTAATAAAGAAAAGACAGAAAATTCAAATAAGCACAATCAGAAACAGCAATGCAGATATTACCACTGACCCCACAAAAATACAAGCAACCGTCAGAGAATATTACGAACATCTCTATGCACATAAACTAGAAAATCTAGAAGACAGATAAATTCTTGAACACATACACCCTCCTAAGACTTTACCATGAAGAAATTGAATCCCTGAATAGACCAACAACGAGTTCTGAAATTGAGGCAGTTATATATAGGACCTCTTTAATAAGGACATTAATTCCATTCTCTGCCCTCAGGAACTAATCCCCTACGAAGGACCCCATTTCTTAATACGATAGATAAGCCACATTGGGGATTAGGATTTCAACACATAAATTTTTAGGGGACACAAACATTCAGACCATAACATGGCCTTTGAACAGATTAAAAGCTAATGCTGACTGTTTAGGTAGAGTCTTTTATATATATAACTATATATAAAATATATGCATTACATATAATTATTGTATACATTATTATATATAATATATACATTATTATATATTCTGTGGATAAGGAAAAATTATATATTTATTATAATTCTTATGGTTCAGAGAGACATATGCATTTTTTATTTAACTGAGAAAAAATTTACAGCAGAGGAGGGATTTTCTATATGAAAAGCAGAATGATGGAGTAAATTTTTGGGATATAGTAGTTGGGCATCAAAATGACAGTTTGAAGAATTTTGGGGGCATCAAGTATGGTATCTCAGCATCTTTTTCTAGAGAATATAGACAACTGTGAAAGAAAATGATTTTATGAGTAAGGGTGGAAAGTTGAAATTAGTTATCACAATTTTTTCCAAAAGACCCACACCTATAAGCTAGGAATGAAGAAAGGACTGGATGCAGACCTCAGGGACAGCATCAATATTTGTGGGTTTGCACAGTAAGAACATAGTTACAGATTGCTTAAACCTGAAAATCAGGATACTTTCTGAGAAGTAGGGACTGTTAAGAGAAAAATAAATTGATAATTCATAATAAATTAGTAAAGAAAAGAGGCATGATGACATAGTAGCGTAAGATAATGGGAATAGTAAGGAATTGTGATTAGAGAGTAGGTGGTTAGCATTTATGATGTCAAAAGGGCAACAGATTTTGAAGAGATTAGGAGTTCCAGGGTTTAACCATAGGGATAGGTCTGGGCCATGAATGTAGAGAGTCAGTAAACATATTTAAGTTAAAATAGACAAACAGCTTTGAGGTTGTGGTTTTAAAAATGTCTATCCTGAACTCAAGTCATCCAAGGCTGAGATTGATCTGAAGCAGAATATTGAGAACTAGGTGCCAAAGCTATAAGGGAAGAACTGTCATAAATGTGATAGAACAGAGAGAAATATAGATAAATGAGCTTATATTTTATCATCCAAACTGAGATATGTGCACTGAATAAATGTTAAATCTGATAGGGTCCAGGACGTTAGATGTAAACTGGGACTGCCCCAGGAAAACCAGGACATAATGGCCACCCTTAGGTACCAGAAAATGGCATGAGTCTCAACAAGGATGTGGAGAAAATGATTGGAAAGTCAGAGGAATGAGAAACATGTTAAATGTTAGCCTGGCCACCCTAGCTGATGATAAAAGTGGAAAGGGAGAGACAGTAATGAGTGTGGGAGTGAAAGAGAAGCCAAGACTCTGTGTGAGGCAAGTGTCAGCAGGTACAGGTGTGGCACATACATTCTGTCAAGGAATTAAAGACGTAAGGGATATATGCGATGGAGATGTCTTCCTACGTACCCTTTGTTTCACCTATCATGGCACCACCTCACAATATATCACAGTTATGTTTCCTTAAATCTATTTTCTACTGGATTGTGAACTCCTTGAGCATCGCTCCAAATTTTCTTCATTACAGAATCCCCAGGGTTTAGCAAAGTGCATAAGCTGTATTATAACAGAAACTAACGTTTTAAGTGAGTAGGTAAATGAAAAAGAATTGAAGCCTGATGTGCAGTAGGATAATGAACACTGAAGAATAAAGTATATGGTAACAAGAATAACAATGATAATGAGACTGGTGAAATGACTGGTGCCTGAATTGACCTACAATGTAGGAATGAACAATCTCAAAGCTCTCACATTTGTTATATAGGATGATTTGGTGCCAGAAGTGGAAACAAACAAGCAAACAAAGAAACCACTAGAGTTTCACAAAACATCTAGATTTCCATTTAGTTCTTTAGGAGGACTGTCTGGTTTGGTGACTTACAAACCATTGTAAACAAAATCTTCTCAGATTCTAATTTGCAGATCTGTACATAAAAAAAAAGAGATTTCTAGCTTTGTCCAAATAAGAACGGGCTAATCCCAGAATAATTTCTTATAATTTGGAAGGAGAGAAAGCTGGAAGGTTACAGAACGTTTTTTATTCAGATAATTTTGAAATCATTTTGTGTTTCCTGGGCAGCCAGCACTGGCCAGATGCAAAATGGTGGCCAAGTCCAAAACTGGCTATGGTTGGTGACCTCAAGGGGAGGAAAGTGGGAATAATAGAACAGAATGCAAGGGAAACAGACATTCATGTAATAATCCTGTTGTGGATTTAGAAAATATGCCAAGTTTTTTAGGTCTGAAGCTCAGGGAGAGTTAAGGTATGTCGATTTCCCAAATTCATATACTGAGGAGAAGCTCTGAGTAGTTTTCTGAAGGTTTCCCTTGCAGAGAAGGGTAAGCAGACACTAGTTACTACCGAACCCTCTATTTTGCCTATGAAGACAATCCAAAATCTTGCAAAAGCTTTAAAAATTTTAATAGGAAATTGTATGGCTAAGTTCCCCTTTCCTCATTTATGTTATGCATTAATTTATTGGATCATTCATTTATAACGGTTACTTCTTTGAAAAAAGCAAACGCTATTTCTGCCCTTATGAAGCTTCCATTCTTGCAAGGTGGAACAAACAGAAAAGATAATTTCAGATAAAAGGAAATGCCATGAAAAAAATAAAGCAAATAACTTTTATTTGTGTTAGGAATCTGACAGTGTAAAGATTGCCTTCTGCCTGTGCAGTGAAGTATGCAGTAAAGATTGGCAAAGTGCAAAATTTTAAATTTGCTTTAGAAAAATACATGACTCCCAGAAAATCTCTCTAAGACTCAGCATTTTCTAAGAGTGGTACTTATGTGTATTTTAACGACCTGTTAAAGTCATAAATGCATGCTTTTTATGGCTTTAATTACAGAGTAAATTTCTTAATGTTATAAAATCCTGAATGGCTATTGAGAAGAAATCCTCATAATAGTTTGATGGTGTTCAGACAATACTCAAAATTGCTATTAATGAGTTCTGTGCATAATGCATTGCCTGATTACTTACTTGCTTGAGGCAACTTGACATGGAAATGAAATTAACTGAACTGGGCTTTAATCCTGGCCTTAGCTCTAGCTAGATGAATGTGAAGTAACCACTTCGGTTCTTAGCTACTTATTTGTAAAATGAGAAGATGGTGTAAGAGGGGACCTTTATTACTCAATCTTGTGTTAGAGACTGGTTAAGTGATAAGAAAGGAGACTGGATGATGCCTTCCAACCTCTATTGAGGGAGGGAATGCAAAGGAGCATCAGAGTGTGATGTTAGAGGGATACTGGCATTTCCAGTCAATAGAGATAAGTGGTCAAAATCTCTCAATCTCCCACCCTTTATTGCTGATTAAACTGTGTAGAGATGAAGAGTGGTCTCATTCAGGAAGGACATGAAGATTTCTAAGTCATAGAGCCTTTAATGTGCTTTCCAATGCTGTAGGTTCTAAAATTTACTCAAAAATCTTCAGCTTTAGGGAAAGAACATTAATAATTATCTTTGGAGCTGTTTCTCAAGCCCTACTTCGTTTTGGTCTAAGTATCCTTATAATCCAAAATTTATCTGAGTATTTTATTGTACAATTGAAACCTGACAGATAATATTGTATAGCCAGTAAAACTGTATGTGACTCTGTAGGAATGTGGTTTTACAGAGTGTCATCTTTTATGCATCATTTAATCTTAAAATAAGAATGAATGGGAAGAGAAGGTTGGTTTTCTCAGATGTGAAGTTAGTATGGATGAGGCCAGATGGGCCTATGGTCTGATGTAGGCCACAGTCAGTAGACTCTGCTTTACTCATTACCGTATTCAACTCTTTCATCATTCCTTGTCTTACTGATCTTATTTTTTAATGCACTTTATATTAAGTCCCTATCTTTCAAGTATGGGATTTCTTTTCTTTTCACTTCCTTTAATATTTAAAGAGATTTCTTACTCTAACAATCTTGGATCTCACTTTTTGTTAATTAAAACCAATTCTACATATTTCAAAGGTGGAATTGTGTAGTTTTATGTCTTCATCCGGTTCTGTTGTGAAATTTTATATAACTATATACACAATACAAATCAAAGCATTAATTAAATAGTAGGTTTCATAAAACATGATGTATCTGTTACACGGAATTATATTTTTTTAATGGTCAAGACAGTTATAGGTCAGATATTGATTTTCTCTTCACTTGTAATTGTATGATGCATGCATCAGAATGTCCTGTGGTCCCAGATATTTGGGAGGCTGAAGCACAAGAATAACTCGAACCCAGGAGGCGGAGGTTGCAGTGAGCTGAGATCATGCCACTGTACTCCAGCCTGGGCAACAGAGCAAGACTCTGTCTCAAAAAAAAAAAAATTATATATATATATATACATACACACACACACACACACATATATATCTGTCCTGGGGTAAGATACATATATTGAATATTGAGTTTTAATTTTAAGTACCTAGTACTTATTATTTCATTTTCTGATCGAGTCTTAGATATTCTATTCATTTTTTTAAAATTTCAAATCATATTAAACAAAGTTATAAAATGGGTCAGCTTATCAAAAGGATCTAAGTATTAAAATGATTAAGAATAAGATTAATTGGTCACTCATTTTGTAGATGTCACAATAAGTAATTTCAGTATAATGACATTGGTCCATGATCTGCAGTTAAAAATTCATCATCTCATTTTTCCCTATTTTTCTAAAGTTCAAACCTTTAAACTCTTGGACAAACGCTACCCTTCATCTAGGTCTCAGAAGACTGTTTTCCACAGGACCATTTTGCATTCAATACCTTAGTAAAACCAAGGGAGCTACTGCAGATGCTGGAAGAAGGTGAAGTTATTGCATCTTCTACAACATCAAGAATTCATTCAGCACACAGTACTCCAGTACATGGGGGAATCCATTACTCAAAATAAATACTCAGAAAAGCAACACATTTTCTATCTTCAAAGGTAACCATAGACTAATCTTCTTATATAGATGAGATCACATATGAAAGAACATATCCAAAAAATCATTTAGTAAGATAGATATTTCAGCTACGGTTTTCCAGAAATAGTGTTTTGGCTGGTTTGTGATGATTCTTGTTTGTTTTTTAAACTATCAAAAGAACTCAACTTTACTTAAGCTAAACAAACAATTTCATGTTTCAGAATAACAAAAGCTGTAGAGAGACTATTTTAGTGCTCCTCAAATAACTTTTTTGTTTTCAAAACAAAAACATATATTTTAAGGTAAACTCACAGTAATTCTCAGGACTCACAATGGGGTATCTGTTACATCCTTGTATTGTACTCTACATTTAAGTGTATTGTATAACATAACAATGATTAGACTAAATGCAGGTAAGCACTTTCCCAAGGCATTTTTGCATTATATTATATGTTTACATTATTTTCCTTTCTATTAGAGTTGCAACCACAACTAGCACTCCAAAACTACAGGCTACCTCTTGAGGAAATAGAGAAGTCTCAATTATTTTTACATCTTAAAGCCAGAAATTGCCACTCTTCTTAGTAGCAAATTTTATTTTGCAATTTAAAAACTGGGGGAAGCTATTTTTACATCCTGTTTTGGATTCGATGAATAGCTGTCATTTTCTCCAATCATTTTGAACTTACAGTCACAAAACTACCTGATTAGCAACCTGC
This sequence comes from Homo sapiens, assembly GCF_000001405.40. Lineage (NCBI taxonomy): Eukaryota > Metazoa > Chordata > Mammalia > Primates > Hominidae > Homo > Homo sapiens. The sequence continues at coordinate 65,447,062 of NC_000010.11, read as the reverse complement.
CTAAGTAGAGTGCATGATAAGGCAGAAAAAGGAGCAGTATCTAGATGGGAAATTTGTTCTAGTTTGCTGCTTGCTGCTCAGTTGATTGAAAGTTCAGAATGAAAAAGCTGCTTCGTTGATGACAATAGGTACAGACTGCAACCTTTGAAATCAATGAAATCTGCCCTTTACCAGCAGGATTTTTGGATCCACCATGGATGTTTTTTCCCAGGCCCTCTCTATCCTGCATTCATGGAAAATGTTACCCTCAGCTCTTTTAATAATAAGAGTAGCCCAAAATCAGAGCAACTAACTTTGACTGACTCCTGGCTGAGCTGAGATGTGTGTTTTTATCTAGGAAATCAAAGTCATATCTTGTAACACAGGAATAATACATATCTTCTACCTTTGCTATGTCTTATAATAAAAGAAATCTTCAGGCCTTGATAGGAGAAATTTCTGATTTTTTTGCAAAAAGATAACACAGAAGAAAGTCTCTTTGATCAGAAAATAACAGAAAATATTCCCCAGGGCAAAAAGATTTGAAAGAGCACATGTAGAATATACAGGTAAATGCAACTATACAGGGAAAGGGTTTAGTATTTGTGGCTTGTATGTGCACATGAATTTCCAGATATTTAAACTAGAATGGAGATAAATGAGTCTAATAAATTTTAAAAAATAAATTATAAATTTATCGTTAACTGATCTTTAAATATTTAACAAACTCCTCTTGAATAGGAATAAAAAAATTATCAGCATATAAGCAACTTTGCATATAAGCTTTGCCACTTTGCATATAAGCAAGACACAAAAATACATAAAAATTAGAAGGGAAAATCAATTAAAAATGCAGATCCAGAAAGGTGAAATAGCTACTCTTGTATAAGAAGAATGGTTTGAAACTATGTGAAGATTCAAAAATACTTCCCTTTCTCCCCACTACCACATCTGTCTCTCTCTGAAATCACAAAGTCAGATTTTCTAGGGTTTTTTTTTTCTGTTTTTTTCAAGAAAGGGGGGTAAACTCATATATGTTGAGTTCCTACAATGTACTGAGGGGACACATATTACATTATTGAATCCTCAAAACAAAACTTACAAGGTATTAATTCTAAGAAGTAATGTTAATGATAATATTATAGTAAGCACGTTGCAAGAATTATCTAATAAAATCTTCACAAAAATACTCACGTGATAAATATTAACATCTACATTTTACATTTTTGAAAATAACCTATTATAGATTATGCATTAAGCATATTTCCCAAGGACAACTTAACTAGAATCGGATACTACAAACCCATTGATTAATCTGGTATCTACATATTGAACTCTTAAAGGGATCTATTTTTAAGAGACAACTGCCTTTCATTTTCTTTTATCACCACTTTAGGTTTCAAGCTCAGAGAACTAACTAGAATGTTTAATAAAGAAAAAAACGGCAAGTGTGAATAGATGTTGCCAGTGTGAGGATGATAGTTGCCAATTTGACAAGGTTTGACAGAAATCGGTGTTGCAGAATGAAGGAAAATTGGGGAAGCTTACCATTGAAGGCAGCCAGTCATGCTCATGACTAGTCACAAAGACAACCACTCTCATATGCATTGATGGGGAAGCATATTCCACTTGGCTGCAATCAAAAGAAAAAGCTCCAAATTGAGTCAAGGTTTTCTAACACTATAATTATACAAAATAATTTACTTATCAACAACTCCCTGATTATGTTGTGCATCTTACAAGTAATTCAACAAAACAAGTGCATTCATAAATTAGTAACCTCGAAATCTCTGTCAACTTAACATTTTAGATATATTGAAGAAATCCACACCAACTTCATAGTCTGTATCTGAAATTCATCACCATTTTATGTCCTATACATTAATTCATATACTTATAAACATAAACCTAGTTATTGGCCAACATCCTTTGCATTATTTGTATAGTTTCTTTCTCTCTGGAAACACATTACTCATGCTTTCTTTAAGGCCTTTCTTTAAGTGTATTAGTTTGCTACAGGTGCCACAGCAAGCTGCTAAAGACTGGGTGGGTGAAACAACAAACATTGATTTTCTCATAGTTCTGAAGGCTGAGAGTCCAAGACCACGCTATAACCAGGGTTGGTTTCTTCTGCAGGTTTCTCTCCTAGGATTTGAGATTGCCATCTTCACCTTGTGTCTTCATGTGGTTTTCCTCTGTTTCTATTAATCTCTTCTTCTTATAAAGACACCAGTCACGTTGTATTAGGGCACATCCATATAACTTTATTTTCTCTTAATTATTTTTTAAAGACTCTTGACTCCCAGTATCACACTTTGAGTTAGTAGGGGCTAGGATTTCAACATAGGAATTTGGGGTGGACACAGTTCAACCCATAACACTTAACATACGTTTTTATTTTCTAACTTGCTGTAGAACATTTTCTATGCAGTTTCAAATGGGGTGATCATAACAAAGCTATCCATATAGCTTTCCTGAGCACCCGAGCATACTGACAGAGTGTATATAATTTCTGCAAAGATTCTGAATGAAATTAGGGAGGTGGGGCAATCTGCTCCATCCTCTTTGAAATACTGCTTTTAGTGAGTGTAGACGAGTCAGGTGCATTCTTATTTACCAATATGCAAGTTATAAATTTTAAGGCACAATAACTGTGGAGAAATAATGAGGTTTATTAGTATTTTTAGTAAAGATTTATAAAAGAAAATTACTCAAATAATTCCTTGCAGTTTTAAATATTAAACAAAAGTCATCCCCAATGAAAGTGTACACCAGCAGAAATTATTTCAAATGCGAGTGCTAAAACATGACCCTTAAATAAGTTTGTGAGATGGAAAATATGCATTTACTGTCTGAGTTGTGAAAAACAAGACTCTGAGTTCCAAATAGGTAATTATGCTCCAAAATAGCCTCCAGGTCAGGCAAGCTCCAACTTTCATGTGCAATCATCTATCTGAATATATAATACTTAATCACGTGTAAGCATTCGATAGGGGTAATTTCTGTATGTCTCTCTCTTTCACAATATGGTCCTTTGTCTAGTTTATAGGAAATGTTACGTGCATTTTCTGGGTTTTTTTGTACAATTAAAAAGGAAAATAGCAACAGCAAATTTTAAGCTGAAAACTAACAAAGGCACTACAGTTAATAGTAAAGATTTCACCTAAGAAGAATTTGCTAAAGCATTCTACTTGACCATTTTTTTTTAAACTTTTATTTTAAGTTCAGGGGTACATGTGCAGGTGTGTTATATAGGTAAAGTCATGTCACAGGAATTTTTGTACAGATTATTTTTTCACCAGGTATTACACCTAGTAACTATTGGTTATTTTTGCAGTCCTCTCCCTCCTCCCAGCCTCCACTCTGCAGTAGGCCCCAGTGTCTGTTGTTCCCCTCTGTGTGTTCATGTGTTCTCATGTTTTAGCTCCAACCTGCAAGTGAGAACTTGCAGTATTTGGTTTTCTGTTCCTGTGTTTGTTTGCTATGGTTAATGGCCTTCCAGCTCCATCCATGTTCCTGCAAAGGACATGATCTCGTTCTTTGTTATGACTGCATAGTATTTTATTGTGTAAATGTACCATATTTTCTTTATCCAGTCTATCAGTGATGAACATTTAGGCTGATTCCATGTCTTTGCTATTGTGAATAGTGCTGCAATAAAGATATGCATGCATGAGTTTTTATAATATAACAATTTATGTTCCTTTGCGTATATACCAAGTAATGTGACTGGTGGGTCAAACAGTAGTTCTGTTTTTAGGTCTTTGAGACATCACCATATTGTTTTCCACAATAGTTGAACTAATTTACACTCCCACTAACAATGTTCCCTTTCCTCTGCAACCTCACCAGCACCTGTTAATTTTTGACTTTTAGCAATAACCATCCTGACTGGTTTAAGATAGTATCTCATTGCGGTTTTGATTTTCATTTCTCTAATTATCAGTGATGTTAAGCTTCCTTTTATATGTTTGTTGGTTGCATGTATGTCTTCTTTTGAAAAGTGTCTCTTCATGTCCTTTGCCCACTTTTTAATAGAGTTGTTTGTTTTTCTTCTTGTAAAGTTGTTTAAGTTCCTTGAAGATGCTGGATATTAGAACTTTATCAGATGGAAATTTTGCGAATATTTTCTGCCATTCTGTAGGTGGTCTGTTTACTTGGTAAACAGTTTATTTTGCTTTGCAGAAGCTCTTTAATTAGATTTTATTTGTTAATTTTTGCTGTCTTCATCATGAAATCTTTGCCTATTCCTATGTCCAGAATGGTATTGCTTAGGTTGTATTCCATGGTTTTCATATTTTTGAGTTTTACATTTAAGTCTTTAATCTATCTTGAGTTAATTTTTATATATGGTGTAAGGAAGGCTTCCTGTTTTAATCTTCTGTGTATAGCTAGCCATTTATTCTAGCACCAGTTATTGAATAGGGAGTCCTTTCTCCATTGCTTGTCTTTGTCAGCTTTGCCAAAGATCAGATGGTTGTAGGTGTTTGGCTTTATTTCTGGGCTGTCTATTCTGTTCCATTGGTCTATGTGTCTGGGCCATGCTATTTTGGTTACTGTAGCTCTATAGTATAGTTTGAAATTAAGTAGCATGATGCCTCCACCTTTTCTATTTTTGCTTAGAATTTCCTTGGCTATTTGGGTACTTTTTTGTTTCCATATGAATTCTAAAATAATTTTTTTCTAGTTCTGTTGAAGAATGTCATTAGTAGTTTGATAGGAATAGCATTGAATCTATAAATTGCTTTGGGCAGTATGGCCATTTAAATTATATTGATTCTTCCTGTGTACTAGGAGAATGTTGGTTTCAGCTGACCAATCTGAATTTAAAAGAATACTCTTTGCAGTGAAAGGCACTTAAGTAGAGATTATCAAGACAGCACCAAGCTAAACTCTTAGTACATATATCTAGACCATTGTAATTAATATCAGGTCATTTATTTAATATGACTCTGTACTGTGACAGCATTTCCAGGGAGAAGAGCAGAATTGGAGAAGGTGAAGGGTGACCTTTGAGTATTGCCTTATATATTTATGTCAATGTAAACTTTCGTATCAACAATGCTTTCATAAATGACTTATCTAGTAATAAGTAAACATGAATAAGTAAAACAATATTACTATCACTATACAGCACTGCTATGGGGATTGGATGCAATATATGTTAAAATGCATAGCAGAATATTTGGCACCTAGGAAACATTCAAACAGTTATTAAAATTACTACACTTAGTTGCTAGTTCCAATTCTACTTGACAATTTCTTTATCATAATTAGGGCTCAATCAATAAATTATAGCTTATTATTTTAAAAGTTTGTGCTGATTTCTGTATAAACATGACAAACTGAGTGTATGCATTTATCTTTCTATCTTTTAAAATTCTATTAAAATGATAGCTGTTGAAAAGAATAATCCTACAAGGATGTGAAGTTGTCATTTATTTTCTTTTATCATCATTTTCATGGAATATTAGGAGGGAGTGAATATCAAGGACAGTGTCTGGTTTCAGACTCTGGTTAACATTTAACTAGAAATACAGAAGGGATTTAAAGCTAATTTAAAAGGTATGTCAAACTTTATCAAATAGCATATGTTAAAGATAAGAAAAGGAAAAATGATAAGTATGAATATCTATCACAATTTTCTAAACACTTGATTTGATGCCTCCAAAGTTGGCAATAAGTTTTCCAAGGGCCAAAGTGGAAGGAAGGATTGGTCATTCAAGAAATCTGCAAGGCCCCACAAGATAAAGTTAACTAATTGTCTAGGAAAAGTACAGCTATTATTGGTATCATCGGTACCAATTTTGGGATAGAATTCCTCCCATGGAAATGATGAAAAGTTATTGAGTTACATAAATAATAGCCTGGAAATATTATTAAAATAAATATATCAGCCGGGTGGGTTGTCTCACTCCCGTAATCCCAGCACTTTGGGAGGCCGAGGCGGGCGGATCACGAGGTCAGGAGACAGACCATCCTGGCTAACACGGTGAAACCCTGTCTCTACTAAAAATACAAAAATTAGCGGGGCATGGCTACTCCTGTAGTCATGGGACCTGTAGTCCCAGCTACTGGGGAGGCTGAGGCAGGAGAATGGGGGGTGAACCCGGGAGGCAGAGCTTGCAGTGAGGCGAGATCACGCCACTGCACTCCAGCCTGGGCGGCACAGTGAGACTCCGTCTCAAAAATAAAAAATTAAAAATAAAAATAAATAAATATATCAACTAATTTAATTCACAGAAAGAAATTTCAATATAGAATTGATGGCATGTTAGAGTTCATTAGAGGTAGTTCTGAAGATGCCAATAAGATAGAGTATTTGGTGCCAAATTGACTTTAAAGTGTAATAAACTTCTGAGCAATTTTCCAAAGTTTTAAATCTTTTACTTTACAGATAAATGCCCATACATTTTCCCAAGAGCACAATACCATGTCAGGTGGCTTAGCCCATGGCAACTTTCACCTTCAACATGATACATTACTGGAGGTAACCCATCCTCCCACAAATTCCCAAAACCTTGTTCTTGTGTCTAGATCACTAGATCAGAGTCTATTATCTCATAATAAGAGGGCTTTAGTGCCTTTTTTTTTTGTCAATAGACCTCAATTAGAACTATCCTAGTAAACATGATGAGTTTCATTTATATTGCACCACCAATGGGAAGGTACCAGGGCTTTAACTATTTTCTCCTTTGGAGCTTATTGTCATCACATGCAAATTTATCCATTTTATTCCTAGTGACAAGATTTATATGACAAGAAATTGTGAGTGCTCAAAAAAACTTTGAACGGATGTGATTTAACCCATAGCTAGACTGTCATGTAACAGTGAGTCCTGGTGTTCGGGCTGGGGAATTTGTTCTCCTTCCCCTTAAATGAGCCCCCAAAGACATTAATCTCTAATGGGGAGAACCCTTTTCTGAAACCCTTCAAAGCCAGATATTCTATATCCACAAACATATCCCAGTGACCTTGGCAAGTAAATAAATACATAGTTGAACATAAACACGTCAATTTGAATGGAAGAAATTTCTTGTCATCCTCAAAGTGTTCTTCACATACTTACAAACTGACATCTAAACAGTCGGGGTTTTTTTCGTCCAGAAATATATTTCTACACACTTACATTTCATGTAGTTTTCTCATATGTCTTCTGTTAAGTTTTGTAATTTCTCATGGAAGAATTTTACATTTTTTTAATGTTTGTCTTTAGGTATGCTGTTTCTTAAGTCATTGTTAGTATAATTTTTTCATTACATTTTCTATCTGGTACCTTGTAATATAAGATTATTCTTTTTTCATATAATTACTTTGCACATTTACCTTTACTAAACTTTATTTTTTATCTAAACATTTTAGTTATTTATCTTGGACATTCAGAATACATAAACAATGATCATATCCATAAATGTCTAGATATTCATTTACTGTCAAAAAGCTTTCTTAAAGCAAAAACTTTTATATAACCATAAGCAATTGAATGACTAGAGATGTATTTTGCTGAGAAGTGGGTCTTTCAAAAGTGGAAGGCAAAATAGACAGCTGATAAAGACATTAAAAACATATTCACACACATTTCATGGGATTAGATCTTAGATGTCATGATGAGCTTGCCTTCTCGTACCTCATGTACCTAGATCTCAGAGTTACTGTCATAACAGATATTATTTAAAGTTAGTCTTTTAAATACAAAGGATGAGTTACGGTATGATTTTTTAAATGTCTTTTGAAAGTTAAGAGATCTTTTTAAGACTCTGAAAAATTAGCATTTTAATATGCTATTAGGTTACTCCTTCTAAAGTCTAATAATGGTATTTTATCTTCCATACTGGCAGCCTTCAATCCTGTGACATTAGTAAACACTTTATATGAGATTGTAAAGGTAATAAAGCTACCAGACAAAACCACTTTGATTCATCTTTTCTATAATGATAAATTACATATGACTGTGTCTTTCTTGATTCTCTTAATGCAATACACATTAAATAGTTGAAAAATACCACACACAAAATGTCAATTTTAAAGGTGTTTCTTTCATAAAATGATTTTTATTTATAAGACATGCATATATCTATTAAAACTCATAAAGTGTCAATAATCTTTTCCAAAATAAGCTTTTTGTCCCTATACTTTATCTCTGCTTTCATTACAATACTTATGGACAAAGCTTTGGTGCCTGCCGTCAGTGTATTCTGCCTTCTCTAATTATAGAGCCCTCTCAATACTATGCTTAATTTGAATCCCTTTTTTGTCTTCAGAATTCATCTGTCGGTAAATTATAGTTTGGTGGTCCTGGGTGATGCATAAGATTCAGAATTCCATGAAAAAATGTGGTTTATTGAAAACTACAGTTAGTTTAAAATATTTTAAGGAAAAAATGAGTATTTTTAATATAAAAATAAGTATTCCATAAAAAATAATTAATGGAAGAGTTTTGCTAACTTCCAAATAGTTTTGTGAGTTTAGTATAAAAATCAGGGACAGGTGTATACAAATTGTTCTGCTCATTTTTGTCCTTGATGAATATGAAATTGCTATAATGACATTTACAATTTTATTAACTCATTAAACAGAGATGTGTGAGGAATACATAAGGAGCTCTTTATAGAGTCTGGTGATTTAATATTTTGCTTTGTGTTTAGCTGAATTTATCTGCACACTTTATGATAGATAAACAATTAACATATATAAATATATGTTTGTCTCTGAACTCCAATACAAATTTATATTTACCTAAAGTCTGTTAAAAATAGAAAAATACAAATGTGAAAAATTTTCACATTTGTAGCTACTGGATGCAAAAAAATGAATAGTCTAAAAATTATTTGAGATACTTAATTTCGCATAGATTTTTCCACTCAGAATAAAAAACTCTATCAAAATTCTGAACAGCAAGCATTGATGGCTCATTATCAGAATTCCTAGACAGATGACTATATGCCTGGATAAGGGAGAGGGAGTGGATCCAGATAGCTTTACAAGTATGCAGATTCTTTTCAAGCAGCTGCCTTTATACGGTATGAATCTAGTGAAGGATTAGCCATCATGATTGGGGACAAATGCAAAGAATTAGCCATATGATTATGAAGTGTACTGTAGCAGATATTGTTCTAAGAGAAATCCTGAGATCTGGGCCCAGCCCCGTCACTAGCTGTGCAAACCTAAGCCAAAAACATAATCTCTAGAGATATTTCTTTTAGTTTGTAAAATGAGAATGTGACATAAAAGAAAAAATTAAAATGCTTTGCAAAACTGTAATGTACTATATAAATGAAAGGCATTCAATCATTACAAAATTGTGAACAAGATTAAGAGTTCAAAGCTGATATTACTGTCTGGTTTAACGGCTTGCTCTGTCTATACCATCTAGGCTTTCACATAATTTTTTGGAGGATCATTTTACCTCTTCACTGATTCCGTTATAATTTAATCATTATTGTATTGATATTGTTTCTTTTTATCATTTTGTAGCCATTTTATTGAGGAGCCAAGCTTCCTACTCCTTCTCATTATTAATATTTTTATCATGATGATGATGATTTTAATAATTATTTCTACATTCACAGAATTGGCTTGCATTGTTGTGGTTGTCTTTTTCTTTTCTTAATCTACTTTGAACACTCACAAACTTTTTAGCCAGCTTGTCATATTATAGAAATGACAGTTTTATAAGGAAGGCCATAGTGTTGCCCCGGCCTTTGGCCTAACAATGTCAGTTGCATACAGTTGTGATGCAGTCTGTGACAGTCACAGTGAGCAAGGGAAAAGGCAAAACAGGGTGTGAATGGAGCAGAGAGGGCACTAGCATCCTCTGCTGCAGGAAAAAAACAGCAAAATCCTGAGAAGAATCTGGAGATTATTTATGAGTGGGACACTAAATGATAATGATTACAATTGCTTATATATTCTCCCTATAACGGCTGATAATGGTGTGATTTGAATCATCTTATAATTTCAAATCCAATAGTGCCTCATCCATACAGGGTTTAAAAAGCTACATGCAGTAGGTTTAGGTAAAATTCTGATCAGTTAATTCCACTTTTATTCTGACTGTCAAAATACCAATCTTTCACTGAGGAGAAAAAAGCTATGGCATCTACTAATTTGATTAATGGCCAGATAAAGGGATTCTTACTACAAAGAAAAAAGGTAACAATGATGAAGTAGGAAGTTGGTTAAATCTATCAGGAATTTTTAAAATGTGATTAAATTTTATTACTTATAACACATCATTTGATAGAAATACTTTGAAAGATGCATTACTACTTTTTTAAAGAAATGCACTTAGAAATAAAATTCTTATAATACCAAAATAGTTATATAAATATTTGAAAATTCAAATGTAGAAAATAATTCTAAAGAGCGATTAAATTTCAGATAAAGTGACCATTAAATTGAGCATTAAAATGTAGGTTTTAATTATATTCCCATCAGGATAGTGGTCCTCAAATTTAGCTGCTAAACTATCTAATGGTAGTCTATTAAAAAGATAGAATTATAGACTTTGACTCTAGGGATGCTGAATCACTAGCTGCCATAGGGTCTAGAAAGTTGCATTTTAAATAGATATCTCAGGTGATAATGGGTTAAATAGACCCTATAATGCTCTGTGAAACACCTATTTGTTAGATAAATTGATTTAGAACCACTAAAATCTCATTAGAACAGGTGAGTATTAGAGAAGTATAGAATAAAAGAGATTGGTAGGGATCACTCAAAAAATCCACAAAAGGATTCTGAGAAGTCCTAGCAATGTCATTTAACTACAGCTCATCATAAGCTGAGATATGAATAATAAAAGATTGTTGAATTTAACCAAGTTCATTCTGTTCTTTTTCATGAGGAAAGTGAATTACACCACTAATTCCTTTGATTAAAGTTTTTCTTGTTTATTTGTTTTCTTTTTTGATATGAATATCTCTACACATAGAAATCATTTCTTTCATTGTTTTCTGAAAAAGACAAAGACAAATGCAGATGAAGAACAGTTGTTCTATACATTCTTTTTTTTTTTTGAGCAGAGTTTCACTCTTGTTGCCCAGGTTGGAGTGCAATGGCACAATCTCAGCTTGCCACAAACTCTGCCTCCAAGGTTCAAGCAATTCTCCTGCCTCAGCCTCCCCAATAGCTGGGATTACAGGCATGAGCCACCACACCTGGCTAATTTTGTATTTTTAGTAGAGACGGAGTTTCTCCATGTTGGCCAGGCTGGTCTCGAACTCCTGACCTCAGGTGATCCACCCACCTCGGCCTCCCAAGGTGCTGGGATTACATGCATGAACCACCGCGCCCGGTCTACATTCATATTTTTTAATTATAAGAAGAAAAATAAAAGGAGGGAAGGGTGCCATCATCTTTCATGGATGGAAGTGATTCCTGGTAGAGACTGCAGAGAGATAAAAAACACAGTTAGATTCTCTTCCATAATCTACACCTATTTCCTAAGGAAACAAAGCCAGTTTGGTAGACCAAGACTCTTCATCAGACTATTGATGACTATAACCTGCTATGGACTGAATGTTTGTTTCTCCCTAAACTTATATTTTGAAATCCTTATACGCAGTGTGATGGTATTAATAATAGGGCCTTTTTGGAAATAGGGCATTTAGGCATTTAGGTAATAAAGGCAGAGCCATTATAAGAAGAGACTCAAGAGCTGGCTTCCTCTCTCTTGCTTTGTCTGCCTGTAAGGATACAAGGTGAAGGCCATCTCTCCGAACCAGGAAGAATGACTTCACCAGATACCAAACATACAGATATCTTGTTCTTGGACTTCCCAGCCTCCAGAATTCTAAGAAATAAATGTCTGTTTTTTTAAGCTACCATATAGATGGTATATTTGATACAGCAACCTGAACTAAGGCATCATCTTGATTATTTTAAGAATGAGTATGGTAAAAGTAAGATAGGTGTATTGTTTGGGAATTATATTTGATGAGAAATAAACATGAAAATCCTCTGGCTTTTGCTCTTTGTGTTTATACAGTTCAATCACATTCTAAATAAAATAAGAAACTTAAATATTAAAATAAGAAAATTATGTGAGAGTCAGCTCCAGGTTTGTCAAACACTCCAACACGCAGACATTGTATTCACTCATGAATGAGCAAAACAATAAATACAAATGTATGTGTTATATTTCACATATATATTTAGGACATATAAAGCACAGTGGACATAATGTGGTAGGATACAATGATGGACATAATGTCATAAAGGAGATAAACATGTATTATACTCTAAGATAGAGAGTAACAGAGGTCAAATGAGATGCAGAAAGTTCTCTAACATCTCAAAGGACAAGAAAAATCATATGTACTTGGTAAGAATTGGAGAAGGCTACATCCTAAGAAAATAAATGCGGGGCTTATTCATGAAGATGACAAGCAATTTGTTTCAATGTAGATGAAGACTGATTTGCACATCTGCAGCCACACCTTACATATTTCCCAACAAAACTAGAAAATAAGTAAGGTGTGGGTGTGGATGAGAAAATAAATGAGCACAAGGGGTGAAGGGTGAAAAATCTGATTGGAGCATAAGATAAATATAATGTCAGACAATGGACACAGCCACCAATTCCCTAGAAGTAAGTAAATGTTTAGTTTGTTGCTAACAACAGCAGAGTCATCTTATGACCCGTACCACATTATCTATCTAAAGTAGAGTCAGGATTTTCTACCAAAATATCAGGAAATATAGAAGAAATTATTTTTTGACGAGTTGAAGAGCTACATCTGGAAACTCATCTGAATGTGGTTTGCAGCATTATGTTCAGGAATTCCTCAGACTATATCAGCTGAAAATCCTGAAGTTGATAAATGAGAATTTTTTTTATATTTGTGTAAGTATAGAATTAGAAGATATTTGTGTAGGTATGGGATTGGAAGGTATAATTACCTTCTAATTACATATATACAATATATAAAGACATATATTAATATAAATAAATGAATAAAGGTATATTACCTACATTATAATTATATATATGTTTGTATGTATATGTGTCTGTATGTGTGTGTGTGTGTGTGTGTGTGTGTAAATTTCTCCAAGACTGATAAGCTGTATCAGGACAAGATGAAGGAACCTCTGGCTACTTTTAGGATAACTTAAGTCTGAAACTTGACAGAAAGTCTTATGATTGCATATGTTTATACATGTTCCTCACTCTACTATCCACTTCTGTAGTGTCTGTTAAGACTCAGGATGATTTAAATTTCTTGAGCAATGTTGTTGTTTCCTCTGGCTGTAAATCTTCTTAATTGACTTATTTCTATGTATTTTAGAAAAAAAATTTAATTTATCAAGGAAATATATGTCCGGTCTTCTTCCATAAATTATTTCCATTAATTTTTGTTAATACCATGATTGATCAATGGATCTGTTTTATAAAGAAAATTTGAAATGCCACGTGCTCTAAAAGTGGGATCCTATGCCCTTGTAAGTAATTCTGTGACAATTAATGGCTAGAAATCCTTAGGCAATACAGATAAGCATTTGAAGATGCTAGAAGCAAAAGGACCAGGAAGTCTTTCTGTTTGTAAGAGTGCTAGTCTAGCACTTAACCAGCAAAGATTCCTCACTCTGTTAAGGGCCACATGCAACTCTGCCGGAGATTAACATTGGACTAAGAATTAGAGAATGAGAAAGCTAAGGCTTCTGGCCACTCTGGCACCATTGCTTACTATCAGCCCAAATTCCCAATTTTTTGTCATTCTAGTTCCATAGAAATAATCAAACTCATGGAAAGGATAATTACAAACCTTGAGTCACTCTGGAAAATAACAGTCTCACATTCTGTTATGAGACCATAGGTTGAAGATTAGTTTTTCTACCCATAGCTCAAAAATGATTATCTTATTTTTATGAAATGAAAAGTAGAAAGGAAACTAAAAATATCTCAAGAAAAGAGGTCTCCTGACCAAGTTTGAATGAAAGTGAACCTCTTGAATAGAGTACCTTTTTCCATTTATAGTCTTTCTCTAAGTATGCTTTAGATGATCACAGCTACTAGAAAGATGTAATTGTTGTAGTAGCACTGAGCCTACCCTTAAGAGATGGCATACATTGCTGAAGGAGGAGTAATAGATTTACCAGGGTCTAGGCAGACAAAAACTGTGGTCAATTGTGATTCTGAGTGAGAAAGAAAATTATGAGTGTGATATATGAGATAAATGAGAAACAAGGTGTACTAGGTGGCTACATCTTGGGGGAAAGAGAAATAAGGTTGTGAGCATAGGACAAATAAGACTGTATACTAACCCATGGCGCTGTGCTCCATTGCTACAATTGATTGTTTTGCATAAGATTTATATTGTATAATCAGCATGACCAGTTTATAGGTGGTGTTGCCTGTATTCTAAAGAGATGTCTTCTATACAATTAAAAGCAAGGTGAATGGACTGGCAAAAGACTTACTAAAAATTTACTGAATGAATAAATCAATAAACTATCAGCCACATTTGTATTATCTCATACTTGCAAAAACAAAACCAAAACACAAACAAAATTACTGCTACTGCCACAAAATGGAATAATTTGAGATGCTAAATAAACATACTTATGTGCCTATAGTTTATATCTTCCATCCATTCTCTACAATATACTGAGACTTGAGTCAATCATTTGTATGATCTTTATGGCATCACTGATCTTAGGAAATTCTTTAAACAAATTTAGATTCAATTTCCATCTTTTACGTAACAAAAATGCATAAGATCATCTCTAACAGGATTACCTTTTCTAATTGTCCACAATTCTTTTCAAATGATAACAAATGATTTATATCCTAGCCCTGCTTGACTTTGGCTTCCTTTAGGAAATTAATTGACAAGACCAAATTAACTTCTGCCATGCCATCTATGTGTCATATAAGTTGGTCACTATCAATTGAAGTCACAGATGGATACCCATTTGTTCCTACTCTATTCACCTTTGAAATTATTTTTTATAAAACCTCTTGATATTGGGTACAAAGTAACAGCCTACTCTTTAGTCTTGGTTAGGGCTGTCACACACGGTTGTACGCTATTTGCTCTGCACCAAAATTCTTGGCTAAGGGGACTAAAGGAAAAAAATGCCAACTACCTTCTCCTTGTCAATCCATATACCATAGTCAAAAGTTACTTATGCAAAGGGGACAACTTCTCTCTAATTGTACAAGGGATATGTTGATTTCACTTATTCATGCTTATACATTCGACATGACTTCAGTGACTAATAAACTATACTCTCTACATTAAGTGAAACTTTTGAGTCGTATGTTCTAACTCAAGCCGTATTTGTGGTACTCATTTGGAAGTTGATTCTGACATTGAGAAGAATACTAAGGCACCATCATCAGAAAAATAAATGTTCCTATTGATATTGTCCTTTTAACTACAGATATCTTCCAAAAACAGATTGAATTTTATATGCTTTTAATATATTTTTGTTCTTGTTTGTATGCATATGGATTTTCAGTATGCAAATATGCGTGTGTATTAGAAAGTATAATATGTATTTATCCAATAATGGTTGATAGGATGGTAAAGAGAATAGCACTGAGGTGGGGTCTAGTTAATTTTCTTATGCTACCATATCAACCACGCAATTTCATCACTGTGTAAGTAAAGATTATCCAAATTCCAACGTACTTTCCATAATCGTCATCCTCCTGATTTTGAGAAAAGAAGTACTTATTAAGCCTTTAACAACTTGCTTGCAAGATAAAGTGGGAAGTCTTGTATAGCATGACTTCCTCATAAGAAGCTTTCAATCCAGTCAAACTAAATAAAATCATACAGGGTAAAAAACAAAAAAAGCTATAAAAGTCATCAATTGTGATACTGTTCAACTTCCCTTTTTACAGAAAATGAAACTTGGCTGAGAGTTTGGTCACTTAACTTGTTTGAAATCACATTGATACTTGTGGCAGAGAAAATTAATTTTAACTGCACCGGACTTCCTCTGAGAGCCTGTTCTGTGTCAATCTCGTGTAGTGAATGAGAATATGAACTTCCAAATGCTTAGGTCTGAATCTTGGCTGCACCAAGTACTACCTTCTGGGCTTTGAAATTATTAAAGATTAAATTAAACTAAGCAATTAAACTAACTTCTCTGAGCAATTAAAGTTGCTTCTCTGTGCTGCTGTTTTAGCTTCTGTAAACTGGGGAAAATAACAGTACCAACTTCCTTTCTGTATGGATTCAGTGAGTTAAAATTTCTGAAGTGCTTAGACCAAGGCTTGCCATATAACCCTAATAGGAAACAAGCTCATCTGATTATGTGATGATGATGATGATGATGATGATGATGATGATGATGGTGATTCTTTTGATGGCTTTGAAACAATGGGGTCATTTTTTACAGTTGAATATGCTAATATTCCCAAAAACACTGTAGTTGAATGTTTCAAAATAAACTAATCAAGAGAAACTACAAATGGTCATGAACTGTGTTAATTTGATGAATCCCAAAGTTAATAAAGAAATTCAAATAGTATCTTTTTGTAAATGAGTTATAAAACCATCAACAGAACATTTCTAATGGTATCTATCCAAACATTTAAACTAAAACCAGTCTTTGAGACTTATAGAAACCATTAAAGGTCCTACCCATATACACCAGAGAAAGATATCAGCTGAGAAATTAGTACTTACAAATAACTACAATTGCACTTTTCTTCAGAATTTGATTTCACTTAAAGTAAGACAAAGTATTATGAAATTGCAACAATTGTAATAATAGAGAGTGAAACTGAAGCTTTGCCTGAGAGATATTTTCAATTTGTAGCCTTTGGTATGTAGCTTTCTTTAACCCTTTGCTCTGGTTTGCAAATTTTTAGCGGTCCTGATGGTTAAAATATGAAGTAACTTATTTAAAAATATGTATAATTCACAAATTTGATAAATATAATAATTTCTGATTGTTCTGAGCTACTATTTTGCAGGAGGTTACTACAGTACACTAAACATACTTCATTGACCATCTTGTTTGGCTCAAAAAGCAAAAAGGAACAAGGAATATTAATTCTGATTATTTTAGTTGATAACAACATCTTAAAATATCTCAAAAAAATGTTGGCAGCAACATCATGGAAAAGTGAGTACCTATGCTATTGAGAGGTGACAGCGTGCTGGCAGTCCTCACACCCCTCGCTCGCTCTCGGCGCCTCCTCTGCCTGGGCTCCCACTTTGGCAGCACTGGAGGAGCCCTTCAGCCCACCACTGCACTATGGGAGCCCCTTTCTGGGCTGGCCAAGGCCAGAGCCAGCTCCCTCAGCTTGCAAGGAGGTGTGGAGGGAGAGGCGCCAGCGGGAACCGGGGCTGCGCGTGGCGCTTGCGGGCCAGCTGGAGTTCTGGGTGGGCGTGGGCTTGGCGGCCCCACACTCGGAGCAGCTGGCCTGCCCCGCCAGCCCCGCCGGCCCCGGGCAATGAGGAGCTTAGCACCGTGGCCAGTGGCTGCGGAGGGTGTACTGGGTCCCCAAGCAGTGCCGGCCCACTGGCGCTGTGCTCGATTTCTCGCCAGGCCTTAGCTGCCTTCCCACCGGGCAGGGCTCGGGACCTGCAGCCCTCCATGCCTGAGCCTCCTAACCCCTCCGTGGGCTCCTGTGCAGCCCGAGTCTCCCCGACGAGCGCCACCCCCTGCTCCACGGCGCCCAGTCCCATCAACCACCCAAGGGCTGAGGAGTGCGGGAGCACAGCGGGGGACTGGCGGGCAGCTCCACCTGCAGCCCCTGTGCGGGATCCACCAGGTGAAGCCAGCTGGGCTCCTGAGTCTGGTGGGGTTGTGGAGAACCTTTATGTCTAGCTCAGGGATTGTAAATACACCAATCGGCACTCTGTATCTAGCTCAAGGTTTGTAAACACACCAATCAGCACCCTGTGTCTAGCTCAGGGTTTGTGAATGCACCAATGGACACTGTATCTAGCTACTCTGGTGGGGCCTTGGAGAACCTTTATGTCTAGCTCAGGGATTGTAAATACACCAGTCGGCACTCTGTATCTAGCTCAAGGTTTGTAAACACACTAATCAGTACCCTGTGTCTAGCTCAGGGTTTGTGAATGCACCAATCTACACTCTGTATGTAGCTACTCTGGTGGGGACTTGGAGAACCTTTGTGTCCACACTCTGTATCTAGCTAATCTGGTGGGGACGTGGAGAACCTTTGTGTCTAGCTCAGGGATTGTAAAAGCACCAATCAGCGCCCTATCAAAACCGAACACTCGGCTCTACCAATCAACAGGATGTGGGTGGGGCCAGATAAGAGAACAAAAGCAGGCTGCCTGAGCCAGTGTGGCAACCCTCTCGGGTCCCCTTCCACACTGTGGAAGCTTCGTTCTTTCGCTCTTTGCAATAAATCCTGCTGCTGCTCGCTTTTTGGGTTCACACTGCCTTTATGAGCTGTAACACGGCGAAGGTCTGCAGCTTCTCTCCTGAGCCAGCGAGACCACGAATCCCACCAGAAGGAAGAAACTCCGAACACATCTGAACATCAGAAGGAACAAACTCCAGGCGCGCCACCTTAAGAGCTGTAACACTCACCGCAAGCGTCCGCGGTTTCATTCTTGAAGTCAGTGAGACCAAGAACCCACCAATTCTGGACACACTATGGCAAAGGTAACTAATCCTATTTTAGCAAACTACATTACTTTTCGTGGGTTTTTTTTTTCATTTATAGATTTATTTTCTTTCAACATTTTAGAGAAATTTGAAAGTGTTTACAATGTCATAAAATTTACGTGTTAGTTTCCTTAGTGTAGGTTTTGACAATATAATTTTCTTTGGGATGTTGTCATCTTTTTCATGACACTGTACTTGTTTTATTCCTTCAATAAGCTTCCCTTCATAAGTTCTTCTGGCTGCATACCTAGAGTCTCTCAAATGGTGGCAATGTCAACATTTCCCCATCAAGTATTTTTACTGTAACTCAATTCCTGTGCAATTATAATTTTACTTCCAACATTATTACTTTATTTATCAGTATACTTTCACCTTTGTTGGCAAGATCCATGTTTTGATTATCAATTTTTGTGAAATATCATGTCGGTTTATGTGGATTTATCATCGGAGACAAGAAGGCAACAACACTACATACTTTGCTGTCTGTGTGGGAACGAAATAACAGGCACAATGACCAATCACTGACAGACTTTAAAAGAAGTGGCATCATTGGTCACTGATTATACTGTACATGTGTTACTTATGTAGTTATTTTTATGGGCTGAAGAACTGGCAGCAAATATTACATTTTATTCAATTAATAACAGTTGATAACTGTTGGTAACAGAAATTTAAGCTGTGTTGTTGGAGGACTGGCACCATTTGGCTAAGCCATGGTACTTGAAATCTGTGCATATCAGGGCTGTGCTAAGTGAGGACTGCCTGCATTGCATGGTTTTCAGCATCCAGATACTTCACATACTGGTTAGGTTTATAACAAATCATTGCTTGTTTTGATTTTTTAGCTATTATAAATGACATCCTTAATATTTTTCAATTGATTATCAGTAGTATTTAGAAATATAATTGCTCATTACTTTATTGATTTTGACCTGAAATCTTGTTATTACTCACTAGTTCTAGTTACTTATTCTTTTGTTATTGTTGTTAAATTCTTCGGTATTTTTCTATTTGGGAAATTATTTTTCCTGAAAAAGAAGATATTTTATTTGTTTTTCTCCAAACTGTATGCTTTTATTTTTATTGCCTTATTGCATTGCTTAAAATTCCCAGTGTAACACTGAATAAACAACCTTGCCTTATCTTACAGGAAAGCACACTATTAAGAAGAATATTAATTATTGAATACAATACTAGGTATAGGTTTTTTACAGATGCTCAATGTTAGGCTAAAAAATTCCTTTCTATTCAGAATTTTCTGTGGATTTTGAATCATGAATGGATACTCAATTTTGCCAAAAGCTTTTTCTGTATATACTGAGATGATCATATGGTTTTTCTTCTTTAGTCTCTTCACATCATAAATTACACTGATTAGGCCAGGTGTGGTGGTTCACACCTGTAATTCCAGCACTTTGGAAGGCCAAGGAGGGGAGATCACCTTTGGTTAGGAGTTTGAGACCAGCCTGGCCAACGTGGCGAAACCGTGTCTCTACTAAAAATACAAGAAAAATTAGCTGGACATGGTGGCAGGTGCCTGTAATCCCAGTTACTTGGGAGGCTGAGGCAGGAGAATCGCTTGAACCTGGGAGGTGGAGGCTGCAGTGAGCCAAGATCATGTCATTGCACTCCAGCCTGGGGGACAAGAGCCAAATTCCATCTCAATAATAATAATAATAATAATAATAATAATAATAATAACAACACTGATTGATTTTCTAACGTTAATCCTAAGCAGCCTTTCATTTCTAGTATCAACTCAATTTTTTCATGCTATCTTATCATTTGTTATATGTTGTTGCATTTGATTTGCTAATATTTTAAAGCATTTTGAATAACATTTATGATGAAATGGTTTGTAGTTTTCATTTTTGGTGACATTTTGGTCTACTTTGGAATTTCAGTAATAGGGCCTCAAAAATGCAGTGAGAAATGTTTTCTACTCTTCTATTTTCTGCAAAAGTTTGTGAATAATTTCTATTTCTTCCTTAAGTGTTGGATAGAATACACCAGTAGGATGGCCACACCTGGAATCTGTTTTATTTTATTATGAGAATTATTGTTGGAAGGATTTTCATTATAAATTCAAGTTTTAAAATAGATGTAGAAATTTCGAGGTTTGCCTCAATTTCCTTGCAATTGAATAGTTGCAGCTGAGAATGATATGGCCTACAAAGGAAAAAAATATGTATAATGAGCTTTTTGAGTTTGTGTCATTCAAGCAATTAATTCATTTCATCTAAGTTTTCAAATTTATAAGCAAAAGTTGCAATATTTCTTATTTTTCTTGTTGTTGCGTTTGGACCTGTAGCTATGTTCCCTCTTTCATTCCTGTATTTTATTTTGTATCTTCTTTCCTTTTTTTATTGGTCAGTCTACTAAAGGTTAAAGGTTTGTCAATTTTTTTATTTCCTTTTTTTTTTTTTGAGATGGAGTCTAGCTCTGTCACCCAGGCTTGAGTGCAGTGGCGTGATCTCGGCTCACTGTAAACTCTAACTCCTGGGTTCATGCCATTCTCCTGCCTCAGCCTCCCGAGTAGCTGGGACTACAGGCGCCCGCCACCACACCCGGCTAATTTTTTTTTTTCTTTTTTCTTTTTTTGTATTTTAGTAGAGACAGGGTTTCACCGTGTTAGCCAGAATGGTCTCGATCTCCTGACCTTGTGATCTGCCCGCCTTGGCCTCCCTAAGTGCTGGAATTACAGGTGTGAGCCACTGTGCCTGGCCCAATATTTTTGTTTCTTTAAAGAAACAGCTTTTGGTTATTTTTGATATTGTTTTCTCATCCTCAATGTTATTAATGTTATTCCATTATTGATATTATTCCTTCCTTCTGTTTTTAGTTTTAATTTGCTCATTTTTATGCAGAATTTTAGGGCAAAAGAAAGCTAATATAATTTATACATATGTGTATTCCTATGTTGTTGGGTAGAACATTTTATAAATACCAGTTTGGTCGGTTTTGTTGAGGGTTGTCCCATTCTTCTCTATCAATACTTATTTTCTGTCTACTTATTTTATTTATGGCTGAGAAAGAAATACTAAAGTCTCCAATTATGACTGTAAATTCATCTATTTACCCTTTCAGTTCTATCAGCTTTTGCTTCTTGTATTTTGAAAATCTCTCCTTAGGTGCACACATATTTAGTATGTTATGCCTATTTGGTAAATAGACATTTTATTATTATGATCTCTTTATCTCCAAAAATATATTCTTTTTTTGCAGTCTACATAGTTTGATGTTAGTATAGCCACTCCTACTTCCGGTCATTATTTGCAATTATTCATCCTTTAATCTATCTACTTCTTTACATCAATTGTGGGTTTCTTGTTGAAAACATAATTGGGTCTTGTGTTTTTATACAATATGACCATATTTGTCTTTTAGTTGTGTGCTTAGACCTAAGGTGTCAGACTACAACCTGTGGCCCAGTTTACCCTGCTCAGGGGAACCTTTGTTACATCCATCTTCTTACATAGTGTTTAGGGCTGCTTATGCACTGCAATGACAGAATTGAGTAGTTGCAACTGAGACTAATATGGTCGACAAGCCAAGAATTTTGATTATCATACTGCTTCCAGAAAAAAGGTTGCCAACCTGTGGTTTGCATTCAATGAATAATTAATGTTTATAATTGATATGGTTGTCAGTCCTATTTTTAAACCTTAAGAAGAAAAAACGCAATCTGTTTTATACATGTGGAGTTTTAAAATTTCTGTCGATGTTTCTTCTTTCCTGAAATTCCAAGTTTCTCAAGTTTCCCTATGGTATAATTTGTCTTTAGCCTGAAGATATTCCAGCATATCTTTTAGAGAGAGTACACTTGTGAATAACTTCCTTACTTTTCTGTCTTCTGATAATGTATTCATTTAGCCTTCTTTTTTTTTGAGACAGGGTCTCACTCTGTTGTCTAGGCTGAAGTGCAGTGGGTCAGTCTTGGCTCATTGCAACCTCTACCTACTAGGGTCAAGTGATCCTCCCTACTCAGCCTCCCAAATAGCTGGGACCGCAGGTATACACCACCATACTCAGCTAATTTTTTTGCATTTTGTTGTAGAGACAGGGTTTTGACATGTTGCCCAGGCTGGTCTCAAACTCCTAGACTCAAGCAATCCACCCTTTTTGGCTTCCCAAAGTGCTAGGTTATAGGAGTCACCTTCATTCTTAAATAATATTTTCATTAGACATAGAATTCAGGGTAGATTTGTTTTTCTTTTCTTTTTCCTCAGAACTTAAAAATGTTATTCTACTGTCTTCTGGTCCTCATGGCATTTGATGAGAAATCTTCAGTCATTTAAATTACCATGCCTCTTTATAGATGTGGCATTGTTCTCTAGCAGGTTTCCATATCTGTGTGTGTGTGTCTGTGTGTGTATCTTTGTTTTTTAGCAGTTTGATTATGATGCATGTCTGGGCAAGGTTTTCTTTGCTCTGATCCTGTTTGAGGTCTGCTGACTTCCTGGATTCTGGCAATGTCCCCCACCAAATTTGAGAAATTTTCAGCCATTTTTCCCAGTATTTATTCTGAAACAATTTCTACTCTTTTGTACTCAAATAACATGAATATTAGATCTTTTGTGATGGTCTCATTTCTCTATGTGTTTTAGAATAAATAAGCTCAATTTACTTTTCTTCAAGGTCACTGACTTTCTCTGTCATCTCCATTCTCTTTTTGAGCCCAGGCAGTTAGTTTTTTTGTTTTATGAATGCTGTATTTTTCAGTTCTAAAATTTCCATATGATTATTTGCTACAGGTTTTATGTTTCTGCTAGGAACTTTTGTCTCTCAATTTATTTCGAACTTTACTTCATCAAGCATAGTTGTAAGCACTGCTGTAAAGTCTTCGAAATTTCCATTCTCTCTGTCATCTGGAATGGGGATCTGTGAATTGTCTTTCCTCTTGAGAATTGGTCATGTCTTCTTGCTTTCTTATACGATAAGTAACTGAATTTTGTACTGAAAGTTTTGAATATTGTGTTGTTTAGGATCCTTTGAAGAATGCTTCTTTTCTGGTTTCTATTGGTTTGGTTTGGTTTTAGGAGGCAGTCAAAAACAATTTCAGACTGCAAGTTTTCTCTCAATCTTCTTGGAAATGGTGATTTAATATTATTTGAGTCTTTTTAATGCTGCTTTCATCCATCATATGCATGTGACATTCAGAGATTAGTCTGAAACTTCAGTGGTGGCATAAATTTAGTTCAGTTCTCAAAGCCTTTGCTTTGATACTTTCAGTTTGTCCCACGTATGCTTAGATCATGGTTGGGCCAGGACTTATGAAGGTCCACATGAAAGATGATTGGTAGCTTTTTACAGATGTCTTCTCTCCAGAACTTCCTCCTTATTCTCAATTTCTCAAGAGTCATTTTTCTCAATTTCTCTGCCCTGAAAGATAAAATTTCTTTTAGAATTTCATGTGTTTATGATGCTGCCACTGCAAGCTCTGTGACTAGTACCTTCTCTTCGAGTAAAGCCACGAGAATAAAAGATGAAAAAAAAACAAAACCCTGGGATTCTTCCCAAAACTGACACACACACTTTTTGCAAAGAAGAGGCCCTGTTCCCTGTTCTCTGACCAAAAAAGACAAGGTTTCTCTTAGTTTTCAGTCTTCAGTACCAACAGTACCACTCACTCCATAACTGGGCCTACCCATGGGGAAATTGTTGTAAGAAAAAAGAGAAAAAAATGGAAAACTCACTCCCATGTAGGTTGCTTCTTCACATTTTGACTCTTACCAACCCAAATGAGTGTCTGAGACAGCAACTTTAATCAAGTGAAGTTTATAATGCCAGAGCTTGAGGATGTCATGCCAGGATGGCAGTAGCCTGTAATCTGAGTTCCGAAGCTGATTACGTGAAGTACAGTATTTACACTTTTGTTTAAAACAGGGATATATATTTAGTACAGAGGGTGAGCAGTGAAGCAACAGGTACATTCTTACCATTTTGATTGGTGTTGAGTGATGTTCTACATAGGGAAGAGCAAATATGTGGCTGAGTGGTAGAAGAAAAAGGTTAATAATTGTGTAGGTATCTTAGCATCTAGTAGAAGAATAACTGATTTCATCTTGACTTTATTCCACATCTGATAAGTGTACAACCAGTACCTATTGGTGAAATATTTAGCTAACTCTGATTACACAGGTAAGGGGTCAGCTTTAGTTTCTAGGCCTTGGTTTTATTACTCAGATGTCCAAACTATCTATGGGAGGTTGTAACACTTACCTCTAATGAACATAGCTGCCTTTGCATGTATACACATTCCTGGGTCAGGACAGAAGTTTGGAATAGGCCTGAATTGATCAGTTTTCCTTTTGTTTATTTTCACACTCTCCTTCAAAATGCATCTGTTTTTGTTTACTTTTTAGAGCCCTCAGGTATTTGTTTTATATATTTTTTCCCAGAGTTTTCCATTATCATTATCAGGAAAGATGGGCTAAGATGTGTTTATTCTGTCTTGTCTGAAACTGAGACATCGGATGGAGGAAACTTCTGACATCTACAGAGCAGCTGTTTTTAATGATTCAATAGCATAGCTTGGAGAGGAGTATGAAATAATAATAATAATGATAACTATCATACTGAGAACTTACTATGTACCATACCAGGCACATTTTATTTTCAACATAATCTATTTATAATATTTATACTGTGATTTTAATTCACAACAGAAGAGCCTGAGACTTAAAGAGAACTAATGTACTGAAGTATACGCTAGGAGGTAAAGATAGAGATGTGACTGAAATACAGGCCTATAACATTTAGAACCTGTTTAGCCTTCACACTGTCTAGTCACTTTCTTCTTCTACCCCTCAAACTATTCTGAGTTAGCATAAGAAAGAAGCTGTGGATTGAATATAGGCTTAAATTGAAACCTGTATTTTAATTTTGGCATATATTGAACAAATTGTTCAGTTTTCTGAGTTCTATGCATCTATCTATAAAGTAGAGAGAAATCCTTATTGCGGTTTTATGAGAAATAGATAATATATATGTAAAGCATCTGTCTCAATTCAAGGAAAATAATCTTTATGTAATAAGTTCCACATATTGTTATTTTTATTCAAGAAATGTGAATATAAATTCTGGTACATAGAGATGGCTCAGATGTAACTACTGTTGCTGATGGTATCTGAGTTAATTTTTTTTTTTTTTTTTTGAGATGGAATCTCACTCTGTCGCCCAGGCTGGAGTGCAGAGGCGCATCTCAGCTCACTGCAACCTCCGCCTACTGTGTTCAAGCGATTCTCCTGCCTCAGCCTCCCAAGTAGCTGAGACTACAGGCACACATCACCACGCCCAGCTAATTTTTGTATCTTTAATAGAGACAGGGTTTCACCATGTTGGCCAGGATGATCTCGATCTCCTGATCTAGTGATTCGCCCATCTCAGCCTCCCAAAGTGCTGGGATTCCAGGCGTGGGCCACTGCACCTGCCTGGTATCTGAGTTAAATTAAAAAATTTTTTGTATAGTCATTATTTAGTCTAAGAAAAGACAAAAATGTGCCTTTGAATTATAGTTATTATCCTAAATGAGGTATGTAATTTTGATGTTAGTATATAACTATTGAAGAGGTTGTATCATCACTGCACTAATATGGGTGCAAAATTGATTTAGAAATAGTGTTTTGGAGACTGAAAAGGAAATAAAATAAAAATAAAAACTGTGATTTTGGCTACACTAATAAATAACATAATATTATATAACCATTTGCAACACTTACTGATATTCCTAACTATTGATGAAAAGAGTCAAACTCTGTAAAATATTTTAAGAGATTTATTCTGAGCCAAATATGAGTGACCATGGCCTGTGACACAGTTCTCAGAAGGTTCCGAGAACATGTGCCCAAGGTGGTCGGGGTACAGCTTGGTTTTATATATTTTTAGGGAGGCATGAGACATCAATCAAATACACTTAAGAAATTCATTGGTTTGGTTCAGAAAGGCAGGACAACTCAAAACCGGGGCAGGGAGTTTCCCGGCTACAGGTAAATTGAAACATTTTCTGGTCGACAATTGGTTGAGTTTATCTGAAGACCTGGGATCAATAGAAAAGAAATGTTTAGGTTAAGATAAAGGATTGTGGAGACTAAGTTTTATTGTGCAGAGGAAACTCTCAGATAGAGCAGGTTGTAAAATGTTTCTTATGGGTCTTAAAAGAGTGCCTGGCTCTTAGTCGATTGTCTCCTGGATCTGGAAATGAAGGAAGGAAAACAAAGGGGAAGGGATTCTCTATAGAATGTAGACTTTTCCCACAAGTGACTTTGCAGGGCAATTTCAAGATATGGAAGAGAAACATGTTTTGGAGTAAAACATTTTTATTTTCTTCCTCATTATGCCAGAATCAGATTGGAATATAAGTCTTGATATACAGGGTTAACTAAAACTCTTCTGATGAGAATTTACGGTTTGTAGGGCATGACTCCCCAGACCCCTTAGATAGAAATTTGAGCAAGATAAAAAGAAAATCAGAGTTTAGTCCTAATAACTACTTCTCTTATTAGGAATTTCCCATGTTTGCTGTAAGTAATAATATCTACTCAGAAATCTACTGAGTTTTAAAGTTTTATTAAAGTGAGTGACCAGGCTAAAAAAGATTCCTGTCACTAGAAGCTGAGTCACTAGTTAAACACGATGAGGCAAATTTCTGAAGTGGGATTACATTTTTATTATATTCAGCTACACTGAGAGTAAATAAGAAGCCGGGAGTGGAGGTGGGAAATGAGTATAAATGTCTTTGTATTAAGCAGGTAGAATTATATTATCATTACTTAAGAATTGAATTAAAAATACAACAAGATCACTGAGAGCATCTAATAGATTCACAAAACTTATAACCAGAGAAAAGAATGCTGAAAGCAAAAAGGAAGGAAGTATTCTAGCAAAATTCAAAATTAGAGATAAGGCTTTAGGCAAAGCTGAGCTGAGCTTCAGCTGCAGGGGAATTGTATGCTGACCTTTACAAAGATCTGGAAAGGTCAACTGATCTGGAAACCAGATCATTCTCCCATGGTAGAAACTTCTTGAGACTTGCCTAGACTTGCCCTTAGCCATTTTAAGTAATAATCCCTACATTGACAAAGAAATATTTTGATCAGCAAAACTACTATACTCAAATGAGTATTGTTATCTTTTCAAAGTTTTATTTGCAACCCTGTACAACCCATATTTTTCCTCAAAATGACTTTTTTATTTTAAGAGACATCTTTTCTTACTGAAATGTAGTCAGAGAAAAGTCAGAAAATGACCCAGCTTGACTAATTTAGAAAAGAAGAATAATGCCTAGGGATTTGCTGATGTGAGAGAAAACAGTATGTATTAACCTGAATCAGAATAGGAATTGATTTACTTATTTAATTTTTCCAGCTTATTTATTGAGTGCACACAATATGACAGAAGTGAGGCTAAGCACTGGGAAAATAATGATGAGCAAGGAAGGCCTAGACCCGGCCCTGATAGAGAATGCAGTCAAATGAGGCAGATAGGGAAATAATTATGTCTTAGTCCATTTTCTGTTGCTGTAACAGAACACCTGAGACCAGGTAATTTAGTAATTTATAAGAAACAGAGATTTATTTCCTCCAGTTCTAAAGCTGAGAAGTCCAAGACTCAGGGGCCACATCTTTCTTTGTCATCCCATGATGGAAGGTGGAAGGGCAAGAAAGCCCACATGTGAGGGAGCTAGCAAGGTGGCCAAATTGGAGTTTATAACAAACCCATTCTTGAGATAAGTAATTCACTTCTTCAATAATGACATTAATCCATTTATGAGGGCAGAGCCCTTTGGAGGACACGTTCAAACTCTACCAGTATATAAAAAAATATAATAATTTAACTTTCTAAGAAAAAGACATAATGTTTTACAAGAGTGTTGATAGTGAAGCTACTTAGTCTGAGAGGTGAGACAAAACTTTTCTAAGTGATGATTGGGTTAAGATTGAATAAAAAAGAGAACTTAATTATATGAAAAGCTCCAGTATGGACAAAGAAAACATCACTGCAGATTTACTTGTATGAATTATATCAGGAAACAGATGGCAGATTCAAAATAATTCAATGGAAAATAATTTAAGGTAAGAACTATTTACGAAGGTGTAGGCAAGGTTAAAGGAATAAAAAAGTAAATGATGATGCACACAGGAAGGAAAAAGTATGACACCCCTAAGATTGCGGCCAAGTCACAATTTTACCTCTACCCTCTTAGGGTTTTTTTATTCTGGGCTAAAAAATTAAATAGACATAAGACAAACTAATAGAAAAGCATACGTATTAATCTGTTCTTATGCTGCTATAAGGACACACTTGAAACTGGGTAGTTTATAAAGGAAAGAGGTTTAATTGGCTCACAGTTTAACAGGGCTGGGGAGGCCTCAGGAAACTTATAGTCATGGCTGAAGGGGAAGTAAACAAGTCCTTCTTAACATGGTGGCAGTAAAAAGCAAGGCAGAGCAAAGGGGTTGGGGGAGCCCCTTATAAAACCATCAGATCTCATGAGAACTCACTATCAGGAGAAGAGCATGGAGGTAACTGCCCCCATGATTCAATTACCTCCCACCAAGTCTCTCCCACAACACATGGGGATAATGGGAACTACAGTTTAAGATGAGATTTGGGTGGGGACACAGTGAAACCATAATCAAGCATGTAAGACAAACTAATAGAAAAGGATACAAATTTATTTAATATAAGTTTTTTAGGACATGGGAACCTTCATAAGGAAATGAAGACCTGAGAAATGGCAAAACCTAACTGTTTATATTTGATTGAACAAAAAGAGGAAATTGTGGAAAAGTTACTAAAGTGTCTGGAGAGACAGAAGGTAAATAAGAATTATTTTAACCACGTCTTTCTGTACAGAATTCTCTGTCTCAGCTTCCTGTCTTTGATGGTAAGTATGTAACTTTTCTTCTGGTATAGGGAGTACATCTTCCATATGGGTTTTTATATCCTTCTTTCAAAAAGAGGGAGGAAAGGTTCAGTGTGCCTTTCTTGAATCTGCCTTACTTTTTTTTTTATTTTTAGTAGAGACGGGGTTTCACTGTGTTAACCAGGATGGTCTCCATCTCCTGA
Source organism: Homo sapiens (assembly GCF_000001405.40). Lineage (NCBI taxonomy): Eukaryota > Metazoa > Chordata > Mammalia > Primates > Hominidae > Homo > Homo sapiens. The sequence continues at coordinate 65,417,407 of NC_000010.11, read as the reverse complement.
CCTCATGATCCACCTGCCTAGGCCTCCCAATATGCTGGAATTCTAGGCATGAGCCACCGCGCCTGGCCGAATCTGCCTTTTTTTTTTTTTTTAAAGAAGCTTTGGCTCAAAATAATCCTTATGCCAAAGTGGCATATTTTGGGGTAGCATATTCTACTATATTTTATTAATATTTTCAGCCCAGAAGAGGCAGGGTGATGATATCTCCCAAAACCAGTGACTCTGAAGCCATGGAAGTGCCACCATACAGAAGCTATAATGGAAAACAGTCAATCAAAACTGTGGCCTCTTAGAGAGGAAGGTGTGAAGCCTCTCCTCACATTTCTGCAATCTTCTGCTGGTAAGTGGGAGTGAAGGCAAAGAAAGAATAACTAGAAAAACAGTCAAGTGGAACAGCATATGCAGAGAGGATCAAGAATGAAAGAATAAATTTTGATTTTGATTTTTGGGATGCATAAAACATGCTAGATGCCAACTCTTTCTTGATGTGAAGAGTACTAATAAGAAGTTTAAAATGAGAAATATGAAACATATGACTCAAAGAGAGAGAGACAGAGTAATCACCAGGTATTTCTAGAGTCAACATGGGCATTGAAGAGACTGCAGAAAAGCTACAGGGGAAAGGGCTATGTGAAAATTTGGGAAAGCCCAGATTTGAAGCTCAAAGATGTGGGGATTTCTTTCCAATGTTTATTGGTTCTAATCAGTGGCTTCTTCATTTACTATATAGTGGTACAAGACTTAAAAGAGGATTAAAATGTGGAAGAGCTGTGCTTGCTTCTGAGAATGTTCAAAAGAATAAAATTGACTCAAAGAACTATTATGCATGCATATTGAGGAAAGTAGAGAAATTTAGGAAAAGCTTTATTTAGGAGTGGTGAAAGAAGCAAATAGACCAAGTCATAGAGGTTTATAGAAAATCATAGGAGGGTGTGCAAGGGAAAAATTCCAAAATATAATAGAATCAAGTTTCTACCAGAAACCCCTAGATGCCCTGATTTTGTCATCCTAAAGCAGTAATTCATTCTCCAGTTAGAATATCCACTGCATAACAGCATGTCTCATGTCTGTGCTTTATGGCTAGTAGCAATTTTATTGACCTCAGTGTCCAGAAATGCAGACCGGAAATAACACTGTCTGCAGGCACTGCACTGTCATATTTATGATATAAATGGCAAAATCTTGCTCATGATCCATTATTTGTGACTGCATCACTAGTCTTATCATGACATTGAACAGAAGAAAAAAACAGTGATTGATGAGCAAGAAAGAATATTGAAGAAGCAAGATAAAATGTCATAAGGTCAGTTCAGAAGCAACTGAAAAGCTGACAAAGAGTTTTAAATAAGAATCTTTGTCATAATAAGAGTTTAGACTTTTTATGTGGAATTTTTCTTAAAATTGTGGATATATGCAATACACTAAATAAAATTATGTGTATCTATATGTGTGTGTGTATATATATATAGTTATATATAGTCACATAATGACATGAAATTTTAGTTAGTGATTGACTGCCTATATAACAGTGGTTTCATGGTCGTAGCTGACAGAATAGCATAGCACAATTACTTTATTTTTAAAATAAATTTAGTGTAGCCTAAGTGTAAAGTGTTTATAAAGTCTACAACAGTGTATAGTAACATCCTAAACATTCATATTCACTCACCAGTCACTGACTCATCCAAAGCAACTTCAAGTCCTGCAAGCTCTGTTCATGAAAAGTGCCTTATATAGGTGCACCATTTTTAGTGTTTGATACCACATTTTTATTGTACCTTTTCTATGTTTAGGTACACAAATACTTACTATTGTGGTACAATTGCCTACAGTATTCATACAGCAACATGCTGTATAGGCTTGTAGCCAAGGAGCAATAGGCTATACCATATGGCATATGGCCTGGGTGTGTTGTAAGCTATACAACCTAGGTGTGTGTAATTACACTCTATGATGTTCTCACAAGATTGCCTAATGATCCATTTCTCAGAACATGTCCTCTTTGAGAGGCATGACTATACACAAGCACACATATACACATATATATGTATATGAGCTAAATGCTATTTTTATAAGCACACAATATCTTGCTAATTCTCATGAAGCTGGTCTCTAGCTGAAAATATTTTCAAATTATAGGTAGAATAATAATATATGCATGCTCTGATCTTAAAAAGTTATACTGAGTTGAGATATTTGAAAAAAATTCAATGACTCTGGGTATGAAGGAACAGGAAATATACAGAGAAGGAATGAAATAGATAAATGTAGACAAAAATTATTTGCAGAAAAAATTAAGTACTATTGTTTTATAAATTTGATAGGTGTTGCGGGAAGTCAGGGACCTCAAACAGAGGGACCAGCTGAAGCCATGGCGGAAGAACATAAATTGTGAATATTTCGTGGACATTTATCACTTCCCCAAACAATACTCTGGTGATTTCCTATGCCTGTCTTTACTTTAATCTCTTAATCCCGTCATCTTCGTAAACTGAGGAGGATGTATGTTGCCTCAGGACCCTGTGATGATTGCGTTAACTGCACAAATTGTTTGTAGAGCATGTGTGTTTGAACAATATCAAATCTGGGCACCTTAAGAATAGGATAACAGAGATATTCAGGGAACAAGGGAGATAACCTTAATGTCTGGCTGCCTGTGGGCCAGGCGGAGCAGAGCCATATGTCTCTCCTTTCAAAAGCAAATAGGAGAAATATTGCCGAATTCTTTTTCTCAGCAAGGAACAGCCCTGAGAAAGAGAATGCGTGCCTAGGGGTAGGACTCTAACATGGCTGCTCTGGGGATGTCTGTCTTTTACAATTGTAGATAAGGGATGAAATAAGCCCCGATCTCCTGTAGTGCTCCCAGGCTTATTAGGATGAGGAAATTCCTGCCTAATAAATTTTAGTCAGACCGGTTGTCTGCTCTCAAACCCTGTCTCCTGGTAAGACGTTATCAATGACAATGCATGCTCGAAACTTTATTAGCAATTTTAATTTCACCCTAGTCCTGTGATCTCACCCTGCCTCCATTTACCATGTGATGTTTTATTACCTTGTGAAGCATGTGACCTCTGTGACCCACACCCTATTAATACACTCCCTCCCCTTTTGAAAATCACTAATAAAACTTGCTGGTTTTATGGCTCAGGGGGCATCATGGAACCTGCCGACATGTGATGTCTTCCCCAGACACCCAGCTTTAAAATTTCTCTCTTTTGTACTCTTTCCCTTTATTTCTCAGACCAGCTGACACTTAGGGAAAATAGAAAAGGACCCACGTGAAATATCGGGGGCTGAATTTCCCCTGGTAGATAGGCTACATATAGTGACAAATACACAATCTAACTCATAAACTATAATAATTTCAAAAAGTCCTTTGGTTTAAATTTTAAAGGAATATATTAAAAGTTATATAGAGAAAAACCGAATAGGATTTAAAATATTTTAACTCTCTTCCCTGGTTTGTTGCCAGGAAATTTGAAAGCTTGTTTGTTATACACATAAAACTACTAAGGCTTAATATAAAAAGGGTAAAACTTGTTCTACAGTAGTAACAATCACAGAATAAATTTCAATTTTTTAAAATTTCAGGTTTCATTTTAATTTATAACAAAGTTTAAATTTCCTTTTTTAAAAAAAGAAAAAAGAAACTGACCCAGATAATTCACATGGTACATATGAAATTCTTTGTAAATAAATAAGTAATCCAAGAACCAGGCTGATGATATACTCTGACATAGAAAATGTTAAAACAAAAGCATTACTGCATTGTGTTTTAAAAAGAAAGGCAAAGCTAGTTGAAAGGTTCAAACTAAAACTAGTCCAAATTTAATTTGAGAATAGGCATAGGGAGAAAAGATTTTTCTTGGCCTGAGTTTTTTACAAACTGAGATCATGCTGTATGTACCCAGTGAGTTTTGTTGTTGTTGTTGTTGTTGTTTGTTTTCAGGAAATTATGGAGATCAATTTGTTTAATGGCATGACATCTGCTTACTGCTTTTACTGGTTTGTGGAATCAGTCTTTCCGAACCACCTCAAATGCTTCATTTGCTTTGCAGAACACTATCAGCATGAAGAAGAGGATTATTGGTTGAATATCCTTTGGAAATACTCAGCCTCTTGGCAACTGCAAAGCATCCTCTTCCAGAAATTGCACTGTGCTCTTTAACATTCCAGCTGCAATGTTGCGGAAATCATATATTCTGCAAACCCCAGTTAGCCAGGTGTCCTCCCAACTATTCCTTATGAAGGAGTCTTGCCAACATAATAATAAAGTCTCATGATGCTGCAGCACTACTTGTCTTTATCCTGTGGCTCCAGGCCTGCAGAGAAATGGGCTTTCTCAGGCTTAATTAGGCCAACATTTGGCAAGAAACACCTCAATATATAAAAAACCTCTTCTCCAGAAATGGGCAATCAAATTCTCTCTCCATACACTTTCTGGAACAATCCATCAGAATAAACTTCCAGTGAGGCTTATTATCTTTTAAGCTTCAATTTTTATCCAGAGTTTGCAAAAATCACCTTGAGAATTTGAAAAAAAAAAAAAAGAAACAGATTTCTTGTATTTCAGAATGAAAAATGTATTCTTTGGCTTTGGTGAGTGAGGTAGTAATATCACAAATAGATTTATCACAGAGTTGGCAAGGATTGTAACACAATATGTGGTTATAGTTCTAGTCTAGCACTTTCTCCAGTAGCCCTTCTTCATCTTTCCTATTTGGTGAATAAGTTGAAAAATAAAATCTTATCCTATTGAATTAGAGTCTTCCAGAGAAATAGAACCAGTAAGTTCAAAATCTGCTGCAGTGTGGACTGGCAGGCAGAGACAAAAGAGAACTGATGGTGCAGATGAAGTTCGAAAGCAGTCTGCTGGAAAATTCCCTCTGTCTTGGGGAGGTCAGTCTTCTAATTCTATTCCAGGCTTCAACGGATTGGATAAGGACCATCCACATTATGAAGGACAATTTGATTGACCCAGATTTCACTGATTTAAGTGTTGATCTCATCCAAAAATATCCTCAAGTTGGCACATAAAATTAACCATCACAAGCCCACCCCTTGTCAACTTTGCACTCATGTATTTCTTTAAACTATGTTTCCTTTCCCAATAAATACAATAACAAGGCTATACTTCCACCTGACGTGATATAACTATGCTGTGTACAGCTGGAAACTCACTAAGTCTTTCCCCAGAACAAGATGCAAAATCTCTGGCTGATGTCTACTCTTCTCTTTGGTATCCTGTAACTTAAATACTATAGTGCAAAGTTAACAATACTTAAATACTATAAAGTCAGTCCATCTTATGTTACATGATACAGTGATGAAAGAGTGAAGAAAACAGAGATATTGGATATACCTAAGTATGTATGTACAGTTGACCTTTGAACAACATGAGTTTGACTGTGCTGGTCCACTTATATTTGGATTTTTTTTCCACTCCTGCCATCCAAGACAGCGAGACCAACCTCTCCTGTTCTACCTCCTCAGCCTACTCAATGTGAAGATAATGAGTAAAAAGACTTTTATGATGATCCACTTCCACTTAAAGAATGGTAAATATATTTTCTCTTCCTTATGAGTTTCTTAATAACATTTTCTTTTCTCTAGCTTATTTATTGTAAGAATGCCATACATAATACATGTAATATTCAAAATCTGTGTTAATCATCTGTTTATGTTATCCATAAAGCTTTTGGCAAACGGTAGGCTACTAGTGGTTAAGTTTTGGGACATCAGAAGTCATATGTGAATTTTTGACTGCTTGGGGCTTGGTACCTCAACCCCCATATTGTTCAAGAGTCAACTGTATGGCCAGGCGCAGTGGCTCATGCCTGTAATCCCAACACTTTGGGAGGCCGAGGTGGGCAGATCACGAGGTCAGGAGATGGAGACCGTCCTGGCTAACATGATGAAACCCCGTCTCTACTAAAAACACAAAAAATTAGCCAGGCATGGTGGTGGGTGCCTGTAGTCCCAGCTACTCGGGAGGCTGAGGCAGGAGAATGGCGTGAACCTGGGAGGTGGAGCTTGCAGTGAGTCGAGATCGTGTCACTGAACTCCAGCCTGGGTGACAGAGTGAGACTCTGTCTCAAAAAAAAAAAAAAAAAAAAGAGTCAACTATATATAAACACACACACACACACACACACACACACACACAACCATATTCATAACAAAATAAAGAGAAAATATTCCTGACAATTATGACAACCACAGGTCTCATCTATGTAAATGGTCACAGGGTCATAGCTGGTATTCACAACTACCATCTATCACTATTCATTCTGTGTTTTCTTTGCTTTCAGCAAGTGCTTGAGCTGGTTATAATTCTTTACCAAGTGAAGTGACCTAAACCAATCCTGAAGGGTCTAGGCATTAGTACTCCTATCTAATTGGTTGTCGTAGTTTTCCATTGACTTTATTCACAAGGTATGGTAATCCTAAGAGACTCCCTAGGGTATCTCCTGTATTCCACACATACTTTTTCTTACCTCCATTGTGAAATGGCAGTCCAGTTTTTCTTTGTTAGTCAGGAGCAGTCACCCCAACCAGCCCAGTAACTCCTGCTTTGCCTGTTGATTCAGAGGCATGAATAGTCCAAAATGGACTTGGTGGCAATCTTAACTTTTAATTCAATAAGTTAATTGTTAGATTTTATGATGGAAGCATTCCTCCCTTTGGAACTAAGAGTTTTAGTCCAGCAGAATATAAGGCCATGAAGACAAGAAGCAAACATTTTGATACTGAGTCACTAGGAGTAATAGAGATTCATGCCACTCCCATTTTCACCCCTCATTTCCCAGACTTCTTGAGTCCTGGCTATAGGAGAAACAGCATCATATATTGGACATTTTTTCGGAGCATATGTAGCCCACTGGATAACTTTGCAACAAGCCTGAAATGTATTGCCACCTAATTGGCAATGTAATTGAGTCTTTAAAAGGCCATTCCATAGATCTATCAATCCAGCTGTTTCAGCATAGCAAGGAACATGGTAAGACTAGTAAATTTCAGGAGCATGGCTCTATTGTCTCACTTCATTTGCTGTAAAATGAGTTCCTTAATCAGAAACACTCCTATGTGAAATAACATGATGGTGGACAGATATTACGTATGTCCATGGATGGTAGAAGCATTGTGTGCAGGGAAGGAAAATGCATATCCAAAGTAAATGTCCATTCCAGTAAGAACCAAACACTATCCCTTGTGGGGAAAAGAAAGAGAGATCAGATTGTTACTGTGTCTGTGTAGAAAGAAGTAGACATAGGAGACTCCATTTTGTTCTGTACTAAGAAAAATTCTTCTGCCTTGAGATGCTGTTAATCTATAACCTTACCCCCAACCCCTTGCTCTCTGAAACATGTGCTGTGTCAACTCAGGGTTAAATGGATTAAGGGCTGTGCAAGATGTGCTTTGTTAAGCAGATGCTTGAAGGCAGCATGCTCGTTAAGAGTCATCACCACTCCCTAATCTCAAGTACCCAGGGACACAAACACTGCGGAAGGCCGCAGGACCTCTGCCTAGGAAAGCCAGGTATTGTCCAAGGTTTCTCCCCATGTGATAGTCTGAAATGTGGCCTCGTGGGAAGGGAAAGACCTGACCATCCCCCAGCTTGATACCCGTAAAGGGTCTGTGCTGAGGAGGATTAGTATAAGAGGAAGGCATGCCTCTTTGCAGTTGAGACAAGAGGAAGGCATCTGTCTCCTGCCCGTCCCTGGGCAATGGAACGTCTCCGTATAAAACCCGATTGTACGTTCCATCTACTGAGATAGGGGAAAACCGCCTTAGGGCTGGAGGTGGGACATGCAGGCAGCAATACTGCTCTGTAAGGCATTGAGATGTTTATGTGTATGCATATCTAAAGCACAGCATTTAATTCTTTACCTTGTCTATGATGCAGAGACCTTTGTTCACGTGTTTATCTGCTGACCTTCTCTCCACTATTATCCTATGACCCTGACACATCCCCCTCTCCGAGAAACACCCAAGAATGATCAATAAATACTAAGGGAACTCAGAGGCTGGCGGGATCCTCCATATGCTGAACGCTGGTCCCCTGGGTCCCCTTATTTCTTTCTCTATACTTTCTCTCTGTGTCTTTTTCTTTTCCAAGTCTCTCGTTCCACCTAACGAGAAACACCCACAGGTGTGGAGGGGCAACCCACCCCTTCAATCCCTTCCATAACAGAAGTAATCAAATGTAGTAAGTGTGCCACCAGGTAGCTAGCTAATCACCCCGGGGAGTGGTGTCGTTTTGTAGACTCAGTGTTGGTCTCTGCTGCTGGCAGATTGGGCACTCGGCAGTGACTGTAGCCAGGTCACCTTGGTGAGTGGAAGTTTGTGTTTCCAATCATATGCACAACTTTCATCCCTGTCACCCTGGCCAATTTGTTGGTCCCATTGGGCAATGACAGAGGTGGCTGGAGAAAGGAGCAGACTGGTATTCACTGAACAGGTCATTCTACGCACTTGATTATTAAAGTCTCCCTCCACTAAAGTTACCTTTTGGTGAGCCTTCACATGGGTCAAAAATATCTTCATGGTTTTTGGCCCATTCAGAGAGGTCTACCCACCTCCTATCTCTACCCCAGACTGTTTTGTCATTAATTTTCCAACCATGTTACTGTCTAAGTCCCTGACCATCCAGCCAAACCATTGGCCATAGCCTATGAATCAGTATATAGTCACCTACAGGAGCACCCCAACCAGTCACTTCAGCATCCCTAACTGCCACCAACAATTAACACACCATTGCATCTGCTGAACCATATGTCTCACTTGCACATATGACAGCTTAAATGGCAGCCGGGAACTACTGCAGAGCTTTCTTTTATTCTGGGTCCTATTCAAAATCAGCAACTTTTTGGATCGCTCATCCTGTTTTTCTCCCACTTTATCCAGTGACATTAGAAGTGTAACAACATCAACAACAAAAACTTAGGCACATTACAATTTTAAATAATTTATTTCAGCATTCAACAATTTATGAATTGGGAAAAACCAGACTGAAAGCTGTTCACCATTCCAATGAGAGGAATAAGAGAGGAAATTTTTATGTTTGCAAAATCAAGACAAATATGTTTGATTGGTCAAAGTGGAAAGTACTCAGAGGTCAGTTGGTGGTTTCTCATTAGTTACACTTAAGTTTTGTTTTACTGTTTATATTTGTTTTGCTTATGTAGGAATCTAAAATTCTGGGCCATCTCAGCCTAATGGCCTGAGAATCTCTCCAGGACCACTCAGATCCTTGCTTCTTAAAAGCGTTTGGTTATGATTATCCATTGTTGATATTTTGTGTATCTATATTGCCAGGTCATACCATGAACTATCTTTACTACTGAAAATAGTCATTAATGACTTTAAATCTAATCAGATTAAATATCCAATTCTGGAAACCCCAAAACCAATTCTGAAAATTTGCCGTTAAGAATTTGTTCCTCTAGAACCACTCTCAGTACCAAAATCTATATTAGGCAGGGTTCTCCAGAGAAACAAAACCAATAGTGTGTGTGTGTGTGTGTGTTGACTGTGTGTATGCTTATATATATGTATATATATACACACGTGTATATATATGTATATATGTGTGTGTGTATATCTATATATGTGTGTGTACATATACATACATATATATATATATATGGGCTGGCTGGGGTGACTGATCCTGACTAATAAAGATGTGTATATGTGTATATATATACATGTATATATATGTGTGTATATATCTATATGTGTGTTTATATATATATGCATCTCTGTGTGTGTGCGTGTGTGTATGTGTATATATATATATGGAGATACAAGGATTTGGCTCATGTGATTATGGAGGCTGACAAATCCAAAATCTGCAGTGTCGGACAGCAGACAGAGCCCCACAAGAGCCAGTGGTAGATAAAGTCCAAAGGCAGTCTGCTGGAGAATTTCCTCTTACTCGAGGAGGTAGGTTTTTCTTCTATTCAGGCCTTAACCTGATTAGATGAGGCCCATCCATATTTTGGAAGGCAATCTGGGTTACTGAAAGTTTATTTATTAGTGCTAATTTCATCTAAATACTTTAAGTTGACATATTAAAAATAATCATCACAACTTTTAAGTTCCAAAAGTTATAGAAAGCATCTCATAGCTTAATAAGCATTTTAATTTCTATTGGATTATCAAATCTGGTTCTTTCCTCTTCTAAAGATTATATTTCTGACTGGTAGAATTGTCTTTCTATACTTTTCAATTAAAAATATTTTAGGAACATACTTAATAGCAAAATATACATGACATCACCATTTTGCAGTAGTTGTAAGTGCATGTGTATTTCTGTGTATGTATACTTAAAATCAATATAGTGAACTGATGGACATGTACCTTAGTTCATTCCATGTTGCTATAAAGGAAAAACTGAGGACAGATAATTTATAAAGAAAAGAGGTGTATTTAGCTCACGGTTCTGCAGGCTGTACAAGAAGCATGGCACCAGGATCTACTTCTGATGAGGGTGTCTGACTACTTCTGCTCATGGTGGAAGGGGAAGAAGAGGAGCCTGTGTGTGCAGATCACATGGTGAGAGAAAAAGCAAGAGAGAAGGGAGGGAGGTGTCACACTCTATTTAACAATTAGCTGTCTCAGGAGCTAACAGAGAGAACTCACTCAATCACCTTGAGGATGGCATCAAGCCATTTACAAGGGATTTGCCCTCCAGCGGAAATACCTCCCATTAAGCCTCATCTCCAACAGTGGGTATCAGATTTCAACATGAAATTTGGAGTTTCAAACAAATCGAACTATAGCAAGATGTAAATATGGATCCACTAATACTGGCACGTGTTTGTGGAGAAAGGCTTCTGCTACTGCTACTTCTACTTCTACTAGTTCTGTCAGGCTCAATAGCATTTTCTTCTGCATCTTTCAAGGGCACAACTTTCTCAGTTTACTACTTGAAAATTGATATTGTTTGGCATTCTGCTCACATTGTACATGCCCAGGCTTTAATTATCCTTTCACATATTCGGAAGTTTAAATATCTACTATGTGCTGGCTACTGTGTATGAGTAGGACATACAATGCAATAAAAAAGAGATTATTTTTCTGCCTGATAGAACTTATGCACTAAAAATGAATATAGGTATAACTTTTTTAAAAATCATACAAATAAATTTCCTTTCTGTGAAGTAAAGGCATAGAATTTTTTAATAAAATATGTAAAATACTTGAACCTAGGCTGAAGAAATTAAGGAAAGCTCAATAGATATTCTGTACAAGCTAAGATATAAATGCAGTGTAGAATTTACTTAGACGAAGGTTTAAAGGAGTACATGAGGATGTCCCAGCCATAGAATAGCATGTGTAATACCATTGCAGCGTTAGGGCTTATTACAATTACATTTTCTTATTTATTATTATTATTATATTGCTACTACTGCTACTTCTACCTCTACTAGTTCTATTATTACTACTGCTAACTAAATATTTGATTTCTAATCTATATCTGAGCATGTATCAATCTTGAGCTATAGATCAATACTTCCAACTTCCTACATATTGAACATTTTCATATTGGAATAACATCTTAGGCAAGGGCAAGCCTAGCTCAACCTTCCACAGGGAATTGTTACAGAAGCCCATGGGAAGTGATATGAGGAACTGAGGAATTCTAGAGATGATGTGTAGAAGCAGAGGAGGCTTTTTATATGATCCCTGCCCAGTCAATCTCATGGAAAGAGTTGTAAACATTCTGAAAGTATTTCAAATTCAATGTGCTTTTATTACTGCCTGGCAATATGGGGTAGTAAATGACTATGGATTTTGGAATCACAGTCCCTTGATATGTTTAACCTTGGGTAAGTAATTTTATCTGTTTCTTCTTTTTGTAAAATGGGTATTGTAATATCTGTTTCATGGGAATCCTTTAAAAACCAAAGTAGATAATTGATAAATGCCACCTAGCACAGCACCTGGCACAAAACAGGCACATAAAAAGTCAGTTCTTTTCATTCTCCCTCTTTTTCACTGCTAGAAAAATGCATATTCATCTTTCAAAGAAAAGATCGTATTTCATCTCACCTCTGAGGCCACTTCAGTTGTATTCTCCATAGCACTTTATACAACTCTCTTTTAATACTGTTGCTTCCATTTTGTTACTATCTATTTTCCAGTCTGCCTCCCAATTACTCAGGAAGTTTCTCATGGGCAAGGCTTATATCAGGCACATCATGTCATTCGCATAACTAGTCCTATATTTGACATCTAATAACTGCTCATTATTTGTTACATTGGACTAAACAGCTTTTACTCGCACCTTATATCTGACCAAAATCTATAAGTCAACAGAATAAAGCTATGATATCCATGTTTTAACTTACTTTTCAAAAATGTAACTCATTTCAATAAATTCTGGGCTACTCTCTTGCCCTGAAAAATACCTGTTTAAAATTGTATCTATTACCACATTCTTTCCCTTAACAACTAATACCGCAACTATGAAAGCCACTCTCCAGGATGGCCCTCAGTGATTCCCTGCTTCCAGTATTTAAGTCCTTGTGCCTTTTCCTGACACACTGACTCTGGAATAGCTCTGTTACTCACACAGCAATACTTCAAGAACATTCAATGGGTCAAAGTAACATTGGTGGCTCAGGCTTAAGAGAGCTGCAGCTTTTCGAAACTCCATCTCTATGTTTTGTGAGGAAGAAGCCATGTGGAGAGGCCCACATAAAGGAAAACGGTGCCTCGGCAGATCTAACAGCTGCTGGCCATCAGTAATGGCCAACTATTTGAGTGAAGCTGTTATGGGCCTCCTGGCCTTTCCAATGCTTTGAATAATACCATTTTAAGCTGAAGATCCTCCCAGTCAACCAACACAATGGTGGGGCTAAAAAAATATTGCTTTAAGCCACCAAGTTTTGAGATAGTCTGTTATACAGTAATAAATATCCAGGACAGTGAAAAATGCAATGACAGTAATGGTCTTCCATAGCAACATTTCAGAATCAGAATGGCAGGGACCATAGCAGCTATACAATCTGATTACACATCAGAGGTTTCCGTATTCTTCTCTGCTTTTCTTTCAGGTGGCAATATAGCCTCTGCTTAATGGCCAGGTATGCCAATAAACTCAACAACTGTTAAAACAGTTGACTCAACTTTTGGATAACTCTATTCAAATATAGTTCTTTTTTTTTCATTTGGAAAATCTCTTTCCTATAATTGCTACTCATTTAGTTCTATATCTATCCCTGTAGTCAACTATGATGAACCACTCTACCCAGCCACATATTTCCTTCTTTTGTGACTCAGTTAGAAGGTCTTTTATTCTTCTGATTTTTAACCTCAGCATATGCTGTAGTTGTCCACATGCCTCTTAAAACAGAAAGCACTTCTTTAGGGATGGCCCATTTTGTGCTGGAAAAAATAAGACTATCGTGTTTTACTTAGGGATGTTAAGTGAATTTTATGGGACTTTACATTTTTCAAAACATCCCATCATATTAACTCACATATTTCTAATGTCAATTCTCTAAAGTAGGGTTGGACAGTTCTTCATATCCTTGTAATAAAAGATAGATAAACTGAGACCAAAAAAGGCTAAGAAACTCTTTTAGACTGTAGTCAGAGATTTCTGCATCCTAGGCTAGAATTGTATTTTGTTTTGTGATGTTCTGATTTGTTTCTATCTCAGTTCCATCAAGTGTAAAGAAATAATAGTGAAGAGATATTCTTCCTCAGCTGAAACCTCACCAAGAAATGATTATATTTTATACAGGTAACAGGTAAAATACTGGCTAAGGTTATTACTTTTTATAAGGTTTTTTCAGTCTTGCTGAAGGTGAAGCTACTGGTATAAATGTCCCAGAACTTTTACTTGTCTATCTCCTTGGGTGGCAAAGCATCTGACGAAAAGCATGGATCAACACATGTTCAAAATAAATTTTTTGTCAGAATAAAAAACCATTCAACTTGTCTTCATGGAGTTATTCCATGTGGGTCACAATTCAATAAATAGAGTGTTCAAAGTACATTCCTTTCCAAGCTCTGTTAGATCACTGGTTGTGATGCCATTTTGTACAGTAACTAAATGATTTCATATTAATCATGGTTATTTCAGATGTAAAAGAGACTATTGTCCACTTCCATACCTAAAGATTTCCTGGACATATGTGTAAATATTGAAATTATACAAATTGAGCAAGAAACACCTATCTAACAAGTGTGGGTATATGTATAAATTTGTGTGCTATTTAAGTGGATTCAATCCGAGTCAGCAACAAACACATTAGTTAAAATGCTCAAATGCATATTTAGTTTTATAAATTAATCTATCATCTCAAATTTTAGTTCTTTCAGTTTGTTTAAAGCAATATTTCATAGAATAAAATAATGGACTTTAATTTTTTTTTTTGAGATGGAATCTTGCTCTGTTGCCCAGGCTGGAGTGCAATGGCATGAACTTGGCTCACTGCAACCTCCACCTCCTGGGTTCAAGCGATTCTCCTGCCTCAGCCTCCTGAGTAACTGGGACTACAGGCACACGCCACCATGCCCAACTAATTTTTGTATTTTTAGTAGAGACGGGGTTTCACCATGTTGGCCAGGTGGCTCTCTAACTCCTGACCTCAAATGATCTACCTGCCTCAGCCTCCCAAAGTGCTGGGATTACAGGCTTGAGCCACCGCACCCAGCTGGACTTTAATTTTTATAGACATATATTCTTATTGTTTTATGTAAGAACTGAAAACAATATTTTTAGAAGAATTTTGATGAGAGATTTGATTGAATCGTATTTTTATTTTGGAAAAATTGTCAAGAAAATATGAAAATGAGGGTTATTTCTTATGCAGAGAAATCTGTGTAAAGCTATCTGAACAACCATTCTGTATATATGGGTATCTTATCTTTTGCATTTGGATAACTAGATTTTTTTTTCTGATAATTTTTCACGTATTTTTAAAGATTTCTCCATTTCTGCATTCTTTCAGCTTACTTTGATATATTCTCTTTTAAATCATTTTTCTAGCATTTCATAGTTATTTTTAATTGAACATATGACCAGTTTTGTATTTGTGAGTGTTGGTTTAAGACCAGCAAATCACTACTTTTAGCATGCCCAATGATTCCAAGCCAGCTTCCTCTTGTACTGGCATTAGTTTCAAGTCTCCTCAATCTTTAACCAATTTCATCCTTAAAAAAAAAAAAGACAAGATTTAACACAATATTTAAATAATAGCACAACACCAGTAATAGTGCAAACTGTGGTGACCTTGCCAAACTGAATTGATATAACAGGGTGAAACGTGTTAGTTAGCTAATTAATATACAGTGCCTGCAATCATTTTAAGAAAAGTTTGCTGGTGTTAGTGTTCACATGTGGAAGAATTAGATGAATCCAGGGGTCTTTTACAACAATTTTTAGGTTCCTACTATGTTCCAGGATATACATCAGATGCTTTCAAGCAGTACTGGATAATACTTGATTTTTTCAGATGAGGACACTGAATTCTGAGATGTTACATGTGGTGCTCAAGAGCATACAGCCAGCAAATGGCAGAGCCGAGAGTTACACCAAATATCTGATTTATGAACCCTACTCGTTTTTCAATACCTTTCATCCTAAGCAGAAGTCAGGGGACCTATGTTCTACCACTTATTTTGCTGTTAAATAGCTGTCACCTCTTATATGGCTATATGATCACCAGTAAAACACTTATTCTCAAGCTTCCTTTTGCATGCAAAAGTGGTGCTCAGATGAGGTCGATCTATATTTTGTGGAAATGTCTGGGAGAATATAGCCTGTAGTGGGATTTTTCAACCATCTACCTCTGTTCCAAATGCACTTTTCCATTTTATTTCCTAGAGTCCCACAAACTATTTCATTTGAAGAAAGAATTCTGCTACCATAAAAAAATCCATTGACAATTCATTTTTGCATTTGTTGATCATGCTCACTCTTCAAGGAAGGGCCAGTTAATTAATTCAGTGAAACTTTTCTGATCTTCTCTGTTAGATGAAGACACCCTTGCTCTGAACTGCCAGAGACATAACTCTTAAAGTATTTACTATGTTCCAGCTAGCAATTTAGAACATTTCAATTCATATGCAGATACTCCCTAAGGACATAATCTTTATCTATTTTCTATCAGCTATAAGGCTGACCAGCCATAAATACTACTGGAGTAGTAAAAATGAATGAATAAAATGAATAAATGGTCACAAAAATATCTCATAGCTCTGAAACTTCATATATATTAATCTGATTTTCACACTAGTAACTATTTTTCCTCAGAGCAAAATACATTAGTCTTGCAAGTAAATGCATGCTTTTAAAAATATATAATTACATGTTTCTTAGTATTCAGATTTAAAATACAGGTTGCGCCTTGAACAGCACAGGTTTGACTGAAGGAACCCACTTATTCATGTATTTTTTTTCAGTAAATACAGTCAGGCCCTTTGAATGGGTGATTCCATGTCTGCCACCAACAACAGATGGAAAATAAAGGTATTCTCAGAACGTGAAACCCTAAAGACTGACTTTTCATATGTGCAGATTTTACAGGGAGGACTACAAGAATGCAGTTTGCAAGGATTTTGGTGTCCGAGGCAGTCCAGGAATTAATCCCCTGCGGATACCAAGGGATGACTGTATATATTTTAGAAAATAATAAGCTTAGAAAAGTTACAAAAATTTATGTCAAAGAGTTTATTTTGTATCTTTAATCCATGCCTCTATTGAACAAAAGTAAATGCTAAAAAACAGGAAATAAATCTATCTATTTTAATGATCTTGTCATAAGCCACACTGCAGGACATATATTCCAAAATTTTCTTAAGATCAATTAAACGTTATCAGGGTTTTTCATTGTGTTTTTCAATACATATGTATCTACATTGATTTCTACATTTGTGTCTATATGTGTGTGTCTGGAGTGGTGGGGGAAGGGGGAAGGAGGCATCAGGCAGTGGTGTTTGATTCATGGTTCCAGGGTCACACTCTGTTTCATCTTCTTTCCTTTCATATTTACCTCTCACCACTGCTTCCCTTAACCTTACCCACCATACTATTTCCTTGTACTCTTTATCCTGGGGCCTCCCAGAATTCCCTGTGAAAGCAATCCATTTCTACGTTCTCTTTGCCACTCATAAATTATAAAATCATAGACTTCCCTAAGTGTCACTCATTTTTCTTCTCTATCAAATACCACTTGACTTGGCAGGAGAAATTGTCTGACTTTACTGACAGTGCATGAAAGTCACTCCCGTAAGTAGGTTTGAGTGGGAGCATTGTGAGGGGCTTCCAACGTGGTCTCAAATAGCATGAATGTATCTGAAATCAAAACACCTCACAACAAGAGTACTAAGTGATTTCTGAAGACTTTACTTTCTCTTTATAAGAAATCTGTACTGGTATTCATTCAACAAATTTTTATGGAACTCACTATGTACCAAATAGTGTGCTAAGGACTGGAAACAATATCACAAACAAAAACACATATGGATGCCTTTTAAGGGTTAATGAATGAGAAATCCATATTTAATTAAATAATCACAAAGTATTCGTGAAATTATAACTATAATAATTATGAAGGAGAAATATGTGCTGGGAGAACAGATAATATGGGTTTCGTTGCGTGAGGATGTTGGTGAAGGTTTCCTTAAGGACGTGTAGATTAAGCTGGAATCTACCCATGTATCAGATTTATTCCTCTTAGTGTATAATGTATAGGTATTCACTAGGCTAAGAGATTTCCAGAAGAAAAAATACTTCTGCAGTGGGAGTGAGCATGAATATAATGCCGAGATGGCAGAGGCAGGAGCAGCTAGAGGGGAAGGCAAGGTGAAATGTGGTTTAAGATAATGATGGAGAGAAAAGTGGGGTGCTGGCCATGAAGGAGCTGTATAGGTCATGGCAAGAAACTCTGTCAGGTATCTAAGAAGATTGTTCAATCTTCAAATGTGTAACTGAAATGGAGATAGAGATTTCTACTTCACAAGATAACTCTAGTTGCAGGTAGAAATTAGAAAGGTGCAGGTTATTGGGAAGAAGAAATTGAAAAGTCAAGGAGACTTACTGAAGAGGTTTGAATGGGAAAACTGGCATGACTAAAGGTGTTTAAGTTTATATCAGTGAGGAACTCTTCTCCCTCATTTTTCATTATTTTCTAAAAATCAAATGTGGGGGAGATATGGCTAATTGAAATTTCAGACAAGTCAGGTATCAGTTAATTGAGTTTTTACTGCACTTGCACCATCAATTTCAATGCTTTTAATGAAATAGAATGTGCTGTCTTTGGAATTCAAATGTGTCTATTCTATTTCAAACTATGTCATCTTCCATTTCTCCCACAGATTGCTATCTGTAAATCTTCTTTAAATTTTCTTCTAAAAATAACCAATAATATGTGTATTATTTGTTTTTTCCCCAGTGGATAAACTATAACAATTTTGGTGTTGTTGTTATAAGTAAATAATCCTTGGAACCAAGGAAAAAAATAGTTAAAGCCCTTTTCTCAATGGGTGATAGGGTACTAAGAGTGATAGTATGTATTCAATACAAGTTTATTTTTAAAATACTTCTAACAACTTAATGGATTATCATCATTTAGTATTCTGTGGTTTTCTAAAAGGCAACACTTGGCAGTGAAATCTGAATTAAACCTGAGATAATATTACAAAATAGACATTCTGTTATTTTAATTTTGCTATATAATTTGAAAATATCTTAATACAAAAAAGGAGATTAACAGTTTTTCTGTGTTACATGGAAGAAAACTGAAATCAAATTGAAGCTGTAGAATTTGTTTTTAGGCTTACAGAGCTCAGTTCTGTCACTGAAAATTCACAGCTAAGAATCCTATTTTTCTCATCAAGACAATTGAAAAAACACTATATAAATAAGCTGAAGTCAGCATGTGGTAGTTCTACTTGAGAGCTTAGGTCAAGTTGAATGACAGTTGTTAATAACACTAGGAGAACCCTCCCTGAGGATGGAGTACTGATAGCCACCTGTCCAGGAAGGTTAAAGGATAACTCCATCTGGAGACAGAGAGATGGGCTTCAGAGGACCCAAAAGTCACTATTAATCCAGAAAATCACTTCTAATCTTATAAATGTCTTTCCCTGTTGTCAGACACTGAATGTATTTATTCTGCCTGCAAGTGTCACAAGAAGAAAGTTTGCTATTTATTAAGTCAATGTTTACATAATTGAAAATATTTTTCTTTCTTCATTTTTGTTGTGCTGTAGTTTTACTACACTTTAGTTACTATTCCCATTAGCAGACAGAGAAAATGAATCTTGGAACAATTTGTATTTTTTCTCAACAAATCAGTGTGAAAATAAAACAGAATCTTGTTACCAGAGGAATGAAGCAAAATATGCTAACAAACAAATGAACTAAAACAAACAAACAAAAACCTTTCCTTTCTAGGTGGATAATGATTCAGCTTCTGATATTCTTTCATGCACATGCTACTCTATGACATAACAGTGGGCAGTACAAGCTCCTGTTTTATGAGGCATAAATCTTTTATTTATATGCACAGCTCCCTAATTATGCTGCATGCTCTTTCAAGTAATATTTATATTTTTATTTTCATTACACCAGTAACTAGTACAATGATTCACAATGGTAGGAGCACACACAAAAAAGTTTATTTATCAATATTGACTATATGACAGGCGCTGTCCTAAGGCTAAATGATATAAATTTGAATAAGATCTGGTACCTGTCCTCAAGCAATATAGAATAGAGTCTACTGAGATAGCGACAAACAGAATTATATTAATATGCCCGAGATCTGTATAACAGGCCGCAAGAACCTGAAATAAATAGTGCAATGATCTTCAGAGATGATAGGGAAGACATCCTAGAGCATGAGATAGTTGTGTATGGTAAAAACAAGGACATATTAAATAGAATAACTCATTCCGTAACTGCTAGTCTACAAGGGGGAGGGATAATATATACTGAAGCTGAGAGAGTTTTAAGCAAGGCTGTGATGGTTAATTTTATGTGTCATCTTGGCTAGACTATGGTTCCCAGATATTTGGTCAAATGC
Organism: Homo sapiens; assembly: GCF_000001405.40. Classification (NCBI taxonomy): domain Eukaryota; kingdom Metazoa; phylum Chordata; class Mammalia; order Primates; family Hominidae; genus Homo; species Homo sapiens. The sequence goes on along the minus strand of NC_000010.11, from coordinate 65,397,359 downwards.
CAGTCTAGACGTTGCTGTAAAGGTATTTTTTAGATGCAATTAACATTAAACTCAATAGATTTTGAGTAAAGCAGATGGCTCCTCATAATATGAATAGGCCTCATACAATCAGTTGAAGGCCTTAAGAAACAGCTGCAGTTTTCCAAGAAGGAAAGAATTCTGCCTTCAGAAGCCCTTAGGATTTGAGAATGCAACATCAATTTATCCTGGATCTCCAGCCTGCCAGCCTGCCCTGCAGATTTTTGATTTGCCAGTCTCCCCAAGTTGTGTGAGTCAATTCCTTAAAATAAATTTCCTTCTCTGTCACCCACCCGCCCCCCCGCTCCCACACACCTCCTTCTGGAAAACCCCAAAGCAAAGAGCAGAAATGATCTTGGTTATCCCCTGTTGTCTCAACATTCTGTTTGATTAGCCTACTCTTTCACTTTCAAATGGAGATTGGTTGATAAATTATGTAAATAAGTGTTCATATAAAATGTATTAATGAGGTAGAATATTTAAAACTGGACACTGTGTCTGGGATAGGAGGGTGGAGATGGGAGCTATAAGGGAGATTAATGGAATGAGTAACAGTTTTCTTAAGTCCCTGGGTGTATACTCGTGGTTTTTACCAAAATAAGAAATAGAAGAGCAGGAGAAAGATTATGATTCAGTTAGAGACATATTGAGGTGAATGTGGAACTTCTAGTGGAAATCTCCAACAGGAAACAGATAAATGGGGGAGCTCAAATGTGAGATCGATTTAAGGATCATTAGATATAATTGATAATTAAAGCCAATGGAATTAAATAAGTCCATCCATGAAGAACATAGAGAGTGAGTAGAATAAGGAATAAAGAGCAAGGCCCATGAGGAACACCAACATTAAAATATCATTGGCGTGAGAGATCCTGAAATACTTGAGAAGTTTCTGGAATGGCAGAAAAAAAATCCTTAGTGAATTTTGTCTCAAGGCACAAGAAAAGAGATCACTTCATCAAATAGGGAGACTTTCAAACTTTTAGTAGTTTCCGTCAAGCAGTAGAAATAGAAGCCATGTTTGACCATGTGGTTCCATCAGAGCGCGAATTAGAAACACAGGAGGGATGTGAGGTGATATTACCTCAGGTCTAGGGTGACCATCTCTCCTGATTTATATGTAACTGAGGGGTGCTCCAGGGCACAAAACTTTCAGTGTTAAAATTGAGACAGTTCCAGGGAAACAGTGATAGTTGATCACCTTACAAAGAAAGGGTCTTTGAGTGAGTGTGAAAGGGAGTTATTTTGCAAAAGTAAGAGTAACCAGAAAGAAGTTGAAATTGCCATTCTCCCTTCCCTTCCTCATCATTCCTGATTTCTCTGTATATACAGAATGGAAGAGTAAACCTTCTTCGATCACTTGATATGTTTATAAGGATCCTGGTACCCTTGAAATAGAAGCAGATATTATTTAAGGCAAAGAGTAGAGAACATTCAGTGAATATACTGATGCCATGTAATTTTGTGTTGTTTTGCTTTGTTTTCAATGGTACGCTGGGGTTCCAGATGGCTCAGTGGAATGGGTTGGCAAAAGAAGCCTATAGTGAAAAATTAAATCCAAAGGGAGGAGATAGGATGCAGCTTAGGGTAAGAGTGTAGTAGAAACAGATAACAGAAGGGAATTACATTTAGAGGATGATATAGGATGACAGACCTAAGGGACATTATATTACCTGCTATAGTGAAACTTTGCATTTGAATTCTCTTATAATACTAGCTTTGTCAACCTAGAGTGAGGAATCCATGTTATTAATCAAGTCTTGATTATATTTTGTTTCAAATACAGTAAAAATATCATGACTTTGTAGAGTTTCACATAGAATATTTAAAAGATAGACAAGCAAATAAGACTTTCCACCAACCAACCAAATAAAACAAGCAACAAATATCAAAAACAGGTAGCTCGGTTTCATACCTTAGCGAAGCTGTTTTGCCTGGGGTTTGACCTCAGTACTGTTCAGCATCAGTAAAATTTTACACACAGATCAGAATATGAGAATGTGTGCTTATAGACTGTATTTTTAAGAATTTTTCAGGTTGTGAAAGCACATTTGAGCTGATATATTCAGGGAAACAATGTTTCCCTGAATAAAATATGCACGAGTAAGTAAAGAAGACAAGAAACTCTGTCAATAATTGTACAGTCATACCACATAGAAATTGAAATGCCATTCTAGATAAAAGCTAAATCTAATGAGTCACCATGATAGTGACTCAGCCACTTTCTGCTTCACTTATAGTTCTTTTCTCCTACACCACAACTTCTATTTAATCATGGGTTCTGCTTACTGCAGTTTCTCTTTATGTCATGATTCTACATCACATCACTGTCTTCTGAGTTTCTCTATATTTCTCACACTCAAACTCCCCCTACTTCTCCCCAAAAAGGCTCATATATATCCATTGTAAGAATTCTATTATGAGAGAGGTTTTAGAATTACCACTTCACAACTGCAGAGTAACCTAGATGCCTACCTTAGGACCAAGAGATATACAAAGAGAGGCAGAATGATGAAATTCAAACTATGATACTCAAAAAAACCTCAAAACTATAACTCCAAAAAAATGGTTTGTCAAAAAATGCTTTGGAGCTGACTCTTACCCCAGAAGACAGCATTTGTGGTGTGTGTTTCCCTCAGATACACACAGACATCAGTGGGGAGACAGGCATACATGATGTTGGATATAGGAGGATGGAGTTTGTCTGCAATTTGAGCATCAGCCAAGTTTAGTCCAAATACAATGAGTCTAGATTAATGAGTTGTTGACTTGTTTCAGCGTCTTGATTGATTTGGTCTTTGTTTTTTTAACATGCTGTATATTTCACATCAACTTTGTCAATCATTTTTACGCCCATATTTAATCTCCAACTTGGAACATGACACAGTGTTTTGCTTTTGCCTTAGATATCTGCCTTTCATAGATAAGTCCTTGTATCTCCTCTACACTTTCCCTTATATATTTTTTCACATTACAGCTTTTTCTGGTGTTTAGCCAAAAGAACCCAATTAAGAATTCATATTTTTCACCTTAACGAGGTCAATGCTACAAATTCAATACAATGTCTTCTTTCTTCATTTGGGTCTAATTTCTCACTCCAATAAATCCATAATCATATTCCCTTTGTAATAAACACAGCAGAGTTGCAGATACCTAATTATTATAGCCAAGATATCACATAGAAAGTTCTCTGCCATATTTTCTATAATCAAGCAAGCAAGGTTATTTTAGCAGCCCCTGCTTTTTTTTTTTTTTTTTTTTTTTGTTAACTTCCATGATTAACTACAAAAAATAAAGTCACTCAGACCTGGAGACATTGAACAAATTTTTATTAATTTTACATATATACTGTTTAAACTTACCCACAGACTTATTTTCTTCATTTTCAAGCATTTCTTTCCACTACCTCACACATGAAGATAAATTCATGAGATGTACTACTGAGGGAAGCATGTTAGGAAAGTTAAAATAATTATCCTCATTTAATTCTCAGCAAATCTGATTTAAAAGAAACAATTTATCAAATTTGGCTATGATCAGAGATGGATGCAATTCGCAAAATTGAAACTAAAATTCATTTTTGTATCGCCATCATCTTTTCAATTCCAAGTGAGTCCTCATAACCTGATCGAGGCTAACACAATGGAATGAGAATCAAGATCCTTGGGGATAGATGTACTCCATGATCTATCTGATCTGTACCTTTCTATGTGAGGACACTCATAGCTAGAAAGAAAAAATGGCCTAACCAAGTGATATTGCCTAAATATCTATGTTCTCCCAAAATTCATATGTTAAAATATAATCCCCAACGTGATGGTATTAAGAGGTAGGGGCTTTGGGAAGTAATTACTACCTTTATATGGAATTAGTACCCTTATAAAAAGAGATCCTGGGAGCTAGATCGACCCCTCTGCCATGTGAGGTTGCAGAGAGACCACTTTCATCTGTGAAGGAAAGAGGCCCTTGCCAGAACCTGACCAGGATGACACACTGACCTTGGAGTTCCCTGTCTCCAGAACTGTGGGGAAATTTTTGTTTATAAGTTACCCAGTTTAGAATAATTTGTTATAGAAGACCAAACAGACTAACCTACAAAGTGCACAAGATAGGATGCTTTTAGCTGCAGGTAACAGAACAGCATTTACACAAACTTCAATAAATATTTTTTTTCTTGTCTGTCATAACAAGTATATAACAAGGTAGTTGTTGGAACTAATTAAAGGGTTCTGAGTTGTCAGTGCTGATGCCTCATTGCTTCTGTCAATACGGATACATACAGCAGGAAGAAAGAATGTGAAAGGGCAGTAGTGTCTGTGTCAAGGGAGCAGATTTTCTAGAAAAACTGAATCAGAAATCCTCCTTCTATCCACTGGCTAACAGCATCCAAAAGTAGCCAAAGTGTAGCTAAATGAAACAGATTTGGAAAGGAGCATAACAGCAGCTAACTTGTAGAGTCTGCCATAACTCAAGCATATAGGGTTTTTGTTTTTGTTTTTTTGTTTAGTTTGTTTTTTTTCTGGAGGAAAAAGCTCAATTATTTCTATCCAATGATGCAATGATCATGACAGAACTGATAGCTCCTCCAGGTTCATGTTTTTCTCTAAAAGTCAATGCTGGAAAAGTTAACACAGGTAAACAACATCAGAAGGTTGTGATAAAACATAGGGATAAAGAAGCAAAATTCACATGCTGGCTTTTCTTTAGGAAACTCAGTGAAAATATACTTTAAATAATTTCTTTTTTTACTTTATTTATTATTATTATACTTTAAGTTTTAGGGTACATGTGCACAATGTGCAGGTTAGTTACACATGTATACATGTGCCATGCTGGTGCGCTGCACCCACTAACTCTTCATCTAGCATTAGGTATATCTCCCAATGCTATCCCTCTGCCCTCCCCCCACCCCACAACAGTCCCCAGAGTGTGATGTTCCCCTTCCTGTGTCCATGTGTTCTCATTGTTCAATTCCCACCTATGAGTGAGAATATGCAGTGTTTGGTTTTTTGTTCTTGCGATAGTTTACTGAGAATGACGATTTCCAATTTCATCCATGTCCCTACAAAGGACATGAACTCATCATTTTTTATGGCTGCATAATATTCAATGGTGTATATGTGCCACATTTTCTTAATCCAGTCTATCATTGTTGGACATTTGGGTTGGTTCCAAGTCTTTGCTATTGTGAATAATGCCACAATAAACATACGTGTGCATGTGTCTTTATAGCAGCATGATTTATAGTCCTTTGGGTATATACCCAGTAATGGGATGGCTGGGTCAAATGGTATTTCTAGTTCTAGATCCCTGAGGAATCGCCACACTGACTTCCACAATGGTTGAACTAGTTTACAGTCCCACCAACAGTGTAAAAGTGTTCCTATTTCTCCACCACCTCTCCAGCACCTGTTGTTTCCTGACTTTTTAATGATTGCCATTCTAACTGGTGTGAGATGGTATCTCATTGTGGTTTTGATTTGCATTTCTCTGATGGCCAGTGATGGTGAGCATCTTTTCATGTGCCTTTTGGCTGCATAAATGTCTTCTTTTGAGAAGTGTCTGTTCATGTTCTTCACCCACTTTTTGATGGGGTTGTTTGTTTTTTTCTTGTAAATTTGTTTGAGTTCATTGTAGATTCTGGATATTAGCCCTTTGTCAGATGAGTAGGTTGCAAAAATTTTCTCCCATTTTGTAGGTTGCCTGTTCACTCTGATGGTAGCTTCTTTTGCTGTGCAGAAGCTCTTTAGTTTAATTAGATCCCATTTGTCAATTCTGGCTTTGGTTGTCATTGCTTTTGCTGTCTTAGACATGAAGTCCTTGCCCATGCCTATGTCCTGAATGGTAATGCCTAGGTTTTCTTCTAGGGTTTTTATGGTTTTAGGTCTAACATGTAAGTCTTTAATCCATGTTGAATTGATTTTTGTATAAGGTGTAAGAAAGGTTTCCAGTTTCAGCTTTCTATTTATGGCTAGCCAGTTTTCCCAGCACCATCTATTAAACAGGGAATCCTTTCCCCATTGCTTGTTTTTCTCAGGTTTGTCAAAGATCAGATAGTTGTAGATATGCGGCATTATTTCTGAGGGCTCTGTTCTGTTCCATTGGTCTATATCTCTGTTTTGGTACCAGTACCATGCTGTTTTGGTTACTGTAGCCTTGTAGTATAGTTTGAAGTCAGGTAGTGTGATGCCTCCAGCTTTGTTCTTTTGGCTTAGGACTGACTTGGCGATGCAGGCTCTTTCTTGGTTCCACATGAACTTTAAGGTAGTTTTTTCCAATTCTGTGAAGAAAGTCATTGGTAGCTTGATGGGGATGTCATTGAATCTGTAAATTACCTTGGGCAGTATGGCCATTTTCACGATATTGATTATTCCTACCCATGAGCATGGAATGTTCTTCCATTTGTTTGTATCCTCTTTTATTTCATTGAGCAGTGGTTTGTAGTTCTCCTTGAAGAGGTCCTTCACATCCCTTGTAAGTTGGATTCCTAGGTATTTTATTCTCTTTGAAGCATTTGTGAATGGGAGTTCACTCATGATTTGGCTCTCTGTTTGTCTCTTATTGGTGTATAAGAATGCTTGTGATTTTTGTACATTGATTTTGTATCCTGAGACTTTGCTGAAGTTGCTTATCAGCTTAAGGAGATTTTGGGCTGAGACAATGGGGTTTTCTAGATATACAATCATGTCGTCTGCAAACAGGGACAATTTGACTTTCTCTTTTCCTAATTGAATACCCTTTATTTCCTTCACCTGCCTAATTGCCCTGGCCAGAACTTCCAACACTATGTTGAATAGGAGTCGTGAGAGAGGGCATCCCTGTCTTGTGCCAGTTTTAAAAGGGAATGCTTCCAGTTTTTGCCCATTCAGTATGATATTGGCTGTGGGTTTGTCATAGATAGCTCTTATTATTTTGAGATACGTCCCATCAATACCTAATTTATTGAGAGTTTTTAGCATGAATAGTTGTTGAATTTCTTTCTTTAGGTAAATAAGATGACTTACTAAGCAGAGTTTTTAGCAGAAGTAAAACAAGTTAACTCCCTTGTGTAGGAATCCCAGTACTTGGATATAAAGCAGTTTCTAGGCTTTTTATTGGAGATTAACTTCTAGAAAGCTATAAAGATTTTTCTGGAGTATTATCAGCCTTAAGTACAAGTATCACAATCAATAGCCCTGTTACGTGACAGGAAAAGGGCAGCTGCGAGATCGAATTTCCTGGCCCTCTCCTCTTCCCTAGGAATATATATTATCTTAATTAATATTCACATGTTGGTATTAGTATTCACATTTAAAATTGGAAAAATAGGATCCAAGGAGATTAAGTAACCCAACCATATTAAGTGACCCAACCATATAGCTCAGATAACTCAGATAGAGCTGACTCTAAAGGAAATGGTGTTTTCACTCTTAGGGAAAGATAGATGACAACAAAAAGTGTACTTCAGAGACTTTAAAATATTTTATTACCTTTGTAATAAATAATACATAATGCTTTTGTTAATTAACATATTTCTAACATTTAGAACATTAAAAAGGTCTAGAAATACTGAATTAAAACTATTATTTCCAAATAAAGGACACTAAAAAGTATCATGTTGGTAAATGAGATAATCAGAATGAAAAGACCAAAATAGTGAACTCTGTACTTGGAAACCAATGGTTAAACTTTCCATTTCTCTGTATATATTACCATATGCTCTGCAATCTATTTCCTGACTGCTCTATTTGCCATCTACTACACTTTCTTCTTTTTCTGAGAAAACATTTTCATCCTTTTTTCTTAACATACATGAAATATTGGCTTTCACATCTTTCAAATTGTCTTTATAGTCCATTTTTTTTTCCTGTGTAGTCACTATTCTCTAATTTTGCCATGTCTTATACTCCTTTTCCACCTACTAGAACTTCCATTTGCTTGACTGATAGATAATAGTTAAAGTTTTCTGATGTTAAGGTCTTTGGGACTCTCCCTCCATTCTAAGAAGTACAAAGTGCTGTGAATGTCTGCGATTCTATAATAAATAATATTGCTTAAAAATAAATGGAAGTCATAATTTGAAAGAAAGCCTTTAAATTGTCATCTCATATCTCTTAGCTGATATACTGTATAATTAGGAGTTCCTAAGTGCAATTGCTCAAAGAAAAGCTGGAAAGGGAGTTCATATATTTGTCAGTGAGTAATATATAGTGTATCTAGCTTCTTCGTGATTAAAAATTAGCCTGTTCCCCCACCCCAAAAAAATGCAGTAGGTACTAAACCACGTGTCATCTGTTGAAGCAAATGTGTGTTCTATGTGACTCATCCCTTCAAGGAGGCTTTGTGTGTCTGCTATGGGACATTTTTAAAAAGACTGTTGTTTTTTAAAAAAAGGGAGAACTACATGATTTTACCCATGTGCTATGATTTGAATAATGGTGTTCCCTCTGAAATTCATGTTGAAATTCGTTGAAATTCAATACTCAATGCAACAGTATTAAGCGGCAAAGCCTTTGGAAAGTGGTTAAGTCATGAAGGCTCCACCCTCATGAATAGGATTAGTGCCCTTATAAAATGTCTTGAGGTTGAAAGGTTCTCACTCTTGCCCTTCTGCCTTTTATCAGGTAAGAATGCCCTTCTGCCTTTTATCAAGTAAGGTGCCATTTTGGAAGCAGAGAGCAACCCTCACCCAACTGCAATGCTGGCATCTTAATCTTGGACTTTCCAGCCTCCAGAACTGGAAGAAATAAATTTCTATTCCTTGTAAATTACCCAGTCTAAGTTGTTTTGTTACAGCAGCACTGACAGACTAAGACATCATGTTATTTGAATTCTCTGATAAATCTCAGTAAAAACAAAAATCAAGGAAACAAAAAAATTTAAACAGTTTTTTAGTGAGATGAGAACATTGTGTTTATAACACCTAAGCCACATTTATTACTTTCCCCAATAATCAGTTATTTAATTGTGATAAAAAATTATGGATTCAATTTACATGAAAAAAATTGATGAGTAGCGTGTTTCTTTTAAACAGTTACTACAATAATGGATAATTGTCTCAAATGCATGCTCCTAAATAATGTTAGCTCTCACCATCTTCACTGACTGGTAGGGTATAAGAGAGATGGTAAAAGTAAGATATTAAATAAATAACAAAAATAATCCAAAATAGCCTTGGCTTCACCCACACACACACAGTACTACTTAAAGTACTGGCTCAAAGATGCTGATATTAACTCTTTACTTAAATGTCAAAGCCAAAGCCACATTTAACAGCAAAGCCACATGCAACAGCAAAGCCACTTGGCTTTACTCTTTCAATGCATCTTTACAAAAATACATGTTCTTATCTATCATCCTCTCCTTTTGTTTTATTTATTGTTTCTTTTCAAATCTTTCTAAAGTTCTTATACTCTTTTTCCTTAAAATTTTCTCCTAAAACTTCTCTCTGCTGTTTACAAGATTCCTCTGAAAATTCAGTTATAACATTAATTTGTCCCTAACTTCTGTTGTTGTAGTATGTATTATTGAGATATAATTACATGTAATATATGTTACATATTTATTATATATACCTCCTTACTATGTTACTGTTATTATAAAATAGTCAATATGCTTGTAAAATTATACTATTGTCCTTTGATGCAAAAAAACTGAGAACTTGAATTTTAAAAAAGCGTTCTTATATGTGTTTTTAAAGGTAAGTAACATATAATATGTTCCTAATATAAATAGCAACAACATATATATATATATTCTCATACAAAAACAACCACATGTGTGTATACATATATATCATAACATTATGAGCTTAGATAAATTATAATAATACATATAGTTAAGAATATTTTAAATTTGGAATCATATACCACTATATATAATCACTTGTAAGAAAACTGGAACATATATCTATTTTTATTAAGTGGGTTATATCTTTCAGTAGGCTGTTGAAATTTAACATGCATGGTATTTTGTCTTTGGGATTGTCGAAGAAAAATTTCAACAAGTGAAATAGGCAAGAAATACTTTATTCAAGACTATTGCAATAGGGATCAAGACTATTTAAATAGTTGAGAAAGACTGAACTCAACTGCACTGACATAAAAGTCAGAAAAGTTTTTAAATGCTTGTATAATCGAGTGAAAAATTACTGAAGAATATTAAGGGAGATGTTGGTCAATGTGATTAGGCCATCTGTGTTTTCACGTTGGTGCTTACATAAGTTAAGCTCCTTCCCTCATAGAGAGACTGGAAGATAGGAGCCCTATTTTTCTTGATGATTGCATTTCAAAGGATTGCTCCTAGGTCGCTGAGAAACGTATTCCTGGGTTATAAAACTAGTTGGAGGCAGGAGAAGATTTATATCTCAAAGGGACAGAGAAATAATTTACAATTGCAAGCTTTCTAAAGTAAATGTTCTAAGAAAAAGGAGATTGCCAGCCCATAATCAGGAAGAAACCTGTCTAAAACTTAGTCAAAGTGAGGGGAGAGTTAAGACCATCCGTCTTGTTCTGGTCGATTAACACGGGAGGAACCACTATATGTTCCCAAATTTTTCTCGGGAGTTGACCTGGGGATAAATTCATGTGTGGCATCAAAAAATATATAGAGAGCACCCTCTCAGCCCCAAATCTCCTTAAGCTGATAAGCAACTTCAGCAAAGTCTCAAGGTACAAAATCAGTGTGCAAACATCACAAGCATTCTTATACACCAATAAGAGACAAACAGAGAGCCAAATCATGAGTGAACTCCCATTCAGAAATGCTTCAAAGAGAATAAAATACCTAGGAATCCAACTTACAAGGGATGTGAAGGACCTCTTCAAGGAGAACTACAAACCACTGTTCAACAAAATAAAAGAGGATACAAACAAATGGAAGAACATTCCATGCTCACGGGTAGGAATAATCAATATCGTGAAAATGGCCATACTGCCCAAGGTAATTTATAGATTTAATGCCATCCCTATCAAGCTACCAATGACTTTCTTCACAGAATTGGAAAAAACTACTTTAAAGTTCATATGGAACCAAAAAATAGCCCACATTGCCAAGACAATTGTAAGCCAAAAGAACAAAGCTGGAGGCATCATACTACCTGACTTCAAACTATACTACAAGGCTACAGTAACCAAAACAGCATGGTACTGGTACCAAAACAGAGATATAGACCAATGGAACAGAACAGAGCCCTCAGAAATAATACCACACATCTACAACCATCTGATCTTTGACAAACCTGTCAAAAACAAGAAATGGGGAAAGGATTCCCTATTTAATAAATGGTGCTGGGAAAACTGGCTAGCCATAAATAGAAAGCTGAAACTGGATCCCTTCCTTACACCTTATACAAAAATTAATTCAAGATGGATTAAAGACTTAAATGTTAGACCTAAAACCATAAAAACCCTAGAAGAAAACCTAGGCAATACCATTCAGGACATAGGCATGGACAAGGTCTTCATGTCTAAAACACGAAAAGCAATGGCAATAAAAGCCAGAATTGACAAATGGGGTCTAACTAAACTAAAGAGCTTCTGCACAGCAAAAGAAACTACCATCTGAGTGAACAGGCAACCTAAAGAATGGGAGAAAATTTTTGTAATCTACTCATCTGACAAAGGGCTAATATCCAGAATCTACAAAGAACTCCAACAAATTTACAAGAAAAAACAACCCCATCAAAAAGTGGGCAAAGGATATGAACAGACCCTTCTCAAAAGAAGACACTTATGCAGCCAACAGACACATGAAAAAATGCTCATCATCACTGGCCATCAGAGAAATGCAAATCAAAACCACAGTGAGATACCATCTCACACCAGTTAGAATGGCAATCATTAAAAAGTCAGGAAACAACAGGTGCTGGAGAGGGTGTGGAGAAATAGGAACACTTTTACACGGTTGGTGGGACTGTAAACTGGTTCAACCATTGTGGAAGACAGTGTGGCGATTCCTCAAGGTTCTAGAACTAGAAATACCATTTGACCCAGCCATCCCATTACTGGGTATATACCCAAAGGATTATAAATCATGCTGCTATAAAGACACATGCACACATATGTTTACTGTGGCACTATTCACAATAGCAAACAGTTGGAACCAACCCAAATGGCCATCAGTAATAGACTGGATTAAGAAAATGTGGCACATATACACCATAGAATACTATGCAGCCATAAAAAGGATGAGTTCATGTCTTTTGTAGGGACATGGATGAAGCTGGAAACCATCATTCTCTGCAAACTATCACAGGGACAAAAACCAAACACCACATGTTCTCACTCATAGGTGGGAAATGAACAATGAGAATACTTGGACACTGGAAGGGGAACATCACGCACCAGGGCCTGTTGCGGGGTGAGGGAATGGGGGGGGGGGATAGCATTAGGAGATATACCTAATGTAAATGATGAGTTAATGGGTGCAGCACACCAATATGGCACATGTATATGTATGTAACAAACCTTTACATTGTGTACATGTACCCTAGAACTTAAAATATAATAAAAATATATATATATAGAGAGAGAGAGAGCAAAATGAGAGTCAACATGAAACTGAAGTCATGCTGTACTCTTCTATGATACAGCCTACTTGCAGAAACCATTGTTCATCCCTTGCCCTTATCCTTTCCCTCTGAATTAGACAGAATATGCGTACAGAGGAGGCTGTGGCTGTTTCTAGTCCAAAAATACCATCTTTAAAGCTACACAAATTTTAGAGAAGAAGTTAAGGGCAAGATGACCTTTTTTTACATATAAAAAGCCTCCTATTAGGAGGAATCAATATTCTTAAAACGGTTTTATTACTGTCATGTGGAATAAGACTTTGGGGAATTTAGTGGGAAAATGATCCTAATTTGATCTTAATTACCTCTCTTTTAATTAGAGCTATGTTCACTTAGTGAAATTTACTGAGGTATCACAAGAACAGCTCAGAAGCTCTCAATTTTATAAGGTGAAAATACCTAGAGAGTATGAGGTCCATCCAGTATATTTTGAAAATGAAGTAACAGAGATAAAACAAATTGTCCACTGCACCTGTATCTTACTCCTCTCACACACATGCACACACACACTGAAAGTGGTGAAATATTTCCTTTGTCTATTTTTATAGCTGTAAATTTTATCAGAGTGAAATATCTCATCAATTTCAGTTTACATGGTATTATGATTTTCATAATTTACATGCAATTTCAAACTATTGTACTGTATTTTGCATAGGGCAGAAATTATGATAAATGCTTGATGAAAATATTCTCTACATTCTTTTAATCACAAGTTAATTAAATATTTTAAATTATTCCTCAGTTACCTCAACTTATTTTATGTGGAAATAATAGAATTCCTAGTTGACTTAATTCTCATTCAGGTAAAATGAGCTTTGTGACCTGGGCAATGAGAAACAGCATTTTCAAATTGCTCATTACAAAATAGCCTTATAATGAATTCATCTATTTTTATACTAATGCTTTTTTTAAAAAACATCAGCCCTCCTTTAAACTTTTAGGAAACAAGACAGTCTTTTTAACTGTCTTTAAAAAGATAACCCATCTTTTCCAGAACTATTGACTCTTTCTAGATTTTGTAGAAATAAAAATTAAATCTATTTTTATTATTAAAATACATGTTATGGATTGAACATCTGTGTCTCCCCAGAATTTATATATTGAAATCCCAACCCCAGTGTGATGGTATTAAGAGGTGAGGCCTTTGAGAGGTAGTTAGTCATGAATGTAGAGGCTTCATGAATGGGATTGTTGTCTTATAGGTAGAGACATGGAAGCTAGCTTGCTCCCTCTGCTCTGGCCATGTGAGGATACTACAGACGGTGGCCATTTGCAAACCAAAATTGGTGCCTTCACCAGACCTCAGGTTGGTCAGTTCAGTGATGTGGGACTTTTCAGTCTCCCAAACTGTAAGAAAAAAAATGTTTGCTGTTTAAGTCATCCAATCTATGGTACTTTGTCATGGCAGTGAAAATTGACTAGGAAAACAGCTAAAACTGTCATGAAGTACAGTAGATTCACCTTATCCACAGAGGATATGTGGATATCCACCCCCAGTGGATGCCTGGAACTGCAGATAGTACTGAGTTTATATATATATATATATATATATATATATAATGTTTTCCCTTATACATACATACTTATGATAAAGTTTAATTTATAAAATAGACACAGTAAGATATTAATAATCATAACAAATGATAAAATAGAAGTTATAACATTACACCATAATCAAAGTTACTTGAATATAGTTATTATCTCCCTCTTAAAATCTTCTTCCGTTTTACATATGTGACAGTAGCTCCTTCATCAACAGAAACAAACTCTTCAGTGACTTTCACATTTTTCAGCCCAAATTCATTCCTAAATTTGTTGGAGGAGTAAGAGATAGGCACAGTGGGCAATTTGTTTTTATCTCAGTTACTTCATTTTCAAAATAAACTGGCAACCATCCTGTACTTTTAGTAAATGATTTTGTGTCACTTGTTTCAAGGGATCCTTTGCTGAAGTATTTGTGTAGGCTCAATGCTTTTTGGTGCAACACATTGTCAATCAGAACATGGTTTCTGTTCATGTCTTCCGTGGACATATTTAATGCCTTTTCCATCTTAACTAAGCACCATCAAGCATTGTGGCCATGAGTTTTGCAGTTTGAGGTTGGACAGCAAAACTAGCATAAATTTCTTTGTCCTTCTTCAAAATTTCATGGATAGGAGATTCATTCCCAATATAGATCTTAGCAACCTCAACATAAAATTTTTTTCTTTCCTTATCAAGAACGTTCACGTTTTCACTTAAAGAAATCACTTTCTGACATTTTTTGGCGTATCTAAATTGCCAGCATCACTACTCTTGCACTTCAGGCCTATTATTAGGTAAAGTAAGTAAAGTAATATTAAATAAACTTGCACACAAGCCCTGCAAATCCTGGACAGTGAATGTGACAATCAAGAGGGTGATTATGTGACTAACAGATCAGTAATGTAGACAGCAGGGACACACTAAACAAGGGGAGGATTCACATCTTGGGAGGGATGTAGCAGGATGGTGCAAGATTTTTACCATGCTACTCAGAATGCCGTGCAATTTAAAACTTATGGGTTCTTTATTTGTGGAATTTTTCATTTAATATTTTCAGGCCGTAGTTGACTGCAGGTAACTGAAACCATGGAAAGTAAAACTGAGTAAGGTATGAAATACTGTACCTATAATAAACAATTTGAAAGATATCAGATAACTCACATGAGAGTAAAATAATGATAATCTTGCATGTTAGATTGTTTTTAACCCATAATTGAGTATCTGTTCAAAATAAAAATCATATGATATTATAATTTCAAAACAGTTGTTTAATAATTAATGGGCATGGATAACAATCAGCTACTCTCTGCACTGTGCCAAAAATACTCTTAGAATAAGTCTTCTCAGTATTCCTTTGCAAATGAATTCTTTGCTACTTTTTCAAATTTTTAATTTAATACTTAGGCAGGTTTGTTGTTAAGAAATGCTTCTTGTTGAACATAATACAAATATGAAAGTTAAAATTATCTCTAAAACATAGCAAAATAAATGTTTTATTTCTGTACCCAGATACTAATTTTTGATTAGTGCAGCCAATTTGAAAATATGAAGAGGTGTATAGTCACGGTTTGTCTCTTCCATAAATTTCATTAGTACAATTCAGGTGGTTTACAGCTGCTTCTAGGTATTAAGGAAAACCATTTCCAACTTACAGAAAACATTTGGTTCTTTAAACTTTGTATTGGCTGCAATACTTAATTTTTCATGTTCTATATATAAATAAATTTTACCAAAAAATGCTGTCTTTTTAAAAGAATTTAATCACCAACATACATAAATAAGGTCCAAAAAACAATATGATCTTGTCATAAAGCAGTAGGTAAGGTAGAAATTGATGCAACTGTTCTCTAAAACGAATTTGAAAAATACCAAGAACTTTCAATTGCTTTGAGAATATAAATACTCTTATAGGAACATGTGCTAAGGTGATAAACTGTAAAGGAGATATATGTATATGTTCAAAGAAGTTCCTTATAGCATTATATATCATTGTGACATTTTAAAAAATCAAAATATCCAATTATAAAGGATTGATAAATAAAGCATGATTTTTGAATGTTATGAAAGACTTTGCAACCACAAAAAAATATGTTTGCAAAGTTCTATTATACTCTGGGGAATTATTTCCACAGAATTTAAAAGCAAAAATGATATAATTACATGTATAAATAATCTCAGCTATATAATAACAAAATACATAGAAATTAAACTGTAATTAAAATTCTGAAAATAGCCATAACAGTTGATGTTAAGAAGGAAAATTATGAGTACGTTTTTCCATCTTTCTTTTTTTCTGCATTGCTAACTTTCTGTGTTAGCCACTAGCTATTTAAGAATGGTTTTAAAATAACGTAATTGTTAAATAACAGTTTAGAAACACTCTACACAAAAATACAGTATAATCAGACATTTTGCAGTGAGATCCCTAAAAAAAGTATCATTTTGTGAGAAGAAAGAAAGTCAGACCATTTTGACTGCTGCACAATATCCCACTATGTAAAGCTACTCCAGTATATTAGTCTATTGTATTTACCTGACAATTTTTTAGGTTGTTTAGACTTTTTGTTTTGTTTTGTTTTGAGACAGAGTCTCGCTCTGTCACCCAGGCTGGAGTGCAATGGCGTATTCTTGGCTCACCGCAACCTCTGCCTCCCAGGTTCAAGTGATTCTCCTGCCTCAGCCTCCTGAGTAGCTGGGATTACAGGCCCATACCACCATACCTGGCTGATTTTTGTATTTTTAGTAGAGACGGGGTTTCACCATGTTGGTCAGGCTGGTCTTGAGCTCATGATCTCGTGATCCACCCGCTTCGGCCTCCCAAAGTGCTGGGATTACAGGTGTGAGCCACTGTGCCCGGCCTACACTTTTTTGATATTAAAACTTAGGCTGCTCTAAGTATTCTTGTACAAAGTATACATGCAGTTCTCTACACTGGATATAGTAGTCTTATCGACTATTGTTAAAATTATTTTAACAATATTTCCTGGCTTCTTTAGAATCCATTATATACATATACAAGCAAATATATAATCTCATTTTGAACATTTGTAACATATGTTTTAATAACTGCATGTGAGTTTCTTACATACATTGTATTGTTGAGTCTTGCTTTTATCTAATCTGACAATCTCTACTTTTTAATTCAATGTAGTAATTCATATGGTTAGGCTTAAGTTTATCCTCTCAATAGGACTTTTTGTTTTTATGGTTTTTTTTTAATGTTTCTCCTATCAGTTTCTTGTTTCTACCAGAGTCACTGCTTCTATTACTTTGTCGTGGATATAATAGGAAATATATGAATGTAAGTTACTTGCATACACAAAATCTTTATATACTTCTCTATCTATCTATCTATCTAACCATGTATACATCAAGATACTTATGAGTCCATATTGATATCTTCAATTCTGATCCAGCACATAAGGTTAATTCTAGCCACCACCCATGTCTACTTGCATATCTGTAACTTTTGTCTGCGACATTGAGACACCTAACTCTCACAAAGTATAATTTATTTACTTATACATTCAGTCCTAGTATTCACATAAAGTAGTTTCAAAATTGGGAAATCATATCATTGTTAGAAATAAATGTAATATGAATACACTGTTAAAACAGAGTAGCTTTTGTTGGTCTTTCACCTTATACGATCAAGTCAAAGCATTGTTTTTGAAAATTACTTAAGTCAATAACTTTGACTTTTCTTCAGGAAGGTTATGCCGCATATTTACAATACAATTAGATTCACATTTTTTTACTCTGTATTTTATTCTGTAATCACTTGGAATCTGGGTTGATCTTTTTTAAAATTTTTCACACAGCTAAGTTAACTGTTTTGTTTGATTTTATGGATTTTGACAAATGCATAAAGTAAGGTATCCACCAACACAATACTATAGGGAACAGTTTCATTACCCAGCTACTGTAGAGGTTGAGGCAGGAGGACCACTTGAGCCCAGGAGATCAAGGCCAACCTAGGCAAAGTAGCAAGACACTGTCTCCATAAAATAAAGTACCCTTTTTGGCTTCTTTAGAATCAGTGCCTCTCCTTTATCCCAATTCCTGGAAACCACTGATCTGTTTTTTTTTTTTTTTTTTTTTTCCTTAGAGATTAGCCTTTCTCAGAATGGCTAATTAATGGAATAATACAGCATGCTGTCTTTTGGGTTTGACTTCTTTCACTAAGCAAGATGCATTCAAGATTAATACATGTAATTGAGTGATTCAATTCTTCAGGCTTTTGTTGTTGTTTCAGTTTGAGTTTTTGTTTGTTTGTTTTTGTTTTTTCAATTGTTTAATAGCATTCCACTGTATTGATAAACCACAGTTTATCCTTTCATGTGTTGAGGGATATTTTGGTTGTTCCCAGATTTGGGTGATTATGAATAGAGTTGTCATAAATATCTATAAAAAATTTTTGTGTAGACTAAAGTTTTCCATTTATTTCAGTAAATACCTCAGAGTGGGACTGCTATGTTGTGTAGTAACAGTAAGTCACACTGCTTTTCAAAGTGATTATACCATTTACCATCCCCACTAGCAATAAATGAGAGTTTCATTTATTCCTTATCCTTGCTAGAATTTGGCATTTTCCATCTTTTAAAATTTTGGGGACTCTAGTAGTTATTTAGTGATAACGCTGAACATCTTTTTGTGTGCTTATATGTCATCCATATATATTGTTTGGTTTAGTGTCTATACAGATATTTTGCCTGTTTGTATTTGATTGTTGGTTTTCTTACACTTGAGTTTTAATTAAAAATATTTTCTTTCAGTTTTTGGTCTTTTTTTCATTTATTTAACAGTGTGTTTTGCAGAGCAAAAGTGTTTAGTTTTGATAAAGTTCATTTTATTATTTTTTCCATTATATTATGACTTTGTTTTATACAAAATTCCCATTTCCAGGGTCACACAGATTTTCCATTATATATTCCCCAAGGAGTTTTACAGTTTTACCATTTATATTTAGGCCTATGATCCATTTTATGTTAACATTTATATGATTTATATATGTGAATCCTGTGTCAAAGATCTTATTTTGCATAGGGACATTCAATTGTTTCTGTACCACTTATTGAAAAGATTATCTCCTCTCCAATACATTTTCAATGCATCTACATTATACTAAACTTGTGTGGGTCTATTTCTTGGCTTGCTAGACTTTCCATTGATCTGTATGTTCTTCTATTACCTTGAACTTAGTATGGTGGCTGGGTGCATCAAAAATTTTGTCTTTCTACTCCACTTTTAGTTTTCAGGAGTCCCTGATGCCTACACTAGTCACAGAAGGGTTTCTCCACACTGTTGCCTCTCCCTGAGCTGGAGCCTCTTTGTTTCTTGATCATGATGAGATCAAACAGGTTCTCACATTTCCTGGTCCAGGCCTTGGGTTTTGGAAATTCTCTGAATTCCTGCCATGCTCCTTATTTGGAAACCAAACAAACAATCCATTATGTCTATGGTGAGTTTGGGGTGGGAAAAGGTTTCCTGTACCGTGCAAAATCATAGCAGATCTCTATTTCATATTGGAGCAAATTCTGGGACCAGGAGATTTTCCCCCTTTTTTGAGGGACAGAAGATTTTAACCTATCTTCCCATCAAAGTAGCAGTGGGAGGAGTGGGAGACCTTGTGGGCTTAGAGCAGAGGCGATTCCTGGCCTTCTGAGCCAGATAGATTTTAATCTGCTCCCTCTCCTGAAGCAAGTTTCACCAAAATTCTTACTTTAATACTTAGCAACAGTCACTGTGAAATTTGTAGCAATCTAGCATCTCAGGTTTCTCATATCCTTCAAGTTTGAGTTTTATTTCTAAGAGAAGAGACTGTCTCATCCTCTCCCCACCACACAACTAAATAAAAGTCTTAATTTCCATGGAGGAATTAAATAGGTCATCAACCGATTAAATAAAATTTTAGCATGTCAGTTTAAACTGTGTCTTATTTATATCACATTTTATTTGATGTTTTTGATAATGATTCAGTGGTAGATAAACTAATATCTTTATTTTCCCTGCCTTTTAGACACTTGGTAGAAAGGATAAATTAAAATAATATTACACACAATGGAAAACAAGCAGAACAGAGAACGGAATTATTTTGAAGATTACAAAGTTTCAATTGCACAGCATAAATAACGACTTTATTTTTATCTTACATTATATTTCTTCTTTGATCCTAAGTGCAAATGGGATCAGCAATAAGTTTTCTTACAGATATAAATGAATTTTATTCCAATAAATAGCTTTAACATCTTCAGTAATTTATAAATAATTCACACTTAAACATAAAATTGAATTTAAAAACACATTTTTCACCGCTTGTTTAGAATAACTTTCTCAGGGGTTTTCAACCAATTTACTGACAGTTTTAGAGCACATACTATTTCATTAATAGTGCTCTTACCACAGGGAGAAGACATAACGAAGACTAAAATACTAGCCTACACGATTATTATACAAACCCTGAAAAACAAGTAGATGCAGATGTTGCAATATAGAAATTAAGTGAGTTTGCCAGGTCTTAGGGTCAGAATTATCCGGAATATCATTATAGTTCTTCCTCTACTTCACACACTGCTGCTAAGTGTTACTCCCTCTCCTATTTAAAATGAGAGTTGTTCAATTTCTCATACTTTACTCCATTCCAAAAGTACATGTCATCTTTTTCCTACTATATTTTTTTCTGTTCTAACTCACACACACTCACACACACATACATACACATATTCATACAACTTCACTGCCTTATTTTCCAGTGGGAGGTAAATATCAAAAAGTGCTGGATAAGCTTAAAGCATATCACCCTCAAACACTTTTCTGTGTAGATGAGGGAACCTGAGTAGGAATGTGTAAAAGAAGCTCCCTTTTCAAAGCGACATGAAAAGAGATGCAGTACCTGGGTATGCAGTATCCTAGTATTCTAGGAAATAAGCCTATATTATTCTTTAAAGTTCAAGTGGTGAATTCTGCTTCCATTTAGGATGTAGAAAGCTGCAAGTGAATACTGTTTTTACCCTAAACAAGTAAAAATTGGAAAATATACAAAATCATAAATGTTCTTGGGTCTGTTATAGAGCCAAGGTTTTATGTTTACTAAGTGAACAGAATTCTAGAGTGACAAGTATCTCCAAGAAGAGGTGGAGACTTGCAAACTGTTTCACATTTGGCGGTGTGGAAGAGGTGGCTGCCACATAGGCAAGCAAAAATTAAATCAGCTAAAATGACAACAAATTATTAAAAGCTAAAATTGGACCAATATGTCATTTTAGAAGAAACTTTGTAATCCACAGATACAAAAGGAGTTCACAGTTGCTTGCAAGCTCTTTTCCAAGGGCTTCTACTGGGTGCTTATGAGAGAGATTGGGGGAAAGACGAGAGACAAGAGACAGTTTTGCTTGCAGGCACAGGTATGTGTAAGATTGTTGATTGCCCCTAGGGACCAGAAAAATACACTGCCCACATCCAGAAACTCTTCTTTCAAATGACAGAAAGGCTTCAACTGTTGGAGGAAAAGCAGGAAACACTGGGTCCTCAGAGCTCAAGAAAAGAGCTACTGCTTCTGAAAGAGAGGTAGAAGTGAAACTGCCTGCCTATAGGCAAGACACAGGAAAACCTCTTAGGCCCAAGAGGTCTATTATCATCTGCTAAGGGGCAGGACACCGTATCTCACCTAAGACACATACAATGAAGACCCTGGTTTCCATGAGGATGATTGACGAGAATGCTGAGAATAAAGCATCTCAACTCCAAGACTTAGAGCAGTTTCCTTTATTCTTTTTCTTATTTTTTTTTATTACATTTTGCCTGGAGTTCTTTTACCTGAAATGTGTGGGTTTTGTTTCCCTCTCTCCTTTCCCTTTCCTTCCCTTCCCTTTCCTTCCCTTCCGTGCCCTCCCCTCCCCTTCCTCCCTTCCTTCCCTCCTTTCTTCCTTTTCTTTCTCTTTTATTACGTTTTGAAAACTCAATGATTATCTCCTCAAATACTTATTTTGCCCCATTTTCTCTCACTTCTCTTTCTAGAACTCCAGTTACCCTTATGCAATAATGTTTGATATTGTCTTAGGGCTCTTGGATGCTCTGTTTTACTTTCTTTTCTCTTTATTGAAACATAAAGATATCAATTTCAAAACATAAATATTTCAATTTCAAAACAATTGTGTACACAATTCCTATTGGCTTCCACTGTTGCTGGCAGTTTATCATTCTTTACCTCTGATAGTGTTTTTTTTTTAAATTTCTAGAATTTGTATGTAACCTACCTTTAATAGTTTCCATCTCTCTGCCCAAATTCCTCATCTGTTCATAAACATTGCTAATTTTTTCAGTTAATCCTTTAAAATATTAGTATGACAATTCCTGTATAATAGCTCCAATATCAGTATTAACTCTGAGTCTGATTCTGTTGATAACTTTTTCTCTTCACAAGATTTTGTTTATTTCTTGCTTTTTGGGTTTCTCATAATTTTTGAGTGTCAGTTATCATGTAGAGAAGAAGAATAGAAAAACAGGTAGATAAGGTTTGATTACATCTAAAAATGGACACACATCTTCTGTCAGATCTTTAATGTGGGTTAGTGAGTGGATTCAATCTAGTCAATTGGTTTCTGTTGTTCCTAGGGTCACCTTTAATGCATCGAACCTGTTATGTTTCTCTAGGAGTGGACTGATGTTACATGCTACCATCTGAGATATAGATACTTAGAATTACAGTTTAAAACAGTGATTCTTGGCTGGGCGTGGTGGCTCACACCTGTAATCCTAGCACTTTGGGAGGCAGAGGCGGGAAGATCACGAGGTCAGGAGATCGAGACCATCCTGGCTAACACGGTGAAACCTCGTTTCTACTAAAAATACAAAAGATTAGTCAAGTGTGGTGGTGGGCACCTGTAGTCCCAGCTACTCAGGAGGCTGAGGCAGGAGAATGGTGTGAACCCAGGAGGCGGAGCTTGCAGTGAGCTGAGATCATGCCACTGCACTCCAGCCTGGGTGACAGAGCAAGACTCCATCTCAAAAACAAACAAACAAAAAACAAAACAAAACAAAAAAACAAAAACAAAACAAAATAAAACAGTGATTCTTGAACAGATAATTTATTGAGGGGTCCTCTCAGAAGAAGGAAACGAGTAAAGCATGTTAATGTTGAAGAAAATGTAGGCAAAGTCATGGTGTCAAGAGAAGTCTAAGGTAAGTATAGTTCTATGGGAGAATCTGGAATGTAAATACCATGACAGTGGTTGTCTTACCTCGAGATAAGCTGTTGTACCCCTAGCTGACTCAGTCATTGGCTAGAGGCCACCCAGCAGGGAGAAGGCATAACTTCCCAGGGGTTTCCCACTGGGGCAGCTCCATTTGCCATGGACAAGCCTCTGGGGAAGGCTGGAGTTGCAACAGCTGTAGAATGGGTGCAACGGCCAAATAACAGGAATCTGGTCAGGTCACCCAAAGCATCTGATATATCCAAATTCTGACCACATTCTATATTCGGTCATTCCAATCAAATTACAGATGTCAGTTTGTAGCTAGGATATTCGCATATTTAGTCAAGGAGCTAGAAGTAAAAGAATTAGATAATATTTTCACTAAGTATTTAAGACCAGCATGCATTAAGTGTTGTTACCCCTACAATTTAAAAAGTAATTTTTTTCACACACTAGATCGAGATAGATGTTCAAAATTCATTGGTTATATTTTTGTCATAAATTTCTTGTATATGTATTCGTACCGTATGCCTGCAGTTGGCATTCTAAAATTAAGTAGATGTGTTGTATAATCATAACCCTGCCATATAGTGAATCGAGATACTTGAGTCCTAGTCTAGAAATTACTAATAGAAAACTCTGTAACTTTGGGCAAGTCACTTCTGTTAGCCATGTTTTCTTTATCTGTAAAAGTCAGATAAGAAAGACAACACATCATTTTAAGTTTCAATTTTGTTGAGGGAAATTTTATTCAAGTTAAGAGTCGATAGTATGTGCCTTTCCTTTATTGCTAAGAGCAAAATGATATTCTGAAATGCAGACTCTTTTCCATGCCAATTGACAGTGATTTGAAACACCATAATGAGAAATTCCAAATTATGCTTAAGTAGATTAATTTACACCTGCATTTTTAAGCTTCATATATACATATTCTTGCAAAACATAAATAAAATGGTGCTAAAAAAAGAAATTAAGTAAAATTGTAAATCAGGGGATATGTGAGTGAGGAAAGAGATGATTAAAAACAGCAGGTTAGATGTAAGTATAATTGTTTTTAAATGTCTTTTTTTAGTATGTTAATGTTTTATTTTTAACTGACAACTAAGACAAGCATAAATTTAAAGATATATAAAAATTTATAGTTACATACATTTAAGTAAAGGAAGGATCTTAGCTTCTCCTTTAATTCTCTTAAGTTTATAAATGAGAATTCTAAGGTGCAAAGTGTTGGGGAGAAAAGGGTAGGGACTTTGATGAGAATTAAAAGTGTTCTTCTGAATGCTGCTAAAATTAAAGGTGTCTATTATTTCTTTGTCCAGAAAATGTGGTAGGATTTTATTTTAATCACCTTGAATTTACTTTTCAATAAAAGGGTCACCCTTGATAACCTGCACTTTCATTTGGCCTAATTTTTACATTTCCCTTAATTCATGAGTAGAATCTATATACATATATTATTCTGGTTTTCTATTGATGAAGTACATGGGGAAGACACAGGTGAAATCTTTGGTGAAATATGGAGAGAAAAGGCATAATTCAACAGTAAACATCATATGGTCAGAGGCAAATATTGTAGCCTTTAAAAATTCATAAAAGCTTGGGAGGCCAAGGCAGATGGATCACGAGGTCAGATCGAGACCATCTTGGCCAACATGGTGAAACCCTGTCTCTACTAAAATACAAAAAATTAGCCAGGCATGGGGGCACGTACCTGTAGTCACAGCTACTCAGGAGGCTGAGTCAGGGGAATCGCTTGAACCCAGGAGGCGGAGCTTGCAGTGAGCCGAGATTGTGCCACTGCACTCCAACCTGGGCGACAGAGCAAGACTCCGTCTCAAAAATAATAACAATAACAATAATAATAATAATAATAATAATAAAAGCCCCAACAGATAGTGTTTGTTTATAAGAGAAAGCTGAGAACAAAAATCACATTGGCAGATGCACTGTTCATTTTTGCTTAAAAAGTTTTTGTCATATGGTATAAAATGTGAATTCTTATGGTTATGGAACAAAAGAAAAAAATGGAAAAAAACAAACACATATGAAAAGTAAAATGGATGAACAGCTTCCGAATCATAAGTCTTTATGTTCTCTAAATCCTTCATGAGATCATGCAGGATGTCAGTAAAATATCCAAAGATATCTCAGCAGACAGACATGTGTGTATACTTTGTGCTATTCTAGTACTCTGAAGGCTTACAGTGTTAGAAGAGCAAGGTAAGTATCAGTAAACAAGAAAGTTATCGATTTACTCATGTACGGATCTATATAGAATAATATAATGAATGCACATTTTGAATTTTTTTCAAAATTGATACCACAGATAACATTCTGGAAGAAAAAATTGAATAAATCATGAATATAATGAGATCTCCTTGGGTTGATCTTGTGAATAAAATAAGTAGATAAGCTACTCAACCCTAAAGTAGCTTACTTAACAAGTTTTTCCTTTTGTTTGTTTTGTTTTATTTTGTTTTGTTTTTTAACTGGTCTGTTTCTACTGTAGTCAATAATCCAAAATAGCACTAAGAGTGACTATGGAAATTTTCCTAAGCATCAATTTATATTGAATGACACACATTTTAAAAATTGTAAATATTTTTATAATGGGCTAGATACTTCAACTTTGCATTTAATGAAATAAACAATTTCTTAATCTTCCCAAAGCAGTGCCAGATAGATATTTTATTTTCAATGACAAGTGTGATAAGTGAATTGATCTAGGAATAGATTTGGAATCTAGGGAACAAATGAAAACTCATTAGTGCTTTAATCATAAAAATAACCATAATTATGGTCGTGCTGCTGTTTCTATGTAAATAATTTTTTAGGAAAACCAGTTTTTTTCCTATTTATATACTTTATGTATGACTTCATTTTCCTAAAATGTGTATTAACCTGCAAAAGAGCAATGAAATTATTAATTATACACGATCTGAATATGACAAACATATGACATATGACAAGAAAATAACATATTTTTCCACCTACCATGTTGTATTCATTTGTAGCTATAAAGCCTTTCTTTCAAATTATTTAATTAAATTGTTCTATTCCTAGTTAACTTATTAACTGATCTCTATTTTATGTATATTATGTCCCAAATAATTCATTTGTGTCTTCTGTTATTAAAAAAAACACACACAATATGGGAAAGTTAGTAATTTGTGTTTTAAATCATGAAATACAAAAAAAGTCTATGTGTTTCACGGAATTCTATTTTTAATTGTTAGATACTGTTGGAGATTATCTGGTTAAACTTTTCATTTCACAGGGAAACTTGCAGACTTTCTAGGCTTAAGGCTTTTTTTCCTCCACCCCCTGGAAAGCTAAAGAATCTTGAGAGCAACAGAAAAAGCAGGTAATTAATTGCCTGTATGCTTAGTCCTGTTGAAAGAAGCGTCCCTGTGTGGTGGCTCACGTATGTAATCCCAGCACTTTGGGAGGCTGAGATGGGCAGATTACTGGAAGCCATGAGTTCAAGACCAGTCTGGCCAACATGGTGAAGCCCTATCTCTACTAAACTACAAAATTGGGCCAGGAATGGTGGCACACGCCTGTAATCCCAGCTAATTGGGAGGCTGAAACCAGAGAATCACTTGAACCTGGGAGGCAGAGATTTCAATTCGTCGAGATTGTGCCACTGCACTCCAGCCTGGGCTACAGATCTCAAAAAAAAAAAAAAGAGAAAGTTGCTATTCAAGTGTAGGCTTCTGACCAGAAATACTAGCATCATCTGGAAGATGGCTTGAGATACAGAATCTCCAGCACCACTACAGATTCATTGAATCAGAATCTGCAATTTAGTCCAATCCTTGATGATTCATAAACACACTAAAATGTTACAAGTATTTATTAAGAAAAATTTGGATTGGAATGGGATTTCCTTTTAGAACCTTTGCTCACTTCCATATCCAGCTCTACTTCTTAGAGTCTAAAAACAAGATCCTACATGTTCACCAACATAGGATGCTCATGGCAATCAGTCCTTCCTAATCTGTGGAGAAATACCGTGACATATTTGTTTATAATTTTTAAAATCCTATTAAATTGGTCATACTCTGTTCCTCAAGATCCATTCTTTACCCCGTTCCCTGCTCTGTGCCATAGAGAGGCTGTACTCTAGGAACAGTGACTTGGGTTCCTTGCACTTTTGATTTTGGTTGGATTTGGCCAATGAAGAGAACCAGGTAGAAATTAGATAATGAAAGTGGAAGTTAAGGTGACTATTTTCTGATTCCTATTTTCTCTTTGCTTGGGCACCAGAATCATGGAAATAGCTGTTTTTCTCCACAGTTACAGCTGGTGTTGGGCAGCTCCCCTTCCAAGACTTGTGCTTCCTCCTGGCTCTAGTATTACTAGTTCATCCCCTGGCCCCTTCAGGGCTACAAGTGATACCATTTTCTGATGTTGCTAGTCTATCAACAATCTTTGCTGATTCCCTCAACCCTATCTACAGCTCTGTAAATAGTCCCTTCATTGTGTTCAAAGTTTCAAAATCATCACTTCTCTACAAGGACGCTACCTAATACATCCATCTTTTCTAATTTATTTGTATATTTTATAATGTTCTATAATTAACACATCCATACACACACACATACATAACATAAACATCCATACAAACATGCACACACTGGTATAGTAGGGAGCATAGTAAATTTATTTAGAGATCACTACTAGCATCATTCAAAGTTGACAAGTAATATATTAAAAACTATGCTCTTCTAATGAAGCAATTGTTCTATAAGAGTAACTGAGGTCACCTACAGATAGGTCTAATCAGTTAAAAACATATTCATATTTTTTCTAGCATTACTTTTATCCTTGTGATTCATACCATCAATTGGTTGGGTATTTTAACAAGACATCAAGTAAAGAAGTAAATCATAAAAACCTGCATAATAACATGGGATTTATTTTAACTTGATGTATTTGCTAATTTATGAATATGCATATATGTACTAACTGGCAAAAACCTCAGCTTTCTCTCTCTATTTGGAGTTAAGAAAGTTAATAGACAGACTTTCTCACTCCCCTCTGTACCAGGTAGGAAATTGTTATATCTTTTCTGGGAAAACTGAGTAGCCAAAGAAAAAAACCTACTGCAACTGATAGGTGGGGCCCTCCCCCAACAGTTGCCAAGCCACTTCATCCTATTCTGGAGCACAAGAATCCACTCTACATGCTAACGGTAGGCACATCCAGTCAATTCTTAAGGTCTCATTTTTTATAAATAAAATGAGAGTCAAGGATTGGCTCCTCATATGAATGAGGACAGAACAAACAAACAAACAAAAAAACAGTGAAGATGACAGAAAAGATTTAAAATAAAGGCAATGCTGGGAACAGAAAAAAAAAACAAAACTTTTGGATCCATGAAAGAAAAAGAAATCTTTAAAAATATTATTCAGAGAACAAACCTATGTCTTTAAAACTCAATTGTAGTAATGAATACCTCAGTTGAGGACAAAATGAAGACAATCTTTCAGAAAGACAACATATAAATACAAAGATGTAGTGAGAGACAAAAGAAGAAAATTAAAAGACTATCTAGAAAACTCAATACCAAATAATGAATCTATGAGGAATAAAGAACAGAGGAAATGAAGCCAAAGAATATTTTAAAAATTCACTTATGCTCTCCAAAATTAAAGCTAAAGCACATGAGTTTCCATACTGAAAGTGTCCACCTACTGTCCAGTAAAATGGATGAAAAAGATTTGTACCAAAGCTAGTTATTGTAAAATGTCAGACCACTTGTGCCTAAGGGGAGATCCTAAATACTTCCAGAGATGGGAGATTAAAAATAAAATATTATAAAGAGAAGATCAGACATCAGAATATAATCGATTATTTTAAACAGCCACAATGAAAGCTTGAGGACCATGAAGTAATGCCTGAAGATTTAATGGAAGTGACCGTCTATGGAGAACTCCATATCTAGACAAATAATCAAAACTGCCAAGACATTCTCAGACATAAAAACCCACAAATTTCACAACCACTCACTCATGCACAAAAAACATTGAAAAAATGTGTACTACCAAAATGAGAGAATATGTCAAGAAAGAAGGAGTTGTGGGAATCAGAAAACAGGGTATCCAAGACAGAAAAATGGCTTAAAGGATTTTATAGGATGATGGTGAAGACAGATTGCAGAACAGCAACTGAGCAGCAGGCCTAGAGAGTACTCATGAAAAAGCAAAACATACACCAGGAGAGATACTGCCAAGAAAGAAAAGGAGAGAGAGAGAGGAGAAAGAAAGCTTTATAGATTATCTCATCAATTTGAAAATACTGCATGGAAATGTATATTTTTGGAAGATTAAAAAATTCAAACAAAAAATGAGTAATTATTTACCCCAAGAAATAAAATGTATATAGCACTACATAACTCATCAGTAATACATCAATGAAATGTAATCGTTGAAAATAGATCTAATAAGTTTATAATACAATATATTTATTATAAACCAAAATTCTGACCTTCCATAGTGAAAATTGTCATTATCTAATCATTAACACTAAGAAATAAAGCAATTTAAGGAAAAGCAAGTTATTGAGAAATAATGGTGAATACCATAAAAGACAAAAGCAATGAAAGTGGTTGCTTCTGGAAAGCAGCGATCATTAGTATCTATATATATTTCTTCTACTCTCACCCAAATACATTCAGTTGACTAACACCAGTACTGATTCAGTGCAGAATAAAAGATTTGTAAATTACACTTTTTACAATCTGTTTTCCAGAGTCCTGCATGATTACTCAGAATCCATATAATGTTGGAGCTATTTAGTCTTCACATAGTCTATAATAATTTTTAAATTAACAGTCAACAGTGAGCAGGCACTGTGATAGGCACTGGGTATGCAAATGCTGTAATCTTGAATACTAACCCTGGGGCAGAACATGCTCTTCATCTTCTCTGGACCACCCATCAATTCCTACTCTTGCCGTGTCTCTGTTGTGACTCAAGAGTCTTCCCAAGAAGACTATTCAACCTCCTAAATAATTATACTCATGTTTTAAGAACTTGATTTTTAAAAGAAGAAATATCAAAGTGCTTTACGAAAAAATATCATAATCATGAAATCTTTCTATTTCACTCATTTCAGTCAATGAGTAATTCTATAAATTTCTATTCTGTAAGTGTGTTCTAGATAATTTTCTTCTCTATAGTTAAACATTTCCTATATATTATTTCTTCCATGAATGCTTTCTGAAGTTATCTGGGAAGACTTGATATGTTCTCCTATTTGGATATGAGAATATCATTGTTGTTTTCCCCATTCTCACCTCATTGACATATTTCTCCTTGCTCCTGAAAGATATGACATAATTATAATATGAATGGCACGAATATGTGTCCATTAGATGCTTCCTAATATATTTTTGTTCTTTTTCTATTTGTCTATCTCATGATTGCCATTTGGACTATAACTTTTTAGAGGAGAATGGGCACATCCATATGCAGAAACTGGTCTAGACCAATCACATAAGAATCCTTAATATAATTCTTGATAGTACCTGGTCATAGCCAGTTAAACCCCCTATCCCATTTACTTTCTGTATATTATTCTTTTCTATCAGTATTATTTTATAGCATTTGCTATTTTAATTGAGGTAAATATTTACCTTGATTATTCCTCAAAGTAGGCAAACTGATGGGTGAGAGAGGGCAAAGCCAGGTAGAAGGATGCATCATATCTGATGGATAGTTTTATATACTTCTGGCAAAACGTACTAAATAATTGTATTATTTATTAGCACTTTTTAAATACTATGCTTTTTTATCTGATATTAGATTGAGTATATGTATATAACAAGATTTATTCCAGTGACTGTTAGAAAAATATTTTAATAAAAATGAGTGATAAAACAGTTATAACTTAAATCCAATGCACTCAGTCTATAAGTCTTTTGTCATTCTGTCATCTTTTTTATTATATCATTAGAGTCATGATTCACATTTGTTGAAATATGAGGAACACACAATATACAAAGAGGTAATCAAATGGAATCTAGATGAGTAATAGAATGTAAGGGCTTTTATCAGGCTAACTTGGCTGGGTTATAAAACGTCATGGGTGGACAATTGCATGACATATGAAAAAAGATGATTATCAGGCTAGAAAAATATTAAAGATAATTCTTAATATTTTGACCTTTGCACAGCCAAAAAAATACAGGCAGCCCTGAACATTTTCTTTCTTCTAAAATGGAATATATGTCATCCAAAGGGTCTGTTATCTCATGCCTTCATATTTCTATTAAAAAATCAGGCTAGGTAGAACAAGATGCACAACCAAAAAGAGGTTATTCTTCTTTCATTAAAAAATCCATAATCCTGAATAAAAAATATTAGAAGACATGAACCTGTTCAACTGTTGAAAATATATTTTATGCTTCTTTAAAGTGACCATTTTAAAAATATTAATTATGTGAAACTTTGCTGCCATTTAAATACACAATTCTTCTTGGCCATTCAGTACATGCTCACCATTTTTCAGAGGCGGGAACTAAGGCTGAAAAAGAATAAATAATTTTCCAGAAGTTGCACTGTAAATTAGTAGGGCAAGACACAACTAGTCCTGGGCCCCTGTTTCTCAGCTAAGGCTTATTTCTTCTAATATGTTGCTTTTAAACATTTTCAGCATTTTATATGAATTCATTTTTAGAACTAATATAATATAGAGGCCATTCTAAATAACAACAATTGTACTTTTAATATTTGTTAATTAAAACTGTCACTATATGCAATGTCATTCACAGTATTATTTCATACTTACAGATTAAAAGAGATAAGACTTGAACTGAAAGAATTCATTTTATAAGAGATAAAAGCATATGAACATACAATATATTATAACCTTATAACATTTTAATATTTTGACGATTTTAAGGGCTAAGAATAAAGAGCAGGGAAATATAAGAAAAGGAATGGTTAGGGACTCACAGGAACAGCTTCACCAAAAAGAAGAGAGAGCATTTCAGCAAAAGCAAAGAAGCATACAAGAGCAAAGTGTAAATGGGATCTACACAGTATAATGCATGAAGTCAGAAAACTATACAGGATTGAGATGGTGAAACAATACAATCAGAATTTAAAGAGCTTTCAATACCATACATATCAATAAAGATTTCTTTTTGAACGCAATGTGGTACAAATGAATAGTTCTGAGAAGGCGAGAACAAAGTCATGTTTGCATGTAAGAAGCATCACACCTTTGGGAGGCTGAGGCGGTCGGATCACGAGGTCAGGAGATCGAGACCATCCTGGCTAACACAGTGAAACCCTGTCTCTACTAAACATACAAAAAATTAGCCTGGCGTGGTGGCGGGCACCTGTAGTCCTAGCTACTTGGGAGGCTGAGGCAGGAGAATGGTGTGAACCCGGGAGCCAGAGCTTGCAGTGACCCAAGGTCGTGCCACTGCACTCCAGCGTGGGCAACAGAGTGAGACTCCTCAAAAAAAAAAAAAAAAAAAAAAAAGGCATCACACTAGGGCAGAGCAGGGCATGACTGAAGGAAGATGAGAGTAGAGAAGTGCAGATTATGATGAAAAGACTATTAAAAATTTTCAAACAAGTTACAGTGAACTCCCAACTGCTTCAATAGACACTAGTGAGGATGTATATAGAGAACAAATATTTACAGATTGTATAAACAAGTTTAACCATGGATTGATTTTTAAGGTAAATAAAGAAAATCTACCAATCAATTAATGTTTTCAAGTGAGATAAAATGTGTTTATCTATTATAAATATAGATCATAGTTGCTCCTTGAATGTAGATCAATTCATAAGAAGAATACAGTGTGATAAGAAGGATTTAAAATGTAGATTCCTGCAGAATGTTGATATGAAAATGCATAGCAAAGAGGAATTCACAGAGCAGACTGAGAAATGGCCAGAGGTGTATAATGTAAATGGAAAATGAAAATTATCCCAGAAACCACGGGAGAAAAATATGTTTGAAGAAGGAAACACTGGTCAGTAGTGACAAATGTTGCCATGAAATAAAGAAAACTGAAGTCTAAAAGATGCTCATTGGATTATCATACTAAAAATTTAATTAAAATATTTTCAGTGACCTGGTAAGGTAAAAATTTAGCTTAAAATAAATAAATCATTGATGGAACAGGATATACCAAATTCAGTACTTATAGTGTAAGCTACTATTTCCCAAAATGTTAGGGGAAAAATGATAGGGCATGTAGAAGAGATTTAAAACCAAAATAACATATTTTGTGAATGGAAGCATTTTCAACATATTTCTATGCAGAGAGAAAGAAACAAATGTAGAGGAAGATACTAGAGAATATTTGATGAAATAAAGATACTGAGTATTTGGAAAGAGGATAAGAGCCAAATCAAAGATAAAAGAATAATTTTTTGATATAAGCCTGAATATCACTATCTCTGACTTCAATACATATTAGATAACATTATAGGTAAACATGTCTAACCTTAGAGAGTTGATAACTGATAAGCTCTCTTGTTTTTGTAAAATTTGAAGCATAGTCAAAGTCATATGAAAGAGATGGAGACAAGGTAGCATATTTGAGAGGAATAAAGATAGTAAGGAATAGATTTCCCAAAAGTGAGATAAGAAGAGTAATACTCTGGCTAGGCACAGTGGCTCACACCTGTAATCCCAGCATTTTGGGAGGCTGAGACAGGAGGATCACTTGAACCCAGAAGTTCAAGACCAGCCTGGGAAATATAGTGAGATCTCATCTCTACAAAAAACAAAACAAAAATTTAGTCAGACGTGGTGGTGCATGCATGTGGTTGAGGCTACTCAGGAGGCTGAAGTGGAAGATTGCTTGAGCCCAGGAAGTAGATGCTGCAGTGAGATATGATGACATCACTGCGCTCCAGCTTGGGTGACAGAGCAAGACTCTATGTTTCAAATCAAAACAACAACAACAAAATAAAAGTAAGACTCTGTATGTGGATTTCACCCAAGCCAGTTGTGATCCTGGGGATGGCCACATGTGGGCGAGCAGCTGTATTCAAATAACATATTATGCTTAAATTAATGTTCTTAGACTCAAGCCAATTAATACAAATTTATATTATTTTAGAAATGAAAGCATTAATCATCCATATCCACAAAGGTTTATGTCAAGTTAACAAATCAAAAATTAAATTTAGATACACTGGCACCATGCTTCATTGAATATTTATCTTAGGATTTCATTTGCAGTCAGATAACTCATTTCTAATTCAGTCAATGAATCAACTACTAAGAATTTGTTTTAAGTATCAAATATGAGCGTAAAGCTAGTCTGGAAGGCAATACAGGAAAATTTTAAGAAATTATACTGATCTTCAAGATTCTTAGACTCTAGAGCAGCGAATAATATAAAAAGTGGCAAATAAAATAGCACATTGTTGTCAAAATTCACAACTGGACAACTAATTATAAATTGGTATAGCAGTTAAATCAAGCCTGAATATTTATGCATTTATTAAGCTTTGAAGTATGAGCTAAAGTCTTCGACTTGAAGTACCTTACGTTATGATTTAGAAGAAAAAATAAATACCCTCAAATTATTTTCAGGAATAGAAGGCAATACTTATCAAATGACAAATGACAGGAATAAAATATGTATGGTACTAACTGGATAATTATGGAATCGGTAATAGTTGATAAAAATATTAAACGGGTTTAATGTTTTATGAGAAAAAACAAGATACATAAATAAAAAAGAATCAGAGATTTGAAAACAAATTTTTTAAAAAGCAAAGTATCAGCCCCAGTGGACAAACCCCTAAAATATACAGACTACATTTGGGTTAAATAGATGAATTCCCAGTTATAATGAACGAAGGCTGCATTTGCAATGACCCTTGTTCACGAGCACATATTGCATTCCTTATTACCATTTCTCCTACTGAAGAAAATGTACAGGGTGGAGTAAGTATGAAGTCACTTTCCTAGGAAGCATTAAATAATAATTAATGAGACAATGGTCAGTAAGGGGATGGAGAACATAGAGCACTATTTGGAGTGTGCCTCTTAGTAGAAGGAATTTAAAGGGGAAGACAACATGAGTGAAGGCATCATCATCAAAGACTAAGACAGAAATAGTAAACCATTTACACAACAGTAGTGCACTGGTAATATCCAAACATATGATACAATTTGGAGGAGTGAAAAGTAAGACTGATTAGGTAAGAGTAGAATACACAATGGGAGGCTTTGCAAGTCAGTGAGAATAAATTTGGTTTAAAGCAATGAAAATTAGGAAGCCATTAGAACATTTTGGAGTAAGAAAGTGGTAAAAATAGTATTGTCAGATAATCTACCAAGATCTAGGGTAGAAGAATATTTAAAAATAATTAACCCAGCCTGTAGGAAGACTAAACTATTGCTCAGGATAGATTGGATTCGGATAGAGCTGCAAAGAGAGAAAACAGCAAAGAAGACCATAGAGTGTAACAGTATCTTCTCTCCTGTTTTTATGCTTTGGGAGTGGAACTATGTCAAAACATTGCAAAATTTCTATTTGTGATAGAATATCAGCATATGTTTCTAGCAAACTTTCAGGGCATTGTAACAAAATTTTAAAAATATACACATAAATTTCATGGTGCCTTTAGACAAATATAAAGTCATTAGACTTTAGACTTTAGTCTTTAGACTATAGACTCTAAAATCTTTCGACTTAATATTAGTCTAAAGGCACCATGGAATTTATGTGGATTCGAGTTTTACAAATAAATAGAACCAATAGAGTATATAGAGAGATATATATGAGGAGGTTTATTATGAGAATTGGCTGATACAATTATGGAGGCCAAGAAGCCCCACAATAGTTAGATATGCCATCTGCAAGAAGGAGAGGCAGAAAAGTTGGTAGTGTAATTTAGATGAAAGATGAATGCCTAAGAACCAGGGAAGCTGATGATATAACACCCAAGGACTAAGGCTGACAAGCTGGTGTAAGTTCCGAAGTCCAAAAATAAGGAGCATCAGATGTCCCAAGCCAGAAGAAGATGGATGTCCCAGCACAAGCAGAGAGAGCAAATTCAACTTTTCTCTGCCTTTTTGTTTTATTCAGGTTTTCAGCAGATTGGATGATGCCAACCCCACAGTGGTGACGGTGAATCTTCTTTACTCAGTCTACTGACTCAATCACCTATCTCTTCTAGAAACACTCTGAGAGACACACTCAGAAAGAATGTTTATCTGGGCATCCCTTAACCTCATCAAGTTGGAACATAAAATTGACCATCACAGTCTTGATATGTTAAAATATCACATTTATCTCAGGAAATCTGCACTAAGCTTTTATTTTTAAATGTTTTATGGGAATAATCTTAATAAAATCTGACCTGCGATGTGTGATGAGATTAAATTAGTCTCAACTTATTTAAGTGCAGGCACACGATAATATCAATATAATCTAATAACATCAAATAGTTCTTTACAAATATGTATTGCACATGCCAGAAGCCAGATACTATGTGACAATGAATTCACATATAAAATTGGCTATGAAAAGAAATGTTGTCTAAATTCATTATTCAAGTTTTCTGCTAAAACAGTGGTTAAAAAAAAACTGTAAAATTTGAATTAATCCATTATTGTTCCTATCATAAGACACAGATTTTGTTTAAATGTCCATCAAAGACAAACTTTGTCAGGTTTTCTCAAGCTCAATGTATTTTAGGATGAGGGAGGCAAATATTGGAGGTTTCAGACACATACAGGCAAATTAAAGAATTTCTACTACATATAATACATCTAAGTACAATAGTTAACTAAAGGTGTCAAAAGGCCAGGGTGGGTCTCAAGATCTAGGGAAAGACTGGGCTGGTATTCAAAAGAAAGGCATAGATTTTTAACTTGGATCTGCTACTATGAAAATTTCAATTACACTCACCCAATCTTGTTTTCCTTGTCAGTGAAATGGTTAGAAGAGTGAGGTAATAATACTAATTTAATAATACTACTGGGCAGAAGTTTTGATCTAACATTTTGGGAGCTTACTGTGAGTGAACTGAGCATTATAAATTCTTTACATGCATTATTTTCATTAATCCTTAAAACAGCTAGAAGAGGAAGTGTCACTCTCATTTCCATTTTTATATAGGGGAAGTGTAAATTTCAGATGAGAAAATTGAGTTTAGTAAATTATGCAACTTTTCCAATATACTTAGGTCATAAGTGCTGTGAAGTATTATGCATTGTTATGCCCCTCTACTGCAGAATGACAATGTATAGATAACAATGGAAAAAATAATAAGAAATGCTTTGTATACTATAAAGTATGTTATAAATATACTATAATTATTTTATTTTACTGTATTATAAATATGCTGTGAAAATTTTTGAGCCTAATGAATTTTTATGTTATCACAGTACTTTCCATTAAAAATACTGAATAAATATTTGTTAAATGAAGAAAGGAAGGAAAGAGAGGAGTATATTAACATGATGTAGCTTACTGGAGAAAGTAAGGAAAACCTATGAAGTTGAACCATATCAAAGTACCATTTTTGTAAGACAAAATGGTTGATAATATGCAAATTCATATAGCTCAAACTAATGTAAATAACACAACAAAACTTTACTCAAGTTATCTTCAACTTAACTTGAAGAAATTATTTTATTTAAGAACAAGTGCATTTTGGCTTCTGGTGTTGTATCTAATGATAAATGCTGTGGCAATTCTTTTGTTCCCTGTAATACCCCAGAACACCATGGCTTAAGACAACAATTTATTATTTCTCACAATTTTGCTTTGGACTTAGAATTCCTATATTTGCAAATTCTGCCTGACAAATGAACACTTCCTTCATTTGTTCATCACTCTTTTTCCATACCTCATAATGTATACGTCTAAAAGAAAATAAAAATAGCTGATGCTATGAACAGTCTGCCTAAAATTCCCCTAAACCAAATACACAAGTTTCTTACATACATTCTCTATTTTTATTTACCACTGATGACATTTTACCACTTTGTTTTTCCTTCTACATGACATCGTCTCCCTTTCTTTGGCCTCCAGTGGCAGTTTTCTCTCTGCCCTTCCAGCCTCCACTCACGATCTCGTTGCTATTCTGTTGTCTCCATTCCTAACCAGTCCCAACCCCAATGTTACAAGTTTTAGATTTTTGAAATGAAATGTTATACATTTTTAAATCAGCCCCTAATCCTGATTTAGGGTATTTCAGTCTTCCATGTCTATGTAATAAACCATCCAAGATTCTCACTGCTGAGAACTGCTATTTATTTTTTTCACAATTCTACAGATGGCCTGCTGGCTCCCCTGCTGGCTTCTCTTGGACTCCCTCATGTGGCTGCATTCAGTGGGAGCGTTGTTTGAGCTGGAAAATTCAAGAAGGGCTCTATGGCATGTCTGTCTTTGGTGTCTGCTGTTTGCTGGGGTGCCTTGATTTTCTTCCACATGGAGTTCAAACTATTATCATTTCCCTTTCCCACCTCCTCATTTACTTTCAAAATGTAGGCATATTCTCCTCAAATTCACCTATACTGCAAAGTACTAAATGATTTATTCTAGTAGACTTCAGAGGTGTTACACTGCCCTTCAGGGACAATTTTGAATATTTTTGGAGGTATTTGTGTCTTTTGATAGAGATGTTTTTAAGAATTTACATATAGCAATGCATATTTTAAAAATATACTTTTCTTCAAACTTACTTTGAGTTTCAGTTATACACTGTATTGATGTTATCATTTTTAAAGTATAACACATGCAATACAATTTAATAAATTAAGTGTACACTTCGATAAGTTTTATAAACTTATAGTCATGGAACCTCTAAAAAAACCATGAATGAACTTAGCCATCACCTCAAAAAGTTCACTCATGGCCTGGGCCCAGTAACTCACGCCAGTAATCCCAGCACTTTGGGACGCCAAGGCTAGAGGATTGTTTGAGCCCAGGATTCAAGACCAGCCTTAGCAACATAGCAAGCCTCCATCTTTGCAAAAAATAAAAATAATTAGCCAGTCACATTGTTGCATGTCTGTGCTCTCAGCTGTTGGGGAGGCTGTGGTAGGAGGAGTGAGACTGTCTCAAAAAAAAAAAGTGGCCTGGCACTGTGGCTCACGTCTGTAATCCCAGCACTTTGGGAGGCTGAGGCGGGAGGATCACTCGACGTCAAGAGTTCAAGACCAGCCTGGCCAAGATGGTGAAACCCAATCTCTACTAAAAAGTACAAAAATTAGCCAGGCGTGATGGTGCATGCTTGTAATGCCAGCTACTTGGGAGGCTGAGGCAGGAGAATCACCTGAACCCAGGAGGCGAAGGTAGCAGTGAGCTGAGATCGTGCCACTGCACTCCAGCCTGGGCAACAAAGAGAGACTCCGTCTCAGAAAGCAGACAAACAAACAAACAAACAAAAGTTCCCTGATCCCCCAACCTTTGGTCCCTGGCAACCATTGATCTTCTGTCTGCCACTTCAGTCTTATCAAAAGGTCTGGCATTTTCTGACCCGCATTTATTTTTTGGATGGATAACATACAGTGCATATATTGTGGTGATAAAAAAGATACCATATTAAGAAGACTCTTGAGTAGGGTAAAGCTTTGACTTTACATCAAAGGCAGTGAGGACCTATTAGTGGATCTTTAATAAGCGAGATTCTTGATACAACTTGCAATTCCAAATCTTCCAGAAGCAGTAGAGGGAAATGTGAACCTGGAGGTAAAGAGTAAGTTCAGGTGAGCAATGATGATGCCTGAAATAAGACAATAATACACACTTGTTTTGTTGTTGCTATTGCTGTTCTGTTTTGTTTTAGGCTTTTAGCAGCCTGACACCATGGGTTTTAGTTTCTTTATTTAGTGATAAGCAGAAAAGAGGGATGAGGAAGGGGCTTTACTGGTCCAACCAGAAACAGAAACTAAGAACCCATGACTGTATTCTCTCCCTTGGACACCCCAATAGGAGGAGTAGAGTAGAGGGTAGAGGGCTGAGAGAGATTGAGCAGGCTGCTCTAAGCAAAGCCTGGAGAAATGAAGGGTTATAGTCAGGATTTTGGGTTCAAAAGCAGAAAGGGTAGTAGAGCTTTAGTCACACACACACACACAAAAAAAAACAGAGAAGCAGGATTGAGGTGAAAAGAAAAAAAGAATGATGGAGTTAAACTTTGATAATATTTAATCTGAAATACTTGTGAAATATTTAGGTGAAAGTGTCTAAT
Source organism: Homo sapiens (assembly GCF_000001405.40). Taxonomy (NCBI): domain Eukaryota; kingdom Metazoa; phylum Chordata; class Mammalia; order Primates; family Hominidae; genus Homo; species Homo sapiens. The sequence goes on along the minus strand of NC_000010.11, from coordinate 65,356,881 downwards.
CGTTTCCAAGACCAAGAAAAATGTCTAGATTAAGACTACTGATTTGGAAGTCATAAAGTAGATATTGAAAGCAATATGATTTGTAGACCTATTCCACTAACAAAATGTACTTCTTCTCCTATATTTTTTCCTTGAAGCTAGAAATATTCTGCTTTTGTAATATCTGTACCCTTCTATCTCTTTCTACTTGCACTTACCTTTTTTGGGCTTTGATCATTTCCGACATATAGAACGATAATAACCTCCTCCCTTAAGTCCCCCACCTAACACAGTTTAAATACTGCTATCACAGTCATTGCCCCCGGCCCCTCTCTTTGGCTAAAAGGCTCCTCTTCTTCCAATCACTACCTGTAAAATTGCTGTCAATCTTACAAGATCCAGTTATAAAGAGCTTCTTCATTTAACCCTGTTATGATTGTATCCCTACACACACATGCAATTTCTATATTCTATTTTCTACTTGTTTCTACTCTTTCTATTTTCTGCTATTTTCTACTTTCCAGTTTCTATTTTCTACAGAAAATAAAATGTACCTATCACTTTAAGATACAGAACTGATAACTAAACAATAGAATTTTAACATTGTCATTAAAAAGTCAGATAAAATGGGAGAATAGCTCAAAATGAGAAAGATTAAACATGCAAACTATTTAATAAAAATAATACACAACTCAACATGGGATGTATAAAATGAATTGAATTTATAATATATGGTTGCATTTAAAAATCTGTATTATAAAGAAAAGAATGCTTAGTATAATTAGTAATAACTTAGTATAATCAATAATGACCAATGTCAAAAAAGTTATTGGGATCATAAAAGACACATTATTTCTTGTAACTTGAAGGTTCAGCTCAACTTTCCTTCATAGATGTTATTTAAAAAATAAAAACATGAAAATGCATTGTTAAGATAGATTATCTTTTAGAAACCATCAAGGCATAGAAAGCAAATCAAAAAATCATTTTCGATGTTTCTTAATGAAATCCCACACTAGTATTTATAGCTGAATAAAGCCTTAAATATTTTTCCTAAAACATAATGGTATATATTTTAATACATTACAGAAGACTTGTAAATTAGTGCTGTCCCACTATCCCTAGACCTTGGAGAAATTTAGGGCTGAGATAGAGAAGCCATTTACTATTCACCAAGTCACATAGATTAGTTGCTGTATCTCTTTGTGGTTTGAGTGTGCATTAGAGACCAAATCCTATTCATCCCAATTTATTTTTAAATACCCATGATGAGCCTTGGCTTTTCTTTTTACAGAGAGGATGGAAATATCAATGAAAGAGCTAAAAATCAGACACTTCTAACACTTGGCAGCTGCACCCACTTGCTGTATCAGGGGGTATTCTAGGTATCCATGTGGGGTAGCTCAGGCCCCCAGGAGGCCTATTAACAAGGCTGGTTTCATTGTGCCTGCTGCCTTGGACAAAGAAAGAATTATAAGCCTGTTATGGCTTTATCTTTTACACTTGTTTCTTTAGGTCTCATGCAGTACCATACGTATTTCCCTGTCTTCAAATTCTCTTTGTTTTTGTCTTCCTCTCAGGCTTATGACTCAGCTCCTTGCCTTGCTATTTTTTTAACAAGTTTTCAGATTGAACACCTATCCTAATCTATCATCTGACTTGCCTCCATTATCGGCTTGATCCATTTTCCTTGTCCTTATTTTTACTGCCCACACAATTAGAGAATTAACTGCTTCCCTCCTTGTATATACACAGAGTTGACTTGGAAATGTGACTTTGAAATCACGCTACTCCCACTCCCACAAAACAATATGGAAATGGAAATGGAAATTTGGGCCTGAAAATCATATTGGAATTAACCTACAAATTGACACATAGTAGATGAAATCAAGGATATAGAGTCAACTTGAAGAAACACAGAATAGCTCTCATGGGTTTGGTTAGTAAAGTGTGTGTGTGTGTGTGTGTGTGTGTGTGTGTGACTTAGAAACATTTTAGCAGTGCTCTTCTACCCAGTTTTCAGTGCCTACACGTTTTTTGTTTACACAGCCAATAAGTAGCTATAATGACATTTTTAGCTTTAATTTTGTCAAGATGCCATGGAAATTTTCTAACATAGGTAACCTATTTGGTTATAGTTCTACTCTAGTGCCTAGGGCAGTGCAGATCACCCAGCTGCTTCTACAGGAGATCATCATCTGGTGGTGAATTCCTTGTAGCTATGTGCTAGTCAATTAGGAGGTGCTGATCAAGTCTCCAAGTCTGTTTGAGAGGAGTTTGTTCCATAGCTGCTTCAGAGGGTGTTTCACGTAACTTACTCTTGTAAAGAAACTTGAAGGTAAATTAGTTGTATGCATTGTTTGGAAAATGAATATTCCCCGTGCTGTAGAGAGTCTGTGGGTGATGAGGATTGGTGAAGATATTGGGGATTGAGGAATTGTCCTGTGCCCTGGTTTATCTTATTTGCTAAAAACTACACCTCACTGCCTGGGCCTAAGAAGTGATCGATCATGTGCATTGCCTTCTTTCCCTGACTCAGTCCCTCCTCACTTCCTATTGCTCTTTCCTGTAAAAAACTTTCCCTCTCTATTCCATCCCTCCCTCCCCTGTTTCCTAGGTTCTGCCAACTTTTCTTGCTGAAATAATCTCACCTCAGTTTTGTTGATGAAGAGTCAAATTCTGTAAAATATTTGAGGAGATTTATTATAAGCCTAATATGAACTACCATGGCCTGTGACGCAGCCCTTAGGAGATCCTGAGAACATGTGCCCAAGGTGGTCAGGGTGCAGCTTGGTTTTATACATTTTAAGGAAATATGAGACTTCAATCATTTAAGAAATATTTAGGGTGGTGGTGGGCACCTGTAATCCCAGCTACTTGGGAGGCTGAGGCAGGAGAATCGCTTGAACCTGGGAGGTGAAGGTTGCATTGAGCCAAGATTGCGTCAGTGCACTCCAGCCTGGATGAAAAGAATGAAACTCCATCTCAAAACAAAAACAAAAACAAAAACAAAAAACAGAAATATTTAGGTTGGTGCAAAAGTAATTGCTGTTTTTGCATTGTTGGAATTTGCCATTTGATATTGGAATACATTCTTAAATAAATGTGGTTATGTTGTACATCATTTTAATGGGCATTTCTCACTTTATGATTTTTTTTTTGCTAATGACTTATTACTTGCTGTTTATTTTATGTTTATTTTACACTGTGGAAATGATGTTAGGCAAAGCAAATTCAAGCCATTTTCTCATTTGAGTTCAAAACGGGTTGTAAAGCAGTGGAGACAACTCGCAACATCAACAATGCATCTGGCCCAGTCAGTGCTAATAAATGTACAGTGCAATGGTGATTCAAGAAGTTTTGCAAAGGAGATGAGAAACTTGAAGATGAGGAGCATAGTGGCCGGCCATTGGAAGTTGACAATGACCAGTTGAGCACAATCATTGAAGCTGATCCTCTTACAACTGTACAAGAAGTTGCCAGATAACTCAGTGTCAATCATTTTATGGTTGTTCAGCATTGGAAGCAAATTGGAAACGTGAAAAAGCTTGATAAATGGGTGCCTCAGGAGCTGACTGAAAAAAAAAAAAAAAACCAAAACTCGCTGTTTTGAAGGGTCATCTTCTTTTATTCTACACAACAACAATGAATCATTTCTTGACAGGATTGTGACGTGTGACAAAAGCGGATTTTATATGACAACTGGTGATAACCAGCTCAGTAGTTGGACGTAGAAGAAGCACCAAAGCAATTCCCAAAGCCAAACTTGCACCAAAAAAAGGTCCTGGTCACTGATTGGTGGCCTCTTGCCCATCTGATCCACTACAGCTTTCTCAATCCCGGGGAAGCCATTACATCTGAGAAGTCTGCTTAGCATATCAATGAGATGCACCCAAAACTGCCAACACCTGCAGCTGGCATTAGTCATCAGAAAGGGCTCAATTCTTCTCCACCACAATGCCCGACTGCATGTCACACAACCAATGCATCAAAATTTGAACGAACTGGACTACAAACTTTTGGCTCTTCTGCCATATTCACCTGACTCCTTGTCAACTGACCACCACTTCTTCAAGCATCTTGACAACATTTTGCAGGGAAAATGCTTCCACAACAAGCAGGTTGCAGAAAATGCTTTCCAAGACTTCACTAAATCCCAAAGCCCTGATTTTCGTAATCCTTAGGAGGATTACAAAACTTCCTCAATGGTAAGGAATAAACAAACTTATTTCTCATTGGCAAAAATGTGTTGATTGTAATGTTTCCTATTTTGATTAGTAAAGATGTGTTTGAGCCAATTGTAAGGATTTAAAATTCACTGCCTATAACCACAATTACTTTTGCACCAACGTTTACACTGGTTTGGTCCAGAGAGGTGGGACAACTCAAAGTGGGGATGGGGCTTCCAGTTTACGGGTAGAATTAAAATTTTTCTGGTTGACGGTTGAGTTTATCTAAAGACCTGGGATCAATAGAAAGGAAATGTCTGGGTTAAGATAAGGTATGGTGAAGACCAAAGTTCTCATTATGCAGATGAAACCTTCAGGTAACAGGCTTCAGAAGGAATAGATTATCAATGCTTCTTATCAGACTTAAATGTCATCTGGATGTTATTGCTGGAGAGGTATAGTGAGGCATGTTCAACCCCACCTTCCGTCATGTACTGAACCAGTCTCTCAGTTTAAATTTTAAGAGTGCCCTGGCTAAGAAAAAAGCCCATTCAGCTGGTTGGGGGCCTTAGAATTGTATTTTTGATTTACAGTTTCCTTCAGGTACTTACTATTTCTTAGGCCTCTTGAATCTGCTTTTATCCAGTGTTTTGATGCTGTGAGTGTTGGTGTCTTGATCTGGTGCTATCGACTCTCCTGGAGGTAAGAGGATGAGCTTTGTCCAATGGAAGAGCAAGGGACAAGTTCAGGCTTGGTGGAAGGTTGAGGTCTCTTCCTTGAGGTGTAACTGAGTTTCTATTATGGTAACTATAATTTTGAAACATACTTCATTTTCTGAGGATTAATTTTCTCTTCCAACACCTTCCATATTGATCTAGGTGAGAAATCCCTCTCACTAACATAATGCTGATCCTATTTCTGACAAAAAAGTAAACGCTTAGGCTGGGCACGGTGGCTCACATCTGTAATCCCAGCACTTTGGGAGGCCAATGCGTGCAGGTCACCAGAGGTCAGGAGTTTGAGACCAGCTTGGCCAACATGGTAAAACCCTGTCTCTACTAAAAATACAAAAATTAGCCAGGCATGGTGTCATGCACCTGTAGTCACAGCTACTTAAGAGGCTGAGGCAGGAGAATTGCTTGAATCCAGGAGGCAGAGGTTGCAGTGAGCCAAGATCACACCACTGCACTCCAGCCTGGGCAACAGAGTGAGACTTCGACTAAAAAAAAAAAAAAAACAAAAGTAACCCTTGTTTTATTTCATTAAAAGAGCATTTCTTCTTTACAAAATCTCCTCCTTAGGAGGATTAAAAATCCTTAGGAGGATTACAAAACCTCCTCAATGATAAGAAACAGCACTATGCCCAAAGAGCTTTTCTCTAATAACTGTCTCTCTAATAAGAGTGTGAGTCAGAAGAATAAAAGGTAGGAGGTGAACTGTGACTGCCAAGTAGAGCTGGGACATGAGGCCTCTGGCTTGGGCATCTCATGGAATAGCAAAAGGATTTTGAGATGGAGCCTCCCAAGAGGGAATACTCAGAGAACAAGTGATCCTCAACCAATGGATGCAAATGGTATGGACTATACTGACCAAGCTTTGAAAGATACACAGCTTCCCTTCCACCTTTGAGTTCCTAATGCCAGCCTCACTTTTTGATGGGGCATAGCAAGGACATATTGCAGAAGAACATGAAGGATGGGAAGTACCCTTGCAGTTATTTTTGGAAAATACAATCACGGACACAAGGCATCCCTGTTGGGATCTGCCCAAATTCCTGACCCACAGAATCCGTAAGCATGATAAATGGTTGTTGTTTTACAGCACTGAGTTCTGGGGTAGTTTGTCATGCAGCAATAGATAACCAGAACAGTAGCCTATGAAGGAACTGCTGCTGCAAAGTTTATTGCTGCTGCAGGCAACACTCCAAAGCTGACTGATACAGCCCAGCTGAAGCTCTCACAGTGTGGATTCAATGAAATGAGATCCTGGATGCTCTAACTTTGGTAAACAAAATGCAGACTTTATTTGAATGCCACAGAAGCCAAAGTCATGGGAGAAAAACAGATGGTTCTAAACAACTTTGAGGTTCCTTCATTCAGAATCCCAAACACCTCCACGGGGCTCTTTGCTGTGCTATTTTTTGAAACAGCTGCTTACCTGGCTATCTTACGGAAAGAGAGAGATCAAGTAAGGCCTCTGGGCGTGTTGATACTGATCTTTGCCCTTGATTAAGCTCTTGCTTTATTTATTTATTTTTTCCAGTGGGAACTAGTGGAAAATAGTTTGTAAAATTATCATGAAATTTGTAGAAAGAACTATAAAATGTGTTCCTACTTGCCTTTTTTTTTTTTTTTTTGAGGTAGAGTCTCACTCTGTTGCCCAGGCTGAAGTGTGATGGCATGATCTTGGCTCACTGCAACCTCTGCCTCCCGGGTTCAAGTGATTCTCCCTGCCTCAGCCTCCTGAATAGCTGGGATTACAGGTGCCCACCACCATGCCCAGCTAATTTTTGTATTTTTAGTAGAGATAGGGTTTCACCATGTTGGCCAGGCTGGTCTCAAACTCTGACCTCAGGAGATCTGCCCCCCTCCCAAAGTGCTGGGCTTACAGGCATAAGCCACTGTGCCCGGCAACCCTACTTGCTCTTTTTCCTTGTATCTTATCAGCATGGGAAGATCAAGATCTTTAAAAGCATGTATTGAAAAGTACATTCTAACTAGTTTCTTCACAGTCTAGTCCAGCACCCCTTGCCATACAAACCGAACATCATTCTCTAAAACTCACCAAGAAGCTAACTAATTATAACTTGATGTTACATATAGTCACTCTATAGCAAAAGAAGATATATATATGAGTTGATACATACGTGTATATATACATATGTATGAAAGTGATACAGATATATGCATATATATACCAACTTATTGATATATACATTCACATATATTAGCATATACATATACATATATATATGATTTCTCCTTGGACTTTTTTTCTTTCCTATTCTAAATGTGAAGTTCTGGTTTATTCCTCTGAATAAAAATTGTACACTTTGTTATTGAGTCTGTCTTTGAGAAACTGATTTATTCTCTGTGAACTTACTAAATCAAGAGTCTGGTCATAAAATCCTCCAAACTGCAAGTGATTAAATAAGACAGTTTTCAAATCAAAACGGTTCTAGGTATTCAGCTTAGGATTCCTACTATGATATTCTAATATCTCAGGGTGCCGCTTTCTACTATGGGTGCATACTATCCAAACAGTGACAGAGAATATTGAAGAAAAAATGAAAAGAGATGCTTTTCACTTTGGAAATGTGCATTGGTTTGCCTTCTAGTAAATCAAGACTACGGACCATATTGCAAATATGGAACTTTCCCTAACTTATACCATCATCCAAAATACCTATAGCATATGTCACATACTTTCTTCCATGTATGTGTGTATGTACATGGTGGTGTGTATGTATACAAAATTGCATGTAATTGATTATAATATAGCAAACCACTCTTGGTTACAGGAAAAAAAAAACATTTATTTGAAATTAAATTTTATACAATTAGAAAAATTAAATATATCACTGTATACTGTTATAAAAATAATAATACAGGAGTTATTAAGAAATTATTTTTAGGCAGCTAGAAAGGGTGAAAGTTCTCGGTAGAATTTCCTTTTAATAAAAACAATCCCCAAACCATTTCTTATCTAACAGAAAGCAGCCTGAGAAGTCAGGCATAAATATGCAAACTAGAAGCTTTTGTATGTAAATGCCGGCAGCTGTACCTGGAAGCCAGGTACATTTAATATGGCGTCTCCCACCCTCTTTTCCTTGTCACCACTGTGCCAGGTGTCATGGCAGCCTCCAGATAAAGTCACGTGTGCAGGACAACATGGCGGCCAGCCAGGTAGCTGTATTTGCATATTAAAAGGCTAGTGTGGGAGGGCCAATTTTCTCGCAGACTATGTAAATGGCACACCTGGTCAAACCAATCCCCTGAGCCCTATGTAAATCAATCACTGCCTCCTCAAGCCCTTGTACGAAATTGATTGCCTTCCCCCGCAAATCGAAGACCCTCTTTTGGGGGACCCACTTTCTCAACAAGAGGAAGCTTTTTCTCTCTCTTTTCTTTTTCTATTCAACTTTCTGCTCCTGAATCCACTCTTCATGTGTGTCTGTGTCCTGAATTATTTTTCAACCAAGAGCCAGGGTATATACCCCAGACAACAGAGCCGTTTCACTACCTACAAAAATTATTCCAAAAATAGCTTTTATCTCAGACTGGAAAATGCGATTATTGTTCCATGCCAATAGTTATAGAAATGCCTCAATATTTTTAATGGCTATGTAGCATAGTGATTAATAGCACCAGCCTGTCATAAACTACCTTCAGCTCCTATTTTTGGTATGACATTCAAAAAGTTATTAAACCTCTGTGAATTTTAGTTTCCTTCTCTGTAAAATAATGATAATAAAAACTATGAGGACCAAAAGTTAATACATAATAAAGCTATAAGAATTAAGGTAGTTAACTTATGTAAAGTACTTAGAACAGTGCCACATACATGGCAAACAATAATATCAATTGTGATTGTTAGTATTATCATCTGTATGGGAAGATACTATAATTTCTTTAACAATTTACTATCATGTGCACCTGAATTGTTCCCAGCTTTCTGCTATTTCAAACATTCCCCTGATGGGCATGTTTTTATGCACATCTTTTCCCATTTAGGTCCTTAGTATTTATTTCTTAAAGTAGAATTTTGGGGTGAAATTAATGTATATTTTAAAGACTTTTGATCTCTAAAGTCAAATAGCCACCCAACTTTTCTCTTACCAGTATTGTATAAAATAGGAAATTGAAGTATAATACATCTTACTTTAAAACATTTTAAAGTAACTTCCAGATATTTTTGAATTTTATTGTTTTAAAATCAATATATGTGAAGGAAAGGAAGATTTTTAAATGATTTAAAGAAATGCTATACATTTGATTGATATGTAAATAATTCAATGATGCCAGATAATTTATTTGCAAATTATTAATTCTGTTGATGACTACTAGAACATTGTTTAATTCCAGCTGATTGTGCTATATGATTTTCAGTATGAGCTTGGACCAATCCATTCATAGCTTTTGATTATGGGATTGGGATGAAAGATTTATTTTAAACTTTAACTAAACCAATAATAACTATTAAGTAAATCTACTGTCATAAATATTATGGAATCTGGCACCTCATAGATAAGTAATACACTAAAGACGTAAGAGTTACATGCTGTTGGCATCTATTCACGCCCTAGTCTCTTTGTTCCCATGGATACTTGGGAATTGTAGATGCTGATTTATCAGATATTTAACCTTCAGGGTGCATTTACTACAATCAGAGTAGTAGCTCCTTTCTTCTTCCTCCTCCTCTGCCTTCCTCTTTCCTTCTTTTTGCTATGTTTGAAAATATTTCTTTCCGCTGCAACCAAAAGGTAAATTATTTGAAAAAGGTTTCAGATATAGTTTGGAACAACAAAATAATTTAAGCTGATGTAAAAAATAAAATAATCTCAATATTGTTCTCATTGCTAGTCTTTGTGCTTCTCTATTTAGTGGTAATAAAATTTTAAAGCGAGGTAATTGTTTTAGGTCAATGCAGGAGATATCTTCACTTTAGAGACCTCTTTAAAAGCAGTAAGAACCCTGAGATAGCCATTAAAATGGGTTGAGTTGGCAAGTTCGCACTCATTCTGATATCTTCATGTTCTGCTGGTTGCCAGATGCTGTAATATCTGTTGTGGATATTGTGGATGTCACACAGAAGCAGGAGAAGAACACTTGATTTTTCTTAATTGATTTATTCTTTATAATGTGGCTGTCTACCCCAGTGCTCTTGCATGAGGACTTAATGGAGTTTTATCAATATTTTAAAAATGCGGACACAGGCTTACATTTTCTCACTTTCTGTTTGCCAGAGGTTGAAGTGTCAGAGTACATAGGAGGCTAATACAGGGCAACCTTGTATTCTCAGTGCCTGAAGACAAGGAACTGGTCGGAGACCAAACAATTAGTGGCTACTTGTGCATGTCAGCAGCTCTAGCAAACACACAGTCAATTATTGAATGGGTTTTGCCCCAGGTGAATGTAGTTCGGTGTAGGCAAGATAAAATTGCACTCAAGCTGATGAAATGCACCTTTTTTTTTCTTTTTCTTTTTCTTTTTTTTCTTTTTTTTTTTTTTTTTGCTGAGGAGTAAAATAAGGGCTTGGTACTGTATCTGCAAGCTAAACCAAAATGATCATCAGCTTGATATGAATGTTACTTAAAAAAAAGCCATCAACTCAGCGTGGATTAACTCTTAAGGTTTGTCAGGGGTTTCAAGTTAAATCCATTAAAATTTTCTGTTACCATTACATTGTTTTTTTTTAGTTTAAAAAAAGTATAAACAATTGAACTGGAGCCTGCCATGTGGCAGCAAGCCACTGACGTTCATTCTTGTCTCTTTTGCCTTCTCCATGCTTGGCTGTCCTAATAATAAGCATCATTTTAATGAATCGCTGACTACTTTACTGACTGACCTCAGAACTTGGTCAATTCTTACTAAATTGAAATCATTAATTTAGTAAGCGTACATTGCAGTTCAGTCCAAATCAGATTCAAAACATTAATAAGGACAGTAATAACATCCCTGCCCTCATTAGAATCTATCAAGTCTGAATTGCTTAATAAGGCTCTATTTGTAAAAAAAAAAATTGAAAAAAATAGCACTTAAATCCTGAGGAAATGAGAAACTATGCAAAAATATTTCAGTAATAGCCATAATTTTACCGGCTGAAGCACAAAGAGAAGAAAATCCAGCTCCCAGCCTCTTGTAATGCTGCTTCTATGTTAGAATTGTAGAAGAATCATGCCACATAATGAGGCCATAGAAATTTCCTGATTCAAAGAGAGGAATGTGAACTTACATCCAATTTGCTTAAGTAGTTTATATGTTAATTAAATTTACAAATTTAATGGTGAAACCCTAATCTTCTGTCAGCTCTATCTGAGCAGCAATTTTGCTGTTGGAACTATGACAATTTTTTTGATCAAGAATATCTCTTAGCTGGTAACAAAAAACTGATTTTAGGCAAAACTAACATGGAGAAAATGAACAGATGCTCAACCAGTGAATTTTTAAACTTAACCCTTTTCACTGGTGGTAAATATCACAGAAAGCCATGCACCATTTTGTCTTTCTCAGAACTGGAAAGGAGAAAAACAAGATTTTATGGCTGAATACTTCAACCTCCACCTCTGAAATTCATGTCATGTCAGGGGTGCTACATCACGCACAAAGACCAGTAAATCCAAGAATTTATTTCATACAAAATAAAAAATATAGGGATACTTCAGAATATAATATAGAGGTTTAAAAAAGGCGTATTCTAGATATCTATGTCATGTGAACAGGCAGATAGTGGCTTTTCATCATCATGAAAAAAATTTTTAATCAATAACCAGCAAAGCAAAACAGAAACAAATACTGAGATTATAATCAAACCTTATAATAAAAAAAATTCAATTTCTAATGCCATAGGCTTAGGAATAATTTTTAACAAAATGCAGCTATGCTTTTATCAATGTCTATCAAACCTGCTCTGATGAAATAAATATCAAAAGAATAGTGGTTGTGAATTGATAGAGAGTTCAGATTATTCTTTTGTTCTGGTAAAAGATTAAATATTCAAATAATATTGTTATTTATATATATACATTTTATTTTTAATTATAAATTATATATCATATGATAGAAATTTAGAAAAATACTGCAAAGAATAAACTTTTTACATGAATATAATGAAAAGTTGTATTTAAGATATTAATAGTTAATATAATTGAAATATTGAAAATTATATCTTATTTGTATGATGAAGAGTTTCATATTGCCCAAAGAGAGGTCTGGCCTCCTGGGAAGTAATATCTGGATCCAGCAATGTTTTGCATACTAGGAGGGTCTGGGTTTACCGGATATTCTTTCTTTCTTTTTTTTTTTTTTTTTTTTGAGGAGTCTTGCTCTGTCGCCAGGCTGGAGTGCAGTGGCACGATCTTGGCTCACTGTAACCTCTGCCTCCCAGATTCAAGCAATTCTCCTGCCTCAGACTCCTGAGTAGCTGGGAGTACAGACAGGCACGTGCCACCATGCCTAGCTAATTTTTGTATTTTTTTTAGTAGATACGGAGTTTCACCATGTTGGCCAGGATGGTCTCAATCTCTTGACCTTGTGATCTGCCCACCTTGGCCTCCCAAAGTGCTGGGATTACAGGTGTGAGCCACCACACCCAGTCTACTGGATATTCTTAACAGTGTGACTTCAGTTGGCAGGTTTGAGTAATGTGGTATAGATCAACCTGAAGACTGAAATCAATTATGTGGACAATCAATCAATTAGTCAATCAATGAATCATGCCTACATAAGGGAACCATAAAAAAAACCTTGGACTCTGACATTTTAGGTGAGATTCTCTGGTTGGCAATAATTTGTGCATATTGGTACACATTATGCTGGGAGGGTAATGTTTCCTGATTCCTGGGGGAGGCCAATGGAAGGTCCATGTTTGGAAACCTCCTAGAATCTGCCCTATGAATCTCTTGTTTTGGCTGGTCTTTATCTGTATCCTTTCCTGTAATAAACCATAGAGTGAGTATAACTGCTTTCAGTGTGTGCAGTGGGTCTTTCTAGTGAATTCTTAAAAGTGAGAGTAGTTTTGGAAACTCTCTAAACTTGCAGTTGGTATCATAAGTTAGAGTTATCTTTCGAATTCTGCCCGCAAACTTGGTCGTTGGCCTAAACTCCTCATAACTTAAAATAGGCTACATGCCTTATAAATTATGTATTTTAATGTAAACCATCCATGAAATCAGTACGACAATTTCTCAATTATTGTTAATTTTTATCAATTATTTGTGTGATGTATTTGGACATGGCTATCGCTATCCTGATAATATCCTGTTTGAGCTATGCTTTGGTATATGGAACTACACTAAGCTTTTTAAAAGACCGTCATTAAATTAATATTCATTGTATGACTTTAATTTAAAAAATATAGAATTCTGTTAATATCAACAATATTATTCATCATAATCTATCTTTTCTCAACTTCAGCAGAACTAGCAGCAATTGCATTAAAACTTTTCTAGCCCTTACAACATTGACCATGATTTTGTTAGTTCCACGTCTCTATCATCAACATTATCACATTCTATCACAAATGTTTATGGGACTGCCTGAAATATGCACCATGTGATGTGCGATGTAAGGCTTAAAATTAAGGCCCAATATTATGTGCTGCCTCAACATTTAGTGAAATCCGCAGGGCCATGAATGGCCTAACCATAAAACCCCGACTCTATATTCATGCTCCGGTTTTCTAGCAAAACACCATAGTTCCCACTTATACCTGAGCAATAGTTCTAGTTTTTTGCCAACCTAGAGATTTATTCATACAAGTCAATTACATTCTTCTGTATAAACCAGGATGCACTTTATTGTGTTGATACTACAAATTTGCCTCCCAAAGCTCTGTTTTACAACTGTGTTCCTGATTGAAACCCCTATGGATATATGTGACTAATAAGCTGCTATCAATCTCATCTATCTATTTTCAATGGACTGTTTGACCATACCCACAACCCTAAGGTAGGGATCACTTCCTCACTAAAAGGATGAATAGGAAGCAATTAAAGCAATACTGTCAGTTAGATTTTAAATATCATATTTGGACCTAAGTTTATTATCAGTATAATGAGGATCATAGTGAAAATTATAGAATTAATAGGGCTAAATATTTATTAGAATTGTGTGCAACATAGATTGAACAGTATATAAGCATTATCATTCACATTTAATAATTAAGCTGTTTCAATGCCCACAATGTGCAGGAATTCCACTGGTTTTAATAAACTGTCCCACTAAATAACAATAAAATTCAACTCTCACAGTAGAAAGAGATACTCAAACCATTGGTATTTTCCTGCCCCCCACAACCCCAAAATCCCTGTCCGCTACTCACATCCTTTTGCTGTTGCTTATAAACCCTCTTTATAAGAGTCCACTGTACCTGATTAATGCTCAATTTGTTCTTCATTACTGTACTGTCTATGACTTCATTCTCAGTCTTCCTTAAGGCAAGTCCTGTGTATGCTGCAGTTTGATTAGTGGTAATGACAGTGACTGCAAATGAATCTGTCTAATAACATAGGGCCATTGTCTGTGGGCACGCAAAAGGAAACTGAGAATTTTCTCTCTGATGTGATGGCATTATCATCATGAAAGACATTTCCTTTTCTTGTATCTGGGCTTACTCTGACTATGGAGATTAATGAGAACAGGTGTTAAAGAGCCATGGTAAGCTGACTGACTCACACACATGGGACAAAGGTGTGTAAGAGCCAGCTGTGGTACCTGAAAGGTGGACTTTTCCTAGCAGGAAAACCACCAATAAAAACCAACAGCAGACATAACTGGAACAGGATTCTATAAAACCCCTGTGTGGAGGCTCAGGGATTCAACATTAATTTCCAGGAGAGCCAGGGCAATGGATAGAGTGAGAGAAACTCTGAACATTTGAGAATATGACCAAAAATATAAAACACTTTAGCATCTTCACAATCAATACAGTCATCCTAGTGTATATAAACTAAACATCAATCTTGGTCATAATTACACTTTCCCTTTTTGAATTTTTTACCTATTACAACTTTTAGATAATTTTAATCCTTGTCATTAAATTACTAAAATTTAGAAAGTAGAATGAATCAAAACAATGAGGCTTTACTAGTATATGGAGATAGCTTACTGGACCCTAACAAAGTAAATTTGCTATTAAGAAAGATATCTCCAAAACTATGTTTCTAAAAGGGACTTCCAGGGTCAAGCTAGGTCAGCATTTTGGTAGGATTGATGCCAGAAAACACAGCTGCTACTGAAACATTTTTTCAGAAAAGGAAGTTCACCCTCTGAGTCATTTCAGATTAAATCTTCATCGCAGGCCTGTGTATGTGTTTTAAAGGAAGGTCTATAATCAGAGGTCCAATTGTTAGCAACTCTGGACATAATCTCAGGATAACAATTCAACCATTCAAATGCTCAAGGCTGAGAGTAAATACCACTTTTCTGTGGTTAAGAAAATAATAAATTCCGGAGGATCCACCACAGATAGCTCAATTACCCCATCAAGAGTTATCAACTACAGTCAGTTCTCCTCTGTGCTCTCTGGTGATAATGCACACAGCATCTGTTCCATTTTTCTCTTTGCGTTGCCACTTCTGGGTAATGTTATTGAAGCATCACCAATGGGTTAAACAAAAGCTGACACTTCAAGAGGAAGGAATGAAAAAGTTGCAGTGCTCGGAATAAGACTATTAAACCTGGGAGGAGTGAACCTATACCTGGAATAGAGAAAATGGAATGAGGTAGAACTGTTTTCACTTTGGAAATAGAGGCAAAGAAATATAAGTGAGTGGGAAACCTGGAAGGAGCCCAATTAAGAAAACAGTAGAGTTTCTCCTATCCCTCTGGTTAGTAATATAGATCTGGGAAGTCCCAGTGTGAGCAGACATCCTTGACTTTGTAGTCTTAAAATAAATGTGAAAGGAATTTTAAGAAGGGCATAAATTTTACAAGATTGCCATAATGCAGCTCTAATGGTTTACTGAGAATAGTGACAAAGTATAGATATGTTGCTATTTTATTTTAGAGAAATTCTGACCTAAACCTGAAGGAAATTTTTCACTAACAAAACGAAATACATTTATTGAATCTTAGGAGATAAGGTTCACATCTTTTAAACTTGGCTTAAGCCATGCTTCAGGCATTATTACATAGGACAGTAAGACTTTTAGTTTTTAACTTTTTGTTAACTAAGCATGGTCTCAGGTTTTACTATATTTTGTTTGGTTTGAATTGGGAAGTTCAGCACTGGAAGATATATGGAGCAGAATTATAATAATAATAACAAAGCAACAACAAACTACAATCACATTTTGCTCTAATCAGTTATACTGAGTCCATGCTATTAACTACCTCAAATTTGAAGTAGATGGAAAGAAATACAGGAAAGATAGGAAATACTGGATGCCTACCAAGTTCTCACAAAATCACCATAATTCTGGAATTGTTTTCACTATTCCACAAATGAAGAATTATGACTCATTTAAGTATTATTTTAAAGCTAACACAGCTAATAGATGCGTAAACTGGAATGCAAACATAGCACATATGATTTTATACCTTGTGTTCTTTCCACTAAATCTTACCACCTACTAAACAATTGTATTATCCATTCTATTATGTGAGCCTAATCAGCAGAAAATAGCATGTTCTCCTCAGTAAGCAACAGATAAAGAGAACCATGGCAGCCCTAAATAAAATAATAAAGGAAGCCATGGAAAGTTTTGATACGATAATTTATTGATATCACTGCTTCTCCTCCACTTCTTCTAATAAAGTTGCTACAGTTTCCAGACCATATGTGTCCCTTAGCCTCTGGGCAAATTGTAAGGTTACCAGAAGAAACTAAACACAATTCCTCTTCCTGCCATTGTGAATATCCAAGCTGAAGAAATGATGCTTGATGTGCCAGAAAGGAAGAAGGGAAATGTCAAGGCCTTTAAAGGATATAGACAGGAATAGAGAAAGGAGGAGAGTTTTCCCCAAGTGTCAAGATAGATTTGAGGAACACAGATTTTCCAAGATACGGAACTAGATTTATGCCTTCAAAAATGCTAAAGCAGATGGAAAATAAATAGAACTATTTTCATTCTTCAGGTGTCTTGAGTGCCACAGAACCCTTAATTATACAGACTTAGTTTGTGAGCATCTCAAGAGGAACCTATATGAAACAACGTGGAACCATGGGATGCTTTCTCAAATGGTCTTGCTTTGAAAAGCTCAAAAATAGGAATGGAGAGGGAACACCAATAGTGACAGATATGTACTTTTCTGCCAGTCCGATGGAAGAGGGACTCAATATTTATTTTATTTGTCTGAAAAAAAAATTTGTAAGTGATTGTTCCTTCATAGCTCTTTTTGCGGAGTGAGAATTATATTCGCTTACCTACGGTGAGAACGAACTGTCTTATAACCTAAGCTGTATAACTAAAACAGAAACGGAGAAACAAACAAAAACGAATCCCGAACTTGAAATGAAGGGAGTGCAATTTTGCCTTGGCTCTTTTAACTGGTTTAGAGCATTGAATTTATTACATAATCATTTTCCACTGTAGATTCTCATCTGTAAAGAGATAATTTGTATTAGGATGTCAGTATAGTTGCTTTCCAATATAATATGTGAGAAATGGAATAACCATACAATTATCAACTGAGAAATTTTTGAGAGTTAAAAGGAGTGCTAAAAACAATTAAAATTGTATATTTTTAAATACTTACTTAGCTGACAAATTAATTATATTAGAAGATTTAGAAATATTTTGTTTCAAAAATTATTTTCAAAATTACTTTTCCTAAAAATTAAAAATATTATTTATCTCTATATTAGAGAAAAGAATATTTGTATTGTTATTAAATATGTGAATATGAAAAATAACATTTATAGACAGTAATTTGTTTTCTAGCTGTATCTCTCTAAAATTCAATATCACTGGTCTTATTTTAATTTTTAAAGAATATGTGTTTTTTAATACGGATTTATTTTCAGGTTTTTCTTATAATTACCTGCAACTTTCTTTAAATTTTATTTTAAGGTTAATAATATTAAAAGTTTTTGCATGCTGAATTGATTTTCTCTGTGAATTAAGAAAATACTCTGTCAGTGCTGAAGTATCTCATAAGTTGAGAGAAAATTCTACTAACTGGAGTATATTTTTAATTCTATTTCTTTACATTAAAATTTGTAAATATTTAAGCCCAAACGCTGTTACAAGTACTTTTTTCATGCCTCAATACTGAATACCTACTTTGGCACACATTTTCACAGAAAAAATTCTCAAATATGTTTTCTGTTGCCATGATTTTTGAATATTTAACAGCATTTAACTGTTACAAAATTTTATAGTTTTGAAATGTATTTTCATACTGGGATAGAATATAAATTTACCCCATTAAAAACTGGACCTCACCAAAAATTCTTTCACAGGTTGCACTACCCAAGAAACAAGTATAGCCTTTCAAAAATTGTAATGTGTGCATCACTTGAGCTCCGCTGTTTTATTGCATTTTTGTCCTGCTTTTATACAGATAAACGTCAATATCTTGTTTGCAAGCACTTTTTAAGTTATTACAATTTGATAAACGTTTCAAAGCTAAAGTTTTTTGGTTCGCCATTCATTGAAAAATTTGGTTTAAGATTTCCAGAATGATAACAAAATGCAAATAAAAATTTTAAAACCCATCTAAGCAAAGTTAAATGGAATTGTAAATCATTCAGTTGGATTTACAAAAGACTATTTTAAAGGCTCAAACATGTTTTAAGTACAATTAATAACAGGCAGTAATTCAGTGTTGTCATGTTGAAGTATTTTCTCTATTCAACATAAGGTTTCTTAAAAACATTTTATAGTTCAGTGCTTCTCTGTATACTTATAAAAACATTTGTACCTTTTGAGAACTGTAATTTAAACTTGGATTAATAGAATATTGAGGCTTGATTGCAATCAATTTTAAATTACATGTGTATATGAAGCAAATTCAAGCACATTTCTGTGTTCTAGTTTTCTTAATTTTATGACACCATGATTCTTAACCCAACACAATGCTCCATTAAAATTTATGTTTGCATTTGAATCATAGAGTCAAGTAATTTTACTTTATTGGGACTTCTAATCTGAACTGACAGTAGTATTGACAATGATATAAGATGCTTCAAGTTTGATGGAAAGATTGCATTTTTTATATTTTATAAATTGAATTTGAAAAGCCAATTTTTATTGGAGTAAATAATTTTATTTTGAAGTTTCCAGTGACAGATACACATCTGGTGATGAAGTCAACACCTTAAGAGCTGGCAGATTAATATCAACAAATGTACAAAAAAAAAAAAAAACCCTTGTAATCTAAAATGAGAGAAAAGTGTTTATTTTTTTTTAAATAGGTCATGCTTCTTAAAATGAGGCATAAAGTCACGTTATTCATCTACAAGTGTGAAAGTGTAATCTTCAGGTTTCATCTTCTTTAAAAACCTACTTACCTTAGAAGCAGACAAAGAGGTGTCTTTAGCAGATTTGTGTCTTCTGGTTTTCATGTATTGGTAAAATCAATATTGTCCCCAAGGTGAGTAGTGAATGCCAACAAGCATTTTGTTCAGATTGTGTGTTTATCATCAACTTTTTGAGAAACTACAACCCATTCCATAATTTTTCATTAGACATGTACTTTCAGTTTTGTAGCTCATTGATTCAGACTGGTTTATTGTTAAACAAGCAAACAAAAAAGAATTACAAAACAAAGAAAACTCCATAAAATATTGCTTTCTGTAGCTCAAGTCTACTTCCTATCCCCATATTTCTAAACCTAGCTTACCTTTCCCACTTTCCCACTGATTCACTGATTAGCAGCCTGGATGCTTAGTGTATTTTCCAGATTGTAGCCTGAATTACACAAGCTCACTGGCTGGTAGCCTGAGTACAAGGCAGGGGCAGCATCATCATATACTTCCTCATCACTGAGAGCAGGAGTTAGCCGTCCCTAGCCATTTCTGTCTCAGAGCCCAAGCACATTTTATTTATCAGCAAAGCCCTTCTTGCTGTCCTTGAAAGAAAACGTTAGTTATGCTGCTTCTGGAAAGCACCAGGTTATTGCTGGTCATCTTTCTGATTTAACCACATGTTAACATCAGAAATCTATCGACTGCGTGTACATTTCAAAGACTATTAAACAAGAACAGAGTAGAAAAATGGAGGTCAAATTCATTCTGGCTTATTTTAGTGCAACCATTATTAAAAATATCTTATTAAAGAAGTAAAGCCAAGACAAAGCTTAACCAGACTGGATGTCAGGACAACAGGTGTAAATCAGGACTGTACTTGCAACATAGATATATGGTCATTTTAATCATGGATCATTGACAGAGAGAGACCTCATTTTCCTTTCTGAAATGGCTATGGTTTTATGGAGTTAAGTGGTTTATTTCTAACTATTTGTTGAAGCTGCAAAATTATTGGAAAGTATGCTGAGCAAATTTCTTCCTCAAGAGAAATATAAGCAAACCATGTGTACGGCTTTTGATCAAATAATATGGCTGCCACAGCAGAGTAATAATTTCTTATTCAAGATGAGGGTATATGATGGTGTGTAGTTATTGTGTCATAGTACCTTTTTTTACTACTTAGCTAATGGCAGCAATATAAACATTGGTTATAATACCTGATAGTTTACTTCAAATTTTATAATAAAAACAAGTTAGAAAATATTTTTTCACCAATAGATCATACCTAAAATAAGAAATAAGTGATTGAACATGGCCAGCATTCAGGATAATGCAAGAGTAGGTGTATGAATGTAAAAGTTACCAGTCTTTAGCATGAATCATAAAATAAAGGGGAAAAAAGATACAATACTGGTCAACATTGTCCAAGATGACTTGATTATATTCTACCTATGATTAATTTGTGTAGTTATATAGTTCATCTACACATCAACTTGCAGGAAGAATAAGTCAGCTTTCCAAAAAAAAAAAAGTAATAAATGAGTAGAATAGTAGAATCAAGATAAAAATAAAACATAATATAAAGCCAAACATGGCATCAGAACTTAGAATTCATAAGTTTTATAACATTCTTAGGTATGTTTCATAAAATAAGTTCTTGAGAATCCTCGCAAATAATATAAAGTGAAAATTTTTAGTATCTGTGGCTTCACATTGTTCACAAGCTAATGACAAGCTAGATTCTCAAGAGAAATGTTCTCTTTTTCTGATACTAATATGAGTAAAAAAAGATTCTTGGAATGCTACAGAACACCTAGTTACATTGAGTATTTCTTCTTCTCTTTCTTTAAATAAGTACACCAGGCCTACAGTGAGTGCAAAAGAAGCTTGAAATCAGCAATGCCAGGAGCTACGGTAGAGCCAGATTGATGGGTGTCTACCCTGTACAGAATATATTCCCACAGTTGTCACTAAAGAATAAGCTAAGGAGGCTGTATTCACTAGGAGTAAGATGTATCACTTATCCCCTTTTACCCCTCAAGCTAAAATCCAGCACTACCAAGTATGTTCCTTGAGTAAACATATGAGAACTTTTAGTTACAGGTAATATACGGCTCTGAAATGTTGACAAACTGGAAGCAATTGCTTTATTCTCAAACTGTTTCTAGTAGAACCTGGTAGAATTTGTGACCAAATAGTTTTCTAAAAATAGATTAATAGCAACTGTAAATCATAGAATACATAAAAATTCATTGATAAATGTATATGTATATATGCATGTTTATATAATACATAACTTTATGTATATACATAAATATGCACTACATAAATTCATTAGTTGTACATTTGTGTATGTAAACATACATGTACATTTTTGAGGTCCTTATAGTATAAAGTGAGTTATAGAAGTCTTTATATATGTGTCCATGGATTTGCAATACACACACACATACATACATCCATATGTTCACTTACAGAGTATGTCCCCTTACATAGGCAGAGATAGGCAGTGTTAAGAAGAGTCCTATCTAGCATTTAATAGTGAATATAGGAAAAAACAAGTGCATAAAGCATCCTAAATCAAACACCTTTAGTTTACCCTTATCAAACACACAGGGAGCACAAACTGATAAGATACAGTGTCACTTTCTTAGTTGCTGATATGTATGGACTAAGATGTCATGTCAACACAAGTAGCTGGCTTTCAATCTGCTGTAGAAAGCAAAAGCTAATCTAACAGCTCCTTCAGGCTCCTATTATAATGGGAATGGCATCATTAAGTTTAGTTGATAAACTTATCATTGAAACGCCGAGCCTTCAAAATGTTACAATGGAACTCACCTTTTAAGTAGTATACTTTTACTTACCTATGCACAAAATATTTGAGAATTTTTGGATTGAATGTTTTGAAGGCTATCAGTAGACCTACCTCCTTGTATTTAGTTAATACACTTATATGTTGTTCTGAAAAAGGGAAAGTCAGGGTCCCAAAGCAAGCACTTTAAGAGAAAAAACAGAAGAGAGTAAGTTATTTTTATTGTTATTATTATTAGTGTTGTTGTTGTTATTGTTGTTTTGAGACAGAGTTTCACTCTTGTCACCCAGGCTGGAGTGCAATGACGTGATCTCAGCTCACTGCAACTACTGCCTCCCGGGTTCAAGTGATTCTCCTGCCTCAGCCTCCCTAGTAGCTGAGATTACAGGCATGCACTACCACACCCGGCTAATTTTGTATTTTTAGTAGAGACGTGGTTTCATATGTTGGCCAAGCTGGTCTCAAACTCCCGACCTCAGATGATCTGCCCACCTCAGCCTCCCAAAGTGCTAGGATTACAGGTGTGAGCCACCAAGTCCAGTTAGTTTTTTTTTTTTTTTTAATTTAGAATTTTTAAGGCTGGGTGCTGTGGCTCATGACTGTAATCCCAGCACTTTGGGAGGCCGAGGGGGGCGAATCATAAGGTCAGGAGATCAAGACCAGCCTGACCAACATGGTGAAACCCCGTTTCTACTAAAAATACAAAAATTAGCCGAGCGTGGTGGTATGTGCCAATAGTACCAGCTACTCAGGAGGCTGAAGCAGGAGAATCGCTTGAACCTGGGAGGCGGAGGTTACAGTGAGCCGAGATCACGCACTGCACTCCAGTCTGGGTGACAAAGAGAGACTTGGGATCAAAAAAAAAAAATAGAAAGAAATAAATTTAGTATTTTTTAATCTATTAGTTGAATCCTTCACAACCCATCAGCTCTCCCTAAAAGGAGCTCCAAACATGCTTTAATGTTTTGGAATTTATGTTGGAGATTCAGTTGTCTTTTGTTACCATTCAAGTACCCACTGATGTGCATCTCATCTCTAGAGGATCTATTTCTGTTTCATCAATGGATTTAATTACATATTGTCCCTCAGATGAATTTCTATAGCTTTGAAATTTTGGTTTCTGGTTTTTATTTAAATTTTGGTTTGCATTTTTAGCTGCAACTTGGTATCCAGGTGCAAAATAAAACCCAAACTTCTAAACTGTCCCCAAATTTATAAATTTTACTTATTCATACATTTAAAATTTGCTCCAAATTTTAATTTATAAGTTAGACAACCATTATAACAAGAATGTATGTATATACATAAATATATGTATATATACATATACACACATATTTAAATTTTTAATTGAGTTTTTTATGGGATACAATGTTATATAACTTTTTCCACATTAACATAATTATGAAGGAAAATCAAAATAAGCCTGGTATCCCAACAGCACTAGAAAAAAGAGCTTATTAAACTTTTGCCAAAAGTGGGATAACAGTTCCATTAGCTCTGTAGAGCTAAATAGAAAGAAAGGACTAAACCAGGAGGTGTTAAATAGGGAGAAAGTAAGAGAAGATTGCAACTTATCTTCATTATCTATCCCTGTCTGGGGATGTTCATTTGGATTGGCTTGGCAAAGACAACCAATCCCAATGAAGATTTAGCAAATACCACCCATCTATTGTGTCGTATTGTTTTATGAAATAATCAAACACTTGGTCCCAATTTTCTCACCACTATCAACCATAGAAAAGGGTTAACCAGTTTTTCAATGACTGAGCTCATACTGAGCATACCTTTCTGACTTCCTTTTTTGCCTTCCTCTTCCTCTGACCTCTAGGCTAATATTTAAAAGGGTTCTGTGATTAGGACAAGCCCACCTGGATAATCTCTCTACCTTAAGGTCAACTCTTTTGAGCTTTAGTTACATCTACAAAATCCCTTTTTGCCATGTTATGTAATTTAATCATGGATGTCCTGGACATAATACCAGGGAACATAGATCATGGGATTATGTGGGTCATTTTTTAAATGTTATCACTATAAATAAATTATACGTATTAGTCACTCTGATAAAAAAAATTCCTATTCCTTGCCCAGTTGCAAAAACTAAGCCACTGTTTAAACCCAGAACATATTGATGGAAGAAGTGGTCATGTTGCTGGGTGTTTAGGTTGAACCCTCCAGCAATACAGCAAACGTATACTGTAATGATTTCCACAGATCTTAGCCAAAGATAAAACAACCTTTTTTTTTCAGGTAGCTATACAGAGGGGACATGGGAACACCATGTATTTTTTAGGAAAATGGACCATGGAATCTGATTTGACATAAGGCCTGAAGCATCATCATCGTCCCCTGTTAGAGAGGAGGCATATGGGGGCCAAGTCATAAATTGAGTTCTGGCCTGTGTCTGGCTTCAGTGTATCCCATGGGTGGGTCTATGGACTAACCTAGTGGTTTTCTCAGTTCACACATGTGTATCTGAGATTAATATACTTGGAAAGTAGAATAACCTATACACTAAATTCTTGGCCTACAGAATAAAAATTTATTTGAAATGGACCAAGCAGAAGGCTCTGAAAATGCACCCCAACCAAGGTAGGATAGTAATTCAAAAACAGCATCACATAGGATGGGGATTGTAGTGATTGTTTTCAATCTTAAGGCTCTCAGAGATGCGGGGGTGATGTCCCCATCATAGTGCTGCTTAACTTACCAGTATGACCCTACAAACAAAAAACAGATAAATCTTTGGGAATGATTATAGTTTGCCACACTATTATAAGCTAAACTAAGGAAGAGCAGCTTTCAAGCTGAATTCATGCTCTTTGCATTCAGCCCACAGCCACTGGCTGAACATAGCAGAATTAGATCCTGGTCATTTTGTCCAATGATTTCTACCAGTGATCTTTCTCTACCAATGATCTTTGCTCCACAGCTCTGTGTTGGCTCTTCAAGACATTGTCAGATCAACACTGTAGTCTGAAGCTCTTCATATTCAATCCTGCTTCCTTCTCATCTCTCACAAGAGTTAACCTCAATAAATGTCTTTAACTACTGTCTAGCTTCTGATTCCTGAAGGACCTAACTGATGCAATCATAACTGCAATTAGTTAAAACATGTCAAATGTGTTTCAATTCATGAGTACATAATGTCACACAGAGTTATCTTTGGTCTCCTTTGAAGGATACCAATAAAGCAATTAAGTTTTAGAAATTATAAATATGTATTTGCATGGGAAAATAAGAGATTATTTTATTATTTTGTCTTATCTGATGTTAAGTCTACATTAGTGCTGTCAAACAGTTTATGGGACAGAGTCATTTCATTATATATATAAGCTTTCTATTTATGGAAATAGTCTAGCTACTAAATAAAAAATAGATGACAAATTAGGACGTGACCATTTTTAACACCAATTTAATTAAATGAATCTAAACTGATCATCAGTGTTTGCTAACACCCAAAGAGTACGGCGAGACTTCACATGCCTCCTGATGGAAATATATAACACCACCTAGGAAGGGTTCCTGCAGTAAAATCAAAACTGCATCTAAGTCTGTAGCTATAACTACTGATTTATACAATATCTAAGAGTGATAAAATATATTAAATGTCACCATGAATACAATCAGCAATGTCTATACCCTGGTATGCTACAGAACAAATGACCCAATGTATTTAAGAAATAAATTGCTGAGAGAGAGAGAGAGAGAGAGATTGAGAGAGAGAGAGAGAGAGACAGAGAGAGAGAAAGAACACCTGTATGTTTAAGGGCAATTAAGACAACTACCAACCAATTTGAATTTAAATTTAAATTTAAATAAATATATGGACCTTAAAATTATATCTAAATTGCTTCAAAATAATCTGGAAGGTTGAATAGAGGTATAAGAAAAACAACATTGGCCAAGAGTTTACAATCATTGAGGTTAGATGAAAAGTACAAGAGAGTTTATTATATTGTTCTTTGTTCTGTAGTACATATTTAAAACAACATCTTTTAAGAATTTAACAATTTTAAAAAGACAAAACCTATTTTTGGAGAAGATAATAAATTTTGTTGATTGAACAAGTGACTTTGCTGTTACTAACTAAAAAGAAATTATTTATAATAATATAAATATTCATCCAGTGCACAGTAATCCCTTAGTACATGAATCTCTTAGTCACCTTATATTTTGTCAAATTAAAAACAGGGCCAATCAGCTGAATCTTCAGAGATGGGAAAAGTTACTTCTATCACATTCACAATAACTAGAAAGTCCAGTATCCTCAACTCTTTAAATTTCTATGACCTTGGTTCAGTAAAAACCATCTTGAAACATAGCCCCAAACACCCTTTAACTCTCAACCATCTCCTCCTCACCAACCTCTCTGCTCACTCTGCCACTCTGGCCATCTCTCATCCTGTTCCAAACCAGCTGAATGTTGCTGGACAAACACAGCACTAATTAGAGTGATACCTGCATATGTTCATAATTACCAACTTCAGTGTTAATTACTACCAGATTGTCTTTTTATATTTGTTTAGGAAACTAACCTATCACCCCTCCTTCACTGCCATTCCATCTGCTTCATTTTATACAGTCAGAGTACTCAGATTATAACATTTTCCTGCTTAGAAATTTCCAGTGATTTGTCATTCATATAAAATTCAAAGTGTCAATTATGGTATTATTTGACCTTTGTCTGTATCTGCATCATCATCTTCTGCTATCATGCAGGCTTCTCCAGCTGTGCTACATTTAAATTCCCAGAGACCCTCAAAATATATTTGGATTGCTCTGCCCATACTCTGGTTAATTCATGTTTACTCTTCAGTTCTTAAAAGCGTACTCAGATACTTCTTCCCAATGTAGGACTCATAGCTTAGCACATTGACCCACCCAGGGAGGTGTGACTATCTGGGAATAAGATTTTCAGCGTCAAAATCAGATTTCCTAGATTCGTATCCTGATTCTATCCATTACTAATTGTGTCATTATACAAATTTCTCAACCTGTCTTTAAATAGCACTATCTACGTATGTAAAATATATGTAGATAATATATAATTCCATTCTTACAATATTTTAAGTAAGTTTACATTTTGCATATGTTCTTACAATATGCAAAAAAATTACATAAAATTTTGTAAGAATGGAGTTATATAACATACTTAGAGCTTTTAGAACCATGACAAGCATCTTACTAAACACTCAAAAAGTTTCAGTAAAATGAAAACATTTTTGATATATTAACAAGCTGACAAAAATATTGTGAAAGTCCTGATTGATACCTATAATCTTTTTTCCAAACAAGGTCATTGCACATTTTCCCGTTTTGTTAAAAATATTTTTATGCAAAGTTCTGCATGAGAATAGTCAGTATAACAAACTAATAAAGAGAAAACACACTACAAAATAAAGGTATAGATCAGATATGATTCTTAGTCCAGCATGGTTCTGCACTGAATAAGACTGACAGTTGTAATGTTATGAAAATCTCTAATGTCTGAATTCAGAAGTTGCCAGCACATGGTTCCAAACACATGGCAGAAATGTCCCCAGCCATTACATTCTCAAAGAAAATCTTCTAATCTAAATAATTTATCAGTTTGGAGACTGTATGGGAAGATTTTTTGAGCTATGCTTTTTCTGATGTTACTTGCTTATTTTTATATATATTCCTGTCCATTTCCATATCACCATTCCAGAAGACGAAGCATGTGTAATTAGTTTTGTTTTGCAATACAGAGCCAAACACCATCTTCTTGGCCTTTGAACTATAAAATTTAACTAAATTATACCATTTATGCTAGAGGTGAGGATGTAGGTTGGAGAATGAGGTATCTGTATCATTTACCATAATATAGACTCAGTATATTGCTTTAAAAATTTATATGACAGCCTTCATATAAAACTTTTAGTTGTTTGAACATGGAATTTAACCTCATGGAAAGCCCATCTCCCCCTTATTCATTTGGTGAAATCCTACTGATTTCAAAGGACAACTTGATAAAACTCTACAAAGTTTTCTTTTTTTTTTTTAATCTCCATAGCAAAGTTAATCACTTGTCCTATGTGCCTACCAGGAAATTCAGTCATATCCTTCCTAACACATAGTATGTTATTTTATGGTTATCTGATTGGAAAAATTGATTTTTCATCACTAGAGTTTGAGAGTCTTAAAGAAAGTATGGCACATAAAAAATGTTCAGTGAAATTTATTGAAATAATGAGTGAATGTGTATGCTATTAATCTATTCACAATTTTTATAATGTAGGGAATTCAAAAAATTACAATTTACTACTCTTTTCTTCAGTTGGCAGCTATGGCATTGTAATAATGTCTGCGTTTTAAGTAAAATGTCAGCTAAGTATTAAATGCTTATATAATCATATATATGTGATTGATTACATATAAACGACTTTATGTATACATGATTATGGAGTGTGAACTTAAAAAGGGGGAAAACTCACTTTCTGTAAGATGATGAGGATCAGGTAACAGAAATATACACAATTAATACATTGATAACATTAAGAAATGCAGAAAACTCCAAATTTTTGAAAATTATAGAATACACTTCGAAATAAGACACGGATCATATAAGAAACTACAAGGGAGAAGAAAAATATCTTGAACTTAATTATATTGAAAACATATTAAATGTATGGAGTATAGCTAAATAGTCCCTTAAAATAAAAATGTAGCTTTTGAAAGGGTTGTTGGAGCTCCTTTTGTTGTCAGTTACTCTCAAACAAGTTCCTGTTTTAAGCATCCTTCAGCAATACTTCCACTTGAATTTGGCAATATGTAACTACTTTTATTTAACTGTGCCTGGCTAAATTCAGATTTTATTGCTAAAAAGAAAAAGAATGATCAATGTTTAGGTAGACAATAAATTATCTCTGCCAAAGTTTCAACTTCAGAGACAGCAAAATATTGCATAATAAAGAGTATACAATTACATGTTAATTAGGTAGATTTAATAATTCTACAATGTATATACACTTCAAAACATTATATATTGTTCATGGTAAATACGATTTTATTGGTCACTTAAAAATGTTTTTAAAAAGAATATTTAATCATAATGTACAATGTGGTTTAAATGTAATGATATTTAAGTAGTCATTCATGCAAACTGAATTTTTATTTAAATATAATTACAGTGAAAATATAATGGTTATATTCAGGAAATTGAAAGCAGTAAGGTGATGGGAGTAGTAGAAAGGGCGGGATAAGAAAGTCTAATTCTCATCTGGAAATATTAAGTTACATGTCGACGTTACATACTGTCAGATTGTGAAATATTTAAAGAAATTTATTCTGAGCCAAATACGAGTGACCATGGCCCAAGACACAGCCCTCAGGAGGTCCTGAGAACACATGCCCAAGGTGGTTGGGGTACAGCTTGGTTTTATATATTTTAGGGAGGCATGAGGCATCAATCAAATATATTTAAGAAATACATTGGTTTGGTTCAGAAAGATGGGGCAACTCAAAGCCAGGGCGGGTTGGGGGTGGGGGGCGCGGGGGGAGACTTCCAGACTATAGGTAAATTTAAACATTTTCTGGATGACAATTGAATTTATCTGAAGACCTGGGATTAGTAGAAAGGAATGTTCAGGTTAAGATAAAGGATTGTGGAGACTGAGTTTTATTGTGCAGAGGAATCTCTCAGATAGCAGACTTCAGAGAGAGAGAGAGCAGGTTGTATAATGTTTTTTAACAGACCTAAAAGGGTACCCGACTCTTAGGTGATGATCTCCTGGATCTGGAAAGGAAGGAAGGAAAACAGAGTGGGAAGGGGATTCTCTATAGAAGGTGGATTTCTCCCACAAGAGACTTTGCAGGGGAATTTCAAGGTATGGCAAGGAAATACATTTTGGGGTTAAACATTTTTTCCTTGTCTCATAATGTTATGGCAGAGTCAGACTGAAAAATGTCACAATATCTAGGGTCAAATAAAACCCATCTGATGAGAATTTATGGTTTGCAGGGCATTACTCCCCAGTCCCCTTAGGTAGGAATTTGGGCAAGATAAAAAATCAGACCTTAGTCCTCGAATAGCAGGAAAAATTATGGATAGAGGAGCAAAACTGGTTGAGTAGAGAGAGAACTTTTTTAAAGACTTGTAACCTTATTTTATATGTAAATTATGTAAATGTAATCTTTTTTAAATAATAGAAATTAAATTAAGAATATGCTTAACTAGAAACTATGGATAATATTCAGAATGTACAGATCATTACTCCCTCTCTTCCAGTTCCTTAAAATAAAAGGTAATACAATTTCCCATCAATAACCAAAAAAATTTAAAAAAAGAAAAGAGATAAGAAGTTATGGGGAAAATGTAAAGAGAAAGTAATAACATTGCAACGAATTCCGCCTTTATGAACAGTGATATCTGTGATGTATACACCTGGAAATTTACCATGTAAGGACACTAAGTGACAAAATATAGAGAGAGGACTTTTTCTTCTAACCATAAATTTGTGGCTAAAACTAGACTTGCCCTCTCTTTAAAAACAACTGGAAAAACTGGAGAAAATACGTGGAAAAATCTGTTTGCAGAAATTAGTTAGCAGCCAGTACAGGATTGTGATCCCTGAAAGAAGTAAAACAATTGAAGTGAGCACTGCAATTGTCATGGATTTCTGCCTGAGGCACTGCCTGGACTATAGCTCAGAGTGAGAAACAAAACAGCATGAGGGCCTTAGTTAAGAATACAGAGCTTGGGCTGAGGGGGAGACTGAAGTAGCCATAGTTTACCAGATAAAGTAACAGAGAAAAGTGAAACATGCAGAGAAAGAGCTCCAGAAATCTGTGTCGTGCTACCCTTGATTCCCTGACTGAATGGTTTCCACATGTCTGGTGAAATTCACTGAGGCTGGTGTAGGGACCAGTGGAAAACTTCCTCTTAGCCCTCTGAAGGTTCACTGAAAATCAAATGATGCAAGACATATTAGTAAGAGAAAAGCCATATAAATATATTAATGTGCATGGGAGAGAACCACATAGATATTATGGTACCACACAATGAGGTACAGGTGACTATGTTCCCTCCTTCTTAGGGCAAGTGGAGATGGGAAAGTGTGGATAATTTTAGGGAAATAGTAAATGATTTTTAGGGGAATTCAATGGGCTTGAAGACCCTACAATGGCCTGCAACAAAGTCTGTTGGGCCCACAGAGCAGACAATGGTTTGTGACAGGAGTCTGTTCTGGTGTTCTGACAAACTTCAATCTTTCTTCCTACAATATGAGTCCAGTTAATAAAAACTAAGGGAAGGGACTAGAGGTGTTGATTTCTTCCTTGGTGTTTCCAGCCTTTGGCAGATAAGGAAACTTTGGAGAACAACTTCATCCTGTGCTTGGGAAAGACAAAGGATGGAGAGACAGGAGGAGAGGAAGGTTAGAAAGACCTTGAGGCTTCTTCAGTTCAGCATCTCAAAGCGCCATATGCGTGGGTATCAGTTGCTGAGCACCCACACTGGTTAAGAACTACCAGCAACTTATAAACTAACCAATTCTGACAACTTACACGACTCAAAAATGGTATTTTTAACCAGTAAGATTGATAAGACCTTCATTTAAAAACATTGTTTGAAAATTCATAAAAAATACAAACAAAAGTGACACGAGTGAAATTTCAAATAATCTTATGTTTACTGTTAAAATTACAGAAGTTATAGAAAACTTATTAAGTAAAACTCTTGAGTAGTTTTCTTGAATTATTTCAAACATTTAAGGAACAAATAGCACCTTTTTTAAACATAAATTCCTTCAGGAAAAAATAAAAGAAAATATAATTTATTGATCAACATTATAAAGCCAGAATAACTTTGATAGCAAAAATCAACAAGGATATTATAAGAAAGGAAAATGCATACTAATCTTTCTCATGAACTTAATCAAAAATATGAAAGAAAAATATGAGAGAACTACATTCTAATTTTATAATACATAAAATGATTAATACGTCAAGTTCCAAATAAGGTGGATTTCAGAAATAAAAGTTTGTTGTAATAATTGAAATTCAGCAATGCAATTATCTTTATTTACAGAATAAAAATATTTCAAAAGGTTTAGAAAAAAATTAACAAAATTTAACACCCATGCAAAATAAAGTACTGTTATCAATCAAAAAAGAATTAGGATTGAAGTAAAGCTTTTCCTAAATCATAAAAATTACCTTAAAATAGTGTAGAAAACATCATTCTTAATGGTCAGTTATTAAAAGTGCTTCTCTTGAGATCAGGCGGAGACAAAGATGTCCACCATTGTCATGTCTAATTCATCATTGCATTGGAAAACAGCTTATGAAGACGTTGAGAAAAATAAATAAAAGTTATTAGGTTGGTGCAAAAATAATTGCAGTTTTTGTCATTAAAAGTAATGGCAAAAACCACAATTACATTTGCACCAACCTAGTATCTGTATTGCAATGGAAGAAAACTGGCATTATTTTTGCAAGCATCAAGATTTTGTACATGAGGAATATAAGAATTATATTATTGCTCAAAAATTTATTAAAACTACTAAAAGAGTATAAGAAGACTCCTGGAAGCCAACGTTGGCATACAATATTGTTGCAGCTTTTTTACTCCCATAGTTCAGCAGGCAGGAATGTTACAGCTCTTTTACTTCTGCTGCCCGCACCTCGGTGAGGTGGAGCTTAACAGTTCTCTCTCTCCCGCAGTTTGGCAAGTTCCAGGTTCCTGTCTTGTGACCAAGAGGAATAAGGTATGCGGACACAAGTGAGGGGTGAAGGCAGAGTAGCATTTATTGAGTGAAAGAAAAGCTCTTCATAGCAAGAGGGGAACTGAAAGTGGGTCGCCCTCTATGAGGCTATTTCAAGGATTTTTATGGGCTTAGAATGGGGGAATGTATGCTGATTGGTTTATGGGTGGGCTTAGAAAAGGCACCATTTGATTGGTTAAAAGGCATCGTTCAAAACAACCAATCAAGAGAGAATGGGTAAGATGGAGATGGAAGTTCTCACTCTGATCCGTGGATTTTATCCAGAACTGATAGCACAGTGTTCAGGCTTTGTACTGTCCTTGGCTTGAAGGTTGAGTTTCACTGGACCCATTCCTGTCTGATTAGGAATTTGTCTGTCTCCTGATGCTATCAATACTAATTTTATTTTTTATACTAGCAATTTTTAAAATGCTGTGACTTTTATCTTTGATTTTCATCTTTGAATAAGCCTTACTAAATATGTGCAAGATCTCTACACAGTAATCTACACAGCATTAGGAAAATAAAGAAAGAGGCAGGTATAATTTTTATGGATTAAAATACAGTATTGGAAAAACTCGTTACTGTAAAGACAGCACTTGCTTTCCAATTGAATTACAGATTCTGTGCAACCCCAGTAAGAACTTACCAGGTTTTTAATAAAAATGATAAGCTGATTCTAAAATTATATATGGAAACAGAGAACAACATTGAATAATCCATACTATCAGATAGTAACTTATTGTACTAGTACAATGTATTAATTCATTTTTCACGCTGCTAATAAAGACATACCCAGGACAGGGTAATTTATAAAGAAAAAGAGGTTTAATACACTCAGTTCCACATGTCTGGGGAGGCCTCACAATCATGGCAGAAGGCAAAAGGCATATCTTACCTGGAGGCAGACAAGGGAAAATGAAAGCCAAGCAATAGGGAAAACCCTTTATAAACTCATCAGATCTCATGAGACTTACTCACTACCACAAGAATAGTATGGGGGAAACTGCCCCCATGATTCAATTATCTCCCACCAGGTCCCTCCCACAACACATGGGAATTATAGGAGCTACATTTCAAGATGAGATTTGAGTGGGGACACAGCCAAACCATATCATACAATAAATAAACCAGTGAGATATTAATGAAAAGTGAGACAAATGGCTCAATGTAACAGAATTGAGGTCCGCAAAAATCATTTGATTTTTGATAGGGCTAATACTATAGTGCAGTTGGGGAAAAGTTCATAATAAATCATACTGGATCAATTAAATATTCATTTAAAAATGTATCCAGACTCTCTCTTCCACATTTCATTTTGTTCAAACATCAATTCTTAATGAATTTCATATAAAGCTTTTAAAGGAAAATAAAATTATTCTTGTAATCTTAGTGCTCTTGGAGTACACAACAATTTTTTAAATAGGACATAAAAACCCTACTGTGCTTAAATTAATTATCCAATATTAAAAGAAACTATAGACCATTGTTAAATTTGAATTGAAACAAATGATTGGAATCACCTTCTTCTAGTTATCTGTTCATTGGCCTCCATCATTTTTTAAACTTGGGAGAAGAAATCATTAGGATACTGAAAATAAGTTTTAATTTTTTACAGATTTTCTGATGCGCACAACTGATATACAATAAATTGCACAGTACAGTATTATAAGTTTGACATATATAGTCATCTAAGATTATGAAAATAAACATCACTCCAAAAAGTTTCATTACTTCCCTTTGTAATTGTGTTCCTACATTCCCTCCCATTCCTTAGTCCCCCTGTCACCATGCAACCACTGATTTACTGATCTGTTTTCTGTCACTATACATTAATTTGCCTTTTCTAAATTTTATATTAATTTAATTTATAAGTTAAAGCAATACGTTCACTTCTTTTACTCATCTTATTTTGCATGTACCAATGTTTTTGTGTGTGTATTAATTGTTCATGCATTGTAATTTTAATCACTATAATTATTTTTAGTGCATCAAGAGTTTATTTTTATTTATTGCTAAGTTTGGGCTTCAAAGTGCAAAAAGGCCAATGTTCAATCGAAGACTTTGACTCCATTTAAGATGAGTTGTGTAACAACTTTAAATACTCTCCTCTGTCACACATACATATGAAATATTAGTAAAATATTTTTTCTTGCTACCAGCTAGATTTCCTATAATTTGCTGGCTCAATTATAAGTGCATGCTTTCCTGTAGAATGATTATCTCATAGCTGAGAACAAAGATTTCAAAATCTTAATGGACTAAATTCAAAGGGGACTCTACATGGAGGCATTGTAACATATTGCTAAGTACACAGATTCTTGGTTGTGTATCACCCATCTCCCCTACACTTTTCCATTACTGAAGAGTGTGTGACCTTAAGAAACGTGCCCCATACCATGGGATACTATTCAGCTATAAGAAAGAACAAAATCATATCCTTTGGAGCAACAGGGATTCAGCTGAAAATAATTATCCTAAGCAAACTAACACAGAAACAGAAAACCAAATACCACATGTTCTAACTTATAAGTGGGAGCTAAGCATTGGATACACATGGTCACAAAAATAAGAACAATAAACACTGGGTAATACAATAATGGAGAAGGAGGGGAGAAAAGGTGGAAAACAAACTATCTATTGGGTACTATGCTCACCTATGTTATAAAACTGCACGTAAAGCCCCTGATTCTAAAATAAAAGTTTTTTTTTTTAATAAAAGTCATAACTCAGTAACCTTGGTTACCACCTGAAAAACAAAGAAAACAGCAGAAAGGAAATAATATGTATCAATGCATAAAACAATGAAATAGAACACAGAAAAACAATAGGGGAAAATCAATGATGCCAAAAGCTGCTTTGTTGAGATCAGTAACATTGATAAATCCCCAGCCACACTGATTGAGGAAAAAAAGAAAGAAGACACAATGTTCTAATATCAAGAATGAGACAGCTGACACCACTAAGTATCAACAGATATTAAAAAATATAATAAAGGAATATTATAAACAATAAAAAAGAATGACACATCAATACAATATGGATGAGTTTCAGAATAATTATGCTGAGTGAAAGAAGACAGACAGATAAGACTGCATGCTGAATTATTTCATTTATGTAAATTTCTAGAAAATGCAAAGTAACTTATAGTGACAGAAATCAAGGCAGTGGATGCCTAAGGATCTGGTGGGAGGAGTGAAGGGGAGGGATTTCAAAAAGGGATGTGAAAACTGAAGGGTGATGGATCTGTTATTACCTTGACTGCGGTGATATTTTCACAGGTATATACATATGCCAGAATGTATCATATTGTACAATTTAAGTATGTGCAATTTATCATATGTCAATTATACTTCAATAAAGCTGTAAAGACAGCAAGTTTTAAATGTTAAAAAAACAGAAAGAAAGAAATGCACCCCATATTGTGCCTCCTTTCCTCATGTGTAACATAGGGCTGATAATAGTACGTAATTAACAAATGTTTGTAAAGATAAAGTGAGTCAATATCTGTAAGGCAGCTAGAACAGGGCCCGTTCTCCCACTATGCAAATGTTAGCTGTTGTTATTGGTGGTGGCTGTTGTGATGCTGTTGATGACATTTTTTCACAGGAAGCACATACTTCTGACTCACATCAATGTTGATGAAGCACAGTTTTTTTTAGCTTTTGCAACAGAAGGAGATTTTAAAGCCCCTTTGAGACTGTAGAGAAAAGAGTGTTTTTAGAAAAGCATGTGTACTGGAGAAGAAAAAGGCATCTGAGCAAAACTTCATTGAAATTTATGAATGATTCTGAATACAAGAGATAAGCCCTCCTTTCTTATTCATTTACATATGCATTCAAAAAATTTTTCTGTGCTCACTGACTGACAGATACTATTCTAGACATTGTGGATAAAGCAATTAACAAAACATTAAATTTGCCCTCATGGAGCTTACATACACCACTGGAGAGACCTGAGTGTCACAGAAGATGATAAATGTTAAGTGACATGAGAAAAAATAAAGCAGATTAGAGTGGACATGGTGGGCTAGTGATAGAGTGGGCTGCTATTTCAGAGTATCAGGCAACACTTAATTCAGGTTATCTTAAAGCAGAGACCTACATACACATGAGGAAAAGCGATATAGGTATCTGGGGAAGAGTATTTAAGGAAGAGGAAACAGCAAAGGTGGAGGCCCCACTCTGGGATCAAGTTCTGCGAACAGTGCGAATAGTGAGGAGACCAGTGCATAATGAAGGAGATGGACAGTGGCAGCAGAGGCAGGAAAAGATAGAAAAGGAGAATGTGAAGGACATGGCACATTTTTGGCTTTTACCTTGAATCAGATAGGAAGCCATTAGAGTCTTCTAAGAGGAAAGGCATAATCCGATTTAGGTGGATAAACAACTGTGGAAAATCAAAGGCAGAAGGGAAAGCATTTAGAAAAGTGTTGCAGTAGTCCAAGTAACCTTCGCTGAAAGTTACTAATAAGCCAAAATGCAGATGCCTTTGATACTGTGAAATCATCGAAGAAGAATGACAGAGAAAAGAAGTTCCACAGCCAAGGAGAGGCTTGCAAAAGTAAATAACGTAAAGCAGGAAAACAGAGAATTCTGTTTTGCACAGAATTCTGCTTTGCATTTGATCTATTCTCTTCATGCTCTGTAATTGTTTCCTGCCAGGCTGCCTTCCTGCCATCCACACATCCCCTTTGAGTGTACTGGCATAAAGTGCAGGTGAATTAGGTCAAGACTTAGATTTTGCCTTCAAGGAATTCGTAGTACAGGAGGAGAGTGACATATTCATAGGCAATCACAATATTGAACAGTAGGCACAAGAAAGAGTTATGGAGAAAGTGCTTCTTTGAGCTATTTATAGAACTTTTAGTACAATCTTAGCACAATCTCAGTAGCATTTTTGTAATTCCTTTAAAAGGACCGACTCCATGTCACAATGTTTGTCCTCTTTATCACTACCCAAATATAAAATAAACACCTGGGTGATCACAAGAAAAATTATACTAAACATACATTATTAAACATAAACTGCTCTAGCAAAATGTTACTAAACATATATTTTTAAATATTTTACTAAATAATCTACACTCATATATTCTACTAAATGTTCTACTAAGCATGTATTATGAAATATATGTTTCGTAGATTTTTCTAGAACTGCTTTGTAGATTCCTGTGTTTATTTAAGTAGTCAATTAGTTACTTAGTTTTACACATCATTTGTTCTGAGGTAGGTCATTTTCTCTAGATATTTTTCTAAGAAAATCTCATTTTCTTTCAATTTTGCCTGAAGCCCTAAGAGAGAAGAATTATGTCTTTATTTCATTTTGAATTAATTAAAAAAATATTATGTGTGTCTTTAATAACAAATAGCAATCATGGTGATTTTCCTTTCAATATTTCATCTAGAAAAGGGCATTTTTAATTATTTTTTATTTGTTTATACCAACCATTTCCCCTCCAAAATGACATATTCCTCCATGCTTATACAATCATTCTTCTATGCAAACTAACAGCTGCAGAGAATAATTTGTCTGTTTTTTTTTTATTTTTCCCAGAAATTACTTTGAGCTTCTTGAAAGAAGAAAAAATAACTTGCAAGCATTCAGTTGCCTGACTCAGTCATGGATTCACAATTTTGTTAAATTAAATGATTTGATTGTCAAATACCACAAATTTTTAATAAATTAATATTACTGGCCACCTTCCCCTTTCCCATTATTCATTATATTTCGGACTTGTCATTTTATTTGTAACAAATATTTGTTAGTTTACAAAATGGTGACATACACATACAGTAGCCTCACAGCAATGTATTAATATTTATTATATTCAGAAGATTACAGAAAAGCCATGACCTTTTAGAACACGTTACTCTCCTTAAATACAGTCATTTGCTTTGGGTTAAATAATTCTACACTGTGATAAATATTTTAAGTTTTCATTTATAAAATAATTCCTTGCCTTTTTTAAAATCATAGACTCTTTAGAGCACATTTTGTGTTATGAAGGTTTTTTTTTTTCATTGTGTATCCTTTAATATGGAGAAAATTTCTCTCCTAGGGAATGACATTAAACTATCTACATTTTTAAAAATTACATGAAAACGGATAAAAAGTTGTGAATAGAAAAATCCACAAATGGAAAAACACAAAAGTTTGTAAATATAGAAAAGTCATAATTAATAGTGAAAGAAATTAAATTTAAAATATAATTTACTTAAGAATGATTATTTAAAAATAGTAATACTGGCAAGGATATATTGAAACAGGAATCTGTGAACTACTGATATAATATAAATGTATACAACTCTTGTGTAAAACACTTTGGTCATATAACTCGTAAATCTTACATATTCTTACACCTGATGATGTAGTAAGACTATGATGCATAAATTCTAAGAAAACTAAATTTTGGAAAATAGATTTTTGTATAAAAACATAAATTGTGCCATCATTTCATCAAAAAAAGAGAGAGAGAGAAACTAAATTATTAAAAATTGGGGAACATCGAAAAGCTCAGGAATTTTAAACTGGTACTCTGTAAGCATAATTCCTCCTAAATATGCTTGCACAATATTTTTAATAAAAATTCCTTTCCTTTCTATTTTCTATATTAGCTGCCTGGTAACTGAAGACATTTTAAATGTATGATGACTGAATCAACTTATATAAAATCCATAGCATTAAGTATTGTTTTAGCCTTTCATAATGACATTTACAAAATAGCTACAAGTAAGTATTTTAAATTTTGAATTATTTAGAATTATATACCCTCACTGTCAATAGGAATAAAAATCTCCCTGAAATAGGTTTAATAATAATACACCAATAGGTTTAGCAGGGGTTATGTTTTGGATGTAAAATTATAAATGATTTTTCTTTCTTCTTTGTGTTTTTTATATCTAAATACATGAAAACAAACTGAAAATGCCAGAGAGACAGTGGACATGTTTGAAATATAGGCCTGAAAAAGCCACATTTAGTAGCTAGTGGAAGTTTCATCTAAATCTTCAGGCACATTTCCAGAGATGGCCTCTTTTTGTACTGGTGTTAATTTCCTAAGAGAAAAAAGGCCCTTCCTCATTTTCTTTGTGCAGAAAGTATTAGAAAACTAATGCATGCATACATCTGGAATATTATTTACCAGCTTTGAAATTGCTAGTATTCGTGTTGCATTTTTGAATATTCAACATTCATTAATGATCCTAATGAATCTATTTTGACTTATATATGCAACAATAATAGTATTACTTATTCACTTCTTTATGGAAGAAGAAAGAGAAGCTTCTATATTCCACAATGTCCCTCAAATTACTTGAAAATCAAGACTCTGGCAAAGCATTTGTTTTGTAATCCTAATAATAATTTCTCTCTTTTCTTGTTACTCACTCATGTTTAGCATTTCAACCTAAATTCAATGCAGAATCACAATTTTCTTTTGTAAGAAATATTTTATTCAATACTTTGTATTTTATTTATTTTAACGTCTGGAGAGATCATGTAACGTTAATAGGGTGAATGCCTGATGACTGAGCCTTTGAAGTAGTTTAGGTCAAATGACCCTTTGTAGTAGCTTAAAGGAAGCCTCAGGACATTGTGCTGAAGCTCAACTCCTCTCTGACAGAGTCCTCACCGAGGTTTTCCGCCAAAAATTATTCACTTCGTGGGTATTATTAACAAATTTTTGCCTGAAAACCTTTGTATACCAAGATCTGTAGGTTATATGTGAAATTAAGTTTTTAAATAAAATTTCAGAAATGGAATATTCAAAAGGTACCGTTGTCAGAGCTGTGAGGTTTTGGTGCTGGCTTGGCTCTCGTTTCCTTAGAAAATCATTGACTATAAAATCCATTTCTCAGAATAGCAGGAAATAAAAATAATTGTCAAATATTGGTTTATGCCTTATTTTTTAATCTCAGTCATTTCTTCAATTCTGATTGCCTGCCTTGCATAAGAATCTGAAGCTGATATAAGAACCCCAGCGGTACCCATTCCTTTACCCTGACATATTCTAGTGTTAATTTCTAGTTGCACACAGGAATTTACCACTCTGGCCTTAACTAGTTATGAGAATAAATGCAAAAGCCTGTAATCCCAGCACTTTGGGAGGCCAAAGTAGGCAGATCCCTTGAGCTCAGAACTTTGAGACCAGCCTAGGCAACACGGTGAAACCCCGTCTTACAAAAAATACAAAAATTAGCCGGGCATGGTGGCACATGCCTGTAGACTTAGCTACTTGGGAGACTGAAGCAAGAAGATTACTGGAGCCCAGGAGGTCAAGACTGCAGTGAGCCAAGATTGTGCCACCGCACTCCAGCCTGAGCCACAAAGCAAGACTCTGTCTCCAATTAAAAAATAATAATAAGGTGCAAAAATGATCATTTAAGTTCCTCCTTGCAGCATTATAAATATAATGAGCAGAGGGTCCCAGGGAGTTTTTGTGGCATTCTTCTTTATAATAGATACATAATATTATTGTTGCCTTCTTAATCTCAAATGTCATTCAATGTTACACATTTTGTGGTGGTTCTATACAGGCACGGATCTGGAAAAAACGTGAAACAAACATACAAAACAAAACAAGAAACATGATATTGGTATTAAAATACCTAAGACAGGAATAATTTTTCGTGTAAAGTAAAATAGACAATGTTAAGAGAATTTTGGGAGAGTCATTGCTGCTTTATTCCCACATGGTCAGTCTGTCAGTCAAAATAAATAGTAAAGGTGAGTCTGGTTAGTTCTAACGCAAGAAACTTAAGAAAGGTCAAAAAGAGGTTAAAAAAAAGAATAGGCTGTTATAAATGTGTGCAGTCTCAAGAGGTATTCAGTAAAGATTGCATGAGTTGGGAGTGGAAGCAGTTGCAGAATTTACTAGTGTTCAATACTTAACACTTGAGAAATGAAGTGGAAAGTCACCTGGATATAAATACAGCAGAAAAAAAGTGGCGAAAAAGAAAATTATAGACCTAATGGTTAAGCACAGTTGTCATTTTAATCTGGTTCGCACAAGTAATTAATTTATTCATATTCCCAGACACATCTCTTATTAATTTGGGTTAGAAATAATTTTGAGATAGAATCAGTGGTAGAAATTATTTGATATATTTGGAATGCTAACAGTTGTGACAATCAGAGAATAATTTACTTCCTTTCTTTCATCAGTACATTTCTTAGTGATTCCTTAGACTTCAGATCCTGGAGCTTTCTTGACAGATGTTTTCCACATTTTTTCTTTTACAGATGTAGAAACAGGGACACTGAGAAATTAACATACTTTTGGTTAATACATTAAAGAAGAGGAATAGTATCAAGTTTTCTTCCAAAGTCAGAGTTCTTTCCACTGCATTATGACTCTTGCTATTATACCATACAGGGAAGTTGGGGAAGAAACATAGAAAATATAAAAGCTTTAAGTCTGTTTTAGAAAATAAGCCTGCTATAATTCTCTGTGCTATATGATATCCACACTGGTAGCATACATCTAGTCATGATTTTCCACTGGCTTTCAAATACAATCTGAAAGCATTAGCGCACTATGACCTGGCCCTCGGTCTCCACAATGTGTCTTCACTGTTATATTTAATTCTACTTACTCATTGTACATTGCCTCAAACTGGACTTGGCATGCTTCTGATCTTTACACTCCTGCAATTATGTAGTCACCTCTGTACCTTTGTTCTTTCCCCTCATCTAAATGCTACCTATTCATGTAGCATTACCAGATACCCTAGCCAGAAAGACTCCTACTGTTCTTTGAATTTCCATAAGAATTCTATCTATGGTGGTCTCTCTTACGATAGATCTCTTCTATTTTGCTCATCATGATGGGCGTCTGTATAGATACTATCTGCTCTGCTAGTGTGTATTAACATGTGATGATAGGACTGGTGTCTTTAACTAGTAACCTTCAATATTCAGTAAGTGTTACCTGGTGATCCCAGTTACCTGAAGATCCCAGTTACCTGAATAGGTGAGCTCTTTCCTGTTTGGTGTCACAAAGCAAATACGGGAAACACTAAGTGGGCACTGAGCAGCGTGGGCTTTATTTGATGGCCTGAAACAGAGAAGTCGGAGTGCAGCTCCCACATCTACTTCTCAGCTCCCAAGAACCAAGAAGCTATAGATACAGGGTATCTTTAATAAAATAGTTGGGTGTTAAAAGCAAGGGGGGCAATATTTATGCTTTTCTTGGGAAAATATGGAGATTCTTCTGGAATCAGGGAGTCACCTCTTTTCCGTCCTTTTTTTAGTCTCTCTCAGTCATTGTCATGGTGATAGTCTACTATCATGGTGCCAGGTGACATGTAATTTAGTATGGAAATTGGATTATAATGAAGTTAGATATTCTTCAGAGGTTGAGTAAGCTGCCACTGTGAATTTTGCCAGCGCTGACTGGTTTAGTCATAAGAAAGAACTTCTGACCACAGACATTGGTTTCCTAAAAATAAGTAGAGCTAAGGCTAAGTAGGAATTCAGCTATGTCATGTAGGCATTTTATTAGGCAACAAAAGCCAGGTGGGATGTAGCTAAGTCCCATAGGCACTGCAATAAGTAACATAAGAAGACAATTAAAAAATTGTTGAATGAGTAAGAGATATTCTAGGAGTAAAATATTTTGCAATGTTACGTAGCCATCCACAATTTTAAATTATTTTTTAATGGGAAGACAATAAAACCAAGTTAAAGAAATTGCTTATTACAGCTGATCTAAAAAATATTTCAGGCATATTTATATATATGTATACTACATTTAAATAATTATTCATTAAAATTCTCTATTAAAAACACCCTATTTATAAAATATGTCTTACAATATAACATGAGAGCAAAATCATTAGGTCCATGGAGATTTATGGTAAAGTATACAGAACACTGAATTAAGAGTTAGAAGACCTGACTCACTCCTGTACAACTTACCATGTCAACTTGTGCAATAAATTATGCTTATAAATTTCAGTTTCTTTGTATGTTAAATGCAAAGAATGTAATCACCCAATGGGTTCTTCCTGCCAGCTGCACAGACAAAAATTAATTCACTGAGACAATGGCTTGAAGTAAAGAGTTTAATTGATGTGAGACCAGCCCACATGGGAGAACTGGACTTATCACTCAAATCAGTCTCCCCAAAGGCTCAGAGGCTATGGTTTTTCAAGGACTGTATGGTGGCAGGGGGATAGGGAAGGGGGACTGTCGATTGGTTGGGGATGAAATCATAGGGATTTGGGAAATGGTCCTTGTATGCTGAATCCCCTTCTGGGTGGGGCCACAGGACTGATTGAATCGTGAGTTGTGGGTTTAGAAATGCAGAAATTTGGCTGGGCAGGGTGGCTCACACCTGTAATCTTAGCACTTTGGGAGGCTGAGGCTGGTGGATCATGAGGTTAGGAGTTCAAGACCAGCCTGGCCAATATGGTGAAACCCTGTCTCTACTAAGAATACAAAAATTAGCCAGGCGTGGTGGC
Organism: Homo sapiens; assembly: GCF_000001405.40. Taxonomy (NCBI): domain Eukaryota; kingdom Metazoa; phylum Chordata; class Mammalia; order Primates; family Hominidae; genus Homo; species Homo sapiens. Next base: position 65,312,594 of record NC_000010.11, on the reverse strand, counting down.
ATATGCCTGTAATCTCAGCTACTCAGGAGGCTGAGGCAGGAGAATTTCTTGAACCTGGGAGGTGGGGGTTGCAATGAGCGGAGATTGTGCCATTGCACTCCAGCCTGGGTGACAGAGGGAGACTCCGTCAAAAAAAAAAAAAAAAAAAAAAACAGAAATGCAGACATTTGAAAAAAATCTCAAAAGACCAATGTTACTTTATACAATAGTGATGTTATCCACAGGAATAATTGGCAAAATTATAAAACTTGAGACCTCCAGAACAATGACTGGTTATCATTTAACCATGCCTACATCTAGCAGAATTCAGGCCCCTCTCATACTCCTATCCTTATGGCCTATCATTAGTTCTACAAAGGCCATTTAGTTTTGGGGAAAGGCTACCATCCTCTTTGCTTTAAGGTTAAACTATACACTAAATTTCTACCAAAGTTAGCTTGTCCTACACCCAGGAATGACCAAGGACCAAGGACTGGTTGGAGGTTAGAAGCAAGATGGAAACAATTATGTCAGATTTCTCTTACTGTCATAAGTTTGCAAAGGTGATTTCAATAATATTACATATCTAAAAACTTGATTAACGATTTCATGAAAACACTATGGAGAGAACATATACTATATAAAGAACATTATAAATTAAAGTTTATGTATTACTCTATGTAACATACAAATACCAATACTAATTTTAAATGAAGACATCTTCAAAAAACAGACTGACCTGTGAACAAATAATCATGCTACATTGTGGAAAAAATGCTACAATAGACATATATAAAACATGTATGCTAGGTGTATAGATTGCTTTCCTGTCTCATATCTCTTATCAACATTTATCAAGGAAGCTCTATTACTGTTTTAAAGAATTTCTTCCCAAGATTTCACTATAGTATTTTCAGGAAAATACAAAATTTCAACATTATAGATCATTACTCTGGTGCTATTGAGTTTGAAATAAAAATAATGAAATGTTTTATTAGTCTAACAATTTTAGTTAAGTGTTAATAATAATCTAATACCCTACCACTGATAGTAATAGAAAATTCATGAAAAAATGGGTCCATAGGTCCTACATTTCTAAAACTTTTCTATTATTCAACAAAAATGTTTTTAGTTTTTCTTTCTTATTCTTATTGATAACTTAATAGAGTATATAGTCTTGTATTGATATTTATTTTTACTCACATTTTAAAAATATTTTAATATTACTTGGTATCTGATTTTTGCTTTTCAAATGATGGTTTTTAGACTGGTGTTCAAGCTTTTTACTTTTAAAAGTGACGACATGCTTTTGATGTACTAAAGATTTGCTGGCATTTCTAGGTGTGAATTTATTTTTATTTTGTTCCTCAGAACTTGTCATGCTTCCTGAATCCAAGGACATTATTTCTTAACATTCACATCTTTTCCATCTCTTTATTTCTCTAGACTGCCTTATAAAATGGTTTTCAACATCTATCTTTCAGTGGATATAGTCTTCCTCTGGGTCTAATATATCATTTTATGTTTTTCTTTTCAATATTTTAAAAAACATTTCTAGAATGAGTATACTGTTACTTCCCAATCTGCTTGTCCTTTTAAAGATTGTTTTTCTTTTCTTATAAATGGTTTAATTATTTAACTAATTTATATAATTATTATAAACATAATCATTTTATATTCTACTCACATATACATTATTGAGATCCAATTACCCCTACTATTTACTTTGTCTGATAAATAGACTTCAAGAAATGAATATTGATTATTTTTGTGTCTTATAATGTTTAGTTACAAGATCATGTTTGATTGGGATTATTTTCCTTTATTTCTCCCTATGAAAATCCCTTGTGTTTGGGTTGTAAGTGTATCTTTTTAGCATGATTTTGTATTTGATTCATCCAGAAGCCTAGCCTAAATCAAAATATTATGCTAATTTTGTGACTTGGGGTTCAGGAACAATGCAGTAGATCTAAACTTGATTTTTTTTAAAAAAACTGTGTTCTTTAAAAGTAGTTTAGAAATTATCAATAATGCAAAATATACAGCTGTAGAGTATGATGATAGCAGTAATAATAGCCAAATAAATATGGCTTTAAAAAATTCAAACACTGGCATATTTAAATTAAACACTGTATTGGTCCATTTTCACACAGCTATAAAAATACTACCCAAGACTGAGTAATTCATAAATAGAAGAGGTTTAATTGACTCACAGCTCTGCATGGCTGGGGAGACCACAAAAAACTTACAATCATGGTGGAAGGTGTAAAGGAAACAGTCACATCTTACATAGAAGCAGGCAAGAGAGCATGTGATAGAAAGCGAAGGGGGAAAAGCTCCTATAAAACCATCAGATCTCATGAAAACTCACTCACTTTCATGAGAATATGATAGGGGAAACTGCCCCTATGATCCTATCACCTCCCATCAGGTCTCTCCTTGAACAATTGGAGATTACAATTCAAGAGGGGATTTGGGTGGGGACACAAAGTCTAACCATATCTGACATGAAGCCCCCACTAACAAGATGTGTATATGTGCATGTGTGGGGTTTTATTCTGTGATAAATGCATGTGCACAATGGGATTTGCCAAATTTGAGAGGCTAGAGAAAATTAATAATTCTATAATAGTGTGTGTATATGACAAGGTAGGACTTTGAATTATACAAATAGCATCCCAGAGATATCTTTAAGGCATATGGAGCTGTCTGGAAAAGTGACATGCAAATAGTAGTTGCTTAATACATGCTTGAACTTTTTAGCTTAAAAAAAGTATAATTATAATTATGTTTTTAATAATAAGGCTTATGGCAAAAGAAATACATACAAGGGAAGAAGAAGTTAGGCTACAACAGTAATTATCCAGTCAAAAACTCATTAAGATGGTGGTAGTGGAAATAAATATTGATTTTTAGACTCTAGAGATATTGCAGAGGTAATACTAAGAGAACAGTATGAAAATTTGGATCTGAGACTGAAGAAAAAAAGTTTAAAATATTATTATTATTTCTATAGTTTCCCAATTTATAACATGATTGGAAATAAGAGATATTTTAGAGGAGAAAATTAGTGCTTGATTGGGACTTTATGAGTTTGAAATTCCTCCAGGAACTTTACATACATGGGTACTATAGCTCATTACAAACATTTATCAGGGAATGTTCACCATACAAGCAAAAGTTAAATTTCTATGACTGAATGAGATTTCTAGGATAGAATGTGAGTGGGAAATGAAAATATTAAAGATGGAGTCTTGGTGATTGCATGCTTATTTACACAACTTGAAAAAGAGTAATCAACTAAAAAGAAACTGTCAAAAATGAGGAATTAGGAAAGAGTTATAATCTAAAACACAGAGCAGAAGAATTTTATGGTGAATTACTTAAATAATCAGTGCTAAAGAGGAGAATTTTAAAAAGCCATTTGATTCAACAGGTAAAAAGATGTTGCTGATATTAACTGAAACATTTTCTGAAGTGGGGTGGATGCTTACTTACTTAAATAAGTTGAAGCACTGGGATCTCCTTAATTTCTACATATCAGAAGCTGTATTGCTGCAAACCCTTGTGGAGCAGTTGACACGGCTTGGAATTGTATTTATACAGCACTTTGCATAAGATTGAGAAAACATTAATGTCCTTATTAGATGATGGTGAAGGGGTTGTGGACTGCAAGATATTATTGAGAATGTGGTAAAGCAACCCTCCCCAATTGGAAGTTGTGGAAATGGAGGTAGTCTGTAATGCCAGAAATTATGGTAAAGCAAAAAGAAGAGTTAATGAGGACCTATGTTAAGAAGGAACAAAGTAAAATTTACTTTCAGACTAAAAGGAAGGAGGCAGAACTTTAGGCTAAAATGTCTAAAACCTACAGTTAATCAGGTTCACTTCATAAAATGTGAAAACCAACTACTGGTAGCCATTTTAAATTCCTTATATGTTTTGGAGAATTATTTAACATAATAAAGAAACATCCAAAATAAAACAACAAAATATATCTAAAATAAATTTTCCTTTCAGTATGTTCTATACACACACATACACACACACACACACACACACACACATATACACACACACACTTCTTTGTGGTAGGGATAAATGGCCACAGTACCTAAATATGTAGATGAAGGTCAGTGATGGTCTATTGGTCATCTCAAATGTGGAGTGCTTGATCTCTTTTGCACTTGATGTGGCTCTCACTATGCATTTGATCTGCCATAACCTTTCATAAAGTGAGATGTAGACTTCCTGAATAGAGAGCTCACCTTGCAGTGCTAAGAGAGTGAAGGCACAGCAGGCAACCCACATTGACAGCTGTGTCATTGAGCCATAAAAACTCAAGGTTTTTATACTTAATGAATCCTAATATTTTTGTGCTGGATATGATTGGTGTACACTTGCCTTAGCTACTACCACCAATACAATTTCAGTTATATATATGTAAATTAGCTTAAAATGTGTTGATCAGTTTCAGATGAAGTAGACTTTATTGGAGGCAAGTGGCTCTTAGTGGTGTGCTGGGACATAATCTGTACACACTATATTACCACCACATAATCTATACAAAAAACACCACAGACGCATAAACTAACATGTCAAACAGAGAAATGTTAATGTTGAAATTAAAGGAGAGAGAGGAAATAATCAGGGGAACAAATTTTCAGAATAATAGGGTTTGAAACAAAATTTAATGCATAGATCAATAACTGTTTTAGAGAAGAGCGAGAATAGTCCATTTCTTAAGAGTTAAAAAAAATGGAATTGTATAAGAGTTAAATTGGACCAGATTATGTAAACCGAAGAGATGTTATGTATAACAGTTTGTACTTCTCTGACTACACAGAGAAAAATGTCATCAGCTAATGAAAAGGGGTCAGATGAGTAGAAAGCAGTACATACTGAAAACGTGGAAAAGATGTGGCATAAGAGAAGAATCAGACAAGCAGCAAGTAAAATAATGGTCCAATGAGGTAAGAGGCTATGAATCTGTATTGGTGCCAGTAGGCATAGTAATGAGATTTTTTCCAATAAAACTTAGTATTATAAGATTAAAAATTAAGCTAAATAGTCATAAGAGGCTAAAGTTCAAGATCTTTATGTGCAGCTGGAATTATTTTAAGTGAACTAAACAACAATTTCACCTGATAAACTGTGTCCAGGGTTAATGCAATTTTCAGCAGTTTCATGAAACAGTAATTATTTTTCAAATGTGCAATGGTGTTTTCATGGAGACTTCCAAACCATGGCCTGCACTATACACAGGAGAAAGAATAATCCAGGACTAGATTTATTAAGTTTAGTGATATTATCTTTAAAAATGTAAACATATATGCTTATCAATTTGTTAGATACTTTTTAAAATGCATCATTTAATTCTAAATCTGCACGGTAAAATTTATACATGATTTTCAGAAACACTTAAGATTAATTCTGTAGCATCCTATGACTTAATAATATAATATGAAATAGAATGATAAACTGTTTTAGGAGTAGAAGAACATCTGATTATAACATTGTGTCACTATTAGTTTTATACTAAGACTTCACTGAGGAAGAAAAATGGAACTCTTATACACTATAGAAAGCAGCAGTGTGGTTCATATTTTCGTAGTGTCCTTTAAGAATGTGCTAAAAATGCTTTAGAGTAAAATTGCCCCATAAGTTAATGTGGAGAGGTAAAATATTAATAGATGTTTCAAATAGATTTATCAATGTACACAAGAGATAATTTTTACAAAGCATTTCTTGGGAAATTAAGGGAAAAACCCCATAATTTAAAACAAGCTCGTAATGTTTTCTGGGTTATTTTCACATTTTTACTAGTTTGTAATTCCCTAACATTTGACACAATTTATGCTTATACAATCCAATTTGACTCAACTCATTGAAAACAATGTGGTATACACAGGAACCATGAAATGGTTGTATAACTGATACAAGTGCTAAACTGGAAATAGATAAGTGAAAGAGTCCGTCCATAAATAAAAATTAAAGTCCCAAGCTGGATTAACCCTAGATCAAATATTCACAAGTTGTATTCCTGCATGTATTAAACAAAATTTAGTTCCTGATGCATTTAGAGGTTAGCCTAGGAATGCAAGGAGCTGAGTTCAACACTGTGAAATTTCACAACTTCTATGATATTTCAAACATTTTCAAAACCAATTCCCATTTTTGGTCTTAAAACAACAATCATTTATTATTTATCATAGTTTTTGTGTTGGATAATCTCAGTTGGACCGTGTAGCTGGTCTGGTTTGGAGTCATTCATGCATCTATAGTCAGACGGTAGCTGGGACTGGAAGTTCTTTTCTTTTCTTTTTTTTTAAAGAAACTCTTAGTGATCTCAGAATAGAGAAAAATGTCCCTGGAATATTTAGAGGAAATGTTTCTTATCTTTAAGAAATTCTAGCAAATGTCATGTTAAATGATCAAACAAAAATACTCTATCAGTTAAAAATTGCTTAGCTAATGCTTAGGTAATGAATTGCAGCAAGGAAATAATGGAAATATCAGAGAGGAATATAAAGATTTATTTCAGAGGATGTAGTTATCTATCTGAAAAATTAAGAGAACCAATTGAGAAAAAACACAAGCTATTTAGAAATAAGAATAGCTATTAACGTGAGTAGCAACATATTCAACTTACACACGCATGCCTACGTGCACACACACACACACACGCACTGAATATCCTATTATAATTATTAAATGACATATAAAATGAGGTTCCCACCTTGTGACAGAAACAGATTATAAAATATCTAAAAATAATCCTGGCATAAAAATGTATACAACTTATTTCAAAATGATAAAAGTGTTCTAATGAGCAAAACAAACAAACAAAAAACAAACCAAAAAAAAATCCCACACCAAATTCTGATTGAGAAAATTCCAAAGTTTCAATATTAAAGATGTTGAGTCTAAACAAAATAATCTTAAATTTCAGTGGAATTTTAATATAAACTCAAATTATAATTTTTATGAATTTTGAATTCAGTGTTTCAAGTTTATCTGGAAAAATGTTGTGAAATAACAATTTTATTTTGCAAAAGAAGAAAAGGGATCTTTCTCTACAATATATCAACACATACAATGAAATTATAATTGTTTCAAAAATATAGTCTTGGTGCAGGTAGAGAAACAGAAGTGACCAGAAAAAAAATCTGGGCAAATTGAAGTTAAAAAAGTCTATAATAATATTAGAGGAAAATATAGATTTTTTTTTGTAATCATGGGGTAGTGAAGCACTTTTAAATAACCAACAAAACTCAGAAGCCAAAATATAAAATTTGACAAATAACTATATAAAATTGACACAGGTTTGATGTGGTGGCTCATGCCTGTAATTCCAACACTTTGGGAGGTTGTGGCAGGAGGACATCCTGAGCGCAGGAGTTCAAGACTGCAGTGAGCTATGATAATGCCATTTCTCTCTAGTCTGGGCAATATAGCGATACCCTGTCTCCAATAATAATAATAATAAACAATACATTTATATAAAAGAGTCATAATACACATTTAAAGTAAGTAAAATATTGGGAGAAAATATTTTCACAGATAATAAAAATGTAAGGCTGGGTGTGGTGGCTCATGGCTGTAATCCCAGAACTTTAGGAGGTCAGGGTGGGCAAATTACTTCAGCCCAGGAATTTGAGATCAGCCTGGGTATCATGGCAAAACCACATCTCTACCAAAAATACAAAAATTAGCCAGGTACGGTAGCACACACCTGTAGTACCAGCTACTTGGGAGGCTGAGGCTGGAGGATCAATAGAGTCCAGGAGGTCAAGGCTTCAGTGAGCCTTGATCACACTACTGTACTCCAGTCTGTGTGACAGAATAAGACTGTGTCAAAAAAAAAAAAAAAGAAAAGAAAAAGAAAAGAAAAGAAAAAGAAAGAAAGAAAAATTAAAATGTAAAATGTAAAAAAATATTTTCAAGAAATATAAAATTGAAAATTACCCAACAGATAAATAAGCATGGCCAATGATTATAAATTACCGAATAAATAGATATAAATAAATATATTAAAAGTTGCCTAATTCCATAATTTATCAAGTTGCCTAAGAGACGAATAAAATAATACTATATATACTACTGGTATCCACTATGTTTGTTCAGTATTTCTGGGTAGCAATTTGGAAAGCCTAACAAAATTTAAAGTGTGTATGCTCTTGTAGCTAGCAATTCTATTTCTAGATAATTTTTTTTACAAAAGAAATACAAAGTGCACATCTGTTCTTTTATGAACATTTAGGTTGTGTCTACATTTTAGCTATTATGTACAAAGTTGTGAAACATTCTTATACTAATCTTTTTGTAGACATAAATGTTCATTTCTGAGTAATGATATAATATCATTGCTGGATCAAAGATAGGGATATATTTTAAATTTGTAAGAAACTGCTAAATGATTTTTACATAGTGGTTTTACTATTTTACATTACCAGAGTGATGTATGAGAGGTCCACTTGCTTTGCATTCTCTTCAACATGCAGTATTATTAATATATTTAACTTCAATCATTGTAGTGGGTATGCAATAGTAAGTCATCTTTGTTTTAACTTGCATTTTCTTGTTGACTAGTGATTTTCAACATCTTTTCATGTACTTTTTTGCCATTTATGTATCCTGTTTCATAAAGTTTCTGCTTAAGACTATTGCCGATTTTTGTTGAATTGTTATTTTATTATTGTTTTGTAGAAATAATTTACATGCGCTTTATCCAAGTTATTTTGATATACATATTGTAAATACTTCTCAGCTTTTTGCTTTTCTCATTTTCATAAAAGGCTTTGTTTTCCCTTGCTTTATAGACAAATAAAAATTGTCTGTGTTTTAGGTGTACAAACTATGTTTTGATGTATTTATACATTGTGAAATGTTTACTACAATCAAGCTAATTAACATTTATCACCTCACATAGTTATAATGTTTTGTGTTTATAGTGAGAACACTTCACATCTAATCTCTTAACAATTTCCAGCATACAATACAGTATTATTAATGGTAGTCACCATGCTGTACATTAGATCTCCAGACTTACTCATCTTATAACTGAACAACTGTGCCCTTGGACCCAAATCTCCCCATTTCCACCACATAAGAAGTTTTAATTTTAACAAAATATATGTTTTTAATAGTAAATATTTGGAAAACTCTAATGGTCCATTAATATGGCAATGTGTAGATAAACAGTGTTACATCCATTGATATGGAAAATATGCAGCAATTTAAAATGATAAGGTAGGTTTTAAGTATTAACATGGAAAAGTTTTCAAGATACAGGATAAGTAAAAAATAATCCAATTGATGGACGACATATAGTCTAATTCTCTTAATGTGAAAATCTATATTTCTTTATGTGTACACACACTTACAAAAATGTAAATACATAAGAAACGGCATCCCAGTGCATACATTAAATTATTAACAGTGGTTATTTGTAAGAAAATAAGTAAGTTGTAAGTGATCATCTACAGCATAATTTACTTGGGATGTTTCTGTTATTGCCTAAAAATGCCCAGAGAACATTTTTTACTTTATTTTATTTATTTTATTTTAAATGGGGTCTGTCTGTCACCCAGGCTGGAGTGCACTGGCACAATCATGGCTCACTGCAGCCTCCACCTCAAGGCTCAATCAAGCCTCCTGCCTAAGCCTCCTGAGTAGCTAGAACTACAGGCACACACCACCACACCTGGTTAGTTATCCTATTTTTTTTTTTTTTTTTTTGTGAAGACAGGGGTCTTACTATGTTGCTTAGGCTTGCTCAAACTCCTGGGCTCAAATGATTCTCCTGCATTGGCCTCCCAATGTGCTGATTACAGGCATGAGCCACCATGCCTGACCTTAGGGAATATTTTCCGTAGTGTATTTTTAAATAGTGAGGGATGAAAATTATTGGAATTATTATGATAGCTTAATATAAATCCAATGACAAATATAAATATATGATGATAATAGTTCAAATATTTGTTATTTAAATAGATTTAATACATGGTTATAGATGAAAAACTTCAGGAATAAAACTTAAGCACAGAGGTAGAAATAAGCAAGCCATTTTGAGAAACAGAAAATTATTTTGATTGCAAAACAGGCAGTGAAACTTAGAAAGTAGTTTACAGTCACATGTTTCTAACATAAGATTTTTTAAAAATTTAATATAGTTTGAGTATTAGATAATACATGTTTTAGACAAAACCATATGTCACTCTGAGCTATGTACCATAAAGATGAATCTGACATTAGAATGCCCAATAGGTTGAAACAAACAAAAAGTGAAATAGCATGGGAAATTTTCAGCATTTATAGTCTATATAAGAAATCAAACTGTGGTAGGACCACTGAAAATAAAAAAAGCAGATTTGGTTAACTGGGAGAATAGTGATCCTATCTGCAATGATGAACAAGAAAAATAGGTTTTCAAAAGACATCAGTAATTTATAAAATATGTTATACTCATACATATGGTATCTGATAGATACGTTTTCCCAAAACTGCCAAATTCTGTTTAAAATTCTTCCTCTTTCCATATCATAGTGGGCAGTGGATGGTCACCCTGTTGATCAAAATAAAAATCACTGGAATCATACTAGATGCTTTTTCACTACTAATTCCACATCCAATCAACAAAAAGTTCTGTAAATTTTATATTCTAACTATGTCTCAAATCTGCCCGCTATTCTCTATGATCACTGCAACTAACTAAAATTATGTGTTCACCACTTTTTGCCTAGGCAACTCTAACACCTTCCCTAATGAATCCATTATCAACATTCTTACCTTCACTTTAATCTGCTTCCCACATGGCTGCTAAAATGTTCTCTCTAAAATACAAAACTGACCAAGTCACACTGCAAGTTACATATTTCGAATATTGGGAAGATTGGGAATATATATATATCAGACCATGTCACTCTGCACTCAAGTTACATAATCCCAATGCATATATAGGGTTCTGTGATCAACCTATATATGTATGTGTGTGTGTCTGTATATACATATATTCAAAGTATACTGGGAGCATTGGAGTGTAGGTGTGTGTGTGTGTGTGGGTGTATATATATATATATACACACACACATACACATATACACACATACACACACACATACATATATAGGTTGAATAATGTTCAATCAACTTACAACACTCATTTTGATGGACTCTTCACCTTGGATTTCGCATTTCTCAGCACATTTTCTCTGCAATAAAGTCATTATGAAATATTGACAATTCCTCACAGGTGCCTTGCCCTCATTCCTCTTTCTGTTTGCTTGTGATCTTCCGACTGCTTGGAATGCATATCTTGTGACTATCCGCAAATTTTTTTCTGAGGATACAAGTTAGGTATGATGGCAAGAGTCACCTCTTCCAAGAAGGCTTCTAATACTGCTCACACTGAGCATTTTTCTTTCTTTCTTTTTTTTGAGATGGAGTCTCAATCTGTCGCCCACGCTGGAGTGCAGTGGTGCGATCTCGGCTCACTGCATGTCTGAGCATTTTTCACAAAGGATTATGCATGTTTTACAAATCTATGCTCTACTTGAATAATCAACTCTTTTGAAGACAGAAACTGAACTTTTTCCTGGCTGGATTACTATGTTTTGGCATACAAACAGTCATTTTAAATGATTGATAAATAATTTTAATTACATGTATAATTCATAGAAGGATTTCTCCATTATATTTTGGAGGGGATACAAATCTTATCCTCTAGAGTTATTACTAGAAATAAACATTTAAGTATGAATATGATCTTATGTTGCAATTTCACACCTCTAGAAATACTAGCACCTTTGCTGTTCTCCAAGCATACTGAGTGTGCCCCACTGGTTAATACTTCTATTTGGAATGTTTTTCCTCATATTGCCTCCTAGCTACTTCCCCTACTCTCTGAAAATTTGACATAAATGCCACCTTTTTAATGAGGCCCACCATCATTCCTCTTGTTCTTTCTAAACTTGCTCAACATTTTTATTTTTGTTTTCCACAGCATCTATCACCATCTAACACACTATAATTTATTTTTGTTAGTTTTGTTACTGTTTAGATCTTCTTTTCTCACTAGAAAGTAAGCTCCATGAGTGCTAGTAATTGTTTATCTAAATTTCTGGAATAGTACTTTACATACAGTAGATGCTCAATAAATATTTACTGATTGAAGAGATGGAATCACAAGAAAAACCTATCCAAAGTGTTTTTCCTCAGCTGTCACTGAACAATAATCACAGCAGGATTCTGTGATAAAATATGTGAGGCTGTTTTTCCCCATACACCAAGCAAGAAATCAACTCTGCAGCACATATTAGCTAGGTGCCCTCCAATTCAATTCTGACACTGTCTACCTGGAGATAGCATCAAATCCCAGGGTTGAGGTCTCAGTCTGACAAGACTGCCCCCTCTTCAGACACAGTAGCATGTCTGGGCCTCTGGAACTTCTGACCAACTGGCTTCACATTGGGGTAACCCAGACTTCGTATTTATGTTCAATTAATTTGCTAGAGTGGCTCACAAAACTCAGAGAAATACATTTACTGGTTAATTATAAAGGATATTTATGCCTTTATATTCCTTGCACTTTCAATTCATCTGTTTCTTTCAGGCACATCTTTATAGAAAATATTTTCTTGACTATATTTAAATCTTTTCTTTCTACCCTAAATTCTACTTAAAAACCTGCAACCACAACTTTGAAAGTGAAGGTTGATTACAACCATCCTCACATAGGATTAATCAAATGTGATTAAAAGTATTAGATAGCCTAATGCAAAATATGTATTAAAGAACCAGATCATTATTGCCATAAATATTAGAAATTTTAAGTGATAATGAATAAATATTCTGTACTGTGCTTAAAAATAAGCTTGTAAGTTTTTGTAAGAGAAGCTGGAATATGTAAAAAGCCCACAGAGATTTTAGAAAATGGTAACCATCTTGCTAACCATTCAAGTCTTCAAAAGAGTTAATTTGAAGTCAGTTCAAAGAGGAACAGGCATTAACTCAGAGAAAATATTCCACTGATGGTTAGCAAAGCAGTCATATTCACTACAACTTAACATTCTCATTTTTGTGATTGTAGAAATCACATGTAATGACTCTCATTCAAATTTAGCATAAAACACTAGTTTCAAACTACTACTTTCTATTCATCTCTGTCACTTTACTTTTCATTTTGAAAGCCAGGTAGACATAAATTTAATTTACCAGCTGGTGGGGAAATGTTTGTAAATCATCAGAAACTGCCTAATCATAACTCAATATACCTGTATCTCAAAAGTAATAAAACTAGTACATGATATAAATATTATATCACAGAGGAGCTAAATTAAAGCAACTATGTTTAAAAATATGAGATTCTTCACATACCCTTTCTTTTTACCATTGATTTGGAGGATTTGTTTCCTTGGAAAAGTGAAAAGATTTTGGAACTTTTCAAAATTATTTTATGATATATTTATAGTATGTCAGTAATAAATCCTAATTTGCATTAATTTAAGTAGTGATAGGCTTTAAAACTAAAATCAGCATTAGAAAAGTAATAGTTCTGTTCATGTTGGTCAACTTTGAGAAAGAATGCCACACAAAACACAACTTGGCCTTGGTGGTGGAAGTTGGGGGAACAGATCATTGCTTTCTTAAAGGTAAGTACCCTATTTATCCTACATTATTAAACAGTGGATTGAGTTAATGCAATTAATTGCTTTGCCACTTAAATATCCGAGGTTAATAAGCTAAACTTTATCTCAGATTTGGAGCTTCAAAGACAGCTTTCAAATAATGATCATGTGAGCGACCTTGGTTACCATTCCAATCTTTCAGAAGGGCTGGTTGAAATCCTACTTCAGAAAGTACAGTGAAACAGTTTATGAAAAAATAAATGCTGAGTATTTTTAATTCTCTCCTCCTAGTTTAATCTACCAGTTAAAATCTAAAGAGTCTGTTTCTGAAAACTGGTTATCACCTGGAGTCAGACTAATATAGGTTCATATTCTTGTTCTTGAAATGTACTAGCTCTTTCATCTTGAGCAAGTCACTTTGACTCTGAGTTTATTAAGCAGAGATTCGAGAAAGACAACAATATCTAACTTTTAGGCATCTTTTGAGACTTAATGGGATACTATTTACAAATGCTTGGTATTGTCTGGGTTCCAGTAAATAAGTCAATACAGTACATATTAGCTATTATTTGATTATGAAGACTGTAACAGAGACTCCTGCTCCTTTCCTCACTACTACCACCAAAGAGATAGCATTAAGACCCAGAATGTCACTAAAAACAAGAAAAGGACTGTTCAAACTCAAGTCTTTTGAAAAAGCTTTATTGAAAAACTTTAAGAAAAAATTAAACAATGTGAGTTTGATTCCATTTTCACATTAGGTTCACTCTAGGGAGAGTCACTGGTACAGCTCTTTAACCTTCCTTGGTTATGTTCCTCATGCTATTTTGCCAAGGTACTGTCACAGTCCTTTTATAATGTATTTATTGATTTCAATGCATGGGTATAATTATCACTGTTTTGAAGATGGCTATATCATACCATGAGTCCTCAAAGTGTTTTAATTAGTACACATCCTTTAGATTGTCTGTGGTTGTTGAGATTTTTTTCACTGCAAATATCCAACAATAAACCTCGCTTTTTCTGGAATAACTACTATAGCAGAGCAGATGTTTGACATTATCATATAGCATATTAACATCTGTCTTTTACCCTTCCCCCTTTTAAAAAATAGGTTTCTCTCTTTAATTTTCACCTGCAATGGGTAAAGACGATTCTCTAAAAACTTTTCCAGGGATAGTGTTTTTTTTTTTTCTGTGCACTGTATCTTATAATACAGTCAGCTATCCATAAATTTATTTCTTCCACGAGATTCTAATTTCCTGTGTGTGGGGACTAAATTAATCATCTTTGATTTCCCTGAAAACAACTGGAAATTGTCCAAAATGTTGAAATCTGGGTGAAATTGTATTTGTATACTAGTCATAATAGCTCTTGTGTCATCATTGGTTTGGAGACTTAGTGAGACAAATGCCAATGACTTCACTTGCCGTAGAAATAATCTCATTTTAAACCCTGTTACATCCATTCATTTCACCTCTGTTAAGGTACTTGAACAGAAAATGCCACTAGCCATAAAGAGGATTGAATGGGTATTAGTCTATCAGCACTTGGGTGTCCTGTTCTGTAGTTGACATGATTGAAGGAGTGACTTCACTGTGGGAGACTCTTGAGATTTGGGGCAGCAAAATGGGTATTGCGAATAGTTTTTGTTTTCTTTCTTAAACCCATTCATGTCTTCTAGTAACTCCAGCAAACTTGTATATATTCACTTTCTTACTCCATCTCAGCACATATGCGTCATTTAAGTAAAAGTTCAGTTTTAGCTCAGTTGTTGAGAGTTTCACCTAGGCCAGACTCAACTAGATTATCATGTTCCCCTGATTATCATGAATAATTCTGGGATGGACAAATGGCCTAAGCAGACAAAATGAAAAGCCATGCAGTATTTTCTTTTAATGTTAAGACAGGGTCAGTGACATTTCCAGCTGGTGTTGAATCTAAGAGAAAGTGAAGTCTAAGTGTGCTATGAACATCTTCCTTCCTCCAGGGAAAAGATGGCTCGAGATTAAAACCAATTGAAGGAATGTGAACACAAGAAGTATGGAGAGGAAATAGAAGAACACAGAATTTGCCCCACTGACATTTTTGAAGCCCTTGAATCAAGCAATGACTAAAGTTAGAACTTGCAAAATTAAATAATTTAAACTTAAAACTGTTAGGACATTAAATTATTTGAATCTTGAGAGAAATGTGACTATGTGGCCTGAGTAATGTAGCATGCAGCTGTGGCTTCTGCTTCTCTAATTATAGATGAATTCCCTTCCTTGTTCTTGTACTGTAAATGAATAGGAAAGACTGAAAAGATGCCAGAGATAAGACCTCCCTCAAGTCCATTACCCCTCCTTATGGATTGTTAAAGCAATCTTTCTTAAAATGCAGCAAACTATAACCAATCAAACGGCTGTAACATATGTAGCATCTTCATATGGAGAATGGTGCAACCCTGTTAAACTTTTCTGTCTCTTCCTGTATAAATGAAACCTTAACTTCACCACTTTGGAACACTGACTCTACTCATTTGGAGTCTGTCTTACCTCAGTGGCTGTCTTCAAGATTTGTATTCAAATGATTTCTATAGTTCTATAGAAGTTCTATAGTTAATCACACTTTCTGAATTTCATTATTTAAGGTTAACAAACTGTGCTGAACTATTCAGACATGTTAATTAATAAACAGCCATTTTTCTTAAGGTACAAGTGGCTTCTAGTCACTTGCAATCAATTAGTCCTTACTATTATAATACAATGATGTGTTTAAATGTAACTCTTATGGAATAGTCTTGAGGTTTTTGGATCATGATTCCTTGTAATAGGCTTATGATTGTAAATGCAATAGAGTCAAACTAAAGGGATCAGACCTAAATGTGTATGATGCAGAGTACACCTCCGTTTTTCCCACCTGTAGTCACAACTGGTTGTTAGGCAATATGCCTGTAATTAGTATTTCTAGATCCTAATATCCTCTGGATTAGAAGGCCTTCTTGTGACCAAAAAGTCAAATGACTTAACAATATATACATTTCAGTATCTAAGTCAGACATCTATCAAAGCAACATAGTGCACTATGATGGAAGCAAAAATAAAGTTGAAAAGTTGAATAAAGTTGAAAAATAAAGTTGAAACCTAAATGGATTTAGGTGTAAATTTCAGTTGCAACCAATGGATGGATGTATGATCACAAATGTTTTAGGTTATCTATTTAAGTTTAGTTTCCTCATGTACACATGGGGGTAAAGCTGGGCATGGTGGCTCATGCTTGTAATCCCAGAACATTGGGAGGCCAAGGTGGGAGGATCACTTGAGGCCTGAGTTTGAGACCAGCCTGTGTAACATGGCAGAACTGCATCTCTACAAATAATTTAAATATATAAAAATTAGCCAGGTGTAGTGGTGCACACCTGTAGTCCCAGCTACTCAGACAGAGGGCTGAGGTGAAGGGATTGCTTGAGCCCAGGAGTTTGAGGCTGCAATGAGCTATGATTGCATTACTGCACTCCAGCCTGGGCAACAAAGCAGGACCATGTCCCTAAAAAAAAAGAAAAAATAAATTGTTTAAATAACAATAAATAGAAATTTAAAATTTTAAAAATAAAATAAAATTTTAATGAGGGTAAAATATCAGTAGTATAAGGCTGTTTTATTGACTGTATAGCACCATGTTTGTTAAACAGTAGTACTGTGTTTAAGATATTTTAGGTAAATTTAGACCCTTTTTTTCTATTGTTTGGAGTTAATTTTGTCCCTTAGCCAATCATATCATCCTCTGGCTAATACAAAGAAAAAGCAGTGCCTATGCAGAGAAAGGTGAGATAGAAAAAAAAAAAAAAAATATATATATATATATATATATATATATATATATATATATATATATATATAGCTATATCTGCAAAACCTAAAATAATCATTGGCAAAGTGCCATTTTAGTAAAGTAGCAAAATAAAAATATGCCATCATGAAATTCATAGCTTTCACATGTAAAGCAATACCTATGCAAAATACCTATGTAAAAATTTAATAAGAAATGTACAAAATGACTATGTTTGGACTGAAAGCCTCAAAATAAAAAAAAAAAAGTAAATTATACCCAAATTGACTTATACATTTAGAGTAATCGTAATACAAGTTACTTTTTTGTCTACTGGAGTGAGATGTTGATTATATATCATTTTGAAGAATATACACACAGAATATCTGATATTGGTTGGAGATATTCTTCTTGGTTATTGTCAAAGCAAAATTTTACCAAAGTTAAACAAGCATGGAAGCATTTATTTAAGGAGATTGCAATAGGGGAGTGAGGGCAGAACTCAGTCAGAGCACAACTTTGATGAAAGAAAGAATTGTAGAATTTCTAAGAACTGGAGTTAGGGGAATATAGGCCAACTGTGTTTGCTAATTGGCCTTTACCCAGAGGACAATTAGACTTTCTCCTATCTTTATGACAGGAAGTGGTTTTATAACCCGGAGTAAGACATCCATGGAAGTTAGGCTTCTGCCCTTGCAGAGAGACTGGGGGATATGAGCATTATCTTCCTTGATGATTACATTTTAAAGGGATGACTCCCAGATACTTGGGAAAGACATTCCTGACTTGCAAACTGGTAAGAAGCTTCTAAAAAGATTTCCATTTCAAAGGGGCAGAGACAGAATTTTAATTATAAGTTTTCTAAAGCAAACGCTGTAAGAAAATTGAAGTCAGGGGTCTAGAGTCATGGAAAAGACTATCTAAAGTTTAACCAAGCCGAGCCCAGCATTAAGGCCTTCTTTGTCAATATTAAATAATAATAATTATCATTACTTTTTATAATTAATTTTATATGTTTGTTTTAATTCTATTTTAAGTACATTTACCATTTAAACAGTTGGTGATTTCTATATGAACAGACAGATATTTCTCTGGTTAGGTTCATAAGTAAACAGTCTGAGGCAAAAGCTTATAGTTAAGGATTTATTTCTAACTATACTTATAATAGTTAAGTATAGTTAAGCTATACTTACAATTATAGCTTAACTATAAGCTAAGTACAATTAAGCTATACTTATAATTATAACTTAACTATAAGCTAAGTATAGTTAGCTATACTCTTTAGTGTAAGGATTATAGCTAACTATACTTAGCTTATATTGAGGATTATAGCTAAATATACTTAGATTATAGTTAAGAATGCAGACTTAAGAGAGAAGTGAAGGAAAGGGAAAATGAGGCAGGAAAGAAAGGAGAGGTGATTTGAGGGAGTATGTTACTCAGATACCACAGCTTTGACTTGATTGCTCAGTCTCGTGGTATTTCTTTTGTTAAAAGAAAACTTCAGACAAATTAAATTTGATGCAGTTTAATTGGGCCAAAAGAAACAATTCATGAATCGGGCAGTCTCCAGAATCACAGCAGATTCAGAGAGACTCCAGGGGTGCCTCATGGTCAGAACAAATTTATAGACAAAAAAAGTAAATTGACATACAGCGTCGGAAGTGAGGTACAGAAACAGTTGGATTGGTTACAGGTGGGCGTTTGCCTTGTTTGAACACAGTTTGAACCCTCTGCAGTCTATCAGTGGTTAAAGTATGGCCACTGGGATTGGCCAACATTCAGCTATTGTTACAGGCACATACTCCTAAGTTAGGTTTTTAATCTTGTCTGCCTATTAAGCTAGGTTATGGTTCATCCTCAGGAGTCAAATATAGAAATACGGAGTCCTTCTCATGCCATTTTTAGTTTGCTTTAACACTTTAGAGAAACCAAATGAAATACTGCTTTTGGCTGGGTGCGGTGGGTCATACATGTAGTCCCAATACTTTGGAAGGCCTAAGCAGGTGGATTGTTTGAGGCCAGGAGTTTGAGACCAGTGTGGGCAGTACAAAGAGACCCTCATCTCTACAAAATATTTTTAAAATAAGATAATTAGCCAGATGCGGTGGGGCATGCCTGTAGTCCCAGCTACTTGGGAGCCTGAGATGGGAGCATTGCTTGAGCTCAGAAGTCTGAGGCTGCAGTGAGCCATGATTGTGCTGCTGAACTCCAGCCTATACAACAGAGTGAGACCCTGTCACTTCAGGAAAAAAACAACAACAACAACAACCTTCTTTTGAGAATAGCCTATCTGGGAGAAGATAAAGGAAATAATTTATGGACAGTGCCTCTTATTTTCAATTTTCCACTGGCAAAATTCCCCTGCCCTTCCCTGTTGCATCATCTGACCTGTTCTGGCCATGGGAGAAGTATCACAGAAAGCCAAAGTGGCCACATGTCCAATGAGGCAAGAGCGTAACAGAAGCAATCTCTCTTGGCCAGTTAGTGCCGTGAGAGTCTCCTCAATTTGTAGTGGTAGAAATTAGCCAAGTTATGTCTATGGGCAAACTACCTTCATAAATGGAGAAACAACAAATGCTATTGCTTGAACAGCTCAGGTGGCATCTGAAATAAGCGAAGAAAATGTGTTATAATAAGGGTATAGGAACAACTGGATAGCCATATGGAAAGATTGGATTCATTCTTTACAATGTAAAACAGAATATATTTTAAACAGGTTAAAATTCTAAATGGAAAAATTAAAGTTATACAAGTCATAGAATAAACCATGGGTATATTCCCTGTAAGCAGGGAAAGGGGAAAATTGTTTACTATGGCTTAATTTTCCCCCACCAAAAAAAGATAAAAGATTAATGAATTTGACTACATGAAAAAATGTTTGACATGACAAAAATAAGCAAAACCAAAATATAAGTAACAAACTGATATTTATCTCAAAAATACATTGCCAAAAATAAAAAAAAACTGATTTGGCATAAAGCTATTCACTACATTATACTAATAATAGGCAAAGACAGAAAGCCCCTTAAATATCTTTCAATAAGTACTGGTTGAAAACCAGTTTCATTTGGTTGCATCCAAATGAAGCACTGAGCAACTATAAAAAGAAATAATATTTATGTATTATTTTGTATATATTCGTAAGAAAGAAAGACACAGAAAAGCAAATATGAATGCTAATATTTATGTAGGAATATAGGTAGTATATGTATTTTTCTATTTGTATTTTTTAAAATATATTAATAACACAAATCTAATAGAAATTGCTACCTATAGCAAAAGGAAAGAATAGTGTCAATAGGATAGAGCTAAAGGCTAGATCACACTAAACCATGTAAATATTTTACAAAATTAAAGCCTAAAATTAACATTTAAAAAGGCAATTAGTGAAATTAAAAAAAAATTAACAATTTAAGCATAACTTTTTATCAACTTGGTGGTATGGTCATGCAGAGAATAACTATAAAACAACTGTGAAACAGCCTTTTGCTTGTCCATATATAGTAGTACATATCTTTATGCAAATAATGATAATAGCATTGAAATCTAAATCTACATTACTGCATTCATAAATCTTATTTTTAATATTGATGTTCAATATCTATTTATGTAACTTTTATATGTGTGTATGCATACATATATAAAGATTTTAGCATAAGATAAACATATGTAAATAATGAGGCCAGGCACGGTGACTCATTCCTGTAATCCCAAAGCTTTGGGAGGTAAAAATAGGAGGATTGCTTGAAGCCAGGAGTTTGATACCAGTCAGAGAACACAACAAGACCACATCTCTACAAATAAATACATCAAATTATTCAGGCATGGTGGTGCACACCTGTAGTTCTAGCAAGTTGGGAAGCTGAGATGAGAGCATTGCTTGAGCCCAGGAGTCAGAGCTTGCAGTAAGCTATGAATGTACCACTACACTCCAGCCTAGATAACAAAGAAAGACTCTGACTCAAAAAAAAAAAAGTATATAGATAATGAATCAAAAATAACAATTAAAAACTTGACAACCTTAGATCATGAACTTAAAATATCAGTATAAAAATATAATTAATTTTTCTAAAAAATTTGCATAGTTTCTATCTCTCTCGATGAATATGATGGCAATAACAACCTAGTAATATTTAGCAATCCTAGCATCTTTAAATACCTGGTCTTCAAATACAAATTCCCACTAAAAAATGCTAGTACTCCTTAGAGAATGAGCTGATTTTTGTTGTTGTTATTTTGAGCAAGACATTTCCAAGATGAGGCTGGAGTATTTTATTTGGCTTAAAGGCCAGAAAACTTTCAAGAAATAACGATGTCATATCTGTAGGAATAGGAAAGCAATTTGAAAAGACTCTCACTGGGGAAAAATGAGATCATCTAAATATCAAAAATGATAACTGCAGTGGATGTAACATCAAAGAAACAAAAATCTGTAGGTTTAAGAGAATGCTCCATAAATATATTTAAAAATATAACATCACTGAAGATTTTTAAGATTAATTAGATTACCAACTCATTATTCCAAAAATTTAAACATAAAGTTAAAGAAGTAAATATTGATATGTCTTTCCTACACAGACTATATTTCAGAGAAGTTATATCATTAATGAAGAAAATTTATTATTTTTTTCTAGAAGAATCATAGCTAGTAAATGCAAAAGAGATATAAGAATTAGAAAAGCAAGCACTTTACAATCCCCTCAGGATGCTAAAAGCTCTAGGTAAAATGATGATAGCTTTATAATGGATTGAATCAGATAGACAACACTTCACTCAATCTTAACATCATTTAATTTGAAATGACCAGAGTTTATGTGCCTCATGATGTGATGCAATAATATGTGTGCGGAAAAATCTATGAAGTGTGCTTGCTATAAAAAAAAAGGAAAGAAGGGAGGAAGGAAGGAAGCAAGGAAGGAAGGACGGAAGGAAGGAAAGGAGGGAGGGAGGGAGAGACGAGGGGAGGGGAAGGGAGGGGAGAGGAGGGGAGGAGTGAAGGAGGGAGGGAGGAAGCAGGAAGGGGAGGAAATGCAAATCTAAAAAACCCTCTATATTTAAATACCAGTTTATAGAAATTGATGGAATAAAGCAACATGATAAGAGTCTACAAAATGATATGCTCATCTAAATGCAAACTGTAGGAAATATATCTGGAGGAGAGAAAACTGTTGTATAAAAATATTATTAAAGGAACTATCAGCCAAACGAGGAGACTTTGGATACTGATTTGAGCTAACAAATATGAATAGTTTTGTGGTAATTGGTGAAAATTGAACACACTGAGCCTTGGAATATTAAGAAATTATTCATTTTGTTCTATGGTTATGTTTTTTAAAGTCTTAATTTATTACAGTTACATAATGAAATATTTTAAAAAATAATAAAACATAAACCTTTAGCAGAAATAATGGGTGAGATATACAAGAATGGAAGATACTGGTATTTGTTGAAGTTGGGTAAAATTACATGGAGGTAATTTTTTTTATCTTTGTTTATGTAAGAAAAAATTTGTAATAAAAATTTAAACTAAAAATAAGAAATAAAAATTAAATGCCTACAAAGTAGACAATTGAAAAGACCGAATATCCTCAGTAATACCTAAGGAATTTACTAGGAAATGTCAATTGGCAGGGAGTGAGAAAGACAGTAGGGTTGGTTATTTGCCTAATAATTTTCATGCCTTATCTTCCATAATTTTTATAAGAAATTCTTTCTTTTTCAGATTTAACTCTCATCCTAAGGAGGCAAGAGGACCTTTAAGACAATTTTTTTAGTGGCCACTGCCCTGTTAGCTCAATACCTGTGTTTTTAAAGCCAAAGTAGTATAAGAAATACTAGAGTAGGTTTCTTTTTCTTTTTCTTTTCTTTTTTTTTTTTTTTTTTTGTTGGAGACAGAGTCTCACTTTGTCACCAGGCTGGAGTGCAGTGGCATGATCTCGGCTCACTGCAACCCCCATCTCCCTGATTCAAGCAATTCTCCTGCCTCAGCTTCCCGAGTAGCTGGAACTACAGGCACGTGCCACCACGCCCAGCTAATTTCTGTATTTTTAATAAAGATGAGGTTTCACCATGCTGGCCAGGATGGTCTTGATCTCTTGACCACATGAACTGCCCGCCTCGGCCTCCCAAAGTGCTGGGATTACAGGTGTGAGCCACCGTGGCTGTCCGAGTAGGTTTATTTTATTCAATTTTAAATTCAAAATTGGGACAAAATATTACCTTAATTTGATTTCCTGATAAAATGTTTTAATCTCTAAAATATTGAAATCATAAGAATAGATATAAAAGTAATAATTTCCCTCTTTATAACAGGTAATGAAAGTTGAAAAACTTCAAGGGACAATGTTATTTGACCCATAATTCTAGGAAATTTATTCGTAACCTAGACTTTTATTAATGCCAAAAAAAGGTAAAAACTTTTCTAATGTAGTATGCAAAACTACTTTTAAATTCAAATGATAATAGACAAATCTTCCATTACTTTTGCAAATTACAGAGGCATTCTTTCAAAATCAAACAAGATTATAATGTTTATTTATCTTCCATAAAATAGTTAATATTTTCTGGTTTATTCTTTCTAGAAATATAAATCTGTGGCCCTAAAAATTAACCATAGAACTATTTAAAATTTTACATTTATATTTCATGTTTGTTTTATTGTCTAGTACTTTAATTATCTTCATAATATCACAAATATTAGAACAATTCCATACTTCAAATCTTAACAAATCACTAAATATAACACATTCAGTACACTCCACGAGATATAAAATTCATATCCAATTAGAAAATTACTACTGTCTAAGATCATCTTTTGTATAGATTAACCTTTTTCCAATAAAAGACAGTAAGAGTATATATTTAATGAATATAAATGTTCCTATATTATCACTGAGCTCTGCACCTGAATATCCTTTTGTCTGCTTTCTCCTCTTGGATATCCTCATGTCCAAACCAGAATTCTGTTTTCCTACAAACCTGAATTTCTTCCTGTAATATTTATCTCTATGAATGCACTATAATGCTTCTATATGCCTAAATAAGAAAATAAGTGGCCATTTTGAGTTATTTCCCTCTACTATTTTCCATTTGAAATCAATGTCTCAGTCTGGTTAATTCAATTTCTTGGTGTTTTGGTATTTTACTTCACTTTTAAAATTTAATTATGGCCCTCAGCATTGTATATCTACATCCTGCAACAAATATATTAGTTTCTTACTGCCAAGTCATCCATCCATTCATTCATGCATGCCTATATTCATTCAATAAATATTTATTAAAAATCAACTATGTGTCAAGCACTGCTCTATCTGCTGGGATATAGCAGTTTAAAAAAAAAAAAAAGGAACAAAATTGCCTTCCATCATAGAAATTACATCCTGGTGGAAATGTATTGTGAGTGTGTCCTGTGATTGTGCTAGCAGGATAATATAATCTGTAATCTAATTGTAGACCTAACAGAATCATTCCTCTTCATTGCATTTTTCAGCGGCTCCCCGTTCCTCAACGGAGAAAAAAAAAGATGATGATGAAGCAAAGCTTTTAATGTGGCAAACCCTTTATAACTTTATAACATTTCTTATGTATTTTTTTGCCTTATATTGGACACTTCAACCCTGATATGGTTTGGTTGTGTCCCTACCAAATCTCAGCTTGAATCGTATCTCCCAGAATTCCCATGTGTTGTTGGAGGGACCCAGGGGGAGGTAATTGAATCATGGGGACACGGTCTTTCCCATGCTATTCTCATGACAGTAAATAAGTCACATGAGATCTGATGGGTTTAGCAGGGGTTTTTGCTTTTGCTTCTTGCCCATTTTTCTCTTGCTGCTGCCATGTAAGAAGTGCCTTTCACTTCCTGCCATGATTCTGAGGCCTCCCCAGCCATGTGGAACTGTAAGTCCAATTAAAGCTCTTTTTCTTCCCAGTCTCAGGTATGCCTTTATCAGCAGCATGAAAATGGACTAATACAGTAAATTGGTACCAGTAGAGTGGGGCATTGCTGAAGATACCTGAAAATGTGGAGGCAACTTTGGAATTGGGTAACAGGCAGAGATTGGAACAGTTTGAAGGGCTCAGAAGAAGATAGGAAAATATGGAAAAGTTTGGAACCTCCTAGAGACTTGTTGAATGGCTTTGCCCAAAACGTTGATAGTGATATGAACAACAAAATCTAGGCTGAGGTGGTCTCAGATGGAGATGAGGAACTTGTTAGGAATTGGAGAAAAGGTGATTCTTGTTATGTTTTAGCAAAGAGACTGGTGGCATTTTACCCCTGCCCTAGAGATTTATGGAACTTCAAACTTGAGAGAGATGATTTAGGGTATCTGGGGGAAGAAATTTCTAAGCAGCAAAACATTCAAGGGGTGACTAGGGTACTGTTAAAGGCATTCAGTTTTAAAAGGATAACAGAGCATAAAAGTTTAGAAAATTTGCAGCCTGACTACACAATAGAAAAGAAAAACCCATTTTCAGGGAAAAATATCTCCAGGACATGTCAGAGACCTTCATGGCAGCCCCTCCTATCACAAGCCTGGAGGCCCAGGAGAAAAAAGTGGTTTTCTGGGTCAGACCAAGGGTCTTAGTGCTGTGTGTAGCCTAGGGACTTGGTACCCTGTGTCCCAGCTGCTCCAGCCATAGCTGAAAGGGGCCAACATAGAGCTCGGGCTGTGGCTTCAGAGGGTGGAAGCTCCAATCCTTGGCAGCTTTCACGTGGTGTTAGACTGTGGGGGCATAGAAGTAAAAAAACTGAGGTTTGGAAACCTCCGCCTACATTTCAGAAGATGTATGGAAACGCCTGGATGCCCAGGCAAAAGTTTGTTGCAGGGACAGGGCCCTCATGGAGAACTTCTGCTAGGGCAGTGTGGAAGGAAAATGTGGGGTCAGAGCCCCCACACAGAGTCCCTACTGGGGTGCTGCCTAGTGGAGTTCTGAGAAGAAGGCCACTGTCCTCCAAACCCCAGAATGGTAGATCCACTGACAGTTTGAACCGTGTGCCTGGAAAAGCTGCCAACACTTAACACCAGCTCCTGAAAGCAGCCAGGAGGGAGGTTTTACTCACCAAGCCACAGGGTCGGAGCTGTCCAAGACCATGGGAACCCACCTCTTGCATCAGCATGACCTGGATGTGAGACCTGGAGTCAAATGACATCATTTTGGAGCTTTAAAGTTTGACTTACCTGCTGGATTTCAGACCTGCATGGGCCCTGTAACTTGGAACAGCTGTATTTACCCAATACCTATACCTTCATTGTATCCAGGAAGTAACTAGCTTACTTTTGATTTTACAGGCTCATAGGCGGAATGGACTTGCCTTGTCTCGGATGAGACTTTAGACTGTGGACTTTTGGGTTAATGCTGGAGTGAGTTAAGACTTTGGGGGACTACTGGGGAGGCATGGTTGGTTTTGAAATATGAGGACATGAGATTTGGAGGGGCCAAAGGTGGAATGATATGGTTTGGCTGTTTCCCCACCAAATCTCAACTTGAATTGTATCTCCCAGAATTCCCACATGTTGTGGGAGGGACACAGGGGGAGGTAATTGAATCTTGGAGGCCGGTCTTTCCTGTGCAATTCTCTTGATAGTGAATAAGTCTCATGAGATCTGATGGGTTTAGCAGGGGTTTCTGCTTTTGCTTCCTTCTTATTTTTCTCTTGCCACCACCATGTAAGAAGTGCCTTTCACCTCCCACTATGATTCTGAGGCCTCCTCAGCCATGTGGAACTGTAAGTCCAATTAAACCTCTTTTTCTTCCCAGTCTTGGGTATGTCCAGCAGTGTGAAAATAGACTAATAGAAACCCTTTGAGACTACTTGCGTGTTTTAGTAGTATATACATTATTTTCTCTAGTTTCCATGCCTGTGTTCAGAAGCAAACACACTCCAAATACTTTCCTCTAGTCTTTCATTGAGCAGCAACAGTCCATACAGAATACTTCTGTGACCAAATGTGGTGGGGTAGCATAGAGTGGTGGGGGAACTTGTTTCTTACCACCACCAAGCTAGCAATCAATTGTGCAACAGACACCAACTGGATGTCCTCCCATTCAATTCTGATGCTATCTACCTGGATGTAGAGTCAGATCCCACACGTCGATGGCTTGGTCCCCAAGGATGTCCCCAGTTCAGATGTCGGTCATAAGTCCAAGCCCCCTGAACTTCTGACCAACCAGCTTTAAGATGGGTTCCCATGACCACCACTTTGGGTTCAATTAATTCTCAAGAGCTGCTCATGGAACTTAGGGAAACACTCACTCAGGTGAGCAGCACAAGGTCAGAGATAGCCAGGTCCATGCATGTTTGTGTCTTTCCACAACGTCAAACTTTTATTGATGTTATCTCAATCATAAAAGCCACAAGCTGCATGGAGTTCCCAAGGAGGAAATTCTCGTTAGTATTTTCCATTCACTCAATAGTCAAAGCCATGGGCACACAGGCTCAAGCCACTCCACAAGTCAGTCAATATTGCAAACCATACATAATAATATAATTACGCAACATAAATGTTATAGATTAAATATTTCACAAAGTAACGTGTAACAATGAGAAAAGAAATAGGAAAAAAAAAAGGTTAACAAGCCAGTCCAGAAAGAGTGAAGAAGGCAAAAATGATCTCCTGGTTTGGGCTGGGTCTGGGCTGGGCAGTCCATAGATCTTGCAAGGAAGAGTCTTTGATGTGGGTATAATCTTTGGCAGCAGATGTTGAGTGCTTATCACAATTGATAGCAAGATGGTATCATTTTAGATGACTGATTTGCTGAAGACTTTCTCTTTGTATGGCCACAGAGTCCTCTGGTGAAAACTGATAGTAAAAGAATGTGCTTGTTTATGTCCTTATCTGGTTGGATTCATTCTTTATTTATTAAGCAAATCATCTTGTCCCTGTTGGCTAAGTACTCTATAAAATGTAAAATGAGTGTTTTCCAAGATGGTGTCACTTATGTCAAGGGTGCTCTATACACTTATATTTCCCAATTTATTATAAATGATATTACAAAGGATATAGATACAAAGATGTGTTGGGTAAGGTATGGGGGAAGAAGACAGACCTGTCATACCCTCCCTGGGTGCCATCCTCCAGGAACTTCTGTGTGTTCAGCTATCTGGAACCCCTTTGAACCCTGTCCTTTTGGGTTTTTATGGGGGCTTCATAATATAGGCATAAATGATTAATGTCATTGGCCATCGGTAATCAACTTAACCTTCAGCCCCTCTCCCCATACCAGAGGAATGTGAGGGGTGGGACTGAATATCCCAATTCTCTAATCATGCTGTGATCTTTCTGTGATCAGCCCCCATCCTGAGGCTAGCTACAGGCTGCCAGCCCATTAGTCAACTCATTAGCATAGAAAAGGACTTCTCTGAAGATTCTAAAGGTTTTAGGAATTGTATGCCAGGAAACAAGGTCACAGACCTAATATATATTTCACAATATCACACCTATGCTTTATTTTTCTATAGAAGGCCTATCATCATTTGTGTTAGGCAGAATAATAGCCTCCAAAGATGTTCCTGCTTCAATCCCTGGAAAGGCAAAAGGGATGTCACAGATGTGATTGAGGGTAAGGACATTAACATAGGGAGATTATCTCAGATTGGCCAGGTCTCAAATCCTTAGAAGACTGGAGAGTAAAAGAGAAAGGTGTAGAGAAGGCCTTGGCTCACCATACCTGGCAGTGGTGTGTTGAATAATAGCCCCAGAAACATGTCCTCTTGATCCCTAGAACCTGTGATCATATTATCTAAATGGTGAAAAGGATTTTGCAGGTGTGATTAAACTAAGCATCTTGAGATGAGAAGATTATACTGAATTATCTGGATAAGCCCAGTGTAATTCCAAGGTTCTAATAAGTGGAGGGAGGCAGGAGGATCAAAGTGACAAAAGATATGACAGTGAGACCAGAGGTTGGAGTAACGAACTTAGAAAAGACAGAAAGTGCTAGAAGCTAAGGATTGCAGGCAGCCTTTAGACATTGTCAAAGGCAAGCATTTTGAATAAAATTTTCAATTTAGCTGGTAACTACTATCTCCAGCAGCTGACAGGAAGAGACACAAGTATACCAGGAGGAAATCCACCTGCATGGGTCTCTTTAGGCAGGCCTTACTATCAGGGATCAGATTGCAGATCAAGGCTTTAATGACAATGACTACATGAAAGTTTAAGAGATTTTAGTACTTACTGACCCTGGGGGGCACATAGCACATCAGAAGGACACATATGCATGCACCACACACGCAGAGGTCAAGGAGTCCAGCAGAGAGAAAAGGGACTTATAGGCTAATGCTTTTACTGGGTCCAGGAGAATACCCAAACAGATTTCCTGCGGGGTGCTTTAATTGGTGAGGATAAAAAGTCTGAACAAGTTCCAGAAGGTCACTCTGTGATTGAGAGGTGTTCACTTTAAGCTAGAGGGCAATCATCTGAATGGTCTCTTTAAAGGAAGTTGAAGGAAAGCAGGCAGCCTACCTTGCTAGGTCTGAGAGATTTCTCTAAGTTTTTCTCTCTGGCCATGAGTGGAACCATTTGGGTGAAGCATAGTGTTGGACGCTGTGTCAAGGGTGACTGAGCCCTGCTTCTGCTTTGATAATGTTAAATTTATATTTTAAAATGAATACTTAGGCAACATAAAAGTATAAGCACTCTCTACAGCAAGGAAATAGATTCTCCCTTCTAGCCTCTAGATGAAATGCAGTCCTGCCAGCACCTTGATTTTAGAGGATAAATTTGCGTTGTTTTAAGTCATCAGTTTTTTCTTTACAGGAATTTATTACAGCAGCAATAAGAAACTACTACACTGGCTTTGAAGATGGAAGAATGGGCCGTGAGACAAGGAATGCAACAAGCCTCTAGAAGGTGGGAACAACTTTCACTGACACCCAGTAGGAAAATGAAGATTTCAGTCCTCTAAATACAAGGGACTGAATTCTGCTAACAATCCAGATAAGCAAGAAATGTATTCTTCCTCAGAGCTTCAAGAAATGAACACAGCCTGAAGACTCCTTCATTTAACCCATTGAGACCCCTTTGGACTTCTGACCTTCAGAGCTGTAAGATAATAATTTTGTGTTGTTTTAAGCCAATAATACATTATTAATCTGCCCCCAGATCCAAACACACACACAAGCGTGTGCTCTCACACACACACACATAGCTCTCTTGACAATGTGAATTCCTACTCACTCATCAGGTCTCAACCCAGATATACCATCCTTCAAGATTTCCCACTGCTCTCTCACCCTGCAGTCTAGATTGTGTCCTACTTATGTTTCTCAACAAAATCTGTAAATAGATCTAATTTAGCACTTAATTTACAAAATTCAAAATCTGTCTTTGTCTGCCTTTCTCACTACACTTTAAGTCCTCTGGGAATAGAGGCTATGTGTTGTCTTTATTGCTGCTTCCACAATTTCTAACAGAAGTCACCAGTGTGTATTGGTGTATATTAAAAAAGTGTGTATTAAAAAAGGTATATTAAAAGTGTATATTAAAAAAGGATATATAGAATAATTAAAGAGACTTAATCAGCTTGCTTCTTCCAACAGTTTCCAGAATCTTTCCATAGTAAGCTATTCTTAATTATTTGAATATTTGAGCTAAATGTAAATCTGAAAAATGCTTAGTCCCACTGTAAACAGCTAATTTTATTATTTTACCAGCTTGGTCAACCACAACAATTGCTCTCAGTTTCCATTATATTAATTTAAATGTAGGCCAGGTGCAGTGGCTCATGCCTATAATTTCCACAATTTAGGAGGCAGAGGCAGGTGAATCGCCTGAGCCCAGGAGTTCAAGACCAGCCTGGGCAACCTGGCGAAACTAGGTCTCCACAAATAATACAAAAATTAGCCAGTGATGTGGCACACTCCTGTGGTCCCAGCTACTTGGAAGGCTGAGGTGGGAGGATCACCTGAGCCCAGGGAGGTCCAGGATGCAGTGAGCTATAAGTGTGCCACTGCGCTCCAGCCTAGGTGACACAGTGAGACCCTGTCTCAACCAACAAACAAAACAAAACAAAACAAAACAAAAATCTGGTTTTCTGAATTTCACTTTGTTTTGATTTAGGTTAAACATGAAAATATGCTGAGTCTTTTAGCTGAATAACTTTATAAAAATCATTTTTTAAAAATAATTTTTAAAAATATAAGGGCCCCACAAGGAGCTGACTTACCAAAGACTGTAGTTTCCATATATGAATGATTTCATCACCCTTAACCTGACCAAACAACTACCCTAATTCTCCAGGCCCTTGCCCTCCATGATCCTCTTAGAAATTCTAATCAAGAACTCCTCAGGGAGGTGAATTTGAGGGCCTCCTCCCATCTCCTCACTTAATGCCTTATGATCATTAATATCTTTCTCTGCTGCAAACCCTGCTGTCTTAGTATACTGGTATGTTACTGCACAGTGGGCATAGGAACCCATTGGTTCTATAAGATAATTGTTAAAATAAAGATTTTAAGATAATTATTGAGAAAACTTATTTTATGAGATTTGCAAACCTTTAAAATAGTTCTAGTCAAAACTGCTTTTAAAAACTATAATTGTAATACCTGTATATAGTAATCAAAAAATTAAATTATGAATATTATTATCTCAACATTAAAAGTAACAGAACAATTATTTGTGGCTCATAATCATATGTTTAAATCAATACCTTTGTTGTATATATCCTAATATTTGGTTACTCTACTTTTCTAAAAAATTTTATTTTTTAACATGGCCTTATTTCTAATTTTTGGAAAACATTCACCTATAATATCTAGCTGTATTCGTCCATTTTCACACTGCTATAAAGAACTACCTAAGTCTGGATAATTTATAAAGAAAATAGATTTAATTGACTCACAGTTCTGGATGGCTGGGGAAGCCTCAGGAAACTTACAATCATGGTGGAGGGCAAAGGAGAAGCAAGCATCTTCTTCATAAGGTGGCAGGAGAAAGTGAGCATGAAAGGGGACCTGCCACACACTTTTAAACCATCAAATCTCATGAGAACTCACTCACTATCATGAGAACAGCATGAGGGAAACCATCCCAATGATCCAATCACCTCCCACCAGGTCACTCCCTTGATACATGAGGATTACAATGGGAGATGAGATTTGGATGGGGACATGGAGCCAAACCATATTATTCTGCCCCTGCCCTTCCCAAATCTCATGTCCTTTTCACATTTCAAATCCAATCATGCCTTCCCAACTGTCCCCTAAAGTCTTAACTCATTCCAGCATTAACTCAAAAGTCTAAGTCCAAAGTCCCATTTGAAACAAGGCAAGTCCCTTCTGCCTATGAGCCTGTAAAATAAAAAATCAAGTCAGTTACCTTCAAGATACAATGGGGGTACAGGCATTGGGTAAATATGGGGTATAGGCAATGGGTAAATACTCCTTTTCCAAAAGGGAGAGATTGGCTAAAACTAAGGGGACACAGGCCCCATGCAAGTCTGAAACCCAGTGGGGCACTCATTAAATCATAAAGCTCCAAAATAATCTCCTTTGACTCCATATCTCACATCCAGGACACACTGATGCAAGCAGTGGGCTCCCATGTCCTTGGCCAGCTCCACCCCATGGCCTGCTGGGTACAGCCCCTGCAGTGCTTTCACAGGACAGTGTTGTGTGCCTGTGGCTTTTCCAGGCACATAGTGAAAGCTGCTGGTGGATTTACCATTCTGGAGCCTGGAGAAGGGTGGTCCTCTCCTCACAGCTCCACTAGACGGTGCCCCAGTGGGGACTCTGTGTGGGGACTCTGACCCCCACATTTACCCTCTGAATTACCCCAATAGAGATTTTTCCTCAGGGCTCCACCCCTGCAGCAGACTTCTGCCTACATCCAGGTGTTTCCATATACCCTCTGAAATCAAGGTGGAGGCTCCCAAGCCTCAGCTCTTGACCTCTGTGCACCCGCAGGCTGAAAACCTTGTGGAAACCACCAAGACTTGGGGCTTGCACCTTCTGAAGCAATGGCCCAAGCTATACCTTGGCCCATTTTAGCCATGGCTGGAGTTGGAGCAGCTGGGATGCAGCATGCTATGTCCTGAGGCTGCACAGAGCATCAGGGCCTTGGTCCTGGTTCACAAAACCATTTTTCCCTCCTAGGCTTCCTGGGCCTGTGATGGGAGGGGCTTTCACAAAGATCTATGAAATGACCTGAAGACATTTTTTCCACTGGGGAATTCTTGGCTATTAACATTCAGTTCCTCTTCACTTATGCAAATTTCTGCAGCCAGCTTGTAAACAGTTATTTCTTTTCTATCACATGGTCAGGCTACAAATTTTCCAAACTTGTATTTTCTGCGTCCCTTTTAAATATAAGTTCTACTTTCAGACCATCTCTTTCTTCATGCATATGAGCCTACACTTTTAGAAACAGCCAGGTCACATTTTGAAATTTTTTCTGCTACATACCCTAAGTCGTCTCTCTCAAGTACAAAGTTCCACGGATTTCTAGGGCAGGGGCAAAATGCCACTAGTCTCTGCTAAAGCATAGCAAGAGTGTGACCTTTACTCTAGTTCCCTATAAGTTTCTCATCTCCATCTGAGACCACTTCAGCCTGGACCTCACTGTCCATATAACTATCAGCATTTTGGTCAAAATCATTCAACAAGTCTCTAAGAAGTTTCAAACTTTCCCACATCTTTCTGTGTTCTTCTGAGCCCTCCAAACTATTCCAACCTCTGACAGCTACCCAGTTCCAAAGTTGCTTCCATATTTGCAGGTATCTTTATAGCAGTGCCCCACTCCTGGTACCAATTTTCTGTAGTAGTCCGTTTTCACACTGCTATAAAGAACTGCTTGAGACTAGATAATTTATTTTTTTTAAAAAAAGAGGTTTAATTGACTCACAGTTTGGCATGGCTGGGGAGGCCTCAGGAAACTTAACAACTGTGGTGGAAGGCACCTCTTTACAGGGCAGCAGGAGAGAATGAGAGTGAAGGGGAGCTGCCACACACTTTTAAATTATGAGATCTTGTGGAGCTCACTCACTATCATAAGAACAGCATGGGGAAAATGCCCCCCATGATCCAGTCATCTTCTACCAGGTTTCTCCCTCAACACCTAGGGATTACAATTCAAAATGAGATTTGGGTGGGGATGCAGAGCCAAATCATATCACTGACAAAATAGCATTTTATGGTTAAAAATCTTTAAATAATTAATGCTTTCATTGACTCATATTATTGTCTTTCAGTCAATAATAATTTAATGTTTCTAATCAACAAAGGCTACATATCTGCTAGTTTCAGAGTAAATCACAATAAATGAATAGTAAACTATATTTAAATCATTTTGAACTTCTATTTACATAGTTGTAGTAGTTTAGGTTTCACACATAATATTTTTGTTTATAACATTTTTCAAGACAAAACATCAAATAAGTTATCTAAATTTATTATTTTTAGTTATTCTCCAAATTTAGATGTTGCAAGACTTGAGGATTCTCAATTTTATTTCACCTTGGCACTGACTATAAACTTATCTAATTAAAATAGAAGCTCTATTAAAAGAGTCTTCCCATAAGCTGAATATTACAAAGTGCAAATACAGGCTTTCACAATTTAATAGTATTATGCACCATTTAATTCTCACTTTAATTTGTTTTTATATACATTTGAGGTTCTCTTTAAAAGCACTTTTCAAAAATTGCAATTCACTGAAATTTTGAATAATTGAGTAACATATTTGATGTGTACTTTCTTTGAAGAGTTCTGCTGTAGGCAATATCCTACAGTTGTATTAAATTTAGATTGTTAATGAGTTCTCTTAATTTTCCTTTTAATTTTGACCAAAATGCAACCAAATTTTAGAGAACTTAATTTAATTAAAAAATTAAATACTATCTAATAATATATTGGTTTGAAAGCCAGGAAGAGAAAGTCTCTAGCATGGACCAGATGCTCTCTTTTCTAAGAAGGGAAGGACAGATCGGGTTTTATGCCTCACAGAGTTCTTATTACACAACAGAGTCATATGTATTCAGCAGGTTTTGGAGAAAAGCTATAAATATGAGGGTAGCAAAGCACATGTGCAATGGGTAAACATATGTAATATGCAACCCATGTTCACTTTGGGGTGGGACTTAGCATTAAATGAAATGGAATTTGACTTTTTATGTCAAAAGGTGAGCTATAGAACATGAGACAATTTGTGCACAGCTTCTATCAGCTGGCTAATATTGACTTAAAGTCTGCAGTAGCTTATCAGAAAATAATGATTGTAAGGCTGGTCCTGTGTCCAAAGTTGTAGTGGTCTGGATTGTAAATCAGTGTTAGGAGGCATTTGATAACTTCCATTGTTACAAATTTACAGCCATACGAATCCAGAAATTCACTATGCCAGCTGGATCCTGAACCTTTGACCTGTAGGTAACGTTGTCTCCTTAAGTTCATCTTAGTTGATAAAGGGGTGTCTGTTTTGTTCTCTCAGATTACATTGTGATTCTGATCAATTCTTTACATTTGCCATTAATTTCATCACAAAAATTTTTGTAGCTCACTTACTCTAACTTTATATATTCAACTTTTTGTAAATTTGATTAAATATGGTTTCTATCTCATTTCATATGTAATTATAAATTATATATGAATCATGACCAAGTCCAAATCATTTCTTATAATTTCTTATGCACAGGTTTATAAATTCAGTTACAGCATTGTTTTTGGCACAAGAATATACTTTATCAAAAATATGTTTATGTTATCAACACAAATCAAATACTTTTTATATTTTATGTGCTAATTTGTAAAAATGTCAGATGTTTCAATCTTTGACAGAATGCATTTTTAAAGGCTATATTTTCACTTTTAGGAATTTGTTTAAACATATGTAATCATACTGGAATTAACAATTTCTATTTGAAGCTTCTAAGGACACTTGTGATAATTAATTTTTGCATTAACTTGACTGGGCCATGAGATGCCCAGGTATTTGGTTAAACGTTATTTTTGTGTGGGCCTGTGAATATGTTTCAGGGTAAGATCGACATTTAAATCAGTAAACTGAGCAAAGAAGACTGCCCTCTCCAATGTGGATAAGCCCCATTCAATTTTTTGAATGATCTTTTGAAGGCCTGAGTAGAATCAAAAGCTAAGCAAGAAAGAATTCTTTCTCTCTGCTTGACTGTCTTCAAGCTGGGATGTGGGTCTCCTCTTGCCTTCAAGCTCAGAGTTGGACTGGAAGTATCCCATTAGCTTTCTGGGGTTATTCAGACTAATACAACACTAAAAAGACAATCATACAACTTAATTATCTGCAAAATTTCTACCAATGGTAAAAACTTTAATAACTATGTCTTCATTGTTTATAAGTGCATAAGCAAACCTCAAACTGAAAATGAGTAAAACTAATTTGGAACCACAGGCATTAACTCTAAATGAAAAATTCTAAATAGTGAAAAAGAGAAATTCATTATTTACTTTGCATTAAACATGAAGTTTTATTTTTTTAGCTAATTGCAGCAAAAATAATTTATCACAAATATTTAAAACACTGCCCCCATATAAGGTAAATAAAGTAGAAGTTGAATTTGCTTGGTTTCATAATATGAACATAAAATAAATTTTAACATTTCCCATTAACCCTGACAGTTAGCAACCTAACAGCTTCCTGCGTCTTACAGCTCCCAGCAAAGGCCATGGTACAATTGGTTAGTACAGCAGATGGCTGGCAGAGGCAGCAGTATCAAAGAATTATTACTAGTTACTCATATTTGAGCATACTTCAGTGATGACGCTGTATTGACAGAGAAGTGTTGTCACCTTGGAACTGTATTTACATAGTTTAGAAATTTAAAGTGAAGATCAGCCAAACCTATCGACTTATTTAAATAATGCTGCTATTAATAATGATTAAAATGAAAAACGATTAATATTATCTGTTTAAACTATTTTAATAATAACATATTTCTGAATAAAATCCTATAGGATGGATGTTGAACTGGCTAGGATATTGGGGCAGGACTGTTTGTAAATAGGCTTTTATAGTCATCTTGTATTTAGAAGAATCCAATCTAAGATATTGCAAAGATAATTTTATAAACAACATAGAGAAGTTGCACCTATCTCAACTGCAGATAAACTTTAGGAACTGGAACTGAGAACTAGAAGGATTTAGAGGGGGTATGGGAATAGGGGACCTAAACTGTTGCATATTTTCTGTTTCAGCCTCACATTGTACTTCTGCATTATTTTTTATTTTAGAAGATAAGTTTTATCTGTTTTCATACCACACTATAGAAATTGGCCACTCCACTGTGCAAGGGATTGTACAAAGTTTCACTCATGTACAGAGACTCACTGGTTGTCTTTTAGTCCATATTTCATACTCCTGGGAAAGAACAGCTGATAATCCCAGCTTGGTTTGTGTGCTTGTCCCTGTCTAACTATCAACGCCCACACCGGGGGCTGGAATCACACTTTGCATGTGTGACCAATTCTTTAAGATCAGGGTGCAATTTTCAGAGAAGAAGGGATAGTTTGTGAACTGAATCCACACTAAAAATGGTGTTTCCATACATACACTCACATTTAGGAAATTTTGAAGAACATCATATTAATTGTATTATAGTATACAATTATAATTCATATTGTACATATATATCAATATGTGTACAGTACATATTGTTAATGCATATATTATACAATTACATTACACAATTAATTATATTCAAACTATGAATTTATAACAAAGAAATACTTTAACAGAATTTTTTAATTTGCTTGTTATTTCTTGTTTAGCTGCCTGATAGAGACCTCCATCCATTATTAAAAATTGTGAGTTTTTCTTTCTTTTACATCAGTCATTAATGAGTTATAGTTTGGATTTTACAGTTAAAGTTAAGAAAATAAATCTTACTGTTTCTTTATGATTAATCATACAACTGCAGGATTAAAAAAAAGTAGTGGTGTCTAGTAAATGGCCAGTAATAAATGTAATGGAAATAAATCTAGTTGTTATGCCATAATAACTGTTAGGCAAAGTATGTAATCTTTCTATTCATGCTACTATTCTGTTATTTATTCAAAAGATAGCTGTATTAGTCAGGGTTCCTTAGAGGTACAGAATGGTATATATATCTATATATAGTGATTGCCTCACATTCCTGGTGTGTGGCGGTTGGTGGAAGTAGTCCTCTCCTACTCTGCTCATGTTTGATCGGCTATGTACTGTAACATCAGATTTTATGAAAGGGTGGGAACCCAACTTTCATGGATATTTTGCTCCAAATATATACATAGGAGTTTATTAAGTATTAACTTACATGATCACAAGATCCCACAATAGGCTGTCTGCAAGCTTGAGGAGTAAGGAGAGCCAGTCTGAGTCTCAAAACTGAAGAACTTGGAGTCTGATGTTTGAGGGCAGGAAGCATCCAGCATGGGAGAAAGATGTAGGCTGGGAGGCTAAGCCAGTCTTGCCTTATCACATTTTTCTGCCTGCTTTATATTCACTGGCAGCTGATTAGATTGTGCCCACCAGATTAAGAGTGGGTCTGCCTTTCCCAGCCCACTGACTCAAATGTTAATCTCCTTTGGCAACACCCTCACCAGGATCAATACTTTGCATCCTTCAATCCAATCAAGTTGACACTCAGTATTAACCATCACAATAGCCAAGACAAAGACTGAAAAAGAAGTACTGACTTTTTCTGCTTAATTTTTCACTTTCTCTAATCACCTCTTTTCAGTTTCTTTTATTTTCTTTCCATAAAATTTTAATGGAAATTAGCTAGTCTTTGAGAGGACATTTGTTCACCAACAGTTTGTGTCAAGAATTTTACCTATCTTCAGATCAAATGAGCCAGAGCAAAAACTGTCTTTCCTGAATGTATTCTTCCTTTATCAGTTGTGGTAAAGATGTGATTAATGATTACTGTTTCCTGCTGTTTCTCTTTTAGTTTGGTAATTAGCTCCCTGAGCTGTTCTCATTGTAAATGAAGGGGTCCTAGGGAGCCATTTGAAGAATCTGAATGAATGAATTATCCATCATGCAGTCTTTTTGAAAAAGCTAATTTGTAGAGGAAGGTGCACTGGGTGGTAAGTAAGGTTCAGTAGGACAACTTGTCAAAACATAGTTTGGTTTTGTTTGCTTCCAAAATTTTCAAAAACAAATATCAAGGCCTATTATTTGGTGCCTTGTAAACCTAACCTGGGTAAGAGCTCATCTTATTCTGACAAAAGTTTTATAGTCATAATCTATGTATCAATTAACATTATGTTTCATTTGGTCACACAATATCTGGGAGAATTTATTTGGCTATTTGACATTTGGAAATAATATTAAAACATGTTTTGTTTTAAGTACTTTCTATGGTCAGCTTCTACAAAAAGAGTTTATCAGCATTGTTTCACTTAATCATAATAAATATTATGCCAGATTTACAGATGAGAAAGCTAGGCTTAGAGAAATTAAAACTTGTACAAGGATACAAAGGTAATACAGAAAATTATCTCACTCATTGTTGGCTCTCTTGACTACACAATACCATCTCCAAAGTCCACATTCTCTGTTTTTTAACAACTGACTTCTCTATTGTGCACCTTAAATACCATAGAACTATTTAAGAATAGATCAAAAAATCCTGGTGACTAAAACATATATGGTGGTAAACCTTTGAATATGTTCTTAATTATAGTAGATGCTAGGCATGTAAAATATTGTGTGTATGTTGAAAAAATCTTATAATATTCTAAATGTGTTAGAAATGATAACTGAAAATTTGCAAATCTGCTTCAAAAGATAGATGGTTTTGAGAAACTAATAATTCCCTTAGTGCATTTTTTGTGTGTTTGCTTGTTCTGTTTCTAACTGTTTATGGTATGGCCTTTTACTTCTGGATTTTCTGCATATAATACAGGGTTTTTTCAATGGAATTAACA
This sequence comes from Homo sapiens, assembly GCF_000001405.40. Lineage (NCBI taxonomy): Eukaryota > Metazoa > Chordata > Mammalia > Primates > Hominidae > Homo > Homo sapiens. The sequence goes on along the minus strand of NC_000010.11, from coordinate 65,272,295 downwards.
ATGGAAGATAATGGATGTCAAAGCAAAATTGGCACATGAAAAATATAAACAAGCAAGGAAAACTTTAAGACTTCTGAAACAGAAGAGAAAGGCTAAAACTAAGCCTGCACTTAAATTCAATAAAGCACGTAAGTCTGAACTGAACTCTACTGAAGCAGGTATTGTTAGGAATTTAAGGGCTGGGGTGAGCTAGCAGAAATGTACTGGAGGACATTAAGCCACCTGGATTTGCTAATTTATCTTTATGGCAGGTAGTAATTTTGCAACTTGGAGAAAAATATCCATGAAAGTTGGGTTTCTACCCTTTCATAAAATCTGGCATTACAATAGGTAGCTGGTCAAACATGAGCAGAGCAGGAGAGGACTCCTTCCACCAACCCCCACACACCAGGAATGTGAGGCGACCATCAGGTGATGGTCAGGCAGTTGTTAACTGTTTCTCTAAAATAATCAGCACCAGGGAAAGGCAGTCTCCCAATAAACAGGAAGACCTGAAGCTGGTCACTAGCCGCTTCCCAATAGTATATCAAGAGTTGGGTGAGTGGGCTCACATATGCACACTAAGAGGCAAAATGGCAGTTTAACTAGTGTATGAACTCCTAGGGATACTCTGCTGGTTAGTGAAGAATGCCTCAGGTGAGCATGCATATAACTCCAGTAAAGATACTCTGCATGCTCACCTCCCAAGTGCTAACAGGCCTCTGCACATGCAGACAGCCCACCCCAAGGGAAAAATGGGGGGAGAAAGAATGCAAGACCCCGGAAGTATGCCAACATATAAAACCTTAAGTCAAAAGGTCAGTCCGCACACTTGTCTGTCAAGTTGCCTACTTGGCCCTCTTTCAAGTATATTTTCCCTTTTTTTTGTTGTTCCTGTCTTAAACCTTTTTAATAAACTTTCACTCCTGCTCTAAAACTTGCCTTAGGCTCACCTTCTGCCTTATGCCCCTCAGTCGAATTCTTTCTTCTGAGAAGGCAAGAATTGAGGTTGCTGTAGACCTATACCGATTTGCCGCCGGTAACATACGTTGGTGCTGCGTGACTTGGATAACTTCCAACACTGACACTGGGAGATACGGGTGCTATGTCTTTCTCTGAGATCCTGTGTAAGGAACATGGCTGTGCTTTGGTCAAGGATAGGCCAAGGTAGGATGTTTACATCCTGCGTGACTCAATGAGTTTAGAGCGCGGGTGTATAACTCCACTTGTTATCACAGCCATGAGGCCATAACTTGGGAAGGCCATCCCTTGGCTCTATGCCACTATTGTCTGTAAAAGGTACAATTGCCCTGTTGACACTGTTCAGGCATGCTGGTGCCCAGAGAAAGAGAGAGAGTCAGAGCTGTCCATCTTTGCAGGCGGACATGGGGGAGCCAGGACACAGCTCGGCCTGCTAGTGCCCACAGACAGGAAGAGTTAAACTGCTGACTCTGAAGGCAGGGAAGAGCCAGCCATGCAGCTGTATGTGGGAGCCGCCAGAATAAGCAGCCGAGACAGGGCGGACAGTGTGAGAAAGCCGTTGATTGGAGCTGCTGATGAATAAAATCATCTTTCACCTGCCTACGGCCCCCCGAGTGTTCTTTTTGCTCCTCCACCCACTCCCTTCAGACCTCAGCATGGGCTAATACTTGACCCCAAATGTGATAATTGGCACAGTTGTGAACCCGACACCTTGAGAAGAACATTTCAGGTTATGTAACTGGCAAGAGGCCTTTTTTTTTTAATGTTTTATGTATATCTCAAAGGAGCAGAGAAAAAAATTTACAATAACACGTTTTCTCAAATAAATGCTAGAAGAAAAGGAAGATCAGGGGCCCAGAGTTAAGAAAAATCCCATCTTTAGTCAAACTGAGGGTAGCATTAATGTCATCTTACTCAAGGGACTGAAGAAGGGTACACTAGGAACTTCAACTTTTTTTCCAGCTTTTAACTTAAAATGTAGCTAAAGAAAATATGGCAAATTTAAAATTTAATAAAGCTTTTGATGTTTACTATATTATTTATTTATGGTCATTATAGTATTAACTCTTCTGTATATCTGCAATATTACAAATGTTTTAATATTATAATTTCTCTTGTAAACCTAACCTGGGTAAGAGCTCATCTTATTCTGACAAAAGTTTTATAGTCATAATCTATGTATCAATTAACATTATGTTTCATTTGGTCACACAATATCTGGGAGAATTTATTTGGCTATTTGACATTTGGAAATAATATTAAAACACGTTTTGTTTTAAGTACTTTCTATGGTCAGCTTCTACAAAAAGAGTTTATCAGCATTGTTTCACTTAATCATAATAAATATTATGCCAGATTTACAGATGAGAAAGCTAGGCCTAGAGAAATTAAAACTTGTACAAGGATACAAAGGTAATACAGAAAATTATCTCACTCATTGTTGGCTCTCTTGACTACACAATACCATCTCCAAAGTCCACATTCTCTGTTTTTTAACAACTGACTTCTCTATTGTGCACCTTAAACATAACTCAGTCCATGACAAACCACACCAAAATGCATGCAATTAAATTATTAAGTCATGCTTCTTAATTCTGAATGCATTATCTGTCTGTAAGATAATAGGCTGATGTTTATCTTCCTGACTTTTAAAAAGAATTAGATTCTGCTTTGTGCTTAACCTACTGAAAAGGACTCTTGGAGCATTCTATAAGAAAAAATTGAGTACAGATTGAAAATGGCACTGGAATCTCACTGCTTTATTATAGTATGAAGGTAGGACCTTATGTTATTTGATGTACATGAAAATTGTAAATCTTGGCTAGGCCCGGTGGCTCACGCCTGTAATCCCAGCACTTTGGGAGGCCGAGGCAGGCAGATCACGAGGTCAGGAGATCCAGACCATCCTGGCTAACACGGGGAAACCCCTTGTCTACTAAGAAAATACAAGAACATTAGCCGGGAGTGGTGGCGGGCACCTGTAGTCCCAGCTACTTGGGAGGCTGAGGCAGGAGAATGGCGGGAACGTGGGAGGCAGAGCTTGCAGTGAGCCAAGATCGTGCCACTGCACTCCAGCCTGGGCAACAGAGCAAGACTGCATCTCAAAAAAAAAAAAAAAAAAAAAAAAAAAAAAATATATATATATATATATATATATATATATGTATATAATCAGATGCCCAGCCTTGGACCAAATATTTGTGTTTGTGTTTATAGTATCATATATTACAAATCATTTTATGTGATGATGGGAGACTGGGTAGATCTCAAAATATGGCTAAACAGCTGCCCTACATAGTCATACATTGCATAATAAAAAAGTTTATAATGCTGAACACTGTAATATTTTGATATTTTTGTTTTATTTAGTCTTATCAAAGAACATACAAATGCAATAGATGTTCTCAATAAATCTCATTTTTATTAATGAAATAAAATTATAGATTTTTTTATAACTCTACTAATTCTTTGCAAATAGTCTTATTTCTTAATACTTAAATTCTTTATTAAGATATTCTGAGGGTGAGGAAAACTAGAAATGAAGTCAATTCATTCACTTTTAGTGACAGAAAGAGCAAGATAATTTTTTCAACATAGAGTATGTTGGTTCTAACATAAATGTCTGGAAAATCAAGTGCCATTTTTGTGACTTTCTCCATCCACGATAACCATGTAGGGGGTCACTGGTTATAACAGCAAAGTCCTGAGAGTATGTCACTCATGTCAAAATTTTTCAGTGGCTTAGAAATGGTTTTTAGAATAAAGGCTAAATTCCTTTTATACAACCACTCTCTCATGTAGCCAAGTTACTATATATATCATCCTATCCATAAAAAGACGGATAGGCTTTTTACTTCTTTCATTTTAATTCCTTCATTTTTTCTACTGTCCTTATCAATATTTAATATAAAACTATCAGTGAAAGTGCAACTAATTATTTCCCATCATAAAAATTTGGGTCTCCATATGAGGTATATTAGCTATTTAAACTCAAGGGGTATCAAAAGGATAGTTAAATATTCTATTTAAGTGTCCTAGTTAAAGTTGCTACTGCTGAACACTACAGAAATAGTGAGGGAGAAACAAACAGTGAGGGAGAAAATAATCATTTAATTAGAGGAGCTAAGTTCACCAAAGTACGCCAACAGAGACAGAGACTTTTATTTGTAAAACTGAGCTATTTTTTGTAAAAATCATCTTATATTGAAGCGTATTTTATAGTTCCAATTTAGTGAGACGAGCCTGGCCAAAATGGTGAAACTCCGTCTCTACTAAAAATACAAAAACTAGCCAGGCATGGTGAAGCGAGACTGTAATCCCAGCTACTCTGGAGGCTAAGGCAGGAGAATCGCCTGAACCCACGAGGTGAAGGTTGCAGTGAACAGAGATTGCGCCGTCGCACTCCAGCCTGGATGACAGAGTGAGACTCAAAAATAAATACATACATACATAAATAAATGAATAAAGTTCCAATTTAGTGTACATTCCATGCCATGGTGACATAAATGACAATAGACTGCCCAAAGTGAATACATGATCCAGCCCATAGAGAGCTATCCTGGGGTTTCACTTAAATAGATATTTAATAAGAATGATGATTTAAAAATATTTTAAATTGTTATATTTCCCCAATATTATAAGCCAAATTTAAATCTGTTTTCTCTTTGGACTTATGCAAAATATTATTAAATACTAAGACAAAGATTGTCATTTCTATTAAAAACAGTAACAGTAAATATTTATTGAGAGCCTGATACTTTCAACACATCTCATTTAATTCTCAAAGCAATCCTACAGGACAGTGACTATCGTTTTACTATAATATTTAAAAGAGGTAGTTACTGAGACTTAGCAGTAAAAGTCAGAATAGGTATTCAGATTCAGAACCATTCAGATGTTCTTAATCACCACCGGAAGCTAACCTTCTGAATGAGGACAGTGAAAAATCCAAGAACTAATAAGCAGCCAAGCCTAGTGGAAAAAAAAAAAATTGCAAACTGCTAATCAAACAAATTTTTACCCTTACTTCACAAACCATATTTTACTTGTTTTTATGTAATAAATTATCCAACTCTTGCATAGCCTGCTACCATCTGCCTGTTCATTTCAGAGGGCACATAATATATTTTCTTCAGAAATAAATACCACGTTGCTGAGTGCTACATGTAACACAAACTGCTTATCATCTTCATCCAGTCATTAGTAACTATAAAATACTTCCATTGCTAAATATTAGTGCATCAAACAACTCTCAAGCAGGTCACAATACCTGATAATCTCCAAGAAGTTCTCAGTATTTTTACTCCTCTTTTCACTTAACTATATCAGCAAACAAGAGAGCAAATATTTTCTATTTAACAAATTTGAATTTTCTTTTTTGTTCACAGAAGAAAGACTTGGCTCTAAACTAGTTTTAAATATAATTGTTGATGCTATACCAGTAAAACAAAGGAATATCGGAAGCAGCTGTGAGTCTTACCTGAACAATGTCCACAGCATTAATGTGAAAAGGTTAAATCGTCTGATCATATGCTAATTGCTCTACCATCCTGCATGTCTTCCAGAAATGATCTAAATGTTAGAGTGTTTTGAATTTAAGATTTACAATTTTTTTTTTTTTTTTTTTTTTTTTTGAGACAGAGTCTTGCTCTCTCGCCCAGGCTGGAGTGCAGTGGCGCAATCTCGGCCCACTGCAAGCTCCGCCTCCCACATTCCCGCCATTCTCCTGCCTCAGCCTCCCACGTAACTGGGACTACAGGCGCCAGCCATCACGCCCGGCTAATGTTCTTGTATTTTCTTAGTAGAGACGGGGTTTCACCATGTTAGCCAGGATGGTCTGGATCTCCTGACCTCGTGATCCGCCCGCTCGGCCTCCCAAAGTGCTGGGATTACAGGCGTGAGCCACCACGCCCGTCCAGAAAAATATTTTTTAATAAAGAAAAGTATTTGTGTTAGCTGGGCGTGGTGGTGCGTGCCTGTAATCCCAGCTACTCCGGAGGCTGAGGCAGGAGAATTGCTTGAAGCTGTGAGGTGGAGGTTGCAGTGAGCCGAGATTGTGCCATTGCACTCCAGCCTGGGCAACAAGAGTGAAACTCCATCTCAAAAAAAAAAGAAAGGCATTTGTAATTGATTTATGACTATTTGTTAGTTTTTCTTACAATTTGTAACAATCGATTAAAGTGTTTTACCAATTAATAGCATTTTGATTCCCTCCAAATTCTAGTTAATATGTTTTTCACTATTCATACTGTAAAGTTCACATTGTGTTATATAATACTATGGGTTTTGATAATATATTCTTGTATCAACTTCAAGAATGTTGATATAAAATAGCTCAATCACTCTAAAAATTTCCCTTTATAGTTGACACAGCCCTCTACTCACTATCATGGAAAATACTGTTTTTTATCCCTGTAAGTTTTCCCTCTTTTTCATCGTGCCATATGAATGGCCTCATACAATGTGTAACTTTTGAGGTCTGGCTCCTTTCACTTACCAAAATACAGTGTTGTTCCATGAATTAACGATTTATTAAGGTTTATTATTGCATAATATTCCTTATGGACTTATTACTGTTCATTTAATAAAGGAATATTATGCAATAATATTCAAACTGTAGTAGTGATTCACTACAGTTTATTTGTTTTATAGTTAAAGGACATATGGGTTGTTCCCAGTTTTTGGCACTTACATGTAAAACTGCCATAAATGTTTACATAAAGATTTTGTGTGAACATACATCTTCACTTTTCTTTCAAAAAGTGTAAGTATGAGCTTGCTGGGTCACAGAGTATTTACTTTATATTTATATTTAACTTTATAAGGAAATGCCAACATAGTTTCCAAAGAGTCCCTACCATTTTCTTTCCCACCAGAAATGTATAGCAGTCCTAGTACTCAGCACTGCACACTTGGTGTTGTCAGGTTGGGTATACAACAGTATTTCATGGTTGTTTTTATTTGCAATTCTCTAATGACCACTGATGCTTAGTTTATTTTCACATGCTTATTTTCTATCTGTATATTTTGTTCAGTGAGGTGTCTGTTAAGATATTTTGCTCAATTTTTATTAGGGCCTTTAATTTCTTATTGTGTACTGAGTTCTGACATTTCTTTATATGTTCTAAACTCCTTGTCAAAAGTAGGATTTGTAATTTATTTTTCTCAGTTTATGATCTGTCTTTTCATTCTCTTAAAAGTACCTGTTACATAGAAAAAGCTTTTAATTTTTAGAAAATAAAATTTATCATTTTTAAGGGATATCTGAAAACTTTTTGGTGAACACAATAACACAGGTATTTTCTTTTATATTTACTTCTAGAAATTGTATAGTTTTACATTTTTCACTTAGGTCTAGGATGCATTTTGAGTTAATTTTTCTATTAATTGTAAGATTTTAATGAATTTCATTCTATTGATCTATTTACATTCAACTGTTCCAGTACAATTTATTGAAGTGGCTATTTGTTCTTTATTAAATTGACTTAGATCTTTCTCAAAAATCAGTTGACTATGTTTGTGGGGGTCTATTTCTACACTGTTTTGTTCCATTGTACGATGTGTGCCTATCCTTTCACCAATATAGTACTATCTTTATTACTATAGCTTTAGAGTTTTTCTGTTTTCCTCTATTATACAGATTTGTGTTTCATCATTTCATCCTTTATGTTTGTTTTTCATTTAATTTGCCTGTAAATTTTAGTTTCTTAATGTGCAACATCCAATTAAAAAAAATAGTAGAAAACAGCTTATATTCATAGTGGAAATAAATACTATAAATTGTATATTTCAAAAAGGAAATACTAGGTTAAAAAATGACAAGGTCTAGAGTTTTCATGGAGATATCAGAATGGTTTTATTGTTGTATATATACGAAATGGAACTTCATAGAGAGCAAAACGTATTAAATTGTGTATATTATATCAATAGGATAAATTTGTAAAAGTTGTGTTGAGTAACACAAATCCAAATACTGGGGAAAGTGGAAAAACTGGCCAACAGGGAAACTGATGATTAGAAAGGTTGAAGGACTCCCAGTCCCAAAAGAGGCCTGTTGGTACAATGTAGAAGCTGCGACAGCAGTGTTTGAGTTAAAGATCCATGAGTGAACAGCCTCTTTATGGCTCTGGTTAGTAGCCATCAGAGGAAGATAACAGTTCATAGTGAAAAATTGTGAGGGACTTTTTTTTTTAATGAATGAAAACAAGAGTGAGTAATAAAACTCATTTAAATAATCATATAAAAGTCACTGTTGAGACTAATTCTTTTCAAAATGTTGGCATGTCTATTTTTCTTGTTATTTTAGTTTCACAGATATCCTGTGACACATTTCAAGTTGGTCACATGATATTGTTTGGCTGTGTCCCCACACAAATCTCAACTTCAATTGTAACTCCCACAATTCCCACATCATGGGAGGAACCTGGTAGGCGGTAATTGAATTATGGGGGTGGGTCTTTCCTGCACAGTTATCATAATAGTGAATGAGTCTCACAATATCCGATGGTTTTACAAGTGGGAGTTTCCCTGCACAAGCTCTCTTTGCCTGCCACCATCCATGTAAGATATGACTTGCTCCTTCTTGCCTACCACTATGATTGTGAGGCCTGCCCAGCCATGTTGAATTGTAAGTCCGTTAAACCTCTTTTTCTACCCAGCCTTGAGTATGTCTTTATCGGCAGCATGAAAACGTACTAATACAGTAAATTGGTACCAGTAGAGTGGGGCATTGCTGAAAAGATACCCGAAAATGTGGAAGTGATATTTTGGAACTGGGTAACAGGAAGAGGCTAGAACAGTTTGGAGGCCTCAGAAGAAGACAGGAAAATGTGGAAAAGTTTGGAACCTCCTAGAGACTTGTTGAATGGCTTTGACAAAAAATGCTGATAGTGATACGAACAGTAAGGTCCAGGTTGAGGTGGTCTCAGATGGAGATAAGGAACTTGTTGGGAATGGGAGAAAAGGTGACTCTTGTTATATTTTAGCAAACAGACTGGTGGCATTTTGCCCCTGCCCTGGAGATTTGTGGAACTTTGAACTTAAGAAAGATGATTTAGGGTATCTGGTGGAAGAAATTTCTAAGCAGAAAGGCATTCAAAATGTGACTTGGGTGCTGTTAAAAGCATTCCATTTAAAAAGGGAAACAGAGCATAGATGTTCAGAAAATTTCCAGCCTGATGATCCAGTAGAAAAAAAAATGCATTTTTTGAGGAGAAATTCAAGCCAGCTGCAGAAGTTTGCTTAACTAAGTAGCAAAGAGATGTTAATCCCCAAGACTATGAGGAAAATATCTCCAGACCATGTCAGAGACCTTCACGGCAACCCCTCCTATCACAAGCCCAGAGGCCCAGGAGGAAAAAGTGGTTCCATGGGCTGGGCCCAGGGTCCCTGTGCTGTGTGCAGCCTAGGGACTTGGTGCCCAGTGTCCCAGTTGCTCCAGGCATGGCCGAAAGGGGCCAACATAGAGTTCGGGCTGTGGCTTCAGAGGGTGGAAGCCCCAAGCCTTGGCAGCTTCCATGTGTGTTGAGCCTGTGGGGGTACAGAAGTCAAGAATTGAGGTTTGGGAACCTCTGCCTAGATTTCAGAAGATGTATGGAAATACCTGGATGACCAGGCAAAAGTTTGCTGCAGGGGTGGAGACTTCATGGAAAACCTGTGCTAGGGCAGTGTGGGAGGGAAATGTGGGGTTGGAGCCCCCACACAGAGTCCCTTCTATGGCATTGCCTGGTGGAGCTGTGAGAAAAGGGCCACCATCCTCCAGACCCCAGAATGGTAATCCACCAACAGCTTGTACCAAGCACCTGGAAAAGCTGTAGACACTCAATGCAGCCCATGAAAGCAGCCAGAACGGGGGCTATACCCTGCAAAGCCACAGGGGCAGAGCTGCCCAAGACCATTAGAACCCACCTTTTGAATCAGCATGACCTGGATGTGAGACCTGGAGTCAAAATAGATAATTTTGCAGCTGTAAAATTTGACTGCCCCACTGGATTTCAGACTTGCATGGGCCCCGTAATCCCTTTGTTTTGACCAAATTTTCCCATTTGGAATGACTATATTTACCCAATACCTGTACCCCCATTGTATTTAGGAAGTAACTAACTTACTTTTGATTTTACAGGCTCATAGGCAGACAGGACTTGCCTCATCTCAGATGAAACTTTGGACTGTGGACTTTTGGGTTAATGCTGAAATGAATTAAGACTTTTGGGGACTGTTGGGAAGGCATGAATTGGTTTTGAAATGTGAGGACATGAGATTTGCAGGGGCCAGGGGTGGAATGATGTGGTTTGGCATGTCCCCACCCAATTCTCAACTTGAATTTTATCTCCCAGAATTCCCACATGTTGTGGGAGGTACCCACAGTGAGGTAATTGAATCATGGGGGCTGTTGTTTCCAGTGCTATTCTCTTGATAGTCAATAAGTCTCATGAGATCTGATGAGTTTAGCAGGGGTTTCAGCTTTTGCTTCCTTCTCTTTTTTCTCTTGCTGCCACCATGTAACAAGTGTCTTTTGCCTCCCACCATGATTCTGAGGCCTCCTCAGCCATGTGGATCAGTAAGTTCAATTAAACCTCTTTTTCTTCCCAGTCTTGGGTATTTCTTTATCAGCAGCGTGAAAACAGACTAATACATGGTGTTACATAATTTTTTGCATCTCACTTGATTTGTTTGTTCCCTATTTTAGATATATACAGATCTATGACTAAAATCAATGTCTAATTAACTTACAATGTAGTGAATATATTTTACCTTACCATTAAATTCTAGATTTCTCAACCTAAATCGGTCAGAATTTGACAAATGTATATATCAACATTTCCCTTTTAAACATGCAGCCTAGTGCATTTGGATTTTAATTATGGATGTGTTGTTTTAAAAATTAAAATTTTATCCCAGAAATTTTGAAAAAGCTCTTATTGAATGAGCTATTTGACATTACTCCTATAGGATTAAAATTTAACTGTTAACAGTCACATTTTCTCAAACTGTGATAATTTAGTTCCTTAATTTCCACCGTATGTTGGTTGTTACTGTTACCTATTTCTTCTCCTTCTTTTTGTAGATGCTGAATGGCAAACTGTAAACACAGATGTCCAGCTAGTGACATGTGTTGGCATTCAGGATTCTCATTTTGAGATAATACTTAAGTCTTAGTTTTTGTTACTATAAGTGTTTAGATATAATAACCTCACTATTCCTGGGTGCACTAATTCCTCATTATGCTTCCCTGTCTTTCACACTCTTTTCTTCAATAACTGAGGTCACTGTTTTTATAACAATGATACATGTATTTTTTTCATTATGCAAAACAGAGAAAGTACAAAAACACAACAAAATATGACTCCAAATCTTAACTACATGTAATAGTATTTTTCTAGAATTATCTGTATGTGTTTAAACAGACAGATTGATAGAGGAATAGATGAATAAATAAGTAAAATTAAGAGCTCCCCCCATCATACCCCCAGGAGAGGCCATCCAGTCCTGTGACTTTAAATTTCATTTATTTCTTATCGACGCCAAAATGTATAACTTTTAGTAAAAATGCAAAGACAAAAACAAAACAAAACCCACATTTTTCCAGATTTTGATCACTTCCATCACCAGTGCCACCAATAATCATAAATTCCCAGGAGCGTCCCTTCTGGGTCATTTAACAAGTTCTCTGGTTTCCCTGCTTCATCTCTCTTTCTCTCATGGCAGTTCTACATGGTGATGAGAATTATCCATTAATTATCAAAATCAGATGCTCTTATCCCCTCATTTTGAAACCCCACAATCACTTCCTATTACTTTTGCAATAAAATATAACTTATTAGCATGGCCTGTAAGGCCCTGCCTGATCTGCCCTTGAACTCTTTTACTGCAAGTTACATTATATGACTATGGATAATTTTGTCGTGTGCATCCACTGTAGAATGTAAACTGTATGTGGGCAGAAAATGTTCTCCAATTCACAGCTTTACCTGTAACAACAAGGTGGCCCTAGGTGAATATACAATAAGAATTTATTGAATGTATAAATTTAAAAATAGATTGACAAAATGAGACTCTACTGTATAAGTTAGTTTTAGAAATAAAATTATGAAGTAGAATGTTAACGTAACTGGAATGCTTGTACATTAAAAGAGTTGCTAAATTAAAGGTATAATCTTTTGTCAAATAATATAGATGAATGGGGTTGGGAGGTTGGGAAAGGTGGCAACTTCTTTCTTGAAGGAGCCAAGAGCAGCTAAGGAAGAGTGGGGAGCCATGCAGTCATGTCTTTCTCTCTCTGGAGTTCCCTGGTGGGAATGATGATTAGTTACCTCAGTGGCAAGATATGCCCATGTTCTCTCTGGAATAGGCTGCTGAGAACACAGCGGTTCTCACTAAAAGACTGACACTAATAGTGTACAACTTTCTTCTTTGTTCATAGCTGTCTTCTGGCATCTGAGCAATGCTGATCTCACTAGCAATCCTTTCTGGATAATCAGTCTCCATTTTTTTACTCCGCAGTGTTTCTGCAGATTCCTTAATGTGCCTTTGAGCCCTCTCAGGGCTATTTTGGTTTGTGGATAGCTATCTGTATTTGTTTTTGGATGGGATGAAAGGTATTACCTCGTACTCCACCATCTTGGTGACATCTGTCAGAACTTTTTATATCACTCAACTATCTTGTGACTTGTGTTTCTATGAAGAAATTTGAATACTAACTTTTTTTTCCAGGATAATTTATTTTGATTATTTTTATATTTATATTGTTAATATTGTTAATATTTTATTCTTCCTGTCTTCTGGGAACACAGGTGGCTGTAAGTCCCAGCTGAATTTGCAGAAAGGAAGACCAAATGAATACTTCCAGGTTATGGAGTATGAGATGTGGTGATAAACGATACTTCTAGGACAAATCATAAGAGTGGGATTTCCATATGCTTTCTTAGCTACCATGGCAACAAGGCCCTGTTCCAACTGATGAAGCTAATGGACAGCAAATCAGAGCCCACTGTCAACCTGTAGTCTGAACCACATGAAATTGCTATTTGACCATTTTTGAACTAGAAAATGGCAATCTCATATATTTTAACTCAATGTTAGAAACACGTAGTGTAGGCTACAAACACACCTTTGTTAAATTAAGATACTAAAATTAGGAGTCAGTTTATTATAGCAGCTATGATAAATCTTGTTTTTCTTTTTTTTTGAGATAAAGTATGCCCTTTGAATTATCAGAATTAAGTCTCTGTTTCAGGGAAGTAATCTATTTTATCTTTGAATATGCTTTCTTTTCCATTTCAACTGTACTCTTTAAGAACTATGTATTTTTATTAATAGAGAATATTGTGTACATTTATTGGGTACATACATGTGAGTATGTGTTATATGCACAGAGTGTTAATGATCAAGTCAGGCTGTTTGGAATATTCCTTACTTCGAGTCTGTATTCTTTCTTTCTTTCTTTTTATTTTTGGAGATGGAGCCTTGCTCTGCCACCCAGGCTGGAGTGCAGTGGTGCGATCTTAGCTCACTGCAACCTCCGCCTCCCGGGTTCAAGCAATTCTCCTGCCTCAGCCTCCCGAGTAGCTGGGACTACAGGCGCACACTGCCACGTCTGGCTAATTTGTGTGTGTGTGTGTGTGTGTGTGTGTTTTAGTAGAGACAGGGTTTCGCCGTGTTGCCCAGGCTGGTCTAGAACTCCTGAGCTCAGGCAATCCGCCTGCCTCAGCCTCCCAAAGCGCTAGGATTAAAGGCGTGAGCCACTGGGCCCTGCCAAGTATGTATTATCTCTATGTGTTGGGAAAATTTCATGTCCTCTCTTCTAGCTACTTTGAAATAGTCAACACATTGTTGCTAATTAAAGTCACTGCTATTGAACATGAGAACTTATTTCTTCTATTTAACCATATGTTTGTATCCAGTAACCAGCCTTTCTTTATTGCCTCTTCCCACCCTCACACACTTCTCAGCCTTTGGTATCTATGATTGTGTTTTCTACCTTCTTGACGTAACTTTTTTAGCTCCCCCATATGAGTGAGAACATGCAATATTTGACTTTCTGTGCCTGGCTTATTTCACTTAACAGAATTACCTCCATTTCCATCCATATTGCTGGAAGTGACATGATTTCATTCATTTTATGGCTGAATAGTATTCCATTTTGTATAGATTTTTTAAAATCCATTCATCTATTGATGGAGACTTAGGTTGACTCTGTGTCTTGGCTATTGTGAATAGTGCTGCAATGAACATGGACATGCAGGTATTCTTTTGATATACTGATTTCAATTCTTTTTCTTGGGATAAATACACAGTAGTAGAACTGCTAGATCCTATGGTAGTTCTATTTTTCACTTTTTGAGAAATCTCCATATTATTTTCTGTACTGGTTTACTAATTTAAATTCCAACCAATGGTGTAGGAGAATTCCTTTTCTCTACATCTTCACCAGCACCTGTTACTTTTAGTCTTTTTAATAATAGTTATTCTAACTGGGATAAGATAATATCTCATTGAAACTTTGATTAATGATGTTAAGCATTTTTTCATATACCTCTTGGCCATTCATATGCATTTTATAAATGTCTGATCATGTAATTTGCCTACTTTTAATGGGATTATTTGTTTTCTTTATTGTTGTTTGAGTTCTATGCAAATTCCGTATATTACTTCCTTGTTGGATGAATATTTTGCAATTATATTTTTCATCCACTAGGTTGTCTCTTTTATTATTATTTTTTTTTGAGACAGGTTCTTGCTGTGTCAGCCAGGCTGGAGCGCAGTGGCCTGATCACACCTCATTGCAGCCTTGACCTCCAGGGCTCAAGTCATCCTCCCACCTCAGCCTCCCAAGTAGCTGGGACTATAGGCACACACCACCACACCCAGCTGTTTTTTTTTTTTTCTATAGAGACAGGGTTTCGCAATGTTGCCCAAGCTGGTCTAGAACTGGGCTCAGGCCATTTGTCCATCTCAGCCTCCCAGTGTTAAGGTTGCAGGTGTGAGCCACTGTGCCCAGCCCAGGTTGTCTCTTTAATCTATTGACTATTTCCTTTATGATGTAGAAATTTTTTAGTTTAATATGGTCTCATTGTCTATTTTTGTTTTTATTGCCTATGCTTTTGAAGTCTTAGCCATCTCTTTGCCACAACCAATGGCAACACTTGAAGTGTTTTCCCTATGTTTTCTTCTAAGAGTTTTATAGTTTTGGATCTTACATTCAAATCTTCAAACCATGCTGAGTTGATTTTTGTGGATGGTGAGGAAAAGGGGTCCAGTTTCATTCTTCTGCATATGAATATCCAATTTTCACAGCACTATTTATTGAAGAGACTCCTTTCTTCAATGTATGTTCTTGGCAACTTTGTAAAAGATTAGTTGGCTATAAATACATGAATTTATTTCTGGTTTCTCTATTACTAGGCTACCATAGCTTTGTAATATAGTTTGAAATCAGGTATAATGCTTCCAGGTTTGTTCTTTTTGCTCATTGCTTTGGGTATCCATAATATTTTGGGGGGTTTCATGTGAATTTTAAGATTGCTATATCTAATTCTGTTGAAAAATGACACTGACATTTTAATAGGAATTGCATTGATGCTGTAGATTGGTTTGGGCAGTATGGTCATTTTAATGATATTTCTTCCTATTGATGAGCACTGGATATGTGTCCATTTGTTTGTGTGTCCATCAGTTTTTTTCATCAGTGCTTGTAGTCATTCTTGTAGAGATCTCTCATCTTCCTAGTTAAATATTTTCCTAGATATTTTATTTTTTTACCTATTGTAAGTAGGATTACCTTCTGATTTCTTTCTCAGCAATTTCATTATTTGTGCATAGAAATGCTACTTTTTTCTGTGTTTTTGTATTCTGCAACTTTACTGAATTTATTGATCAGATCTAATAATTTTTTTGGTAGAGTTTGAATGTTTTTCTAGATATTAGGTCACATCATCCGTAAAGAGGGACTATTTGACATCCCTTTTTTTCCAGCGTAGATGCCTTTTTTTTTTCTTTCTCTTGCCAGGTTCCTCTGGCTAGCACCTCCAGTACTATGTTGAATAGAAGTGGTGAAAGTAGAAATCCTTGTCTCGTTCCACTTCTTAGGTAAAAGACTCTCAGCTTTTTCTCCTTCAGTATGATGCTATCTGTGAATTTCTTCCATATGACCTTTATTATGTTGTGCTATATTCCTTCCGTGCCCAGTTTCTTGACAGTTTTTTATCATGAAGGGATGTTGAATTTTATCAAAGCTTTTTCTGCTTCAGTTGAGGTGATCACATGACTTTTGTCCTTCATTCTCTTGATGTGATGTATCCTGTTTATTGATTTGCATATGTTGAACCATTCCTGTATCCCTAAGATAAATCCCACTTGATCATGGTGTATCATTTTTTTGAGGTGCTGTTGAATTTGGTTTGCTAGTGTTTTGATGAAGATTTTTGTGTCTGTGTTCATGAGGGTTATGGGTCTATAGTTTTCTTTTTCTGTTGTGTCCGTTTTTGGTTGTGGTAGCTGGATAATGTGGCCCTCATGGAGCAAACTAGAGAGAATTACCTCAAATTTTTGGAATACTTTAAGGAAAATTGGTGTTAGTTCCTCTTTGAAAGTTTGGTATAATTTAGTATAATCAGTGAAGCCATCTGATCCTGGACTTTTTTGGGGGCGAGACTTCATTACTGCTACTATCTCATTACTTGTTACCGGTCTGCTCAGGTTTTTTATTTCTTTGTGTTTCAATCATGGTAGGTTGTATGTTTTCAGAAATTTATGCATTTCCTCTAGATTTTCAAGTTCGTTAGCATGGAGTTGCTCATAATAGTATCTGATGATCTTTTGTATTTCTGTGTTATCAGTGGAATGTTGTGTGCCCTGACTTTCCTGTTCAGTGGGCGGGGTGGGGATACAAGGCAGAGTAGGACCACTTGGCTCACCCACAAATACCCCAGTGATGTGTGCAGGCACCAAATCTGATGGGTGTCTGGGGGAACTCCTGGTGAAATGCATTGAGGTCTCCACAGGGGGAGAGGGGCTGAACTACCTCCATATCTTAGACAAGCAGGAACATGATCTGTTTCCTTATTCCACCCCTTTCCTGGGCCCTGTGACTCTCAGTGCAGCCACCCACTGTCATCTATCTCCAGGACACCATGTGGCTGAGAGCCACAGAAAATGCTTAATGGCCTTGAGGTAGAACCGCTTCACTCAGCCTAATACAGACAGCTTTGTGGTTCTTCTGTTCTCCAATGTGAGAACACTGCTGCTTCACATAGAGAGGGGTAGAGGCTTCACCTTTTGGCACATATGAGTGGGTGTCAGCTGTGGTTGTGGTGGCTGGTTAAGTGGACCCGACCTCAGAACCTAGGGGAGTCTGAGGACTCAGACTGAGGGAGTGGTCAGGCCCCGGCAGTGATGGAGTGGGCTAGGAAATCTCTGTGTCCCCAGGACCCTAAATGGCCAACTAGATGGTGTATAACAGGCCTGGAGTGACTGGGCCCGGAATAAGCCAGCAGTCTTGTTCTTATGTCCCTAGAAGTCAGGTGCCCTCTGTGATAGGGAGAAGCAGGCTGCTGATTTCCGGGTCACCAGCAGAAATTTCAGTCAGGGGCAGGCAGAATGCTCAGGCAGTGGAAGAGTGCTGAGATGGTGGGAGCTCCAGGGTAGATCACAGGCCTGTGGGGGCTGGGCTCTCAGAAAGTTTCCAGGGTGCATCTGAAATGATAAGGCAGGAGCAGGACAGCTGTGCTGAAGGTATTTTACATGGAAGACAGGCCTTCCTGAGTGGGAGCAGTGAAGGGAGGGAGCTGTGTGGCGCATGCCCACTTGAGCCTCCCTCTCACAGGTGCAGTGGCAGTATCCTGCCTTGGGATCTGCAAGCATGCCTGGCCTCCCACTCTCTTCCTGGCCTGGAAGTGCTGAGGGCAGCAGCGGTGGCAGTGGCAGCCCAAGGGCATATCACCAGGCTTTGGGGCCTGTGCTCTCAGAAGAATAACGTTCAGCAGTGAGAATGCTCAAGCAGGGGCAGTCCTGCTGCTGGAGAAAGTAGGCCTCCTTCAGCTGGAGCAGTGGAGGCTGGCAGCTGTGGGGCACGTAGCTTGCTTGCAGTTTGCTCCCGTAGAAGTGGGGTGGATTTCACTGTTGGGCCATGTTTCCCCGCTTCCAGCATGGCTCAGTGGCAGCAACTGCTGCGGAGGCCAAAGGGTGGATCACCAGCCCCGGGTTGGGGATGGCTCTCAGAACACCTGGCTGCAGCCAGCATGCTCAAGTGGGAGCAGGGTGGCTGGGCTGCAGACCTGTCTCAGAGTCAGGTCAAGTTTAGCGGGGAGCAGCAGAGACAGGCAGTTGCGTGGTGCCATCTTCTCACCTGTTGGGTTGTTTTGTATGATATCTCTGGCAAATTTCTCATTCATATCCTGAATCGTTTTTCTGGTTGCTTTGTGTTGTTTTTCAGTATTCCCTTATATCTTATCGAACTTCTTTAAAATTGATATTTTGAGTTCTTTTCTGGGTTTTTGTAACTTTTTAAAAATGGGGATCTTTTGCCGAAGAATGATTGTGTTCCTCTGGAGGAGTCACATGTTTTTGCTGTTTTCATGTATCCTTACACTGGTATCTGTGCATCTGGTGTAACAGTCATTTCTTTCAACTCTTTAAATTTGCATTCCCCAGAGCCCTGACAGAATGCTTAGGTCGAGGGTGGCTGCAGTTGTGCTGGATCCAAGCCACTGGGGAGGGGAGGGCTGCCTTCAGTGGTGGCAGCCTAAGCTGGCAGGTGAGGAACACCCACTCTGTTTGTACTTCAGCCATGGTGATGGCTGCTTCACTCACACCTCAATCCTAGTGACTCTGGGCCCCCGGTCAGTGTGCAGGCTCTTTTGAGTTGGGATTTCAAAATGGTACCTTGCTGTAGCTGCTTAGGACTCAGCGAGAGTGTGGGACCCAGGACAAATCCTTCAAGTGCTTCATATTTTTAAAGAGAATTTGTTTTTTCTCTATTCCATTACTATCATTTTCTCTCAATTTTATGTTGTTTTTAAAAGTTTACAGTGATTTACTTAGGCTTAGCCATTATATATAGTTTATTCTTATTCCATTTTTATTTTTACATTTAGCTTTCATTTTTTACTTCATATATTTGCCTTTTTTTCCTGAAAAATAAAAGCCCTTGTTTTCTTCCATTTTGGTCTACTATATATATTTTCTGAATATTTACAACTCTTGTAACTTTTTCTAAGAAATAGCATGCCTGTAATTTCATTGCAACTATTACAAATGTTTTACACAATTTCATTTTGTGTTTTTTTGAGTAGTGCCTTCTATGATATATTGTACTTATTAGCTCTTTGTTTACATTTCTTTCTCTAACATTTTTCCCCACATTTCTTCTTGATTTTAATCTTTGAGTTATGATCAGTAGGGTCTGAAGAGAAGTAGTGTGAGAGGCAAGGGTAATGTTAGAAGGGTTGTGAATTGGAGCAAACATTAGCTTTCACTTTGTGTCAGTGTTTAAAAACAACCTCTCACTAAATCTGACTTTTCTTTGTTTTGAGCTGTGTCATTGCCAGGTGTGAGGTATTGAAAAAGAGAATGTAGATTGCAGCAAGACCCTTTAAGTCACAACCTTTTAAAAGTTGCCTATATTTAAGGTGTACAACATGATGTTTTAATACAGATCAAACCTTTCTGTGCTTGAATCTTTGGCTTGTTTTTCTTTACCTCCTCTTTGCCTTCACATTTGGCAAGTTTCCAAACTAGAGACAAGTTTGTGTATAATATAAATTGCTTATTTACATGGTTTCTGTTAAATCTCCTCTTTGGAAGTCCCTGATGTCAAACTAAACTTTTATAGCGCATTCTCTATAGTCTGCCCCACATTCTCCCTTAAGCGCATCCCTATGAAGTACCAATCTCTGATTTTAGATATCATTATATTCCAATGATTATAGGGTTTATCTTTCAACAACAACATCACATGTTGGAAAAGATATATCTTGTTTGAAGTCTGACACAGCATCTATACATATTCCCTCCTCTTCACCCAAAAGTCACAGATTTTGGCCCAATTAGCTGTATAGTATTTGAATTTGTGGCATTACCCAACTTTCTGGATGGTCATGTGGTAGTTAATTTGTTCATGTTTCAAAGAATGTGAGAACCACAATTGTTCTGCTTACCCTTATATTCAGAAAGATCAAACTGTTGGTGTTTCTTACATTTTAGGGCTTAAAAATTTTGTTGAATGAATGAGTAATTGAAAGTAAAAATGAAATAAAAATGAAACAGCCTTGGAAACCATTATATACATGGTAATCTGCAGTACAATCCTAACATTTTAAAGAAGATAGGCCTGTATCCAGTAAATATATAATATATTGCTATTGATTTAGCTTTATATTTGATATTTATAGTTTTTTCTTCTAAGCAACGTTATGTCAAAAGACCCAAATTTAAGTGAATGTGAAGTCTTAATTTTCTGTATAGACACTATAGATATTTTCTAAAATAAATATATGATATAGTGGACAGTGGAAATTTTCAATAAGGAAAAATTATTTTACTGAATGAGATTAGCAGAAATATCTAATTGCTTTCTTTCTTCACTTTTTTTCTCTTCAAATGTACTACCTGACACATTACATACTTCTTTCCTACAGTGTAAATAAATATACAGCTTACTTTAAGATTTGCCATATAAATTTTTCTCTACGTCCTCATTTTACTTTGGTCATTCATAATTTTATGGTAAAACTTGTGAATATAAACAAAGTATAACTTCTTAAAACTATTCATAAACAATGTGAAAAATAGATACAATGTAGTCTTAGCATATAAAAAAATCACAGATATATGTGTCTATTCTTTTAAGGAAAAGTAGCTTTTGAGGATATTTTGTCAATATAAACACTGAATAAATTTTAAAATTCAAAGCTATAAAAACTTCCTTAGAAAGAAGGTTACATTGATGAATGTTCCTTATGAGAATGACTTCCTTGGATTGTATATGTGTCCCCAAACCAGGAAAGTAAAACACTCTTCTCCATCATGCCAGAAGATCATATGTAAGTCTTATCAGGGAAAGAAGGGAACTTAAATGCATTATATTTCTTGGTAAATTATAATCAAAATAATTATCAAACTTTAAGAGAGGCAAATTAGTAACCAATTCTTCAAAGAAATCAAATCTCTTGAGCGGTTACTGATTTTATGTGTGAACACTTTCTATAAACATCAACCTCATTGATAATGTAATTTTCAGGGAGTACTTGAAGTAAGCCAAAATCCTGACACATTTAAAACTAACAAGAATTCAGTGGAAAAAACCTTACATTCAAACTATAACTGTTTGGTAAAGGTGTTTTATTCAAGATTCAAGATTATTTTCAAGTCAGGATGAGTTCATTATCAGAGCATTGTAGTAATAGCTAGGCCTAGGGAGAAAGGGTAAAATTACAAATCTGGAACAAAACGATAGAATCTCCAAATGCCAAATGATATTTTGAAAAGTAGGAAATGGTAAGTTGAACATAGCAATTTAGAAAATGGGGATAGATGTTTAAATTACCTCACAAACTAGAGGATCACTGGGAATAAGCGGAGTAGACTTTTTTGGTTTTAATTTTGTTTAATGTTGCATTATTGGAAAGTAAAACTAAATAAAAATATCATTATAATAAATAAACCAATTGTATAGACTGTTAGAAGAGGAATTAATATGTGCAAATATGAAAGAAACCTAGGTCTTAGAATACAATATATCATGCATTGTCAATGATTTTGACAGAAAACACTGAATAAAAATATAAAAATAAGCAATAAGAGGAAGTGTAAGGAAGTAAGAAAAAGTATGGCATTTTTCCTATTATTCATATTTAGTATTATGATTATATGTAAATAAGGTAAATATTGGAATGAATGGTAAGATTAAAAGGCAACTCATTCTCTCTATTATAAAAATATTTGTCTGAACACTATCAAGAATCCAGATGTGTGAAAACATAATGCTGGAAGTAGAAACTTCTAGAGATAAAGACTTGACTGATTAGAAATATCTAAAATCTAGAAACACAGTGCTATGAGATTTAGTCCTACCTTGCAGTTGAAACAACTAGAAAATGATGAACAATTTCATAAAATATAATATGCATATTTTTCTTAATTTTAATAACTTTCACTTTAAATATACACACATATAAATACACACACACATATAAATACACACATGTGCAGGTCAAAACAAAAACAAAATGTGGTCATTAATAAGCACATCTAAATCAACCCTACAGTGACACAGAAATAATTTTTCTATTCCATTCTTTCTAAAAATCAAATAGAAATGTTTTAATTTTCTCTACTTAAAAAAATTTGATTCCTCTTCAGTCATAAACAGTTTCACTTAATTGATTAGCATAATTATAGTACAGCATTTTTGCTACCACATTGGGGAAAAAAAAAGCACAGAACTTAACAAGCAGGTGTTATACAATAAAGTTTTACTTAATGAGCAAAATAAATATATATAAACATACACAGAAGAGAAAGTTAAATACTGTTTGGAATTAAAAGTAAATGAAATTATATAAAAATATTTATATTTGGATTACGCTCTTTGGGGTATTCACCTTTCCATAGTAATCATTACTGATTTACAATGTAGTAATATATTAGCCTTGAAAAATACTGATCATACTAACATTTGTAGCATAGCATGCTATGTTTTAAATTTTCATTTAAGAATAATTATCTTAGAAATATGCATGAAGAAAATTATAAACAATTTACAGTGCAAAGATGTACATATATTTTTCATGTATATATATCTTAAACTATACATATATGTTGACATGTATGTGCGTATATATGTATATATGCTTGTGTATAGATATTGCTAACCTCGTGTCTCTCATACATGTCTCTGTCTTCTGAAGAATACCCTGGATTTGTTTTTTCCCCTGCCTGTGTACCACCTCCTATACTGTTTTCAAGGTAGGTCTTCCAGTTACCAACCTTTTGAAGCTTTATATGCCTGAGAATATTTCTACTGTGGCTTTCCATTTCAGTAAGAATTTGACAAGATATAAAACTGTAATGAAAGATTCTTTTGTCCATGTTTTTTGAATGCTACTTCATTTCTTCTTATATTCACAGTTGTTATTAAAATGTTTGATATCAGTCTAACCACTCTTTCTTCATAGGTGATCAGCTCTTTATGGAAATTGATACGATATTCTCATTGACTTTGATATATTTACTTTTTACGAAAATATATTGGTTTTTCCTAATCTCTCTTATTTTACATGTTATGGGCCCATTTATCTTTCATTTGGGACATTTATTGCTATGATTTCCAAAATATTTCTACTTTCCTACTTTTACTTTTAAATATTTTCTGTGATACTTGCTATCTGGATGTTGGCACTTTTACTTTTATCTCCACATCTCTTAACTTTCCTTTTATATTGATTTATTTATATTTTTCAACTATTGTATTTATTTAAAACAAACTGACACGTTCAAGTACCTGTCTTCAGAAAAGCCAGCAGCTTTTTTTTTTTTTTTTTTTAACAACCAGTGATACCTCTAGTTGGCTTCAATGTTAGCTGCAGAAAATGACCTTTGTGGACCTTTACCTCCAGGCTGGGAAAAAAGGATGGATTCAACAGACAGGGTCTACTTTGTGAATCATAAAACAAAAACAACCCAGTGGGAAGATCCAGGAACTCAAGGCTTCCAGAACGCAGAACCCCTGCCAGAAGG
Source organism: Homo sapiens (assembly GCF_000001405.40). Classification (NCBI taxonomy): domain Eukaryota; kingdom Metazoa; phylum Chordata; class Mammalia; order Primates; family Hominidae; genus Homo; species Homo sapiens. The sequence goes on along the minus strand of NC_000010.11, from coordinate 65,248,601 downwards.
CTGGGAATTTTGTATACTCATGAGAGTGTTAGGTACTTTGTTGATCATAACACAAGAACAACAGCATTTCAAGATCCTTGCAATAGGAAGTCATTTGCAACTAAAGATAGACCACAAATTGCTTATGATTACAGCTTTAGGTGGAAACTTGCTCACTTCTAGTATCTGTGCCAGTCTAATGCACTACCGAGTCATGTAAAGGTCAGTGTGTCCCGGCAGACATTGTCTGAAGATTCCTTCCAACAGATTATGACATTAAAACCCAAGGCTTGTGGCAGTTATATATAATATTTAGAGAAGAAGAAGAACTTCATTATCGTGGCCTAGCAAAAGAATGGTTTCCTTGCTTTCATATGAAGTTTTGAACCCAATGTATTGCTTATTTGAGTATATGGGCAAGAACAACTATTGTCTGCAAAGAAATCCAGCATCAACCATTAATCCAGACCATCTCTTATGCTTCTGTTGTATTGGTCATTTTAGTGCCATGATGCTATTTCATGAAAAGTTTATTGATGGTGGTCTCTAGTTACCATTCCATAAGTGTATGTTAAGTACAAATCTTTTTATATTTATATTGTTTTGCCCTTCCCTTCTTTTGAGATAGTCCATCTCACTAACTTGTTCTAATAGGTATCCACACTACTAGTAATACATTCTATTATATCCTTTATGCAGCTATTAGATTTTTTAATCCCTAATATTTTACTTAGTTGTATCTATCATTTTTTCTCTGTTTTTATTTCTCATGTGCTCATGCATCTCCTTAATTGTATTTCTAATCCTTATCTTGAACCCATGGCCTTGCATTAAAATAACTTTACTTCTTATGGTACTTCTCATTCTTTTTCTTTTAAAATAAATTCACTCACCAGATTTTGTTTGCTTGTTTGTTTGTTTAGTCTAGTGTGACCATATTTCTATGGAGGGCATACCCTAGTTATATCAGCAAAAAAAAAAATCAATTCAAGAAGGGATGAGGCCTAGAGTATCCCACATTTGTAATTATTTCCACTATTTATCACCTCTCTAATGCTTCAGGTTAGAGATTAACTTTAACCCCCTGCTTATCCCCATAAAGCAGCATGGCATTAGTTTGAGGGTGAAACTTTTTATAATCTGGAGCCTAAATTAAGACTGATTAGTCTTGAGAATGTGGAGATGAAGATGAAAGGGGGTGATGGTTTGAACAGGGGATGGGGTTCCAAGATTCATAGATTCTGCACTAGCTTCTGCAATTTCCCTGATTTCACTCTAAGGAACAAGTTATCACTGAGCTGAGCCTTTGTAGGGCTATTAAATTAAGGGGGCCTCTCTCACAGCAATGATGGAGAAGGAGGTATGAGCAGAACAAACTACTTTTTTCTGATTTATCTTCCATATAAGCAGACACCTGCTATAAAGACCCTCATTCATTTTTCTGTCTCTCTGGATGTGTTTTAGTTCACAGTTTCTACTTTCCTCTCTCCTCAGATCTTTTAATAATTCCTTCTTCAGTTTCTTTACATTTGATGACAGGGAAGGGAGCTTTCCACCAGTGCTAATTCTCTTCTTGGCAGAAATTAGCTCTATTGACAGTTTATCAACTAATTGAAAAATTAAATAACAGTGTTATCAGTAAGCATTGCTTAGTAATTTGTAGCAGTTACTGTTGGTTACATACCTAGCATTCTCTTGGAAACAATCTTTATTCTTTTCTAATAGTATCCTAATTTTTTCTTTTTGGTAATTATTCTGATCCACATAGCTATGAATTTCATTAACCCAACAGTTATTATTTCTTCCCCTAGCTGTACTGCTTTAAGAATGATGTGGCTCTATTATGTCCAATCACACATGATAGGGAGCTGCTTGGGAAATGTGTTCTTGGAAAGCTTTTTTGTTTTTCTTTTATCACAAGAGTAGTGATCCACATTTTATTTTGTTGTCCTGTCTGAATTTAACACGTAGAACTGCTGCAGACTTCTTGGTATCTACCTGAAGGTGAAGCCCACAAACAGTCATATAGAGTGCAAAGAACTTTAGGAAAGTGGATCTTAGCCCTGAAGTACTATGTCTAGAACCATCCTAATTCTGAACCACTTATTAGGGAAAATAATACAATAATAATCGTAATAATTCATACAATATAATGCAATAATACAACACAATAAAATAATTCAATAATAATTTTATTGTTTAAGTCAGTTTGGAATTTGGCATGTTTGTTACTTGAAAATAGGACATTCTAACTGAAGTGTTTAAATTTATCAAAAGAGTTTAAAATTATTTATAATTAATCAAGCTCCTTGATGCATGACTATTTATTTTAATGATCTATAAACTCATATCTGTTGATCATGAAGATGAAATGATTAAAACCAAACATTTCTCAGCCAAGTAAAGCTAATTAATTTCATTGAAAATGAAAACCCCCAAGACAAACAAATTATCATATTGGTATACCTTACGAAAATGAGTTTGCAAACTTTAAAAAATCTATGCTTAATACAAAGCCATAGAACTCAGCCAAATTAATGTACTCATAACTATATAATCCTAGGAGAGTCACCCAATTCTAAACAACCCCCTGTGGGGAAACAACTACAAGAACACTATCTCCACTCTTTTAATATATTTTTCCTGTTGATCCCAAACTACTAAAAATGTGCTATTTCACAAAAACTGTGTGTATTTGAGGAGGGACATATTTTATTTCAGGTTTAATTTGTTTTACTGAGGTTTACTCAATGTTTAATATGTACATTGTTTTCTGAATACTAACAGGGAAAATTTGTATGAATTTATTTTTTATAAGTTTTCAACTGTAGATTGGGCTTAGCTGAGTGGGGGTGATCTTATTTTTCTTCATTTTAATATGGGCATTCAGGCACATGGTTAAGGATACAAAGGTGAACAGAAGGCTGTTGGGAACAAGCCCCCCAAAATCTGGCCATAAACTGGCCCCAAAACTGGCCATAAGCAAAATCTCTGCAGCACTGTGACATGTTCATGATGGCCACAAAGCCCACGCTGGAAGGTTGTGGGTTTACCGGAATGAGGGCAAGGAATACCTGGCCCGCCCAGGGCAGAAAACCACTTAAAGGCATTCTTAAGCCACAAACAATAGCATGAGCAATCTGTGCCTTAAGGACATGCTCCTGCTGCAGTTAACTAGCCCAACCTATTCCTTTAATTCGGCCCATCCCTTCGTTTCCCATAAGGGATACTTTTAGTTAATCAAATATCTGTAGAAACAATGCTAATGACTGGCTTGCTGTGAATAAATATGTGGGTAAATCTCTGTTCGAGGCTCCCACTCTGAAGGCTGTGAGATCCCTGATTTCCCACTTCACACCTCTATATTTCTGTGTGTGTCTTTAATTCCTCTAGTGCCTCTGGGTTAGAGTCTCCCCAGCTGAGCTGGTCTCAGCAGGAGGCAACTCAAAATATTTCAATGAATTAAAAACAGTACAGACAAATGTCTCCTAGGTTTTTCCATTAATCATTGACTTAGTGAACTAAAACATAACCAATAAAGTCTGTCAGCATTATAGACAGCAATGATATTTTCTTTTATTTTTGCCAAAAATGCCCATGAATGGTGTTTTTCAAACTAAATATGCTAAGAATATTTTAAAGCTTTTTGCTTTGAATTTTTAGTCTATGGAAGATTCATATATTTGAAAAATACAATTATATTAATTATGAGAAAAATACTAATGCTCCTGGATTCCATCACAATTAGCAGTTTGCTAAACACTAACTCTCAATTTCTGTTTTCATCTATTTACCTGAAACAAAATTTCTCAGCCTGACCTGGTCTGTGTGCTACTATTTGAATAGCATTGCAATAAAGCAATCTTTTTCCACTTGAAAGGAGGGAGAAACTCAACTTGCCACAGGGAATAATGTTTGTCTGAAACTTCACAATATAGTTTTATGTTTACTACATGGCAACATCATGAATAAATCTTTATCCTGATAGTTGGTCAAAATCTATTTGACACCAGACAATAAAGATAGCAAAATTTTATGAATTGCATCAAACTAAATAGTTTTTTTTTATTATGACAGGATACTAAATACAATGCATAGGGATGAATAATCACATATGGTGAATATAACCAGAATTGAGGTTTAATTATTCTGAACCCATGTGCCTAATTCATATCCCAAAACCTGTTACTTATTATCTCTGTGATCTTGTAAATGTATTAACATTTCTGTTTCTCATCTGTTTGTCTACGTCACAGGATATTTACAAGTGAGGTAACTTAAAACTTCTCTAAATACCTTAATGTTTATTAAGTGTTTGGTAGTGGTAGCTGTCACTAATTATTATTTATTAGCAAATGATATTTTAAAAATACCAGATACTGCTCCATTTCTTTACTCCTTTTTATATTAATACTTCTCAGAAGAGTAATTTATACTTACATCCTCTTATGCCCTCCCTCTATTTCTCTGTCTCTGTTTGAAACATTCTTTCTTCCCCCCATTCTGTTCCTGTTTTGTTTCTACCTGTCTAATGAAATAGTCTTTGACAAGGCCACAGGATAGCTTTAATTTGCCAAAATCAATGATCAATAGTCTATCTTCACTTAACATCTCAACAGCATTTGATACATCTTGCCACTTCCTCTTTCCAGAAATATTATCTTCAGTTTTCCAAAACACCATATTCTTCTACACTTTTCGTTACCTGTTTTTCATTTGTTCTATTACATCATTGGCAACTCCTCCTGACTCCACTGACTATTCTTTTTCTTCTTTTCCAGAGCTCGCATGCAGCTACATACTTTCATTAAGTGATCTTATTCAACCTAATGGCTTAAATGACTACTTTGGAGACTTCCAAGCTTACTTCAGAACACTAAAAACTCCTGTAAGACTTAGATTTGTATATCCAATTTGTACACTATTGTTTTCCTTGGATATCTAATACTGATTTTAAATTTAGTATGTTCTAAAAAAAAAACAGGCTGCTTAATTCCAAGCTCTTTTCTTTCTAAACTCAGAAGGAAGAATCTAGTTTCTCTCTTGAACATACCATAGCAAATGTCATCACTACTCATCTATTGGCTTGTTCAGGACAAAATTCTAAGAATAATCTATGATTTCTCATTTTCTCTTAGTCCTTCATCTGTCTTGTTTATGGTGATAGCTTTAGCACCTAACATAGAAGCTAGTTTATAGGAGAACTTCAAAAACATTTAGTAAATGAATATATTTCTCTCACGTTAGTGAGGGAAATACTGATTACTTGAATAATACTCTTTTGATCATTATACTCACTGTGCTTTATTTTTACAACTTAGTAACCTCTAATATTAAACATGTAATCAGCTGTATGCTTCAAAGCCTTGAATAGGCAGTGAGGATTTCTGTGTGAGGAAGAAGCGAAACTAATGAAGTATGATTGTGCACTGAGAAAACTTGTTTCCCACCTCTAAAATGCACAATAATAAAAGTCATTAAAGTTTTACATATAAATGTCAGAACAGTTTTTAAGAGGACAAAAGTCTGTTGATATTCATCCTCTTCTTTTCACACACTTCAAAGTTTAAGAATTCAGGTACTATGGACTGTAGTTTTGCATGTATATTTTTATTCTGGCATGACTTCATTTCCAGAAAATATTTTAGTATCTATATCCTTATATCTTCTTGCCTTCTTGTAGTCCATTTGCAAGCGTGCCTTTCTTCTACTGTCAAATATGTTTGAAATGCAGATATGTAAAAAATTGCTATCTGCTATCATTCTCTCTCCTGTGCATATATAGTCATAGTTTAAGGTAATTTCATAATATCAATTTAATATATTATTCCAATGACATATTTTCTATATGCATCTGTCATCAAGATATTAGATTCTTTGAAAAGTAATTGGATATGTTTTATGCCAAATCCAAACACCTATGTCAGATGACAGAAATCCTTTTTCTTACTTGTCCTACCAAAGCAAAGCAAATTTGATAATCACCTACTTGTCAAAGGCAAGATACACTATGCTTTAATAATTCATAAGTGTGGATAAAATGTTTAGTCACTGTAATTTGAGATAGAAAACTTTTACAATTTTAAATGTAATACATTCTTAAAACAAGGCTTTTTTTTCTGTTTCAATTCATATAGAAGATTTCATTGTCTTCCTTTCTTTCCCATGTTGAAATCACATTTCTTGTGAAATTTTTATTGCTTGTGACAGAGTGGAAAGAATAGGTAAAGATCTTAGGATGCTTGAGTCTCATCTCCCAACTTATGTACATTGAAGTTGCCTCAAGCAGAATAACTAGGATAATGGGGTGAGGACACTTCAAGTCTACATTCCCGGTTAGAGCTTTTGCTCTAGAATATGCTGTAGTCTTAACAAATAAAAATTGGATAGATCCAATGTGAGATTGAAAAGCCATATGTTCTCCACAATCAAGGACATTTAGACTCACCATTTGATCTTATCTTTCTCACTCTTATTATTTCCAGGACAAATGAAAACAATGACAAGGTGAACTGAAAAAAAGACTCCCCTCAATGCTTGGAACAGAGATAGTATTTTTCTCCAACCACTTGTTTCATTGTTTTGGACTCTACTCTGATCTGCAAAACTTCCTGAAGAAGAAGTTGCCTGGATCCAAGCCATAGATGGAGACATGGGAGAAACCAGCATATATAGATTCATTGCTAGACCAAACCCTTCCATGTAACATAATATTTTAAATTATTACTAGTATTTCCTTCAACAGTTCTGACTTCAAATGTCAATGTTCTTTCTTTCAAGTAGGTTGAGATCAAGTATATTTATCATTCAGCCTCACAAGTAGTGATTATTTTACTTTTCTCTTTGCCTTCACAATTAATCAGTAATGATTCTATAGACTTTCGGTCGTACACACCTCTTGTCAATATAACTTTATTGGGACATATTTTACATATCATATAATTCACTTATTTCAAGTGTACAATCAATACAAAAGAGTAAATTTACCAAGTTGTGCAATCATCAATATAAATTAGTTTTGTATTTCCCCAATAAGATCCCTCATGCCCATGAACTTTTAATCTTTGCTCCCTCGCTCTGCCTCAGGCAGACAATAGTTGTCTCTCTGTCTCTATAGATTTGCCTTTTCTGGACATTTCATATAAATAAAATCACACATTATGGGTGAGACCTCTTGTTTTTGACTTCTTTCATTTGCCACATTTTTTAGGTTAATCTGTGTCACAACATGGTTCAGCAGTTCTTTTTTATTGCTGAATAGTATTTCTTTTTCTTGATATACAGTATTTTGTATATTCATTCACTAGTTGGTGGGCATATATGCTGTTTCTAATTTCTGGCTAATTCAGATTTATGTTTTTTCTTTTTATATTTTAAAATTAATTTTGCTATAATATACATGTCATACAATTTACCATTGTAATTTTTATTTTTGACAAAGTCTTGCTCTATCGCTCAGGCTGGAGTGCAGTGCCATGATGTCTGCTCACTGCAACTGCCACCTCCCGGGTTCAAGCGATTCTTTTGTCTCAGCCTCCTGGGTAGCTGGGATTACAGGCGCATGCCACCATATCTATCTAATTTTTCAAATTTTTAGTAGGGACAGGGTTTTACCATGTTGGCTAGGCTGGTCTCAAACTCCTGGCCTGAAGTGATCCACCTGCCTTGGCCTCCCAAAGTGCTGGGATTACAGGTGTGAGCCACTGCACCTGACCCATTGTAACCATTTTTAAGTGTACAGTTCCGGGGTATTGAATACATTCAGATTGCATCAATTCATGCCGCTATAACAAAAATACCATAAACTGGGTAGCTTATTAACAGACATTTATTTCTTACAGTTCTAGAGGCTGACAAGCTCAAGACCAAGGCTCCAGAAGTTTTGAGTTCTGGTAAGGGCCTGTTCCTCATAGACAGTGTCTTCTAGCTGTGTCCTGAAATAGTGGAAGAAGCTAGCTAACTTTCTTTTCCATAAAGCACTAATTCTAAAGATGATTGCCTTGCCCTTTTGAACTAATCACTTTCCAAAAGCCTTCACCTCCTAATATGATCACCTAGGGCATTAGAATGTCGACATATGAAGTTGGAGGGGACACAAACATTCAGATTATAAGCATCGACCATCACCAGAGCTCTTTTTATCTTGTAAAACAGAAACTCTGTACCTATTAAACAATGACTCCCCGTTTCCCTCTCCCTCCAGTCCCTGGCAACCACCATTCAACTCTCTGTCTCTATGAATTGGACGACTTTAGTTACCCAATGCAAGTAAAAGCTCATAATATTTTTCCTTTTGTGATTGTGGCTTTTTTACTTACAATGTCCTCAAGGGTCATTCATGTTGTGGCATGTGTCAGAATTTCCATCCTTTTAAGGCTGAATCATATTCTGTTGTATGTACCTACCACATTTTGTTTATCCATTCATCCTTGTGTTCCTTACACCTCTTGGCAATTGTGAATAATGCCACCATAAAAAATGGATCTACAAATATCTCTTCAAATTCTGCTTTACACCTTTTTGGGTGTATACTCAAAAGTGGAATTGCTGTATCATATAGTGATTTTTTAAACAAAAATTTTTTTGAGGAACCAACATGCTGTTTTCCATAGCTACTGCACCATTTTACATCTCCATCAAAGGTAAAAAAGAGTTAGTTTTTCCACATAGTAGCCATCAATTATTATCTTTTGTTTTTTTGATAATAGACATTCTAATGCAAGGAAGGTCATGCTTCAGCTTCATTTTTGTGTGAGTTTTCTACCCACAGTTATCATGAGGGAGTGAAAGTAAAGAAGAGTAGGTGGATAATATGTTAAAATTTTAACTCTATATGTGTAAACGTTACACATAAGTAGATCTTTCCTTATTTAAAGATGAATATAAAATATTAAAATAACAGGAATATGAAGAACAAAGCCAAGATTTCCTCAAAGCTCTGCTGACTTGGTATGTAAATAATTTTTGCTGAGATAAAAGCAAAACACAAACAAAAAAAAATGCACACTTCAGTTTGTTCTTATAAACTAGTACTCATATTCTTTTAAATTACTGGAAACTTGGTTTTAAATGATTGTTCTCCCGTGTTAAAATTTATTTTAACATTGGAGCATTTTTTGAAGCTTATATGAGCATGTTTCCTGCAGATGAAACAGAAATTGGGTACTCAGCACCTGAGCCCATTATGATGATAACAGGGATGGGAATTCCTGTGGAAGATTTGTGCCCCTGGTTCACAATTTGAAGCCCAATATACTTGGTTAAGGCAAAAATCAAATTAATTCAAAACAGCCATTATATACATTCACTCATCAAATAATTTTAAGCAATTTTATTTATAGTTATTAGTTAGGAACAGGAAATGATATAGTTGGCATAAAAGACAAGGCTCCTGCACACACTGGGTTTAAAGTTATGTTGAGAACAATATATGCTAATAATATTATTGTTAATTAGTAGTGATTAATATAACAATTAATAATAATGTATGGCTACAGCAAAGAGAAGTGCTATTAAGAATAATTGCATAATTTTATGAAAGTATGAATAAGGGAAGTTTAAACAACTCAAGAATAATAGGAAAAGCTTCTCTGAGGAAGTATATTTTGACAGAGATCTAAATAGGTAAAAGTTAAACAGGCCTTACAAGATCACTCTAGTTGATGTTAGAAAAAAACCAGAGGGGACCAAATGAGGTCAGGGAGACATTAACTACAAGGCTATTTTAGTGGTATTGGTGAGTGACTCTAGGAATTGTGTGGTGGTGGCTGTTATAGTTTGAATGTTTGTCCCCTCTAAAACTCATGTGCAAATTAATCCCTAATATGGTAGTGTTGAAAGGTGGGGCCTGTAAGAGGTGATTTATGGATTAATGAATTAATGGACAAATGTGTTATCATGGAAGTGGGAATGGTGGCTTTATAAGAAGAGAAAGAGAAACCTTAGTGAACATGGTCAGCCTCCTCTCACGTTACGCTCTGCACTGCCTCAGGACTCTGCATAGAGTCCTCACCAGCAAGAAGGTCCTCACCAGATAAAGCCCGTTGACCCTGGACTTCTCAGCCTCCATAATTGTAAGCAATGAATTTCTTTTGTTTTTATTAATAAATTACCCAGTTTTGGATATTCTGCTATAAGAAATAGAAAATGGACTAAGACAATATTAAAAACAGAGGAAAGTGTGGATCTTGAGAGTTATTAAATAATAAAATAGTTATTAAATAGTAAAAGATTGGTAAGAGATTAAGGTTTTGAACATACTAATGTACAAGATTTATCTTAAATCAGGATGAAAAAAATATCTAATTAAATGCAAAATCATAAACAATATAAAATAGAGAGGTAGAGATCAGACATTGTCACTTTACCGACTATTGGGTCCAAGATAAGGACAATAGCATCACAGAACTCTTCCACAAATAATCTATGAATTAAAAGCAACTGGGTACAAACTGATTCTAAAATGTATATGAAACTATACAGTTACAGTAATACCTAAGAAAAATCTTTAAAAGTACAAAATGTAGATGGAAATTGCCATGCTAAGTATCCACCAATATTATTTAAAAAGCTATTAGATACTAATAGACAAATATATCAAAGGATTTGAATAGAACTCAGGAAGAAATCAGAGCATTTTATGGGAACATGGTGTATTTTAGAAGTGGCAACACTGAAAGAGAGAGAGACTATTAAAATACAAATGGTTTAGAGACAAGTTGTTATGCATATGGGATAATAAAGACAAAAATAAATTTCCAATAGTTTATAGAATTAAATACAAAGACTTTAATAAAAATTTAATGCTATTATAAGAAAATATGGAAAATATATTTGTGACCTCTGGGTAGGAACAATTTCTTACACAAGATGGTAAAAACATTAACCATAAATCAAAATTAAAATTTGGCAAGACAATCTATAGTACAGCAAGGTTAAAATATAGTTACAGATCATGGAAACATACTTGAAATTCATATATTACACAGACAATGTACAAGAATAAGTATAATATTTCTACTATGAATATAGAATGGCAAAGGAAAGCAATTAACATACAAGTTGAAATATCAACTAGTAAAAGATATTCAAACTCACTAATAGTCAAGAATAAACAAATTTTTACAAAGTGAGATACTATTTTTCAGCTACTGAATCAGGAAATTTAAAAAAAAAGCCAAAGCTAATGCCAGTATGTATATGGTGGAGGGAGATGCTACTCGGATACACCATTGCCTGGAAGTGAACTTGTACAGCTGAGGTAGTACAGTTTACAAGGTGCATTCTCCAAATCTTAGAGTGATGCTTTAGAGGTTTGCATAGTAAACTTTCCTATAGATTTACAGAGAGACCTTGACTAAAATATATACTGTGCTATGGTTTGTAATAGAGAAAAACTGGAAATAATGGAATTACCCTGAAATAGAGGAAGTGATGAATAAAAAGGCATGTTATGGAATAAAATATGGAAGTTAAAGTACTGACATATCTATATTTATCAAAGTAGTAAATCAATATATCTCCACACATATATTACAGTGCCAAAAAGTAACATGATTGTACATAGAATATAATTTTATTTATGTAAATTAAACACAAAAGTAATGTAAAAATTGTGAAGTTTTTTTTTTGTGTGTATATATATATATATATATATACCTATTTGTATATCTATTATCTACTTCTATATCTATCTATTTATATATATATCTACTATATATCTATTAATTTAAGGATTTTAAAATGGTACAATGGTAGAATCTATACCTTGATCACTATAAATTTTCTCACAAGTGGCATAGATGTGGGAAACTGACATGTATTTTATTGGATTGAGGGTGGTAGTTACAATGCATATTTTTAAAAGTTTGTAAGCAAATATTAAAATGTTAGTAGCTGTTAATTCCGAATACTGGTAAATGGACAATACTTAATTTATTGCCTTTAGTGAACCCTAAACTCCTTAAAATAGGTAAAATCAGTAAGGAAAATATTAGTAAATAGTTCACGTTTATTTAAATTTTAGAGGAGACATTAAAAATCATTGTTTCTATGGTCTTTAAAATATAATATTATTTAATTTATAGCCTTTGACTTCCTCTCTAATACAATATTTTTTGATTCTATGGTCTTTAAGATAATATTATTTAATTTATAACCTTTGACTTCCTCTCTAATCCAGTATTTTATAATTTAGTAATAGGGATTATTAAAATGAATTAGAAAAATAATGCAACTATACTTTTGTGAGAAAAAATTAGGTTATTGTGAGTTGAGTAATGGAAATTAAGGTAGCTAATTTAGAGAAGAAGCAACCATTTCTTTTCTACTTTTAAATCTCCTATTTATTAATCTGTATTTATAATTTTGCTTTTATCCTCATCACTCCAATAATGTCAAAGTCATATTTTCTGGCAAAACTTCTCTTGTTTCAGTTATCTATCACAACAGATATCTATCACAACATAACAAAGTAATTTTGTGGCTTAAAATAGCTATTTTATGTGTTCTCAATACTGAGAATCAGGAACGTAGGCAAGACATGTCTGGGCAGTTCTTTCCCACATTGCACCTGCTGATGCCCTTTGCTGGACTTCATTCGTCTTCTAGCTAGGCTTGGCTGGATGGTAACAACAAGCTATACTGCATATCTAGCTAAAAGTCATCCATGAACACTTTCCACATTGTGCCTGGAAATATTATTTCCTGTTCCACATTATAAAAAATTATATTTTCTATCTTTCCTGTAGCTATGAGTGGTAGTTCTGCTATTTGTTCTGTCAGAACTAAATTGAGACCTCATTTATGCAGTCTCTAGTAGTAATTTCCTTACTGACTTTCCAGCCCCCAATAAAAATGTTCTCATCAACTTCAGCCTCTGACCATCACACAGATCTAAACCTAATGCTACACGTTTAAGACTTCTTTTACAATAATGCCCCACTTCTAAGTACCAATTTCGTTTCATAATCTATTTCTGTGTAACAAATTAGCACAACACATAGTGGCTTTGAAAATAATCATTTAATTTACCTCAGATTCTTTGGGTTAAAAATGTGGATATGGCTCTTTTGGGTGGTTCTTCTCTTTCACATGCTATCAGCTGGGTTTATGCACTCTGTCACCCTGGCTACTTTTAGCTGTTGCCTAGACTGGAGTGGAAAATTCCAGAAGGCTTAGTTCACATGTCCAGCACCTCGATATTCTTACACACCTCCTCTTTAACATTTTCTTTCTCCTTTTCTTCATGTGGCTAGCTTGGGCTCCCTCACAACATTTTCTTCTAAGAGTAGTCAGGCATCTTAAATTGTTTATTTCTTCTAAGAGGGAGCTTTCTATCAGAGGGGAAAGTAAAAGATTCAGATCTTTTAAAGCCCAAGGTCAGAGGCTACCCAAGATCACATATTCTGTTGTATTATATTGCTCAAAACAAATCACAGGCTTGTGGAATTTCACAAAAAAGGAAAACAAACCCATACCTTTTTAATGGTAAGAGTAACAAGAAATGTGTGGCCATCTTCATTTCTTTCTCTCCCTCTCTCTCTCTCCACACACACACACACAGACACACACACACACACACACACACACATTCTTTAACTGTTCTTACCTCTCTATACCATATGAAACCTTTGAAATTCCCTTCTCATAATCTTCAGTTTCCTTTAAACATAATCTCTAGTTCTTCCGATATTTCTTTTACTAATCTTAGTCATTCTAGTTGATCTATGCTCCTCTTCATACTTCTTGTATTCCTCAGTAATCTAATATTTGTTCTATACTATTTATTCGATTTGTTCTGTACTATTTATTTTAAAAATTGGTAGTTTACATAATCTGTGATATTCTACATTCATTTTCTTAAGTGCTGTAGGATAGCTTAATTTGAAATAACCCACAGTGTTCCAGGACCAACAGGTTCCTATGCCTGCTGCTCAGTAGCAGATGGATTATACTGAGACAGCAGGATTTGAGTCAGAGAAAGGGTTTCATGATTGCAGGGCACCAAGCAAAAAAGATGAGAGGAGACTCTCAAATTCCTCTTTCTGAGGAATTCTGGACTAGAGTTTTTATGGGGATCATGAAAGGCGAGGGGCTGGAAAATTGAAGACGTTGATTGGCTGAGGCAATGAGGATAAAATTATCAGGATGTGGAAACTGCATTATTTGGTGAGTCACCTTTTTATGAGATTCTTCAGAACAGCTGGCATCAGTGGGGTCCCTCAGACCAGCTGGTTCAGTAGTTTCACTGGTGTGGAGGGCTTGAAAGACTATCTCAAAGGTGCTGGGCATGGTGGCTCATGCCTATAATCCCAGCACTTTGGGAGGCCAAGGCTGTAGGATTCCTTGAGCCCAGGAGTTCGAGATCAGCCTGGGCAACATAATGAGACCGTGTCTCTATGACAAAATTAAAAAATAAATGAAAAAGAATATCTCAAAGGGAAAACTTAATATTTCATAATGGCAAGTTGTTATCTATGGAACAGTTAATGCGAACTATAATCTTACAGTTTATAAGAGTGAGAGTGAGCTGACCTCATTAATGCTGACTGTGCTGCCAGCTTGGTTTTCATTTCTCCTCCTCCCTGTGTCCTTTATTAATTATATAAAGTTTATAAGGATGGTTTCAATAGCAACATGCTATTTCTTAAACTGGAATTTGAGCATATGGGAGTTTGGGTTGTTTTATCTCTATATAATAATACATATGTCATAAGTTATTTGCCTGTATATAATTCATAACTAAGGCATATATTTAAAAAAAAAAGAGAAGGAAAATGGTTTTTTTCAAATCACAGTAAGAGAGAAAAAAAGAATTAATTATCAAGGGCAACATAACAAAACGTGGAATAGGTATTTTTTAAGAGATTCCATAATTATCTTCAAATGCATCAATATAATGTATATTTAATGTATAATATACATTAAATAAGTGTTTTTGGTGTCCATCATACCTTAATAAAAAATAAGGTCTCCCAGACTTTAAAAAGTGATAACACAAAAAAAAAATAAAATAAACATAATATTTAATTTTTAATTTTTTAATTTTCTAGAGATGGGATATCTGTCACCCAGGCTGGAGAGCAGTGACACAATCATAGCTTATTGCAACCTTAAAATCCTGGGCTTAAGTGATCCTCCCACTTCAGCCCCAAGAGTCAATGGGACTATAGGCTCCCTGTCACCATGTCAGGCTGAGACTTTATAGTGTTGAATAAGGCATACATATAGCTTTTATAAACACATATTCTTCAATGGGGGTATGTCGCCTGTTCTATGTAACTTAGCTCAGTATTTTTTTTTTGTAAAATTATGGCATGTAGGATATTTTTATATAAAGACACACACAATACCTATTAATTTTCCCAGAATGTCTTTAAAAATATAAAGTGATTTTCAAAGCATCTGTGTTGTCTCCTTCATTTTATGTTTTAAAGCTTACATTTTATATTTTTTGGAAAAAACCCTCTGTTTACTTACCTGTATTTTTACTAAGTTTTAGAAAAATTTTCTAAAATCCAAGAAACTAAATTTTTATATTAAACGGCCCACTGAAAATATTGTATACGCATTTTTTTTTTCTGGCTAAAGGATTCTCATAGTGTGGTGCTAAAAGATAAAGACTTAAATGAATTAAATGTTTGGATATCCTACCTTTTTGCCTTCTAGAAATATACCAAAAAGCTATAAATGTAATTGGAATTCAAAAGATTTGCACCCTTGCACTCCAGTTCACATTTAAATGAGTTACTGACCTGCTGTCACTTGCTGCTTTCTCAGCTCTAACAGGTTCCTTGAATTGGTCACAGATTTTTACGAGTCATCTATTGTTATGTTCTGCTTATCAAATGGAAGGACAATGACAAGAAACTTGAAGAAGTTACTCTGAAATGGGTAGAGATATGAGAAAAAGTCAATTAAAGTGAGAGGTGAAATAACATACCCCTTTACCAAAGTATAGAGGATTTACAGATTTTTCTACGTGTTGATGCTTTATAGGTAGTGTACGAGCACATTTCATGTCCTCTTACTTGCAAGATTCTTTTAAAATGTAAAAATTTTCCCAGGAAGAAATAAGTGGGAAGTTAGTGGAGACATTTGCATTTTTGAATAATCCTTCTAGACGAGGTACCAAAAAAACCCGAAAATCACTTAAAAAGTATTGTATCAGTTATTGTGTTTAGGTTGTACCTTGTAGAAATTACTGTTTTAATATATTATTTTCAACTTGCTCTATATTAACTACATGAAACATTATTTAACAAATATAGTTTGATCATCAGATATGACCACTTGCCATGAGAAGATATAAAGGATATTAAAAAAAAACATGAAGGGAGGTCGAGGCGGGTGGATCACAATGTCAGGGGATCGAGACCATCCTGGCTAACATGGTGAAACCCCATCTCTACTAAAAATACAAAAAAAAAAAAAGAAATTAGCTGGGCATGCTGGTGGGCGCCTGTAGTCCCAGCTACTCGGGAGGCTGAGGCAGAATGCCATGTACCGAGGAGACGGAGCTTGCAGTGAGTCGACATTGCGCCACTGCACTCCAGCCTGGGCGACAGAGGGAGACTCCGTCTGAAAAAAAAAAAAAAAAAAAAAAAATTGCCTCCACTCTCAACATGTTCATATGCTTTTACCAAAAAGCTTGAACTGCATTATAAAAAGGATTTTAATTTCATCAGATAGTTTAGGATAATTCTCTTGCAATCATTGATCTTTAATATTTGATTAGTAATAGCCCAGTTAAGTGACATGCAGGATTTCGAAAAAGCAAATTTACAGGGGCAATTTTAAGACTGATGGTAAATTATTTGAATAATTTGTATATTTGTAATTGTTTTTCTCATTATAAGATTTATTTTTTCTCATAAGATTACTAAGCTAGAAATTACTAATGTGAGAGGAAATCTTTTCTGTGATTATTTAAATTATGCTGCATACCAAATGATAAAAGAAGCCCTAATAACTATACCTGTGTATGTAACTACTTATTCACTACATATTGTTCTCAATATCGAGGTGAAGGCAATTTGAATCTAGGACTTCCCTGCCATTCAAACAGTAAAAGTCTTTATGATGGAGAGATAGTAATAAGTAAGTTATAAGACTGACATCTTTGTCTCTTGTCCCACACTTTCTCTGCTTTCTCCTCACTCGTGTGGCATAAAGGAATGCTGCATTTGCTCTGTAAACACTTCTCTCCGAAACATTGTGAGGATCCAAAGCAAAACAGGACTTGTGCACGGCAGGGGCCACAGTGTGACATGAATCTTGTTGGCTGAAGCACAATGGGCCATGCAAGATGGATCCAGGGTTGAGGGACAGGTAGGAGACCAGCTGGAAATGAAAAAGCTGGCTTGATCAGGAGGAAGAAATTTCCAAACATTCCTACTTTATTGACTGAGAACTGACTGAAAGGATTCTGAAAGTGCAATAAAGAACTATCTGTGCCATTACTGAAAGTCCTAAAATATTGAGAATCTGTTTGTCCAATGAATGCTGATTGGAATAGTTTTGAAATAGAATAAAATCGGATGTAATAGATGGGTTTCATACACAGAAAAAAAAGTGGCCATTTTTGAGTGTCAAAATGAAAGGTACATAAATAATTACCAAAAAGATGTAGATGATATGTGACATATTTCATAATATTGCTGATGGTAAACATCAAAATGTTCCACACTGGATTTTCAAGAATACTCTGTGTTTCTTCTTTTACAAAAACAAATGGGAAAAAGTAGGCTAAAATAAGCTTCATTCCTAGTCACTCAGAAGTGAACTGTCAAGTAGAAAAGAATGCCTAAAATGTGACAGTAAATAGAAGCAGACACAGGCACATCCCTGATAATAGTTATCATCTTTACAACTTAAAGTTGGTTATTTTGTTTGCTTTTCTTCCAGGTTATTTTGAATTTGAAGTGGATTTTGTTTAGATGGATTAGATATCAGTTTTTAAATATGACAGATATTTAAAGACCAAATAATTAATTAAAAATATTAGTTACAAACAGGCTTTTTTGTTGAAATTTAATATAAATTATATATTATCAAAATGGTATACTATTACATTATTTTATCAATTTTTAAAAAAAGAAATATTTTCAAATGTTAATCTCATTGAATTTAAAGAATCTGGTTGAAAAAGAGAAAACTTACAGTGGTCATCCGCGGGTACTTTTTTATATGTTAATTTATTCACCTTTGAAAAAGTATTAGATGCCTGTTAGGTACCAGGCAGTATGCGAGTCATTGGACACACACGAAATAGAGTAAGTTATTATCCTTGAACAGGTGATAGTTTATAAGGGGAAGACAAATTTGTAAAGAATCATGGGCAATAGTGATTTATGACTAAAATAGAAAATTGTTAAACATACAGAGAATGCACAAAGCACAGAAAAATGACTGATGTTACTTAGTGGATAGAAAGGTATCAGGAAAGGTTACAGAGAAATGGTCATACTTGAATGGAATCCTAAAAACCCTGAGCAAGTTTGCCAAATAAATCTTAAGCTGAGCAACAAGACACGTAATTGAGCTATGTTAGACTATACAATTGAAAAACACTGTGACTCAATATAAAAAAAAAATTGTCAGCCGGGCAGGGTGGCTCATGCCTGTAATCCCAGCACTTTGGGAGGCTGAGGTGGGCGGGTCACAAGGTCAGGAGATTGAGACATTCCTGGCTCACACGGTGAAACCCTGTCTCTACTAAAAATACAAAAAATTAGCCGGGCATGGTGACGGGCGCCTGTAGTCCCAGCTACTGGGAAGGCTGAGGCAGGAGAATGGCGTGAACCCAGGAGGCGAGGCTTGCAGTGAGCTGAGATCAATGCACTGCACTCCAGCCTGCGTGTGACAGCGAGACGCCATTTCGAAAAAAAAAAAAAAAAAAAAAAAAAAAGGAATTGTTCTTAGTACATAGGAAAAATTCATAGCAGAAATCCTAAGGACCCCTTTTCTTCACAAACTCATAGCTAAAAACGTTATGCTTTCATAGAATATTTGTGTAAATGTGAAGTAGAAATACAAAGGATCTTGGTCCTCAGAAATAACCTTAATATTTATATATTACTAATCTCCACCTAACAAAGGAATATGCAAAATTAGATGGATTATTTCCATGAAAAGGTAGAAAACATCTGTATTCAAGACAGATGATTTTCTACCTTTTCATGGAAATAATCCATTTAATTTTGTGGTTCATAATAATTACTACAAAATCCTATTAAAATTTTAGTATATAATTTTACTAATTATTTGAGTGGAAGGCTATACTGTGAAATCACACTAAATATATTCAGCTTTTTTTTACTTAGGCAATTATAAAAGTTGGAAGTGTTCCATTACTGAGAAACACATGTTTAACAACATATATCTTCCTAGATATTGACATTGTTAAAATTCATGGATTGTGTACGCGCTATTTTCAAATTTATCCACAATGTATCACAGGTTCAAATTTGTAATAGCATAACAACCTAATTTTTATAAAATATAGCTGTGTTTTTCTAGAGATGTTTTTATTTACCAAATGCTGACATGAAAATATTCTTTCTTGCAATTTCCCATAATTGTTTTAAATGTCGAATAGACTATATAGATAGCCCTACAATTTTTATGTAAACATTTATACATGTATGAATAAAAAGCATAAACATTCTAGAAATATTTTAGAATATTTATTTGAAATACAAGACAGAATTTGCAGAATGAAACACTAAAATGTTTTAAAATTTTTTATAGAAGGATTTCAACGGAAGTTCTCAAAAAATAAGTTTCCTACCAAAAAAACTGTTACTATGTGAGGTGGTTAGTATGGTAAATAGTTAGATACAATATTTATGTATATCAAAACATCACGTTGTACATCTATGTTAGTTTTTGTATTGCTATAAAAACCTGAGGCTGGGTAATTTATAAAGAAAAGAGGTTTAATTGGTTCGTGGTTCTGCAGGTTGTACAGGAAGCGTGGTGCCAGCATCTGCTGTGCTTCTGGTTAGGCCTCAGGGAGCTTTTACTGGTGGCAGAAGGTGAAGTATGAGCAGCATGCCACATGGTGAGTGGAGGGCAAGAGAGATGGGAGAGGTTCCACATGCTTTTAAATAACCAGATCTTGCATGAACTCAGAGAAGGAACTCACTCTTCACCAGGGGGATAGTGCTAGGGCATCATGAGACATCCACCACCATGATTCAAACACCTCCCACCAGGTCCCACCTCCAACACTGGACATTACATTTCAACATGAGATTTAAAGGGGACAAATATCCAAACCATGTGAACAACTAAAATATATACAATTTTTATTTGTCATGTAATATCAATAAAGCTGGGAAAATTAAAAGTTAAATGGAATTAAATGAAAAGAAACATGTCAAGAATATAGTAGCAAAGACAAAATAAACAATTATTAAGAACAGATGTTTCTCTCCATAATTAAAGTTCTTTAAAGCAGGCTCAAGAGTATTTTAGGATCCTGACTTCTGAACACAAATCTCATAATATTTGTAAACATGGATGCAGTTTATTAACTGACCAAATCAATGGGGACTGTGAATTTGGGAGTGTGGTTGTTAGGGTAATTGCTGGTATTTAATGGTTGACTAGAAATCCATTGAACAGCAATCTGCCTATAAATCAATAACTTCAGGTTTTAATATCCTTTAGATACTTCAATTGCTTGAATGGAAATCTAGAATTGTGAGAAGTTTGAAGTTTATGCTGCATGGAACTCTTCAAGACACTGTCAATGTGGTAAAGTTCATGCTTCCATATATGCAAAATACATCCTGGCTTACATGGAAGTCCTCTGAGAATCATCAGCCTCCAATAAACATAAATCTCTAATGCTGCTTCCTGTGGAACAGTATTGCTCAAAAGAGAAGCATCCCTTTGCCATGTAATGCCTGCAATTCACTGTCTACCTTTGTGACTTACAATGTGAGTTCAGCTTGAAACCATTCTTCACGGTATCAGAAGTCACAGGGAATTTCTCCTGATCAGTATTGCATAGGCTTCTCATCATACCCCAGGTTTTGTTGCCCTGGGGGATAACAACCTGTCTCCTGAAGTGTACTCGAAACCCCAAAGGAATTTCAAATACATCATTTTGACTGGATTTTAAGCAGGCTTCCCACACAAATGCTGAAAAATTGGGAAACACTTTTTTCAGTCATTGTTACAGGATACTCAGGCAAATCGCAAGTAGGCAGATGCTGAATTATAAAATCAAGTTACATTTGGATCGTGTTGCTTCATTAACTGAAGAGCTCTGCTTGTGATGTCTTACAGCATATAAAAAAATTCAGCTAAAATCTCACACTACAAATAAGTGGAGGAAACATTTGTTAGTTGACATTGTAGCAAAAGAAACTTGAAAGAATATGAAAGTTTTGCAGAAGTATCTGATGCAAAATGCTAGAGCAAAATGTCAGTTTCATGCCATCTCTCTCATAGAAAAGCACCCCCTCCTTTTTTCTTTCCCAGCCCCAGCTTCACTTCTTAAAATATCCATGTGACCAATATAAAGAATGACTTCAATTTGAGTGGTCTGGCAGCGGTCCTATCCTAGCTAACTCTACGTCCAATTCACATCAAATAATTTTTCTCCCAGAGTAAATGATTCAGGATGTTATGTTGCTGAAATTTTCCAAGACTTTGAGTACAATAGCCATAGTTAAAACCCTCTTCAAATAAATAACCATAAAGGAAATAAGTGATAATAAAATCTCAGCTTCTAAGCCTTCATTCTACCCTGCACCCCCTTTACTCTCTATCCTTCCTTTTCTTTCCCCTTCTCTCTCTCTGCGCACACACACACACACACACACACACACACACACACACAGACTAAGGAAACCCTCAAGAAAAATACCTTTGTTTCTTCTCCTCATAAAAATACCAGCTAAATTCAGAAACCAGAAGTCATAAAATGATACTCATTTTGGAGTTTATTGCCCATAAACAATTGAAATAGCTCCTATGTAACATACTAAGCAACTCTCGACGAAAAGAGTCAAACTCTGTGAAATATTTGAAAAGATTTATTCTGAGCCAAATATGAGAGACCATGGCCCATGACATAGCCCTCAGGAGGTCCTGAGAACATGTTCCCAAGGTGATCAGGATGCAGCATGGTTTTATACACTTTAGGGAGACATCAATCAAATACATTTAAGAAATACATTGGTTTGGTCCAGAAAGGCAGGACCACTCGAAATGGGGGCTTTCAGGCTATAGGTAAATGTAAACATTTTCTGGTTGACAATTGGTTGAGTTTGTCTAAAGACCTGGTATTAACAGAAAGTAATGCCTGGGTTAAGATAAAGGATTGTGGAGATCAAGTTCTTATTTGCAGAGGAAACTTTCAGGTAGTAGGCTTCAGAGAGAACACGTTATAAAATGTTTCTTATTAGACTTAAAGCTTGTGCTGATGTTAATGCTGGAGAGGTATAATGAGGCATGTCTGACCCCCACTCCCCATCATGGCCAGAAACAGTCTCTTAGGTAAAATTTTAAAAGAGCCCTGGCTGAGGACGAGGTCCATTCAGGTGGTTGGGGAGCCTTAGAATTTTATTTTTTGTTCACACAACTTTACTTTCTCAATAGTTTTTATTCTGAGAAGGAATTGTGGGGTAAAAATATTGCATTATAACCACAGGGAAGGTAACAATTTTCTTAATTTCATGAATATGTTTCATACTGTAGAAGATCAGAATTAACAGATAGGTAATCTTAAACACTGGCCAATATTAGAATAGAGAAAAACATCCCATTTCATGACATCCAGTACTTTGATCCCATTGGAATGTAGAGGACACCTAACATGTGGTTAATTTGGTTTCTTGAATTTTCTATCATTAAAGCAGCATGATCTTAGCACAGTGCCTGATACATGGTAGATATCTGATATCTACTTATTGAATGGATAATAGATCTACTTTATATAGGGAAAAATGAGTCAAAGAGATTTACAAATGTGTGCCAGAGAAACTGATGGCATGCAGACATAGGTATCAGGACATGGAGAAGACAGAAGCACAGAATAGTAACATCGATGAATAAATTATGCCTTGAAGAATATCCTTAGGGTTCTTAGAGATACTAAGAAATTCAACAGTCTGTGCTTTGTGAAGCCTCTTCTCTCTTGTTCACTTTATCATATGGAGAATGAATCACGGTTACATGTCATTGGGGCCAATCTTTTATTTTCCCCGTTTGGGGGCTCTCTGGTGGGATGCTTTGGTCACACACAAGTAGGGTGTGACCACAGTTGTTCTTAGCAGGGGAATCAGGAGATAAAATAATCTGATATGGCACTGATATATATTTCCGTGGGTAGACTGATAATTTATCATTTTTTAATTTAATGAGGTTTTTTAATTTTTTAATTTTTTAATTTTTTTTAAAGACAGGGTCTCGCTGTGTCGCCCAGGCTGGAGTGCAGTGGCACAATCACGGCTCACTGCAGCCTTGACCTGCCGGGTTCAAGCAATCCTCCCACCCTAACTTCCTGAGTACAGGCATGCGCCATCATGCCCTGCTAATTTTTATATTTTTTGTAGAGACAGGGTTTCGCCATGTTCCAGGCTGATCTTGAACTCCTCGCACTGGTCTCCCAAAGTGCTAAGATTACAGGCACATATCACTGTGCCCGGCCTAATTTTTACACTTACAAAACACAGCATCATAATGTATTTTTTGTTTATTGTACCTTATCAGATGTCTGTCATGTTTTATGATCTGTCATAATTACTAGAACTGCTTGAAGTTTTAAAGTTATATTAGGAGGTGAAGTTGGTGCACAGACACATCAGCTATTTGTACATTCCAATCCCCCTGCTGTACACTTAGGGCGGGCATTGTGCTGGACTCTGTGGATATGTAGATGAAAGAAGGTCTTGAGAAAAATAATATCACCTAACAAAGAGAAAGAAATTGTGTCCACTTTGCCAAACATGGAAAAGGCAAAGCACGCAATCTAGCCTCATGTTTATCATGATGCAATCAGGCTTATAAGTAACACTGGAAGCATTCCTTCAGGAGCTGGCATTATTCACCATTAGTATAAGAACAATAAAGGATTGTCTATTGTTAAGAAAACATTCAACTGGGCAATGAAATAGTAATGGGATAAAGGACATGTAAAGCATACATAACAACTAAGTAATAATAGTTGAACAGAGAGGAAGAAGTCGTCACGGAATGAAGTGCATCTTGACTGCCGTTGACAATGAAACTGCTGATCCCTTTGGGTATTTTATTCAGTTTTTCTAAAATTAGAGAAGTATTTGTCATAATCTATTCTTATTCTTTATCACTTAATTTTTATGATGCATATTTGTGCATATCATCTTAGTTTCTAGAATATAAATTGTGCTCCTATAATAGAATATTTACTAGACACCAGTAAATATAAAATACTTATTGTACATTAATTGGACTGAATCAACTAACATAATCATGTTCACCGTGAGATTCTGACCTCCTGATTGGTCATATGTAGACACAGGTTTTTTGTTTTTTGTTTTTTTTTGAGACGGAGTTTCGCTCTTGTCGCCCAGGCTGGAGTGCAATGGCGCGATCTTGGCTCATTGCAACCTCTGCCTCCCGGGTTCAAGTGATTCTCCTACCTCAGCCTCCCGAGTAGCTGAGATTACAGGCATGTGCCACCATGCCCAGTTAATTTTTGTATTTTTAGTAGAGATGGGGTTTCACCATGTTGGCCAGTATGGTCTCAATCTCTTGACCTCATGATCTGCCCGCCTTGGCCTCCCAAAGTGGACACAGGTGTTTTATCTTGAATGCAGTATAAAGTATGTTCTGACAGGATATCACACTAACTAAACTCAAGGAAAAAATAAAAGCAAAGTAACTAGAAAAGTTTACTTAGAATTGCATGTGAAACTTGAATCTCACTCCTTTTACATCCCAGAAATTAGATAAGGAATCAACAGTCCCACCTTTCTCATCTATGTCTCTCTACTTTTGCTTTAAAACAGAAGAAACATTAAAGTTGGTGAAAGGGAAATGGCGTTTTGTATCAGTGTCAATTGGAAGAACATGGAGTAGACAGGGGCTTTCTATATACTTTTAAAAACACATAATTCACACATTGAAAATGATCTGAAACCAGAGCTCTAACTACGACTTAATCCAGAGAATAATTTCTTATAACAGAAAATGGTGTGATGATGTATATCTCGATTTTTAATGTAATATAATATGGGTGCAATTCTGACAGGTAAATTTTCTTTTAATAAATGATAATTTAAAAGTTTTAACAATTCTGTTTTCTAAATTTATCTTTGTGTTTTTTTCTCCTTTGAGTCAGTCCCAGTTACTAAGTTGAAGACACCTCCAAAGGGATATCGCTATACTGTAAATTATTACATTATGCATGTTACACCAGCTTATAAAAAGCCACATATTAGACCCACACAAATATAGACAACTAATTGATCTTTGACTTAGGAGCAAAGGCAATATAATGGTGGAGCAAAGAGAGTTTTCCAACAAATAGTCCTGGAACAACTGGACATCTACATGTAAAAAAATGTGAATCTAGACAAGACCTTACACCTCTCTTGGAAATTAATCGAAAATGTATTATAGAACTAAATATAAAAAGAAAAACTATAAAAACTTCTAAAAGGTAACAAGAGAAAAATCTATATAAACTTCAGTTGGTTGGTGATTTTTTAGATATAATACCAAAGGTATGATCCATGCAAGAAATAATTGATTAGTTAAGCTTCATTAAAATTAAAAACACCTGCTCTGTGAAGGACACTGTCAAGGGAATGAGAAACCCAGCCATGGAGTGGTTGACAATATTTGCAAAACACGCATCAGATAAAGGACTGTTATTTCAAATATGCAAAAAAAGTCTTAAAACAACCTAATTAAAAAGCAGGCAGATGATCTAAAGATATCTCACTGAAGATATACAGGTAGCAAATAATCAAATAAAAATGTTCAACATCATATGTCATTAGAAAGCTTCAAATTAAAACGATGAGACACCACTACACATTCATTAGAATGACTAAAATTCAAAACCCTGACAACATCAAGTTCTCGTGAGGATACGGAGCAACAGGAAGACTCACTATTGCTGGTGGAAATGGACCATGGTTCAGCCACTTTGGAAGACAGAGGGCTGTTTCTTACAAAACTAAACATTAGCTTATCATAGGATCCAGCAATTCTGTTCCTAAGTAATTTCCCAAATGAGTGGAAAACATGTCCACACAAAAAATTGCACGCAGATATTAATAGAAGCTTCATAATTATAAAAACTTGAAAGCAACCACGATTTCCTTCAGTAGGTGAAAGGATAAACTGGTACATCCAGACAATGGCCTTTTATTCAGTGCTAATGGCTATGACTGCACAGTACATTATTTATTTGTATGTGCCTCTTAGATATCACTAATATAAAATAGTGTGCTTAAACCTCTGTTCCACCTCCCTTACTTTAGACATTTTCTCTAAAGTTTCCTTAACTTAAGATGAAAATTTTAGAACACCTACGTTCCACCATTTATCTTTGCAACATTTGTTGCCTGTACCTTTACTTGATGCTGTTTACATTCCCTTCTGTGATGTAAGTCTTCTAGCTAATTAGTATGTTCAGATTACTTTTTTTCTCTTTAGACCCACCTTCACAAATCTTATGCCACTTAAAGAAAATATTTCTAGTGTCAAAGCAAAATAAAATGTCTTACTCTCCACCATTTACTTTAAATTGAAATCTATTGAATGTGTATTTTACATGTAGATGATGATGTTCTCATAC
Organism: Homo sapiens; assembly: GCF_000001405.40. NCBI lineage: Eukaryota > Metazoa > Chordata > Mammalia > Primates > Hominidae > Homo > Homo sapiens. The sequence goes on along the minus strand of NC_000010.11, from coordinate 65,221,813 downwards.
ATCTTTTGTTTCCTGGTGCTTTTAATTGCATTCTTTTCAAATGACAAAATAAAATCTTCCTCATATCACAATACATCCACCCTATCTCAAATCTCATTTGCTCCTCCAGTCCATTTCTCAGAGAAAATGCTTCCTAGACTTGCCAGCTGGTATATGCTCTACTGAGATCTGTTTTCATTCTAAGGCCACCGCACAGCTTTCATTCTAAAATCTCACTTCACCAGACTCCTGTCCTTAATTCATTCTTTCCTGAATCCCAGGTTATTTTCCTTTGTGATTTTTCTCTCTTGCTCTGAAGAAATAACTAAGAAACATTGTCTTTTAATTCCTATTACATTTTAATTCTAATTAGATGTTGCTTTTTTTCTTTGTAACATTTATTTTCAAGACTTTATTTGTTCTGTATTCCTAATTATGTTTCTACCTCTATTATGGAGTCAACATTTTCTCTAGTTTTTCTTGAATTTTCTCTCTCATGGTGTTATTTGATTGAGTGTTCATGGCAAAAATAAAGGATGCACTTGATGTTTTTCCCATTATTGTGGTTTTCCTCTCCCCTTATGTAGTAATGCCAGAGTGAAGAGCACTTAACTAAAAGGTGCTAACTCCCATACAAGGAACCAAATATTTCACTGCATTTCTTCAAAGAAAGCCCCCTTTTTTTTTCAATAGGATATTAAAAACTGGCTGCTCTGCTCTCATGTTCAGAAAGGAGTATAGAATGATTTAATTGTGTAGCCCTTCCGTAGTTCAACATCTAATCAGTCTTCGTTTTTTCAGCCCCACATGCCTTGCCCATTTCCTGCATTGGGGCAGACCACAATGTATCTTTCTAAGCTGTATATATCCTGGGCAGTGGCTTATTCCTCTCATTTTTATCCATCAACTTACTTTACATATTCTTCTTCCCAGAAATTTATTGAGAGTTCTCATCTGCTGATAACCACATCATATAGTTTCTGTTTTGTTTTATGAGTTTATTCCCTTTTGTGCTTTTTGCTAAATAACAATGGAATTTTATAAGGGAAAGAAGACAAATGCCTGCTCTCTCCAGCCGTGATTGAAATAGAAAATTTTACATCTAGCTTTTATATTCTTATTTTGAATAGAAATAATATCAACATGCATACATCCAATATATACATTACATTTGCTATTATGAAAAGCAAAGTTTTACCCATTAACTTCACTCACCCCCTAAGTTATTCACATCAAAATAAATTATTTTTAATGCGATGTTTTAAACTTAATGTGGGCTACTTTTCAACTAGAAGAGATGAGTAAGAATTCTGTTGGTAATCAATTCACTTGGCAAAATACAGCACTTCTGAAGTGATGTATTTAATTTGCATAGTATTGTACAATATAGTAAAATATATCTTGCTAAAAATTCTTTTAAAATATTTCTCCAGAAGAATGTTGGCGATTTCAGGGCATTACATGAAATTTGATGGGTTTTCTTTTTCTTTCTTAACAGCAGAGTTCGTAGATCAAGCTGATGGACCATCAAACAAACATTAATTAGTTATTATATAAACACATTTGGCAGCTGCATTTATTCTATAAACAAAGGCAGGTCAAATATGTCATCACAAAAATGGATCTAAATGAGCTATACATAGCCTGCAATTTATTATGCAGATAAAAATGATTTTTGGTAATAAATTTCTCATATAACTAATCAAGTTTATTTTCTAAACTCTGAAGAAACCATTAATTTGCCTTGTTATAATAATCTATTTTAATGGGCCATTTCCGAACTCCCTATATGGCTATTAATGACTTTGAATATAAAAGTCATCTCATGTTTCATGTATTCCTAGTTTTATTTTCATTAATCATTATAGACTCATTGAAGCACTGACTTTATTTTTTTTTTACATAAATCAGCAGCTGAGCACATTTATGAAGAATGACTTCTGTGAAGCTAAAGAGCCCTTCCCAGAGAGGAAAGAAAAGGCGGCTCCCCAGTCTGGCAACTCTTTGGCAAGGAGAACTTTAAGATAAACCTTCCAAAAGTCATTTACTTGTTAGGTATTCTCAGTTCTCTGAAACTTTAGAGCTCATACAAATTATGACTCCTCTCTGGGAAGAAGGGTATGGAAGGAGGCTAGCTGTCAGTGTGCCATTTCTTATAGTAACGTTTGGCCCATGATACCGTGGTGCTAACAAACATGACGTCACCAATTCCCAACAATAAGCCTCCTGCTCAACTTCCTGGGTTACTCTGGTCTATTTTCTTTTGTCAGGGTGACTATGGTTTAATAAAAATATATATTTTTATTGCCATTATGCCACTTGAGCTTGATTATGGTCCTAGGTCATTTATCTAGGACCCATTTCTGTATTTATGAAAGTTCTGTTGCTCTACCCAGATGTGCTTTTCTCAATAATGGATAAACTTTCCTTAATTATTATTAAAATGTTGATGATATACATTACATTTCAAACTTTCCTTTGTTTGAGATATTACCTCCATAATTTTATCAGTTTTACAAAATGAATTTTCAGGAAATAAAAACTAGGGGGAATGTGTAAGTTTGAAATAATTATTGTTTTCAAATTATATTCAGTGAAGACAATATAGTGTTAATATAATTTAGCATAGTATCCTTGCAGTGACCATTTTACTTTACACATATAACAACTAACAATTTTGTTCATGGATTATAATACTAAATCTAGTGGCATATGCTTTGTGTGCCCAGTGCCATTCTGCAGTGAGCCAGCTTCTCTTTTAGGCCCTGGAGATATAGGAATGCACAAATCAGACATGGTTCCTGTCCTCATGGAGCTGATGTCTGTGAAGCTATATATTTACTGGTTGATGTCATGCTTTAAGGCCCATCTTAAATTTCACTTTTTCTATAAAATATTCTTGAGACGATTTCTCCTTAACCTTAAACCTTACTCAATAAATTTTATACAACAGTGTATATTTCAATTGAGCTTCAGTATAGTGTAGTTTCAAGGGAGGGTCCTGGAACTATGGTGCTCTAGTTAGATTATTATCTCTGCCACTTACTAGTTGCATGTTCTTTTTTTTTTTTTTTTTTTGCTTTTACCATAAGAGTAAACCCAAATAAGATTAAGGTATAAACACTGAATACATCACATCATCTCTTTTATAGATTTTTGTTCTTCTACTAGATGATCTCTTTAAAATTACTAGCTCCGGAAGACTAAACTCCATTATACCCATGGGCCACATTGAAATAAGGAAAATCTGGCATCTTACATGTAAAATCTATGCTTTTATTTTAAAACCAAAACCGAAACCAAACCAAACAAAAATACTTTCCATACATCTGCTGTGGAAATTACCTCTAAATATTACTCAACATTAATAAAAAAAGTATAAGACAAATATACAATCTGCTAAGGAATTATCTGTTTTGTTTTGAAAGTCAATATGAGAAATAATGATGATTGATGATGATGATGATGATACTGAGGCTCATGATGATAAAGATAATGATGCTGACAAAAAATTCCTGGTTAAAGGTAGAAACTTAAGAAGAAAAATCCAGAAGTTATCTGTTTTTGTACCCTGTACTGAATAAAATGGCAATGTTTTAATAACAAGGGCAACAATGATTATAGTTTGTGGTCTCTAAATTGCTCCTAAATTATTTTTAAATTTGGTTTATAATATGGTTATCCATTGGGATTTTTTAAATTAAGTATCATAATAAGAATGGAACTTATTTTCACTATTATTAAACTTAGATATTTTGATTCTGAATATTAACCTTTTGTTTTCATATTTATTTTATGATTTTATTTTTTGTTTCTTTTAAAATGATATTTATGGTTTGTATAAATACTCTGAAATTCCATATTTTATGAATTCAAAATGAAACATTTTTCCGACATTTCTTCCATCATTCATCAGCTTTAGGAATTTCTTTGTCAGCAGATTCCTTTTAAATCTGAGATACATCTATTTTCCAGCCTTTCCTAGCCAAATAATTTACCAGTATTTCCAAAATCCTGACCGGCTCCAAAATGATTGAATTATCATCTTTTATTTAGCATATGTGTATAATTTCATACAAATACCAAGACAGTTTTCAACAAAAACTGAGTAGTAACGTATTTATATACCTAGGATACTTGAATTTGCGCTCAGGTGCTGCAGAAGTAATATGTAATTTCAAATGAACAAATGAACAATTGGATTCCAAATATTCCCAGTCTTGGAAGATTTCTTATAAACAATGTTTCTGTTTGCTAAAAATTGCTAGCTATATTCCTCTCTTAGAAGTTTATATTATATATTCCTATATTTGACAATGTAAAATGCTTGTGTTTATCTGGGGTTTTCCAGAATCACTTGGATTTAGAGCTTTTATCCCAATCAAAACCTCTTCTGAAAAATAATAAAAGCCTTTCTAATGAAGTCTCAAAGAACACACTTGGTCTGTTGAACTAGGTTTTATTTTAGGGCTAAGTCTGCAACTCCATTGATTGTTCTGTGAATTATTTTGTCAGTACCACTCTGCTCACTCAGTTTTAATTGCTATAGCTGTAAAAATAAAAAAAAAAAGTCTTATCTCAAGAAGTTTGTCTGAAATCATTGATCTTTCATTTTTAATTTGCTCAGAGTTTTTCCAGTTTATTGAAAATTCCAAATTAATTTAAGAAACAAGTTTTTGCATTCCAGTAAAATGTCATCAGAATTTTAATAGAAATTCTACTAAGTTTTAATTAAACTTTGTAGAATTGTTATGTTTATGCTATTTTGTCTTCCTTTACCATAGCATAGTATACTATGGTATTCCATTTATTAAAATCTACTTTTATGTCTCTCGGTAAACTTTTAGTTTTCTTCATTTAGTTCCTACACATTTCTTGTAAGATACTTAAAAACATTTCACATTTTTCATTAATGTTGTGAATGGAATATTACTTCCTTCCTATTACATCTTCTACCTGGTTATTACTGGGATGTAAGAAAGCCATTAATTTGTGCATATTTTTCTTGCATCTAGGGGTCAACTAGACTCATTTTTACTAACTTATTTTCAGAATCTAAGATTCTTTCGGGACTGAGTACATAATCATGATGCCTGAGAAGTGATAACTTTTTCTCCCTCTAATCATTTTAACTTTCCTATTTGTTTAATTTCTTACTTACTGCTAGAAACTTTTAAAATAAATAGGGAATCATAGTGTTAGGTGACATAATTCTCATACAAGTTTTAAAGATACTTTCTCTAGTGTGTCATTCTTAAATATAGTTTCCCCACCAAAAGTTTATGAATGGATTTCAGAAACTCTTTGAATGCATAAAATTATTTGCAATATTTCACATAATGTATGCATTTATTTGGGAAGAAAATTCTTAGCTTTAATAGAATTTTAAAGGGGTTTATACACAAAAAAGAGATTAAGAACCTACATTAAGAATATTTTACTAAATATAAAGAATTTTTTTAATGTATATATTTACCCTGTACAACATGATGTCTTGGCTATCAAGCTAATTGCCATATGCATCGACTCACATACTGTTTTTGGTAAGAAGATTTAAAATTTACCGTCTTTGCGATTTTCAAGAATACACTACATTATTAACTGTAGTCACCATTTTGTATAGTAGAACTTTTCAACTTATTTCTTCTAACTGAAATTTTGTGTCCTCATTCCTTAATTTTAACTTTTATAAACATGTTTATTTTATTTATTTTTATTTAGAGATGGAGTCTTACTCTGCTGCCCAAGCAGGAATACAGTGGTGCTAGCATAGCTCACTGTAGCCTTGATCTCCTGGTCTCAAGCAATACTCCTGCCTCAGTCTCCTGAGTAGCTGGGACCATGGGCATGTATCCCCAGATCAGGCCAATGAAATTTCTTTTTTCTTTTCTTTTTTTTTTTTTTTTTTTGAGACGTAGTCTCACTCTGTCGCCCAGGCTGAAATGCAGTGGCCCAATCTCGGCTCACTGCAAGCTCCGCCTCCTGGGTTCACGCCATTCTCCTGCCTCAGCCTCCCGAGTAGCTGGGACTACAGGCGCCCACCACCACTCCTGGCTAATTTTTTGTATTTTTAGTAGAGACGGGGTTTCACCGTGTTAGCCAGGATGGTCTCCATCTCCTGACCTCGCGATCCACCCACCTCGGCCTCCCAAAGTGCTGGGATTACAGGCGTGAGTCACCATGCCTGGCTCAAAATTTCTTTTATGTAGAAATGGGGGTCTTACTATGTTGTGCAGGCTGGTCTTGAACTCCTACCCTCAAGCAATCCTCTAGCATTGGTCTCCAGAAGTGCTGGGATTACAGGTATGCACCTGGCCAATATGTTTAAAATATATAAAGTAGGATCAGTGTCCCTCCTTTGAACTTTGGTGATATTTAACATAATGCATTACATCAGTAGCTATATTATTCTTAATTCATTGGTTAATTGCTTGAATTACAAATACCCAGTTTGGTGGCTTGAAAATGAGGGTATGATTTGACTCAATTAGCATATAATTTAATTTTTCATGTTTACATTATCAATTAACGTTTTTAATTTAATTTTTAAATTTAACTCTTTATCTTAAATTTCTTATTTAATTGCATTTTACATTAAATATTATAGATTTCTACATCCTAATTTTTAATAAAAGATTTATAAAAGATTATAACATCCGTTTTGAGTTATAGTGCCTATTTCAAATTTTGTTTGTTTGTTTTTGGTACTCAATTTAATTTCTTTGGTGAGAACATTTAATTTCTTTGGTGACAAACAGATGTTTGTTGATTGAATTGTTTTAATTCACCTGTCTTGTGATATACTCACTGTTTTATTATTTTTTCCAACTTATGACTCCTTATTTCTTTATGCTTTCCTCATGTGAGAATTTTTCTTCTGTCTAAATTTTCGAGATGAATGATAGATTATTTTTTCTTTCATATTAAATGTTGAAATGGTTTGGGGTTATATATTTTTCCGAGAGTACAGCCTTCTGTGCATTTCATAAATTTAGATACATCATGTTTCCATTTTAGTTATTTTATTTGTATTCTCTGTCATGGATATTCTCTGTTTGTCCCCTCAGATCCACTCTCATCTTTTTTCTGCTTTGTGCCCCAATGTGGTTAATCAGGGGGCATCCTTACCTTCCAGCTGCAGGTGAGTTCAGCCAGTGAGGAGCAACAGCAGATAGAAAGGATGGCAGAAAGTGAGGATGAGGAAGATTTCTCTGGATCTTTTTCTGTAGGGTCATAATGAGCTGACTGTAGCTCTCAATCAAAAATCACAGCTCTTGTCTGGAAGTTCTTTCCCAAAAGACCCTTCTGTGTCCAGTTTCTGGTCACTTCTCCTCCCTTGCACTTTCAGGACAGGAGGGGTCACAGTACTCCTGGTGTGCTAGCCAGGGGCTGCCATATCTTATGGTTTTCCTACATTTTGCCCTCACTTTAAAAATAATTACCTTAGAAAACTCTTCTTAGATTATCCCAATTTGAGTGTGTAACAGTTTACGTTCTGTAACAGTTTTAGTACTATTTTAATATAAACTATTTTGTAATCACTGATTTTCTTCTTAAATCCGAAGGTATGTTTGGTTGTTTGGGTATGGTTTTGTATGATACTGTATTTTATTTATTCCCAATGGACTTGAATGTTCTGAGTCTTAATTTTTGTGAACAGTGCTTTCTTTTCATTGTGATTAGAATGAACCACAGTCTGTTCAATCATTGTGTTTTCTTTCTTTTACTTTTTCTTTTAATGGCTTAATTATAACCCTTTTGACTGAAAGCCCAAAGGATCCTTGTAAAGCGACCTGCTGCAATTGATTCCCTGGCCATTATCGTTGAGACTTGTCATGGTCTCCACTTGAGAACTGAGACCATCTGTGTCAACATGCCTCAGGGTAGAACATTGATCACTTTGTGCCAAGATAATTTGTTTCAGGCAAGCTTTGTCTGAGAAAGATGAAACTTTACATCAATAAATAACTGCTTATTGCTTCAGGATATTCTTACAAAATGATGTATTGCAGATAGCATTCTGCTCACCTGATAAAAGAGCTCATTTACCAAGTTACTTTTACTTATCAAGACTAGTTTCAAGATACCACTTAGCTGTGTCTACTTATGCTAAACTATCATATCATGCACTTTGCCCAATCCCAATCATTTATCTGCCTTAACAAACCAACCTCAAACCACTTCACTCACGCTTCAAAGTCTTATAACTACCTTACATCTGATTTCTCTCTTTGGAGATGCCACAATGATCAGTAAAGCTGGAATTTTCCCTCGTTGCAATGAATGAAAATAACCATTGTTTTATCTAATCAGCACATTGGTGATATTTATGGGAGTTCAGCACAATCAGTCTTGGGAATTTAAAGAAAAATAGAAGAACATCAGTAAGACTGACTACAGAGACTGAAGGGTATCTTTGCCACCCTCAACATGTGAAGCATGTGGGGAGAACTGAGACCTCCTGCTATGACTGGGTCAACCTGAAAGTGAATCCTCTCACTTCAGACAAGCCTTCAGATGACTGAAGGTCTAGCTGACATTTGACCACAACCTCAAGGAAGAACAGCCAAGCTTCTCTGGAATTTCTGAACCTACAGAAACTATGAAAGATAATAGATATTGTTGGTGTTAGCCGATGAATTTGGGGGTAATTTGTCACACAGCAATAGATAATACATACAGTACATATATTCTTAAATATTTTTGTCTGAGTTTTATTGTTGCCAACAATGGTTTCCATTTTTCTACATCACACTCCATCATAACTAAAATTTGATTTTCCTTCTTGAGTTGGTCATTCAGATCTAGAACCATCATACGTTGAGTTTTCGAGTCAGTTAATTCCATGATATGAGTGTTCCAGTTGTCATTGATTTCAGTTGTCATGAAAAGGCAAGCAGATAGAAGTCCAGGATTCCAGATTCTAGATGATTCCATTGTATTTTCCCTTCCTTCTTCCCTCCCTCCTTACTTCTCTCTTTCTTTCTTTCCTTCTTTCTTTCTTTCTTTCTCTTTCTTTCTCTTTCTTTTCTTTCTTTCTTTCTCTTTCTTTTCTTTTTCTCTTTCTTTCTTTCTTTCTTTCTTTCTTTCTTTCTCTTTCTTTCTCTCTGTCTCTCCTTCCTTCCTTCCTTTCTTTCTTTCTTTCTTTCTTTCTTTCTTTCTTTCTTTCTTTTCTTCTTTCTTCTTTCCTTCTTTCTTTCTTTGACAGGGTCTCACTCTGTCACCCAGGTTGGCTCAATGCAACCTCTAGTTCCTAAATTCAAGAAGCAATCCTCCCACCTCAGCCTCCCCAGTAGCTGGGACTACAGGCTTATGCCACCACACCTAGCTAATTTTTGTATTTTTTTCTAGAGGTAGGGTTTTGACATGTTACCTGGGCTGGTTTTGAACTCCTTGGCTCAAGCAATCTACCTGCCTCAGCCTGCCAAAGTGTTGGAATTACAGGTGTGAGCTGCTGCACCTGGCCGGAAACTGTTTTTGATAACTGAGCATAACAAGGTTTTTTAAACTTCATAAGTATATCTGAGAGACAGAAAACCACTCAGAAAACTTTCTTACCTTTCAGTTCCAACATTTCAGCCTCCATTTCCTGAAAAATGTTGATATCCTCCACTACTTGAGCTAATTATGAATTGGGTCTAATTAAAGGCCTCCTGTGGTCTCTGAATCACCTCTACTGTCTTCATGAGAACAGCACATAGAGGAATGAATATTTACATATATTCACAAACACATATAAATAGAAACAAAAATTCATATTATGGCTGAAAATTGACTGAATGTAAAGCTATCTTTAAACTAACAAAACTTTCATGTATTATTCAACTATATACAAACATAATACCAGTTATTTAAAATTCAGTCACTTTCCAGTTTTATTCATTTTTGATCCTTACTACACATATAATATCATTTTAAAAGAGCAGATAAAGATAAAGAAAACTAAAATCTAAATTAGGTATACTTGTTAAAGGCTTATTTTTGAAAGTAATCATTTTGTCTATAACAGTCAAAAAAATTTGTGTCATTAAACAGAATATTCTGCTTGAAGTGCTTTTTCGTTTTGAAGAATTTGAGAGGTAACTGAGAAATTGTTATTACTAAAAATATATAAGCAATTATTTTGGAAAAGATGAACAGAAAAAGATAGTCTGAAGGTAAATTCTACATAAAAAACTCTTGTGTGCTAAAATATTCATTTTGACCTGTTTAAAATTGGTTTCCTAAACGTAATATTTGCCCAGATTCCACTACACACACACAAAGATTCCCCCATATTTTATAAATATTTATGATGACCGAAGGAAACTATTTTGAAAGGACAAAAAGCATGAATTAAATAGCAATATGAAAAAAAGCAATCTTTCTTCTTTCAATTCTATTCAGAAACTTGAACTGAGCTAATAAAGCACTGTTTAATAAAATTCTATAGGGAATCTCCTTTACAAAAAGGTGTTTGCAGGGTTTATTTTACCTTAAATGAGTTAAGCATCTCTACATGCAAACCTGTGTATTCTATTTGTTTGCTTAAGAGAAAAATGGGTTTTCTGTGGCAAGATAAATGGGAAATTTTAACCTACGCTTCCTGAATTTTTATAGCTTTAATAGTAGTAGAATCCCAGTGAATCACATTCTAGGATTCTATTTGGTATACAGAAGCTGACAAATGTACTGGTTAGGGATTTACTCTGAGTGTTAACTTGTGCTGCAGCCAAATCGACTCAAAGAAATAGAGTGGATATCTTCTCTGAGGTCCTGACCTGTTCCAGGTTAATACTACTTCCAGAATTTCACTACTCTCATTCCAAAGAAGCTTAAATGATTAAAAAAAGGAAAATTTAACTGCATAATTTGAGATGCATTCTTTTGGTTGTTTCATACCCATTGTACGATATAATTTATGGAGCATATAATCTACTTGCAGAGTGAATTTAAATAATTTAAATAATAATTTGTTATTCAACCATACATACAAACAGCAAAGACTCATCATAAGTATTGTTACTAGGAAATTGCCATGATATTGCTCTAAGTGGCTTTGAATGCAGCCCAATACAAATTGTAACATTCCTTTTTTTTTTTTTTTTTTTTTTGAGATGCAGTGTCACTCTTTCACCAGGCTGGAGTGCAGTGGCACGATCTCGGCTCACTGCAATCTCCACCTCCCAGGTTCAAGTGATTCTCCTGCCTCAGCCTCCTGAGTAGCTGGGACTACAGGCATGCACCACCATGCCCGGCTCGGCTAATTTTTGTATTTTTGGTAGAGATGGTGTTTCACCATGTTGGCCAGGATGGTCTCAATCTCCTGACCTCGTGATCCACCTGCCTCAGCCTCCCAAACTACTGGGATTACAGGCGTGAGTCACTGCACCCAGCCTGTAAACTTTCTTAAAACATGATGAGATGTTTTTGTGATTTTCTTTTTTAGCTCACCAGCTATTCTTAGTGTTCATGAATTTTATGTGTGGCCCAAGACAATTCTACTTCTTCCAGTGTGGCACAGGGAAGCCAAAAGTTTGGACGCCCCTGCTCTAGATTATCACTCTATTCTGCACCATACTCAATTATCACCAAAGACTTCTTGGATTTCTAAAAGATTTTTTTTTAAGTGCATAATCATATATATTTTTTTTCATCTAGGATTCATAAATAAACCCCTACTGGAGGTGGATATTTAATAAATCTCTGTTTTGAAGGGTCAATTATAGTTGCTTGGCAAGAGAGGAGGCTTGGCATAGTGGCTCACACCTGTAATCCCAGGACCTTGGGAGCATGAGACAGGTGGATAGCTCGAGGCCAGGAGTTTGAACTAGCCTAGGCCACATAGTGAGACCCCATACCTAAAAAAAATAAAAAATAAAATAATAGAAAAAAAAAGAAGCCTTAAAAATAAGGAAATCCTGTCATTTGTGACAATAAGGATGAAATTGGAGGACATTATCTTAAGTGAAAAGTCAGGCACAGAAAGACAAATCCCACTGATCTTACATGTGGAATCTGAAAAACTCAAACTCAGAAACAGCAAATAGAATGATGGTTACAACAGAGTCTGGAGGAGGTGGGGTGGGAGGATTGGGGAGATGATGGTCAAAGAACATGAAATTTCAGTTAGATCAGAGGAATAAGTTCAAGAGATCTATTGTGCATCATGATGACTATAGTTAATGACAGTATATTATGCACTAAGAAGTTGCTAAGAAAGTAGATTGTTAAGTGTTCTCACCACAAAAGATATGTGTGAAGTAATGCATATATTAGATTAATTTAGTGATTTCACAGTGAATACACATATTGAAACATCATGTACACCACAAATATATACATTTTTTTACTTGTCCACTTAAAAAATTTTAAAAATTGTGCTGTTTTTGTTCACTGTTTGTGGTAATTTGTTATCATAGCAATAGGAATTAATACAGAAACTAAGGCCTGAATTGGTCATGTACCTTGTGCAAAATCATGCAGACAGCAATTGATATAGTTGTCTATACCAACTGAAGAGCTTTGAAGAGTAAGCATCTGGCTTTAATGAATATATTCTGAACATCAAACTCTATTTTGCCCAATCTCTGTTTGACAGACATCATATTCTAACATAAAATAATACAGCATATATGTCTGTCTGTGTGCGCATTTGTATGTGTGTTTCACAAACTTACATACTACCATATTCCTTATAACTCTCAACCAATAACCCAACAAGGATAAAGACCTGCACTGGAATCCTTTGCCAACTAAAACCAAAGCAAGAGCTTAGCTACAATGACCTCATCTGCTAACAGGCCTCTGTAGTCCTTAGTGGCTGTTTAACTCATGAGAGAGAGAAAGGTCAGGGCAGGTAAAGTAGTGAAATACAAGAGCCTTCTGTACAGTTCAACACCTTCTCAGGTTATCCTCTTAGTGAATTTTGAAAATACTGTCATGGTATATGTATGTGCAATAAAAAATTTGGAAATAGAAAAAATCTATTTAAACAATATTAATCTATTATTATAAGTTAAATAGGGTTAACTTCAGATTTAAAATTGTGGTAACCAGAAAGTTATTCAAATGACAGTGATGCTGTTTATATTTATTAATGAAAAAGTCATTCATCTAAACTTTTATTTATTCATTTATTCGATAAATACATGTTGAGTGCTCCAGTCAGTGGAGCTGGGGAAAGTCTTTTATCCATAAAATGAGCAAAGAAAACCTGAACAAGTTAAATTGTCCAAATCAAAACAGGTAAGCATTTACGTTCTGCCACAGAATCATTAAAGCAATTAGGAGAAGGTTTAAAAAATAATAATAAAAAGTAATTAAGTAGCAACTGTAATTATAGAGAAATTCTTTCACATTTATACCCATTTATTTAAGAGAATTATATTTCATTTACATAGGACTTTATGATTCATAAAAATTTGACATATTTTATCCTTGTGAATATTTGGGAGTTACAGGAGACAAGTGCTATTTACATATCTATGAGTGGCATTGGAGTGCTAATTGTTCGCAGTTGAACAGATTTACCCCCCTATTCTGTCACCATGTAGCTATGTGATCTTAGGTAATAATACTGGCTAATATTTCTTGAGTGTTTAATAAATATCTGATAGTTTTCTTGTCTGTCACATGTCTTTACTCATTTGATTTTAAACCAGTGAAGTAGGTATTTTTTTTTCTCTCTCTCTTCTTTTTTTTTTTTTTTTTTTGAGAGATGAAGTCTTGCTCTGTCGCCCAGGTTAGAGTGCAGTGGCACGATCTTGGATCACTTCAACATCCACCTCCTGGGTTCAAGCGATTCTCCTGCCTCAGCTTCCCAAGTAGCTGAGACTACAGGCATGTGCCACCAAGCCTGGCTAATTTTTGTATTTTTTGATACAGACGGGGTTTCACTATATGTTGGCCAGGCTGGTCTCGAACTCCGACCTCAGGTGATCCACCTACCTCGGCCTCCCAAAGTGTTTGGATAATAGGCGTGAGCCACTGCGCCTAGCTAGCATTATTATTTTCATATCCCTATACTGATAAGGCAACTGAGGCACAGAGAGATGAAGAACTTTTCAAAATTCACAGTCTTTATTTGCTGAGCTGATTTTGAACCTAGGCATCCTGATTGTAAAACTCCCATTTATAAAGTGTATATTCTGCTTACTTTCCTGATTGGTTACCACCTTTCTGATCTATTTTTCTCTTCTATACAAAAAAAAAAACAGTAGGCTTGTGAGGAAAAATGGTAAGAGACATCATGTAAAGCAATTTACACTATGTCTAGTACATGATAAAGTATTATTAAATCATTGTTCTAGCATTCTTTGGGAATCTAAAGAAATTACAACTCAGAAATTTGTTTTAAATTAAATTTAAGGAAGTTACACAGGTGAAAGTGGAGTAGCTTAATCTAAAATCTTAGTTGTATGGATTAAAATCTAGTGCTCCAAAACACATTGAAATTTAATGCTGACTGTAGTTTTGTTGTAAGAGCAATAACATGTTAGAAGACAGATGTGTTTTAAAGGACAACCCCAGGCTGAGAACCTCAGTGCTGGAAAATAGGAAGGATGAATGCCAAAAGTATGGTGTTTCTTGTGAAACCTCACAGAGTGAAGACCTACACCCATATACAGGTAAAACCTTAAGCGTTAGTGGTCAAATAGAATGAAATGCCTCGAGGCATCATTTCTTTGGGTCTCTACTGTTTTAGTTCACTGCTGGGGCACTTACTTCCTTGATGTAAAATGTCTTTGAGTCCTGCCTGGAAATTGGCCAGGGATGCTTTAGTACGGAAATCAATTAATTTTTCTGAGGAAGCAAAACACACCAGAAATGAGTATTTGGTTGCTTAGTCTTTTATGTTATTCTATTATTTCTTATCAGGGGATGAATGTTGTGTTTTAGATGTAAAGCAAAAAACAAAACAAAACAAAACAGAAACAAGAAAGGAAGAAAAATATAAAAGAACCAGGTTTCTATAAGATCAAATGCATATTCCCTTTCTCAGAAAATTGAGTTTGTGGCTTCTCAGTAAAGAGAGTCAGGAGTCAGAACCAGAAAAGTCATATAATTAAATGATCATTAACTTCCTTGACAGCAGTGAAAAGATGTAAAGCTCCTAGTGATGATAACAGAAAAAAGAACATACCTTCTTCCAAATGTTACAGCAACTATGTTCTTGCAGAAAATTAATGAACAATCTATGGGTCAACATAAACTTACATTGTAAATCCACCACATAGATAACTTTGGATTTTCATTTACATGATGACCTTCAATGTAATACAAGTTTATTCTGCAGTTTGTAATACAAGTTTATTCTGCAGTTTTTGGTGAAACCTTAAAATCAGATACTAACATGTATCCTTTAATTTTCATATGTACATGGATTCATTTGGGATCCAGTACTTGAACTTGTTATGATTAATAAAAGAAGAACCTAGACAGGCTCAATACCTAAATACTATATTGGGGATCAAAACAAATTACTGATTAATATATGATACTGTACACCTGATTCCTAATACAAGTAGAAATAATGTTAATAAGATTATGGGATTGAAGGGAATGAGATACTCTATAAGGCCATGACTTCTTTGTTTGTTTCCTTTTGTAGAGAGAATTTGGTGGTTTAAGAAATTATAAAATAAAGCTGTTACTATAGGTTCATTTTATATTTTTATGTAAAAATCCATTCAGAATTTTACTTCTATGTTCTAAATCCAATGCATTGCAAATTTTATGTATAATACATTTGTGTGAGTTATATTATTATCAGACAATAATATTTTAAAACTTGCTCTCTCAAATGGAGAATCCTAGTAAGACGAATTTGCTAAAATTTGATTAAACTGATCTAGTTATTAAGTATATTTCTTTTGTGAGACTAATTTTGTTTAGAGACACTTAAATTTACAATGTAGAAAAGGCAGAATAAATAACTGGAATTATTACTTGCTTCCAAACGCAGAAAATTAGCAGTGACAGCAAGAAATAGGTGTGTCATAAGCAATTTATGAGAATAAGAGATGAATAAATCTCAGTGATTGAGTTGCCTCACAAATATACTGAAATATCTAATATTAGTTTGAGTATGAAAACTACCCCAGGATTGTTTTCTCACTTAAAGTTGCTAAGCAAACAAAAATATCTAACGGCAAATTAACTGATCAGGGGAAAAAAAGAATGAGAGAGACAGAGACTGAAACAATTCAAAATCTGCCTAGAGCAACAGACAGGTGTTTTATTTAAGGTGCTGCACTTTGCTGCCTGTCTCTGATGACTGATGTGACAAAGATTGCTATTGAATTCTAAACTCCAAGTTTTAATAATGAGCTAAAAATGACAGTTGTCTTTGTCAGCAAAAAAAGATTCTTTCCCTGGTATTCTTCACCTTTAGTTTCTGCCAGGTGAGGGCTGAGGGTGCTTAGAGTTAGTGCTAGTTATCATGATTAATTTTATGTCCAGATATTTAATCTGGAGTGTCCAGATATTACATTAAATATTATTCTGGGTGTGTCTATGAGGGTGTTTCTGGATAAGCTCAACATTTGAAATGGTAGGCTAAGTAAAGCAGATTACCCTCCTCACTGTGGGCTGGTCTCAACCAATTGAGTGAAGGCTTGAATAGAACAAAGGCTGAGCAAGAGGGAATTAGCTCTCTCTGCCTAGTGTTCTTCAAGCTGGGATATCAGTCTTCCCTTTGTATTTGAACAAGAACTTATACTACCATTTTGTCCTCAGGCCTCTGAACTCCAGATCTTGGGACTCCTCATGAGTCCTAATCACATGAGTCAATTTCTTATAATACATCTCTTTATGTATGTTTTTTCCGCACAATATAATAATAATCTTTCTTTTAATTTCTTAAAATTAGTCTGTATATAAAGGGAGAAAGGAAGGGATCACTATCTATCATCTATCTATCTATCTATCTATCTATCCATCTATCTATCTCTATCTTTTTTTTTGAGATGGAGTCTAGCTCTGTCACCCAGGCTGGAGTGCAGTGACGCGATCTCGGCTCACTGCAACCTCCGCCTCCTGGGTTCAAGTAATTCTCCTGCCTCAGCCTCCTGAGTAGCTGGGATTACAGGCACGCACCACCATGCCTGTCTAATTTTTTTTTTTTTGCATTTTTAATAGAGACAAGGTTTCACCATGTTGGTCGGGCTGGTCTAGAATTCCTGACCTTGTGACCCGCCAGCCTCAGTCTCCCAAAGTGCTGGGAGTACAGTCGTGAGCCACCGCGCCCGGCCCTATCTATCTATTTCTATCTATCTATTATCTATCTATCTCTTAAGGGTTTTTTATCTGGAGAACCTTGACTAATATACCAGTGTTACTTATCTATTTGAACTCCTGTACTTTTCTGCCATGAAAATCTG
This sequence comes from Homo sapiens, assembly GCF_000001405.40. Classification (NCBI taxonomy): domain Eukaryota; kingdom Metazoa; phylum Chordata; class Mammalia; order Primates; family Hominidae; genus Homo; species Homo sapiens. The sequence goes on along the minus strand of NC_000010.11, from coordinate 65,204,471 downwards.
GGAGATACAAGATAGCTTATTCACTGTAGCTTTATACACACACACATGCACTAGTATGTATATAACATATGATATAGATATGTGTTTATAAATGTGCATATACGAATATATGTGTGTATTAATACCCTAGTTTGGCCAGAAAAACCAACTCCCCACCAGATAATTCAACTGAGAGAATTTTATATGGGGACTTATTTACAAAAGTATTTAGAACAGTGGAGAGAATGAAAAAGATGATACAAAATCAATTTTATTAGGCCACTACCCTCCTTAGTTATAGATGGGCAAATGGAACAGAATACTGGAACCTAGGAGCCTGGGCTACCAGGTAGGAGCAGAAAACTCAGTGGGGCCACCTGATGGGAGACAGAACCAACCACAGAGATAAGACCACTGCTGATGACACTACTCAAAGCAGATAAATAAAATTAAAAATACCTTGGCTTCTCCCATTGGTTAAAGCTAGCATGGAAGCCTGAGAAACAAAATTAGCAGAGTTCAGCTTCCGTGACTCAGAGCAAACAAGGGAATGGGTAAAAAATGATTCTGAAAGCAAGCACATGATTAACATATATAAATGTATATGCATTAGTATGTTTATGTATCATATATAAATGTATAATATATATAATATGTGCATGTTTATAAGATATGCATATATATTTTATATATATATATATATATGTACATACTCCAAATTTTTATAATGGGGAGAGTTTTTAAGAAAGACTCAGATACTATTTTTAAAGTGCCTTTTGCTCAGCAGCTTTGCTTTCTCCTGAAATGAAAAACATCTAGGCATCATGGGTCAGAACAGAAAAAAATGATGGATCAAATTCCTAAGGCTATTAAGAATTGCACATTGAGACTACTCAATGGGACTGCCACTTACTCTCGCCGAAGTAGTTAGGAAGAACAAGTATGCATAAAACTGAAGTTGAGTTTCTTTAGGGAATGATATATTCCTTACCACCAATTAATAAACTGTTTTTATTTCCTTCTTTTTGTTAAAAACTGAGGCTCAGAGAATCTAAGGTACTAAAACAAAGTATTTAATGTTACAGCTTCAATTTGAGTTCACTACAAACCTTTCACTATCACAGTCTAAATTTGTGGGAAATCTACTCTGGAGTGTAAGGGCAGGTCTGGCTTCGCGGGTGTTCAACCTGTGCATTGCACAGAGGCACGTGCTCAAAAGGGTCCCATCCTGATTTAATGTTTTGCTATTGTCCTCTTATAATACTGTTATCTATAAACTGTCTATAAGCTATAAAACTATTTTATAGTTTACAAACCTTTTGTAAGTGAATTCTGATGAAACAATGGAGTGTGCATAAACAGAGGTGATATAAACAGTAGGTGCATCTACTACCATTTCTTGCATATAGTATTCATCCTACCTCCTGAGCACAGAATTCTGGTGAACTCATGATATATGGGAGTTTAGCGAGACTCGAACTGAGCAGCATTACATCTGTGACTGAAACAGGGGCATTGACAGCCCCAAAATGCCACACTCTTTATTCAAACCAAAACATGTTTAGGACACAAAAAGAGGGTAGCGCATGGCTTTCTGAAATGCAAGAATGGACCAGGCACAGTGGCTCATGCCTGTAATCTCAGCAATTTGGGAGGCCGAGGTGGATGGATCACTTGAGGTCAGGAGTTTGAGACCAGCCTGGCCAACACATGAAACCCCGTCTCTACTAAAAATACAAAAATTAGCCAGGCGTGGTAGTGTGCACCTCTAGTCCCACCTACTCAGGAGGTTGAGGCAGGAGAATCACTTAAACCCCGGAGGCAGAGGTTGCAGTGAGCCAAGATCACACCACTGCACTCCAGCCTGGCTGACAGAGCGAGTCTCTCTCTCAAAAAATAATAATAATAATAAAAATAAAAAAATAACTATACATGGGGTAGCTTCTGCCTGATACTTCAACTCAAGCAGAATCTGGAGAAAATTTCAAGAGTTCACTAGTAAAAAATGCAGTTATTACTTGCTTGTAAAAATAGCATGTTTAATTCTTAAATTGAATTATTAATTTGGCTAGCCATAAAGAAAATAAACTGGCATTTCCATGTTTTATTATTTTTATTTCCTAATTAAATCATTCAGGTGTTGAAAGTTTGGTTCAAGCTTCTCTTGAAAGAAATTTCTAAGCAGATTAAGAGCTATTTAGACTCACAGTTGGCAGAAAAGATTATGTTTTCATGCCTGCATATATATTTCCTGCCTGTCTCTAGAGCTTCTTGACAAGGATTTTGTTTCTCCTCCCTCTTATTTGTGGAGGATGAAAAGTTAACGTGATACAGCTATGTAGAAATTTAAGAGAAGTTTATACGTTAAAAAAAAAAAAGTAGCCCTTTTGCAAAAATCCAGGGAATTCTTGGAGTTTATTTTTAAAACAGTTAAAAAAATTTTAGTCTTTTTAATGACATTAATTTCCTAAAATTAACATTCAACCCCATAAATATCATAAGGGTGACTATCACCCTTATTAACAATATGCTTATCCTTTATTTCAGAGAAGAGTCATTAAAAATGAATCTTTTAAAAAGTTTAATTATATACAATGTCTCTTACTATACAAAAGTTAATAATAGATATGAAAAATAGATGTCCTGTAGGCAAACAAGTGCGGGGAACATTTAAACAGGGTTTTATTTGGTTTTGATTTATTTATTTTTCCCTGTAGTCTTTTTCATAGCCTATAATGTGAAAATATGCATTCAACGTCTCCAAGACACTTTTGGAGTGAGTACCAGGAGTATCCTTTCTTCTCTCTGATGATTACTTCCCACTGAAGAAATGGCCAGTTCAGTTGGATCACATATCTACTGAATGCTCCAAATGTAAAACAGATGTTATTATTTCTCTCCTATAGCCTCTTGAATATGCCTGCACCCAGGCCTATTGTCTCTTCTCAGTTTGTAATTCACTGGGTAAGCCAGGTAGGTACCAACACATATTTTCGGTCCCAGGGATATGACGGAAGAAGAATCCCTTTTTTGGGCTTCAGATTTAAAGCCAGATTTAGATCTGGGTCCCCACCAAATCTCATGTCAAATTGTAATCCCCAGTGTTGGAGGCGGGGCCTGGTGGGAAGTGGTTGAATCATGGGGGTGGATTTCTCATGAATGGTTTAGCACCATTCGCCCTTGGTACTGTCCTTGCAAAAGTGAGTGAGTTCTCACCAGATCTAGTTGTTTAAAAGTGAATGGCACCTCCCGCCTCACTCTCTCTTGCTCCTTCTCTGGCCATGTAACATTTCTGCTCCCCCTTTGCCTTCCACCATGATTGGGAATGCTCTGAGGCCTCTCCAGAAACCAAGTAGATGCTGCCATGTTTCCTGGACAGCCTGCAGAACTGTGAGCCAATTACACCTCTTCTTTATAAATTATCCAGTCTCAGTTGTTTCTTTGTAGCCATGAGAGAATAAAATAATACAGAAAATCATTCTCTAATTTATTTTGTCTTGATTATAAAACCAATATTTGATTTTTGTCTGCACAGTAGGATTTCCTAAACTGTAGTTCCTTCTCTTCAGTTCAGACAACTTATTGAATAAAGCCTAGGAAAAAATACCCATTGTATTTGAATGAATATTTTTAAGGAACATCTTGGTTATTAGTTATAATGTGTACTGATACATGCATCATGAGCTAAATTAAATTATTCTTCTAGAAAATAACTAATGTTCTCAAACATTTTAGATCTTTTGATGTAAATTTTCTAGATTACATAGCAAAATAAACAAATTCATAGTTTTCGTTTTTCATATTTTTAAAGCAATTTCAAATAGTGCATGCTTATTATCAAACATTTAAAAGTGCAGAAATGAGGAGTGGACAGTGAAAATTCTCCATTATTACTATTCCCATAGATGCAAGTTGGTGCAAATACTTCCAGAGAGGTTACAATTATACACATTGCACATATGTATGTGTGTACATGTGCATATGTATTAGTAGGGGTTATCTAGAGGGTCAGGACAAATAGGATATATATATATATATATACATACATATGTATGTGTGTGTGTGTGTATATATATATATTCATATATATATATATATATGTATGAAAGGGAGTTTATTAGGAGAATTGATTCACATAATCACAAGATGAAGTCTCACAATAGGCAGTCTGCAAGCTGAGAAGCAAGGCAGCCAGTCCAAGTCTCAAAACTTCAAAAGCAGGTAAGCTGGTAGAGCAGCTTTCAGTCTGTGACTGAAGGCCCGAGAGCCCCTGGCAAACCACTGATGTAGATCCAAGGATCCAAAAGCTGAAGAACTTGGAGTCCAATGTTTGAGGGCAGGAAGCATCCAGCATGGGAGAAAGATGAAGGCCAGAAGACTTAGCTAGTCTAGTCCTTCCACGTTCCTCTGCCTGCTTTTATCCTAGCCATGCTGGCAGCTGATTAAATGGTGCCCACTAAGATTGAGGGTGGGTCTGCCTCTCCTAGTCCACTGACTCAAATGTTAATCTCCTTTGGCAACACCTCATAGAAACACCCAGGAACAATACTTTCCATCCTTCAATCTAATCAAGTTGACATTCAATATTAACCATCACATGCATAAAATTATTCACATAAATAATCTTAAATGGTGTTATTTTGACACACACAAATACAATTTTAATGAGTTTTCTTATACACATCAGAAGATTTCCTATATGCATAATTCATTTTAATACTAGAATAATTTTTTGGGTATAATGTACCTTTTCACTATATGCAGTAAACCTCACTTTGATAGAGACTCTTATGAAATTGAAAAAAAAAGCTTCTGTGGAAAATGGCATTGGTATTTTGATAGACATTGCATGGAATCTGTAGATTGTTTTGGGCAGTAGGGTTATTTTAATTAATTAATGCTTCCAATCTATGAGAATGGGATATTTTTTTCTATTTGTTTGTGTCATCTACAATTTGTTTTACAGTTTTCCTTGTAGAGATCTTTCAATTCCTTGGTTAAATATATTCCTAGGTATATTAATTTTTTGTAGTTATTGTAAATGGGATTGCCTTCTTTATTTGGTTCGCATCTTGATCATTATTGATGTACAGAAATGCCACATGTAAAATTTGTTTTTAAAAAATGCTTAAACATTTAAAATATACAAAGATTTTTTTTATTAAATCTGTAAACTTTGTTCATTTATGTTTTTTAGGATGACTTACTTATAAAACAAAATATTCAGTTGACATATTCAAAATAAATAAACAGGAATATGTAATGTAATACGTATACCTTTGTATATATGTAAATATATACAAATATCTTTTGGTATCCTCAAGGGATTAGTTCCCAGACCCCTGTGGATACCATAATCCAAGGATGCTCAAGCACCTAATATAAAATGGCATAGTAGTTGCATATAACCTATGCATATCCTCCCATATATTTAATCTCATATCTACATTACTTATATGTCTAATACAATATGAATGCCATCCAAATGGTTGTTCTACTGTATTTTTCATATTATTTTTTATTGTTGTATTGCTATTTTAAAAATATTTTTCATTTGCAGTTGGTCGAATTCATGGACGCAGAACCCATCGATAAGGAATGGAGCTGGTTTATTACTCCAAAATAAGCTGAATAAAATCCTGTTAGAAGAAAGTTAGTGCAATGAGTTATGCTTAAAAAAACAATACTGGGTATGTGGCTGGCAGAAAGAACCTTCTGATTATACAGCTGCAGCAACTCTACTAGACTGAACAAAGGGATTAGGACTGACAGCATGGGGAATCTAAGCCAAAATTGGAATTCCTTATTAGCAAAAGTTACCACATGGCAATTCAGGTAAATCAAACCACTAGTGCCAAGCAGAGTGTTAACAGAGCCATCTGGGGAAATGAAGAATCACAGAATATCTGGCAATGAGATGTCTCTGAGACTGAGGCAAAGTACTGTATACTTTAACAAATGGCCAATTGCAACATTTCATTTAAACCAGAAGAAAAATATGGCTTACTCTTATAATATATAGAGTACTACATGGTAAGCTTGATGTATAGGACCTTAAGAGACTCATTTAATTGAATAGGTTTTCCCTTCCTGAAAGCAAATCCCAATAAAATTCATTTATTTATTTAAACATGACAGTCTACATTTACAATAAGTATAAGTTAGGACATGTGAAATACAGTGCATGGATGCTTTTCAGCTCAAAGAAATTTGGGGCCAAAAGTCAGGGTAAAAATAAACATATAGTCCTCCAGGATACTCCTGAGATTACTCTGGACAGCCCTGCTCTATCTACCCAGACTGATGCTCTTCAAGATGATCCCTGCTGATTAAGAAATACATTTTGAATTAAATGCTCTCACTGTCATACAGGAGAGCAGAAAGTCCACAGAGAATGAAGCAGCAGCGATAAATCAGCTTTCTGTCATAGACTGAGTATCTGTGTATTTTCTCTACTCTCTTTCTAAATAAAATTGATGTCCTTGAAAACAGACATGAATTTTGAATTATAACTCTTGAACCAACTACTAAAGAAGCTGACTTTTGTTTTTATGAAACTTATTTGTTATCATTTTTATTGCAGGCACTCCAAAACACACAAACAATATGCTAAGCAATGAGCATGATGTCTACATTCCATAAGAAACATGAAGGACAAACATTTTAAATTATTTTTTCATTACTTTTTGAATACATTCTCATGACCCAGTGGTATTTTACACTTATTATATCATGTACATGTTGAAAACAATGCTAAAATGATGCAGAATGAATGTTAAGCATTTGTTGAGAAGTGAAATTAAGAGTTTCTAGTATGTTGGTATAGTGCCTTCACAGAATAGGAAAACAAAATATAATTCAGCAGTTTAATTCAACAAATATTTATCTAAACTCTACAGTATGCCAGATAATGTGTAAGGTTATGGAAGCAAAAATGAATAAGGCATAGTTATGTTCCTCCAGGGGTTAGGACATGAAACCTAAAGGCGGGTGTAATGATAAGGAGTACTTAAAATTTTCTTATGAGAAGGAAAACTTACCTGAGCTCTGTCCTGACTGATGAGGATATATTTCCTCTGTCTGGAGAGTACATGTTTTTACTCCCGTCTAACAATGAACACCTTTCAAAACATACTGAGTTTACTCCATTTCATGTTTGTCATCCCTCTATTCTTTCAGACCTGTATTAATGAGCTCAGGTTGCCATGATAAAATACTGTAGACTGGGTGGCTTACACAACATGCACAGTTTTGAAGGCTGAAAGTCTGGGGTCAGGATGCCAGCATAGTGGGATTCTGGAGAAGTCTCTTCCTGACTTGTAGATAGCCTTTTTACAGTGTCTTACATGGCAGACAGAGGGGGTTGCAGTGAGAGAGAGAAACTTTTCAGAGTTTCTTCTTACAAGGGCATTTCTCCCATCATGAAGGCCAACACCCATGACCTCATATTAATCCAATTATCTCCCAAAGACCATCTCCAGATGCCATTACATTGGGAGTTAGGACTTAAACATATAAACTTTGCAGGGAACAAAACTCGGTTCATAACAAGACCTCTCTCTTTATGGTGTCTCTGACATTCTGAGTGCCAACTAGAGTGTTAGCAGTATTTTCATTGTTCAAAATCCCTTGAGTTTTGCTTTTGTTTTTGTAGACAGCTGAGTAAACAAGAAATACAACTTGAGTCCCAGAGCTATCAAATAATCCAATGCTCATCCCTTGCCACCCCTCATGTTATGTATGCAGCATCGGAAGCCTAGGAATACTAAGCAACTTTTCTAAATTCACCCATTTTTAACTGCAAAGCAAGGACTGAGTCCTTTAAGTTCCAACTTGGACTGCTGGCCACTTGACTCATTTACTTCCAAGTGCAGGGAAAACGATTAAGACCATAATTCCAAAGGTAAGCATTAGGACTTTAAAAACTAAATTGGGAAACTATTCAGTGTTACAGTTTTAAGAATTCAGAGCCAAACCTCTGACATACAATGATTGTTCCCATCAACAAAAAAAAGACAGCATACTATCACTTCTCCCTTTTTCTTTGTTTCTGTTTTCTCTTGTGTGCTGTTAGTATGGTTTTACTAGAAACAAACTGGAATAACTCCTGTTGGACTTCATTTCCAGCTTTTAAGTACTGGCTTACAGGGCAGGCAATACTTCAAAGGGAGTCAGTCTATAGAAATATCAATCAACCAGAGAAAAAGTCCACTCACTACACAGAGGGAGGAAATTGTTCCAATTGGTAAGCAGTGTTCAGCACAATAAAAAGAAGTGAGTCTAAGCAGAACACCCTGACTTACATTACCTTAATTTAACTATTGGAGAATTGAAATAGGAAAAATGAACGGTACATCTAAACTGTGGTAAGACTGAATAAGCTGGACCAAAATGTTTGAATATACTTCTACTTCCAAGTGATGTGGAAGTAGAGAGACCTAAGTGCTATGTGAAACAATATCATATTATTTTAGTTAGGTAATTGTTACCCTGAGGCTTGAACGATCCATAGAGATATTTCATAATGAATTTGAAGTTCTGAGTAAATTTGGATATTTTTAAAGCATTTTTTCACTAACATCGAAGTGAATTTAGTGTTTCCCTCAAATATGAATGTTGGCAACAAACCATGACTATTAGCTGTATCTGTTAATTTTCACCAGCCAAAATTACAGGTATTTCTCAATCACATCATAGCTGCTGCAAGTATCTTGACATAACATTAGGTAATTACAGTAGTAACTAAGTCCACACTTAGATCTCATTAATTAGTTAATAAAAAAGCAACATATTTTAACATATTATATTTCTTAAAATATAGTAAGAAGTATATTTCAATGTATTTGTTTTCTTTTATGTTTGGTTTCCTTCCAATCTATATAATTATTTCATGCATTTTAAACCATTATTTTGAATTTTAGGAGGGTACTAGCAGGACACTTTTAGTTGTCAGAGACAATTAAACACATGCACACACACAGATTTGAGGATTGCATTTCAAAACCAGACATACCAATTTCACACTTGCATCAGTCATCCTGGGGCCTCAATAATGTAGACAAGTCCATTGGAAGGAGTAGGAAACCAGTATGCAGAACAGAAGTTGGTGTTGTCTTACCCCCGAGGGCACCTCTGCATGTATGGCACAGTGTGCACGTCTACCTGGCAAACTTAAATGTGGTTCAGGCAGGATTTGTTATGTGAAGATGTCCAATCCAAATGGGTAGGTTACAACAACAGGAATAAGGTCAGCAGAAAATGTTTGAAATATTGTGTCATCAACAGCATCTTAGTTCTGGATAATCATTCCACTCAAGCAAATGACTCCAGCCAATGTCTATGGGATACTTGGATCAAGATCCAGTCACCATGACACCAGAAGGACAATAAAAATATTTTATATGACCTACCCTAAATACTATTTATAATAATTTTAAAGTATAATTCTGATTCTGAGAGGGAGCCAAGGTAATACTTATTGAGTGCAAACCATGTGTAGATACTGCCCTTTATCTGTATTATCTCATTTAGTCATAATAATCACATGAGGAAGATTTTCTTCTTTATTCCCATTTAATGGGTGAGGGATTTGAAACCAGAGAGATAAGTAAATTACCCAAGTTCATAAAATTATAAGTGGAGTTGACAGAACTAGAGTTGAAATCTCTCAGATTCCAGAATTCGTGGACTTAACTGCTCTAACAGATCCTTTTCCTGGACCACAGCCAAAGAATTCTTAGGCAACCCCAGGTTCAGTGGGCAGCTGAGATGCTAAGCATAAGAAATCAAGGAGAAGCACAAACTGCAATGTCAGGATGGCCAGATAACCCTCCACCACAACATGGGACTAACTGAATGGGTCTCATCCAGTTACGATTTTATCCCTCACCTATAGGAACATTTGACACTATTTGGAGACTTTTTTTGATGTAAATAAATTGAAAGCATGGTGCTAACAGCATCTGGGGGTAAATTTGCTAAACCATTCTACATCACCCTGAAGAGTGTCACGTGCTCCCTGAGAATTACCGACCCTGCTATCTCACCGGTGCTGAGGCTGAGGCTGAGAAACTCTCGGTTGATCTCATTTACTTTAGGCACTCCCCAGAAGCTGGTCATATTTTGACTCCTGCCTGCTGAGCGTGGGTCTGAGTCATGACGAGAACAGCCTTGGCATGTGGAGCCAGGCTGTGCCCACACAACATATGCAGCATACGTGACTCTACTTTGGAGGGCCTGAATGAGGAAGAGTCTAGTGCCAAGTGATGAAATGAGAACAATTAGTAGAGAGTTCACTAAATTTAGCTGCTTTTCCAAAGCTTACAAGAATTTTAAAGATTTTCCATCAGAAAAACATAAATCTTACAATATATAATGTTAGATTTTCAAGTGTATCAGCCTTTAATACTTTCAGATGTCTTAGGATTCATCTGTAATTGTTATGCTTTATTACCCAGTCTTATTTTCATGAAGCCCTTCTCACAATATGGCAAATTACAATATTCTATGGAAGTAAATGTAAAGCATGTTTTATTTGCTATTCTTATGCATCAGTATTATATAGAATTAACTAAAAAAATTCATGGCTTTCACAAGAAAGTAATTAGGCAATAAAATTCTACACTTTAAAAAAATTTATTCCATGTACATAGCATTATATTGCTACTTTACATTAATGCTAGTATTTTGAGTTAAGCTCCTTCCATTAATTTTAATCTTCAAGAGGACATGGACCAGGTCTTTCTCATACCTTATACAAATCAACATAGATACAAGTAGAAAAAAGGCTGGGTAAATACTGATGAAGTTGTAATATAAACATTGAAATACATTTTCTCTATGTTCAGTAATTTTCATCAATGATAAAGAACAGGCAATGATGTTGTGATGTTATATTCATTTGGTACTATGAAAACACTGCCTAAAGTCAGTAAGCTTTTCAGGGCCTCATCTAAATAAGTGACTTAAAAATATATGTTTACTTCAGAATACCAAAAGAGAACTTAACAATAAAAATTAATTACTTTAATTAAGTTTCAATAATTATAGTATCTAACTTCATTAATTATTAATACAGTATTTACAAATACATCATATTTTTCTTTGTTTATCAATAATGTCTTTGCTTATAAAGACCTGACAAAATATTTTTAAAGGCCAAGTTGTAAAAATAATTTTATCTTTTCCAGCAAAAATATATTTAGAAGAGAAATATAAGATGAAACCTTTACAATGTCCAAGGCCCCGAGGGTCTTAAAGTGACAATTAAATCTAAATCTTTGTTTGCTATTCTGCCTCTTTTTATTATTTTACTGAGGTTACCTCCCAAGATGACAAGAAAGACTAACTGCTAAAATTTAAATAATGTCACCAATTTCACATATCAAATGCAGAGGTGAAACATCTATAGTCAAAAAACACAAACTCTCTCTCAAGCCTCACTGGGAGCCAGAAAAAAAAATATTAATAATGCTTTTCTTTTTTCTCCCCTGTAGTAACTATTATTGCATTCTGAATCAAGAGTCAATGTCTTCTATTGACAATGCATAACACATCCATGTGCACTTGATAAATCAGGAGTTAACCTTTGTTTCTTTATAATTAGGTTATATCTCCAGTCCAGGAAAAACGATTTTTGAATGATAGGTTAATTATTATTTGCTTGTTTGAATGAATATATCAAATAAAAAGTAGTGTATTAAAATATTCATGTCCCTTAATAATTAAGTAGCTAGTTAGAATGGTAGATCATTTATGTCTGCAGAGAACCTGAGCTGATAGTCAAAGAAAAAAGAAAGCATAAGCAAATGTCAGGTAGGGTTGTGATTTGGAATTATATGAATATCGTCAACCCTTATAACTTACTTTAAAATGTACCCTAGCCTACCTTTCCTAGGAAATAGAGCTTAAAATGATTTTTAGAAAAAAATCAGGTGTTAATGTTTATTGGGTGCAACAATTTTTCAGGGCAGTAAGAATGAGGAAAATATACAGTGAGAGGGAGAAAAATGAGAAGCAAAAGAAGGTGACTTATTGTCGCTGTAGCCATGGCTTCAAGACAAGCTGGAAGGTGCATTGTGGAAGAATAGAGAGATAATTTATATGTCAGTAAGTCTGATCCTGGTTTCCTACTTCCCATTAGTCAAAATTTGCCATATAAATATTTACTCAATTTTCAGGTTGTCTCAACTGGCCTCTTGGCAACTAGTGGGCAAATGTCACTTTGCAAAAGAAGGTAATAGCAGGGGAGGCACTGGGCGTGCCCCCCTGAAGATTGACCTCCATCAGAGTAATAGTGCCAGACATGTGCCATTCAGACAAGTAGCTGAGGTGGGCTAACCAGGCACGTATCAGGAGACAAAGCTGAGAAAATCTGAGGACACACATATAATTAGTGAGAGAGGTAAAGCTTTTGTGAGTTGCATCAGTCATAGTATACTTTTGTTATGTATGCATGTGTATTTTTTTTAATATGGAACACGGTAGCTGCCCCTGAGAGAGGAAAATTGACAAAGTCAGACATCTTTAACTTTACTGGGCCTTGTGGATATAAAAAACTGACAGATTTTGAATCTGCCCTCAAGGGTATTACAGTGTAGCTGAAAAGAAGAAAAATGTTTTTTAAAGTAAGAAGTCCTCACAGATTGCTGACTACTAAAATAACAAAAGACATAAGTCCCAAAGGGTTACAAATGTGATAGATAAATTCAAATGTATTAAGTGAGTCCTGTTCAGTAAGCAAGCTATTTTTCAGGAAAATGATGTAACTAATATGCCGTTAGGTTATCCATAAGTAAAGTCCTTCTCTAGTAGTCTGAAAGAGCTTAAACCTACCAGACAGAAAACCAAAACACTCAACAAATGCAGCACTATTTTCTTCATGTAAAAAATATGCTAAATGTGAGTAGATTATTTTAAAGGTACTATATCTCTGCATTGAACAAATGAAAGAAAGGCTCCTTTTTACTTTGGTGTAAGCATGGATTAACAACTTAAAAATATCTGTGATTGTCCATTTTCTGGTGGTATCATGGTATAACATTACCTAAAAGTTTGAAAAATTACAGAAAGGATAGTTCATCTCAATAAGTGCCTGACTTACGTTTCCATGTGGATGTTTTATTTATCATTACAGGCCTAACTCTATGTCATTAGAGAAAGAATTACATATTACCTTAATTCAGTAAATGTAAAACATTGATTTAAATAATCATATCTACCAAACCCATCATTCAATTACACATACAGTGGGTGTGCACACACACAAGCATACACTCAGCCATTGGGAGTGTATAAATTATTGAGTTAAATTTTATTGTTACCCTTCTGAGTGAGTAAGTGTATATATATATGCCTCTGTTCAATATATATTATATACTAGGGATAGGTATATGTATATATCCCTAGTGTATGTATGTGTATATATTTAAAACATATATATATAACATATAAGCAAGGTATACAACATGATGTATGAGACACATATATATCATAAAATGATTACCGTAGTGAAACAAGTTAACGTACCCCTTATCTCACATAGTTACCCATTTATTCATCCCAGTGGCAAGAGCAGCTATAATTTACTCATTTAGCAAAAACCCTCAATACAATACGCTATTATTAACTACAGTTCTCATGGTGTACATTAGATCTTTAGACTTGTTCATCCGACGTATTTGCTACTTTGTATCCTTGGACCTAGCATCTTTCCATTATCTCTCTCCCCCTAACCCTGCTCCTTGTAACTACTGTTTTATTCTGTATCACCACAGAAATGCAAATCAAAACAACTGTGACATATTACCTCACGCCCATCAGGACAGCTATTGTCAAAAGACAAGCAACAAGTGTTGGCAAGACTGTGAAGAGAAGGAAACTCTTGCACACTTATGAGTAGTACCATGCATCAGGAGCATAGGTGAGATTATAAAGTAAAGCGATGAGAAATCTGAAGAGACTAGCTCCTTGTACAAAAAAAAAACCTGTAAAATCACACATTCACAAAATCTTTGCTCTATTTTTAATGCATAATTTTAGAACACTTCTATATTAGGTTCTCTAGCTTATTTTAGAAAATTTGAGCTAAGTGATGGTTGTTTTTTGCCTAATGAAATTTGACAATACATGGAGAGGCCAACTTGGCGGCCAGAGCAGTGTGTAAGAAGCAAAGGTGGGTGAGCTGGACATCCACATGAGGATAGGGCTGCCTGATTTAGCAAATAAAATACAGAATACTCAGTTCAATTTACATTTCTGATAATCTTTGTATAATTATGTCCTGGGCAATATCTGGGGTAAACTTATATAAAAATAATTAGCTAACATGAATTGAAATTTTACTAAACATTCTGTTGCTTTTATTTAAATCTGATATTCCTACATGAGGGCCAACTTGGTATAAAGAGCCCAGCCAACCATTAGAAGGAGTGTGTCCTTTAAGGTATGTTAACCCAGCAGGCAAAGTCAAAGTTGATTGTAGGGAGGCCGATGTGAAATATCAGACCCTGAATAGAGTGGGCAGAATGTTTATATGCTCAAAAATACTATTTTCTAAGCACTGTTTTCTAAATATTATTTCCCACTAAAAGGAAAAAGGGCTATTTGTGGAACTAACTAAGAGAAACATGAAAAAGTATTTTGGGATGATGGACCATCAAGGTGGAAATGTTCTCTAATATGGTCCATTTTTAAAAAAACGGAAATCAAACCTCTTTGTACTATACCTCCACTATTATTTAAACAATTATGTTTGTGATTATTTTAAAATAAAAGAGAAGAGGCATAACATTTCATAGGCATATATAAAAATTGGAAAAATGTAACAGATTAGAGTAATTCAGTTTAATAGCAAGTAATAAGCAAATTACATATTTTAGATAGGTTCAAATCTATGCTTAAATAGATAAATTAACAATAGTAATTGGGGATTTCAATACACTAATTTCAATAATTGTTGGAGCAACTGGACAGAAAGTTAGCAAAGATAAATAAGTCTTAAACAATATCAAACAACTTGACCTACTAAGTAGATCTGTTCTACAAATGTCAAACTGACATTTATAGAACACTTTACCCAATTGCTACAGCATGTACATTCTTTTCAAGCACACATATAACATTTTCCAAGATATACATGCTAGGTCATAAAACTAGTCTCAATAAATTTTTAAAAATTGAAATAATGCAAATGTTCTCTGAAAGCAGTGAAACTAGACATTTGCAATAGAAAGAAATCTTAGAAGCCACACATATTTGGAAATCAAGTGACATACTTCTAAATAAACTATAGGTTAAAGAAAAAAATCAAAAGGAGAATTAGAACATATTTGAAATTAAATGTAAACAAAAACACCACATCAAAAGTAACTGGAGGCAGTTAAAACAGTGCTTGGTGGAAAAATATAACTCTAAATACCTATATATTTTTTTAAAATCTCAAGCCACTTACCTAAAAGAGACTCCTCTCTAACTCATTTTATGAGGCCAACATCATCCTGATGCCAAAACTTGGCAGAGACACAACAAAAAAGGATAATTTCAAGCCAATATCTCTGATGAAAATCGATGAGAAAATCTTCAATAAAATAGTGGCAAACCGAATTGAGCAGCACATCAAAAAGCTTATCCACCATGATCAAGTTGGCTGCATCCCTGGGATGCAAGGCTGGTTCAACATACACAAATCAATAAATGTAATCCATCACATAAATAGAACCAATGACAAAAACCACATGATTATCTCAATAAATGCAGAAAAGGCCTTCAATAAAATTCAACAGCCCTTCATGCTAAAAACTCTCAATAAAGTAGGCATTGATGAAATGTATTTCAAAATAATAAGGGCTATTTATGACAAACCCACAGCCAATATCATACTGCATGGTGATAAGATGGAAGCATTCCCTTTGAAAATTGGCACAAGACAAGGATGCCCTCTCTCACCCCTGCTATTCCACATAGTATTGCAAGCTCTGGCCAGGGCGATCAGGCAAGAGAAAGAAATAAAGGGTATTCAAATAGGAAGAGAGGAAGTCTAATTGTCTCTGTTTGCAGATGACATGATTGTATATTTAGAAAACTCCATCGTCTCAGCCGAAAATCTCCTTAAGCTGATAAGCAACTTCAGCAAAGTCTCAGGATACAAAATCAATGTGCAAAAATCACTAGCATTCCTATGCACCAATAATAGACAATCAGAGAGCCAAATTATGAGTAAACTCCAATTGCTACAAAGGGAATAAAATACTTAGGAATATAAATTACAAAGGATGTGAAGGAACTCTTCAAGGAGAACTACAAACCATTGCTCAAGGAAATAAAAGAGGACACAAACAAATGGCAAAACATTCCATGCTCATGGATAGGAAGAATCAATATCGTGAAAATGGCCATACTGCCCAAAGTAATTTATAGATTCAATACTATCCCCATCAAGCTACCATTGACTTTTTCACAGAATTATAAAAAACTACTTTAAATGTCATATGGAACCAGAAAGGAGCCTGTATAGCCAAGACAATCCTAAGCAAAAAGAACAAAGCTGGAGGCATCACACTACCTGACTTCAAACTGTACTATAAGTCTACAGTAACCAAAACAGCATGGCATTGGTACTAAAACAGATGCCTAGACCAATGGAACAAAACAGAGGCCTCAGAAATAACATTACACACCTAAAGCCATCTGATTTTTGACAAACCTGACAAAAACAACAATGGAGAAAGGATTCCCTATTTAATAAATGGTGTTGGGAAAACTGGCTAGCCATATGCAGAAAACTGAAGCTGAACCCTTCCCTTACACCTTATATAAAAATTACTCAAGATGAATTAAAGACTTAAACGTGAGACTGAAAACCATAAAAACCCTACAAGAAAAACCTGGGCAATGCCATTCAGGACATAGGCATGGGCAAAGACTTCATGACTAAAACACCAAAAGCAATGGCAACAGAAGCCAAAATTGACAAATGGGATCTAATTTAATTAAAGAGCTTCAGCACAGCAAAAGAAACAATCATCAGCGTGAACAAGCAACCTACAGAATGGGAGAAAATTTTTGCAATCTATTCACCTGACAAAGGGCTAATATCCAGAATCTACAAGGAACTTAAATTTTCAAGAAAAAAACAACCCTGTCAAAAAGTGGACAAAGGATATGAATAAACCCTTCTCAAAAGAAGACATTTATGTGGCCAACAACCATATGAAAAAAGTGCATCATCACTGGTCATTAGAGAAATGCAAATCAAACCCACAATGAGATACCATCTCACACCAGTTAGAATGGTGATCATTAAAAAATCAGAAAACAACAGATGCTGGAGAGGATATGGAGTAATAGGAACGCTTTTACACTGTTGGTGGGAGTGTAAATTAGTTCAACCATTGTGGAAGACAGCATGGCAATTCCTCAAGGATCTGGAACCAGAAATACCATTTGACCCAGCAATCCCATTACTGGGTATAAACCAAAGGGTTATAAATCATTCTACTATAAAGACACATGCACATGTATGTTTATTGCAGCACTATTCACAATAGCAAAGACTTGGAACCAACCCAAATGCCCATCAGTGATAGACTGGGTAAAGAAAATGTGACACATATACACCACGGAATACTATGCAGCCATGAAAAGGGATGAGTTCATGTCCTTTGCAAGGACATGGATGAAGCTGGAAGCCATCATTCTCAGAAAACTAATACAGGAACAGAAAACCAAACACTGCATGTTCTCACTCATAAGTGGGAGTTGAACAATGAGAACACATGGACATAGGGAGGGGAACATCACATACCAGGGGCTGTCATGGGGTGTGGGACTAGGGGAGGGATAGCATTAGGAGAAATATCTAATGTAGATGTCAGGTTGATGGGTGAAGCAAACCACTGTGGCAGGTGTATATCTATGTAACAAACCTGCACATTCTTCACATGTATCCCAAACCTTAAATTATAATTAAAAAAAAAAAAAGGAAAACAAACTAAATCTAAAGCAAGTAGAAGCAAAGTGGTAAATATTAGATGTAAATTAATGAAATAACAACAGAAAACAATAGAAAAATAAATGAAACTGAAAGTCAGCTGTTTAAAAATATTTAAAATATAGACAAATGTTTAGATAGATTGACAAAGATAATAAGACAAAAATTCCCAAAATTAGGAACGAAAAAGGGAACACCGCCCTGACTATAAGTAACTAAAAGTATTTTAAGGTAATATTGAGAATAAATTTATGTCTACATATTATAATACTTATATAAACTGAAGAATGCCTAGAATAACAAAACAATTACCAAAACTGATTTAAAAAGTGATAATAGGTCAAGCGTGTTGGCTCATGCCTATAATCCCAACATTTTGGGAGGCCAAGGAGCGCTGATCACTTGAAGCCAGGAATTCAAACCACCCTGGCCAATATGGAGAAACCCCATTGGCCTACTAAAAATACAAAAATTAGTCAGGCGTGATGGCTCGCACCTGTAATCCCAGCTACTTAGGAGGCTGAGGCACAAGAATCACTTGAACCTGGGAGGCGGAGGTTGCAGGGAGCAGAGATTGCACCACTGCACCCCCGCCTGCACAACAGAGAGAATCTGTCTCAAAAAAAAACAAATAAACAAATAAATAAATAAGCGATAATAAATATGGGTTTATTTATAACTAGTAAATACATTAAATTTAGAATAAAATATTCCTGCAGAGGAAACTTTATACCCTAAAGACTTCATTGTGAATTCCATCAAATATTTAAGAAACAAATAATATCAGCTTTGTAAACTGTTTCAGAAAGTGGAGAGAGCATTTCCCTACTCATTCTATGATCACACTGATAAAAAGAAAGGCAGTTAAATAACCCATTAATAAAAAAATTAGAGATTAATACTTCTTAACAACATAAGCCCAGAAATCTTTAACAAAACATTAGCAAAATGAATCATCGACACATAAAAAGGATTGTACAAAATAAACAAGTATTATTTATCCTAGAAATGTAAGGTTGATTTAACACCCCCAAATCAATTCATGTAGCACACCATATTAATAGAACAAAGGACAAAAACAGATGGTAATCTCAATAGATTCAGAAGGAAACATTTACCAAAAATAGAACATCTATTTATCATACAAATTCTTAACATACTAGGAGTAAAAGGGAACTTCTTTCAGCTGACAAAGGAAATTCACAAAAACCTACCACTAGCACCATAATTAATAGGGAAAGGCTGAATGTGGAACAAGCTAAGGATGTCTGCTCTTACCCCTTCTATTCAACATTGCACCAAAGAGTCTACCAAAAGCAGTAAAGCAAAAACAACAAGAAAACAACAACAACAACAACAACAACAACAAATACAATTTGCACCCAAATTTTAGAAAAGAAGTAAAAGTGATTTTATTCTTATATAGCCTAATCTTTTATATAGGAAATCCAAAAAAATCTAAGATAACATTATTATTGTCAATAAACAGTTTGGCAAGCTCATAGGATATAAGATCTATATTTTGATGTTAATTATGGAACAGGAAAAATCAATTGTATTTTTATATATTATCAACTAATAACCTGAAAAAAATCTTTAAAAAAACCTTTTGTTTATAATAGTGTAAGAAGATATAAATTACTAGAAATAAAGTTAACAAAAGACATACAAAGTTTTTATAGTGAAAGTTAGTGGTAGTGGTGAATGGATAGACACAATGTGGTATATCCATAGGATGGAATATTATTCAGCAATACAAAGAATTGAAATATTATTACAGATTCATGCCATAAAATGGATGATCTTCAGAAACATTATGCTAGGTGAAATAAGCCAGATACAGGCGACTATATATTATAAAAGTATACTATGTAAATAAGAATAAAAAATGCCCCCACGAATCAAGTTTATAGAGACAGTGTAGATAACTGGTTGCCTGGAACTGGGAATGGGAGGTAGGGATCGAGTGCAATAGGCTGGGAGTAATTTGGGGGTTTATGAAAACATTATCAAGCTGGATTGAGGCACTGGTTGCACAAATCTAGAAATTTATTAAAAATCATTTAATCTTACATTTACATTGGCTGGATATGATATTTCAATTGTACATTCATAAAGTTGATTCTTAAAAAAATGATGCTTTTCTGTAACATATTTGCTAACATTTTCTTCCAATATGTGACTTGCCTTTGAATTGCCTAAACTGTGCCTTTCACAGAGCAAGACTTAAACATGTTTAAATAAACTCCGATTTATGAAATTTTTATTTAAAAATTCATAGCCTTGGTGTTGTATCTACACCTCATTGCTAACACAAAGTTGCACATATTTTTCTTTTTCTTTTTCCGGAAGTTTTATAATTTTACATATTGAATTTAGAGCTATGATTTATTTTGTGTTAACTTTGTATAAGATGTGAAGTATGGGTTGATTTTTCTTTTTCCTTTTTTCGCATATGGACATACAATTTATTCATTATCATTTGTCTAGAAGAAAATCTTCCTCCAAGGAAGGAATTTTCTTTACACCTTTGTTATAAAATACTTGTCTATATTTGGCTGGGTCTATTTCCTGCCTCTCTATTCTGTTTCATTGATCTATTGGCAATCCTTTTGCCAATATCACATTTTCTTAATTACTATGGATTCACAGTAAATCTGAAAATTATGAAGTATTAGTTCTCCAACTTTTTCTTTTTTTAAAGAAAAAAGAAAAAAGCTATACTAGTTTATTTTTTCTTATATATTTTATAATCAGATTTTTAAAAATCACAAAACACTTGATGGAAGCTTATATTATAATTATGTTAATCTTATATACTAAATTGAGAATAATCGATATATTAACAGAATTGAATCTTCCAGTGTAACGCACACAGAAATGATGGAAATGTCTCACAGATGATGGGAATGTCCCACAGTGGTCAGTCATGTGGCTGCATTGGAATCAGTTTGGCAGTTCCTCAAAATATTAAACATCATATTACCCAGCAATTTATTTTTATGTCTATAATCAAAAGAAATAAAAACATATGTTCATACAGAAATGTATACATAAATGCTTACAATAGCATTATTTATAACAGCCAAAAAGTGGAAATACACAATGCTTAAAAATGGATCAAAATATAAATAAAATGTGATAGATACATCTGTAAGACTGAATTGTATTTTTAAATAAAGCATAATATACTGAAAAATGCTACAGCATGGATGATCCTTGGAAACATTATACTAAGTGAAAAAAGCCACTTAAAAGACCATATATTACATACAATGTCCAGGATAGGTAAATCCATAGAGACAGAAGTAGATCAGTTGTTGCCTAGGGCAGTGTGGTTAGGAGTAAATAAGGAGTGACTGCTAATGAGCATGGGGCTTCTTTCTGACATGATGGAAATTTTCTAAAATGGATTATGGTGACTGTTATACAACTCTGAGTATACTAAAATCTATTAAATTTTATACTTTACATAAGTGAATTACATCTTAATACATCTGTTTAAAAAGGCCCGTGTGATTGTGTATACAACTTAGTTCTTAGTCACCAAATACTGGAAACAACCCAGATATCCTTCAGCAGATGTGTGTAGACAAGCAAATTGGAGTATATTCACAAAACAGAATACAGGCAGAAATAAAAAGGAACATAACATTGATTGAATCAAGAAAATTGTAACTCAAAATGTATTTTGATAAGTAAAAGAAGCCAGACACAAAAATCTATATATTTAAAAATTCCATTTATATGACATTTAGAAAAGTCAAAACTATGAGAACAATAAAAAAAACTCAGTGGTTGCCAGGATTGGGGAGGGGAGAGATGTTCCCTACAAAGTCATCACTCAGATAAATTGTAATGATAATGGAACAGTTCTGCAAAGTTCTGTAGTGGTGGATACATGGTTCTATGCATTTGTCAAACTCTGTAGAACTGTATACCATAAAGAGTGAACCCTACTGTGTGCAAATTAAAAAAGCAAACAAACAATAAAAACAGAAAGTTCAAGAAACTCAAGGTGAAATGTGACTGTGACAAATTATTCTAGCTGTATTTTAAATGTGTGACATAACCTCATGAAGGGGCTGGAAAAAAATAGCTGACCTGAGTCACTTTGGAATACTGTGTTCGACTTGATTCTACAGACAAAAAGAATTCTACAAAAACACTGTACTCTAGTTGCTAAATTTATTTCTTACATATTTACAGAATAACAATTCTGAAAATATCTTTCTTGTATACAAAGGTTGAAATAATAAGTAAACATTTGTAGATAATGAGAATGAGATAATCACTGTCAGAGAAGGAAGCTACAAATAACCACTAAAGTAATAGTAGAATAAACCCTGTGACACTAGACTAGACTAGGAGATAGCTGTGTAAACCTATGATTTTGATTTCCAAAACAATTTTTCAGGAAAAAAAGCCAGAACTCCTTGGAGAAATGGCAGGTTTTTAGGTAGAGTGGGAAAAGGGAAATATAAGATGAGCCTGGGGCATCTTGTAATGTCAGAAAACTAAAAGGTCTAAAGAAAATGCTTCAAAAAATGAAAGAACAGATGCATGTTGAAAAAATACATGAACCATTTAGAAAAAGTTCCTAATGGCCCATGTTTAGACAATGTGAAAGCAAAATAAGTATTATATATTAGATTATGACCATAGACTAAAGTAAATATCTATGATTCTACTGATATAAATGACTAAGTAAAGAATTGTGGATGAATTATTTCTTACAAAATAATTCCAAATTATAAATGGAGAAAAGAACCACAGAAATAAATGCTGAAGGCAAATTAAATAAAAATGCAAAAATTAAAATTAGTGGACAAAACGTTAAGAAGAAACAAAATATTTGTTTGTTTGTTTTTGTTTTTGTTTTTTGAGATGAAGTCTCACTCTGTCGCCCAGGCTTGAGTGCAGTGGCACAATCTCGGCTCACTGCAACCTCTGCCTCCTGGGTTCAAGTGTTTCTCCTGCCTCAGCTCCCTGAGTAGCTGGGACTACAGGTGCGCACCAACACGCCCAGCTAATTTGTGTATTTTTAGTAGAGACAGGGTTTCATTGTGTTAGCCAGGATGGTCTCAATCTCTTGACCTTGTGATCTGCTCACCTAGGTCCACAGATAATTTAGTATTTCTCTCTCTAGCAAGTGGACTTAAATACCCCTTTTCTTGAGTGCAAACTGTACTTAGTGACTATTTTTAACATACAGAGAATGGAAAGGGAAAACAGTAACTTTGCAATGGAGAACACCTGGTAGATGACATGTTACCCAAGTGATTCAAGTTAATGTCACCAGGATTAAATTATGTTGATATTCTGTACCCCTGATATGATATGATAAGCAGGGCACTTCACCTTTGTAGTAGTTTTTTTTAAACTCGTAATCCCAGTCTAATTATGATAAAATATGGATAAGCCCTAGTCTGCAAAATAGCTGACTAGTTCTTTTCAAGTGTTAAGGTTATGGAAGACAAGAAAAGACCAAAAAACCATTACAGATAACAGGAGACTAAAGAGACTTGAAGTAAAATTGTGACTATATTTTGAATTACTAAGAAAATTATTTTCAACCAAGAATTTCATATCCAAACTAAGCTTTATAAGTGTAGGGGAAATAAGATTATTTTTAGACAAGCAAATGCTGGGATTTCATTACCACCAGACTTGCCTTACAAGGGGTCCTGAAGGGAATGCTAAACCTGGAAAGGAATCACTACAAAAGCATACTTAAGTACATAGACCAGTAACACTATGAAGCAACCACACAGTCAAGTCTGTGTAATAAAGAGCAAACAATATAACAGGGAAAATCTGCACATATCAGTACTAACCTTGAATGTAAATGGGCTAATTGCTCCAATTAAAAGGTACAGAATTTTTAACTTGGATAAAGAAGCACGACCCAACAGTATGCTGTCTTCAAGAGACCCATCTCATATGCAATGACACCCATAGGCTCAAAGAAAAGGGATGGAGAAAAATCTACCAAGCAAACGGAAAACAGAAAAAAGAAGGGATTTCTATCCTAATTTCAGACAAGCAGACTTTAAACCAACAAAGATCAGAAAAGACAAAGAAGGACATTACATAATGGTAAAGAGCTCAATTCAACAAGAAGATCTAAATACCCTATACACACACCCAATACAGGAACACTCAAATTCATAAAGCAAGTTTTTAAAGAACTAGGGAAAGACTTAGGTAACCACACAAAAATAGCAGAAAACTTCACACCCACTGAAAGTATTAGACAGATCATTGAGGTAGAAAATAATAAAGATGGTCAGAACCTGAGTTTGACATTTGACCAAATGGACCTAATAGATATCTGTAGAGCATGCAACCAAAAGACAAGAGTATATGCATTCTTCTCATCTGGACATGGCACATACTCTAAAATTGACCACACAACAATCAAACATAAAACAATCCTCAGCAAATTCAGAAAACCTGAAATCATACCAAACACAATGGAACACAGTGCAAGGAAAATAAAAATCAATACTAAGAAAATTGCTCAAAACCATATAATTACATGGAAATGAAATAACCAGCTCCTGAATGACTTTTGGATAAATAATGAAACCAAGGTAGAAATTAAAAAATTATTTGAAACTAAAAATACACCAGAATCTCTGGGACACAGCTAGGGCAGTGTTAAGGGGGAGAATTATAGCAGTAAATGCCCACATCAAAAAATTAGAAAGAGCTCAAAGTAACAACCTATTGTCACAACTAGAGGAATGAAAGAAATAAGAACAAATCAATTGGAAAGTTGGTATACAAGAAGTAACCAAAACCAGAGAGAAAACTAAAATCAGAGAGAAACTAAAGGAAATTGAGATGGGAAATGATGGGAATGCCCCACAATTGTCAATGATGTGGCCACTCTGGAATCAGTTTGGCAGTTCCGCAAAATATTAAACATCATATTACCCAGAAATTTATTTTTTATGTCTAAAATCAAATGAAATAAAAACATATGTTCATACAAAAATGTATACATGAATGTTTACAATAGCATTATTTGTAATAGCCAAAAAGTGGAAATATGCAATGCTTAAAAATGGATCCAAATATAAATAAAATGTGATAGATACATCTGTAAAACTGAATTGCATTTTTAAATAAAGCATAATATACTGAAAAATGCTACAGCATTTTTCTGTCTTTATGGTGAAAAACCATATGAAAGAGCAATGAAGTCAGGAGTTGGTCGTTTGAAAAAAATTAGTAAGACACATAAACTGTTAGCTAGATTAATAAAGAAAAAGAGAGGATTCAAATAAACACAATTAGAAATGACAAAGGGGATGTTACCACTGACCCCACTAAATACAACAAAAAATCCCAGAGACCACTACAAATACCACTATACACGAAGCCAGAAAATCTAGAAGAAGAAGATAAGTTTCTGGACACATACAAACTCCAAAGACTAAACTAGGAAGAAACCTGAACAGAGTTCTGAAATTGAATCAGTAATAAAAAGCCTGCCAATAAAAAAAGCCCTGGACAAGACAGATTCACAGCTGACTTCTTCCAGACATATAGAAAAAGAGCTGGTAGCATTCTACTGAAACTATTCCAAAAAAATTGAGGAGGAGAGAGAGACTACTCCCTAAATGACTTCTATGAAGTCAGCATCACCTCGATACCAATATCTGGCAGAGATACACCAAAAAAATAGAAAACTCCAGGCCAACATTCTTGTTGAACATAGATGCCAAAATCCTCAACAAAACACTAGCAAACTGAATTCAGTAGCACATCAAAAACCTAATCCACCATGATCAAGTAGGCTTTACACTTGGGATGCAAGGTTGGTTCAACATATGCAAATCAATAAATGAGAGTCATAACATAAACAGAACTAAAAACAAAAGCCACAATTATCTCAATAAATGAAGGCAAAGTTTGCAATAAAATTCAACATCGCTTTATGTTAAAAACCTTCAACAAACTAGGCATTGAAGGAATATTTCTCAAAATTATAAAATCCATATATGGCAAACCACAGCCAACATCATACTGAAAATACAAAAGCTGGAAGCATTCCCTTTGAAAATCACTACAAGACAAGGATGCCCTCTCTCACCAATCCCATTCAACATAATACTGGAAGTCCTGGCCAGAACAATTAGGCAAGAAAAAGAAATGAAAGGCATCCAAATAGGAAGAAAGGAAGTCAAACTATTCTGTGTGCAAATGATATGAGTATATACCTAGAAAACCCCATAGTCTCTGCCCAAAAGTGTCTTGATCTGATAAAGAACTTTAGCAAAGTTTCAGAATACAAAACCAATGTACAAAAATTCATAGTATTCCTGTACACAAACAACATCTAAGATGAGAGCCAAATCATGAATAACAATCATATTCACAAGAGGTGCAAAAAGAATAAAACATCTGGGAATACAGCTAACTAAAGAGGTGAAAGACCTCTAATTTATTTACTTATCAAATAAATTAGAGATGACATAAACAAATGGAAAAACTTTTCATGTTCTTGGATAGGAAGAATCAATATTGTTAAAGTGACCATATTGCTCAGAGTAATTTATGGATTTAATGATATTCCTATCAAACCACCAATGACATTCTTCACAGAATTTAAAAAAATTCTAAAATTCATATAAAACCAAGAAAGAGCCCAAATAGCCAATGCAATCTTAAGCAAAAAGAACAGAGCTGAGGCCATCAGGTTACCCAACTTCAAACTATGTACAAGGCTACAGTAACCAAAACAGCATGGTACCAGTAGAAAAACAGACACATAGACCAATGGAACAGAATAGAGAGCCCAGAAATAAAGCTGAACACCTACAACCATCTGACCTTTGAAGAAGTCTGTAAAAACAAGCAATGGAGGCAGGACTTTCTCCTATTCAATAAATGATGCTGCAAAAACTTGCTAGCCATATGCAGAAGATTAAAACTGGACCTCTTCCTCACCCCATATACATAAACCAACCCAAGATGAATTAAAGGCTTAAATATAAGACCTAAAACTATAAAACCCCTAGAAGATAACCTAGGAAATAGTACTCTTGACATAGGACCTGGCAAAGATTTCATGATGAAGATGTCAAAAGCAATTGCAGCAAAAACAAAAATTGGGTCATGTGCGGGAACTCATGCCTATAATCCCAGCACTTTGGGAGGCTGAGGTGGATTGCTTGAGCCCTGGAGTTTGAGACCAGCCTGGGCAACATGATGAAACCTCACGTCTACAGAAAATACAAAAATTAGTCGAGCGTGGTGGTGCGTACCTTTAGTCCCAGCTGCTCGGGATGTGGAGGTGGGAGGATTGATTGAGCCCAGGAGGTCAAGGCTGCGGTGAGCCATGATTGTGTGACTGCACTCCAGCCTGTCTCAAAAAAAAAAAAAATTGACAAATGAGACCTAATTAAACTAAAGAGCTTCTGCACAGCAAAAGAAGCCATCAACAGATTAAACAGACAATCTACAGAGTGGGAGAAAAGATTTGTAAACTATGCATCTGACAAAGGTATCGTATTCAGAATTATAAGGAACTTAAGTTTAAAAGCAAAAAACAAATAAAAAGTGGGCAAATGGCATGAAGAGATACTTCTCAAAAAAAGACATACACATCTAGTGCGGTGGCTCACACCTGTAATCCCAGCATTTTGGGAGACCGGGACGAATGGATCACCTGAAGTCAGGAGTTCGAGACCAGCCTGGCCAACATGGTGAGGCCCCATCTCTACTAAAAATACCAAGAATTAGCCTGTAATCCCAGCTACTCAAGAGGCTGAGACAGGAGAATTGCTTGAACAAGGGAGACAGAGGTTTCAGTGTGTCGAGATCGTGCCATTGCACTCCACTGTGGGCAAAAAGAGTAAAACTCCATCTCAAAAAAAAAAAAAAAAAAGACATACACTTGGCCAACAAGCATACAAAAAAAAGCTCAACATCACTAGTCATTATAGAAATGCAAATCAAAACCACAATGGGGTACCATCTCATACCAGTCAGAAAGGTTATTATTAAAAAGTCAAAAAATAACAGATGTTGGCAAAGTTGTGGAGAAAAGGGAACACTTACACACTGCTGTTAGGAATATAAATTTGTTCAGCTAATGTAGAAAGCAGTTTTGCAATTTCTCAAATAACTTAAAATGGAATTATCATTCAATCAAGCAATCCCCATTATTGGATATATACCCAAAGGGATATAAATCGTTCTACCATAAAGATACATGCACCATTCATCACAGCACCATTCGCAATAGCAAAGACATGGAATCAATCTAAATGCCCATCAATGATAGACTGGATACAGAAAATATTCTACACATACACCATGGAATACTATGCAACCATAAAAGAGATTGAGATCACGTCCTTTGCAGCAATATGGTTGGAGCTGTAGGCCATTATCCTAAGTGAATTAACACAGGAAGAGAAAACCATATATCACATTTTCTTACTTATAAGTGGGAGCTGAATATCCCGTACATGTGTGTATAAAGAAGGAAACAACAGATTCCAAGACCTACTTGGGGAATGATTGTGGAAAGAGAGTGAGGATCCAAAAACTATCTATCGAGTACTATGCTTACTACCTGGGTGATGAAATAATCTGTATGTCAAACCTCATGACATGAAGTTTACCTATATAACAAACCTACACATGTATCCTTAAACCTAAAAAAAAGTTTTTTTAAAAAGTCTTAACTAAGTACACATAGTATCCTGAACTAATCATAGGACAGAAAAAGTGTATTATTGAAAAAACTGACAAAATGTAAATAATGCATTTAGTTTTGTTAGCAGTATTTTAGCAATTTAATTTTTAGTGTTGATAATTGTTATATGATAAGTATGTAAGTTTTACATTGGGCGAAGCTGGGTTAAAGGAATATGGAAATTTTCTGAATTTTCTTTATAACTTTTCTATAAATCTAAAATTATTTCAAAATAAAATGACAAAACAAAGTAAACATAGATTCTACATTTTCTGCTCTTATTCTCTCACATAAAATAAGGTTCTATATTTATTATACAGACATATTTCATAATTTTTTTTCCAAATTAAAATTAACAAAATCAGGAATCAAAGACAATAAATATGATTTCTTCAAAATATATTTTTTCAGTTCTGTCATTTTTCCTCAATATTCTGACATTTTTTCACTGATGTTTCCATTAATTGTAAATGAAATACATGTATCAAGTTATTAAAAATAAGGCCTATTCACACTTTAATTCATAAGCTGAGCATGTATTATCAATCAACATATTTCTAAAATTGATTTTACATGCTGAAGTGATAAATATTTCGTAACTGCTTTTATTTAACATGGTTTGGAATAGTAGTCTGCTGATTAGTTGAAAGAGAGGTAAATAAAAAAATAAGCATGTACATTAAACACTTTATCTTGTCAAAACATAAGTGTACTTTGATTCGGCAAATTTAGGAGTATATTCAAGGCCTCTTCTTTGTGCAGACCTGCATTTAGATACCCGCATAATACATATTCATAATAGTCTGTGATATGTTTCAATTTATTCTGTATGAGTAATCCACAGATAAGATTGGAATATTCCTTTACATGTCCATACATTTTCCTACTAGTTGAATCACTCATCCCAAATTTGACAGAAATGTCTTAACAACCCTTGTTCATTTAGTCTTTCAAAGTATTTAACTTATTTTTTCATTGAAGCAATTCTTTTTTTGCAGTCATATTGTATCTTAACATAATATATAGTTGAGTTATTCAATTACAGGTAACTGCTGGAAAGACAGGTGACTGCTGGTGAGTACATGCATCAACATGCAAAGCTAGAAGTGCTCACGCTCAAATGAATGACCTATTCAGGACGCTGTTATGGCCATAACAATGTGATTATGTGAGAAAGGAAAAACATCAGTTAATCCACTGAACTGTTTAACTGAATCTCAGTTAAGGGGCTAGACCGTAAAAACTTTCACATGACACAGATAAACAAAGAATTCTGATAGAAATATTGCTTTACTTACCCTATCTTTCTTTATACTTTTCTCCTCACAAGTAACTGTAATCAGGTTGATATGTGTCCTTCTATTTTTTTCCAATGAAGATGAGCACACACAAGACACAAATACATTTGTCTATTAATTTTCATACAAACAGAACATAAATTATATATATTATTTTAAACTTTTGAACATTTTAATTAAATTGCTAGGAAGAGGTTTTATTTGTAGTTGAGTATAAGTCAGTACTAAACATTATCCAATTATTTTTGCAATAAAAATATGGGCAAGAAAGATGAGGGATAGAACGAGATTGAGAAAAAAGGAAATAGAAAACGGAAAATGTAGACACTATTGAAAAATAAAATTGCCTGAAATTATGTCGTTGGATGAGTGAGAAAAAAATCATCTAGAATAAATACCAAGTTTCTCATTTGGGTAGCTGGATAGATAGTTACATGTGTATGAGAAAATTGGATGGTTTTGTTGAGGAAAATAATTTATATTTTCCCCATATTGGATTTTATATGCTTTTGTCATATGCAGGTGGAGGCAGTCTGAAAAATAAGAGAGACCTATGGACTATTGTTATAGCTATAAAATTCAGAAATCCTTTTGTCCACTACACAATGTTTTTGTGAGGGTCTTTGTAAAATGCTTTAAATTTTTGCTACCCGGTGTTGATAGTATTCTTCTGATCAAATTAACTAATGGTCTTTCTTAAAAGATAAGTAAGTTTAGTTTTACATTATAGGTATAGCAAACAGGTTAAACATCAAGAGCCATGCTTTTGAAAGTTCAAAAATTAGGCATGTGATTTTAATGTATTTTTACAATACTTTTATTTAGATTATTTCACCATGTTATAAATACTTGAAATAATTTGCAGTAAAATATGTCACCTTTGAATAGCGGGGACAAAATCCAGAGACTCAAAATATCAATCAACCTGTTGATGCCCCAGTTTTCTGAATTTTACTATTAACACCAACCTCATTCCAACAAAACCAAACCATATACACATACACATACATTTGCACACATGCATGCATACATACATACATGCACACACATACACACATAGTCCTTGAGTATTTTTTATTGTTTCTCTATATAACTATTTGTTTATTCAAAAACATTTATTGCTATCTGCAGGAACTGATATCTATTATATACAGTAATTGCCCTGCAATGATAGTTTAGAATCATCAGTGAACAGAGCAGAAATGATTGTTGTGGACCAGGCAATGTATGGCAACTACTCATTCCATTGATTTTCATTTAAGCCTTTGCTTGTCTTAGCAAAAATATTATTTAATCTATTTCATGTGTGAATAATCTAATTTAACATCAATATTCTCAATAAATCTTTGATTCGGACTGGTGTTCTTATATTACAGAAGAGCTTTCTGCAAACCTGAAAACAAAGAAATCCGCAGAAAATAATAAACTTACATATTTACTGTGTTACGTGCTTAAAGACTATTAGGCACTGGACTAAGCATGAAATTTCTCACAACTCTATGGTGTAGGCATCTTTAATTATCTTAATTGTGATGGAAATTTGGTTCAGAAAGTTAGATAAATTAACTAATATCACACATATTGTATAAGTGGTGTGGTTGGGTGATACAACTCTAAGTAGTGTTCTCTTATTGACTATACATACTGCCTCTGTATGTAAGTTTTGTGGAAGAAAACCTTAAAACCTTTTTATTGCTTTCTATTCAGAGCAATATAGCTCTTTTTTCATGACTACACAAGGAAGGAGAGAAAAAATATGAGTAGAGTCAGTGAGAAATGTATAAACAAATTGAGATGATTTGCAGGAAAATTCAATTAGTCATTTTAATTTAAAATGAAAATTTTGAATAACTTGTAGTTTTAAAAATAATTGTTTTGTGAGATTAAGCCTTCATGTTTTTCAATCTTTTTCACTCTATCAATTGTCAAGTTTCACTTAGGTGATGATAAGAACTGTTGAAGTGGCTGAGACAGTAAATCAGCATTGCATCATGTACTGTATATTTCAAGGTGATGAATTACAGGCTGAGCAATCATGCTGATCACTGGATATCACCACTGATTGGCTAGGGTCGGTCCAAAGTCATCCAAGTATCTTTGAACATTAATCAGTGTATATCTCATAGGTTTAGAGATGAAAAGAATGCCACCGATAATGAATAACCATCTTATGTATTGACTACTTAAATTTATCAGTAGAAAAAATAAAATAAAATAAAATAAAATAAAATAAATATCTGAGAAAATTACTGCAATATACCATTCTTAATTGTCTTCTGTTTAGTCCAGAGTTTTATCCCTGGAAAATTTTAAAGACATATATTACAGGTGAAGAGAATATACATTATATTCTAAAATGTTTAACCCCTATTTAATTTTTCAAATTTAAAAAATTCAGATATTATTCACACAAGTGAAATGCACAGATTGTAATTGAAATGTTCAACAAGTTTTAACATATATATGTATATATAAGATATTAATATAACCACTATCAGAGTCAACATGTGGGATACTTCCATTACCCCACAAAATTTCCTGGTGCCCTTTTGCAGTCAATCCACGCTTCCTTCCTATTCTTCTCCATCTCCACTATGAACCCTGGTTCCAGGCAACCACTGTTCTAATTTTTTATCAAGTTAAATTAGTAATGCCTGCTGCCATAACTGAATAATTTAATTTTCATTGTTTTGTGTCTGGCATTATTTACCCAGTATGATGTTTTGAAGATTAATCCATGCTTCAAGCCTCAGTAGTTTGTTCTTTTTTATTGTTGAATATTTTTTCATTCTATTAATATACCACAATTTGTGCTTGATCCTGTCAGTGACCATCTGGATTTTCAGTTTAGATTTACCATGAATATGTCCACTGAGATCTTTCTTGTAAAACTAGTATTGTATATATACATTTTTATTTATTTTGCTTAAATATCTAGAAGTGGAATTACTGGGTCATATGGTTAATGTATGTGTAAATTTATAAGAAACTTCAATGTAAGATCATCCCCAAAATACATAATCATCCGATTCTCCAAGGTCTAAATGGAAGAAAAAACGTTAAAGGCAGCTAGAAAGACAGGTCAGGTCACTTAGAAAAGGAAGCCCATCAAACTAACAGCAAACTCCCAGCAGAAATTCTACAAGCCAGAAGAGATTGGGGGCCAATATTCAACATTTTTAAAGAAAAGAAATTCCAACCCAGACTTTAATATCCACCCAAACTAAGCTTCATAAGCAAAGA
This sequence comes from Homo sapiens, assembly GCF_000001405.40. Classification (NCBI taxonomy): domain Eukaryota; kingdom Metazoa; phylum Chordata; class Mammalia; order Primates; family Hominidae; genus Homo; species Homo sapiens. The sequence goes on along the minus strand of NC_000010.11, from coordinate 65,171,245 downwards.
AGATATAAGATCCTTTTTAGATAAGGAAGTGCTGAGGGAATTCATTACCACCAGCTGTGCCTTATAAGCGCTCCTGAAGGAAGCACTAAATAGGAAAAGAGAAGACTGCTACAAGGCACGAAAAAAACACACTGAAGTACACAGACCTATGACACTACAAAGCAACCACTTAAACTAGTCTGCAAAATAATCAGGTAACACAATTAAGAAAGGATAAAATCCACATATGTCAATACTTAACCTTAAATGTAAATGGGCTAAATGCCCCCAATTAAAAGGCACAGAATGGCAAGCTGGATAAAGATCAAGACCCATTGGTATCTTTCATACAATGACACACATAGGCTTAAAATAAAGGAATAGAGAAAACTTTACCAAGCAAATGGAAGACAGTAAAAATCAGAGGTTACAATCCTAGTTTCAGATGAAACAAACTTTAAGCCAACAAAGATAAGAAAAGACAAAGAAGGGCATTACATAATCGTAAAGGGTTCAATTCAACATGAAGATCTAACTATACTAAATATACATGCACCCAACACAGGAGCACCCAGATTCATGAAGCAAGTTCTTAGAGATTTTCAAAAAGACTTACACTCCCACACAATGATAGTGGGAGATTTTAACATTCCATTTACCATATTAGACAGATCATCAAGACAGAAAACCAGCAAAGATATTGAGTAGCTGAATGCAGCATTTGATCAAATGAACCTGATAGACATCTATAAACTCTCCACCCAAAAAACCAAAATATACTATCTCCTTATCAGCACACGCACTTACTCTAAAATTAGTCTCATAATTGGTAGTAAAGCACTCCTCAGCAAATGCAAAATATCTGAAACCGTAACAAACAATCTCTTGGACCACAGTGCAATCAAATTAGAAATCAAATCTAATACATTATCTCAAAACCACATAATTACATGAAAATTGAATAACCTGCTCCTGAATGACTTTTTGGTAATAATAAAATTAAAGCAGAAATCAAGAAGTTCTTTGAAACTAATGAGAACAATGATACAATGTACCAGAATCTCTAGGACACAGCTAAGACAGTGTTAAGAGGGAAATTTATGGCACTAAACGCCCACATCAAAAAGCTGGAAAAATCTCATTAGCAACCTAATATCACAACTAAAAGAACGAGAGAACCAAAAGCAAGCAAACGCCAAAGCTAGCAGAAGACAAGAAATAACCAAGATAAGAGCTGAACTGAAGGAGATAGAGACATGAAAAACCCTTCAAAACATCAACAAATCTAGAGCTGTTATTCTTTTTTCTCACAAAAAATAGTAAGAGATAGACTAATAACACTAGCTAGACTAATAAAAAAGAAAGGAGGAGCAATCAAGACGTGTGGCTTCACTGAGGACCACACTGCAGAGTTCAAGGAGGCCTTCCAGCTGTTTGACTGAACAGGTGATGGCAAGATCCTGTACAGCCAGCGTGGGGACATGATGAGGGCCCTGGGCCAGAAATTCACCAACACTGAGGTGCCCAAAGTCCTGGGGAGCTCCAAGATGAAATGAATGTGAAGGTGCTGAACTTTGAGCACTTTCTGCCCATGCTGCAGATGGTGGTGGCCAAAAACAAGGACCAGGGCATCTATGAGGATTATGTCAAAGGACTTAGGTGTTTGACAAGGAAGGAAATGGCACGGTCATGGGTGCTGAAATCTGGCATATTCTTGTCACACTGGGTGAGAAGATGACAGAGGAAGAAGTAGACATGCTAGGGGCAGGGCACGAGGATAACATTGGTTGTATTAACTAGGAAGAGCTCATCTGCATGGTGCCAAATGGCTGAGGACCTTCCCAGTTTCCCCAGAGCCCATGTTTTTCCCTGTGTTGGATTTTTTATCTGTCCTGAAGGTTCCCTAGACTCTCTTGTCATAGCACCTTTCCCATCTTGTCTCTCTTGGATGATTTTTGCCGTCGGCATTCACCAAATAAACTTGCTGTCTGTGCCCCCCCATCTAAAAAAGAGAAAAGATTCAAATAAACACAATCAGAAACGACAAGGGGGATATTACCACTGACTCCCCCAGAAATGCAAACAGTTATCAGAGAATATTATGAGCACCTCTATGCACAGAAACTAGAAAATCTAGAAAAAATGAAGAAATTCCTGGACATGTACACCCTTCCAAGACAGAACCAGGAAGAAATTGAATCCCTGAACAGACCAATACAAGCTCTGAAATATAGTTAGTAATAAAAAACTTATGAACCTCCAAAAGCCCAGGACCAGAAGGATTCACAGCTGAGTTCTACCTGATGTACAAAGAAGAACTGAAACCACTCCTCCTAGAATTACTTCAAAAACTGAGGAGAACGAACTTCTCCCTAACTCATTCTATGAAACCAGCATTATCCTGATACCAAAACCTAGCAGAGACACAACAAACAAAGAAAACTTCAGGCCAATTTCTTTGATGAACATAAATGCAAAAATCATCAATGAAATACTGGCAAACGAAATCACATCAAAAACTTATCGACCATGATCGAGTAAACTTTATCCCTGAGATTCAAGTTGGTTCAACATACACAAATCCATTAGTGTGATTCATCAAAGAAACAGAACTAAAGACAAAAATCACGTGATTATCTCAATAGATGCAGAGAAGGCTTTTGATAACATTCAACAGCCATTCATGCTAAAAACTCTCAAAAAACTGGGTATTAAAGGAACATATCTCAAAATATTTAGATTGGTGCAAAAGTAATTGCAGCTTTTGACATTATCTTTAATAGCACCAACCTAATAATAAGAGCCATTTATAACAACCCTACAGACATCATACTAAATAAGAAAAAGCTGGAAGTATACTTTTTAAAAACTAGCACAAGACAAGGATGCCCTCTCTCACCACTTTTATTCAAAATAGTACCGGAAGTCCTGGCCAGAGTAATCAGGCAAGAGAAAGAAATAAAAGGGATTCAAATAGAAAGAGAGGAAGTAAAACTATCTCTGCTTGCAGAGGACATTGTCCTTTATCTAGAAAACCCCATAGTCTCAGCTCAAAACCTTCTTAAGCTGATAAACAACTTCAGCAAAGTCTCAAAATACAAAATCAATGTGCAAAAATCATTAGCATTCCTATACACCAACAACAGTTTAAGCCAATAGCCAAATCAGGAACCCAATCCCATTCACAATTGCCACAAAAAGAATACAATACTAGAAATACAGCTAATTAGGGAGGTGAAAGATCTCTACAAGAAGAACTACAGAGCACTGCTCAAAGAAATCAGAGATGACACAAACAAATGGAAAAACATTCCATGCTTGATATGGTTTGGCTGTGTCCTCAACCAAATCTCATCTTGAATTCCATGTGTTGTGGGAAGGAACTGGTGGGAGGTAATTTCATCATGGGGGCAAGTCTTTCCCATGCTGTTCTTGTAATAGTGAATAAGTCTCATGAGATCTGATGGTTTTAAAAAGAGGCATTCCCCTGCACAAGCTCTCTCATTTTTGGCCTGTTGCCATCCACGTTAAGATGTGACTTACTCCTCCTTGCCTTCCACCAGGATTGTGAGGCTTCCCCAGCCATGTGGAACTGTAAGTCCAATTAAACCTCTTTCTTTTGTAAATTGCTCAGTCTCCAGTATGTCTTTATCAGCAGTGTGAAAACATACTAATACAGTAAATTGGTATCAATAGAGTGGGGTGCTGCTGAAGATACCTGAAAATATGGAAGCGATTTTGGACCTGGGTAATGGGCAGTGGTTGAAACAGTTTGGAGGGCTCAGAAGAAGACAGGGAAATGTGGGAAAGTTTGGAGTTTCCTAGAGACTTGCTGAATGGCTTTGACCAAAATGCTGTTAATGATATGGACCATGAAATCTAGACTGAAGTAGTCTCAGATGGAGATGAGGAACTTATTGGGAACTGAAGCAGAGGTGACTCGTCATGTTTTAGCAAAGAGGCTGGAGGCATTTTGCCCCTTGCCCCTGCCCTAGAGATTTATGGAATTCATTTCTTTCTCTTTTTCTTTCTTTCTTTCTTTCTTTCTTTCTTTCTTTCTTTCTTTCTTTCTTTCTTTCTTTCTTTCTTTCTTTCTTTCCTTCTTTCTTTCTTTCCGTCTCACTCTTGTCACCCAGGCTGGAGTGCAATGATGCAATCTCAGCTTACTGCAGCCTCTGCTTCCCAGGTTAAAGTGCTTCTCTCGCCTCACTCTCCTGAGTAGCGCTGGGATTTCAGATGCACACCAACATGTCCAGCTAATTTTCATATTTTTTGTAGAGACAGGGATTCACCATGTTGGCCAGGCTGGTCTCGAACTCCTGACCTCAGGTGATCCATGCATCTTGGCCTCCCAAAGTGCTGAGATTACAGGCATGAGCCACTGCACCTGGCCTGTGGAACTTTCAACTTGAGAGAGATGATTTAGGGTATCTAACCAAAGAAATTTATAAGCACCACAGCATTCAAGAGGTGACTTGGGTGGTGTTAAAGGCATTCAGTTTTATAAGGTAAGCAGAGCATAAAAGTTTGGAAAATTTGCAACCTGACAATACAATGGAAAAGAAAATTCCATTTTCTGAGGAGAAATTCAAGCTAGCTGCAGAAATTTGTGTAAGTAAGGAGGAGCCACATGTTAATCACCAAGACAACGGGGAAAATGTCTCCAGGTCATGTCAGAGGTCTTCAAACCAGCCTCTCCCATCACAGACCTGGAGGCCTAGGTGGAAAAAGTGGTTTCATGGGCCAGGCCCACGGTCTGCGTGCTGTGCACATCCAAGGGACTTGGTGCCTTGCATCCCAGCCACTCTGGACATGGCTGAAAGGGGCCAATGTAGAGCTCCAGACCGTAGCTTCAGAGGGTGCAAGCCCCAAGCCTTGGCAGCTTCCATATGGTGTTGAGCCTGCAAGTGCACAGAAGTCAAGAACTGGGATTTGAGAACTTTTGTCTAGATTTCAGAAGATGTATGGAAATGCCTGGATGCCTATACAGAAGTTGCTGCAGGGGAAGGGCCCTCATTGAGAACCTCTCTGCTAGGGTGGTGCAGAAGGAAAATGTGGGGTAGGAGCACCCAGACAGAGTTCTTACTGGGGCACTGCCTAGTGGAGCTGTAAGAAGAGGGCCACCATCCTAATGACAAAATAATTTGTACAACAAACCCCCGTGACACAAGTTTACCTATATAACAAATCTGCATCTGTTCCCCCGAAGTTAAAGTTAAATAAAAAAATAATAAGAAACTGGTAAACAGTATTCCAAAGTTGTTATATTATTTTACATCCCTGACAGCAGAGCATGAGAGTCTTGGTTATTCTACAACATAACTGTTGTGGAATATTTAATTTTGTCAGACTTACAGTTTAGCTATTCTATTGGAAATGTAGTGGTATCTGATTGTGCTTTTACTTTGTATATTTTTATGACTAATTATGTTGAATATGCTTTTATGTGCTAACTGGCTTTTCATATAGTTTTATTTTGAAATTCTGGGCAAATATTTTGTTCACTTTTAGTGGGCTGTCTTCCCATTATTATGTAGTAGGAGATTTTTATTTATTACGAATAGGTCCTTTATTAATGCGTATATGTCTTCTAATATGTAACTTTCCCAATATGTCTTGCATTGATTTGAAATCTCTTTGCCCACCTCAACCCCCAAATATATTTTTCTTTGTTTAATTCCAGAAGCCTCACAATTTTTCCTTTATATTTAGGGCCATGATCCATATCAAGTCATTTTTTGAACACATGTGGGATAAGAATCAAAGGTTTTCTTTGATTTTTTCTTTTAAATACAGATATCCAGCTTTCCAGCACCATTTGTTAAACAGCCTTTCCTTTCCCTACTGAATTGCTTTTGATGTCTTAGATCTATTCCTGGACTCTCTGTTCTATTCCAACAATCAAATTGTCCACTCTTATGCCAACATCCATGGTAAGTTTTGAAATCACACAGGATAAGTACTATGATTTTGTACTCTTTATGAAGCTATTTTGGCTTTTTAAAGTGTTTTATATTTCTACATGAATTGTATAAAGACCTTCTCAATTTCTATGAAAAAGGATACAGAGATTTAATTTATATTAAATCAATTTCAATACAATGACATGCTATTTTAAAATTTTTAAAGATCATTATTAATCTTTCTCAGTAATGTTTTCTATTTTTAGGTAGGTGTCTAGCGTATCTTTCCTCAAATATACTTCATGTATTTAATTAATTGGATGCAATGTAAATGGTATTTTAAAAGTTTTATTTTGTAATTATTCCTTGCTAGTTATAGAGAAACAAAAGATTTTTTTTTCTATTCTTCAACCTCACAATTTTAAACTTATTAATTCAAGTAGACATTTAGATTGCCGAGATTTTCTACGTGTGAAATCACGGAGTCTATAAATGAAGACAGTTCTTTATTTTCCTTTTCAATCATTTTGTCTTTTCCTTATATTTTCTCCCTTATTGTACTTGCAAAGACATCTAATGAAATGTTAAACAGAAGTAATGACAGCAGAATTTTTGCCTGGCTCCCAATCTCAGGGGAAAGTGTCATGTGGCAATATTAGAATGAAATGTTACCTATAGTGTATGTTTCTTTATATTTCACCATTTTTGGGGATTAAGGAAATGTCCTATTTCCAGTTTTTGGCTAATTTTTCTCAAAATAAATGTTAGGCTTTTTCAAATGCTTTTTTTTTTTTGCCTCTATTAAAATGGCCCTATGATTTTTTTCTTCAGTTCTCTTAATTTAACAAATAGTATTGATTTATTTTCTCATATTAAAACAAACATTAAGTCCTGTGATAAATGCTACTTGCTTATAACATATTATCTTATTTATATGTTGCTGGATTGAATTATCTAAATTATTTTAAGGAATTTTGTATGTTCATGAGAGATATTCTTGGTCATTTTTTTCTTGTAATATTTATGTGTTGTTTCAGTATCAGAGTCATGTGGCTCTATAAAATAATTTTTAAAGTATTAACCCTATCTGTAGTTGGCCAGGCGCGGTGGCTCACACCTGTAATCCCAGCTCTTTGGGAGGCCTAGGTGGGCAGATCACGAGGTCAGGAGATCGAGACCATCCTGGCTAAAATGGTGAAACCCCATCTCTACTAAAAATACAAAAAATTAGCCGGGCATGGTGGCGGGCGCCTGTAGTCCCAGCTACTCCGGAGGCTGAGGCAGGAGAATGGCAGGAATCCGGGAGGTGGAGCTTGCAGTGAGCCGAGATCATGTCACTGCACTCCAGCCTGGGGGACAGAGCGAGACTTCATATCAAAAAAAAACCAAACAAAACAAAACAAAGCAAAAAATTATTAACCCTATCTGTATTTTCTGAAAGAGTTTGTGTAAAATTGTTATTTTTTTCTTCCTTAAATGTTGAATTTAGTTCCCCTCTGAAGCCATATTAGCCTCAACTTTTCTTTGTGGGAAGATTTTAAACTACAAATTTAATATTCTTAAAAATATAGGGCTATTCTAATTTTCTATTTCTTTCAATGTAAGTTTGATAATTTATAAGGATTGTGCCAATTTTATATGTTATTAAATATTATTGACAAAATGTTGCTCGTAATATTCCTTTATTTTTCTTTTGTTAGCTTTAGAATCTGGAGGGATCCATTCTCTTTCAGTCTTGAAACTGATAACATGTGTTTTCCTTCTTAATTTCTGTATCCAAGTAGCTAAGTTTTATTCCAATAATATAAACCTTTTTAAAGAAACCATTTCTGGTTTTGTTGATTTTATGTATTGTTTGACCATTTTCTCTTTCAATGTTTTCTGTTCTTAACTTCCTCTTGCATTTATTTTGCTATCTTTTTCTACTTTCTTAAGAGGAAGCTTAGATCATCAATTAAAAATTTTTGTTTTCTATGACATTCTAAATCTCTAATATTCTCTGTAAGCACTATTTTAGCTGTTTTGTACAAATATTGGTATGTTGTTATTTTGTTTTTATTTAGTTAAAATATTTTAAAATTTTTTTGAGATTTATCTTTTATCATGGGATTTTTAGAATTGTGTAGCTTAATTTGAAAATATTTGGGGATCTTTTTATTTTTTTGTTATCAAATTCAAATGTAATTACATTTGAGTACAACATCTACAAAAGATTTTATTTTTTAAAAAAATTAGTGAGACATTCTATGACACAGTATATGAAATATTTTATTGAATATCAATTACTCTGGAAACAAATGTATATTCTGCATGTGTTCAGTTTATTGTCTTGTAAATACTAATTTGGTTGGCAGTGTTGTTCAAACTTTCCATATCCTTTCTAATCTTCTGTCTACTTTCACAACTGTAAGCATACCTCACAGATACTGGGATTTTGGTTTCAGACCACCACTAGCAAGCAAATAGTGCAATAAATTAGTTACATGAATTATTTGGTTTTTTTAGGTATATAAAAGTTATGCTTACACTCTACTATTGTCTATTAAGTGTGCAGTAGTATTATGTCCAAAAATTTATATACCTAAATTTTTAAAATACTTTACTGCTAAAAAGGTCCAACAATAATCTGAGCCTTCAGTGAGTTATAATCTTTTTGCTGTTAGATGGTCTTGCCCTGATGTTGATGGCTACTGGCTGATCAGAATGATTGTTGCCAAAGATTGGGGAGGCTGTGGTGATTTCTTAAAATCAGTTGACGGTGCAGTTAGCCACATTGATTGATTCTTCCTCCCACAAATAATTTCTCTGTAGCATGTGATGCTGTTTCACAGCACTTTATCCACATTAGAACCTCTTTAAAGACTAGAGTCAATCCTCTCGGACCCTGCTGCCACTTCTTTACCAACTAAGGATACAGAGTATTGTAAATACTTTATTGTCATGTCAACAATGTTCACAGCAACTTCACCAGGAATAGAGTCCATATTAAGATATCACTTATTGGCTTACCCATTAGAAGCAACTCCTCATCAATTCATTAATATGGTATATTATATTTACTGATTTTTAAAAAATGTTAAACCAAACTTGAAATCCTGATTAAGCCCCACATTTTGCTGTATAATGGTGGAGTAACTTCTCCTCCCTCATGGGTAAAAACAGAAGTCAGCCCTTTAAAATGCATTCGGCTGAAAGTTACATAGCTTTGACATGTTTCACTTTCTCTCTTACTTAAAAACAATGAACTAAACAACTAAACCTTTCCCTCACATCTGTGCTTTACCATGTTTTGTACTTCACTCTGTTTAAAATTATCTTTCCATATTTGCCTATTGAAATATTGTCTTTTAAGATACACCCAGAATAATACAAACCTCCTAATTTCTTTCTTTATTATCTCATTCTGAAATGTTTTTTCATATCTGAGAATTCTTGACTTATGCTTGTGCCACTCCTGAAGTCATATAACATGTTGTCTTGTTTTGTGTTTATGTATATTTTTGCCATATTTTAGCTGCCCTTTTGGCCCTGTATTTTTCCACTTTATCCAACATCTCATCCTCTGTCTTATGTTAATAAAATTCCTTTTTACTTCTCAGGGCAGCACTCTGATAATCTTTGAATAGCAAGGATGGATATGAGATTCAAATTAATCAGGATATTCAGTATCTCTGGACATAGAAATTGATATAATGATAGACAACACGTGACCTAGGTAGTGCTCAGCATTAGTTTCTCAGGGCTGAGATGATGAATATTAAACTTGCCATTGGGTCATTGCAGTAACCACCCAAATTAGGCAAAGAGTGTTGGAAGCAGAACTCTGAGACGGAAATCAAGAATCTTTAAAAAAACATCATTTGAACTCCTTATTCTATGTATGTCTGAAGCCAGGTGTGCTTCTCTCATCTAAGCTGAAAAATTCTCCTGCTTTTGTGTTTTGGCCTAACAAATTTGTTTTAGGCTTTTACATTTACAGATGTAGAGTTCAGAGTTAAAAATTTGAAGTCTTTTTCTTTTTTTTTTAGATACACAAATAGTATTTAACACAGGATATATATATTATATATTAGAAAAATATATGTTTAATAATATTTCTGAATGAGAAAAATATATTCACCTAAATTAGGGGGAGGAAATCATGTGTGCAAAATACTATTAACACTGTCTCTTATCAATATCTTGAAATTCAAGCATTAGTCCAGCAAATCACATTTAAGATTTTCCTATACCAAACTCTTTACTAAGAGGTATTGTAGACATTACTCTTTAAAATATGACTCTCTGTGTTTTATAAAGTATGTTCTTCAAAGTCACATACTGCCTCTAGCTAACTGATAGTGCTGTCTTGGAATAAAGAGCATTTGGCTCATTTTCATGTACTTCTTTTATGCCACTTTCTAAATGACAACATCTATATTTGGGGGAGTTATGTGTTCTCAGATTGTATACAGTGATTTGGAAGGAAGCTAGAGGCTAAACTCTTTATCATCATATCAATGTTATTATTTCTTACAATTCAGTTAAATGATTTTTAATATTTTAGTTAAGATATAGTTTGCTGTATATGCATGCAAACATATATAACAAACAGTACCTATTATTTTGAGAGCATTTATTTCACTTTGAATGAAATGCATTGACTCAATATTTCTGGAGTTGCCTTAATGCAACTCATAATGCAATAACATTAAGTCATATTATTAGAAGTTTTATAAATTAGGCCAGATGCCAAATGTGAGTTTTCAGAAATGAAACCCCCCATTCTTATAGTAAATATAAATCAGAATTGAGGCTGAGAGCAAGATACACTATACATGTAAGGAATTAAGGCTTCCAATATCGATTGTTATTGAATACTATAATAAATCTGAAAAATCTAATCTATTTGGCAACAATTAAATTAATCATAGCATTGTTACTCTTACAGAAATTATTTTTTATTGTGGTAAAATATACAAGATTAAATTTACCATCTTAACAATTTTTAAGTGTACATTTCAGTCCGTTAATTAAATTCCCATTGTGCACAAATCTCTAGAACTTTCTAATCTTGAAACTCTGGACCCATTAAACACTAATCCCCTACCCCCTCCAGCCATTGGCAATCACCTTTCTAACTTTCTGTTTCTATTATTTCGACTACTTTACACTTCATACAAGTGGGATAAAACTATTTGTCTTTTTGTAACTAATTTCACTTTGCATAATATCCTTGAGTTTCATTCATGTTGTAGCATGTGACGAGATATTCTTTTTTTTTTGTAAGGATGCATAATAACCCATTGTATGTATATACTACATTGTCTTTATCCATTAATCTTTCCACCGACATTTGAGTTGCTTCTATCTCTTGACAATTGTGCAAAGACTACAATAAGCATGGATGTACGAATACCTATTTGACAAAGTAAGCACGTTTTGTTTGGCATATACATGGTTAACTCATCCCCACTTAAAAAGAACTCAAGGAATAAAGAAACCTAAGTATTTATTTACAGATGAGAGACATATAATAAACACAAATCAAGTAGAAGTAAAGGCATTGAAAGAAGATGTTTTCAGTGCTGCGTGGAGATCACAATAACAACTTGCAGTGTTACAGATACTCTAAACTTAGCCATACTCACAGGCATTCATATATGGTGAAGGGCTGCCGGTGTGGGAAATGGTGATTGAAGGCAAATGTAATATCTTTTCTCACCTCTATCAGCAATCCGCCTGGAACTTATTATTTGCACACCGTAAGCACATACAATATCAATGCTACACAAAGGCTTGAAAGAAATTTGTCTCTTGTCTCCCTTCCACCTTCCCATCAATGTTATTGATCTCTTAAACTTCCACCGTATGTTAGAGCTTCCTGCTCTATTTATTTCATGTAACTTTATGTCCTTTAGTCATGAATTGCTTTTCATGGCTATTATATAAGCTGACGTGTGTGGTTTTAATATATGCTTTAAAGTAACCATAGTATTTAAAATAATTGCATATCACAAAGTATAAATGAATATGTTTATTCCATGGATTTACATTTTGCATGTGTAAAATTGCTCACTTGAGCATTTAAATAATCGTGTTCACTTACCCAGAGAAGTGGAAGATTTTAAAATAAACAGGAAAAAGTATGCCATATTTCTTAATGCCTAAAGACAAGCTATCCAGTATGTGGTCATATTACCCTATGCCTTATTAATTTAAAAGCTTAAAATAGCATTGTAAAAGGTCACTAAAAGTAAGAACAGTTCTTTTCTCAACAATACAGCTAGATGGGAATGGAATAAAAAATTGCAGTTTTTATGACATCTCTCAGAATTATGTAATTATAAATATTAATTTTACCTATTAACACAATAATATAATAAAAATACCAACTAAATGAAATTGCAATGATTAAATATGTATAAAATGTCAGGCAAAGAAGCACAGAAATCTGGAAACCATAAGTCTTAGGCAAGCTGGTTTTTAGGCTATTGAAATCCTGTCTGCATTAGAAATAGGTAAATACATGCTGACTATATTCTAATAAAAAATTAGTAAGATACACTAGGGATTCCTTATCTGTTTATTTGTTTGCTTGTTTATTTTTACCCCAAATGCAGTGCACTTTTTCATTTTAAAGGGTCAATGCCTTTTCTTTTAGCACTTGGAGAATATTTTGCCATTTCTTTCTGACCTACTTGGTTTCGGATAAAACATTTTCTGTCATTCAAATTGATTTTTTTACTGACAGATAAGATGTTATTTTTCTCTGGCTGCTTTAAATATTTTTGTATTTGTCTTTGGTTTTTAGAAGTGTAATTCTGTGTGATATATCTTGGCATAGATTTCATTGGGTTTATTTTGTTTGGGGTTTGCTCATCTTCTTGAAACTATAGTTGTATGTCTCTTGTCAAATTTGGTAAATTTTTAGTCTTTCAGTTCTTAGTCTTTTAGTACTTTTCTAGTCATTCTCTCTTTCTCCTCTCTTTCCAGAACTCCAGTGATATGGAAGTTAGATCTTTCATTATATTCCGTTTTGGGATTGGGAAACATTTATTGTTTCATGTTCCATTTTACAGATATTTTCCTCTGTTACTGCCATTCTGCTTTTGAGCCCACTTACTGAACAGTTATTCAGTTATTACTGGGATTCCATTTGACCTAGAAATCAATTTTGGGAGAGTTAACATCTTAGCAATATAAGCCTACACTATGTGAAAACGGTATATTTTTCAACATCTTTTTTGACGTTTGTTAAGCATAACACTAATCCACACATCTTGTTATATGTATATACTGGTATTTCAGGGGTTTTGTTGCCAATATAAATAATAATTTTTTTAAGAGATGGAGACTTGCTCTGTTGCCCAGACGGTAGTACATGGCGAGATCATGAGATCACAGCTCACTGCTCAAGTGATCCTCCCGCCTCAGCCTCCTAAGTAACTAGAGCTACAGGTGCACACCACCACAGCAAGCTAATCGTTTAAAAACGACTTTTGTAGATCGTACCTGTAATACTGGCACTTTGGGAGGCAGAAGCAGGCGGATCACCTGAGGTCAGGAGTTCAAGACCAGCCTGGACAACATGGTAAAACCATGTCTCTATAAAAATGCAAAATAGCCGGGCATAATGGTGGGTGCCTGTAATCCCAACTACTCTGGAGGCTGAGGTGGGAGAAAAGCATGAACCCGGGGGGCAGAAGTTGCAGTGAGCCGAGATCATGCCACTGCACTCTAGCCTGGGCGACAGAGCTACACTCCGTGAAAAAAAAAAAAAAAAGGACAGATGCAGTGTCTCACGCCTGTAATCCCAGCACTTTGGGAGGCTGAGGCGGGTGAATCACGAGGTCAGGAGTTCAAAACCAGCCTTGCCAAGATGGTGGAACCCCATCTCTACTAAAAACACAAAAATTAGCTGGGTGTGGTGGCGGGTACCTGTAATCCAGCTACTGGGGAGGCTGAGGCAGAGAGATGCTTGAACCTCGGAGGTAGAGGTTGCAGTGAGCTGAGATGGCGCCACTGCACTCCAGCCTGGGCAACACGGCAAGACTCCCTCTCAAAATAAATAAACAAATAAATAAATATATACATATGTTATTTTTGTGGAGACAGAGTCTCACTATGCTGCCCAGGCTGGTCTCAAACTCCTGGCCTCAAGTAATCCTCCTGCCTTGGTGTCCCAAAGTGCGGGAATTACAAGTGTGAGCCACCTTGCCTGGCTGATGCTTGTTTAATTGTTGTTTTTGTTTTTGCTGTTTCTTGTTTATTTCAGTTTTAGTTTTGAATTATTTATTAAAATTATTTTTGTACATTGAATTTGTATTCTGATAATAACCTAAATGCACTTATTAGTTCCAGTGGCGTTTTTGTGTGGACTATTTTGGATTTCTATGTAGACAATTATAGATTCTAGCAATACAATATTTTTTATTTCCTTGTCTTAAATTTTTGCACTAAGACTTCCATTACCCAATCAAGTAGAATAAGTGAAAGAGAGTTTTTTGCCTTTTTCCTGACCCTAGGAAGAAAGGATTAAGTTTTCTCATAAGATGCTTATATGGTTCTACTTCATAATCTGTTGCAAAGGTGAATTACATGTGATACATTAAGAACTATTGTTGCATTATTTGGATAAACCTTCACCAGTCATATGTAAAACTATTTCACATTTTTCTGAATGATTTTAGTATGTCTTTTCTTTAACTTGTTTGTCAAATGTTATAGAAATTATTTTTTAAATTCTGGTAGTTGTAAGCCTCTCTTGCACAGTCTCTAATATCAAGATAAATTTTCTACTTCACCATTTTTTAAAGAAATATTTTATCAGAATATGGAAAAGGTAAAGGTAATGAGGGCAACTAAAGTGCCGTGTTGAACCCTGTGCTGGGCCACTAGAAACATTTTTCGGTAAAAACATATATCTTGTAGTTTAAAGAATCCTGTTAGCCCTACTCACACTAGCCTCCGGGACAAACTTTAAGCCTTCACCCTGGTGCATACATTCCTCCATGATATGGCCCCTGCCTACCTCTCTAGCCAGCATTCTGTTTCTTAAACTCTACGTATCAGCCTCAATATAACTTTACCACTCCCCAAAGTAGTTCATTTTTATCTTAATGCTGTCTCTATGTCCTGTATATGCTCTGTATTGTTTCTTAGCTAATTCATTTTTTTCTTCCAAAACTGAGCAATGGTGTCTCATTGCCTGGCAAAATGTGTCATTCCTTTCAAACGTAGGCTCTTCTACTGTGTTTGTACATAGTGCTGAATACACTATATTACGATAACTTTTTGCTTTCACCTACTTATCTGTACCAACAGACTGTAAGCTCTTTGAGAGAAAACAAATAAACAAATAAAATCAACTTGGTTGATTTACTTTGATCTTAGCACAATGCCAACCCCATGTACAGTGCTTTAAAAAAAGAAGTGGAATGAGTGGCTGATGGTACTGATTAGCCTTAGTATGATTAAGTATCATGGTAAGAACACACTCAGGAATGAATATTCTCACTTAGTTAGCTTATTGATTTAAAACATATTCAATCAATTCCAGGATAATTATGACTTTACATTAGAAAACACTTGAAAAACATTTGGATAAGGCATTTTTCTGATCATCTAAGACCTGTGAACTAATGTCAGCTTATCAATGTTATTTTGCTAGTGAGAGGGCAGAAAATGTCCCTTCCAAAAATATTTTTACTATGAGACCTTTGGTCAGTGAAAAGTGACAGTCATGACTGTCATGAATGAAGAATTTCATTGCTGATTTAAATTCAGCCTCATATCAATCATTTTATGACTAGTTAATATATGATTGGACTTGGACAACCAAATCTAAGAAATAAAACAAATATGACTCTGATAAACCCAACAATGTCTGTACATATATCTGGCTTGAAAAAATAGATATTTTCTTTTTTTGGCTTTTTCTTTTGTCTGCTTTATTTCTCAGGCTTTATCAGTGACAGACATACAGCAGTCAAGTTCATTTTCTCTTCAATATTCTTTACGTTTATAAAGATTCATTAAGTTCACCATCACTTTATATTTATCAGTATTATGCATTCATTTCCAGGAGTAGGTCTTTCTCCATTACCATTATTCTTTGGTAATTCCGTGTGAAAAAATTAAATTATTTTATGTAATAAAATGGAACAAATATATGATTATAAGCATACAAATCATAATCTTTTAAAGTATGTTTACATTATGGCATTAATATTTATACCAACTTAAAAATACAAAATTATTTCTAAATTTCAAATGAAATATTTATGTTTCTACTATATATTTTGGGAAGATAAATATCTAGTTGCCAGACATTGTTGAGGAATGTAACAAACAATACAGTTCCTTGAGTATGAGTAATCAAATAAAATAATAAATTTAAATTGATGGAAATTGTGAACCATGTACAAGGACCTAGCCTCAGAAAGCCAAAGGGAATTTCAAATGTGAATTTGATTATTTTCTAGGCTTGATTTTCTCCAATTATATAAAATATTATTCTTCCCTTAATTTTTTAAGCTGAAAAAATGTGTTTCATGAAAGCATGTTTTCTATGAGGATGGGGACAAGGAGATGGTGGCAGTGAGAAATCCAATCACACATCATTTCTAGAATAAGATCTGTTTAATTAGCTTTGTAGAACCAACCTGGAGGCCCTAAGCCATAAGGACAACAGCAGCTACAATAACAATGATGACATGTTGGTGATCACTTAGGACTTGCATTTTGATGATGACATATAAAAAATAAAATTCAGAGTACTCTATTAAGCAACTTGGCCAGAGTTCCTTTACTGTAATTGCCTATAAATGACTCCATATTTGCACAAATGCTACTTGATATGTCTGTAGCTACTTTTCAGACATAAATACCACATGTTCTGAAAAGTCTAAAATTGATAGTATAATCTTTCACTGCCAGCTATATTTTCTCTCTCTCCCAAATGTACCAATAAAATCAATTGAAATTATTGCTTTACTTGCTTGGCTTGTGTAATATATTTGCTGGTTGAACATAGAGAACATCAGTTTGCCTATTCAGATATTCAAGCAAATTATATTTTGTTTGATTAATGTTTTGGTGAGAGAGAACCCCCAAATACCTAGATGAATGAGCTCACTGTTCATCAGTTGTTAAATAAAATGTGCAATAAAATAACATTGGAAGTAACATGGAACCTCAAGATTTTAGAAAACTTTCTTGAGTAGAAACTAGAAAAATTTATATTTAAAAATTTTAGTCAATGTTTTTCATTATAAAGGATGAGGGCTTAAATTTTTCTTTGTACAGGATTTATTATTTAGAAGATATTAATTACAAATGGTGAGAAGTGACAAATAACTGTATAGGCTTTTCTTCAATCGAAGGAGCGGCTTTGGAAAGGAATCGGGTTGAGGGTGGTACGGCCTCTTCTCAGAGATGCTGTCTATGGCCACTCTGCCTTAATTGGGTCTCTTCTGCTATTGTTTATATCTAAAAACTTTCTTCTGCTTGTTTCTGCTCCCCTCCCCTCATAAATACCTATTACTTTTTAAGATACTTATTATATAGTACTGAAATACAATGATTGAAATTTACATGTGGAGAAGATTATGAAAAAATTTATTCTATTAGTGTTGCTGTCCTTAGTGTGCTTATGAGCTTCAAATGGTACAGTTATTGGGAACTAAGCTATTCATTTTCTTAGCATAGCTCTATATAAAATTGATTGCTTTACATCTTATTATTCTTTCCCTGAAGTCTTTCAGCAGTTTGATGGGGGCTCCGTGGCATGGAGATTATTGGAATATCCAAGTGTGTATGTTTGTATAAGAGAGCAAAATGAGATAATCTGGTCCTTATCTGGAGGCCTGAAGACAGATTCTGAAAGTGGCAGAGGTGGAGGCGGGTGGATCACCTGAAGTCAGGAGTTCAAGACCAGCCTGGCCAACATGGTGAAACCCTGTCTCTACTAAAAATACAAAAATTAGCCGGGTGTGGTGGCAGACACCTGTAATCCCAGCTACTCCAGAGGATCACTTGAACCCAGGAAGCAGAGGTTGCAGTGAGCCCATATCGCGCCACTGCACTCCAGCCGGGGTGACAGAGTGAGACTCCGTCTCCAAAAAAAAAAAAAAAAAAAAAAAAAAAGTTGCCATATCTAGCCAGTAAAATGGCTTTATTGTCCTTCTGTTCCCTTCCATCATCATAAAATATTTGGTAAAGTCCTGTGTAAAGTCACTGCATTATTTGTAAAGTCCTATGCACCTTACTTATATGAAGTCACAATTTAGTTTCTATATCAGTGTAAGAACAGAACTAAAGCTTGCCAGGGTGGTAATTTATTCCTGATGATAATGGCAGCAACCTCTGAAGGAAGGTGTCTGTTAACTTGATAGTAAAGAATAGAATTAGAAGACTGGCTGACTCTGGGTTTGTGGAAATGTATGAATCACCTGGGGATTCCTAGAAAAAAACATAAAAAGGGGGTGAAGGTAATGGACCTTAAAGATAGAATTTCTTATTGTAAAAATCCAATAGAATCTGAACTTGTTTTTTTTTTTTTTTTTTTATAACAAGGACGGAAAAAATATAAACTTGTTGGCTCATAAGATTTAGTAAAAATGTAATCCTGGTCAGATTTTCTGGGTATTGACCCTCTCACAATTGCCATCCTTGATTTTTATATCTAAATATAAAAATCATGCTGACTTAAATCTCTTTTTATTTTGTGAGGAAAAGTTCAAAACAAATGCTGGGGTCTGAATGATACCTAGAGTTTTCCTCAGTTAATATTTCTCTATCTTTTTTTACTGTGATAAAATATATGTAACATGAAAGCATTTTAAATGTTTCTAAGTGCACAGTTTACTGGTATTATGTATATTTATGTTATTATACAATGATCACCACATCCATCTCTAAAATACTTTCCATATTCCCAAATTGAAACTCCAAACCCATTAAATAATAATTCCCTATTTCCTCATTCCCCACACTCACTGTCCCTGGCAACCTGCATTCTACTTTTTATCCATACAACTTTGTCTATTCTCAGAACCTCATATAGTTAAAGTCATGTAGTATTTGTCCCTTTGTGACTAGCTTGTGTTAAACGCTGTGTTCTCTTTATTTTGCTGGCAGTATAATGTTTTCAAAGTTCATCCATGTTGTATCACGTGTCAAAATGTCCTCTCTTTTAATGGCTGAGTAATATTCCATTGCATGCATATATCTTATGTTGTTTATCCACTCACATATCTAGGAACACTTGGGTTCCTCCCACCTTTGGGCCATTGTGATTAATGCTGCCATAAACAAATAATCTGTTTGAGCCTCTGTTTTCCATTCTTTTGGGTATATGCCCAGAAGTGGAATCGCAGAATCATGTGGAATATATATTTTTAATTTTTGAGAAACTGTTGTTGCCCAGAGAAGCTGCCCAATTTTACATTCTCACCAACAACGAATAAGGGAGAATGTAAATGAACAAGAAATAAATAATTGGCAGCAATTGTGTGTTTATGCATTTATTTTTTATAATAGTCTATCAAAAAATATCCTAAAGGATGTGAACTAAAATTTAATGGTTTTGATTTTTATTTTCCTCATGATTAGTGATGTTGAAAGTCTTTCATTTACTTAATGACAATTTTTTTTGTTTTTCAAGACGGAGTCTTGCTCTGTCACCCAGGCTGGAGTGCGGTGATGTGATCTCTGCTCACTGCAACCTCTGTCTCCTGGGTTCAAACGATTCTCCCGCCTCAGGCTTGAGATTACAGGCACCTGCTCTCACACCTGGGTAATTTTTGTATTTTTAGTAGAGATGGGGTTTCACCATGTCAGCCAGGCTGCTCCCCAACTGCTGACCTCAGGATCTGCCTGCCTCGGCCTCCTAAAGTGTTGAGATTACAGGCGTGAGCCAGCAGAATTGGCTGTTCATGTCCTTTGCCCATTTTTAAAATCAGGTTGTTTGTTTTGTGTTATTGAGTTGTAGGAGGTTCTTTTTATAACTTGAGTTTTGATCCCTTGTAAGGTATATGATTTACAAATATGTTCTCCTAATCTGTGGGTTTCTTCTTCACTGAGTTGACAGTGTCCTTTCATGCACAAATATTTAAATTTGATGTAGTTCCATGTGTCTACTTTTTCTTTTGTTGCCTGTGCTGTTGGTGTCATATTTAAGAAATCATTGCCAAATCCAACATCATAAAGATTTTTTTGCCTATGTTTTCTGTAACATTTTTATAGTTTTAAATTTTGCATTTAGGTTTAATTTATTTTTGAGTTAAATATTTTTGTATATGTTGTAAGGTAATGGCCCAACATCATTGTTTTGCACATGGATATTCAGTTTTCCCAACACTATTTGTTAAAAACTGTCCTTTTCTTTACATGTATTTGTAATGAATTTTAATGGACAGGAAATAATGGTACTATAATACTGTAATTTGAAATGGTTTCTAATATGTGGTATATTTTGGATAAGGAAGAATTGTGTGATAACAGATGTTAGCAATAGACATGTTTTACAAGAACTACACTTATTGTATAATGTATTTGAACTTTTAAATATCATATCCCATTCTTAATCATACTTCACGTATTTAAAATTTACTATACTACTCAAAATAAGGATTACCTGAACTCCTAAATCTGTGACATCTGAGAAAAATAACATCTAATCTTATATAACCATATTAGAGTGTGCCCTAAAGGCAGTAAAAACTGATTGAAAATCATGTTTCTTTTTCTGTGAGATTTTGGGATTTTAGAGTTACAATTAGAGAGTTTGTTTCTTCTTCTTTAGAGATTGAGACATTTAAAAGTAAAGACTGAAAATTATAACTAAAATAAATATTTTCTGGTGATTCATGTATGTAAAAATTGCCGTCAGTGAAGAACAGTATTAGTATAGCTCACCAAATATATGCAAGGTCTTTTATAAGTAGAATACAATTAATATGTTAAGAACCCCAAATAGAACACAAGAATTAAAAATAGTAAGAAGTGAGATGTCCACTTTATTTCAGTTTGATAAGATAACACATTTTAATTGATATATATTTGTAACTTAAATAATTAAATAAAACTGACGGCATGCGAATATTGTTTTATTTTTGCAAAATAGTATTTTGCTATTTTGAGGTTTAAAGACCTGTTGTTAATGATTGAATATTATTTAAAAAATCTATTCAAACATAAGTTTTTTTAAGTTAAGGACTTGTTTTCCTATCTTAGCAAAGCTGATATTGGTCTGAAATAACATGGCATCACTATTGAAAGTGATACTTCAATGGTTTTTCACTGAGTTTCACACAAAGTCTACTCACGGTTTTGAATCTAGTCACTGAATAGATTGGTTAGACTAACCCTTTTATCTGATAATAATATTAAATGGTGGATAAATAGATAAAATACAACATTTTTAAGGCACTGGAGAATGACAAATGCACTAGATTACTGTATTAAAATCATAGTAGAAAGTAAAAGTGTGATTTACCTCAGGAATCTAAAGTTGGTTCAACATTTGAAAGTCAATTGATGTAGTTCATAATATTAACAGACTGTATGAGAGAGCCATGACTGTATTTTAACACCCAACAGACTAAAATAACAAACTAAATAAAACAACCACGACAAAATTTCATCACCTCAAACCTTGCTAAAAATGCCCTTGACAAAATGGAAAACCAAGCCATGATTAAAAACTCTTGAGAAACTGGAAATAAAGGACCTGGCCTCAGTATTATTAAGGGCACCTGAAACAAATAGCAATAACAAATACAATAATGAATATCAACCTAATGATGAGAGGATGAACATTTTCCTACCCAGATCAGAAACTCCTTATGAATGTCTGCCTTTGGCACTTTTACTGAAAATTGTATTGGAACTTCTAAGCATTGCAACAAGGAAAGAAAAGGAAATAACTGACACAAGGATTTGAGAAAATAGTAGAAAAAACCTCTGTCCTCATTCTTAAATGATATGTTTATTTATATAGAAATCCTAAGAGATTAACATTAAAATCTACCAAAACTATTATGTGAATTTATATTGTCTCAGAGTACAAGGTAAATATGTAAAAAAAAAAAAAAATAAGTATTTCTATAGAGCAGTAACAAACAACTTAAAAATAAAGTTAAAATGGAACTTCATTTACAATGTCACCAAAAGTCATAATATAATTGAGAAAAGACTTTTATATTGAACACTAAAAATGAGAGAATTTAAAGAAAATATAGTGTAATATACCATGTTCATTTACATTCATTAGATGAATCAACATTGTTAAAATACACATTGATCAAGATTTAACAAAACCTCAATCATTATTTCAGCAGTCTTTTTAAACACAGAAATTGTTAAGTTCATTTGTAAAATTTATGAACTTTTTGTCCACTAACATTTAATGCAATTTTTTAATTGTTAAATTTAGATGTATTTTATTTTTTGTTTTTGGCTAGACCCTCTGTCTTCTGTTTCTTTGTCCTTCTTCTGTCTTTTTTAGTATCATTGGAATAAATTTTAGAATTCCATTTTAATTTCTCTATGGGCTTTTTAGTTCTACCCCTTGGATTATTTTTAATTGCTTGAGGTATTAAAATATCAATTTTTAAACTTCACACTCTATTTAAAGTTAATGTTGTTCTAGGTCCTATATGATGAAGAAACTTTGCAATTTTAGGTCTATTTAATATTCCTGTATTTAATGTTATAAATATCACATGTATCATATATACATATGCTACATATACATATATTACATCTATTTATGGGAGTTACATTATAAATACTATGTCTACATATATAATAAACTGACAATTTCTCTTTTACATTCTCCTATATAAACATACAGAGAAAAAAATATATATATATACCCACACTTATAATGCAGGTTTTCTGGTGGTGAACTTTTTAGTTTCACCTATCTGAAGATGTGTGTATTTGCCTCCATTCTTGAAGAACACTTTTGTCGTATATATTAATACTGTCTAGGCAATATTTTTCTGTAAACCTCTTTCCTATTACTTTTTAACTTCCATAGTTACTAGTTGGTAAGTAAGCAATCATGTAAATTGGTGTTTTCTTTTATGTAACTTGATGTGGTTTTTATTTGCTTTCAAGGTTTTATTTTACTCTTTGGTTTTCAGCCTTTTATTGATGTTCCTAACCATGTTTCTCTTTATATTTACCCTACTTTTCAGGATTTACTGAGCCTTTTAAATCTAAAAGCTAATGTCATTTCTTAAGTTTGGAAGGATTTTTACCATCATATCATCAATTGCTTTTGTTTACTTCATTCTTTATCTTCTTTTCTTCTTTGACTTGAATTACATGTCATAATTTGTCTAATATTGTTCCACAGATCCCTCAGGCTCTGTTCATTTTTTGTCAATCGTATTTCTCTCCTCTCTTCAGTTTCAATGGATCTATCTTCATGTTCAATGAAAAACTTTGTATTATTTGCATTTAGTATTTAAGATCTCAAGGGACTTTATTTTAGATACTTAATTTTTAGTTCTAAAATTACCATTCAGTATTTTTAGTTTTTATTTGTTGGTTGAAATTTTCTTTTATTTACTTTATTGAAAACATATTTTATCTACTTCTTTGAACAAATAGTAGATGATATAAAATACTTGTCTGCATATTCTAATAAATGGTTCATCATGGGATTGGTCTTCATAAATCATCTTTTCCGTGGAGACTAGATTACATTTTCCTACTTTTTGAATGTTATGTGATTGTGAATTATGTCTTGAAATTGTGAATAATATTTTACAGAAGTGTTGGATTATGTTACACAACCCGAAGAATTTTGATGTTTTCATATTTTGTGCAATTAATGTGTTTATATTCTAATTGGAAACTCTGTGTCTCAACTGGCAAACCAAATATAAGTTGATTTGTTTACTCTTCAGTTGCACTGCCTTCATTCTGCCCTTACAGATTTATGGTTCAAGTGTTAGCAAGAAATTTGAGCAAATATTATTCACACAGTTTGAACTCCTCCACTCGAGATGTGTTCTTTCCAGGATTTCTTGTTCATTTTTAGCAACCGTGGTTATTCTAACTTTTATTTTCTCGTTTTTCAGTCCATAAAGACTGGAAGTTTTTTATCAGACTTTTAGCCCAACCATGTGGTGCCTACTTGATCTATTCTCAGACTGAAAGCCATAAAATAGGTGACATTGTGTGGTGGTCTCTTTTTCAGCGGTCAACTTTGGTCTGAAATATATATATATTTTTCATTCTCCATTGCCTTTGTTTGCTGTTTTTTCAATTGAGATTTTAAAGCTATTTTATGGGAGGATCTCTTATAGAACTTATACTTCCTCAATTCAAGTTACACAAAAAATCTACAATAATTCTTAGAGTATGGTATTGAAATAAGGATAGAAAAATAGATCAATGTGAACATAATGTAGAAATAGAACCACAAATACATTATCGGGTGATTTTCAATTAAGGAGACACAATTCAATGAGACAATGTAGTCTTTTCAACAAATGATGCAGATTCAACTGGATATCCATATGGACAATATTGGACATATTAATAAATGCCACCCTATAAACACTAATTAATTTGTGATGGATTATTGATGTAACTGTATAAATTAAAACTATATAGATGTAAGTTTAAGTCTTTACAACTGTGAATAGGCAAAAATTTTCTAAAGAAAACAAAATAAACAATAAATACAAAATAAAAATAATAGATTACATCACAATGAAAACCTACTACCTATTCAAAGATACCTTACAACAGTTAATATAGACAAGCCATAGTCAGGGAAAATATAGATATTATACATATACCTGACAAAAGACTTGCATACAGAATATATAAATAACTTCTACATCTCAATATTAAAAAAGACAACCAAGTTAAAAAGCCAAATGACTTGTATAGATATTGCAGAAAGAATGATATACAAATGTTTAATAAGCATATGAAAAATAGTAAGTATCATCTTTAGTCATCAGGGAAGTAAAAAGTAAAAGCAAAATGAACTAAGACCCAGAAGAGTTTCTAAAATTATAAACACCCAGTAGAGTTGCTAAAATTAAAAGTCTTACTACACGAAATTTGGCAAGTGAAGCAACTGGAACTCTTTTACTTTTCCAGGGAGAGTATAAAACAGCCTATCCATTTTGGAATATTTTCTAACAGTTTCTTATAAAGTTAAATATACTTAAACCCTGAGAACTGGCAATTGCATTTCTAAGCATTTTATGATAATAAAGTTTAAAACATATGTTCATAACAAGACTTGCAAAATACTAATTACAGCAACTTTATTTATAATGCAAAGTTGGAAAAATCTAAAATTGTACCAATAGAAAGTGGATAAATAAACTCTGGTACACTCATACAATAGGGTGCTACCCTGGAAATAGAAAATAATTACCTTCTGAGATACACAACAACAGGAATAAATCTCAAAAGCGTTATTGATAGTGAACAATGCCAAAAAATGGCATATGTGTGATTACATTGATATGATATCCTGGAATGAGCAAAACTACTGTATGGTGAAAAAATTATAACAAAATTTGCCTTTGTGTATATGTTTATGTGTGTAGGGTGGGACATGGACCCAGCAAGAGCAAGGCAGGAGAGAATTTATGAGGTGATGTTAATATTTTATTTATTAAAGGGGTCTGTGTAACATGGATACATACTTTTTCAAAGATATAGTAAACATCTAAATATTTTATACATTTTAATCTAAATTAATTGAATGAGCAAAGGGAGTGAATGGAGTCAGAGATTACACAAAGATGCAAAATGTTGATAGTTATTGAAGCTGACTGGTATATGGGACATATATATATATTATATATATATATTTGAGCATTCTATTTATGTGAATTTCTTCACAATAAAAACGTAAACAAGTATGAGGATGCCTATCTATTTTTTTAAATTTAGTTATGACCTTCAAGTCTGGCTTGATGTTGCCTGTTCATCATTTCTTGCAGATTTTGCTTTTTCAATTACAATACTATTGTCATATTGTTCTTTCAGTTTTCTAGAATTGCAAAGCTCTTCTTGCCTCAAGGACTTTGCACATGCAACTGTTTTCTCTTTTCAATCCTTATTTTAATTTTTAATAATTGTTATGGATATATATTATTTATACATATTTATGGGTGCATGTGATGTTTTGATATAGGCATACAATATGTAATGATCAAATCAGGGTAACTAGGGTATCCATCATCTCAAGGATTTATCATTTGTTTAGAAACATAACTATATAGGAGAAATGGTTAATAGGTACAAAAATATAGTTAGAATAAATAAAATATAATGTTCGATAGTACAACAGGCTGTTTTCTCTTTCTGAAACCATCCCATGGCTAGTTGATACATCTTCAGACAGATCTTTGGCCATCTTATTTAAATTAAGTCTTGTATCCTTTTAATATCACACTCTTATCTGCTATTTTTAAAAAGTTTATGTTTTAATAATTTGATATTTACAAATTGCAATTCAGAAATGCAGAAAAATGGGTTTATTTCATTTACATAATGGATGTTATAATACTCTTTAACACATTTACTTGACCGTGAGGGTAGGTATAGATAAAACTCTTATCTTTTCAATTAAAAAAAGCTAATTTATTTGCAAGGACATGAAAATGAATCCACTTATATATAATATTTAAAGTAATCCTGGAATAGAGATATTTTACTGTAAATTAAACATGGCAGACTAAAGACATTTTTTATTTCACCTCCTTTATTTAATACCTATGCAAAACAACACAAGGAATAAAAAACAGAAAAAAGATTCTACTTTTAAATCAAGACAACAGCTTTGCTCTAAAAGCATTGACAATATTTATTAAATATTAGGAAATATGGAAGAAAAATAGGATAGTTAAGAGCTGATATCTGACTCATTAGAGCTTGAAGAAAATTGATTATTATCCTAGAAGTAAATATCCCAATCCTGAAGTGCATATCATTGAACCATTAATAAGAGTTACAAGGCTTAGGGGTATCTCAGGCTATGAGGCTTGTGAATGATATAGCCGTATAGAACTACATCTTCCATATAGCAGAATAAGCAGTGGATTTGAGCTGAAAGAAGAATCAAGTGAAAGTCATATTTGGTGCAATAAGACAATAGACGTAAAAGGCAGACAGCTTGTAAAGAAAGAAACAAAACTCTATATACAGACCACATGAATGTCTATGTAGAAAACCCCAAGGAATCAATAGAAATAAATCTTCCTAGAAATAATGTCTTAAGCAAAATTACAGTATATAAGATCAATAATCCATAATCAATTGTTTTTCTATATACTAGCAATAAACAATTAAAAATTGAATATTTTAAGTACAATTTACAGTAGCTCCAAAAATATGAGTTACTTAAATATAAGTCTAACACAATATGAGTTTCAACGTAATTCTTTTGGAAACATCAGCAAATTACGTCATTTTGCTTCTTATCATTTTTCAATAAATTATTGTGCTTTCATAAGAGTGTACTTCTTGTAGCATCACTATCATCGTAGTTCTTCTCTGCTATGAAATAAATTTGCCTCAACATGGATAATCCATGAGTATTTCCACTTACAGTCTCTTCCCAATATAGAATAGCACACATGCTTTTAGCCGTCTTATGCTTTCTGCTTGGAGTCCTATTATTCTCACTTACTTGGATTAATGTACGTCTTTAAAGGCAGAAGTAATATATCCAAAGCATCCGACAAATGCTGCTTCAAAGGTATGTTCTAATACAAATAGACAAAGGCCAGAGCACTGGAACAGAGTCCTAGAATACATGCTTTCCAGGCATTGATCATTTTGTTTATAAATGCTGGGAAATTTTCGAGTCTCAGAGGTTAACCTAGGGTATCTGGGTGGCAGGAGAAGGATGTTATATGAAGGCTTGGGACAGTGGCTATTTGGCAAATATAACAATTCACCATTTTGACATTGGGTAGGGACTTGTGGGTGTGTCCTGGCTGAAGAGTAGCCCTACTTGAAGGAGAAGCTGGCATTTTACCAACTCTGTAAAATCTACCCTCATCAGCAAAGAGGAAAATGTTCTATCTTCCTTTCTCATGCCACATAGCATTTGATTTTTCACATCTGCAGCATTTTATATACTGACTCATATTAAAGCTCTTTTTTGTAATGAGACCTAATGCCACACCTAGGGTACATAATGACATAGGGGAAAAGAAATGCGTTGAGTGCAGGAATGAATCTTCATACATTTTTAAAACTTCCTGTGTTGTCAGAATGAATGGAATAGGTGACAAATACATGTTTTTTGACATTGCTATGATATTTATATATTGACTTATTAGTTTGTGAGAAATTTGATTTTCTCCTCTTAAATTTTATGTCATGTTTCTTCAATAATTGAGACTGCATTATTTATTTATCCACCTTGAGTGTTATCCTCAGGTGGCTCATGGAATTATATCCTTGTGTCTAATACCTGAAAAATGTTGATATGCCTGTTATTCTTCCTATTAGATAAAATCAAGCAATCTGCTAGTTAACTCACCATGACATGCAGTGTGAAGTCAAAATTCAAAGTACTGATAATATCAGTAACCTAGGAGGTCTGCCAACCACACTAATAGAAAGTATTCTTCTCAAACTCACCTCCTTTTTGACAAAAAGAGACTTACCGTAATAATCATTTAAAATATGACAATCTATAAGTAATATGTTAGAATGAGATAAAACAGCTCTTTCACTCAACACTACCTATGGAATACAACACAGTATGGGAGACTGCTATTGTCATAAATGTACACTCAAAAGAACTGTTTTCCTTTAAAATTGTATTCCCAGAAAAGTAAACAGGTAAATATTTTTTGTTCTCTAATTCCACTTTTTATGTTTGTTCTCTTTACTTCTAACTTTATGGATCTCACCATCTAATTTAAATTCTTACATGTAAAATGTTAGCATATGAAAATTTAAATTCAGATCACTATGGGTGTTCAATAGACACTGGGGGAAATTTTCACAAATTTTATATGACAGCAAGCAATATTATATTTAATTGTATGGTATATGGAAATAAGGTATATATAGTGATATACACAGATCTTAATTGTACATTTTGATGAAGTTTGATAAATATGTACTTCTGTACTTCTCATAAACTAATACCAGTAGTATTATGTACTACTTTTCCATCACCAATGAAAAAATCCCTGTGTCCCATTTCAGTCATTCCCCCCCAAGCAGGCAATCATCTATAATTTCTATCACAATATATTAGGGGTATCTGTTCCAGAATTTTCATGTAAATGTTATAATATTGCGTGCACTCTTGCATATGGCTTTCCTTGTTCAACACAATGTTTTTGAAGCTAATTTATACAGTTAAATGTATCAGATATAGTTTTTAATTTTTATAGCTGAGCCATATTTCATTGTATGAATATATCAAAACTTATTGTACACCTTTCTGGTGATAGACATTTGTGTTTTTTTCAGGTTTTGGCATATAAATAAAATTACTATGATATTTCTTGTACAAATTTTTTGGAACGTGTATATTCATATGTTGTATAGGTTTTCATTTTAACATGTATAAAAACACTTCAACAGCACCACGAAACAACTTAAAAACTGATATTTATAAAACATTCCATCTATCAAGAGAATAATGTATGCTCTTTTCTGCACAGCTTTATTGAGGCATAATTGATATACAAAGAGCTGTACATATTTACTGTGCACATTTGGTGAGTTTCAACATGTACAAACACCTGTGATATCATCACCACAATCAAGACAATAAATGTTTGATTCATTTGTATTTTGTGTGTTTGTGTTTAGATATGTGTAGGTTTAAAATGTTAATATGAAATCTACTCTTTAACTTTGAAGTATACAATATTATTAACTATATGTACCATATTGTACAGCATACCTCTAGAACTCAATCATCTACTATAACTGAAGCATACACATTGAACAACTCCCTGTTTCTTTAATACCTAGCCCCGGCAATCACCATTTTATTCTGTTTCTGTTAGTCTGAGCATTACAAATATGTAAGTAGAATCACACAATATTTTTCTTTCTGTGACTGGCTTATTTCACTTAGCATAATGTCCTCCAGTTTCAACCATGCTGTAGCAATTGGCAGAATTTCTTACTCTTTCAAGGCCAAGTAATATTGCATTACATATATGTATATATATACCATATTTTATTTATCTATTTATTTGCCAATGGACACTGGGCTGTTTCCAATTTTGGCTATTGGGAATAATGCTGCAATGAACATGAGAGTGCAGATATTGCTTCAAATTTCTGATCTTAATTCTCTTCGATATACATCCAGAAGTAATATTCCTCGATTATATGATAGTTTTATTTTTTATTTTTAAAGCAACATGCATACTGTTTTCCAGAAAGTTTGCATCAATTTGCATTCCCACCAATGGGGAACAAGGGTTTCAATTTCTCTGCATTCTCACCAACACCTGCTATCTTTTGATTTTTTAATAATAGCTTGAGATGTGAAGTGTTATCTTATTGTAGTTCTGATTTGCATTTCCTTTATAATTAATAATGATGAACATCTTTTCATATAGTTGTTCATGCTTTATATGTCTTCTTTAGTGTTCACTTAGAACATTCATGAGGATGAAACATATCATAGGCCACAGAACAATTCTCAATAACTTTAAAAAGACTGAAATCAGTGAAGTGGGTATCAAATGGATATAAATGAAAATAGTATATGATCTGAATGATTTTGTTCACCCAATATATGTACACTGAAATCCTAACTCCCTACTGGGAGATAGGGCCTTTGGGAGGTGACTAGGTCATGTGGGCAGAGCTCTCATGAATGGAATTACTGTTCTTGAAGAGACTTCAGAAATCTTGTTTGCCCCTTCCGCCATGTGAGGACACAGTGAGAAGGCACCATCTATGAACCAGGAAGTAGTCTCTCATCAAACTCCGAATCTGCTGGTGCCTTGATCTTGCACTCTTCAATTTCAAGAAATATGAGAAATAAATTTCTGTTATTTATAAACCACTCAATGTATAACATTTTGTTATAAAAATCTGAATGTATTAAGGCAAACAGCAAATAAAAATTCATGCTCTCACCAATATTTAAATATTACAGAGACTTACTTTTAAATATATATCATATTACAGAGAAGAAATCACAATGGAAATAGAAAATATTTTAACTGAATGAACACAATATAGCAAAATGTATGGGATTCAGCTAAACACATACATAAAGGGAAATTTTTAGCTTAAAATGCATATATTAGAAAAACACATATATCTAAACAAGAAAAATTTTCAATAAGTAATGTAAATGTCTCTACAAAAAAATAGAAAGAAAAGAGCAAATGAAACACAAAGCAAACAGAAGAAGAAAATAAGTTTGAGAACAGAAATCAACTAAATATAAAACAAAAACATAGATAAAAATAAACAAATTCAAATTTTTAAAAAGAACAACAGATTTTATAAATTTTTAGCTACATTTATCAAGAAAAAAATATGCGAATTACCAAAGCCTAAAGTTGAAGAGAGGGACATCACAAGCACACCTACAGAAGTTAAAAGGATCATGAGGTAATATTATGAAGAACATTTTGTAAACAAATTATACAACTAAACTAAAATGAATAAAGTCCAGGAAAGACATAAACCAGCGAAAATGATTCAAGAAATAAAGAATATGAGTAGACTTGGCCGGGTGAGGTGGCTCACGCCTGTAATCCCAGAACTTTGGGAGGCCTAGGCGGGCGGATCACGAGGTCAGGAGATCGAGACCATCCTGGCTAACAAGATGAAACTCCATCTCTACTAAAAATACAAAAAAATTAGCCGGGCGTGGTGGCGGGCGCCTGTGGTCCCAGCTACTCGGGAGGCTGAGGCAGGAGAATGGCTGAACCCGGGAGGCGGAGCTTGCAGTGAGCCGAGATCACGCCACTGCACTCCAGCCTGGGCGACAGAGCGAGACTCCATCTCAAAAAAAAATATGAGTAGACTTATATAAAGCAAATGCATTGAATTTGTACTTAAAATAAATCCCCCTCATAGAAAAGCCAGTCCAAGATTATGTCACTGGTGAGCTCTATGAAATATTTAAAGAATGATAAATAACAATCCTACACAAACCCTTTCAGAAAAGAAAGGATGAGGGGACACTTCTCAATTTACAATAGAAGGTCAATATTACCCTGATAACAAAGCCAATGAAATTACAGACTAATATCCTCATGAACATAGATGCATAATCCTTAACAAAATACTAGCAAAGGCAATCAGAAACACAAATATAAAAATTACATAGTGACAAGTAAGTGGGATATATTGCAGAAAAGCCAGATAGGATAACCATCCCCAAATCAGTTTATGTAATACATCACATTAATAGAATAAAGGACAAAAAAAAATCATGATCTTAGTAAATGCAGAAAAAGCATCAGAGCAAATCTGACATCCACTCACAGTTTAAATTAGGAATTGAGATAAATGTCCTTAATATTATAAAGAACTGGTATGAAAACTCTGTCACTTACATTATGCTTATTGGTGAGAGACTAAATTATTTTTCTCTAAGCTCATAACACAGCAAATATTTCCACAGTCACTAGTTTTCTTCAAAATTATTTGGAATCAATGCAACAACTGCAGAAAAAGAAATGGGAGTTGTCTTGGATAATAAAGAATAAAGCAAAACTGTTGTTAATTTTAGATGGCGTGTTCCTTTATTTAAAAAGTCCTGAAGAGTCTAAAAGAGCTACTAGAACTAATACATAAATTAAGCAGGGTCCAATAATTTGTGATCTATATAGAAATCAATTGTATTTTTAAGAGCAATCCAAAAATAAAATTAAGAAAATAATACAATTAAAACAACACCACAAAGAATAAAATACCTAGAAATACATTGGACAAAAGAAACACAAACTTGTACACTAAAATCCAAACATTACTGAGAAAAATTAAAGAATATCTAGATATATAAAAAAGCTTTTGTTAATGTGTAGGAAAATTCTATAATGTTAAGATGACAATTCTCCCAAAATTGATCTAATAGAATCAATGAAATTCTTAACCAAAACTTAAAGGATTTTCAAAATAAAAATTAATAGCCATCACAAAAGTTTAGAAAAAGAACCAAGCTGGAGAACTTTCACTACCTGGCTTAAGATATACTTCAAAGCCTACTATAAAATAACCATAATCCAGAGAGTGTGGCATCGTTGTAATGACAGACATATATAAATCAATGGAATAGAATAAAAAATCCAGAGATAAACCTTTACATTTTTCTTCAATTGATTTTTGACAAAGTTATCCAAAACTTCAGTGGTGAAAAAAATCAGTTAAAAAGGTTTTGGAATAGTTGGATAATCATACGCAAAAACATAAACTTAGATCCTACCTTATAATATTTACAAAAATTTACTGGAAATGAATCATAACCTGAATATAGGAGCTAAAATTATAAAACTTATAAAAAATAAAGAAGAAGAACTTTGTAATCACAGGTTAGTTCAGGTTTGCATTATGATCTCCGAATACATTTAAACAACTGACAGTACTGTGTAAATTTTTAGAGAATGACTGGTAGATCTATCTAAATAACAAATGTTAGATATTAACATTTTCGAAAAATAACTAAACACAGAACACATAAATGACGATAGTTTTACTTTTATTTTTTCGCATAGGATTAATACTTGCTTTAACTGCTGGAGTACTGAGAAAGCTAAATTGGCAGAAGGAGAATCTCAGACAAGGTAGTTGATTATGCCATTCCAGTCAGTAATGATGAGCTTAATTGGACTGTAAAATTATTTGGCAAATGAAATGTTTTTATCCTTGTTGAGGTGTGGACAAAGGCTATATTTTATTCAACTGAATAAGATATGTGGTACTATATTTTAATAACACAGGCTTGTCTACTATAAATTTAGCTTATTCTGTCTTTACCAAAGCACATTCTATTTTTTTCTCCTGTACTATTATAAATTAGGATGTAATCAATTGATTAAAATAGAATAGTTGAAGTGGTGTATTGTCTTCCTTTGTCAAGCTTTCTTTCTAGATTTATCTAGATTTTCTGTTTTCATCTCTGTGATGATAGTCACAGTTTAGGAAGTGAAAGTCATTTTAGCTAAGAGATATATGAAGGAAGTTAACATATATTTTAATTAAATAGTTTACATTGTGAAGTGCTTCATCAAAAATTTACTGTTGTAATTCCAGAGGCTACATTTTGTTCTCAAATGGTGACTGTCCCTGTTTGATCTCTGGAGTCCAATTAGAACCCACCTGTGTTGGCATTGCCTATTTTAACTAACAGAAGTCCAGCTCTAGAATTAGTACAAACACTGCTCTTTTGACTTAAATTTCTACAGTCTTACTATGCTCGAGGCACATGGTCCTCTTTTCAACCATGATGTATATAATTGCAGTTTTACAGGTTAAAAAACTGAGGTTCGGACAAAGTAGCATACAAGAATTAAATTTAATAGCCAGATAAGTGACCCAGCTGGGCCTATATCAAAGTCTTTCCATATCAAAATTTGAAACAATATGTAAGACTATCTTTTATGAATGGTTATTAAATCCAGATGCATTAGTATGTATAAAATAAACATTATTAAATTTCACCATAGGAATACATATGCAGAGAAACATAGAGAGGCTACTTGATTCTGTCTCTATTCTTGCAGTTATTCCTAATATTCTAATATAGTCAGATTCCAATTCCCAAACCCCTCTCCAGATATTGGAGCTGCTTCTCAATTATTTTTCCCATCCCATTGGTTAATAAAAAACCCTGATATTTTCAATATTCATCTGTTAATTTTTCTAAAATTGTCCATTTTTTATTGGACAACTCTTTTTTAATGCTTTCCAGCTCTCTGAAGTTGCTCTGTTGCCTTAAAAGGAAAAGAATTGTAGATTAGTTTATATCATGATGAAAGTTAATATTGATCAGAATGTTGTTTAAATCAACCTGTTCAGAAAGAACAGAAAGAGGTGACGTGTGTTAAATTTGATCCTAAACATTACCTTAAATAGAAGAACAGAAAAAATAAATTAGCTTAATTTTCACATCTTATAAGCAGTCTTAGAGAAAGAAAAAATGTTCTCCTTGTAGAACATTAAAATGCAGTATACAGAATTATAATCTGACAATATTAATGAGTCATCTGATTCCTCTTCTGGCTTAGGGAAACCCTGAAATGAGTTGGATAAAAAGTTATAAATTATTTTAATAACGATTGCAGAAGTCACCAAAAATTGAAGTTCAATATACAATGTAGTCATTATGCATTTCATTCTAACTTAGAATTATTTTACTGGCAGGATATGCACTAGATTGCTTCAAAAGCCTTATATGCTTGAACCCAAAAGAATGGTTTAACAAATAACTTAAACTTAGAAACTAATTCAAACTTGATGTTTTAAAAATATAACTGATGGTTCTTTTGCTACTATGAAATTATGTTAGTTATGAGATATAATTCTCTAGCAGCCAAAATTTGGTTTTGGAATTAAAACTTGTGTGTTATGTGATTTATGATCCTAAATAATGAAAACTTGGCAACAACTTTGGAAAAAGGAGATGTTGGTGACGGAAGGAATCTATGTGTCAGCATTTATAATGGTCCAAATGGCAACCAAAGATTTGGCAATTTTTACTTGCCAGAATAAGTGGTGGCAGTTAACCATCTGCTATTGATGGTTAAAAATTGGGCTTTAACCATTTTTAAAAAGAGTTATAAAGCATAGAAGATGAGATTTTTTGTCAGTATTTAATGGAAACATTTCATATTTTATTTAATCTACAGAAGAAATAAACTTAAAATGTAGTTAAGACAAAAATTAAAACATTGGATGAATGGTTTACTAACTTAGTTCAGAACACACTAAATGTGTAAGAAATTGCAAATGGTCTAGATTCACTGTAACACAGGAAAGGAAATATAGCACATTATTTGTTGGAGACTAAATCTTTGCCTTCCTTCTCTTCTAAAAAGGTATTATCAGTCATAAATATTTAAAATTATATGTATATAGCCAAATTCTCACCAATAAATTTTAACAAATTTACAATGCCACCATACCACCTCCATATCCCCACCAATACTTGCTATAACTCATCCCTAATTTGTGCCAATATCATAAATAAAATGTGATGTTGTTATATTGTTTTAGTTAATATGGTCTTCACATTTGTGTTGCAGGAATATAATTTATATTTTAACTTATGATCAAAAGCTTTAATTTATTACAAAACATGGAGTTTATACTTTTGATGTATTTGGAATATTTACTCTTAATATCGATTATAGTCATAAAGCGCTAGTGATGCATTGTCAGTATGAAAATAGATCACAAGAATAATCTATTTGTATTCTTACGTTTAGTGAAATTTGGAAAAATTTTGGAGACTCGGATCTCAAGTTGAGATTCAAAGAAAAAAGAAAAAAGTTGTCTTTATTATGTTGAGGTTCAAAAACATGTCAAACATTTACTAGCCAATTGTATTTCTTCTTAGGGACACTACATGTCTGTCTCATTAGGAGATTTCTTAATGGTCATGTGCAATTTAAATTTTAAAAATTTATTTTTAGTGTTTTATTTCATTTTATCAATATTAGCAATGCGTTAAAGACGAAAAAAAGACAGAGAGCACAACTTACCTATATCAGAAATAGGTTTCGTTGGCCGGGCACGGTGGCTCATGCCTGTAATCCCAGGACTTTGCGAGGCCGAGGCAGGCAGATCATGAGGTCAAGAGATTGAGACCATCCTGGCTAACACAACGAAACCCCATCTCTACTAAAAATACAAAATATTAGCCAGGCATGGTGGTGGGCGCCTGTAGTCCCAGCTACTGGAGAGGCTGAGGCAGGAGAATGGTGTGAACCCAGGAGGTGGAGCTTGCAGTGAGCTGAGATCGAGCCACTACACTCCAACCTGGGCGACACAGAGAGACTCCGTCTCAAAAAAAAAGAAAAAGAAAAAGAAATAGGTTTTGTTTGACAATAAATTAAATTTTTGTCCTGTAGTCACTGAAAATGTGTTTAGTGACTACCGCTAAGAGCTTAACCCAAATAGACAAAGTTCTTCAAAACACAAATTTACCAAACTGTAACAAGATAAAATAGAAAATCTAAATAGTCAACAGCCTTTGGGATATAAACAGAGATGCATTGCCCAGGTCCACTTTCAAGTAATAATTTTTATATATTTTTTGCAACTGTTAAAAGTTCTGTCATCAGAGAACCTTTAGCTGTCAGCCCTCTAATTGTTTAACTTTAGAGTCATCTCATTCAAGGCAGAGACCTTGCCTGGAAGGACCTCATTCAGAGATTAATTGTTGAGAGAGCGGAGATAGCGTGATATGGCTCTGCCATTCTGGCCAAACATGGGACAATTCTAATAAAGTATTTTAATTCCAGCACTTTCTTTGAGTAAGCTGTAATTGAGGTCAGGCTTGCATCAATACTTGATTTATTTGTTACGCAACCCTGTTTTGTGTTTTTTTTTTTCCTGCTCCCTCCCGGAGGGATCGCTTCAAGAAACCCCACAAGCAAGCATCTTTCATGCACATTAAGCCTTTCTC
The DNA here is from genome assembly GCF_000001405.40 of Homo sapiens. Classification (NCBI taxonomy): domain Eukaryota; kingdom Metazoa; phylum Chordata; class Mammalia; order Primates; family Hominidae; genus Homo; species Homo sapiens. The sequence continues at coordinate 65,133,748 of NC_000010.11, read as the reverse complement.
AAATGCTGCTTTCCAGAGAAGCCAAGTCACCACACCCCATGTCTATTGAGAAAATTGCATTTATTATTGTTAATAGGAAACCTTTTCTACAATAAAAATTTCAGGTGCAATTGGTTTTACTTGCAAATTCTGTCATACAATTAAAAAAAATTAACACCAATCTGATGTAAACTCTTTGAGAAACTAGAAGAAAAGAAAATACTTCCTAATTTGTTTTATGAGGCCTTCATAGTATCAAAAACTGACAAATCCTACCAAAAGATGAAAATTAGACTAATATTCTTACTGAAAATAGATTCTGTAATCAAATATATATAAATCAAATCCATAAGATATTACATTATAACCAAGTTGTGTTTATGCTAGTAATGTGAGATACATTTGTCATCTGAAAATCAATAACATTCACTGTATTAATCAATGGAAAAAATATGATTATCAAAATAGATGCCATAAAATCATTTCAGAAAATTTAACAACCATGGGAGACTTCTATTCTATAACTTCAAGAGTTATTATAGAACTACAGTTTTCAAAACTGTGTAGCAGTAGCATAACAATAAATTACAAGAATGAAAGAGAAGAGCCCACACATAGGGTTACACTTCTACCGTGTTTGATATTTTAGCAATGAATTCAAAACAATCCTATGAGCCAAAAACTGTCTTTTCAAGTATAATATTGGAAAAATTGGACATTCATATGGGTTAAAAAATGAAACATCCTACATTTCACACCATATAAAAAATAATCAGAGATACATCATTGGTCTAGATTATAAAAGTTGAAGCTATAAATCTTCTAGAAAAAAATTGTTATATGTCTTTGTAACTTTAGTGAAGGCAATATTTTCTCAGATGAGTCAGAAAGCAATAACTATAAAATTAAAAATGTTAGATTATACATAACCACAGCTTAAAAATTCTGTTTATCAAAAGGCAGCATTAATAACATTAACAGAGAAGCCGACATATTAGGAGAAATATTAGCAATACATAGATCTCCCAAGAGAATAGTATCTTGAATATAAAAATAATTCACAACTCAATAATAAAAGGCAAATCATCCAATAAATAAAGAGATAAAGGAATTGAACAAATGCTGACAGAGGAAGTTATATAGATTGCCAATAAGCACATGAAAATATGTTCAATAATATTATTCACCAGGGAAATGCAAATTAAAACCACAGTGAAATTCCATTACACAAAACCTAGAATAGTTGATACTAAAAAGTAACAACATCAAATGTTGACAGCTACGTGGAATACTCCTGCCTAATAGTAGTTTCTACAATAATGAAAAGGTCTGTATCTGTGTTGTCTAATAAAGTAGCCACTGGCTACCTGTGGGTATCGAGCACTTGCAATGTGTCTAGTGTGACTGAGGAACTACACTTTTAATATTATTTGATTAAAAGCAATTTAAATTTAAATAGCTTATATGTAAACAGTTGAACAACTAGAATTACAATTTATATATAAAAATCAGAAATTATTTAAACTAAATGACTCTAGTGAGTTTCTGATCTTTTTAAATAAAATACCCCTAGATATGTACTCAATGTTAATACAAATGTAAGTTTACAAAAAGACCAAGAAGACTTGAACCAGAATGCTTGTAACAACTTTATGCATAATAATTTCAAAGAACCAGAAAGAACAAATCCCTGCCAAATGGTAAACAGCTAAATGATTTTCATATATTTATACAATAAAGTAATATTCAGTAAGTAAAAGGAATGAGAAATGACCTACATGAATTTTAGAAACATTATACTACGTAAAGGAAGGCTTAGAGAAAATATTATATTTCGTATGATTGTATTTATATGCATTTCTAGAATAGACAAAACTAATCTATGATTGAAATATCAAAACAGCTATCTTTGGCAGTTTGCGGCAGAGATTTACTGAAAAGGGGTATAAGGGAATTCTCGGAGGTGAGAGTAAGTTTCTATATATGGATAGATTTTGGAGTTGCACAGATGTATGCACTCTTCAGAATTTATCAAATTATACACTTAAGATTGATGTGTTTTATTACACTTAAACTTTATCTTGAAACAAAAAAAGTGATGCTAAACAATTATACCACACTAGTTAGTATGTGGTAGACGTTTACCGCTAACTGTAGTTTACTAGAAAAGCATATAAAAAATTGACAAATGAATAAAAGAATAGACAGATGGATAGATACGTGGCAAAATGAGAATAATATAATGTTATAGATCTAGTGTATAGGTACATGGGTATTTAATGTAAGAATTCTTAAATTTTTATGTAAATTAGAATATTTTCATAATGAAAAATTGTCTACATTACATATATATATTATTTCACAATTGTATCCTGATAATATCACAATTCTTATTATTCCAAAAGCAAAAGAATCTTCTAGTCTGTAGGATTATTTTTGAATTGAATTTTGTTTAAATACCATCCTAAAAAGTTATTTGAAGATATCAAGAACTTAGACTGTGATGTCTTCCACTTATCTTTAGTTGCATTTATGGCAAGAAATACAAAATAAAAGAGGATACTTCTCACAATAGGCTAATGTGCTAACTAAATTGAAGCTGCAGGTGGTCCGCCAGACACTAAGACAAACATTGTATTGCCAAAGAAATTGAAATTCTGGTGGTTGTTTGACTATCCTGATTATTTCAATTTATGAAATATAAATTTATCCACTGCCATAAATTTCAGCCATTTAATACAACACATCTAAAGCAAGAAATTTTAAGAAAATAAATTCTAGATTTTTCTTGCTTGAAAGTTGTAGATTCAAACCATCAGTAGCTAAAAATATTATCCTTAGGGATAAAGGAGAATAGACTTTCAATCTTAGTTAATTTATATTAAAGTTTCTTTGTGGTAAAATAATTTATTGGGGAAAATAAGATCTATCTACAACCCAAACTAGCCAGGAATATTATTTTCAACAAATCATATTAAGATATTGATTAGCATATAAATAAAAAGCAAATTGACAAACACTTGGGACTCATTAAGAAAAAAAGATTGATCAAACTAAATTCACTTTATTCAAACAACTAAATTACCACTTCCAATGGATGTTTTAACAGCTTTGAAAATGTAGTGACTTGCATAGGAAATATAACTATAGTTTATCATGTTAAGTGGGCTAGTGTGTCCTTCTGCAATACAGATAAAAGCACCATAAGTCAGATACAGCATGCTTAATTTGTGAAGGGTCTCACAGAATCCCTACAATAAAATATTGCTATGTCATATTCTCAAAGTTCCCTAACTATTCATTTATGTGGCTGGAGTTTAAAAACTAAAAGCTTTTATCTTTTTTTTTTCTCTTAGGGTGAAATCATTGGGTCATGATGCATAATGTAATGCAAGACATTTCCAAGCACAATAGGTTTAGACAGTAAATGCCAGAATCATATTATACTAATTCTGCACGAAGCATCAATTATTAGTGGTGCAGCTCTAATTACAATAATTGGACATATATGAATGTGCAGTGAATTATTTGCTAGAAAGACATATTTTCTAGATAAGAATAAACATAAATACAAATTGAAAGTTCAATTATGTTAATAATGTTGAAGCTCTGATGTAAAAAAAACTTATAAACAGACTATAATTTTACTGGTTGTGAATTCCTGGAAACTACATCACAAATTTGAGATGAAACACTAATCATTTTTTCTATGCATTTTAGAAACACTATGTAATATAACTTTATAAAAATTACACCAAATGTTTTATTATTTCCAGATAATTATCTACTTGTAAAGAATGTTAACAAACAGATGATCTATTTAATTAAGAAATAAAAAAGATCTTCTGTGTAGTCCGTTATAAAATAAATGAATGTAAGATGTCCGAGACTCAATTTTCTTCTTCCCTGAAAATTACCTCCTGTAAAGCTATATTATAAGTTTTGCCAAATGCAATGAATACTACATCTCAAAATGGGATGACATAAAGAATAAACACTTTGGACTACTGTAAACTCAAAAGGCATTGGCAAATTAGATTTTTTTTTTAAAGGTGGTGCAACCTGTTATGTAAATCCAACAGTTCCTTTGAAGGCACAGTAGAAACAGCAGTTCCAGCTGGTGATAGAGCCTCCCCAGACCTCATTTGGTACCAAGGGATAATATATGAAAGGAATAAATATAAAAGAATCAGGAAAACATAAATAAGATGAAGAATGTTCAACCCTGTATCCCCCAAAAAGTTGCAACTAAGCAAATAAAAAGTTGTCTAAACATATTGTTATGAAATAAGTAACTCAATACAGAGAAACATTTCACTACTGACGAAAAGAGCTCAAAGTAACATAAGGAGTTGAAACAAGAACTGACAGTGTTCAAGCAAAGAAGTTAGAGAAAGGTAAATTATCACTAAAATGTTCCACACTGTAAGCAGCCTAGAGGGACTAAATAATGCAGAAAAAAATGACAAAGATAGAAAAGTTGGTAAGTATTAAATTTAATATTAGAGCATCAATATTTCCTAAGTGTCTGATAAAGAGAATAAAAAAATGAAAAAGAAAAATTACAAAAAAAATTTTAAAGGAACTTCCATTAAAAATGGATCAAAAATTGAAAAGTTGCATGGTGTCTATGGATAAGTTGACAGAGATTTCTCAACAATAAGATCTGGCCCAGTTAAAATCTTGAGGACCAAAAAAAAAAAGAAGAGTTCTTGTTCATCTAGGCAAAAGGTAAATAATTAAATTAAATAATCAGGCTGACCAAAAGCTTTAATACAATTTTTCTCTAAGAGATAATAGAATCGTGCCTGCAAGGTCTACAGGGGAAGGAAAGTGTGATCCAAGATGTTATAACCTGCAAATATGCATTGGAGTATAAAGACCACAGGAAACATTTCAAATCAGCAAACATCCTTCTCAAAGTGGTATTTATACAAGTAAGAAATTAATAGAAAAATGGAGTATGACTATTTAAATATGTAACATTGTGTTAAGCTGTTGTCCAATTTTATAAACCATAGCAAATAAAAAATTCTATAACAAAAATTATGGAATGAAAAGAAGTTTTAAAAAAGGTGGTAGGTAAAGTGTATCAATTTATTTTGAATGTTAAGAACAAATTTTTTTAAAGCTGATAATTCAATTAATAAAGATGTTAGTATATTTAAAGGTTTAAAGGCATATCTTTTAATTGACAAATAATTGTATGTAATTTTGGAATACACTGCAATGCTTTGACACATACGTCATTGTGCAATGAATAAATCAAGCTAATGAACATATCCATCACGTGACATATTTATCACATTTTTGTGGTGAGAATATTTAATGTATATTCTTGTAGCAATTTTAAAATATACAACATTTTTTTAACTATAGAGACCATGCCATGCAATAGATTTTTACAACTTATTTCTTCACTCTAACTACAAGCTTGCACTCTTTCACCAGTACCTCCTGATCCCACATTGCCCTTCCCATTCCATCTCATCTCCACCAGCCTCTAGTCACTACCATTCTACTCTCTACTTCTATGATTTTGACTTTTTTAGATTCCACATATAAGAGGGATAATGCAGTATTTGTCTTTCCGTGTCTGGCTTATTTCACTTAGTATAATGCCCTTTAGGTTTATCTATGTTGTCTCATACAACAGAATTTTCTTCTTTTGTAAGGCTAAGAAGTATTTCATTGTGTATATCTACCACATTTTCTTTATCAATTCATCCATTTATGGGCACACAGGTTGTTACCACATTTTGGCTGTTGTAAATAATGCTTCAACGAACATGGGAGGGTAAATATCTCTTTGACATAACATGATGAAAAAGTAGACAAAGAATCTAAATAGATATTTCACAAATGAACACATGCAAATGAACAGCAGATACATAAAAAATGCTCAGCATAGCTGGGCACAGTGGCTCGCACCTGTAATCCCAGCAATTTGGAAGGCTAAGGCAGTCAGATCACTTGAGGTCAAAAGTTTGAGACCAGCCTGGTCAACATGATGAAACCGCAACTCTACTAAAAATACAAAAATTAGCCATGATGGTGCATGTCTGTAATCCCAGCTACTCAGGAGGCTGAGGCCTGCACTCCAGCCTGGGTGACAGAGCAAGACCCTTTCTCAAAAAAAGAAAAAAAAAAAAAAAAAAAAGTTCAAAGCTCAACATGATTGATCATCAGAGAAATGCAAATTAAAACCACAATGAGATATCATCTCACCTCATACCTGTTAGAACAGCTATTATGAAAAACATGGAAGAAAACAAGTATCAACAAGGATGTGGAGAAAAGGGAACTCTCATATCCTATTGGTGGGAATATAAAATCAGTACAATCACTATGTAAAGACTAAGAGATTCAATACAACTGTATTAATGTAAAACACAAATATAAGATTGGTCAATACATGCCTGTCATGTCAATTTATGTAAGATGATAAATATGACTCTGCTAAGGTTTGAATATTTGTTCCCTCCCAAACTCATGTTAAAATTTAACTGACATTGTAATAGCATTAGAAGGCAGGAGCTTAAAGTGATTAGGCCATGAGCGTTCAGCCCTCATGAATGAATTACTGCTATGTCACATATATGTGTTCACTATCATGGGAATGGTTTTATTCTCACAGGAGTGGGCTCTTTATAAAAGAATGAGTTCTGCTTCCTTTCTTTCTCTCTCACTCTCACCATCTTTGCCCTTCCACCGTATGATGACATAGCAAGAAAGCCCTTACCAGATGCTGGTCCCTTAATCTTAAACTTCTAAGCCTCTAGAACATGAGCCAATAATGTCTCCTTATTATGAATTATACGGACTGTGGCATTCTTCTGTATCAACAGACTAAGACAATATCATTTAAAAAATGAAAATAAAATATGGTCATGTAGGATAACAAAAATGTTATAATGCAATGAACATGCCTAAAATAACAAAACACAGAGATGATAAAATTTATGGGCAAAGGTATAATAGACAAGGTAAAACAAATAAAAAAAGTTAAAAATTTCCCACAAACAAGATTGCATTTTTCATTTATTCTGTTCTTTTATAGTCTCTTTAAGTTGGCCTTTAAAAATGCATGTGAAATTTATTACAGGTGATTTGAGATTTTATTGCTTTTGGGAACGGATTCTTCCATTCTGGGATATGTTTAGCTATCATTTGTTTATAAGAAAACTTCTTTATGTATATTGATATTTTATTCATTCTATATGCAAAGTTATTTTATTGTTGCTAAAATAACAGAAAAATTCTAAGAAAAATATTGTGTGTCAGCACAATTTCTCTGAAGCATATTTAACTTACATTGGCACAGCTTGAGGACTATAGTTAATAATATTGTATTATATACTGGAAATTTGCTAAGAGGGTTGATTACTAGCAACCTTGTAAAACACAAAAAAAGAAAGGTAGCTATGTAAGATAATAAATATGTTAATTTGCTTGACTGTAGTACTCCCATTACTATGTAGCTGTATATCAAAACATCATGTTATATACATTAAATATATACAATAAAAACTGTCAATTGATATCATTTACATTATTATTGAGTATAAATTTCATAGTACCTTGTTGGTATTTCTTAAATTGTATTTGTTATTTAAAAATTATTGTTATTGAGGCCAGGCGCAGTGGCTCACGCCTGCAACCCCAGCACTTTGGGAGGCCGAGGCAGGTGGATCACCTGAGGTTGGGAGTTTGAGACCAGCCTGACCAACATGGAGAAACCCTGTCTCTACTAAAAATATAAAATTAGCTGGGCATGGTGGTGCATGCCTATAATTGCAGCTACTCAGGAGGCTGAGACAGGAGAATCCCTTGAACCCGGGAGGCAGAGGTTGTGGTGAGCCAAGATCATGCCACTGCACTCCAGCCTGGGAAACAAGAGTGAAACTCCATCTCAAGATAAATAAATAAATAAATAAAATAAAAGTATTGTTACTGAAATAAAAACCCAGACCATAAAATTTCAGCTGTTTCAAAGTTCTCAATATCTTTAAGTGTATATACACATGCATAGACAAAATAAAGCAAAACAAGCAAGGACAAAAACAGCCAAAATGCTAGATTGCCTCTGATGGTAAAATTTTGAGTCATGTGTTATTTATGTTTATATATTTTTAGTTTTTCAAATTTTCTTCAGTGAACATATGGATATGTATTATGCTTTTAATCAGAAAATGAAATTTTCAAAAATACAGTCACGTAGTGTAATGGTCCAAAATTTTATACTTTGGGTAAGCAAGTAAGTCAGCTTTTCACAAGCTATGTATATATGTGTAAAACTGGAGGCCTCTGAGTCAGAGACAAAGACAGTTTATCACTTAGAGCAAATGCAGCAACCAGAGTAGCATTGTAATGCTAGTTCCCTGAGTCCCAATTCCTGCAGTGTGAATGGATAATGAAAAACTAGTGGTAAACACACACACTGTGGGGGTAGGTCACACAAATGGAACGCCATGTTTACTAGACTCTGATCTTCTACAGGGACTACTGACAAATTTATCCAAACCTGTCAAACCTCCCTTCCAGAGAAAGAGCAATTGCTGAAATACAAGCAAATGTCTCTATGAGTGATATCTCTAAATGTCACTAGAAAAAGCTACCATATTTATCTGAAGTTAACTAGGAATGTAAATATATTTTCTCCAGAAGGATTCCCTGTCCCTACCATTCTAGGGCTATTCTAGAAAACACAGTTCCAGAGCCCATTGTCTTTTAATACTTGGACATGTACAAATGCCACATATTTTTGAAGAATTATTTTGCAATAATAGTACAGTTTTGGAAATCTGTTGTTCCTTCCATTCTCGTTGCTTTTAAAGAGACATTATTCTCTTGAAAATAGAGACATTATTTTCTTTTAAAAATGAATGGATAGATTTATAAATATAATTTTACTACTTTTGTTAGTTGTTTAACTGAAAGAAACTAATGGCAGAAACAGCCCCTGAAAATTCTGCTCATGTCACATTGCCTGTAATTGAGAGTGGATAATCACCCTGAGCATCTAAATATTTGGAAGAGGCTTAAGGTGATCCTCAGGCTTGGAAGTCTGCCCATCTCCATTATATTCCCAATTGCTAATCAATCTCAAGTAAGTGCTAGAGGCAAACACCACTAGTATTTCATTCTTCAGGTAATTGATATTACATTTCAGAATCTGTGCTGTAGCTGCCAAGTCTCTGTGAAATTATTAGAAATGACGAGAATCAAGAAGCAGGGTCTTAGACTTTCTGTGTAACCAGAAACAGGCTTATATTTTGCTCTTGCCCCCACTTTTAATCAACATTATTCAAATTTACTACTTGTTCACAATTTCCAACATTAGCCAAAGAGAAGCATTATATTTTTTTGTGGTGTAGTGCTTTAAATGGTAATTTCCAACTGTAAAAGTAGGAAGAATTCTGAGAAAATATTAATACATACAATTTACAGATATGAGGTAATTTTGTAGCTATAGAAAGACATATTATGCTTGTTATTTGTGAGACTGATATTTGCAATATGCACTAATTCTTAAATTTGCTTTCGATGCTTTCCATATCTAACACAACATGGATTATTCTTCCTAAGCCTTTGAGCATCTCATGGACTTCTTGGACAGCCAGATCCAAAGGATAAGTCATTATGCCAAATTCTAAATCAGGGGTCTGAATATATTTTTTTTTTCAGAAACGGAACAGAAAGTAAATATTTTAGCCTTTGTAGGCCAGACTGTTCCCATCACAATTAGTTAAATGTGCCATTGCAGTCTGTCAGCAGCCATATAAAATATTTAAATAAGTGATGGCTGTATTTATTTATATTAGTTTTATAGGACTGCCTGAACAAATTTTGACAACTGGTAGCTATAAATAACAGAAATTTATTCTCTCAGAGTTTTGAAGGCCAGGAGGAGTCTGAAATCAAGGGGCTGGCAGGTCCCGCTGCCTTTGAAGGCTCTGGAGAAGGATTCTTCTCTTCCTCTTTCTTACCTTCTGGTGGTTTCCTGTGATTCTTGGCATTCTTTTGGCTTCTAGCCATGTCACCTCAGTCTCTGCCTCTATCTTCGCATTGCTTTCTTCCCTCTGTGTGTGTCTTCAAGTGTCTCTTCTTAAAACTGCAGGAGTCATTTAATGTAGGACCCACTCTAATCCACTGTGACCTCATCTTATCTAATAACATCTGTAAAGACTTTGTTTCCAAATAAGGTCTCATCCATAGATATCAAAGACTGGGACTTCAACATATCATTTTGAGGGACAAAATTCAAACCACAACACATAAACAAATTTGAAATCCTACAATTTCCATATGTCATGAAATATGCTACATTTTGAATGCTTGAAATGTAAAAACCATTCTTAATTTGCAGGCCATGGAAAAAAAGACAGCAGCTCAGGATTGGCTTATGAGTCATAGTTTGCCAACCTCTGCTCCAGATCAAAGAGGGTTATTCCATTTCCTTACTAGTGTTTACTTTAAAGAGGAGAAACTGGAATAATTCTGGTCAGTGACCTAAAAGCCTAGACCCTACAAGGGTCTGAATAGTCAGTCTAGTGTGAGGCCAAGAGTTATGGATGAGTTGAAAGTGCTCCAGGTGATTCTAATAATTAGATAAGTTTGGAATTCGATATCTCCATCTCAAAGTTTATTGTGCACACAAATCTCCTGGGTTGGGTTTTAAATTCTCACATGCTCCTAAGTGGTGCTAACTCGTAAGGTCTGCATACCACATTTGAAATGCCAAAGACTAGAAAAAATGTCTTTAAATATTAAGGACCTGGGATCTAAAATGATGTATTCTACTCCACTGTATTATAAATATCTATTGCAGCCCAGCAGATCAACCAATTTACTATTTGTTCCTTACTATTTCTGTTCTATTTATCTGGTTAGTAACAAAAAAGTTGCTTCATCAATTCCACATGAACCTCTTGATGTTAGTATTCCCCAAAAGCATGGTATTGTCAGTCTAAGATCTAGACAATGCTTCTAATCTTAACAAACCCTTATGACATTTGTAAACTTTGCCCTTTCTTTTATAACCCAGAAAATACTTTTGTAAAACTATATTGCTCTAATGTATTTTTAAGTTGATACTAAAAAATTGTCATAAGTTTCTATGCTTGTAAAGGATATTATTTCTGAGCAATTCCAAACAGTGATGCTTTTAAATAAAATTGTTACATTCTTCTTTTAAATGTATCCAATAAAATATATCTACCATGATTCGAGGTGTATAACAATTAAAATGAATTAACAAACTCTTACTTAACAATTGAAAAATTTTAGATGTTCATCTCTCTCATTGAAATGACTTCAATTTCTTATCTGTGGAATTGAATTTTATCTCAACTGTATGTTACCCATTAATGTCTTTAACTGATAGCTCAGTATTCTTCACTCCAAATAAAAGTGTATTAGTTAAACTATACTTTGAAAATTTCTTATAACTGAACTAAATAAAAGTGAGACCCCAAAAATCATACAAGGAATCAACAAAGTGTAAAAGTTTTTCCTGTTAAAAGGATAAACAAGATTAGTAGACCATTAGCCAGATTAATCAAGAAAACAAACAGAAGATCCAAATAAGCACAATCAGAAATGACAAAGATGACATTATAACTGATACCACAGAAATACAAAAGAGTCTCAGAGATGTTCATACTATGAACATTTCTAGCCACACAAACTAGAAAATTTAGAGAAAATGGATAAATTCTTGGAAATACACAATCTCCTAAGATTGAAACAGAAAGAAATTGAAATCCTAAACAGGTAAATAATGAATTACAAAACTGAGTGAGGAATAAAAAAATCTACCAACCAAAAATAAGCCCTGTACCAGAAAGATTTATAACTGAATTTTATCAAACATATACAATGAAAGCAGGTACCGATCTTACTAAAGCTATTACAAAAAATTGAGCGGGAGGGATTCCTCCATAACTCATTCTATGAAACTAGTTTCATCCTGGTACAAGATTGAGCAAGGACACAACAATAAAAGAAAACTACAGGCCAATATCCTAGACGAACATAGATGCAAAAGTGTCAACCAAATACTATCAAACTGAAGCTACCAGCACGTCAAAAAGATAATTCATCATGATCAAGTGCACTATATTCTTAGGACACAAGGATTGTTCAACATATGAAAATCAATAAATGTGATTCATCACAAATAGAATTAAAAACAAAAACAGTATGACCTTCTCAATACATGCAGAAACAGAATTTGATAAAATTCAGAATCATTTCATGATAAAAAGATCCGTTAACAAACTAGGCATAGAACAAATATAGATAAAAATAATAAGAGCCATTTATAACAAATACACAGTCGACAACATACTGACTGGAAAAACGAAGCATTCCCACTAAACACAGGAACATGACAAAGATGTCCACTCTCACCACATGTACTGAACATAGTACTTGGTGTCCTAGGCAGAGCAGTCAGGGAACAGAAAGAAATAAATAGCATCCAAATAGGATGAGAAGATGTTGAATTGTCTCTATTCACCAAAGACATAATTCTGTTCTTAGAAAACCCTAAAGATTCCTCCAAAAGATAACTAGACCTGATTAAAAACTTTGGTATTTTTAGGATATAAAATCAACATACTAAAATCAATAGCATTTGTATAAATCAATAACATTCAAACTGAAAAGCAAATCAAGAATGCAATTCTACTTACAATACCCACAAAAATATAAAATACCTAGGAATACATTTAACCAAGAAATTGAAAGATCCCTATAAGGAGAAGTATGAAACACTGATGAAAGAAAACATAGTAAACACAGACGACATGAACAAGTGTAAAAACATCCCATGCTCATTAATTGAAAAGATCAATATTGTTAAAATGACCACAATGTCAAAAGCAACCTACAGATTCAACAATATTCCTATCAACACACCAAAGTCATTTTTCTGATTAGAAAAAACAATTCTAAAATTCATACAAAACCAAAAAGTGCCCCAATAGCTAAAGCAATCCTAAATAAAAAGAACATAACCAGAGTGATCACATTACCTGACTTCAAACTATGCTATAAGGCTACAGTAATAAAACAGCATGGTACTGGTACAAAAACAGACACTTAGACCAATGGAACAGAACAGAGAATTGAGAAATAAAACCACACACTCCAACAACTAACATTTTTTAAAGTCAACAAAGATACACAGTGGGGAAAAGGCACCCTATTTAATAAACAGTGGTGGGAAAACTTAATAGCCCCCTGCAGAAGAATAAAACTGTACCCCACCTCTCACTGTATACAAAAAGTAACTCAAAATAGTTTAAGGACTTAAATGTAAGACTTCAAACGGTAACAAACCTGAAAGAAAATCTAAGAAAAACTCTTCTGGGCATCAGCCTGGGAAAATAATATATGACTAAGACCTCATATGCAAATGTGACAAAAACAAAAATTGAAAGATGGGAAAAATTAAACTAAAGAACTTCTGAACAACAAAAGAAACAATCAACAGAATAAATAGACAACCTACAAAATGAGAGAAAATATTTGCAAATGATGCATCCGCTAAAGGACTAATATCAAGAATCTATAAGGAACTTAAACAAATCAACAAGAAAAAACAAATAACACTATTAAAAAGTGAGCAAAGGACAGACAATTCTCAATAAAGACATACAAGTGGCCAACAAACATATAAAAAGATGCTCAACATCACTAATCAGAGAAATGCAAATTAAAACCACAATGAGACGCCATCTTACACCATCAGAATGGCTATGATTAAAATGTCAAAAAAAAGATGTTGGTGAGGATGAGGAGAAAAGGAAAGACTTACACATGGTTGATGGAAATGTAAATTAGTTCAACCCTTGTGAAAAACAGAATGGAAATTTCTTAAAGAACTAAAAATAAGACTACCATTCAACCCAGTAATCCCAATACTGGATATCACCTCAAAGGAAAATAAATTGTTTTATCAGAAAGACATATGCATTCACATTTTATTACAGAACTACTCACATAGGAAAGTCATGGAATCAACTGAAATGTAGTAGTCAGGGTTCTCAAGAGGGACAGAACTAATAGGATATATGTATACATGAAAGGGAGTTTGTTAAGGAGAATTGACTCACATAATCATAAGATGAAGTCCCACTGCATAGGCCATCTGCCAGCTGAGGAGCAAGGAAGGCAGTAGTGGCTCAGTCTGAGTCCCAAAACCTCAAAGTTAGGGAAGCCGACAGTGCAGCCTTCAGCCTGTGGCCAGAGGCCTGAGAGCCTCTGGCAAACCACTGGTGTAAGTCCAAGAGTCCAAAAGCCAAAGAACCTGGAGTCTGATGTTCAAGGGCAGGAAGCATCCAGGACAGAAGAAAAATGAAGGCCAGAAGATAGCCAGTCAGTTTCTTCTGCCTTCTGCCTGCTTTTTCAAGCTGTGCTGGCAGCCAATTAGATGGTGCCCACCCACCCTGAAGGTGGGTCTTCCTCTCCCAGTCCACTGACTCAAATGTTAATCTCCTCTGGCAACACCCAGACACACCCAGATACACCCAGAAACGTACTTTGCATCCTTAAATCCAATCAACTGATGCTTAATATTAACCATCATACTAAGTGTCAATCAATTGTGGATCGGATAAAGAAAATGTGGTACATGTATACCATGGAATACTGTGCAGACATAAAAAAGAGTGAAATCATGTCCTTTGCAGAAACATAGATGCAGCTGGAGGCGATTAGTCCAAGTTAATTAACATAGAAACAGAAAATCAAATACCGTGTGTTCTCACTTACAAGTGGAAATAAACAATAGGTACATATGGACATAAAGGTGGAAATAATAGACACTGGGGTCTCAAAAATGGGAAAGGTAAGGAGGGGGGAAAGATTGAGAACTACCTATTGAGTACTGTGTTCACAATTTGAGTGACAGGTTCAATAGAAGCCCCAAATCCTGGTATTATGCAATATACCTGTGTAACAAACCTGCACATTAACTCCTTGAATCTAAAATGTAAAGAAAGAAAGAAAGAAAAATTTAACTATACAATTCTAAACCTTAAATTAGTTTTGAATTAGTTATTTCCACTGAGCAACAGAGGTTTTACAAATATTCAAAAACTCCCTTTAAACACACAAATATAATATGTTGTAAATATACCTCTTCAAGGTATGGAATAAGGTAGAAGGAAAGTATTACGAGGCCTGATGAAAGTAAACTTTGCTGACATTGATATTTGATATATCCTTTTGTTTTCAGTGCCTGAATTTGTTTTCATATCTGGAGAAATGTTTTTTTCAGAAACATTTCAAAAAAATCTGAATTTTTTTCATATCTGGAGAAATTATAGGAAACCAGGATTGATAAGTATGGTATTATATTTTAGGTGAGGAAATGTAACTGATGAAAGAAGAAATAAGAAAAGGAACATATTGATTTTTTACATTAAGTACTTTTTTAAAAATGTGTACTACATCTACTTTCAGCGACAACATGTAAAGAGCTGAAAAAAGCGTAATTCCCAACTTTACAACAAGAAAAAGGTGACAAAACTACAAATCAATTACTTTTCTTTGATCCATCAAAGAACAGAGATTGCATGACGAACCACTGTCCCCATATTTGGAAAGACAGACAAATCCAGAGGCACAGAAGGAGAAAACACAGGTGCCGTAAACTGGTAGGGACAGTTAAATGGCAATTCTGATGTTTGCTGGAGGCTAAATGTGGACTAGTGTGAAACAGAGATGCTCCTGCGGACTGTAGTTGTAGGGGGACACCCATGCCTTCATGGGCTCATCTCCAGGAATCTGACTTGACCGTGTTCTCACAGTAAAGATCAGAGATAGATGTCTTTGGGGGTCTTCCAGAGGAAGGGGAAGAGTACTCATTGTGAAACACACACATAGCCTTCTCCATAATGAATGCCTATTGTCTAGGGGCAAAGACAAGTGCCAGAACCTTCCTCTGGTTGAGAGAAGGGCATTTCTCTCTTATTCTGCTTCATTTAGTTTTCCTATCTTGTTTAAGGGGGATTAAATACAGTCACCAGAAGAAGGGGCTTCAAGAAAATAAGTGGGTACATCATAGGAAAACATTAGACTGCTACAGTAACAATTAATGAAGGTTATAAGTCCAAATCATAGGCCCACAAAAAGACTGAAATTAAATTGGGAAATCAAAGAACTCTCCCTTTATGCCACACACCTTAGCATTCCATTAACAAGGCTCGAAAATAATCCCAGTGAATTATAGCTGAAAGAGATGCAATATATGGACTTTTTCTGAAGAGGAATACTTAGAAAAGGCCAAAGGCAACAGGGAAGACACAAACAAGACACTAGAAAAAGTTGAAGTCTTTGATACCTTTAGGTACTGAGAACATTCACATAATTCAACTCCTAACCACATTAACATAAATACACTAAATATCTATTTGTCTCGGTTCCTATTACCAAATACAAACATTTCAACAAAAAAATTACAAGCTATACCAAAGGCAAGAAAAAAACACAGCCTGGAGGGACAAAGCAAATATTAGAATCAGACTGAGATATAAGAAAGATGCTAGAATTGACAGGAAATTTTCTTTAAAAACTAAAATTAATATTTTAATTACTTATTAAAAATGGATAATGTGCAAGAACAGATGGGTAAAGTGTAGAGAGATTGAAATTCTAAGAAAAAAATCAAAAGAAAGTGCAAGAAATAAAAAACAGCAATACAGAAATGAAGGATGCATTATCTGGGCTCATGGGTAGACTCAACACAAATAAGGAAGGAACCAGTGAGGTTGAAAATAGTAAATAGAATATTCCCAAATTGAAATGCAAAGCAAAAAAGAAATAAGATAACAGAAGTGAGAATCCAAGAACTGTGGAACAATATGAAAAGGTACAATAAGTGACATTGTAAAAACAGAAAAAGAAAAGAAAAAATGAAGCACAATAAATAGTATTAATTGCTGAGCACTTTCCTAAAATAATGACAGACCACTAGCCTCAGAGCCAGGAGTTAGGAGAACAAACATCAGCAGGATAAATAATAGCAACAAAAAGAAAACACACCAATGAATATTATATCCAGACTATACAAAACCAAATAAAAAGTAAGTTTTGAGAGAAGAAAAGGAAAAGAAAGTCTTGTCTATGGGAAACAAGAATAAGAATTACAGTGAATATAATTCTTGTCAGAACACTTGCTAACATAAAGAGAGTGAAATATTTAAAGTATTAAAAGTAAAAAAAAAAATACAATTCTATATCCAGTAAAAGTATACCATAAAAGTAAAGGAGAAATACATATTATAGCATACATATGAAAATTGAGGAAATTCATTTCCAGCTGACCTGCCATGCAAGAAATGTGGAGAAGTTCTTTAGGAGGAAAGATAATAATGTAAGCCACAAACTTGAGTTTACATCAAGAAAGGAACTGTATTGGAGAAAAATAAATGAAAATAAAATAAAATTTTATTTTTGTTATTCTAAATATATGTAAAATAAATGCTCAAAGCAATAATGGTAATACTGAATTAGTGATTGCAGCCCATGGAAAAGTGAAATTAATAACAGCAGTGTCACAGGCAAAAGGAGGGAGAAATTGAGAATACTCTGTTATGAACTACCTGCATTACACATGGAGATTTAAACTATTGTTTAAAGCTGTATTTAAATTGGTCAAAAATTCATGTTGCAACCTCTAGGGTAACTAATAAACTTTTTTTTTTTTTTTTTTTTTGAGATGCAGTCTTGCTCTGTCACCCAGGCTAGAGTGCAGTGGCACCATCTGGGCTAACTGCAAGCTCCGTCTCCCAGGTTCACACCATTCTCCTGCCTCAGACTCCCAAGTAGCTGGGACTACAGGCGCCCACCACCACGCCTGGCTAATTTTTTGTATTTGTAGTAGGGACGGGGTTTCACCATTTTAGCCAGGGTGATCTCGATCTCCTGACCTCGTGATCTGCCCGCCTCGGCCTCCCAAAGTGCTGGGATTACAGGCTTGAGCCACCACGCCCGGCCACTTTTTTTTTTTAAGTATAATTAATATGCTAACACAAAATAAAATGCACATATATAAGTGGTCAATTATAATCAGAGAAACTAGAAAAATAGAGGAGTAGAAAAAAATAACAAACACAACATTCCGTAAATAGATAATAGTTACTAACACAGTAGATATTTATCCAAATATATCAATGAATATTTTCAATGTGAATGTCCTAAATGTACACATTAAAAGAAAGAGTTGCCCTAGTAGATTAAAGAACGAGAGCCATTTTTCTGTTGTCCACAAGAAATCCACTTTTAATATTAAGACTCAGTTTAAAAGTATAAGGATGGAGATAGATATACCATGCTAACTATAATAAAGAGGGGCATGACATAAGAAGGATTTGATTTTTAAGAAGACATAATAATCTTAAATATGAATGCAAGTAACAAAGTATCAAAACCTATGAATCAAAAACTCATAGAACTGAGAGGAGAATTGGATAAATCCACTATTACGCTTGTAGACATTTACAACATCTTCAAGTGATTGAAACAAAGTCAGTAAGGATATAACGGATGTGAAGAGTTCTATTAAGCAACTTTTTCTAATTGATATTTATACTCTATCCAATGACAGCAGAATATATAGTGTTCTCAGGATAGTATGGAACATTTACCATTCTGTTTTCTGAATGAGAAATTAGAAGCAAAAGAAACACTTCCTAACTCATTCCATGTGACCAGACTTACCCTACTAACAAAACCAGATAAAGACATTACATAAAAACTGTGAATATCTTTTATGAACATAGGTGCAAAAATTTTCAACACAGTATTAACATATCAAATTCATTTCTGTTGGGAAGGCAAAATGTTATCTCTATTTCAAAGACAATTGGACCTTTTTACAAAACTATAGTCTTAGATACAACTCATCAGTAACACTCCTAGCTATTATTTCAGCTCATTTCCAAATGTAAGTCCATAAAAACCTGCAGGATGAATGGTTTGACTGGCTTTATTTGTAATCACCAAACCTAGAAGCAACAATGTGTCTTTTTTGTTGTTGTTGTTGTTGTTATGGAAAATTTTAGTCACATACAAAAGTCCAGAGAATCATACAATATGTCTCCGTATAGTCATCACTTCGCTGCAACAATCATTTCAGCCTGCAACTAGCCACGTTTCATCCATACTTTTCCCACTCCACTCACACCCCCAACCCCATGCTCCACTCTTGCTTTCCCTAAACCTGGATTATTTGGAAGGAAATTTCAGTCGTCAGATCATTTTATCCCACAAGTATTTTAGTATGACATCTAAGTACTCTTAAAACAACAACAAAAAACCCTTAATAACTTTTATCATATCTAAAATATTACACCTTAAAAATCCTTAATACCAAATTTCTAGTCCATATTTGTTTCCAAAATTGTCTTAAAATCTTTGAAAATTTAGTTTGTTTCAGTCGGAATTCAAACACCATCCACACATTTCATTTGGTTGCTATGTCTCCTAAGTCTCTTTTAGTTCATAGATTTCTCACCATTTTTTATTATTTGTAATTTGTTTACTGCAGAAACCAGAATGTTTATCCTATAGCATTTATAACATTCTAGACTTTGCTGAACCATTCTAAGAGTTTTACATTCACTATCTCATTTAATATTCTCAGCAACTCTATGAGTAGGCACTAGTATGATTCTCATCTTATAAATTAGAAAATTGAGGTTCAGAGAAATTAACTTTTGAACAAAGGACTGAAATCTAGATGTCAGACGCTGAAGCCCATGCTGTGCACAGCTTCTCATTTATATTGCCTTTTCTATGTTGCCCCTCAAACTGAAGTGAGAGTGGGTTGGGAATTCTCAAATAGATTTGGATGTGGCTATAAATGAGTTTTTCTTTAGGTGGTGGGAACTGAATAAGTACTCTTGGCCCTGTTAGAAGAACACTGTAACTACTGGCCCTGTTTAGTTTGGGCAAAAGAACTCAGCCTTATCCACTGATACTTTTCTTCCACACCCAAGCCGAAAACAAAACCAAACAAAGAACAGTCATAGACCCTAAGCTAAAAGGAACGTGTGGATTTACTGAAGTGCAGCCCTAATCATGCCATTTCCATGCTCAAAATCCAGAATATGCCCCCACTGCCAATAGCAATAAACTGAATGTTTCAACCTGGCACTCAAGAGCCACAGTTTGACTTTTCCAACCTTTTCTTCCACTATGTGCAGGCACACATCCCACACTCTAACACATTTAGACTGTGTGCTGTTTCCCAGCCTGTGGACACTTGATTCCTTCGTGCCATTGCTCATGGCCCTTTTCTTAGGGTCCCTTTCCCTTCCCAGCCTCAAGTAGTCTCTTGCTTTTTCAGTTCTTAAAGCCCTTTGTGGTTCTCTTAGGGACTACATCACTTTGCATTATTCTCTAGCTATCTGAAGTGGTGACTTCTGTTTCCCCTTTAAAGGCAAGGCCCATGGCTTACCCATCTTTCTACCCTTTCCTCATAATATCTTCTTTGTTTGTAGTGAGTGCTTCCTGTGGGTTGGTTGTAGTAATTTCTACTACCAGTCCGTGTTGTTTTAAGTTGTCGGAGAAAGAAGCATGGGAGCAAAAGCAGTTTGAGGGCCTTGGCAGTTTACAGCCTTTAGGGGAAGGTGGAGAATCTGGTGGCAGGGGCCAAGGAGATGTTAGACGGAGCTCCTTCAACAACTCTCCCCACACATTTCCCCATCCCCATCTCTTCTGTAGTCATGCATAGTTTCCCAAACTTTAGTCCAGATCTAGCACACCAAAGGCTGCAACTGAATCTCTTCTGATTCACTGACAAGGCAACACAGGGTCTCAGCTGCATGTTTGAGAGCTGTGTTGGCAAGACCTCAGGACAGACAGCCCTCTGTGTCTGGTGGTGGTTCTCAGATATGATCACATTCTGATCCACCTCTGCTAAAGGAATCACCATTCATACATTCATACTGGTCTCATTAATTCTGATTCTGTTGATGAGATTAAATTAATCGTGTCTGCCAAGATTCCTGTTTCCATTCTGGCCAGTGAGACAATTGCTCAATTGCTTTTACTACCTAATATCATTTTAAACAGAGGAGATAAGACACGTGGTCCTGGGATGGGCTCCAGGGGTGAAAAGGCCGCTTATTGGATTAATGTGATTTCTAAACAACGGCCCACCTGCACCATACACATTCAAGGAAAAAGTTTGCGGGCCTAGTAGATACTGGGGCTGATGTTTCTGTTATTTCCTCTAGTTTATGGCCTTCCTCCTGGCTTAGACATCCCACTAACATGGGACTAGTAGGTGTTGGAAAAGCCGAGGAAGTTTATGAGAGCACATTTATCTTGCCTTGCACTGGCCCTGATGGTCAAAAGGGTACAATTCAGCCCTATATCACCCTATATTAGTAAATATCAGCCCTATATCAGTAAATCTGCGTAGAGATTTACTGGCACAATGGGAGGCTGAAATTATTATTCCACATAACTCTTATAGTGCTCCCAGTCAGCATATGATGGAAAACATTGGGGTTTTTTCCTGGGCTCAGTCTCGGTCCAAAGCATGAAGGGATTACTAAACCCCTCCCAGTTACTGTAAAAGAAAACAGGGCTGGTTTGGGTTATCCTTTTTAGTGTAGGCCGCTGCCACGCCTCCTGATCCTATCCCTTTACAATGGAAATCTGACACACCCATTTGGATTCAGCAGTGGCCGCTTTCTAAAGAAAAACTGGAGGCTTTAACTCAATTGGTTTCTGAACAGTTACAACCTGGAAATGTGGAACCTTCTCTTTCCCCCTGGAATTCTTCTGTGTTTCTAGTAAAAAAGAAATCAGGCAAGTGGCGGATGGTAACCGATTTAAGGGCCATTAACGCTGTAATTAAATCTATGGGGGCCGTCCAACTCAGCATACCTGCCCCTGCTTTAATACCTAAAAATTGGCCTCTCATAGTTATTGATCTTAAAGATTGTTTTTTTATATTGCTTTACATAAATCGGATTGCAAAAAATTTGCTTTTACTGTAGCATCTATCAATAATCAGGAGCCTGCAGCTCGTTATCAATGGAAAGTACTTCCTCAGGGAATGCCAAATAGCCCTACAATCTGCCAGCTTTATGTTGGACAAGTGCTTTCACCAGTTCGAGCCCAATTTCCCCAGGCCTATATTCTTCATTATATTGATGATATTTTAATTGCTGCCCCCACTGATAAAGAATTAATTGTTATCAAATTTTGAGCCACCATGTTACAGAGGCTGGATTACACATCGCTCAGGATAAAATTCAACAGAGCACTCCTGTTCAATATTTAGGAATGGTGGTCGATAAACAACATATTCAACCTCAGAAAGTTCAAATTAGGAGAGATTCTTTGAAAACGTTAATGACTTCCAAAAACTTTTGGGTTTAAGACCTACTTTAGGCATTCCGACCTAGCACTGTCTAACTTATTTTCTACACTGTGGGGAGATTCCAATCTCCGCAGTCCCAGGACTTTGACCCCAGAGGCTTCACTAGAACTGGAATTCACAGAGGAAAGAATCCAGACTGCCCAGTTATCTAGAGTACAACGGTTTCAGCCTTTTCAGCTTCTGGTTTTCGCTTCATTACACTCCCCTACTGGACTAATAGTTCAACATAATGATTTAGTGGAGTGGTGTTTTCTTCCTCATTCTGTGTCAAAAACTTTGTCTGTTTATCTGGACCAAATAGCCATCTTAACTGGGCAAGCTCAGTGTAGAATACTTCAAATTTCCAGATTTGATCTGAATTTAATTGTAGTTCCTTTAGATCGGCTCCATGTTCAAGCCGCCTTTCAACATTCCGTATTGGCTGATTTCATTAATGAAATTGGCTGATTTCATTGGTGTTATTGACAGTCATTATCCAAAAAACAAATTGTTTGATTTTATAAAAATGACATCTTGGGTGGTCCCTCAATTAACCAAAGATCAGCCCATTCCTGAGGCTGTTACAGTGTTCACTGATGGCTCCAGTAATGGCAATCCTGGTTATGTAGGTCCTACAGACAAGCTTATTTCTACCTCTTATACCTCTGCTCAAAAGGCAGAGTTAATTGCTATGATTACTGCCTTACAGGATTTCCCCAAACCTTTAAATATTTTCTCTGATTCTGCTTATGTTGAACATGCCACTGAAAATACAGAAACTGCTACTATCAAGCATATTGATAATTCTGAATTACCTTCTTTATTTTCAAGGTTACAACAGGCGGTTCACCAACGTAGACACCCTTTCTATATTACACATATTAGATCTCATACCACTTTACCAGGACCCACGTCTGTCGGTAACCATAAAGTTGACAGTTTGGTCTCTTTTGCAACCCAAGAAGGTCAGGAGTTCCATAATTTCACTCATGTCAATGCCGCTGGATTAAAAGATAAATTTGCTCTTACCTGGAAACAGGCTAAGTTTATTGTTCACAGCTGCCCTCAGTGTCAGGTCTTCATACTTCCAAATCAGGAACCTGATGTTAATCCCAGAGGCCTAACTCCTAATGTTTTATGGCAAATTGATGTGACTCATGTTAGGTCCTTTGGCAGACTGTCATATGTGCATGTTTCTGTAGATAACTTCTCAGGTTTTATCTGGGCTACTTACCAAACAGGGGAAGGCAGGGCCCATATTAAAAAACATCTGTATTCTTGCTTTGCAGTTACAGGGCTTCCATATCAAATAAAGACAGACAACGCCCCTGGATATGTTAGTAAGGCTTTTGATTTATTTATGCAACAGTGGGGAATTTCCCATGTTATTGGAATCCCTTATAATCCTCAGGGACAGGCTGTGGTGGAACAGGCCAATCACACTTTAAAAACGCAATTGTCCAAACAGTCTGAACAACAAAAACATAATTTAACTACCCCCCACTCCCAATTACATTTGGCATGGTTTACATTAAATTGTTTAAATGTTCCTAAAGATAATAATCTAACTGCAGCCGAATGCCATTATACAGGCAAAAAATTCTCCCTAAACGAAGGCAAGCCAGTGTTATGGAAAAACACCCAAACTAATACCTGGGAACCTGGCACAATTATAAGTAGGGAAGAGGATATGCTCATGTTTCACCAGGAGATCATCAATTCCCTGTCTGAGTACCCATCAGGAGACTCAAGCTTCGGGTGAATACTGACAACGAAAACCACGGGAAAAGACGTCCGTGTCAGAGACAGCCCTCAGATGGGGTGAGATCTGCTAACTCCTCAGAAGCACGCACACCAAATCACAAGGGTTCTGATTCAATCCTCCCTGATGGCAATGGAGAACCATCTAACTAATCCCACTTCTCCTGATTACCTTTCTTTTTCTCCTTACAAACCTAAAAATCTCACCATTTCTATTCGCCTGAAAATAACATCCCTCTATTCTTCTCTTCCTCCTTCAGCACTGAATCTCACAATAGGTTTTATTTAATGATTCTCCTCCTTATACTTTCTGTCTCACCAGTTTCCCACTGATTTACCTGCTACAAAAAATTATTCTTATTGGGTTTATGTGCCTTTTCCTCCACTTATTCAACCTCTCACCTGGATAGATGCTCCTGAGACATCTACACTAACAATAGTGTGTGGATGCCTGGAGCTACAGATGACCATTGCCCTGCTCAACTGGGAGAAGAAGGCACTGCATTTAATGTTACCATGGGTTGTAAATACCCCCCTCTGTGCCTTGGACATTCACCTGGTTGTATAAATCTAGAAACTCAAGTCTGGGCTGCTTATCTTCTGGAGAGATCAGCTACAGAGGAACAGGGACATTTGGTCTCTGGCCTCTCCCTTTCTCCTTTAAAACAAATGAAAGGGGGAGTAATGGGAGATACCCCATACTTTCAACATAAACCTGCAGGAAAACCATCCCCTAAAAATTTTGATGACCCATCTAAAACTTTAATTTGGGAAGACTGTATTGACTCACACTCAGTAATATTAAAAAATGACTCATATGGTTTAATAATAGACTGGGCACCAAAGGGCTATTTAAGAAACAATTGCTCCTCTGGCAGAAAGGAATGCATGGAGGCTACTTATTTTGTTTCTTAACAGGAGAATGAGAATCATCATTCTACTTTGCATAGAAGGTTCAGCTCATTCTTTCCTTTAAAATGGGAAGATAAAGGCATTATCCGCCCCCACCCCCCAAGGCCTCATATGATACTCCCCATTCTGAGCCCAGAACACCCAGAACTTTGGAAATTGGCTACTGCCATGTCTGGACTGCGAGTATGGGAAGGGGAAACTATTCTGTCTGTTGTCCCCTCTACCGTCCCCCTCTCTCAGTATCAACGTAGATCCAGACATTCTGCTTTACTTACCTCCAACCTGATGGTTCCCATACAGAGTTGTGGTAAGCCTCCTTACATGCTGTTAGTGGGAAATATCAAAATTTGGATGAACAATCAAACTGTCCAATTCATTAATTGTCATTTATACACTTGTATTAACTCCCATTTTGACTCCAGAAAAAGTGTAATGTTTGTTCGAGCTCAAGAAAGAACCTGGATTCTGGTAACTTTGCTCAGACCTTGGGAATCCTCCCCCTCAATACATTTAATTAATGAAGTGTTACAGTGAATTCTAAAAAGATCTAAGAGATTTGTTTTCACTTTAATCACTGTGATCATGGGCCTAATAACAGTCACTGCAATGGCCACCACTGGAATGGTGTTACATCAATCTATTCAAACGGCTCATTTTGTTAATGATTGGCAAGCCAATTCCACCCAAATGTAGAATTCTCAACAAGGCATTGATCAAAAATTGGCTAATCAAATTAATGATTTAAGACAGTCCGTTATTTGCCGTGGAGATTGGGTAATAAGTCTCAAATATCACATGCAAATGCAATGCGATTGGAATACTTCGGATTTCTGTATCACCCCATAGTCCTATAATGAGACTGATCATTCATGGGAAGTGGTCAAAGGACACCTTCTGCGTAGGGAAGATAATTTATCATTGGACATAACTAAATTAAAGAAACAAATTTTTGAAGCCTCTCAAGCTCACTTATCCATTGTGCCTGGAGCTGAGGCATTAGATCAGGTGGCAGAAAATCTTTATGGACTAAACCCCCGACTTGGATTAAGCCTACTGGGGGCTCCACTGTAGTAAATTTTGGAATTATGTTTCTCTGTTTAATCAGCTTCTTTTTAGTGTGCCGGACCAGTCAAAGAATCCTGTGTCAAAATCGAGAGAACGAACAAGCCTTCATCACCATGGCACACTTATATAAAAAGAAAGGGAGAGATGTTGTGGGAAGTCAGGGACCCCGAATGGAGGGACCGGCTGAAGCCATGGCAGAAGAACATAAATTGTGAAGATTTCATGGACATTTATTAGTTCCCCCAACTAATACTTTTATAATTTCATACACCTGTCTTTACTGCAATCTCTAAACATAAACTGTGAAGATTTCATGGACACTTATCACTTCCCTGCTGAGACCAGCTCAGTCAGGGAGACCCTAACCCAGCAGTGCTAGAGGAATTAAAGACACACACACAGAAATAAAGAAGTGTGAAGTGGGAAATCAGGGGTCTCCCAGACTTCAGAGCTGAGAGCCCCGAACAGAGATTTACCCACTTATTTATTAACAGCAAACCAGTCATTAGCATCCTTTCTATAGATGTTAAATTAACTAAAAGTATCCCTTATGGGAAGCGAAGGGATGGGCCGAATTAATTGAATAGGTTAGGCTTATCTAACTGCAGCAAGAACATGCCCTTAAGACACAGATCACTCAGGCTTTTGTTTGTGGCTTAAGAATGCCTTTAAGCAGTTTTCTGCCCTGGGTGGGCCAGGTGGTCCTTGCCCTCATTCCCGTAAACCCACAATCTTCCAGCTTGGGTGTTAGGGCCATTATGGACATGTCGCAGTGCTGCAGAGATTTGTTTATAGCCAGTGTTGGGGCCAGTTTATGGCCAGATTTTGGGGAGCTTGCTCCCAACACTTCCCCAATCAGTACTCTTGTGATTTCCTATGCTTGTCTTTACTTTAATCTATTAATCCCATCATCTTCCTAAGCTGAGGATGAATGTCGCCTCAGGACCCTGTGATGATTGCGTTAACTGCACAATTTTTTTAAATATGAAATTGGAGCACCTTGAAAAAAGAACAGGATAACAGCGATGTTCAGGGAATAAGGGAGATAACCATTAAGTCTGGCTGCCTGAGCACCAGGTGAAACAGAGCCATATTTCTCTTCTTTCAAAATCAAATAGGAGAAATATGGCTGAATTCTTTTTCTCAACAAGGAACATCCCTAAGAAAGAGAATGTGTTCCCAAGGGGAGGTATCTAAAATGGCCACGTTGGGAACGTCTGTCTTTTATGGTTGTAGATAAGGGATGAAATAAGCCCTGGTCTCCCGAAGCACTCCCAGGCTTATTAGGACAAGGAAATTCCCACCTAATAAATTTTGGTCAGACGGGCCATCTGCTCTCAAACCCTGTCTCCTGATAAGATGTTACCAATGACAACGCATGCCCAAAAATCAATGACAATGCATGCCCGGTACCTCCATTTGCCTTGTGATATTTTATTACCTTGTAAAGCATGTGATCTCTGTGACCTACACCCTATTCATACACTCCCTCCTCTTTTGAAAATCACTAATAAAAACTTGCTGGTTTTGCGGCTTGGGGGGCATCACGGAAACTGCTGACATGTGATGTCTCCCCCGGACACCCAGCTTTAAACGTTCTCTCTTTTGTACTCTTTCCCTTTGTTTCTCAGACCAGATGACACCTAGGGAAAACAGAAAAGGACCCACATTGAATATCAGGGCCTGGTTTCCCCCAATATGGCCCTTTCTAAAGGAAAGTATGGCAGTTTATTACTTCTATGAACATTTCTTTTTTTTATTATTATACTTTAAGTTCTAGGGTACATGTGCACAACGTGCAGGTTTGTTACATATGTACACATGTGCCATGTTAGTGTACTGCACACATTAACTCGTCATTTAGCATTAGGTATATCTCCTAATGCTACCCCTCCCACCTCCCCCAACCCCACAACAGGCCCTAGTATGTGATGTTCCCCTTCCTGTGTCCAGGTGTTCTCACTGTTCTATTCCCACCTATGAGTGAGAACATTCAGTGTTTGGTTTTTTGTCCTTGAGATAGTTTGCTGAGAATGATGGTTTCCAGCTTCATCCATGTCCCTACAAAGGACAGAAACTCATCCTTTTTTATGGCTGCATAGTATTATATGGTGTATATGTGCCACATTTTCTTAATTCAGTCTATCATTGATGGACATTTGGGTTGGTTCCAAGTCTTTGCTATTGTGAATAGTGCTGCAATAAACATATGTGTGCATGTGTCTTTATAGCATGATTTATAATCCTTTGGGTATATACCCAGTAATGGGATGGCTGGATCAAATGGTATTTCTAGTTCTAGACCCTTGAGGAATCGCCACACTGTCTTCCACAATGGTTGAACTAGTTTACAGTCCCACTAACAGTGTAAAAGTGTTCCTATTTCTCCACATCCTCTCCAGCACCTGTTGTTTCCTGACTTTTTAATGATCGCCATTCTAAGTGGTGTGAGATGGTATCTCATTGTGGTTTTGATTTGCATTTCTCTGATGGCCAGTGAGGATGAGCATTTTTTCATGTGTCTGTTGGCTGCATAAATGTCTTTTTTTGAGAAGTGTCTGTTCATAACCTTTGCCCACTTTTCAATGGGGTTGTTTGTTTTTTTCTTGTAAGTTTGTTTAAGTTCTTTGTAGATTCTGGATATTAGACCTTTGTCAGATGAGTAGATTGCAAAATTTTTCTCCCATTTTGTAGGTTGCCTGTTGACTCTGATGGTAGTTTCTTTTGCTGTGGAGAAGCTCTTTAGTTTAATTAGATCCCATTTGTCAATTTTGGCTTTTGTTGCCATTGCTTTTGGTGTTTTAGACATGAAGTCCTTGCCCATGCCTATGTCCTGAATGGTATTGCCTAGGTTTTCTTCTAGGGTTTTTATGCTTTTTGGTCTAACATTTAAGTCTTTAATCCATCTTGAATTAATTTTTGTATAAGGTGTAAGGAAGGGATCCAGTTTCAGCTTTCTAGATATGGCTAGCCAGTTTTCCCAACACCATTTATTAAATAGGGAATCCTTTCCCCATTTCTTATTTTTGACAGGTTTGTCAAAGGCTGTAGATGTGTGGTATTATTTCTGAGGACTCCGTTCTGTTCCATTGGTCTATATCTCTGTTTTGGTACCAGTACCATGTAGTTTGGGCCTTGTAGTATAGTTTGAAGTCAGGTAGTGTGATGCTTCCAGCTTTGTTCTTTTGGCTTAGGATTGTCTTGGCAATGTGGGCTCTTTTTTGACTCCATATGAACTTTAAAGTAGTTTTTTCCAATTCTGTGAAGAAAGTCATTGGTAGCTTGAGGGGATGGCATTGAATCTATAAATTACCTTGGGCTGTATGGCCATTTTCATGATATTGATTCTTCCTATCCATGAGCATGGAATGTTCTTCCATTTGTTTGTGTTCGCTTTTATTTTGTTGAGCAATGGTTTGTAGTTCTCCTTGAAGAGGTCCTTCACATCCCTTGTAAGTTGGATTCCTAGGTATTTTATTCTCTTTGAAGCAATTGTGAATAGGAGTTCACTCGTGATTTGGCTCTCTGTTTGTCTGTTATTGGTGTATAAGAATGCTTGCGATTTTTGCACATTGATTTTGTGTCCTGAGACTTTGCTGAATTTACTTATCAGCTTAAGGAGATTTTGGGCTGAGACAACGGGGTTTTCTGAATATACAATTATGTCATCTGCAAAGAGGGACAATTTGACTTCCTCTTTTCCTAATTGAAAACCCTTTATTTCTCTCTCCTGCCTGATTGCCCTGGCCAGAACTTCCAACACTATGTTGTATATGAGTGGTGAGAGAGGGCATCCCTCTCTTGTGCCAGTTTTCAAAGGGAATGCTTCCAGTTTTCGCCCATTCAGTATGATATTGGCTGTGGGTTTGTCATAAATAGCACTTATTATTTTGAAATACATCCCATCAATACCTAATTTATTGACAGTTTCTAGCATGAAGGGCTGTTGGATTTTGTCAAAGGCCTTTTCTGCATCTATTGAGATAATCATGTGTTTTTTGTCTTTGGTTCTGTTTATATGCTGGTTTACATTTATTGATTTGCATATGTTGAACCAGCCTTGCATCCCAGGGATGAAGCCCACTTGGTCATGGTGGATAAGCTTTTTCATGTCTTGCTGCATTTGTTTTGCCAGTATTTTAATGAGGATATTTGCATATATGTTCATCAGGGATATTGGTCTAAAATTCTCTTTTTTTGTTGTGTGTCTGCCAGGCTTTGGTATCAGGATGATGCTGGCCTCATAAAATGAGTTAGAGAGGATTTCCTCTTTTTCTACTCATTGGAATAGTTTCAGAAGGAATGGCACCAGCTCCTCCTTGTACTTCTGGTAGAATTCGGCTGTGAATCTGTCTGGTCCTGGACTTTTTTTGGTTGGTAAGCTATTAAGTATTGCCTCAATTTCAGAGCCTGTTAGTGGTCTATTCAGGGATTTAATTTCTTCCTGGTTTAGTCTTGGGAGGGTGTATGTGTCCAGGAATTTATCCATTTCTTCTAGATTTTCTAGTTTATTTGCATAGAGGTGTTTATAGTATTCTCTGATGGTAGTTTGTATTTCTGTGGGATCGGTGATGATATCCCTGTTATCATTTTTTTTATTGTGTCTATTTGATTCTTCTCTCTTTTCTTCTTTATTAGTCTTGCTAGTGGTCTATCAATTTTGTTGATCTTTTCAAAAAACCAGCTCCTGGATTCATTGATTTTTTTGAAGGGTTTTTTGTGTCTCTAGCTCCTTCAGTTCTGCTCTGATCTTAGTTATTTGTTGCCTTCTGCTAGCTTTTGAATGTGTTTGCTCTTGCTTCTCTAGTTCTTTTAATTGTGGTGTTAGGGTATCAATTTTAGATCTTTCCTGCTTTCTCTTGTGGACATTTAGTGCTATAAATTTCCCTCTGCACACTGCTTTAAATGTGTCCCAGAGATTCTGATATGTTGTATCTTTGTTCTCATTGGTTTCAAAGAACATCTTTATTTCTGCCTTCATTTCATTATGTTCCCAGTAGTCATTCAGGAGCACGTTGTTCAGTTTCCGTGTAGTTGAGCAGTTTTGAGTGAGTTTCTTAATCCTGAGTTCTAGTTTGATTGCACTTTAGTCTGAGAGACAGTTTGTTATAATTTCTGTTCTTTTACATTTGCTGAGGAGTGCTTTACTTCCAACTATGTGGCCAATTTTGTAATAAGTGCAGTGTGGTGCTGAGAAGAATGTATATTCTGTTGATTTGGGGTGGAGAGTTCTGTAGATGTCTATTAGGTCTGCATGGTGCAGAGCTGAGTTCAATTCCTGGGTATCCTTGTTAACTTTCTGTCTTGTTGATCTGTCTAATGTTGACAGTGGGGTGTTAAAGTCTCCCATTGTTATTGTGTGGGAGTCTAAGTCTCTTTGTAGGTCTCCAAGGACTTGTTTTATGAATCTGGGTGCTCCTGTATTGGGTGCATATATATTTAGGATAGTTAGCTCTTCTTGTTGAATTGATCCCTTTGCCATTATGTAATGGCCTTCTTTGTCTCTTTTGATCTTTGTTTGGTTTAAAGTCTGTTTTATCAGAGACTAGGATTGCAACCCATGCCTTTTTTTGTTTTCCATTTGCTCGGTAGATCTTCCTCCATCCCTTTATTTTGAGCCTATGTGTGTCTCTGCACGTGAGATGGGTCTCCTGAATACAGCACACTGATGGGTCTTGACTATCCTATTTGCCAGTCTGCATCTTTTAATTGGAGCATTTAGCCCATTTACATGTAAGGTTAATATTATTATGTGTGAATTTGATCCTGTCTTTATGATATTAGCTGGTTATTTTGCTCATTAGTTGATGCAGTTTCTTCCTAGCATTGATGGTCTTTACAATTTGGCATGTTTTTGCAGTGGCTGATACCAGTTGTTCCTTTCCATGTTTAGTGCCTCCTTCAGGAGCTCTTTTAGGGCAGGCCTGGCAGTGACAAAATCTGTCAGCATTTGCTTGTCTGTAAAGGATTTTATTTCTCCTTCACTTATGAAGCTTAGTTTGGTCTTTGATGATGGTGATGTATAGATGCGGTTTTGGTGTCGATGTCCCTTCTGTTTGTTAGTTTTCCTTCTAACTGTCAGGACTCTCAGCTGCAAATCTGTTGGAGTTTGCTGGAGGTCCACTCCAGACGCTGTTTGCCTGGGTATCAGCAGCAGAGGCTGCAGAACAGCGAATATTGCTGAACAGCAAATGTTGCTGCTTGATTCCTCCTCTGGAAACTTCTCAGAGGGGTACCCGGTCATGTGAGGTGTCAGTCTGCCCCTACTGGGGGATGCCTCCCAGTTAGGCTACTCAGGGGTCAGGGACCCACTTGAGGAAGCAGTCTGTCTGTTCTCAGATCTCAAACACCGTGCTGGGAGAACCACTACCCTCTTCCAAGCTGTCAGACAGGGACATTTAAGTCTGCAGAGGTTTCTGCTGCCTTTTGTTCATCTATGTCCTGCCTCCAGAGGTGGAGTCTACAGAGGCAGACAAGCCTCCTTGTGCTGTGGTGGGCTCCACCCAGTTCGAGCTTCCCTGCCACTTTGTTTACCTACTCAAGAGTCAGCAATGGTGGGTGCCCCTCCCCCAGCCTCGCTGCTGCCTTGCAGTTCAATCTCCGACTGCTGTGCTAGCAATGAGTGAGGCTCCATGGGTGTGGGACCCTCCAAGCCAGCTGCAGGATATAATCTCCTGGTGTGCTGTTTGCTAAGACCATTGGAAAAGTGCAATATTAGGGTGTGAGTGACCTGATTTTCCAGTGCTCTCTGTCACCGCTTCCCTTGGCTAGGAAACGGAATTCCCTGACTTCTTGCACTTCCCAGGTGAGGCAATGCCTTGCCCTGCTTCAGCTCAAGCTCAGTGGGCTGCACCCACTGTCCTACCCCCACTGTCCAACAAGCCCCAGTGAGATGAACCCAGTACCTCAGTTGGAAATGCAGAAATCACCCGTCTTCTGTGTCGCTCATGCTGGGAGCTATAGACTGGAGCTGTTCCTATTCGGCCATCTTGGAACCACCCCTGACAATGTGTTTTTTAATATGAGAATAGATAAACAAACTGTGGTACATCCATAAAATTGAATATTATTCAGTGATAAAAAAACAAGCTATTGTGCCTTCAAAAAGACGTGAATGGATCTTAAATGCATATTGCATAATAAAGGAGGCCAGTCTGCCAAGGATAAATACTGTATGATTCCAATCACAAGACATTCTGAAAAAGCCAAAACTATTAAGATAGTAATGAGATTAGTGATTGCTGGCAGTTTGGCAGTAAACAGGTGAAGCTCCTGAGGTTGTTAGGATGATGAAATTCTTCTGTATGATACTGCAGTGGTGAAATGTGATGCAATATATTTGCCAAAACTCATTGAACTTTATATCAGAAAGAGTAAACCTTAAAAATATGTAAATTTCAAAAGTCATTTTTTGGGAATGAGGAATTTCAAAATGGATTTCAACTTGTGACAAAATATCTAATTGTAACTATAAATATATGAAATTACCTTACTTAAGGGGACAGAGGAAAAGAGTAATTTTGGAAATGAATATAGCCCATAAAGCTAAAGGCAAATGGAACTGTACATAACATTTTACCCCAATCGATAAAGCCATACCACAAGGATGTTTGGGTTAACAGTATTGATACTGGTCTTCATGCATACCAGAAATGAACAATTAAAAATGTATAACAAATAATGGGGATCAGATTTCTCATTGCTGTACTGGAAATTTACAGATAAGCAAAGGGACCAGGCTAGAATGATTCTTGTGATAATAAGTTAGTGTTGAAGACATCAGTATAAACTCATAATTAGCTTAATATAAATACAGATGTTACCTATAAAAACATGTGTAGATTAGTATTCACACAGATATTTTCTTGCTCTGTAAGTCAAGAGGGCCTAAATGAAATGGCACCACAGTAACAGCTAGGTCATCTAGCTTCAGATCTTGGTTTCTAATACCATTATCCAATAACATCAGAGCTCTTTGGAGAAATGACTAAATCTAGGTTGGGGCAAGAAATCTACAAGATGAATACGGAGCATCTTGTGGTACCAAGAAGTAAGGATATAGTCAAACAAATATTGATGAGGTTATGTCAACGGGGCATAAGAATCAAGTGAAAATGTTCCCAATGGCCAAAGCTGGGGAAAAATAAACAAAAAAGTAAATTATCATTGGACTATAACCCAAAGTAAAAACAAATATACACAAGTTCATACTTAAGTAAATAAATTATTGAATAAATAAATACATGTAAGGGGGATAGGCAAATTTTATCCTGCAAAATAATTCTGAATAAACTCTATAGATACTTTGTTGTCAAGGAGGTGGAGAAAACTCCCACTCCTTAGGTGTTGGCCGAAAATAGTGACTTCTTTCCAAAGAATACATCATAAAAAATAGGGGAAAAGGAGTAACATTAAAGTAGTGAAACCTGACAAGTACTACCTCAGCCAGGTGATCAAGGTCAACAGCAATCTTTGATATGATTTGAAGAGGATGGTACTTAACCTCTGTTGTTTCCCTCCCCAAAACCCGTAACTACTCTCTAATCATGAGAAAAATATTAGGTAAATCTCGATAGATTTTTACAATACAGCTGAATAGTGCTTTTCAAAACTATCAAGATCATCAAAAACAAGACAATCCTGAGAAACTCTCAGCCAAGGAGTCTAAAAAGACATGAGGAGTAAATGTAATGTGATATCCCACATGAAATCTTGGAAAAGGATTTTTTTTTTAAAAAGACATTTTGCAAAGATGGTTATAACAAGGAGGATTTTAATTTTTAAGAAATTACCTTGCAAACATTTCCTTTCTACTTGGAAACCTTATTCAAACCTTTGTCTTCCACTGAAAAATAGCTCAGTGTTCAGCTTTGTATACTGGCAAGGGCACAGAAATTGAAGCCAAAAAATACAGTAATTATAATGTTTTCCCCCTCTTGAATAGTGCATTCCCTGAAAATCAGCTTCCTCATTGTTATCAGAAAAATTGTCCAAATCCTAGAAATAGAGCAAATAGGTGAGCAGCATATTCTTTCAATATCACATGTGGTATGGAGCAAGATTTACTAGGATTCTTGGTGTTTTTTTTTTAGTAAAATGTATTAACTCTTGATTCAAAATCCTAGATTTGGTAATGTTCTATGCTAATGTAGATTTTGTCCATTAGAGATGTAAATAGTTGCTTTTTGTGGACATATAAATTTATGGTCCAAATGGGCATCAACTGGTTTTTGTTTTTTATCAAAGGTGGCAGTGGTATCACCTTATATATACCCAAGTTTCTAAAATGGTCTTTGAGCTGGTCATCACAACTTACTGCTTTCCTTATTAATTAATAAATTAAATAAAATATTTGACATGTTTATTTCCTATTACTATGAGACTCATGATGTTGTTTCTTGTTTATACTTTTGCACCTGTAAGAAGAGATAGAAAGAAACCTCAAAATTTAGCTTGAAGAACGAAGGGGATTGTATAGGGTCACTGATCCAAATACTTGTAGAGATTAGGCAAATAATTTAAGTGAGTTCGTTTCTAAGTGAGAAGCTTTCTTGTATGGAATGAGTAGGAAATGATGGGCCCATAGATGTTTGGAGAGCAGATGGGAGTATCTGTGGAAAATTCTCCAGAGAAAGTGATGTCAACAGTCTTCACATAACATGTAAACTTTTGTTTTTCTTTGCAATGTTGTCAACTCTTTCTAATCTCACTTGGATTATATACCTATCTTAAGGTTTAAAAACATGAAAAACTAATAAAAGATGAAAGTCTGAAACCGGAATGATTCTCAGGTCATCAAGTTAAAGTGTATTTTAGTGTTAAGGTTTTTAAAATATGTTGGGATAATCTTGCTTATATAATACTTAAATTTCCTCAAATACAATGTTTCATTTCAGAAAAGACAATTTTACTATTCTAAGCAAAATCCATCACACAAGGAACAGTATTCCAAACATGCTCCATTAACATTTTATTCACCAAAGGTACACTGACCAGAATGCTACATAAACATATGCAACAGCGTTGGACAATTTAGTTTTGAAATGTGCTGATTTCCCTTTCCAGGTTTCTGAGCAGCTGACAGAAGTGGAATACAGTTTACAGTTTAAAGCCCCTTGGTAATTGGAAATGAGCGCTTTGTTGCTCTTGTCATTGGAGCAAGCAGTTTTGGAGCCATTTGGGGCCTCACATCCATGCATTTGACAACAAATTGCTGGATGGAAATTCCCAACAGTGTTACCCCTGAACTTCTTCCTTGTTGCCCTAGGCTGTAGTCAAGTTTCTCAGCACGCGACAGGTAGAAACTTTCCCAGTATTGACATTTGCGATGGTATCATTTATTTATATGAAATGAGAACCAATTTCTTACTTTGAATTGTTCAGATAAAATGAGCAAGTCAAATGTTAAATCCTTCCTTTACATTACATGGAATGATGCCAGCAGCATTAGATGCTCTGTATTTATGTAATGCACAGAAAGATTTTCCACAATTACATCTCTGTTTACCTGTTCTGCATGACATAACTCTAAGACTTTCAATATCAACTGTGTTGTATGAACAGTGACTTAGAGAAAAGTTGGTCTAGAAACTCTTTGACTAGCAGAAAGAAATACGGTTTTCAAAAATATTTATATTTCTTCCTTTTTAAATCCTCCAACACTCTTGCAGAAACACTTAGAAAGCCATTCAATCAGGTTAGTGGAATAACGTTTAGTTAAGTTGTTTTAAGTTAATGTGCTATAGTACTGATTGGAGAAAAATCTCTTTTGGTGTGTTATCCTTATTCTTACCTATTGCAGCATCCTCATAAATGGAATTGCTGCAGATTTCATCAAATCTGCATGTTATACAAAGGTGCAAGGAGAAGTAATTGGTTAAACGACTGATGTAGGCAGTAAACTATCTTTTTAGCTAGAATGATAAGCTGAATTTAACAAGACAACATGTAAATGAGATACAAATATGTATATATTATTGAAATAGATTTATTTCAATATAAATATATTTATATTGAAATATATATAAATATAAATTCCATAAATACATATATGGAATTTCATATTTCATATGGAATTTCACATTTCATAATTCATATTTCATATATACATATAAGTAAATATAGAATATTTATATAGAGTTTACATATGTATATATGGGATATTCTAAGGTAGCACAAGTAGATATTAGTAATAACGGATGGTGTTTCTTGATAAGTATGAATAAGGCACAATGTAAATACATTTATGTTAATTTTAAAATTTATTTTATCGAATTTCTTGTGAGACAGGCCACTTATATTAATAAATCTAATTTGAGGGTCTTTATGCTATGGAGAATTTAAATATAAATAAACTGAAATTACTATTCTGAAAGTTAAAATGTTCCCCTCAAATTAGTTTTGACCATATGCCAACATTTTAGTTTTAATATTCTATGAAAGAAATTTCTAGCATGCCACTTACGTAATTTATTTTTATAGTTTTTTATGTGAAAAGAGTGTTGATGTATAATCACTTATAGACTGAGTGCAAACAGAAAGGATACTGGCTAAAAATTATTAGAATTTTAACTATCATTAAGTTAAGTAGGTGAGTAGTTAGTTTCCCAGAGAAGGTCTTAATTTCTTTAAAGATGATATAAAAATTTCTTAAGCATTTCATCATGAATGACAATTTCTTCCTAAAAGGAGGTTATGAACTGCATCACTAAGAATCTGTTCATGACCATGTTTGTAATTAACACTGGAATAATATTTATTGACTATTTGGTAATTTGATATTTGGGATTCTTATTTCCTGATATATTTATTTCTGTTTTCACTTTTCTAATAGTTTTTTTAAAATTTTACATATGATTTTTTCATTTTATTTTGTTCAACTTTCACCTTTCCTGCCTAGTGGGTAACAAAAATTTTCTTTTGCTAATTTGAATATCAATATTATACATATAATTTGAATATTAAGTATTATATATGTGTGTATATGCATACACACATAGATATATTTACGAAGTCAATATGAATGTAAACACATATTTCTGTTGCAGTTATATTGTCTTTCTGAAAAAAAATTAATTAGAATCTTCTGTGACCCCTCCTCTACTACCCACGACTTTGCTAGTGTTCTGTAAGACTCTCTGTATGGGCATAATAAACCCAAATTGTTTAGAGAGTAGTTGTGACTTCAAGTTTAGAAAACCTTCACTATGTCCCTTGGTGGAAGCAAATTCATGAGGATTTTTTCTTTTTTTATCAGTGTCTTTTGTAACCAGCGGACAATTAAATGGCGGCAATTTGTAGATCAAACTGGAAATAGGAAACCTGGGCCATTATGCCCATGCATATCCTCTACCCGTACCACCATGGCCATGCTAATAATGGTGTGGATAGAGAGGCTGTTTGACAACTGTAGGGAGAACAGCTGGACTGTTAATTGTTGAGTGCTTCTTCTGATTTCTGTAGGCTTTGTAATAATGCCCATTAGCTCATCTACATATCTGTTTCCCAGACTCTTTGTTTCCAACTTTAAATTGGGTTCCTTACAGATCCCCTAATAGCTATCCAAACAATTTGTGGCCTCAAGTTTGTGGATATCTATAACTCAGGTAATTACTGCCTCTATACAAAATAAATAATCAACTGTACTACTCAAACTTCTGATTCCTAGTAAAATATCTCTTTGACTCCTGGGATAATTTATAGGCCCATTGCTGAATGTGACAATAGCATGGTAACAATTTATTTGTAGATAATACCAACATACTGTGTAATACATTTGTAAACTACACCTGACATATTTTTCTTTGTTCATCAATGTTACCATAGATGCAGGAAGACAATTTTCAGTGCAAATGTCGTAGGTGCCAAAAGAGGCTGAACTTTTTTCACCATATAAGAAAGTACTGCAGTATTGTTTGAATGTCTGGCTCTAGTTATCGCTGAACGTGAAGACCCTTGCTTGCACAGTGTTCTCATGGTCAGGATCTCAGACTCTACTTGATCCTATAACAGGAACTTTTCTTATTGTTGTTTTAAAATAAAGTAGTTTTCCGCTGTAGAAGACCTTGATCCAGAACTCAATGTGTGAGCTCTGGGATTTTCCAGTTGGGACTTACGAGATATATTACACAGGATTCTTATTCATCATGAATACCTATAGCACTGTGATATTTACTGGGTCACATGGCCAAAGTACCAATTTGCTACAGCACTCTTGCTTACTCTGGACCCCACTTAAAACAGGAATTTTTCTGAATCACCAATGAATATGTTTAAAAAAATTGTTTTCCTACACAGAATATGGTGTTATAAATTCCAAAGAGATACACTATGTATTGTATCTCTTTCTAAGTTGGAGGTGAAAACTATATGCCCCAATGGTGGTAGACATTCCAGAATGCTCCATACTGCTGGACTCCTAAACATTCTACCCAGAAGGAAAACCCTGAAACTTCATTGAGGTCTACGTCCCATCATCAGACATGCATCCATCTTACTTGACCATCTAGGGCACCTATTTTTTTTTTCATTTTTTGACAAGTTGAATTAGCATAATGTTGTTAGTATAATTGAAATTTGGCTAACCTATTTCATTCTTTTATTTGTGGGGTGAGGGGAGGTTAAAGCAGGTAATAAAGGCCAACAATCTCCATACGGTTTCTATTCATCATTGTGTCTTTACTATTTAAGTGCTACAGCACTCTTCCGTCAGAGCTTATAGTGATGCTTTTTTTTGATGCTTTTTCATATCAGGGGTTATCACGACCCTCATTTATTAATGGCATGGGGGACATTGTTGCCATCTGTATATTATACATTTCCTAAATTCCATTCTGTAGGTCAGTTTTTTAGTGACATTTGTGGTCTAACGGAACCTCCCTGGAAGCAGCACCTGAGAAAAAGATCTGCAAGCAGGCTATTTATTTGGGAAGTGATTCCAGGGAGTAAAAGCCACAGCAGTGGAACAGGAATGGAGAAGAAAAGGCAGTACAAGAATGCATTCTCCATACGCTCTGTGCTATGGACAACCAAAGTTGGAACTCCCAAAACATTCTGAAAAGCCTTATGGAATGTGTTTCAAAACTATGTATCTGGGGAATCAAAGAGTTTAACATTGATTTCTTGGCTCCCATTCTCCACTAGTTGAGGATAACACAATGAGCATTAACCTCTCCACATTTCAAGGTTGCATATGCGTGAGTGCCCTGTGAGTTTCCTCCAGGCATTCCACGCTATTCAATCTGAGAAGTCCTGGAAAGACGTAAAATATTTGCGGTGCAGACTCAGGGTGAAGTATTGTTTGACCCTGCACCGAGCTGGTTCAAACCTAATCAGAACTTCTGTCTGAGTTTGGTACAGAGCTTGGTACAGTTTGGGTGCTATTTCAGAAATAAAAAAGATATACTATTTAAAAAGAACTTTCAGTCTACTGATCTTTTCTGTTTTCTACTTTTATTATAAATTTTATCTTCCTTTTTTTTTTTTTGAAACGGAGTTTCGCTCTTGTTGCCCAGGCTGGAGTGCAATGGCACAATCTCAGCTCACCGCAAACTCCGCCTCCTGGGTTCAAGTGATTCTCATGCCTCAACCTCCCGAGTATCTGGGATTACAGGCATGCACCACCACGCCCTTTTGTCTAAGTTTTTGAGGATTTCTTAAGTTTACTTCTTCGCAAATGTATTTCTGAGGATGGTATGTAAACTGCTTTTAACTGCCCCTGTCATGGCTTTTATTTCCTTAGCATTGTATTACTCTCCATTTGGTCTGAGATGATTTCATTCTTTTTTTTTTAATTTTACTATTATTATACTTTAAGTTTTAGGGTGCATGTGCACAACGTGCAGGTTTGTTACATATGTATATATGTGCCATGTTAGTGTGCTGCACCCATTAACTCGTCATTTAGCATTAGGTATATCTCCTAATGCTATCCCTCCCTCCTACCCCCACCCCACAACAGGCCCTGGTGTGTGACGTTCCCCTTCCTGTGTCCATGTGTTCTTATTGTTCAATTCCCACCTATTAGTGAGAACATGTGGTGTTTGGTTTTTTGTCCTTAAGATAGTTTGCTGAGAATGATGGTTTCCAGCTTCATCCATGTCCCTGCAAAGGACATGAACTCATCATTTTTATGGCTGCATAGTATTCCATGGTGTATATGTGCCACATTTTCTTTTTTTTTTTTTTTTTTTTTTTTTGAGACGGAGTCTCGCTCTGTCGCCCAGGCTGGAGTGCAGTGGCGGGATCTCGGCTCACTGCAAGCTCCGCCTCCCGGGTTCACGCCATTCTCCTGCCTCAGCCCCCCAAGTAGCTGGGACTACAGGCGCCCGCCACTACGCCCGGCTAATTTTTTGTATTTTTTAGTAGAGACGGGGTTTCACCGTTTTTAGCCGGGATGGTCTCGATCTCCTGACCTCGTGATCCGCCCGCCTCGGCCTCCCAAAGTGCTGGGATTACAGGCGTGAGCCATCGCGCCCGGCCTATGTGCCACATTTTCTTAATCCAGTCTATCATTGTTGGACACTTGGGTTGGTTCCAAGTCTTTGCTATTGTGAACAGTGCCACAATAAACATACATGTGCATGTGTCTTTATAGCAGTATGATTTATAATCCTTCGGGTATATACCCAGTAATGGGATGGCTGGGTCAAATGGTATTTCTAGTTCTAGATCCCTGAGGAATCTCCACACTGACTTCCACAATGTTTGAACTAGTTTACAGTCCCACCAACAGTGTAAAAGTGTTCTTATTTCTCCACATCCTCTCCAGCACCTGTTGTTTCCTGACTTTTTAATGCTTATGATTATCTCTGCATGCTTAGATACAAAAGTAAATAGCTTCTATTTTATTAGACTATAAGTGAGAAATTTTCTAGAATATTCTGCACTGTATTCTTTATTTGAGTTATATGAGAATTTTCCATCTTTTGCATTGTAGCATCTTTTATTTTTAATTTTTGTGGGTACATAATACGTGTAGGTATTTATGGGGTAAATGAGATGTTTTAACACACTAATGCAATGTGAAATAATCACATCATGGAGAATGGGGTACACATCCTCTCAAGCATTTATTTTTTGTATTATGAACAATCCAATTCCACTTTCTGAGTTATTTAAAAATGTACAATTAAGTTATTATTGACTGTAGTCATCCTGTTGTGCTATCAACTATTAGGTCTTATTCATTCTTTCTAATTTTTTTTTTTGTACATATTAGCCATCCTACCTTCCCCTCACCTCCCTGCCTATTACCCTTCCCAACCTCTGGTAACCATCCTTCTACTCTTTTATGTCCATGAGTTTATTATAGCATATTTTTAAATTCTTACAATGTTTGCAGAAATAATTTCTCATATTTACTTATTTTTATAAGGACAATATTATAGGCAGTAAACTATTTGACTACTATTGGCTTGTAGGTTGTAAAAGTTTGTGTTTGAGTTTGTTGCCTGGCACCTCATGAGTTCTGTTTTCCCAGATAAAAGGGGAATGGAAGAAGACAAAAATGTGTATACATCTTGTTGACATGAATGGATATCCTGATTCAGCTGCTTAACAGGGATGGTTAGAAAATGTGGAAGCATGGGAAGGCACAACAGAATAATTTTATCTGCTATTTTTAAGTGCTGAGGGTGAAATCAACATTGAAAAAAGCACATACTAAAGTATGATCTTTAGTTTTATGAATTATGATTTTTTTCTCCTGCCCTAAGCTGTAGAAGGTGTTAGTGGGAATCTGTCTAGAAAATATCTATTTGTTTATAGTGTTGTTT
This sequence comes from Homo sapiens, assembly GCF_000001405.40. Lineage (NCBI taxonomy): Eukaryota > Metazoa > Chordata > Mammalia > Primates > Hominidae > Homo > Homo sapiens. The sequence continues at coordinate 65,090,866 of NC_000010.11, read as the reverse complement.
TTTTCTATAGAATTGAAGGAGTCTCTCCTTTGAGACTAAGGGGAGTCTCCCCTTTGAGACTTACAGGCTCACGCCTGTAAACCCAGCACTTTGGGAGGCCAAGGTGGGTGGATCACTCCAGTCCAGGAGTTTGAAGCCAGCCTGGGCAACATAGTGAGACCACATCACTGAAAATAAAAAATATATATAAATTTAAAACAAAGCAAAAATAACTAACTAAATAAATATTTGAAAATTACAAATCAAACGAACAAAATATTAAACAATGTGTATTTTCAATCCCACATAGACAAATATATCTTCATAACAACCTGGAAGGCCAGGATTAAATCTAAAATTCTCAAACTCCTCAGAATTTCATGGGGGGACATGGTTTAACAGAGATTTAGCCACTGCTTTAGTCCTTTAGCCAGATCTTGTCTGTGAGTTCTCAATTATGGTTTCATCATACACTAGAAGTGTCTTGTGCAGGTCAATACCTCAGGATACTATTTGACCAACTTTTACTCAAACTCCCTGCATACACTTACTTTTTTTTTTTTTTTTTTTTTTTTTTTGAGGCAGAGTCTCCCTCTGTTGCCAGGCTGGAGTGCAGTGACACAATCTTGGCTCACTCCAACCTCCACCACCCCAGTTCAAGAGATTCTGTTGCCTCAGCCTCCCGAGTAGCTGGGATTACAGGCACACACCCCCATGCCCAGCTACTTTTTGTATTTGTAGCAGAGATGGGGTTTCACCATGTTGGCCAGGATGGTTTTGATCTCTTGACCTTGTGATCGGCCCGCCTTGGCCTCCCAAAGTGCTGGGATTACAGGCTTGAGCCACCGCGCCCAGCCTACACTTACTCTTTGTTCACCTCTCAGAACTAGGAATACAGGCACCAGTATTATAATCTGTCATGGAAAGACAGATCCAGGAAGAAGGCTACACCAGAATTAGAAAATTTGGGGGTCTTAAAGGAATCCTTACATCTTGTGGACTTGGACTTTGGTCTAGTAAAGGGAGCATAAATTTTGGTTAACCCACCACCTTGTGAGCTCATCTTATATGGAGGTTTTTGGCTATGTGAGAGCCAAATAGAGGCTCTACTGTAGGGGCCCCAAGTCAAACACTAAGGTGTTATTGTATATAACTGATAACTGTATTTTAATCATTGCACCACAATGTTCCCTTATTTGTTGATAGCCACCATGATGTTATTACATAGCTTTCATTAAGTGTTTTGTGCGTCTTCTGTTGGGCTGTTTCACACAAAAGTTGTATTAGGTATAAACATTGACTCTAGTTTATAGTTTGTGATCATACTTTTAGGTGTAATGTTATTAAAGAGTTTATGGTTGAAGAATATAACAACAGAATCAACCTTATACAATAATTAATAAAGTATTATTACATTTTTAATACTTAATATTACATTTAAGAAGTAATTTTTATCATAAGAGTATATAAGCTTTATGAGGGCAAAGATTTCTGTCTCCTTTATTTCACTGATAGATAGTAGCCTAGAACAAGAACTGTCACAAGGTGGTTGCTGTGTCAATATTTGTGTAATGAAGTTTCAAGTTCAGAAATGATGAAAATCTTTTCTCATTGCAACTTCCAGTTTTTCAGAAATGAATGAACCTCATAATGAAGAAATTACCTGAAATTCACTTAGAAGAATTTTAAGACGATTTTAGTAGAAAGCACCTGTATAAATGGTAAAGATATGCTTTCATCTCTAGATGAACACATTATTAAACTTGAATGACTTAAAAATTTGGGGTTGCCTGAAAATGATGTTTTCAATGGAGTTTGATATTTTTTCTAATTTACTAAGGGTTTTCTTGTCTAGACAATATATTGTTTAAAGAAACTTTGATTTTTTCTTAAATAATTTAATTCTGAAAGCCACTGCTAATACAAAATGATGAGAGAAAATTTGATTTCTGTCAAATCACTTTCTAAAATAGCGGAGCGATCTATAGCATTTGAAGAAGAGATGCAATACATAAAGTATTAGGAAAGTAAAACATGATAAGGAGAAATAAGAAACTAATCTCCTTATTTTCCAATCTTTGCTTAATGTTAGATTTCCCAGGATCAGTGAAACTCTTGGAATAAAAGGGAAGAAGTTGACTCCAAGGAGCAGACATAATCTCTATCCCCAAATAATGCTGATGAGCATATTGTCTAAAAGAGATGCTAAAATGCTTGATATGGGAGGAAAATTTTGCTTTCCTTGACATAAAGCCCAGTCATAAGGGAATTGACTTTATTTCTATTCATATTGAGCAATACCACACAAAAACTTGTCTAAGATATATAAGTTGTTTTTGTTAAAGAATATATCACTTAACTTATAAAAGGAAAAAAAGTAGATTTATTTTTATAATGCTATTTAAGATTATCTTCTTATATCTCACTAAATTGTGTACATTCCATATGAAATACATGTCTAAATATTATTTTGCTTATGTCTTGATGACTTGAGCTTATGGTTACTAACTTAAACATTTTATGTGCCCTTCCTAACTTATATCTTCCTTGAAAGTATATATATAATGTATATATATGTATATACAATATATATGTATTATATATTATATATACATATATATCATATATACGTATATATCATATATATGTATTATTAATACGTATATATCGTATATACGTATATACGATATATACGTATATATCATATACGTATATACGATATATACATATATATCATATATGTGTATATATATTATATACGTATATATTATATATGTGTATATATATTATATATGTATATATTATATATGTGTATATATTATATGTGTATATATATTATATGTGTATATATTATATGTGTGTATATATAATATATGTGTATATTATATATGTATATATACTATATGTGTATATTATATATGTATATGTATTATATATATATATTATATATGTATCTATTATATATGTATATATTTATATATGTATATATATTTTATATGTATATATTTATATATGTATATATATTTTATATGTATATATTTATATATGTATATATATTATATATGTATATATTTATATATGTATATATATTATATATGTATATATTTATATATGTATATATATTATATACGTATATATAATATATATGTATATATATTATATACGTATATATAATATATATGTATATATATTATATACGTATATATAATATATATGTATATATATTATATATACGTATATATAATATATATACATATATATTATATATAGTATATATAGTATATATATTATATATATATTATATATAGTATATATATTATATATTATATATAGTATATATATTATATATTATATATAGTATATATATTATATATTATATATAGTATATATATATAATACATGTATATATTATATATATAATACATGTATATATATTATATATTTGTATATATTACATGTATATATATTATATATGTATATATATAATATGTATGTGTATATATATTATATGTGTATATATTATATATGTGTATATATATTATCTGTGTATATATTATATATATGTATATATAATATATATATGTGTATATATATTATATATATGTATATATAATATATATATGTGTATATATATATAAACTACATTTAAAAATAGGCAATAAGCATATGGTGCGTGTTGTCCATGTTGAAGTTACTCTCCCATAACCTTAAAAATTGTCTGGATCCTTTTTAATTTGGGGATTATGGTCATTTTGGGGGATGTCTATTATTGTGCTGTTGCTTAATAGATTTTTTCTTCCTTCTGTAATTAACAAAAATCTGAGTAGTAATATTGCTGGGACTCCTGATAAGTTTTGAATTGAAATTTACACTAAAATATGGATAGATATCTTGCTCAAAATAGCTGTTTTATGTATGTAAAAGTTGAATATTTTAGAATCAATAAAAAAGCATTTTTCTACTGGTATGGTTACACATCTTTATGATGAAGAAATATTATTTCCTTATTAATCTATGAGAAAATACGTCAAATAAAATTTTTCAAGACTCCTTAATTTAGGGTCAATATTCATGCCAAATTAATGTCTATCCCTGGAGATGTTTAAACATAACTAATGTATTCAATGATGTTATGGTAAAATAATCTGGTTCTAATTAAAATAAATTACTATTTATTATAATATAAAGTATATTATAATAAATAATATTAATGATAAAATTAACAGACCGTTTTCTTACTTTATTAAGTAAAAAATCCCACACATATGGCAAGTCATATTTTTTTAATTTTTATTCTTTATTTCAATAGGTTTTGGGGGAACTGGTGGTGATTGGTTACATGAGTAAGTTCCTTAGTCATGATTTCTGTGATCTTGGTGCACTCCTTACATGAGCAGTGTACACTGTACCCAATGTGTAGTCTTTTATCCTTCATCCCCCTTCATCCTTTCCCCTGAGCCCCAAAGTCCATTGTATTATTTTTCTGCATTTGTGTTCTCATAGCTTAGTTCTCAGTTATGATTGAGAACATACAATATTTGGTTTTTCCATTCCTGAATTACTTCACTTATAATAATAATCTCCAATTCCATCCAGGTTGCTGTGAATGCCATTATGTCGCTCCTTTTTATGGCTGAATAGCAGTCCATGGTGTGTGTGTGTATATATATAAATATATATATGTATATGAATAATTCTTAGGTTTGGTAGTTTAAAATAATCCCAAAATTTTTGGAGACCTTGTTCTTTTATAAAATTCTGTTTCTTTGTCTTTGTTGGATTAGATTAATTTGAAAGCCTTGTCTTCAAGCTCTGAAGTTCTTTCTTCTACTTGTTGTGTTCTATTGCTGAAACATTGCAGCTAATTTTTCATTTCTCTAAGTACATCCTTCATTTCCAGAGATTGCTATTGTTTTCTATCTATGCTATCTATGTTTTTTTTGTTTGTTTTTGGTTTTTGATTTTTTTTGAGATGGAGTCTGTTTGTTGCCCGGGCTTGAGTGCAATGGTGCGATCCTGGCTCACTGCAATCTCTGCCTCCTGGGTTCCAGCAATCCTCCTGCCTCAGCCTCTCGAGTAGCTGGGATTACAGGCATGCACCGCCACGCCCGGCTAATTTTTGCATTTTTAGTACAGATGGGGTTTCACCATGTTGGCCAGGCTGGTCTCGAACTCCTGACCTCAGGAGATCCACCTGCCTCAGCCTCCCAAAGTGCTGGGATTACAGGTGTGAGCCACTGCACCTGTCGCCTATGCTATCTATTTTACTGGAGATTTTTCTGTCCATAGCTTGTAATTTTTTTTTTATTCCTTTAAGTTGGTATTCACCTTTCTCTAGTACCTCTTTGAGTAGTTCAATAATTGCCCTTCTGAATTCTTTTTCTGGCAACCCTGAGATTTTTTCCTTAGTTTGAATCCATTGCTAGAGAGATAGTGTGATCTTTTAAGGGTGTTATAGATCTTTGTTTTTCCATATTACCAGAATTGTTTTTCTGGTTCCTTCTCATTTGGGTAGATTATGACAGAAGGAAGATCTGGGGCTCCAGGGCTGTTGTTCAAATTCTTTTTTCCCACAGTGTGCTCCCTTGATGTAGTTCTCTCCTCCTTCCCCTGGGGATGGGGCTTCCCGAGAGCCAAACTGCAGTGATTGTTATTTCTCTTCTAGCTACTGAGTGGGGCTACTGGGCTCTGGGATGGTACTAGGGGTGTCTGCCGTGATCCATCTTCAGGTCTCTCACCTGTGGATACCAACACCTACTCCAGTGGAGGTAGCAGGGGAGTGAAGTGTACTCTTTGAAGGTCCTTGTGATGGTGGCAGCCACCCATCTGGAGAAGTTCTGCAAGGACATCAGCTGCAGCAGGGGAAGTGCAGCTGCTGCGGTGTGCTCCATGGAACTGGTGAAGGCTGGGAACAGGTGATTCCAGCAGGGGCCCCACACCCTACCAAGTTGGCAGGGGGAGCCCACACTCCCGGGCATAGCTACAGCTTCCCAACCATGGGTTGGACTCAGGCATACCTGCGCTTTCAGGGGGCAGGGAAGCTCCCTGCCCCTGCAGGCTCAGAAGTGCCTGCTCTCATTCCCTGGACACTCCCATTTCCAGCCTCCACTCAATGGTGGAGCAAAGCTGTGGACATGTCCTGGTAGCCGAGCTCAGGCACTGCTGTGACTGGGTGTGCACGCACTTGGGGCAGTACTGACATGTCAGCCCCTCAACTGTCTCAGCCCCCTCCAGAATCTGCTTCTGAGGCTGAAACTTTGGGTGCTGACAAGTACAGGAGGCAGGCTGGGGGAGCTGAGGGTGGCTTGGTGTGGGCCTGTGGGTATCCATCTGTGTGGAGAGCCTGGGCACCACGGATGGCATATTGATGGCAGCAGGAGGCAGACAGATTCCTAGGAGCCTGCAGGAAGGGGCAGGTCCCTGGTGAAACACCACCTACAAGCCAGGGATGGCCTGCAGCCTTGTGGCCAGCCTGCCACTTCCAGGTTGAGTCTGTGACCCAGAGTGAGAACTTCCTTGATGCCTCTTGGTCAATCAAGTGGTGCTTTTTCCAGGCCCCACCACAAGGCTGCCCACAGACCAATCATGCCCTCCTCCATTCTGAGCCCATAAAAACCTTGAACTCAGCCAGACTCAGACACTCATCGGGACCACCTGCCTGCGAATAGGAGCTACCCACTTTATGTCTCCGTTCCACTGACAGCTGTTTGGTCATCCAATAAAGTTCTTCTCTGCCTTGTTCACCGTCCAGTAGTCCACATAATCTTTCTTCCTCGATGTGGGACAGGAACTCAGGACCCACCCAACAGTGGGAGCAAAAGAAGGCGTAACACTTTTCTGTCTGGCTTGCTGTGCTGAGGGCAGTGACATGCTCCGGGACTGTGGGAATGAAGAGTGGCAACCCTTCGGGTTGCCCAGACCTTGGGATTCCCTGAGGCAGAGCTGTAACACTATAACCCTACCACCCTCTGCCGGTGCTGGATGGTCACCTCACATGACAGGAAGAAGTGACAAGTTTGGGCCAGCCCAGGAGCCATAGGCCAGACTGGGGTTGTAAGACTGAAAGAGCTGTAACACAAACAGGCTAAAACACACACATCCTTCTGCCTCCCCTGCTCACTCTGCTACAGCCCTTCTGAGAGCCCAAACTTCAGGGTTCTTTGATCCAGGGCTGTGACACACTGTAACACCCTCTTTGGGGCTCTGTGGTTCCTAGAGTCTCTGAGCTTTTGGGTACCATTGTGTTACCCTTGTCCAGATGCTGGTGCCTACAGTGGAATTTGCTTGCAGCACATCTGGTTCAGCCACAGTTTCACACGGAGCCAATGCCTGTGCTTGTGCCTGGAGCTGCCTGCCCTGCTGCAGCAGCTGGTGTGCCTTGCTGTGTGCAGTGGCAGTACCCCGTACTCCCCGGCTCACACCCCTTGGCACTTGGTACCTGGCTCACCCTTGGCAGGCATGGGATCTGGGCCGGTAGCGTGAGCCAAGCACAGCCTTCCAGGCCTAATAGGCAGAACGAGCCTACTGGGTATGAGCAAAACTCAAGGAGAGGCACTGCTGGCCACAGAATTTTCTGGCTGGTGAAGGACACCTGAAGGATTCTGTGACATCTTGTTATAATTTTGTTATGTGTGCTGGTTTTGTGTTGTTTGGCCTCCAGCCAGGAGGTGGTGCTTTCAAGAGAGCACCATCTGTGGTAGTATTGGGAGAATAGAAGATTACTCTAGGGTCACCTGGATAAGTATTTAGGTTTCTCAGGCAGTGGGTGGGGCCCTAGAGCTCCCAAGAGGTTATGTTCTTTGTTTTCAGCTCCCAGGGTGGGTGGAGAAAGACCATCAGGTGCGGGCAGAGTTAGGCCTGTCTGAGCTCAGACTCTCCTTGGACAGGGCTTGCTACAGCTGAGTTTTTTAGCTGTCTCACTGAGCCTGCAGAGGTAAACCACTTCCTTCAAAGTATCTGTTGATTCTCTCTGCTTTCCTGGTGTGTTCCTGTGGTACTTGTTGGAGCAAAAGTTCATGATGTGAGTTGAAAATTATATTTTTAAAGACACTGAATCAATGTAGAGGAAGACAGGATTACCTGAACCAAAATCTCACAGAAAGAAAAGACTTTTTGATGTGAACAACATGTCAATAGCTATTTTATTTCCTGGGGTCATTTGCTAATTCTAAGTGTGAGCTGCATATTGGGCCTGGTCCCACAGACACAAACATGTGACTTGGCACAGCTTGGAAACTTGAAAAGCTTTAAATGTGTGGTCTATCTCTCCATAGTGTGTTTATTATTTTGAAACTTCCTGAGGTTGATATACCATGGCCACCTCTTCAAGAAATTTATGAAATTGAATGTGGAGTATAAGTGAAAGACCAATAAGTAAAGGTCCAAATCTCTGAGGGGATGACGAGGCTAAGGAGAGAGAGTTGCTGCTCTCTCACCACCAGGCACAAGTGACACATGCTTGACAAACAAGGAGTAAATAGAGGCAGCTGGAGTCTCATCAAACCTTCAACACAGTCCCAAGCCAGCCTAGTCCCTCATTGAATGGAGGTTATCAGCCTCTTGCTTTAGCTGCTTATCCAAATAAAAAAGAGGCCCTATCTACTAGAAGATAAAATTGTCCAGGGTCCTTATAGTTTTCTTATATACAAAGTGTGACACCAATTAAAAATTATTGGTAGGCATTTAAATAAGAAAAAAATATGACCATTAAAATAGCTGTCATCAATATGTTAAAGAGGACAGAGGAAAAGAATTTTAACAAATATTTGAGATTTATAAAATTGATTATAGTTATAACTCATTGGATTAGTTTAACAGCAAAGTAGACATGCACACAAAAACTTGAGCTAACTCTCAAAGATAGTGGACTAAAATATATCCAAGTAGAAAATTCATATTGTCATCAGAATATACACAAAATTGAATTTCAAATATTTAAGAAGTTGTTCATTTTAAAACTTTCAGATAAAATTAGAAGAATAAGTAAACTTTCTTTAATTGATTTAAGAGCATCTATGAAGAAATCTCAAGTTAACATGAAAAATAATGTTGATGTTTTAAATGTGGACATTTTCCACAATGTGCATATGTACCCTAAAACTTAAAGTATAATAATAAAAGAAAAAAAAGAAAAAAAAAGAAAAAAAAAAAAAGAAAAGGAATAAAACAAAAGTTTTACTATCTCTCCCTTCAATTTAACATTGTGCTAGAGATTCCAACCAGTGCAATAAGGCAGAAAAAATAAAGACATGCAGAGTTGAAGGGAAGAATTAAAAACTGACAGTATTAATTGATGATGTGATTGCACAACTCGAAAATCCATCTACAAACTCCTAAAATTAAACATATGAATTTAACAAGGTTGCTGTTTACAACACTAATATTTAAAATATACTTCTATGCATTAGCAGCAAACTATTAGGGCATGAAAATTTAAAGATATTCCTTACTATAGCAGCAAACAGCCTCTATTATCTAGAATCTAAACTAATGAAAAATATGTAAGACTTCTACAATGAAAAGGATAAAACATCACTAAGAAATATTAAAGAAGACTTAAATTAACGGAAGGGTATATCATGCTTGTAGTTCACAAGACTCACTATTATTAAGATGTCAAGTCTCCCAAAATTGTTCTATAGATTTAATGAAATTTTAATCAAAATCCCAGCAGGAACTTTTATTAAAATTAACAACCTCTTTTGAGAACTTACATAGAAGTGAAAGGCAATCTTAAAGAGGGTTGCAAAGGAAATACTGAAACAGAGAAGAGCAACAGAATTTATACTACCTTATGTCAAGACTTTTCAAAAAAGTAGTTTATATAAAATAGTTACTATTGGTGTATGGATAGATATCACAGATCAATAAATACATTCTCAGAGAGGCCAGAAACAGACCCCTTTCCCCACACTGCCAACTCATATTACTTAGAGCAAAAGCACCAATGTGATTTAGTGGGGAAAAAGATATTTTCAATAAAGGGTACTGAAGCAATTAGGTATGCTTTACAAAACAATGTGTCTAGATCTCTCAAAATTTACATAAAAATAATTTGAGATGACAAGTAAATCTAACTGTAGAATGTAAAATTTTTAAAGCTTTTAGAAGGAAAGAGAAGAGGAATATCTTTATGCACTTGGGGTAAACAAAGATTTCATAAAGAGAACACAACATTTCACAAACCATTTTTTTGATTTTCATTAATATTAAAATATATGCTCATCAAAAAACAATATTAAGGACTGTATTAGTCCGTAATCACACTGCTATGAGGAAACACCTGAGACTGGATAATTTATAAAGGAAAGATGTTTAATTGACTCACAGTTCCACACTGCTGAGGAGGCCTCAGGAAACTAACAATCATGGCAGAAGACAAAGGAGAAGCAGGTACCTTCTTCACAGGGCTGCAGGATGGAGTGAGTGCAAGCAGGGGAAATGCCAGACACTTACAAAACCATCAGGTCTCATGATAACTCACCCACTGTCATGAGAACAGCATGGAGGAAACCACCCCCATGATCCAATTACCTCTACCTGGTCCTACCCTTGACACATGGAGATTATGGGGATTAAAATTGAAGGTGAGATTTGTGTGGGGACACAAAGCCAAATCATATTATTCCATCCCTGGCCCATCCTAAATCTTATGTCATTTCACATTTCCAAACAAGTCATGCCTTCCTAACAGTCTCCCAGAGTCTTAATTCATTTCAGCATTAAATCAAAAGTCCACAGTCCAAAGTGGCATCTGAGACAAGTCAAGTCTCTCCCACCTATGAACCTGTAAAATCAAATGTAAGTTAGTTACTTCCTAGATACAATGGGAGTACAGGCATTGAGTAAATACACCCATTCCAAATGGAGGAAACTGGCCAAAACAAAGGGGCTACGGGCCCCATGCAAGTCCAAAATCTAATAGGGCAGTCATTAAAACTTAAATTTTCAAAATGACCTGCTTTGACTCCATGTCTCAAACCCAAGTCATGCTGATGCAAGAGGTGGGCTCCCACAGCCTTGGGCAGTTCAACCCCTGTGGCTTTGGAGGGTATAGCCCCCACTTCTGGCTGCTTTCATAGGTTGGTGTTGAGTGTCTGCTCTTTTCCAGGTGCACAGTGCAAGCTGTGGTAGGATATACTATTCTGGGATCTGGAAGATGGTGGCCCTCTTCTGAAAACTCTACTAGGCAGTGCTCCAGTGGGGACTCTGTGTGGAATCTTCAACCCCACATTTCCCTTCTGCACTACCCTAGCAGAGGTTCTCTATGAGGGCCCCACCCCTGCAGCAAACTTCTGCCTGGATATCCAGGCATTTCCATTCATCCTCTGAAATCTAGGCGGAGGTTCCCAAGACTCAATTCTTGGCTTCTGTGCACCTACAGGCTCAACACCATGTGGAAGCTGCCAAGGCTTGGGGCTTGCACCCTCTGAAGCAATAACTTCAGTTGTACTTTGGCCCCTTTTAGCCATGGCTGGAATGGCTGGGACACAGGGCACCAAGTCTCAAGGTTGCAAACAGCAATGGAGCCTTGGGCTTGGCCCGTGAGACCATCTTTCCCTCCTAGGTCTCTGGGCCTGTGATGAGAAGGGCTGCTGTGAAGGTCTATGACATTCCCTAGAGACATTTTCCTTATTGTCTGTGTGATTAACATTTGGCTCATTACTTATGCAAACTTCTGCAGCCAGCTTGAATTTCTCTTCCCAAAATGGGTTTTTCTTTTCTACTGCATCATCAGACTGCAAATTTTACAAACTTTTATGCTTTGTCACCTATTGAACGCTTTGCTGCTTAGAAATTTATCCCACTAGATACCCTAAATAATTTATCTCAAGTTCAAAGTTTCACAGATCTCTAGAGCAGAGGCAAAATTCTGCCAGTCTCTTTGTTAAAGCATAGCAAGAGTGACCTTTATTTGCATTCCCAATGAGTCCTCACCTCCATTTAAGACCACCTCAGCCTGGACTTCATTGTCCATATCACTATCAGCATTTTGGTCAAAGCCATTCAACAAGTCTCTAGGAAGTTCCAAACTTTCCCACATCTTTCTGTCTTCTTCTGAGCCTTTTAAACTGTTCCAACCTCTGCTCATTACCTAGTTCCTAAGTCACTTTCACATTCTCAGTTATCTTACAGCAGTACCCCACTCCTGGTAACAACTTACTGTTTTAGTCTATGCTCACAACACTATGAAGAAATACCCAAGACTTAGTAATTTATAAAGGAAAAAGGTTTAATTGATTCACAGTTTTGCGTTGCTGGGGAGGCCTCAGGAAACTTACAATCATAGCAGTAACCAAAGGAGAAGCAGGCACCTTCTTCACAGGGTGGCAGGATGGAGTGAGTGGAAGCAAGGGAAATGCCACACAGTTATAAAACCATCAGGTCTCGTGAAAACACTCACTATCATAATAGTATGAGGGAAACCATCCCCATGACCCAATTACCTCCACCCAGTCCCACCCTTGGCACATGGGTATTATGAAGATTTGGGTGGGAACACAGAGCCAAACCACACCAAGGACAAAAAAGGCAAGTATCAGTTTGAGGAGATTGCTCATGCAAGTATAAGAAAGAGGACAAAGGCAGGGGAACATCACACACCGGGGACTGTTGTGGGGTGGGGGGAGGAGGAAGGGATAGCATTAGGAGATATACCTAATGCTAAATGATGAGTTAATGGGTGCAGCACACCAACATGGCACATGTATACATATGTGACAAACTTGCACGTTGTGCACATATACCCTAAAACTTAAAGTATAATAATAATAATAAAAAAGAAAGATAACTCAATTATAATATTAAGAATCCTATAAAATTCATAAAGCAAGAGACAGCACAACAAAATTATAGACAAAAATTCTGGATAGGCACTTTGCAATAAACATACAAAATAACAATTAACATAGAAGATAATTAGTCATGAAAGAAATACAAGTTGAAATCATACTATGCCTCCACTCTACACCCATCAGAATATTTAAAATTAGTCTTAGGATATAACAATATTCTGATTAGAACATGGGCAATTGGAATTCTCCTGCATTGCTGGTAGGAATTTACATGGATACATATCCTGAAAATCATTTGGGAACATCTACTGATCTACGTTTGAACTTCCCCAATAATGCAAAAATTTAATTCCTGGACATATACCCTACAAAAATGAAAGCATGTATTCAACAAAGACTTATACAAAAACATATGTATCAACACTGTTTATAACAGCCCTACATTGGAAAAAGTTCAAATAATTTTCAAAACTAGATTGGACAAAAAACTATGATATATCCTCCCGGTAGAGTACTGCACAGCAATAAGAAAGAACTGCTGACACATTCAGCAACATGAATGGATTTCACAGTTATCATGCTATGTAAAAGAAGGCAGATACATAGAAGTATATTCCATATCATTATATTAATTTTAAAATTCCAAAGGCAGCACATTTGATAAAAAAAATTGTAAAAGTTATGAGAATAGTTCTACTTGGAGGAGCCCAAGAGTTTTTGGAGTGTTAGGTATATTCTATAACTTGATATAGATGATGGATTACATGGCTGTATATATGTGTAAAAAAACTCATTGAAATTTAATGAAAGTGATTGTATATTAACTACATGTAAATCAAATGAGTTTTTTCTCATGATTATTACTCATAGTTTTAATTCCCACAAACAAAAACATTTGTTGAGGAAGTTTCCTTAAATTTCCTAGAGTTGTGTTTTCTGTTTCAACATTAAAATTTTTTGTCTTTCTTAGGTGATAATGCTGCAGATAAATCTTCTTCAGTGACTCTGCAATGCAATCTGTCATGATTATCATTTAAGTAAAGACCAAGAAGTAAAAATCCATCTTCAAGCACCAAGTCAACAAAATTAAAGATCTTAGTACATATGCTTAAGCAAAGGTAGATTTTGGAAAGAATTCACAGTTGAAAATCTCTGAGACTGCTATCAAGCAACATACGCAAAGTTCAAAGCCCCTAGCATCATTGCAAAAGTCCCACTCTTCATATGAAGACACTTTGGAGCAAGATATATTTTAAAAAGATAGTATTTGCAATTCTTAATGGCCAAATATATAAGATGATTAAGATAGTATTAAGGGGTATATATAATGTATAAAGATACATTTCACATTTTTCAAAAGTTATATAAAACATTATTCAGATTAATATGCATTTTTCAAGATTATAATGTCATGCAATTTTCGTTCTTGAACAACAGATTCTTCTTCTTTTCTTCTCTATGGAAAGGACTTCTGGAAGAGGCAGTTTGAATTCTTCAGTCATATCCAAGGCAGACATGCCTTTGGATCTTGCAGCTAACAATGGAGTGTCATTACATCTAGTTTCAACAATGTCACTAACGTATTTAAGTAGTAGAAATAGTCCTTCTTATTGTGGAGAGAAATAAAATATATAGCCAAACACAATGTTCTTGAATTAAAGACATTAAGTTTGGTTACTTAAATTATGTAAAAAATAATTGTTGGTTTTCTGAAATCTAGGTTCTGAAAAGATATTAATGAAAATTAAGGATGTCGGATGAACAGCAACTTTTTAGAAAAATATAAATTTTTACTAATTTTGTAGCCTTACCAATAAAACTTAGGAAGAAAAGAAACACATTAACATACTTATGCTTGCTACTTAAAAAAAATTGTTGACACACTACTGACAAAAACTACCCCAAAATCTAAGCATCACACCCACAAAGACAAAAATAATCATAACAAAAATTGAAGCAATTACTTTTCTTTATAAGTTTTACCCTAATATTATGTGAACAAATCACAACTCATTAGAGCAAAACATGAGGGATCCGCAAAGATAAATTATAGATATTTGAAAAAATAGACTAAATTTTCTGTATTTTTCCAGAACATTTACTGTAAACACATAGTGAAGAAACAGCATTTGTCTAGAAGGCATTAAGTAATTCACTCTCACAGATTTAATACAAAAGCCATATTGTATTAGGGACCTTGCTGGCTAAAAATTTGTTATCTAAGGGAAAAAAAAGAATGTTAGTTAAACTAGATCATGTGGAGATGTAATATTATCCAACATACTGTTCATTTGCTTTCTTTTAGAAATTCTCTCTATAGTTGTATATTAGATATATAATATGTTTAGCTATACAATTAGTATTGTAAAATACATTCAAATGTATGTGCATGCACACACATACCTATGTCCCTTCAGGCATTTTCAATTTTTTTTCCCATTGGTAAATGGGGACTCAGTCACTTATTCCAATATTATTTATTGAGCATATACTATATGCCAAAGACCCTAGGCCCTTAGGATACAGCAGTGAGCAAAAGACAAAATGTCCTTTCTAAGCTGTGTCTTAACCTAAGAAAACTCTTTGAGAAGTAATACAGGGAGGTAAGTATCCAAATTTCCATAATTTATATCCAGGATCTCACCATTCATCCTGTGGCTTCTGTTTATATACTTCATATCTAATCTTAAATTGATGTACACAAGAAAGCTAATTAACTAAAAATAGCAAGATTAATAGGATATATTATATTGCACATAATGTATCCATGAGGCAAACTGTGTATAAAATATTTTATTTCATCCTGAGTATAAAAATTGTCAGTGATGTTTTTCATAAATACATCCCTGGTAGTAATTTATAATTAAGGAACAGTATACAATTTTTGCCTAACTCATTTCTTGCTTAAGTGATTTTAGATGTTCAAATTCCATAACTATTTCCTTTGCCTTTTGGTGTAAAATCAGATTTCAAATAATTTTCTTATTGGTTATCTTCTGTGATACTTTGCAGAAACACATATTCTAATTAAACTTACATATTTCTATTAGCAAAATATATTCTTAAATCTTCACAAATACTCAGTTTAATCTTTTCAATGTTCCCATCTCTGGTATGATTATCTAATATTTTAGTATATGTAAAGAATTGTCCAAAATGTCTGGCTTCTTAACATAATCTTCCTGGAGTCATATTTAGTTTCCAAACTGTACCTAAGCAGTATGTACTTTTAGTGATTATCTTAGGATAAAATATTAAAACTATTAAAACTGAGCCTAATTGTTAATTTTCATTTTAACATCTATATTATAAAATAATGTGTATTTCTCTGTATTTTTTTACACTTAGTTTAATATGTGAGTTAATATTCTTGTGAAAAGACAATAATGTTCATTTTGAAAACCAACCTTACTATATTCTAATAATATATAATTTGTATTAAATATAGTGTCATGGGAATCAGCAATGATTTCATGGAAAGATCAGTGTTCTTGCAATCGCAAATCCCAAGCTTGAATCCCAGTCCTGTCATGTTACCTTATTTAATCTACTAAACCTTATGAAACCTCTGCTTTTCACCTTTCAAAAAATAACCTTATAAATAAAAAAAAAGAGAAGGGAGAGAGGGAGATAGTAGTTCTCTGTAATAAATAATATATTTCATGTAAATTATAGGTGACAAATAAGATACGTTAACATTGTATTTTAATTAATGGCAACTGATTGAGTAGCTCCATGAAACAACTATGATCTCAATGAAAAATTTCTTCATTCAGAATGACCTCTTTAATTAGTAATATGTTGTCAGGAAAAAAATGCGTTAGATTAAAAAATTGCATTCTGGGTGCTTTGATAATTTTGTAGGAAATCTTTTTAATTTTATTGAAATAACTCTAAAATTCACATCATCTTTTGATGGTTCTCTTAAGTTGAATGTGTTTATGAAATGATAAACACAACGTAGTAACTGAGGCCCTCACATTTTTAATCAAAGAAATAAATATTTCATTAATCTATACCAAAAATTATTACTTTAAATAGTGAGGAAAGGTATACAGCATAAATCATATAAAAACTGAAGAAAATTATTTCTTATTTTATTTTATGAAATTCAGCAAATTCACATAGACTGGTTTTTCTGATTACTTACTAAGTTATATTTAAAAACAAAAAGAACCAAATTGGATTATGTTTGAATTTCTAATAAATAAAAAAAATATGTGATGAGCTACTATGTTCTAGGCACTATTGTGCTTTGGGTGTAATAGGATGAGACATGGGGGCCTTGGTATGCGCTGAGAGTATTTTTATGTGGGAAAGATATGAACCATTAGGTGCCAAAGGGAGAACTGTGGTAGACATTCCCAAGGTAGGACCCCAATAATCCTGTCTGTTGGTAATGATGGCCTTGTGTAGGTCCCTTTCACACTGTATCACAGTTGCTTTCCTATTTGATCAATAGACTATTAAAGTGATAGTGTGTCACTTCTGAGATTAGGTCCTGACAGATACTGCAGGTTCTGTCTTGTTTAATCTCTTTCTTGGATTTTTCTCATACTGGGGGAGGCCAGCTACCAGGCCTTGAGCAAAGCCATATGATTGCAAACTGAAATCTGCTGTCAACAGCCATATGAGTGGAGCTTTCAAAGGGCAGAAATGCTAGCCAACAGCTTGACTACAACCTCATGAAAGACCCTGAGCCAGAACCATTAAACTAGTCTGTTTTAGGATTTCTGACCCTCAGAAACTATATGAGATAATAAATGTTTGTTGTTTTAAGCTTTTGATTTTAGTTTTAAATTGTTATTTAACAGTAACAACAAATAAAATGTTATTTGGAAGCAATCAAAATAAACTTTAGCCATGGAACCATGTAATAAATAAATGATGCAATGGTATAATTCTTACTAGGATATTTTTATATTCCTGTATAGATACCTCCTATGTTAGGGTTCTGAATATTCTCTCACTCTCGTTTTAAGTACATTATAAAAGTCATGTATTGCAAGGTCATTTGTCCAAGGCTAATTCTCTGCAGGCTTGTTTTTTAGATGACAGATTAGCCTTTTGCAAAGCTCCATGGAAAATGACTAAGACTCAGTGTCTAAAGCAGTAACTTCTTAGTCAATTAGACTCCTTAAACTTCAGCCTCTTTTGATACCAGAAAAGAGATCTTGCTTCACCAAGAATAAACTCTGATCCAGTCAATTCTGCCACCAACATGAAACATTATATAATCAAATTGCAAGTCTTTCCCCCATGACTCTGACTACAGAAGGGAAGGGACAGTTGTTCCTTACAACTCAGCTGGCAGGATGAGAGTGAAGCCAAGGATTCACCATATTATATTGGTATTAACATCCTGGACTCTGATAAAGGAAAAGGAGGCCTGATACTTTCCTAATCATGTATCTTAAAAGCTCTGTTGTCTAAAGCTTGGATTCCTTTTCCTAGTGTCTGAGTCTACTTCTGATAGATTTTTGTGCATCTTTCTAAAATACAAGGGGCATACTTCCATTCTAACCATGAGATAATAGTAGCAAGCAATCTAGGAAAAATTACATAAACATTGTTTTCACATTTTGCACAACAGAGAATGCATAACTGTGAATCTAAGGATATGAAAACATACAAATTGACACCATCATCCTAGCTTCTAAGTGAGACAATTTCCAGAGTGCAGCCCAGGAATGAGAAACACAAATAAAGCTTGAGTTTGGGAAGCCTAAGATAGCTAGAATATGAACAGCAGAGTAACAGAGATGTGGAGATATACAGAAGAAAAACTTCCAGAAACTGGCATAGGGATAATCTTAAACCATGAGCCTGGTGAGTGCATAACTAGGGTAAAAATATGTTAAGTCCTATCAAAGATCATCTTGAAGGAAAAAAAAAAAAAAACTATTTTGTAGCTATCAACTTAAAAAATTTTCAAAGCAAATAAATGGCAAGCGTTAATTTAAATTCTCATCCTCCATAATTGAGAAACCATGATAAATTAAAGGGTTTTTTGGTAGCAGTCCCAGAAATATAATACCATAGTAATGGGCATGGTGTTCTAGGATAAAAACTCCTCTAGTCCAAGGATTGTAAATCATGCTGCTATAAAGACACATGCACACGCATGTTTATAGCAGCACTATTCACAACAGCAAAGACTTGGAACCAACCTAAATGTCAAACAACGATAGACTGGATTAAGAAAATGTGGCACATATACACCATGGAATACTAAGCAGCCGTAAAAAATGATGAGTTCATGTCTTTTGTAGGGACATGGATGAAACTGGAAACCATCATTCTCAGCAAACTATTGCAAAGACAAAATACCAAACACCACATGTTCTCACTCATAGATGGGAATTGAACAATGAGAACACATGGACGCAGGAAGGGGAACATCACACACCGGGACTGTTGTGGGGTGGGGGGAGGGGGGAGCAATAGCATTAGGAGATATACCTAATGCTAAATGACGAGTTAATGGGTGCAGCACACCAACATGGCACATGTATACATATGTAACAAACTTGCACGTTGTGCACATGTACCCTAAAACTTAAAGTATAATAATAATAAAATTAAAAAAAAAAACTCCTCTAGTCCTTTTCCTTCTGCCTACCCCAAAGAAAAACACAGTAAAATAAATTGTCAAATAATAAAGCCAATTCAAAAGTCATTTAACTGACTTCAAGGACAAAGGCCAATACTCTTGAAAGGAGTAGAGATAATTAGAAAAAACTGAAATTTATAATTGCCAGTCTTCAATAAAAAATTAATACATATGGCTGGGCGCGGTGGCTCATGCCTGTATTCCCAGCACTTTGGGAGGCCAAGGTGGGCAGATAACGAGGTCAGGAGTTCGAGACCAGCCTGGCCAATATGGTGAAACCCCATCTCTATTAAAAAACTACAAAAATTAGCAGGGCATGGTGGCATCCTCCTGTAGTCCCAGCTACTCTGGAGGCCGAGGCAGGAGAATTGCTGCAACCCGGGAGGCGGAGGTTGCAGTGAGCCGAGATGGTGCCACTGCACTGCAGCCTGGCAACAGAGAGAGATTGCCTCTCAAAAAGAAAAAAAAGTTAATACATATATGACTAAGCAGAAAAATATAACCAAGGAAAAATGTCAGTCAATACAAGAGGGCAGAAAAGTCGACAATTGAGGGGGCATGTGCCTGTAGTCTCAGTCACTCTGGAGACTAAGACAGGAGAATTGCTTCAGCCAGGAAGGCAGAGGTTACAGTGAGCCAAGATCATGCCATTGCACCGCTCTAGCCTGGGTGACAGGAGTGAAACCTTGTCAAAAAAATAAATAAAATAAAATAAAATAAAATAAAATAAAATAAAATAAAATAAAATAAAGCAGGCACATGGCACATAAATGAAAGAGATGATAAAATTAACAGACAAATATATTACAAAAGCTCTTGCTCTTTTAAATATGTTAAATGCTCAACTACTTAAAGATAAATGTGAACATAATGAGGACAGGAATGAAAGATATATTAAAAATGCAACTACACTCTTGAAGATAAAAAAGGTAACATTTCGTTTTGACAATTCACTGACTTAAATTAAAAGTGCAGTGGAGACTTTTGAAAAAACGTCAGTGAAATTCAGTAAATAACAATATAATTTTAAAAAAGAACCATAAGATAAAAGATTGAAGTAAAAAGAATATAGACACAAAGATTTATGGTACTATACAAGCAATGTAGCATATATGCAACTGGAGTCCAAAGAATAACATGTCATTAAAATGTACTTGAGGACAAAACATTTCTAAATATTGATAAAAACTGTAAACACACAATCCAAAATGCTAGAAAAGCAAATCTCAAACATGATAGAGCCAAATAATACTACGAATTGGCACATCAAAATAAAATTGCTCAAAACTAATTATTTAAAAGATATTACTAGTACCAACTCTAAAAAGCATGTTATTTCCAGAAAAGCAAAGATAATAATGACAGAATATTTATTAAAATCTATTTCATCTAGATGACAATAAAGCAATATCTAAAAATGCTGAGGGGGGAAGAAAAGCAATATAAAATTTTAGGCTTAACGAAATAAATTAAGACAAAATCAAGCCTATTATTGTCAGACAACAAAAGCTGAGCAGATCTATTGTCAGTAGAAATCCACTAAAATAAAAAAAAAAAGATAAAGTACTTTAGACATTAAAAATCCCCTTGGATCCACAAAAAGGAATAAAGAACTCCAGAATAGTAAATTAATCAATATGCAGGTAAAGGTATATAACTTTTTTTATCAATATTATTTAAAGGCAATTATTTAAATTTATTATAATGTATTGTGAGATGTATAACAACCGTAGAGTTAAAATGAAGACAACAATAGCATAAAGAAATGGAGAGTTAGGTAGAAGTTTAGTGGTATAAGAATCTTACATTTTATTAATAATAAAATATTGTTTAAAAGTAGATTGGTATTAGTTAAGTAGTTATATTATAAATTATTTATAGAACAAAAATTAACAAAATAGAATCACAAAATAATAAAACACAGAAATGGACATAAAGCAATTAAATTAATTATACCCATATACAAAACTTTTACTCTAAATGATATTCTATGTCTTGACGGCTTACCATTGAATTCTTTCAAATTTGAATGGAATACTATGTATAACATTATCTATACATAGACTATTTCAGCTAACATTGGAGGGAGATAAACTTCCTAACTTATTTTTTAAGGCCAGGATTACACGCATTCTAAAAACTAAATAAATATATTACAAAAGAGAAAATTATAATTGGATATTAAATATAAACATCAATCAAATTCTTAAAAATATATTATTCAATCAACATAAAAAACACACAAAAGAATAATACATTATCAATAAGTAGAATTTATGACAAGAACACAAGTTTGGTTTAACATTTTCAGGACCAATCAATTTAATTTACTGTATTAACAGAATAAAAGGAAAGTGTGATTACTTCGAATGATGGTGAAAAGGTTTTTCATAAAGCCGGCATAAATTTCATAATAAAAAATCTTCAGAAAGCTATTAAGAGAAAGGAAATTCCATAACCTAATGAGAGCATAGTTATGATACACCAACTGGAAACATCATAATTAATAATAAAATACTCAATGCTTTCTTTCTAAGATTTGGGATAATCGCTTCCATTCTACCTTGCAATAAAAATCCTACTTGATGTCATAATATAATTCAAAGGTAAAAAATATACACTTTGGGAAAAAAAAAGTGAAGATCACTTTATTCACACAAAGCATGATTACATATGTAGAAAATCCTCCTTAATCTATGAAAATAAAGCTATGAAAACTAGTTATATACTAGCAGTATAAAGTATGTAGCAATATTGCTATATAATAACAATAAATAATTTGCAGTTGAAATAAAAATATATCATTTAAGATATCCAGAATTGTGATAAATTAAACAAAGTACACTCAGAACTTGTGTACTGAAAACTATAAAACATTGCTGAGAAGAATTAAAGAAACCAAAATAAATGGAGCAGAATTAGGTATTTATGCATGAGAAGACATTGTGAAGATGTCAACTGTCAAAATCCTGAAAATTACATCTATAAATTTACTGGAGTCCCAATCAACATCCCAGCAGGCATTTTGTACATGTCAAGTGATTACAAAATTTATATTGACATGCAAATGAGTTAAAATAGCTAAAATAATTGTGAAAACAAAGACAAAAGTTAGAAAAATAACATTAATTTCAAAATGTATCTTAGATATTTGTATTGACAAGTATATATTTGCATAAGTATAAACACATAGATCAATGGAAAATAATAGAGAATTCAGAAACAGACAACATACAAGGTCAAAGTGATGTGCAACCTTGTGAAAAAGTTACTTAGTGAAAGAGAATCATCTAGAAAAACCTAATAACCACAAGAAAAAATATTAGACTTTACCAATATCTCATGTCGTACATGAAATTAAGTCAACAGGATCATAGGCCTAATTTAAAAGCAAAAATATTAAAATTTCTAGAGGATAAGATAGGATTAATGTTTATAATACTAAGGTAGGCAAAGATTTCTTAGGCTACTAAAATTACAAATCATAGATTAAAAATTAACAGATTGGAACTAATCAGTATTTAAAATCTGATGAAAGTTATGGTTAAGAAAATGAAAAACTAATCCACAGACTGAGACAAAATGTATTATATCTGTCATAGAACATACATCCAGTTTGCAAAAAAATTCTTATAAATCAAGGAGACAACCCAACAAAATGGGGAAAATATTTAAACAAGTATTTACCAAAAGAAGATAAATGACCAAAAAGCATATAAAAAGAAGACGAACATAATTAGAGAAATCTAAGGCTGCATTGAGATACCACAATACACCATTAGAATGAGTGAATTTAAAGAATGACAATACCAAGTGTTTGTGAGGATATGACTCATCTATAACTCTTATACATTGCTATTGAGAACATGAAATGTTATTGTAAATTTGGCAATCAGTTTATCAGTTTATTGAAAATATTGAAAAGTTTATTATTTTTACTGATTCACCCTGTAGTCTACCCATTCTACTCTTAGGTATTTACTAAACAGAAGCCAACAGGCATGTCTTCTCAAAGATATACACACAAAGTTGATAACAGCTTTGTTGGTAAAAGCCAAAACCTAGAAGTAACTTGTATATCCATCACCAGATCAACAGATAAACTAAGTGTGATGTCGGGGATGGCATGTATTATATGTAATATGATCTCGAACAATAGAATCAGAAGTAAAAATAAGAAACTAATATGTGTAACAACATGGATGAATCATTTTAAAAAGCAGAACACAAAGTGTCATTCTCAAAAGAGCACATTGTATGACTCCATTTACAAGAAATTCTAGAAAAGTCAATCAAATCTGTAGATACATAAAGCAGAACATGGGACTGAAGCAAGAAATTGACTGGGAAAAGAATTGTGCCAATATTATTTTCCTTGGCTATGATGATGAGTACACCAGTGGATCAATTTGACAAAACTCAAAGAACTCATGGAATGGTTGCATTTTGTTTTATGTGTGACTTATAATTCAACAAAGTTGATGCAAATAGCCAGTGGGCAACGTGGGACCTGTGCATGCTCTGAAGTAAACAGCAGGGTGAAAGGCAGAAAATAATATGATTGAAAGAAGTATAAATTTTCTGATTTATAAAGGTTAATTTTTTTTTTTGCCGCAGCAACATTTCTTAATGGCCTACTACTGTTTTCCATCTCTGATACCTCTAATTTTTGTTCTAGTTATTCCAAGGGAAGAACTCAAAGAGCCATGCATTCAAATTTAGTTGCTCCTAATATATGCAATTAACCTAAATGTCTATCAATGCAGGAATGGATAAACAAAATATGGAAATTTTTCTATATGGAAAATTTCTACATGGAAATTAAATAACTTGCTCCTGAATGACTGTTGGGTAAATAACAACATTAAGGCAGAAATTTTAAAAATTCTTTGAAATTAATGAAAAGAGAGACATAATACACCAGAATATGTGGGATGCACCATTAAAGTGTTAAGAAGAAAGTGTCTAGAACTAAATACCTACATCAAGAAGTTATAAAATGTTTCAAATTAACAACCTACCATTGCACTTAGGAGAACTAGAAAAATAAGAATGAGCTAACCCCAAAACTAGCAGAAGAGAAATAGCTAAAATCAGAGCAGAAATGAACAAAATTGACATGCAATCATCCAGATAAAAGATAAAATCAAGAGTTGGTACTTTGAAAGGATTAAAAAGATTGATAGACTCCTAGCTGGATTAACAAATTAGAAAAGAGAGAAGATCCAAATAAACACAATCAGAAAAGATGACACCAGAACTGATCCTACAGAAATACAAAAATGTTCAGAAACTGTTAGGGACACTTTGTAAATACAAACTATAAAATCTAGAGGAGATGGATAAATTCCTGGAAACACACAATGTTCAAAGATTGAACTAGAAGAATATGAGACCCTGAACAGATGAATAATAAGCTCTAATATTGAATCAGTAATTTAAAAATACTACCAAAAAAAAAAAAACCCTGGATCAGATGGATTCCTAGGCAGAATCTACCACATGTACAAAGAAAAGCTGATACTAACTCTAATGAAACTATTCCAAAAAAATTAAGGAGAAGGGACTTCTCCCTAACTCATTCTATGAAGCCAGCATCATCCTGATGCCAAAACCTGGCAGAGGCACCAAAAAAAGATAACGTCAGGCCAATATCTCTAAGGAATAGAAACATAAAAATTCTCAACAAAACACTAGCAAACTGAATTCATCAGTTCATCAAAAAGTTAACTCATCATGATCAAGTAGGCTTTACTCCCCCTGAATGCAAAGTTGCTAAACATATGCAAATTAAAACATGTGAATCACCACACAAACAGAATTAAAAACACAAAACATATAATCATTTCAATACATGTGGAAATAGATTTTGACAGAATCTGACATTCATTTATGATAAAAACTGTCAAGACACTAGACATCAAAGGAGCATACCTCAAAATAATAAGAGCCATCTATGACAAACCCACAGCCAACATCAGCATAAATGAGCAAAAGGTGGCAGCATTTCCTCTGAGAACTGGAACAAGACATGGATGCCCACTCTTACCAATTCTTTTCAACATAGTGTTAGAAGCGCTAGCCAGAGCCATTAGGGAAAAGAAAAAAATATAAAAAGCATCCAAATAGGGAAAGAAGTAAAACTTTCTCCACTGATGATATATGATTCCCTACCTAGCCTAAAGACTCCAGCAAAAGGCTTTTAGACCTGATGAACAACTTCAGCAAAGTTTCAGTATACAAAACCAATGTTTAAAAAACAGTAGCATTTTAATACACCAATAATATTCAAAGTGAAAGCCAAATGAACTCAATTCCATTTACAATAGCCACACACACCAAAAAATAAAAATAAAATAAAATATCTGGGAATACATCTAACCTAAAAGGAGAAAGAGCTCTACAAAGAGAACATTAAATCATTGATGAAAGTAATCATAGAAGATACAAACAAATGGAAAAACATTTTATGTTCATGGATTGGAAGATCAAAATCATTAAAATGACAATACCACCCAAAGCAATTTACAAATTTTGTTATTCCTATCAAACTACTAATGTCATTTTACACAGAACTAGAGAAAAACTATTCATATGGAACAACAACAACAACAACAGAAACCCTGAATAGCCAAAACAATCCTAAGCAAAAAAAAAAAAAAAAAAAGAATCCGGACTTCAAACTATGCTATAAGGCTACAGTAACCAAAACAGCATGATACTGTTACAAGAACAGACACATAAACTGATAGAACAGAATAGAGAACAAAGAAATAAAGCTGTTCATCTACAACCATATGATCTTCAACAAAGTTGACAAAAATAAGCAATGGGGAAAGGACTCCCTATTCAATAAATGATGCTAAGATAACGGGCTATTCATATCCAGAATAGTAAAACTGGACTCCTGCTGTATACAAAAATTAACTCAAGATGGATTAAAGATTTAAATGTAAGATCTGAAACTATAAAAATACTAGAAGAAAATCTAGAATTCTAGGCCTTGGCAAGGAATTTAAGGCTAATTCCTCAAAAGCAATTGCAAGAAACACAAAAATTGACAACTGAGACCTAATTAAACTAAAGAGCTTCATCGTATCAACAGAGTAAACAGATAACCTAGAGAATGGGAGAAAATAGTCACAAACTGTGCATCCAACAAAAGCCTAATATCTGTAATCTATAATACACTTAAATCAAGCAAAAACCAAATAATCTCATTAAAAAGTGGGCAAGGAACATGAACAGATGGTTCTCAAAGATGACATACAATTGGCCAATAAACCTTAAGAAATTCTTATCATCACAAAATATCAGAGAAATGCAAATCAAAACCACAATGAGATACCATCAAATCGGTTACCATGGCTTTTATTAAAATGTCCAAACATAACAGACATTGGTGGAGACAAGAAAATGCTTATACACTGCTGATGAGAATGTAAACTAGTTGAGCCAATATGGAGAGCAATTGGAAATTTCTCAAAGAACTTAATACAGAACTACCATTCAACTCAGCAATCCCATTACTGGCTATACACCCCAAGGATGATAAATCTTTCTACCAAAAAGACACATGCACCTGTATATTCATCACAGCACCATTCATGATGGCAAAGACATGGAATCCACCCAGGCACCCATCAATGGCAGACTGGATAAAGAAAATGTGGGATATACACAACATGGAATACTACACCACCATAAAAAGAAAAAACAAATTATTTTCTTTGCAACAACATGGGGGCAGTTGGAAGCCATTATGCTAAGCAAAGTGAAACAGATACAGAAAACCAACTACTACATATTCTCACTTATAAGTGGGAGCTAAACATGGGGTATACATGGACATAAAGATGGGAACAATGAACACTGGGGAATCTAAGAGGAGTAAGGGATGGAGTGCTCCAAGGGTTGAAAAATTGTCTATTGGGTACTATGCTAACTATCTTGGTGACAAGTTCAATCATACTCCAAACCTCAGCATCATGCTGTATACCTTTATAACAAATCTGCACATATGTGCCCAAATCTAAAATAAAAGTTGAAAAAAGGAAAGGATTGTATTATATATAAAATAGAATACTACTCAGCCAAATAAAGAATGAAATCATGTCTTTTGCAGCAACATGGTGAAACTGAAGACCATTATCTTAATTAAAATAACTCTGAAACAAAAAGTTAAATACCTCATGTTCCCATTTATAAGTGGGAGCTAAATAATGTGTACACATGGGCATAGAAAGTGGTATAATACACATTGGAGACTTAGAAGAGTGGGAGGATGAGAGTGAGGTGAGGGATAAGAAATTACTTAATGGATCCAATAGACACTGTTCCAGTAATGGTTACACTGAAAGCCTAGACTTCACCACTGCACAATACATTCATGTAAAAAATGGCACTTGTTCTCTCTACATCTATAAAAATAAAATAAAATAAAAATTTAGCCATCAAATGTGATGGCTTCTCCTGAGCCATCATACTCTTAAACATTCTCCCTTTGGAGATAAGAGAGATGAAGATGGAAAGTCACTTAAGTTAGAAAATAATAGGGTTATTTTTCATGGACTGTATTTTTGGCCTTGTTTTGGATACACTGCAAAATAATTTACTTTACTTAGAATTTGAATTGTCATCTAAAGTATAATGATAGAAGCAAGTATTTATTGAGTGTTACTCAACCCCAAGCACAGCACCTTACATGATTTAAGTCATTAGCCATTTAGCAGCCAAAATAATTAAAAATAATATAGTCATAATGTAATATAGTTACACTAGCACACTGAGTTTTTCAAAAAGACTTAGAAAAATATACAGGTTTAATATGCTGTTATCTATCTTATCTTTTCTCTAGCAGAATTTCATGAATTCAGTAGAAACATTTACTATTTTTATTATTGTTGTTAGGCATGTGTGAATTTATTTCTTACAGTTAGATAACATTAATGTCAAACAAGTAAGTCTATACTCTCTTTTAATATATATTTTAAATTAAAAATTAAAAATAATTTCAAAATGTAACAATATGGGAAAAAGTTTACAAATTTCCAGATATTCTTTGTCACAAGAAATGTTGTTTCCTAACCAGTTCCTATAGTTTGTTATTATTATAAAAACCATTAACAAGTTGAAGTTATTTTGAAAGCTTATATATTCTTAGGTTAAATAAAAAATATTTATTGAGGTGTACATTTGCCTTTTAAGCAATGTTCTTTCTTTTCTCTTAAATGAAAGAACTTCTCATAGTAATTAGTTAACCTTCTCCAATTAAAGGGCAAAATTTCCAAATCAATTGTAGTACAAATCCTAATACTCATAACACATGAGTGATTTTGTAGATGAGTACCAATTATTTCTTAGTCTCATGGTCTCAGGAGAGTCTCTTCATGTTTTAATTGAGTATTTTTCCCCTATTGTATATAAAAACTGAAAATTTTCCTACACGTCTAAATCAAAACTATTTTAGAATGAGTAAATAAATGAATCATGATGTTCAAGAATATCAGTTTATATTTTCAAATTGTGTGGATTTATTTGTATTAAAATAGGATTTGCTTTATAAACAGATTCACCGATTTCTTTCTAAATCAGATGCCCTAAGACACTTAAAATTTGCTTTTATGCATACAGTGTGGCAAGTTAACATCTACAATTTAAAAACCACAAATATGATTTAAATAGCACAGTAAAGCATACAAAGCATTTTTTTCACATTTTATGTGTCTTTCACAAGGATAATATTAGCTTCGTATTATTACAATTGTCATTTTATATATAAGAAAACTGACAGTTAAGAAGATTAAACACATTAACAAAAGTTAGGCAGTTAATTCATGCAAACAATTCTGAGTTTAAATTTTGTGTCATTGTCAAACTTCTGTGCTAATTAAAATTCTCATTCTTAGACAAACTAAGTTATTCTCTATTGACCCCATGAATTGACAACTTACAGACTTTTTCAGCCTTTCTATTTTTTTAAGTTTGAGGGTTAGTTTGAACTAAAAGGTATTTCATATTAAATATTATGTTAAATATCAAATTATAATAAATTTGTTAAAAAAAAATGAGTTCCAGAAGGCTTTCTATTGATATTAAAATAGTGGCACTTGCATCCATAGGTGATTCTCACAAAAGTCCTCGAAATAAGTGAAGCATATATGCAATTTTATTGAAAAGAAAGCTGATAGACTGGGAATTAAAATGACTCACTTATGAACATAAATGTACAAAGTTATATGTTGAGGCATAAAGGCAAAAGACTCTGTTTTGACAAACAGAATAACTTATTTAGAGAATATACAGTCCAAAAACAGTAACTTCTGAACAAAAATTTGGGAAAATTACTAAACTACTTTTCAAGTCATGCAGAAATACACAAATAGGCAGATGAAACACTATAGAGATTATACGTATACAAAATGTATTCACATTTGCAATAATGAAATCATATTTATTTGTGTATAAGCATTACAAAATAATGAGGAAAAAATGAGCCGTTCAATAATTTGTACTGAAATAACTAGTTTTCCCTCTCCGTATGAGTGTGTGTGTATATATATATATACACATAGAAGTTTAGTGTATATAAATGTACTTAACTCCAATCATAAAATAGCAACTTCACATGGATTTTAAATTTAAAATTGAAAGGCAAAAGTATAAAAATATAAGTCTCTATATTTGGGGAATGAAAAATTTACTAAACAGGACATATTTATTCACAACATAAGAAAAAGATTAGTAGACTCAACTACATTAAAATTAGAGATTTCTCTTAATCAAAAAGCACTATCAAATGAAAAGGTAAGCTAGGAGCTGAAATAATTTGTTTGTAACACATATTAATTCAAGGACTGATATTCACAACTTAAAAAGAAGCTTCTAAAATTTAGTTATAAAAGAAAAATAATATAAAGAACAGGGCTAAAGACATGGGCAGCTATTTCACCATATAGCACATTAAACATGAAAAGACACTCAAGGCTCATTAGTAATTAGGGACATGCAAATTAAAACTACATTGAAGTATTATCATGCCATTTGGTTAACTTAAAAATAAACTGATAATATCAAGTGATGTAGAGGATGTATAACTGAAAATTCTCATTAACTGATAGTTGGTACATTAGTTCATGAAATCTATTTTTATTTACTTGCTGAAATTAAAGATTTGTACTCCCTAAAATCAAGAAATTATACCATAGTTATGCATCCTGGAGATATGCTTACACATATATACCAAGAAACATAAGTGATATTTATAGCAGCTCCATAATGGGCATTACCTAAAAATACCCCAAATATACATTGGCAAGATAATAAGTACAATATTGTATACCATCTTTATACAATAAAACACTATATTGCAATGAAAATGAATGGTCTATAAGCAAGGTATGAAATGCATAGAACTAGAAAAATATCAGTGCTTAACAATAGAGAAAATCACGTAAGTCCAAATACAGAAGATTCCATTTTTATAAATGTTTAACAGATAAAATTATATGCTTTAAGAATAGATATTGAAAGCCTTTCCTCTAAGAACTGGAATAAGACGGGATCCCTGCTTTCACCACTCCTATTCAAAAGGTACTGAAAGTCCTAACCAGAGTGATCCAGCAAGAAAAGGAAATAAAAGGCATCCAAACTGAAAAAGAAGAAGTCATATTGTCCCTCTTTTTGATAATATGACCTTACATCTAGAAAAGCCTAAAGACTTCACAAAAACTACTATATTTGATACATGAATTTAGTAAAGTTGCTGGAGACAAAATCAACATATAAAAATTAGTAGCATTTATGTATACCTAGAATGATCAACCTGAGAAAGACAATAAGATGGCAATCCCATTTACAATGGCTACAAAAATACCTAGGAATAAATTTAACTAAGGAGGTGAAAGATCTCTACAAAGAAGACTAAAAAACACTGATGAAAAAAATGGAAGATGACACAAAAAAATGGAAACACATCTCAGGCTTATGGATTGGAAGAATTAATATCATTAAAATGATCATATTGCCAAAGCAATCTAAAGATGCAATGAACTCTCTGTCAAAATACCAATGTCACTCTTCACAGAATTAGGAATAACAATACTAAAATTTATATGGAACAATAAAAAAAACTCCAAATGGCCAAAGCAATCCTGAGCAAAAAGAACAAAGTTGGAGGCATCATACTACCTGATTTCAAAACATATTACAATGCTATAGTAACCAAAGCAGCATGGTATTGGTATAAAAATAGACACAGACCAATGGAATGGAGAACCCAGCAAGAAAGCCATTTATTTATAACCAACTGATATTTGACAAAGATAACAAAAACTTACATTGGGAAGAGAACACCCTTCTTCAATAAAGGGTGCTAGAAAATTGGCTAACCATATGCTGAAGAATGAAACTAAACCCCTATCTCTCAACATAAAGAAAAATCAACTCAAAATAGATTAAAGACATAAACATAAAATTAAAACTATAAAGATACTAGAATAAAACATAAGTAAGGCTCCTGGTCATTAGTCTAGGCAAATAACTTATAACTAAGGCCTCAAAAGCACAGACAACAAAAACAGAAATAGAAAAATGGGATTTAATTTAACTAAAAAGCATGGCATAAGAAATTATCAACAGAGTGGAGAGATAACCTGTTAAATGGAAGAAACTATTTGCAAACTATTATCCAAAAAGAAACAAATATCCAGAATACACAAGGAACTCATACAACAGGAAAAAGAAAAAAATACAAGTAATCTCATTACAAATGGGTGAAGGACATAAATAGACATACAAATAGCCAAGAAGTATATGAAAAAATGTTCAACACCACTAAATATTACAGAAATGCAAATTAAAACCAAAGGAGACATCATCTTACTCCAGTCAGAATCACTATTATTAAAAAGACAAAAAATAACACACATGGATAAGGATGTGAAAAAAATAGAAACTCTTATATACTGTTGGTGGAATGTAAACTAGCACAACCACTATGGAAAACAGTATGAAGATTTTTCAAAAAACCAAAAATGGAATTATTATTTGATTGAGCAATTGTGCTACTATCTACACAAAGGAAAAGAAATCAATATATCAAAGGATACCTGCACTCATGTATTTATTGTATCACTATTCACAATAGTAAAAATATGGAAGTAAGCTGAG
The DNA here is from genome assembly GCF_000001405.40 of Homo sapiens. Lineage (NCBI taxonomy): Eukaryota > Metazoa > Chordata > Mammalia > Primates > Hominidae > Homo > Homo sapiens. The sequence continues at coordinate 65,058,310 of NC_000010.11, read as the reverse complement.
TGTCCACCAATAGATAAATGGATAAAGAAAATGTGGTATATATACATAACAGAATATCAGGATATGATTTGCCCATACAAAAGAAGGAAATCACTTCTTTTGCAGCAAAATAGGTGGAACTGGAGATAATTTTCTTAAGTGAGATAAGCCAGATCCAAATATATAAATATTGCATGTTTTCATTTATATGTGGGAGCTAAGAAATTTGATCACATGGAGGTAGAAAGTGGAAAGATAGATAAAAGAGACTGAGAAATGTGAGTGGGGGAGGGAGAGGATGAAGAGGAGTAAGCTAAAGGGTAGAAACATATGGTTAGATAGAAGGAATAAATTTAATGTTTGATAACAGAGAAGGGTGACTACAGTTAATAAAAACATACTGTGCTTCAGTGGTAGACACCCTAAAAACCCTGACTTGATCAGTGTATATTATATACATGTAACAAAATCTCACATGTACCCCATAAATTTGTACAAATAAACAATTATACATAATATCTATCTATCTATCTATCTATCTATCTATCTATCTATCTAATCTATCTATCTAGAGAATAATACTAAATCATTGTCATGGTTAACTTTGGGTGATAGGGAGAGACAGGACTGTGGTAGGGAAAAGAACCACATTGACCTTGTAAGGTGCTAATAAAATTGTTTCTTAAAGTGTTCAGTTCCTATTGTGTGTGTGTGTGTGTGTGTGTGTGTGTGTGTGTGTGTGTGTGTGTGTATTTTAGAACTATATTTTACAATAAAACCACTTTAAAGATTTTTTTCATCCTGGATTTGGAGGAAAAGATTGATTTAAACGTCAAATTGAGGCAGTGCAATATGGTAGAAAGAATGTACAAGTTTTGGAGCTGGACATACCTAGGCTTGAATTTCCATGTGACAATTTCCAACATTTCTAGCAGCAAAGCCTCAGGAAGCATATTCACTTGACTTCTGTTCTCCAATGTGTTGTGGAAATGAAATGATGTAGGTTATGTAAACCATTTAGAACAATGCTTGGCCGGTAGTAGCTACATTTTATAAAATATTCTGTTATTTCTTTTCCCCTACAATCTCATTCTCATGTTTTCTACCAAGTTTCCTTGATAGTGATTTCTTCTCAACTCAGTAGAGAAAAAACTCAAGTAATACTCATTTAAATAGTATATTCAAAGCCATATAAAGCAGTTACATAACTTCTGAGTTCTACTAAAAAGTTGAAACTTTCTATAATCAGTATAACAATTAAAGTGTAACATTTTTTAGCAAAAATATGTGATTGTTATTTCCCAGTCATAGACACCTTTGAATATTTAAGACTATGGTGCAAATCCTCTCAAGTCAAATGTACATACACATATGTATATAAAATTGTTTCTATAATTGTATTGGGCTCAAGAAACATTTACCATCCATGATCTCCAGATAAGAATTTCTAAGTTAAATTGTCATTTGTTGAAAATCATTTCAACCTTAAAATCTAAAAAGACAGGAACAATAAGCAAGATAACTGTTTTACAAGGTAAGTTTATACTGACTGCAAGGCAGTCAATATATCTATATTTCAAGTAGAAATATATCTATATTCAAGTCAATATATCTATATTTCAAGTCAATATGTCTATATTTCAAGTAGAACTAATCAGGAGAGAGGGCAAATGGAGTTTACTAGTAGGTCTTTATACTGTATGAAATTTCATTCTTCTTCTATAACAGCAATAACCAGGATAAATAAAAATGCATGGCAGTAATTTACTATATTACTACATGTATGTTAGAGGATCTTGTATGAAAGGTTAATGAAATATAGTGAGCTATTAAGGCAATCAAAAACACCTTAATAGGGTACATTTTTCTGACCTCTTTATTGTTTATAATTATTCAAATACTGTATTCTACAAAGGGTTTGGTGGACTTGATAATATCATTACTAATCAAAATGCAAATGAATGGTATTTACTGCAGTTTCTGATTGAGGATTTTATTAGAAATGAGAAAACTCACAAAGTATCAGAAGTAAAATAACCAAAAAGGTGGTAAAATTATATTGCCAAGATTCTTTGACCAGTTTCTTCTTACTGAGGTCAGTTTAAAAGTCAGAAAAATGATTGGGTAGTTATATTCTATAACTCAGTTATTGTTTTTAAAACAATACACTTTTGTTAACATTCTAGTAGACTACATTTGAAAACTCACTTCTTTTCACAGAATAAAATAATTTTTTGCTTGTCATTTAAAAATTAATGTAATACAGAGATACCAAAAAATAGTCATCTACTCATTTAGTCAATGAATTATTAAGCAGATTGCACATGTGCATATATAGATATACTCAAAACTTGAATTATAAAGATATGTCTAGGAAAGTAGGCAAAAGCATGTGTTTTTATTTGTTGAAAATAAAAATCATATATGTAATCAAAGACATTTGTTTTCTCTTCTATAAGCAATTAAGAGTAAATGACAGGTATGCAAAATATTAATAGGATTGTTTTTATGTTTTAGGGGAAAATAGTTTTATAGTGTTAAGTAATATTGAAGAGATGTGGAATGGCAATAGGAAAACCATTTAAAGACTACTCTAAAGTCTAAGTTAGAATATAGAAGGAACTTTTTTTTAGAAGAAATTTCTTATGCTCATAGTTATAGGCAGGAAAATAAATTATGGAATTGGAGAAACATTATTTAATTGATAGATTCAACTTAATTTGAGAATACAGGAGTGAGAAGCTGAAAAAAATCTACACTGTTTTATTTAAAAACAGAATGTTGACAGAAACATGAACAGAAATAATTAATATCATGGCAAGTTTAGGAGAGAAGCCCAAGTTTAAAGGAGAAGGTCAGCACAAGAGGGACTTACAATTTTTTCATGTTGGATTTGAAGCAATATAGTGGAAATTTTCAGGCGACATCAAGGAATGTTGGATTCTTGACCAGGGTTATAAAGTGGAACTTATTACTACATGAATTTTTATATTAAAATGTGACTACTCTGCCTAATTGGTGTTCAATTGTTCTTTCAAAGTACTAATGTTTGAATGGTATACAATCTACCATTCTTTTTTTTTTTTCACACAAGACTAATTTATTGTGTTTGCCCTGTATCATTTCTTTCTTAAACAATTTAAGCAGGAGTTATTTCACATACTGTATTTGGCAATCAGCTTTTGTTATTTCAAACCACTGAAGACAATACATTTGCTTTCTTCCTCTTTTCTTTTTCTTTCGTTTTCTTTTTTTTTGAGATGGAGTCGCGCTCTTGTGCCCAGGCTGGAGGGCAGTGGTGCGATCTCAGCTCACTGCAGCCTCTGCCCTCGCTCGCTGCATCCCTCCCTTCTGCAGCTAAGATGTCAATATTTACCCTACTGACCGTGGCCAGTTCTTGGTATTGCTCAAGTCCCCTGGGCCTTCAGACTGGCGGCTGACTTCAAGGGACCAACCACCCTGGGCCTCTCCTGGGACAAACACTTGCCTTCACCCACTATCGATGTCTTGCTCAGGCCTCAGAGGAGCAGCAGGCTTGGATGTCACCAAGTCACAGTGTTTCATGCTATTTCTGGAGGTTCTCGCCTTTGTGGCCTCGGAAAGGAAGGCGATCTGGTGCTTTGGGGAAAGCCCTCCGGATGCTCCTCCAGATGGTCTTCTTCAGGCCTTTTGCTCAGCATTGGTCTGATCAGTTCTGCCAGCTCTGGGCCATGATCTCTTGGCACTGGCGCGGCTTTCCTTCAATAATTTCATAAACTCCAGACTTCGTGTCTTTTGCATGGAAAGCACGCCGTGCCCATTTCATGGACACCGCACCCCGGAGCCCAAACTTCAGCCCTGCGGGTGTTGGGTTTGTTAGGGACAATTTCGGGCTCAGGTGGAGGGGGCGCTTCCCCAGCGCGGGCGCGTCCTGGGCCCCATCTGAGGCCGTGGGCTCCTGGGAGGAGGACCTGGAGTTTTCAGATCCCCGTGAAGGATGCATTTCCCCCCACTCTTGGGTACAAGCTTCCCTTTGGTGGCATTGGGCACGGATCACCGCCTGGCAGAAGCCCGCGACAGCGTGGAGGGAGCGATGACCCCGCCCGGGACTCCTGGTGGGTGATGGCGCCGGGAGGCCTTGGCTGGGACAGATCGGGGCCTCCCGGTCGGTCAGCGACTCGCGCCCGGCTGCGGCTTTCAGAGGCTTTTGGACACCGCCTGCCATCCCGCCGCGCCCCTCGGTGTCCGCTCCCCAGACTGGCCCTGCCCACGGAGCGCGGGTAGCAGCCGGCGGCCAGGAGCCAGTGGCGGGAGCCACCGGTGGGAAAACCGGCAGGAGGCTGAGCTGGAGCCTGCGCTGGAGCCCGCTGGGCAGCGCCAATCCCTAAGGCAGCCGGGCGGGTGAGCTAACGGCGGCGGGGGCGGCTGACAGGCTGAGGCGGCTGAGGGGCTGAGGGGCTGAGGCGGCTGAGGCGGCTGAGGGGCTGAGGGGCTGAGGCGGCTGAGGGGCTGAGAGGCGGCTGAGGGGCTGAGAGGCTGAGGCGGCTGAGGGGCTAAGGCTGGTGAGGGGCTGAGGGGATGAGGGGCTGAGGCGCCTGAGGGGCTGAGGCGGCTGAGGGGCTGAGGCGGCTGAGGGGCTGAGGCGGCTGAGGGGCTGAGGCTGGTGAGGGGCTTGAGGGGCCGAGGGGATAAGGCGGTTGACGCTGCTGAAGGGACTGAGGGGCTGAGGTGGCTGAGGGGCTGACGCGGGTGAGGGGCTGAAAGGCTGAAGGGCGGGCAGCGTGCCCAGTCCCTGCGGCTGGGTCCACCGCACGTCACGTGGCAGAATCCCCGGGCTGCTTTCTCTCTGGCTGCTCAGCCACTTGTTTTCTTACTGTGAACCTCGTGGGCTCCTGCTCGGTGTCCTTTCTTACTCTGTCTCTGTTTTTGCATTCTACTGGCAAGAATGTTATTTAGGATATTTTACTGATATAACTGAGGATGAACTCTGTTTTTGCAGCATTTTATTTTATTACGCGTTTTCTCCTAGATTTTGGTATCATTTTTACGCTGACTTGATTAAACATTTTGGAAACTTTCCTGGAACTGATAGCTTTTATATGATCTTTTTCTTGAGGTAATAAAATAATTTACTTTGAAATGTCTCAGCCTAACAACTTTTGTGCTTTTGTTGTTTTGTGCAGAGGTGGGAAGTCTCCTTTGCATTTTTGGTATAACTTCTGTGTTAATGATTTTATTGTTTGTTTCGCAAAATCACTTAGTGATCCATGTTTTCCAACTTAGAGTTAACATGTACCATTTTGCGAAATAAAAAAAGTCTCGTATATCTCTTTGTATGTCTCTTTTCATTTCTCATATTTGGAATTGTCTTCATTTTTTCATCATTAGTTTAAAGTAGGAATTTATTTTTTTATTTTTTTATTCTTTTTTTTTTTTTTTATTGATCATACTTGGGTGTTTCTCGCAGAGGGGGATTTGGCAGGGTCATAGGACAATAGTGGAGGGAAGGTCAGCAGATAAACAAGTGAACAAAGGTCTCTGGTTTTCCTAGGCAGAGGACCCTGCGGCCTTCCGCAGTGTTTGTGTCCCTGGGTACTTGAGATTAGGGAGTGGTGATGACTCTTAACGAGCATGCTGCCTTCAAGCATCTGTTTAACAAAGCACATCTTGCACCGCCCTTAATCCATTTAACCCTGAATGGACACAGCACATTTCAGAGAGCACAGGGTTGGGGGTAAGGTCAAAGATCAACAGCATCCCAAGGCAGAAGAATTCTTCTTAGTACAGAACAAAATGGCGTCTCCCATGTCTACTTCTTTCTACACAGACACAGCAACAATCTGATTTCTCTATCTTTTCCCCACATTTCCCGCTTTTCTATTCGACAAAACCTCCATTGTCATCATGGCCAGTTCTCAATGAGCTGTTGGGTACACCTCCCAGACGGGGTAGCAGCCTGGTAGAGGGGCTCCTCACTTCCCAGAAGGGGCGGCCGGGCAGAGGTGCCCCCACCTCCCTCCCGGACGGGGTGGCTGGCCGGGCGGGGGCTGCCCCCCACCTCTCTCCTGGATGGGGCGGCTGCTGGGCGGAGACGCTCCTCACTTCCCAGACGGGGCGGCTGCCGGGCAGAGGGGCTCCTCACATCTCAGACGATGGGCGGCCAGGCAGAGACGCTCCTCACTTCCCAGACGGGGTGGCGGCCGGGCAGAGGCTGCAATCTCGGCACTTTGGGAGGCCAAGGCAGGCGGCTGGGAGGTGGAGGTTGTAGCTAGCCGAGATCATGCCACTGTACTCCAGCCTGGGCAACATTGAGCATTGAGTGAACGAGACTCCGTCTGCAATCCCGGCACCTCGGGAGGCCGAGGCTGGCAGATCACTCGCGGTTAGGAGTTGGAGACCAGCCCGGCCAACACAGCGAAACCCCGTCTCCACCAAAAAAAAAAATACAAAAACCAGTCAGGCATGGCGGCACGCGCGCCTGCAATCGCAGGCACTGGGCAGGCTGAGGCAGGAGAATCAGGCAGGGAGGTTGCAGTGAGCTGAGATGGCAGCAGTACAGTCCAGCTTCGGCTTGGCATCAGAGGGAGACCGTGGAAAGAGAGGGAGAGGGAGAGGGAGAGAGGGAGAGGGAGAGGGAGAGAGGGAGAGGAAGAGAGGGAGAGGAAGAGAGGGAGAGGGAGAGAGGGAGAGGGAGAGAGGGAGAGGGAGAGAGGGAGAGAGGGAGAGGGAGAGAGGGAGAGGGAGAGAGCTACAATCTACCATTCTTTCATCTTCTGAGCGCATAAACATAACCAAAAAATATTTCTTCCAACAGAAATTTAATAGTATAAGAAATGTTAGTAATACAATAGGAAATGTTGTTAGTTAAAATAGCTACTAATAGGGCAACTTTTCCGAGTTAGAAATATGTCCAATGTGGCCGCACGTGGTGGCTCACGCCTGTAATCCCAGCGCTTTGGAGGCCGAGGTGGGCGGATCACGAGGTCAGGAGATCGAGAACATCCTAGCTAACACAGTGAAACCCCATCTCTACTAAAAATACAAAAAAATTAGCCGGGCATGGTGGCGGGCGCCTGTAGTCCCAGCTACTCGGGAGGCTGAGGCAGGAGAATGGAGTGAACCCAGAAGGCGGAGCTTGCAGTGAGCTGAGATTGTGCCACTGCCCTCCAGCCTGGGCGACAGAGCGAGACTCCGTCTGAGGAAAAAAAAAAGAAATATGTCCAATGAAATGTGATACGCTGTAACCGGAATTTGGAAACGACATGCAACTTTAAGTAGAAAGGAAGGTCTTTCTTCCTTTATTTTGGCAGAAGTAGAAAATAGTAAAAAGAAGCATATAAAGGAAGTAGCAAGTGAAGTAAGTTATAAATGATTTAGTTAGAACTCATGTTGGAAGGGGGTTTGGAGTGGGTTGTTCAATGTGGAGAAAAAGAGAAAACAGGCCGGGTGCGGTGGCTCACGCCTGTAATCCCAGCACTTTGGGAGGCTGACGTGGGCAGATCACGAGGTCAGGAGGTCGAGACCATCCTGGCCAACATGGTGAAACCCCATTTCTACTAAAAATACAAAAATTAGCCGAGTGTAGTGGTGCGTGCCTGTAGTCCCAGCTACTTGGGAGGCTGAGGTAGGAGAATCGCTTGAAGCCGGGAGGCAGATGTTGCAGTGAGCCGAGATCAGGCCACTGCACTTCAGCCTGGGTGACAGAGCAAGACTCCACTTAAGGGGGAAAAAAAAAAGAAAAAGAAGAATCATGCAGAGTAGAAAAGATATGACTAAGCATGGCTAATCAATGAGGTGCACAGAGTCTGGTTTATCCTTACCATGTTCTATTTACTTGTTAATGGAGTTATTATAAAAAGGATATTAATTTAAATTATTATAGTAGTATCAAGGCAATGTATTTGTTTGCTCATATACATGGATCAATAACTGTGTAGGGGATCAATAATTACAAACCTAATGTTAAATATTTCTTAAAATTAATCCATTCATTTTTATTTTGCATCAGTTTCTGTGATTTGATTGCTATTTTAAGAATAATTTTTTAAACATTATCTAGTTCCTTCTCATCAGCAAGAAAGATGATATTTCATCCATCACATCATCTTCTGTCTTGAGATTCAAGGAAACATTTATAGGGTCTAAAATTATTGAGATTGTCAAGACTATGATAGTGATGAAATAATGGATTCCTTATTCCTTAGGTAGCAATATGTTTTAATTAAGTCACTTGTGTGCAGAGTTTTGAGATCACTTAATTATTTCATGTGAAGCAACCATTAAGAACAACATGTCAAAGCAAATGTATGTAACTATTGATATTTTGGTTGTATAATTTTTTAATACAAACTTTTATTTTCTAAATAATATAACTTCATGATTTTCAATAAATCCTTTCCAAAGGTAATGTTGTTTTCTAATCAATAAATCAGAAATCATAAAAAATTAACATCTTATTAATAATAAATAAGAAAACTTTGTTTTGATCTATGTTTTATGGTATCCACAATACCTAATATATCACCTAGCAATAAAAAACTCAACAAATATTTTCAAGTGAATGAATAAATGCATGAAAAATGAGTTAATTAATGCTAGCAGCACAGCAATATTTTTAACTCATTATCCCTGAACTAACATTTTTGTATTTTCTAGGCTCAAAAAACATTTTCGTGTACAAAATCAGAGATGACTGTTTTATATCTCCAATAAAGATAATCTGTATTCTGGCTTTATAATGTCATTCACTAACATAGTTTTTAATGAGTACCAACTATCTATGAGGAATTGTAAAAAAAAAAAAAAGGTTAACCTCATAAGGATTACAGTCTAGCTTCATGTTCATTCTGAGTAAACTTTAGCACTTGTTTTATTTAAATATACAAACTTTAATATAGAATTATCATTAATTTTGGAAGCAATACTGTTAAGTACATTCGTAGGCGTATATATCTAAAGTCAGTTTTTATTCAAAGCACAATCTTAAATAAATGCTAAGTTACCTACCAGTTAGAAGTCAAACTAGGCCCTGTGAAACATAATAAACCCTAAAAGGTAATTTTTTTCAGATGTCACTTACATACTGTTAAAAGTTTTGGGACTGTTCATAAAGACAAAATTATACTCTACAAAACAGCAATTATAATAGAACAACTTTTACTCAGGTTATTTAAAAAGAGAGAGAATGTATTAAGAACAGCTGTTGGAAAAATTCTTCTTTTATAAGACACTTCAGAAATACTCAGTAGAGATAAAATAATATAATTTTAAAACTGAAAGAACTTTCAGGATGATTAGTTTTAAGCCAACTCTTTTGCATTCGAGATAGGAAAGCCAACTAAACTGACAACTGCCCTGAATGAAGGTGGGGTCCAATCTACATCTAAAGATAGTTTCCTGTCTCATACTCAATAATTGTATGTGAATTATTAGATCAGTCAGTATAAGGTAGTGTGTGCTATATAAACAAAAATCTCAAATTCTCATCAGCATATAACAGTGAAGTGGTATTTAATTTTTCTGCTCAAAATGGCATATCATTTCCCTCACATATGATGACCAAGTGGGTCATGCGGCCATTCCTGAGATTAACAGAGTGGAAATTTATATGCATTGTTAAATGAGGAGCAACACATGTTTAGAAAAATGATGAAATCTATCATAAAGAATTAAGTGGGCGGATGCTGTGGCTCACACCTGTAATCCCAGCACTTTGGGAGGCCAAGGTGGGTGCATAATGAGGTCAGGAGTTTGAGACCTCCCTGGCCAATATAGTGAAACCCCATCTCTACTAAAAATACAAAAATTAGCTGGGCGTGGTGGTGCGTGCCTGTAGTCCCAGCCACTCTGGAGGCTGAGGCAGAAGAATCACTTGAACCCAGGAGGCAGAGGTTGCAGTGAGCTGAGATGGCGCCACTGCACTCCAGCCTGGGCAACAGAGTGAGACTCCATCTCAAAAAAATAAATAAATAAAATAAAAAATAAACACAGAATGAAATGGGATGAATTCCTCATGAAAAAACATATTCGATTGTAAAACTCTTCTTTGACTCAGATACATTCTATGTTCCATGTAACTACGTTAACATCATTCCTTATTTTAAAATGGAGGTAATAAGTGAGATGGGGCATCATATTGATTAGAATTTCTTGGAAAGTTTGTAGGCTCCACACTGACTAGATAAATCATGTTACAGATATCTTATGAGAAAAGAAGAACAGTCTTATTACGTTTCCTGAGGCAAATCTGCTATTTCTAAATATTTATAGAATCTAATAACAACAATTATTTCAGAGAGAAAGAGATTACAAATCCTGTGACTTACTTAAAAGTTTTAATTTATAATAGTTTTCCTTCAACAGTTACAAATAAACAGCTACTTTGAGACAACATGCGAAGAGGATTTATCTCCTTCTAAAAGAAAATTGTTTGTAGTAAATCCTCACTCAACTGGTTTTCTCAATATTGCATTTATATATTACTATGTAGCAAAGACCTGGAGTGAAATAGATCTGATATAACCTATACAATTGATCATAATGAGTCTCAATTTAAGAGTCATCATAATCTAATTCAATTAATTTAAAATGACTCCCTGAGCAACTGGACATCACTCTATTCTATGAGATGCCAGAAAGTATATTACCTCTTTTAATTGTATTAGTCATTACACACGGGTTTGCAGCTATTCAAACTGCTATCTCTGCTGCTTGAATCAGAAACCAGTATAGAAGTGGATGTGAGCACCTACTTCAGGATCCAGACTAGAAAAGAGAGCCTATAATAGAAAGTTCAGTGGAAGAAATTTAATAACCCAAACAATTGAAAGATTAGCAACAGTAGGAAGCAGTAGGATCTCATACATCTGGAAATACAAATAAAGTAATGTTCTAACTTGATTGCGGGAGCTGGAATCAAGGTACAAGCTGCCAGAGGGAGGCTGAATATGGTGGAAGTGTCTTCCCAGCAAGGGCTAGAACTGTAATCCAGGGTGCCTTGGGTTTCAGATACATATTGTGAAAAAGTACCCACTTGTAACTGTTGCACCTTGAGTTTTTGTTGCTTCAAAAAGTTCCAGGGAAAAGCCCAGCCCTGTTAAAGCAAGGTTGTATCCAGAGACACCTGAGTTGGAAATGAACTTCAGTGTACTCTCTGTAATACCATACTTAAATCCCCACCCAGGGAGAAGCTTCTTTGCCTTTTTCTGTACATGGATGTACAGAAGCATTATTGATTACTGCACCTGTGCTGCCTTTACTCCACCTCTACATACAATGATGCAGCCAAGCAGCCCAATAAAAGCTCTGTTTTTATTGCTGTTTGGAGAGGCATTGCTTTGGAAATTATCCCCCATGTTCTCCTTACTTGTTGCAAGTAATAAAATTTCCTTGTTAAATCTTCCTTGGTTGTGATCATTTGACTGTGACCCATCAACGGACTGAACACACCCATTAGGTGGATAATAGAAACACAGAGAAAACACAGTCACTGTCAGAGACTGTCAGAACATAAAGAGAGAAGAATCTGATTCCTCCCCTCCTCCCACTCTACACACTTGTGCCATACACTATATTGGACGAATATAGTCTGCTGCAGTGAGCAAGGAAAGCAGTGGATAAAGGTGCTTATGGAGAAAGATACTTTCAAAATGTAGTTTGAATGAGACTACTCTTGAGATATGGGCAGAGCATAAGAGTAGAAATGGATGTGAACAGAAAGAGGTAAATATTTATGACATAACTTTAGTATATAAAAGTTTTGAGTTTTGAGACTTCCTTCTTGTGGAGGTCTTTTCATGTTCTCATATTTAGAAGGTGCAAAAATAATATATAGGAGAGAGTGAGAAACACTCTGATACCCAAAATTCTTGTAAGACCTTTGAAGACAAACCGCCATGGCAGTCAATTGCAAAATTGTGTTTTAGATCTCAGACTTGAAGAAACAGTTAACAGATGTCTCTATGACAAGAAAAACACTCATTCCCCAAACTACTTTCTTACTCCTCTGACAAGTTACCATAAATTTCACCTTTAAAATTATTTCCTTTGTCATAAGGCACAAGATTTCCAGACACATCAGTAACCATGAGAAAATGCTAATAAAATTGGAATGGACAATGGTCTATGTCCACCCCTAAGGTTTGATGAACTCAAACCAAGAGAACAAACAAATTATGATCACAAAACATATGCTAAGTAGTTAAATATTAGAAATCAAACTAAAAAAGTTCTAAAGGAATTTTTTTAAATATGTACCTTAGTAATAATAAAAACAAAAATGAATTCCAATTAGTAAAACATCAAAGATGCTTGAATTTGCTGTTGCACCTGAGTGATCAGCAAGTTGAGGTAAGAGACAAAATTAAGACATATAAAACATATATGTTTATTCTATGAAATTCACTTTTATCTTAATTTCAGAAAAATCATTAAAGTTGTTGCTATATTATTTATTGTTGAATAATTTGTTTTATTTACATTAATGATCTAAAATATTAAAAATAAAATACAATGTATTTTAGTGTACCAATTCAAATGTACTTTTATTAAAACTAAATTTAATAGATGTGAAATTTCAAAAAATAAAATTATTTTATATTTTTAAAACTAATATTTCTTCTAAATTATCCAATATTATCTACATTAAGAAAAAATACAAATTAATATTATGAAATCAAATTTTTAAATCCATATTCAAATAAAATCAACATTTTATATACTCTGTTTAATATTAATATTTTATTTGTATTGTATATACACACATATATATACACAAGCACATTTTTAATGCACAAAGTACATCTAGTTACCAATGTTGATAACTGAAATAATTTGTACCTTTCTTTCTGAATATTGTCTAACAATATATTGTCTAACATACATACAAATTTAAAAGCATCATTATTTGCTTATCTTACAAAATATTTAATAGCCACCTTGTGCAAAAGTTGTGACTAGCCTGTTAACTTATAAGTAACAAGAAAAGCAAGAAAACATTGTTCATTAATTTTGGGAATTAATACTTTGTAATTCAAGAATGTATTGCTTCTTATCTCAGGGAAAGAATTTCAATTAACTTGTTTTTTTTCTCATACATAATGATTTCAACCCTCCAAAATTTTGCCTGCCCTCCAAAATTGCATTTTGTCTCTTACACCATCAGCTGTGCAACCAACCAACCTTAATGCCACTCAGAGGACATAAAACAAAGGATGTAGAGAAGAGTGCCTATGGGGCCTGAATATTGTTAGTAACCAGAGTGGATGTACCCTAAGGTACAGGTCATGCTATGTTAAACTTGAGTCCTTGTTCCCAAATGACAAAATTGTTCATGCATTCTTCATAAATTAAATATTTAAGACGCTTTAAACATTTGAGCCCCTTTTGCTAATATCTAAGAGTAATCTTGAATTATTGGTCATTAACAGCTTGATTTATATTTGCTTAAGAGATTTTGAAGTCAAAAAGGTGGACTATTACACACACATGCATGCATGTGTGCATGAGTGCATGCACACACACACACACACACACACAGGTAGAAAGCACAGAAAAATTGCATATATTTGTAAGATACTGCAGTAAATAACATGCATATAATTTATCATTTTTATTTTATATAATAAACTTTTATAAAATAAACTTTTATAATCTTATGCGTCATTAAACACAAATGTTTATATTTTCAACTTGAGGCTTGTTTTAAATATATATTTTAACAATTCTAGTATTTTCCCCTACTGGGACGTGGGGACCTCCAAGAAGAAAATTTCTGTCTCATTTCCCAAACACAGGCTGAAGGCTTATATCAAATGGATGTCAAAGAGCTATATAGTCACAAGGCAGAAACTAGTTATTAAAGAAAAATTGAGGGATGCAAGGATAATTCAACATATACAAATAAATTAATGTGATACATCATTTCAACAGAATGAAGGACAAACATACTGTGATCATTTCCATTGATAATGAAAAAGCATTTGATAAAATTCAACATCCCTTCATGATCACAACCCTCAAAAAACTGGAAATAAAAGGAATAGACCCCCAGCCAGTATCATACTGAATGGAGGAAAAAGTGAAAGGCATTCCACTAAGATCTGGAATAAGACAAGGACATCTGCTCTTGCCATTATTATTCAGTGTAGTACTGGAAGTCCTAGCTAGAGCAATCAGACAAGAAAAAAAAAAAAAGGCATCCAGATTGGAAAGGAAGAAGTCAAATTATCCTTGTTTGCAGATAATATATTCTTATATTTGGAAGACTAAAGACTCCACCAAAAAACTATTAGAACTGATAAATTCAGTAAAGTTCCAGGATACAAAATCAGCATATGTAAGTCAGTAGCATTTCTACATGCCAAGAGCAAACAATCTGAAAAACAAACCAAGAAGTTCTATTTACAAAGGCCACAGATAAAATAAGATATCTAGGAATAAACTTGACCAAATAAGAGAAAGATCTCTACAATGAAAACTATAAAACATTGCTGCAAGTAATTGAAGAGACCGTAAAAATAATGGAAAGATATTCTATGTTCATAATTTGGAAGAATTAATATTGACAAAATATCCATACTACCCAAAGCAATCTATAGATTCAATACAATCTTTATCAAAATAACACTGACATTCTTCATAGAAGTAGAAAAAATAATCTTAAAATGTATATGGAGACACAAAAAAATGTATATGGAGACACAAAAAATCCAGAGTAGCCAACACCAGCCTAAGTGAAAAGAATAAAACTGGAGTAAACAAATGACCTGACTTCAAATTATACCACAGAGCTAGAGTAACAAAAAAGCATGCTACTGCCATTACAACAGACACATATACAAATGTAACAGACTAGAGAACCCAGAAATAAATCTATACATCCACAGTGAACTCATTTTCAACAAAAGTGCCAAGAACCTACACTGGGGAAAGGACAGTCTCTTTCTTAAATAGTACTAGGAAAACTGGATATCCATATGCAGAATAGTGAAACTAGACACCTATCTCTTGCCATATACAAATATCAAATTAAGATCAGTTAAAGACTTTTAAATTGAAGACCTCAAACTATGAAACTACTCAAATAAAACATTGAGGAAACTCTCCAGGACAATGGAATGGGCAAAGATTTCTTGAGTAATACCCCACAAGCACAGGCAACTGAAGCACAAATGGAGAAATTAAATCACATCAAGTGAAAAAGCTTCTGTACAGCAAAAGAAACAATCAACACAGTGAAAAGACAACCCGTAGAATGGGAGAAAATATTTGCAAACTATCCATCTTAAAAGGGACTGAAACAGAATATCTAAGTAGCTCAAACAACTCTAAAGGAAAAAATCTAATAATCCAATTAAAAATGGGCCAACGATTTGAATACACATTTCTCAAAAGAAAACATACAAATGGCAAACAGGCATATGAAAAGGTGCTCAACATCACTAATTATCAGAGGAATGAAAATTAAAACTATAATGAGATATCATCTCATCCCAGTTAAAATGGCTTATATCCAAAAGACAGGCAATAACAAATGCTGGCAAGGATGTGGAGAAAAGGAAACTCTCATATGCTGTTTGTGTGAATGTAAATTAGTACAGCTACTATGGAGAACATTTTGGAAATTCCTCAGAAAACTAAAATTAGAACTACTATGTGATCCAGAAATCCTACTGCTAGATATATATCCCAAAGAAAAGAAACCATTATATCAAAAAGACATTTGCACTCCCATGTTTGTTGCAGCACTGCTCATGGTCAAGATTTGGAAGTAGCCTAAGTGTCTGTCAGCAGATAAATGTATATGAAAAATGCAATACATAGACACAATGGAGGACTATTTAGCTATAAATATGAATGAGATCCTGTTATTTGCAGCAACATGGATGGAACTGGAGGACATAATGTTAAGTAAAATAAGCCAGACATGGAAAGACAAACTTCACATGTTCTCACTTATTTGTGGGAGCTAAAATTCAAAACAATTGAATACATGGAGTTACAGAGTAGAATGATGGTTACCAGAGGCTTAGAAGGGCATTGGGATGGTGGTGGGAAAGTGAGGATGACTAATGGGTATAAAAATAAAGAAGATCTAGTGTATGATAGCACAACAAAATGACGATGGTCAATAAAAATTTGTAGTACATTTTAAAGAAACTAAAAGAGCATAATCAAAATGTTTGTAACAAAGAAATGGTAATAGTTTGAGGTGACAGATACTTCATTTTCCCTGATGTGATTACTATGCATTCTATGCCTCTATCAAAGTATCTCATGTACACCATAAATATATACACCTACAGTGTACCTATAAAAATTAAAAATTAGGTATTCCTCCTAATGCTATGCCTTCCCTAGCCCCCTGGCCCACACCCCCGACAGACCCTGGTGTGTGATGTTCCCCTCCCTGTGTCCATGTGTTCTCATTGTTCAATTCCCACTTATGAGTGAGAACATGCGGTGTTTGGTTTTCTGTTCCTATGTTAGTTTGCTGAGAATACCTAATTTAGGTGACGGATTGATGGGTGCAGCAAACCACCATGGCATGTGTATACCTATGTAACAAACATGCACGTTCTGCACATGTATCCTAAAACTTAAAGTATAATAAGAAAAAATTTAAAATTAAAAAAACTGGAAAATAAAGCAACAAACAGGAAAAAATCTTGCTAGATGGTACAGGAATAACATTAGCACTGGATTGGTGGGTGAAAGGGTTATTTTCTAAAAGGAAGAAAGGTCCTTTGAGAAACATAATAATTTTGCCTACTATAATCAATTTGCCCATTATGTTATTGTATTATGCCTCATGTTTTACACCCATGAAACACATTGTTTTTGCTGACATTGATAAACACGCTTCCTTGCAGAAATCTTGACCTTCTCCACTTATTTTACATTAATTTTGCCTTTAATAATTTCTCTCTTTTTTCTATAAAAAATTCAATTAATTTTTACCACTTCCACATATTTTTCCCTGGGCACCTTACTAAGGTTCTCTCTCCTTACTTTCAGATTTCTATAACTTTACAATTAAGTGGACAATATTTCTGGATACTTTTGTGATATCTCTGGCATTATTACCTTAAACATCTATTTTTTTTCTGTTTTTCATGTATCTATATCTTTCCACAATAATGCTCTTTTTCCACAATGGCTTCTATTTTTATTCTCAGTTTGGGGCTAAGAATTTTGCTACCTTGGTACTCAGTGAGCCCAATAAGTGTTTTAAATACATAAAGTGTAGGCAGTTAAGATTTCTTGGGATCTTCTGCTCTTGATCAAAATGGAACTATGAGTCACCTGTTTCCTGATTTCCTTCAAGCTTTCAAACATACTCATAAGTACTGGCATCACTGTTTGTTCTAGGGCTGTGTGAAACCATCTACAGTATAAGGATGTCCCAGTTGACTTCTAGTAGGTACATGAAATGTTGACACCTTCATGCCATCATAGGCATAACTACACATTGTTCCAATATCAGCAAATGTTACAGAAGACTAGATGAATACTAGTGAGTAGTGGGCTTCATCTGATTACTTATTCTGTGACAGACACTTTATTTTGGTTAAGTGTGCAGGCTGCAGTTTAGACTGGGTACAAATTTAAGCTCTCTGTGAATTGAATTATTTAAATTCTTTAATCTTCAATGTCCTAATTTATAAAATGGTAAAAAGATAATAATAGATTAACAGATTATTAGTAGTAGATTAGTTGTTAATAATACAAAATGAGTTAACTCAAGTGAAGAATGTCATTCAACATGTGGCAGGGAGGAAGTATACACTTGTAATTTATGTACATTTTATATAACTGTACACATTAGCTTACATGTTGATAAGTAACTTAAATCAATCCTCAGGATAATGGTGAGGTCACCGAAATTTTTGTTTTTTCTTCTATCATGTTTCACAAACGGGAAGTTTGGATTTCAATCTTACCTCTGAATACATAGTCAAGCTCCACATTATTTATGTATACTCTAGCAATTGTGTGCCTACTTAATTCAGAGTCAATACAGCCTAATTTTTTTCTTTTCTTTCCTTTTTTATAGAAATAGGTTCTTGTTTTGTTGCCCAAGCTGGAGTGCAGTGGCTCAATCATAGCTCATTGTAACCTAAGTCTCCTGGGCTCAAGTGATCCTCCTGCCTCTGCCTCAGCTTCCCAAGTAGCTGGGACTACAGGCAAGTACAACCATGTTCAGCTATTTTTTTCTGATTTAAAAAAAGTGATGAGAAATGAGTGACTAATGTGACTATTGTGGGATATACTGAAGTTGGTGACAGCTGACTTTGTTATAAATGACTTAGTGTTGTGCCTTGGTGTTAGAACCATTTGAAGGGTCTCATTTAACTTGGGGAGTGTTTTAGTTCATTCTCACCCTGCGATTGGAGACATACCCTAGACTGGGTAATTTATAAAGGAAAGAGGTTTAGTTGGCTCAGTTCAGCATGGCTGGGGAGGCCTCAGGAAACTCAAAATTATGACAGAGGTGGAAGCAAGCATGTCCCTCACATGATGGTAGGACAGAGAAGTGGCAAGCAAAGGGGAAAAGGCCTCTTATAAAACCATCAGATCTCATGAGAACCCACTCACTATCATGAGAACAGCATGGGGGAATTGCTCCCATTATTCAATTACCTCTGACCAGGTCCCTCCCACGACACGTGGGAATCATGGGAACTACAATTCAAGGGGAAATTTGGATGAGGACACAGCCAAACCGTATCAGGGAGTAACTACTTTATTGCTGTTTATTTTTTTTCTGAACTTCAAAAACAAGGGTTAGATAGGTGTGATTATTTCAAAAGATGTAATTAAATAGATATGATGTTACCTTAGAAACTTAAAAAAGCCTCATTTAAGTGCTGAAATTGTGTACCTATAATATTTGTTATAATAAATAGTCAGTCAATTTGAAACCCAGCTGAGAAGTTGCCATGCACACTGCCTCCAGGAAATTGCATCATTAAGTTTACATTATAAAAACTTATCCCCTTCCTGACATTATAATCCCTCTTTCTGCAGTCAAGCATTTGATTAAACTGTTCATTTTCAGAAGGCTACCAGACTAGAAAACTACTATCTAATGGCATTTAATTTCCATACACTAATTCTAGTTGCATCTTTAATGAAATTAACAAGGCCCTAGCTTATTGTAGTAAAAGGAAACATAGTAGTAACCTGGTCCAAGTCTTCCTTTTACAATGAGAAAATTATGGATCTGAAAGGGAAGCAAATTGGCTGAGATCATAGATGTAGGCACTGCTCAATCAGAGATGGTGACATGGGTCCCTTTCCTTGAACAACATGGACTCTGCCTGGCTGCATTCCCAGGGATATATAAAAAGAAAATATGCAAAGATACGTTTATACCAAAAAACATCTGGCTGTTTATTTTCATTCAATATAGTAAAAAATGCTTTCTTAGAGGATGATAGCCATGTCCACATACACAATTAATGAGGAGCCTCGGCTGGAACCTCACTTAAGTCACTTAGTTTGTGAGATTCTTGAGGATAGTCTCTATCTTATTCATCATCTGTCTTCCAAATATTTAATCATGCCTGGCATATGGAAAGTATGCAAAAAATATTTTCTGAATTAAACTGCTTAAATTTGAACTCTCAGAATACCTGTCAGCCATTAGGTTTAGGATTTCTTCATATTTTCTGACAACTGTGCAGGTTTTCTTACCATTGTGCAGGTGCCTGTCCTAACTACTGAACTTAGTTCTGAGCCAGTGAAAGATGATCTAAGCTGGAAAACATTAGAAGAAGAAAAAATGCCAGCAAACTCAATTAAATTGATATATACAGCATACTAATAATTTTAATCTTGGGTTCACCAAATAATGTTAAGTTAAAGATTCCTAACATATAAATATGTGTTACAATTATAGTAGTGGACCAAACACTATCAAACAGTGTACTAAATAATTCAGGAACTACTCTTAAATACCTGTTGTATCTGATTTTCCTAAGAGGAATACGTAGAATTTTCTAAAGAAGGTGATGTAAAATTTTTCCCAGTCACTTTGCCAGCCAGGGACTTCCACTGGTGACCAGTGACATCCCCAACCAGGTCTCATTCGGCCCCCAGCCATGCTTCAGGAGGTGCCCCATCCACTTGGCCCATTGGACCACACTTGGCTTGCGCACAGGTCTGGATTCCATGCTCACTACAAGATCCACACTTAGCCTGTGGATGGGCCAGGCATGCTCCAGCCCACCTATGTTACAGCTGGTACCCACATTTGATGGGTCTCAGGCTCTTGTCCTGCATCCAAGAAGAATGAGGTTATGGTGACAACTGAAGGGTGAGGAGGGTGGAGAAATATTTTATTGAGTGACTTAACAGCTTTCAGCGGAGAGGGGACACAAGGGTGGCCCACTAAACAAAATCGAGTGATTTTTCCCAGTGTGGCTAAGTCTGGCGATTTTATAGGCTCTGAATGGAGAACTACATGCTGATTGATTTGCGAGTATACAAAAAAAAGTTAAAACAAAGGCACCACTCAAAGGTGGGTACAACAGTGTAAAAAACAATTAGGGAGAGGTAGGTATATGCAAAATAGATGAAGGATGGGGATCAGAGGAAAGCATGCCGCATGGGAAGAGAGGTTCTCAGTCCTTTCCTTGGATTTGATTTGTATCTTGACTTTCAAGATTTAAACTGTCTTTGGCTGGAAAGTGGGGTTTCACTGGGGACCTGCCCTATCTGCCTAGGGATTTGTCTGCCTCCTGCCACTATCAACTCCCCCCTCTGAAGAGGTACATTAACTGCCATTAGGATAGAGATGATGATGGCTCTTAACTGCCTCATGTGGACAGGGCCACTGCTTTGGGAATACAGGCAGATCTCTCTCAGAGGCTTATCCGAGGGTTTCCAGTAAAAGGGAGACATGGTCCGAGACTCCAGTTGCATGACCATTTGTAATTTGATGGTCTGAAGGTGAGAAGAGACAAACTGGGTTATTAGAAGACATGTATCAAAATGAAGCAAGGGGGTAAGGACAGCTCAAAAATCCTGATGCTGCCAACACAGCCAGATAGCTGGTTGTTACAGTTATGCTTGCTAAGATTTGGTGTATGGGGATTGGCTCTGGCCAGCTCCCTTTGTCTTATTCTACCAAAAAAAAAAAGAAAAGCCTGGGTTATTGATACCCCACTCACTCCTATCCCCTGGGAGGATTTGCAGCGTAATTGCCCAGATTTAGAACATTGATCCAAATTTTTACAAAGCTTTCAAACTTTTGTTAATCTCGAAGCCACCAAGGTAAATACGTCAAAGTGCAGTGAGTACATTTGCCATGGTTCTTAGAATATGTTATATTATATTATATTATATTATATTATATTATATTATATTATAAAAACCTTTATGATTAAGAAATTTGGGGTTTTCATGGAATAATTGCATTTATTAAAAGCCATTCTCTTTTTCAAATATACTATAAGCATACGTCTGCATCACAAGTTAGTTTATATGTAACTGATAAATAAGAGAAGGATTCTTTATAAAGCAAATGCCAGGTTGCTTCACCTTTGATATTTCCAAGAATTCAAATTCAGAATGTTAACACAGCTGAGTGTATGCAATAGCAATTTACACCATGTTCTTCCTCTTTGCAATATTTGGTCATACATTCAATCTTGGAAGTACTTATTGCCCTGTTATATTCTCCAGGCAATTTTTTAAATTTTTCTCTCGACTTCATAATTCAATGTTGTGTAACTCAACTTACATTGCCGCTATCAAGAAAATTTTTATTTTTATTTTTAAAGGAAAATCTATTGCTTACCATAGTCTTTTTTTTCTTTCTTTTGAGATGGAGTTTTGCTCTTGACACCCAGGCTGAAGTGCAATGGCACGATCTTGGCTCACTGCAACCTCTGCCTGCTGGGTTCAAGCAATTCTTCTGCCTCAGCCTCCCAAGTAGCTAAGATTACAGGTGCCTGCCACCACATCCAGCTAATTTTTATATTTTGAGTAGAGGTGGGGTTTTACTATGTTAGCCAGGCTGGTCTCAAACACCTGACCTCAGGTGAACTACCCACCTTGGCCTCTCAAAGTGCTGGGATTACAAGTGTGAGCCAACATGCCCACCTTACTATGGTCTATTCTATATATTAATAATTTAATATTACCTTTTAAATTTTTTGAAAGTAAAACTTAATCATGAGACTCTTACAAACCCATACAATTTTGTTATCTGTTAGTGGAATCCTTAAGAATTTATACTAGTCTTGGGTGGACTAACCAACACTTATTCTCCTATTAGCTCTGTTATTTTCAGTGCATGCATGACTTTGTAGAATGCAAGATTTTATATGAATTAATTTATTTTGCTATCACCCAATACTGTACCACAATTTGGGGAAGCTAAGATAATTAAGAGGAAGGCAAGGTCTTAAAAGGAGTTCAAAATTTTATAAAACACAGATAGTACAACTATAGACCTATAAACAAGACATCATAGGAACACAGGAAAGAGATAAATTAATCTAGCATGTAAAAGGGGGGTAATCAAAAGGTTTTCAGGAGGTATTGCCACCTGGTTGAGTGGTTCAGGACATGTAGGTAAGAAGTGGAGTGGCTAACAGGACTGGGCATTTCAAACATACTCATTGAAACCATAAATAAATAATAAATAAATAAATAAGCATATTAGCAGAAGCAGGGGTTTATTATTTCTCAGAATATCTAGTCCAGTACTGTTACGGGATCTTTGGGGTATCACTTCACCAGCTATAAACCTCTGTGGCCAGTGGAGCCTTTGCCTGAGTTTTGCTTGGACCCACTGGGCCCACTTAGCCTAGCAGGTTGTGATCGGCTCATGCTACCAGCCTGGAACCTATGCCTGCCAAAGGCAAGTGGAGCAGTGAGGGGTGTATAAGCAAGCAATTATGGGGTTCAGTCACTGAGTGCAGCCAGGCACGCTGGCTGCAGCAGGGAGGGCAGCTCGAATTGCTGCCATGGGCACTGGCTCCCTGCAAGGCTGTGACTGGACCAGGTGTCCCAAAAGCTTCTTCTACAGTTGGTACTAGGGGATGCAGTGGTGCCTGGAAGCTTGGAGATGCTAGGAACCACAGAGCCCCAAAGAGGGTGTCACAGTCCTGTCTCAAAGAGCTTCTATGTCTGGGATCCACAAAGGGCCACAGCTCTTCTCTCCTTCTTGTCACCCACAATGTGGTGAGCAAGAGGTGTGTTTCATCCCTGTTTTTGCTACTGCTCTTTCAGCCCTGCCATTCAACAGGTTCTGAGTTTTTGTCCCATGACCAGGAAGAATGAGGTATGTGGACAAGCAGAGGGTGAGCAAGGTGAAGAGGAGCTTTATTGAGCAATAGAATGGCTCAGAGGAGACTCACAGTGAGTAGCTCCTCTTTGCAGCCAGTGTTTCCCAAAAAGTGTTCAGCTCTCAGCAGAGAGGAGACCCTGGAGTGGGTAGTTCCTCTCTGTACCTGGTCATCCCATTGTCTTCTCAGCTCTCAACAGAGAGGAGACTCAAGTGGGTAGCTCCTCTCCACAGCTGGTCATCCTGTCATCTCCTCAGCTTTTATCAGAGAGGAAACCCTAGGGTGGGTAGTTCCTCTCCATAGCTGGTCATCTTCATCCCATTGTCTCCCCAGCTCTTAACAGAGAGAAGACCCTGGACTGGGCAGCTCCTCTGTGCAGGTAGCAGGTCATTGTCTTCTTGAGTCTGGCTGAGTCTGGGGCGTTTATGGGCCTCACAGGGGAGGAAATATATGCCAATTGTTCATGGGCGGCACATGCAGGCTTGGAAAAAGCACTACAAGTTTCTACTCTGGTCCTCGAAACTGTCAGCCTGGCCCAAGGCTTCAGGCCTTTCCTGGCTTGAAGGTGGGGCTTCACCGAGGACCTGCCCCTGTCTGCCCAGGATCCTGTCTGCTTCCTGCCACTGTTCATGGCACCCAGGCTGGTTCATGCTGAGGGGTACCTGCAGGCCAGGGATGAGCTGCCCTCAGCACCTCCTTGGCCTCCTTTCTGTGCTCATCAGTGGCCAATGTCTGGAGGGGGCCAAGGTAACAGAGGGCTGGTGTGTCAGTGCTGGCCCGTGCATGCACATACCCAGCCAGGCTGCAACAGCATCTGGGCTTGGCCCCAACCTTGCTCTGAGATAGAGCAGGTGCTGGGAGTGAGAAGAGGCCACAGGCAGTGGTAGCAAACACCTCCAATCCTGCAGGGCAGGGACACCTTCCTGGTCCCCTAAGAGTGCCAAGATGCCCAGGTCTCCTGACCTGGGAGGGCGGGGCTCTTGCCTGCTCCAGGTTTCCGCTGGCTCTGTGGAGCATACAGCCAGCTGCATCTCCCTTGCTGCAGCTGAAGTCTTGGCAGTGGCCTCTCCAGGTTGGTCGTTGCTGCTACTAGTACTATAAACATATTTAAGGATTCATCATGTATCCATTGGTCTGAACTGTTCTGTAGGTTATACAAAACTTGTCTTGTCAGGATTAAATAAGGAACAGTTGTCAGTATCAGGAAGAAAGAGCATGACAGTTAATAGCTAATGGAAAATATTTGTTTAATACAGTACAAAATATACCCTATTATAAAAAAATGATATCAGGAAAGGTGGATTTTGTAAGAAAGCATATAGGGTTTTGTTGGCACCATCTACATTACGGAGAAGGAGGAGAAAAATGCTAGAAACTGAAACTAATCCAAGAGTTCACAGTCTAAGGAGTGGAATTCACAAAACAAATATTAGCATAAAACTTGGAACTAGTGAAGTGCAAAGCAGCCAGTTTTTCAAACATCACACAGAGAACAGGCTGACATTTGCATTTTTTCCTGAGAATGAAAAAAAAGGATTAATCTGGAGTGAACATATTCAGAATTTCATTACAACGAAAGGCCAAAACATGAAGCCAACTTCTAAAATCAGAGGTGCAAACATACAGTGAAAAGACCTGTGACAATAAGGCACGTGTTTAAAGGTAGGAGTCAGCACAACAGCTTTCACTGAGTTTATAGAGGCAGTACAAGGAAATACAATTTGATTCCTATTGTTATAAAGGAAGAGTGTTCTCCAGGGGCTTTTAATGTTCTTATAATTCTATAATTAGGGATTAGTTAGGAAATGTTAGGTAACCATGTGTGGTTTCTGAAAGTGCAATATAAATTCAGAGAAATAAAAAAACGAAGGTTTTGTTGGTGCCTGATAATTTTTGATTCTTTGTGGCTATTCAGTTAAAACAAAGTTTGCTTTCAATGTGTGGTCTATGAACTTCAAGAATAAAGGTTGTGTAAGTAATTATTTACAAACAAATTGATTGGCTAGGTGGCCAAAAAGCAATGCTTGGTCTTTCTAAATAACCAGTGGTTCCATGTAAATCTTGTGTCAGGGGAAAAAAAAAATCAACTTTCTAAAGTGCTTCAGATTTTAGGATTAAAGGATTAAAGTGGATAAAATACAATAAAAGAAGAGGAAAAATAAAATATTGTTTGGATCAGCTGACTCCATCATTTTAATTTGATTGTTTATTTTTTAGAAGGTAATTTAGGTAATATTTTAACATGTTGACTGTAGTTTCAGTATTAAAATTAGAAAGTAGTTTAATATTTTCACAAACATGACATGCATTGTTTGAAGTGTGCTGAGTTCATTTGTTTCTACAACATTTATTGCTTATTGTCTACAAAGGCATGAAGGAAAAAACATGATCCTTGTCTTTAAAAAGCTAAGATATTCATTATCACAGATAAGAGTATAAAAGGACAAGGTTTGGAAAATGGTAAATATATGAGCAATGAAATATGAGAACACAGAAGAAAATGTCAATGATGTTCAAGGAAGTAGAGAAAGCTTTATAGAAGAAATGGCATTTAGCTTGACCTCAATGATTTGAAAAGAAGCTTCACAGATTTTAGGGAAAGAGGGAAAAGAAATTCTGTGTAAAAAGCTTCCTTTTTGTTTGACTTTTTGAGGAACAGTTAAACTGTTTCCCATAGGTGAAATGTATTTTCATAAGAGTAATCAAGTAAACTGTGATAGAGATTAGGTAATAGATGATAGAAAGATAGATAGATAGATTACAGATAGATAGATAGATAGATAGATAGATAGATAGATAGATAGATAGATAGATAAGATAGATGTCCTTTAGGGCTTCAGGTTTGTATTTTACCAACAATTTTGTGTACTAATCACAGTTGCAACTATAACCATAAAATATTTCTTCATGGTACCAACTTACACTTCACAACTTTTATTATATTATGTTTTGGGGACTTGATATGTTTTGGCTCTGTGTCCCCACTGAAATGTCATCTTGTAGTGCCTATAATCCCCATGTGTTGTGGGAGGGACCCAGTGGGAGATGATTGAATCACAGGGGTGGGTCTTTCCCATGCTGTTCTTGTGATACTGAATGGGTCTCATGAATTCTGATGGTTTTTGAAACAGGAATTTCTCTGCACAAGTTCTATTTTTTTGCCTGCTGCCATCAATGTAAGATGTGACTTGCTCCTTTTTGCCTTCCACCATGATTGTGAGGCCTCCCCAGCCATGTGGAATTGCAAATCCAATAAACCTCTTTCTTTTGTAAATTGCCCAGTCTCAAGTATGCCTTTATCAGCAGTGTGGAAACAGACTAACATAGGGCCAGTATTTACTTCTATTTATTCACTTCTAGGAAGCATCTCATAATCTCACACGTTTTATAACCAAGAAGGTAATAGGTTAGAAAAAATATTTAAATTAATATTAAATAAAATATCAAACAATTAATTCGATAGTTTTTTATATATTAGATAACTTTTGACTAGAGCATACAGATAAATTGAGTTCACATTATTAAGGGCATTAAAAAAGAGCTTTGCTCTCAATTACCCTTTTTTGTGGATAGAAAACATATTGGTATCCTTTTAGCCTTGAGGGTTACATGTGTATCTTAATAACCATAGGAGATTAATTTTCTATATTATACTCTTAAGCATTATCATTTCAAATTCTATTTTATGTCATGTATTCAAATAAAATGTGATCAAGTAGAAGCCCTGAAATGAAGAATTTTAAATGTCCCTGTCTGCTTCCTAAATAACAAACTAGCTATAAAAGCAAGTCTCTGTGTTAATTTGCAAATGAAGAAGGACTTTGGAGTTACATCCACATTGGTCCCAGGCTGCTGTTGTATTAATTATTAGATAGATTAACTACACACTGAGTTGGCACTTTTCATTAAACAGCTGCTAAAACATGAGGGATGAACAATGCCTTGTGCTTTAGCTTCAGATGTGTGCACTGTGAGGCTATTTAATATGCCTTAATAAGCTACTGTTTTCCAGGCAGACAAATTTAACTTAGTTGGAGAGTATTTGGAAAAATCACAGGTCAGAACTTGTCAATGTCTTTCCCCAATTCTCAAATGAAAAATGTCAAATATTCATATTTCCTTAACTCCCTAAATTTACATTAAAATATTTTAAATAAATTTAAGCTATACAAATAAAAAATAAATATATCATGATATCAAAAAACAGTAAAATAACTGGCAGTTATGTAACCAGGAGAAAATATAGACATTACTGTATTTATATATTTACAAATATATAATAGCCAACCATGGATTTTATTGTTAATATTTGTTTTCTTAATACTTATTATTAGTAATATATACATAATAGTCCCCCCATTTTCCCTAGGGGATACATTCCAAGACCCCCAATGGATACCAACCTGAAAAGATAAAGGTTCTGATTGATTTGGTTCACAGATAGTACTGAAACATATTTTCAAATGCTGCTATAACAAAATGTCACAGATGGGGTAATTTATAAAGAATAAAAGTTTATTTGGCTCATGGTTCTGGAGGTGGTGAAGTCCAAGAGCATGGCTCTGCTATCTGGAAAGTGTCATCCCATAGTGGAAGGTCAGAAGGCAGGAGTGACCCTGAGAGACTGAGAGAGCAAATTAGGCCCAATTCACTTTTACAGCAACCCACTCCCAGATAACTAACCCATTCCTAAGAAAATGACATTAAACCATTGGTCCCATGACCTAATCACCTCTTAAATCTCTGTTTCCAAGTACTGTTGCAATTGGAGTTTGTTTCCAACACATAAACTTTGGGGACATATTCAAACCACAGCACCTATATATACTATGTTTTTCCCTTTATGTAATTCCCTATGACAAAGTTTAATTAATAAGTTAGGCACAGTAAGAGATTAGCAACTACTAATAATAGAATAATTATAACAATGCACTTTAATAAATGTTATGTTAAAATTGTCTCTCTTTGTCTTTCAGAATATCTTTATATACTGTACTGTAGGCAATTGAAATAGCAGAAAACAAAACCTTGAATAACGGGGGACTATTGTATCTAATAAATACCAGTATCTTGACTATTTTGTCTCTAGGAATATCTCTGAAGTAAAAAAATCTTTCATCATTTATTTACATTAAAATTTCTATATGCTACATGTATGACAGGTTAAAACACTCATAGAGATTAAGTTGAAGACAAGAGTTCATACCAATACTTATAAGACCCTCATCCCCGGCCAGGCGTGGTGGCTCATGCCTGTAATCCCAGCACTTTGGGAGGCCGAGGCAGGTAAATCGTGAGGTCAGGAGATTGAGACCATCCTGGCTAACACAGTGAAACCCTGTCTCTACTAAAAATACAAAAAATTAGCCGGGCGTGGTGGTCGGTGCCTGTAGTCCCAGCTACTCGGGAAACTGAGGCAGGAGAATGGCATGAACCCAGAAGTCGGAGGTTGCAGTCAGCCGAGATTGTGGCCACTGCACCCCAGCCTGGGCAAGAGAGCAAGACTCCGTCTCAAAAAAAAAAAAAAAAAAAGACCCTCATCCCCAAAACTTTGAACCTCAAATCATTTTTAGCACTATTTTTTACCTTGATATGGTTCTCTATTAAAAGCTTTTTCCTCTAATTTTAAGTACCTTTGATATACTCATAAGTCATAAATCTGTATATTTAGCCTTAAGGGATAATTTTCCAAAAAGTTAGAATTATGACTGTCAGAAAGATGTAAAATTAACATGTATTATAAAGTTTATTTAACTCATTATTAATGAGGGCACCAAGAGCATATTCCAACCAAACCAAAGGATGATTCACAGAACATATGTATTTGTGCATTTAGGAATATTAAAATGAATATGCAAATTGAGAAAAAACTGTTTTCTTCCACAATAGGAAGGGTCAATTGAATCTCCACTGTGGTAAACACAACCTCCACATGTCATAGACAGATTAATGTCTCTGAAAAGATGTTCATTTTCTAATTTTCAGAACCTGTGAACATATTACCTTACATGGCAAAGGTGTTTGGTAGATGTGTTTATTTGGTTACATTGAGATGGAGATTACCCTGGATTATGTGAGTGAATCCAATGTAATCACAAAGGTCCTTACGAGAGGGAGAGAGGAGTGTAAGTTGAGAGAAGAGATGTGGTGATGGAAGTAAAAGTGGTGTAATTTTCTTTGAAGATAGAGAGAAGGGCCATGAGTCAGGCAAGGGAGCTGGCCTCTAGAAGCTAGAAAGGGCAAAAAAGTGGATTCTCCCATAGAGCCTCTACAAAGAAATTTGCCCTGCTGGCACTTTGAGTTTAAATCTTCTGACCACCAGAACCATGAGATATTAAATTTGTTTTGTTGTAAGTTTCTCAAATTGTGATGATTTATTATCACAGCAATAAGACACTATTACATATTCCTATAGACAAAAATTATATTCCATTGCTATCAGTTACCTACAATTAACAGCTTTGTAAAATAGCTCAAAAGCAATGTTATGGACTGAATGTTTATGTTCTTCCAATATTTATATGTTGATGTGCTAACCCTCAGTGTGGCTGTATTTTGAGATGGGTCTGTTAAGAAAATAATTCACTTTAAATAAAGTCAGATGTGTGGAGTCCTGATCCAATTGGATTAGTGTTCTTATGTTCTCTTTCTCGCTCTCCATGTGTGCACAGTAAGGTAAGGCTATGTAAGACATAGAAGTCAGCCATCTGCAAGCCAGGAGAAGATAATGCACCAGAGCCAAATCAATTGGAACCTTTATCTTGGATTTATATCTGTGTAAGATAATTTCTGTTGTTTAAGCCACCTAGTCTATAGTTATTTGTGTTACAGTCTATCAAAATTACAAGTAATTTATTTTAAAGATCTTGATGGTTTTTATTTGTGATTCTAGAATCAAGCAAAACCTCATTCTGCAAAACAGAACGAGTGTTCCCGTGAGCTCAGCAGTGACTGGAATCATAGGTAGAAATGGGGTGAAAAAGGCAAAAAGTGGATTGGTAATTGCAAGAGTACTTTTGCTATGGAGGTTAAACAAAGGTGATTTTCTGATTCCTGCTGATTCAGGTTAACTAGAATATCCTTTTGTTTGGAAAACTGGCCCTTTTAAAAGTTCTGTTTGATTATGTATCACCTAGCACAAGTAACTCCATTCTGGTTTGTTCTGATCGAGGGGGCCTAGTACGGGAGGTAAGTCCAAAACAGTGGCCCCTCATAAACTTTAACAAGCCTGAGCAGACAAAGGCCTAATGAAAGATATAGAACATCCACAGAATCATAATCAGATAATCAATAAGTGTCATCTAAACAATGCGTAGTGTTTCCTTAAAGCACATTTTGTGCTCCACACTGTATTGCGTTCTTCCTTTGAACTTCAGTGTTGTCTAATTAAAATATTGCTGAATAGAACCAGATAGAACTTCCATAGGAGCCTCAATTATATCATATCCAACCCTAAACTTACTTGCTTCTCCCCCAAATCTGCTTCCTTCTTAGTTATTTCCTACCAAAATTCATGGCATCATTATTGTCCCTTACATCTTGACTCTTCCTTTTTCCTTTCTTGCTCATTCATTCAACCAGCCAATTTTATCACCTAAATATGTCTTAAACCTGCCTCAACTCCCACAGTAACCACTTTCTTATCACTTCTAAAACCATTAAGAGGGTATATCTTTTTAAAAATAGAAGTATTAAATACTGGGTACTTACAAATAAAATGTATAAGGTATAATTTGAGTTCACATTTTACTTAATCTTCTAACTTACTTTGGATGAATTAATGAACAATATGGTAACTACAGTTATTAACCACGTATTGTATACTAAAAATTGCCAAGAGAGTAGATTTTAAATGTTCTTTCCACAAATAAATATGTGAAGTAATGTATATATTAATTAGCTTGATTTAGCCATTCTACAATGTATATGTATTTTAAAATGTCACGTTATATACCATTAATATATATGATTTTTATTTTATTTGCCTATTAAAAATTAAGAAAAAACCCAAAGAAATACCTGTGTGTTGAAAAGAAAAAGGAAAAACAGCCTAGGCATGCTTTCCAGGTAGATATCTGGATGCTGACAATTTCCCGCCTTACACCATTTTTCTGTAAATTCATGAATGAAATAGATTCACCTGCATACATGCATGGTAGTGATCATGTTCACCATTGTCAGCATCACATTTAATCATATTAATAATTTGTTTTGTGCTGATAATTGGTTGTATCATCAGGCACACTCTTGCAGGTCTATTCTTACACTCTTATAATAGAGTCATTGGAAAAAGTTAGAAGGATATTTTATGCCTATGCTTTTCTTTTCTTTATTTTTTCTTTGTGCAAATCTGATTGATAATTGCAGCAACATTTTAATCCAAAGACTTATTATTATCTTATTAGCAACAATCTCTAAATAATTTAATAAACAAGTTTTAAATTCCTTAGAAGTTCACCAGCTCTATTTATAGTCCAACATTATAATATACACAGATAATTGTGGCTAGTTCTAAATTAATGTATCCCATATGCGAAAGTTATGTGATTATTTTCAATGTTATATCTATCTAGGCAGCTATCTTGTACAACGTTGCAGTTATGTAGCATAAATACATCTAGAGATCTAATGTATAGCATGAAGACTATAGCTAAGAATTTTGTACACTGGAAATTTGCTAAGGGGCTAGATTTTAGCTGCTCTTAATACCAAAAAAGGGGTAACTTGAGGTGATAGATATGTCAATTTGCTTAACCGTATAAGGATATCACTATACATGTGTATGAAAACATCATGCTATATATCTTAAATATATACAATAAAAAATATAAAAGTTAAAACACTTGCTTCCAGATTTCAAGACATGTATTGAATATACTTCTTATATTCAGATGAAACTATTGTAAGTTATCACTTAATAGTGTATACAGTGGTCAGATATAAGTTCAGAGAATTACATCGATGGATATCAGAGTCCCACTTTGTATCCTTCAAACACTATGGATTAGTTTGTGGTTTAAATCCCCTGACTTGAATTCATTTTCTACATGTAAAAGCTATTTGATAACATGATTTTGTTCTACATAGAATGGCTTGCTTTTTACAATGAAATGCACTGGAGAGTAGTCTCTGATAGTAAAGTCTTTATAAGGAGGCTATTATCACTAACTCTCTATCAAATAAACATGCATGCATATGCAACACAAAATAAAACAGTGTCTGAGCATTTTAATAGAGTTAGCCTATACGAAAACCTTTGAAATATAAAAGCTGATTAGTGATAGAATTTGCAGATCAAATATAATACATTTACATTAAATACTAACAGGCAGTTCCAGTTCATTAGTCCAGAAGTTGGGTCTTTTTAAAAGAACATAAAATTGTCAGACACCATGGCCTATGCCTGTAATTCCAGCTCTCCAGAAGGCAGGGACGATCAAGGGTGCACAAATGTTTGGTGCTACTCTGCTATGTGGAGCCAGTATCTGCACTGGATCTGGCACCAACATGAGGCTCCTGGGAGATCTTAGGGGTATCAGGTTGTATAAGTAGTCAGGGGGGACTTAGCCCAGTCCAGACCTATAACATGTCAAAAAAAAATATACAGGCAAAATTGATTCAAGAAAAAAATACAAATAATTTGTTGTACTGGATTAATCGGTATTTTGCTAGAATTCATATATAGCAAAATTTTGGAGAAGTATAAGAATGGAACTAATAAGACCTTCACAGAAAAAAATCTATCTAATAAGAGCAATTTTTGCCTAAATATAGCAAAAATAAATAAAAATTTGAAGAGAAATTAATAAAATTGAAATTAGAAAAACAATAGTAAAAATCAATAACCCAAATCTAGTTATTTGGAAAAATCAATAAACTTGATACACCTCTATTCAGGGGCTAACCAAAAGGAAAAAAAAAATGAAAAAATAAACACAAATTCCTAATACCAGAAATGAAAGAGTATCATTGTTATTGATTGCATCATTATTAAAAAGACAATAGATAAAAGACTATCAATAATTTTATATCCCCAAATTTGCTATCTTAAATAAAATAGAATAATTACATGAAAGACAATTACTACAGTAATAGAACAACTACTGAAACTACCAAAATTCATACAAGAAGCAATAGATATTCTGAGTAGGCCTATATCTATTGTATCTATTTTTAAAAATTAATTAATAATTAATAATATTCAAGTTAGAAATCATTAGACCTAGTAGGAAAAATAAAATTTTCTAAAATTTCTCCCAGAAAATAGCACAGAAAGTATTTTACAACTCATTCTATGAGGCCAGCATTGCCCTATTATCAAATCCAGATAAATATAGTACATAAAAGAAAATGATAGACCAATATGTCTCATAAAAATAGATGTGAATATCCTCAACAAAATATTAGAAAACCAAGTACAACAATGGATAAAAAGAAATATTTCCAATGGCCATTTGGGATTTACTCCAGGTATGTAAGGCTTGAATAGCACTTGGAAATCAATCAACATAACCCACTGTATCACCAGGTTAAGGAAGAAGAAAAAAAATACCTAATAATGATTAAAAAAAAACCAACTTCTTAGCAAAGTAGGAGTAGTGGAAACTTTGCTTAACTTGATAAAGAACACCTACAAAAAAAAAAAAAAACTATAGCTACTATTATACTTAATGGTGAGGAACTGGATTCTTTCTGTCTGAGATAGGAAACAAGTCATGACGTGTCTCTTCATCATCCATATTTAACATTGTAATAAATGATCCCTAACTATTAAAATGAAGCAAGGAAAAAGAAAGAAAAAAAGTGTTCAGATTGAGGAGGAAGTAAAACTGTTTTTGTTTGCAGATTACATTAGTGGCTATGTAGGAAATCCCAAAGAATAAACAAAAGGTCTCAGGTTACAAGGTTAATATGCAAAAATGAAATGCTTTATTATATAGCAGCAATGAACAATTTGGCATTTGCAATGACTAATACAATCCATTTATAATTACACCAAAAAATGAAATGCTAAGATAAAATTTTAGCAGAGTACATGGAAGGTCTATATGTGGAAAACTGCAATGCTCTAATGAAATAAATAAAAGAAGATCTAAAACAAAGATAAAGATAGAAAGGCACAATATCATTAAGATGTCAGTTCTCCTCAAATTGATCTGTATATTCAATTTAATCCTAATTTAAATTCCAGCAAGCTTTTTTGTGGCTATCAATGAACTGATCCTAAAGTTTATATACAAAGGCCAGAGGCAAAGAGTAGTCAATACAATACTAAAGGAACAAAGGAAAATTTGAGGACTTACCAGAATTCAGACTTACTAGAAACCTACACTAATCAACATAACATGATATTAGCAAAAGATTTGGTATGTAGATCAATGGAACACAATAGGAAGCCCTGAAACAGCCACACCAACACAGTCAGCTGACATTTGGCAACGGGGCAAAAGCATGCCATCAGAGAAGGGATTCTTTTCAACAAATATTGCTGCAACAATTGAAAAATCATATGCAAAATAAATCTAGAAACAGACTTTACATAATACCAAAAAAAAGAAGACAAAAAGAACTTCAAAATGGTTTACAGACTTAAATGTAAAATGCAAAACTATAAAACTTTTAAAGCAAAACTTAGGATAAAATCTTGTTGACCATATTCTATGGTGTGAATATGTCCACCAATGTTCATGTGTTGGAAGCTTAATTCTTAAGGCAGCAGTGTTGGGAAGGGTAGCCTAATAATAGGAGATTAGGTCATGAGGGAGGCTCTCCCCTCATAAATGGATTAATGTCATTATTGAGGGAGTGAGTTACTTATCTTGAGAGCAGGCTTGTTAATAAAGCAAGTTCTGACCCCTCTTGCTCACTTGCTGTCTTTCACTACCTTGCCATGTGATGGCTTCCAGCATGTTATTGCATAGCAAGAAGGCCCTTACCAGATGCAGCTCCTGGATTTTCGACTTCCTAAAATCCAGAACTGTGAATTAAATAATTATTTTCCTTATATATTATCCAGTCTTTGGTAGTTTGTTACAGTTACACACAATGGACAAACACAGCTTGGGTTGGTATTGAGGTTGTAAAAATAACATCAAAAACATAATGGAAGAAAATAACTAATGTTTGTTTTATGAAAATTAAATTTTTCTACTCTGTGAGAGATTGTTAAGAGAATGAAAAAGTGATTCTTAATTTTCTTATTGTTATACCCTAATATAAAAAATAAAAAAGCAAAATATCTGAAAAGTTACCTCATCTAAGAAGATATACAGATATCTATCTATCTATCTATCTATCTAACTATCTATCTATCTATCTATCTATCTATCTTCCTACTTTTAGGTTCAGGGGTACAAGTGCAGGTTTGTTTCACGGGTATATTGCATGTTGCAGGTGTTAATGCACAAATTATTTCATTACTCAGGTAATGAAAATACTAATGAGAAACTACTCAATAGGTAGTTTTTTCATCCTCACCATCACTCCACTCTTCACCCTAGAGTAGTCTCCAATATCTATTGTCTTCTTCTTTGCATCCATATGTACCCAGTGTTTACCTACCACTTACAAGAGAAAACTTGTGGTGTTTGGTTTTCTATTCCTACATTAATTCACTTAGAATAATGGCTCCATCCATGTTGCTGCAAAGGACATCACCTCATTCTTTTTTACGGCTGCATAGTATTCCATGGTGTATATATAACATATTTTCTTTATCTAGCCTGCTGTTGATTAACATCTAGGTTGATTTCATGTGTTTGCTATTGTGAATAGTGCTGGAATAAACATGTGGGTTCATATATCTTTATGGTATAATGATTTATATTTCTTTGGGTATATATCCAGTAATGGAATTGCTGGGTCAAATGGTAGTTCTGTTTTAAGCTTTTGAGAAATCTCCAATCTGCTTTTCACAGTGGCTTAACATTCCCACTAGCAGGTTATAAGCAAAGGCTTTTCTCCCTGTCCTCGCCAGCATCTGTGATTTTTCTAACTATTATGGTAGAATTTGATATGAATCTTTCTGGTCAAGTGTGAGATGGTATCTCATTGTGATTTTGATTTGTATTTCTCTAATGATTTGCAATGTTAAGCATTTTTTCATGTACTTATTGGTTGGCCATGTTTATGTCTTTTTTTTTCTTTCTTTCTTTCTTTTTTTTTTTTTTGAGACAGAGTTTTGCTCTTGTTGCCCAGGCTGGAGTGCAATGGCACAATATCAGGTCACTGCAACCTCCACCTCCCGGGTTCAAGTGATTCTCATTCCTCAGCCTCCCATGTAGCTGAGATTACAGGCATGTGCCACCAGGTCTGGTTAATTTTGTATTTTTAGTAGAGATGGATTTCATCATGTTGGTCAGGCTGGTGTCGAAGTCCTGACCTCAGGTGATCCACCCTCCTTGGACTCCTAAAGTGCTAGGATTACAGGCACGATCCCGGCCATGTTTATGTCTTTTTTTTTTTTAATAAGTGTCTTCATATACTTTGCCCATTTTTTAATGAGGTTGTTTGGTTTTTGCTTGTTAATTTGTTTAACTTTCTTATAGATTCTGGATATTAGTTCTTTGTTGAATGCACATATGGCAAATATTTTCTCCCATCCTGAAGGTTCTCAGTTTGCTCTGTTGGTAGTTTATTTTGCTGTGCAGAAGCTCTTCAGTTTAATTAGCTACCACTTGTCAATTTTTGTTTTTGTTGCAATTGCTTTTGGCATCTTCATCATTAAATTTTTGCCAGTTCCTATGTCCAGAATGGTATTTCCTAGGTTTTCCTTCCAGGGTTTTATAGTTTTAGGTTTTACATTTAAGTCTTTATTCCATCTTGAGTCAGTTTTTTCATGTGTTAAAAGGAAGGGGTCCAGTTTCAATTTCTGCATATGGTTAGTCAGTTATCCCAGTACCATTTACAGAACAAGAAGTCCTTTCCACATTGTTTATTTCTGTTGACTTTATCAATGAGCACGATTGTAGGTTTGTGGCTTTATTTCTGGGTCTCTAACTTGTTCCCTTGATCTATGTATTTATTTATGTACCAGTACCATATTGTATTGGTTACTGTAGCCTTGTAGTATAGTTTGACGTTGAGTAGTGTGATGACCATGATTATTCTTTTTGCTTAAGACAGCTTTGTTTATTTGTGATCTTTTTTAGTTCCATGTAAAATTTAGAATAGCTTTTTTCTAATTCTGTGAAGAATGTCACTGATAGTTTAATAGGAATAGCACTGAATCTGTTAATTACTTTGGGCAATGTTCTTCCTATCTTTCTATCCATGAGCATGGAATCATTTTCCATTTGTTTCTGTCATCTCTGATTTGTTGCAGCAGTGTTTTGTAGTTCTTATTGTAGAGATCTTTCAGCTCTGTGTTTGGCTGTATTCCTAGGTATTTTTTTCTTGTGGCTATTGTGAATGGGGTTACATTCTTAATTTGGCTCTCCGCTTGGACATTTTTGGTGTATAAAAATCCTATGGATTTATGTACATTGATTTAGTATCCTCAAACTTTGTGAAAGGAGTGTATGAGTTCTAGGAGCCTTTCGGTAAAGACTATGGGGTTTTATAGGTATAGAATCGCATTGTCTGTGAAGAGTGATAGTTTGGTTTGTGGTTTTCCCATTTGGATGCCTTTTAATTCCTTCTCTTGCTGTATTGCTCTGGCTAAGACTTCTAGTACTATGTTGAATAGAAGTGGTGAGAGAAGACATCCTTGTTTTGTTCCAGTTCTCAAAGGGAATGGTTACAGCTTTTGCACATTCACTATAATGTTGGCTGTGGGTTTGTCACAGACAGCTCTTTATTATTTTGAGATATGTTCCTTCAATGCCTAGTTTGTAAAGGGTTTTTACATAAAAGAATGTTGAATTTTATCAAAATGCTTTTCTAAATGTATTAAGATGTTCAGGTAGTTTTTGTTTTTAGTACTGTTTATGTGATAAATCACAATTATTGATTTGTGTATGCTGAACCAGCCTTCCATCCTAGGAATAAAGCCTACTTGATCATAGTGGATTAGGCTTTTGATATGCTGTTGGATTTGGTTTGCTAGTATTTTGCTGAGGTTTCTGCACCTCGGTTCATCAAATATATTGGCCTGAAGTTTTCTTTTGTTGTTGTTGTTTCTTTGCTGAATTTTGGCTTCAGAATGATACTAGCCTTATAGAATGAGTTAGAGAGAAGTCTTTCTTCAATTTTTGGAATTGTTTCAATAGGATTGGTACCAGGTGTTCTTTATATGTCTGGTAGAATTTGACTTGAATCATTCTGGTCCTAGGATTTTTCTGGTTGTTAGACTTTTTATTATTGATCCAATTTCAGAATTCATTATTAGTCTGTTCAGGATTTTAATAACTTCCTGGTTCAAACTTGTGAGAGTCTATCTTTCCAGGAATTTATCCATTTCATCAAGATTTTGTAGTTTGTGTGCATAGAGGTGTTTGTAATAGTCTCTGAGGCTTCTTTGTATTTCTGAGGGTTCATAGCAATGTCTCCATAGTTATTTCTGATTGTGTTTATTTGCATCTCATCTTTTTTCTTTATTAGTCTAGCTAGGAGTATATCAATGTTATTTATTCTCTCATAAAACCAATCTTTTTTATCTTTTGTAGGGTTCTTCATGTCTCAATTTCCTTCAGTTCAGCTCTGATTTTGGTTATTTCTTTTACTCTGGTAGCTTTGGGATTGATTTGCTCCAGTTCCTCTAGCTGTGATAATAGGTTTTAATTTGAGATCTTTCTAATTTCTTGATTTGGACATTTAGTGCTATCAATTTTGTTCTCAACAGTGCTTTAGCTACATCCCAGAGATTCTGGAACATCCTATCTTTGTTTTATTAGTTTCAAAAAAAGTCTTGATTTCTGTTCCAATGTCATTGTTTACCCAAAAGCCATGCAGGAGAAAATTATTTTTCATGCAATCTTATGGTTTTGAGATATCTTCGTGGTATTTATTTCTATTTTTATTGTGCTGTGGTCTGAGAGTGGTTGGTATGATTTCAGGTTTTTAAAAAATCTGTTGAAAATTTCTTTATGGCTGAGAATGTGGTGAATTTTAGAGTATGGTCTATATGCACATAAGAAGAATGTATATTCTGTTGCTGTTGGGTGGAGTTCTGTAGATGTCTGTTTAGTCTATTTGATCAAGTGTTGAGTTTGGGTTTTCAAAATATATGTTGGTTTTCTGCCTCAGTGATCTGTCTGATACTTTCAGTGAGGTGTTAAAGTTTTCCAATATTACTGTGCGCTTATCTAAGTCTCTTTGTAGGTCTTGTGATCTGCCCGCCTTTTTTGAGGTAAACTGGTCATAGATTTTGCAGGATGCCTTTCTCTTGAAATTTATCTCATGTTTTTCTCATAATTATACTGGGATTATGGGTTTTCCAGAGGAAGTCCAGAGTTAAGGGGCCATATTTGTTACATTATATCAAGCATATACACTATCAATCTGTTTATTACTGTTGATATTGACTTTGATCATCTGAATAATGCTGTGTTCGTCAGGTTTTAAAAGCTACTCTTTTTATTCCTTTCCTTCCTGTACTCATTACAAGGAAGTCATTATACACAGCTTACACTTAAGAAGTAGGGAGTTATGTCTCTCTTCCTTGAGGGTAGAGTATTAATTTATTTGTAATCCTTCTTCAAAGGAGATTCGTCCTCTGATGCTTGTACCCGGGAGGCGGATGTTGCAGTGAGCCGAGATCGCGCCACTGCACTCCGGCCTGGAGACAGAGCAAGACTCTGTCTCTAAATAAATAAAAAATAAATAAATAAATAAATGAATAAATAAAATTGTCATGGTCAAAAACAAGCAAAGTGTAAGAAACCGCTACAGCTAAGAAGAATCTAATGACTGACTTATAAATGTAATGTGCTATCCTGAATAGAATTTTGGAACAGAAAAATACATTACGTAGAAATTAAGAAAATTTGAATAAATGAAGACGTTAAGCTTTAAAAAACAGTTAATGGTAATACATTATTAATTGCACTAATATTTTCTTCAGCCAAAAATGTATGTTTTCTATTATCATCATCAAATGTATTTGTTATTTGACTGTAACAAAGTTAGATAATTATAAAGAGATAGAGTTATAGTGAAGCAGCATCCTTGTCTGGGGTAAATACCCAGGGTCTGTCGTCTGGAGCCGAGACTAACACACACATGGAGTGGGTTAAGGAGCGGAAAGTTTATAGGCAGAAGAAGGAGAGAGCAGAGTAGTTCTCTCTCCACCAAAGGGAAAAGCTAGCCAGTGGCAGACTGTGGCGGATTTTGTAAGCAGTCTTGAGGAGGTGGTGTCTGATTTACATAAGGCCCAGAGATTGGTTCGGTCTGGGGTGGTATTTACATGGCGTGGGTGGGGAGGGCTCCTTGCCCCACCCTAATCTTATTATGTAAATAGACTTCCTGCTTGGCCAGTGCCATCTTTTTTGTTCCTTACTGTACATGTGACTTGCAAAGAGAAGAGATGATGGAGCCGCCATTTTGAACATGCCTATTCCCAGGTAAACTTCTCCTATTTGCACAACTGTGGGCATTCACCTGTGCAAGCTTCCAGCTTCCTTGTCTATGTCTGCAGCTCAATTTTACAGTCTGCTCTTTGTTAGAAAAGAAAATGATTTGAGGCCTGCTTTTCATTAAAAGGAAAACCTTACTGAGGACTT
This sequence comes from Homo sapiens, assembly GCF_000001405.40. NCBI lineage: Eukaryota > Metazoa > Chordata > Mammalia > Primates > Hominidae > Homo > Homo sapiens. Next base: position 65,017,392 of record NC_000010.11, on the reverse strand, counting down.
CCTTACCCTCACTATCTGCCTAAAGAATTTCTTTTAAACTTCTATATTAATAACTTTCAGTGAAGTCATTAGTTTTGTTGTCATGAAATAGATTCATTTTATTTACATCCACACACAAAATAAATTTTCATTATAAAATTTTATATTTATTGAACATTTACTATGAATCAGACCTTGTACATATATTCATTTTATATATAATATACACAGACAAAGGTATGTATATATGACAATATATATAACATATGTGTGTATATATTTTATACATACATAATCTAAACTCATACCAGCTGTAATGAAATAGGCATTATTTTTTACTTTATGTCCCAGAAAGATTATAGAATTGTCCAAGGTTATTATTAAAGTTTTTTAAAGCCTAAACAGACTCATAGGCACAGTTAATCCAAAAAAAATATGTAATCCTAAATGATTATATTTTAATGATCCTAAAGTTCACAAAGAATAAATTAATATATTTTCTAGAGCTTCTATAAGCTTCCTGAACTTGAGTTTCAGAAGAAACAGAAATATAAGAGTTTCAAATGCAATGCTGAGTAAATGCCTAAAATAGGATATATTTAATGATGTAATTCTCTCTCTGAACACATTACTGATAACTCTGTTATCCATTGTTGACATCTCAAAAGACTACTAGAAAAATAACAACAACTCTTGATCATATAAATCTTAGTTTATTAGATTTACTGTAGTAAAGGGAAAAACCACCTTGACAGAGTTTTAGGTAGTGTTTCAATGTGAGGAAATATAGGAAGGTTTTATAGAATTTTATGACATAAGTAAGGCAATTTTAAGGCACGTTTTGCAAGGTGGTAAACTAATTGGGATTGTTCAGAGTCTGTGACAATAATAGCTTTGAATTGGTAGGCACAGAAAATTAAAAGTCTTTAATCAAGTCTTTGTTAGCAAGTATTAATATTGATAGCTAATATATTTATATGGTTTGAAGTCATGCCTTTCAGGGGCAGACATTTCTTAGAGCAAGCAGCTGGGTTAGTGCTTAGACTAAATATAATTTAATAGGAGTAAGGAAGTACACGATGGTGGGAATTATGATGGTTTTATTTCTCGCCTTATTTATTACCATACTTCTTTCCAAATGCAAGAAAAGAATGTTTCTAGGGTAATAGTTAAGTTGGATATATATATGGAGATAAACTCGTAAATTGTGAGAAGAAATATAAGGTGAATTTTTCACCTAACATTTTATTATGAAAATGTTTAAATATACTAAAAAATTTGGGAGAATTTTACAGTGAACACTCATATCTATTAAGCTGGTTTTATAATTAGTGTTTTACCATACTTGCTTCTAACTGTACTTTCATAAATCCCCTATTTGTCTATCATTCTGTCTCATATTTTCTGATATATTTTATACTTTTCAAAGTTGCAGAAAATATGATGACATTTTAAAAATGAAAAAAAGAGAGATTTGCTTTTGCCATGTCAGGATAGAAAATGTAACCAAAAGCAAAGGGCAGGAGTCCCCTTTTAGAAACAAGGGGTCATGCAAGAAAGGGCATGAATGAAATACAAAAGACAAATCCTTGGAACTGAGATGAGGAAATCAAGAGTTTCACCACAGATCCTTAACACATGCAGCCCCAGAATCCATCTTGGACTAGATACCAAAAAATATACATTCAAACAGACAATTTGTTCAGGAAGAAAGTCAAGGCTATAATAAAATAAATTTAATACTTTAATTGTGTCAACATATTTTTAATAGCCATTATTATCAATTGAAAAAAAAAGTGTATCTAAAGAATTCTAAACATATTTCCCCATATAATCGTCCCCCAAACCTTTTTAGGTATGTATTATTATCCACATTTTAGACAGGTAAAAACTGATATCTAAAATATTCAGCCACATCCTCAAGATAATTTCTTGAATTGAGATTCAAACCCAAATCAATGATCTATGTTAGACACATATGATAGCTTCTTTTTCCTCATAAAGAGAAAGAGTTAGAGAAAATTATAAGCCACAGCTTCAAAATCTGTAGACACATATAGATATCTTTGGAAATCTAACTTTTAAAAACCAGCCTCCTTTGCACTAAACCAGAGGCTGCTTATGTTTGTATTTAATTTGAAATTTCCATCAATATCTTCTTGATCCCTGTTTTACTTCTTTACAATAAATTTTACTGCTGTTATTTCTAACAGTGCACAATTTATTATTCCTCTTATCTAAATGTCAGTGGTTTCCTAGGCAACAGCTAAACCCTGTTTAAGTATCACAACACTGTAATTAAAACTTCAATTATCTGTATTTGCAGCCTCATTGTTTCTGTTAGATCATGTTGTCTGTATTAAGTGACAAGTGTCTAAGTTCACATGACCTACATAGTCAGAACGATTAACATGAGCTTAAATATATTTTCAATATATACAGATATATATTGTATAACTTGAATTTTAGTGTTATTCTGTATATTCTAATAGTATTCATTTATATTTAAATTTATTTTGGATCAATAAGTTAATTTATGTCTCTTAAGAGATCATTTTGATCAGGAATTACATATAAAACTTTGCAAGTGCTTAAATGGTGTTAATATAATTTCATCTTTGGGGGTTTGAGAGTAGACATGACTTCTTTTACTCCTCACTTTTTCCCCTTTCTTTTCGTCTTTTACTAAAACAATTTCAATTATAAATAATAAACTTTTTGAGCAGATAGTTACTGTTGTAGTGTAATTTGTAAAGTGTCATGAAAAATGACTATATACCTAAATGTTGTCTTTAACACAATGCTTGAGAATTTTATATTTTAAGTTTTTGTTTCTTAATTCTGCAAGTCTTCATTAGGGGCTAACAAGCATTAGGCATGTTATGTGCTAAATTGACAACTCTTTGCAAGATGGACAAGCTCTATACTGTCATGGAACCTGCATTATAGTGAAGAGGGACAAAAGTAAATAGGCAAATACTGTAATGATATTACAGGACATACTGAATTCTCTTGAAGAAAACAAATACGTAAGAAAAATAATAAAGCAGGACATTGGCATTGAGACTTCTAGGAAGAACTTCAGGGTGGATGATTGAGATTGGTCTTGGTAAAACGACATTTAAATTAATATTTGGTGGGTAAGAAAATGTCATCAGTAAAAACTGGGGAATAGTTTTTCATGCGGTAGGAAAAGCATGTATAGATTCCTGGGATGGGGAAGACCTTGATGCTTCCTAGGAATTGACAAAACGCTCATAGAACAGGAAAATATAGCGGAGTAGGGGTTAATAAATGTACAAAATGATGCCTTTAAAAAGATGGGCAGGAGCCATATGATAGAGCTATGGTAGGGCAAAAACATTGATTAAATTTTAGGCATTCTATATATTTTATTACTAAGTGCAATGTGAAGCTATACCATGGTTTTTATGATCTTTGCACATATACAAACAAACAAAAAATGTATGTATTCCTGACATAAAATATTTGTCTGACTCACTATTAGCATTATTAGATTAGATAATTTATTTTTCTTTTATGGTCATGAAAATATTAAGAGAAGGAAGGGAGGTGGAGGACAAATGCTGCTAAGAATGACAGCTGGAAAGGAAAATCTTCCTACTTTGAAACACTGTATTTGTCTGAGAGAGCTAATAATATTCTGATTATATAACAACATCCTGAGCATATCTCTTATGGCTGCAAGAAAAGGGGGAAATTTACATTTAAAGTGAATATAAGTTCTTTTGCAGTTCTGCAGGACAACAAGTCACTGGGTGGTTCAAATATTAAGACTCATGCCAATGCTCAATTTTTCCACTGTATAGATTTCCTTTGAGAATATCCCTAAGTCAATAATGCTGAATGCTGTGGTTAGTTCCTTAACCATTTTTCTTTTCTCTCCCCTAAGGAGATGGTATAGGGTGGTGGAAAAGAATGGCATTTGGAATCATAGAGTAAAATTTGTAATTTGATAGTTACTCCTGTCCTTCATTCTTAAGTTCTTTTAATTTCATCAAATTTCTTAACTTTTTTTAGATTTAAAATACCTATTTTCCTAAATTGTTTTGAGAATTATTTGAACTTGTTAGTGTTCCATAACTGTTATTTACTTCATTTTATTATTTCACTTGCATAAGAACTTCCTAATAGGTTTTGAGATTGTGTGGTGTTTGCATAAATATATGTATGTATGTGTACACACATAAATATATCAGAAGTTACATAAGACTGATATAGTTTGATATAGATATATCCAGCAAAATTATTTAAATACATATATGCAATATATACATATATGAGATAACTATTTTTCATTCCCTTTTCTCAAAACAAACCTGTACTGTTTAGGTGAGCAATGGTGGGGGCCTCACCTTGAACCTAATTGTATCACTCTGGGCTTTCTTCAGAACTTAAGTATGTTTTCAATTATCTAACAAATAAGTACTCTAAACATTTCTGAAAGTAATTAACAATTTTTTTAAAAAGCTGTTTATGGATGTATATTTTCTAAAGTTTAATATTTTAAATAGAATGGCTCTAAAACTATACAACAGCGCTCCCCAAACTTTTTGACACCAGGGACCAGAATTGCTGAAGACAATTTTCTCACAGGATGCAGGGGTCACGGTTGTGGGGTGAAGGTGTTCCACCTTACATCATCAGGCATTAGATTCTCACAGGAAGCTCATAACCTAGATCCCTCGCATATGCAGTTCACAGTAGAGTTTGCAATCCTAGAAAAATCGACTGTGGCCACTCATCTGACAGGAGGTGGAGGTCAGGCAGCAATGCTCATTCGCCCACCTCTCACCTCCTACTGTGAGACCTGGTTCCTAACAGGCCACTGACCAGTACGGGTGTGCGACCCACAGTGGGAGACCCCTGCTATACAAGGTTGAAGAAAAGCCTAATTAGACCTTTGTAACTGAAGCCAATTTTCAAAGTAAAAGGCCAATTAAAAAATATCATAAGACTTTGAGCAACACAAATGGATTAAGACCCATGTAGCTACGTGGGCCTTACACAGAATTACTAACATTAAAGAAACATTTAGTTTTTAGAATATCATAAATGAACATTGCTCCCTTTAGGCAATCAGCCTTGATATATTTTCATTACCTATGAGTTACAATAAAATTTTCGTTAAGCATATTTTACAAAGGTTAAGAGCTGTCACCTTTGAGTTTAAGAATTGTGGGTTAGAATCCAGATGCTACAGCTTTCTAAATACAGCTTTAGAAAATTTACTGGCTTGTCTGACTCAGTTTTATTAACAACAAAATTGACTTGTTTTGGCAAATAAATGAGTGTGTCATCATATTTCATAATATAAATGTAAAATAAACATGAGTAACAATTATTAATTTTCACAAAGATCAAAATATTAGAAATACATAATTTTGGATGATATAATAGTGAAAATGCTTTGAAAATCAAAATCAGTAAAGTGATATATAAATATCCATTATTTTCTTCTTTGAATAAAATGTAATTCCACATAAATAACATTTAGAACATATATGAAAAAAATGAATTCTTCATTGGTTACTAAAGGTCCATGAAGAGAAGCTCTGCTTATTTAAAATGAGTCAAAGAGCCTGCTAAGTGGGTGGTCAGAAATAAGGGAAATAATTTTTTAAAATTATATATTTTCTTCATTTGGCAGTAAGCAGTCATAGAATGCAATTTTAAAAATTATATGCTATTCAAAATTAAAAATATAATAGCAGTAAATCTAATAAGATCTATAAGAAAATATTATAAAAATGTGCCAAAGGACACCAAAGTGGCCAACATAAATGAAAATACATATGGTATTATTGAATAAGGTAATTTAATATTGTAAAGATGACGATTTTCTTCCAATTAATGATCAATTTATCAGAATTTCAATCAACATCATAACAGCATTTTTTTAATAGAACTTGAAATGTACATGCTGAACTTCCAGTTTCCGGTTTGACGTGTAAGAAGCTTAGTAGTCATCACTCATGGAAGTGAACAAGTAAAAAGCTAAACAAACTGAAAAAAAAAATTTTTGTATTTGTCAGAGAATTCAAGTCTTTGGGCAAACTTCTCCCCCCAAAATTAGAAAGATACGTGAGTACAGAGCTTCACAACCTAGCGGAGCAAAACCCATGAATAGAAATCTTGATAGGAACCAATGCCAGGGTAGGAAAATTTGAACTGAATTGCTGGGGGCTCAGTGTGGAAAACTGAGAGTTAAAAACTCCAGGGAACTCAGTCATAGGGGAATCCCCACACTTTAGTGAGCTTTATCTCCTGAAGCTGTATGAGGCCTTGGAGGTGAGTATCAGAGAAAAATCCCTTCATGCTTCTGGCAGTAGGAAGAGAAATGAAACCATTTTATAATGTCAGAGCACTCTGTTCTTAACAAAGACTTCCCTCAGGAGGGACTATTTTACTAAAGCCTAAACTTCTGGCATTTTATCAGAGCCTAATGAATTTGGTGGAGAGGAAATATCCAAATCAAGTCCGTCTAGCCTTCTGTATGAAGGAAGAAAGAAAAATTAAAAACTTCAGCTATGGTGTTCCACTTAAACAGGGAAGAAACTTGAGAACCACTGGTGAAGTTCACAGGCCAGCATCACAGGCTCACCAAAACACTGTGACACAGCTGTGGGACTATGGAATGCTTCCCATTTTCCCATGCCTTACTATATATTATTAAAGGCCTATTTAGCAAAGTTCTTTTACCCAGTACATTGTGTCTGTCTTTCAACAAAAATCACAAAGCATACTAAAAGACAAGAAAGCGAAATTTGAAGAGACTGAAAAACATTAGAACCAGAGTCAGATGTGGCAGACATGGTGGAATTCTCAGACTGGAAATTGGGGGAAAAAAAACTATGATTATTATGCTAAGGTTTATTATAGACAAAGTAGAGAACATGTGAGAACATCTAGACAATGTAAGCAGAGTGATGGCAATTCTAAGAATCAAACATGAATGCTAGAGAGCAAAGACACTGTAAGACAGATGAAGAATGCATTTGATAAGCTTATTAGAAGCGTAGACACAGGTGAGGAAATATCTCTGAATTTCAGGATGTCTCAATAGAAACTTTGAAATCTGAAAAGCAAAGATTTAAGAAGATTCTAAAACAAAATAAAAAACAGAGAAAAATATCCAAGAATGGTGGGAAACTACAAAAGAAGTAACATATATGCAATCAGAATACTAACAGGAAAGAATGAGAAAAAGAAATAGACATCATATCTCAAGCAATAATGAATGAGAAGTTTCTCCAAATTAATGCCATACATCAACCAATAGATACAGGAATCCAGAGACCCCAAGCCACGTAAATGTCAAAAAACAAACAAATAAAACAAAAACAAACTAAACCTAGGCATATTATATACAATGTTTGGAAAATCAAAAGTAAAGAAAAAAAATCTTGAAAAGGGCCATAGGGGAAAAAAAGTACCTTAACTATAGATAAGCAAAAATAAGAATGATGTATGACTTCTCAGAAACCAGGCAAGCAAGAAGTGAGTTAATTGAATTATTTAAAGTTTTGAAAAAAAAAATAAGCACCAACATAAAATTCTGTATCCCAAAATTATCCTTTAAAAGTAAAGAAGAAATAAAGGATTTCTCAGACAAATAAAAATTGAGGGAATTCATTGCCAGTAAAACTGTCCTGCAAAAAAAATGTTAAAAGTTTTTTAGAAAGAAGAAAAATAATTTAAGTCATCCACGTAAAGAAAGAAAAAGTATCAGAAAAGAAATAAAGGTAAAATATAAACTTTAATTTTTGCTCTTCTTAATTGATCTAACAGATAATTTCAAAATACTAACATGCATTCAAGTATGTATGCTTGTGTATATATATATAGTACTTGTGTATATATATATATAAAATGCTTGTGCATGTGTGTGTTTGTGTGTCTTATTAGTCAGTGTTGTCCAGAGAATAAGAACCACTAGGAAATGTATATGATGAGAGGGAATTTCTTACAAAAATTGGTTCATGCAATCATGAAGGCCAGAAAGTTCAACAATATGTCACCTGCAAGCTGGAGAACTGGGAAAGCCAGTGGTATAGTTCAGTCCACATACAAGGCCAGAGAACCAAGGGAGCCAATGCATAACTCTCATTTCAAGGCGAAAGAGTCAGGAGAAGATGAATGTCCTGGCTGAAGAGGAGAGAACCAATTTTCCCTTCCTCTGCCTTTTTATTTTATCCAGGTCCTCAATGAATTGGATGATATCTGCTCACGCTGGTGAGGGTGATATTCTTTAGTCAGTATCCTAAATCAAATGCTAATCACTTCTTGTAACACCCTCAACAGACTCACTCAGAAATAATGTTTTACCAACTATCTGGGGCTTCTTTTAACTCAGCCAAGTTGATATCTAAAATTTTATATATATATATATATATAATTTATATATAATTATTTATATAACCATATATATGGTTATATGTGCTTAATTATATATATAAAGTATATATACACATATATTCTCACATATGCTTGTGTATAATTGGAATGAATGAGAGTAATGGCACAAGGGATCGAAGGGAGGGAGAAATTAGGGATATATTGTAATTAAAAGATATGTTCACTATACGTAAAGCAGTATACTGTTTTTTGACAGTGAATTTAGCTTAATTGTAAATGTTGCAACCTCCAGAAAAAACACTGCAAAATATAAAAGTATAATTGATATGCTGAGAAATTAGTAGAATCAAATAAAATGCTCAATTAAAACCACAAAAGATAGAAAAAGAGTGGAAGACAAACATATGAGCAAAAAACAAGGGCAATAAATACAAAACAGTGACGAATACAGTAAATAGTAACCCAACCATATAAACAATCATTTTAAACATCAATGATCTAAATACACCAATTAAAAGACATTGTTAGAATAAATAAAAAATCAAGACCCAACTATATGCTGTATACATTAAACCCAGCTTAAATATAGAGACATATATAGATTAAAAGTAAAGGCATGGGAAAAGCTTTACCATGTTAACATTAATCAAAAGCAAGTAGAAGTAGCTATACTAATTTCAGCCTGAACAGACTTTAGAGCAAGAAATTTATCAGGGTAAAGAGACATTACATAATGATAAAGGGGTTAATGCTCCACATAGACAACAATCTTCAACATGTATGCATCAAACAACATGTCAAAATATGTGAGGTAAAAACTGAGAACCTCAAAGAGAAATAGATGAATCTTTTATTATAGTTGGAGACTCTAACACCCCTCTATCAGAAATGGACAGATCCTGCAGGCAGAAAATCAGTGAAGACATAATTAAACTCAACAGCACCATCAGTCAACAATATATAATTGATACTTATAGACGACTTCATTCAATAATAGCAGACTACATGTTTCTGTCAAGCGCACATGGAATATTCGGCAGAATAGACCACATTTTTTAAGTAAAAAAATTAAAGAATAAAAATCATACAATGTCTTATCTTAGACTACAATGGAATCAGACTAAAAAATAGTAAGAGAAAGATAGCTGGAAATTAAATAATATGTTTCTGAACAACACATGTCTCAAAGAAAAATTATTGAGAAAGTAAAAAAACATTTTTAACTAAACAAAAATGAAAATACAAATTATCATGATTTGTAGGATGCCAGAAAAACAGTGCTTCAGGAAAATATACAGCATTGAATATATATGTTAGAAAAGAAGAAATATCTAAAATAAATATTCTGAGCTTCTAATTTATGACATAAGAAAACAAGTAAATTAAATCCAAGTTTGTCAAAAAATAAAAAAATTAGAGTATAAATCAATGAAATTAAAAACAGAAAATCAATAGAGAAAATCAAAGAAACCAAAACTTGATTATTTGACTAAATCAACAAAGTTGAAAAGCCTCTAGCCAGGCTGAATAAGATAAAAAAGAGAGAGAGAAGACACAAATTACTAATATCAAAAATGAAAGAGGGGACATCACTGCAGATTCTATGGACATTAAAAGTATAATAAGGGAATGCAATGGACAACTCAATGTCCACAAACCTAGTGGATGAAATGGACCTATTCCTTGAAAGACATAATCTGCCAAAACTCACACAAGAAGAAACACTCAAATTGAACAGACCTGTATTTATTAATGACATTGAATTAATAATTAATAATCTTCCAAAACAGAGTGTCAGGCCAAGGTGAATTCACCAGTGCGTTCTACCAAACATGTTATGAAGAAATTACATCAGTTTTCTACAATCTATCCCAGAAGATAGAAGCAGAGGGAATTCTTACTAACTCATTCTATATGGTCAGTATTACCTAATATGCTAACCAAACAAAGAAAGGAGGCTAGAAAAGAAAATGACAGACTGATAATAACTAGAAAATAAAACTGCAGACTGATAATATCTCACAAACGTAGATGCAAAAATCCTCAACAAAATATTAGCAAATTAAATTCAATAATATATAAACAAATTATACACCATGACCAAGTAGGATTTATTTCAAGTAGACAAGACTGGTTAAACCTTCAAACATCAATTAATGTAATTCGTCACCTCCACAAACTAAAGAAGAAAAACCACATGATCATATCAATAGATGCAGAAAAACAATTTGAAAAAATTCAACATCCATTAATGATTACTTCTCAGCAAAGCATAGAGGGGATCTTCTTCAACTTTACAAAAACATTTACAAAAACCCTACAGCTAATATTTCTCATGTAATAGAAACTTCAAGCTTTCCTGTTAAGATCACCAACAAGACAAGGATGTTCCCTTTCACCAGTGCTATTCAACATAATGCTAGAAGTCCTAGTTAATGCAATAAGACACAAAAAGAAAATGTATACAGATTGGGAATAAAGAAATAAACTTGTCTTGTTTAAAGATGACATGATTGTCTATGTAGAAAATACAAAAGAATTGGTAAAAACAAAACTCAGGAACTAATAAGTAACTATAGAAATGTTTCAGGATACCAGGTTAATATACAAAAATCAGTCACTTTCCTATATATAAGCAATAAATTTGAAAGTAAAGATACATTATCAGTCATGTTAGCACTCCAAAAACTAAAATACTTATGTATAAATATAACAAAATATATACAAGATCTATATGAAGAAAACTAAAAATCCCTGATGAAAGCTATCAAAGAAGAACTTAAAAAATGCAGATAGGTATTGTCCTTAATGTCAATTATTCCCAACTTGATCTATAGATTCAGTGCAATACCAAGCATATTCTCAACAAGTTATTTGTGGATATCAACAAACTGATTCTAAAGTTATGTGGAGAGGCAAAATACTCCAAATAGTCAACTCAGTATTGAAGAAAAACAAAGTCAGAGGACCGGCCGTAACTGACTTACTACAAAGCGAAGCTACTTTAATCAAAACACAGTGGCACTGGTAAAAGAAAAGACAAATAGATCAATGGAACAGAAAAGGGAGCCCCAAACTAGATCCAGGTAAATATTATCAACTGATCTTTGAAAAACAAAGGCAAAACAATGGAGAAAAGATTGTCTTTCATCAAATGGTGCTAGAACAACTGGGCATTCACATACAGAAAAAATAAAAGAATCTTTTAACCTTATAAAATTATAGCCTTCACAAAAATTAACCTGAAATGGGTTATGGAGCTAAATGTAAAATGAAAAACTATAAAACTTCTGTATGATAACATAGGAGAAAATCTAGACGACCTAGAATATGAAGATAACTTTTTAATTTCAACATCAAGGCATGATCCATAAAAGAAATAATGGAGAAGCTGAACTTTGTTAAAATTAAATACTTTTGCTCTACCAAAAACAATGTCAAGGTAATGAGAAGACAAGCCACAGAGTGGAAGAAAATATTAGCAAATGACACATTTGATAAATGACTGTTATCCAAAATATACAAAGACCTATTAATACTGAACAGTAAGAAAATGAACAACACAATTAACAAATGGACAAAAGACCTGAAGAGAAACATCACTAAAGAAGATATGCAGATGGCAAATAATCATATGAAAAGATGTTTCAAATCATGTCATTAGGAAATTACAGAATAAAACAAGATATCACTAAACCCTTGTTATAATGGTCAAAATCTGAAGCACTGACAACACCAAATGCTAATGAGGATGTGGAGCCCTGGGAACTCTCCTTTATTGCTAGTGTGAATGGAAAATGATACAGCCACTTTGGAAGACAGATTAGTAGTTTCTTACAAAATTAAACATACCCTTATCATAAAATTCAGCAATAGTACTTTTTGATATTAACCCCAATTAATAAAAAACTATATGTACACAAAAAACCTGTATGCAGATATTTATATTAGCTTTATCTATAATTGCCAAAACTTGGAAGCAACAAAGATGTGCTTCAGTAGATGAATGAATGAATAAATGGTGGTACATCCAGACAATGGAATATTATTCAACACTAAAAATAAATGAGGATCAAGCCATGAAAAGGCATGAAGGAAACTTAAGTGCATTTTACTAAGTGTAAGAAAAGACAATCTGAAAAGATTTCATACTTATGACATTCTGGAGAAGGCAAAACAATAGAGACAGTAAAATTATTTGTGGTTGTAAAGGGGTTAGGTGGGAGGGAGAGATGAATAATCAGTGTACAGAGGATTTTTAGGGCAGTGAAAATATACAAGGTGGTCTCCCTCGGCCCGGGTTGCAAGGTTCCCCACTGGAAGGTTGGATTACAGAGGGACACTCTTTCCCCCTCTCTCCTCTTGGGATTTCACTCACAGTTCTCAGCAGGAGGCTGACGTACAAGCTGCTTGGCTACCTTCTCTTCCCTGGGATCTGAAGTGTCCTTTGCAAGGATACTTCATAATTGACAATTCTGGTAAATTTCTGTGTTCTTGAATAAAAGATCACAATGTGACTCTCTATACACTATTTTGCTTCTTCCAAGTGGGCAAGGTGCAATGGAAAAGCCTTTAATCTGCCATCACTTCCAGGGAAACAGAGGCTACAGTAGAATCATCTGAGCCCCCTAAAGCCTAGGAGAAGAAATAGTGGAGATGAAGCGGTATATTTTAATATATGCTTATATTTTTACTTTATTGATCTGTTAAAACATAACTTATACAATTAAAATCTTTTTACTATTTTTCTATGTTTAGAATTTTTACTATATTGATCTTAATGCAAAGAAAATTGCAATAAATTGTTGAAATCATATTAGGTAAATTTATCATTTGCCATTATAAAATGTTCATTTTAATGCCTGACCCTGCTTTTAGTTTCAATGTTTATTTGCTACATCCTTATGTTAGGTGTGCAACTTGTAAATTCTGTTTAGTGAGATATTGCAGTTTAATTCATAATTTATATTTTTAATTAAAATGTGTTACTCCTTTATGATTCTGTTTATTTCATGTATAGATAATTCAATATAGGTTAATATCTCTATTTATAGTAAATAGTAATTTACAAAACAATAGTCTAGTTTTTTTATTTTTTTATTTATTTTTTATTTTATTTTATTTTTTTAATTATACTTTAAGTTTTAGGGTACATGTGCACATTGTGCAGGTTAGTTACATATGTATACATGTGCCATGCTGGTGCGCTGCACCCACTAACTCGTCACAGTTTTTTTAATATATAAATTTAAGCTTTCAATACAGCAAAATGCCCAAATAAAAAAATTACATTGAGAAATGTTTAAAAATAGAAAGCATAAAATAAAATACTGGAAATAAGGTCAGATATATGTTACTGAAATAAATAATAATGATTTAAACTACCATATTAAAATATTTAGCTTAGGTTAATTTAAAATAAAATCTTATGGGACTATTGTAAGAGTTAACTGATATCCAGTACATAAAACATTTTTAAAGATATAAAGGACTATCCATATAAATAATTACTACTCTTTTACTCTCTCCAAATTTGGTGATGTGGCTGAATAACACATTCTTAGAATAGTTTACTAATAACTTCAGGCAATTTGTTTCAGTCTGATTATAATTGAAAGCAGATTATGATAAATAATTTCCCCCCAATTTTTAGATGATTAAAATTTTTTGTCACTTTATTATATTTAACTTAATTATTAAAATTATAAATATGTCATATGAATGGCTGATAGCCAAGAAATTTCACATCTGTTTTAATTTTTTACAAGTATTTTGGAAAACTACATTAGATTATGCAAGTAAATGTGAATTTTCTCATTTGTAATGGTAATAATATTATCAATATTACCATCAGTAGTAACTATTAACAAGTTCTCTAATTCCTACTCAAAGTACTGCCTTGAAATATATTTAATAATCCTCTTACCTAATATGTTAGGATAAAAGAAAAAGGTGGAAGGATTTTTTAAACTAACATTAGTAAATATTTATTACTTTTCTTGATTCTAAGAATCATTAAAAGAGCTAAGAAAATTATACCAAGTGAGCTACTAACAGGATTTTATTTGCCTCCATTAATGTCTGTTCTAAAAGCTGTTTATTTGCCCTTGCATTTCTGTATTTCAAGAGAGCCATTAAAGCATTTGGGATCATCATAAACATTATTGACAGGCAATAACTGCTTTTGAAAATATCCATCCAAAATTACAATACTAATCTTATTTGCATTACAATAGAGATGCTTAAGAACTCAGCCTACTTAGAGGAGAGCAAAAGTTGTTGGCTCCATTGTTGTTCCATAAATGATTTTTTATTTGGTATTAATTTTATATCAAGGTGGAATATTGTAAGGGATTTATACAGAAAACTTGATTAACACATTGAAACACATTCTATTCCTAAAATTTATCATCTATATATCTGTCAAAACATGAGTACAAGCAATAGAAAAAGTAGTATTTTTTCTCTTTATCCGCCTGAGATAGTTTTTATTTTTCTACCCTTCTCACATTTTATTTTTTTAAATTCTCACTTTTTCAGAGTAGCCTGAATTTCTCTTCACCTGTACTCAAAGTGCACTTTACCCTGAATTAAATGCTTTCTAGTATTTAATTTATTTATCTTTCTAGTATTAACCATCCATATTTAATAAATATTTGTGTGTTTTTCTTTTATTAGAGGTTACATATTCTAGAGTGCATTCCTTTTGTGACTGACATAATAAAAATAATCCTTTATACTCTATCAATTCATAAATCATTAACATTCTATTGCCATTTTAGTCCAGCCTTGAAAATTTAATAAAAAGATTAAAACATTCAAATTGCTACTTAAAAAGTCAATTTTTAAGTATTTGAGAAATGTTTAAATTTTTTGGAGTAATAAAAATGCAGCATAAACCAAAGCATTACAACTGTAGGAGCCAAGGCCTCCAATCTTCTAGAATCTAAGAACACAGAGAAGGGAAACGCACCATCTACATAAAGAACACTAGAAGTGATCGTGACAGGGGTCAATTTTGTTTGAATACCCTGTTTCTCAAATAAGTATATTCCAGCTGTTCAGTACAGTCTACTTGTCAGACATTGGCTGAATTTATACGCCATTTTCTGGAGAAGAGTGCACCAGCCTCTCAGATTACATGCACTGAGCTGGCACTTCAGCTGAGGAATCAAGTTTTTATTCTACTTTTGTAGCACAACGGTTATTTTACATTTGATGGAATAAAATATTAAGAACTAAAGACAGGCCAGGCGCGGTGGCTCACGCCTATAATCCCAGCACTTTGGGAGGCCCAGGCAGGTGGATCACGAGGTCAGGAGATTGAGACCATCCTGGCTAACGTGGTGAAACCCCATCTCTACTAAAAATACAAAAAATTAGCCGGGCGTGGTGGCGGGCACATGTAGTCCCAGCTACTCGGGAGGCTGAGGCAGGAGAATGGCTTGAATCTGGGAGGCGGAGCTTGCAGTGAGCCGAGATCGTGCCACTGCACTCCAGCCTGGGTGACAGAGCAAGACTCCGTCTCAAAAAAAAAAACACTAAAGACAACACAACAAACAAACAAAATCAGTGAATTCTGTACTCATGAACTTGTTGCTATAACTCCCTTGTCAGAAGATATGTCTGTCCTTTGAACCAAGGCTATATTATGTGATACTATTTCAACAGATGGAACATTCTGTAAACTGCCTTTAGGTGGTGGTGCAGGTACTGAAAGCAAGGAAGACAGTAGCATGCATGGATGTACATGAATTATCTTAAAGATGAGTTGTTACACCTACAGGATCAAAGGGGTTCAATTTAATTGATCTGCCACTGAATAGTTAACTTCAACCAGAAAAATGTTGCCCATTTAAGGATAAACATCAGTCTCTGCCCTTGGCAGGTTGGGTATTCCATGGTGAAAATAGCTAGATCACCCCTTGGGAGGCCAAGGCAAGCAGATCACGAGGTCAGGAGATCGAGACCATCTTGGCTAACACGGTGACCCACCGTCTCTACTAAAAAAAAAAAATACAAAAAATTAGCAGGGCATGGTGGCGAGCGCCTGTAGTCCCAGCTACTCAGGAGGCTGAGGCAGAAGAATGGTGTGAACTCGGGGGGTAGAGCTGGCAGTGAGCTGAGATCAGGGCACTGCACTCTAGCCTGGGCGACAGAGTGAAAAAAAAAAAAGTTAACCATATTTTGCAGTTCATCATCCCTGCCTTCTATTTATGACCCCACTGCTCCCATACTGAAGTAGTGGAAGAAGAAAAGCTGGTCAAAGCACACATGTGAAGTTAACCTGTCTATATCATTGTTGAGTGCCTCTGTTTAAGTTGATGTTTTTTTGATTTTCATTAATGTAAGAAACAAAGATTCACACGCTTTTACCCACTCCCCTAAATAAATCCACACACTGCTTCCTGGGCTCTCCTTGCCCCTGAAGTGCCAATCTTGTTTCTTGCAGACCCTTAAAAATTTGCTACTTTGTGGAGGACCTTTAGGTGACCTTGAAACGACCCGGGTCTTCTGTGCTTCATTCCTACATTTAGCTTTCAGAATAACTGTAGAAGGTGGTGGGAATGCAGTATCTTGAGATAGGGAGGAACTGCCTGAAGCAACCAGGTCTTGTTCCTACCCCTCTTAGAGAATAAATATAATATCTTGAGATAGGGAGGAGCAGCCTGAGGACAGTCTGGGTTTTGTTTCTACCCCACTGGAAGCAGAATATCCTTCAAAGCTTTTTCCAGTGAGTCATGTTGCTGCTAAACTATATGACCCTGATGGATTGCCTTTCAGGGTCCCTTAGCTGTGGTGCAAGTGGGGCATGTGCAATCAAAAATTCATCCATTCTGAGCAGCTTTCTTGAGCCTTGGACCAGTTCACAATGGACCTGAGGCTTCTTTTGCCCCTTTCTGCTTATGGGTAAGTAAGAAACACTTCTTATAATTTGTCACATGTGAGTGTATTCTGTCTCATCAAACTCAGGCAACTGATAAAGCTATAGCCCAAGGTTAGTATGGTGATGATCTTTGCTATCCTCCATGCAGTGGAGTCTTCTCTTGGGATTGGTAATTAACAATTCTGCCCCTTACTGCAAAAAAATTAGAGTAAATTCATATTTCATGATATTTTTCTCTTCATGCAAAGTAGACCAAGTATGCTGTGCAAAACAATGTGAAGATTTTCTTTCACCACTGTCCTTCAGGCCTATCCATGGGTGCATATCTAATCCTATGACAGTCCATTCCTAGTTGCAGCATCATGTCACAATGCACAATCCATGGACAAGAACTGAGTCCTTTATTCCTCTGATGTTAAAGGGAATCATGACGAGTCTAGTTATGTTTTGAGAAAGAAACATCAGAGTTACAGAAATGGGTGATTTGTTTATATATTTTTCTTGGGACTTTTAGCCACGTTGAATGTAATCCTTAATGTGCCACTTCCAATCTAAAATGGATTGCTGCCGTGCCTGTGTGGCTGTTAGATTCAGTGCACTTTATTAACACTCTGCTCATAATGACAAGATCATATCACATAGACATTTAGTACCCGTAGTCAGAATCTCAATTTTGTTTCTGGAACTCTTTTTCTAAAAGAAAGTAGTTTTATAACACAGACTTTGCTCCAAAAATGTATGGGTCTATGCTGTGACTCTCTTAATGAGGCAGACCATAGATACCCACAAATCATATTTATCTACCTAAGACACTTCTGAAACCATGGTGGGTCATATTGTCTAAGACGCAAAAATCTTGCCCTGGAGGCTGCATGGTTATACTGCCCTGTCTTGTCCTAGGCCACATGAAGCTGGCAGCCTTCCAAGTCGCCTAGTAAATGTGTGATCATAGTCTTCCTATGATCATTGTATGAACCTCTAACATCCAAGAGGACCACAAAATGCTGTGAAAGTTTTTAAAATGTGAGATGCAATACCATTTTTACTCTTGCCTTACGCAAGACTATATAATGCTTGGAACTGCTGAAACCTAAACAATTTGTCTTGATAGGACACTAAATTTTTATAAGATTTATTTTTCACCTTCTGGCATGCAGTTGTCTTATTATCACGTCTAGGTTACTTAAAGGTTTTTGCATGAAATCACCAGTCTAGAGGACCAGAATGACAGTCTCCCACTTGTCAAGATGATCACAATCTGTGCCTTTATCTTTGTTAAGTAATGTTGCTATCATCAGAGAGGCCTGCTAGAAATTTAAAATCTCAGATCCCAACCCAGAACTCCTGAATTAGAATCCTAATATTAACAAGATCTCCAGAGAGTTTATATGCACATCAAAATGTAGATGCAGCGGAACACATTATGACAGAGAGCAGGAAAGTTAACAAAGCTTAGAGGCAAGAGAGTGAAAGTACACTGCTGTCTTTGCCAGGTAAGGTCAATTCCTTAAGGCCTGCTCTACTGATGACTATTGAGAATAAGGCTTTGTAAAATCAACAGCTACTTACTAAGTTCAAGAGGCTGTGGTACTTCTAAAAATAAAAGACCTGACAGACTATCTGTGATTAGGGCAAATACCCTGTTTTGCTTATAGTAGTCGATTGTGATCTCAACATTATTTTTGAAAAGGCTGGCCAGGTAAATTGAATGAAGCATATGATGGAGACCACAACCTCTTATGTGTCAAGGTTTCCTGGTGGCCATGTTAATTTATCTGCCCAGTACAAAAATTACGTCCATCTTGGTTCTCATGAAAACGCTGCCACTTGGCGTCTGTCATTCCAGAATCACATAATCATCACTGATGACCATCAATCCTGTTCTGCATCATATATTCACCACAGAGCTTTTCAGACATACCAGTGCTTCCCTTTCATGAATTCCTCATCACCTCTGTTTAAGAAGGGCCCTTCTCTCACCAGTGATAGGGAACATAGATGCTGGATACCTCCACTTATGTAGTAAATCTGTTCCAGTTTAGACACATATCTACATTTCCTAATGTCTTCCCTAAATATCAATTTGATAAATTTCTAACACCTCATCTAATTTTCTGTAGGTTATTTTCGTGTCTAAGTTTCCAGGGGAGATCTCAGAAAACTAACAGGACCAACTCCAAGTTATCTGACATAATATTGAATCCTTTGTTACAAGTGCGCCTTTCTCTATCAATGACTTTTTTTTTTTTTTTTTGAGATGGAGTCTCGCTCTGTCGCCCAGGCTGGAGTGCAGTGGTGCGATGCGGCTCACTGCAAGCTCCGCCTCCCTGGTTCATGCCATTCTCCTGCCTCAGCCTCCCAAGTAGCTGGGATTACAGGCGCCCGCCCCATGCCCAGCTAATTTTTTGTATTTCTTTTTTAGTAGAGACGGGGTTTCACCGTGTTAGCCAGGATGGTCTCAATCTCCTGACCTTGTAATCCACCCGTCTCGGCCTCCCAAAGTGCTGGGATTACAGGCGTGAGCCACTGCACCCGGGCCAATGACTTCTCTTTTTAACATCCTTATATTTTGTTTCCTCTGGCCTATCACCCTAAAAACCCACATTTACTCATGTTCTGCCACTTCTTGTCTAGTCATACAACTGGTTGGCCTATAAGCTATTTCTTCTTGGAGCACAGCTTGTATTTCACTCCAGATTCATTTTCTCTTCTCTGTCAGGGCCTTAATCCCTCTGAATGTCATTACTTAGTTTCTCTTGCCCTCCATTACCCCATTGGTTGCAGCCAATAAAAGTGGGAATAGGACATTGGAAGGTAGTTATGCATTAGACTATTTCCTATTTCTTGTCCCCTACAGTTGCTGTTTTTACTGCACGGTTTTGTTGTTGTTGTTTGTTTTTAGAGACAGGGTCTCACTTTGCCACACAGGTTGCATAGCTCACTGCAGGCTGGAATTCTTGGGCTCATGTGATCTCTTCCAACTCAGCCTCTTGCGTAGCTGGGACTATAGGGACACGCCACCACACCTGGCAAATTTTATTTATTTATTTATTTATTTATTTATTTATTTATTTATTTATTTATTTATAGATGAAGTCTCACTATGTTGTCCAGGCTGGTCTCTAACTCCTGGCCCCAAGCAGTTCTGCCTTGGCCTTCCAAGTAACTGGGATTATAGGTGTGGTCCACTGCACTTGGCCTTTACTCCAGAGTTTAATAGCATCAGTGAGAAGTGCTTACAATCTCTAGTCCTACCAGGAGCCCTGTGAGACCTGGGGCTAAGGAGGATCAAATGACATTATAAATAAAAATAAAAAATACAAGTATAAACTTGGAGAAGATTTTTGCAGTTTATAAAATGGACAGTGCATTAGTATATAAAAAACAATTTTTACAAATACATGAAAAAAGACACACTTAGAAAAATAGACAAAGTATAAACAGACTTTTCACAGAGATGGAAATGCAACTAGTCCAGAAGCATGGAAGATCAGCCTCACAAAATCAGGGAAATGCAAATTAATATAGTATTCCCAATTAATAAAATGGCAGAATGTAAAAATCTGACAACACCAGTGATTACGGGGATTACCAAAAGAATCATTTTTTTTTCATACAGGGCTAATAGGAGTATAAATTTACAAACATATTTTGGAAATATTTGGTATTATCAAAGTTTAACATGTATGCACCCAAAGACCCAGAAAATCTTTCTGGATAGCTATGCAACAATGCTAATAAGAATAGTGTTAATGATTGTACAAAGAGAAAATAATCCAATAAAAATAGATTAATTTTCTGTGTTATATTCTCTAACCCGAATGGTTTACGGCAGTGAAAATGAAAGAATAGTAGCTGCATCTGCTATGAGTACCTCTTAGAAACATAATATTGATTGTAAAAAGAATAATAAAAGCATGCCTAATTAAATATACAAATGCATGTTTATGCATGCATTAGATTTTAAATGCAAGTAAGTAATAAAAATACAAACTGTACAACACATTGTGTTTAGGGATATATATATACTAAAACCACACACATACCAAAAAAAATAAACAAAATTTTATAGTCATCAATATCTACTGGGGATATAGGAAAAAAAGCGATTTTAAAGGGAGAAATATGAAGAATTTAATGTTCTATTTCTTAATCTGAATTGTAGGTGTATTGGAGATTATGTTAGTACTTATTTATACTTCAAGTATATTTTACATATATTATTTTGTATGCATCAAATAATTAAAACACAGAAAAACATTAAATTTTCAGATGTTAGCTGGGGTTGGGGATTGACCTTCAAGTGAGTTATATGTTCATGTGTGTATGTGTGTATAATGTACTCATTTGTCATTTTTGTTTGTTTATCTATGGCATCCTTACATATAAATGTAATATAATCATTTAATTATGATCTATAAGTACTTACATATCATTATAGTACTTCTTTTAAATTTACTTTTAAAAACTGCTCAATATATAATTCTTATGCTCATATGAGATCCTTGTGGAGCTGACAAATATGCCCCTCTCCATTTTATTTCAACATCTTTCTCTTCACTTAAGGCAGCAACATGTAATGAAGAAAAATAGTATTTCAGATTCAAAACTGAAAGATCAGAAAAGTACATGTAAAATAAAGTATCCCCCTTTCACTTCCCATGGAGAACCCACTTCTCTCATTCTGGTAAATGAAATGCCACATATGTAAAAATGGTTTTTACAAAGCATTCATTACACAGCCGTGAATAAACTTTATATTTAATGCCCTGAAATCAGATTTCTTTATTAAGCTGAGCTTGGCATACTTTAGACCCAGAGGTCTGTCTATTGAATGTGTGTTCATTAAGTTTTGCTGTATTCAGAACTGGAGGTCATCTCTTCCAAAAAATTTTTTACAGGAGTAGATTGGCCATTAATAATTTAAAGCCTTCCAGCTAAGTAGCCGACACAACGCTAGAGTCTAAAGTAGTATTTTATTAACCCCTAATGTATTAAACCTCTTTTAAGAATCTGGTTTTTGTTCTTGATATCTTATAACCATTTTTTTCACAATAGTAGTTCAAAGCTTGTGGCCAAAGGGAGTAACAATTGAGAAATACCACTACCTCTTTACCAATAAAATAGTCATGAATAATTAACAGATTCTATTAATATATTCTGCCACATTAGGTTTTGTCATTATGATATTAGATTTTTGTTTCTGCATAAAACTCCAAAACAAGTCTAAAAGGAAATGTACATCCCATTGTGAATTTGGAAGATATATTTGGAAAAAAATAAGTTAATAATTTTTAATAAGCTTGTACTCAATTTATTTATATTAAAAGATCAAGCTACTTTATTTGTCAAATATATATAAGCATTATACATATACCATGGTATTTATGTACATATATATTCATTCTTACAGGTTTTAGAAAGCACTTTAAAAAATAATTCATTTGAATCAGCTTTTAATGAAAATAGTATTTCAATTATCTGAATACATCACTTTTTTTTCACTTTTTCCATAAATAATCTAAACCTGAAGCTGGTACAGAAAGCTCCATAGGAAATCTTAAGAAAACTAGAAATAAGTTAAGAAGACATATTACAGGAGATTAGCAACTCATTGCGGGCATCAAGAAATTCCCTAGGGGGGAAAAATGTTTATACATAAACAGCAACTTTCCTAAGTGACCTGGTGTCCACAGAATCTTTGCCAAATTTCTGTTTTGGGCAGGTAAAGAGCCTACAGATATAATCGAGTTGAAAATCTGAATGTATTAGTCCTGCATTTCAGAATAGGAAGAGATGACTTAACGTCAATAGATAGTAGCAAAGGCAAAACTGAAGGGGTAATTCAAGCTCAGTAGAAAACCATTGTGAAAATTGTACTCCAGATTGGTATATATAATGTTACACCTCTTCTGACTGCTTATCCTGTTAGGATATCCAAATACAGAATCGGTTTGGGGACATTTCAAGGTCATTGGCAATATTTATTATTTGTTTTTGTTTGACTGTTACTTCAATATACCCATCTGCTATTTCAAATATTAGAGCAGGCCATGATTGAATACACTTCGAACTGTTCAATGGCCTCACCATTCCATGTGCCTGCTTTCAGGAGACTACATAAGAGAGGATGGAGAAATAAAAGAGTCAGTGAAGATTTATCTGCACAGTTGGGAAAATGAGAAAGTAATTCAGTACAGATAATGGTGGCTTTGTGAAAAATCAGCATATTAAGCATTTAGCTCAGCATATTCTGTCACTTTTTAGCAGATTGCCATGCAACGCATTATACTTTCAATCACTTGCAGTTTAATTTACATTATCTATATAATTAAATATAGAACAAAATTAAGAAATAATTCAAAATAACTTATAACTTAATATTTCATCATCTAACTGTTCATCATGTAATATTCAATTGGATCAGAAAGTAAACAGGAAAATGCATATTTTATGCATAAAATGTGAACATATTTGGTAATATTTTTAGAAAATCCAAGAGCCGAAAATGCATATGAAATCCTATTTTGCTTACATAGAATAGTTTCAGGCTAGTACTTCATGCCATCATCTCTAGTTTTATATGTTTCTGAGCAATTAACAAAAAGTCCAACTAAAATTGGCTTATGCTAATAGTGAATTCACTGTCTCATTTAACTGAAAAGCCCAGGAAGAAGTAGCCTCAGATATATCTTGATAAAGGTGTAAACAATGTTCTAGAACATACTTTTTTCTCTCTTATGTCTGTTGTGTGCTATCCTGGCTCCCTTCTCAGTTATCCCTGCACAAATAATTTTCAGAGAACAGAAAAAATTTCAGAGGTATACCCTTCTAGGATCAAGTCCTCCAGAAAAGAGTCACCATGCTTCCTGTAGAGTTCAAAATTATTATCACTGTTCTTATTGTCCCTGGCCAGTCTGAACTGGGTTAAGTATGCATCCAATGCTTGAACCAATCACAGAAGTAGAGTGCTTTACCTGAACCGCTTAAAGTAAGAGAAGGATAGTGTCTGGGAAAGGAGAGCAAGGTACTGTAGTAACACAATTGGGTGTGATTGATGAGTAAGAAAACAACAAACAAGAAAAGTTCATTACAGTGTCCAGGTCCCACATCTGTTCCCATGCTTAAGGGAGAATATGTTAGAACCCAGAGAATACAACCAGTTACATGTTACCTAACAATGGGGATATATTCTGAGAAATGTAACTTTAGACAACTTTGACAGTGTGTGAACATCATAGAATGTACTTATGAAAACTTAGATGGTATAGCCTATTACACACCTAGGCTATGTGATATGGCCTACTGCTCCTAGGCTACAAACCTGTACAGCATTGTGCTGTACTGAATACAGTAGGCAACTGTAGCTCAATGATAAGGATTTGTGTATCTAAGCATATCTAAAGAGTAAAAATACGATATAAAAAATGTAACATACAAAATACTAAAAATGGTACACTTGTATCTAACACTTACCATGAATGGAGCTTGCAGGATTGGAAGTTGCTCTGGGTGAGTCAGTGAGTGAGTGGTGAGTGAATATGAAGGCCTAGGACATTACTGTACATTACCGTAGACTTTAAAAACATTACATACTTAGGGACACTAAATTTATTAAAAATCATTTTCTTCGGCCGGGCACGGTGGCTCATGCCTGTAATCCCAGAACTTTGGGAGGCCAAGGCAGGTGGATCACCTGAGGTCAGGAGTTCGAGACCAGCCTGACCAAAATGGAGAAACCCCATTTCTACTAAAAATACAAAATTAGCTGGGTGTAATGGCACATGCCTATAATCCCAGCTGAGGCAAGAGAATCGCTTGAACCTGGGAGGCAGAGGTTGCGGTGAGCCAAGATCGCGCCATTGCACTCCAGCCTGGGCAACAAGAGTGAAACTCTGTCTAAAAAAAAAAAAAAAAAAAAAAAAAAAATTCTTCAATAGTAAATTAGCCTTAGCTTACCGTAATTTTTTACTTTATAAACCTTTTAATTTTTTAACATTTTGACTCTTTTGTAATAATACAGTTTAAAACACAAACACATTGTAGAGCTGTACATAAATATTTTCTTTCTTTATATCCTTATTGTATAAGCTTTTCTTATTTTTATATTTATAAATTTTTGTTTTCTTTTTTTAAAACTTTTTGCTCGAAACTAAGACACAAACACACATTAGTTAGTCTAGGCCTACACAGGGTCAGAATCAACAATATCACTGTCTTCCACCTCCACATCTTCTCCCACTGAGAGGCCTCCAGGGGCAGTAACACGCATGGAGCTGTCATCCGTCATGATAACAACGCCTTTTCTTTAAATACTGCCACAAGGACGTGCCTGAGGCTGTTTTGTAGTTAACTTTGTTTTTTTAAGTGGAAGTGCACTTTAAATCATAAAAAGTGTAGTATCGTAAATACATAAACCAGTAGCTAGCACAATCATTCATTATCATTATCAAGTATGATGTACATAATTGTATGTCCTAGAGTTTCATACAACTAGCAGTGTAGTAGGTTTGTTCATACAAGCATCACCATAAACACGTGAGTAATGTGTTGCGCTATACCGTTATGAAGGCTAGGGCATCACTAGGCCATGGGAATTTTTCAGCTCTGTTATAATTTTATGGGCCCATTATTGTACATGGGTCCACCATTGACTCAAAGGTCTTTACATGGCACATGACTGTATCAGGCTTCAAAGGAGGTGCAGAGAAGTCTCTAGAATAATTTTGGTATTGTACGTAATGCATTTTAGGGGACTTGGTGTGGCAGTAACTGGTCGGGAGAGATTTGTACTGGAGCAAGGAAAATACAGAGCCAATGAGCTGTCAGAAAGCTGTGTGGTTCAGGGCATAAATTGTATCACCTTCTCCAAATCTTCAGTTCAGTTGCCAGTTCTCAAATTATGAAAGGCAAGGTTATCTTATTTTAAAAGTTACCATCAGGCTCTCGAGCTGGATCAACAGGAGCTGATAACAAGGAGTAGGACAAATCAGCAGAAGCCTGATTTCTGAATGAAGCCTGACTGCTTAGTTAAGCCAGCTGGATTCAGAAATTATAGGAAAGATTTTGACTAAAAGAAGTTGTGGATTTGGGAATTTGACTCGAGTTCTCAGGATCACTGTGGATAATATTCTTGGAGAGTAATATTGTCTGTTCAGTGAAGTGAGTATTGGGGACCACCAATAAACACTCATTTTTTTGTCCAAAGTTTGCCTTAATACCAAGAACTTGTACTCTAAAAGGAAACTTAAACATTCTAATCACTAACTTATGTGACCTTGCACACATTATTTAGCCTATTTAACTCTGTTTTCCCAGTTGGTTAAATTTGTCCATTTAACTTTTATGCAGAAATTTGGTCCCAATTATGACTGTTACTTCTAAAGCACTTATCAAATTATTTTGCTAAATGGTAGCTCTATACTTGGAAAGCATATGAAGAAGCTTACATAAATTAATATAAGCCACCTGCTTCATTGGCTAACATTTAATAAGCCCTCAGTAATTATAAAACACTTTTCCTTATAGATACAATTTATACAAAAAGATTCTTATATAAACATTGTTTTCCAATCACAATAAAGATAATAGGCTAAACAGAGAAATAAGCAAGAGTCCCCAGCCCTCATGTGAATTTGTTAGTGATATCTAGGTAAGCAAATACAGGCGAAATGCTAGAAAAGAAAGGATATGTCTTTTAGTGTCTATAATTTTATAAATACTTCAATTTTTATGGAATTTTTGACATGCTATTTTTATTTAATATTTTTTTGTTTTAATGGCAATTTTAAATGTGTAAATATTCAAACTTGCTTCTATCTTAAAATATGTCATATTTTGAAATTATTTTCTACTTCAGTATTATTAAAATATGTATTCATATATTATTGGGTAGTTTATTGCTTTAGGCTTTATTTTATCTTATTTTGATAATATTTAAAAATATAAAACAGCATATCTTATTTTTTCAATTGTGAATTTTATAAACATTTCAGACTTTTTTCTCTATAATGGACACTTTTTTTTTTCTGTCACCCAAGCTGGAGTGCAGTGGCGCAATCTCGGTGTACTACAATCTCAGCTTCCTAAGCTCAAGTGATTCTCCCACCTCAGCCTCCCCAGTAGCTGGGATTATAGGCGCACACCACCATGCCTAAGTAATTTCTGTATTTTTAGTAGAGACAGCATTTCACCATGTTGGTCAGGCTGGTCTCAAACTCCTGACCTCAGGTGACCTACCTGCCTCAGCCTCCCAAAGTGCTGGGGTTACAGGCATGAGCCACTGAGCCCAGCCTATAATGGACACTTTTTTATTCATTTCATAATTTGTGTCAAGATTAATTTACATGAATTTATTAAACATACTCTATTGCATAAAATGATGTATAATAATATTTTCACTGTTTTTCTCAGGAAAAGAGAAAGCCTCATAATCATAAATTTATATATAACGTGGCTTATGAAAAGAAGAATCATCAAATTTATTGTCTACACAATAAGAAGGACAAAGTAGATTCCATATTCTTGGATATGGAAAACTGGCAAAGGGGTCTTCACAACAATTGAGTGTATTAGCAAGTTTGCATTGGAAAAATATGAGGAGGATAAAAGTGGGTTTTTTTCATTATTGAAAAATCAAATCTCACATCTTCTTGATCATTAAAGCTTATTTCCAAGGAAGTATTTCTGTAAAGGATATTATACTTTCAAAAATGTATCTCTAGTCTTGTACATTTGAAACTAAAAGTAGAGTAGCCTAAGGTATTAACCAAAAAGTAATTACCTAGGAGATAATAGAGTTTTTCTCACATAATAACATATTAAGAATTTTAATTTAGAAACACTTTCACAAACATTATTCATTAATTTATTCATTCTACTAATATTATATTGAGCCTAATATAAGTCAGGTAAAGTTCTAGGTGCTAAATAAAAAGTTGGTAAGTCACAGTTCATTCTTCAAGGAAGGATAACTTTTGGGGAGGTGGTATAGAAATGGAGACATGGGCAGTATGACATTGTATTGTGCAATGTATGAAGCACATCAAGCAATCAGAGCAAGTATGATGCATAATCTACAAATTCAACTTCAGATATTAATTTTTCTGTACTTTTTATACTTCATTTCTACTATTTTGAGGGAATATTTAAGCATTCTTTCCAGGGCTCCACAACTCCACAAAATAAAATTATGTCTTGTATTTAGAATCGTATATTTTCCATAGCATAAGGCTTGGTGACTTAATCCATCTTTCATTCAGTGGGTGCCTTTAGGTTGCACTGCACTCTGGAGTTTCTGTATCATACAAGCTCAAGGTATGAGCATTTTTGAGGGACCACACATTGTCCTGAAGTTTCTTAGTATGTCATACAATCCTTTTTTCCATTGGTTTTGCCAACTTCCTGGCTGTTTCACCAGGAAATTTCACAGCTATGCCAAGCATAAGATTTTTCTTTCTCATTTTGTAAACTGAGGAAAACTTTTCTTTATTGTTTCCAGTAAAATATGTATTTCCTTCTCCATCATTCTTTCTTGCTTGCTTCTTACTAAGACATTTTTTTCTACATCCTATATCTTCTTTCCCCTCTGAGGCTTGAGATTTGAAGCAAAAAAGACATGGCTTATTCCTAGGCTCTTTCAACTTTATTCACCATATCATCCATATTCTTATGTTATCTTATCCTTATTGGTTGTTAGTGTCTTTGCTCGAAGGATTAGGTGGGTAGAAATATGAGAGAAAATTATTTCCCAATGAAACCTAAATTTAAAACTTTAAACTACAAATCTTTTAAAAGAAAATGTAGGAAAAATATTTATGATCTTGAATTAGGGAATAAATTTTGAAATATGGCACTAAAGCCTGAGCCATACAAAAAGACATTATGCTTTATAAATACTGAGATCATTTGTTCTGTGGAAGATATTATTGAGAACATACAACTGAAAGTCCCAATCAGGAATACAATATTTAAAAATCACATTTCTTGAAAAAATTGACATCCAGGACATATAAAGGACACTGAAAACTTAACAAGGTAAACAAATAATACACTAGGCAAAAGATCTAAACAAGCAGATTACCAAAGAAAGTATAAGGATAACAAAGAAACATCAGATCAGCACAACAAATAATTAGAAAAATGTAAATTAAAATCAAGATGCTGTTACATAGTTATTAAATAACTAAAAACAAACAAAAAAGTAAACGCATCTTGCTAAATGAAAGAAACCGAACACAAAAGGTAACATTTTGTATGATTGCATTTATAAGACATTCTGGAAAAGTGCTATTCAGAGACCTTGCATGGGGGGAAGTGTTGACAGCAAACTGGAGGCACAATTGTTGTAGTGATAGAACTATCCTGCCTTATAAATGTTTGGTGGATTTATGGCTGTATGTATATATGTCAAAACGTAGGGATTTGTAGGCCGTAAAGATAGAATTTTAGTGTGTGTAAATTAAAAAACACCATTTTGGATATTGAAGGAACCCAAACTGTATTCCAAAATTGAATAGAAACTTTAACAAATAATTATTTTGGCCGGGTGCATTGGCTCACGCCTGTAACCCCAGCACTTTGAGAGGCCGAGGCGGGTGGATCCAAAGGTCAGGAGATCAACACCATCCTAGCTAACACAGTGAAACCCGTCTCCACTAAAAATACAAAAAATTAGCCGGGTGTGGTGGAGGGTGCCTGTAGTCCCAGCTACTCGGGAGGCTGAGGCAGGAGAATGACATGAACCTGGGAGGTGGAGCTTGCCATGAGCCGGCATCTTGCCACTGCACTCCAGCCTGGATGACAGAGAGAGACTCTGTCTCAAAATAATAATAATAATAATAATAATAATTTACAATTTTACTCTTGTAAATACACTCGAGGAAGTAGGGAAGTAAAAAATATAATCCAAGTTACTTTGAAAAACAGTATTTTGAGTAGCTGATATAACACAAAGAACAAAGAAGACTGCAAAAGTTTGTCTTCTGAGAGGGTCTAGATATAGTGAAATTCCACTAGTGGTTTCTAAGTCACATTTTCAAATAAAATGAACAAGCATTCCTTGAAAGAGTAGTTAATTCCAGAGTTCAGACAGAAAAAATTCATAATGATCCTGGAGAATGTTGTGATGCCAGAAAAAAGGAAGTGCACAATAAAGAATGGGTATCTCGAAAGAGCACAGGAACCAAACTAAAGAATTTCCAACATGGACATAAAGATGGAGACACGTGACTCTAGGGACTCCAAAAGGGTGGAAGGTGAAAGAAGCATGAGGGTAGAAAAATTACCTATTTGATACAATGTTCAATATTCGGGCAATAGGTACTCTTGAAGCCCAATCCCTACATGTAATATCCATGTAACATATGTACCCCCTGTATCTAAAATAAAATTTTTTGAAAAGAATTTCCAATTACCAAAGCTGAAATAATTTGACAAAAGGAACAATAACCAAATTGAATAATGATGATTTATAACCTGCAGAATAAAATAAATAATCATGAGTTCTTACTACTAAATAAATAAATAATAAAATAAACAAATGAGGGAGAAGGGACAGTTTATCCTAAACAAAGAATTTAAATTATTAAATGTAGAATGGAAAAAAAAGATTTTTTGAAAACTACTCTAAAATATCTTCGTAATAACTGCTGCAGTCAAGATCCACTGCTACTTAAATGCAAACTTTAGTGATTAAAATATTGAGGAAAAATAGGATACTTGCAGAGCACAAACTATCTCCCCCAAGATATGTATTAATTAATTACAAAGGAGAAAATAATGACTTTTTAGTGAAGAAAACTGACTGAGACCACCTTAACCAGTGATTGTGGTTAGCATCACCAGTAATAAGACATATTAACAACATAAACTTAAATACATTACACTGAGGAGGGAACAACACTTGTGTAATATGCTTGTCAAAAGTAAAAAACCTCTATCTACATGAGAAAACATCCAGCAAACTCAAATAAGGGAACATTCTACAAAATAACCAACAATTACACATCAAACGTGTCAAAGTCATAAAAGATAGATACTGAGGAATTGCCACAGATTGGAAGAGACTAAGGATACATGACAACTAAATGCAATGTAAAATCTTGGATTAAATTCTATAACAGAAAAAGGATACTAATGGAAAAACTGGTAAAAATCCAAATGAAGTCTATAGGCTGGTTAATAGAATTGTACTCATGTTAATTTGTTAGTTTTAGTAATCACACTATGTTTATGCAATATATTAACATTAGAGAAAGGTGAGTAAAGGGCATATTTAAACCGCATTATTTTTGTCACTTTTTATAAATCTAAAATAATTTCAAAATAAAATTTAAAAATTTGCTTTAGCATTTTTATGAGTATCAGTAATTGAATTTAGAAGGTAATTATGTAGAAATTTGGTGTATAAATATATTTTTGTCATCAGTATGAAGGGCCTTCAAAAAGTTTATTAAAACATGAAATTAAAGGATAAAAAGAAAAAATATATGTTTTATTTCTCAACATACACTCCATCAAATCAAGACACTTGTGGAAGCAATGATACCAGTTTTGAGTCCATTGCTAAAAAACTGAGGTTCTAGGAACTTAACCATATCAATGCAGTATTCTTTATGTTATTAACTAAAGAAAAATGGGTGATTTTTTTAAAGATTATAAAAAAATACAGATCAGAAGTTGCCAAATAAGAACTAGATGGTGGATGCTTAATAATTTCCATCTAAATTATTGCAAAATTGCCTTTGTTTAATGAGAGGAATGAGCAGAAGCATTGTCATTGAGAGGTGAAGCCTGCTGGACTTCCTGGGTTGAGTGGGGACTTGGAGAACTTTTCTGTCTTACAAGAGGATTGTAAAAATGCACCAATCAGCACTCTGTAGCTAGGATTGTAAATTGCACCAATCAGCGCTCTGTAGCTAGCAAGAGGATTGTAAATTGCACCAATCAGTGCTTTGCAAAAACACACCTATCAGCACTCTATAGCTAGCAAGAGGATTGTAAAATGCACCAATCAGTGCTCTGTAAAATGCACCAATCAGGGCTCTGTAAAATGCACCAATCAGCGCTCTGTAAAACGTGCCAATCAGCAGGATCCTAAAAGTAGCCAATCACAGGGAGGATTGAAAAAAGGGCATTTCTGATAGGACAGAAACGGAACATGGGAGGTAACAAACAAGGGAATAAAAGCTGGCCACCCCAGCCAGCAGAAGCAACCCTCTCCAGTCCCCTTCCACGCTGTGGAAGCTTTGGTCTTTTGCTCTTCAAAATAAACCTTGCTACTGCTCATTCTTTGGGTCCACGCCATCTTTAAGAGCTGTAACACTCACCGTGAAGGTCTGCGGCTTCATTATTGAAGTCAGCAAGACCACGAACTCAGCGGAAGGAACCAACTGTGGGCACATCAGGGTGAAAAAGGAGTCTCTGATGAAGCTTTCTTGTGTGTTTTCATGCTGAAACTTTGGCTAACTTTCTCAAAACACTTTCATAATAAGCAGATGTTATCATTATTTGTCCCTCCAGAAAGTCAGCAAGCAAAATGCCTTGTGTATATCAAAAACCTGTTGCCATGACTTTACTCTTGACCAGTTTGCTTTTTCTTTGACCAGATCACTTCTACCTCTTGATAGCCATTGCTTTGATTGTGTTTTGTCATCAGGATTATACTGGAAAACTCATGTTCCATCTACTTTATAATTCTTTGAAAAAATGCATCAGAATATTAATGTCAATTGTTTAAAATTTTCATTGATAGCTCTGCTCATGTCTGCAGCTGATCTTGGTGCAGTAGTTTTGGCACCCATCAAGTGGAAAATTAATTCACCTTCAATTTTTAGTAAGAATTGTGTACAATGAACAAATAAAGATGTCTATAGTGTTGGTTATTGTTTGTACTGTTAATTTTAGATCCTCTTCAATTAGGACATGAACAAAATTAACTTTTTCTCAGAAATTGATGTACATAGTTTACCACTGCAGGCTTCATCTTCGATGTTGTCTTATCTTTTCTTAAGATGAGTATTTAAAAATCATCATTTGTAAGATGCTGATTTATTTGGAGCATTGCCCCCATAAACTTTCCATAAAGCATCAGTGATTCCACCATTTTTGCACACCAGCTTCACCATAAATTTGATGTTTTTCTTGTTTAAATTTTAGCAGAATTTATGTTGCTCTGATAGGAGTTTATTTTGAAATGATGTCTTATCCTTCCTAGTGCCTCAAACTAGATCTTGTTTGAATGTGTTATAACAAATTACTACAAGTTTATTTTGGTGCAAAAAAATAGAAATCCATGAATAGGTTTTGTATATTATGCATTTTTCATGAACTCTTTGAAGACTGTTGTATATCAAATATATGTAATGTATATTTATATAATGTATCAAATTTGTAATAAATAGACTATATATACTGTACCAGGAAAGATGCAAGAGAAAAATAGAATTATAAGGTATGTCATCTGACAGAGTTATGGGGCTCATTGATCTAAGCAACATAGAGTGACAGGGTGGACAAAATTAAAATTGATTCTAGATTTCAGACTTCATAAAATAAAAATATATTTACAATTGTATAAATTATAGGCAAAAAAAATCCAAAAAAAAATCAAAAACAATAATTGCACACTAATGACATCTTAGGAAAATGTGAAGTCAATACCTGATATTCTGGGTACTTGTGGGACAACTAAATATTCTAAAGAGAGTTGGAAGTTAAGTCTAAAGAATACTTCAGTAAAAGTAATAAATAAATAAGATTAAGGTGATTTTACCGTCCTCTCACCTGGAAAGTATTGGAACCAAAGTGTTCTTTCTGTTTGTCTTGTGGTAGTTTATTAAGTGATAATTTCCTATATAAAAATACTAAAAGAAAATTCAAAATCAATCAGAAATTCATTAGTTATGAACTGTTTATGTAGAATCAATGAGCTCTCTAGAGTAATTGATTCACAATATAAGCAATTGGATCTTGAGAGAAAAGTACATGATTAGTATAGTCATGTTTGACCCAAAGAATCAATAATATATGATTCAAAATACAAGTCCAATGAAATAACAAATGAGAACATAACATTTCTATCAATGTTAAAACAAGGTATTTTTATCTAAAATAAACATTTTTTTCTTAAGCTTCATATTTTGATTATTTCACCTATCATATATACAGTAGTGACAAGAGTTATTTTCTCAGTTTACATAATATATGTATGACAACACACATTGGGACAGCTAACAATAGCAGGAGCATGTTAATTTATGTTGATTATTGTGATAACCTTAGGCTTTTACAGAGTAGAGTAGGACCTAGAACCATGACAGGATAATTAACACAAGTGGAATGCAGTGTTATCTGGTGGGAAGAATATACAAAGGAGTTCATGCCTTAGATCTAGCTCTGCCACAGTTAACTTCTTCATTATCTAAAAAAGTGAAATAAGTGATGGCTGATCTTGCCTCTATTACTCTTTCATCACATGTGATTTAAACCAAGTTAATCAGTGTCTTCCAACTGTCTGCCCATGTAGTTGGTAAAGCTTTATCACAGATATTGAAGATGAGTAGCTTTCTCTTCTGAGATTGCTAAAGTGTTAGGATGAAAGCCAGAGGAGTTGGGCCAAATATCTGGATGAGGCACACTGCATCTATGGTCATATGCATCTAAACAAAGTATTGACATGGAAAAATACACACACACACACAGCAAAGAGAGAGAGACAGAGAGAGAGAACACATAACACAAGTATAATTACATTACTATTTTTTTATACTCATTTTAATGTTATTCCTGCCAGCCTCATGAGGTCTGTTTTATTTACCATGGAATTCTCAGGACATGTAAGTTTCTGACAGAGTACAGTCAATATATGTAGAAAACATAGATTAATTTAGCTTTGGTTCCCACAGAAGCAAAGCCTAAACAGAGATTTGATAGCATACCAGTAAGGAAAAGGTAAAGAGGGAAAGACAGATAATAATGTGCATTATTGGGCTGGTTACCACTGTAGGTAACTGGAGCTTGATCCTGCTGGAGTGCTCTGGAAGCTTTATTAGAACATACAATTCAGTTATCTCTCTTGAATGTGAAATAAGCTAGAATATTTATTTATAGCCTCCTGTCACTCAGTAAAAGGGTGCTCACAAAGTTCATTTTCCCCTACCCCGATATTTTGGCAAAATAGGCTCTGATGTCCAGAGAAAGTGCGATGAGTTCAATATCAGGCAATGTGCACTGATGTGGTAAGAGCAAAGGGTTCGCACTGACATCTGACATCTGACACCATCTAATCCATGGAACAGTTAATTGAATACATGGTTCCAGTCTTCTCAGGGTCAACCAGAAAATCCCTACTTGATGTAGTTTGAATGTTTGATTCCTGCAAACCTTATGTTGAAATTCGATTCCCAATATTGGAGGCAGGACCTAATGGAAGGAGCTAGGTCATGGGGCTGAATACCTCATGAATAGAATGATGCCACCTCTGGCAGGGGTAAGGAAAGCTGAGTGAGCTCTCCCTTTATTCATTCCTGAAAAAATTGGATGTTAAAATGAGCCTGGTACCTTCCCCTACCCCTTTGCTTCCTCTCTTGCCATGTGATCTTTGCACACACTAGCTTCCCTTTGCTTTTTGCCATTAGTGGAATCAGTCTATGGCCCTTACCAGAAGCCAAACAGATGCCAGTAACATGCTTCTCAAACAGCCTGCAGAACTGCAAGCTTCAAATAAGCCTTTTTTGTTTATTCATTACCGAGTCTCAGGTATTCCTTTATAGTAGCACGAAACAGACTAAGACAGGACTATCTTACTTTTCTAGTGCTTCTGTAGAAAAGTACAGAAAACTAGGTGGCTTAAACAATAGAAATTTTTATTGTCACAGTTTTAGAGGCTAGAGGTCCAAAATCAAGGAGTCAACAAGATTTGTTTTTTCTGAGGATCATGAAGGAGAATCTGTTCCATTACTGTCTCTTCTGGTAGCCTCAGATGTTTCTTGGTTTACAGATGGCATTCTTTCTGTGTCTTCACATCTTCTTCTATGCACATCTATCTCTGTGTCCAAATTTCCCCTTCTTATAAAGACATCAGTCATATTGAATTAGGACCCATCCTAATGATTTTGTCTTAACTTGATCATCTATAGTCATATTACTAATAATCCATAGGAAGGTCAAGGCCCCTCACATATCATTTCTCCTTTAAAAGTATAGTGTAGTACTATGGTAAGTGTCTTGCTAAAATGCAGATAAATCATTCATACTGTTTAATCCTGCCTATGAATTCCAATCATGTGCTAAAGGAAATCAATGTAGTCTGAAATGAAGTCTTCATTGTGAACTCTCCACTAGCTCTTCATCAAAGGATTAGCATCATTGACTTTAGAATTAAACAGATGTGTCTCATTTTCACAATTTCTTCTGATTTTCTTGAGATAGGTACCCACTCATGAAATTTTTTTTCAACTTTTGATACAGATCTGGATAAAATAAATATTTTACTGCCCTCCAAACTTTTTATTTAAAATGGCATTTAATATCAATTAATGCAATATGCCATATCAGTAAATGACAAAAGTCACATTATCACCTCAACAAACACAGAAAAAAAGCACTTGAGAAATTATAACACCCCTTCATGACTAAAAAAAAATACTCCACAAGCTGAGAATAGAAGGAAATCTTCTCAATATGATAAGGAACATCTTCAAAAACCCCATATCTAACATCATATTTAGTGGAGAACATATTCCCCTTAAAATCAAGCATAAGACAAGGATGTCTTCTCTTACCACTTCTATTCAATATTGTTCTGGAGGTTCTAATCAGGGTGAATAATCAAGAAAATAAAAGAAAATGCATCTCAATTTGAAAAGAAGAAAGAAAATTATATTTGCAGATGATATAATTTTGTATATAGGTAATCATAAAGAATCTACAAAAAATTATTAGAGCTAATAAATGATCTCTGCAAGGTTTCAGGATGCATGCTTAATATATGAAAATCAATTGAGTTTTCATACTGTAGCTTTTTTCAAACTGAAAATTAAATTAAGAAAACAATTTTATTTACAATAACATCAAAAATTAAATAGGAATAATTTAACAAAAGGCATGCAAAACATATACCCTAAAAACAATACAGCACTGTGGAAAAAATTAAAGAAAACCTCAATAAATGGAAAGGTACCCCATATTTGTGGATCAAAAAAATTAACATTATGATGATAATATTCTGTAAATTGATATACAGATTTAATGTACTCTTCCTCAACACTGGAACTGATTTCCTTGCAGAAATTACAAGGGAATACTAAAATTCATGCTAAAATTTAAGGGACCCAGAATAGCCAAAACAATCTTTGAAAAGAACAAAAACATTCCCTGATTTCAAAACTTACTACAAACTTACAGTAATCAAGACGTTATGGTATTGGTATAAGAATAAACACATAGATAAATAAAATAAGATTGAGTGTCCAAAATTAAAGTCATGTTTTTGGTCAATTACTTTTCAAGAAGGGTTCGAAGATAGTTAAATAGGAAAATAATGGTGTTTTCAACTATTTTCTAAGTCAATTGGATAATCATATTAAAAGAAGAAATTTGGACCTCTATCTCAAGCCATGTACAAAAACTAACTCAGAATGTATCAAAAACTTACATGTAAGAAGTAAGGTATAATGTAAAGAAGTTTTGTCTTTAAATGTGTGGTTAAAACATCGTATGTTCTCACTCATAAGTGGGAGCTAAGCTATGAGGATGCAAAGGCATAAGAATGACACAATGGACTTTGGGGAATCAGGAGAAAACGGAGGGAAGAAGGTGAAGGATAAAAAACTACAAATAGGGGGCCGGGCGCGGTGGCTCACGCTTGTAATCCCAGCACTTTGGGAGGCCGAGGCGGGCGGATCACGAGGTCAGGAGATCGAGACCATCCTGGCTAATCGGTGAAACCCAGTCCCTCCTAAAAATACAAAAATACAAAAAATTAGCCGGGCATGGTGGCGGGCGCCTATAGTCCCAGCTACTCGGAAGGCTGAGGCAGGAGAATGGCGTGAACCCGGGAGGCGGAGCTTGCAGTGAGCCGAGATAGCGCCACTGCAGTCCG
The DNA here is from genome assembly GCF_000001405.40 of Homo sapiens. Classification (NCBI taxonomy): domain Eukaryota; kingdom Metazoa; phylum Chordata; class Mammalia; order Primates; family Hominidae; genus Homo; species Homo sapiens. Next base: position 64,979,044 of record NC_000010.11, on the reverse strand, counting down.
GCCTGGGCGAAAGAGGGAGACTCCGTCTCAAAACAAAACAAAACTACAAATAGGGTGCGGTGTATACTGCTCGGGTGATGGGTGCACCAAAATCTCACAAATCACCACTAAAGAACTTACTCACGTAACCAACCATCCCCTGTTCCCCAATAACTTATGGATATAAAAATAAATAAATAAATGAATAAATAAATACACCAGGCAAATGATAAATGTCAAAAATAAAAAGTAAATTAAAAAAATGTGTGGTTAACTGGTTAATGATGATATTGTGTGTGTATTTTCTCGTCTCTTGCTGCTGACATACATCTAAGATGTTTAAAAAGATTTGTGTATATCAAAATGTTTATTATTTAGGTTGCATGTGTAATCTGTAAATTAAGTTTGAAAAGGCACAATGAAGGCTTTCAAAGAGCAAGGATTAGCAAGAGGACAAAAAATTTTGATTTTAGACGCTGAGGCAAACACAATAATGACTGAAGTAGCTGTGAATATAATGCCATTGTAATGTAATTAAATTTCATATCTTTATTGAAAAGTAAATTCCACCCCTACCCCCTACTACAACAAGACTCCAGATGGCAAGGTAAAGTTTTGCAAACTGTATATGAAACCAGAGAAAGCATATTTTAACATAATTTAAAGTATACTCATTGAAAGCTTAATCCATAATCTATAAAACATGTTCCCATTTTTGTAACATATATTCCTCTTTTTATAACATATAACATATTGCATTATTGCTAATAGAGCACCTAGTATATAAAATTTTTGGTGGGCAATACATTTCTAAAACATCTGCTACATTTTAATTAAACTCCCTCCTTGAACATACTTTAGATTCTATTATGGACTAGCAGAACACAAATGTAATTTTTTTGATTTTTGTTTTGTTTTTTGTTTTCCAAAAGGAAAACAGTGCCACCTAATGTTAACTATCACTGATAATATATGTAGAAGTTTACATAATCTCACAGAAAACTAGATTCAAAAGATTTTTTCTTAAAATTATTTTAAAATTAATTAAATTACAATTTGAGACTTCTATGAAAGGAAAACCATTTATATTTGGAATTAAATTTCAGCAATAATTAAAGTAACTTTTCTGACATTTTCTTCAAACCCTCCACTTAATTTTTAACAAATTTGGACTATTAAGTCAAGTATTCTCTGATGGTGAATAATTGTATTAGGCACCTTTGCATTTCTTTTTGCACTAACACAGAGGTATTTAATAAACATTTACCAGGCTGGACTCTTACATAATGTAGCTGTGATTAAAAAAATTAAATTCTAAACAGATGAAAGAATAAAGTGAAGGAAATGAGAAGATATATATTAATTGTCCATTTTTATATTGTAAAGATAATGCATCATCATTATAGATGACTGGAAAAATTCCAAAGTAGAAGAAAAAATAAATGATCTTATCAGAAAAAACTACTATATACCTTTGGACTATTTTCTTAGAGGGTTTCTAGATGTAGTTTATACTGTTTTTTATATAATTCTATGACCATAATATGTTGTTAAAATTATAAATGTAATTTGCTTTCTTCGAAACTTCTTAAATATTTACATGTTATTTTATCATTTCTAAACATTAATTTAGACTTTCATTATATTTATTTCAATAGAATAGTGTTATTTACTTAGCCAATTCACTATTTGAGATATTTAGAATGCATTTCATTTAGTATATTTTGAATTTATAAAAAATGCTTTATATTTGCCATATATTCTTTTAGCAATATATATTTAATATGTATTTAGGCTAGAAGAGAATTCTTGTGATTCCATAAAGCTATTAATGTTCAAATTTTTCCATTTTTTAACTTTTCGCTTTACATATTTTTTAAATAAGAAAAATTGTATTTCCCTTATTTTAATGCTAATAAATCCAGAACCCCAAATTCTCGTTAGTTATACTAAAAATCTAAAATAGAACTCAGATCTTTATGTATTTTTCAATACTATACTATTGTGTATTCAAATATATTATTGAGAAAATATCATGTTTCTGTCTTTGTATATTCTCATGTGTTTGAATATTATTTTAAAATTTTTGACAGAAATTGATTTGATGGTCTCCCCTTAAGTGCAATTTAATTACCCGTCATTGCTCTAGAATAGTCTAATAGATTTAAGTTCACAGATGAGACAATCTTTTCCCCATAGAATCTATAAAATGATATTTTAGTAAAGTATAATATATTTACAGCTACATCAAGCTATTTATTATGTATGTATTAATCATACATACTTAATAGCTTATGTATGCACTTAATAATAATAGTATTACACACATACTTAATAGCTTGATGAATTTTCACAAAGTAAGCATGTACATCTAACCCAAAGTAAGTTCAAAGAGAGTATTAGCTGCCCAGACACCCCTCCCATCTTCTGAGTTTAAACCTTCCTTCAGTTACTACAGGGCCCCAGCTACCCCCAAACCCCCAAACATACATACACCAAACACGGGTAACTATTCTTCCGACTTGTATCACCACAGTTTGCCTGTTATTAAGTGGAATTCTACAACATACACACTTACATGTCTGGTTTCTTTCACTCAAAAATATATTATTCATCCATGTTTGTGCATGTAGTTTTATTCTACCTGTATGCCACCAATAGGGAAACTATGACTTATAGGTCAAATCTCATACTTCAACCACCTGTTTTTGTCAATAAAGTTTTATTGAAACACAGCTATGCTGATTTATTTACATACTTTCTATCGCTGCTTTCACACCACAATGGCAGAGATGAGCAGTTGTGACAGAGACCTTATGGCCTGCAATGCCTAAATTATGTACTATCTGGTTTCCTATAGGAAAAATTTGCTGATACCAATCTGTGATACATATGGTACAATTTGGTTTATTTCTAACTTGGGACTTTTTTTAGTAGTGCTGCTATGAACATAATTGTACATGTATTTTCATGAACATATGAATACATATGTATCTATAAGGTTTATATTATGGAGTAGAATTCTAGCTGAGCAGTTCTGAATGTGTTCAGTTTTAGATGATATTAGCAAAGTATTCTCTAAAATGAACTTTATCAATCTATACTTTCACCAACATGGCATGAGTGTTCCCATTGATCTGCATCTGCATCCAGACCAAGTGGTATGTCTTTTTCATTTTAGCCATTCTGCTGGGTGTGTAGTGGTGTCATATTGTGATTTTAATTTACACATCTTTAATAATTAATTAAGTTGAGCACTTTTAAATATGTTTACTGGGCATTGGGTTATCTTCTTTCATGAAGTACCTATTAAAGTCTTTTCTGTTTCCTTTTCGGATTTTCTCTCTTTTCTCTTTTGTAGAAATATGTAAGGGACATGAGTCTTTTGCAGGTATATTTATTCCAACAGATTTTCTTACACTGTTGTTTACTATTTCACTCTCTGAATTACATCTCTTAAAACAGCAGAAATTGTTAACTTTAATATGGTTAAAGTTTTGAAACATTTGAAAATGTTCATGTTCTTTTTGGGAAACCTTGGCCTATTCCAATTTCTTGAGGAGAGTCTCCTATTTTTTTTGAGACGTATTGTATTACCCATACATGCAGATCCTGAATGTACCTGAAATTGACTTTGTTGTGTTGTGTGAGGCAGGCACCATAGTTATTTTCTTTTCTAGTAAAAATGTTCCATTTATCCAACACCATTCTCCATTGCACTGCAGAGACACTATTGCCATATTGGACTTTAATACCTTTTCTTTCCCATATTAATTTTCTTTATATCATTGGGTCTATTTTCAGGTTCTCAGTTATATCCCATTGTTGTTGATTTGTAATAGTGTTATAGCTGGGTAAGTCTCAATACCTGGTAAAACAAGTAACCTTACATAATTCCTTAAAATTTTCTTAGGTATTTTTTCAAATATATTGATGCTCACTAAATATTCCATGTGCTACCTTTTATTTCTCTGCCTCCTTGAAATAAGAGAGCAATATGATTAGTCCTGTTGAGCGGGTTATAAGCAGTACCACTTCTGGACAAAAGCATTACAGGAGATATAAGTATTCCATTCCACTCTCTGCCAGTGAGTTCAGGTTCATTGGAGAGTTCGAGAAACAACAAGATAATAATAATAATAAACAGATTTCTAAGTCACCACAGGATAATTACTGTGAAGAGTCAGGAGACCTAGGAGGGACCTTATATGCACAAGAAAATTTTGCAGAGAGAATAAGCCACTGAGATTTTGGGGCTGTTTGCTGTCTTAGCATAATCCTGTACTATTATGACTAATTCAGCTATTCTTGGCATGATAGATGATTCTTTGATTTGGGTTTTGTTTTTTCCTAAAACAAGGGGCATCACTATCTATTGGAGTCTTACTTTACACTACTTAAAGGAGATGCCTTATTTATTACAACAAGCCATTTCATTAACATAGATTATGCTACTATCTTGAGAAGACAATGGTGGTAAATAAAGGTAATGCATAAATTAGATACAAAAGTACTCTGCCTGTCACATTTCTCAGAAGATGCAGTAACATTTATTTCACATAGATGTAGTGCCATTTGCTTTTTCCTGAACCTGACTTTCAGTACCACATGAATCCACGTCCATCTTAGAGCCCTTTAGGTATCTTGACTGAACATAAGTCAGCCAAAATCTTAGGAGATGCTATTTCTCACACATACCCCTACCAGCCCTGTGCTTTGCCATGATATAGGAGTCAAGCAAAACTCCAGCTAGTTCTCAGCACAAAATTATAGTTTTTTGCAAAGATTTTATAACATCAACTGTCTTAGTCTTTACTCCTCAGTCCTAGTTCTCCCATCTTGCACAGCAGGACACTATAAATCTCTACACTTTTGCCTGCACTGCCCCTGTTCATCACCTTCTAGAAGCAATATTAGATATTTCTCTTGCTGTTTTGCCCATATATTTTTGTCTTCTTTCCTATGTGAAATAGTTCTTGAACAGACAGCTTTGACCATCCAAGTTGCAGATCCAAAATTCTAAGCTATGTACATTATGTAGACACAACATCACCTTTTCCAACTGCACTGAGTACAGAAGCAGAAGTTAAGCAAATAGATACTTGCCCTTAATGTAATTATAATTATGTTAAAGTGACATTAAGATAGTTTCAAAGAAGAGCCACATATGTGTAGAATTTCAGAATTATCCTTTTCTAAGAAAAATGCCATTTAGTAGTAAAACAGGCTTGCCTACCTCTGAGATTTCCTTTTAATTAATGCCAGGTCTCTGTGTGATTATTAATAATATACCCCAATTTTAACATTTATTCATTCTGAGGCAAAACACTGGAACATAGAATAATGTTTGTCAAATGAATTTTACTTTGTCATCCACAGATGAATCACCAGTTCAATACAGGTCTTGTCAAATAATGTACAGAGTTCTCTGTTAAGAATGAAGTGATCAGGTGCATGCAGTTCCACGTAATGAAGCTTGCTTCACTTATCTCAAGTTAAAAAAATACAAGTTCTAGAATTAGCTTGAGAGCCAAGTCATAACTTATCAAGAACAATTCCACGGTTACTATAGAAACCAACACAGAGAGGCATCACTTTTTTATACTCTCCCCCTTCCTCTTCAAATCTCCAGAGCCTTTGGGCACAGTCATAAACTAGTTCCTAGCCACCAAGGTTGCAGAATCTGATGATAAGCCATAGGGACATTGGACTGTCTTAACTACTGATCCAAACTTCACACTGGGACAATATAGCAAGTACAGGCACTGATAAAGAGAAGACAGGCTTTCTCAGGATGAGCTATAAAAAGAAGCACCTGTAGATAGAAGCCAACATATGTCACATCAATACTACTGGCAAAGCGATCTTACACAGTTAGGTTCTTTCAAGCCAACCATGTATCATCTTTAAAGAACAAAAACATTAAAATATTTTTAAAATGAATAATCTATTGAAATTAGCTTTTAAAGAATAATAATCATACTATTTTGAATGATTTTTTAATCAGTAATTCTTTGCTTCCCACAGGTATCTAAGGGGAAAGAAAGGAGAAAACACAAAAGTATCTCTGTACATACAAAAAGATGAAACTAGAAATTTTAGGAAATTAAGTTGTCTCACACAAGGGGGAAAAGAAAAATACTAAAGGAAAATATTTTAATAAATTTTGCCTTATAGAAAATTTCATGCATATATGAATGTACCTATGCACACACATATGTGTGTGTGTGTGTATATCTTACATATTTAACTAAAAAGCTTTCCTATGAGGTCCACGTATGTTTTTCTGATCTTTCACCGAAAATAAAATGCAGAAAATTTGTTAGATATTAGTTACTTGAAGAAGATTCCTTTTGGTTTCAGGGATTCAGGGGCTTTTTAGGACCTCTTTGGCTGGGCTCACTTGAGCTAAGAATCATCTATTTATGCCCCAATTATATATGTGTGTCCCATGTAACCTCCATATATATGTGAACAATTTTTTCCAACTTTTTTTCTGTAGGACTTCTGTGCTGTAATAATATTTACTTGAGCTTTTTCAGGTTAGACTTTCAGGTTAGTTTAAGGCAGAAAGTGATGCAAGGCAGTTGAAGAACTTTTTAGGACCTACTTAAAGATACAATTTAGTTCTACATATGGGGACACCATCAAAGCTTTGCTGTAGTTCAGCTTTTGTTAGGAGAATTATGGAATGCTTTCATGTTTGGGAGTCTACAGCCCAGATTCTCAGACTGCCTAACTGGATGAGTGATGCTGATCAATCCAATTCAATTTACTTAACACTTATTGAGTGTTAAAACCCACAAAAGGTCTATAATCATTACTTTGGGAATATTAATATTAGGTAGAAGGGCATAAATCCTATCATAGAAATGTGGGGAAATGGTATTACAATAAAATGCATATTGAGTCTTATGGTTGTATCAAAAATGCTTTCACAGATGCAGCTTTTTCAAAGTGTCTGAAATAGAAACCAGTGTTTGATAGATAGAACAGGAAGGTAAAAGAAAATTTCAGGTAAGGGAACAGCATGGATAATGACAGAATAGATAAAATACTAAAATATATTATTAAAGTCATTTAATCAGTAAAGAATTATTATTATTACTTAAGTCATTTAATCAGTAAGGGATTTCCCAACTCCAAATTAATATACATGTTTTCCTCTAGGAAAATTAGTTTTGGTTCTAGAGTTACATAGCCTATGTTTCACTACTGGGTTACATTACTGATCTTTGTCTGCTTTGTAAAATTTATATTTCTTTCCTGCTTACTAACCTGAAGATTTTAAAAAATGTTTTGTAAATTCAAAACTTGATTTTCAATCTGGGCCTATTTAAAAATCTTTAGCAGTCTTTCTACCTCTTCATTTTCATTTGAAGTGGCTGTCGATTTTGCTTGTTCTTAAAAACAAAACATTGCACATTTGCATTTCAATACATACAAAAGCTCAGATATGGGCCAAATATTTTAGAAATGTCAATTGTAGGTAAAATAATCAACTGGTATACCATGTATTTCAACAGTTCCTAAACTTTCTAGATATAGCTTCAGTGTTTTTGATTAAAGTTATTCAGAAATAAACAGAGAAGAGATTGTCATAAATTTAAGAATGTAAAAATCTCAATATCATTAACTATTAATTATAGATTTTTACTGTACATATTTTTATTGTTAACTATAGTTATACCTACCATTCTGTAATTTGCAATTTAGGAAAATACATCTTGACCGATTCTTTGTTTTGAAGAAAACAACTAAACTGCTTAGTTTGAAATCCCCAGCCTTCAATACTTTAGTCTCAAAGAATTTTCTAAAATTTACCTCACTTTACTTGCATGAGTTCTCTAAGTTTGAAGAGGTCTATGGGAATTTTAATCATCCAGCTTCTATGTATTTACTGGACAATAATATCAAAGTTAATTCCTTTTGTCCTATCTGTCTAGTCTTGCAAGATTATAAAATCTAGCAGAAGTACCATTTTCTTCTTTGACATCAGACTAACTCATCTTTCATAATCCAATATCCACTATGAGTTACACTGTCCCTCTACCGTGATATAGCATGCTTATGTAAAATGCATGTCCATCAGTAATACCACATTGCTACCAGCTGTAACACAAATCAGTCTGTAGACTAGGCATGATTTCAGGGTATTTTAGTTCCACCCTTTTCTCATACACCTATCCAATATGCCTTGGCAGTAATGGTGAGAACCTCCCGTTTATGTTATCTATTGCTATTAATCATGCGTTGCCTGTAGCAAGTTTTCATACTATTCTATTTTATTTAACCTTATATAATGCATGCTTAATTTTAGACCAGTTATGCTTAACATTGTTTTATTGTATTATGTTCATTATTATACATTGTTCTTATATGAAATATTATATGTTTATAAAATAGAATATGATGTTTGACATGATAACTTTTCACTGTTCTAAAAACCTTTAGAAAAAGCCAATGCCTTCTAAATCTTAGATAATCATGTAAATTAATGTACAACTCTTCACTGAGTAAATATTACCTGCAAAATGCCATGAAAGTTGTAAGAATACACACAGATATACATCAGACAAAGCTTTCGCCATCAAGAAGCTTACAATCAAATTAATCTTAGCACCTAGGCAACAACAGAAAATACACATACTTTGGCAAATACTCAAAACCTCCTTGCATAATGGATATTCATGAAGTCTTTGGGGAAAGTAAATGAAGACAATAATCTATAAGGGTTGCATTTTCTCATGATGTTTATGAATATCAAGGAAATAGATGATGTGATAATTCTTTCTCATAATTTGAGCAAGTTTCATTTCATCATAAAAGAAAAAATAACACTTCCCCTTTTAAGCAATCTAGAGTCCTATCTTAGTTTCACATTACTTTCTTGATATATTCATTATACAATAAAAAAGGAAAAAGAATGTAGGTTGAGTATGTTTAGCTTATTACTAACACTTCATTCCTAATTTGAAGAGGTTAAACTTAGAGATCCCTTATTTTTCTTTGTTTGAATATTAAATACTTTCAGCTTAGAACATCTGTGCATGAGCATCTTATATTCTAAAGAGTTAGTTGAGCAACATTTGGATTTGCGGCCAGCATCAGAAGAACATTTTTTTTTAATATACTTGAAGTTCTGGGATATATGTGCAGAAAGTGCAGGTTTGTTACATAGGTATACACGTGCCATGGTGGTTTGGGGCACCCATCAACCCCTCATGTACATTAGATATTTCTCCTAATGCTATCCCTCCACTAGCCCCCCCACCCACCCACAGGCCCCAGTGTGTGATGTTCCCCTCCCTGTGTCCATGTGTTCTCATTGTTCAATTCCCACTTATGAGTGAGAACATGTGGTGTTTGGTTTTCTGTCCTTGTGTTAGTTTGCTAAGAATGATGGTTTCCAGCATCATCCATGTCCCTGCAAAGGACATGAACTCATGTTTTATATAGATCCTGCATATTAAGTACTAGAAATGTGAATCAAAATGAACAGATATAAAAGAGCTCAGGTACTATTTGGCAAGTTTATGTCCATATGCTATAGTTTTATTGCCTCTGTTTTATAAACAACCAAATCCATTGCAACAAGGGTTTAACATCTCCTAATCTCAAACGATAGAAGTGAGATATATTTACCAGAGCCAATTTCACACCAAATCTCTAATTCTGAAGCAGGAAATAAATAAATAAAAAGTTCTCGAAAATTTGTTTTAAGTTATTTTTCTTTTATTAAAATTTCTCAAAAAATAACAGTCATACAGTACAGGAAATATCGGAAAGCACAAATGTCACAAGGCTGAATACTTGCCAAATATTATTAACAACTAGCGTTGGGAGGCAGAGATTGCAGTGAGCCAAACCATGCCACTGCACTCTAGCATGGGGAACAAAGCAAGACCTTGCCTCAAATAAATACATGCATGCATATATACATACATACATACATATATACATACATACATACATATATACAAACATACATACATATATACAAACATACATACATATATACAATTAGGACTATAAAATTTGAAAGTCAGCATAACATTCGATGAAGGATATGCTTATATGCCTATCTGTTCATTCTTTTTTGTGGCTTTATCTGACATCAGAAACATTATTAGATAGCATATATCAGATAGCAATATGAAAATAGAATAAATCACATACATTATCATTTCAGAATATCACTGCCATCCTTTAAAATCTGTTCAAGCAAAGTCTCTGATTCACTCTGAAGGTGAAGGTTAGTTTCGGTAAATCAAATAATTATGACACTGGCATATTAAGAATAAGACAACAGCCAATCAAAAATTTTACTTACAAAAAACCTTCAATAACACATAAAGAAGTTTAGAGTATAATATTAACGGAGAAAATGCAGTTTAAATCTATGTTGTTATTTATTGCATAATCTCATCTAAGTGATATATGCATACATTAAGTATATGTGTACATATGATATACATATATACAATTACAATATGTAAAACGATTTGAGATAAGTATGCCAAGGTAGAACTAGTTATGGAATTTAAATGTGTTTAATAAGCATCATAAAAATAACTATCAACAATTTCCAGAAGATTTAAATATATTTAATTTTCAGAGCAGCCCTGCAAAGATATGGATGCTCTGTTAACATGGATACCCTTCATTAGCCTCATCACTCCAAAAGCAGCTGTAATTAAGCAGATGTTTCGTAAAATGTGAACCTGTTTCCTTCTTTGCAGTGAATTTGGTGCAGGCTGAGCATTGGCCCTAACGTGGGTCAATCAGACTGCTTTCCAAGGTTTTTTGTTTTTTGATGTAAGACAGCTAGATACAAGAGAATGAGGCTGAACATATTAAGAAAAATAGGAGTTGGGGTGGGTGACTAGTTATTCCTCTATTTACAGGTTTCCTCTAATCTTAGTCATTGCATCTTTTTTAGGTCCTGTTATTTTTTCATATCTGTACAGAGTCTGTATACTTATAATTAATCTCAAAATATGTTCCTATAACATTGAAAAGGTTTATTTATAACTTGCAGTCCTAACTGATAGAATAACTCTAACCACTTAATATCAGAGGAAATCGAGGTTTGGGGAAGTTAAGTATCTTTTCTCAAAATCGTACAACCACTGGAAATTAGAGACGCCTGTTGGAATCAGATCTGAATCCCAAATGCAAGGTCAGGATAAGTGAGGATTATCATCAAGGATTTTCATGAGCTTACAAAATTTTTTGTCTCTATTTTCCAGATTTTACACAATAAGCAAATATAATTGTTCTTCCTTATCTGTAGGAAATTTGTTCTAGGACCCCCCATGGATACCAAAATCCACAGATTCCCATTCCCTTATATAAAATGATACTTACATATAACTTAGAAATATCTTCTCATATACTTTAAATTATCTCTAGATTACTTATGATACTAATACAGTATAAGTGCTATGTAAATAGTTGTTATACTGTATCATTGAGGGAATAATGACAAGAAAAAAATTCTCTATGTGTTCAATACATATACAGCTGTACCATTTGTATCCAAATGTTTTTGGTTTGCAGTTGGTTGAATCAAAATATGTGGAACCCACAGATACAAAAGGGCTGCCTGTATTTATAAATGAAAATAGAAAGTAACTTTTAAAAAAGTAAATAACATTAGAAAAACCTATATATCAGGTATTATAGCATTCTATTACTAAAAGTTGATGGCTTTGGCACAAAATACGCACAAAATATGCAAAAAATTGACATCTGGAACAGGGGCTTAAAGTACTGACTTCTTATCAACTTCTTTGGGGAGGGCCAGATGTGTTACAATAAAACGATAGACAAATTTTGAGACAAATTTTGTCTATTATAGCTCTGTTATTTTTATATTTTATGGTCAATTGTTGAGTATATTTCCTGTTTGCTTAACAGTATATATTCTGGAATAGTAAGGTGTACTAATATGTAAACAATAGATAGATTAGGTAGAGAGATAGATATACACATACACACATATTCGAAAAGTCAAGTTAGTTAACTATATTCAAATCACCTCTGCCCATACCAAATTTTGAGGCTATGTAAAAATGTTCCTCTTCATTAAAGTCTGATTTGGCTGTATTAATATAAGCACATCAACTTTCTTTAGACAGATATTTTCATAAGACTATTTTTTCTTTTTAAAAATTTTAAACATTCTACATCTTTATATTTTAGACATGCTTCTGGTAAAAAGCAAAGACTTTTTAAGAGTAGAATAATCTTTTACTTATTATTGCACTCTGATTCATTTCATTCATTGTTTGATTAATATATTTGATATGAATCAACCTTTTTTGAGTTTTCTTTTGATGGCTCTGTTTGTTCTTCTCCCATTGTTTATCTTATTTTTGATTAATTATTTTTATTTTTCTATATTTTATGCTCTATAAGCTTAAAATTTATACTTACCAAGACCAGCTTGGTCATGGAGACCCTAACCCAGCAGCGCTAGAGGAATTAAAGACACACAGAAATATAGAGTGTGGAGTGGGAAATCAGGGGTCTCACAGCCTTCAGAGCTGAGAGCCTGGAGCAGAGATTTACCCACATATTTATTGACAACAAGCCAGTGATAAGCATTATTTCTATAGATTGTGGATTAACTAAAAGTATTCCTTACAGGAAATAAAGGGATGGGCCAAAGTGAAGAGATGGGCTGTGGCTAGTTATCTGCAGCAGGAACATGTCCTTAAGGCACAGATCACTCATGCTATTGTTTGTGGCTTAGGAACACCTTTAAGCGGTTTTCTGCCCTGGGTGGGCCAGGTGTTCCTTGCCCTCATTCCAGTAAACCCACAACCTTCAGTGTGGGTGTCATGGCCATCACAAACATGTCACAGTGCTGCAGGGATTTTGTTTATGGCCAGTTCTGGAGCCAGTTTATGGCCAGATTTTGGGGGCCTATTCCCAGCGATACTCTATTACTATCACAGAGATTCCCCTAGAAATTTCAAAATGCTTCTCAATTTATCAAAGTCTAACATCAGTCCGCATTTTTACCCTTTATATGAAAAAAGGAAAATGCCTCTAGGACATTCTGGTGTGTAAGGTAATGTAGTGGCATTTCAAGTCACTTAGTAATTACAACCATACCAGTATTAGTCCATTTTCACATTGCTGATAAAAACATACCCAAGACTGAGTAATTTACAAAATAAAGGGGTCCAATGGACCCACAGTTCCATGTGGCTAGGGAGGCCTTGCAATCATGGAAGAAGGCAAAAAGCACTTCTTACATGGCTGCAGCAAGAGAGAGAATAAGAGCCAAGCAAAACAATGACAGTAAGTGATGCAGTCCCAAAGCACCCAGCAAGCCCACCACATTTTTTGTTGTTTCTGAACTGAGTGGTGGTAGGAGGTCTTTCTACCTTTGCTAAGGTTTCCCCTTATCAAACCATCAGATCTTGTGAGACTTATTCACAACCAGGAGAACAGTATTGGAGAAACCACCCCCATGATTCAATTATCTCCCAACAGGTATCTCCCACAACACACGGGTATTCAAGATAAGATTTGGGTGAGGACACAGCCAAACCATATCAATACCTATATATTATTTCTCACAAATGAATGGATTACTTAGAATTTTTTTTTTATCTGGGCGATGTGTGGATGTTTTTGGCTGGACATGCCTATGTATGTGTAGGTAGGCACAGGGCTGACTGAGGAGCTGACTGCTCTAGGATAACCCTAGCTTGGCTGACTCAGCTGTGTTCCACGTGTCACCTCATCCTTCAGCAGGTTAGCATGGACTTGTTCAAATACACTAGCAAGGTTCTAAGAGAAAGATTGGAAGCGTGAAATCTCTTTTAAAATCTAAGCTCAAAACTGGCAAACTTTCACTTCTGCCAAATTTCTTTGGCCAAAGCAAGTCTCAAGGTCAGCACAGATTTAAGGGGAAGGGAAAAGACTCCACCTCCTGTTGGGAGAAACCAGAGTCACACTGTAAAGCATAAAGGTAAAGACAGATAAGGAATCTTGGCCATTTTTCAATTAATCTACTACATCTGGTAATTTGTTAGGACTTATTAGTACCTATTGTTTTTAGGTTGATATTTGGATACATCTTCTGAAGATTTTCTAGTTACCCTCTGAGAGACAGTTGATCTGATTTACTTATTCTATGGTGTTATTATGTTTGCATTGTTATAATGGAATCCTGGAGGCTGGGTAATTTATAAAGAAAAGGTGTTTGTTTTGGCTCATGGTTCAAGGTGTGCAAACATGGCCCAGTGGTTTGGCTTCTGGTTAGTGCCTCAGGAAGCTTACAATCATAGCGGAAGGTGAAGCAGGGGCAGGCGAATCACATGGTATGAAACTGAACAAGAGAGAGCAAGGGGGGATGTGCCACACTATTTTAAACAACCAGATGTCATGTAAACTCAGAGAAAGGACTCATTCATTACCTGTGCAAGGAAGGCACCAATCCATTCATGAGGCATCTGCCCCATGACTGAAACACCTCCCAACGTATTAGCCTATGGTACAAGATAGATAGATGATAGATAGATAGATAGATAGATAGATAGATAGATAGATAGATAGATAGACAGATGAATCTATGTCTAGGGTTTTTAGTTATATGTAGTGGGAAGAATTAGAAAAAATATGTTTACTACATTTTCACAGATGTGAAAGTTTCACAAGTTACTAATTAATCTTTGGACTGCATTTAATATCTCTTAAGTCACTTATTGATTTTTAAATTTTAGTTATTACTGTGCTTTTTCAAGTTGACAATTTCTGATTTTCTCATTTAAACATGAGATTTGGAGAAAACAAACATCCAAATCATATCATCTGCTATTGCTGGAATACTGTCATTTCTGTTTCTAGGAATCTTTATGATATGAATTGGTACATCTAACAATAGAACAATTACATTTCTTTTTTGAAAGACAATAGTTATGTAAGTGGTAGTATATTTTTTTCCCACTAAGTAGTAATGTTTATTTACAGTCACAGAAAGTACTCTGGCTGGGAGGTCAGGCAGTTGTTTAGTGATACCTCATTTTCCCCAAGGAATTCATATACTAGCATGGTTAGTTATGTTTATTTCAAGTGGATAAGTCATGTAAATTCAGTCCTTGACATGCAATTCAGGAAATTGAATCTCTTTTATGTAGTTCACTGATTGTAAAGTCCATGAACAGTTTATTGGATAGTTTCCACTCAATCAGTCTGCCTGGTGTAATTTTTCCCGAGGGATTGAAACTTCATGTTGTTATTTCAATCCCAGGGAGTTCTACTTTGTTTCAATAGTTGAGAAATCATGACTACACTTTACAGTGACTTACATAGACTTGTTATTAAATTGCTGTTTCCTTGATATTCTAGCAGCAACTTCCGAAAAAAAAAAGCAGTTGTAAATAAAATAAGACTATGTCGCGTATGCTCCATTAAACAAAGAACTGCTGGGAATATTGCCCGTTATTTTTCTTTTATTCTACATCAGGAACAAACAAAATGGTAATTTTGTACAAAATGTCTACTATTTTCTTTTTCACAATTTTACTGTGTTAAATCCTGCATACCTCAAAGATATCACTATTTACTAAGCTATTATTAAATTGATCATCTTTACCACAGGTTAAAAGATGACATCACATCGCAGTACTCCACTTAACTGAATAAAAATGCTTTTTTCAAAGGCCATGTGGTGTTAAGCACATTTAGGCTTTCTTTTTAATATTTGTTTTTGTAAATCTGACTCACTGATGATAAATTACAAATATTTATTGATCTGCTACTTTATGACCAGCACTAGACACTGCACTCTTAGAAATATGGATAAAAGCAATGAGGAATATTCCTCTTTGAAAGAACAGAGGTAGAAAAATACTAACATTAAAAAAAGATAAATATTAATGGCCCAGACTAATTAAATGCATGCATGTTTTTGCAATATTTGTCCAAAAATTCATGCTCTACGATTACTTTTTAAGAACCATATAAAACACTATAATTTCTATCATGTCCTCCCTGTTCCTTTAGGTCTTGCCAGAAATATCTACCTCTTCTGAACTCTCAAAGAAGTGAATTTATGCCACTTTTATATATTTTTCATGATCTACTTTTCTTTACAATTATTTACCACCATATGATACTTTTATTTAAGAGAATTAATATTTTGGTTAGCAGAGTCCATGTCCTATTTATTTACATATGCTCATGATGGCCAACATAATGACCAACCTGTTCTTATTTCTCCTTTTACCTCCTCTCCAAAACTCTGGTAACAAGTATCCTAATTTCTCCTTCTATAATATCAACCAATTCCACATGAGTGAGGTCATGCGGTATTTGTCTTTGTGTGCCTGCCTTATTTCACTTAACATTGTATCTCCCAAGTTTATTCATGTTGCTGCAAATGACAGGATTTTATCCTTTTTATAGCTTAATAGTATTCCATGTGTGCATATATATCACATTTTCTTTATCCATTTACCCATTGATGGTGATGTTTTCATTATTGATTATTCATCTGTTTTAAATATCAATATTTATTTTTATGAATATTTATGAATATCTGTTTTGCTATATAGTTGTATTTTCTTTATTTTGTCATAGGTTTTTCAGCATTGATTTTTCAGATATTTTTTTCAAAAATTTTTTTACAATATGTGAGTGAACTTCAAAGAATGACTTCTAATTGTTTGTGTTCTGGTTTGTCACCACATTTATCAAAATCATTTAAAATTATCTTTATGTTGGACTGACATTATCTATAATACACCTTCCTTACTCAAAGGGCCTCAATTTTTATTTGTAACCCAACAAATGGAAAGACTGGTCTCGTAGCTTGTTCAAAAATCGAAAATGAATAGTTGCCAGTTGGAGAACAGGTCTTATTTCGGGTAATGTTTGTTAAAAATAATATAAATATTAATGAATAGAAGTTTATACCATAAGGCAATATATTGGTTCAATTGATTATAAATTCCATAGGAAGTCTGACTTCATAGTTGATTTAGCAATGCCCTCAATAACATTGTGTCTTTCCATTCTTCTACTATGGCTTCCACAATGCCAGGAGAATTTTGAGATTTCGACTCATCTATTTTTATAATATGACTGCCAACCACTCTGGTGAAGAAACTTACTTAGGCAGAGGGGTGATGGGGGACAGAAAGAAAGAGCAAGTGAGAGAACAAGAGAAAGGGTTGTTTTTACCAAAGAATCAAACAAATAATCTTTTTAAAATTCTGATTGAACTGATCTGAACCAGTGACCAGTGATTGTAGCCTAGGAAATGCTGTTAACAATTTTCATGGATCTGACTTCAACACCAGACCAAATGACTATGGGAAAGGGTGTAGATATCTTTTAGTGGAAGTGTGTATTTTCTAGTTAATAAACTGTATTCTTTCTTTCTGGATGTTGTCAGGATTTATTTTTAAAGTGTATGTGCGTGTATACAGATACAAATATATATCTTCAGTTTATTTTTCCAAGCCCAGAATAATTTTCTTCAATACAGCCATATATTTTAGTTGCTCTGGCTTCTTTCTCGGGAATCTCTAGAATTTAAGTTTTATGCTCTGTATTTGTAGTCAGTAGGTGTTAACTCATCCTTTTCTTGACTTTATTCTTCTACTCAGATTTATCATTTTCCACACACATCACTGATCAAATGTACATAGTGTCAACTCTGCATTTTAATACACATAATGTGAAATGTATTTCTGCTCTTGAGTTTCAGTTGCTTTGCAATTCTTCATTGTTTCACTTTCTCTCTGTGTATTTTTTCCTGTTGTCTTTTTATCTAGGTCAATTCCTTCCTAAGGGTTTTCTGCTTCTATTTCCTAATAAGATATATGTTTTACATTATATTGATGATTCCAGATATTGCCAAGAAATTTTTCCTTTTTAGGAGTTATTTTCTTCTTTTGAGGTTTTAAAATGCTTACTATGCCTTGTTTTTGTTTTGTTTTTATGGTAAGCTCCTGTTTCCCCATTGTTTACCCATTGAAATATAAATAGATACGTATCCAGACCTGGTGTTTGTCAATAGGTGATGTGTTTGGTATGCCCTTGAATCATATATCTATTGTTAATATTAGGATACATTTTATCAATAGCTAAATATATATTGTCAATAACTGTCTATACTTTTGCTGTAGCAATTCTGTATAGCAAATAAGTCTAGTGTTACTAGCAATATATTTTGCCATTTAACTCATACTAAGGGTCAGCTGTGGGTTGCTGTGATTGTGAAGGTTTGTTGTTATGTTGCTTTTTAAAAGACTGCAGACTTACTGTGGTTTTGTTCCATCTGTCTCCCTATTCTAACATGCAAGTCTGCTCTCTCATGACTTAGGGGAAAAGCAAAAGCACCCAAACCAAACTATGTAATGACTGAAGCTTCTGCCAGGATGGAGCTAAATTTATTGTACTTGCATCCCATTGGTCAAATTATGTCATATTATCAAGCCCTAAATCAGTGAGGCAAGGATGTATACAATTTCCATTAGATGCACAGGCAAGACACATAGCAATAGCTAAAAAGATTTAATTCTGTTATGAGGAGACAAAAAATAGTTAGGGATAACTATCTAGTCTACACCCATCAATTCATAGGATAATTTTTAAAGTGCTGATTAAATTAAATTTTAAAAGGCTGGTTCTGCCTTTGAGAACATGAGAATATTTTATAGTATTTTGGAAATCTTAGAAAATGTTATAGGTGCCACCATGTGCACTCTTGGAACTGGAAATTTAAATTCATGAGAATAATTTAAAATAGACACATTAAGCACTCCTCACAGGTAAAAGGGCAAAGTCCTTTCTCTCCTTGCAAAATATCAACATTTTTTCCAATTTCGGTTCTATCCCAACACTATAAAATTCTGTTACATATTTTATGATAAAGATAAGGAGAGCTTTTAAATAAAAAAATGCAAAACTCTGACACTGTTACTCATCCTGAGTCAGAAATGCCCGTCCTGCATGTTACTTATTTTCCCTCAATACATCTTATGATATCCATGTAAATATGGTTGAACCACTCCTTTATGTACAGATTTTCAGGTTCTATACACTTATAAACCAACATCTATAAATATAGATGTTATTATTGTAAGATATTTGAAGTCCTTGGGATATTAAAATATCAAAAATGAAACAAGGCAAAACATACCCAGGCCCTACTTAACATCAATTAAATCAAAATCTCTGGGGATGAAGTCATAGCTAATGATTCAAATGTACTTTCAAGGCTGATAACATTTTTCTGAGAAAGGCACAATTATAAGATATCACCAGGTAACTTTACTAAATTAAAAATTAAAAATCTTATATTAGAGAAATATTGGATTATGCTTAATCCTGAAACAATGCTTACCCTGGGACCTGAGATTAACACCTCTATTTCAAATTAAAGCTACCCTCATTATTTTCTATGCCCCTTGGATAGTAGTTGACCACCCTTCTCATGCTCTACAGCTGATTTATGAAGATATCTTTTAGACTCACACATAATGTCTATATGAATTTGGAGAAAAACCCCAAAAACCCATAAAATATAGTGTGCATGACCTTGACCATTTTTGGGGGGAGAATTAGATGTGTTGGTCTTATGAGGTCCACACAAAGCCACATTATCACAGATGGAAATACTGCACCTGGAAGAAAATACCCAACTGAAAACCTCAAATTCATTCTGTATCTATATAGGCATTGTCCCTGTGTAGGCACACAAAACATCATGTGCAAAACCCATGCATCTTAGAAGGCTATTCATCCACACCACAGTCCGACATTTCAAAAGGGCAAGCAATAGAAAAACCAGAGGTTTCCCAATGCTTCAAAAGTTTTAGAAAATTCATTAAAATATTTTTCATAATATAAGCCAAATCAGTGGTCTTTGTCTTTTCATTAAAGATATTTCACAACTCTTTCAACTTTTGAATGAGGGAAGTCATTTTTTTTAGCTTCACCCCGACTAGGCATATGAATTGTTTTTCCTCCTTGCAGTGACTGCAGTTAGCACATGCTGTCAACATGAGTTAAGTTCTATGTAAGATAATATTCAACAACAAAATAAACTATGACTGTTGAATCGTAACTTCTAAAATAAGGTATATTCTGATGGGGATTCATTGTCAAGATTTCCTTAATTCAGCCTTAATTGTTTCTAGACCAGTGGTTTGCAACCCTCAGTGCACTGAAGAAATACCTGTGGAATTTTAAGATATTGAAGGTCTCAACCCCAGATAGACATTTATAGTAAGTTTAATGTGGCATGGGAGGGGTGAGGCACATCTGTACATCTATGCTGTATACGTTCCATAGTGGCTTCTTTCTTATAATCAGTCAACTTGACTATCACTACACTCCAACTTACTGAAATTTTTCTTATTTGCCTGGATCATATTTCTGATTCACTAAAAAAATACTAGGTTTAAGCAGATGTGAGATAAATAAATCCTGGGAGAAAACAGGTATTTCAATGTCTAGCTGAATATCAACTTACTTCCTAGGCTTGCAGCTCTTAGTTAATCTCAGTGTCTGTGTCAACTGTTTTCCTTCATTACATGGAGAAAAATTCCATGTGGTTTGTTCTCTTAAATAAAGAATTGCCCCTTTGGTATTGGAAGTGAATAAAATCAAGCCTAGTACTACAACACATTTGCCATAAGTAGAGCAACTTTTTCACATGATACTAAGTACTTTGGTGGTCCTGGGTGCTGTTCCTATGTGTTTAGAGTGTTTTACAGTGTTAGGCCCTTCTAAAGCTCCCACAAGTTCCTTTTCTAGAGAATATTTATGTACTGATTAATTCTTTTTATGGAAAAATATCCAAGAATGCCTTAAACAAGCTTTTAGGATAATTATTTAAAAGTATTTTGTGCACTCATGAAATCAAAGTTTATATCTGAGAGGAAGTATAATGACTCCAAAACCATTAAGTGCTAAGAATGATAGGAAAATTTGGTCAGCATGTCCATAAAAATTATGGGTAGGCTGAAGGAATATCCTCATTAGAAACAATTTTTCATTGTTTCTCATTCTAATGGGCTCTCTAGTCTCTCTCATCTGCCTACTGGAATGGAAAATGAGTGGTGGTTCTAGATATCTTTCCCCTCTGAGATGTGTCCACACTGGCTATTATTACCACTTACAGCATGGTTGTAGTCTACATAACCTTATGAATCATAGTCTAACTTGATTACATAAAATTGCAATTGCCTCAGATTGACTAAATAAATGATGTTCTGGTTAAAAATATACTACTGGTTTGAGTTATTGTGCAAACAATTTTTAATCTTATTTTATAAATCACAACTCTGAGACAATTTCCAGAAAGCTTGCTTAGAGGTAGAGTGGCTTGTTCCCTGGTAGCATTTGATCAGCACCAAGACATTCCTTTAATATGGGAAGTTCCAGTTGCCTTGTTTTCACTAAAAAAAACCTATTTTATAAAAATGCTGAATTATTCCATTGGTCTCTCAAGCTAACATGTCAACTCTTTTATTTTTATTTTATTCATTCTATTAGAAACTATTTTGTGAATTATCTGACACTTGTTTACTGCATTAAATAAAGCTATTTCTAGCTACAATTACAAAGTAATGTGACTTCTGTCAATATTCCTCATTTTCTTTTAAGTTTACACAAATACAAAGTTACACAGGCAGTTTCCACCTTTTCTTATTTTACACCTCTTCTTGTCCTGGCATATTTGTCTATGTTGAACCCAGAGAAATGATAAATGCTTGAGGTGATAGATATCCCAATTACCTTGATGTGGTCGTTACATATCGTATGCTGGTATCAAAACATCACATGTACCCCATAAATATATACATGTATTATGTACCCACATAATTAAAAATAAAAAAAATAAAAATTAAGAAAAAGAACAATCTTAAGTACTTTGATCACTTCTTCATGTAATTGAATACATTGTTAAAAAAAGAACAACTTTAAACTAAAGGTGAAATATAATTTTTAATCATTGAGTATAATTTTTAATCACACTAAAATCATGTTTTCTAAGAAAATACCATAAATGTCTCATTAAAATCAAGAAAGAATTTTTACTGAAAGTCAAGGTATAGAGTAGAGAAAACTAATTAAAAAATAGAAATTAACATGATATGCCAACAATGTATCTCAATTTGTATTTTATCCATACTTAAGCACAATTATTAGATGTCAAGCATAGTTGCTTTTTTTCTTTAAAAATCATAGGTAAAGGATTAAGTTCAGGGATATGTGTACAGGTTTGTTTCATCAGTAAACTTGTGTCATGGGAGTTTGTCATACAGATTATTTCATCACCCAGGTATTAAGCCTAGTACCCATTAGTTACTTTTCCTGATTTTCTCCCTCCTCCCACCTGCCACCCTCTGATAGGTCCTAGTGTGTGTTGTTCCCTGCTGTGTTCATGTGTTCTCATTATTAAGCTAGCACTTACAAGTAAGAACATGCGGTATTTGGTTTTCTGTTCCTGTATTAGTTGACTAAAGATAATGGCCTCCAGCTCTATCCATGTTTCTGCAAAGAACATGATCTCATTCTTTTCTATGGTTGAAATGTATTCCATGGTGTATATTACCACATTCTTTTAAATCCAGTCTACCATTGATGCACATTTAGTTGATTCCCAGTTTTTGCTATTGTGAATAGTGCTGCAATAAACATATGCCATGCATGTGTCTATATAATGGAGTGACTTATCTTCCTTTTGGTATAATCATAGTAATGGGATTGCTGAGTTGAATGGTAGTTCTGTCCTTAGGTCTTTGAGGAATCACTACACTGTCTTCCAGAATGGCTGAACTAATTTATACTCCCACCAACACTGTAAAATCATTCCTTTTTCTCCACAACCTTGCCAGCATCTATTATTTTTTGGCTTTTTAATAGTAGCCATTCTGACTGCTGTTAGACGGTATCTCATTATGGTTTTGATTTGCATTTCTCTAATGATCAGTGATGTTGAGCTTTTATTCATGTGATTGTTGGCTGCATGTATGTCTTCTTTTGAAAAGTGTCTGTTCATGTCCTTTGCCTATTTTTTAATGGGTTCATTTTTTTCTTATAAATTTGTTTAAGTCTCTTATAGATGCTAGATATGAGACCTTTGTCAGACGCATAGATTGCAAAAGCTTTCTCCCATTTTGTAGGTTGTCTATTTATTCTGTTTGAATAGCTGATTTTGCTGTGCAGAAACTCTCTAGTTTAGTTAGGTCCCATTTGTCAATTTTTGCTTTTCTTGCAATTGCTTTTTGTCATAAAATATTTGCTTGTGCCTATGTCCTGAACGGTATTGCCTAGGTTATCTTCCAGGGTTTTAATAGTTTTGGGTTTTACATTTAAGTCTTCAAGCCATCTTGAGTTAATTTTTGTATATGGTGAAAGAAAGGTGTCCAGTTTCAATCTTCTGCATATGGCTAGCCAGTTACCTCAGCACCACTTATAGAATAGGGAGTCCTTTTCTCATTGCTTGTTTTTGTCAGGTTTGTCGAAGATCAGATAATTACAGATGTGTGGTATTTTTTTCTAGGTTCTCTGTTCTGTTCCATTGGTCTACGTGTCTGTTTTTGTATCAACACCACAATATTTTGGTTACTGTAGGCCTGTAGTGCAGTTTGAAGTCAGGTAACGTGATGCCTCCAGCTTTGTTCTTTTTGCTTAGGATTACTTTGGCTATTCTGGTTCTTTTTTTTGGTTCCATATCAATTTTAAAACATTTTTTTCTCGTTCTGTGAAGAATTTGAGTGGTAGTTTAATGGAAGAGCATTGAATCTATAATTGCTTTTTGGTAGTATGGCAATTTTGATGACATTGATTCTTCCTATCCATGAGCATTGAATGTTTTTTCATTTGTTTGTGTTATCTCTGATTTCTTTGAGTGGTGTTTTGCCATTCTCCTTGTAGAGATCTTTCACCTTTCTAGATAGCTGTATTCCTAGGTATTTTATTCTTTTTGTGGCAGTTGTAAATGGAAGTATATTTCCGATTTAGCTCTCAGCTTGACTGGTGTCTGTGTATAGGAATGCCAATGATTTTTACACATTGATTTTGTATCCTGAGATTTGCTGAAGTTGTTTATCAGCTTAAGAAGGTTTTGGGCTGAGACTATACAGTTTTCTAGATACAGAGGGATGATGTCATCTGCAAACAGGGATAGTTTGACTTCCTCTCTTCCTATTTGGATACATTTTACTTCTTTCTGTTGCCTGATTGCCCTGGCCCAAACTTCCAATACTATGTTAAATAGGAGTGATGAAAGAGGGCATCCCTGACTTGTGCTGGTTTTCAAGGGGCATGCTTCTAGCTTTAGACTCTTAGTTGTTTAAAAAAAAAATCTGGACAAAGATGGTGGACGGGAGGCAGGACTAGATTGAAGCTCCAACTTGGACAGACAGAGCAGCATGCGGGGGTTCGCATTGTGAATTTTAACTCCACGGACCCTCTGAAGAAAGCAGACTGCTCCTGCAGGACCTGGAGACACCTCAAATATTGTGAGTGCCCCAGCTGCAGAAGTGAGAAAGGGAGATCCCGTCTTCTGAACACACACCCCCACTAGAGAAACTGAAGATCTGTGAGAGAAGTTTCCGACCTTTCCTGGAGCTGAGTCAATTTAGAGGGCTGAACAAAATACAGGGGTAGAAGAAATAGCAGAAAGGCACTGGGAGCTTGCTGGGTCCCCAGGTAGGCCATTCCTGCTTGGCACCACAGGGATCGATCAGGAGGATGGCCAGGGAAAACACCACAGGGAGAAGGAAATCTCCAACTGAACTTTGTAACAATTTGAACAGGGTGAGAAGCCTCCTGGAAGGCACTCAGGGGAGGGCATGAATCTGCTGTGCAGAGTCCACAGATGGGGGAAGAACCAGGCCCTTTTCTTTTGCAGCTGGGAGACATGTAGCCTGGGGCAAGTTCTCAAGCCCAGCTCGCCCACCACCTGGAAACAGATCCAGGGCTGTTGGGGGGCACTGTGGGAGTGAGACTAGCCCTTCGGTTTGTCTGGGAGCTGGGTGAGGCCTGTGACTGCCAGCTTTCCCCAACTTCCCTGACAACCTGCATGACTCAACAGAGGCAGCCATAATCCTCCTAGGTGCACAACTCCATCGACCTGGGAACCTCACCTTCATCCTCCATAGCAGCTGCAGCAAGACCCACCCAAAGAGAATCTGAGCTCAGACATGCCTAGTCCTGTCCCCACCTGATGTTCCTTCCCTACCCACCCTGGTAGCTGAAGGCAAACACCATATAATCTTGGGAATTCTAGGGCCCTGCACACCAGCAGTTCCTTTCCATACTACCACACTTGATGCTCTCTGGGAAGCAAACCAGCACAAAAATAGAACAACTACCAAAGCTAAGAACTCTCACGGAGTCCATTTCACACACCACCCTACCCCCCCCCGCCCACCGCCATCTCCACTAGAACAGGTGCTGGTATCCATAGCTGAGATACCCATAGATGTTTCACATCACAAGACTCTGTGCAGACAACCCCCAATACCAGCCCAGAGCCAGGTAGACTTGCTGGGTGGCTAGACCCAAAAGATAGATAACAATCACTGCAGTTCAGCTCATAGGAAGCCACATCCATAGGAAAACGGGGAGAGTACTACATCAAGGAAATACCCTGTCGGACAAAAGAATCTGAAAACAGTCTTCAGACCTAGACCTTCCCTGTGACCTAGCCTGCACAAATGAGAAGGAAACAGAAAACCAACTCCAGTAATATGACAAAACAAGGTTCTTTAACACCCCCCAAAAAATCACACTAGTTCAGCAGCAATGGATCCAAACCCAGAAGAAATCCCCGATTTACCTGACAAAGAATTCAGGAAGTTAATTATTAATCTAATCAGGGAGGCATCAGAGAAAGGGAAAACCCAATGCAAGAAAATCCAAAAAAGCAATACAAGAAGTGAAGCGAGAAATATTCAAGGAAATAGATAGCTTAAAGAAAAAACAATAAAAAATTCCAGAAATATTAGACACAATTTTAGAAATATGAAATGCTCTGGAAAGTCTCAGCAATACAATTGAAAAAGTAGAAGAAAGAAATTCAGAGCTCAAAGACAAGGTCTTCAAATTAACCCAATCCAACAAAGACAAAGAAAAAAGAATAAAAAATGTGAACAAAGCCCTCCTCTGGGATTACGTTAAATGACCAAACCTAAGAATAATCAGTGTTCCTGAGGAAGAAGAGAATTCTAAAAGCTTGGAAAACGTGTTTGGGGGAATAATTGAGGAAAACTTCCCCTGCCTTGCTAGAGACCTAGACATCCAAATACAAGAAGCACAAAGAACACCTGGGAAATTCATTGCAAAAAGATTATCGCCTAGACACATTGTCATCAGGTTATCCAAAGTTAAGACAAAGAAAAGAATCTTAAGAGCTGGGAGACAGGAGCACCAGGTAACCTATAAAGGAAAACCTATCAGATTAACAGCAGATTTCTCAGCAGACACCCTACAAGAAAGAAGGGATTGGGGCCCTATCTTCAGTCTCCTCAAACAAAACAATTATCAGCCAAGAATTCTGTATCCAGCCAAACAAAGCATCATATAGAAAGGAAAGATAGTCTTTTTCAGACAAATAAATGCTGAGAGAATTTGCCACTACCAAGCCACCACCACAACAACTACTAAAAGGAGCTCTAAATCTTGAAACAAACCCTGGAAACACATCAAAACAGAGCCTCTTTAAAGCATACATCTCATAGGACCTATAAAATAAAAATACAAGTTTAAAAGCAAAGCCAAAAAACCTAAGTACACAGGCAATAAATAGCACAATGAATGCAATGGTGACTCACATCTCAATAATGGCCTAGGTGCTCCACTTAAAAGATACAGAACTGCAGAACAGTTAAGAACTCACCAACCACCTATCCACTCCCTTCAGGAGGCTCACCTAACACAGAAGGACTCACATGAACTTAAAGTAAAGGGGTGGAAAAAGATATTCCATGCAAATGGACACCAAAAGCGAGCAGTAGTAGCTATTCTTATATCGAACAAAACAAAATTTAAAGCAACAGCAGTTAAAAGAAACAAACAGGGACATTATATAATGGTGAAATGCCTTGTTCAAGAGGAAAATATCATAATCTTAAACATATATGCACCTAACAGTGGAGCTCCCAGATTTATAAAACAATTATTAATAGACCTAAGAAATGAGATAGACAGCAACACAATAATAGTGGGGGACTTTGATACTCCACTGGCAGCACTAGACAGGTCATCAAGACAGAAAGTCAACAAAGAAACAATGAATGAATTAAAACTATACCTTGGAACAAATGGACTTAACAGATACATATGGAACATTCCATCCAACAACAGCAGAATACACATTCTATTCAACAGTGCGTGAAACTTTCTCCAAGATAGACCATATGATAGGCCATAAAACAAGCCTCAATATATTTAAGAAAATTGAGATTATATTCAGCACTCTCTCAGACCACAATAGAAAAAAACTGGAAATCAATTCCCAAAGGTAGCTTTAAAACCATGCAAATACATGGATATTAAACAACCTGCTCCTGAATGAGCATTGGGTTAAAAACAAAATCAAGATGGAAATTTAAAAATTATTTGAACTGAACCACACAACCTATCAAGACCTCTGGGATACAGCAAAGGCAGTGCTAAAAGGAAAGTTCATAGCCCTAAATACCTACATCAAAAAGACTGAAAGAACACAAACTTACTTTTTTTTTCTTTTTTTTTTTTTTGAGGCAGAGTCTCGCTCTGTTGCCCAGGCTGGAGTGCAGTGGCCCCTGATCTCGGCTCACTGCAAGCTCCGCCTCCCAGGTTCATGCCATTCTCCTGCCTCAGCCTCCCAAGTAGCTAGGACTACAGGCACCCGCCACCACACCTGGCTACTTTTTTGTATTTTTTTAGTAGAGACGGGGTTTCACCATGTTAGCCTGGATGGTCTCAATCTCCTGACCTCGTGATCCACCCGCCTCAGCCTCCCAAAATGCTGGGATTACAGGCGTGAGCCACCGTGCCCGGCCCAAACTGACATTTTAAGGTCACACCTCAGGGAACTAGAGAAACAAGAACAAATGAAACCAATACCCAGCAGAAGATAGGAAATAACCAAGAGCAGAGTAGAACTAAATGAAATAGAAACAAACAAACAAAATACAAAAGATAAGTGAAACAGAAAGCTTGTTATTTGAAAAGATAAATAAAATTCATAGACCATTAGCAAGATTAACCAAGAAAAGAAAAGAGCAAATGCAAATAACCTCATCAAGAAATGAAACATGAGATATTACAACTGACATCACTGAAATAAGAAAGATCGTTCAAGGCTACTGTGAACACCTTTACACACATAAACTAGAAAACCTAGAAGACATGGATACGTTCCTAGAAAAATACAACTGTCTTAGTTTAAATCAGGAAAAATTAGATACCTTAAGCAGGTATCTAATTTTAACAAGCAGTGAGATTGAAATGGTAATTTAAAAATTACCAACAAAAAAAAGTCCAGGACCACACAGATTCACAGAAGAATTCTACTAAACATTCAAAGGAGAATTGGTACCAATACTTTTGACACTATTCCACAAGACAGAGAAAGAAGGAGCCCTCCCTAATTCATTCTATGAAGAACTCTCCCTATTCATTCTATGAAGCCAGCATCACCATAATACCAAAACCAGGCAAGGACAAAAGAAACCAAAAAAGACAAACCAAAGGATAAAAGAAACCAAAAGACAAAAGAAACAAAAAAAAAAAGAAAACTATGTACCAATATTCTTGATGAACATAGATGCTAAAATCTTTAACAAAATACTAGCTAATTGAATCCAACAACTTATCAAAAAGATAATCCAGCACGATCAAGTGGCTTTCACAGAAGGAATGCAGGGTTGGTTTAATATATGCAAGCCAATAAATGTGATACATCACATAAACAGAAATAAAAACAAAAATCACATGATTATCACAATAGATGCAGCAAAAGCATCCCACAAAATCCAGCACACACCTTTATGATGAAAACTTTCAGCAAAATTGGCATAAAAGGGACATACCTCAATGTTATAAAAGTAATCTGTGACAACATAATACTGAATGGGGAAAAGTTGAAAGCATTCCCTCTGAGAATTGGCACAAGACAAGAATGCCCACTCTCACCACTCTTCTTCAACGTAGTAGTGGAAGTCCTAGCCAGAACAATCAGATGAGAGAAAGAAATAAAGGGCATCCAAATCGGTAAAGAGGAAGTCAAATATATTGCTGACAATATGATTGTTTACCTTGAAAACCCTAAAGACTCCTCCAGAAAGCTCCTAGAACTGATAAAATAATTCAGCAAAGTTTCGGATACAAGATTAATGTACACAAATCACCAGCTCTTCTATATACCAACAGTGACCAAACAGAGAATCTAATCAAGAACTCAACCCCTTTTACAATAGCTGCAAAAAATAAAATAAAATACTTAGGAATATACCTAACCAAGGAGGTGAAAGACCTCTACAAGGAAAACTACAAAATACTGCTGAAAGAAATCATAGACAACACAAGTGGAAACACATCCCATGCTCAAGGATGGGTAAAATCAATATTGTGAAAATGACCATACTGTCAAAAGCAATCTACAAATTCAATGCAATCCCCATAAAAATACCAACATTATTCTTCACAGAGTTGGAAAAAAATATTAAAATTCATATGGAACCATAAAAGAGCTGCATAGCCAAAGCAAGACTAAGCAAAAAGAACAAATCTAGAGGCATCACACTACCTGATTTCAACCTATGATATAAATCCATAGTCACCAAAACAGCATGGCACTGGTATAAAAATAGGCACATAGACCAATGGAACAGAATAGAGAACAGAGAAATAAACCCAAATACTTACAGCCAATTGATCTGCAACAAAGCAAACAAAAACATAAAGTGGGGAAAGGACACCCTTTTCAACAAATGGTGCTGGGATAATTGGCTAGCCACATGTAGGAGAATGAAACTGGATCCTCATCTCTCACCCTATACAAAAATCAACTCAAGGTGGATTAAGGACTTAAATCTAAGACCCGAAACTATAAAAATTCTAGAAGATAACATTGGAAAAATCCTTCTAGACATTGTCTTGGGCAAGGATTTCATGACCAAGTACCCAAAAGCAAATGCAATAAAAACAAAGATAAATAGTTGGCACTGAATTAAACTAAAGAGCTTTTGCACAGCAAAAGGAACAGTCAGTAGAGTAAACTGACAACCCACAGAGTGGGAGAAAATCTTCACAATCTATACATCTAACAGAAGACTGATATCCAGAATCTACAACGAACTCAAACAAACCAGTAAGAAAAAAACAAACAATCTCACCAGCAAATTGGCTAAGGACATGAATAGACAATTCTCAAAAGACGATATACAAATGGCCAACAAACATATGAACAAATGCTCAACATGACTAATGATCAGGGAAATGCAAATCAAAACCACAATGTGATACCACCTTGCTCCTACAAGAATGGCCATAATCAAAAAGCAGTAGATGTTGGCATGGATGTGGTGTACAGGGAACACTTCTACACTGCTGGTGGGAATGTAAACTAGTACAACTACCATGGAAAACAGTGTGGAGATTCCTTAAAGAACTAAAAGTAGAACTATTATTTGATCCAGCAATTCCACTACTGAGTATCTACCCAGAGAAAAAGAAGTCATTATATGAAAAACCTACCTGCACATGCCTATTTATAGCAGCAAAATTCACAATTGCAAAATTGTGTAACCAACCCAAATGCCCATCAATCAACCAGTGGATAAAGAAACCGTGGTATATTTATATGATGGAATATTACTTAGCCATAAAAAGGAATGAATTACTGGCATTCACGGTGACCTGGATGAGATTGGAGATTATTATTCTAAGTGAAGTAACTCAGGAATAGCAAACCAAACATCATGTGTTCTCACTGATATGTGGAGCTAAGCTATAAGGACACAAAAGCATAAGAATGATACAGTAGGCTTTGGGGACTACAGGGGAAGAGTGGGAGGGGTCGAGGGATAAAAAACTACAAATACTGTGCAGTGTATACTGCTCAGGTGATGGGTCCACCAAAATCTCACAAGTCACCACTAAAGAACTTACTCGTGTAACCAAAATTCACCTCTTCCACAATAACTTATGGGTAAAAAAAAAAAAAAAAAGGCCAGGCATGGTGGTAGGCGCCTGTGGTCCCAGCTACTTGGGAGGCTGAGGCATGAGAATCACTTGAACCTGGGAAGTGGAGGTTGCAGTGAGCCAAGATCACACCACTGCACTCCAGCTTGGGTGACAAAGGGAGACTGTGTCTCAAAAATAAAAAATAATGCAGTAAAAAACAAAAACAACAACAACAACAAAAAACCCTGAATTCGGCCAGGGGCGGCGGCTCACGCCTATAATCCCTGCACTTTGGGAAGCCGAGGCAGGTGGATCACCTGAGGTCAGGAGTTCGAGACAAGCCTGACTGATATGGTGAAACCCCGTCTCTACTAAAAATACAAAAAATTAGCCAGGCATGGTAGTGGGTGCCTGTTGTCCCAGCTACTCGGGAGGCCGAGACAGGAGAATTGCCTGCACCCGGGAGACGGAGGTTACAGTGAGCTGATATCGTGCCACTGTACTCCAGCCTGTGCAACAGCAAGACTCCAAGAAAAAAAAAACTGAATAATATATTGCCATATTGCTATATGATTATTAAATCAAAGATGTCATCTCACTCCCCACCTCAGAAGTACATTTTTTCTCAGAATTTTTAGAAATATTTACATAAAAATACATGGATATAAAAGCACACATTTTAAAAATATACAAATTGCATTGCATAAATA
This sequence comes from Homo sapiens, assembly GCF_000001405.40. NCBI lineage: Eukaryota > Metazoa > Chordata > Mammalia > Primates > Hominidae > Homo > Homo sapiens. Next base: position 64,947,194 of record NC_000010.11, on the reverse strand, counting down.
ACTAATAATAACATTAGATTATATATATATGCTCTTATCACACACCAGCCATATTAAGGTACTCGGCATATATACCTTGTGCATATACTTACCCCAGTTCAACCCTGTTCATCATTTGCAACTCAGATCCAATTACACATCCTCAGAGAAGACTTCAAAATCCCTCCACTGTTGTTCTAGGCTAAATTCTTTTCTTACAGGTTGGCAAAGAATAGCACTGCTTTTTTTTAAAGAATGTGTCACTTCTCTAGTAAACTATAAACTTCATCAAAATATATAATACCTCTTTCTCTCTCTTTTATAACTCTAGTATCTAACATATTGTTAAGCAATAGTAGATGCCTAATAAATATTAATTAATTTATTTAATTAGTTAATAAATCTGCTGTGAAATTTCCTCGCCGTAACACTCAATATAGATGCAGTTTTTCACTTACTTTTCTATTTCTTCTACACACTTTTATCTGATATTTTGATATTTTACTATAAAAAATCAACATTTACTTTTTACTAATATTCAGTCAGATTAATTTCCTATTTATAATTGTTAATCTACTTTTTCTGTAATTTTATTCTTTGTCTCAGCCAAATAAAGTTGGTGTAAGAATTGATATATGATATGAATTTCTTGAAGTAGGTATCTTTGGATGTGATTGCTTATTTACAACTTCATTTATGTCTGCTTTGTCTTTTCCTTCCTCACACTTTCAAAAGCTGAATATGCTGCACAATTGCCTGTCTTACGGAAGTTTTATAATTAATTATTTAGATTGTTATTTAATTGATAAAGTTTCCTCACAGTACCATTTTGGCTACATTAGGAAGGGTTTTATTCATAATGCCATAGTATTGTTATTTATTCTCTTAAAGTCCTTAATTATTTTACTTATTGTTTCTTCTTGTTTTTCAATTAATTTTGATGGATTGTAATTATAAGGTTGTACATTAATTCTTTTATGGAATCTATTGACTTTTCAAAACATTTAATACCCAAGATATTATCAATGTTTATGAATATTTATTGAGTAAACACAATAAATATTTTTTATTTTGCTGCAATTTTTGGAAATTTTGACATACAACCTAATTCTCTATACACTTATAGATGGGACATGTTAATTATTTCATTACTATCCATATGCTTGTTTTGGGTTTTGGTGCCCTTATTTGAGCATAAGTTGAGTTGAAATTTTCCACTATCTGTCTCGTGAGTCACCGTGATGAAGCTTTGGTACACAGCAAGGATGGCAGCAGTACAACTCTTAAGACTCCAAAATCAGTGCTGGTTTTAGAAATTAGTATGAATGAAAATATAACCCTATGTTCTTGGATAATTTGTTATAATTTTTCACTGTATTAAGGTATTTCATTTTACTTTTTTCTTTTGAAAAAATGTTATTGATATATAATAGTTGTACATATTTTGGAGGTATATGTGATATTTTGATACTTGAATGTGCAATGATCACATCAGGGTAATAGGATATTCATCACCTCAAACATTTATCTTTGTCTTTGTATTGTGAAATTACAAATCTTCTCTTCTTGCTATTTTGAAATATAAAATAAATTATTTTAAGTGTAATTTCTCTACTGTACTATCAAACACAAACATACAGTTAGAGTATAGATGAAGTCTTTTTTATTTTTATTTTTTATTTTAGATTCAGGTAGTACATGTGCAGGTTTGTAAGAAGGGTATGTTATGTGATGCTGAAATTTAGGCTTCTATTGATCCCATCACTAAGATAGTGAACATAGTATCAAATGGGAGGTTTTTCAACCTTTGCCTTCTCTCTCCATCCCCATTCTGATAGTCCCAGTGTCCGTAGTTCTCATCTTTATGTCCTTGTGTACCCAATGTTTAGCTCCCACACATAAGTGAGAACATGTGGTATTTGGTTTTCTATTTCTGCATTAATTTGCTTAGGATTATGGCCTTCAGCTGCATCCATATTGCTGCAAAGGACATGACTTTGCTATTTTTTATGGCTATGTATTATTCCTTGGTGCATATGCACCACATTTTCTTTATCCAATCCACCACTGATGGGCACCTATGTTGATTCCATGTCTTTACTATTGTGAATAGTTCTATGATAAACATAGGAGTCACAGGAGTGCATGTGTCTTTTTGTAGAACGATTTATTTTCCTTTGGGTATATATGTAGTAACAGGAATGCTGGGTTGAATTGTAGTCCTATTTTCAGTTATTTGAGAAATCTTCCAACTTCTTTTTACAGGGGCTAAAATACTTCTTTACATTCTTACCAAAAGTTTATAAGCTTTCCCTTTTGTCCATATTCTTGCCATCTGTTATGTTCTGACTTTTTATTAAAACAGCCTGACTAGTGTGAAATAGTATCTCATTATGGTTTCAATTTGCATTTCTCTGATGATTAGTGATGTTGAGCATTTTTTACATGTGTGTTGGCTGCATGTATGTCTTCTTTTCAGAAATGCCTGTTCATGTCCTCTTCCCACTTGTTGATTGGTTTAAGTTCCTTATAAATTCTGGATATTAGTCCTCTGTCAGGTACATAGCTTGTGAATATCTTCTCCCATTCTGTAGGTTGTCTGTTTATTCTGATGGTAGTTTCTTTTGCTGTGCAAAAGCGCTTTAATTTAAGGAGGTCTCAATTGTCAATCTCTGAGGGAATTTTTTTTTTTTTTTTTGCAGTTGTTTTGAGGACTTTGTCATAAAAACCTTTGCCTCGGTCAATGTCCAGAAGAGTATTTCCTAGTATTTTTTTCTAGGATTTTTATTGTTTTTGGTTATACATTTAAATCTTTAATCCATCTTGAGTTGATTTTTGTATACGGTGAGAGAGAGCTGTGCAGTTTCATTCTTCTCTAAATAATATTCAGTTTTCCTAGCACCATTTATTGAGTAGGGAGTCCTCTCTCCATTGCTTATTTTTGCCCTCTTTGTCAAAGATCAATTGGTTGCAGGTGTGCAACTTTATTTCTGGATGATCTGTTCTGTTCTGTTCAGTTGGTGTGTCTATTTTTGTACCAGTATCATGCTGTTTTGTTTACTGTAGACTTTGATTATTAAAATGTGTGATGTTACAAAAAACATCATACATGTTATTAATATTTTTCCTTTTGATTAAGTGCCTACATTTTTAAATGAAAAGTATTGATGAGACAGGATCTGATTTGAGGGACATATCACTTACTTATATTTACTCTGAAAACTACAAGTCATTTTTTTTGGCTGACTTCTATATTACTAAAACAAGCATTTCCAATAGTTATTTCCTCCAAAAATATTTATTGACAACTTTATTTATTAGGAATCTTCAATTCAATATTGATCTTTTCATTAGATTAATCTGTCTGCTCAGGGTACATTTATTGTCTGTTATTGCACATTTCTACAATCAAGAGAGTGATTTATCTTGACATTTTATCCATAGAATAATTAAATACCTGGATGCTTTATCAAACTGACCCTGAAGTTAAAGTTATTTTAATGGATACTTCAAATGTTAATAGGAACAAATGTCAAAATTTACTTTTGATTTATAAGCAGATGTATTATGTACCTATTTCCATACCAGTTTTTTCTTCTTTTATTTATTTTTAATATTTATGGATACATAATAGTTATACATATTTGTAGGCTGTGTGATATTTTAATACAAGAATACAATGTGTAATGATGAAATCTTGGTAATTGAGATATCCATTACCTCAAATATTTATCATTTCCTTGTGTTTGGAGGATTCCAAATATTCTTTTCTGGTTATTTTGAAATATGAAATAAATTACTATTAACTATAGTCGTCTTATTGTGCTACCAAATAGTTCATCTTATTTCTTCTGTCCAACTGTATTTTCATACCCATTAACCAACATAAGTATATATCCAAAAGAAAAGAAGTTAATATATAGAAATGATATCTGCATTTCAACATTTTCTTTATGCATTTATCCATTTACATACACTTAGGTTGATTCCATATCTTTGCTATTGTGAATAGTGCTGCAGTAAATATAGAAATACAGGTATCATGTACAGAAAAAGACAGGATGTACTTCAAGATCTGGATTAGAAAATATATGTGACCAACTCAACTTTGTTTATATTTTTCTTAGAAAAATGTGGAATCTGCCTGTGTTTCTTGATGGATTCTCTCCAGTTGTTGGAAAAAGAGTGAGAAAACATAGTGAGGTGATATAAGTCACCAGCACTAAAAGTAACGTCTCTTTGGAATATATTTGGTGCTAATTAGTCTTCAATAGGACAGTGTACCTTCCATTTAGGGCACAATTGAAGGTAAAAAAATTCCACACATGTCAGAAAAAAAAGGAGAAAAGAAGCAATATATCTTTTGGAATAAGCTGCTTGCAAGCTATCTTACTTTTCTGTTTTGCTGTCCCTGCCATGCTTCTGAGTGGAATCATGAGAAAATGAGTGGAATTTACTAAGAGAATACAATCACAGTTTTGCCATCATGTGGGTTTGCATTCACACAAAAAATCAGGCTTGGGTATTATCTAAAAGCAGCTGCAGATTAGAATAGCCCCAGTGTAGCTGAAGGAAGCAGAAATTGTCCCTGAGTGGGACCCATCCTCAAATCAAAAGATTTCCAAAGAATAAGATGAGCCATCTGAATATGAGCTTAACAATGAAATTTAGAAGCACATATGAAAACTGACCGCTGAGTGAGAATTAGAAGAAAAGAAACAATAGAACACAAGGCATACATTGTGGACTTGGAAGATAAATGGCTCTAAAGTTTTTAAGTAGGTTAAAATAAATGTTTTTTTTTTTTTAAAAAAAAAAGCTAATTTGTAAAAAATTTAAAGGAGATTCTAAAAGTTAAAAAAGGTAATAATTTAAACTAAATTTTCAAAGAATAGATTTTTGTAAATTATTCACAGATTCAAATATACTAAAACTAATTAACAATCAGAAAATACAAATCAATACTACTATACAATGAAATACCATTCTACATCTATTTATTGGAAAGTTTTAAAAAATTTAGTATAACCAGTATTAGCTAAAACATGTAAAAGAATTTTTTTATTTTCTTGTAAATTTGGAACTTTTCCTGACTCTCTGTTCCAAGAGTTTATTTCCAAATATATACAAGAGAAGCTATGGTGCATGTTCAAAAAGAGACATGTGCAATAATGTTATAGTTGCACTGCTTATAATAGCAGACTTGAAAGATCTCGAATTTCACAGAAGAATATATAAAGTATGTTATAATCACGCAATGGAAAACTATGTATAGGATTTTACATATATATTTATATCTATATAAATTTATACTAAACAATATAGATAAATCCTGCTGACAGTCCATTGAACGAAAAAAGTAATTCCAACAAAATTGCATACAACGTAATAGACTTTTATGAACTTCAGAAGCAATTTAAACTACATATATTATTTAGGCATGTCTATCAATCTGATAAGATTATTTTTAAAACCAAGGTCCTTACAAAGAGACACAAATAATGCTTTATGGTCTTGAATATTTTTTATTATATTGGTCATTTCAGGATGTATGCAGTAGTAAAATGTCATTGTATTATATAGTTAATATAGTGTGTTTGATTGTATGTAGATTATACATAATAAAGTTGACCAAAAAACAAGAGAATATAACACCAAATTTAGACATTATTTACCATTGCAGTAAGCAGAGGGATGGAAGACAGATGAGAACATAGATAGAAACTATTTTCAATGATTTACTTAAGTTGGCTGTTGAGTTTAATAATGTTTATTATATATTAAGTTAACCAACAAAATAAGGATTCTGTTTCAATCCCTAGCATGGTAAGAGTTCCTAGCATGAATGAGTATTGAGTTTTATAGAATTTCTTTTTTTCTCTTTTTGCACCTACTGAGTATATGGTGAGTGTGGTTTTTTTAATACAAGTTTGCATTCCTATAATAATTCCCACTTGGTCATAAGATTGGTTTTATTTGATGATATTTTGTTTTAGATTTTTGCATCCATGTTCATGGCAGAAATTGTTCTATAATTTTTGTTCATTGAAAATCTTTCTCAGGTTTGGTAAGATTTTTCTGGGAATGAGCTTATTTTCATCTAGAGAGATTTTTTTTTTCTGTAATAAATTTTCTGAAATTTGGTATTGTATTAATGTCTTCAGATTTGGAAGAATTCACCAGTGAAGGCATCTGCGCCCGAGATTTTCTCTGTGAGTACGTTTTAATTGTGTATATCACACTCACCAGGGTAGTAAAAACAAATGGCTGAAAATATCCCTTTTGTGAATACTAGACAGCCACAGAAAATCTTATACTTGGCTGGTACAAAATTGGTTAAAAAAAAAAAACTACTTTGGAAAAACAATTTGGCAATTTGTAGCAAAGTTAAAAATTCATATACCCAATTAGCAAAACCACCATCAAGAAGCACTAAAGTATATGCGAAATTTATGTGCATTGGGAAAAGTGTACAAGAATATTCATAGCAACATGGTCTCCAATAGTAACACCAGAAATAACAAAAATGTTTATTAATAATATTTGGACAAAAACTGTGATATATTTACCTAATGGAATAGTATATAGCAACAAACATTAAAGAATGGAAAAACAATTTGGCAATTTACAGCAAAGTTATGTAAATTAAAATTTAAAATTTATAAACATAACAAACAGCAAGTAAAAGCAAGAAATGAATAGCTTGGACATGCCTAAGTAAGATTCTATTTATATATGCAAAACTATAATTTTAAGGATCAAATTATACATGCAAGGAATATAATATTAGTAAAGTGCTTGTGCCTCAAGTAAGGAGGCAAAAGAGTTTGAATAAGGAAGACAAAGCAGGAAGTGTCTGGCATACATCCAAGGTAATTCTTCTTGACTTGGTTGGTGCTATGAATATGTTAACTATATATATATATTTACATGAACTCTTTCATGTATATTAAGTATTTAATTATAAACAATCCAAAAAAAGACAAAAAAATATGCTGTAACTGTTCAAATTACAGAATCTTTTTGCATCAGGGAAGCTCCCTTTAGTATTCTCTTCAGGATGAAGAAGCAGCTGAGAGTTATGCACATAAGGACAAGAAGGATGATCAATAGTGATTCCAGACCACACTGGGGTCCATAGATGTGTGTGTGTGTGTGTGTGTGTGTGTGCGTGCATGGAAATTAGATTAAAAATTGAAAATTTTCATTTCAAACTCTTCAAACTGCTGAAAGAGGAGAGGTGGTCAGATGGGTTGGAGGAACACAAAGTTGGTTTAGAAATAGAATTTTAAAAATCGAAAAAATATTTTAGACAAATATATAATTATTTTTATAAAGTTAACTCAGAGATAATTCTGTGAAATATGGTTAACATTGAAAACTAAGTTAATTCTAGAGATATAAAATAAAATTCAAAACTTCCAGCTAAGCATAAATGCAATTTATTGTAGAGATATTTGTGAGATAACGTCTTCTTTTAGCATAATTTTAAAAATCAGTTACTTCACTCAGGTATTGCAACAAAGAATTTACCAAAATTTTCTGCATGTTAGAATGCTCCTGAGATGTGTTTCCCCCTTTTCTTCCAATTAGCGTAACATCACACTTACATAATAACATTTAAAATAATTTATAGCTATGCATATCAATTTTTATAGAGTATCATTCTTCCTACTGCTCTAACCAATAACACATAATTAAAGGTACCTGAACTTAATGACAAACAGAAGTTTCAATGTAGGATAATGTACATATTCTCAATGTGTTATACTCTTGCTGGCAGTATTGCCTATTAATATGAAGCATTATTTAAATTGTTAGTTTTGTATGTTAATGAATATTTGGAGCAATTAAGTTATTCCTCCTTTGTGCTTAGAACTAATCATATATATTTATAATGTAAACATTTTTTACCCTAGAAAATGATGATTGATCATACTTTAGCTTAACTGTCATTCAATAAACTTCTAAGACCTGGTCTTGAGAGGACAAATCTGATTTCAGCTAGCATTTTCATGAATTGAGGTCTCTGTGTTACAGCCCCTTTGAAAAATTTCACTGGACATTATTTGCTTCATTATGTAAACATTTAACTGTATGTAAGTATGCTTTTTTAGTTATGAAAATCTCAAAAGTAACAGTTTGAGATATTTTAAGCAGATATTCCAGAGAATGTCTCTACCTCTTCATGAAGTCTTTCTCAACACTGTGGACTTGCTTTCACAATTGTAAAATCAGGCGTTTGGAAGGCCTTAACTTTATTTTCACCATAGTTGACATTTGAACAATGTGGGAGTTAGGGGTGCTGACCCCCCACACCCTGTGTAGTAGAAAATCTATACATAATTCCTACTCCCCCAAACCCTAACTACAAATAGCCTACTGTACCAAAAACTTTACCAATAACATAGACAGTCAATTAACACATATTTTGTATGTTATATGTATTATATACTATATTCTTACAATATAGTAAGCTAGAGAAGAGAAAATGTTATGAAAAGTCATAAGGGAGAAAATACGTTTACTATTCATTACGTGGAAGCAGATCATGATACAGGACTTCATCCTCATTGTCTTCAAATTGAGTAGGCAGAAGAAGAGAGAGAAGAGGAGGGGATGGTCTTGTTGTCTCAGGGGTGGCAGAGGCAGAAGAAAATCCACATTTAAGTAGACCAATGTAGTTCAAACCTGTGCTGTTCAGGGATCAACTGTATTTGACTTGCTTTAGTACATGTTGTGACTGAACATTTTTTCCTTCAAAAATATATAATTCTAAATTTTTAGCAAAAATTTGATCACCTTTGACTTCATGCTGTAAGATTAAAATAATTTGTTTTACCTAGGTTCATTTGTAAAGTTGATTTTTTCAATCTAACTTGACCAATTCAATTACATCTGCACCATCCACTCCATTCTCTGAAGAGCAACATGAATTCAGTTCACAAGAAATTCAGTTCATAAGAAATATTTCTCATCCATAGACTAGAAGTCATAATGCGTTTGAGAATAGGTATACTAGGAGAGGCCATGAAGGAGAAATAAAACAAAATTTCTTCCATAGTGTAGAATCTCATGTTAAAGATTTTGGAGGTAAGATAATTCATGCTAGCAAGAGCAAAAATGTGACAACCAGTATCCATCGCTAAAGTAGTTGGATCTACTAACAAACGCCACAGGAATAAGGGTCACCTATTTGGTTGTCAGAAGACATCAGAGATTGTACGATGGCAGTCCAGATTCCAAGTCTATGAGAAACATAGATGTTAACATTAGCATGGCTGTAAGAATGAGAATAAGATACTATCCAAAGGTAGTATATGTTTTATAGGAGTAGAAAATGTCAAAAATAAAAATATAAAATATTATATTGAAGGTATATGGGAAAATCAAACAAAACCTGGCTAAAACTTCTAGTTCCAAATAGAGATTGCAGAATGAAAGTCAGCTCTTGAGAGTATTATAAGTAAAGCAGTATTTTTAGGATAAATTTTTCTGTTAAAAATAGAGAATTGAGAGGGCTGATAACAGAAAATATTGATTGCATTTAATCCTTAGGGCATCTTTTATTTTAAAAACATTTTACTGATGCATAGTATTTGTATTAATTGTGGGATACAGGTGACACTTTGTTGCATGCATAATATCTGTAATGATCAATCAGGGTATTCAGAATATCAATAACCTTGAGTATTTATCATTTCTATGTATTTTATCATTTCAAATCCTCTCTTCTAGCTATTTTAAAATATACACTACATTGTTATTAGCTATAGTCACCCTACTCTGCTGTCAAATATCTAAACTTATTGCTTCTATCTACCTGTATTTTTGCACCTATTAACCAACTTCTCTTTACTCCCCACTCCTACATACCATTTTCAGCCTTATAACTATCATTCTTCTTTCTACCTCCAAGAAATAAACTTTTTTAGCTCCCATATAAGAGTAACAACATGTGGTATTTGTCTTTCTGTGCCTGACTTATCAAACAAATACTCGTGCTTCTTGTTTTCTGTAGCACTATTCACGGTAGTAAAGATGTGGAATAACCTAAGTGCACATCAGTGAATGAATAGATAAAGAAAATGTGGTATATATACACAATGGAATACTACTTGGACATAAGAAATAATAAAATTTTGTCATTTGAAGCAACATGGATGGAACTGGACATTGTTATGTTAAGTGAATGGCATGTTTTTGGTAAGTATTCTCATTATAACCATTTAAAATAATAAAACTGAGGTCCCAAGAAAATAGCCCTATACAAAATAGTAATGTCACATATCTGGGAAGCAATTTAGTTGGGATTTGAAAGCCTGTCATTATAATAATCACTATCTTGTATAGAATATTCCAGTACTTAGAAACAGTTTATTAGCTTGATAGTTGCTTCAATAATATTTATGAGAAAAGAATCTCAAATTTACTTAATGCTTACTGTGTAGTGACAACATTGCTGCTGCAAACTCTTCTTTTATTGACATACTGAGTTTCTTTCCTACGGAAATCTCTCTTCTTCTCTACTGGATCACCTAATCAGAAAGAAACATTCTATATTACTCAGCATCATTTTGATTAAAAGTGGTTGTTGATTAAAAAAAAGTAATTTTCATTTTGTAATCCCACTGGGTTCGGCCTATTCAATAACCCATCCAGGTACATACAATACACATAATGCAATAGTAAAAGAATGCAAAATAGTGCTAATTCAATCACTGATAAAAATGATGATTGTTAGCATTTTCCAAAGATAGCTTATGTCTTAAACACGTCTATTTAATCATAACATATTAATTCTAAAATAAACTTAAAATCCTGAAAAAAGTAACCAAATTAGAGATAATATAACGTGTATGGTTAGCTCCTGTGTAAAAAAAATTGACAGACTTTTTAATCCATTAAGCAAATTATACCTTCTTTATGTCATTGCTTATTAATTACATCTTAGAGTCAGAAAGTAGTAAGTACTCTATAAGCTATCCATTTACTTTACACATTTATTTAACTTCTTATGTCATTGATTGATGTGATTGTAGTTGTGATAATTTTACTAAATCAAGTACTTTTCAAAAATCTGTTTTTCATTTCCTCAAAATCATGCACTTATTTATCTTTAATGATGTAAACATAAGAATGTATAATGTTATTGCTGCAAATGAATCTGTCTTAATTCTCAAAAACAAGAAAACTAATAAATGTTAAATACCTCATATGAAAAGGTTCACATCATTCTTTTAAATACACTTGTCCATTCATGAGTTCAAATGTTGAATAGAATGGCATTAAACCATTTTTCATCTTGTCATTGCATAAATCATTTGATTGTTTGCTAAAATTATAGATAAGTGTAAGACTTGTGAATAGATTAAAGCCTAATTATGAAAATGTATCTGGTAGTCTTGTAAAAGCCACTATAGCATTTTAATGATAATAGCTAAAATTAGATCTATGGAGATTTTTGGAATTTCTAATGCTACGTCAAAGAATCTAAGTTCCTGTTAATACAACTGGCAGACAAAATCACTGTCAGTTCTCTCTCAGCAGGTTGAATGAGTGATTATTTTATTTTGCTTAATAATAACACTGTTTACCTACATTCAAATTGAATATATTACTAATATAAATATTATGAGCAAAACAAAAAACTAAATAAAAACAAAAGGAACTTCAAGAAAAGAGAAAATAAACAATAATCACTGGTGTTATTCTTTCAAAAATGACGGCATAGTAGAGGGAGAAATAGACTTCAATTAGGATTCAGAACATAGGATCAGTAATAACCAATTCTGAGCTGTTTGAATTATTTATTTTTTTCTGTACATCAATTTCTATGGAGTTTATCTTCCACATTTTCTTTATGCCACTCTTCAATATTCTGCTAGTTTAAATGATATTATATATAGCATTTTTTAATTGTAAAATATTTTTTACAATACACTGTTATTACTGCATGTACAAATTTCACTTATTCATTTTTGTAGACTAGTGGTCGTGAAAATGTCAAAAAATACTCTCAGAATTGAATGATGGAGATCTACCTATTGTCACAAAGTGCTCCCCTATTCCCCACCTCCTCACATAAACAAAGCCTGTCTTCATTAACACAAGTATGAGTCAGAGCAAGAGAAATAACAGTAGTATGGAGCCAAGGTCTCAATCTAGTTTATTAGGTTCAGTTCCCAATGTTCATGAAGGCTGGGACATGCAGATCTTGCCCCTTATTCTATCTCTAACATCTAGCACAGGCACATAATAGATTCTCAGCAAAAGTATCTTGAATTAATTACTAAATGTATGACATTTTGACGTTATTCAACGACAAAGGTAGAATGCATGTAAGGAAAGGCTGCCATAATAAAAAATACTTAAACCATTGGGAATATGTTAAAGAAATTGGCTACCAGGATAAAATGAATCATAATATCAAAAATGTCTCCAAATATTTACAGGACTGTCATATTGAAAAGAGATTGTTTATTTTTTCTCTGTAGAACAAGCAATAAAAAATATTGAGAAGTCATTAAAAAGTTAATTTTCTGTTCCATAAAATAACAATTATTGTAGCTGGTCAAAAATGAGATGTTTTCTGGTGAAAAAAGTCTGCTTCCCTAATACTGGAGGGGTTAAATAAAAGGTAGAGAATATTTGCCAGATTATCTACAAAGGAGATTGGTGAAGTAAGATAGGAAAGGAAGAGGGCAAAGAGTCAGAATATTTTCTGTCCACACCCTAGGCACAGACCATACTAACTTTGTAACATTGAAAAATGCCTTTCAAAATGTAATGTGCAAGTGAATCACAAGGCTAAACTTTGCTGAAATGTAAATTTGGGTCTAAGAGATCTGGGATGGGGCCTGGGATTCTGTATTCTTAAGGAGCTCAGGCTGTGGGCTTTGGACCTAACTTTAAGTAGCAAGCCAAATTAATATGTTTCTACCTCAGTGTTCCATACTCTATAAATTATATAGTGCTTGTTAGCATTAAATGCAAAAATTCCCAAAAAAGTCAACATATAATGGAAAATAGAGTGTATTTTTACTCATTATTATCAGTGCTTCTTTAGGATTGTATGATAATATGATTATTTTCTTTAAAAATTCTGGAATTTAAATATACATTTTATGACTCTGTCAAAGCTAACACCTGAAAGAAAAACTGATTATTTAATAGCTGTAGGTTTCACTCTTTAAAAATGTCTTCCTCTGGCCAGGGGGATGGGGCAGGAGGGGGCGGGTGCAGAGGTAACAAAGGAAGAATAGGCAGAGCCCAGAGGATTTTTAGGGCAGTGAAACCATTCTGTATAATACAACAATGGTGGATATATGCCATTATAAGTTTAACCAAACCCATGGAATGTACAACACTGAGAGTGAACCATAAGGTCAGCTATGGCCTTTGGTGATAATGATGTGTCTTTGTAGCTTCATCAGTTGCAAGAAATGCACCACTTTGGTTGGGGATGTTGATAATGTGGGAGGCATAAATGATGATTTCATTTTTGCCTAATAATAACACCGTTTAGCTACATTCAAATGGTGTATTTTACTAATACAAATATTGTGAGTAAAACAAAAAATAACAGTATGGGAAATCTCTTTGTCTTCTGATTTTTTGCCGTTAATCTAAAACTGCTCCAGAAACAATCTATTTTTTTAAAGTCATGTTCATTCAGCACCAACGTCTTACATATAGGCATAATGGATATTAATCTCAGGCAAAACAATGTTTCTTGAAATATGAGCTGCTAGTACATCAATAATGGCAAATATTGGTGTAGAATAAATAGCATTAGGGATAGAAATTATTTTTACAAGGAAAAATGAAAATAGCTGCATATCTGTCATTTAATGAAAGGAATTTTCAATAAATGGTGATACATACCATGTTAATGGATGTAAAGTCTTTATATTGCAAAAAGCTCCAATCATTCCCAAATTCTTTCATACCTTCAGCACGATTGCCATAAAAATCCTAAAATAAATTTGTGTGGTATTTACAAGCTGATTCTAAAATTTGTTGGTAATATGAAATAATTAAGATACTTTTGAATAAAAGAACAAAGGCTGATAACCAACAATTATCAATACATAAAATACAGCTATAATTTAAATAGTGATACATTAGAGTATAAAATCACAAACATAAATAATAAATGGAGGCTTTCTATGTGTAGAAATAATTTAGTATAGGGCTTTCATTTTGTTTTGCTGCTTATCCTCTGATACTTGTTTGTAAATCTGAAGAAAGCCTTGCATTTTGATATCTAGAAGACCTTAGCTTTATCTGTACTTTTACAATACATTTTAAAAGACATATGAGATCATATAATTCCTGTTTAACTTTTTGTTTTTTTTTTTTGAGACGGAGTTTTGCTCTTGTCGCCCAGGCTCGGGTGCAATAGCGCCATCTCAGCTCACTGCAACCTCTGCTTCCTGGGTTCAAGCAGTTCTCCTGCTTCAGCCTCACGAGTGCCTGGGATTACAGGCACCTGCCACCACACCCAGCTAATTTTTATTTTTTATTTATTTATTTTTTTTAGTAGAGACAGGTTTCACCATGTTGGCCAGGCTGGTCTCGAACTCCTGACCTAGGCCTCCCAAATTGCTGGGATTACAGGTGTGAGCCACCATGCCCGACCATTCCTGTCCAACTTAAAAAGAGTTTACACATTGATAAAACTGGAAAGCAAGCATTCCAAATATTAATTATAATGTCTGGGCACTGATAATATTTAGAACTTACCTATTTAGTTTTCAAATATTTATCTAATATCTTATGTAAAACACATATAATTAGAAAAATAATAACAGATGAAAGAGATTACACTGCAGCTTCAGAACTCCTGTACTAATAAATAGGAAATGTAAGAAATCTAAAAAGATAAAGTCTAGATAGCAAGATAAGTAGTAAAAAAGCTCTGTAGGTTAATCAAGTAAAAGATTGTATGGAAAACCAACATAGATTATTACAACTACAAAAGAAGAGACATATGTATTTTTTTCCAATGGTAAAATAATAGCTGGGAAACTTGACCACTTGCTAAACTGAACATTTCTCAAACACAGCTAAATGTAGTGGCACATCTCTTTGTTGTTATATTTTATGTGAATAATAGATAACTTTTCACTAACATGTTCAAGAAGAATAGGTTGTGATGGCGCGGTGGCTCATGCCTGTAATCCCAGCACTTTGGGAAGCCGAGGCAGGTTGATCATCAGGTCAGGAGGTCGAGCACCAGCCTGACCAACATGCTGAAACCTCGTCTCTACTAAAAATACAAAAAAAATTAGCCGGATGTGGTGGTGCACGCCTGTAATCCCAGCTACTTAGGAGGCTGAGGCAGGATAATCACTAAAACCTGAGAGGCAGAGCTTGAAGTGAGCCGAGATTGTGCCACTGTACTCCAGCCTGGGCGACAGAGCGAAACTCCGACTCAAATAAAGAAAAAAAAAAGAATAGGTCAAATTCAGATTGCCTGTAGTTGCACAGCAATGTAATAGTTGGTAAACCAAAAGCTAAGTAATAAAGAAAGCTTTCTCAGTGTATTCATGATTATACAATTTTCATTACTCTGTCATTTATCTATGATAATAAAAGAAGAAGAAATCCAAGAGAACACATTGCTTGTGAAAATTGTTTTACCAAATATATTCACTGTATTAATAAAATTGTACACTGGATAAATGAATATATTTATAATAAGATTTTAAACATTAATGAATTCTAGAAAATATATTGTATATAAACATATTTTGGCATATTAGCCTTTTACAGTAACTGTATCAACTCTTTCATTTCATTTAACTTATCCCGTATCAACAACACATTCATGCTCTGATTGGCAATGTCTCCTAAAATTATTTATTTTGTATATGTTCCTAATCATATTTATGTAGACTTTAACAAAACCTTGCAAAATGATATAATTGTATTTCAAAACATAAATCTACAAAAAATGCATGTTTTTCTGTCATCAAGATATGACATACACACACACAAACATGTATTTGCATGTATTTGTGTATTATATACAGCATATTTCAGAGAACAATACAAACTATATTAAACATAGTATATTGCTACTTTTGCCTCAGATAATTTTTTGAGTATAAGTAATAATTTCAGATACATTTAATGCTTTCTGTGTACTCTTCCCAAACACACTACCAATCCTACTCAAAAGGAAGAGAAGTCCTACAAACATGTGAGGTTTTCATTTGGCAAAATATTACAACTCCCTAGATGTAAACACTGCCCTGCTTTCTTGAATAGCCAAGATTCCAAAGAATAACAAAATTAGCATCCTATACCTCAGCAACGGCATTAAAAGCTGAAAGCCTGTAAAGCAATGTGTTTGAAGTTTTGATAGAAAATTACTTCAAATCTAGGATTTAATCCCAGTCAAATTACTTATCAAATTACTTATCAAATGGGAAACATATATTTAGAATATCACTTAAAGCTCAGCATACATATATTTAAAAGTACATTACAGACTGAGAAAAACAAGGAATCCAAGAATGTAGCACAAAGAAATTTTTAGAAAGTATTTATTTGGCCACCAGAGAAAGCAGATCAATCTCTCTTATGAACATCTGTGCAAAAATCCTAAACAAATTATCAGCAAAATTAGTGCACCAGTTCAAAACCAGTATAGACATCATGACCAAGCTTAATTTAACTCACAAATGCTAAGTTGTTCTAGTATTTGAAAGTCAATTAACATAATACACATTAGCAGATGAAGGAGAAAAATCATGTAATAATCTTAATAGTTGCCAAACTTAGTTGATAATATTAAATATCTATTTTTAATGAAAAATGTTACTTACAGTACCAGAAATAGAAGAAAACTTTCTTAATATAAAATTACATATCTACATAAAATCCAAAGAAAGCACTGTATTTTTTTTTAAAGAAACTTGTATTTATTTTTATGTTGTTTATTTTTTTTAATTATTATTATACTTTAAGTTTTAGGGTACATGTGCACATTGTGCAGGTTAGTTACATACGTATACATGTGCCATGCTGGTGCGCTGCACCCACTAACTCGTCATCTAGCATTAGGTATATCTCCCAATGCTCTCCCTCCCCCCTCCCCCCACCCCACAACAGTCCCCAGAGTGTGATGTTCCCCTTCCTGTGTCCATGTGATCTCATTGTTCAATTCCCACCTATCAGTGAGAATATGCGGTGTTTGGTTTTTCGTTCTTGCAATAGTTTACTGAGAATGATGATTTCCAATTTCATCCATGTCCCTACAAAGGACATGAACTCATCATTTTTTATGGCTGCATAGTATTCCATGGTGTATATGTGCCACATTTTCTTAATCCAGTCTATCATTGTTGGACATTTGGGTTGGTTCCAAGTCTTTGCTATTGTGAATAATGCCGCAATAAACATACGTGTGCATGTGTCTTTATAGCAGCATGATTTATAGTCCTTTGGGTATATACCCAGTAATGGGATGGCTGGGTCAAATGGTATTTCTAGTTCTAGATCCCTGAGGAATCGCCACACTGACTTCCACAATGGTTGAACTAGTTTACAGTCCCACCAACAGTGTAAAAGTGTTCCTATTTCTCCACCACCTCTCCAGCACCTGTTGTTTCCTGACTTTTTAATGATTGCCATTCTAAATGGTGTGAGATGCTATCTCATTGTGGTTTTGAATTGCATTTCTCTGATAGCCAATGATGATGAGCATTTTTTCATGTGTTTTTTGGCTGCATAAGTGTCTTCTTTTGAGAAGTGTCTGTTCATGTCCTTCGCCCACTTTTTGATGGGGTTGTTTGTTTTTTTCTTGTAAATTTGTTGGAGTTCATTGTAGATTCTGGATATTAGCCCTTTGTCAGATGAGTAGGTTGTGAAAATTTTCTCCCATTTTGTAGGTTGCCTGTTCACTCTGATGGTAGTTTCTTTTGCTGTGCAGAAGCTCTTTAGTTTAATTAGATCCCATTTGTCAATTTTGGCTTTTGTTGCCATTGCTTTTGGTGTTTTAGACATGAAGTCCTTGCCCATGCCTATGTCCTGAATGGTAATGCCTAGGTTTTCTTCTAGGGTTTTTATGGTTTTAGGTCTAATGTTTAAGTCTTTAATCCATCTTGAATTAATTTTTGTATAAGGTGTAAGGAAGGGATCCAGTTTCAGCTTTCTACATATGGCTAGCCAGTTTTCCCAGCACCATTTATTAAATAGGGAATCCTTTCCCCATTGCTTGTTTTTCTCAGGTTTGTCAAAGATCAGATAGATGTAGATATGCGGCGTTATTTCTGAGGGCTCTGTTCTGTTCCATTGATCTATATCTCTGTTTTGGTACCAGTACCATGCTGTTTTGGTTACTGTAGCCTTGTACTATAGTTTGAAGTCAGGTAGTGTGATGCCTCCAGCTTTATTCTTTTGGCTGAGGATTGACTTGGCAATGCGGGCTCTTTTTTGGTTCCATATGAACTTTAAAGTAGTTTTTTCCAATTCTGTGAAGAAAGGCATTGGTAGCTTGATGGGGATGGCATTGAATCTGTAAATTACCTTAGGCAGTATGGCCATTTTCACGATATTGATTCTTCCTACCCATGAGCATGGAATGTTCTGCCATTTGTTTGTATCCTCTTTTATTTCCTTGAGCAGTGGTTTGTAGTTCTCCTTGAAGAGGTCCTTCACACCCCTTGTAAGTTGGATTCCTAGGTATTTTATTCTCTTTGAAGCAATTGTGAATGGGAGTTCACTCATGATTTGGCTCTCTGTTTGTCTGCTGTTGGTGTATAGGAATGCTTGCGATTTTTGCACATTGATTTTGTATCCTGAGACTTTGCTGAAGTTGCTTATCAGCTTAAGGAGATTTTGGGCTGAGACAATGGGGTTTTCTAGATATACAGTCATGTCATCTGCAAACAGGGACAATTTGACTTCCTCTTTTCCTAATTGAATACCCTTTATTTCCTTCTCCTGCCTAATTGCCCTGGCCAGAACTTCCAACACTATGTTGAATAGGAGTGGTGAGAGAGGGCATCCCTGTCTTGTGTCAGTTTTCAAAGGGAATGCTTCCAGTTTTTGCCCATTCAGTATGATATTGGCTGTGGGGTTGTCATAGATCGCTCTTATTATTTTGAAATACGTCCCATCAATACCTAATTTATTGAGAGTTTTTAGCATGAAGCATTGTTGAATTTTGTCAAAGGCCTTTTCTGCATCTATTGAGATAATCATGTGGTTTTTGTCTTTGGTTCTGTTTATATGCTGGATTACATTTATTGATTTGTGTATATTGAACCAGCCTTGCATCCCAGGGATGAAGTCCACTTGATCATGGTGGATAAGCTTTTTGATGTGCTGCTGGATTCGGTTTGCCAGTATTTTATTGAGGATTTTTGCATCAATGTTCATCAAGGATATTGGTCTAAAATTCTCTTTTTTGGTTGTGTCTCTGCCCAGCTTTGGTATCAGAATGATGCTGGCCTCATAAAATGAGTTAGGGAGGATTCCCTCTTTTTCTATTGATTGGAATAGTTTCAGAAGGAATGGTACCAGTTCCTCCTTGTACCTCTGGTAGAATTCAGCTGTGAATCCATCTGGTCCTGGACTCTTTTTGGTTGGTAAGCTATTGATTATTGCCACAATTTCAGATCCTGTTATTGGTCTATTCAGAGATTCAACTTCTTCCTAGTTTAATCTTGGGAGGGTGTATGTGTCGAGGAATTTATCCATTTCTTCTAGATTTTCTAGTTTATTTGCATAGAGGTGTTTGTAGTATTCTCTGATGGTAGTTTGTATTTCTGTGGGATCGGTGGTGATATCCCCTTTATCATTTTTTATTGCGTCTATTTGATTCTTTTCTCTTTTCTTCTTTATTAGTCTTGCTAGCGGTCTGTCAATTTTGTTGATCCTTTCAAAAAACCAGCTCCTGGATTCATTAATTTTTTGAAGGGTTTTTTGTGTCTCTATTTCCTTCAGTTCTGCTCTGATTTTAGTTATTTCTTGCTTTCTGCTAGCTTTTGAATGTGTTTGCTCTTGCTTTTCTAGTTCTTTTAATTGTGATGTTAGGGTGTCAATTTTTGATCTTTCCTGCTTTCTCTTGTGGACATTTAGTGCTATAAATTTCCCTCTACACACTGCTTTGAATGTGTCCCATAGATTCTGGTATGTTGTGTCTTTATTCTCGTTGATTTCAAAGAACATTTTTATTTCTGCCTTCATTTCGTTATGTACCCAGTAGTCATTCAGGAGCAGGTTGTTCAGTTTCCATGTAGTTGAGCGGTTTTGAGTGAGATTCTTAATCCTGAGTTCTAGTTTGATTGCACTGTGGTCTGAGAGATAGTTTGTTATAATTTCTGTTCTTTTACATTTGCTGAGGAGAGCTTTACTTCCAAGTATGTGGTCAGTTTTGGAATATGTGTGGTGTGGTGCTGAGAAAAATGTATATTCTGTTGATTTGGGGTGGAGAGTTCTGTAGATGTCTATTAGGTCCACTTGGTGCAGAGCTGAGTTCAATTCCTGGGTATCCTTGTTGACTTTCTGTCTCATTGATCTGTCTAATGTTGACAGTGGGGTGTTAAAGTCTCCCATTATTAATGTGTGGGAGTCTAAGTCTCTTTGTAGGTCACTCAGGACTTGCTTTATGAATCTGGGTGCTCCTGTATTGGGTGCATATATATTTAGGATAGTTAGCTCTTCTTGTTGAATTGATCCCTTTACCATTATGTAATGGCCTTCTTTGTCTCTTTTGATCTTTGTTGGTTTAAAGTCTGTTTTATCAGAGACTAGGATTGCAACCCCTGCCTTTTTTTGTTTTCCATTTGCTTGGTAGATCTTCCTCCATCCTTTTATTTTGAGCCTATGTGTGTCTCTGCACATGAGATGGGTTTCCTGAATACAGCACACTGATGGGTCTTGATTCTTTATCCAATTTGCCAGTCTGTGTCTTTTAATTGGAGCATTTAGTCCATTTACATTTAAAGTTAATAGTGTTATGTGTGAATTTGATCCTGTCATGATGATGTTAGCTGGTTATTTTGCTCGTTAGTTGATGCAGTTTCTTCCTAGTCTTGATGATCTTTACATTTTGGCATGATTTTGCAGCGGCTGGTACCGGTGGTTCCTTTCCATGTTTAGTGCTTCCTTCAGGAGCTCTTTTAGGGCAGGCCTGGTGGTGACAAAATATCTCAGCATTTGCTTATCTGTAAAGTATTTTATTTCTCCTTCACTTATGAAGCTTAGTTTGGCTGGATATGAAATTCTGGGTTGAAAATTCTTTTCTTTAAGAATGTTGAATATTGGCCCCCACTCTCTTCTGGCTTGTAGGGTTTCTGCCGAGAGATCCACTGTTAGTCTGATGGGCTTCCCTTTGAGGGTAACCCGACCTTTCTCTCTGGCTGCCCTTAACATTTTTTCCTTCATTTCAACTTTGGTGAATCTGACAATTATGTGTCTTGGAGTTGCTCTTCTCGAGGAGTATCTTTGTGGCGTTCTCTGTATTTCCTGAATCTGAACGTTGGCCTGCCTTGCTAGATTGGGGAAGTTCTCCTGGATAATATCCTGCAGAGTGTTTTCCAACTTGGTTCCATTCTCCCCATCACTTTCAGGTACACCAATCAGACGTAGATTTGGTCTTTTCACATAGTCCCATATTTCTTGGAGGCTTTGCTCGTTTCTTTTTATTCTTTTTTCTCTAAACTTCCCTTCTCACGTCATTTCATTCATTTCATCTTCCATTGCTGATACCCTTTCTTCCAGTTGATCGCATCGGCTCCTGAGGCTTCTGCATTCTTCACGTAGTTCTCGAGCCTTGGTTTTCAGCTCCATCAGCTCCTTTAAGCACTTCTCTGTATTGGTTATTCTAGTTATACATTCTTCGAAATTTTTTTCAAAGTTTTAAACTTCTTTGCCTTTGGTTTGAATGTCCTCCCGTAGCTCAGAGTAATTTGATCGTCTGAAGCCTTCTTCTCTCAGCTCGTCAAAGTCATTCTCCGCCCAGCTTTGTGCCGTTGCTGGTGAGGAGCTGCGTTCCTTTGGAGGAGGAGAGGCGCTCTGCTTTTTAGAGTTTCCAGTTTTTCTGTTCTGTTTTTTCCCCATCTTTGTGGTTTTATCTACTTTTGGTCTTTGATGATGGTGATGTACAGATAGGTTTTTGGTGTGGATGTCCTTTCTGTTTGTTAGTTTTCCTTCTAACAGGACCCTCAGCTGCAGGTCTGTTGGAGTACCCTGCAGTGTGAGGTGTCAGTGTGCCCCTGCTGGGGGGTGCCTCCCAGTTAGGCTGCTCAGGGATCAGGGGTCAGGGACCCACTTGAGGAGGCAGTCTGCCTGTTCTCAGATCTCCAGCTGGGTACTGGGAGAACCACTGCTCTCTTCAAAGCTGTCAGACAGGGACATTTAAGTCTGCAGAGGTTACTACTGTCTTTTTGTTTGTCTGTGCCCTGCGCCCAGAGGTGGAGCCTACAGAGGCAGGCAGGCCTCCTTGAGCTGTGGTGGGCTCCACCCAGTTCGAGCTTCTCGGCTGCTTTGTTTACCTAAGCAAGCCTGGGCAATGGTGGGCGCCCCTCCCCCAGCTTCGCTGCCGCCTTGCAGTTTGATCTCAGACTGCTGTGCTAGCAATCAGCGAGACTCCGTGCAGGTAGGACCCTCTGAGCCAGGTGCGGGATATAATCTTGTTGTGCGCAGTTTTTTAAGCCCGTCGGAAAAGCGCAGTATTCGGGTGGGAGTGACCAGGTGCCGTCCATCACCCCTTTCTTTGATTAGGACAGGGAACTCCCTGACCCCTTGCGCTTCCCAAGTGAGGCAATGCCTCGCCCTGCTTCGGGTCGTGCACGGTGCGCGCACCCACTGACCTGCACCCACTGTCTGGCACTCCCTAGTGAGATGAACCCGGTACCTCAGATGGAAATGCAGAAATCACCCGTCTTCTGCGTCGCTCAGGCTCGAAAGCACTGTATTTTATGGCGAAATGTTGAAAGCTATGCTTGAAATGGAAATAGGTAAGAATGGCCATTACTCCCATTTCTGTTCTATGTTGTATGGGATGTTAAGCCGATGTAGTAAGGAAAGAAAAATAAACAAAAGGAAAGGAAATATTTGTAATAGTCAAAATAAAATTGCCATGGTATTTTCTTTTAAAAATACATTGTAATATAAAGCAAAGACCCAAAGCCATGTAAAACAAACACACCGCTTAGTAAACTATTATATAACTTGATATATTCTAAAATTAAATAGAGGAGTCTTTAGGGTTTTCTATGTATAAGATAATGTCACCAGCAGAGACAATTTACTTCCTTTCCTATTTAAATGCCTTTTATTTCTTCTCTTGCTTAATTGCTCTGGCTAGGACCTCCGGTATTACGTTGAACAAAACTGGCGAGAATGAGCAACTTTGTTTTGTTCCTGATCTTAGAGGAAAAGCCTTCACCTTTTCTTCCTTGAGCATAATGTTATCTGTGGACTTGCCATATATAGCTTTTATTGTGTTGAGAAACAGTTCTTCTATATCTAATTTGTTGAGAGTTTTTATAATGAAAGGATTTTATTTTTTTCAAATGCCACTTATTCATCTATTGAGATGATTATATGTTTTTTTTCCCATTTCCATTCTGTTAATGTAGTGTACCACATTTATTGATTTGTGTATGTGGCAATATCCTTGCATTGAGTGGGGACAAATCCCACTTGATCATGGTGAATGATCCTTTTATGTATGATTATATATGGTTTGCCAGTATTTTATTGAATATTTTTGCATCTGTGGTCATCAAAGACATTGGCCTGTGATTTTCTTTTCTTGTGTCTTTGTCTGACTTTGGTATCGGAGTAATGCTGGTCTCATAAAATGAGTTTGGAAGTAATTCTTCCTCTTCAATTTTTTAAAAGAGTTTGAGAAAAATTAGTGCAAATTCTTTAAATGTTTAGTGGAATTTGGCTGTGAAGACATCTGGTCCTGGGCTTTTCTTTGGTGGTAGACTTTTTATTACTAAGTCAATCTCCTAACTTACTGGTCTGTTGGGATTTTAAATTTTCTCATGATTTAGTCTTGGTAGGTTGTATGTGTGTATGAATTTATCAGTTTCATCCTAGTCACCCAATTTGTTGGCATATAATTGTTTATAGTAGTCTCTCGGGATCCTCTGTACTTCTGTGTCAGTTGTCAACATCTCTTCTTTAATTTCTGATTTTATTTCAGTCTTCTCTCTGTTTTCTTAGTTTGTTTTCTAGCTAAGAATTTGTTCATTTTCTTTATCTCATAAAAACCGCTTAATTTCATTTATTATTTAAATCAAATTTCTTTACATTTTTTTTGAGATAGGGTCTCACTCTGTCATCCAGGCTGTGTTGCAGTGCTTTGATCGTAGCTCACTGCAGCCCTGACTTCCTAGCCTCATGTGAACCTCCCACCTCAGCCTCCTGAGTAGCTGGGACCACAGGCATGTGCCACCATGTTTAGCTGACTTTTAAAATATTTTAAAAAGGTTTTGTGGGTTCAGAGTTGTTGTACATATTTATGGGGTACATTAGATGTGTTAATACAGCATGCAATGTTAAATAAGCACATCAGGAAAAATGGGGTATTCATTCCCTCAAGCATTTATTCTTTGAGTTATAAACAATCCAATTACACTCTTTTAGTTATTAAAAAATGTACAACTAAGTTATTACTGACTATAGGCATCCTGTTGTGCTATCAAATAGTAGGTCTTATTCATTCTTTCTATTTTTTGTGCCTATTAACCATTCCCACCGCACCCCACCAACCCACCCCCAGCTACACTTCCAAACCTCTGATAACCATCCTGCTACTCTCCGTGTCCATGAGTTCAATTGTTTTGGTTTTCAGATCCCACAAATAAGTGAGAATATGTGATTTTGTCTTTCTGTGCCTGGCTTGTTTCACTTAACATGAGCTCCAGTTTCATCCATGATTTTGAAAATGACAGGAATTACAAGTTACAAGGGTGTTCATCTTATAATAATTTTAATAATGTAATCTTATAATATTGATCATCAGAGAAATGAAAATCAAAACTACAATGAGATATCTCATTGCATTTCTCTGATGATCAATATTATAAAATTACTTTATTACAATTAAATAATAATTTAATAAGGTTAAATTATTATAAATGTGGTACATATACACAATAGAGTACTATGCAGTCAAGAAAATAAAAATAAAAATAACTCTTTTTTATTGGCTGAATAGTACTCCACTGTGTATACATACGACATTTTCTTTATCCATTTATCTGTTGGTAGAAACTTTGGTTCCTTCTAAATCTTAGACATTTTAGGATTTTTTTTCTATTCCTGTGAAGAATGTCCCTGATATTTTGATAAAGATTGCATTAAATATGTAGATTGCTTTGTGTAGTATGGACATTTTAACAATATTCAGTCTTCTAAACCATGAACATGTCAATTTTTTTTCCATTTTTGTGACCTCTTCAATTTCTGTCATGAGTATTTTACAGTTTCTGTTACAGAGATCATTCCCTTCTTTGGTAAAGTTAATTCCTAGGTATTTAATTTTACTTATTGCTACTGTAAATGGGATTACTTTTACATTTATTTTTGACATTGTTCACTGTTAGTGTATAGAAGTGATACTAATTTTGTATGTTGATTTTGTATTCTGCAACTTCACTGACTTTGTTTATCGGTTCTAATAGTGTTGTTGTGGAGTGTTTAAGTTTTTCAAAATATAAGATCATATCATGTGAAAAGAAGGATAATCTGACTTCTTCCTTTCCAATTTGGATGCCCTTTACATCTTTCTCTTTTCTGATTGTTCTAGCTAGGAATTCCCCTACTCTTTTGAATAACAGGGGTGACAGTGGGCATCCTTGTTGTATTCCAGATCTTAGAAGAAAGGCTTTCAGTTTTTCCCCATTCAGTATCATTCTAGCTGCAGGTCTATCATATATGGCTTTTATTATGTTGAGGTATATTCCTTCTATAACCAATTTTTGTAGGGTTTCATTATGAAGAGATGTTGAATTTGATCAAATGCTTTTTCAGCATCGGTTGAAATGATCAAGTGTTTTTTGTCCTTCATTCTGTTGATATGACATAGCACATTGATTAATTTGCATATGGTTAACTATCCTTGCATCTTAGGGGTAATCCTCCATCCCAGGCATCTTCCAAAGGATGATCTTTATACTGCATTGTTGAATTCTATTTGATAGTAGTTTGTTAAAGATTTTTACATTGATATTCATCAGAGATACCAACCTATAGTTTTTTTTTAATGTGTCCTTGTCTGGTTTTGGTATCAGAGTAATACTGGCCTGGAAGTATTCCCTACTCCTCCAGTTTTTGAAATAGTTTGAGCAGGATTAATATTAGTTCTTCTTTAAATGTTTGGTAGGATTCAGCAGTGAAGCCATCATTTCCTGGACTTTAGTTTGCTGGGAGACGTTTTATTAGAGCTTCGACCTTGTTACTTGTTATTGGTCTGTTCAGGTTTTGGATTTTTCCTGGTTCAGTCTTGGTAGGTTTTATGTGTCTAGAAATCTGTCTGTTTCTTTTAGGTTTCCAAATGTATTGGCATATAGTTACTCATGGTAGCCACTAATGATCCTTCGCATTTCTGCATTATCAGTTGTAATGTCTCCTTTTTCATTTTTTATTTTATTCATTTGGATATTCTCTTTTTTCTTAGTTTTGTTTCATTGATATTTTTATTGTTTTCTTCATTTCAATGTCATTTATTTCTGCTCTGATCTTTACTATTTCTTCTACTTTTGGGTTTAGTTTGCTTTTGTTTTTCAAGTTCTTTAAGATGCATCATTAGATTATTTATGTGAAGTTTTTCCTCTCTTTTGATTTTGTACTTATAACTATAAACTTCTCCCTTAGTACCTCTTTTGCTATATCCCATAGGTTTTGGTATGTTGTCTTTCCATTATCATTTGTTTCAAGAAATTTTGTGATTTTCTTCCTAATTTTTTTATTGACTCACTGGTTATTCAGGAGCATATTGTTTAATTTCTATTTATTTTTATAGTTTCCACAATTATTCTTGTAAAATATCTTTTACCATCCCTTTATTTTCTGTTTATATGTGTTTTTGTATGTGAAGTGTGTTTCTTGTAGGCAACAGATCAATGGGTTTTGTTTTTTAATTCATTCACCCATTCTATGTCTTTTGATTGGAGAGTTTAGTCAACTTACATTCTATTATTCATAAGTAAGGACTTACTCCTTTTTAAGATTACTTTATTTGTTTACTGGGTTTTTTTTTGTGGCTCTCTCTTCCTTCTTTCCTTCCTCTCTTCCTTGAGTGAAGGTGATTTTCTCTGGTGATATAATTTAGCTTATTAATTTTTGTTTTTTTGTGTATCCACTGTATGTTTTTTGGTTTGAGGTTACCATGAGGCTTACAAATATTATCTTCTAACAAATTATTTTAACCTAATAACAACTTAACACTGTCTGCATAAACAAACAAGCAAAAATAAAACTAATAAAAACTCTATGCTTTAACTTCATGCCCCCACTTCTAAACTTTTTGTTGTTTCTATTTATATGTTATTGTATTGTCTATGTCTTGAAAAGTTGTGGTTATCCTTTTTGATTGGTTCATCATTTAGTCTTTCTACTTAGGATAAGAGTAGTTTACACACCAACGTTACAGTGTTATAATATTCTTTGTTTCTCTGTATACTTACTATTCCCAGTTAGTTTTGTATCTTCAGGGGATTACTCATTGCTCGTTAATTTTTTCTTTCTGATTGAAGTACTCTCTTTAGTATTACTTTTAGGACAGGTCTGATGTTGATGAAGTCCTTCCACTTTTGTTTGTCTTGAAAAGTATTTGTTTCTCCTTCATGTTTAAGGATATTTTCACCAGATATTCCATTCTATGGTAAAAGCCTTTTTCCTTCAGCACTTTAAATATGTCATGCCATACTCTCCTAGCCTGTAAGGTTTCCACTGAAAAGTCTGCTGCCAGATGTATTGGAGCTCCATTGTTGTTGTTGTTGTTTTTCCTGCTACTTTTAGGATCTTCTTTCTATATCCTTGATCTTTGGAAGTTTGATTATTAAATGCCTCGAAGTAGTCTTCTTTTGGTTAAATCTTCTTGTGTTCTGTAACTTTGTTGTACTTGAATATTGATATCTTTCTCTAGGCTTGGGAAGCTCTCTAACTTTTCTCCCCTCTCTCTTTCTCTACCTCCTCTTTAAGACCACTAACTCTTAGATTTGCCCCTTTCAGGATATTTTCTGGATCATACACGTGTGCTTTACTGCTTTTTATTCTTCTTTCTTTTGTTTCCTCTGACTGTGTATTTTCAAATAGCCTGTCTTCAAGCTCATCAATTCTTTCTTCTGCTTGATCAATTCTGCTGTTAAAGAACTCAGATACATTCTTCAGTATGCCAATTGCATTTTTCAGCTCCAGAATTTCTGCTTTTTTTAAAATCATTTCAATCTCTTTGTTAAATTTATCTGATAGAATTCTGAATTTCTTCTCTATGTTATCTCAAATTTCTTTGAGTTTCCTCAAAACAGCTATTTTGAATTCCCTGTCTGAAAGGTCACATATTTCTGTTTCTCCAGGATTGGTCCCTGGTGCCTTATCTAGTTGATTTGGTGAGGTTATGTTTTCCTGGGTGGTGCTGATGCTAGCAGATTTTCTTTGGTGTCTAGGCACTGAAGAGTTTATTATTTATTATAGTCTTCACTGTCTGAGCCTGTTTGTATCCATCCTTCTTGGGTAGGCTTTCCAGACATTTGAAAGGACTTAAGTGTCATGATCTAAGCTATATCTGCTTTAAGGCACACCCCAAGCCCAGTAACACTGTGGTTCTTAAAGAATCCTAGAGGTACCACCTTGATGGTCTTGGACAAGATCCGATAGAATTCTCTGGCTTACCAGGCAGAGATTCTTGTTATCTTCCCTTACTTTCTCCCAAACAAACAGAGTCTCTCTCTCTCAGTTCTGAGCCACCTAAAGTGTTAGGTCCTCCAGGCCCTGGGTGGGTCTAGATGTGCCATTCAGGAGCCAGGGACTAGTTTCAAAAGCATTAGAAGTCTACCTGGGGTTCCATTGCCCTGCAACTGAGTGCCAGCCCAAAAGACACAGTCCTTCTGACTTTTCTCTCACCTTTCCAAAGGCAGAGGCCTCACTTTGCAGCCACCACCTCCCCAGGCCATGAGGAGTACTGCCAGACTACCATCAGTGTTCCCTTAAGGTCCAGTGACTCTTAAGTCAGTTTGTGGTGAATGCTGACTGGCTTGGCACTCACCCTTCAGGGCAGTGGGCTCCTCTGTGGTCCAGGGCAGGTCCAGAAATGCCATCCAAGGGTGAAGTCCTAGAATATGGGACCACAAGAACCCACATGGTGCTCTACCTCCACCTCCCATGGCCTCGCTTGTACCTAAGGTGCAAGACAAAGTCCCCTTTATGTTTCCCTCTGCTTTTCTCAAGCAGAAGGAGTTCTGCACCCTAGTTACCACATCTGGCAATGTGCAGAGTCTCACCTGAAGGCAGCAATTCTCAGAGGTTCACCCAAGGTACTTAACATAGTGCCTGGGTATCATTACTTGTTACTCAGGGCCCAATGGCTCTTTAGTTAGCAAGTGTTCAATGCTGCCAGGACTGGGTTCTTTCCTTTAAGGAAGTGGGTTGCCTTCTAGCCCACAGTCTGTTTAGAAATGTCATCCAGAAGCTATGGACTGGAATGATGGCCTCATGATGCTGACTGGTGCCCTATCCTGCTGTGGCTGAGCTGGTATCTGTGATGCAAGACAAGCTCCCTCTGACCCTTCTGTATCTTGTCGTCAAGGGGAAGGCAGGGATCTCTTTTGGAGTCATAAGCTGGGCAGCCTGGGGTTAGGGTAGGGGTTACACCAGTAATACCACAGCCATCCCAGCTGATGTCTCAGTAGGTCACATGCCTCTCTAATCCACTGTCTCTGGGCCTACTTAAGCACTAGGACTGGCCCAGGGGTTGCATTCCTTATGGCCTAGATTGACTTTCAAGTTTACTTGGAGACACTATAAACCTTGGTGGCAAGGTTTGCAGAACTCAAGTTCTGACTGCTGGGATTGGTGGCTCCCCTCTGGCTAGGGCTGGTTTAAATGTTCCTTCTGTGAGTGGGTGTCAGCAGAGTTTGGTACAAGTTTTTTTTTTTTTCTGCTCTAACACGACAGCGCTGAGTTCAGTGCCTCACAATTTCTTTGTTCTCCCTCCTCCAGAGCACAGAGATGCTCTCCACACCAGGCCACTTCTGCTCAGGGTGGAAGAGGGGTGGTGTTGGCAATTCAGTATTCTATCTCCTCAGTGCCTCTTTCAGTTATATGAAGTTAAAACCAGTTACTACAAGTGCTCAATAGATTTTTGGTTCTTATGAAGTTGTTTTTTCTATGTAGATAGTTGTTAAATTGGTGTCCTGTCCTTGCAGTGTGGGGAATAATTGGTGGAGCCCTCTATTCCACCATCTTTCTCTGCCTCCCCAGCTAATTTTTTACTTTTTATTATTATTATTTTTTTTATAGAGATGGGGTCCTTCTGTGTTGCCCAGGCTGGTCTTGAACTCCTAGGCTCGAGGGATCCTACTGCCTCAGCCTCACAAAGTGCTGGGATTACGGCATAAGCCACCATACAGCAGCTTTAAATTATTTTTCTAGTCTCTATTTTATTGATTTCTTCTCTGATTTTTTGTTGTTTTCATCCCACTGCTAACTAACTATGGGTTTAGATTTTTCTTTTTCTAGTTCCTTGAGGTGTAACATTCGTGGTTTATGATCTTTCTTCTTTTGAGAGGTAGTTATTTAATGCTATAAAATTTCCTCTTTACTGTTTTTACTGTGTCTCTTAAATTTTGGTAATTTATGTTTCCATTTGTATCAAACTCAAGATACATACACACATACACAAAAACATACACATACATATATATACATTTAAATTTCCCTTTTAATTGTTTAATGTCCACATATTTATCAATGTTTTATAATTCTTCTTGATATTGATTTCTAGTTTTATACCATTGTTGTCAAAAAATGATACTTGATATGATTTTAATTTTCTTAACTGTGTTAAGATTAGATTTATTAGAATTGACACATTAATTTAATAAAATTGCAGACCACAAGATCAACATGCAAAAATCAGTAGCATTTCTATATACAACAATGAACTATATAAAACAGAAATACAGAAAATAATATCATTTACGATAGCATCAAAAAATACTTACAAGTAAATTTACCAAGGACCTAAAAATTCTGTATGCTGAAAACTATAAAATATTGATGAAACAAATTAAAAATGGCACAAATAAATAAAAACACATTTTGTATTCATGAGTTGAAAAAAATACTGCCAAAATGTTGATACTGCCCAAAATAATGCAATTCCCATCAAAATTTCAATGTCATTCCCCACAGAAATAGAAAAAACAATACTAAAATTTGTATAGACTCTCAAAAGACTCTGAACTGCCAAAGCAGTCTTGACCAAAAAGAACAAAAAGCTGGAGGCATCACACAATGTGACTTCAAACTATCCTACAAAGCTATACTAATCAAAGCAGCATGGTACTGGCATAGAAACAGAAATGTTGTTCAATGGAATAGGATAGTGAGCTCAGAATAAGCCCATATATTTACAATCAACTGATTTTTGACAAAGTTGCCAACATCCCCACAATGGGGAAAGCACATTCCTTCAATAAATGGTATTGGGACAACTGGAAATCCACATATAGAAAAATGACATTGGACCTTCATCTTACCCTGTGATATTGTTTGGCTGTGTTCCCACCCAAATCTCATCTTGAATTGTAGCTCCCATAATCCCCACATGTCATGAAAAGGACCTGGTGGGAGGTAATTTAATCATGCAGGCAGGTCTTTCCCATGCTGTTCTCATGATAGTGAATAAGTCTCATGAGATCTGATGGTTTTATAAAGAGGAGTTCCCCTGTACATGCTCTCTTGCCTGTCGTCATGTAAGACGTGACTTTGTTCCTCATTCACCTTCAGCCATGATTGTGAGGCCTCCCAAGCCATGTGGAACTGTGAGTCTGTTACACCTCTTTCCTTTATAAATTACCCAGTCTCAGATATGTCTTTATTAGCAGTGTGAGAAGAGACAAATACACCCTATATACAAGAATCAACTCAAAATGGATTAAAAACTTTAACATAAGCCTTAAAACAGTGAAACTACTGGAAGACAATATAAGAGAGAAGCTCTATGACATTGGTCTAGGCAATAATTTCCCCAATATGACTCTAGCCACATAGGTCATAAAAGCAAAAATGGACAATTGCGATTACATAAAGTTAAAAAACTTCTGCATAACAAAGAAAACAATTAACAGAGTGAACAGACAACTCATAGATTTGAAAAAACATTTACAAACCATATATCTTGTCAGGCGTTAATATCCAAAATACCTAAAGAACTCAAACAACTCAATTACAAGAAAACAAATAACCTTATTCAGAGAGGGCAAAGGACATGAATACTTAAAAGAAAACACACAAATAGACAACACATAAATGGAAAAAGTATTCAACATCACTAATAATTTAAAAATACAAATTAAAACCACAATGAGCTATCACCTCATACTTTTTAGAATAGCTATGATCAAAAAGATGATAAATAATGTATAGGCTAGAATGTAGAGAACAGAAAACCCTTATATGTTGTTGGTGAGAATGTAATGTAAACAGCCATTTTGGAAAACAGTATAGAGGTTACTAAAAAAACTAAATACATATTTACCACATAACCCAACATTCCTACTTTTGAGTAGCCAACAGAAATTTAGTCTGTATGTTAAAGAGATTTCTGCACTCTTGTGTTAATTGCAGCATTATTCATAGTAGTCAAGATATAGAGATAGCCTAAGGGCCCATCGACAGATGAATGAATTTCTAAAAATGTGGTATTCCCACAATGCTATACTTTTAGCATTAAAAAAGAAGAAAATTCTGTCATTTTCTACAACATAGATGAATCTAGAAAACATTATGCTAAGTGAAATAACCCACACACAGAAAGACAAATATTGCATGATCTCACTTATATGTGGAATCTAACAAAGTAGAACTCATAGAAGTAGAGAGTAAAATATTCATTGCAGAAGGCTAATGAGGGACAGCAATATGCAGAAAAAGGTGTTATTAGTCAAAAGGGTACAATGTTTCAGTTAGGAGGAATATATTCTAGTGATCTATTGCACAGCATAGTGACTGTAGTTAATAATAATAATGTATTGTATACTTCAAAATTGCTATAAGAGTAGATTTCAAGTATTTTCACACAGAAAGAAACGATAACTCTGTTAAGGTGCTGGATATGTTAGCCTGATTCACCATTCCAGAATGTACACATGTATCATAACAATACATCTTAGACTATAATATATATGATTATAATTTATAAATTAAAAACAAAACTGTAAAATCAAATTAAATTAAATGGATAGGCAAAGGAATAAGAATAGCAAACATTTTTAAAACTCTATTAAAGATAAAAGAAGTGCAAGGTAGAAATTTTGTCCATACAGACATCTGAACTTCTTATAAATCTAAACTTTGCAAGTATTGTGGTAATAATGAAGTAATACACAAATAGGAAGACAAAATCATTTAGAGATTTAAGGAAAAAATTCATGTAGACATGAATAGCAGATATTTCAAAAATGTCAGATATATGTAAAAAATTGGAAGGATATGAGAATATTTTCAATAAATGGTGCCAAGATAAATTTTCCCCTATATGAAAAACATGAATTTTAGTCTGTACCTCACACCATAATATAACAAACCCAATTTTCAGTGAATATTAGATGTATTACGATAGATAAAACAATACATTTCCAGGAAAGAATTATAGAAATATCATCAAGACCTTGGGAAGGTAAATATCTCTTATTTAGAATACAAAAGACACTGTCAACAAAGATATGGTTTATAAATTTAATTCTATCAAAATAGGAACTCTATTTCCTCAAACAATACCTTAAAAAAGTGAATGAGGGAAGGTACTTATAACTCATAAAACTGTTGAATGTCCTGAATCCAGAATATATAGAGAATAACTTACTTAGAATAAACAAGAAATGAAAAGATAGGGAAAAGACTTAATCGTACACATCACAAAATCAATAATAATAGTACAAAAAAGTTCTGAGTTTCATTTGTAATCATAACAATAAGAAAAAAATTAAAATTACAGTTGTTGCTACATATCTACCAGTGAAACTGCTTGGGTATTACAATAGTGTATTTTTCAGCCTTGGACTTGGGAGTAGATACATGCAAACCTTATAAAAACACTGGAAAAACACCTAGTTGTTATAATGTATTTGTTAAATTGTAATGCATGTCTTATGTAGCTTCATGAATGTATGCTATATTTTAGAATTTAAAACAGCTTAATTTTGTTTAATCAAAAAAATCCGGCCGGGCGCGGTGGCTCACGCCTGTAGTCCCAGCACTTTGGGAGGCCGAGGCGGGCGGATCACGAGGTCAGGAGATCGAGACCATCCCGGCTAAAACGGTGAAACCCCGTCTCTACTAAAAATACAAAAAATTAGCCGGGCGTGGTGGTGGGCGCCTGTAGTCCCAGCTACTTGGGAGGCTGAGGCAGGAGAATGGCGTGAACCCGGGAGGCGGAGCTTGCAGTGAGCCGAGATCCCGCCACTGCACTCCAGCCTGGGCAACAGAGCAAGACTCCGTCTCAAAAAAAAAAAAAAAAAAAAATCCAAAATACATATTATTTTCTGATGGATAAAAATAAAAAATAAGCCTTCAAAATTGGACTTCTAGGAGGATTTAAGTTAAATTCTGAATTACTTTTCTGTTGAATTTGAATGTTTATTTTGTTGACCATGTATCATGTTTATAAAGGTAAATATAATTATAAAAAGTGTAATGTTTACTGATTATCTTGTCAGTAATCTAATTAATGGGAGAGAAATTACACAAAGATTGTAATGGGTTCTATATTTGATAGTATACAAGTATGATATTCAGTTAATGGGTACAATTGTTAAAATTTTTCTCCTTTTGAATTAATTATGTAGTTTGATTTTTCCTTTTATAAAAATTAAAATATAAATATTTATTAGAACCATATAAACTTGCCTGTTATTCCCTTGTTTCTGACATGGAAAAACAGGAAATTCACATTTGAGGTGACTATGTATATTACAGAATTTTTTTAAAGATGGAAAGCAAACATTACTCTAGAACCTAGTTAGCCACACACACACATACACAAATACACACAAACATACATAGAGTCAATCCTCATTATTTGAAGATTTCATATTTGTGAATTTGCCTACTCTTCTAAAATTAATTTGTAACCTAAAAATCTATACTTGTGGCACTTTTGCAGTTATTTGCAGACATGTGCAGAGTGGTGAAAATTTTAGATCACTGTCAACACGCATTCCCAGCTGAGGTAATAGGAGACACTCTGCCTTCTTGTTTTATCTCCCATATGATAAACAAGTATCGTAAACCTCATGGTTTATTTTGTGCCATGTTTTTGCATCTTCGTTCTTTTTGTTGGTGATTTTGCTGTTTAAAATGTCTCCCAAAAGCAGTACTGAAGTGCTGTCCAACATTTCCAAGTGCAAAAAGGCTGTGATGCCCCTTACAGAGAAAAGATCCAGGAATTTAGACTACTTTTCTACCCATGTAAAATCTTTTTAATTCTCGTTAAAGTTTTATACATATTTTTCTGAATACCAGAAAAATTATGCAGGTATCAACATTTAAAAGTAAAATACAGTATCTTTTCTTTAAATTGAAAAAAATTTGAATGTTGTAATTAAAATAGCTCTATAAGTATTATTAAAGAGACAAACATCTAAACATAGCTTGATGATAGTTTTGAAGGAAAGACAGTCTTCTATTAGCAACTATAGATATTTGGGTTAAGTCATCTTCATTTTTTCTTCGATAAATGAGTCTTTTTGTCAGTTTCAAATTGTAAATATGGTTTAATATATTCATGAATAAATTCAGACTCTGTTAAACTTATAAATAAAAGCAACTTATGTGTGTACAGTTAGTCTCAATGGGATAAATTGTAGTGCACGTAAAATTGATGATTTTTACGTGTTATAATACAGCGAAATACTACGTATGTTAAAATTTTGTTTTTCAATACTTTAGACATTTTATATGTAATTTTGTTGTATTCCATTTATAATCAAAACAAGTAATTTATTTAACTCATGCTACTTGTAAGTTTAGTATATATTTATCTGATCAGAAACATTATGAATATACTATTTTGATAGAAATACTAAGCCCATTTTATTAGTTCTGTTATGAAAAATTATGGCTTCAAATGCAAGTATATGTATTATTTAATTGTAAGTGACTAAGATATAAGATGTTTAAAAATTTCGTTACTTATATTCTAATTTTGTAAGGAAAACTTTGCCATAATTGACAGCTTGCAAGCAAAACAAAGAAGATAAAACTAATGGGATGTTTCTTGGGCAAAAAATTAGAGAATATTTTGAATAGTTATTGAAAAATAAATTACTGCCTCATTGCCATCAAAAATAAATTGAAAAAAATCTGTATTAAGTTTTCTAAAATCAGACCTGGTCTAGTTTGTGATCTTCCAAAAGAAGACCCTGAGGCAAAGATACAAATAGTCCTAGTTAATATAGGAAGTTCAATTAGGGGAACAGGGAAATGGTACCTGGAAATGAAGACAGCCAGGGATGAAATATTAACCCCCATATTACCACATACCATGAAACTGCATACAAGGCAATCACCAATTCTCTGGAGTCATTTGCTGAGGGCTGCTACCAGGAGGTGTTAATTTACCATAAGAACAGACTAACACAGTTCTTCAGCAGCTAAATTCCAGGAAAAGACCCTCTGCTCCAGAGAGGTAGGTGCTGGAAGTCCTCAGAAGCCATTCAAAATGGTTAGGATCAGCCTGAGCACAGAGTCTGCTATAAATATTACCCAATATTATTTTAGCAAAAGATGCGAACTTGAATTAGACACAATTTTGTAAAGCCCAGTAAAATTTGTAGGAATAAAAAAATCACGGTAATGAAATAGTAGTATATCATGCACTTGATTTTTATAACAGGTTTTTAAAATAATAAAAATCATGCATGCACAAAGCCAAGAAAAATACAAAAATTCAAAGAGCTTTAGAAGAGAATATAAAATAGGAAAATTTCTCGCGTTTATCTTTATTCTTTCTTTCCAGATATAACAAGTTTTGTTTACTACTTAATGTTTAAATGCTTGAAATAAAAACATTACAAAATATCTGCCAAAATATTTTAGCTTTTGCTCCCTATTGTTTGGTTCTGAAACTTTACAAAGTTGAGTCTCTGGGAGTTCTTGTTCTTTATCATGTGGGTTGATACTTTCAATCAAAGGATTACTATCTTTAGCTTTGTGAATTTTTCTTGTATTTTTTTCTTTGTCAACTCCATTTGATCTGTTCTATTTTTTTATGAAAATTTGGCATACAAATATAATGCTTTCTAGATTTATATTACATTTAATTTTCAGTAAATAATCAACTGGTTTCCTATATACACTTAGATCTGTGTTCAATGTTCACCCCTCTCATTTCACATTCCAAGTTTAATATAGTTTTGTTCATTTATCCAGTAGATTTTTTATATCAATAGTCACAGCCTAATTTTCCAAAAACTCTTCCTTCTTTCATTTTGTTCATCTTTATATTAACCTCTGCATGCTGTGTATAAAATACTCTCTCAATCCTCTAGGAATACTAACATAACTTTTAAGTTATTTTCTAGTCCTCTAATAATGTCAATTTCCTTAAAGTCAGTTCTCTTTGGTCATCTGAGTGTTTTTGTTCATTTTGTTTTTCTTTAAACTATCTGTTGCTTGTGTTACTTTCTGTTTTTCTATTCAAATTTATGAAAGCAAGGTTCCCTTATTTAGTATAGATGTCTGGTGCAACTTACCTCTCTAGTTGTGTTAAGTATATTTCCCTAATTGGCTTCTCTGCCAGATGATAGACCAGCTACTCTAGAGAGAGCGTGGATTTGACATGAGGAAGCAAACTCCCCCAAACTACTGTGACAAAGATAAATCTAGGGGAGAACATTAGCTTATTTCACTTTGGGGGAAAAATTGATTCTCTCTCTCCTTCCTCCTTCTCTACACTTCCCTCAGTTCCTGAGACCCTAAGATTCTCTGTTTCTCTACACAGGAACTAATACTCTTCCTTACACTTCTTCTTAGGCAGAGTGAAATTTCTTCCACAAAAAAAGTCCCAGATTTCACCTAAGAGCAGAGGCTATCACTCCCAGCTGTAAGTTCTGTGGAGGAAAAGCATAGGCTGGCATCTGCAGCAATTTACAAATACAGTTCTCCTACCCACACCCTTCCCAGATCTTAGTGTAATTTATGCTAGGTTTGGAGCTCTCTGATGACTCTTTTGGGAAACGATGCACTTTGGTTTGTCTTAGATTCGTGTCTTCTCTACTGTTTTTTAATACTACCTGCCTTGTCTTTTCCAAAATCTCAACAGCATTTCTGGTCTACTGATATAACAACTTTAAAAAATTATATACCATAATTATTTTCCATTATTTTTCATATTGACTGTTTTGTAATTAATATAGTTTTTTTAGAGCAGTTTTAGATTTACAAAAAATGGGGTGGAAAAGACAGAGAATCCTCATACACACCCTTCTCCCCTGCACAGAGTTCACAGTTTATTTATTTGTGTGGAACATTTATGACAATTAATGAACCAATATTAAGATATCACTATTAACTACAGTACATAATTTATATTGGGGTTTATTCTTTGTTTATTCTATAGATTTTGGAAAATGCAAAATTACATATATCCATCATAATATGATTTTTTTAAATAGAGCTGCTGTTTTACAAAATGAACAGATGTTTTTTACAGTAAAATTATAAGTAGATGTGTATTTCTCCTTCACTGTTGTTAGCAAAGCTAGGTCTCTCACCTCATCATAAACAAGGTTTTATCAAACTTTAGGAACACAATGCACACACATGCATGCACAGATAAATAAATACAGATTGTTTCTGCTTTATCGTTTTTATTTTTACGAAAGTAGGATTAGATTTGTATGATAATATATATATAATATTCTATCACTTGCTCTTTGTGTGTGTGTTTGTGTGTGTGCACACACATACCTATTGTTGCATGATCACAAAGGTCCACGTAGACAATTAGGTTCACAGAAAACACAAGTTTAGCACCAAATGACTTGTTTTAGCAAAGGGCATAGGAAAAAAATATATACACTACATGAATACTGGCAATGTTCTGAACCTATTAGATGTGTGTCTTTGAGCCCTATTTCCATACCTGGGCAAGTCTGCTTTTCAGAGTGATACGCACTAACTGTGGGTGGGGGATGATTTAGTACATCACTTAATATTGAGGTCTCCCAGCTTGCTGACATCTCTTAGTTTTGCTATTACTGTATTACGTGTTTTCTTTACCCCTATTTATAATGAATACCTTTTATCAACTTAATAATTATTTCATTACATCTCCTATGTTCAATTATGAATGTGGTTTCAGCCTTTTGAACTGGACCCCAATAGATAAGGCCCCAACACCTCCCTAAGGTCTTGAATATCATCAAACTTCCATGGACAGCATGAAAGGTCTCATCTTTCAGTGAACTCTCTCTCTCTTCCTGGCACCTATTTTGCGCTCAAGACTATTTATTCAATTTTTTAAAAAATTGTAACAAGTATATTTTAACTTGTTTTCCAGAAAAGAAGAGATTTTATTATGTTTTATTCACCATCGTTACTAAATACTACATCTTTCTTGTTGTTTTTGTTTGGATGGTGTTAAACTATAACATACTACATCTTAAAAGGTTTATCATGGCCATTTTCTAAATTATGTGCATTTTTTCCTGTTTTATCTTAATTTTGTAAAAATTGAATGTAGAGAAGAATTTTTCATAATTGGTTTTAATAAAAATAAACCCCAATTAAAATATTTATAATTAATAATTGTATTAATATTTATCATAATTTTTATAGTGCTAATGTTACTATAACATTTGAATTCTATATTATCTAAATGGATGTTTTATATAACTGAGTTTATAATAATTTTATTTATACACGATTGTATTGAAATGACAGGTGAAAATTAATTATTCTCCTGATAACATGCTAATATAGTATCATAATTCATATTAATAACTTTTAGCATAAGGCCTTTTAATATGCCTGTTTCTTTTTACTTGCTTTCTTAGCCTTAAAAACCTCAATTACTGTGAAATCATTTTGCTAAATGGTTGTGACATATAAATAAGAAATCATTAGGCTAATTTTATTATCAAATTTCAAAATTTATTCATAATGTTTTTCATTTAAAATATTAATGTTGTTATAGGAATGTGTCTATTGAGACATTGGAAAAATTTAACTTCAGAGTATTTCTATAGAGAAAGAATGAAATTAACCCAACCTTAGATGAAGGATGGAGCCCAAAGAATATTATATACATCCTTGTTGCTGAAAGTTATGACTTCTTATATTTATGTAGCTAAGGAACAATTTATACATATTTTAATCAATAAATACAAATTTATTTTGGAGACTAATGTGGCAAGCCAGGTCTCACTAACAGCTGAACAGACAGGCCTCCATGACAACTGTTTCAGCACTGAGTGGTTAAGTTAAATATTAAAAGCTGATAGAGCCAGAGCCCTCATATAAAGGCTGGAATGTAGAAAAAGTCCACTAAGAGTTTTGCCTGGGCCTTGAAGCATGACAAGATAATGAAGGAATTCTTAACAGGACCCGTTTAGGATTAAACAAGTTTTATTGGGGGTCTGAAGAAACTCCCCAGACCTCCACGAACAAGTTTTATTGGGAGTCTAAAGGAACTCCCCAAACCTCCATGATTTAGAAGAGACAAGATAAGGGTAATCACCCCAGCACCTGGGCCCATCTAGATAAGCAAATTGACTGAGGCTCCGGAGGAAGGCTTTCAGGACTCAGCCTTAGTTATAGATCAGAAGTTAATCACTTCCGTCTTTAGATGAATGCACACTTACACATAGACATATAGCTTAGAAGGTCTATAAGCTCTGGAAAACTTTGTAATTTTGAGTTGATCTAGTGATATTTTCCCAGCCTTCTCTCTGTACCTGGCTACAGAAATAAACTCTCTTCTTTCCCAGGCATCTGCTTCTCATTATTAGGCTGTGAGAACAAGCAGCCTGACCCTCGGTTCTGTCCAGGAACACAAAGACATGGGTTAGTGGAGTATGGATAATAGCCAAGAGCAATAGGACCTCAAAGAATTTCTTTTTTGGACATGTCTAGGTGAAATCTATCTGCCTATTTGATTTCAAGCAACTTTGACATAGTTAGTTTACGGAGATTATGGAGAGATTATGCATTTTCCCAAACCATTCCTTGGTCTAGCTACTTACCAAGAAAGTAGACAGAAACAGAGAGAAATTCAAATGAAATTTTTTCTTCTTGGAATCTGGAAGTATGAAAAAAAAATGTTAAAGCCATGCTCAGCATAAAACCAAAAGCTATTTCTATTGAATGAGTTTCATATTCTTTCAAAGTATAATCTGAAGCTATAATTGTTCAGCAGCTTGTTACATCAATGCATTAAAGAAGCAGTGGTGTGTCGTCATGGATCTCAGAATTCTCCTTTTTATTGAAATATAGGTGACACAAATAATTTAAATTATTAGGGGAAGCCAAACTTTTAGCCATCTCTCAATTTGGTTTTTGGATAAGCAACAGCATATTTGATGATTTAGCCCTATAAAACAAACTTGATTGGATATACTGTACATTGGTTTTACTGCTAAAAATCAGGAAATCAATTTGTAAATTAATTTCAACTGCATATATGTGAAGGGTAACTAAGCACTTAACTTTTTTGATTATAAGAAATGTAACAATATTGGCATATTTGGGCTATATGTGAAATTAGTTTAAGTACTTTTAGGTGAAATCAGCTAAATTATAACTACTGAACTATAGTTGACATTTTAAATTATTATAATTACAAAGTATCCTGAAAATAAAAAGACAATAAATAGAAACACTTTTTTTTTAGGTATGAGTGATTGCATCAGTTTTAACTAACTTCATATTAAACCACAACATTGTGTGGTTCCAGATTTAGAATTTTTAATTATTTTCCCTCACGTCCTCTTTTTCCTAATCATTTTTACAAGTCAACTCAACATACTGTCTTACTTATTTTCAACATTCCCAATTTATTTCTCCATATTACTATAATTTAAACTTTAGAAAGTCAACTAAAACAATCCACCATATATTTTAGCGGAACTCTCACCATTTACTCCAGATAATGAGTAAATCATGAAGTCACATTTTTTTGGAAAGGGTGCATAGAACAGAGAAGATGGGACTAAACATTAATGTCATATTAAATACATAGTAAGTTCCCACATTTTGAATTGAAGCATTAATCCAGCATCTCAAAAAATGTGTAGGTACAATAAAATAATTATAGTTTATCATAAACATATTTAGAACACCAAAGGATTTTTTAAAAAATGAGTTATATTTCAAAAGGTCAATTTTAGATAGGCACTGAATTTACTATTCTTTTTCCTAGAATCTTTCCCATCATCTTTTTCTACAGCTTTCCATCTTTTAAAGTCCTGGATCAGTCTTGCTGGCACTTTTTGTGATCAAGGCTAGAGTCCACTAACCAATGGCAAGACCATGGGTCCTTGTAAGCAAGGTCCTCCTAAGTTAGTACCATTTGTTTATTCAGATGTTTCAAAGTGGAACATTTATCAGATAAATATCTTCCTCTTACAAATACTTTCCTATCATAGCACTAAATTGATATGTTCTTATAGGAGAAAACACTTCTCTAGTTAGGAAGAAGGAATGCAGAGGGTAAGAAAAAAGAAAAAGTGTCCTGCCTGAGGAACGGCAAACAATTTCCTCTATGCCCCAGACTCACTGATAAGAGATATATTTTAAAATGTTCTGAAAGAAAAAAAAATCCTAGTTATAATACATATAAAATGAACACAGCGCTTATAACAAGATTTCTGATGCACAAAAATGAATCTGAGGAAGCCTCTGAAAAAGGCATACAATGTTGAGTCACTAATTTACTAACATGACTACGGTGTTGTAAAAA
This sequence comes from Homo sapiens, assembly GCF_000001405.40. Classification (NCBI taxonomy): domain Eukaryota; kingdom Metazoa; phylum Chordata; class Mammalia; order Primates; family Hominidae; genus Homo; species Homo sapiens. The sequence goes on along the minus strand of NC_000010.11, from coordinate 64,904,053 downwards.
AAGAATGTACTGCCTGATCTCTCTTAAATGTGGAACTGAAAAAACTCAAACTCATAGAGCAGCGTAGACTGGTAGTTGCCAGAGATTAGGGTGAGAGTGGAATGGGGAGATATTGGTCAAATGGTACAATGTCTCTGTTACACAAGATTAATAAGTTTTGGTATTATTAATACCAAATATTGTATCTATCGTATAGTCCAAAAACTACAATTAATAACAATGCATTGTATACTTGAAATTGCCAAAAAAGTAGATCTTAAATGTTATCACTACAAAAAAAAAAAGTATGTGAGGTGATGGATATATGATTTAGCTTGGTTTAGTCATTCCACAGTGTCTATACATATATATCAAAACATCACATTTTACACCATGAATACATACAATTTCACTCATCAGTTATGCTTTAATAAAGTTCATTTTATAAAAGAAATGCAACTCTTACTTCTCTATAGCTGATTTTATCTCCTTCATAAGCACTACCATGTTTTGGGGAGCAAACAGAATGTCTAAAATTAATAAAATCAAGGCTAAAATTTATTACTGTTCAGAAATCTAAACAGTTCATTCAGGTTTAAATTAGTCCTTTAAATTTTTCTCTTCTCCTTCCTTCCCAATTTTTCACTAGGTGCAGTGGATGAGATACTGTTTGATAACATGAGAAGACCAACAAGATCAGAACAGAAACCCTCAGGCTACAAATACATGGAAATAGCAAATAGTGCCACCACGCCCAGCTAATTTATTTTGTATTTTTCGGGGTCTCACCATCTTGGCCAGGCTGGTCTTGAACTCCTTACCTTGTGAAACACCCACCTTGGCCTCCCAAACTGCTGGGAATACAGGCATGAGCCACCACACCGGGCCAATACATAGTTTTTTATAAAGAGATATTCGCCTGTGAAAGAAATTGAATCCATGGTTGTCAGAAGTGAATAGAAAGTTAAAAACCATTAATAAGTTAATATTTTCATTAATTCAACAAATATGATTGAGTACAATGAGATCCCAGGCACTATTCAGGATTTCCACAGACATGAATGAAACAAAAGTCTTCCTAATGTCAGAGCTAAAGTAATAAACACAGTACTTTTCAATAAAATCACAGGGATTATTGGACAAGGAATGAGTATTCACACCTATATTCTTTTCTTGAAGACAAGAATGTTCAAGCACACTGAAGATGAGGAACTAAAACTAAGACAATGTAAAGAGGTCAAATCGACTTTCTCTATAAGCAAAGCAAAAGCATCATCAGTCTACCATGACTCTCAGTGAATCAAAAGCTATTTATCAGAAAAAAAAGTACATTCGGCCGGGCGTGGTGGCTCACGCCTGTAATCCCAGCACTTTGGGAGGCCGAGGCAGGTGGATCACAAGGTCAGGAGATCAAGACCAACCTGGCTAACACAGTAAAACCCCGTCTCTACTAAAAATACAAAAAATTCCCGGGCGTGGTGGCGGTTGCCTGTAGTCCCAGCTACTTGGGAGGCTGAGGCAGGAGAATGGCATGAACCCGGGAGGCAGAGCTTCCAGTGAGCCGAGATTGTGCTACTACGCCCCAGCCTGGGCGAGACTCCGTCTCAAAAAAAAAAAAAAAAAAAAAAAGCAGAAAAAAGTACATTCATGGCTTGTATCTCAGGTATATGTGGGCTTTGATTTTTTAACCAGTCTGGTAAGTTGATGAAAGAAATCCCTGCTAAATATCAGCTCCCTACAAAAACCAGTGTACTATCTGTTGACAATGCAAAGTTAAGTTCATTAAAAGTACCACAATAAGAAAGAACTCTACTTTGAAAGAGTCTTAAAAAGGGCAAATTATGAATGAATGTTTACATGGTTGTTGAATCTGAGCTTTGGTTGTCTTTTAAGGGGACTGCTTTTTGAGATTGGATAATTTTGTCACATAATCATTTAGGGTTGTTTGACTTCTTTAAGACAGAAACCTTGAAGTAATTCTTGGTAAGAAAATTGTTAGATTAATATTTAATTGCTCGGATAGCAAACAATTTGGTTAGATAAATTGGTTTCATTACTGTCTTAAATATTACAGTGAGGGTTTATAGTCTTATTCTTGTCCTCTTAAGCAAAAATTTCCCAGACCAAAGACTCAGCCCTGATCATTTGTCATCCTGAACTAGAGGATATATAATCGTCATCTGTGGAGATGATCAGTCCAGATCCGAACTGCTGATTGAGGAGTGGCCGTTATGTGTTATGTTTCTAATGGTGATCACTTCAACGTCTAGGAACATCAGGTTTTCTTATCCCTTTTCTGGATGATCAATTGTGGTTTTTAAAATTTTTTTTTATCTTTTTAGTGGGGCAGCAAATGTGCAACAGCATTCAGACTTTGCAGAGCTCATCTCTAAACAAACCAACATGACCAGCGTAAATATCTATATTCAGAGTTCATATCCAATTCTAAGCCAGAATCCAAGTGTGCCTAAATTAAAACAGGAGTTGGATTCAATCTCCAACCTGAAGAGAACAGAAATCTACATATTACATTATTCTATTATGATAGCACATGTTTCACCTGTTGAGTATAACTGTCTGCCCAATCTTATTAAATTTTTATGTGATGTTTTCTAAAGCTTTAGTGATATTTTCTTGATTCCCTGTCAGTTTTTGAACTGGATGGTTTCCCCTGTTTTCCAGGCTTTGTGTAAAGGATAAGGAGGAAGATGCTTGAAGAAAAAGGAAAGCAATTCAAAATTACCTGTGAGTGGTTAAATTTGTCAGATATCAAGTAAACATGAGGACAGGTGATTGATGATAAAAGGAGCTGGATATTGATCAAGAAAAAATGTGACAAATTCCACATTTGATTTAAATGTATAACCACTTTACATTTCCTCACTATCTTTCTTTCATTGTTAATGTCCATAATTCTAAAAAATAAAGTTATATTGTTATGTCTTGATTTTTCTTTTTTGAACATTAGCTGAAGTTATTCAGTCATTTCTTACTATAGAATAAATCAGATCCTATATCCTCTCCACCTTTTGATGGTGGAGTATATTTATGTACAGAAATAAATTATTTTAGATTCTGAATATCTAAAAATGTCTCTCTTATGTTGTCAAACTTTTTTATTTCTTGGATAGATATACAATTCTAGTTGTTAATACTTTTCTTTCACAACTTAAGGGCATAATTCTATTTTCTTTAGATATCTATATTACTCTTGAGAAATCACCTACTGATTTTTTTATACAGAGATTCTGCTTTTGCTGCTGTTTTGGTGGTAGTGGGGTTTTGGCTGTTACCTTCACTTTTACTCTTTACCCTTAGCATTGTGTCTTTATTCTTGACATCAGCATTTGATGTTTATCTTGCTCCTTGATCACTGATTTTGCTCATATTATGTGAGTTCTTTCAGGTTGGAAACTCATGTCATTAACTTTGCACAAAGCATTGTATCATTCTTTGCTAATTATTGCCCATATATTTTCTATCTTACATATTTCTGGAACTACTATGAGCCAGACCTTGGACCAACTAGATGAATCCTGCTATTCTGCCATATTTTTCCTTATATATTAACACTTTACATTTTTACCCAAGATTATAAAAGCTTTTTCAAATTTGTTATTTATGATCTAATGGTTTTAATTTCTAAAAGTTATTTCTTATGCTTAAGATAATCCCATTTCATGAAAATTTGATCTTATTTCATAAATGTCATGTCTATTCTCAACTCTACAGAGGTTCTTATAGGCTTTATTGACATCATCTGTTGTTACCTACATTTTCATAATTTCCTCTAAGTTCATGGTTTTGTTTGTATAGGACTCTGTTTATGATACGGTACTACTCAAACTAAATTTGAGTTTTGGATATAAATTTATATGTATACACAGGGCTTTACAAAGTATGATAAGCTCTATGGATAAAGAAAGACAGAGCCTATATAATAACAAACAGGCATTGTTTCTGAATAAAGAGGCAGGTAATTAGGAGTATGCCTAAATACCAGTGTTGATAGATGCTTTTTCTTGGTTAATATCTTAGAGCTATTGACATTGTTCACTGAAGAATATGTTGGGGGTTTAGTGGTACAAATGGCTTTCTTCTTGTTGACTTTTCCCTCTTCTAATACATTCTACTGGTCCACACATTTTTTCATTTTTCATCTTACAAAATTAGTTGACATTCCTCATCTAGTGTCAGTGCCTTACACATGCACACATTTATGGGTACTTTACAGGAATTAGTAAAAATGCATGCATATTTTCAGTCAGCCATGTTAAACCAGAGATCCTTTATAATATTCTTTTAGAGAAAGAAAAGCTCTATTACATATGAAAATATTTTGCTTCTGTGTTAGCTCTGTTGGCAATAAAGAGCATTAAAACATTTTTAGGAAATTATATTACAATGTAAATAAATCTTAAAAGGATACAAAACAACAAAACAAAAATACTGGTTGCTGCTGATAAAAATCTAGAAATGAAGCAAAAATAAATATTTAAAACTGAAATGATGGTAGTGAGTTGTAGCATAACTGAAGTTTACTTAGAGTCAATATTAAAGCACTGTTGATCTTAAAGCTCTACCTCATTTTCTTTCCTAATGATGAGAATAAATTAAGAGAGACAGCCAGTTATAAGGCCAAAACACTGAATAGAAATGAGGTGATGTGAGACTTAATCTTCCGCTTGTCAGTAATTAATAGTCTTTGTGATCCAGAAAAATATACTTAATATCTATTCATCTTAGGTTATCTATAGTACCAGAGAGTTAGATTGAAGGGTCCCTAGATTTCTTTATAATGTTCATTGTAACAAATCAAAAATAAGTTTTTCATATGAAAAATTATTTGAAATGTTGAAAAATAGATTACATTTATAGGTATCTACTTGATGTTTAAAAGACTACAGCATTTTAAGTCCTAGCTAGATCAGAAAGAGAAAGAAATAAAGGGCATCCAAATTGGAAAATAAGTCATCAAATTATTCTGTCTACAGATTATTTGATCTTTTAGTTTAAAAAACCTAAAGACTGCACACAAAAAATTAAAACTGATAAATTTAGTAAGCTTGCATGATACAAAATCAACATACAAAAATTAGTAGCATTTCCATGTGTCAAATAGCAAAAAATCTGAAAAAGGTACCAAGAAAGTAATTTCATTACAAAAGCTACAAATAAAATGAAATACCTAGGAATTAACTAAACAAGAGAAAGATTTTGACAATGAAAATTGTAATACATTAATGCAATAAGTTGAACAGAAAAAGCAGAAGAACATTGATGGGTTGGAAGAATAAATATTGCTAAAATGTTGACACTACCTAAAGCAATCCACAGAGTGAATGCAATCCCTATCAAAATACTAATGACACTCTTCACAGAAATAGAAAAAAAAAATTCTACAATTTATATGGAACCACAAAGGATGCAAAGTAGCCAAAGCTGTCTTGAGCAAAAAGAACAAAACTGGAATAATCATGTTACCAGACTTCAAATTATACTATGAAGCTATAGTAACCAAAACAGCATGGCACTGGCATAAAAACAGACACATAACCAATGGAACAGACTGCAGAACCCACAAAAATAGATTCATACATTTGCAGCAAACTAATTTTCAACAAAGGTGCCAAGAATATACATTGGGAAAAGAACAGTCTCTTCAATAAATGATGCTGGAAAAACTGGATGTCCATATGCAGAAGAATAAAAATAAACTCCTATCTCTCATTATATGCAAAAATCAAATAAAAGTAGATTAAAGACTTAAATCTAAGACTTCAAACTATGAAACTACAAAAATAAAAAATAAAAAATAAATAAAACATTGAGGAAACTCTCCAAGACATTGAACTAGGCAAAGATTTATTGAGTAATGCCCCACAAACACAGGCACCCAAAGCAAACATGGACAAATAGGATCACATCAAGTTAAAAGCTTCTGCACCACAATAAGAAACAATTCATGAAGTGAAGAGACACCTACAGAATAAAAGAAAATATTTTCAAACTGCCCATATGACAAGGAATTAATAACCAGAATATATAGGAAGCTCAAACAACTTAATAGGAAAAAAATCTAATCATCTGATTTTAAAACGGGCAAAAGATCTGAATAGGTATTTCTTAAAAGAACATATATAAATGGCAAGCAGGCATATGAAAAGGTACTCAACATCATTGATCATCAGAGAAATGCAAATCAAGACTACAATGAGATATCGTCTCACCCAAGTTAAAATGGCTTTTATCCAAAAGAAAGTCAAAAATAAATACTGGCAAGCATATGGAGAAAAGGGAAGTCTTTTACACTGTTGGTAGGAATCAAATTAGTACACCCACTATGGAGAACAGTTTGGCAATTCCTCATAAAACAAAACAGAAAGCTACTATATGATCTAGCAATGCTACTGCTAGGTATGTACCCAAAAGAAAAAAAATCAGTATTTTGAAGAGATATCTCCACTCCCATGTTTATTGCAGCACTATCCACAATAGTCGAAATTTGAAAGCAACCTACATGTCCATCAACAGACGAATAGATAAAGAAAATATAGTACTTAAATACAATGGAGTCCTATTCAGTCATAGAAAACAATGAGATCCAGAGTGGGAGGAGGATGGTGGAGAGGAGGCAGGGCTAACATTCAGCTCCCACCTGGGCAAACATAACAGCCTGTGGAGACTCATACTGTAGACTTTTGCTCCAAGAACCACCATAGGAACATACCAGAAAAACCAAAAGAATTCATAGACTCTTTGAAAGAAGTGGCACACTGCTGCAAATTCCATGAGATAGACAAAAAACTGTGAGTTCCCAAAGTGTGAGAGGGGGAAAACCTGCCTCTGAACACACGTCTCCGCTAGGAAACCTGAAAATTCAGATTGTTGGAGAAGGATTTAACCTTATCTAGAGCTGAAATGGATTTAGTGTGAAATATAAAAGTATAAGTGGCAGCACGAAGAGCCTTGTAGACACTCCCATTCTCCAGCTTGAGCCCAGGAAAGCCATCCGTGACTCTATCTCACAGGGGCCCTCAGCAAAGGCAGCCGGTGAAATTTGGGAGAGGTCACAGTGTGAAAGAATCTTCCAGCTGAACTTTGCAATAATTTTGACTGGGCACAAAGTCTCTTGAACAGAATTTGGAGGGCAAAGGAGAACTACTGCAGAAAGGAGCACAGGAGCCATGGTCTACATTGTGGGCGGATAGAGAGGAGGTGTGGCTTGAAAGTTGTTCTTGCTTTCTCAGCAGGGAAGCTTATATCCTGAGGAAAGGTCTGGATTCTATGCACAGCTGCTTGGAGATAAACTCTGGTCTTAACAGCCTTGGTGGGAGCAAGACCAGCCTTTCCAACATTGCAGGAGCTGGGTGAGGCCTATCTCTACCAGGTTTTCCCCACTCCCCTGGTGACAGAGGCAGCCATAATCCCCTCTGGAACATAACTCTATTAGCCAGAGAACCACCTCCTTCTCTCTCACAGTGGCTGCTGCAAGCCCCGTCCAAGGAAAGTCTGAGCTCAGACCCACCTAACCCTGCCCTGACCTGATGATATTTTCTACCCACACTGGTAGTCAATTACAATAGAGATAAACTCTTCGGAGCTTTGTGGTTCCACTCATTGCCTGAGAAACCTGAATACCTATCCTGGCCAAATTAAGGCAAGCTTATATCCCTCTTCTACTACCACAGCTGGTGCTCTTAAAAGTTGCACCTCCTGGCTGAAGGCCAACCAACTCAGGACATTACAGCAACTCATGACAGAATAACCCTGCTCCAAGGAAAGAGAAAACAACAGCTAATTCCACTGCCTGCGTCATCCTGGCTAATCGGAGGCCCTGAGTTTGTTCAGATCACTGCCAGCATAATCAGCATTCAAGAAAGCCAGCATACTAAACATATCTATAACCAAGGAATCTCACAGAGTCTACTTCACTCCCCTGCCACCTCCACAAGAGCAGGTCTTGGTATCCATGCCTGGGAGACCTGAAGATGGATCACATCACAGGACTCTTGGCAGACATTCTGCAGCACCTGCCCAGCCTGGTAGCCCTGCTGAGTGGCTAGACCCAGAAGAGCATTAACACTCAATGCACTCCAGTTCCCAGGAATCCCCATCCCTTAGGAAGGGTGAGTGCACATATCAGGGGATCACTCCATGGGATGAAAGAATCTGAACAGCAGCCCTGGAGTTCCAGATTTTTCCGCTAAAATAGTCTACCCAAATGAGAAGGAATCAGAAAAGTAATTCTGGTAATATAACAAAACAAGGTTCTGTGATACCCCCAAAAGACCACACTAGCTCTCAAGCAATGGATTCAAATCAAGAAGAAATCTATGAATTTCCAAATAAAGAATGCAAAAGTTTGACCTATTCAAGGAGATATTAGAAAAAGGTGAAAATCAACTTAAAGCAATTAAAAAGAAAAATACAGCATATAGATTAAAAATTCCCCAGAGAAATAGGTATTATAAAGAAAAAAAAATCACAACTTCTGGAAATAAAAGAAACACAGAAATACAAAATGCACTAGAAAGTGTCAACAATAGAACAAGTAGAAAAAAGAACTTCAGAGCTCAAAGACAGGCTTATTAATTAACTCCATCAGACAAGGACAAAGAAAAAACAATAATAAAAAAAGAACAAAGCCTCCAAGAAGTTTGGGGTTGTGTTAAATGATCAAACCTAAGAATAATTGGTGTTCCTGAGGAAGATGAGAAATCTAAAAGTTTGGAAAATTTGTTTGATGGAATAATTGAAGAAAACTTCCTTGGCCTTGCTAGAGATCTAGACATCCAAATACAAGAAGCCAAAAGAGCACCTGGGAAATTCATTGCAAACATATCATCATCTATGCATACAGTCATCAGTTTATCTAAAGTCAAAACAAACAAAAGAATTTTAAGAACTGTGAGGCAAAAGCATCAGATGACCTATAAAGGAAAATCTATCAGATTAACAGCAGATTTCTTAGCAGAAACCCTATAAAAAAGAAGAGATTAATGTTCTCTTATTAGCCTCCTCAAACAAAATAATTGTCATCCAAGAAATTTATATCAAGCAAAACTAAACTTTATAAATAAAAGGAAGATACAGTCTTTTTCAGAGAAACAAATGCTGAGAGAATTTGCCACTACCAAGCCAGCATTACAAGGAATGCTAAAAGTAATTCTAAACCTTAAAATAAAATCTTGAAACACATAAAAATAAAACATCCTTTAAGCATAAAACTCATGGGGCCTATAAAACAATAACACAATGGAAAAAAAAGATATTCAGAATGAATAAAATACTATCTCACATCTCAATGCTAACTCCTAATGTAAATGGCCTAAATGTTCCATTTAAAAGATACAGAATAGCAGAAGGAATAAAAATTTACCAACCAAGTATCTGATCTCTTCAACAGACTCACCTAATACATAAGGACTCACATAAACTTAAGATAAAGGGGTGGAAAAAATTATTCCATGGAAATGAAAACCAAAAGCAAGCAGAAATAGCTATTCTTATATCAGACAAAACAGATTTAAAGAAACAGTAGTTAAAAAAGACAAAGAGATACATTATATAATGATCAAAGTATCAGTCCAACAGGAAAATATTGCAATCCTAAATATATATGCATCTCACATTGGAGCTCCCAAATTTATAAAACAATTACTACTAAACCTAAGAAACGAGATAGATGGCAACACAGTAATAGTGGGGGACTTCAATAATCCACTGACAGCACTAGATAGGTCATCAAGATGGAGAGTCAACAAAGAAACAATGAGCATAAACTATACCCTAGAACAAATGGACTTAACAGATATTTACAGAACATTCTACCCAACAACTGCGGAATATACATTCTTTTCATCAGCACATGGAACATTCTCCAAGACAGACCATATGATAGGCCACAAAACAAGTCTCGATAAATTTAAGAAAACTAAAATTATATTAAGTACCCTCTCAGATCACAGTGCAATATAACTGGAAATTAACTACAGAAAGAACCTTCAAAATTAAACAAATACATGGAAATTAAATAATCTGCTCCTGAATGATCCTTGGGTGAACAATAAAATCATAATGAAAAATTTTAAAAAATCTTTGAACTAGATGATAATAGTGATGCAACTTATCAAAATCTCTGGGACACAACAAAGCAGAGCTAACATGAAAGTTCATAGCATTAAATGCCTACATCAAAAAGTCTGAAAGAGCACAAATAGACAATCTAAGAGCACACTTCGAGGAACTAGAGAAACAAGAACAAACCAAACCCAAACCCAGCAGAAGAAAATAAATAACAAAGATTAGAGTAGAACTAATTGAAATTGAAATAAACAAACAAGCAAAAAAAGATAAATGAAACTTAAAGCTGATTCCTTGAGTAGATAAACAAAATCGATCAACCATTATTGAGATTAACCAAGAAAACAAATAAGCTCATTTAGAAACAAAACAGGAGATATTACAACCAATACTACAGAAATACAGAAGATCATTCAAGGCTACTGTGAACACCTTTATGCACACAGACTTGAAAATCTAGAGGAGATGGTTAAATTCCTGGAAATATACAACCCTCCTAGATTAAATCAGGAAGCAGTAGAAACTCTGAACAGACCAATAACAAGTAGTGAGATTGAAATAGTAAAAAAAAAAAAAAAAAAATACCAAGCAGAAAAATTCCAGGATCAGATAGATTCACAGCTGAATTCTATCAGGCATTCAAAGATTTCATACCAATCTTACTGAAAGTATTCCAAAACATAGAGAAAAAGAGAATCCTCCCTAAATCATTCTATGAAGCCAGTATCACCCTAATAGAAAAACCAGGACATGTCATAACAAAAGGAAACTACTGTATTAGTCAGGGTTCTCCAGAGAAACAGAACCAATAGGATACATGTATGTATTCAGGAAAGTTTATTAAGGAGAATTGACTCACACGATCACAAGGTGAAGTCCCGTGATAGGCTGTCTGCAAGATGAGGACATTTGAAGCCAGTAGTGGCTCAGTCCAAGTCTAAAAGCCTAAAAAGTAGGGAAGACATTAACGCAGGCTTCAGTCTGTGGCCAAAGGCCTGAGAGCCCCCAGCAAACCACTGGTGTCAGTGCAAGAGTCCAAAGGCAAAGAATCCAAAGTCTGATGTCCAAGGAAGCATCCAGGGTGACAGATTAAAGCCAGAAGACTCAGCAAGCCAGCTTATCCCACCTTCTTCCACCTGCTTTGTTCTAGCCATGCTGGCAGCCAATTGGATGGTGCCTGCTCACACTGAGATTGAGTCTTCCTCCCGGCAGTTCACTGACAAATATTAACCTCTTTTGGCAACACCCTCACAGACATACCCAGAAACAATACTTTACCAGCTATCTAGGTATCCTTTAATCCAATCAAGTTGACACCTAATATTAACAATCACGAGTCCACCCCTTATCAACTTGAACCCATATATATATGCATATATGGGTTCAAATATATACATATATATTCAAATATAATAAAGATATTTTCTCAGTACAAGTATATACATACACAAACATATTCTTAACAAAATAGGAAGGAAATACTCATGACAATCACAGTCTTCAGTTCTGCAACTAGTCACATGGTCACAGCTGGTATTGAAAACTACCTTCTTCGACTACCCATTCTGTATTCTCTTTGCTTTCAGCAAGCACCTCAGCTGGTTGTGGTTTTTTACCTGGCAGAGTGACAAAAACCTTCATTCCTGAGGGGTCTGGGTCATCCACAGTCCTGCCTGGATTAGGTTGTTGTACTTTCCCATTGACCTTAATCACAGGGCATGGTAATACTGAGAGATACCCTAAGGGATCTGCTATATTCCACGCACACTCTTCCGTGCCTCCATTGTGGAGTAGTAGGCTAATTTCATCTTTATACTCTGGGTCAATGACCCCAGCCAACACTGTAACTCCCTCCTTAACCTGTTGACCTAGAGGTAGGAGAAGCCCAAAGTGACCAGGTGGCAATTTTAACTTCCAGTTTAATGGAATCATTGTTGTGTCTCCTCATGGCAGCATTCCTCCCTCTGTAATTAAGACCTCTAAGTCAGCAGAACCTAATGTAGTGGGAACAGGAAGCAAATATTTTGCTAGTGGATCACTAGGGGTGATGGTGAGTGGTGCCACTTCCAATTCCACCCCTTGATTTCTGGACCTGTGGATCCTGGCTATGGGAGAAACAGTAACATATATTGGATGCTGACTGAGAGCATACACACTTTCTGGAGAACTTTGCTCCAGCCCTGAAAAGTATTGTCACCTAGTTGGTATTGTAATTGCGACTTCAAAAAGCCATTCCACAATTCCATCAATCCAGCTGCTAGGGGATGATGGGGAACATGGCAAGACCAGTGAATTTCATGAGCCCACTGCTGCACTTCTCTAGCTATAAAGTGATTGCCTGGGTCAGAGGTAATGATGTGTGGAATATAATGATGGCAAATAGGACATTCTGTGAGTCCACAAAAGGTAGTCTTGGCAGAAGCATTGCATGAAGGATAGGAAAACCCATATCTAGAAGTAAGTGTCTATTTCAGTGAGGACAAACCGCTGCCCTTTACATGATGGATGAGGTCCAATATAATCAACCTGCCACCAAGTGGTGGCTGATCACCCCAAGGAATGGTGCCATATCCAGGACTCAGTGTTGGTCTCTGCTACTAGCAAATTGGGCGCTCAGCAGTGGCCATAACCAGGTCAGCCTTGGTGAATGGAAGTCTATGTTGCTGATGCCATGTGGAACCTCCATCCCTGCCACTATGGCCACTTTGGTCATGAGCCCACTGGGCAATGAGAGGGGTGGCTGGGGAAAGAGACTGAGTGGTGTCCATATCACGAGTCATGTTATCCATTTGATTATAAAAATCCCCCTCTGCTGAGGTCATCCTTTGGTGAACATTCACATGGGACACAAATACTTCACAGTTTTTGACCACTCAGAAAAGTCTGTCCATATACCTCTTCCCCAGGTGTATTTGTCATCAGTTTTCCAGTCATACTTCTTCCAAGTCCCTGGCCATCCAGCCAAACCATTGGTTACAGCCCGTAAGTCTGCATATAATCACACATCTGGCCATTTCTCCTTCTAAGCAAAGTACACAACCAGGTACACTGCTCAAATTTCTGCCCACTGGGAAGATTTCCCTTAACCCCGGATATCCTAAAAAGAGGCTGTAGTGCTATAGCTGTCCACTTTCAGGTGGTGCCTGCATACCATGCAGAACCATCTGTAAACCAGGCCTTAGTCTTCTCTTCCTCTGTCAGTTGATCATAGGAAACTCCCCATGAGGTGATTAGTGCAGGCTGAGAGAGAAAAGGCAGGGTAGCAGCAGTGAGGACCATGGGCTTTTGAGCCACTTCCTCATGTAATTTACTTGTGCCTTCAGGACCTGCTTGAGCCCAATCACATATATAGTACTTCCACTTGAAGAAATGCTGCTGTGCACCCAACATTGTGGCTAGATGGATCAGAAAGCACCCAGTTTATGATACGCAGTTTAGGTCATATGGTAACTTGGTGACCTATAGTTAAGCATTCAGTTTCTACTAAAGCCCAGTAACAGGCCAAGAGCTGTCTCTCAAAAGGAGAGCAGTTTATCTGCGGAAGATGGTAGGGCCTTGTTTCAAAATCCTAGAGTCCAGCCTGTCTCAGTGGTTCAACCCTGTAATCCCAGCACTTTGGGATGCTGAGGCAGGTGGATCACTTGAGGTCAGGAGTTTGAGACCAGCCTGGCCAACATGGTAAAACCCCATCTCTACTAAAAATATAAAAATTAGCTGGGCATGGTGGCACGCACTTATAATCCCAACTACTTGGGAGGCTGAGGCAGGAGAATTGCTTGAACCCAGGAGGTGGAGGTTGCAGTGAGCCGAGATCATACCACTGCACTCCAGCCTGGGCAACAGAGTGGACTCCGTGTGGAAAGAAAAAAAAAATCCTAGAGGCCTCTACTGTGATTCACCTATTGTGGCCTGCCAAAAGCTCCAAATGGCATCCTTATCTGCCACAGACACCTCAAGCACCATTGGATCTGCTGGGTCATACGGGCCAAGTGGCAGAGCAGCTTGCACAGTAGCCTGGACCTATTGCAGAGCCTTCTACTGTTCTGGACCCCATTCAATAAATGGGTTGAACTAACACACTCAAATGAGAAATGTGTGGCCTCCAAAATCCAAATAGGCCCACGAGGCATTGTGCCTCTTTCTTGGTTATAGGACAGGCCAATGCAACAACTTATCCTTCACCTTAGAAAAAATATCTCAACAGGCTCTACACCACTGGACCTCTAGAAATTTCATAAAGGTAGAAGGTCTCTGAGTTTTTGTCATATTTTTTCCACCCCCTGGCATGCAAGTATCTCACCAATAAGTCTAATGTGGTTGCTACTTTTTGCTCACTGGATCCAATCAGCATAAGGTCATCAATGTAATGGACCAGTGTGATATCTTGTGGAAGGAAAAACTGATGAAGAGTTCTGTGAAAAAGATTATGACACGAAGCAAGAGAGTTGATATATTCCTGAGGTAGGACAGTAAAGGTATATTGCTGGCCTTGCCAGCTGAAGGAAAATTGCTTCTGATGGGCCTTTTGGACAGGAATGGAGAAAAAGGCATTTGTCAAATCAATGGCTGCATACCAGGTACCAGGAGATGTGTTAATTTGCTCAAGCAGTGAAACAACCTCTGCTACAGCAGCTGCAATTGGAGTCACCACTTGGTTAAGCTTATGATACTCCACTGTCATTCTCCAAGATCCATCTGTCTTCTGCACAGACTAAATAGGAGAGTTGAATGGGAATGTGGTGAGAATCACCACCTTTGCATCTTTCAAGTCCTTGATGGTGGCACTAATTTCTGCAATCCCTGCAGGGATATATTGTTTTTGATTTACTATTTTTCTAGGAGAGGAAGCTCTAATGGCTTCCATTTGGCCTTTCCCACCATAATAACCCTCACCCTACCCATCAGAAAGCCAATGTGAAGATTCTGCCAACTGCTAAGTATGTCTATTTCAGTTTTGCATACTGGCACAGGGAAAATGACCACAGGATGAGTCCGGGCATCCATCGGATTCATTGTAAGTTAGACCTGAGCTAAAAATCCATTAATTACCTCCATAAGCTCCTACTCTAACTGGAGGACCACAATGATGTTTTGGGTCCCCTGGAATCAATGTCAACTCAGAGCCAGTGTCCAGTAGTACCTAAAAGTTCTGATCATTCTCCTTTCCCCAATACACAGTTACCCTGGTAAAAGTCCAGAAGTCTTTTTGGGGAAGGATGGGAGAAAGAGTAACAGTATACATTCTCAGAAGTGTAGTGAAGTCCTTCCCCAAAGAGACCTGGGTCTGTAAATTGGTTCAAATCTGGAAATTGATTGAGGAGTCATGATTCTCTATTTTTATAATTTGAATTAGTTTTTTGTCCACTTGACCTGGAAGTTTTCTGCTTATACAAATTAAGTAAGAATGTAGTAGGCTTCCTGTCGATTTCACTTTTAGGAACATCATGATTAATTAGCCAGTTCCAGAGCCCTACAGTAGTCAGACTATTCTGATTGCTGTCTTGCCTCTGCAGTCCTTTATTGTAATTACACCCACCTTGCCTTTGACAGTTGAGTGCTGCCACTTGGACCCTGCCACTTCAGGATCGAATATTCCCATTGCATTTAACTTTTCCAGTTGAGTGAATGAGGTTCCCACTGTAAAATTTGGTGTACAGAGAAGAACAATCACAGAGCTCCTCAGGGATTCAGGTGCTCCCCTCACAAATCTATTTTGCCAGATATTGATGAAGAATATGTCCTCTGGACCCTCTTGATTGGGATCAGTAGGTCTAAAGTGACTAATCCACTCTAGCATTCCAATCTCCCTAAGCCTTTGGATCCCTTCCTCTACATTAAACCAAGGGAGATCAGGCATTCCAGCTCGCTCATAGTGGGCCCTCTTTTGATCCATGTTTCAGCTAACCAAGCAAATAAACTATTAGAACCTTTTTAACTACTGAGCTGCAACATTAAATGCAGAATCTCATTAAATTTCCGGATACAAAAATCAATGTACACAAATCGTAGCACTGCTATACAACAACAAAGACCAAGATGAGAATCAAAGAATGATTGATGAGAATTAAAGAATCAAGAAATCAACCCCTTTTACAACAGCTCCAAAAAAAAAACACCAAATAAATAAAAGTTAGAAATATACCTAATAAAGGAGGTGAAAGGTCTCCACAAGGAAAACTACAAAACACTGCTGAAGGAAATCATTGATGACACAAACAAATGGAAACTTATCCCATGCTCGTGGATGGGTAGAATCAATATTGCAAAAATGACTATGCTTCCAAAAGCATTCTACAAATTCTATTCAATTCCCGTCATAATACCATGATCATTCTTCACAGAACTGGAATAAACAAACCTAAAATTTCTATGGAACCAAAAAAGAGTCTGCATAGTCAAAGCAAGACTAAGCAAAAGGAACAAACCTGCAGGCATTACATTACCTGACTTCAAACTATACTACAAGGCTATAGTTAAAAAAAACAGCATGGTACTGGTATAAAAATACGCAAGTAGACCAAAGGAACAGAATAGGAAAGCCAGAAATAAAGTCAAGTACTTACAATCAACTGATCTTTGACAAAGCCAACAGAAACATGAAGTGGGAAAAGGACAGCCTATTTAACCAGTGGTGCTGGGAATATTGACAAGGCACATATAAAAGAATGAGGCTGGATTCTTATCTCTCACTTTCTACAAAAATCAACTCAAAATGGATCAAAGACTTAAATCTAAGACCTGAAACCTTAAAAATTCTAGAAGATAACATCGAAAAATCTTTTCTAGACATTAGCTTAGGCAAAGATGTCATGACCAAGAACCAAAAAGCAAATGCAACAAAAAGAAAGATAAATAGATGGGACCAAATTAAACTGAAAAGCTTCTGCACAGCAAAAGAAATAATCACCAGAATAAACAGACAACACATACAGTGGGAGAAAATGTTTGCTAACTATGCATCTGGCAAAGGACTAATATCCAAAATCTATAAGGAACTCAAACAAATTAGCAAGAAAAGACCAAACAATCCCATAGAAAAATGAGCAAAGGACATAAAGAGACAATTCTCAAAAAAAGATATACAAATGGCCAACAAACATCAAAAAATGCTCAACATCACTAATTATCAGGGAAATGAAAATAAAAACCACAATGAGATACCATCTTACTCCTGCAAGAACGGTTGTAATTGAAAAATCAAAAATAGCAGATGTTGGCATGGATGTGGTAAAAAGGGAACACTTTTACACTACTGGTGGGAATGTAAACTAGTATAATCATTCTGGAAAACAATATGAAGATTCCTTAAAAACTAAAAGTAGAACTACCATTTGATCCAGCAATTCCACAATACTACCACTGAGTATTTACCCAGAGGAAAAGAAATCATTATATGAAAAGACACTTGCACATTCACGTTTATAGCAGCACAAATCACAATAGCAAAAGTATGGAACCAACCTAAATGCCCATCAACCAATAAGTGGGTAATGTGATAGATAGATAGATAGATAGATAGATAGATAGATAGATAGATAGATGTGTGTATGTGTGTATACCATGGAATACTACTTAGCCATAAAAAGGAACAAAATAATGGCATTCATGGCAACCTAGATGGAGTTGGAGACCATTATTCTAAGTGAAGTAACTCAGGAATGGAAAACCAAGTATTGTATGTTCTCATCTATAAGTGGGAGTTAAGCTATGCAGACAAAAAGGCATAAGAATGATATAATGGGCTTTGGGGACTCACGAGGATGGGTGAGAGGGGCTTGACAGATAAAAGTCTACACATTAAGTACATTGTACGCTGCTCAGGTGACAGGTGCACCAAAATCTCAGAAATCACCACTGAAGAACTTTTCCATGCAACCAAACACTACCTGTTCCCCAGAAACTATTGAAATTTTAAAAAGGTAAGAGTGTCCATGAGTTTAAGGTGATGTCCAATTCATCGCAGTGTAACTGCATGCTCTACGCATCTGTATGGCATGAATCTATGACATCACAGAGCATTTTCTTTAGCCAATTTTGAACATCAATCCAGTCCTTCCCCTTGAAAGTCTATTTGTTTAAATGAACTCTTTTGAAATGTTACAATTTGAAATTTCATTACAAATTGTTTGGATTGTAGGCAAAATTTAGAAAACTCTGTATATGTCTATTAAATCTTTGAAAAATTGGAAATTTAGACATCTTTTCAGCATTAAACTGTCACCAAAAATTAAAAGTGCATTAAATTTAAAAAAATTTCTCCAAAGCAGAACATGTACAAAGTACATTATTGAAGAAACAAAACAAGAATATAAAACAATGAGATCCTGTCATTTGCAACAATATGCCTGAAACTGGAGGTCACTATGTTAAGTGAAATAAGCCAGGCACAGAAAGACAAACTTTACGTATTCTCACTTATTTGTGAGAGCTGAAAATTAAAACATTTGAATGCTTGGAGATAGAAAGTGGAAGGATGGTTACCAGAGGCTGAGAAGGGTAGTAGGGAGTGGGAGTCAGGGGTGGGGAGTGGAGAATATTAATAGGTACAAAAATATAGTTAGATAGAATTCATAAGATCTAGTATTTGATAGCACAACAAGATGACTACAGTAAGTAATAAATTATTGTGCATTTTAAAATAACCAAAATAGCATATTTTGGTTACTTGTAAAACAAAGAGAGGATAAATCCTTAATGAGATAGATGATGGATATACCATTTACCCTAATGTGATTATTACACATTATATGCCTATATCAAAATATCTTATGTACCACATAAATATATACACCTATTATATACCCACAAAAATTAAAAATTAAAAATTTTATAAAAAGACTATAATATTTTAAGATCTTAAGACTTTTATTACACTTTATATATAGTACTGAAAATAACAAGAAGTATAATTTTTGTAACATTACTGTGTTAATATTTATTGAGTAACTTATATTTATCAAATACAGGATGTATACCAGGATGTTATTATTAAGCTGTTATTCTATAATGATAGAAGTTACTTTGGGTAATTTGACCAAGGCTCAATAACCGATTAATGACAGATTCAAACCTAGGTGTAGCTATTAAGTACAGATGACTGTGCATATTGTAACAGCTTTTCTATATAATTTTATGGAATTTATTCTCTACTGTATCTACTACTTTCTCTCTAGATTTATTATCTGTCAGTCAAAAAGAAATGCTTCTTTTATAATGTAAGAAGGAGGTTCATTTTCATTAACAATTATTTCTTACAATTGTAAAGTGATTTTTGAAAAAATGTCTTTATGCCTTTTGAATTAATTTTGAAAATTACATGAATAATATAGTCATTGTTTCTTATAGCTAGGAATATATTTGCTTGTTTTTTCTTATCATTACAGTAAAATAAGTAAACAAATGTTTTATACGTTAAAAATACATTTTCATGACTGAGAACCGTCTTATTATTTTAAGATATCTTTCAAAAAGTATTAATAGAAATAGCAAATAATTTTGAACAAGTTATCACTTTGCTTTCTTTGTTATTGCCATATTTATGTAACAATCAACTATGTAGAAAGTATCATTTTCCTATCTACAAAAGACAATACTGAAACACAAATGGGTTAAGTTAAATAACCTGCCTATTTTATTCCAAAGCTAAAGTGTGAAATAGCTGTAATTTAAACCCCAGGGTCCCTAACTCTAAATTCTGCATTATTGAACATGCTACTGTGCTTGTTAATTAATAAGTGGTACAAAGATTTGTGCAAGTAGAAAAAACAAATCTACTCAAATAAGCCTTCAACATCAGATGAATAAAGATCATGTGCACAAACTCTGTTGAGTTTCAATACTTAGCTATCAATTAAGGCAACTACTCATCATACTAAAGAAAGGACAAAGGAATAAAATTAAATATGATTTGTCTCAGCATATAATCTACTCAGGTGGACTAAATACTCAATATTTAAGTTATTTTTGAAGGAAAAACACATTAAGAAAAAATCTACATATTACAAATGTATAACTCTTGCCAACTGTGTCTTTGAAATTAGCAAATGCCTGGACGGGAAAGGCAGCAGAAAATATCTTACCTGGCTTTCCTTCGTGTGAACGTGCTTTTTCTTCTCTCTCTGATGTTAAAACCCGATGTCTTTCCTGCCTTGGTTGCTCCCTAATGCCTTCAACTAGCTGTTTTGTTAAATTATTATTTTACCTGGCTTTTATAGTTTTCATTAGTGGAAGTGTTGTTCTGCAGCCATAGAAGCTTCTGGTTGATGTTTTATGAATTGCACGTAAACATGATCTAAATTTAAAATAGGAGATCAAATTAATTCATAACGTGGTAGAATTATGCCAATTAATTATACAGAAGCAAAACAAAATGTTAGCGTAATAACATGTAGTTTGGTTTGTTACATGGGAAAATGTTAAATGTCCACGGTCCAATTTAAATAGTTTGAACATACATTCAAATGTAAGCAACTTAGTACAGTAAATTAAAGGAATTTTATGATAACTAAGCAGTGCTCCTGTACATACAAATGGCACAAAGAATTTACATAATTTGGGAAAAGAATAAAAGATAAAGAATATTTATTTGTTTATTTTATTTATTTATTTATTTATTTTGAGACGGAGTCTCGCTCTGTCGCCAGGCTGGAGTGCAACGGTGCGATCTCGGCTCACTGAATCCTCTGCCTCCCAGGTTCAAGTGATTCTCCTGCCTCAGCCTCCCGAGTAGCTGGGACTGCAAGCGCATGCCACCACGAATGGCTAATTTTTGTATTTTTAGTAGAGACGGGGTTTCACCATGTTGGCCAGGATGGGCTCCATCTCTTGACCTTGTGATGTGCCCGCCTCAGCCTCCCAAAGTGCTGGGATTACAGGCGTGAGCCACCATGCCTGGCCAAGAATACTCTAATGTGTAACAAACAAGGGGACAACCCAACAAGTGAATAGTTGAGTTGGTTTTGTAAAACTCATCTAAGTGCATGAAATCTGAAATGTTTAACTAATAGAACTTTTAGAAAATAATGTGCTGACACCATATAACAGAAATTATCATGGCCCATATTCTACATTATATAAATATATTTAAGTGAGAAAAGTAAGCAGATATAATGGCAAAACTCTTTATGGAAAACTGGAAAATAGGAATCTATATATATAGTGATCATCTGGGAGATCCCTCCAATAATGACTGTAATATACTTACAAATAATCTACAAGAGATTCAAATAAAAGATGAAGTATAATTGGTAACTATTGTCGAATAACAGGATAAAGTTTTCTTTTTTAGAGAGAGTATTCTAAATCTGCTAACATTTCAATTTTTTTCTTGTAAAATGTTTATTTCTATTTTTGTTTTTTAAATTTCAGCTTATTTTAGATTCAGTAAGTACATGTACAGGTTTGTTATAAGGATATATTGCATGATACTGAGATTCAGGGTATGATTGAACCCATCACCAAGGAGTGTGCAGGACACCCAATAGGTAGTTTTTCAGTCCTTGCTTCCTCCCTCCCTCCCTCTCCCATCTTGTAGTCCCCAGTGATATTGCTCCCATCTTTGTGCCCACGTGTACCCAATGTTTAGCTCCCACTTACAAGTGAGATCATGCAGTATTTGATCTTCTGTTCCCGTGTTAATTCGCTTAGGATGGTGGCCTCCAGCTGCATCCATGTTGCTGGAAAGGACACAATTTTGCTAATTTTTCTGGCTAGTATTCCATGGTGTATATGTAACGCATTTTCTTAATTCAACCCACTGTTGATGGATGCCTAGGTTGATTCCACATCTTCGTCATTGTGAATAGTGCTGTGATGAACATAAAAGTGCATGTGTCCTTTTGGTAGGATGTTTGTTTTCCTTGGGTATATACCAAGTAATAGAACGACTGGGTCCAATGGTAGTTCTATTTTAGTTATTTGAGAAATCTTCAAACTGTTCTTCACTGTGGCTGAAATAATTTACATTCTCACTAACAGCATATAGTGTTCCCTTTTCACTACATCCTCGCTAACATCTGTTATTTTTTTTATCTTTTAATAATAGCCATTCTGACTGGTGTAAGATGCTATCTTACTGTGGTTTTGATTTGCATTTCTCTGATGATTAGTGATGTTGAGGATTTTTTCACATTTGTTGGCAGTTTAACATTTCTAATTATAAAATGTCCCAGAAAATTAATTAGAAAAGAAGAGAAAACCATGCTAAAATCCATAAGATGTTAAAACTTTCTGAACAAAAAAATGAATAATTTTAATAAAATATATACTTTACTGACACTGAAAACATAATAATGATTACAAAAAGAAAAATAATTTAGTGTTGTCATTCTGCTTCTAATGACAAACAAAGCTGATTTTTAATCAACACAAAATGTTGTTGCTTCTCAATGAATAGGGAGTGTAATATGGACAGAATTACATTTAGTGAGCATATTGCAAACCACAAAATCTTGAAGTATACAGTAATTAAATAAGTGAGGTAAACTACATACAACAGAAAGATGGTCCAAGAAGATTACATAAGTTGCAGTCTATGCAACAGATGGCCCATATGCTTGATGGAATTACCTAAAGGCAGAAATTGTGATTTAATTAACACTGAAGAGTGCTGTTGAAATTTGGTTTACCAAATGTGCAAACAACAATAAATATGCACATTAGGAAAAATTATGCAAGCAATAACAATAATGTCTAATGAATAATTATTAGATATTTTATAGCAAAAACACAAATTTGTGACTTTAGAGGATATACAAAAAATATGTAAACTTTAAATTTCTGAACTCAATAAGTCAAAACAAAAAAATAAAGAAGTTACTTCTAAATGTTCCCACCTTTAGATGGCAAGCAAATAGAGTTAAGTTGGATTTTTTAAAAATTGTATTTGCGAGAAAACATGATCAAGTACAATTAAGATACAAATGATGATCTTTGACGTTTATACTATATGTTAATACAAATATAACCAGAACACCTTAATGAGCTCTAATCAATGAAGTTACACCAATGCTAGCATTCCAAAGTTCTTACTTTTGTTTTCATCATTGACCACACAATTTTTTGTTTACTGCAGTGCAATCCACTCTTCTCATAAGTCCTCCAAGGGACCCATCTCTGTTCATAGACATATTTGCTAGTGTAATCACCAAGTAGCTCCTTCCACATTCTGCTTTTTCTTGAGCCAGATAAAGCTTTCTCATGTTTCACTGATCATGATGCCCTCTGTATGGCCCACAGGTGGCATGCCCCAAATAGCTCCTCCAGCTTCCAACGGACATTGAGATTCTTCACCAGTGCTGAGCTACATGCAAAACTGAAGAGGGAGTTCTTTCCTCAGTCGGGGCTGCCCTTTGCGTATAGACTCCAAAGCATCATTTGTCACAAAAATTCCACTCATCTTTTATGAAAAATCTCCTTTATCTTCTATAAAATGAATCTAGTGAAGAATTAACTCAGCCATATGCATTAGTAAGAATTGGCAGGAAAAAAATACAATATATTTCTTGAAGTGAAAATAAAATAACACAAAAATATTCTGAGGGCAGATTTGTAGAGAGTTCTTCAGCCAAGAAACTAATTGCTTTATCAACCTGAGCATTATTCCCCTCAGAGCCTTAATGTTCTCAAAATTTTTTTCTTCCTAATCAAAACACCATGAAATAACACATTTAGTCTTTTTTTCCCAAACTGTACATTAATCTACTTGTTGTTTCTAATAACATTTTTCCAGATTCTATCATTTCATCACAAAAATTCATTCTAAATTATAATGAAAACTCTTGCTCAAGTTACTCTTCTAGTGTAAGACTATTTCTCCTTTATATTTTATATCAAGAGGATCTCATTTTTCCTGCAAGAATTTGATATCTTCTAGTCAAACTTTTGTTTTGTAAACAACTTTCCCCTAGTCCCCCCCCATGTACTTTAGATGAAGGTGACCCCATTCAGCACCAGTGAGTCACATCACTTGAATTTAACCAAAGGTGCATTCCATTTTCCTCTTTCAGGCATTCAAGAATGACTCCAGAGAATGAATGAGACTCAATCACAGCATTTATTGGAAGTACATAAAATGAGAATCTCCCTTTGTACTAGAACCACTGACTATAAAATTTAGGGATGTCAGGGGATACTATGTTTGGGGAGTTGCTGTGTGACAGTGAAACAAACCTAAAGAAAGCACAGACAAGAGATGGAAAAAAAATTGGCCAAATCTTTGCAGCGTTGTATGATCTTGAACACATGGCTATGCCTTGAATCAAACATATCCCTGAGTTTTCAGTTTATATGATCAAATGCATTCTTTTATTTGTATAAGCTGATCTGAGTTGAATTTATCTTATATGCTACTAGAATAAAGTCTGATTATTAAATCTAGTTGTATAAATCACTTTACTCTCCCAGTGCAATAACCTCTGTTTTATAAAGGTGAAAAAATCAAATATTCCGTGTTAGCCATTTAATGAAAATATCATTAAAATGCTATAAATGTGTTGTTTGGTCAAACTATATTATGATAAATAGTCCTGAAGATCTCTGTTCTATTTAGCAACTATGTATGTGTATGTGTGTTTGTGTGTGTGCGTAGTTACTAAATAGATCATAAATCTGATTATATATCTGTGAGTATATACATATAGTTACTAAATAGATCAGTAACTATATATGTGTGTGTATATACGCAGTTACTAAATATATATATTTATACACACAGAGAGATACACATATATGTATATATATGTATATATACACACAGAGAGAGATTGATCAACATCAAGAACAAACAGAAATATATAGCTATACAGGCATTTTTTTTTCATGAAAATATGTTATGGCTTTTAGGCATATGCATAGGAAAGAGCAGTCTGTGAAATCAATCACCTGAAGTATATACTGAAATTAAACTGAGATGCTCTAAGTGAGAATTATAATCAAAACTGGAAATTATCAGTGTGAATTTAAGATGTTATGGTTGTTAAATGAAATAATTCAACAAAACCTGTTAATCCTGTAAAATACTAGTGCAATTTTTATTTTGCTCACCACAGCCTGTGATCATCAAACATGGAAAGAGCAAAATGAATTTTCTCAATGTAAGAAAACACAGTAGAATTTCCTTATCTTGGAAAAATCCTGTAAATGAATGCATCTTGTACAGGTATGGAGTTTTTTTGGCTTCATTGTCAGCCACAGCTTTTCAAAATAGTGCTTTCACTCACGCAGATTCTTCTAGGGACAAGTATTTAGAATACTACCCTGACTTTTTGGACCACTTAGAAGATCAGAGCAGACATTTACTAAATGATATAATCTTCAAAGGGAATTGAAGTAAGTCAGGCCCTAGGATAGCTGAGAGAGCATTTGGTTTGTTACGCATCTATTTATTGTCTCTGTGACTTCCCAGGCAGCCCAGAGAACAGTTTCCTAGTCAGTCTGAAAATTGCCTTAATTCAGCTGTCAATACAAACTAAACTTGTTGGGCCCTAAAGGCTGCATGTGCAGGCTTCTTTCTGACTCCATGGAAATGCCAGAGAAGCTGACATGGAGGTAAGTCAATCGTTATTGTTCAGGAATCGCAATACTAATTCTATTCTAACACCCCATGGAAGAAGTACCAAAGATGCTGAACATCCTACATATTACAAATAAAATTCCAATTCTACTCATGTGAATATTTAAAGGGAAACAATTATTATTACATAATCAGAATGTTATCTTTCCAACTGCAGAAGACGTCTGTAAATCCATAACTTGTCAATCCGAAGAAAACAACTAAAGCCACTGAGACCTGGATAGCACATTGGTCCATCAGGCAATTCTAGAACACAATTGAGTCAGCAATATAACTTTTTGTTGTTGTTGTTGAGACAGAGTCTTCCTCTGTTGCCCAGACTGGAGTACAGTGGTGCAATCTCGGCTCACTGCAACCTCCAACTCCCAGATTCAAGTAATTCTCATGCCTCAGCCTCCCGAGTAGCTGGGATTACAGGTGTGCACCACTACACCTGGCTGATTTTTTTTTTCATATTTTTAGTAGAGACAGGGTTTTGTCATGCTGTTCAGGCTGGTCTCAAACCCCTGACCTCAGGTGATACACCAGTGTTGGTCTCTCAAAATGCTGGGATTACAGGCATGAGCCACTGCAGCCAGCCAAAACTTTTTTTATTATCAAACATGTCTTAATGTCCATCTTCCCATTCACTATTTCAATAATTTGAACATCATTTTCATTAAATGCAGTTACTCCACTCTTCAAGTGAGACCCGCAGACACTGAAGAATGGAAAGTCAAAACGCCTTACCATAACATTGAAAATCTAAGCATTAAAAATCTATTATGGTGTGGCCTCAAGTTTTTATCAGTTTTATCTAATGTTGCACAAAAATTAAAACAAAGGCCCCTATTTGCATGATATTATACTTACTTGCCTAGTCAGGAATAAAAAACAAAAAACTTTGTTTTAAATATATGTCCACAGTATCTTATGTGGAGTTTTTTTTTTTCTTTCCTAAAATACATTTGCCTCAATTATCAAACAGTTCTGTAACCACCATTTAGGTTATAGTTCTTTTTAGAAGAAACCCTTCAGCTAAATCGTAGATGACAATTTTTTTAAGTTCTTCTCAGCATTGGAGAACATTTTTTTCCTGGAGTTTTTTTCAAAAATGAAACTAACTTGTGACACAGAAATTACTGTTCTGTCAACTAAATCTAAAAAGTAATAGTGAGTGTTCAGGTGTTATGGATAAAACATTGTATCAATTCAACTCTAATCATATCACTAATAGGCAATGGTTTCCTTTCTGAAAAGTGATATGAGAATCTGCTCCCAATTTGCTGTTCATTATTTAGGGAATACATGATTCACAGTTGATTGACAGCATGACAATGATAAAGTAGCTTATGGAATTTTGATACATTTGTGTCAATTTTTGAACACTCTGGAAATAAACAAAACCATCCAAATAAGAAAATCAACCATCCTCACTTGCATTTAGCTAAAATTCAAAGATAGAGAGGGACATGGGAAAGTTTTATAGTGAATAAGAGAGAAGGTTTTTACATATGCTCTGATTGGAGGTTATTGGCATAAGGAGGCTGGAGGTGGGCTAACTAGAAGTGGGGACTCAGGTGATTGGTTAGGGGAGCATATTTGGCTTTCTTGGATCTGTCCTTATTTAGAAATCAGGTTAAAAAAAATAGAGAAGCTGGCAGTTACTGATTAAGTCCTCCCCATTCTGGGCCAATTGCTGCAAAGATTGTGGCTTGCTCTCGTGGGCTAGTTGCTGTAGAAGTTCTGTTCTGGCCTCCCAGACTAGTTGCTACAGAGGCTACAGGTCAGAGTTCTACTGTTATATATGGTCTGGCCATTGCCCATTTGTATATTCAGTTGCTCAACATTTACTGAATCGTAGAATATGTATATCAATTGAAGTAAACTTTTTTTAATTTGAAACATAATAAATAGTGTTTACGTTCTTAGTTTTCTTGAAGCGCACACACACACACACACACGAGAACACATTTTCCTCAGCACTTTATGTCTAAATCACTTTAATTCTTACAACAATGTTATGGTGTACAATTATACTAATTTTACAGACTTACAGCTAAATCACAATGGAAGCCATACTCAGATCCCTCTGATGAATCTTTAGAGTAAAATTTGACACTGACTCCTTTTAACTTTTATACAGGCCATTTTTGAAAAATTGATGTCCTCAAATTAATATTCTCCCCTTTTATCTTCTTTAAAGTTGATATTTAAAAAGATTTAAATAATTTTATGCATAGGCAACAACATGCAAAGTCTAGACTTCTGTGACTCCCAAGGGGAGTTCAGAATAATGCTGGTATTGGCCATCAATATGATCATAGACTAGTGATATTTGGAAAAATAGGGATCTATTTACTAAAAAATGCCAAAATAAAATATTGTGAAATAATAAAAATTGTGTTATTGTTCTCACTTCTCCAAATTTCTCACAGTGGATGTGTGCTATATGTATGTATGATCAGAATGAAAATGATATGCGATATAGAAATAAAGTATATTTTATTTGTTTTACATATTCATTTTCATCTCTATTATGGCTGAAATCAATGTGATTTGTAATATGCATGGAAAAAGACTCTTGTCACTGAAATAGAAAACATCTGGCAATAGCAAGTAAAAACAAGCCCTTTTAAGCATCTAAAAATGATTTGTTTGCACAGAGGGGAGAAGTGGAAAATACCCACTAAAATATTCTTGTATTGTCAAGGGAGCATTACAATAATCCTTCACTGTTCCCCAAATGAGTTTTCTTTTTTGGGTAACTTTGAATGTACTATTCTGTGGGATGTAGTAAGGGAAAAGAGGAAGGATGACAGGTAATGGAGACCTAGAGAATAAAACAATTATTCAAGGACTTCAACATTTAAGATACTAGACTATGCAAAAAATACTTTTGCTACACAACAATGAGAATGAGACAAAAATGCCATGAAAATTATGTGATACAGTATTCCTTTCTTCCTTTCTTCTCTCCTTTCTTCTTTTTTTTTCTTCCTTACCTATTATGTATCAAGCACCGTTCTAGCCACTTGTGTAAGATTTGGGAGCAAAGTGCATAAAATATTCTGTCTTCATACACTTTACATTCGAGTTACTAAAATCTTGGCTTCAGACCTGATTCAGCATCTTCGGCCTCCTAACTTTATTAATTAATACTTTTATGATTTTGGCAAAGTTTTTTTTAAATTTTTTAAACCTCAATTTCCTCACCTACAAAATGTACATAATAACATTAGCCATTTGTAGATACAATATAAATATATATTTTTAAATGTTAGCATTAAAAGATTCTTTGTTTTCTTGCAGGCCATGGGCCCAGGATGCTTAATCACTGCTTATATTTCCTTTCTCACTTAAAATTACAAAAACAATAAAAAATATTTATGCAAAATTAAAGACATCTTGTCCAAATTATGTTGGACAAATTATTCATTTTTTCATAGCAAGTTGACTTTGTTGCAACAGGCAAGCACATCTAAACCCATGGTTTTGTTTTTCATTAATTCATTCTTTGGCACGTTTTATGAGTATCAGCTCACACGGGATTGGATTAAAGAAAAAAAAGAAAACGTCTTTTACCATAGATGGTGAAAGATGAGCCTTGACATAGTGAGTCAGTGCACAGTTCTCAAAGTGATATTTGATTTTTTTAACATCATGTCTTTCAGTATGTCTGTTCACATTCTGAGCAAACTCATCAATGGCACCAAATTACTAAGAACATAATGAAAGGATGCTAACTGATGCTGCTTCAAACACAAGATGGAGAAACTTCGTGTGAGCAGTCTTTGGGTTGTTACTAGTGAATCACAGAAACTCAAGCCCTAATTGGGTCATCTCTCTGGTTAACCAGGGACATTGTGCATTCCAGAGGATAACTGATAATGTTGGGATACATT
The DNA here is from genome assembly GCF_000001405.40 of Homo sapiens. NCBI lineage: Eukaryota > Metazoa > Chordata > Mammalia > Primates > Hominidae > Homo > Homo sapiens. The sequence goes on along the minus strand of NC_000010.11, from coordinate 64,874,533 downwards.
TTTCATTGTCACAGCTGGAGGGGTATACTACTGACTCTTTGAAGACAGAGGCCAAGGATGCTGCAAGACATTCTACAATGCACAAAACTACCCATCTCTCCACCATGCCAACAAAGAATTATCCAGCCCAAATCATCACTAGTACTGACATTGAGAAACCCTGTTGTAGAACAATGTGACAATAGGGAAAGAGAAAATGCAAGAATACAGCCTGTTGCCTGGCAAGAATTATGCCATCTTGAAGCAAAACTGCCATGATGACCAATGTTTGACTCCTGCATACCAAAGTGTTCTGCAGCAAAGTCTTAAAACAATGCCCACAGCATAAATAACTCCTCACAAAGATGCATATCTAACATTCCCAGTGGTCACAAGTTTTGGCAAAAAAGCCTGAGACGTGACCAACCAGCTGCACGTGTTTTACCCTAAAACCTTGCTATGTAAAAGGTATTTTCTGGAGAGCTGGTGCAGGGATCCACCATCTTGCAGCCACCTGAGACATCACTTCTTTTTGTAAGTCTCTAGTAAGTAGTTTCAGAGAAACTGGATTTGTCAGCCTCTTTCTTTGGACTTTCAGCTCCCTTGACCCTTGGGTGTTTTTTGTTTGTTTTGTTTTTTTGCATGTATTATAGCCGCTCGCCGCAGAACAGAATCAGTGGCAACCCTGGTGAATAATCCAAGCTGAATAGAGTATTCATTTAACAGCATTGAGTGTGACAATTTCCCCATCTGTTTATTTTCACTCATTCAGCCATGATTTTATTTAGCAAATATTCCTGACTAATGTAGGTACTGTACTGAGCCTTGGTGACACAGCAGTAAGTAAAAAAGACAAATTTATATAGCTCTCTATTACTTTATGTGATTGGCCAAAAATAAATAACTGTATTTACTTGTCATTATTTTGAACTGGATGTGCCTGTGAAATTAGGTAATTATACAAACAGTTCTTTCTAACCATTGGGTCACAGAAAAGGAAACAAGTATCCGATGGCATAGTAAAACTAGGATAACTAAAGATCCTCCACAATTCAGATGATATTTTCTCCTAATACATATTTTTCTCTAGTTAATATTTGGTTGTAGAAAGAGATGTGATAATAAAGAGTCAGTAAAACAGACCGAGTAAAGTTAGATTAATCATCATCAGTCACAGAGGAAACTCTGAAAAAAATATTGATAAAGAAGCAGAAGAGAGAAATTATCTAATGTTTGCTTATTTTCTTTACTTTCCACATTGCTTCTGAGTCACTTCCACGTATAAATAAAGCAGGAAGCTGCAAGAACATAATCATCAGTGACATGCTGTTAAAAAAACAATCATGATCAAAATTTTCAAAAAAGTACAAAAGAGACCAAAATGCAAGCACTATAATTGTCAATGTACCTTGGTTATTAACTCTGATGAATTCAGCAAATGTCCGATACACTTACAAGACTATTTTTTAATCCCTCAAAAATAAGCAATTGAATTAATATGACATATTTATTTTCTTCCAAGAATCCTCAAAAAAGGTTTTTTTCTTAATTTTTATTTTTATATATTCAGGTGGTACATGTGCAGTTTTGTTACATGAATATATTGCACAGTGGTGAAGTTGGGATTTTGGTGTGCCCATCACCTGAATAATGAACATTTTACCCAACAGGTAATTTTTCAACTCTCATCCCTCTACCTTACCCCCTTTATGAGTCCCCAGTATCTACTATTCCCCTCTGTATGTTCATGTGTACCCACTGCTTAGCTCCCACTTGGGAGTGAGAACATCCAGCAGTCAATTTTCCGAGTTATTTTACATAAAATAATGTCCTTCATTTCCATCCATGTTACTGAAAAAGCATGATTTCATTCTTTTTTAGGTTGTGTAGTATTCCATGGTATATATATATACTACATTTTCTTTATCCAGTCATCCACTGATAGACAGTTAGGTTCATTCTCTAACTTTGCTATTGTTAAGAGTGCTGAAATAAACATATAAGTGCAGGTATCTTTTTAATATAATGATTTCTTTTCCTTTAGATAGACATCCAGTAGTGGGATTTCTGTATGGAAAGATAATTTTATTTTTAGTGCTTTAAGAAGTCACACTGTTTTCCACAGAGGATATACTAATTTACATTCCCACCAACAGTGTATAAGCATTCCCTTTCCTTCACTTCCTTGCCAATATCTGTTTGTTTTTTGTTTTTTGACTATTTTTATAGTAGCCATCCTGACTGGTGTGAGATGGTATCTAAATGTGGTTTTAATTTTAATTTCTCTGATGATTAATGACTTTGAACATTTTTTCCTACGTTTGTTAGCACTTGTATGCATTCTTTTGGGAAATGTCTGCTCATACATATCCTCTTCCCACTTTTTTTTTTTGAGGTGGAGTCTTCCTCTGTTGCCCAGGCTAGAGTGCAGTGGCATGATCTTGGCTCACTCCAACCTCCACCTCCTGGGTTCAAGTGATTCTCCTGCCTCTACCTCCCGAGTAGCTGGGATTACAGGTGCCCACCACCATGCCTGGCTAATTTTTGTGTTTTTACTTGAGATGGGGTTTCACCATGTTGGCCAAGCTGGTCTTGAACTCCTGACCTCAAGTCATCTGCCCACCTCGGCCTCCCAAAGTGCTCGGATTACAGGCGTAAGCCACCAAGCTCGGCCTTCTTCCCACTTTTTAATGGGGTTATCAGGGTTTTTCTTAATGAGTTGCTTGATTTTCTTGTAGGTTTTGGATATTAGTCCTTTGTTGGATTCATAGTTTGAAAATATTTTCTCCCAATTTGTAGGTTGTGGATTTACTCTGCTGATTATTTCTTTAGCTGTACAGAAGCTTTTTGGTTTAATTAAGTCTCATTTGTGTATTTTTGGTTTTGTTGCATTTGCTTTTGAGACCTTAGTCATAAATTCTTGGCCTATGCCAATGTTCAGAAGAGTTTTTCCTAGGTTTTCCTGTAGGTTTTTTATTTTTTCAGGTCTTACAGTTAAGTCTTTAATCCACCTTAATTGCTCTATATGGTGAGAGATAGGGGTCCGGTTTCATTCTTCTGCATACGGCTAGCCAATTTTGTCAGCAGCATTTACTGAATAGGGTGTCCTTTCTCCATTGTATATTTTTGTTGACTGTGTCAAAGATTAGTTGGTTGTAGATATGTGGCTTTATTTCTGTAGGTATGTGGCTTTATTGTCACAGTGTTCCATTGATCTATGTGCCTATTTTTGTACTAGTATCATGTTGTTTTTGTTACTATAGAGTTGTAGTATAATTGAAAGTCAGATAATGTGATGCCTCTAGATTTTTTCTTTTTGCTTAAGATTTCGTTAGCTATTTGAGCTCTTTTTCAGTTCCATGTGAAATTTAGTTTTTTTTTCTAATTCTGTGATAAATGGCAATGATAATTTGATAAAAAGTGCATCAAATCTGTACATTTCTTTGAGCAACATGGTCATTTTAATGGTGTCTATTCCAATACACAAGCGTAGGATTTTTTAAATTAGTTTGTGTCATCTATGATTTCTTTCACCAGTGTTTTGTTGTTCTGCTTGAAGAGATCTTTCATGTCTTTCATTAAATGTATTCATAGGTATTTTATTTTTTGTGATTTTTATGTCTTTTTTATGTAGGGATTTGATGCTATAAACTTTCCTCTTAGCACTGCTTTTGCTGTAACGAATAGGTTTTGGTATGTTGTGCAGCTATTTTCATTTGTTTCAAAAAATGATTTGATTTCTGCCTGAATTTTATCATTTTCCCAAAGATCATTCAGAAGCAAGTTGTTTAATTTCTGTGTGCTTGTATAGCTTTCAGAGTGCCTGTTGATATTTTTTAGTTTTATTCCTGTGATCCAATAAGATACTTGATATGATTTTTGTTTACTTGGCCTTTATCTTATCTTTGCATCATATGCTATTTAGTCAAAAAAGCCTTTATTTCAAACACAAATATTATTTATAATTAAAATAAACAGATAAATAAGCAAACAAAAGAAAAAATTCATTTCAACTTTACAGACCAAGGTTTTTTAGAAAAACATATTGGCGCATCCTCTATGATATCTGCATTCTCCTTATGGAAAAAGAATTATTATGGGCACTATTTGTTTCTTTATGTATGATAGAAGTTATATTAAGCATTTTCCATAGATGATAGATAGATGGGTGATAGTTAAATAGAAATATAGATAAATATATTTCTATATACCTACAGATACTTCCATTCGAGATATATATATAGATAGATATAGTGCAAAATATGGTTTTATGTTGCTCTAGATGGCATTTATCTGAGAAAACAGAAATCCAAATAAATCAGGTTTGTATTAATATCACTTTTCTCAGGAGATCTTTATAGATACATATGGGAGGCTGAGCAGTGCTTTGTCAACTTTGCAGAGCTAGGAAGACTAAAAGTCAGAGCTGAATACCAGCCAGGGGTGCCAGAAGTGTGGCCTAGAAAACCAAAGAGAAATTATAGATAGAAGAAATGAAAATATCTGTACCCTTTCAGTAAAAGTAAACTAAGTAAAGCATAAAGTACATCCAGCTTCTAGTCATCAGGTTATGTCAGAAAATCTCAAAATTTGAAAATGGATTAAGGTCACCCTAGATTACTACTAGTGCTCAAAGTGATCAAAGTAAAGTGATGTTCTCTCTGAAGGAAAATAAGACCATAGGTCACACACAATTTCTTTGAATAAGTTTCCAAACACAAGTACAGAAAAAAGTCACAGATAACCATTTATGCAAGATAAAAAGATAACATAAGTGGAAACCAGCACAAAGCATGGCTGTAGAGAAAGACCCACAGATATTTCGGGTTGTGGAGTTAACAGACAGAGGTTTTAAAACAATTATAGTTGCTCTTCTTATGGAAGTAAAACAAAACTTAAACATTTCGGCAAAGAACTAAAGGTATAAAAGAACTAAATAGAATATTTTTCAAAAAATACAACTGGAATGTATTGAAATAAAAAGTAAAGTAAATAATTAAGAGCCTAGTATTATATACACTTAACAGCAGAATCAATGTAACTAAAGACAGAATTAGTTTAGAAAACATGGTTCAAATAAATTATTTATAAAGAAGCAAAGAAAGGAAAACGATAAAAACTATGAAAGAAAGTGAAGGATATAGAGGATGGGGTAAGAATGCCCGGCATACATTTCAGAAAAGACATAGCTGAGAGACGGCTAAACTTCCAAAGCCCAAAAGACTTTCAAGAAGGAATAAAAAAAATTACATAAAGAAACAATACAGTTTAACTGCATAAAACTACACACACATGCACGCACATACACACACACAATTCTAAAAGCATATATGATGTATGTAGAAGATGAGGGAAAATTGCCATCAAATAAGCAACAATTAGACTGACAGTTCACCTCATAAAAGCAAGAAAGCCAGAATACAGTAGAAGGATGTGTTTAATCTACTAAAGGACAATAATATCCATATTAGAATTCTATACCTGGGAAAAATACCCTTCAATTAGGAGAGTAAAATATACTGTTAGTGCTGGGCACAGTGGCTCACGCGTGCAATCCCAGCACTTTGGGAGACCGAGGAGGGTGGATCACCTGAGGTCAGGAGTTCAAGACCAGCCTGGCCAACATGATGAAACCCTGCCTGTGCTAAAAATACAAAAATTAGCTGGGCATGGTGGCAGGCACTTGTAATCTCAGCTACTCGGGAAGCTGAGGCAGGAGAATCGCTTGAACCTGGGAGGTGGAATTTGCGGTGAGCCAAGATTACACCACTGCACTCCAGCCTGGGTGACAGAACAAGACTCTTTCTCAAAACAAACAAACAAACAAAATTGTTAGATTGATTTTTTTTAAATTGATAGTCTTCACAATCAGCAGATTTGCATTAAAGAGAATAAAAGCTAGTTAACTTTAGGCAGGAAGTTAATTTCAGGAAATGACTTCTGTCAGAAGCACAGAAATGTGACAAGGAATAAAGAATGGGAAGTCAAGTTGAATTAAAATTGACTGTTAAAATGGATGTGGACATATAAATACATGAAAAAACAGCATATTCATGCAAGGAGAAGAAGAAGTACAGTCTAAGAGCATAAGGTCTTTTCATTTTCCTAGTAGGGTAAAGATGCTAATTAACATTAGACTTTTAAAAGTCAAGGATCCAGCTTGTAATATCTCTGACAGTAACTAATTGAATAAAAAATGAATGAATCGTCTCTCAACCATTACAAAATAAGGGATAATAAAACGTATTAAATCAGAACAGTAAGGAGAAATAGATAAATAAGAATTATAAATAAATCATAGTGGGATATTTAAATACATTTCTCAGTTTTTGATAAAACAAACAGACTCAACATTAGTAAGCATATAAAAGTTGTACCCCACAACTTCAGGATACCTGTTCTTTTCAAGGACATGTAAAATATTTTTTCAAAATGGATCTATATTGGACCACAAAGCAAGTCTTATGTTATTTCAGTGATCAGGATCCTTATAAAGCAAAGGTCAACAAATATTTTATGTAAACAGACTGTGGGTAAATATGCTAGGTTCTGTGGGTGACATGGTCTTGAGAGAAGAGAGAGAAAGGAACCAGTTAGGCAGATAGCTGGGACAAGTCCTCGGTAGAATTTCTTTTTCTAACAAAGGAACAGCTTGAAAGATCAAGGTGCAAGCACAGATAAGGGGGCAAAGTCCAACATAAAAATGCCTTCTGTATAACTAACAATGGTTACATATACATGGTAGGCTTCAGTGAATACATCCTTTCCTTTCTTGGACATACTCAGATAAGGGAGTTTGCATGGGGAGGGGCTTACTTGAAACGTGCCTGTGCTGCACAGATAAAAGAAGTTACACAGAACCAGACATGTCCACAATAGAGAATTCTGCCCCCAGCACGTGCACAGTGAGGAAAATTAAACAATATGGAGTGACTAGGCTAAGAATCTCCACATGTGCACTAAAAGGACAAGGTGGAGCTGTCAGGAATTCACACCTTATGCAAACGAAACACTTCTTAACCAGTTTTTCATGCCTTTTGAAAATGAAACTTCCCTCCCTACTAACCTGTTTATAAAAGGCTTTGTATTCAACCATAGAATGGCAACCCCTCTTCAATGTGGAAAGCTTTCTCCTTTCCCTTATTAAACTTTTGCTCCAACCTCACCTTTGTGTTTATGGTCCTTAATTCTCCTGGTCATGAGACAAAGAACTCTATGTCCTACGTCAAACAACAAAATTGAAACATTGTGGTGCACTGGCAAGACTGCAACAGTCTCTGCCATTGTAGTGTGAACACAGACATAGACAATATAAAAAAAATAATAATGAGCCTGGCTCTGCACCAGTAATGCCTTATTAAAAGAGGGCTGGACTTGCTCAGCAGGCCATAGTTAACATAGTTAACTAAATCCTCATATAGAGCATACTTCTTAATTACAATAAAATTAGGTTAGAAAAATATAATAAAAAGAAAATTGGAATATCCTCAGACATACAGAAATTTAAAATTTCACTTTTAAAGATGCCATAATTCAAAGAAAACATTGCTAGGATAAAAAATGGCTATAATACATGAAAAAAATACCTCATATCAAAATCTGTGTTACTCACTAAATGAAGTAGGGGTGCTCAGGGAGTTGGCTGATTCCGCATCTGAGGCAGGATATGAACAAGATGAGCCTAAAACCTGTTGTGAAAAGAGAAAATTAAGAAATTTTTCAAAATCACAGTAAAACCACAGGAACCATTTTAAAATTTATCCCTCAGAAGTTGAGACAATTTTTGTATCAAAAAGAATAAAGGTTTCAATGGTTTGAAACATACTGAATACTTTAAAAAATCCATTAGTGTCTAAGAGAAATGAACAAATGGTTATATGGTTAACTTTGGAAGACGATGTGTCAAATTATGAATTAGAAATTATTCATTAAAAGAAATTAAAAATTTTTGCACCCTTTCCTGGAAGAATTTCACATCAGAATAATCAAGACTCCTTGAGGGAAATATTGTAATAGAATTTTTTAGCTTAATAAACAAAGAATAAAAATTGTATTATTATAAAAACATATAAAGTCTACTAAAATAATGGATATAGTCAATAACCATAAATGGCTTCTAAAACTGTAAGTGAAATAGTGATAGAAAAATGTATAATAGATAAATCAGACAGGTAACAACTGTATCAGCTGATCACTTTCAATATCTTAAATAAAGAGACAATCAGAAAGATATGCTGGTAAAAAAGTACTCAACGTCATCTATGAAGTATTCTTTCCAGAAATTCAAATCTTTCATCTGGTCAAGTCTCTAGATTTAACTATCATTTATGAGAAATTCAGGCCAACTAGAAATATATCAAAGGCAGCACAAGATATAGTGAACACATTCTCATATTTAGAAATATCTGTGGAATAAATAACATCATATCTTCAACAAATATAAGGGGAAAAAAGCTGACAAGTAAAAGCTATAGTTTAAAAAACATTTAAAGTACATAACAACCCAATTCAATGTGTGGACCTTTTGTTTAAATTTTGACTTAATAAAACTGACTGTAAAAAGAAAGATGAAAAACAGGAAAGTTCAAAGATAGACTGGCTATTGTAGCATATTGAGAAGTTGTTATTAAAAATGTTAGATGGTAATAATGTATTGTTATTTTGTTTTAAGTATCCTGTCTTTTAGTGATAAATACCATAATGTTTACGGATGAAATCATGTGATATATATGTAAATCTCCTTAAAATGTTAAGGAAAGGATGACAAAGTGTGGGGTAGATATTGTGAAGGAAAATCTTGGGGTCTGAAAATCACTAATCTAAAGGAAAAAGTCAAGCTGGGAACTGCTTAGAGCAAACCTGCCTCCCTTTCTATTCAGAGTCATCCATCTGCTCACTGAGAAAAATGCATATCTGATTGCTTCCTTTGGAAAGGCTAATCAGAAACTCAAAAGAATGCAACCATTTTTTCTACTATCTACCTATGACCTGGAAGTCCCCTTAACACATCACGTTGTCCCACCTTTCTGGACAGAACCAATATACAACTTACATATACTGAGTGATAGCTCATGTCTCCCTAAAATGAATAAAACCAAGCTGTGCCCCGACCACCTCCGGCACATATCATCAGGACCTCCTGGGGCTGTCATGGGCGCACGTCCTTAACTTTGGCAAAACAAACTTCCTAAATTGACTAAGACCTGTCTCACATAGTTGGGTTTCACAATATCAAACAAGATTGACCATGAATTGATAGTAATTTATACTGGAATTTATGTACATGACAGGAGGGTATAATTTTGCTATTTTCTCTACTATGTATATATGTGAAACATTTCTTAATATAATCTCTTAAAACTTAAAAAAATGTGTGGGAATCAGCTGTAGTTGTGCCAGAGGAAACAATATAGCCTAGAATTCATATATAAGAAAAAAGATTATATAAAAAAATCTTATCCATATTAAAAGTTTATAAAAGAACACTAACTAAATTCCAAAGAAAATACAAGAAAAAGGTGATACAGACTAGGAGATCATAAAACTAAAATATAAGCAACAATAAAGAGAATAAAAAAGACAAAATATTTTTGAAAATCCAGTTGAGTTGGGATGTTTCTGATGAGACAGAGAAGTCAAATGTGAGAAAAATTGTAAATGATGAAAGTCAATATCAGGGATAAACAGAGGTGTTACAATAGATTCTGTAGATATTACAAAAACAATAAAAAAGTTATAGAAACACACAAATAAAATTTAAAAGCTACATTAAATGGATAATTTTCTGGAAATAAACAATTATGACACAAGAAGAAAAAGCTGAGCATTGTTTACTATTATAAATGTAGAATTTATAATTACAAAGCTTTTCATGCTTTACAGAAATATTGTATCAATTATTTTAAACAAAATTATATTCGATTTGACATAAAGTTTTCCAAAGAACTGAAAATTTCAGAAGAGTGACAGACTCGTGTTACTAATCCAGTATCACCTTTATGCCAAACATTAGGTTGTTGCAAAAGTAATTTCAGTTTTTGCCGTTGAAAGTAATGGCAAAAACCACGATTACTTTTGCACCAACCTAATAGAGAATACTGAGAGAACAGAACATTATTGGTATCTTACCTCACGGATTTTGAAGCCAAACCTTAAATTCAACAAGGTACGGAATGAATAATAAAGGAACAATATGTTGGATGTGATAATGGAATGCCTGTTTAGCTTAATATTAAAAAAGCAGTCATACTTTGCCACAGCAATATATTAAAGAAGCAAAATTGTATAACATTTTTACTAGATGCATTTGTAAAAGCACCAAACTAGGACTAGAAAGGAATTTCCTTGATATGATACAGTCTGTTTTCACAAACTATAGAGCAAACACTTTATGGTGAAACAGCAACCTTTTTTTTTTTTTTTTAACTAGGACCTTACCAGGTGAGGTAAAAACAGCTTGATTTTCAACTTCCAGCAAGTGCTTCCTGTTGCCTGAGGGCTTTCTCCTGCTGCTGAGCCAGCTTTGGTGCCCCTGTGGCAGTCCAGATGTGCCAGGGAATGAATAGCCCTAGAAGCAGCTCTCTGCATGGCTGATAGGAATTAATGCATACATACCCACCATCTGCACCCTGGCCCTTGGGGGGAACAACTGGGAGGCATGTGTCCTCCACTGATTCGTAGTTTCTTACCCATGCAAAAGTGCCAGTAGCCCACAGTAGAAGCTGGCATCCTTTATCGGCTATCTTATTTTCCTTCATTTTTTCATATCTTTAATAAACTATTTGCACTAGAATCCTAATCTCAGTGTCTGCTTCTGGGGAATCCAAACTAATTCATAATATAATTTTTGAAAATCTATTTACTTTGATAATAATAAATTCATTTATAAAATAACGTATAATTTTAATTGATTTTACAGCTATTAACTTCTCTTCTTACCATTTAAAAAATGGAAAATGCCTAACAGTCTCACTCATTTAGGATAAACAAAAATGCACTCTGCTTTAGCACAATATTTAATAGAGTCAAGCATTTCATAATCACAGGAATATAGTTCAACAGTTTCACAGGCACATATGAATATACAAACCTTTGTATGTATGTTTTGTTGTGGTTGTTGTTTTATAACAGGACTACTTCTAATTCATATTTTAGATTAGGTATAAAATAATTACAGAACAGTGATGCAATAGAGGTGGCTTATTTCCCTGTATTCTAAACATTACACATAAAAGAATTTAAGACAAAGTAACATTACTGGTTAGTTACTCCTTACACCTTACCTCTTCCTCTAGGAATGAGGAGAGATTATCTGATACAGTGGGAGAAGAAACTGATCCTCATTAGCTCATCAGCTTTTTCTTTGGAGCAAGCCTATTCACAAGATGCACGAATTCCTGTGAGAGGCTTCCTCTCAAGGAGAGCCCTGGGATTGTCTACACTACAGTATTAGGTTAGGGATGTCTGTCCAATTCAGGAGTGAAGTCTGAGTAAACCCACTGTATTAGCCTGTTCTCACACTGCGATGAAGAAATACTCGAGACTGCATAACTTATAAAGAAAAGAGATTTGATTGACTCACAGTTCCACATGGAGGCCTCAGGAAACTTACAATCATGGTGGAAGGGGAAGCAAACATGTCCTTCTTCAATGGCAGCAGGAGAGAGAAGTGGAGAGCAAAGGGGGCAACACCCCTTATAAAACCATCAGATCTCATGAGAACTCACTCATTATCACAAGAACAGCATAGGGGAACTGCCCCCATGATCTAATCACCTTCCACAAGGTCCTCCTCCAACACATGGCGATTACAATTCATATTACAGTTCGAGATGAGATTTGAGTGGGGATACAGAGCCAGACCATATCACCCACTTAGCTGCAAACCAAAGCTGTCCTTTAAATAGCACTTTCAGTTAAAAGTGGTATTTTCATCTCCATTTATAAAATTCCTACATGTATCTCTCAATGTGCTTTGAACTCAAGGGGGAAAAAGGGAGGTATTTATCAGCCCCTTAAAATCACAAACTATTGAAAAAGAATCTCTAGGGGTGAATCCAGACACTTTATTTTTAACAAGCCCCACAAATTATTTTAGTGCACACTAAGTTTGGAGAATCTTTAGAGACAATGATATATATAAGCATACAAGTTACTTTCCTGGAAAGAAGATTTTATTCAAAATTTTAAATTTGTAATTTTTAAAGCTTTCATTTAAGTTTTTATTAAGTACACAATAGAATTTTTTAAAAAAATTATTACCGTAAAATTATATTTAATCAACTAAACCTAGTTTAGAAAATAAATATTTAATTAAAATATTTAAAATGCTTATTTAAATTGAATAATGATAAAACAGTTAACATATTTATAACTCTTTCAGTGTGTTCAATGGTATACTGGGAAATTCTCTAGAATATTATCTTGATTGAGGAAGATATTTTCCCTCAACGCCCACATCTGCACTCAAGATGTCCAGATTCCAAGTGTGCTGTTCAGTGGGCCTCTGTGTATCCAACTCTCCAGGACTGTTGGTTGGGTTGATCCCAGAATGGATTGGTGGTTTTCTGTGGATTTTCAAATATTAGAAGAGCTGGAAGTTGAGACTCTCCTGTCTGTGCCCGGAGCTTTCTTCCCTTCCCTAACTGAAGAATTCTTTCCTTTTTCTCTTCCTCTTCACTTCAGCCCTCTACTTCTGGTTTGGAGAATAGACAAACTAGCTGTGTAGATATGCATTCAAATATTTCTATCTTATGCTAAAGCTAGTGTCTTTTTTCAGACTTTGTTTTTGCTTTGTGTTATCTTGTAAAGTAAAAGTGGTACTGCAGTAACTAATGACAGAGGAAAAGGAAAGCAAAAATTTGGAAAGTAAATAAATTCATAATTTAGAATACAACAAAATAGAAAGGCTAAAAATAAGAAAATAGACTTGCCCTTTAAACTTCAAAACCCATTCAAGATCAATGGAAAAAAATAGATAATGAGAAAGTGTCCATATGTGTGTGTTTCTAACCTCAGTCTTTCTCTCTCCCTCTCTCTCTAGCCTTTCCATACATATTGTTCACATGACAGCAAAGGGACAGATGGTAAATATTTTAGTGTTTATAAGCAGTCATTCTCACAACAACTTAGCTCTGTCTTGTAACGCAAAAGCAGCCATATACGTACATGGACAAATAAGCATGGTTGTGTGCTATAGTTTGGCTCTGTCCCCACCCAAAACCTCATCTTGAATTGTAATCCGCATGATCCCCACATGTCAAAGGAAAGACCAGGCGGAGGCAATGGAATCATGGGGGCGGTTTCCCTCATGCTGTTCTTATGATGGTGAGTTCTCACAAGGTCTGATGGTTTTGTAAGTGTTCCATAGTTCCTCCTGCGTTCATTCTCCTTCCTGTCACCATGTGAAAAAGGTGCCTTGCTTCTCCTTCACCTCTGACCTGATTCTAAGTTTCCTGAGGCCTCCTTAGCCATGCCGAACTGTAAGTCAATGAAACCTCTTTCCTTTATAAATTACCCAGTCTCAGGCAATTATTTATAACAGTGTGAAAATGGGCTAATACAGCATGTTCCAGTAAAACTTTACTTTCAAAAGCAGGTAGTGGGATTGCCTCCTGGTTAAATTTAAAAAGATATAATCCTACAGGGAGAAAGGGTAGAAAATTCAGTAAATGGCAAGGTACAATTTTTCAAACACCCATTTTGTAACCCACAAGTAACTTCCAGATAGTACTATAAAATCAAACTGACTTTTAAACCTATTATCTATATTCTAAAATATACAAAAGACATAGTGTCACAGACTTATTTATTACAAATAATTTTTTCCAAGAGAGTTCTTGATGGCCTCATTTAAAAATTGAACATGTGGTTTCTTTTACTCTTGACAATGAGTATTACTACAATACAGCTTGGAAGGAGAAGCAAAATGCAGGGATTTAAAATATGAAAGTAAAACTTAAAAAAAAAGTTATTGCCCTGAACTTAATTTCAATACCTTCTATTTATAGTGCTTCATTGGTGACTTTCTTATTCCATAGTGCTTTAAGACCAACTCAAATTACTTTCATTCTAGATATAAAACTCATTCTAGATATAAAACTTCCATAGGTATTTTGACATTGTCATAGTAATTAGTATTAAATATTGACAAAAAGTTTTGAAGAACATATATGCCGGGGTTTTATCAATACACTAACTAAAAACATAAAAGCCAAACTAGAATTGCAGGCAATCTTATTATCTGATTCCATTAATTTGGTTTGCATTTTTTGAATATCACTGAATTTTATTTTACTTTTCAAAGAGAAAGGCTAAAGAGGACATTGATAATTAGTGAGACCTTCAAGATTCAATCTCATGAGAACAAAAAAATGTACAGTGTTTTCTCTTAAGGTCTATCTCTTCTTTTGAGTAAGAGTGCCATCTGCAGCTGTGAATCTGGATGCTGTCAAAGTAAGCTCTTCGTGTCAGCACAATCACATCCAGGTTATGCCTTTGTGGAAGAGTAACCTGCTTCTATTTGCTGAAAGTAGGCATACCAATTTATCCAAACCCAGGCAACTCGACCCTTCAAAATAGGCAATGTTATCTCACTTATATCTTTGACTATAATTTCAAGGCAACTCATTTGAAATACTAATTTACTTTAGATATGAAAAACGTATTCTTTACATCTGACAAGATACCACATTTTAACACCGGCCACAGGTAAGGGAACGTAGTTATAAATATAGCATCAACTTCTTGAGGAATGATACACATCTATCATATAATTGAAATAAGATCTATTATGAGAGAAGTTCTTCACAGTGAGCACGTCTCCATCATGAAAATCATCCTAATTGCTAATAATACCTACAACATTTTCATTAGTTATACATATAATTATGAAAGTATATGTATTATAGAATTGGATGTCAGAAGGATCAGTATTATCAGCTAGAGCAAAATAAATATAGGAAAGCATGCTATAGTTAAAAAGTAATAAATTTGTATCCAGATGAATTGGATTTGAGTCTGAGTACCTCCACTGATGGAGTCAATTTATCACCATAAACATGTTTCCCTCCTGTAAAAATGATTTGAATAATTATTTCCTACTTGACATATTTTTAAAAATAATTCTGTAATGACATAGGAATGGGAAAGACCATTGTAAACCTCAAAGTACAGAGTCATTTTCTTGGTCATTAACGAAGAAACTCTGGGGGTTTTATTTTTATTTTTATTTTATTTTTTTGAGACAAAGTTTTCCTCTGTCCCCCAAGCTGGAGTGCAGTGACATGGTATCGGCTCACTGCAACCTCCACCCACTGAATTCAAGTGATTCTCCTGCCTCACCCTCCTGAGTACATGGGACTACAGGCCTGTGCCACCATGCCCGGTTAATTTTTGTATTTTTAGTAGAGACAGGGTTTCACCTTGTTGGCCAGGCTAGTCTCAAACCTCTGGCCTCAAGTGATCCGCCCACCTCGGCCTCCCAAAGTGCTGGGATTACAGAAGTTTTCTTTTTAAATGTATGCCAATGTTGTCTATTTTTACCTTTTTGTAAAAGTCATCTGAGATAATTTCTCCACATAGAGATTCCCAAGCCCTTTCCCTAGAGATTCCGATTAAGTCTTATTCTAGCAGATCTCAGTAATCTTTATTTTTTTGTCAAGGCATGTATGTATCTTTCTAATGATCAGGCCAGTTTGGAAAATATTGACTTATATTCTTCATTTTAGTAAAAGTTATGCATATAATGACTCAAATGTTATGGAATTTGAACTGAAATAAAATTTTAGGTATGCAATATGAAACAAAATTTCTTACTCTACTGTTTGGTCATCCATAGAAAATTTATCTTTTATTTTAATGACCAGTGGTATACCCAACATGAAATATATTTAACTGATATCTTCTTTTTGTTGGTAGAAACACATTCAGGACTTAAGGAATTCTATCATCTTCTTTATGATATTTCTTAACTAGAGGGATACATTAGAATCAATCTTGACATTTTTCTGAATATATTTGCCTAGGAAATTCATTGTCAACATGTTAATATTATAAAAAGGGAACCATTAACCAGTCATTCCTCCAGTGTTATTCCTCCTGATTAAAGAACACAGCACCTCCTATGTTATCCTATATATGAACATAAGAACATATTATCTGACCCCACAAAAGTGAAACCAGAAAAATCCAACTAGTAGAAATTCTGCAGAACGATCATTGTGGTTTTCTCAACAAATAAAGTGACCGGGAAAAAATAGAAATAGAAAGAAATGTATACATAACAAGAAAATTAAAAACTCAGACTTCGACTATAATTTACACAAATAAACAAAGGGAGATCATTTGAAATTTTCACATTTATAAGATGTCTGATTATATTAAGGAAATAATCATATTTGTTTTAGGTATCATGGTAGTATTGTGGTCATGTTAAAGATTCTATCTTTTAGAGATGCATACAAAAATATTTCTGGAGTAAACAATATGATGTCAGGAATTGCTCAAAATACTCCAAGAAGCAGAGAGTAAAAAGGTTGTGGGTGACGCTGGTGGTGTTTGGGAATGGGTGATGGGCATATGAAGGTGCATTTTGCAGTCTTTCTGCTTTTAAGTATATTCAAAACTCTCCATAGTAGACAATTAAAAATAATAAATATATATAGGCCCATCTCTAACAGTGCTGACTTCACAGTTTGGTGGTAAACCCTAGGCATCCAAATTTTAAGTAAGATGCACAGATGCTATCTGATGCACAATCATGGCTTAAACGTACTATAAAGGATGTATTTATATTTTATTATATTTATATTTGATACATTTATTCATATTTCTATCATTTCACTTATTTATATGTGGGGCATTCATACAGTCCATCTTTAATGAATCATTGAAGTAATTAAGTTTTTTCAGACTTGACAGATCAGTTTTCTTAAAATGATTGCAGATATGCCTGTGATTTTATTAATGCAGATATTAAACTTGCTATTTTCATGAAATGCAGAACTCCTGACAATAAGATATTATAATAAAGACTTAAATATTTAAACCTAAAATATTATAGGCCTTATAATATTTTAAATATGTTGGGGTAATCCAGGTTGCATTATTAGAATAATTCTATTGAGAAAGAGAAGAAAAAAATTGTTCACATGTGAGTAAATATGTAGAAGTAGAGCTCTTACCAACGAAAATAATATTGAAGCATTTTCCTTGAACACTTAGAGAAAATGCAATCATTAACATACACTGATCCATGAGAAAAGAAAAAATAATCACATCCAACTAGAATCAGTGGTTCTCAATTCTGGTTATTTTCAAATTGCTTAAAGAGATTTTTTAAAATTATCAATGCTCATACACCAAATATTTGGATGCCATTGTGTTAGGGTTGAGTCTGAACATTGGTATTATTTTTAAATTCTACAGATTATTCTAATATGTTGCCTGGTTGAGAAATATTTTGTTGTAGACAAAACAACTCTCTATTTGGATAAGAACTTTCAGGAATTTGCTCATTATATTTATTTCAAGAACAATATAACCTGGTTATAAATAATAAGGGAATATTACAATCTAACACCCAACGAGTATGAATAAATGAATTCATTTCAATTGAGCCCTTGGTGTGGATTTTTTTTTCTTACTACTGACCTGTGTGTGTTATAACAACATCTTGACTACATGTGTGTTCTTTCTAGAGAACTCTGTGGAATGTCATATGTTAGAATAAGATGAGTCAAGTACATCTTTTGCCACCACGGAGATTTTAATCAAGGCTACAGTTAAACATGATTACATAATCATGCAATCAGCAACATACATGTATTGACTGATTACTATGTGTGGGAGCTTCTATCAGTAGCTAGGAGACACCACAATGAATAAGAGCTTAAATCCTGGCGAATTTCATCCTAAAAGATAAAGTGAACAAGCAAATAAATGTAAACACAGTGCTTTCAAATTCTGACAATTACTATAGGTGATATGTTGGAGGCTGTTGGGTTCGAGGATTGTTTTGCACTTATTGCTAAGGAAAAGCTTCACTTAAGGATACTATCTGAACTGAAACAAGAATGAAGAGAATGGGTTAGATATGTTGAGATAGGGGGAATTGTTTTCCAAGCAGAGAGAATAGCCTCATCAAACATAATCAGTAAAGATCCTTGCACCTCCCAGGAACAAAGAGGAAAACAGTATGGATGAAGCTTATTGAACAAGAGCAAGAGGGAGAGATAGGAGAAAAGGTCAGAAAAGTAACCAGAAATCAAATCAAGTCGTGTAGTAGTGTCTTTCATCTATAGTATGGATGTTTTATTTGTTTTGTTTTGTTTTTTGTTTTTCCTCAAGGGCAGTGGAAAGCCTTTTTAGAGTTCTAGGCAGGGAAGTGACATGGTCTGATTTATACTTTCAAAAGGTCACTCTGGCTGCTGTGCAGAAAAAGGATTACAAGGCAAGAGTAGAAGCAGGGATCCCCTGCAGAAGAAAATTGCTGTATTCCAGGGAGGAATGATAAAATTATTACATAACATGATGAAATAAGAATAAGATGCAAGTAAAAAATCTACATCAGTGTGAATTAAAAAAAAAATACTTATGGGGCCAGGCGCAGTGGCTCACACCTGTAATCCCAGTGCTTTGAGAGGCCAAAGTAGGAGGATTGCTTGAGGCCAGGAGTTCATGACTAGCCTGGGAAACATAGTGAGACCTTGTCTCTATTAAAAAAATAATTGTAATTATATAGTGTCATGGTGCACACCTGTAGTCCTAGATACTAGTGAGGCTGAGGCAGGAGGATTGCTTGAGGTTGCAGCGAGGTATGATCATGCCACTGCATTTCAGCTTGGGCAGCAAAGTGAGACCTTGTCTCCAAAAGTAATAATAATATATATAACATATATATAATGTGTATAAATTTAATTTATACATTATATATGTTATTATATACATGACTTTTTAAAAATCATTTCACATATACATGTGCAATTTCCTAACTACACAAATTTAGACAGCAGAACTATTAGAAGGATCATCATTTAATCCCAATTTCTTTTTTGTCAAATTTCATCTAGTTGATAGACTATGAAGCTATTGTTCTGGATTTCCAAAAGCATGTGAAAACAACTCTTTCATTGAATTGTTATGATAATCTTTCACTGCTTTGTATCAATCCATATACTGTTATGAGATAAAGATAAATGGTGTGTTATAAATTTAGACTTTATAAAAACAGAATCACCTGGGCATCTTTTAAGTAAGGCAGTTATACAATCTGATTTCTGCATTATCAAGGTCACTCTTGATATTGTCTAAGAAAGTCAAGAACAAAAACAAAAGATATGTTAGATGATCTTTGCCTTTTAAAATTATGGATTAGATCATGTCACTTTCCTGCTTAGTATTCTTAAATCCAGAGAAGCTATGACATTATCTTAGGCAGCTGTGTAGATGCTGGGACATGATAGGATACATTTTGGAGGAAGATCCAAATCAGAAGTGTGATATTAAAAAAAGAAAGAAATCAAACATTGGGTTTTGAACTTTATAACTTGATGACTGTTAATGCCATAAACTGAAGTAGAGAAGACCAGGAAAAGAAACCGTTTTCGGGGAGAAATAAAGAACTGCAGTTGGGGCATGTTAAGCATATAATATCTCTTTTTTTTAAATGAATCAATTTCTTAAATTGATGTATAAAATTGTGTGTATTTATCATGTACAACGTGATGTCTTGAAGTATGTTTACATTGTAAAGTAGTTAAATCTAACTCAATTAGCAAATGCATCACCTCACATAGTTATCATTTGTGTAGTAAGATCACTTACCATCCAGTCTCAGCATTTTTCAAGAATACAATATATTGACCAAAGGGAGATGTTAAGGCTTGGGTGCATAGCTTAGAACTCAGGCGGATATTGAGGATTTGAGATGTAGATCAAAGCCACGGGCCTGAAAGTAATCATTCAGGGCACAACTAATGACCATGAGGAAGGCTGAAGACTCACCTTTAGGGTACTCTAACATTTAAAGAAGAATGAGATACCAGCAAAGACATCTGAGAGGAAGCAGCCTATAATGTAGGTGAAGAGGTTAAGGTATCTGTTAGTATGGAATTCAGAAGATAGAAGTATTGCAAGAAGCCAGTGGTAGCAGAACATTTCAAATACTGGTAAGATATAAATAAATTTTATGAATTTCTCTTCTGAGGACAGAGACTAAACAAAAATTAATTGGAGGTGTTTCAAATGAATTGATGCTTATATAAAAGAAAGAACACAAATTGCATTAGTTAAAATAGTTCATCTGGTGACATAATGAGTCTAAATTCTTAGTGGTCTGTAATCTAGTAAAATGGAATCTAAGTTTAGTGGCTCCACCAGTACCTGAGATCTGAAATGACTCTGTGGACCTCTTGCCTCCAGGCAGGAAGCAACGGAGAAGGGAGAAATAGAATAAGTAAGAGCTTTTTAACTGCCTTGGCCAGGTAATGATACATCACTTTCGTCAACTTTGCATTGGAAAAAAATAAGGAATATGGCAAGCAGGATGAGACATTTCATTTATTGGTGTTCCCTATAACAGAAAGTAATTTCACTAATTTCTAGCCAGTCTCTGCTACATGAATATTTTAAAAAATCATTTCAATATCTCTAATTATTTTATTTTATTAAAATACTGGAATATTATTCCATTGATTATGTAAGTTGGTGCCTTAATTCAATGCATTTGGTTTTGCTGCTGTCCATATCCCAGTTACAGACTTTCCTTATGATGCTGCTATGGAATTTAACTGACTTGATCTGGTAATTAATTTATCAAGTGCTCTGGAATTTATGTAATTCCCGTGTGAACTGTAGTCTATACCTTTTCATTAGGTATACTTCTCATTTAGACTGTCTCTTATATAATAAAAATATAGTATACTAAAAAGATAAAGTATTACATACTAATTTTAAAATATTCTGGCATATTTACATTCCTTATTTGAATATACATATATATGTTTATATACACACATATACATGTATATATCAGGTATATGTATATACATGTGTAGGCACTTATGCACATATATACACTTACACACAGGCATATATAGGTGTAAAGAAATATGTTTAAGCTTGTATTTTAGAAAACATCACCATATTGCACTTATCACATTAGAACACTGCCTCCAAGGCTACTTACTTATTTCCCCAAATATAGTAAGTCATTAGATATTAATATGCAAATATAGTTCAATGATAATATTGTGTTCTATATAGTCAATTTAGAAGTTCATCAAATTGGCAGGGCACGGTGGCTCATGCCTGTAATCCCAGCACTTTGGGAGGCCCAGGCGGGTGGATCACCTGAGGTCAGGAG
This sequence comes from Homo sapiens, assembly GCF_000001405.40. Taxonomy (NCBI): domain Eukaryota; kingdom Metazoa; phylum Chordata; class Mammalia; order Primates; family Hominidae; genus Homo; species Homo sapiens. The sequence continues at coordinate 64,853,190 of NC_000010.11, read as the reverse complement.
TTCGAGACCAGCCTGGCCAACATGGTGAAACCTCGTCTCTACCAAAAATACAAAAAATTAGCCAGGAGTGGTGGTGGGTGCCTGTAATCCCAGCTACTCGGGAGGCTCAGGTAGGAGAATCACTTGAACCCAGGTGGCAGAGATTGCAGTGAGCCAAGATCGCGCCACTGCACTCCAGCCTAGGCAACAAGCGTAAAACTCTGTCTCAGAAAAAAAAAAAAAAAAAAAAAAGTTCATCAAATTATAAAAACTTCGATAGGTGGTAAATAAGAAAAGAAGGCAAGATTTTATTCATTAATGCTCATTTAAATTGAAATTGTTAACAAAACTGCTTGTATATTCAGCATTCAATAAGTTGCTTCCCTAAAAATTGGACTAATAACAAACTAGAAATTTAAAATAATGTATCTGCTGACTCCTAGTTGTACATCACTAGACATAAATTGTGATTATTTTAACATGCGGCACATCATTACTTTGAATTATGGTATTTGAAAACAGAATTTTTTTAAGTGTAGCTGTTCCTTTGGTTGAACTGTCCTGAAAAGAACTGGTTAGGTGAAGGATGATACTGTTGACCTCCTGAGAGTGCTTTGCATGATTATAACAAATGCTAATGAATTAGCTTCAGCTATCCTCGTCACTTCTAGTCTTTCCCACACAATTTTTCAAAATAATTAGCAAAAGATATGGAGGCAACCTACACTTGTGACACACATCATGTATTATAGATTAATTCTATCTAAGCTAACATTGTTCTCATTAATAATATGCTTACACCAACCATGTCAATTATTAGAAAAAGCTAAGAATTACAGAATGGGCATATATAGATTTGCCAGTGTGCTACTCTTCACTTTTTTAATGACTATAAATTCAGTTTCAGTTAGTGCTTATTTAAGAATTGGCACACTCAATTAGTGATAAAAATGTCAAACATTCACTGAGTCAGGTATTAATATTTTAAAACACTTGGAGGCCGGGTGTGGTGGCTCACACCTGTAATCCCAGCACTTTGGGAGGCTGAGGCAGGCAGATCACAAGGTCAGGAGTTCAAGACCAGCCGGGCCAACATAGTGAAACCCCATCTCTACTAAAAGTACAAAAATTAGCCAGGCATGGTGGTGTGTGCCTGTAGTCCCAGCTACTTGGGAGGCTGAGGCAGGAGAATTGTTTAAACCCAGAAGGCGGAGGTTGTGATGAGCCGAGATCGGGCCACTGCACTCCAGCCTGGGCAACAGAGTGAGACTCTTGTCTCAAAAAAAAAAATCACTTGGAGAGTACAAAATTAAGTACTTTATTTACACTACATTTTATTTGAAAAATTTTGTCCACAAAATGAATTATCTATGATACTTGGTTCTCTAAAGTGTAAGTGTAAACACATTTCTTTATACCAATATATATGCCTGTGTACAAGTGTATATATGTTCATAAATGTATACCCACATACATATATACAGTATATGTGTACATATATATTCAGGTAAGTATATGTGTGCACTGTGTGTATATATGTGTGCATATGTATGTTGTATATACAAATGTGTGTGTGTGTGTGTGTGTGTGTGTATATATATATATTCAAATAAGGGTCACAAATATGCCAGAATGAAAAATAACAAAACATCGGCTTAAGTAGAGACCAAGCAACTATGACATGCTTTCACCTAAGATTCTATGAAATAACAAAATAAATGTAAAAAGGCCAAATGAATTTAAAGCATCACAGGGAAACACAAAACAGCATCATTAAAAACAAAAAAAAATCCAGAAAGATAGAAAGGAAATAGGTTCAGATAATCAGATAATTTTAAAATGGAAGCTATAATGGCACAAATGCAGTAAGGGTAAAATACATTCATTATAAACTCCTTAGCACTTAAGCAAGCTAGCCCAACTCATACAAAAAGTGGCACAGGGCCCATTTGGAAAAACAAACTGGTTGACCTCTCCCTCTCCTGGATTTGTACTAAGCAATAAGTAAAAATGTCATTAACCCACAGGTTAAGCAGTTAGTGTGGAAATTGGAATAGCAGAATCAGGAAAATGTCTTCAATAGCTGCTAAGTAGGTAACAACCACCCTGAGATGACAATCACTAAGAAACTGAGACTTAAATCATGTAGCATACATTACTGCTATTTTACTCCACTGTAGACTAAACTGACATGTAATTTATAATCAACACTTTAAAACAACATGCAGACAATCAAGATTCATAAGATAATTGAGTAAAAACATTGAAAGAAGGCACTCACCTAGACCAATTGATCACACTTAAAATAAATTTGTAGTGCAAACAAGTTAATATCAGAATAAATATCAATACAATTCAAGTTATCTACCTACCTCAAACCTCACATAACTAATGCAAGAGGGATTGTGGGCTATAGGTAAAACATAAAACAATAACGTTTTCAGGTAAAAATATAAGAAAATATATTTACAACCTTAGGGAAAGCAATGACTACTTAAGTAGTATAAAATGTAGCAACTATAAAGAAATGCCAATAAAGTAGTTTTAATCCAAATTCAAAACATTTCTAGTAAAAGATGAAATTAACTGAGTGAAAATGCAAGCCGAAGTCCAGGAGATGTCATGTGTAACATTAATGTTAGACAGTGAAATCTATCCAGAATACATCAAAACATGTTACAATTTAATAAGATAATGTGGTAAAAATGGACAAAATCTTGAGAAGACACTTAACCACCTTAAATATGCCTACAGCCTGTAAGATATGAAAATCATTTACCATTATTAATCACCAGGGAAAAACTAAAACTTTAATGATATACCTCTACAACTCTCATTAGATTAACTATAAGAAAAGAGAAAACTCAAGGTTTAAGGGTATGTAATAAGTAGAACTCATACATTGCTAGTGGTGTATGTTAAAGACAAACACACACAAAAAATTGTAACCCAGCAATTCCCTCTTTGCTGCACACCACACAGAAAAATACAGAAATGTACAAACATGTCCACAGGTGTGTTTGTAGTTGTTTCTTTATCATTTCATCTTTTTTCTATAACCAAATATTAAATGGGGGAAATTCTGGTGAGGGTTAAAAATGTCATTTAGATATTTTAGAGATTTTGATAGATTTGATAGATTTCCTATTATTAGAATATTGGCAAAGATAAATGTCTTTCTTTTCATAATTTTTCTGCCAGAGTACTAGTTTTCTCTTTCCCCTACTTCCCTTTTTTCTTTTTCTCTCTGTATTCCAAAATAAACACTTGTTATTCCGTTTATCATTCATTTTTGCTCAGTCTTTTAAAAAGTAATTAAGTATATTAATTTTATATTGTCTATTGTCTACTATATCACCATGTCTTAGCATATATCGATGACTTAATAAATGTTTATTGAATGAAAGTATGGTATTTTTAAATGAGTAACTATGGAAAGATGTGGAAAAAATTGCAAAACGCAATTGTAAAATGACTATTTAATCACCTTGGATTTCTGTTTATTGCATCTCTATTTTCTCTGTTTCTCTTATTTCTTCAAAAGTGATGCATAAATGACCACATCCTGGTTTCAGTGTCCTTCTGTGCTTCATCAGTAATACATAGTAGCCTGCTTATGTTAAATGTGCTCATCAATGTTCATGATGTAGTATGAGCTTACTTCTTCAAGATGCACTCATTACACTGGTGATCTTGACTGGCTTATTCCTGGTGAGATGAGTAAACTCACTGAAAGGAAACTTGTTGGAAAATCAACTGGTCAATTCAAGAAGTGTGGAATCACAATGTTCAAGTCTCTCAAACTACCTTTAGAAGAACCATTTCTAGTTATTTTTATTTTTTTATTTTTTATTTTTTGAGATGGAGTCTCTCTCTGTTTCCCAGGCTGGAGTGCAGTGGCACGATATCGGCTCACTGCAAGCTCTGCCTCCCAGGTACAAACAATTCTCCTGCCTCAGCTTCCCAAGTAGCTGGGACTGCAGGTGCCTGCCACCACGCCTGGCTAATTTTTTTTTTTTTTTTGTATTTTTAGTAGAGATGGGGTTTCACCGTGTTAGCCAGGATGGTCTCAATCTCCTGACCTCGTGATTACTCGCCTTGCCCTCCCAAAGTGCTGGGATTACAGGCATGAGCCACCACGCCAGGCCTCTAGTTATTTTTTAAAAAATTCCTTAACTATCATGCACTGATACAATCAAAAGAAATTACTAGGTTAAGAATTGCATGCTTAAAGGTCAAACTGCTGTGAAAGTTTCCAAATGCTCTTCTTTTTGGTAGTTTTCTCTTCATAGACAGTGGTGAGCAGTTTGCAGACACAGGTCCATTGACCACACTTTGAGTATTGATGCTGTGAATTATATAGGAGGGGGTAAAGATCAGGGTTTCAGCAGAAAACCAATGGCATAATCAAATTGATGCTATTCAAAGAGGTTTCAGAATAGGAGTTATTTGCAAATGTATGGTCAAGAAATAGAGAAAAAACAAGAGGTAGTAATAAGAATTTCTATCACAGATGAGAATTTTTAGTCTCATAGAAGTAAGTTTTCACAACAGATAAGCTCTTGACCCAAGATATAACCTCAATCAGGCTGACCTCCAAAGAAATGTAAAAAATAATATTTTGAGGGAGCCTTAATTGAACACCTGAAACATAAAAAGATTAGGGATGATATATTACTTGGTCTATGAATAAGTATAAAACAATCGAGTATAGGCTGAAACATAAGCACTAGAGAGACAGAGGGAGGGTGATCAAAAGAAAATGGTCAAGCTAAGAAATATATATCTACTGAAGAAAATTACTGAGTTCCAGGGCATGTTAGAAAGAAAATATTGACAACGTAACATTGAGGAAAAGGATTATTGAAGAGTTGAAATGAAGCATGAGAAAACTCAACCAGGTGTGATCCAGCAATTTGTATTTGGAAGTGTGCAAAAGGTTTCCTCAATCAATGCAGAGTATACGCTGAGAAGTAATGTGAGATGACTCAGAAGTGGCCTCACTGTCATCATTTAGGGACCTGCACACTAGCAGGTCGCAGATTAAATAAATATTTTTTAAAAGATTACTGAAATAAAGACTTTCTTTAGGTGTGCAATTTATTATTTTATGCTCTATTGGTGAGTAGTGAAACAGAACTCTACAGGTTTCGTGTTCAAAATAAATCGGGGCATGGAAAATTGTTACTGCTCCCACTTCAATAACTAGCTAAGGAAATTTATTCTGAGGTTTAATGGAGTCTTTGAAAAAAAAGTTTGTTAAAAAGCAGCATCAGCACCTTTCAAAGTTTGTCATTTTCCATCTGTCACTCTGCCATAAATACCTCTTCATTTATATTATTTTTGCAAAATTAGACATAAAACATTTATTGTAGATAATAATGTCTGTCTCAATTTGTTATCCAAACTGTAAAATAAATCCAAATATGCAGTTAATTGATATTTAATAACAGTTGCATATTTGGTTAAATTATAAATCACAAGGACTTTGAATCAAAGCCTTTCACCAGGCAAGTACATAATGCACCCTTAACAGGGATTAATATTCCAGTCCTAACGATTTGAAAAAACCTATAAGCAAACACATCACCATCCAAATTATTCTCGTTCAAAAAGTTATAAAATTCTTGCCAGGTTTCTCAAATAAGATGCATGAAAAGATAGCCCTTCTTTTGTGCAGTTTATACTTTAAAATGTTACATGATTGTTACAGTCAATTCCAAAGACTAAAGTTTCAACTGTCAACCTGGATGCAAACAATGAGTTTATTGTGTTAAGGAGGTCCTATCAATAAAATTTACATATTTAAATATATTTAATTTATATTGAAAGCTTTTGATTTTAGTCCTTATTAGATTGTTGACTTACGCAGACATACTTTCAAGGTATATTAATGTGGTTCTAATAAAATATGGAATTGTAGGACAGCATTTTAAGGTGTGTTAATTGAGCAGCTCTTAATATTTTCTGTGTCATCAATGGCTACTGTTTCATGCCCTAACTGTGCAAAAATATCAGGAAAATTTTGCTTTTCTGAATAGATGGTAGAGAACGAATAAATGAATGCAACTGTCAGCATGACACACTCTGACAGTTTTTATTTGTAGTATGTTTTAACTTTAAAAAGTATAAGCCATAAAAATTCAACATGTTGAAACAATTAAAAATGTAACTAAACATAAAGCTAAACAGGTGATATTACAACTCATGTGTTTTCTATTAGATACCCATAGTCTGCAAGTTAATTTAGTTAGACCAATGTATCCGCATCATCAACAAAAATATTCATGATCATTATCACTTTTCAGCTGGCAGAAATTTGCAACAGATGTTATGGAAGTTTTCCATGTTTATATTCAGAGATGTTCAACATTCCCCTGTGAATTCAAAATAGGGAAACACAATGAATCATGTCCCTGCAGTCATAGCAAACCATACTTTGCATCATAATAACCATTTGTCTAGCGCAAATTCATTTCAGATTTGTTGCCCCTCAAAGGTAAAGGAGTTAGAAAACAGTTGGGTCTCCATAAAAATGCTCTTCCTATTGCTCAGACTAAAAAGTAAAAAATAGTTTTGTTTATAAAATGTCATCTAGAATCTAATAACCAGAGGATATCTGTTGTGTTCCATTTTATTGTTTAGCTTACATATTAATACAATATTTATTTAAAGATTATAACCCTTTATTACCACACCTTTCCAAATTAATTAAGAAAACCAATTTTTTTGTGTTTCTAAAGTGGAGAAGTACCTTACTCAGTGTATGAAACAGAGCAAGTAAATATTTTAAAAGAGCAAAAATAACTAAATCCCCTGATGTTATCAGACACCCAAATGAGCTTGTAACTACAATTTAGCATTGCACTTAGCACTGCATTTACTCATAGCAATGTCAAAAAGTAGCTCATCTTACAAGCATAAACGTTTTTCTAATATCAATTCTGAGAAGTAATTACTGTGTGGGTCTTGATATAAGCTGTGAATAATGTAATAGATGACATTTTCAACTGAATTTTCAGTAGAAATAAAAGCGTTCCTAAATGGTATAACTTAAATCACTATTGATAAACACTGAAGAAATGGCATTTAATTTTAAACCCCAAAGGCATGGAAAGCTATGAAGGCATTAGAACGGATATATAAATTTCTGGTGATGTTAGTAAATAGATGATTAGAGATCTCTAGTAAGTGAGTTCTAGCATGGTTTCTCAACATTATTTCTTTGAGTTCTAAGTTATCAAGATAGTCTATGATTAAAATGTTCCTTATTTACATAATGTTGGGAGTCATTACTTGTTTTCTGATTTTCTAAATTTTCAGAATTCATATTAGTCCATTTGAGAAGTTCTGCACGAAAAAAGCTGGTCATATTTGTAAAATTTGTATTCTAAAGGTCATTTAACTTTTTTCCTATAACATGTATTAAACTAGCAATGTCTTCTTTAATTAATATTCCAGAGGACAGATTTTGAAACTTACTTAAATGGCAGGACTGGTAAGTGACAGGTGCCCAAATAAAGTAAGTCAACTAAAGTAGTTGACCATCATGATTGGTGATCACATCATAGTTGTCTTTTCTGATGGGTACCTAAAAGGTCAGCATTATATTTGTTGTTTTTCATAGTGATGAAGCAGCTTTATATAACACATATATGAGACAAAACATGGACACTTCCTAGGGAAATTAAGAACATAGAATATGAACTTACATGGAAGACAAACTTGTCTTGTGCCAAGAGTTGAGTCAAGAGTTCTGTTGGAAAGACATTTTTATTTTTAATTAAAAAGGGCTTTGAAAATGCTTAAATTCTTTCAGGGAAATAATGATTGAAAGTATCTTACGTTAGATTCTAAGAACTGAAACTTGATATGAGGATTCTTGTCCAAGTGCTCTGTAAGGAAGAGAGGAAAGCAGGACGGGGTGGCACAAAACACTAAAGATAGTTAGATGTCCTTTCAACCCAAAAGTCTGACCTCAGCCTGATACTGCAAGAGACTCTATAACATGCTCTGGGGATTAAAGGAGGGAGTATGGCCTCTTCAGGCATCTCCAGGAATGAAGCCTGAGCAATTCTCTAGAGGAGGGTAAAGCTGTAACCTAGAGAAAGCCAATACTCTCTACCTGGTAAGAGGATATGAGGAGAACCAGCAGCAAACAGCATCTACTACAGATGTACTTTAGCCTGTTAAATTTTAAAAGTTTAGCAGTCTTTTTTATAAGTAGTGCCATCGACAGTTCATTAATATAAAGCTCAGGAAATGATTATAAGGCAATGAGCTAAAACTTAGTCACCTCCATGAACAAACAACAACATATTTATATATTTCAAATGCCATAAGGTTCAAGGAATTCAACAAATTGAAAACTAAACTACTATTCCAACTTAGCCTAAGCCCTCCTCCATTGCAATGGCACTACCATCTGTGAACAAGCTCTCTTTGGTTTTACTATGAAATATCTCTTGAATCCATTTGCTTTCTTTTTTTTAAATTGTTTCCCAGCTTTATTGACAAAAGTTATATATGTTTATGGTGTACAACATGATGTTTCAATTTATGTATACATTATTAAATGAATTGAGTCCATTTGTTTTCATTCATTCCTTAGCTACAAATTGTCAATCAAAACTATCATCTGTCTAGCTTAAATTTCAGAAAATATCTTATGTGTTTCATTGCATTTGGTTTTAATCCCCTTTAATACAGTTCCACACCACAGCTGGAGCTATCTTTTAAAAGCAAATCTAATCTTATATCCTTCCCTTGTAAAATTTACATTGGATTTCTGTAGTTCTGAGGACAAAGACTCAAACCATATATTTGACAAACTTCAAAATATTAGAAAGTCCTAAGGACCAACCCTTAGCTCTGTTGTTTTCACCATCTTCACTCACTGCCAGTTCCATGCTGAGGATACCTAGTTTTATCTCTCTAATCCCTACTTTGCCTTTGTACTCCAGACTTATGGATCCAAATTGCCCACTCAACATCTCTACTGGCTATTTAATAACTAGTGCAATATCTATTGTTGACATCTTTTTTCTTACCGTATCTACATAAAATTCATCAACACTACCATCAGCTTTTCCAGAATCTGACTCTTTTTTACAACCTCAGCATTCTAGTCTAAGCCACCATCTTCAGTCATCTGTATTTTTTCATCATAACTAATCTCCAAATTCTATTCATGTCCCTCAACATACCCTATTCTACATACAGTTGTCACCATGATCACCTTAAATACAAATCAACTGTACAAGTCCTTTTAAAACTATACAATTTATCTTCACTTTGATCCATCTAAGTCCTTCACTTTGTCTAAAGACTGTACAGGTTCCACTCCTGGCTAACTCTCTAAATTTCTCTCTCATAATTCTCTTCATTCTCATGCTATTCTAACCGTACTTAACTTTTTTCTGTTCCTCTCTCATATTTTCCCAGAATGTCGAGATAGCTTGCTCCCCTCTTTCAGATAACTGGTCAATTATTACTTTAAAAAAGGCACCATTCTACAACATTGCTCTATATCACATTACTCCTTTAATGTTGTTCATAATTATTATCAGCTCCAGATCTCTATTTAGTCAGATTGACTTCAACATAAAGCACCTTCTTTAAAAACAAGATCTTCATTTTGTTTAATTTGTACTCCCTAGTACTAAAAGTAGTGCCTGATACATAGTATTTGTTAAACAAATATTTTTGGTAGAAGTTATCGATGCTGATTCAATTTTTATTCATTCAACTAAGCCAATATAACCTTTCTCAGTTTCTTTGAATATGTGTCAAGACACACAACCAGATACTTTTCTCTTGCTTCCTTTATATTTCTTGGAATTAAAACACTTACATATATGACTAAAAGCCAGTATATAGAGAAAGATAAAATCACATGTTCTATTCTCTATGTGTATGTTTCATATCACAAGTAAAGGTTTTCTTTTCTTTCTTTCCTATTCTTTAGTTCCTATGATAAGTCAATGAATGGAGCACTACTTAACAAATTGTTCTAAATTTCAAAGGGAAAGTATTAGTATATTTTGGTAAAATGGCTACCATTGTGAACTATTGTCAAGTTAACTTGAATCAATAATGATGCCATATCCAAATAAGAATGGTTATTATACTGTTTGTTGTAAAGTTTCACTCAATAAAATTTTATTGTGGAAAATCTCTATAATACAAAAATTTTAAATCAACATTAGGGTAGATTACTTCATTTCATTTATGACAGCACTAAAATATGCAATAGGATTATGATGTTAAATTCCTGTGGCTGGATTTCAATGCTGTTCATTATCTGGCTCCACCTCGCCTCCCATCACCCATAAACTTCATTTCAGACTATTCCACAGTGGAATACTAGGTTAGTTTTACCTACACAACTATGTGCTCTTTCCCACTTGTCAGACTTTTCATTTGATTTGATCATAACACAGAGAAATCAATTTGGCTAAAAGCAATGTAAACTTAGTAGTGGTAATAATGAAATAGGGATTTATTTTTCTTATAAGAATGCTATAGGTCAAAAACTCAAGACAGAAACAGTGTCTTAATACGTTGGTATCCTAGGTTCCTGTTATATTTTTCTCCATAATATTTAGCGTCTTGACGTTTTTTCTTCCTGATTATTGCCTTATGGTTTCAAGGTGGCCACAAACCATTAGACTTCAAATACATCTTCCAGGTAGGATGGAGAGAAAAAAAGCAAAAGGAAAAGCATAGAGGCTAAAGGACTTTCCCTTAAAGAAGCCTTAGTGTGTATTGGGAAGGATGCCATTTCCAGGGAGCTTTGACCACATAATACTGACATAAACATGACAACCTACCACTCAGTACATTTTGCCAAGCTCCCAAGTATAGGCCATGGACCTCACTCTGAGTAGTAAATTATATACCAAACTTTAAAAAATTATAATATAATCTAAGTCCTCCTCAGGTTCGTATACAAACTTGCCTCTCTAGGCAATACATTTAACATTCAGTTTTCCTATATCTAGGCTGCGGATAACAATAAAATCAAATTATGGTTATGAAATAAAATTAAATTACAGTTTATATGAAGCACTTGCGCATAGTGACCATCCCCCCAAAGAATTGTTCGATTTCTTTTTAGCAATTTCTGATATTTGTATTATTACCATCTGAAGCCAGCATTTTCCAAGTGTTTTCCATGATATAATAAAAACTGTTATCTAAGAAAATAATAATAATATATTTGGAAAAAAAACCTGGGTTAAATAGATAACCAAATTAAAGGACCTGAAGAGTCTAATCATAAATAAATTTTCCCAAGCCCTATAATTTACTAATATGATTTATGAATCTCCAATAAGGACTATGACAATTAGCATTTCACAAGACTATCAACCAATAAAGCCATTTTTTTTTTTTGTGAGCAGAGCTCACGAAATTATGGCAAAGCCATAACATTCTCAAATTCCCTCTTAGTCTATGTGACGATTCTTCTTAAGTTTGTTCAGGACCTTTACGACTATGTGCAGCAACTCTTCACTGATACCTACTCTTGGAGCACAGTTTGAGAAACAATTCAGGAGACACCTGACATAATTTAGGTGAGAGAGCCCATTAGAAAGAGGGGATAGTGATGGCCTTCAGAAGGAGGGTCATGAAGGCTTTACAGAAATACAGAAGGGGGAAAAAGAAGAAATAGGAGAAGCAGAAGGCAGGAGAATATCTATACCCAGGAAGTTCTATGAACATCTCTTGATTCTTGTGCATTTCGTACCCTTAAACTAAGGAAAAGGAATTCCTTCCTAGTACAATTTTACCAGAGATGTTGTGATATTGTTATTTATGTGGTTCATAGTGACTTGTTTTACAGGCTTTCTTTTACTAAAAAAAATAAGTGAATGATCAATTAATCTGGTTATATTATGCTAGAGGGTGAAATTATATTTACACACATCCATATTAGACAAATAAATACTGAGTTGATGTGCAGATGAAAGTGTCAACTGTGATACCAAAATCAAGAGCATTGATAAAACAAGATGATACAGATTAATTAGAAATTATTCCCTGGAAAATCACCCTGTCTTCCCTCTTTGTCATCCCTCCAATATGAGGCCCAGTGAATTTGTGATTGGTGTTCAAATAATACACTATTTTCCTACGCAAAACATTGTAGCGCCCTGAGGAGGAAAAGGGCAACTGTTTTGGAATTAAACCATGTATCCTTACATATGTCCAAACAAATATCATTACTGACGCTAGGAATTTAGAGCTCCATTAGTAAATGGGAAAATATAAAAATTGAAATTAATCATAAGAAAATGGCTTCTCAAAACACCCTTGCAGTCCTATCTGATAAAACTCAAATATTATTCAAAAGATTATTTTGAAAGAGCATCGAAAGGGAAAGCTAACACTAAGATGAAAGTCACTGGCACTCACAACATATTGTGCACCACTCTTAGAGCCCAAGAGCAGATGGATCATCATCGTGAAGTCCTGACATTCTTCCAAGGGTGTACATTATTGAAATTGATGCGGGATTTTTCTCGGCCCCTTTGCCGGACTCATGGCAGGGGTGCCACCTCTACCCCTCCCCCGGTACTCAACCCCCTGTGGAAGGGAGCACGTGAGTGAGCGAGTGCAGGATTCAGCTGGCTGCTCTGGGTGCTGACACAGGAACAAGCTCCGTGCAGGACCCGTGGCCAGACCAGCTGTGTCACCTTGAGGGGAACGTGGCGGCACCCAGATGAGGGTGCCCACGACCATGAAGCCCCAGAGGGGGTGTTGCAGTGTCCCTGTACTTCTGCCATCAGCAGTTGGTTGTGTGTTAGCAGCTCAGTTGGCCCCTTGTCTCATCGTGTGGGCCAGCTGCCCTCCTCTGGCAAGGGCAAAGGGCCAGTGTGACAGCCTTTCTTGGTACCCTCACTCGGTGGGTCCTGCGCTCTTGTCCAGCATCCAAGAAGAAAGAGAGCACATGGACAGTTGAAGGATGGTGAAGGTGGAGAACTTTATTGAGCGATGAAAACGGCTCTTAGCAGAGAGGGGAGCTGGAGCAGGGACAGGAAAGCAGGCCAACCTCCTCAAAATCAGGTTGTCTCTTCCCCAAGTCAGGCCATCTCCCCTTATACCAACTGATTCTGGGGTCTTTATAGGCACAGGATGGGGAGTGCATGCTGATTGGTTTGTGAGAATGCAAGAGGTTAAAGTGAAAATAGCACTTAAAGGTGGGCACGACAGTGTAGAGAATTTGGAAAGGGTAGGTATATGCAAAATAGGTGAAAGGTGGGGATCAATTAAAGGAAAGTGCTCCAAACAGGACAAAAAGTTATCAATCGGTCTGAGGATTTAACCTGTAGCTTGGCTTTCAGGCTTTAAATTTTCTTAGGCTTGGAGGTGGGGTTTCGTCGGGTACCCACCCCTATCTGCCCCCATCTGCCTAGACATTTGGCTGCCTCCTGTCACTATCAAAATGATTTTAAATACCCACCCAGAAGTTATAGACCTTAAAAAATAGTATGCCATAATTAGTATCCGTGGACCAATCCATTGGCAGTTACCTGCCAATTGATATCAACAATGTAATTAAAAGACAGTACCTTAAATATGGTTGTCTACTGAGCATTGAAGACACATTACAATCACAATATCCCAGGGCCAGAGGTATGGGGGGTGGAATACACTCATAGAAAAAAATAGGAGCTGGATTTAACACTTTCTTCAAAAATTCTCGAAACTGATTGCAGATGAGGACTCTGTGCTGGAAAAAAAAAAACTCAATAGACTTTTTTTTTTTTTCCCCCTGAGATAGAGTCTCGCTCTGTCATGCAGGCTGGAGTGCAATGGCAAGATCTCGGCTCACTGCAACCTCTGCCTCCTGGGTTCAAGCGATTCTCCTGCCTCAGCCTCCCAAGTACTGGGACTACAGGTACCCGCCACCATGCCCAGCTAATTTTGTAGATGGGTATCGCCATGTTGGCCAGGCTGGTCTCGAACTCCTGACCTCAGGTGATCCACCCTCCTCGGCCTCTCAAAGTGCTGGGATTATAGGCGTGAGCCACTGTGCCTAGCCTCAATAGACTTTCAAAGCAAATATTTGCACAAAATTATTAGGTAGAATAAGAGACCTAGTATTTTCTAAGAAAAACAAATTTATTTCATTGAGCAGTGGTTTGTAGTTCTCCTTGAAGAGGTCCTTCACGTCCCTTGTAAGTTGGATTCCTAGGTATTTTATTCTCTTTGAAGCAATTGTGAATGGGAGTTCACTCATGATTTGGCTCTCTGTTTGTCTGTTATTGGTGTATAAGAATGCTTGTGATTTTTGTGCATTGATTTTGTATCCTGAGACTTTGCTGAAGTTGCTTATCAGCTTAAGGAGATTTTGGGCTGAGACAATGGGGTTTTCTAGATATACAATCATGTCATCTGCGAACAGGGACAATTTGACTTCCTCTTTTCCTAATTGAATACCCTTTATTTCCTTCTCCTGCCTAATTGCCCTGGCCAGAACTTCCAACACTATGTTGAATAGGAGTGGTGAGAGAGGGCATCTCTGTCTTGTGCCAGTTTTCAAAGGGAATGCTTCCAGTTTTTGCCCATTCAGTATGATATTAGCTGTGGGTTTGTCATAGATAGCTCTTATTATTTTGAGATATGTCCCATCAATACCTAATTTATTGAGAGTTTTTAGCATGAAGGTTGTTGAATTTTGTCAAAGGCCTTTTCTGCATCTATTGAGATAATCATGTGGTTTTTGTCTTTGGTTCTGTTTATATGCTGGATTACATTTATTGATTTGCGTATATTGAATCAGCCTTGCATCCCAGGGATGAAGCCCACTTGATCATGGTGGATAAGCTTTTTGATGTGCTGCTGGATTCGGTTTGCCAGTATTTTATTGAGGATTTTTGCATCAACGTTCATCAAGGATATTGGTCTAAAATTCTCTTTTTTGGTTGTGTCTCTGCCCGGCTTTGGTATCAGGATGATGCTGGCCTCATAAAATGAATTAGGGAGGATTCCCTCTTTTTCTATTGACTGGAATCGTTTCAGAAGGAATGGTACCAGTTCCTCCTTGTACCTCTTGTAGAATTTGGCTGTGAATCCATCTGGTCCTGGGCTCTTTTTGGTTGGTAAGCTATTGATTATTGCCACAATTTCAGAGCCTGTTATTGGTCTATTCAGAGATTCAACTTCTTCCTGGTTTCATCTTGGGAGGGTGTATGTGTCGAGGAATTTATCCATTTCTTCTAGATTTTCTAGTTTATTTGCGTAGAGGTGTTTGTAGTATTCTCTGAGGGTAGTTTGTATTTCTGTGGGATCGGTGGTGATATCCCCTTGATCATTTTTTATTGCGTCTATTTGATTCTTTTCTCTTTTCTTCTTTATTAGTCTTGCTAGCGGTCTATCAATTTTGTTGATCCTTTCAAAAAACCAGCTCCTGGATTCATTAATTTTTTGAAGGGTTTTTTGTGTCTCTATTTCCTTCAGTTCTGCTCTGATTTTAGTTATTTCTTGCCTTCTGCTAGCTTTTGAATGTGTTTGCTCTTGCTTTTCTAGTTCTTTTAATTGTAATGTTAAGGTGTAAATTTTGGATCTTTCCTGCTTTCTCTTGTGGACATTTAGTACTATAAATTTCCCTCTACACACTGCTTTTAATGCATCCCAGAGATTCTGGTATGTTGTGTCTTTATTCTCGTTGGTTTCAGAGAACATCTTTATTTCTGCCTTCATTTCGTTATGTACCCAGTAGTCATTCAGGAGCAGGTTGTTCAGTTTCCATGTAGTTGAGCGGTTTTGAGTGAGTTCCTTAATCCTGAGTTCTAGTTTGATTGCACTGTGGTCTGAGAGACAGTTTGTTATAATTTCTGATCTTTTACATTTGCTGAGGAGGGCTTTACTTCCAACTATGTGGTCAATTTTGGAATAGGTGTGGTGTGGTGCTGAAAAGAATGTATATTCTGTTGATTTGGGGTGGAGAGTTCTGTAGATGTCTATTAGGTCTGCTTGGTGCAGAGCTGAGTTCAATTCCTGGGTATCCTTGTTAATTTTCTGTCTCGTTGATCTGCCTAATGTTGACAGTGGGGTGTTAAAGTCTCCCATTATTATTGTGTGGGAGTCTAAGTCTCCTTGTAGGTCACTCAGGACTTGCTTTATGAATCTGGGTGCTCCTGTATTGGGTGCATATATATTTAGGATAGTTAGCTCTTCTTGTCGAATTGATCCCTTTACCATAAGAATCAATAACGTGAAAATGGCCATACTGCCCAAGGTAATTTATAGATTCAATGCCATCCCCATCAAGCTACCAATGACTTTCTTCACAGAATTGGAAAAAACTACTTTAAAGTTCATATGGAACCAAAAAAGAGGCCGCATCGCCAAGTCAATCCTAAGCCAAAAGAACAAAACTGGAGACATCACGCTACCTGACTTCAAACTATACTACAAGGCTACAGTAACCAAAACAGCATGGTACTGGTACCAAAACAGAGATATCGACCAATGGAACAGAACAGAGCCCTCAGAAATAATGCCGCGTATCTACAACTATCTGATCTTTGACAAACCTGAGAAAAACAAGCAATGGGGAAAGGATTCCCTATTTAATAAATGGTGCTGGGAAAACTGGCTAGCCATATGTAGAAAGCTGAAACTGGATCCCTTCCTTACACCTTGTACAAAAATTAATTTAAGATAGATTAAAGACTTAAACATTAGACCTAAAACCATAAAAACCCTAGAAGAAAACCTAGGCATTACCATTCAGGACATAGGCATGGGCAAGGACTTCATGTCTAAAACACCAAAAGCAATGGCAACAAAAGCCAAAATTGACAAATGGGATCTCATTAAACTAAAGAGCTTCTGCACAGCAAAAGAAACTACCATCAGAGTGAACAGGCAACCTACAAAATGGGAGAAAATTTTCACAACCTACTCATCTGACAAAGGGCTAATATCCAGAATCTACAATGAACTCAAACAAATTTACAAGAAAAAAACAAACAACCCCATCAAAAAGTGGGCAAAGGACATGAACAGACACTTCTCAAAAGAAGACATTTATGCAGCCAAAAAACACATGAAAAAATCCTCACCATCACTGGCCATCAGAGAAATGCAAATCAAAACCACAATGAGATACCATCTCACACCACTTAGAATGGCGATCATTAAAAAGTCAGGAAACAACAGGTGCTGGAGAGGATGTGGAGAAATAGGAACACTTTTACACTGTTGGTGGGACTGTAAACTAGTTCAACCATTGTGGAAGTCAGTGTGGCGATTCCTCAGGGATCTAGAACTACAAATACCATTTGACCCAGCCATCCCATTACTGGGTATATACCCAAACGCCTATAAATTATGCTGCTATAAAGACACATGCACACGTATGTTTATTGCGGCATTATTCACAATAGCAAAGACTTGGAACCAACCCAAATGTCCAACAATGATAGACTGGATTAAGAAAATGTGGCACATATACACCATGGAATACTATGCAGCCATAAAAAACGATGAGTTCATGTCCTTTGTAGGGACATGGATGAAATTGGAAATCATCATTCTCAGTAAACTATCACAAGAACAAAAAACCAAACACTGCATATTCTCACTCATAGGTGGGAATTGAACAATGAGAACACCTGGATACAGGAAGGGGAACGTCACACTCTGGGGACTGTTGTGGGGTGGGGGGAGGGGGGAGGGATAGCTTTAGGAGATATACCTAATGCTAAATGACGAGTTAATGGGTGCAGCATACCAGCATGGCACATCTATACATACGTAACTAACCTGCACATTGTGCACATGTACCCTAAAACTTAAAGTATAATAATAATAAAATAAAATAAAATAAAAATAAAAATAAATAAAAAAGAAACAAATTTAATGTCACAAATCATCATAGAGTAATTATTACCTATGTATCTTTCATAAGCAACATCCTCTTTTATGCTAGTTCTGTCCACTTTTGCACAAATAGTCAAATTGCTTTTTTCTTTTTAAAACTAGTTTCCATCCTAAACTAAATACATAATACAAGTGACAAAAGAAATGAGTCATATAGGCCCCAAAATGTTACTACAACAATGTACAATTTATTTGGAGTCCCCAATATGATTAGAAGGCTTAATGGATTACGAAATGAAACAATGAGTCTCCCTGGAGAATCAGCACAAAATTGGGAGCATTACCCCTTTTGAAAGGGATAATTAAAATACTTCTATATAGATACAAAGAGGTATAAGGGAGACTTCTAGAACTTTTAGAACTCTGAAGACAACAAACTTTCCTGTCTAGTACAAAGCTCTAGTACGTCTTAAACAATTTCTTAAACATTTCTAAAGCAGATTTTTTTCCCTTTACTATTTCTATTTATGGTGTATTCCTCAAGAGCACAGCTAATATAGCCCAAATCCTTTCTTTCTTATCCTGTCCTGGTAAAAATTCAGAATAAAAAGGTATTTGGGGGTGGCTTGGAGCTAGAACATGCTACAGGAAAGTTTTGTGTGACTTAGAACAGGTACTCAATCAGGGAGAGGTAGTCTGGAATCAGTAGGAAGACCTGGGTGTTGCAAGGAAGTAGCTTTTACTGATACAGTAAACATTGTATTGGAACTCACCTCAACATAGTTTCAATGTTCCCTATTTCTGAATGCTTGATGACTAAAGAGAAGACTGTAAAAATCTCCAAGGCTGGCGTTCATTTGTAGAAGCCTAAGCTATTGTACTCTATGACACAGCTGCCAGAAAGAAACACCAAAATAAGGAAGTGTGCTCTTTCTACAGGAGAAAAACATTCATGTTGGGAGATGTGCAAGCAAAGGGAAAGAAATTCTAGACAGCAAGCTCTGAGAGCAACTAAAGGCATCTGAGAAATAGTGTCATCTAGAGAACAGAAAAATATGGCACGAAAGCAGTAAGTAGAACTGTAAACCAATAAATATCAAGACAGTGAATACATTGTGGGGTAGGCCCCAAGGAAATGCTATTCAGTAGGGATAATAAACAATCTATAACTACATAAACTATATGGTGAAATATCACATACATGGAGCAGAAGTTGTAGAAAAAGTATTCATACCTGTGATTCTTTTTAGATAAAGAACTAGCTGGATGAAAATAATTTATACTAAAGATATTAGAACAGTAGTTACTCTTGGGAACAAGTAGCATCAGGAAAGGGGCACAAGGGAATCCTCTAGAACACTGGTGACATTCTATTCCTTGAGCTGAGGGACAATTATACAAGGAGTTACATTTGTGATAGTTTATCGATCTATATATCTATGATCTGAAGACTTTTCCTAGATAAAATTATTTGAAAGAATGTTATATTGAGCATATTAGTTATATATTTTTGGTTTGCGTTACAATTACTTTCAAGATTTTGTGTTTTGTTTGGTTTTGTTTTGCTTTTGTGGTTGCAGTGCATTCTCCAAGCAAACATATTATTTAAAAATACAGACAAATTAATCAATATTTTATTCCTGATTTCTCACTTTTGTGTCATACTTGGAAGTTGTTTCCATCAAAGGTCATTATACACGAAATAAAAGGCTCCTATGTATTTTTCTAAGAAACTATAGAGCTTTTTCCTGTTTTGTTGTTTACATCTCTGATCCATCTGGAGGTTATTTTTGTAAGGAGTGAAGTATGTTTTATTGTCTTACTGGGATTGTATTCCCTATTCATTTAACATGTAAAATCCGCTTTTCAAATTTAACAATGATCAGCACTTAAGATAGATTTTCTTGTCAATATAGAGATTTTCTTGTCAACATCATCTATTGCAGACACAGGTGAGACACAGTATGTATAGTATGATTCCATATTGCAACACCCAGTTGATTATTAGAAACATATTCTGCAATATACCTGAAATGTTAGCACAGAGTATCTCCAGGTTGTAGGTTGGCAGTAGAATCCATATACTTATCTTTATTTTCTGTTTTTCTCTATTTTCTAAATTATTTGTTTATGATTTAAGCATATAATCTTTTGTTTTTAAAAAAGCACTTTTCTGCCCTTCTTCCAAACACAAATTGACCTCCTGTTCCTCTGATAAAAAATATGAGGGTTTTTTGTTTTTTTGATTTTTACTGTGGCCTTTAGAAAGTATTCTTTCTTAACTAGTCATAGAATACCTCTTCATCCACGTTGAATTTTTCACATTGACCTGAATGCCCCATGACCTTCCATGTCTCTATAAGCTTCTACGCCTTTTTTCTGGATGCTTCTCTTTTTTTTCCTATGTGAAGATTTTCCAGAGTTCTATAAACAGTTATTTGCTCTTTTTTATATACCCAAAAATTGTAACTTTAGATCACACATTAAGTTAAATCATATAATTTTTTTCCTATACATGACTATCTCTTCCAGTAAAGTTAATTCCTGAGGCCAGGGCCTTCTATAATTTTCTTTTGTATCCCCATCACTGTTCAAGGGATGCAAATGACCAAAGTTTGTTAAATGAATGAATTACATCAAGACACCGGTAATTTTGATCTGATGTCTACAGTTTGAACCACGATGATGAGAAACAGGAGGTTAGTACCCAAATGACATCAAATGATAAATAAGAATCTTTAAATTTTACTTAGCAGAGCTGGAGAGTCAAATTTATAAATATGACTGATATTTTTAGCCCCCTCTAATTTTAGAGTACAAAGAAAATACTAAACCATAAGGGAACAGATGACAGCATTTATTATTAATTAACTAACTCACGTATTCAACAAATATAAAGTGGATATCTGACAGATTTTTTTAATATGAAAAACTTAAAATACTTGTCCTCAATGTTTCATAATTTTCTAGATGTTCAGAAAATTGTAATTAGCCTGTAAAAAATTTTGATCAAAATATACTGTTTAACAATTGGATTACTAAAAGAAACAAATATCAAGAACAGCCTGAGTTAGCTCACATGTTCCTATATTTTATCAAATAACTTTATGTCATGAACTTGTCATCAAACAAGGACAGCGTATGAAATGAATTATATCCTCTTACTCAGTTCCTATTTATGTTCTAAAAGAACATGAATATATTCTTTTTTCACACCATTGTATCCCCATATCTATCAGAATTCCTGCTTCCTAGAAGTATTTGATAAACACTTGTTAAATAAATGAAGAGTGAATGAATGAGCCATACTATCCTCTTCAATTTTAGCATTTAAATGCAAATTCTGAAACGCTGTTCAAATTGATAGTGCACAATTACCAGAGAAGGAATGCAGGAGATATAGAAAAAAATAGTACATTGGAAAATAAATACAAATGAATGCTCATTACATATATTAAGTATACAGTGCAACTCTGGAAAGTAGTTCACTCTTTACTGGGCTCTATAATGTTGTTTTATATATGAGTTTAACTCATGGGTAAATTTGTCCTAATGTGAGATACATTTTAAACATGAAATACCATAATGACAAAGTTTGAATACATTATTCTTACAAAGATTTTTGCTCTTTAATAGCCTGAAAGAATATCACAAAAGATTTGTGAGAGATATTTTCTTTTCACCTTCAGCTGAAGTATGTGGGTTGGGATAAATGGGGTAGTGTGTTTATGAGAATTTGAAAATTACACAGAACGTAATTGACTTCTCAAGATCAACTCTTTAAAATCTCTTACATACACACAAGCAGAGAAACACACCTTTTATTTTTATGTAAATGAATTTAAAACAAAGGGATTTATCATTTATGAAATTACATGGATTAAATGTTTGACTCACCAAAAATGTTCTTCAAAGGGAAAAGTCTACCTCAAAAGAATGTCTGTGTCAGAAAAGCAGCTTGTTTATCGACTTTAATGCGTTGTAATGATGTTTTACTTTTGTTTCCAGTATACACTATTACCAGAATTAATATTAAATAATTATATTTTAATTTTAGCTCTTACAAAATAAAAACTGTTAAAATCTTACTTGTAAGTAGAGTATTCTACTGGCTAATATAAGTTTCCTATTTAGTGTTTTATTACAATGCATTATGTATGCATTCATATTTAATTTATTTGTTTAAGCCTATGACCAATATAGCCTAATATATTCACTACTTGCCTAGAAACTCAATGTATCTTGGCGATTGCAGACATAAGCACACTTGTATCAGACCTTCAGCTGGCCTGATAAATGGTCCAGTGTTTTTTTCAAATCAGCTGGGACAAGTCAGGTGACAAATGATTTCCATTAGCTTCAGCAGAATGGAAACAAAACAGATCAATACAAATGATTTGCAGCAAGTTTAGATCATAAATTTCCTTTTGCCCGTGTACATCATTTTAATATAGAAGCTTTTTCTTTTCATAGCAGAGAAAAAAGTCATTAGAGAATTGAAAATTCTTGTTACAGCAAACTGTCTCTGATTTAAGGTGAGACCATTTTAATGCACTATTAGTTTTATCCAGTGGTACATAACGATATTATTTTAAAATATGGAAAACAATAAAAATGTTAATGAGCAACGTTCCAGAAAATTAATTTTATGTGTAAGCTGTGTACCAACCATAAAATGCTGAAGTCTATAAAGTAAGCTTTTTGTGTCTATTTTAATTTAGGACCTTCATTGTTTGAATATTTTTCTTTAGTTCTATTTCTTAACCATTTTTTAATAATTAGTTTTTGATCGGCAAAGTATCTTCACTTCCTTGCTTCATGTTCTAAAGATGTGGTACTCCCTTTACGTATTATGTTTCAACGGTAGCAAATTATAGAAAAAGAAGGATAGGGAAAGAAAGAAGAAGAGGATTAAAAAAATCAAGCCACAGAAAGCAAATTAGGGTTATTTACCTTTTCCCTAAGTTATTCCAGTGTATATAGATTCTTATATAGTCATGGAGGAATTTGTAAAGACCCATAGAAACATACCCAGTGATTTCCAAGGAAGTCCTGGCAGTTAATAGAATTATTTATTTATATGACTTTGTGGACCTATAAAGGCTGAGCATAAAACTATCAGTCATGCTACATGTACCAAGAGCATCCACTCTGAACAAGTTCTGCTACACCCAAGGAAAATATATGATGTAAGTGCCATTCATTGCACCCATGGGGGTCCTCTCGCTGCTGTAATAAGCAGACAGCTTTTACCTCAGTATAGAAATGGTAGTTCAAATTCATCACCACTACCTGAGAGAGAGAGAGAGGCTGGGATACATGAGGCGCTCTCCAGCTGACTACTGTTGCTGCATGAACAAGCGCAAGGGGACAGTAAGTATCTCAGCTTCTATAGCCTTTCTAACAAGTCAGTTAACCTTTCTCAGGATTATAATTTATAATTTAAATTTATAATTAAATTTATAATTTATATCACAAGCATACAGCAAGAGAAGAAGTTTCAAGATGAAAATAGAAAGAGAAACAATAAAACAAACTTGCTTTTATGACCCAAATAACTTAAAGGAGTTTTGGCTTTGTTTGGACAGTAGGGGAAGTGTACATGGGTGTGAGATTAGGACAGGGATACATTTATCCCCTCAAGAGCAGATTTTAAAGTTTCCAACGTCACCCAACTTGTCTTAGTAGCATGGAATAATTTTTCTAGACTCATAATTTGGTTCATAGAGAGTGCTCTAGTCCTGTATGAAAACCCGTGTTTAAAGCCTGACTCCATTCTTTATTCTCAGTAAGATCCCTAAAAATCATTTAAATAGTTCCTCATCAGACTACTATTTGAAAATCAAGCAAAATAATATCCCCTCTGTCTAGATCCTAATGCCTATCAGCGTCTGGTTTTCAAACTGCCCTAATGAGTCCAAAGTGTGTATGAGTAGAGTACAGTGTTAAAGAGCGTGGAGTCTCCAGTCACATTGCTTGTATTCAAATCCAGACTTTGCAAGTTACTAGCTTTGTGATTTTTGGCAAGTTTTTTAACCTCTGTGTGACTCAGTTTCTTCAACTGTGAAAGACGGATAACAATCATTCCTACCTAATAGGATTGTGGTGAGGATTAAGGAAGTTAATAGAGTAAAGCGCTCCTAATAGCACCTAAATCATGTCTTCCTATCTGTTTTAGCTGTTATTATTACTACTACTAATAGTATTATTATTATTATCATTATTATTGGTGTGTGTTCAAGAATGTCAAAAACAATTTGAAACAGGAGCTGAAGACTTGGAAGAAGGTAATAGAGGATTAGGAGTCTTATAAAAAAAAAACAAAAACAAAAAACCAGCAAACAACAACAAAAAAAGCTTTTACCTTCCAGGCACTCACTGAATTTTGTGACATATTGGAGAACTTTAGTTTGGTTCTCCTGGGAATCCAGCCATTATGTAAAATATCTGAATGCCAAGAGGTTGCTATGATGGAGAGGACTTGTGTAGCCTCGTTGGTCACCAGATTAAGCTGAATTCCTTGGTGAACCCTAGCATTAATGGCCATGAGAATGAGCCCTATTAGATGCATATTTAACTCCAAATATCAGATGACTGGCCCAGCTGACAACGACTACAACCAGGTGAGACACTTCAAGCTGCCCAGCTAAAGCTTTCTTGAATTCCAAACATGTAACATCATGAGCAAAATAAAAGGGTTCATTGTTTGATGGTGTTATGTTTTGAGGATTTTTATCATGCAGTAATAGCAACCAGAACAGCACCAGTTCTGTTCTCTGCTCCTACCTTCTTTCCAAGAACCCAACTTTTTAGCCTTTTAGTTTTCCTGCCTCCTACCTACCTTTATGGCCCTCCAGCTCAGCTCTTTGCCTGGAATCATAGTCCATTACCTTGTAATGAGCATTTGCATGTTCCATGAAGAAATGTAACCAGCTATTAGCTCATCTTTCCAAGATATATGACTCTGGAATCTTGGTCTCTCATATTATTCCTGTATTACTTTTGTATTGCCTTGAAATAACTTTTGTTTTGTTCTGCTTTGTTTTAAATGTTATTTGGCTTTTCCACTTGTAGAAACATTGGACTACAGCAAGCTATTCTTTCTTAGTCAGAAGCAAAGTTATTATTGCCTTAATAATGAAGATTGGATTCTAAAATCATTATTGACTCAATTCCTTAATTGTATGCAAAGAACTAGAACTTGACTCATATTAAAATTCAAAAGATTTTATATTAACCATAAATTATTCAGAAGTCTTCTACTTCTTAAACCTAGTGTACTTCAATAACATTCCTTCTGAACACAACCCATCTTCTTCAAAATTTCTTACTCTAAAACTAACAACAAGCCATTTATCACCATCAAGACATCCTCTGAGTCTTCTTTTACTTGGAGTCAGCTGATGTTCTTTAGAAAGAGAAAACTTACTTTCCTGTGGAGCCAGCATTACATGAGTGACCACCCAAAAGACTCCCTTGCCAGAATTCTTAATTCATCAGCTCTTTTCTGTAAATCCTCAGCCTGGATTCAGTCACATATTTCCATTTGCTCTTCCAAATGGAATTTACAATTAATTGGAGAAATGCAACAACACGTGAATTGGTGCTAATGCAAACTTACAGTTCTAGGAGCCTGTGCTGACAGAAGTGGACCTTTAGTACCCTGCCAGTTTTTGAGTATTATATATTCTATATAATGCTGGAGGTTCTAGATAGTGAAGTAAGTCAGGAGAAAAAAAGAGATATACATATTTAAAAGGAATAAATAAAATTTCACTTTTGTAAAATAATATGATTGTGCATAAAATCCATAAAAAGAAGTGCATAAAAAGAACACTTATGTAATTTTCAAATTTGTGTAACTTTTTATAAGGTAATGAGCAAGAGTAAACAAACAGACATATATTGTATGTCTATTGCAATAATTAACAATTAACAATTACATATTAAAATGCAATTTAAATGTTATTAAAATATAAGAGATCTACAAATAAATCAAACAAATATAACAAACAACCTATTTGGACAAACTATAAAATATCACTAGAGAAATTTTAAAATATCTGAATTAATAAAGTATTATGTTATCATCAGGATTATAAGATTCATTTGTAACAATGACAATTTTACCCATATTGATTACAGTTCAAAATTATAATAGATTTGTAAATCCTAGCCAAGCTTATTTAATTTCCTTTTGAACATTGAAAGGATAGAATTTGTCAAGGTTTCCTTGAAGAACAACAATGTGGCATGACTTGTTCTACAGATACAATTTTGTAATATAAAGTTACAATATTTAGTATACATACAATCGTTTTAGTAAATGGTAATGAGAAAATTAGATAGGCTTATTTGGAAAAAAAAGACTCAAATGTGAGTCATGTCAATATAGAATAAAATACAAAAAGCAAAATACTAAACGATCCAAAAGTTAATATAGATAAATATATTCATAACTTCAAGGTATATAAACATTTTCCTTTTTTTGTTTCTAAAGTACAAATTCAGTTTATTCATCTGTTTATGACACAGTACACAGGAGGCAAAGTGTTTCACATCATAGATTTCACTTCCAACTGCTTGGAATGTACATTTCTTTGGCTTACAGGAGAGACTAGACAGGAAAGCCAGGCTATGCTTACGCAACTAAAATGAGGTTGGGGGCAATGCTAATGTCATCTTCACAGGGACGGCCACAGGGACTGTTAGCCACAAGCTGGTTTTCTAGACCTGTTAGCTGGAAGCGTGGGGAGCACCGTTTCTGGAAGCTCAAGCTATGTTGGGCTTCAGTCATCTCCACCACACAGGTACAGCAGTGCTTTTTGGGTAGTCGTTCTTAGTGTCTTGCTGGATGTAATAGTACGGGGACATGCCATACTTTCTCTTGAATTCAGACCTAATTTTCAACATGTCCACTTCACTGCGGGAGACGATGATTCTGATCAGGACCTTATCTCGAGCCCCCGGCCCTTCATGGAGTAGTACAGCCAATCAGCAAAATACAGGGGCTTGTTCTGAATGCACTGGACCAGGTTCAGGAAAGCATTTTCCAGGTCTCCTTTAACCTCTTTCTTGATGCTCTCTCTTGATGGGCTGTAGCTCTTGTACCTATCAAATACTTTCTGGAGGTGGGACATGCTCTACTCGGTCATCATGCTGATCCACTTGGGAACATCAGTTCTTTTCCTCTTCACTCCAGCATCACAGAAATCCCGGGCATCTTGGTCAATCAGTTCATAATCAACGACAGAGCCATCCTCTGGTCTTCTAACATTTGCCAGGGCAAACATCAGCTTGCAGAAGTCACCATATGTGTCCGAAATAATGTCCTTCTCCAGATCAGTTTTGTACATTTCTTTGTAGACTCTGTTAATTTCCTGGAGCTCCTGGTTGGTTGTTGAGCAGATGATCTCAACGAGGGAGTCCTCCTCAGTTCCCAGCCCCTTCATGGAAGCTTTTAGCTCAGAAGCATCATACTGAGCAGGTGTCTTCAATAGGCCCAAAATGACTGTCTCCAGGTGGCCAGTAAGGCTGACTTCAGTGCTGATGTAAGTTCCTTTGTGGTCCTTCTCTGCTAGGCAAAGGCAACATCCTCTCTCCGAGCATTCCTGCTGTTGGTCAAAATGTTGACAATGGTGAACTTACCCACACCTTTTGTCCTGATGGTCCTTTCAATGTTCAAAGCATCCCCCTCAGCATCAAAGTTGGTGTAGGCTTTGACTGACCCATATGCACCTGAGGGTGTAGAGTGATGACCCTCCAAGCTGAGCTTGCACAGGATTTCGTAAATAGTATACATTTTGAAGGAAGCTGGGCCAGGCACTGAGAGCTGAGAGCGTCCCCAGATGCTGAGCCAAAAATTTTCAACAGAACACAAAAAGCACTGATCATTAAGTTTATTTTTTATTTTTATTTTTATTATTACTATTATTATTATTTTCTTTAAGATAGACTTTCACTCTTGTTGCCCAGGCTGGAGTGGAATGGCATGATCTCGGCTCACTGCAACCTCTGCCTCCCGGGTTCAAGTGATTCTCCTGCCTCAGCCTCCTGAGTAGCTGGGACTACAGATGCTGGCCACCACGCCCAGCTAATTTTTTGTATTTCTAGTAGAGATGGAGTTTCACCATGTTGGCCAGGCTGGTCTCGAACTCCTGACCTCAGTGGTCCACCCACCTCGGCCTCCCAAAGTGCTGGATGACAGGCGTGAGCCACTGCACCTGGCCTGATCATAAATTTTAAATGTAAGCTTTGGTCATAAAGATTTGATCACAAAAAAAGTTAAAGTCTGAAACCATATTTGAAAATTCTAAATAAAAGACACATAATCAGAAAACCTAAAGAATTACAAATCAATTAGAAAAATATAAACAAACAAAAAAGGGTAAAAAATGTGAATAAAGAGGAAATTGGCATGTACAGTAAAACAATTGAAAAAAAGTTGTTCAATTTCATTAGTCATCAAGGAAAAGAATATTAAAGTTTCAATAAATTGCACCCAAAAAAGAAGATAAAATTAAATTCCCATTGTTTGTATGAACGTAGAAAAACTCATACTATTTCTTTTAGGGGATATAAATTCATGCTATCGCTTTGGAAAACAGTGTGATATTATCTAGTAATTTAAAAATATGAAAAACGCAACTATTTCCTCATAGGTATATAGACAACAGGAATGTATTTATATATGAACTCAGAAACGTGTAAGAATATTCACAGCATTCATCATAAAAGCCCTAAACTGGAAACTATCCAAATGTCCATTAACAGGAAAACTGTTGTATAAATTGTGGATATATTCATCAACTGAAATGCTTTACAACAATCACAGGAAAATGGAACTACAACTACACACACTACTTTCAACTGATCTCACAAGTATAACATTGAGCAAGAGAATTCAGACCCACATTTATGTATAATGTATTATTCCATTTATATAATGCTCAAAAATAGGCAAAACTGAATGATTCCATTGAGTTATCATTCTTTAGGTAGTAATACTACAAAGAAAGTGAGTGGTTATTACCTTTACATTGAGGATAGTGATTGCCTTTAGAAGAAATGGACCAGTTTGTGATTTGAATGGGTGTGCAGGGAGCTCATATTATTTCACATCTTGACCTTGAAAGTGGTTATAGAGGTGTTAACTATATAATAACTTTTTAGCTGCACGTTTAGATTTTATGCAGTTTTCTCTGTGTTTTTAATTCAGTGTAAGAAATGATTAGAAATACTGTCAACATCTCATGTCTTTTATATTTTTCATCTTTTTCTTCATCAATCTCTGCCAATTATAATTTTATGTAAAAATATGATGAGTAAATATAATTAGAGGAGTAGGAAGAAGAATGGAAACTACTAAAGTGATACTGTGGAAATTCTTCATAGTAAGAAAAATTTTATGACAAACACTCACTGCTGCTTCAGTTAAGGGAGGTCATGTTTAACCAGACTTCTGAAATTATTTGAAAATATTACACCTATAATAGATGATAGAAATTCAATGATGTAGTACTCCTGTAATTTTCTTCAGGCAAAAAGCCATGTTACATATGAGAAATTAATGACTAAGGTAACAAGTTATTGAATAAGAGGTTAGAAATAGTGCTGGATAGAAAACTGACAGCAGCATTCCTTTTACTCACAGGCTAAAGCCATAAAATCCCTCCTCTAGTGTCTGTTTCTGGAATATTCTAACCACGAGATAAGCCATCCTCTAGGTACTGCTGAGACCTTAAGGACTGAAGGAGTCAAGGAAGTCAGGATTCCTTTAATCCTCTACCTTCAAGGGCCACCCCATTTAAAAGTTGTGCTGACCTTTCTTCTTTCTCTCCTTTCTCGCCTCTCCTCTTCTTCCTTATCTTCTCATTCATCCCCTTTTCTTAACCATTCATATGTTTTTTCACCTTCCTGTAAGGGACAGGAAGTGTGGAGCTTTCCAGCCAGAGAAAAGTAAGACTTGCCAGGTGTTTAGCAATTCTGCTCCTGTAATCTCAAGATATTGCAAGTAAAGATTTTGAAAGTAGAATCATCTATCCTATTTTTGAAATTCAAAGACTCAGATATAATTTGAATATGAAGATTAAAAATTCAGTAAAATTTTATTCATCGTTATATGCAATAATGGTCATTTTCTTAGGGAAAGTAAGGGAGATATGCCACTTTCTATTTAAGCACTTTGCTTTAATATACATTAGGAAAAATCATTATATTTGGCAATCATCAAAGTAATTTGGACAAACACACTTTTAAAAAAACACTATAGAAACTGGCTTTTCCAGCATTGTACAGTTTGGTGAACTATAATAATCACCACAGATCAGTTCATTACCAAGTCCCCATCTTCTCTTTGCTTTCAAGACTGGTTTCTAGAATCTATTTGTTAGGTTACACACACACAAACACACACACACGCACAGACACACACGTTTTCACACACACGTGTAATGTGGCTTTTTGCCTGGAGAAAAATACATACAAGAGTACTACATCATTGAATTTCTGCTATCTATTATAGATGTAATGTTTTCAAATAATTTCAGAAGCCTGATTAAACAGGACCTCCCTTAACTGAACATACTGTATATGTTCACAAACATAACAGTAGTCCCCCTTATCTATGGATTACATGCTTCAAGATTTCCAGTGGACAGCACTAAACTGTGTTTTTTTTCCTACATGCATGGAAACCTGTGTATATTTTTCATATACATAAATATCTACAATAAAAAGTTTAATGTATAAATCAGGCACAGTAAGAGGTTAACAACAATAATTAATGAAACGGAATAATTATAGCAATATACCATAAGCAAAAGTTATATGAATGTGATCTCTTTCTCTCTCAAAATGTCTTATTATACTTACTCACCTATTTTTAGGCTGTGATTGACTGTGGGTAACTAAAACCAAGGGAAGTGAAATCACAAATAAGGGGGGAATACTGCACTGTGAAAACTCTCTTATGAGAAATGTCATAAATATTATATAATTTTCTCATATTTCAGATTGAAAATATGGACAATCTTTTTAAATTAATTAATTTAATTTGTAGAGATGAAGTCTCACTATGTTGCCCAGGCTGGTATTGAACTCCTGGGCTCAAGTCATCCTCCCACCTTGGTTTCCCAAGGTGCTGGGATTACAGGTGTGAGCCACTGCACCTGGCCAGATAATATCAACAAACTTAATCATACCATAGCTGGCTTTCTCTGCACATTTTGAATGAAACCATCTTTGAAACATTGAAATGTTTTGCTCATATATGATTTGCTTTTCTAGTGCCTTAATGCTAGATTTGACTAATTTATATTAGGAAATTAATTAGATTCATAAATAGAAATTATCTTTGCTAATAATAATTGGAAGTAAGAACTTTTACCCCAGTGAACATAAATATCAAAATTTCAAAATTAATCAGAGGTTTCCTGCAGATATATCATGTATGGAGAATAAGGAGATGTCATTTCTAGGAGTATTTCCTAACATCCAAGGCTGAATTTGTTGCCTCTGCTCTGTACACCATTTATCACACTTTATTATTAATGTCTATTTTATTTTCACTTCCCCTCCAGGTCAGCACTCTTCAATAGAATATTCTGTGAAGATAGAACGGATCTGTATCTGTGCTGTCCAATAGGTTAGCTACTGGCCACATATGGTTATGACACACTTAAAATATGGCTATTCTTAATCAGAATGTATCGTAATATAAACTACAGATTATATTTCAAAAACTTAGTGCAAAATTAAAATATATAGCATTAATATATTTTTACATAGAATGCATGCTGAAATGATAATATTTTGAATATATGGGGTTACATGAAATATAATTAATTTCACTCATTTTTTCTACTTTTTAAATAATGACTACTATGAAAATTTAGAATTATGCATATAGCTAGAAATTGTAGAGTACTGTATCTCTATGAGGAGGCATGCTTTATGTCTGTGAAAAAAAAGCATTTTTCTACATACTACATACAGTATTTTGTAACACTATATTCTAAGTTATATTTTAACTTCTATTTTCTATTAAATAGTAGTGTGTGCAGGTCATAATTTACTTGGGGCCTTTTCTTTTCTCTTTTAGTGTTTCTGTTTTTGCTTAGTGCATCTTATAATCAGTTATAAGTTAGGACCAATAAAATATGTTTTCTTTCTATGTTTGCCACATAAAAACACAGTGCAAATCAGTTGATTCTTAATCCTGTGAAAATATCACCAAATAACTAAAAACATTATATTTCAAAACGCTTGAATTAGTGTGCTTGCCAAAAGGAAGCTTACCCAGAAGCTTACCCAGAAGAAAGTGCTTTCTTGCTTACCCAGAAGAAAGTGTTAGCAAATACTTAAATAAAATGCAGCTCTCTAGAGAAATAATTGAGGCAGATCAGTTTCTCCTTCTCTTTGAATATTACTATAATCACTTCAAATAAGTCTACAGTATTGACTTTAGTTAGCATAAAAGAGAATTTGAATGATGGCTTGAAGTTTGTTGACATTATTTCTAACTAATAATCATACAATAGATTTGCACTGCATGTTTACATTGGTTGGAAGGAAGGGTTGGGAAACTTTGAGGAAAGAAAATTTAAGAAAAGTAAAATTATGTAAATTTTACTTTTACTTTTCTTTGATGTTAATATTTGTTGGTTTTTTCCTTTTTTATTTTAAAAATAATATCTGAAACAAAAAGTAATACAAACAGATGGTGTCTAATCAAATATCACGGTCCACGTTAAGGCACCTCCAATTTCACTCCTAGTAGCAACTCATTCCACTTCTGTCACTTTAATATATCTGGTGATTTCCACATAATTCTTCATCATGTGTTAACATCTTTATTTCTGAATTTATCAAATTTAGAAAAACATATATTAATGCTCAACAATTAAAGATAGAGAAAAGCCTGCATCATACTAAGCCCTATTTTCCTGTGATGTACTCCCATAGTCAATAGTGTACTATGTTTAGTTTTGTGTAGATTACCTTCCTATCTTAATTAAAAAATTAATTATCCCATTAACTTATGACAGTGTCTCTTAACTCACCATGTCTTCATATTAGAAAATAAGGGTTTTAGTACTTTCATCTATTCTTCTTTCTATTAGTAAATGTATTCCTTCCCTCTTCTATTTTCTATCATTCACGTTGCTAGAATATTTATTTATTTCCTGCAACCATAACCAAGTTTTTCAAACATTGATTCTTCCATAAATTCTAAAGTTGAAACCCAATAGCCACATTTCCACTTCTATGACTATGTAAATATTATCTACAGCCAAGTTAGGCTAACTCTAAGTCTATGTATCTTTACCCTCACTTCAATTCATTGATCTCAAAAAGACAAAAGCAATTATTTCTATTTTTTAATAAAATGCATATATTTTGCAAGTGCACTTTTATAACAGTTTGTGATACCTAATTTTACCAAAAACTTCCTGGGTTTTTCTTCCACAATCTAATTTTTAAAATGCAGTTTCATGTGGCTTGAATTATCAGAGTTAATAATATGCATTCCTGATATTAAAAAAAGTGACTTTTTATCTAGATGAAATAGTAACAGTGTTGAGTATATAGTAGATGCTGAACAATTATTTGTTAAATGAATGAATAATTCATCTTTCAAAGAAAGTTTTAATATCTAGATATAGAAATTTTTGAATTCAAGAGTAAGGTTCTTTTTTTACTGAATGCAGTAGATGAGAATAAATTATTAAAATGATTCTTAATATACTTTTGATGTAAGGATACTAAGAAAGAACTAACTGGATTTTTTTAGGTCAATGATTTTAATCATATAATTCAAACCTGAAAAATATTTGAATTACACGTGAACTTTTTACAATATGAGAATAGTTGACCACAAATTTGATAACACCATATTAAATTAAACCATATTAAATTAAACCATATTAAATTAAATTAATACCATATTGTCTAATTAAAATAAATTAAAGAATATTTCTAGTCTTTAAATACACATGAAAATTAAGCATTATTTTAAGAGTATGTTGTGACTCTTTCATGCAGTAAAAATTATTAACATTTTCTTTTAAAAATATGCACTTTATCTTAAAACAAGGCATAATTAAGGTGGGAGCTAGGTAGCAACTTTTTTTTATTTTTAATTTTTAATTTTATATTAAAATAATTTTATTTTTTATTTTATCAAATATATATTTAAATTATTGATGGTTTTAAAAAGTAGTAAACTTTTAATAAGGTTAAAAATTTAAATTTTTAATATTTTAATCATGTTCATAATCCTGATGCTGATGATGAGGCATTATCCTAAATCAAGAGGTAAACCTTTGAGGTTTGCTGTAATACAGTTGGGAGCACTGTATGAAGAGATGGATGTAAAACAGTGATCTTGTCATGTCTTATTTGTAATTAATGGAAAAAAATTCATAAATGCTCATGAAATAAGTTGCTAATAAATGTCCATAAAATAAAAAGAAAATTTGCTTTCTGTGTTACATGGAATATTCATAATTAGTGTCATTTCACTTCCATTCAATGGATTTTAAAGAATTTTGACCATCCTAGTATCTTCCAGATTGTTTTCATCCTCATAAGCCCAATCTGTCATTTTTCCCATTTTAAATGATTTGACATGTTGCTAAAACAGGACTCAGAAGAATTGGCTAAATATATCTATAACTGAGCTACCATTCTTTTGAATAAATGTTTAGTTTCACTTGGGCGATTTAGAATCAGAAGCAGAAGTTCCAGGAGGATAAAATGGAATGTGAACAGTATAGACAGATTAGAACAAATGAAAGATACGTAAAATCACCATGGGAAACAGTTAAGTTTTAACATTCATTGTCATGAAATTGTGTGATAGATGTTCACTGAACTTGTGTGACACTCCCTGCATAGCAGGCACTCAAGAAAGGTGATTGATGGACTGGCAACAAGTTTCCAAACTTTGGAATTTATTTAGCATGTCAAATTGAGAATTTATTTTTAAATACTACATTTGTTTATAGTTAAGATTAATGCTATTCAACTATTCAAAAAAATCACAGTTGCAACAATTCCCTAAGGAAATATTTCCCTAAGGAAATATTTCTTTTTATCTGGCCTTATTTTATTTCACTGTGTTAGAGAGTGATAGACCATGAGGGAGTTATTCTAGAGATGACTACTTCAGGTAGTTGTGAATGCCTAAGAGATACTTCTATAAATGATGGTACTTTCATTACAAGAAATTGTTCAAGTTGCCTTTCCATCTTGACTAATATTATGAAAGTTAAGTGGCAAAAAGTCAAGGAAAAATTTTGACATACCTTAGATCAAATACTGATCATTGCTGCTTTCTAACATATAGAATTAACAGAGACATAAAACAGTAAATTCAAGTTTTGGATCCATTACATACGTAAGTTTTACTAATTCATCACAATCATAGACACAGTTGCACAAAACAACATCCTGCTGATATTCTATATAATATGTAGAGTGTTCACTAATTTTAATTTGTTTTGTTCTTTCTTGTGAGTTAACCGATTGGTTCACTAGAGGCAACGGAATCCATGAGACCATAGCAAACACATATCTCCTACAAAAATGTCTCATTTCTGGCATTGAGTTAGGAAATTTTTCCAGAATTTCCTTAAAGTAGCACTATAAAAAATATAAGGATACCAACATCTAGAATGATTAGACACTATATCATAAATAATATCAAATATCAATCCTTACACTCAACTGACATTGTAGTATTGTGGTAACAAACAGTTTACAGTGGGATGTCATTGTTTGCTTTTGCTGTGAAATAACCTACCCCAAAACTCAATGCCTAAAAACAAGAATCAATTCTGTCCAATGTCAGTATGGGTTTGAATCAGCTGGGTGGTTTTTCCACTGGTAAGGTTGGAGCTTCCACATCACCTACAGTCAGCTTGGGGCTGATTTGTCTAGAATGAACTAACCCACAGGTCTGGGGGTCAGTGCTTCCTATCATCTGTGGCTATGACCATCAGGCTAGCCTGGGACTCATTTGCATGGGGGTGATCATAGTTTTCAAAAAAACAGCAAAGTAAGGTATATTCCAAAGCAGAAGCACATTGAAGTCCCTCCTTCTATCACATATACCTGTTACCCCAGGGCTTGCTGTCCAAAGCGAGTCACGTGACCAAGTTAAGTATAAATGGATTTTAGTCTTCTCAATAGCATGGATACAAACAGCCATGATTAAATTGAGGGCTATTGCTATAACAATCTATAATGCTGGAATAATGGCTTGCTAATTAAATACAAACAAATCAGGTCTTTATATTGTCCTAGTTGAATCAAATCAATGTATTAGTAATATATAAACTTTTCTTTATCCATTAGTTCATGAATGTATTTAAATATTTATTTATTCAATTCATGGTAAAAATGTAGAATTAAAACATGACTTAAATTTAAGTTCTAAGAAAGATTTATTTATTTATTTATTACTTCCCCATGCCAATTAAAATATTTGGAACTGAATACTTAGGTATGCAGCAGAGAGAAAAAAGTTGGCTGGTCCTCAAGAGGCACTCTGAGTCCACACACACAGCCATGTAAAATTGGCATGGAGATAAAACACAAAAAGAGAATTATAAGAGACGAAACAGAAGAAAGCATCTTAATTTTAATATAAAATAATCCTAAACACAATTGTTTGTGCCTATATCCAATTAGAAATTCCTCTTCACATGCAGAGGAAGATAGAAAAGCTTAGACAAAGTGGGACTATGTTTGAGAGAGAGACGAAAAATTCCACTTGAGAAATAACTTCATACCAAATATTTTAAATGATAAAACTCAACACTGCATATACAACCTGCTTAGGTAAAATGGTAAAACACATGTAAACCTTAGTGATGATACACAGAAAGAATGAGGAAAATGTTACCATATATCTGTAATTTCACACCTAAGAAATTATGCTAAAGAAAATATTCAACAGAACATTCTGGCTTAATAACAAACTATTTTTAAAAATTGAAAACAATTATAGAAATATGGTTTAAATTACAATTGAACATAGAGATAATTGGGTAGCCATTAACATTATAATTATGAAGATTTTTTTCAACACAGAAAATGTTTAACATGTAAATAACATTGAGTAAAAATGCTAATTTATATGATTGCTACCATGTTTTACATACACACCCATACGTGTATATGTAAAAAAACCCCATAAATTTTGAGTTACAGTGGTTAACTTAATGAGTAATTGTTTGAAAGTAGAAATTATTTATATTTCTATGTATTAAATTTGAGATATAATAACATTCCTTGAAATAAGTATACCCTGAATTCATTAAAAATTCATAAAAACAATTTAAAATAAGAGCAAAATATATAAAATGAGTTTTATGCCTTAGTTACCAATTGTTTCAATTCAAATTCACTGGCTTTACTATAGGTATTAAAAGGTTGCATAGCAGAGTGGGTCAATCTATTAAGGTTTCATTGTTTTCTTAGTAAAAAGTTACTTCAAAAATGAAATAGAAAATAGAGAATTATATTTGCATTCAAAACTAGAAATTGTTCCAATAGTCCAAACCAAGCAAAGTCCTTATTTAACATAAATAACCAGGGTAACTGACTTACTACCTTACTTTTCTGTGTACATATAGTCTACAAAGAAAATATATTCAGTGTTTTAATTATACTAGGCATCATGTTATTTATGTCTCACCTATATCTAGGTAAAATACGTTTCTCAAATATCATTAAGTGAATTTCAACTTGACTTTCAAGCCAAATTATTAGTATTTCTAGAATATCCATCTCCTTTGCCCTGCTATAGAATTACTCCAAATGTAACTCTAAGTTATCAAGCTTAGAAAATTGAAATGGAAATTTAGTTGTAGGCTGTTTTCAGCTCAGTTAGGAAGCATGCAATTGCAATTGAATGCTCAGCAGCAAACACTGCTTGAGCCTGAAGGCCTTTCAAATTTTTGTTGAGCAACTCACGTAAATGATTAAAGCATATGGCAGTGCTGTCTTTTCTTTCCTCCATAAATAAAAGAAATGTTAGTAGTATTTAACTTTGACCCAGAAACACAATGCTATTGTCACTGCAAAATGTCAGCCCCATTATGAAGTTTAAGATAGATCAGGTCAGACTTGCATTGTATTTTCTTAAGTGAAGAGAAACATTGAGTAATATATATCATGATGAAAAAAAGACATTGGAATGTTTAGGGAAAAAATTATGGTAACCTGCTATTTTACTTCTGAAACATATAAACTTTATTTTGCATGGTGTATTAATGTCTCAAAGGGAGAAATGCAATGGAAAATATGCAAAATGAATAGAAAAGTTACTAATCTGTGGTATAAGTTTCGGGGGATTTCTTACCTTTCATGTAGGCTGTGAGATACCTCCAAACACCAAGAAATTAGACCTGTTAATATAATTCCCAAAATATTGGTCTATTACTGATACTGTATTAACTCCTAAGGAGATTTAAAGAATTTAAATAACTCACTCAACGTTGCTAAATACAAACAAATAAAAAGTAACACTAAAGTTAACTTTATAATATGGGCATCTGATTGATTAGGAAGAAGGTGGAAAAGGAAAAAAACAATTGGAACAGTAAATATTTCACACTTTCTCTCATGCTCTGAATTTGAAACTCATTGTTTATTTGGGAAACTTACCATTGGGTGGACCCAAAGCATGATTTTGGTTGTAGTTCCAACCTCTTAGTTTCCATTATTTCCTGCCCTTTTCATGAACCTTGCTTCATAAATCACCAAACATTGTTGGAGAAATATCATGTTTTGAAGTACATTTTTTTCTATTCCAATTACTCAGAGTTGGTTAATCTTGTTTACCTCTCAAACATGAATTTGAAAACATTATGTTAGAGCGTGTTACAGGCAAGAGACCTGAAACCTGATATTGGTCACTGGCCCGGGTGTGAATGAAAAGTAAAGCCTGGTTCACATTAAGATAATTGGATCTGGCAGCCTATAGTTTGCAAGGTGAAACCATTAATAAAATTATCCATAATGCACTGTGAAAGCCAAGTTTGCAGGATGGAGTTGCCACTACTAGAGGAGAATATGCACAACACAGTGAACACAAGACCTATGGTGTGATGGGACTGAAATTAACAGATCTAACCAGCTTAGAGAAATAAATCACAAGTTTAGATTGCTAAATTTCAGAATTAAGGTATAGACTGAAACTCAGCAATTTTCTGCAATTGTGCTGAAAGAATAACTTACCTCTTATGAGGGAAAACATGTAATGCCCCAGGTACTATTCTAGTTATAGGACAAACAACAATAAACCTAACTAGGAAAACTCCTCCAACTATAAAGAGCTATACTTAACATAGTAAGGCAGAAAAGTAATAAAATTTTCATGATGAATAGATTAGATAGATAGGTAGATAGATAGATGATAGATAGATAGATAGATAGATAGATAGATAGATAGATAGATAAATAGATAGTTTCATTTATTTAATTTAGAGATAGATGAAAAGAAAGTGAGTATCAGAGAGGGTTGTCTGTGAGTGTATGGGTGTGTCTGGGATGGGAGTCTTGTTTTTTATATAGTGGTTAGAGAAGGTGTCACTGGCAATTTGACGTTTAAGAATGACTTAAGAAAGTATTGGAATGAACCATGTGGTTATTTGGGGGAAAGAATGCTGGAGGCATATTGATTAGCAAGTACAAGAGTCTTAAGGAAGGATCATGTCTGACATTTTAAAGAGAAAGCAAAGAGGTCAATGTGGTTGGAGCAAAGTAAGTGAGCTGGAGACTTACAAGAGATAAGTAACCACAGGCTATTCCTAGGGCTTTGGATTTCTCAAGCCACGTGAGATAGTAAGCTATGAGTCTTTAAAGCAGAGAACTGATATTATCTGACCAACTTGATTGCTCTAGTAATAGTATACTCTGATAGTCAGGGTGGAAAGAGTGACATTTGTTAAAAAGGAAAAAAAAAAGTTATCTAACATTTTTGACCTGCGAAATCAAAAGAACAGATCAATGACTTACCATGAAGGGAAAAATGTTTAGGCAATGCAAGTCAGTGTGGATTTTGAAATCATTAAGTTCAGTATTGGATATTGTGATGGTTAATTTTAGGTGTTAATTTGGGCTAAGGAATACTCAGAAAGATGGTACATCTGTGAGGGTGTTTCTGGAAGAGATTAACATTTGAACCTATAGACTGAGTAAAAATCTGAGCAAAGATCTCCTCAATTTGAGTGGACATCATCCAATGGCAGAAGAAGGGCAAATGTGCTCTCTGCTTGAGCCAGAACATTGATATTTTCCTGCCCTTGGACATCAGGGCTTCTGGTTCTTGAACCTTCAATTTGGACCAGAACTTACATCATTGACACCTCAGTTCTCAGGACTTTGCACTTGAACTGTGAATTACACTACTGGTTTCCATGGTTCCCAGGCCACCAGATTTAAGCTGGATTCAAAGTAGCACTTTGGCATCCCTGGGCTTCCAGCTTGCAGACAGCTGGAAGGTTATGAGACTTCTCAGCCTTCTTAACTTCTTTGGAGAACCCTGGCTAATACAGATTTTAGTGTTTAGAGTAGTTCTAGGAAAACAAAATTTTAAGGATGAGTTTTCTGAATTGTTTCTGGGGTATCTAGAACTGATTCCCTAATCTGATTAAAGACAATGATGACTTTCTTTTGTTAGTAAAGAGAACACTGATAGTCCATGGCATGAACTGTTTATAAAAAATATGCAACATATCTGCATTGTATAATTCTAATCAACCACGTATAAGAAACAAGGAGCTAGGTGACTCTGTATATGATACTTTCAAACATTTTTGGAAAACTAATTAATATAATTATGTTCGTTGGTTACTTCTAATGTCACCGGATATGTCTATGGCCCTACCACCCTGAACACACCAAATCTCACCTGAAAATGTCACTGGATGAATTGGTAAAGAAAAGAATGTGCTCTAGGATTCAAATTCCTAGCTCAAGTACCAAATAAATGACCTAAGAGCATCTGTGTGTGTCCTGAAAGGGTCCCTTATTTCCTGTAGCTGAAGGGCTGAAATTGCTAAAACTTAAACACAAAACCTCATCCTGCAACTGGTTAAATTACAGTGCAAGTTGAACTCTCATCTTTGAATGATTTCTACTCTTAGGGTGAGGGTATTGACTGGAAAAAGAAAATGGGATCCTATATATATATATATTGCAGTGGGGATGTGTGGAACGATCTTGATGAAACTAGATACATTCACCCCTAAATTCTGTTAAGTCTTCCATACCAATGGAAGAAGTTTTCTCACTCCTAATGGAAGTGGCCTTCTAAATCCTAGTGGCACTGGTCTCTTCACCTCTGGTGACAATGGCAACACCACTCCCAGAGATATTGGTCTCCCCACCCCCAGTGACACAGTGACAATGACCTCACTACTCCCAAGGGTCAGTCTCTCCACCCTCAGTGGTATCTGCCTTTGTCTGTACTCACAATAGTCTGGGCCTTTGTATCCATCTGAGGGGATTGACCCTGCCTTCCTTGAGCAATGACAACAGTAATGGACTCCCCTAAGGCAGTTGCCACGTAATTCGAAGCTGATTTTCCTCAGGACACCCCTTATCTCTCATCTTTGCTTCCAGACCTATAATTGGACTCAAGTTTCAGTAGACTTCTAAGAGTGAGGTGTAAAATGTGACCCATGAGGATGTAAGCTACACTCACAAAGCACTTCTTGAGTTTTCTAATTTATAAGGCAGAATCCAGAGAATGTATGTGGGGATGATACTAACAGTATGGGGTAATGGTGGCAGAAAGATAATGTAGGATTAGGCCATATTTATTGATATGTGCTCATTTAGCAGAAATTCTGCATTTAATGTTGTAGCTTCTGGGGATAGAAAGCGTTCTACAGTTTGGTTGCCTGGTTAGAACAAGGACCAAAGGATGGTCCACTGTGAGCAAATTGGAAATGCTGGATGTACCTTGGTTTAGTGTAGAGAAAGTGATTCAAAGGCTTAGGAGGTTAGAATATTAGAATGAATTTATAATTTAGTAACTACCCACCCACATTGGGAGGGTACAGAAGACATACCTTCCACCACTCTATGAGAAATAAATTTGTGAAAGAAACCCCAGGATCTTTGAAGAACTCTGGGTTCACTCTTTCTGTATGTCACACTTCAAAGTGGGAACTGCAGTCACTGAATTGGAAAATCTAAATGCAATGGGAGTAACTGGTTCCTGGGGTATCAGAGACCAAGTGGTGGAACTCAACCACCAAAGGCAGGCTGGGCTTGGTTACTGTAATGGGCAGCAGGGTGAAAGCAGCAATCAGGATAGTCTGACTTGCCCAGACCTATGAAATTAGCTAGTTTAATCATGATGTACTTAGAAGTGAAATAGTAAGACTATTCTTTTTTTAAAACGTATGTATTTTTTAATTGACAAATAGAAATTGTGTATATTAATCATGTACTGAGGGCTGGCAAGATGGCCAAATAGGAACAGCTCTGGTCTGCAGCTGACAGCAAGACCAATGCAGAAGGTGGGTGATTTCTGCATTTCCAACTGAGGTACCCAGTTCATCTCACTGGGACTTATTAGAAAGTGGGTGTAGCCCACAGAGGGCAAGCAGAGCATGGTGGGGCATCACCTCACCCAGAAAGCACAAGGGGTCAAGGAACTCCCTCCCCTAGCCAAGGGAAGCCTTGAGGGACTGTGCCATAAGGGACCGTGTTATCCAGCATAGATGCTATGCTTTTCCTGTGGTATTTGCAACCCACAGACCAAGAGATTCCCTCGGGTGCCTACACCACCAGGGCCCTGGGTTTCAAGCACAAAAGTGGGCAGCTGTTTGGGCAGACACCAAGCTATCTGCAGGAATTTATTTTTTCATACCTCAGTGGTGCCTGGAACACCAGAAAGACAGAACTGTTCACTGCCCTGGAAAGGGGGCTGAAGCCAGGGAGACAAGTGGTCTTGCTCAGTGGATTCTACTCCCACAGAGCCCAGCAAGCTAAGATCCACTGGCTTGAAATTCTCGCTGCCAGCACAGCAGTCTGAAGTCAATCTGGGATACTCAAGCTTGGTTGTGGGAGGGGCATCGGCCATTGCTGAGGCTTGAGTCAGCAGTTTTCACCTCACAGTGTAAACAAAGCCGCCAGGAAGTTTGAACTAGGTGGAGCCCACCAGAGCACGACAAAGCCACTGTATCCAGACTGCCTCTCTAGATTCCTCCTCTCTGGCCAAGGCATCTCTGAAAGAAAGACAGCAGCCCCAGTCAGGGGCTTATAGATAAAACTTCCATCTCCCTGGGACAAAGAACCTGGGGAAAGGGGCAGCCATGGGCCCAGCTCCAGCAGACTTAAATGTTCCTGCCTGTCAGCTCTGAAGAGAGCAGCAGATCTCCCAGCATAGCACTCAAGCTCTGCTAAGGGTCAGACTGACTCCTCAAGCAGGTCCCTGACCTCTGTGCCTCCTGACTGGGAGACGCCTCTCAGCAGGGGTCAACAGACACCTCATACAGTAGAGCTCTGGCTGGTATCTGGCAGATGCCCCTCTGAGATGAAGCTTCCAGAGAAAGGAGCAGTCAGTGCAGCCTCCAGTGGTGAAACCCAGGCAAATAGGGTCTGGAGTGGACCTCCAGCAAACCCCAGCAGACCTGCAGCAGAGGGGCCTGACTGTTAAAAGGAAAACTAAGAAACAGAAAGCAATAACATCAACATCAACAAAAAGGACACCTACACAAAAAACCCCATCTGAAGGTCACCAACATCAAAGATCAAAGGTAGAAAAATCCATGAAGATGAGGAAAAAAATAGCACAAAAATGCTGAAAGTTCCAAAA
The DNA here is from genome assembly GCF_000001405.40 of Homo sapiens. Classification (NCBI taxonomy): domain Eukaryota; kingdom Metazoa; phylum Chordata; class Mammalia; order Primates; family Hominidae; genus Homo; species Homo sapiens. The sequence continues at coordinate 64,809,530 of NC_000010.11, read as the reverse complement.
AAAGAATGCCTCTTCTTCTGCAAAGGATCACAACTCCTCACCTACAAGGGAAAAAAACTGGACAGAGAATGAGATTGATGAATTGACAGAAGTAGGCTCCAGAAGGTGAGTAATAACAAACTCCTACGTGCTAAAGGAGCATATTCTAACCCAATGCAAGGAAGCTAAGAACCTTGATAAAAGGTTAGAGGAACTGCCAACTAGAATAACCAGTTTAGAGAAGAACATAAATGACCTGATGGAGCCAAAAAACACAGCACAAAAACTTTGTGAAGCATATACAAGTATACAAGCTGAATCAATCAAGCAGAAGAAAGGATATCAGAGATTGAAGATCAACTTAATGAAATAAAGTGTGCAGACAAGATTAGAGAAAAAAGAATGAAAAGAAATGAACAAAGCCTCCAAAAAATATGGGACTATGAGAAAGATCAAATCTACATTTGATTGGTGTACCTGAAAGTGACATGGAGAATGACACCAAGGTGGAAAACACCCTTCAGGAAATTGTCCTGGAGAACTTCCCCAACATAGCAAGACAGGCCAACATTCAAATTCAGGAAATACAGAGAACACCACAAAGATATTCCTCGAGAAGAGCAATCCCAAGACACATAATCATCAGATTCACCAAGGTTGAAAAAAAGGAAAAAATGTTAAGGGCAGCCAGAGAGAAAGGTCGGGTTACCCATAAAGGGAAGCCCATCAAACTAACAGTGGATCTCTCTGCAGAAACCCTACAAGCCAGAAGAGAGTGGGGGCCAATATTCAACATTATTAAAGAAAAGAATCTTCAACCCAGAATTTCTTTTTCAGGCAAACTAAGCTTCATAAGTGAAAGAGAAATAAAATCATTTCCAGGCTAGCAAATGCTGAGGGATTTTGTCACCACCAGGCCTGCCTTACAAGAGTTCTGAAGGAAGCACTAAATAGGGAAAGGGAAAAATGGTACCAGCCACTGGAAAACATACCAAAATGTAAAGACCATCAACACTATGAAGAAACTGCATTAACTAATGTGCAAAATAACCAGCTGGCATCATAATGACAGGATCAAATTCACATATAACAATATTAACTTTAAATATAAATGGTCTAAATTCCCCAATTAAAAGACACAGACTGGAGAATTGGATAAATAGTCAAGAACCATCAGTGTGCTGTGTTCAGGAGACCCATCTCACATGCAAAGACACACATAGGCTCAAAATAAAGGGATGGAAGAATATTTAAAAGGCAAATGGAAAGCAAAAAAAGGCATGGGATGCAATCCTATTCTCTGATAAAACAGACTTTAAACCAACAAAGATCAAAAAAGACAAAGAAGGGCATTACATAATGGTAAAGGGATCACTGCAACGAAAAGAGCTAACTATCCTAAATACATATGCTTTCAATACAGCAGCACCCAGATTAATAACACAAGTTCTTAGAGACCTACAAAGAGACTTAGACTCCCACACAATAATAGTGGGAGACTTTAACACCTCATTGTCAATATTAGACAGATCAGTGAGACAGAAAATAAACAAGGATATTCAGGACTTGAACTCAGCTCTGGACCACGTGGACCTAATAGACATCTACAGAACTCTCCACCCAAAATCAACAGAATATACATTTTTCTCAGCACCACATAGCACTCACTCTAAAATTGAACACATAATTGGAAGTAAAACAGTCCTCAGCAAATGCCAAAGAATGTAAATCATAACAGTCTCTCAGACCACAGTGCAATCAAATTAGAACTCAGAATTAAGAAACTCACTCAAAACCACACAACTATATGGAAACTGAACAACCTGCTCCTGAATGACAACTGGGTAAATAAGAAAACCAAGGCAGACATAAATAAGTTCTTTGAATCTAATTATAACAAAGACAAAATGTACCAGAATCTCTGGGACATAGCTAAAGTAATGTTTAGAGGGAAATTTATAGCACTAAAGGCCCACATGAGAAAGCGGGAAAGATCTAAAATCCACATCCTAACATCACAATTACAAGAACTAGAGAAGCAAGAGCAAACAAATTCAAATGCTAGCAGAAGACACAAAATAACTAAGATCAGAGCAGAACTGAAGGAGATAGAGACAAAAAAAACCCTTGAAAAAAATCAGTGAATCCAGGAGCTGCTTTTTCTAAAAGATTAACAAAATAGATAGACCACTAGCCAGACTAATAGAGAACAAAAGAGAGAAGAATCAAATACACACAGTAAAAAATGATAAAGGGGATATCACCACTGATCCCACATAAATGCAAACTACCACCAGAGAATACTATAAACAACTCCATGGAAATAAACTAAAAAATATAGAGGAAATGGATAAATTTCAGGACACATACACCCTCCCAAGGCTAAACCAGGAAGAAGTCGAATCCTTGAATAGACCAATAACAAGTTCTGAAATTGAGGCAGTAACTAACAGCATACCAAACAACAAAAGCCCAGGACCAGATGGATTCACAGCAGAATTAGACCAGAGGTACAAAGAGGAGCTGGTACCATTCCTTCAGAAACTATTCCAAACAATAGAAAAAGAGGGACTCCTCCCTAACTCATTTTATGAGGCCAGCATCATCCTGATACCAAAACCTGGCAGAGACACAACAAAAAAAGATAATTTCAGTCCAATATCCCTGATGAACATCGATAAGAAAATCCTCAAAAAATAACAAATAAATAATAGGCAAACTGAATCCAGCAGCACATCAAAAAGTTTACCCACCAAGATCAAGTTGGCTTCATCCCTGGGATGCAAAGCTGGTTCAACATACGTGAATCAATAAATGTAATCCATCACATAAACAGAACCAATGACAAAAAACACATGATTATCTCAATAGATCCAGAAAAGGCCTTCAATAAAATCAACACCCCTTCATTGCTAAAAACACTCAATAAACTAGGCACTGATTGAATATTTCTCAAAATAATAAGAACTACTTATGACAAACCCACAGCCAATATCATACTGAATGGGCAAAACCTGGAAGAATTCCCTTTGAAAACCGGCACAAGACAAGGATGCCCTAACTCACCAATCCAATTCAACTCAGAATTGGAAGTTCTGGCCAGGGCAATCAGGCAAGAGAAAGAAATAAAGCATATTCAAACAGGAAGAGAGGAAGTCGAATTGTCTTTGTTTGCAGATGATATGATTGTATATTTAGAAAACCCCATCGTCTCAGTCCAAACTCTCCTTAAGCTGATAAGCAAATTCAGCAACGTCTCAGGATAAAAAATCAATGTGCAAAAATCACAAGCATTACTATACATCAATAATAGACAAACAGAGAGCCAAATCATGAGTGAACTCCCATTCACAATTGAACTAACCTGCTCCTGAATGACAACTGGGTAAATAACAAAACTAAGACAGAAATAAGTAAGTTCAAAGAGAACTTGAACTTATTTATTACAAATAAGTTTAGTAATTTAAATAATTACAAAGAGAATAAAATACCTAGGAGTACAACTTACAAAGGATGTGAAGGACCTCTTCAAGGAGAACTACAAACTGCTGCTCAAGGAAATAAGAGAGGACACAAACAAATTGAAAAACATTCCATGCTCCTGGATAGGAAGAATCAATATCTTGAAAATGGCCAGACTGCTCAAAATGATTTATAGATTCAATGCTATTTCCATCAAGCTACCATTGACTTTCTTCACAAAATCAGAAAAAAAAATACTTTAAATTTCATATGGAACCAAAAGTGAGCCCATATAGCCAAGACAATCCTAAGCAAAAAGAACAAAGCTGGAGGCATCATGCTACCTGAATTCAAACTATACTACAAGGCTACAGTAACCAACGCAGTAACCAAAACAGCATGGTACTGGTACCAAAACAGATATATAGACCAATGGGACAGAACAGAGGCCTCAGAAATAACACCATGTATCTACAACCATCTGATCTTTCACAAACCTGACAAAAATAAGCAATGGGGAAAGGATTCCCTATTTAATAAATGGTGTTGGGAAAACTGGCTAGCCATATGCAGAAAACTGAAATTGGATCCCTTTCTTACACCTTATACAAAAATTAACTCAAGATGGATTAAAGACTTAAATGTAAGACCTAAAACCATAAAAACCCTAGAAGAAAATCTAGGCAATACCATTCAGGACATAAGCATGGGCAAAGACTTCATGACTAAAACACCAAAAGCAGTTGCAACAAAAGCCAAAATTGACAAATGGGATCTAATTAGAAAGCTTCTGCACAGCAAAAGAAACTATCATCAAAGTGGACAGGCAACCTACAGAATAGGAGAAAATTTTTGCAATCTATCCCTCTGACAAAGGGCTAATATACAGAATCTACAAGGAACTTAAACAAATTTAAAGAAAAAAAAAGACCCCATCAAAAAGTGTGTGAAGGATATGAACAGACACTTCTCAAAAGAAGACATTTATGCAGCCAACAAACATTTGAAAAAAAGCTCATCATCACTGGTCATTAGAGAAATGCAAATCAAAACCACAGTGAGATACCATCTCATGCCAGTTAGAATAGCAATCATTAAAAAGTCTGGAAACAACAGATTCTGGAGAGGATGTGGAGAAATAGGAATGCTTTTACACTGTTGGTGGGAGTGTAAATTAGTTCAACCATTGTGGAAGACAGTGTGGTGATTCCTCAAAGATCTAGAACCAGATTTGACCCAGCAATTCCATTACTGGGTATAAACCCAAAGGATCATAAACCATTCTACTACAAAGACACATGCACACATATGTTTATTGCAGCACTATTCACAATAGCAAAGACTTGGGACCAACCCAAATGCCCATCAGTGATAGACTGGATAAAGAAAATGTGGCACATATACACCATGGAGTACTATGCAGTCATAAAAAAGAATGAGTTCATGTCCTTTGCAGGGATAAGAATGAAGCTGGAAACCATCATTCCCAGCAAACTAACACAGGAACAGAAAACCAAACACTTCATGTTCTCAGTCATACACGGGAGTTGAACAATGAAAACACGGAGGGAACATCACACACTGGGGCCTGTTGCGGGGTGGGGGGCTAGGGGAGGGATAGCATTAGGAGAAATACCTAATGTAGATGACAGGTTGATGGGTGCAGCAAACCACCATGGCACATGTATACCTATGTAACAAGCCTGCACGTTCTGCACATGTATCCCAGAACTTAAAGTATAATTAAAAAATTAAAAAAATAATTGACCACATGATGTTTTGGAATATGTATACATTATGAAATAAAAGTCTACTAAAGTCTTATTGGATATGTATAAACAGAAAAATTCCAAGTCAAGTAAACAAAAGTGTATCTCAAATTATAAAGTTAGTCATCATCTTTCAATCAATTCTCAGACTTGAGCCAATTTATAGGCCCAGAACCCCCTTGAAGTAAGGGGGAATCCAGTTCCTCTTGAGGAAATATTCCAACAGACTACCAAAAAGTATGTTGTAAATCTTTCTCCCAGTCTTCCCCAAAAAGATCTTGGCCAGTGCATTAGGAAAAATAAAATAATCCAATTTTAGGGGAACTACTGGACGCTAGCTCTGAAATAATATTAATCATCATCGTGGCTCACCATTCAGAGTAGGAGCTTATGAAGGTCAGTTGATAAATAAAGTTTTAGCTCAGATCCATCTCATAGTGGGTCGAGTGTGTCCCTAAACCCATCCTGTGGGTATGCAATTATGCATTCCCGGTTCTAGAATGCATAATTGAAAGAGACATACATAGCAGCTGCAAGAATCCCCACATTTGCTCTCTGATCTGTGTAGTTAGGGCTATTATGATGGGAAAAGCCAAGTGAAAACACTAGAATGGCCTCTACCCATGAACATAGTAAATCACTGATAATAAAACATTCATTGAGGGATTGCAGAGATTATTAGTGCCACTGTTAAGAAAAGATGCAAGGATAGCAATTCACACCGTATCTCCATTCAACTCTCCTATTTGGCCTATGCAGAAGACAAATGGATCTTGGAGAATGACAGAGGATTATCATAAATTTAGCCAGGTTAGTGACTCCGCAGATTCCCCCCAAAACTGGGCAACAGCATCACAACAGCCCCTCTCAAGGACATCCCTGAAGGAGAGTCATGATGGAAAATCTTCCCAGTGAGTAGATCTTTGAACAGGGTACCTGGTTGCACACATTTTGCCACAAAGGAGAAATGAGAAAAAGTTCTTCTATCCCAGTTCATGGGCTGTAGCCAATGGTTTGACTGGATGGTCAGGGAATTTGAAGAAACGTAATTGGAAAACTGCTGAGAAAGAAACATCGGGAAGAGATATATGAATATATATCTCTGAAGGAAAAAAAATGTTAAAATATGTGTGTCCCACAAGAATGCTCACCAAGAGGTGACCTCAGCTGTGGAGGGGGGTTTTGAAATCAAGTGGACAGAGTAACCCATTCTTTGAATACCAGTCAGCCTCTTTCCCCAACCACCCCTGTTATCACCCAATTGGCTTACGAATAAAGTGACCATGGTGATAGGAAAAGAGGTTAAGCATGGGCTCGGCAACATGGACTTTCATTCATCAAGGCTCACCTGGCTATGGCCTCTGCTGAGTGCCCAACATGCCAGCAGCAGAGACTGGCACTGAGACCTCTATATGGCATTATTCCCCAAAGTGATCAGTCAGATACCTGGTGGCAGGTTGATTACACTGAATTATTTCCATCATGGAATGTGTAGTATTTTGTCCCTATTGGAATGGACACTTACTCTGGGTTTTTCTTCCCTGAGTGCAGTGTTTCTGCCAAAGCTACCATATGTGGATCTACAGATTGCCTTTTACACTGCCATGGTATTCGTCACAGCATTGCTTTTAATCAATGAAATCATGTCACAGCAAAAGAAATGTGGTAAGGAGGCCATGCTCATGGAATTCACTGGTCTTACCATGATCACCACCATTCTGAAGCAGCTTGCTTGATAGAGCAATAAAATGGCCTTTTGAAGGTTCAGTTACAGTGCAAGTGAGTGTCAAAACTTTGCAGGGCTAGGGTATGGTTTTTCAGAAGTCTGTATATGCTCTAAATTAGCCTCCAATATATGGCATTGTTTCTTTCATAGCCAGGATTCATGAGTCTGGAAATCAAGAGGTGGAAACAGGAGTAGCACCACACCTCTTATTGTCACCCTTGGAAATTCACTAACAAAATGTTTACTTCCTGTTCCCATGACATTCTGCTCTGCTGGCCTAGAGGTCTTGTTCAAGAAGGAAGAATGTTTCTACCAGGAGGCACAACAATGATTTCACTGAATTGGGATTTTTAAGACAAGTACCTGGCCACTTTGGGCTCCTCATCTCACTGAATCAACAGGTAAAGAAGGGAGTTATGGTGTTAGCTAGGGTGATTAATCCTGACTACCAAGGGGAAATTGAACTACTTCTCCAAAATGGAGGCAAAGAAGAATATGTCTGGAATACAGGAGATCCCTTAAAGTGTCTCTCAGTGTTACCATGCCCTGTAACTAAGGTCAATGGAAAACTACAACCCAATTCAAACAGGACTACTAATAGGTGAGACTCTTCAGGAATGAAGGTTTGGGTCACCCTACCAGGTAAACAACCACAATTAGCTAATGTACTTGCTGAAAGCAAAGGAAATACAGAATGAGTAGTAGAAGAAGATAGTTATAAATACCAGCTACAATCATATGACTAGTTACAGAAACAAGGACTCAAGCTGCCATGAGTGTTTTCTTCTTATTTTGATATATATACACACACATATATGCATTTGATATGTACACATATATATACACACAAATACATCTGTGTGTATATATTTATATACATACATATATTAAGCCAATATCTTTGGTTTCTTTTCTCTCTTTTTTTCAATTATATAATATAAAATGTACCGACTTTATATCACCATTTTAGTATTATTAATTTTACATAATAGTATTTAAGAATGGGTTACCAGGAGAAGAGAAAACCACTCATGGACTTTACCTTCTCTACTGGAAAATGGACCAACGTGCAGGATAGCTGTATCACATTAGTTGGAATTAGGACCTTATTATTGTCTTTATTTAGGTATTTGGTATTTAAGAAGAGGTTTATAAATGCCAAGTTGATAAAGGGTAGGATTGTGATGATTAATTTTAGGTGTCAATTTGACCATGCTAAGGAATGACCCAATATATGGCAAAATATTATTTCAGGGTGTGTGTGAGGATGTTTTCAGAAGAAATCATTATTGAATCTGTAGGCCGAATGTGGAAGATTGCCCTCTTCAATGCTGATGGACACCACCCAACCTGTTGAGGGCCTGAATAGAACAAAAGGTAGAGGAACAGCAAGCTTGCTCTCTGCTTGAGTTGAGACATTCATCTTCTTCTGCCCTTGGAAATTTTGCTCCTGGTTTTCTGGCACTCAGACTTGGACTAGGATTTAAATCATCAGAATGTTGGAAGAAATATGGACAGTAGAGGCCATTCTGATGAGGTATCAAATGGAAATGAGCATGTTAGTTGACAATAGATTAAAAAAAATCTTTGTTACAAAGTGGCAAAGAGCTTTGCTGAATTGTATTTGTGTTCTAGTGTTTATTCGAAGCTACTTGGCTGAAGTTATTTCTAAGCAAAGTTGTGGAGTCTTAACTGTCCCTGACTGCTTATGGTAAGCAGAAAGAAGGATAAACGGTTTAAAGTGGAATTATTAAGCAACAAGGAGGCAGAACTTAAAGATTTGAACATTTTTCAGCTTATTCATATGGAAAGAAAAAGAGACCTTTTCGTGGAAGAACATTAAGGGCGTGGCCAAGATAAGGAGATTCATATAGATGTGAACCATGGACTTACTCAGCCACCAGAGCAGGAAAACTGCCAGTTTGACTTGAAGAAAAAGGACACAAAAAGGAATAAAGGAAGACTGTCCTACTTTCTGTATTTTATAGGACAGAACTATAGAGCTACTCAGCTTCAAATGTGCACTATTCTTTAAAACCGGAGAAGAATGACCTCAAACGCAATTCAGAGATCATTAGGGCTGCCTCCTTGGTTTCAAAAGGGGAGACCATCACCTTTCTTTCAACAGGCCTAACAATTGTGCGAAGCTGTGGAGGCGGGACCACTGCCCCAGTGGTTTCAGAGGCAGGATTGTCACCCCAGTGGGTCAGAAATGTAGGACTACTGTCACTGTGTGCCTAAAAGGCACAACATTGAGCCGAAGAGGATTATTCTGAAGTCTTAAAATCTCATGGAGTTTGCTTTGTACTTTGTACTTCATACTTACTTGGAATCTGTTACCCCTTTCTTTTTTCCTGATTTCTCTCTTTTGGAATGGAAATGTGTATTTTATGCCTGTCCCATGATTGCATTTTGGATACACATGAGTTGTTTGGTTTCACAATGTCACAGCTGGAGAGCAGTTGGCCTCAGGATTAACTGTACTTTATTTAATTTAATTTAATTTATTTATTTATTTACTTTTTTGAGATGGAGTCTCACTCTGTTTCCCAGGCTGGAGTGCAGCAGCACGATCTTGGCTCACTGCCAGCTCTGCCTCCCGGGTTCACGCCATTCTCCTGCCTCAGCCTCCCCAGCAGCTGGGACTACAGGCGCCTGCCACCACACCCAGCTAATTTTTTTGTATTTTTAGTAGAGACGGTGTTTCACCGTGTTAGCCAGGATGGTCTCCATCTCCTGACCTCGTGATCCGCCCGCCTCAGCCTCCCAAAGTGCTGGGATTACAGGCGTGAGCCACTGCGCCCGGCCAGGATTAACTGTACTTTAAATCTCATCCATATCTAATTTAGAGGATATTTAGATGAGACCTTGGATTTTAGACTTTAGAGTTGATGATAGAACAAGTTAAGATTTTAGGGGCTGTTGAGATATAATGAATGCATTTTGCCTGTGAGAATAGCATGAGCTTTGGGGGACCAGAGGCAAAATGCTATAGACTGAATATTTGCTGTCCCCACCCCCAATTCATATGCTGAAATCCTAACCACCAATATGACGGTATTAGGTGGTGGTGGTGCCTTTTGCAGGTGATTAGATTTTGAGGGTGAAGCCCTCATTAATAAAATTTGTGCCCCTATGAAAGAGGCTCCCGATAACTCCCTTACCCCTTTTACTATGTGAGGACACAGAGAAAAGAAGACCACTATGCATCAAAGAGTGTGCCCACATCAGACTCTGAATCTGCTGGGATCTTGATCTTGGACTTCCCAGTCTCCAGAACCATGAGAAATAAATTTCTGTTGTTTATAAGCCACCTAAGTATGCTACTTTGTAATAGCAGCCCTTGACTTAGACAGCTATGTTAAAGTTGAGATGCTCCTTGGATTTATAATGGTAAATATTGAGTTGGCTGTTGGCTATACAAGTTCAAAGTTTAAGAGAGACTTGCAGGATAGAGATTTAACTTGGAGAGGTTTTTAATCATACTGACAATATTTAGAAATATGAAATTAGGTGAGATAACCTAGAAGAGGTTCAAGAACTTAGTTCTGAGGTCATCCAAGAAGAAAGAAAGATATAAAGAAAGCACCAAAGGAGACTAAAGAGGATCAGCTATTGAGTTAGAAAGAGAATAATGAGGGTGGGATGCCAGAAGTCAAGTGCAGAAAAATAAAAACAATTAGATGAAGACTGAGATTTGACTCTTAGTGATAGATTGGATTATTATTTGCAAATTTCCACACTCTCTCTGAATTGGAATTATACTTCTCCTATCCTATGCAGCATAACTTAACAGTATACTCCTACAGTGAGTGGAATTTCTTTTCCTAACATTGTTAATATAGGGCTCATGGACATTACTTGCTTCAGCCAATGGAATGTTAGCAAATGCAATATAAAAAGATGCCATAAAGATTTGCACAATTTGGTTCAATCTCTTATGCTCTTGCTACTTATTCTGACAAAAACATGCCATCATTCACTATGAAAAAGATATGCTCTGGATAGCAGCTGGGCTAGGGATGATGAGAGAAATGGCCAGCTTGAATCCAATCCAAATAAACAAGCCACCTAAAGCAAAGCCACTTATCTATGCCCATCCTAAATTAGTCCAGCTGTACTCAACCTGCAACATGCGGCCCTGATAATAAATTTTTTTGTAACCCACTGAGATTCTGAAGTTGTTATGCAGCATTAATTTGGCAATAGCTGGATAATTCAGTGTTGTATTTGGCAGTTTAATGTCATGTAGTTATTTTGCCAGTGCTATTTCAGAGTCATGTCCAGAACAAAACTCTGATTAGAGTGGATTAAAAAAAACAAAAACAAAAACAAAAAAAACAGGAGGAAAATACAGAGAGAATGTATAACAAACTTTTTTGAGAATCACATATATAAATGGGAAAAAAAATTCAATGATATAAATTAGGCTATAAATGTATAGTAAAAATAAATTGTCTTCATTTATTTCTTGTGTTTCAAAAAACTATAGTCAGGTTAGTCACAGTGGCTCACACCTGTAATCTTGGCACTTCGGAAGGCTAAGGCAGGAAAATCTTTTGAGCCCAAGAGTTTTAGACCAGCCTGGGCAAGTTAGGGAGACCTCATCTCTGAAAAAGAAAAAAAAAAGAAAATAGCCGGGCATTGTGGCATGTGCCTTTAGTTCCAACTACTCGTGAGACTGAGGTGGAAGGATCACTTGAGCCCAGGAGGTTAAGGTTGCAGTGAGCTATAATCACACCACTGCACTCCAGCTTGGTTGACAGAGTGAGACCCCGTCTCAAGAAACAAACAAACAAAAAAGTATAATCATGGGGTATCTTTCACAATTTAACTTCAAGTAATATGTTTGGTTCTTAAGTAAGTATACATCCATAGGGAATACCAGGTGTATTAGTCTGTTCTCACACTGCTAATAAAGACATACACAAGACTGGGTAATCTATAAAGAAAAGAGGTTTAATTGACTCACAGTTCCACATGGCTGGGGAGGCCTCATGATCATGGTGGAAGGCAAATGGGGAACAAAATCACGGTGGCAGGCAAGACAGCTTGTTCAGGGGAACTCCTATTTATAAAACCATTGGATCTCATGAGACTTATTCACTACCATGAGAACGGTATGGGGGAAACTGCCTCCATGATTCAATTATCTTCACCCAGCCCCGCCCTTGACATGTGGGGATTATTACAATTCAAGGTGAGATCTGGGTGGGGACATGCCCAAACCATCTCACCAGGAAAAGGAAAGCGTTTTATTAATTTGGTCTATATTAGCTAAAACTGAGCCTTGAGAATGAATAAGATTCTTAAGACTCAGAACTGTGTTGTATTAAAAGCATCATAATCTGCATAATCTTTTCTGATTTACTCTACTTAGTTAAATGGAATGCCACTAGAAATAAAAAAAAATCCTTTCACTCTCCAACCCCATCTTGACACTACTCCTGGGACTATCTTAAATTTAGAGCAAGTATTCTTGCCTCAACAGTATGCTAAGAAGTTTAATTAACAGAAAATTATATTTCACACCTATGTCAAGTATGAAATACATGCATAGAAAATAAGCATGGAAATCATGGGCAAACTTGCTTTACAGAACCCATCTGCCAGACATACTAAAATGGCATTATTTACCTTTTCTTGAGCAGGTAGCTAATTTCTGTGGGAATTTTTAGATGTTAAACCTCAGAAATTCTCAGAAATCCTGTTTTCTTTGCACTATGTACATGAAAAGAGTGAAAGCAAACAAAAACAAAAAATCTCTATTTGTAGTTTAGCACCTCTGGCCCCTCCTCTTTGGCTGAGAAGAGATCAGATGTCCAAATATCCTGCCCCTAGAGAGAGCACACAGATGGACCTCAGAAGGATGTTGAAGTCTGTGGGCTCCCCAGAAAGCTGAGATAGTTATATGTGAGCCCTTTTCAGGCAGGGATAGGAGAGCTTTCACCAAAACTAGTGAAATCACCTAAGCCAGAGACTTATGGATATCCATTCTAGGGAGACAACTCATCTTTTGGCCTGAAGTTATTAGATTATTTTTCTCCATTACTTTGCTGTTTTTGCTCTTGAGAAAAGGGGGTTTTTTCATCTTTCCTATGTTATCCTGAGAGTCAAATATGGTGAATAGTCGAATGGGGATAACATCTCACGAAGTCATTCTGAGGATCAGATAATTTCTGGGTGGATGGCAGGCCAGATACCTCTTTGTTGTTTGCATGTGTTTTTTCAGTTATAGAACTTTCAAAGATGAGATTGGAGTTTAGAGATATGTCCTTAAATCGTGGGACAATGACAATCCTACATGCATTCGACAAATATTTATTGAACACATTGGTAAACCAGATAACACAATCCCTGCATTCATGTAGCTTTCATTTTAGTGGTAGACAGAATGTACTACAAAGGAACAAATAAAATAACTGCAGATAGTGACAACAGCTAACATGACTAGATAAAGTTGTTCTTTTGAGTAGTCGGTCAGATAAAAAGCCTTTCAGAAGAAATGACGATTGAACTGAAACCTGGCTTATGAGAAAGTGCCAGCCAAGCAAAATCTGTGGGAAAAGCATTCAAAGCAAAAGAAAAAACAAGTGAAATACTCTTAGGGGAAAAAAAATGACCTTGGCGTGCTTTAGATGAATTCTACATAACTAGAATGTAGTAAAAATAGGGAGACTATAAGGTCAGAAAAATAGATAAATAGGGATTGGATCATGTATGAAGTATGTTACCCTTTGAAAAACATGCATTATATCTTTTAGTAATGATGATAATATTTGAAATACAAGTTGACCCATTGCAAAAGCCTGGTAATGATTTGTGAGAAGAGATACAGTATTAGGATAATGAATTCATATTGCTAAGCCACTGTAGACATAAAAAAGATTGCCTCTATGTGATAAAAACTTAAATAAATATCTAGGAAGAAAACAGGCCTTCAAAAAATCCTGTATCAGCTATATGGCTTGTCTATATTACTCTCAATATCGGCATTTTAGGGATCATCCCAATATTCCATTTATTTTTTTAAAATACATTTTTCCTTCAAGTAGTTTTAGATTTACGGAAAAATTGAGAAAATAGCGTACAGTTCCCATGTAGCCTATGCTCTGTTTCCTCCATTGTTAACATCTTATATTGGTATGGTATATTTATCACAATTAAGGAACTAATATTGATACATTATAATTAACTAAATCCATACTTAATTTAGATTTTCTTTTTTTTTTTTTTGAGACAAGAGTTTCACTCTGCTGCTCAGGCTGGAGTGCAATGGCATGGTCTCAGCTCACTGCAACCTCCACCTTCTGGGTTCAAGTGATTCTCCTGCCTCAGCCTCCCTAGTAGCTGGGATTACAGGTATGTACCACCAAGCCCAGCTAATTTTTGTATTTTTTAGTAGAGATGGGGGTTTCACCATGTTGGCCAGGCTGGTCTGGCCTGACGTCAGGTGATCCGCCCACCTTGGCCTCCCAAAGTGCTGGGATTACAGGCATGAGCCAGTGCACCTGGCCTAGATTTCTTAAATGCCTTTTGTTGTTGTTCCAGCGTAGCATGGTAGACTGAGTTGTCGTGTGCCTCTATGGTCCCTTGCTTATCACAGTGTCTCAGATTTTCCTTAATTTTGATGACCTTCACAATTTTGAGGAGCATTGGGCAGCTATTTTATAAAACGTCCTTTAATTTGGATTTGTCTGATGTTTTTCTTATGATTAGACTAAGAGTATGTAGTTTTAAGAATACCACAAAAGTAAAGTGACATTTTTATCACATCATACCAAGGAACATAGCATTAAGATGACTTATCACTGTCGATCACCTGGCTATGGTAGTTATTTTTAGGTGTTCAACTGTAACGTTACTCTTCTCTCTGCCCCCTTAGGAAACAGCTTCCTCATTGGAGTAGATTACTTACATGCGGTGTCTCTTGTCTTCAGTCTTACAAACTCTGCTCATTTCTAAAGTTATTTTGGTTGACATTTCCCTCCACCCCCACCCCTTCGGTGAGGTTATTTTATAAACTTATCATACAGTTATATCAAAGTTTGCATTCCATACTGGGATCCTCCCTAAATGATTTGTTTAAATTTGCATACACTAAGGTTCATTATTCTTGCTGCAATATTCTATAGGTTTTCACAAATGCAGTGTCATGGATCTACAACTTAACTATCATACAGAATAGTTTCACAACCCTAAAGGTTTCCCTATGTTTTATCTATTTAACCTTCTTCCCTCCTTCAACACCTGGAAATCACTTGTTATCCTTGCTATAGTTTCATCTTTCCAGAATATCATGTAATTGGAATCATGTGGCATATAGTCTGGCAAAATGTTTTCCTTGGAGTGTAGACCTGTCTTAGTCTGTTTGTGTTGCTATAAAGGAGTAGATTAGGCTGGGTAATTCATAAAGAAAAGTGGTCTACTTGGTGCATGGTTCTGAAGACTGTACAAAAAAGCATGGCACCAGCATTGCTTCTGGTCAGAGTTTCAGGGAGCTACCACTCATGGCAGAAGAGCCAGCTATGTAGAAAACATATGGTGAAAGAAGCAAGAAAGAGAGAAGGAAGAAGGTGCCAAGGTCTTTTTAACAACCAGCTCTCATGGGAACTAACAGAGTGAGAATTCACTCATATCTTCCCCCTCCACCAGGGAGGGGATTAATCTATTTATGGAGGATCTGCTCCCATGAGCCAAACATCTCCCATTAGGCCCCACCTCCAACATTGGGGATTAGGTTTCAACATAAGGTTTAGGGGACAAACATCCAAAATGCAGCAAGGAATTTGATATGGAGCCCTCCATGGGTAAATTTTACGGTGATTCTTCTTTTCCCATTGTCAGAGCCACAAGGGGGGTTGTCTCCTGGATCTTCACTATAAGAACTGGGTAGGACTATTGGGGGAGAACCCAAGATAGAGTGAGCTCCCACTAAGACTATGGCCCCATGCATTTCTCACTATCATGCCAGTGTACACTTACACTCTAAAAACTGGTCAAAGTGATCATGTAAGTGCTCCAACAGCTGATGGCCCCAGTGGCTTCTCTTCCAGATTTCAGAGTGGGAATTTGCTCGCAACTTCAGTTTTCTGTTGAGTACAATAAAAGTCATTGGTTTTTAGTTTGTTTAGATTTTCATATTGTAAGGATGGGCCTGGCAACTTCTAAGTTATTTCCATGTGGAAACTAAAACTATAAGTCCTTTATTTATTTTTCCTTAAATATGTTAATATCTTCTTACATTTTTCCTTTCTCAGGCACTGTGTTACTCGCACTAAACTTACTATCTTTCTGGGTGTTTTCATACAGTTAAGTACATTCTCAAGGAACCTCAACAAATTATACTGTCTCTTTGTCCTGTACTTTTTTTGTCTTTATTTTGTTCACATTTTTTCTTTTGTTTTTTCATAGTGGGTTCCCAATAAATTATTACCTGCATACATTACTAATTAATTAATAACAAATAGAGATATAAAATGAGAATAATAAATTCCGTTTTCAAATCTACAAGATTAAAAATGCCATGCTAACTTATTTTACATCAGTTTTATACTTGGGTTCTTTGTGACATAAGGAAGATAATAATAATTTTAAACAATAATAACCTATGCTATAAGCTAAAGAAAACCTACTAGAGATTATATGGTTATCATTAAGGTGACACCTTTTACATCAAAACATATTGTCATCATCACCAGCAGAAAATTTACAAAGGTCAATCTGGGAACTAAATGACTCATCTAGAGAGCAATTTTTCTTTATTTGCTTAACATAGACCCTTATCACTTAGTGACATTCATTTATGCAGTTGTAATAAGCTTAATAATAATCCTTGAATTAAAACTTTTATGCAAAATAATTTTATATTACATGTATTATAATTTTATATCCTTGAATTAATTTTTATTCCTTGAATTAAGATGTCATGCAAAATAAAATAATTTTATATGATATTTTATATTAATTGTAATTTTATATTTTTATGCAATAATAACATAACTCATTTCTAAGTGGATCTAAAGAAAAATCTCTTCCAAGAATTCAGCATTATGAGATATATCACCTGTTCCATTCATTTTAATGTTTTTCCTCCAATGTACGTATGGATCTTTTATTTTTCTCTGAATTGTGGCCAAAGCCAAAGAAATAATTCAAAATATAACATTGTTACCCAGACCCTACATTTATATTCTCTGTTATTTGGAGGTGATATGTTATGAAAAAATTCTACACATGACTTAAAAGTACATATTTTAACATCTGAGTCCTTCAAACTGACTTCAACCTTTATTGAACTTCAGACTTCTCCAAAAATACTCATGTTTTCTTTAAATCAACTGGTGACAGAAAGACACAAGGTCTCTCCCCATATCTAACAAGGAATAAATTACCTATAAAACCACCAAAGTAAGTAAGTAAAGTACTTTACTCAGGAAGACCCAGTTTCTCATAGTATCTAGGTGTTTTTAAAGAGGGTTTATGGAAGAGGCATTAACTCTTTCAGATCAGCCAAGGTCTGAATACATTGAAGCAATAACACAATTTTGACTTGAGAACAATATAAAGTAGTCATATAATGTAATGTAATATAATATAATGAAGTGTACTGAAAGGAATTTAAAGCCCTGGAAACTGGGTTCCAATCTGGTTCTCACATTAATTTATGTACACAAATTTGAATCTAATGAATGCTAAACTTACTAGCTTTATTCATCCCATATATTTACTGGGTTTTTCACCTCATCCCCAGTAATTAGGTTTAGCTGATAAGACATGTTATATAAAAGGCTGAATCCAATCTAAAAGAACAAGCCACTTTCTCATAAGTGTCATCTAGTAAGTTACTGTTTGGCATTGTGTTTCCTTGAATTTACATAAGCTATTATGAAAGAAGAGATAATTTTAATAACTTAGCTTTTTTTAAGATTCTTTCTTCAGTTATCTTACTATTTCCATGATGCTTCTTATGAGAAACCTCCAATTCTTTCCATTCCCTACACACTATTTTCTATGTGTAAGTTATTCATTGATGGAATGGCAATAATCTAACATACATTGATTCATGCTCCTCTGTTAATAGAGTTAAGGTGTTACAGTATTATTATTCTCAGAATCCCTGCCATTTTCTCCTTTTCCAGGAAAGCTGAGAACTGGATACCTTATTAAGCCCAATTCCAATAAATAAGTGCCTAAGCCTACCTTCTGAGAAAATAACTGCCTTCTGAGAAATGCATCTATAGACTCAAGTCTTTCTGTCTCCTTAAATGTGTCCCATAGAGAAAGGTGGAATGTCCCAGTGGATAAGTTAGGCAAGTGTTATCTGCTCTGTAAATGCAATCTTGCTTACAGGCAGATCCCAAGCTCCAGACTTGGGAGAGTACATAGAGCAGCATGGAAAGACTGCTTCTGGCTAGAATTCTAAGTTGCATTTTCCTATTCAGATTTAGCACGTTAACATTAATAAATGTATTCTCTCCCACATGACTTCCAAATCTATCTACTAAAACTTCAATATGGAAAAAAATGTATTGTGAATATGGAAATATACATTTTTCTTTTAAATTCCTTAAACAAGAGTTCATTGACATAAACTTGGAAAAGTTAATCATAGACACGTATTTATTATTTATATAGTTATTTTTTAATATGATGTACCAAAACATTAACTTGTGGTAAGATAACAAATTCACCTATATTATTTGGTTCTATGGATCATTTTGTGATATAAAAGCACACACACTTGTATACATGCACTATGGGAAACTACAAATAACTCAAGTAAAAGCTCTTTTGTATAAATGTCTTCAATGATTCTGTACCAAATTGGATTATTTCCTCTGTAGACATCGTGACTCAAGCAGTATACCTTTAATTATTTTTCTATTTGTGCTTAAACAAAAGCATTTGTTTTTATAGTCCACATTTAAAAAATATGGTTGAATATAAAAATATCGATCAAATTTGTTATTTTTAAAAAAGGTTCCCTTAACTAATCCTGATGGGAAATTCAGTGGAAGTAGATAATTTGAGCTAGATATAATACTAGAACAATTCCTCTCTGGGGACGTTTGATGAGACTCATTATAGAACCAATTACTATGTGCAGGTGAATTGTTAGACTGTGGAGATGCTGCATGGTCATATAACTATCTTCACTAAGTCCTGCTACTGCTATACTAGCATAGCCTTATTGCTGCCTGTGAAGACTGATCAACCTCAGCTCCAAGAACACACTTAACTTGATCTAACCTTAGCTTTTGTGGCTACACAGACTCTACAAGCAAGTTGATTTCATTGTTCCCCCTTTGCAATTAGTCTACTAGTCTCTATTTCTCTTTTACTGTTGCATTATTATTCTTTCCTTATAAACCCATTTTATCTGCTTCCCGATGCACTTAAGGGAACACCTCTTCCCACTCCCCTCTCCCCCGCCCCAGTTCTAGAGTTCATTGCTAAGCACTAATTTTTAATTGTTGGGAGAGAGGAGATGTTTGTCACAGTTTATTTGGGTATTTACTTTGGTTTGGTTGGAGAGCAGGAGGCAAGTGGGGGGAGTGGGGAGAAGGTGAATCTCAAGTAGTTCAAATAATACAAATATGGTCGTCACTTTTGTGGCAAATATCTGGGAATGCCTACACCAAAATCCTAATATGGAAAGTAAAATTTTATTTTAAAAATGCATTATCCATCTGCTTTTTGTAGTGTTTCTACTGTGATCACGTTACATTTGTTTCTTAACCTCTTTTATGAGCAAAGAATGGCAAAATTAAATCTAAGACTACCAATTTTATCAAGTTAGCTAGATTTCTTAAATAATAAAATACAAAGTTAATATTTCATAATGGAAATGAGCATGCTCATACACTGCTAACACAACTTAAAGAGTTACAATCTTCTTTCAGTGGCAATTTGGCAATCTGCATGTGAGTCCTTAAATCAGTGCATTAGCTTTTAGTAATTTCACTCAAGGGAAAAATTAAGAATGTGTACACAGACACAGAAAGAAAAATGCATATCACATGAGTTTATTATAAGAAATTATAGGAAATTATGCCTCATTCTATGAAACTTATTAAAAATACTTTTGATTGAGTTGTGTAACAAATTCTATGCAATCCTTTTTAAATGGTGATAGGGAAAACCCTTCAGTGACATGGAAAATTGTTCCGTGTTTATTTTTAAGTTAAGGAAAGGTAGATAAAATACTTTATGGTTTATCAACCGCAATATTTTTGTAATAGGTAGTCTTCAGCTTTTATGTGCTCAACATTCACACAGCCAAATTTTTGTATGTTATTTAACAATTGTATTTCTTGATCAGTCTTGCTAGTAGTTAACATTGTTCATTATTTAAAAAACCAAATTTGTCTCATTTTCTTTCTTTTTTACCTATTTCTACTCTTATTGTTTTTATTTCTGTTCTTCTATTTATTTAGTGGTTCATTTGCTCTCTTTTATCTACATTCATAAAGTGAAACATATATGCAAACCTGTTTTCCTTTGAAAGAAGTAGCATATCCATGTAAGGCAATAACTTTCTCTCTAAATAACACTCTAACTCCATCTTCCAGATATTCAGTTTTCATAATCATCATTTGGGGAAAATTTCTCTGTGACAAATAAAGTTCTTTAGAATTGTGTCATTTAATTTTCATATATTTGGGACTTTTTGATATCTTATTTTTATTAATTTCTTTAATATTATTTTTCTGATTTATAATTTAGTACTCTTACAGTGCATATTGTATAATATTTGAACAATTAGAAACTCAAGAAACATTTGATCAAACTTTGTGAACATTTCCTATGAATTTCAAAGAACAAATATTTTGTTATTGTGTGTCATATTCTATAAATAGCAATTTATTCAAGATGATTAATAGTATTGGTCACATTTTTATATTATTATGAGCCTTTTTTGGACTTGTTTTATCAATTAGTGAGAGATAATAAACTCTTATGCTTTTGCCTTTGGTTTCCTCAATTTTGCTTCATATATCTTGGGTCCTGTTATTACATGCAAACACATTTATAACTGTTAATTCTTCCTCATCATTTGACCTTTATATCTGTATGTAATGTCCCTATTTTGTTCTGGTGCACTTGTCTTAAATGAATCGTATACACATCCAAATTTTTCAGTGAATCCAAGCAAATTTAACAGCTTTTGTTGAGCAAAAGTGTCATCTGCCATAACAACTCCCACAATTCTAACACACAAACTGCAGACAAACTTCTTTCATGCTCCAATGTGTATGTTTATGCCTCAGGATTTGCTAACACTTCTGCAGTGGAAAACATTTGCTGTTGAAACAAATAGTTCCTTCATAAATCCCCAACTTGGCTGTGAAGATACTGACAATTTTGTTGATTTTACAAACAATCATCAGTCATGTCTCATCCAAGTAAAAATATGTTATTTGTCCATAGAAAGCTATGTTATATAAATAATAAATTTAAGGAAAAACATATCCCATTACATAATCATTATAATTGTACATTAATGTGTTTATTTTTTCATTACATATTTATTTTTTGTCTACTCTGCACAAGGTACTAGGGTTACAAAAACGAGTAAGAAGAGACAGTAAAGGGCATGGCTCTACCCCCAAATAAAGAGATGGAATATAAAAGCGAAGAATTGACTGGGTGTGGTGGCTCACCCCTGTATTCCGAGCACTTTGGGAAGCTGAGGTGGGCAGATCACTTGACGTCAGGAGTTCAAAACCAGCCTGGCCAACATGGTGAAACTCCATCTCTACTAAAAATACAAAAAAAAAAAAAAAAAAAAGCCAGACATGGTGGCAGACATCTGTAATCCCAGCTACTCAGGAGGCTGAGGCAAGAGAAGATCTTGAACCTGGTAGGTGGAGGTTTCAGTGAACCAAGATCATGCCACTGCAGTCCAGACTGGGTGACAGAGTGAGACTCTGTCTCAAAAAATAAAATAAATAAATGAAAATGAAAAATATATGTACATTTAGAATACATGATATAAGCCATACACGGTGGCTCATGCCTATAATCCCAGCACTTAGTGGGGCTATAGGGTATTTGGACAGAAATATTGAGACTTATTTAAATGACTTTTGCATAAAAGTTGAATGTAGATTAAAGAAAGTGCCTTTGAGGCAAAAATTTGCAAGAGAAAATGCATATGTTTAGAAATAAATGTGAAATGTTAAAGGGAAATTTGGTAGAAATTTGGCTAAAGTCAATTGTTCGTGTTAAGAGAAGAGTGATAACTAATGTTGGATATTTCATACATGCTACACTGAAGATTGTTTTTAATGTTGGGACATTGCTTCACTAAGAATTTTTGAGATGGAGGAAGCCAATGAAAAGACTGAAGTGGGTAGCTGACACCAATATGTTTAGTATGGACTAGATGAGAAAGAGAAGTGAGGTTGTCATAGCAACGAAGACACTACTGCAGTGGTCTAATTACATCATTGCATTCATTTTTCTAAGGATGATTTTTGTGTGTTTGTAAGAAGAGCATTTTTTATACTAGTTAATTGTTTTGAAAATGGACAAACTGTAGAAACAGTAGAACAGGCACTTCTGGTTACACCAACATGAAACATTACTGATACATTCTTTGCGGAGAATGTCTAAATGTAGCAAACTAATCTAAATAGAGATGTTTCAGATTAAAATGTTACATGATCTCCTTATTAATGTTACTTGAGTGCATATTTCAGCACTCTAGGAACTGATTTTATTATTAAAACTATCTTTTCTAAATCTTAATTTCTGGATCTCCAGTTTCAGAGTCACTTGTTGATAATTGTTGAAAATGTAGATTCCTGACTCTCACTTCATGCTTACTAAATCAGAATTACTGGAGGTGGGACCAGGAATTTGCATTTATTTAATGAAAAAGATAAGTGTTTCTTAAGCACATGAGGGTGAATTCAAACTCAGCTTTGTTTTTTTTCTTTTTCCCCCCGTGAATACTGTAAGATATTTCTGTGCTTTATGTTAGTGCTACCCCTTGAGTAGTTGTGAGTGTGTTTACATATACATGTGCTATGATTTAAGCAATTGATTTAAGCACTTAGGCACTGAAGTTTATGAACAGACATGCTTAACACTGCAGGAAAGAAATTTACAACCAATAACTTCTGTTCACAATGAAAGAAAAACTACTAAAGAAATGGAACTACTTTGTAGTGTTGATGATTTCTTATCTGAATCACACTGTTAATATCCTACATGTGATGTTACATAACACTAAATGACATTAATGTTGCAGAGGTCTAGAAACTAGTTTATTTTGATTGCCTTTGTGGGTTCATAGTGAAGCAGGATATTTCCCTGTCCCCCTTCATGGGTGGAAACAGGAGTGCATGAGCGCTGGAGTCAGCTGGCTGCTCTGGCACCAACAGGGACAAACTCCACTCACTGGAACTGGCTGTGTTCCACCTCTTGCAGGTGAGGAGCCCCTTTGTTCCACCCCTTGCTGGGGGAGCATGCAGTGAGTGAGTGCAGGAGCTGAGGCAAGTGCTTTTGGGTGCCAATGGAAGCAATTTCCATACTGGCCCTGCAGTAGCATCTGGGGGTGGACGCCCACAATCCCTGAAGCCCCAGAGAATGTTACAATGTTCTTTCAGCTCAGCCATCTGCAGATGGCTTAAGTATTAACAGCTCAGTGGGCCCTCTGCCTTTCCATGTGACGCAGCTGCTTTCTGCCAGTGAAGGCAAAGAGTCAGTGTGATGGCCTTTTGCATCTGCATTCGTGGCACCTGAGCTCTTGTCTGGTGTCCAGGAGAAATGAGGTCACACAAACAAATTGGAGGATGGTAAATGCAGGAGATTTTATTGGCAATGGAAGTGGTTCTCAGTGGGAAAGGGAGCTGAAAAGAGGATGGGGTGGGAAGGTAATCTTCCCCTGGAGTCCAGCCATCTCCAGCCAAATTATTCTCTGAAATTATGCTGTCAAGCTGTCCCTCTGAAGTCAAGCCACTTCTCTCTGATATCCAGCTGTAGTCTCTGACATCTAGCTACTTCTCCTCTCTCTGCCAGCTGAGCCTAGGGTTTTTATGAGCACATGATGGGGGGCAGGGTGGGCCATGGATAGTTTTGGAAAAGGCAACATTTGAGTGGGAAAACAGGAATGTTAAGTGCTCACTTTGGGCCACAGTAGCAGGCTTTTCAGCTTGAGGGTGGGGCCCTTGCAGGGGAACCTCCTTTTTCTGCCCATAATTTCCCTACCTCCTGTCCTTATCAATAGAGCAATACTGAGAGGTGAAGCCAGCTGGGCTTCTGGGTCAGGTGGGGATTTGGAGAACCTTTCTGTCTAGCTAAAGGATTGTAAATGCACCAATCAGCGGTCTGTGTCTAGCTAAAGATTTGCAAATGCTCCAATCAGCACTCTGTAAAAACACACCAATCGGCACTCTGTGTCTAGCTAAAGGCTTGTAAACTCACCAATCAGCACTCTGTAAAAACACACCAATTGGCACTCTGTGTCTAGCTAAAGGTTTGAAACTCACCAATCAGCACTCTGTAAAAATACACCAATCGGCACTCTGTGTCTAGCTAAAGGTTTGTAAACTCACCAATCAGCACTCTGTAAAAATGCACCAATCAGCACTCTGTGTCTAGCTAAAGGTTTGTAAACACACCAATCAGCACTCTGTAAAATGGACCAGTCAGCAGGATGTAGGCGAGGCCAAATAAGGGAATAAAAGCTGGCTACCCGAGCCAGCAGTGGCAGCACTCTTGGGTCCCCTTCCATACTGTGGAAGCTTTGTTCTTTCACTCTTCGCAATAAATCTTGCTGCTGCTCACTCTTTGGGTCTGCACTACCTTTATGAGCTGTAACACTCACCGCAAAGATCTGCAGCTTCACTCCTGAAGTCAGCAAGACCACAAACCCACCAGGAGGAAAAAAAACTCCGGATGTGCCACCTTGAAGAGCTGTAACACTCACTGTGAAGGTCTGCGGCTTCACTCCTGAAGTCAGAGAGACCACGTACCCACCAGGAAGAATGAACGACTCCAGATGCACCACCTTTAAGAGCTGTAACACTCACTGCAAAGGTCTGTGGCTTTACTCCTAAAGTCAGCAAGACCACGAACCCACCAGAAGGAAGAAACTCTGGACACATCTGAACATCTGAAAGAATAAACTCCAGACACACCATCTTTAAGAACTGTAACACTCACTGCGAGGGTCCACGGGTTAATTCTTGAAGTCAGTGAGACCAAGAACCCACCGGAAGGAACCAATTCTGGACACATTTTGGTGACCATGAAGAGACTGTCACCAAGTGGTGAGTACCGTCGGACCCCTTTTGCTTTCTATTCTGTCCTATTTTTCCTTAGAATTCAGGGGCTAAATACCAGGCACCTGTCGGCCACTTAAAAGCGACTAGCGTGGACACCGGACTAAAGACACGGGTGTCAGGCTTTCTGGGAAAGGGCTCTCTAACAACCCCCAACTCTTCGGAGTTGGGAGCATTGGTTTGCCTGGAACCAACTTCCACTTTTCCTGTACTTCCGGGCTGAACTGAGGGTCAACAGAGAGGAAAGCCATTCAGCTCTGGGATCCCAACAACAAGTTGGTTGACCCTGCAGCCATGAACGGAACTTTCAAAGTCATGTCACCCAAGCAAGACTCGCCCATCTATCCTATCTATCCTGACCCTTGCCTCCTGGGTCCTAACGCCTGTCAGACAAACTTCCTCCCACCTCCCTTCTCTGAGGCTAGTACTGCTTCTAAAAACCACTCCCTGTCTCTGGTGCTTTTCTAGTTTCTCCTATAAGAATGATTTATAGTATAAACTTCAGGATTCTGTTAACTTCTTTGGGCACCCAGGCTCACCAATCAGAAAGACTTAATTTTTGCGCAAAGCCCCATTGGAGGGGGGCCTATCTGGAATTTTAGGATCCCTCCTCAGACTAGCAGGCCTAAAAAAAGTTATTCCTGAAGCTAGGATATGGGGAGCTTCAGAAATGATATCCTTCCTATTCAAGTGAGGACAAAAGGCATCACTCTTCCCACTCTGGAGTTCCCTTCCCTCCCTCAGGGTATGGCTCTCCACTTCACTTTTGGGGCATAACATCTTTATAGGACATGGGTAAAGTCCCAATACAAACAGGAGAATGCTTAGGACTCTAATAGGTTTTCAAGAATTCATCAGTAGGGCCACTAAATATGATTTTTCTCGATCCTCCTTGTGGTCTAGGAGGACAGGCAAGGGTACAGGTTTTTGAGAATGCATTGGTAAGGGCCACTACATCTGACATTCCTCGGTCCTCCTTGTGGTCTAGGAGGAAAACTAGTGTTTCTGCTGCTGCGTCGGTGAGCACAACTATTCCAATCAGCAGGGTCCAGGGACTGTTGCAGGTTCTTGAGCAAGAGGTGTTTCTGCTGCTGAGTCAGTGAGCGCAACTATTCCAATCAGCAGGGTCCAAGGACCGTTGCAGGTTCTTGGGTGTGGGAGAAACAGACCAAAACCATGGGCATTTTTGTCTTTCAGAAGGGAAACACTCAGGCACCAAAAGGCTCACACTTGAAATGCATCCTAAGCCATTGGGACCAATTTGACCTGCAAACCCTAAAAAAGAGGTGGCTCATTTTTTTCTGCACTATGGCCTGGCCCCAATATTCTCCCTCTGATGGGAAAAAATGGCCACCTGAGGGAAGTATAAATTAGAATACTATCCTGCAGCTTGACCTTTTCTGTAAGAGAGAAGGCAAATGGAGTGAAATACCTTATGTCCAAGCTTTCTTTTCATTGAAGGAGAATACATAACTATGCAAAGCTTGCAATTTACATACCACAGGAGGACCTCTCAGCTTACCCCAATATCCTAGCCTCCCTATAGCTCCCCTTCCTATTAGTGATAAGCCTCCTCTAATCTCCCCTGCCCAGAAGGAAACAAGCAAAGAAATCTCCAAAGGACCACAAAAACCCCTGGACTATCAGTTATGTCCCCTTCAAGCTGTAGGGGGAGGGGAATTTGGCCCAACCCGGGTACATGTCCCCTTCTCACTCTCTGATTTAAAGCAGATCAAGGCAGACCTGGGGAAGTTTTCAGATGATCCTGATATGTACATAGATGTCCTACAGGGGCTAGGGCAAACCTTCAATCTCACTTGGAGAAATGTCATGCTATTGTTAGATCAAACCCTTGCCTTTAATGAAAAGAATGTGGCTTTAGCTGCAGCCCAAGAGTTTGAAGATACCTGGTATCTTAGTCAAGTAAATGATAGAATGACAGCCAAAGAAAGGGACACATTCCTACCACTCAGCAAGCCGTCCTCAATATGGATCCCCACTGGGACCCCGACTCAGATCATGGGGACTGGAGTTGAAAACATCTGTTGACCTGTTTTCTAGAAGGACTAAGGAGAATTAGGAAAAAGCCCATGAAGTATTCAATGATGACCACCATAACTCAGGGAAAGGAAGAAAATCCTTCTGCCTTCCTCGAGCGGCTACGAGAGGCCTTAAGAAAATATACTCCCCTGTCACCCAACTCACTAGAAGCTCAATTGATCCTAAAAGATAAGTTTATTACTCAATCAGCTGCCGATATTAGGAGAAAGCTCCAAAAGTGAGATCTGGGCCCTGAACAAAATCTGGAGGCATTATTAAACCTGGCAACCTCGGTGTTCTACAATAGGGACCAAGAGGAACAGGCCCAAAAGGAAAACCAAGATCAGAGAAAGGCTGCAGCCTTAGTCATGGCTCTCAGACAAACAAACATTGGTGGTTCAGAGAGGACAGAAAATGGAGCAGGCCAATCACCCTGTAGGGCTTGTTATCCAGTATGGTTTACAGTGACACTTTAAAAAAGATTGTCCAGTGTGAAACAAGCCACCCTCTTGTCCATGTCCACTATCTTGAGGTAATCACTGGAAGGTGCACTGCCCCAGAGGACAAAGGTTCTCTGGGCCAGAAGCCCCTAACCAGATGATCCACCAACAGGACTGAGGGTGCCCAGGGCAAGTGCCAACTCATGTCATCACCCTCACTGAGCCCCAGGTACATTAAAACCATTGAGGGCCAGGAAATTGACTTCCTCCTGGACACTGGAGCAGCCTTCTCAGTGTTAATTTCCTGTCCCAGACAACTGTCCTCAAGGTCTGTTACCATCCAAGGAATCCTGGGACAGCCTGTAACCAGGTATTTCTCCCACCTCCTCAGTTGTAATTGGGAGATTTTGCTCTTTTCACATGGCTTTCTTGTTATGCCTGAAAGTCCCACACCCTTATTAGGGAGGGATATATTAGCCAAAGCTGGAGCTATTATTTACATGAATATGGGCAACAAGTTACCCATTTGCTGTCCCCTACTTGAGGAGGGAATCAATCCTGAAGTCTGGGTATTGGAAAGACAATTTGGAAGGGCAAAAAATGCCCACCCAGTCCAAATCAGGCTAAAAGACCCCACTACTTTTCCTTATGAAAGGCCACATCCCTTAAGGCCTGAAGCTTATAAAGGATTACAGGATATTGTTAAATATTTAAAAGCTCAAGGCTTAGTAAGGAAATGCGCAGTCCCTGCAACACCCCAATTCTAAGAGTACAAAAAACAAACGGTCAGTGGAGACTAGTGCAAGATCTTAGACTCATCAATGAGGCAGTAATTCCTCTATATCTAGTTGTGCCCAACCCCTATACCCTGCTCTCCCAAATACCAGAGGAAGCAGAATGGTTCACAGTTCTGGACCTCAAGGATGTCTTCTTCTATATTCCCCTGCATTCTGACTCCCAGTTTCTCTTTGCCTTTCAGGATCCCACAGACCACACGTCCCAATTTACGTGGATGGTCTTGCCCCAAGGGTTTAGGGATAGCCCTCATCTGTTTGGTCAGGCACTGGCCCAAGATCTAGGCCACTTCTCAAGTCCAGGCACTCTGGTCCTTCAGTATGTGGATGATTTACTTTTGGCTACCAGTTTGGAAGCCTCATGCCAGCAGGCTACTCTAGTTCTCTTGAACTTTCTAGCTAATCAACGGTACAAGGCATCTAGGTCGAAGGCCCAGCTTTGCCTATAGCAGGTCAAATATCTAGGCCTAATCTTAGCCAGAGGGACCAGGGCCCTCAGCAAGGGATGAATACAGCCTATACTGGCTTATCCTCACCCTAAGACATTAAAACAGTTGCGGGGGTTCCTGGGAACCACCGGCTTTTGCCCAGATACAGCGAGATAGCCAGGCCCCTCTACACTCTAGTCAAGGAAACCCAGAGGGCAAATATTCATCTAGTAGAATGGGAACCAGGGGCAGAAACAGCCTTCAAAATCTTAAAGCAGGCCCTAGTACAAGCTCCAGCTTTAAGCCTTCCCACAGGACAAAACTTCTCTTTATACATCACAGATAGAGCAGGGATAGCCCTTGGAGTCCTTACTCAGACTCATGGGACAACCCCACAACCAGGGGCATACCTAAGTAAGGAAATTGATGTAGTAGCAAAAGGCTAGCCTCACTGCTTAAGGGTAGTTGCGGTGGTGGCCGTCTTAGTGTCAGAGGCTATCGAAATAATACAAGGAAAGGATCTCACTGTCTGGACTACTCATGATGTAAATGACATACTAGGTTCCAAAGGAAGTTTATGGCTATCGGACAAACTGCCTACTTAGACACCAGACACTACTCCTTGAGGGACCGGTGCTTCAAATATGTATGTGCATGGCCCTCAACCCTGCCACTTTTCTTCCAGAAGATGGGGAACCAATTCCAGACACAATACCACATGTAATATCTCTCATGAAGAGATGCTTTCACTGTCAATTGGCAAGTGGACAATATGAGGCAGTAAATGAAGATGGTGTAGGCAACATCCATCTAGGAAAAAGGGGATATACTCCTTTTTGTACTGATATTTAAATGTGGAAATAAGTCTAGCAACCTGTTGGTTAGAGTCCAGCTGGCACGTACCATAAAGGTAGTCTGAGACTTACCCAGAGAGATAGTCTATAAGGGACTCTGAGGATGTGTGAAGTATTACCAGAGGATGAGAACATCTGTGCCCAAGAGCATCCTCATAAGCACCATTATCTGCAGCAATACCAGAAGCATTCATGGAGATGTAGAATAAAACAATTTTAGTTGAAGAACATGAAATACACACATCTGAGCACATATAAGGCAATGCCATAGATAATAATTAGTGGAGATTTTCTTTTAATGATTATTCCTTGCTGGAATTGACATTTATAATTTTGATTTTAGTATTACGACTACTTTTTAACCCCATATTCGTTAGATCTATGACTTTTGGTTAGACTTTATTATCTTAGTTTAAGTTAAGACATAATACGATGACCTTGGTCAATAATTTTAAAATGATTGCTTCCCTCTTTAGCCTATGCCATCAAATATAGCTCATAGTATCTAAGAAGCAAACAAGTAGGTTTAGCGCAACTTTTCCCCATAGCTCAAAAACAAGTTTTTAAGAGGAATGTTCCATAATACATGGTTATGTACACAAATGCACAGCACATGAGATTTGCAATTTCTAAACAACCATTCAGAAAACTCTCATTGCTTCAGTGTCTATAATCACTGGGGCAACCTGTTCTCTTGCATAGTTTTTCAAGTGTATTTTCTAAAATATATTTTCCAAGTGTATTTTCTAAAATATATTACAAAACATTCCCCACTAGAGTTCTGGAGGAAAAATACATTTAGAAAATAGTGCACACCTGGAGCCTGAAAATACATTAGCTTGGACCATAAGTGTAGTAAATACTCTGAGAAGGCCTGCAGTAAAGAGACTCCTATAACTTTGATAATTCTAACTCAATCTTATTGGAATATGAAAACTCATTTTCTATGTTAAATGTATTACATGTTAGTTACACACTAGATAATTCTAAAATGGGAGTATTGTAGACCTTGTGATCACATATATATATGCATTTACATTCCAGCATAGCTACTTACTACCAAGGACCTGTCATTTGTTGAATTTCGACAAATGAAGATAGATCCTTCCCAGGGAGTTTTATTTTTAATTTGTTGAAATACTGTATATAAAGAATCTAGGAAAATCCTGTCCATATTCTTGCTTTAAAACAAAATTTTTAGTTTCTTACTCGTCTTCAGAATTTTCTAACGAAATCTCTGAAACTCTTCTTAAGTCAATATTTTGGACTTGACTAAAAGTCAAAGAAGCAGAGTCTCCGTATATTAAATAAAAATATTTATAGGCACAGAGTAGAGTTTATAAGGAATAGCACAAAATATGGAAAAATAAAGAAAATGTTGATGAGATTGTATTTGCCATCTTTAATCAAGAAATATGCTCATTTTATTTCTTGCTAATGAAAAATAAGGTCCAAATAATGCATATAATGTTACTGCAATTAGAAATAAGTTTAACTTATCACATTACTAAACTCAATATGTTAAAAACAAAAAGCTTGTGGCAAAAAAATTCTAGGTAAAGACAAATTATTACCTTCCTAAAAATGTGCAGTTTATACTTTTCACTTCAAATGACTATACAAACAAGATTATTTGGCAATATAAAAAAACAATTAAAATTTACAGACTTACTGATCTTGACTCTGTTTTGGTGACCTCTCATGTGCATCTCACCCACAAATAAGATGATATAGAAAATAAACTATCAATTTTTGCATGACATTTTGCTCACTTTTTTTTTTTTCCTGTATACTCAATATATGTGAACTATTCTCAAAATAAGGCTCCTAGGATAGGCAAGGTAGACTTTGTTTGAAAATTATCAGAAAAACAGCAACAATAAAAGGCACACAATTCACTTAGTTCCAATAATCTTTAAATATTTCTTCCCATTTCTAAATACCTGTCAAGGATGTAAAAATTTTATTTGGTTTAAGTCACTGCTTCACCATGCAGTAAGCAAAGGTTATTTGAACAGCACTCCTCCTCCTTCTTTTAAGTAATGTGTTTTGGAGAAGAATCCTTCTGATAATCTATTTAATAAAAGTTATGGGTGAGTTCAAACAAGAACGTCTGTCAGAATTTCAGTTCTCTCTTATACAGCTCTCCTCAAGTTTCCTGTTACCTCTGGGAACCAAAAATTCTGTCTCCCCATTTCTGGCATTACTTGTAAGACTAACAGTGGGAGGCAGTTATAAAAAGAGCCATGAATATATAATTAGGTGATCTGAAATTTAGCACTGGATAACATTGGTTCTCTTCGTACCTCACCGTATCATCTTAGGCAAGACAATGAGTCTTTTTGAGCCTCAAACTCTTCATCTGTAATATGGACTTTAGCTGATCTGTAAAATTCTTCTTAAATATTATATTTTGCATTCAAAGGTCCATTCTCTCTCTTACAATAAATCAAAGAAACTTTGGTAGTAAATAATAAAGTAGACTGAATCATTGTTACAGTAATGTGTTTGTGATTGTAAGCTATCTCTTGCATCCTCATACAATGCTCACTCCCTACTAGATAATCAAAATCCACGGAAGCCTTCGAAAGTCAAAGGAGCTGGGTGCAGTGGCTCATACCTGTAATCCCAGCACTTTGGGAGGCCAAGGCTGGAGGATCACTTGAGCCCAGGAATTTGAGACCAGCCTGAACAATAAAGTGAGACTCCTGTCTCTACAAAAAAATTTAAAAATTAGCCAGGTGTGGTGGTGTGTGTCTGTAGTCCTAGCTACTTGGGAGCCTGGAGTGAGAGGATTTCTTGATCCAGGAGGTCAAGGCTGCAGTGAGCCGTTTTTATGTCACTGCTATCCAGCCTGGGTTACAGAGTGAGAACTTGTATCAAAAAAAAAAAAAAAGAAAGAAAGAAAGGCAAAGGATAGCCCAGTTGTGGGACCCAAAGGATCCCTGGCTAACCAGTGGTGGATATATTGGAGAAAGATAGCAAATTATCATGTAAATCTAGTCATCTGTATTAAGGAATATTTAAAAATTGCTAATACCTACCAATGTGGGGACACAAGTCAGCTAGGAAAAAAAATATATAAGAAAAGTTTCCGGAATAGACAAGAGCTTTCATCTGAAAGGCTAGTGAGAGGAAAACAGCTTTTCATGTGGTTTTCACATCTCTGGAATTTCTCTCTTCTCCATGGATTTCTCTTATGTTGATTCTCACAGTCACCACCATACTCTAAATAACCTCTCCTCAAACTCTGTTCCCTTTTTTCCTTTTGAACCTAAGGATGATTTTGAAAAATTATTTTGTTTTTATCCTCTTAATATAGTGACATAGGAAAACATTTCAGGATTTTACTGCAAATAAAGGAAGGAAGAAAGCCAAATATACACACATTCTCTCTTTTATGTTAACTCAATTTATGACATCTCCCCACCTTCTAGAAAATTCCTCTAGGTAAAAAATAGCAAAACTCCTCTTGTATCTCCAATATTCATATTTATCACCATAATAAACTGAGCATTCATTGGTGATAAGAAAATGTGATAAATTGAATATGAGATAAAAGTATTTTAATTTAGCAGGTGCAATATTTAGTAGAGGTGAATGAATATACTTATTAATGAAATAGTGGTTTATTAAAGACATTTTCTTACTTGGAAATGTTTAAGAACAGGTACTGAGACAACAAAAAGAAAGACAACCTTGTATTCTACAAAAGGGTGGCATGATGACTTCAGGGAGAGAAATGGTTGGCCTTATGTTATAGTTGAGCACGCAGTTGCAGCACAGCTACAGATACCAATAGAGATATTTTCAACTAATTGCAGCTTGACTTGCTGTTTGTTTGCTTGTTTCTGGCAACAAACTAATTAGCTTAAAGATTTGGAGTCATCAACACTAGAATTATAAAATTCTTAAGCTAAATTTTGACACTTCTATTATTATGTCTAGCATAATAAGAAATGCATTTTACAACGTCACAACTAAGAATTAGGTAAGTTCTACACTATTTGACTCAACTATACATCCAAATTATTATGTCTATAGTTGAGATGGAAAACATCTGTGATCAGAGAGATTTCATAATCCAATGAGAAGAGGGGAAGGAGGTAGCAAATCAAGAAATGTAAGCAACAATAACCACAGGAGCATGTAAATTAACTGCAAACAGGGCTTTTAATAGATACACTGTTTTAACAGTCATTAATTGCTGAATTTTTAGTCCTGTGATCTCTAGAAATGCAGTCATATCTAAAGGTTTTCCTGCATTTCTGGGAGTTAGTGCAGTCCTTCCAATAATTTCTCCTTCTTGTTTATCCTTACAGGCAAAACAAATTTATTTATTTGTTCAAGTTAAGCTCAGATTGCTAAAAGCTTCCAATTAATAATTTATTTTTTAGAATGAAAATGAAGAGATAGTGAACTATCACTGACATAGTAGAATTTACGTAATACTGCTTAGAATCATAAGATTTCTGTGAGCAATATTAAGCTAAAATCTATCAGCTGGTCTAGGCAGCAAAACGATCTAATATAAGCCATTAATTTAGTAAAGAAAAAGAGTAATAAATGTATCTCATAATAAAGCCTAATTAATTCCATACATAATATACTTACAGTATATACACCTAATCAATGTTCAATATATTAGAAAAATCAAATGTTAATAACATAAAATATGTTATAGAAGAAAAATTCAAAATATACTCATCAGTTTTTTTAATCTGTGCCTATTTCTGATGAAATAACTATATAAGCTCATTCATTGTACTGCTTCCTTACTGCCACCAGTGTCAGAGGTTTGTTTTCTTGAATAGTTTAATGACGGCAATCTAAAGAGGTTAAATCAGAAGATCTAGAAGACAAATTGGAAGAGGTTTTTATATTTTCTGATTTCTGTAACCACTTTAAAATGCATTCATGTTTTTCAAAGATGGCATGTGATTCTACCATCTTTAATTTCTACCTTTTTATTTTACCCACAGTACCGTAAGTATAATTATATGACATAGCAAAAATCAACTACTGGTCTTATAAAATATTAGCACGAGTTTAGTATGCTATGAGCATTTGTATACATTTATCTATACCTATGTAATTATCTTAACAACACTGAGGAAATATGAGATGTAAAAATCAAGAGGATAGCCAAGTAATTTTAAGAAGATGAAGTTTTTCATAACATCAAAAATTCAAACTGAAAGTTAATGACATTTAAATTGTCTAATATTTTCTTCAGCTTTTTAAGTACTTGGGCTTCTAAAAATGCCATTTACTCTTTCCATGGTTTATAAAACTTGGAAACATCAAACTATGATAAGATTCCCATAGCCAGGCACTGCACAACATCAACCTTACAGACTCAATTAGCGAATTACCTCAAAGCTGACCAATGTTCAAATTTGAATTTTGTACTACAAAGACAAGGAAATCACATTAGTATTATTTAGTGAAAGGGATTTTAATAATTTTGAAGGACAATGGTAGAGCTGAAACATACAGACCCATCATAAATCAAGAAAATATAAAGCATTTGGCAGAATATTGTTTTTTGAATATGTATTTTATGGTCATTTACATGTCTAGAATGTTCTACCTATGAATGTTTAATAAAAGATGGTTCATAAAGAAATGAGTAAGAGCATATTCAAGCACTTTTTCGGTATCTGAGTGAGATTTAACAAGGTTGAAACCACCGTTACAAAGATTATGACAATGGGGGAAATCTAGCATGGCTGATTCCATCTTGCTTCTAGCCTCACAGGCTGGCTATCCTCATTCACTCCTGGGCATATGCCATGCTAACCATGGGAATAATTTAGTTTCTAATTTAACTTCAAAGCAATGATGCTAATAGCCCCTCTGTAAAACTGAGCCCTCTTTTCCTGTCTTTGTAAGATTAATGAAAGGCCACAAGACTAGGATTTTGGGAGAGGCTTGAATTCTGCTTGATGTAGGCCTAGTTAAAAGTAACCAGCCATTGTTCTCTAGCTTGCTTTTCTATCAGCTCTCACTGCTCAGGAGTCATGAAGCTAGAGATCATTTATAAAGAAGATTTATAACTTCTCTAATTTCTCCTATAGATGACATCACTATTGTCAAAACTTCAGATTGGTCTTTGGGATATTTTTCAGACTTTTGCATTCTGATGACCTACTGACTCCACCTGGACATGTGAGTCATACCAAGGAACTGACTCAACCTGTGATTCCCACCCAGAAACAGACTCAGCACTCAAAGACAGTTTGGACACTTCTACGATTTCATACCCAACCAATCAGAAGTGCCCATTCCCCATCCTCTTGCCCACCAAATTAACCTTAAAAACTCTAGCCTGCAAGCTCTTGAGGAGACAAACTTGAGAATTAACTCCCCTTCTTCCAATTGGCCTGTCCTGCAGTTATTAAACTCCTTCTTTGTTGCAAAACCCTACTGTTCTCATTGAATTGGCTTTTCTGGGCGGTGGGCAAGATGAACTCACTGGGTTAGTCTCACAGGATTAGTCTTATAAGCAGCAGGCCCCAAACTTTTTTGGCACCAGGGACCGGTTTTGTGAAAGACAATTTTTCCTCAGACAGGGGTGGGGCGGGGGGAAAGGTGGGGGATGAAACCGTTCCACCTCAGATCATCAGGCGTTAGAATCTTGTAAGGAGAGCAACCTAAATCCCCTAAATCCTTTGCATGTGCAGTTCACAATAGGGTTTGCACTCCTGTAAGAATCTAATGTAGCCACTGAACTGACAGGAGGTGGAGCTCGGATGGTAATGCTTACTTGCCCACTGCTCACCACCTGCTGTGTGGCCTGGTTCCTAACAGGCCACAGACTGGTACAGGTCCGCATGGCCTGGGGGTTGAGACCCCTGTTATAAAGGGCCCATACAAGTCTAGCAGCAGAAAATTACAATCTCCAGGAATACAAAAAAAAAAAAAAAAAAGAATGAAGATATCACAAAGAAGCTACAAAAATGCAAACATTAAAATTAAAATAATTCTATTTAACACACGTAATATACATTTTCAGAAAGAAATGCAACAAAATGCTAAAAAAATTTAATATCAAATTTTTTCTCCATCTTTCTGGTACTCTTTCTCAACCTTTGTCTAATGATAGAATCTTCATGACCTAAAGGAACTCCATTCTCTGTGCTTTATGTGAACCTAATCCAGCTCTCCTTTCTGCCCTCAGTCACTAAGTATTTCTTACAGGACCCAACACTTAGTGAAAAAATGGGTACATATCTATGTATCATATATGGACTGAGGGCCACAATATATGTATGGTTCATGACATGTGAAGATAACCATGCAAGAATTTACCTTTGCAGAGATTATGACAGTGAGGGAAATCTAGCATGGCTGACTCCATCTTGCTTCCAGCCTCATTCACTCCTGGGCATAGGCCAAGCTAACCATGGGAATAATTTAGTTTCTGCTTAACTCTGAAGCAATGATGATAATAGCCCCTTCGTAAAACTGACTTCCTCTTTGTTTGGGGACTGAAATTGTCTTCGTAGGACTAATGAAAGGCTACAAGATTCAGCCCACACTGAATTAGATGTTAGAAATGGAGAAAAACAATCAGATAGTTCACTAAA
The DNA here is from genome assembly GCF_000001405.40 of Homo sapiens. Taxonomy (NCBI): domain Eukaryota; kingdom Metazoa; phylum Chordata; class Mammalia; order Primates; family Hominidae; genus Homo; species Homo sapiens. Next base: position 64,772,150 of record NC_000010.11, on the reverse strand, counting down.
GGAAGACTTTGAAATCTTAGGTCAGGCAATGTCTAAAGTTATCACCAGCCTGTTAATGAGAACACATATTTCTTTTTTCTTCTTTAAGTTCAACTTCTTGGTGACAGGTTTCTGTCACCTGGAACTAGAAAATTGCTAAGTAACATGGTTCTGTTTCAACAATAAGATTGGGGAAATTTGAAATATATATCTAATTTTCTAACTATTCTACAATACATTTATGTTTTTATTATCAGACGGATGTCATATATGCTGTTAAGAACTTTGCAAATATTCTAAGATGTCATTAAATGAATAACTTTAATGATCCAAGTTGATAATTAACAAAGTGAGTAATACAAGTCCAGAAAATATCTACTTGAATACTAAAATAAGACTATCACTTTAAACCCTATGTCAAGGAGCTAAAGCAGCACCATTGTTCTGTATAACATTCTTTTGTTCTACCATTTTTTCAAAACAGCAACTTTTTCAAATTCGTGCAATGCCCCAATTTTGTAATTTAATGGCTCTTTGCACCACCAGCCTCTCCCTTCTCTTCATTGGCATGACCTATCCTTTTTAGTTTCTCATGCTCCTTCACTAGAAACCATGGCATGAAATCCACAATCTCATACTGAAATCGTTAAATGCATTCTTTTTAAGATAGTGACCAGATAAGGATGCTGTAATTTAATATAGTTCTGTGCTGTCTTTATATCTACAGATGCAGTTGGCTCTGGCCAACACGATAATAGAATAAAAACAAGAGTAAGAAATAGAACCAGCTACAATTGCCATTATGTGCAGATGATAAAATCATCTGTCTGGAAGAGCTAGTAGGATCAACACAGGAACTATTATGAAATAAAAGACAATTTTTCCAGACACAAGATAGACCAAAAAACTTCATTAAATCATTACATATTTTAATACCACCAACAATCCATCTAGAATATGTATTTTAAAAATAAGATTTTATTTATATTATCAACCAATTTATAAAATAATCCAAATAAGATTTCCAAGTTGGCTGGGCTATGGATAAACTTTTAATACTAAAATGAAAGATGTTGGCCTGGCACGGTGGCTCACGCCTGTAATCCCAGCACTTTGGGAGGCCAAGGCGGGCAGATCACCTGAGGTCAGGAGTTCAAGACCAGCCTGGCCAACGTGGTGAAACCCCATCTCTACAAAAATACAAAAAAAAAAAAAAAAAATTAGCCGGGCATGATGGTGGTGCCTGTAATCCCAGCTACTTGGGAGGCTGAGGCGGAAGAATCGCTTGAACCTGGGAGGCAGAGGTTGCAGTGAGCCAAGATTGTGCCATTGCATATTGCCTGAGCAACAAGAGCGGAACTCCGTCTCAAAAAAAAAAAAGAAAGAAAGAAAGAAAGAAAGAAAGATGTAGAGAATGATTAGAATAAAAAGGTAATTGTAATATAATATTTAATAATGTAGCTGCTATTTCTCCTCAAGTTAATATCTAAACAAAATTAAAGCCAAAGCCAATATTTCAGTTTATTTTTTTGAGGGGGGAAATGTATTCTAAATTTATGTGCAGAAAAATTTTATGAATAGCTAAATCAACCTTAGGAAAAAAGAGCAAAGAGGGGTTATCCCTTTTTTTTGAATATTAAAATATGCGACAACAAAACCACCATTAGTAATAAAAAATAATTTGGAATAGCCACAAGAAGATAAAAAAATTAAACCAACAAAATGAGAGAACAGAAACAGAACCAAGTAAACACAGGATTTAACATATTATAAAAACTACATCAAATATCATTGGAAATGATAGATGGCATATAAATAGTATTGGAAAGTGTCACACTTCCTAAGATAAAATTGGATCTTTCCTTAACATTACAAAATGTTAATGTCTTGTTAGATTAAAAGTATAAATATGAAAGATAAACCTAATAGGTAATTGAAAAAAAACAGAATATTTTATTCAAACACAGAAAAAAGATTCTCAAATAAAACATTAAAAGTTTGAATTCCAAGTGATGTCAATAAATGTGATGACATAAGAAATGCTTTTTGTTCATTGAAAAGCCTCTTAACAAAGTCAAGAAATAAATGAATGAATGAAGAAAGCATATTTGCAAATTTTATGAACAATTATTCTTCAAAAAAGGAAACTCAAAAAACTAAAGATGACATAATGTGGTCCTCAAAATAATTAATACCCGGTAAAATGCAAATGAAATTACTGAGATACTGCTCTGTACCTATTTGTCTACCAAAAATAGAACACTTTATAATGTCAGACATTAGTTGGTATTTGCTAATGCAGGAACTCTCATGTACTGACACTGTTTTGGGGAGTATGGACTGGTTGAGTCATTCTGCACAGCAATTTGGTACACTCGGTCAAGTTCATTATATGCTCTTCTATGGCCCAGAAATTCTGTTCCAAGGTATATGTAGCCTAGAGAAATTCCTACCAACGTTTTATAAGGGACAAACATGAAGGTGGTCCTTACTGCAGTATTTACGGAAGTGGGAAATTGGAGGCAACCTGGATGTCTATCGGTAGGTGAAGGGGTAGGCAAAATGGGCTGCATGTGCACATTGAAACATTATGCAGTAGTCAGAAGCAAAAGGTATATGTATATACACAGAATAATACTTAACAACTTGGTTGGACTTTCAAACCTAGGGCTTAGTGAGAAAAGTAAGAAACAGAATGACCTATTTTTGGATATATATATACACATACACACAAACATACATTACTATAACTCACTATATTATAGATATATAAATCATATGCATACGCATTTATAACAGTAATATACATTTTACAATAGCATATACAAACAATACAAGACATCTTAGAATATATAATAGTTGTCTATAGCTAAGGTGGTGGTGAGAGGAAGGGAGTGGGAAACAGGGATAAATCCAAATAAATGAATAAAAGAAAACCGAGCTAACAAACCAAACCCAGAAGGGACCTTGCAAGGACCAGTGATGGTAATTTGCCTCAAAGTGAGAAGTATGATTAATGCAAACTTCTGCTCCATATTCCCAACATAAAATGAAATATTATGATTCATCAAATTACTAACGTCTTAGTGATCCATGTAGTGAGCCAATACAAGTAATGCCATTCAACTAGTATGTATCAATAAAAATTTTAAAAACAAACAAAATAATGCCAGTGTAAAAATATCCATGATAGAATACAAAGAAGCAAGGTTTTTGATTGTTAGCATCATGTGTATGACAGGAAGGTGATGGGACAGTGGTATCAGCCAGAGAAACAACCAAATAAAGACCATAAAACCAGTGGGGAGTAGAAGAAAAACAAAAGGCAGAACAGTAAACAATAAGACCTATTTTTGTTACTAAAATCACTAATGGCTGAATTTGACTGAATTTCTTATGGAGAATGTTGAATAGGTAAAATGATCTGTCTTGGATTGAGACTAGTGGGAACAAGGAAACTGCTACAACCACAGCTGCTGTAAATGAGGTCAATGTGTGTTGTCTTATGCACTCAAAGTAGGTTTTGTGCACAGAGAAGAGTAGTTGGATGTGTACTTTAAAATCCCATTCTATCTGTAAATTAAAATTTTAATCTAATAATTTTGTGAAATGTTTAACTTAGAAATTGAATTACTCTACTTCTGCATCCAGGGAATTTTAATATTCAAATGTTTGGTCCCATTCTGATACTTAATTAACTAAACTCAATTAACATTTTAAAATAAAGTTATAAATTCAATGTATTGAATTTCTTTTTAATTATTTAAATAGTTTGACTACCAAACTACCTCTTCCCAAGCACTAAAGTAAGTCTTGTAAGTTAATTACATTAAACTTAAAAGTAAGCTAATGAGGTTTTCTTAAATGGTTTAATGCTTTTTATAAATTTAGAAAGATTTAAATATAAAAATCACAAGTTTAAATCACCTACAGAGTTAGAGATTTTAAGTTAAAATCAAAGATGTATTTTCTTGACGCTTTGTTGTGATAATTTTTATTAATCATTAAACTTATTTAAAATAACAATGCACAAATTATTCCATAACATAAAAAATAATGTTATAATTTGGATTCATTTTATTATTCTCACAATGACTTTATATTTCTCATACACCTACCCACTAGAGAAAAATAAATTCTTGTCTTCCCATGTTTATCAAGTGGATGTTTTTGTCTCATTGCATTGATTTCCTAACAATTACACTCCCAGCTATAGCACTGGTGTAGGTTGTTGCCCACAACAAGAAAGGTCACATTCAATCCTATTATAAACAGAATAGAAAAGAAAACCTCCTACCTTTAAAACGAAATAAGCACTAAATTCTTGCATTCAAGCCACCTAAATTTTCAAACTGCAGTAAATTATCCCTAATATCATTCATTACTTCAGTAGTGCTTTGCATTTATTTGACTCTTTGCATGTGTGGTAGAAGTGTCTTTTAAATAATTACAATGATAGGAGAGAGATTTTAAAAGAGAGAGATTTTAAAAATATTTTTAACATCTTAATTTAGCCAAAATAAATGAATCAGCATTCTATGCTAATTACCTCAAAAAAAAAAAGAAAAAGAAAAACAAAGCCTCCCCAAGAAATCTAAAAACCTGAGATAATAATAGTTAAGGTCTATTTTTTAAACTGGGGGCCGCCCCTCTCTACTAATAGTAGAAATAAAATATTCCAATGCTTACAACAAACCTTTTGGGAGTGAGAGGAAGCTAGAAACAGGTAGTTTCTTTCTTTCTTTCTTCTTTTTTTTCTTGTTTGAGGGGGAGTTTCTCTCTTGTCATCCAGGCTGGAGTGCAGCGGCATGATCTCGCTCACTGCAACCTCCGCCTCCCAGGTTCAAGCAATTCTCCTGCCTCAGCCTCTTAAGTAGCTGCGATTACAGGTACGCACCATCATGCCCAGCTAATTTTTGTATTATGATTAGAGACAGGGTTTCACCATGTTGGCCAGTCTGGTCTGGAACTCCCGACCTCATGTGATCCACCTGCCTTGGCCTCCCAAAGTGTTGGGGTTACAGGCATGAGCCACTGCATGCATCCGGCCTGGTATTTTCAATTAATACAAATTTTGATGTTTTCCTTGTAGTTAATGTTTTGATTTTTTACTTGCACCTACAGGTGATTTTGTTTTTATTTTATTCAGTTTTGTTATTAAGGACTTGACAGGGTTTTTAAATGAAAATAAGCCATTTAGGAAATAGTTGGTTCAGGTTCTATTTAGAAGGGTATATATATTTAATCTAAATATTTGTCAGTTTCTGCAAACCACATTATGCCTTCCAGTTAACTGAAATGCAAATGAATTAAGGAATTAAGTGTACTTCTATAAACCTGCTCTCTAGTTGTAGTTTTGCTACTCAGTAATTTAATGACCTTAAATTTAAGCTTCAATTTCCTAAAATAAGATTATAATTATTATTGAAAATGCTGTTCTGATTTTTTTCGGAAATTTTGGTGGGAAACTGCAAGAATACTGACATTCCAAGGCTTAACATGGATCTTTATCACACTGGGTAAGTGGCATGACAGTAAAAAACAATCTTGTTAAACTATGCCTGTGGCCAACAGGTAAAGGGGACTCCCTGTGGCTATCTGAGGTGCTCAAAGTTAAAACAGAATAAGGTTGTCATGGCTGGAGTGAGGGAGCAGTCACATACTCTTTGTTCTCAGAAAGATATTGTAAAAATATCACAGGACTTCCCTTTCTACACTCAAGCCAATCCAGTTCCTGTTGTCTGGATTAAGATAAACTGTAGCCAGAAAGACGGCCCCTGCCTCACACCCCCATAAAGCCCCCACCAGTAGTTTGAAAGAAATATCTGCCAGAAATTTCTGGTTTGGGGCCTGGAAGCCAACCAATCAGAGATCACCTGAACAAACCCACCAGCCTCACTACCCCATCTAATCGGAGCTGTATCAACCAATCAAAACCCAGCTGTGCTGACCAATCAAAATTAAGCAAGTTTCAATCCTTCACTTGCATAAACAAGCATTATTGGGAACTTGGGCAAGAACTTTTGCTGCAAAACCCTAACACTCTCTTTGTTCTCTGGAACACTTCTTCATTTTACGTTACAGGTTCTAAGATTCCAAGGCCCCATCTCCCTGATTTGCAAACTGTTCACTGGAATAAAGTGTCTTTCCTCCAAATTCCTTTTCAGAGAAGTTTTGTTCACAATCTAAAAAGCAGGCATGACTGGTAGTCATGGAGAGAGACAGAAGCAGCCAGTACTGTAGGAACAGAATCAGTGACAGATCTGAGGTCATATATTTGAAAATAGGTGAAAGATTGGAAGCTTACAACATCAGGAATGGTTTGGAAAATTGAATTACAAAGCACCCTGCATTAAATATTTGCAGAAATAGGTTATGAGAAGAGAAATGGTATTTTGCTTGCATTTGTGTTTGTTTGTGTGGTTCCGGGTCAGTTTTGTCTGTTTGTTTTGACTTAGGAGCACAGAGCTAGTGAGGCCACAGAGTACCTTTAGTTACCAATGCAGAGTAATTAGTTACCACAGAGTAAATGAGTTACCAATGCACAAACACTTGCAATATGTAATTACTATTTTTTAATGTGCCAAATGAACACGTAAGTCAAAATTAAGTATTTTAACATTGGGGTTTCTTATTCTGATTCAAAAATAATTATTGAATATTCTCCATATGTAAGCAATATTGTTATTGTTTTGGAAATAAAAGTAAAAACAAAATCTTCTCCCAACACAGAAATAATCTCCACAAAGTTAGTAGAAAAGAAAACACTTTTATTATTGAATAAGCATTAATACAGAATGTGGCGGGCATCACAGGCCATCTGCTAAGAGATTGAAAAGACAGAAAGAAATCTTACACTTTTATATAGTCAAATAGATAAAACTCGTATACATGCTTTCAAGATAGTAACTCGTCCTCAAGTAAAAGGACTTGACAGCACCATTTGTCATATATAGTTCACACTCACTTCACCTGGTAATTAGGGTGACCATCTGTGTTAGCTAACTGGCTTTATCCACAGGAAAAATAAACTTATCATATATTTATCATAGGAAGCAGTTTTGTAGTTTGAAACAATCAAAGTTAGGTTCCTATCCATCCATAGAAAGTGAGAGATAGGAATTTTATCTTCTTTGATTATTACATTTCAAATAAATGGCTCCCAGGTGCTCGAGGAAGACATTCTTGATCATAAAGCAGACAAACGGTCTATCTACTTTTCAAAAGGATTGACATACATTTCAAAGAGAGGATAAAGTACTTAAAATTACAAGTTTTCTAAAGTAAATATTCTAAGAAAAAGGGGAAGGGATAATTCTCTTCCCTTATTTTAACAGGGAGAATTAAGTTGACAATTTTTACTTATTCATGTATTTATTTGTTTGTTTTAAGTAGAAATAGGGTCTCCCTATGTTGTCCAGTCTGGTCTCAAACTCCTGGCCTAAAGCAATCCTCCTGCCTTGGCCTCTCAAAAGCCTGGGATTACACTGAACCACAGTGCCGAGACAAGCTTCTTATTTTAAATTTGGATTTATCCTTACACTAGACACTGTACAGGATACAGTGATGAAAAAGATAAAGTTTATGACTTCAAGACATGTATAGAAAAGGCATCTGAATTAGGACCAGAATTACTATATTCATCATCTATCCCAGTTTATAAGATCAAAGATTCCCAAGTGAATGTTGCAAAAACTTTTATTTCCATCTGACCAAATTAGAAAACTCAACTTTTCTTTATTCATATATTTTAGCATGTAGTATTGAACTCAACAATCAAATGAATCAATTAACTGTTTTTATATGTATTGATTTCAAATTGATAAAGTAATTTGATAATTTCTTAACTACTATAAGCAAAACTAATTTTGAGAAAATAACACAAAAATGCATAAACAAAACTATAACTTCCATTATTTCAAATCATATCTGTTGATTTCCACATTCAATGAGTTATTATTTATTTAATATGTATCTCCTTAGCAATAATAGGTACTCATCACTGTATCACATGCTAAAGATAATATGTTGAAAAATATATTACAACAATATTGAGATGAAAGTGGATTCAGATTCTACCTTTTTTTTAGTTTTGCAATTAGCAAGTTGCTTAAGCCCTCTGACTCTTAGTTTATTTATCTACCAAATGGTGACACTACATATGCATTTTATTGGGATAATGTAATAATTCAATAAGATTATACTTTTTAAAAATTAACACAGTATTTATTATTTAGAAAATGCTCAAAATGGTCACTATTACTTTCAATTAATATAAAAAAGATATAGATATATGAATATATGCGTAAAAGCAATTTTTTAAATGTTATACTGGCAGAATATCAGAAATTATTGGTAATCTACTTGGCCCAGCTTTAAAAATTGGTTATGGAAAAAGGCATCTGCATTATGGGGATGGGAATGTGGCCAAAAATCCCCAAATAAACAAACAAAAAACCAGCATAGAGAATCTTTAGCTTAATTCAACCTAGGTCTTTTATTGTTAGTCATAATTGCCATATTGAATATAGGCATTGTATTTTAATTCACTTTCATCTTTTATTTTCATCTGTTACCTGATTAGCTGAAAGTAAAAATAACTGGCTCTTCACCAGCAATAGTTTAAGGCGCATTGCATTACATTATTAAACCTCTCTGGTTTTCCATTTTCTCATTGCATAGGGTTTCAGCCAATCTGGTTACAATATTTTTGTGAACTATAATAAAATTATCAGAAAAAAACAGAATAAAAATTTAATACTTGCCTTACATAATCTCCAGTTGCCTTATTAGAGTCAGCAGTCACAAAATTAGTTTAATGAATATATTCAGAACAAGCAAAACAGGGAAAAAGAAAATAATCATGAACTCTGTCTATATTGTTTATTGAAAGTATGTGTATAGATGACTAATATAGACAATTGCCATTGAACTTATAGTTTTTTTCATTCCTCTATTATATCTAAACAAGCTCTTCCTTCCGCTCCAGCCGTGTAAGACATGCTTGTTTCCCTTCTCCTTCCCCCGTGATTCTGTGTCAAAGGGAAGCTCCCACATGACCTCACTTCTTTCCTATTTGTTGGAAATATTCTACAGTTAAATAGTAAGAACCTCAGCAAATCCATAACCATGCTAGCAAAAGATTATGGCCCTGGGTTCACTGTGTATTTTGGCATTAAGCCCACTGTGGTTGTATGGTTTCAAAATAATGAAGGAAGCCCTGATTGATCGGAGACAAGAGTTTTCTGATAGAAGGAGTTTCCCAGTGATGGAAAAAATCACCCAAGGATCAGAAAAGTTTTTCTTTGCAGAATGTGTGTGGGTTTGTAAGTTGTAAAGACTTAAAGTAAACTAAGAAATTAAGAAATTAAAAACAAACAAAAACTAAACAGTTTGAAGTTAAAAATTCTTCATAATAACTGCCTATATACACTTTGAATGAACACTGTGTATACCAATGTTTAAAGGTTTTAACATGACAAAGGCATTCTGCATGTTAATTTTTAATCTTTAAATTTTAATTTAGGTTGGATGATGACAACACTATTTGCATAGGATAATATATTTTTAAGTATATCTGTGTTTTGTTAGAACAGTGCTCACAGTAGAGTAACCAGTCTCATAAAAGTATGTTGATAGAAACAGAAGAAGAAACTTTTGGAAAAAATTTTAGCAAGACCAAAATTTTTGTCTTTAATTTTTATCCAGAATGATACAAGTGATGCTGTATTTTCAAAATTCACTCAGGTCTCATTAGTAGTCAGTTCCAATTCATCTCATAAATTTAAATTAGTTTTTTATAAAAGACATGAATTCTGCATCATGAGTTTCCTATGTATAGGTTTCCTTTTGGTAGAAATAAAACCAAAGTGATTTATTAAATGAAAAAAATGTTCATTGACAAACTTTTTGCAAATATGCAATATCAAGATTATCATTCACATCATTTACAATTGGTGTCAAATTTTAGAACATGTCATTACAATCTGTAAACACTGTTTTTTTCAAATTTTTAACTTTTGTGTGTGCCCTCAATTTTATCTGCTATTGATATACATTAAATTTCTTTATTGCATGAAAGTAATAAGATAATTAAAAATACCAAGCATATCAGATCAATAAGCAATTTTGGCTGTCCATTTCACTTCCTTAAAAAAAAAACTATGACAAAACTAATTTATCTTTAAGAATCACTTAGAGTTTGTTCCGTATTTCAATCACTCTAAATCCAATATTTTTTTCAATTAAACATCATACTTCTACATGCAATACCACGCACTCATAATTATTTTCCGTATTATCATAAAATTAAAATGTTAACCTTTGCATAACTCACATATAAGCCAACTTATAGTTGAGAGCTGACGAGCTCTTTTTTTTTTTTTAATTTTTTGGCAAGATTTTTTTGTGTGTGTGATGAAACACTGTGACTAAGTGACTATCCCACAGAACATAGATCTACATAAACCTTGCATGTGAAGTCATATTTATTGACAATATTATTTTTTATAGTTGTACACAATTTAGAGCTAGCATTTAGAGCTAGAGTTTATCATATCAATATTATGTTTAAGTTGCTTAAGTTCTAAAATAATTACCTTGTTGGGCTATGAATTTATCAGGTTACAATAAAAAAATACTATGGTAAGTTCATTTTTTCTATTAGTCTTCTCTATCATTAGTTAATTCTTGAATGTGTCAAGGTATAGTGTTGGAGAGCGGTACTTGAGTCAACTACTTTGCTACAGAAACATTTCTAGACAAACCCCTTTGCTACAATCATTCATTAGTTTCTCAGTAATTGTACATGGTGTTTTTATTCTTGGGAAAATGAAGTGCCATGTTATATAAATTCTGCCAAGCACTAATGTTTGTATTCAAAATATTGAACATCTGTTGTCAGCTTTCTATTTTAACACTTTTTCTTTCATATAATTCTGTGGTTTTGAATGCATCTCTTTATGTTGTGTATATAATTGGCCTTAAGTTTGATGCTTTAATCGTTTCAGCAGCCAATTCATCTCCTCAAATAACATACTTTTTAATCATTTCATCACCAATTACAGCTACAAAATGAAATCAATATATGAGAGATAATACTTCCGAGTAAAATTAGTTTGACCTTTTTTTTGGTCTTTGCTTTTTAAAAAAACTTCCATTATCACTATTTAATATACTACTGAAATAAAAGATGTGTCATTTTTTGACAAAAAATGTCCAGTTAATCTTCTTTTACCATATGTAAATTAGCATTAAAATTTTTTAGCCCTTCTTTGAAATAACTTTCATTATTGCAATTTCATATACTACTACTGAACAAAAAAATGTGTCGCAACTTTACAAAAAAATTATTATAAATCTTTACTGTCTCTATATTAGGGTTAAAATTTTGATTACTTAAATAGCTAATAATGGTAAGCTATACATTTAAAATATATCTGATAAAACCTTAAAATTTTCTGTAAAATAAATGAGCACACACATGTTATCATATTTTTATTGAATTACACCTCACAAACCAACTTTAAAACATCATGTCATCCCTTGGTCCTCCTGCGTATAACTAAAATGCAGCTCTTGCCTCTTATGACTCATCAGGCTAGTTGAGCAACACTTGGTCTAGTTTACACCCTGTTTAGTGAGACAAATCCACTGATTGTAAGTGGGATGACATAGAAACGACAATTTGATCAATAGTGTTAAAATGTACACTGCTCAATTTTTGTTCTTATTACAGGCCTGTGACGACCAACTCACAGATAAGTATCAGTCCTCCTATCACATTGAGTAGTGGCGATGCAGCCCCCAGCACCCAGCTGGTAATTTTCACAGATGGAATTCACATCCAAATCTGGCATACTTCAAAGCCCAAGAACTTGCCTCTGCACCATACTACTTCCCGAAGCTATGGGAATACTTACTTTGTACCAAATACATTTTGTACTCAATTGTTCCATTTTCTTCTCTTTCCAGAAAACAAGGCCTTCCCAGTGATTTCAAACTTAAGCTGTTCTACAACAATAACTCTACTTCTTATACTTCTCATACATGATTGGAGGGCAATTAGCAGTGCCTAAAAAAATCCTCAACATTAAAATGTAAGTTTAAGGAAGAGAGTACATTGAAAGAGACAGTCTCTAGGCTGTTTTTTTTTAAACATTTAACTGTAACATAGTTAAAACTATTTCAAATCTAAAGGGACTTTTTTAAATTTATTTTTTATTGTACTTTAAGTTCTAGGATACATGTGCAGAACGTGCAGGTTTGTTACATAGGTATACATGTGCCATGGCGGTTTGCTGCACCCACCAACCTGTCATCTACATTAGGTATTTCTCCTAATGTTATCCCTCCCCTTGACCCCTACCTCTGACAGGCCCTGGTGTGTGATATTCCCCTCCCTGTGCCCATATGTTCTCATTGTTCAACTCCCACCTATGAGTGAGAACATGCGGTGTTTGGTTTTCTGCTCCTGTGTTAGTTTGCTGAGAATGATGATTTCCAGCTTCATCTATGTCCCTGCAAAGGACATGAACTCATTCTTTTTATGGCTGCTTAGTATTCCAAAGACATTTATGTGGCCAACAAACATGAAAAAAAAGCTCATCATCACTGGTCGTTAGAGAAATGCAAATCAAAACCACAATGAGATACCATCTCATACCAGTTAGAATGGCGATCATTAAAAAGTCAAGAAACAACAGATGCTGGAGAGGATGTGGAGAAATAGGAACACTTTTACACTGTTGGTGGGAGTGTAAATTAGTTCAACCATTGTGGAAGACAGTGGGGCAATTCCTCAAGGATCTAGAACTAGAAATACCACTTGACCCAGTCATCCCATTATTAAGTATATACCCAAAGGATTATAAATCATTCTACTATAAAGACACATGCACATGTTTGTTTATTGCAGCACTATTCACAATAGCAAAGACTTGGAACCAACCCAAATGCCCATCAATGTTAGACTGGATAAAGAAAATGTGGCACATATGCACCATGGAATAAAGGGACTATATTTAATTTTACTTTTGAAATGTATTTTTATCCCAATTTCTTTCATTGTCTAGCTAAAAGAGGATTTGAGGTGATAGTGCCTTAAATGGAATGTTTGTTTCTTAGAAAAGCCATTTTATCATTGCAAACAAATACCGTAAATAAGAAAAAAGACAGAGAGAGAAATAGGAAAACTATACTATACTGAGCTTACCAAATAGAGTGTCACCATAAATAATTGCTGAGAATAGCCACTACCAGAAACTTAATTTAAGTATAAAATTATTTTCTCAGATAAAGTATGTGGGCAAAAACAAAACCAGAAAAGTCATAAGAAAGCCCCAATTCTAACAGTGAAAACAATGGATGAACCTGGAGGACACTGTGCTAGACTAATCAGATGGATAGAAAGTAGAATGGTGGTTGCCAGGCCTGGGGTGGGGAAAAGGGAGCAGTTGCTTAATAGGTATAGTTGTTTAATAGGTATAGTTTTATTTTTGCAAGATGAAAACATTCCAGAGATTGGTTACAAAATAATGTGAATATACTTAACACTATGGAACTCTACACCTTTGAAAATGGTTAAGATGGAAAATTTCATGTTGTGTGTATTTTACTACAATTTAAACAAAAATTGTTGTGGTTGCTTCTTCTCATACTCCATTTCATTGGAATTTTCAATAACCTTGAACTCTTAAACCACAATGATCAGTATTGCTATCAGTTCACATAACCTGCCTTCCTGAAATAAAATCTTTATCTATATTTAAAAATGAGGAAACATGTATCAAGTTATATGCAACAGAACCACTGCTCAAATAATATAAATATATTCATTTAAGGAAATAATTTGGGGATGAGTTAATATACTTAAATGGTGTTTGTGAGATATATTTTGACCACTAGTTCCTTTCTGGAACAGCAGAATTTATTGTGAGTAAACTGGGGGATGGGAGGGGAGCATTATGTCTTATTATATGAAATAAAATTAGTATGATATTGTATTGGAGTACAGTTTCATTTAATCGGAAGTTTGTTAAGTCAAGTAGAAGAACAGTGCCAGTAACTTATTACTGGCTTATTCTGTGAGAACTTACTTTCTCAACCTGTTTGAAAGGCACTATAGCAACTAGAAAATAAATTTGCTATTTTACCCTTGTCTCATGGGAGGCCAGGAAAAATCTGCTAAATAAAATACAACTTTCATCACACACTGATGATTCAATGTTTGGGCTTCAGGATTTTGAAGAATAAAATATCAGTGTCACCCTTAATTATGTTAAAGTTGGGTTTACCACTTTTATACAAAAAACATACAAAATATTGAATTTACAGGCGACAGGATCAAAATAACTCAAAAGGGCAAATATAGTGTGTGACAGAGACTGCTTGTTACCTAAATCCTTATCCATTATTTTTCTTTAGTAAAATAACCCAAGTTTTATTCAGCACAGTGTGTAATAAGCAAACAAAACCCATTTGTTAGCCTTCCTTCCAGCTTGGTGAGACCATGTGAATAAGTTCTAGGCAATGCAACTTAAGCAAATGTGTGTTACTTTTGTGAAAAACATAAAAATAAGCTGGCACAAATCCTTTGCTACTTTTTTTTTTTTCTTTCTTCTTTCATGGTGGCTGACTACCAAAGTGATGGCTGGGACTCTCACAGCTCTGGGCCATGGAGTCATAGGCTAAGTGTGGCCTAGTGGCTAGATAATAGAAGCCTGAATCTCTAACACTATAAAGACACTTACTTTGGTGTCTGAATTTGGCTTACATAAAAATGTAAAGTCTATGTTTTATTAAGTAATGATGACTTTGGATTGTTCTGTCACATTTAAGTAAAAGTTAGCCTAACTGCACAAATTCAAAGCAGAGTGTAAAACTATGATTATTAAATAAAAATAGGATGGGTAGAGAGGACCCTAACAGCAACAACAAAAAGGTAAATATATATGTTATTAAAATTTTATTATAGACTTAATTACTGTTTAATTTAATTTTATATTTACCATTATACATTGTGTGTGTGTGTGTGTGTGTGTGTGTGTGTATACACCTATATATGGGCTTTCAAATATACTTTCAACTATTATACTATGCCATATAATATAGTTTGACTATGTCCCCACCCAAATCATGTCTTAAATTGTAATCCCTGTAATCCACATGTGTCAAGGGAGGGACCAGGTGGGAGGTAATTGGATCATGGGGGCAGTTTCCCCTACTCTGTCTTGTGATACGGAGTGAGCGCTCATGGGAGCTGATGGTTTTATAAGCACCTGTCATTTCCCCTGCTTGCACTTCTCTCTCCTTCCACCATGTGAAGAAGGTCCTTGCTTCCTCTTCCCCTTCTGCCATGATTGTAAGTTTCCTGAGGCCTCTCCAGTCATGCAGAACGGTGAATCAATTAAATCTCTTTTCTTTATTATTTACTCAGTCTTGGCTCATATCTTTATAGCAGTGTGAGAAAGGACTAATACACCTTATATAGTATGGTATCTGTAGTTAGTTTAGAGATTAAGTGTTCTACAAAGCTTGTTAAAACAGAGAAAAGAAAATGAAGACATTTCACAGCTCTCTCCATTTGATATTTCATAGAGGTAACCACTTTTAAATTTCTCTAGTAAATTATTTAATTTTTTATGAATAGCATTTATAAATAGCATGAGTATATTGACCCTCCACCCCCATCATAAGTTAGCTCTGATATTTTGACCTGTCATTTTGGTAGATGACAATCTAGCTCTCTTTCACCTTCTTGCCCCAATAATTTTATGGACACATTTGAATTATCTGATGCATTTATGTCTTAAATTTGGTTAGATCAATATTTAGTGTTCACATTGTTATGGCTTTGTCAATGCTAGTTACAACTAAACCATATACAGCTGAGCCTGAGTAACACAGATTTAAACTGAGCAGGTCTATACATGGATATTCTTCTGCCTATACCACCCCTGAGACAGCAAGAACAATTCCTCCTTTACCTCCTCCTCAGCCTGCTCAATGTGAAGATGATGATCTATTTCCACCTAATAAATAGTAAATATGTTTTCTCTTTCTTATGATTTTCCTAATGCCATTTTCTTTTCTCTAGCTTACTTTATTGTAAGAATACAGTATGTAGTACAGATAACCTACAAAATATGTGTTAATTGACTATGTATGTTAACAGTAAGGCTTCTGATAAATAGTAGGCTATTTTTAGTAGTCAAGTTTGGGGGAAGTCAAAAGTTATATGTGGATTTTTGACTTTGCAGGGCTAAGTGCCACTAACCCCCATGTTTTTCTAGGGTGAACTTTAGTAATGCATTACATTGCGATTGCTTTTTCTTTCCCCCACATTTTGTTTTCCTTAGAGATAATCATTTTCTAGTTTTACATATTGGTTTTATTTTTCATGTTCTTAGTAGCAATTCTATACTAATGCCCCCTCAGTATTATAAAACTCCTCTTAGTGTTATCAAATTAATTATCTCTTAATCAGTTCCGTATCTTTTGATGAAATCCCTCATGGTGCTACCTGACTTGTTCCACTCTGGCTAACCTTCTCTGCAAGCAGGCTAATCACTTTTCACCTCGGGTAGAAACAGGTCATCACACCCTTTTCTAGTGTTGAATTCCATTTCCTGAATTGCATGAGTCCCTCCATCTGAGTTATTTCAAATTTTGATGAGGAACATTCCCCATTTGCATCCTGGGAAAAGTGCATAAGAGGCTGTCTTAGATGGCTGACTAATCTCCTTATCAAACAGTCATTTGGGCACAGCTTTGTGTTTTCCTAAGCAGGTTTTTCTCATTTATTTCAATATGGATAGTGTGAAAGTTTTCTGAATCTTTAAATTCTTCTTTCTGATTAATAATTTCTTTTCAGTTTTTCTACTTTTTTTTTTTTTTTTTTTTTTTGAGACGGAGTCTTGCACTGTCGCCCGGGCTGGAGTGCAGTGGTGTGATCTGGGTTCATTTCAACCTCTGCCTCCCAGGTTCAAGCGATTCTCCTGCCTCAGCCTCCCAAGTAGCTGGGATTACAGGTGCCTGCCACCATGCCCAGCTAATTTTTTTTTTGTATTTTTAGTAGAGGCGGGGTTTCACTATGTTGACCAGGCTGGTCTCAAACTCCTGACCTCGTGATCCACCTGCCTCAGCCTCCCAAAGTACTGGGATTACAGGTGTGAGCCACCGCACCCGGCCTCACTCTCCTCTTTTCAAGTTTTAGTATAAGCAATCAAAAGGAACCAGGCTACTATTTCAACAATTTGCTTACTTACTTCCTCAGACAAATATCCAGGGTTATTGATTATACATTTTATCTTTCACAAAGCAATAGAACATGAACACGACTTAACCAGTCTTTGCCACTTTATAACTAAGATTGTCTTTCCTCCATTGTCTGATAACATATTCCTGATTTCCATTTTTAGAGCTCATTAGAATGACCTCTGCTGTCTATGTTTTTACTAATATTCTGTTCAGAATCACTTAGGTATTATCTAAGAAGACTGAGGCATTGTCCACAGCTCACCTCCTCTCCTCCCAAGCTTTCACCTGAATATCCCTTAATGGTCCATTCACAGCAAAACAGGCTTTTTCTAACATGCACTTTACAACTTTTCAGCCTCTATCCATTACTTTATTCTAAATCTGCTTCAACATTTTTAACTGTTTAACAGCACCCTCACTTCCTAGCACCAATGTGTGTCTTAGTCCATGTGGACTGCTATAATAGAATATCATAAATATCATAAACTGGGTGGCTTATAAACAATAGAAATTTGTTTCCCACAGTTTTGGAGGCTGAGAAATACAAGATCAAGCTACCCGCATACACAATGCCTGGTAAAAACCTAATTCCTGGTTCATAGATGGCAATCTTCTGGCTATATGCTCAAATGGAAGAAGAGGTGAGGGATCTCCCTGGAGCTTCTTTTAAAAAGACACTACTGACTTCCCAAAGGCCCTTCCTCCAAACACCATCAATCACATTGAGGGTTAGGTTTCAATATATAAATTTTAGGGGAGTACAAACATGCAGTTTGTGGAAATCACTTTTTCCATCAGCTATTTTTTTTCCTTTTTGTTTGTCTAGGTCTCTGATTTTTATGTTAGATGTTTTCCTTAGCTAGCCAGTAATCATTGGCTATTCTTTCCTTTTAAATTTCCAATTGGCTCCAGTTATACCTATAAACTTCATTCTAACAGAACCTGGTCAGTCCATCTCATTGAGAAATCCTTAATCACTAGTTCCTCAAGTCTTTTTTAGAAGACTGATCAGGTTCCTGAATGAAGTTTTTTTTTCAACCTTTTGCTTGTTGCGGGTGCAGAGAGAGAGAGTATATATTCAGCTGAAAGCATTTGAAATCCTAGTAAGGTAATAAACTTAGGGGCTTTCAACAGTTGTTACTATTAAACTTATTTAAATACATGCTGACATCAGCCTAAATCCAAGAAGGATTAGCCTTGCCTTAATGAAAAAAAGGCAAATATTGCATTGTAAGCCATTTTTACCCAGCACAGTTGCAGATTCTAAAAGTTTTCTAATATGCCACATTGGTAGTACTTTGGAAAAGTTGATGTCCAGATATCGGGGACAGCAAATACACTAGTAATTTAAGAAGTCAGAGGTATTTGTTCAAGACTAATATCACAAAGTCATTAGTTTAGACAACATGAAAAAGAGCCAGATCATAAGAAGGTCTGAAATAAAATTAGGATTGAATGAGGATGTATTTGGGACTGGAGGGAGGGGTGTGTTAGGAAATGAGTGGGGAGAGGCAGGATGGTTTTTGACAAATGGTATAAACTTTAATGCCCAGCTGGTTTCCCACCAGATTCATCCACAAGCAGGACAGAAAGTGAAATTATCAGAAATTTCCTGACTCTTCCTGCCTACTTTCCACATTATTATTGGTCTTTAACATAGAAATAAAAATGGTTAAATTGATAAAAGCACCTGTAAGGTTAATAATTCAATTACTTGACGAGTATCTTTGACTGCTCTCTACATACTCTATTTCCTTGATTCTAAAACACTTTGGATTATAAAATACACTATCAATTTAATAAGCTTTTTTTAGAGAAAAACTATTTCTACCACATTTGATGTATATACTGATTAAAAATATCTCAATTTCAGAAACTAAAATAAGATAACCTATGTTGGGAATAAGAGACTGATACCGCAAAATATGGCATTTTAACATGCTGAACTAAAGAAGGAGGCTCATAATCTCTCTGATCTCACTACCCGCTCTCCCAACTATTGTCCCTCAATCCTCTGTCTGTCCTGAAGCACAGGAGGAAGTTCGTCTCTAAATTTCCTTTATCTCCCTAAAGTCCAGACCTAACAAACAGAACAACTGTTTTTCTTTTGCTCTCTCTTGTTTTATTACCTATTGCAGAAAAGAACATCAAGAATGTAACCACACCTGAACAGATTCCTTCATAAGATAATTTTTGTCTATGAGGATCATTCAAATTCCATGAGCAATATTTACAAGTCACTCTCTGTTCCCTATCCATTCATTCTCCCTAGTAATCATTTATTGCCCTCAACAGAATTCTTCTTCTCCCCCTTCCCATAAAATGTTTCCAACCATAACCTCTTTTGTGAGGATCCAAGCCTCCATTCTTTCTGTAAACTCAACATGGTATATGAGCTTCTTAACTCCAGTGGGGAAAAGGGTAATCATTCTGTGGTTCTTTGCCATGTGTATGTTAATAGGTTTATAGACCAAAATTAAAATTCCTAAGCCATCCAACTGACTGAATGGACACCCATTTCGGCCAAGGGAACCCAAAGAAACCTGAAACACTATTTGAGGTCATGATGGGAAGGGGGGATAAGATATGCCTCATACCCTCCTCCCTTCAGAGTTCAGGCACAACTGATCAGCATTAACATTAAAACAAAATACGTTCTTTGTAGTAGTAAGATACCAAATTCGAACCTGACTCTAGTATATCATCACATGACATATAAAGAAGGAAAGCAAAATATTTTACCCTCAAATATGAGTTTCTTTGCCATTTTTTGAAATGGTCCTGCAATGCTGCCTTTTTTAGGAGAAAATTTGCATCTGTAAAGAATCTCTATTAACATAACTAGATCTTTCCAGGCCCTCCCAATCCTAAATAGATTAATTGAGAGTCTAACACTTTTTAAAGGCCGGAATAGGAAACATTTGCCATCTGTTGTCTGTAAGGGCAGCCAGCTATGAGACTTCATCTACATAATAAGAATCTTCAGCTCCACACCCCTTATCTTAACCCATCCAATCCTCTTTATTGATTCTTTAGATCATAATTATTCTTTAGATAATAATTAAACTCTTTCAATCAACTGCCAATCAGAAAATCTTTGAATGCATCTATGACCTTTATGCAACCACTTTGAGTTGTCCCACCTTTCCAGACTGAGCCAATGTAAACTTCACACATATTGATTTATGTCTTAAGTCTTCCTCAAATGTAAAAACATCAAGCGGTAACCCAACCACCTTGGGCACATGTTCTCAGGACTTCTTGAGACTATGCCTCTGGCCATAGTTACTCATATTTAGCTCAGAATAAAACTCTTCTGGCTGGGTGCAGTGGCTCATGCCTGTAATCTCAGCACTTTGGAGGCCAAGGCGGGGGGGACATCACTTGAGGTCAGGAGTTTGAGACCAACCTGGCCAATGTGGTGAAACCCCATCTCTACTAAAAATACAAAAACTAGCTGGGCATTGTGGTGGGTGCCTGTAACCCCATCTACTTGGGAGGCTAAGGCAGGAGAATCAGCTGAACCCGGGAGGCAGAGGTTACAGTGAGCCAAGATTGCGCCACTGCACTCCAGCCTGGGTGACAGAGCAAGACTAAAAAAAAAAAAAAAAAAAAAAAAAATTAGGTGTGGTGGTACATGCCTGTAATCCCAGCTACTCAGGAGGCTGAGGCATGAGAATCACTTGAACCCAGGAGGCAGAGGCTGCAGTGGGCCAGGATCATGCCTCTGCACTTCAGCCTGGGTGATAGAACAAGACTCCATCTCAAAATAAATAAATAAATTAACTAATTAATTAATAGCCTCTTTCAAATATTTCACAGGGTTCAGCTTCCTTTTTTTTTTTTTCCATGAACAGATTTGTTTGCCTTTTCTCCAATTAACCTGCCTTCTGTGAGTTGATTTTTCACTAAGCCTTCAGAGGGTGAAGGGAGTTTTTCCCTAGGCCCCTACAAGTATAACCTATCCTTGAGAAACACAGAACTAAGCATCCATTTCTCTGCACTTGCAATTCAAGAATGTCTTCAAATAGAAATTAGCAAGTATGATTTCATCTCCATAAATAGTACTGCAAACATTGCCTCTTGAAAAAGGGCACTGTCAAGTCCTCCTCACAGAGTCAACCCGTTCAAGCAAAAAGCGTAGGGTCTTTTGCTTGTCTTATAACTAAAAACAACTACAGAAGTAATTTAAAACCTTGTTCTGAAAAATAAAAATGTTATTTTATCTTCTCTAATTTGGAAAATATATGAATGATATTTGCCTAGTGACATCTTAAACATCAGTGAATTTTTCTTCATTTGTCTGTATAAGGAAATTTGGTATTTCAAGTATGTCACTGAATGCAGATACGTGACAAAGAGATCTAACAACTGGGAGAGTGTCATGCCAGGTCAGTCTTGAGCACTTTGTAATGATATTGGGGTGGTTGAGTGGGTAGGGTGGCAGATATAATTTTCACAGCTTTAAAATATCTCATACAGCTGGATGCATAGGAAGTGTTATTAGAGATCCATCTTAGATTTGAGTAAGTATCCCCAGACAGCACCCTGGATGAAGGGGTAGAAGAATATTCCTGGATCTTATTGTTCCCATCACAATTCCTGGGTTTATTTCTTCCAGTATATGGTGATCATATGACAGCTACAGCCCCAATTTTAATGATTATCTGAGAAATGTGAAAACTTTAGTCATTTGCCAAACAACAGTGTATTGTGGAATAAAATAATTTTTTTCTGAAAATCAATTCGACTGCTTTAACTAAGTTATAAAATCAGCATGGCGCATTTTATTTTGTTTTATCTTCAGTTTTCTGAAAACGGAGAAAAGACGTAAAGCTAGGAAACAAGGAAAATATTTCCTGTTTCTATGTTCCATGCTTTAGGAGCCCTATCCATTAATTGCACAATAGAGTGATCAAAAGAAAACCAAATAACTGTACCTGATCAGCATGACTTGCTCGGATATGTCATTCATTCTCTGGCTTTCATTGTTCAGGTCCAGAGTCAGTCATTTGTTAGCAACTCTACATATCTTCAAAGGCAATACTGAGCAAGAAATAAGTAATATCACTCTGTGTATCTCATTGCAATTACATTTCTTATATGCAGTCCATCCACAGAATTAATTACACGATAACATGTCTATTTCATAACCAACCACATCTCTTTCTGCTTATATCTACTCTATCTTTTTTATTTTAAGAATTGGATATAAAAACAATTTCTTGCAAAAGCCAGTGCAACTACTTTTACTATCTACACAGAACTAGACTAGAAGTTATTTCAAGAGCAGACAGATGCTGGAATTGAGAATTTAGAGTCCATAACATCAACCCCCATAACATCTGGTACTTTTGAGAATATTTTTTATACACTTCTATTTTTTCCTGGTATTTTTAAAATCATTTATTTTTGGACTCACCCCATCACTAGTCTTATCCTCATCCTTTCTGATATGTTTTCATTTAACAGAGCTGCATTAACTCAAATAGGCATTCATTTTATTCATTCACTCAACAGCTATTTATTTTATACCTACTTTGTGCATGGCTTTGTTTTAGACATTAAAGACACCACAGATAAGATCCCTGTCCTCATGTGTTGTAAATTCTAGTGGATAAAGACATAATTTCTAAAAAATCAGCTACAAGTATAATTATAATTAGGAAAGAAAAATGTAGTTTTCAAGGAAACATGTACCAAAAGGATATCTTCTAGTTAGAGAGATGGAGAATCAGGGATTCATCCCTAAGAAGGTGACAGCAGTGTTGATCTCCCTTACTGGCACATGGAAGGTACTTATTCAGATGAAAGACCTGTGCATCCTTATAGAATTACTAGTTCTGGAGAGGAGTCAGACAAGAAGAAGAGAGAATATGCCTTAGTATGTTTTCCTGGATTCATCTGACAGCAGTGAGTTAGAGTTTTCACATGACCTGCCTCACTCATCATAACATAAGCTAATGAATGACCTCCAGATTATGCCTATAGATATGTTCCAAATATTCGGTGAAATACTCATCAGGGATCTAAGTTGAAAACAACTGAAACAAACTCTGGGAAATATAAGCTGTATATATGTAGGATAAATTTATTTGGAGGGCCAGATAAACAAGTGTGAAGTTTACATGGGCAAAACAGTTGCCTTAGCCCTCCCTCATTTTGGAGGTTGTCCACTAAAGATATGATCATCAGGACCACTAGTGATCAGAAACTTCAAGCTGCACCTCACATTCTACCATGTAGACACAGGGTCCTGTGATGGGCACTGTCACTATTGCTTATC
Source organism: Homo sapiens (assembly GCF_000001405.40). NCBI lineage: Eukaryota > Metazoa > Chordata > Mammalia > Primates > Hominidae > Homo > Homo sapiens. Next base: position 64,748,626 of record NC_000010.11, on the reverse strand, counting down.
TAATTCAATATAGCTGCAAGCTCTGCCATCACTCTCTACCCAAAATGAATTCTTCAAGGAATTTATTTTATCTCCTCAATATCTCCCCAGATAGAATCTATGTAAGTGGATCTGATTATTAGAAACTTGATTACCTGCCTGGATCAGCATAATTTCAAGCTGGATTGAGAAAGTAGACATTTGGTATGTCAGCTATATGGAAGAAAGTAGACTGCATGTTTAAAGGTGAGAATAGCCCCAAATAAAGGTTAGAGCTGAAAAAACAAACAAACAAAAACTGATGAATTTCTCAATTTTCACAATTTTGATTTCCTAGTACTCCATTTTTTTTCATCTTTAGACTTAAAAACATTTCCACCTAGCTTGATTTAACTTTCTGACATAATGTTACCTGACTTCAAATTATACTACACAGCTATAGTAAACAAAGCAGCATTGTATTGGCATAAAAACAGACACATAAACCAATGGAATGGAATAGAGTGAAATCCATACATCTGCAGTGAGCTCATTCAAGTTCACTCATGTCAAGTGAACACTTGACAAAGGTGCCAAGAACATACACTGGGGAAGGGACAGTATCTTCAATAAATGCTGCTGGGAAAACTAGATATCTATATGCAGAAGAATGAATTTAGACCGCTATCTCTTGCCATATACAAAAATCAAATCAAAATGGATTAAATATTTAATTATTAAATTAAATATTTAAGACTTAAATATTTAAGACTTTGAACTATGAAACTACTAAAATAAAACATTGGGGAACTCTACAGGACATTGGACTGGGCAAAGATTTCTTCAGTAATACCCCACAAGCACAGACAGCCAGAGCAACAGTGGACAAATACAGCCATACCAAGTTAAAAAGCTTCTGCACAGCAAAATGATAATAATAATAATAATCAACAAAGTGAAAAGATAATCCACGGAATGGGAGAAAACACTTGTAAACTATCCATCTGACAAAGGATTAATAACCAAAATAATATAAGGAGCTCCAACAACTCATCAGGAAAAAATATAATCCAATCAAAAAATAGGCAAAAGATCTGAATAGACATTTCTCAAAACAAGACATGTAGATGGCAAACAGGCATATTAAAAGGTGCTCAACATTATTAACCATCAGAGGAATGCAAATCAAAACTACAATGAGATACCATCTCACCCAAGTTAAAATGGCTTTTATCCAAAATACAGGCAATAGCAAATGCTGGTGAGTATGTGGCGAAAAGGAAACCCTTGTATATTGTTGGTGGTAATGTAAATTAGCATAGCCACTATGGAGAACAGTGTGAAGGTTCCTCAAAAACTGAAATAGAACTACCATATGATGTAGCAATCCTACTGCTAAGTATATACCCAAAAGAAAGAAAATCAGTATACTGAAGAGATATCTGCGCTCCCATATTTATTGCAGCACCATTCACAACAGCCAAGAAGCAACCTAAGAGTCTATCAACAGAAAAATGAACAAAGAAAATGTTGCACATATGAAACTGCCTTTACAAAATTATGACAGTAAGAGAAATCTGACATAGATTACTCCATCTTGCTTCTAACCTCCAAGCTCTCCTTGGTCATTCCTGGGCATAGGTCAAGCTGAATCTGGGAGAAATTTAGTTTATAGTCTAACCTTAAAGCAAGGATGCTAATAGCCCTCCCCAAAACTAAACTTCTTTGTAAAATTAATGAAAGGCCAGCCAGGCACGTTGGCTCACACCTGTAATCCCAGCACTTTGGGAGGCCAAGGTGGGCAGATTACCTGAAGTCAGCAGTTTGAGACCAGCCTGGCCAACATGATGAAACCCCGTCTCTACTAAAAATACAAAAATTATCTAGACGTGGTAGCAGGCACCTGTGATCCCAACTACTCAGGAAGCTGAGGCAGGAGAATCACTTGACTCCAGGAGGAAGAGGTTGCAGTGAGCTGAAATCATGCCATTGCCCTCCAGCCTGGACAAGAGTGAAACTCTGTCTCAGACAAAAAAAAAAAAAAAAAAAAAAGAAAGAAAAAGAAAAAAGAGCTAATGAAAGGTCACAAAGTTAGGATTATGAGAGGGATCTGAATTTTGCTAAGATCTAGGTGTCAGCAAATGACAACCGGCCATTGTTCCAGAAAGCACAAGATTTGTACCTTCTCTAATGATGCCTAATGTTAGATAACATCACTATTGTGGAACTTAAGATTTGCCTTTTGGATATCTTTTCAGACTTTTGCATTTCTGAAGACTGTCTAATTCCACCTGGACTTGTGACTCGTGTCCTAATAGTGAATACCCACTCCCTACCCAGAGACTGACTCAATGCAGGATAACTACTTTCCACATCCCTATGATTTCATCCCCAACCAATTAGCAGCACCCATTCCATAGTCCTTTGCCCACCTAACTATTCTCAAAAACCCCTAACCTCTGAGCCTTCAGGGAGATTGATTTGAGTAATAACTTTATCTCCCATGTGGTGGTGTTAGAGTAGGCAGGTAGCCAAAAATGAGCAGGAAAGGGAGCCCTCTGGGAAAATAAGTCCTGGAGATGCTGCCCACTGACAATCAGCAAAAAGGACAATGGTTACAGTAGCTACATCTGGCCTTGCAGTTAGGTTCTTCTATCCCTGAAGGGGACTTCTCAGGTCCTAGCTGGAGGTAACCATGCTAGAGGTTTTTCCCACTAACAAGTATGTGTGATCCTCCAAAACCTCATCCTAGAGTAGTCTTCTGCTCATTATAATAGTAAAAAACACACCCCTGGGTGGAGATTTTAAGCTAATGAGACATACAATATGTGTACTAGCATGCACAACCACAGAACATGCATTCCCAAAGGAATCTCCCTAAACATGCTTTCAAGTGACACTCCCTCATGCCCCTATGTGAATAATAATGTAAATTTCTCATAAAGAGAGCCCCCAGCACTAGCTACACCTGGCTCATTCTCTCAAGCTGTGCACTCTGTCTCATCTTTCAGAGTGTACTGTCTCCTTAAATAAACGCTGCTATTTTTTCAGCTGAACCAGCCCAGAGCTGTTTTCTACTCCTCTGTAGGATGTACTTTATCCTCCTTCAATAAACTCTGCTACTTAACCCTTGCTATACATCTCTTAGCTGAATTATTTCTTCCAAGGTAAACAAAAACCAAGGATTCCCACACTTCCCAGGAAAAATCCATTGACTGATTACACGTATACACAATGGAGTATTAGCCAAACTTAAAAAAGAATGAAAGCCTGTCATTTGCAACAACATGGATGGAACTGGAGGACATTGTGTTAAGTGAAATAAGCCAGACACAGAAAAACAAACTTAGCATGTTCTCACTCATGTGGGAGCTAAAAATTAAAACAATCAACCTCATGGAGATAGAGAGTAGAATAATGGTTACCAGAGGGCTGGCAAGGCTAGTGTGGGGCAGTGGGAATGGTTAATGGCTACAAAAATATAATTAGATAGAATTAATAAGGCCTAGTATTTGATAGAAAAACTGGATTGATTGATTGTATATTTAAAAATAATTAAAATAGTATAATTGGAATGTTCATAAAACAAACAAATTATAAATGCTTGAGGTGGTGGATACTCCATTTACCCTAATGTAATTATTACATATTGTATGTCTGTATCAAAATATTTCATGTACCCAGTAAATATATACATCTAATGTGTACCTATAAAAATTAAACATAAAAAATTAACATAATGCAGCTGAAAAATACTCTTACCCTCCTCCCAAAATCCAATCAGCAATTGCATCTATCTCCAAATTTGGGATCACTCAGTAATGTCATGACCTCACCCAAGAATACAAAAACCTCTCATTAATAAGCTGTGATATGTGAGCCAAAATACAAATTTCACAACCACCAACATATTTCACATAAAAGATAAGGAACAAAAATGCATACATATAAAACAACAAAAAAGTAACACAAATGTTTCATTCTTTATTTTCACAACTGCAAACAAAATATTGTAGACCCATAACGTGAGCCAAATCCCCTTTCAGACAAAATAGAACCATTCCAAGTTCTCATCTAAGGTGGAATTTTCCTTCCCCACCATTCTTCAAGGCTACCATTGTGTGTGGTTTAAAAGGTTTTCTACTCCCTTTCTGACCTGGTGCCAAACTGTATAGACATGGGTGTAAATGAAGGTTCAATACGTTTCTCCTCAGACAACTCATCAGAAGGAACTCCTGAGGCTTCAATGTAAGTAAGATATAAATGCGTTAGTAGTGTAAACCACCTAGTATTGCAATTTACTTGTATTCTTAGGATGTACAGGGTCTTAATCTCCTAAAGACCACTCACATTTCATGGTGGACCTGTCTAGGAATGTTTAACTTAAGGATTTAGTGGGGCAAATAGAGAATATCTTTGTTGCCTGTTGATCTATAATATGTCGCATATTTTGGTCTTTAATATGGGTAATAGCAATAGCGAAAAATAGTTGAGCAAAAATAGCATGGCTGTGACATTATCCCAATTTACAATCACTGCTGTGATTCTGTGGAAAGACCCAATATAGCACCCAGATCTGCCACAAACATTGTGACTACTTTTGAATCAGTTATATTCTAAAAGCCAAGCAGCAGAGGAGCTTGCCCTACACACTGGACCACCTGTAGAACCTTCTTTTGCTGGGTCTCACACGGGCATTCAGGTCAGTTAACAGCAAGTTAAAACTGCAATCCCAAATTGTTATGTGGGGCCTCTAGTATTTAAGGTCCCCACTAAGGGAGGTAGTTCTATTTCAGTAGCTATTATAACATATTGCAGCTTGAATTTTGCTTCAGGCTAGACATATTAACATTCCCATCAACTCTAGAATCCTCATTAAGGAAATCATCTTTGGAAAATCTAAAAAATTACTTCTGATCTTATGCTATGCATGTATAATATCAGATACCTGAGTCCCTACCTTGATCAGAAGCTTTGACTGACACCACCAGCTAATTAATGTGATCAATAAAGGAAAGACTTTTGATATCATATTAGGATTACTTTTTTATATTTCAGATTTATTTTATATTGGCAATTGTGTCCATGTTTTAGGAAATCCAACTGATGAAATAGTAGGAACCCCTTGAAGATACCTGAGCTAAACACATTGAATCCAAAATTTTTGATAAATGTATTCACTTTTAAGTTTGCTACTTCCTTGATCTAACACAGCAGAATTCATTCACAAAGTATTCTTTACATTTTTCTGTATTTTGAATTAGCCAAATCTTGTAACTTGGGGAGGGGAAATATTACTCTTTCTAACTTGGCTTATATAAGTGCCTTCTTGGAATATACTCTAACCTGGAATCCGTTTCTAGTTCTAGAACAGGAAACAGCAAAATGGATTTGAGTAAGGCTAAGGAGAATTAGTTTTTTGATAGAACTGTTTTCCATAGGCATTTTGGCTGGCTCCTCCTGTGTTTATGAGAAAGTACAATAGGTCAGTTCTGCAGATGTTGAAAATCTGCAAATTGGATTAAATTGTTGATACAGAAATAAATGAGAATTGCTGGAATTATCTTTGTCCTTTGCTATAACAGAATTCATGAGACTCATGTACTTTTAAAAAGTTTATTTGGCTTATGATTCTAGGGACTGGCAAGTCCAAGGTCATGGCAGCAGCATATTGTAAGACCATTTGTATTGTACTTTTTCATAACATACACAAAAGCAAAAGCACAAGAAAGCGCTTGCAAAGAAAACTAAAACAGCAAGCTGAACTTGCTTTTAAAATAACCAACTCTCTCAAGAGTTAACTTACTCTCACAAGAAGTAATTCACTACTCCCACAAGAACTAAATTACACCCAAGATAATGACATAAATCCATCCAGGAAAGCTCTGCCCTCATGACCCAATCACCTTTTAAAGGGCTCACCTCTTAATACTGTTAAATTGGCAATTAAGTTTCCAACACATAATCTTTTGGGGGACACGTTAAATCATAGCATTCTACCTCTGGCTCCCCAAATTTATGTCCTTCTCACAATGTAAAATACATTCATTCCATTCCAACAGCCCAAAAAGTCTCAACTTCTTCCAGAAAAAACTCAAAAGTCCAAATTCCAGAGTCTCATTGAATCAGATATGGGTGAAACCCAAGGCATGATTCACCTTGCAAATTCCTTCCAGCTGTTAGCCTGTACATGTAAACAAGTTACCTACTTTTAAAATATTATACCTACTTTTAAAATATTATGGTGGGACAGGCATAGGATAGGCATTCCCATTCCAAAAGGGAGAAATAGGTAAGAAGAAAGGAGTAGCAGGCCAAGTAAGTCCAAAACCCAACAGACAAAACAATGTTTAGTCTTAAAGCTGGAAAATAATTTCCTCTGACTGCTTTTTCTGCATCCTGAGCACACTGGTCTAGTCTTCTTCTAACTCCTCACCAAAATTGCCCTTAATGTTCTGTTTACAGCAATACAGATTTTCTCTAGGCTGATCCTCCAATCCCTTCCAGCCCCTACTCATTACCCAGATCCAAAGCTGCTTCCACCTTTTAAGGTATCTGTTATAGCAACAACCCCAATTTTTGGTACCAATTTTCTGTCTTAGTTTGTTTTCTATTGTTATAACAGAATATCTGAGACTGAGTAATTTATAAATAAAAGTTCATTTGGCTCATGATTTTGAAGACTGAGAAGTCCAAAGGCATGGTAGTAGCATCTGGGTAGGACTTTCATATTGTGTCATAACATGGTGAAAAAGCAGAAAGACAAGCAAATGCATGTAAAAGAGGCTGCAAGAGCAAGCCCAGCTCACTTTTATAACAATCCACTTTCTGGGGAACTAACTTTAATTCCGAGGGTAATAACTTAATCCATGAATCAATCATCTTATCTTATCTCTTAATATGGTTACATTGGCTATTAAGTTTCCAACACATGAAGTTTTGGGGGAGACATTCAAACCATAGCAAGAATGAAAAAGTGGGGCTGAGTGATGTTGACAGAAATGAGAAACAAACAGAAAGAAACAAGTATCTTCTTTCTCCTCCAGCCTTCCCATTTTCTTAAGTGTTCACTGCTAACATAGCCTACCTGGGAACCAACTGGCAAAGCAGAAAGGTGGTTTGCTGAGTGTTAAACTCTAACTCTCAAAGCAAAGAACAGAGAAGTGAATTTGAAGTTGAGGGAGAATACCTGTTATTAAGCATTGACAGCACTATCACAGGATGCCCATGATTTTCAGGCCAAGTTTTGAATTTAGATTTTAAGATATCCAGCTTGTCTATTCCTTTCTTTAGGGTGTGGATTATCACTAGAAACAACCACCAAACCCCACAATTCTTATATCATTTATCTTTTTCATAGAGTTCCATGGCAGTAGTCCCTGTGATTCTAAAAGGCACTTTTTCTCCAGGTTATCATCAGTGTTATTTTTGTTATTTTTTTAAGTCTGTGCTATGAACACCCGGAGTTTTATCTGATATCACTAGCTAGATTTTCACTGTCTTCAAATCTAGCAAGCTCCTATAACCAATCCAGATTCACTCTGAGTGGCTAAAGCAGAAAAATATGTTTCTTAAAAATATTTTTGTTAACTCACAGAATGCCCTCAAGAGGTAGAGCATTAGGCTGAGAGGATACTCAGCCAGAAAAGGTTCTGTATCATTTCCGAGTACTAGATGTAGCTTGTGATTTAAGCTCCACTAATACTAGAGAGCCGCTAACACCAATGACACTACTCTCCCTGGAAACTACACACAACTTCTGGTGCTACCATGATCCATATTTTAAACAGATCCAGAAATAATTTCTGGATTATAGTCTGGGTTAGATGAATTTGGTTGGTGGTACCTGAAACAAATTCTCATGCTTTTACTACAAAAGAGATTGAGGAAGCAAATATCTGGGATTTTAACAGTGAGAGTCAAACTCTACCTTGTAAGTTTATCATCACAATACATGAGAAAAGGGAAGGATGCCGGGCAGCCAAAAAAAAAAATTTTTCCTCTAGAGTGTTCAGCATTAAAGGTGGCCTTAACACAGTCGACATGGTCTAGAGATAACACAAGAGGTCTGATGGGCTTCTCAGGTTGTTGATCCTGTACAACCTGGGATATAACTCAAAAGATTAGGAAAACCAAATGTTTTGCCTTCGTATATTTAATTAATCTTCTTTCTGTAGTCTCTTGTTGTTAGTTTTGGGAATCTTAGGCCAGGCTATAGGTTATATACTTTTCCAGGAGTTGAGTATGGGCCCAAGATGTACAAAGAATTATTTTCTCTAATAAGTAACCTAGGCTTAGGTGAATAAAACATCACAGAGATAGATTTTATAAAGAGAGTGGCTGCATTATTTTATAAATACAGTATAGAATCAGAGTTAAAAGCCTTTGAAGCTTTTAAAATCATAAAATCATTCAATCCAACTCCTAATGAAATAAGAATTCTCTCTTCACCAACCTCAAGTCATGGTCACTTGCTTCTGCTTGACGACATCCAAAAATGGAGAACTCACAATCTCTAGATGGAGTTCATACCATTGAGACAATTCTACTTGTAAGAAAGTTTCTCCTAATGCTGAACTCAAATCTACTATGTCTTAAGCTAGATTCCCAGAAATAGACTCTGAGATGGAGATTTGTGTACAGGTTTACTGAAAGGTAACCCCTACATCAACAAGTCTGGGGGAGTGAAGGAAGTAGGACTGGGCAGTGGCAGGAGTTTAGCTGTGGTTGCAAGAGGCCTCTATTATGGACATTTGGAGCTAAAATAGGCCTTTTAAGTTGCCCTGCCTTGAGCAAAAGAACATGGGAGGGTTCTACTTACCTTACCAACTGACCATTAGACTTGAGCTATCCCCAGGGAGGGGACTTACTCTTGGGTGAAGAGACTGTATTCAGCTTAGGAAGATTACAAAGGAGCAGAAGGTCCTTGCAGAAGATCATTCCCAGCAGCTGAAGTGTTGCCTCAATTCTGAGAAAAAAAAAAAAAAAGTAGCTAAGCTCAACATTAGCTACTGCTATAAATTTATCTCATTATTTCTTGTCTGCCCTCAAGAGTCAATGAAGTTCAATCACTCTTTCACATAGGGCAAAAATATTAGGGCACACATTTTTACCTTTCACAAGTCTCTTAAGTTTTGCTCAGTTATAGTAGTTGCAATGTTCGACTCATATATTGACATGATTCTTCTTAAAGTAGAAAACATAGAATCAAATGAATTACTTAGCTGTGTTTTCATCCCACAGTGTAATCTAATCAAGGAGAAAACTATTACAACATTCTCTTGACTTCTTTTCAAGAAAGATTTCCTTGACTTGGAATCTAACCTGGGGTGTAGCAGTGAGATCACCAAATCCTAACCACGAGACCACCAGGAAGCTGCTACTGACAACCTAACTCACCCTAAAATCATATTAAATTTTAGGTAACTTCACCCCACCATTGACTTACAGCAAAGTGATAGTCAATGAATACCTGTAATTTTCTCTCATATATTGCTATTTTGCTTTATTCTCTCATTTTGTTCTTGTAGAGATAGTTTTATGTTTTATTGTACCCAATGACAGAAGCTCACGTTTCTAAGAGATTACATATTGCATCTTTCTAAACTATCAATAAAAATTTTCTAAATATTTTCTTATTCTGTATCCACAGCACCTAGCCTGAAACATAATGGGTGCTTAATTAATGTTTTTTGAATGAATGGAAGGAATTTAGTTTCTAAATGACTTGTAAGTTGTTTGGTTAAATCCAAAATCAGATAAAAACTCTCAGAGTGCCTACTCATCTGAAATGTAACCCTTATATTGTTACTTCATTGCTTTAAAACAGAGACTTGATGAAATACAATGAAGACAAAAGAGTTCGATAGTCTCATAATTCTGGTCTTATTTGTTTCAATTCCCTTGAAGTTTCTTGTGTGTAAAAAAGCAGCTTTGTTAACAGATGCCCTTGTGATTTTGAGAAGTGATGAGAAAATTCCAAACCAACTCTTCACTTTTAATTTAATTATATTGATGGAAACTTACACTGAGAGTAGCACTAGCTATCAATCAACTTTACCTACTTCTGTGCTCTGGAAAAACTCATTTCAGCATTCCCCCCACTCTTTTATCACTGTCTTCCTTTTTGTGATTAAGCTAAGATCAACCATCTTTCCAAAGATAAGTCAGAATTCCATCCAGATTCGTTTATGGTGGTCAAAGCAATTGAATGTATTTTCCCCAAGATGTAGTTCACTATTAACTGAGTTTTTGTTTCTATTGTTTTCCTCACAAGTAGAACATGTTTGTGATCAATTTCCTCTTACTAGGAATGATTATTTCTTAGTCAAGGGGTATCACATAGAAAATTTCAAGTAAAGAGGATAAGAAACAGATAGCACCAGGCTAATTTAATGGACCAGACAATTCTTCACACTCCAATTCACCTGAATGTCTGTTTTAACTACAGGACAAAGTTTAATTATTGAGGAACACTTCATATATAATTCCAATCCTATATAATTCAGAGTTATTACAGTGTGGTGCTAGGAGATGGCAGAAAAGTGGCAGTTGTATTTCAGGTGCTGGCCTGGTGTTTTACAAATTACAAGTAGTGAAAGTAATTTTTAAAAAAGTAATTACTTGAAGTTTCCTGAAAACTAAAGCTATGTATTTTTTAGTGCAAAAAAGGACAAGAACATGAAATATTTTCAGGGACCTCTTCCTATATGAAAGAATGTTAAATTTGATAAAAAAGAGAACTCATTTTCTTCAGTATGACAAGTAATGTTCTAACTGATTTCTTTGTAATAACCCTCCTAAAACCACATGTTAGAAACTGCCTATCCTCATTTTATAAATTAGAGAACTGAGACATGGTAAAGTTATGTAAATCACCCAAGTTTACAGAGCTAGCAAGGGTATTGTCTAGATTTGAGCCCAAGCAGTCTGATGCCAAGTTTATTATCTAAACAAAATACTCCTGAAATACTTCTCTGAAAAAGAAATTATCTGCACATAATGTGTAAATGCAAACTCCCCCTTGGAAAATTACTTTTATCATTAAAGTAATTTGTTTTTATTTTTATAAATTTCATGATTTACTTTTACTTCCCTATACAACATTGCAATCCTTGAAAATTAACTCAGTCAATGTTTAACTTGGTGTTATCTGTCAGGGTTCCACTATGGAATAATAAAATTGAATGAAATGACATGTTACTGGGGAGATTCTGGTGGACAAGTATGATCAAAATTTCTGGGTATAATCAAAGTTTCTAGGTAAAATCAGGAGTCTGAGGTTTGTCACTAATTTTGTAACTTTGATATATCACTTAATACCTCCAGATTTTAGAATTTTAGGTCTTAAAGCTATTAAACTAGATTGAAAAGCTTAAATCTGGTACACCATAGAATACTATACAGCCATTAAAAAGTGTGAGAGATCATTTTCTTTGTAGCAACAAGGATGAAGCTTGTAGGCCATAGGCCACTATCTTAAGCAAACTAATACAGGAATAGAAAACCAAATACTGCTTGTTCTCACTTACAATGGGAGCTAAACATTGAATACACATGGACCAAAGTAGGGAAAAAAAGACACCAGGGCCTATTTGAGGGTAGAGGGTGGGAGTAAAGTGAGGATTAAAAAATTACCTATCAGGTACAATGCTTATTACCTGAGTGATGAAATAATTTGTACATCAAATCCCCATGACATACAATTTGCATATATAACAAACCTGCACATGTACCCATGTATTAGTCCGTTTTCATGCTGCTAATAAAAACACAGCCAAGACTGGGCAATTTACAAGAGAAAGAAGTTTAATTGGACTTACAGTTCCACATGGCTGGGGAGGCTTCACAATCATGGCAAAGGGCAAGAAGGAGCAAGTCACAGATCAAGTGGATGGCAGGCAAAGAGAGAGCTTGTGCAGGGAAACTCCTGTTTTTTAAACCAACAGATCTAATGAGATTCATTTGCTATCACAAGAACAGCACAGAAAAGACCCGCCCCATAATTCAATCACCTCTCACTGGGTTCCTCCTACAGCATGTGGGAATTGTGGGAGTTACAACTCAAGATGAGATTTGGGTGGGGACACAGCAAAACCATATCAACCCCTGAACCTAAAATAAAAGTCAAAAACAAGTTTCACTTCTGATTATTTGAAACTTACCACTGTTCCTTGATCACAATCTTCATCACTAAGATTATCTGTACCATTTACTGAGCATATCCTGCATGATTTGCAAACATCATCCTACTTAATCCTCATAGACCTATGAGGTAGATATTATTCTCAGTTGAGGAGACTGAAGCTCAGGCAGGTTAAGATAACCCTCCCAAAATCTCACTCCATGGAATTAGTGGAGCCTGATTTATCCGACTCTGAAATCCACATATTCATCACAACAAGATGGCTCATGATATAATTAAAACAAATAAAGTGATAGATAAATTCCCTTAACAGCTGTACTGGTGTTTCTATTAGTCAGGGTCCATTAAGAAGAAAAAAAAAATCATAGCAATCATATAAACAGAGATAATTTGATTTTTTTATATTTTATTTTACAAGGAATTTCTATATTCCTGCTTATGTTTAATAGGCAGAATTTAGTATGAAAAAACTTTAAACTTTGTATAAAGTTGTTATTTAGGTATCTAAGAGAAATGTAAAGTATCACGAAGGTAGCAACTATAGGAAGTAGAAACCACTCCTACGGTAGAGGGAATAAAGGAAAGAGATTGGAATTATTAAAATGTGTATTTATATGGGGCCCCTTACAGCTTACAGAGAAACCATTGTTTGGCTGGTGCTGGTTTATATGGAATGGAGAAAAATGAGGCTGTTTTTGAAGATGTTGGAAAAACTGCAAATTGGATTCAGCTACTGCAATGAAGAAGCGCTGCCGATGCGTGAACAGAGACCACAGACAGACAGGAATTCCGCATGAGACAGACAGGAATTCCACAAGAAACCGACAGGAGAAAGCAAGTCTCATCTCCTTCCACCAGCCTTGCTGTCTCTGCTTGGCTGCTCTTCTAGAGGGTCTTACACAGAGCCATGGAATAATGCAGAAATGTAAAGTGAAGAGCCCCAGCTCCAATCTCAAAAAGTAGAGAATGGAAGGTGAGTTTAGAACTCAAATATAATAACATATAACTCATACCACAATAAAACTAATTATGGATCTCACCTACAGTTCCTGATCTGTAGCACTTTAGGATCAGCCTTTTATACACCTGCATGTCTATGGGAGACACTTAGCACTCAATTTTAAGTGATCTGGGATTTTTAAGTCAATTTTTCCTTTTTTCTTTCTTTCTACTTCTCATCACTCTAGTAGATTAACGACAACCCCTTCCTACCCTAATTTTTTTTACCAACTGGAATCCCAAATTATGGTTTAAAGGAAAGAGTGGATAGTAAGAAAATGGTATCAACAAGAAAAACACGGAGAAGGGAAATATGAAAAACATACCTAGTGTATTCAGACTATGATTCCACAAGACAACTTGCATATTTGAGATAAAACATTGGGTGACTTTCATTTTAACATTCTCAATGAAAGGTAGAAAGAAAAATGTTCCACATGTATGCCAGCTCTATTCTCAACACCAATACATGAAGCAGACAACAAAATAAATTATTTGTATTGTCACAATTGTAGTGGTTTCATAAATATTTTATCATCAAGTCCATTTTCTCATACAACATCCCTATTGCTAGAATTATTTTTGCCTTTAACAATAGTACTTGGCAGGTATACAACGTAGGAAGAATAATCAGCGTGAAATCTTATGTTTCTTTTATAAGAGCCTTGCCAATGCCAAAGCATACAGAACAAACTTGTCTCATCTTTTTTAACTGATGCTAGAATATAGTTTTGAAAACAAATATAGTCAACAAATATGTATTAAGTCCCTACCCTGCACCAAGGTCTAGACACTGAGAATACACAGAAGAATAAAGCAAATGGCATTTAGTTTATAGAATTTGTAAATAAGTGTAAGTCAAGATAAAAATGTGAACAAGGGACCAGAGATATGAAGAGATTAAAAGAATTATGGAAAAATATTATGTACAATTCTATGCCAATAAATTTTATGATCAAGATGGTGTGGTAATATTTAGGAAAACATAAATTACAAATGATTCAAGAGGAATAAAAAGAAGACCTAAACTATCATGAACCATAAAGAATCAAAATTTGATAAAAGTGAAACTCAATATAAGTGGCAGGCCTAAATAGTTTAACAAACATATTTTAAGTAATTTTTAAGGTCATGTAACCTGACTTAATTTAGAGATACAATTTTATTTTATTGGTAAAAAGACATAAGTATTTAAAGGCACTCAAAATTTAAACATAAGTGCAATGTATATTTATTTTATATTTCAACTGTTGAAAGAGAAACCATAGTTCTGCTCTTTTGTCCTCCAATATGGAGGGAATATTCATTAGTGTCACATGCCTGCCATCTATTGGCCACCTCACTTACCCATGGAAGGAAGAGTATATTGTTTGAGGAGTGAATTTTGGCTAAGAAAATGGGCATAAGTGACCCCCACATCTTCCCTTTCTCTCTGTTTGGCATCTGTTTATCTATGCTGTTTATCTATGCTGTTTATCATATAATATATGGCATGTTATCTGCAATAAACTCAACAGCAAATTGGCTATGCTTCCAGACACCTATGGTTTTCCAGCAATGTCAGTAACTGGCTAGGTATGTCTAATTATGGGATCTAGTTTTAGAAAACTCATTATTTTATAACATCTAACCCATGGTTTTTCATCTGACCTTTGCTTGCAATATAGGTGATTTTGTGTGTGTGTGTGTGTTTTTTTTTTTTTTTTTTTTTCTTGACAGAGTCTCATTCTGTTGCCCAGGCTAGAGTGCAGTGGTGCAATCATGGCTCATTGCAGCCTTGAACTCCTGGGCTCAAGTGATATCCTCCCACCTCAGTCTCCTGAGTAGTAGAGTAGCTGGGACTACATGTGTGCACTACCATGGCCATATAATTTTTTCATTTTCTTTTTCTTTTTTTCTAATTAGAGATGATTTCTCACTAAGTTGCCCAGGCTGGTCTCCAACTCCTGGGCTCAAGCAATCCTCCTGTCTTGGCCTCCCAAAGTGCTGGGATTGCAGGTGTGAGCTACCATGCATAGCAAGGATGATATTATTTATTACCATCTGCTTAAATGTGTTGTTCCCATCAGGAATGATATTTGTTAAATTTCCTTAAAACCCAACACTTACTAATATATTTTGCTTTAAAACTAAAAATTTTATTTTAACATTCTTCTGGAAAAATAATCATACAAGCATGTCAACTAAGCTCGAGGCAAATATAATAGAAAGTAGAATGTGAGTGCTGCTTTTCCCTATCAGGTAGATTTATAAATAAAAGAACATGTCACTACCAAATGATATGATCTGTCACTTCATGCAGTATATCAGGTAGCTATAGGTAGTATGAAACTTGGAAAAATATGAGGCAGAGGATGAACATGATAAAGTTTTATGTGCAACTTCATTATCATTCCCTCAGCTACGCTATAAACAATGTCTATTCTGAATCCACTTTTAATAGTCACCAAGAGAAGAGAGAAGAACAACAGAACAGAGAGAAGTAGATTCTTCAACTCAGCTGTCAAGTGAACTCAGGATATCAAAGGACTGTGCAATGTGTTGTCAGAGGTCATGTTCTTTGACCACTATATTTTCCCATACTATATGTTACTGGTGGCTGGTATCAGAGTTTCCCCAGGTTATCAGCAGTGTATCTTAATGCGTCTGCAGCAACTTCAATTTTTGCCTCCTGAGAAGAAAGAATTCTACTGAGGAGCACAAGGCAGAACAAGACCGAAGTGAGTTTCAGAGCAAGAGTGGAAGTTTTTTTTTTAAAGGCTGTAGAATAGGAAAGAAAGGAAAGTTCACTTGGAAGAGATCCAAAAAGGCGTCTGAAGGTCAAAGAGAGCATTTAACCTTGGTCTCCTAGGACTTTTTGGCTCACTTCTTTTCCATGATTCTTCCCTTAGGGTGGGCTTCCCGCATGCGCAGTCTCCTCTTTGCCCCTGGGAACTGAGCATGCGGTAGTGTGTTTAGGAAGTTGCTCGTATGCCCATCTGAGGCTTTCTTCCCTTTTCTGGTGAAGTGTCCCTGGAAGATCATACTTCTCTATTTTGTATGTTAACATGCATGCCCCGGAGGTTTCTTCTCCCTGGCATCTCTATTCCCTTAACACTTTAATGTTAATAGCTGTGGATCATCAGGAGATTGTCTCTCTCTGGTGCCCTAGCACTCCCTACTGAGTTGTCATTTTTAGCGAGGCAGTGTGATAATTGTTGAACCATCACCTGACATTCCTAGTGGGTGGGGGAAGAGCCCTCTCCCGCCTCACTCATCCCTATCTAACTACCTGTAACACTATACACATTTGTCTTCTGTGATAATGGAGCTGCATTTCTAAGCCCTGAATATTTGGATTTCACTTTCCTTTAACTACTGTTTATGCATGCACATACCACTTCCTTGCATCCCAACACCATAGGGGCTAGCTGCAGGTCACATGGAATAGGATGTTCACTTCTAATGAGGAAAGAGGCCATTCCTCCTACTGTCCCCTGTCTCCAAAGAAAAGGAGGAAGTAAAAACTGAAAAACAACAGACTGATCCGCGCCACTGGCCAGGCCTGTAAGTTAAAGATTAACCACCACCCTAACCACTTGTGCTGTCTATAGATCACAGACAATGGTATGGAGAAATACTTGCCTTGCTCACCACCCCCACCTAGTCACGTACCCCATGCTTGCACAATCTATCACACGACCCTTTCACGTGGACCCCTTAGAGTTGTAAGCCTTTAAAAGGGCCAGGAACTCTTTCTTCAGGGAGCTCAGTTCTTTTTTTTTTTTTGAGTCGGAGATCTTGCTCTGTCGCCCAGGCTGGAGTGCAGTGGCCCGATCTCTGCTCACTGCAAGCTCCACCTCACGGGTTCACGCCATTCTCCTGCCTCAGCCTCCCCAGCAGCTGGGACTACAGGTGCACGCCGCCACACCCGGCTACTTTTTTTTTGTATTTTTAGTAGAGACGGGGTTTCACCGTGTTAGCCAGGATGGTCTTGATCTCCTGACCTTGTGATCCGCCCACCTCGGCCTCCCAAAGTACTGGTATTACAGGCGTGAGCCACTGTGACCGGCCAGAAGCTCGGTTCTTGAGACCCAAGTCTGCAGATGCTCCTGGCTGGATAAAGCATCTTCCTTCTTTAACCTGGTGTCTGAGGGGTTTTGTCTGTGGCTCCTCCTGCTACACTTACAGAGTTCTTACCTTCAACAGTTATGATGCTCTTCTAGTCCTAAAATCCACTTCAAGAAATAGATTCTGAGCACAAACCTATGACATTGACAAAGTTCAAGCAAGTTTCTTCAGGACAGGATGTGTTTTAAAATTGAGTATGCTTTACAATGAATCATAGGTGGTGACTAACTTAAAATGCACACTTGAGTTATCACAACAGAATAGAAAAATTGGCCCTGGATTATTCAGTTTTTAAGAACAGGTTATATTATATATATTATATAATAAATTTATTGTATATGTTATATTTATATAGAGAGCTATATAATATATAACTAGATATAGTATTATAACCTCATTCTTGAAATCAGGGCCAAAGAGAACATGGCTACAAGACTAAATGTTGATATTCTACAATTTGATTGAATTTTGAGTTGTCTAACTTCTTTTAATTTAATAATATATTTCATTTAGATAATTTCTAAAACATTATCGTTTCAACACATAATCAGTACAAAATATTATTAAGATATTTTACATTTTGGGGGTACGAAGTCTTCCAAATTTGGCATGGATTTTTCACTTTACAGCCATGTCAATTCAGACACTAAATTTGTATCAGAAATACTTGATTTCTATTTAGATTTTATAAAATTTACATTAAGAAAGTAGATTCAGCCAGGCACGGTGGCTCACACCTTTAATACCAGCACTTTTGGAGGCTGAGGAGGGCAGATCACGAGGTCAGGAGATGGATACCATCCTGGCCAACATGGTGAAACCCTGTCTCTACTAAAAATACAAAAATTAGCTGGGCGTGGTGGGGCGCAACTGTAGTCCTAGCTACTAGAGAGGTTGAGGAAGGAGAATCGCTTGAACCCAGGAGATGGAGGTTGCAGTGAGCCGAGATCGCACCACTGCACTCCAGCCTGGTGACAGAGTGAGACTCTGTCAAAAAAGAAAGAAAGAAGGAAGGAAGGAAGGGAGGGAGGGAGGGAGGAAGGAAAAGAAAGAAAGAAAGATTTTTCTGAAAAGGTTTTCAAAAATTGAATTGAATGTTTAACTATAACTACAATTTAATTCAAATTAAATGAAATTAAAAATTTATTTCTTCAGCTGCACTGGCCACATGTCAAATCCTCAACAGACAGCACAACACCAGACTCAACTCCTGACTCTCTTTGCCAAGTCTTATCAGCCTTTTCCTCAGAATATGTTTCAAAGCTATTCCTTTAACCCACTTCTCTCACTCCTAAATTCTTAATAACTTTTTACTCCTATAAGACAATGTTAACTATACTTCCACTAAAAATATAATTATAATGCAGTTAACATGTATTGGCCACTTAGTATGTACCAGAAACAGTTCTCAACAGTTTCATGTGATAACTTGTCATATTATAGTAATTAAATGAATTCTATTAATACTTCCCATTGTAAAGATGAAGAAATGGAGGTGTGAGGAGATTAAATAACTTCTCCAAGGTCATACAGTTACTGAGTGAAGAAGCTGGAATTGAAACCAGCCCAGTTAGTTTTATCCAGACCCCACACTCTGTACCTTTCTGCTGCCTCTCTCACATATATACATAAAAATAATAGTTTGAGTAATGAAATTATAGATGATTTTATTATCTTCTTTTTATTTCCCTATATTTTGTCCATTAATGAAATATGTCACTTTTGTAATTTTTAAAGTTGTTTTAATAAGTCAAATAAATATCGGCTTAGTTTGTTTTTAGTATACTCTTACCTTGAGACAGGAGAATAAACAAAATGACTTTTTCAGTGTCTCCTCATCCCAGGAATGTATTTTTTTTAGCCCCCTCTAATATCA
This sequence comes from Homo sapiens, assembly GCF_000001405.40. Lineage (NCBI taxonomy): Eukaryota > Metazoa > Chordata > Mammalia > Primates > Hominidae > Homo > Homo sapiens. Next base: position 64,729,538 of record NC_000010.11, on the reverse strand, counting down.
AACAAAAACAACACACATTACTACCCTATAAGTACTTCAAGATAAGTGGATAATTTTAATTTTTTTCTCTGGTTTAAACATCCAACCTCAGTGGTTCCAAACCAAAAGAATCACTTTAAATCATATACTTCTGTAAAAAATATTTCCTGAAATCTCTAATCTCTACATCCAGCATATTTTTCATATCCACACATTTCCACTTATCCCACTGCCACCATCCTCGTACATTCCCATTGTTAACCTTCTACTTGACCTCAGTCTAATCTACTGAACCAGCATCCCATCCTCACCTCATCTTTCTGCTCTCAACTTTCGGCCTACCTCAACCATGTTTACTTCATATTCTTGTTAATCCCCTCTGATTAGGCTGCTATCTGTGCCTCTGTGCCAGAAATCCTTCAGGGATTCTCTACATGGTGGTTTCTCACTTTCCAACCTGATCATTTTTGTACACCACACCTACTGCAAATTCCAACCCTTATCATTTTTGTGCCTCATACTAGTCTACACTTCAGCCAACTGGTCTCCTCGCAGTTCCTAGGATCATTTGCCTTTTCTAACTGTGGACCTTCCTCAAGCTCCTCCCTCTATCAGAAAATACCCTTCCTCCACCTCTGACCATTGAAATGCTACTGATTATTTCAGAAGCAGGTCAAGTGCCAAGTGTTCAATAAGTTTTTTTTCTCCTCTTTTCCTGTCAAACTTTACATTGCCACTTCTGCACAGTTCACCACGTTAACCTCATGTCATCATTTATATGTCATTATTTGTGTACTTAACTTTTCTGCCTACCAACATTTCTTAAGCACCTCTGACATGTCAAGGGTATGTACTAGGCACTTTATATGTGTTACCTAATTTAATTTAATCCTTACAACAGCCATATGAGACAGGTAACACCATCCCCATTTTACAGATCAGAAACCTGAGACTGTCAGAAGTTAATTAACTTGCTTGAAGTAGCATCCTTACTAAATAGCAGAGTCATCACTCATTCAAAATATTTTATTCAAATCCATGTCTGCCAGGTTTGTAGGCCCCAGGGGCTTTTCAGTATCGGTTGGGAAGTCCCTTTGGGAGCAATTAGCACTGGAGCCTCAGGACAAGGTGTATGGTATTAAAAACTTGTTTTCTGCTCCTCTCTCATTTGATTTAGATGCACTGTGCCATAGGAAATGCTCCTTTGGCCGTCAGTCAACACTTATCCTGGGATAGCACAGGGCTTGGATAAATATCATACAGGACATTTAGTTCCACTGGTGACCCTGATTATGGTAAAACTGAGAGAGGAACACCAAGCCCCAGCACACATCTAGCAGTTTAGAACTCCCAATTCTCCAACAACTCAGTTTAGGCCTCAAGCTACAACTTTCTGTTTCTTGATTAGTTCCAGAGGGATCCATTGGCTTTCATAAACAAGGCTGCAACAGCATTGTTGCCATTAGGGTCAGCATAGCCTGATAAGAGTCACTGCCATTAACTCCTACCATAGACTCACACATAAAAAATATAATATGGAGATTAAGAACAGAGAAGGGCAAGTTTACCTTGAATTGCTTTTTCACCATTTGGAGTTGAAAGTCCCCAAACTTGTTGGATCAGGTTATACTGGCAAACAAAGATTACTATCATAATGAGCTATCAGGGGAAATTCAGCCAGATATCGGGCAAAATTCACCCCTGATATTTCACGTAGTTTCTTTTCTATTTTCCCTCAGTGTCGGCCGGTTTGAGAAATAAAGGGACAGAGTACAAAAGAGAGAAATTTTAAAGCTGGGAGTCAAGGGGAGACATCACATGTCTGTAGGTTCCGTGATGCCCCAAAAGCTGCAAAACCAGCAAGTTTTTATTAGTGATTTTCAAAGGGGAGGGAGTGTACAAATAGGGTGTGGGCCACAGAGATCACGTGCTTCACAAGGTAACAGAATATCACAAGGCAAATGGAGGCAGGGTGAGATCACAGGACCAGAGGACTGAGGCGAAATTAAAATTGCTAATGAAGTTTCGGGCACCACTGTCATTGATAACATCTTATCAGGAGACAGGGTTTGAGAGCAGACAACCAGTCTGACCAAAAATGTATTAGGCGGGAATTTCCTCATCCTAACAAGCCTGGGAGCGCTATGGGAGACTGGCGCTTATTTCTTCCCTACAGTCTCGACCATAGAAGGCAGCCACACCCAAGGGGGCCATTTTGGAGACCCACCCTCAGGGGCACATTCTTTTTCTCAGGGATATTCCTTGCTGAGAAAAAGAATTCAGTGATATTTCTCCTATTTGCTTTTGAAAGAAGAGAAATATGGCTCTGTTCCACCCGGCTCACCGGCGGTCAGAGTTTAAGGTTATCTCTCTTATTCCCTGAACATTGCTGTTGCCATGTTCTTTTTTCAAGGTGCCCAGATTTCATATTGTTCAAACCAACATGCTCTACAATTTTTGTAGTTAACACAATTATCACAGGGTCCTGAGAAGACATACATCCTCCTCAGCTGACAGGATTAAGAGATTAAAGTTGAGACAGGCATAGGAAATCACAAGGGTATTGATTGGGGAAGTGATAAGTGTCCATGAAATCTACACAATTTATGTTTAGAGATTGCAGTAAAGACAGGCATAAGAAATTATAAAAGTATTAATTTGGGGAACTAATAAATTTCCATGAAATCTTTACAATCCACATTCTTCTGCCATGGCTTCAGCTGGTCCCTCTGTTTGGGGTCCCTGACTTCCCACAACAATGAGCTGATTCTCTTCCTTTTTTGTTTTGGAGTCAACAGTGTCCACTGTTTGCTCAAGGAGAGTGAAACAGGACTTGCTGGTGCCTGTGGCCAATGGGCATGTCTTCTACATCATTTTCAACCTGGCATAGGGTGTGCATCTAATGTTAAAGAAGTTGAACTGAGGCCAAGCATGGTGACTCACACCTGTAATCCCAGCACTTCAGGAGGCTGAGTCAGGCAGATCACCTGAGGTCAGGAGTTTGAGACCAGCCTGGCAAACATGGCAAAACACCATTTCTCCCAAAAAAAACAAAAACCAAAAAAAAAATTAGCAGGGCTTGGTGGTGCACTCCTGTAATCCCAGCTACTTGGGAGGCTGAGGCAGGAGAATTGCTTGAACCTGGGAGACAGAGGCTGCAGTGAGCCAAGATCATACCACTGCACTACAGCCCTGGGTGACAGGGTTTTATTGTAATATCCATTCTACAGATCCAAAAACTGTGTAGTAAGTAACAGGACTGACGCTGTTATGTTGCACTTTCCTCATACGTGGATACCCTGGGCAAAGCTATAATCCGCACCATGGGTGAGATGGAGGGGGATGGTGTGAGATTTCATCATGCTACTCAGAATGGCATGCTCTTTAAAATTATGAATTATTTATTTTTGGAATTTTCTATGTAATGCTTTTGTACCATAATTGATCATGGGTAATTGAAACTGCAAAGAGTAAAACAATGAGAAAGTGTTTTACATCACTACTCCTGAGCTTTAGGGCCATTGTTAAGAATAAGAGCTATTGGACACAAGTACTGTGATACCACACTAGTTGATCTGTTAACCAAGACACTTACTAGGTGACTAAAAGATAGCCTGTTATTATATCTTCCTCTATCTCATAATCTCTAGATAGGATACAATAAACAATGGATATAGATTATTAGGACAACTCAAATGTGAAAATTAACAGATAGCCTTGAAGCACCAAACATTTGAAGAAAACCAAGATGTTGAAAGAAATGTACCAAATTGAAACAGAAAAATCAGCACCAAATAAAAGATTTTATAGAACAAACAGAATTTTAAAAAATTAAAAATATTAATAACTCCAAATATTCAAGAGAATATCACATCTGGAGAAAAGAATACAGATCATAGAATTTTAAAATGTGATTTAAAATTAATTGAAATTTCAGTAAAGTATCATTTCATTTATTTAATGAATATTTTTTGAGTTTTACTTCTAAGTTCCAAGTCTTGTTTCTGGTAATATATTACAACAAGGAACAAAACAAAACAGATCTGTGTTTTAATATGACTGTATTTCAAGTAGGTAGAGACACAATGAATGAAAGATGTGTCTGTTATTCTTTTCTCTTTGAAACCTACTTAAAAATTTAAAAAAAGATAGAAAAGAAAAATAAATAGAAAAGGAACTACATTTTTAGTGAAAGTAGGAAATAGAAACAAGCAAAGTAAAATCTATGAAAACATGGTCGCCCAATGCAGGAAAATCGGGCCTGGTTCATGGACAAGTTCAAGAGCAGACACATGACTTGCAAAGTTTTAGAACACACATATTTGTCAAAAGTAGATGGTACCTTTCACAAAGCCAAAACTCTCATCCCAGTGAGCTATGACTGTGGGTTTCTTATCAGCATGTCCCTGAACATCCTGGAAACCGTGGACTGGAGGAGAAAATATGTTAAAAGAGAAAATATGAAGATATACTATCTTTGCAAAAAGCAAAGCCATCAGAATGGCAGAATAAAGAGGAAAAAGTAAATTGGAATCAGCTCTACAGTGTATTTTCTTAGTCAATGAACACCATCTGGTTAAATCTAGTGGTCTTTTCTTGATCTTCATTTTGCTGGGCATTTCAGCTGCATTTGACAAAAGACTAATAATATCCTCTTAAAAGCCTTTCTTCCTTTTACTCTGGTACATCAGACATACTTTATTTCATCCCTGCTTCACTGGCAATTCTTTCCCAGCATCTTTTTTTTTTTTTTTTGTCTTCTTACTCTCCCTAGTCCTTAAATGTTGGGTTGCCAAGGGCCTAATCTAAATTTTTTTTCTTTTCGTCTATCAGCTCTTCCTCCCTAAGTAATGTCATCTAGTCCTACAATTAGTACCATTTATATTCTGCAAATTCCAAAATTTATCTGCAGCCTTAATGTCTCCCCCTGAGAATTTGATTAATAGCCTGCTCCCTGCCTAACAATTCTGCTTGGCCATGTAATAGTCAGCTAACATGAAACATGCCAATGTCCAAAAATAGATTTCCAATTCTCAATCTTTTCCACACCAACAGCTCCTCCAGGAAAAACATAAAAAGAGTAAGTTAAATTTATGTAATTGCTCAGAACAAAAACATATTTGTCATTCCTGAGTTCAGTCTATCTTCCAAATTTTCACTAATATGGAGAAAGGAAGCGTAAAATGAACTCTATTGAATTGGATCATGGGTATTCGTATCAACTCATGGTATTTAATATACACACGGATAATTAGAAGAGAGGTAGGTAAACGGACGGACAGATAGATAGATGATAGACATAGATACAGATGTCTGTATATGTAAGGATCAGTATACATACACATATTTTCTAGTTCTGAGCAGTGAGAGTACTTAGCAAAAATGACACCCCAGTAGTGAGAATACTGAGTGCCCAAATGTTGGTTTCTAAACATCATTCTCCAACAGCAGGAGGCAGGCCACTTTGGAGAAATTATTGATTCCAGGACTGGGAGAGTGAAGACACAAAATGAGTCCAGAATAAGTAGGGCTACCAAAAAGTAAAAAGATAATTTTAAAAAACAGGATTTCACAATGGGCCAAAGCTTAAACAATTTGATCAACAAAATACTGACAATACTGTGTTTTAACTCATAGATCCACCTACAGATATTAAAATTAGGTGAAAGTTGGTAGAGAAACATGATTTAATAGTCTCAAAGTAGCTCCCGCAAGATATCTTTCTTTTCTACACAGGTTAATTTAGTAGCTTACAGTTGAGAACCCCAGTACACACTATCATAACCAATTGGTCCAGATTAATATCCCAAATAAGATACATCGATCTCATGAACTGTTTTGTAAGATCCACCTAAAGGATATACATTTTTTTTTGTTATTCTTGCCTACACTGCATAAACTCTTCTCATTCTGATCACAAGAAAATATCAGACAAATCCAAAATTAAGGGACATTCTACAAAATAACTGATAATTCTCCAAAAGTGTTAAGATCATGAAAGAAAAAGAAACATTGAGGAACTATTGAAAATTGGAGGTGGCTAAGGAGAAATAAGAACTAAAGGCAACACAGGATCCTAGATAGGCTCTTGGAATAGAAGAAAAAAAAAAGACATTAGTGGGAAAACTGGTAAAATTTGAATAAGGGATGTTAATTTCCTGAAGTTATAATTGTACTACAGTTATATAATGTTAACATTAATGGATTTTAGATAAGCAGTAAATAGAACCTCTCTGTACACTGTTTGCAACTTTGCTGTAAGTCAAAACTCAATTAAAAAAATGTTTTCCAAAAAATAAACAAACTGCCATGGAATATTTGTGTGGTGTGCAAAGAACTGAAATCTATACTTTTTACATTTGAAATCTATTTAGAACTGCTTTTAAGGATAGAATTATCTAATGAAAGAAATTTAATAATTGCTGTATGTGAAATTTTTGTTTTCTGACAATTTGGGAAGCTCACATTTCTTATGTCATGGAGGCTGAAGTAGAAACCTGGGCAGAGTCATCATTCCAGACAGAAAATGAACCAGAGTTCAAATAAAGACCATATATATGTCTTCCTGCAATCCTCTGTCATTGTTTCATTGCACTTCCCTTTTCCCAAAGGTCCCTTCATGAACTATGTATTATCTGTCTCTAGGCTTCCCAGAGATTCCACAACCAGAAACATTCCAAGTAACACCTCTATGATAAATTCTCAGTAAGCTGGGGTCTTTTTCTTTAATGTGTATGAAGCAGTCACTTTGGTGACTGAGACCCCAGTAAAAAGTACAAGCAACCATTCGTCTCCCATTCTATTCTGACCACATAAAACAGCAGACCTTTGCTTGACTTTGAAATAAGAGGAATTGAAGTCCCAAATCCCCACAGCCCCTCTAGCCAGACTCCCATTAACCAGCCCCTCTCCCAAGCTGACTTCTAAAAGAACGAGCTCAAATACGGATGAGGAAGAATTTTAAGGAAAATCTAAAATATTTTGATAATAATATTCAGTGTATATTTAAATTCAATAGTGAAAATGAATTAAATTTATTTAGGAAATATCCATTGGAAACCTTTTTTTTCAATCCAGTTTTTAAAAAAGTAAATCCTAAAAAGAAAGTTGACTGTTATTTTACATATATTTTACACTAATAGGTACAATTTTTGAAACACTGAATATAAGAAATACTAGCTTACAAAGATAATTTAAAACAAAATCTCCAGATAGTTTTTTTAACTCCAAAACTAATCAGTCCGATAGTTCTTACAATAACAGAGGCTACTAATGCCATTGGAGAATATAAAATTAGAAAGAACATATAGAATATTAAAAGGAATAGACCTAGAAAAAAGTATCTACTGAATCAATGCTAATAATGTCATTATTTATAAAATCACAAGTTAAAAATGATTCCATGTAAATAAACCCACCGTGATACAAAGATATAAATACTCCAAATTCAGGTTTTTGCTTTTTAACTCTTTCAGAGTGTTCTCCTGGTACACGAAAGAGAAAATCTCTCTTCTTTTACAAATCCTCACCCACTTCAGTGCTGAAGGTGGATAACAGCCACTAGAGTAAGAGAGAGTTTTTACTATTTGCCTGTTAGCTGGAGAAGAAATTACCATAGAGGTCTGTGTATTTGCATTTGCCACTAAATTAGGTGCCCTGGAGCTTTCCGTGTATAAACAGTGTAAGCTGAAACAGTGTTCAAGGGTAAAAGTTAGACCTATCAATTTGAAGATTCTTTCTTGAGGAAGTAGTCCAATCTATATTTTTGTATTTAGTAAAACACTGCTTGAAGTGGAAATCAATTCCTAAGTTAATTTAAATCTAAAGCCGTTTGAGTATCCCGAAGTCTCACAGCACCTTAAAGCATTTTGTTACAAGGTTCCATTAGGGATAAAAATATACTTATGAAATACAAAGGTTACACATTGAATTTATACATATTATATAATAAAGCATACTCTGCACATAATATAGTGATGTGAATAAAATTTAACCAGGCTTTCCTAATCACTTTGTATCAGTCAGCTATTTGATTAAAGAAATGGAATATTAATAAATTTGCACAAGCTGCTAGAATGGTTGTCAGCCTCATTATTTCTAATTCCTTTTTCCCAGAATTTTTCATACCTCTAAGTTATTTTTACAAATTTCAAATCAAACTTTAAAAAAGACGTATAAACAAATTTATAAATGACAACTACAGATTCATATAGTAGAGCGGTCATGCAATAATTGTAGTTAATTGAGATTTTGATAACCATAAAAAATTCTAAAATGTTCTTAATTTAGCAAATAGTTTCTCTCATAATCTGAGCTACATTTGAAAAGATACATGTATGACTATTAAATACCTTGCATTAGAATACAACTTGTCTTAAATGAGCCTCTCTTGGTAGCCCTAGTAAAAACTAATGTATTGCATATTTTTCTTCCCCCAAAACGAGGGATTATTATAAACTTTAGGGAAATTTTATGAAACAAGAAGATAAAGTACAGTTAGTTTCAGGCAAAACTGAACCTTGAGGAGAGAAAGGACAGTTCCTCAGAAGGAATTGGACCTTGAAACTAGAAAGCATTCTGGGGGGGCTCTCTCTGTTTCTCTTTCTCTATGCTTCAGGGTCACTTATCACTAATATGAGCCGCACGTATCAACATTTCTGATGGGTGGATTCCCCAATGGTTCAAACCAAGGTTCTTGAAGTTCCCAGCACTTACTGAAGAGCCTGACAGTCTTCTCTGAGGCTCAATTTCATATTCCTATGGAGGTGACCCCAATGTTCCCATCTTGGCTCAGTTCCTTCACCAAGAGAGGGGGATTATGAGGGGTGCACAGGATCACAAATGACTCACCCTGGAAAAATAAAGGAGGGGAAAACGTTGCCCAATTCAAAGGCATTATAATAAAATAATAATAATAAAGTTGCAAAGCAAAGTCCTATATGAACATAGATGCTACATCTATGAACAGATAAAGTTTAGCAATATATGAAAAATATAGTACCTCAAGTTCAGCTGAAGTTTATCTCAGGTATGCAAAGTTCTTTCAATGTTTAAAAACAATCAAAGCAATTTATGCATTCAAAGAATAAAGAAAAAGTTATATAATCATCTCACTAGATGGAAAAAAAAGTTTGGCAAAACTTAACACCCATTGCTTATTTAAAAAAAAGAGCCTCAGCAAGTTAGGAATATAAGAGAACATTCATAATACGATAAAGGGCATCTATAAATATGTGTTGCTAATGTAATATGCAATGCAAAATATTGAATATTTTCCCTATAAGATAGGAAGGGTGTATGGATGTCTGATTTTACTTCTTCCATTCAGTATTAGGCTGATGGCTGTGACTAATGTGATTAAATAACCCCCCCAAAAAGTTATAAAGATTGGGAAGAAAAAAATAAAACTGCTTGTGATGGTTAATTTTGTGTGTTGACTTGGCTGGGCCACAGTGCCCAGACATTTGATCAAACATTCTGGATATTTCTGTGGAGGTGGTTTTTTGGAAGAGATTAACATTTAAATCAGTGGACTATGAGTAACGTCTATCACCATCCATAATGTGAGTGGGCCTCATCCGATCCCTTGAATGTGTTAATAGAACAAAGACTAAATTTCCCTGGACAAGAAAAAATTCTTCCAGCAGACTCCCCTTGATCTTGAACTGCAACTCTTTCCTGAGTCTGTAGCCTTCTGGCCTAACCCAAAACCCATTTTGAGCTTACCTAACCTCCACAAGTCATAAACCAATCCCTCAAAATCTTGCGCTCTCTCTCTCGCAAACACACACACACACACACACACACACACACACACACACACACACACACACGTACATCATGTTGGATCTGTCTCTCTGGAGAATCCTAATTGGTATAGATATTTATGTAGGAGAAATAAAAACCTATGTCTACAAACAGATTACACAAACGTGTTTTTAGCAGCTTTATTAAAAGTAATTTTAAGCTGGAAATACCCCATAACTTCATCAACTGAAGAATGAATAAACTGTGGTATAATTATATAATGCAATACTTCTCAGCAATAAATAGGAGCTAATAGATATATGAAACTACAGAGATGAATTTTTAAATAATGTGGTCTGGTCTAGGAAGATCTCATGAAGAAAATGACGTTTTGACAAAGACTTGATGGTGAAGAATCAGTGAGCCATGAAGCTATCTGGGAAAAGAGTGTTCTGGCAGAGATAGCAAGATCAAATGTCCCAAGGCAGGAACATGCCTGACATGTAGGTGAAAGAACGAGAAAGTGGTGTGGCTTGGAGCAGCTAGTGCACGGATCACAGAAACCCTGGAAAGCCATTTTCAGGACTTTGCCTTTTTATTCTGAGTAGATGGGGAGCCCCTAAAATGTTGTCATACAGGACTCACATCACCAAGCTTACATTATAAAAGATTGATCTGCAAATTCTCTTTTCATTTAGAAAGATTTGATTCCCTTTGGCATGTATAAAAGTAAGCAAGAAGTTGTGCATTTAGTTATAACTTAATTACTGAGCTCTGTCAAGCCCAATCTCTATTACAATAATATTAATACACTTAGCAAGTATTAAGATGGAAACAATTAAAAATATTACTGTATTTCTGCAATTTGATCACTACTCTTATCAGTATTTCTCAACAATGTCATGTAAAAAGAAAGTGATCTTATCCTAAAAGTCGTACAAGCCCTAGTTGGTAAACAACATAAAAGCTAATTTTCCAAATTGCAAAATCCTAGGTGACATGAAAGAACTTGCATCTGTGCATTTGTGTTTTAGTTACAAAGAGAAATAAATGTTTGACTAATATGCAAAGCAAAGTTTGAATTCTTAACACTACTCATTGGTCTTCTCATTTATATAATGAGTTTTTTCAGAAGTACTCAGAAAATATATGTTAAAATTAATCCTTTTTGTAAATTAGGTATGAAATAATTTTCAGATTTGAGTTTATTTGTGTAGTCTTAAGGACTGTTTAACCCACTGTGTTAGGTTGAATAATGTCCATCTAGATATCCACATGCTAACGTCTAAACCTGTGAATGTTAGCTTACAGGGTAAAGGGACATTACAGATGTAATCGAATTAAGGATTGTGAGATGGAGAGACTATGATAGATTGTCCAAGTGGGTCCGATGTAATCGCAAAGATCTTATAAGAGGGAAGCAGGAGATCAGAGAGGATAAGGTCACCTAATGATGGAAAGAAATTAAGACTTGAAGACGCTATGCTACTGGTTTTGAAGATGGAGGAAGAGACCATGAGCCAAGGAATGTAGGGAGTGCATCTCTAGAAGCTGGGAAAGGGAAGGAAGAAGATGCTCCTTTCATGGTACAACAACTTATATTTCTTTGGGTATATACCCAGTAATGGGATTGCTGGGTCAAATGATAATTCTGCTTGGAATACTTTGTGAAATTGCCAAACTACTTTCCATTGTGGCTGAACTAATTTACATTCCCACCAGCAGTGTACAAGCATTCCCTTTCCTCCACAACCTCACCAGCACCTGTTATTTTTTTTACTTTTTGATAATAGCCATTGTGCCTGGTGTGAGATGGTATCTCATTGTAATTTTGATTTGCATTTCTCTAATAATTAGTGAGGTTGAATATTTTTTTCCTATGCTTGCTGGCTGCAAGTATGTCTTCTTTTGAGAAGTGTCTGTTCATGTTCTCTGCCCACTTCTTAATGGGGCAAACATAAATAAAACCAGTCTAATGTTTAAAAAGAAAATTCTCCCTTCAGAACTTCTGGCAGGAACCATCCATGCCAACACCTTGACTTTAGTTCGATAAATCTGATTTTAGACTTCTATCCTTCAAAACTGTAAGAGAATAAATTTGTGTTGTTTTAAACCAATAATTTTGTCAGAATGTGTTACAGTAGCAATAGGAAACTAATACACCCACAGTATGAATTAAAAATCAGAAATTTTCCTTTTTTATACTATGTCAAATGCTGCCAATGAAAAAATTACACTAATTTTTTTAGGAGCTTACAGTCGGAAGAATTGTCTAAAGTTTAGTCAAGCTGAAGGGAATATTAAACCTATTTTTGTTAAAGGCTACTAAAAAACTCTTGAAACCAAAGCAGATATTTATCTCAGTAAAATTCTCCACTTATATAAACATATTTGTTTATACTTTTTATTAAAAATATGGAAGTTTTATAATTACAGCAATAAATCACATTAACAAAAAAAGACAATAATTATTTTAAAGAAACAAATTGAAAGTGTCACTTTAAGCTCTTAAAATGTAAATAAAATTATTCCTAACTGGACTGTGAATGTTTTTTGTTCGAACAATGGGAAAGAAATATTACAGAATCTTGAAATTATTTAATGAGCTTATTTCTCCTTAACATGGAGGAGACCTAAGAAAGAATAAGAGAGTTGTGAAAATGCAATGTACAATTAGGAAAAAGTAGCAAAATTTTTAAAAAATTAAATACTAGTAGGGAATATTGGTGCATTTTATAGAATAATTCTCAAGTGTTCTGAATTATTCTTACAATATTTGTTGAACAAATATTATGTTGTAAAAAATGGGAAAATAAAATTATTGAGAAAAAGTATATACACTTAAAATATACATAAACTAACATATGAACATAAATAAATTGCAGTAGAACGTCTTAAATGACGTTATAGAGATAGAAGGAAAAACACTGTGGGGTTTTAGTATTAGAATATCTAGCTCTGCCTCCAGAATGAGAAACTCTTCTCATTTGGGAGGAAGTAATATCTGAACTGACTTGAAGAGGAATGAAAATCACAACACAAAAAGAGGACTGGAAAAAGAATTCAGAAGAAATATCATGTGAAAATTCTTTAAAAATAAATAACCTAATTTGTCAAGATTATGGAAAGTTCACTTTTATGGGAAAAGTAAGGCACCGTTAACATATAATAGAGATAAAAGCAGCCAAAGTGTACAAATATCAGTGATGGTAAAATAAGTAACTACATAAATATAATAATATTAGAATAGAAGCAGTATAAATAGCTACCATTTATTGAGCACTTAGGCAAGACACTCAATTGAATTATATGTTTTATAATATTTAATTATCAAACATAAGGAGAAGATTTTATGTTTGTTTTACTGATAAAGACCCAAAGTTTAGAGAAGGTAGAGAATAGTTTAGAAAATTGGGAAAGACCTTGTGTGCTCTAAGAAATTTGGAGACTAATCTCTGGAAATATGGAACAAATAAGATATCAATGTGGCCTTTTTGGTTATATTATTATTATTATTATTAGAGAAGGAATAGGGTGAAATATGTTATTAAATAAAATAACTTAATGACAACATAGAGAATATAGTTGGCAATAAAATTGAGAGATCACTGGTGATGTAGCCAATATAGTGGCCTAATTAACAGTTTGTGTTAAAGATGGTAAGATTCTTAAGCATGAGTTTTATATATTATGTACATCTGGACTCAGCCCAGATCCAGGCAATAAAATTCAATATACATGAGTTTAGCAGAACTGAATAACAAACTAGAAAAGTAAAATATTCAGAGGCAAAATGGAAAATAAAAACTATTATAATAGCCACTAAGTGGCTGATGCTTATACTTATTTTCTCACTTAATAACCAGAGAAATTTCTGAAATAATTATTAATGCAATTTTAGAGACAATACCACTGAGCCTCATAAATACATTCATTGAATATAAGAATCATCCACCAAATTCATAGTCTACAGGCTAGGCAAGAATGGCACTGGCTAGCTGGAGTTGTTCACGTAGCAGTGGCAGGATTTTGAGAATGAACAAAAATGTGCAAGGCATCTTGAGGCTAGTACATCGTCACATAGCAAGTACATCGTCACTTCTGCCAAATTCTATTGGTCAAAGAAATCACCAATTCAGGGTGGGGTAATGGATTCTACCTCTTGATTAGCATATCTGCAGGGCCATATGGAAAGAAGTTTAGATAGAAGAAGAAGTAAACATTTGGAGTTATTTTTTGTAATCACTCTACCAAAATGGGTAAGTCTTGGAGTTCCTCTTTCTGCCCTTGGATTTCTGCTACCTAAAATTAGGAGGGGTAGAGACAGACTTTCCAAAGATCTGTTGGCATTTAAGGCAAAATTGTTCTGAAAATAGTATCTGAACTATAGGCTCCTCGACACACGATCCCAGATTCTGTTCCAAGTAGCACCTTGTACAAGGGTAGGTCTTGCATAGGTCTGCTGGGAGACCTATGTACTGATACTTGAAAATTTTTGCAATGATAGAAAAATGAATCTACCCAGTTTCTCTGCTACATCATTATAAGCAAGTTATGTCACAAAATATAATTAACCAAAGCCAAAAGAACAAAAACCACAACAACAACAAAAAAAAACCAAAATCCTCTCTGCACCTATCTTCCTCTTCTGGGTTTGAACATTCACCAAAAGTTTCTCTCTTGATATGGTCCCGACACAAGATCAGATCTTATGACATTAAGCCCTGTTTATTTTACATTGATTCATTTGTTTATCTATTCAACAACTTCTGACTAATAAGATCCAATAATGGGAATTTGTCATAGCTTAATGTGATTTAAATGAGAAGAATGGGTTTAGATAACTGTTTAGAAATCTCTTTTTAAATTAAGACACTATTGGGAGTATATATGTATCTAAAACCTGATATTCAACTTCCATATTGATTGTTTGCCTCCTTATTTGCTGGTGACATAGTGGAGACAGCAACTTTAATAGTGCATTAACAAGAATAGTCAGAATGATTAAGTGTAATTTGAGGAATGGCTTGGTAAGAGTATTATATTCAGAAGAGAAAAGTTCATACGAGAGACATCGTAAAGAATGTCCAATTTTGTTTAAAGTGGATACTGGGTGGAGTAAAGACTTAATGAAGACCCGAGGGGGAGGAGTTTGTCTTTAAAAGAAGTCAGAATACTTTAAAGAGAGAAACAAAGTACGAAAAGCTGTGTGAGAATCTACAAATAGTTTTATAAGAGAAAAACAAAAAGGATACTTGAAATAGGTTATACTAATGTCTATAAGCTCAGTAATGCAGATAATGAGCTCATTTTCTGATAAGCGTTATTTAGGAAGACAGTAAGAGAAGTTCTAGTACAGTTAACTGTGGAAATTTTGAAATGGACTTGTCTGGAGAAAAAAAAGTAAGCAGAGCCAGTTAAATCTGATCACCAGGGACCAGTTAAATCTGATCAGTATGACTTGCAGTGGACCTGCAGAGCTCACGACACAGGTGGCTCATCAATAGTACTGAGCAGTGCCCCATTTTGACAAGGGGTCAAAATGAAATGGTTTTAGATAACTGTTTAGAAATTTCTGTTTAAATAAAATTACCCCAGATGCTCTGAGTGCATCATTCAACACTGCATAAAAGTATCCTGATACTTTACAGTACTAAGTGCTTTATGAACACTTTCATTAGTTATCTTTTCCTCGGCTTGCCTGAAGGTTCCAGTGTGCAAATAACTCTCAGTTAGTTCTTGGAAAGTGCATTAAGTCTTTGAGGTTTAATGCTCTAGGGTGACATTCAGTCTCTCAGAGTAGTAATTTACTAAATTGTAGGGTGGGGTGCTGTCTCCTTTATCCAGAGAAGTGAACTGGAGCAAAGAATTAAGGGACGCGTCCATATTCAAAAAGCCTACTATAGAACTGTAATAGTAGAACCAGTGAACATAGGGCACGAGTACTACATAAAAAAGAAAAGTGGGTTTCCCTTTGATAATATATTATTTCCAATTGGCTAATAAAAAGGAAGCTAGCATATAAAAAGCATGCAATTTTGTTAATTAGATCAGCGTGATCTCTGCAGTCTTCTCTAAAAGTATTCAATACTTTGGGCTATTTAAATCCATTTATCCCTTTTTGAAATAAACTAAATGGAAAGCATACTTTCAGTGGTAGATATAGCTTTCTTTTTATCTGGGACAAAGGATTTCTCTCAAACTTACCAAACATCTTGTCTTCAAGTAACAGGAATTTATTTTGCATCAGTTCAAGCTGTCCTGTCTGCCAAAATGATCCATGTTCAATGACTTTTAAAATGACTGGAGCAACTCAACTCAACTGTGCTCTCGTACCCAGGCTTTTATAAAAGCAGGGAAATTGTTTTAATATTTTGAAAGGCATCAATTAGGATGACTCCATTTAAAGCACTAAGTGGCTTAATGGCATTTTCAGTGCTATGCAAAATATTCTAGCCATGAAAAAAAATTAACTAACTACTAATATGTGGGAGCTCATTAACTTCAAAAGATATGCCTGGCATATAGAAGTCTAGTGCAGCAGCTAGAAAATTTCTGCGTAGTTAGTTCTTTTATCTTCTTAATTTAAATGAAAATGAATAGAACACATTACTCTAACCATCTAATTGAAAAATAATTTTATTGGCATAAATATGGCATATAAATGAGAATTAAAGTGTAAAATTTGCAGTATAGATGTAATATAAAATCTTTGGACAAGCAATGTGTCTAAGAAAACATTTCAATTAAATTGCTATCAATTGCTAAATTAAACATACACTATTCAGATTTGTAGAGAAGTGTCTTTGGATGAGGAGTAATAACTGTAAGCCACATTACAAGTAGGTCTAGCTTTTAATGTGTAGATTTTATTGCTGTTTTTTCTATTAATGCCAAAAGAAGGCTAAAAACACAAATAGCAAAACCAGGCAACTGTAATGAGATTATAGATTGGACTCAGAGGAAGTAACCACCTGAAACCTGGCTCCATCTGATTTTTATAGCATTCTAGGAACAGAATATTTCCCAGGACACTTATTTACTTTGAAGAGCAAAAAAAGTTAGCTACCAACCTTCATTTGCTTCTCCCAAAGATATTGTTTCCTTTACATCAAACAATGCTAACAACCAATTCTGTTCAAAGATAGTATTAAAAAAGAAACCTTTGATCTAGCTTTTGAGTATTATAAGTACATCAGATTTCCAAAAAAAAAAACATTTATTTTCAACTCACTAAAATCATATATCTTCCATTTCTACTTTTAGCGTATTCAAAAATGGATATTCAGAAACTCACAAGGAAAAAATCATTTACATGGCCTTTTATTTGGCATTCAGTATAGAAAATAAGGCAATTATTACAGATTTTGGAAGTATTGTATTATCAGTGTGGACAGTCCTATGTTAGTTTCATACAAAACAAAGAAAAACTCATTTTCAGTAAGCATTCTCAAAAACTGATAACATGAGGAATTTTCAGCTTTTATGTTTGCATTTTTCCTAATATTGTTATAGCTTACATCAAGCCAAAGAGGAAAAAAATTTACTAAGATGGAGATTCTTTCTGTTTTCCTAAATCCGTGACACCAAATATGTCAACTGTGGCATGAGTAGACAAATCAGAAAAGGAGCAAAACATAAGGGTACAATACTGATAACAAAGTCCCTAAGGAGATAGAAATTTGTTGTTGTTGCTGTTGTTGTTGTTATTGTTGTTTCTGAAACAGAGTCTCACTCTTTCACCCAGGCTGGAGCGCAGACGCATGATCTTGACTCACTGTAGCCTCCGCCTCCAGAGTTTAAGCAATTATCCTGCCTCATCCTCCCTAGTAGCTGAGACTATAGGCATGCACAACCATGCCGGCTAATTTTCGTATTTTTAGTATTTTCGTATTTTAGTAGAGACAGGGTTTTGCCATGTTGGCAGGGCTGGTCTTGAACTCCTGGCCTCGAGTGATCCACCCGCCTCAGCCTCCCAAAGTGCTGGGATTACAGCTGTGAGCCACCACACCTGGCTGAGAAATTTGTTTTGAATGTTAAATTCTGAGTATAGTTTGGGTTACAAAATTAGTATCAGTTTTCTTCTCTCTCTCCTTCTGGAATTCCAGTCAGCATGGGCAGCACTATGTTTAGATTGAATCAGATATGTACTCAAGATCTCAAAACACTTCGTAAAAAGTCACAAATTGAGAAGGTGGGGACAAATACCTAAAGTTGAAATTCGTCTCCAGTCAATGTCAATACATTAATTTAAAATATGCCTGAATATAGTTTTGAAAATTTAGTCTTTCTACATAGTAGTTCAATTCACATATTCACCATTAAATCCTGTAAGGCTAATTTTCAATAGTTACATAACCAACTGCATAGACCAAGAAAGTAGTGTGTCTGGGTCTCCTCTGTTAGACGTGAAGCTTCCTCTAAACTCCACCCTACAAGATAAGGAATCTTGCATGCTGTCAGTTAAACTCAAATGCTAGGATTATACCTCTAAAGATTATAACCAAAGATTGTTCTGTAACCATTAGATTTCCATATACATAACCCCATAAGAAGGACCTACTAGATGGAAATAATCTTCTATTACAAAGTTTATTTCAGAATAAGGCTATGCAGAAGAACTGCATTGTTCAAATCTCTCTTATTCATTAATGAATGTGATATGAAATGTAAGCTCATCTTGGACTCTTAATAGATTCTGTACAAATAAAATTAACAATTAACTTAGTATTGTCTTGTTATCTGGTGACTAAAGGGAATCAGGTTAAGGGTCTCTAATCATCCAAATTTATAGTAAAGGCTTTCATACCAAAGTCATGCCTGCTAGACACTCTCTGATATGGTAGTACTAATTTGTAACAGTGGTTAAGCATAGGAAGTCTAGAAACAATAACCAAATTCAAATTCTAACTGTATCATTTGCCAGCTATATGGCTATAACCCAGTTACTTAACTTCTCTGTGCCTCGCTTTCCCCATCTATAAAATGAAGATAATAATAATAATAAAATACACATCTTCTAGGATTGTTGAGGGGACTAATTAGTTAAATGTAAGCAAAGAAGAGTAGCTAGTTCAGGGTCACAATATGAAAATCTTCCCTATGATGGGAAAGGCAATTTAGAATAACTGTTATAAACACAGACACTGGAACCAAAATGCCTGGATTCAAATCCTGGTTCTTTATGTACCAGCTATAATACTGTAACCTTGGAAACATTTAATTAATGTCTGTCTGCTTCAATTTACTTACCTGCAAAGTTTGAAAAATAATAGTAACTAACTCATGTAGGGCTTTGTGGAAAGTCAATAGTAACTACTCATGTAGGGCCTTGTGGAAAGTCAATAAGAGGTTTATGTATAACGGTAAGTTGTTATACATAAACCTTGCTGGAAGACACCTAGCAAAGATAAAGTGGTGTGTAAATGTCTGACATCATATTTTTACTACTGGGATAAAGATTCCAAAATTGCTTTGATAACTTCATATACTGAATATTCAGGAATGTGAAGACCTTGTAATCTAGAGGGTAAAGCATAAATGTCCAAGTTATGGTTTCACTAAGTACGTTCTCTTGTAATCATACAACAATGATTTTATACTAACAACGTGAGTTGCTATAATTGCAGAAATGCATGTTGGTCAAGATACCAAACTTATAAGTGTTAAATACAAATATATCTGATCTGCTATAAAAATTGTCATGAGAAGAGAGGAGAAGGAAGTAGCTGTTTTCACAGGAACTGACCTATCTTCCATACTGGGATATCTGCTTTTATCTAGGGTAATGATCAACAACTACATTTTTACAAAAAGAAAGTAAGATCAGGGTTTGTATGAAAGTCAATATGCTGTTTGTGATCGTGTACTCTAGTTTTGCAAGTGTTAGCACTGAGGGAAACTGGATAATGGGTTCACGGATGTCACTGTATTATTCCTCACAAGTTCATGTAATCCTACAATTCTCTAAATGAAATTTTCAACTCAAAATGTGAACTTTTCCCAAAAATGGAGTCTTGCATGTCCTACCCTTCACCACAATACATCAGAAAAATGTGAATGACACAGAGAATGCAAAAATCAATCAAAAATGATGGAGAGTCTAGAGGAAAAACTATTACATAGCTATTTTAAAATACAGTGTATTCATAGAAAATGTGAGGTATCTTAAAGACAACAGATCAAGAAACACTCCTATTGAAAAGACAGTTTGTTACTCACAGTTCCCAGGAGGACATGGCATGTCACCAAGGTGGGGGAGTGGGAGGGAGTATAGGGCACATGGGAAGCACAAAAGCCAGTCAGGAGAAGGTAGAAGGAGAGCAAGTAACTATGAGCAAGAGCCTGTTTTGTGGTTTCTGCGAGAAGAAACTGGAGAGGCAGAGGAAGCAGGTTTAGGAATGGCTAGCTGGAATAATTTCAACAGGCTCTAGGGCATGGTGGCTGTCCTTAGTTGCCTGGTACCCAACCTTGGGGTAATCAGGGCAGGAAGATAGTGGCCCAGTGAGATCTAGATAAATTAAGTGGTTGGTGTATAGGTTCTGGATTACTTGGCTTATATTTGAAAAAGGCACCCCTAGGAGGAGGACTCCATTAAGTGGGGTCAGAGGGGAGGGGTGATGAGGTGGAAAGAGGCCAAGGGTAGGTGACTCAGATGTAGCAACAAGTTGTTCATAACAAGGAATGTCCAGCATGTGCATGCAGGGCAGATAGTAAAGCATCAAGTTTGCAGAAGCATGAAACATGGTTAATGCAACGTCTAAGTATAGACGCATATGCTTTCCTGGATGCATAAGTAATGCAGGCAGCCAGCATGTGCCAAACATATTAGAAGGAGACAGACCCTTTTAAAATGAATTGGTAATAGCTGAATTTCAAGTAGGGATCTGGGGCATTTGCAGAGGCAGCAGTTAAGTACTTTTTACTAATAGTTACATAGCACTCAGGTGAATACATTCATTTACACGAATTTGTCCAGGTAATTAGTTTTGTCAATTAATAACGTGTGGTATATTTTCACCACTTTTAAATTGGTATTCTTTAAAACATCTGATTTATAGAATAAATTTATATAACATTATATTAAGAAGTTTAATGAACCTAAAAAATTATTAATACAGATATTAAATGTTGTGGGTATAGAATACATAGTGGCACAGAAGCCTGAGCTGCATAATCCATTAGCTTCACCCAAACACAGATGCTTCCTTCCTTTGGGAGCTTCCAAGCATCTTTTAGATGTGCTCATTTTTCCATACAACCTTCAAGTTTTCCCAGAATGCCATGCATAGGCTAATTTCCATCTTCTCCCAGACTCACACAAAATCTCATTAGTGTCAGAAGCTTGTTCCTTCCCCTAGGCTGATCCCCAAGAAAAGCATATATTTGGTCTTGGTGATGGGAAGAAAAAAATCCTCTCAACCTC
Source organism: Homo sapiens (assembly GCF_000001405.40). Taxonomy (NCBI): domain Eukaryota; kingdom Metazoa; phylum Chordata; class Mammalia; order Primates; family Hominidae; genus Homo; species Homo sapiens. The sequence continues at coordinate 64,708,387 of NC_000010.11, read as the reverse complement.
ATCAAGTCATATGCTCCTTCTTCTTAAAGTCCCATAGGCCACCCTCAGTTTCACAGGAAGACTTTTTGATTTTTCAACCTCTTCTCCACCTGAGGCAAACACATTATTTATACCTATATAAAATGCTAGTAGGAAAAAGGATTTTTATTCATTTGCTGATAATCACTATTTTTTTGTACTCTCCTTTAAAGTATACCCAGCTCTTATTTTTTGTTTGTTTGGGTTTAATCATGTGGTCTTAATGTTAAATCATTACTTTCCCATTAAACTGTCTTTGCATTCCTTAGACAAAGTCCCAACCTGCTAGTCCTTGTTCTGCATGATAGGAATAGAAACACTGATACTTGCACATTATAGAGGTTTTGTGAAGACTATAAGATATAATAGAGGCAAGTCACTAAACATAGTATCTGATAAATACTAAGCACTAAAATTTAGTTATTATGGATATGATTATCTAAAAACTCTAGATAAATTATATATGGTGCTTGGTTATTTTGTTTCTGTTTCAAAGTTACTGTGACATTAGTGATATAAAATAAAAATGAGGAAGTAGATAATCCTAAAAAAGCCAGCATAAAAAATGGATTCATGATGTATTTAAGATTTCCCCTTTCTTGAAAAACATAAAAAGAAATAAATCCAGAAAAGATAAGAACAATTAGTATTTCTCAGCCATTTTCAGCTGAGTATTCACACAAATTTTTAGAGAAAACGAACAAAACATTTCTACCAGAATCTACTGCGTACTCTTTAGCATGACTGCAAATATTACGCATCTTTTCCTGCAGTGTAAGCACAGTTATTTTAAAAAAAAGCATTGGTGTCTCTACAAAATTCTGATATTGTTATTTAGCCTGGTTATGGTGATCATTTCACAATTTGTACATATATCAAAACATCAAGTTGTGTACCTTAAATATATACAATTCCTATGTGTCAATTATACATTGAGAAAGCTAAAAATAATTTTTAAAAAAGAAAATCACCATTTGACAATCATCATCACAATCATTATTGACCAAGAATCATCAATGGATCTTAAAAGTTTGACGAGAAACGGGATATTAACATAGTCTCAAAGTATATCCTAAAAATACTAAATTAATATTCATCAATACATTATTAATTAATAAACACAATATACTTTTAAATTAACTTTGCCAACTACAGTACTTGGGAGATACCATCTAAATCAATTGGTTACATTTTACCTAAATAAAAACTGGTAACAGGGCAAATTAACCTTGTGTTTTCTCCTGATACCATATACTGAGAAGAATACCGCATCACTTCTTATGCATAAATGTATAAGTCATAAGGAAACATCAGACAAATGAAAATTGAGGGAAAGTCCAAATAACTGACTTGTACTTTTCAAAAATGCCAAAATTATGAAAGTAAAGATTGTTCCAGACTGAAAGAGACTAAAGAGAGGAGACAACTAAGTGCAACAGGTGATCTTGAGTGGAATTCAAACCTATAAATGACATGAATGGCATAATCACTATAATTTCAATAGATTTTATGGATTAGATAGATTCCAAAACATCAGTGTTATTTTCCTGAGTTGAGATTGTGCTGTGGTTATACAGAAGAGTGTCGTCGTCTTTAGGAAGTACATGCTGACCTGTGAAGTAATAAGGAACATCACATCGGCAACTTACTCTCAGATGATTCAGAAATGTTAATAATTGAATGAAGACTATAAAGGAGCTCTTTGAACAATTTTTGCGTTTATTGAAAATGTAAACTGATTTCAAAATAAAATATTAAAAAGGATTTTTAAAAAGAATCAAGGTTAAAAGATAATTTGTTATTAAGTAAATAAAATAGTTTTCTGAGATTTTCTGGGATTGACAAAGCACTACGTCCTACAGCTCAACACAGCACTATATAATTTTTTCATTAAGAAACCTAAAATGTAGAATATGCAAATCCTGGAAACTTGACCAGTAATTTCTTTCTTGAAAAACCATGCAAAGTGCGGCCCTAGGAGAACAAACTGGAATTTTAACGTAACAAGAAGCCCCATTATAAAAAATAATAATAAGTAAAATGCTAATGTTTGATACATTGGGAATTCCCTGCATAGAAGACAGCAGGAGATGAAAAACAGAAGGACCATTAACACCCAGAACTCATTTTCCTCAATGCTAAAGAGAAATGTAGCCACACTGAAAACTAATGAGAAAGTAACTAAGGCAAGTGGGAAGCAGAAAAAGAGGCATGCTGAGGGTTCCTGGTAAACATCCTTAACCTGTCAGCTCTTACTTAACATAAGCACCAACAGAACTTTCATGCATATTTCCTTCTTCTTTCAGAAAATGGGAGGTCCCACTGGAACAGAGGAAAGAGGATGAGAATTCAAGTCGCATCTGTTTGAGGGATGTTGCTGTTTTTGAGGAAACTTTGAAGCCCAAAGGCGCTCCAGAAGACAGTGAACGAATGAGTATCTAGTGCTGATGAAAACAGAAATTTTCTGATAAATACCTGTTCAAATATAAAGGTGGCATAGATTCTCAGAAGTATAGCAATTATAGGCATTTCTTCATATCAAAAAAAAATCACTCAAGGAAACAACTTCTTTAGCCAAATGAAAAGGGGAATCTCAGCAGAAAGTCAAGGAATATGCATCAAGTCCACGTGGAAGAAAAGGTATGTTAAACAATTATGAGAAATAAGAAACACATTGAGATTTGAAGTTTTACATTTGATAATGTAAAAATTAAAATGTAATATAAATGGTGAGGTAAAGGTAAAGGCATAATGTAAATAAATATAATTTAATCCTAATAGGCTTGTATTGACTTTCACAAAGTCTTATCTAAACTGGATTAAACAACTGTGATACTCACCGTCTCACATAGCTACAATTTCAGTTAGTGAGACATCCATACAGTGAGCAATCTGTACCTCAATGATGTCATCAAAGACCCGAGACCTTTTTGACTTTGTTCTATGATTGTCAGCATTGACTTACCCTCTGCTTATTTTCATAAGTAAGCACCTAGAAGTGATCCAAATCATGTACCTTGTCCCCCTTCACGTTTGACATTAAAGTTAGAGTAAACCACTCCCACAACTATGAAACATTATTCCTTCCTTGCAATGAAATTGAAGTGACATATCTCCCTACTCACTATTAGACTAATAGCTGCCATCGGAAGTAATAGCATTTGCTGACTGACATAGATAGAATAAGAAGGTCAGTGTCTGAGTTCAGACACAGCATCCCCAGGGTCATATTGCTGTGTGGAGCAAAGGTATATAGTTGTATAAAACAGAGATCTGTTAGGAAGGCAGCAGGTATGAGGAAATGAAGGAGGTGGGATGAATACTGGGAAGGAAATCCAGATTCTATGTTCTCCATTTTTGACTTAATTTTAAGTTTACTTCTGCTTGTTATTGTACATAAGCACCTATGAGTGATTCAAGTCCTGTACCAGTTCCCCCATCACATTTGACAGCAAAGTCAGAGCAAACCTCTCTCCCACAACCATGAAACATTAATCCTCCCTCTTAAGATGAAGGTGGATAACCAAGAAACAGATTTAACTATATAATTTAAAGTCATAAGTATATTAACCAAATAATGATTTTTAATTTTCGTTAAACATTTTTTGCAGTTTTATTGAGATATAGTTGACAGAAATTGTATATATTTATGGTGTGAAATATGATGTTTTGATATATACACACATTGTGGAAATGATTACCACAATTAAGCTAATTAACATATTCATCACCTCACATAGTTGTCTTTTACAGGAATAGAATTATCACCTGATATAAGCTACAACAATAAAAAAAGTATTAAATATTCTTACCTAATGGAGTAACAGATATTTGAAAAAAGAAATCTAAACAAAAAGAAAATAAAATGCATCTATTTGCTATAAGAGACATGAATAGAACAGGTGACTGAGAAAAAATAAACTCAGGTGGCTGAGGAAAATAAATCCTGGAAAGAGACTTTCCAGACAAATATTAACAGATTTTAGATAGTTATAATATTAATATCATACCTTAATTTGTGTAAACTACACAAAATGTTTCACTTTATAGCAAAAAAGATTCGTTCCATAATGTGTATAACTGTCATAAATATATAAACATCAGAAAATGTAATCAATACAATTCATAAATCAAAAGTTCCAGAAGTGCAAGAATAACTTAATATAACAGGAAACAAATAGTAGTAAAATGTACATTATCACTGTCAGCCAATGAGAAATCAACTAGATTAAAAACAAGTAATGGTTGCACCAGATAACTTGAAGTGGACCTAAATGTAAGAGCTAGATTGGAAAAACATTTTTTTTTTTTTTTTTTTTTTTTTTTTTTTTTTTTTTTTTTTTTTTGAGACGGAGTCTGGCTCTGTCACCCAGGCTGGAGTGCAGTGGCGCGATCTTGGCTCACTGCGAGCTCCGCCTCCCGGGTTCACGCCATTCTCCTGCCTCAGCCTCCCAAGTAGCTGGGACTACAGGCGCCAGCCACCATGCCCGGCTAACTTTTTGTATTTTTAGTAGAGACGGGGTTTCACTGCGTTAGCCAGGATGGTCTCGATCTCCTGACCTCGTGATCCACCCGCCTCGGCCTCCCAAAGTGCTGGGACTACAGGCATTAGCCACGGCGCCCGGCCGGAAAAACATTTCTAAATAATATTACAGAGATAGGGTTACATTTCTAATTTGCAAAAATGGATAAAAATTAATTAGAAACACATAAACAAATTAAGTAACAGGCAAAGAACACGAGGAATAGTATATAGAAAAAGAAATACAAATGGCCAAATAATTACATATTATTTTTTATCTAAGAGATTAGATGATACTCTATTCCATCAATGAAGTATGTAAATGGGCATTCATATTCATATGCATTTGGTGTGGTAAAAGATTAGTGCAAATTTTCCAGAAGACATCGTGTTGTCAAAATATACAATGGTCTCTTTGAATAAGCATCACATTGCTAAATACCTTAAAGACACAATGACAAGTTTGCTAAGGAAAAAGAAAAAGCAAGAATGCTATTAGACTCAGACACGTAAATACAAAGGAAAGCCCTCGCCCAACAATGGAATCCCAGCAAATAAATTGAGCTATATATTTTTAATGAAGTGGCTTGGTGTTTACTGACAACAAAATGCTTTTCTTGTAGATTATTTAGGGAAATTTTCAAGATGCAGAACTACTTATAAAACCTGGTCGTTTTGCAGTAAATAATACAATAATACGTAAATTGACATACATGTGAGAATTTGATGTACATGTGCATGATGTCTACATGTGTGTCTATGGGTATGTGGAAATTGAGAAAATAACCATACTAAGAGATACCCTGAGAAGAACAAGGCAAACTGTAGCCCAAACACATTCAAAAGGAATCTAAATTTCAGAGTCAGAAATAATTACATGAAGTTCAGCTGTTAAGGAATGTGCAGAAATTCTTTTTTACCTTACATGACTTTATTAGAAATTTTTTTTGGATTGAAAGATAAATTGATTAAATATTAAACCCGATAAGTTTGAAACATGATAAAATAAAAGAAACAAGAAGAAAGGGCTTATAAGGTAAAAGAGAAATTAAGGAAATAGAAAACAAAGAAGATGGCGTAGATTGCATCATGAAGAAAAAAAAATTGTAACTATTTATTTAGCACCTCTTAGCTTCCAAGTACTGTATGCCAGGTACTAGGAATATGTTTCTTTTTTGGTTTGTTTTGTTTGGTTTTTGTTTTGTTTTGTTGTGTTTTTTTTCCTTCAATTTTTACGGTAAGCTCAGGGGTACATGTGCAGGATGTGCAGGTTTGTTACGTAGGTAAATGTGTGCCATGGTGGTTTGCAGCACAGATCATACCATCACCCAGATATTATACCCAGCATGCATTAGCTGTATCTTTCTGATGCTCTCCCTTCCCCTGACACCCTCCCTGACAGGCCCCAGTGTGTGTGGTTTCCCCACCACGTGTCCATGTGTTCTCATCATTCAGCTCCCCCTTATAAGTGAGAACACACTGTCTCTGGTTTTCTGTTCCTGTGTTAGTTTGCTGAGGATAACGGCTTCCAGCTCCATCCATGTTTCTGGAAAGAACATGATCTAATTCCTTTTTATGGCTGCATAGTATTCCATGGCATATATGTACCACATTTTCTTTATTCAGTGTATCACCGATGGGCATTTGGGTTGATTCCATGTCTTTGCTATTGTGAATAGTGCTACATTGACCATACATGTGCATGTATCTTTATAATAGAATGATTTATATTACTTGGGGTATATACAGTAATGTGATTGCTGGGTCAAATGGTATTTCTGCCTCTAGATCTTTGAGGAATCGCCACACTGTCTTCCAAAATAGTTGAACTAATTTACACTCCCACCAACAATGTAAAAGCATTCCTTTTTCTCCACAACCTCACCAGCATCTGTTGATTTTTGACTTTTTAAATAATCGCCATTCTGACTGGCATGAGATGCTATTTCATTCTGATTTTGTTTTGACGTTGAGCTTTTTTTCATGTTTGTTGACCATATGTGTGACTTTTTTTGAAAAGTGTCTTTTCGTGTTCTTAGCCAACTTTTTTCTTGTAAATTTGTGTAAGTTCTTTGTAGACTCTGCATATTAGAACTTTGTGAACTCTGGGCTTCCCCATAGCAATAAATAGGCAGGAGTAAGGGGTGGTGTTAAAAGGCAATATTTTCTAGACTTCAAAGGAAGGGGGCCCCCAAATGATATTTTCCCAGTCTACACCAATTTATATTAAGTTTTTTGTGTGTGTGCTGTAATTATACAAATTATTTGGCTTACTTTCAAAGTCTCTTTCCTATAACCTTTACCTATAGTTATCCCCATTGGCACCAGCAAAAAACATTATACTCATCGCCCTTTGCTCAGAGGCTTCCCTGCCTCTGAAATATTTTTTTTTCCCCAGTGTCATTAAATTCAGTCCTTCTCTGAAACAGAGCTTAAGCCTTAATCACTATATAACCTTCACTAGAAGTGAACAATTCTCTTCACCTTTCTATGGCTTAGAATTTTTTTTCTTTAAAATAAAGGGATTGAATTTTAAATCTCTTAATTCCAAAATTCCATATTCTTAAACCTCGGTCTTATAAAGTCACCTCTCCAGCCCAATATGTGAAAGTGCATTGTGTGTTTTCTAGCAAATAGAATAATTTTGAGATTAAGTTCTACATAAACTTGTCTAATTGACAAAGACTGAAAAAGGAAAATTGAAAATAATATTTTTAATTTTTATGTCAAAATATTATTTTCTTATTGTTTAATAAATGCTCGAAATATTCCTTAAGTAACATAGTAGCAATCACACACACACACACAGAATTGTAATTACACTAGACAAAAAAAATTGAAATGCTTTCTAAATTAAAAGAAAAAACAGAAGACACTGAAATACCTTAACTGCCAGTAGTGAACTGTGTATGCATGTTTACATGTGCCCTATGATGTTTTTATATATTCCAATTTTCTCCTCTGCTACAAATTTATTCCATTGGCATTTCTTTCTACTTGTGAGTCCAGGTAAGACATATCTCTGCATGTAAGCACCAGAAAACTTAGTTTTAACTATGTTAAAAAATCGTAAGTCAGTATAAATTTTCTAAATAACAGTAATTCAACAGAAGGAGCTGCAGTTAAAAAAATCACTTCATAATTTTGTCATTGAGAGACATTATCTGAAATGAAATCAGAGCCTATTAATTCTTTTGGGCTAATTCTAGATACTGACAATAAAATATTTTTATTGTTCCAAAGAAAATACCCATATACAAGATAAGGGAGGATAACAATAGTTGGTAATATAAAAGAACATCCACAGGGTTTTGGGGTGTTACTACCCAACTTAAGAATAGTGATAAGGATGTCAATCATGTTATGTAAGTTTATACCAACAGTTTTAAACTATAGAATATCTAAAAGGTGAAATAAAGAATAAGAGACTAATGGAAAAAACTCTACGCTTATAAAATAATAATATTCACGAATACGTGTAAATGAACAAAATAATGCCAGGAATAATTTTTCTGAATATACAGAACTCTATAAAAAGAGGTTAATGATTGTCAGAGACATCAAAAATAAGAATATTGGACACTAGTATGTTTTACTGAGAAATAAGTACTACCATCTTGTCTCACATATTACATGTAATATTCTTCATATATTAAAGCTATGATAAATAAAATTACAATTCTGAAATCACTAGGCTAATTTGTTATAATAGTAAAATAAAATATGTCCACTTTTAAGGAGGTTTCTTCTCAGAATCACCCCTGAGAAAGTTACATATGTATGACTTCTTAAAACTCTGTAGAATTACAAAGCTCCTTTTGAACTACTTAATTTTGAACATCAAAGTACTGCTTGAGAGAGATATACCTTCAAACAAAGTGAATTTGGGATAATTAAAAGGTCATCAAACACACCGGTTTTTAAAAAGAAAAATAAATTAAACACAGATTTACTCATTATTTCAGAGGTATTTCACAATTGCAGGCATAGTGTTTTTTGTAGATCAACTGCTTATTTTAAGAAGCAGTGAAATAAGTGGTTATCTATTATGGGGTATAAATAGAAACCTATAAAAGAAATGACAAAAACTGTACATAGTAATACAAATATATTTCTGTGCCTTGAGGTCAAATTTTCAGAGACTCCAATGTACATGAACTTTGAAAGCACTGTGATTTTGTTTGGATGTTTGTCCCCTCCAAATCTCACGTTGAAATGTGATTCCCAGTGTTGGAGGTGGGGTCTTGTGGGAGGTAACTGAATCATGGGGTGGATCTCTCATGAATGGTTTTGCACTATGACTTTGGTGATAAGTGAGTTCTCATTCAGTTCACTGTAGATCTGGTTGTTTAAAAGTCTGAGACCTCCCTCCTCGCCCCCACCTTGTTGTTCCCACTCTTATCACGTGACATGCCTATTCCCACTTCTTGTAAGCTCCTGAGTTCCTCACCAGAAGCTGAGCAGATGTTGGTGCCATGCTTGTACAGCCTGCAGAACAGTAAGCCAACCTCTTTTCTCTGTAAATTATCCAGCCTTAGGTATTCCTTTATAGTAATACAAGAATGAAATGGTACACATTAGTTTTGTAAATTGGTTGAACAAACCTATTCATGAAATACAGGACTGCAACACAATAGTGTCATAAATTAATATATTACTTTATATTATGTATGCTTGAATATTAATAACTAATTTTATCAATTGAATGTTATAAATAGAATAGAAATTTAACAATCCCATCGATATCCGAAATGTTTTAATATTTAAGTTGTTAACCAAATAAACATTTTATTGACTCCTCTCTGGAAAGTTTAAAGCTGCCTTATACATAGACACAGATCCTGTGCCTATGGGATTATAGTAGGGGCTTCAAGTCTGGTAAAAATTACTTGGAATAAGATAGAAGTGGTGAAGAAAAATGAACAGAGGACATTAGTAATTCAAGCAAAAATAGATAATGAATGTTCTCTCATTCAGAGGAGATACCAAATTTATTTTTTAGAAATGAATAAAGCAATGATAGGGCATCTACTTTCTGTATATGCTAGAAATTCTTTCTTTTATAATTTCAACTTTTATTACAGATTAAGGGGTAAGTGTGCAGTATATTGCATGACGCTGAGGCTTAGGGTCCCAGTGATCCCATCACCCAGGCAGCTAGCATAGTACCCAAAGGCAGTTCTTTAGCCCATGCCCTACTCCCATCCTCCTCTGTCTAGTAGTCCCCAGTATTTATTGTACTCATATTTACATTCATGTGTATTTAATGTTTAGCTCCCATTTATAAGTAAGAATATGCAGTATTTGGTTTTCTGTTCTTGCGTTAGTTTACCTAGGATAAGCCTCACTTAGGAGGCTTAGGAGCCTCCAGCTCCATCCACGTTGCTGCAACGGACATAATTTTGTTTTTTTTTTTTTATAATGGCTGCTTAGTATTCCATGGTGTATATGAAGCATATTTTTTAAATCAAACCCAGTGTTGACGGGCACCTAGGTTGATTTCATGCCTTTTTTATTGTGAATAGTGCTGCAATGAACATACGAGTGCATGTGTCTTTTTGATAGAATGAATTACTTTCCTTAGGGTATATAGCCAGTAGTGGGGTTGCTGGGTTGGATGATAGTTCCATTTTAAATTATCCAAACTGCTTTCCACAGTGGCTGAACTAGTTTGCATTCCCACCAACAGCGTGTAAGTGTTTCTTTCTGTCCTCAGCCTCACCAGCATCTGTTATTTTTTGACTTTTTAATAATAGCTGTTCTGATTGGTGTGAGATAGTATCTCCCTGTGGTTTTGATGTGCGTTTCCCTGATGATTAGTGATATTGAGAATTTTTTCATGTTTGTTGGTTGCTTGTGTGTTTTGAGAAATATCTATTCATATCCTTTGCCCATCGTTTAATTGGATTTTTTGTTTGTCTATTTCTTTAAGTTCCTTGTAGATTCTGGGTATCAGACCTGTTGGTTGCAGTTTGTGAATATTTATTCCCATTCTGTAGGCTCTCTGTTTACTGTGTTTTTTTGTTTGTGTGTTTTGTTTTTTGTTTTGTTTTGTTTTTTCCTGTGCAGAATCTCTTTAGTTTCATTAGGTCCTACTTGCCAATTTTTGGTTTTGTTGCAATTTCTTTTGGGGACTTAGCCATAAATACTTTGCCAAAGCCTAGGTGGAGAAGGGTATTTTCTAGGTTTTCTTCTAGGACTTTTCTTATTAGTATGAAGTCTTTCATTTAAATCTTTAACCCATCTTGAGTTAGTTTTTATATATGGTGAGGGGTAGGGGCCCAGTTTCATTCTTTTGCATATGGCTAGCCAGTTATCCCAGCACCATTTATTGAATAGGGGGTCCTTTCCTCACTGCTTATTTTTGTCAAAGATCAGATGATTGTAGATGTGCAGCTTTGTTTTTGGGTTCTCTATTCTGTTCCACTGGTACATACCTGTTTTTGCTCCAATACCAGGCTGTTTTGGGTAGTATAGCATTATAGTATAATTTCAAATCAGGAAATGTGATGCCTCCAGCTTTGTGTTTTTTGTTTGTTTACGATTGTTCTGGCTATTCAGGCTATTTTTTGGTTCCAAATAAATTTTAGAATAGATATTTCTAATTCTGTGAAAACTGACATTGGTATTTTGATAGGGATAGCGCTGAATCTGTTCATTGCTTTGGATATTATAGCCATTTTAACGTTATTGATTCTTTCAATCCATGAGCAAGGAATATTTTTCCATTTATTTGTTTCTTCTCTGACTTCTTTCATCTGCTAGAAATTCTATGTGGCTAACGATATCACTTTTGATAAGTTCTGAACGGATATGCTTGTCTTTATGAAGTTAAAAAGTATCAAGGAAAAACTACCACAGCATGTCTCATCTTCACTAATAGATAGATATGGCCTTTTGTTTGATATTTAATACTTCCATAAAACCATAAACATAGATATACATGTTTAACTGTTAATATTCTTACTTGAATAACCGAGCCATATGGTGACCATATTACTTTTTCCCATTTTCCCCAATTTACACTGCTTCTATATATGTATGTGTGTGTGTGTATATATCAATATCTAAATACTTCATGTGTGTATACAGTGTATATAGTTTAGTGTAAAGTATATACTATATACTATAGTAGATAGTATGTAGACAAGTGTATGCTTTATATATTATAATATACGATTATATAGGTATATATATTTTAAATTTATATATATGTAGAGCGAGCCAACAACCATTTGTCTTTGATAGCCATGTCAGACTATTTAACATTTTAATATGTATATATTTAATTTAGTCTTTTAAGGCACATTTGTTTAATCCCAAGAGAAAAATCTATAGAAAAATAAGCTTAGCCATATTTCAATGAACAGAACTTTAGCCTGGGTTTTAGAATTAAATCTAGCATTTAAAAACTATAATAAAATTAAAAAATCTCTTCATCTCTCTGTGTATACTTGTCTGGAATTAAAACTTGAGATAAGTAATCCATTGAAGGGTGTTATGAGGATTGGAGTAAGATGTGAGGAGGGCTACAATTTAATAGCTTCAGTAACTTTAATAACTGGAGGGATATAATTGACAGAAGTTCCAGAGAATAAAACTAGTACCCAATTTAGAAGCCAAGGCAGATATTAGCGTGTTACAGAAAGACATCTTTTTTTTTTTTAACAATCAAAGCTCTCTAAAAAATGAATTGCAATCTCTTGAAGCAATACTATTCTATCACTGGGTATATTCAAACACAAATTTTTCCTGCAATGCACTTATAGAAAATTATAGTATACATCAAATATATGGCTTTATCTGCATACCCTTGCATAGGATGTATATATGACCCAGTTGAGTAGCTCTGGTGCGGATAAAACTACTTAGGAAGTTATCCTGATCCTTCCTTTTAGACTAAAAAGTCTGTGTTTCTGGGGCAGAATATCAGGTCTAATTTACCAATTAGCAACAGGCCAAGAGAGCTGGAAGAGATATCAAGCCCCACATTTGCAGCTCATTCCTTACAGAAATACAATCATGAAAAGTGGCTCAAAGAATGTCTCCAACTCTGAACAACTACATTGGCCACATCTCCTAACTAGAAAATGAATTAGTAAGTGTTGAATGAAGAGTGGAAAATGGTGCAAAATGTAGAAAGAAATGCACTTTATAGGCAGAGGTCAAAACACGAGAGAATCTATTTTCCTTCTACCTTTCCAACACATGCTAACAGGATTCCTATGCACAATTTCCAGCCTGCTAGTTCTGATTCTACCTCCTTTATCTCCCACTCAAGAATCTTATCATTGGTTGGTAGTGAGAGTATTATAATAATTCAGTATTGCATTAATGTTGCTTTAATAGTAATTCAATACTGCTTTAATAGTAATTCAATACTACCTTAACATTGCATCAACAGTAACAAAATTTTTGTAACATATGCCTGTAAAGTCATGGGAAGCTATATTATGAAAGAATAAGTCATAGAAGATCAGAAAAGATGGGGACAATTTCTCAGTCTATTATTTTCTAGTTTCTTTATTCTGGCAAGCCTTGAATGCTTAAGTTTTTCTTTCTTTCCCACAAAAAATCATGAAAATCAAAATATCTACCTCATTAAAAAAATGTCATTTTTTCCAGCTTCCTCACTGTGTTACCCTAAACTTGTCAATTTACTCAGCTTATAAAATAAGGTGATTAAACTAATCAGTGTTGCCCAAGCTTCCCTGATGATTAGATACATCTAGGAAGCTTGTTAAACATACAATTTTACAGGCCCTTCCCTGCAGGTTCTGATCTAATGAGTCTCATGGTTCCTGAGTATTTGCATAACTAACAAGATTCCAAGATAATTTCATCAATTTGGGAAACACTTACCTAGGTTATTTTAAAAATATAAACTTCTGGGCACCACCCCAAATCTGATTACTTAAACTCCAGAGAAGACATCTTGTAATGGTAACTTTAATGAGTAACCCAGATAATTTTTTATGACTAGGCATGTTTGGGAAATTACATTGAGAAATGACAAGACTGTTAAAATCTCAACCAGCTATAAAATTCTGGGAATAAGGTAACAGATTAGATTTTGGACCAGTTTTTATAAAAAGCATCCTATCCCAGACATAAAACCCTGTTTCATCGCTGAGTAGCTCAGATTACTCTCAATATGTGGAAAAATACAATACCCAATAAAGGGAGACAGACCTTTTTGCATGTCCTGTCATTTTCTGATTAGGGAGAGGCTAAAGATAACACCTTGACTTGGTTTCTTTTTGTTTTTCTGACAGGCATATTTATCTTTTATGTACTACTTTTATTGCTTCTTCTTCCTGAAAATAGTAATCAGTTAATCAATTCTGAGGAGAATCCATACTTTCACCTGTTAACTATCCAAAGCAGACTATACTGAAAAGTGATTTACTTCTGGCTAGTAGTTCCTTAAGCAGAATGGATATCATTTTTACATGGATTGTACATTGGGCTTCATTGGCTTACATGAAACTCTACTAAGTCTCATAAGATCATGAATTAAAAATGTTGTAAAATGGAATTGTTCTTGTTTTCACTTAAAATGCATATCGGTATATTTGGTATATAGGCTTAAAAGGTATGGAATATACTTTCTCCAAACACATTCATAAGGTATTGTAGTTTTATCTCCCCTTCTTCATCTATCTAACTCCTTCAACATTTAACTCAAGATTCACCCAGTTTAATTTGGATGTTCTACTTATATACACATACAACACCCTATGCTTCATTTTATCACATATGGCATGAAAATAGAATCATTAAGTTAGTCATATCCCATACTTTCTAAGAGTGAAGACTATGCACTTTTTAAATATAAATTATGCAAATATAATGTGGTACCTGCAAAATACAATAGTAGATGCTTAGTAAGTATTTGATGAACAAATATATGATTGCTCACAATGATGACTAGTTTACTAATACATTGAATTATATAGCCTTATACTTACTAAATTATGCCTATAAGCTAGAAAATGTTCAATTGAGTATTCGAAATGTCCAGGAACCAACGCTGCATTTTAGACACACATGTAAAATCGTTCAACAAATGTTTTAATCACTCATTACATACCATATATAACTTGTACTTTTGATATTACAAAAATGAGTAATAGCCTTAGAGGTCTTACAGGCTAGCAAGATAAAAAAACATGGAAATATACTGTAGGTAATATAAGAGAGGTCTGTATAGCATGGAGTTATGTAAAGGGAAGGTCTGCTATTAACATAACTTTGAGAGGTAGTTGCATTAGGACTAGTCAGGAAAAACTTCACAGAGAACATATTGCTTGAACTTGATCTACAAAGAGAAGATATAAGGGAAATGGAGGGCAAAGGATAAGATATTCCATGAAAAGGTAGCAAATGATGAAGAAAAGCATGCTTTATTATAACTGGTTTGTTGGATTCAAGGGGTCACAAGTAGAAAATGAAGATGAAAAAGCCAGCAAAATCATCAAGAAGATCATGTTTCTCGAGCCAGACATTTGAACATTTTTTAGTAGATAATGGGAAGTAATCAAAGAGATGTAAGCATGGAACAAATATGACCAGATTTATATTTGAGAAAGATTACTTTGATAGAAGACTAGAAAATGAACAAAAAGGTTACAAACCTAAGACGGAGATATTAATTAGGCAGCTACTTCAATAGTTCTCATAGAAAATTATAAAGACATTGTATAAAGGCCATAATAGATCTTTTGGAAGAGAAAGTTTAATTCTTTAGGAATGTAGAATTAACAGAACATGAATATAAATGGAGGTATGAGAATAAAAGAATAAGTAATGTACAATCATATCCACAAAGTTTATTTTGATGACTAACCTGAAAAAAAATGAATTCACTCACTTGTCCAGTAACAAACGAATCCACAAGAATGTAAATTTTAATCAATAGGAGTTTTATTACTTAGCACAAGTAAGGAAGCATTCCTCAAAGCAGTGTCTCCCTGAGAGAGTTTATGGCGCTATGGAGAGAGGAGAGTGTGCATCATCACATGTACGGGACGGGTCCCAGTTGCTTTAGACGCAGTGAGCCTTTATGCCAGCACAAAGGTTGCATGTTCTGGTAATGAAGCTATAGTTCCTTTCGGGATGGAGACTTTAGCATGATAATGAGGAAAGTTCACTCAGGTTCATCTGTCAGTTGCTGGGGTCTGTCAGGAGCTGGTTCCAACCAACTAGGTGACCACATCCCACATAGAGTTTTGGAAAAAGTAGTCTCCAAGGCAGGAGGCTGTAAAACAGGCTGATTGCTCAAGTTGATTAATTCGTATAGTTCCTGGAGACTCTCCTTCTCTGCTTAAAACTGCATAAATAGTGGGGTCATTCCTGAAATCGAAAATAAAAGAAGAAGAGCTAGTTTATCCTAGTGTGGGAGTAGAAGTGAAGTAAATAAAGAGTTTTAGGTTTGGTTTTACAAATCTATACATATCTGTCAGACTCCTAGGACAAATATCCTATAAACTCTGGAAAAAACATGACTTTATCTTGGAAGAGTTATCCAAGATAAAGATATCTATTTTAGACAACCATATAGTTAGCAGTTTGTATCAAAACATTGCATTCTAACTGATGAGAGCATATTGTCTGTCCTAAACAATTCTGATATAAATTTTAATAGCTCACTCTTTCACAGTCAAAAATGACCCAGTTTGATGGGTAAACCAGAAATAGAGTTTTTGCCAAGAACCTAATCATGCTGGCACCCTGATTTCAGACTTCCCAAACCCTGGACTGTGAAAAATAAATGTTTATTGTTTAAGTCACCTAGTCCATAGTATTTTCTGTAGCAGCCCAGGCTCAGACACTTTTAAAGAACTATTTCAAATGTCATTTCTGCCCATCAAAGTATTTTTTGTCCAGACAGATGATGTGTTTCTTTCATCATGAAACATATAATTATTGAATAAAAATAGTAAACACTATTCTAATATCTAACTAATCTAATGCTTACTATTTACACATATTAGTATTTTCTGTATATGTTTAATAACATTTGCAAATATTTGTAAAGTTATGTGCTTTAACTTTGATATCCAATGCAAATCTCAGAACACTGCCATTTTATAGATAAGAAAAATAGGTTTGGAAAGATTATATGAGTTACTCTGAAACTCATGTTAGTGAGTGGTATGACAAAATTAGATCTGAGGTCCAACCCAAAGCCCAGGATTCTGATGACTATGCCCTATTACCTTTTAATCATAAGCTTTTTTTAAACATAAGTGAATGTGGAACATTAAGATTCATAAGCACACATTTGTTTGAACATAAAAAAGTAGATTAAAGAAATAAATACTATCAAAGGTACCTTTGAATAGTTTGTCAAATAATGTACATCAGTAAATAATTTTCTGTCTTTGGCAGTTTGATGTTTGATCTAGAAAAAAGACAAAATATTCAATTGTCTTATTTTTCTTTTGCAATCAATCAAAGCAGTATTATTTTAGCTTCATGGATTATCCTCAAGTAGAAAATTAGTTTAATCAGTTAACACTTTCAAATTTTCTTTAAAAATAAAAGTTTTCAATGCACTACTGTTTGAGGAAAAGGTTGACAATTGAAGATGGCTGGAGGCAAACAAATAATCCAAGAATATTATTTAAAGGGTCTCTATGACTTCTGCAACATGCATATGTGAAATAATATAAGAACATCAATGATTTTTGTCCTTGAATTTTTCCCTCCAAGATATCATGTTTTTAACTTTCCTGAAACATATTATTGTGAGCTCTTTACTCATTCTGTAATTTGTTTGTATCTTTTTAAAAATGTTTACAAAGCTGTGGTAAATTAAATAATTGCTCAATCGTTTTCTAAAAGATTAAGAAGAATAATTGTTGTACTGTTTAAATATTATAAAAGCACCAAATAGAAGGTAAATTGGGGCTACTTGCTAACATAAAAATAAGAGCAGCATTTAAAGGTTTATTTCTGGCCTTTAGAAGGATTTTGTATTACTTTTAGTTCTACTTCACTTAAAATAACTACCCATCTGTTATTTTCTTTCCAATTCTTCACACAATTGAGACTGACCCCATATTTACACTATCATCTTTCCAATAGATATGCTGAAATGGAACTCTGGCTCATAGACTAAATCATTTGGGTATAGGAAGGCACTGTATATAATTTATCATCACCACAAAATCTTCCAATTTTCTTCCCACTAACATTTTTTCTCAATGTTTTAATATTCAGCTCTTCTGTCAGTAAGGCTTAGCCTAAAGATGACAGGTGGTGCAACTTCTGTGGATCTCATTATCTTTAGCTTTTCTAACAAAAGTCAAAACATAACGAGAAAGACAAAGGGAGTCAACCAACCAAGTGTAATACTCTGAAACTAATTATTCACCAGCTGGCCACAGCCATTTTAATGTATTCTTTGGTGGGAACTTCTGTTAAGAGTGAATACATACATTGTATGGAAGGAATAAAACTTGACTTAGGGGGAACTACACAGGGCTTCCTGCGACTTCAAGACAGCCTATGCAGACAAGAAGTATTATGCATTACAAATGATAGCTGCTCCTGTACCATGTAACCGTAGGTGTCAATGCAAATGGGGCCAACAGCAAAAGGCTGACATCTGGCATCTGTGACAACTGCCCTACCCACATTCTCCAGCAGAAGCAAGTCCATAAAGAAAATTATATTCATGAGTATTTTAGACAGTCCTGTTTGTCTTCTGACATCCATGTGTTTTAAATCACAAACCAGGCTTCTTCCATTGTCTTTAAGAGGGATTTGTCTTTATCATTTGTGATGGCAATTTCTCAGCTAATGCATTCATTCACACTATTTTAATAATTTCTTTCTGGTTTTTAATATATACATTTGTATATATCTGAAATCTCTCTCCTTGAGAGTCTTTATTCATTTTCCTATATTAAAATCATTTGCACTAAAATATTGTTATACTATTTAGCGTATTTTTCACCTTATTACTGGATTATTGGATAATCACCATGACTGATTAACTAAGACTTGGGATATATACAAGGTCAAATTCCAGGGCTTTGTCTAAAGGAATTCATATCTTAAAGATTAATGTTCTTCAGAAGAAGATCACTCCGGTATGCTTTTGAGTGATCTCTGAGAGAGACCTGCAGCAATTCTGATGTGAGTAGGATTTCTGCTCTTGGCCATCTGGAGAGATGTAGGGGTAGGTGAGCAACTTCTCCAAGCTTCTACTGATTCACAGTGAAGAGAAGGCAGCTATAGGCACACAGAAGTGGTGCGATATAGGGGCAGCCAGAGACTAGTACAGCAGTGTAGGGTCTTCTAGAGAGCTGTGTGAACCACAAGCACTAATATAAAACCATAAAGGCAGAGACTCCTGCATAGGGTCACCATGAGACATCAATGTCAGTCAGTGACCCTTCTGAAGCAATCACTATGACATGGTTAGGAAAGGAGAGCCTGAAAAGAAACACCAAATGACTTGTTCAGTAGGACACATGCAACAAAACCTGTGAAACTCTCAGAAGCAATGAAGAGAACTTTTCAGGAAACTAATTTCCAGCAAGTAGCTAAACGGAAGCTTGATCTTTCATAAAAAGTAAAAAGGAGGAAGTTGATCCTATTTTTCCTGTCAAAAAGTATAGTTTATTTTGTTCAGGTTTTTCCCCAAAGTAGATACCATTTACTACCAACTTTGGAAAACTGATTGGGTTAAAGTGTTCCTTACAAGTACAGGGTAAAAAGTAAACACAGGCCATTTATCAACACCATTTGAAGAGTTTGAAAACTCTGAAGAGTTATTAAAATATGGATTCCTAGATTTAACACCAGACCTACTGAATCACAACCACTACATATAGGGAGCAAACATCTTTTATTTTAACAAGTTCTTCACATTGTTCTTACGTGGCAGGTCTGATAACTGCCTATAAACTAGCAGTTGAAAGCTCCAATAAAGTATTTACTACTGAAATGAAAAACTATTCAAATTCATATACTGTCTTTCATTTTAGTGTTTATTGTGCCTAAGTAAAATTTATGTCAAATAGAGATCAACTTTGACCACTCAACTTGCCATTTATAGTAAAAACTTTAATTATGTATGTTAATGTACAAGAAAGAAAAACAATATCATGTGTGAAAATATTGTACACATATCTATCATCACATCAAAGGTTACATTGATGTAAAAATTAGAATGGGTGAGTAATAAATTATTAGTAAAATCCAATTTATATATAGGAATATTTTCTATACTTATCAAATATATTATTCTTTATTTTCTAAAGTTTTCATTTAAAAATAATAGTTTATTAAACAGTAAGGTAATATGAAAGGTTAGGATGCAAAGTGTTCTTCAAAATTTTGTGTATATTTCAATAAAAATTTTATTATTCAAATATGGATTAAATACTTAACTAAAGATAATTGCTTGGCATAAATAGAATATTTTAGACATCTTTATTTAAAAAAGAAAGCATGATTTCTGATTTCATCAGAGTGAAATAAACATTTACACTGTCATAACAGTTATATGATTTTCAAAAAGTGCATTCTTCAATAAACAATACTTATCTAAAACATTCATATTTGATAATTAACAACTGGTTTTGAAATGTATAATAAACAACAGAAGTTACCACTTTAAAACTCTGGCCTTCACTTTCTCTTGTGAACATTTCTGACAATTTCAAATCTGACACACAGAGATTTACTTAAGACTATGCTAAATAAACCAATGCTAAGTACAATTTCTAAAAAATCCGTGCTTGACTGGGTCATGTTGTTGCAGCTGCATTTGCCATTTTTCCAAAGAAGACAAAATGTGATTATCCTCATCAAATTTCTCTTTGAGGAAGAAAAAATGAGACCACTGGCTAAAATAAAAATAATGTAGTTACTGGCACACTTTTTGGCTTTATGAATTGCAATAGAGAAACTCATGAGAGGAAAATATGAGATTGCTTTATTTTTTATAAACAAGCTTAGCTTTTTACCTCCATATTAATGGAAAATCAACCAGATTCTTACGTGAAGCACAGTCACTCCTTAGACTCACTGGGTCTTGTCAAGGTTCTGGAATCTCAAAGAGTATCAAGTATTTGAGAAGGGACCTGCTTTTTCTTATTAATCTATGCACACACATGTCATCGGGTCACAGCTAAGAAATACTGCTTCACATTAAAATTGTGCCTTCAGGTCTAGCAGCTCCAAAGCTGCCTTGCCACACCAGGGAAACTGGAATCTTTTACAAGGTTAAGAACCCTAGCACTTTTAGACCCACCTTTCTAAATACATGATGGAAGCAGCTCTCTCTCAGTCAAGCATCTTTGGATGTTTTCAGGAAAAGTAATCAAGTTTTCATTATTCAGGAAACCAGAAAACTTTCTTCTACCTATTCTGGGGGAATCCACCCATGTAGAAGAAATACTTTTCTTTGTCAAACTCCATACGTCTGTTTTAGTCCATTCTCATGCTGCTATGAAGAAATACCCAAGACTGGGTAATTTATAAAGAAAAGAGGTTTGATTGACTCACAGCTCCATATGGCTGGGGAGGCATCAGGAAACTTACAATCATGGCAGAAGGCATCTCTTCACAGGGCAGCAGGAGACAGAATGAGAAACGAGTGAAGGGGGAGGGCCCTTATAAAACCATCAGATCTTGTGAGAACTCACTCACTATCACAAGAACAGTATGGGGGAAACCGCCCCGTGATTCAATTATCTCCACCTGGTCCCTCCCACAACACATGAGGATTATGGGAACTACGATTCAAGATGAGATTTGCGGGGGGACACAGACAAACCATATCGTCTCAAAAGGCTTTGGTTTGGGGAAAACAAGCCGGTAAGTTTCTAAAGTGCCTTCTGCTTACAGTCCAATCAAACACTTTCTCTGAGGAAATAAAGCACAACATTTGCCTTCCTGAATGAGCAGAAATAGAAGAAAAAGTGCAGAAAATGAATAAATATCTAAAATGAAAATCAATGACATGCTCAAAATATTTTTATTCAGGTTTTAAATTTCAAATACGTGATCAATATCATTAGTCATTGGGAAAATACAACTTAAAAATCAGTAAAATATCACTATTAGAATTGTTTATGCTAAGAATGAGGCTGTGTGGTGTTGCGTGTCTGTAATCCTAGCACCTTCGGAGACTGAGGTAGGAGGATCACTTGAGCCCAAGAGTTTAAGACCAGCCTAGGCAACATAGTGAGACATCGTCTCTGAAAAATTTATATTAAAAGATAATAAAATGAGAAAACATAATACTGAGAGCTGGTGAGAATGCAGAGCAATTGCAACTCTCATGAAGTGTTGGTGAAAATTTTTTAAAAATTGCATGGCAACTTTAGAAAACAGTTCGGAATTTACCTACCCAAAGCCACATCACTCTCAGTCTTGGATATTTACTCCAGTGAAATGAAAGCATAGTTCGCACACAAACCTGCACACAGATATTTATAGTGGCCTTCCTCATAATCACAAAAGACTGAAAACAACCCAGATGTTCCTCATTTTGGGAATGAATAAATAAACTGGAAACCATACACTGAAACACTAAACTTAAAGAAAAAGTAATGAAGTACTGATATAGACAATAACATAGATTGACCTCAAAAAATTATGTTTAATAAAAGAAAGCAGACTCAAAATGCTGCATACTTTATAATTACATTTACATGACATTCTATAAAAGCCAAAACTATAGGAAAATAAAATAGGTCAGTGATTAACAGGGACAGAATGAGGAAAGGGACTGACTACCAAGTACCACATACTAAAAAAAATTAATTTTATTGTATGTACATTACATGCTATTAAAATTGGAAAAATTTTAGTTATGACAATATTATAAGAAACAATAGAAGTACTTTTGATTGGTTTCAAGAAAAGTTCTATATTAATGATAGTTTGATCCAACTTCTCAAAAGTTAAGGCAAACTTTTGAAATGTTAATAAGTATTTAGAGTCAGGAAGAAGGATGATACAGGTCTTTTATTTAATTGAGATCTGAGGTATTAAATTATAAATATTATATACTCTTTCTTTGAAAAGGTTGGATTTTTCTTACAAAATTCATAAATATTTCTTTTACTTTAATCTTTTTAAAAATATGAATAATTCACTGTTTAGAAACCTTAAAAAATTTGAAAAAGTAATAAATTGAAAGTAAAAGAAGATGATCACTATATAGAGACAATCAAGGTAAAAATTTTGATCTTAAATCTTCAATGTCTTTTTCTTTTTCCTTGTATATTTTTTGTACTTGTAAATGGATTTTTAAAAAAAATTTTTATTCATGCTTTTGTCAGATATTATGTTTGAATTGTCTTATAACCATGTATATATTATATATGCTCTATATACCATACATACTGTATATTTTCTATAAATAGTATGCATATAGTTTATATATTTATGTATGCACATATCATAGTAAAAATATTCAGTTTGTGATGTATTTCTTTTCTTACAGCAATAAACTATGAACGTATTTTATAGTTTTCTATAAAATCATGTATTATATTTTCTTAAATCTCCTTTAGAAATCATGTTGGAGCAGAAGTCCAAGTCATTTTTTTTAATCAAGAAAGAAAATACATTAATGGAAAATGAATGACGCCTTCTAGAAATACACAAAGTACAAAGTAGAATCCATTTATTTACTTTAAAATAAATAAAAATTTTTACAAAAATTAAGGATAAGAGGGTTTCAGTCTCACAGAATATGTTCTTTGCCACCATCTAAAGAGTTCAGTGACTATTTTGCTTTAATCTAGTTAGAAGATATAAAAGTGCATAAATATTACAAACAGAAAAAAAAAGGAAAGAAACAGAAAGGATAGCAGGAAGGGAGGAAGAAAGGAGAGAGGAAATATATTACCTAGTATCAAAAACCGATATGAATGTTTTTTTGAAGGCATCCACCCAAAACCCAAGATTCCAAATGCTGAAAAAGTGGGTTTAAGAAATTAGGCCGGGTGCGGTGGCTCACAGCTGTAATCCCAACCCTTTGGGAGGCTGAAGTGGGTGGATCACTTGGGGTCACGAGTTCAAGACCAGCCTGGCCAACGTGGCAAAACCCCGACTCCACTAAAAAATACAGAAATTAGCCAGGCATGGTGGTGGGCACCTGTAATCCCTGCTACTTGGGAGGCTGAGGCAGGAATTGCTTGAACCTGAGAGGCAGAATTTGCAGTAAGCAGAGATTGTGCCACTGCACTCCAGCCTGGGCAACAGAGTGAGACTCCATCTCAAAAAAAAAAAAAAAAGAAAAGAAAAAGAAATTAAAAGATTTTATTCTCATGGTCAGTATTTGTTAAGATCTTTGGATAAGTGAATTTTACTCTGCTTAAACAGACACTGGTCAAATTTAACATACTATTAGTTATTGTCTCAGGTAAAAGTGCCATATACGTAAAATTGAACAAGATATTTGTTTTTATTTTCCATTAGTAATATTTTGGTGATAAAAATAATTATTATATAAACATAAGAAATTTAGACATCTTAAATCATTTAGTTAACACTTAATGAATGAGAAAATTATACAGGTGATCCAAATAGACATTAATTTATAGACATCATATTGATATCATTATAATTGTATTCAATCAATTTATCAGCTGAATCATATGCCAAATGTTGTCTTCTTAATTGGATATGACTAAAGTTAAAAATCAAATGTGACATGATTAACTCACAAAATGGATATACTGTCATGTATACATGTATAATGACATTTTAGTCAACACACTGCATATTCAGTGGTGGTGCCATTAAGTTATCATCCCATATTTTCACTGTACCTTTTCCATGTTTACATATGTTTAGATACATAAATACTTACCATTGTGTTAAAATTGCCTACAGCATTCAGTACAGTAACATGCTGTATAGGTTTGTAACCTAGGAGCAATAGGCTATATCATATAGCCTAGGAGTGTAGTAGGCTATATCATCTAGAGTTGTGTAAGTACATTCTATGATATTTACAAAACAAAATTGCCTAATACATTTTTAATTGATGTTTTAAAGTTTAAAAAAGCCAAAAGTGGTTAATGATGCATTTCTCAGAAATATGCATTTCTCAGAGTGCATCCCCATCAGTGACACATGACTGTATACTTTAAATAATCCTATACAATATTTAAAAAGTTTTTACTGTATTTGTAAATATTTTTTCGTAAGTTTCATAAATTGTGTTTAATGACCATTTGCTACCAGAAAAAATAGGATAATTTTATTGCAGTTTGTACCTTTATGGGATCAGTGATACCCTTTATTTAAAGTTTATACTATTTCTGACCAGGCGTGGTGGCTCAGGCCTGTAATCCCAGCACTCTGGGAGGCTGAGGCAAGTGGATTACTTGAGGTCTGGAGTTCAAGACCAGCCTGGCCAACATGGCAAAACCCCATCTCTACTAAAAATACAAAAATTAGCAGGGCGTGATGGCACATACTTGTAATCCCAGCTACTCAGGAGGCTGAAGCAGGAGAATCACCTGGGAGGTGGAGGTTGCAGTAAGCCAAGATCATACCACTGCACTCCAGCCTGGGTGACAGAGCAAGACTCTGTCTCAAAAAAATTTAAAAATAAAAAGTCAAAATCACAATGGGCTATCACTTCCTACCACCTAAAATGGCTAAAATAAATAAATAAATAAATTAATTAAGTTTATACTATTTCTTCAATCCTGCACAATTTTTCAAAAACAATTACAAATGACTACCTCAATTTATTGATTTTCTTCCTATGAGTATCCCGCTTTTTAAATTTGCGTATGCTTAAATATTCCAAGTATTCTTTAACCTATTTTATATAATAGTTGGGAGGGTTTGATTACATTTTAATTACATAGATAGCTTTTCTTTGTGTTCTTATTCAAGGAAGATATAAAATGTTAAGAATTCCTCATTTTAATATTGTCATTATATTCATGAATCTCCTCACGTGATAGCCAGGCTATTCCTCCCTTCTGCAAAGCAAAAATTTCAAAGTTGCTAATTATTCTTATTTATTTTATTTTGTTTGTTCATTTTATCTTTTGACAGAGAACATTCATAGATATGCATATATTTTATTTTGTCCTCTTTAGATTTCCCACAGCCATTTGGCAATATTCAGTATTAGCCAACAATTCTTAAGTAATTTCACCATAATCTATGGGAATACCATCAATCTAGTTATCCCATGAGTAACATTTGTATCTGATGAAAAATGCATGAAGTAGGACTCCAGATAAAGATGGAGAATAGGAGGCAGGACTGGCTTGCAGCTCCCACTTGGAAGGACAGAGCAGTGTGTGGAGTCTTACATTGTAAACTTTGGCTACAAGAACTACCACAGGAACATACCAGGAAAGCTGAGAGAATCTACAGACCCTTTGAATGAAATGGATCACCACTGCAGGCTCCCCAAGTGGCCAAAAAACTGAGTTGGCTTGCTTTCTCAATAGGGAGGCTCATGGTCCAGAGCAAGTTCTCAGCCCTGGTCACAGGCTGCCTGGAAATAGACTTGATGCTGTTGACAGGTCATGGTGGGAGTGAGACCGGCCTTTAGGAATGTTGGTTGCATAGGAATCTAGTGAGGCCAGTGACTGCTGGCTTTCCCCCACTTCCCTGGTGACCTGTATGACTCAGCAGAGGCAGCCATAATCCCCTGGGAACATAGCTCCATTGGACTAGGAACAACACCCCATCCTCCACAGCAGCAGCAGCAAGCCCCACCCAATGAGAAGCAGAGCTCAAACACGCCTATCCCTTCCGACACCTGGTGGTCTTTTGCTACCTGCCCTGGTAGCTGAAGACAAAGGTCATAATCTCTTGGGGACTCTATGGCCCTGCCCACCACCTGAGAATCCTAGTGCATGTCAGAATCCTCCCTATAGGATTGCAGTTGATACACTCTTGAAAGTGCCAGCTCCTGGCTGGAGACCAACCAACACGAAACCAGTGCACTATACAAAAACACAACCAAGGACCTTTAAAGAGTCCACTTTACTTCTGCTGTCTCCACCAGAGCAGGTGCAGGTATCCATGGCTGTAAGACCTGAAGACGGATCACATAACAGGACTCTTTGCAGACACTCCCCAGTACCAGCCTGGAGCTGGTACCTCCACTGGTAGCTCTGCTGGGTGGCGAGACCCAGAAGAGCAAAAACAATTACTAAAGTTTTGCTCTCAGGAAGCCACATTCCTAGAGGAAGGGGGAGAACACCACATCAAGGGAGCACCCTATGGGACAAAAGAATCTGAACAGCTGCCCTTGAACCCAGATCTTCCCTCTGACATAGTCTAAGCAAATAAGAAGGAGCCAAAAAGACAATTCTGGTAATATGACAAAACAAGGTTCTTTAACATCCCAAAAGATTATACCAGCTCACCAGCAATGGGTCCAAATCAAGATGAAATCTCTCAATTGCCAGAAAAAGAACTCAGAAGGTCAATTATTAACCTAGTCAAGGAGAAACCAGAAAAAGGTAAAGTCCAACTTAAAGAAATCCAAAACATGATAAAGGATATGAAAGAAAAATTCTTCAGTGAAATAGGGAGCATAAATAAAAAACAATCACAACTTCTGGAAATCAAGGACACACTTAGAGAAATGCAAAATGCACTAGCAAGTCTCGGCAATAGAATTGAACAAGCAGAAGAAAGAAGTTCAGGGCTTTAAGACAAGGCTTTCAAATTAACTTAATCCATCAAAGACAAAGAAAAAAAAATTTTTTAAATGAGCAAAGGCTTCAAGAAGTTTGGGACTATGTTAAATGTCCAAACCTAAGAATAATTGGTGTTCCAGAGGAAGAAGAGAAGTCCAAAACTTTGGAAACATATTTGAGGGAATAATTGAGGAAAGCTTCCCCAGCCTTGCTAAATATCTAGACATCCAAATATAAGAAGCTCAAAATATACCTGGAAATTCATCACAAAAAGATCCTCACCTAGGCACATACTCATCAGATTATCTGAAATCAAGATGAAGGAAAGAATCTTAAGAGCTATGTGAGGGCAAAAGCATCAGGTAACCTATAAAGGAAAACCTATCAGATTAACAGCAGATTTCTTAGCAGAAACCCTATAAGCTAGAAGGGATTGGAGTCTTACATGTAGCCTCCTTAAACAAAACAATTATCAGCCAAGAATTTTGTAACCAGTGACTCCAAGTTTCATAAATGAAGAAAAGATACGGTCTTTTCCAGACAAACAAATGCTGAGAGAATTCACCACTACCAAGCCAGGACTACAACAACTGCTAAAAGGAGCTCTAATTCTTGAAACAAATCCTCAAAATACACCAAAATAGAACATCCTTAAACCATAAATCTTACAGGACCTATGAGACATAGCACAATGAAAAAAAAAAAACAAGGTATTCAGGCAACAAATAGCATGATGAATAGAATAGTACCTCACATCTTAATACGAACATTGCATGTAAACGGCCTATATGCTCCACTTAAAAGATACAGAATGGCAGGATGGATAAGAATTCACCAAGCAAATTTTTGCTGTCTTCAGGAGACTAACTTAACACATAAGGATTCACATAAACTTAAGGTAAAGGGTGGAAAAAGATATTCCATGCAAATGGACACCGAAAGCGAGCAGGAGTAGCTATTCTTGTCAGACAAAACAAACTTTAAAGCTACATCTGTTTAAAAAAGACAAAGAGGGACATTATATAATGATAAAAAGACTTGTCCAACAGAAAAATATCACAATTCTAAATATATAGGCATCTAACACTGAAGTTCCCAAATTTATAAAACAATTACTACTAGATCTAAGAAATGACATAGATGGCAACACAATAATAGTGGAGGACTTTAATACCACTCCACTGACAGCACTAGACAGGTCATCATGACAGAAAGTCAAAAAAGAAACAATGGACTTAAACTATACAGTACAACAAATGGACTTAACTGATATTTACAGAACATTTTACCCAACAACTATAGAACATACATTCTATTCATCAGCACATGGAACATTCTCCAAGATAGACCATATAATAAACCACAAAACTGGTCTCAGTACATTTAAGAAAATAGAAATTATATCAAGTACTCTCTCAGACCACAGTGGAATAAAATTGGTAATCAACTCCAAAAGGAACACTCAAAATCATGTAAATACATGAAGTTAAGTAACCTGCTCCTGAATGATTGTTGGGTCAGCAATGAAATCAAGATGATAATTTAAAAATTATTTGAACTGGGATGGGTGCGGTGGCTCATGCATGAAATCCCAGCGCTTTTGTAGGCTGAGCTGGGCAGATAACCTGAGCTCAGGAATTCGAGACCAGCCCGGCCAACATAGTGAAACCTCATCTCTACTAAAAATACAAAAATTAGCCTGGCGTGGTGGTGCATGCCTGTAGTTCCATCTACTTGGGAGGCTGAGGCACGAGAATTACTTGAACCTGGGAGGCGGAGGTTGTGGTGAACTGAAATTGTGCCACTGCACTCCAGCCTGGGCGACAGGGCAATACTCTGTCTCAAAAAAAAAAAAAATTCTTTGAACTGAACGGTAATAGTGACACAATTTATCAAAACATCTGGGATACAGGAAAAGCGTTGCTAAGAGAAAAGTTCATAGCGTCAATCTAGGAAAATGACAAGAAAAGCCTCAATCATTTTAGGAAATTTATTTGCCAAAATTAAGGACACCCCTGGGAGACAATTCTATGCCTTTCTCCGAAGATGATTTTGAGGGCTCCAAATTTAAAGGGGAAAAGATGGTATATTGAGAAGCATACAGTTTTCATATAAACAAAAGGAGCAGAGGAAAAATGTGGAGAATCTGCATTTTACATAAGATAACCCAGACAAAATGGGGTAGGGGAACAATCAGATATACATTTGTGTCTGGCGGGCTAGAGTGACTGCACCTGTAAAGATAAGCTATCAATTTGCATCGTCAAGGTGAAGTTTTAAAGCTCACCAGGCATTTCCTTGTGGGCAACATATCGGGGAGGCATGTTGCTTTTCATCTTGGAGTCATCTTATTTAGAAACCTAAAAGGGAGGCAGATTTGTGTGAACCAGTTCCCAGCTTGACTTTTCTCTTTGGCCAAATGAGTTTGGGGTCCCAAAATTTAATTTCTTTTAATAATAGCATTAAATGCCTACATCAAAAAGTCTAAAAGAATACAGATGGACAATCTAAGGTCACACCTCTAGAGCTAGAGAAATAAGAACAAACCAATCCCAAACCCAGCAGAAGTAAAGAAATAATGAAGACCAGAGCAAAACTAAATGAAATTGAAACAACAACAACAAAAAACAATACAAAAGATAAATGAAACAAAAATCTGCCTCTTTGAAAAGATAAATAGAATTGATAGACCAGTAGTGAGATTAACCAAGAAGAGGAGAAGAGCTAAATAAGATCAATCGGAAATGAAATAAGATCCAAATAAGATTAATTAGAAATGAAATAGGAGATATTACAACTGATACTACAGAAATGCACAAGATTATTCAAGGCTACTATAAACACCTTTACATGCATAAACAGAAAAACCTAGAGGAGATTAATAAATTCCTGGAAATATACAACTCTCCTAGATTAAATCAGGAAGGTACAGAATTTCTGAATAGACAATAACAAGCAGCAAGATTGAAATGGTAATAAAAAAAAAACTGCCAACAAAAAAAAAGTCCAGGATCAGACAGATTCACAGCTGAATTCTATCAGATATTCAAAGAAGTATTGGTACCAATTATATTGACACTATTCCAAAAGATCATAAGAAGGGGGAATCCTTCCTAAATCATTCTATGAACCCAGTATCACCCTAATACCAAAACCAGAAAAGAACATAACAAAAAAAGAAAACTATAGACCAATATCCCTGATGAACATAGATGTAAAAATCCTCAAGAAAATACTAGCTGACCAAATCCAACAGCACATCAAAAAAAAAAAAAAAAAAAAAAAAATTCCACACGATCAAGCGGGTTTCATTCCAGGGATTCAGGGATCATTTAACGTATGTAAGTCAATAAATGTGATAAACTCCATAAACAATTAAAAACAAAAATCACATGATCATCTCAATAGATGCAGAAAAAGCATTTTACAAAATCCAGTATCCTTTTATGATTAAAACCCTCAGCAAAATCAGATTAAAGAGATATACCTTAAGGTAATAAAAGCCATCTATGACAAACCCATAATACTGAATGGGGAAAAGTGGAAAGCATTCCCCCTGAGAACAGGAACAAGACAAGAATGCCCACTTTCACTACTTCTATTTAAGACAGTACTGGAATTCCTAGCCAAAGCAATCAGACAAGACAAGGAAATAAAGGGCATCCAAATCTGTAACGAGGAAGTCAACCTGTTGCTATTTGTTGATGGTATGACAGTATACCTAGAAAACCCTAAAGACTTATCTAAAAAGCTCCTAAAATTGGTAAATGAATTCAGAAAAGTTTCTGGATACAAAATTAAGGTACCCAAATCAGTAGCTCTGCTATACACCAACAGTGACCAAGCTGAGAATCAGAAAAACTCAACCCCTTTCACAATAGCTGCAAATAAAATAAAATAAAATACTTAGGAATATACCTAACCAAGGACATGAAAGACCTCTGCAAGGAAAACTACAAAACACTGCTGAAATAAATCATAGATGACACAAACAAATGGAAACACATCCCATGCTCATGAATGGGTAGAATCAATGTTGCAAAAATGACCATACTGCAAAAGCAACCTAAAAATTCAATATAATTCCTACCAAAATACTACCATCATTCTTCACAGAACTAGAAAAAATAATCCTAAAATTCATATGGAACCAAAAAAGAGCCCACATAGCCAAAGCAAGACTAAGCAAAAAGGACAAATCTGGAAGTATCACATTACCCAACTTCAAACTATGCCCTAAGCCATAGTTACCAAAACAGCATGGTACTGATATAAAAATAGGCACATAGACCAATGAAACAGAACAGAGGACCCAGAAATAAACCCAAATACTTACAGCCAACTGCTCTTCGACAAAGCAAACAAAAACATAAAGTGGTGAAAGGACACTCTATTCAACAAACGGTGCTGGGATAATTGGCTAGCCACATGTAGAAGAATGAAACTGGATCCTCCTCTTTCACCCCATAAAAAATCAACTCAAGATGGATCAAAGACTTAAATATAAGACTTGAAACTATAAAGATTCTAGGAGATAATACTGGAAAACCATTCTAGACACTGGCTTAGGCAAAGACTTCGTGATTAAGAGCCCAAAAGCAAACACAACAGAAACAAAGATAAATAGATGGGACTTAATTAAACTAAAAAGCTTCTGCATGGCAAAAGAAATAATCAGCAGAATTAATGGACAACCCATAGAGCGGGAGAAAATCTTCACAGTTTTTTCATCTGACAAAGGAATCTGCAAAGAACTCAAACAAATCAGCAAGAAAAAAATAAACAATTCCATCCAAAAGCGGGCTAAGGACATGAATAGACAATCCTCAAAAGAAGATATACAAATGGCCAACAAGCATATGGCAAAATGCTCAACCTCACTAATTATCAGGGAAATGCAAATCAAAACCACAATGCGATACCATCTCACTCCTGCAAGAATGGGCATAATAAAAAAAATCAGAAAATAATAGATGTTGGCGTGAATGCAGTGAAAAGGTAACACTTTTACACTGTTGGTGGAAATGTAAACTAGTACAGCCATATGGAAAACAGTGCAAAGATTCCTTAAAGAACTAAGAGTAGATCTGCTGTTTTATGCAGCAATCCCACTACTAGGTATCTACCCAGAGGAAAAGAAGTAATTCTACAAAAAAATATACTTGCACATGCATGTTTATAGCAGCACAATTTGCAACTACAAAAATATGGAACCAGCTCAAATGCTCATCAATCAGCAAATGGACAAAGAAAATTTGGTACATATACACGTACATGTATATATGTATGTATGCGTATACATATACGCATACATACATACACCATGGAATACACCATACAAAGGAACAAAATAATGGCATTCGCAGCAACCTGGATGGAATTGTAGAATATTATTCTCAGTGAAGTAGTTCAGGAATGGAAAACCAAACATTGTATGTTCTTACTCATATGTGGGAGCTAAGCTATGAGGACGCAAAGGCATAACAATAATACTTTCGATTTTGGGGACTTGGGGGAAATGGTGGGGTGTGGTGAAGGATAAAAGACAACACATTAATAAGTACTTTAGTAGTGATTTCTGAGATTTTGGTGCACCCATCACCGCAGCAGTGTACCGTGTACCCATTCATGTAACCAAACATCACCTGTTCCCCAAAAGCCTATGGAAATTTAAAGCAAATAAATAAATAAAAAGTGAAAAATGCATAAGGTAGCAATCACACTGGATGACTTAATCATTAAATATATCTCTACTACAATTGTTAAATTTCTAGGAAAGTAAGGAGTTCAACAAAAGTTCAAAGAGGAAAATTTGAGATATTAGTGAAATTATTCAGGCTTCTTGGAGAGGCTCAACACATAAAATTATTTGTTGTGTTAAGTGTTACAGTACACTAATAATAATAGCTCTGTGATTGGCAATCTTTTGTATTTATCCTACTGCATATGTGGCAATACCTAACACAGTAGGTTTGCAATGCAGAGAGGTTAAATAATCTAAATATTTCAAAAGAAATGGTGATGAGAATAGAAACTTTTTCATAACAGCAATAGTTGAAGGATTTAGATAATCTCTCTATCTTAAAGTCTGGTGTATTATATAATATAACCTAATCACAGGAGTAAAATCCATCATATTCTCTGTCCCAAGCAATATTCAGTGTCTTTATACTATCAGGATAAGTTGGGGGCCACCTGAGACCTCTGCCATCACACAGTCTCCTCATTATACAGTAGAAAAATAAGAGTGTTTATTACCATGTAATCTTATGGTAAGAACTAATGTTTTCTGCAGTGCCTAATAGTTAATATTCAATAAAAGTTATTACTTGTAAACATATCAATAATGGCAAATTAATCCATCAACATTTAGGAAATTTTCTCTTTCTGAAAGAATCAATTTATACAAACATTAACCCAAAAAGCATGAATTAAGTCTTTGTATGCTTATAGTGTGTACTTTCAATTCTTTTTTTTTTTTTTTTTTTTGAGACAGAGTCTCGTTCTTTTCGCCCAGGCTGGAGTACAGTGGCACGATCTCTGCTCTCTGCAACCTCCGCCTCCTGGGTTCAACCAATTCTCCTGCCTCAGCCTCCTGAGTAGCTGGGATTACAGGTGACCACCACCACGCCTGGCTAACTTTGGTACTTTTAGTAGAGACGGGGTTTCACCATGTTAGCCAGGCTGGTCTCGAACTCCTGACCTCAGGTGATCCGCCCGCCTTGGCCTCCCAAAGTCCTGGAATTACGGGCATCTGTTTTAAAGAATCTAGCTAAAGTCCTTAGCGTAAGAGCTCACAAAAGTGTATATATGAGAGAGCAGTTTATTTACTCTTTGAATTACAGGCTACTAAGCTGTTGAGAGGAGGTGCTAAATCTATGTTGACAGGTTCCTTAGCTACCTTTTCTGTATTGCCAAGTATTCTTACTCAAAATATGACAGCATATCACCTGGTTTCTCATATGTGAAGGGGTTTACTTTTGATCATTGTTTTTCCAAGCATAAAAATTGATTTTCAATAATTGAGGCTCAATCTATGCTCCATTGTAGCCATAACTTTGGGTACCCATTACTAGCGTAACCAGGTAAAGATGTTAATGGCTAAAAACAACTATCCTCATTTTGTTTCCATTATAGTGTGGAGAAAAAGCCTCAGGTTTTTTGAAATCAATTCAGTAGTGAACAGAATGTTAGTTTATGTACATTAATTAACTCTAAATGTTTGAAAAGAAAGATGAAGCCCCAAGAATGTATAATGACTTATTGAAATGCACCTAAGAAATTACAGGTTGATGAACTCTTCGTTATAGTATTGTTACTTATATTATAAAACCAAGGCCTTTTCAGTGATGAGGTATGAAACGGACAATTTCTCTGGAATTCATTAATTTCGTTACCATAGAGGAATTCATTCATGGATTAGGTCTTTGCTATTTGTGTGCTTTTACTAATTTTTTCAGGTTGTTTAATTGGTAGAGTGAAAAAAGCATTAAACCTTAAAGTTACTTTCTGCACTATTTAACTGGATAAACTTGGCACTTAAAATTTGTATTCCATAATTTCATCTGTAAAATGAGGCAGTTGCTTTAGACTAAGTTTCCCGAAATGCCATTACAACCTATATTCCCAGGAAATGCAACAGAGAAAGACCATTATTTCTGATCACTTTCTTCCTTTTTTTCTCTTTCCAAATTACATTTTCTTTTTCATCCTTTTGCAGAACATGTACTCCCAAGTGTATTAGGACTATCAAAAAATGAAAAATTCATGCCTTCATATTTCTTATAGAAAGTTGAATAAACCTGGTGTATCATGATGCAAATAAGAAACTTTGTAAAGAAAGTATAGCAATTTCATTCCATTTTGGAATATAGAAATGCAGAAATAATGAATTGCTTCATAGATCAGTAAAGACAAAATAAAATCTAAAAAGTAGGGCAACATTATATTACCTATATTTATTTATATGTATATACTTTTCATTAATTCATTTGTTTTATTAAGACAAATCTAACTCACATAACTGAAAAGTAATCCATTGCCAGAATTAATTACTTATATATTAATCTATGAACTATTACTTACGCTAGACCTTGTGTTACAAGCTGCTAATTAAGTATTAGGAAAAGCAAGTATCTTCTCCATCTACATGGGATATACTCTTCCTGGAAGAACAGACAAAAATTAATCAGATAACAAATGTAGAGTGTAAAAACTGTAATAAGACTCAGAAGACAGAATACTATAAACACAGCATATTGGGATCTGACTTAGTTTGGAAGAATTGGTGAAGGTTAATTGTGATAGGAGCATTGGACCTGGTATATGAAATATGCATGAATAGTATAGAACTAGGTGTATGTGTGTATGTGTGTGTTTGGGGGGATGAGAGAAGAATGAGGTCAGAATGAAAACTGCAGGATTCCAGGCCATATGGGACATTGATAGACCACTGGCAGGGTGAAGTATAAGGATTCTAACAAACAATGCTGACTTGGACTGAGAATGGACAATGAAGGTTTGGTATAACATGCAAGAACAGTGTTCAGAAGAGATTCACCAGTTTCCTTATAAGAAAATGCAATGATTCTGTATTGTATTTTTTATCTCAATGGATATGGGAATCTATTGAAAAGTCAGAAGCAAAGAATGCCATGCTCTAATATTTCCTTTGAAGAGAATACTTTATAGTCAGGAGGAAGCAGTCAAGGCAAGATATGTTGGAAGGTATTGAAGAAATCCAGGTAAAGAATAATAGTAGGCAATAGTCCGGAGAAAAACTGACAAAACATTAAGGTGGTTTTGGTAAAAGGACAAGGAAAGGATTAAAAAGAGAGAGCTGGGCGTGGGGGCTCATGGCTGTTGTAAATCCTCTCACTTTGAGAGGCTGAGGCAGGAGGATTGCTTGAGCCCAGAGTCCAAGGCTGCACTGAGCTATGATCTCGCCACTTCACTTCAACCTGCGTGACAAAGCAGGACCCCATCTCTTTAAAAAAATGAATAAAATAAAATAAAAAAGAGGACAGATTTTGCTAGAAAGTTGAAAAATAAAAGTAAAAAAATTACATGAAATTAATCAGGTAATCCTATCAACTTGTAAAATAATGTTTCACAGAATATCTTCAGTGCTGAATATAATAAGCCCTGATTTTTGTGTGTGTGTAAATGTGAAGTTTTCTTCTTTTTTAGAGGCAGAATGTCAGTCTGTCACCCAGGCTGGAGTGCAGTTGTGCAAACATGGCTCACTGAAGCCTTAACCTCCAGGGCTCAAGTGATCCTCCCGCCACAGCCTCCTGAGTAGCTGGGACTACCGGT
Organism: Homo sapiens; assembly: GCF_000001405.40. Taxonomy (NCBI): domain Eukaryota; kingdom Metazoa; phylum Chordata; class Mammalia; order Primates; family Hominidae; genus Homo; species Homo sapiens. Next base: position 64,671,871 of record NC_000010.11, on the reverse strand, counting down.
GTGCACGCCAAGCTCTGATAATTTTTTTTGTAGAGACAGGGTCTCACCAAGTTGCCCAGGCTGGTCTTGAACTCCCAGGCTCTAATTATCCTTCTGCCTAAGCCTCCCAAAGTGCTGGGATTACAGTGTGAGCCACTGTGCCTGGTATGATTTACCAACATTTATCAATGGATTTACTCTGTTACCAATTTCTATATCATGCAGCTCTTTATAGAGGCCATTAATATTAAAGCTGATTGAATAAACATCACACGTGTATATACTTCAGTGATACAGTAATTTGATTAGGAGACTGATTCAGTGAAACTGCAAATGTTTTCTCTGAAATAGTCTGCATGTGCACAGGAGATTTTTTTCATACTCCCTAAGCTTCTGAAGATTAGCCTTGTAAATATTCCGATTGAATCTTCAGCACCAGGCCATTATGACTTCCTGCCTGCTTCTGAAGCTTTTTCTCTGCTAGCCTGGTCAGATAAAAGCTTTATTCTTCTTTTTCTCTTTCTTTGGATTTTTTTTTTTTTTTTTTTTGGCTTCTTAGACGCTGTAAACATCTGGGACATGCATCTCACTTGGAAGCAAGAGAAACTCTGTTTCAATCAGGTTCCTGGGGTGCAGGATTTAGATCAAAGCACAGTGGTGGCTGACCAGTTGGGTCCAAAATAACAAAATATATTTCTATATTAATTAGGAGGCAGTGATGCAGTAAGAGAAAGTTTCTCCTTAAAGTTGTAGGAAGTAACATTTAAAAATTTACATGAAACAGTAGAAATGCATTACACTGAAATTCTAGTTAATTTATACCTTAACCTATTAGTATGACAGATGAATACTTTTAATTTTACTCACAATTCCCCCATCTATTTTTCCAGTTACGTAACTAAATAAAAGCAAATAGAAGACAAACTTTATCATTAGCACTCTATCGATGTACGACAATACTGCTTAAGTGTTGATCTTAAGCTAAGAGATATTTCTCTCAAATAATTAGTGTGAAAATGATCACTGATGCCATCTATAATTTAAGTCATACTAAGTGTATTTGTCAGTTAATCAATATATATCATATGAATTCCAACTCTGAAGGTAACACCAAGAAAATACTAGATGGATAATAATTTCAGGGTTATCAGGGTTAATAAATACAAGCATACAATGGAAACAGAATTATTAACTCAAAGATCAATTCTCCTCATAAAAAGCTAACTAAATTAAAATAAAATCCCATAAATTCATTTACTGTTTCTGTAACAGCAAAAAATCGATTTGCATTCCAGCCTTGCCACAATGGTTATTTCCCAAACTCTACAACAAAATCTTACCTAAGTTTGACCTGAACTGCATCAAAGTTGTACCTTGAGAAATCTTATTTTCACTTTTTCATTTTCTCTTCTCAGCTCATAGGCAAACATATATTTGCGACAAAGACCTATTAATATTTTTTGTAACTTTGCTAAGAAGCATCCTGTCTTTCTTTACACTCCTATCCCATTATCTATTATTATTATTATTTTTTAACAGACAGGGTCTCACTCTGTCATCGAGGCTGGAGTGCGGTGGTGCAATCACAACTCACTACAGCCTTGAACTCCTGGACTCAAGTGATCCTCCTGCCTCAGCCTCCTGAGCCACCATGACTAGATGTGCATGCCACAACACTCAGCTAAGTTTTAAATTATTTTTTGTAGAGACAGGGTCTTATTTTGTAGCCCTGGTTGGTATCAAACTCCTGGCTTCAGGTGATCTTTCTACCTCAGCCTCCCAAAGTGTTGGGATTACAGGCATGAGCCATTGCACCCAGACTAGGACATTATCTTGTTTACACTGTTCTAAACTTCATTCACTTTATTATTACAGAAGCCTATATTTTTCACTAGTTCATTGTCTTCTTCCAACTGTCTGAAATCTAATCATTGGAATAAACTTTTAAAATGTTGTTTGATCACATCAACTCTTACACTAACAAAAAGAAGTTGTAGATAGAAGAAATAAGCTCTAATGTTTGATAGAAGACTGAGGTGACTATACTTAGCAGAAATATTTACTATATTTCAAAGTAACTAGAAGAAAGGACTTAAAATGATACCAAAACATGGGAATGGTAAATACTCAGCTGGGCATGGTGGCTCACGCCTGTAATCCCAGCACTTTGGGAAGCCAAGGTGGGAGAATCGCTTGAGCTCAGGAGTTCAAGACCAGCCTGGGCAACATGGCAAAACCCTGTCTTTACAAAAAATTAGCCAGGCGAGATGATGCATGTCCGTAGTCCCAGCTACCTGGGAGGCTGAAGTGGGAGAATCAACTGAGCCTAGGAAGTTGAGGCTGCAGTTAGCTGTGATCATGCCATTGCACTCTAGTCTGGGTGACACAGTAAGATTCTGTCTCAAAAAAAAAAAAAAAAAAAAAACTGGTAAAAATACTCAGGTTGTGGATACAGCAGATACCCTGAATTGATCATCACACATTCTATTCATGTAGCAAACACTCACCTGTACTCCCATATATATGTAAAATATTATATATTAATAAAAGAAAATAAATGGAAAAAGAAAACAAATCTTAAACAGAAAAGAATACACTTAAAAAGAAAAATATTTCCAAACTTCACATCCTGATACTTCAGGTTGCTAATCTTAAATAAATTTTAGTAAGCATACGAATTACACACAGATATTTTTAAAAATCCAGAATCAGAAATTCTCATTAAATTGGTCTGGTGAGAGTCACCAGAATCTACACTTTAGCAAATATTTTAAGCAACTCTAGCACAACTCGCCCTAGGATATACTTTAAGAAACTTAATCCTAAGTCTTACTCACTGGTAAGTTTTGTGAACAATTTGGTCTAGCTAACAAAAATGTTTTTTTTTAATTTTTCTGGTTCTGTTACTATGCTAACCCAATTGCCAAAATTTTACTATTTATGTTTTGTGTGTGTGTGTGTGATGGAGTCTCGCTCTGTCGCCCAGGCTGGAGTGCAGTAGCGCAATCTCGGCTCACTGCAAACTCTGCCTCCCAGGTTCACACCGTTCTCCTGCCTCAGCCTCCCAAGTAGCTGGGACTACAGGCACCTGCCACCATGCCCAGCTAATTTTTTGTATTTTTAGTAAAGATGGAGTTTCACCATGTTAGCCAGGATGGTCTCAATCTCCTGACCTGTGATCCACCTGCCTCAGCCTCCCAAAGTGCTGGGATTACAGGCATGAGCCACCGCGCCTGGCCTGATTTATGTTTTATAATCCACTGCAAATTTTAAATATCTACTAACTTTCATATAAACTCTAAAGCCGTCCCCAATTAGTGCCAGACATGTCATCTTTTTTCCCTGTGCAATTGTAGTCCTAGTTTCATATGACATTTATTATATACTGCTTGCATAGTTTTCCATAACAACATTAAAAAGTGCCATAAATTTAGTAGCTCAAAACAACACCCACTTATAAATCACAGTTCTATAGGTCAGAATTCCACAACAGTGTTGTTGGCTTCTCTGCTCAGACTGTAATCAAGGTGTCATCTGGAGCTTAGGATCCATTTTCAAGCTCATTTATGTTATTGGTAAAATTTACTCCCTTGCATTTTTAGGGCTAAAGTTTCTACTTTGTTGCTGGCTATTAATCAGGAACGCTCTCAGATCTTCAAGGATGTACCCAGGTCCTTGTTACCATAGCCCCCTTGATATCAGGTAAGAGAACTCCCATGTGGATCCATCTCACTCTTCTAATCACTCTGATTCATCGTCTTTTACCAGCTGGAGGAAACAATCTGCTTTTAAAAGGTTCCTGTGATTTAAGTCAGCCTCACTTGGGTAATCTCCCCATGTCAATGTCAGCTCTGCTACGTAATATAACCTAATCATAGGAGTAAAATTCCTTAAATTCACAATTGACAACTAACACCAAAGTGTTAGACAATTTTGAAACATTTTTAGCAATCTTGTTTTAATCTCTTCTAAAATATATGTTTCTAGAGAACAAGGACAATGCATTACACGTTTTTGTGTATCATGAATCACCTGTGTAATGCATCAAATACAATAGCATTCAATAAATAATTGTTGAATGAATAGGCCCTTCATGTGATAACCTCTTTTCTGATCATTAAATTTAAATGAACTAATGGAATTGGGCCTAGCAGAAGTAAATGTATAGTCAGTCATTCACTCTTGAAGAGATTGAAACAGTTGAGAACCTTACATACTGAGTTCCCTATTTTATTCATGTTAGTGAATAGTAATGCCATCTATCAAAATCCCTTGCTATCCGAAGACATAGCAAATGAAACCACCTAAAAACAAAACAGAGAAAAAATTTTAAAATAAACAACTCTTTAATGTACTGTGGGACAAAATTTTCAAGTGACATAATATTTGACCAACTGAAGAGCAAAAAAGAGAGAGACAAATAATCTTTCAAGTAATAATGAGCTAAATTTTTTCAAATTTGATGAAAACTATGAACCCATATACCCAAGCAGGTCAATTAACCTCAAGTATAAGTAATATGAAGAAAATCACGCAAGACACACCATAATGGAATTTCTTGCAATGAGTCAAAAAATATTAAAATGAGAAAAAAATTAAATACCTCTAGAGAACTAGATAACCCAGAAAGAAATAGAATTTGTAAGTGAAAATTCTCCCACTATGAAAACTTTAGAAGAATAACTTCCCTGACAAATTCTACCAAATATTTAAGGGAGAAACAACACCAATTCTACACAATAGAGTACAGAATATTGAAATAAAATAAATACTCCCTACTAATGTTATGTGACCACAATTAACACAATATCAAAACTAGACAAAGACACTGAGAAAAAATAAAACAACAGATCATACACCTCCTGAATAAACGTAAAATTTCTCAATGAAATGCTAACAAGTGGAAATCAAAAGCATCTAAATATATTACTTTATGACAAAACAGGGTTTTTCCAGCAATAAAGGTTGGTTAAAAACCTGAAGATCAATCAATGGAGACTTTTGGTTCCAAAATGGCAGCATAGATCCAAGCTGGTTTCACCTCTCCCCAGCATGAGAAAACAGAAAACAAATATACAGTGCTGGGATTATCACCAGCAATATCCCAAAACTCAAATATGAGGAAGTCAGTTTCCAGAGCTACAGAGAAATTAAAAGCTCTGAGGAGATGGTAAGAGAATCAGATTTACATATCCATGATGCCCCTTCCTCCAATCAGGAAGCATCATAAGTGCCTAAAGGCAAATATATCCCTGACAATGGTCAGAAACAAAGAGGAGAGGTGGGACTGCTATCCCCAGCCATGGAAACTCTGCCCTGTACCTTGGCCAAAGGAGATGCCAAATTAGAGTGGCCGTTCAGCAGCAATATGCTATAAGAGGTATGTGCCACAGATCCCCTGGGCACAAATCCCTAGAAAGCCTTTCCACACGGCTGGGATATCCCATTTGTGAACTTCCCACCACTCTGATTGGTTCCTAGAGTGGAGGCAAACCTTGGCTTAAGGTGCTGTATAATACCAAAAGAAGACAGTGGCCTAGTGGGAAAAAATGTAAGAAATTCAAAAGTTAAATTACAAATAACTTCTAAGAAAACATATCCAATAAAAAAAAAGTCAAACATAGACAATTGGCATAAATAATGAATTCTTTAATGCAAAGGCATAGATGTACATCCACAAGAAATGGCAACAAACATGGAACTATGACCTCTTACAATGAACAAAACAAGAAACCAGTGACTGACCCTAATGAGATGGCAATACATGAGGACTCTAACCAAGAATTCAAAATAGCGGTTGTAAATGAAACTCAGAGATCTCCAAGGTAACAGAAAAGCAATCTAGAAGCTTTATCAGAGAAATTTAACAAAACAATTGAAATTTAAAAAAAAATTCTTGCAACTTAGAAATACATTTGCTAAACTGAAAAATTCATTGGAGGTTCTCAATAGCAAAATTGATGAAGAGATGAAAGAATTAGTGTGCTTGCAGACAGGCTATTTAAAATTACACAGTCAGTGGAGAAAAAAAGAATGAAAAAAATAGATTGCCTGTAAGACATACAAAATTAATGAAGATCAAAGCAGAAATACATGACAATAAAAAAATACAGAAAATCAATGAAATGAAAAGGTTTTTTGTAAAGAGAAACAAAATTGACAAGCCTTTAGATGGACTAAGAAACTGAAAGGAGAAGACTCAAATAGATTCAGACACAAAAAAGGGGACATAACTGAGACCACAGAAATACAAAGGGTCATTAGAGACTATTATGAACAACTATATACCAACAAATTTGAATACCTACAAGACATGGATAAATTCTTGGACACATACAACCTACCAAGATTAAGCCATGAAGAAATGGAAAACCTCAGTGAAGCAATGATGAGTATCAAGATTGAAGTTGTAAAAAGTATTCCACCAAAGAAAATCCCAGACCTGATTTCTTCAGTGCTAAATTGTGTTAAACATTTAAAGAAGAACTAATAATACCAAGTCTACTCTTCAAAATAATTGAAGAGACGTAATACTGTTAAACTAATTCCTTGAGGTCAGCATTACCCTTATACCAAAACCAGATAAGGGCAAGGCCAATATCATTGATAAACATAGATACAAAAATCCTCAGCAAATCTGGCCAACTGAATTCAACAACTGAATTAAAAAGATTACTCACCGTGATCAAGTGGTTTCTTCCCAGAAATGCAAGGATATTCACCATATGCAAATTAATAAATGTAACATATCACATTAACATAATTAAGAACAAAAAACATATGATCATTTCAATAGTCACTGAGAATGTGTTTGGTAAAATTCAATGTTCCTTTGTGGAAACAACTCTCAACAAACTGGGTATATAAGAAACATACTTCGAAATAGTAAAGGCCAGGCCAGGTGCAGTGGCTCTTACCTGCAATTATAACACTTTGGGAGGCCGAAGTGGGAGAATTGCTTGAGCTTATGAGTTTGACACCAGCCTGAGCAACATACTGAAGCCTCATCTTTACAAAAACTTTGTGGTGGCAAACATCTGTTGTCCCAGCTACTCAGGAGGCTGAGACAGGAGGATCACTTAAGCCTGGAAGGTCAAGGCTGCAGTGAGCCATGATCACACCATTGCACTCCAGCCAGGGTGGCAGACCAAGACCCTATCTCAAAATAATAATAATAATAACAATAAAGGCCATAAATAACAAATCCATAGCCAACATCATACTGAATGGGGGACAAACTGAAAGTCTTTCTTCCAAGATCCTCAACAAGACAAAGATGCCCAACTCTTCACCACTTTTATTCAGCAAAATACTGGAAGTACTGGACAGAGAAATTACATAAGGAAAAGAAATAAAGGCCATCTAAATTAGAAAAGAAGATATCTGATCAACTTTGTATACAGACAACATGATCTTACATTTTGAAAAACTTAAAGTTTCCACCAAAAAAAGTTAGAACTGATAAATGGATGTAGCAATGTTGCAGGATACAAAGTCAACATACAAAAATCAGTCACACTTACATATATCAACAGCAAAAAGTCTAAAAAAAAACTAACCCCATTTACAATAGCTAGAAAAAATATAAACTTCCTATGAATCAATGTATTCAAAGATGTAAAAGATTTATACCAGAAAAACTAGAAAACTTCAATTTCTCTTATCAGAGAAATTGAAAGGGACAAAAAAATCAGAAATATATTCCATGCTCATGGATTAAAATAATTAATATTGTATGGAATATGACAATAATATTTAAAGAAATTTACAGATTCAATGCAATCCTTGCAAAATACCATGACATTCTTCACAGAAGTAGAAAAACAACTTTAAAATTTATAAAGAAATGCTAAAGGCCCCAAATAGCCAGAACAATTCTGAGCAAAACAAAGCTAGAAGTATCGGACTACCTGACTTCAACATATATCACAATGCTATAGCAACCAAATCAGCATGGTACTGGCATAAAAATAGACACATAGATCAATGGAACATAATTGAGGATCCAGACATAAATCCAAGCATTTACAGCCAAGTCATTTTTGATAAAGTTACCAAGAACACACAATGAGGACAGTCACTTTATAAATGGTGCTTGAAAAACTGCATAATCACCTGCAGAAAAATGAAACCAGACCCTTGTCTCTAACTATATGCAAAAATTAACTCAAAGTGGATTTAAGTTCTAAACAAATGACTCAAAACTATAAAACTACTAGAAGAAAATGTTGCAAAAATACTTCAGGACACTGATCTGAGCAAAATTATTTTGCATAAGACCTCAAGAGCACAGGCAATCAATGCAAAAATAGACAAATGGGATCACATTGAACTAAAAAGTTTCTGCAAAGGAAAAGAAACAATCAACAAAGTGAAGAGACAACCTGTAAAATGGGAGAAAATAGTTACAAACTATCCATTTGACATGGGATTAATAACCACCAGATATAAGGAGCTCAAATGACTCAATAGCAAAACAAACAAAAAATCTGATTTAACAAAGGGCAAAATACATGAATAGACATTTCTCAAAAGAAGACATGCAAATTGCTAACAGATAAAAATGCTCAACATCACTTATTATCAGAGAAATGCAAATCAAACCCACAATCAAACATTATCTCAATCCAGTTAGAATTTCTTTTATCAAAAACACAAGGAATAATGGATGCTGGCTTAAATATGGAGAAAGGGAAAGCCTAGTATATGATTGGTGGGAATGTTAGTACAGCCACTAGGGAAAACAGTATGATGGTTCCTCAATAAACTAAAAATAGAACTACCATGTGATCCAGCTATTCCACTACTGGGTATGTATCCAAAAAAAGAAAAAAAGGAAATCCATATATCGAAGAGATAGCTGCACTTTCATGTTTATTGTAGCATCATTCACAATAGACAAAATGGAATCAAACTAAGTATCCATCAGTGGATTAATGGATAAAAGAAAATGTGGTATATATACACAATGAAATATTATTCAGCCATAAAAGGAATGAAATCCTCTCATTTGCAGCTAGATGGATGGAAGTGAAGGTCATTATGCTAAGTGCAACAAATACCACATGTTCTCACTTGTATCTGGAGGCTAAAAAACCATATGTCATGAAGATACAGAGTAATTGGTGGTTATAGGAGGCTAGCATGGGAAGTGGGGAGGTAGGTACAGAGAGGCTTAATGGCTTCAAATATACATATAAAATAGATAAGACTGGGTGTTCATTAGATTAGTTGAATGACCACAGTTAACATTAATTGATTGTACATTTCAAAATAGCTAGAAGAGAATAATTCGAATGTCCATAACATAAGGAAATGGTGAATATTTAAGGTGATATATTTCCCAGTCACCCTAATTTTATTATTTATATGAATGCATCAAATTATCACATAGACCATGAAAATATGTACAGCTATTATGTATCAATTTTTAAAAATCAATTAATTAATTAATTAAAATATCAAAAGTATAAATGAACATCAATAAAAGAAAAGCATTCAATAAAATAATCTGTAATATCAATAGACTAAAGAAGAAAAATAATTTAATCATCTCATAGATGAAGAAAAAATGTGACCAATATTTAATCTTATTTCAAGATAAAAAGTTTGAACAAACTGGAGTAAAGGAAATGTTTCTGACCTGGGAAAAGTACATTATGACAAAATTTATAGCTGATATGGTTTGGCTGTGTCCCCACCCAAATCTCATCTTGAATTCCCTCCCATGTGTTGCAGGAGGGATCTGGTGGGAGATAATTGAATCACAGGGGCAAGTCTTTCCCCTGCTGTTCTTGTGATAGTGAATAAGTCTCATGAGATCTGATGGTTTTAAAAAGAGACAGTCCCCTGCACCAGCTCTTTCATTCTTTGCCTGTCACCATCCACATAAGATGCGACTTGCTCCTCCTTACCTTCCACCATGATTGTGTGACTTCCCCAGCCACGTGAACTGTACTTCAATTAAACCTCTTTCTTTTATAAATTGCTCAATCTCAGGTATGTCTTTAGCAGCAGCATGAAAATGGACTAATACAATAGCTAACGTCCCAATGGGAATGACTGAAGTCTTCCCCTATAGTTAAGTACCAGGTAAGAGTATCCACCCCTACCACTTCTATTCAACATGGCAAAGAATCTCCTAAACGAAGCCATAACCCAAGAAAAAGCAATAAAGTCACTGAGATTCAAAGAAGTAAAAACCAAATTTATTGTCATACAACATTATCATGCTTAGAAAACTCTTAAGAATCTACAAAAAAAAGCTATACAAAATATTCAGTGAGTTTTGCAAGCTGGGAAGACGTAAGATAAAAATATGAAAATCAACTATATGTGTGTATACTGACAATCAACAATTGGAAATAAAATGTGGAAAATATTACCATTTACAGTAGGGCCACAATTAAATAAAAATAATGTAAACAAATAAAGAAATAATATATAAAGTTAAATCTGATACAATTTGCAAGACTTGTATACTGAAAATTAGGGAATATTTCCAAGAAAAATTAAAGGAGACTTAAAGAAAATGAGTGCGATAATGTATTCATGGATCATAATGCTCAATGTTGCTTAGATGTAGTTCTCCAAAAAATGATTACAATGAAATGCCATTCAACATTCTCATAGGGTTTTTTGTTTATTTGTTTTTTTCTCAGAATTAAGAAGCTAATTCTAAAATTCATATGGAAATGCCAAGATATCTGAATAGCCAAAACAGCCTTTCAAGAAAACCAAACCAAAAAAACAAAGTTGGAAGACTTAAATCACTCAATTTCAAGATTTTATTAAGCTACAGTAATCAACTCAGTGTGGTTTGGTCTAAAAGTAGAGAAGTAAATAAATGGAACAGAATAGAGAGCCCCATGATAGATCCATGCATATATGGTCAAATAATCTTCGATATAGGTATGAAGGCAACCGAAGGGTGAAAGGGTTGTCTTTTCAACATATGGTAGCGGAAGAATTAAATATCCTTCTTAAAATATAAATTTTAATGCACATCTCATGCCAGACACAAAAGTTAATTAAAAATCAATCATCAATCTAAATGTAGTGCCCCAAACTATAAAATTTCTAAAAGAAAATAAGAAAATCATTGTGACGTTAGGATAAGTCAAGATGTCTTGTATATGACAAGAAAAGTACAATCCATAAAGAAAAAAACAGAAGCATTGAACTTCATCAAAACTAAGAACTTCTGCTCTTTTTTTTAAAATTTTTTTATTTTTATTTTTTTATTATTATACTTTAAGTTTTAGGGTACATGTGCACATTGTGCAGGTTAGTTACATATGTATACATGTGCCATGCTGGTGCGCTGCACCCACTAACTCGTCATCTAGCATTAGGTATATCTCCCAATGCTATCCCTCCCCCTTCCCCCCACCCCACCACAGTCCCCAGAGTGTGATATTCCCCTTCCTGTGTCCATGTGATCTCATCGTTCAATTCCCACCTATGAGTGAGAATATGCGGTGTTTGGTTTTTTGTTCTTGCGATAGTTTACTGAGAATGATGATTTCCAATTTCATCCATGTCCCTACAAAGGACATGAACTCATCATTTTTTATGGCTGAATAGTATTCCATGGTGTATATGTGCCACATTTTCTTAATCCAGTCTATCATTGTTGGACATTTGGGTTGGTTCCAAGTCTTTGCTATACACTCTTAAGAAAATAAAAAAATAAGGCATACATCTGAAGAAAATGTTTTCAAATCACTTACCTGCTAAATTACTGTTTTTCAGAATATATGACTCTCAAAACCTAGCAATAAGAAATGAACACCACAGCCGAGGCAGGCGGATCACGAGGTCAGGAGATCGAGATCATCATGGCTAACACGGTGAAACCCCGTCTCTACTAAAAAATACAAAAAATTAGCCAGGCATGGTGGCAGGAGCCTGTAGTCCCAGCTACTCGGGAGGCTGAGGCAGGAGAATGGCGTGAACCCAGGAGGCAGAGCTTGCAGTGAGCCAAGATCACGCCACTGCACTCCAGCCTGGGCGACAGAGCAAGACTCCGTCCCAAAAAAAAAAAAAAAAAAAGAAATGAACAGTACAATAATAAAATGTACAAAAGATAAATTACCAAGTAAAATAAAAAGGTAGCAAATAAGCATGTGAAAATATGTTCAACATCATTAGTCTTCTGAGAAATGCAAATTGAAACCACAATGAGATATAACTACCTTAACTAACCATTAGATTAACTAAAATTAAAAAGACCAACAATACAACATGTTGTTGGGGATGTGAAGGAACAGGGACTCTCATACACTGACGGTAGAAATGTAATGGTACAACCAATTTGGAAAATAATTTAGAACTTTCCTAAAAAGGTAAACATGCACACACCAAATGACTCAGACATTCCAGTCCTATATATACACCCAATAAAATGACAGTATGTCTAGAAAAAAATATTCAGAGCAGATTTATTGTGGTAACCAAAAGCTGGAAAAAAACAGAATGTCTAGCAGCAGCTTAATGGATAAAATGAATACTAATCACAATTAAAATTAAAATACTATTTATATATGGAATAACATGAATAAATCTTAAAACAATTTTATTGAGTGAGAGGCCAGATTCCATGAAATAAAAAGAGTACATATTGTGTAATTTCATGTACATAAATTTTTACAAAATATAAGCTAATCTATAGTGATGCATAAAAACAGTAGATCAGTAGTTGTTTGGACACAGGGATAGTGGAGAAAGAAAAGGCACAAGGTAGGAAATACCAAGGGGTACAAGGAAACTGTTGGGAGTAACAGAATGTTCATTGTCTTGGTGGTGGTAGTGATGGTGATGGTTGTGGTACTGTATACATATATCAAAGCTTACCAAATTACATACTTTAAAGATGTTTGTTTTAGTGTATGTCACATACATTTCACTCATATGTCAGTAAAACTGTTTTTAAAAATGAGGGCTAAGATTGATAACCAAGAGACACTCCTCCAGAGTACATGGAGGTTCCACCAAGCACAAGCACCCCTCAGAAGCAAGGGGTTACAGGAGAGGAGAGTTCAAGAATATTCATTAAAGGCATTCTGAGCACTCAATTTTGGGAGGCCCACAGCAGGTAAGAGTGAAACTCCTTGAAAAAATTCAGGCTTTCAACTACAAAGACTGAGAGGTTAGGGGATGTGAGCCAAGACAAAGGCATTCGAGGCTTTTACAAGCTACAGGGCCACTACCTGCTCAATTTAGACGAAGTCACAACAGTGCTAAAGAGAAGTCTGAGGCATGGAACATAGGGAACAAGATGGGAGAGCAAAGAGAACATCTCAGCAAATAAAAAACCTGGATGCTGAGTTACAATGCATGGAGAGATACCCCACAGTTCCAAAAATTGGCAGTTTTTCTGTGAAGCACAAGCAGATCTCTGAAATCACAGCAGTGCTTAGAACCTAAAGCCTGTATCAGAAAGTCCTGATCCCATTTTCAAAACATTTGAAGCCAGTGTTGAAATAAATCAAACTTAAACTTCAAAAAACCAGCAAACTACAGATCATCTTTTTTTTTTTGCTCCCAGTTTAGCAGTCTGACTTTCTAAAGGTAAAAATAATGTATCTTAGTCTCCATTGTCATCTATTTTTTTGTTGTACCAAATACAGATTTGAGATTTGTAGTACAAATTCAAATAATCTAACATTTTAATTAAAATACCTAAATTAAAAAGAGGGTGTGGCAGAAATATTTGAAGAGCTAATTCCCAACTTAAAAACACTGATAATCCTCAAATCCAAGAATCTTATTTAACCTCAATCAGAGCAAATAAAAAGAAAACTACACTTTACTGGAAAGGCTGACATGGGAGAATCACTTGAGGCCAGGAGTTTGAGGATGCAGTGGCTATGATCACAGGTGTGAAAAGCCACTGCACTCCAGCCTGGGTAACATAGCGACCCCACACGCCCCACCAAAAACAGCAACAAACAAAAGCACACCTAAGCACATTATAATGAAAACACCAAAAACCAAAGATAAAATGTAAACATTAAAAGCACCCAGAGGACAATGGCACACTATCCACAAGGGCAAAGTATTATGCATGATGACTTTCTTAACTAAAATAATGGAGGCAAGAAGGCAAGGCAATACAAATAAATCTTCAAAATGCTAGAGAAAAGAAAGTTTCAATCTAAAATGTTACATCCATTGAATATATCTTTCAAAAATTAAAGCAACATAAAGACAACCTTAGAATGAAAAAAGTTGAGAGAATGCATCTTCATATACCTGTACTAAAGAAATACTAAAACAAAACGAAACAAAACAAAAAAATCTTAGTCTGAAGAAAAAAATAGCACTAGGTGGGTCTCCAATTCTGTAAGAAGGAATAGAGCAAGAGAGTAAATAAAATCATGCTACCCTAAGTTTCTAAAATGTCTATTCAGTAGTATAATAATATTTAATGCTCTAACTTAAAGACAGAAGCAACTACTGAAAAAATAACACAAAGAAGTTTAGTTAAAATATCAATATAGAATATAAAGTAATATATTCATAATATTTAATTTACCGAAGAAAATAACAGAATACCTGAACAGATGAACAAAACAAATACGATAAATATGCAATCAATACCAAGTTGGGAGACTTGAACCCAATACATTAATTATTATACTGAATGTAAATGGAGCAAACTTTTCAATTAAAATCTAAGAGTAGCCAACTGTGTGTTTAAAGTGTGCTTGAAGTATTAGAAAGCATGTTTTAAAATAAGGACACTTTGAATTTAGACATTGATGCGTTAAAAAATTAAGGCAGAAAAACCTATGCAATACAAAGATTAAGTAGAAGAAAACTGGCTTAGCTACATTAATGTAAGACAAAATAGACTTAAAGACATAGACATGGAAAGATGTGTCATATAATAACACTAGAATTAATCTATCAAGAACAAATGGCAAGACTAAATGTCTATGCCCTAACAGAAATTCAAAATATACAAGAATTGACTGAATTAAAAGAAGTAGAAAACTCTACATTTATAGTTAGAGATTATAGCACATATCTTTCAGTAATGGATAGGAGAAATTGATTTTTTAAAATCGGTACAAATAAAGAAGAGTTAGCCCTAAAAGACCTAATTGTCTTTGCAGATCACTACACACCACTAACTGCATAATGCATACTTCTTTCAAGTGCTCATAAATATTTTCCGAAGTAAAGTATATATTCAGCTATAAAAGGTATCAATAATTATCAAAAAATTGAAATCATAGAGAGTATATTCTCTGATCACAACTGTATTAAATTAGATATCAATAACAATAAGATATGTAGACATTCCAACTATTTGGAAAATAAAGCACAGCCTTCCAAATAACTCATGGATAAAAGAAGAATTCATGTGAGAAATTGGAAAACATATTAATTGAAGAATTATAAAATGCAACAAAATGTGGAGAACACAGTGAACATATTTCTTAAAGGAACATATATAGCTTGAAAATACTTATAGTTCAGATACTTGGAAACCACAAAAGAGGTAAAAATTTACCATCTAAACTCCCACCCTAAGAAACTAGAGAAAAGCAAATTAAAACCAAAGTCAGTAGGAGAAAGGAAGTAATAAAGATAGAAGTGAATTATTTCATTACTCAAAGAAATAGATAAATAATGGAGAAAAATCAATGGAAGTAATAGTAGTGTTTTTGATAAACCTAATAGAATTCATAGACCTCTAGAGAGATTTATCATATTACAAAAAAGACAGAAGAAATAAATAACTGATAGCAAATAAAATACTGTAACTCACCACAAGCTTTATGGACTATGAGGAAAATAAAGTATTCTGACCTAAAGATTTATTTGAACAAATACAAAAACACTAATCAAAAATTTTTACAATCTATACATTTGACTTCACTTTAAAAACTCTTTTTCTCAAGAAACCACATTAAAACAATATGTAAAAACTACATAGTGGGAAAAATATTCTCTTTACATATGTCTGAAAAAGCAGTTGTATACTGAATATATTAATAATTCTTGCAATTCAACAGCAAAAATACTAACAAACAAATAAATATGGGCACAATAGCTTCAAACTGGAAATAACTCAAATGTCCATCAATAGGAGAATGTATCAAAAGATGTTGTGGCAGATGCATGCCACATGATAATACAGATAAATTTCATAGACATTTAAACAAAAAAAGCCAGACACTAGACAATATATACCATATAATTAACTTACATATATATTTAAAACAAAAAGAAATACAGACTGATAGAAATCAGAAAGGGGTTGCTCTCGGTGGTGGTGAAGTCCAATGTAAGAATGTTTCAATTTTTGATTAGTGTTTTTTGTGTTTTGTGTGTGAAAAGTATGTATGACCCCAACTATGTAACGTTCTGGAAAAGGCAACAACTATGGAAAGAGTAAAAAGATTAGTGATTGCCAGCTGATTGGGGGTGAGAGAATGCACAGGTGGAGCACAGAGAGTTTTTAGGGCAGTAAACCTACTCTAAATAATATCATGGTATGTATTATAATACATATATTATATATTATTAATATGTTATATTATATATTACGTATTTATCATACATATATATATAAAACGATACATCTATCCAAATCCATAGAATACACACCATCAACAATGAACCCTAAGGTAAACTATGGACTTTGGATAATAATGATGAGTCAGTGTAGGTTCATCGATTGTAGCAAATGTACTATTCTGGTGAGGGATGTAACGAATAGCAAAGACTGGACATGTATGGGGGCACAGAGTACAGGAGAAATCTCCGTACCTTCTCTCTGTTTTATCTTACATATCTATGAAAAATATTGCAGGTTACTTCTTTCCTTTGTATGTGATTAATTCACTAAATGTGCCTGTCATGGGAAACATCCCAAAATAATTTATGTAGCCAGCAGCTCATGAAAAATGGAACTGTGATCTTATGATGAAGAGTCCACTCACTTTCTTCTTAAGAGAACAAGACCAGCATATAGCATGAGTTTCTTCTAACAATAGGAAGTCAGTAACCACCAATTAATAACAAAATAACAGAAGACTGCAGAATAGAATATGCTATTCATAATTCCTGGAGATTCCCAACTATCTACCCCCCTGTTGGGGCCCCTGAAATTATTCTTATTGTGATAATATGGTCATAACTGCAGGTCGTGACCCATAATAAACCAAAGAAATAAACACCAGAACACTCCTGAAAATGCATCTCCTTGCCTACCTGAATTTATGCTCTGTTGCAAGAGCTTGCATAGCTCCGATAGTGTTCAGCATAACTGATTAAATAGGACCTCCGGTGAACTCCTTAATTGGTTAAGATGGAGAGAGCAGGGGATGGATATTTCATAGCATTATATAGAAACACTATGGGCTTGAATTGATTAAATAGCAACACCCTTCTACACTACACAAAAAGTTTCATGGTGCTGCGTAATGTAGATTTGTTTTCAGCTTAAACTCCAAAAAGAAACTGAATCTTCCCACTAGGGAGAAGCAAGAATATTATCAATGTTTTCACTCATAGGTGGGAATTGAACAGTGAAAACACATGGACACAGGAAGGGGAACATCACACTCAGGGGACTGTTGTGGGGTGGGGGGAGGGGGGAGGGATAGCATTAGGAGATATACCTAATGCTAAATGACGAGTTAATGGGTGCAGCACACCAACATGGCACATGTATACATATGTAACAAACCTGCACATTGTGCACGTGTACCCTAAAACTTAAAGTATAATAAAATTTTTTTAAAAAAAGAATATTATCAATGATCCTGCTATTACCTCATCAAAGAATGTTGACTGAGCAAAATCAGGGCTGAAGCAGAAGAGACCATTCACAGAGCCCTCACTTTAGAGACACAAAGTTATGACACTATGTGCCTATCAAAGAGCACACAATGTGGGTTTAGCATCATGTTTTGCCAACTGCATGTATCCTAAAGTTAAAGGATCTTTCCAGGTAATGTATCTACATTCAGATGTGAAGATTCAGATGCCTAAAGTCAACATAATCAAGTAATAATTACCATTTGTAGTATATAAAACTTATCAAATGAGGCTAATATCTGTTTGTGTAGGTAACGTATTAAATACAACATGATTTCTGTTTCTGACAATTTAGATATTGTGGGGGAAGAAATGACAAGGAAAAGAGTGCACGTGGTTTTACATTTCAATCCTGGACTGGAAATATTTCACTTGCTCCTCCAGATCCTTTGCCCCTTCTCCACTGTTTTGTCCCCTGAACAAACGTCAGCCTCTATGAACTGCATCAACTGACTCACCTGCCACCTGGGTTCCATTGGATCAAATCATAGTGCTAGCAGAAGATCATAGTGCAGGAGGGGAGCAAAGTTCTGTTTATTCCCTGGCTCCCTTCCTCTCAGGTCACTGGGGTCTTCATAGAGCTTTCTCTCCAGGTTCCACTAACTCTTCCTTCCTCTTTTGACTTCAAGCCTGTAAGTGATATTGACCCTCTTTGCCATCAGATGCTGCACCATTCCTGGTTGTCATCTTCCAGTGTAAATAATACCTTTATTTGCCTTCAGTTACCTAGTTTGAGTGTGTCATCTCCTTCTCGCCTGTATCCTGACTGCTACAGACACGAAAGAGCAGCTGTTCTTTTTCTCAAAACATTTTCAAATACTTTTCCTTTAGTAGAAGCATAGGCTCAATTCAGAAAGAGCTGCCAAAGAACATTAAGAGTCAAGATACAGGCGGAAGAAGCGGAGTCATACAAATAGATTTTGTTTAAATCAGGAATTCAGAATGACATTAAGAAGTTGGAGAGAGCTGTAAATATTACAGATAAGTAACTACTGGTGGGCATTTTGTCAATTTGATTAGAGCAAAATCTCCATAGCATTATTGTTGATAAAGACATGGTATTTAAAATAAATTTGAACAAACATGTATACAAAAAATATTAATTTCCTGCAAATTGTACCATAGGAGCCCTGATGTAAAAAAAAAAAAAAAACCCAGCAAAAAATAAGAGGAGCCCAAGGCAAACAGGAAATAAGCAAAGCTTGAATAATGTCAAAAAATCCAGACTGACTCAAGATATTTTCTTAGCTCTTTTAAGCTAAAATATTCCACCATTCCATCATGAGAAGGTCCATTAGATTATTGTATCAAAACCTGGTGGTAAATTTTTATAATGTTTTGCATATGTGTAGTAGATCACTTTTATATAATTTGTTGAGCCATTCATTTAATTTGAAACAACTGCCTTAACTTTTTTTTCTCTCTACTATGGCCCTGTCCCTTGACCTCCTCAGTGGGCTTCTGACCAAGCTGTGCCAATCAGAATGCTTCATCTGGGAACCTGGAATTAAGGTAAGAGACAGAATTACAGTTACACTATGTGTACAGAACATAGTGTGCAAATTTGTAAACCATGGGTAATCATCTATCCTCTCTGTTGTGGGTCCTCCCACCAGCAGACCAGCGATCCAGAGAAAGCTGGTCTGCTGAGGAAGGAGAATTAAGCTGATGTAGATGGGCAGAACACAAGTTGAGAGTAAGAGAGAGAGTGTCTTAAATTCCTGAAAGCTGCCTGCTTCCTCCTAGTAGTCTCTGGTGAGGACCAGGTACATTCCTGCCAAATTTTGGTTCTGCAAGATGATATATTCATATAACAAACAATGCTACATAATTTATTTTTTTCCTTCAGCTTAGCTTATATTGACTTCTGTCACTTGTAATCATAGTCACAATACAATATTAACTTTCCAGAGTGTGGATCCAATCTTTTTATCTCAGAAAGTAACAGCTTAAAGAATTCCTCCAAGATGGATATTTAGATTAGGTGAACCATACCTAAGGATTGTAGTCAAGATTCTTGAACTCTCTTCATCTAATTTGCCTTTGAGAGACCTTTTTCTTTATCTTGATTCAACACATTATGCTTTTATTGTAATGCAATCCAAGCACATATCAGGCAAGATCTTGAGAACTTTGGATTATAAGTATCATTCTACCTAAATAATTAAGTTGAAGAAAAACATAAGGATACATGGTGAAATACAGGCCAGTATGGAGCACGAAGGCTATCATTTCTTCCTGATTTATGATATGCACTCAGGAAGGCCCAACAGGCAGAAAGGTTAACCGTTTTTATAAGATCAAAATTGGGTTTTCTTGGTATAATAATAGGTAGAATTTATTGCATAGCTTTTGTACCTAACATTCCTCCAAATGTCCTACATTGATTAAATAATTTAACTTTTGCAATAACCCTTTCGGTAGTTACTATTTTTATCCCTATTTTACAAATAACTCAGTTGAAGACACAAGAGGTTACAAAACTTGTCCAAGGTGACACCACCATTAAAAGCTGAACAGTCATTAAAGGAAGGCGATCTCTCTCCCCAGCACTTGCTAGCTCATCCACTGTGCTAGCTGCTTCACATATATCATAAGCACAATGCATTTCACAAAACTGCCTCTGTGTGTGACTTAGGCCTAGGAAGAAATAGGGATTTCAGACAAAAGATACATACATCAAGTCCCAATAATGAAACTCTGATTTTTTGTATTACATTATTATGCATGAAATGCCCATCCCTTCCATATATTTAAAAAAGTCCTAAAACCAACATGCCAATAACAGTTACATTGAGGCAGTACTTAATGTCCTCCTTATATTTGTTCAAGTTATTTTTTAATAAAAAGAAAATGAAGAAAACCCTCATAACTCAGTAGCAATCGAAGCAAAAAATTATTTTAAAAGATACTGTTACAGTGTATATATTATACATGAAACACTGACTTTCAAACTCAGCAAAATATTTTTAATCCAGCCATATTGCTTCTGAGTAATTATCCTGGCTGTAAACACCAGTAAGTCAAATATAGGAAATGGTATGGCTTGATGTTGTGTTAACCAAGTTAATAAAAATTTTAAATAGCAGTAATAAGCTGTTGAGGAGAAAATAAAATGCTATGCTTATGGAGAGCCTAGTAATGACTCTGAGTTAGAGAATTGCAAAGAAATAGAATCAAACAGCCCTGTGCTACAAATTGCTGGAGATGTGGCACTGGTATTAGCGGTAGGAGAAAAGTCTTACTTACAGTCATATTGCTAACCATCCATATTAGGAGGCAGTTAACCAGGACCAGAATGCCTAGGTTCAAATACAAAGTCCATATTTTGGCAGAGTCATAGCTGTGGCATATTACTTAGTCTCTCAAAACTTAAGTTTTTACCTCTGTAAAGCAATGTTACTAATAAAACACACTTCTCAGGGTTGTTCCAAGGATCAAATAAAAATACATATAAAGTGTTTATCAAGATACAGAGAATATGGTAATTGCTCAACAAATATTAGCTAATGGTAACAGTAGTGAGCTTGGCTCTTTATCTCTTTTTAATTATATTAGTTTTGTTTACTTCGCTAGGAATATAACTGTTATATATGAAAAATATCAGCATCTTTGATATGAAGGAAAAATTACTGATGAAAGATTAAAGGCAAAGTAACAAAACACAAAGTTGTTAAATTAATAAAATAATTTATTATTTTATATGAAATAGAATGTCCTAGGATCAACCTGTAAATTAATACAAATATGCCACATTTCTAGCAATACCTCAGATATCAGCACATCAAGCCTTCTTTCACTCAACTAGCTAAAAGACAAGTGTTTGCCTAGAATCTACTTCTTAAGATATTCTTAAAAATTCTCAAAAAAGAGAATGTTCACTCTACACCCCCACAAGTCTCTGAAACCTGAGTTAGCATGATTTTATTCTGGAACACCTGAGTGAGTATGGAAGAAGATCACGCATCCAATGAGTTATTAGCTTCCACTTTGCTGTCTCTCTGCCCTGATGTCCACTGTCAACGCCCCCTTTTGACTCTACTGTTCATTGTCACTGTATTACCCAAGGTCAATCTCTGGTCTGACTGCAGTCTGGGACCTCTGGACCTCTGCTAATCATCACAACCCTTGGGCCACTGCCATTACCTATACTGCTGATGACTCCTCTAAAGCATTGAGCCTGAATACACCTCTCTTCAGTCAGTGGGGGAATGCCTTTCCTTCTGTGTCTCAAGTTGGCTTTGTCAAAGAACTGTAGAACTGTAGAGCTTCTGGTCACATTTCAAAAAATATCACTCAATGCTTATCCAAAATCCTTTCTCAATTTTTTCCTTAATAACAGAACAGGAAAATACACAACTAAACTGAACACCAAATACTCCTTTATCGCTAAGGGTGTTCCTGTGACCAAATGACCCTGTTCAGAGCCTATAGATGTACTTTGAAATTTCCAATGGGTGGAGCTTTAAGGAAAGAAAGATTACAAGAAAATTGCAATCCATCCCCAGTGGGTGGAGCTTTCAGGAAAGAATTCAGCCTTCAGCTTTTTTTCTCTTCTTCATTCTTTTTGTTTGAAATTAGATGAGATTCAGGAGGTACAATGGTCTTGTTGCTACCATGAGACCAAAAGCATAAAAACAAAATTATATATTCTTAGGATGAAGTACAAAAAAGATGGAAAGATCCTGGCTTCCTAAACATATCAATGAGCCATTGCATTAGTCTTGGACTATGTAACTCTAGACTCCTTATTGTTTGAGACTAATTCATTTCTTGTTCGTCTAATTTTTCTATTGTTTAGTGCCAATAGCGTTTCCAACAGGCAGAGCTTTTAATGACAGAATGTGTTCCTCTATACTTGAAACTTCTCCTTTCCCCAAAATAGAAATGGCTTACAGCTTGCACAAGAGCATATTCAATCATGTGATTACTGGAGTGGCCAGGGAGGGCATAGTTGAGCACAATTTCTTGCCCTGTGTTGACAGCACCTTCCACGCAATGATGCTGAGCCTGACCCAGTCTGTCATACTGTTTTCCTTACTTGAGGCAATTGGCTTTTAAATTCCAATTGCCTCTCTTACCAGGGCTCTCCTCTGAGATTTCTCTTCCATCAAAAAGAGATTTTGGCCAGGCACAGTGGCTCACATCTGTAATTCCTGCACTTTGGGACACTGAGACAGGTGGATGGCTTGAGCTCAGAAGTTCGAGACCAGCCTGGGCAACATAGTGAGACCCCACCTCTATAAAACAAACAAAACATATTTTTACAAATGAATTGCCAATGTGAACAATGTTCAGGAAACATCCTATAAGACTTCTGGGAATGTAACAGGGTAGCTGTTCTAACAACTCCTGAACCTCCCATCTAATTTAAGCAGTTTTCAGTTTCTGAAGTAGTATTGTTAGCCTGTCTCCTTGAACACACAAAGGATTTATGGATGGTATTAAATAACCGCACAGATCAACCTATTAGAATTTCAGCCTTGATCTGACCTAGACACTTTGAGGAATCCAAAATGTCTTTTCGGACTGGTAAGGTAGGAGAAAATTAGGTAAAGAAATCATTATATTGAAAACATTTTTATTAGATGATTCCATATATTTTCCCACTCATACATTTTGGTTTCATAATTTTATGATTAGGACTATGGCTATGTGTCTTACTTATATTTGATTTAATATTTTGTTAGAATAGCAGTCCTTACAGATACATATTTTAATTATTTATAGGCTAAGTATCTGTTTATCTAAAACATTCACATATTTACTTCGAACATTTTAAAAAATCTATGATTAAATATAAACAATATAATTATTGAAAAGTATAACTTTCAATGTTCAATTCCTCCCTCTAATAAGAAAAAAAAACACTTTCACAAAGTCCCATTTATTTTCCTATAATATAGATATGATCTCTTATTTCCTAGCTTGTTGGTTCTCTAACTTGTGAAAATCACAGATAACCACCTTTAGGTTTAAAAACAATATTAAATTCATGCTTCAAAATAAGGTGAATTATTTTAATGTAATTATTCTAGTGGTTTCAATGTGGAATCAGTCAGAAATGAATAATAATATGCAAAATTGTCAAAATAGCTGAGTTTGGACAAAAGAAAGCCAGACATTTCTTGAATTCTTCTGTTGCTATGTTATGCTCTAAGAAACAGCACATTTAATTCATACAGCACTCCCACTGACTTCTTCATGAACACTGAAAAAATCTGTTTCAAATAGAGGTAATTAGTCAGTGATTAAGAGACAGAGGATAATTAGTGCAAAAGAGAAATGACTTTGTTTGTATAAGAGCTGCCAGTCCAAAAGAAAAGAAGCCTTAGGAAAAAACTTTTTAGAAGAAGTATCTAAAGTTTTAAGGTTAATTGATTCCAAAGTTAAAAGTTCAAAACTATCAGCACAAAAGTAGAAAGTCAGGCAGTGTAAGTACACCCTTAAATGTGTTGTTCACACTACTTGGAACACTCTTTCCCATGACCTCACTTGACTGTCTCCTCATCTGATTCAGGCTCATTTACAAATGACTTCTCTTCCAAGGGGGTTCCCTGATTATTCTAGCTAAAGTAGACCTCAACTATTTACCCTGCCTTCTCTTACTCATTTTATTCATCAGAATCTGGAATTTTATCATGATTCATTTTTTTCTTGCCAATTATCACCTGTCTCTCCCATTAGAATATAAGTTGCATGAGGACAGAGTGCTTACCATGTTCTCCACTAAATCTCCAACACTTATAGTAGTCCCTGGCACATATTAGTTGACCAAATATTTGCTGAAAAAATGAATACCTGAAGGAGTTTCTTTCTTTACAAAGATCTTTATGGGGGTTAAAAGTGTTGTCTGTTGTAAAAGATTTTCTTCTCAGTAACAGCTGTATGAGATTTTCAGGTATATCTTGGAATGATGCTTAGAATTCATGTGAATTATTTGCCTGATCTTTCATTAATAAACCCTGGATTCCACCTCCTCTCAGAAGACTTCCTATTAAGTAGAAGTAATCAACTCCACAGTTGTGCTCTAAAAATGCCTTGTTCATTTGTGCATGTATCTCCTTCAATAGCAAACCACTCAGTGGTGAGGATTATGGCCGATTTGTCTTTATCATTGCCTCAATACTTAATACTGCATGTAGCATCACTGTCTGAGAAAATCACATCGCATGACTAACTCAAAACATCACTAGACACAAAATCTCTTCCCATGAAAACATTCTCTTTTCAAATACTTAATGAAGTGCTCTGTCCAATACCAATGCTGCCCAAATCTAAAGCCTCGCCCCTTAATATGACACACTTTTCTTTATGGTCCACTGGATGGCCATCGCTGCAGCTGAATGATCAATACAGTTAGACTATTTTCACAACACAATTTTTAAAATAACAGTTGTCACTTACTATATTAGCTGACCTTTTCTAGGTGCTCTAGCATCCACTCACCCCAAACCAACTAGATAATAAAAACAATATATGAATAGCATTGGTAAGCCAATAGAAATTGCTGTAACTTCTTTTTGCCTGCCCATCCTCCTACTCTAAGCAAGCAAGTTTATTTTCCATTCAGCCCCAGAAGCTCACATGTGTCTAAAGATATAGTATGACCCAAACCTCTCCATATCAGGAAAAACACTGAAGAGAGTTAAATAAAATTCTTACAATCTTAATTATGAATACAAACTATAAATGAGTTTAATGTCTGCACATTTTCGTATTATCAGAAGTCTGAAACAAAGTCACTGTAACTAACCTTCCACCTTGTCTTTGTACATTAATATTTTAGATTGCAGATTAAAATGTACATTTGAGTGAAGCTATTTCATATTTGTGGTGTATGCCAGAGACTATAGAACAGAAAATGGAGTTGAAGTTTCCACAGATGTTTATAGATGTATAAAAGGAATTTTTAAATTTACTTTTGAAAAGTCAAATATATATTCTTTTTAGTGAATAATGTGATTATCTTTTAATAAACCTCTCATTTCCTGGAAAAAATAAACACTTTCTAATTATGCCAAGAAATAAATAGAAGTGTATTTATATCAAAGCATAAGAGAGATTTTTTTCCTAAAATTATTTCTTAGAAAAAATAGAAGTCATGTTATGTTTGCATCTATATAAATACTCTCCACATAAATATTCTCATAGAACAGGGGCATGTTTAATATGACATTTTATAGTGAAGAATATGGCACTTATCTAAAGAGATATTCATCTAAAAATCCTATATAAATGCCACATTTGGATGACTATAGCAATTATTTATTTGTTTTCACTATGTGTAGTGAAAACAAAACAAAAAGATAAAAATGAAAATAGCTTTCAAATTTAAAACACACATAATAATTTTAGGATTCTGATCTTCACAATTTCAAATGCTGTATATGGTCATACACAAGCATTTAAAATCAATTTTAAAACAGTATAGGAGAATGGGTGCAATGCAGACCTGGAGATCTTTTTAGGTTCAGTTTCACATTCATTCACAAAAAAGAATGGGTCTAGTTGGCATCAGATTCACTTAAGAGGATTCAGGACAGGACATGCAGCTTCTCGGGTGGGCAGTGTTGAGCATTCTCTATCAAGAAGAGTGGACCTCACAGCAATCCATACAGCAGTCCACACAGCCCCACAGAGATAGTTCCGAAGTGAGAAAAACTCACATTTGTCAAGTTCAAGAGGCAGCCTGGCTTAAAAGTCTCATTCTCCACAGGAAACAATTTATTGTAACAACCCATAGGCATAACTTATGGGGGTCCTGGGAGCACACGCCCAGTTACAAGAATCATCACCCTTAGGGAAGCCCAACAGTATAGTGCTGCAGTAAGTCACTTGTTGTTCACTTAGAGTCTCTCTCAGTATAAATGCTATTTGCCAATCTGTGATCATTTTAATTTTAACCAATGTTGTTAATAACATGTTCTTCCATTTTAGGTTTCTAGGGAAAGAGATCTAGAAACCTAACTAAAGCTCATATTATCATGCAGAAAGGAAAAGTTTTTCTTAGCCCGTTACCCACAGATGGATTTCAGTGAAGGAAGAGTAACATGTATCACACAAACCCTCTTGCCAAAAATATTTATAAAGTCTAGGAAAGCAATATTTTTAAAAATGAAACTGTTGGAAGGCATTAGAGAACAGCCGAAAGTGGACAGAACCTTGTGAGGAAACAACCTTATGAAAAAAGAAATAAATTCGGTGAGATCTGTATAAATCCAGCTTTTATCCTGGGGCATGCTTTAGTTTGTGTACTGCATGGGAGATAAGGCACAAGCAGAAAACAGAAGTTCTGCTGGCCTAAGTTGTGAAAGATCAGAGCTCAAGACTTCCATGAGGCAGAAAATGTATGCTGATTTTAAGGAAAAGAAAAAACTGCAAGGAGAGAAATCCTAAAATCCACATATTCTTTTAATATTCTCAGCTGATGCTGAACTGAAAACACAGTGGGAAGACCCCCAAAACTCCATCAAAACTCACCATGAAGGCTGCAAGAACTGAGCAGATTTTGGTAGTTATCTAGCATTTGGGTGATAAAGTTTGAGATCAAATCCCACTAAGTTAAGGAGATCTAATAAACACAGTAGGCCTTTCACTGAAAACAAAGAAGAACCCAAAGCTAGAAGTAAGCATCACGTTCCTGGATTAAGCATACATGTATGGTATTGATAATGCTTAAAAATTCTACAAAATGAAGGTGATCCACCACTAATTTTACTCCTTACTAAAACAAACTCTGTGCTCTTCACAGAGAGATCATGGGTCCAAACTCTATTTAAAGTACCATGCACATTGTTTAATATGAAGTCAAATATTATTCGGCACGAATAAACAGGAAATTGTATTCTAAATAAAAAATATAGTCAGTAAAAATAAAGTATTAGATAATTTAGATCTTAGAATTGCCATGAGATATTTAAATAATAATAGTATATATTTTAAAGAATGTACAGGAAATTGTAGATATAATGGGTAAAGACAGGTAATTTGGGGATAGAGATAGAAATTAAAGAAAAAAATGGAGCTCTAGGATTAAAAATTCAATATCTGAAGTATGAAAATTATCTGAGCTTCAGCAAGTCATCATCTTTTGCTGGTGGAAGGTCTTGCCTTGATGTTAATGGCTGCTGACTAATCAAGACATGATTGTTGAACACTGGGGTGGCTGTGGCAGTTTCTTTTCTTTTTTTTTTTTTTTTTTGAGACAGAGTCTCTCTCTGTCACCCAGGTTGGAGTGCAGTGGTGTGATCTTGGCTCACTGCAACCTCCGTTCCCTGGGTTCAAATTATTCTCCTTCCTCAGCCTCCCAAATAGCTGGGACTACAGGCATGCACCACCACACCCAGCTAATTTATTTTATTTTATTTTTGTTGTTGTTGTTGTTGTTGTTGTTGTTGTTGTTGAGATGGAGTCTTGCTCTGTCTCCCAGGCTGGAGTGCAGTGGCGCGATCTCGGCTCACTGCCAGCTCTGCCTCCCAGGTTCAAGCCATTCTCCTGCCTCAGCCTCCCGAGTAGGTGGGACTACAGGCTCCTGCCACCATGCCCGGCTAATTTTTTTGTATTTTTAGTAGAGACGGGGTTTCACCATGTTAGCCAGGATGGTCTCCATCTCCTGACCTCGTGATCCGCCCACCTTGGCCTCCCAAAGTGCTGGGATTACAGGTGTGAGCCACCACGCCCGGCCTGTCACACCCAGCTAATTTTTGTATTTTTAGTAGAGACGGGATTTGGCCATGTTGGCCAGGCTGGTTTCGAATTCCTGACCTCAGGTGATCTGCCCACGCTGGCCTCCGAAAGTGCTGGGATTACAGGTGTGAGCCACCATGCCCGGCCAGCAATTTCTTTAAAGAAGAAAACAATAAAGTTTGTTGCATCAATTGTCTATTCCTTTCACAAAAGATTTATCTGCAGCATGTGATACTGGTTGACAGCATTTTACCCACAGAAGAACTTCTTTCAAAATTGGAGTCAATCCACTCAAACCATGTTGCTGCTTTATCAACTCAGTTTATGTGATATTATAATATTTTGTTGTCATTTCAACAATGTTCACAGCATCTTTACCAGGGGTAGATTCCATTTCAAGAAACCATTTTCTTTGCTCATCCATAAGAAGCAATTCCTTATTCATTCAAGTTTTATTATAATATGGCAGCAATTCAGTCACATCTTCCAGCTCCACTTCGAACTCTAGTTCTCCTGCCATTTCTACCACATATGCAGTTAGTTCTTCCACTGAAGTCTTGAATCCCTCAAAGTCATCCATGAAGATTGTCAGCGACTTCTTCCAAACTCCTCTGAATGTTCACTAAAACCTTCTCCATATCAGCAATAAGGCTGTATTGCTTTCTAATCATTTGTATGTTCACTCGAGTAGCGCTTCTAATTTCCTTCAAGAACTTTCCCTTTGCATTCGAAACTTGGCTGTTTGGTACAAGAGACTTAGCTTTCAGTCTGTCTTAGTTCCACACAAAACTTAATCATTTCAAGCTTTTGATTTAAAGTGAGAGGCGCCTAGCTTTTTTTTTTTTTTCACTTGAACTCTTAAATGCCATTGTAGGGTTATTAATTCACCTAATTTCAACATTGTTGTGTCTCAGGGAATATGGAGGCCCAAGGAGAGGGACAATTATGGGGGTACTGAAAAGTGGAGCAGTAAGAACACATGCAACATTTGGCCAGGCACGGTGGTTCACGCCTGGGTGGGAGGCTGAGGTGGATGGATCACTTGAAGTCAGGAATTCGAGACCAGTCTGGCCAATATGGTGAAACCCTGTCTCTACTAAAAATATGAAAAAATTAGCTAGGTGTGCTGGCACACACCTGTAATCCCACCTACTCAGGAGGCTGAGGCAGGAGAATCAGTTGAACCAGGGAGGTGGAGGTTGCAGTAAACTGAGATCATGCCACTGTACCCCAGGAGTCTGGGCAACAGAGCAAGACTCTGCCTCAAAACAACAAACAAACAAACAAAAAAACCGACCACATACAACATTCATCAATTACGTTTGCCATCTTATATGGGCATGGTTCATAGCACCCCAAAACAGTTACAAGTGTAATATGAAAGATCACCATAACAGATATAACAATAATGAAAAAGTTTACATTATTGTGAGAATTATCACAATGTCACACAGAGACACAAAGTGAGCACGTACTGCTGGAAAAACGGTGATGATAGACATGCCTGACTTAGGGTTTCCGCGAACCCACAATTTGTGGAAAAAAAAAAAAAGAAAAGAACAAAAAAAGCCGTGCATGATGGCTCACGACTGTAATCCCAGCACTTTGGGAGGCCAAGGCGGGTGAATCACCTGAGGTTAGGAGTTCGAGACCAGCCTGCCCAACATGACAAAACCCCATCTCTACTAAAAACACAAAAATTAGCTGAGTGTGGTGGCACGTGCCTGTAATCCCAGCTACTTGGGAGGCTGAGGCAGGAGAATCACTTGAACCCAGGAGGCGGAGGTTCCAGTGAGCCGAGATCGTGCCATTGCACTCCAGCCTGGGCAACAAGAGTGAAACTCCACCTCAGAAAAAAAAAAAAAAAAACCCTTAATATCTGTGAAGCACAATAAAGTGGCACAGAATAAAACAAGATATGCCTATAATACTCGTGTAATAAATGATTTCTAGTTACAAATAAAATTGTGAAAAAATGCTGAATTTTCAGTTTGTCAAACATATTTCACTCCAGACCTTTGTTGATATTGTTTCCTTTTCTCAAACACTTTTCTCTGTCATTCTTTGGCGATCTACTTCTTTAGATGACATACTTCCCAAGAAATTTTACCTGAAACACCAGTTTGTTTTAGCTGAGCACGTATTTTAGTTTCATTTAATTGAGTGTATGTTTTTTCATTAAAACCCAAAATTTGCTCAATTATGTGTCTCAATACTCTCAAAACAGTTAAGCTTGATTTACCTGTTTTACTTTCAGTATGTAACATTTACTATTCCTTTAGTAAATGCTTAGTATTTAATAAATATTTAGTAAGAAATATTTGTTGAATAGATGAATGGCATAAATTTATTGTTTAATCAAAGAAAAAGAGAGTATCAATAGACAGGATAGATTATCAATCAGAAAATCCTCCATATATATTATTGCTCACCAGCCAGATTGTGATACATATTAACTGGCAAGAAATTGCAAGTTACACTCTCTGGAAGTTCAAATAAAGAAGTTATTCTATTTTGCAATTGAAGTCCAAACTTCTGTGTTTTAACAATCTATATTCTCAAAGGAAGAATTAATAAGGTCTTATAAAAGATGGAGCTTTACACATGCCTAACTAGAAGGTCACCCAGTACGGCATAACATAGTTATCTATCTTTTTTCAGACCTGTTTTGTCATGTTTATTACTCACTTGCATCTTTTCATTCAATTAATTCATAAAAATTCTCTCTATATTATGCTATATTTACTTTTTGACATATAAATTGGTTATGTTTTCTCAGTTTGCGATTTCAAATGGAAATGTATTAAATTGGCTTTTAAAAAATCTCCAGCTATACAAGGACATATGAAAAGGAAAAAAAAAAGGAACATGCTTTTATATATTGACTGGTTTCATATTAACAAGTGTTTACAAATATATATATATATTTTGAGACAGAGTCTCGCTCTGTTGCCCAGGCCGGAGTGCAGTGGCACAATCCCGGCTCACTGTAAGTTCCGCCTCCCGGGTTCACGCCATTCTCCTGCCTCAGCCTCCCGAGTAGCTGGGACTACAGGCGCCCACCACCACGCCGGGCTAATTGTTTGTATTTTTAGTAGAGACGGGGTTTCACTGTGTTAGCCAGGATGGTCTCGATCTCCTGACCTCGTGATCCACCCGCCTCGGCCTCCCAAAGTGCTGGGATTACAGGCGTGAGCCACCACGCCCGGCCTACAAATATACTTTTTAAGCAAATACTATGTGCCAGGCATTGGAGATGAAATGACAGGGGAGATGATAGAATTTCTATGCCCATGAAACCTGTCTTCTGAAAAAAAGAAAAATTCATTGATTTAAAATACATTTCTCAAAATACTTTTTTGTGCTTTTATTATGCTCGGAAGGATAATCTTGCATCTACTTGGGTGACGAATATGTCTTTAGTATTTAGAATGCATTTAAAATATATAAAAATAAGAAACTATGCAATGCATGAATTGTGGACTTATCAATATTGTTCTTAACCGTCCATATGAACATGCGGATCTTAAATGAAATATAAGTTCTCATAAATATAATCAACTGTTAAAGTTGATTACGTAGCTTGAACAACTTAAAATAATTCTGTTCACAGTGAGACCTTTGATTATTCTTACAGGATATTTCTGATTCCTGATTTCCTAGTGTTCTTACAGGATATTTCTGATTCCTGATTTCCTAGTGTTCCACTAGGAAAGAATCAAAGAGTTAATGTTCACAGTTTGTATTCACAGACTACTCAATATAGATTTGTAAAAGGAAGTAGGCATATCTTTAATTAAGAGAAAAATGGAAAGAGTAGGAGGAACTAAAATGTGCTCAACTTCAATAACATAATTGGGAAATAGTTATTTCAAACACAGTTTATCTTTTGAAAGCTAACAAACCATCAGCATCTTGATTGCATAAGCAATTCTGTAACTGTTTTAAGCAGATACATTGAAAAAAAGAAAAAAATTAATTTCAGTCACACAATAAGACTCATCATTTTTCCAAAAAGGAGCACCTTCTACAATATAGCTCTTTGTACATTGTGTTAGTAACAGAAATGTATGAGCAAATGCCAAATTCCTGTCTTCAGAAGCCATCAGGAGATTTGGATAAAGAACTTCTTACCATGTTAAGATTTCATTCTTTTTCATCTTTCAACCTTTTACCAGCATTCTGTATCCACATCCATACACATCAATATACACACAGATATGCACAAGTGGCAATAGAACACATCTCTATATTTAGTTATTTATCCTTCAATATTAATATGGTGTTTCGATTTTTGAGCAGCAAATACAAATATTTAAAAGGTAGTTTTGAAATATTTTATCTTTTCTATCGTATATAGGTGAAAGGAATAGGATATGGCGAGCTGTCCACGTTTCTCTAATCCAGGTTAATATCTTTAAAACAAGGCTTGCATGCTTAGAATTCTGCAGCAGACAGGATACCAGGTAGAGTGATTTTAGGTCTCAGTAGAGAATGATGCAAACTCTGGGAAACTAGTCAGTGAGAGTCCCACCAAAAAGCAGTTGGTCCCCCGCTTCAGCTGATTTTCACTAAATATAAGTTGAAAGTTGCCATATTTTTAAAAATCTAGATATGTGTGCAAAATCTTCATATGTTTAAAACACTGTAAACATACATGTTTACAAATAAACACACATGTATCCTACCTGACCCAAATTCACCACATCTACTTTCAAGTAAATCATGAAATGGGCATGTCGGGTTCAAATTGAGTCTCTTGATCTTGTGTTTTACTCTACTTCGAACTTCTTAAAATGAAAAGTATAACCGTACCTTTTTAGTATAACTAATCAAAGTGCTTTCATATAAAATATCTCATTAGAATTCTGTGAAATTTGATAGATATGTTATAATTAATAATAATCTAAAATGAGTAAAACAGCAAATTAAAATGATAGTTATAGTACATTAAATATAAATAGGATCATGGAAATGATATAGCCAAACCTTCCAATTTGCAAATGAGGAAACTCTAGCTGGAGATAGTGACATATTAATTTTCATGTTTTAATAGGGGAATAATAAAATATATTTTATATACTGAGTAACAAATGTCAAAGTTATGGCAACCAAGAGAATCTTTTGAAATGAAAATGTATTGTAGTTATTCTTCAGGGCTAGTAGGGAATTCACTGGAAAGGCATAGTTCAAAGTGTGTTTGCTTGTTCATTTGTTTGTCTGATCAATTTTAAACCCTCAGTCTTTCACACGGCTGCAGGGAAGTTACATGACCTAGAGGAATTAAACCACTGATTTCCAATTTTCTGGAACCTCTACCTGCTCTCAGGGCTAATTTCACAGGAAATAATTGAACTAATATTTGACCATTTCTGAGATAAAGGAAAATTTGTGGGAAATGAGCACCAAGTACAAATAAAATCCAATTTAGCAAAAGGAAAGAATCCTTGATAATTAAGGAGACACAATTATCTACATACCAATGATACAGTGACACTTAGACACAATTATCTATGTACCTATGACACAATTACACTTAATGCCACCAAATTATACACTTAAAAATTATTAAAAATACACTTAGCTGCATTTCAGCACAAGTTTACCTATGATCTTTAGACAGTCTTCTATAAGATATATATATTATTCATGTTTTAAATAATACTATGTGCAAATAAAATTTTCACTTTGTATCAGATTATGATGTAGTTAATATTTTTCCCACGTCTTTTTATGGTATATCATTTCCCCCACGTGTCTTTTTATGCTATATAACCAAGGGATTTCTAGTGTAATCTCTTAATTTTAAAGTTAAAATAAACAAACAAACACACTTGAAGGCCAGAGGTCATGGACTTTTGAAGACAAGAGTAGAACCAGTGGTTTTACTTTATTTTAATTTTTTTTTAATTGGCAGGTGCAATTGTATGGGTTTATAGTTTCCCAAGTATCCTAAAAGCAAACTTAGTTTTCTTCCCTTGACAACCAAGCTGCCTCTCCTGAGCAAGGATCTGTTAATGCTTTAAAGCTTAAAACATGACTTTCCTAATGTGATCTCATTTTCTTTCCTTGGACTACAGTTTAGAATGGAGCTAAATAGAACTATTTCCATCTAAAACAGTTTCTATTTGTTCCCAAATATTTTAGTTCAATTCATTTTTTTCACAAATAACAAGAGAAGTATAACTAATTCAATTAAGCAGCCTATAATTTAAGCACTTTGAGAGGCCAAGGAGGGAGGATCACTTGAAGCCAGGAGTTTGAGGTTACAGTGAGCTATGATCATGCCACTTCACACCAGCCTGAATGACAGAGCAAGATCCTTTCTTTAAATAAACAAATAAATTTTAAAAAAATCATTTAAACAAATATCAAGAAACTGTAAAGAGGAAGAGTAAGATACAATCTTTGGCCCCAAGGAGTTCACAATCAAAAGGAAATTAAATACCTGATTAAATGAATAATATGTAGCAGTACGAAAGCTGTAGCAAGAAAACAGAGAGGGCAAAGTAGTTAAATCACCCTAGGTGAAGAAAAGGAGTTTTAAATGTATCAAGTAAACCAAGGAATTTGACAGTGACATCAGCAAAGTGGAAGCATGGGCTGCTCCAATTTCTCGTTCCCCATAGAAACAATGAAAAACAAGCAGAAACTGTTGGAACCAAATGATAACAAAGCATTGTGTTGTACGTACCCTCTCCCCAACCATTCCCTAGCACAGCAGTGCTCCATCTCATGAGAATGTAAGATAATGCAACCATTGTGGAAAATAGTTGGGCGGTTCATCAGAAACCTAAACATAAAATTACCCTATGCCCCAGAAACTCCACTCCTATTTATATACCCAAAACATTGAAAGCAGGGGCTCAAATAGATAATTGTATGCTAATGTTCACTGTACAGAGTTAAACAGAGTTAATCTCTATTAATCATTTTGCATGTCCAAAAGCATTTTATTTTTTAAAATCCCATTTGTAACAATACTTCAGTGACACATAAAAAATTCTGGGCAGTGTCTCCCCACATGAGGCAAGGGGAAAAAAGTTTATTTAATGCCCTAGCTCTGTTTAAATTCCTTGTTTATAGTATAATTATACTCCATGTTAAAGCACAAGTGATAATTTTACTATCATCATTTTTCTGTAAGCTACCCACTGATGATCAGTGAACACAATATCACAGTTTATTGTAGACTTGAAGCTCAGTAAAGCTTTTCATTCAATCAAATGCTGTTGGGCTATGTGCTGATCTCTAACTCCAGCCCCAGTGAATGCCAGGTATTTATCTTACTCTGTTGTACTCTAATGTATACCTCTCACATGAATTTAGAATACAAGTTGATTTGCAATCTCAATTTTGTACAGAAATATTATTCCTACTCTCATGTAAAAGTAGAGAGATGTACTATTGGTGACACAGAATTGTGATCTATATAGAACAAAGACACTAAATGCCAGGATCAAAATAATTCATTTTGTTTGGCTTTATAGTTTTATGCAGCAAAATTTATTAAAAGTACACACACACACACACACACACACAGTCACAGGCCATTAGTGTTTCTTGATTAAAGGATCTTGAATATTTTTGAACAAAATTTATTATCAAGATTATCACTCTGCTTTTTGTCCCTCCTACATGAGCTTTTCTAATTTGCCTAGGAAAAATTTCACTGGTAAAATTTCTGAGGGAAAATAAAGTTTTCACTGGATCTGTGCTCTAAGTTATGATACTCCGTGTTCTGTCTTCACTCTCCTCAGCCATGATTCCAGCTGCAAATTCTTGCACTTTGAGCCACATATGCTGTTAAATTTCATTTTGAAGTTATTGTAAATTAAGAGATTCTTATGGAATAATTTCCTCTTACTTAAATGGAACAGAACATAAATATCAGGAATGAGAGAAGGGACACCACTATAGATTCTATGAATCTTAAAAGGGTAACATGAAAATATTATAAGCAAATTTATGCCAATAAATTTGATAGCTTAGATGAAATAAACAAATTCCTCAAAAGCCGCAAACTACCAAAGCTCATTCAGGAAGAAAAAGATAACCCGAATAGCCCAATATTTATTAAATAAATTGTAGTTGTAGTTTAAACAGTTGTTCACAGAGAAAATTCTAACTTCAGATGGTTTTTGAGGGGGATTTATATAAATAGTTATGGAAGAAATAATTCAATTGCTTCCCCAAAATTGAAAAGAGAAAGAGTACTTCCCAAGTTATTCTATGCGGTTACCATTATAACCCTGATACCAAAGGCAAACAAAGGTATTATAAGAAAATAAAACTATAGCACGATGTCCCTCATTAACTAGGATATAAAAATTGCAACAAAATTTTAGCAAATTAAATTCAACAACATATAAACAAGATAATATATCATGGCCAATATATATACAAGGATGTGATGTAAACCAAGAATGTAAGGTTGATTTAAGATTTGAAAACTTGCCAATATTACTCTCTACCTTGACAGACTAAAAAACTTTTTAAAAATATGATCATCTCTATAGATGTAGAAAAGTACTTAACATAACCCAACATCCATTTCTTAAAAATGTCCTACAAAGTAAAAATAGAAAAAAATTTCCTTCACCTAATAATAAAAAAATCATTCACAAAACACCTATAACAAGCATGACATAGCAAACTTTACTCAATATTAAAGTTTTCCCAAGTGTCTTTGATCTGGATGATGTAATTTCTGATATATTTAGCCTATCAAATAAATATACACAGCCACAGAAACTAATTGGGAGTTTGGCATAATATCCTGCACAGACTACTAAAAGTAAAATGCAATTTCCACATTTTCATGTACCTAATGCTATAACTGAATACTTCTATTAGGATCATTTTAAATTAAAAATTCTGTGTATGAAAAAAGCATGTAACAAAGTAAATGATCAAATATGGCTTGAGGGCTAGAACATATAAAGACTTAAAATCAAAAAGGAAAACAGAAGCAATCCATTAGATAAATGAGCCACAACAAACACAGGCTTTTCATAGAGGATGAAGAAATAACCAATAAAAAGTGAATAGAGACTCAAACTAGGCAGAAGTTAGAAAAACGGAAACAAAACCAAAATGTATTGTTTTATACGCATGAGATTTCAAAGGAAAGTTAACAAATTCTCCCATTATTCAGAAGTAAATACACTGAACTTAGTTATCAAATCAGCATGGATATATCTCAGAAATGCAATGTTGAGCAAAAAAGTAATTCTCAGAAAAAAAAACACAGATAAAAATAAAAATATAAAAACAAATAATATAGCTTATTATGAATGTTACATATAGTAAAACTAAAATGAAGTGAAATATGAGGACTATAAAAGGATTATGTCAATAATCTCTATGAGGGAAAATGGAAGGGTTCATAGCAGGTTTGAAGCTAATAATGTTTATTTTCTAATGGCAATGGAAGAACTCAAGTGCACATTGTATTATTCTTTGTACCTTTGATAAATTACTTTTATGTTAAAAATAAAGGCCCTATTGTTAAACACGCACACCACACACGCTAATTTCTTTCTATTTTCTTTCTTTTTTTTTTTTTTTTTTTTTGAGATGGAGTCTCACCCAGGCTGGAGCGCAGCGGCGTGTTCTCGGTTCACTGTGATCTCCATCTCCTGGGTTCAAGCGATTCTCCTGCCTCAGCCTCAGAGTAGCTGGGACTACAGGTGCATCACCATGCCCAGCTAATTTTTGTATATTCAGTGCAGACCGGGTTTCACTATGTTGGCCAGCCTAGTCTGGGACTTCTGACCTCAAATGATCCGCCCACCTTGGCTTCCCAAAGTGCTGGGATTACAGGTGCGAGCCGCCACGCCCAGCCCCTAAATTTCAACATTTGTCCCTTACTGCTTGATGGATTGATGGACTGCAGGAATTTCTGTCTATAAGCAAAACTATTCTACTATTTATGCTTGAATGTCAAAAAAATAAACACGCATGTAAATGAGCTCTTTGCACTTGATATAAACAGTAAAATCTGATACTTCTCAGAGATTTTATTAAAAAGTAAAAATATGCCTTAAAATTAAACATATGCCTTTTCGTTGTAAATAATACTTTCTAATTACCAGAAGTAATAGTTTGATCATCTGCAAGTTCAACTTAAATCACCAAGCCTTATTTCTAGAATATAGGGAGCAATTGCTGTGTTTCTCTATGTAACATCACTGGGTGCCTTTCTCCAATCTGGAGAATTACCTTGACAACCAAATCACTGACTCACAGTCAGTGCCGCAATTTATCCCTAACCTCAATGTCACACCAAAAATTGTTTTGCCTACAATAATAAGGATTACTCTTTAATTAAAACTGTAACCCTTTACTCCTTTCCAATTGTCTTAAGAGCATTTCATTTATCATGAGCAATTTATAACACAGTAGTTTTTAAATAATTGCAAATGGTTTAATGGAGTACTTCCCTCAAATATGTTTTAAAAATTAAATATTAGTAGAACTTGACCTTACCCTGCAGCACATTGGGGTACGTTAATTTGCAAACAAATAGCTTTATTTCTGTTGACTGAATATAGTTAACCTCCACAAATTTAAAACATTAGCTTAAAAAATTCATCATAACTCTTTATATTCAAATCTATTTATAATCAATACACACTATTTTTGTCTGAGTCAGCTTTATAAATTTCCTATTTCTTAAACAGCCACAACTATTGAAAGAAAAATAAAAATAAGTTACATTATTTGAGTGTATATGATGAAAATGCCAGCACAGTTTTAATAGAAAATGCATTCAAATAATCATGGCCAAAGGCAATAAAATGACTTACTATTCTTTGTATGTGGCTGCAGAATCATTTTTTAAAGAGAGTTTTAATTTGTAAATCAAGTATTACAGAGTCTGAACATTAGATTGGATCCAAAAAGATAAATCATTTTATATAAAGATTACATTGTTGTGTGCCAAACATATTTCATCTGTTTTCTCCAAAATACCTGTCTAAACATTCATTTGTAACTATCATCATAGTTAATATATGTAAATATATAAATATGAAATTCTGCTGCTGCCCAAATACAACTTCTGTTAGTATTAGTAGGAATAGCACAGCCTAGGTAAAACGTAATATCCTCATTATTGTGAAAGTTAACTTCTGTTTTCCAAACTACTTTAGGAAACAGATTTATAATACAACCTACTACTGATGACTGATGGTTTTATTTAAAAAAAAACCCTAAAATCTGTCAGAATAAAAGACAAAAATCCTTCATTTCAAAATCTCAGTTTTATTGCATACAACTGAAGATATTACTTCCTGAGCAGCTATTCTTAAAACATGCACCTTTTTCTTAATCCTAAAAATAACTACTTAAGTATGAAAAATTGCAGCAGGTTGTTGGAAAGAACCTCTTCCGTGACGCATTTCATCAATTCAGAGTATAAAATCATTCTCTTCTTAAAAGTACACAATTATTTTTTCACACATTAGAAAATTCAGAATGGTGTTTTTCATGATTACAAAAATTAATTTTATAACCAACTGGGTTAATATTAGGAAAACCAAAAAACATTCTGATACAAGATAAGCTTCTTTTATGATAATCTAGTGTTTACAGGTCAAATGTGTTGAATGTAGCCAAATGAAATTAATATGAAGATTGTCATGGAGTGGGTTAGCTTGTTAGGAAGCTGCTCACTAAGGAATGAGAACACATCTATTTTAAATGCATATTTCTTCCTGATGTACTAGGACTCTCAAAATAGTTCTGTGGCCAGCACTTGCTCTGTTTCTTCTCTCTTTTCATCATACTTGTTTTTCCCCCTAAATCTATGCACAAAAATAACATACACCAAACAGGATAGAGGGAAACAATATTTTCCATTTTAGTCGAACCAGGATGATGAAGTTATCCAGAATAAAGAAGGCTTAAATGTAAATGGTTTTAAAGCTATCTTTTATAAGTGACTTTATATAATCTCATCTCTACTAGGACACCATCATAAAGGAAAATGTACAAGGAATAGAATAAAGCAATATTTGAATATTGCTCACATAGGAATGAATAATAAACTACCGGGGAGAAACTTAAAGAGCTAAAAAAGCATTGTTTATGAAAGAGAAAATAACTTAGAGGATACAATACTAAAAGAGCAAATGTAACACTGCATCTTAAGCACTGTGTTAGGTTTCTTCACCCAAACTCTTTCACTTAGTCCTAAAAATAGCCATGAAGTGAAGAGTTTAATCCCTTACTTATAAATAATGAAATTGGAGCTTTCAAGAAAAAGAATTACTTACCAAGATGGTTGAGTTATTGAAGGGCAGAGTCTCAAGTCAACACACGCCTTATAATTCCAAATAGAAGAAAAATATATAGCCTACAGATAAGTTAATGAATACTAATAAAGCTGGTGGGTTCAATTTACTAATCTGGTTTACATAAAAGTTAGGCAGTTAGGGAGATGATTACTCGTGGTCTGGGTGGTAAGAAACAAGGAGATCATTTAAAAGTATTTTTCATCTCTCTTTTTTCTTTAATTGCTTGTGTGTTTTCTTTTGTTTTGTTTTGTTGAGACAGGTTCTTTCTTTGTCACCAAGGCTGGAGTGCTTTGGCGCAATCCTGGCTCACTGCAGCCCCAAACACTCAGGCTCAAGTGATCCTCCCACCTCAGCTTCCTGAGTAGCTGGGATGACAGATGTGTGCCAGCACACCCGGCTACTTAAAAAGAAGAAAAAAAAAAAACAAGCAAGAAAAAAAAGAATTAGAATTGGAAAACAGAAATCATCTTTTTCTATTGTCTCATTCATTGATTAGTTATTAATTCAACAAATATTTTTTAGTGATAAGTAAAATGTTGATCATAAAAACAAAGTACAATCATGTGTTGCTTAACCACAGTAATACATTCTGAGAAATGTGTTATTAGGTGCTTTCATTGTTGTGTGAACAATATAGAGTGTACTTACACAAATATAGGTCATATAGCCTACTACACACCTAGGCCATATGGTATAGCCTATTACTCCTAGGTAACAAAGCTGTGCAGCATGTTACTGTCCTGGATAATATAAGCAACTGTAACACAATGGCAAGTGTTGGTGTAACAGACATATCTAAACATGAAAAGGTACAGTAAAAATATGGTCTTGAAGATAAAAACGTTATACTTGTTTAGGGCACTGACTGAATGAAGTGTGCAAGACTTGAAATTGCTCTGGGTGAGTCAGTGAGTGAGTGGTGAGTGAATGTGAAGACCAAGAACATTGCTATACACTACTGTAGACTATATAAATATTTAGAGCAAGCTAAATTTGTAAAAACAATGTTTTCCTTTTTTTAATAATAAATTAACCTTAGCTTACTCTTTTTTATATTAGAATCTTTTTAATTTTTTAAACTTTTTGACTCCTTTGTAGTAACAATTTACACCACAAATACATTGTACAGTTAACAAAAATATTTTCTTTCTTAATATCCTTATTTATAAGCTTTTTTCTATTTCTTTTAAAATTTGTAAACTTTTTTGTTAAAAACTAAGACATAAACGCACCTTAGCCTAGGCTTTCACAGGGTCAGGGTCATCAGTATCATTATCTTTCACCTCCACATCTTGTCCCACTGAAAGTTCTTCAGGGGCAATAACAGGCATGGAGTTGTCCTCTCCTGTGATAATAACTCCTTTTTCTGCAATACCCCTTGAAAAACCTGCCTGAGGCTGTTTTACAGTTAACTTTTCTTTTTATAAGAAGTACACTCTAATTATTAAAAGCATAGTTTAGTAAATA
The DNA here is from genome assembly GCF_000001405.40 of Homo sapiens. Classification (NCBI taxonomy): domain Eukaryota; kingdom Metazoa; phylum Chordata; class Mammalia; order Primates; family Hominidae; genus Homo; species Homo sapiens. The sequence continues at coordinate 64,629,596 of NC_000010.11, read as the reverse complement.
CAAAGGCAGTCACATAGTTGTTTGTTATCATTGTCAAGTATTTGTACTGTACATAACTGTATGTACTATACTTATATGACTGGCAACACAGTAAGTTTGTTTACACCAGCATCACCACAAACACATGAATAATGTGTTGTGCCACGACTTTATGATGGCTATGTCATTGTGATCTCTAGGCAATAGTGTTGTTATAAGGCAATAGTGAAGCAGGATATTTCCCTGATCCCTTTGCTGGCAGGAACTGGAGTGCTTGGATGCCAGCAGGGGAAAACTCCAATCAATCGCTGCTCCACCCCTCACAGGAGGGGGTGCTCAGGTGAGCAGGTGCAGAAGCTGGGGCAAGCACCTTTGGGCGCAGCCAACAGCAAACTCCATGCTAGCCTTGCAGCAGCATCTAGAAAAGGGTGCCTGCAACCCCTGAAGCCCCAGAAGAAGTGTTACAGTGTCCTTTTAGTTTACCATCCATGGATGGCTTAAGTGTTAACAGCTCAGTGGAGAGTCAGTGTGACAGCTTTTTGCACCCACACTCGTGGCACACAAGTTCTTGTCTGGCATCCAGGAGGAATGAGGTCGCATGAACGAATTGCAGATGACAAATGTAGGGGATTTTATTGCCGATGAAATTGTCTCTCAGTGGGAAGGAGAGCTGAAAAGTGGATGGAGCAGGAAGGTCATCTTCCCCTGGAGACTGGCCATCCCTGGCCAAACTCATCTCCAAAGCTATACCATCAAGCTGTCCCTCTGAAGTCAAGCCGCTTCTCTTCAACATCCAAGCATAGTCTCTAATGTCCGCCTGCTTCTCCTCACACTGCCAGCTGAGCCTGGGGTTTTTATGGGCATAGGATTGGGGGCAGGGCAGGCCATGGGTGGTTTTGGAAAAGGTAACATTCAAGCAGGAAAACAGGGATGTTAGTTCCCAATTTGTGCCACCATATCAGGCTTTTCAGCTTAAGGGTGAGGCCATTGCCAGGGACCCACCTCTTCTGCTAAGAAGTTCCCTGCCTCCTGTCCCTATCAGTAGGAATTTTCCAACTCTGTTATAATGTTATGGGACCACTATCACATATGTGGTCCATCATTGACCACATGGTCATTATGTGATGCAGGACTGTATTGTATTGGAGGCAGTAAAAAATCAGGGTTTACTAGTAGCAAAATAAATAAATAAATAAATAAATAAATAAATAAATAAATACCTAGTAAATTATAAATTCAGATAGGACTGTGTAACTTGGCAAAATATTGTCAAAAAGACAAATAAATAAATGAGGAAACAAGTTGGATGGTAGCCAAAGGACATGATATTGAGGGTTTAGACTTGAGTTCTGCATTCATACTGCCTGAACAGCCCTCTCTGAAGCCATTGCTTCATAAAGAGAAATTCTAGAGGGAGCACAGTATGTGTGTCCACACACATAAGATCTTAGATCCTGTCCTGTGAAAATTTAGTTTTGTTGGCAGAGAAAGGGAATAAAGGGGTAAACAAATGTATAGTGATGTAAGCAAATAAGCATATAATAAAAATAAATAAATTAATGTCCTACAAAATCTTAAAATACAGAATTCTAGGAATGAGGCAGAAGGGAGGGACCTACATAGATGAGTTCAACACAAAGACCTCTTTGAAGGGAGCTCATTTAATCAAAACTATGACAAGAAGTCATCAGCAATGTAAAGAACTTAGGGAAAAGCATTTCGAATAGACACCTCAACAATGTGTGCAAAGGTTTTAGGCAAGAAAAAGTTTGGAAGAATATTTGAAGCTGAAAATATTTCTGTGCAACCAAAAGTTAGTAAGACTAGCTGGAGATGAGATTTGAAAGGTAAGGAGTGTCCAAATTTCCAGACCTTTGTCGTTGAGAAAACTGGAGGCAATGATCGTGTGAACTGTCTAATGTCAAATCAGCTGGACATAAAATAAACTACAATATAGGTCTCTTAATTCACTCTCAAGAGCGATTTATCTCTTATATATCATGGGCTCTAATGATGGACTATATAAACTCGAAAATATGTTTAGAAGGAGGAAAAGCCATTTAAAGGCTGACCTTTGCCTGCTTATGCTGATAATCAAGTATTCCATGCAAAAGTCGTAATTCGACTAAACCATGGCTACAGGATGACTGTGGTCTGCCAATTGGCATCTTTACTTCTCCAGTAATTTAAATGCCCTAATGTTAGAGCTATCCAGTTTTCTCAGTATCAATGTTTTATAATTTATAAAAATGATGTCTAAAATTTTAAAAACTTTGTCAATTTTTATTTTGGTAACAAAGAACGCAAAACCATTATAACATGTTGTAACTTTTCATTGTGCATATGTAATCCAGTTCTAGAAAAAGAACCATGCTTTCTCAGTGTTATATTGTAATGAGCTGGCTTACATGGCAGCTAAAATGCCCTGGGGGGTTTTGGATGGGAAATTAAACTCTGTCCACATTTGCAATTCCAGTAACTCTAATCTACTCTCATAGGCTGAGTGAACTTCAATTCACATCCATTTTCAGGGCCCTGAGGGAAAACAAATCAATAAGAAGAAAAAAATCAATGGAAACAAGTAGTTCACAGAAAGTTGAACAAGTCTTTAGGTTCAAAGTACAGTTTGATGGTTGGTTCCTGAACCTTGCTCATTTCCACCAGCTGTTAAGGCTTGAGAAATTTGGGATATGCATCTCATGTACAATTATACTGTTCTCTATTTTAAAAGATGCTGCAACTCACAGTGCTTGTATTTTTGTGTTTATTTCTTGCTAAAGATATCTTCGGATATATAGCATTTCGTACTTTTTAGCAGAACGAGTCGACCTGCATTGATTTGAGATTCTGCCCGTCAGTAACTAAACGACCCTGAGTAAGTAATTTTATTCTCCAGTGTTCAATTCCACAATTTATAATACAGAATATTAGTCTCTTTAATTCATGAATACTTTGAGGATTAAATTTAAAAGCACAGGCAAAGAAATTTAACATAATTCTTGAGAACTGCAGCTGCTCAATTATAGGCCTTACTATATTTACTTTATCGCTCAGACGTTTTCTTGTTGGCTTTATTTATTTTTTCTTTTTAGCTTGATTCGGCTTGAATTGTTGCAACACCAACCTTAAAATCTCATACTAGACAGACTTTTGATTTTCTATACTTTTCTGGGTAGCCACAATTGTTCCTTGACGCTGCAATGCTTAATTTTTATTCCAAACAACTTATTTCTCAAATAGCTGCAGGAGAAAAAAAAATTATATATATATATATGGCATGTGATAAGATTAATCGCCATTACAATTAATTTTTTCATTTTATTAATATAAATTAGTGCCAGATCAAAACAATACCATTCAATTTCATACAATTAATAGTCTTCAGATAAGAGAGATTTAAAAAAAGCATTTAAATTACTTTAAATGTAAAATGTCTTCCAGCGGCAACACTTTTTTTATATCTTTAACATTGTATAGCATTCTTCTGAATGTACGGTTAAAAGCTAGATACTCAATGTAAATAATCAGAGACATGAAAACGAGTATCTTGCTGTGGTTTAAATTGCTATCATTTTGATTACTGGTGATGAAGAAGATATTTTCATATGTTTTATAATTTGCATTTCCTTCTCTTCAAATGTATATTCATATGCTTTGCTCAATTTTTCTGTTTGGATGCTTTTCATTTTGCTGATTTATGAGACTATTTCTATGAAAGATAGCCTATACAGGAAAGGATGAAAATAAAAACAAAAATAATTAGTAATTTTACAACCCAATGACTAACATCTTGGTAGTTTCCTTGAGATATGCACTTTTATAATTCTAGGGTTATTTTTAACCCAATATATTATAAGAATGTTTTATACTATTAATTTTTCAAATAATAACTTTATCTTGCATACATAATAATAAATATAGTTCTCACTATAACAGGCACTGTTCTAAAAATATGTTATAAAAATTGTCAACTCATTGATTACTATGTTTTATTTATGTTTTACTTTTTCCTTCAAGTTTTTCTGAGTATATTTTTTGTTTTAAATGTCACATAGTCAATTATATGTATATATTTTTTGTAGTTTCATCTTTTGGACTCTTGCTTGGGGTGCATTATCACTCCATGTTTATACAAAAGTTCAAAGTTCATTTACATTTACTTTTTAAATGGGAAATAATCCTTAATTTTTCAGTGATATTTCTTGAGGGAGGAGTGAATGAATCTATGAGAATCAGTGGGAGTTACTGATCAGAAAAATGAGCATACTACATGAACACAGAAGTTAGCATACAATTTCAAAAGATTTGTAAACCTTCCAAAGTCCACTCATAAACAACCTACAGATCCTTGAAACCTAGGATAAAAAAGCATGTTACAGATTTTTTTAAAGCAACGTAATCAAGATTGAAATAGTTACTAATCCAGGGGTTTATAGGCTCTCCTTAATATTTTTGTTGTGTCTTGTTTTCATTATTTACAATATATGAAAAAGGATGTGCAGTGTTTTATATATGGTGTATGATACTGTGAAGAGAGAACCAAATACAGTGGAATGGGTAGAAGCTAGAAGCCTGAGTCTTATCCTAACTCTATCACTAGCTCAATGAACTCAGAAAAGTCCTTTAATTTCCCTTAGTATCCAAATCCGAATCTGTAAAATTTTTATGTATGTGGGTATATATTACATGTGTGCTATAAATGTGAGTGCATCTGGTTGAAAGGTTGAAGAGAAGAATGAACAATTCCTAAGTTCTTTTAAATTTCTTATATAAAAACCAAAGTTATGCAATGTTATAAAACCTTATTTTCATTATTGTTTTATTAAGATTAATTGTTCGTACAATCCAAAGCATAAAATTCTATGAGCTTTGATTAAAGTATACAGATATGTACCAGTGAAATCAATACCATAGTTAAGTTGAAAATATTTCCATCACGCAGAAAGCTCTTTCCTGACCTGTTTCAGTCACAGGCAACCATTGATCAGATTTTTATCAGAAATCAGTTTTACCTGTTTCAAACTTTATGTAAATTTAGTCAAAGAGTATGTAGTCTGTAGCTTGTCTTTGTTTCTCTCACATATATTACATAATGTTTTTGAAATTGATGCAAGTTGCGTGAATCAGTAGTTCCTTTTTTACTTTTAATTGGCGTGCAATATTTCATTGTATAAATATACCACAGTGTTTTTTAAATTCATTTTCTTACTGATAGACATCTGGGTTGTTTCTAGTTTGGAACCATGATGAATAAAACTGCTAAACCATATACAAGTCTATCTGTGGACATAAGTTTTTATTGCTTTTGGGTAGATACCTAAGTGTGAAATTACTGAGTCACAGAATAGATTCATATTTAACTCTATGAGAATCTGCCAAATCATTTTTCAAAGTGGTTGTATAACTTTCCACTCTCATCAACTATGTGCTAGATAGAGGTCCAGTTACTTCTTGTTCTTGCCAACGTTTGATATTCTAAGCTCTTGGAATTTTAGCCATCACCATGAAGTAATAACTTAGAATAATACCAGGTACATAAAACAATTGGTCTACCAATTCATTAAATATATATATAATACATACTCAAGTTATTTAGTTCTTATTTAATTTCTCTTAAAAATCATTTGGCATTATGAATGTATCTTTGTTAATTCTTTATTATTATTGATAATATTTATTTTGTGTTTTTTAAATATTTTCAGAGACAGTATTAAACTTTTATTTGCTAGAATAAAATATTGTGTTATGTACCTGGTATTCTATGATCTTGCTAATTCCACTTATTGGTTTTAGAATCTCCTATAAATTTCTTAGGATTTTTTTATATATATAATCACATAATTGCAAATATTTACATTTTCTTTTTTATGTGATTCTTTTCTTTTTCTTTTATTTTTATTCTGGCTTATTACTAGGAACTCCAGAACATTATTAAATATAAGTGATGAGAACAAACTTTTTTTAATCTTGGTTCCGATATTGGAGGAAAAGTATTTACTGTTTCAGTGCTGAATATGATGAAATTTTTGCATAAGTCCTCTATCAGGAATAGAGGAAATTCCCTTTCATTTTTATATTGCTGAAATGTATATCATTAATTGATATGTTATACTGACTTTAATGCCTCTATTGGGATATTTAAAATGTTTTCCCTTTAGTCTGTGAATATATTTAATTACACTGAATGTTTTCTAGTGATTAACTTTGAATTGCTGACATAGATCCTACTTGAACATGGTATATTTTCTGTTCACTGTGGGAATTAATTTGTTATATTTTTGTTGAGTATTTTTGCCTTTATGTGCCTCTATTTTATTTTTGTAATGTTTTTGTCAAATTTTTTTATATCAGGGTTATGACATCAGTGTCATGATATGAAGGTTATGGTAGTTTTATAAAATATGTTGGGAAATAATTCCCTTCTCCTTTGTGTTTTGAAAGAGTTATGTAACTTTGGTACTATTTCATCATTAAACGCTTAATAGGAATTTATGATTTAAACCATCTGGGGAAATTTTTAAATTATTAATTCATTAAAGGACTACTTTGACTTTGTTTCTTCTTCTTACAGTATTAAATAGTGGTTTTTAAAGGAACTTTTTTCAATTTCACCTAACTTGTCAAATATATTGGCATAAGAAGTTCATCATATAATATTTTACATAGAATATGTATTGGCATATCATTGTTTAATGTTTATAGTATATATCTATGATAATTTGTCACATTCTACTCAATCTTTTACTTCTTTATGTAGAACATAAAAAATTTACAACAGTAAAATTCTATTTTCCCACTCTCAGATGCCTGTATGTTTTTAAAAATGTTTCATATCTGCATATGTTATAAACTTAACACTGGAATGTTATTTTTTATTCAAATAGTAGTTTGCCTTTTAAAGAAATTTAAAAAGGCCAGGCGCGGTGGCTCACGCCTGTAATCCCAGCACTTTGGGAGGCCGAGGTGGGCAGATCACAAGGTCGAGATTTCGAGACCAGCCTGGCCAATATGGTGAAACCCCATCTCTACTAAAAATACAAAAATTAGCCAGGCATGGAGATGGGTGCCTGTAGTCCCAGCTATTCAGGAGGCTGAGGCAAGAGAATTGCTTGAACCTGGGAGGTGGAGGTTGCAGTGAGCCCAGATTGCGCCACTGCACTCCATCCTGGGCGACAGAGCGAGACTCCATCTCAAAAAATAAAAATAAAAAGAAAAAGAAAATTTAAAAAAATTAAAGGAAGAAACAAATGGTCTTACATATTTATCATAAGTATCAATTCTGGTGATCTTCATTTCTTCCTACAGATCTCATACAATTTTTTTTTTTTTTTAGTCCCTGAATATTCCTTTAGCTATTTTTTTTTTTTTTTTTTTTTTTTTTTTGCAGTGCAGGTCCCACACACAAATTTCTCAGCTTTCATTTATCTGTATGTTGTCTTGCCTTATTTTTTTTTTGAAATATATTTTTACTGGATTTACAAACCTGAATTGACAGTGTTTTGTTTTTCTTTTACCACTTTTAGAGGTGTTCTTTCATTGTCTTTTGCCTTCCATTGTTTCTGATTTTTTAATCAGTTTTTGATAGTGTGTTTGGTTACATTTGATATATGTTTTTCCTAAACATATAAATTAGATTGGCAGTTGAATTAGTGTTTCGCTGGTGCCGTAATGAATTAACATAAACTTAGTGGCTTCAGGCAAAGCAAATTTATTATCTTAGAAGTTTACAGCTCAGAAGTCTGACACAGGCTACACTGGATAAAAATAAAGGTTAGCCAGGCTGTACTCCCTTCTAGAGACACTAAATATAACCTGTTTTCTTGTCATCCTCTTTTCTAAAGCACACCTGCATTCCTTGACTCATGGTGCCATTCCCTCACCTTCAAAGCCAGAAATAACAGATGAAGTCCTTTTTAAGTCATGTCATTCTGACCTTCCTTTCTGCCTTCTTCTTTCACATTCTTTGTTTCGTTTTTTGGATTTTGTTTTGTTTTGTTTTTGTTTTTTGGTCCATGGGATAATCCAAAATAATCTTCCTATGTTAAGGTAAGCTGATGAGCAACCTTAATTTCATCAGCTACCTCTATTTCCTTTGTCATGTAAGCTACCATATTCAAAAAGTATGAGAATAAGGACATAAACATCTTTGGAGGCCATTATTCTGCCTACCACAAGACATAATTTACCGAAATGTACTGGTGTCCAATTTTACTAATTCAAATGAAGAATATTATAGAAACCATCTTTGTTTATGTCCCTTTACCCTCTCCCATTTATAATATGATTATTAAACATTTCTTCTACATACATTAAAAACACATTAGGCATCAGACAGTATTATAATATTACTTAAACCATCAAACAGCACTTAGAAAATTTAAGAGGAAAAGAAAGTTTAATTTACTAACCATAGTTTTTCTTCTTCCATGTTCTTTCTTCTTTTCTGATATCCCCATAATTTCTTCTACTGTCATTTCCTTTCTATTTAGAAGATTTCTATTAGTGTTCTTTTGGGGTAGGTAGCTGGTAACAAATTCTCTTAGTTTTCCTTCATCTGTGAATGTCTTTACTTTCCTTATATTACTGCAGAATAATGTCACTGGATGTAAAATTCCGGGTTGACGGTTGTTTTTAATTTCAGCACTTGAAAAACAATGTTCTCTTCCAATAAACAATCTGAGATGACCTCTGAAAAATGGTTTGTTATTCATTTGTCCTGAAAATTTTACAAAATTCCACAAATCTAGAAGTTCAAATCTTCACATTCACTTTAAGAATAACTAAAACTGTCCAGACCATCAAGAGTACGCATATTCAAAATATCATTGTGAATCTGAAAGACGTCCCTTTACAGAAGAAATGCATATTATTTTATCATTACAGCAGTGGAGTTGTTGGGCTTACCCAAGTCAAACAATACAGTTGGACACAAGGTCGATGGCTTAAAAAGAGTGCTGAATTGTTGCTACACATGCTTAAAAATGCACAAATTAATAGTGAATTTAAGGGTTAGCTGAATTTAGACATAGATTATCTAGTCAAAGATATCCAGCTGAACAAAGCACTCAAGATACCACCATACTTACTGACTTTACAGTTCAATTAACTCATACATTAGCTAACTTTGCTACATTGAGATGATTTTTACTAAAAAGAATAAATTGTTTCCAAACCAGTAAAGCAGGTTGTACAGAAGAGAAAGACATCCCAGAAGAAACTGAAGAAACATAAATTTAGGGTCTAGAAATAAATTCTGCATAAATTAAGTGAAAATAAAAATAAATCTAAACAAAACAACAAAATGTCATATTACTTTCCGGGCTTTACAGTTTCTTATGAGAAATCCACTGTTACTTAAAAATTTTCCCTATAAGTATGGTGATCTTTTGCTTTTGCTGCTTTTAAGATTTTTTTCTCACATTAGTTTTCAAAAGATTCACTACGCCGTGTCTTGGTGTGGATTTCTTTGGGTTTATGCTGATTAGTCTATGATTAGCTTTTTGAATCCATAGGTTTATGATTTTTGCCAAATTTGGGAGATGTTCATATTTATATTTTTAACCTCATCCCTTTTCTCCTCTCCTTTTGGACTCAATATTATGAATTTAATGTGTTTTTTTTTTAGTTCCACATGTTCCTGAGATTCTGCTCATTTATATTTTTAGTCCATTTTCTCCTTATTGCTCAGATTAGATAATGATAATTTACATTATTCTAACTTTTGATTCTTCTGTCTTCATTTTATGTTGATCTGTCCCATTGACTTTTTTTTTTATTTTAGTTATTGTATAATTTAGTTCGAAAATTTCCATTTGGCTCTTATTTATATATTCTATTTCTTTGCTGAGGTTTTCTATTTCTTTTCTGAGACTGTCTATTTTTTCATGCTTCAAACATGCTCTTAATTGCTTATTGAAGCATTTTTATTATGGTTGCTTTAAAATCTTTGCTAAATAATTCTAACACCTGTATCTTCTCTGTGTTAGCATCTGTGGTAGGCTATATAATGGATCCAAAAGATAACTACATCCTAACGATGGGACCTACAAATAACACCTTATATGACACACACACACACACACATACACACACACAAGTCTTTCCACATGTAATTAGGTCAAGGATTTTGAAATAAGGGGATTATCCTGGATTATCCAGGTAAACCCAAATATAATCACAAATATCCTTGTAAAAGAGAGGCAAAAGGACACTTGACTATGCAAGAGAAGCAGGCAATATAACCACAGAAGCAGAGATTCCCATGTTGTTACTGCCAAGTAGAGATGAAAGTCCGAGTTCAGCAGCTGGCCTCCATTAACAGTTAGGCAGAGAAGGGCTCCTACTGCTGGTTAAAGGTGAGGGTTCAGGCTATCCATTAGGGCTTCATTCAGTTTCTCCCTAGCTAGGAGGAGGGTTGCTTCATTACTGTTCCCCCACGTGACCTCCACTGATATTATGGGGGTGGTGGCATTATCACCACTGAATGGTGGTGAACAATCTGACTCCACTAGGCATCCCATCTGACACCTCCCTGGCAGGGAGAGAGAAGAACACATCATTGCTGGAAGTATGGGCATAGAATTTCTGGCTCTGCATGTGGTCTCTACAGACACCACAGTGAGGGAGGGGAGGCTCCCTACAATCTAGTGGGGGTTTATGAGCCAGCTTCCAGTTGGATTTTTCTGACATCTTTCAGCACAGTGGTTTGGCTGCTTTGTGACAGTCTGGCAAGGGTAGCTACATGGGCTCTACTTGGCCTTTGCTATTGATGGTGGTGTGTTGCAGCAGCTTTTTCTGTGGTATGTGATTGTAGTAGAATGGTTTTAGTCTAAAAAGTTTCTGTCTTGCTGATTGCTACTTTCATGGTCCCTTGGCTAGAAAGAGGAGTCTTTGTCATTTTATGTTTTTATTCACATTTGCTGACATTTCCAGTTTTTGTCTCTAGTATCCAGGCTGGGCTATGTTAGCTGGCAAGAAGAAAACCCAGGGAACTCCACTATGTTATTCCTTTGGTCCTGAGGCCCCTAGCTAGCCTGCTCTTTTCTCTCCATCTTTCAAAATCTTGTATTTGTTTAATATATATACATATGTACAATTGTGTGTATATATGTATATACACACATATACAATTATTGTATATAAAATATAAAATAATTTGTTATACTTAGTGGGGGGAATAGGAAAAAGTAAATCTACACTACCTTCTTAGAAGCAGAGGTACCCCTGTATGTTTTTAAAACCATACAACCTCTATAAATAAATGATATTCATTCTATTAATGCACATCCTTTGATAGATACTGTCAACTTTTAACTTCTCCCTACTGAGAGAATTGCTCACTGACATAACCTACTATCTTGATGACCATGCTTGCTACTGTCTTACCCCTTTTATTTCCACCTCCACCTCTACCAGTAACCAATACAAGTGATGGTCAATGGATGAAGGTCAGCAAATCCATAGACCTTCAGGAAGCTTAGCTAAGGCTGGAAGTGAGAAAGTTAGGAGAAACAAGTAAGGAGAAAAGTGAAGAAAATGGAAAAAAAGAGAGCCAATAGTAATAGAATGGAGAAAAAAGGGCCAGTCATGGTGGCTTACGCCTGTACTCGCAGCACTTTGGGAGGGTGAGGCAGATGGATCATCTGAGGTCAGGAGTTCAAGACCAGCCTGGCTAACATGGTGAAACCCCATCTCTACTAAAAATACAAAAAATTAGCTGGGATTGGTGGCATGTGCTTGTAATCCCAGCTACAAAGGAGGCTGAGGCAGGAGAATTGCTTGAACCCAGGAGGCAGAGGTTGCAGTGAGCCAAGATCGCACCACTGCACTCCAGCCTGGGTGACAGAGTGACACTCCGTCTCAAATAAACAAATAAATAAATAAATATAAAAAGAAAGAAAAAAAGGGATAAACTGTAGTAAAAGCCTTGACCGGGTAAAATTCATGTCCAGTACTAAAGAGAAATCAAGTAACAGATGTAATAAAAGCAAACACTGTGTGGTGCCTATTTTTTCAAAAACTGTTCTTGGTACTTTAAATATATCAAAATTCATATAACCCATAAAGTAACCAAATTAGTTAAGTTCTGTTATTAGACTGATTTACAGCTAAAGAAACTGGGACACAGATTGCTCAAGATCACTTACACGAGGGTTTTTATCTTAAGCCTCACATATAGTTGGATGCTATGATATTGACAATATCTCTCTGTTTTTGAGCTTAAAAATATCATTTTCATTTAATTTCATCTAACAGCTTCAGAGCCCATGCAGTCTCTTAAAAGCAGAGATAAGAAGCCAGTCATTAGACAGCAGAAACTGGAAAAGAAGAAGAAACATAAGGGAGAGGTGATCGGGCTGTATAAATTCCATTCCGGTGAGTCTTATCTCTCTGCAGTTAACATTCAAAGGTTATTCCTATGAATTCTTTTTGTATTCTTATGACAAAAATCACTTTGCTAGCTAGTTTGGTTGAGTCTCTTTTCCTTTACAACTCCCACAAATAGATTCTAAACTACAAAAAGGGAGGGGAAAAAAAACACTTTTAGTACTAAAATCTAGACAAAGAAAATCTGAAAAGGAAGCCTGCTGAAAATTCTTCTTGGAACAGGTCAGACTATTTAGATTCTAAAATTTGGTATGCTCAAATGAATTCCTCATCATTTGTAGTGACGGAAGACATGAAAACAGTTAATGGTCCTTTGCACTTATATTCCTTTCTTCACTGAAACCAGCAGCAAAGATGGTGGTTGACTCGGAAGATTGTGCCAAACCTGCCAAATAAACCACGTATGGCCTTTAATTTAAAAGAATCTAAAGAAGCAAGTGCATGTAATCAAGTATTCGGAATTCTCTCCTCCCCACCATCCAAAAACATACCTGGTCATTTTTCTCATTATTTGGCAAATACTCAACTGCATTTCAAGGTATAAATTAACAATAATCATTTTTTTCCACAGCACTTGTCAGGATAATATATAGTCACCCAATGTAAGAGAAGGTGTTCAGAATTAATAATTGGCAAGCTTAGTTTCTAGCTTGAATGGTATTTTCTGCAAAAACTAGCAAAAACGTTTTTAAAAGTAAGGCTACGTTGCTGAATTTCCACACCTTTGCTCTTAAAATTTTTAGAGATAATCAAACCCAGGTGAGTGATTTTCACTAAAATGAAACCAAGACTGTTTTTTTTTTGTTTTACATTTACAATAAGAAATTACTTCCTCAAGTCCAAGAATATTCTAAGTGTGCATGATCAGTGTCTTCTCTACATTTAGGCAAATTTACTTGGGCAGATAGATCCAATCAGTAGGTTTCTAGTGGAGCATGAAATAAGGAGAGTAAGATGAATAGAATATATATTGACATTATGCTAAAATCACCTCACCATTCCTCTCACAATCTAGATAGTCTATCACTCATAATGAAACTTCATTTGCTGAAATCCTAATGAATCTACTTCCTCACTAAATTCAACCTTGTCACCAAAAAAAAGAGAAAACAGTCCAAAAATTAGGACCCCTGAACACAGATACTGTCATTATGTCTAGTCTTTTTCTAAGTTCCCATTGCTGACAAACCCTTAATAACCACTTCTAATTGATGCATGTTTTATGTAGATATTATAGCTCAATTGAAACAATTTACAGTCAAGTTCCACCTGCCAAGATGCTTCTATATCTTTTGGGATACATTGCATGTACGTGTTTTGATGCATTAATTGTTATTATTCCAGTGATGGACCAAGAACAGTGGGCATTGGGAGAGTCCCACCCTGCAGGGAGGATTATTTTATCCCTGACACGGTATAGAAATGTGGGTCTTATGATAATAAAAAGTGGAACGCAATTTAGCTGATTTTTAAAATATGAATTCTTTCCAGACAATGCAGCACACCCTTATTGCTTCACTCTGGGATGGCTGCTTCTGTGACTCTGAGCTTACTGCTCAATTAGTGGTTTCTTCTATTATGGCTATTATTTTAATTTAACTTTCTTTTCTGTATGATAACTCTCTATTCATATATAACTCTATCAGCCAGAAATCTGTCAGGAAAGGAGAAGCCACTTTACTCATTTGGTCTGTAAATGGTTTAATGCAGCCACTGTATTAAACTGTATCTGATCCACACAGCCTCCTGAGAATGATGGCTCCACTCTTTCTCCCTCAACTCTCATACAAGTTCCTCTTATTGACAAATGCTAATTCCCTCATAGAAAAAGGGATTCTGGGAACCATGGTTCTCAGCCTTAGATTATTATGGTGAGGTGATGCTGAGTCGACAGCAAGGTGCAGCACAACAATTTAAAATATATTATATACAAGCTATCTTCATATCTGTTTTCAGTTGTACTTCCTTAAGGTCTTGGGTAAAAAAAAATCTTAGGGAGCATGGGTAAGGGAAAGTTACAGTGTTAGATTAAACTCTACTTGGGGCCGGCTGTGGTGGCTCATGCCTATAATCCCAGTGCACTGGGAGGCCAAGGCGGGAGGATTGCTTGAGGCCAGGAGTTTGAGACCAGCCTGAGTAACATAGCCAAGACCCCATCTCTACAGAACTGAAAATTAAAAAAAAATTAGCCAGGGAGGTTTGCTTGAGCAAACCTATGTAACTATGTAAATTCATAGTTACAATGAACTATGATCATGCCACTGTACTCTAGCCTGGGAGACAGAACCAGTCCCTTTCTCTAGGGAAAAAAAAAAATCTACTTATCTGTCTATTTCTAGTTTCAAGGGCTTTACTGTTGAATTCATAGTTAAAAAGTCATGCACTTTCATAAAGTTTCATCTGTAATAATAAAGCTGATTTCCTTTTCCTCTTTCTCCTCTTTTTGCTGCTTCTTATTCTTATCTGTCTCCTACCCTCAGCCCATCCTCATCTAGCCTTTGTCCACCTTACATATTCAATATTCACAATTTCGTACTCTTTCATTTATATGTTACTTTGTATTCTTATAAAGAAATGAAGAAGGTTAATAGGTTTCATTGTAATATACCATATCTCTATATATTAAGGTGAATTTAAACATAAAAGTTATATAGTTTCAATTGTTTTACAAAAATATTATTTTATACTGTAGCTCTCTGCATCTTGTTTTCTCCTGTAACTCTGTCTCCAAGCCATCTATTATTGATTTATTTCATTCATTATAATGACTTAAATATACCATGATATAAATAAACTACAAAATATTTAAGCATATTCTTATTACAAAATAATCATTTTACCTACTTTTTTGCTACTACAGTCAAAGACATCAACATCCAATTGCATATGTTGATATATGTCAGTTCTTTTACTTCTAGAAATAGATTTGCAGGGATGGCATTATTAGAAGATAGGCACATAAAATGATAAAGGAAGTCATTAGGTGACTTTTTATATGCTGTAAAACTCATTTTTCTACTATGTTTGAGAACACTCCGTTTTCCACATCCTTGCCAGTCAACGTTATCTACTTTATTTTTCCTTCTACCAATGAAATATGTGTAGTGTATATGTCAAAATGTTATAATACTTTAATAATCCTTTTCCTAATTACTAGGAAGGACAGGTCTTAATCATGTATTTATTGGTAATGTGAACACTTAACCTTGTAATAGTTCTCTTTTCAAAATATTTGCTTGTTTTCTATTCAGCTGTTTATATTTAGTACAATTGAAATTTGAATATACAGTGTTTGAACTACGGTTGGAATTACGTCCCCCCAAAATTTATATGTTGAAGTTCTAACTCCTGCGCTCTCTGGATGTGATCCTATTTGGAAACAGGATTGTTGCAGATGTAATTAGTTAAGTTCAAAAGGGGTCATATTTTCGTAGGGTGGATCCTACAAAAGAATGGCCTGTGAAGAGACAGACAAGTGCACAAGAGAGAATGCACGTGAACATGAAGAGGTGGGGGTGATGCATCCACAAGCCAAAGCGTGCTACAGATAGCCCAAAAATATCAGAAGCTAGGAGAGAGGCCTGGAACTGGTTTTTCCTCTCAGCCCTCAGAAAGAACCAACCAACATCCTGATCTCAGAC
The DNA here is from genome assembly GCF_000001405.40 of Homo sapiens. Taxonomy (NCBI): domain Eukaryota; kingdom Metazoa; phylum Chordata; class Mammalia; order Primates; family Hominidae; genus Homo; species Homo sapiens. The sequence continues at coordinate 64,613,589 of NC_000010.11, read as the reverse complement.
CTCTAGGCACAAGAACTGTGGAACAATAAATTTCTGTTTAAGCCACCCGGTTTGTGAAACTTTTTTATGGCAGCCATCACAAATTAATACATGTAGTTACATGAAAATTTTATTTTCTTTTAGATGGAGTTGTGACAGCTACATTTATTAAATTACGTTGCCTCCACTGAAATGAAATATTACTTTTCTCATACACTAAATTTGTTATTGATGTATATATATATTCTCAAATATAAATATATAAAATTCTACATTCTCAAATCTACCAGAATCTGTTTTCTCTATTCCATGTTACTGACTTATTTGTATATATTCTTTTTTTTTTTTTTTTTTGAAACAGTGTCTCACTCTGTCGCCCAGGCTGGAGTGCAGTGGCGCCATCTCAGCTCACTGCAACCTCCACACCCCAGGTTCAAATGATTCTCGTGCCTCAGCCTCCCGAGTAACTGGGATGATAAGCACCTGCCACCACGCCCAGCTAATTTTTGTATTTTTAGTAGAGATGGGGTTTCACCATCTTGGCCAGGCTGGTCTTGAACTCCTGACCTCGTGATCCACTCTCCTCAGCCTCCCAAAGTTCTGGGATTACAGGTGTGAGCTACTGCGCCTGGCCATATTTGTATATAGTCTAATACTCATCAGTGAGATACTTTTTCTAATAGCAGAAACTTTACCATTATTTTTAAGATTCACATACTTTTTCTATGTACGGCTATTAATTGATTTTTATATAATCATGAGTCATTTAAAACTAATTCTCAACAACTAAGAAAAAAACTTCTGTTGGAATTGTACTTGGCATTACATTAAGTTTATATATCAACATTTAGAGAATAATTAAATTTGTTAAGATATTCTTTCAATTCATGAACATGATTTGCCATCATTTGTTCAAATATTTTTATATGCTTTTTTAAGGCAGTAAAATTGGTAAAGGTCATGGTTTTTAAACTAATTCATTTCTAATTTTATTCTATTTACAGAGACAGTATTTGTATTATCAATGTTTATATTACTTCTCATCTTTGGATGTGAATTCACTGAAATCTCTTTGCAACCTCAGTGTCTTTATGGTCAATTGTCATGTCTTCTGTTCTTCAGTTTTATATTTATATATGATAGAGATATACATGTATAGTATTTATAAACATAGATATATATGTACAGACATGTGTATGTATTTAAGACTCATACTTCAATCATATTCAATTTGAATTGTTTTGTCCATATGATACTCATGGACATAGAGTAGCATCACATTACTAATATTGTTCTGGCTATGTTTCTTTACTACCCACTGTCTTATGTGTATATCAGCGGTGTTCTCGTGACTTTCTGCTTGAAGTTTTTCCGCCTTTATGAGACAGTTGATGACACTAGAAAAGCCCTCAGGCCAATACCAGATATAAGTTGGAGAAAATGTTTCCTGGGTGTCCTGCCCCTGCTGTGGTCTAACTCTGAGCTCTGTTCTATATTGTCTTCCAGAATTCCTAGCAAGGATAGGTTTCCGTGGCCTGCAGCAAAAATCACTGATTAGACATCCTTTCCTGGCTTCCTTAACTTTTCCTGTATCACCTTTCTCCTACTGTACACATGCTTTGTCGGATTATCTCCCAATTGACTTCATATCATTGTCTCAGAATGCATTTCTTGGTTAACCCAGTCTGAAACAGTTTCTATTTTTCCTTACATCCCTTGCAGTTTTTACTTTATAAAAATGTTCACTATGTTAAATCTTTAAACTGACTGTAAGTCTTTAGCAAAGAAAAGTACTATGTGTTGCTTCCCTTACTGCTTTTTTTTTAAAAGAAAAATTAACTCCCACTTTGTCAGTCATCTGGATTCTAGATTGCAAACCTTGCTTTCTTCTCAATTGCTCCTACTCAGTAGAATCATATTCACTTTCTTGTTTTTAACTTTTCTGAGTCACTTTATGTTTCACAGTCCTATTATATGTCATACTACTATATTTTGTTCTGTTAGCCAATCTGAAAATTATTTTCTTTGTTTTGATAAATTAAGCCATGTGTGTTTTTGACATGACTGATGAGTTTGGCCTCAGTTATATCTAATGATAGTTTCATGTTTTACCCTTTCACAATATCATCTGTTTTAGTTTGTCTTTTCCATTTATGGCTTATCTTGTAGTTAAGACAATTTTTTTCTCTCTTTCTCCCACTTTAATAATTTTACTAAATCTGCATAGTGTATAACCATCACAACTCTACCATCCCTCTCATGCTTATTCTTTAGTACTAGTTCTATAGTCATATATGTATTCAGGGCTCACCACTCATACTATGCCAATGTCTTTCCAGTGACTTTGGTTATCTAAAATATATTATCTGGTAGGTTGCACGGGAACAATATGTCCTGAGTTCTTGCATGTTCGTGTTAGCCCACAGCTTTGATACTGAAAATCATTTTTGCCTGAATAGAAAACATTTGGCTCACATTTTCCTTCCTTGAGTATCCTACATATATTAGTCCTTTGTCTTACAGCATAAAACATCCTTGTCAAAGAGTTTGACATCAATATGTTTTTCTCTCCCGTGGAAGTGACCTGATATTTTTTCTGTTTTTTTTTCTTCTGCATAGTGAAAATACTTTTAAAAAAATTTCATTTCAAGACCAAAAGATTCACTAGAATAAGTCCCAATGTTGGCCATCGCAGGACAGTTTTGCCAGGAAGAATATGTAGTTTCAAGTCTTTATTTCAGGAAATTTTCCTAGAAATAATACATAGGTCCAAATCTTGATTTATTCCTGGAAATATTCCTAGGAAAAATAGATTAAATTTTGAAGACAACACCAGTAGGAGAGAAGACAAACTGATTCCTTGTTCAAGAAAATCTCAGGCACAGAAGCTCAAAATATCTTTTTAATTTCCTATGCAAGCCATTTTCTCCACAGTTTTAACTTTTATCTGCCACTGAAACACTTCTTAAACTTCAATTCAGCTGTCAAAAATCAAATGGAATTTCACAAGATCATGTTTAGTTTCTTACTTGTTGTATTTCTTTCATTTGAATTTGATATCATTGCATTTAGGTTGCTTTACTATAGTGTCATTATCATGATGCCCATGAAGTGATTGTTGTGAAACATAGATGCTCTGCTCCATTAATCAAATTCTAGCTCACTGTGTGGCTCATCCCACTATTATGGTTGGCAGAACCTAAACATGCTGCAACTTCCTCTCCTTACCCCATCTCTATCTTCATATGTCTTAAAAAGTATTATTCCCATACTGATTTAATGCTTCTATTTATACTATTGTAATATATCAAAGATTTCCAAGTGTCAGTACTCATATAATTAAACTGTGGTAAACTCTCTAGCCAAAAAATATCAGATTGTTATTTATAAAATTAATTTCTTTTTATCCTATAATACAATCTGATACATTACACAAAACAGTACTATATAATATTGCACTTGAGAAAGTTTTTCTACTCTGGACTTCAGTTTTATCATACATAAAATGAGGACTTTTTACTAGATCCCAAAAGTTTTGAGTATTTCCTCCTGTCACCCATTATAGAGTGGCAGGTAGAGTGAATGAAGTCCCAGGAACTCCCAATGCTTGCCTTCTCTAGCCAGAATAACTCTGAAGTTCTCTCTTTTATACACTGGAGTTCCAGGAAAAAAATGAGTTTTGAAAAATTTTCAAGGCTAAAAAAGAAGTGCTAAAATAACTGCATTGGATGATTATAAAGGTGATTCCTAGACTTTAAATGAAAACAAAGAAAGAGGAAGGAAGGAAGACGGAAGGAAGGAAGGAAAGAAGGAAGGAAGGAATGAAGGAAGGAAGGAAAGAAGGAAGGAAGGCAGGAAGGGAGGGAGGGAGGGAGGGAAAATTCTTATGCTTCCTTGATTTTCTAACTTAATCCTCGAAGATAATAATTATTTTCTTTCCTAAGGATTATACATGATATCATTAAGCCGGATAAAAAGAAGTTGCAAATGGTGTAGTGTATAGACTGTGACTGCTGTCACATGTTATTTAGAGAGAAAATATAAGGACCTAATAATCAGTTGTTTTGCATCAGTGTAGTCGCATACCTTTTTATGCTGGATCTCTTTTGTTTAGGTGGGTACCCATGATTTGTAAAATATTTTGCATATCTTTCTTAAAACTCAGACATGCCTAGCAAGAAAGCACTGTAGACATGTAATTGTGAGGGAGAAATAATCTGAGCACATCTTTGTTTACATTTCATCATTTTTGATAGTATATGCTTGTATTCAGAAAATTATTTTGCTAAGTTTCAACATGTAACCTTTATTCATAAGATTGGCTCACCTCTTGCATAAAGATTAAAAATATAGAAAAGATGAACATAAACTCTTAAGAGCAGACAACTCCTGTTTTAATATTGGTTATCATAGGTATGATGTTGTGAGAAACTAAATAAAAATCTATATGTTTTCACCTATTTTTATCTATCGGCTATATTTTGGTATGTTTTTTAATCTCAAAAATATAGCCTATTAAGCTATCACTTGTCAGAGGACACACACCTCAATACTCTGTAGTTCCAAGTTAGAGTCTTGGATAGCAAAATTAAGACGTTTGCTTGATTTTGCCTCACATGAGTTACTGTTCCTTCTAGAGAAACACAAAAAGGGATACAAATAGATAGCTTCTCCCTCTTGTGCTGTCTTTCTTAATAGGTACTGCACTTGACCCAGGAGTGGACTTTAAAAATTAATTCTAGGCCTGAACTGCTAACTTTAGCCTTTCAAGTGTAACTATTTTAGAGTCCAGTTTTTCAGAGTTGAACTCTGGTGTCCATTTTAACAAGGCTATTTTGACCCAGGGGATCTTTTTCTATGGGGCTTGGAATCTGCAAGAAATGTGGCTAAGACATAGAATGAAAATTAGCAAATGTGTTGTACATATTACTTGATAATTGAAAAAAAAGAAGAATTAAAAAGTGAATTGATTTGCTACTCAACATTATCAAAATATCCCTGACATCAATCTAACATGTCAACATGGCATACACACGAGCCATTAGCACCTACACAGGCCTGTCTACAATCTGCCCTTGTGCTCAAGGGAGGAATGGGCATCCCTTTCCTTTGCTTATCTGTTCTCGTTACCTGAGGAATGTTCTATCTACATCCTTTTCCATGCCTATTTTATCCCCTGTCCACCCCTCAAATCCAAATTCCAATTACTTCGCAGTAAATTTTCTATTCCTCAATTACTCCTGGCCACAGAGGAGTCTCCCTTCTTTAATTTACATAACACTTACAATCTTCTCCAAACAATTTATACCTAAATATAAAATTTATTTGGCTTTCTAGACATTTTAGCTGCTTTTCTTTAGGTAGCTATTAATGTTTTTGAGACGAGAAACTAGATATTTCTCTTTGCTAGCAAACTTCAACCTAGGTGCTTAAGAAATACAGTTTTTTTTAAAAATAGGAAAAAAAAAAGTCAAGACTGAATTGCAAACATGTTTCTATCACATAAATATGCATATTATTAAAATATGTAAAGATCTGCATTCCAGTTGATCAACAGCCACCGCCCCACTCCCTCATCTCCCACTCCCCCCAAGTTCTCCCTCACTAATCTGGAAGCCTCCCTTCAATCCATCAACTAAAGGGGTAATACAAGGCACAAAAGAGGATGCCAGCTCACCGCTCCAGTCTCATGGCCACTACTATCTGTTCTGAGGTGTTGTTCAGGTGCTACAGGGATGATACCACTAATTAATGCTTAATATAGCTTGAATCCAGGAGATAGTTTTTCCTTCAGTAGAGGTCTGTTCATAAAGTAAATTTTCATTCTTTTTTGCTTGGGATACAGAGTCTCACTCTCTTTCCCAGGCCGGAGTGCAGTGGCACAATTATGGCTCAGTGCAGCCTCAACCTCCTGGGCTCAAGCAATTCTCCTACCTCAGTGTACCAAGTAGTTGGGACTACAGGCATATACCACCATGTCTAGATAATTTTGGGGTTTTTTTTTTAGAGATAAAGTCTGGCTATGTTGCCTAGGCTTGTCTCAAACTCCTGGCCTCAAGTGATCCTCCCACCTAGGCCTCCCAAAGCACTGGAATTATAGGCGTGAGCCACTAAACCCAGCCTTTCATTCTTAATTTAAAATATTACCATATAATCCTTTTCCAATAAGAAAAACATGTGCTATAAAGAGCCCATGTTACTTACCAACTTGTAATATATATTCCCTTGTAATAATAAGCAAAGTGTTTTTGCTTATTATATACAGATGATGACCATATTACTTTTAACACCAAATTATTCTGCCTTTTAGAAATTAATGGCACTTAAATGATAACATAGGAAGTCAAATTATTTATTTGCCATTTCTCTAGAATCCCATTTGCATATTGGGTTCAGATATCCCTAAAATAATATTTCATTGTATTAATTTATCTTAGCTCTGAAATATGCCACTCTGTTTTTCAATAGCAATGGTGAAAGTAGACCAAGGCAAATTTTAAAATGCTTTTATAAGTAATATATCTAGAAGCCTATAATTGAAAGTAATTAAAATATTTTTGTGCTGATGGACATGCAACGAAGGACAATAATATTATTGACTCAAATATTTAACCGAACATCTGTTCTTGATCATAATTCCTTCTTAAATTATCACACTGTTTTATATTTAAGAAATCACTCTTAATGTTTTACAAGGGCAGTTACCTTGTGAATATGATATTAGAGCTATATGTTTGATACTTCATGGACTTCATGACTCCATTGGAGACATCTGCCCTTTTGGTTGCTGTGTACCTCTTTTCCAATATCCAGATAAAATGGATGTAGATGCTTTATTTGATGTCCATATGTAACATATATGATTCTACATTGTCCAGTCTTATGGAGTCATTTTTCTTATTTGAGAACCCCAAATTTAGTATGAGCTTCAATTATGAATTACTGAGGGAAGTCTTTCAATATGCTCCCCTTCTTGTTTCTGAGAATCCCTACAAAATACTTGCTTGCTCCACAAAACTATTTTGTTTCTCACTTACTACCTTCCCCAGCCATTTTACCCCAGACAGCCTTTCCATTTCTTGAAGGACCTCCCTTAGTCACTGTGACATAACCCGGCCATTTTCCTTTTTCTCCTTCCATGCAGAATGGACATTGACAAATTTCTTAATTCATTGGAACACAGGCAACAAAAAAACCTTCATAATGTTAAATTACTGTACCTAAGGATTGGAGATAAAATTAAAAAGCTAAGAAGGAAAATATAAAGGTAGATGTTCATGGTAGATATTATTCAAAAATGGCCATGAAACTTTCTCTGTTTATAGGAGCACTCTGTTCCTGCAATGAATATACAGAGTTAAATTCCCCACCCTTTGAATATGAACTGACCAAACGAAGCGCTTTGATCAATAAAATTTTATGGAAATGATATTGTATCTGTTTGGGGCCTAATTTTCAAGTGACTTTTAACTTCTACTTTTTTAGAACTCAGTCACCATGTCATCATAAAATCAGGTTATTCTACTACAAAGTGACATCCCTTAGAGAAGCCCTGGAAGATGAGTCATAAGGAGAGAGAGGGCACATGAAGGAAAGTTGAGGAGCCCTGGCTAGCAGGAAGCACCAAACCTTCAGAGTGTGAATGAGCCCTCCCTGAACTTTTAGTTCCACCCATCCCCCAGAAGAGGACAACTGGATAAGTGATCCCAGCCATACCTCCTGGAGCAGAAGAACAACCCAATTAACATACAGAATCATAAGAAATGATAACTTATTGTTTTAACATGCTGAGTTTTGGAGAAGTTTGTTATGCATAGAAATCTGAAGTCCTTGATATCACTTCTGATGGAGCCAACTTGCCAAATCCCTTCATATGGGGTCACCTGCTTGATTTCTCTTGCCTAAGCACCAACTTCTCCCCACCATCATTTAGATGCTGGTTTACTTCCCATTATGAGGAATAAATCCTTTTGACACTAACAGCCCAGGGTTCTAGACTCTTAACTCATTGGTTTTAAAATTTTGTTTGTTGGCCTTTATTGTAGCAAAATGAACATAATGTAAATTTTATCATTTTATCCATCTTAAAGTGTAAAATCCAGTGACTTTTTGTAACAATTACCAATATCTAGTTCTATCACATTTTTATCACATCAGAAAGAATCCATATTTCCCAGAGCCCCTAACAACAATTAATGGATTTTCTCATCTATGGATTTGCCTATTCTGGATAATTCATATAAATGGAATCATTCCATTTGTTTCTGGCTTCTTTCACTTAGCATAATATTTTCAAAGCCCATCCATCCAAATTATTGCTTTGCATAAAGGAAGAAAGAATTCTTCCCCTAGTTAGCATCTTGCTAGAAGTGCCACCCTACCCATAAGGAGGAAAATTTTTAAACTGTTCTCTATTTCAGAGTAAGATCAAGGCATTACTTTCATCTAACTAAGAGGTCCAATGGAGTTGTTTTCTTTCTCAAACAAAAGAGTAGCCTCTTATAAAAAGTGAATTCTATATTCACTCTTGTGGAAAAAAAAATCTCAGGCAGTTCTGTGTTTAGCAGATTGTCACCAATGCTTATACAAACTGACACAGATCCTGGTTGTGGGGGTTAATTTTTCGTGTCAATTTGACTGGGCATAGGGTGCCCCGATACTTGGTCAAACAGGATTCGGAGTATGTCTTTGAGGATATTTCTAGATGAGATTAACATTTGAATTGATAGACTTGAGTAAAGCAAATGGCCCTCCCTAATGTGGGATTTCACCTAATCAGTTGAGGATCTGAATAGAATAAAAAGGCTGAATAAGATGGAACTTCATTCACCTGCCTGGCTGTTGAACTGGAACATGGGTCTTCTCATAAACTTAGACTAGAATTTAGACCATTGACTCTCCTTGGTCTCAGACCTTTGGCCTTGAACTAGAGCTATACCACTCACTCTCCTAGGTCTTCAGCTTGCCACTACCTTTCTTGGAACTTCTCAGCTTCCATAATCATGGGAGCCAATTCCTTATAATAAGTAAATATAATATGTGTGTATATATATGTGTACATATGTGTACATATATGTGTACACATATACATACATATACACATATATACATACGTATCTATTTATATAGAGAGATTTATTATCCATTGGTTCTGTTTCTCTGGAGAATTCTGGCTAATATACATGCCTTTTTTCATTTCTTAGCAAATATACTACTAGTATATAAACTACTACAAGTAGGTCAGAATAGATGTGCATCAGCAACAATGTCTATTCACATCTCCAGAGAAAGTCTTCTCCTAAGACTCTATTCACATCTCCAGAGAAAGTCTTCTCCTTTTTTACAGTATAAAATAATTGGGGGCCAAGAGAAGATTAATACAATTGGTACAGTAAAATACTGTCTTCCTCTTCTTCACCCAATATTCTCCCCAATATAAAATAGGGAAAAAAGTAAAACTGTATTGAAAATATTGTATTTATTTAATCTCTGTTAGTATGATGTTAATTAAAACTAGTGCCTAATTTTCTCACTACAGCTCAGATAGGTCGTACTATTTTCAGGTGACCCGAGATTGCGTTTTTCAATGTTCAGTTTTCATAAGTTATGATGGAGACCACTATAAAAAAATCTCACCCCATGAGAAAAGAGAGTCAAAAGGTGAAAGTTGGTGCAAAATAAAACTGGCTTGTGTCCAAAGGGAGGGGAGATGTTGAACACTAGCAGTGCCATTCATTTAGTCTATCCTCTGATACAAGCTTCGTGGACTCATGCCTGAATCCTCAGGCAACAGAGTTATGACTCAAAAACTATGTCTGAACTAATAAATTGGAAATTTGAAAAGTCAAGGTGACAGCAGTATTAAGTGCCAGTGGCTTCAGCAATGAGACACAAAAATCTCTCAACATTGGACGGTATTGTTGTTTTAAGCAGTTCAGGGCACGAAGTACAGCATCCTTGGCCTGTACATTAGCACACCCAGCAACAGGCATCAGTAACCATAAGCCAGAAGTCAGTGGCCTCCAGCAACCAGCACTGGCAGCGATTTTTGGACCGTATAGCTGTGGATATAGGTAGCTTACCAGGTCAAGACAGTAGACAAATTGTGGATACCATATTGATTCCCACAGGACCAGCTTGCAGATCATACTGGAGATATGCCTTGAGAGGGCAATTATGGGGACTGCCAAGTCAGAAGCAGAGATACACTGATTTGTTACTGTTATGGTAAAACCCTTTGTCGTCCCTGGTTAGGGTGGCTGATTTTTATCCATAGCAATGTCTTGGCCTATCCTCTGCATTTTCTTCAATGCAGTTTATAAATTCAATGCCACCTGACCTACACAGCAAACAGTTATTTTCAGAAATAGAATGACAGAAGTCCTTTTAACTGCACACCTCTGCAGGTAAATTTGTTTCCAGCCTTTATTAGATTGTTTACATTAAGTCCACTATTTAATTTTGAAAATGAAACTTTCGATAACAAATTCAAGCACTAGTTTATGTATAGAAATTTTTGAAATATAAATTAATTTTGAATAATGCAAACTCACACTATATTGTTCAAGATGAAGCTTTTCCATTTAAATTTCATGAAAGATTAAGGCAGCTGAAAAAGAAACGTGGATGGACTCAAAGTAACAGTTTGCATTTTGATATTGGAAAACAGTAAGATAAATGGTTTTATGTTCCTTTCATTTGCATATATATGTGGCTAAAGACAGGAGAAAGGATCAAAAATCTAAACTCTGAAATGGCATTTCAACAAAACAATCTGATGACAAAGATTTTTTCATAGATCAACCAGTTTTCTTTTTTCAGCATTTCTACATGAAATACGATAAGCCTCACTTTCCCAACTCCTGAAATTTTAGGGTGAGAAATGCTGTTTTGGAAAATATCCACATGCAATCAACTTGATGTTAGCTAGAAAGTGAAAGCATCATCTCTTTCCCATGTCAATTACAATTATGCTTCAATTTAAAAAGTAATATACAGTGGTATATACATTATTCTTGAATTTAAATCCAATGTCAAACCTTCAAAAAATTCAGTATTATAACAGTAAAAGCACAAATTTATATGGTTTATTATTATTATAATATAAAATAGTATTATTTTACTTAAAATATATTAAAATATAATATATTACGTTATAATGGAAACCAAAATAAAATATAATAAGCTGATACTGGTAAGTCTCATCTGTGGCACCAGTTAATAGTCATTTTGTTTTAAAGTTTTTAGAATTGTAGAATCTTAGAATTATCTTAGAAGATAATTTCTTAATAATTTCTAACATTCTTTCCCTCATCGTTCTTCCCCTCCCTCACCTTTCTAACCTGTGCCAAGTGATAGTCAGGAAAAGAGGTGTTTGGTTACACAGCTATGAAAAAAATTCAAGAATTCTAACAATGATCATAAGGTTGCATTGATAGTTAATCTAAGGAAAAAAAATCTCTTACATGAGATGGTTACTATCCAATGGATTTATGTAATCCTGTTGCCAGAGATATTAACACTTTATTTCAAAATATGTAACTGTAACAAAATATAGTATTTTCTTTCTTAAACAATCACTTCATTGACATGTACTGAGCACATTATGTGCAAGACATTGTTGAATATCAAAACAAGCTCTTAACAAAAGGTAAAAAATATAATAATCAAAGGGAATATCTGATGGGTCATGTACTCAGCTTTTAGACAGGCATAACTTTATGTCCTTTTAAAATGTGAGAACCTACCAGCTAGCACACCAATGTACCCAGTTATCTTTTTCATTGAAGGTGCAATTTGAACTAATTTGATGACATTTAGGTAATGCAAGCCTTATGAAAACAAATAAAATGAAATAAAACAAAATAACTTTAAGATTATTATCAATATAATCTGGAGATTTATTGAGTCATAGCCTAAGCAATCACTAAAAGATGCTAAATAGATTTAGGAAATAATTGTTGCATGAGAGAAATAACACTTCGTTTTTTTGCATTAAAAATCTTGTTTATAGATCCACATACAGTTTAATTTTCTAATACCATCACATGTAAAATTGCATGTTCTATCATCATAAGTGAATATCTAGTTTTAAGGATTCCTCTTGAAACATCTGCAACATTACCTAGCAACATTATCACAGTGGTCTCCATCCATCTGAGAGCAAATGGTGAACATCTGTTTTGAACACAGTCGGGAAAAAAAAAGCAAAACAATATAAATTTTGATTATGATCAGAGTTTGACACGAATGTAGATAGGCACAGACTCCTTACATGAGTCAACTTTTAGAGTATTGTTTCTCCTCATACTTTTAGATATGTTGTGAGTATCAAAATGTGCATTGTACATATAGAATTTAAGGTGATAATGTATCAAATTAAAGCATTAAACTTTCAAGCTCTGAAATAGACTTAAAAGCCTATAGAACACCATAAGGGCTTTAAATTAGTCCTAATAAAAATTGAGTGAGTTGGTAGGCAAGTTATAAATTACTTACAAATAGGCTGCTGAGAAGTCTCAGACTGCTAAATGGGTCGGTCTAATTATATTCTAAACAAAATTACAGAATATGACAGTGTCTATTTTTCTACCACAGTTGAAGCTCATTGATTACTCTGTTGACCACTTCTTCAAATACAATGACTCCAGAATGTTGCTGGAAGCAAATTCAGGAGTAATGATGGACATTCTTCCAAAGACCTTCTCACCAGAGGAGTAAGCCAATTTTATTTTTGTTGCAAGAGTCACCTTTACTTTCTAGGCTGGCCTCGTCACTTGACTTTATTAGTAAACTATAGCAGAAGTGATGCACTGCCACTTCCAGGCCTATCCTGTAATAGACCTGGTAGGTTCTACTTTCTCTATGGGGATCCCAATCATCAGGCTGTAAAGAAAATTGTGCTTTATTACTGAATTAGGAGAGATCAGATAAAAAGCAAAGCCAAATGGAAATGAAATAAGCTGCAAAATGTATCAGTAAAGCTTTATTAGACTTTTCAGTACAGCAGCCATGTAAATACAGGTGATTGAGTGATCTCAGTCCATGCTAAGTTGAAAATATCTATACCATATCAGCAATGAAGAATGACCTCAATGGTTATATTAGCAGAGTAGACTCAGCTGAGAAAAGAATTGGTGAACTTGAAGATAAGTCCATTGAAATTCCTTAAACTGAAACACAAAGAGAAAAAGTAAAGAAAAGAAGTATAACAACATTCAAGAGCTGAGGGACAATATCAAACAATTTAAGGTATGTTTCACTGGAGTCCCAGAAGAGATGAAAGAACGGCAACAATGACATATTTGAAGAGGTGATGGTTGAGAATCCATCAAAATTTAAAAAGGACCAAGAACCACAGATGAAAGAAGCTCAAGAAACCCCAAACAGAATAAATAGTAAAAGGAAAAACAAAAACCTAGATATAGCGTAACAAAACTGCTAAGAATAAAAGAAAAGGAGGACTCCCTAAGGCAGCTACAGAAAAAAGATATATACAGAGAAACCAAGAAAGACAAAAATTACGTAAGATTTCTTTTCAGAAAATATTCAAGCCACAATAAAAAGTATCAATATTTTTAAAGTATTGGAAGAAAAAAAGCTTTCAACCAGAATTCTATAACTAGCAAAGTATATTTGAAAAATGAAAGACAAAGAAAAACAGAGAAAAATTATTGCCTACAGATCTGAAGTACAATAAATGGTAGAAGAAATTTTTCAGACAGAAGAAATATGATACTGGATAGAACTTTGGATAACACAAAGAAATAAAAAGCACCAGAAATAATAAAAATGACGGTAATATAAAATATATTTTTCTTATCTATACTAATCTAAAATATAATTAACTGTTTAAAGCAAATATAATGTGTTATGAGTCTTTTAACATATAAAACTAAAATATATGACAATAATAATGTAAAGAATATAATAGAGAAGATGGAATTTTCTCCTTATACAGTAAGTCAACTAAAGTCAACTAATGTAATATTTAAAGTTAAACCGAGATAAGTTAACGATGTATAATGTAAACCCAAGAAAGTATAACTAATAAGCCAGTCCTGGAGATAAAATGGAAACATAAATTTTATTCATTAATCTAAAAATAGAACTGTTTTTGAAGCCACATACTTCCACTTATAAGTGGGAGCTAAATAATAGGTACATACAGATATACAGATTGAAATAATAGACATTGGGGACTCCAAAAGGGGGGGTGCGGGAGGGAGGGAGGGTTGAAATACTACCTATTGGGTACAAGGTACTCTATTTGGGTAATAGATACAATAAAAGCCTAGACTACATCACTATGCAATGTATCTATGTAACACAACTGCACTTGTACCCCTCAATCTATGAAAATTAAAAAAATTGGTTTTCAGTATTTAAAATGTGTTAGGCACTGTGCCAGGACACAATGATGAACAAAACAAAGTCCCTGACTTCATAAAGCTTGTATCCTGGTAAGATGGAAGAAACAATAAATAATTAATAAAGCCTGTATTTAATACTGCGCAAAAAGAAATTAAACAAGCTATGAAAGGATTTAACAGACTGACCAATCTGGTCAGGAAGTTCTTTGCAAGGAGATGGCAATGAACAATTTTCTATTAATCCAGTAACCTTTAGCCTTATTACACCACTTAAAAATTACAGATTCTTTCATTTCATTGTATTCTCAGAAAGAATACATGGTAGTAAGACTGAATAACCTACATATAGATACATCACAATTGCCTCTTATGAGATAGAAAAGCATTCTGCATACCTATCATTTTTACTAAACACCACAGTACACTGATAAATAGCACTGTCAGCTATAAATGCTAAGCTGCTATTTCAGAGTGAATGGAAATATTCTCTAGAAAATAGATTTCTCTTTAAATGTCTGTGTTGATCTGTTTTTCAAATAAGTTTATAACAAGATAGCAATAGGATAAATTAAAACCCTTAGCCCAGTAGAAATTCTAATATTTGTTTTGAATGCTGACCCCTTAGGTAAAACACGGTTCATAATATGATTTTGATTTTCCTTTATAATCAGAACTCTTAAAGCTATTTGCAAAATTTTAATAGAAGTACTTGATATTCGTGATTCCCTGATCAGTGTAGTTATGTACAGAGAAAATTAAGGATAAAATGTCTTCCTAGAGTCTTTAAAATCTTAAAGTCGGCCGGGTGCGGTAGCTCACTCCTGTAATCCCAGCACTTTGGGAGGCCGGGGCGGGTGGATCACTTAAGGCCAGGAGTTAGAGACCAGCCTGGCCAACATGGCGAAACCCCGTCTCTACTAAAAATACAAAAACTAGCGGGGCATGGTGGCGCCCGCCTGTAGTCCAGCTACTTGAGAGCCTGAGGCAGGAGAATCATTTGAACCCGGGAAGTAGCAGTTGTAGTGAGCGGAGATCATGCCACTGCACTCCAGCCTGGGCCAGGGAGTGAGATGCTGTCTCAAAAGGAAAAAAAAAAATCTTAAAGTCATATATTTTAATTCTAAAATTTTAATTTATATTTGATATAAATCGCCACTATAAAGGGGTTACATTGAAATGACCTTATTATAGAAGGTGCATGAATTTTGCACCGTCTTCAAGCCTTGCATAGCAGGGACGGCTGCAGGAAGCTGCTCTTCTCCTGGCTGCCCCAGACATCCAAACTAAGTCAAATCTTCATGTAACTTGTTGCCTGTGGACGTTCTGCCTTACCAGACTCAGACAACTTGGTAATTATTGCATAGTGAACCTAATTTACAGTATTTAGTTACACTAACAGCAAACTGTCTGAAAAATAAATCAATAAAACAATCCCTTGTGGTATAGCATAAAAATAAAATAATTAGGAATAAATTTAACCAAGAAGAAAAAAAATCTGTACACTGAAAACTATAAAACACTGGTGAAAGAAATTGAAAAGACACAAGTGGAAAGATGTCCTGTGTTTATGGATTAGAATACCTAATATTGCTAAACTGTCCACACTACACAAAGCAATTTAAAGATTCAATGAAATCCCTATAAAAAATCCAAATTGTATTTTTCAGAGGAATAAAAAACAAAGACCCTAAAATTTATATGGAACCGCAAAAGGACATGAACATCTAAAATAATATTGAGCAAGCAGGACAAAGCTGGAGGCACCAAATTTTCTGATTTCACAATATATATTACAAGGCTACAGTAATCAAAAGAGTAAGGTACTGGCTTAAAATTAACAAATAGATTAATGAAACAGAATAGAAAGCCCAAAAACAAATTCAGACATTCACAGTCATCTTATGTTTGACATGAGTTCCAAGAATACACAATGGGGAAAGGATATTCTCTTTAATAAATGATTTTGAGAAAACTGAATATCCACATGCAAATGACTGCAGTTGGACCCTTATTTCACTCAATATGCTAAAGTCAACTCAAAACGGATTATAGACTTAAACATAAGACTTGAAACTATAAAATGAATAGAAGAAGACAGTAAGAGAAAAACTCCTTGACATTGTTCTGGGAAATAATTTTTGGATATGACCCCAAAAGCACAGGCAACAAAAGCAAAACTACAGAAATTGGATAGTGTCAAACCAAAAATCATCCTCTGCACAACAAAGAAAACAATCAACACAATGAAGAAACAACCCATGGAATGGAAGAAAATATTTGTAAACCAGCATATGTTGGTTAATATCCAAAATATACAAAGAACTCAAACAACTGAAGAGTAAAAATAAAAATAAAATAAAATAACCCAATTTTAAAGTGGGCAAAGGACCTAAATAAACATTTTTGCCAAGATATAAAAATGGCCAGTAAGTGCTTATCATAACTATTATCAGGGAAATGCAATTCAAAACCATAACAAGATATCACACCTATTCAGATGGCTATTATCAAAAAGATAAATGATAACAAGTATTGTTATCACAATCTCTTTTACCTGTGAAATCTATGCGTACAAAGTTTTAGTCATAAATAGGAATTGCACAAAGCAGCTCCATCTCCTAAGGCTGGGGCAATAAAGGAGGAATCGGGTGTTATCAGAAGCTAGAAGTGTGAAGGTGAGGGCCTGGACCTGAGCCTCAGGTTCTGAAGAGGTCGCCGCCTGACTGCTGCTGGTACCCTCCAAAGGCTGAATCTGGAAGTAGCAGAGGGAAAAAATAAACACTAGAACAAATTGCTGTTGTTTATAGGAAGGTCCTTTACTGAGATGACTCTAATAAGAAAAAAAAAAAAATGGAAGCAGCACTTTTTTTTCGTACCTCCTGCTTCTTATTTTCTCTCCATTGTACCCTATTGGAATACTTTAACAGCAAAGGAAGAATATAGTTTTCAGAATCCCAGGAGCAGAATCATAAAGCAAATGGAAGGTGAGTTCAGAGCTGAAAAACAATACCTTAATAACTATCCCAGCAGGAATACTGTAATTTCAATAGGCTGAATGAATTGTAAGTAGAGATTTTAAACTGTTTTCAATTTTATAATTCATGTCTCATTAAGTCCCAATATCTACAGTAAAAAAAAAAAAATTCATCTAAATAAACTTACCTTTGTAGAACTGGTACATTTTAAAACTTCTATTATCAAAGAAATGACTGTCAGTTCTAAAGCCCTAGAGCTAAGTATCATTCTTATGGACTGCACATTACTGATAGTGATAGAAGACAACATTTTCACTACTTCTTAGTTTTACCAAATGTCAACTGAGTTGCAAGTTGCATTAACTAGGGAATTTCCACTTAGCTGTTTTGGACATTGGTTATTCCAGAAAGTATTTCTTTTAATAATATATGCTTAGTGGATTAGTCAGAATTCTCCAGAAAAATAGAACAAATAGGATACAGAATACATATTAAGAACTATGTAAAATTATATACTATATATGAATAGATATATGTACAGACAGAGAGAGAGATTTATTATAAGGCATTGGCTTACATGACTATGGAGGCTGAGAAGTTCTGTGAACTGCCCTCCATAAGCTGAAGACCCAAGAGAGCTGGTGGTATAATTTCAGTCTGAGTCTAATGGCCTGAGAACATACTCTTGAGCATGCATTAGCTCTTAGAAGAACCAATGGTGCAAATTACATTCTAAGGGCAAAAAAAGACCAATGTCCCAGCTCAAGCAGATAGGCCAGAAGTAAAAAAGTAAATTTCTCTCTTCTTTTTTTTCTATTCAGGTCTTTAACAGATTGGGTGATGTCCACCTACCTTGGGAAGGACAATCTACTTTGTTCAGCTAACTGATTCAAATGCTAATCTCACTCAGAAACACTCTCACAAAGATATCCAGAAATAATGCTTAAGAGTTTGGGACCAGCCCGGCCGACAATGGTGAAACCCCATCTCTACTAAAAATACAAATATTAGTCAGATGTGGTGGCAGGTGCCTGTCATTCCATCTACTCCAGAGGCTGAGGCAGGAGAATGGCTTGAACCAGGGAGGTGGAGGTTGCAGTGAGCCGAGATGGCGCCACTGCACTCCAACCTGGGCAACACAGCAAGACTCTGTCTCAGAAAATAAATAAATAAATAGTGCTTAATCTGGGCACCCCATGGCACATCAAATTAACACATAAAATTAACCATCACAACAAATGAATTTATAAAACTTTAAAAAATCTTGATCTGCCATAAGTGAGATGCTTTTTGTTACATGTTCATTAAATTAGAGATCAAGGTCTATAAAATAGAAAGAAATAGATAAGTAAAAAGAAAGAAGAAAAAATGCATTGTTAGTATAGATAACTTTATATTTCCAATATATTACTCATACTAATAACTGGAACTCTTACACATCTTGTTAAGTTGATAGATTTTTATGTTATATATTTTAGGATCATTTTAATTTTCAAGTGTCATGTAAAACTGAGTTCTCAGTCATCAGTAGACATGTAATCCCTGTTATTTGGCATGGGTGCATGACTAAACTGAAAAAAATGACTGAATGAACAAATAAATGAAATTAAATGCTCTCTGCTCTGGGAAATTTTCAGGAAGACAAATTCACCAAATGCATTCGGTTTATTAGAAGTGTATATTCATCAGCACACTGGTTAAACTGTATTTTACAATATAAAATACCTAGTTACAACCTATACTCACTAGGATAAGTATTACCCTCCCTTTTGAAAAAATTATAGTACTTATCAATATCATTAATATCAAAATTGCAATTTGATTGATTGATTGATAAAATAGATAGATTGAGTAAAGTTCCTTGATTCTTGAACATTCCGGAATTTCAGACTTGGAATAGATACAAAAGAGAAAGACTGGACTCCTTATTAGTATGGGCAGGTTAGATCTTGAGAGAAAAGTTATAAAATGTGACTATGTTTACCTCGGGTTAACAAAATGAATCATCCCAGCTATATACATTCATAGCAGGTTTGAGAAAAAGTACATGCCCTTGAAAGGAAGAGGATAAATTGGGTATTGCATCTATTCGAAAACTTAATTATAAAGAATTTACTTTTGAAAATTTGCTAAGAATTTCTACAGTAATTGATTCAACTTTTCTTTGTTACTTTTATTCTATTTCAGAAATATATCATCTTTTCTTTGAGACTTTTTTTATTCATTGAAAGCCAACATAGTCAGGAAATTGGGTTCTTCTACTGAAGACACTTATCAAACAGATTGTTTCAAATTGCCTTGGCTTGGAGACAGAGAGAGTCAGTTTCAGTAAAAGCACTGTTTATTTTAAAAGGAAATATTCATTTTAAAAATACTGATTAAAATTTATTTCTCAGACTTAGAAATGTATCCTTAATACAAAGCTGTCACCATTATTTTACCTGAACAATGTTTAAAAACATTATTACAAATATATATACATATGTACAGTGTATGGAAATATTTCATCTTACCATTTATAACCAAATAACTTTAAAGTTGAGCAAGGAGCTTTCTTCTGAGTATGCATAAACAGATGTTATTCTGTTTCCTCCAAAGATAAGCCTTGGGCAGAAACTTGTATAAATTATGTCTCTAAATAAATCTCAATAATGCTTCATCTGAAATCAAACAAGTAGGTTATATAATTTTCAAATGTTGGAACTGTCTAGTCTTTTTGTTTCTAATTTAATTTTATTATTTTCAGAGAGCTTGACATATCTTAACACAAGTTTTTTATGAACTTGTGTTTCATTAAAAACTCGTGTTAAGATATGTCAAGCTGAAAATACTTTGAGCTGAAAATATTTTCTAATTTTCTTACCCTGTAACTTTTAATAAGAGTAGGTTACATAATTCCAAATACTGGGGAATGTTCTAGATTTTTTATCTTTAATGTAATTCCATTCTTTTCAGAGAACTACTCTGCTGTATTTATATCATTTGAAATACATTAAGATTTGTGCTATAGCCCAACATATGGTCTATCTTGATAAATATTCCATATGCACTTGAATACATATTCTGTAGTTTTTATATCCAGTGGTATGAAAAATTAAGTGAGCTTGGTTGACAGTTTTGATCAGATCCTTACTGATTTTTTGCTTACTCATTTTACCAAATACTGAGAAGAGTGGCTTAAAATTCTCAACCCTGATAATTAATTTGTCTCTTTTTCTCTCATTGGAGAGTTGTCATAGATGTTTTGTTTTACATATATTGTTATAGAGCTTTTACATTTACATCTAGGCGTCTTAGGTCTTTTTGATAAATTGTTTCTTTAGCAAGTGAAATACCCTCTGATAGCATTTCTTGTCTTGAAGCCTACCTTGGCTGATATTAATACAGCCATATCTCCTTTCTTTTGTTTAGTGTTTGCATGGTATATCTTTTTTTCCTCTTACTTTCACCTCTATATTTAAAGCACATCTTGATTACATCTCTGATAGTTGTGCTTTGTCTTTTAATTGCCTGACAATTTCTGACTTAAAATTGGAATGTTTAGTCCATATATATCTAATGCAATTATTGGTATAATAGGGCTCATATGTCAATATGGCCCTATTTTGCTTTCATTTGTTTTGTTTTCAAATTTTATTCTACACTCTTCTGATTGAATTAACTGATGAGTTATACAATCCAGTTATCTTAATGAATACTGCCTTTTGATTTATATTTAACTTTCCATTTAAAAAAAAATCTAGCTACTATTAAGCCTACTGTAAACTTTCCACTGCAGTTCTTGCATCACTTGTTTAGTATTTCCATTTTGTTGCATTTTTAATTTCTATTTCTCTGCTGAGGTTCTTTATATAGTTACTCATTGAGACCATATTTTTCTTGAAGTCCTCGAATGCACTTATACTGTTCTAAGATTTGTCTCCTAAATCTCACATCTGAGCCATCTTGGAGTGTGTTTCTATTCCCTCGCTATATTTTTTTGGCTATGAGTCAAAATTTCATATTTATTTGGAGAAACGGTATTTTTATTATATTTTGGATATTATAATTGATATATAGATTCTGAATTCTGTTATCTTTCTCTGCATAGTGTTGATTTTTCTTCCCTAGGCAACTATTGACTGAACTTTTTAAACATATATGGGCTTAGATTTATGTAGTGTTAGGATGGATTTACCTCCTCTAACTTGTGAGTATTCAAACTCCTAGTTCTTACTATCTCATATATTTTGGTTTGGCTATGTTTTAAGATTTAGGGAAGTCTAAAGTAGGCCTTATTATATAATGTGGGCCTTATGTCAAAGGCGTGATCCTTCTGCCATGTCAATTAAATATCCACGTGTTAACAAGGTCTCTCCACTCAGGCTGTGCTGGAACTCAAATGTCTGCTACCACATTGATTGACTTCTATTTATTTTGTTCTCCTCTCAACCCAAGAGCAGCTGATAATTTCACACAATATTCTCTGGAGAAACCATAATACTACCCACAGCCAAGGCCTTGTAGAGAGCCTCCATGCAGACTTCTGCTTCATCCTCTCTCCCTCTATCCTCATTGTTCAGCTGCTTTCTAGTGATTGCAAATTTCAGCTGCTTTACCTGTCAAGATTCTGATCTCTGCCTTCTCAGCTCAGGGCCACCATACTCTGTTTGAACTTTTTCTTTCTGCACCACAATTAGGAGGTTTCCCTTGACATAGAGCTTTGGTAATTAGAGGGTTTATTCATAAGCGCCTTCACTCAACACTTGACCTATCATCCTATGCTTAAACGTAGTTGTCTCACATAAAAAGTTACTAGATAATTCATAGACTGGAGAAGATATGTGTGGTTCTTAGGTTGAACAATATTGATTATTATGCAGTTTTTAAATGGTCAAATGTCTACATTTCTACATAAGTCCATATAAATAAATAAGTGACAGTAATGTAGAGAATTTTTGAAGAGTTTCTTTCATCAGCTGAAAAGAGACAACACAACAGAAAAACAGAGAAAAAGTTTATAAAGGGACAATTCACATAAAAGGAAATAATTGGACAATACTAAAAACTATTTCTTTTAACAATGAGAAAAATGCAAATTTTTGAGAACGACCATGCTGATGGGACAACAACTTGAGAGAGTAATTTGGTGATACTCAGTCATTTTAAAGAGCACACACTCTACAAGTGAGTATACTAAAGAAACTCTTATTTTCTTTACAAGAAAGTGATGTACAAAGAAAGTGTACAACAAAGTGATGTATAAAGATATTCACTGTGCCCATTTGTATAAATAATAAATAAGTGGAACAAACTAATACTTTCTCAGTAGAATGACTAGATGCAGTGGCTTGGACATAAAGAGGTTTATCAACATTAAATTAATCAAAATAAAAGTTTTAATATTTCTAAAGTTCTTAAAACAATTTCTATTCTTGGCATAGGCTACTTCAGTTCAGGATAAAATGAATGAATTAGATTTAAATATATTAACAAAGGTAAATACTAAAAACAATATTCATTAGAAAATCCAGTGGCAAGCGTGTTCTCAGTATGATTTTATTAATGTAAAATTGAAAACACAAAAAGCAATAGAATATAGTGTTACAAATACATTAGAGTGATAAACACCAACTTTAAAGGATATAGGGAGGGCTAAGAGAAATGGTAAGTTGGGTTTTGGTATATATAATTTTGTTTTGTTTTTCTTTTAAATGAAAATTGTAAAGCAAACAAAAAAGGAAATATCAATAAAGCTGCAGACGTGCAAATTTTCAGTTTTATTAACAGAGCAGAAACATATTATTACATCATCATTTTCAGTTCACTTGACTAACAGAGTCTATCAAAGCAGAGAAAGTGGCAGAGACATGAAAAGTTAGTTGTCTTTGCTCATGTCGCTCTGAGAAAAGGCCACAGTAATCAGTGAACCTTTGTTCACCAAGCTTATGAAACAGAAAGTCTCAATTATATAAGTCTTGGCAAAAGATTTTTTTTTTTGGAGTTTGTTGCATTATCGTAACTAAAAGTGATATGTACTGTTTCCTGTTTATAATCCAGATAATTTAAATTATTTTATCTTAGAAGTCTGAAAATTGCATGAACATTACATAAACATTTTCTTAAAGAAACAAACACTACATATGTTATTCAGACATAATCAAGGATATTGTTTATATTCACATTGGTGATGGGGTATTAATTGAATACATTTCTCATTAGTCAGGAAAACTTTCTCCTGCCATGATTGAATTGCATTCTTAGATATGTCTTTAGGGATCAACAAACTTTTCCCCTAAAGGGCCAGGTAGTAAATACTTTAGGCTTTGAGGGCCAGATGATCTCTGTTGCGACTATTCAACTCTTCTGCATTAGGGTGAAAGTAATACATATGTACCAGTAATACAGAAATAAATGGGCATGTCTGTGTTCCAATAACATTTTTTTAACAGAAACAGGTGGCAGGTTAGATTTGGTCTGCAAGTCATAGTATGACAACACCTGCTCTAGATTGTTTTTAATTCTTCTAATATTCTAGCTGGTTGTTTAATGATTTTGCCAAGGATTTTATGTATCTTTCTTGCCTATTATTTTTTATGACCCTCTGGTATGCAAAAGTTAGATACACTGAGATCTGCAAAAATAGAACACTGTGAAAATAACAAGATGATCGGCCAGTATTGTGATATAAGCGGTTTTGTCCTTGTTTGAATAGCCTCTTTCTCTTCCTCTATCTGTCTTTAGTCCCGCATGTTTCTGTTTGTTTGTTTGTTTGTTCTTTCAGAGGCATGATCTCGCTCTGCGGCCCAGGCTGCCAGGCTGAAGTTAAATGGCATGATCACAGCTCACTGCAGCCTTGAACTTCTGGGCTTAAGCAATCCTCCCACCTCAGCCTTCCAAGTACCTGGAACTACAGGCCTGCACCACCACACCCAGCTAATTTTGTTTTTAATTTTTTGTAGAGACAAAGTCTCACTATGTTGCCAAGGCTGATCTCAAACTCCTGGCCTCAAGTGATCTTCCCACCTCATCCTTTCAAAATGCCTATAGCCATCATCCATCATGCGTGGCCCAGTCTTTCATATTCTTACAGATGTGGGTGACCCCCATGTTATACTGGTGAGGAGGCTTAGGAAATTAATATAAACTTGGAACTTATGAAGTCTTTCTCATAAGACTTTTTCACAGAATCAGGTTTCAATTTCTTCTCTCTCTCAACTTCCTGTGGCATCTTGAATGCTATTTATCAATAAAATCCCATACAATTCTGCAAAACAAAGACTGCTAACATTCTTCTGTCTGGATTTATGAAGATTATACTTCTAAGAGAAATCAATCCTGGTAAGAATAACCAGAAGTCCTGAAGGCCCAAAATAGCTAGTGAGACTTGATAAGGTCTTTTATGATTTGTTAGTTAGTGGGAAAAACTAGGAAATTAGAAGAATGTGATTCGTTACAAGTTGCATCTACTTCTTAAACACAGTTGAGCAATAATAATTCGCTGAAAAAAATCCTTGCTAATTAAAAAAATAAAATGACATGAAATTTATTTTAGAGTGATTATTTGTGTCATCTGTAGGTTGCCGGAGTTTTGTGTTTTGCATCCTATAACAAAACAGATGAAACAGAGGGTTAAGAGCCACAGAGGGATGGTGACGCTCTGCAGGTGTGCTTTTCCATCAGTTTTTAATTAGGCTATGGGTGAGGCACATAAATAGGAAGTGCTGAGGGTGAATATGGTCTTTTTAAAAAAGGAAACAGTGAAAGGACAGAAATCTGTAATCATGAAGACAGACAAGTGGTACTCTGATTTTCTGTAATGTGGTTTTTGTCATTTTAATGCTTAATATTAAGATTAAATGTATGCTATGCTTGGAAGAAAATCATATTTTTATAAATTTAATTGAAATATTTGCAATTTTTTATGACTATCTCTGGGCAAACCCTTAGCGTCAAAAGAAAGTAAAAAATTAAAAAGGCTTGTTTAAAGGCACTTTCTTCTTTGTTATGTATGGCACTTTCCTGTCTTGAAAGAGAATGTTGAAGGAAGTAATGTCCCCGTGAATGTCTGATGATAATGTGCCCCTGTACTCAGGCCTTGCCTGGTGAATAATCTTATACAGTCAAATACTCTATTGGAATTCTGATTGAATTAAGTGGCACATAAAGAGTATGCATAAAAGATCATGAAATTCTTGGTGCAAAAGACTCTGAATTCATATAGCATGGCAGTCATGCCTTTGAGAAACAGACATCACAATGGGTTCAGAAATCCTTAATATTTATTGAGGGATATGCCCCAAAAAGCTAAAGGAGAGAGGGAGCAGACAAAAGCAGCCTCCCCACCAAGATTCAGCTTTAAAACCTGTGAAAGGAGAGAGGGAAAAATGAGGTATAAAAGTTTCAGACTGAAATGCAGGTCTGAGGAAGTCTCGGCCAAACTGAAAAGGAATTCCCAAGCATCGTCTGTCCTTTGGTAGAGTGGCTTGGTACTTATAACTCCATGCACAGTCCTTGGCTTGGAGCAACCCACTGAATGCAAATCATTGGCGAGAATGCTGGAAGATCCAAAAGTGCTATGAATAAAGACTATTAATGAACTGTTCTCTTCATGGCAGGCTATCATGAAGACACTTGAGTAGCACAAATCCATGGCCACCATGAAGAGGTGTTCTACGTCTTCAAACTGAAACCGTATCATGCATAAGAAAATTTGTTATAAAAATTTTGTCCAGGAAGATTAATAATTTTTTCAATAAAATGTATTTTAGGCCAAGCAGGGTGGCTCAGTCTCTACTCCCAACACTTTGGGAGGCCAAGGCAGGCAAATTGCTTGAGCTCCAGAGTTTGAGATCAGCATGGTCAACATGGCAAAACTCTGTCTCTAAAAAAAATACCAAACTTAGCTGGGTATGGTGGTGCATGTCTGTATTCCCAGTTACTCAGGAAGCTGACCTGGGAAGATAGTTTGAGTCTGGAAGGTGGAGGTGGCAGTGAGCCAAGATTGTGCCACTGCACTCCATTCTGGGTGACAAAGCTAGGCTTTGTCTCAAAAAAAATATATGTAATATAATATATATAAAACTTGATTATTGCATTTACACAAATTTATCCAATGTTAGAAATATGATTTCAGCACCAAGGACAGTGATTGAAATACAGTACATGTTCAATATGGGTTGAGAATAAACGCATATAGTTTCTCATATTTCTTATTTTAGAAAGCCCTTCAATGTATCAGTTACGTTCTTCTTTCTAGCTCAACACTATCACTTTAATAAACTTTTCTTTATTTAGCCATAATTTGCATCTTAAGTTCTCACTCTTTTCAAATCTCAATAAGCCTATGTTATAACAAATACGCAGTTGTAACAGTGAGTAAGCACATTGACCCTGAACCATGCTTCCTGGGGTTAATGCTTGGCTTCAATATTTACTAACTGTGAAAACTTCGGCAAACCAATTAACCTCTCTCCCCCTTAGTTTCCTAATAGCTTAAATCAAAATTGTAACACTAGCTGATTATAGAGTCATTATGAAGATGAAAACTAATATGTTAAAATATTTAGAGCAGCATCTGGTGTATACAGTAAGCGCTCAGAAATGCAAGCCACTATCACTCATGCTGTTATTATTAACATGGATCAAAAGCTACACCATATAATTAATAAGGCATTAGGAATATCTCCACTAGGAAAAAAAGTGACTTGATAAGGGTTTTAAAACTGGCTCAGCAATTGACCAAATTTATCACAACAAATAATTTAGTACAAACTACTGGAAACTAGCAGGACCTCAATGTAGAAATGAAGGCAGTATATAGAAAAATATGATGATAATAAAAATGTAAACATAATGTCTGGCCTAAAGTTCTGTTATGGACACTCATGGACGCAAACCTGACGATAATATGCCCCTATATCCAGGTTGCCTGGCCACTATCAGTCTATCTGGCTTTTCAGTAATTCTACTCCTGGATCGGTAACTCCATGAAGACAGGCTTCCAAGTTTTGCAATTGGCATTTTCCAAGAGATTTCTTAGTGCCCTCTGTACCATAGCTCCATAGCTTAGCTATAAAATCAATCAATGCCCATCTCCTAAACATTTTGGAAACATTCAATTAACTATGAGGGTTATGCTGGCATGCCTAGCTCAACATCAATACACAAGTCCATTGAAGCAAAAGAGTGAAATAATAAACTCTTATTTAATTCATTCATTTATTCATGTATGCATGCAACAAATATTTATAAAGTAGGTATTATATGCCAGAAACTGGTGTGAAAGAAAATAATGGTAAAAAAAAATATTAAGCTTTTCCCTCATAGATTTGTAATCTTATACAGGAGAGTCAAACCTCTTTCATAATTTCACAATCAATCCCTATTCTATCAAAAGTATCATTGCCTAAGATCCCCTACTTGACTGATAAAAAAGTAGGATATAGATTCTATAGGTGCTGCAAAAACTAGAATGAATAGTGAAGAATTAAAAAAAAAGTTAAATTGACTGAACAATCATACCAATTATTTAAAGAGTTATCTGCTATACTCTAAAATAAAATAAAAATTCTCTGTATAGTAACAACTTGGACGTTGTAAAATAAAAAATGAAATATGGAAGGATAATACTGTATTTCTTATCTACAAAAAATTTTTCTTAACTGTTGATTTATTATCTGATAGCATTAAAAAACTGATGAAGGAGTTTATAGTATTCTCTGATGGTTGTTTATATTTCTGTGGGGTCACTGGTGATATCCCATTTATCACTTTTTTATTGTCTATTTGATTCTTCCCTCTTTTCCTCTTTATTAGTCTAGCACGCAGGCTATCTATTTTATCAATTTTTTTTTTTTTTCAGAAAAACAGCTCCTGGATTTGTTGATTTTCTGAAGGGTTGTTTGTGTCCCTGTCTCCTTCAGTTCTACACTGATCTTGGTTATTTCTTGTCTTCTGCTAGCTTTGGGATTTGTTTGCTCTTCTTTTTCTAGTTATTTTAGTTGTGATGTTAGGATGTCAATTTGAGATCTTTCTAGCTTTTTGATGTGGGCATTTAGTACTATAAATTTCCCTCCTAACAGTGGTTTAGTTGTGTGCCAGAGATTCTAGTACATTGCCTCTTTGTTCTCATTAGTTCCAAAGAACTTCTAGATTTCTGCCTTAATTTCATTATTTACCCAGGTGTCAATCAGGAGCAGGTTGTTCAATTTCCATATAGTTGTGTGGTTTTGAGTGAGTTTCTTAATTTTGAATTAAGAAACCACTGTGCTGTGGTCTGAGAGACTGTTTGTTATGACTTCAGTTATTTTGCATTTGCTGGAGTGTTTTCTTTCCAATTCTGTGATCAATTTTAGAGTAAGTACCATGTGGCACTGAGAAGAATGTATATTCCATTGTTTTGGGGTGGAAAGTTCTGTAGATATCACTTGGTGCAGAGCTGAGTTCAAGTCCTGAATATCCTTGCTAATTTTCTGTCTCGATGATCTGTCTAATACTGACAGTGGGGTGTTAAAGTCTCCCACTATTATTGTGTGGGAGTCTGAGTCTCTTTGTAGAGAACTGCGACTAAGAACTCGTTATATGAATCTGGGTGCTCCTCCATTGGATGCATATATATTTAGGGTAGTTAGCACTTCTTGTTGAATTTAATCTTTTACCATTAGTAATGCCCTTCTTTGTCTTTTTTTGTCTTTGTTGGTTTAAAGTCTGTATTATCAGAAACTAGGACTGCAACTTCTGATTTCTTCTGCTTTCCATTTGCTTAGTAAATTTTCTTCCATCCCTTTATTTTGAGCCTATGCGTGACCAGGAAGAAGTTGAATCCCTGAATAAACCAATAACGAGTTCTGAAATTGAGGCAGTAATAAATAGCCTACCAACCAAAAAAAGCCCAGGACCAGATGGATTTACAGCTGAATTCTACCAGAGGTACAAAGAGGAACTGGTACCATTTCTTCTGAAACTATTCCAAACAATTAAAAAGGAGGGACTCCTCCCTAACTCATTTTAGGAGGCCAGCATCATCCTCATACCAAAACCTAGCACAGATACAACAAAATAAGAAAGCTTTGGGCCAGTATCTCTGATGAATATCTATGTAAAAAATCCTCAATAAAATACTGGCAAATCAAATCCGGCAGCACATCAAAAAGCTTATCCACCATGATCAAGTCAGCTTCATTCCCGGATGAAAGGCTGGCTTAACTTATGCAAATCAATAAACATAATTCATCACATAAACAGAACTAAAGACAAAAAACACATGATTATCTCACTAGATGTAGAAAAGGCCTTCAATAAACTCCAGCATTCCTTCATGTTAAAAATTCTCAATAAACTAGGTATCGAAGGAACATAACTCAAAATAATGAGTCATTTATGACAAATCCACAGACAATATCATACTGAATGTGCAAATGCTGGGAGCATTCCCTTTGAAAACTGGCACAA
The DNA here is from genome assembly GCF_000001405.40 of Homo sapiens. Classification (NCBI taxonomy): domain Eukaryota; kingdom Metazoa; phylum Chordata; class Mammalia; order Primates; family Hominidae; genus Homo; species Homo sapiens. The sequence goes on along the minus strand of NC_000010.11, from coordinate 64,583,831 downwards.
GACAAGGATGTCCTCTCTCACCACTCCTATTCAACGTAGTATTGGAAGCTATGGCCAGGGCAATCAGGCAAGAGAAAGAAATAAAGGGTACTCATAGAGGAAAAGAGGAAGTCAAAGTGTCTCTATTTGCAGATGACATGATCTTATATCTAGAAAACCCCATCATCTCAGCCCAAAAGCTTTTTAAGCTGATAAGCAACTTCAGCAAAGTCTCAGGATACAAAATCAATGTGCAAAACTTACAAGCATTCCTACACACCAATAACAGACAAGCGGAGATCAAAATCATGAATAAATTCCCATTCACAATTGCTACAAAGAAAATAAAATACCTAGGAAAACAGCTAATGAAGAAAGAGAAGGACCGCTTCAAGGAGAACTACAAACCACTGCTCAAGGAAATTCAAGAGGACACAAACAAATGGAAAAACATTCCATGTTCATGGAAAGAAAAAATCAGTATCATGAAAATGGCCATAGTGCCCAAAGTAATTGATAGATCCAATGCTATTCCCATTAAACTACCATTGACATTCTCCACAGAATTAAAAAGAACTATTTGAAAAATTCATGAGGAACCAAAAAATAGCTCATATAGCCAAGACAATCCTAAGCAAAAAGAACAAAGCTGGAGGCATCACGCTACCTGGCTGCAAACTATACTACAAGGCTACAGTAACAAAACAGCATGGTACTGACACAAAAACAGACACATAGACCAATGGAACAGAATAGAGGCCTCAGAAATAACACCACACACCTACAACCATCTGATCTTAGACAAACATGACAAAAACAAGAAATGGCGAAAGGCTTTCCTATTTAATAAATGGTGCTGGGAAAACTGGACAGCCATATGCAGAAAACAGAAACTGGACCCCTTCCTTATACCTTATACAAAAATTAACTCAAGATGGATTAAAGACTTAAAAGTAAAACCCAAGACTATAAAAACCCTAGAAGACAATGTAGGCAATAGCATTCAGGACATAGGCACAGGCAAATATTTTATGACAGAAACATCAAAAGCAATTGCAACAGAAGCCACAATTGACAAATGGAATGTAATTTAAAGAGCTTCTGCACAGCAAAAGAAACTACCATCAGAGAAAAAAACAACCTATAAAATGGGAGAAAATTTCTGAAATCTATTCATCTGACAAAGGTCTAATATCCAGCATCTACAAGGAGCTTAAACAAATTTAAATGAAAAAAACAAATGACCCCATTAAAAAGTGGGCAAAGGACATAAACAGACACTTCTCAAAGGAAGTCATGCATGTGGCCAACAAACATATGAAAATAAGCTCAACATCACTGGTCATTAGAGAAATGCAAATCAAAACCACAATAAGATATTATGTCATGCCAGTCAGAATGACAGTTATTAAAAAGTCAAGAAACAGCAGATGCTGGTGGGGCTACGAAGAATTAGAAATGCTTTCACACTGTTGGTGGGAATGTAAATTAGTTGAAACATTGTGGAAGGCAGTGTGGTGATTCCTCAAAGACCTAGAACTAGAAATACCATTTGACCCAGCAATCCTTTTACTGAGTATATACCCAAAGGAATATAAATTATTCTATTATAAAGATACGTGCATGTGTATGTTCATTGCAGCACTATTAACAATAGCAAAGACATGGAATCAACCTAAATGTCCATCAATGATAGACTGGATAAAGAAAATGTGATACGTACACACCATGGAATACTATGCAGCCATAAAAAAGAATGAGATCATGTTCTTCGCAGGGACATGGACGGTGCTGGAAGCCATTATCCTCAGCAAACTAACACAGGAACAGAAAACCAAACACCGCATGCTCTCACTTATAAGTGAGAGCTAAACAATATGAACACATAGACACAGGAAAAGGAACAACATACAGTGGGATCTGTGGTGGGGGGAGCGGGGAGGGAGAGCATCAGGAAATAGCTAATGCATGCTGAGCTTAATACCTAGGTGATGGGCTGATAGGTGCAGCAAATCATCATGGCACACATTTACCTATGGAACAAACCTGCACATCCTACACATGTACCACAGAACTTAAAATAAGAGAGATATTTCAAAAGTAAAACCAATAGCTCCTGGAGGCTAATTAGATATGAGACAGAAATAAATTATTCACTCATTTAATCCTGCAATTATTCCTCAGATATGTATTGCCTATTTCATGCCAGAAAATGGTCTAAGATCTAGAATTAAGAAGCAGACATGCTACCTTCTATGGGAAACATCTCTTAAACAAAGCGTTAAATTTCAGAGTGATAAATGCCAGGGAAGATACAAGTGCAGTGTACAAATTTTCCAGTGTGACCCCACATGCAAATAACCAACACTGTGAGTTTGATCTGAGCAACTGCACAGATTATGATGCCATTAATAGAGACACAGAATGTAGAAAGGAGGGAGCAGTGTTGCAAGCGATAATGAGGAGTTTGGTTTATACATTTTAACAGCTGACTAAATATGGATGGTTAAGTAAAAAGGCCACACAACTGATACTTGTGACTGAGAACACTTCTTCCCAAATCAAACAGGTTTGCCAATTTTTAATGTAAGCAAACAGAGCTGTAACACAACTTCATATACATCTAAATTCTCCTCATAAATATTATCATTTTAAAAAATCATGTTGTTCAAGGGGTCTTCTAGTACCAAAAGTGTTTTCATTATTAAAAAATGAAGAAATATTGATCTAATATTTTAAGTTCAATAAACATTCTAACATTATCTGGCTGTTTTTTACCGGCTATGCAGTTGGCTTTCAACTAGTTGGTTTTCAGGTAAAAAACAAAACATTGAATATTATGCCAGTTAGTCCTTAAAGGCTGCCTTCTCAACTGATCATTTGAAGGAGAATTAATGTCTCAGGAGAAGGAAAGTAGCTCCATTAAGGGTGCTAATTCCTTTCACCCAAGATAATGCCAAGCTTAAGTTAAAATCTCACTCTATTAGAGCCATCACACACCAGAAAAAGCAAAGCTTTCCAGTCACTTGCAACCAAATTCAAGATTTTGAGTTATCAAAAAATATTCACTTAGCCGGGTAACAAATTGTGTCTTCCAATGAAAAAATAAATATATTACTATGCATTTGGAATAAAAAGAGGGTAGTTGACAATTGTTCACCCTCTTCAGAAGACAACTGGCATCATGAATATATTCTATAAATCAATAACTGAAGAATGCAATTACTATCCCTCTATTACACTGATTAACCAGGTACATTGTGCTTCAAACTGGAGATTTTTTAAATGACTTGTATGATATTTTATGGTAGCCACATGACTAAAAAGAAAATCTGCATTTCACTCTGAATTATTATTTCCAAATCCACCTGCCTTCTCCCAGTAGGCAATTAGTTTGTATGATTACAGACTTCTGAGATATCAAAAGTAGGAATGAGGCCAGCCACGATGGCTCACGCCTGTAATCCCAGTACTTTGGGAAGCTGAGGTGGGTGGATCACTTGAGACCAGGAGTTTGAGACCAACCTGGCCAACATGGAGAAACCCGTCTCTATTAAAATACAAAAATTATCTGGGCATGGTGATGTACACCGATAATCCCAGCTACTCGGGAGGCTGAGGCATAAGAATTTCTTGAGCCTGAGAGGTGGAGGCTGCAGTGAGGCAAGACTGCAGAAACTCTGTCTCAAAAAAAAAGAAAAAAAATATATATATATATATGTATGAATGAATAGATGGACAAGTGGATGAAATAAAGCAAAAAGCAAACTTCTATCAATCATACAAAATTCACATGAGATCAGAAAAGACATTTATCATTCAAAAGCCTTACTTGTTTATTTGGATGAGGGTCTTTAATAAATTTTATCTGCCTGATTTCAAAAAAGAAAGAAATATCCTCTTTTCTGGACTATCATATTTTGTGCTCATATGTTGGTCTTGTACTTCTGTGGCTTTATACATCCTCTCCAAAACTCACTTCCCTCTCTTCTCTATTAATCCCATGCCAATTACACATTTCAAAATAAAACTCAAAATTATCTCCCTAAGGTATTTCTTATGTTTTGCTTTATTATCTCTTATATTTATGCTCTCTACTTATTTCAAACATAGTGGCTTTAAAAAGTTGTTTTAAGAAACTGGCTACTTTTTTGCTCAATTTGTATTACTTATCCCATTAGATGTACCCAATGTATATACTTCAAATTTCAATGTCATTCATTCCTAAATGAATTACTAAACAAACTGAATACCAATTGTGGGTATAGTACTAAGAATTAAGTTTAAATAAAGACTTGCCCTTGAAAAGCTTGCAGGGCTTATTTATTTCACAATTATTCGCCTAATAATTATATATGCCAAACACTTTAAGTAAGGAGTACTCACCATTAAGGATCTCACACAGAAGTACGTACATGTAAAAAAGAAACATAATTCATAACGAATAAACACAAGATGGAATCTTGAATTAAGTTTGTTCTAGCAAAAATATATTAGTGGAACAAGCAATGAAATTTGGCAAAGACATGTAGCCTAGTTCATAGTATTATGTCATTGTTAATACCATGATTTTTTTTTATTATACTTTAAGTTCTAGGGTACCTGTGCACAACATGCAGGTTTGTTACATATGTATACATGTGCCATGTTAGTGTGTTGCACCCGTTAACTCGTCATTTACATTAGGTATTTCTCCTAATGCTATCTCTCCCCCCTCCTCTCACCCCACGACAGGCCCTGCTGTGTGATGTTCCCCATCCTGTGTCCACGTGTTCTCATTGTTCAATTCCCACCTATGAGTGAGGACATGCGGTGTTTGGTTTTCTGTCCTTGTGATAGTTTGCCGAGAATGATGGTTTCCAGTTTCATCCATGTCCCTACAAAGGACATGAACTCATCCTTTTTATGGCTGCATAGTATTCCATGGTGTAAATGTGCCACATTTTCTTAATCCAGTCTATCATCGATGAACATTTGTGTTGGTTCCAAGTCTTTGCTGCTATTGTGAATAGTGCCGCAATAAACATACATGTGCAAGTGTCTTTATAGCAGCATAACTTATAATCCTTTTGGTATATACCCAGTAATGGGATGGCTGGGTCAAATGGTATTTCTAGTTCTAGATCCTTGAAGAATCACCACACTGTCTTCCACAATAGTTGAACTAGTTTACAGTCCCACCAAGAGTGTAAAAGTGTTCCTATTTCTCAACATCCTCTCCAGCACCTGTTGTTTCCTGACTTTTTAATGATCGCCATTCTAACTGGTGTGAGATGGTATCTCATTGTGGTTTTGATTTGCATTTCTCTGATGGCCAGTGATGATGAGTATTTTTTCATGTGTCTGTTGGCTCCATAAATGTCTTCTTTTGAGAAGTGTCTGTTCATATCCTTGGCCCACTTTTTGATGGGGTTGTTTGATTTTTTCTTGTAAATTTGTTTAAGTTCTTTGTAAATTCTGGATATTAGCCATTTATCAGATGGGTAGATTGCAAAAATTTTCTCCCATTCTGTAGGGTGCCTGTTAACTCTGATGGTAGTTTCTTTTGCTGTGTGGAAGCTCTTTAGTTTAATTAGACCCCATTTGTCAATTTTGGTTTTTGTTGCCATTGCTTTTCGTGTTTTAGACCATGATTTTGATCATTGTATGGGAGTTATATAAGATAGTAACCTCAGGAGAAGGCAAGTGAAGTCAATCAAGGCTCTTTCTGTACAATTTTGTAGTATATTGCATGTCTACAATTATTTAAAAAATAAGTTTTTTAAAGCAATGTAAAAGATACAATGAGATGAAGAGATAAATGTCTGTATCATGATATATTTCAGCAATATTCCTCTTCAAGAAAGGCCTTAGCGCTCAACTGTAGGGACTGTGGTTGTCAGGCAGCCCCATTGTCAACTCCTTTGGGATGTGCCTCAACTGCAGACAGCCACCTTGCCCAAGCCCACGCCCTTCCCAATGTCACAGGATCCTTGGGGTGTCACTTTGCCAGGCATAAATCTCTGTGGCTGGTGATGCCTTCTGCCTGAGTATTGCTTGGCAGGTTGTGCTCAGCTTATGCTACTGGTCTGGATCCCATACCTGCCAAGGGCAAGCCAGGTGTGGAGCTGCAAGGGGTGTGTGGGTGAGCAAGCATGGGGTCAGGCCACTGCACACAGCCAGACATGCCAGCTGCTATGGTGGCCCGAGCAGCTCCAGGTGCCAATGCAGCTGCCAGCTCTGTGTGAGGCTCCTCCTGGACCAGATGTACTGCATGCGGTTCCTACTGTAAGCACCTGCCTCTGGATGAGGTGAACATGGTGACACCCAGAAGCTTGGAGATGCCAGAAACCACAGAGCCCCAAAGAGGGTGTCACAGCCCTGGCTTGGGGAGCCCCTAGGTCTGGACTCCCCAAAAGGCCACAGCTCTTCTCTCCTCTTCACCTGCAATGTGGTGAATTGGTTGGGGGGGGTGTGTTTCAGCCTCGTTTGTGTTACAGCTCTTTCAGTCCCACTATTCTGTGGGTCCCAAGTCTTCCCAGTCTTGTGTCCTGAAAGGCTGAGGTACATGGACGTCTGGAGGGTGAGCAAGATGGAGAAGACCTTCACTGAGCAGCAGAACAGCTCTCAGGAGACCCGGAATGGGGAGCTCCTTTCTGCAGGCAGGTATTCCCAACAAGTGTTCAGCTCTCAGTGGAGAGGAGACCTGGACTGGGTAGGTCCTTCCCACAGCTGGTAGTCCCAATGTCTCTGTGAATCTGGCTGAGTCAGGAATTGTTATGGGCTTCGGAAGGGAGGAAGTGCATGCTGATGGTCCATGGGCAGTCATGGGCCGGCCCAGAAAAGGCACCTTAAGTTCTTATTCTGGGCAGGGACTCCACCTGGAACTGACAGCCTGGCCTCCAGGCTTCAGGCCATCTCTGGCTTGAAGGTGGGGCTTCACTGGGAACCCACCTCTTTCCACCCAGGAGCCTGTATGCCTCCTGCCACCATCAGTCATATTGTCCATAGTGCCCAAGCTGTTTCTGCAGAGGGGTGCCTACAGGCCCATGCAGAGCCAGCCTTAGCACCCCTTGAGCCTCCCTCCCGTGCTCGTCAGTGCCCAATGTCTGGAGGAGACCGAGACAGCAGGGGGTGGCATATGGGCGCCATCCCGAGTGCACACACACCTGGTCAGGTTGTGACAACACCCGGACTCGGCCTCAACTTTGCTCCGAAATCAGAGTGGGTGCTGGGAGCAGGGAAAGGCCAGGCAACGGAAGAAACCACTTCTTCTGAGACTTGTTGGGGCAGGGGACTTCCCGGGGACCCCAAGAGTTCAGAGATGTCTGGGTCCACAGCCACAGCTGGGCAGCTGCAGCTGCACCAGGGAGGGTGTGGCTCCCTCCTCCCCACCCCCCACCAACTCGGAACAGGGTAAGGCTCCCGCCTATTCCCAACTTCCACTGGCTCTGTGGAGCTTGCAGCCCCGGCTGCACCTCCTGGCTGCAGCTGGCGTCTTAGCAGGGGCCACTCCAGATGGGCCACTGCTGCCACCACCACCACAACCAGATCTTTTGACTGAGTAAAGCAGGGCTATAAAGACCTGGCCATTTCAGCTCCTGGGGACACACTAATAAGCAATACTTTCCCAGCTTCCCTTCTAAAGCTTCGTTGAACTTGCACTACAGTTTCGCTTCCTCCTTGGCCCATTTCTGCTTCCTCCTCCTTCTTTTCCAAAGGGTTGGTCCCTAAAAACACGTTGCACCCCAACTATATCTCAATTTCTGCTTTTTGAGAACTTAATCAATGCTATGTGTGAGGACTCTGAGAACACAGGGGACAGAATAATTATAATGTGACCAATGGTACTGTAATGTGAAATAAACATTCCTAAAAAGCACAGTGTGATACAAAATTGTATAATAAAATCTATATAGATACAGGAAAAATTTAGTCAGGGGAACGATACTCAAAAACATTGTGTGACAGTGACATGAAATAAACAGACAGGAACCTAATAGAAATGACATCAGCACTTATACATGTTGAATAGTTAAGGCCTTTCTCCACTCTGGCATGTAGAATGTGGGACACAGCAGACCAGAGGCTCCCAACAAGGCATCCATCCCTTGAGGAGGGGACGCATCATTAGAGATCCAATTAGAATTTTGCTCATGAGAGCAGAAAAGAAATGAAAGTTCCACTGGCCTGAGGCTTACAGCCTAAACACAGCAGAGTCCCCCACTATGTGGGGGTAAGGGGTCCAGAGATGGCTATGCCAGAGGAGACAGTGGCAAGTGTCCATCTGGTGGTAGCACCCTGCTAAGAAGAATGATCCTGTGGGAGTGTTGGCAATACCTTACCTGCCAAGTTTACTGCCCAAACCCAATTTCAGCCATTCACCTGATGCTGTGAGTTATCACACTTCCAACGCATTTCCTTTACACTTAATTTATCCAAAGTCTATTTCTTCTATTTTCAACCAAGAATCCTAAACAAAAAAGAAAAGAAAAAATATATATACCTACACATACACCAAAAATGATTGGAATGGGCTTCTCTTTCTTTTTCTAGGTCACAACAGGTCAATGCTCCACTGGACAGCTAAAAAAAATTTGCTGAACTCATTTCAAAGTGATTACTTATAAAGGCATTAGAAATTGGTGGAGACAATGAAGACTAGGTGAACCCAAACAGAATATAGTGATGTAATCACCACCCAGAACAAGAAACAGAATGTTTCACCACCTCAGAAATACCCAGCATGTCTCTCTCTGTCGCCCAGGCAGGAGTACAGTGAGGCAATCATAGCTCACTGCAGCCTCGAACTCCTGAGCCCAAGTGATCCCTCTGCCTCAGCATCCCAGGCTAAGTTTTTTATTTTTTTGGAGACAAGGGTTTTACTCTGCCACCCAGGCTAGTCTCAAACTCCTAGGCTCAAATGATCCTCCTGCCTCAGCCTGCCAAATCACTGGGATGACAGGCATGAGCCACTGCACCTGACTAAATTCGTATTGTTTTCAGCCACCAAGTTTGTAGTAATTTGTCATAGCAGCAATAGAAAACTAACGCACAGAGTTATGACATCAATAGTAAGTACAGATGACCTTTTTAGGGGCCTCACTAAAATACAACAGTCTAATGAGATGCTAAAAACAATAGGAGCCAGCCTTAAAAGAGCTGAGAGAAGATGCCAGGTAGAAGAAAGAGCTTGTACTGAGGTCCAGAGATACATTCCTTGGCATGGTTCCAAAAAGGGAGCCTGAGTGGCTGAGTTGATGGAGAAAGAGAGAGAGAGAGACAGGATGAGATGGAGCTGGAGAGGTTGGCAGAGCTCCAGCACAGGATCTGGCAGGCCAAAGCAGGGAGACTGGAGTTTATTTTAAGATCGGAAGATTGCCATACAATGTTTAAGCAGGGGGTGACAATTACTAAAGAAATGGTGGCTTATAATCTTCTGTGTGCCCCACAAGCAGCTAAGTCTCAACCAGGTTCAAAACTGTAATCATCGTCTCTTGTGCCCTTGTCAGTTGTACTGAGATTCACCAAGTCACCCAGCCCAGAAGCCTAAGAAGTGCCCCAGACTTTTCCCTCCCAGTGTAAGCTCTGTCCATTTCTCCTTCTATCCAGCCACCTTCATGCCATGTTCATTATGAGAGAAGCTCTCAGAATGACCTCTCAGCAGCATTCCTGCCTCAGTCACTGCCCATCTCTGACTATCCTCTATACTGCAGCCCAAGCCAGATGTCTCAAAGGCAAACCTGATCATACCCTGCTGAAAACCTTTCAAAGGTTCCCTGCAGTAAACACAATGGAGCCTAACTCCCCAGGCCTGAACCAAGGACATGAAGCAAGTGAAGCACTTTCCCCAAGGACAAAATTTAAGGTGGGAGAAGGGGGGTTTTGGGCACAAAAACACTCAGTAATCAAGACAAATAATGTGCTTTAACAACTTTGTAGTGGTGTAGTTTATATATCACTAAGTTCACTTGTTTAAAGTGTACAATGTAATAGTTAAGTATATTTACAAAGTTGTGCAAACATCACTGTATTCTAATTTTAGAACATTTTTATCATCCCAAAAAGGAACCTTGTACCTATTAACAGCCACTTCCTCCAGGCCTAGGCAATCACTAATCTACATTCTATCTCTAGAGATTTACCTATGCTGGACATTGCCAAGAAATGGAATTGTGTAACATGTGGTCCTTTATGACTGGCTTCTTTTACTTAGCTTCGTTTTCAAGGTCCTGTGTTGTAGCATATTTCAGTGCTTTGCTCATTTTGGTGGCCAAATATTACTCCATTGTACAGACATACTGCATTTTGCTTATTCCATCATCAGCTGATGTTCGTTTGGGTTCTTTTCACCTTTTGATTACTATGAATACTGTTGCTACCAACATTCACACAAATGAAAATACGTTTGTGTGAATATATGTTATTTATTTTGGGAGGATACCTAGGAATGGAATTGCTGGGTCATATGACAACTTTATGTTTGGCTTTTTGAGAAACTGACAAACTGTTTTCCAATGTGGTTGCACCATTTCACACTCCCGCTAGCAATGTAAGAATGTTCCAATGTTTCCATGTCCTCACCAACACTTGTCATGCTCTTTTATATTACAGTCATTCTAGTGAGTGTGAAATACAGACACTTCTCAACTTGCAATGGGGTTACCTCACCACAAATCCATCATAAGAAGAAAATATTGTTAAATGCATTTAATGCTGGCAGCACACATAGTCCCCAACTTAAAATGGTTCAACATTTCTTGACTTTATGAAGGTGCAAATTCCATACATATTCAGTAGAAACTGTAACCTCATAGTAAATTGTAAGAAACTTCTTGACTAGCAATAGTGTTTTGTCCCAATACACTCATAGTAAGATTGAAAAATTATGAAATGAAAGAAATACCATAATTTGGGGACTATCCATATTGCCTAAATGTGGCTTTGATTTCTAGTTCCCTAATGACTAAAGATGTTGAACATGTTTTCATGAGCTTATTAGTCATTTATTGTCCTTTTTTAAGAAATGTCTATTCAAATCTCTGTCTGATTTTTAATTGGGTTATTTCTCCTTTTACTATTGTGTTGTTAGTGTCCTTTTTATATTCTGGATAAAGTCCCTTGTCAAATATATGACTTTCAAATAAAAAAAGAAATACCCATCACATACATATTCAATCATTCCCCCCGAAAGAAAACCATTTTCAGTACTTTTTTATTAAAAAAATTATTTGAGTTTTATAGAAGGATAGTTGGCAATTAAAATTTATATGTATTTATGGTGTACAATTTGATATCTATGCATTGTATAATATTCACTGCAATCAAGCTAATTAAGATATCCACCACCTTACATAGTTACCATTTTCTTTTCTTTTTGCGGTGAGAACACTTAATATCTATCATCTTAGCAAATTTCAAGTATACAATGCAATATTTCTAACTACAATCACATTGTTCTACATCAGATCCTCATTAGTACTTTAGAAATTATAAAGTACTGGCCGGGCTCGGTGGCTCACGCCTGTAATCCCAGCACTTTGAGAGGCCAAGATGGGCAGATCACCTGAGGTCTGGAGTTCGAGACCAGCCTGACTAACATGGAGAAACTCCCTCTCTACTAAAAATACAAAATTAGCCCGTCGTGGTGGCACATGCCTCTAATCCCAGCTACTCAGGAGGCTGAGGCAGGAGACTTGCTTGAACCCAGGAGGCAGAGGTTGCAATGAGCTGAGATCATGCCATTGCACTCCAACCTGGGCAACAAGAGTGAAACTCCGTCTCAAAAAAAAAAAAAAGAAAAAAGAAATTATAAAGTACTTAGGTGATGGCCAATTGTGGTTCAGAAATTACAGAGGGAAATGCTGATTTTGAAATATTTTCTTAATTTCAGTGAGAAGGACCCAAAAGTGTTGGAGATAAAAAAGATTCACTTGATCACCAGAAATAAAATGGGCATAACTACTGTAATAAGCAACAAGACCAGCATGGAATGCTGTCCCTCACAGGGATCTTCAGCTATAGTGGATTGACAATGGGTCAGTAGGACTGAAATGGTTATATTCTCATACACCCAGATCTGGGCAGCAGGTTGCACCACAATAGACCTTCATCAAAGTCTTTGACCTAAGTCAGCTTATAGACCAAGGGCTCATTAAATGACAGGTAAGTTGAGGAGGAATGCAGGAATTGCTACGACATACTAAAAATGCAGACATTTGATGAATCTCTGTTCTGTATTTCTCAAAAGGACCTATAGCTATATAGCAAGACTCATTTTTACTTGGGAAGAGAAAGGTCCCAACCCAGATATTTCAGGAACTTTTGAAATATTTCTGTGCTAACATTGATGCCAGTTGAAATTTAAGATTTCTGTGCACCAAATCTATCATAGGTAATTTTTCTAGTTTGAATTTCACTTTAATCCCTGAGTACAGAGCTGGATTGTGTTTCTCTTACAGATAATTTTGATCATGTGACTGAGTTTTGGCCAAGAAAATATGAATATTCTATTTCAAGTCCTGAGTCATAAAATCCTCTGACACAGTCTTCTACTCTCTTTCCCCAAATGCCTACTGAATTGAGAGACTAACAGGAAGTGAGGTCACACAGAGGAAAAAGCCCAGGTCCTAGAGTTTCTTAGAAAAAGCCATGTGATTACTAATACCCATACTAGAGTGTGCCATGAGTGAGAAATGAAAACTTACGGTGTAAAGTTGTAAGATTTTTCACATGTATCTATAATAGCAGTTGGCATTACCTCAACAGGCTATTGCAGCACAAATATCCAAGTTGAAGTCCTTGGATTTTTCTTTGTTTCCTATCAAAAATAACACTAAAGCAATACCACAATTATGAAGAACACAGATTACTATCACCATTTTGCTTTAAAAATATGAGATTATGTTATTATGTCCTTTTTTAACTTTCCACTTTGGTCAGTGTGGAAGGGGAACATATCTTGGAGACTCAGGGTGAATAATCAGAAATTTAATCAGGTGCAACTGTTATTCTAGACCTCACATAGTATCTATATTAGCCTGTTTTCACGCTGCTGATAAAGACATACTCGAGACTGGGCAACTTACAAAACAAAAGGGGTTTAATTGGACTTACAGTTCCATGTGGCTGGGGAAGCTTCACAATCACACGGAAGGCAAGAAGGAACAAGTCACATCTTAAATGGATGGCAGCAGGCAAAAAGACTCGCGCAGGAGAACTCCTCTTTTTAAAACCATTAGATCTTAGAAGACGTATTCACTATCATGAGAACAGCATGGGAAAGACCTGCCCCCATGATTCAATTATCTCCCACCAGGTCCCTTTCACAACACATGGGAATTCAAGCTGAGATTTGGGTGGGGACACAGCCAAACCATATCAGTATCTGTGGTGGGAACCCAGATGTCCTGACTTCATGGCTCCAGCACTCATTCACTCAGCAGCCTGCACAGCAAGGAGATCAATAAGTTCTGAAGAATGGCATCTGGAGCTACAACTATCAATCCGATTGACATTTTATAGATAAAGATTGTTGTTCTCAGTGACTTGACTTTTAAAGGAAGATGAAAGATCTGCTGGTTTAAAGGTTAGGAAAAATCATGCAATCTCCCAGTAAGGGCTTTCTGTAAGAGTATAATAAGATATAATAATAATAATAATGATAATGGTAATTTTTACCATGTTTAAAAATTTAGAAATTGCTTCCATCTGTAATTGTCTACTGTGAAGTAGACCTAAAATTAGATATTAAGAATAAAAATAGATACAGAGAGCTTGGAGGAGTGTACTGAGTGTGAGACATGGATTCAACTGACTATTTTAACTTCTAAAATGTGTTCCAAAGAAGTTACTTTAAACTAATTTTCTAGACACACAACGGATGTTATATTATAACATCCGTTATAATGTAACGGATTTTTATATCCGTTTTATTATATTTTAATCTTAGATGCATTCAATTAATTGAAATTATATTAATACATGAAGAAAGTAGAGTTATCTGAGCAAATAAGGAAACATGCTTTAATCACTTAAAATTTAATAACTAATAGCTGTAATATTCTAATATCTCAATAATAATAATTGTAAATGTGGGAAACAGATCTTCCATAGATATTCCCAAGTGCTTTTCTGAAATTGGATACTGCGGATAAGAATGTACTTCAAATATAGAACATGCTTGTGCAATAGAGTTGATTACCAAAACTTACTGTCCCATACATAGTTTGATAAACTAATACATCTAATTGAAAGAAAAAAGTAGTAGGCTTAATGTAAAGTAAATATTACCAGGGCAGTTTAGTGGATAAATTGATATTTCCTATGTATACATGCAACTCTACTCCTGGAATTCCACCAAGTGATTTCCCACTGTATTGTAAGATTTTAGCACATTTTCTCCTTGCCACTTTGTATTATATTTATGTTTCATCTCACGTTCTAGATGCTAAATTTATTGAGATTAATTCCTCTAACCCCACAATGCCTAAAGCCTTCTTCCATCTTGTATATACTTGGTAAAATATTTATAACTACTGAGTAAATAGTTTTAGTATTACATAATTAATATACTTCAAGATCGACACCCTCTTTAAGCTATCTCTAGTCAATCTAATATACAGGACTTGCCCTCCATTTTCTGTTGATATTTTCATATTTTCTTATATGATATTAAATTAAGTTAAAGTTGCCTGAGGTTGTCCTCTCCATACCTTGAGTCCCTATGTATCAAACTGCAACCTAACTTAATATGCAAATAAACCAAAACCTAAAGTAAGAGTATAACAAACAGCCAAGTTTCTGCCAATCACAGTTTCTGGGTTTCAACCAATCAAAGGTAGCCAACTTATTACACCATGTCCAAATAAGGCAGATGCCTAGCTGTAGCCAATAAAATAGTTTCTTTACTTTGCTTCTGCATCCACCCTATAAAAGCTCACTGCTCACACTTCAGGGCAGAGATCTCTGAAGAGCTCTTCTTATTCAGGGAGATGTGAAATTCATGAAGCATTCTTTGCTCCAATAAAAACATTTAAATTTAATTTGTCTAAAGATTTTATTCTTTTTTAATCAAAGATCCTACAGATTTCTAAGTGTCAACTTATCCAGATTATTCTGAAGAACCCTATTTCTGTATATTGACAAACATTAAAGTCAAGGATGAATCCATTTTGGAAACAGGTTAAACAAAGCTGAACAAGTTTTTTGACTGTTGCATTTCTCAGGAAAATTGTGAATCCCAAAGATGGGAATAAAATATATATTGTTTTCCCGATCTAGTTGACCTCCAACTAACCTTTCACAGAACATATTTAGATTGAGTTAATTATAACTTACAAGGTGTTCACAAACACATAACTTATGCTATTTTTTTTATAAAAGGAGTCAGGAGGGGTGTTATTATGTTCTCTATGTTTTCATAAGAAACCTTAATCAAGATGTCCATGACTAAGACTTTCAGTGTTACTGATTTTGAGGGTGCTGTGCTCTTGATTATTTTTCTATGTGTGAAGTATGTTGCTCCAGCTCTTCTGTAAACTCATTGGTAGTAATATCTAACTGCTTTAAATCTTGTGTAGTTTCTATTCCATAGTACACCTTAGAAATGCTTATACTTGGCTGGGCACTGTGGCTCACACCTGTAATTCCAGCACTTTGGAAGGTCAAGATAAGAGGATCAACTGAGTTCAGGAGCTCGAGACCAACCTGGACAACATGGTAAAACCCCATCTCTACTAAAAATACAAAAATTAGCTGGGCATGGTGGCGTTCCTGTAATCCCAGCTATTTGGGAGGCTGAAGCAGGAGAATTGTTTGAGCCTGGGAGGCAGAGGTTGCAGTGAGCCAAAATGGCACCACTGCACTTCAGCCTGGGCAACACAGAGAGATACCACCTAAAAAAAAAGAAGCTCAATTCTGGCAAGATGGCCGAATAGGAACAGCTGCAGTTTGCAGCTCTCAGAGAGACCAACACAGAAGGTGGATGATTTCTGTATTTCCAACTGAGGTACCCTGTCCATCTCATTGGAACTAGTTAGGCAGTGGGTGGAGCCGATGGAGGGTGAGCAGAAGTAGGGAGGGGTGTCGCCTAACCTGGGAAGTGCAAAAAGCAGAGGGCCCCTTTCCCAGCCAGAGGAAGCCATAAGGGACTGTGCTATCCAGCCCAGATGCTATGCTTTTCCCATGGTTTTTGCAATCCACAGACTGGGAGATTCCCTTGTGTGCCTACACCACCGGGGACCTGGGTTTCAAGCACAAAAGCTGGTTGGATGTTTGGGCAGACACCAAGCTAGCTGCAGGAGTTGTTGTTGTTGTTGTTGTTTGTTGTTGTTGTTGTTTTGTTGTTGTTGTTGTTTTCATACTTCAATAGCACCTGGAAACCCAGCGAGACAGAACCGTTCACACCCCTGGAAAGGGGGATGAAGCCAGGGTGCCAAGTGGTCTCGCTCATTGGGTTTCACTCCCACAGAGCCCAGCAAGCGAAGAACCACTGGCTTGGCATTCTCGCTGCCAACACAGCAGTCGGAAGTCGATCTGGGATGGTCGAGCTTGATGGGAAGAGAAGCGACTGCCATTACTGAGGCTTGAGGAGGCAGTTTTCCCCTGACAGTGCTAAGGAGGCCTGAAAGTTCAGACTAGGCAAAACTCAACACAATGTGGCAAAGTGGCTGTGGCCAGACTGCCCCTCTAGATTCCTCTTCACTTTCCATCTCTGAAAGAAAGACAGCAGCCCCAGTCAGGTGCTTATAGAAAAAACTCCCATCTCCCTGGGACAGAGCACCTGGGGGAAGGGGTGGCTGTGGGCACAGCTTCAGAGGACTTAAATGTTCCTGCCTGCCAGCTCTGAAGAGAGCAGCGGATCCTGAGAAGGTTTCTCCCAGCACAGCGCTCAAGCTCTGCTAAGGGATAGACTGCCTTCTCAAGTGGATCCCTGACCCCCATGCCTCCTGACTGGGAGAGACCTCCCAACAGGGGTTGACAGACACCTCATACAGGGGAGTTCCAGCTGGCATCAGGCCAGTGTCCCTCTAAGATGAACCTTCCAGAGGAAAGAGCAGGCAGAAATCTTTGCTGTTTTACAGCCTCCGCTGGTGATACCCAGGGAAAAGGTTCTAGAGTGGACCTCCAGCAAACTGCCGCAGACCTGCAGAAGAAAGGCCTGTTAGAAGGAAAAATAACAAACAGAAAGCAATAACATCAACATCGACAAAAAAGGACCTCCCACAAAAACCCAATCCAAAAGCCATCTGCATCAAAGATCAAAGGTAGATAAATCCATGAAGATGAGCAAAAACCAGCGCAAAAATGCTGAAAATTCCAAAAACCAGAATGCCTCTTCTCCTCCAAATGATCACAACTCCACTCCAGAAAGGACATAAAACTGGACAGAAAATGAGGTTGATGAATTGACAGAATTAGGCTTCAGAAGGTGGGTAATAACAAACTCCCCTAAGCTAAAGGAGCATGTTTCCAACCCAATGCAAAGAAGCTAAGAACCTCGATAAAAGGTTACAGAAACTGCTAACTAGAATAACCAGTTTAGAGAAAAACATAAATGACCTGATGGAGCTGAAAAACACAGCACGAGAACTTCATGAAGCATACACAAGTATCAATAGTCCAGCTGATCAAGCGGAAGAAAGGATATCAGAGATTGAAGACAAACTTACTGAAATAAGGTAGGAAGACAAGATTAGAGAAAAAAGAATGAAAAGGAACAAATAAAGCCTCCAAGAAATATGGGACTATGTGAAAAGACCAAATCTATGATTGATTGGGGTTCCTGAAAGTGACAGAGAGAATGGAATCAAGTTGGAAAACACACTTCAAGATATTATCCATGAGAACTTCCCCAATCTAGCAAGACAAGACAACATTCAAATTCAGGAAATACAGAAAATACCACAAAGATACTCCTTGAGAAGAGCAACCCCAAGACGCATAATTGTCAGATTCTCCAAGGATGAAACAGAGAAAAAAATGTTAAGGGCAGCCAGAAAGAAAGTTCAGGTTACCTAAAAAGAGAAGCCCATCAGACTAACAACAGATGTCTCTGCAGAAATCCTACAAGGCAAAAGAGAGTGGGGGCCAATATTCAACATTCTTAAAGAAATGAATTTTCAACCCAGAATTTTATATCCAGCCAAATTAAGCTTCACTGGTGAAGGAGAAATAAAATCATTTCCAGACTAGCAAATACTGAGGGATTTTGCACCACCAGACATGCCTTACAAGAGCTCCTGAAGGAGTCAGTAAATATGAAAAGGAAAAACCAGTAGCAACCACTGCAAAAACACACCAAAACTTAAAGACCAACAAAACTATGAAGAAAGTGTATTAACTAACATGCAAAATAATCAGCTACCATCATAATGACAGGATCAAATTCACAATAACAGTATTAACCTTAAATGTAAATGGGCTAAATGCCCCTATTAAAAGACACAGACAGCAATTTGGATAAAGAGTCAAGACCCATCTGTATGTTGTATTTAGAAGACCCATCTCACGTGCAAAGACACACATAGGCTCAAAATAAAGAATGAAGGAATATTTACCAAGCAAATGGAAAGCAGAAAAAAGCAGGGGTTGCAATCCTAGTCTCTGATAAAACAGACTTTGAACCAACGAAGATCAAAAAAAACATAGAACAGCATTACATAATGGTAAAGGGATCAATGCAACAAGAAGAGCTAACTATCCTAAATGTATATGCACCCATACAGGAGCACCCAGATTCATAAAATGAGTTCTTAAAGACCTACAAAGAGATTTAGGCTCCCACACCACAATAGTGGGAGACGTTAACACCCCACTGTCAATATTAGACAGATCGAGACAGAAAATTAACAAAAATATTCAGGACTTGAACTCAGCTCCAGACCAAGCAGACCTAATAAATATCTACCGAACTCTCCACTCCAAATCAACAGAATATACATTCTTCTCAGCACCACAGAGCATTTATTCTAAAATAGATCACATAATTGGAAGTAAAACACTCCTCAGCAAATGCAAAAGAATGAAAATCATAACAAACAGTCTCTCAGACCACAGTGCAATCAAATTAGAACTTAGGATTGAGTAACTCACTCAAAACTGCACAACTACATGGAAACTACATGGAAACTGAACAACCTGCTCCTGAATGACTACTGGGTGAAAATCAAAATTAAGGCAGAAATAATGAAGTTCTTTGAAACCAATGAGAACAAAGACACAATGTACCAGAATCTCTGGGCCACATCTAAAGCAGTGGTAATAGGAAAATTTATAGCTCTAAATGCCCACATCAGAAAGCAAGAAAGATCTAAAATTGACACCCTAACATCACAATAAAGGGAACTAGAGAAGCAAGAGCAAACAAATTCAAAAGCTAATGGAAGACAAGAAATAACTAAGGTCAGAGCAGAACTGAAGGAGATAGAGATATGAAAAACACTTCAAAAATCAATAAATTCAAGAGCTGGTTTTTTGAAAAAATTAACAAAATAGATATACCACTAGCCACACTAATAAAGAATAAAAGAGAGAAGAATCAAATAGACACAATAAAAAATGATAAAGGGTATATCACCACTGATTCCACAAAAATGAAAACTACCACCAGAGAATACCATAAATAGCTCTATGCAAATAATCTAGAAAATCTAGAAGAAATGGATAAATTCCTGGACATATACACCCTCCCAAGACTAAACCAGGAAGAAGTTGAATCCCTGAATAGACCAATAACAAGTTCTGAAATCAAGGCAGTAATTAATAGCCCACCAACGAAAAAAAAGCCCAGGACCAGACAGGTTCACAGCCAAATTCTACCAGAGTTACAAAGAGGAGCTGGTACCATTCCCTCTGAAACTGTTCCAAAATATAGAGAAAGAGAGACTCCTAACTCTTTTTTTTTTTTTTTTGAGATGGAGTCTCACTCTGTTGCCCAGGCTGGAGTGCAACAACATGATCTCGGCTCGCTGCAACCTCTGCCTCCCGAGTTTAAGCGATTCTCCTGCCTCAGCCTCCCAAGTAGCTGGGATTACAGGCGGGCACCACAACACCCATCTAACTTTTTGTATTTTTAGTAGAGACAGGGTTTCGCCATGTTGACCAGGCTGGTCTTGAACTCCTGATCTCAGGTGATCCACCTGCCTCGGCCTCCCAAAGTGCTGGGACAACAGGTGTGAGCCACCATGCCTGGCCCTCCCTAACTCATTTTATGAGGCCGGCATCATCCTGATTCCAAAACCTGGCAGAGACACAATGAAAAAAGAAAAGTTTAGGCCAATATCCCTGATGAACATCAATGCGAAAACCCTCAATAAAATACTGGTAAACTTAATTGAGTAGCACATCAAACATCTTATACAACATGATCAAGTCAGCTTCATCCCTGAGATGCAAGGCTGGTCCAACACACATAAATCAATAAACATAAACCGTCACATAAACAGAACCAATGACAAAAACCACATGATTATCTCAATAGATGCAATAAAGGCCTTCAATAAAATTCAACACCACTTCATGCTAAAAACTCTCAATAAACTAGGTATTTATGGAATATATCTCAAAATAACAAGAACTATTTATGACAAACCCACAGTCAGTATCATACTGAATGGGCAAAAGCTGGATGCATTCCCCTTGAAAACCAGCACAAGACAAGGATGCCCTCTCTCATCACTCCTTTTCAACATAGTATTGGAAGTTCTGGCCAGGGCAATCAGGCAGGAGAAAGAAATAAATGTATTCAGATAGGAAGAAAGGAAGTCCAACTGTCCCTGTTTGCAGATGACGTGATTGTATACTTACAACACCCCATCATCTCAGCCCCAAAACCCCTTAATCTGATAAGCAACTTCAGCAAAGTCTCAGGATGCAAAATCAATGTGCAAAAATAAGCATTCCTATACAACAATAATAGACAAGCAGAGAACCAAATCATGAGTGAACTCCCACTCACAATTGCTACAAAGAAAATTAAATACCTAGGAATACAACTTACAAGGCATGTAGACCTCTTCAAGGAGAACTACAAAACACTGCTCAAGGAAATAAGAGAGGACACAAACAAATGGAAAAACAGTCCATGCTCATGGATAGGAAGAATCAATATCATGAAAATGCCCATACTGCCCAAAGTAGTTCATAGATTCAATGCTATCCCATCAAGCTACCATTGACTTTCTTCACAGAACTAGAAAAAACTACTTTAAATATCATATGGAACTAAAAAAGAGCCCATATAGCCAAGACAATCCTAAGCAAAAAGAACAAAGCTGGAGGCATCAGGCTACCTGACTTCAAATGATACTACAAGACCACAGTAACCAACATAGCATGGTACTGGTACCAAAACAGATATATAGACTGATAGAACAGAATAGAGGCCACAGAAATAGCACCACATATCTACAATCATCTGATCTTCAACAAAACTAACAAAAACAATCAATGGGGAAAGGATTCCCTATTTAATAAATGGTGCTGAGAAAACTGGCCAGCAAAATGCAGAAAAGAGAAACTGGACCCCTTCATTACACCTTATACAAAAATTAACTCAAGATGGATTAAAGATTTAAAAGTAAAACGGAAGACCATAAAAACCCTAGAAGAAGACCTAGGCAATACCATTCAGGACAAAGGCATGGGCAAAGACTTCATGACTAAAACACCACAATTGCAACAAAAGCAATTGCAACAAAAGCCACAATTGACAAATGGGATCTAATTAAACTAAAGAGCTTCTTCTCAGCAAAAGAAACTATCCTCATAGTGGAGCAGGAAACCTATAGAATGGAAGAAAATTTTTGCAATCTATCCATCTGACAAAGTTCTAATATCCAGAATCTACAAGGATGTTAAACAAGTTTATAAGAAAAAAAACAACCCCATCAAAAAGTGGGCAAAGGATATGAACAGACACTTCTCAAAAGAAGACATTTATGCAGCCAACAAACATTTGAAAAAAAGCTCATCATCGCTAGTCATTAGAGAAATGCAAATCAAAACCACAGTGAGATCTCATGCCAGTTAGAATGACGATCATTAAAAAGTCAGGAAACAACAGATGCTGAAGAGGATGTAGAGAAATAGGAATGCTTTTACACTGTTAGTGTGAGTGTAAATTAGTTCAACCATTGTGGAAGACAGTGTAGCGATTCCTTAAAGATCTAGAAGTAGAAATACCATTTGACCCAACAAGTCCATTACTGGGTATATACCCAAAGGATTATAAATCATTCTGTTATAAAGACACATGCACACGTATGTTTATTGCAGCACTATTCACAATAGCAAAGACTTGGAACCAATCCAAATGCCCATCAATGATAGACTAAAGAAAATGTGGCACATATATGCCATGGAATATTATGCAGCTATAAAAAAGAATGAGTTCATATCCTTTGCAGGGACAGGGATGAAGCCGAAAACCATCATACTCAGCAAACCAGCACAGAAACAGAAAACCAAACACTGCATGTTCTCACTCATAAGTGGGAGTTGAACAATGAGAACACATGGACACAGGGAAACATCACACACTGGGGCCTATCAGTGGGTGAGAGGAAAGGTGAGGGAGAGCATTAGGACAAATATCTAAGGCATGCAGGGCTTAAAACCTAGATGATGGGCTGATACATGCAGCAAACCACCACAGCACATGTATACCCATGAAACAAACCTGCACATTTAGCACATGTATCCCAGAACTTAAAGTTAAAAAAAAAAAAAAAGAAAAGAAATGCTTATACTTTTAGACAGCAACTGTAAGAGGCACCAAATTCTAGAAGGAATCATTGTCTCTTAAGCAACTTCTGTATGAATTTGGGAAAGATGAATTTTTTTCCAACTAAACCTAAATAAGCAACAAGAAACTGAATTTCAGCAGTTCATTTTAATATTAAGAATTGAACTGATTGGATGACATGTGTTTTGAAATTAAGGGTTTGCTTTCTTGTGTGTGTGGTTGCTATTGCTATTATTGGCATCTATAGCATGAAGAATAATCTTATCCCCCAACAGTTATACAACTACATTTCTCTATGTTTTTTAATTAAAATATAATCAGCCTAATTAATAACTTTTATGAATGCAATCACATGGACATAATTGTTGCTGTTTTGAAAACTGCAAATCAGTTTTCCTTAGTCTTAGTTGTTTAATCCAAAGTGTTGGCATGCTTCTTCACATCTCTTACAAGTGGCCTTCATAATTAATTTAAAAATATCTCTTAAGTAGGGGATTATATGTTAATCTTCAACGACGTAACTGTTACCACATTGTTGCCGTGGAGTACTTTATTATCCTTTGTAAAATACTTTATTATTTTGTTTATGCCTAGGAAGCAGAAAGGCAATTTAAATTTCTTCAGTTTACCTCCTGTCTTAATCTAGAGTCAATGCTCCTACATGTGGTTCCAACAATCGATCTATCTTCCAAAGCCTATGCTTCACATTTGAATCACCTAAAAGTCTTTTCCAAAATACTGTTAAGTAGTTCTCATCCCAGATAAATTAAATCAGAATTGCTTAGCATGTGGCCTCAATAGCATTTTTTTTTCATTCTTCAAGTGGTTATAATGTGCAGTAAGGGCTGAGAACCAATGCTCTAGGGATAATAACCACAGCATCTGAGGCTGGAAGGCAATTTCAAGCAGTATTCACCAAAGCCTGACTGTGTACATGAGAAGCACCTCTGGGACTTTTAAAGGTGCAGATTCCTAAGGTCCTACTAATCAAAATTTCCAGTGGCGAGATCCCAAGTGAATCTTGCCCATGTTGGAGTTTGAGGACCACTGCTTTGGAGGTTTCCTAAACTAACTTCTAACACATCGCAGGCCTTGACTGAATATTTTAGCCCAAATAACGCCTGTCTTTTGGAGTTACCCCCATTAAAATTTCTTCAAGGTCCTTCTTTGCAAGAAACAGTGCTTTTCAAAATCACCAGATATGTCATAAAGAAATACGTCAGCTGCTAGGGGTCAGATGACTTGAGTTTGGGGTCATTGCTGCATTATTGACAAGTTGTACTACCTTGGACAAATCACTTCCTATTTCTTATTTAGCATCTAAACTTAAGTCACACAATTGTGATGATCAGATGAGTGAATACAATAAATCCTCAAACTGATAATCAAAATCTTTTGGAGAATGTGAAAAAATGTGTGGATTCATTGGTCCACCGGAAATTTTGTTCCTCTGTATTTGGAGAATAGTTAAACATGAGATATTTCTCCTTTAAAGATTTGCAAGTGAGTTTGATAATTGCCTGTTTTTGCTGATTTCATGCACACCGTAGAGAGAGAGACCTGCTGTCAGTATCAAGGATAATAATATTTCATTCACAGATTTGTACATGACCTCTTACGAGCACTCACATCTCAGTAGGCACTTTTTCTAGAAGAGCAGCTCTCAAATTGTTAGGTGTAGTAGATGGAAATATTTGTAGCCTGGTCACTACCTCATGTGTATCTACAATCAAAGAGTTGCCCAAGGTTCTTTGTTCATTTGTTTGCTTTTCTTTTGCTTCTTTTCTCTTCCAAAAAGCAAAGGGAAAAGCATAAGGTTGGAAATAGAAAAATCTGCATTCTAACAGAGGCTGTAGTCTTGTTTTTGTGTGATCCTGAACTCAATACTTTAACCTTTATGGGTTTCAGTTTTCTCCTGTCAGTTCATGATAATAACTGTCTTACCTTCCTTAGTGGTGCTTAATAGGAAATAGAGTCATGTATTAACATTTTTGCATACAATTTTTGCATGAAGTTTCCCTAATACAGTCTGAGCTCCTAGGATTTATCCTTTGACTATTATTCATTCATTAATTTATTCATTTGCTATTTAACAAATATTTACTGAATGCATAATATGTGCCAAGAATTATGCAGGAGACAGGGGTACAGAAACACACAGCATAAGATAAGAAAGACAGATAGGACTGATGCGCTCATGAAGCTTAGAGTTCATGCTTCAGTTAAAGTATGTCATTGGTTTTAACTGAACAATTACAAAAATAGTTATTAAATTACAGTCAAAATCAGTGCTACAAAGGAGAAGCTCAGCCTATTGTGAGAATGCATTATAAGCAAACTCTCCCAGTGTCTCCCCAATATCTATGGGCAGTGACATTTAAGTTGGCACTAATTTGATTTGTGACTAGGACAGACAATGAGCTGAAGCAGTGGTGAGAGCATTTCTGACGGTGGACAAAGGCTATGCAAAAGTCCTGAGAAAGGACAATTGTTAGTGGCATATGAGGGACTGAACAAGGGCCTGAGTGTCTAAGGATCCGATGAGTAGGAGCAACAAAGAAAGATGAGGCTACAAGGTACAAAAAAGCCAGAGAAATTCCGATCATGTCTATCCTCTCTATTTTACTCGACTTTAATAGCAATGCATGCCATCAATTAAAAGGATCAAACAGCGAAGTGAAAGGATCAGATTAACACTTTAAATACATCATTATAGCTGCTGTGTGAAGACTGTCTTGGTTCACTGCATGTACAGAATCTAGGTAGAAGGGTAGTCCAGGTGGTGAATGAAAGATAATTGTGCTTTATGCTGACATGGTGGAAATAGGAATGATGAGTCAGGTGGATTAAAGAGATGTGGTCAGGCAGAGACCATTCCTCTCATTTCTATATTCTCATGACCTAGTAGGGTGTCTGGCACACAGTCCTCACTAAATGCAGGAGAAGCACACAGTATTCCATTTCATTATTGAAAAATAATGTTAGAAATTACTCCCACAGATTGAACTGAAATCTTCCTAATTTTGATTACTACTTTTATTTTCTGTTCTCTGGAAATACAGAGAACAATGTAAGAATACACACACACACACACACACACACACACACACACTTATTATCTGAATCTTGTCCACAGACACACTCTGTTGTATGACTCTCCTTTCCATATGAAACAGACTCTGGTCCTTCACATGGAGATATATATATATCTCCTATTTGTTCTGTTTCTCTGAAGAACCATGACCAATATAGTTGGTCACCCTAAAATAGGTCTTTGGCGTCTATATCTTTTAACTATTGTAGCCCACTCTTGCAAGGACATGATGTAATATGTTGCAAAGGTTAGCTTTGATTTTAAACACTTTATAAAGTACTTTCAGGTGTACAATTTCATTTGACGCCTAAAACTCCTCTATGAGGCAGGATTTATTACTCAAGTTATAAATATGAGGAAAAATAAGAATCAGAGGTGTTCAGGGATTTGCTTATGGTCATTGAGCTTTAAGAATGTGAAAGTCACATGGTTTCATCTTCTTTCATCTATTTAAATATAGTTATAACATAGAGGACATAAAACATTCCGATATCCATTGGTGCCATATTTTCCCTTCCTTCCCCTCCAAAAATGGTAGACAGGACTTAACCTCAAGGGAATTTTAGGTACCAGAGGACAAACTGTTTGAAGGAACTCTCTAGTGAAAGCCCGTATTCATCCATTCACTAATTTACTCTTTTCACCAATGTTTTTTGAGTTCCTGCTAAGAACCATGGCCAGTCTAGAATAGAATAGGAGTGGAAGATAGAATACATGGGACAGATAAACCAATACTCTGAAGAATGTAAGAGGATGCTTGTATTAGTCAGGGTTCTCTAGAGGGACAGGACTAATAGAATAGATGTGTACATGAAAGGTAGTTTATTAAGGAGTATTGACTCCACGATCACAAGGTGAAGTCCCACAATATGCTGTCTGCAGCTGAGAAGCAAGGAAGCCAGTCCTAGACCCCAGATCTCAAAAGTGGGGCAGCTAACAGTGCAGCTTTCAGTCTGCGGTCAAAGGCCCGACAGCCCCTGGCAAACCACTGGTGTAGGTCTAAGAGTTCAAAAGCTGAAGAACTCGAGGACAGGAAATATCCAGCATGGGAGAAAGATGGAGGCCAGAAGACTTAGGCAGTCTACTCCTTCCATGTTCCTCTGCCTGCTTTTATCCTGGCTGCGCTGGCAGCTGATTAGATGGTGCCTACCCAGATTGAGGGTGGGTCTGCCTCTCCTAGTCCACTGACTCAAATGTTAATCTCCATTGGCAATACCCTCACAGGCACACACAGGAACAATGCTTTGCATCCTTCAATCCAATCAAGTTGGCACTCAATATTAACCATCACAATTCTGAATGCTATGCAGAGAATAAACATTTTTTAAAGTCATTGCCAATGACCATGTGGCCACGTTAGTTTAATTGATTAGAGAAACCCTCTAGAAGATGGTAATGTTGGAGCTGGTTTTTAAGTTACAAGATGGAGTCAATTCTTCATGCCAAATGTGGGAAATAGCTTACCTGGAGGAGGGAATACCTAGTGCAAAGTTACTGAGTCAAGAATGAGCTAGTGTGTTTGAAGAACAGAAAAATGCTCAGTGCCTTTGAAACATAAAAGGCAAGGAGTGGAGTGACTTAAGATGAAGACACAAAGGAACAAGACCATAAAGGGTCAAGTTGGCCAGGGAAAAAAACGTGGGATTATTTTCCTGAGTACAATAGGTAAGGGAGAAACATGAACTGATTTGTGCCACTCTCCACTATGCACAGGGCCAGTGAGGGAAAAGAGAGCAATCTGAGTAATTGAGACAAGACAGTGTGGTGACTTAGAACAAGATGAAAAGTAATAGTGGAGGTGGGAGAAATAGAATGAGGTTTTAGAGGTAAAACTGTCAATACTTGGTGAAATACTGAATATGAGCAGGATTGAAAGAAGAGGGCAAAAAAGAAACAAGATAATTCTTGGGTTTTGGCATGAGCAATTCTGGTTGAGGGTTGAGGGTGGATAGGGAAGGAGAACAGGCCACCTGGGAAAAAGTTGGGAGTTGGGGAGAATTAATTAAGAGTTGTTTTTTGTTCAAGTTACATTTTAAAAGCCTAATATAGAAACAGAGATGTCAAGAACCAGTTTGCATGTAGAAGTCATTAAGATGAAGACAGCAGACGAGAGGGATGTGTTGGAGGAAAACGAGGTTGGATCTACTAGAAAAAGGAATAAATTACCAAGCCTAGGGAGAAAACATAGCTATGCAAGACTTGTGAGTAGCAAGAAGCTCAGAGCCAGAATTTCCCCTCTGCAGCACGCTGACGAGGTGCTTGGAGCATGAAGTAATGAACACTTTTTGTAACTGGGGAGGTAGAACTCAGTTTAGAGGGCTCTCAGCCATAGAAAATATCTTCATGTTCGTTCAGCAGAGTGAAAGCAACAAAGATACTGAACTTCGGGGGACTAGGTGGTCCCAGAATTGGGGGACCTTAAAGATAATTAATGTGGACCAAGGAATCAAGGGACACCCCCAAATATTCTGAAAACAAATTAAGTTTGGACCAAAGGACATAACACCCAGTCAGAGCCAAAGGGTCTCTGCCCTTAGAGAAGCCTGCAGTGCCAGTGAGACTCTTCATGAAAACCAACGACACTTGGTGTGTTAAGGAGAACAGAATTTACAAGAAACAGGGAGAGACAGGGCACAGCACACCTGCCCGCTGTGACCCATGCCCCTACCACGAGGTCCCATGAGCCACGTTGCTATCCCCAGCTGGTAAAATAAACTGTGAAAGAGAAAGAAATTGGGAGACAGTGTGGAGGTTTTTATTATTCTTAGAATATGTGATACATTAGAGACTATTAACACTTCTCAGTCTCACCAACTTTTCAAGCAAATATAACTAAAATATAATTTCCCTCTAACCAGCCAATGGGAGTCTAGGGAACTACAATTTCCCTGCACATGTGAGGTGTAGTATGAGTGAATTTTATGACCCTGCAACATGAGTAAAGAATATCGAGTGAGAGAAAAGCTGTTATCTAAACCAAGAAAGGCACACATTAAAGAAGTACATGGAGGAAGAATAGAATAACAAACACCCAATAGCGAGCACTTTTTTGTCTTCCAAAAAATAAAATTTGGCTTAAGAAGGAGGAAAACAAGTTATGTATTATGCTCTATACACTACAGAGACTGCAACTTCATGAAGAAAATTCCTGAACGTTTCAATAGTGAAATGATATTAAAGGTCTGTGCTTCTCTTATGAAAAGTGTAAAATGGTCATTTAGGAAAGAGTGTTAAATTGAGTGGAAACCCAGTTAATCCTAAAGAGAAAAAAAATGAGTCTCAACTAAGACTCAGAGAATAACTTTATAATCTCACTCTTTGTAGAGATAGCTGGTACATCAGATCTGACTTTTTATCCCCCCACCCCACCCGAAATCCTAAGATCTCTTACCCTCACAGGCACTTTGACCAAAAAAAAAAAAAAAAAAAGAAAGAAAGAAAAAAGGATATTCGTTACAAATACTGAGAAATCCATCCATAGTGCTTTTTTTACCTGTATAGGTTTAACACATGGAGAGGGTATTTTCGCACACACAGCAACAATTGAAATGTAATAAAATATTAATTAGGGCTAATTTTGTTTTAAGAATCCCTAAGCAAGCATTTCTCTACATGAGAATATTAACATGTGGAAGGCTTAAAAATATTTTCCTCACAAATGATATACTTTATTTTCATAATTGCTTATAAAGTTAGTTCTATAACACAGACATAATAACTACATTTTATTACAGACTCATGGGAAAATAAATTCAACCACTTTGCCATTATTCCCCTAGGCCTAGTCTTTATATGGTAACATGAAAACAATAGCACTTTAAACAAACTCTCTTGTTTAAAATTTTCAGTCTGGTTTCTATTAGAATGTAGTCAGGTTGAGAAAGCAAGGCTCAAAAAGTTAACTATGTTTTCTTTGGTGTACAGATACAAATTTGACTGTGTATTCTTCCTAGAGTGGCTATTCACAGGTCAGAGCAGCTCTTCAAGCAAGAAAGCATTTGCTCAATGTCTTCTCTCTCTGCTGCTCATGACATTCAAGGCTAAGGTAGAATGTATCAGTTGTAATTAGATGCCTGGGAGGCTTTTTCTTTCCTGTTATCCATATAATATTAATATATTAATATTAATATTATATATATATTACATGTTATATATATTACATGTTACAATATAATATATATAATTATATTGTATTATATTATATTATATTGTAACATGTAATATATATAATATATTACAATATATATTATATATATTATATATTATATATTATATATTACATGCATATATATTATATATATTACATGCATATATATTATATATATTATATATTACATGCATATATATTATATATTACATGCATATATGTTATATATATTACATGCATATATATTATATATATTACATGCATATATATTATATATATTACATGCATACATATTCTATATTACATGCATACATATTATATATATTACATGCATACATATTATATATATTACATGCATACATATTATATATTACATGCATACATATTATATATATTACATGCATACATATTATATATATTACATGCATACATATTATATATATTACATGCATACATATTATATATATTACATGCATATATATTATATATATTACATGCATATATATTATATATATTACATGCATATATATTATATATATTACATGCATATATATTATATATATATTACATGCATATATATTATATATATTACATGCATATATATTATATATATTACATGCATATATATTATATATATTACATGCATATATATTATATATATTACATGCATATATATTATATATATTACATGCATATATATTATATATATTACATGTATATATATTATATATTACATGTATATATATAATATATATTACATGTATATATATTATATATATATACACACACACACATTTAATATATGGTGAAGGGTACTGGGAATAGTGGGTGCCTGTGAAGGTGGGATGAGAGTCCGGGGGTTGAGATAAGGGCACAAGCGAAGGTTTCCCCCACACTCCCAAGGTACATTCTTTTGCACCTTTTAAATTATTTATCATGTGCAAGTAACATCTATTAAAAATCAATAAATGAGTTGATGAGAAACACAAGACACTAAAGTTATGCTGAGAAATTTAGTTCTTACCTGAAGGTAATGGGTAGCTATTAAATTGTCTTAAGATAAGGATAGCACAATTAGCTTTATAGAAAGAACATTCTAACAACATTACAACAGTCATAAGAGTATGGAAGTAGAGGGGCTGCTTAGAACATTGGTTTTCCACCTTAATTCCACCTTGGTATGCTTGAATTCCATCTCTATACATTCTAATGTAATGGTTTGGAGTGTGGCCTGGGCATCAGGAATTTTGAATTTTTCCTAACTAATTATGGTGTATAAACAAGATTGAGAACTACTGACAAAGAAGGCTGCTTAAGTAATTAGGTAATTCCTAATAAAGAGAGTCTTAGTTAAATAATGTCACAGAGGAGGGAAGAGAAAAGACAAATTCTAGAGCTACTAAGAAGATGAATGCTCAGAACTCATTGATCAGTTGGATGCAGGTTGTAAAAGAGAGGGTGAAACAGTAAAGACTGACTCCTCATTTTCTGGCTGGGCCAAATAGGTAATGTCACTAACTGAAATAGGGAAGAACAGCTGTGTGGTAGAAAACAGAATGAATTTTGTTGGAGACATACTCAGATGCTCGTGATATATGCAAGTGGAGTGATACAGGAGCAATTGACTATATGGGTCTAAAATTTACAGAACGAGCATATTGGAGATTTGGACATTGTAATGGGCAGCAAAGGCTATTGTTGGAAATTACAGGAGAGAATAAAGTACAGAAAATTTTCCAAAAATAGAACTGTCAACAGAGATGGAATAGAAAAAGAAGATGAACATTCAAAGAAGAATGAGGTAAAAAATGGGCAGAGAGGTAAGAGTTAAAACCTAGAAAACAAGGGGTCTTAATAGATTAACATAAGAGCACCCTCAAGAAAAGAATTGTTAACAGAGTTAATTACTACAGGAAAACCAAGCTGAGACAATCTTTTATGCTTTTAGCAACTAGAAGGTGCCCCTGGTGAAAGAAGTGTCAACAGAGTGTGGAGATAGACTATTGTGTAGGTTACAGTGGAGTCAATGTAATGTGTAGATGTCATGCAGTGGTTAAATAGACCCAGATTACAATAAAAGGTGAGAGTGACAAGAGAAGCGCAAGTGAAAATAGCAGGTGAAGAGAAAGATTTCTAGAAGATGACTACAAAGAATATAAAATAGATAAAGTTTGATTACTTATTAAGATTGGGGAAACATGCACATTTCTACACCAAAAGGAAAGTTATTGTGTAATGAAGCTGATGACCCAAGACAATAATGAGAAAATTCATGAAGACATGTCCTCAAAAAGGCTGGAGAGTTTGGAACCAAGATCGCAAGTAGTAGAATTTGTCTTGAGCAGGAAGATTGACATCTTCCAAGAAGACATGCCAATCCTTCCTTCCTGGGATGAAAGGTTTAAAAAGTGTAAGGATGGAGATAAGTTTGTTGGAGCTAAGAGAGGGAGAGAATTTCTCACTTGTAGCTTTCATTTCCTTATGAAGCAAGAAAAGGGATTGTCTGCAGAGAGTGAGGGAAGTTACAGGAAACAAAAAAAATTTAAGGTTTAAAATATCTGGGGTTGGAAGGCTGGGATAAAAAGCTGAGAAAGGTCATATAGAGGAACTTTTAGGAAGGAATAAGGATCCTGCTGGTGTTGGAGTCTGTGGTACATTTACTCTTCCCACACTGCAAGCGAAGTGTTGATCTAGATGCTGACAGCACAAGGAGCTGGAATTGCACACTGTAATCTGAGCCTCAAAACTTTTGAGGCCGGGCAAGGTGGCTCATGCCTGTAATTCCAGCACTTTGGGAGGCCTAGGCGGGCAGATCATTTGAGGTCAAGAGTTCAAGATCAGCCTGGCCAACATGGTGAAACTCAGTCTCTATTAAAAATACAAAAATTAGCCATGCATGGTGGTGCATGCCAGTAGTCCCAGCTACTTGGGAGGCTGAGACATGAGAATTGCTGAACACAAGAGATGGAGGCTGCAGTGAGCCGAGATCATGCCACTGCACTCCAGCCTGGGTGATCTGTCTCTAAAAAAAAAAAAATTAAAAAAATTAAAAATTGAAATGTACTTAGTAGGGCAACCAGACCTGAGGGATCTCCAGGGACCCTCACATAGCAATATGTGACTATAAATTAAAGTAAACTGCAAGTAGAGAAATAAAACAAACAGAAAGAGCAAAAAACATGTGGATGTGGAAAAACTAACAAAATGAGGAAGAGACATTTATGAAGAACATGACTGACTTGGATGAACTTGGCAGCACAGAAGAAGGAGATAGAAAAGGGATCCCAGAGATGGAAAATGATATTGAACATGGTGAGCTCCAGAAGGGGAAGGTGTTCACCACTGTGGACCCAGGAACAAAGAATTTTTGAATTAAAAAGAAAAAGAAAGAAAAAGCCTGAAGAAAATGAATAATAAATGAATGAGAACAGCACTTGAGAGGTTGGTTTCCTATTCAAGTTGCAATTATGAAGTCAATGGGAGGTGGTTCTGGAACTTACAAAAAGAGCTGGAATTTCCTGGGTAGGCAAAAGGAGGGCACTTTAAGTGTCTGAAACTGGGGCTATATGACAAATGATCAAAATATTACTTTCTATTTGCCTTACACAAAACAAGGTGAGAAGAGCAATTCTTAAATTCTCCTCAAGGAATGCAGGGACTTCTCTCTTCCTCTGACAAGACAGCAACCTGCTCTTGGCTATTTGCTGCTGGTACCCAACTGACCTTTAAAAAATAAGTTGTATGTGGAAATTGCATTTTGGTCAATGAGCCCAGGGCTCAGTGAGAGGCAGCCTTGTTAATCACCAGGGCCCTTTCTTCTCCCACTGCCGGTTTTTCCCTGGAATAAACACTGAAAAGCTGTTTTTATTCCAGGAAAAGAAGTATTCAAAGATACTGTTTCTCTCCCGCTGTAATCAACCTTCTTTACCCTAACCCTTCACATATACTTCCTCCTGCCTAATTTACTTATATATTTTTGATATTCTTTTTACACATCTTTGATTAAAATCATTATTTTTTTTAAAAAAGAGAAGTACTTTTGACTTCTTGCCCAACTGCTGGTATTGAAAACTCTTTGGAAGTGGCTAAAAATAACATTGGTGGGAAAATGCTAAAACACAAACTCTCTTGCCCGCCAGATGAGAGTTGAGGTTTATTTTGTAGTTAGGAAATTCTTTCAACTGACATATATTTTGTATGCCTGCAATAAACAATATTCTATTGGCATAGCATGCACTATACTCCACATCCTATAATTAAGCATTCCTAAAATTTCCATGAAGATGCCATTTCAAATATCACAAAAAGATGCTGAGTTTATCACATAAAATATTTAAAACAGCTCATTAACATTTGTATGAAAAACAAAATAATACTTCCACATTTTAAAAAGAAAATACTCCTTTTTAAAATCCTCAATTTATATAGTGCCTTTCTTTCTAAGCAGTTTGATTAATGTCTTCTTTCCTCAAGTGTTTGAGGAAAAGGTGTTAAAATTACTTTCAAGTAATTTAACCATGTCTAGCTGCTCAGTGTGACAGTAACAAATGGAGTCTTTCTTCCATATTACAAGCTGTCTTCAGCATCACACTATGCAATAAATTCAGATATTGATGAAAAAAGTATCTATGAAGCTATTGCAAAAGCATGTTGCAAAAGCAATTTTCCTCTAAAGGTAACTCAGCCCATTTCCAGTTTAAAGTGCTCTCTTTTCATTCTTAGTAATTAATTCTAACTAGTAAGTCAAATTCAAGTTTAGAGCATTGTCTATTACAGATTCTTTCAGTCTCTTCCTCTTGGTCTGATCTCATGCTACAGAAAATACATTGTATTTTTCTTGGAAAGGCTCAATCATCTTGTCTTACTCATTAATCCTGCCTTGGTTATCATGAGTGATGGTCATTCCTTTAACCTTGTCCCGAGCTTAGAGGCTTTTCATCCACAAATAAAAAATAAATTTGATTATATATCAAAAAAGAAAATAAACGTTCCTCCCTTTCCCTCTCCTCCCCTTTAACTCTGCTTTCCCTGCCCTGAGTATGTTTACAAATACATTTTAAAACTGTGCCATAATAAACCTGCTTGAAAATAAATATAGGAATGGAAGAATTAAATATGATGATAAGTAATGAGAATATGGTGGACTTTCTGTAATTTCAATGTATTAATTTTACAACTATAATCATCCAGTATAGGAAAGTTTTACTTGAATTTGATGGTCCTTTCCAGCTTTAGCAACTTCAATTTTTCTTTAATTTCATTCTCTTTTATTTTCTTTTTGACATGAGGTCTCACTTTCTCACCCAGGCTAGAGGATAGTGAGGTGATCATAGGTCGCTGCAGCCTCAAACTCCTTGCCTCAAATAATCCTCCTGTCTCTGCTTCCCAAAGTCCTGGGATTACAGGAGTGAGCCACTGCGTCCAGGTTTAATTTCTTTTATACAATTCATTTCTTTTCATTTTCTGTTCAGATTAACTCAGTAGATGAGAAAAAGCTTTGATTTCTTCTGGAAACAATTTGAAACTAAAACATGAACAAATGGCATTAGCACCTACACTTGGTAAGGAGTGTTAAGAGAAAAACATTTTTCTTTGCTACATTTTACACTTCTACACTGTGGCACAGAGGAAGGGTCTGGCTTCTGAAGGGCAAGTGGTTTCCAAGGATGGACAGAACTCAGATTAAATTTATTGTGCAATAGAATGAAAATACCAAGGGAGAAGGGAAGGTTGAAAAACAGATACAGGATCATGATG
Source organism: Homo sapiens (assembly GCF_000001405.40). Taxonomy (NCBI): domain Eukaryota; kingdom Metazoa; phylum Chordata; class Mammalia; order Primates; family Hominidae; genus Homo; species Homo sapiens. The sequence continues at coordinate 64,548,128 of NC_000010.11, read as the reverse complement.
AATATAAGATTTGCCCCAAGGAGAGTATATGCAAATAACAGGGGCATTGCCAAATGCTGAACTGAATAAGAGACTCAAAATTAAGAATGCAAATTAAAATTTTGTGAAATATCAATGTTGGTGCCAACAGGAACACCTTGGCACTAGTGTACCTTTCCCTCTAATAATTAAAGCCAATCTGCTTATGGGGCTGTTCTTCCCTGGATCTTTCAAGTAACACATCAGATGAGCTAACCATAGCATACTAATGATGCATTATTACTCCACAGCCATAATCACCCAGGGACTGCAAAAGGTCTAGAAACAGATTCTACATATTTAAAGCACTAAAAGGAATCAGGACAATGAATAGACTATTCTGGCCTGTTTTGCCACCAGGTAGAAATGTTGATACTGAATATATTTTTCTGGCAATATTAATTTCATTGTTCAGAATAGGAAAATGTGTCATAGTAATTCATTTTCTGAGAAATTACCAGAGGTATCTTCAGAATTTCTAAAATATCCCATTTCTATCTGTTACCTCGTATTGTCCACAGATGTAAGCAGAGATGATAAATTAATATCTTCAACTAACAGTGATTCAGTGAAGCAGATCTTACTAATCTATCAATGCAGTTTTTAAAAACATGGATATAGATATCAAATCCATCTCATGAAGTTCTCTAGGAAGCCCCTACTGACTCATCGGAGTTAGCGTGTGAGATCCAGCACAGCTGAAAACAATCCTTATTCAAGACCATCTCTCCTTTCCACCTTCACAGTCAAAATGAACCAGTAGGGGGATGCTAAAGTCAAGAGGCCCAATAAGTATGAGATATTCATTTATTTACCCTCATATATTTATTGACCTTTTTCAATGTTCCTGTCAGTCACCATATTAGGCTCTGAAAATGCAATAATAAATAAAATATAGTTCCTGCCATCAAGAAATACAAAGTTTAATGGGCTTATTCCCGGAATCTCCAAACTAAAGAAAAAGTGAATGAGAATGGCAAACAATTTTCCAAATAGATTTTACTCCTTCAAATTCATGGTGGCTGTGGAGCTACAGAAACAGTGTATTACTTTATCAAACCTAAGAGACATTATCTCCATGATGCAGCCTTTGTGTACTTCTTGTTCACTAGTTTAGCACTGAAAAATATACACATAATTTGCATCAGTACATAAAACAAATATTTCAAGTGTCAGGACCGTGCAATGGGAAAACCACAGTTTTGGCACTATGAAGACCTGCATTTGACTTCCAGTTCTCTATTTACAGGTGAGTAGCTCTCTGAGCTTCAACACTCTCAACTTAAAAATAATGTGGAAAACAACGCCTGTGCAACCGCAAGAATTGAATTAAATAATACAAAATAGGCACCTGGTACACAATAGGAAATCAGCACATCTTCATAGCATTGTTAATGTCATGTGGTGTCCAACATGGATCACGGTCACAAGAACATTATCATAGAAGAAGCTATTAACAAAATACAAAAGTAATGGCAACGAATCACCCAAATAATATGCTACAATATACCAAAACACCATGCAAGAGGCACTTAGAATGGACTGACCACTTATTTATTAGCAAATGGTCATACTTGGTCATGAGAGCACCGGCTCTGAATGGATTTGGCACAAAGGAAATGAATGATGATTCTTCAGAAATCTTTCACTACTACAGCAGCAGTAAAAAAAGGCAAACAAACTCTACCTTTGCTTCATTGCTTCCCTGGGAATCAGCTTCTCCAGCCTTCCTTGTTGCTACTTGATCTTTAATTTATGGAGTCAACAGAAAGCCCTGTCTTCAGCAGCACAGATGCTAGACAAATAGCTAGGGCATTGATTTTGGTATTTGGCCAAACTGACGGCATCATTATGTTGACTGAATATCACTATCTCTAATAAAAATGCTTTATGTGGAGTCTCAGGGAAGGGACAGCACTGGCTGGCCGTAGAGAAGGAGAAAAAGAAATGCAATTAGGAAGTGGTGTTTTCTCTTGGGTTGCTTGCCCTCTGTATTTAAGCATCATGTAGAGTGATTTTCTGATGTTCGTTTTCTGCTGTTTGTTTTTCCCTTTTCTTTGTTGCATGTTAATACCACCAAACACTTGGCAGGAGACTATAAATATAATTTAGTTTCTCACATCAGTACATGTCTGCAATAGAGCAGTTAAAATATTTAATTTAAACATATATAAAATATGTAATTGAGATTTAATTAATTCTCTTACCCAAACTAACAGCATTAGCAAAAAATATATGTATGCTCAAAAAAAATGTGTCAAAAGTTTTCTTGCTTTAGACCTCCAAGTGAATGAGGCTTTCCAGCTACATAACCACAACATGAAAAAATAGTTAATAATTATTTTAAGCCCATTAAAGGTGGTAGCACATTCAAGTATAAATTAGCAATGGAAAGAGAAAACAAAGATGCAAAGAAAGCATTTGTAAATTGCAAATAAACTTTAATTTACTAAAGTACTATATTTAGTATAGTGTGAAAAAATATCTGCTTAAAAATCTTGAGTAATAACAAGCATATTAAATTTGGTCTTTTAGATTCTTTGCTGCAATGATCAATTTTATATCATTCTGTGTACTTACATTTTTTATAAAAATGACCTACATGCTACAATTTTATACAGAACATATGAGCTAGATTACTTAGCACAAGGTGCACAACCACATTGCAGAATATGCACACGTAGAAGTTATATGTTTATCTTATTCAACAGTATTAAGCCCCTGTTGCTTTTCTTTTTTTTTAATAGTATTATTTCTTTTTTCCAGTCTGTGATACCTTATTTTTTCTAATGAGGTGTGATTGACATGCAAAAAAATACATATTTAGTGTATACCTCTTGATGTGTTTGAAGATAAGTATACATGGTGAAACCACCACCATATACAATACCAAAAACTTAACCATCACCTCTCAAAGTTCCTCTCTCCCTTTTTTCCTGATAAGAACATTTAACATAAAATCTAGCCTCTTACATTTTTAAGCATGATTGACAAAAGAGTCAAATCTCTGTAAAATATTTGAAGAGATTTATTCTGAACCAAATATGAGGGTCCGTGGCCTGTGACACAGCCCTCAGGAAGCCCTGAGAACATGTGCCCAAGGTGGTCTGGGCACAGCTTGGTTTTATACATTTTAGGGAGACATGAGACATCAATGAAATACGTTTAATATATACATTGGTTTGGCCCAGAAATGTGGGATAACTTGAAGGGGTACAGGGGTGCTTCCAGGATATAGGTAGATTTAAAAATTTTCTGATTGGCAATTGATTGAAAGAGTTATCATCAATAAAAAGGAATGTCTGGGTTACTATAAGAAGTTGTGGAGACCAAATTTTTATCATCCAGATGAAGCCTCCAGGAAGCAGGCTTCAGAGAGAATAGATTTTCAATGTTTCTTATCAGACTTAAGGTCTGTATTGATGTTAAATGCTGGTGGCTTTTCCTGAATTCCAAAAGGGAAGAGAGCATAATGAGGCATGTCCAATCCCTCCCTGACTTCCCACCATGGCCTGAATCAGCCTTTCAGGTTAACTTTGGAGTGCCCTGGCCAAGAAGAATGAGTTCATTAAGATCGTTAGAAGATGCCTTAGAATTTTATTTTTGGTTTACAGGATACAATCCAATATTGTTAACTGTGTGTGTGTGCTACGATGTACATTAGATTTCTTTTCTTTTCTTTTTTTTTTTTTTTTTTGAGATGGAGTCTCACTCTGTCACCCAGGCTGAAGTGCAGTGCAGTTGCACAATCTTGGCTCACTGCAACCTCTACCTCCCAGGTTCAAGTGATTCTCCTGCCTCAGCCTCCAGAGTAGCTGGGATGACAGGTGCCTGCCACCACACCTGGCTAATTTTTGTATTTTTAGTAGAGATGGGGTTTCACCACGTTGGCTAGGCTGGTCTCAAACTCCTGACCTCAAGTGATCTGTCCACCTTGACCTCCCAAAGTGCTGGGATTACAGATGTGAGTCACCACACCTGGCCTATTAGATTTCTAGGATTCATTCAACTTGCATAAGTGATACTATATATTATTCGATTAATACTTCTCAGATTCCCCTTCTTCCCAGCTACTGGTAGTCATCATTCAAGTCAGTCATGTGTTATTTGTCATTCTGTGTCAGGCTTATTTCACTTAACATATTGTCTTCCAAATTCATCTATACTATAGCAAATGGCAGGATTTCCTTATTTTTAAAAGCTGACAAATAAGTTAATGTGTACATATGTGTGTGCATATATATATATGTGCAACAGTGTGTTTGTTTATTCATCTTTCAATAGGCAGTTGGGTTGTTTCTATATCTTGGCAGTTGTGAATGATGCTGCAATTAACAAGGGAGTGCAGATATCTCTTCAAGATCTTCATTGCAATTCTTTTGCGTATGCATAAAAGGTGGGATTACTGGGTCATATACAGTTGTAGTTTTAATTTTTTGAGAAACTCCATACTGTTTTTCATTGTGGCTGTACCAATTTACAGTCCCCACAAACTATGTACAAGGTTTCCCTTCTCTCCACAGCCTTTCTAACATTTTCTATTTTTGATGGCCATTCTAACAGGTTTGAGGTAATTTCTGTGGTTTTGACTTGCACTTCCCTGATGATTAGTGATGTTTGGGATCATTTCAATACCCTTAGCCATTTCCATATCTTCATTAGAGAGATTTTTATTTGGATCTTTTGCTCATTTATAATTGGGTTATTTGATTTTTGCTAAGGAGTCATAGAAGTACTGTATATTTTTGCTTTTCTTGACTAAATGCTGAGCCACCTATCAAATCAACAGTTCAGTGATGTGAATCATGGTTTAAAAACCAAAAATACCAATTCACAATTCTTACTGCCAAGGGTTGTCTATCTTTAATTCGTCCTGCATATTCTCAATACATTCTCCTTTCTGAAATACCAATTTTATCATCTTAATAAACCGGTAGCACAATAATTACAATTGAAGGCCTTGTTGTCAAAAAAAAGCATATGTCAGATCTCAATCCTCACACATTTTAGCTGTGCACATTCCAATTTTTAACCTTTCTGACTCTGAGTTTCAATAGCCTCATCTATAAGAATCTGAATAATAAATCATTTTATTGCTGGGAGAACTAAATAAGATAATGCGTAGGATATACCTAACATCATGACTGGAACACAGTAATTACTCTTTGGTAACATTTCTTTTGATAACACTATGTTTTTGGGGCAAAGTTATGATTTTTTTAATTTTATTTTTTATTTTTGTTAAGATGCTGTAAACAAAGGAATCAAAGTACAGAGCTGAGGCATAGTCATCTTTAATACTTATATTGATAAAATACATTAGGCTTTTGAATGTAAGCATAATTTTTCTAATAAGTACACAGATTGCATTTATTTTTAGTGTACAAAAGCTAAATCACAAAAAATTAAAATTTACAATTTGTAATAAAAGGCTACATTTTAGAAAATTCAACAATTGTATATAGCTTGAATTTCAGCAAAGTTGAAGCATTAAAGACTATCAAGTGAATTTAGTAGCATTAAATCCTGTATACTTAATAAGAAACAAATATGTTTAGAAGTCCATTATTGTTGCTTTGGACTTAAAAAGGAATAAAAAAATAATTAATATTTATTAAATGCCTGGAGACAGACAGCCTAGAGAAAGACAGCAGATTTATTTCTTACTTGCTTTCACTTCAAATCTTATTTCCCTGTAACAAAAGTTTCCTCTCATCAAGTCTTTTTGGTTGAATCCTAGAGGATCAGATTAATCTGTTCCATATTGAATAATTTCTATTCCAATGCATGATACTACACTAGCGATTACCTGGAGCAAGATAAAAAAAAATCAGGTATAAAAGAAATCGATTCCTATTTTAGTAAATTTATTGTTCAGGATATTAATTTTATATCTGGAAATGGATCTGGATCACTATGAATTTCAAACATAGGTGTGAAATTAGAAAGTATACATTTATAGTAGGAATTGAGAAGGACCCCACATATACACATCAAACTATTTTTTTCCAGTTTTATTGAGATACCGCTGACAAATGAATATTGTATCTATTTAAGGTGTACAAAGTGATGTTTTGATATACACATACATTGTGAAGTGATTGCCACAATCAAGCTTATTAGTATACTCATCACCTCACATAGTTAGCATTTGTGCATGTGTAGTGAAAAAACTTAAATGCTACTCTCTTAGCAAAGCCCTGGTATACAATACATTATTATTTAGTTACCATGTTGTACATTAGATCTCCAGAACTTACTTATCTTATAACTGAAATTTTGTACCCTTTGACCAAAATCCTCCATTTTCTTCACACCCCTGCTCCCAGCAACCACCTTTATACTCTGCCTATAAGTTTGAGCTCTTTAGAGTCCGTATATAAGTGAGACCATGCAGTATTTGTTTCTCTGTGTCTGGCTTATTGGATTTAGTGTAATGTTTTCCAAGTTCATCTATGTTGTGGCATATTTCTCTTTTAGCTCTGAAAATACTCCATTGTGTGTGTAGTTTTGTGTCACTTAACTATAGGAATATGTTCTGAGAAATGGAATGTTAGGCAATATCATCTTTATATGTACATTACAGAGTGTAATCACAACAACCTAAATGGTATAGCCTACTACACACATAGGCTACATTGTATAGCATATTGCTCCTTGGCTACGAACATATACAGCATGTTACTGTACTGAATACAGCAGAGAATTGTAACACAATGGTAAGTGTTCGTGTATCTACACATATTAAACATAGGATAGGTAAAGTAAAAATACAGTATAAAAGATTATAAATGGAACACCTGCATAAGGCACTTACCATGAATGGAGCTTGCAGGACCAGAAGTTGTGCTTGGTGAGTCAGTGAGTGAGTGCTCAGTGAATGTGGAGGCCTAGGACTTTACTATACACTACTGTAGACTTTATAGAAACTGTACACTTAGGCTACACCCAATTTTTTAATGTTATTTTTCTTCAATAATAAATTAACCTTAGGTTCTTGTAACTTGTTTACTTTATAAACTTTTTAATTTTTTGTAACTTTTTGAATCTTTTGTAATAACACATAGCTTAAAGCATACATTGTACAGCTGTACAAAAATATTGTTTTCTTTCTTTATATCCTTATTCTATAAGCTTCCTTCTATTTTTTTTTTTTTTTACTTTTTAAATTTTTTACTAAAAATGAAGACACAAACAATGAATCTAGGCCTACCCAGGGTCAGGGTCATCAACATTGCTGTCTTCTACCTCCATATCTTGTCCCACTGGGAGGTCTTCAGGGACACTAACACTCACGGAGCTGCCATTTCCTATGATCACAATGCCTTCTTCTGGGGAATACCTCCTGAAGGACCTGCCTAAAGCTGTTTTACAGTTTGTTTTTCATAAGTAGGAGTATATTCTAAAATAACAATAAAATTATACTATATTAAATTTATAAGCTAGTAACATAGTTGTTATTTTTATCAAGTACTATAATCTACAGGACCACTGTCATATATGCAGTCTGTTCTTGAATGAAACATCATTATATGGAGCATGACTGTATGTGTGTGTATATAAATGTATACACATACTGCATACACACACACATATATATATACACACACACATTTGTTTTTTTGTCCATTCATTTGTCGACAGACAGATTGTTTCTGTATTTTGGCTGCTATGAATGCGGCTGTAATGAACAAGGAAGCGCAGATCTCTTTGAGATACAGATTTCATTTTTTTTGAAGGGGGGATGCATACTCAGAATTGGGATTGCTAGATCATATGGTAGTTCTATTTTTAGTTTTCAAGGAACCTCAACAGTGTTCTTCATAATAGCTGTACCAATTTACAATTCCACCAACGTAATTGTTTGTGCTTACATACACACACATTTTTAAATTGTCAAAATTTTATTAAGTGAATAAGAAACTATGTTGAAGGCATGGATGGAGACATATTTGATGAAAGCCTATCTCAAACTCACCTGAGGAAAAAAGGCAATGTGTTCGCTGATGCAATTGATTGGATAGATCTCTCTCTTCTTGGTCAGTTCTTCTGTGGGTAGTGACCTGCACCAGGTTAAATTGTGTTCCTATTTAATTCATGTCCTCTTAGAACCTCAGAATGTGAACTTATTTGGAAACAGGGCCCTTGCAAATCTAATTAGTTAAGTTAGAGTGAGGTCATGCTAATTTAGAGTTTACCCTAAATCCAGTGACTAGGGTCATTATAAGAAGAGGAGAAGACATACAGAGATACCTAGACAAGATGACCATGTGAAGACAGAGGCAGAGGCAGAGGTTGAAATGATGCAGCTATAAGCCAAGGAAGACCAAGGATTGCTAGAAGCCTTCAGCAGCCAGGAAGTGGTAAGGAAGAATTCTTTCCTAGAGCCTTCAGAGGCCTCATGGCCCTACTGACACACTGCTTTTGGATTTCTAGTCCCCAGAGCTGTGAGATAATAAATCTCTTGTTTTAAGCCACCAAGTTTGTGGTAATTTGTGTGGCATCCCTAGGACCCTACGAAACAAATACACAATAATGTTTTGATAATAACAATAATGTTTTTATAGTAAACATTTTGAGCACAGTGGAAAATAGTTCCAGAGTGGCCACATATTGAGACAATGGATTATGATCCCATCTTTAACCACTCACTCTGTCCAAGAGCAGGAGTAATTCTGGTAGGGATTTGTTCCATATATGTTTCTCTGTCTCCCTTCTCTGCAGGGTAGGTTATATCCTCCTGCATAAATTGGCCTGACAGTAAAGTGGCCCTCCCTTTCTCAAGCCAGACTGGACCCAGCAATATGTATTTCCAAGAATATAATTATCCTCTAAGACAGGCTTAGACCTATCAAACCACGAGAAGTCCATACCTGGCAATAGTTAATACTGAATTTTTCTTCCCAGATTTCACTTCCATCTACTCAACAGTTAACACTTAGTAATACCTGGAGAGATCCATATGGAGATAGAGCTGTCTGACAGAACTTATCGCCTTCATGGAAGAAAGCAGCCAAATCCAAACCTTGGTCAATCAGAGGGAGACAGGAAATATAGATCTCAACTCTACTGCCCTCCCACCCTTTACTCTCATGCTTATGCCTTCCATTGTCCAAATCCACCTAGCATCAAGCAAGCACGTTGAGGCAGTCCATTAAAGTCAGGTGCCCACAGAGTACATAGTAGAGTAGAGAAAATGGGATTGCGAAGCTGGAGGGACAAATGGAAGGTACCCACCATAGTGGCAAAATAGCATAGGAAATAGCTGCTAGATATGGTATGAGACAGAAATGGTAAAGTTAAATGGAAGCTTGTGTCATCAGTGTGTTTATAATTTTAGATTAAGGAAATAAGATGAACTATAGATTCAGACTTTTTAGGCAAGTTGACCAAAGTATACTGAAGCCATCATATGATATTTTAATTGACTAGCCTACAAAGAAGTGAAATTGTACTCCACCTAAATCCTTCCTCTTCTGATGCCCTCACAAATTTAATTTCCAAGTGTTACTTTTGTTGTCGATCTATGGTCTTTCAAACAATCTGTATCTAGGAAGCTGCTAAATCCTGCATTACCTTAATTTAAATGCAAAGGGTGGGCGATTCAGAGATCAAAAATGAGCAACCAAAAATAAAAAAAGAAGGAAAAAAAAAAGCAACCAGCCAGGCTGATATGATTGATTGTGCTTATGCACATATCAAGAAGGCCAATTTACTCTCCCTGAAAAAGAACTTTTTTTAAAGTTCAAATGTCTCTGTAGCTAGTCCTGTGTACTATAGCCCCTGTGCACTGAGTCCAGCTGAGATGAGTGGTAGAGCTTTGTGCACCAGCTTTGTGAGAAAAAAGTCATGTTTCATATAGTCATTTTCATATTGCCATCAAAGAGGCAAACATCTAAGCAAGCAACTAAAGTTGTGTGGCAAAGATTTGACCAGGGCTGATCGGTCGTCTTTCTCCTTAGGGAACAGTAATGCCCTCTGTCTCCTTGGAGGGGTTCCCACTGCTTTTCACAGAGGAACAAGGGGCAGCTTTGTGAGAACAGCATTATATCCACGATCTCAGCTGAGTCAGGATGAGAAGAATAAAACAGATAACTTAGAATTGTTCAGCCAAAGAACTTCGCCTTAAGACAACAACGAAAGATGCCTTTAAGATTGAGAGTTTCAAATCAGACTCAAAGACCTCATTTATTGAATAAACATGTATTAAGAACATATTTTACCTGCTATACCTGAAACAGCATTAATTTAACCTGAAATTACCTGTATAAGTATTACACTACTTGAAATTTCAGCAAAGAGAGATTTCTTAAAAGCTAAACTATTCCTACAAAATTACTTAGGGTTTCCTCTAGACTTACATATCAATAAACTCAATTTTCTGTGTCATTTTAAGTTCAGAGATCGCATTGCTACTCTGGCTTCATGATGCAGTGATTATATATTTATTAAAGCGGTGCCTTGGATTACACCAAGAACGGTTTTTAATTGTACTCTAAACTGGAAAAAGAACTAAATTATCAATGAATTTCAACTAAACGGTTGATTTTTTAAAATCATGAAAAGGAAGTGCAGGAAAATTAGGATTAAAAAGGGGAAAATAAATAGATGTTAGAAGATTCTCTCACTTCTTTCATTCAAATTTTGGTCCTGAATCTTTAAAAAGTTGTTTATTTTACTTTTCAAAGGTAATTATTCAAATGCCACCTGAATTGTGAAATTATATATAGTCTTATACACAAAAAAAATACTTCTTTACAAGAATGTTTAATTTTACTGCACAAATATTCTTGTCTCATAAAAGTGTCCCCACAGCTACATCTACAGATGTGTTTAGGTATTTAAAACTTTAAGAATCAAAACTTAATTTCTTGTCTATTGTTTGTAATATACATTTGCCTAACAGCATTTTAAGCCCATTTCTATAAAACACTAATAAAAATTGGATTGCATTTCAAATTTTTTTAGCTGTTTCCCTCTTTGATGCATTTCTATTTCAGTTTGGAGAAGAATAGTTTCATAGCAAAATTGTTTAGGTTTAACCAAACATATTAATCAAATGACCAGCTCAAGAGTCTATATTCTGTATTTATTAAGTTATTTATTCAGGAAATACTTATTGAGGGATAAAACAGAAATCAAGACAAACAGGATGCCTCTGTTTGGGAAACATACAGTCTAGCCTGGTACTCCGGCAAATTAGAGGTCACCTATGTTAAAATAGTACCATGGGAAGAAATCACATTCAGAATTTGTGTAATTTACTAGCATTTATGAAGTCCCAAATTCTCATTTCCATCTTTAAGAGTGAATGTTAATAAGGAATGTAAATATAGAGAATCGGATCCAAAAGATCTGAAGACTTGGTATAAAAGCTAGAAACACCACAGCCCAGATACCATGAAGATCAGGCTGTCTTTTCCCACCTGCAAAATCAAAGGGGAAAAGGGTTTCTGCTCCTCTGCTCTGAACTCCATAAGGTTTAGCTCCTCTTAGCTCTTTGGTTGCAGAGCAGGTTCAACTTACTCCTTTTAGAGTTTTACCAAGGCAATGTGGACAGACATGGGTTTAACTTCCAGAACCACCACTTTCCTTGAGAAAGCTGCTTAATTTCTCTGCACTTTGGTCTTCTCATCAATAAAATAGAAATAATTTTTCCTATCTTATGAGGTTGACATAGAGGTTGAAAGTAATACACGTAAAGTCCCTCAAAGGAATGTATCTGGCCACCAAATAAAAGGGGGTGGGAGGTACATAATTAGTAGTAATGTTACAGGTAGTTAGTCATCAGCGGGGCAGGAGAGGGCTCTTCTCCCCAACCCACTAGAAATGTCTGGTGATGTTTAGGCAAATTATCACATTGCCTCTCTAAAAGTGATCAACTGGCAGCTGGCACCAGGGAGCGGCCATTTCCTGATGGTCCACACCTGTTAACATTAAAGTGTTAATTAAAGGCAGGGCCCAGAAAGAAGCAACTTCCTGGGCATGCACATTAAGAGACAAAATGGCAAAGTATGATCTTCCCGGTACACTCCACCAGAAAAAGGAAGAAAGCCTCAGACGGGCATGGGCATGCATGCAACTCCCTACACACACCGAGCGTGCTCAATTCCCAAGGGTAAGGAGAGCATCGTGCATGCAGAAAGCCCACCCTAAGGGAGGAATCATGGGAAAGAGGAGAGCCTATGAAGTCCCAGGATCAAGGTTAAAGGCCTCTCTTTTCTCTCTTTGACTTTCAGGCACTCACTTGGATTTCTTCCAAGGGTTCTTTCCTGCTCTAAAGCCTTTCTAATAAACTTTTACTCCTGCTTTGCAACTCACCTCGGTCTCTTTTTCTGCTTTATGCACCTCAGTCAAATTCTTTCTTCCGAGAAGGCAAGAATTTAAGTTGCTGCCGACTGGTACGAATCTGCCGCTGGTTACTCAGGGTGATTCGGGTCTCTGCCACCGGTAACAGTAACAGTAAGAGTAGCACCACAGTGACAGCTATGGTTCTGAACTAGTAGTACAAGGCGCTTTAGAGGTACAGAAACTTAGGACAGGGAGGTTAAGTGCCTTGCCTAAGAAGGAATGGTGGCAGAGTTAGCCTTAAATATGACATTCTTGAATCTAACCCCAGGCCTTCTCCCACAATATTATTATACTTTTCTTCTCTTAAACAACTGTGGTTCTAGAAACAATTTTTGATAAGCATTATTAGTAAAACAAACAGAACAACATTCAATGATTTCACCCATCTTAATAAACAATTTAAATCACCACATGCCCGGAAACACTCAGGCATTCATTAGACAGGAAAACAGAACTAGCAAAACATCAACTGCAAACAATTGATCTATTATTTATACAGAAACAACAGTACAGATTATTTAAAACCCCAGGTCTATCAAACAGTCTTTGAAATGTGGAAAAATAAAAAAACAAGAAAAAAAACTTCAGCAGGTCATTCTAAACTATTGGAACTGTAATGACATTGGTTTATTTCATGTAATGAGACTGCAGCATTATTAAAGGAAAACAGTTTCATTTTAGCAGTGCCATTACATTGCACTTTCTAGTTTTAGCAGCACTCAGTAAGAAAATGGCTAGTAATATCCATGCTGAGTATCCCCCCCAAATGTATTTAATTTGCATTAAGCAAAGAACACTATAGCAAATGCTAAGGAACCTTTCTCTCTGTCTTTTTCTTTCCCTTCCTACAGCCATCACCCAGGTTCCAACCCTCATTATCTTGCATTTCACTGTTAAAATAACCTTCTCTCTTGTCTCTTCCCCCTCATGATTCCCCTTCCAATCTACGCCCACACTCTCCTTTCAGGGGAATTGTCCTGAATCATTGCTCTGAATATGTCTCAGCGCTATGCACAGACTGCAGTGCCTCCCCAGACTCTAAACACCTGAACCTAAAATGTAAGGTTCATTGGATCTCCCCCAACCCAGGAGCAATAATTCCTACAAAAGCTTACATATCACAGCCCAAACAAATCTATTAGTTGCTTCTTAAATATACACTGAACATTCTCATTTCCACAATTTTAAAAACAGTTGTAGTTACCTCAACTGTTTCCACTCTAGGCCCATTTCTAAAATTAGAAATCTTGTGCCTGGGTGTCGTGGCTCACACCTATAATCCCAGCAGTTTGGGAGGCCAAAGCAGGAGGATCACATAAGCCCAGGAGTTCACGACCAGCCTAGGCAACATAGAGAGACTTCATCTCTACCATAAAGAAATAAATAAATAATTAATTTAAAAAAATTAGAAATCTTACACACCACCACAACATATTATCATTTAAACACAAGACCTAGCCAGGCACAGTGGCTCACGCTTGTAATCCCAGCACTTTGGGAGGCCGAGGCGGGCGGATCACGAGGTCAGAAGATCGAGATCATCCTGGCTAACACGGTGAAAACCCGTCTCTACTAAAAATACAAAAAAGTTAGCTGGGCATGGTGGCGGCACCTGTAGTCCCAGCTACTCAGGAGGCTGAGGCAGGAGAATGGCGTGAACCTGGGAGGCAGAGCTTGCAGTGACCCGCGATCACACCACTGCACTCCAGCCTGGGCCACAGAGCGAGACTCCATCTCAAAAAAAAAATAAAAATTAAAATTGAAAAATAAAAAATAAAAACACAAGACCTTAAGTTTTTGATAAGGAGATTATTAAATTATGGGATACCAGTCTATCTGGCAGCACATTGCTCAATTTTTCAAAATGTATTACAAAACTATTTAACAATAATATTAATGACACATTATTTTAGAATAATTTTTTAAATTGGACATGTAATACAGTTTACAATTATACAAAAATACATTTTCTATTCATATATAAGGGAAAGTTTTATTCAAAATAAATGTGTTTAAATGTTATCAGTGAGCTTTCCAAGATGATGGAATTATAGACAATGTTTTATTTTGTTCAGTATAAAGGTTTATGGTTTGTTTTCTTTTTTTTCAAATTTTCTATACCAACCACATACCATTAGCAATTTTATAATATAATTTAAAATTTCTCATTTTTTAAAGTCTGCTCACCTATTAATTCCACTCCAAATAATCCTGGCTTCCTAAAGCCTTTGGTTATGGCCAAACTAGATTAAACGTTTGAGGCATCAACATATTAAAACTTCACTCACCACTCTCCCTTGTGTATTTTGGACATCCATTAGAGAAGTATCTCATATAATGGCAGTTACAAGCTCAAATTATTTTTTAATAACCTGGTACTCTCCTACCTGCCAACCCCCTAAACTGATATTATCTTAAAAGTGATAATTTAATTCTAATCCCTTTAAAACACATTTCATTTAAAATAAGAAGAGTTCATCACTTTTGTTCCACTATACAGGCATAATTTAGAAACTGTGTTTTGACCATAAAGCTATGAAAATAATGTCCACTTATTAAAAGTTTTAAGTTCATAAGATGAAATCATTAATGTCTAAATGATAATGTGAGTGAAATACACAAATGAAAAAAACATCTCTTGGGTTCCTGTTATATATTATGCCATCCATTTCTCAATTACCCCTTGGATAATTAAAATCATCAATAAGTTGTTCTCTAATATTAGATAATAACCATGGCTGTAGTTCATAGTCCTGGAATAGATGTTGAAAATAGGACCTGATGCAATGTGTATTTATTTGCCTGTGATTCTAGTACCCCTTTCCTCGGAGCAAATACTTCTTTCAGGACCACAAATTAGTCTATTTGTTAAGTGATCATTATTTGTTCAGGCTAGGCAGTCAGCAGGCTAAAATTGTTTCTTTAGGGCTTACATGGCCTAATACTTCAAGCTACCATGCTTATTTGGGAGAAAAGTACTAGATTTATTATAAAATAATGTCTCCAATACATAATACTAATTTGTTTTTCCAATTTTCATGAATACCACAGCTGTAGAGTGTCAATGCCATTACCTTCTTCTTCTAAACCTGAGTATTTCAAGAAGCTCTAGTTTTGTATTGGAAGAGGAATACAGAATATCTGATATTATGCCCAAATTTCATTTATCTTTCTACAAAGATACATAGAAGAGGGAGGATGGTGGTCAGGAGGGCATTAATATTAAACATATTCTATGTACCAGGTACTTAACATAATTTAGTTCATCTAATTGTCATTTAATTATCATAAACAAGCCCATGAATAATGCATTTTTATTTCTATTTTGTATCTAAAGAAACCAAGTCTGTGAGAGGTTAAATAAATGTGCTAGATCGCATAAATAGAGACTGACAGCCAGGATTTAATCTCTAAAGCTAATGTTTTTGCCAGCATAGTGTAATAATGTTTTGATTTGTCAAGGAAGGAGATGAAAGAGGGAGAGGAGAGACAGAGGGAGAGACAGAGACAGAGAGCAATATCTAACATCACTTTTTGGATATCTATTGGATACCTCGAATTAACATATCTGAAAGAAAGCTTTTGATTTCACCCTTCTCCATCAAAAAGCCTTTTCCCTCCATCTTTACCACCTCTGTTAACATTAACACCCACCACTCAATTGGTCAGGCCAGCAACCAAGGGGCTGATGTTGATTTCTTCGTTTCCTCACATACTGCCCATTGAATCCATAAAAAATTTGTCAACTCCACCTCCAGATCTTTATAATGTCTTTGGATAGTTCTTAAACGTTGTTATACATGTGATTTTTAAAAAATCTGTTAGTGTTATTTAAAAGCAAGCTGATTTTCCAATTAGTAATTTAATACTGTAATAATTGAGACATCTGTCTACATAGAGACAGCTTAGGTCCCAACAGAGCCTCAGCAGACTGGAGGTTAAACTCCCTTACCATCTTATAAAAAGTACAGTAATAGAACCTCTGCTTCTGCTTTCTGTGCTGAGATAAGAAGCCACTTTGTGAGAAGACCTTAGAAGGTGGTCCAAATAGAAGAGCTAGAGGAAAACAGTGATTGGACCCTAAAGAGGCAGTCAAAGTCCAAAAGGCATAGGAAAAAGGTTCAGGAAACATCTGGCCTCATACCAAGAAGAGAAGCTACAATGAGAAAGCAGTGGCTTTTCCTATTGTGCCCATATAAGTGTAATGTTGCAAATACAGGAAGGAGGGAGGGTCTTTAATGAATAAGTGATAACTGAAAACAAGGTGCAAATTCTAGATGGAGACTAGTGCTGTGGACTGTATAATTTATCACTTAGCTTCTGTATATCCTAAGACAAGCTTGTGTATAAATAAGTCCTGATATATTGGGAAAAGAAAATTCACTCAACCACAATGCGCACGTGTGTGTGTGCAGCTGAAATATACTGGTTTGGGTATGTATTTGTATGTATTAAGAAATTATATTTATTATTAAATATACAATGTTAAATATATATCACTACGGACTATGAAAATAAATTTTCCTCTTCTTTTTAGGTCTTTAAAGCCCAACTCAAAATATAACTCAAAAGTTAATTTCTGCCCACCCTGGCTTGGTACAGCATGTCTTTATGCCTCTGTTGTAATAATTACCATGCTGTATTAGAATTATTTGCTACAGGCTTTTCTCCCTCACTAAAATTTTAGCATTTGATGGGAGGAATTTGCAGGACCTAGCAAATTGCTTGCTTTACAATACATAATGAACTAATGATGAATAAACGAAATAATAAATGAGTGAATTTTGTTTTCAGAAATGTATTAAAAAGTATATTGGTTTTATCTGGAAAGCTTGCCATGCATAAGAAGGACTGAATCCATGAAAAGAGTTTGACAGTCATCTGCATCAATCATTGGCATAGCCTTAGAATTTGCCTAAGAGTGGGTTCGACATAAACCATCACTTTGAAGCATCAGGTGATTTAAATCTAACATCAATGAAATGTGCATATAATTCTAAACAAGAGAAAAGTAAACAGGAGAGATGACTGCATTGCCAAATGACAAGCTCGGGGAGACTGGCAGATATAATGAGATGAGATTTAACACATACACCTCAGGATAAGTTACCTGGGGAAAAATCAGCAGCAGCTGAGATATAAAATGGAAACCCATTCTCCCATTGCAAATAAATAATGTTTCAAAAGAGTCTGGTTATACTGGATAACTTGTATATGAGATCACTTTGTAATACTGATGCTAAAAAGCCAATTGCCTTCCCAAGAGAATGAACATCATGGATCATTTCAACCAGATACACACACACACACACACACACACACACACACATACACACACACACACGAGAGAGAAAGTGCCTTCAACAGCTTTAGTAATCACCTTGATTCTACTGTCGGTAATTGGAGCCCTCTCAATACAAAAAGAACACCTTAAAGTTTAAGGAAAGGCAATAAACATCATGAAATGAATCAGAGCCTATTTAATTTGGAAAACCTTGAAAAGGCTCAGAAAGAAGGTCATTCTGTCCAGTCCAATACAATCAGCCTCTGGCTGCCAGACAATAAGAATTATTACTAACATATATTGAATCCTTTCTCTGGGCCAGGATTTACCAAGTACTTTAGACGCATAATCAGACTTAATTCCCACTGCAGATCCAAGTCATTGCTACTTGACATTGTATCCATTTTACAGATAAGGAAACTAAGACTGAGAGACATCAGGTCAATTGCATGTGGTCTTACCGCAATGAAGTCACAGCACCAAGATTTGTACCCTAGTCTCTCAGAATCCTAGGCTGTGATCTTCATCACTCTGCAATGCTTTCAGTATGCCACTCCGCTATTGATGAAACTGTAAGTTATTTTTTGTCTGATTTCTACAGTTCTCCATTAAATAAAGATGACATCTCCTTTCTCTTTACTCTGATCTCTTACCCTACTTCAACAATTTCTCTCCCTTGAATTCAGAACTTTCCAACAAATTAGGTTAAATCCTGTCTATGAACCCTTGCTGTGATGTAACTCATCTGAAAAAACTCTCTCCACCTGGCCAACTCTTCCAATCCTCTCCATCAGAAATCAACTTTCTCAGAGAACTTTAAATAGATTATATCCTGTTTTTGAAATTATATTCAATTGTTGTGCACACATTAACGTTTATTATACTGCTGCTAACACTAACATTTACTGCCTTCACCAAATTCATAATCTAGCACACACGTACCATTCATACACTCGGTTTGGTTGTGAAAAGACAGACATTTAGGGAGATAGAAATGATTTAGAAATATTTCCAAAGTTCAGCATCCAAAAAGAATGCTACTATTCACATGGAAGAAACTGTGAAGCTTCAGTTTCCTGTTCAAAGTAACTAGAACAAAGACCAGAAAACAAATCTGTGTGTGTGAAAAGAGAAGTGTTAGATCTACTAAGCCCAGCTTTAAGATGTACTGACATTTGATGCTCAGAAATTATCCACTTAAACTCTCAGCAATAGCAATGAGAGAGCACTGTTTTGCCAGACAGGATTCCCAGGTTATCAATGTTGCCCATCTGTTTCTGGTTCTATATGGTAAAACTCTGGGTACTACACTCAGAAATTTATTGTTACTTCCACATCTGGGATATGAGATATCAGATTGTGAAAAGGACACGAGGATTGAATAAATCAAAATGTAATGACCTCAGCTCTGAAGGTAGGCCTACCTGGAGGACAGCCTGCTGTTTGGAGAACAAGAGCCTAACAGCTGAATGTTAGTGCATTTTACCACTGTAATTCCATGGAAAGAAAAATGATGATGAAGCCATCAGCTATCCTGTACCATACACGTTTCATTGCTATTGAAAAATGTCCCACATCTGTGTCTTAATGCAGGCATCTGCTTCAAATTACCCTCTGATGAGCTCTACAGCTCTTGCCTAATTGGACACTATCAAAATGACATGGCTGTTACGGCTCAGCTTCCAGTTGCCCTTTATGCAGCAGTCTGGGCTCATGATGAATCTTCATCTTCACATGAAAGAGTCTTATTTTTACTACAAATTCTAAACGTAGTTGTATTAGTCCATTCTGGCACTGCTGTAACGAAATACCTGAAAGTGGGTAATTTATAAAGAAAAGAGCTTTAATTGGCTCATGATTTTGCAGGCTGTACAGGAAGCATAGTGGCTTCTGCTTTTGTGGAGCCCTCAGGAAACTTAAAATAAGGGCGGAAGGCTAAGGATAAGCAGGCACATCTTACATGGCTGGAGCAGGAGGAAGGCGGGGTGGGAGGGGGCCACTTTCAAACACCCAGATCTCAAGATAACTCACTATCCGGAGAACAGCACTAAGGGGGAAATCTGCCCCCAGGATTCAATCAGCTTCCACCAGGCCCCCCTCCAACACTGGGGATTGCAATTCAACATGAGATTTTTGGCAGGGACACAAACTCAAACAATATCATATATTCCAATAATTTGTTCAAAATATCTTGTGTATCAATCAAATCATTAGTTCTCTCCTAATAGTGCCTTTTAACTGAGTTTTTTGTTTTGTTTTTGTTTTTGTTTTGTGAGACGGAGTCTCGCTCTGTCGCCCAGGCTGGAGTACAGTGGCGCCATCTCGGCTCACTGCAACCTCTGCCTCCCGGGTTCACGCCATTCTCCTGCCTCAGCCTCCTTAGTAGCTGGGACTACAGGCACCCGCCACCATGCCCAGCTAATTTTTTTGTATTTTTAGTAGAGACGGGGTTTCACCATGTTAGCCAGGATAGTTTCAATCTCCTGACCTCGTGATCCATCCTCCTCGGCCTCCCAGAGTGCTGGGATTACAGGCGTGAGCCACCGCGCCCGGCCTTAACTGAGATATTTTTAAACGCAGTGTTCTAGAAGCAGTTGGAAACAAAACAAATAGAAATTCAATCCATCCAGACCTTTAGAGATTAGAGTTTTAGAGAGAGCAGAGATGTTTTCAAAAAAAAAACAGATAATGAAATTGAGGATCAGGCAAAACAGTTCTCTTAAGGTCACAGGTTAAACTCGTGGCAGAATTCTGACAGGGAACATTCTGCTCCCTAGCACTACCCCTCCACTCCCTCAGTTATTACTGTCACCAGTTAAGAAGCATGTGGTAAAGTCAGCACAGCAACGTCAAAGGGAAGTTGAGTCCATGCATTGCCTTTCCTTTGTTCTTGATAAAACCTGACACAATATCAAGACATCAATGAACGTTGTTGTCACAGAACATACAGAGTCAAGGCACACGGCCTTGAGGAAAGGAACAGAAAATTCAAGCATGACAGCCAAAGGCAAAGTCTGTTGTAGAGTTAATACATGGCAAGTCTAAGGAGTGGGCACAGCAGTATTTTTGTAAGATGAGCCTCACCAATAAGATGAGGGCAGAGTTTGAACCATAAGGACAGTGTTTCAGTATTAATGATGCCTAATTTTAAAAATAAAAAGATATTACCAAGGTGTAATTTATTTAAATTTCTTGCACTAGGAAAAATATGGGAGGCTATATTATAAAGCAAATCTATTTTGCTGATGTTCTTAAATTTTGCAACACACAAAAACAGCAAAATTTCATCTCTGCAAATATTTCTTAAAATATACAGTATATAGGTTATGAATAATATGAATGTATTTCATGATATAATTAATTATTACTTCTGTGAATCAACTGTAGCACTGATTTTCATATTTTGGTGAATAACATTACCATCAATTCAAATTTCCAAATGAGATTCAAAATCATCTTCATCTTCTCCCATGCCTTAAATTCCTCACCCTCTCTTTAAATCTTATTGACTCAACCTCTGCTATACTTTTGCCCCACTTGTCTACCCACAACCTATGCTTTAATTCAGTCTCATTTTATCAAAAGATTGAACAATCAGCCATAGCAGTGGCGTAACTGTTCACCTACCTCCACCCTATTTTCTCCAACCCCCAGTTTCTCTTCTGCATGGCATCAATAGCATACTTTTCAAACACAAAGCCACTCACGGTATGCCTTTGCTTCAGAACCTTCAATAACTTCCTAGGACTTACAGAAAGAAACCCTCAAAATACTTTGAATGGCCCACACAGCTATTAAATTCTGGTCGCAACCCAGTCTTTTAACCTCATCTCCAGGCTACTTCACATGTTCTATCCCTTAAACTACAACAAACTCCCAGCAGCATTCCAACACACTTATACCTTGGCTAATTATTTTTCTGCTAATTGAACTTGCTAACTTATCCACGTGATGAACTTTTACTCACCCTTAATGAACTGGCTTAAATATCCATTCTTCCATGGAGACTTCTTGACTCTCCAAGGCATAATGACCCATTTTTTGAATGCTTCCATTATTTTACCTATAAATCTACTATAACCTTTGTTATATTACATTAATGTGTACTTAAATGTATTTTTCTCATTTATTGTTCAGAATTGCTAGCAGGCAGGGACTAGGTCTGCTTGTCTTTTTATCCCCAGTATCTAGCACATCTCAGATGCTCGCATTGTTCAGTAATTAATTAATTTTTCTGCTTAATATTTTATGTCATTCTCAGTAGTCACAGTGATTGGTTGTAATCTTCACTCCAAAACTGTTAGGTATTTATAATATTAATTCCATGATGAATTCTTCATAGAAACCTTTAATAGAGCAGAAATTTCTAGGAGAATAAAAACAGAGAAATGTCATTGGATTTGGCAAGGTGGTCATGGATAACATTTGCAGGAATAATTCCAGTAGAATTGAAGGGAAATCTTAGAGGTGTTGACGAATAAAAATGAATATAACTATAACTACTATTTTTAACACTTTATAAGACTCTTCTCAGGGCTTTATGTACTTTATTCATAAAACCTGTGAAGAGGCAAGACTCTGTCAAGTAGTAATGGTTTTAGGCACATATACATATGCCCAAAATTATCAAATTGTAGTTTTACATATGTGCAGTTAGTTCTATGTTTATTATAAAGCTCAACAAAGCTGCTAAAAAATAAATCCGTATGGAAGTTGTCCTGATAGTCTCCATTTGGCAGATAAAAATGAGGAACAGAAAGATTAAGGGGGTTACCCAAATTCCCTTACTCAGCTGCAGATGAGTGTTAAACCCAATTGCTCTAACTTTAGAACCTGTGTGGGTCTGTTCCCTACTTTGCCATAACAGAAAACTCTCAGTTACTCTAGAAGTT
This sequence comes from Homo sapiens, assembly GCF_000001405.40. Classification (NCBI taxonomy): domain Eukaryota; kingdom Metazoa; phylum Chordata; class Mammalia; order Primates; family Hominidae; genus Homo; species Homo sapiens. Next base: position 64,525,583 of record NC_000010.11, on the reverse strand, counting down.
CTGCTATAAAGGAAAGAGATGGATGCCCAGGAAGGGAGCTGCAGAAACTCAGCAGGTTCAAGCAAACATTTGTTTTTCTTCTGAGTAAAATTTATACCTATTTGAGGTTAGAAAAAGGGAGGGAATTGCTAAATTAAAATTGCACTGTACACTTATGTGCTTGCTTTAAATTATTTTATGTTTAATCACCTAGTTACAACTTTAAAGCTTCCTATTATGGCCCTAAGCATAAAAATTCCAATACCACTTATGCCTCAGGCAATATTCCACTTGGGTCAATAGTGGAAAATAAGGTAAAGAGAAGCGCCAGGACAAAAAAAGGCAGGAAAATTGAATAGAGAGCCTCCAACCCACATCCTAAGGTCAGGAGCTAAGAAGCACCTGCTGACAGCAGAATCTGCCTTTCAGGTAGAGGAACACATTTGGGAAATTCTTTAAACTGACCCTACAGGGCAAAGAGTGTGAGGGGAGGTAGACTGCCCTTTGATCTCCACTTTCTGAGAGAAAAGTTGTCAAAAAGTACAGTGGCATCTGTCCTTCATGAAGGCAGAGCTCTAAACCCAGCACACAAAGCAAAGGTACCTTAAATGTCACTTAGATTGTGCACAGACGCACTATGAATGATTTTATGCTTCCAGTCTTGAAAGTTATCATTTTGTATATGAGCTTTCAGGAGCCAAAATTTCTAAGGAACAAAATAAGAGTCTATAGACACAGTCCTAGCCATTTATACTATTCTGCCTTTCTGACAACTAAGAAAGGCCAAGCAATGTATAAGGAACAGGTGAAAATTTTACAACATTCCTGCTTGCCTGAAGGGTTTTTACTCCTCTCACTTTTAATTCTAGGTTTTGATTGCCTTGATGCCTACAGTGTTGTGAGTTACATAAAATGGTGGAGTTAAGCCATTTCTAAGTTAACTTGTAATGAGAATCTACAGTATATATTTAGCTTGTAGTGTATGTAAAGTATATAGTATATAAAATCAATATATTGAGAACAATGTAGACTTTAGAAAGAATGAGATAATGTAATCACTTCAGATATCTAAATGGGAGACTGAAATTATATATTATGGGATGAAAGAGATAGAGAATGTCTTTCTTATTTATAAAGTCTCAGGACGTCACCTCAATATTTATGAGCTCAGGATCAGTGGTATTGCAATGTGCCATTCTCTCTTCCATGCAGAGTAATTGCTGGGATAAATCATTATTACAAAATTTAGGTAATTATATTTTCATTTTTCTACATAATATATGTATATGTATGTCTATTTTAAATATAACTACATACTTATCATATATTCCATGTCAACAGTGCAGAATTTACTCCTTGTGAAACAATACAGAAATAGGATAAATTATACCCAGGTTTATTAACAGTACCCCATTCTATTTCTACACATCTAAGGATTTTTAAGTCTCAACAGGTTGCTGAATGATTTCATGAAGAAAATAATTATGATCTTTTCCTTCTTCACATTTATTACCACATGTAATTATAAACTACAGTTACTGCATTAAATGTGTTTAAATCAGTACGTAATTAAGTATTTCAAGTATGTATGTTATTAAGTGAAATTATTTTCTCTGAGTATAATTTTAGGTGACCTTATAACATTACAGTCCACACTTTTATTCAGAATGGGTCCTGGTTAAATTAACCACAGTGATTTTCAGCATTGTGATTTTAGAAAGCATGTATGCTAAGAAACACAGGGAAGGAAGTTGATATTTATAAAATATTTCAAAGGGAATGTGTAACCTAATTCTCAATTGGTGAGTTGTTATGCCTTTTATCTACTCTGTTTTAAATGTATAAGGAAACTTCATTGACATATGATTTATTCACTGAAACATTGCCCTACAAATTATGACACTGTGTTTGAGGCACTTGGGTGGTCCTAGGTGATCTGTTTTTCCAGGGGTAACTTTTCCCCTTCAGTGTTGATTTGCTTCAAAGATGAGTCTTAGACAGCATCTGAAGTTCAGGTAGTTTATTCTGGCAATGTTTTTAAAAGATAACAGCCAGAGCAGGCCGGTAGCATGGGTCAGATACAGTCGGTGCCAGATGACAACCTGATAAGAGACTATTCTCTGAGTTTGGGGGATTCTTCCCCCTTTCTTATACCTGTAGTCAGTCTGGGTCAATTACCAGGGGTTTCTTTCATAAAAGGAGTTCAAGCTATTTTTGTTAAGGATAAGCTTTGCTTTAAGGTTTATGAGAGTTCATTAGTACTAAGGTAATCTTGTCTCCTGGAAATCTCTGTGCCAGGGTTGGAAACCCTTGGGCCAGGTTGCATCATATTGCTAAGTAACACTTAGCGTTAGCCCTGTGAGATGTTTGGGTGAGCCTTATGGCCATCACTAATCCGATAGACACTGTATGTCTCATAGAGTATACTACAAGATACACTCCACTTCTTAACTCATTTCCACTGGGAAAGAGAGGCCAGGAAGAGCACAGCATGACTTTTTACTGCATCATCTCCTGCCTCAACCCTGCTTCTTCTTGTAACCCGTGAATATTTTCTTAGTGGTAACATCTCCCTACATCTGAAATCACCTTTGCCCTCTCCCTCTCACAGCATCATTTGCCTCCCACCCTCACACATACAGTCACTAATTACAACTCACACTTCAGATACTTTGTTCTATTCCCACTGGGACTCTCTGTCTCTTCTGCATTGGTCTTTCCTGTATTCGTGTTCTAATGGGGTTTTCTGCTCAGTCTTTCTTCCAGTCCAGTTTGAACCACTATCGGATCAATCTCAATAAGGCACAGCTCCAACCAGCCAACCAAAAACATCTGTTACTCTCCCTACTGTTGTTCTTCACATTTAATGGAAACAAAGAGTAGAAATATTATGACATGTTCTCTAACCGAAAAGCTATGAAGTAGAATTGAAAAGAATGATGTAGAAGGCCACTATATTTTTAAACAAAAACTACAAATTATAAAATTGTGCATGTTTGTGAAAACATACTTTTAAAAGTCTGTTGGAAATGTTTGTCTTTTGGGTAGAAGGAATTACTCTGGACTCATTTTCCAGAGTAAAACTGGAAATATCTTCACATATATCTTCACATATATCACAAATATTTACATATACAAATATGTAAATATTTGAATTCCCCTCTGTAAAATATATTAATTTTATATTTAAAACTGTGATTTAGAAATTTAAAAATTTCTTTAAACAATTCCTTCTTTATACATATGATCAAAATTATAATGACATTTAGAACATAACCATATTAGATTATCACACATTAGAAAATTTTGAAGTATACAGTACTTTACTCAGAACAAAATTAAATATGTAAACACTGTCAGACAGAAAAATAATGGAAACTGTGAAACACATACGAAGACTGACCCAGGAATCTGGTAGATCATTGTGGATTGGTCCAAAACTGTGGCAGTGGAGTTAAGAAAGACGTGGAGAGAGACTAGATATATTTGTTAGAGTTAGAGCTGATCAGAGGTGTTGATGAATTGAAGTGGGAGGTAGGAGAGAGAAATGTCAAGGATTACTCCCAGCTTTACAAAATGAAAAATCAGGTAGATGGAAATGTTTTTTCTTGAGATGGGAAATACTGGCAGTAACAATAAGAGAGAAGGCAGGGGGGCTGAGAGATGTCTTAGAGACCTCCAAAAGGAAATGTCACATACACAGCTTAATCTATGTGCCTGGAGATGAAAAGAGAGATTAGGAATAGAAATAAATGTCGGAAAAGTCCCATCTAGATGTTATATAAAATCCTCCTTGCAAATGAGATAAACTAGAAAATATGTCTAGATGGAGAAAGGAGGCCAATATTAAGATTTGAGAAACGAGAAAGAGCCAGTAAAGAAAAGTGAAATTGAGAAGTCAGGTAGATAGAAAGAAATTAGGAAAGCATGCAATCTCAGAAATAGAGAGATCGACTTTTTTTCTTGTTGTTTTTCCTTTTCTTTTTGGTAGAACATCAACTGTATCTAGTGTTGCTGAGTAGAGAATAAGATAATGATTGAAAGGTACTCATTCAGTTTCATTTCTGACAGTGTGGTAGATTAAGTTCCTGAAAATCCTCACACTAAGGATCACCAAGAAATGCTGCATAAAATACAGCAAACATTGAGCTCATAAGAAAGTGAGGAAAAGACTTAAAGAGCAAAATTCAAGGAAGAAGATGCAAACCAGAGTAGAAGATGAGCTGAAAAAGCTGCCTTGAAGGAACTAGCTAGCTCAGTAACCCAGAGCTTTCAGGGGACCATGCAAGATGAGAGAGCTGGAACTGAAACCCTGGAAGGGCAATAGCTTTGTTGAAGTAACAAAAGTATGCATGAAAAAGATCTTTCTCTAGGAAAAGAGAAGTTGTAATGGAAAGTTCTGTCTCAGCTAGGCTACAGGGAGGTGACAATGGTTTCCTTTGAGCATCTGTGGCCAATGAACTGGACCCCCTTTCATATCTGATTTGTATTTAGAATATCTTCAGGGAAACGCAAACTGATGTATTAACTTAAATGGTTGGTTTGCAGCCTGTAAAAAGTCATTTTACTGCACATCCACTTCTGTTTTCCCCATAAGACATTTTGTATTTCATCAAAAAAAATGATAGCTTCTAGAAATTGCTTAACCCAGAATGACTCCTTTCCCATCAAGTTTCATCCCCATCCCTCTGTTCCACACACACACACACACACATTCAACCAGACTGACACTACCTTGCCCACTGCCTATGTCTGACACTATCACATTTTTCTTTTTTGAAAAGATAGAGCTATTTTTAATGCTCATGGTAGTAATAATCATATTTTAATAAGTACATGGGCTATAAGATCCTTTTGAGCTGAAACAAGGTCAGATTATAAAACAAATGGATCTTTAATTTTGTGATGTTAAAACAGAAAGGATCTCAGAGATGGGCAAAGAAAAAAAACTACAGTCATCCCTTGGTATATGTGGGGGATTGGTTCCAGGACTCCCTGTCCCCCACAACATATACCAAAATCGGCACATACTCAGGTCCCACAGTCAGCCCTGCAAAACCCGCATATACAAAAAGTTGGCCCTTTGTATCCTCAGATTTCACATCCCACAAATGTCGTATTTTCAATCCCATTTGGTTGAAAAATAGCCCCATATAAGTAGACCAGTACAACTCAAACCCCTGTTGTTTATGGATCAACTGTATGTACACGAAATAATTTAAATAGCCACAAAACGTTTGCTAAATACATCTAGATCCCAGAGTAAAGGATATCAAAATCCGAGGAGCAGAAGTTTCTGAACAGAAATATAAGCTGAACTGATAATGATTAAAGTGCGAATTATTCTTTATTCTCTTTTACTATTTTCCATGATCTAAGTAGTTACGTGGCATGTTGCTTCTCTTATAAAAGAAAAATTTCTAAAAAAAAAAATAAAAAGTGGAAAAAATTGATTTCATGATATGCACATGAACATGAAGCTTTACCACTGACCACCCAGGAGAGAGACTCATTCTGAATTCTTTGGCAGTTCCTTATCTCTGCTTTGCAGTCCTTGGGCCCAAGCCTACCTTCCTTTAAAGTAGAGAAACTACCACATAATTTTTCTGACTTTTGAAAGTCAGTCTTGCCTTATTGTGTATAAATTTAGATAAGCATGCATATTCACAGACAGCTTTATATTTTTTTCAATTTACCTAGCATTTGTTTTTTAATTTCTATAATTAGAAGGAAAAATATCTTCTTAAACACTGTGGTCAGGCAGTTATGTGGATGGCCCCACTTTTGCTGACTCTTCTCTCTACTGTCAATTGTTTTGAAATGCATTCAAGCTTTTTAAAAATATTTTAGATCTTTTGTTTAGTTGCCTGAAACAATTAAGGTAAGTAAGAATCTGAAACATTTTAGCAAACAAATATTATGATGGGAAAGAAGAGCAGAATCTAAAATGACTCAGACACAGAAACCTTATGGCCCAAGCATCATTCAGGATATGTGCTGACAATGCATTTTACTTAAAATGTCAAAGAAATAACGTTAAATGAAAAAAATAGAAGTACATAAAAACTCAAATATGCCATGAGCTCAAAAAATGGACTTTGTTTGGAATCAAAGCAACCAATATTTTCAAATAAGTATGTTTGGGATCACCTTTGGGGTAGTTTGGTCCTGAAGTGCGTCCTGAATCATTCATAATGGACTCTCCATATTCACTTGCAAGACCCTGCCTGATTTCTCTCTGCACACCGTATTGCTGAATTCTGACTTGTTTATAAGTTGTTGGGAAAATTGTCCAAGACTTGGGAACAGGAAAAAGAGATGATTCAGCATCATCTAGCAGACATTCTGGGAATTACCTGATCCTATTTGGGGAGGGGGTAGGAACATCTGATGAGATTTGTGATTCACTTAGGCTAGTTTACAGCTAGCTCTATATACATAGAAGTTAAGTTACAGAAAATTGATAAAAATGCAACCAGTTAAAGCAGTTATAGTTGGCCCCTGAACAACACAAGTTTGAATTGCACAGGTCCACTTTTCTGTGGATTTTTGCAATAAATATATTGAAAAAAACTTTTGGAGACCTGCAACAATTTGAAAAAACTTACAGACAAACTGTGCACCCTAGAAATATAAAAAAAAAATCAGAAAATGTTAGATATGCCGTGAATGCATGCAATGTAGGTAGATACTAGTGTACTTTATCATTTATTACCATAAAATATACAAAAATTATTATAAAAAGTTAAAATTTATCAAAATTCATGCATACAAAAACAGATAATACATGATGACATTTGCTGTTGAGAGAAATGTAAACAAATGTAGATTCAGTATTAAACTGTAACTGCATTAAGTCAACTGTAGTACATACTGTACTAGTGTAATAATTTCATAGCCACCTCCTGTTGCTACTGTGGGAGCTCAAGTGTTGCAAGATCCACTTAGAACACCATGTGACACTAATTTCCCAGTGAGCAGTCCATCTGTCCAGTAAATTGCATGTTGAAGTAAAAAGTGATCTCTCCCAGTTCTTCGATATTATTCATTGTTTTTGGTGGAATACCATAAAGTTTCAACAATACCATGGAACCCAAATGAAGTGCCACCAATGATCCTAGACGGGCTATCAAGAAGCAGAGAAAAGTCACGATGCTACAAGAAAAAATTGAATTGTTTGATATGTACCATAGATTGAAGTCTGCAGCCGTGGTTGTGTACAATTTCAAGGAGACAATTAACTCATCTTTTAAACAGAAGATGTAAACCTATGGTATCAAGAGATTCAGTACAGTACTGTAAATGTATATTCTCTTCCTATGATTCTCTTAATAACATTTTCTTTCCTCTAGCTTACTTTATTGTAGGAATACAGCATATAACATACAAAATATGTGTTCATCGACTGTTTATTTTATCAGGAAGGCTTCTGGTCAACATAAGCTACTAGTAGTTAAGTTTTAGGGGAGTCAAAAGTTATACATGGATTTTTGACTTTGCAGGGGTGTTGGCACCCCTAGCCCCTGTGCTGTTCACCAGTCAACTGTACATTACTTTCATATGAAAGTAATGTGAATGAATTTTATCTACTAGAAGATGTTAATCTCTGCAAGACAAATCTAATGGGGAACTCAGCATCAAGGTTCCTGTGTAGCTGATCCAGTTCAAGAACATTCTAGGCCCCTCATCAGATAACTAATCCTCTATCTTGCCAGTTCCTAATCTTAATATAGTCTTGGCAATTTGGCTACTATGCCAATGTATTACATAGAATCTTCCAAGATTCAAGTATCAAAAACAAATTAAGCTTATCTCAGTGATTGGGCTTTATTGTGAGGAGCATTATTAAAAGTGGAGGGGCCGGGCACAGTGGCTCACATCTGTAATCCCAGCATTTTGGGAGGCTGAGGCAGGCAGATCACCTGAGGTCAAGAGTTCAAGACCATCCTGGCCAACATGGCGTAACCCCATGTCTACTAAAAAATACAAAAATTAGCCAGGCGTGGTGGCATATGCCTGTAATCCCAGATACTCAGGAGGCTGAGGTGGGTGACAGAGCAAGAATGCATCTCAAGAAATAAAAAGAAAGTGGAGGGAGGAGAAAGACAAAAAGTTATTTATTCCATCATATACCCAGACTCATGAAAACTTGACAACTATTAAAAACTGAAAAATCTTTCAGCATAATATACATCACATTTTTTTCTTACCCAATGACATTTCACTGGAGTGATTCATTAATCAATTAACAATAGATAACATTAACTGAACATTTGACTATCTTTCTGGCACTGTAACAAGCATTTTACATATATAATCTCATAATCCTCTCAACCATGCTATGAAGCAGATACTTCATATTCACTTTAAAGATAAGGAGTTTAAGGCGTATAATGTTTAAGTCTCTTGCCCGTGATTATACAATTTTTGCAAGTAGGAGAGCACAAATTCAAATTCCAGTGGTCTGGGTCTAAAGCCTTAGCCCCAGCATCTTTATGTTGCTCCTGCTTCTTAATTTGCCTCTTAATTTTTCTTACTACATTTTACTCTTTTTTCTATTTTAAAAAAACGAAGCCCTGAGCTCCCAGAAAACAGTAACAATTTTTTAAAAACCTACTGTTTTGTGTCTTAAGAAGTGGTTTAACACGAAGAATCATCCTTGGTTATACAACTTAACTAAGACAATGTTCTTTCTTCCTTGTGATTGGTAAGATGTGTGGATGTCTCCCTTGTTTACTTGTGACAAGACCAAGCATAACCCTCTCCCCTTTGTTTCAACGTGTTAACAGGCCTTCCTACATCCTCCTCTTTAACTGATTAGCTGACATGAGGACTGTTTATCCCCCTGAAACTAAATGTGGTAGGCAAAATAATGACCCGCTAAATATGTCCACATCCTAATTCCTAAAATCTGTGACTATGTAAGCTTACATACAAAGGGGAATTATTTTTCAAATGGAGAAAAGGTTGCTAATCAGATAACCCTAAAATAGTGAGATTATTCTAGATTACCAAGGTGTATATAATCACAAAAATCCTTAAATGTAGAAGTCAGAGTGAAAAAAAAGAGGAACTAGAGAGGTGGCCTGACATTGCTGGCTTCAAATATGGAGGAACTGGGCCGTGATCCAAGGAAGGCAGGTGGCCACTAGAAGCTGAAAAAGAGAAGTAAATGGACTATTTCCTAGAGCCTCCAAAAGGAATACAGACCTGCCAACACCTTGATCTCAGCCCAGTGAGATGTTTTTCAGATTTCTGACCTTCAGAACTGCAAAATAACAAATGTGTATTGTTTTAATACGTTAAATTTATGGTAATATGTTACAACAGTAATAGGAAACTAATGCACTAGCTAATCATAGAAACACTATTCAGATAACTGACAGAAACTTCTCCTACTTGCAAAACTACTGCAGCTGTAAATCACTCCATCTGCAACTTGTTTGCTCCTCCCCTCAAAAGTCTAAGGAAAAACCAGTCTGTTGAGAAACTCTAATCTTTGGATCCTGCAATAACCTATGTAAAGTCATCTCCTTAGTTGTCTGGTGCATTGTGTCTTGGACAATTTGGTGCCACACCACTGATAGGATCAGACCTCACCTTTGGGTCCTCATTTCCTCCTAGGTAATGAAGCCCCTTAGAGGGCCCTCTGATCCTTTCCTGACTGGTGATCTAAAGACCCAACAATGAGTCTCTCTCCTGGTCCTCTGTTCTGGACTCTTGTCCCTCTGCAGCACAGTAAGGATTTTGATTCCTTTGAGTACTGACTAAATTTTTGGTGGTGGCTTCTTTTGGTTTTATGGTCTGACCATTCGATGATTTCTATAAATGAGTAAGTGGTTCATAGAGACCTTCTCTTCTTTGGGTGAAACATAACAAAGTGTCTGGTTTGCTAGACTTTTATGTTTGTCTGTTTGTATATTTTGAGCTCAAATCAATTAAGAATTCATATACACTAAGAAGAGACTATCTCTTTAATAAGGACTGGCAAATTTTGTAATTATGTATTTACTCTTACCCCAGGACCAAAAGTCAATAATTAAAGCTATAACCTCTCTGTGTACAGTCATTCTGTATCTGTGGGGCATTGCTTCCGGGACCTCTCATGGATACCAAAATCTACAGATGCTCAAGTCTCTGATATAAAATGGCCTAGTATTTGCATCTAACCTGCACATATCCTTCTGTATACTTTAAATCATCTCTAGATTATTTATAATACCCAATACAATGTAAACACCATATGAAGTGTTGTATTGTTTAGGGAATAATGACAAGGAAAATAAATTTGTACATGTTCAGTACTCAAATTTTTTAAATTATTTTTAATCAGGTTGATTAAATCTTCAGATGTGGAACCCATGGATACTAAGGGCCAACTCTACTTTTATATGTCTGTGAGTATGGAATATTTTTCTACCTCTGTGTGGCATTACCAAACGAGATTATAAAATCTCTTAAAGAAGCTTTGTTCTGACTGGCTTAAGAAAATGCTTATATAAGCTAAATATTCCTAAAATTTGCAAACATTAGGATTTAAATATTAAATACTTTCAATGTGCTATATAAATCATATAAAAACTAATTCAAATGCCTTAAGAATTCAAGCTCATGTAATTGAGGTAAATCTTTGCAAAACAGACAAGTTTAATCTTATTGGTTTACTAAAAACAGCTGTCTGCTGGGCATGGCAGCTCACGCCTCTAATCCCAGCACTTCGGGAGTCTGAGGTGGGCAGATCACGAGGTCAAGAGATCGAGACCATCCTGGCCAACCTAGTGAAACCTTGTCTCTACTAAAAATACAAATATTAGCTGGGCATGGTGGCACATGCCTGTAGCCCCAGCTACTCGGGAGGCTGAGGCAGGAGAATTGCTCGAACTCTGGAGGCGGAGGTTGCAGTGAGCCAAGATCGTGCCGCCACACTCCAGCCTGGCGACAGAGCGAAACACCGTCTCAAAAAAAAAAAAAAAAAAAAAAATCAGCTGTGTCTTTAGCATTAACTATAACACGAGCTTATGCTTTTATTACGTTTGTGTGGTTCTTCCTAGACTTATATAGGCTTACTAATCAAATAAGCTAGCCTGTTTTATTTGCCAAATGTTTAATGTGACAGAAAAAATTTAAATATTTGTTTAACCAAATTGAATCATTATTTTGACAAACTTTATTTCAATAGAAACTGTATTTTGTAGTATGTGAGTTTTTTGTTTTTTGTTTTTTGATTTTTTTTCTTTTTTTGAGACAGAGTCTCGCTCTGTCACCCAGGCTGGAGTGCAGTGGTGCAATCTCGGCTCACTGCAACCTCTGCCTCCTGGATTCAAGCTATTTTCCTGCCTCAGCCTCCCGAGTAGCTGAGACTACAGGTGCCTGCCACCACGCCTGGCTAATTTTCGTATTTTTAGTAGAGACGAGGTTTAACCATGTTGGCCAGGCTGGTCTCAAACTCCTGACTTCGTTATCCTCCCGCCTCGGTAGTCTCTAAGATTTTTAGGTAATTTAAAACATTGAACTAATACTAAATTTACTTAATTAATGGATATACATTAGATAACTAGATTATCAGTAAAAGAATGCTGAAGTATTATTTCCTAAGCATAATTTTAAGTTCAGTACTTTTGTCTCTTATTTGTATATGATACAGAGAGACTATGTATATTTGGGTCTGTGAACATGTTCACTTTTGTCACTTTGTTGTACTATAAGAAATGAAAATGGCTGTAGTAAGCTATTAGTTTTCATGAACTCTGCTGGTCTGCTGAAAAATACTGGTGTGTGACAGGCAAGGTACAATTAATCATTTCCTAGTTTTAACTGTGAAAGAGAAGTTACTTTGGTTAAAAATTATAATCGATATATGTGTTGTACCAGGAAACAATAGTGGCAGTAAAGGTAAAACTTTGTATGCAAAGTATGAAGAATGTGCTTTTGTTAAGAGAAAAAAAGATCATAGTTTTGTCCTAAAGAAAAATGACCAATTGCTCTGGAATGACAAAGAGGAAAGTGTAGGACAAAACTTGAACGGATATAGAAAGTTGTAGAAGGTTTTTGGAAAGAGAATCTTATTTGCTATGGTCAAAGCTGGCTAAGGTTTAATGGGTTTATCTATTATGTTTTCAAAAATAATGTGCTTCTTAAGATTTTTTGGTTTTTCACATTTTTTGGAGTATTGGTCAATAAAAAGTTTTTGTTGGAAACAGTTTTTCTTTATCTTCTGAGTAATCTGCCTAGAAGGCAGGGATTCTGTGTATTATCAAAATTATTCCGTCTGTTGTATGTTGATTTTATCATGCCCTTGATTATTTAATAAAAGTTTTCTCAATCTTGAAAGGGCTAAGATTTTTACAATATTACCTCCAATGTTTCTTTCTAAAATCTTTTATTGTTACTTAGATTAAATAGGTGCCAACTATTATTTCCCAGTGACCCATGATTTTATCTTAATCAAGTATTCAACTCTCCTAAGAACTTCTGATGTTCTGCTTTCCTAAAATTGAATTCTAAATGACATCTTTTGCACCTAAAGCTGACTTCAAGATTTCCCAGAGGCCTTCTGGAAAACCACAAAGAATTGTTTTCTCTTACTTTCTAAAAAGAGAGATGCTAGATAAGTAGACCCATTTGATATGTTACTACTGCTGAGTTGTGTGGGAACCACTGCCAAATCAGAAGGGATACTTAACCTTCCCTGGGTTAAATTCATACAGGCAAATGGTTATACATATTTCAGGAATTAGGTGCTGTATGGAAAGTCCCTGGATATTTTTCAGTGTATTAGCTGTCAAAGATATGTTTTAGAGTCCTGGTATTGCTTTGCCTAATAGTAGATAATGAGTATAGTGCTATTGGCCATAATTACAGATATTTTTTAAAGTTTAACTTTGTTACAACTTTACCTCTTTAATTTGTATCTAGCATCTTCTAGCCTGGTGGTTTGCAAAAGGGCATTCACATCACTTACTTATGGGGTTTTATTAATATGCAGATGTTCAGGACCTACTCCAGAACTGTTACATCTCTTTAATTGAAAATCTTGATATATCCTCGGTACACTCTATATGTTTGGTATATTCATGTTATACTAAGTCTCAGAATTATCATAGATTATATCTGAAGGGTTTTTTTCTTTGTAAAGATTATGTACCAATTTTTATAAATTAGATGCTACATCAAGTCTTCTTTAAAAACAGGGTTAAATATTATATTTTAAGATATTTTATCAACTGTTTTTATTGATTTTCTTTGCCTGCCACAGAAAACACAGTTCTTTGTCAATTGCATGATTTTCATAGTTAACTCTTATCAGGTCTTTACCTCTTGAAAATTATCAGCAATAAATTAACCACAGTTATTTTAAGTTTTGTCATCTACAGAAAGTGTTTTTGTTTAATTTTGATGCTTCTCTAAAAGTGCTAGCTACAAGCCAGAATGTTTTGACTGTAATAAAGGATGGTCTCAGAGCCCCATGACTATGCCAAGTTCTCTTGGGTACCATCTTCTGATATTATAGTATTGCTTTAAAAACTTTAACATCATACCAGTGCACTGAGTCAGGACTTCCAGATTTCTAGCCGAAAAGCAGATGGGTTCATGAGACTGATAACCCATAATCAAGTGGAACAATAATTAATTACACAGGACTGAATGAACTGATGAGAAATAATTCTGGTTTTTGTTTGAAATATTGTTGTGTTATAATTCTCTTTTGGGGATATAAGAAACTCTCTTTTCTCCAGTGATATCATCTATCTGTATCTTTAGCTATACCTCATAACGATTTAATGGATTATGCTTTTGTTAAAGGAAATGAAATATGTATCTTTATCTCCCTGTCTGATCTTTTCAGAGTTAAGTATTCTTATTTTCTTGGCAGCATAGTTATATGCATGGGTTCAATAAGAACCTGTCCTCCTTTTAAAGAGCACACATGGAAACATTGGTTATGTGACCAAGTCTTTGCCTGGAATGTCATATTTGAGAATGATGCTCATTGAATTAATTATAACCAGACACTTTTTTTAATATACTTTAAGTTCTGGGATACATGTGCAGAACATGCAGGCTAGTTGCATAGGTATACACGTGCCATGGTTGTTTGCTGCACCCATCAACCCATCATCTACATTAGGTATTTCTCCTAATGCTATCCCTCCCCTAGCCCCCGACCCCCTGACAGGCCCCGGTGTATGACGGTCCCCTCCCTGTGTCCATGTGTTCTCATTGTTCAACTCCCACTTGTGAGCGAGAACATGCAGTGTTTGGTTTTCTGTTCCTGTGTTAGTTTGCTGAGAATGATGGTTTCCAGCTTCATCCATGTCCCTGCAAAGGACATGAACTCATCCTTTTTATGGCTGCATAGTATTCCATGGTGTATATGTGCCACATTCTCTTTATCCAGTCTATCATTGATGGGCATTTGGGTTGGTTCCAAGTCTTTGCTATTGTGAAGAGTGCTGCAATAAACATACATGTACATGTGTCTATATAGTAGAATGATTTATAATCCTTTGGGTATATACCCAGTAATGGGATCGCTGGGTCAAATGATGCTTCTATAACCAGACACTTTTAAAGGCCTATGTTTGATTCGATGAAGCCAATGCTTACAAAACCTTCAGAAAAATGGTCTGGTCTTACTTGCAGATAAAATAACCTTAAAGAAAGGTCACTTCCTGACCTTTGCTGCTTAAGTCGCTGCACCCATCAACCTGTCACCTACATTAGGTATTTCTCCTAATGCTATCCCTCCCCAACCCCTGCCCCAACCCCACGACAGGCCCATCATTCTCAGCAAACTAACACATGAACAGAAAACCAAACACTGCATGTTCTCACTTATAAGTAGGAGTTGAACAATGAGAACACATGGACACAGGGAGGGAAACTTGTGATATTTTGGAAACCTCGAGAAGAAAATAATTTAATGAAATGTATGGGTGCTGAAGGTGAAATATTATGATCAATTCTTGGCTTAGATCCATAGCCTGAGAAGGTTTTTAAAGTCCAAAGATTCGTGATAAAACTTCCAGCAAAGCAAATTTAAGAATGTACACAGTATCTAGTCCAATGTCTGGCACGTTGGCCTTGCCCAGTAGTTATTTCTTGAATAAGTGAGTACATAAAAAGTCTGTTAGCACTCTCATTTTTGGTTCAGTCAATAAAATATTTAATGAATTGGTATAAGTTGTTCTCCTAGGTTCTTGAGACACAAGGGTAAATAAGAAAGGCATCACAAAAGTTACAGTCTGTTCAATCTTTAGATAAGCATCCAGAAATCAGCCTTTTCCTCCTGTCTCCTAAAGTTGTCTTTATAGACACATTTTTCTAGAAAAATATTTGATAAAAACTTTCCTCAGGGAGAACAACCCATCCTGGTATGCAAAGTTATCTCTAAATCTACATAGATAACAGAGAAGTTTTATAGGAGTTGACAAAAATGTAAAAAATAATTTTAATAAGTGCAAATATTCAAAGGATCAAAGTTAACCAAAAATGTATGAAATTTTAATTTTGTCCTTACTCCGACCTATAAATATACTTTAAATAATATTTCTTCATAAAGTGTAATTTAAACCAATGATATAATGAGTATAGAAAATGCTTGTTTAATTTAACAAACCTGCCCAAAATGGACTTATGTGTATTACCATAATTTGCAGCATATTTCTTTTATCCTAACATAAATTTTAGGAAATTAAAATTTATGACTTTTCATAAGCAAAAGAACTTTCTTGTTCCAAATAGATCATTTAAATTAAGATGTTTGTTTTTTTATCTTCATTTTTTAGGTTATTATTTTTATATTTTTCAGCATCCTGGAAACTTGTATGATAGTCAGAGTATAATTAGGTGAAAGTGTTATGGTAAAATAACCAGTTAAAATGAAACCAGAGAATGCTATACTAAATAATATAGCTTTGATAACATTTAATATAATTTTTTGTTAGCTTATCAATCAAAGGTTTTAGACAACCACATTATCAACATATTAGTTGTTTCTTTGAATTTGCCAGGAAACTTGAATTTTCCTTGACCACATGCTGAAATAATTTCTGTTCATGGAAATTAGTTGGCTTTAGATGTTGTTTGGTTGTAAAATTATGGTTTACCATTATTTTTGTTTGTTTATAGTTAATTAGCATTTTCATTAGCTGCTTAGCATTCTTCCCACTACAGAAGTGTTTCTGTAAATTCTTCAAAACAAGCAACTAAGAAAGAGAAGAATGATATTTCAACAAATACATATACCCTTTAAAACTGTATAAAACGGGCCGGGCGCGGTGGCTCACGCCTGTAATCCCAGCACTTTGGGAGGCCGAGGCGGGCGGATCACGAGGTCAGGAGATCGAGACCATCCCGGCTAAAACGGTGAAACCCCGTCTCTACTAAAAATACAAAAAATTAGCCGGGCGTAGTGGCGGGCGCCTGTAGTCCCAGCTACTTGGGAGGCTGAGGCAGGAGAATGGCGTGAACCCGGGAGGCGGAGCTTGCAGTGAGCCGAGATCCCGCCACTGCACTCCAGCCTGGGCGACAGAGCGAGACTCCGTCTCAAAAAAAAAAAAAAAACTGTATAAAACGAAAGTAGGAACAGAAATTATCCAAGTTAAAAAACAGATGATTCATCTGGACACTGAGATATATGATTACATTTATTGAAAACACTTCAAAAAAAAGTACAACTTATTGAACAAAGTTATTGCAAGGTCACTTATTACTGGAGATAAGATCAGCGTTAAAACCTACAATAAAATCTAAATTTAAAGACTTCCTAAACTGGGGTTTCTACAATTTTCCTTAATGATTTTTTTAAATGTAAAACTCTTATTTTCTAACTTACATTTCTCTTGTTGCAATTATTTTGGAGTCAGATTTAGAATATATTAAAATATTTAGTCGTAGCAACTTTTTTTCAGAGGTCTTATGTTTACATCTAAACTGGATCTGAAGAGGGTTTTGTGTGTTTTTTGCCAGATTTGTGAGCCTGCATGCTTTCTGTCAAGCAGCAAGGGGTTGTTAAAGTCTCTTATTTAATAAATGACCCACGAATAAATGAAAATGATGGGAAAAATGTATGCCTACCATACCATTCTACATTCTACACTTCTTGTTATGCATCCTTGACCTGGACCTGCTATTTAAAGACAGCACTACCTTGCTGATATTGACCAGTTGGAATCCATTATGACTCCAAAGCAAGTCTAGGATTTCAAATACAGCAAATTTCACAGTCTGAGGCCTTCATTCACAGGAAGGTAGTCTCTTATTTCTGCCAGGATAAGATAAGAAACCACAACGGAACAAAGATAAGAAGTGCTATTCCCTGGGATGGAGGGAAATATCAGTTGCTAGCAAGCCAGGGTTTTCATCATGTAAGAATTTTCAGCAGATTCTCTGGCCTTAGCACTGAGACCACTTCAGACCAATCTCCCTGCACCTTATCAAATGCTAAGCACAAGCACTGAATTCACAAATACCACACAAATGTGTGGTTGGAGTAGGAACACTCTAAAAGTCAGTTCCAAAAATGCACACAGCCCACAGCCCCCCTTCAAATAATGCATCTTGTGAAATGGGGTTGCTGTAAATAGAGCTCAAGCTTGAACACTGTAAACACTTGCCAAGAAAAGAAGCAATTCATAGGAATGGTTTAATCAACCCTAAATTATCATCAAATTCAGCTACCTCAAATTTTGGATGCTGCCATCTCAACAGTAAAAATCGAAGGTCTGATTTGTTCTTGCTTAACGCAAATGTGGTGGGATGAGGGAGGTGGAGCTGCCAAAAACAACAGCTTGTGAAAATCTGATCTGAAGTTTATATGTTTCATAGACCTCCACCCAAACAAGATAAATATATAACTGTAAATCTTGCAAATTTTATATATGGAACTGTGGAATGTATTTGTTGAATATTATTTAAACTTTAATCATTTAAAATAGTAAATTGAGCATAGTATATGATTCTACTTTTCACAGAATCTATTTCTTTCTAAATGTGACCCTTATGGGGTGCTCTCCTCTGCCCTTTCCATTACGCTCATAACACGAACTATGTACACTACAGTTTTTATCACAATTGTATCTGTGATTGTGAGCTGCAGGCAATAATAAGAGTTTTAAAATCTAAGCAAAAATCACCAAGAGTTAATCTAACTTTTAATAATTTGATTGGGAAACTCATTCCTACCCTACAGTAGGGGTAGAAATGCCTTTCATGGTAGAAAACCTATAGGCTAAACTGAGATTCTATAGTTAAAAATTATAGAATCAAAAAGGAGAATTAAATATACTCCTCTACAAGCTTAAGTGACTTACTATCCATATGGCAGAGGTGTAATCAGGGAGCCTTAGTTGAGCACCAAAATGTGACTATAAAAATGCTTTGTATATCTATCACATGCATCCGTGTGAAGAGACCAACAAACAGGCTTTGTGTGAGCAATACAGCTTTCTAATCACCTGGGTGCAGGCTGGCTGAGTCCGAAAAGAGAGTCTGGGAAAGGAGACAGGGGTGGGGCCGTTTTATAGGATTTGGGTAGGTAGTGGAAAATTACAGTCAAAGGGGGTTGTTGTTCTCTGGTGGGCAGGGGTGGGGGGGTCATAAGGTGCTCAGTGGGGGAGCTTCTGAGCCAGGAGAAGGAATTTCACAAGGTAATGTCATTAGTTAAGGCAGGAACCGGCCATTTTCACTTCTTTTGTGATTCTTCACTTGCTTCAGGCCATCTGGATGTATACATGCAGGTCACTGGGGATATGATGGCTTAGCTTGGGCTCAGAGGCCTGACAATATCTATGTCTTTATCAATATGGAGAGAGGGAGAGAGAGGTGGGGGGAGCCTCTTATATTATCAGTTAACCTAATAAATGGATACCCCAAGGTTATTTATATTATATTGTATTATAGGAGGGTAGGAAGTGTGAGAGTCAGAGATAAGATTAAAGATTAAACCTGTAGACATGCACTAAAAATTCAGTGTCTCTTGTGTCTCTTGTTTCTGGCAAAAAGGAAGGTTATAAATAAATTCTCTTCAAAGAAATAAACTATAAAATGATCATAAGTTGAATGAATGAATTTCAGTCAGACTATCGTACCTCAAACAAAATAGCTTCCTAGATTGAAAGACTTGATATAACTTTTGAATACATTAAGGCATCTAAAAAAGACTGTATTAGAAGGCATGGTGGGTGCGTCTTCCTTGAAAATATGAGAGGTAAAGTGGCAGAAGCAAATATGGGTGCCCATCCTAGCCATGCCCACATAGGGAGGTGTCTGGGCAAGCAGACTGGATTCTGGTGATAATGAAGAAAATGCAGCATTAGTGGTTGAAAATCAGTGGCCTAAAGGTGGGATGTTTCCTCTTTTATTCTGAATTTACCGTGTCGATTTTCACAGTATCAACAACTAAAAATAAAACAAAAAACAAATTGTAAAAAACCTTTGAAGGAGAATCTGATAAGACATAAATAATTTGAAGTTTCATCCAATTTCACATTGACAGATTCTTTTATAAAATTGGATTATCTGGAAATATGGAGTCTATGTCTTACAAGAATTGACTAGAACTGAGCATTGGGCTGCTCCCTGTGTTGGTTTACACACAGTCTCTACTACTCCTTGTTTTACCCTTCACACTAAAGCAATTTTGATAGCAGTGACTATCATTGCCCTTCCACTATTTTCATATTAACTTTTTTAAAAACAGTATTTCTTATATTATGTTCCTGTCAAAAGTAGGAAAATGAAAGCAGCTACAAGGAGGGAAAGCACTGGTCATGCCCTGATTAACCTCTACTCCAAGTGACAGTTATGTTTTTAACAGTCAAGTAATAAATTCACTTTGTTTTATATGTAAGTTGACATCTGAGTAAAGCCCATTTTGGGCCACTCACTGTAAGGAATGACCAAACCTGCATATTTGTAGAGTGATGAATTCACTCAATTAATGTCACCTTGTGGAGACTGTCCTGGAAGTGGTTTTGATTCAGAACTATAATAGATTCTTTTCCAAGTGTGTGTTATGTGGCAAAACTCTGAAGACACAGCAGCCAATAATCATTGTTGATCACACAGAACAGCTCGTTATCTAACTTGTAATCTGAGTCTCAAATTGAATAAATGTATGAAAGGACTTGTAAAAATCATTGAGCCCAAAAAGTTTAGAAAATTTGTTGCTTTACAGTGAATATTTGGGGCAATAAATAAAACAATGAATCTGCTTCATCACAATAATGTTGTAAAGGCCAATTTTAAATAATTTATTGTTTGTAAGAGATAATGTGTTAGCTCTTACCAATGCCGGTACTATACAAAAAAATTAACTTAGAGTAGCTAAGAGATTTGCAAAAGGAAGTATGCTATCTTCTACCTTTCTTACTATGTTTCTATCCTGCTAGTTTTTGTTTCATTTTAAGTGACAGTGCATCTGAAAATGACTCCTCATGCCGACCAACTAATCCTTTTCTCTAGTCTCCTCCCTTCCCCAGTTAGAGATCGCACGCGGTGGCTCACACTTGTAATCCTAGCACTTTGGGAAGCCAACGGAGGCAGATCACTTGAGGCCAGGAGTTTGAAACCATCCTGGCCAACATGGTGAAACCCCATCTCTACTAAAAATACAAAATATTAGCCAAGCGTGGTGGCACGTGCCTGTAATTCCCAGCTACTCGGGAGGCTGAGGCAGGAGAATCACTTGAACCCAGGAGGTGGAGGCTGCAGTGAGCCAAGATCATGCCATTGCACTACAGCCTGGGTGACAGAGCAAAATTCTCTGTCTTGCTGTGTGTGTGTCACACACACACACACAAATCACATGAATTACACAATAAATTATTTAAGGAAATTGTATTAATTATGTATTTATGACATGCAAACCCCTGGTTTTTTTATTCTTTATTTAATGTTTATTGTTAGACAAAGATCATGTGTAGAATAGGAGTATAAGAAAATATAGATTAAAAATTAAAAGGAGAGAAATGAATGTGATTTATATTCCCATCACCTAGGTAGATATAAGTACTATTAATATTTTAGTATAGATTCCTCTAGATACATTTTTTAATTCTCTGTATTTATTTTCAGTAAAATTATCTTTGAATTGTCAATTTCTTCTAAATTTTAGAAAACATAAGTAACATCCATGCTTGCTAGTTAATTAGATTGCCCATTTCACAAATACTTTGTGACTCTTTCAGCATCTGTGTCTCTAAAAGGTAAGGAAGAAAACAAGGTGGCATTTTCTCAATATCAACCAGATATTGACAGAAGGCAGGAGAGTGAAACCAGGAAAAACTTAGAGGAAGCATTTGAAAAGGAATAATAATGTCTTATCCTCTAGGTCTAAACAGTTTGTTGATTTGAAATCTCAAATTATCAGAATAAACACACCAAAACACATACCTCTTGGTAAATTCTCCCATAATTAAACAACTACATATTGGGTTAGCAAGTCTATTGGAAACCCAACTAAATAGCATTATCAACATACTATTGATATTTTTCCTCATTATATTCTGTTTAGGAATCCATAAGATAAATGACTTTTCTAGGTTTAATTACCTCATCTTTAATAAATATACTAATATTGTCTCTCTAATTTGAAAACACTAAAGTTGACACCAGAATTTTATGGTGCCATGGTTCCACATAAACAGCAATTATTCCTCCTAAACAGTATGCAAATAATTGAATAGTTCTTTGACATCGGTAAATGCATTTGCTAACTATGTTTTTCAAGTCACATGATTTCGAAAATAAGTAAGAAAATTAACCTATATTTTAAAATTCCTATAACCCCTTGTTCAATAAAATCCTTACTCATTTTTCACTAAACACTAAATGGAGTAGATGAGTAATGTTTGTTACATAAAAAAATGGTACTTTTACTTAAGTTGGCAGAATTTTGGAAAAACCCTTCTTTGATTCTGCCAAATTCGTCTGGAAGAAAGTCAACACACGATTGTAGAGCTCACAAAGTCTAAATAAGTGTTAGCACAAAACAGTCTTTCTTTGTTTTTCAATAATTTGTTTTGAGAACATTTTCTCCCACCCCTATGCCTCCCTGTGTCTCTCCTTCCTCTTTCGATTCCTCTCCTGCCATGGAAAAAGGAAACAGCCAATAAAAGGCTCTGTCTGAAGCCAAATCTATTTTTTTCTTTTCTTTTTTCTTTTCTCTTTTCTTTTCCTTTTTTCTTTCCTTTTCTCATCTTTTCTTTTTCTTTTCTTTCTTATCTTTTCTTTTTTTTCAAAACATGAAATTCAGTTTCCCAATATTTAGTTATGTATGAAACTCTACAAGAGGTATTTAATAAAGCAAGGCTAATATTAGATGAAAAAAACGTTCATGACAAAACAGCTCTTATTATCTAGGTGAAATCAGCCTAGATAATAAGAGAGAGATAATCAGAGAGAGAGAGAAAAAATGTAATTGCCATTGAAAGTAAAAACTTTCAAAGGCAAAAGTTTTCACTTTCAATGCCAAAAACCGCAATTACTTTTGCACCAATCTAAAATACAAGGCCTCTAAACTTCCTAATACAGACTACTGAAAGCCTCCCCAGGATCCATTTTCTCTTTCCAATTAGCCCAACTGTTGGATTCATGTTATTCCTCAAATAAGTCTACCCTCTGACTAGAAAATTGGACACATGGGCCTAGTGAAAGCCAATTAGTGCAAGCCATCACAGAGAGTAGGTTGCTTGGTCAAAGTTAAGCATTTGAATTAGGTCAGGATCATCAGAATGGCTTTCAGAAAATTTGCTTAGAATTCCAAAAGAAAGGCTCTTTCCAGATGATGTAATGTTCTAGACACAGTATTATAATAAATATGATTGAAATGTGATATTAAAGGGTTGGGATCCACTTATGGTTGATTGGTATGTTTTTACGGTGGAACTTAAGAGGGGTCAGGGTGAATTTCAGTAATATGTGCTCTGTGGGACTTCGTTACTCATTAACTCGGTTTCCCTGAAGAATCAGTGTCAAGCGAGGTGGTCCAATTGCTATTAGTCCAATTACTTTATCTGTTTTAGGAAGATTATTTTAGTAACACTAAAACTTAAAACATTTTTCTACTTGTGTTATACTGACAGCAGTGGAACTGTCCTGCACCATACATACAAAATATATTTAGTAGCTGAGCCTTAAATTTGTCAGATTGACCTTCGCTTCCCTTTTTAGGGAAAAACATGACAAATTCAAATGTACAGAAAGTCCCATACAAAAAATTGCAGGAGTTTCATTCAACACTGTAAGTAAGGTCATGACCAACAGAATTCCAAATTCTGTCTTGCTTTTCCCTGATGACATTGTTTCCCTATGTCATGCTCAAATGAAGGCCATACATTCACCCATGCTTCTGCATTTTAAGGCTTAACAGAACACAAGCTCAAGCTATTCCCCTGAGACATTTTTCCAATGTCCATAAAGACTTGACACTCTGCATACATTTTTTTGTACTGTTATCATTTGTTTACACCTCTCCCCAACCAGATCATCAATTCATGAAGGGCAAGAGCTGCATTTTATTTCTTGCTACCCACAGATTTTGGAACATAATAGATATTGCATCAGTGATGATTAAATTAAAGAGCACTTTGGATGCTTTTTCTTCTTTAAGCTTTTTTGCCAGTTTCCAATCTATGTGAAACAAACCATACTTTTTCACCATTCTCATTTCTTGGTCTTGAGCAAGACAAAAAAAAAAAAATTACTTAATTTCATTGGCTTGCTCCATGAAAAATGCTTATTATTTAAGTACCACATTAACCTCAATGACACTCACAAGTTCTTTTTTTTTTTTTTTTTTGTATTTTTAGTAGAGACTGGGTTTCACCGTGTTGGCCAGGATCCACCCGCCTCGGCCTCCCAAAGTGCTGGGATTACAGGCGGGAGCCACCACGCCCAGCCACAAGTTCACATATTTATGAGATATTTCATGCTCCACAAGAAATTGGAATTCTTATTTTTCTTTCCCTTTCATTTTTTCCTTCTAGATTTCAACTTAGCATGTAGATCAATTTTGATAATCTTTATTTTTCTCTCTTCTCCTATTGTAGCCTGTGGCCTTAGGATAATTACACACAAAAGATGTTGAAATAATGGTGATGTTTATGAAATGCTCTTAAATTAATAATGGATATTTCATATACCACACAAAAATAACCCAATCCTATTGCATAGGTCCTTTGAGGTTAGGAAAAAAGGGTCATTATCAAAGAATATGCAGCTATTTACTTATAAGCTAAGCCACTTATAATTAGAATTTTAACACACAAATAGGGGGAGATATTGAGTATTGCTTTTCAAGTTATTTATACAAACTTATATAGCTTCTCTTTAAAGATTGGTTTAGAGCAAGAGAAAGATCAATGGCATTTAGCTCATCTTCTTATCTTAGCATCATATTTCATTCTTTTGCTGTTTTATTTAATTAATGGTGTTGGAAGGTACTAAATTTCTGTACGCCACTCAAATACTCTACTTCAGTCATTTGGCTTTTCTGCTTACATTCTTATTATGAAATTAACATACATGCTTTTTTCTTCCAAATTAAATACATTTTTAACTTAAAGAGAAAACTTGGAGGAATGCCAACAAAAAACTTTTCTAAATTATTTGTATACAGTATACCTAAGTCATTGTATTATAATATAAAATTATGGTAATGGTTAACTTGCACAACATTGATAATCTATACTGCCCGCAATGCAGAGTTTTCAAACTAATGTCCTTTTGTTCAATAAAATTAAGGTGTTTTTCTTTTCAGTTATATTTTCTAAGTGTATTTTCTACCACTGAAAAATTCAGTTTGAGAAACCAGGTGACAAGGTTTTCTACATGAAAAGAAGCATCCCTGGTTGGAAACATCTTGCTTCCTTGTTGCTATAGCAATGTGGTTGTCCATCATTGCAGGAAGCCAGTTGCCAACTATAAAGAAAGTCTTTCTGCCACATAAGAGCAATTAATGAACCTTAACATACTCTATCTGAAAATAATTATCTGTTGCAGAGTTTGCCAATATGTGTTCTCTGAAACACTGTCTAATAGTAATTCTACTGAAAAATGCTTTTTCATCTTTTTTAGAGGTTAAGAATATACACATAATTAGTAAGGCTAAAAGAATTTCTGTGGTAAACACATCTGAATATATCAACTAAATATGTATTTACCAAATATGTTTTTCCATAAAATCTAACTTTTACAAACACCTATTAGCATAGTACTACTGATCAGTCTCCTCTTTTTTCCTCTGGTACTATATTGGCTTTTAGTCATCACAGAATTTTTACATGCATAATATTTATCAAAACAACAAACCCAGGTTGTCTCAAATGCTATGGTGAATTCAGAATTTTAAAATGGCATAACCTTTCTTATAATCAAATTCAAAATTAGAAAAGCATGATTAACACATTAAATTAATGTCAAACATAGAATTCTATATATTTAAATTATAGATATATTTCTAAAGGTAAGACAGCCTAATGTGTAAAACAAATTTCTAAACTTTACTCATATTGCTTAGAAACACACACAATGATGTTGTTTTCTATTGTATAATAATATAAAAAGCTTGACAGGTCATCATGTTTTCAATTCCAATCTGAATCCAGAGACAGAATAACGTAGTGTGCT
The DNA here is from genome assembly GCF_000001405.40 of Homo sapiens. NCBI lineage: Eukaryota > Metazoa > Chordata > Mammalia > Primates > Hominidae > Homo > Homo sapiens. The sequence goes on along the minus strand of NC_000010.11, from coordinate 64,499,972 downwards.
AAGAAACACCATAACAATACAAAGTCCTCCAGGAGATTTCTACACCTCCAGAGTAATAATTACAAATTACTACAATTAAAATGAATGAACTCAAGAGGAGTGCATGTTCAGACCCTAAGGCACAGGCGACTTTCAGATAAAAAGCCACGAAGCAGACATCTCATTTCATCTGCACCATTGCAAAGCGCTGAACGCTCCCATTCTCACAGCAAGAAAAAAGTGGACTAGCTTAAAATCAGTGACCTTTCTTAAGTCATCAGAGAACTGAGGTCACAGCAAAAATGATTATTATGAAATCTAGAGAAACGGGAATATGGAGAACACGAATTTTCAGTTTAACTGAAGCAGAAGCTGATGGAACAAGAAACTGGTAGGAACACTTGAATAGTAATTTTGATCTATTATTGGATGCTGTGGGTAGATAAGTTTAAGAGTTAAAAACTCTTGGGGGAGTCACTCTTAGGAGCAAACCTACAATTTCATGTGTTTTATTTCCAACCCCCACCAAATTCTCACAGAGAATATCGAGTAAAAAGTTCCCTCTGTTCGCAGGCAAAGAGAAGGAAAAATTAGCCATTTCGAAATAGGCCCAGATGTTCCAAAATATGTTCACCTGCATTCTAAGGAAAACTGCATTACCAGAGCCTTATGTAACCTAAAGGAAAGGCAGCTAATCAAATCCAGAGACCTTCCTGCCTCTTGTCAAGGTAAGACAAGAAAAAAGTCTAATACAAATATCTGAAGTCATAACCCAGGGACTCAGGCCAACTAAGAAAGCTGAGATTTAATTATAAGATTATAGAACACTTTTATTACCCAATAATTTAGCACCATATCACCAGGACACCAGGAAAATAACTGAATTACAACTGTGAGAGCTATAAGGCACAGACTCTATTTAAGAAAGAGTTCTTAGGGAAGCCCAAAGACAAAAGAGGAAGAAAAATTCAGAAGAAACTGAAACTTCTGGCAACTACAGCTACAACAAACATTAAACAAAGCCCAACTCTCAGCTAGATGTAATATAACTATTACATTCAGTCTGCTACAGCAAATATCATAGATGAGGTGGCCTAAACAACAGACATTTATTTCTCAGTTCTGCAGGCTAGGAAGTCTGCAGACACCAAGGTGCCAACAGATTCAATGTCTGATGAGGGCCCTCTTTTTCATTTGCAGATGGGCCATCTTCTTATGTCCTCATGTGGTCCTTTTTTGATAAGTGCACAATGAAAGATTAAGAGCTCTCATGTTTCTTCCTTTTTTTATAAGATCATTAATCCCATCATGATGACTCCACCCTTATGATCCCATCTAAACTGAATTACCTCCCAAAGGCTCACCTCTAAATGCCATCACACTGGGGAAAAGGGCTTCAACATATAAATTTGAAGAGGGAAGCAGCCATTCATTTCAGGACACTAACATAAAATCTCACATGAATTCTTATTATCTCAGTTCCTATTACCCAACATATTACATTTGGCTTAAAACAAAAAATTACAAGCCTTGTTAAAAAGAAATTTAAAAAATAGAGCATGAAAGATGAAGCAAGGATCAGAACCAGATTCATATATGAAACATATTTTGAAATTATCAGATAGAAAAATTAAAATAACTGTAAGTAATGTGAAAGATTAAAATTGAAAAATAAGGCAACATGCAAGAACAGATCAAAGTAGGCAAAAAGATGGAAACTCTAGGAATAGATCAATAGAGAATGCTAAGAATTAAAAAAAAAAAAACATGATACAAATGAACAATGCCTCTAATAGGCTCATCAGTAGACTGAACACAGCCAAGAAAAGAATAAGTGACATTAAAGATATGTCACTAGAAACTTTGACAACAGAAATGCCATGTGAAAGAAAGAATGTTATAAAAACTGAACAGATATCCAAGAACTGTAGGATAATTGTAAAAAGCATAACAATAGTATAATTAGAATTCCAGAAGGAGAAGAAAGAAAGATGCTGAATAAATATGTGAATAATAATGGCTAAGAATTTTCCAAAATTGATGACAGAAACCAAACCACATATCCAGGGAGCTCAGGGAATAACAAACAAAATGCATATCAAAAAAACTATACCTAGGCCTATGGTGTTCAAATTGTATAAAACTGAAGACAAATAAGAAATCTTGCAGGAAGTCAGAGAAGCAAATACCTTATCTACAGATGAATAAGGTTAAGAATTACGTTGCATTTCTTACCAGATACTCAAGCAGGAAGAGACTAAAATATATACCCTATTTAAACAAAAATATCACCAACCTAGAATTCCTTATCTAATAAAATTATCATTTACACATGAAGGGAAGCAACAACTTTCTCACACAAATTGAAACAGTGAATTTATCATCAGTAGACATGCTTTACGAGAAATGTTAAAAGAAGTTTTTCAAAATAAAAGAACCCCAGACCCCAGGGACCCCAGGACCCCGAACATGCGTGGCACGGGGTGGCCAGGGGCCCCGACCCCTGCTCTGCCTCGCCGGGTGGTTTGTGCTTCCACCCATGCCTCGGTATATATATATATATATAAACTTAGATTTACATAAAGAAAAAAAAACATTAAGGAAGGAGTAAGTACAGGTAAAATAAAATCATTTTTATTATTTTTAATTGATCTAATATATATTTATTTAAAATAATAATAGCAACAATGTATTGGGTGAGTTCAGTGTATTGATAAGTGAAATAAATGACAATCAAGATTATAAGAGATAAGAGAGAGGAATTGGTACTACTCCATAAGAAAGTATGTTAAGTTACTGTGAAGTAGCCTGCAAAAACTGAAGGATTATTGGGTTTGGGGTGTCCCCTAATGCACATATGACTGCAGTCACCAAAAATTTACATCACAACACTCAAGTCGCCACAAATACCTGGAAAGCATTCCCAAGAAGGATGGATACAAACAAGCTCAGACTGTGAAGATTACAGTAAATACCTAAATACCGAACTCTTCAATGCCCAGACATGATCATCCATAAGTATCGAAACCATCCAATAATACATTACCTCACCAACTGAACTAAATAAGACACCAGTAACCAATCCAAGAATGACAGAGATATGTGACCTTTCACACAAAGTTTAAAATACCTGTGTTGAGGAAGTTCAATGAAATCCAAGATAACACAGAGAAGGAATTCAGAATCCTATCAGATAAATTTAACAAAGACAATGAAATAATTAATAAAAATCAAGCAGAAACTCCGGAGCTAAGAAATTCAATTGACATACTGAAGAAAGCATCAGAATCTCTCAACAGCAGAATAGATCAAGCAGAAGAAAGAATACATGAGTTGAATACGGACTATCTAAAAATACACAGTCAGAAGAGACTAAAAACAATTAAATATCCTCTAAAATCTGGAACAAGACAAGGAAGCCCATTTTCACCAGTTTTGTTCAACAAAATACTGGAAGTCCTGGTCAGGGCAATTAAGCAAGAGAAAGAAATAAAGTGCATTCAAATTGGAAAGGAATATATTAAATAAATAAATAAATAAATAAATAAATAAATAAATGAAAGGTATGTACCCAGATGACATGGTCTTATAGTTTGGAAAACCTAGAGTCCACTGTAAAACTGTTATAAGTGATAAATTAATTCAGTAAAGTTACAGGATACAAAATTGACACACAAAAATCAGTATCATTTATACATGCTAACAGTGAACAATCTGAAAAGAACATCAAGAAAGCAATCCCTTTTTTACAAAGAATCAATATTCTTTGTACTTATTGCAAAGTTGATTCTTGGGAATGAACTTTACCAAAGATATGAAATGAGAATGAACTTAACCAAAGGTATGAAAAATCTATACAAGGAAAAGCAAGAACACTGACGAAAGAAATTGAAAAGGACACACAAAAAAATTGAAGGATATTCCATGCTCATGAATTGAAAGAATTAATATTACTACCCAAAGCAATTTACAGATTCAGTGCAATCCCTATCAAAATATCAGTGATGTTCTTCACAGAAATAGGAAACAAATTCTAAAATGTATATGGAACTACAAATGACCCCAAGTAGCCAAAGCCATCCTGAGCTAAAAGAACAAAGCTGGAAGCATCACACTACCTGACTTCGAAATATACCACAAATCTATAGTAACCAAATCAGCATGATACTAGCGTTAAAACAGGCATGAGACCAATGGGATAAAATAGAGAACCCAGGTATAAATCCACATATTTATAGCCAACTCATTTCTGACAAATGCACCAAGAACATATGATGGAGAAAGAACAGTTTATTCCATAAATGGTACTTGGCAAACTAGATAACCCCAGAAGGATGAAACTACATCCCTATCTCTCATCAAATAAAAATGGACTGGAGATGCAAATCAAAGACCTTAAACTATGAAAGTACTAGAAGAAAACATCGGGAAAATGCTCCAGGATATAAGTCTGGACAAAGAGTTTTTTGTGTAAGACTTCTAAAGCACAAGCAACCAAAGCAAAACTAGACAAATGGGATTAAATCAAGCTAAAAACTTCTGCACAGCAAAAGAAACAATTAACAAAGTGAAGAGGCAGTCCAGAAAATGGGAGAAAATATTTGCAAACTCATCATCTGGTAAGAGATTAATAACCAGAATACACAAGGAGCTCAAACAACTCAATAATCTGATTTTAAAATGGGCCAGAGATCTGAACAGACATTTCTCAAAAGAAGATACACAAATGGAAAACAGGTGCATGAAAAGGTAGTCAACATCATTGATCATCACAGAAATGCAAATCAAAACCACAATGAGATATTATCATCCCAGTTAGAATGGCTATTATGAAAACAGAGAATAACAGATGCTGGCAAGAATGTGAAGAAAAGGAACATTTGTTCAATGTTTGTGGGAATGCAAATTAGTATATCCACTATGGAGAACAGCATGGAGCTTTCTCTAAAAACTAAAAAATAGAACCACCATATGGTCCAGCAATTCCACTACAGAGTATATATCCAAAAGAAAGGAAATCAATATATTGAACAGATATCTACACCTGTATTTATTGTGGCATTATTGACAATAGTCAAAATATGGAATCAACCTAAGTGCCTGTCAAAGGATAAATGGAAAAAGAAAGCAAGGTGTGGTGGTTCACACCTATAATCCCAGCACTTTGGGAGGTCAAGGTCAGAGGATCAGTTGTGTCCAAGAGTTCACGGCCAGCCTGGGCAATATAAAAAGACCTCAACCTGTCCAGGTGTGGTGGCTTATGCCTGTAATCCCAGCACTTTGGGAGGCTGAGTCAGGTGGATCACCTGAGGTCAGGAGTTTGAGACCAGCCTGACCAACATGGAGAAACCCCATCTCTACTAAAAAAAATACAAAATTAGCCAGGTGTGGTGGCTAGCGCCTGTAATCCCAGACACTCGGGAGGCTGAGGCAGGAGAATCGCCTAAGTCCAGGAGGCAGAGGTTGCAGTGAGCCGAGATCACGCCACTGCGCTCCAGCCTGGGTGACAGAGTGAGACTCTGTCTCAAAACAAAACAAACAACAAAAAAAAACTCATCCTTACAAAAAATCAAAAATGAGCCAGGCATGGTAGTACATGCGTGTAGTTCCAGCTACTTAGGAGGCTGAGGCAGGAGGATCACTTGAGCCTGACAGGTTGAGGCTGCAGTAAGCCATGATTTAGACACTGCACTCAGCCTGGGTGACAGAGTGAGACCCCGACCCAGAAAATAATAACAATAACAATAAAATAAATAAATGCGTAAATAAATGGATAAAGGGGGCGGGGGCAGGGGTGGTGGCTCACACTTGTAATCCCAGCACTTTGGGAGGCCAAGGCAGGTGGATCACCTGAGATCAGGAGTTAGAGACCAGGCTGAGCAACACGGCGAAACCCTGTCTCTACTAAAAATACAAAAAAATTAGCTGGTTGTGGTGGCAGGCCCCTGTAATCCCAGCTACTTGGGAGGCTGAAGCAGGAGAATCGCTTGAACCCGGGAGGCAGAGGTTGCAGTGAGCAGAGATTGCGCCATTGCACTCAGCCTGGGAGACGGAGCCAGACTGTCTCAAAAAAATAAATAAAATAAATAAATGAAATATTATGTATATACACAGTGGAATATTATTCAGCCATAAAAAAGAATGAAGTCCTGTAATTTGCAGCAACATGGATGGAACTGGAGAATATTATGCTATGTGAAACAAGCCAAACACAGAAAGACAAATACTGCGTATTCTCACTTACATGTGAGAGCTCAAAGAGTGGACCTCAAGAAGATAGAAAGTAGACTGGTGGTTACTAGAGGCAGGCTGAGAATGCTAAGGTGGAGGAGGAGGCTTACTAATAGATACAACTATACACTTATATTAAAGGAACAAGTCTTGTTGTTTGATAGTTTAGTAAGGTGACTGATTCACATTAATTGATTGTTCATTTCCAAAGAGCTAGAAAAAAATAATTTGAATGTTGCTAGCATAAATAAAACATAAATATTTAAGGTAATGGTATCCCAATTATCCTAATTTTATCATAGGACTATATCAAATAATTATCACATGCCCCCTGAAAAATGTATATCTAATATGTATCAATGAAATTAATCAATTGATTAAATTTTAAAAATATATGCAAAGAACACTTAAAGTGCAACTAGAAAATAAGCAACTCAGTTAAAAAGGGGCCAAAGATCTAGACACTTCATCAAAAAAGATATACAAATTAAAAATAGTATATGAAAAGATGTTTCACATTATATGTTACTACAGAATTGCAAAATGAAGCAACAGCAAGATACAAATGCATACCTGTTAGAACAGCTAAATTTTATTTTTTGAAAACCTGACAATATTTACTGGAAAGGAAGTGAAGCATCATTCATTGCTGGTAGGAATGCAAAATGATACAGCCACTTTGGAAGAAAATTTGGCAGTTTCTTACAAAGCTTAACATAGTCTTTTCATATGATTTAGCTATCATGCTTCTAGGTATTTACCTAATTGTGTTGAAAAATTATGTGCATGCAAGAACCTGCACATGAATGCTTATATCAAGTTTATTCATAATGACCAAAAAACTGGAACCAACCAAAATGTCCTCCAATAGGTAAATGAATAAACAACCAGGATACATCTATACGGTAAAATATTATTCAGTGATAAACAGAAATGAGCTATTAAGACACAAAAAGACATGGAAAAATATTAAATGCATATTACTAAGTAAAAGAGGTCAGTCTTAGAAGACTAAATAATATATGATTCCAATTACATGACATTCTAGAAAAGGACAAAACTGGAGACAGCAAAAGACCAGTAGTTGTTGGTAGTTAAGAGGTTGGAGGGTCAGAGGCAGGCAGAGGAAGGAGGGAGGAATAGGTGTGGTATGGGGGAATTTTTAGGGTGGTAAAACTGTTCTGTCTAATATAATGGGGGAAACATAGTAATTTGCATTTTTCAAAACTCATAGAACTGTAAAACACAAATAGTGAGCCTTAATGTAAACTGTGGATTTAGTTAACAATTATGTATCAATATTGGTTCATTAATATAACACATATACCACACTAATGTAAGATGTTAAAAATTGGTAAAACTGTTGAGGTTGGGGGCAGATATAAGAAACTCCCTATGTTATTTACTCACATTTTCTGTAAATTGAAAACTCTTTCAAAAAATAAGGTAAGAATTTAAAGATAAAATAAAGGAGAACTGCATGTTCATTGGTTTTACAATTACTTTCATGGCAGAATCTTTCCTTGAGGTGGTTTCTGGCTTGAGAATAGGGTTTTTTACTTAACCATTAATGACTAAACTCCTAACTCCATGAAATTTCCCTCCTTCAGGTGTCTTTGTCTTGTGCATGAGAGATTCGTTCAAAGGATACTGTCTACTAACCAAAAGATTAATTGTGGATTGTTTGGCAGTGTAACTGATCATTCTTGACATGGTCAAAAACAGTTCTCCTTTTGTATGTTCTGGGTTATGAGCAGGGATGAGAGAGTTTGGAGGCTGGAGAGTGTTTTCTCTACTTCCACTTTATGAACATAACGCTCACGGTTTATACCTCCCTGCCTTTCTACCCCTGAAATCATCATCTTTGCAGTTGTGGAAAATAACACATTTGCCATGGGTGAACTGATCTATTTAAACGCATCAAACTATCACATCTTTAAAGTCTTGTTAAGACCAGCCTTTCTTGAAGAAAAGTATGTTATAATCCAATGGTTTCACTTGCAGAAACATTTTTCTGAATTTAATCAGAATAAATTGCATGCCATTTGGCCTGTCATTTTTTATTCTGAGCACTGATTCATACCTTGGTTAGCTCTTTCCTATGTGAATACAGCCATTTTTCTCTTAACTGAGTACATATTAGCATATATTTACAATAAAAATGTTTTTTCTTCTCTATCCCTTTTTTCTTCAGTTTTAATTTCCAATATTCTACTTCTTTCTCATAATTTATACAAAATAGTCTACCACCTTCTCTCTCTTTAAAAATATAGTAAATATTTCTGCTAGAACTATTAGACGGCTTAAAATGTGAAATTTTATACAGCTGGCCCTCCACTATCTGTAGGTTCTGCCTTCATGGGTTCAACTAACTGCAGATCAAAAATATTCAGGAAAAAAAACAATTAAAAATAACAACAGTTAAAATAATACAAATTTTAAAAATCAATACATTATAACAACTATTAACATAGCATTTACATTGTACTCTGTATTATAAGTAATCTAGTGATGATTTGAAGTATATGGAAGAATGTGCATGGGGTATACGTAAATACTACACCATTTTATATAGGGGGACTTGAGCATCCCCTAGAATGGGTCAGGGGAGGGATGGGTCCTGAAACCAGTCCCCCATAGATACCCAGATACGACTGCATACTGATTTGATTGCCTTTTATTAGAGTCAAGCTCAAGTTCAGCTAAGTAAAATGGGACAGTCTCTCAGATGAGGCAAATTGGCAGCAACAATAACTCAGAAAATATGAGGACTGTAAGAATTTATGTCAAAGGTGTTAAAAAGTACACAGATTCAATTAGGAGTCTTAGGGCCTAGATACCTCCACATTTCCCCTATAACATTACTCATCAAATTATATTGCAAATGTGTGTTAACGTATCTGTCCATCCCACCCATCTGTAAGCTTCATGAGAACGTAAATCATGTCTGTTTTTTTACCACGTTATTCCTAGCACCTAGTGAAGTGCCTGGTTATATTATGTGCTTATTAAATGATTATTAAATAAAGTAAATAAATAATCTAAACAAGTTGCAAATATTTTAACAATGTGCCAGAGAATCATAATCTACTTAAAGACTCTTCCTTCCATTCACCTCCAATCAACCCAACCATCAAGCAAGCATAAATATTTACTGCTCTTTCAAAAGATACCTAAATGTTTATTAGCAAACTTTGAAGCACAAAAATAGTCCTTTAACCTTCCATATTTTTCTACCTTTATTCTTCCTAGGTGCCCATTTCTTAGCTGAACTCCTGTAATGTCCCCTATACTTGTTTACAATTATTCACGCTAAGAAATTAATTATTTATAAAAGTGTAACAGTTTTAAGCATATTTGCAGTTTAATAGGACTCAAAGCCCAACCTGGTTGTAAAGTGCCTATATAAGTCTTTGTCCATTTAAAAATTTGAGTTGTCTGTCTTTCTTTTACTAGTTTGTAGGAGTTCTTTATTTATTCATTTATTTTTATGTTTATTTATTTATTTAAGACAGAGTCTTGCTCTGTCACCCAGGCTGGAGTGCAATGGCACAATTTTGGCTCACCACAACCTCTGCCTCCCAGGTTCAAGTGATTCTAGTGCCCCAGCCTCCCAAGTAGTTGGGATTACAGGCATGCACCACCACACCAGGCTAATTTTTGTATTTTTAGTAGAGATGGGGTCTCGCCATGTTGGCCAGCCTGGTCTCAAACTCCTGATCTCAGGTGATCCGCCCACCTCGGCCTCCCAAAGTGCTAGAATTACAAGCATGAGCCACTGCACCCAACCAGGAGTTCTTTATATAGTCTGGTTATAGGTTTCTTCTCAGATATATGCATTACAAATATTTTCTCAAATTCTGTGACTTTCTTTCATTCTGTTTATTGTTTTTGAATAAATCAAGGAGAAGGTAAATGAAGCCCCATGAACAGTATTCATCTTCTTATTTCAGTGCTTTTTGTGTTCTATTAAGAAATTACCTATCCCGCTGGGCACGGTGGCTCACGCCTGTAATCCCAGCACTTTGGGAGGCCGAGGCGGGCGGATCACAAGGTTAGGAGATCGAGACCATCCTGGCTAACACGGTGAAACCCTGTCTCTACTAAAAATATAAAAAATTAGCCGGGCGTGGTGGCGGGCGCTTGTAGTCCCAGCTCCTCAGGAGGCTGAGGCAGGAGAATGGCATGAAACCGGGAGGGGGAGCTTGCAGTGAGCTGAGATCGCGCCACTGCACTCCAGCCTGGGCAACAGAGCGAGACTCCATCTCAAAAAAAAAAGAGAAAAAAAAAGAAATTATCTATGGCAACTTCTTAGATACTACCTTATTTTCTAAAATAGTTATTGTTCCACCATTCTTATTTAGCAATATAATCCAAATAAAATTGGTTTTCTGTGTGGGATCAAGTTTTTTACATACATAAGTGATATGGTTTGGCTCTGTGTCCCCACTCAAATCTCATGTTGAATTGTAATCCCCACATGTTGAAGGAGGGCCTGGTGGGAGGTGATTGAATCATGGGGGCGGACTCCTCCCTTGCTGTTCTCATGATGGAGTTTTCACAAGATCTGGTTGGTCTTTTGCTTTTTTGTTGTTGTTGTTGTTTTGTGACAGAGTCTCACTCTGTCGCCAGGCTGGAGTGCAGTGGTGCGATCTTGGCTCTCTGCAAGCTCCACCTCCCAAGTTCAAGTGACTCTCCTGCCTCAGCCTCCTGCCCAGCCGAGTAGCTGGGACTACAGGTGCGCACCACCACTCCCAGCTAATTTTTGTATTTTTAGTAGAGATGGAGTTTCACCATGTTGGCCAGGATGGTATTGATCTCTTGACCTCGTGATCCACGAGGCCTCCCAAAGTGCCAGGATTACAGGCGTGAGCCACCACACCCGGCCTGCAAGATCTGGTTGTTTAAAAGTATGTAGCATGTCCTCTTTCACTCACTCTCTCCCTCTCTCCTCTTTTTCCGTGATAAGATGTGCTTTCTTGCCCTTCACCTTCTGCCATAATTATGTTTCCTGAGGGCTCCTAGCCATGCTTCCTATACAGCCTGCAGAAATGTGAGTCAATTAAACCTCTCTCCTTCATAAATTACCCAGTCTCAGGTATGTCTTCATAGCAGTGTGAGAATGAACTAATACAGTATTTATATTTGGTTAATCTAGCCTCATTTACTTCTTCATTGCACTGCACTTGCACATTTCTCATACACCAAATAAACCTATGTTTTACCTTAGTTTACCCCATTAAGCAGACTTGTATGCAGATAATTTACTTTATTTTATATTTATTTATTCAGACAGGCTCTTGCTCTGCCATCCAAGCTGGAGTGGAGTGCAATAGCGTGATCACAGCTCACTGTAACCTTGAACTCCTGGCCTCAAGCTATCCTCTTGCCTTGATCCCCCAAAGCACTGGGATTATAGGCATGCCACTGCACCTGGTTAAACAGCTTATTTTAAAAAGTATTTCAGGAAATTAAGAAGAGACTAAGAGTGGAACAGGTAAGGAAGGAAAGCCAACTTGAGGGTATGTTAATCAACTGTTTATCACTGTGCTTAGTCCCTAGTACCTCTTAAAAAAAGGTGTAGAATATCCTCAGAATGTTTCAACCATGACATGAAAGAGAGTCATATTTGTACATGAATTCTCCTTTCTCAATTGATAGTTTAACACCTGAGGGTGTTAAATTCATTGCAATTTCAAGTATGCATGCATTAGATTGGCTGAGTGAGCTACTACAAGTGTCTGACACAGTAGCAGACAAGTACTGGAGCAGCAAGAAACAGATTCATGGTGCAGATGTGGCAAGGTATTAATGGCTACATACTCATGCAGCTGGTTATTGCAGAGCCTGGAATAAAAAGATGAATTGAGAAGCTGTGAAACAGGAAATGCAAAATGCCTGATAAAGTTCACACCTTATACCAATAAGCTCTGCTCTACTGCAGTCCATCACAGAGGCAAGTGATCAGATGCAAATTTTGAAAAGTCTCAATACAAAAATACGCAATTAACAACCATTTTGAGGCTGAAACTGATATTTATCATCTCCCTTATCAACCATTCTAGAGTTCCCTCACTCACAGTTATTACTTCAGCAAAACCAGATTGCTTGTCCCAAAGGGGATCAAGGTCTCCTTGGACTATGTTGTGACAAGAGTAGTTGACATAAACCTGAGACAAGACAGTGAATGTGTACAGCTATCTTTAGGACATAAACATGAACTACTTTTTTTTTTTACTATTTTTATGGCCTATATAGTTGGACATTGAGAAAAATTCCTTCACCATATCAGTAGCCACCATGTGGACCCATTCCAGAAAAGATGCCATTTGTTTAGCTTAGTTGCGCTGGAAAAGTGTTAAGTTAAACAGTTAACAGCTCATTCTAATGCCAGTCTTCTCAGAGCCTTTATATTCAATGCATGCTGCGAATCTTCAATAAGGAGACACTATACAGAAACATGCCCAAATTTATTTGTTCATAAAACACTTCTCTGTGGAATATTTGGAAGAATTAGGGTTGTGAAGTACACACTTTTTGGAATGCTCTACTTAGGAGATAAGGAATTGCTGAAGTTCAGAGTCTATATTCTCATTATCTTTGAAGAACTAAATTCTGGAACATAGCAATGCACAATAAATGTTGAATAAGTGAGTGAGTAAGTGAGTGCATGGTTGAATTGACACCAACACACTGATAAGATGTGACTAGTTTGGGGCCATTTTAGTTTTTTACACCTTTTTAATGAAAGTTGTTAAATGATTGCAATGTATGGGTACTAGGCAAAGTAATTTATTAGTAGTAACTCATTTAAATGTCACTCAAAACCCTATGACATAGACACTATCATGATTTCTCATGTATTGTTGAACAAATAGAGGCTAAGAAAGTTTAAGTAACTGTCAAAGAATAAACAACCAATAGGTAGAAAGCAAGACAGAAAGCCCAGTTCTGTTTGTGTCTGAATCCTACATTCATAACCAGCATGATCATATCACTGCATTTGTCTCAAATTTTCTGCCACTTCATAAAAAGCCTTAGAAGTATAAAGCATGAACAAGTCTAGATTTTCTTTTCTTTTAGAATTGCACTGGAAAAAATCAGACCAATATTTAGTGTTATCTAGCCCTCACTTCATACTCAATACAGCTGAAAGATGTATTGGAACACCTCCAGACAGGAGAGAGTAAAACTGGACTGTATGCCAGCTTTAAAGGCTACTGAACCTTTGGATTCCTCATTTGAAAAAATCGAGACAAGATGTATTTTATAGAGTTTCCCTGGAGATTAAAAATTAGCATATAGAAGGATAAGCATCTTACCAGAATGTGAACTCTGGAGTCACACTACAAGGATTTGAATTCCAGCCCTAATATTTTCTAGCTGAGTAATCTTCTGCAAGTTAGTTGATTCATCTGTGCTTAGTTGCCTCATCGGTAAATCTGACTGGTAATACTATCTAAAACATAGGGTTGTGGAAAGAATCAAATGAATTAACATACATAGTGCACTTAAAACATTTTCTCACTCATAAGACATCTGTGTAAAGATTAGTCATGTTAGGTAATCTGTAACTAGTGCCTATTACATGTATCAGTCCCATCAGCATGTATAAAAAGCATACTGCTTTAATAAACTTTCATTGTAATACTGTCTCTGCCACTGTTAGTGATATGGCCCTGTCAACTAATTTAATTTTTCTATACATTAGTTTTCTCATCTGTAAAATGTAAACAAGAAAACTTTATCTCACAGCATTAAGACTAAATTCCCCATCATATGCAACATCCTGGAGCATAGAAGTGTTTCAGTAAAAATTAGTAGTTTGCTTTCTTCCTTCCTCCCTTCCTTCCACAGTGGGTTTGCTCTCTGAAAGTCTTAAGTAACAAGTAAGGCTATACCTTAAAAAATATATGGTAAGTCTTTCAAAGATACAATCACCAAGTACGACAATGCTTTCAAAAGGGCTTCGGATGGAAATTTAACTCAGATATTATAATATGACATATAACATATCAAACTACTTCTTCCTTTCTTGAAGGCATATAGTCAGCCCTCCATTTTCACAGATTCCACATTCATGAATTCAAACAACAAAGGATCAAAAATATAAAGAAAGAATAATAATACAAATAAAAACCAATGCAGTATAATAATTTCTGTAGCATTTACAGGCATTTACATTGTATTAGGTATTATAAGTAATCTAGAGATGACAAAGTATTTGGGAGGACATGTATAGGTTGTATACAAATACTACACTGTTTTATATCAAGGGCTTGCTTATTGGTATTTGCACACATCCTGGAACTAATCCTTTCCACCATGCCTCACCCCATGCAGATATCAAGAAATGACTATACATATACACAATTTTTTTTCAACTGGCATATTCACCAATTAATTTTGCTATCTACATTAGCAGGATGCTTGCAAGTGGTAAATAAAGACTGGAGAGAACTAAGTAAACATTCCCATTATCATAGGAATATGTTAGAAGTGAAAAGTGGCTGAAATCTAGTTTTCTTGACCAAATCTAGTTTTCTTACAATTTTCTAGTTTAAAGTAAATCTAATGAGTCAGAGAATCTTGAGTCAAATGATCTCTTACTAATGCTAAACCTCTAGGGCCCTGTGAGGTTTCCAATAGCTTTATGTACAATTCTCACCACAGCATTATGGGAAAATTGTCATTATGAATTGTATTGATGCTGTGATTAAAAGCAATCTTGCTTTATGGCCTTCAAGAGACTTAAAATATTACAACCTGGAGACAGATAAAGATGTTCTAACCAATCAGCACTAATAACACCACACATGTATATTGAATTTTATAACTCACAAAGGAATTTGACATCCATTATTGCACATCATCTCTGTGAAGTAAGCAACACAAGTATTTTCATCTAGTTTTATTAGTCCAGAAAATAAGACACAGAGAAGTAAAAAATGACATGCCCAAAATTCCTTACACAACTAGAGTACAGCTTTCATCTCAGTCTAAAAGATCTTATTTCTACCATACACTCTATTTCCCAGCAACCATGAGGAAAATAAATAAAAATTTAAAACTTCTTCAAATATAAAAGAATAGACGTGATTTTTTTAAAAAAAAGATTTTTTCATTATTAGTAATGGTTTTTGGATTAGGCATATTAGTCAAATTAACTACCTTTAGCCAAGAGGGGGTCCTTTGTTCTATCCTTACTGTTGAATTCTCCCTACTATTCATGCACCCTGAAACTCTGAACATGACGATGGTCCCTTGATCCTAACCTCCCTGTTGGAACCTCCTCCATGTGTTGTGATAACACAAATGTGCCCATTTCTTCTCCCATTCTCTCTAAAATAAATGTGTGGAAGAAACAGAATTAGGCCCTATCAATCCTGCAATAATTTTATTTGTGTGTTTGTTTTTAATTGTCCCTTCATTATTTTAAAGTACACTACAAAATACCTTTGAAATCTGTAATCTTTATGAAGGGATATAAAAACCTACCAATAATGTTTACTCTTTATCGGACATTTAGGGGACTGCTTCATATTCTCTATGATTCACTGACAATCATGATAAATAAGTAAAGTTAAAAACAAGCACAAAAGAAAAAAATGTATTGAGTACTATTAACTTTCTTTGAGAAAAATAATGTCAATAGATTTAAAATAAAGTGCTTTCAGTCCTAAAGATGCCTTTTAAATAATGTGTGAGTATGTGGGAGGGTGTGTGGGTGTGTTGGTATGTTTCAAAGAAGAAAATCTTAAAATTGAAAAGTTAAACTTGTATTTAAAAGCAAGAAGAAAAGTTCTCATCTCTGGCACATAAAAACTTCTATATTCACAATATCCCTTATTCATTGACTTTTTCTATCATCACTATTCCCTTGACTGTTCTTCACCTTTTAAAAACAGGACAAGACAGTGGGAACGGTTGTATTAGTGATAGAAACCCAGAGGGGAAACAGTCTTGTTTATTTTTACAGCACCAGGGTTCTTTCCTTAGGTGAACATCTTTGGAACTACCATCTGTGCTAGGGAGAGAAAGCTGGGGGAGAATGATGAGAGACTATTGAGAGGGAAGGCAACAATTCCAAAGGGGAAACTAAATCACCCAGCTGTCAGTGTTTTAGAAGCTGAGAATGTCATTTTGGTAAATAATCCAAGCCTCTCTCTTCGTTTCCAAAGATCTGCCTTTGCACAATGGCCTTGCTCTCACCGCTCTGCTGGGGGGCGGCGGGGGGGTGGAGGTACAGAGGAGGGGAACTGATAGTATATCAATAGTATCACACCTGACTCTGAACCCAGTCTTGCAAAAGCCCAAGGGGCATCAATTGACAGGACAAATGGATTCCTTTTTTTTGACAATGTGACCCACCTGAATGTCTCTGGTCACTTCTCCATTTTCTAGTCAGGGTTTATCAATTTAAAATGTTTTATCCGTAGTCAAATGTCCTTGGCAGAAAGAGGAACCCCCAAGACACGTTAAGGGTAGAGAATTTAAAAGAGAAGTATAGTTGTGATTTAGAGTTATAATACTTTACAATAAAATTATATTTGTTATATTAATTTTCTTGTAAAATTTAATACATTGGAATGAAAATTTAAAACAATCTCAGCATAACTCAGAAATATCCTAATAAATATAGGAAGCTAGAAGAAAGAAATAATATGATAAAGGCAATTTTAGAAAAAAAAAAGTATGCTAATGTAGAAATTTCCAGCTAGAGGAATTTGACAGATCCCTTAATCTTACTTCTTTTATTTCTCACTCTTCAATTTATAGATTTGAAGTCTCAGGCCCAGAAAACATTCCTGACTTGCTAATTCATGGTTGAACTAGATCTAGAACCCAGGTGTTGGAATCCTAACGACAGCTTTTTTGGTTTTTTACTTGATACCAAGTAGCATTTATTAAACAAAGGTTTATCGGGAATTTATAAACTAGTCATCAAACCAAAAAAAAAAATCAATCCAAAATTTTCAATGAACTAGAAATATTTTTCTGTGGTTTACCTGGCACCAATTTAAACTCCTGAAAATTCCTTTTGACATTGAAAACCTAGGCTATTGCCCTCCCCATTTTTTTGCCCATCACCACTAACAACAAAATTGTGTTTAGGTCAATTAAAGGTTAGAAAAGTACTTCACATTGTATGCTTAATTGTGATGAAGGCTGAGTTTTACTTGCAACAATAACTAAGAAAATCCAAGCCAGGATGACAAATTCTAATAGTGTTTTATCATCTTTTCTAAAAAATAGATACAGTGAGTTCATTTCCTCTGAAGCCTCATGCACTTCTGCATGCATATGAATTTGCCAAAGGAGCTACTCAGGGGCTATTAGGCTCAGATACATATACAAATATAGGAAATATAACTCTGGCTCTTGATCAAAAACATATTCTCAATGTTCTCATGAAATAGCAAGAAATGAAAAGAAATAATCTTCCCAAGCACTTGGCTTGTTATTACCTTATTTTTAATTCCATATGTCAAACAGAATCCTGGAGGGATCAGATATAATACTGGAAAGTACATTACAAGGGGGAAAAGCTCTCTATTAGTCTGATGATAAAAGTAGCTGAAAAAAAAAATGCTTCTTTTCCTTCTCCAATTTTCTAGTACAGCCTTCTGCCTGTAGGTAAAAGTGTAAATTACAAATAGAAGCTATCAAGTATCCATGTATCTGCCTATTAGTTTGTGGCTACCCAGACAATTTAAAATGAAACGTTCAGCTATGTCTCATCTTATTATCTCCAGTGGAAAGAAAAAAATAAAAATAAAAAAATTGGTGTAGTTTTATAAGAGCTACTAAGGTAGTATCATCACAATCTAAATGTTTTCATTCCAAGGAAAATCTATGGTTAATCTCTGTGTGTGATATATCAAAATGACTGTTTCAAAAAAGAAAGAAGGAAAGTTTCCAGGTAATTGGGTGAATTTTTACTTTCTATCTGATGATTTAGTAAAATGTAGATAGTGCTGAAATCCATTGCTAAAAAGAAATGGTTTATTAATGAGTAATGAATTAAAGTCTGGAATATTTTAAGTATAGAAAAACTTTAAATGCAATATTCATTGTCAAACTTCAGACTGAGTTAGAAATTTCTAAAATTACTTGATTTGGTTACTTGTATAAGGTCATGTCTCACAGTCTTATGAGATCAGATATTTTTAGAAATAGATCTAGTCAAGATGTATGTTCTGATTTGAATACAAATGGTTTTAACCCATAACGTAAACAGGTTATCTTAGTTCTTGAAAACACTAGTATTTATTGATTGTAAGTTTATAAAAAGGATTTTGAAAAATAAGATTTGTCATGAGGCAATTTTACTTTTATTTGGTCATTTTAAAATTCCATTTAAAAAATTATCAGATATTAACTTGTATAAATCTGGAAAGAGCTTCAGAAAGCACTCATTCATCTTTTGCCCATACTTAGTCTCTTTTGCTCTGTTTCAAGGTTAGAATGAGTTTGAGAATAGCTGCAATCATGGTTTCGACAAACCAGAGTCTGTGGTGGGTTGAAAATATTGTCTGATAACTAACTCTTAGCATTTGGATTCTCTACTTGTACTCCATTTAGTCTGAGAAAATACCTTGGGGCATTGTTGTTCACCATACTCAACTTCTGTTTTATCTTTATCAGATGCTGGTCAGGAGTGGTAGGTTTTGCCTTCTTGCCTAGTAATAAGTTTGGGTCAATGCATGGGAGTATGACCACGCAGCTTTAAGATCTTCATTCTAGAAGCACTGTTCAGCATCCAGGGGTCAAGGACAATGAAAGGCAGAAGGCCAAAAGTGCAAGAGAGGTGGAGATTAAAAAAAAATTAATCATTGATTAATGTATGCTACATGTGGGCTCAAGTTTTTCTTGTTTAATACATCATAGGTGTCTGGAACATCCTTATAAATATTTTCTGAGTAAATGAATAAATACAATTAAGCAGAAGGCAGGACTGAAAAGAAAAAATAAAGGAAGAAAGTCCACCAGATTCATTTTTCTCCTCATCAAAACTGTTCAAACTACATGCCATTACTTTTCTTCTTGGCAATTCAGGGAAAATATTATTAATTATTTATACTTAGAATTATTAATTTTACAATTATTTTTATTTATTTATTTTTAAGACAATGTCTGTGACCCAGGCTGGAGTGCAGTGGTATGATCATGGCTCATTGCAGCCTTGAAATTCCAGGCTCAAACAATCCTTCCACTTCAGTCTCCTGAGTAGTTAGGACCACAGGCATGTGTCACCATGCCCAGATTTTTTAAAAACATTTTTTGTAGCGATTGAGGTCTTGCTATGTTGCTTAGACTGGTCTCAAACTTTTGGGCCCAAGCAATCCTCCCTCCATAGCCTCCCAAAGTGCTAGAATTATAGATATTAGCCGCCACACCCAGTTTATTATTATTATTATTTACAAATCAACACTCATGTGAACATAAGCTAAAGGGTACATAACACAATCAGTTCCTCTTCCTTGAAAAAACATTACTCTGCTTCCCAGTAAGTCTGGAATAGTCTCCAGAGTTCTTAACACACCATGCCAGGGAGCTACTATGTATAATGGCACTGCTAAGTGTGAGAAAACCTACCCATTTCCAATGTGGATGAAATATGTGGATTGGTCCTCTGAAAAGCTGCAGTCTCATAACAAAAATATAAGCATAAAATAGATGAATTCATTCTCATCAATATTAAAAATCTTTGTGCTTCAAAGAGTATCATCAAGAAAGTGATGTGTTTACACTATAAAAAGAACAATTAAAACTCAATGATAAAATGTCAAATAATACAATTTTTAAAATTGGCAAAGGATCTGAATATATTTCTCCAAAGAATATATGCAAATGGCTAATAAGTACATGAAAAAATCTTCAACATTGTTATCTGCTTTGGTTTGAATGCAGTGTCTCTCCAAATTTCATGTTGAAACTTAATCTCCAATGCAATCATATTAGGACGTGTATTAGTCTGTCCTCACACTGCTAATAAAGACATATCCGAGACTGGGTAATTTATAAAGAAAAAGATGTTTAATGAACTTACGGTTCCACATACTGGGGAGGCCTCACAATTATGGCAGAAAGTGAAAGACATGTCTTATATGGTGTCAGGCAAGAGAGAATGAGAGCCAAGAGAAAGGGGAAGCCCCTTATAAAACCATCAGATCTTGTGAGACTTATTCACTACCATGAGAACAATATGGAGGAAGCTGCCCCCATGATTCGGTTATCTCCTACCGGGCCCCTCCCACAACACATGGGAATTATGGGAAATAAATTCAAGATGAGATTTGGATGGGGACACAGCCAAACCATATCAGAAAACGAGGCCTTTAGAAGGTGGTTAGATCATGAGGACACTGTCTTCATGAATGAGGTAAGTGGCCTTATAAAAGGACGTGAGGAAGCCTTTTTGGCCCTTTTCCTCCTTCTACCAGGTGAGGATGCATCTTGGAAGCAGACAGCAAGCTCTTACCACACATCAAATCTGCCAGAACCTTGATATTGGAATTCCCAGACTCCAGAACTATGAGAAATAAGTTTCTGTTGATTATAAATTACCCATCCTGTAGCATTTTGTTACAGTAGCCTAAACAGAGTAAGGTATTTTTCATCGGGGAAATGCAAATCAAAAGCACCATAAGATACCACTTTACACTCACTAAGATTAATAGAATGAAAAAGATAATAAAAGTGTTAATATGAATGTGGAGAAACTGGAACCTCACACACTGATAGTAGGAATGTAAAACAGTGCAGCCACTTTACAAAATAGTCCAGCATTTTCTGTAAGAGTTAAACATAGAGTTACAACCTGATTCAGGAATTCCACTCTGAGTATATACCTAAGAAAATGAAAAGCTCTGTCTGCACACAAAAAATTATACATGAATATTCAGGGCAGCATTATTCATAATAGACAAAAAGTAGAAATAACACAAATGTTCATCAGTCAATGAAAGGATAAATGAAATGTGGTATATCCATACAATGAAATATCATTCAGCGATAATAAGAAAGTATTGATACATGCTACAACAGGATGAATCTTGAAAACATTATGTTAAGTGAAGAAGCCAATTGCAATGGAATAAATATTGTAAATACTGTAATGATTTCACTTGTATGAAACGTTCAGAATAAGTAGATCCATAGTAGATTAGTGGTCACTTAATGCTATGGGGATGGATGTATAGGGAAAAGGGGTGACAGCTAATGGATTTGGTGTTTCTCTTTGAGCTGATAAAAATGTTCTAAAATTAATTGTAATGGATGCACAACTCTATAAATGTATTAAGAGCCATAAAACTGAACACTTTAAATGAGTGAATTGCCTGGTATATAAATTATATCTCAATAAAACTTTTACCAAAACATTCCAATTTAAAGAACTCTCAGGATCTTTTTTTTCCACTTTTCACATAGAGACAACTTTCATTCTCTTTGTGCAATGAAATTAGCAATGTCTAAAGAGGACCACTATTACCCAGTCAAGGACCCTGTGTTAACAAAAAGTTGTTGAAATATTCAGAATTTAACAGAGGCATGTGTACATAATATAAATATGTGTCTGGATATACACACATTTATACATTCAAATTTATACACACACATGCATTTATTATTACAAATAGCCTTAGCCAATGTTCAACAGGTTGAACATTTTCTCTCATTCCAGTCAATCACAGCTAGTTTTCCAACAGTCTCCCTAAAGGTTTTATGACCAGGACCAATTAGGCAGTATTGCTTTATTGGATTGTTAAGGCCTGCCAACAGTTTGGTGAATTACACAGCTGTCACATCAGTACATGAGTGATAGTCAGCAGAAAGACAATAACAATAACAGAAGCACCAGTGTACAAATCACAGGAAAAAGAAAAGCCTAACTGTTCTAAAATGTTGGAAAATCATTATAACAAAGAAAAATAGGCATATACTAGTTTCTGGATATTTTACATATAGAAGTGAGTCAAGAAAACAGTAGGAATTTAGTAAATGACATTACTTCATTCTTCCCATTGTGCACAGTCAGATCATTTTAAGATCTTGATATGGTTTGGCTCTGTGTCCCCACCCTAATCTCATCTCAAATTGTAATCCCCACATGTCAAGGGAGGGATCTGCTGGGAGATGATTGGATCATGGGGCTAGTTTCCCCCATGCCCTTCTCCTGATAGTGAGTTCTCATGGGATCTGATGCTTTAAAAGTGTTTGGCGTTTCCCCCTACACCTCTCTCTCTCCTCCTGCTGTCATGTAAGACGTGCCTTCCTTCTCTCTCACTTTCCTCCATGACTGTAAGTTTCCTGAGGCCTCCCCAGCCAGCCATGTGGAACTGTGAGTCAATTAAACCTGTTTTCTTTATAAATTACCTAGTTTCAGGTAGTTTTTTATAGCAGTGTGAAAACTGAATAATACAGACTTTACAGGTGTTAATAACTCTTTTTTAGAAATTACACCCAACAGAACAAGAAACATACGTATATTTCACACACCCTACCATTCCAGATACAGATAGATATAAGGAGATAGATATAATGACAGAGACACATACAGAGATGGGTATGTCTATGTCTATCTCTCCACAGACCTGTGAAGAAAACTTGCGAGTCTTTACTACAATTTTCTGAATTTATGGTGTGCCTTAGTGAAAGTTCTCTGAGAAGTCCATTGTGGATGTCAAGACAGGATTAAGTGGGCAAGGAATTTATTAGGGAAAACACCTGTGTGAAGAAAAATGAAAAAGGGAGGGAGGCAGCAGTCACCTGGAGAGGGTGAGAGGCATCAGGTCATGATGCAAGGCTGACTCTGAAAAAGGGAGGTAGGCAGCAGTCACCTGGAGAGGGTGAGAGGCATCAGGTCATGATGCAAGGCTGACTCTGAAAAAGAGAGGGAGAGAAAGGGGGTGGAAACCTCCTAGACTATGATATGGAGGAAGGAAATTTTGGCAAAGCTATTAGGGAGTTCCTGAGACAAAGTCAGCCATATCTCCCAGAAACAGGTTTGCTTTTCTCTGTCTGTCTTGCTCAGTCATTGATTTGGAGCAATCCATGGCTTCAATGCAAATGCTTTCAAATCACAGCAGCTGAAGGCTTTGGTTAACTACACTGACTGTAGATGAGAGTTTACAAGATATATTCTCATGGCAACCACACTATAATTCACAAGCATCATCTATTTCCAGAAATTTTTGTACTGTGAAAATATCTAACTCATGAGATAGTTTCAAATGCAAAGAGAGCTTTATTAATATTTAATGTAGTAGTACTACAGTGGACAGGATACTTGATTGGTAGACATTTATAAACATTTGTTATCTTTGATTTCATAATTTTCTTGATTAGATGTGGTAGATTAATTGCAGGAATGACACCAATTCCTTCCGCCTGTCCTGTATGCACATCCTTTGCAATGTGCTTTTGCAACTCCTCCCATCCTGAAGGGTGGTCTATTTTCTCCTTGAGTGTGGATTATCCTTTAAATTGCTTTGCCTAGTAGAATGTGCAGAAAGAATAATGTATCTTTTCCAAAGCTAAGCCTAAAGAGATCTTGTGGGCTTCTATGCTCTTTTCCTCCTCTACCTTTGCCATTAGAATTTTCTTGACCTAGCTTCTTAGAATATGACATTGTGTGGGAGGGTCAAGTTGGCACAGATGTCTCAGGCTGAGGCCCCATACATGTGAGAGAACCCAGCTAAGTAAGATCACTAAAGCCAACTAGCAAACTCACAGTTTACTACAGACCCATAAGAGAGCCCTGCCATGCCCAGCTCAAATCTGTAAAACCACCGAGCTGACCATATGACTTGTGATCAATAATAAATTACTGCTGTTAGAAACTTCTAAGTGGTAGGGTAATTCATTACTTAGCAGTAGCTAACTAATACATTAGTAATGAACATTTGAAAGCTTATATGTCTAAGCTTTTGACAGTACTTAATGGATTTAATACTATATGATTACACACACCACACACACACACACACACACACACACACACACACACACACACAAAACATGTCATAAGGATGTAATGACCAGTGAATGGGGCTTTTAACTGCATCCTATACCTTGAAGGAAATTCAGTGTCGTTGGTGGCCATGACTTCAGTCATCAAGAGCAGTTTTTCTGTATAGCTGTTGTTTTTATCATACTATATGATGTAGTGACTGGGATAAGGCCTAGAGGCCCTGAGTGATCATGACCATTGGTGGATGATACAGGAAAAGTATTCCCTCAAATCTCTCCATAATATTGGGAGGAGACGCTTTAGATTCCACTCAAAAGGCATTGAAAACTAACCTTTATCATCTGCTTATTTCTGGCCTCTGTAAGAGGTCTGGGAACCCAAAGGGATATAAAAGTGATCCATATCCATGGCATGGAAAATATTTAAAGTTAAATGAACAGAAAAACCATTATTATGGGATTAAAAGTTTCATTTTATTGGAAAACAGAAAGGTAGTTAAATTTCTGCTCTTAGTGTAGTACTTAAAATCTCAATCTTCCACTAGAACCCCTCTTTTTGTATTTCTAACCACAATGGATTTTATATTAAATGAATTAAATATTTTAAATCAAATCAGTCATATTCTATAGCTAGGCTGCCAAGTGTGAAAATTAGAAAGCTGCTTTTATATCTTCATTTAATTTCTGGATAGCAGTTTCCTTTGTTAGGAGACCTGCAAACTAAATGATCCATAGTCCTTACCCATAAGCTTGAAATGATGTCTGGGAAATAGGAAGTTATACACTCCCCTCCAGCAGTATCCTCCCCTATACCCATTGACGTTTAAACAAGGTCATCGAATTCTAGGCCCTAAAACTCTAGCACAGCCCAGGACATAATGATACTTTTATATACTAAAGAGACACATTTTGAGTTCTAGTTTTTTAAAGCACTATGGAGACATGTGAACTGGGCAAATCATAGACTGAAGGCTGCTAAAACTCCTGTCAATCACTCCCCTGCCCTTATTCTTCAGTCCTTGCACATTGACTGACAGAATAACTGTCCTAAGGCACAGTTCAGATCATGGCACTCCCAGCTCACACACTATCATCAACAGTAAAATCCCAAGTGCCCAAAGCCCTCTAAGATCTGGCTACAGATTATCTCGCCAGCCTTAACCCCTGATGAATTCACCCATGCACCAGCCACATCCAACTCTTCACTGTTCTCCCAATTGATTTAAAAATTTTTTTCCCATAGGTTATTGGGGAAAAGGTGGTGTTTGGTTACATGAGTAAGTTCCTTAGTGCTGATTATGAGATTTTGGTGCACCCATCACCTAAGCAGTATACACTGCACACAATTTGTAGTCTTTTAGCCTTCACCCCTCTCCCACCCTTTCCCCCTGAGTCCCCAAAGTCCATTGTGTTATTCTTATGCCTTTGCATTTTCATAGCTTAGCTACCACTTATGAGTGAGAACATACAATGTTTGGTTTTCCATTCCTGAAACTTCACTTAGAATAATAGTGTCCAATCTTATCCAGGTCGCCGTGAATGCCATTAATTAATTCCCTTTTATGGCTGAGTAGTATTTCATTGTATATATATACCACAATTTATTTATCCACTCATTCATTGATGAGCATTTGGGTTGGTTCCACGTTTTTAAAATTACGAATTGTGCTGCTATAAACATGCATGCACAAGTATCTTTTTCATATAATGATTTCTTTTCCTCTGGATAGATACCCAATAGTGGAATGGCTGGATCAAATGGTAGTTTTACTTTCAGTTCTTTAAAAAAAAATCTCCACACTGTTTTCCATAGTGGTTGTACTAGTTTACATTCCCACCAGCAGTACAGAAGTGTTCCCTGTTCACTGCATCCACGCCAACATCTATTATTTTATTATCTTTTTATTATGGCCATTCTTGCAGCGCATTGTGGTTTTGATTTGCATTTCCCTGATCACTAGTGATGTTAAGCATTTTTTCATATGTTTATTGGCCTTTGTATATCCTCTTTTGAGAATTGTCTATTCATGTCCTTAGCCCACTTTTGATGAGACTGTTTTTTTCTTGCCAATTTGTTTGAGTTCATTGTAGATTCTGGATATATAGAATGTCAGATATATAGAATGTGAAGATTTTCTCCCACTCTGTGGATTGTCTGTTTACTCTGCTGACTGTTCCTTTTGTCGTGCAAGAGCTCTTTAAATAAGTGATAGATATTTATCTTTGTTTCCATTGCATTTGGTTTTGAGTTCTTGGTCATGAAATTCTTGCCCAAGCCAATGTGCAAAAGGGTTTTTCCAATGTTATCTTCTAGAATTTTTGTAGTTTCAGTCCTTCATCCATCTTGAGTTAATTTTTGCATATGGAGAGAGAGTAGGATCCAGTTTCATTCTTCTACATGTGGCTAGCTAATTATCACAGCACCATTTGTTGAATAGGGCGTCCTTTCCCCACTTTACGTTTTTGTTTGCTTTGTTGAAGGTCAGTTGGCTATAAGTATTTGGCTTTATTTCTGGGTTCTCCATTCTGTTCCATTAGTCTATGTGCCTATTTTTATACCAGAACCATGCTGTTTTGATGACTATGGCCTTATAGTATAGTTTGAAACCAGATAATGTGATGCCTCCAGATTTGTTCTTTTTGCTTAGTCTTGCTTTGGCAATGCGAGCTCCTTTTTTGTTCCATATGAATTTTAGGATTTTTTTTCTAGTTCCGTGAAGAATTATGGTGGTATTTTGATGGGAATTGCACTGAATTTGTAGATTATTTTTGGCACTATTGTCATTTTCACAATATTGATTTTGCCCATCTATGTGCATGGAATGTGTTTCCATTTGTGTTGTCTATGATTTCCTTCAGCAGTGTTTTGTAGTTTTCCTTGTAGAGGTCTTTTACTTCCTTGGTTAGATATATTCCTAAATATTTTATTTTATTTTGTATTTTTTGCAGCTATTGTAAACAGGGTTGAGTTCTTGATTTGATTCTCAGTTTGGTCGCTGTTGGTGTATAGAAGAGCTACTGATCTGTGTACATTAATTTTGTATCAGGTAACTTTGCTGAATTATTTTATCAGTTCTAGGAGCTTTCTGGAGGAGTCTTTAGACCTTTCTAGGTAAACAATCATACCATCAGCAAACAGCAATAATTTGACTTCCTCTTTACCAATTTGGATGCCCTTTCTTTCTTTCTCTTGTCTGATTCCTCTGGCTAGAACTTCCAGTACTATGTTGAAGAGAACTGGTCAGAGTGGGCATCTTTGTCTTGTTCCAGTTCTCAGAGGGAATGCTTTCACCTTTTCCCCATTCAGTATAATGTTGGCTGTGGGTCTGTCATAGATGACTTTTATTACATTGAGGTATGTCCCTTGTATGCCAATTTTGCTGAGAGTTTTAAAGGAATGCTGGATTTTGTTGAATGCTTTTTCTGCATCTATTGAGATTATCATGTAATTTTTGTTTTTAATTCTATTTATGTGGTTTATTACATTTATTGACTTGTGTATGTTATACCATCCCTGCATCCCTGGTATGAAACCCACTTGATCATAGTGGATTATCTTTTTGATATGTTGTTAGATTTGGTTAGCTGGTATTAAGAATTTTTGCATCTAGGTTCATCAGGGATATTGGTCTGTAGTTTTCTTTTTTGTTTATGTTCTTCCTGGTTTTGGTATTAGGGTGATACTGGCTTCACAGAATGATTTAGGGAGGATTGCCTCTTTCTCTATCTTGTGGAATAGTGTCAATAGGAATGGTAGCAATTCTTTGAATGTCTGGTAGAATTCTGCTGTGAATTCTTCTGGTCCTGGACTTTTTTGTTGTTGGTAATATTTTATTACCATTTCAATCTCGCTGCTTGTTATTGGTCTGTTCAGGGTATCTAATTCTTCCTGATTTAAGCTAGGAGGGTTGTATCTTTCCAGGAATTTATCCATCTCCTCTAAGCTTTCTAGTTTATGTGTGTAAATGTGTTCATAGTAACCTTCAATGATCCTTTGTATTTCTGTGGTGTCAGATGTAATATCTCCTATTTTGTTTCTAATTGAGCTTATTTGGATTTTCTCTCCTCTTGGTTAATCTTGCTAATGGTCTATCAATTTTATTTATCCTCTCAAAAAATCAGCTTTTTGTTTCATTTATCTTTTTTTGTTTGTTTCAATTTCATTTAGTTCTGCTGTGGTGTTAGTTATTTCTTTTCTTCTGCTGGATTTGGGTCTCATTTCTTCTTGTTCCTCTAGTTCCTTGAGATGTGACCTTAGATTGTTTGTTTGTGCTCTTCCAGACTTTTTGACATAGGACTTTAGGGCTATGAACTTTCCTTTTTGCATCATCTTTACTGTATCCCAGAGGTTTTGATAGGTTGTGTAACTATTGTCCTTCAGTTTGAAAAAATTTTTAATGTCCATCATGATTTCATTTTTGACTCAATGATCACTGAGGAGCAGTTTATTTAATGTCCATGTATTTGCATGGTATTGAAGGTTCCTTTTGGAGTTGATTTCCAATTTTATTCCACTGTGGTCTGAGACAATGCTTGATATAATTTCAATATTCTTAAATTTATTGAGGCTTGTTTTGTAGCCTATCATATTATCTATCTTGGAGAAAGTTCCTTTCACTGATAAATAAAATGTATATTCTGCAGTTGTTAGGTAGAATGTTCTGTAAATATCAATATCTGTTAAATCCATTTGTTCCAGGGTATAGGTGTTTGTCTGTTTGTTTCGAGATAGAGTCTCACTCTGTTGCTCATGCTGGAGTGCAGTGGTGCAACCTCAGCTCACTGCAATCTCTGCCTCCCAGGTTCAAGCCATTCTCCTGCCTCAGCTTCCTGAGTAGCCAGGATTACAGGTGCCTGCCACCACATCCCACTAATTTTTGCATTTTTAGTAGTGATGGGGTTTCACCATGTTAGCCAGGCTGGTCTTGAACTCCTGACCTCAGGTGATCCACTTGCCTCTGCTTTCCAAAGTGCTGGGATTACAGGCATGAGCCACCACAGCTGGCCCAGGGTATAGTTTAAATCCATTGTTTCTTTGTTGACTTGCTGTCTTGGTGACCTGTCTAGTGCCGTCAGTAGAGTATTGAAGTCCCTCACTATTATTATGTTGCTGTCTATCTCAATTCTTAGGTCTATTAGTAATTATTTTATAAATTTGGTAGCTCCAGTGTTAGTTGCATATATATTTAGGATTGTGATATTTTCCTGTTGTACAAGTCCTTTTATCATTATATGATGTCCCTGTTTTTCTTTTTTAAAACTGCTGTTGCTTTAAAGTTTTGTCTGATATAAGAATAGCTACTCCTGTTTGCTTTTGGTGTTCATTTGCATTGAATGTCTTTTTCCACCCCATTACCTTAAGTTTCTGTAAGTCCTTATGTGATAGGTGAGTCTCTTGAAGACAGCAGATAGTTGGTTGGTGAATTCTTATCCATTCTGCAATTCAGTATCTTCTAAGTGGAGCATTTAGGCCATTTACATTCAATGTTAGTATTGAGATCATTCCATTCATCATGCTATTTGTTGCCTGTATACCTTTCTTTTTTTTTAATTGTATTTTTGTTTTATAGGTCCTGTGAGATTTATTCTTTAAAGAGGTTCTGTTCTGACACGTTTCCAGAATTTGTTTCAAGATTTAGAGCTCCTTTTAGCAGTGCTTGTAGTGTTGGCTTGGTAGTGGTGAATTCTCTCAGCATTTGTTTGTCTAAAAAAGACTGTATCTTTCCTTCCTTTATCCAGCTTAGTTTCACTGGATACAAAATTCTTGGCAATAATTCTTTTGTTTAAAGAGGCTGAAGATAGGGCTCCAATCCCTTCTAGCTTGCAGGGTTTCTGCTGAGAAATCTGCTGTTAATCTGATAGGTTTCCTCTATAGGTTACCTGGTGCTTTTGCCTCACAGCTCTTAAGAGTCTTCCCTTTGTCTGAACTTTAGATAACCTGAAGACTATGTGCCTAGGTGATTTTCTTTTTGCAATGAATTTCCCAGGGGTTCTTTGAGCTTCTGTCTAGGTCTCTAGCAAGGCTGAGGAAGTTTTTCTCGATTATTCCCCCAAATATGTTTTCCAAACTTTTAGATTTCTCTTCTTCCTCAGGAACACAAATTATTCTTAGGTATGGTCGTTTAACATAATCCCAGACTTCTTGGAGGCTTTGTTCATTTTTTTTGTTCTCTTATCTTTGTCTTTGTTGAATTGGGTTAATTTGAAAACCTTGTCTTCGAGCTCTGAATTTCTTTCTTCTGCTTATTTTTTTCTATTGCTGAGACTTACCAGACGTTTTGCATTTCTATAAGTGTGTCCATTGTTTCCTGAAGTTTTTAAATTGTTTATTTATGCTATTTATTTCATTGAAAATTTCTCCCCTCATTTCTTTGGTCATTTTTTTGACTTCCTTAAATTGGGCTTGCCTTTCTCTGATGCCTCCCTGATGAGCTTAATAACTGACCTTCTGAATTCTTTTTCAGGTAAATCAGGGATTTCTTTTTGGTTTGGATCCATTGCTGGTGAGTTGGTGTGATTTTCTGGGGGCATTAAAGAACCTTGTTCGGTTATATTAACAGAGTTGGTTTTCTGGTTCCTTCCCATTGCGGTAGTCTCTGTCAGAAGGAAGGTCTAGTGCTCAAGGCTGTTGTTCAGATTTTTTTGTCCCGCAGGGTGTTCCCTTGATGTAGTACTCTCTCCCTTTTCCTAGGGATGTAGCTTCCTGAGAGCCAAGCTATGGTGATTGTTATCTCTTTCCTGGATCTAGCCACCCAGCAAGTCTATCAGGCTATAGGCTGGTACTGGGAGTTGTCTGCAGAGTCCTGTGATGTAAACTGTCTGTGGGTCTCTCAGCCATGGATATCAGCACCTGCTCCAGTGGAACTGGCAAGAGGGTGAAATGGACTCCATGAGGGTTCTTAGCTTTTGTTGTTTAATGCACTATTTTTTTACTGGTTAGCCTCCTTCTAGGAGGTGGCACTTTCAAGAGCATATCAGCTGTGGAAGTACAGAGAGGATCAGGTGGTGGGCAGGGCCCTAAAACTCCCAACAGTATATGTCCTTTGCCTTCAGCTACCAGGGTGGGTAGGAATGGACCATTAGGTGGGGGTAGGGCTAGGCATGTCTGAGCTCAGACTCTCCTTGGGCAGGTCTTGCTGTGGCTGCTGTGGGGGATACGAGTGTGGTTTCTGGGTCAATAGAGTTATGTTCCTAGGAGGATTATGGCTGCCTTTACTGTGTCATGCAGATTGTCAGGGAAGTGAGGGAAAGCCGGCAGTCACAGGCCTCACCCGGTTCACATGCAATCCAAAAGTCCAGTCTCACTCCCACTGTGCACCCCATCAACAGCATTGAGTCTATTTCCAGGCAGTAGGCAGGCAGGGCTGAAAACTTGCCCCAGGCTACCTGCCTCCCAGCTGCAAAAACAATAGGGCTTTTGTACCTCCCCTGCCTGTGGAGTCTGCACACCCAATTCACACCCTCCCCCAAGTTCTGACCAGGAGACTTCTTGATCAATTCAAATTGTTACAAAGGTCCCTTCTCCCTGTGGCCTTTTCCCAGTGACTCTGGCAGCCTTCCCCAAGGACCCAGTATTTGGGGTGTCTCCCAGGTCCTGCAGGAGCAATCTGCTTCCTTCAGAGCGTCTCTGGGTCCTCTCAGCTTTCCTGACTTATTCCTGAGTCATTCTGGAGCAAAAAGTTCACAGTGCAAGCCTCCACACACTGCTCTGTCCATCCAAGTGAGAGCTGCAATCTAGTCCTGCCTCCTGTCCACCATGATCCCAGCTGATTTTTGAACTTCCCATTCTGCCTAAGATAATCCTATACTGCCCACTAAGAATGCCTTCTCAACTATTTCCGTTTGTAGAAATACTGGTATTTTCCACAGCCTCACTCAATAGCTTCAACACAAATACTAAGTCATTTGTAAACATGTCTATTTCACCTAATTCACCATAAACTCCTTGTGTTTAGGATACATCTATTTCATTTTGGCATACTCCATAATATCTGGATTTGTGCCCCAAAATTACAGGTATAATAGTAGTAACAATAATCATGATGTAATAACTTACATATGAATATGCATGAAATATGTATGTGTTTGTTTGTATATGTCTGTATATATTCTGATTTACTATGAGGATTCAAGATAAGATCACATCTCTTTTAATATTTGTCAGTATAAATATAATCCTCCAATACACCATTTAAAAATTCCTTCTTATTTCTCTCCCCCTTTCCCTCTACATACCTGGGTAGTTCTGGATGCCCACATAATAACTCAGTGCAAGAGGCAAGTCATGGACACAAAGGCCTCATCAAGGAAGAACCAAAAAACTTTCCCGTTCCCGATTGCAATTGCTGCTATCATTGCTGGAAAGAAAAGGAGACCACTCTTTTTGTGATTCAAATCAACCATTCTTTCCTTATATTTACGTAGAGGAATTTTGCAAAGTTACAGCTTTTTTGTTGAAGCTTATTCTTCTAAATAAAAGTGTCAAGAGTGTTTTTTTCACAGAGGGTCCCCTAATTCTACTACAAATTTGTTCACTTTTTTCTCACTGATTTCAGATCTGAACCCTGCAAAGGTCACAGGGAGAGAGAAACAATCTCTGTTAGGCCAAAGAAATACACAGTTGCATTCTTTCTGCAGAATGCATTGGCATAACTAATAAATATTTCTCAACTTGCATTCTTCCAAAGGAGATTTAATGTTTTACCTGCCATAAATAAAGGCAACTGATAATTTGTAAGCAAAATATCCTCTTACTTAAAAAAAAAATGAAAGCAATAAAGAAAAAAAGGGAAATGATAGGGAAGCCAATAAAAATACAACTGATTATAATTTCTCAATTTCCTTGAGTTCTGTTATGTGGGAGGCAATATATTAACCATTTTTTAAACATATTTTATCTTCTAATTCTCACAACAACCCTATTGTGCTCTACTGATTGAAATACTGAAGAATCAAGCAATGAACAATGTTCTCCATTCAAGAGTAGAACTTAGACCTGTCTGACTCCACTGTTTCTGTTCTAGCAAACTCAACTGCCCTGTTATAGCATTGGGTTAATTAAACTGAATGAAATGATAGCAGTTTCACACTACTTTCAAGATGGTAAGCCTACTTTATCCAAATTATTATCATACCTTTTCATACATTGATAAAGATATACAGAACAAAACTATATTAAGTATCTGTTCAGGGAATTTTTCTAGGATTAATTAAACTGGCTCTCTCTCTCATCTCAGTATGTTTGCACTGACATCTGTTGCATGGCATCCATACACGCTTTCTTCCTGTACTGTACCACCAGGATCTGAAGAGGCAGAAAATTATCCCTCTGCTAAAAGCAACTCCTATATTTCACAATATTGAATCACTGCATTTTGCTTTTTTTGAAAATAACAGTTTTCTGCTGTAACGTTTTATAGTGACTGCAATTGTCATATAGCCATCATTATGAGCATGCTGCATTCCAGAGATCTCTTTTGCAACCAGTATTCTTTTTATTCAGATTTTTTTCTCCTCTCATTTCCTGCATATGACTATTTTGTGAAATTGTATTTGGATGCATAAACTATGCTCTTGGACACAGCAGTTAAAAAAAATGTGCTTCTGTCTCCTGCATTGCTAGAAGCTCTATCAAGTTTTGGTGATTTTGATAGATCACCTTGTAATCTTGCCTTGTGATTATCTTTTTCATCTAATATAATAACCAATGAAGTACCTTCTTGCCTCTAAATATTCAGAGCAATGAACATACATTGAGAAGCACTCATCCTGGACAAAATCCCTGAATAATTTGATTAAAAAAAGAAAAAATCTCTTGTACTTTTCCATCATGTAGATCATAAAGCTAAAAATAGCAGAAGGTGATAAAAATATTCATGTATATGTCATATGCCTGTAAATGAATCAGATCCGTATGTAAACAGGGAATTGGAGATAAATAGAAGGTGACTGATGTGGTTAGGCTTTGTGTCCATGCCCAAATCTCATCTTGAATTGAAATCCCCATAATCCCCTCCTGTCCATGGAGAGACCAGGTGGAGATAATTGAATCATGGGGTCAGTTTCCCCCGTATGTTCTCATGATAGTTGGTGAGTTCTCATGAGATCTGATGGTTTTATAAGGGGTTTTCCCCCCTTCACTCAGCACTTCTCCTTCCTGCCATTTTGTGAAGAAGGTGCCTTGCTTTCCCTTTACCTTCTGTCATGACTGTAAATTTCCTGAGACCTCCCCAGCCATATGGAACTGTGAGTCAATTAAGCCTCTTTCATTTATAAATTACCCAGTCTTGGGGATTTCTTCATAGCAGTGTGAGAATAAACTAATACAGTAAATTGTTATCAGCAGTGGGGTGCTGCTGTAAAGATACCCAAAAATGTGGAAGTGGCTTTGGAACTGGGTGAAACAGTTTGGAAGGCTCAGAAGAAGACAGGAAGATGTGGGAAAGTGTGGAACTTCCTAGACACTTGTTGAATGGTTTTGACAAAAATGCTGATAGTTATATGGACAATGAAGTCCAGGCTGAGGTGGTCTCAAATGGAGATGAGGTACTTCTTGGGAACTAGAGCAGAGGTGACTTTGCTTTAGCAAAGAGACTGGCAGCAATTTTCCCCTGCCTTAGAGATATGTGGAACTTTAAACATGAGAGAGATGGTTTAGAGTATCTGGTGGAAGAAATTTCTAAGCAGCAAAGCATTCAAGAGGAAACAGAGCATAAAAGTTTGGAAAATTTGCAGCCTGACAATACAGTAAAAAAGAAAAACCCATTTTCTGAGGAGAAATTCAAGCCTGCTGCAGAAATTTGCATAAGTAACAGGAGCTGAATGTTAATCACCAAGACAATTAGGAAAATGTCTCCAGAGCACCTCAGAGACCTTCACAGCAGCCCCTCCAATCACAGGTCTGGAGGCTTAGACGGGAAAACTGACTTCATGAGATGGGCCCAGGGCCCGCTGGCTCTATGCAGCCTCAGGACATGGTGCCCTGCCCCAGTTGCTTCAGCTCCAGCCATGGATAAAAGGGGGCAAGGTACAGCTTGGACCATTGCTTCAGAGAGTGCAAGCCCCAAGTCTTGGCAGCTTCTATGTAGTGTTGAGCCTTTAGGTTCCCAGAAGTTAAGAAATGAGGTTTCGGAACCTCTGCCTAGATTTCGGAGGATGTATTTAAATGCTTGGATGCCCAGGCAGAAGTTTGCTGCAGGGGTGGAGCCCTCATGGAGAACCACTGCTAGGGCAGTGAGGAAGGAAAATGTGGGGTCAGGGCCTCCAAACAGAGTCCCCACTGGGGCACTGCCTAGTGGAGTTGTGTGAAGAGGGCCACTGTCCTCCAGACCCCAGAATGGTAGATCCACCAACAGCTTGCACTGCACAGCTGGAAAAGCCACAGACAATGCCAGCCCATGAAAATGGCTAGGAGGCAGGCTGTACCCTGCAAAGACACAGGAGTGGAGCTTCCCAAGACCACTGGGACCCACTTCTTTCATCAGCATGACCTGGTGACATGGAGTCAAAGGAGATCATTTCAGAACTTTAAGATTTGACTGCCCTGCTGGATTTCGCACTTGCATGGGTCCTGTAGCCCCTTTATTTTCTCCCATGTGGAATGGGCGTATTAACCCAGTGCCTGTAACCCCATTGTATCTAGGAAGCAACTAATTTGCTTTTGATTTTACAGGCTTTTAGGCAGAAGAAACTTGCCTTGTTTCAGATGCGACTACTTTGGGGGAGTGTTGGGAAGGCATAATTGGTTTTGAAATGTGAAAGGGGCATGACATTTGGGAGGGGCCAGAGGCAGAATGATATGGGTAGGCTTTGTGTTCTCACCCAAATCTCATCTTGAAATGTAATCTCCATAATCCCCATATTTCAAGGGAGGGACCAAGTGGAGATAATTGAAGCATGGGGGTGGTTTTCCCCACACTGTTCTTGTGATAGTTCATGACTTCTCATGAAATCTCATGGTTTCTTAAGGAGCTCTTCTTCCTTCACTCAGCACTTCTCCTTCCTGCTGACTTGTGAAGAAGTGCCTGGCTTCCCCTTTGCCTTCCACCATGATTGCAAGTTTTCTGAGGCCTCTCCAGCCATGTGGAACTGTGAGTTAATTGAACCTCTTTCCTTTATAAATTACCCAGTCACAAGTATTTCTTCATAGCAGTGTAAGAATGGACTAATAGAGTGACTCATGATTATTGTCATGGGTTTACCAGTACGTGATTTCTCAAGGTTCAGACATGTGTCTTATAAATCTGTCTGTCATGCTTGCAAAACATGCAGGAGTAGGGTAGGAAGTGTTATTTATGTCTTTATTTTGTTTTATTTCACTAGATATTACCATTTATGTCTTTCCAACAGCAAAAATACAAATGGAAATATTTTATTTCCAAAATATGTGAACATTTCCTTTGAGATTTGAAACGTGAACTGCTTCACTCAGTTTGAAATACTGTGTTCCCCACATCCATTGCTCTTCATTGTTCTTTTATATGAAAGATACAATGAACAGGAAGAACACATAGCTGGCTGTTGAAAGGACCTGCCACTTACCAAGTGTACTATAGAGCAAGTTTCTTAACCCTCCAAGCTTCAGCTTTCTCACCTTAGAAACTGATATAATAATATCTACACTGAAGTGTTGGTGAAAAGATTAAATAGATAATATATTTAAAGCACTTATGCAAAATATCCTCCAGCTCATAAACGGTTCCCAATAATGGTAGTTATTAGTATCCCTAATTGCCTCTAAATTTATTTTCAAAAATATAAATGGTCAATAACGATCTAAAACTTAGTTTTGGAAAGATCAACATGTATTATTGATGCCTGGAACTACATTTTCTGAATTCTAATGGCCACTGGTCAAATACACCACAAGTTGACTAAGTGAAATTTCAGTGATGAGGATTTTGTGATGATTCAAGTGCAACAAGATGACTGTAGAGTTGCTGAGGGGAAGAAGCCTCTTTCTGCTGCACTCTCCCTAAACCAGTCACTTCAAATTTACTGGCCACGCTTCCCTTAAATATAGGTATGGTGAAAGGGAGGCTGTCCTTTATGTCCTGTTATGTTACGTTGGGGAGGGAGGGATTGCTATTTTAAACAAGATAGACAGTGAAGGCCTCAGTGTTAAAATACTATTTGAGCAAAACCTGAAAATGTGAAAAAGTTATTCACGTGCATAAAATGAAGCAAAGTATTCCAGGCTGAGGGACCAGCCAGTGCAAAACACCCAAGGCATTATGTTTGTTCTGGTCAGAGATGAGTAAGGATAGCTTGGTTGGAGCCATGTGGTCAGGCTGAGTCTGAGAGGGAGCAGAGCCTTTCTTTTGCTCTTGCAGGGTCTTCTCAGAGCCATGGCTTTTACTTTACAGGAGTTGGGGAGCCACTAGACATTTCAAGCAGAAGACTATCAATATCTAATGTGTCATTTAAAGGAACCACTATAGCATCTCTGTGGATGGACTTTAGGATAGAAGAATGGAGGCAGGGAGACGAGGTTAAGAGATTATTGGCAAAAGCCCAGGTAAAGGGCAGGTTGGTGAGCAGGGGAAGCGATGAAACATGTTTGAGTTCTGGTTATATTCTAAAGGCAGAGGTGACAAGGCTTGTGAACAGATAAGATACAGGATATACTTAAATTGTGGTTAGGTCCAAAATTATTGATTTGAGCAACAAGAAGAAAGTATAATCATTTTCTTAGATGGGAAGGCTGATGAAAAGTTTGGAGGAAAGATCAAGAGTTCAATTTGGGACATGTTGATTTTGGGATTTCTATTAGACATCCAAGTTTTTAATAAGAAATTAGATATCCAACTCTGGATTTTAGGGGAGAGGTATAGGCTAGATATACAAATTTAGGCATCAACAGCATATCAATGATATGTAAAACCTTGAGAATTGTAAGATATACGGGAGTTATAGGTGCAAGGAGAATTGTTCCCTGGTATACTCTAACATTTAAGAGTTGGAGAACAAAGAAAGTAAATTTATAAGGTGGCTGATGACAGAGACATTAAACTAAAGGTTTCACTGTGTCACAGAAGCCAGGTGAAAGCATGTATATCCAAGGAGAAGGCATGATAACTGAATCAAATGCTGCCAATAGGTCAAGGGATATGTGGACTGAATTCACCACTGGATTTAGCAATGTGGAGGTAATTATTGACAACAGGAACAGTTTCAGCAAACTATTTGAGGAGAAATTAGTTTTAAGAAGGATTCAAAAGAAAATAGGAGAAAATGAATCAGAAAAAGCAAACATTAACAACTCTCTCTAGGCAGTTTGCTGTAAAGGAAGGCTAAAAATTAAGATCAGGACTCGAGTAGAATGTGAGGTCAAAAAAGGATTTGTTGTTTGCTTTGCTGTTGTGATGTTTGTTTCTTGTTGTTGTTGTTTTGGGTGGTGTTTTTATTTTGTTTCGTTTTTCAAACAGAGAATAATCTTTCCCTTTCCCCTTCTTTCCCTATGCCCTGAGGGTAGACATGGACACATTGTTGAGTTGGAAGATGGAATTGAATTGATGCAAGTGCATTCAAAAAGCTTTTCACGAGTAAAATCTTTATGAAAATATTTCTTCACAACTCGGTCTTAGCTGAAAACATTTCCTGATTCCCATGTGAAGGGAAAGCCATTATGATGTAAAATATTCTAAGATTTTATTTGGCAGTGGGATCTGTCTTAAGTATCATAGAAACCATGAATATCTCTTCGTTATCTATATTGATTAAACAATGTTTCTAGAATCTTTTTGTTAGTGTTTTAGAATCCTCAGGATGAGAAAATGCTTATTCCAGCTAGGAGCAATAATAGCCCCTTTAATCTCAGCCTCCTTGTCATCAGATCTTAGGAGGCTTCCTATTCCTGAGGATTTGGAAGTGCTGACATGATATAGCCAAATCTGACCCTGTTGCTTGCTAAAAAAAAAAAAAAAAAAAAAGTCATTCAAACTATGTTGCAGCAATTGCAGTGGGATTCCCTGGACTCATAAATGAAGAAAAAAGATTAAGGTAATTTTTCAGTGGTGCCCAGCTAGCTCACAATTTGTTGGTTTTCAGAATTTTAGACTATTAATAGAAGCAATGAATAGAATTTAGATAAATTGACAGCACATTTTATTACTTACAGATATTTCAGTGTAAACACGAAAATTATTTCATCATTCTCAAATTTTATGATAGTAGTTGTGCTTGTGTTTGTATATACATAGTAATGTAAATGAAATAAATAATTTATCATATAATGTAATAAGTATATAAATTTATGAAGTATGGGCATAAAAGGTAGTTGTTATTTCTATGAAAATTAAGCTGAATCCTTTGCAAAGTCTCAATAAATATAAATCACTAAAAAAATTCAGTAAAATTAAGTATGGTAACAAATGATTTGGAAAAAAAAATTACAAAAACTGCATTCTTCTTTTTTTTTTTTTTTTTTTTTTTTTTTTTTGAGGCAGGGTCTTGCTCTCTTACCCAGGCTGGAGTGCAGTGACGTGATCTCTCACTGCAGCCTCACCCGTCTGGGCTCCAGTGATCCTCCCACCTCAGGCTCTCAAGTAGCTGGGACAATAGGTGCATGCCACCACACCCAGCTACTTTTTGTATTATTGTAGAGGCAGAGTCTCACTATGTTGCCCAGACTGGTCTCAAACTCCTGAGTTCAAGTGATCCACCCACCTTGGCCTCCAAAAGGGCTGGGATTAAAGGCATGAGCCACGGTGCCTGGCCCAAAAGCAGAATTCTGCAGTCAACTTTCTTTCTTTTCTTTTCTTTTTCTTTTTTTTTTTTTTTTTTTGAGGCAGAGAGTCTTGCTCTTTTGCCAGGCTGGAGTGCAGTGGCACAATCTCGGCTCACTGAAACCTCCACCTCCCGGGTTCAAGCAATTCTCTTGCCTCAGCCTCCTGAGTAGCTGGGACTACAGATGTGCACCACCACACCCAGCTAATTTTTGTATTTTTAGTAGAGACTGGGTTTCACCATACTGTCCAGGATGGTCTCGATCACTTGACCTTGTGATTCGCCTGCCTCAGCCTCCCAAAGTGCTGGGATTACAGGCGTGAGCCACCGTGCCCGGCCAACTCTGCAGTCGACTTTCTTTGCTAGTATTTTTAAGTTCTTAATTCCACTGTAAAGGAAAATAATAAAGAATGCATCAATTATGTATATGTGGTCTATAAAAAGACAATTTTAATCTTCAATTATAAGTCACAGATATAAAGAATCCTTGCCTCATTATCAAAAGATTGGTGAATGAGTATGCATTTACATGTTTTAGATGTAAACAAATTAATTCCTACATACATTCATTTCTATGATTTCCTGCTTTAATCAATTTTTTACTGACCATATACCTGCTTTAATAATGTCAGAAGTTTTTATTCTATTTTTAAATATTCTGTTTTTAAATATTCATGTGTTTTAAAAATATGGATAATTCAATCTTTATGTTAAATATTGCATTAAATTCTGATCAAACAACCTTGTATTCTAAGTATTTTTCTATATTATTACAAGCCTTAGGATGATATTCAAAATATTTAACAACCAGTTTGACAGGGGCCCAACCAGCTAAAATAGACTAATGGCCAATTAGAATTTAGGTCAGTTATACACAACCTGAGTGAACAGGTGCATATCAATACACACAGAGTCATTATTTTAATAACTGAATCACTTTTCAAACAGGCTATATTTTACTTCATCACAGCACTATTCTTAGACTTGAAGATTGTTTTATTTTTCTCTGATATTAATAATTTTGCAACAAACATGCATGCTAATCACTTTCTTTTATGCTTCTGAATAGGAAATTTATTCCTCATGACAAAAGAAGGAAGAGATGAAGAGAGGAAGATAATATTTATTACCCAGTATTGACTAGCCTTCTTGCCTGCTTGCCTGCCTCCTCACTTGTTTATTTACTGAATTATTTGCTTCAGAAACTATTTAAAGCATAGCAAGTGTGAGTGATACAAATAAATCTCTTCACTTTATTTCAATTTAATTATATTCTAAAATCTAGGTTCATGCATTAAGCAGCTACACTTTCCAAAATTCTCCAAGTAATTCTTCATACCTCACATTTATTTGACTTTGAAGAATAAGAAAAATGAAGTAAAAGCAATATTATTTTTCCCTAAAATCCAAGGAACATTATTCATATGACTTAATATTCCTGCTTCTGTGCTTAAATTTTTTGTGAAACTAAATATATTCACTTTTGAAAGCACTAATGCTGGCATTATGCCAAAATGTACCTCATGCCAACCCAGAGGATTATCTGAAAATTCTGCTTCTGAAAGAACTTAGTATTTTGAAATTGATAATCTTCCAGAATGCACCAAAATGCTCTTGATTGCTGTTCAATGCATAAGTAACATTTTAAAACTGCATCCCTAAAACACTTAGATCCTCATGAATTATGAACTGTGTGTGTGTTGGGTGGGGCGTGTTTTTCCTTCTAAGCATCCTTAAGGATGCATTAGTCTATTTTAGCTGGTTTGGCCCCTGTCAAACTGGTTGTTAAATATTTTGAATATCATCCTAAGGCTTGTAATAATATAGAAAAATACTTAGAATACAAGGTTGTTTGATCAGAATTTAATGCAAAATTTAACACAAAGATTGAATTATCCATATTTTTAAAACACATGAATATTTAAAAATAGAATATTTAAAAAATAGAATAAAAACTTCTGACATTATTAAAGCAGGTATATGGTCAGTAAAAAATTGATTAAAGCAGGAAATCATAGAAATGAATGTATGTAGAAATTAATTTGTTTACATCTAAAACATGTAAATGCATATTCATTCACCAATCTTTTGATAATGAGGCAAGGATTCTTTATATCTGTGACTTATAATTGAAGATTAAAATTGTCTTTTTATAGACCACATATACATAATTGATGCATTCTTTATTATTTTCCTTTACAGTGGAATTAAGAACTTAAAAATACTAGCAAAGAAAGTCGACTGCAGAGTTGGCCGGGCACGGTGGCTCACGCCTGT
This sequence comes from Homo sapiens, assembly GCF_000001405.40. Taxonomy (NCBI): domain Eukaryota; kingdom Metazoa; phylum Chordata; class Mammalia; order Primates; family Hominidae; genus Homo; species Homo sapiens. The sequence goes on along the minus strand of NC_000010.11, from coordinate 64,457,783 downwards.
AATCCCAGCACTTTGGGAGCCCGAGGCAGGCAGATCACAAGGTCAAGCGATCGAGAAAATCCTGGACCATATGGTGAAACTCAGTCTCTACTAAAAGTAAAAAAATTAGCTGGGTGTGGTGGTGCACATCTGTAGTCCCAGCTACTCAGGAGGCTGAGGCAGGAGAATTGCTTGAATCCAGGAGGTGGAGGTTGCAGTGAGCCAAGATCGTGCCATTGCACTCCAGCCTGGCAAAAGAGCAAGACTCTGTCTCAAAAAAAAAGAAAAGAAAAGAAAGAAAGTTGACTGCAGAATTCTGCTTTTGGGCCAGGCACCGTGGCTCATGCCTTTAATCCCATCCCTTTCAGAGTAACATGTGACAGTTAAGTATGTCATTACTTTTGAATATGTTGATGGAAAAGATTAAGACATGAACTTCTTGAAAGCTCATAAATTTTGCACTTCCTTTGGAAGTTTATGCAAGAAGTACTTATTATTTTTAAAAGTTTTCATCCTGAGAATTTATAAACTAAATAAGAAGAAAAATGTTCACCCATCTCTTAGCCTCGCACAGCACACTAATTCTAATATGGGAGATATGGAAACCCAGGAATCAACAAATTCCAGGACTTAGAGGTACTTTATATAACTATATAGTCCATCATTATATTATAAATGAATAAATTTATGTCCAAAGACTCCAAAGCAATTATTCATAGTGACGCAACAAATGACTTATTTGTCCAACTCATTTTCGCTACAATGTACCATCCAGATCCTGTGACTATTTTCCTCATGTAACCAACTGAAAAAATAAAATAAATCATCAAATATATTATATCTCAATAATGTTGAACTATTGATTTGAATTTTTTCCCTCAACTTACTGGTTGTTTCAGCATTCTGGAGAAAAACAAACCAAGCAATCCATAGTACCAAGCTGTAAACAACAGGCTGAGCTCTGGTTTCCCATTCCTGGGCTTCTTGACTGAATTCTCCAATTCTCCTTTCCCTACTACTATGCTGGCAGGGGGGAGGGGGAGGGGGGAGGGGGGATGGGGGAGGGGGGAGGGGAGGGGGCGGGAATGAACTCTGCCTGAAGATAAGACCTATATAGCATATACCAGGGAATAAGAAATTTGATTTCTACTGCACTGAGAGTACATATGATGCTATGGTTCTCATTTACCTGTAATCTCCATTAAAAGCAATGGGAGGTCTAATATGCTAGGTAATTAATGGATGTGGATAGATTCAAATGGATAACAGTGAAATAGACAAATAAAGCCTTCTTGAGAGTTTTGTATATCAATGTGCTCTCCATGATGAACTAAAGAAAGATGCTTTTCATGCTTTTCAATAGACAAAGGTTTTGCCCACCTCTCACCCCAAGAGTCTCCAATTTATTTTGAGTGGATGTCTAACATCCAGAACTACATTACTCTCATCTCATAGCAAAGCATGAAGTGTTTCTTCTTTCCTATCTGTCATCAGTACAGTTTTCCTAGGTTCTTACCTAAGCAAAAAGAGGCATACATTGAAGTGATTGGCATTTCAAAAAATTAGAGACATTACACCAAACTGGAAGGTACCTTGTAAGCAATGGAAGTCACCTCAAATACAGAAGTACACAGCAATTTTGTCCCTTGCCACGAGTACTTAGTTTTCAAAATGAAATCTTGAAGACTCCTCGTACCCTGCATGACCCTTCATTTCTGGGGTTGTGCTGGCACATCATTTCAAGCCATCTAGCTAAGCTGTATAATATTATAATTATACTGTCACATAAGAAGATTGCACGTGAAATTAATGAAACACCATTCACCTCAGACAAGAGCTATGGAAGCTTAGAGCACTCTCCTGGGGTGCACTTTTTCTATATCAAATCTGTCTCAAGGAAAAAAAGGAAAACTTCAAGCTAGAATGCAAAATACAATTCAAGGAACTAATTTTGCTAAATGTTTTTCTCTCTTTTGTTTTCTTTAATTTGGGGATATTAAATTTCCTCTACTCTCTCATAAACAGAAGGCTGTCTAATTAAAATCAATGAAAAACTATAAAGAGAAAAATAAAAACAAAGAAACATAAAAATTCCATATCTTGAAAATATTCAGTATCCTTCATTGGTATCCTTCATTGGTGTAATTACAAGGTAGAAAAACAAGTAATTAATTCTTTTGGGATCCCAATACTCAATATGCTCTCTCTAGATATAGCACAGAATATATATATATATGTTTTTTCAAGTTTCATGTATGAAATTTAATTAACTACATCTAGCTACAGGATTCAGGAAAACAAATGCACACTAACATCAAACAAACAGTTAAATTTTAATGATGGATTAAATTATTTTATTCTTTCCAAACAAGTCTTTTGGACATCAGTTTTAAGTCAACAAAGTAGGAAGAATATGCAAAAAAGCATTTGCCCTTTTTAACTTTCCCAGCCTTTTTGTTTGGTTCTGACATTTGTCTCCCACATTCTCTTTTGTCTACTACCTCAATATTTTCTGCACATTGCATTTCCAAACACATACTCATTAGACTGTATTCATATATTTACATGACATAAATGAATGTGGAAGTTTCAAAAGAAAAAAGGACTCAGTGATGCAGAGTCTGATTGAGTGTCCCACAGTCAGCAAGTGAGTTCAGATGGTGAGTAATTCCTCTCCTACTGCCATCAGCATCATGCTCTCGGTAGACTCCAAGTTTCTCCCTTTGCATGAAGCAATGACTGTATGGTCACCTCTCTACCTCTGTCTTTCTGATGCAAAATTATTCCACAAATACCACACAATTATTATGGAGCTCTTATTTTATGTTAGATATTTGGACCACCTACTTTATTAGCAATAGAATTTATTTACCTATACACTTACATTTAATACAAAATTCTTGCCCTCCTAAGTGACAGACACAGCTAAGCACTAGGAACACAAAGCTGAACAAGGTCATTCCCTTTGCCCTTAAGAAGCTTAGAGTATAATAGAGTATTTGACAACATATATCTATTTTTTAGTATAAAGGCCAATTTTAAATACTTTTTTTTTTTTTTGAGACAGGGCCTCACTCTGTCACCTAGGCTGGAATACAGTGGCACAATCATGAGTAACTGTAACCTCAACCTCCTGGACTCAAGAGATCCTCCCACCTAATGCTCTCAAGTAGTTAAGACTATAGGCACACAACATCATGCCTGGCTATTTTGTATTTTTTGTAGAGACAGATTCTTACTATATTACCCAGGCTGGTGTTGAACTTCTGGCCTCAAGCAATCCTCCCAATTCAGCCTCCCAAAGTGCTGGGATTATAGGTGTAAGCTATTGCATCTGGCCTAAATATCAAATAATTTTGAGTGCCATCCCACACATCAGAATAGCTGCTTTCTTACAAAAGGAAGTATAATCAAAGTAAAGTTACTATGAAATCATTCAATCTCTTTAAATTAATTGTTATTTAATTTATCATAGTATCTATGCACACATTTTAAAAACAAAAGTACAAAAATGTATGAGAAATATCATTTATCTTATTTGTGAAAAGGGTTAAGAGCTGTTTTTTTTAATTGGATTAGAATCCTAGTTGAGCCATCTACTTATCAAGTGACCTTAAACAAGGGCTTTAAAACTCTCTTTTTAACACGCTTTAAGACTTTTTTTTTAATCAAAGAAAAATGAGCAAAATAATGGTCTCTATAGTATATTGTGCCGAGACCAGCTCAGTTGTGGAGACCCTAACCCAGTGACACTACAGAAATTAAAGGCACACACACCGAAGTATAGAGTGTGGAGTAGGAAATTAGGGGTCTGACAGCCTTCAGAGCTGAGAGCCACGAACAGAGTTTTACCCACATATTTATTGACAGCAAGCCAGTGATAAGTATTGTTTCTATAGATTATAGATTAACTAAAAGCATTCCTTTATGGGAAACAAAGGTATGGGCTTTGGCTAGTTACCTGCAGCAGGAACATGTCCTTATGGCACAGATCGCTCATGCTATTGTTTGTGGTTTAGGAACACCTTAAGCAGTTTTCCACCCTGGGTGGGCCAGGTGATGCTTGCCCTCATTCCAGTAAACCGACAACCTTCCAGCGTGGGCATCATGGCCATCACGAACATGTCACAGTGCTGCAGAGATTTTGTTTATGGACAATTTTGGGGCCAGTTTATGGCCAGATTTGGAGGCCTGTTCCCTACAATATAGTATATTATAAGAGACATATAGTGACTATAGGGTTAATGATAGCCATAAATTCCACTCAGACATCTTGTAGGGCTGACACTATGCCATGTAGTGCACCCTGACCTGGCAGTTTCCAACCCTGGCCTGGGGATTTCCAAGAGACAAGACTACTTCATCATAGATGCAACTCACAAAACTTAATTCAAAGCTTACCCTTACAAATATAGCTTGAACTCCCTTTATGAAAGAAACACCTAGTAACTCATGTGCACTGAGTACAAGTAGAAGAAAGGCGGAATAATTCCCCAAACTCTAAGAATGGTCTCTAGATGGAGATCCCCAGTCAGGAGGTCACCTGACACTGACTGAATCTGGCCCCTGCCACCAGCCTGCTCCTGTTATTTGTCTTCTAAGAATGCCGCCAGAATAAACCACTTGAACATTAGACGGTGTTTAAGACTCATCTATGAGGTAAATTTGACCAAAGGAGAGAAGTCGTCCTGAGGAAGCTGATTAAGTAGGATCACTCAAGATCCCCAAAAGCAACATAGCATATTGTCAGGATCAAGCGAAATGACATATGCAAATAACTAGGAGAGTGCCTAATATAAATTGTTTTTAATACTTGATATTTTTTAAATTTTCCATTACTATGTCTACAGACAATGGCTGGGAAATATTTGAGAGTCTAGTGAATGAGGAATTGGTACAAGGTTTCTCCTTTTTCCTCCATTTGGGCTCAGGGGCAAAAGGCATGTATCTGAAAGAAAGATAGCAGCCTGCAAAGAGCCTGTGGTGGATGATGACTTTGCCAACAGTAGATATCCGTAATGGGAAAGATGAGTTCATAGTAATCCCCGGGAGAACATGGACTGTGCATTTTCACTGTTGCCTACAGCACATTTTAGGCACTCAATAAATACTTGATGTATTCATTAATTATTGCCAAAATTTGAGGAGAAAGTGAAGGGAAGAAAAATCACTTCAAACCCTGTAACTGTGGATGAAGAACCTCAAAAAAATGATTTTATCTAAATCTCGACAAACACATAAACTGGATTTTTCCCACTATGTAGAGCAAAATTCAGAATACTTCCCCAAATTGCTCATTTCTCAGCTTTATTCCAGCTTTCACGGTGCCACTTGTCCCCAACCATAATATTTTAATACCTGTGTCTTTCTTCACTTTTCTCTTATTCATTCATACCACCAATTTAGTTCAAAGAAACCGTAAGCTTGAGTTTAGCAGGGCGATCTTAAAACTCTATCAGTTGAACTGCCAGCCAGTACACAAATTCACAAAAGGAAAAAAAAAAAAAAGCAAAAACAAAAAGCCCCACAAAAAGCAAAAAAACTAAGCAGCCTACTCACCAGAGAAAGGCAAGGCAGACCTGAAAGGTAAAATCTTAAATCTTAAAATATGGATGAACTCATTATATTAAAAATATATGAATACTGTGAAGTAGAGGTAAAATGGAGTTCATTTTCGGTAGCAATGCACTATGACCCTCATGTTCCCATTTCTACTTCACTTTCCCAGAACACACAACAAATGGCACTTAAAAATGCATTTAACTCCTCTTCAGAGAATATTAAACTTTTAAAGCATTAAAGAGTGCCTGCCAACGAAAAGGAACTCATCTACAACTTGAAGATTAGTAGTTGCCTTCCCATTGAATTCTAAGAAGCAAATTTTCACTTCTTTTCAGTCATATTGCATTCAGCATACCCGTGAATTAATTCACCACAGTATCTCACATTTACATTTCGGGTTGGAATAACATTATTTCCTTCTGTATTCAGTGAGGAGGGAGTCACAGTAAGAATTTCTCTTATTCATCCCATGCCCCCATTTGGTACAAAGGTCATTAAAAGGTCATCCACTGAAGCTACAACTGGCAGGAATCTGAAGAAAATAAATGAGTTTAATATTCTGCAATACCAGCTTCCCAAAATATTGTTAATTAAAATGAAGATATTTTCTAATGTCCTTTTCAAGGATTTCTCATGTTGTCACTCAAAGTCATCAGGATGACTTATAAACCCAATGAACTCTAAGGTGTACCCTCTAGAAAGATGACTGGAACAAAACTTGTACACTGAATTGTGCTGGTCCAGAGAAAGCAAATAAAGAGTTTGATTTAGTCTATGACTGAGGCATTTTATAAGGTGGAGTATCCTGACTCAATGAATCCCATTATTGACAGGGAAATTTATCAAATAAATTACAATGTTGATGGACAGAGTCTGTATCAGTTTATTTTAAAAGCTCCTCAGGAAATTCTAGTACCAGTCTCTTTGCAAGTTATCAGCAGTAGTATTGTTAAAGGGAACCATTTATTAAAACTCACTATGAACCAGGCACTGTCATACATTATACATATATGTATAATGTATACATATATATTTCTCATATATATGCATTATAATACTTAACCTTTAAACAAGTCTGTGAGACATATATGATTTTCCTTATTTTATGGGCATGGAAACCAAGCCTCTGAGGGATTAGCTAACTTGACTAAGATCACATGAATTGTAAAAGACTATATTACAATTGAAATCTAGTATTGCTTGATTCCAAAGCATGTGTTTTTAACTCTGTGAAACTATCTTTCATCCTTTGTTTGCCCATTTTATTGTCAAGTTTGTTAAGCTGAGAACTGTTTCCCAGAAAATTTTTCTGTCTGGCGCTGGCTTAGAGTTAGCCAAAAGAGGAACTTGCGTGAGATTTGAGAGAGAAGGGAAAGGATGGAAGCAAAATAGCATATATTACTCTCTGAGTATCTTTGTCAGTCTTTAGATGTGTGTGCCCAGTGCGTTCTGTCTTGAAGACTTCTCCTCCAGCCCCTTTCCCCATCCCAATTCAACTTGACTTTTCAGGTCATACAGTCAGTGACCAGCAGCATACAAACTTCCAGTGGTTCTACATCGTTGTCCACACTTGGAAATGTCAATCTTTTTCATTTTAGTTAATCCCATGTGTAATAAAGGTATCTAATTGTTGTTTTAATTAGCATACCCCTGGTAATTGCTATAGTTGAACCATTTTCTCTCCTACTGGACATTTGAATATTGTTTTCTATTAAATGCCTGCTCTTTTGCTGAGTTTGCTAATTTTTTTTTCCATGTTGGCTTGTAAGACATATTTTATAATATGAATAAGACCTCTTTTCTGTTTATATGTGCTATAAATATCTCTTCCACCCTTTATAAAGCTGTTAATTTTATAAAGTCATCTTTATCAATTTTTTTTTTTGTTTTTGAGATGGAGTCTCACTCTGTCACCCAGGCTAGAGTGCAATGGCATGATCTCAGCTCACTGCAACCTCCGCTTCCCAGGTTCAAGCAATTCTCCTGCCTCAGCCTCCAGGGGAGCTGTGATTACAGGTAAATGCCAACACATCCAGCTAATTTTTGTATTTTCAGTAGAGATGGGGTTTCATCATGTTGGCCAGGCTGGTCTTGAACTCTTGACCTCAAGTGATCCACCTGCCTCAGTCTCCCAAAGTGCAGGGATTACAGGTGTGGCCTGTCAATCTTTTTATATTAAAGCTTTTGCCTTTTCTATCCCAAGTCATACCTGTATTATCTTCTTGAGGATTTATTGTTTTATTTTGCACATTTAAGTTTGCAATCCTAGGATTGACTTTTTTTCTTGTATATTGTGAAACAGGAGTCAAATTACATTTTATTTCTTATATGTTCAAATATCAAAAGGCCTGTTTTGTCCCCAGAGCTCTTTAGTACCAACTTTTTTATGAGGCAAGTTTCAAAATACACTTAGGGCTCTTTCTGAGCTCTCATTTCTATTCTATCAATCCAGTAGTCTATCCTTGTAAAAATACCATACTCTTTAAATCACTATGTATTTAAAATGCCTGTTATCTTGTAAAGCAAATCTTTCTCACTTGTTCTTCATAGGTGTGTCTTAACTAGTTTTTGCTTTTGTTCCATTTCCATATAAGTTTTACAATTAACATGTAAAGTTACATACAAACACACAATTTAAAAAATACTCATAATTTGATATGAATTGCATTGAAACTATTGGGGAATATTGACAGGCTGACAATACTGAATCTTTTCCTAATGTGTGAACATTGTTCATTATTCTGTTTATGTAGGAGTTTTTCAAATTCCTCTCAATATTTTCTATTTTCTGTATAGGGTTCAGTACAGTTATTTTATTTATTCCTCAAGATTTGATTTTTTAATACTACTGTAGGTGATATCTTTTTAAAATTATATTGTCTTGTTATTATTATTGGTAAGTAGAAATATATATTGATCTTACATCCACAAAACCTGTAAAGCTACTCATTAAATCACGTAATTGATTTGTGAATTGTTTTGGGTTTTCCAGGTACAAAATATGTCATCTGAGAATAATGATGGATTATTTCTGTTTTCTAATTCTTATACATTTCTCTTTTTTTCTCCTTGTTTATCATCCTGTCTAAATCCTCCAGAACAATGCTAAATGGAAATAGAAATGGTATAGCTGTCATCTTTCCCTTACACAAGTCTTATAAAAAAAAAAAAGGAAAACTTTTGTGGTTTTACCAACATGTAAGTTGTTTCCTGTAGGTTGCTTTAAAAGCCTTTTTTGGGAGTGGGTGTAGATTAGGAAATGCTCCTTGTTTTTCCAGATGGTTAAGATTTCACATACAAATAAGCAATTTCCTTTACATATAATTAAATATATTTTAAAGTTTTTCAGATACTTTTCTACCTCTATTAAAATAATCAGGCTATTTTTTTCTCCTTTATTCTGTATATAAAGTAAATCACAGATTATTTAAATCAATCTTAAATAATTTTTCATTCTAGAATAAAGCCAACATGGTTATGAATAGCATACTTTTGCAATATTATTGGACTAGTTTGGGTATCTTTTATTTAGTATTTTTACATCTATGCTAATGAGTAAAAATGAACGATAATTTTGTTTTCTCATTGTTTCTATTGATAATTCAGATGTCAATCTAATTGTTACTCCTTTGCAGTTAATTTATCATTTTTCTTTAGATGTTTTAAAATTTTTTCTCTTTATTTTTCTGAGGCTTATTGACAAAGGTTTGATGTGATTTAGTGAAGAATTCTTTTTATCATCCTTATTATTTATAAAACTTCTTGAAACTGTGATAAATACTTAGTTATCATCTCTTCAAATGTTACTTCTGTGACATTCCATTGTTCCTCTTATACTGGGACACCCACTGGTGCATATTAGCATTGTCGGTGTATCCTCGATGATTCTTACATTTACACTGAACATTTTTCAACATTTCATTTGTCTGTTACGTCTGCATATTTTCTTCTGGTCTAGGTTTCAGTTCACTAATTCTCTCATCAGCTATATCCTATATGCCTTTAAACCAACCATTGGATTATTATACTTTTTAATTTTTTAATTTCTACTTGCATTTTTTCACAGTTTAAAATGCTTTGTAAATTTTCTCAATCTTATCTCCTTGAATATATTTATTATTTTATATCAGATAATACCAATATATGGAACCCTTGTCATTTTTATTTCTTAGCTCTTCTTTATTCACATTGCCTTCCTCATTTGTGTCATTATTTTCATTTTTTACTGAACATTTTATTAGACATGTTGCATAAAATTGCAAAGAATAAAAAAAGAGAGAGACCAGGATAATATTATCTTCACCCAAGAAGATATGATTTTCCTTCTGCCAGGTACCTGGGGGTAATATCACTCAAAGATTACCTTAACTCGATTTTAGAGATTGAGATGTTATTAAAGTAAGGTACAGTCTCTCTCTCTCTCTCTTTTTTTTTTTTTTTTTTTGAGACAGAGTCTTGCTCTGTCACCCAAGCTGGAATGCAGGGGTGCGACTTTGCCTCCAGGTTCAAGGGATTCTCATGCTTCAGCCTCCTGAGTAGCTAGGATTACAGACATGCACCACCACGCCTAGCTAACTTTTGTATTTTAGTAGGGACGAGGTTTAGCCATGTTGGCCAGGCTGGTCTCGAACTCCTGGCCTCAAGTGATCTGTCCACCTCAGCCTCCCAAAGTGCTGGGATTATAGGCATGAACCACTGCGCCCAGCCTGGGTACAATCTCTTGCAGGGACTTTTAAATACCAGTTCACACTTAGCACTGGGCACAGCATTGTAGGGCCTGGGACTGAAATCCATTTTCCCTCGCATGGAAAGGATATCCTCAGCATCACAGTCTCTCTACTGCTCACTCAGGAATCAACAAACACCTTTCTCCCGTAGAAGAAAAGCAGTCCTGAAACATGGGTTAACCGACCCAGGCTTCTCTCCCTCACACATCCTGGCCTGATCATTCTTCGCTCTGTTATTAGCAACTTAATGCATTTTAACAGATGTTTTCATATCATTCCCAGGTGTTGTATCAGTGGTCAGTGGAATATTGGTGTAAATTACTTAGTTTGCCACAGTAGGAAATGGAAGTTTGCTAATCCTTTATTTTTTGTGATGTTTAGGAAAATCACTTATTCCCTCTGACCTTCCCTGTGAAAAAGGGAGAGTCCTCTGTGGAAAGAGCTCCTTTTAATTCATCTGTACATACTTCCTAATGACTGCTTCAATTCTAGCTGAGGTAGGATTATTCTACCAAAACTGAGGTAGGGTTATTGTTCATGATTATAGATTTTTATGTGTAAATCATATAAAATAAGAAGTTATATTAACGACAAAAATCCTACATATTCTAATAGAAATATATATAATTACACACCTACATACATTCATATACATGTACATGTGAACCAACTAAAATAATGGCAAGTAAAAGCATGAGGCAAAAATGTTACATGTAAGTTGCTGAACAGAAGACTGCTACTCCTTGCAGTGGGCCCATCATAACCACTCCAAAGTGAGACAAAATCTTCAAACAGATCACCCAGGAGAGAACAGCTTCACAGCAACGATCCACCTCAAAATTCCATGGAGAGTGTGTCTTCTCTTCTAATTTACCTGAGTGCCTAGAGAGCAGCCCAGACCCATCCAATCTGTGGCAACAAATCTCTTGCTTTAACAACAAAAAGTCAGAAATGAGCTCTTCCCTCTGCCTGTTCCAACCTCCTTTTCATCTGAGATAGGTTGTTGTGGAATATTGGAAAAACAATTAAAAAAATTAATAAATAACCAAGACTTCTTGGTTTATTTTCAGTTTTTAAGCAAGCCTAATATGTAGTTTTCAAAGGAGAAAATTTTTTTAAAAATGAAATTCAGTTTTGGAATTCAAATCCAAGTTGTTCAGATTTTTCAAATGTAAGATGAGGATTACTCATGCCTACCTGATAGGTTTGTAGGGGAGGATTAAGTGTGGTCATTCGTTAATGCACTTTTCATAATTCTCAGTATTTTGATCTAAAGAAGAGGTAGACATCTGTGATTATAGTGTGAATTACAATATGTGGATTTTAAAAAGCGTAACCACATAAGAATTAATGGTTGTCAAAATAAATAATTAATAATCTTACCTCATGTTTACAGAACATACTTTTTGCTCTACAATTTGCTTCTTGAACAAACCCTGTGGGAAGCAGTTGAGACTCAGTAATAAGAAAATTTTGCTTAGAGCTGGAAGATCTGGATTTAAATCCAAATTGTTACCTTTGTCAGCTGTAAAGACTTTGCAAAAATCATCTACTTTCTGCCTCAGTGCTCTTATTTGCAGACTGTGAGGATAATATCTCCCCACAGGAGTAAGTAGATAACACATGTAAAATTGCCTTCTTCTGTGGACAAGTAGGTACTCAAGAATGGCTGTTGTATTACCAGTCCCATTTCAAAGATAAAGAAACTGAAATACAGACAATTAAGAGGGTCATAGTTTCTAAATGAAGACAAAATGACAATGTTTAAAATAGAATGAAATTTTTATGAACATCTATACTAGCACTCTTCTGAATGACCATACCATTTTTCTGCATTTATGAACCACTGCCTGTAGTATGAAAACATATGCTTAATTCTATTCAACTTGTCCTAAATGATCCAGCAATCATTTTGTGCCTCAAAGACCCAATTAGACACCAGTTTCTCAGGTATAGGAATATAACATGGAACCATAATGTAATGCTAAAAAGCTCCTTATTCCTTATCAAAATTTATACCACGCATTATATATCTGAGGAAACAGAGGTCACAGGCCATTCAGAAAGAATGTGGGCAACATTAGCTATCGAACTGAATGTGTATTCGATGCTAGAAGGAACACTAAGAGTCACTGAGACTAAAGAAAATCCCGTTATCAACTTGTTTGTTTTTCTTTTGTTTCTTCCTTGTACAAGTCATGCACAATATGAAAATAAAAGAGTTATTGAAGCATATCAGTTAAGCAGGAACTGAGTTTAACAGACTTCAAAACCTCTCAAAGTGTTATATGGCTTAACGAAGATTATTGAAAGAAGAGACTTAACAGCTAATTGAAAAGATGGTTAAAAGCATTCTCAAGCATAAAGAAAATTTTCTCTCTTTAATATATTCCTAGCTGTGAAATTAGAACAATCTGTAGGGCTTCAAAATGCAACCAGAAATAAGGTTTTCTGATCAAGCAATTAAATTTCAACCAGCACAGTGATGATCAGACATTTATATTTTTTCATTTGCTTAGAAGACCATCTGGTTGACTTGGAGCAGGTGAATTCAGCTAATTTCTTTTCAGAAAGAGATGGAACTGTGTGAAGGAACTGCCCTTCACACCTGGCTGCACAGGATTCTCACTTTCCTGACCTTTCACCTCCCCTCTAGGCCCAAGGGCCAGAGAACCCCATGATTTCATTATAGTAAGTTAGATGTCACAAGCTGCTGTGATCTGCCAGCCAAGTTTAACAGTGACATTGCAAGTCTCTTTGCTACTCTCCAAGAAATCAATAATACCTCCCCCTGCAGCAGGATCCTGAGCTCAGATCACTTTGTCACATTTCAAAGCAAATGACACAGCATATGGAAATGGCTCACAGACAAAAAAGCAAAGGGGTACAGAAATATCGAGAGTGCTCAATACGAAGAAAATAAATTAAGATCTTGTAAATGAACTTCTAATCATACTCTTTTTTTCAGATGGTCATTCAGAGCCTTTTACAGTTTTAAAAATCAGAAGATTGCACTGTCAGGATTTCAAATTAGCAAATGTATGATAAATGGTGATTCATTTTAAAGTACAGGCATCTATGCCTACAGAGGTAAATAATCCATAGAGCCTAATGGCCAAGGCAGGGTTTCAGAATATACAAAAGCCATTCTCTGTTGTCCTCTACAGTATAATGACTACATGATGACTATTTCTATTTTAGTTACTGTAGTCATTGGTCTTATTAGGATTTTCAACTCACAGATGTAATAGCTACAACAAACAAAGTAAAATCTTCTGAAAGATTTTATGGAGAGAATGTGATTCAGCTCTATTCCTCACTTTAACCTTTGAAGTATTATATTTTGTAAAGGTGAGGTAAGAGAAACAGCAAAGCTCGGGTGTAGTAGCTCACGCCCGTAATCCCAGCACTTTGGGAGGCCAAGGCAGGTGGATCACCTGAAGTCAGGAGTTTGAGACCAGCCTGACCAATATGGTGAAATCCTGTCTCCGCTAAAACAATTAGCCAGGTGTGGTTGTGGGCACCTGTAATCCCAGCTACTCAGGAGGCTGAGGCAGGAGAATTGCTTGAACCCGGGAGGCAGAGGTTGCAGTGAGCCGAGATTGCACCATTGTACTCCAGGCTAGGCAACAAGAGCGAAACTCCATCTCAAAATAAATAAATAAATAAGAAACAGCACAAATCATGGGTCAGCAAATCTATAATCCATATTATAGATTAAATCTGGCCCACTGCCTGCTTTTGTAAATAAAGTTTAATTAGAACAGAGGTACAATCATTCAGTTGTATATTGCCTATGGCTACTATCTGGCTACACCTGCAGAGATGAGTACTTCAGACAGACATCATATGAACTACAAGGCCCAAAATATACTATCTAGCGCTTCACCAAAAAAAGTTTGAGATACCCTAGCCAAAGTGAAGTTGAGTTTATGCATCTTTCCCTTTGTGCAAATGATAATAGAAAAATCTCAATTCAGGTAGCCAGGCTAAGCTGTATCCTAGGCCAGATATTGCAAGAGAAGTATTTGCTAAAGGGTGAAATAGAAGATCACCCAAAAGCTTTGAGAGAAGTAGCTCAAAAATAAAAGTAAAATATAGTGTTTTCTATTTACCAAGCACTTACTGTGTTTTGGTTTCCTATTGCTGCTGTAATGAGTTACCATAAACTAGGTGGCCTGAAACACCACAAATCTATTATCTTACAGTTCTGGAGGTCAGAAGTTCAAAATATGTCTCACTGGGTTAAAATAATGGCGTTGGCTGACCCGCATTTCTTCTGGAGGTTCAACAGAAAAATCTGTTTCCTTGCTTGCTAAACTGTTGAAGCTACCCACATTCCTTGGTTTGTTTCCATCTTCAAAAGCATCAGTGACTTGTCAAGTCTTTCTCAAGCTGCCTGTTTCTTCCATATTTAAAGACTTTTGTGATTACATTGAGCCTGCCTAATTTAGGATAGTTTCTTCATTTTAAGGTCAGCTGATTAGAAATATTAATTTCATCTGCAACTTTAATTTCTTTTTGCTATGTAACCCAACATTTTCACAGGTTCCAGGGATTATGCACATCTTGGGAGGACAATTATTCTGCCCATCACACACACATTTTATTATTTAATATTCACAGCAATCCTGTGAGAGAAATATAATTATCCTTATTTTACAGTTTAGAAAACTGAGGTTCAGAGAGGCTAATTAACTTTCCCAAAGTCACAAAGCTACTAAGTAATAAAGATGAGATTCAAATCCAGTTCTTTCTGACTCTAAAGACTGTGTTCTTTTTAACATATACTGAGTAAGAGTACTCCAGGCAACACTCAAGACATTCAGTCTCTCACAGAATACCTCCTTACTCTCTCAGAAAGTACCTGGGGAGACAACATTGTATTTTGTATAGACATGATTTTTCCTCCACTGTTTGACATTGCTTGAATATGTGGAAAATATTTAGAAACAGACACATATTAATGACCTTGATAGAAACTGATTTCTTGGGGGAGGAGCCAAGATGGCAGAATAGGAACAGCTCTGGTCTACAGCTCTCAGCGTGAGCGTCGCAGAAGATGGGAGATTTCTGCATTTCCAACTGAGGTACCGGGTTCATCTCAATGGGGAGAGCCAGACCGTAGGTGCAGGACAGTGGGTGCAGCGCACCATGCGTGAGCCAAAGCAGGGCGAGGCATTGCCTCACCCGGGAAGCACAAGGGGTCAGGGAATTCCCTTTCCTAGTCAAAGAAAGGGGTGACAGTGGGCATCTGGAAAATCGGGTCACTCCCACGCTAATACTGCGCTTTTCCAACAGGCTTAAAAAACGGCACACCAGGAGATTATATCGCGCACATGGCTCGGAGGGTCCTACGCCCACAGAGTCTCGCTCATTGCTAGCACAGCAGTCCGAGATCAAACTGCAAGGTGGCAGCGAGGCTGGAGGAGGGGTGCCCGCCAATGCCAAGTTACTTGTTTGATTAGGTAAACAAAGCGGCAGGGAAGCTCGAACTGGGTGGAGCCCACTGCAGCTCAAGGAGGCCTGCCTGCCACTTTAGGCTCCACCTCTGGGGGCAGGGCACAGACAAACAAAAAGACAACAGTAACCTCTGCAGACTTAAATGTCCCTCTCTGACAGCTTTGAAGAGAGTAGTGGTTCTCCCAGCACGCAGCTGGAGATCTGAGAACGGGCAGACTGCCTCCTCAAGTGGGTCCCTGACCCCCGAGTAGCCTAACTGGGAGGCACCCCCCAGCAGGGGTGGACTGACACCTCACACGGCCAGGTACTCCTCTGAGACAAAATTTCCAGAGGAACGATCAGGCAGCAGCATTTGCGGTTCACCAATATACACTGTTCTGCAGCCACCGCTGCTGATACCCAGGCAAACAGGGTCTGGAGTGGACCTCTAGAAAACTCCAACAGACCTGCAGCTGAGGGTCCTGTCTGTTAGAAGGAAAACTAACAAACAGAAAGGACATCCACACCAAAAACCCATCTGTACGTCACCATCATCAAAGACCAAAGGTAGATAAAACCACAAAGATGGGAAAAAACAGAGCAGAAAAACTGGAAACTCTAAAAATCAGAGCACCTCTCCTCCTCCAAAGGAACGCAGCTCCTCACCAGCAACAGAACAAAGCTGGACAGAGAATGACTTTGACAAGTTGAGAGAAGAAGTCTCCAGACGATCAAACTACTCTGAGATACAGGAAGAAATTCGAACCAATGGCAAAGAAGTTAAAAGCTTTGAAAAAAAATTAGACGAATGGATAACTAGAATAACCAATGCAGAGAAGTCCTTCAAGGACCTGATGGAGCTGAAAACCAAGGCATGAGAGCTACATGACGAATGCAGAAGCCTCAGTAGCCGATGCAATCAACTGGAAGAAAGGGTCTTGGTGATGGAAGAAGAAATGAACGAAATGAAGCAAGAAGAGAAGTTTAGAGAAAAAAGAATAAAAAGAAACGAACAAAGCCTCCAAGAAATATGGGACTATGTGAAAAGACCAAATCTGCATCTGATTGGTGTACCTGAAAGTGACAGGGAGAATGGAACCAAGTTGGAAAACACTCTGCAGGATATCCAGGAGAACTTCCCTAATCTAGCAAGGCAGGGCAACATTCAGATTCAGGAAATACAGAGAACGCCACAAAGATACTCCTCGAGAAGAGCAACTCCAAGACACATAATTGTCAGATTCACCAAAGTTGAAATGAAGGAAAAAATGTTAAGGGCAGCCAGAGAGAAAGGTCGGGTTACCCACAAAGGGAAGCCCATCAGACTAACAGCGGATCTCTTGGCAGAAACTCTATAAGCCAGAAGAGAGTGGGGACCGATATTCAACATTCTTAAAGAAAAGAATTTTCAACCCAGAATTTCATATCCAGCCAAACTAAGCTTCATAAGTGAAGGAGAAATAAAATCCTTTACAGACAAGCAAATGCTGAGAGATTTTGTCACCACCAGGCCTGCCCTAAAAGACCTCCTGAAGGAAGCACTAAACATGGAAAGGAACAACCGGTACCAGCCACTGAAAAAACATGCCAAATTGTAAAGACCATCAAGGCTAGGAAGACACTGCATCAACTAACGAGCAAAATAACCAGCTAACATCATAATGACAGGATCAAATTCACACATAACAATATTAACCTCAAATGTAAATGGGCTAAATGCTCCAATTAAAAGACACAGACTGGCAAATTGGATAAAAAGTCAAGACCCATCAGTGTGCTGTATTCAGGAAACCCATCTCACGTGCAGAGACACATATAGGCTCAAAATAAAGGGATGGAGGAAGATCTACCGAGCAAATGGAAAACAAAAAAAGGCAGGGGTTGCAATCCTAGTCTCTGATAAAACAGACTTTAAACCAACAAAGATCAAAAGAGACAAAGAAGGCCATTACATAATGGTAAAGGGATCAATTCAACAAGAAGAGCTAACTATCCTAAATATATATGCACCCAATACAGGAGCACCCAGATTCATAAAGCAAGTCCTTAGTGACCTACAAAGAGACTTAGACTCCCACACAATAATAATGGGAGACTTTAACACCCCACTGTCAACATTAGACAGATCAACGAGACAGAAAGTTAACAAGGATACCCAGGAATTGAACTCAGCTCTGCACCAAGCGGACCTAATAGACATCTACAGAACTCTCCACCCCAAATCAACAGACTATACATTCTTTTCAGCACCACACCACACCTATTCCAAAATTGACCACAGAGTTGGAAGTCAAGCACTCCTCAGCAAATGTAAAAGAACAGAAATTACAACAAACTGTCTCTCAGACCACAGTGCAATCAAACTAGAACTCAGGATTAAGAAACTCACTCAAAACTGCTTAACTACATGGAAACTGAACAACCTGCTCCTGAATGACTACTGGGTAAATAATGAAATGAAGGCAGAAACAAAGATGTTCTTTGAAACCAACGAGAACAAAGACACACCATACCAGAATCTCTGGGACACAATCAAAGCAGTGTGTAGAGGGAAATTTATAGCACTAAATACCCACAAGAGAAAGCGGAAAGATCTAAAATTGACACCCTAACATCACAATTAAAAGAACTAGAAAAGCAAGAGCAAACACATTCAAAAGCTAGCAGAAGGCATGAAATAACTAAGATCAGAGCAGAACTGAAGGAAATAGAGACATAAAAAACCCTTCAAAAAATTAGTGAATCCAGGAGATGGTTTTTTGAAAAGATCAACAAAATTGATAGACCGCTAGCAAGACTAATAAAGAAGAAAAGAGAGAAGAATCAAATAGACGCAATAAAAAATGACAAAGGGGATATCACCACCGATCCCACAAAAATACAACAGAGAATACTACCATCAGAGAATACTACAAACACCTCTACACAAATAAACTAGAAAATCTAGAAGAAACTGATAAATTCCTCGACACATACATCCTCCCAAGACTAAACCAGGAAGAAGTTGAATCTCTGAATAGACCAATGACAGGCTCTGAAATTGAGGCAACAATCAACAGGTTACCAACCAAAAAAAGTCCAGGACCAGATGGATTCACATCCGAATTCTACCAGAGATTCAAAGAGGAGCTGGTACCATTCCTTCTGAAACTATTCCAATCAATAGAAAAAGAGGGAATCCTCCCTAACTCATTTTATGAGGCCAGCATCATCCTGATACCAAAGACTGGCAAAGACACAACCAAAAAAGAGAATTTTAGACCAATATCCTTGATGAACATTGATGTAAAAATCCTCAATAAAATACTGGCAATCCAAATCCAGCAGCACATCAAAAAGCTTATCCACCATGATCAAGAGGGCTTCATCCCTGGGATGCAAGGCTGGTTCAACATATGCAAATCAATAAATGTAATCCAGCATATAAACAGAACCAAAGACAAAAACCACATGATTATCTCAATAGATGCAGAAAAGGCCTTTGACAAAATTCAACAACGCTTCATGCTAAAAACTCTCAATAAATTAGGTATTGATGGGACGTATCTCAAAAATAATAAGAGCTATCTATGACAAACCCACAGCCAATATCACAATGAATGGGCAAAAACTGGAAGCATTTCCTTTGAAAACGGGCACAAGACAGGGATGCCCTCTCTCGCCACTCCTATTCAACATAGTGTTGGAAGTTCTGGCCAGGGCAATCAGCCAGGAGAAGGAAACAAAGGGTATTCAATTAGTAAAAGAGGAAGTCAAATTCTCCCTGTTTGCAGATGACAAGATTGTATATCTAGAACACCCCATCGTCTCAGCCCAAAATCTCCTCAAGCTGATAAGCAACTTCAGCAAAGTCTCAGGTTACAAAATCAATGTACAAAAATCACAAGCATTCTTATACACCAATAACAGACAAACAGAGAGCCAAATCATGAGTGAACTCCCATTCACAATTGCTTCAAAGAGAATAAAATACCTAGGAATCCAACTTACAAGGGATGTGAAAGACCTCTTCAAGGAGAACTACAAACCACTGCTCAAGGAAATAAAAGAGGATACAAACAAATAAAAGAACCATGCTCATATTGATTCTTGCTACCCATGCTCATGGGTAGCAATAATCAATATCGTGAAAATGGCCATACTGCCCAAGGTAATTTATAGATTCAATGCCATCCCCATCAAGCTACCAATGACTTTCTTCACAGAATTGGAAAAAACTACTTTCAAGTTCATATGGAACCAAAAAAGAGCCCTCATTGCCAAGTCAATCCTAAGCCAAAAGAACAAAGCTGTAGGCATCACGCTACCTGACTTCAAACTATACTACAAGGCTACAGTAACCAAAACAGCATGGTACTGGTACCAAAACAGAGATATAGATCAATGGAACAGAACAGAGCCCTCAGAAATAATGCTGCATATCTACAACCATCTGATCTTTGACAAACCTGTCAAAAACAAGCAATGGGGAAAGGATTCCCTATTTAATAAATGATGTTGGGAAAACTGGCTAGCCATATGTAGAAAGCTGAAACTGGATCCCTTCCTTACACCTTATACAAAAATTAATTCAAGATGGATTAAAGACTTAAATGTTAGACCCAAAACCATAAAAACCTAGGCAATACCATTCAGGATATAGGCATGGGCAAGGACTTCATGTCTAAAACACCAAAAGCAATGGCAACAAAAGCCAAAATTGACAAATGGGATCTAATTAAACTCAAGAGCTTCTGCACAGCAAAAGAAACTACCATCAGAGTGAACATGCAACCTACAGAATGGGAGAAAAATTTTGCAACCTACTCATCTGACAAAGGGCTAATATCCAGAATCTATGGTGAACACAAACAAATTTACAAGAAAAAAACAAACAACTCCATCAACAAGTGGGTGAAGGATAGGAACAGACACTTCTCAAAAGAAGACATTTATGCAGTCAAAAGAGACATGAAAAAATGCTCATCATCACTGGCCATCAGAGAAATGCAAATCAAAACCACAATGAGATACCATCTCACACCAGTTAGAATGGCGATCATTAAAAAGTCAGAAAACGACAGGTGCTGGAGAGGATGTGGAGAAATAGGAACACTTTTACACTGTTGGTGGGACTGTAAACTAGTTCAACCATTGTGGAAGACAGTGTGGTGATTCCTCAGGGATCTAGAACTAGAAATACCATTTGACCCAGCCATCCCATTACTGGGTATATACCCAAAGGTTTATAAATCATGCTGCTATAAAGACACATGCACATGTATGTTTATAGCAGCACTATTCACAATAGCAAAGACTTGGAACCAACCTAAATGTCCAACAACGATAGACTGGATTAAGAAAATGTGGCACATATACACCATGGAATACTATGCAGCCATAAAAAATGATGAGTTCATGTCCTTTATAGGGACATGGATGAAACTGGAAACCATCATTCTCAGCAAACTATCACAAGGACAAAAAACCAAACACCGTATGTTCTCACTCATAGGTGGGAATTGAACAATAAGAACACATAGACACAGGAAGGGGAACATCACACACCAGGGACTGTTGTGCGGTGGGGGGAGGGGGGAGGGATAGCATTAGGAGATATACCTAATGCTAAATGACGAGTTAACGGGTGCAGCACACCAACATGGCAGATGTATACATATGTAACAAACCTGCACATTGTGCACATGTACCCTAAAACTTAAAGTATAATAATAATAAAATTTTAAAAAAAAGAAACTGAGTTCTTAAAGCCCAGTTCAGCCACATAGAGTGAACTTTGTAGAATTTTTTAACGAAAGTTTATTGTTGATTTCTTCACAGATTTTAGGAACCAATCAATCACTTCCTTTGTGGATCAGCGTGACAAAGGTACACATTGGTTCCAAAGACTCAAGAGAGGAAAAAGTAGATTTCAGGATCAGAGCTAGTCTAGAAATATTAACCTAGCAACCCTTATCTAAGCACATCACTCAGAGAATAAAGGATTGCACAAACCGCTACATACACTATACAATTCAACCTATGTGGTTCTGCTGTGACTTGCTTTAGGAAGCCTGAAAATATTGATACAATTCTTATTTTTCCAGTTAGTTATTCAAATACAAATCTGTCAATATTTGAAGAAATACCAGTTTCTCCCCTCCCTCCCTTTTTCTTTTTCTTTTTTTTTTAAGACAGATTCTCACTCTGTTGCCCAGGCTGGAGTGCAATGGCACGATCTCGGCTCACTGCAACCTCCGCCTCCTGGGTTCACGCCATTCTCCTGCCTCAGCCTCCCCAGTAGCTGGGACTACAGGCGCATGCCATCACGCCCAGCTAATTTTTCATATTTTTAGTAGAGATGGGGTTTCACCGTGTTAGCCAGGATGGTCTCGATCTCCAGGCATCGTGATCCACCTGCCTCGGCCTCCCAGTTTCTCCCTTCTGAGATGCATTCATCTAAATTATCTAAGAACCTAAGTTGTTGACTCAGGTCCAAAGAGATTTGTTCAGTTTACAAAACCAACTGTAGTTTCAGTCCCCTCAAACTACAGAGAAGGACTAATACTTGTCAAACTACTGAAAATTTGATCTATGCATTCAGAGGGCCACATGCACACTGCTAATGTGATGTCTTTGTAGATTCAACTGCTGCTGTCAGAGTTCAGGACATGCTATCCCCCAAATATGGCACCTTAGCATTTGAGAAAACAGCAGAAGCAGGAAGGTCTCTCTGACCTTCTCCCACCATGCTCTCTGGAAGCAGGCCAGAAAACCTAGGAAGGTCTCTCTCTGACATTCTCTTTCACTTCTCCCCTGAAGAGTTCCATGTGCCCTTTACCCAAAGGAAAGGAATGTCATACAGGGACATCAAAAATAACTCTGAAGAAGTTTTTTTTGTTTGTTTGTTTGTTTTACTTCTGAAGACCTTGCTAAATCTGAGGACCTTGCGCTAAATCTGAAGATCTTGCTAAATCCACCCCTCCTAATTAATTAACATTAGATTGTACCCTTTTGTCCTCCAATCATACTTCTGCGTGACTGTCCATAAAAATACACAGATCTTCCCATTTCTTTCGGTCTTCATTTCTGAAGGCTTCTGGGTCATATAAAACATATATTAAATAAATGTGTATGCTTTTCTCTTGTTAATCTGTCTTTTGTTACAGGAATCTTAGTCATGAATTTTGCAAAATGTAATGAAAAGAAATTACTTTTTCTTCTCTATGGTTTTTGGTGACAAACAGGAAGCAAGACTCTGCTCACTCCTGAGCCTACAGATGAGATCTTCAGACAATTGAAAAGATTATTTTTTCTTCCCTACGCTGCTAATGTCACACTCCAGTTCTCCAAGCTGGTAGCTCTTTTAGTTCATAATCTCATATTTAGACATTTTTTATCAAAGGCAGGTTAAATCTGGAGTGACCTTTTGTCTTAGCCATCATTATGCAAAACAAGTCCTACCACCTATACTTGGGTTATTTATTCTGTCTAAACCCACAGTGATTTCCCCCTTCTTGTCAAGGCACTGAGGTCCAAAGGACCCCAAAGGGGTGCTTTCTTGTCAAAAGGCCTCAGTGAATCCTTGTTCCAAGTAGGAAAAATGCCTACCTCATTTCCAGTGAGTAGCTCTACATCCCAAGTAGTACTGTGAAGGTCTTTATCATGACATAAAAGTCCTCATGGGCATGGAGTGCTATTGCCTTATGCATAACGTAAGGATGACTTTAAATATCTTTTTCATAAATAAATTCTCCAGTCTGGTGTGGCGCCTCCATTTTGGACATGGAAGAGAGTAGCATAATTATTCATTATATTGCATTCATTTCATAATGTTTTTAGATCTCCTCTACTACTTATTTATTATCCTCAGAGAATTGAGAATATAAATAGATCTTTCTAGTAATATTAAGGAGAGTTCATTAAACATGGGTTAAGAGAATCAATTGTGATCTTCGGTCTAGTCACTGTGTTCTCTCTGGTTAGGTGAGGTAAGAAGTATTAGCTTACAAAATTGTGCCCTCCCCCCATCACCAAGGATTAGCCTCATAAATTATTTGAAGAATCTGTAGTATTTAATTTTAATTTTTTGATTTTGAAATAATTTTAGAGTTATACAAATGCTTCAGTTTTAGTATACCCATCATGCAGCTTCCCCTAAGATCAGTTTATCTAGACATAGTATAGAGTTATTTAAACCAAGACATTAACATAGAAGGAATACTGCTAACTAGCCTAAAGATGACTCACATTTTATCAATTGTTTCACTAATGGCATTTTACTGGTCTGTGATCTAATCCAGAATCCCATAACAAAGTCAGTTGTCATGTCTCCCTAGTTCCAACAGAGGACAGTTCCTCAGTCTTTATCTTTCATTACCTTGACATTTGAGGAGTACTGTTATTTTATAAAAAACAGAGTTTTGTAGTTTGAATTTTTTTATTAATTCATTTTTTGGCAAGAACACAACAAAAGTATTATTTGCAGAAAGGATATTGTGTCCCCTTACAACACATCATATCAGGAGGTACAGGATGAGGATATTATTTATTACTGATGATTGTAAAATTACCACTTTATTAAAGCAGTGTCTACAAGCTTTCTTCACTATAAAGATATCACTTTTTCTTGGAATCAATAAGCACCTTGGGAAAAGTTACTCTGGGAACATGTAAATACTCTGTTTCTGTTCATAATTTTGTTCATTAATTTTAGCATGCATCTGTGATTTTTGCCTGCAACGATTATTATTGTGATGTTTACCAAAGGGTGATTTTCGATTTTTGATGGAAATAGACAGATTCCTTTTACTTTAACTAGTTAGAATTCTACCATAAAGAAAATAAAGAAAATTTATCCCTTCTTTTCTATTTATTTATCTAATTATTATTTAGACTCTTACGGATATATAGATAATTATTTTAGTCTATGGGTTATATCACTCTAATTTATTTTTCTCAAAGTGTCTCAGATTTGGCCTTTGGAAGTCTTTCTTGTAAATTTCTATGTCCTTTCAACAGTCTCCCATCATTTTTTGAGCACTTTGTTTTCTAGCACAACAAAATATTTTGGGATCATTTCTGTGCTATTACTAGCACATGGTAAAATTTCATTCAACAATTTTCCTGGTACTGGGTTGTCATTGTTTCCCAGTCTACTCAGTTGATGGAGTTAATGTACATATATATATGTATATATACATAGATTTATATGCACATGTATTATATATACATATATACATATAAAAATGTATGTATATATACAATATGTTCAAATATTACATATCCCTCTATATGGAAACCTATAAAATTATACATATGTGTACATAAATGTACACACACATATGAAAACATATACATCTAAGAGTCATTTAGTGTGCATGTGTTTATAGAGTGTGGATAAATAGGTAGATTATTTATATGAGAGGAAGAGAGAGTAGGTGGGTTCGTCTTCCCTTTTTACTTATTTCTAAGTCCTTTCTTTGAGTGAGAATTCAGCTCTAATTATTTACCATATAGGTGCTTATTTCTTCAGTCCTGATATACATATAAAGTACTTTCATAATTGTTATCTACAGTTCTATGAGAAACAAGTTTACTAACTAGAGTATTATATTTGTGTGCAGCTCTTTTGGTCTTTAACCTAAAAAGTATATAGTCAAAATGCTGTTTTCCAAACCGACTTAAGGTTATTTTCTTCGCACAGTCTTTACTGTGGTAATGCTATTAATTTGTAATTGATTTGATTTGTTACGCTTCATATTTCATCTTCAGTTTCCCCCCTGTTAAAATTCTGGTTAATTTTAATTGTTTATATTTTGGGATATGTGAAGGATCACCATGGTTTAAAGCATCAAAACTATTATAAAAATATGTATTCATAGAAATGTCACTTCTCCCTCATCTCTTCTGCCTCATTCTTATTTGCCCAATATTTCCACACTGTTTCTACACATCCCCTGTAATTAACCAACCTCATTAGTTTCTGGTTACTCTTTGTATTTCACTTTGCACATTTTTATAGAAATATATTTTAAGAAATGTCTGGTAATATCTTTTTTCATTTTTCAGCAGGTTTTCAGATTTTTGTCTCCTCAATTTTAAAGAGTTCTTTATATATTAGTATATTAGCCATTTTTCTAGATTACGTTGAATATTTTCAGCACGTTTGTCAGTTATCTTTTGGCAATTTTCTACTTTTTCTGCCATGAAAATATTTTATAGTTATGTAGTCAAATTCATCAATCTTTCCTTTTATTGCCTCTGAATTGTGAGATGGTCTTTCCCTAGATGAGAGTTAAAAAACAAGTTACTCATGTTTTCTTTCAGTAGTTGTACAATTACATGTTTTGCATTTAGATCTCTGAAACTTTTTAAGTTCCTTCCTGTGAATGGTGTGAGAAATAGATCTAACTATGTCATCTTCCAGTGGCTATCCATTTTCCCACCACCATTAAGTCAATAGCCCATCATTGTCCCAGTGACAAGAGATGCCGCTTTTATCATTTACTACGTTTTCATAGGCATTTGGGTCTATTTCAAGACGTTAAATATATTTCACAAAACAAAAAAAACAGGCTTTTTTGTCTCTTCATCCACAAGTACCACCTGATTTAGTTGCTGTGCCTTAATAATGA
The DNA here is from genome assembly GCF_000001405.40 of Homo sapiens. Classification (NCBI taxonomy): domain Eukaryota; kingdom Metazoa; phylum Chordata; class Mammalia; order Primates; family Hominidae; genus Homo; species Homo sapiens. Next base: position 64,431,457 of record NC_000010.11, on the reverse strand, counting down.
GCTTAAATTCCTAGTAGGGCTAAACCTTCTCATAGTGTTTCTTTCATAGTGTTTTCTTATCTATTTTTGCATGTCGCTTTTTCATATTTAAATTTCTATTTAATGTTACTTTGTCTAACTTCATAAAAAGCTTCTTTGTATTTTTATTGGGTGTTAAATTTATAAACACAACTTTGATAGAAATGACATCTTTATAATACTGGGTTGGTCTAGCCAGGAACTGTGCATGTCATTCCATTTATTCAAGTCTACTTTTTGGCTTTTAAGAGGGCTTTAAACATTTTGTTTTATGTTTTTTGTTTTTTTATTTTTAGTAAAGGTAATACCTTTTAAATAGGGCATCTTAGCCATCTGTGCTGCTGTAACACAATACCATAGACTGAGTAATTTATAAACAACAGAAATTTTTTTTCAGTTTTAGAGACTGGGAGGTCCAAGGTCAAGGTGCTGGAAGATTCAGTGTCTGGTGAGAGCTGCTCTCTGCTTCCAAGATGCCGCTGTAATGCTGCATCCTTTAGAGGTGAGGAATGTTGTGCCCTCACATGGCAGAGGGCAGAAGTGCAAAAGGGACAAGCTTCCCTCATCAAGCTCTTTTATAAAGGCAACTAATCCCATTTACAAGGGAAAAGCTCTCATGGCCTAATCCCTTCTTAAAGGCCCTACCTCTTAATTCTATCATATTGGCAATACCTGAATTTTTCAGGGAACACATTCGAACTATAGCATAGGCTTATTGATTTCTGTATGTAAATTTGATATTATGCCATCTAACTGAATTATTTTATTGTTTACATTATTTTTAGCATTGATTCTCCAGGGTTTTCCAGGAGTCTATCCTATCAGGTGAAAGTAGAGATGTTCCTATTTCTCTTTACCCATACTTATGCCTCCATGAATTTCTCTTATATAAAAGTAGTATAATGTTAAATACTATCAGAGATTGTGGACATATTTGCATCTTTCTTGAACTTAGTGAAAATGCCTAGTATACATTTTCATTACATAAAATACCAGTTTTATGACAAAGATATATAGTATATGTTTATATAAATGTATATTTGTATATTTTATATATACACACACATATACACATATATGTGTACACACATATACACATATATGTGTACACACATATACACATATATGTGTACACACATATACACATATATGTGTACACACATATACACATATATGTGTACACACATATACACATATATGTGTACACACATATACACATATATGTGTACACACATATACACATATATGTGTACACACATATATTATCATCTTTAAAAAGTGCCCATAATCACTATTTTCTTGAATATTTTTTAGCAGGAAGTGGCTTTGAATTTTGTTGAAGGCTTTTTGTAAGCAACTATGAAGATACATGTCTTAGTCTGTTCAGGCTGCTATAGCTAAATACAATAAACTGAGTGGCTTATAAACAACAGAAATTTTCTAATAGAGCTGGAAGCTGGAAAGTCCAAGACCAAGATCCTGGCAGATTTGGTGTCTAGTGAGATCTTGATTTCTTATTCATAGATAGCTCCTTCTAGCTGTACCATTATATGGTGGAAGAGGCAAACCAGCTACCTTAGGCCTATTTCATAAGGCACCAATCCCATTCATGAGGACTTTGTTCTCATGATCTAATAACCTCCCCAAAGCCCCACCTCCTAATATCATTGTCTTCGGTTATAGGATTTCAACATATGATTCTGGAGGGAACACAAATATTCAGACCATAACAATAATCATATGATTTTTAGATGTATTAATATAGTATATGCTCTTAATAGGTTGCCTAATATTTAACCACGTTTGTATTTCTGGAATGAAAAACACTTGTCTGCGATGTATTATTTTCTTAATGTGGCACTGGACTCCATTTCTTAAGGTTATCATATGTTTATATTGATATTCAGAATTGATACTGGTTTACTTTTTGTACTGTTCTTATCAGCTTAAATATCAATGTTACTTACATTTGTCCATAAAAGGAAATAAGTTTTCATCCATTTTCAGTGATCTGGAACAATGTATAGTGTATTGAGGCCATTTTGTCTTTGATAGATTTATAGAATTCTTCTTTAAATCCTACCTGGTCTAGTACTTTTTAATTGAGGGGAGAGTGGCAGGGTTTTAATAATTATCCTTACTTCTATGGAAATTAGACTATTTGAGCTTTGATTTCAATAGGCTCACAGCTGGCTCATGCGTGTAGTCCTTTAAGAGGCTTTAAGAGGCCAAGGTGGGAGGATTGCTCAAGGCCAGGAGTTCCAGGTCAATGGGGTCAACTTTAATAATCTGCACTGTTTTAGAAAATAATCAATCTCATTAAGATTTTCAAATTTATTTTCATTCAAGCCTTCAAAGAAGCATATAACAATTTAAAAAAAAAAAAACCTTTCTTTTGTTTCAATGTCTGTTTCTCCCTTGTCATCTCTCCTTTGTATAATTTTTCATTCTTCATTTTTCTTGGTCAAGTCATTTAGCAATTTATCCATTTTGCTAATTACAAAACAGATTTTTGACTTGTTAATTAGGTCTATCACTTTTTTCTTTTCTTTATCTCACTAAATTCTGCTTTTCTTAAGCTTTTAGTAACTTTGTTATTTCTTTCCTCAATTTTTTAGCTGAATAATTAAATCATTCATTTTCATATTTTATTTTTACTGAAAAAATTATTTAATGAAATGTATTTTTCTCATACCACTACTTCAATCATATTTCTGATATGTCATATTTTTTCATTTTTTAAAGAAATTTTGTAATTTCAGCTTATATTTTCACTTCAACCAAACATTTATTAATTGAAATTTCCAGATGCAAGAGACTTTGTATTTTGTTTTGTTAATAATTTAGAATTTTATTTCATTGTAATATGAGATTATTGTTTATAATATTGCTATTTATGGAACTTACTATTTTTGTGACATTGTATATGAGTAAATGTCACAAATTTTCTAAAAAATAAAACATTTGTACATTAGTCTTTCTCTTAGCCCATTTGGGCTGCTATAACAAATTACCATAGTCTGGATGGATTAAACAACAAATATTTTTTGCTCATAGTCCTAGATTCTAAGACGTTTAAGATCAAAATGCTAGCAGATTCAATGTCTGGTGAGGAACTGCTTCCTGGTTTATAGATAGCTGTTCTCTGTCCTCACATGGCAGAAAGCGTGAAGGAGCTCTCTGGGTTCTCTTTTATAAGGGCACTAATCCCATTCATGAGAGCTCCACCCTCACAATCTACCTCCTAAAGGCACCTAATACCATCACACTGAAGGTTAGTATTTCAACATATGGAATTTTAAGAAGACACAAACAGTCTATGGTACTCTGCCAGTTACTTCCATCTTTATTATACATTTTATATATATGATATATATAATATTTATAAAGCCAGATACCACTCTAATTTTTGTACCTCTATATGATAGTTTATCTTTTGGCCTGGGGCTTTGAAGATTTTTTTTTAATCAAAATTTTTACAAGAGTATGTCTTTGAGTTCATCATTTTGGGTAAATTTTTCCAAATACCCAAGCAGCCTTTTTATTTATTTATTTATTGTTGTTGTTGTAGTTTTCTGAGGAGTGTTACTGTGTCTGGAGTGCAGTGGCGCAATCCCAGCTCACTGCAACCTTTGCCTCCCAGGTTTAAGCGATTCTCCTCGTTCAGCTTCCTGAGCAGCTGGGATTACAGGCCTGCACCACCACACCCAGCTAATTTTTGTATTTTTTTCATAGAAACAGAGTTTCACCATGTTGGCCAGGCTGGTCTTGAACTCCTAACCTCAGGTGATCTGCCCGCCTCAGTTTCCCAAAGTGCTGGGATTACAGGCAAAAGCCACCGTGCCTGGCCCTCAGGCAGCCTTTTTAATATTTACCTTTGGGACTGGTAGTAGTGTTAGAAAGTTTTCCCGGGTTATAGTTTTAAATATTAGTACTGTCCCATTATTTTGTTTTTCCTTTTCAGAGAAGGAATGTTTTTCTTTCTTAGGCTATCTTTCACTTCCTCTATTTTCTCTCTGATCCTTCTTACATTTTTGTTCGCTCATATTCATTTTCTTGATTACTTTATGCTTTCTTCCATGCCTTCTATTTTATTTTTATTATATTCCCTCTTGAAAACATTGGATATTATAATTTATTACTGATATAATTTTGCCATTGTCTTCCCTTGTTTCCTTAAGTTCAAACAACTCTTCATTTATTTCTTATTGTATTCATTTCTGTGCTAGGATTTTAATTTCTGATTCATGGTAGTTTTTCATATTCTCAAATGCTTGTGATATATTCAATTCAGTTTGTGGTTTGTTTTTCATTTAGTTTTGTTTTCGCCATTTTTTTTTTCATTTGTGGTTGTTTATGTGGAGAGGGCATTTTCCTCTGTTGTGTTGAATCTCATTTTCTGATTTTAAAATAAAAACTGTATGAATCTGTTCATATTTTTTCTCTTCATTTTTGTGCTATTGGGGTATTTTCTAAAATGACTAGTTTTATGGCACCCTCTTCTGTCATCATAACTAAATGCAGACACTAGCTGATTTCTGTTCTTTTGATTTGATGGTGGGGATGCGATTGTATGTTCTTTGGGGCTTTTGGGCCCTCTTGTTTCGTAGGACCCTGAAATATTCATCTTTTTTTTTCCTTTTACCATTTATCACCTAACTGATTAAAAAAAGTTGTATTTACTTGCATTCATTTTTGCATTTTTCCCCCTCAGAAGCTACAAATTTCAAACATTGCATGCATTTTAAGTGTCTTCCCTATGGTTTATGTTCTGATATATCAGAACACTTTTTTTGTATTTTCAGAATTAGATTGTACTTAATCTTTCTGACAGTGGTTTTTAGGACAAGTTTATACCTGTTTATTTGATTCTTTCTCCATTCCTCACAGTTTTTCTGAATCTACCTTTGCTTGCCACAAAGTCTTGGGGAAGGGAAAGGGTGGTAAGGACAGTAAGATCATTCACTGGGATTTGGTAATTTTTTCTGTTTTACTTACTATCTGATTAAAGTTTGGGAATTCGCTGTATTGAAGTTCTGCAAATTGAGTTTTTTGTAACTTTATTTTTCTTTTCTTGTTGTTCTCTATTGGTTTTGGAGGAAACAAACTTTGGGAAACATGGACCTAACTGGCTATCACTGTCTTTAAATATCAGAAGTCCTCACCTTTAATATTTTATGTTATCTATGCATCTTTGCCCCTTTCCTCCAGTAGCATTAGAATTCTGACAAAATTCTTTTACATTGTGGCCTATGGCCACAATGGCCTAGGAACAGCTTATGCTTTGTTCTTACTTTCCCAGGCTGAACATTATTTGGCTTACACAATCTGCCTTTCTATAGTATTTAAATCCAGCAGCTCTGGGGCAAAAAAAAAAAAAAAAAAAAAACATGAAAGCAATATGGTCAATAAGCAGTTACACAGATAATGCTGAATTGCTCTGTGTCCAGCTCTAGCCAGACATAAGTGCTACTATTACTATGCTGGAAATTGTTCGCATTGTAGGTAGCGAATTATAATATGCCTTAGCTTTCCCATAATGCTTTTATATTATAACAGAACCTGCATTTTTAATCACAAACATAAATTATGTGTGTAATGCAAGTTACTTTACTCTACAGAATAGCCAAGGTCCTGAATGGGGAATCTCTGGGCACCAAATCCCATCTTCCCACTGCCCATGCATATGGACCCCTCAACAAATATCTGTGGCTCATACACACTTTGCAAATATATATCCTCTTAAAGTAAGACAATGTATGAAAGACATATTAAAATGAGATTCATAATATATAGAAAAGTTTTAGTAAGCACAATGCATTCTCCAAAGTTCACGAAGAAAACTGCAACTTACTATGTATTACATTTGAAAATTTTTCTTTGAAAACTATTCTTACTGAATAATAAACAAATGCTCACTATCCAAGCAGTGCTTGTCATCTGTGAAAAAAATGTAAACAAATGAATAAATAATATATAAATACAGTGAAAGGCTTTCAAACAAGGGAATTGAATGCTGCAGGCCTTGTAATGCCAATTACAGGCAGTATAGAAACAATTAACTTGTTTTGTTAAGCATTTAAAAAATTTGCTTTAACTAGATAGTCTTCAGTCTCCATATCTTACGAAACTTTTTTTTTGAGGCAGGGTCTTGTTATATTGCCCAGGCCAGTGCCGAACTCCTGGACTCCAGCAATCCTCCTGCCTCAGCCTCCTGACCAGCTGGGATTACAGGCACACACAATCACATCTAGCTCAAGAAAACTTTTTTTTTAAATCCCTGGTAGCTGCCCAAAGCCTCTATACCATTTGTCATTCAAGCTTTTTTTTTTTTGTCGGATACATATAAATAATCATATGGGATACACACAGAGAGAGAGGAAAGACCTCAGAAATTATTCAATTGAGGCAAATATCTGAAGTGCTTTCTAATCTGAGTATCTGTAGGGTTCATTAAAAGTTTCATAAAATAATGATTCCTTGGGATTTATGGGTTACACTGTTGACACTCACATTCTTATACTGGCCCTCATTAGAGGAAACCAGGATGTGCAAAGAAAACTATTCTTGGCCTGGTTTCCCAGGGAACCAAAGTGTATGAATTTTCTATGTGGCAGTCTGTTTCTATCAAAACCACTTGCTCTCAGGAGCACACAGCAAAGTTAGTTGAAATTGGAAATAGAAAATCCAAACAAAGCATTCATTTATGAATTTAAAACAGTTTATGATCATTAAGCGATGTCAATGACTACCTCTCTATTTTCATGGCTTAAAATCCTCCATTGATTAAGCTTCTGGCCAGGGTTACTATCTACCACCATGCTGGTTGTGTACTGAACACTTCCACGTGGGAGGAGGTATTCACATAGAGTATAGCTGCATGGCGCCCATGGAGCTGTGTAGTGCACAACCCATCCAACCTCATATACAGTGTGCCTGCATCTAACATCATCTAGCACAACTGAGGTATGCAAAGGAAATTGCTATGACATCACAAAATCAGCTCATTCAAAAATTAGAGGAAAACTAAACAAGAAACTTAGTTCTTTTCTGACATGTTTAAACAAACCAAATGTTCAAAAACAAAAATACCAATTTTGAAGACTTCAACATACAATATAATTCTCTATAAGTTGGTCCTATAAACCAGTTACAGGTATTTTTAATCAACGCATTAATCAGTTTCTTTAAATATTAATCACAGATGGTTTTCAAAATATATTCATTCATGCATTTATTTAGCAAAAATTAATTGAGCCTTTACATATATACTGGTATCATTTGTAACATGGACAATCCGAAATAAAGCTTGTTTAAGGCAGCATTCTGCCTCTCTATACTGAAGGTTGAGAATACTAAATGTTCTCTCATTCTAATATTAAAATAATAACACTTTTCTATGACAATTTAACCAGTTAAATATTTACCAGAGGCAACTGGAGATTAATGTGGCCTAAAAAGTAGAAAGGCTTTTTTTTTTCAGGTTTTTTTTTGTTCTTTGTTGTTGTTATTGTTGCTACTAAAAAATAGAAATTACCCAGCACTAATACAGTCAGTAAAAACGTATCTCCACAACATAGAATACTGAGATTTTTTTAAACGATAGTCTGGACTAAAGGAGAAAAAAATCAGTAGCCATATTGCTTGAGACAAGAAGTTAAGTGACAGAAATAGAGGTAGCCTAGGAGGAAAAACCTTAACTAAAAAGCCTAACATAGAAATTCCTTTACGAAAATAAGAAGAGATGAAGACTCAACATTATCAAAAGACATACTATTCAGGTGAAAAAGGGAATAAATCTGAAGTGACAGAATTCACATATAATTCAGACATACATTCTAGCTTACTGAAGGGAAACATGTCAGGTAAAGGTAATTGGCAGTCTGATTAAGGGACTGCAGAATCAAAAGAATGTATGAAGTTTTCGGTAATGGAAGTGTCATAATATATGTGCTGGATATTGTTAATTAAAAGTTAAAAGAGAAGTCTGATTATCAATGATATTGTATTCCAAGTATAGTTTCGTGACTAATGAGACATCACCAAATATTTGTGTAAACAAGAGTCAAGTTACCCCATACAAATGAACAAGTAGAAGGTGACTAGAGTATGTTATAAAGTGTCACCCCTGAACTTCAAACTCTTCCTAGAAAGACACTGAAATGAATAACACTGCAAAAAGAGCACATGGAAGACGTTCTTGTCAGCTACTCAAAAAGGTGATAACTGCTGGGATCAATACTGGGACTCATCAAAGAATTATGATGGCTACTGGCATTGCAATGTACAGAGAGAAAAATACAACAGAATAAATTAGATCCAGTGCATATAATAATTTGCTGTATACAAATGGAGGCATTGATAGTCAATGGGAAAAGATACTAAAACTAATGTTTAACTACTTAGAGAAAAATAATATAAATTAACACTCCCCACTATAGGAAAAAAAATTGCGATGGCTCAATCCATGGAAAAGTACAAAAATTTTTTGTCCAGTCTCTCTGAGAAGAAATTCTTAAGGGAGGATTTCAGGTCTGATATCAAACGAGTCTTATTAAGAAGATTTCCCCTGAGGATTTCACATTCTTACTGGTAAATGTGAATACCCTCGAGGAAATCTTATAGATTTCTGAACATCTGAGGAAAATAGAATAAAACCAAAATGGTTCTTTACCTCCATAAAAATGGAAAAGTCTTCTCTCTGTTCCAACATAAAAGAGTAGTCGAGGGCCCCCCAAGTATGGTTTTAAGGAACTTCAGTAATCTTGGTGTTAAAGGGTAGAGGGTAGAGGAGAGAACTGATATTATAAAACATCCAAAAGCATAACAAATGGACTTATGACACATTACCCAGTATTACTTTAAATAATGAATTTATTTAAATCATACAAGCCATTGGAATGGCTGGTTCTGACTTAGATAAGCAAAACACTTCTCTGTGCTTGTAAAAAATAATTACGTTATATTTTTCTACTCTTCCCTGCCCAGATCTGTTCTTATCAAAGAGAAACTCTCAAATGCAAATCTCAAAACTGTTTTATAATGCTTTTAATTGTTATTTCCTTGCTTAGCAAAAGTAACAAGTTCATTTTATATTTTTTAAAAATGCGTGGACATTATATTAATTAGGATGCAGGTTGAAAATAACAGAACCAACCCCCGCTTGTTCAAAGAAGAAAGAGGAGAAGGAGGAGGAGGAGGCAAAAAGAAAATAGAGAGAAAAGTATGAGGTTTATTTTCTACAAGGCAATTATAAGGAAATATATTCCTATTATAAAGACATACTGGACTCAAGTAACCTGTCTAGACTGTGTCTGGGCTTCAGAAAAGAAAAGGAGCCAAGAACAGTGTAAGAATCCAGGGGATGTTTTTTCTCCTCCTCTCATCTCTGGTCTCTCTGTAGCTCTGCTTTGTACATGAAAGTATATAGCTGTATCGCTGCTCCTCAGCTTTCACATCTATATTAAATTGATTGCAGAATCCTGAGAATGCACATTTGTTTGGGCCAAGTTTGATCGGGTTTTCACTCTTGATAACTAAACTAAAGTCAGATGAAACATGACTGCGTGGAGACTACACCTGTGAAAAGTGAGGCTAGTATTCAGGGAAGACAAATTGAACAGAAACTCAGTGGTTTCAATCACAATATTACAGTTTGTTAGATATATTTCTTGATGTTATATTTTTTAAACAACTAGTAGCTGAACAAATCTAACAGATATTATGGGAACTGCCTCTCCCGCTCTGATGAATGACTCAATTTCTTGCAGAGAAAATGACCTCTCTTTACAAAATTTATAAGCTTGGGTCTAGCTGATTAAACTAAATAAGATATAGTTTTTATGTCTTATAATAATTGCTATAAATACATTTTCTTCAACTACCCTGAAAAGAATACTAATCAAAGTGCCCACATTTAAGGACATTGACTTCTTATTCCTAACATGAAGAATATATTTGTAAGAATGTAGTTTTAATATATTCTTAAGAAAAATAATAGATTATTGAACCACACACTCTAGTTGATATAATATTCAGATGAAAATTTTAGCAGGCACCCAGGTATCTGTCTTTATGTTTCCAAATTCTGAAATATCCTGAAACACATGACTATTCAATTGAATTTCAATTTCAATTCAACTGAGTTTCTCAATTTTTATGTTTCAAGTTGTAAATGGCAATTATATATAAATATTATTTTCTGATGTTTCTAGATTATCATCACACATTAAACATCTGTGGGGGATTGCTATAAGTAAAGAGAGGAGAAAGACAGAGAAAAATGTGGTGATACCCAGCTTACCGGAGTCTTCATTCTTCACTGTGGTCCTGACTTAACTGTTGTAAGTCAAAGACTGAGTTTAACTACCAGGACTTAAGTCATAACAGACATATAAGAGGGTATACTATACCACACACCTGATTCTAACATTCTAATATCTAGACAGCACTTCCCTATATCCTCCCCCATAGAATTATTATACTATACCACACACCTGATTCTAACATTCTAATATCTAGACAGCACTTCCCTATATCCTCCCCCATAGAATTATTCAGGAAGAAAAGCCTTCCTTGATTTAATAATTTGAAAGAACTAAAAAAAAGTACACATGAGGAATATCTGCCTTAAAAGGAAATGGAGGAAACATGAGATAATTTGGATAAATTTTCTGTAAATTATAAAAGTTAAAATCATTGATTATAAACAAAAGTCAAACAACATATTTATTGAAAAAAGAAGACATTAGACAAAAGTAGGAGATAAAAAATATGACAAATAATTTAAAGTCAAAAAATTCATATATATTGCAAAAATATTGTCAGGGGATGAAAGACAGGCTTGGAAAAAAATATGAAGTCTGAAAGTAAATAACAAAAAAATTAAAAGAATTAAAAGAATAAGATAGGTATGAAATACCTAAGGAGATCAAACGTATGCATGACCAGTATTCCTGGAGAAAAAGAAAAAATTTGACAGGAAATATAGGAACATGAAGGATAGGGACTTTGAAAAGACAAGGAACTTACTTGAATTTTAAAAAGACTTGGAACTTTAGACTGAAATAGCACATTAAGTCTTAAGAAAATTTGAAACAAAACGATCAACACAAAGACATCAAAGTGATGTTGAAAAATAATATATAAAAGAATGCTATTAGCACCCAGATAGAAACACAAGTTAGACAGAACGAAGAAAATCAAACTAGTTTTAAATGATTCCAGAGGAATATTTACAAATGAAACAAGTCTACAGAGTTCTGAAGGAAAGGAAATGTCATTTGAGGGCTGTATAATGAGTAAAACTACACTTCAAATATAAAGAAATTATTCATTTGCAATACACATAAGCCTCCAAAATAGTGTGCTCATCAACCTTAGTGGAAAAATGCAAATACTACCTGTTGAAAGAAATATAAACAACTAAACAATGGAAGAATCTAGGACATAAGAACCAGTGACAGGCACTGAATTTACTTAGATATGTAAATATATAAATAACAGTTTAAAATTATAAACTTTGGCTACAGAAAAGAACACAAATACTAAAATATTATCTGTGGGAAGTCTACTTCTAGGAAGATGTTGTGGACATAATTTTTTCATATTTGTTTTACTGAACACAGCCAAAAAGTCAGACTATTATAAATAAAACAAATATGAAAAGACTGTGAAAGATGGAAAGAAGAAATCAGACTGACTAGGGAGTGCAGGATGTGAGAAACAATACAGTGATAAGATCCTTGGATTTTCTTTTTGCCTCATAAATGCTAGACAGGGTGTTGGTAGAACTAACAACTCAGAAAGCCAATGCGTGCAAACTGACGTCTTCCAAAAAGCCTGCCAAAGCAACAGAGACACCACAACAAGAAACAATGGCCCCACCTCCATCCACAACAGAAAAAGCCAAATGAGGAGACTAGACTTTTATTTTCACCAGATTAGAACAAGGCACCTCACCCTTCATAATTTCTTTTATGTTTTCCTAAAAAGACTTTAACATTTTAACTTTTATATTTTTATCTATGATTCATTTTGAATTTGTATATGGCATAAAGTAAGGGAAAATGTTTATTCTTTTCTATATGAATATCTAGTTCTACTAACAATATTTGTTGAGAACTCTAACTTTCTCTTTGAACTACCTTGACATTTTGGTTTGAGATCAACTGGCCATATTTAGGTATAGAAAAAGCCCTTGGTGAAAAACTGCACTGATTCATGATAAAATTTCCCAGTGAATAGCAGGGAACTTTGTCTAATCATAATACAATCTTTACAGTTTTTTTAAGTACTTGTAGGGTATATCATTTCCACCCATTTATTTTACTTATTTGTATCTTTATATTAAAGTGGGTTTCTTGTAAACAGCATGTAATTGGATATTGCTTTTTCATCCAATCGTGTTATTTCTGCCTTCTAATTAGAGTGTTTAAACCATTAACATTTTAATTAATTATTGATATGTTTGAGTTCAAATCTACCATCTTGTTATTACTTGCTACATGTCCCATTGTACTGTGTCTCTCGCTTTCTCATGTTTTTATTTCTTTTGGGTTAATTGTGTAGATTTTAGATATTTCATTTTCTTATCCCATTATTAACTGGCTAGCATAGTTTCTGAGGGAAATCTGTGATCATTTTTCTGTTTCTTCTCTACAAAATCTGTCCATTGTGTTTAAGGCAACAAAAGGCATTGTTTTCAGAAATTTTAATTGTGATGTGTCTAGAAGTTTGTCTTCGGGTTTATACTATTATACATCAGGTTCATATGACTCCTTGGATATATGGGTTTATTGTTTTCATCAAATTAGGAAATTTTCGGTCATTATTATTTCAAATAGTTTAATGTATCCCCACTTATACTATGTTATACTGCTTAATATTGTCATACAGGTCACTGAAGATCTGTTCATGTTTATTTCTGCCTCTCCTTATACTTCAGTTTGGGTGGTTTTACTACTGTATTGATTAAAGTTAACAGATCTTTTATTGTTGTTTTTGTGTGTGTGTGTGTGTGTGTGTGTGTGTGTGTGTGTGTGTGTGTGTTTTGCAGTACCTCATCTTCTTATAGTTTAATCATGAATTTTTCATTTTTAAATAATAAATATTTTGTCTTGACAAGTCTCATTTTTTTTACATCTTTCATTTCTTTTCTCATTATGTTCATGTTTTCTTCAAATCCCTGAGCATATTTAGAATACATATAGCAGCTAACTTACATCTTTCACATTCCAGTTCTATTATCTCTGTTATTTCTGGAACTATTTTTATTGATTTATTTTTTGATTGATTTATTTATTTTTATTGATTTATTTTTCTCATTATAAATCAAATCTTCTATTGTTTAATATTTTTATTGGATGCTAGTTATTGTGAATCTTACAATATTGAGTGTTGAGTTATTTTTTCTTTTTTAAAAAAGTGTTAGATGCCTTTTTTATGGTAGACAGTTAACTTTCTTAAGGGTAAGATTAACCCTTTTAAAGCCTTGTTTTTCATCTTCACTGGAGCATGTTCAACCATACTGCTTAACTATGACCCTCATTTGAGCTCTACTGAATGCACCAGATGGTCAAATTTTCTCCATTTTAAATGACTTGAACTCAAAAATCCCACAGCCCTTGCGGGTTCTGGTAATTTTTAAACTTTCATTTCCAAAGTTGTTTCCTGCTCAGCTTCACAAAGTTTCACCTGTTGCATATGCAGTTTGATATACAGTAATGACTGTAGGAAATCCCACGTGGGTTTCTGCAACATTCCTATTTAGAGTTTCTTCTCTATTATTCTGCCCTACAATTTACTTCTTCCTTAACCTCCTCAGACTTTGTTATCTTTTGAATTAAATATAAATAAAAAACTTAGTGCTTTGCTTTTGATTCGTCTTACTATACCACTCTCTGGAAAGTACCTCCAGTTGAAATCTAGGGCAATCTTATTTGTTTCCCCTCCATCAGGATGGCAGTCCTATGCTGCCTAGTGCCCGGTGTCTGAAAACATGTTTTATTACATATTTTGTGCAATTTTCTAGTTGTTTACAGTGGAAAGCAAGTCCAATTTACTCCATCATAGCTGGACCTTGTGTCTATTTTAAAATGTCATTTGCAGCAGAGTGAAGGATGAATTATCCAGTGGGGATAACAAGGTAGAAAAGGCTGTGGCAGTGTGCAGAATAAAAAAAATAAGCATTTGAATATGCAGCATCAGTGGAAATAGAGAAAAGTAGACAGTGTCAAGACAATTTCAAAGATAAATTAAGTTTTTATAGAGAAAATATTATCAGTATTTTCTAAAACTTTGATCTTTTTAATCACATCATTTATCCCAATGAAGTATCATCATCATGTATGTATATATACACATATAAAAATATAAATATACATATTTATAGTGTGTTTTATCACCTGCTTTTATGACAAATTTTATTTTCTGTGACTACTCCAATTATGGCACTTTAAAATGATAAGACAACCCTAAAAAGCAGGAACCATATCCATATAATATTCCTTATAGGAGAATCTTTTGTAAACTTTTAAAGTATGTGTACATAGAAGAATGTAATACACTCCTGTATAATTAAAGTCACTCCAGGTTATTTCATGAATAGGGGAGAAGAGTAATACAGATAATGCAAAAGAACAGATAACTCAGCCAGGTTTTATGACTTTTGAAAGCATCATATATTATTGATGACAGATTTTAATCTTTCTAATTATCTTTTACTTAATTCATATTCTCCGAACATATATGAGATTCCATTAAATATACCACTTAATCATGACATTATTGAATACATTATATATTTTTGGTCATAGATGTATATATATACACATATTCATATGATCAAAAATATATGTGAGTGCACACATGCACACTAGTGAAGGAAGCAACATATGCAAAATATACAAATGATCACAAGAGTGTTAGAGATATAATCCAGTCATGTTAAGATGCTACAGAGGCAAATATAAAGCAGTTTACCTCTGTAGTAGGCTGGTATTTGAGCTGGTCTTCAAGGAAACAAGAAAAAGAATGTGGAGAAAGTGCCATTCTAGGCAGAGAGAAGAAAGTATACAAGAAAGACTGGCCCATAAGTATATGATGCTTTGTTGTGTTCATTGCCTTCTGCTGCATTTTTCTCAGTGTGGACTTTCAAAAAGTTTCCCTAGCAGTTTAATATCAATGACACATGCATTTAAATAGCACTGGAACTATATTAGAAGCTGACATTTTTAAACAAAAAGCTTTAGAAGCCACTCTATGAAACACGCAAGAAGAATGAAATGCATTAGATGAATAATCATTATCATCATCATTAACATTTATGAAACACTTACTATGTGATTCATGCTGTTCTAAGGGCTTTACATGTAATTAGTTTATTTAATGCTCATGATCTCTCAGCAGGGAAAAAAAGGAAGGAAGGAAGGGAGGGAGGGAGGGAGGGAAGGAAAGAAGGGAGTGAGGGAAAAAGAGAGGGAAGGAAGGAAGGAAGGAAGGGCACTTCTGCAGCCAATAGCCATTATTGATTCTTTATTCTTGTCCACCTGGCCTATGGTCCTCACCTGAAAACAGAATGAAAATAGAGTAGAACAAAATGCTCCCCCCACCCCACAACACACATGCATATCCAGATACACACACAGGCACACACATGCAAACATACACACACACACACACATATATATATACACACAAACATACATATACATATAGACACCTGCCTAATAGTGGAGGCTGTGCAACACTGCTCAGATCCTCCACCACCTTCAGCATTGCTGGGAATGCTAATGGTTCATCTCTCAGGAATATTCTTTTTACTTCATAAACAGAGGAATTGCAATTTTCTGTGGATGCTTAGTGTGAGAAACTCTGATTTTAAAAGTGGGTAATTATCAAAAAAATGAAATGAAACATGGTATAATATGGTTAGATTTTAATTTAGAAAGCACAATAGTGATATGATCAGATTTTAATGCATGATTGTGTTTTGCATCCAGCATTGATTTCTTCCTTTTTGGGTAAGAGTACTCATTTTTGTTTGAAGAACTACCCTGCTCCCAGTGTCGAAGGGCAGCATGGGATCTAGACCTGACCAAAAAATTTAACACATTCTCTATCATAGTGATTGATTTAAGAATTAGTACACACTCATAGCCAGGACAATCAAGGCTAATTTTAAGATTTGTTTTCTTTGACAAGTAAGCAAGAAAGACATTTTCTTTCCTACTGGAATAACTGTGAATGAAATAAGCCAAAACTTGTCAATGGTCATCATTCAGAAAACATCTGTAAGCAACAGACCATAACAAATAAATCGAGAGAGAGAGAGCCTGAATAAAATTACATGAGTTATTAAACACATGTTTACATTAAACCAAGCCTAAATCCAAAATTATTACTGAACTTTTTACTTGTGAGCCAAAAGATTCCTCTTTTGTCTAAGCATAGTTGACTGACTTTCTTTCACATGCAATAGAAAAAGATGTAATATAAAAATTCTTCATTCTCCATTTGGAAATATACAATATTATTCTCCATTTGGGAATTTACAATGCTATTCTCCATTTGGAAATTTACAATGTGTATTATAAGTTTCTGAGTAGCTTTACAGTAAAGAAACTAATTTACTCTTTTTTCCTTGTTTGACAAATATTCATCCAGAGTTTGCTATGTGAAGAACACTGTCCTAGATTTAGTGACTCCAGTTATGTCAATGATGGACTCAGAACCTGCTAATATTGAGTTGATAGTTAAAGAAAATATGTTTTAATGGAATATCACAAAGTCTAAGTGTTTTCTATGGTTTGGATGAGTTTTATCCTCACCAAAACTCATGTTGAAATTTGATTCCAATGTGACAGGGTTGGGAGGTGGGGCCTACTGGGAGGTGTTTGGGTCGTGGGAGCAGATCCCTCATGAATAGATTAATGCCTTCTGGTGGAAAAGAGTTTTCACCCTCATGGAGCTATGTTAGTGACCACAAGAGAATTTTTCCTTCGCATAATTTGGTCTTTGCACGTGCCTGCTTCCCTTTAAGCTTTCTGTCACAAGTTAAAGAAGCATGAGACCTCACCAAATAGGCTGCCTGATCTTGGATTTGCCAGCCTCCAGAACTGTGAGCAAAATAAAGTTATTTTCTTTATAAATTACCCAGTCTCAGCTATTTCTTTTCTTTTTTTTTTTTTTTTTAGACGGAGTCTCGCTCTGTCACCCAGGCTGGAATGTAGTGGTGCGATCTCGGCTCACTGCAAGCTCCGCCTCCCAGGTTCACGCCATTCTCCTGCCTCAGCCTCCTGTAGCTGGGACTACAGGTGCCCACCACCACGCCCAGCTAATTTTTTTTTTTATTTTTTAGTAGAGACGGGGTTTCACCATGTTAGCCAGGATGCTCTTGATCTGCTGACCTTGTGATCTGCCTGCCTCGGCCTCCCAAAGTGCTGGGATTACAGGCTTGAGCCACTGCCCCGGCCCAGTCTCAGCTATTTCTTATGGCAACACAAAATGGTCTAAGACAGTGTTCTATATAACACAGTTTAGGAAATTCTATTCTGAAAACACCTCATTAATTTTTTGTTACATTAAATAATATGCTTGACTAGAGAGGCTTCCCTTCAGTTTGCTGAAAATTCTTGCAATGACTTCGATCTGTAATATTTGTTAACTATTTATTTATTACATTAACTCTTCCTGTAGATTATTTTTGTTCTTTGTGTTTCTTAATGCCCTTTTTTTCCACAGGTGGGTATTCTAGACTTTATTATATGAGGTTATTTTCATCCATTACACAAATTCTAAGCACTTCTATTTCTGTTACTGTGACAGACCTTGAAAATTTTGCAGTACATAAAAACAGATAGAACACTGCTTTTTTTGGAGCTTTTGGTGTCATAGAGGAGACAAGACAATAATCACGCACATAGGAATGTTTTTCTCTCTTAGCCTGCATACCAACAAGGCCTTCCTTGACCATTCCATTTTATATGGCAATTCCCACACTTTGCTCTTATAATTTTGACCACTGTGTTTGCTTTTCCTCTCCATAGCCCTTACCTTCCTCTTCCTCTGACATACTATGTGTTTTACTTGTTTGCTTGTTTTCTGTGTCCTCTGCCAGGATATAAGTTCTATTGGGAAAAGAACATTTGTCTGTTTAGTTCACTGTTTTATTTCCAGACTCTAGATCAATGTTTGGTATATAATATGCATATATTACATGTTTGTTTACTAGGAATATATCATATATAGAATAATAAAATATATCATACATATATCCTCTCCATAAGTCTATTTTGTATTTCACCATAAGGCAAAACCAAAGGAGTGCTTTTGAAGTGTTTTCATGAAGCAACATGTATTTCATGATAGGTTAACATGTAATATCCCGTGGCAAATTTTTTTAAGGTATAAAATGTACAAAGATGAGCAAACTGGCTACTAACAAAATATTTTTCATGACATTTAAAGATGTTTTATTTTATAATATTAAATATGCAAAATGACATACATTTATCACAGATGGAAAATTACAAAATTCTTATATCTATTTTAAATATTGGCCTTAGAATATTAGTATAAGTTGTAAAAATAAAAGAGCACTTTTCAAGTCAAGAAAACACCATAACAGTTTTGCTTTTGTACCGAGCGGGGTAGGAAGAAGAAAAGTATCTTTTCAGAAGCAATGACTACATTTTCTCAACTTGGTTAAAAGATAGGTGAAAATAGACAAGTTAAGAGAAGATTGTTAGTTACTATAAATATTCTTTTGAATCTTTCTGGTTTTGAAATTAAGCAATATGTAAAAAGAAGTTTACTGTATTGTTCTTTTTTAGGTAGTTTTGTTCTGGTTCCAAGAATAAACCTGGAGAAGATTAGCTGTACTGTTCTTACACATTTTGTTTTCTAGCAAGCATTTTTAGAATCCTTTGGCTTCACTCAGCTGTCTGCCACTGTGCTTATTTTTTTCCTAAACTTTTTTTTTTACAGTTTTTAAGTACTTTAGTGTTAAGTTTTTGAGCAAAAACCACTCTGAATATTAATAACCAGAAGCTTCTATAAAGTACTTTTCTATAGTTGTACTAGGTGTGGTATTTTAAGAGTGGGATTTAAACAAATAAAGACTGTTTACACGTAGCAGAAAGATTAACTTAATTTATTTTCTTGGAACAAAATGCTGCTGCCATTATTTGAAATCAAAATAGTCAATATGATAGCCTAGGTAGATGAAACTTCTGAGTTATTAAAATCATTATCACTATTTTTATTATTATCACTTTTAGAGCTGTGGCCAAGGTTAATCCATAAACATAATAAGTCATGGAAATTGTTTCTTCTCTTTTTTACTTTTCTATGCGAGTAATTATTTTCTTTACTAAACTGTGTCTATGGTCCTTCATGGGACTTCTGATGTCTTAAGCTTTAGAAAGGTTTCCAAAGACTTAGTTTCCTTCTCTGAAATGGCAGTCTTAAACAGTCTACTGCGGTCTTAATCCAAAATGATTTTTACCATGTTGACAGATACAATTAGAGTCTAAAGCCCAGCAGGCATAGTCAGAAAATAATAAATTCATGGTGAGACTAATCAAACACTACTACCATTCTCTTTTTTCTTCCTCATCATCAAAACTAAGAACAGGGAAATAAAAACATGAGTAACAAATGACCCTTCCAGAGTCCAAAATGAAAATGGCCTTTTGACTTCTCCAGTAATGAAATCCAAATACAATGTGAAAAGAACAAATGGATCACTCAGCATATTGGTTTAATCCATTTTAGAAATGAAGGTCTTGCTTTCATGCAAGGTGAAAGAACTGGTCCCCAACCATTTCAATCAGAACTCTTGGTAAAACCAATCAACCACACACAAAATAATGGACATGTCAGGTATTTCCCTGCTCAGCCAATCATGTTTTATAAATGAAACACAATTAATAACTACAACCAAGACTGTATATTCTGGTCCTGCTGCTGGTACATTAGCGGGGTTTTACTTAAAAACATATTCCCAACTCCAGAATGTCCTTGTACCAGTGGCTATTTCACCATCCCCTCATTAGCTAAATCATCTGCTTAAGCTTTACAAACTTAATTCTGAAACATTCACCTGGATATTAATAAAACCTCATAAAATCAGAATTATAGAAAATTAGCGTTGGAAAAGATATTAAAGGCCATACCATTTGTGATGGTTAATATTGTCAATTTGATTGGCTTAAAGGATGCAAAGTATTGTTTCTGGGTGTGTCTGTGAGGGTGCTGCCAGAGGGGATTAACATTTGAGCCAGTGGACTAGGAGAGGAAGACCCATCCTCAATGTGGGTGGGCACTATCCAATTGGCTACCAAGGCAGCTAGAAAAAGCAGGGCGAAGAAGGTGGAATAAGCTGGCTTGCTGAGTCTTCCAGCTTTCATCTTTCTCCCATGCTGGATACTTCCCGCCCTTGAACATCAGACTCCAGATTCTTTGGCCTTTGGACTCTTGGACTTAACACCAGTGGTTTGCCAGGGACTCTCAGGCCTGCGGCCACAGACTGAAAGCTGCACTGTCGACTTCCCTACTTTTGAGGCTTTGGGACTCAGACTGAGCCACTACTGGCCTCTTGTACCTCAGCTTGCAGACAGCCTATCATGGGACTTCATCTTGTGATCCTGTGAGTCAATTCTCCTTAATAAACTCCCTTTCATACATACATATATCCTGTTTGTTCTGTCCCTCTAGACAACTCTGACTAATACACCATCCAGTGATTTTATTTAATTAATTAATTTATTGTTTGTTTGTTTGCTTGTTTTAGACAGAGTCTTGCTCTGTCGCCCAGGCTGGAGTGCAATGGCTTGATCTCGGCTTACTGCAACCTCCGCCTCATGGGTTCAAGAGATTCTCCTGCCTCGGCCTCCTGAGTAGCTGGGACTACAGGTGTGCGCCAACATGCCCGGCTAATTTTTTGTATTTTTAGTAGAGACGGGGTTTCACCATGCTGGCCAGGCTGGTCTCGAACTCCTGACCTTGTGATCAGCTCCCCGCCCCGGGCCTCCCAAAGTGCTGGGATTACAGGCGTGAGCCACCACACCCGGCCCATCCAGTGATTTTAAGTTGTGAACTATTGACACGTGGGCAGGCTTCTATAAATCCAGTTGATTCAGTAAAGGCATTTTATTTTATCTGTTTTACCTACTAGCATGACATACAGTATAAGATTCCCTTTGAGAAGAAGGTATACCCTAAACCAAAGTATGAAATTCATCCATCTAGTTCAACCATTTTATATTATATATGGAAAACTGAGACGCCTATCTGTTTCGTGACTGTGACTTCCAAGAGGCACACAGCTAATTAGCAGCTAGATAGTATAACTTTGTTATATCCTTCCTGTTGCAAAAGACACAAACTCAAGTCAAATGGGCTTAAAAGAAGGAAATTTAGTTGACATATAAATGAAAAATGCTAAATGTACTTCATCAAAAGTGAGTCAAAGCTATAATGAAGGTACAAATTGAACAGAATTCAAATAATACTGAATCATCCTATTCTTACTAGAATTTGAGAAATTTCTTAGCAACACAAACCAGGGCGATGGTTGACATAATGAGTCTGGGTATCAAAAGCCATGTGATTAGAAGACTCAGGAATGTCAAGTCTGAGCAGGAATAGAAAACAATTTGCCCTTTTGAATAATATGCTTCCTTGAAATGTACATTATCTTCCCTTGTGATGCCTATGTTTCCAGATGTCATATGGTCTCTGGGCTTCTACTCTAGAGTTTTGAGGCTTTGGTGAACTGTGCAAAATGTCCATCTTCCAGAGCAGAAAAAAGGAAAGGAAACACAAAGGATAGTGTAAAGTTTCAGGGGCAATATGTGTGAAATTGCTGATTGAAATTGCTGATTGCGGAAAATAAGAATCTGTGTTTCCTTTCTTACCTTCTTTCCTTCCTCTCTCTCTCTTATTCTTTCTTTTCACTTTCTTTCTCTCTTTTTATTCCCTCCCTTCCTCCCTCCTTCCTTCCTCTTTCTTTTTTTTTCTTTCTTTGAATACCAGTTGGCAAACTTCTATCAATATTTCCAAGTTGGAAATGAAGTACAAATTTGGCTCACAAAATATCACATAAAAGATTTTTCCAGCTGGGCACAGTGGCTCATGTCTGTAATCCCAGCACTTTGGGAGGCTGAGGTGGGAGGATCGTTTGAGGCCGGGAGTTCAAGACCAGCCTGGGCAACGTAACAACACCTCATTTCTGTTAATTAAAAAAGGGGGTTTCACCAAACAAAGCACACATACATGTGTGTGTATGGGTAGTTAAATCGATAATAGGTGATTTGCAGATTCTTCAGTCAAAACATTTTAACATTTTGTAATGAGTTTAGCATTTTCACTCAAAAACATTTTCTAAATGCTTGCTCTGAACCATAGGGACCATGCCAAGCACTGCAGCTATAAACAGAATGAGAGATACAGTGTTGGCCACAGTCCCTGTCCACAGCTCACAGTCTGGTGGGAGAGACCCATGATCATAATATAACTTGGTAATGTCTATAAATATAAATAACTGCAAACCTGGGGTGATTCAGAAAAATCTCAAAAAATAAGGGACATTGAAGCTAAACTTCGAAGTAAAAGGAATAGTTTTTTAAAAAACTAAAATTTATAGAAGTTCATTGTTGACAATAATTATGGAAACTGATTTTTTTTAATTTTCTATAGAGCCACTCTACCATGAATCTCTGCTTTACTTTTCACTCCCTTGGGAATTTGTTTAATTTCCTTGCATTCCCAAGTCACCACAGGAACTGTTTTATGTTGGCACATTGGCATGTTTGTCTATCTTGGGCATTTGCTTTCTTTCATTCTATTTTGACTTCACTTTTCTTGAACACCATGTGGCTGCAATAAACAAATGCAGCTCCTTAAGTGTTTCTGACAGGTTTGACGTGATTAAATCAACTTATGGAAATGCCTTGAGACAAGCTGAATGCTTTTCTTTAAGAAAGTTACAGGCTTTCTAAGTTGAGCAAGAGAATGTGAAAGGAAAACTAATATAACATTGGGTTCTGTTGACTCTAAGGGAAAATGTACACCAATAACATGACAAAAATTATTTAAAACCTACCAAGTCATGACATTCAATATCTGATACATATGAGTTAATAGAGCTTTAAAAAACTTTAATTGCCTAAGTACTACATTCTTCATGCATAATTTTAAAAATACAGGTAAACAAAAAGAATGAGAAAAACTTAAAAATCACTATAGTCTTAATGCCAAGTTAACCACAATTATATTTTGGAGATGTTTTTTCAGATTCTTTTCTATACATTTACTTGTTTGTATAAATATGTATTTTAACAAAAAATGGGTTCATATTATGACCTACTTTTTCCATTTAGTATTGGGCCATGAACATCTTTTTATAAATATACATATTTCCACACCATCATTTTTAATACTTGTGTTTATTATGTAAACAATACATTATTGTCATTAATTTGGGATTTTGCAAATAGAAGTGACATTCCAATAAGTATTAGTATGGCAACATCTTTGCATATAATTTTAATTACATAACATAAATTCCCATTAGAATCGCTCAGTCAGGGTACATATGCTTTTGTAAGAAGTTTTTGAGCCATACTGACTAATTCTTCTTCAGAAAAGTCCAGTCAGTGTAAACACTCTTTAGTAAGATATAATAGTGTTCATTTCGGCCAGGCGTGGTGGCTCACACCTGTAATCCCAGCACTTTGGGAGGCCACGGCTGATGGATCACAAGGTCAGGAGATCAAGACCATCCTGGCTGACACGGTGAAACCCTGTCTCTACTAAAAATACAAAAAAATTAGCCAGGCGTGGTGGCGGGCACCTGTAGTCCCAGCTACTGGGGAGGCTGAGGCAGGAGAATGGTGTGAACCCAGGAGGTGGAGCTTGCAGTGAGCCGAGATAGCACCACTGCACTCCAGCCTGGGCGACAGAGCGAGACTCCATCTCGAAAAAAAAAAAAACAAAAAAAAAAAAACAAAAATAGTGTTCATTTCTTCTCATTTTTGCCAACAACAAATGCTAACTGTTTTGTCTGTATTTTGTCAGTATGACAGACAACAATGATATTCATTGTCCTAAGTTTCATTTATTTGATTACTAGTAAAGGTGAATAAGTTTGTTTCTCTTTTATGTATTAGTTATAGTTTTTCTTCTGAGGGTTAACTATGTCCCTTGGAAATGTCCTATGAAAAGTTATGTACTTTTAAAGGAGATATATGCTTTGAAAATTTCAGCAATGAAATGCTGTGTGAAAGGGTTTAAGTCATTATGTTCCCATATCACTTTTTTTTAGATAAGATGAATGAATTTTTTTTTTTTTTTTTTTGGTCATTGCTTCCTGAGCTGCTACTGGGACATAAGAAAAGAGAAATTTCTTCCTCTTGTATTTCCTTGATATTCATTGACACTCATGATCTTGAAATTGTGAAACTAAAGGACAGTTATTTGGTAAAATGTCCTCAATTAGGGTTCGTCAGCCTTTTCTTCATGGTTAGACACAGGTTATTCATCTTTGCCAGGAGTGTCACAGAAGTCCCCTATTTTTTGAGATTTTTCTGACTCACCCCGGGTTAGCAGTTATTTATATTTACAGACATTACCAAGTTACCATATTATGATCGTGGGTCTCTTCCACCTGACTGTGAGCTGTGGACTGGGCCTGTGGCCAACACTGCATCTCTCATGTGTTCTCCCCTGTGCATCATATCAGGCCCTATGTGGTTTTGACTTGTCACATTACTGAGGATGTAAACTGGATGAAAGCAGCATCTCAGGTTTTCCCACTATAAAGTTATTCCTTTGTAATTAGTAAGTGTTTGGTGGGGAAGGATTTTGAGATTGTGTTAATATTATATGCCTCATCAAAATGAATTATTTTACTTTATTTGTGACCATATGAACTCATGGATCCCAATTTTATTTAAGATATATGATTCATTATTATCTTTAATTAATTCACAAATTGTTCTGGATTAACCAAGGGGAACCCCTTAAACATGGCTATGATTTCCCAGCACATTTTGAGCATTTCTTTATTTTCTTTGACAATAGGATGTTCCAAGCTAGGCTTGTATTTTTCTTGCCCTAGTCTGGAATTAGCTGTTCTTCAAAGAGTCTTGATTCTTTCTGTCATAGTCTTTAGAGGACAAGATCTGAGGAGCTAGGCTTGTTCATTGCTCTTGTGTTGTTGCTACTAGACTCTCTCATTGGACAGAAATGGGGAATATAGCTAGAATACACACACACACACACACACACACACACACACACAAATATACTCACATAAAAACACTTACATGTAAACGTCTTTCGATTTCTATGTACGTACATTGAAAACACAAGTTCACATTGATACTGTAATTCTAATTCAACACCAGAATGTATTCTAGTTTTCTCCCTTTCCATATTTGTAACTCTGTTTTCCAACACTGAGAAATTTGCTCTGATTATCCTTATATATTTACTGGTTTCACCCACCCTTTATGTAACTCAGCTCCCATAGTTGCCACGAACTCTTCCTTGTGTGAATGCCCTCATCACCCCACTCAAGGTATTACTTGGCTCAGGGCTCCAACACTTCACACTGGGCTGCCCATTTACACAAATGCCCTCCTCAACCTACTGAGACTCTGATACCCCACTCCAGGCTTCCCTACTCTAGGGACATTCTTTGCACCTTTCTCTTGTTTCAATAGTGCATGGCAGCTTTCCTTCCTGTGGGTGACCTCATTGTTCTAAGACTTTGACCCCCAAAGGGGTTCCTTTTTCACCCAACTAAGGTACTGACACCTTGGGCTAGGCAACCATCTGCAAGGAAGTCCTCTTCCCCCAGCCTGGACTGTACATCCTGGGCCAGGCAGCAGCCCTTCACCAGGACACCCTGCTCACCTCACTCAACCTGTAGCACCCTGACACCTTACATGAGTTCTGACATCCTCACCACTGGGCTGCCTTCCTACCTACACAGATATCTCTCTTCCCTCTGCACATTTTTCAGCATCCTACACTGGGCCACCACCTACCGACATGGACACTCTCCTTACCCTGTTCAGGGCCCCTATAATCCTCCCAGGTGTGGAGATCCACCCTGCTGTGCCTCTCCTAATTGCTTTTGGACTGAAATGCTCAAGAAGAAAAAAAAAAGATAGGAGAAGAAAAAAAGGAAAAGGAAGAGGAATAATGGCATTTTAATGAAAGCGAATTTATAGAATTCTTACCCTGATGTTTTATCACTTATAAATGGACCTTTCCTTACACAGTGGAAATGTTCTCAATGTCATTAATCAAAAAGAAAGTTGTGGGGTTTTATTCATTTTTTAAAAATGAGGTAGTTGAAGACTGAGAATGATCAAATCTTATATTCACTGGTGGGGAAAAAGGGACTCTGAAGGATTCATCTATGCTGGGCAAATAGATTACATCAGAAGCAGATATTTTGTTCCTAGTGCCAATTTAGTAAATTTTTCTAATTCTAAGAAGTGTCTACATTATGCAATTATTCATATTTCTTAGGCTTTTTCTGGGTCACTGCTCCCTTTTGAGAATCCAAGGAAAACTATAGCTTTTTTCAGAAAAATGTACATACTGATTTAGACACACACACACACACACACACACACACAACTTGCATTCAAACTCTTTTATACAGAGTATTTGACCTCCTAGTTAAGAACAGAAATAGATATTTCAATAATGTCAATATTTGCCTACATAAATATAACACAGGCACTCAATCTTTGCAACCAAACTAAACTAGGCTTGAGAACAAGCTCTGCCACTTACTTGATTCATAACTTTGGCCTTAACTTCTCTGAGCCTTATTTATAAAATGGACATAATAACTACCTCCTGCCTGTTGTGAAAAATTGAGTTTATGTAGCATTTATGGTTGCTTAGTATGGGTTCATCTTTATTATGTGACTATTTGGAACCATCTGAACACTTCACAGGATGCTTCAGTTTTCACTGCATGCTTAGTCCATCCTGAATGGACTTTTGAGAGGCCAAGTTTATTCAGTTCCTATCTTATTGGTCCTCTTGTCAGAAGGTATTTCCATATTGAGAATTTCTGAGCTATGAAAGAACCGATAGTGTGAAATATGTGTTGATGCTTTCATTAAATTCAAGATTCCAACCTACAGGCCTTCAGAGGTCCTCTGTGAGAGTAAGGTTGAGAGAAGTGACAGGAAATGGCAAAGACTACAGAAATTCTCCTAAAAGTAGCAGTTCTTTCATGGCTCTAGATCAATGCTCCAATGAAGGAATGTGAGCCTAGGTTACCAGATTATAGAAGTCTTTTGGAGAAGTCAGAAATTTGGGTTTCTTTAATACATCTTCCCAGTTTAACACATTGTGTGGTCCATCCATTTACAATATCTGCTGTAAGTGGAGACATGCCTATATGTATGTCAACAGTGGTCTATGGTTCTGTATCAAAAAAAAAAAAAAAAAGGACAAGCATAACTACATAAAAACATGTTAGTAACAGTGAGGATTTTTCTATCATCATAAGTCTATTTAAGATACTAAACAGAGAAAGCAGAACCCCAGTAAGCTCCTCAGCAATTATCCAGGATGTCCATAAAATCTAAAGAGAAAGATCATATTAATTTTACTTTTATAGCTTGAAGATGGCATCGATGGCATTATGTATGTATATTTGCCTATGATTTCAAGCTTATGGGCAACATTGTAATATTAAAAATAATTTAAAAGTGACATAATCATGAAGTACCTTCAATACATAGCCATAATTTAAACTTCAAGTATATTTATAAATTCTAGAAGCCAACAGTGGCATATGTTCTATATAGATTATTTTTATGTTTATTCAATTGTAACTAATCTAAGTAAAGTATGACTTATCAGAAGGACAACACTTTTATTTAAACATCCTCATTATATGAAAGTAATTCAATATATAGTTTTTTTTTAATTGAACAAGATTAAAGCAAAACAACACAAAGTTTTCCTAGGAAAAAATTGTTAACTTTGCAGCTGGGCACAGTGGCTCAGGTCTATCACTCCAGTGCTTTGGGAGGCCAAGGTTGGAGGATGGCTTGAGCCAAGAAGTTTGAGACCAGCCTGGACAACATAGTGTTACCCCATCTCTATGAAAAAAAAATTGCTAACTTTGAATCTTACTATAAATTAATAAAACATATTTCTCTCAGATAATGTATTTATTTCTTCCAAAGAATGTGCTTTGAACACATTTTTGCACATTTTCTTTGGCTGGTCCTATAAAACTAGAACCCAAATAAATATTCAATTCAACAATATGGGCTGCAAACACTACCAAGATACCAATGAAATACAACTACAAGCGAAATGAAGATAATCTTCAACAGAAAACTAAAATTTAAAAAGTCATAAATCTTAGTTAACTCAAGTAAAGAAACAAATTTTTTTCTGACAGTTTTACTGGCACTGATTATGACACCTTTCCCATGTTTCTACCTATTCAACTGTTTAGCTACCATAGGTTACCATAGTTACCATAGTAACAGTATATATATAGAAAAACTATAGTCAATATAAACCTCATATACAACATGAGTTTTTTTTTTTTAATACTGCTCTTCACAATATTTAAAATGTCAAAATCCAGGGGATCTGGTTGCTTTCAGAACTGAATTATAAGAAACAGCTCCTTTCCCCAAGGCGCCATGAAAAATATTATCTAAAGTACCTCCAAGGAAGTCATTTAAACTGACCATTTAGCTCAGTAGATAGCAAATAACTTCCTGGGAAAAGAAACTACATCCACAAGACAGAAAAATTAGTGCATTTCATTAGACAGAACTTCAGCAAGCAGGGCACTGGTTATTTTCAGACATGGGGATCATTATCAGAAGTGGGAATTATTAAAGTCTGAGAGATAAAGTTTTAGTACTTTTAAAAAGCACTTATTTTTTCCTTCCCTGCAAACATGTCCTGAGTCCCAAGGAGCAGGGCCACAGAAGCCTGGATGTATTTGGAATTGTTATAGCAGAGGAGACCTTACAAAATTCCTGAGTGAAACCCCACCAGGCTAAAGGCCTTATAGAAATTCCTCACCAAATTCTAACATGGTGTGACCACATTTGTATAGGACATGCATGGCATATCCATGCTAAGAGGACCTGAGACAGCTCCCAAGAACCCCCTGATGACCCAGGTAATATGGTGAAGTATTCAAAATTTTTTCTTGATTGTAAGATGACACCAGAAAGCCGGAGAGAAAGAAAGAATGAGAGAAAGAATAAGAGAGTTAGAGAAAGAGAGAGAAGACCTGAAAGAGTGCTGGAGCAAGGAAGGAAATAGAGAAAGTAAAATGACCACCAGAGACAGAAGAAAATGTGTTATCCTAGAACATCTTCTGGGAAAAAAAATACTCATTAACTAAAGCTAGTAAGAAACAGGATTCAGCAGCTAACACCAACAAGAATGAAAAGCCAGAATGATACAGCATCCCATGATGAACTGATACTTCATAACTTCCCCCTAAAACATGGGGCAGCCATAGAGATTAAAAAAGAAAAAGGAGAAAAACTCTGGATGACTTCAAGAACATCTGAATTATCTATGACAATAGTTCTAAGATAAACTATAAAATAAGCAAGCAATCACTCAATTGGCAAAGGTTATGTCTGCCCTCAGTGGAATCAGAACTCCAGGTATGATTAAGTTCGATTATTTTTAAAATAAAGAAAAATTATGTTTCCTGTATTCCTAAATTTTGTGGATTAAAATTCATATTGACACAATCTGTATTATCAATACTCCTTCAGAAAAGGTTTTCTTCTATTCTTTTCGATGTCTCTCCATTCAAATATTATAGATGCTTTGGCTTTGAGTGAGGTGGTTCACAAAAATCCAACTCCTATTGTCAAGTATTTTCTCACTTGCCATAATAATAGCAATAATAAAAATGAATAACAATAACAATTACATAGCAGTTGCTAAATGTCAGGAATGGCTGTAAGTACTTTAAATATACAAATTCATTTAAGCTTCACAAACATGAAGTAGGTTCCTTTGTAATACCATTATACTAGATAAAGAAACCATGGCACAAAAAGTAAATCATGTGCCAGGAAGTGGCAGAACCAGACCGGAACCCAGGCAAGCTCCATAATCTGTGCTCCAAGCCACTATGTCTCTTTCATCAGTCTTCGAAAACTTTACTTCCAAGACCTTTCACACTGTCTGGCACATGAGCATTTAAAAGATACTGATGAAATTAATAGATAACTTTATGGTATCATAACATTCTAAAATTATTTATGTACCATCACTAATTTAAAAGCTTGTCCTAAAAATCATATGGAACCAAAAAAGAGTCCTCATATCCAAAGCAAGACTAAGCAAAAAGAACAAATATGGAGGCATCACATTATCTAACTTCAAACTATGCTATAAGGTTGTAGTCACCAAAACAGCATGGTATTGGTATAAAAATAGACCAATGGAACAGAATAGAGAACCCAGAAATAAAGCCAAATACTTACAGCCAACTGATCTTCGACAAAGCAAACAGAAACATAAAGTGGGAAAAAGCCACCCTATTCAACAAATGGTGCTGGGATAATTGTCAAGCCACATGTAGAAGAATGAAACTGGATCCTCATCTCTCACCCTATACAAAAATCAACTCAAGATGAATAAAAGACTTAAGTATAACACCTGAAACCATAACAACTCTAGAAGATAACATCAGAAAAACCCTTGCAGGCATTGGCTTAGGCAAAGACTTCACAATCAAGAACCCAAAAGCAAATGCAATAAAAACAGAGATAAATAGATGGGACTTCATTAAACTAAAAAGCTTCTGCATAGCAAAAGAAATAATCAGCAGAGCAAACAGACAACCCACAGAGTAGGAGAAAATCTTTGCAAACTATGCATGCAACAGAAAAGTAACATTCAGAATCTATGAGACACTCAAACACATCAGCAAGAAAAAAGCAATCCAATCAAAAAGTGGGCTAAGGACATGAATAGACAATTCTCAAAAGAAGATATACAAATTGCCAACAAGCATATAATAAAATGCTCAACATCACTAATTATCAGGGAAATGAAGATCAAAACCACAATGCAATACCACCTTACTCCTGCAAGAATGGCCATAATTGAAAAATAATAGATGCTTGCATGGATGTGGTAAAAACGAAACACTTTTACACTGATGGTGGGAATGTAAACTAGTGCAACCACTATGGAAAACAGTGTGGAGATTCCTTAAAGAACTCAAAGTAGATCTACCACTTGATCCAGTAATCCCACTAGTAGGTATCTACCCAGAGGAAAAGAAGTCATATGAAAAAGATACTTGCACACACATGTTTATAACAGCACAATTTGCAATTGCAAAAATATGGAACCAGCCCAAATGTCCATCAATCAACGAGTGAATAACGAAAAAAATTATATATATATAAAATACATGTTTTATATATATATATGCATATGCCACAGAATACTGCTCAGTCATAAACAGGAACAAAATAATGGCATTCACAGCAACCTAGATAAAATTGGAGACCATTATTCTAAGTGAAGTGATGCAGAAATGGAAAACCAAATATCATATGTTTTCATTCATAAGTGGGAGCTAAACTATGAGGGCAAAGACTTAAGAGTTACACAATGGACTTTGGAGACTTGGGGGAAAGGGTGGAGGGGTGAGGAATAAAAGACTACACTTCGGGTATAGTGTATACTGCTAGGGTGGTGGGTACACCAAAATCTCAGAAATCAGCACTAAAGAACTTATCCATGTAACTGAATGCCATCTGTTCTCCAAACACCTATTTAAACAAAAATTTAAAAAATAAAATAACATACTTCCTCTAGGAAAAAAATATATAAAAGCTTATCCTATTGCTGTACAGTTAAATGGTATTAAAAATAACACTGTGAAAAACAACCAGATTTAAAAAATAGGCCAAAGACTTTAAAGATAGCTCTCCATAGACAATATAAAGATGGCAAATAAGCATCTGAAAAGAAGCTCCACACCATATGTCTTTCAGGAAGTGTAAATTAAAACAGTAATGAGATACCACTACACACCTATTAGAATGGCCAAAATTCAGAACACTGACAATACTAAATGCTGAAGAGGATGTGGAGCAACAGAAACTACCATTCATTGCTGGGGGAAATACAAACAGTACAGCCACTTTGGAGGACAGTTTGGCATACTCTTCCCATAATTTCCAACAATCTCACTCCTTGATAACTATCCAAAGGAGTTGAAAACTAATATCCACACAAAAACCTACACATGAATGTCTACAGCAGCTTGATTCATAATTTTCAAAACTTGGAAGTAACTATAATGTCCTTCAGTAGATAAGTAAACTGTGTTACATATTGTCAATGGAATATTATTCAGTGCAGAAAAGGAGAGTTATCAAGTCATGAAAAGATATGAAGGGAACTTAAATGCATGTCACTAAATGAAAGAAGCCAATTAGAAAAGGCTACATGCTATATGAGTTCAACTATATAACATTCTGGAAAAGCCAAAACTACCAAGACAATAAAAATATCAGTGTTGCCAGGGGTTGCAGTAGGAGAGTGGGGCATTGGAGGATTGAATAGGCAGAGCACAGAGGATTTTTAGGGCAGTAAAATACTCTACGTAATACTATCATGTTCATATACGTGTTTCCAAACCCATAGGATGTACAACAGTATAGTACACTAGTAAAACAGTAGTACACTAGTAGTACAGTAGTAAACCCCAGTGTAAACTACAGACCTTAGGTGATTATGATGCATCAATGCAGGCTCACCAATTGTAACACATACACCTTTCTGCTGAGGATGTTGATAATGGGGGAGGCGATGCATGTGTGGGGACAGGGGTATATGGGAACACTGTGTACTTTCCTCTCAATTGTGCTGTCAAGCTAAAACTGCTTTAAAAAGTAAAGTCTTTATTAAATACATAAATAAATACTATGATGATCATTTTTATATATTAGATTTTTTCCTTAATTTTGACATACAACTTAAACTAGGTGCCTAAAAGGGAATTATTAAGTTAAAGAATATGAATGCCCATGTCTCTTTATAATTATTACCAATAATTGTTTTCCAGGAAATAATAAATTAGTATTAACAATAATTAATAATGTATAATAATTAATATTTAATCACCAATTGTTTTCCAGATAATTGTTTATTATTAATAATTATTATAATATTGATTATTATATAATAATTATCTTGATTATTACATAATAATTACGTTATTAATTATTATGGTTAATTATGTTATTATTATATAATAATGGTTTCCAGCCTAATAATGTAACTGCTACCAACAGTCTATTGTTTCACCTCATAATTGCCAAACTTTGGATATATAAATTTTTTCTTCTTAATAGTCAAATATGCCATGTGATTATTGTTTTGTTATAGTAGGTAGCTAGGCAGGCATGAACAGGACAGGAGAGGACTCCCCTCCCCAACCAGGAATTTCAGGTGACCATCAGATGATGGTCAGGCGGTTATTAACTGTCTCTCTAAAATAATAACTAATCCAACCTGCACCAGGGAAAGACATTCTCTCAGTAGATAGGAAAAACCTGAAACTAGGGATCAGCAATTTCCCAATAAGATCTCAGGAGGTGGGCGAGTGGGCTCCAGCACGCACATTAAGAGGCAAAACGGGGCCGGGCGCGGTGGCTCACGCCTGTAATCCCAGCACTTTGGGAGGCCGAGGGGGGTGGATCACGAGGTCAAGAGATCGAGACTATCCTGGCCAACATGGTGAAACCCCGTCTCTACTAAAAATACAAAAATTAGCTGGGCGTGGTGGCGCACGCCTGTAATCCCAGCTACTAGGGAGGCTGAGACAAGAGAATTGCTTGAACCTGGGAGGCAGAGGTTGCAGTGAGCCGAGATCACGCCACTGCACTCCAACCTGATGATAGAGCGAGACTCCGTCTCAAACAAACAAACAAAAAGAGGCAAATTGTTAGCATTTAACTGGCATATGACCTCCTAGGGACTTTTGACTGGTAAAGCAAAGAACGGCTGAAGTGAGTATATGTACAACTCCAGTAAACACACTGCGCATGCTCCCCTCCCAAATACCAGCAGGCCCCTGTGCCTGTGGACAGCCCATGCCCAAGGGAAGAATCAGGGTGAAGGGACAGACGCAAGACACCAGAAGCAAGACGTCTGCTTGGCCCTCTTCTTTCTTTCTTTACTTTCTTTCATTCCTGTTGTAAAGCTTTTTAGTAAACTTTCACTCCTGCTCTAAAACTTGCCTGGGTCTCTCCTTCTCCCTTATGCCCCTGAGTCAAATTCTTCTGAGAAGGCAAGAATTGAGGTTGTTGCCGACCCCTATACATTTGCTGCCGATAACAGTTTGAATCTGCATTTCTTTGATTACTAGTGAAGTTAAATAAGGTTTTTTGAATTGTTTATTGGCCATTTGTATTTCTTTTATCTGTTTCACTGCCTTTTTAAGTATAATCTAACTCTAAATTAACTATTTGTTTTTTCTTATTTTGCAAAATGTTTCTTTTCGCCTAGAAAATATATTGCTATTTTCTTTTGTAATAAGCTACGTAACAACAAGTCCCCCATTCAAAACAAGTAGCAGGATAAGGGCACCAAAGGGCAATTCTAAGAAAATCGAATCTTCTACCGAAGGAGCATATAGTTCCAAGTTCGACTTCCCTCCCTTAAACAAACAAACAAATAAATAAATAAATAGAGGCGTAAGTTGAATATGTATATTTGAAGCAAGTTAAAAGACATAAAACACAAATTGAGCAAATAGCTTCAGGGGACCTGTATTTATTCATGACCATTAGTGTTCCAAACCATAAATCTATTTAATTAGATTTAATTACAATACTGCTCAAGACAACACAGAGATAATAAAAATCTGACAGTGGCATTTTATATATTGCTAGAGGGATTGTCTGTTTATGCAAATAACTGACATGCCTTTGCTCAAAAGTACTAATTGAATGAATTGTTAAAACTATATGGCTAATGAGGGAAGTCAAAAAGGAACAGCCTGAATTCTTCAAATTTCAAAGCTCTTCTGCCTTCTTTTCTACTGGGACCTATGACTCACCAGACAAAGTAGAATGTAATAGCCTAAGCATTCAGGGAATGGGAAGCACTCCAGATCTTCTTCATTTTTCTCAAACATTTAGCAAAGTTAACTACTGCCTTCCTACTTGATATTCCTATATTTATCTGCCTGTTGCATGATAATGTATCTATTTACAGGTCTTTTTCACCTACAAAGCTATGAGCTCATTGAAGGCAAGTAACATGTCTGGCTCATCATGTTATTCCTAGTGTCTGTAACAGTCTTTGCCATATGAGAGGTATTCAGTAAAATTGTTGAATGTGGGAATAAATGGGCACTAGGAAACACTTAAAATGCCAATAATAATAGCTTTCATCATTTCTAACTTTGAAAGACATTTTTAATCATATATTCTAAAATCAAAATCTAGCCTTGATCATTTCAGACTATGTACCTTGCACCAACGATAGCTCTATAAAATTTCTATACTCTGTCACAGCCAATTGACCATGATGAATAAAAAAGGAGAGCTTTGGGGATCAAGATGCTAACAGTAAATAAAATATCAGATCCAGATACACAAAGTGGTCATAAGACTCTCAAATCTCCAGCCACCACTTTATGTTTCTATTGTGAGGGATAAACAAGGGACCTTATGACATTTGAAAAATACTGATTAGTTTATCTCTCTGCAAACTGATTCTCTAAATGATCACCCTGAGTAGAATATAAACTAATGCCTTCAAACTTTTGGGCAATTCCAGCCTGCAACACACTGTGTACACACCTACCTGTTCCCCGCAAAGATGTACTCTCTCCATCAAATCTTCCATACATGTACAATGGTTGTTCATCTTTGTATTCATTCACACTGCAATAGTAAGTGAGCACCTTGTCATCCTAAAGACGACAGGATGGCTAAATAGTAGAAAGGAGAGCTTTGTTGGTGATATCATTTTACAAGCCAGAAAGAGAAAGTCTCCAGCATAAATTGAAGGTGTTCTCCAAAGAATGGAAGGACAGGTTGTGTTTTATGCCTCACAGGGCTTGCATCATACATACCCAGCAGGTTTAGGGAAAAGCTATACAGATTTACAAGAGGAGCTGAGTGCATGAAAATTGGGTATACAAGTATGTAACATATATTCTATGTTCACTTTAGGGCAGGGTTATAGCATTAAAATGAGGGGGAATTTGACTGTTTATGTCAAAAGGTGAACTATAGGACACAAAGACAATTTGTGTGCAGCCTCTTTAGGCTGGCTGAAACTGGCCTAAGGTGTGCAATCGCTTATCAGAAAAGAATAGAAGGCCAGTCATCTGTCCAATCAGAGTTGGACCTGATATCTCCTGTTGTTAGGGAGCTTAGCCACAGGAATTTAGGAATTTGCTACACCAGCCAGGCCCTGAAACTTTCACCCATAACTTTGTTTCTTTAACATTTGGACTTGTCTTAGTTGTTAAGTAGGCATCTATTTTGGTCTCTCAGATCACAACCTACTATTCCAACACTGTAGTAACCTCTGAATACCATAATTTCTAAACTTGCCAAGTGACATTGCACATCCTAGAGACAAAGGAAATAAGCTGGTGTTTTCCAACCTTTTGCATATTGTAATATACAGAGAAAGTGCAGGTATTGCCCAGGAGCAGATGAACTTTCTCCTGCTGGCCACCCCAGCCCTGCCCACCTGATTCTAGGCTTAAGGAATGAAGCATACCTATGTAACTCCGTATAAGATGGAGGCAAAGTCAAGTCACCAGGCACAACTTGAGGTTGAATCTAATGTCTGTCTCCGGTCTCATTTGCCTAGTTTCCAAGTAACCTTAGTCAAATTCAGCAATACCTCAAGAATGAAATTCATGATTTTTCTCCCTGTCTCTTCTTCATCCTAAAGTTGATGCTGAGGAGACTTAAACTTCAGAAGGTTAAATGCTGCAGGGTCATCAGTGGTATATATGAACAAAAAAAATTTAAAATAAGAGGCTTAATTTTTCCTCTTACAAGGTAGGAGACGGCAGGGCATGGTGGCTCACACCTGTAATCCCAGCACTTTGGGAGGCTGAGGCAGGCGGATCACGAAGTCAGGAGTTTGAAACCAGCCTGGCCAACATAGTGAAACCCCGTCTCTACTAAAAATACAAAAATTAGCCGGGCATGGTGGCAGGCACCTGTAATCCCAGTTACTTGGGAGGCTGAGGCATGAGAATCACTTAAACCCGGGAGGTGGAGGTTTCAGTAAGCCGAGATCGCACCATTGCACTCCAGCCCCAATGGCAGTTCAAGACTCCGTCTCAAAAAAAAAAAAAAAAAAAAAAAAAGTAAGAGACATCCCCCTTCCTTTTCTTTGAGCATAAATTCCTTTATAAACTTGTAATATATAAATGTATGTAAATCTTTTTATAAATCTCTTTTGCCAGTTTTGCAACCCAGAAATGTCTTTCTCAAGGATCTAGGAGCCAACCCCTAAAAATGTAAATATCAAGTGATACAGCATCCCATCTTCAAGTTTCTATGAGAGGGTAGGCACCTAATTTCTCTAGGCACCTAGCTCCAAGTTGCAAAACTACTTTCTGTCATAAAGTTATGGAAAGTGCATTGTCTTTTGTATAAAGCCAGTTATCTAACACAGATGTTCACTCCAATTACCAGATAAATTTAGGATGAACTATGTGTGGCAAATGGTGCTGTCAAGTCCTCTTACTTGAAGACTAGTTATTGTTTATCTTGAAAATATGTATGTAATGGGTTGTATCTGCTTGGCTACATAAAAGAGTGAGATTTCTTTTCATCTTTGCAATATCTTAGCAGATTGCCTGCAATGTGGATCACATTCTGGTTTCATGCCTATTCAAAAACAAAAACTGTTTTCTTTCTAAACTACCTTTGTGCAGAGGTTTTCTGGGTCAGAATATTTGCTTTTAATTATATTTCCCCAGCAGGAAGGAGTCATCTTTCTTTTGGTTCTTGCTTGCCTCTTGATTCAAATGACCGTTTTCTTTTGTTTGTTTTTTTGTTTTCCATCTGACACTTAAGCATGCTCTACACTATGCTAGTAATCTATTAGGATGTAGCTATGTCATCATCCCATCCCTGATGGGATGGATCAATTAAGCTGCCCTAGTTGTCATAGCCTGGCCACCAGCCCCTTGCCTGCTCAGGGGCTTCTTTCTCTCAGCTAACATCCATATGATCTTAAGGACCTATAGGCACTTTTTGATGCCTCCCATCACAGTCTGGGAAGTCTTCAACCTCCTCTTGCCAAGACATACTGCATCACTATTTCTGTTCTCTGTGGCAGCATGATGAGGTTCTATGAGGTTCACTTTTCCCTAGGCCTTACACATCTCAGGGATTCCTAAATTTTCACACATCTACTATCAAGATCTGGATCAGGCTGGAATGAGGGGCAGGGCACAGAGCTCCCACACACCATCTAACACTTCTTTCTAGACTCTTCTCTCCTCCCTAGGACCAAGGGTCTTTTATCTCATAGGGAGAAAGGAATAAGTCAAAACAAACAAACAAAAAACTGCCTGATAGCTTCTTTGAAATATTTTCCTGATTTACATTGCAAATGTGCTTTTTAAACATAAAAGATAAGGACTTTAACATATTTGTCTTCTATTTTGACCACGCCTTGACCATGAACAAGGTTCTTAAAGTAATTACAAATAAATTATCCCAGGCGTGGGGGTGGCAGGGAATAATCTATCACAGCCCAACATATCATACACTGCATATACGATTAGGGGTAAAGTCTCAACTTCTCTCTAAGCCTGGTGTGGTGGCTCATTTCTGTAATCCAAGCTACTCTGGACACTGAGGTGGGAGTATCATTTGAGTCCAGGAGTTTGAGAGAAGCCTAGGCAACATGGCGAGACCCCATAAGCTGGGCATAATTGCACATGCCTGTAGTCTCAGCTACTCAAGAGGCCGAGGCAGGAGTTCTCAGGAGTGCTAAAGAGGAACTCCAAAGCAGGAGGCCCAGGAGTTCCAGGTTGCAGTGAGCTGTGATTGTGCCATTGTGCTACCGTATGAAGGATGCAGTGAGATCAGGTCTCTAAAAAATTAATTAATTGATTAAAATTAAAATTAAAAAATTAGCTGCACTTGGTGGACCTGTAATCTCAGCTACTCAGAAGGCTGAGGCAGGAGGATGGCTTTAGCCTAAGAGTTTCAGGCTGCAGTGAGTTATGATCATGCCACTGCACTCCAGCCTGGGCAACAGAGCAAGATCCCATCTCTAAATAGACATCTCTCTAAAATTCCTTTCAATTAATATCAATTTCAATTTGTAGAGTAAATATTGATTATTTGTGTTTTTCTTTCTTCCTTATAACACTTGCACAATGCCGTTTTATTTATGGCAAAAACCTCAGACACCTTTTTTTGTTTGTTTTTTAACTTTCTACAAAGAAACCACATTTAGTGGGTTTCCCATGTTTGGAGTTTTTGAAAAACAGTTCACCTTGGTAGAAGCGAGGACACTAAATAGCCATTTGAGAACTTAAAAAAAAATCAACTGTAGAACCATTGTGAGGACTAAAGAATCAAATCAATAAGATCTCCTGGCCTCTAGACTAAATAATATGATGAAAAACTTGCAAGCTAATAAAAATCAATACATGTTCATCTCTGTGTAGAAAAACTCAATATATTCAGAGCTCCTCTACTTAACAAAATGTATTGCAAACTCTGTATCAATAGAGGTGAAATATGTTAAGGAATGTGGCTGTGAGAAGTCATTTTACACCTCAGTTCCTTAATACTCGATCACAGAACTTGACTCCAGCTATTCACAAAGTATGGAGTACATTCTCATATATGGAAAGTGACCAAATTTTCTGAGAGGAGGCACAGAACTTACCGAGCTACACATCTTCTGTACCTCTATCTGTCTTTGCTTGGTCTACAATTGCCTGCCAAGGCTCAGATAATCCACTAACATCATTAAAAAAAAACTTCTTGGCATGACGCTGCTCATGAAAGCCGAGAAAAAGAAACCAAACAATTTGATAGTGCTATAAGGCAGGCCCACATGATAATTTTTTAAAGAGGAATCAGACATATATAAGAAAGTCAGAGATCAGTAGATCTCTGGTTATATGTGGCTTAGCCCAAGACAGACAGAAAGGCTCTGGAATTTGCAGTATTAATTGGATTCTTTCAAAACAGTTAACACCAATATTCATTTTGTATCTACTAGAAGAATGTCTGAAAATGGTCAGAACCTGATTCTTCGAAGTAGGAACTAGGCAAGTAATAGATACTTGATAATTTTTTCTTTTATTATTATTTAACTAATATGTATTGAGAGTTATATAAGATACTAGAGATACAATAGTGAGGTTCTTTTAAAATTATGATACTATTCCTAATGAGCTTTCAGTCTACAAAAGACATGTGTGTGTGTTTTTAATCAGAAAATGAATATAAATAAAAAGAAAAATTTAAAACCCCATTCTCTCCTATTAAGTTGTTGCCTACTACCACAGACCTTTTTTCTAGTTTGAAACAATTTAAATCCCCAGAAGTACAAAGGATAACATAACAAATACTGATGTGTGCGTAGTGGCTTTTTCCTCTGTCACCTTAGCTAAACTGGACACGCATATCCTAGTATTCTCTTCCCCATTAGATTCTAGATAAAGACTGGCCATAAGAAAATACTCACAAGTTTTGGAAAGTGGAAGTGAAGCTGCAGCAATTCTGCTGCATTTTTTATAAATTAAAAATTACAGCAGCTCATGCCTTTAATCCCAGCACTTTGGGAGGCTGAGACAGGCAGATTACCTGAAGCCAGGAGTTTGAGACCAACCTGGCCAACATGGCAAAATCCCATCTCTACTAAAAATGCAAAAATTAGCCAAGCTAACGTGCTAATGTGATGGCACATGCCTGTAATCCCAGCTACTCAGGAGGCTGAGGCAGGAGAATCTTTTGAACCTAGAGGTGAAGGTTGCAGTGAGCTGAGATTGCGCCACTGCACTCCAGCCTGTGTGACAGAATGAGACTCTGTCTCAAAAAAAAAAAATTATATTCATCTATATTTATGGGGTACAAAGTGATGCTATGATATATGTATGTAATACATTAGTGTTAACTGCAGTCACTTTGCTGTGCAACAAATCTCAAAAAATTTACTCTGCTTTTTAACTGAAACTTTATACCTTTTGATCAACATCTCCTCACTCCTCCCAGCCTCCAGCCTCTGGTAATCATTTTTCTACACTCTGCTTCTACGAGTTTGATTGTTTTAAATTTAACATATGTATGAAAATGTGGTATTTGCCTTTCTGTGTCTGGCTTATTTCACTTAGCATAATATTCTCCAGTTTAATCCACATTATTGCAAATGATAGAATTTCCTTCTTTTTTAAGGGTGAATAATATTCCATTGTATATATATATCACATTTTCTCTATCCATTCATTCACTGACAGACATTTAGGTTGTTTCCATAATTTGGCTATTGCGAATAGTGCTGCAATGAACATGAGAGTGCAGATATCTCTTTGCCATAACTGATTTCATTTCCTTTAGCTATATACTTAGAAGTGGAATTACTAAATTATATGGTAATTCTATTTTTATTTTTTCAAGGAACCTCCATACAGTTTTCCATAATGGCTGTGCTAATTTACATTTCCACCAACAGTGTACAACAGTTATCTTTTCTCCACATCCTCACCAACAACTGTTACATTTTATCTTTTGAATAGTCACTAACAGATGTGGAATGCTATCTTATTGTGGTTTTAATTTGTATTGCCCTAATGATTAGTGATAGTGAGCATTTTTTTCTTACATCTATTAGCCATTTGGAACAGAATAAAGAGCCCAGAAATGAACCCATGCATTTATGGTCAATTGTTTTTTTTGACAAAGATGCCAAGAACACACAATGGGAAAAGGACCGTCTCTTCAATAAAAGGCATTATATTATTAACATAGTTAAAGTACGCCTTATTCCCTTTTCTAGTTTCAATCTTTTTGCTCCTTTCCTAGAAACAATTGTCATGATTTTGATATCTATTTTCTATGCCATATATTTTATGTTTTACTATTTATAAACAGCATATCTGATTTGGAATCATTTTGAAATTTTTCATAAATGGAAATATGACAAACATTACTTCAAAAGGTAGTTTTTAAAGTCATCATTTAAGGTTTATAAGTTGGTTTTAGTTTCTGTATTTCACTGCCATA
This sequence comes from Homo sapiens, assembly GCF_000001405.40. Taxonomy (NCBI): domain Eukaryota; kingdom Metazoa; phylum Chordata; class Mammalia; order Primates; family Hominidae; genus Homo; species Homo sapiens. The sequence goes on along the minus strand of NC_000010.11, from coordinate 64,389,137 downwards.
TAATATTGCATCATATGAATATACCATATAGTTTCTATATTTTTTACTACAAACACACTGCAGTAATACCCTTTATATATTTCCATATGTATATATGTTTGTATACATATTTTATATTTCCATATGTATATATGTGTGTGTATATATATATATATAAACATATACAGATCTTAAGTCTTCAGTGCAATAAATTTTTACTTGTTTATATGCATGTATAGGCCAGTATGTAGAACAAGATATAGAAAATTTCCAGCTCTACAGTAGCCTCCATGTTTAGTTAATTTTATGTGCTTTTAAACTTTACATAAATGAAGCCATACAATGTGTACTCTTCTGTATTTGGCTTTTTTCTTCAACATTACGTTGCAGTATAGAATTCATCTATATTGTACATCGTACTATCTGCATAAGTCATCAGCGCAGTGCAGCATAAATTGCATGAATATAATATGCATTGCAAAGCCATTCACTGTTGATGGATATCTGGATTAGTTTTAGTTTGGAGCTATTATGTATAATTTAAATATAAATATTTTAGTATTGGATTGATGAACCATAAATACTGGAGTTTGGGGGGCCAGAAATAGTTGAATATCTGCAGTTTAAGATGGTTAACCTAACATCTGTCTTGTGGTGAACATAAAAGCATTCATTTCCCTTCAGGACTTGGCAACAAGAGAGGTTTACCACTGAGATCTTCCTTTAAGAAGTAACTTGTCATTCAACTGTAAGGACTACAGTTAACTGATAGCCTGTAGCTGGTGGCACCTTCAGGACCTACATCATCTTTTGATCTGAGGTCTCACTCTTCCTGGTCAGTCTACAAGGAATGACTGAACGGAGTAAGGTTACCAGAGCCAGACCATCCTTGCCAAAGCCAATTCCACTAATGGGAATTTCCTCTGGGTTGTCCCAGACTGTCAGATAAGCATCACGGTATGAAGTCTTTCTCTGCTCAATCCTGATCCTTTCCCTTTTATCATTTAGAAATATTACTCTCCAATAAACTCATAATCCTAACTCAATTTGATGCCTAAAGCACCCAACTAGTACAGTTGGTAGCAGGCATATTATGAGGAAGCAGGCAGTGCAATGGGGTTTTTAGACTGGATTGTTCTGTGTTTGACTGGCAATAATAACTGTATGGTATGTGGGGCACATGGCACAAGATAGTGAACCAATTGTTTAAACTTTCATCAGTGGTGAGTTGGGAAAGTATTGTAGTGTAGGAGACCACCCTGGCTGGTCCACTGGCATTTGAGAAGTAACAGAATCAGTGCATATAAGTACTGTGGAATTGGCTAATTATCACTAACTATATAGATGCCCTACAGACAGATAATGAAAACTTTGTGCCATTAACAACTAATTGAAAGTATGCAGGCTAGAGGATCTATTAATGTAACTTACAAAGAGCCCCTTATTCCCTATCTTGGAAGAGTAGAAACAGCTAAAGACAAAAAAACTGGAAATTTAATATTTAGAGTTACAAACCTTTAAATATGGTTGAGTGCTAATGCAGGTCTGTTATTTCAAGTCCTGGTCAGAGAAACTTGGGTCCTTGATATATGGGATGGGGATATCTTGATGAATGCCCTTAAAGACTGGCTCTCCAGCTCCTGTACACCAGGTTGGTAACACCCTCCATGTTAAGAGTTGTAAGCAAGCTACATCTTAGACAGTACTTAGTAATGAAACCAACTTTTTAAAATTTTTATAAAAATGAAGTACATGAAATAATATCTCACTGTGATGTTATTTTGCCTTTTGTTTATATCTTTACCTTATTAGCCAAGAATTACCTCTTCATATTTCTCATATTAAAATGCAGGATTCTTTAAATATTGTGGGCACTAATTATTTGCAGATTAAACCTTATAATTATCTTATCCTAGAGTGTGGCATATCTTTTCAGTTTTTAATGGTCTCACTTGAGGCAAAGAAGTTTTGACTGTCAGGCTGGGCCCAGTGGCTCACATCTGTAATTCAAGCACTTTGGGAGCCAAGGGCGGGAAGACCACTGTAGTCAGGAGTTCGAGACCAGCCTGGGCAACATAGTGGTACCCCATCCCTACAAAGAGTAAATAATTTTTAAAAACTTAGCCAGGCATGGTTGTCCACATCTGTAGTACCAGCTACTTGGGAAACTGAGGTGGGAGTATGGCATGAGCCCAGAAGATAGAAACTGCAGTTAGCCATGACTGCACCATTGCATTCTAGTCTGGGTGACAGAGCGAGACCTTGTCTCAAGAAAACAAAAAGAAAGAAATTTTTATTGTAATTGAATTTATTAATTTTACCATGTTTTATTTACAGGATTTGATGTTAAGAATTCTTTTCCTATTCAAGATCATAAAGATTTGCTCCTACATTTTAAGAGTTTTTAATTTTGCTTTTTATATTTATGTCTTTAGCAAAGTTTTATTTTTCTGTATGGCATGCAGTAGAAAACTCCTTTAAGTTTTATTCTTCACTTGTAGATAACAAAGTGTCTCCGCATAATTTTTATATAGTCTCTTGATATAATTTGGATGTGTGTCACCACCCAAATCTCATATCGAAATGTAATCCTCAACGTTGGAGGTCCCATCTAACAGGAGATGATTAGATCATGGGGCAGATTTCTTACGAATAGTTAGCACCATCCCCTTGATGCTGTCCTTGCAATAGTGAGTTCTCATGAAATCTGGTCATTTCAAAGCGTGTGGCACCTTTCTCCTCTCTCTCTTTTCCTATTTTCGTTATATGATGTGCCTGCTTTCTTTTTGCCTTATGCCATGTTTGGAAGCTCCCTGAGGCTTCCCCAGAAGCAGATGCCACTATGCTTCCTGTACAGCCTGAAGAATCATGGACCAATTAAATCTCTTTTCTTATAAATTACCCAGCCTCAGGTATTTCTTTATAGCAGTGTAAGAACAGACTAGTACAGATAATTGGTACTGAGGATAGGGGCATTGCTATAAAGATACCTGAAAATGTGGAAGCAACTTCTTAACTGGGTAACAGGCAGAGATTGGAAGAGTATAAAGTGCTCAGAAGAAAACAGGAAAATGAGGGAAAATTTGAAACTTCTTAGAGACTGGTTAAATAGTTGTGACCAAAATGATGATAGTGATATGGACAGTGAAATCTAGGCTACTGAAGTCTCAGTTGGAAATGAGCAACTTATTGGGACCTGGAGCAAAGGTCACAAGCATTATGCCTTAGCAAAGAACTTGGCTGTATTGTGCCCATGTCCTAAGAACTGTGCAAGTTTGAGCTTGAGAGTGATGACCTGGGATATCTGGCAGAATAAATTTCTAAGCAGCAGTGTTCAAGAAGTGGTGTGGCTGCTTCTAACAGCCTACACTCAGATGCAGAACCAAAGAAATATACTGGAACTTATATTTAAAAGGGAAATAGAGCATAAAAGCTTGGAAAATGTGCAGCCTGGCCTTGTGGTAGGAAAGAAAAGCCTGTGTTTAGGAGAGGAATTCAAGTGGGCTGCTGAGCAACCACTTGCTAGAGAAATTTGCATAACTAAAAAGAAGACAAGTGCTGATAGCCAAGACAATGGGAAAAGGGCCTCAAAGTCATTTCAGCTATCTAAGATGCAGCCCCTCCCATCACAGGCTCTGAGGCCTAGAAAGACAGAATGGTTTTGTGAGCCAAGCCCAGGGCCCTGTGCAGCCTCAAGACACTGCTCCCTGCTTCCTGGAAACTTCAGCTCTAGCTGTGGCTTAAAAGGGCCCAGGTACAGCTCAGGCCACTGCTTCAGAGGATACAAGCTGTAAGCCTCAGTGGCTTCTATGTGGTACTAAGCCTGAAGGTACACAAAGTGCAAGAGTTGAGGCTTGGGAGCCGCCACCTAGATTTCACAGGATGTATAGAAAAGCCTGAGTGTCCAGGCAGATGCCTGCTGCAGGGGCAAAGCCCTCACAGAGTACCTCTACTAGGGCAGTACAGAGGGAGAATGTGGGGTTGGAACCCCAACACAGAGCCCCCACTGGAGCACTGCCTAGTGGAGCTATGAGAAGAAGGCCACCAACCTCCTCCAGACCCCAGAATGGTAGAACCACCAGCAGCTTGCACCTTGTGCATGAAAAAGCCACAAGCATTCAACTCCAGGCCTTGAGGCCAGCCCTGGGGACAGAACCATGCAAAGCCACAGGGGTGGAGCTGCCCAAGGCCTTAGAAGCCCACAAGATTGCATCAATGTGCCCTGGATGTGGGACATGGAGTCAAAGGAGATTATTTTGGAGCTTTAAGATTCAGTAACTGCCCTGCTGGGTTTTGGACGTGCATGGGGCCTGTAACACCTTTCTTTTGGCTGATTTATCACTTTTGAAATGGGAATATTTACCTGATGCTTGTACCCCCACTGTATCTTGAAAGTAATTAACTAGTTTTTGCTTTTACAGGCTCATAGGTGAAAAGAACTTGCCTTGTCTCAGATGAGACTTCAGACATTGGACTTTGGGCTTTTGAGTTAACACTGGAATGAGTTAAGACTGAGGGATTATTTGGAAGGCATGATTGTATTTTGAAATGTTAGAAGGACACAAGATTTTGGCAGTACCAAGGTCAGAATGACACAGTCTGGATGTGTGTCCCCACCCAAATCTCATGAAATGTAATCCCCAGTGTTGGAGGTTGGAACTGGTGGGAGGTGATTGAATCATGGGGCAGATTTCTCATGAATATTTTCACACCGTCCACTTGGTACTGTCCTCGCAATAGTGAGTGAGTTCTCATGAGATCTGGTCATTCGAAAGTGGCATCTCTCCACTCTCTCTCTTGGTCCTGCTCTTGCCATGTGATGTATCTGCTCTCCCTTTGCCTTCTGCCATGATTGGACACTCCCTGAGGACTCCCCAGAAGCAGATGCTGTACAGCCTGCAGAACTATGAGTCAATTAAATCTCTTTTATTTAAATTACTCAGTCTCGGGTATTTCTTTATGGCAGTGCAAGAATTTTTCTTTCTAACCTACAATTCAACCTCCTTTATATATCTAATTTTTATATGTATTTCAGTCTATTTCAGTGCTCTTTAGTCAGGTCCATTAGTCATTTGCCAGTGGAGACTATTCTCCAGTATCCTGCTTACCACACATTTGATACCTAATGGGTCAAATCCTCTTATTCTTTTTAAAAATTATCTTGGCTATTCCCAGCCTTTTTTTCTATCATAGAAATTTCAAAATCAGCTCATTCACCACCATTAAAAAAATTGCACTTTTTTTCTATTTTTTTCATGTTATTTTATATACATTTAACTAGTTTTCCATCAATGTGAGCCAACATTTCGGATCTTCCACTTTGTACTCCCTCCTCAAATTACTGAGTATCCTCAAATTGTTTGTAATACATTTTTTCTCTTACTCTATATGAAGCTGATGAAGTAACTGGGAAAATGGTGAAATGGCAAGTGCTGAAATTATTAAGTGGACTAGCAGCAAATTGTCAAACTGAGATCCATAAATTAAAGATGTTGTGAGGACTCTTGGTTTTCAGATTCTCTCAGGCATACGTGAGACACAGACAGTTCCTTACCCCAGAGTGAGTGTAATTCAGGCCATTAATGCAATCCCCCTAAGCTTTCCTGGAACCAATAATGCTGTGCAACCTTCCAAAGGAACCATGGGTGGCCGGTCTGTTTCTCTATGGGAATCTAATGCTCTCTGAAGACTGGACACTCTTATTCACGTGGGAAAATAAGCTTTGCCCTAGACTGTCAGAAAAACAAACTTTCTTCAAGACTTCTGGTTCTGTGGCCACACTTCTCCCACACCCACAAACAGTAGATGAAAAACAAACAAACATAAACACATTTTCTTTTTTTCAAAAATTTCAACCATACAAAAACATGTAAAAGAGGTGTACACATGTACCCTTCACTTATATCTATCAACTGTTAATATGTGCCACATTTCCATTTGATGATAGATGATAGATAGATACATAGATACATGGATAGGCAGATAGAGAGTCTTAGTCCATTTGATATGTTATAATAGAGTACTAGAGACTGGGTAACTTATAACCACCAGAAATTTATTTCTCATAGTTCTGGAGAATGGGAAGCCCAAGGTCAAATTCTCAGCAGAATTAGTGTCTGGTGAGGGGCCACTTCCTGATTCATAGATGGCCATTGTCTTGCTGTGTCCTTTCATGGTGGGAGGGGTGAGGGAGCTCTTCAGGGCACTAATCTTATTCATGAGGGCTCTGCTCTCATGACCAAATTACCTATCAAAGGCCTCACTTACAATATTATAGCATTGGGGGCTAGGATTTCAACATATAAATTTGGGAGGACACTTTCAGTCTGTAGCACACAGATGATACATACATATAAGTGTATTACATATATATAAGTATACATACATATAAGTATATATACATACAAGTATACTTTGATGTTATTGCTAAACTATTTGAAAGTAACTTTTAGCAATAATGACATTCATTTCACTCCTCACAACTTCGATGTTTATCTACTAAGAATTAGGATATTCTCCCAAATAACCAAAATAACTGTATCATACCCATAAAATATAAAACTTACAGAAAATACTATCTTATATGCAGTCTTTAAACATAAAGCTCATGCAACTATTTTTTAAATTTTGATCCAGGATCCAATTTTGGTACCTTAGATAAATATCCAAAACTATTCACTCTCCCTTCTCTTGGATTTGGCTCCAGCCATGTGACTCTCTCCAACCAGTGAACTGTTAGAAGGCTTTCAAATGTGCTGGCTTGTGTGTTTCTTTCCATAGTTCCATGAAAAGAGCTTCCTGCAGGGTGTGTTGGCCCTAGGCAGGCAGTCCCTTGAGTCCAGGAGTTCAAGACTAGGCTGGGCAACATAGTGAGCCCTCACCTCTACAAACAAAACAAAACAAAACAAAATTATCTGTGCATGATTGTGCTTGCCTGTAGTTCCAGCTACTTGAGAGGTTGAGGTGGGAGGATCCCTTGTACCTAGGAGGTTAAGGCTGCAGTATGCCCATGATCATGTCACTGCACTCCAGCCTGGGCAACAGAGCAAGACCCTGCCTCAAAAAAAAGAAAAAAAAAAAGAGCTTTCCTAGCATAGAAATTGTGCTCTGAAATAACCGTATGGTAGCAGAGACACCCCAGCCAATCCCCACATCCATGAGCAAAATAAGTGCTTATCATTGTATGTCACTGAGACTCCATACTTGGTTGTTATGCCACAAAAGCCAAATGATAAATCAATGAAAGATCCACATACATTTAGTTATCATGTCTCTTTGGTTTCCTTTAATCTAGAAGAGTTCTCCTCCTCATTCTCTCCCTCACTACATGCACCTTTTCAGATTTTTCCTTTCAAGCTATTGACATTTTTAAAGAATACATGCCAGTTGTCAGGAAGGACAGTCCACATGATATAGATGTGTCTGACTGTTTCTTCATGAGAAGATTCAGGTTAAATGTTGCTGGCAAGAATACTGCATTGGTGAGGTTGTACTTCCCATTGCATTACATTAAGTCACATAATAGTTTCTCTGGCTTCTAATAATGCTGAATTTGGTAACTTGGTTTACAAAAAGTTTGCCTTTTTTCCTGATTTTAGAGGTAATTCTCTCTGTTTGTATTTAACAGTCTTTGGGTTGATACTTGAGATTACATGACTATCCCACCCCCAACAACCTTTTACAAAGGGTTGCTAAAGTGACCATTAATGATGCATGCCTGAATCAATTTTTAACTTATTATTCATTTTTAAATGGTGATTTTTGGCCAGGTTTGGTGGCTCATGCCTGTAATCCCGGCACTTTGGGAGGCCGAGGTGGGCAGATTGCTTGAGCCCATGAGTTCAAAACCAGCCCGGGCAACGTGGTGAGACCCTGTCTCATTAAAATAAATACATAAATAAATAAAATAAAATGGTGATTTTTAAAATCCTATAACAATTTCTATAATTCTTAACTGATATTCTTTTGTAAAGAATGTTTCCACCACATATAGTTTATTATTTTAAATTATGGTCTTATGGATTATTGTCTGTGTCAATGGTTTATAATCCATTAATAAAATTCATTTTTGGATGCTCATAATGTCCCAAATTCAGTCACAGGAAGCCCATTTCAAAACTTCCAGTATTGTCTTATCAGTGTTCCATAAGGGAACATGGACAACGTTTCTAAAGTTCACCATATGATACTGTAAAATCTTTATATATATTTTGTTTATACATTCAAAGAAACAGAATTGGCTGGGTGTAGTGGCTCACGCCTGTAATCCTAGCACTGAGTCCGAGGCGGGTGTATCACCTGAGGTCAGGAGTTTGAGACCAGCCTGGCCAACATGGCGAAACCCCATTTCTACTAAAAATACAAAAATTAGCCAGGTGTGGTGGCTCATGCCTGTAATCCCAGGTATCTGGGAGGGTTAGGCAGGAGAATCGCTTGAACCTAGAAGGTGGAGACTGCAGCAAGCCAAGATCATGCCACTGCATTCCAGCCTGGGTGACAGAGCGAGACTCCGTCTCAACAGAAAAAAAAAAAAAGAGAGAGAGAGAGAAGCAGAATTGTGAAGTCAAATGGTAGTTTCATCAGTCACAATCTATGCAGGAGACCAAAATCACACAGCAACTTGAACATAGAACATTTAATATAAAGTTATTAACTGGTAATTGGTAACTAGAGTGACAGGTGGTTGGCTCCTAAGGGATAAAGAAAAATTCTAAAGAATAGAGGAATATCAGCTATAGGGAATAACTACTATCCCTGCAACTGAAACAGAGTAACAAAGGAAGAAGAAATGTGAGAGAGACACCCTCCCATGAAGAGGCAGAGATTTAAACCACTGGAGAGGCAGTGGCTATGTCCCACTTGATGGCAGAGAATTTTGCTGAGGTGCTTCAGGCCAAAGTTGGCAAACAGTAAACCATTGACTATGACAAAAGAAACTTGGTGGGGGGCTCTTGTGGAAGAAAGGAAATATTTGCTGTTGAACAAGCTGGGAAGCTGAAATAATTGCTTGCCAGGAGGCCACCAGGAATTATCTCTCAATGGGGCATGTTGAAGTTTCTGAGAAACCAGCAGGGGTCCCTGTGACACTCAACTGGAAGCTACCTGTGTGGATGCTACTGGAACTCTGGAGCTGAGCTCCACTGGGTGTCCCACATACCAGCCAGGCATCACAGAAGCTAGAAAAAGGACAGCACAGTGAAACCTTGCAGGAAATCTCCCTCCTACCATCTCTTTCTAGTGCCCTCTGCTTGTGAATCTTAATATCATGCCAGTTGACAAAGGAGAAATGTTCACTAGATCCAGTTCCAGTTTGGTAAGCAGAGCAGCAAAGGCAGATTTGGAGATAAGAGGTAATAGGTTTGCAACATATATAACAGATAAAGGGTACCCTCTAATTATATACAAGTCTCTTGTACATAGCAGGTGTTGAAAAATGTTGCCCTCTTCCAGCAATGTGCAAAAAAGTCTTTCTTCCTCAAAGCTCTACCAAATAGCACAAGCTTTCAATTTGTTTGTGAATTTTATGCATGAGAAATGGTATTGCAGTATATTCTTAAATTTTAACTTGTGAGTAATGTTGAGCATCTTTTACGTGTTTAATGGCTATTTGTATACTAAGTCTGTGGGAATGTCTGTTAAATGACTTTTGTCCATTTTTCTATCAGGTTCTTGTTTTCTGTTTTTTGTGGTTTTTTTTCTTTTTCATTGATTTTAAGAGACTTGTATCTAATAAGAGAGATTACCCTTTATCTGTGAGATATGTTGTAAATATTTTTCTTGCAATCTGTCATTTGTCTTTTCACTTTATTTATCATGATTTGTTTTGTTTTGCATTATTTTGCCAACTTGCTGATTTTTTCCTTGTCTTTCATTTTAAATCATGGACAAGGAAACTTCTTTTATACCCAGAAATGCACTCATGTTTCTTTTATTTCTTGGATAGTTTCAATTTTTATATTTCTGAATCATCAGTAATTCACTTAGTATGGTGTAAGATATATTTTCCCAAATAATTGTCTAGTTTTTTAAGTAATTTCTCCAATTATTTGAGATGATGTTCTTATCATCTTTTAACTATGTGTATGAATGTTCAATAGAAACTAGAAAACTGTGGCTGGAGAAGGGGAATGAAATGGTTTACCTTACCAAGTATGGATATAAAACATATCATAAAGCTTTTATAATTAAAATAGTGTGGCATTGGTACAGAAATGGAGAAATAGATCAATGGAATAGAATTTAAAGTCCAACTACAATAGTGATCAGGCAAAACAACACAGCCAGTTCTGAGTTTTCACCTTAGAGAGATATCAATGAAGTAATAGAAGTGGGCAAAACTGTTACATAACAAACTACCCTAAAAGTTATTGGGTTTAAACAAGAACCATTTTAGGTTATTATATCTCATGACTTTATAGGTCAAGAATTCAGCCAAGGCTTTGCTGGGCCATACCTCTGCTCCACATGGCATTCATAGAACAGTTTTCAGCTGACAGATGGACTTATCTGTAAGACCCAAGGGTGCTTCATCTACATTGGATGGCTGTGCTCATCTGGCACCGTCATCCACAGTACCTTCAAGTGGCCTCTCAGTCATAGGCATTTCATGGTAGTGGGCATCTTAAGTGGTAGCACAGGCAAGGCTTCAAGGTGGAAGCTACAAGGTCTATCTGACCTTGCCTCAGAATTTTCCCAGTGCCTCCTCTGCCATATTCTATTGGTTATTAACACATCACAGGTCCAGCTCCAATTCAAGCAGTGGGCCTGTGTGAGTACCAGAAGGTGTGGTTCACTGGGGTGGCAGTATATCTTTGGAAACTGGCTACCACAAAAATGAAAAAAAGGAATTTAAAATCTATATTGCAGAAGAAATATTAAAGAATGCCGGCCAGGCATGGTGGCTCATGACTGTAATCCCAGCACTTTGGGAGGCTGAGCCGGGTGTATCACGAGGTCAGGAGATCGAGGCCATCCTGGCCAACATGTGAAACCCCATCTCTACTAAAAATACAAAAATTAGCCAGGTGCAGTGGTGGGTGCCTGTAATCCCAGCTACTCAGGAGGCTGAGGCAGAAGAATGGTGTGAACTCGGGAGGCAGAGGTTGCAGTGAGCCGAGCTCATGCCACTGCACTACAGCCGGGGCAACAGAGAGAGACTCCATCTCAAAAAAAAAAAAAAAAAAAAAAAAAAGAATGTCTTCATCATTAATGGGCAGGATAGGAGTGAGGTGAATAAGCAAATAAAACTTACCAAAGGAAAAAAAAAAAGAAAACACAAAAGAAAGTCATAAAAAAACTATATAGTATTAGGTAATTCAGACAGTAGAGTCAGGAAAAAGAATGGTCCACACTGTAACACGTTAAATAGGAGCATGAAGGGTAGAGACTGAAAAGAGAAATTTTCTCTATCCTACACAGAGAAAATTGAATTTCTTAATAAAGTTGTCATGGGTAACTTTTAAGGAAGGTATTTGTGTAAAGTGATGACTAATAATTGTGAAGTCAAATAATAAGAGGTTTTGAGTAGAGAGTGAAAGATGAAATAATTATGCCCTCTCTTTACTATATTTCAAAGATTTAAAAAGATAAAAATCTAAAATTTTGAAGAATTATCTCTAAGTAAGGCTGAAATTAATAAGTGTATTCCTATCACTGGGTCTATCAAAACACTTTTTAAAAAGCATTGTTACTGAGGTCTTCCCAACAAGTTCAGGGAAGTAATATAGAATACAGAATGAAAAATTCATCAATATTTAGAAACTCTAGTAACTAATCAGCACTTAATTATGTCTTAATTTGAAATGATAAGTAATTATCAAGTAAGAAATCAAGTAAAAATGGCAACAAGTATTATTGAATATTTATTATGTGCATCCACTATTCTAGATTTAAAAAAGACAATATTATACTACATAAATTATAAGAATCAAGTGATATTTGTATTATTCATCTCTCAATACAGATTAGCTCCAGGCATGGGGATGTACCATGGCATACAAATTATCCATATCCTATTAAATTAGATCTGAAATGACATTCAGAGGCTGTTCTTACTATTATAGTATTCCCATGCCACTAGTCTCTGGTGAGATGTGGAAAAGCTTAGAATGGAGATGGTATACAGTGGAGGAATCACAAGGAGATTCTGTAGGGCTAACAAAAACAGCTAATTTAAAAGTGAAATATTCAGTAAATCAAGCAACTATTTTGTATAAATAAGGAGTAGACATTAAGCTACCTGAATACAATGCCCAAACCTATTTCTTCCATTAGAGGAGTAATATTTAGAAAGTTTAAATGTGATTTTTGTCTTTTGCCTTTTCTAGACCATTGGAGACAATCATTTGCTTTTGGAAAGATTGGATTCTATTGCAAATAAAATGCAATGTAAAAGAGCAAGATAATATTCAGACTTTGGCATGTAAACTTACTGTCTACAAAAAGAATTTTCTATATTTCTTTATCCTTCCACCAACCATCCCCATTTATCATAACAGCAAATAAGCATGAATGACTCAGATCATAAAGCGCACTTCTAGCATACAGGATATTCCCCTTCTAGTGATCCATGTTTGAATAAGGATAGGATGTAGCATAAGCAAAAGAAAAGCCCACGGTTTTCCTAGCACTAGAGTACAGAAGCAAGCAAAAGAAGAGAAAATTGGAAGAAAGAAGAGTGAGTAATTATTTCTCCTACTTTCCCTGTTGGAGCCTCTGCCTTAGAGAGAAAGGAGGTATGTGAGGTACCTAAGAGGGAGGGCAGAGGGAGCTCTTTCTGTTTGTGACTGGCTACTGTTACCCCACGGTGACATTAATGTATAGTTGGTCAGCCCTGGGAGTTAGTTCACTCAGTCACTGTTGGTTTCTGGGCAGCATAGACTGAGCTCTGAAGGAATAAAGCGATTACTGGGGAGTTTCCATAGAGATGCCTCCCTAGTGAAGGAAGTAGAGCAGATCACCCAGATAGGAATAAACACAAGTCACATCGGACCTCACAGGGTTCTATAGTGCTGAGGGGAATAAGAAGAGATGTTCCTCAAGGGAGGAACATCAGGTCCTGTCCAAGTGGACAAAATCCAGATCACTAATAAACTCAGATAAGCATGTAGCCACCAAGGCAAGTAGCCATCAAACAGACAAAAGACACTGTCCTTGAGGCTACAGGAGCCAACAATACTATGGCTGAAGACCTCGACTCTCCCTGTTTATCATGAGTTTGTATAAACTCTTACCTCCTCATGCTGCCCCCTCTCCTACAAACACACAAATACACATACTTTATTAGAGAATGTCCAGGAAGCGGGGTAGAAACCTGAGAAATCTGGGAGATTGAAATTTGCCCTTTTCCTTGACGACTTCAGTATTACTGAAGGGGCTGTTTAAATTATCCAATAAAATTAATTTTAAAACAATTTGGACCTTTTGTTCTTTTCCATTAGAAACCAGAGGAAAGGAGGAAAGGAATGTGTAAAGAAGGTCAGAGCTTCTAGAGACAACATTTAAAATGAAGTCTGTAGACATTCAGGTATCAGGTTGCAGTGTTACATGCTAAACTTCTCTGTGGCCAAATTTCCGTGAAGTGTTGGATAGACATGTGACAAAAGGAGGTCGGAAGAAGTACGCAAGGAAAGAAAAAGGACTAAAATATGTTTTTATTTGATTTTACTTACAATTGATATGATTCAGTGTTTTGTGACATGTAGACATGTCTGTGGCTGTCTCCTAACACTTACTGCTCAAGTTCTCTCATCAGTAGATATTAATAATAACAAATCAGCAGAGTAATCCGAAATAATGTAATTACTTATTACCCTGAAGAGTTCCACTGAAGGCTGTTGTCAGCTAAAGAGAAAGAACAAGAGCCCCATAAAATAAGGTAGGTTTTTAAGGCTAATAATTCATAGGCTTGCTAAACTTCAGACAAAGTTATTACCCCAGGAGAATCTTGAGATGTAGCAAGTAAATGTTTTTTTTTCCCTCCACAGACCTAGATTTAAAGAGACTTAATGGAAATGGTAGGCAAAAGCATAGGATTAAAATATATCATAATAATAATTCCAGTGTTCTAGAAAAGGAACTCTTGACAGAAAGAAATGAAAAGAACATATAAAAGAGAAGAATACAGATAAACTAGTATTGCCTCTGACAGAAACCTCACTAGTTTATTAGTCTTCATCCCTAGGAGTTTACAACTCATAAAAAAGTTCCAATAGGAGTCCTTTTCAGATTATATATTGTTAAAGTTACCCAAAAGAAAGACTGAATTACATTTACTATGACTAAGGAAATCTTCTGATCATAGAAAATGCATTAATGCTTAGGCAATAGTAAATTGCTAAACATAGAACATTTTTAGTCTATTAGTGGGTCTCAAAGACTCAAGTGTGCTACAAAGGCAATAAAATTCTAAAAATAAACAAATATGACTAAAGTACATTTCCCTAGGAATAGGTATAATAACTTACTTTCAGATTACAAAGTCCCAAGTCTGAAATATGTGAGGAGAGATAAAAATATAGTCAGGTAGATAATAATACCATATGTCTGCTTTTAATCTAGGTGCTCTGTGATGACATATAGATTAATTGAACCTTACAGTCAAGGGACCTCTACCCTATCAGGGAAGAGATGCATAAAATAACCAAGACTTGAAGTTGATGTAAGGAGTTCAGAAGAATGGAGAAAGTAATCACTCTTAAGCTGGAACAATAAAAAGAGCATCATGGAGGAAATTGGACTTAACTGGTTATCAATTACATTAAAAAGATGGAGAGTCATACAATAGAGAGAAGAAGCATGACTAAAACATGAATGTACAAAAACTAAAAGTGTGCATCTTCACCTGGAATGTAGCAGCTACCTTATAATGTGGAGAAAGGGAGGGAGGTAAAAAAGGAAGGGAAAGAAAGAAGGAAGGGAGGGAGGGAGAGAGAATGGGAGGAAGGACCAAGATACAGAAGAAGCAGGGAACAGAAAAACATTTTAAAATAATTAGAACTAACATCCTCTGAGATAGGTGAGATTGTACACATTGAACAAGAATAGAACGCTATTTTTTTTTGAGATGGAGTCTTCCTCTGTCACCAAGGCTGGAGTGCAATGTCGTGATCTCAGCTCACTGCAACCTCTGCCTCACGGGTTCAAGCGACTCTCTTGCCTCAGCCTCCTAAGTAGCTGGGATAACAGGTGCATGCCACCACGCCCGGCTAATTTTTGTAATTTTAGTAGAGATGGGGTTTCACGATATTGGTCAGGCTGGTCTTGAACTCCTGACCTCATGATCCACCTGCCTTGGTCTCCCAAAGTGCTGGGATTACAGGCGTGAGCCACCGTGCCTGGCCAAATTCTACTTTTTTAAAAAGTGAAAAATATTAGTATCTTTTTGTGAATAGTTGTATGACATTTATGTAAAATATTAATGGAATAAACTGGATGAAAGGTATACAGGAACTTGGTGTACTCTTTTTGGAACTCTTCTAAAATTATTTAAAATTTCATTTTAAAATTTAAAAACTTTCAAAGGAATGAAAGAAAAAATATATTTTTCAAGCTTTTCTCTTCAAATACAAATAATATGAATGTGTATTCGAAGATATTTTTGTGTATATGTAGATATTTGTATTTGACTCTGTGTGTATGTATATATAAACATCTGAATATTTTAATAGACAGTTTGGAAGACAAATTTGGTAAAATTCCCAGGAAGTAGAACAAAAAGATAGAATGAACAATTCCCTTCCCTTCCTGGTATAAAGGAGTTGGAAGGTAGGGAAGGGAGGGAAGGGTCACCAGTAGTATTTGTTACGGTGCTCAAGAACACAAAACACTAAAGAAGAAGGGCATGGAGGCTTCTGAAGACATGTTTTCAGTGTGTCCACTGGCAATCAAGGATGTGAGGTGCCTGGGCACTATTGGGTAGTGGGAGGGATTAAATGGCAGACAGAAGAGTCAGTTGCCAAAGTTGAGTGAGCAATTTATTGGGCAAATAATAAATTGATTAAACAAATGTGGTGCATAATGAGAACTAGGTTTTTCACTGTTAAAGAATGTATTTACAAACATGGAAAGAGAAAGGGTAGGAAGACTTTGGACTAAAATTGGAGGCTTTAATATGAAGTCATGGTTTTTGAGTGTACATGTTCTTATACACATATGTATTTAGAAAAGGTAGTGAATACACCAAGTAGTCAGATCTTGGCTTCTAATAGTCATCCTCCACTAAAAGAAACTGGAGCTTCTTAAAGAAATGACTTTTTCCGAGTTCGATTTAAAGACAGTAGAAGATGAACCTCAGACATCTTGTGGTGCCAGACCATTATTCTCTTACACAGAGAATAATGAGAGTGTATCAAAAAAACATAGGAGCTATCTTGAAGTTGCTCCTACTGGCCTAATCTGGGCCAATTTGAGCATGAAAATGATGACAGTAAGTAATTAGAAATCATTGAATAAAATAGAAATCCATAAGTTTGCACCAATATAAATAAGTATATGGATAAATAAATGGCAGAGAAGAGAAAGTTCTTCATTACAGAAGAATAACAGAATGACAACTTATAAGTGTTTCAAAAATAATGAATACATAAATCACCGCTATGTAATCATCACAGTAATAGCTAATTCAGCCACAGGTGTGGGCTGGAAGAAAGGCATCAGAGCAAGGAGGGTCTGGCCACCTGCTTGTACAGCTTATTTTTGCCCATAGCCCTTCTTTTGCTCAATACTGGATGGACCAGTTCCATCTTACTATGGATTGATCCTAGGTCTACTAAACCTTTTGAAATAGTGAGTCTGACAGAATCCATTTTATAATGGATATTTCTATCACATGGTGTTCCACAGTCAACTCTACCAGTGCCTAGTATCACTAGAGTCCAACTCCACCTGTGCCTAGTAGCACTAGAGTCCAACTCCACCAGTGGCTAGTATCACTAAAGTCCAACTCCACCAGTGCCTAGTAGCACTAGAGTCCAACTCCACCAGTGCCTAGTAGCACTAGAGTCCAACTCCACCAGTGCCTAGTAGCACTAGAGTCCAACTCCACCAGTGCCTAGTAGCACTAGAGTCCAACTCCACCAGTGCCTAGTAGCACTAGAGTCCAACTCCACCAGTGCCTAGTAGCACTAGAGTCCAACTCCACCAGTGCCTAGTAGCACTAGAGTCCAACTCCACCAGTGCCTAGTAGCACTAGAGTCCAACTCCACCAGTGCCTAGTAGCACTAGAGTCCAACTCCACCAGTGCCTAGTAGCACTAGAGTCCAACTCCACCAGTGCCTAGTAGCACTAGAGTCCATCTCCACCACTGCCTAGTAGCATGCCAGGAATTATTATTGAAAATGTAACTTTCCACTACAGACTGTTGACTGGGGCTTGCCATAAACCTCACACAACACCTTTCTTCACCACAGAAACCTCTAATACCATGGGTTCTTCTGGGTTATATGGCCCTTCTCACCACTGGACCTACTTCTGGTGAGACTATTATTTGCCTTTGTTCACATTAATCTGCATTGATAAATAACATTTTTTAAATGAGGGAAATAATGGCTCTGTTAGATGGTCACTTCACACCTGGAATCATGGATGCAAATCTGGAGACTGACTGAAATTTAAAAAGAAGTTGTATTTTTCTATTTGGTGGCATCCCTGTCAGATCACAGATGACTGGTACAATCTAAAGAGAGGCAGATTTCAGCTGTCTCTAAGGAAGTACTAGTAGACATAGCTGTTCAAAAAGGAAAAGGGCAGTGTCTAAAGGTAAAGAGCTCCCTGTTCTCAGGAAACCGCTTGGATGATTTGAACATCATATGGGAAACTGGGCTTCATCAATGGTTTGTAACTAAGGATTCAAATCAGAATACCTGGAGTGCTTTTCTTTCAAATCATGTATTAATAACTGAGACCTGGTGATTCTCATTCTGTAGATCAGGAGGCTGCTCAGGTATTTCTGATGAGCATCCTCTCTACAGAAATCTGTATACTTGAAGGTGACCTTGAAGTTTCTTCTAACACTGAGCTCTTGTTTTACTTAGTTGTAGTTTTAATTGGATATAGAAAGCCAGTGGTAACTATACAACATTTAAAATAACACAGATTCAAAATAAAGACTCTTGGTTTTTCCATCATGAACATGTAAACTAGACTTAGCAAGAGAAAGTAATTACAAACACAGAAAAATAATTTATCTCCAGTCAATATTCTCATCCCTCCTTTTTCTTCCAAACAATTGATTATTCTGTAATTTTGCATGTGATCAGAGATAGGGAAAAGCAAATAAAAAAGCAGACAGCTATTCAACAGAAAATTCTGGAGCTATTTCAAATGTGGGTAACTATGTCTTATTAGATTATATTATTACTCTACAAAGCTGGAATAATTGGTCTCAGTAGAATGTGCTGTGTTTGTTGAATTCCCTCTGAAAATAGCTTTATTTCTTTATTTCCTGAAAAGGCTAAATAATATTATAAATATAATATACATCATGTAGTTTAAAATATGCCCAAGAGGAACACATAAGAAAGCTCAGACAGGGTTGCAATCTTTAAAAACAAGGAGGAAGCATTTTAATGTAACATTTTTTTCTTTCACAGACTATAAACATTACAAAATTACAGCCCCATTACGTAAGGTTTAGAAGTGAATAAAATACTACTTTTGACATTCTTCAGAAGATAATGAAATAAAATATATTTTAACCACACTGAATAATAAAGCTGTAAACAAACTGCAGAAATACCTTCCTTCCCACCTGAATAAAACAAGTATTGGTTCAGAGTCTTGCTATTATTCTGAAGTGTCTGAGGACTTCCTAGCAATCTTGATGATGACTGAAGTTCAAAGGTCTGTTAAATAAACCTTAAATGACCATTCACTCTGTTAAAAGTTAACTAGCTAGATTTTGGCATTAGAGAGACTTGAATTAAATGTCTAAGTTCCCATACTTTTTAACTGTGTGAACTTGTGTGAACCTATCTCATCTTACTAAGTTAGTCAGCCAGTCAATAAATACTTAATGAGAGTGCTAAGCACTAAGGCTTAGTAATTAACAAGATAGACACTGCCATGTCCAGAAGGCCTCATGGGGTTGAAGCTGGGCAGCAGGGATGGGGTAGAAGGACTCAGGGACTAAAATAAAAAGAAATGTATCCATCATGGGAAGTTTGATCTTAGATTGAAAACAAATGGCAAACATTAAAGGATTTTAAGTAGAGAAGAAAGGTAATATAATTTTAATTGCAGACAAATCCTTAATATCATATAACACATATCCCTTCCAAAGACCTTATACCTCATAAAAATATTAAACTCACATGTATCAAATCATTGAAAAGTTTAACAAATTGAATCTGTAATTGCTAAAATTAAAAAGAATGATGATAGTAAGTGTCATCAAAGAGGGGAAGTAACTGGAACCCTCATACATTCCTGCTGTGAGCATAAAACTATAAAATCACTTTGAAAAACTCACAGTTTCTTGCAAAGGTAAATTACACTTACATGTGATCTAGAAATTCTATTCCTTAGTATTTACCAAAGAGAAAAAATATATATCCAAAAACAACACTTAGACATAAATGTTCGGAGCTTCTTTTTTCACAACTGCAAAAACTAGAAACTATACTAACGAACATCAACAAAGGAATACATAAATCACCACCCGAAAAAAACCACCCAACACAAGGTACTACATACTATATGGTTCTACTTATATAAAATTCAAAAACTGGCAAAACTGGCATATAATCATAGATATCAAAATAGTGGTTGCCTATGGAAGGTGGGGTTTTTCTGGAGCGGGACAAAAATACATTTTGAGGGTTATGAAGAAGTTATATCATTTGGTGGTAGGTAAATGAGTGTTTATATACATCAACAATTTTTTTTTTTTTTTTGAGATGGATTCTCGCTCTGTCACCCAGGCTGGAGTGCAATGGCGCCATCTCAGCTCACTGCAACCTCCACCTACTGGGTTCAAGCCATTCTCCTGCCTCAGCCTCCCGAGTAGCTGGGACTACAGGTGGCCGCCACCATGCCCAGCTAATTTTTGTATTTTTAGTAGAGACGGGGTTTCACCATGTTTGCCAGGCTGGTCTCGAACTCCTGACCTCAAGTGATCCGCCCGCCTCGGCCTCCCAAAGTGCTGGGGGTTACAGACGTGAGCCACCACGTCAGGCATCTCTTATCATTTAAATCTGTGTTTCATGCATATAAGTTTTGTTTCAAAAAATAGACTTTGTATCCCTTCACTTAAAGCACAGTTGAGAAAAGACCATTGAATCAAAGTTTACCAGATCACATAATAAATAAATAAATACATAAATAAAAGGTTAAGACAGCATTCTATTATAGGAATTTCTTGCCTTAGTTTCCTCATCCTGGGAATCAGAAATTATAATAATAATTATAATAATAGGATACAGTTATAATAATCAGGTACTGAACACTCAGTCTACATTGTATAAGATTCACAACACATTCCTTACTTTCAGAGAACTATAAAGGTTAAACAGTAAATTCTGACACAAGTCCTCCATTTTACCTTGCAAAGGAAGCTGAGGGACACGTTCTCATCTGATCAGAATGCTCTACTGTGTGTCCATATTGCTTGTCTATTCAGAACTGCTTGTCAGTTCCGGACTGAACTTCTGTTTTATGCTCCAAGGTGCAGATTACTGAAAACCAACAGTTACTCATCTTTTCTTATTATCCCTTGAAATGACTACATGAGCTCTTGGAAATGAGGTCAGTAGAATCAACGAAGTTCTATGTCAGTGGTTATATGAATGATTCTCTCTCCACTCTATACATGGAAGAGGGGCAGCTGGACAGAAGTACAGAGTCTTTGAGAGAAAGATGTTACTGTTTGGAAGAAATGCTGCCATATCTTCACAAGATAACCCTTACAGTGCTGGCAAATGCAGATTGAATATCCCTTATCCAAAATGCTTGGGACTAGAAGTGTCTCAGATTTCATATTTTTGGGGGAGATTTTCCTGTATACTTTGTACACATAGACTAAAGGTAATTTTATATTTGTAAATGAAAGAATGTTTGTGTACATTGAACCATCAGAAGGCAAAGATTTCACCATCTCAGCCACCATGTGGACAATTTGTGGTTGTTTGGCATTGCTATCATTCCTGACTCTGAATTCATATGCTACCAATAAGCAATTATTTTCTTACACTTATCCACACGCAAGTCCTTAACAGTAAAAAAAAAAAAAAAAAAAAAAAGACATACCATTAATGCAGTGAAAAAATAATGTGTTTGGGGTAACTAAGCAACCAGAATACCTGTATCTGCTGGTAAGCAATAGTAACAGCAAGCAATGGCAGGATTTCAGTTTCCACCTATGATGCTGTGTTTTAGTTAAAAGGTTACTGTATTTTATTCATGACTGCCGTTAGTGGTGTGTCTAGCCTGCACACATGGAATTTTATTACCCTTTGTGGGTATACTTGCATGGGGGAATCTGGGAATATCCAGAAAAGATATATTACAGCTAAAGAGGTCTGGGAGGATAATTTTTCTCCTGGACACTTAACTATGTTGTACGCCTTTGTTTTGACTGTGTGACCTGTTACATGAGGTCATGTGTGGAACTTTCCACTTGTGGCATAATGTCAGTGGCTCCAAATGTTTCAGATTTTTTAGAATTTTGGATTTTGGATTTTTGGATTAGGAATGTTCAGTCTGTATCAGGAGTCATGGTAGCCAAGCTCACCACTGACACTTGCAGTATAGGACAGGAGAACAAATAGAGGCCCATGTACCACATGGGCCTATATATTTAAAAGTCATAAATCAAGTTTTAAAAACTATTGAATAAAATCTTTCTGATCCTTCTACTTGAACAAATATATATTCATAATGACAGAATTAGAATATAGACACGTATATACATACATAGATTCACATATACATGCATAAATCTATGCTTGTTATATGAATAAAAATGATAGAATATTATTAATTAATTAATGGTAATATGTGTGACTTAGTGTTCTATTGATGGGCCAACCGTATGATTACATATTTATTCCATAAAATTTATATTTTCTTTCAGATCAACAAAACCACTAATGAAGCTGTCATAACTGAGATTCTCACATAATTTGTGTTATTGACAATAATAATCTAAAGAATTAAAAAATATAAATGTGTCCTAAGTCTACAAAATTTGAATATATATTTATAATACTATAAATTTAAATTAAAATTATTTTTGTGATTTGTATTTTTATATTTCATTTTGTAAAATATTCAAAACTATCCTTCACATTAAAAGGCAAAGTATAAATTATAATCAATGAATATTAAAATTTTAAATAAAAATCATTGAAAAAATCCAAGTTTCACATTTAATTTTTTGAAAATGTAATTAAATCTTATTACATTTTATTATACAAACAAAAGTAAACACAAACCTGGCATTGAAATTTCATCTAGTTGCTAACTAAAGAATCAGTACCACACTTCTTGATGTCATTCATGTCTTGACCTACCTATAAACAAATTTAAATCATATGAATCACTTAAGTTTGCAAAATGTTTTTCAGGCAACATGGACAACTATTGGAAACATGACTTGGAAAACAAAGAATAGCAATATAATGGGCACTCAGTACTACTGGGAATAATACTTAGTTTTTGTAAAAATGTACTATAGTCTTACTTTCAGAAAGAGTTTCACAAGTTTATTCATTAAATTTTCTTTTAACCAGCATGTATACTACTCAAATCCTTCCTGTGTTACCAAGTATTGTCTCTCTCTGACTTCCTGCATAGGCACAAAGAACAGAATAGAGAAAGAACCCTTTAACACTAGCCTAGGGGAAGTATTGTTAGTAAACCCTGGACTTACTGCTTCTGATTCCTCATACCCAGTGTTGTAGGAGTTCAGTGACATTTACATTTTTGAAGTCCAGGCATGTCCTTAATGTAGCATTTTTTAGTCCATAGGTCTATGAAAACACTAATTCCCAGTGGAGTTAGAGGATACTCTTTGAAACACAAAAGTACTGCAGTTAAATATTAGAAAAAACTATTTCATAATAGCTTGCTTCTTGGTAATTCATAGTGCACATTATCATATTATGAGCTCAGAGAAGCCCCAAAGAAAAGAAGCCTGTTTAACTTTGTTTCTCTGAAACATTTGACCACTAAAACTATTTTTCAACAGGAGAGTGCTGACTTTGGTGTTTGCTATGGTTTGAATGTATCCTCCCAAAAGTTCACATGTTGGAAACTTAATCTCCTTAATCCCCAGTGTTGGAAGGTGAAACCTAATTAGAGTTGATTGAGTCATGTTGAGTGGATTAATGCAGTTTTTGTAGGAGCAGCTTAGCTATTGCCAGAGGAACTTGTTATAAAAGTAACTCCCATCCTTGGTCCTCACTCTTTCACAAGTGCTCACTTGCCCTTCTGCTCTTCCGCCGCTGGACAATACAGCATAAAAGTGCTCACAAAATGCTGGTGCTGTGCTTTCGAACTTCCCACTCTCCAGAATTCTAAGAAATAAATTGCCTTTATTTGTAAATTATCCAGTCTATGGTATTTAGTTACAGCAATAGAAATTGGTCTAAGACAGTGTTCTTTAAAATCAATGTAGAAAACACTGCTTTAACATTTAAATGTCTAGTACATTTTTTCCCCATATGTCTTTCAACCAGCTTTCCTACCAACGAATTCATTAACACAGGAAGGAATTTACATTTCCTTATTGCCTAAGTCAGCAATTGCCATGACAAAGCAAACTGACAATTTTAGATCTCTAATAAGTACAATAGCAACCATTAAATAAGGAAATCAATTTTAAGTTTAGAAAATACCAGGTGAGGCCGGGCACGGTGGCTCACGCCTGTAATCCCAGCACTTTGGGAGGCCGAGGCAGGCGGATCATGAGGTCAGGAGATCGAGACCATCCTGGCTAACACAGTGAAACCCCGTCTCTACTAAAAAATACAAAAAAAAAAAAAAAAACTTAGCCGGGCGTGGTAGCTGGCGCCTGTAGTCCCAGCTACTCAGGAGGCTGAGGCAGGAGAATGGAGTGAACCCGGGAGGCGGAGCTTGCGGTGAGTCGAGATCGCGCCACTGCACTCCAGCCTGGGCGACAGAGCGAGACTCCATCTCAAAAAAAAAAAAAAAGAAAAGAAAAGAAAAAAAAGAAAATACCAGGTGAAACTTCTCTTTACTGCTGGTTTTGAAAGCATGACAGTCTGGCTGAGAAACTGTCACTTGAAAGAAAGCAGGAGGGGTAAGAGCATTGAAGTTTTCACCTGCTTGCCCACAATGTCACCTGATTGGACACTATTCAGTCAAAACAGAGAGACCTTTGTCGGTTTTTCTTCCTCTGTGACTGCTATTACTTGAAATCAATTGTTTTGCCAGGCAAGTTCCATTGAGACTTAGATCACAGGGATCAAAACGTCAATCTGTCTCTAAGGAATCAATCTATTTCCACCCATCTGAACACCCATTGTCTAAAAAATAGCAAATAATCAAATTAAAGGGAAACTGCAGTGATTTCTAATTTGGGATGCTATCAGCAAGTCCAAGAGATGGACTGTCAGAAATAAATTTACTACCTAACAGTTAAAGAAATTGGGAGCTTTGACTTGGAAACCTAAAAGGAACAAGGCAGAGGACAAAGCCTTATGCATTAGTAGCATTTTCTGAGGAAGAGTCATGAGGTGAAGAACAAGAGTGTTACAGAGATTGTAACTATTATACCATTTAATACCTAATTTCCAGGCCGGGCATGGTGGCTCATGCCCGTAATCCTGGCACATTGGGAGGCCGAGGCAGGCAGATCACCTGAGGTTAGGAGTTCGAGACCAGCCTGGCCAACATGGCAAAACTCCGTCTCTACTAAAAATACAAACAAATTAGCAGGGCATGGTGGTATGTGCCTGTAATCCCAGCTACTTGGGAGGCTGAGACACAAGAATCGCTTGAACATGGGAGGCAGAGGTTGCAGTAAGCTGAGATTATGCCACAGCACTCCAGCCTGAGGGACGGAGTAAGACTCTGTCTCAAAAAAAAAAAAAAGAAAAAGAAACATTCTGTTTAATGTAAGGAAGGTTACAAGCAAAAAACAAAATGAAAACAAAGAAAGGAGTAGAAGCATAAGAGTAGTGAACAGAAACTCTACCAATCATTGTGCATGTGTATACATTTGTCAACCTTCTCTCAAACTTGACAGGAGCTCATAGCAGATTTTGATTGGCTTACAATAAGTCAACCTAAGACTGAAAGAGAAAGTTCATTTATTCCCTGGTCAAGTATTTGCCTTGTTCCTTCTGTGTACTCAACTTGAACATTAGAAGATTAATGCCTACCTCGGTGTGAGAAGTGGTGAGTAAAAGATGTCTGGAAAGTGTGATATGAAGCAAAGGGAAACTTACTTTCACTCTTACTTTTGACTTTGGCCAATCTTAAATACATAACTGGTGGATTTAAATATTAAAGGTTTATTTTGAAAGTATCACAAATAAGTGAAATTTAAATATAATAGGAGAGGGTAAGATACTACAGCTTGATAAGAAAACCAGGAGACTCAAAAACCTATTCCCCACCCGCTAAACCTGGTGCCCACTTGAAGTGAGTGTTTGAGAGGCCTCAATTTTGGTGGCTGGGAACTCAGAGTTAGAACACGAGTCCACTGAAAAGAAGAACAAAGCCAGGATTTTTTTTTTAAAAAAAAGACCAGAAGTTAGGCAAGTCAGACCCACTGAGGAATCCAAGAGTCAAAATCTGTGATTAGAACTAGCTGGAATAAGGGCCACAAGGACTTGCAGTACTCCAGAAGTTGTACACTGTTTTGCAATGGCCTCACCCACTTGTATGTTGGGGTAAAACACTCCCAACATAACTGGGAAGATTTTTCTGCTCGGATACAAGTTTCAGGTGCTTTTCTGAGCCACTCTCCAACTCCCTACAGTGTGTCTTCTGCCTTCCAGCTATAGGGACCTAAGAAACTCTTCGCTGTGTTTTTTACACAAGAACCTTTATATAGACAATGAACTCTAGAGAACGGACAAAGGAATGGGCTGCACTTTTCCCTAAGAAAAGTTCCCAAGGTTTGAGTGAAAATATAGCCTAGAGTAGATAATTAAAGATGTAAATGGAAGGAGTGCAGGAGTGGAGAGGGGAGGGTGAAGGTTGGGAAGTGGGGGAGAAATGACTTCCTTTTTGATTTATGACTTTAAGAGACAAATTTTTAATTTCATTTATTCTTTTTCTAGGTGGTAGGAAGAGTTATTCTTTAGTGTGTTTAATCTAATTTTGAGTTTACTGCATTATAATCTTAAAACTTTTTACTATTCCTCAATTTTGAGATTCATTAAGATGTATTTCATATATTTTAATAACATTTTTATGAAAGTTATTTGTGTACATGAAAAAAGATGGAAGAGATATTTTTGTTACTAGGTTAAAACTTTCTTTACACAAGTATAAAATCATGTACCACGTAACATTGCAGTCAACTTTTCAGTCAATGACAGACCACATATACAATGGTGATCTCATAATATTATAATACTGCATTTTTATTTCACCTTTTATATTTTTAGATATGTTTAGATACATAAATACTTACCACTGTGTTAGAATTGCCTAAAATATTCAATATAGTAACATGATGTATAGGTTTGTAGACTAGCTGTTTGTAGGTGTATAGCAGACTGTACTATGTAGGTTTGTGTAACATTTGTAATAACTGCCAAATCTTTGTGAATTGCACTCTTTATTATTATGACATTTCCTTCTTCATCTCATTTTATGTTTCTGTACTGAAACCAATCTTGTCTGATATGAAAATTTGTATCTGTATTTAAGTTATTTGTATTTGTCTTGTTTTGGTCACTCTTTTTAACTTTTCTGGGTCAAAAGAAACAATTTTTGAGTCAGTTTATTAATGAGTATCTCTTATATACAGAATCTATTTGGGGTTTTTTTTTTGGTACAATCTGAAATTTTCTTTTAATTGGTGAGAATAGCTATTTAAATTCTTTGATAAGACAGACATATTGGCCTTAATGCTGTCATATTTTCTAGTTTAATGGCTTTATGCTTAGTATTTGTTTTCTTTACTTTGGTTTGAATTTCTTCTGCTAACTGTAAAGCTTGCATTTTTTCATTATAGTATTTAGATTTATATGTTTACATAATGCTCTAAATTATCTATTTTATAACTATTAACTCTGTTGTGAGCAATAATGAAATTAATATGTGCCTTCAGCTCCTTATCCTCTCTCATTGTCTTCCATCAAACACTTTGGTTTGTGGGTACAATTTTTTTTTTTGTTTGAGACAGAGAGTCTCACTCCATTACCCAGGCTGGAGTACAGTGATGTGATCTAATCTCACTGCAACCTCTGCCTCCTGAATTCAAGTGATTCTTATGTCTCAGCTTCCCAAGTAGCTAGGATTGCAGGTGCACCACCATGCCCAGCCAATGTTTTGTATTTTCAGTAGAGATGGTGTTTCACAATATTGGCCAGGCTGGTCTTGAACTCCTAACCTCAAGTGATCCTCCTGCCTTGGCCTCCCAAAATGCTGGGATTACAGGCGTGAGCCACTGCACCCAGCCCATTGTACTACTTTGATGTTTATTTTGATTTTTTTTACTACATGTCCTCATATCTCTATTATTTGATGGAGTTTTAAATTATTTCTTCTGATCCCTTGGTATAAAAGATATGAACATCCATAACCTTACTTACCCTCTCTTCTTTTATTCTTTCCCCTCCAAACATTCTCTGAGTTTGTAATGATACTATTTTTATTAACTGTACCTTAAATAGTCTTATAGCACCATTATTTAATTTATCATCTTTTTAATCTGGGGCATTGGGAATATGGAAAATCAGTATTTTTTAACTACTTGCTATTGTCTCTTTCTTTTCCTCTCCAAACTTGTATTACTTATATCATTTCACATGCCAGGACTTATAATCCGTGATAGAAATTTATGTTTTAAATTTATTGGAACCATTATTTTCTTTTCTAATTTTTTGTTTTTACTTGTCTGTAATTTTTACTTTAAAGTATTGGCTGAATATGGTTTGTTCTCTATACCTTCTTCAAGAATTGCTCAAAGACCCACCATATCCTGAGTTTTACACATTAAATAATGTAAGTGACTTTACCCTTGAACAACATTTTGCTGGAGGGTAAAATTAATAGATTAGACTTCCTTTTGTGAGGGCTTCATAGACTTTGCTTCACTTTTAACCACTCTTATCAACGCTTCTTTGGATTTAGGGTGCCCTTTAAATCTGTATAATTGAGTCTTTATTTATTTCTAGAAAGTTTTCCTGTATCAGCGGAACCAGCCCCCAATATTTCAACGTGGGTCCTTTCTATTTTCCTTAAGTGTCAGCTGGTCTGAGAAATAAAAAGAAAGAGTACAAAGAGAGAAATTTTACAGCTGGGCCTCCGGGGCTGTCATCACATATTGGTAGGACCATGATAATGACCCCGAGCCGCAAAACCAGCAAGTTTTTATTAGGGATTTTAAAAGGGGAGGGGGTGTACGAACAGGGAGAAAGTCACAAAGATCACATGCTTCAGAGGGCAGTAAAGATCACAAGGCAAGACAAAATTAGAATTACTGATGAGGGTCTATGTCCCGCTGTGCATGCATTGTCTTGATAAACATCTTAACAGGAAACGGGGTTTGCGAGCAGAGAACCGGTCTGACTAGAATTTACCAGGCTGGAATTTCCCAATCCTAGTAAGCCTGAGGGTCCTGCAGGAGACCAAGGTATATTTCAGTCCTTATCTCAACTGCATAAAACAGACACTCCCAGAGTGGCTGTCTACAGACCTACCCCCAGGAATGCATTCCTTCCCCAGGGTTGTTCCTTGCTGGGAAAAGAATTCAGCGATATTTCTCCTACTTGCACATCTGTCTATAGGCTTTCTGCGAGAAGAAAAATATGGCTCTATTCTGCCCGACCCTGCAGGCAGTCAGACCTTATGGTTATCTTCCCTTGTTCCCCGAAAATCGCTGTTATTCTGTTCTTTTTCAGCGTGCACTGATTTCATATTGTTCAAACACACGTTTTACAATCCATTTGTACAATAGTGGTCCTGAGGTGACGTACATTTTCAGCTTAAGAAGATAACATGATTAAGAGATGAAAGTAAAGACAGACATAAGAAATTATAAGAGTACTGATTGGGGAAGTGATAAATGTCCATGAAATCTTCACAGTTTATGTTCAGAGACTGCAGTAAAGACAGGTGTAAGAAATTATTAAAGTATTAATTTTAGGAACTGATAAATGTCCATGAAATCTTCACGATTTATGTTTTCCTGCCTCAGCTCCAGCCAGTCCCTCTGTTCGGGGTCCCTGACTTCCCATAACATTCTTGCCTTATATCTATAAATGTTTTTTTCTTCCATTATATCATTTTTTACTTTGAACCCCTAACTTTTGGTACTTGGATATCCTTTGCCTAATTTTATCTTTATCTATTTTTTTGTACTTTTAACTTATTTTTTGGTTCTCTCTCCTTCATTTCTTACTCTACTCTAAGTAGTTTCCATTCACTCTTGTACACTTTCCAATTTTGCCTTCATTTCTGATTTTTTACTACTTTCATAAGCAAGACCAAATCATATTTCATCTCTTTTTCTCATCTTGCTGTCTTAACCCAAAGTTCTTGTATATATTTTTTAGCTCTTGCTAAAAAATGGTGATTGCTACATAATTTTTTTAAATTCATAACAAAATATTTAGTCATAATTTTTATGTACTCTATGGAATGATTTTTCCTGTGTTATTATTCTGCCATTTGCTTTTGCTGTCATTTCTTTCTTCTTCTGTATCTTTTATGTATTTTGTATTGGCAGCTTTTTTCATATTCATCATCACTGAAAGGAATTTTTCTTAGATCATATTTGTTCTACGTTCATGTTGTAGAAATGCCAAGATTATGTTTCAAGATAGCAGAAATTTTCTTTATGGCCCAGTGCCTATGAGCCCTTTTAAGCTCTTTATTTTCCATATACGATTAAGAATGGCAGCTTCAGGGCTTCTCACAGTGTAATGTCTTTCCAACACCTGCTTTATTGACAGATAACTTCCACTACCTTATCTTTGTAATTGAGCCCCATGGCCTCTATGTTTGAAACACAAACTCGGTCTACTAATCCATGCAGCCAAACTCACAGTTGCCAGCTGGGTTACTACTTTAGAGTGTGACTGCAACTAACTTTAGACGAGTCCATGCTATTGATTTCTTAGAAATCTGACTCCCCTCTCAACTTCCTCTTCAATTTCTATTTTCCTTGCTTTTGATAACTCATCTATTTATTTTGTAATTTTGGATTTGAGGGATTTTTTTCTAGTTTAACTGAAGCTGGACTGTATATTTCTGGTTTTTGCTGGTTTGTTTCCCACTTCATTTGATTTACAAAAGGAAAAAGAGGAAATGCTGTCTTTATTTTCCACCTGAATAGCCCAGAAGAGGAATGAAGAATTAATGAAACTATAGACAAAGGGGACTTTACTGTGGCCACCTAAATAAAATTAATAATAACAAGGTGAATTTATTATTATAGCTAATATTCATTAAACATTTATGATATGCCAAGAACTATCCTAAGCACTTCACATCTATCAGATTATTTCATCCTAACACCAAATCTATGAAACAGTTGTCTTTTTTTTTTTTTTCATACAGGGGTCTCACTCTGTCACCCAGGCTGGAATGCAGTGGTACAATCTTGGCTCACTGCAACTTCCACCTTTCAGGCTCAAGAGATCCTCCCACCCCAGCCTCGGGGATAGCTGGGACCACAGACACATGCCACCAAGCCCTGCTGATTTTTTGTATTTTAGGTAGAGATGAGGTTTCACCATGTTGCCCAGGCTGGTCTCAAACTCCTGCACTCAAGCAATCCGCCCACCTAGGCCTCCCAAAGTGCTGGGATTACAGGTGTGAGTCACCATGCCTGGCCAGTTGCCATTGTGAGCACCATTTTACAGATAAGAAAAGAGAGGCTTCAAGAGATTAGATAATTTACAAAAAAGTCATACAGCTAAGAAG
Source organism: Homo sapiens (assembly GCF_000001405.40). Taxonomy (NCBI): domain Eukaryota; kingdom Metazoa; phylum Chordata; class Mammalia; order Primates; family Hominidae; genus Homo; species Homo sapiens. The sequence continues at coordinate 64,358,090 of NC_000010.11, read as the reverse complement.
TGACAAATTCAGAATACATACTCAATAATCAGACTTCAGAGTCTTCACTTTTGACCATCATACCATTTTGTTTCCCAGTACCTGATGAGGTAAAATTGCTTTTTAGAGATTCTTTGACTTTTGCTGGGATATAGGGAGCATGTAATCATGCCCTAATCAGAAACTACCTGAATGCACTATGTAGGTGGGGTGGAAAGGAATTCACTGGCTCTAATAGGAAATTTCTGCATGTGTTCCATGGAAAGAGAGATACAGGCTTGCATAACTAAAATTCTACATACTGTAAGATTAGTGGAAAGAGAAGGAGCTCATAGTTTTGTTCCTTTAAGGACAACTAGATTCCAATATGATTAAATAAAGGCAGATGACCAATAAATTGAAATCATTGATTTACTGATTGATTTTTTTTAAAACCAGAGAAGGTGCTCATTATGGGCTAATAGCCACATACATTAAGCTTTGTAAAGTCACTGATAATTTCTATTCTTACCATGTTACCAATACAACTAAGCAAATGCAACATTCATAATATTAGGATATCAAATATTAGTCAAATGATCAACTTTCTTGACTCTCTTGAACAACTTTATTCTAGCCAAAATTTCTCCTACAGAAAATACATATATTTCAATAAGTCAAATCTGCATTCCCATATTGGACCACCAACTCATACAAAAGTTTTTTCTCTAAAACCTGTCTACTAACACCATGAGCATTGTGCTTTGCACCAAAAAGACGACCTCTTATTTTATGTTAATATATATTCTTCAAAAAGACAAGTGAAGAAAAATAGGTCTGTTTTTATGTTGTGCATGAGAAATTAGGTGGTTAATTTTCAAGGGCTGCCTCAATAAATCCCAATTGAATTAGCCAGTATTAGCATGTGAAAGCGATCAAGAGACACTGCAAAAACACAATGTAAAATGAATACGAATGATTTGGTTCCAGATCTGATCAAATAAAGTGGAGGATTGAATTAACGAGTGAACAAAATTAAGTGGAAATGGCAGTATTTCACAGCTAGTCAGCTGTGTCTATGAAACATACTACTGAAAGTTAGACGACTATTCTGAACCTTTTATTTTTCCTCTCCAGAGGTATCTCCAAAATTGTATGTACTAATTGGATTTAATATCCTTCATTATTTGGTGTGTAAAGTTGTATTTATTTCTCTATAAGATATTCAAAGCAATAAAATGATAACAATTATCTACTGAACATTTACTGTATTCTATGTCAACCACTGTTCTATAGTCTCCATAAACATCAATTAATTTATTTCTATTTATTTAAATCGGGTATGGGAGGGAGGAAAGAGCAAATGAGATAGACCAAATTTTTTATAAGGTTCCTAAACTTTTAACATGTCTGTAATTGAGACAGACAGGTGGGAGGGGGTCCCCGGAAAAACTCCAACTGGCCTGTGCGCTGGAGTGGAACCTCAGGAAGTTCACTCTCTTTGCAGTGGGAAGGAACATTGCCCCTCCTCTTCCTGTGTGGAACCTGGGATTCAAATGGCCAGTAGGGATGCACTCTAGCAGGGACTCTGGCCTAGCAAGAGTACCGGTTTTCCCCTTCTCTTCCTTTTTCATCCAATAAAACTTTGTCTTACCCACCATTCAAATTGTCTGTGAGTCTGAATTTTCATGGCTGTGGGACAAAGAATCCTGTCTTTAGCTGAACTAAGGAAAAGTTCCTGCAACATAATGTTACTGTTGGCATAAGTATGAGGTAGCATAACAGGAGTAGCTTTGAAATCAGACATTCTTGAATTTCAGTTGTGAACCATTCACTTGACAAGCTGGGCTACTAAATCTATCTTGTTCTGCTCATCTTTATAAAGGAATTTTGAAGGTTTTTCTCAAAAACTCATTTTAAGAAACAGAAATAATATAACTAAGATTTTGGCCTGCTGTTGGGATATAACAGGGGCTTATTATTATTATTTTCAGAGTAACAGTGGTTGTTTCCTGGGATACCAGTGTTTCTACTTAATTCTCCCTACACATCCTAATGCCACTATTTCAGAATAAAAATTGAAATAGTATCTTTGATAAGAAGACTGCTAGTAGAAATAAGGGGAATCTTTAAGCAGAATTTTTAATGATTGAAATCTGCTCTGAGTAATAAGAATAATTTTTCTTCTGGGGACACCCCAAAATAATGCCCATTATTTTATTAAACTAAAAATAGTTGCCAAGTGGAGTGATACTGTGGTAAATGCTGTAAATGCTGTGTGTGTAAGAAACAAATTCAGGGGGCCATATAATACTCTGTGGATGGAAAACACTTGCCTCTTAGAGAGCATCACTTACCTCACATAAAAGCATCCTCTGAGGTGGTTAAAATTTCTTGTTGAGTCTTCCTTAGGAATAAATAGAGTTAAACACAGAAAGATTGCTTAAAATGCCAAGCCTTTCCAATGTCTTATAAGCAGCGGAAATTGAAGTGTTTGCTTTTTTCCTCTACTCAATGTACAAGTTATTCATCTCCACTGGAACGTGAGTGTATATGGTGCTACCTTAGGCTGTTCTGCTGCAGTAGAGTCAGTGAAATAACCTTCTGCAATTATTACAGTATTTATAATCCATTCTAGTGTGCAAATCAACTAAGAAAAAAGGCAAGTCAGAGTCCTAACATCTTACAATAGTAGAAATGTAAGCATAGAAGATTTGAATAGATTAATTTTTCCTTGCAGTTCATCTCAAATATTTCAACTGTGTTAACCCCAGGCTGAAAGTCTTGAGAGGATAGCTATGCGATTGCAGTGTTGTCTTGTAAAAGTTCATCTGGTTCCTGTATTACAATGGATGGCCTAAAGTTGAAGATCAGCATTTCTATAGACATTAGCCTTCAACTGACTGATGACGTTCTGTTGATAGATTTTTGGTTTCCACTCAGCCCAGACCTCCCTCCAGGAAATTGGGAAAGGAAACTGCAGCAATGAGGTTCTCTTGGTCGTTCTTGCTTACACATTCTCCACACTTATCTTGATAATATCCAATGCTTCACTTTTATTATCTAGCCTTTCAGAAAAACCTAGCTGGCTTCTGGCTCTTGCTTTATTCTTGATAGTCATTTCCTAGAGGTAGCTGGAGACTGCTACTCTATACACAATTGGCTTCGTGCAGTCAGACCGACTGAGCTTTGTAGAGGTGAAGTTTAAGGCTGAGTCCACCCAAGGGCCTCCCAGAGTGGAGTCTATCAGGGAGAGCATAGTAATTCAAGTCACATTTCCTTCTAACAATGACAGATTTCTCTGCAAGGTTAAATATGAATACATGCAGAAATGAATCATTTCATGTAGGGATTAATATAATAGAGTCATGTGCTCATAAATACCCCCATTCCTTTTGAATGACCACTTTTATGCAACATTATTGCTCACAGTAATGAACAATATAACCTTTCAACTTTGCAAATTCAAATAGCCAATGAGTTGATTCAGGAAGAATAAAAGTAGAAAAATAAAACCAACAGATAACCTTATAGTCAGTTACTCTGAATCATGCACATCTGACATATGATTCTGTGATGAAATTTTTTTCACTGTTTTATTTTTTGAGTTAATATCCTATAATGCATTCTAATAGATGGCTACCAAAGAAGTTTGTAAGATTCTTTCATTTTAGGCATTGCTCCTGAACACTTGAGATAATTATTTGGGTGTTATTATCCTGAATCTTTTTGGCATTACAACTTCCTAGTTTTTAATAATGTCAACTCACTTTCACCTGGTGTGGAAACCAGACACACTCTTAAGCAGCTCAGTCCAAAAGAGGTCTTCCTAAGATTATCACCCTCACGCTCCTGCTGTTGCTATTCTGTACTCCTTAATGATTCAAGGAAAAATTCTTCCTGGTCATGGCTGATTGTCAGAAAAATGGAAAGGATAATGGGTTACTGAAAACGATGAGCCATTTGGCACCTGAAAATCTAGTCTTCACATAGCCTCTACATTCCTAGGCTACTAAACCTCCCTTGGTCTCAGTTTGCTCATCAGTAAAATGAGAAAGACTAGAGTTAAGTCATCTTTAAGGTCCCTTACAGTCCAGATATTCTTTCATTTTATAATCCTATGATTCTTCCATTTCACTACTTCTTCAGTCAGTTCTAATGAATTTTCTCACCAGTGCAGAGCTATACATAATCTATTACTTCAGCTAAAAGTAAGATGTCAGGAGACATCTCAGGATATCAGAACAGCCTCTCCTTCAAGATCCAAATTCATTTTTTCTGGTCTTTAATGCTGTCCCTTCCACTAACAACCCAGTCAAACTCCTGAGTGTTACAAATTTTCAACATCTATTTATGTCATCAACCTTGATGACCTAGCTTTTGGATTTTCTAACTTCTTTTAACCAGCATAAACCATGCCTTCCTTCACCCCCTATCTGGAATTCTTAACTGTTAAATAGTCAGCATCCATCAGATGACTGTTGGCCTTACCCATCTACCAGCCCCACTATGCTGCAATTGACTTTGGCTCCACACTAAAATGCTAGTGATGACAAATTGAGAAGTTTATGTTTCTCAGTTATTTTTCAGATACTTAATGGATGCTGTCTATAGGCAATACAATGTGAAATCTCCTAAAGAAGTCAAAGAATGGTGAAGACAAAAGTCACTGTACCCAAAGAAATGTTGAGTGTAAAGGAGTTTGAATAATACAATAAGGAGAACAAAGAATACATACTGACTACAGAGCAAGAGCTGTCATCGTAAAAATCTTCATAAACATTGAAATTAATGTTAGCATTTCATTCTAAACAAGAAGCATTCATTTATTTTATTTTATTTTTGTCTATTTTCCACTATTTACTTGAATGGGTGTTACATGCACATGACATCATGATACAAAATGCAAAATGTACAAAAGGTAAACTGAAAAAAAAATTTCCCCATATCTGCCTATATTTCCCATCTGTGAATGTCCCCATGGGACATTCCCTTAGCTCTCTTTCAAAAATGCAACCACAATTTCTTAGTAACATGGCTTTAAAATTTAGTTCCAATTATATGATGAGTGATAAATCATCCTACTGATTCCAAAGGCCAGTGTTGCATGATAAATTGAAAATGCTAGCTAACATTTTAATTCTTAAAGCTACACGATTTTCTGAGTCTAAAAAGAGTTCCTGCTTTTCCAACTCCATGAATGCATGTACATTTTGAATTATCATCTACTTGAGCAAACAATCTATTGGCTATCAGAATTCTCTTCCTTTCCATGCTGTCTCCACTAGCCATGTGCTGACCTATACTGTCATTATCTCAGATTACATTTACTCTGTCACCACAAATTTAATTTCAGGCTAACATTTAACTTTAGTAAAAGCCAAATCGATGCAACTTGTTGGATAAGAAATATTTATCTGTATTTATTGTGTGGCAGGTATAAATCTCAACAAAATTAAGATTTATTTATGCCTGTTAATCTAATACATTCTACTGTAGCTGCTCTGAAAACAGTGAATTAAAATTGATACCCACTCTGGCCCAGAATCATCTGAGAAATGAAGACCCTACATTGTCAGTAATATTGTTTTTGTCATAAGATTTATTGATGGCTAAGTGAGAGAGAACAGGGAGAGTGTTTGCAAAAATTACTACTAAACCAGGTGTACAAAATGAAAATCTAAGTTTTTGTGGACAATTCTGCTCAATGTTGATATATAATTGTTATTCATTACCATGTTTTTTAAAAAACATAAAATGGTTTTTCTCATATATGTCTTAGCAATGCCTAAAGCATATCTTTAGCTAGTTTGACAGATCTTGCAGTAAGTTAGAAAAAAGCAGGACACTAACACTTACAACACCACAGTCCAGAGGTGTCAGAAAAATAAAAGAATCAATATTAAATCTTTTTCTCAACAAATTTGATTTTTAAATTAATTTAACCTGTCTGTTATCAAAAGTATTTTTTTACAGTTACTTACCTATTTTTATGTAAAATGAGTTTTGCATATTACCGTTGTGTTTTATTTGAGAATTTTTAAAGGGGAATTATTATCATTAGATTTTGAAAATTATTCTCCAAAATGAAGACATTTTTACTAAGCCACATGTCTTGAGGGTATAGAAAGAAAAGTTTGTGATTTACTTGCTCTACCATGATGTTTACAGAAGGACATGAGTGTCTATTTGAAAGCCTATTTTGAACATATTTATCCTTCAGACATATATTTTTGCTCATGTAACAAGAGATCTGCATGTTGATGGTCCAGGGGTTGAGCTCTGGTTTCACAATATGGTTAGTGTCCCAGGCGATCTGCTTTCTGCTTTCCCATCATTAGCAGAGTCTTCTGTCTTCATGCTGCCACCTCATTGTAATGATAGCTGTGCCATTTCCAGCAAGAAGAAAGGGGGAGAAGGAAGGGACAGTACTGTAATTGTACTAGGAGAAAAAAACCTTTCTCAGAAAATTCAAGCAGGTATTTGATCTTACCTTAAAGGTCAAATGGCCAGCCCTATTTGTAAGAAATCTCTAGGAAGACAATGCATTTTACAAGAAACATTGCTGCCCCAAACAAAATACGGGCTTTGTCATTCAGACAAAAGGACAATGGCTATTGGGTTTGCACTTACAGTATAGGCCACTCTCCACCACCGCCACAGGGCTGGGATATGAGAGAAGCACATGTCAGCATTTATGGAGCTGAATGGAAGTCCTGAAGGAAGATTCCCAAGGCCATGCTTGCACTGAGGACGAATGATCAGAGGATAATTTCAGGCCATTGATGACCCAGTGACAAGATAAGTTTATGAAGAAACACATTCTATAGCTTCACCTGTTTTCATGAGTTATAAAATGAGGAATCTGTGAAGTGGGCAAACCAGGTTGGGGTGTGGAATACCCAGTAGCATGAACAAGGAGTAACTCCAAAAAGCAATGAGCAGAAGTGACAGCTCAGTTAAGGAAAAGAATATGTGTTAAAGTACGAACATCTTCATGGCTCCTGCCTTCCCTCTAATAGCAGCGGGCTCTCCTCAGAATCAGAACTAGTGCAGCCACATTTCCTGAAAGATAGTGCAGAAGGGACGCTTTGCTTAGCATCTCTCCAAATCCTCACCGCTTACTTTGCCCAGCTCTCTCTGGTTATACTTTAGCTTTAAGGACACTGCTTGCTGCAGCCTGCTCTCCATTCTGTGCTCGAATCTGCTGTCTTCCTACAGTGGCTCCAGTTATCCCCTGCTGCTGTTTCTCAGCACTTTTTATGCTATGCTGCTGTGGTGGTCATACAAACAATGTCAGTCTGTTTGCACAGTCCCTTTGTAACAATGAAAGCATGGTATAAACAACTGAGTTGGTTAAAAATTGACTGGGTTGAGAATCCTAATCCCAGGACCCTCACAGTCATACATGCTTGAGCTGATAAGGACTTCTCACCTCATTACATCTCCTCCTACTGTCTTACCAGAGATCTACTTAAGTAAGTAATGCACTGTGATTTAAGACATAATTTCCTAAATTATCTCTTATCTCAGATAAGGTACTGCCTGCAAATTTTGCCTAAAATTTCATCTAGATCTGGATTTTGTGTATTTGTTCATTTTTTGTTATTCTGTTTTTTAAAAAGAGGAAACAATACATTGTCATTGTTAAATTGGATCCTTCTTCTTGGACCCCTTCTACGTTCTGGTCATATTAAAATACTTCTCATTCTCTATGTGCACCATTATTATTTTACACAAATGACCTTTGCTAATGCTCTTTCCTATGCTTCTGATGTCATCAATTGGCTTAATAAGTCTTCAGCTAGCTAATACATACCATTTATTTTCTACTTATAATAACGAGATTCAAATAGTTATATGGCTCTGACTGGAAGTTGAAGAGCCTCTGCAAGGGTAAAATTTTTCATTTTTAGTTTTTAAGGAAGAAAATAGCCTTTGCAGAAAGTTTTTGGAACTCACTTATATTTTGGGAGAAAGGACATTGAGACCACTTTATTACCATAGAATTTCCCTGGTGTAGCTTTTTTGGCCATTTACCATGACCTCACTATGTGATAGCAAAACTCAATGCCATTGAGCCTGAGCTCCCAACAATCTGCATAGTCTCTGAAGTTGATGAGACAATGACTATGTTTTGAATCAAATATATATATAAATATATATCAATATAAAGACAACTATAATTTACAAATATATATTTACTTATATATGTAAATCTTAAGTCACAAAAATTCACCTTAATCTTTAATACAGCCAATTTTTCTGGAGTCAACTTAATACCTTCCCAGATCTAAAGGATGATAAAGAGAAAAATTCACTGGGAAACACAAGTCTTTAAAAATATAGCTTTTTTTCTTTCTTTACTATTATCAATCAATTTGTCTATCAATCAAATCAATCAATCAAACAAATGCAGAGATACCATAGTCTCTAAAATCTAGGTTTCTTTGACCTTTCAAAAAAGTTTATAATTTTGCTCATTCAAGTTTATGTTTCTAAGCAGTGAAATGTCTCCAAAAGAAACAAAAAGGGTAAGAAAAGTTTGGTTATGATATTTTGTTATTCAAACCATCCACCATTTCACCTTAAGTTCTTACCCAAACCAGAAATGTAAATAAAATAAATGATTTTGGTGAGAATTAAATAAGCAGAATAAATAAAGGTTCTGAGCCAGAACTAAATTCATTAATTCAAAAAACATTTTGGTTACTGTGTATATGTCAGCTACTGTATTAAGTATTAGGAACACAAGGATAAAGTATCGACCAGTGCCTCAAGGTTCTTACCATTTTCCCTTTCTTTTCTCTTCTCCCTTTCTCTCATTCTTCCATAGGGAAGACTACTTCTTAGGACTAGGACATCAAAACCAGCCTTAGGGTTTATTATTCCTTGAATATACCTCACTAAGGATAGACGTAATTACTTCACTTTCTAAAAAACATTGGAATTCACAAACTTAATAATAGTTTTAATGGACAAACATTTCTGGTAAATTTGGTAAATGTTTTATATAACTTGCATACGTGCAGAATAAGAATATGAATTGTTATAATTATTAAAATTTAAAAATGACAGTTTGACACTTAAAATGTGTTTTTTCAAGGACACTTGTAATAAAGCCTTAAAAGGTAACAAGTGAAGATATGACAATACCTTTACAAAAAAAATTTGACATTGATGTTAATCAGCAAAGTCAATTATTCACAGTGACACAACTGCAAACTAAGGCAAACAGTGTAGACACATATTAAACTCCTGAAAATTGTCAAAGACATGATTTTTAAAATTTGACTCTAAACATAACAAATTGTTTCATACTAAAGAAACCAGGCTCTGGTATCTGTCTTTCTTTAGATTACCAAAAAGTGAGACAGGCATAAAGATCTTAACATAATTAAGATTTTTTATGCCAAAATATTTCAGTTAGACTAAAATGACACTGCATAATAAACAAAGGGCATAATTCACCTGAATTCATAACTGGTATGAATAGCTAATATACATTAGCTAGCTAAAGACTATTAAGCTAGCTGAAGATATCAAAAGCATACGAAAGTATATCAGCAAAGGTCATTTGGTTAAAGAAAATGGTGCACTTGGAGAATAAGAAGTATTTTAATATGATTGGATTGAGGAAGGATCCAGGAGGAAGGATCAAATGCAAAAATGACAATGTACTGTTTATTCTTAAAAAAAACACACACACATACACACACAAAAAAACAAATTTTAAAAAGCCAGATCTAGATGAAATTATAGGCAAAGTATATAGGCAGTATCTTATCTGGAAGATTTAGGAAATTATCTCTTAAATCGCAATGCATTACATTCCTAAGTAACTCTCTAGTAAGACAGTAGGAGGAGATGTAGTAGGATGAGAAGTCCTTATCAGCTCAAGCCTGTACAACTATAAGGGTCCTGGCACTAGGATTCTCAACCCAGTCCATTTTTAACCAACTCAGTTGTTTATACTGTGCTTTCATTGTTACCAAGGGACGGTCCAAATAGACTGACATTGCTTATATGACCACCATAGCAGCATAGTATAAACATGCTGAGACACAGGAGCAGGGTTTAACTGGAGCCACTGCAGGAAGATGGTAGATTCCAGCATAGAATGGAGAGCAGGCTGCAGCAAGCAGTGTCCTCAGCTAAACTATAACCAAAAAGAGCTGGGAAAAATAAGCGGTGAGGATTTGGGGAGATGCTAAGCAAAGCATCCCTTCTACACTATCTTTCAGGAAATGTGACTGCACCAATTCTGATTCTGAGGAGAGCCCACTGCTATTAGAGGGAAGGCAGGAGCCATGAAGATGTTTGTACTTTAACACAGATTCTTTTCTTTGACTGAGCTGTCACTTCTGCTCCTTGCTTTTTGGAGTTACTCCTTGTTCAGGCTACTGGGTATTCCACACCCCAACCTGGTTTGCCCACTCTGCAAGTTCCTCATTTTCTAACTCGTGAAGACAAGTGAAGCTATAGAATGTGTTTCTTCATAAACTTATCTTGTCACTGGGTCATCAATGGCCTGAAGCTATCCTCTGATTACTCCTCCTCAATGCAAGCATGGCCTTAGGAATCATCCTTCAGGACTTCCATTCAGTTCCATGAATGTTGACATGTGCTTCTTATATGTCCCAGCCCTTTGGCGGGGATGGAATGTGGCAGACACCACCAACTTCCAACTCAATATCCATTTTTACTTTTGCCTTCAGGACCTGGCCATATTTCCTTACACCTGTATTTAGCCATGTTTCTTGCTAAAAGCCTTGTCTTCTTAGATGCTCCTTACAAGTAGGGTTGGCTATTTAATACTGCTTGACCTTCATGATATGATCAAAAGCCTGTTTGAATTTTTTGAGAAAGGTTTTCTTTTTTTTTCTAACATAACTACAGTACTACCCATTGTAGATAATGCAAATACTACCTTCCCTGTCAGAACTTCTTCAATTATCCCAAGCGTTGCTCAGAGAAAATTTACAGTCTTAAATATTTATAGTAAAAGACAAGAAAAATGATAGTAAATGACATAAATATTCAACTTAAAATGTTAGATAGAGAGCAACAAAGTAAAACAGAAAAAAGCATAAAGAACAAAAATAAAAGCATAATTTATAAATTAGGTAATAAAAAAATAGAACAAATAAACCCAAATGGTCTCATAAACTATATTAACTATTAGCTATTCTAATAAAAAAAAAATGGAAAAAGACAAGAACTGTTTTTCAGGAAATAATAAAATGTGTATACTTCACCAAATAGGAAACAAGACCAGCAATGCTTTTCTTTTCTTTTTCTTTCTCAGGCAAAGAAATTTCTTTCACAATGCCTTTCTTTTGTTAAGTATAAAATATTATAATTTATGCGAAGTCCCTGTCATAGTACATGGCACATCAGAAAATGTTAGTTTTTTATTGGCTTTTCTTGTTTTTAACATAGAGTGGGTGGGAGAGATAACCAAAGTTTCTATAATCTCACAAAGAAAGAATGTCTGTTGCTGAAAATGGAACAGCCATTGTGACACTGAGGTGGCAGCGTGAGGACGGACGGCTCTGCCAATGATGGCAGAGAGGAAAGCAGAAAGCCCAGGAAACGGATGGCATTGTGAAGCTAGAGTCCCAAACCTGGGCTGTCTCCATGCAGACTTTTGTTACAGGAACAAAAAGTATATATTTGGAGAATAAACATGCTTGGAAGAAAAATATGCAAAATAGACTCCTCTTGTTTAGGTAAGGAATAATATGTTTAGTTGGGATTTTGTTTCATGGAGCCCCAGATAACTCTAATATGTATAGGATTTGTTACCTGGATTTAGGGTTTTGCAAGTAAAAAAAAAAAAAGATAACAAAATGAGAGGGGTGAAGAAGGCAGGGCTATGGGCTATTTGAGGAGTCCAGCATTGCAGCTGGACAGAGTTGGTGATTCTCTTTAAACATTTGATGCAACTGTTGCCTGTTGTTCCTTAGTGAAATGACCAGAGGCTGATGAAGGCTTTTGCTTCAGGAGAAATGGTAGAAAAAAACATGTTTCTGGATGCTGTTTCTTCTTGACACTCTTAGGACAGCCCAACAAAAAAGATGAAGTGAAACTAGAGTGAGCCACTCTGCAACAGAGGTGGAAAGATCAAATTAACTTCAAAAGATGGGCAAAGGCTTACCAAAAAATTAAGCAAATATTATTATGTTAATGTTAGCTAAGGTTGATTTAGGTCAAAAATCCTTAAGTTAAATGAAAATTACACTGTATAATAAACAAAGTGTACAGTTCACAATGTATACATAACTGGTATAAATATGCACCATTTTACTAAGGAAATAAGAAATCCAAAACACTATTAGTGGAATACCGGAATTCATCCATCTCAGTACATTAACAATCAAGTCAATTAAGAAAATAAGATTCTAAAAGAGCCAAATATCATTACTGAAAAGAATATCTAATATATATAACTGAAATAATCTGTAATTGATATATATGATAGGCATATATGACATAGTTTTATATCAAATTCGGTACTGGAGAAATATATTTTATTTTCAAATGCCTTAGGAAAAGCAAACTAAAAGACAAAAAGACATAACTTAAAAACAAAACAATTTATTCACTAAAAAACTCTTGAGTTAGAGAATCTAAGTCCAAATTGCAGAACATGTAGGAAACACAGATCTTTTTACATGAATTTCTTTAATTACTTCTTAAAGTTATTTTATTTCTTGTTGTAAGGCATAGACTTGGGCTTTGTTTTGTGATCTAATATGAATGTCACTTTATTTTAATAGTCCATTTGTATTTTTTATATGACAGATAAAACTGGTCTTAATGTGTTACAGAGGTCCAAATTTTCTTATCCACAACTCTGAAATCCAAAAGTCTTTAAAAATTGATAGTATTTATTTAACTAATTTGATGGCAAAACCTAACCTGAAATGTTATGAGGCTAATTATAATATTTGTTTAGCCTACTTTCTTTAAAAACAAAATGTTTGGCTACAAAAATATTATAAAGTGCTGCTCCAGACCTCACCACAGGTGTTTAAAGTATATGTTGTCTACACCATTTTGTGCTTCCGAAATATGAACAGTTCTAAAGCCCAAAATATAATGGAGCCAAAGGACTTCGGATAGTGATTGTGCACCTATATAATCTTACATTTTTCATCCTTTATAGTTTTATTTTTTCCAGCTTTATTGAGGTATAGTTGACATCTTTTACAAATCTAAAAACTACTTTTACTTTTTGGTCTGTTTGCTTGTTTTTGCATTTATTTCTTTTCATGTATGAGAAGGTTTGTGTTTTTGCTCTAATGATCACCTTTTGTTACTTGAAATAATACTCTTAATCTTCCATTTCTCTAGATCATATTCATTCATATCTTTATGTGAGCAATAAAATTTCTTTCTTTTACCTCTGCCCTCCACTGTCTCCTCCACTAACCAATTTAATCAACATATTTTTTCTAATACATAAATTTGTGATTATAAATGTATTCCATAAGAGTCTTCTGCGATGCAGATACTTCCTTGCTTTGTCACCATAGAGCCAGACTGTTGTAAGGGACCCTGAATGGTCTGAGATTTCACCCTATTCGCAAGCAAAACATTAGCCTGCCATGTTTCATGGATGCTAGTAGAAAACATGAGACTCCAGTGTTAGAAACAAAGGACTATTTAATGCACACAACAGTAATAGTGGCCAGTATCAGCATTTTTGCACTAGAAAACTGAGATCCCATTCTCACAAGGCTATTCAAAGAGGGCCAGATGACACTTGCACAAATAGTAGTTTGCTTTATAAGACAGGATCCCTGAGCATAGAAAAATGTAATATTTTATAATGAGCCATAAGCTTCAGTACCCTTTGCTCTGGAAGGAGACATCATCTTGTTACATTGTATAGCAAGCATGCCACCTTTTGCTCCAGAGGGAGACACTGTCTTTTTCTTCTCAGGTCATACATTGTACAAAAACTCTTAAAACAGCAGTTTAGAAAAAAGGACAGTCAGTCCTCTGCTTGCAAGACATATAGAAACACGAGAGCTCCATGGAGGATTATTCACCATCAATATCTACCACTCATCTCTACACCATTGTGGCTTCTGGAGAATTTTTCCATGAGTATCCTCTATCAACCAGTCTAATCTGACCAAAAGTGTCTGGGACCAAATCATTTAGAAGTGTCTCTTACAGCAATTAATTGAGGCTGGCATCACAGGACTCCAAACCACAGGGTGAGGCTAACCTGAAATATCTTGCCCCCTAAGGTCCTAGAAACAAACAGCTCAATAAATCCCATAAACCAACCTTAAAATGCCAGATGGCTTTCTCCTCAATTTTCTGTGTTGACCTTGCCACCTGGCAGGAAGCATTAATTCAGGGATGTATTAGCAATTGCACAGACTCCTCCTGGGCTCACAAGGAGGAAGCTTCTAATAATTCTTTTCATCTCTTCTTACTCTGACCACTTTATTGAGATTAACATGAGTGCCCTCCAGGACCAAAATGGTGACACTGATCACTTCAGCTAAAATCAGGAGCAAATCGTGAACACATTTTCTAATTGAATGAACACCACTACAGGGATAACAGCCCTCAGGATGTGAATGAATGGTCAGTTATCTCTCTAGAAGACTCTCCTTTATAACCAAGGGTAGCCTCATTGTGGAGAGATCTTCATCATCATCTGGGAGCTACCCTTCTTGGAACCAAGCTGTATAAAAGAAAGCTTCTGCAACCGGCTGGTGCGCCATTTGCTCTCTCTGTAGCGTTCATGGGATTTAAGCTATGGATATCCAGGTGCACCACTCAGTGTAAAACTGTGATCCTATTGGCTCTTTCTGAAAGCTACTGCACTATGTTTCTCTGCTTTGTCCTGCATTTCGGCTGATCTCTTCTATCTCCATCGCTTTTCAAATCCATTTCATATATTTTGGTGTCTAGAGTTTCACTTGATTTTTAGTTTTGTCAAAAGTAGTTCTGATTTTTGTTTCTCAATATTGATCTTTTGAAAGTTTACAAGGAGCTGAATGGGGACATGCTGATTTTGTAAAATCACATTTAAACCAGGTGCCTTGGGAAATTCTGTTAAATACTGCTCACAGATAAGTCGATACACATAATTTGCAAGAATGAAATAAAATCTTCATCTTTCATGTTTACCGCTGTGTATTCAGTACCTAGAACACTGTCTCACAAGCAATAAATACTTGCTAGCATAAGAAAGTCTATGTACATATAAATTGCCTATCGTTCATTTAAAATATAATTCTTTCTGGTATTTTCACATAGCAGCCAAAAAGAATGTGGCAGATATGTAGATATGGATATAGATGGAGTTCAAACACCTAAAATTGAGTAAAAGAAAATTGCCAAACATTTCATATTAAAAAATTTCCTTTATATTAATAAGAAAAAACACAAGACAATAATAGCTAATCTCTAAAACTAAACATGGATGTGTGCGCATCCATGATTGAAAAAGAAGTCAGGGTATCAGTCAAAGGGCCTTTAACCTTCTCTATAATATTTCTTTTTTAAAATGAGACTGTAAAATAATATACTTGTATAATTTGTGATTAATTGAAAGCCATATCTTATTTTTACTGGGAGTTAATGTTGTATAGTGGAGTACCTCTCTTTCTCCCCCAGTAGATTATTGTCACAGATCAGAGTTTTCAGAAAACAGACTCACCTGGAGAAGGAGAGGTATTATGGAGGTTTTTGAGAGAGTGCTCATTGGAAGCAGTATCTACAAGGGATGAGGAAAGCAGTGTTAAGCGAAGGTTTGTCTGTGATACAGTTAACACACAGACTCCACCAAGTCACAGAGATTCCAGAACTAGGATGGTGTCTTGGAGTAGCTCTGTTAAATCATGGTAAAAAAATATAGACTTTATTTTATGTATATTAGGCACCCTTTGAAGGGTTTAGCTATTTAGATTTTATATTGATCATTCTGCCAACAATGTGGAAGAGAACAAAACAGAAGGAAACAAGATGAATCACAGACTTTTTCCATAGTTCGAAATAAACACTAATGAAGCTCTGAAATAGAGCAGTTATGGGGCCAGGCACAGTGGCTCATGCCTGTAATCCCAGAACTTTGGGAGGATGAGGCCGGTGGATCACCTGAGATCAGGAGTTCAAGACCAGCCTGGCCAACATGATGAAACCCCGTCTCTACTAAAAATACAAAAAATTAAACAGGCATGGTGGCAGGCACCTGTAATCCCAGCTACTCAGGAGGCTGAGGCAGGAGAATTGCTTGAACCCAGGAGGTGGAGGTTGCAGTGAGCCGAGATCGTGCCACTGCACTCCAGCCTGGACAACAAGAGCAAAACTCTGTCTCAAAAAATAAATAAATAAATAAAATAAAATTGAGCAGTTATAGTAAAAATGAAGAAAATTAATTAGAAAATAGGATTTGGTTCTGCATAGGGGTAA
The DNA here is from genome assembly GCF_000001405.40 of Homo sapiens. Taxonomy (NCBI): domain Eukaryota; kingdom Metazoa; phylum Chordata; class Mammalia; order Primates; family Hominidae; genus Homo; species Homo sapiens. The sequence goes on along the minus strand of NC_000010.11, from coordinate 64,341,689 downwards.
AGAAGAGAAAGGAGTATAAAATGATCTCCAGTTTTCCAGCTAGTGTGACTAGGTAGTGGAATTAAGTGAAATCAAAAACACAAGAGAAGTAACAGTTTTGGAAGAGGAAGTCCATTAGGCCCTTCAAACCAGAGTGCGCCTTGCTCACCATTTTATCCCCAGCCCCCAGCATAATGCTAAACATGTAGCAATATCATCAAAAGAGAGAGAATTAGAAAAGTCAGGAGAGTGGATGAAGTGACATTCAAGACCCTTTTCTAGTACATTATTGCACTTAAAGAGGGAACCCTGAAAGCAATAATACTCTAATCTTCTGAAATCACTCCTTGCAGAAGTGTCTGAAAACATGTTGTCTTTCAAAGGGAATGTCTAGATGACGTCTACAGAAGGCTTTAGAAAGTCAACAGAGATGCTTTGGGCTTCTGCAAAGACTTGATCCCAACAATGTCTGTTAAATATATTGAAACATACTTTAATTATTTTTAAAGCTGTACATGAAAATATACACTCAACTGTGTACTTGAATCACATCTGAGCACTTCAGGGACCACTACTGTATTCATTTGTAATTTTATTTTTAATTTTTGACAGTGAAAGTAAATGTTATAAATTTAGGCTTACAATATAAATTTATACTAACATAATAACTATGTATATATATATATATATAGTTCATGAAAATTCATATAAAAGTGGTTATATTATTTTAAAATACATGAAAACACTGATTTAGGTTTATCTCTTCATTTTATAGACAAAGAAATTTAAACCTGAAAAAGTAAAATGATATGCCCAGGACACACAGCACATCAGTGAAAGAGATAGAGCTAGAATTCAATTGTCCCAAAGAAGAGAATGATGCTGTTTTCATTCTACCACACTGCTGGGGAGAGATGGAATTTTCATTCAGAGAACATCCTGCTGCCACTGTTAAGTAGTTACTTTACCCCTTGTAGATACTGTGATTGAGTGATTCGAAAAGCATTTATGGAACATATAAAGGTCAGGAAGAACCATACCATTTATCTAGGAAGCAAAAATTAGAGTCTATAAATTATAAACAAATGTAATGATTCTGATATAAAGAAGAGTCATGGAGAATGAATTAAACCCACGATAGTCTGTAGAAAGAGATTAATTACAAGCACATTATCAAGGTGAAGTCCGGGCTGGTGAATAGATAAGGGAGAAAATAAGTTTTCTGCTTCCTTTCTTTACTAAGGAAATTATCTCTTATTTTCAGTTTCTCTTGCAAGCTCTCTTCAGAGGTGCGTTCATTTTCTCAGCCAACCAGGTGTCATTCATCAAATGTTTCTTGTACAGTGAGGGAGCAATCTATGCCCCCTAAGAAATGCTAGGAAATAATCAAAGAGAAAAATGCTAGGAATAATCAATGAATTGATTGCTTCATTAGGTAATGGTAATTATCTTCATGGTAGATAATGCATATTTATTTTTATCTACCTATAGTTATTACAGTTTTGCTAAACTAGCCAAGTTCTTATATATAGTATTATAATCACAGTAGACTTTACATGTTCTCATTTGATTCTACTTCACCTTAAAAAAACTTACTATTTTTCTCTTATCATAGTAAGAAGTGATTAAATTAGAATAAGGTGAGCATACTTCTGGTGTAAAGAAACAGATAGTACACATTTTAAGCTTTGCAAGCCATATGGTCTCTGTCAGATCTACTCAGCTCTGCCACTGCAATGTGAAAGCAGCCATAGACAACATGTAAATGACTATGTCTGTGTTCCAATAAAACTTTATTTATGGACACTAAAATTTGAATTTCAAAAAACATTTGCATGTCACAAAATATTATTATTCTTTTGATTTTTTTCAACTATTGAAAATGTGAACTCATTCTTGGTCTGCAGGCTATACAAAGGCTAGATTTGGTCCAGAGACCATGGTTTGCCCACTCCTGAGTTAAAACTTTAACTTCATTATAAATTTTACCTAGAGTCAAATTTTGATTCAGGGATTTTAAGGAAGAAAAACCATCTTCAGATATATATTTGACTCCATGGAGGGTTTGAAATTATTTCCTGTTTGAACATGACATGATCAAGAAACAGTATCATGGAAAGAAGAGAACTGAAATTGTGAAGGCATCCATCACAGTAAGCAATCAATGTTCCTCATGTAAAAAGCAACCTTCTGTGGCTCTGTGGAATTATACTTTGTCCACATTTATTGCTAGTGGAGAAGCTGTAAAATTTTGAGCTTGCCAGCTCTGCTGAGAGATCATGAGGCATACTGAGCTTGCTGCAAAATATGTACCTGGTCAACCCTGATCATCAATTCATGGTTAAAAAAACCACAACAATAGCAAAACGCATCTGCAAAGTGTACAAACCTAATTATCATTGGTCAAGAACCTTGGTCATAACAATATGAAACTTACACTATGCAATTCAAATCGGAGTTCGGTCTTGATTCACACAACCAAAATTCACCTAGAGAACTGTTCAAAATTTGATAGACAGTTGTCCAAACCTTAATTTCACAAGTCGTTGAAACATCTTCAAGTCTTAACTGAGATTCCACATTTAGGAAAGCTGGTTGGCATGCCCAAGTCATGGCTAAATTCCAAACTTCACTAACATCAAAATATTTTTATCACCTCACCCATCAGTGAGAATTCTTAGTCTCAGCAATTAGTACTTGGAAAAACCAGGTGTTATTAGTACTTTGTAGAATGATGCATCTCCCTAAGCCCCGCTAATAAGTCAACATTCTATTGGTTCTTTGAAAGATGTAACATCAACCAACTGTTCAGTATTAATGTTGTCTTGCTTTTCTCATCTTTGGCCCTAATTTAGAAGTTAATTATAACATCAGTTACAGAAACAGATTTTTAAAAATTTAGAATCAATATTTGGGTAAATGTGGGCTTTTTCCTTCTCCACACATCCACTGCATTGGAAGAAATACTTCCCTGCTTCAAAAACTTTAGGACCAGTACCGTCATATATGTATGTATATACATACATACATATATATGTATATGTGTGTGTGTGCGTGTGTGTGTGTGTGTGTGTGTGCGTGCGCGCGCCTGTGTGTGTACAGATTTGTCCATGGTTCCTGGCTCATAACTTCATAGCCCTTCTTTTAATATTACAGTGCTTCAGGCCTCAGATGCAAGCCTCAGAAAACAGAATCTCTCTCTCTCTCTCTCTCTCTCTCTCTCTCTCTCTCTGACAGTCTCCTGCCTTCCTTTCACATGTTCTTTTTTCTTCCCAAGGGAAGAATCTTTCCTTGCCTTTCTGTCTTGACCACAAAGAAATTCTCTGGGCCAGGCACAGTGGCTCACGACTGTAAATCCAGCACTTTGGGGGGTAGAGGTGGGAGGATCACTTGAGCCCAAAAGTTCAAGATCAGCCTGGGCAAGATGGCGAGATCTCATCTCTACAAAAAATTACTACTAAAAAAAAATACTACTGCAAAAAATTACTATTTTCAACATCACTGGGTGGGATTTAAAACAGTTCACTCATAATATTATTTCAGTTCGGAAATTTGAAGCTGGTCACTATAACATGATCAATTCTTCTCTCATATTCAGCCCCTTTCATCCACTCATTCCTATTATCTGAGACTACATTTATCTTCTCTTCTAGATGACAAACTGAAGTGGATGACAATTATTATGCAAAATATACTCACCTATTCTATATTACAACAGAATATACCCCAGAAAAATTTCTAGAGAGATGCTCAAGAAAATTTACTGAAATAACATTTATTGATTATACACACACACACACGCACTCATATACACACATATATACACTGATTGTATATATTGTCTACCAAAATATAATAGTATTCATCCGTAGCTAAGATACAAACTGAAGAGTTGAGTGATTTTATTTTAAAATATATGCAAAATTTTTGTTTTATTATCAACTTTCAGTGTGCTTTGGAAAACAAGAATAAAAGGTATTAGTAGATATGTATTTTCTCCCTGTAAGGTTTTCATCTCTTATTTTACCACAAAAGCCTATTTTCTAGGGGCCTTTCCATTTTAATTCAATCAGTTGCAAATTAATTTTCTGGGGGAACAAAAGGTAATCCTGAGAGATGGTGTATGATTTTCATATTGCTTTATTTTTATCTTTAGGTTTAAAAAAGAAAACAATATTAATGAAGTTGATAGTAATAATCTTCCTTTCATGCAATTTTTTTAGATCTCATTATGAATTTTTTAGTTGTTTAAAATACGTTTATAGTCAAGGTTCACTGCTATTCAAATGAACATCCGCCAATTCTCCAAATGTATTAATCATGGCATACACAAATGATGTGATAAACTCCAGGAATCAAAGAGAGTTAGTTGTAACACGCAGTCTTTCTATGTGATATAATTTATACATATTAGATGCAACCAGGCTTGCTTTCTTTTGGTGTCCCAGGTTTTTTTCTTTATTTATTCCATTACCCCCCGACAGCTAATTTTTCCTCTTTATCAATTTTTCAGAAGCAAAGAGATTTATCCCAAATACATTAGAGGGATATTGCATACAACTAAAAAGTTGCTAACTACAAGAGAACTAAAATACTTATGAGGAAAGTGGAGACCCAGCTTGTATAGACTTAGCATTATCAAGCTCTCATTGAGATCTTCTCTTCCTGTCATTGCTGCACATTTGTCAATAACTTAGAATCTATATTCATAGAGAGCAGCTAAAAACGAAAATTCAAAGGCCATGGATCTCCAGTCCCTGACAACAGTAACTTCACCAATTTGGGGATCTATCTTTATAGAAATGGAAACTGCCCTTTCAAAGTTTCCATGACCGCTTGCTTATTCACTGCTCAAGTGATGTAATTATTCTTTCAACTGCTGATAAGCAAGGAGAGGTGGTACACTCAGTTATAAAGAACCTGGGACACTCTAATACTCTGCAGCCATCGCAACATGATGGATATCATGGGGTCGTCAAATGTAAGTCATAGACAAAGATTACAGTGTCATCAAAACTGCAAGATTTCAAGGGAATCATACACTCTGACTCTTTTTCTCTTAGACCAGACATCTGTCCAATTTCTCCTCAGCTTAAGTAACAGAAGCAGTTTTCTTGATTACAATGACACACTGGTACTAGAATGAAAAGCAACCTTGTTGCTCCATCTTAGATATCTACAGGACAAAAGCTGTATGTGTGCACAAGCATGTGAGTGAGCACATGCACATGAGTGAGTCTCCCTGATTTGTTCATTCCCAGGATTCATTTGTCTGACTTTCTCAAACCGCCATGGTTACATTACACTTGGGGAATGACAGTGCCTTGGTAGTAGATTCATTCCTCAAGTGTCCTTGCTTTGGTCTTTGAGATGCTTCCTCTGGCAACATTGACTGAGGGTTTATAGTTTTCATCCTTGGAAATAAACCAGGCCAGGTCCTCCTTGAAATCACAAATCAATAAGACTACACTCAAATAGTGGTTTCAGAAAGATAGCAATTTTTCTTTTTCTTTTTTAATGTGGCAATTTTACTGACTGCTTAGCATTCTGTAATCAGAAAGTAGTTAAAAAGCATTCAAGATTATCCTTGATATTTAGAACCCTTTTTCTAACCATATATCCCTCGGGTATCTGAAGGGCATAAGCCATGTCTATAGGGCGCTTTCTCACTGACCCAGTCAGAGCACTGGTAATGAGGGAGAGCTCTTCTGAAGACCTTATGGCCCATGCCAGCTTATCTAATAAATGAAGTATTAGTAACAAAGTAATTGATTCCTCAGAATACAAACACATAAAGTATGTCAGGCTAGAACGAATCTCCTTTATTTGCTTTACAAAATACAAAGAGTACAGGGTTGATTTTGGAAAGGAAACCAATCTATGAATATAATATATAGGTAATATATATCACCCTCTCACAGAAGGAGATTGGTGGTTTCCAACTCGACTGGTAAGGTGACGTGAATGAGAAAGGAAGGACATCATCAAGAGACAGTCACTTTGTCTCAATTTGTGGGACATAAGCAAGGCCCAAAAGGCATGAATCCTGAGATAAAACAACAAGATGAATACTCCCCCTGCAGTCACCAAACAGCATGTGTTCAGTAAGTAATGGGCTTCTTTTTATGTTTCATCTATCAAACTATCGTGCACTAAATGCTCCTTGCTGCCAAGCCATATATGTGTGTGCTTTCTCATGGTGGGTGCTTAGTAAGTGCATCTGGTTCGCCATGATCTTCCTTTCATGTAGTTTTCCACATAAAGGGAAAGACTGTCCAGTTGTCACCAGTATGCTGAAGTAGGTGAAGCCCCCTTCTCCTTTTCCTTGCCTTGGTCTCCACCATCACTTTAAGTGACTTCTTGTTTTCCCCCACCCAAACTATCTCAGGGAAGGATGTGCTACGTAAGGAACCATTGAATCTTCGTGCAAATCCTCCTCAGTTATGATGGCTTCAATCAGAATTGGTTCTCTGCATGATTGCACCATGTACAATCTTCTCTATGATTAGACAATGTAAAAACCATTGTAGTGATGGCCATCAGATCATAACCTGCACTCGCTGTGTCTCTGAGAACTTCAGCTTTTCCCTAATTTGAAATGCGAATTCAATATGGCACAACATCCCCCACTACTGTACATATTCAAAAATATTTCTCCACATAATCCCCCCTTACACTCTTAAATGTCTTAAGCCCTTTAATGTCTTTACATTGCTTATAAGGGGGACAAATTTTAAAGTGCTTAATGAGACCTCATGATCTCACTTGCCTGTTCTGCCCATGTCAGCCCAAATGCCCCTGGTTCTCTGTGCTCCGGTCACAACTATTGTTCTCTGAGTTCCTCAATGGAATGTTTTCCTTCCCACCTTTGGGAAAATATGGGCAGTCCCCTTTCCCTGCCGACCACTGCGTTGGTCAGTCAGCTTATGCTAATTATCACATCTCCATTTAAATGTCCCTCTGATAGCACATGATAGCACATTTGTATATGGGAGAATAGGATTAATAAGGAGATGTTAAGAAACTTCTGGATTGTGAAGTTAAATTATATACAAAAAATTAACTGAAATGGTGAATTTATAGTAGACACTGAGAAAAACAGACAAACTAAGGAAAAGACTTTTGCATTTTTGACACTTTGAGTTGTCCAAGGACAAATAGCCAGTGAAGCACAAAGTTCAGCCTAGACTGAACTGTAAAGGTGCCATACCCGACCAAGGCCCTCCATAATATTAATCATAAGAACACCATATGCAAATGAAGTCAATAGTAACTAAGAGTAGAATAACATGTGGATGTGCCACCTCCTCTTTGGGGAAGGCTCAGGAGAGGAATTTCGGAGGGATCGGTCAGACGTACAAAGCACAAGTTGACAGAAGATAGGACTTGGGCTATAAATTAAAGAGATCAAGTGCGCCTGAGAGCCACCACCAAGGTTATCATGGTCAGGATGCCAACAGTGACTCACTTGTTCTGCCTGAGGCATTGTTTCATGGAAGGAAAACTCAGGGCTCAGTGATTCTACAATAACCTTTATTACAAAATCAACCCATCTTCAAAGATGTTCAGTGAAACAGCTTAGATTATTAGTATTTGTCTTAGCTTACAAAGAGACTTCTCTTCCCCTTACCAAATTCCCTTCTAAGAAACTCACCCAAAGCAGTTACTGTAATAAATACAAGAGAAGAGAAAATAAAAAGTTGATCGCAATTGTGATCAAATGTTTATGCTAAGATTTTTAAGCTCTGTCTCACCAACTAGACTGTAAACACTAGTGAGAAGAGTCTGTTTTGGTGACAGACAGTTGCTTATCATGTTGCCTGGAACATATTTGGAACCCAATAAATAGATGGCTGGCTGAATGAGTGGCATGGAGAATCTACGTAATTGTGGGTATGTTTTCAACCAATTGATGCTGGACATAGGAGAAGACCCTGACTACAAAATGGGCAGCAAAATGCGGTGAGTGCTAACAAGAAGTAAGTAGAAGAAGATACTCCAGGACAAATTTTTCCACCTGATGGCAGTCTCACAGGGACAAGCTGATTTTCCTTCTTACTCATAAAATTGTCCTCCCACCACCTCCATCAACATATAATATTCTTCTCTTATATAATGTGTTGAAGTTGGAATTTGTGCAGTTAGGAAGGGGGATTTTTCTCTTTCTTATGTAAGTCTTACTTGAAGTGACTGTTTCTGAGATTTGTGGTACATACGTATCACAACTCCCATGGATACTGCAGTAATCTAATATCAATTAAAGGGCTCTTAAACATCTCTGAGATGATTGGATTTTGTTTGCTTCAACAAAGACCCCTAGAACACCAGGACAACTAAAAATAGGTATACAGATAGAGCTCCTGAAATGAATAACTCTCTCTCTGCCTTTAGATTTTATCTAAAGGGAATTTTTGTTTAATTGTATAACTTCACAGTTTATAAAGATGAGTAGAGAAAAAATAGAGGAACAAAGATTCTGCCCTAAAATCTCAGGGCACGTTCTAAAATCTTGGTCTGGCCTTTTTTACCCATACAGAAAGTCATCTAATGTCTTGCTACTCTAAGTGTAGTTCACAGACCAGCAACATTCACTTCACCAAGGAGCTTAAGAAATACAGGCTGAAGTCCCATTCCTGACCTAACAAAATTGAATCTGTGCTTTATCAAGCAATCCAAATGCCTGTTAAAGTTGGAAAAGTACTGATCTGGAACCTATGGTATATGATGAAGACCTTGGGTTTATGTGTTAAACTATATTTTAGTATATTTTAAATCTAAATTCTAAAATTGAGAGTGGAAAAGATGATTCTTGAGGCACACATAGATGAAAGAATTTCTTTTCATAGGAAGATACAAAAATTTAGAAATCGTCAGAGACTAAATCACACAGTTCCAAAAGGCAAATTTAAACTGGTCTAACCAGAAACAACAACAAAAGCATTAATCATTCCCTTTCCATTCCCCTTCCTCTAGCTTCAGATCTTCTCACAGATAAGAAAGCCAGAGGGGTAATGTCCTATCCCCAGAGGAAAAGTCAAGAAGTCAGACAGAGCTCAGCACTCAAAGATGCTGTAAGAGAGCCCAGAAATTAGAAACAGTATTCTTCATAAAATAAAAATAGCAATTCCATTTCTAAACTCTCATTTTTTCTCTTCCAAGGTACTTAAAAGTTCTGTCTTTATTTTTACACAGTTATACTCATTTATATAATTCCTCGGCTTCCACATTAGATTATAAATTCCATAAAGAAAATGACGGATTCTTACCTGCTCAAAATATCTTTCAATTGTTTGTAAAAATTATTACATACTTTTGTATCATCCACTTTTCAAAATATTATAAGGGAAAATTAAACTTACGCAAGTAGAAGTATATGATTTAATTTCTCTTTAAATACTATATCCCAAACCCAGCTCAAGTGTCACTACCCCAGTGAGACCTTCCCTGGCCCTCCCACTTCTTCCTTTCTACTTCCTGAGCACTTTGGCCTTCTCTCCCCTATAGCATCTACATTTTGTTGTGAATTACTTACCATCTGTCTCTGCACTTGACTAAGATTTCTTTGAAGGCAAGGCCACAACTCAAATGTATCTAGAGGATTCCAGCCCTCAAAAACTTAGGTAAACTTGAAACAAATTCCACAGCCTATGTGAATCCAAGACCTTCCTTGCTTTTTCAGGACACTCTGCTCTTTCTTCACAATGGTCCCTCAGTTTCTGGTCCATCCCAGTGCATGTAGTCTCTGTTCAGTGACCATACTAATTTGCACATGGACCTCAGTTATATGGATATTTGCCACAAGAACTGAATCATACTCATGAGTGAGTAGGGACTTGGCTCATAATTTGGTGCAGTAGAAGGGATAGACAACATTGCACAGCACACAGATTTTCTGCCTCAGGTGACCTGTGCTTTCATGCTTTGCCTGAGCTCAATCATGTGATCTTCCTGTATACTCTAACACCCCTGGAGGTGTAACCAAGATCATGGCCCCCAAACCCAGGCCAATCTGTGTTCCTCAGCATTCAGAACTTCTGTTAGAATGAAATCTTTTGTGGGAACATGGATGGAGCTAGAGGCCATTATCCTTGGCAAACTTAAGCAGGAACAGAAAACCAAATACCGCATATTCCCACTTATAAGAGGGAGCTAAATGATGAGAGCTCATGAACACAATGAAGGGAACAACAGACACTGGGCTCTCCTTGAGGGTGGAGAGTGGAAGAAGGAAAAGGAGCAGAAAAAATAACTACTGGGTACTAGGCTTAGTAGCTGGGTGATGGAATAATGTGTACAACAAACCCCTGTGACGCAAGTTTACCTGTATAAAAAACCTACACATATACCCCAAAACCAAAAATAAAAGTTAAAAAAAGAATGAAATTTTTCCAATTACTACATTACTCCATGCTCAGTAATGTTTGTTCCAGTGATGTTTATTCAAAAAATTATTTCACAAATGATCTTACAACTAGGATCTGATGAACCTGCTGAACTCTAAATTGCAAGGAATAAAATTCTTAATCTTATGATTTCTTTCAATCTTCCAAAGGGGAAAACATAAATGTGCTTTTTTTAAAATATGACTTTCTCTTGAATTAGACCAATAACCACTACCTATAAATACAAGACTCAGGAGGAAGATCATCAGGAGATAATGCTGAAAATGCAGCTCATTCATCAGGATTCTTAGTTGCCATTCACAGAATCCATTCTACCTAGTCTGGGTTAAAATGGATTTGTTATGGAATATTAACTCACTGGCCTATAGGGTGTTTGTAAAATAGGTTTGTCTCTAGGAAAAACTTTCAGGAACATCTCCTAAAAGCAAACTGCCAATGTTGGAACAACATTGTTTCTGATTCTTCCCATGGAAATGGGGAAAAATCCCCATAAATCATTTCCAAACTATTGCCTCTTCTCAGTATATCTGATCAGAATCAGAAACCCAGGTCTATATGCCTTCAAACTGGCTGGATGGGAAACAGGGAAAGGTAGGCTGTTTGGAATTATATTTATGGAGACAGAATCCACAGTATAAATTGTTAGTATGTGGATTGGCTGCCAAGAAAGTTGAGGCAGCTATGAATAGCAGATATTCCCTATCTGTACCTATGTACTAGACTGTGAAACGTCTAGAATGTCATACCAAGTAGTGAGAACTTTCTTAGTTAGGCATTGGGATTCAACAGTATTTAGTGCAAGGGAATGACATAAGCAAAGCTATCTTTTAGAGTAATACTTCTAACAAAACATGAGATTAATTTCATGAAAGAATATAGGTACGATGTCACTGTACAGGCAGGACAATAATGAAAAACTGCAGAACGAAGCACAGTAAAGAAACTATTCAGCACTTCTTCTTATTTAATCTTCATGAAAGCTTTGGTAGAAACTTCTCATGGGCACCCATACCCAACTGCCAACTGCCCTCTTGTTTAAGCCCCAGAAAGTACTACACTTCCCATCCATTTGTGTGTAACTAGCCCTGGTCAATGCAGAAAGGGGAATGTGTCACTTTCGAGTTCGAGTTGGAACATAATACATGACAGTGTGAGACCACCAATCCCCTCCCTAGCCCAACCCTTCCCTCACACCCTGCCCCTGCCCCGTGCTCATTCTTAGCCACAATGGAAGCACCTGCTAAAATAGATATTCTGTCATCCTGGATCCTTAGTGACTGGGATATGCAGAGCCTCCTGCTACTAATCAGAGAAGAGTACATAGTATGAACAAGATAAAAACCTGTGTTTGTTAAGCCACTGAGATTTATTGCCATTCTCATTTTTAGCTAGAGGCAATGATACTTAGAGATATTATCCAATATCATCCAGGAAGCCAGAAAGTATATCAAAGAAATGGGATTTGTTTTGTCATTGTGTGATTGTGTTTTCATACTGATTTTTAGGAGTTTTTTATTGAGGATGTTAATTTTGTAAAAGTTAACATAAATCTGTGGTTTGTATTTGGGTGCTTTGTCACAATGTCTTTATTTATTTATTTATTTATTTATTTATTTATTTATTTTGAGATGTCACCCAGGCTGGAGTGCACTGGCGCCATCTCGGCTCACTGCAATCTCCGCCTCCTGGGTTCAAGCGATTCTCCTTCATTCAAGTGATTCTCCTGCCTCAGCCTCCCAAGTACCTCGGATTACAGACATGTAATGCCACTAATATTTTTTGCATTTTTTTTCAGTAGAGATGGGGTTTCAAAATTTGGCCATGCTAGTCTCAAACTCCTGACCTCAAGTGATCCACCCACCTCAGCCTCCCAAAGCGCTGGGATTACAGGTATGAGCCATCCCACCCAGCCCACAATGTCTTTAAATTAAGCAAAATTTTAAATTTTGTAATAGGTCAATTTTTTTCCTAAAAAAAAATTTGTAATAGGTCAATCTTTTTCTTTAAAGTTTGCTGTTTTTTCATCGTTTAAGACATCTTTTCCCACTCCTTAAGTGATAACAATATTTTTTTCTAAATATTTTAAATTTGAGATGTGTGCACAGGCTAACTGATTTTGCGTATGGTATAGGTTAACAGCCTATTTTTCCCTAGACCTGATAACCAATTTTTCTAGAAACATTTCTTTTAGATTTTTAAATTTGTTGTCAGAGTTGTAATAACATTTTCTTTCTATTCTTTTAATCTTTCTCAATAACAATGATTATATCTCATTTCTTATTTCTATCTTCATATGTATATTTTTACTCCCTTCTCTTTTTCTTGGACAAGCTCCAAAAGGTTTTGTTTTTTATTGCTTTTCTAAAAAATACAAATTAAAAAAGCAGTAGAATTCATCTTTTCAACTATTTGAAAAGATTATTTTATATTTTTTACCTTGATATTTTATCTTTAAAAATGTCATTCTTTTTTATTGTCTTGTTTCCTTTTGTTAACCATTTTATGTAATTTCATTAGATTAGAACTAAGTTCCTTTGTTATTTCTTTCTTCTTTAAAAATTAGACACTTAAGATGACAAGTATTCATCAGAGAATAGTCGTTTTGGTGCTTATAGGTTTTACCATGAAGTATTTGACTTACTACTTTCTAAGCAGTTTGTAAGTTAAGTTTTAACTTTCTCCTTGATCCGAAGGTCATATTGAAATGCTCTCCTTAATTTCCAAGTAGTTATGCTTTTTATGTTCGCCTTTACATTACTTATTTTCAATTTTATTGGACTATGAACAAGAATATGGTCTACAAAATTCCTACTTTTTAAAATTTGTTGAGCTCTTTTTCTGTTAAGAGGCAATATGATTCTATACATATACCTATTAAAGTTAGTTTATTGACTGAGGTTTTCACGTCCCATAGGCTTTACACTTCTATTTCTACAGAATCTTCCCAATTCTGAAAGTGATATATTGAAGTGTTTTATTATAGCAATATCTTTAACAAGCTCTCCTTATACGTTTAATGGTTTTTTTTTTTTTTTTTGGATTTAGCTTTTATGTTGCTTAATCCATGCAGATTTACCATGAGTTTACCTTTTTCATAATTTGCACCTTTTCTCATTATAAAGTGTCTCTCTTTAACATGTTTTGAAGTTTCAGCCTTATGTTATAGTTATGTTGCCCCTTCTTTGCAGTCTCTTTTATCTATTCTTTTTTCTTTTTAAAATTAATTTTTTAATTGACAAAAATTATATTTATTTATCATATACGACATGTTTTGAAATATATACACATTGTACAATGGCTTAATTAAGCTAACTAATGCATGTATTAACTCACAAACTTATCACTTTTTGTGATGAAAACACTTAAAATCTACTCTCATTACAATTTCCCAGAACACAATACATTGTTATCAGCTATAGTCAATAGAGCTTTTGAACTTATTTCTTCTATCTAATAAAACTTTGTGTCTTTTAAATAAGATCTCTTCAACTCCACTTTTTATCTATAGCCCCTGGTAACCGCCATTTTACTTTTCTGCTTCTAGGAGCTCAACTCTTTTAGATTCCACAAATAAATAAGATCATGCAATGTTTTTCTTTCCACGCCTGGATTATTTCATTTAACATAATGTCCTATGGGTTCATCCATGTTGTCTCAATTGACAGAATGTCCTTCTTTTTCATAGCTGAATAGTATTCCATTGTGTATATATACACCACATCTTCTCTATCCATTTATCTTTATCTTTGTTTATTCTTTACTTTTACTTTTTGTATAATTTTGCTTTAACTTTTTGTAAATAGCATATAACTGTTTTTCTTAAAAAGTCAGAGTATATATTTTAATGAAAAAATTCAGTTCATCTGATTTAGTGTACTTATGACATGTTTGACTATTTTCTATATATCTTTATGTTTATTATCTACTTCAATCTTTTTATCTTTTTAATTTGACTTAATTAAGTTGCTATTCACTCCAATTAATTTCTATTCCAGTTTTACCTTTCAAGCCAATCTGACAGAATGTTCTTTTAATAAAATAATTTAGAACGTTCACATTTAGTGTAATGGCAGATGTAGTATATTCCATTCTTTGCATTTTTACATTAAAACTGCATCTTGCTTACTTGTTTTATCTTTTTATTTTTGATTTGATCAACTTTTTTTGATTCAGTTGCTACATATTTATCTTATTTTTTAATTTAACTTTCCAAAATGCTTTTTAATATCAGAATTTAGCACATTAAGTTTTAGTATAATTACTTGTATATTTGATTATTTTTATCATATGTTAACATATCGTTTTACTTTTTTGTTCTTCGTTTTTGCTTTTTGTTTGATCAGGGTGTTATTCATTCAAGGAACTATTCACTCCAGCTTTTTTCTCTGTCAGGTTGTAATTCTAGCATAGTGTTACATCTTATTTATGGTTTCTTACCTTGCTCCATGCACCATATACCTTTTTTTGTTGTTGTTAACTGTTCTCTGAAAACAGGACACTGGCCATGTCCTCTACTAAGAAGCTCTAGATTTCTCAGCTTAACCTACCACTTTAAGATGAGACTTTTAGAATACCTACATTCTCTCCATCTCTGAACCTCTTACCCCATCTGTGCCTGAGGAATTTTTAACACTTTTACATCCTTCATTTCCCCTTTTGTTCAACTCCTGGATTTTTCTGAAGTCACTTACACTTTTAATATAGTTATAGAATTGCCCTTGCAGTGTGTCTTTTCTATGTCAAGAATTCTTTTCTATGTCAAGAATCCTTACTTAACATTTATATCACAAATTGTACAGCTTTATCAAGTTAGATATTATTTATTATATGTGCATGTTTATTGAAAATATTGTTGTTATCACTTACTTTCTGCACACTTACTCTTCCTCTATCTTGAAGTTGCTGTTTTAATTTGTGCATTTTTATAAAAATTAAGCTCTCTTTGAATATTTTCCTCTGATAGGGCAAATTAATTATATGTTTTCTCAAATCATATATATTTTAAATAGTTTTCTACACTCTTAAAAGTGAATCATACATTCCTGGATAATAGGTTCTTGAGATTAAAAAAAAAAAAGTTATTCTATCATCTTCTGGCTTCCAGTGTTTCTGATAAAAAATCCGAAGCCAGTTGAATTAAGTTGACCCTTGAACAACACAGATTTCGATTGCGCGGGTCCACATATATGCAGATTTTTTTTCAATAAAAGTTATACCAAGTGTGCCTGTCTCTGCTACCTCCTTTCCACCTCTTCCACTTCTTCTGCCGATGCCACTCTTGAGACAGCAAGAACAACTTGTCCTGTTCCTCCTGCTCTTCAGCCTACTCAACATGAACAAGATGAGGATGAAGATTTCTATGATGATCCACTTTCACTTACTGAGTAGTAAATATGTTTTCTCTTCCTTATGATTTTCTTACTAACATTTTCTCTAGATTACTTTATTGTAAAAATACAGTTACATAAATACATATACAAAATATGTGTTTATCGACTGGTTATGTTGATGGTTATGAGTAAGGCTTCTGGTTAACAGTAGGCTATCAGTAGTTAAGATTTGGGGGAGTTAAAAATTATAAATGGATTTTTGACTGTGTGGGGGAACTGCTCCCCTAGTCCCTGCATTGTTCAAGGGTCAACTGTATTTTTCGTTGTTGATACTATTAAATTTTAATGCCTATTGCTGCTGATAGTTTCCTGAATGCAGACAGGAGGTTTCTAGACCTCAGCAGATTATTTACTCATCAAATAATGTGCCAGTTCCCCTGTGCCCCAATGTATCCCTTTCGGAGGAATGCAATGAGAATTAATGCCACTTTTACATATACAGTGTCTGTATTATAGGTGAAGAATGTTGAAAGTTTTTACATTTACCTAAGAGAAAGGGGCAGCTGTCTATCCTTCCCTTTGGAAACTGTTTCCTTGGGAAAGCAATGGGAAGGACCCTGAGTTCTTACTCTACCCCTCTGGAATATAAGTAAATCTCTCCAAGGGAAAGGTAAAACTAGACTCAACAGCTTTACAACCTATGGATTTCTCCCGTGTTCCGGATCTGATCTCCCTTGAAATGTAAATATATACCATTTACTTCAGCAGAAGTAAATATCTCTAAACTTCTATCTAGTAAGTCAAAAATTAACTTCCAGGCTGGTCTTTCAGCCCAGGTCCTAAGTTTTGATAAAATTTGTTTCAAAAGGACCTAACTGTGCAGAAAAATAAAAATGTTTACATCACCATAGATATTTACTGTATGTAAGCTTAAGAAGTTTCTCTGTATTCCCAGAATTCAGAATTTTACCAACCTAATGCCCGGGTATGTATATTTTCTCATCAATTTGCCCAGAACTTACTGCATTCTCTTAATGTGCAACTCAAGTATCTATTCATCATGAGGGCATCGTGAAATGATTATTACAGTCAAGCCAATTAACATATCCATGTCTCATATAGTACCTTTTTTCAATACTAAGAGCCCATAAAATCTATTTTCTTAGCCAATTACCAATATGTAATACAATTTTGTTAATTATAGTCCTCGTACCACACATTTGAGTGCCAGACTTATTCATCCTACATAACTGCAATTTTGTACCTTTGACCTACATCTCCCCATTTACTCACCCACCTGCCCCTACCCCCATTTCTGGTAACCACAATTCTATTTTATTTTTCTATGTAGTCTATTTGTTTTAGATTCTACCTATAAGAAATATCATGTCATATTTTTTTTCTGTGTCTGGCTTGTTTCACTTAACATAGTGTCCTCCAGGTTTGTCCATGTTGTTGCAAATGGTAGAATCTCCTTCTTTGTTAAGGCTGACCAATATTCTATTATAATGTGTGTGTGTGTGTGTGTGTGTGTGTGTGTGTGTGTCTCACAATTTCCTTGACCATTCATCTGTTGATGAATGGACCTCTAGGTTGTTTCCATATCTTGGCTATTGTGAATAGTGATGCAATGAACATGAAGGTTGAGATATCTCTATGAGGTGCTGATTCCATTTCCTTTGGGTACCCACGTAGAAGAGAAATTGCTGGGTCATGTGATAGTTCTATTTGTAATTTTTTTGAGGAATATTTATACTGTTTTTCATAATAGCTGCATCAATTTACATTCCTACCCACAGTGTACAAGGATTTTCTTTTCTTCACACCCTCACTTGTTGTCTCTTGTCTTTTTGATAGTAGCCATTCTAGCAGGTGTGAGGTGATATCTCACTGTGTTTTTATTTGCATTTCCCTGATCATTAGTGATGCTGAGTATCTTCCTCACATCTTTTGGCAATTTGTATGCCTTCTTTGGAAAAATGTCCATTCAGTTTTTCATCCGTTTTAAAATTAGTTTTGTTTGTTTTGCTATTGAGTTATGTGTGTTTCTTATATATTTTGGATATTAACCTCCTCAGATATATGGATTGCAAGTATTTTTACCCAATCCATAAGGTGCCTTTTCATTTTGTTGATTGTTTCCTTTGCTGTGTCTTTCTTGTTTATTTTTGCTTAGGTTGCCTCTGCTTTTGGTGTCCTATCCAAAAATGCATTACCAAGATCAAGGAGCATTTCCCCTATTTTCTTCTATCCCCTAGATTTCTTGAGGACTATAAAAGCCAGACAAGTTCACATGAAGCCGATATTAACTTTCTGTCAAGGGTCTAAGATCTGTTACATTCAGATCCTATTCTTGGAGCTGTCTGACTTTGCCCCATGAAGGAAAAAACAGTTCCAGCTATCCCTGGCTGGATTTCCTGAGGCCAAGACTCAATTACTGTTAGCCCCAGCAGTTGCTTGGCCAGAGAGGCACCTGGATTACAGTGGGGAATGGAAGCAAAGCACAGAGCTACAATTTGAATATATTTCCTGAAGGGAGAGACTGTTAGGTCAGAGAAGCTAAGAGATGTAAAGAGGCAAAATGGATAGTGTTTAACAGTGATTGTAGGTTGAGAATGAGGTGGAAAAATAAAGAATAATTGAAGACTTCTAGCTTGGAAAACTAGGCACCTAATGTAATAACAAAATCAGCTATTTCTATTTATCAAATTCTCATTACATCTTGGAGTTCATTGCTACTGCATTTTCTGCGGCTCACTCACTCTTTGAATGACACATCTGCTTTGAAAGAACAAGAATAAAAAAAAAAAGAAAGAACAAGATAACTCTAACAACTGTCATAAAGAGAAAAGGATACAGAAAACTCATTTCACCCACAGGTTTACTTAATGGTCAGGGCTACCCTGACTCCAATGTCTAAATGCACCCCCAACATCACCCCTATCGTCTTGTTGCCTGTTTGGCCATTGTCAGCTAAAGAACCTGGGAATAACATTCTTGGCATAAAAATCAATCCCAGTGTGAAGCTGAGAGGTTTGTTTGTTTTTTTTGTTTAAACTTCAGGTAAAGATGTACATCATGACACACTGTAATAAATTGCTTGGCATATTAGTACTCAGAGTGCAATTTTATAAACCTAACTCCAGCACTTTAAAGTATGCATTCAGATGGGCTTAATAAAGTCAACTGGTTTTGCTGACATCTAATAATCAGTAAGAGGAGCATTGCCATTTATACTTGCAAAACACAGTCTGTTTTATGTTATTTGTCCTTGTATCCCTGAAAAGGCATGGTATTCATGATGGTTTTTCACTCTGTAAAAGTTATAAAGCAATTCCACTTGTTTACTTAAGAGTTATATTTATCCATGTTCTTTTGAACAGGAACAGTTTTTAGTGGAAATATATCCTATGTTCTTGCTAGTATTAGACCTTGAAAACTAGAGTGATGATAATAATACTAATAATGGTATAGCTTCAAAAATGATGAGCAATGCAGGGAAAGATTAAAGACTGGGTACTAAGGGACCCAGCTAACTGGTGGAAGATGAAAGGAAAAAAAATAGCTGAATATAATGAATCTCCACTACAATGAATGCTGAACTAGAGGAGAACAGGAATGTAGAGTAGTTTACTCTCATATTGTTCCAGAAAGAATTTAAGACTCCTTACATGAATGAGACAAGATAACATAATGGAAATTTTAAAAGAACACAAAACAGGAATAAATGTGTAAAAATTAGTTTGAAATAAGTTTAATTTTAAAAATGCATGTTGCAAAACCAACACAAATGCTATGAAAAGCCATAAGTTTGACCCTGGGCTTTTCCATAGACAACTATAAAATGGAAATGCCATGTCAGTTACACAATTCCCATTATCTATAAGATGGAAACTGTCCAGTTGCTCACAAGACCCACCATAATTGTGGAAGATGAAGTCAGACAAAAATATCTCCTCGGATTCCCTGTGCAGGTAATTGTGCAGTGTAACGGCCCACATCCTGAACAGAATCTTTACAGTAAAGGAAAGAGTGAGAGTCACAAAAATGTTTCTTAAATTGTCCCTCAGCCACTCTGGAGCAACAAACGAAAGCACATTTTAGTTAAGAAAAAAAAAAACACTTAACAGAAGATACTAATAAAATAACGCAATAGTTCTCAAGTGTTTAGAAATTCTTAGCAAAGACAATATGGTGCTGTATGAGCCCTCAATGCTTTCAGGTCTCCAGAGAGTTCTTTATGACCTTTCAGAAATAACCCATGGACCTTCACTGGGCACCAGTGCTTTAGAAACAGTAAGAAGAGAGATGTTAAAGGAACTCAGAGAAGAGAACTTATTGGCTGGATGGTGAACTAATGACTCAATCTAATTTCTCATTCCTTTGGGCCCAGCTATCCTTGGATATCTTTCTGATTTTCATAAGATATGAAAAAAGTTTGGAGCTGTCATAAGGAGCCCCCTGAGGCATTCAGGATCCACAATCTTTAACTCAGAAGGGAGGGCCACTCTTCTATGAAAAATTCCAAGTTTGAGCCTCAGAGTCATTTAACAAAAATCAAAGAATCTGTTATCCTTAAACCAGAGAGTATGAAAGTAGAGATTTCAAGTGACCAGGAAAATAAAAGCAAGAAAACAGAATAGACCCTTTTCAATCTGAAGGTAATTTTGAATGACAGCAATAAACAAGAGAAAGAGATGATAGCAGAAGGGCTGACATAAATCAGTTTCCTGTTTACAAAAATCTTTACAACTGGATAATGACAGATCATCAATATGAAGTGAGAAATTTTACATTAGTAAATATCAAATATCAAAATAACAGTGTGGAAAAATTACTGCCATTTGCTTTTTCATATCTGCCTTCCAGAGTATTACCAGATCTTCATAAAGACTTGCATGTGGTAATTGCATATTGTTTTATTCTTCTCTAATCCTAGGTGCTAAATGCAGAAACTTGAGCTAAAGATAAAATGGGGCTTAAGAAGATCTAAATATTTTTACACTGCTACTTCAAGTTTTGAAATCTGAGTGAATGGGGAGCAATTCATTTTAACCTCCTAGACTTTCTGCTGTCACCCTAGTTTTACCAATCTCTTCAGCCACTAACTGCTTTTACCCAATGGCAAAAAAATTCATAAGTCATATCTTGAGACGAAGAGACTGAAAAAGAAATAGTTCTACCCGTGGCCCTAAGATCTACTCTTCATTAAGATGAATATCAATCTTAATGTAATCATATTGAAGGCCAGACAGGCTTTGATCAATGGCATCTAGGCGACTATCAGAGTAACTGTTCAGAACACACAGATAACAGCAAATGACAGGGACCAATTTCAGAGCCACGCTTTAAAGTACATCAAGACAGCAATGACAAAGACAAGATAAAAGAGCAGAGGCTGGAGGCTGCAGAAGTCTGAATCATAGTCTGACTATCTACTCCCCAATTGCACATTTTCACGTGGGAAGTCAAACCAAAAAGAATAGGAATCGGTTAGCCTTGCAATTAAAGGAGAGCAGTTTCCTGTGTTGCCACCTAGTAGAAAGATTTCCAAATTAGTATAAAGTTTCCAAATTAGAAGTCTAAATTTGAAGC
This sequence comes from Homo sapiens, assembly GCF_000001405.40. Lineage (NCBI taxonomy): Eukaryota > Metazoa > Chordata > Mammalia > Primates > Hominidae > Homo > Homo sapiens. Next base: position 64,320,382 of record NC_000010.11, on the reverse strand, counting down.
ATTCTAGAAGTCAAAATCACTTGCAAGCCATTAAGGATGAATTGATTTTCCAATACAGCAGCAGCAAGCTAAAAGCAGTTTCTGTTCCTTTGAGACCCCATCCTGTCATCAAATTCTGGCACTAAAATTAAGAAACTTGAGAAAGATTTAGTAATTATAAGCTTCTAATTGCACACTTTATTCTAATAAGATTACATGGTCATTCTGAGACTCTGAGCAAACGTTCTGAAATGGCCTTACCAGAGGTTTGCATAGAAGAGAGTTTCTTTCCTAATCTCAGTTCTACTCCTATGTAAGAAAATATCTTATTAAAGCATTGATAAAACCATTTCAATATCAGTACGTTTGCTCTGCCTTCTTCTAAACAAAAGTCTATTCTCATCACTGTCAGGTTTCCACTATGCTTCCCTTTAAATGTTCTCTCTGAAACAAATTCTAAACTGTTTGTTTTCAACAAGATACTAATAGGTGTTCTGTGAGAGGGAAAAAACGTTTACATAGGCAACTAAGCTTAGGGCTGGCTGGTAAAACAAACTAAAATAGATTTCTTAATTACAGGATTTCTCTTAAGCATTTACCCTCTCAATGAAGAAGAGGCAGCATTTAGCATCAGTTGAGCCCCTCCTTCTTTTGTTTTTCTTCAAATCATTATTTTTATCTTTCAGACTTAATTCCCATGGAACATAGAAAAAGCATCTTTAAAAGGCCATAATAAGAACGAGACTGTCAGGTGGAATTAGTGAGCCTCAGTTAGTGGAATGTACCTGTGGTACAGAAATATACTCCTTGAAGGCGCTTTATCCCACACGCCAAATCAACCTGGTGACCAGTTTCTCACTCGCTCTAGATGGAGAAGCCTGATCTTAGGGCTCCGATGCCCTGTGTGCCAGGACCCAAGCCTGTATTATACCTCTAGTGAATGTCTATCATCTTTACCATGTTACCAGCTTCAGCAAAGAAATGAGATTGCCATCTGTCCCTTTCTGACTGTGGGTGGTTTAGAAAAAAGGAGTATAACAGTCGAACACTATATAGGTCCAAAGGGAGGTAGCCTATCATCAGATTGTCAACCACAGCCTAGTTGGGTTAAATAAGCACATCCTTGGAAATCCAAGTTGCTTAGTCTATACCGGTAACTTCATATGGCCTTCGAGCATTAGACTGCCTGATTGTGAAAGTATTATTTGCTGTAGGTAGAACATTGATCATGGATGAGAAGCCAGGCCTGCTTCCTCTATCAAGCTGTTCTCTGAGATCTTTACTACAGAGAGTTCACCAGGATTCCCATATCCCTCCAGAAATGTCAGGCAATTCAGTTCAGAAGCACTCACCTTGGGCAGACATGAAATTTGATTAGCAGATAATCTATTACCAAAAACATATGCTGGCTAATAGAACCAGAAAACGGCATCCACAGAAGCTAATCCAATATCACATGTCTGGAATTCTTTCCAATACACCATATCATTTTGTCCATTTAATCTTCTCTCCATTCAGGTATGTATCAGCCCCCAAACAGAGCCATACCTAATCAAATTCTCTAAAGCATCTCTGTCCCCATCAATCCACCATTTTACTTCATAGCATTTAGAATTATGTTGTTTATGGTATTTACTATCTCTTTTATTCCATTAGAATAGAAGTTTATATGCAAGTATCTTATCCCCTTTGTTCCACTTTATCCCAAGTATTCAAAACAGTGCCTGACATTTAGTAGAATTAAAGCAAACCAGATGATCAAAGAAGAGAAATCCACACTTTCAGTTTGCAAAAATCTTAATTCCCAGCATTGACATTCCTTTATAGCAACATTCAGTCTATAAAGGGAAATTGGGATATCTTTTTCCATGGGAACTTTTAAGGAGATAATCACCTGCCTGAAGTGATTAAAGGGCTCTTCAACTTGGAAGCAGGACCCTGATTCTCATGGCCCTACAGGGGCGGGGTGCAGGGGGAACATTCTGTTTATATCTGTACTAACAAATCATCTCTATTCACCTTCTGTGACCCCAGTCTTGGATCTCCCTGGATTCTAGCAGTTACAAAGACCCAGACAGTTTCCCAAATTTCTTTTCTGATGAATTGCCTGGTGCATCTCATAATATTAATGTCCATGATTTTGGCTGGCAACAATTCTGGTGTAATTAAATTAGTGTCAGACTCACACTATTCACCTGATCAGTTTCATAATTTTCATGGTAAAATAGATATGGCCAAAAAATTCTTAAATAAAATGAAGTAAAAAAAATCTTTAATTCGTTTCGATGATTTTCAAGGACTGGGGAAACACTACAGGGTAATATTTTTAAACCCATGGAAACTATAAAATGCTGTCAGCTCTTAGCTATCCTGCCTTCCCAGTATAAAATCCCTAGATATTTGGATATGTTTGCACTGCTGACAGAATTTTTACTTTTAGCCTGCATGTTTGAAAAGTCAGTATGAAACATAAAACAATTTTTAAAATCAGGTTTGCTAAACCTAATGGTCCAAAGAAATACAATAGTGGACGACCTAAGGTCTGTTAGGTTTAAGAAAGAGGAGATTCAGTTGGGAAAGACAAAAGGTAAGAATAGACCAGTGGGGTCACAGGCTTTAATTTTACAAATGCATTCCAATATTCCCATTCAAGATATCTCCCTCAGTCAATGAAGTGAAGAGTAAACTCATAAGATTTACTGCACACAGCCCCTCTGCCATTATAATTCGGGGTGTGTATCTTTCCTCTAAATATACAGAAAATTAAGGTTTAGGTTAATTCAACTTCAAATTATTTTTAGAAAATTATCATTACATAATCACTTCTGGGAGAGAGATCACTCTTCTGAAGCTTACCTGAGTCTGAACATATTCTGAGTACCATTCCAATGCTTCATAATTACTATAGTATGAGTTTACTTGGGTTTGATGCAAATGCATATTTAACTACTGCAAAGAGCTTTTCAACCATGAAACTATATTTTTCTTGCTTAAGTACTTACTATACTCATATTTCATCATGAATATTTTAGGAGCTAACTCCCCCCAAAAGAGTTAACTTTGACTCAAAACAAACCTTTGAGTTCAGGCTTTAAGTCTTTACCTCCTTAAAATAATTAGGAAAAATCCTAATAATATACCAGCCCAAGACCTAATTTTTTATGTTGAATTTTAAACTCCCAATCTAAACGGATAATGATTATTCTCCAATTAAAATGATGATGTTCTATCTTGATCAGAAATTCAATACATATTTATTGACAAAATTATGTTCTTCTCTTGAATGTTGCAACATCAAATCATGATATTGCGAGGGAGATCATTGTGACATATGGCACATGGCCCCAGGATTTGCTCCAACCCAAACACTCAGTGTTACTAAGATAGGTATTCAGCAAAGGCTTAACAGAGTGATTTTCTCTGGGTACCTTGGTTCATTGATTTGATAGGATTTCTGCGCATATATATATATATATGATTTGACCAATCAAAAATCAGCTGTTTGAAGGGTGTTTAAGAAGGAAGGCAGCTATAACCAAACAAGTGTGAAGGACTAATCCTACTATTGTTTAGGGTCCTTTTTCCATTAGCAGAAGCCTGCCTATGAGCAGCAGTAAAAACCCACTTCCCAGTTCTGCTCCCATTGGACCTTCACATGCTCTGTCAGGCTCCCTGCTTGTCTAGCAGCACTGAATCTCTTTTACCTGTAACAACACCTCATAACATCTTGGAGGCCCCCGGGGAAGCACTAATGGTGATGGATGACCCACTGATTCCCTGAGGAAGTAGATACTATCAATACCACTGACCTGCTCTGCTCATTAGTAGGAGAAACAGCAGCTCCTCACTTGACAGGGGTGGTAATGGAGAAGGACTTCTGAGTTGAAACAGGAGGGTGAGCTGCCACTGCAGTAGGAAGGAAATATTTTATTCTCAAAACACAACTCCCAGGAGGAGCAGAAAGAGGAGTTGGTGAGGCATAAAGATTAGATTTTAGTCTCAATTCCACTGTTAACTAGAAATAACTGGAGGGAAATTATTTCACTTTTTGGTATCTCCATTAATCAATGTAGTCATAGCAAAGTAAATAACATTTATGAAACACAAATTATGTGCCAGAAAATGTGCTATTTTACATGTATTATGACATTACATCACATATTACTCTTTGGGATAAGTACTCCTGTTAGTAACCCCATTTTACTCAGGTAGAAATATGAGTTTTTGAGAGTATAAAAATTTACTCAAGCTAGTAACATGAGAAATTACTTAATGGGTACAAGGTACATCATTTGGGTAATAGATACCCTAAAAGCCCTGGCTTGACCACCATGACTGTTTATATATTTATATTTATATATAAATATATATTTATATTTATATAGACATATATATTTAAATATATATTAATATATAAATATTTAAATATATAAATAGTTTATATATACACATATATATATAGAGAGAGAGAGAGAGAAACAAAATTATGTTCTTCTCTAGAATGTTGCAACATCAACTCATGATATTGGGAGGGAGGTCACTGTGACATATGGCACATGGTCCCAGGATTTTCTCCAACCTAAACACTCAGTGTTACTAAGACAGGCATTCAACAAAGGCTTAACAGAGTGCAGTAGGAAGGAAAATTTTTATATAATATAATTATGTTCTTCTCTAGAATATATATACTATATATATATAGTAATGGAGACCTGGTTACCAGAAGCAGCTAATAGTAGTGTCGTATTTCTAACAAGATGTTGGATAGAACATAGAGATATCATGATTTGTAGTGCTTGGAAATCCACACAAATGGACACATGACTACTGTCATGTGGCCATTTGCAGGCTTTCAAATAATTTCCAATGCCATTTGTGTCTAACACTGCTCCTACATTCTCATACTTCCCTACTTCCACCTGGGTATCTTCTGCTCCCATTTGGACCATAGATGAATTATGGGTTTTTCATGGTTTGCTCATCTGTTTCCTCTGCCACACGTGATAGTTCTCTGTTGTGCTGTCACTTTTGTGAAAATGTTGGCATCTCTTTCGCTTTTATGTCCTCTAGTCATGAGGTTGAAAAAACCAGTGGAGCTTAATATTGGCTCACTCAGCCTTGGATTTGTAGATCACACTTCTTCTAGATAGGATAACTAGGGCAGAGAGTAAATACGCAATGTAAAGGTCCTTTTTTTCAGGTAATATCTTTTGTCTTTATAAAAAGGAACAGAAAGAGGAAAAAGGCAAACAATGCAGAGGCTATTCTTCAAGAATGGAATTATTTATTAGTAAGTGGTTATTTCTGATTAAATGTAGCATTAGGGGATCTGAAAACATCTTACCCTCCACAAAATGTCTCCCACACTCAAATACAAACTGCTGATATTGTTACCCTCCAAAAAGTCATTTATTTATATTAAAATATATTTTGTTAAAATATTAATATACTTTAAAGGGCATCTTTACCTTAATATAAAGTAGCTTTATTTTATTTTCAATTTGAAAACAAAATTGTCCCAAAGACAATGGAAAGTGCTTGAGGTACCACTGTAATTTAAGGCAAAAGATAGAAGGTTACTCTAGAGCCAGCTCTGGTCCTCTAAAGTCATTTTCAGTCCCTAAAAGTAACTAAAATAACAATTATGATTACATTGCTGGCTCATCCTTACAGTGCTACAGTCTTTATGTAGCATACATGATCTCATGCTCTTCTTATCTTTGAATGTTAGAATAGAGGAGAACAACATAGGGCTTGCCTTGCATGTAAGATTCTATGCAGATTAGAAAGAGGCCATCAGAACCAGGGACCCTGACCGATCCTCTCTGTGGACTATGGCGTAGATGACTGCTTGAGTTTAGAAATGTGAATATTCCATGCCCAACACAGGATGATAAGGTGTAGATCTTGGAATCTGTGAGAGTGCAGTAGAAACACTAGCTTGACTCTAAGTCCCATGAACAGCAAAGTTGCTCAGACTGCAAATTAGGATCCTGATGAGCAGATGAATGACCCTGACTGATTTAATGCTAAACCCTATGTTATTGTGGGCAGTGTAGAGGGAGCTGGGTGACTTAACTGCAGAAACACTATCTCTGTGCAGGAAGGTGAGCCCTGGTTTGAGGAAACTGAGGAAGAAAGAGAATAGATGCCAGAAATTCGGTGGGGTTGACATTAGGATTAAAGCCAACTAGTCATTTGCTCTGAACACTTAAGCAATAAGTAAATAAAAGAGTTTTGCTCTGTTTTGCCACCAGTTCATAAGCTAAACTAGACGTGTTATTTCTGTCTCTAATTTGCTCATCTATAAAATTGGATACTACTTAGTCTCTATCCCCTTCAGGTTGTTACAAAAACATTTTCCTGTGTTTTTATAAATAAACAAGACCATAAACATATTCTAAATAATGAGCTTCTAAGTATATAGGACATTGGACTTGAAATCAGAATCTCTGAGATTAAGATATGACAACCCTGGGGACAGAATCCTTGGTTCCTACTCCTTGCTCTACTAGTCACCAGCTGGATGATTTTGAGATTACTTTTGGTTACCTCATCTTTATGATGAGGATAATAGTAGCCCTACTACATGCAATAATTATGGGAATTATGTTAGTTAGTATAGGTAAAGCCTTAGAATAATGTTTATTTCATAATATGTACCAAATACACATACTATTGAATTTTAATCCTAGAACTGCCATTAATTCACTGTACGATGTTCGCCAAGTCATTTCGTTTCTGCAGGCTTTCATCTTCTATTTAAAATAAGGATTTCCATTTTAAACAAATGATTTTTAAAGTTCCTTACAAGGGTAAATTTCATTATTATCTACATAATTTTAATTTACTATACAGATCAGTTATACTGTGCGTTGCATATAAAGAGTTAAATGCTACAAACCTCTTAGTTGATAATGACATACTGTCATCAGCATCTTGGAAATATGATAGAAACAAAAATAATGACAGATAAAACTGATAATGCTCTTAGCAAAAGGAAGTGATAACTGAAAATAGCAATAGAGACACTCCTTGTGTTAATAAATGGTATGAAGAAAATATAAATGACTCTGTTGCTATAAGCCAGTCTGATTCTCTTAAGCAAAGAAATAAGACTGTAATTAATGCACACCATTTGCAAATATAGGGAAAGGAGACGATTCCTTAACCACTAGTTGCAAATCACAATATAGAAATTATAGCCAATTATTTTAAATGGACTGAAATTCTCATATGTCAGCAGTGAAATCAGTCCTTTGAGTTCTCCCACGCATAGCTCTTACATAGGCAAGAGAGCCAGATGGCTTTATGACCTCTACGTGCTACTGTCTGTGCAGAAACAGTGATTGTAGAGCTGTTCTGTTTCCCTGGATGCTTCCAGGGAAAAAGTCGGCACCAGATCGCTCCTAATGCTCAATGAGTCCTTGAAGCTTTGAAACCTACTTGTAATTTCCACCTGGGACACATGGATGCCAACTAGATCATATCCCAGACAAGTTATTGTCTCCCATTCTGCCAGCTAAGTTTCTTGACACTGCATTAGCAGAAAATCTAGATTAAGTAACCTTACTGCTAAAAATAGCATTATGTTTAACATTGTTCATGTTTGTTACTGGAAGAGCATTCTTTTTTTACTCAGAAAGCTTAAGGTGTTTCCACATTTCTATTTCCAATGTCAGTCACCTGAGTCCCTTCTCTTTCACCTACCCAGAGCAAGTTGACAGTAGTTTCCCTGCCTCCTGGATGTTTGCCAACTTTGTGCTCCACTCCCTGGGCCCTAAGCCCCTAGGTGCACAGTTTATACGTTCTATGTCAGGTGCCACTTTATTGAGCCCTGAATTATTTCTGAAACCTCAACCCTCTTATCGCTGGGTCCTCTGTCTTTTGCATCATTTTATTTCTAATTATTAATTCTCTAACTAATTGTTGTGACATTGGAAAGCACTGTGCTTGGTAATCCAAGTATACAGCCCATTTCATACTCATTGACCCGTCCTCATACCCTTTGTAAATAAAAGTTGAAGACGTTACCTTGAAATTTCTTCTAAATTTATATAATCAAAATACACTTAAGCCTGTGACCCCAAATAAGTGAACTGCCACTTTCAGTGAATAGTTGGGGCTCTTATCTAAAAAAAAAAACACTTTAGAAATAGATTACTACTATACATCATGAGATCAAATCAAACTTAGTTTCCAACTTGATTTAAAATATTCTATTGTCAAAACCCAATATATGCCTATTTTTTCCTCATTGATTTTAAAGCAATAATCTTTAGTGAGAGAATATGAATGCTTTTCTTATGCCTTCTGCCTATCAGAACACTTGTTTCCAGTCCTCTTACAATAAAACATTAAGAATCTAGTTCACATCATGCTGTAACAATAAAGTTCTGTAAAAACTGAAGGGAAATACATCTTCAGTGAGATTCCATCATCCCTTATTAATACCATAATTGAGGTCTATAAATCTGTTTCTTATACAATTCATGCAATAACATATTAATGGATTGTAAATGACATGTCATAAAACTAGGCATTAAGTATTGCAATTTATATTTAAATGTGCTTCAGACATAAATAAATGCTCTATAAATAGCAGTCTTTCTCAAGTCAGAAGATAGAGCCTTCCATTTACTTCTAGTAGACTTGGGAGCAGAGTCATGACAGAGTATGTTGCTGTCACCAAATTGTTACTGTAGTTTGGATGAAGTGGTTTTTGCTACATTTTAAATAGTTGATGATTTTCAAATTGTTCAAAAGTTCTTCAAACAGAAACAGCTGCAAGTACTGCCTTTATAAGTCAAGCCCCTTCAGAGAATGTCAGAACGTTTTTACCTGCCCTGAAGCCAGCTGGTTTGACAGAAATGCTACTGCCTGGTCCAAATAAAGACATGACGGAAAGATGAAGTAGAGTAAGAACATGGCATTTGGAATCACAAAAAGATCACTATCACACAAACTCCTCCTCTGTTCCTTTGTTTCATATGCTCTGTAAATGGACATGGAGACGTTGTGATGTTTACCACTAAGTAAACTGGCAGGAAAGACACAGTTAGTCAGGAGACTGTAGAGCAACCACTATTCACAGCACCCTTTAAGTAAGCAGCGTGGCTCAGAAGGAGTAAAAAGTACCTAGTGTAAGTGCTACTACGTGAAAATAAAGTTTTAATCCCTGCACAAAGTTTAATTCCATTTCTGTTTGGTACCTGGGATTCCAAAACAAATTCTAACACTGCAGTGTCTCTCATTTCTGTTGTGTGGACATACCTTGCCTTAAGTTGTGGGTATGTGTGTGTCTGTATGTGTGGCTCTCTGAGATCTCATCTCTGACTTTAGGAAATCTGGCACATCTGAATACTTCAATCAGTTCAAATGACTGTTATCCCTACACGAGTCTCACTACATAGAGGGGAATAAGCATAGACTCACGCATGTTTGCAAGATGACAGACACCCATTAAACACCAGCCCCACCACTCTTGGGACCTGAATGAGCCAGAAATATCTGAAGGAAAGTAGAGGTAATGTCCTGTCATGGACAGAGTGGGAGATGCCAAGTCTAGGCCTGAGATTTGATGCCATCTTAAGCCTCATTGGTATTTTATGGACAACCATGCCAGAATTACATTTTTTTTTCTTAAAAGGTGGGGAGGGCAGAAGTCCAGGGGAATTGGAACGAACTCTAACATCCATTGTACTATTAACACATGGCTCCATGAGTGTCAATGTCTCAGTCCTATCCATGAGATTCCTTCCTAGATGTTGCTTTACTGATCCCTACATCAATCCTGCCATTCCAACTCCAAATATAAACTATTTGCTTTGTAAGCTGCGTAGACTGTAATTTTATTTTTTCAAGTAATACATTCCCTGGGATTGAACTGAAACGATCCATCCCTGCCAATATTCTACTCTGCTTCTGCCTTGAAATATGACTGGGTCATCTGTAACCAGAAGCCCTGAAGGACACCTACAGGCATCACTCCCACCTACTGTCTGTGCCCCTCCCCTGCCTCCCTTGCTCTCCTCTTTGCTGTCCTCTCATGCAGCAGTTACTGAGCACCACTGCATGCCAGGCATGTTCTAGATGATCAGAGAATAGTATTTGTAAAGCGTATCACAGTTTATAGCTGTGAAGTTCAGTCATGGAAACAGATCTTGTGAATGACACATTATAAATGTCTCATTTTAGAGGTAATGAGACAAATTGAGAGAAGTGTATTCACTCATCTGAGGTCCCCCCACAAGCCCCCACCCCCACTAGAATATGTGCTGTATAAAAGTAGGAATTGTTCTCTGTTTGATCCATTGCTGATTCCTAGGCATCTAGAAGCGCCACTGGCACATAGTAAGCACTTAATAAATAAACAAATAGTTGCATTAATTTAACATCAGGCCAGGCGTGGTGGCTCACATCTGTAATCCCAGCGTTTTGGGAGGCCAAGACAGATGGATCACTTGAGTTCAGGAGTTGAAGAACACCCTGGCCAACACGGTGAAACCCCGTCTCCACTAAAAATACAAACATTAGCCAGGGATGGTGACGCATTCCTGTAATTCCAGCTACTCAGAGCTACTCGGAGCTACTCGGAGGCTGAGGCAGTGAGCCAAGATCATGCCACTGCACTCCAGCCTGGGTGACAGAGCAAGACTCCATCTCAAAAAAAAAAAAAAAAAAAAGTAGCATCATAGCTGATATGTGACAGGGCAAGACTGTAAGACTGAATCCAGGTCTTCTAAATCCAAATCTATGAAACCTGTCGTAGAAAAGTATGGTAGTTACAGTCACAGAGATCAACCTTGATTACGGATACAAGCAGCTATGTGTGCTATGTAATACCTAGATCTGTGCCTCATTTTTATCTGTAAAATGGGAATACTTTTTGAAATGATAAAAAGAGTTAAAGACTATAAAAGAGCTATTACAGTACCAGGCACCTCATAAAGTCTTCAGAAAAAAAAAAAAACACTTAGGTTTGTTTCCTCTTATATTATGTTCCTTCTCCTTTTTTTTTTTTTTTTCTTTTCATATGACCACCTCTTTCCCTAACCATTTTTTTCCTGGCTTTTTTCATTGTTTTCCAATTGTTCTTTACCTCTATCAAGGATAATCCACTAAATGGCTTAATTTTAAAGGTGGTTTAAAAAATAAAACAGGTTTATCTTACTCTCCCATGACTGCCTATTTGGAAACATCCCCTATGACTCCAGAACTAGAACAAAGTCCCAGGAGAGTCCAAGAGATTCACAAAGACTATGATTCTAGTATCTTGTGAGAATAAGCCCCTGTCCCATTATTTGTTCTTTAAAGAAATTTGTTCTTTCTCAAGCAATTATTCCATAGTGGTATTCTAACTGATTTCACCAAAAACAGTAATTCCAAACCCCCATACCTCCTTTTTTTTTTTTTTTTTTTAAGATTCTCTGTTGATGTAGATTTCCCTCAGGTTATCTCTGGTTGCTCAGCCCTTTTTTTTGTTTGTGTGTTTGTTTCTTGGCCACCAGGTTCTGTCTCATTCTTCTCTTTAATTATTGCTAGAGCCCTTTGAGTCTGCCACCCTCAGAAAATAGAGTTGTTGCTATTGGTTTCCCAGACACTGTCATCCTTGGTGATCTTTGCTCTACAGATTTTTCTTTTCCATAATAATAGCTTCCACCTTTTTGTCTAATTTTCAAAACTCACCTTTCTGCAATAGGAGTTTTATGTTCCCATGCTTGGCCATTTGGTCTTTTTAACTGTTTCTCACTTAGGGACTAATAATCAGTTTAAGGTACTGAATCTACTGGTGTTGAACTCATAGGCAGATTGGCTATCCTTCCTTTTCCTCCATGATTACACTCTATTTGATGATTTTACCTTTAAGTGTTCAATGTTGTGTTTAAAAAGTACTTCTTTGCATTGTAAATTCCACACATCATACTCTTTTCATCTCACCTATATTTTATGAGGCTTTAAACTAGTGAAACATGCTAGTTAACTGAATCTAAAGGACCTGCTTAATGCCACTCTCCATAAAGGAACTTGAAAATTTTCCATTTGAGGCATGTACATCTTTCCGGTTTCTTTAAATCTGGAGCTTCAGTTAGGAAACTATGAGAAACAAATATTGGCAGACCAATTTCATCAGATATGGCAATGCCTTTGCTTTGCTCTTTGCTATAATTTCTGTTATAAGAAAAGAAGAAACAAGTATTAAGTTCAAATTATCCATTTTAAAATAACTGTGAGCCACTGAAAAAATTTTAAAATAGACATATATAGTTTAGCATTTTCCCAGACTCTTTGTCCACTTCAACCTTTGTAGGATAATTCCTCCGCCCCCAACTCATTTATGTTGACAAACTTCATCCTTCACTCTGATTCTCCTGAACCTTTCACTGCAATGCCCCATCCAAACCTGCCCTCCATGTGCAGCCACCTGATGTAAAACATTCCCAACACCTCATCACATCTAAGTTTATCATATCACTCTATTATTCTCTTCTTGCCCTTCTTGAGTCATTAAAGTGACTCAAAACTAATCCTTAATTTTATGTTAATAGACATTAACGTCTAGAAAGGTGACCCTTCTCATGTGACTTAATTATATTTTAAAAAGGCCTTTAATGTGTAAATTTGAAATATTATTAAAATGGTTGGAATGTTAAGTTCCAAAGCAGATGAGCAAGTGAAATATAGATGGGTGATAAGGGGGGTCATGTCACCTTCTGATCACACTATGTAAAAAGCTTTTTGCTCTGAGCCTAAGCATGGCTGTCTCCGCTTATCACTGACTGTCACCAGATAACTAGACGGCAGAAGGGGCTGTCTCCAGTGGAATCTTGATGAACTAATCAACCTTCTTACCTTTGGAGACATAGTGAGTATGAGTTATTAGCTGAGTTTCTGAATGCAAACAGTCAATGCTCTCTGAAGGGGAATCCAGTCACTCAGACATTAAGCGGGTATTTTTTTAAAAATCAGTTAAATATAAGGTTTAAATTTTCTATATAGCCTGAAAAGTTTGAATGTTTAATTCAAACTAATTTATTGAGCAATGGCATTTAAGAAAATGGAAAGATACAAAGGGACTTTCATCAGATGATAAGTGGATAAGAGAGAAAAATGCAGACAGATGAGCCAGAGTTGTGTAAAAGCTGGGAGGCTAGCAGGGCCTTGTAGATAGCCAAGCTGACTGGGGAACAGAGATAAATGGGAGCAGAGATCAGAAAGTTCATCCTTACCCTGCTGCCCGTGGTGAAAGGAGACTTGCAGTGTGTGAGGTACCTGTCTCTAATCGCATGTAAAATTGCAAAACCTGCAGGGTTACTTTGATATGAACAAGGTTAATGTGCTACTCAAGATTAATTGTGGCTTCACAGAGAAATTTATTGAGGATGAGGGAATCTGAAAGTGAAAGGAGGGGCAAACGCCTTGTTAGAGATTCATCACAAGGGGGTGATGGATGAAAGCCTTCAGAAACCAATAATAGGATTTTAAAGATTCACATAAGCAGTATTAAGGCAATCTCCAGTGCTTACCTTAGACAAACTAGAGTTAGTGAATGGCAGAGTAGTGTGGTTAAAGCTGTGAGGGGAAACACAACTGGCTATTCCACAGTGGGTCTTGTGAACTGTCTGTGCTTTGGTTGGCTGATAATGGGTCCTGGGTTTAGTTCTCTACATGATGCTTTTATAGATTTAACTGTAGATTGATCATTTCAAAGACATCAAAATAACCATCAGAAGGGCTGATAGTGGTTATGAGCCTCTTAACTCTATAGTGAAACAGACCTGGACTGGAGTCTCACCTATACCACTCATTGGCTGCACAATCTTGGGCAACTGACCTAACTTCTCAAAACCTCTCTCCTTCATAAGAATAACAGGAAAAAAATAAATGTGCCAATTTATACTTTATTTCAAGCATTAAATGAGACCATGAATTTCAAATGATTAGCAGAGTCCTTTAGTGCTCAAGAAAATGAGATGTCATCATCAGAATGATTTTCATTGTTGTCACGATCAGAGGTAATAGTAATCACAGGTACAGAAACACAACAAAGGAGCTGTAGAGTCAAACTGGGGTACCCAGTTGATATAGTTTGGCTGTGTCCCCACCCAAAACTCATCTTGAGTTGTAGTTCCGCTGGTGGGAGGTAATTGAATGATGGGGGCCGGTTTTTCCTGTGCTGTTCTCGTGCTAGTGAATAAGTCTCATGAGATCTGATGGTTTTATTAAGACCAGTTCCCCTGCACATGCTGTCTTGCCTGCCACCACGTAAGACATGACTTTGCTCCTCCTTCACTTTCTGCCATGATTGTGAGTCCTCCCCAGCCATGTGGAACCGTAAGTCCATTGAATCTCTTTCCTTTATAAATTACCCAACATCAGATATTTCTTATCAGCAGTGTAAGAAAGGATTAATAGACCAGTGCACCATTCCCACCAAAGTATTCTGTGTTATAACCAGAATATCTATGATTGGTTTTTCTCTTCCATAGATAAAAGAGTAGAATAACCATCTACCTCTTCTTTATTAAGAGGCTTATCAGGCACAAAAAGTGTTTGTCATTACATCATCATTTCATGTAGAACATGTTACAATTAATTAGATCATGCTTATCTTACTTTTGGAATTCACTGCTGTTTTAGATGAACTTGAGTAGGTAACCTGGACTCAGCTACATTAACTGTATATTCTTTCAAGGTGTAACTTTCTGGGGAGATTTCCACAGATGGCTAATAGATATGTGAATTCTTGCTACTCTGAACTTCAGCAGGTAACGTGCTTTAATTTTGTTCACAGATTCTTAGATTAAATATGGTTTTTGAATTCTGATGTTCTCCATGTATTTACTGAATAATCTATTGCTTTCTTAAAAAAAAGAAGAAAGAAAGAGAAAGAGGGAAAGAAATAAAGAGAGAGAAAGAAAGAAAGAAAGAAAGAAAGAAAGAAAGAAAGAAAGAAAGAAAGAAAGAAAGAAAGAGAAAGAAAGAAAGAGAAAGAAAGAAAACTAATTAGGCCATGAAGGCTCCTCCATCATTAAGGGGGTTAAGGCTCTTATGAAAGAGGCTTCATGCAGCATCCAGCTAGCTTGCTTGCTTGTTCCCTGCCCTCCTGCTGTGTGAGGAAACAAGAGATCAGCACTCACCAGACAACCAAATCTGCAAGCACTTTGATCTTCGACTTCTCAGTTTCCAGAACTGTGAGAAAATAAATTTCTGTTCTTTTTGAATTACGCAGTCTCAGGTATTTTGTTGTAGCAGCACAAACAGACTAAGACATTATCTTTGATGACAAAGACTCAGATAATTCAGCAATCTATTCTAAGCTCATAATAACAGTTTGCAAATGACCAGTTAGAAAACTGTGCCCATGTGTTTGCAGTGGAATTTGACATGTCTGAGGCTGTGAAATTATGGCTAAAGGAATTATGGTATAAAAATCTTGGCTTAATTATAGCCATAGAAAACATAACAATGGTGACAAGAATTTCTTAGTAAAGGTAGGAAAAAATGTGTTTTCTTTTAAGAAAGGAGGGAATTTGAAGATGACCTCCTTGCTAGCATGTCACACTGAATAACAAAAACAGAGTGCATCATCTGTATTTTTAAAATTTATTCAGCATTTATTAAACTAAAAATAAAAGAACACTATTACAGACTCAGGCGGTGTGATAGCAGTGAATAACATAAATTCAATCCCTGAAGTCATGAAACATTCTGAACAGTGGGAGGAGAATCAATTCATAAAGAAAAATTAATAATAAATATGAGTTCATGCTATAAAAAAAAGCAAGAAAATATGGCTAGAATTACATATAGAGTAGACGTGTAGTTTGGGAGGATTATATTCTGGTCATTATTGATTTTCTTTTACCATATCCAACATTCCTTGCCCCTTGCTGCAGAACAGAACTCCCATTTGTCTTTGGGAAAACAAGTTCATTTCTACCCTCAGTCTATGAGTTTCAGATAATGTTTACTGCACCCCCAACACACACAGAGACAATTACAAGTTCTCATCTCCACCTCTGGGGTGGATATGTAATCTCGCATATCTAATCAGAGCAATACAAACCTTGGCCCAAGTGATTAGATTGATTGGATAAATAAGTGGCACATGATCCAAGCTGAGCCAATGAGAACCTTCTTTGAGACTTTTTTGGAACTATTGGGAAAGATACACTCTCTCCTTCTGAGATCTCTGCTGTTAGGACCATGTAAGTAGAAGCTACTAGGGGTCACCTTTGTAAATAACAGAGAAAACCTACCTGAAAATGACGCAAAAGTAGAAGTATAATTGAGAGATGAAAGACACTGAGCTTACTCTGTTTCCTGAAAACATGCATCTAGCCAAGACTAAGCTATCTGAAAACTTGAAAATATGACTTTTGTGTTATGTGAGCTAGCTAATTTCCAATGCTATGCAAGTTAATTTAAGACTTACCTTTTTTGTCCCATATACATGAAAAAGTTTTTATTAATTTGGCAATTAACAGTGGCTGGGCATTTACTGCATTCTAGGCCCAGCGATAGCTAACACTGTGTGCTGTTACAAGAGTTATCACATTTAATCCTTATCCTTTTTTAAAAAAAAATTTTGGAGATAACAAGTGTGAAGTTTAGAGATCTCACATAGCTTGGCCAGGCTCACAGCTTGCAAATGGGAAAGCTGCAATTAAACTCTGAAGACTATGCTCTTCAACAAAACACAACACTGCTTCTCTGTTCAGGCAGCTAACAGCACTTGCTGCCTTATACCTCAGCAAACTCTGCCTAAGCCCCTAAAGCCCCAGGCTACTGGCCTGGAAATGGTTCAAACAATAATATAGCCAAGAGAAGTCTAGAACCCTTGAACGCTAGGTCTTCTCTGCCAATTTCTGCCTAGAATAAAATCAAAAGGACAATATATCCAATGCCCTAGATAACCACAGCTACTAAGACCCATTTACATAGGATGCATTCTTTATATTTAGCACTCCCTAAAGCATATCTTAAATTCTACAGGCAGCCCAGGATCTTGTTTATGCAGAAGGGATAGGAGAAAATAGAAAAAATCTTCAAAAATATTTTCTCTATATACTTCTAGGAGACCATGTAATATACTTTAGAATAAATGTGTGTGTCTGTATATACATACATACTTATATACTGTATATATACAATTACATATACATGAATAAACATAACTTCACTATATACACATATACATTATGCATATTTATATAGACATATGTAATGTACATGTATATATTTGTATATTTGAACATTTATGCATATAAAATACATTTTCTAGAATGAGCTAACAATTAACAAAATAAGACTATCCTAGTTTAAATGGAAAATGGCTAAATTGGAGTTGAAAGAGCTCGAGAGAGTGGTTTAACTTATCTTTAATAAGTCATAATTTGAGATTTAAGAAAAGTTATTCTTTTAGGCCTAGAAATAATAACTATTTCTGAACATTTGCCTTCTATCTCTAAAAATTACTAGAGCTCATTGTGGATAATGGGTATTTATTAAATAATAACTTATTCAAATCATTTGAGACTACATAATAAATAGAAACCTGATTGACTTGTCAACTGAGGTCTGGAAGAATTTATAAAGTAATTGCACATATAACTGAAATAAAAGCAATCAGACTGTGCTTTTACCAGTTTCCATAGCAAATTCACTTTCTCGTAGTAGAGAAGTTGGGAATGGAAAGGGCACAATGACGACTAGCACCACATTCTGCCAACAGCCCCTCCAAGCTGCCTTCATTCATTAACCTAGCCTAATCTTTCAAACAAGGTAGATCTACACCATTGGACTAAATCTCAGTCAATTCTGGAAATCTAAACAATGTTGAGCAGTGGAACGAAAGGTGAAATTCTCATGGAATATGAGACAGTTAAAATAATAATATCAAACCTCTTATTTTT
This sequence comes from Homo sapiens, assembly GCF_000001405.40. NCBI lineage: Eukaryota > Metazoa > Chordata > Mammalia > Primates > Hominidae > Homo > Homo sapiens. The sequence continues at coordinate 64,302,485 of NC_000010.11, read as the reverse complement.
ATTTTCTAGAAAGAAAATCATCCATAGTTAACTTTGATTTACAATGACTGTTTTCTTCCCATGCTTACCAGCATCTTAAGTTTTTCTAATAATACGGTTGCATAAAGTTACTTCGTCTATCTAGGCTGAATAATTCTAATCTGTTGCTAGATACACATATTTCAGGTTAGTCCACAGTTCATTGTTTGAGAAAGATTACTAATATAGATCAGTAACTTAGAATCACCCTGTAGTTTTAAAAAATAAAGATACCTGGAGTCCACCTGAGATCCACTGAACCACAATGCCTGGGCATGAGGCCCAGACATGTGCATTTCTCTAAAATTCCAACAATAATTGTCATGAAAATCCACCACTGAGAACAACTGAATTCCACTGAGAACAACTGAATTCAACAATTTCTAAAGTTGTTTCCAACAATAATTCTGTAATTTCTTTGACTTAGGCCTTTAAAAACTAACCATTTTTTAATGAACTCATAAATCCTTCTAGAACAATTAATTTTGATGAACTCTATAAATATGTCTCAAAAGCAGTTGCAAAAGTAGCAGTGTTTATGTTCAGGAATGCCTTCAAGTCAAGTAAAAGTCATTAGTTGCATAAATAAATAGAACTCTTTTTCCCTTCATACAATAAAAAGTCTGGAGATACACAGTTATTGACTTGACTCAGAAGCTCAGTGAGGTTAAGGTGATCTCTCTAGTCACAAAATGACTTTTGCAGTCCCAACTACCCTGACTCCATTCAAGGCAAAAAGAAGGGTGAAGAACAAGAAAGGATGGGTAGCTACAACCATCTCCTTTAACCAGGAAAGCAAAAACCTTAATAAATACCTTTTGACTAGACTTCCAAGTAGGTATTCTCGACAAAACAGGGTCTTAAGGCTGCCTCTAGTTGTAAGATATCCTGAGAACTGGTTTGTACCAGCCATAATCTATTGCCAGGGCCAAATACGTTGTCATCATGCCAACTGAAAAAAAAAATAAAAAAGATTCTGATTGATAAGTAAGAAGTTGGATATTGAATAAGAAACATTGCAAATAATTAAGTCAACTTTAATGAAAAAAGAGATAAAGTTCAATTATACTTTGTAATAGAAAATCATAATACACCATAATATAAAAAGTCCATATATTTATGCAATTTCCAAAGAATAATTTCAAAAAATTTTTGATAAATAAACTCATGGGTCTAACAAATGCATATTCTCTCTAAGATAATTATTTTGAAAAGTAACATTTATTTGGATGCATAAGTTCTTATGTTACATCATCTATTCCACCGATTTAATCAAAGACCATTATTGTCTTACACTGCTAATCCAAGATGTTTATCTAATAAGAAATAAATCAGGAGCAAATATAATTGTTTTATTTAAAGTCACTGAAAGAATTTTAAAATCCATCAAACCTTTGTTCAGTTTGACAACAGGTATAAAAGCCTTAAGATGTGGCACACATTATTGGCCTTGGCCATTCATTTTAGAGAATTTTATATATAGAATATAATACAAAACTATCTACAAATGTTTGTTATTTTAACAGCATAAAACTTTTAACTTATTGAATTGTCCAATAACAATGGATTGTTATATGAAATATACATTCACGTGCTGGTATACCATTTAGTCATTAAAAATAATTAACAATCAAGAAGACTACTAATCACCTGGAGAAATGTTCAGGACATATTAAATGAGAAAAAAATGTACCAAATTATATGCAGTATGATCCAAATTATTTATGTAATAATTTATTTATGGAACACATGCTAGATGTTAGTATTCGAATGTATTTATTCATTACTAGTTATTTGAATGTATTTGTTTCATTAGATTCTCACAACTGTATGAGATAGGTTATATTATTCTCCCCATCCTACAGGTGAAGAAAGTGAGGTTTAGAACGGTATGGTAGTTACTCAAAAACACATAACTAACAAGTAGCAGAGCTAGAATGTGAACTCAGGAGGCCTAGTTTTAGAAGCTGAGCGTATATGTCTACAACGATATATACCTACAGAACAATTTTGGGAAAATGCACCAAAAGGATAACATAAGTTATGTCTGAGTGGTGAAATCACCATGTTTCCTATATTTTTAGAAATTTTCAGATAAATATATATTAATAATAATCAGAAAGTATGATGATTATTTGATAGGCTTTCAAATCCAGTAATCACTTAATAAGCTTTTAAACCTGATTTGGTAGGCAATCAAATCAGCCAGGGCTCTACTCAACAACTCCTAATAATATGAACTCTACAAAGTGTTATTCATCTGTACTGAAAAATGAGACTTTTCTAAATTCGCAATTCATGAAATAACAGCTTATGCAAGGTATCTCCTATACAGTTTTCTTTAAGTTCAATAGTCTTGTTACAGACATCATAAACTGGATTCATAGAAAGGAAATAAAAGTCATGAAAATTCATCCATTGTTTCATAAAATCAAGAAGAAAGAAAAAAGGAAATCCTTAAAATATATTTAGAAACTACATAAATTGCATTCAATGAACAAGCATGAGCCAGTAAAAGAACCTGGAGAACCTATACATAATGATGTATAAAAATATCTCCAAGACATTTTCAAGTAAAAAACCAAGAGTAAGAACAACACAAAAAGAAAATATTTGTGCTCATTAATATGCATGGTATGTATATTCAGCATTGTACGAACCTCCAAATATATAAATACATGCATATAAATGAATAAAAAGTGGTCTGAAAATACCTTTATCAAAACCGTATAGCCCAAGGTTATTAGCATATTCTGGCTGAGGAGTAAACTTGTGTGGAGAAGTATAATGGGGGAGCTTTGAGTTTTTACTTTACATAAACCTGTTTTATTTATTTATTTATTTATTTATTTATTTCCAGACAGGGTCTCACGCTGTTGCCCAGGCTGGAGTGCAGTGGTACATTCATGGCTCACTGAAGCCTTGACCTCCCAAGCTCAAGCAATCCTCCCACCTCACCCTCCCGAGTAGATGGGACTGGAGGCGTGCCTCCATGCCTGGCTAAATTTTGTACATTTTGTAGAGATGGGGTTACACCACGTTGCCCAGGCTCATCTCAACCTCCTGGGCTCAAATGATCAGCTTGCCTTGGCCTCCCAAAGTGCTGGAATTACAGACATGAGCCACCCGACTCTTAATCCAAGATTTTAAAATAATGTATCAAATATACTCATGTTATACAATTTTTGAAGGAATGTAAATAATTGCATATGGATTCTCATAATTGCCATTATTCACAGTCACCATACTTACTATAGTCCATTTGGATTGTTGATGTTGTTTTACATATGTTAATAATAACTCTTTTATATACTACAGCATGTGTTTGATCAGTACAATTGTAGAAAAAAAAGGAAAATTAGTTTGCCTCCATAAGCTTAATGGGAGCAAAGCTAAATGGATTTTTACTTTTGGTTTTGAAAAGAAAAAAATGATTGTTCCATCTGCAAATAGTGTTGACTATTTGATTCTATCACAAAATGAATATATGCATAAAAAAAGAAAGTGGGCAAAAACAGTAGACATAGTTTATAATGCAAAATTTGTTTTCTTCTCTGTGCAACAAGACAATTGAAGCATTCTGCATGTATAGTTAGAAATATATTGTAGCCCACGTATTGAGTCCATTTGACCCAGAACAACGATATTATTACATTACACTTTTCCTTTCTTCCTTTAAAGGTATTTCTTCCCAAATGAAAATTGAAGGGAAAACCCTTTTTTTCCTTCAAGCCCTGAATAAATAATCAGCTATCACATTCAGATACACAACAAACAAAAACACCTAGCAAATCAGTTTAACCAGCAATATCGCAATATTCTCAATAGAATCACTGTTTAATTTAATGAAAGATGTTATTGGAGAAGAAACTTATCTAGTAAGGTATCAGTATAGACCAACATCCTTTGAAGTATTAATTTCCTTAAAATATATTTCTAGTAATATTTAACAATATTTACTTACTGAACAGCAATTAACACATATTAACTACTTGTGCTTTTTAGAATTTAATGAAGCTAAAGGGATTATTTTAGCCAAGTAATTTGGTTTTGCCGAAAATGATGCTGGTACACTGTTAAATTCAAGCCGTCTATTTAAATAAGTTAGATTTTTTTTCCTGAATGTTTATTTCCAGTGATGTTCTATTTGTTAATATATAATCTTTCAAATCTGGCATCTTTCTTATGATCTGAGCTTTGGCAGTGATTAATTCTATATTTTTAAGCCAAGTGCTTTCTGGGCCTCAGATTTCATATCTGTTAAACGGCCTTCATAGTTTCTTCTTTCACTGAAATTCTATGAAAAGTTTTGTAATTATTTGGGCAGTTTAGAAAATAAGCACAGAGAATAAAGTAATTATGTTCAGTTAACCCTAAAATTCTTCTTTTTTTTTTTTTCCGAGACGGAGTCTTGCTCTGTCACCCAGGCTAGAGTGCAGTGGCATGATCTCGGCTCACTGCAACCTCCACCTCCCGGGTTCAAGCAATTCTCCTGCCTCAGCCTCCCAAGGAGCTGGCACCTTAAAATTCTTTAATGCACAATAATATATTGTAACATCTTTTTTCCCTTGATTAATCATTATTACAGACTCAGGTTTCATGTATCTGTATAACATGAAACAATAGTACTTTGAGCCTTTCAAAAATAGAAAAGGATCATATAGAAAAAGAAAGAAATATACTTTAAGGAAATTAATACTTAAAAGGATGTTGGTCTACATTAATTACCTAACTAGACAAGTTCCTTCTCCAATAAAATCTTTCAATAAATTAAACAATTCTATTGAGAATATTGTGATATTGCTAGTTAAACTAATTTGCTAGGTGTTTTTGTTTTTTGTAAATGTAAGTGCAATAGCTGCTTATTTTATTTGAGGCTTGAGAAAAAAAGGAAATATGAGTCGATTTCAGATTTAGTAAATAGTTTCCATTATATTTTCAATTCATAGTTTAAGCAAATCTTGCCTACAATATTTAAAATGGAAATGCTTATCTTCATGGAGATATGATAATATATAATAGAACAATTCCAGGCTGAGGGTGATACTGAAATAAGAAGAATCTAAAAGTACAATGGTACAGTGCCTGGTTCAGTATTTTTGCTCAGCAAATACTTAAATTTATTTCAAATATTTCCAAATTTGATAATTATCTTAAGTTCCAGATGTAAAATGAATTAATTACTTTGAAAGGGAATAGTGATACTACCACAGCCATCACAGAATGTGGAATTAACTGTTCTCCATTATGCAATTCTCGATAGTATTTGCTATCACTTTAATGTATCTTACTAACCTATTAAATAATTCATTCAGAACATATTTATTGAGGAATTATCATTTTACCCACACTATTCTAAGCATTGGGGATACTGGAGCATATGAGGCAGAACAAAACCCTTACCTTCATGGAGCTTCCATTGCAGAGGAGGAAACAGATATAAACAAGATAAAAAGTAAATTATATAGTACATTACATAGTAATAGGTACTAAAAAGAAAATACATGGCTGGGCGCAGTGGCTCACGCCTGTAATCCCAGCACTTTGGGAGGCCAAGGTGGGTGGATCACGAGGTCAGGAGGTTAAGACCATTCTGGCCAAGGTGGTGAAACCCCATCTCTACGAAAAATACAAAACTTAGCTGGGCATGGTGGCACGCGCCTGTAATCCCAGCTACTTGGGGGGCTGAGGCAGAGAATTGCTTGAACCCGGGAGGTGGAAGTTGCAGTGAGCCGAGATCGCGCCACTGCACTCCAACCTGGGAAAGAGAGTGAGAATCCGTCTCAAAAAAAAAAAAAAAAGAAGAAGAAGAAAATATGTCTATTTTCAACCATTTCCTTGAACCATAGACAGCATTTCTTAGTCATGGGTTTTGTTTGGCTTGGAAAGCAAACCTATTCCAAACCTTTTCATTTCTAGAGGAATCTGAGTTGTCATTTTTTGACCTTTTTCAGTTCATATATACTCCTATTATAGTATAATCAGAGGCTTACAGTATCCAGATTCACCAATGTTTGGTAGGAGAATAACAGGATGCTTTTAAATCCCTCTTTCATGTAAATCTCCTATGCACTCATCTCCCACAATTATACTGGTACATTTCCATAGTCTCAAGAAGTCCTCAGTATATGTTCAGGAATGTAAAGATATGGTCGGCCTTGGGTGTCCTACTGAGCTTGCCAATAAAATTCTGGCTGAAGAAGTCAAATTATACAATGGACTATTCCCATCAATTAAACTTTATGCTTTCCCCATTAACTAGGCCACCTACTGGGGCACAGGGACACATGCAGACATCCATAATTGTTTAGTTCCAATAAACAGAAACTTCCACTACTATAAAGGATGAGTGTGATTACCCAAATTTGTTTTTTGTGCAGGTCCTATAAAGACAAACCTCAGGGCAAAAGAAAAGCTGAATAGTTTGTGCTTAAAAATCAGCAATCAGCAAGCCTCAAGTGCCGGTAGATGTAATACATTATTGACTAACTCTTGATTACACTGAGAAAGAGTGGGACTATTGGCAACCCATGCTTTCATTTATCTTACGAGTGAAACACACATTTTTCTCTGTCCCCTAGGGACCAAAAAGAATGCTGGACACTGAGTCAATCAGACACTTGCTTTTTCTTCAAGGAGTTGACAGACGGATACCGACACCTAAACAGAGAGTATCCCAATGTCCTATCCTAGGTAAGATGATAAGAAATGAATAGGGATGTATAGGACCTAGAGAAGGTGTACCTAAATTAATTTTGAAAGAGGTTGAGTAGGGAGAGGGGATAGCACTCAGAAAAGAAGTTCTGGAAATAACTTATGCCTGAGCTGGGTTATCTAGATGAAGGAAGGAAGAAATTCAAGGACATAAAAATGAAACCCTGTGATGTGTACCAGAACTATAAGCAGTTCAGTGTTGAACAGGAATAAATTTGATGTGAAGAACAGTGAAAAATAAGCCTGAGAAGATGCAGGGGCCAAATTCTGGAAGCTTGGACTTCACTCCATAGGCAACACCTGAGGCATCGACTTGTGTTCAGAAAGAGGGTGGTACTCATTCAGATTAGTGGAAGGTGGCAAGCATGGAATTGGAGGTTATTAGTTTAATCCAGGAAGGACATAATAAAAGCCTAACTAGGTAGTAGATGCTGGGATTAAGCAGGAACATTGCCAGGACTTGGCAACTGACTGATATGAGAGTGAAAAAAAGAAAAGTCAAATATAACTGCCAGACTTTTACCTTGTATATAATGGGTAAAGAACTTCTGGGGCGTCCCAGGTTAAGGGGTTTGTTTTCAGAGACTATTGTATGCCATCTACACTTAGAAGACCTGCAGGGAGCTGTAAACACAGCCTTTTGAGTTTCATGTCTTTCTCTTAAAGGTGATCCAATTTTCATTTTAAAAATTTTTTATTAATTTAATTAAATTTTAATGATTTAGATATAAATGTTCAGGATAAAATGTAAGAAACACAATAGAATATACTGTGTTCCCCTTTGAGATGCTTCTGTAAAGACTTTCATTACAAATAAATTTTTTTCTTGCTCACTGTGTGGAGCAGGGGAAGGATGATACAGATAGTTAATAGAGTTTATAATTCCATTAATAATAATAATATTAATAATAGTCTACAATTGAAAGGAAGAAAGGAGAGAGTATATATCATATATTAATTTACTCTTCTCATGAAAATTCATTATGTATCTGTTACTTTCAATTTACAAATGGGAAAAATACATTTTATAAAGGTTAAATAAATGGTCCCAGATGACACTGAAAGTAACTTGTAGAGTCAGATTTTTTAAATAAATAAAATAAGAACTATCATTGACAAAAGGTCTAATTTACATCTAACCATCATATTTTTATATGTTCCTTAATTCAGTCTCTTGGGGTAGGTAGCAGTGTTTTGATTTTTTTAATTTTTATTTTTTGCCAAACTGTCTTGCAAAGTGACTACTATTTTGCATTCCCACCAGGAATAAATGAGAGTTTCTGTTGCTCCACATTCTTACTGCTTTGATTTTTATTATGCACTATAGCAGAGATTTGCCTATCCTTGAAAGAAGTGTTTCAGAAATCTATAAATATGTCATTGAAATCTTATATTTTTGTTTTTAAACTAATTTTAAAAACCATTACAAAATAGAGTTTGGCAGTTTCTTACAAAACTAAATATACTCTTACCATACAATCCAGCAATCTCATTTTCTTCGTATTTTCCCAAGGAGTTGAAAACATATCCACACAAAATCTGCACACAGATGTTTATAGCAGCTTTAATCCTAGTTGTTAAAACTTGGAAGCAACCACGATGTCCTTTAGAAGATGAATAGATAAATAAACTGGAGTATATCCAGATAATAGAATATTATTCAGCATTAAAAATAAATGAGTTGGCTGGGCATGGTGGTTGTAACTGATTACGCCTGTAATCTGAGCACTTTGGGAGGCCAAGGTGGGCAGATCACCTGAGGTCAGGAGTTCGAGACTAGCCTGGCCAACATGGTGAAAACTTGTCTCTACTAAAAATACAAAAATTAGCCAGGTGTGGTGGCACATGCCTGTAATCCCAGCTACTTGGGAGGCTGAGGCAGGAGAATCACCTGAACCTGGGAGGTGAGGTTGCAGTGAGCTGAGATCACACCACTGCACTCCAGCCTGGCCGACAGAGGGAGACTCTGTCTCAAAAAATAAATTTTTAAAAAAATGAGTTATCAAGCCATGCAAAAACATGAAGGAAACATAAATGCACATTACTGAGTGAAAGAAGGCAATCTGAAAAGCCTAAATAATCTATAATACCAACTATATGACATTCCAGTAAAGCTACACAAACAGTACAAAGATTAGTGATTGACAAGGATTAGAGGCAAGGAAGGAGTGAACAGGCAGAGTGCAGAGGATTTTGAAGGCAGTGAAAATACTCCGTATGAGAGTATAATGGTGAATACATGCCATTATGCATTTATTCAAACCCATAAAATGTACAATACCAGCAGTAAACCCTAATGTAAACTGTGGGCTTTAGGGGATTATGAAGTGTCAATGTAGATTCAACAATTGCAGTAAATGTACAACTCTGGTGGGGACTGTTGATAATGGTGGAGGCTATGCATGTGTGGGATCAAGGGATATATGGGATTTCTGTACCTTCCTCTCAACTTGGCTGTGAACCTAAAACTGTTCTAAAAAGCAAATCTATTTAAAAAAAACTATTGCAACAACATACACACATCAATCCCAAATTATAGTACATTAGAGAAAACCAATATGTTAATGCTTATTGCACAGTTAAAAGGTTTTGTGAGAAACCTCTAAATATAACATCTCTTCTCATACCTACTTGAAAAGTACACTGTGATTGCATGGTGTTTTAAAAAGGTTGTATTCACCTAATCTGTTTGAATGTCAATTTTCTCCATATTGTGAAGCTAACACAGATAAATAAAAATTTAGGTACTGAATTAAATGTTTGTGGTTATCAAAGAAGCTACAATTAGGATATTCAAATGCATTTTATGAAGTAAATTTTAGAAAATGTATTTTACCAAAGCATGATTTTTTTTCCTGTTTTGTAAATTGGGATTTGAGATAAAGTTTTACTTTACAAGAAGAAATCCTGCTTCAAATGAACAGCAATGAGCTGTTAAAACACTGTAATATAAAATATATGTATATATGTATTTTTTATACAGAGTCTCATTCTTTGGCCAGGAGTGCAGTGGCACAATCTCGGCTCACTGCAGCCTCCACCTCCCGAGTTCAAGCAATTCTCCCACCTCAGCCTCCTGAGTAGCTGGGATTGCAGGAATCCACCACCACGCCCAGCTATTTTTTGTATTTTTAGTAGAGATGGGGTTTCACCATGTTTGCCAGGCTGGTCTTGAACTCCTGACCTCAGGTGATCCACACACCTCAGCCTCCCAAAGTGCTGGGATTACAGGTGTGAGCCACCATGCCCAGCCTAAAATATTTTTCTTTAAAAAATGTTTCTATTTGGTTAGTCAACATGGCCCCAATTCCATACAAGATTTATAATCCATTCCTGCATGATTAGGAATGCTTCTGGAGGCAGACTATATTCTGAAAGCTAAGGAGACCTTCTAATGCCTGAAGATGACTTTACTCACTGTTTTATTCTTTTAATAAATTTATTTTTTAAGATGCTAATCTCAATATAAATCATATAAAATATGAAGCTTTTAATTCTAGTTGATTCAATTTTGTGATTCACATTTCCCTATATGCCTACATTTAATAACTTTTCTATTTTCTGTAACACATAACACTTGGGAAGATTTAAGAGTCCAATAGTTGCTGACTATTTGCATGGCAGATTACCAAAGGAAATATTGCTATGTGAAAACAAACTTTTTTCCCTGACATTTGAGGTTCTTAGTTGCTGGACATTTTTTAAATCAAACCAGACACTGACTAGAACACTACAGTCACTCTGCCCTTAATTGTCTCAGATACATATTTGGATATTCAAGAATATAAGCAAACAAAAAACCTAGCTTTCTGCTTTTGGGAGTAAGAATACTCAGCTGAGCTGGCTGGCATACCAAGAAATCTGCTCACCTTATATAGGTGTGTGCCACAGGCAGTAAATGGTGATGGTGGCCTTCCTAGCATATGATTTGAAAACCATCATGATTTTAGAATTGCCTTCAGAACATTTAATGTCATTGATTGAAGTTTTTATGCAATATCTCTTATGATCCCAGCCAAACCCTAATCTTGTCAGAGGCAGGGATCATCCTTTATAGACCCCAAATGACAAGAAGTGTCTTGCATGTGGTGAGTAAGCATTGGACAAGGCTTGTTTATACGATTGATCTAAACCTGCTCACTTAACAAGGAAATCTTCCTAAGCTAGAAGTCTTGGGTGCAGCCTAGAAGTTAGCTAACTTTGGGCAATCTGGCATCGTTTCAAGCTAGTTATAGCTCTAACAAAATGTGAGCTTGCTTCTGTGACTTTCAAAAATCTATCATGGCCTTGCTAGGTAATACCTAAGTCACTTCAAAATCACAGTCTGATTGACAGGCAGTCTTTTCTGAAACTCACATTCTATTCCTCATTCGGTTCTCTTCATGCTGCCCTGGTAAAGTGTCTGTCACTTCCTCTTAAAAAGCAGTGAGAGAGAGGAGTGTGTGGACTTCATGTCAGGAGCAGTTGTCTTCTCTTCAACTCTTAACCCTGCTCACCAGGGTAGACGAAGTAAAGAATTTAATTAGTCTGGGTTGAATCAGACTACGTGAACAAAAAATACAGAAAAGCTTGGAGAAGCCTGGAAATTTTAGAGAGAAAAGGAAAGAACCCTCTTGATGACACCACCAAAACAGTCATCTGGTTTTTGGTCTGAGAACTGTTGTTAGCACCGTAGACTTTCAGGAGTCTGGGAAGCTTCACCTGTGGTACTTTGTTCCCCTTCCTTCAAAAAAGATGCACCATGAGTGGTATGGGCGAACAGAGATCCCCCCTATCTTCCTTGGGCTCCTGAGGAAAGAGACTCTAGGGTCCTGAGATGTGCCTGAAGGAGTTTTAATGGGATATGTTCTCAGGAACTACTATGAGGGAGCAAGGAAATCAAGACCAAACAGAGACAGAAGCCAAACTGGGACACAGTTGCAACTGTGGCCTTTGCCAATCACTCAGGAAGCTCTAAAGCTGGGAAGCCCTTCAGGGGTGTCTGTCATTGAAGTAAAGGGGCCAGATCTTTGTATCGCCCAACAGCAACCAGTCATTGAATGTGGGCTGTCCCTGGGAAGGGAGCACCCATCAGTAGAGGGCAATTCCCAGAAAGGAATGCAGTCTTGAGCTATCAGCGGCCAACACTGCCAATCTCTTAGGAATAAATGCCTAGTTCTTTAAGGGGGATCTGAGTGGCATTACATGATGTCACTATCCCCACTCAGCTGGCTAATCAGTACCATCAGCAGAAATGATCAGGATTAATTGTGACCCTAGGGCTCAGAGTCACTACATTTCACCCTCTGCTGAGCAAAGTGCTGACCATGTGCCAAGCACTCTTCTACATAAATTATCTCATTTGATCTTCTTAACACCATAAGGTCTTACTTGTCTCTCGATGTGCATGTAAAGAAACTGAGGCTTAGAGATACTAAGCAACTTTCCCAAGTTCATACTACCCATTAAGGCACTAATAGAGATTGAAAGTCAGATCTCTCTGAATCACAAGTGTTCTGTACCAATGCGTAGCATTCAAAATTACATTTTGTTGTTGGTGGTGGTGTTGTGTTTTGATTCCTGACCATCCCACAGATATTCAGGTGTGAGAGGTGGGAGCTAAATATATTTACATACAGAAGGAGGAGTGCAAAGTCTAGAGAGTTTAGATTTCTGAAAAGTTACTAAACTATACCAAACCACGTGCCCAAGCATACACCTTTGAGGCCAATGAGGGAGGGAGGGAACTCCTTGCCAGCCAGATGAGCTGAATCAACATCACTATCTGGAACTCTCATGAAATAGTGGACCTAGAAATGATGAATGGGGGCAACAGTGCCGACCATGGCTTCACCTTCAAAAAACAGCATTTATAAGATTCTTTTCCTCAAACTTCCTCCCTGTATCTCCTCTCCCCCAAAGCAAAATCCAAAAGCCTATAAAAAAAACTAGATATGTACTAAAGGTCAGGAACTTGATTTGAATGGTGTTCTAACTGTGTCACACATCAGCTTCAGGTTGCTTTGTTCATGCAACCTACTGTCTTTGCAGTTATTTCCTTTTGTGTCTCCTGACTTCTTCCCAGAATAACTATTACGTCTAGTTCAAGAGCATGTCATAGCAGATATTTCTCATCTCAACTACACAAAGGTACTATGTAATTATGGAATGTACTGAAAGGACCTTGGAGGAAAAGCAAGTTAGCCATCTAATAAGAAAAAATTTAAAACAGAACAATCAAAAGAGACTATTTTCAAAATGTTTTTCTGCAGGTGTACAGGATGATTTTCCTATAACAATCACTATTTCATGGTCCAGCATGATTTCCAGAATATTACATGTACACTGGCAGTCTTAGTACCTGATGATTGAAAACAGCGTGTTCCTGGACATCTCGCTTCAAAACAAAGCAGAAATAATTGGATCTTCCTCTCTTATTTCTCTTCTCCCCCGCCAAGACAGGTGGGCATTGTAAAGAAGACAAATTACTAAACTGGTCAAAATTTTTCATATCTTAGGAAGCACTTGAGCAGTCAAGGAATTATCTCTTATTTTCTATATGAATTAATTTAATTAATGTAGTGAAATATTGATGAGGCTCCCATTTAGAGCCCAAAATATAGTAGGCACTCAATATATATTTGTTAAATTAATAAATGCCCATCACCTACTTCATTAAGCCTTCCCATTTATTCTTGTGGAATTAATCCATTCCTCCTCTGTGCTCTGACAGCATTTTGCACACTTTTTATAACATTCTAACATACTGACTTTGACCATATTTAGTGAAAGCCTGTGTCTCTTTCTCATGCCTTAAGGGCATGAAACGGGCCTCATTCAATCTACGTCCCACAGGTTGTCTTGCACACAGCAGGTCTCAATATCAATGTTTTGCAGATAGATTTGGTGATCTGCTATTTTAGGACCAATCAGAATGACCTGTGAAATTGATTAGTCACAGAAGACAGAAATTGGCAGGTGTGCCAAAACATTGTTGCTGGGGGACAGTGGCAATACCTTATACCTTGACAAGGAAGGTGAATTCAATTCTGTTAAGTGCCCATGGCAATGATGTAGCATATTGCAATGCACTCTGTCTCATTTTGGCATTGCTGCCCTCTCCTGCCATCTGCAAGCAGCACGACACTCTCAGGCTGAAATCCATGGTTGCCATGCTGACAGTGTGCTTGGGTTGAAAGAAAAGAAGGCAATTACCATTCAAGCTAAACCCAGGTCCACAACCAGGAGAGTAGCCAAAGTTCTTAGTCTTGGCCTGTGATGCTGAGACTTTGCTTCTCCAGGTTAATTTGGGAATAGTTGAATGGTCATTTATTTCATGCCTCTCTGAATAATCATTCCCATTTCTTCATCCATGCCTTTGCTCATGAGAAACAGTAAAATGTAGTGGTTAGAAGGTGAGCTCTGGAGCCAGGTGGACTTGATTTGAATACTGGCTCCACTGTTTTTAGGTTGTGTCCCCTTAGGCAGGTTACTTAACATATCCGGGGTTCATTTCCTCTGCAACAAAGTAGAGTAATAATAGTATTTAGATCACAAAGTTGGTGTGAATGTTAAATACATTAATGCCTGGAAAGCATTTGGAATAGTGTATAGTGCAGCCTAATTAGCTAATCAATTGTCAGCTACACTGAGGACACTGTGTGTGACATGATGAGGAGTTGGAATTTCCTCTGAGTGCATCTATAAGCCAATACAGAAGTTTAAGCAGGAGAATGGTGTGACCTGATTTATTTCTTAAATATCACTCGGATTACTCTGAGGAGCTGTATTGGAGGGGAATAAGTGGCAATGAGGAGAGGAGTTAGGAAGCCACCATAGTAGACCTGGAAAGGAGTGATGATGGCTTAGGGAAGGTGATGGCTTACCCTAGACAGAGTAAGCAAGATGAGCTATATTTTGGGGTTGAAAATGAAATGTGCTGATGGACTGTGTGTGGGAGGTGAGGGAATGGAAGAAATCCATGATGATTTTAGGTTTCTAGCTTTGGTTGTGGAAGCTTAATGATCTCATTTACTGAAATAGAGAAGATTATAGGAGGAACATATTTTGGAAGGGAAATCAAACTTTCCTTGAGGAATTTTAAGCTTCAGATGTCTATGAGATGTCCAAACAGAAATTTGAATTAGCCTGGATTTTAAACCTGGAAATCATATGAAATATCTATATGGAGACATAAAGTTTCACAACGTATAGATCTTTAAAGCCACAGATAGCAGCAATATCTGCTGTGGCACTGGGGTCGACATAAAAGAGAAAAGAGGGCAGAGTCCTAAATGTCTCCCAAATTTTCAGATCAGAGACAGAAGTGTATCAAGTGAAGGTGACTGAGAAGAACAACCAGGGAAATAGGAGGAAAACTGGAGAGTGTGGTGTCACCAAAACAGAAGAGAATGTATCAAGAAGAATAATGTCATCTGATATGTCAAAGACTGCTGGGTGGTCTAGTAAGATGAGAACAGAAAACTGGATATTAGATTTGGTGACATGGAGGCCTATGTGACTTGGACAAGAATGCATTTGGTGTAATATTGGAAAGAAAATGCTAAATGGAAATGAGTTAAAAAGTAAGTAGTGGTAAAAAAATAAAATGGAGGCTTTGTAGAGAAGTTTGATATTGAAGGGAAGAGCAAAAGGCTATGGAACAAAGAGACAAACTCCACTTTCGATGCTTTCAGCCCCAATCACTTTCACACCCCACCCGCCTCTGGGCAAGGGGAGAAAAAGCCATGGGCTCACTCTCGTGGTGCTGGTGGGAAAGTTCAAAGCACACAAACCTCAGGCAACAGGCAGGTCCCCATCACACACCACTCCAGCCTCCATCTGACCAATACCAGCCAAGCCATTCACCTTGCTTTACCTTGCTTCACTTCAGACTGGGCAAGAGCCCTTCTCTGTGGAGAATCCTTTTTCTGTTTATTGTATAAACAATACACTTTCTTTCATCTCTTATTAATGCCTATGTGTCATTCATGCCAACATCTGTGTAATTTCCTGGCAGGGGCTGCCCAGTATCCAGCAGGAGCCGCTAAGCACCCAAATGAAACACAGACAGAAGCAGGATTCGGGGCCAAGGGACAAATGGGCATTGTTTTAATGGAGATGGGATGACAGAAAACATGTCTTTATGCTGATGGAAAATATCCAATAGAGGATGAGAGATTGATGAAGCAGGAGAAAGAGGGCATAACTGCAGGAACAAAGTACTTGCCTTGTGTGGTAGAAAGGAGGTGGGGTCCAGAAGACAAGGGCAGAGGCTGGGCATCCATAGGAAGAGAGACATTTCCTCCACTGTAACAGAAGAGGAGAGGAGAAGATGGGTTTTCAACTCAAATATCCCATCCTTGAGCCAAATAGTCTAAGTGAGTGTAGTAGCAATGGTGTGCAAGACAAGGAGTGATTGAGTCAGTGAGAAGTTAGAGAGAAAATGTATACAAGTCTGAGAAGTGCAACCTGTCTACAGGCCAACAGATTGCAAACCCTGGGGCTGCACATAATACTCCAGAATCAGCGGCATTCCCCTTTTGGTCCCCCTGAATTACTCCTGTCATTAATTTCCCATGAAAACATGAGACTGGTCAGAAGACAAAGACTATACACCTGAATGGTCAATAGCAGCTTCACAATGGTTGTCCAGATTCCCACTGCAACCTCCCAAGCTTCACTTTTATCTCCATCCCAGGAAGGGTTTCTTACTAAGAGACTGTGGGAATTTCAGTGATAGCCACAGATAACAGTAATTTCCATTTTCATTTTTATTTCATTTTTAAGTTTTTTTTCAAACCATTTTATCAGTTGTCTAGATATCTAAAGGTAAACTGTTAGTTATTGATTCCTTATATGTGTTTTCCTTGAGATTCATGAATTGTATTTTCAAACTAGGAAAGCAATTCATAATTCCTTTGGGAACAGCATGCTGAATAGAAATGAGTATATTTCCACAGAAATGGACTCATTACTCTGCCAGTATTGCATACAGCCTTATGAATAATTGTTATAAAACAAAGGGGTCTTACAGGAAAAAAAACTTTGCATTTATCTGATATTATACTTTTGCATGGAAAACAATTTATCCTTTTACATTTAATTTGCTTTGGTGGTGTTTGCTACTTTCCTTGTGCTCAAAAGATTGGCACAGTCTGAAATCTGGAAATGTAAAAGAAATTTTAAATATATATTAGTATAAAATATATTAACAATATAAAATCAATAGTCATTATAGTTTGACTTTTTTTGATCTTTTTACTCTAAAATGTAATCTAAATAATAACAAAATAAATATTGAGCTGAAGAAAAGAAAAAGGAAACAGTGATTTTCATGTCTGCTATGTGGCGGCACTAGGTTTAATGTGTTGTATGTGCGTCATCTTCTCTGAAGTGAGCATCATCTGCACAGATGAGAACACTGAGGTTCAAAGAGTTTAAATAATTTGTCCAAAGTAAAAAAAATCTAGAAAATGGCAAAGCCACAATGTAAATATAGTCCTCATTTTTAAATTTTTTTTATTGCTTCTTCTCAAAATAGAGGTTAAAGGAAAGGTGAAAGATTCCCATTAAACTCAAAAACTCATAACATCAAGTAATTTTAGACATTTGACATTTGATGATTGACAATGACAGAGTTTTCTCCTTTTAAATCACTGGAATTGGATGTGGCTAATATTCATGTAGAAGTCATGAATCTTTAACTGTGGTGATTAATCAACATTTCCTTTCTGTGATCTAATTACTGCCTTTTATGTTTGCGTGGTCAGAAAATAGGAGCAAAAATAAAGGAGGGAAGGTGAAGGGTGATAGGAATTCCTTAGTATAACTCTCTATGATTACACAGTGTTACCTATACTCCAAGTCAGCACACCAGTATTTAACAGTACAGAGATTA
Organism: Homo sapiens; assembly: GCF_000001405.40. NCBI lineage: Eukaryota > Metazoa > Chordata > Mammalia > Primates > Hominidae > Homo > Homo sapiens. The sequence goes on along the minus strand of NC_000010.11, from coordinate 64,284,874 downwards.
GAGCCCTGTAGGAAGTCAATTTTTAAAGTCTCTAGAAAGGGCAGTTTGGTGAATTGACACAATATCTTCAAATTGCAAACAAAATGAAGCACTCTCACACTATTATTTTAAAGGGAAACATTCACATCTGTGTTCATGTTGATTGATACACAACAAAATAGCAAGGCAGTCGTCCTTTCTCCTGCCCTTTTTTTTTTTTTTTTTGAGACAGAGTCTCACTCTGTCACCTAGGCTGGAGTGTAGTGGCACAATCTCAGCTCACTGCAACCTCTGCTTCCCAGGTTCAAGCGATTCTCTTGCTTCGGCCTCCTGAGTAGCTGAGATTACAGGTGTGTGCCACCACACCCAGCTAATTTTTGTATTTTTAGCAGAGACAGGGTTTCACCATGTTGGCCAGGCTAGTCTCGAACTCCTGACCTCAGGTGATCTGCCCACCTCGGCCTCCCAAAGTGCTGGGATTACAGGTGTGAGCCACCACGCCCAGCCTCTCCTGCCTATTTTTAACTGACCATACAGCATTGCTTCTTTAGTTGATTTTAGAGTTTAGGTAAGACATAGAAGCTGTCTTATGTTGTAGTAAGAAATACATTAAACATGTCAGTGGCTTAACACAGCAAGAGCTGTTCTTCATGTTGCATGTCCATTGCACATTGGCAGTGGGGGCTGATGGAGCAGCCATCAAGCCAGAGCTTTGTTGGTCAGACTGATAGAGCAACACAGCATGAAGAATCAGAGATGAACTCTCGAGACTTCTACCCAGAACTCACGACTTCTTTTTTTTCTTATTTACTTATCTGTTTATTTATATTCATAAGATACAAGTGGAATTTTGTTGCATCCATAGATTGCATGATGGTGAAGTTAGGGCTTTTAGTGCATCCATCACCCAAGTAACATATATTGTACCCATTCAGTAATTTCTCATCATCCACTCCCCTCCTACCCTCTCACCCTTCCACTCCCTCCACTGTCTATCATTCCACACGCTATGTTCATGTGTACGTCTTATTTAATACCCACTTATGAATGAGAACACGTGGTATTTGTCTCTGTGCCTGACTTGTTTCACTTAGAACAATGGCCTCCAGTTCTACCCATGCTGCTGAAAAAGACATGATTTCATTCTTATTTATGAATAAATAGTCTTCTATTGTGTCATAAATAATGATATACATTTTTCTTTATCCAATCATTCATGATGGACACAAGTTGATTCCATATCTTTGCTATTGTGAATAGGGCTGCTATAAGCATAGAGCTGCTGTTATGTTTTCAGTATAATGATTTATTTTCCTTTAGATACGTACCCATCAGTGGGATTGCTGGATCAAATAAAAATAGTAATTCTATTTTTAATTCTTTGAGAAATCTCCATACTATTTTAAGTAGAGATTGTACTAATCTACATTCCCACCAACAGTGTATAAGAGTTCCCTTTCCTCCACATCCTTACCAACATCTGTTATTTTTTGTCTTTTTAATAAAAGCCATTCTGAGTGGTATAAAATGATATTTCACTGTGGTTTTAATTTGCATTTCTCTGATGATTAATGGTGAGCTTATTTTCATGTGCTTATTGGCCATTTGTATGTCTTCTTTTGAAAAAAAGTCTATTCATGTCCTTTACCCATTTTTAAAAAAATAACTTTATTGAGATATAATTCACATACCATACAATTCACCCCTTTAAAGTATACAATTTAATGGCTTTAAAAATATTAAGAATTATGTATCCATCACCACAGGCAATTTTAGGCCATTTTTATTACCCTCCCTTCCAATTCTTAATTGTTGTCCCCGCCAATTCTCCCATCCTTTTATCCTTAGGCAATCAGTAATCTATTTTTTGTCTCTATAGATCTGCCTATTCCAAACATTTCATATAAAAAATTATACAATATGGTCCTTTGCGACTGGCTTCTTTCACTTAGCATAATGTTTTATTTAATTTATTTTTTTAATTTTTATATATTTGGGGGTATAAGTGCAGGTTTCTTACATGCATATATTATGTAGTGGTAAAGTCTATTTTGTCCACTTTTTAATGGGATTATTTGTGGGTTTTTTTGTTGAGTATTTTAAGTTCCTATTTTATTGTTCTAAATAAATCATGTGATCACAGCAAACTTCAAAGGAGCATAGAAGTGCAGTGTTGAAATGTGGGCAAGGAGAAAACCTGAAACACTTGGTGGAGAGCACTGGTAGCCCCACCATAATTACTTCGTATGCCTAAAACTTTCTGTTACGGGGGAGAACCACAATAAAAGACAGAATATCAGAAGTTAAGAATCCAATCAGCAAACAAAGAAATTTTTTCAAAAGTCTGCCTCGAATGTGTAAGTTGAGTCATAAATTAAGAACAAGATCTGTTTACCAAGGAAAGAGAGAAAATTCCCCTTGAGAATGGATCATTGAAAACTCAAAATGAATTTTTTCTTAGGAGCAAGATTACACATGGCGTTTGTGTTCTTGTATTGTTCTACAAGGGTTTATTTAACCTATATATAAAAGAAAATTAGAACTACAGAGAGTGGTGGCCTTAAGATTGAGTATCTAGGAGCAGAAAACATTACAGTTAAGTTAAAAAATAAAAAGAGGTAGAAATGAGAAAGCTTTCCTTCTTGCCTTTGAGTCACAGGCTTGATCCTAAGAAACATTTTTAATAGATAAAGTTGACCCTGTTACCTGAATTCTGTACCACCAGATACCATTGTCCTTACACAGTCATAAACAACACAGAACCCTCCACTCAGAACTGTTGGAATCTCTAATGTTGTGCCAAGATCCAAAATTATTTCCTCCTTTATCCAGTACCAATTTCCTCCATTTTAATGCATTGATCTTAGATAATCATTAAGTGAAAAAGTGTGGCTTAGTGGAAAGAGGACATAGATAAGCATCAGGGAATATGGATTCTAATCTCAGCTCCAGAATATACTTTTCAGGTTACAATTTTGTGAGGTACTTTATAAGTTTTAGTTTATTAATCTATAATATAGAAAGGAAAATATAGAACAAACGACTGGCATAGAATCAAATGAGATAATAGGAAAAAGTCTTCTTTCAGAATTCTGAAAGTAGCATAGAATTGTAAGGTGTGGGTGTGATGATGATGATGATCATGATCATGATGATGATAATATAGAAAGTAATGGGATTAAGACCATGTATAATATTTGAAAAACTGATTCTTCTATAACCCAAACATAGATACTTGCATCTTCAAGAGAAAGCTTATTATCCCAACCATGTTAGTTTCTTGAGCAGAGACAGTTTCTTTCATCTCTGTCAGTCATGGTGCATAGCATATACTCAATAAATGTTGCATTGCTCCAAAGAATAAAGAAAAAGATAATGTGGGCTAAAGCACAGAACATACCCTATGAAATGGAAAGAAGAAACTATCCTGAAAGGGACAAAAGGAAGGTGGATCCAGGAATTGAGTGAAGATCCGGTTTCACAAGATTGAGGGCGGTTTCATTTCCATAGGGCCCTTGAAAGACAGGAATATGAAGACAGCCTTTGCAGAGCAGGCTGCAGCAGAGAAATGGTTCAATATCAAACAATAGCAATTATACACAAGCCACAGAAAGTGATGTTCCAAAGTAATGAACCTCTCAGGAGAGTGACTTTTTAACCACATTTTTAGGTATTCTTTAGTAAAAAATTAGCGGCCAGGCACAGTGGCTCATGTCTGTAATCCCAGCACTTTGGGAGGCCAAGGCAGGCAGATCACAAGGTCAAGAGATCAAGACCATCCTGGCCAACATGGTGAAACCCCATCTCTACAAAAAATACAAAAATTAACTAGGCATGGTGGCCTGTGCCTGTAGTGCCAGCTACTCAGGAGACTGAGGCAAGAGAATCACTTGAACCCGGGAGGCAGAGGTTGCAGTGAGCCAAGATTGCAGCACTGCACTCCAGCCTGGTGACAGAGCCAGATTCCGTCTCAAAAAAAAAAAAAGTAAGTTTCTAAATGGTTAAGTTTTCAATATTCCTGTATGAGGGGATCTTCCCTTTCATCCTCCCATTTGTTTTTCTTCCTGGTTATATTATATTATATTATATTATATTATATTATATTATATTATATTATATTAATTATATTATATTATATTGTATATAAATATATACTATAATATATATACCAGGCTGAATGAAGACATGGTAATTCAAAGTCAAGAATTGTATCTTCCTACTTGGTTTTCTTACTTCCCTGACCTCATTTCTCAGGGAGATAATTAGAAGTTCAATGTTGAACTCATCATTCTTTATTACTCAGCTGGACTGGCCCAAAATTTACCTTCAAAAGTGATTTTTGCTGGATAAAGTGATGATTGGAAATGAATGATATGAGATCACATCATATTATTTTTTCCAAATTCTGATTTCTAAGTATTTGCAGAATAGTTCATTACAGAAATAATGTGTATATATATAATATGTTACATATAATATTAATATATATAATAATATATACATTAACTTGCTACACACATTCCTGCTATAGCTTAAAACCCAAGTGGTTATTGGTAACTTGTTATGGGATGCTTTATACAAAAGTGAATTACTTATGCACAGAATAAATTACTGCGAGTTTTGAATGAAGTATCTGATGGGTAGCAAAAAATGTATAAAGAAGTGATAGTGCAGCTTTTGTCAATCAAGGACAGGATTAATTACTAGCAATATAGACAGCCTAATGAGACAGGTTGATTAATAGGACAGGGATATGGAGTCTTTCTAGTCCTTCACTTGCCTTGTCCTCTACATAAAAATCAAACCTCTTCTTCTAGAATTCTGCTTAATCAGGCACACTGAAAGCACAGAACCCCAATGATCCCAAGAGAGAGCTTTTCATTTCATGACAGAATTGATTAAAAGACACTTTGCATCTAGCTCTAAGTTGAGGGGAAAAGAGTAAGATTAGAGAGGGGCTATTTCTCTCAATAATTTTTTTTAAGTATCACATTTGTGATAGATTTATATGTAATATAATTATACATTATTTATATGTAATATAATTATACGTTATATTATATGTAATATATTATTTATAAACATCATTTCTGTAATGAACTTCTATTCTGCAAATACTTAGAAATCAGAATTTGGAAAAAATAATATGGTGTGATCTCATATCATTCATTTCCAATCATCACTTTATCCAGCAAAAATCACTTTTGAAGGTAAATTTTGGGCCAGTCCAGCTGAGTAATAAAGAATGATGAGCTCAACATTGAACTTCTAATTATCTCCCTGAGAAATCAGGTCAGGGAAGTAAGAAAACCAAGTAGCAAGATACAATTCTTGACTTTGAATTACTATGTCTTCATCCAGCCTAATCAAATGGGAATGAATTCAAGAAAGATGGTAGCTAAAATGCAACTGGAAAAAAAGCCCAAACTGTTTACCTTTATGTCATAGAGGCTGATCAAAAGCTACATACTGGTCTTTACTCCACTCTGTCCTCCTCTCTAGCTCCAGTCCTGGCCTAGATGAATCTCTAGAGATCTTATCTGGTCTGAGTACTCTATGATTTAGAAAATTCAGTGTAGCAGATAATAGTTTCTAAAAGTTTTGCAACAGCAATATTTTTATATTTCCACATTCTCTTCCAGAACCTTGCCACTCCTCATTAAAATTCAGACTGCCTTCTATCCCCTTGAACCAAAAGAATGTGATAGACATGATGTTGTGCAGCTTGCAAGGATAGCTTGTAAAATACAACATGGCTCGTGTTTGGTGCTGTCACTCAGAATGCTTGGCCTTTCAACCCAGTTGCCATGCTGTGGGGAAGCCAAAGGAGCTCACACAGACAGGCCCATAAGGGGAGGAACTGGGGCCTCTGACCAATAGCCACATGAGTGAGCTTGGAGCAGACACTCCAGCCTCAGCCAAGCCTTCGAACGACCGCAGACCCACTTGACATCTTGACTGCAACCTCATGAGAGAGCCTGAATCAGCACCACTCAACAAGGTTTATTATTTTAAGTCACTAAATATTGGAGTAATTTGTTATGCAGCAATAGATAACTAATGCATCTTCCCATTAGGGTTATATGACTGGAGACAATGACTTTTTAACCATACACATGACACATATGAAAACATGGTAAGGTACAAACTTTCAGTTACAAGATACCATAAGTTCTGGGGACCTAATGTACAGGATGATAAATATAGTTAGTAATGATGTATTGTCTACTTGAAATTAGCCAACAGAGTGGACCTGAAGTATTCTCAACACTCTCCAAAATAGTAACTATGTGAAGTGATGAATATGTTAATTAGCTTGATTCTGGTTATCATCTCACAATGTATATGTATATCAAAACATCACATTGGACATCTTAAATATATGCAATTTTTATTTGTCAATCATACCTCAATAAAGGTGGGGAAAAGAAAAACATGGCAAGGTAACTACTTAGTGATAGCATTAACAACAAAGGTAGCCCAGATGCAGTGGCTCAGGCCTGTAATCCCAGCACTTTGGGAGGCCAAGACAGGATTTCTTGAGCCCAGGAGTTCAAGACCAGCCTGGGCAACATAGTGAGAACCCGTCTCTACAAAAATTTAAAAAAGTTAGCTGTGCACAGTAGCATGCCCCTGCAGTTTTAGCTATTAAGGACACTGAGGCAGAAGGATCGCTTGATCCCAGGAGTTTGAGGCTTCAGTTTGCTGTGATCATATCACCCAGTGCACTCCAGCCTGGGTGACAGAGCAAGACCCTGTCTTTAAAAAAAAAAAAAAAGAAAGAAAGAAAGAAAAATTAAAATTAAAAAAAAAGGGTGGACAGCATGTGACACAGAAGGAGCCAGGGAGAAGGAAGTGTTCATATGAGTGGAATAAAGTATTTCCAAGGAGACCAGAAACAACACATATAAGAGAAAGACCCAGAGAAGGCGGTGAAGGAGAGAAAAACAGCAACTAGAGAAAAGAAAGGAAATTTGGTTTTCATGGCATGTTTTAAGGCAGCTGAAATTACACCAATTGTCTGTGACTGCTGAAAGCAATGGAAGTGATACCCATGTTCAAGAATCCTGATTCGTAAGATTCCCCAGCAAAAGCCAGTACAGAAAGGAAACCAGGAAACACTCTGTCTTTTCAATTACCACGAGTGAAGCAAAGGACACTGAAAAATCAGAATTTTGGCAGCATGAACAAGTCACTTTTTGTACTCATGACAATTCTATTTTGTTCTGTTAAGGGATTTGTGTGAAAATCCTACGACATGAATGCCAGCAAAAGTGTAGTGGGGGATCATTCTTACTTCAAATACCCTCAGGGTCTCTGTGAGGGAAAACTGTGCCAGAGAAGAATATCTCATACAAGAATAGACCATGGGTAAACCACAGAAGGGTTTTTTTGTTTTTTTGTTTGTTTGTTTTGTTTTGTTTTGTTTGCATCCTGGGCCATATTATGAATAATGAGCAACTTCTGAGTAAAATAAAAGAAATAACAGCATGGATGCCATATTTTAGGCTTTCTTAAGAAATCCTTGAGATCATGTGTATTTCAGAATTCAAAACCTTTTGGATTTTTGAAATGTAATCTGTGTATATGCCAAGCATATCAAGTCAACCAGAGAAATATTATTAGGTTAATATCTACCATTAACCAATACCTAGGTTTTAACCAGTCACTGTGTTAATCTTATTTGATTCTTCCATCTGCTCTGGAAAAATGATAAAACTGAGGACCATAGAGATTCCCAAGATCACAGGACTAGTAAGTAAGCATATTTAGGACTCCACCTTGAACCAGACTTCAAATCCTCTGCCTTTAATCACCCTACTGTATTGCAGAAAATTCAAGACGTGTCGAGTTGTGTGTGTGTGTGTGTGTGTGTGTGTGTGTGTGTGTGTGTTTTATGTTTTTGTTTCTGTTTCTTTTTATAGAAGTAATAACAATGTTAAGGAACTTAGGAAAGATTACCTATAATTTACCATCCTGACATCAGTTATCACCTTTGTTTATCTTGTTTTTGGTCTTATATCAGGATAGAACCCCCAGGAAGAGCTACAGAAAACAGTAACTTCACTTGGGATGGGGGTGCAGATAGGGACAGTGGTGGTGACCATAATCTAAGATTGAGAAAAAGGAACAGCTAAAGAGAAATGGACATCATTTCCCCTACCTTTTTGGAATTGTGAGTATGTGCAGAAGAGTAAAGTCAATCTCCTAGAAGCAGAGTTTAGAATGGTAGTTACCAGAGTCTGGGAGACTGGGGAGATATTGGTCAAAGGATACAAAATGTCAGTTAGATAGGAGGAATAAATTCAAGAGATCTTTTACATATCATGATGACTGTAGTTAATAACAAAGTATTATATACTTAAAAATTGCTAACAGAGTAGATTTTAAGTGTTCTTACCACAAAAAAAAAAAACCATAAGTAGATGAGGTAATGCATATTCTAGTTAGCTTGATTTAACCATTCCACAACATATACATATATAAAAACATCATGTTCTACACAATAAATTTATACAATTTTGTTTGTCAATTAAAAAAAGAAGAGCAGACAGTGATAGAACTCCAAAGAGGGGTTTTCTTTGCAAACACTAAGGATGATTTCAGACAGAAATTTAGGTTCTCCAGGTAACAGGAACAGAATCAACTAAAAAATAACACCAAAGGATCAATTGGCAAAATGGTCTTACACCAGTAGATTTCTGGAAGTACTACACATATCAGAGCATAGAACCAAAGTGATCTACTGGGATATTCATTGTGGGAAGTTATGCACCATAAAATTGCAAGACATGACATATGTTGATAATTTTCAACAAGGCTCTTTCTGAAATATTGTCTTAGGAGCATTGGCAAATGGAAAATCAAGGGGCTTCCCCGCATAGCTCATTGTCACCAGAGCTGGGTAAGTCCCCAAACAACGTGAAATATGTTACTGCCTCCCAGTCTCAGTTCTGCAGCAAACCAGATCATAATAGCAACATCTCTGACACTAAGGTCATCCATTCATGAGACTTAAACCCTTCTTAAACATTTGCATTATATAATAACTCTACTAGAAAAAGATAAATTTATATCTTAAGCTAAAGCTTCCTAATGAAAAACCATCATGTGGGTAGTAATTTGATGTAAATATAAGGGTGCTATAAATAATAAATGTGTTAGTTCAGGCACAGGAATTGGGATAACATTAACCAAGAAGATAAATTAACATCTTAAACACAAAAGCAATAGTCAAACTACCATAGTTTCCCCTGATCAGCTACTCCCACATACAGGAGAAGCACCAAAATCAGCAGTCAGTTGTAAATATTAGAAAACAGTGCCTTAGCAATTCATGAGTCAGGGGTAGAATCATAGAAAACTGTAGATAATAACTTTCTACTAAATAAGATTTTTAAGTCTGCATCAGCACTTAAGAGTAAGGATGGAGTCTGAGTTTCTCCACAAGATAAAGATGTCTGAAATTCATATCTGTTAGAGAAAATTAAATCTAGTTTAATTTGCTATGGCCATTAATGCCTTTAAACACAGCAGAGTATCTGACTTGAAACAAATTATTATTGAAATATAAAAAGTGCCTAATTCATGGATTTGATGATTATTTTTTACTTTCTGTAGACATTAGCTGCATTAAGTCTACAGCTCTGACACTGTAATTTCCTGGAGGTAATAAATGTGATGCTCTTGACATAATATTATCAAATACCTCATTCCCAGCAATGCTTGGAATAGAGTTCCATGCCTAAAAGTGTGTGATTTCAGGGCTAATAAGTGGATACTAAATATCTCATTTGTCCTTTCACAAGGACAATCTGTTAAAAAATAATGCACAGGTTTTCATTCAAAAATTGAAATATGGAGTATGAAATCCTAGTATTTCTCTTCTGAATTTCAATCATTCAAATCCTTCCCATTTATCCCTTTATTTAGATGGCAAGCTCCTGCTTCTCCTCTAATATGCAGTCCCAATGTTCTCTTTCTTGAGCCCTTTCCAGACTCTGCCATGAAGTATGTGGTCCTCTTCTTGCTTTCTCCATAAGATTCTGCTTTAAAAAATAGTGTGTATTGTTACTATTATTTGTTTTTTTACATGCTGTTCTTCCATTATTAATGTATAGGTTTGTCAAGGACAGAATATATGCTTTCCTTATTTCTACAACCAAAATGACACCTAGCATATACTAACTTCTCAATATAAGTCTGTAATGTGATGAATATATGACAGAGGACATAAGTAATCATCTGCTCTTTACCTAGCATGGTGCTCAGCATTTTTGTCACATTATCTCCTTTACTTTTCCCTTCAACATTGAGAGTATTATTATACCCCTTTGATCAAAGAAAAAAATCAGGCCCAATTGGATTGTTAGTGGCTTGTCAGAGCCCTCATAAATAGTAATAGAAGGTGTATCAAACCAAGATTCTTTGCTACAAAGCTTTTTCCACCACAGCAGTGGACAATAGGCATGTTTACAGAGAGCCTTCAATGTGATTAAACAATATCTGAGTTATTTTACTTCCATGGAACTGAATAGAACAGTTTAGGAGACAAAGGAATGATGTGGATTGAGTGAAGTGAGTAGAATCTTTAAGAATTTGGTGCAAATACAAACTTCCTATGTGATACAACCATATACATCCAAGCAGCTATAAATTAAATGAATAAAAATTTATGCTGTCTCCTATATCAAAGAGAGTAAATATTTATTTCTAGGAATATTCCTCATCTCCCCTTTATTGAAAAATTATATGTAACACTATTTTTGTGGCTAAATTTATTCTTTAATATCTCTGTCTACTCCAAAACTAGGCACCCACACTAGAGCAGGGAATGTTATCTTACACAAAATTGTATCCTACCAAACACATTGTGGTGACCAACAGTGAGTAATAGTTTAGGAAGTATTTGTAGGGAAAGATACACTGACCAGTAAATGCAAGTATAACAACAATGGATTTATCCATAGGTCATGTTTGGTCCACAGGACAACAGTCTATCAGGAGCTTGAACTAGATAATCTCAGCAACACTTTAGCCATGTTTTCACTCCTACCCTTTCTTGAGCACCTACATCTAGAAATGGCATTCCTTGTATATCATCCTTAATTCTCACAATAGCTCTATAAGATGTATTTTGTCTTTTTTGTGTTTTTTGTTTGTTTTTTGTTTTTGTTTTTGAGACAGAGTCTCACTCTATCACCCAGACCAGAGTGCAGTGGCACCATCTCGGCTCACTACAACCTCCGCCTCCCGGGTTCAAGTGATTCTCCTGCCTCAGCCTCCCGAGTAGCTGGAATCACAGGCATGTGCCACCACACCCGACTAATTTTTGTATTTTTAGTAGAGATGGGGTTCTGTCATCTTGGCCTGTCTCAAACTCCTGACTTCAAGTGATCCGCCCGTCTCGGCTTCCCAAAGTGCTGGGATTACAGGCGTGAGCCACTGTGCCCTGCCTATAAGATGTATTTCTATGGCCCTGTGTAAATGATGAAGCTAAGACTCAGAGGCATTAACTAACTTAGTTAAGGTTACCCAATGAGTAAACATTATAGCAAGCCCATATGACTCCAGAGCTCATACACTGTCCACTAACCACCCCCCACAGCTCCTTGTAAACCTACATGAAAATAATTACACACTGATTAAAAAAAATAAGGTATAAAAACTCTGCGATTACACTGTTAGAAACTTGCCAAGAAAATAATTGTTAGTATGGTGAGTATTTGAGAGTTATTTTTTCCTGACAGAGAGTGATTGGGAGTGGATAGGCTCAGACAATGAGGAGGAGGTGGCAAGAAAGCACATGTGGGATCCATGGCCTGTCATTTTGAATTGACAACGAAGACAACGAAGTTAATTGCTGCTCTTAACAACCCTAGCATTATTTAGGTTGTTTTTGGAATTTAAAAAAAAAACAGTCCTGCTAGTCACAAAATTTTCCTTAATTCCAACGATCCCAAGTCAACCTTGTTCATAGAGATCATTCAAAGGAAGTCAAATTTTGGCTATGGTCTATGAAACATTCATCTCAGATACAAATATGCATTTAAAGCTGTGAAGGAAAAAACACATTTCACAGTGAGGTGATCTGCTGAAAATAAGTCAAAAAGTTTAAAGTAACAAAACTGTAAGTAAAATGATTAGTCTACTTATATAAAAGTTTGTTGCTAAGCAACCACATCAATGGAATATTTCAATTATGATTTGAAGTTCTTGAGCTCCCCGTAGCAGTAACAAAAATAGACATTCCATAGCTAATGAAATCATCTCATAAAATATGGAAACCTGAGACAAATTTTCTGAAACAATGTGTCCCAAAAACATAGCAACATATTAATATTAAAACATAGAGTGAGGACCTGGTAACTATAATTTGTTCTTTTCCATTGTACATTGACATTTTCCCACCCCAAACAAGCTCTTTTGTAGTCTACTATGTTCTTTAACAGTCAGTGAAATAATTGGATATATATTTTCTTTTGGAAATCGTAACTATAGTCATTAAGCGGGTGAGTGATGAGGTAGTTATACAACCTCCAGAGCTTCATAATTCTCTTTAAAGCACAAATTTTTCATCTTCAGATTTTAAGATCTGAATTATTTTTTGTATAAAACAAGAATAAATTGGGATGCCTTACTATTAACTGCCTGTTATAAACTATGAAATCATTTTTATATTTGAATGTATATGTTTCTTTCGTTCACTGCCCCCACTTGGGAGGTGGCCGTCATTACAATGAAATAGTAGAGGCCAGGCTTAGCAATGCGGTGTGAAACCATCAGCACATCCCAGCTTCCCCCAGGCAGACTCTACCCAAAACAATCCCCAGCAAATGATTTTTGGTTCTGTGCTTAACAACTGCCCCTAAAAACATGGATGAAATATTATCTTATAACCAGTTTCAAAAACTAACTTTTTATTTAGATTAAAAAATGAAAAGTAACGCTTTATCTGTCTTAGCTTGGGGTCCCTAGGAGTAGGTTCTGAGCAAGGATTCTGCTACAGATGGTTAATGTTGGAAGTGACCCTACCAAGCAAAGGTAAAAGACAGGGAGTGAGAGACAAGAGAACAGGAATGGAGTCTATGAAGACGTGTTATTCAAGCAAGTTGCCACTTCAGGGAACTTGAACTTAATTCTCCAGGAGAGTGCTGGGAAATGAAGTAGCACGCATGCCCTGGAGCTATCTCACATAGGGGTCAAGGAGCTGGGCTGCTTCTGGGAGGAGCGAAGGCTTTAATTTCCTGAAACTTCCTGCAAACCACTTGAGCAGAGGAACACCTCAGCTAAAGAGATGCTAGTGGTTGCAGTTGAATTTCATGACAATGTGCACCAAATTTGTGAGGCATCTTGGGCACTGAATGGAGTTAATACTTTGGGGAACATTTATCAGCCAATAACCAAGGGGAATTGAGGTTAAACACATTAGCTTCCTTGCCATTCACATAGGATAACTCCAAGGCATGTGCTGTATTGATGTTCAGTGTTCCCAGAAGCATTGAGCTCTATATACCCACAGCAGTAACCTGTTTGATGTTATCTGTCTGGGCTTCACTCTTTTCTTTTGCTCACTTCCCCTGCTGGAATCACCTGCCAAATAAAGTACTTGCATTCACAACCTCGTCTTATGGTCTACTTCTGGGGAAAAATCAACCTGAAGAGTAGAAAATCATTTTAACTTGTTATCCGGATTTTTGCAAAATAACAACCGTTTTGCAGCAGAGACATCAATAAGAGGCAAGATTGATTTCCATTAGTAGCATAAAATATATTTCTTCCTCTATTTTCTTCTCCAAAATGCCCTATCCAAATTAATCATCTTACTTCTTCAGTATTGTAACTCTTCTTATACAAAATACCCAAATTTGACAATTGGACAATAGCATATTAAAGCAATTTTCTTGGCCTCTCCAAAAAGATCACTCTGCCTGCCTCAGTAATTATGTCATCTGGGATTTTCCAGGAGACTTACACAAAATCTAAGGGGATTTTCTCTCTCTTACTACAATTTGACCATACACATTGCTGCCAAATCAATATTTTAGCACATAGCTGTAATGACATCACTCCCAAGTTTAAAAACATTTAGAGGCATCATGCACCATGGTTCCTACAGAATTAAATAGAATCTCCTTGACCTGATACACAAAATCTTCCAAAATCAAATGCTACACTGTATAATCAGAACCAAATTTTCAATAGCAATTATCCTACTGTACTCAATAAAGGGTTTTTGGACATGTGTTGTGTGTGGGTATTAAGCTGACCAACGATGCAAGTTTGCCTGCAACTGACTGTCTCAGTTTTAACACTGAAAGTCCCATGTCCCAAGAAACCCCTCAGACCCTAGCAAACTAGGACAAGTGGTCACCCTACATATGACAGCACCCACTGCTGTAGTGTACTTATTTTTCACACTATCAAGGAAAAAGCTATGCTCAAATAAATTAATGGTCTTATCTTTAATGGTGTATGTGGTTGAAAGAAGGAATCTCATATGCCAACAAACACGGTGAGGGGGAGGAAATGCACGTAGAGTGTGAGTGGTAACAGCAGTATGTACCTCATTCATTATTCATTGAAATCAGAATCTTAGGACCTTTCCTATTTCCCCCAAACTTTTACCTGATATTCCATTAGAGCTAAAAACCCACCCCAATAACCTCCAAGGTCCCTACATATTTGGGGTTTCAACTGTTTGCTCATATTGTTCCCCCCACCACCTTGAATGCTCCCCTTCATACCATCCCATCAACTCCTATCACATGGGATCCACTCTCTAAGACCCACTCAGATGCTGCTGTCTCCATAAAGATGTTGTTATTTCCTGTCCCCAGTTCCAGGTTTGGTTTCCTCTTCACTTTGAGCCCTCACTATATTTTGTTCCTTTTTCATGGCACTAAAGGAATTTCATTGTTTTAAATGCATGCAGAGCTTTATAATCATACTTTAGTACTATTCTTCACAATTCCTCTGTGAGACCCTTGCACACAGCATGAATTCTTGCTTTCCTCTGACACATGAGGAAGCTGAGGCTGATGATGGTTAGATCAGCTGCTTCAGCTTAGAGCTCACGGGTTGTTGAACCAGAATTCAAACCCAAAAATTCTAATCCGAGGTCTAGCATAGTGCTCCTTACTCATAATCATATGTAATCAACTCACTAGACTTCAAATTATTTGAGGTATTAAAAACCATATATTAATTGTGACTGTACCTTGGCAACAACATTTAAGCAGAGATTTTAATCCTGACATTCAAATTTCTCCCTCAGGTAAACCCTATTTGTTAGCACTTACAGCTGCAAATGTGTTTGTATAGGATAGTCCTCATTTGGATTTCTTGTAATTTGGTACCATACCTATTCCTTAAAATGTCCTTCAGACCAAGGATACAGATTTAAGAGGATCTGTGAGGCAGAGCTCATAATTATGAAGCCAATTTCTCCCCTCCTTTGGCACAACAATCTACCATTTCTTAATGCAGTGTTCCTTAAATTGTGAACTATAAACTATCTGCACCCATCTTCAATAGAACATTCCAGGGCCTTTTAAAAAAGCAGATCCCAGGCCAGTTATGGTGACTCACACCTGTAATCTTAGCACTTTGAGAGGCCGAGGAGGGTGGATCACTTGGGCTCAGGAGTTCAAGACCAGCCCAGGCAACATGGTGAAACACTGTCTTCACAAAAATTACAAAAATTAGCCATAGCCAGTAGTGCCAACTGCTCGGGAGGCTGAGGTGGGAGAATCATTTGAACCTGAGAGGCAGAGGTTGCAGTGAACTGAGATCGTTCCACTGCACTCCAGCCTGGGTGACAGAAGTGAAACTCTGTCTCAAGAAAAAAAAAAATGCAGATCCGTATAGCCTACCTCAAATGTATGGATTCAGAAAACCAAGAGATGGGGTTCAGGAATGATGATCTTTATGGTTAAAGTTTAAACTGAACTTAAACATTAAAGTTTACCCCTAAGCCTAGCATATAAAGTTATCATAAATATAAGAATATTACCTTCTACTGGAAACTTCTACTACTGCCTTTCTTCTACTTTACGAATTCTAGCTTCAGTCTCCATCATGTCTGTGGCACCCTTTCTTTCCTTCTACATCATTCCAATCCTACCTGAATGTCTAATCCAAATTTCAGCTCCTCTAACATCACCTCTCTTTCCTCTGATCCACCATCATTGTTGCTGCTGTTGTTATTGCTATTGATTTGATTGGTACCATGCACTGAGCACTTACCATATGTCCATCATTCTACTAAGTGCTTCATACAAACTATCTCTCTAACTCCTCAAAAAAGTCTTGTGCAGTATCTTCTGTTATCATCCCCACTCTTAAGATATTAAAACTGAAGTCAAAGAAGTTTGGCAACTTGCCCAAGACCACACCACCTGTGAGGGGCAAATCAGGACTGAGTCTCTCTGACACCAAAGCCCACACCTTCAGTGACTTCACTGTGTGCTTCTTTGACAGTGCCTTCAGTACAATGTTTCAACTGTGATAGGCACCTGTCATTGCGACTAGTCATGGTGGTCTCCTTGGGTGGTCTGATGAGCAATAAAGCACACTGAATCATTCTTACCAGGAATGATAAAATCTAAATGAGGTCAATTCCTCAACCTGTCATACTCGTTTGTCTTATTTTAATTTAGAAGGAGAAAAGTTCATGATCAGAGCCAAATGATTTATTTTACTTCCATTGACAGAATGGCCCCCTCTACAAACAAAAATGTTATAATAGCGCATTTTTGCAAGATGCAAAAATACTGAAAAAAAATGCAGCACTAAAGATACTGAATAGGCATTTGATAGCCAAGCAATAACAACAACGATAGCAACAATGATAATAATAATAGTAATACACAGCTAATATATATGGTGATCACTACACACCAGGTACTATGGTTAGTGTCTTTGTATCTAATTTAATTCTTATAACAATCCTAACAAGTAGACATCCTTATCATCATCCCCATTTTACACATGGGAAAACCTGGGCTCAAAGAAGTGAAATAATTTGTACAAGTCCACATAGCTAGCTGTGGTATGGAAAGGAAGTAGTCTCAAATCCTGGTGTGCTTGACTCCCAGACTCAACCTCATTGCTGTTCTGCTCCACTAAGGAAGGCTCTTATTAGGAATTTTGAACTGATGATTGGAAATTACTTTAAAAAAATTAAATAGTAGAGAAAGAAGCATATTTCACTCCATAAATAAAAACCAAACTGTAGGTTATCTGTGGATTTTCAAGGAAGACTGGAAAATAGTCTTCCCTGTCACATCAATGAATCCAAATAGCTGCCAGTATAGTTTGGCACCTGTCTCAGTCCATTCAGGCTGTTATAACAGAATACCATAGACTTGGGGGCTTATAACAAAAGAAATCTATTTCTCACAGTTCTGGAGGTTTGAAAGTCCAACACAAAGGGGCCAGCGGATTTAGCATCTGGTGAGGGCCTGGTCTCTGATTCACAAATGGCCGCCTTCTTGCTGGGTCCTCACATGGCAGAAGAGGCGAAGGAGCTCCCTGGGACTTATTTTATAAGGGAGCTATTCCCATCCATAAGGGCTTCACCTTTATGACCTAATCACCTCTAAATGGCTCCGCCTTCAAATACCATCACATCAGGGATTAGTTTTCAACATATAAATTTTGGGAGGAGGCAAATTCTCACTCTATAACAGCACCTAAACACAATGCATTTTATTAAAATTCAGCTTCGGCGGACTATAGTCTCAACTAAGGTTGGCATTGGTCCAGAAAAAGAGTCTAATTTTCAAGTTTCTCTCAAAATAGTTGATATTTGTCTGTCAAGGATTATTTCACCTAAAAACCATAAAGCAGCTGGGCATACAAAATTTCCCAGTGAAAGAAAAGTTTCTCAAAGATTAGCCAATGAAGTAGAAAACTTGTTCCGATCAGGCAAACATTCCATTAATATGGTTTTACCTTTAATATTTGTATCGGAATAGAAGGAGAGGGGTAGGTAGAAGACTGGAAAATATAAGACAGTAAGACAGTACTGATTTTAGTTGATATTTTCTGTGGAAGTTCTGTTCTCAGATTCCTCCTATACTGTTCCTTTCCACATTAGGAAGCAGGGAGAAGGAGACTACAGGGCTCACCCTCAATATCAAACCTAAGTGTTGGAGACTTGAAGACCTTTGGAATTTGCGCACACACACACACACACACACACACACACACACACACACACAAACTTCCTAGATATACCTCCACAAAGTTAAGACACAATGCCATGACTAAGCTACATCTAGCCCATATTAAAATTCTCTCTTGGGAAAATATAGCGTCCTTCTCATCTAGAAATTTAGCAGAACTATGTCCATTTCTATGGGGAACCTATAAGAAAATGAGTCGTTAGTAAATGGCATGTAAAAGTTTCCCAATATTCTAAAGTGTTACATACACTGTACTCTTCTCATCCATCACAATGACAAAGCTTTTTATTACTAGATACACGAGGAAAATTGTTTTGTGTGACTGATTAAAAGTATATATTCCCTGGCTAAGGAACTTTATAGGCTGTCTCTGGGTGGGATAACAGATTGCATTTGATAATCCACTCATCGCAGGCAGAAGCTTCACATGGCACTTCCTAATTTTAATACACCTCATATATTTGCTCTACTCCCTAAACCCTGAGTGTGCCTATTTCTTCTAGTGATTTTGCTTCTTCAGTATGCATCATCTGCCAGTTCTCCTCTGAAAACCTTCCCACCACATGTCAAAAAACCATCCCTATTGGAACACTCCCAAATAGTTCTTTCACTTGACTTGTCTTTTCACATTCTCTTTATTTTAGCCCTCATTTTCAATGCAAGTATCCTACTCTATCTCTTCTCTCTCTTTATTCTTCCTCTGTTTGGCATTAGTTAGTTCTATAAATGTGTTTATTATTTACACAAATTCAATAATGATATGTCTTCGGGACACATTTCATGAAGTATGCTAAACAATCAAATTTCACTTTTTTCTTTATCAGAAAAGTCAAGGGCTCAAGTATTATTCTGCACAGAAAAGCTGTTGAATTGTCAGGCAGTTTCTCCAGACTCCGACAGATATGGATATACATAAGAGTAAGAAAGGAAGGGGGTTGCATCTTTATTGTAACCCTAGGGGAAAATAATATCCTCAGGGTTCAGTTTCTGTGGAACATTCAGGGACAGAAGTAGCTTTTTACACTTCCTACAGCTTGAAGGACCCTTCCCAAAATTTCAATATGGTGGTGTTTGCTTTGGGGCAAACAAGGAAAATTATATTCCAGCTCCTGGTTTCATTTCTCAAAGTTTTTAAAATGAGAGTTGGCCCTTTAACAACACAGGTTTGAACTGCATGGATCCATTCATATGCAGATTTTCTTCCTCTTCTGCCATTCCTCAGACAGCAAGACCAACTCCTCCTCTTCCTCCTCCTCAGGCAGTACTCAGAGTGAAGATGACTTCATAATAATCAACCTCCACTTAATGAATAGTAAATATATTTCTCTTCCTTATGATTTTCTTAATAACATTTTCTTTTCTCTAGCTTACTTTATTGTAAGAATTCAGTATTTAACACATACACAAATATGTATTAATTGACTGTTTATATTATCAGGAAGGCTTCTAGTCAGCAGTAGGGTATTAGTAATTAAGTTTTGGGGGAGTCAAGAGTTATCTGTGGATTTTTAGCCAGGACAGTGGCTCACGTCTGTAATCCCAGCACTTTGGGAGGCCAAGGTGGGTGGATTACTTGAGGTCTGGAGTTTGAGACCAGCCTGGCCAACATG
Source organism: Homo sapiens (assembly GCF_000001405.40). Taxonomy (NCBI): domain Eukaryota; kingdom Metazoa; phylum Chordata; class Mammalia; order Primates; family Hominidae; genus Homo; species Homo sapiens. The sequence goes on along the minus strand of NC_000010.11, from coordinate 64,265,094 downwards.
GTGAAACCCTGTCTCTACTAAAAATACAAAAATTAGCTGGGCGTGGTGGCAGGTGCCTGTAATCCCAGCTACTTGGAAGGCTGAGACACAAGAATCACTTGAACCCAGAAGGCAGAGGTTGCAGTGAGCCGAGATGGTGCCACTGCACTCCAGCCAGGGCTACAGAGTGAGACTCCATCTCAAAAAAAGAAAAAGTAAAAGAAAAATAGTTATCTGTGGATTTTCAACTTCACAGGCAGTGAGTGCCCCAACCCCTGCATTGTTGAAGGGTTATTTGTAAGTATCTAGACAAAGCCAAAAGGCTTTAGAAATACAACTAATGAATCCATTTTAAGCATGGCTCTTACTGTTTCCTATGCCAATACTGGTTTGGAATTAAAGTGGCATCATCAAGAATTTCACCTGTGCCTTATGGGCAAAATACAAGCATTCATCTTTTGAAAAAGTCTTACCTTATTTAAATTATTTAGAATTAATCAGTTGTTCTTGAATATCATCAAATGGGAAAGGCTAACAATAGCTTTTAAATCAACAACAAATTATTGAGTTTCTAATGTGATATTCCACATGTTATTTTGTTAATTATTCAAAACAATTGCACATTATAAATATGGTCTCATTTTATAGTTAAAAAACACCCCTGAAGATTAGAGAAGTTGAGTAAATTCCCACAAATCACATCTAGGTCTGTGTATCCTGAAAGAAAGTCCAATTTTTCATACTTTCCCTTCCTTGCAGACACTTTAACACATAAGCAGAGAAAGCACTAATAAAGGAGCTATTCTAGCCTTATTCCTGACTACAAAGAAAGAACTACTTGGACATGTGGAAACCCCAGGACACCTGAGCCAAACTGACTATATTATTCTGGAATCTGTGACAGACAGGAAGAAAATACCAGGCAGAGTCAGGTATAAGCTGAAGACTTTAGGAAAGCAGATTTAAAAACATGAAAAAGAAGAATTAGGACATCTTCACTCAAGGATGCACAAAGAGAATTGAATAACTCCTGAAGAAAGATTGGAAATAAAATCTGACTATATGCATTAAAAATCTCAATGCCACATAAAAGGTACCCCAAGAACTGACATTTTGAGAGCTCTTTCTGAGCACACATTAAACTAACAAAAAGGGGTGGGGATACTGGGAGAAGGAACATGAAGCCAATGTGAATAGAAGACAGTTGTGTGAATCTGCACTGACAGTGCCATAGTGTGATGGTTAATATTGAGTGCCAACTTGATTGGATTGAAGGATGCAAAGTATTGTTCCTTCGTGGCTCTGGGAGGGTGTTGCCAAAGGAGATTGACATTTGAGTCAGTTAACTGGGAAAGGCAGACCTACCCTCAATCTGGGTGGGCACAATCTAATCAGCTGCCAGCACGGCCAGAATAAAAAGCAGGCAGAAGAACAAGGAATGGCTAGACTGGCTGAGTCTTCTGGCCTCCATCTTTCTCCCGTGCTGGATGCTTCCTGCCTTCAAAAATCGGACTCCAAGTTCTTCAGCTTTGGGACTCTTGGACCTTCAACCACAGACTGAAGGCTACACTGTTGGCTTCCCTACTTTTGAGGTTTTGGGATTTGAACTGGCTTCCTAGCTCTTTAGCTTATAGATGGCCTAATTTGGGACCTCACATTGTAATCCTATGAGTCAATACTCCTTAATAAACTCCCCTTTATATATACATCTATACTATTAGTTCTGTCCCTCTAGAGAACTATGACTAATACACATAGTGTCCATAAGATTCCATAATGATCAGCCATTCATTTAATAACTATGTCTTATAGACCATAACGTGGCAGATGTTGTGCTAGACACTGGAGTTAACAGTGCTCAACAAAACTCACACACATCATTTGCTCTCAGGGAGCTTATATCCTTCTCCTCTAAGTCATGACCTCCTTTTTCTCAGCCTGAAGCCAATCAACAGAAGTTGGCCTATAATAAAACTATGTAATTATAAATTTTGATAAATGCTGTGAAGAAAAAACACAAGAGGCTGAGAAAAAAGGAGACCATGACCTAGATGATAGGCCCTCAAGGGAGAATTTTCCTGAAGCAGAGTTAGCCAGTGTGTGTGTGTGTGTGTGTATGTGTGTTTAGAAAATTGTCCCCCAGACTGGGAACCACACGTTAAAAGGCTCTGAAGGGGAGAAGTCTACAGCCAATCCAAGAACCATAAGTGCCAGCTTTGGCAGGAAATGCAGGGCAGTGGGAGTCAGGCAGGGCCTGGGTCAGCGAGACCTAACAGGTCATGGGATAGATCTGGGTCTTTCTCCAACGAGGCGATTTAAGCAGGAATATCACATGACCAGATTTGCATTTCTAAAGCTTATTCAGGCTACAATATGGGAACCAGAGAGGGAAACAAGGCAGACAGAAGAAAACCAATTATAATACGATAACAGTCCAGGCAAGAGAGAATGGCAGCTCAGACCATGAGGGATGCAATGTTATTGGAGCAGAATGGACTGATTGAGAGACATTTAAGCAACAAAAACACCACAGTTTAGTGGCTGAGTGATGGATCTGAAGGGGGAGGCGTGGGGAACAGGTATGGTCAATTATGCTCTGAGTCAACTTATACTCTCACTCATGGCTTTTTGCAGAGGGTGGGTAGGAGGTAATGGGTAACAAGTTCTTATTATTTTAGTATTTTTTACTCCATAATAACCTTTCCTCTTTTCTTTCTGCCAATTATATGTTGGTAGAACTGGGTCATTTAGCCTGTAAAGTATCTCAGATTCTGCATTTGACTGATTACTTCCTGTGTTATTATTTTAACTTATTCCTCTACCTGCTGGGTTTCCTGTAAAATATGGTAGATCTGAAGACTCGATTGATTCTGGTTCAAACTATTTTTTTTTCTTTCGGCTAGAATACTTCATAGGTTACCCATATACTTCTTGCTACATCCCATCAGAAGAAACAACATGTCAGAGGCAGCACTTTTAGTGATGCTGGAATTGATCTGGGGGCTTAAGCGCCCCATTCCTTATAAAGTTTCTCTTACACCTTTTGCTTAATGGTTTTAGCATCCACCAATGGTGGTTGCCTCAATCCACTAAAAAAAAGCTACTTCAGTAAAATAGAATAAAAGTACACTGATTTTAGCAAAATGTGATACAGCCTCACATAATTTCTTCATAGAAATCAATTCCAAAGGCCTCACTCCAGCCTCGCCAGCTTGGACTCCATCTGTCAAGCTGTTCTGGTTGCCCTCCAGCAGCTCTGTGTACACCTTCTCAGTGGCTCCCTTAATTCTTCTGACTCAAAGTGTAACCATCAATGTCTTATCTTCTGTCCCTTTTCTTTTCTCTCTCTGCCATCTCTTTTTGGTAAATTACATTCATTCCTTCCAAACTGCCATCAGCAACATTTCATAAAATCATAACTCCAGACTCAATCTGAGTAGAAATTTTTGGTTGCCAACTAGTCCCTCACTCTGCTATAAATCATGCACATCACCTTTAATCTCCAAACCACCTTCAGACCCCTCTCTCTGCCAAGGATATCATGATTCTCTCAATCACCATTGACTACTCCTCCTACTCCTTCTCCCTAACCATCCACATCAGTAAGTTGACAACTCTGTGCAATCTTCCTCCAACATATCCCTCTCATTTTTCTCTTCCCAAACCACTGCCAGCCCTCTAGTACAGGTCTTCATCTCTTGCCTAGACCACTGCAAATAGCTTCTTGATACCTCTCCCACTTTAAAAGGCTCTGCCCTGTACAATCCACCCTAAACATAGGGCTGGAAAAAGCCCCTAAAAGCACAGCTAGAGTTCCCCTGTTCAAATAGTTTCACTTTCTACCCAAAGGAAATACTCAGCTAACAAAGGAAATACAAGCTGTTCATGCTACCTGCAATCTGTCCCTTTTACCTTCACAGACTTTGTCCCACCCATGCATTACTCAGGCCTGCACCTCTGCACCACTGCTGGTCTCTGAGTCTCTACCCAGGAATCATACCAATAGCCAGCTCCTCATTCCTGATGCCCAAACCATCTTCGATTACTAACAACCTACTCATTCTTTTTCCTCTTCACTAAATGACATATATATATATATATATATATAGCAATCAAATAATTGGCAATGAAATATGTAGATATGTATATAATATGCATAATATAATATGCATAATAAAATATGCATAATACATACATATCTACATATTTCATTGCCAATTATTTGAATCACTAAGATATTATATTCTTTTTATAACAGATTTTCTTTTCATTCTCTAGTTCTTTCAACCTAAGGGAATAATTTAGTATACTTCTTTCTATAATTGCTTTTTATCTTATATAAAAAATAGTTACACAAAGATAAATATTTGGTAAATAGTTTGGCTTTTAAACAGATCATGTGATACACATGATACATAATATATAAATACATATTCTGCAACTAGGTTTTCTTATATAATTTACATGCATATGCTTTCACTGCAATTTATAGAGATCCACTTCACACATATTAACAATTATCTCACATACTGTAATATAGATGATCCTTAGCTTATTCTACCATTCCCCTAGATCAGCATTCAGTTCACCCCCTTTTTTAACAATTAGAAACAATGCTGAAATAAACATCTTTGTATTTAAATTTTTATAACTTATTGAGTTTTTTTTTTAATCAATTCCCAGAAGTGAATTCTGGTTCAAATAACATGCACATTTAAAATCTAATAAACTACAGACAGATTATGTCCCAAAAGTAATAATGTACTCTTAACGACAAGAGCATATGAAGGTAAGTATTTTTCCACACCTTTTCTAATGATAATGCATTTAATTTTTTTCACTTTCATCATGCAGTTATTTGAAAAATGTTATCTTGGAAGTTTAGCATTACATATACCTTATGAATTTCTTTCCTTATTCTTACATGCTAGATATCTTCCTTTTCCTCTGAAACCTTTGTAACACATTTTTTGCCCTTTTGTGGAACTTTTCATTTTATACTTTATGCTGAATTGGTTTCTTATTTTATATCTCTACCATATTGTAGCTTAAAAGGATAGGTCTCCTATCTTCCCTGTTCATATAACTTCCATAATATTAGCACAGTAGCAATATATAGGAGATGATCCAATTTTTGTTTAATAGAATCCAGTTGATCAGTTAGAGAAATGGGAGCTCAGGGCTAGGAATTAAGTGTGTATAACCCTGTGTCCTCTAGGAGGAAATTGCAAGTGGATTGCTGCAAAATTTTATCACTGGCAAAACAGTTGAACAAAGCAGATATAGGATGTTCACTTATCAAATCTACTGCTCAAACATCCAGGGTAGGTAAAGCCAATCGACAGAGTATGACAACATCAGGATGTTTATAAGCCAAAACCATGGGCAGAAGCACATCCACAGGGAAGCACAATATAGTAAGAAAAGTTTTTTTTCTTAATTTGTAGGAATCTCATTTTAAAATAAACTCAGATGAAATGTTTACCAGTGGATAAAAGATAAAGATTATAGCTCAGCATAAAAATGACATGATAACACCTAAAAGGCAGCAGAGCTCACATACCCTGAATAGGGCAATATTCAGGTTATTGAAAGTTGCCTTACGTACATTATCCAATTTCACACACATAAGCACACACATCCCTATGCAGTAGATACTTTTATTATTATTATTATTATTATTATTATTATTATTATTATTATTTTGAGATGGAGTCTTGCTCTGTCGCCAGGTTGGAGTGCAGTGGTGTGATCTTGGCTCACTGCAACCTCTGCCTCCAGGGTTCAAGCAATCCTCCTGCCTCAGCCCCCTGAGTAGCTCGGACTACAGGCACGCGCCACCATGCCCAGCTAATTTTCATATTTTTAGTAGAGACAGCATTTCACCATGTTGGCATGGATGGTCTCAATCTGTTGACCTCGTGATCCACCTGCCTTGGCCTCCCAAAGTGCTGGGATTACAGACGTGAGCCACCGCGCCCGGCCTATTATTTTTTATTCTTATTATTTTAATCCACATGTTGCATATGGGGAGTTGAATTTCCCAATCATAAATTGTACATGCAGGGGAACTGAGTTTGGAGCCCAGATATGTTTGAGTCTAGACTGCCTATAATTTCTCACCTAAAGAGATACAAAAACAGAGACCTGATAGGTTGGGCACCGTGGCTCATGCCTGTAATCCCAGCACTTTGGAAGGGTGAGGCAGGCAGATCACGAGGTCAGGAGTTCGAGACCAGCCTGGCCAATATGGTCAAACCCCATTTCTACTAAAAATACAAAAATTAGCCAGGCGTGGTGGCGCATGCCTGTAGCCCCAGCTACTCGGGAGGCTGAGGCAGGAGAATCGCTTGAACCCTCAAGGCTGAGGTTGCAGTGAGCCGAGATTGGGCCACTGCACTCCAGCCTGGGTGACAGAGAGAGACTCCAGCTCCAAAAAAAACACAGGGGCCTGATAAATCTTTGTCAGCAGTGCCAGAGACCATGATTTCCTTCAGCGGGAGAATGGAAAGATGACATTTGAACCAGTCCAGACTTAGCACTTACTATGCTAGCACAGAAGTTAGAATCGCCTAAGAGTCGAAAGCCCAGCAGACAAAATAAACCAAACAAACAAGCAATGTTCTACCCTACACACTTACAATTAATTCCTAAGGATAAAAAAAATTCCAAAGATGACGTAGATTTACTTTCAAAAAATATAACAAAGCAAATCTTTTTTTATATATATATACTTTAAGTTTTAGGCTACATGTGCACAACGTGCAGGTTTGTTACATATGTATACATGTGCCATGTTGGTGTGCTGCACCCATTAACTGGTCATTTAACATTAGGTGTATCTCCTAATGCTATCCCTCCCCCCTCCCCCACCCCCCTTCCTGTGTCCATGTGATAAACCAAGCAAATCTAATGGAATATGTAACAAAATAAATCTAACAAGTTCAAACAGCACAATCATTTAAAACTGTGATTAAGTTTTGTTTCTAAACTTTTTCTTTTTTTCTTAGTGGACTACACCCTGTGTCTCCTGAACTTGAGCCACCTGTCATATAATACAAGTGTTAAATGCCACATCAGCAGGTCCGTGCTGTTTGCTCAGAACCTCAACCAGCTCCTTTTAATTAATCCTGTCTAATTCTTTTGCTTCCTAAAGTTACTAATGTTTGCTATGCTTTTAAATATTGGCTTTTTTGTTTTTTCTCACTTCCTCTTTGAGCCAATAAGGCACTGATAAAGATGGCATTTGAATTCATTCCCCTCCATTGGATTAAATCAGGGAATGTCTTTTTTCTCTGGGTGGATAATGCCCAGGAACTCTAAAGTCTAATCTTGATAGAGATAGAGATAGAGACAGAGATGATAGAAACAGAAAAGTAGAAGAAAGGAAGCTATGACTCAGAGAAATCTCAATTCAAATTTTCAAGCTCACTGTTGCGGGAGCCTGCAAAGCATATTTAACCTATTTGATCCTCAGGTTTTTCATTAATATCAAGATAATAATAGTATCTACTTTATAAGATTTTTGTGAGAGTTAAATTAGATGGTGCACATACAACCTATAGTAAGTTTTCAATTAGTGGAAATTATAATTAAAACTATTAGCAGAGTCAGTCATGTTTAGACAAACTAAAAGGAAATAAATGTCAAAATAAACTTCTAAATGCCATGAATATAAATCTAAAAATTATTTTTTAAAAATTTCTTTTTATCTCTGTTTCTGATTAAAGACAGGATTCAGCTCAATTTCCAAGGAAATGGGAATTACTGGGGCCTCACTTAGATTCCAAATGAACAGCAAAAGGGAAGCATCTCACCCTCTTAGAGGGATGCTGGGATATTTGAAAAGCAAAAAGTTTTTTGGATATGTTTAAAAAGTTAATGTCTCTCCCAAGAAAGGAAAAGGACAGCAAGGACTTCAAGAGATGAAATCATACTGTGACTTGTATTATAGGTATTGGACAGAATTTCATTGAAGGCACATTGATGGCAAAATGTGGAAGAAATCCCCAAGAGGGCAAAATAACAAATTCATCCCCCTTTCTTTTCCCCTCCATAGATTTTAACTATGTAGCAGTATATCCCCATCTCGTCTAGGTAATTGTAAGGCATGCATTTTTAATTTTGGTAAGTGTGCATATTTCACTAAGCGGCTCTCATTGAAAGAGTGATCATCCATAAGCTGTATCAAATCAAAGCATGAGTGTCAGCCACTTGCACAGGGAAAAATGTATTAAGTGAAGTGACTGAAGGATAGCAATAGACACTGCTCCTCAAAGAGCGGTTGGGCTCTAATGCTTAATCAATTAGAGGCCAAATAGTGTCAAAGTTTAAAAATTTTTTTAAGTTTCTTCACTATTCTCAGTGGGGAGAAGAGATAGGATAGGAGATTAGGCAACCTTGTGTGGTTTTAGCAGAGTTAACACAACTGGATGAAGGCAGAGGATGAAAAATGAAAGTGATGGTGAGATGAATTATTAATTTCCTAAAGTCCAAATCTGCTTCAGTTGGAAGTGGAGCTATGATTCAGAGAGATTTGATAGAACCAAAATCATGTTTTTGGTTCCATTTGCTATAATTCTTTTAAAACAGACCTTGCACTACTGTATGGAAGGATCACAATACATTAAAACAGGTTAAATCTCTCTATCTCTTGCTCTATCGTTGCAATAACATATAATCATTTTTTCTACTTTAATTAAAATCTAATTTTTTGTAGTCTGATTTCTTCTGAGTCTGAGTTTTTGTTCCAGACTAACCCACTAAACCATTTTAAGGCAGTAATTTTAGAAGGATCTCTGAGTAAACGATAGGCTATTCTCATTTGGCATTTTATACTTTTAAAACCATAGTATTGGTATTTTCATGTCCTTTGTTTTCCATAAAGTAATTAAATTAGTCCACTTCTAACAAAAACTCCATCATCAGTGAAAATCAAAATAGTCAGAAGCATGTGTTAAGTCCAAACATCTTTTTATTTGTTAGTTCCATTAGTCAACCTTATAGAGCAGAAGGGAGGAATGGAGGACAAAAGGAACCCCATACAAGCACCGTGCCATTACGGTTCGAAGCAAAATCTTTTTACTCCTCGCAGGGATCCCAAGAGGTAGTTGTTATAAGAAAATGTCCATTTAGAGAGTTTAATCATTTAAATTCACAAAGCAAATATGTGTCTGTTCCGGATCCAAACTAATGATTAAATCAGGAGAACACATGAAGAAGCTGTCTACAATGAAAAATACATATATCAGTAGAGGTTTCTTAAGCTTTAGCTTAGAAAACGTTCATGCAGGAAAACACTAACGCAAGTCAGAGCTCAAAAGAAAAAAATCTAAAAACCACAGGAGATAAGTTCTCAAATGAGCAGGTAAGAAGAACAAACAAAACCTCAGTGAAAGAATAAAGGGCAATCTTCATTCTATATGGCCAGAACTTGATACAGAGAGAAGGGAAAATGGAGAAGAGAGGAGAATGGACAGAGAGAGAGAGTGTGTGCGTGGTAAACTGAAAGCTGAAATCTAAGGACCAAGTAAAGAGAAAGAGCCAGAGAAAATGTTGGGTATCATCTCACAAGTGGAAGAAGACATTCATAACTCTCAAAGTCAATGGTCTGAAATTGTCACAGCCAAGAGGAACCTAAGGAAAATGACAACTAAATGTAACATGTTATCCTTGATGGAATCTGGAATTTAAAAAAAAAGACATTAAGGGAAAACTAAAGAATTCTTAATAAAGTATGGACTGCATTTAATAATAATATATTAATAGCATTCATTAATTGTGACAAACGTACTATGCTAATGTAAGATATTAATACTAGACGAAACCAAATACAAGGAAAATGAGAATTCTCTGTATAATTTTTTTGAACCTAAAAGTATTCTAAAATTAAATGTTTCTAAAAGAAGTCAATAGTCTAAACGCATATTTTTATGGTAATTTTGTCCCAAGGAAAATCCTGAGAGGATAAATGCAAGGCTTCCAACTCCACCCTCAAGAGGGGTAAGGAATAAGGACCCTTAAAAACAAAATATTGGTACAGGTCTTGATACCACCGAGATATACTCTTTATTTCACATTGCAATAAATCTACTGATTAAGAAATTAAGAGAACTGTGCCTTAAAACACACACACAACACACATTGTCTTAAAGTTTTCAAGAATTTAAAATTTAGCCTTAATTTTATAAAGGCAGGAAATCAAATAACCTTCTGTTTATTTAAACAAATTACCTGGAAAATGCAGTCTTAATCAAGTAATACCAATTAAGCATCTCCTTAAGCATACTAAACTTCTGTACCTAGAGACAGCCAAGAACATCAGACCAAATGTAATTAACTAGTGGTTCACACTAGATGGATGATCTTGCATCCAAAATGAAAAATTAAAAGGACTCAATGCCACTTCTATTAATACTATCATTAATACTGTAATACCATTAAGCAGAAAAAGGTATAGTGGTAAAAGAATCATTGCACACATAGCTCAGTAACCAGTCACTAACACAATAGCTATATAAAAAAGGACCCTAAAATAAGGTACAAAGAGAGACTATCCCCACATTACTCTGAGTATCTCCCTCAGCCTGCTCTGTCCACACCTGGAAAGGTATTTGTGTCTCTGCAACAATCTTCCATCTCCCATCAGGCAGCTGAACCTGAAAAATTTGAAATGGACCTTAGGCTTACTGTGGCCATTTGAGTTCACATAAAATCAGGACACTTCCCAAGGGAATCTATTGAATGTCAGGTTTGAGTCAGGGTTTTAATTTCACAGTAGATTTAACCGAAGAGACTTAATTTTACCAAATTAAAAACGCATGTCTTACAACAACCCCCAAACCCTCCAGGAATGAACTCAGACAGAGAAAGTTTGACCAGAGCCTCCACTAGAAAGAAAAAGACAAGATGCTAGATGCCCTAGTTTAAAACCTCAGAGGCTCGGGATGGAGGAAAATGGAGAATTAACACTCTGTAAAAAAGACACTGTTCTTGATGACTGGAGACAATTTCTCCAATCAAAGGGCGCCTATCTGCCCTCAACACACTCCTCCACAGTCCACTTTTATATATGTGCAACACAAATTGTGTCCAAGCAACTCACAGAAATTGATAGGAGGAGAATGATGGCTAATATTAGTAGTCAATAATATGCTACTGTCTTCCATGCATGTGGGCATGGGTGAGATAGTGAGGGAATGAAAACCACCTGTGAAAACTTAATCATGGAAAAGAAAAAAGAGAGAGGCAGGGTGGTTGGAAGAAGAAGCAAAGCAACAGATATTAGCTGATGAGAAAAATGCCAAGTAGAGAATAAAATGAGTAACGGCTAATATTAATGCATCACTTAGCATGCGGCAGACACTGCAATAGGCCCTTACACACATTATCTCAATTTCACAATGAACTTGCAGTCTAGGTATTATTCAAATTGTATAGTAGAAAAACTGAGGGTAACTGACATTACTTGTCTTGCCCTAGGAACAGTTTAAAATGTTAGGCACAAGACAAAATCCCATGTCAGTTTAATCTTCTCAGCCTTTGCTTTTTTCATTACACTATCCTGGCTGTCCAAGAAAGAAAGTTAATACCTGGGTAATGTAATCAGTAAGATAAAATGAGTTCCAAAAGATTTACTTATGTCTATAAACCTTAATCCTCCATCCAGGTTGTAAACTCCTTAAAACAAGGACCAATCGGTTCATGTGCTTCTAGGTAAAACAATATTTTACAGTTATATAAAAGTGATGAAGCAAAAAATATGCTTCTGTAAAAAACTGAGTTTGCAGGAGCTAAACTGAGGCATTTCACCAGTAAAATAAAATAACAGTGCTCTGTTACAGAGTAAAAAGTTGATCTGTCAATCTGTGGATCTGTACACTTAAGATTATATATTTAATTGCATGTAAATTATATATCAATTAAAATCAATTAAACTAGATAGATTCTAAAGGAAAAAAGTGAGCACTGATTTCTTTTATTTCCTTTCCTTTTCTCTTTTCTTTTCTTTTTTTCCTTTTCTCTCTTTTTGAGATGACATCTCGCTTCTTCACCCAGGCTGGAGTGCAGTGGTGAGATCCTGGCTCACTGCAACCTCCACCTCCCGGGTTCAAGTGATTCTCATGCCTCAGCCTCCCACGTACCTGGGATTACAGGCGCCTACCACCATGCCTGGCTAATTTTTGTATTTTTACTGGAGATGAGGACTCGCCATGTTAGCCAGGCTGGTCTTGAACTCCTGACCTCAAGTGATCTGCCCACCTAAGCCTCCCAAATTGCTGGGATTTCAGGCATGAGCCACTGCACCTGATCTGATTTTCATTTTTGATTATGCTGGATGTAGCAGACCAACACTCCTTTTAAGAACAATATGAAAATTCAGCTCAAATATAAAAGTAAATTGTTTGAAGGAATTGGATTGCTGCTGAGAAAATGAAAATTTGATAAGTCAGAATTCAGGAGAGAAGAAATTCAATAAGATAAACCCAATGTTCTGAGTTCAGTTTCTCTTCTTATGACATATGTATTTTCTTTGTTAAGAGAAGAGACTGAGAATCCAAGAAGAGAGTGGCTACTATGAAATCATCAGAGACTTCAGAAGTCTTTTAAAGTTGAAGGGACAAAAATTGCAGTTTAGGGTGCTGATTCAGGCAGAACTTAAGAAGCCAAGATCCCTAAAGAATAAAGGTTCAAAGAAGTAAGACCAACAAGCAATAGCGTCTCCCATAGTGCATTTGCTAAATACCTAAGCTGTGCAGGCCAAGAGGCTAAAAGGCCAATAAGAAATAGCTGAAAAACAGAGTAAAATCTTAGTAGTCTCATGATACATAAGACAAAGCCTAATGGTGCATAGAAGTAAAAAGTGGAGTTCAGTGCTGCCAACAAAGAAGGGCCCAGGAAATTCCTCAGGCTCACAGTCCGGACACTTGGAGGACTATATACCAAGAGTGAAAATGACCCGAAGGAAAGAACAAGCTGGATATAAACTATAACTTCAACTGCAGGCCTGATCAAGGTCTTCTCAGGCTGTAATTAGAATGAGGTGATCTGCTCTACCCTTCATGCCTGTCAAGAGATGGGGTGAACCCTTTCTTGATGTACATACCACCACCCAGGGCTTCTTTATTCAATTATATGTAGTGTGAAAGATTCAACCAAAAATTAGCTGATATTCCAACAAATAAGATCAAGGGAAAAATGATCTCTTGATCAACAGAAACAGATCCAGGTGATCCAAATTTTCAAGTTGTCAGACATAGACTTTAAAATAACTATGACTAATAGTCAAAAACATATATCATAAGATGAAGAATTTCACAGAAAATTAGAGGCTGAAGTAGTTGCAAATTTTAGATGTAGAAACTTCAATAACTGGAATTAAGAACTCAAGAAGAACTAGGTATGGTGACTCATGCCTATCATCCCAGCACTTTGAGAGGCTGAGGCAGGTCGATCATTTGAGGTCAGGAGTTCAAGACCAGCTTGGACAATGTGGTGAAACTTCGTCTCTACTAAAAATACAAAAATTAGCTGGGCATGATGGTACACACCTGTAATCCCAGCTACTCGGGAGGCTGAGGCAGGAGAATTGCTTAAACCCACGAGGCGGAGTTTGCAGTGAGCCGAGATAGGGCCACTGCACTCCAGCCTGGGCGATGGAGTGAGATTCCGTCTCAAAAAACAAACAAACTAACAAACAAACAGAAAAAGAACTCAAGAGGAGTGTAACCAAATTCAGCACAGATTATAGAAGATTAATGAAGTTAAAGATCATAAAAATTATACAAACTGAAGCAGAGAAAAAAATTGGTGGAAAATACATAAAAGAGTGAAGAAGACACATGAAATGCAGTGAAGGAAGGAAGAGAAAGAAGTGGACAAAAGCCAAGTTTGAAGAAACAACAGCTAAGAATATTTCAAAACTGAAAAAGTTTATCAAGCCACTTACTCAAGAAGTGCCACAAATCTTAAGTAGGAAAACACAAAGACCATACTAGAGTAAGGGTATATTATAGTAAAACTGCTATACACCAAAAGCAAAGAGAAAATCTCAAAAGCAAGACAAGAAAAGACAGATTAATTTCAAAGTAGCAACAGTATTAACGATTATTACAGAAATAATGAAAGCCAGAAAACTATGGAATGGCATTTTTTTAACATACTGAGAAAATATATCAGCAAAAGTAGAATTCTGGATTCAGGAAACATGTCTCTTAAAATGGAAGGTTCATAAAAATACAAAAGGACAGAATCTATTATCAGTAGACCCACGTTGAAGAAATACTCGATAAATTTCTTCAGGCAGAAGAAAGATAATAAAGAAAAGTAGAAATTCAGAGAAAATCAAAACAAATAATATTTTCAAGGGTTAAAATATGCATAGAAATAAAATTCATGACAGTGATAACACAAAAGGAAGGAGGAAGTAAATTAAATTAAAATATTATACGGATTCAGCATTATCTGAAAAGTAATAAAAGTGCTGATTTTTTATTAGCCTCTGATAAGTCAAAGATTAATGTTGTAATCTCCAGAGTAATAACAAAAATGATAACAAAAAAGAAACTTACCAGCTAACAGAAGGGAATATTGAAATACTTTTTAAAAACACATGATTTTTCTAAAAGTAGGTAAGAAAATTTAGAAAAGGGTATTGATATGGTTTGGCAGTGCCCCACCCAAATCTTATCTTCAATTGTAGCTCCCATAATCCCCACATGTTGTGGGAGGGACCCAGTGGGAGGTAATCGAATCATCGGGGTGGGCTTTTTTCATGCTGTTCTCATGAGAGTAAATAAATCTCATGAGATTTGATGGTTTCATAAAGAGGAGTTCCCTTGCACATGCTCTCTTGCCTGCTCCTCCTTCATGCCTTTGCTCCTCCTTCACCTTCCACGATTGTGAGGCCTCCCTAGCCATGTGGAACTGTGAGTCCATTAACCCTCTTTTTTAAATAAATTACTCAGTCCTAGGTATTTTTTCATAGCAATATGAAAATGGACTAATACCAATACCAATATCAATCTACTATTGGCACCAGTAGAGTGGGGTGCTGCTGTAAAGATACCCAAAAATGTGGAAGCAACTTTATAATTCAGTAACAGGCAAAGGTTGGAATGGTTTGCGGGGCTCAGAAGAAGATAGAAAAATGTGGGAAACTTTGGAACTTCCTAGAAACTTGTTGAATGGCTTTGACCAAAATGCTGATAGTGATATGGACAATAATGTCCAGGCTGAGGTGGTCTCAGATGGAGATGAGGAACTTTTTGGGAACTGGAGTGAAGATCACTCTTTCTATGCAAAGAGACTGGTGGAATTTTGCCCCTGCCCTAGAGATCTGTGGAACTTTGAACTTGAGAGAGATGATTTGATTTAGGGTGTATGGTGGAAGAAATTTCTAAGGGGCAAAGTTTCAAAAGAAGCAAAGAATAAAAGTTTGAAAAATTTGTAGCCTGACAATGCAATACAATAGAAAAACCCATTGTTTGGGGAGAAATTCAAGCCAGCTGCAGAAATTTGCATAAGTAACGAGGAGCCAAATGATAATCCCCAAGACGATGGGGAAAATGTCTCCAGGACATGTCAGAGACTTTCGCAGCAGCCCCTTCCATCACAAGCCCAGAGTCCTAAGAGGGAAAAATGGTTTCCTGGCTGAGTCCAGGGGTGGGGAAGGGGCTGCTGTGTGCAGCCTTGGGACTTGGTGCCCTGCATCCCCGCCTCTCTGGCCCATGGCTTCAGAAGGTGCAAGCCCCAAGTCTTGGCAGCTTCCACATGGTGTTGAGCCTGTGGGTGCACAGAAGTCAAGAATTAAGGTTGGAGAACCTCTGCCTAGATTTCACAGGATGTATGTAAATGCCTGGATGTCCAGGCAGAGGTGTGCTACAGGAGCAGAGCCCCCATGGCAAACTTCTGCTATGGCAGTGCAGAAGGGAAATGTGGGGTTGGAGCCCTCACACAGAGTCCCCACTGGAGCACTGCCTACTGGAGCTGTAAGAAGAGGGCCACTACCCTCCAGACCCCAGAGTGGTAGATCCACCAATAGCTTGCACTGTGCACCTGGAAAAGCTGCAGACACTCAATGCCAGCCTGTGAAAGCAGCAAGAAGTGGAGTTGTATCCTGAAAAGCCACAGGAGTGGCTCTCCCAGAGAGGCTGGGAGTTGCCGAAGGACATGGGAGCCCACCTCTTGCATCAGCGTGACCTGGATGTGAGACATGGAGTCAAAAGAGATCATTTTCTAACTTTAAGGTTTAATGACTGCCCTATTGGATTTCAGGCTTGCATGGGGGCCTGTAGCCCCTTGGTTTTGGCCTATTTCTCCCACTTGGAATGGATGTATTTACCTAATTCCTGTACCTCCATTGTATCTAGGAAGGAAGTAACTTGCTTTTGATTTTACAGGCTCATAGGCAGAAGGAACTTGCCTTATCTCAGATGAGACTTTGGACTTAGACTTTTGAGTTAATGGTGGAATGAGTTAAGACTTTGGGGGACTGTTGGAAGGGCATGATTGTGTTTTGAATTGTGAAGACATGAGATTTGGGAGGGACTGGGGTGGAATGATATGGTTTGGCTGTGCCCTCACCCAAATCTCATCTTGAATTGTAGCTCCTATAATCCCCATGTGCTGTGGGAGGGACCCAGTGGGAGGTGATTGAATCACGGAGGTGGGTTTTTCCCAGGCTGTTCTTGTGATAGTGAATAAGTCTCAAGTCTCATGAGATCTGATGGTTTTATAAAGGGCAGTTCCCCTGCATGTGCTCTCTTGCCTGCCGCCATGTACGATGTGCCTTTGCTCCTCCTTTGCCTTCTGCCGTGATTGTGAGGCCATGTGGAACTGTGAGTTCATTAACTCATTTTCTTTATAAATTACCCAGTCTTGAGTATTTCTTCATAGCAGTATGAAAATGGACTAATACAGGTACATAATATAAATTGTTGAAATAGAAGTCAAAACTAAGATAACGGATAGTAAACCAAATGTATAAATAATTTTATTAAAGTTAAATGGAATAAGTACATCAATTACAAGAAAAAGATTGTCAAACTGAATACATAAATGTGCCTCAATAATATTTGGCTTACATAGACATACCTTAAATATAAGAGAAAGTTTAAAAGTAAAAAATAAATGTAAAAGAATATAATGAATAAGCACTAACTGAAAGAAAACTAGTGTGGCTATATGCATATCAAAGAGACTATATTTTAAAGTAAGAAGCATCACTAGGGATAAAGACTGAGAGTTGTCATGTGATTTAATGATTATCTGCAAAATATAATTATTCTAAATTTGTATGCAGCAAATAATACAACTGCAAAACATATCAAGCAAAATGAGACATAACTAAAGGGAGAAGTAGACAAATATACAATTGCAAAATATTTTAGTATTTCTCCCACAGTAATTGGTAAAAAGAAGTAATAAATAAAGGAAAAACGTAGATGTTCTGTGCATAAAGATTAACAAGCTTGACCTAATTTACATGTATTGATTATCATGTCAATAAAAAACAGAATAAACCCTCTCTTCAATACTCATAGAAATTTTACCAAAATTGGCCACATGGCAGACTATAAAATATAATTTCTAACAAATTTCAAAGGAATGAAATTATGTAGACTATATTATCTGACCTGGAAGAATTTAAGTATGAAACCTTTTTTTTAAGAAGGATGTCATGCAGTAATTTTTTTTCTGTGCCCAGATGATTTCACTTAGCATGTCCTCCAGGTTCATCTATGTTGTCACAAATGAGAGAATTTATGTACTTTTTATGGCTGAATGGTATAACACATTTTCCAAATGTACTCATTCTCTGATGGACACTTAGTTGAGTCCATATGTTGACCACTGTGAATAATGCTACAATGAACATGAGAGTGCAGATATCTCTTCAACATACTTTTTCTTTTTCTTTGAATATATATTCACAAGTGAGGTTGCTGGAATATATGGTAGTTCCATTTTTTTTCAGTTTTTGAGGAACCTCCATACTGTTTTCTATGATAGCTGTACTAATTTACATTCCCACTAGCAGTGTACAAGGATTTCCTTTGCTCCACATTCTTGCCAACAGTTTTTCCTTTGACTTTTTGATAATAGCAGTTCTAATAGGTGTGAGGTGATGTATTATTGTGATTTTAATTCGCATTTTTCTGATGATTAGTGTTCATGTGGAATTTAAAAATGTCAAACTTTTAGAAGCAAAGAGTAAAATTAAAATGGTGGTTACCAGTGGCTGGGAGAGGTAGAGAGATGGATGGGAAGATGTTGGTCAAAAGGTACAAAGCTACAGTCAGACAGAAAGAATACTTTCTGCAGATCTATTGTACAGTATGATGACTATAGTTAATAATAATAAATTGTATACATACAAATTACTAAGAGATTCTATTTTAAATGTCCTCACCACAAAAAAGCATTAGGTTATATATATGTTAATTAGCTTGATTTAATTATTCTACAATATATACATATACAAATAATTATATTTTGTATACCATAAATATGTATAACTTTTATTTTTCAATTAAAATAAATTAAATAAAAATAAGGATATTCTCAACATAAGCATTTAATTTAAAATAACTCATAATTTAATAATGCAGAAATCAAAATGGAAAATATTTCAAAGTCAAGGATAATGAATGTACAATATATCAAACATGTTGAATCCATCTAAAACAGTGCTTAGAGAGAAATATATAGCCTTAGATGTATTTACTAGAAAGAGAAAAGCTTAAAATCTATGAGCAAAATATCCATTTCAAGGAGCCAGGAAAAAACAGTAACTAAAATGAACCCAAAATGAAGTAAAATAAATTTTAAAAGCAGAAAATAATGAAATGTAAAACAAACATACAACAGAGAAAAATTCACAAAGCCAAAAATTCGTTGTTAGAAAACACTAAGAAAATTGATTCACCTCTAGCAAAGCTGATCAAGAAAAAAACATAACAAAGAATGCCAAAACTAACAAAAATCAGGATTAAAAAAGAAACCACTATAAAACTACATATGTGAAAAAATCTATAGTTAATATTGTAAGAAACTTTGTCACAAATGTTAAAGTTTTGCTGAAATGGGAAAATATTATAAAAACACAATTTACGAAATCAGATATTCAATAGAAAATAAGAATAGTCCAACACCCATTACAGAAATTAAAACTGGTAATTTAATTTTTAAATCCACAAAGAAATATCACTAGTGAATTCAAAACATTTAAGAATTCTGCTTCTAGTGAATATATAAATGGGACACATACCCCAACTGGTTTTATAAGGTCATTATATTATTGATATTAAAACCTGATGAGGACAAGATAAGCAAAGAAAACTACAAATAGTCCAGTCTCTTATAAACATAGATGTGAAATTTATAAACAAAATAATGGTAAATAAAATGTAGTGATATATAAAAAGGATAATATATCACTACAAATTTATTTCTGCATTTATTCCATAAAATCATTTTTTAACATGAAAAAATGTAATTAATTTAAGTCACTATGTTAACAACATAATGCGAGAAAATCATATATCCTTATTAGTAGATGTAGGTAAAGCATTGAATAAATTCTCCTCTGCAAACTAGGAGGAAAAAAGGGAATGTCTCAAGCTGATTGTGTATATTTACCAAAAATATAAGAGTAATATCAACCTCATGGTAAAATACTGAATGCTTCCCAACTAAAATCAGGAACAACATGAAGAAGTCCATTATATAGTAATGTTTAGAAAGTCAAGCAAGGCATGACAGCACATTCCTTGTAATCCCAGCTACTCAGGAGGCTGAAGCACTTGAGCCCAGGAGTTTGGACAACATAGTGAGACTCCCATCTCAAAAACAGACAATAAAAAGAAAGTCATAGTCAGTACATAAAACAAGAAAAAGAAAGATGCACACATTTTCAAAAAGAAGAAAAGTAAGTTCCATTTTTCACAGAAGACATGATTATATATGTAAAAATAAAAACCTTATTAATCAAAAGTAAACTACAAACTATTAGAATCAGTGATGCCATTAGATAAAAGGCCAATGTAAGGTGTAAGGTGAACCAAATAAAATTGCCTCTTTTTTTTTTTTGTAGGTCAAAAAATGTTGACTGTCATCAATTTCACATGGCTTAATCCAATAAAAAGTAATTGCGTTTTTATATGTCATCAAAGCAATTAAAACATGAAACAGAAAAAGACTCCATTTGCAACAGCATCAAAAAATACCAAATTACCTAACAGTAAATCTAATGAAATTATGTACAAGACCTCTTCAGAGAAAATTACATTCACTGTTCAGAGAAATACTAAGTTTTATTAAATGGAAGAATAAGAAAGCCTATTATTATAAAATGCCAACTTTCTAAAAATTGTCCTACTTGCAATGGTAAAACCAATCAAAACCCCAACAAGTAATTTTTATAAAAATATATATGCCGATTCTAAAATCTATAAGAAAATGCAGGCCGGGCACCGTGGCTCATGCCTGTTATCCCAGCACTTTGGGAGGCCGAGGCAGGTGGATCACGAGGTAAGGAGATGGAGACCATCCTGGACAACATGGTGACACCCCGTCTCTACTAAAAATACAAAAATTAGATGGGCGTGGTGGCACGTGCCTGTAATCCCAGCTACGTGGAAGGCTGAGGCAGGAGAATCACTTGAACCAGGGAGTCGGAAGTTGCAGTGAGCCGAGATGGCGCCACTGCACTCCAGCCTGGCGACAGAACGACACTCCGTCTCAAAAAAAAAAAAAAAAAAAAAAAAAGAAAAGAAAAAGAAAATGCAAAAGAATAGCCAATTCAAGCTTGAAGAATAAGAGCAAAATTATGGGCCTTGCATTACCAAAGGCTTCTTTTGAAACTACAAGTGGCCGTGTGCGGTGGCTCATGCCTGTAATCCCAGCACTTTGGGAGGCCGAGGCGGGTGGATCATGAGATCAGGAGCTCCAGACCAGCCTGGCCAATATGATGAAACCCCATCTCTATTAAAAATACAAAAATTAGCCAAGCGTGGTGGCGCATGCCTGTAATCCCAGCTACTGGGGAGGCTGAGGCACGAGAATCCCTTGAACCTGGAGGTGGGGGTTGCAGTGAGCCAAGATTGCACCACTGCACTATGACCTGGGCAACAGAGCAAGACTTCCTCTCAAAAAATAGAAAGGAAAAGAAACTGCAAGTATAGCAAGTATAGCTTGAAATGTAAATGTTTTTCAGTGTTGCATTGGCCCAAGGAAATACAAATAAACCAATGTAACAAATTAGAGGTTAGAAATAGGCCAACAGTATACGTGGTCCCTTTAAGCTGATACTAAAGAGCAGTGAAATATAATACTTGGTCAACTGGATATCTAAGTGGACAAAATGAAATTTGGCCCTCTAATCACACTATTATAAAAATCAACTAGATTTATATGTATATAGATACAAATGTAAAACTTATAAAAGAATATCTTCATAATTTGAGTTAGGTTACTGTCTCTTGAACAGAACACAAAGAGCACGAACCACAAATGTATACATTAATAAACTTAGACACATTAAAATAAGAACTTTATTCATCAAAAAGACCAAAAAGACTGAAAATACAAACTGCATAGTGGTAGATAATGTTTTCAATACACATATTCTAATAGTGTTATATTTAGAATATATGAATAAATTTACAAATCAAAAAAATCCAATAAAATGGTTAAAATACGTGAATAAGCACCCATGAAAAAATGATTATGCACATGAACAATATATATATTTTATCTGGAAAATATATTAGTCATCAGGGAAATGAAAATAAGAATCACAACAAAATACAACTAACTACACACACATCCATACCATTATGGCTAACATTATGAATACTAAAAAGACCTAGTGTTATAATAGAAAGGCTGTGAAGCAAATACAGCTCTCATACCTAGCTTATGAGATTGTATATTTGGAAAATAGCCTATTGCTTAGCAATTCCACTCCTAATATGTAAGTGCATATGTCCAACAAAAGACATGAACAAGAATGTTCACAACAATACTACTTACAAAACCCCTTAACCAGAGTCAATCCGACTGTACATCAATAGGAGAATGAGTAAATATGTTGTGGGAGACTCACACAAAGTAATACAGTGACCCTTGAACATGTAGGGGATTGGGACACCGACCTCTCATGTAGTCAAATCCACATACAACTTTTAACCCAAAACTTAACTACTAACACCCTACTAGTCACCAGAAGTCTTACCAATAGCATGAACAAGTATTTTGTACATTACATGTACTTGTTATTCTTATAGTATACACTGTATTCTTATAGTAAAGTAAGCTAGAAAAAAGAAAATGTTATTAAGAAAATCATAAAAAAGAGAAAATACATGTGCTATTCATTAAGTGGAAGTGAATTATTATAAAGGTCTTCATCCTCATCCTCTTCACCCTGAGTAGGCTGAGGAGAAGGAAGGAAAGGAGGAGTTGGCCTTGCTGTTTTAGGGGTAGCAGAAGCATAAGAAGGGTAAGAGGTGGAAGAGGAGGCAGGAGAAGCAGGCACACTTGGTGTAACTTTACAGAAATAAATGATAATTTCTGTCTGACTTTTTTGCTTTTTCATTTACCTAAAAATGTTTCTATATGGTACCAATCCTTCTTCTACCATTTGCTTTAGTTTCAGTGCCTGTATCATAGAAAAGACCATGTCATGAAAGAAATCAGAAGCAGTCTTGAATAATCAGAACTCTTTTGCCAAACTGTCTAATGTCAATTTGTTTTCTAGCACTGCTTCTTTTATGTCTTCTTCCTTATCATCTAGCACTGATTTGGAAGCAATCATTTTCATCATTATCCTCTGTTAACTCCTCTGGCATGATGTCTATTAGCTCTTGAATTGCTTCAAGATCTACATCTTGATGCACTTCACAACCTATCTTTTTGCCCATATTCACAACCTTTTCCATTATTCCCTTGATTAACTCTGTCATAAATCCTGTGAATTCATGCACATTTGGACACAGTTTTCTCCAGTATGAATTTATCGTTCCAGGCTTAATGGCTTTCATGGCTTTTTCTATAACAACAATGGTATTTTCAATGATGTAATCCTTCCAGACTTTCAGGAGGTTCTCTCTTTCAGGGTTCTCTTCCATAGTGTTGACAATCCTTTTCATAGAAAACCTGTGTAAGTAGCCTTAAAGATCCTTATGACCCCCAATCTAGAGGCTGAATTAGAGATTGAAGCTGAAAGCTAATAAAATTGAATGGGAAAATAACAACTTTAAAAAAACTTCAAAAAATCTAATTTGCATTTTTATTCAATAACATCAGAGTTTTGTGATAACACTACCCTAAATCTCAGGTTTCCACAGATGTTAATTTTATTATTAAATACTCTAAGACTAGGCCAAAGTTGTACAATAAAAATAACCTCACCTTTAAACCAGGAATTCTACTGGGGGAACCCGCCCCCAATATTTCAATGTAGGTTCTTTCTATTTTCCCTAAGTGTCAGCCGGCTGAGAAAGAGAAAGAGTACAAAGAGAGGAATTTTACAGCTGGGCCTCCAGGGGTGACATCACATATCGGTAGGACTGTGATGCCTACCTGAGCCACAAAACCAGCAGGTTTTTATTAAGGACTTCAAAAGGGGAGGGGGTGTACGAACAGGGAGTAGGTCACAAAGATCACATGCTTCAAAGGGCAAAAAGGAGAACAAAGATCACATGCTTCTGAGGCCAATAAAGATCACAAGGCAAAGGGCAAAGCAAAGATCACAAGGCAAAGGGCGAAATCAAAAACTCCTGATAAGGGTCTATGTTCAGCTGTGCATGTATTGTCTTGATAAACATCTTAAACAACAGAAAACAGGGTTTGAGAGCAGAGAACCGGTCTGACCTCAAATTCACCAGCGGCCATTTATAGACCTCCCCCCAGGAATGCATTCCTTCACCAGGGTATTAATTATTAATATTTCTTGACAGGAAAAGAATTTAGTGGTATCTTGCCTACTTGCACGTCCATTTATAAGCTCTCTAAAAGAAGAAAAATGTGGCTCTATTCTGCCCAACCCCCAGGCAGTCAGACCCTATGATTGTCTTCCCTTGTTCCCTGAAAATCGCTGTTATTCTGTTCTTTTTCAAGGTGCACTGATTTCACATTGTTCAAACACACGTTTTATAATCAATTTGTATAGTTAACACAATTATAGTGGTCATGAGGTGACGTACATCCTCAGCTTAAGAAGATAAGAGGATTAAGAGATTAAAGTAAGAGAGGCGTAAGAAATTATAAGAGTATTATTTGGGAGCTGATAAATGTCCATGAAATCTTCACAATTTATGTTCAGAGATTGCAGTAAAGACAGGCATAAGAAATTATAAAAGTATTAATTTTGGGAACTGATATGTGTCCATATTAAAATGAAATCTTTACAATTTATGTTCCTCTGCTGTGGCTCCAGCCAGTCCCTCCATTCAGTGTCCCTGACTTCCGGCAACAGCATTCCAATTTGAAGTTTTTAAGGCTAGCTTTTAAAGGTAGTTAGTTTTGTCTTTCAAAGAAATGTTTTGTATTTGATCCAAAATGATGGCCTTACCTTACCTAAATTATTATTTTTTTCTCAAAAAAATTGAGGGAAAATGCAAGTCCTAGAGATAATGAGATTCAATTAT
Source organism: Homo sapiens (assembly GCF_000001405.40). Classification (NCBI taxonomy): domain Eukaryota; kingdom Metazoa; phylum Chordata; class Mammalia; order Primates; family Hominidae; genus Homo; species Homo sapiens. The sequence goes on along the minus strand of NC_000010.11, from coordinate 64,240,462 downwards.
CCAAGATGCAGAAAGAAACAACAAAAAGACAATGTTAAGCACAGGAGGTAACAAGGAGCAAATGAGACAGGGAATGGTGATTTAAAAAAAAAAAAGATAAAAATCTGCTAGTAAAACTAGTATATGTCAAAAAATTCAAATACTTTCTAAAAAGTGGCAAGATCTAAAAAAGTAAAATCCACAGTGAAAAGTGAGATAACTGACAATACTGTCAGTTGTGATTCACTTGAAAAGAAGCTCAAACAGAAAAAGTTGAATTTATTTTTTTGCTTGAAAATATGATCAATTATATAAAATATCTCAAGACACCCAGCTCAAGAGGCAAACACTGAAGAAATATTCCATGTCATTTTTTGAAGTTCCCTACAGTTTCAAAACTATAAGAGAAGGGTATTATCAGTCTGAAACTAGGTTTCTACATAGCAATGATTAATCTTTTCTTAAACTAATTGTGGGTCTGCAGATCAAATCATGAACCAATAAACCAGGCTGAAGATGAGTGAAACCATTCATCAAATAGCAGCCTCCATCCCTGCATTCCTTTGACAAGAGACTTTGCAACTGACAGCAGACTTACAAATACTAACTCACCTGATACACTGGCCAAACAGACATACAAGGTTGATCGAGAGTGGCTTGAAACATATGAAAATGGCTAATAGGAAACTAAAAGGGAATTCTGAAGCCTCCTTAGGTATTCTGTTACTTGCTCATTCATGCCTTTTGCAATACTTTTGATTTTCTCAGTCCTGCTCATCCATACTGACAGTTCAGCCTTTTAAAGCATGAGTGCAATCAAGAAACCCCCAAACTCCTACCCAGCTACAAATATTTTTTTTTCTGATCCTTGCCTATACAGGATAATTCTCAAGTTATTTATTCTCTATTTCCCTCCCACATCCGAGTGTTTAAAGGTCTCTATGCCAAACAGAACCATTACTGTGGGAAGAGGGAAGAGAGTGGTCTGATATTCTCTCAAAGAAATAATGGGGGGAAAAGGTATGTCAGACCCTTGCCCAACATATTTTGCTGAGCTGAGGACCCTTAACCCACTCACACAATTCAATGATGGTTCAATGGGCCTAAATGAGAGATATCCAAGTGGGAGGACTCAGAACTTGCAGGAGCTTGGAAGATCAAGTTTTACCACAAAAAATCCAGTGTATAAGGAGCAATATAAAAGGAACAAGCAAAAAAACGAAGAGGATCTTTGACTTTTGAGACAGGACCACCTATGTTAATGGAGTCTCCGGGATTTTATGAAAAGGAAGTTTTCACTATGAGTCTTTGAGAAAAAATGTATTGTCCAACTTCCTGGGGGAATAAGACTTCTAAGAGCACAGGACAAGTGATGATTGTTTCTGATTAATAGCAATTATGTCAGGAGGAAGTCTACCTGACCTAGGTGTTAAAATAACCACCTCCTCTCTTTCAATGCGTAAAACTTTAGAGGGAGTCGAGGCTTCCAACATAGCCTGTCCTTGAGCTGACTTTTTAACCGTGACCTCAGATTCTCTCATATCCTTACTCAATATCTATTCTCCTACAAATTGTGTACAAAATTACAAGTCTATACAAACCTTTGCTTGTTTCTGGTATACTATAATGCTGGTTTTCACTCAGGTTCTGAGGTCAATGGCTTCAGAAAAAAGAATTACTATGAGTGAATTTTGGGGTGGAAGTAGCCCATGGACTATAAACTCAGAAGTTACAGACCCTAGCTAGACTGGATCTCACATTAGCCAGGCAGGATGAAAGGACTGGGAGAGAGGGATAGGAATTTGTTAATAAGCATATATATTTCAGATGAAGCAAGGAAGTCTACAGACTTAAAAGGTCAATGAGCCTATGAGTGGGCATTGCCTGAGGATGTGAGGCCTTTCCTCAAGACAGATTTTCTTTCTCATTCCTTCCCAGCCACAGTGGAGGTTAGAAAGATATCTACTAACACAAAACACTTTCTCTGCTCCATCTGCCTCAATGATGTTGTGATAATTAAAAATGCCATGTGCCAGTAACCCTACTCCCAATAGAAAACTCATATTTGCCAAGCAAGAGCTCAGAGACTATATATCCTTTCCATTCCCTCTCACTTCTCCTCACTTCTTAGTCTTCTGTGATGCCTCATTACTGTCCCTCCACTTAAAGAATGTCCCTCCAATGCCAGCTAAGAAGTCAGAACAAATACATGTTGATTTTTACATCTACAGTCCAATGGTATTCTCTCTGTGATTAAATCAATCATTATGTATTTTTCTGAGATTCTGCAATGTGTTTAATCAATCTCTAAGAACTTTAGAATTATCATGAATCTGTTCCAAGTTAGACTGTGTGCAACTTGAAGGAAGGAGCCAAGACCTACACACAAATAAAATAACTAATAGAAGACTTTATACAGAATCTTAGAGGTATACAGTACAAGTTCAATAGGATTTTAGAAGAAGTCTGTCAAAAAGGATTATAGTTCTCAAGGAAATATTTGTGAAGAAAATGCAATTTTTGAGTTATTTTTTAACAAGCATTTATTTTGATCACAAAAGTAATAGATACAACTTAAAGATTCAAGAAATACATAAATACAAGGAAAGGTAAACTTTGTCCTCAAGATCACATGCTTCAGAAATAACTACTGTTAAAAATATGGTTTCTACTCTTCTGCCTTTTTTCCTTACAATGTATACATACCATATTTTACCTCTACTACAATTCTCTTTTTATTCATGGTATGCCTTTATCATGTTTCCTCACCAGGACGCATAGCTGCATCCCATTTTTAAATCTTTCTATAAGATATGCCATAGTATAGATATATGTAGGAGGAAATGTTGGGTTCAAGCAGATCGGGGGAAGGTGACAGAATTTTGGGGGAAAGAGACAGAGGGAAAAGGACTGATCTTAGCATATTCCTAGGATAGTTAGAAAATGACCATCAAACTAGAGGAAATAGTCGACATGAGGGTGGACAAGGAGCCAGATAATAGAAGGTATTGAAATCAAGCAAAGAATTTTAGATTTGGCAGAAAATAGAGATTCAATGAGGCCTTTTAATTCTGGGAAACTACCCTACTTTAATGCACCATGTTTGCGTGGTAAACTCACAGGTGAGCTGTTACCAGCATTAGGTAACTGAACTTTGTTCACATATCAAAATATAAAATACATGTTTAAAGAGTAAATGATTTTAGGGCCCATTGCATTTATATTGTGGTAGTGCACTAGAAGGAACTGAACTTAGCAGGTATAATTTGTTAAAACCCATAGCTAGGTATCAGATGGTGCATCCTTCTGTGGGCCCAAGAAAGTAGATTTAAAGTGTGCGACTGGCACTGGTAAAACTGCTGGTCATAGCCCTTGTCTTGAGTTCCCTCCCTAAATCTGCATCTGGCAGATCTCACCTTTTCTTTTTTCTTTCAACAAATAACTGAAGTGATTCCCTGGCATGTTCCATTTAAAGCCAACTGACTCTGATTGGCTGGGTTGGTGACTGTGCTTTGGAAGATGAGAAATGGAAGCAAAAGTCTCCCAGTTCCTGCTGTGACTCAGTCCATACACTGAGCATCGTCCTCAGCTCAACAAAAATAAGAATGGCCTAGAAGTATAAAAACTCACACTTTCTTTGGTATATATCTGTATAATTGGAATCTTTAAATTGCTAATTATTCTCATACTATATATGCAGTTTAAAGCACTTTTTAAAAATAAAAGATAAATTTAAAAAATCAAAGTATTCATTCTTTGCCTCTCAGTAGACTTTTTCTCTGAGTGTAAATCCTGTCTCTTTCCCCCATATTGGCAACCTCTGCTATATGAACTCTAGTTTAATGATTTGGACTGACTTGCTGGGGGGCGAATGATGAACATTTTTTTTCTATTTCTCATTATAAGTGCTAGAGTCAGAGGCCATGGGTTTGCTGTAATGAAGTTATCAATTTAACTGGATCAGAAAATGAGGACAATAAAAATTAGCAAATACATTTTCTTTCTATTACCAAATCTTTTGTCAGGCCTCTTTGACTAGTTTCTGACCCATGTTCCCATCTGGCTCTATTGATGTGCCCACTCTTGAGTGATGTCTACTCAAGGTCACTGTGACTGCTTTGAAATTCAGTCTGGGGAACTACATGACTCCAACAGCGGAGTTGGGCCTAGTATCTGGTTCAAACACTTGTAAATGCTAGACAACTGTAAACGATGTGGCAGATTTGTTCAAATTTATACAACCAATATTTGCTGTGAACACTGGAAATACAACAGTGAACAAATAGAAAATCCTCTCCTCCATGAAGTTTGTATTCTAATTGAAGATGAAAATTTTAATTTCAAAGGGGTTTCCTTCTTAAACTGAGATTTTTTGCTCTTAGATCTTACTCAGTGAGGAACCTAGGATATATATCTCCATTAAACATCAGATATTTCTCCAAAGGATAGACTCCAAAGGCTTCTGGGTAGATGAAAAGAACACCTTTCCCCTTGAAGTCTTCCTAGGTAAGAGGCTTAGATAAGATTTTTACTGCAGTTCCAAAAGCATCCAACCTTGAGGTGCCCATGATAAAAGGATTCACTGATTAGAGCAGCCACTGCCAAAGCAACAACAGCACCCTTGAGATTGCTCTTGGTACCATAACCAATGCAGCTTGACTTTTTCTGCTTGTCTTAAATCTTATGTACATGATACAAATATTGATAATTATCTGCCCTTAGGTATAGAATAACCCTTCTTCATCACTCTTTTCTATAGTGGCCAAAACCACTTTCCTAATACTGAATTTATAATAATCTTAGCTAGCTGAGAGAGCAGAGAGGGCTTGAGAAGACTATCAGCCCTGATACCTTTTGCACTCTTTGTATCTCCAGAGTAGCGGTATATAAACCTGTCAGTGTTGTTCCTCAGGATTGATATGTTTTTAAAGCATGTGTTGATAAATGGTTCTCCTGACCTAGGATGCCACGGTGAGGGCTTTATTACAGACCTAAGGAAAGTAAAGAAATAATGTTAGAGCCAGGCATGGTGACAAGTGCCTGTAGTCCCGGCTACTCAGGAGACTGAGGCAGGAGGATTGCTTGAGTCCAGGAGTTTGAGGCTACAGTGAGAAATGATCACTCCACTGCACTCCAGCCTGGGTGATAAAGTGAGACTTGTCTCTAAATAAATAAGTAAACAAATGAATAAATAAATGTTTAAAAAAGAAATAGTGTTGGGTCTCAGAAAATTATCCAAATGGAATGGAAATAATACCAAAACATAAAGCTCTTTGGTGATCAGGACTTAATATTAGCCACTGAAACACACACACACACACACACACACACACACACACACACTCACTCACACACATCACACCTCACTGGTCTTTTTCTCCTAAGGCTGTTAAATAAAAAATATGAAGCAATATTTTTTATTGGCATTCTCCTAAGACCCATATGAAAGTTTAAGCACCTGCATACCATTGGCTAAACTACATGATCTTGATTAAGAAAACAAATTGAATACATTAGAACATTCCTTTGGCAAAATCACATAAGCTAATACAAAATTATTTTTGATCAGTTATGTGCATTATAAGCAAAACATCCTTACTATCTGAAACTTGAACATTAATAAGCTTCTACCTCCTATTTTTTCTAAAGGGACAAAAAAACAAATTAAATTTAGAGATAAATTATCTGAGATTAGTAAGAGAATTTAGAAAGACAATTAGATTCAAAATTAATATTCAAAACCCAATGCAAGTCTCAATTCCAGTATGAAGAAAAGAGGGCCTAACAAATTGATGATCTTGCAAATAACAGCTATAAACTTAGAGCAAAATACAAAAACCAACTACAGGAAGCCTCTAGAGATTAAAAAAGAGGCAGTTTGGAAAGAATCAAAAATTGGAGCAAGTGATTAGCATAAATTGGTTCCAATTTTTCATGTGGTTTTTCCTTTAGGGTAGCTAAAACCCCAATGGAAAGCTCACCATGTTCCTAATCAGAGTAACCAGGAAAAGAAACCTAGGGGACCCAGGACCACCAGAGAGTGAGGGACATACCCTAGAAGAGAGAAATTCACAGAAATATAACCCAAAATTTTATGTTTAAACTGTTAAGATGCCTGGCTGACCTCTCAAACACTTGTTCATGCACATAACCTGAAAGCCTCTTAACAACTCAGGTTTAAAGAATTGAATTGAGATCTGAGCTACTACCCACCAAAGGCATGATCATTTGCATTTTGAATCTAGCCAAGTTAATTATATGCTGTATGATTTGTTAAGGCTACCATAACAAAGTTTCACAGACTGGGTGGCTCAAATAATAGAAATTTACTTTCTCACAATTCTAGAAGCCAGAAGTCTGAGATCAAGATGTTAAAAGGATGAGTATCTTCTGAGGCCTCTCTCCACGGTTTGTAAATAGCCATCTTCTCCCTGTATCTTCACCTGGTCTTTCCTGTTTATGTCTATGTCTAAATTTTCTATTCTTATAAAGGCATAAATTATAATGGATAATGGCACACCATGAAGACCTCATTTTGACTGAATTCCCTCTTTAAAGACTCCATCTCCAAATAGAATCACATTGTGATGTGGGGACAGTTGGGACTTCAACATATAAATTGGGAGTGGAGGAGCAGTTCAGTCTATAACGTCTGCTAAAACATTTAAGTTTTCACAGCAATGTAACAAAATCCAGAATCTCCACAACAACATTCACAATGTCAATTGTATACAACAAAATCACTTGAAGAGCGAATAAAATGTAACATAATCTCAAGAGAAAATCAGTCAGCAGATGCCGGCCTCAAAGTAACCCAGGTGTTAAAAATTATCAGATAAAGACTATAAAACAGCTATTATAACTGTGCTGAGTGAGAACAACAAAATATTCTTATAATAAATAATAAAGGATATCTCCACAGAAATATATATCAAACCAAATGAATATAAAACAATTGCATTTATTTCTATCAACAACTAGAACATGAAAATTTTAAAGAGTGAATTAGTCTCAAAATATATATATAGTAGGAGTAGTTTAACAAAATATGTATAAAAACAAGGTGAAAGACTCATAAAACTTTGGAGAGATACAGTCAAAGACCAAGAAAAATGAAATATCATGTTCATGAATTTGAAGTTTCACTATTGTAAAACTGACAACTGTTCCAGAATTTTTTTCCCTTTATTTTTAGTTATGTAATAATTGTAAACTAAAGATGACAACAGTAAGATACACAGTAATATTGCCATATATGTATATAATATGTAAAGATCAAATCAGGGTAATTAGCATATCCATCACCTCAAAAATTTATCATTTCTTTGTGTTGAGAATATTCAAAATCCTCTCTTCTTCTCTTTTGAAAATAAGCAATAAATTACTGTTAATCATATTCATTCTACAGTGCTGCAGAACACAGAAACTCATTTCACCTATTTAGCTGTAATTTCGTATCCCATACCAACCATCCCTCCCAACTATCCTTCCCAGTTTCTAATAGCCACTTTTCTACTCTCTGGTTCCATTACCTCCAATTTTTTTTTAACTTCCACATATGAGTGAGAACGTGGAATTTATCTTTCTATGCCGGACTTATTTTACTTAACATAAATATCCTCTAGTCTTATTCAGGTTGCAACGAATGGCAGGATTTCAACTTTTTATGACTGAATAGTATTCCATTATGTATATATACCATATTTTCTTTATTCATTTGTCTGTGGATGAACACTTAGGTTGATTCAATATCTTAGCTATTGTGAATAGTGCTACAATAAACATGAGGGAACAAGTATCCCTTTGATATACTGATTTATATTCTTTTGGGTAAATATCCAGTTGTGAAATTGTTGGATCATATGATAGTTCAATTTTTAGCTTTGAGAACTCTCCATAGTGATTTCCATAATAGCTGTACTAATTTACATTCCCACCAATAGTGTATAAGAGTGGCGGGTGCCTGTAGTCCCAGCTACTCAAGAGGCTGAGGCAGGAAAATCAGTTGAACCCAGGAGGTGGAGGTTGCAGTGAGCACCACTGCATTCCAGCCCGGGCAACAGAGTGAGACTCCATCTCAAAAACAAAAAACAACGACAAAAAAAAGGGTTTCCTTTTTCTGCACCTTCGTCAGCATTTATTTTTTGTCTCATAATAATAGTCATTCTAACTAGGGTAAGATGATATTTCACTGTGGTTTTGATTTACATTTCACTGATGATTAGTAACATTGACCATTTTTTTCATATATTTTTGTCCGCTTGTATATTTTCTTTTGAGAAATGCTATTCAGATTCTTTGCCCAATTTTTAATTGGATTGTTTGTGTTTTGCTGGTCAGTTATTTAAATTCTCTGTATATACCCTGGATATTACTCCCTTTTCAAATAAATAGCTTGGAAATATTTTCTCCTGTTCTCCAGGTTGTCTCTTTACTCTCTCGATTGTGTACTTTGCAGTGCAGAAGCTTTTTAGTTTAATACAGTCCCATTTGTCTATTTTTGTTTGTATTGCCATTGCTTTTGAAATCTTAGCCATGAAATCTTTGCCTAGGCCAATGTCCTAAATCAATTCTCCTGTTTTCTTCTAATAATTTTATAGTCTTAGGTCTTACGTTTAAGTCTTTAATCCAACTTGAGTTTATTTTTGCATATGGTAGAGATAGGAGTCTAGTTTTCTTCTTCTGCATATTGATTTCTACGATCAGAACACTACTGATTTCTGTATGCTGATATTTTATTGTCCAACTTTACCAAATTTTGTTATCAGTTCTAAGAGTTTTTTGGTGGGGTCTTTAGGATTTTCTAGACTAAATTTATGTCATCTGAAAAAAACGGACAATTTAACTTCCTCTTTACTCATATGGATGTCTTTTCTTTCTTCTGCCTGATTGCTCTGGCTAGGACTTCCAGTACTATGTTGAATAGGAGTGATGAAAACAGGCATTCTTAATTCCAGTTCGGAGAAGAAAGGCTTTCAGTTTTTCCTCATTCAATATGACGTTAGCTGTGGGTTTGTAATATGCGAACTTTATTATTTTGAGATATGTGCCTTCTATGAGGTTTGTAATATATGAGCTTTATTGTGTTGCAATATGTGCCTTCTATGGAGTTTGTAATATATGAGCTTTATTATGTTGAGATATGTGCCTTCTATGCCTAATTTCCAATAGTTTTTATAAAGGGATGAGGAATTTCAACAAATGCTTTTTCTGCAACTATTGAGATAACGATACGGTTTGTGTACTTCGTTCTGTTGATGTGTTGTATCACATTTATTGATTTGTACATGTTAAATTATCCTTGCTCCCCTGGGATAAATCCCACTTGATTATGATGTGTTATCTTTTTGACATGTTGTTGGATTTGGTTTACTAGAATTTTTGTTGAGACTGTTTGGTTTTGCATCAATCACGGACTTAGCCCGTAGTTTGTTGTTATTGTTGTGTCCTTGTCTAATTTGCTATCAGGGATATTCTGGCCTCATGGAATGACTTAGGAAGAATTCCCTCCTCTTAAAATTTTTGAAATAGTCTGACAAAAATTGGTATTAGTTCTTCATTAAAAGTTTCAGCAATAAAGTCATCCAGTCCTGGGCTTTGTTTTACTTGGGTCTCTTTATTACTGATTCAATCATGTTACTCATTATTAATCTGTTCAAGTTTTCTATTTCTTCCTGGTTCAATCTTAGGAGGGACTATGTGTCCAGAAATTTATTCATTTCAACTAGTTTTCCAATTTGTTATTGTATAGTTGTTCACAATAGTTTCTGATGATTCTTTGTATTTCTATGGTTTCAATTTTAATGTCTCTTTAATTCCTGGTTTTATTTATTGGAGTCTTCCCTTTTTTCCCCTTGGGTAGTCTAGCTAGCAGACTATTAATTTTGTTACCTTTTTTAAAAAAGGTAACTTTTCATTTCATAGATCCCTTGCACTTTTTAATCTCTGTTTCGTTTAGTTTTTCTCTGATCTTTATTATTTCTTTTCTTCTACTACTTTGGGCTGGTTTGATCTTGCTTTTCTAGGCCTTTGAGGTGCACCGTTAGGTTGTTGATTTGAAATCTTTCTACTCGGGGGATTACCGGGCAAAATTACTGAATAGGAACAGCTCTGGTCTTTAGCTCTCAGTGAGACCAATGCAGAAGGCGGGTGATTTCTGGATTTCTAACTGAGGTACCCGGTTCAACTCATTGGAACTGATTCAACAGTGGGTGCAGCCCACAGAGGATGAGGATGGGTCGCCTCACCCAAGAAATGAAAGGGATCGGGTAACTCCCTTCCCTAGCCAAGGGAAGCCATGAGGGACTGTGCTGTGAGGGACAGTGCTAACCGTCCCACATACTACTCTTTTCCCACAGTCTTCACAACCTGGAGACCAGGAGATTGCCTCGGGTGCCTACAGACCAAGGCCCTGGGTTTCAAACACAAAACTGGGCAGCTGTCTGAGCAGACACAGAGCTAGCAGCAGGAGTTTTTTTTTTTTTTTTTGTACCCCAGTGGCACCTGGAATGCCAGCAAGACAGAATCATTCACTCTGCTGGAAAGGGGGCTGAACCAGGGAGCCAAGTGCTCTTCCTCTGTGGCTCCCACCCCCACAGAGCCCAACAAGCTAAGATCCACTGGCTTGAAATTCTCGCTGCCAGCACAACAGTCTAAGGTCGACCTGGGATGCTCAAGCTTGCTGTGGGGAGGGGTGTCTTCCATTACTAAGGCTTGAGTAGGTGGTTTTCCCCTCACAGTGTAAACAAAGCTGCTGGGAAGTTTGGACTGGGTGGAGCCCACCACAGCTCAGCAAAGCCACTGTAGCCAGACTGCCTCTCTAGATTCTTCCTCTCTGGGCAGGGCATCTCTGAAAGAAAGGCAGCAGCTCCAGTCAGGGGCTCATAAATAAAACTCCCATCTCCCTGGGACACAGCACCTGGGGGAAAGGGTGGCTGTGGGCGCAGCTTCAGCAGACTTAATGTTCCTGCCTGCCGGCTCTGAAGAGAGCAGCAGATCTCCAAGCACAGCGCTTGAGCTCTGCTAAGAGACAGACTGCCTCCTCAAATGGGTCCCCGAACCCCATGCCTCCTGATGGGAGACACCTCCCAGCAGGGGTCGACAGACAACTCATACAGGAGAGCTCTGGTTGGCATCTGGCAGGTGCCCCTCTGGGACAAAGTTTCCAGAGGAAGGAGCAGGCAGCAATCTTTGCTGTTCTGCAGCCTCCACTGGTGATACCCAGGCAAACAGGATCTGGAGTGGACCTCCACCAAATTCCAGCAGAACTGCAAAAGAGGGGCCTGACTGTTAGAAGAAAAACTAACAAACAGAAAGCAATAGCATCAACATCAACAACATCGAAGACCAAAGGTAGATAAATCCAAGAAGATGAGGAGAAAACAGCACAAAAAGGCTGAAAATTCCAAAAACCAGAATGCCTCTTATCCTCCAAAGGATCACAACTCCTTACTAGCAAGGGAACAAAACTGGATGGAGAATGAGTTTGACGAATTGACAGAAGTAGGCTTCAGAAGGTGGGTAATAACAAACTCCTCTGAGCTAATGGAGCATGGTCTAACCCAATGCAAGGAAGCTAAGAACATTGATCAAAGGTTATAAGAACTGCTAACTAGAATAACCAGTTTAGAGAAGAGCATAAATGACCTGATGGAGCTGAAAAACACAGCACAAGAACTTTGTGAAGCATACACAAGTATCAATAGCTGAATCTATCAAGTGGAAGAAAGGATATCAGAGATTGAAGATCACCTTAATGAAACAAAGCATGAAGACAAGATTAGAGAAAAAAGAATGAAAAGGAATGAACAAAGCCTCCAAAAAATATGGGACTATGTGAAAAGACCAAACCTACATTTGATTGGTGTACCTGAAAGTGATGGAGAGAATGGAACCAAGTTGGAAATATCCTTCAGGATATTATCCAGAAGAACTTCCCCAGCCTAGCAAGACAGGCCAACATTCAAATTCAGGAAATATAGAGAACACCACGAAGATACTCCTCAAGAAGAGCAACCCCAAGACACATAATCATCAGATTCACCAAGGTTGAAATGAAGGAAAAATGTTAAGGGCATCCAGAGAGAACGGTTGGTTTACCCACAAAGGGAAGCCCATCAAACTAACAGCAGATCTCTCTGCAGAAACCCTACAAGCCAGAAGAGAGTGGGGGCCAATATTCAACATTCTTAAAAGAATTTTCAACCCAGAATTTCATATCCAACCAAACTAAGCTCTGTAAATGAAGGAGAAATAAAATATTTTACAGATAAGCAAATGCTGGGAGATTTTGTCACCACCAGGCCTACCTTACAAGAGCTCCTGAAAGAAGCACTAAATATTGAAAGAAAAAACTGGCACCAGCCACTGCAAAAATATACCAAAATGTAAAGACCATTGACACTATGAAGAAACTGCATAAACTAATGACAAAATAACCAGCTAGCATCATAATGACAGGATCAAATTCACACATAACAATATTAACCTTAAATGTAAATGGGTTAAATGCCCCAATTAAAAGACATAGACTGGCAAACTGGATAAAGAGTCAAGACCCATCAGTGTGCTGTATTCAGGTGACCCATCTCAGGTGCAAAGATACACATATGCTCAAAATAAAGGGCTGGAGGAATATTTGCGTTGCAAATGGAAAGCAAAAAAAAGCACAGGTTGCAATCCTAGTCTCTGATAAAACAGACTTTAAACCAACAAAGATCAAAAAATACAAAGAAAGGCATTACATAATGGTAAAGGGATCAATGCAACAAGAAGAGCTAAGTATCCTAAATATATATGCACCCAGTACAGGAGTGGCCAGATTCATAAAGCAAGTTCTTAGAGATGTAAGACTCCCACAGAATAATAGTGGGAGACTTTGACACCCCACTGTCAATATTAGACAGATCAATGAGACAGAAAATTAACAAGGATATATAGGACCTGAACTCAGCTCTGGACCAAGCTGGGAAAACTGGCTAGCCATATGCAGAAAACTGAAACTGGACCACTTCCATATACCTTATACAAAAATTAAATCAAGATAGATTAAAGACTTAGATGTAAGATCTAAAACCATGAAAACTCTAGAAGAAAACCTAGGCAATACTATTCAGGACATAGGCATGGGCAAAGACTTCATGACTAAAACACCAAAAGCAATTGCAACAAAAGACAAAATAGACAAATGGGATCTAACTAAACTAAAGAGCTTCTGCACAGCCAAAGAAACTATCATCAGAGTGAACAGGGAACCTACAGAATAGGAAAAAATTGTTGCAATCTATCCATCTGACAAAGGTCTAATATCCAGAATCTACAAGGAACTTAAGCAAATTACAAGAAAAAAACAACCCCATCAGAAAGTGGGTGAAGGATACGAAAAAAACACTTTTCAAAAGAAGACATTTATGCGGCCAACAAACATATGAAAAACATCTCATCATCACTGGTCGTTGGAGAAATGCAAATAAAAACGACAATGAGATACCATCTCATGCCAGTTAGAATGGCGATCATTAAAAAGTCAGGAAACAACAGATGCTGAAGACGATGTGGAGAAATAGGAACGCTTTCACACTACTGGTGGGAGTGTAAATTAGTTCAACCATTGTGGAAGACAGTGTGGTGACTTCTCAAGGATCTAGAACTAGAAATACCATTTGACCCAGCAATCCCATTACTGGGTATATCTCCAAAGGACTAAAAATCATTCTACTATAAAGACACATGCACACATATGTTTATTGCAGCACTATTCACAATAGCAAAGACTTGTAACCAACCCAAATGTCCATCGATGATAGACTGAATAAAGAAAATGTGGCACATATACACCATGGAATACTATGCAGCCATAAAAAAGAATGAGTTTATGTCATTTGCAGCGATGTAGATGAAGCTGGAAACCATCATTCTCAGCAAACTAACACAGAAACAGAAAACCAAACACTGCATGTTCTCACTCATAAGTGGGAGTTGAACAATGAGAACACACGGACACAGGGAGGGGAACATCACACACTGGGGCCTACTGGGGAGTGGGGGGAAAGGGAAGGGATAGCATTAGGAGAAATACCTAATGTAGATGACAGGTTGAGGAGTGCAGCAAACCACCACGGCACATGTATACCTATGAAATAAACCTGCATGTTCTGCACATGTATCCCAGAACTTAAAGTATAGTATTAAAAAAAGAAATATTTGTACTCTTTTGATGTAGGAATTTTTTACTATAAACTTCTCTCTTAGCACTGCTTTTGCTTTATCCCATAGGTTTTGAAATGCTGTGTTTTGATTTTCATTTGTTTCAAAAAACTCTTCGTTTTCTTTTTAGTTTATTCATTGACTCAGTGGTTGTTCAGGAACATGCTGTTTAATTTCTACGTATTTGTATAGTTTCCAAATTTTCTCGTTATTGATTTCTAGTTTTATTTCATTGTGATCTGAGAAGATACTTAATTTTGATTTTTTTTAATAAGGTGAGATTTGTTTTTTGGTCTAACATGTTCTATGTGCTGATGAGAAAAATGTGTATTCCAGAGCTGTTGAATGGAATTTTCTATAAATATCTGTTAAATCCATTTGGCTCACACTAAAGGTTAATTTCAATGTTTATTTATTGGTTTTCTTTTTAAATGATCTGTACAGTGCTGAAAGTGTGGTGTTGAAGTCTTTGATTATTATATTAGGGCCCCATCTTTCTCTTTAGCTGCAATAACATTTGCTTTATATACCTTGGTACTCCAAAGTTTGGTGAATATATATTTACCATTGTTATATCCCCTTGCTGATTTGATCCATTTGTCATTATAATGACCCTCTTTTTCTTTTTTCATGTATTTTGACTTAAAGTCTATTTTGTCTGATATAAGTATAGCTACTTCTGCTAGCTTTTGGTTTCTATTGCTGCAGATTTTTTGTTTTTATCCTTTCCATTTCAGTCTATGGTTGTCTTTATAGATGAAGGGAGTTTTTTGTAGATAGCATATATTTATTTTTTTTAAAAAATCCATTCAGCCAGTCTATAAATATTAATTAGAGAATTTAAAGTGTTTACATTCCAGGTTGTTATAAAAAGGTGAAGACTTACTCTTATTATTTTGTTGTTTTCTGATTGTTTTGTTTATCCTTTGTCTTTTTCATTCTTTCATTGTTTACCTTTATGAATTGCTTGTTTTACTGTAATGATAATGCTTGATTACTTTCTCTTTCTCACTTTTATATCTGCTCTAGCAGTGAGTTTTGTATATTTTCATGATGGTAAACATTATCCTTTTGCTTCCAAAAGTAGAACTCCCTTAAGCATTTCTTGTATAGCCAGACTAGCGGTGATAAATTTTCTCTGTTTTTTTCTTGTCTTGGCAAGACTTTATTTCCTCTTCATTTCTAAAGGATAGGCATGCTGGATATAGTATTCTTGCTTGACAGTTTTTTGTTTTTTTCTTTCAGCACTTAGATGATATCATTCTACTCTCTTCTGGCCTATAAGACTTCTACTGAGAAATCTGCTATTAGTCTGATGGAGATTCCCTTATATATGACTTGATATTTTTTCTTTTGTTGTTTTTAGAAGTCTCTCTTTTTCTTTGGCTTTTGTGAGTTTAACTATAACATGCCTTAAGGGAGGCCTTTTTGGATTGAATTAATTTAAACATCTTTGAGCTTTCTGTATCTAGATGTCTATATCTCTCACACATACTGGGAAATTTTCAGCTACTGTATTATTAAATGGTTTTTCTATGCCCTTTCCTATCTCTTCTTCTTCTGAAACTCCAAAAATTTGAATATTTGTTCGATTCATGGTATCCTGTATGTCACGTACATTTTCTTTATTATTTTTTATTCTTTTTTTTTTCTTTTTTTGTCTGACTGGGTTATTTCAGAAAATCTGTCTTCAGGTTCGGAAATTCTTTCTTCTGTTTGATCTAGTCCATTGTTGAAGCTCTTGATTGTATTTTTCATTTCATTAATTGAAATCTTCAGTTTTAGATTTCTGTTTGGTTCTTTTCTATAAAATCTCTGTTGAAATTTTCATCTAGGAGGTTATCCTGATTTCTTCATATTATCTGTCTGTGTTCTCTTATATCTTGCTGAATTTCCTTAAGACCATTATTTTGAATTCCTCTTCAGCCATTCCATAGAAATTTTTTTCCTTTGGCATCTGTTACTGAAGAATTATTGTGTTCTTTTGGAAGTGTCATGTTTACTTTCTTTCTTGTGTTTCTTTTATCCTTATGTTGCTATCTGTCCATCTGGTGTAATAGTCATTTCTTCCAATTATATGGATTGAATTTTTTGGGGGAAGGGTTTTTTTCTTTAGGTTTATCTATAGTGTTGGTTGAATAGGGTGCTTTGGCTTTGATTCTAGATGGGAGTGAAGGCTGCAGTGAGGCTTTGCTATATGGGAGCATCAGGCAGACTGATCCTTGGGTACCCGGGTGGCACATGCAGACACCAGTGGTGTCAGCAGGTGGTCAGATATTCCAGTTCTCAGGCCTCAAGGTGGTGTACACAGGCACCAGCAGTGGTGGCAGTAGCGCTTATCCAGGCTGGCCCTTAGGCTCCCAGATGGCATGCACAGGCACCAGTGTTGGTGGCGACAGGCTGGGCAGAATGGTTCCCAGGGCCTCAGACAGCATGCAATGGCACCAGTAATGGGACATGGGGTAGACCAATCCTCAGGCCTCTGGACAGTTCCCATGGCCACTAGCTGCAGTGAAGGCAGTGGGTTATGGCAGGTGGGGGTGAACCAATTATCTGGCCCCTGGATGGTGTGCATGAATGTTGGCAGCAGTGGACAGGGAAGGCTGGTCTTTAGGTTCTCTGATGGCATGCATGTGCTAGCCAGTTCTCAGGCCCCCTGAAGGTACACACAGGTGTGTGGAGGCCCCATTGCTGGAGGGGGCAGGATTGTTGTGAATGTTTGCAGTGCCAGGAAGATGGCTCTCAAGCTTTGGGGAGTACATGCTTTCACTTCCTTTGTCCTTGGGGTAGCCTCTCTCATGTTCTGGATTGCCTTTTCTCTGGGGTGTGTGGGCTAGAGTGCTGGAGACATGGCTGCACCACTGGGTCCAGTTGGTGTTGTAATGCTGCAGTCCTTGGGGTAGATGTGGGGGGATGTTAGTGCAGCTCCAGGGAAATGGAAATGCAGGGGCTATTGATCTTCAGTGCAGGATGTAGTCTGGTGGGGGCTGGGCTCTCAATATGGCATTGCAGGCTGCAGCAGCTTGGCTCTTGTGGGTGAGTAGGACCCAGTGTGAATTTCCCCTAGAATAATATAGCTGCATGGACTCCAGATAGCTCTTTATACTAGGCTCAGGTCCTGCGAGGGCTGAGTGGATTGCAGGCATCCATGGTGGGAATGTGGATTATTCAGGATTTCTTGCTTACCTTTTCCCTGCAATCGGGATATCCTCCTGGCTCTGAGCCAATCTGGGATGGGCTGGTTGCTTCATTTTCCTTTCCTTCTGTGCCTCAGAGAATTCCTGTTACTTCTCTGTTGAAATCCAGTGATCTCTCTTAGGTACTCTATTCAATGTATCCCAATTTTTCATTTATAGATTCAATACAGCACAAACAGAATCTTAGCAGGTTAAATTATAAAACTTGATAAGCAAATTCTATAATTCATGCGGAAATAAAATGAACAAAAAATAGCTTAGACATACCTGAAAAGGAACAAAATGGGTTGGCTATATCTACCAGATTTTAATCATAGTATAATGTTATAGTAATTAGGACAATGATGCAGACGCTGTTATTGGGAACCTAAACTAGTATAGCCATTATGGAAAACAGTACAGAAGTTCCTTGAAAAATTGAAAATATAAACACCTTGTAATCCAGAAATTCCACTTCTGGGAATATATACAAAGGAAATAAAATAATTATGTTAAAGAGATATCAGTATCCCCATGTTCATTGCAACATTATTCACAATAGCCAAGATACGGAATCAACCTACAAGTTTATGTATTCAGCCTTAAAAAAAAAACAAGGAAATTCTGTCATTTGTGACAACAAAAAGAACCTGAAGGACATTGTATTATTGAAATAAGCCCAGCAGATAAAGGAGAATATCACATTTTCTTACTTATTTGTGGAATCTGAAAAAAGTTGAACATATGGAAGCAAAGAATAAAATGGTGGTTATCAGAAGCTGCAGCATAGGTGAGGGAGTAGGGAAGATGCTGGTCAAAGGATATAAAATTTCAGTTAGATACAATAAGTTTAAGAGATCTATTGCACAACATGGTGTCTATTATTAATAAACAATGTATTTTATTCTTGAAAATTGCTGAGTGTAGATACAAAATATTCTCACCACGAAAAAAGATAAGTGTGCTTAATAATGCATATGTTGATTAATTATATTTAATTATTCCACAATGTTTACAAAATGTTTCAAAATGCTATGTTATACATGATAAATATATATAATATTTATATATCAATTTAAAACAATGAGGCCATGTATGGTGGCTCATGTGTGTAATCCCATTACTTTAGGATGCCAAGATGGGAGGATTGCCTGAGGCCAGGAGTTCAAGACCAGCCTGGGCAACATAGAAAGGCCCTCATCTCTATAAGAAATAATTTTGTTTTAAATAGCTGGGTGTGGTGGTGTAAGCATGTAGTCCTAGCTACTTGGGAGGCTGAGGCAGGAGGATCGCTTGAAACCACTTTAGCTTAGGATGTCAAGGCTGCAGTAAGCTCAGTGAGTCACTGCACTTAAGCCTGGGCAACAAAGCAAGACCTTGCCTCTAAAAAAATTAAAAATAGAAATAAAAAATTATTAGTTTAAAAAGAAATAATGGTGTAGAAAAGCAGTATAAAAATCCGAGATACAGATCTTGATCAGACAGTTGATTTATAGCCATTGTCATTGTAGAGTACTTAGAAAAGGATAGTCTTCAATGAATGATGCTAAGACAATAAAATATCCATATTGTTAAAAAATAACTTTAGAGATTATTCTCACACTACCTACAAAAAATAAATTCCATGTTCATTACCCATACAAATGAAAAAGTGAAAATTATAATTATTTTAATTATAATATTGTAGAAGAATATTTTAAGGCCTCATAGTAAGAAAGCTTTTATAAACAACACCAAAAAAAAAAAAAACTAATCATAAAGAAACAGGGAAATAAATTTCACTATATTTAAAATTAAGAATATCATTCTTTATCAAATACAACATAAAGAGAATTAATGATAAGGCAAAAAATATGGGCAGAGAAGAGACGTGTAACATATAAAACTTGAAAAGAGCTAGTATTTAGAATACATAAAGATTTCCAACATATCAATAAGAAAAACCTAAGTCCAGTAGAAATACAGACAAAAAACTTTAATAAGCAATGCACAAAGTATAAATTACCATTAAATAAATAAAAAGGCAATCAATTTTATTAGTAATCAAATAAATGCACAATGCAAACACAATGAGAAAATGGTATACACCCAACACATTGGAATTATGTAAAAGTCTGACAATGCCAAATGTCTGCAAGAATCTAGAGCAATAGATCTCATATACCACTGGTAGAAATGCAAATTAATACCACCACTTTGCAAAGCAGTTTGACATTTTGCAAAGATATGCACAAGCATATTTAAGCATTTCCACTCCTAGAAACATTCCCTATAGAAACATTTGTGCATGTGCACCAAGAGACATGTATAAAAATTAGTAAATAAAATTTTGGTGTATTCTTTTGACAGAATACTACATAGCAAATAAAGTAAAATGAACTATAGTACAGTTACATGTGACCAACTTGGCTAAATCACACAAATGAGCAATGGAAGAAAGACACAAACATTGGCTTATTTCACATAAAGTTTATAAACAGGCAAAGTTAAAATAAAAAATTAAGGATTATATAACTAAATATTAAAATTATTTTGAAAAGCAAGTTAATATCACAACAAAAGTCTTAGTATCAGTTACACTAGAGAGAACAGTGTGGGTGATTACCAAGAAGAAAGACCCAAAGGGGATCTCGGGTGCCGAAAATATTTGTACACAAATATTTATTTTACAATTCTTCAAGTTATATAATACATGTATGTCTTATGTGCTCTTCTGTAGGCATATTTCAAAATTTTTAAGATTTATTATGATAAAAGAAAAAATGTCTATAAAACAAGGCTTTTCATACATGGGATGAAACTTACTTAACCTTTTACTTCCTCACCAAGGTTAGATAATCACGAATAGAACTTTTAAAAAGTTGGCTAACACTCATTCATAATTGCTATGAAAATTAAGTGAAATTATGTGTATTGTCCATAAATTCCCTGACATTCCTTCCATAAAAGGTGGAGTCTAATCTCCTTCCTTCTAAATATAGACTGGCCTTAATGGCTTGCTTATTTAAAAAATTGAAGGGGGCTGAAATGACACTGCATGACTTCCAAGGTTAAGTTAGAAAAGATAAAACAGCTTTCATCTAATTCTCTCTCTCGAGGCATGTGCCTTGAAATGAAGCCATCCCAAAGCTACAATGATGGGGAGAACATGTGGGGAGATTATGTAAAGAGAGAGAGCTATACCTGAGAAATCTCAGCTGCTTAAGTCTAGGCACCACGACAGTAAGGGTGAAGAAACCTGGAAGGCGACAGTAGCCTCAGGCACAGACTGCAACTTCATGTGAGAACCTAAACCATAGTTGCTCAGCGCAGGCACTTCCAACTACTCGAACCACAGAAACCTGAGAGATAACAAATGATGTCTGTTGTTTTAAAGCATTCTGTTTTGAAGTTATTTGTCATGCCACTGTAGATAATCAAATCACCTAACTACCTCACTGGGTTTTGGGAAAGGTTATATTAGAGGATGCAAGTAAAGAGTTTAGCATAATGCCCAAATCATAGTAGACACTATGTTTAGCTGCCAATATTGGAAGAGGTTTTGAGCAAAACTGAGACGGAAACAGAGATGAAGATCTGGTAAACCTGAAAGCAAGGAGGAGTCTACAAGTTGTTAGTGGTCTGGCTGAATTCCAATGGAGCCCACAAAGTGGCCTTTTACTTATGCAGAGTAGGTAAGTGAGGAGGAGTAACATCCACTTAAAAGAGCCTGGATAGATATTTCAGGGTTCCAATAGGTCAGTAACTACAAAGGATCAATCCTTGCTCAGTAGAACAGTGAATGAAACTGTTTTTAAAGGAAAAAATGTTTTGCCATTTTCACTTTTTTTTTATTTCCTGCATATGGCAGACATGATTCACACTGGTTTAAAAGGTGTTTGTATGTGTGGAGCAGCAGATTAGGTTGTAACTAAGCTATTTGCTTAGAGAACAGTCACTCTTACCTCTGGCTCTGATATTGTCCAATCGCTTGGGAGTTGGTAAATCTGGTGAAAATTGATGAAGCAAGAAGAAAATCACTGTACTGATTTTAAATGAAAAGTAAAATACAAGACTAAAATTTTAATAAGGTCAATAGCTTAATACTAATTTTATTTCAGATTCCTCTAGCAAGAAAGGAAGTGAAAAAGGAAAAAAAGATCTACTAGCAATTACAGGAAGTCAAAATGGAGCAAAATTGCATTCATGCAAAGAGCTCAAAGAAGACAACTAATCTTTGTTCTAAATACAACATGGGATCCTCACAGGTGGGCACATTAGAAAAGACCACTGATCAAGGACCAATCACTGCAGCAAGTATGTGAGTTCCATAGGTATATCTGAATTTCAAAAATAAAAAGATGCTCTCAATAATTCAAAGTTATTTTTGAAGTTTTCATACTTGAAGATAATAGCCCACTGTGATTGATAAGATAAAACGATGCTTTGAAACACACACTCTTCTCTTCTTTGAAACACACTTTGATAGTGTATTGTTGGAAAAGATGCAACTGAAAATCATGGAATTGGTGAAGAGACGAGTCACCATTTGATGTCATTTTGTTAGCCTGTAAGACAGGTCACATTAAGCTCTATAAGGATCAACCTTTTTCCTCCCGTATCTGTCTTGCCTTTGAGCCTATTTCTTCTAAGTGCACTAGGCAGTGGCTTTCAAATATCTTTTTTTTACATCATTTACAGTTAGAATTACATTTTACCTTGTGACCCAGAATGTATACATATTCTCACACACACACACACACACACACACAATTTCTGAGACAGACAATAGATATACACACACATATGTATGTATCAGAGACTTAAGTTTTATGAAATAATGCCAACCCTAACCATGTACAATGTCCTCTGATTTTTTTATTCTATTCTCTTTTAGTCTATTATTCTGTTCTATTCTATTTCTTTTCTTCATGCTGGTTATTCTGTTCTATTTCTCTTCTTTCTAAATGCTAATATGATACAATAAAGGGATTTTATAACCCACTAGTGGATAGTTGACCAACACTTTACAAAATACTGCACTAGGGGTATTGTAAGGTCCTTTCACAGTTAATTTTGTTATTTTCCCCATAAATTGCTACATTTTCAACCAGTAAATTCACCTCATTTGAGGTGTTAGCTGTCTAGAGATTTGTTTGAATTTCTGTTCACTCATTCAACAATCTTTATTATGTCAAATATAACTTTCATAATATCAAATGTGCCACACATATAGGCATGAAGGATATAATAGAAAACAAAAACAAACATAGTGCTACTTTCAAGGAGTTTAAGGAGAAAAAGGAAGACAATAATTTTTGAAACTTTTATAAAATGTATAACTTCACTAATATAAAGTCAAAAAATGATAACTACTATAAAGAAAATAAGCAAGATTCAGTGACAAAAAATATATGTAACTAATATAAGAGATTTATTCAGATGGGGTAGTCAAAGAAGGCGTTTCTCCAAAGATGACATCTAAGCCAAGCCCCCATTAGTTGCCTTGTAGTCATTGATCACCTTCTTTTTTATTTTAATGTGGTCTTAACTAGGGCCATGGCTCCCAAGCTAAATATTCTATTTCTCAGTTTCCCTGGCAGCTAGGTATAGCCAAGTGACTAAACTGTAGTCAATGGGATATAAGCAGAAGTGACTGGTGCTATTTCTAGGTATTGTTCTTAATGCAATTGGACATGCATTCTCTTGATCTTTTCCACTTGCCAACTAGTTGAGACATAGCGTACACTGGGAATCGGACCTAGATATAGAAGCTGTGTGTGAGAATCACTGAGCTGCCTACCAAACCTGGATCACCAACCTTTCGGCTCTCACTTAAAAAAATATAGAAGCTTTCATATTGTTAAGCCATGATATTACAGAAGCTCTTTGTTCTGTTTCCAAAATAAAATATTGCAAGAACTTAAAAATGGAAGACACTAGCCATTGAAGCATGGAGTTATTGGTAGTGGTTGAGGGGTTAGGGGTGTTAAAGGCAGAGGGAATGATAGGTACAATGCCCCTAAGGAAGAGAGGATTTTCTAGTGTTCCAGGGAACAAAAGGAGGCTGATATACCTGGAGTGTAGAAGGTGAATGAAGAATGGAACAAGATGAGATTGGATGGTAAGGGTAAAAGCAAGGCTTATAACAATAGTGTTTTGAATAGGGGTGATAATAATTTTGCCAAGGTGGATTGGGAGAACTCCATTATATTATGTATTAAACATATTGAGCAGTGTCTGGTATACATTAAGCACTTGATTCTTAGTAGTTACTTCTCTTCCCTTTCTTTGGTTCATTCTGAATCTCCAAACAATCTGCTGTTTCCTCCTGTTTAAAAGAAGAGAATCTCTACAGCAGTTCAAACTTTGTCTAGGAATCTTTTTATCTCCTGAACTGATTAAATGATTGACTTCTAAACCCACATGGGACAGATACTTCTCAGTCTTTGTCCTGAATGATGGTTAATATTTTCCTCAATTCTGCATGAAGGACAGACCCACAGAGATGTTGTGAATTTTATTTGCATTAATTTTAGTAAATGGTCACATCTTTCCTTTACTGAGTATTTAGGACAATTAATATCAACATTTATTTTTGTTTTATTGTTATGAAGTAAAAATATTTTTACCTCATTCAGCTCAAACCACAAACAATATAACCCAATTTACATTCATTCTCATAGCTTATTTCAGCTGTCTTTTGTGCTAAACCTGCCAGTAAATCAATTTTAATATTTAATACTTTAATATCTGCAAGCAAAAGGTTCTGCTTTTATTTTAATGTCAATATGTCCAGCTTGTATAGGTCTTTAAAATGATTTGCAGCACATCCTACTGGCATGCAGAGATAAAAAAGAAATTACAAATACTAAAACAAAATCTGTTTTCATTGACAGAAATTTCCAGCTGTTTTCTCAAAAACCATCAAATGTAATGAAAGAGGTTTGAAAGATTTAAACACAAAGGTTGCCTAATTAGCTGGATACACTGGAAATTATACCACCAGGTTTGTAGATATACAGCAAAATAGGCTGCTGTTTTGCACTAGGATGAAATTCTAGGAGCACTATAATTTACTTTCTATTATTTTTAGTAGGGATTCAATGAGAACTAACTGCAGGGCTCTAATTTATCAGCATCCTAGAAAGATGTTTTCACATTTTCTTTTAATGTACTAATGAAAATCTATACCAAACACATTTAGATGCACCAATAAATTCTTTGGAGGGATGGCAAAATAAAAATTATTTAGGCAATTTGGATAGAACTTGATTCTTAGCTTTAAATAACGACCATTATTCCACTAAACTTAAAGAAAAAACAACACAACACCCACTTCTCTCTGACAAACTGCTCACTGAGCCATCCACTCTAAAGGTCTAACACAGCTCATAAACTGTGAATAGGTACAGGAAGAAAAAGCAGGATGTAGCATTTTGGATGACTGGACCATTGATTAAGCCTCAAATATAACCTTGTCACCTGCAAATAAATAAATAAATAAATAAATAAAGAAGCACAGTCCATTAAATTCCTCTCCAAACTAACTGCAGGAATACTTTTATGGAAATAACTTTTAGGTTTTCTGAATAAAAATATTTTAGTAGTATTCTGACCCAGAACATTCTGGTAATGAGTCATTCAATATAATTGTGCTTTTCTGATAAGCTGTACATTTAAAACATTTGATTTGGAACTTTATGATCTTTCTTAAATAGAATATACAGAATGGAATTTACTCTTTACTGATGATTCAAGGCCATCATTTTGAAAAACAATCATCCCATCCTGCTGTGATAAAGAGATGTTCTCAAAGGCTATTGGGTTTGAGCAAGCACTAAATAACACTGGATGACTCTGACTTTTGTGATTTTGAGTCATTGTATACCGTGATTTCTTTGTGATTTTTATTTGCCAACTGGGCCTGTTTTTTGCTCACACAAACATATGTGGCTTTGGAGTCCTGCAAAAACATTTTGAATTCTTGCTCTGTGCCTTAGTAGCAATAGGACTTCAAACAACTTCCTTACCTTTCAGGGACTCAGTTTTCTCAGTTACAAAATAGTGTATTATACCATTAGTATGAAGATAAATTAAGATGAGTTCTTAGAATCATCCTTTCTCTATAATTTATTTTTTGGATATGAATTCTAATCAGAACTTTCTAGTAGTATGAGGTTGCCAAGGTTATCTTTCTGAATATTGCTATAACTTCAACCAAAGGCAAAGAAACTGTGTTTTAGTCATCAAAGTAGTCTTACTGCATATAAAATTTAATTTTAACTCAATCTCTGAAATATAAGAATATGAAAGACCAGAGAAATTTTAAAGCTTTCCCAAAGTCATACTGCTAATGGAAGAATCTACATGTACCAGGTCTTTTTCATGATTTAATTTCAGTATTTTTCATCTACATCTTGCTTAATTCATAGTCTCAACATATTCCAGGTGGTATGGGAAAGCCCGTGTATAGGGCTTGCATCTTTGCTGCACTTTTGATGAACTAAGATAAAGGAATTGATTAGATTCAGTATTAAATCCTGAGGGAAAGCTTGTACCTTCAGAGTCAGAGTCTTCTATCCTTCCAATTGAGGCAGATTTCTTTAAACTGAATCCATTGATATGAGTTCTAGTCTTGATTTTGCCACTTACTTCCTGAGAGTTTTAAGGCAGGTTGATTAATTTCTCTGCACTTTAATTTTTCATCAATCATAAGTGGCAGCAGAATTAAACAGAAGGGTCTTTTACAGCTCTAACATTATTTAATTCTGCTGTAATGATCCACATGCTAGGGTTACCTAAATGTCCATACCGATCTCCTTAACGCCTAGCCTCTGACAGCATCACCCAGTGAATTTTAACAACTGCACATAAGTATGGCATTCCACACTTGTCTATTGTCATCAGGTTACAGTTTGAAAGAAAATATAGGAGATAGCATCATATTATTGGTCTGGTTACTTAGGCTGAAAAAGTTGTGGGTATGTTCATATGTTGCAAAGTGTCTACTTCTGGATGTACCAAGAAGCTTAATATCCAAAATTCTCAAAGTTAGTACTATTCCCACTTTTCAAACAATAGTTACCTCCTAATTTAGCCCCTGATAGAAGTCTATAATGTTAATATACTGTGATTAATGAGAGAAGTGATTGGTATGCTTTGTTAGATGATCATCAGCTATGTTTGCCAGTGTAAAAGTTCCTAAGTTTCATTTTTTAAAGATAGAAGTATTGGAGTAGCAATATTTATTATCTTTGGAAATGAATACACACACAGCTATAATTTGCTAGGCTCGTATATATCAGGGACATGATCGCTGTTTTATACAGGTTGTCCTCAACAGAAATGTAAATCATCACAAAAAATGCCAATATACTTGATATTTAGCTCTAATCAACTGGGAAAGTAACAGACTATGTAGAAACAATCAAGATATGAAAAAAAATTAAAGAAATTCCAGTAAGTATGAACTTGTAAGTTTATCTCCCTGAAAAACATATCTATGGGTTGTAAATCATTTGTCACTATGTACTATATTTATTCCTCCTTTTTGAAGTTTTGGGGGTTACTGGAAAAGGGAATGATGAGGAAGACAGTGACCC
Source organism: Homo sapiens (assembly GCF_000001405.40). Taxonomy (NCBI): domain Eukaryota; kingdom Metazoa; phylum Chordata; class Mammalia; order Primates; family Hominidae; genus Homo; species Homo sapiens. The sequence continues at coordinate 64,213,518 of NC_000010.11, read as the reverse complement.
AGTTGGTCTTTCTTGAACAACTAATTTGATTTTATTTATATAGTTTTTTGTATTTAGCCATTGTACTTGATGTTGGAGGATTTCTAATTTACAGAAGAAAAATTTTAGAGGTTGCTTTGGATTAGATGTGGCCAATATAAAGAAAATTCTTTTTTATTGAATTTAAGAATCCAGTAATTGATGTCCATTTTTCAAAATATTGCTTCAGCATCAACAAATATAAATTAAGAGACTTCGGTTTGAATGACTAGCCTCACCTGGGTTTGAACCCCAGCCATATTACTTACATGCTGACTGACATGAGGCCAGTGACTTATATTTTATGTGCCTCAGTTTTTCCATCTGTAAAATGGGGATAATAATATTACCTACCTCATAGGATTATTGAGGGGATTAAATACAAAAATGTGTATAACGTGAGCAGATTAGCAACTTGCCTGTAATTCTTTGCAACCTCCCTGTAAATCTAAAACTATTCCTAAATAAAATGTCTATTTAAGAATAGTTTTTTTTTAAAAAAAAGTACAGTATCTTGCACACTATAGTGCTAAATAAATGTTTATTATAATGATTATTATTCAGAGTTCTGTTTTCATGTCCTGGTTCTCCAGTAAATACAGGCAATCTAGCATAATGGTTAAGAGCATATTTTCTCCGTCTAAACTTCTTAGGTTAAAATTCTAACTTGGCCACTGACTAGCTGTGTGAACTTGGTAAAGATTCTTAACCCCTCAGTATTTCAGTTTCCCCATCTGCCAAATGTGGATGATAATAATAGGATCTATTTCCTAGTATTACTGTAAGGAACAAATGGATTTATATTTGGTGTACAGTAAATTTTCAGTAGTGTTAGAAATTATGATTATTATTATTGTTGGTGATGCTATAGGCAAGGTAGATCAATATTTGTCTCTGAACGTTAACGAATATAATGACAACACATTGTGGATTTTACAAGACAGTCTTGATATTTAACAAAAATTGCCCCATTACCCCCTCAAATACCTTGCCAGCTGTCACTATTTCCTAGTCAAAAGATATGGATGCTATATTTCTATTTATTGTTCACTGGAAAACAGAGACTTCTTTATAGTCATGCTGTAATTGGACTGGGCAGTAAAGCTCATGTTAGACCCCTGTAAGAAAGAATCCACTGGCAAGCCTGCTAGACCTCCTTGGCAGATAAAAAGCAAATCTGACACTGAAATGCCAAGAGGAAGTCATTCAATTCTCTCAACCTGAGTTTGTAATGTTCTCTACTTAATTCCTCAGAGCTGCCAACACCAACTTTTTAAAATTCCCTTGGAACAGGAAATTTACCAAAGTGCTGATGGAAAAAAATGACTTAAAGGTTAATTTTGTATCTTTAAGAGAAGAAGGCTGTCTTTTCACTAGGCCGATGAGAAAATGTAACTCAAGTTCTTTGATTACTGCTTCATCTAACACAGGGCATATCATGTCCATAGCAGGCCACCATGTGACATGTTTTTAGAGCCAGAAAGAGAGAGATTAGTGGATAGAATTTGATCCAGATTTTTTGACAAACATCAGAGCTACTGATGAATCCCAAGTTTTCATGTGAGTTTTGATAGTGAGTTTATTGTGAAAGTAAAAATGTACTTGCCTCTGAGATGACAATAAATAAACTAACTGACTTTACCTCTAATTCTGCCTGAAGGCACATTTTACTAGCACAATTAGATTGCTTGGGTTCAAAAATTTCTTAGAGGATTGTTTGTCCTGAGATATTTCTTACAGCCAAGAACAATGTTTATTGTGTCCTCTTGTCCACACTGGAAGCTGTGGAAGGTTACTAATACTTGAAGGCATTTGGCCTTTCTCTTGGCCATATGGCACTCTTCATCTACTCTGCTGATCCACATTTAGAAATGTCCCGACCTTCTCATTTGCTGAGACTAACAATTGGCAGCAGGTTTTCTACACTCTCCTCCCCGGGTCTAGAAACAAAGTTAGTGGATCTAACTCCATCTAGTTCATGCACGCATTTTGCTTTTGTGTGCCATATTTTTCTAAGCACACAATTGGAATAAGTGTTAAAACTAGATTTAAAAAGTAAATTCATTCTGCTAACATGCATTAAGTTCCTTCTATGTGCAAAGAACTTTGCATAATGGAAAATAAAACACAATTCTTGCTATCTAGTGAATCAACACTATGACAAAAATCTCTTATAGAAAGGCTATAATTGTTTGCACCCCTAACATGGGTTATTAAGAAATGGTGGCCTAAGGATGGCAGGGACTCAGAGAACTTGAACAAGCTGTTGAACTTCAAATCCTGTTTCTACCACTTATTAGTTGTAAGGCCATGCAGGAGTTACTTAACATCTCTCATCCTCAGCTTCACTGCCTTAAATCTATAGTGTCATCTCCAGATTTATTTATTCATAATGTTATTTATGAATCTAGTTCATAGGATTACTGCAAGAATTGATTACAATAATTCACAAAAAGCACTTAGCCTACATTATTAGTATTGGTGTTGTTTTTATTTGACCAAAAGCAAAGCAGATCCAATTTTTTCTAACCCAATAACAAGCATAGGCCAACCACATAACCTCACTGCTTTTAGCTGTCTCTTCAGTCTGATGGGCTAAGGATATTCACTAACTCCCTGTCTCTCAATTTCTGTTTCTCACCCTTACAATAACGTTGGGATTTTGAAAAACCTGACACGTATTTGAAATGAAAAGCATTGTCTGCATAGTTTCCCTAGGAAAGAAATACAGCAAATTAAGTAAATTCATATCACTGAATAGCCTAAGCCACGTGATTGTCACACCATCCCTGGTGACTTAAGAGATAGAGGCAAGATCATTACTTAGGTGAACTTGGAACGTGTTTTTCATTAATCTGCTCATCACATTTGATTAACAAACAAGCATTGTGTTTCCTCATTATTAATGGTTGGCTAGGAAAATGTGGTACCTGTGAAAGCTGTCTTTTATTATATATTCTTAACTTCTTGCAGAGACTGATGAGAAGGAAAGCAAGCAATAACACACAGTAATAGTCTACCCAGGCTATGAACTTAAACACATATGAGTTCTCATTTAGCTTTCACTAAATTCGAATTAAGTCAAGACTTTGTATGTACAGAAAGCACATCTCAGATTATCCAAAATATTCTTGATTTCAAATATTTTGACTCATTATCCCCATGAGGTTATTCATATTTGTCAGGCAACGGAACTGATTTTTGATTCATAAAATATGAGAACTCTATTTCCAGACACCCTAATACATACAGAGAAAAAGCCTGTTCTGTTTCATCTGCAGCCTTGAACACCAGTAATTTTCATTCACTCCTGTTACAGTTGATGTCAAAAAAAACCCCACAAAGATTGAAGTTTTAAAGCCTGACAAAGCATGGACATAGGAATGGAGCAGAGAACTTTGTTGCTGTGACCTTTGAAATAGATTAAATGTATTTTCCAAAAGCTTTCTAAAGTATCTAGTAAGAGAGAAAATAAAAAAGATGCAAGCTCTATGTAAGGGCTTCTGTGAAATGCCCATTTTTTCAGTTCTTTTCTTATGAACTGACTGGGGGTGAGAAGGTGACTGTTTGATTTTGTGTCAGGGTTTCAAAGCCTCTATCTTCTCTGGACTCAAGGCCACTGATGACACCAAAGAACCCAATCGGATGTAGCACTTATTAGAGTTGTTAACCTCCGGCTGAGTCATCAGAGAGCTGTTTCTTTAAGCCACCTCAAAAGACAGCTGGTCATTTTCTGAGACAGTGGGGAACCTGGCCAAAAACCCCAGCCATAACTGCATTCTGTGTGCACTGATTCCAAAGGCCTTGGCTCATCAAACACCAAACCAATGAAAAAACCATTACTTACAGCTGAGAAGATGTATTTGTTCTTAAAGGACAGCGAGTTGCTGTCATTTGAACAGACATGGTATGCCAAGTTACACACTATTTGGATCCAGAAGGGCAGAAAAATGTCATTATATTCTGAAAAAAAGTGATTTTTACAACTCCAATTAGGCCTCTGACCCCTTAGCCCTTGACTTCAGATAATCTCTAATGCTCCTATCTTTTCCAAACTGCTCTACTCATTCACAGAAAAATCAAGCTGTTCAATTTCATCAACTTTTCTTTTCCCATTTTTGGGAAACAGTAAGGAAAAAGGCCAGATTTGGAATAACAAGACATATGTTTCTGAACATGTTAGAGCATATTTTAATATCGTCAAAAGTGGGACATCATTGCCTAAGAAATTTTCTAAAAATGGAATAAAAAGCTTAGTGTTCAGGAAAGTTCTGCCTGATAAAATAAGGAATTGATGACATTTTTGATAAAATATTTTTACTGTGTATTAAAGCATTTTTTAAATCATTCACACAATAAGGAAATTTAAAAGGGAATTGGTAAAAATTATTAAGGTTTAATCAAGCTATTTTTCCATTTTTTTCATAATCTAGGATGAGACTAATTTTCTTATATTTGGGGTTGGAGCAAAAAAGAAAGTAAGAATTCCTGTTACTTGCAGAAAGTTATTTGTGGAATACACAAAGGAGGAAACTCGAAGAGCTGGTTAGAATTTCTGTGCATGCCACTGAGTAAACTGTGAGCAAATTAACTTGTGTTTTTCTGTTTGTTTGTTTGTTTGTTTGTTTTAAGATTCTGTCTGTTTTGTTTTACAGAGTCTATAGCTCCCAGATTACTGCGCTTAGTAGTTATTGTTATTGTGGCCCAAATACCATCCCTGCTGTTGCAGCTGGTGAATTTACCAATATCCCAGGCTATTTAACAGTCTGTTTTTAATCTATTGGAATAGAAAGAGCCTTACTCAACTAGTAACTAAGCTTCCATTCCATGTACTACTGATCCTGGTCCTATTCTAACCTTGATTTTGAGTTCCTGAAATTAGACTCCTGTTTTCTTTTTCTATACCTGAGCTATGACTTGCTGCCTTAAATAGATCACTTGTTTTTCTAACCTAGGACTTAGTTCTGCTTTTACCAAAATAATGGGTTAAATAACATGCCAAAACAGATATGCCTATGTCCTAACCACCTCATACCTGTGAATGTGACCTTATTTGAAATTAGTGTCCTTGTAGACGTAATTAAGGATCCTGAGATGAGATCATCCTGAATTTAGAGTGGGCCCTAATCTAATAACTGGTGTCCTTAAAAGAAAAGGGAGAGAAAGATTTGAAACACTCAGAGATACAGAAGAAAAAGGTGATGTGAAGACAGAGACAAAAATTGAAGGGATATATCTATACACCAAGGCATGCCAAGAATTGCCAGCAGCCACCAGAAGCTAGGAGAGAGTCACAGAGCAGAGGAATAGAACCTCCAGAAGGAACCAGCCCTGTTGGCACCTTGACTTCAGACATCTGGCCTCCATGACTCTAAGAAAATAAATTTCTGTTATTTTAAATCACCAAGTTTGTTGTAATTTGTTATGGCAGCCCTAGGAAACTAATATAACCAATAACCCTGAGGACTGAAGTCCTCCCATGAACTCTTCACTGAACGTGGTGCCTTATGGCAAGAACTACCTAGTATCAATCACAATGTACATGTATCTTTTTATATTGTCTGCTCATACACTTGGCCTGCCTGTCTCCACTATACCCAGCTACCAACCCATTCTGGGCCTTATTGGCATCAACAACTCATCTATCTGGGCATGGTGTTCTGCCAGACAGCCCAGATTTCTACTGAGCCTGATGCTCAATGGCTCAGTACCACTGAAAGGATAGTTCTGCTTCAAGGAAAAAAACAAAACAAAAAAAAAACCAACCTAACTAGTATCTCTAAAATAAAGAATATAATTGACTTACCTTATGTCACTTGTCCATCCCCAGTCTGGCCAGTCATGGCCAGGAGGATGGAATCAGATGAAATCACTGCTTATTCTACAGTATATGTGAAAACAGACATTTTGGAAGTGTGTGGGAGGAAAAGGAATTATTAGCAGAGGAAATAAATGGCTTCTCTACTATCTCCATCCTTGTAGGTGGAAGCTGAGAGACTCATCTTTTCATTGACCAAGTCCTCAAAAGGAAAATTATCTCTGCATAGTCCTGAAATATGTCTCATTTGTTTGGTGTGAAATGACAGCTGCCCATTCATAATGTCTCCTGCTGTCATGGAGTTTACAGTCTAGTAAGAATGACAGTCATTAAATATGTAATTACACATTTAATTTCAGAAGGGGAAGTTTAAGGTATGATAGAGGTATATAACAACAGAAAGCTAACTTAGAGTCAAAGAGGTCAAAATATGACAGAGACAGCGGTGGGGAAGCATATAAGAATATGCTTGAAGAACAGAAATAGAACCAGTATGTCTGGTCCACCTTAGTAGTTGGGCTAAACTAGCCCTAGATAACAGTTACTCTAGATCTCTCCTAATAAAGCTTCAAATAAACCTGAAAAGAATCAAATGGGACCACAAATAGACTGCCTAACAGAACAAAACAAAGTTGAAAATTCCATAAAGGAAGGCAACAAAATCCAGACACTCAACAACATAAAATTTACAATGTACGGCATCCAATCAAAAAGTACAAAGATGTTGGAACATATGACACACAACCAGGAGAAAAAGCAGTCCATAGAAACAGACTAGAAAATAATAAAGATAATGGAATTGGAAGACGAGGGTGTTAAAACAGCTATTAGAAATATGTTCAAGGATTAAAAAAACATGAACAGAGTGAGAAAGGAAATGGAGAATATTTTTAGAAGAACCAAATGGAATATCTAGAGAAATAAAAACTTTAGTGGATAAAAGAAGACTTGTTTGGCAGAACCACAGAGCACACAGGAAAAACTGGAATAGGATGTGGCTGGAGAGTTATGTAGACAACTTCCGGAAAAATTTGGAAGCCATGGTATAATTTGGAACTTTTACCCTAAGGGATTGGGAAAGTCATGCATATGAAGCAAAAAAGGGACCATTATTGTGGTGAGCTGAAAATACAGCTCTTCCTAATTTAGCTTTTCACTAGACTAGACAGAAAAGAAAGTGGAGCTCTTTCTGCTTCATATTAGTAAATCAATGAACTGGTTCTATGTGGGAAACTGGAGCTCTTAAATAGTTCACTGACAACGCACACTTATACATCATCCTGGAGTAGGGAAGTAGGAGGCACTCTCATAGCTCTCATCTAATGGTTATTGAGTATCTGATATATGCCAAGCTTTCTTCTTGAAATGGAACAGAGCTTTGAACAAAAATGTCTGAGGACCTATCCTCATGGGACTTTATAGTCATAACAGAGAAGAGGGTGTTCACAGCCATTTTCTTGGTAAGAACTGGCTCAAAAGAGGATAGAAGTTTTAGTCTGGGATACAACAGATTTTAGAGCATGTGAAGTGACGTAGCACCATTTACTTTCTTGAATATTTAGAAAACTGTTTGGTTGTATTTAAGTGAAATTTTAAACTTTTAAAATTGTGTTCTATTCTGAACCTGATAAGACATGTCTAAGTCACCAATGAAATGGTTCAATTTTTTAAATGAACAAAAGATCAGATGAATTTTACTTTTATTCAACCAATTAAATTTAACCCAAACAAATGAAGTGTCACTCTCAATGGATCATTCCTTTGCATTAGGCTTTTAGCTAACAGTCTCTTTTGTTTGAAGGTATTGATTTTGATAATATTAAATGACGGCTATTATACTGTCAATAGCTCATGGTGATGGAAGGGAATAGAAGTTAGAAATCTATTTCACTTGTAGATTTCTTGAATAAGATAAATTAACATTAGGTACAAGTTTATCTATGATATTTTGTTTTCCAAGAAAAAAAACTTGTTTGCCTGTGAATCTTCTGTTTTTAAAAACATCTTTGTTTAGAGTCTAATCTAGTTAATCTCAATAAAGAGTTTATGCAGTTATCCAAATTACTTAAATTCTCTCCAAACTGTTAAAGTTCGTGACAGAATCTTGGAAGGGTAAGACTTAACCAACTCTTAATTATTCAAGCTAATGGTGGCCTGCAGTGTGTGAAATGTGATGAGCCTCTCAGGCCAAGATCAATGACATCAGGCTGAGTGTCGAGAGCCAGATGTCGTGACTGAGGACATCCCTGGGATAAAGACAGGAGCTGAGGCTCCATTAATCATCATGAATGAATCCATTTCTTATTCCTCAGGCAGACATTGGGTACTGCCGTGTTGGTAAAGAAACAATAATCTTTAAAATAAAAGCTCGTGGTTTAAGTCTTCTTTTCTTGGAAAACACCAAAGTTCCTATATTTTTGCTATAGACTTTTGTCTACCAGGTATTAGATAGGAGTTCTAAATTTCTTTTTTTTTCCACTGGTCTAATTTTCTTTTTTTTTTTTATTATACTTTAAGTTTTAGGGTACAAGTGCACACACAACATGCAGGTTTGTTACATATACATACATGTGCCATGTTGGTGTGCTGCACCCATTAACTCGTCATTTAACATTAGGTATATTTCCTAATGCTATCCCTCCCCACTTCCCCCACCCCACAACAGGCCCCAGTGTTCCCCTTCCTGTGTCCATGTGATGTTCCCCTTCCCGTGTCCATGTGTTCTCATTGTTCAATTCCCACCTATGAGTGAGAACATGCGGTGTTTAGTTTTTTGTCCTTGCAATAGTTTGCCGAGAATGATGGTTTCTCTTCAAAGAATCAATATGTCAGCATGTTCAATTCTTTACCTTCTACTTTTAAACTTAACTTCCTCATAAAGCAACCTTTTTCGATTACCTGCTCCCCGCTGACTCATTTCAATCACCTGCTCCACCCTGACTGATTCTGATTACCTTATCCACCCTGACTCATTCGAATTACCTGCTCCACCCTGACTCATTCAGATTACCTACTCCACCCTGACTCATCCAGATTACCTGCTCTGTCATAACCACTTTTCCCGCCAAACCACTCACCCCGTCACTCTCTTTAAATTAGCCAGTCGGAATTAGTTTAGCCTGTGCAGTCTAACCCTAGCCAATAGGGTCAGCAGCAGCAGCAGGGGCCACACATGTCAGGGATAAGAACCCCTTTCCCTCTCTTGTCCAAGTGTGCGCTCACCATTGTTCCATCTTTAAGGGTGCAACCTTCTATAGAAGTACCTTGCCTTGCTGAAAATTAACAAGAAAATTTTATATTCAAGTGCTATTTATTTTTTGGCACTGAAACTTTATATATAACACAAGGAACCTCAAAATATTTAAGAATTTAAACAGACCAGGAAACAAGCTCATCAACTCTTGAGTTGATGACCTATGAACCATCAAGGCACAGACCAATAGAAATGATTGAAATTATATTGCTGTATTCATGTTTAATGCTCATTTACTCCAATGTTGCTGCCTAATCTGACTGGAGTATGGCAGGATAAATATCTAGAGATGCATCAAGCTCTAGAGCTTGATTAATAAATATGTAAATTAATTTATCATCTTAAATTTCAATCAATAGCTGCAATTTATTCCACAGAAAGTATTGAATCTCTCAATGTGCCAGGCATCATGTTAGGCACTAAAGTTCTAGGGTACTCTCTTCAGGAGCTTCACAGTTAATTAAGAGATAAGCAAGTAAACTGAAAACTACAAAGCAATAGTAAGTGTCTTTGATAGAAATAATAAAGGGCATTATGGGAGCACATGAATAATATGTGACTCAAAATAAAATGATATCTGAGCTGCAATATGAAAGATAAGTCATATGTAAAGGAAAATATTCCAGGCAAAGGAAAAGCATGTATAAAAGCACAGAGCCCTGTGAGTTGATGATACATATATTGATATATAAATGGTCCAGCTTCAAAGGGAGAATGGCTCAAAGGACAAGAGGTATGAGTTTAGGCTGGAGATGGAAAGACAAGACCTAAATGATTATTCTATGTACAGAATGATGGTACTTTAAGCAGCTCTTGAAATCCCATAGCCAAAGTCCCTGGTACATTTTTAATTCAGAATGAGAGATTAAAATATGCTATTCAGAAAAGAGAAAGGCTTAGTTAATACCTAATTCACCAAAAAGGTGCACTGCTAAAAGCACGGGTGAAATAATCCACATCCTCTTTGAAATCCTCCAGATATTCCACCAAACAAACCCTAAGAGAGGACAGGTAAACCGATGATATTATCACGGAATCACCTAAAGTCTTAATAGTCAAAGTTTTTCCACAAACCAACAGCATCTGTCATCATCTGGGAGCTTATTAGAAATGCAGAACCTCAGGCCACAACCCAGACCTGCCTTGTCAGAATTTGCACTTTACCAAGATCCCCAGGTAATTCTTGTGCACATCAAAATTGGTGACGCACTAATCTACAGAAGAGCTTTCAACCCTGGATATACATTAGAAACACCTGGAAAGATTTCAAAACTACCAAGGCCAGGGATCCCCCTTTAGAGAGCACAGTTTACCATTAAATCAAGTACGTTACCAGGTTTTTTTAATTTGTATAACTAAGCAGAGAACATTTCCAGGCATCAGATAGAAAACGAAGAATAAATAGATGCTATTGCAGGGGCAAAATGAGGGGTTTGGTTTTAATGTTAATGTATGCTTGTGGGACATACAAAAAGCTACGGTAAATGAATGAGCAGATTGACATAAGGATGAGTGAATGGGATATTTATGTGAAGTTTTTCAGTAATCAACTAGTTATATGAATCTGTGATCTAAGAGAGAAGTCTAGGATAAAGACATAAAACTATGTAGAAATTTTGGAGTCATCAAATACAGAGGGGTAAACACTGAAAGCACTAGAATAGATAAGAATGTGAATAAAGTGAGAAAAGTAAAGGTCAGAATAGACTCTCTTGTGTCATAAACTTTTAAAGGGTATGCTCAAAAATGAGATTACACTACAGCATCCAGACAAGAAGATGAGAAATCAAGAGAGAAAAGCACTATATATACCAAAGAAAAAGACAGTTTCAAACTGACATATAAGTAGTGTCAACAACTGCAGCAACATCAGAAGTACAAGACCTCAACAGTATCCTTTTGGCATTGCCATCTAAGAGTTCACATATAACTTTGGCAAGAAGATGGATGGAATAACAGCCAGATGGTAATTCACTGAGGAGTTAATGGAAAATGAGGCAGTATAAATACTTAGTTTCTATTTCTCTTTCAAAAAGCTTGACAATAAAGATAAAATGAAAAATATGGTGATAGCTAGAAGAAGGCGTAGAATGTAAAACCCTAAGCTGCACTCAGGAAGTCCACAAACTTGTCAGAAGCTTGAGTGCTGGATCCACTAATTGCAATGTTTCTAGTGTAAACACACATTTCTCATAAGCATATGTATTTTTCCATTATAAATGTTTACGCTTCTAGTATATTGTTGGGGAATAAAATTGCCTATTCAAACATGTTAGACATAGGTTCTGTGTAGACACAGCTATCATAAAGTTCCACATAAGAGACTGTTGCCATAATGTGGTCCCACGGTTTTAAGTTTCTTTTAAATTGGTTGGCCAGTTAAATATTTAGATGAAGAGAAACATGACATTCAGATGGTACTTTATCACTCCACATAAATACTGTGGTTTGGTCATAATGTTTTATGACTTACAACTATAGGACTTGGAAAACTATTATTTTGGTGCAACCTACTTTATTATTGTGGGAAAAACAGAGACAAAGAAAGTGAAGAGCGATAGGAAACTGAATTGAAATTAAGGATTCTAAATTCTTAGTTCTGATTAATAAGTTAGATTTGCATATTTTGATTTTTATCAATTAGTTTTAAATCAGTCTCCTGATTTTAAATGGTGAAGGAATCCAACACAGTGGAGAGAAAAGGCATTATCATTAAACTTTTATGAATTTGGAAATTGAAGGGAAGGATGACAAGACCCAGAACACAGGTGACAATTAAAAAACACTGAAAAGTCACTCCTTTCCTAATTTTAAAATAGAACAAAACATGCATGCCCTTTCAAATTCTCACAATTGGTTTAATGAGATAATGTACATCAATGCACCATAAAGTATTATCTGAATTTACTTCCCAGCATTATTGAGTCATATTTTCATCACCAAGACCAGCACCTAACACCAAAAATAAAAAAGTACCCTGGAAATTAAACAGAAAGGCTATATCTCTGAAGTAAGCACTCTGTGATGTTTTGTAATGGTGCCCATTGCAAAGGATCATAGATATGTCATAATCATTCGCTAGCTTTCCCTCAGTAGTGCAGTATATACACAGTTTGTATACATTTCTATGTACATAAACTCAAGATAATTGCTTGGTCTTCAGTTGCCTAGGTAAAGTATTTTCCTAGATTAGGTTAGTTGGAACAATCTTGCCTGAAAAAAGACCTTTTAGTTTCTGAATAGACCAAATCTCTACCTGCATACAGGATAGTGACAATTTTTGGACAGTTGTTTTGAAGTAATGGAGCTTTAATAAATTGTGTCCAGATCCAAGTTTAGACCTTACCCTTCAATATTAAACCACATTCTCCCTTTCTGTGAAGGAGGAGATATTCACACACACCCACAAAAAAAAACAGTTATTGAAACACTACTGTGTCACCCCTTTGTCTGAGAGCCAGAAGGCTGAGGCCACTTATATTCCATCAGCCTCCTGGAGCCCAGAGCACTGAACTGGTTCTAGAAGTTTTGGCTCCTTGGGTGTAAGAACTGCAAGCCACTAACAAAAGTTATCATATAGTCTCCCCTGCCTCAGGCCATATCCTCGCTGACCACCTTAAAAATGACACTTGAGTTTAATTTAGAATCTTAAAGTGAACTACGTCTACCAGGTCTCACCTGTCATCAAAAATTACTTCCCTCTATGCTCTGCTTCCTCTTCCTGTTCTACTATTCCACTTCTTCCGAAACTTATTAAAAAGTGCCAGACAGAAACCTCAAGCCAAGTAAATTTCACATACGTGTGTGTGTGTGTCTGTGTGTGTGTGTGTGTGTGTGTGTAACAGTGTCTAAGGACTCGAGCTTTAAAGTCAGAACTAGATTTAAATCCAGGCTTTTTGACTTACTAATGCTGTGACCTTGGGCTTGTTATTTAACTTCTCTGAATCTCAGTTTTTCCATCTGAAAAAGATAGTGATGTTTACTTCTTGCTTTTTGATTTTGGGGGATGGTTAAATGATGCAGTGCATATAAATCATATAGCACTGTGCCCAGCACATACGTTATTTTTACTATTCTACCTCCTTTTTAGAAAAACCCTATGCATGTCAAAATGATCTCCTTGAAGTGATAGGATAGGCCTTCTTCCATGCCTTCTTACCATAAATGAGGGAGTACAGTGGTGGGTTAAGTGACCCTTCTCTGTCGTCTCATAGATCCCAGTACAAACTTCTTAGTGCTTAGCACTTAGAGTGAAATAATTGGTTTACCTATCTGTCTTTTTAGTAAGCAATAAATCTCATAAACAAGCTGGATCAACCAAAGCCCCTAGAACAGTGTCAAGCACATAGTCGATACTCAGTAAGTACTAAACTGGATTGAATTGAACACACTTTAAAGGTGGGAGACTTCAGATGTGCTTAAGAAATAATGAATGCCCAATCTGGCTAAAATTGAGGAGTGCTCGAAGGCTGTAAAGGTGACTAGGGTCAAATCTGTGGCCTCCTTGGAAATACTCAGACCACAAACATACAAACATTCTTTGTCCATATTCAATATCATATCACTCAGACAACAAAACCTTCTTAGAATTCCATCCTCTTCATAACAAGAGAACGTTCTAGTAGATGTAAAGACTCACTCTTTCTATAATCCTTCTCAATGCTCCCTTGTCTATCCTTCAGAGATGGTCAAATTTCCTGTCCTTGCTAGTTTGAGAGACCAATTCTCCAGCCAGCTTACTTTACCCAAGAAAATCACAGGCTCAGGGCAGTGGGCACACAAGGTGACTTTGCTGGCCTCGGCTCCTCAGCAATGCCTTCTGTCAGTTTCTTACCACAGTCCCACTTCCTGCTTACCTGTTGCAAACCTCCCTGTGTGCTAGGTGGTCTGCTCATCACTCACCACTCTGAAATAAACTCTTGCTGCTATTCAGACTTCAGAAAACTGAAGAAACTTGCACCTGTGATAAGCAGCAAGGTCTCCAACAAACACTGCCATTTGGAACACTGGTTTCTACTAGGTCTCACTTATCAAAAACAACGAGCTTCTATGCCTTGCTTCCTTTTCCTCTCTTACTATTCCATTTCTTCCTAAACTGGAACCTTTTACCAAATAAATTCCACCTACATTTATGCGTGTGTGTGTGTGTGTGTGTGTGTGTGTGTGTGTAATGGTATTAAAAGCTTGAACTTTAAAGTCAAATTGAACTACGATTGAATCCAAGCTATATTACTCACTAACTCTGTGACCTTGGGCAAGTTATTTAATTTCTCTGAGCCCAAATTTCCCCATTTAAAAAGAAAGGTAATGGCATTGACTTCTTGATTTTTTGGTGATGATTAAATGACACAAGCACATAGATCAGTTAGCTTTGTGGCCAGAATGTAATGGCCTCAAAGTCACTTCATACATGCCATGTGAGTGTGTATCAGCAGCCTCAAAGACTATCATTGCACCTCAATTTTAGCTGCTCTGGAGGCTGACTACCTATTATCTATTTTTGATGTGCCACCCCAGAGCTACCAAAATGATTTTGTGATTGACGCATAGGTTATGTTTTAAATTGAACCATGTCTGACATCTACATGTTTTTACAAGAGAAAATGATAGACAGCCAGAAACTTATTTTCATTTGTATGGATTCTCATAAACTTCCTGTCTTTGACTACTACAGGAGTCCCCTTCAGACCAATTCATCATTGCTGTAACATCAAATTCTGTTATCTGTATATCATGGCAGTGATTAAAACACAGAAACTTTAGCCTAGGCTGAAATCCCACATCTGCCTATAACTGTGCAATCTTGAACAAGTTATGCGACCTCTCTCTGCCTCAGTTTCTTTGACTGTAACGAGATCATAGTAATAGTGCCTACTTTGCAGTATTTTTGTGAAATTAAAATAATAAACATTATGTCTGCATGTTCACTTTTACTACTTGTAGAGTATAAATAATTAATACTACAAACATTTGCTAATTGGTGATTATGTGCCACCACTCTATTTAATGCTAAAATAGTCAAAGATGACACAGCACCTGACCACAAAGAGCTTGCAGAAAAAGTCTGATCCATATGAACACACACATATAATCACACATTTTAGGCTATAAGAATGCCTAACATTTTGAAATCTGAGATGGCCAATCTGTTCACTTTGGCTTCTAATTGTTGTTTGCCTCTTTAATCAATAATAAGTGTGGATTGATATCTGGACCCACCACTTGGACCAGCCTTCCGTAGGATAGATTCCTAGAAGAATGTGGACTATAACCACCTCCCATTACTTATTACTGAGGTCCCTGCATCAAATCACATTCTTTACTAATCAAATCATTGCGTGAAGTCCAAAAGTTATCAAAGCTCAACAACTTCAATCAATTCTTAATTTTATAAATGGAGACATGGAGAAGGACCCTCAATTTGAGTAAACAAATAATAAAATAATGTGTGACTTCCCCTGAATTGCTTGAATCATTTCTAGCTTACAGAATATGATGGAAGTGGCATTCTAACCTGGATATAATTTCTGGAAACTGAATAACAAGTTCATGGACAAAGTCGGTGTTCCACCATTTGTGAAAAGGGAGGGGATTCTCTTTACAAAACACCTGCTACTGCTCTTAGCACCTGGCTGGGCCCCCTGCCCTTTGCAGGCGGCAGTGCCTTGCACTTTCTCTCCATAATAAATCCTGACTTCAGTTAGCTGGCCTCGAGGCTTAGGTTGTTCTGTGCTACAAAGACGAGATCTTTTAAAGACCAAGAGCAACTGCTGCCTCTTAGGTCATTGCCTAGGAAGTAGCTAGTCCTCAACAGGCCAACCAACTCCAGGCCACAGGAACTAGTGCCTTAACTTACCTGGTTCCTCCTTTGCATCTACACTGCCCTCTGCTGCTTGTAATCCCAGGATGCCCTGGCCGTTCTCTGGAGTTTTCTCTGCTTCAGCATATTGAGGGAGGTGGATTCTGCCCTCCCACTTGTAGTCCTGATGCTTCCTGATTCAAAGGCTGCTTCTGTCAACCCCTGGTGCTCCTCTCTCCTATGATTCTGTTCTTTGTTATCAAGAAGTGTTACCACAGGGCTAGGCTCTGAACTGTGTCCCAGTGAGAGGTGACAGCGTGCTGGCTGCCCTCCCTCGCTCTCGGCGCCTCCTCGGCCTCGGTGCCCACTCTGGCCATGCTTGACGAGCCCTTCAGCCCGCCGCTGCACTATGGGAGCCTCTCTCTGGGCTGGCTGAGGTCGGAACCGGCTCCGTCTGCTTGCAGGGAGGTGGGGAGGGAGAGGCGCGGGCGGGAACCGGGGCTGCGCGCGGCGCTCGCGGGCCAGCGCGAGTTCCGGTGGGCGTGGGCTCCGAGGCCCTGCATTCGGAGCGGCTGGCGGGCGCCACCGGCCCGGGCAGTGAGGGGCTCAGCACCCGGGCCAGCAGCTGCGGAGGGTGCGCAGGGTCCCCCAGCAGTGCCGGCCCGCCGGCGCTCCGTTCGAATTTTCGCTGGGCCCCAGCTGCCTCCCCGCAGGGCAGGGCTCGGGACCTGCAGCCTGCCATGCCTGAGCTTCCCCTCTTCCCGCCGTGGGCTCCTGCGCGGCTGGAACCTCCCAGACAAGCACCGCCCCCTGCTCCGCTGCGCGTGGTCCCATCTACCGCCCAAGGGCTGAGGAGTGCCGGCGCAGGGCACAGGACTGGCGGGCAGCTCCACCTGCGGCCCGGTGTGGGATCCACTAGGTGAAGCCAGCTGGGCTCTTGAGTCTGGTGATGACTTGGAGAACCTTTATGTCTAGCTAAGGGATTATAAATACACCAATCAGTACTCTGTGTCTAGCTCAAGGTTTGTAAATGCAGCAAACAGCACCCTGTGTCTAGCTCAAGGTTTGTAAATGCACCAATCAGTCCTCTGTGTCTAGCTAATCTAGTGGGGACTTGGATAACCTTTATGTCTAGCTAAGGAATTGTAAATATACCAATCAGCTCTCTGTAAAACAGACCAGTCAGCACTCTGCAAAATGGACCAATCAGCAGGATGTGGGTGGAGCCAGATAAGGGAATAAACGCAGGCTGCCCCAGCCGGCAGTGGCAACCAGGGTCCCCTTCCACGCTGTGGAGGCTTTGTTCTTTGCTCTTCGCAATAAATCTTGCTGCTGCTCACTCTTTGGGTCTGCACTCGTGAAAGTCTGCAGCTTCACTTCTGAGCCAGCGAGACCAGAAACCCACCAGAAGGAAGAAACTCCAAACACATCCTAACATCAGAAGGAACAAACTCCGGACACGCTGCCTTTAAGAACTGTAACACCCACCGCGAGGGTACGCGGCTTCTTTCTTGAAGTCAGTGAGACCAAGAACCCACCAATTCCGGACACACCAGGACAGTGATGTCACCCTTGGGTTCTACTCTCTGCTGGTGAGTTGAAAGGACTATATAAATGAATTCACATAAAGTAGTCAAAGACTGATGCTCAAGGCTCAATGTGAAACACTTCCCCAGAGGCATTTTGGTCCTTTCTAGGACTGGCCATGGGTTAGTAGGGATGATAATTATTTGGATATAACCATTAGTCTTTATTGATCACCACTTTATATAAAGCACTCATTTGATTTATTTTATTGTCAAATGACCCTAAAATTAGGAATCTTTACCCCCATTTAAAAGATGAGGAAAATGAGGTTCAAAGGGTTTTTCTGTTTTTGTGTTGTTGTTGTTGTTTTTAACAGCACAATGTCACACAAAGACCATGTTCTTGCTGCCTCCCTGGATGAGGGAGCTTTCTTTTTGCTCTTTAATCACACCATCAGTGGCTTCCAGCTTGCCCCATGGATAAGGCTGACCCTATAAGCAAATATAATGAGCTGAGCACAGATATATTTTCACTCCTAAGTAGAAATTTCTGATCTATGAAGCCAGCCTGCAAAGGAGTCAGCAGCCTGAGTCGTCCCAAATTTCATACAATTTATAAAGGGAAAGAAGAAAAGCCAATTACAGCGCTAAATATAAAATGACCCACGGAGCTGCACCACGGAAGTCGCTCTTGCTCTGCTGTCTAGGGTCACCTTCAAATCGGCAAACAGGTCATTCCCCAACAATGGAATATTTTCAACTTAATTGACTTGACAAAATAGCAACAAATTAACCACTCAGTTGTGTGTGTGGTTTTTAATCTTTTTTTTGTTCCAACAAATGACCAAGGATATGTGCTCTTCTGCCATACTGATTTAACTTAGGCAGCAGGAATTAAAGTCACCGAAGACAACAAGTGACATCAACTTTATGCAACTAATTTCAGTGCTAATGAAAACTTTTAGTGTACTTGTCTGCTTTATACCATGCTGTATTCTGGTAAATGATGCCGCCTTTTGTTTTGGAATCACAAATATAAAGTTCTCTGCTGAGAAAACATTTTCCATCTCTGTGGACATGTTCCAGGTAGCTTCTCTGAAGTAAACTATTCCCAAATAACTGTTTAAGGTACTTCATCCTTAGCTGAGAACTGAAGTTAAATTTAAAATAATGAGTGACTTGCGAAACTAAATTGAAACTCCCATTAATTATAAAAAATGAGTTAATATTTTAATTTTTCTCTCAAACAGGTTTTTGTAACATGATTATTATGCATGATGAGGGCACAGTTATAAACAGACATCCATAAAATGTCAACGCAGATATTGTGCTTTAGTTTGGTGTTAGCATTATGTATGTCTACATTTTTTGTTGTTGCTGTTGTTGTTGTTTGTTTTTGAGACGGAGTCTCGCTCTGCGCCCAGGCTGGAGTGCAGTGGCGCGATCTCAGCTCACTGCAAGCTCCGCCTCTCGGGTTCAAGCCATTCTCCTGCCTCAGCCTCCCGAGTAGCTGGGACTACAGGCGCCCACCGCCACGCCCAGCTAATTTTTTGTATTTTTAGTAGAGACGGGGTTTCACCATGTTAGCCAGGATAGTCTCGATCTCCTGACCTCATGATCCACCCGCCTCGGCCTCCCAAAGTGCTGGGATTACAGGCATGAGCCACCGTGCCCGGCCCCTGTATGTCTACATTTTAAAATTCAGGGGAGGAGAAGAATTCATGGACATCTGACCTACATTTAGTCGTGCTGTATGTAATATCACATTTTTTGTTTGTTTTATTATACTTTAAGGTCTGGGATACACGTGCAGAACATGCAGGTTTGTTGCATAGGTATACACGTGCCATGGTGGTTTGCTGCACCCATCAACCTGTCATCTACATTAGGTATTTCTCCTAATGCTATCCCTCCCCCTGCCCTTCACCCCCCGACAGGCCCCGGTGTGTGATGTTCCCCTCCCTGTGTCCATGTGTTCTCATTGTTCGACTCCCACTTATGAGCGAGAACATGTGGTGTTTGGTTTTCTGTTCCTGTGTTAGTTTGCTGAGAATGATGGTTTCCAGCTTTATCCATGTCCCTGCAAAGGACATGAACTCATCCTTTTTTATGGCTGCATAGTATTCCATGGTGTATATGTGCTACATTTTCTTTATCCAGTCTAACATTGATGGGCATTTGGGTTGGTTCCAAATCTTTGCTATTGTGAACAGTGCCACAATAAACATATGTGTGCATGTGTCTTTATAGTAGAATGATTTATATCACATATAAAGACATACATCTTTCAGGAGACCTTCCCAGCTTAATTCTTTCCAGCTCTGATAATAATGTAATTTATTATTCTCAGATATTCTTTATCTGTTCATTAAGTGTGTTGCCTATCTTTTGTCCCATTAATATAACTAGTACTAAGCAATGGACATCACTGCTAGGTGTTACTATTGGGTTCCATGGGTGCTATATGGCTATATTTTGGCTATTACATGGTAAGGCAGTTACACATGCCATGCAATTTTTTGATGCCAAATAACAGTGCATCTGCTCTATTCAGTAACACTTGAGGGCCTAAAGAATGTACCCATCTGGACTATAGGGTAGAGTCAGAAAAACAGCGTCTGAAAAGAATGTAAGCCATTTTTGAGGCTTCCTCTGGCTTCCTGGGAAAAGTGATGGGTCATGGGGGGTGGAAAAAAAGGCTTCTTTTCACCTGTTCTGTACCAAGCTCTGAAGTCTGATGATACCTACACTCCTGGAACTTTCCAGGAAACACGATCTCAAGCTCAGGGCCACTTAGTATTAATCAAAACGTTACCAAGAGGAAAAACATTTAGCACAATTGCTTGAAGAGCAAGAATGTTTCATTTCTCTAAATAGTATAAGATATGCCCCTGAATCGAGGCCAGGTTAATGCCCATAAAAACTGAGAAGACGACAGTGCTTTCTTCTGATATATGCAAATTGAAATAAGCCATTCTTCAAAATTACAGAAAACATAAACAAATGGTGAAAATATAAACCTACTTTTTCTTGATTTTTGATTGAATAATTTCACTAGAAATTACCCAATTTTTATTCAACAGACACATAATTTGTTGGTGCCTTACACTCTCTATTAGTTTGCCCATGGGATAACCTACCATTATCCAGGCATTCAGCCAGACTGGCAAAGGAAGAGGTACCCAGACTGAATTATATTCCCCAGCCTCCTAAACTACCACTCTTGCCAGTAGAGCTGATTTGCACGGATTATTTCTTGGGAAGAGAATATCTATCTCTATTAAGGAATCATTTTTAAAGAAAATTTTGTCAGCACATGTATCATAAGAATGTCGTCCAGGACACTATCATAGAACCCATATATATATTTTATGGACTTTATATATTACAGATTTTGTGAATCATGCAAACACCCAGTTTTCTCTTTTCAACTTGGCTTGAACTCTTAGACCCAAATATGTGGCTACCCATGGCCAGCCAGCACATAGGTGTGTGTGTGACAGATGTTCTCTGTCTCTTCTACTTAATGATCCCATCCTTATTTTTTTCTATCCACTTGCTGTCTTTTTGAAAATTATTTTAAACTTATATTTATTGGGTTTTTTAGAGACAGGATCTGACTCTGTTGCATAGGGGCTGAAGTGCAATGATGCAATCATAGCTTACTGTAACCTCAAACTCCTGGCCTCAAGCAATTCTCCCATCTCAGCCTCCTGAGTAGCTGAGATTACAGGTGTGAGCCACCAGACCCTGCCACATGTTATCTTCTTATCTTTTTTATAAGACTCCCCATTTTTATAAGCATGTTTTGAGTCTCCTAGATGCTGTTTTATGGATATTCTTGATAAACCTTATCAAAAACCAATAGTCTCAGAGGGCCACAATGCTTTGAGTGCCACTCAGGGGGTTACCTTTGATTCTTAGAGACGAGATGAACAAAATAACTGTCCTCAGGCCCCACTGAGTCCCATGATCAGCCTGGGAAATTTCACAGCACTTAGTAAATAGAAAAATGTAAAATAAGAATCTTCAGAAATTCCAAAGGCTACGATTTGAACGTATTTGAGACAGAAAAATCACATCTTATTATAAATATCAGCCTTCTGTCTCCACCACAGGAAATGTTTAAAATCTAGTCCACAAAGTGAATGCCTTGGTTAGGGGTGCAACCCCACGAATTTACAGTCAGACGACTGACATGGGAAGGATTTGGGTTCACCATCACCCTTAACATTATGAATGCCAGACTGATGTCAGTAACAAATTAGGTTCTGAATTCCAACTGTGAATCTGCCTTAAGAGGCAATTGGTCATCCTGAGAAGCAACCTGAAGAAGCACAAAGAACACTAGGAAAAAGAGAGGAGACCAAGCTGCATGTCTTGTCCAAGTAATTTAAACACTCAAAACCTGGGCTTTCTTTTCTATACTATTAAGAGGTTAAATTACATGATCTCTAAGGACCCTTGCACAGCTGTAGTTCAAAGAATTTCTGAATTGAAATAGTGTTTCCAACCTCTGCCAGGCCTTATCCGGTAGCCATCAAATGGTCATTAACTCTGGTTACCAGCCATTGTGTTTGTACACAGAAAACTGACCTCATTGGTGTCCCCTTGGATTTAAAATTGCTGGTGATAAACTCCCCAGAAGTAATTATTTCTGCTACACTGGTGTGCAGCTCCAATTTATGGCAATTACATACGATTAGTCACAGCTTCCTTATCCCTTTACTCTTTAGGTTTTAGCATTCAGAAAGGACGGTCATTCCAGAAAGTATGTGCACATCAGCATAAATATATCTAGGCTTCCATTAAAGAGTATCTCTCAATTTTCCCTGGTAATTGTGGAGAAAGGAAGAGCTCTTATTTTCTGTACCACTTATAAAATTGCCCACAACTCAGACTGGCAAATTTCTGACAGAAAGAGAAATAAATGGAAAGAAAATCCTAGAGGACCTTGAAATTAATTTTATGTATCTTATTTTTAAATTACCACTGATAAATATTTCTGTTCTTTAAGGTTTCAGCTGTTATCCTATGGCTTGACTTTCTGTTTTCATTTCAGTAGATAATTGCCTGCCTCAGGATATTGTTCTTTTTTATAGAGAGAAATTTCTCATATCAGATTTTAAGTGCTTTCTGAAATTAACTCTTGGGTTTCCATATTGGCACAGTCGGGAATCATTCTCCAGTGAACGCCTATATGGAGAATGCTACAGATCTCTCCTCTTTGCTTTTTTCACCAAATATGAATATTTGTATTTGATTCTTGATGATAGTGCAGAGCTTGTTGGGAAAAAAGAAACTGCATGCACAAAATTGAAACAAGCTATTTAGTTTTACAATGAACAAGTTATTTTCCTTCCATGTGACTAGCAATCCTGTAAAAAACATTAAACCAACACAGTTAAAGTGGTAAAGAATAGATGCTAAATAAACATCTGTTGATGAAATGAATGAATGAATATATGAGTTATTTTCATTGACATCTTTTAATTGATGGAACAAAACAGTCTCACCACACATGAGGCTATAACAAAAGCTATTCAGTTGCTCAAAGAAATGAACGAATTTTTTAACTTTCATTCTCTTTACTAGAATTTATAAATAAATGTAGAAGCTTTCTGGATCTTTTCAGATTGGGTATCTATAAGCTTAGAAAGTCTCCATAGGGAAAAATACTAAAGAGTATTTCAGCTAGCAGAAAGAAGTGATTCTGTAGCTGAAATAGATCTTAGGGATCATTTTAGTCCAGGCAACAAATTTAGTCCAAGGGCAAATCAATAAATGTGATACATCACATCAACAGAACAAAGGACAAAAACCATATGATCATCTCAGTAGACACAGAAAAAGTTTTGATAAAATTCAACATCACTTCATAATAACAACTCAACAAATTAGTCATAGAAGGAAAATACCTCAACATAATAAAGGCCATAAATGACAAACCACAGCTAACATTATACTGAATGAGGAAAAGATGAAAGCCTTTCCTCTAAGAACTGGCATAAGCCAAAGAGGTTACTTTCACCACTTCTATTGAACACCATACTGGAAGTCCTAGCCAGAGCAATGAATCAACAGGAAGAAATAAATGGCATCCAAATTGGAAAAGAAGTCAAATAATCCCTTTTTGCATACAACACAATCTCATATATAGAAAAACCAAAAGACTCCACCAAAAATTTTTTAGAACTGATTAAAGAATTTAATAAAGTTGCAGGATACAAAATTAATATACAAAAATCAGTAGCATTTCTATACACCACATTTCCACTGTCCACAGGCCATATTTGGCTCAGATATACCTTTGTGTTTTAAAGGTGTGATTCAAAAGCCTCTAGCCAGGGCCTGTACTTTGGTTCTCTGTTGACATCAGTATTTCCTGATGTGTTACACAAGCTGATTTTACGTTTCTTACCTGCCTAGCCCTGTCATCATTGTATTTGTGACTTCTGATTTAGGACAGTGCTCTTAAGGCTGCAACAACTGAGGCTCAAAGCAGGGCCCTGAGGTAGAGCAGGGATTACAGCTAAGCCTTGCGATTGAACTCTAGTCCCAGGACATTTCCAATAAGCAAAGAGAGTTTACTTTTCAAACAATTGGAGAGGAAGAACTAAAACTTTAGAATGGCCCTTTCATTTTAGTCCACATTACAAATGCATATCATATTCAGAAAATATAGGTCATTTAATTGCAAAGGAAATTAGGTCCAGTGGCTGTGACTAGGGTAGGATCACACAGCCACCAAGGGTACAGCCACTTAGCTGCCAAAAGTGTTGAGTACTCCAAAAAGTACAGCCAGCAATGCCTCAGGGCAGTGTCTCAGTGGGGTTGATTTTTCCCTCTAGGAACATTTGGCAATATCAGAAGACATTTTTGGTTGTCACAACTGCAGGGTGGATGCCACTGGCATCTAGTGGGTAGAAGCCGGAGATGCTGCTGAACATCTTATAATGCACAAGACAGCTCTCCACAACAAGGAATTATCTGGCCAGAATGTCAATAGTGCAAGATTGAGAAACCCTGCTCTAGACAATAAAGATATAAATAAAGTGATGTATCAGAGTTCAAGTTCAAGGGACAGGGCCATATTAAGACTTCTTGAGGCCCATTTATCACATCCTACTGTCCTCTTTACACCCCCAAAAATTAGTTTCGGTGTCCAGCAAGGACACCAAAAAACTGGTGTCCCAATAAATGGGCCTCAAGAAGTCTTAATATGGCCCTGTCTCTTGAACTCTGATACATGCCTGTCTACTATTCTGTACTTAGCATGTGTGTAAAATGAAATTAGTGGAAGAGAATTCGTATCTTGAGGACAATCGAGCAAGAGGATAGTAGAAAAGGCATGTATTCTGGAGTGAGACTCCTTTGGTTTAAATTCTGGCTCTATCATTTACTAAGTTTGGCAAATTACGTAACATTTCTCATCTCAAACCTTTTCCTCACTTTTTCCATCTGTAAAATGAGAGTAATAATAGTAACTTCTTTGTAGGAGGATAATGACATACCATATGCAGAGTATTTGGCACATACCTGGCATTTAGTAAACCATCACTCTTTAATTTCACTTCCCCCACTCTCTCCAGGAGGACATAACTGGTATCTGAGTTTTATAGATGAGCTAACTGAGGTTCAGAGACCCTCTTGGGGCATTGGCAGCAGCGGCAACTTAAGAGTGGACTGGGGTACAGTAAGGAGTAGGCATATCTCCGCCACCTCCCTCCCCACCATGCTACCATGGTTCTCTCTCTTCTCTTTTTGCACACATAAGCACCTCACAAGTAGAGGCCTTTGATTACAACATGAAAACTCTTTCCAGAACATGCTGCTCATAGCTTGTATTTTCACTTTTTAACTTTCTGTTTTCACAACAACAACAACCTATAGCATTGAAACGGTTTCAGAATAAATAAAACGTTTAGTTTTATAAAAATTTGTAATTTCTTATTCATTATTTATATCTCTTAGTTCATGCACTGCAATGTTTTATGTTGTATCAAATTTTAAATGATAGTACCATCCCATAAGTAAATGATTAATTACAAATGGAAACATAGTTAACTTTACAGTGAAGAAACCTGGTGGAGATTCCCTTTACCAAGTGATCAAAGTTAACTCCTTGTTTCCTGATTTCATGCACTGAGGACATGTTCTCCCTTAAATTATATTCCCGCCAAACAAAGCATAACAGGAAAACATCAGGCAAACTGAAGTCAAAGGACATTCTACACAATGAATCAGGAAGGAGAATAACTATAAAGAACTTCATTGGAACCATGGACGAAGTTTCATATCAACTTGCATTACTTAACAGCATTATCTCAGTGTTAATTTTTTTATGTTGCTCTTTTTACTGTAGTTATGTAAGAGAATGTATTCACTCTTGGGGCACAAAATATTTAGTGTTAAAAGCAATGACATGCTGATAAACTAGCTCTCCAGAAAACAGGTTAATAAAGAAAAGCCTTGGTTTGTAGTCTTTACATATTAGTCTGTTGTCACACTGTTGATAAAGACATACCCGAGACTGTGAAGAAAAAGAGATTTAATGGACTTACAGTTCCACATGGCTGGGGAGGCCTCACAATCATGGCAAAAGGCAAAGAGAGGCACATCTAACATGGCGGCAGACAAGAGAAGAGACCTTGTCCAGGGAAACTTGTGTTTTTTTAAAACCATCCGATCTCATGAGACTTATTCACTATCATGAGAACAGCATGGGAAAGACCCACCACCATAAGTCAATTATCTCCCACCGGGTCCCTCTCACAACACGTAGGAATTATGAGAGCTACAAGATGAGATTTGGGTGGGGATGCAGAGCCAAACCATATCAATTTGCTTATTTCTGTTGTATAAATTCTCCCACCATGGCTGATTTCAAGCTATTCATGAAAAAATCACTGAATATTGAAATGGGAAGAAAGGTGTACAATATATTTCATATATATGTATTTATGTATATATATGTACATATAAATCTGCAAGTGTAGAAAATGAGAGATAAAGCAAATATAGTAAAAGGTTAATCAAAGAATATAAAGGGAAAAATGAGAATTCATTGTATTATTTTGAAATTTTTTGCAAATTTAAAATATCATTAAAATACTAAAATTCAAAACCATTTACATGGTTACCAAAAAAATATTTCTTCAGATCATCAGAATGTTTTGCAGTATTTTTTAAGGGAGCATTATAACTGACTGTAACTGTGTGCAGGACATTCGCATGTCAAGCTTCAGGGACACTGAGTAAATCACTCAAGGTCAATGCATTTCCTCTTATGCAAGGGGTTAAATGTTAAAGTCAATGAATATTTTGTAGAGTTGAAAACACTCTTGAGGGCCCTAAACTCTCTATTAAGACAGTACAGTACTGGCCTTCAGTTAACTCAGGCAGTCATTCTACCGGCCTGGAGCTGTTTGCTGTTCCTTTACTAGAACCCCAGATGAAGAAGTTTAGGGATCACATTTTAATTTAAAAAAACAAAAAGTACCTCTTGACCATTTAAACACTGGGACCATACTTAGCACTGACAGATGTTCAGTTTGAGGAAGACGGCTGTGCACACATTCAACTAAAGGAATAACAGAATCATTGCTCACACTGGGAACACTATTTAAATTCTCTCTCTTTCTTTCTCTCTGCAATTGTAAGTTTCAAAGCCAGAATTTAAACTCCTTTAACTGTAGGCCAATTATTTTCCACTACTTCACATGTGTCTCCAGCAGACACCGAGCTAAGGACCATTTTGGGGGACGCTACATTTGGACTTGGAGGAGAAAGAACAATAATGAGGAAAGGCTAGAAAAGACTGATATTCGTTCGTTTTGTGGGAGCTAAAAGTACAGAAAAACTGAGAAATTGGCAATGAATAATACCAAATGGAATTATAAAAGTCAGGGAAATGAAGATTAGAAGAGATCATAGGATTGAGCAACTAAGCAGTATTTTGGCCTCTCACAAAATAAATTTGACTAGAGCAGTAGGAACAATAGCCAGATTTAAGTGATAAGAGGATGATGAGGAAAAAGATACGGTGGGTATCAGCTATCCTTTAAAAAACAGTAGCAAACAAAAGAAATTGGAAGTGACTAAAGATTAAAGGAGTAACAGTCTCTTTTCCAGATTTTTTTTTTTTTTGGCCCCTTAAGCTCACCAAGTACATCACACAAAAACTCTGTGATTGCCTACTCCTATTCACCTGAGTGATAGTGCTCCTAAAATATTCTTTAAGTTGTTTTGGTTTATTTGTGATGTGAAGCTATGCCTATTTGACATGTGACTTTAGGGAGAAACATGACTTAGAAGAAATCAAGTAGTGCATACAAACAATTCTGTATTCACAGAGTTGGAGACTACAAATGTATCTCTCGTGGGCAGTCTACTTTAGTCTCTAATTGAACAAGGACAGAGCTGCCACTACCAAGTTGGCCTATCAGATAACATCAAAATTCTACTTTTCCCCTCCACTCAGTAGAATTTACTGTCACTGACACATGGTCCTTCTGCTTATGTTCATGGACTGGCTTTTCTACTTTAGGCACCAAGAGTGGTTCATGAAGTATGAGGTTATTTGCACAGGTGGCACCAGCCTGCATCCTTCCGTAACATCCTCCTGTGAACCACTTTAACAAGTAACCTGATTACAGCTTGATAAAAGCCACTGCTATTCCCAACCCCATATTTATACAATTATGATCATTTCATTACTAAATTAATAGTTCACTTAAGTTTCAGAAGTGCTGTCAAGAGAAAGCAGTTATTACCCTGGCTTTGAAGCACTCAAACTAACAAACAAAAAACAGCAATACATTTGTAGATGAGGATTACAATAATATTCTAGAATATATGCATTTCTGCTTTGGTAACTAAAACACAAAGCTAATATTTGTAAGCAGCAAGAGTTACTTTCAGGAAAATCCTATGTCCCTCTAAAACTATACTGAGGGCCCATACCCCACCCATTTGACAACCACCACACTCACAACTTTTCCCCTTGCCACTCTATAACTCATCATTTTATTGCCTTCCCAAATAGAAATGCTCTCTCTCATCGTCAGACAATGTGACCAGATATTTGGACGCAAGCAAGATGGGATAATCAAACATCACGTAATTGTGAAAAACTGCCAATCAATTTAGTTCTTACTAAAGTTTTTGTAAACCTACATCTTATAGAAATTTTGAATATTATTCTCAAAATGTTACCCAGTATTATATTACACATAATTAAATGCTGATGTATTGATGTATTTTTAAGTAGCTTTGTCTCATTTCTGCCTCTCTCTCTCTCTCTCTGTCTCTCACTCTTTCTCCCCCCTGCACATATTCTTAAAATAAATTAAGAATAATATTTGACTAACTAGTCATGAAGTTTGGGCTATGGAGGGGTTCTGGTTGGTCACACTTACTTTTTCTTCCCTTTTTATCTTCTCTCTGGGATTATTTCTGGGTTTTGAATTAGGTTCCTAGGGCTTTCATTACAAATTACCCCAAACTGAGTGACTGAAAAAAATAAATTTATTGTCCCTCAGTTCTGTTGTCTCTTGAGAGCTCTAGGGAAAAATCTGTTTCCTACCTTTCTCAGCTTCTGGCTTCACCTGCAATCCTTGGTGTTTCTTGGCTCCTCTGCCTCCATCTTCATATGAAGTTCTCCCTGTATGTCTCTGCCTGTGTCCAAATTTCTCCTTATAAGGCCACCAGTCATATTAGGTCAGGGCGCAGCCTAAGGGCTTTATCTTAACTTGATTATATCTGCAAATTTGTAGATGTACCAGCCTGCAGCTAGTATTTCCAAATGAGGTCACATTCACAGGTACTTCAAGCTATCTTCAATATATCTTTTTCTGAGGAAGGATACACAATTCAACCCATAATGTCTTTGTTCATCATAATACAGTTAATTATGCTCACTATTTTGGTCATATCAGTACCGCTCAGTTAAAAGCCCAAATTACTAGAGAGATCAGGTTTCTGTTTTTACACTACATGATGCCACAGGATGGTGGACATTGTGTTGTATTCCACCAACTAGCTGAATATCTCAGCTATGTCGAGGTAAGCATCCAGACATCTGGAAACGTCTGGAGTCATAGGTATTAATTCCATTTTTGGTCACTGGGCAGTCCTAAACCATTTTACTTTGTAATAATTATAGAGACTCAAAGTTGTATACGTTCTTAGAAGACTGATATTTGTATGAAACAAAATTACAACTTAGATCATTCATATAGTCTTTGCTGCCCACTCATTTATTTGTTTTCACTCTTTATTTCAAAAGTGATACAGATTTATTGCAATAGGTCAAATAATATAGAGGTGTATGCAAAAGTTATAATTAATCTCCTTCTCCCATCTTCAATCTCGTGACTGTGAGATGACCAACACCATCCTTCTACATCTTTCTCAATGCTCATAAATAAACATAGACAAGCCTATACATTTACATCGGATGGTTTTCATTTTTGATCAATAAAAAGAGAGTACCATGCATATTAATTTTCAGCTCACTTTTTTCACTTAAAATATCATAACAACTTTCAAGGTCAATATGTATAGATTAAATTCATTCTTTTTAATATCAATGTAGTAGTTCCTAGTATTGCCAACCTGTGATTTATTCCACCATTCTTCTTAAACTGGACATTCAGATCTTCTCACATACTTTTTATAGAAAACATTCTCATCCTTACCTATTCCTATAGTTATAAAATAAATTCCTAAAAGTTGAATTTATGGGTCAAAAGATATGTGCATTTTAAATTTTTAAAAGATTATAACAACCCCATTCTCACCAATAATGTGCCTTCTTCCCTGTACCTTCACAAACACTGGAGTTATTGATATCCTTTATTACATAAATGAGTAAATGTTTTTCCTGTGTTTTATTTTTTCATTAGTCTTTGATGCTTATAGAGGTCATGTCACATACCACACAACAAAAACACAGACCTTTCCCAGAAAACATTTCTGTTTCTCTCTAGAATATAGAAATTATCTTAAAATTTAAAAATTTTTAATGACTTTCTACTTGTCTTATCCATCAATGTAACTGTGCCCTGGTATGTTTCCTGCTGAAAATAAAAATTGTTTTAGTAACAAGACAGAGTTTAATTTTTTAATGAAGATTTCCAGATTTTCTAAAACTTTGTGATCTGAAAAAAATGTTAGTTAAACATTTTCTTGAATTGCTTATATCAGATACAAAAAGGATATAAATATGCAAGCAGGCATATTTGATATAATGTCAATTGAAAATTTTTAAAATCTTAGAAAAAGAGCACATTAAAAAGTGTGTGTTTATGAGGTGCTTCCAAGTTAAATGAGATATTTAAGAACACTGTATCAGTGAGCCTTTTGTATTTTTTGTATGACTACAATTTCAATGTACTTTAGCAAAGTCACAAGGAGATTTATAATTATTTTCCAAATAGCAAGCCCTAGAAAATCTAATGAAAATATAATTGAAATGTAAAATGTGCATATAAGTTTTGACTTGATATTTCAAAGCTTGTAAATATCATGTTGGGGACAAGAGATAAGTTATTTATTTCAATTTATAGATGTCTATAAGGTCATGAAAGTTATGAAAGAACTAAATAAAGCTGTTTTAATGTCAGTTCGACTAAGTGTTAGCAAACTTTAATTTCTACAGCTGCCTTTGGCCATTTCTTCAGTGATAGAATGTACTAGAATTACTAAGGGAGTTAGATTTTATAAAGGTATAAGGTGGAATTATACAGAGCTGAATAACTTTGTTATTCAGTTTTCCATAAGAATATACAGCCCAAGAATAGAAAATAACCAAACACTTCTTTTATCATGAAGTCTATCTAACCTATCTAACCAACTATAGCTTGGGTTTTTTTGTTTTTTTGGTTTTTTTTGGGTTTTTTTTTTTGAGACAGAGTTTTGTTTGTGCTGCCCAGGATAAAGTGCAATGGCACGATTTCAGCTCACTAACCTCTGCCTCCCGGGTTCAAGCAATTCTCCTGCCTCAGCCTCCCGAGTAGCTGGGATTACAGGCATTCGCCACCAAGCCTGGCTAATTTTTGTATTTTTAGTAAAGACAGGGTTTCACCATGTTGGTCAGGCTAGTCTCAAACTCCTGACCTCACGTGATCCACCTGCCTTGGCCTCCCAAAGTGCTGAGATTACAGGCATGAGCCACCATGCCCGGCCCAAATATAGCTTGTTTTTATCACTTGATCTTTCCCAATTATTTGATTTGTCTGGAAATGTATAGATACAGTACTTAAGGGAAAAACTATATTCTCCTCTTAGCCATTTATTTCTCCAGTGTTTCAGGGCAAAGACCTGAATGCCCAGTTTCTTCATATATAATTTGGGAAGGGTAAACTTGATGCTTTAATGAATAATTTCTGAGGACTGATTAGAGAATCTAACAGTTCTTTTTAGAAGTAGGTAGAATGGAATTAAGGGTTTAAAACTGCATTGCTTCCCTAATAATGAATAGTGAATGCATTCAAATAGTTAGGTATAGTGACAGTAATAGCACTGAAAATAACAATGAGCAAGTTTAATCCCATGGCCTATCCCCATGACCAGTGTCTTAGTTTGTTTGTATTGCTATAAAAGAATACCTGAGGCTGGGTAATTTATAAAGAAAAAGAGTTTATTTGGCTCATTATTCTTCAGGCTGTACAAGAAGCATGGCATTTGCATCTCCTCAGCTTCTAGTGAGATTGTCAGGCCACTTCTACTCATTACACAGGGTGAAAGGGAGCCAGCATGTGCAGAAATCACACAGCAAGAGGGGAAGCAAGAGAGGGGAGGTGCCAGGCTCTTTTAACAACCAGCTCTCCTGGGATCTAATAGAGTAAGAATTCATTCACACCCCCATCCCAGGGAAGGCATTCATCTACTCAAGATGGATCTGCACCCAAGACCCAAACACCTCCCATTAAGCCCCACCTCGAACATCAGGGATCACATTTCAACATGAGATTCAGATGAGTCAAACAAACCGTTCAGGGTATGTAGTTAAGTTAAAAATAAAAGAAGAAAAAGGAAAGACCAAAAATAAAAGTTTATGTCCAGCTCTCAGCTCTGGGTCTTTATGTGGATCAGCTTTATTCTCACGGCTGGATCCCATTCAGGGGGCAGTTTAAGACCTGTAGAACAAGCAACTCCAGCAGGAGATACAGATGAGGAGAGAGCGTTCCTTTCACAGAATTTCCAGCAAACTTTTTTTTTTTTTTTTTTTTTTTTTACCATTTAGCCTGAATTGAGTCTCTTCCTCTGTCACTGTGGCTAGGAGATAGGACATACCCAGTGGCTTAAGGAACCCCTGGAATTGGCTGCAAGGGCAAGTCCATTGAAACTGAAATGGTAAGAATGGAGTAGGCTTGACCATTTTGTGACCGAACTATAATTTCTGAGCTCAAAACAAAAAATTTAAAAAACTATGGCAAATTTGAAAATATATGTATTTTTATGTCTATTCTTCACCCTAACTTTTATACATATTTCGTCTCCAAAATTAACTCTCTTACTGGTTGTTTCTCATTTTTCCAATTTCCTGAACTTTATTTTACCTTGGATGAGCTTTCATGAAAGGCAGAGTTCTCTGTAAGATGAACAAAAGGTATTAATGCATTTTCCAAAGCAAGAAATTTACCAAGGACCCTCAGTTAAAATTTCAGCACCAAAAAAAAATCTTTTATTGAAAAAAAAAATTACTTAAATTACTTAAAATTACAAAAATTACTTAAATTTTTGTTTTGTAGGAGATAACATCCACTCACTCTGGTTATGGGCCTGTGTGCCTACCTAAGGGAAATTAGGCCCCAGTCAGTGAAAAGAAATGTACTTATCTAGTTTCTCTAGTTGATTTTAATTTTGTTTCTGTGAGAGTTTGTGATTGTAAATTTAAAGGATCTCAATGGTTGATGAACCTTCCTTTTGATTCTTCCAAACCTGGCACTGCTGCCTGGAAAGCATTCGGCCATCCACCCACCGTCTGCAACCAGGGCCCCAAGAGCTGCCTTTTGCAATGTTACACAGCAGTAAAATGCAACGGTTCATGCAGTATACCACTGGCTAACATATTGGGAGCATGTGGCCCAGTTATACAGTCCATTTAAAAACTTCAACCATTTATGCCCATATTAGACTTAATGTCTACCCTCTTCGCCCCACCTCCTCCCTAGCACAGCCCTGCTATGATTTACAGCTCACCTCAGGAAGCCTGGCCATTATTTACTTCTTTGTATCTGCAACTGCATTCTTCCAGCAGCCTTCTTCTCTAGGATGTCATTGCTGTGCTGTAGGGGCATGCTAATACCAAGGATGAGGATACCTTTGAGACGTCTCACTTACTTAGAGCTTAAGTAGGGGTCTCTCTTGAATCTCTAAGACTTCTTCGCTAAGGTGACTCCTATTTCTCTGGGGTTTGTTCTCATCAATGAAAGAATACTCGTCATAAGCTGAGTTGAACAAGTAGCAATGCAAGAGCCAGGATGGAACCACCTAGTATCTAGTTTGATCTTACTTTAATCATCTAACCCAGTTAACATATGAACAAAAACTTGATCATTTCCATATTGCAGCTTTTAGATAGCAGCAAAGGCAGATAGTGAGAGAAGCCTGAAAGCTATGAAGCCAATATAAATTTAATGGGTCAAAACAAATTTCTTAGCACTTGTTGTTCTTTAAAGACTCTTAGCAAGCAATCCCTCTTCTTCCCAGGGGACTTCAAGGCAGCCATTCCTGGATTATTTGGATATTTCATGGTCTTTTACCCACTACTCAACAAGTATAATCAAGCACAGCATCCATTTATTCTAATAGTAATAAAAAGCATGATAAAAAGCATGGATCAGTGCTTTGTGAGACTTGAATTCCAAACAGAAGTGTTTTGTAGAAATTTAATATGTATAAAGCTGATTTCTACATATTGATTTTATATGAACTTCAAAGGGCATAAAAAAACACAAAGTGGAATTTTAAAGAAGAGACCCACAAGGTAGTATGAATCAAATCCAAAAGATTTAGAACAGATGGCTGTTTTTGTTTTGTGTTGTTTTGTTTTTTTCAGCATTCTCGGAAGAAGGCAAGTTCCTCTGAAGCAAAGACTGTTGTTACCCCATTCTAGGACATTGCACCCACATAATATTTAAGTGCAACTAGACTTGCAAGGATCTTGGAAAGAAGGAGTATTTTACTAGTCATAGGAATAAGTTTCTTTTCTTTTGGGCTAGATTTTTTTTTCTTATCCTAATAACAGCAGCAGCAATAATGATGTCAATAATAGCTAAGGCACACTGAGCATTGAGCTTCATGCTGGACACCATGACAGCATGTGCACCATCTTTATTTACTTGGACAATCTGAAATCTCATTGCAACTCTATGACGCATTTACTCCCATTATCTCCATTTTAAACAGAAGTTATTTGAGGCAATAAGAGGTTAAATAATTTCCTCAAGTTCATGCAGCTAATAAGCAGCAGACCTGGGATTTGAACCCAAGCCTCACCTGCATCTGAATCCAGAGTTCATTTTCTTCCACTGGGAATTAACATCTTACACTATTTTTTCATCTTTCCCTGATAAAAATGTTAGCATCAGGGCTATCTCCTGATATGTGAAGACTCTTTGGGAAGCAACGATTTTTATTGGCAGACACCTTTATTTGCTTTCCCAATGTGTCTTGTTTGGAACATTCTCCAGAATATCAGGGAAAAGTATGCGTTTATTCACTTTTGGTCACAATGGGTGTATTAAAATGGCAAGAGTGTTTGAAAACATTTCTTGGGAATTGTTTAAATCTCTAAGGACTATTTAAAATAATTTCCAAATAAGAACCAAAAAATTAGATAATAATTTAACTGTGTTGGTCTTCCTGCTCATAATTAGATGACAGGTTTAGTTGTTTCTTGACACTGTTCCTAGTTCTTGGTAGTAAAATTTTGTTCTCCTAATAAAATGAAGGAAGGACAAACTTCTCATTGAATGCTCTAGTAGCTTTTCCTGTTCCTGTAGATGGAGTCTAAATCTTTATTTCAAAGTGGAAGATTATAAAGTGGCAAGGAGGGTATAGTGGGCATAGGCAGTGTCTACTTGAGGTAAGCTAGAATTCAGCCTTAGTTTAAGTCCCTCCCTTAATTGTAGAAGGGGCAACTTTGAGTGACCCTTTTTAGGCATGCAGATGTATATTTTGCCTAGAAACATAAAGTGGGGGTATCTTTGGTAAAATTGTGCTCTCACTGAGCCTTTTTTTCAAAATACACATTTAGTATAGTGTTTCGTACAAGGAAATCTTTAAGACTGAGTGATTCCAATTTTGGAGAATGTATTGCTAAACATTACAGAGGCCCTACCCTACAGATGGTGATGAATGTGCTTTCTGAAATGGTATGGAAGTTGGTATTCTAATGCATCCCAGGGAAACAGGAGTCTAAACTCCAAAAAATAGTGGTGACATGATCACAAGGTCTCCTATCTGTAGGGGAGAAGTGAGGCTTGGCTCCTAATCCAGGGCTAAGGATAGAGGTAGTTAATACAGGACTCATAAAGTGTCACGGCAAATACATGTTTAGTGAATTTCACATTCAATTTCACATTTTCTTGTTGCAACTGGCTTATCTTATGCTCAAGTCTTGAGATTTAAAAATGTTAACTTTGCTTTGGATTAATAAAGGAAAGCTGTATCCAAGCTTGGGGAAGGTAGAAAGAGTCCTAGAAAAGTCATAAGTCAGAGCTGCCTGAGGCAGTTGTCTGGGACCAGTGATGGCAAGCAACAGCAAATTGAAAAGGGAATAGACCTGTCTATCCCTAGGAATTGCCTAGATATGTGTACTTTTCCTGTCTATCACAGTAATCCCACTTCTAAGTGGGGGAATGTCTGAGGGTCAGATAAAACATTTGATAAGGCTGAAGTCTGTATGCTGTCCATACTGTTTGCATCCCTGTGGAAAGGGAACCTATTATTATCTGCTGTGGACTCTCTTGCTTGTGACAACACAGTCACAGGAACTGGCTGGAGGATAGGTCATGCAAGGGGAAGGGAGAGTATGGTATTCTCTTTTCCATCTGAGTGACTCTCCTTTTACTTGTCTTAAAGTTGAAGAATAATTCATCAGTGAGTAATAATAACATCCTGCACTTATATAAATTGTTAAACTGTCATTTTTTAAAAAAACTATCATCTGTTAGGACTTACTATTTGTTGTTAAGGCACTAAATGCTTCACACAAATTATTTAAACTCCATAGCAACTTCATGAGGTAGACCCTATCATTATCTCTATTTTACAGATGGGAAACTGAGACTCAGAGATATAAACTAATTGAAACCAGCCTAATTATTCCATATAACTGATGTTTA
The DNA here is from genome assembly GCF_000001405.40 of Homo sapiens. Lineage (NCBI taxonomy): Eukaryota > Metazoa > Chordata > Mammalia > Primates > Hominidae > Homo > Homo sapiens. Next base: position 64,176,746 of record NC_000010.11, on the reverse strand, counting down.
TTGTTTCTTTTGAATAAACATAGAAATTCATCCTCCCAATCTTAAAGCTTGAGAAATTTACCATTGTCCTATCTGAATCCCTTTCTCTGGAAACCAAACATCAGGCCTCCCAGATAGTATCAAGGAACTGAAACTTACCAGATCACTGCATCTGGACAATGAGGAGTCAGGCCTTTCACCCATGATGATTGCCTAACCAACTAACTGCTTCTTGTTGACCAACTCATCTTCCTTACCCCTCCCTAGTTCCCATTTTCCTACATGTACTTAAATTTCTGTTATATAAACGCCTAATTTGAGTCAGTAAGGGAGATGGATTTGAGACTGACCTCCCATCTCCTTGTCTGCAGCACCCAAATAAAACCATCAGCCCTGGAAATACACATTGTTTCAGTGATTGGCGTTCTGTGCTGGGAGCAGCAAGACCTAGACCAACCCCAGGTGTTGCGGTAAAATACTGTACCCAAGGTCACACAACCAAGAGGTAACAGAGCCCATTTGACTCAAGAGTGTGAGCTCATCCTCACTATACTATCCTGCCTCTTGCTTCACAAAGCACTTCCCAATCTAGAAAATGTGTTTGATTCTCATTAGTGGCCTGTAATGGAAATAGGAAATGTATGATTATTCTCCATTTTTCATAAAAGGACACTGATGTTCAGAAAAGCTATATTACTTATCCTAACTTGCCTAATGAATTGTTAGCAGGGAAAGGACTAGAACTCTATTCTCTTGACTCCTGGTGCTATGTTTTCCCACTCCCTTACAAATAGGTGCAGTGACATTAATTAGGTACTTACATGAAAGTGACTTTGCTGGTTCATATTAAAGAGAACTGAATAAAACATGGTCCTGACCTGCAAGAAACTTACAATCTCAGGACAGATATGTAACCATTTCTAATTTTGTTCAACAAATGTTTACTGACCATTGAATATATGCCAGACACCAGACCAGGTGCTGAGAAGGAGAGATAATAAGAAGCAGATGCTTCCCTCTCTGAGCTCACAGTGTAGGGAAGGAGGTGGGTGTAAGAATAATGTTGATACTGTGGAACAGGGATTATGGGGAGGGAGAAGTTCTTTACTCTGCGATCATGTATTCAGAGAATCTTCACAGAGGGGTGACACACAAGGAGCACTTAGATGGGTAAATAGGAATTTTACACTTAAGGAAGGCAGAAAAGATATCCTAGAAATCAAGCTGCATCTATGAAGGCCCAGGAGAAGATAAAAACAAGTGCAGACCATCTGGAGAACGGATCAATACTAGTAGAGCGTGACCTGCTAAGGACCAAGAGGGGAAAGGGGAGAATGGGAAAGGCAGGCAGAAGCCAGGATGTGAAGAGTCTTCATTAATCTGTTACAGAGGTCGGTAAGGAATATCTGGTTGCCAATGGAAAAAAATGCAAGTGCCAGAAAGAATGAGGTGTTTGAAATATGTAGGAAAGACTCCTTCATAATCTTATGAAAAATTGCATAAGAGCAATTTTTCATTCCCAAAATACAAAGCTGCTAGTTTATATTTTTTTAAACTCTCAGCAGACAAAGTCTTTCATTCTAACCAGAATCAACTGACCAATGGGTCTGGGTCATGGGATTATCATAATCCACATCCGTGAATATTTTCCAGGTTTATATTGTGATGTCTACATTTGAACTAATTTGCTGTGCACCATCTGTTTAAAAACGATCTTCACAGGTGGCTGGCTGCCTGTCAGATGCCTCACACTTTGTCACACGCACTGCAAGATTTAAAAAGAAAAAGCTTTTACGAGTGTATTTTTTTAGTGTGTTTGTATAAGGGAGTGAAAATAATTATTGCCAAAGAACACGGTGAAATACTTTTATTAAATACGTGTAGAACGGTATGGAGGCGTAGTGGTGGTGAGTGTGTGGGTGAGAGAGACATGCAGGGATGGTTACAATTAAGAAAGGAAAGATGAACTAGCATTCTCTATTCTGATTGCTACAAATGCCTTACCTGCCCTCATTTTCCGCCTCAGAACAGTAATTAGAAGCCTGGCTAATAATAGTTATTGGATTTTATTTGGCTGTTTTGTATGATATGAAGGAATGGAGAGAAAGAGTATGTGTGCACACATGCATACCAGCATATGAATGTGTGTGTTTGTGTGCATGCAGGTACACGCATGCACATTTGTATGTATGTGTATATGTGTAGGCAGTAAAAAGCTCTGGCCTGCAAATTCTACCAGCCAAATGATATTTGTAGAATTTTTTCCCACCCCACCAACTAATTATCCAAACACTAATGAGAATGTTGAACATAGCAAAATGCTTTATTTCCAGAGAAAAAGAAAGGGTATAACAACCTAATACTTACTATACATAATGATTGGAGAGGAGAAAAAGAAAACCTGCCAGTGAAGAAATCTTCTTTTGCACAGTAAAGTAGAGAAATTCAACTTGATTATTTCCAGAATATGAACTAACCTGGGAGATGAGATCCTATTTCCTAACTTAGGGTTTTCCATGGTCCGTCTCCCACCGCGGCCTCATGGACAATAACTGATTTTTGTTTTCTTCAGGGAAGAACAAGTAGGTGGTTGATTTAGAGACTGTTGGGTTGGTTCAATTTTCAGAGCAAGTGATTTATTGTAGATCTTTCAGAATTGCTCTTTTAATAAGTTTTGTTTTGTTTTTAAGGAATGACAATGATAACTGGGATTTCTTGTCCTCTGACCAAGCAGATAAAAATTCTCAAAGGATAAGTAACAACAGCTTTCCTTGTCTCATTTTTGCCTAGGGAAAAAAAGTTTTCTATCCTGCTAAAATCTAACAAGGACACAGAGCTGCAGTGTTGTTTTGTTCCCTTTGAAGGTCAGTCTGCAACAAGGTTGGCATCCAGGAAGCAATTCAATTCTGTTTAGGGATTGTATCTGGTAATTACACTCTCCTTAAATCTATGCCTGAGTTGTAAATCGAGAAGAAAACCTTCTAGCAGCCGCCCCATGATCTTTTTTAAAAGGGCAATTCCAAAAAAGTTCAAGAACCTTCAAGGTGCAGGCAATTCTTTGATATTTTGGAGGATTGTGATTAAAAGTCATTAGATTTAATTATGTGTAAATTAGGATTCATCCTTTAAAAAAAAAAACAGTAAAATCATTCATACTGTGCACTTTGTACTGGATGGACTTGTGAATATGCATAAAGCAGGGTGGTTGTGCTTAATTTTTTAAGGCTATTTTTTCACTATTTCTAGGAGAGAAAATGAAACCAAGTCATTTTTTAGGAATAAATAAATGCATTTTTAACCTCATGGATTGAAAATTAAATATGTAAATTTTATTTCAACATCCCTAAGACTCTTGGCAAATGTTGAAGCATACTGGGGAGAGATATATTAAAATTCCACAGAAAAGGACAGAATCAAATGTACATCCTCAATGAACTTTGCTCTTTTAGGGCATATTCTCCCTTGGTACTGTATTATTGATCTGGAGAAACTCGTAACATGGTACCCGTAACCAAGGATAACAAATACCTCATGCATAACATCTCTTCATTCTCCTTCACCTTGCAGATGTTGTTAACCAGTCATAGGACTCATTTGTGGTGAGTCTGGAACATTACTTCAGGATTCTTTTCAACACAATATTGCACGCGTCTCTATAAAGCCACTGGGGCTAGAACTTGAAATTTTAAAAATCTGCTTTTCTGTGTTAGACCCTTCATGATCTTGGCCCATTTCCACAGCTCCCTGACATGCTATTGCAAGTAAATGTATACACCATAGTTATGGGACTAAAGGAAGGGCTTGGAGTATTCATTGTAGTGGTAAAAAAAAAAAAAGACCTTTAAATTGGCTGTGGCTGGTTTTCCATAGGTGGTGAGCACACCTCTGTTCTTTAATTCCATTCTACCCAGGACAAGCCCCTCATTTAATTAGTTACTTCTGTATCCTTCCCTTGGTTGCTTTTCTTCCCACATTCCCTTCCTTTCATTATTTACAGGAAGACCTAGAATTTCAAGGTCTGCCATTCCTTAGAAGTATATGAGTGCCCCTAGAGGAAAACTAAACAAATTAGAGAAATCAGCAAAACACACTACTATTCTGGAGTCTGTATTTTATGATAATCTACTGGATCAAATTTAAAATGATGGCATTTTACATTTACTTAGCATGAAAGCTTAGCTGGAGCCACTTTTGTACAGACATTGAACTTCGATAATCTTGTAATATGATTTAGGGAATAGTTATGTTAAGATGGCAAACCTATTCTAATTGAGTAGAACGTGTCTGAAAAATCAAGTTTCTAAGACGGGGCATCTCGTGGCAATGGAAAACAGATTAGCATTTCCCTGGCGCCATTTATGTATTTTATTAATTATCCAGTAAAACCATAAAAATGTCTTCATCATGAAAACCATTAGTGCCATTTTGCTACCTCAAGTTTGTATACAAAGAAAAGAGGGTTGATCCTTCCATAAAGGACTCAAAACTTCCATGTATTTCCTGATTGTACTGCATGATACAGTGAGAAAACAGAAATATAATACCAGCAAAAATTTAGTCTCTAAAGAATTTCTAGCATATAACTAATCTGGAAGAAGTTGAGTTTGTTTTATTGTTTCTTCCTATTATTAATTTATGATAAAGTACAGCACATTTGTTAGAGAGCTTACTTTTTCATCTGAAACCTCTCGTTTACTTCATTCACCTTTTAATATGCTAGTACCGATTATGTCCATAATAGCACAAAAGAGCTCATGCGTCTGCCATGAAAAATCATATTTTAAAAGTATTTAAATGATTTTCATTCTTATAATAGTTCTTACATTATTTCAAAGTAAAGAAAATAGTTTGAGCACTTAAAAATAACTCCATCAAGGCCAAAGCGCAACTTGCAGCAGTCATTGTTGAGTAGAGATTAGCAAATGCTACTGAGGCAAAAACCTCTTTGCCTTCAGACTATGAGCCAGAGCTGGTGAATGATAATAAGGGGTTAGTGCTCCCCAAAATAAGAAGTAATGCTTCTTAGAGTTGCTGAATTCTTCTTAGTAATGCTGAAGTGCTTACTTAGGATTTTTCCCTGAAACAGAGCTTGAGACAAGATTAAACCCCTCTGTTGTATCTGGGTGTAGATTTTTAACGATCCAGTAAAACAATTAGATAATGTTTGCTAAGAGTTAAACTGTTGATATGATTAGGTAGTTGGCAACTAATTTTGTTTGTCCCCTTGGTTCCAGTAACCAAGAAATATTTGCGTATGAGGAGGGAAAGTATTAAGAAAAAGGATATTGTTCTTTTTCTCAAAGAGTTTGGAGTCTTATATGAACTTATGAATATATCAAGATAAATCTCAGAATGTTCACTCACAGATATTTCTGGAGACATGGAAAATGACAAGGATATAGATAACGCTCACTTGCCAGGAAGAGATGTTTATACATTTCAAAAGTTGCCAATGGGGGATATTATTTAAATAAAGTTTGATGTGCAATATTTTCGTTTTAACCCTAGAGTAAGATTGGGAGATCTATTTAATTTTAGTACTGCAAATATTGCTTTATGCTAAGGCAGAAAATCTAAACCATTGAATTTCTTTCTTATATAAAATAGCAAAGTTTTTTTGTTTATGTTAAGAATTTGACGGCGCGCGTATGCGGCCGCGGCCGCGTGACGCATTTTCAAATCTTCAACCGCTGCAGCCCCCTCGTTTGTGATTTGCGCCTTCCTCCTCCGTGCCTTGGAGCCGGATCCGGCCCCGGAAACCCGACCCACAGACGCGGTACCTCTACTGCGTAGAGGCCGTAGCCAGCGGAAGTAGAGAGGCGGCCGTCCTGTCAACAGACGTGGGGAAGCCTTGCTTTCGCGGCTGCCCGGCGCGACCCTTTCTCCGGACCCAGCATGTAGGTGCCGGGCGACTGCCATGAACTCTGGAGCCGTGAGGATCCACAGTAAAGGACATTTCCAGGGTGGAATCCAAGTCAAAAATGAAAAAAACAGACCATCTTTGAAATCTCTGAAAACTGATAACAGGCCAGAAAAATCCAAATATAAGCCACTTTGGGGAAAAGTATTTTACCTTGACTTACCTTCTGTCACCATATCTGAAAAACTGCAAAAGGACATTAAGGATCTGGGAGGGCGAGTTGAAGAATTTCTCAGCAAAGATATCAGTTATCTTATTTCAAATAAAAAGGAAGCTAAATTTGCACAAACCTTGGGTCGAATTTCTCCTGTACCAAGTCCAGAATCTGCAAATACTGCAGAAACCACTTCACCTCATCCCAGCCATGATGGAAGTTCATTTAAGTCACCAGACACAGTGTGTTTAAGCAGAGGAAAATTATTAGTTGAAAAAGCTATCAAGGACCATGATTTTATTCCTTCATATAGTATATTATCAAATGCCTTGTCATGGGGAGTAAAAATTCTTCATATTGATGACATTAGATACTACATTGAACAAAAGAAAAAAGTTGCATTCACTCAAGAAATCAAGTACTTCAGTAAGAGATGGGGGCAAAAGAGTTGGTAGTGGTGCACAAAAAACAAGAACAGGAAGACTCAAAAAGCCTTTTGTAAAGGTGGAAGATATGAGCCAACTTTATAGGCCATTTTATCTTCAGCTGACCAATATGCCTTTTATAAATTATTCTATTCAGAAGCCCTGCAGTCCATTTGATGTAGACAAGCCATCTAGTATGCAAAAGCAAACTCAGGTTAAACTAAGAATCCAAACAGATGGCGATAAGTATGGTGGAAACTCAATTCAACTCCAGTTGAAAGAGAAGAAGAAAAAAGGATATTGTGAATGTTGCTTGCAGAAATATGAAGATCTAGAAACTAATAAAATACAGTGTTGGATCCCTTTCTCCTGTTTCTGCAAGTGTCCTGAAAAAGACTGAACGAAAGGAAAAAGTGGAATTGCAACATATTTCTCAGAAAGATTGCCGGGAAGATGATATAACGGTGATAGAGCAGAATTTCCTGTATAAAGAGACCCAGGAAACTGAAAAAAACTTCTGTTTATTTCAGAGCCCATCCCCCACCCTTCAAATGACTTGAGAGGGCTTAACAAGAAAATGAGTAATAAATGTTCCATGTTAAGTACAGCTGAAGATGACATAAGACAGAATTTTACACAGCTACCTCTACATAAAAACAAACAGGAATGCATTCTTGACATTTCCGAACACACATTAAGTGAAAATGACTTACAAGAACTAAGGATAGATAACTATAAATGTAACATACAGGCATCTGTTCATGTTTCTGATTTCTGTACAGATAATAGTGCATCTCAACCAAAACAAAAGTCAGATCCTGTGCTTTTTCCAGCAAAGGATCTCAAGGAAAAGGACCTTCATTCAATATTTACTCATGATTCTGGTCTGATAACAATAAACAGTTCACAAGAGCACCTAACTGTTCAGGCAAAGGCTCCATCACATACTCCTCCTGAGGAACCCAATGAATGTGACATCAAGAATATGGATAGTTTACCTTCTGGTAAAATACATCGAAAAGTGAAAATATTATTAGGACAAAATAGAAAAGAAAATCTGGAACCAAATGCTGAATTTGATAAAAGAACTGAATTTATTACACAAGAAGAAAACAGAATTTGTAGATCACCGGTACAGTCTTTACCAGACTTGTTTCAGACTAGTGAAGAGAAATCAGAATTTTTGGGTTTCACAAGCTATACAGAAAAGAGTGGTATATGCAATGTTTTAGATATTTGGGAAGAGGAAAATTCAGATAATCTGTTAACAGTGTTTTTCTCGTCCCCTTCAACTTCTACATTTACTGGCTTTTAGAATTTAAAAAATGCATACTTTTCAGAAGTGATAAGGATCATATTCTTGAAATTTTTATAAATATGTATGGAAATTCTTAGGATTTTTTTTACCAGCTTTGTTTACAGACCCAAATGTAAATATTAAAAATAAATGTTTGCAATTTTCTACAGAATTGAATGCCTGTTATAGAAAAATTACAGAATAAACTTGTGACTGGTCTTATTTTACAGTTTAAAAAAGAAAGAATTTGACACAAATAAATGGAAAGATGTCCTGTGTTCATGAATTGGAAGACAATATATTTAAGATGTCAATGCTACCCAAAACAATCTATAAATTTAATGCAATCCCTATCAAGATCCCAGTAGTGGCTTTTGGTAGAAATAGAAAAATTTATCCTAAAATTCATATGGAACCTCAACGGACCTCAAATAGCCAAACAATCTTGAAAAAGCATAACAAAATTGAATGTCATAATTCCTGATTTCAAAACTTATTACAAAGCTTCAGTAGTCAAAACAATGTGGTACTGGTATAAAGACAGACATATAGACCAATGAAAATAGAATCAAGAACCCAGAAATAAACCCTCACATGTACAGTCAAATGATTTTTGACAAGAGTACCAAGACCATTCAATGGATATTCTCTTCAATAAATGATACTGGGAAAAGCGAATATCCATATGCAAAAGAATGAAGTTGAACCCTTACCTTAAGCTGTGTATACAAAAAACCCAAAATGGATTACAAACCTAAGAGTAAAACTATAAAACTCTTAGAAGAAAACATATGGGATTGGATTTGGTGATAATTTCTTAAATATGATACTAAAAGCATAGACCACAAAAGTAAAAATAGATAAGTCGGACTATGCCAAAATTTAACATTGATGTGCATCAAAGGATAAAATCAACAGAGAAAAGGCAGCCTACAGAATGGGAGAAAATACTTTCAGATCATATACCTGACAAGCGGTTCATATCCACATCCATAAAGAACTCCTACATCTCAACAACAAAAATAAAAACAGCCTAATTAGAAAATGGGCAAATCACTTGAATAGACATTTCTTCAAAGAAGATATACAAATGACCAAAAAGCGTACGAAGGGATGCTCGGCACCACCAATCATTAGGGAAATCACAAAATAAAAAAATTACAATGAAATACTACCTCACCTTCCCCATAGTGGCTAATATTTAAAAAGAAAAGAATGAGTTTTGACAAGGATGTGGAGAAATTGGAACACTTATACACTACTGATAGAAATGTAAATATAAAATGGTACAGCTGCTATGGAAAGCAGTATGGCAACTCCTCAAAAGAATAAAAATAGAGTTACCATATGATCCAGCAGCTCTACTTCTGGACATATATCCAAAAGAATTGAAAGCAGAGTTTCAAAGACATATTTGTACAGCTATTATTCACAATAGCCAAAAGGTGAAAGCAACATAAGTGTCCACCAACAGATGAATGGATAAACGAAATGTGGTATGCACATACAATGGAATATTATTCAGCCTTAAAAAAGGAGGAAAATTTTTACACATGCTACAACATGAATGACACTTGAGGATAATATGCTAAGAGAAATAAGCCAGCCAAAGAAAGACACATACTATATGACTCCACCTATATAAGGTACCTACAGTAGTCAAATTTGTAGAGATAGAAAACAGAATGGTGGTTACCAAGAGCTTGAAGGTGAGGGGAGAATGAGCATTTATTGTTTAATGAGCATAGAGTTTAGTTTTGCAAGATGAAAAGAGTTCTGAAGACTGGTTGTGCAACAATGTGAATGTACTTAACACTACTAAACTGTACAGTTAAAAATGATTAAGGTGACAAATTATATGTTACGTGTATTTTACCACAACTTAAAAAAAGAGAGAATTTGAGAAGTTCCTGTATACTAAGAATTAGGCCTTGGGGTTTACAGGTCAAGGATTCCTTTCCCTGTCTTTTATTATATACTCCATTTCAGACTATGGTTCCTAAAATAATCTTCATATGCAGGGTATTCATCTTGTATTCTAGTCTCTTATAGTCAAGAATGTATCCCATAAACTAAAGAGAAGTTAATTCCTTTATTAATTGAGAACAAACAAAAATGGACAGCTTAACTGAGTCCTGCCAAAATTACTGACTCAGGAAATCATGAGATATAATAAATATCACATGTATAGTTTGTTATGAAGCAGTAGATAACCAGAACAACTGATTTAAGAATTTAGGTTGTGAAATCCTCCCCCTTTCCCTCCAGTAGAAGTGACTGGAATTAGATGATAGAGGAGCAAACAGAAATGTAACTGTAGATTGATGTCAGAATGAAAATGAATTTGGAAAAAATTAAGCTCTTCTCATTTCAGCATAAATTTAGACACTTATATTCTAGAAAGTGATGATCACATGGAAGAGGACCAGCTAAGCACTGATTGTATACAACAATTCATTTCATATGAGAAAATATTAGCAAGGAAATGGGAATTATTGCTAGCTTTTGCTTGTAATTGCATGCTCTGTGCTCATATTTTGCCTATAATACCTAACACTATCTTATGTACCTCTGCCACCTGCCCATCATTTACTGAATCATCTCATGAAGTTGAACTAAGTAATGGGAGTTAAAGACCAGGCATGGTGGCTGACACCTGTCATCCCAGCATTTTGGGAGGCCAAAGCAGGAGGATTGCTTGAGCTGAGGAGTTCAAGAGCAGCCTGGGCAACATAGGGAGACCCTGTTTCTACAAAAAAAAAAAAAAAAATTTAAAAATTAGCCGGGTGTTGTGGTATGTGCCTGTGGTTCCAGTTACTAGAGGGTCTGAGGTGGCGAGGTGGGAGGATCGCTTATGCCCTGGAGGTGAAGGCTGCAGTGAGCTGTGATCATGCCACTCCACTCCGATGTGGGTGACAGAATGAGACCCTGTCTCAAAAAAAGGAAAAAGAGAGGTAGATGTCAGAATGGGGCAGAGAAGAAGAGCCTGGCACATTAGAGTTGCTGATACAGAACTGGGGAGATACTGCTGTCTGCTCAGACAGCCAACAAAATCTCACACATTGAACTTTAGTAATTAGCTATGTTTCATTCTCCACCCAAAGAGTTGCTCATTGTGCAGTCTTGAACGTGATGGACCAGTAGCCAATTTCTAATACTATGCTGAGAAATAAAAAAGAAAATTGGAAAGGAAAATGTACTTCAAATTTAAATGTTTTCTCTGAGTCTGACAAACAGCAGAAGAAAATGGTTCAATCAATTCAGAGACCACCCTTCATTTCATATACTAACCAGGAGGGCTGCGTATATTTTACCTCTAACCATGACCTACTAGTATTTGTTTTTGACATTTTCAGAGGTCAGACCTATTACACAACAAGCAATTTCATTCAGCTTGGAAATTGTACTTTGTAATTACACTACCCTTCAATAGTCACCCTGACTAGAATGTAAATAATCCAGGGAATTATATGGCTTAACATACTTATACATTTAAAATAAAGCTGGATGTAAAATTTAAAGCAGGGGATATGAACTGATATCCATGCTAGTCTTCTCCATAATCCCCAAACCCATATCCATGCATTTCAATTACTTTGGTATATATAATCTTTTAAACTCACAGTATTTACTAGCTTGTTTCTTTTCAAAATAGCATTTGTTTAGGAAGAATTCTATTTGGGTGTAGTTCTTCAAGCCCTCACAGGAGATAAGAGAAAAATGTTATTTTATGTACACTGAATAAACATTATTTTGGCTTGACTTTAGGTTGCTTTCCAGCATCTAATATTGTCTACTTAACTATTTACAGCCTTAGTCTCTTCATTTGTAAAATAAGGGTATATATTTAATACTCATATGCAGCCAGAACTCTACACATATTTTCCATGTAGCCTTGCAGGAGTAATATTGACCTTTCTATGACTCAGTTTTCTTATGTGTGAAAAGGGGAGATTATATGCTTACATCATAGTGTCTTGTGAGAACTAAATGTACACATCTTAGCAAGTGCTTTGTCAATCTTGGCACTGATGATGATTATGTTGATGATGATTATACCTACCCAAAGTAGTTGTTCGAAAAATTATAGCTATTGTTTTTAATATTATTGAATTTAAAGAAGATCGGGTAAGTCCCATGCCATATGTATTTAGAACAAAAAAACAACCAATTCTGATTTAGAATCAGTCTCTCAAAAAATAATCCAGGTTAGTAATTTGTTGAGAACCTAAATCCATTACAAAGATGACCAGAATAAAATGACCAATTTTCAATGGTTTTGTTCAGTAATTCTCAATTGCGACTATTATTACAATCAACTCCAGATCCTTCTAAAATGACAACCATGAAGACCATAGTCCTTTCTCCTCAATAGGTCTCAGCTGTGGTAGCTTTGCAGGTGATTGTTGTGTGCAGTCTTGAAAGGCATATATTTAGTCATTTGACATATGTCTCCTAGATTGGGTAAGCCACAGCTAGGCACCTAGTACTGAGTAGAGGCCTCAGCAAGAAAGAACAACAAGCAATGTCAAAACACATATGTCTTTCTATCCTTCCTTTTTAAAATTTCCATTAACTCAAGACCCTATAGCTTCATTTTAGGAAGTAAAACGGGGTTAATCTTAGTTCCTGAATAAAATACTAGATAAGGAATTTCAAACATTCACAAAAAATTCAAACAGTTATTCATGGATACTAATTATTTTTTCAAAGATCAGATATTTCAGTTAAAATAAATATTCCTGAGAGAAAAATGACTAAGTTAATCTCATCAATCAGAGCTGTGAGAATTTTTTAGGGACCTCAAGAGAATACGTCCAAAGTTAGAAGGATGAGAAGATGGGCTCCAAAGTTTCTACCTTATTCAACCACACTAGCCCTAATAGTATTGATTTTACATTTTAGCTTGCTCTTAAGGAAAAGTTAAACAGTAAAAATGAATCTAAAATGAGCTAATTTGCTCATTCTTCTTTTTATTATAGACCACCAGATTTTTTCAAGTTTGTATCCTAAGGTGAAATTATAATTTTGCAATTAGCCGGCTATTTTGAATTATGCTACCAATGTCTGGGTAAAGAGGGGCAAACAAAAACAATTTTTTAAGTGCTAAATTCATCTGGTATCATTTCCATAGATCAAGTGAACTAGGTAATTACCCAAAACCTCACTTATTTTAAAGTGTGCAAACACAGCAGAGCATGAGGTTTGCTATATTTAATTTCACCTTCACTGTAGAAAACCAAATCCTACACTAAGACTTCCAATAGAACAATAATGACAATGGGGAATTGAAGGTCCCAACCTCTCCTTCTAGGGAGAGGGAGAGGGCCCAGGTAGGGAATGAATACCAAACATTTACAATCTTTGAAAAAAGGGCTGATTGGAAATTGCTCCTGAGAGAAGATCAAAGGTTGGGGCTTTGTAGAAAGAGGAACAGGCTAGTTTTAAGATCAGTTTTTTAATCATAAGTCTTTGTCAGTCAGCTCAGCACAAAGCATCAAGGCCTTTGCAGGGTAGAGAACAATTTTGACATACAGAATAAAATGGGCAAACAGGATGTAAAAGGAAGTTTAATGAAAAATTTTGTGTAGATTTTTAAAATTGGATTTGGCTTTTTTTAAAATAAACACTTTAAAAGTAAAAAATAGCCAATGATGTCAAAAGAAAACGTAATAGCATTAAAGCTGTCCCACGTGACTGGCACATAGTATATTGGAGAAAGCATGGGCTGTCATGTCAGACAGACCAAGGTTCAAACTCTGACTCTACCACTTACTAGCCATGACAAGTTACTTACTTTGAGGCTTCACTTCCTCAAATGTATAAGGAGGCTCTAGTGTATGCTTCACATAGAATTGCTCCAGGAATGAAATGAGATATTTACTGTTAAGTTCTAGGAAGACTAGCTCTGATGAACAATAGATACCAATTTCTTTCCACTGCCTCACCTCCAGAGATCTAGATAGAATTGTCTCTGATTAACTTAGAAGCCATCTCTAGCTATTGGCTGCCAAGGTACAATATCATAATGGCTATACATGACTATGAACAATAAATGATGAAGTACTCTGATTAATGGGTGGTGTTTGGCTTCTGAGCTGTGACATCCACCAAAATTGGTGGTCAGCCCTTTATTTTAAAAGTTTGGTATGTGGATAGCAGTATCAGCCTCACTTGGGAGCTTATTAGAACTATAGGCTTTCAAAGCTCACCTCAAAGCTACTGAATCAGGATCTGCATTTGGAAAATATCCCCAAGTAATTTGAATGAACACTAAAAGTTAAGATATACAGGTCTGACCCTACACCAGCCTCCAAAATCACTTTGTTCTCCAATTCAATTGGTTGTAGACCTAACTTCTAGAATAAAATGTTTAAAATTCAAATTATCTCAGGAAAACGGGCTAAATTCCTACATTTAATGTTTTCAGATACTCTTAGCCCTTAGATGTTTTTGTCCACAATGAAAGGCTTGCATATGATTTTTAATCTTTGTCTTTCTATAATAGATAGAAGTGTTCAGCCTAGCAAACATTCATAAGTTTTTAAAGTAATATTCAAAAGTTAACAATTTCTTTTATAAATATAGACTAATTTCCATGGCACCCTAAATTTATTCAAGTAGCTTAAAATAGTTTAATTTCATTTCTCTGAAATGAATTTTAATTAATGTTAAGATATTTTTAATTATATAAAAGAAGATTTTTTTTTAATTCTATATTCTCTCTTTTCTACACTCATGAGTGGACCAAAAACAACCCAAGAAATTTGCATTAATCATTTTTTAAGAAGGAAGTTGAGGCAGAGCTCCCTCTAAAAAAAGCCTAACAAACATCCAAAAAAGGACAAGGATCTCCCTTGCTAGGGATTAGCGTCCTGAATCTGATGTTTAAGGGAGACCTCAGAATTCTCATTTTCCAGACCAATGAAGCTGAGGTAACATTCAAGGTCAGGCGCAGTGCCTCAAGCCTGTAATCCCAGCACTTTGGGAGGCCGAGGCGGGCGGATCACAAGATCAAGAGATCAAGACTATCCTGGCCAACATGGTGAAACCCTGTCTCTACTAAAAATACAAAAATTAGCTGGGCGTGGTGGCACACGCCTGTAGTCCTATCTACTAGGGAGGCTGAGGGAGGAGAATCGCTTGAACTCGGATGGCAGAGGTTGCAGTGAGCTGAGATCACGCCACTGCACTCCAGCCTGGCAACAGAGCGAGACTCCATCTCAAAAAAAAAAAAAAAAAAAAATTCAAGCCACTGAAGCAGGAAAAGTAGCCGGGTCTAGTGAGTAGACCCTTCCATCTGGACTATAAAGTAGAGACAGCACAGAGGAGTAGTTGAGAGGCCAACATTTAAAATTAAAATTAATTTTAAAATCACATTTTTTATGCAGGCTCTGCAAAGGGTTAGTTGCATGATTCTGAGCATGATACAGTTTTTTCTAAAGCTCTGTGTTCTCTTCTACAAAATGAGGCATCATGAACCTCACTGGATTATTATGTGAGTCAAATTATAGTGAGTGAATATATGTGGAGCATCTGACATAGTGCCTGCAGGTAATGAGAGCTTAGTAAATTACATCTATTAGTGTCATTGTTTGTGTGTGGGCCTTCGATTAGGAATGCAGATCACACCTCCCTCCATCAGATTCAGGTATTTCATCCTTACGTACCCTACATTGTGGGAGGTATAATACATGTGTTGTGACAAATAACTTATGGTGGTATTTAGACAAGAAGTTACAGCATCTTACTTGACTGAGCATTTACCTTGTTCTAAGCACTTTTCAAGATGTTCTATGTATTTTTTTAATCTCTTAATCTTCACAACAACTATATGAGTTATTATCCCTATTTTATAGAATTGGAATCTAAAGCATAAAGAGAAGTACCTTGGCCAAGATTATACAGTAAAGCAGCTGTAGTGGGCAGTTATAATTTTTTATCTTCCTACCCAGCATCTTAAAATTAGGAAATGTTTGCAGAGGGACCTTGTTATGGACACGGAATGTTGTAACAGCTAATTTCATATGTCAACTTGGATCAGCTTTGATGCCTAGTTATTCGGTCAAAAACTCATCTAGATGTCACTGTGAAGGTGTTTTTTAGATGTAATTAACATTTTAATCAGTAGGCTTTGACTAAAGCAGATTACTCTCCTTATTGTGGTTGAATGTCATCTAATCAGTTAGAAGTCTTAAGAGCAACCAGTGAGATTTTTCAAAGAAGAAGGAGCCTGGCCTCGGGACTGCAACAAAGAAACCCTGCCTGAGTTTCCAGCCTGCCTGGCCTGCCCTGTGGAATTTAGACAAAACTGCAACATCAACTCTAACCTGAATTACCAGCCTGCTGGCCTGCCCTACAGACTTCAGACTTGCCAGCCCCTACAATCACATGAGCCAATTCCATAAGATAAAATAAAGTGGGAAACTAAAATAACCTATTGGTTCTGTTTTTCTGAAGAACCTTGACTACACAAATGGGGACATAAATGTCCTCTTCCTACCCCTTGAGACTTAAGGGCATGGGCACAACCAATCACAGAGGGAGGGAGAATTAAGGGCATGGGCACAACCAATCACAAAGATGGAGGGAGAGTTAGGAAATTCTTCACACTGGCAGTGGCAGCAACATTAAGAGTGTGCTGGTGGCAAATGTCCAGTGGCAACAGCACCAGAAGCAGCAGTTTCCTTATCAGGTAATTCCTGAGATATGACTTTGGCTGTGTTCTCCACTGCCAAGGCCCTCTTGGTTTTCTACGCATTTCCTGACACTAGTTTTCCAGCTTTAACATTGATTCTGTTCATTATCCTCCCTATAGTTGGCTTTTTTGCTTAGAGCCCAGTCTCTGTGGCTTGCAACCAGACAACTCTGATTATGCAATGGTGAAACAGTGGTAAGAATCAGGGAGTCTAACTCCAGTGTCTATCTGACCTTTTATCCTGCTTCCTATCACCTCTCACAAAACTTTCCATTTGGAAAGGACTTTAGCAATCAGATTCAATTTTATTGAGAAGGAAACTGAGACATGAACAGTTAATCAAAAACAAGGATTCTCTAAATTTCAGTGGAAATGATAAATAAGATAAAAAATGATTCCAAGTTACAAAGTATTATATAAAGGAGTGTGTGTGTGTGTGTGTGTGTGTGTGTGTGTCCCAAATCCTGTTACATCTAAACTAGGAGTTGAAGCAACAAAGAGACAAAGAATGAATAAAAATACAAAATAGAAATAACTCTTTTATGTTTAAGGAATAGGAACACTCCACAAACTCCAGCAGAAGATGGAATAAGTTGAGTAAGTTGAATTAGAGAGACTCTGGAGCTATAAACTAAGGGATCTTAGCCACAGATAAGATGGTAGTAAAGAACTACATTGGAAATAAAGAGGATTGCCTGACTATCTACAAACCAAACCCCGAGTCTACCCAACTCCAGCTACCTTCTCCCAGCTTAGGTCCTAGAGCTCTGGAAGGCAAACATATACTCCTCAGTCAAGAAATTGGAAGATATTGCTCCAGAGATTCCTCTGTTCCAACGAAAAGAACTATAGGTAATGGCATCTGGAGTAGCCTCATAAAAAATAAAACTCCTACCCAATCCTGATTGTATTATTATGTTTATCAGTTGAGAAGCCACTGTCATGCCCATAGCACTCCTAATCGCTATCTCAGTGCCACATCCCTAAATATTAACAGAAAGCCAAGACCTTCAGAAATTTGAGAAAAGCCTCTACAATAAAAATGATGGTTTAAACTTCAATAATCTAGAAGGGAAGCCCTTTATAAAATATATTCAGTTCTTTAATGCTAAGGACTTCTGATTTTTAAGAAGTCCAGGAAATCTTGAAATAAGTTATGACATCAAGATGATGGTACCAATTGACAAACTTCAGGAGAGGGTTTTATGAAGATGGTTTTATTTCTTCGGTGCTGTTGACCCTAAAGATGGGCCTTTAGTAATACAACCCAAGTGAATTTCTGCCCTGCTTCCCTTGAAAGTGCAAAGAACAGCAACTTTGGAAAACTGAACGCTTGTCTAGAGATTAACATTCAAATGAACAGGATTTGGAACTGGAATTTATTTCTGAGGTCCAACAATCTAGTCCAAAAAGTGAATTCACATCCTACTCAAAAAATACTTGGAAACTGATTCTTGAAGAAAACACTCAGAAAACAGTAGTACATCCAGCATTATCATGCCAAAAGAGTGGTCTGTGACTTAATTCCTGGAAGTTCAGCGCCTGTCAAAATTTGGGATATGAATCCCCCAAACTGATGAATAACACCTACTGGGAAAGCACTTTCATGTTACACACATCTATCCAGGCAGTCTAGCCTGGGGAAATTATTTCTGATTTAGAATAGGGAAAAAATGAGCAAACATCTGCTAAATCTCCATGATGGGGCTTGGCCTATTGATGCAATTTTAACACAGAATGGTCATAAACAATGGTCTATAAAGTACATTGTTCCCACCTCTCCAGTGAAACATTTTGAGTAATTCCCTTTTCACTTGACCCATTGCTAACTAGAAAGAGAAATCTAAAATGTTTCTCTTGCCTTCCTTTCTTTAGCTTTTCCAATTTTGTCATTGTTAAGGAGGCGTGATTTTTCTCATGGAGGGCTTACATAGCTCCAAAGAATAAATCTGTTACATTAGTAAAGTAAAAGTAAATTTAATGTAATTTATCCATAGAAATTTAAGAGCAGCGATAAATAACAGTAATTAAAATATGTAGTAAGCACAGCTTTCAGTCAGAAAATAATAGAGAATGGGTCAGTCTCTTCACTTTTCATCTCCTCCTATCTCTCACACTTAACCTTTTCCATGAACCCAAGATACCTGCTTCAAACGGTGTTTTTCCAAGAAAATGGAAGGTGGAGAAGATGGCTGTTCAGTCTCCTCAAAGCTGTAGAAATAGGAGGACCCACAGTCCTGTTAAGCAATGGCCTTCCTATTGCTATTGGATAGCTCATCTTGACGTGAAACATAGCAAACTAAAATAACGTGTAGTGAAGAAATCTTACCTTTGGATGTACAGCCACTCTCACTTTCTAAATTGGAAGGCACTAAATTAAAGGACCATTTCTTCTGTAGCTCATGAGGTTGAGTTTAGGTGAAATTTCCCGGGAGGAGCCATCAGGAACAGAAGTTGAGGAGTACCGAATGCCTCTATCTAAAAGAGGGAAAAGAATCTGAAGGGGTGATCCAAGCAGGGGAGTTCCTAGGCCTGCAGGCAAATGAGAAGAATGTGAACAAATAAACCTCAACTAAGTGGAGCAAGGAACCAGGAGAAACACACTTGTTGGGGATGGTCAAAGGCATTTTGAAACATGAGTGCCTAAGGTTCATGCTGAAGTTACTGTTTTCTGCCTCACAAACACCATCTTCGTAAGCCCCACCACACTTTTGCTAAAGTATGCTACATCTATGAGTGGGGTGAGTGTGTGTGTGTGTGTGTGTGTGTGTGTGTGTGTGTGTGTCTGAGAGACAGAGAGAGAGAGAGAGAGAGAAAGAGAGAGAGAGGAGGCACTAAGTTTCCCATCTGGGAATATACAAGGCAGATAGGGAAGACAATGAGGAAGTACAAAGCCCTGAGGCAGAGGAGCCCACAGGAATGCAAGCAGCTAGTCAGCTCATACATCGTGGAGTATATTTTTAACTCTGAATCAAGGATCAGAGAGATTCTTGCACCAGTCTTACAAAACCCAAGTTCTATTTAGTGAAACAGATTCAACGTAATTTCTAGTTTGACATATTGGCATTTATCATCTTTGGTTTTGGAAGAAACTAGATGGAACAGGGGCTGGCTCTATAACTATGTGGCTTGTATTCTTCTCCTTATGATCCACCTGAAGCACAACTACTTATTTTCCTTAAAATTTCAGCATTTTTTAAAAACTTATTTTTATTGCAACTAAAAGAGGTATGGAAGACAACTCAGGAAGATTTCAGTTAAACCTGTCTTGTACGTTATTTGGGTTGCACCACTGTTCATGCCCTTGTGTATCTGAAAAAAAAAATTAAACCATGCAAATATTTACTTCTGTCTTATGTCCATGCAGATAATTCTTTCTCCTTGGAAATGCCTTACTTATTTCCTTCATCTCAATGGAGTTGAAGTTCCATCTTCCTTCCCTTTTGACTTTTGAAAGTTTGTCTTTAAAAAATAGATTACTGTTTCCCCTGAACTGAAGAAAAAAAAATAGTTCTTTTCATTAGGTTATTATTCACCCTTTATGTTTGCCTTTTCTTCTTTCCTGTCAGTACATTCCATTAAAAAAGTCTTGTTCAATAACTAGCTGGCTGAGTTCATTTTCACATAAATTTATTCATATCACAGCAGCTACTTGGCAAAGAATTCTACAAAATTCACTGACCTTGAAAGACAGATAGAAATGGGGAATGCTCTACCTCTTCATACCAAATGGGAGAATATTTACATGATGGTTTTTAGATACTAGAGGCTGCAGTGTATAAAACAATACTATAACTGTTTATTAAGAGTGCCAACTTTATTCCCTTTGGACTATGGGCTTATTATTTTGATGACAACCTGCCAGTAGTCGTTTTCTGTGAGACTAGTGTGTGTTGCCCAGTAACATGGGCAGAGGTTCCTGAACAGACTGCCTCAGTCATTATGATCCATATGGCCAAGCAGAAATGAACGGGCTGGGGAAGGAAGGTTCTTGCTCTATGTCAGAGTCACTCAGCTTGTCCAAATGACAAGGAGAGAGCCTAATCATGTGACTTTTTCTTCGTGTGCTCATTCATTTAATATCACCTCTTCAAGTCTTCTCTAAGCACTTATCCTGTGCATCACCTTTCTGATCTTCAAGATGTTCTTAAAGAAAAAGAAACATCATATTTTATAGAAAGAATGTGGAGAAGATTCAGAAATCTTGTGGTCCATTCAATTTATGAATCCAATAAAAAGGAAACAATACTGTCTTTATCATTTTTGTGCTCTTTACGGGATCCACCAATGTTATTATGAGAAGAAACAATTATATCTCCCAGAAATTCAGAAAGAAGAAATTCACCTGAAATCCTATGACCCTTCAGTTATCACCATTAGCATTTTAGTGACTGTCTTTTCACATACTTCTGTGACTATACTCTCCTAATTTAAATAAATGTACAGAAATCCCAATAAAATGTCTGTATCATTAATAACTTGCTCTTCTTGTCATTCTGTCATTAACATCTCTTTTTCAACAATCTACTGTGTATTTTTCTGTGTGTGTCCTTCTCCAAGTACACATATGCATATATGATATACATATATGTACATGACCCAGTTACAGTTTCATTCAGCAGGGTGAGGAGAAATAAAGACTTTAATATCAGCCAGTACTCATATTTGTCCTTGTTCTATGCCCCCTCCCTACTGATTTGTGTCCAGATTCTTGGGAACAAAAACTATAATTAAAATCCTAAGGAGGTACTTCCCTAAAGACTTCCAGAGGCCTCTGAGAGAGTGGGATACAGCACAGAAGGAGGCTATCTCTTGCCTGCCCCACAGAACACAGTGCAGCTCTGGGCAAGTCAAGGCCAGAGTACCCAGGGGAAGACTACAGAGGAAGTAACATGTGCAACAAGACCTAGCAAAGGCAGTGAAAAGATTGCAAAAAGTGCTAAGAAAGGAATGGTTCTTAACTAGAAAAGACAAGAGGCAATTTAGTAAAATAGAGAAGAGCACAAGCACTACAGCCAGAGTGCCTGGGTTTGAGTCACTTACCAAAGTAAGTAATTCCCTTAATTCCTCAGTGCCTCAGTCTCATCAGCTGCAAAATGGGAACAATAATAGGGCCTCTCTCATAGAGTGTATTAGTTTCCTAGGGATGTTATACAAAATACCAAAAACGGGATGGCTTAAACAACAGAAACTTATTGTTTCACAATTCTAGAGGCTGGAAGTCCAAGATCAAGGTGTTGGCAGCACTGGTTCCTTCAGAGGGCTTTAAGTAAGAACTGTTTCATGCCTCTCTCCTAGCTCCTGGTGGTTTTCTGGCAATCGTCACCTTGTCGATGTATTGATCCAATCTCTGCTTTCATCCTCACATGGTATTCTCCTTGTGTTTCTGTCTCTACACATCATCTTCTCTGTGCATGTTTGTCCCTATGTCCAATTTGCCTTTTTTATAAGGATGCCAGTCATACTGGATTAGGGACCATCCTTCATTTTAACTAATGACTTCATTTTAACTTGATTACCTCTGTAAAGACCCAGTTTCCAAATAAGGTCACATTATGAGTTACGAAGGCTTGGGACTTCACCGTATCTTTTTGGGGGAGACACTATTCAACCCATAACATAGGGCTTTTATGAGAAGCAAATTAATTGGTGTTCATGAGTGCTTAACACATTGCCTAGTTTATAATAAGCACTACAAAACCATTAGCTAGCATTAATAATAGAGATCAGTTTTATGTAAATTAAGAGAGAAATAATGTACAGACACACCTCGTTTTATTGAGCTTCACTTTGTTGCACTTCACAGATCTTGCAATTATTATTATTTTTTTTTTTTTACAAATTGAAGATCTATGGCAACCATGTCAAGCAAGTCTATCAGCACCATTTTTGCAACAGCATGCCCTCACTTCATGTCTCTGTGTCACATTTTGGTAATTATTGCAATATTTCAAACTTTCTTCATTATTGTTCTATCTGTTATGGTGATCTGTGATCAGTGATCTTTGATGTTACTATTGTAATTGTTTTGGGACACCACGAACATTTCCCAAATAAGACTGCAAATTTAGTCAATCCATGTTGTATGTTTGAACTGCTTCACCAGCTGGTCATTCCTCTTTCTCTTTCTCTCTCCCTCTCCTCAGGCCTTCTATTATTTGAGATACAAAAATATTTAAATTAGGTCAATTAATAACTCTGCAATAACCTCTAGGTGTTCAAATGAAAGGAAGAGTCACATGTATCTTACTTTAAATCAGAAGCCAGAAATGATTAAGCTTAGTGAAGTAGGTATGTTTAAAGCCAAGATATACTGAAAACTAGGCCTCTTGCACCAGTGAGCCAAGTTGCCAATGCAAAGGAAAAGTTCATGAAGGGAATTAAATACACTACTACAGTAAACACAGGAATGATAAGTGAAACAGCCTTATTCCTAATAAGAAGAAAGCTTCAGTGATCTGAATAATAGATCAAACCAGCCACAAAATTATTATAAGCCAAAGTCTAATCCAGAGCAAGGTCCTAACTCTTTTCAGTTCTACCAAGGCTGAGAGATGAGGAAGCTGAAGAAGAAAAGTTTGAAGCTAGCAGACATTGGTTCATGAGGTTTAAGAAAACAAGCTGTCTCCATAATGTACAGTGCAAGGTGAAAAAGCAAGTGCTAGTGGAGAAGCTGCAGTGAGTTATCCAGGAGATCTAGCTAAGATCACTGATGAAGGAAGCTATACTGAGCAATAGCTTTTTAATGTAGATTAAAAAGCCTTATATTGGAGGAAGTTGCCATCTAGGACTTCCATAGTTAGAGAGGACAGGCCAATGCCTGGCTTCAGTGCTTCAAAGGACAAGCTTTTATTAGGGGCTAAAGCAGCTGGTGACTTTATTTGAAGCCAATGCTTATTTGCTATTCTGAAAACCCTAGGGCTCTTGAGAATTACCTCAAATCTACTGTTTCCTTCTATAAATGGAACAACAAAGCCTAGGTGGAAGCACAACTGTTTATAGCATGGTTTACTATTTTAAGCCCAATGTTGAGACCTACTGCTCAGAAAAAAAGATTCCCTTCAAAATATTACTGTTCATTGACAATGCACCTGGTCACCCAAGAGCTCTGATGGAGATATACAGGGAGATTAATATTTTTTCATCCCTGCTAACACAGCATCCATTCTGCATCCCATAAATCAAGGAGTAATTTTTACTTTCAAGTTTTATTATTTAAGAAATGCATTTCCTAAGATGATAGCTGCCTTGGATAATGATTCCTCTAATATATGTGGGCAATGTAAATTAAAAACTTTCTGGAAAGGATTCATCACTCTAGCTGCTATTAAAAACATTCGTGATTCATGGGAGGAGGTGAAAATATCAACGTTAACAAGAGTTTAGAAGAAGTTGATTCCAATCCTCATGGATGACTGTTTCAAGACTTCAGTCCAGAAAGTAACTGCCAATGTAGTAGAAATAGCAAAAGAACTAGAAATGGAAGTGGAGCCTGAAGATATAACTGATTGCTGCATTGCAATCTCATGCTAAAACTTGAAAAGATAAAGAGTGGCTTCTCATGGATGAGAAAGTTTCCTGAGATAGAATCTACTCTTGGTGAAGATGCTGTGAATATTGTTAAAATGATAACAAAAGATTTAGAGTATTACATAAACTTAGTTGATAAAGCAGCAGCAGGGTTTGAGAGGATTGACTCCAATTTTGAAAGTTCAACTGTGTATAAAATGCTTTCCAACAGTACAGAGAAATCTTTCAAGAAAGGAAGAGTCAATACATGTAATTGACTTCATTATTGTCTTATTTTAAGAAATTGCCACAGCCACCCCAACCTTCAGCTGCCACAGCCTTGATTAGTCAGTAGCCATCAACATCAAGGCAAGAACCCCCACCAGCAAAAAGATGATGACTCACTGAAGATTCAGATGGTTGTTAACATGTGTTAGGAGGAAAGTAGTTTTTAATTAGGGCACATACTTTTTTTTTTTTTTTTGAGATGGAATTTTAGTCTGTCGCCCAGGCTGGAGTGCATTGGCACAATCTTGGCTCACTGCAACCTCCACCTCCTGGGTTCAAGCAGTTCTCCTGCCTCAGACTCCCGAGTAGCTGGGACTACAGGCGTGAGCCACCACACCCGGCTAACTTTTGTATTTTTTAGTAGAGACGGGGCTTCACCATAGCGAACAGGCTGGTCTCGAACTCCTGACCTCGTGATCTGCCTGCCTCAGGCTCTCAAAGTGCTGGGATTACAGGCATGAACCACTGCGCCCAGCTGGGCACATACATTTTTAAACATAATGCTATTGTACACTTAATAGACTATAATACAATGTAAACATAACTTTTATATTCACTGGGAAACCAAAATATTTGTGTGACTTGCTTTATTGTGATATTCATTTTACTATGGTGGTCTGGAACTAAACCTGCAATATTTCCAAGGTTTGCCTGTATCGAGTGAATGTACCTGGCAAGAGAAGCAGTTTGATATAATGCCATGTCGTAACTGATTGGATGACTAATAAATTCATATGAGACGGTTGGAAATCTCCAGAAAGTTTGAAGGAAAGATAATAAGGGGATGAAGTCCTGAGTGAGGAGTTATGATCTAAAGCCAGTGAAGGAAAGTTCAAGAAGATTGCAGTGATATAAATACAAAAAGGACTTAAGAAAATCCCTGAACTGCCCTTTACTTGCACAAGGAATCAATACAGTAGCCACACTAGTGTTTTCTCCACCTGGTGCTCTATAGGATTGCATGTATAGGCTCCTGAATCATTTTTTAGCCCAGAAGATTAAGGATAGGCAGAGGAAATCAAAAACATGAAATATATGAGTGCTAAGGGAGGGTGTTAATATAAAGTAGAAAAACAATATATTCATTTAAAATAAAAACAGTATTCATCTTTTGGGGTAAATACTTACATAGTTCTAACCAGCTCACTCTCCCTGAATGCAAGTCATGTGGAAAGTGAAGTTGTCTGAAGGTAGCTTGTGACGGTAAAACCAGAAGAGAAGAAGTTAGTTCTGTGCTTTAAATGGTTAATAGCAGCAGGTTCAGATAGGATGTTGCATCTATCCCTATGATAAAGTCTGACTCACAGAAATAGAGAGTACAATGGTGGTTACCAGAGGCTGGTGGGCAGAGGGTGTAGGGGAAAAGGAGACATTGGCGAATGAGTGCAAAGTTCCAGTTAGACAGGAGGAGTAACTGCTGGTGTTCTATTGCACATCAAGGTGAGAGTTAATAATAATGTATATTTCAAAATAGCTAAAACAGAAGATTTTAAAGTTTTCACCACAAAGAAATGATAAATATTTAAGGTGATGGATATGCTAATTACTCTGATTTCATCATTCCACAATATATACATGTATCAAACCATCACTTTGTACTCATAAATATGTATCATTGTTATTTACCAATTAAGAAGAAAATACAAATTTAAAAATGTAAGATAAAAAATATTTTTTAAAGCTATAACTGCTGAGGTCGCAGAAGGGGTTCCATATGTGTTTTTTGTCTTTGTCCTAGGCAGTCTGTCCATGCGCAGACCCAGGCACCTGTACTT
This sequence comes from Homo sapiens, assembly GCF_000001405.40. Taxonomy (NCBI): domain Eukaryota; kingdom Metazoa; phylum Chordata; class Mammalia; order Primates; family Hominidae; genus Homo; species Homo sapiens. Next base: position 64,150,701 of record NC_000010.11, on the reverse strand, counting down.
CCCACCTCTGCCATCTCCACACCACTCCCATAGCAACCTGCTGACACATTCTCTATACAAATTGCAAGGTGATTTAACAAGTGAATTTTCCCCCGAATATTTTCTGGCATCCCTAAGGTCTCCCCCATTCAGGAAGTTAGGCATGCTGTAGTCACTGCCCCTGGCAAAAGGATGACAGTGCAGAAGGCCAGAGAAAAGGAGTCTTTTTGACTGAGTTTCAATAAGCTAGGCTCTGTGAGGGGAGGGATGAATCCTACCAAGACAGTAGTGGATTGGGCAGAAAGTAAATCTATAAGAACAAGGTTTCCTGTCCCAGACACTAGAGACATTTTCAGGTCTGAGGAGGGAAGTCAGAGTGTTCATCCATGAGATATTAAATGCTAGTCTGTCCTCAAAGGGGCCCTGGACCTTGTCGCTATCTCCCTAGGGAAAGAAATGGAGGTAGATACCTGAACTGATTGAAATTAAATTTTTATCCTTTGGGAGAACAGCAGCTCAAAAACCAGAAGGCAAGTATACTTACAGGAAAACAATGCTTTGTATTAGCTGCAAACACTGAGTTTATAAAGAGTTTCTCACTACACATTAATACCAATAATCAAATAATAATTTAGTGTCCCTTTGGCCAAAAAGTCATTGTAAGGAGACTGCATCTCTCTGCTTTGACCCATGCATTTTGATTTACAGTTGAAAGTTAAGAAAGCAATTTATTTATCCTATTTTCATTTTTTTCTTTCAGTTGAACACAATATACCATCTATGTCATAATCCAATAAATCCTAGTTTACCTATTGGGAAGACTAAACAGAATAGTTGAAATTAGAACAATGTCAGAAAATACAGAATATATGGTCTGCACTTTTAAGATAATACATTATTTTTGATACTTCATATAAGGAGTCAAATAAAAAACATGATAGAACAACTACTACTTCAATGCAGAGATTTTTTAATTCAGAAATCACTCATACTATTTTATCTATTGATTTACCAACATGCATCTGTAGAGCATCTGTACAACTTTAGTTTGTGATTTCACATTAATAACAAAATTATTGAATTCTCAGAAGTTTTACATTTTGATATTTCTAATTTGGCTTCAATTGGGCATTTCATTCCAGAAAAACCAGACTATCGTACAATGCATTTGTCTGGCAGAAGGCTCTCAAACTGTAAGGAGAATATTTAGCATTGATACTCAGTACCCAATTTTAAAATTTTAATCAATTGGCTTAAGCACAAGGTCACTTATTTTTAATAGGTCTTCCCTCTTGAAAATTTTAAATGGCTCACTCACTCATCTTTAATAGCCTGAAAATAATTGAAAGAGAAAAGCTTATATCTTTCCAGCTGCTACCCCACCCTCAACCCCACACACACATATACAAACCCAACCCAATTAAGTATGCACAACGCAGGAATAAGTCAAGACCGAAAGGTTAAGAAATGCACTATTGATCAAAAGTCAGAATTTTTTAGCTGAGAAGAAATTTTCAGAAAGTGACAGAAGACACTAAAAATAGGATATGTATTTCATGAGCTAAACTGTAGTATTGGCCCACATTACACAGAGTTCTCAGAGAGCATTCGTAAAGTTAACCAAAAACTTTCAAATCGCTACCGAAGAAGTGAGACCATAGGCCTCAAAGAAGAGCAGTGGGATCTAATGATTTGAAATCATGGTAAAAACTCTCCTGGTCTGCATGGTTCATTTTCCTTTAAGCATTTTAGAAAAGATTACAATACTGGCTCCCCTATTGCCTCCACATGTGAAATATTTCTTTAAACCCAGAAGCTGGAGGCTGGCCTTTTGGATACAGAGTGTTTGTTGTTTAAGGAAAAAGCCCTGTTGAGTCCAAAGAGAAGCTGAGACAAAAACAGGAGGGGGTCAGAGAAGGAGAGGAAACATAACATCTTTCTATTCTTTCTAATGCATTATTCTCCCTCTAGGGAGATAGATACAGATATTTTTCTCTCTAAAAATCAGATTTTTCTTCACTTTGGCAGGAGATAGAATTGGTTTGTGAGCACTTTGTGCTGTAAAACTTTGCCTGGAGCTGAGTTTCTGTAGTACAGAAGGGTCATGACAAATCTAGATACAAAGAGAATAAAAAAAGAAAAAGAAGAAACCATGTGTTCAGTACTGACAATATAAGAAAACTGTTCCCTCGTTTGAATGAGGTCTCAGTTAAGTGATTGAAATCTAAAACTAGTGTATTCCTTCAAAAGTTGGAGTCTTAGAGGATTTTGATAAATATGCAGGCACCCCAAATCTGAACAATACATTGATCTCTGTAGAACATGCTAACATTGTCTCCTTCAGTTAAGCTGTTCTGACATGCTTCTAAATTTTACTTTTAAAAAGTTAACAGTTTTAACCAGCTAATGCTCTTTTATATTGATTGTTTTCCTTTCTTTCTCCATTTAGAGTAACTAAAATGCTTCCCAAGTCAAGATCAAGAAGTGGTAACACAGTATATGTTTGAGATATTTTCCAAAAGAAAAAAATCTTACCCCTTATTTTAGTAAGATTGAAATAATAATAGCTCTTATTTCAATCATCATCTTATTTCCTCCCTACAATGCGCCTGAGTTGGGGAGAATAGATATTTTTAGTAGAAAAGAACTCAGAGCTATTAACTAAGGACTGATTCCCTTGGACCTCACTGTCATCATTTTTTTTGTATAGTACCACATAACTCCACCCTTGTATAAGGATAAAAGAGCCACTTGAATTTCAAAATAGACAAAATGTTACATTTACCAGAAGCTGGGCTTTTCAACAGCCAAAGCCTGGCAAACATTATTAATCATCAATGAAATGCAATACACAATAGCTAAAATTAAAAGGACTGCCAACATCAAATGTTGATTAAAATGTACAGCAACTAAGTAAAATTGCACAACCATGTTAGAAAAAGTTCTAGTAGTTGCTTATAAAACAAAACTATTGCTTGTAAGTTTCTCTCCTAAATATTTAGGTAAGAAAATGAGACCATATGTCCACAAAAAAACTGTACAAGAATGTGCATATCATCTGTATTCATAATAACTGCAACCTGGAAACAACCTAGGTGTCCACCAACTGGAAAATGGATAAGAAAATGTGATATATTCATGTAATATAATACTGCTCAGCAATGAAAAGGAACAAACTACTGATAAATGCAAGAACATGGATGAACCTCAAAAATATGCTGCAAGAAAGAAGCTTTACACAAAAGAATACATACTACACAGTTCCATTTATATAAAAGAGGCAGAAAGTAAGAACAGTGGTTACTGGGATGAGGAGTTTGGGTTTACTGGGAGGGGACAGAAGGAACTTCATGGGCTGATGGTTAGATTCCCTATCTCTGTTGGAGTTTTTGGCTGCAGAGATTTAAGTGTTTTCTTGGAATTTATGAAAAAGTACACTAAACATTTGTTCATTTAATTGTATATTAATTTACCTCAAGAGAAAAGATATATCAACAAAAACAGAACTCATTGATGACAGATGTACTAAAATCCTGAGAGGAGAAGTGTCCTGGTACCTGCAACTTACTTTCAAATGTATTATATATAAAATTTTTAAAAGATGAACTGATGAATGGATGGATAGAAAATGTGTTAATTTCCTATTGCTGCTATAAGAAATTACCACAAATTGAGTGGTTTAAATAAATACCAAGTTATTATTTAACTGTTGTGGAGATCAGAAGTCTGAAATGAATTTCACTTAGAGAGTAATCAAGGTGTGGGCAGGGCTGTGTCCCTTCTGGAGGTTCAGGGGCAATTCATTTCTGTACCTCTTCCAGCTTCTAGAGGCTGCCCACATTCTTTGGTTCATGACTCCTTCCTCCATCTGCAAAGTCAGTAGCACAGCATCTTCAAACCTCTGACTCTCCTGCCACTGCCGTCTCGCTTACTCCGACTCTTTTAAGGATCTTTATGATTACAGTGAATCCAAAGGAATAATACAGGATAATCTTCCCATCTCAAAGTCCTTAAGGTCATCACATCTATAAAGTATCTTTTGTCATGTTAGGAAGCATATTTACAGCTTCCAGAAATTAGGACATGGACATCATTGGGTGGGCCAATATTCTGCCTACCACAGAGGGACAAAGAAATGAATGGATATTTGACAAAGCAAGTATAGCAAAATGTTAACTATAAAATCAAAGTGGTAAGTATATATGTTCAGCGTAAAATCCTTGTAACTTTTTGGTTTGTTGGAAATGTTCTATAATAAAATATTGGAGGAAAAAGCTGAAGCTTAAATTCTAGCCATGAACAGTAGCTTGGCAAAACCTTTCTGTGTCCACAGAGGGAGCCAAGAGTGTGAGTGGAACCAAAGAGACCTCATAGTCAAGATGAGAACCAAATGGACACAGATACCAGAGTGGACTGAGAATCGAAGTGGAGACAGCCCAAGGCTGTGGAAATCTGGTACAGAAGTGTCTGAAGGCTGGTGAACAGGGATAGACACAATCAGCTAACACCAAATCCAGAAGCAGTTCTATTCTCCTGCCACTCCTCATCATGCTTAAATGCACATAAGCACACCTTTCTTGCCACGAATTCTGGGGAGAAGAGGAGGAGAGCTAAAACTCAATTGTTTGTTCATAACCATGAAGTGATAGTCAAAAGATGGAAGTACTCAAGTGCCAGGATTAAATTTACTCAGCCAAGTAGTATTAGGCATGAGATAAAAAGTAGTCTTATTGTAAAAGGAAGATGAAACTATAATCTTTCAAAGACTGAGTTTTCATTCTATAAATTCATAACTGTAAGATTCATACTCATTCTATAGATGAAGAAACTGAGGCCCAGAGAGGCAAATATTCTTGTTTTCCAATTCAATTTCCTTCCTACTAGAACAGAGTGAGAAAAGCTGATGAAAAAGGAACAGATGGAAACTGAGAGCATAAAGAGAGAGGTTTTACTGACAACACAGAGTAAATCAATTCTTAGAATAATCTGACAAAGAAAATAGTAGAAAGGAAAATTTCCCAGTTTATTTTTTTTCACAATGTGAGATTTTATGTATCTTCTTGATATTCAAAAATTATGGCTGCCCTAAATTCTTCTAAAAGGAAATTTCTTAAAATAAAACAGTATTGCTTTATATTAATAGTGGCCCAACAGCCTTTCAAATAAATCCTGTGCCTCTCCTGATCCAAGTAATATGATACAGAGTCAGGGGTAATATTCAAAATATGTAACTTCCAGATGGCAGGGGCATTTACCAATCAAAATAAACACAACTGTAACTATCCACATGACCATGAAAGTCAAACCTGTCAAATATCCGCCTTGTAGCCAGTGTATTTCATTCTCTGGCATTAGGAGTCATCAGGTCCATAAATTGATTCTTACTTAAACAGCAGGAAAACATTTGAAGCAGCAAGGTAATATCTTGCAATAATTTAAGATTAATCATAATAGCTAAGCCATTTAATCCAGAATTCCATTAAATATCTCCTATGCTTAACTAAAAACACATGTGCATAATTGATGCTATCATCTGAATGTCCCCCAGAATCCATGTGTTGAGACTTAATCCCCATCGTGGTGGTAATAAGAAGCAGGGCCTTTTGGGAAGTGATTAAGCAGAGCCCTTAAGAGTGGATTCACGCCTTATGAAAGGGCTGAAGGGAGTCATTTTAGGCTATTTTTGCACTTCTGCTCTTCCACCATGTGAGAACACAGCCTTTGTCACCTTTTGCCCTTTCATCCTTTACACCATGTGAGGACACCTAGACACCACCATCTATGAGAAACAAGACTTTTACAGGCACAGCATCTGCCTGCGCCTTGATCTTGGACTTCCCAGCCTCCAAACCTGTGAGAAAATAAATTTCTATTCTTTATAAAGGACCCAGACTGTGGTATTTTGTTATAGCAGCACAAACAGACCAAGACAGTGGGAAAGGAAAGGTTTTAATAAATTATCTGTTGGTATAAAATGCCCTTGAAAATAGGTCTTACATCTTAATGCTTTGTTGTACTTAACACATGATCATGTATATAAAAGGTGTTCAATAAATACTGTTGAATGAATGAACCAGAATACAAATTTGTTTTTATCGTCTCACATTCTTTTACTTAATTCACTAAAAACACTCACCTTGAGAAAAACTTTTTGTGTTAGCAAGGTCATAACTTTCTTACAGGTTCAAATGGGAGGTAGATAGGAAACACAGATTTTTCCTAGAATGGAATAAGCTTAAAATGTAAGAAGATTAAGTTCATTCATGCAGAGAAAGTTGATTAGCCTTCTAAGACTGCTGAAAATCTTCCCAGCACCAAAAAAGAAAGAAATTTACCAAACTAGAATATTTTCTGAGATGGAACGTTTAAAAGATAATCATAGGTTTGCACCTGGGAAAAAGAACAGCTATGCCATTACTTATAAAGCTAAATAGGATTTTGATGCTTCTGTGTTTAGTGCTTAACAAAACATAATAGTTGCCAAACATATTAATCCACTTCATTAGGCTTTAAGTTAATGAAGTCATAAAGTCAAGAGACCTTTCTTACCATGATATCAAGGTTCTGGTACAGTGGGATAATAAATACCCAGGGGTATCTTAGGTTTCAAAAGAAAAAAAAAAGGCCTATTCACCTAATATCATCCTCCAAACAGCTCTGCTTATGTTTTGAGAGAAGGAAAAATGCAAGAGAGAAATTAAAAGTATAGTCCTGCATTATTTCTCCAGACTTTTAATACAGCCCTCCCCACAACCCAACATAGGACAAGATCTCTACCAATGATACACATTGAAGAATTCTATTTATATTTTTTAAGTGGGGGTGGATTCAGGTTATTATACAAAATGAGAACCCAGTTTACATCTTGGACACTTGGAAACTTGCTAGTATTTTGAATTCTTTAATACTCGGGTAAAAATAGCCTTGATTGATACTAGGGGAAAAACTTAAAGGTTTTGGGAAATTTTGTTCTTCTTTTCCTTTACTTTATTTTCAAAATTTAGATAAAAGACATACACATGGATTTCAAGACTCAGTCAATACCTTGACATTTGCTGCTTTGAGTTTTCTTTGGTTTTCAATATGTCATGTTTTAACTGCTACTCTGCCTTTGGCTCTTTCTGGTAAACATGTCTCAGGAGAACTTGACCAGCCCTTGAAGAGCAAGACATAATACTGAAATCCAACTTATGTTCCAATATCACTAAAACACATTGTCCAGGAAGTCCAAAATACATTTTTAGCATTCTAGCCAGTGGTGGAGATTCAAAACACAGATAATCTACCCAAACTACAAGAAAGGAAGCTCCTATTAATTACAAGAGATAATTGTTTGTATTCTTCTTTTTTTAAAATGTAGTTTTCAAACTGTGCTTCCCAATATGTTGGGGGTGCCAGGGAACCCTTTAGAAGCCACCACGGGAACAGAAGGGCAAGGAGACTGTGTAAGTGGGGTTCCTGGACCTATCACCCCACTCCAGCAGAGCATCCTTTACTAGCTGAACATATGAGGCTTCCTTTAAAAATGTTTTAAACAATGGGAGGGGCACTGGGGGCAATGAAAGGCATTTGGAGTTCATGGAAATGAGTTTGAAAACCACTGTTTCAAAATAAGGAGTACCTCCCCAAAAAGTAATACTTTTTTGGTAAGCAGAGTGAAAACTTTCTTCAATAATTAGACCAAATAATGAAGACTTCAGAATGTCCTTCTCTGATAATATTAACATGATCAAATGGTGGAAGTACTGCTGAAAATAGGCCTTCCATCTTAAGATCTCTTGCAACTAGACACAAGGCTTGGGACTTCATTATATGTCATTTTCCAAATGAAACTTTTATTCTGTGAGTATAACATTTGGACTCTGGCTCTTTTTCTTTCTGAACTGAACTTTCTAATTCTCTCCATCCCCTCGTGAAACAGAGACTATGATCCAATTGCGTGCCACTGCTTCTCTTCAAACAAGCCGATTATGTGTCAATCAATTAGCCAAATCAATCCATGAAATGCTATGTAGAAAATGTCAGTAATATATTATTGGCTGTTTTCTTACTTAGATCTGTGAGGTGAAGTAGAGGGAGTCTGAAGAGTTGCTTATTAGTGTTTGTCTCACTCAGCTCATAGTTTTGCTTTTCAATTTCAGTTCTCTAGTTTATGTGTCAGGTGAGGGTTCTAAAATTATTGCACTCAGCCTAACCAAAGGCGTCTGAGTTTATATTTACTGGTGTAAATAGCAATTTAGCAGGGTGATGGTATTTGTTACACACAAGCAATTTGAATTCAGTCAATTTTATTTGCAAAATTCAGATTAGAGCTGGTATTAAATTCTCCACAAGAAATCAGACAAACAGAACCAGTAATGTGCTATGAAATGAAAGAAACCCAAACAACCTCAGAGGCAGTTTGGCTCTGCCAGGTGATGTTATTAAATTTGGCAGTGTGAGAAAAGGGTTGAAAGAATACAGCCATCCAGGACTATGGATTCAACACAGTGAAGTTGGAAAGATTAAGGGATCTAGCCAAAAAAACAAACAGGGACAGCCAATAATCATTCAGCAACACAGATAGTAAGAGCTATTCCTAGCAGGCTCCACAGGATCCCCTGAATAAAACCTCAATGGACTGGAATTTCTCAGAAAGGAGCATGAATTTGTAGTTGGATTCACCAGAGGGGATGTCACTCAAGGACCTGTACAGACTATTGTGCTAGTTCAAGAGGAAAATAAAGAACGGAAAAGGAGGTAGAAGGGTTATAGTGAGGAAATTGGCAAGTAGCTTAGGGTTAAATACATTCTGAGCAGCAGGACAAAGGAAAGTGTGTGCACCTAGGTTCTTATGGATTTACCAGGGAAAGGGGAAACTAAACATAGAGTTTAGGAGTAGGAAACCTAATGAATGAGTAATAAGGTGACGAAAATATCCAAATGAATCAAATACTACAACTGACCTAGAAGCATCATTCTTTTCCCTGAATTTTCTATGTTCTGTCCCTACGAGTCTGCCCATGGTTCCTGCATATGCCATGAAGTTTCTCAGTTGGGGCTGAGCCCTTACTATTTTCTCTACCTAGAGAAATCTCCCATTACTGTCTATGAAACTAGCTAATACATTCTCATTTATTGGGCTTCAATTTAAATACCTTTTCCTCTAGAAAGCATTCCCTGATCTCATAGCCTATTATGAATCCATCTGTTACAGGTTCCAACAGCACTTTCCATTTTTGAGACACTAGCAGGATTCCCTGCTGGAAAATCTATGAAAGCAAGGGCCATATCTACCTTATTGACCATGATGTCTGCAGTACCTAAAAAGTACATGGAATGATGCTTAATATTTTCTTAATGGATGTAAAGGAGAATTCATTTGACAATTGCCATAGACCCAAGTGTATAGTAGTAACTAGGCTCACAGCAATATCTTTGTAGTCCTGTCTCTTTTACCCATTCCTCCACCTCCACTTCACTCTAACATGTGGTTTAATTAAGAATCTCATGACTCACCTTTGGCAGATGCTGCAAGTTGGCTCACACAATTCTTATTTCCAACCCCATTTTCCTTTCCTTTGCTTTCTCTATTACTCAGGATAGGCGAAGTTATGCTGTGATAACAACCTCGAATTTTAATGATTTTTTTTAAAAGAGCTTTATTTCCCACCTATGCAAGTCCACTAGAAGGCCAGGCAACTCTCCAGCACAGCTGTCTCCCATACTAGGGCTCAGTGATAGAGGCTGCTTCAGTTTGGCAGCGCCCTCGTAGTAAGCTTCGTTTCTGTGCTTGCTGTGGTGTGGAAGGGAGCATAGAGACCCACACAATGGATCCTGAATGCTTTGGCTTGAAAATGACACATGTTACATATGCCATGTTGGGAAAAACTACCCACATGACCACACTTAACTTCATGGAGTAAGGAAGTGTTCCTGGAAGTAGAGGAGAACTGCATAATAGTAGGTATTAATAATAGCTACAACATCTTCTTCTGCCCTCAAGCCTGGAAAGCTAAATGCTAATTTGTTAACCTCTCTTGCAGTTAGGGGTAGCCATGTGATAGGAAGGAAAATTTTTCTTTACCAGTTCACTTTCAAATATTCCCAGGGAAGGCCTCTGTCTAACCTGATGTAAGACAATTGCCCAGCCCTGGAACAATGACTTCAGTTGTCCTTCAGTTGTTCAACTTGAATCAGCTGCAATATCATTTCACCTTCAAGTATCAAAAAAAACCATCACCAGCTTAAACAAATTTAGGAATGAACCACTGAAATGCTTTCTTGGCATGTTAAAGCTACCAAGTCAACTCTAGCAGTTGCCTCTATCTGTAGTTCTTGACATGTGAGGCAAATAAGCCTCTAAATTCATTTAAGCCAATTCTTCCGGGGGAAAGTTGAGATGATTTAAGTCCAAGATTTACTGTAATAGTGCCATTCTGTTGAGATAACCAGTCTGAAAGGAGGAAAAAAAAGCCCACAGAGAGAAGCAAAGACTAATGAAGGAGAGAAAAAAAAGAGAAAGAGAACTGAGAGCTTTCAAGCTCAGGGTTCCAAATAATGTTGTATAGCACATTACACCCTTCAAATCACTTTCCTAGCTATTGTCTGATTTCAAACAATAATTCTAATGAGACAGGCAATGCAGACCATTGGCAGGGTATATCAGAGGCTGGAAACATGAGGGCTAGTACCAGATTTGTCACCCATTCATTGTTTAGGCTTATATGCATGTCTGTAAAATAAAGGGTTTGAACTAATTTGGTATGGTAAATATGAACTCAGCCTTTGATCTTTAAATAGCATCAAATATTTAAATATTTAATCCATTCATTGACTGTATAACTTCTGGTAAATTTAATCAGCTCACCTAAATTTCCATCATTTCATCTAAAAAATTGACATGACAACATGGTCTTCATTTCATTGTTGTGACAACTAAATAAAATAATTAAAAGTAAAGCATCTAGCACAATGCGTGATCCATAGTAGATCCATGATAAACATTGTTCCTCTGCCACTCCATTTCTCTTCTCCCAAGGTTTCCTGTACCATGAAATTATATTCCCATTTTACAAATGAGTTTACTGAGTCACCAATGGTTAAGGACTTGCTCAGATCAATTTAGCTAGCCAGGGTCTAAAATAAGATCCAATTCTGAAATGGGATCAGAATCTATATTTCTAGCCTAATAGTCTTGGTGCTATTTCCATGATGCCAAAATCCCCACATTCCCTTCAATTCATCTGGCATTTATTAGGCATATTCTATGCAAAAGCATCATCCCTTAAGGTACCACACTCCTTTCATTGTCATAATGTCCCTACAGGCCCAAGATTTTATAGTATTATATAGTTTGAGACTTTAAAGAGATGTTAGTGGTCATTTACTTTAACTTTCTACTGAAAACTGGAATTCCCTTTACAGCATCCCTGATGTGTGGCCAGCCTCTCTTAGGCTATTCCAATACAGACACCATTGATAATGAAAATGCTGTGTCTGTAGTGACTAGCTCTATTTTAGTTGCTAGTGTCAGAAATTTAACTCAAACTACTCTTGCTATTAAAATATCTGCTCATATACTAACCTCTTGATTTAAACCAGGTTTCAGGCATTTCTCAGTCAAAGGGCTTGACCATTCCCATCCACATCCTATCTCTACTCTGTTTCTCCATCCCATCCATGAACCAGTCACAATATCACAGGGGTGCAATATTCTGATGTCTCAAGCCCAAGACTCATAGCCAATCCTGTTGTCAGGAGCAGGGTCAGCACCACTAAACCCTAAGGACTGTGGATGGGCAAGGGGCACCTCCCAAGACAATCAGGATAATATCACCAAGAAACAAAAATGAAAATTGAACAGGCAAAAACAACTCATTCCACTACGATGCTATCTTTTTCTATATTCTGCGTCAGAAAAGGAAGTTAAAGACTTCTTTTCTAAAACCTTGAAAGTTAAAATAAAGCCAACAGTTGAAAGATGCCCTGCATTGTACTCTATCTGTTAGGAATTCTCTTGACTGCAAGTGAAAATATCCAACAAATACTGCCTTAAGCAATAGAAGATTCATTTTTCTTCCAGAGAAAGTAGGCAATTTGGGACCCCCCATTCAGTGACCTAAGTGTCAAGTCTGAGTTGGTGATTCTGGTGTTCTCTTAATATTTTCTCATGGCAGCAAGATAGCCACACCACCTCTAAGTAGCATATCCCCAAAGGTAAGAAGCATGAGGCAGTGGGAGTGGAGGGCAATTAATGTACTTATTTCTGACCTAGAAAAGAAAGCTCTTTCCCAGAAACTTTCAGAAAAGTTATCTTTAATTCTCTCTGGCTGGAACTGGGTCACATGGCTACATTCAGCAGCAAAGGATACTGGGATCCACCTCTCCAGGCCCTGTAATGGGAGGATGACAAAGGGGAAGGGATGAGTAGGTCCTGGCTTAGGGTATCAACATTGTCTACCATAAGTATGTTAGCAAATGTATTTTTGATCCCTTTTCCTTTCACTCACCCAAATAAGGCAATTTTTCCTATTCTATGCAAGGAGAATTGGTCTTGACTTCATCACCTCACCACCTTCATAATATTCCAAAAGCATAATTAGACCTTCTCAAAATACTCACTGAATGGTAAACTCTATAAAAAAAGAAAAATCAAATGTTACGTTTATATGCCACAGAAACTAGCACAGTGCCTGGCAGATCACTGACATTCAATAATATTTCCAACTAAACCAAAATGCCCTGCTCACAAATAATTATTTTCCCCAATATAAATCAAAGATCAAAAACTATCTATTTGCTTTTAGAGTGCTTTTGCTTTTAGTTGTAACTGGTGTTCATCCATACATAGAAAACCATTTCATTGGAGTATCATATGCTGATTTGCTGGTTTTTTCTCTATGCATAATAAAGTGATCAGTAAGCAGAGCAAACTTCAGTAGCCACATGCTCTAACCCAGTGGTTCCCAAACTTTCTATAAAAATTCTATGTCAGCATTACCCAGGAAGTTTTTAAATACAAATTTCAACTCATTTCAGTCCCAGAATTTCTGATTCTTTGGGTCCCAGATGGGGTCTTGGTAACCGAATTTTTTTAAAGCTTCAAATTTCAGCTGAGCTTGGAACTACTAGTTAAACCAACTAAATCAATTAGCTCACAAACATTAAGTGTGTCTATTTTCATTCACACTTTGCAGCCTTTTAGAAAACTTGTCAAAGGTTTCCCCACTACCCAATGATCACTTTGGTAACTACTAAGAAGCCTCAAACAGTTGAAACCTTTCTAAGAGATAAGGAGCATCTTACCAATGGGGTCTTCTTGAAAAGGCAATTTTAGTGCCTGCCATGTAAACAGTAGAATTTGCCAATTCTGTGGCTTCCAGAAACCAGCCCAAAGACAATTCATAAACCAAAGTTACCAACTGCTCCTGCTTCCCCAGAGGGAATTCCTTATTCCCACTCTCTATAGACAGAAAATCCACATAAAAGATGGACACTAAAACATCACCTTGCCTATATCTGATGCTCAGTCAGACATGGGATGGTTCCTTGTTGTTCTTTTCCACTTAGATTTTTAGTTTTGCCCAATTTCCCTAGCTCACTGGTCTGCAAAATCTTTGAGCTAATTTGTCCCTCCCACCTCCCCCTCCCAATCTTAAATTGTAAGCCTAGTGACCCCAGATATCAAAGCAAGCCCAGAAGCACAATCTCATTCATTTATTCAGCCAATAAAAGAAATGGTCTGCTTCCAGGTGCATTATTTTTTCCATCTGCCCAATAAACATAGTGATGTATATCAGAATAAACAAATGTTCCTTATTACAATGTATAATCCACTGGCATTAAGATATACCATTTCTTATCCATTGGAATTAGGTTGTTTCAATCAAAGCAGAACTGGTTCTAGATAACATCTATCTCACTGAAAAGTCAATGTGTGACTCTCGTTATGAAATGCATCAATAATCTACAAAGAGGAGATTTTACCAAGCAAGACAGGCAAATCTCCAGGTTATCAGGCAATAGCCGCTGTTTTAGGCCTTTGTTGCTTCTTGAAGGGGGAACAAGAAGCAAATTGGTTTCAACACAGAATAAATGGCACAGAGGACTCCTGCCCTGGGGAGAAGGAGATTGCCAATAAGGAGGTAATTTCTAGCTCTTGGCTGCTCTGTTCACTTTTGCTCCCTCCCACCTTGAGTTAACCGGCACATTGAAAGAATAATAATTCAGCAGCACAATATGGTTAATGAAATCTGATACACTTACATATCAGCCTCAGAGCAAGAAGGCAATCTCCCTACTGTATTTAATATTCCTCATATCTGCCTAGGTATGTTAGGCTTGCCTTTGGTCTACTTGTTGAAAGAATAAGAAATGTACAGGTAAGTGAGTATAATAATTAGGGTTCATGGTCTGTGAAGGAAAACAGGTTAATGTGTTATGGTTTGAAAAACCTGGGAAGGTAAGGGCAGGAGGTAAGGACTTAATAACACTTTCTAAATATGTAAAAAGCTACCATGTGATATATCCGAGTACTGAGCACAAAGAAATAAGCTAAATTATAACAAGAGGTGTGATAATTATTTATTGGGAAAAATATTGTAATATTAATTGTTGCTAGTTATTAAGGGCAGTTGCAATTATCTGAGAAAATAGGCTCAGAGACTTGCCCAAGGTCTCACAGGTAAGTCTAAGGTAAAGTTGGGATTTGAACCCGAGTCTGACTTACTCCAATGTACAGACCTTGTACATTGTTTCTCCATGGAGAAATAATAAAAAATGACCTCAGCTTATTCTTTCACCCTCATTAGTGTAACTAACATTTATTACTTTATTTTAGGTCCTACCTTCTCCCAGTCAGAATGGTCATGGCTTTGTCACTATTTGTAACAAAACCTTAAGCTAGAATAACTAGATGTTTCATAGCCAGGCAATGAAAAATGTGGTGGATTGTGAAAAATACTTGCCACCCCTCCCTGGAATCTACCTCCCTTTTGGAATGCATCCTTGTTCTGGTGACATTAAATTTGACATTAATTGATTTATGTTGCCCCCTCTTGCAGGAAGTTTGTACATCTCCACTTTGTTGAACCCAACAATGTCAACATGACCTTCATGGGCCAGTGAAATGTAGGCAGAAGTGATACATGTCAATTCCAAGTAAGAACTTTTAGAGCCAGCTCATGTTTGCCATGTCTTATTTCCCTTGGCAATGGGCTGTCAATAACCCAAACAGGGCTTCCCTATCAGCAAGAGTAGAAGAATGATGACAACAATAAGCAGAATCACAGCCGACTTGCGACAGACATTCAAAATGAGCATGAAGTAAACCTTTGTTGTAATCAGTAAGATTTCAGGGTTGTTTGTTACTGAAGCAAACAATAACCTGACTAATATGAAAGAATGACCCTGATTTCTGCATTTCAAGGCTTTCTAACGAGTTCCAAAAACCAGGATGTATGGGGTTAATACAGGATGGGTTGCCATCCTGACTTCTTCATCCAAACCCCTCCATCCAAAGTACTTCATACAAACGCCTCCCTCAATCCCTTAATTTGAGGGTCAGGAAGGAAAAATATAATTTTTTAATCTACATTCAGAATATTTCGACAGAATATTTCTGTTAAAAAATATATAAAAACAAAAATTTAAATTTAAAAAAACACTGGCAGAACATTGCCCAAAATTGGACATAGTGGTTAAAAACAATCCCTTTGTAATCAATCAGACATGGGTTCTAATCTGCCAGTTACCAGATGTGACATTTGGGGCATATTAGTTCCTGTATCTTCAAACTATAGTTTGCTTATTGGTAAAACAAAGACAATAACAGTATTGTGGAGATTATGGCCTCAGAGGGGATTGTGGGGATAAAATAAAGCAAAGTACATAAAAGCGTTGCCCCATGCCTGCCATGTGATAAAAGCACATAAAAATGTTACTTTTATGAACAAAGGCACTGCAGGGGATAAAAGGATAAATCACAGTCTAATAGGATGACAAAATGCAATCACAAATAACAATAAGGTAATATGTTATAAATGCTTTAAGACTGCTACCAACAAAGTGCCATAGGAAAACAAAGGAGAAAAAGAAAACAAGTATAACTGGAAAAAGAGAAGAGAGGAATGAAAAGACTTCATGAAGAAGGTAGCATTTGAATTGGGCCACCTATACTATTCAAACTCCTTTAAATATGGATCCACAATCTATAAATGTTTCCTAGATTTAGCTACAAGAAAAAGTTTCTGTCTTCTGAAAATTCACAATCTTTCTCTTTGATCGTGAACTTGTCATGCTTTTTTTTTTTTTTGATATTGAATGTTAGAAAGATACAGACAAATACAATATTTAATTTAGGGAATTATCTCAGTCTTTGTTCTACCTTTCTTCCTTATGGCTTCTGATTTTCTCTTGATCATTCTTTACTGTCCTGAGTAAACTTTATATCTGTATTTTTATCATAAGCTGCCTCCAGTCCATTCTTGCTTATTGTTGGAGTATATGCTGTAAATAAATAAAATATATTTGTATCTTCCTTCTGGTATTTCTAGAGTGTATTATTTTGGCACCTCATTCAAAGATAGAAAAAGAGATTATTCATTCTTCTGTGGCTTCTACAGAACTTGACAGAACAAGTAATAAAATTGGCCAAGCCAGGTTGGTACCCTACACTGTGGTGTCAGTAATTAAAGTACAGATTCTAAGTGCTGGTTTTCAGGTTAGATTCAATTAGCAGCATTTCTCACTTTAGCAAGAAAGAAAACATAACCTAAAGGCAAGGTCGCTGTTACTCAGCTGAACAGCAGTTTTAAAGTGAATGATATGTTTTTAGGTTGGGGAAGATACCAGTAAGACTACCTTTGTTCTCTAGAAGAAAAGCAAAATTTTTTCAATTCAAACCAGTGAAACGATCTCATGTATTTCAACCACAAAACAACTCTTTAAATAAGATAAAACTCCAGCTTTCTTTTCTACAGAAAAAGTAAGAGAAAAATCAAGGTCTTCTATAATAGAATACTGCGTTTAAAAGTAAGTTAGAATTCAAATTCAAATGTTTTGCATTAGCATATACTGAACAAATACCATTTTCAGAATTCTTCTGAGGGGCATAATTAAATTGATTTTACATCATCTGAATAAAATAAGTAAGGTTGTACCATATAGATACTAAAACGATTAGCATTTTTGTCAGTTGATAGAAAAGCAACTCGTGAAAACTTATATTATCAGCAAAACAAGACACCAACAGATTTATCTGTATGAATTGGTCATTTGAAGCTCTGAATTATTAATTTTGTTGTAGTCATTGATGCAATGCCCTTTCATAAAACCAAAAGGAAATGTCTCAGAGGCATTTTAAAACTAAAACGGCCAGCCTGCTAATCATATCCATCAATAATTGTTACCGGGGTGGCAAAATAATACATCGTTGTCAAAATTAAACTGTCATTCAGAACAAATAGTACAGAATTAACAGAGAATGTATTCTATTCAACTACAAAACAACTTTTTAAATAAGATAAAACTCCAGCTCTCTATTCTGTAGAAAAGCAAGAGAAAAATCATGAAAACATTTAATATAAAACATGTTGTTAAAACACAATATATGTTTTAACAACATGTAGCTGCACTTCTCAAAAATTATTGTAGAAAATAGCACATCCTTCTCACATAACATAAGATTTGCTATGATATAATACCATGTCCATTTCATAGTTTACCTTCATAAGGGTTGTTTATATAGACAAATTATAAAATAAAGGGGAAAATCACAAATACTCCTATCTCCCCAAAATGACAGCCACTGTCAATCTTCAGTTTACCATCCTGGACTATCTATCTATCCATCTATATGTAAGTATATGTATTCTACAAATGTGACATGTACCATTGTATACACTATTTAAATGATTTTCAATTAAAAGTATCTTATGAATCTATTTTATGTGGCTACATCATCATTTTCCGTTACTACATGGATTCCATTTTTCTAATTTAACATATTTAATAAATCCTCTATTACTGGGGATTTTGGACAGTTTGCTGACTGCTATAAATAGTCTAGTAAAATTATCTTTAATTTATAGATTATAAATCTATAAATTATAGAAGGAAGCAATAATAGATAATTGCTTCTGATAATTTTCTCTAAGTGGAATGTTCTGTGTCAAAGAGAAAGCACCTTCTTAAGGCTTTTGATACATAGTCCCCAACTGTAAGAGATTGTTCACATTCCCTCGTGCTCTCCAGTATGAGATATTGGTACTCTTTTAGAATCTTGCCTCTTACAATATGTATGTTTTAATTTCTGGGTAAGTCTTCCTCAATCTCTAAGCATTCAGGTGATCCTTAGAGGGAGATTCAACCAAGGATGCTCTCCAACTCAGTGGCTTGTTGTATAATCTGAATCACGCATGCTTTTTCAAGGGTGAAAGTGTACAGTATCAATCTAAATCCTTCATTATGAGCTTATTAACATGGCATTACTACAAATTTGTTTGACCTATTTCTGGAATATCTTACCACAGAGCACATCACCTGCAGTTTGAATAAATTAGCAGTCAAACTTCAGTTCTTTCAGACACCTAGGGTAAATTTCTGCTTCACTGAACTAAATGATACCCAGGTATCTGTAATTTACTTAATGGTATCTTGGTGGTCAAACAGTTACAGCACTCTCCATCATAAAGTGCTTTAAAGGAAGAATTTTATTCACTCCTAAGATTCTAAAGAGAAGAACTTAACCTTTATGCCTAAGTATTTCCGACATTATAAATTAAAAGGAAACCGATTGCAATTATAAATGAGCATTGTGAAACATAAATTGTGAATGTCAGTGCTGAATATCATTTAAATCAACCATGAATATTTCTACACTTCTAACAGGTCTGTGTGAACTAAAGCCTTTCTTTTCACATGATTAGAGGTTATCAGGCTAAGGTATTTGCCTTGATTCTGTAATTCTACAACAAAAAGCCCCTCTAGGGTTTTGTGATAAAGAAAATGGGAAATGGGAGGCATGCCATTTAAATACCAACTCCTAATTGCAAAAATGTGAATATGTAAATCCAATTACATACATTTAAGGATTAGGTATTAATTGGATGTGCCTTGATATAAATTGCACAGTCAATTCTTTTATTAGAAATGATCCTCTCTTCCCATTTTGGCATTTGGTAATAATCGACAAAATATCATAGGTTCTCCCTTGCTCTGCGATTTGCCAGGACGATATTACAGCTCACACAGATCAAATATCTTTGTTCTGAACTCTAGAGCCATCAGGATATGTGCTAATGCTTTACTTGAAAGGAATAAAAAAAAGTTGTCATGTTAATATGACTTCTTAGCCACTGGGCATTTAAATAGACTCAGGACCACACACCCTGACTGGCTGATGGGAAGTGAGAAAAGGTCAGATGGCAGGAGGCAGAGTTTGTTCAGACACAATTTACAGAATGTTATCTGAGGACTTGTACCTCTTCACTTCTGCTTCACTGATATCACAGAAGAATATGAGACCCCTTGGAATTCTTCTACATTCTCCTCTTCCTTGCTTATAGCACTTTGTTGCTACCAACTTATTTCCAGTTGAACATAATGTCCTCTACCTACAGGCAGGGTGCAAAATGCAAAAATGGTACAGACATGAGAGAAGATGCAAAAATGAGCAAGAATATCTTGAATTTGACAGAATCTTGATTTTAATTCTGGCTCTGAAAATGATTATCTGTGTGACTCAGAAAGTTACTTCACCCTCCTAGCCTCATGTCTTGGTCTGTGAAATCAGAAAACAACCACATCACACAGTGGGATGATTGAATGAGATGGTTAATGTAAAATGCTTCAGGTACATACAGAAAAGTGTGCTAGCCATATTCTACCTTTATTACCCTCAGGAGCTTCTGTTCTGAGAGGTGGGATGCTACAAGAAGGAACTAGGAGATAAGACATATTCATAAGTAAGCATGATTACACACGTAACACAAATTACACTCAGATATCCAAAGACAATAGAGATTCTTTACTTTCTCTGACTGAATTGATGACTCCCACAAGTCTCCCACCCATCTGGATAACATGAAAAAAAAACCCAATAAACTTGATAATTTAGAGTGTATGGATCTCTTCAGGTTTAATTTGTCTCTTTAGATGACTTGTTCTCTTTCAAGCAAATGCTTCAATATTAGGTGCACTTCTCCTCCCCTACATAGTACAGGGTGTGGGGCTCATGTGTCTTCAGGGAGGCAGATGAGAGGTGGTGGCCTCAGATTTTTCCCATGTCCTTCAGATCATTGCTAGTCTCTGTTTCAGAGTACTGGTCTACCCTGCCTCCTGGATCACTGAGACATAATTAGACCCTTCTGACCATCTGCACATTGTAGTGGCACCTATTCACCTGTAGAGTCCTTGTTCCTATCCTTTTCCTCTAGCCATGAAATGTGCCCACCTATAGCCTCTTTGTTCCAACTCTAGGCCTCTGCTGTTTCAGCAAGCATTTCTTGCTGAAACAAGAAACTCTCTAAGCAGGGCGTGTGGGCTTTTTGTTCCCTTGCATGCTCTTCACAAGCTGCAGGGATCCAGGAGCCTCAGCTTGGGCTCATCTATATAGCCCGTACCCCTGCCAGTGGTGTTCTGCCACCTCCAAGGCGTGTTGAACATGGCCAGTAACAGGCTTCCCTGAAGCTGGGAAGTGTGCCAATAGCTCATTCCCATTGCATAAATCCCTTTTGGATGCTTCTAGCCTCCCCACCAGGCCCCTTACACCTAAGGGTTCCAACCTGAAAAAGATAAATCAGGACCTATATCTGACCTCACTGCCCCATCCCTAATGTCTTTGCACTTCTTCCAAGACCAGGATGAAATAAGCTAGCTTTTCTTCCATCATTCTGTCTGATAGGACATTTTTAACATTATATTCCCCTTTTTCCCAAGACGTAATTTTCCTTTCCTTTCCTTGGGAACTTAATAATGGATGGGATAAGAAGAGAGAAACTGATTTGTCAATAAGGGAATTTAAATCAGAAGCATTCAGGAAATAGTTTAGTTATTGCATTAGCTATATATATATATATAAAATATGGTATATCAGTGTAATGTAATGTAAAGTGTGGTAAGTGCTGTATGAGAAATGGAGATTCAGGTTTCAGAAAGCAGTGGTAATTATATACATATTGCAGACTCTGCAAACACAATATCATAGGTAAACAGATATATAGAGACCATATCTATCCAGCTTTGAAGAAAACAAGTCTTATTTGGAAAGTTCTGAGTTCCAGATACTCATTTCCTACATTCCTAAATTCAAATGTGTCCTGGCCCAGATCCACTTCTGGATACGTGGTTGTGAGCAATTTTAACTTTATTCCAAACTGCTTCCACCTCTAGTCAGTGTCTCCATTCCCTACAGTTGTCCTGCAACTCCAGCCCAGGAGAAAGTAGCTCTTGTCTGCAAACTCAGTTTCTGCAGTAGATGACAACCAAGAATCTCAACTACAAAAGCCAACAGCTTTTCCTTCTGTCCATAGAATTCTCAATCCTGTTCCTTTCCCTCTTTATCCCAGCTATCCTGTACCTCCAATAGATGCCTGTATGCCCTTTTACTCACTCTGTCTACAATTAGATAAGAAGTTTATATTATTACCTGAAAAGACAACCAACAATAGCTACAATATTTTACCATTCATTCATTCAATAAATATTTATTGAGAGCCTACTTTGTGCTAGACAATATTTTAAGCAGTGAGGATATAATGGTGAGCAATGTCCTAACTCTCATGGAGCTTATTTCTAGTGAATAGGTAGGTAGGTAGATAGGTAGGTAGGTAGGTAGGTAGGTAGATAGGTGGATGGATAGATAGATAGATAGATAGATAGATAGATAGATAGATAGATACCAATGAAAAGCACCTTGAAGAAAAATAAAGGTTAAGGAGAAAGAGAGTGACAGTATCAGGGTAGAGGTGTTATTTTGTTTTGGACATTGTGATCATGGAAGACCTTTCCAATAAGAGATATTAAGCAAAGAACTGAAAAAAGTAAATGAATAAGTTTTGTGGTCCAGATGCAAAGTCAGGGCAGGATATATCTATCTGGGAGTCATTAATGGTATTTAGTGCCTAAAAGTAGATGAGATTATCAAAGCAGTGAGAAGTAGAGATCAGAATCCTATGCCCAAGGACATTCCAATTTATAGAGATCCAAAATAGGAGGAGAAATTAGCAAAGGACACTGAGAAATGGTGTCCAGTGAGGTATGAATGAACTAGTCTCAGTATAAAAAAAGATAGCATTAAGGCAATAATCAGCCATTTTTTTCTATTATGGATATTTTAATATGCCCGGGTTCTGTGACAACACAAAGATGAATTAGACAATGTTGTTGCTCTCTAAGAGAGTACCACTCAATATTCATAGTAGTCAGTGTTCTAAAACGGTGCCCAGTGATTCTTACTTCCTAATATGCACACCCTGTGTAATCACCTTTCATTGAATGTGGACTGGACCTAGTGACTTGTTTCTAATAATAAAAAGAATATGGCAAAAGTGATGTAATGTCATTTCTGAGATTAAGTTATAAAAGGCTGAGACTTCCACCATGCTGACATTCTCTCTCCAGCTGTTCTTACATACTTTCCCTGATGAAAAGAGCCACTTAGCAAGGGACAAATGGTGACTTCCAGCCAACGAGCCAGTGAGGAACTGAGGCCTTCAGTCCAACAGCCCTCAAGTAAACTGAATTCTGCCAACAACTATGTGAGTGAGCTTAAAAACAGATTCTTCCCCTATTGAGCCTTCACATGAGACCACAGAACCTGGGTAAACACCTTGATTACAGCCATCTGAGAGAGACTATGAAGCCAAAGACCCAATTAAGCTGTGACCAGATTCATGACTCACAGAAACAATGAGATTTTAAAAGTGTTGCTGTTTTAAGCAATGACATTTTGGCCAATTTAGCACTCAGCAATAAATAATGAATACATTAAGGAAAATCCAAGAACAGAAATCAGGACACTGCAAAGCAGCATTTATATTGGCTCACTTCCCCACCCCTATTTCAGGCACCTGAAGCTCTATGATAACAGTCATAATCACCTTAGTGTGAATTATACTGTCATTGAGTCAACTTTTCTCCAGTATAACTGTAATTTAGGTCTTATTGCAAATAAAAGAATGAAAACACTGACTGAACAAGCCAGAATAAAAACTTTCAGATAAAAAGAGACTTTCTTGGCACCTTTGAATTAACTCTGCAGAAAATAGTCAAAGGATCTGGCTGTAGTTTATACACTTTAAATCATCTCATTTGTTTTGCAACTCCTCTCTTCTCTCCTGCTGACTTTTCAGCTAGTCCATCCCCACCTTCGTGACATAACTCTAATTTAAGCTTTTATCAAAACGATTATGATTTCCACTTCACTGCCCTTGAATGCTGTGGAATTAAGATACCAGCATAATTAATGGACCACCTTGCTAACACTATTTCTTCTTCACATCACAGAGGAAATGTCAAGTCACATTTCCTTTGGAAATCAAGACTACTAAGAGATTTCACTGTCACTTTTAAGTTAGTTAAGAAATATCAAATAGTCAAAGACATATACAGGAATAGTTATATGTTCACACAATAATCATATGGGCTTCTAAATAGTCTCCTTCAAAAAAATATTTAAGGGGACATCTCATTCCAAAAAACTAGCAG
Source organism: Homo sapiens (assembly GCF_000001405.40). Taxonomy (NCBI): domain Eukaryota; kingdom Metazoa; phylum Chordata; class Mammalia; order Primates; family Hominidae; genus Homo; species Homo sapiens. The sequence goes on along the minus strand of NC_000010.11, from coordinate 64,127,034 downwards.
ACTGATTTAATGAAAATCAGTTACTCATCACAAATGGCCATAGAAATTCTGGATAAAATATAACAAAAATTATCTTAAGCACATAACTGAATGCAAAACAAAACTAAAAATTTTTTTGTTTGTTGAAACTAGGGGAAACATAAATCCAGAGTGGAAGGGCAGCAGGTTGCTCAATTCCAGGGAGATTTTATTCTAGGTAAATGGCACTCCTAGAATTAAACTGAAAGGTGGGAAAAGTGACATTATGCCTGAATAGGAGCTCTAAGGGCTGAGGGGTGGGGTCTTAAACATAAAGAGGAGGCTGCATCCATATGTATTAGTCTCCTGTGGCTGCTGTGACAAAATACCATGAATTTGGTAGCTTAAAACAACAGATACATATTACCTTACAGTTCTAGAAGCTACAAGTCCAAAAATCAAGGTGTCAGCCAAGCCTCACTCTCTCTGGAGGCTCTAAGAGAGAATTTATTCTTAGCCTTTTGCAACTTCTGGTGCCTGCAGGTGTTCCTTGGCTTGTAGACCACGCTAATCTTTGCCTCCTCTTCATATTGCCTTCTCCTCTGAGTATCTAAGCCTTCCACTTTTCAGTCTGTCTCAAATCTCCCTCTGATTCTATCTTAAAAGGATATATAGACACCTGTCCATTGATTTAGGGCCTACCAAATGATTTAAGATGACCACATCATCTCAAGATTTTTGTTTGTTTTTATTTTTATTTATTATTTATTATTATTATGCTTTAAGTTTTAGGGTACATGTGCACAATGTGCAGGTTAGTTACATATGTATACATGTGCCATGCTGGTGCACTGCACCCACTAACTCGTAATCTAGCATTAGGTATATCTCCCAATGCTATCCCTCCCCCCTCCCCCCACCCCACAACAGTCCCCAGAGTGTGATGTTCCCCTTCTTGTGTCCATGTGTTCTCATTGTTCAATTCCCACCTATGAGTGAGAATATGCGGTGTTTGGTTTTTTGTTCTTGCGATAGTTTACTGAGAATGATGATTTCCAGTTTCACCCATGTCCCTACAAAGGACCTGAACTCATCATTTTTTATGGCTGCATAGTATTCCATGGTGTATATGTGCCACATTTTCTTAATCCAGTCTATCATTGTTGGACATTTGGGTTGGTTCCAAGTCTTTGCCATTGTGAATAATGCTGCAGTAAACATGTGCATGCACGTGTCCTTATAGCAGCATGGTTTATAGTCCTTTGGGTATATACCCAGTAATGGGATGGCTGGGTCAAATGGTATTTCCAGTTCTAGGTCCCTGAGGAATCACCACACTAACTTCCACAGTGGTTGAACTAGTTTACAGTCCCACCAACAGTGTAAAAGTGTTCCTATTTCTCCACATCCTCTCCAGCACCTGTTGTTTCCTGACTTTTTAATGATTGCCATTCTAACTGGTGTGAGATGGTATCTCATTGTGGTTTTGATTTGCATTTCTCTGATGGCCAGTGATGATGAACATTTTTTCATGTGTTTTTTGGCTGCATAGATGTCTTCTTTTGAGAAGTGTCTGTTTATGTCCTTTGCCCACTTTTTGATGGGGTTGTTTGTTTTTTTCTTGTAAATTTGTTTGAGTTCATTGTAGATTCTGGATATTAGCCCTTTGTCAGATGAGTAGGTTGTGAAAATTTTCTCCCATTTTGTAGGTTGCCTGTTCACTCTGATGGTAGTTTCTTTTGCTGTGCAGAAGCTCTTTAGTTTAATTAGATCCCATTTGTCAATTTTGGCTTTTGTTGCCATTGCTTTTGGTGTTTTAGACATGAAGTCCTTGCCCATGTCTATGTCCTGAATGGTAATGCCTAGGTTTTCTTCTAGGGTTTTTATGGTTTTAGGTAGAATGTTTAAGTCTTTAATCCATCTTGAATTGATTTTTGTATAAGGTGTAAGGAAGGGATCCAGTTTCAGCTTTCTACATATGGCTAGCCAGTTTTCCCAGCACCATTTATTAAATAGGGAATCCTTTCCCCATTGCTTGTTTTTCTCAGGTTTGTCAAATATCAGATAGTTGTAGATATGTGGCGTTATTTCTGAGGGCTCTGTTCTGTTCCATTGATCTATATCTCTATTTTGGTACCAGTACCATGCTGTTTTGGTTACTGTAGCCTTGTAAGATAGTTTGAAGTCAGGTAGTGTGATGCCTCCAGCTTTGTTCATTTGGCTTAGGATTGACTTGGTGATGCAGGCTCTTTTTTGGTTCCATATGAACTTTAAAGTCGTTTTTTCCAATTCTGTGAAGAAAGTCATTGGTAGCTTGATGGGGATGGCATTGAATCTGTAAATTACCTTGGGCAGTATGGCCATTTTCACGATATTGATTCTTCCTACCCATGAGCATGGAATGTTCTTCCATTTGTTTGTATCCTCTTTTATTTCCTTGAGCAGTGGTTTGTAGTTCTCCTTGAAGAGGTGCTTCACATCCCTTGTAAGTTGGATTCCTAGTTATTTTATTCTCTTTGAAGCAATTGTGAATGGGAGTTCACTCATGATTTGGCTCTCTGTTTGTCTGTTGTTGGTGTATAAGAATGCTTGTGATTTTTGTACATTGATTTTGTATCCTGAGACTTTGCTGAAGTTGCTTATCAGCTTAAGGAGATTTTGGGCTGAGACAATGGGGTTTTCTAGATATACAATCATGTCATCTGCAAACAGAGACAATTTGACTTCCTCTTTTCCTAATTGAATACCCTTTATTTCCTTCTCCTGCCTGATTGCCCTGGCCAGAACTTCCAACACTATGTTGAACAGGAGTGGTGAGAGAGGGCATCCCTGTCTCGTGCCAGTTTTCAAAGGGAAGGTTTCCAGTTTTTGCCCATTCAGTATGATATTGGCTGTGGGTTTGTCATAGATAGCTCCTATTATTTTGAAATACATCCCATCAATACCTAATTTATTGAGAGTTTTTAGCATGAAGGGTTGTTGAATTTTGTCAAAGGCCTTTTCTACATCTATTGAGATAATCATGTGGTTTTTGTCTTTGGTTCTGTTTATATGCTGGATTACATTTATTGATTTGCGTATGTTGAACCAGCCTTGCATCCCAGGGATGAAGCCCACTTGATCATGGTGAATAAGCTTTTTGATGTACTGCTGGATTCGGTTTGCCAGTATTTTATTGAGGATTTTTGCATCAATGTTCATCAAGGATATTGGTCTAAAATTCTCTTTTTTGGTTGTGTCTCTGCCCAGCTTTGGTATCAGGATGATGCTGGCCTCATAAAATGAGTTAGGGAGGATTCCCTCTTTTTCTATTGATTGGAATAGTTTCAGAAGGAATGGTACCAGTTCCTCCTTGTACCTCTGGTAGAATTCGGCTGTGAATCCATCTGGTCCTGGACTCTTTTTGGTTGGTAAGCTATTGATTATTGCCACAATTTCAGATCCTGTTATTGGTCTATTCAGAGATTCAACTTCTTCCTGGTTTAGTCTTGGGAGAGTGTATGTGTCGAGGAATTTATCCATTTCTTCTAGATTTTCTAGTTTATTTGCATAGAGATGTTTGTAGTATTCTCTGATGGTAATTTGTATTTCTGTGGGATCGGTGGTGATATCCCCTTTATCATTTTTTATGGCGTCTATTTGATTCTTCTCTCTTTTTTTCTTTATTAGTCTTGCTAGTGGTCTATCTATTTTGTTGATCCTTTCAAAAAACCAGCTCCTGGATTCATTAATTTTTTGAAGGGTTTTTTGTGTCTCTATTTCTTTCATTTCTTCTCTGATTTTAGTTATTTCTTGCCTTCTGCTAGCTTTTGAATGTGTTTGCTCTTGCTTTTCTAGTTCTTTTAATTGTGATGTTACGGTGTCAATTTTGGATCTTTCCTGCTTTCTCTTGTGGGCATTTAGTGCTATAAATTTCCCTCTACACACTGCTTTGAATGCGTCCCAGAGATTCTGATATGTTGTGTCTTTGTTCTTGCTGGTTTCAAAGAACATCTTTATTTCTGCCTTCATTTCGTTATCTACCCAGTAGTCATTCAGGAGCAGGTTGTTCAGTTTCCATGTAGTTGAGCAGTTTTGAGTGAGATTCTTAATCCTCAGTTCTAGTTTGATTGCACTGTGGTCTGAGAGACAGTTTGTTATAATTTCTGTTCTTTTACATTTGCTGAGGAGAGCTTTACTTCCAACTATGTGGTAAATTTTGGAATAGGTGTGGTGTGGTGCTGAAAAAAAATGTATATTCTGTTGATTTGGGGTGGAGAGTTCTGTAGATGTCTATTAGGTCTGCTTGGTGCAGAGCTGAGTTCAATTCCTGGGTATCCTTGTTGACTTTCTGTCTCGTTGATCAGTCTAATGTTGACAGTGGGTTGTTAAAGTCTCCCATTATTAATGTGTGGGAGTCTAAGTCTCTTTGTAGGTCACTCAGGACTTGCTTTATGAATCTAGGTGCTCCTGTATTGGGTGCATATATATTTAGGATAGTTAGCTCTTCTTGTTGAATTGATCCCTTTACTATTATGTAATGGCCTTCTTTGTCTCTTTTGATCTTTGTTGGTTTAAAGTCTGTTTTATCAGAGACTAGGATTGCAACCCCTGCCTTTTTTTGTTTTCCATTTGCTTGGTAGATCTTCCTCCATCCCTTTATTTTGAGCCTATGTGTGTCTCTGCCCGTGAGATGGGTTTCCTGAATACAGCACACTGATGGGTCTTGACTCTTTATCCAATTTGCCAGTCTGTGTCTTTTAATTGGAGCATTTAGTCCATTTACATTTAAAGTTAATATTGTTATGTGTGAATTTGATCCTGTCATGATGATGTTAGCTGGTTATTTTGCTCGTTAGTTGATGCAGTTTCTACCTAGTCTCGATGGTCTTTAAATTTTGGCATGATTTTGCAGTGGCTGGTACCAGTTTTTCCTTTCCATGTTTAGCGCTGCCTTCAGGAGCTCTTTTAGGGCAGGCCTGGTGGTGACAAAATCTCTCAGCATTTGCTTGTCTGTAAAGTATTTTATTTCTCCTTCACTTATGAAGCTTAGTTTGGCTGGATATGAAATTCTGGGTTGAAAATTCTTTTCTTTTAGAATGTTGAATATTGGCCCCCACTCTCTTCTGGCTTGTAGAGTTTCTGCCGAGAGATCTGCTGTTAGTCTGATGGGCTTCCCTTTGGGGGTGAGCCAACCTTTCTCTCTGGCTGCCCTTAACATTTTTTCCTTCATTTCAACTTTGGTGAATCTGACAATTATGTGTCTTGGAGTTGCTCTTCTCGAGGAGTATCTTTGTGGCATTCTCTGTATTTCCTGAATCTGAACGTTGGCCTGCCTTGCTAGATTGGGGAAGTTCTCCTGGATAATATCCTGCAGAGTGTTTTCCAACTTGGTTCCATTCTCCCCGTCACTTTCAGGTACGCCAATCAGACGTAGATTTGGTCTTTTCACATAGTGCCATATTTCTTAGAAGCTTTGCTCGTTTCTTTTTATTCTTTTTTCTCTAAACTTCCCTTCTCGCTTCATTTCATTCATTTCATCTTCCATCGCTGATACCCTTTCTTCCAGTTGATCACATCGGCTCCTGAGGCTTCTGCATTCTTCACGTAGTTCTCGAGCCTTGGTTTTCAGCTCCATCCGCTCCTTTAAGCACTTCTCTGTATTGGTTATTCTAGTTATACATTCTTCTAAATCTTTTTCAAAGTTTTCAACTTCTTTGCCTTTGGTTTGAATGTCCTCCCGTAGCTCAGAGTAATTTGATCCTCTGAAGCCTTCTTCTCTCAGCTCGTCAAAGTCATTCTCCGTCCAGGTTTGTTCCATTGCTGGTGAGGAACTGCATTCCTTTGGAGGAGGAGAGGCGCTCTGCTTTTCAGAGTTTCCAGTTTTTCTGCTCTGTATTTTCCCCATCTTTGTGGTTTTATCTACTTTTGGTCTTTGATGATGGTGATGTACAGATGGGTTTTTGGTGTGGATGTCCTTTCTGTTTGTTAGTTTTCCTTCTAACAGACAGGACCCTCAGCTGCAGGTCTGTTGGAATACCTGGCCGTGTGAGGTGTCAGTCTGCCCCTGCTAGGGGGTGCCTCCCAGTTAGGCTGCTCAGGGGTCAGGGGTCAGGGACCCACTTGAGGAGGCAGTCTGCCCATCCTCAGATCTCCAGCTGCGTGCTGGGAGAACCACTGCTCTCTTCAAAGCTGTCAGACAGGGACACTTAAGTCTGCAGAGGTTACTGCTGTCTTTTTGTTTGTCTGTGCCCTGCCCCCAGAGGTGGAGCCTACAGAAGCAGGCAGGCCTCCTTGGGCTGTGCTGGGCTCCACCCAGTTCCAGCTTCCTGGCTGCTTTGTTTACCTAAGCAAGCCTGGGCAATGGCGGGCGCCCCTCCCCCAGCCTCGCTGCCGCCTTGCAGTTTGATCTCAGACTGCTGTGCTAGCAATCAGCGAGACTCCGTGGACGTAGGACCCTCCGAGCCAGGTGCGGGACACAATCTCTTGGTGCACCGTTTTTATAAGCCCTTCGGAAAAGCGCAGTATTCGGGTGGGAGTGACCCGATCTCCCAGGTGCCCTCTGTCACCCCTTTCTTTTACTAGGAAAGGGAACTCCCTGACCCCCTGTGCTTCCCGAGTGAGGCAATGCCTCGCCCTGCTTTGGCTTGCGCATGGTGCGCGCACCCACTGACCTGCGCCCACTGTCTGGCACTCCCTAGTGAGATGAGCCTGGTACCTCAGATGGAAATGCAGAAATCACCCGTCTTCTGCGTTGCTCAAGCTGGGAGCTGTAGACCAGAGCTGTTCCTATTCAGCCATCTTGGCTCCTCTCCCCCATCTCAAGATTTTTAATCACCTCTGCAAATGCCCTTTTTCCAAATAAGGTAACATTTACAAGTTCCAAGGATTAGGACACAGATAAATCTTTGGGGCCATCATTCAGCTCATTACACTATGGTTTTAAACTGCTTGAGGCAGGGAGGTGGAAAGACATCTCTGCATAAAGTAAGAACCCTCAGAACACGATTCAATCTGTAGAACAGGTATTTGAAAAATTCCACCCAAAAGACCAAAAGATGACAGAATGTTTGCAGTTTGCTCCAGGCTCTAGTTGAGAAAGAATTAAAAGCCTTCTAAGGAAAATATAAAAAAACAAATACCAAGGCCACACAACATGAGTGTGGGATCGAAAGGCATACTTAACAGAGTGGTACACATTGCAAGCCTGGAAGTTAGCAAAATTTTTCCAAGACCCATGAAAACCCTGGGATCATACAGAAGCAAGTGTGAAAATCACTCTTTAAGAACAAATCCACAATTCAGAGAACACAGGATTCCCACAGAAATTATATTACTTCAAGGATACTGGAAGACTTAGGTTCTAGTTGCAAACATGTACCTGATCTGTAGCATTGCTAAGCAGTGCAGGCCCTGTTTCCTTCCTTTGAAAATAGAGGCTCTACCATTCCCCCAGGAGTACTACAAAAAATTAGAGGGCTATGTGTGGAAAGATACCATTTACAGATATGCTTACAAAGACACATAATGCATATAATGAACAAATATGCATGCATATGGTCCCTTTAGTCCAACTATTGTACAAGTATGAAAGTTGAAAGATTCTTCTGAATAACTTATCTGGCTTGGTTACATTCAGAAGAGGTTGTTCTGTGTCACAGAAAGCAAGAACAGAAATATAAATGCAAGCATTTGTCACCTTTAAGCATCAAATGAAAAGATTTTTAATATTTAGAAACTCACTGACATTCCCCCTAGAAAGTCATTTCCAAATACCCTTTAAAAAGTGAATGTGTAATGGAAATTTTAAGTTTCCTATTCATGGCTTTATGCCACTGTGTTTCCTAACTTTTGAAAATCAATAGAAGCTATTAATCATTTTTCCCAAAACCCAGGGATTTGAGATGTTTTAAAGGTGAACTGCAAAAGTTTGGAACAGATGTTCAAAGAAGAATGTACCCACCAGAGCAGAAAAACTACTCCATGAGTTACAGATAATCATAGGCATTTTCAGTTTTTAAATTATTATGGCCACATCTCTTGGGGCTTCAAGTAGGATCTCAACTTCAAAGGTGTCATAATAAGACAATATAACCCTGAAATCATGGGTAATGAAATAATTGTAAGCTGGGATCTTAAACAAAGACTTTGATCTCTGAATCATAGCCCAGGGCCAGGAATGTCTTGGGGTTTATTGCTGTGATTGTTAATGTCTTTCTCCTTTTTGTTTTGCTGAAATATTCATAGTTAGTGTGGCAGTGTACTAGACTAGAGGCAGGGGAAGTGCCGCCAACTGAAGAGTATTTGAGTCATGAGAGGCATTCTGACTGCAAGGTCTTCTTTTCCTAGAGTGAGACGACTTCTGGGAATCATGAGGTGACTTCTGCAAGATGGTACCCGTTTTATTTTAGAGAGGTGGCTGTCTTGCACATATTTGTGCAATATATTTAGAATCATCAAATATATAATAGTAGAAAGATCAACTACAGTTGATGAATTCAGTTTAGAGCTGTGCTTCTCAAATTTTAGCATTCATCAGAACCACCACAGGGACTGTTAAAACCCTGGGCCTATCCCGGAGTTTCTGATTCAGTCTGTGTGGGGCAGGGCCTAATAATTGGCATTTCTACCAAGTCCCCAGAGTTTCTAATTCAGTAGGCTGCGATGGGGTGATAATTTCCATTTTGAATAAGTTCCAGGTGATACCACCAATGCCATCTGATCTGAGGACCACACGCTGAGAAACACTGGGTTAAATCAAGGGACTTTGGACCAGTTGTCAGCAAGTCTTTAGAACAAACTTTTTTTTGTTTGTTCCCAAATAAAATTACCATTGGAATGAAGACCTCAGTAGTGCTCAAGCACTAGAATATTGAAGAATAAATATAGACGAGGGTGTTAAAGACAATAATAATGGCAGTGATGACAGCTGATATTGTTACCATGAGCTAGGCTTTCTTCTTTAATCCTCACAGTCACCTTTTAAGGGATATATTATTTATCCCATTTTTCAGATTAAAAAACTGAAGCGCAAATATTTCTAAGCACAAAATCTATATATTTTCAACTTCACGGAACTGGTAAGAAATAACAAGATTAAAACCAGTGCCCGGCTTTTAAAGATTTTAAAAGTCAATTTCCTACTGATAAGGTATTATTGGTTTATGCTAGACTAACACAAAAAGTGATATCAGTATATTATACTTAATATTGACTGTGGATAGGCTAAAAAAAACAGTTCAGTACATCTAAATAAAGTTACTCCCATGTTGTTTTTTTCTTCTCTTCTAACTCTATTAACTTTTATACCTCTAAAACACAAGTTAAAAAATCCGTCCAGGTAATACTAAAGGCCCAAACAATATCATGGGCTCAGTACTGAGGTCCCAGGAAGGATTAGCCTCGTTAGAGCAGACTAGGTAATTAGGTCCTTATAGAATCTGAGCACTGCAGTGCCTAGTCGTCTGAATCACTTATAAAAGCCATGTTGTCTCTACTAGAAGCAGCATCTGTAGGTCTCGGAAATAGAGTGAGGTCAGCTTTGACCAAAGCTTAAAGCTTTGTCTTCTCATTTATGCTCATGGGCAAGAGCAATCAGAGTTACTGAATTCAAGCCAGATTATGATTGGCCAAAAACAGCTGTCTTTCTCCAGTACCGATCAGTGGAGATAGGCATAGGGTCAGGGCAAAATTTTGTTACCCAAAAGGGGTCCTGATCAAGACCCCAAGAGGGGGTTCTTGGATTTCACACAAGAAATAATTCGGGGCAAGTCTACAGAGTAAAGCAAAAGCAAGTTTATTAAGAAAGTAGAGGAATAAAAGAGTGGCTACTCCATAGGCAGAGCTGGACATTCCCGAAAGCAAGAGGAAGAATACATCCACGTTAGGTACAATAATTGTTTATACACAAGATAACAAAACAAAAAATCATAGGGGAGATGTGTTCTACTACAAGGGCTTTTAACAAAGGATTGCTAATCTTTGTGTAACTACTGTCTTCCACAAGAATCTGTATTATTATCTTTAAAGTGAAACTCTAAGAATGCTTTTGTTCTTAAGGTATTGGGACATCAGGACATTTCCTGGGTCTGTTAAGTCCTGGGTCTGTTCAGTAAACATTATTAACTTGTTCCCTTAGCTGTAAACATCCTGTGACTAAGAATGCCTAACCTGAGAATGCAGTTCAGCAGGTGTCAGTCTCATATTACCTAGCCCCTATTCAAGATGGAGTTGCTCTGGTTCAAACGCCTCTGACAATTGGATGAGGCAGTTGGACACATTCTGAAGAAAATGCCTTGGCAGTCACTCATGACACAAGTGTGGGGACTGTGGGAAAGAGCACAGAGACAGCCCAAAAGACATGTGTAATAAAGCTCCTGTTTGATGGAAATTCTCATTTTAGCCTGGGTTAACTTTTTGGGGTAACCCTTAAGAAGTGGTCAGTACTGTAATGAAATACCTTCTTTTGTTAGAAGAAGGAAGATATCAAGATTTTAAAAAATAGACTTTTCAGTGTGAATTAACTTATTCAACTGAAGGGGGAAAAATTACCGCCAACTAGGGCAACTTCAAGTTGTAATTAAGAGTAACTCTCCATGCTGTGGGCTGAGTGACATCTGGTGCCTGTCCTGGAATCCAAACAAGTCATCAGTAAGACACTTTAATTAGTGCACAACTCCACACGCCATGATGGTATTGCCAGATCCCCAGAATAGGGCCAGAAGCCAGATTTTCATGCTTGCCCTTTTTTTGAATTTAAAAATCATTCTACTTTTCCTCAAAAAAAGTTATAATATTCTCTTTTCTCTTTGGGTAGCATGCCAAATAAAGGCTTTCACATTTTAAATAGTTATTGATCCAACTGATTTATGAATAAAAAGACATAGAGGCAAATGATTAGATGGGTTTTCCTCCTGCTGCTTATGATTAGATTTTGAAAATGCTTTTGTATCCAAGTCAAAACAACTCAAGTCTGCCCTCTAGAGCCAGCCTCTTCCCCCCACAGAAAAACCCATCATGTTCGTCTGAGCCCCTGTAACACAGGAGCTCCAGTCAGAAAATGGAGACCCGCTCCCTATGCATCCAGGTGAACAAATAAAGAACAAAGTGGCATTTTTTAGATGGAGCTGAGTCTCCATTCCTAGAAACCTTTGCAGACTCAACACTGAGAGGACACCCTTAACCTGTTGAGAAAAATTACACAGGGCTGGGAGTCAGGGCACCTGGGCTCTAGGGCAGCTCTGCCACTCTTTACTAGAAGCTAATTTCTACCAAGCCAACTTTGAAAAGGGAGTTAAGGCACCAGCCCATAAGTCACTAAATGTGTCTTGGGAAATGCTTCTCAGTTATCTGGGTCTCAGGTTCCTTTTCAATCTGTGAGATCAGATGAGACATGCTCTAAGGCACTTCCAACTTTAAGTCTCTATGAGCAATCATTGGCATGCCAATATGGGTTTGTATGTGCTCAGTAGTTTGGAATCTGACTTTCATACACATCATCCTTCGTATTGGACCATTACAACTATTCTAGGAAGCAGACAGAAAAGGTGAGAAAAGAGAAAATCACAAGGGTCAATAATGAGTTATTATGATTTAGCAGAGTTATAATCTAGGTTTTCCACAATGACCCAGAAAATGTGAACAGTAGAACAGGTTATGGATGATTCTGTGAAAAGACAAGAATTCCAGTACTCTTCACCTCACCACTTACTGACTGAGCCAGGCTGCCCTCACCTGCCTAATAAGGATGCTGGACTAGAAGATGCTAGCATCCCTCCCAGCATTACCACTGTATGAATTTGTGAAGTGCAAAGCAAGTTATTATTCAGCAACAAGCCAACCTCTGATCTGGTTCTTGTCTTGATAAGCTGCCTAGGACATAACCCCATAATTTCTACAAATGTAGGGATGATTCTTTGTTCTCACCAGAATAACGGCTATTACATCTCCCAGAGCTTGACCTCCCATTGAGTGTGTGACTTATCCTTGTCACTGTAATCTCCTGGTACTAATTTGGACTTTCTAGGAAAAGCTTCTCCCAGTTATCCAGCTCTCTCCACCCCTCTCCAAATGCCTGTGACATATTTCTTTGTACCCACCCCTCCCATCTTGCTCTCCAGGCTACCTTTCAAACCCAGTGTTTCCTCTTCTCTGGCACCCACCATCCAGGTACCAGCTTCTTCCTTTCTTTTTTAGCCTGTGAGTTTTGCAGAGTTGGTGGAGGTCAATTTTGCCGTGAAGGTGGCAGATGTGAAACCTATCCAGCAAGTCTAGATGCAAGCTGGCTGGGGGAACCCAGGTAACAAATGGTGGAGTTAACATACATTAGTGAATTATTCTAGGGTAGACAAAAGAGGAAAGATTTAAAAAGAAAAAAAGTAACCAAGCACTATTCTCTTTCTCTGTCACAATGATGTCCCTGATGCCTGGAACTTCAGCCCCGCTGACTCCCACCCCAGGAGCTTCCTGATGTTTACAGAACAGGGCAAATACTGGGATTCTGGATTATTGGAAGACTCTTTGACATCATTTTAGTCCTCAACAGAAGTCCCAAATTTACCAACAAATAGGTCTACTCTTGGATTCCCCCACTTACTTATACACACACACACACACACACACACACACACACACACCCCACGATGATAGCTTTTAATCAACCCCATAATACAAATCACCATCATGTGCCTTGTACAGAACCAGCCATAACCAGTCACATCTTGCCATGGGTTTAGCAAGAAGACTGGGAATTGCTGAGATGTCAGGACTTAACTTGTTGTGGGCAAGAGCAGCTAGCTCACCTCCAGAACCTCAGGTATTCCTTAAACATTTCCCAGCCTAGGACTTAAATTAATACTAAGGCCTCAGGGCTCATTTACAACCTGAGAATAAAACCTTGCCTTTCTCTAGGCCAACTCTGCTTACATTCTGAGTACCCAGACACACGGCTAAAACTATCCTTTCTATTCCTATATCCATGAAAACTACCTCTTCTCAGCAAATCTAGTCCAGGTCAGATTACAGTTTTCATGAGCTATTGGAGTAGCTTGGAGCCAGATACCAGTCTGCCACCTTCCCCCAAATCACTACCACATACATTTCCCACATTGCTGGCATAGTTCCATTTAGCTGCTTCCTGCCTCAAAAACTGTCAGTCCTGTGAAAGAATTTCAGTCACCTCTGCCTGGTATTTAAGTCTCTCTATATGATGCTCCCCAAACCAGTCTCATCTCCCACACAATATCCGCTGCTTTTCAAACTCTGATCCGTGGTCATCACAGTCCCCTGGGCATAAGCTGTCCTTTCCCTACCTGTACTTGTAAAAGCCTCCTCCTATTCGTGAAATCTCAGTTCAAATGTCTTTTCTTTTAGGAAACCTTCCTTGACTGTCCTCCTTGTCATCTATCACTCTTAGTTTTTGTAGAATTAATACCTCTCTCTTTTATCTACCCACCGTAGTTTATTTGTATTCTAAATCTCCTATCACCTGCTGCCTACATGATAATTATTTGCAAATCTGCCACGTCATCCTTCATTAGGTTTGATGACGTTGATGTTAATATCACAGTTTCCATGGAGTCTGGCCCCATCCATGCCTTACACATAGTCCGTGTTAATAAACATTTTCTGAGCTAGACTATTCTCTCCTGGATCCCCATTATTTCCACACGATGAGCCTTATTTATCCTCACATGAATAATGGGTTTATACAGAAATGGGTAACATTTTTCAAAAATAGAAAAGAATGACTGCTCTATTCATTTTGCTAAGCCTTGCCCAAAACACATTTTCATGAATGGCTTCAAGAAAAGCATCTTTGGAGATAGGTTAGCAATAGTTTTCTAGTCTAACCTCCAACAGAGTAGTACAGAAAATTATCCCTTAGTATTCTCAGTGATGGGAAACTCACTACCTCATACTTCCTCTTTAGAAAGTGAAACTGTAAATAACCTAAACCATATTCCTTCATCGGAGGCAAAGGGTAAAAGTGGCTCTTCTCTGAACAGTTAGCTTGAGAATAATTTATGGCAGTTAATTAAACCCTAGCCTGATATTTTCTATTTTTAAAGGGGCAACCAATTATTTACTTATTCATTTCCCTTGATGTGCTTAGGAGCACTTTTAAGTACACTGTCAAATGTCAAGCAGAGGAGAGTGGCAGCCTGGAATTAAAGCAGTCATTCTATGCCTAGGGCTCAGCTTCCCTTGGTCGGCTGGGCACTATGACTTAGAAATGAGACTCTGTTATGCTCTAGTGCTCTGCACTTTTTTCACATTTCATTAGACAAAGTTGTCAAAGGTGGTATCAAATGGCCAAATAAATCAAAGCTTGATCTATCTTCATTTCCCATTACTTTACTGTCTATTTCTAACATAACCAGAGTTCATTCACAAATCTCTGATGCTTTGCAAATGTCAGATGGACTTTCAGTTTCTCCTTGAAGAGTCTTCCTATCAAGTCATAATACATACACCTCTGTTATTTCACATCTAGGGGAGTTTGGTCTTTAAACATTAGCCTGTAGCAAAAGGCTTTGTTTCCCATGTTTTGGCTCAGTTTCTCATACAGCGTACATGGAGATGTATAGGGTAGGAAAATGTGAGCAACCATCTCTACCACCATGGCAGACATTGCTAATTAATCACAGCCGTCTTTCCTGATGAGCCCAAATAGGGCTTAGCATTTATCACGACTGTACTCCCGTCAGTCACTACCAACTAACCAGAGTTGGAACAAGAGCTAAAACCTATTTGCTATCTCAGAGTCCAGTAAAAAGTCATCCTAGGTCACTGAAAAGAATCATAGAATGCTAGAGCTGGTCAGATCAATGGTTCGTTAAGCTCAATACCCTATTATAGAGGCAACTACAAAGGAAGGGCTGAGAGAGGGATCCGTGTCCTCTTTGACATCAAGCTTAAAAGCTATCTCCCCTTGCTACTTCTGATGGAGCTGCAGTTCATAAAATTTACCCAAGGCCATGTTGAATTCTAGTATGCAAATGAACAATAACTAAGTCAGTAGAAGTCTTCAGGCATGCATAAGGGCTGGGCTGGCTGTTGGCAACTGATCGATAAAAATTTCACCAAGATTTCTTCACACGCTCAGTGTTGCCAGTTTAAGGTGAATGGTGCTTTCATTTTTTGCTTTGCATTTTTATTTGTAAAGCCCTTCTTTCCGGATTCATATTTCCCGTTACAGAATCTGTGGACACATCATATTTTTTGTTTCTTCATAGTTCGCAAACAAGTATTGAGTACCTGCTATGAACGATATTGTTATTTCCATTGTGATTCCCCCATACACACTACACTCACACACAACACATGAGGCATGCTTTTATCTCCAGATAGCCACACGATTCCCTGTCTCAGTTACTTTAGTCATTACTAATTACCACTTTCCACGTTCCTGTGAGGCCTCCTGTCTTAGCCTGTTTCTACTAACAAAATACCTAGTCTATTCCTATCACAAAATACCTTAGACTGGGTCATTTATAAACAGTCCATAAATACCACTGCTGATATCAGAAAGTGGGGTCTTTGGGAAGTGATTAGGTCAAAAGGGCTCAGCCCTTGTGAATAGGATTAACGCCCTTAAGTTTCAACATGTGGATTTTGGAGGGACACATGCATTCAAACCATAGCAGCTTCTCAGCAAGCATGTCTAAGAGTGCAAACCACACCCAAATAAATCATTTCCCCTTCCTGCTTAATTTTCTTCCTCACACTTACCACCATCTACCATACTCTATATTCTACTTATTTTTCTTATTTATGTATTATCTTTATCAATCACTAGGACGTAAGTGAGTAGGGGTTTTTGTCTGTCTTGTTCATTGCTGTATTCCCCAGCATCTAAAACAATGCCCAATGTATAGTAGGCATTCAGCACATTTGTGGAATAAATGAATAGATAAGCACTCTCAGGTAGATAGCGTTATTATTATCCTACCAATAAGGAAACACAAGTTCAGAGGGGTCAAGTAATTTCTGAAAGATCATAAATACCACCTCCCCCCATGAAATGAAAGAAAAAAGAAGAAAAAATTACCTTAAACATTAATTCTGTTAATTTGGAAGTAGGTTCAATTAGTGGACCATAGAGATATCATACTTTTCATGCATCCAACAAGCATGTAGAGTCTCTCTGTCCTGTTCCTGTGTTTAGGGCGAGTTCCTGAGCTCGTGTTAAATGTTTTGTGACTAGCAGTGTTCCTCCAAGAGTCCATCTATAGTGGTGTTTCTGAACCAAAAAGACAACAGCGAATATATTCCAGGCAGGTGAAAAAAAACACACTAATTGCATTCAATTCCATAACAACAATGACTTCTATTTGGAAAGCTCTTAACGTTTTTTCAGTGTGCTTTCACATAGATTTAATTTAACATCACCCTTGTGAAGCAGATGGTATCCGTGGTATTATCTCCATTTTACAACAGAGAGAACAGAAAACCAAAGCAACCGTGTGATTTGCTTAAGATCATACACTAAACAGTAGACACCCTTGAAGCTGGAATTGGTGAAATAAGACAGGCTTGGACCCAAGTCAGACAAACCTCGGTTCCCATCTGTATCTTACCTCTTCTAGTTGTGTGACTAGGGGAGGTTAATTAACTTCTCTGAGTCTCTGTTTCTTTATCTACCAAATGGGGACCCTGTCCCATCACAAGCCTGTGGTGGGTGTAAAGGTCATGATGTCTGCAACACAGGAATCCCAGGAAGTGACAGGGCCATAATAGGAACACTTAATGTCACCTCTCATTCCTGCCCCGACCTTGTCTCTGTTTTTCTCCCTGCCTACCCAATACTCTGCCAGCTAGAACAACTATATGACTCAGAATGTAGACACATTTTTTATGGACTTATTTTAAAAGCTGCTACACATTTCAGTGAATTTATCATTAACTCAGAGAATTCAAGGCCCCATAGGGTATTTCACAGCCTAAATGCCAGATGTACTTATAGGAGGCCAAAGCATGTGTGATTAAAGTTGGGAACAGCTACTGACTTTCTCAAATAAAATCTAAGATACTGTGGTTTAGTTGAAAGCCTCCTGTGAGAATTATTTTTCACTATAAAAATGCAGTTCTTTGGTAGCAGGTTACAGTAGTCTTAATGGGCTCCAAATGAACTGTCAGTTTTATAGTTCATTGAGCAGATTCATTTTGATATTAATTGGTGTTTTCTCATCTTTCACCTACAGTGTTTATATGCATAGTATACCTCTCAATAAAACAAACTTAACAGCAGGGATCTGGCACCACAGCACTGGTAACAATGTTTAGTTAAAAGCATAAAGTTTGTTACAAGCGTAAAGCATTATTGGTTGGCAAACACTGAGGCCATTTTGAAAAGCTAAAGGATTCCCATAATGGTTGCCAAAATCCAATTCCACTGCTGAATTCTCTGGACTGCCTTTTATTTCTCTGGTGCAGTGAAGATGTATATGCCTATCACTATGCACACAACCTAGTACACAGTGTACATATGAGATCCATTGACAGGTTTAAAGGGACTTTGCTATGTTAGCCTAATGGTCAACAGTAATAAATGCAAACTAGTATTTTCACTGTTTCTGATTACCTTAATACATCACTCTTAAGACAGCAGCAAATATGACCCCGAAGGGAGCAACTATATTAAGAAAGGAAGCAAAAGCCATCAACTTCCTTATATTTAAACCTTAACTTTTGCTTGTGAACATGGACAAGGCTCATCAGACTTTATGCTTGACATGACTTTAAGCTAGGTCAACTGGGCCCAGGACTCCCTCTCTGTAACTCCTCAGATCCATCTTAGGCCCACAACCCACCCCATGTGTCTGACCACAAACATTTCCTGCCTTATCTTTTCCCTTATTGTGATATCTGAACAGTTTGTTACATTTTAAGACCCCGCCTTCTTCTTTTCAGAGTCACAGTCTTAGCTCTTCCTCCTCTCTGAAAAACTCAAGACTTGCTACAAGGTGCCATCGTTGAAATAGAGAGCCTCACCAGGCACCAAATCTACCAGTACCTTGATCTTGAACTTCCCAGCCTCTAGAACTAAAAAACAAACTTCTATTGTTTGAAATTACTTCATCTGAGGTTTTGTGTTATAGCAGCAGGAACAGACTAAGACATTTACTTATATCCAAACTTGTATTATTTTTTATTTGACAGCAGTAATACTTGATTGATGTCTCCTCTTATTCAGAATCTACGATTCACAGGTCACTTAATTAACTAAGAGCACAAAAATTAAGTGGAGCACTCACCACTGTTTTTGGGTTAATGTTTCGGATTCATCAACAGGCTCTAACCTAGCTGAGAACAGAAATTGTATCTGACTTTGTTCATCTTTTTGCCTCAGCATCTAGAACAATACCAAGCACAGAGTAGATACTCAGTTTATGCTTGCTGAATAAATTAGAACATGCTTTTCAAGCAATAATATGTATTCATTGTTTGTCATGTTTTTTGTGCTTGAAATAAATCATGAGCCAAACAAGCAAAAACTCTTGCCCTCATGGAGCTTACACTATGAGAAAATAAGCACAATAAATTTTTTAAATGTGTAGTATGGTAAATGATATGTGCTATGCTAGGGGAAGGGAAGCAAACAAGATGATAAGGATCAGGAATTGGGGTGCAGGGATGGACTGTGTTGCTGTTTTAAATGGAATGGCCAGGGTAGGCCTGGAGGGAAAAGTGATAATTAAAGACCTGATGGAGGTGAGGAATTTACCTCTCCAAACACATGGGAGAAGAGTTTTTCCAGTCAGGAGGAAGAGCTGGTGCAAAGGCCCTAAGGTGAGAGTATTCTTAACTGAAGAACAGGAAGGAGACTAGGATGGCTGGAGCACAGTGAATGGGAGAGTGGTAGGAGATGAGACTATCAAGAGGCTGGATCACAGAAGACTTCATAAATCTTTGTAAGGTTATGGCTTTTACTCTGAATGACATGGATAATTGGCACAAGTTTTGCACAGAGGAGTAATATGGTCTGACTTGCATTTTCAAAGGACCACTGTGGCTGTTGTGTTTAGAATAAACTAGAGGGACAAAAGGGAGGAGCAGCAGGGAGACTAGTTAGGAGGCTCTTGCAATAACCCAAGTGAGATAGAGTCATGGCTCTGGCCAAAGTGATTGCTGTAGAGGTGGAGACAAGTGGTTAGAGTCTGGATATAGTTTTGAGATAAAACCAACATATTTTTGGATGCTCATGCCCACTTGTTAATATTTATATATGTTGGAACAGAATTATGGTTATCCCTATAATGGCATGCCTTTTCCTTTGCATTCCAGCTTGGGAAGAGAAAAGGATGCAATGCAGTGGGAACTGGCATAAAATCTAGGTTATGTTTGTGGAAAGTACGGAGCATGTAAATGTTAGATAAGATGCCGGTCAAGGTACAAGAAAAAAAAATTCTAAAGATTGAGAACTTTGCTGTTGAACAATGCACTAAAGGGGTCTAGGCATTTGAGCTGAGCCCAGCTTCTGCTCTAGCAGCCAAATAAGCTAAGTTCCCTGAAGCACTTTTTCCCTTGGATCAGGGTCTTAGCAGTACCTACATTTTAACTGCTCCTCTTCTTGTCTCCTACATGGTGTCCTGTTCTCCCTTGGTACTCCCCTTACCATTCTCTGAGTATGTATAATCCCCGATTTGGGATTCATCTGTGGCTTCATTTTTAGACTTTTGTATGAAAGAAACTCCTTTTTGAAAAATCCAGCTTCACGTGTTTTATTTAATAACATCACAGGCAATTAGGAACACACTTGGGGGAAGGGAGGCAGAGTTGAATGGATTGCTGTGTGGGAGAAGAGTGTAGGAGGTTAAGTACTGTAGGGAAAATGCATCTGTGTGATGTCTCCTCAAAATGCCCTAAGCCTCGGCCATTTGACTCTAGTCTTAGCTGTGCTCTGACCTGCCAGGGCTGGAAGGGCCAGTGGAGAACAGCCTCATGTAGTCTGTTCATTCAGGGACTCTCCTTTAAGAAATGGGCTGACAGAAGAGCTCCAGCTCTAAGATTTATGCTGGTGGGAAACAGTAATGCATTTCAATGAGAAATGATATATCCCAAAACATCTCTTTTTTTCATTACACTGAGGTACAAAGTTACTATATTTATTAGATTTTTTAAAAGTCATAAACCATTTAGAGCCATTATCTTACAGACAGATTTGGAAATGTCATACAAGGCTTCCATAGGTATAAATTAATATGCTATCTTAACATCAAATGAAAGTTTTAGGCTCCCCAGTGAGAACCAAAGTCATATTTTAGTAGAACACCACATAGATTTCCAACTGTCTTAGTTTTTGCTCACTGGAATTGCAATTTTTCACCCAGAATGCAACATAGTTCTTTGACAATAGAAGGACCAAAACCCAGTCTCTCTGTATAATCTTCTATAGTGTGTGTACACAGTATGGATATTTGGATATATTTTCATTTCTGTTATTTCACTGAATTCAGTGATAACTCTATCATGGAAGTCTCATTACTCCCATTTTACAGGTGAAGAAATTGAGGCTGAGAGAATTTAAGTGATTTGGTAAGAGTGTAAAAGAGATAATAAGTGGTAGAACCAGAGTAGAATGCAGAACTGCATGACTCTAAATTAGTGCCATCAAGTTCTGTGGGGTGATTCAGGATTCAGTAAATTTATTTTTGTAATACATGTCACGCACACGGCCAGACACGGTAGCTCACACCTGTAATCTCAGCACTTTGGGAGGCCTAGGCAGGCGAGTCACTTGAGGTCAGGAGTTCGAGACCAGCCTGGCCAACATGGTGAAACCCTGTCTCTACTAAAAATACAAAAATTAGCTGGGTGTGGTGGTGGGCACCTATAATCCCAGCTACTAGGGAGGCTGAGACAGGAGAATCGCTTGAGCCCAGGAGGTGGAGGTTGCAGTGAGTAGAGATTGTGTCATTGCACTCCAGCCTGGGTGAAAAAGTGAGACTCTGTCTCAAAAAACAAACAAAAACAAAAACCAAACAAACAAACAAAAAAATATATCATGCACACATCACTTAATAGACCCCAACATAATTACCGTGACGACACTTGGCAGCAGAGGGCCTCTAAGAGGGTGAACAGAGGATCTTCTCTTTGCCTCCCTAGCTGCACTCAGCACCCTTCCCCACTCTGATGTGTGCCCCAGGAGGCTGACCTGAATAGACCAAATCATCATCAAAATTTCCTTTGCTCTCTGCCTTTCCACTGGGTTTGGCCAAAGGGCAGAACAATCAGGAGACCACAGGGAGGCAAGAAGGCAAGGCTGAGTTCTGTGTTCCCTCAGTTTCTTTTTGGCAGGTTGCCTCAGATGGTCTGCATCCTTCAAACAGAGACCACAGCTCCTCCAGGGGAGTGCTCGCTGCCTCTAGATACTGACAAACTCTTAGATACTGACAACCTCTCCGCCTCCCCTCTTCTCTGGATACGAATGGGAAGAGTACATGGCAGTGTCTAGCCCTCAGCTTCTGCACTACCCATAGTAGCTTCTCTACATTTTGGCCCTACTTTCCCAAATAATTTCTTTATTAAACTCTATAAATTATCCAATTTGAGTGTGCCATCTGTTTCCTGCTGAGACCCTGACTGACTCAAGGGGCTCCTTGTTGATTTTGCTATCACAACGGGGATTAGTAACTAAATTCCTCTGGAAAATAATTCCTAAGCAAATGCTCCACTAATGAGAAAATCAAGCTCGTGTTGATGCAGAGGAGACAAAGTCAAATGGAGCAGTCATGCAAGCTTCACTAATGTGAAGGATCCTGCCAGGGTTTGACTGACGACGTAGAGTAGTCACCTGTGAGAGAACCAGTTCTAACAAGAGGAGAGTGACCAGTTGATTCATGTCTGTCTCTCAGGCTGGCCTCACCCACATGCCCAAGACAACTGGCCAATGTCGCCTATTAGGAGAGGCAGAGGACCACATGGTAATAATATTAACATGAATATTAATTATACCAGCAGATCTCTCATGCATGCTAATTATTAATTAACATAATTGATAGATAAGGCTTTTGAGGATCAGAGAGGTTAAGTAACTCAATCATATGCACACAGCAAGTAGAAGAGCCAGGATGTGGACCAAGCTCTGTCTTTCTATGAAGCTCATTAGAGAGGACTCATGAGCCCTAAACCATCCCAGAACCCTGGTTTCACTGACTCTGGTTTGGCCTTTGTTTCTGACACTGGTTCTCACCCTGGTTTGGTTTCTGGTTCATATTTGCTACTTGTATTCCCCTTACCTCACAATGTGGCTTCAGTTCTCTATAATTACCATTTCCATGATGGATACCCTCCTTTCATTCAGCTCAGTTCCACAATGACCCCAAAATACAGTACCTGCTTCCTAGAAGTTGTGTTTTGGTTTTGGTTTGGCTTTTCCTAAGCCAACATTGTTGAAAACCAACAAAAATCTCTATGAGGCTCAAACCTTATTCTTTGAAAATCCATTTTCTTTCCAAGAAAGAAATTATCCAGGAGAGAATTACACCAAGGAGGAGTCATAGATAACAAACAGCTTTCAATAGCAATAGATCTAAACCCTTAGAAGCTCAACTTAGTGACCAGAATTTATCTGAACTCCTTAAAAACTACCAACCCCTAAAACTGACCTGCAATGGTTAAATATTAGAACTTCAGAACTTACAGAGTTCTGAAGATTTAGGACAAGGTTCATACAAAAAAAAATAAGAAAATTCCAAAACCATCCAAATCCAAATAATCACTTTTCTCACTAGCCTGCTCATCTCTGAAAAAGAGCTGTTGCTGTTTTGTTTTGCATTCATCTGTAGAGAACTTTGGAATTACCCCCAAAAATTCCAAAATTAGCAAATAACAATTTTCTGATATTTTTCAAATAAGGGAGCAGTGATGCAAGTTCGGGTTATGTGTTCCTTTGGGTCCTTTTCTTCAGATTGTCCCATGTCATGCTCAGGGTTGAGGTCCAGCCCCAGCTAAGGTCCGAGGGGAGTGGGTGGATGTGGGGCAGGGAGCTGGAAGAGCACACGAGAGACAGCAGGTAAATGAGACATGGCTTTATTCAGCAGCTCCTTCACAGTGTCACTGTTACATTTATACACCACACAAACAATAGTGGCTGAGAGCCAGCTGGTGAGCTTCTCTATGTTATGTCTGCATGGCGATGATTGTATAAGACATGGGACTGTGCACTTGTGCCCCAATCCCACTGAGTCATCTAGGCTGTTTACCTCGGCCTATGCCTGCTGCCCTATGCCTGCTTGGCTGCAGCTCAGCCATTTTCCTTACACCCCGTATGGTCTTCATCCTTCAAACAGAAACCACAGCTTCCCTAGGGGAGCTCTCACTGTCTCTAGATAGAGATAACCTTTCTACTCCCTCCTTTTTCAGGGTAGGGGTAAGCTCCTTACTAGTATCTACAATCTCTAAGACCTAGAAATTTGTAAATGAGTAATAAATCCTAGGCCTTGAGAAAAATCATCTGAAAAAACACTGTCCGCCTCAAACATTGCATTTCTGCACTAGAATTAGTATGAGACATTAACGATAAAAGGACTTCTCAGGAGTTTATTTTCTCCTTTTGATTCTTATTGAAACACACACACACACATTTTATTCCCTTTCTTTCTGACTTTTCTGATGTCAGATGCACCTGTGGAGCTAATTGAAAATGCTAAATTTTCAGTCTCTATCCTAGGCCTTTAATCAGAATGCTTCACAGCTGTCTCTAATCCCAATTGTTTAATTGGCCCACCTGAAGGCAAGGGGGCCATTTTCCCTAAACATCTTTCATAATCCTTTTCACTGAGTATTCTGATAGCTTTGGCTGAAAAATCAAGTCCACGAAAATAAAAGCAAAATATTCCACTTTGATCCATATACCCAAAGCCTGAAGAAAAGTTATAATCAGAAGTCATTACTAACAACAGCATCTTGCATCAGTCTGCAGCCTTACCCTTTGCACAGCTCTTTCATAACTATTATCTCACCTGATCCCCACAATAACCCTGGTTGGCTTGGAGGATTTACAGCAGAGCTTTCTCACTGGGAAATATGTGCTAATGTCAGAAGAAAAGACAGACATTACCCATCATCAAAATTATCTTGGAAAACACCCTTCAAAAAGACAGTTTGTTAAAGACCAGTATAATACCATCTTTCAATAAGCGTGATACAGTATTAGAAGAGGGGGCTGTTTCTTTGATGAAACATCCAATCAGAGAGTTGGTTGTGTTAAGGAGCCATGTTATTGGGAAAATATATGCGTGCACATTTTATGCCCACATACATAAAATTCTGTACCAGAATCATACAGCTTATGTGGACTACTTACACCCTATATAGGATGCAGCAATTGAAGCAATGGAGATCCACTGGAGTAACATCACATTCATACCTCCCATGTCATGCTGACTTCATGGTTTATGCTCACTGAGTGGAATGTGAATGAAGCCATTCACACTACTTAGATTCTCTCTATCCTCCTCTCTTCCTTCTTCTCTCCCTGCGAAGTCCATATAGTTATAACACCTATATGGTACAAATTCCACTGTGCCTCCAATTTACATGTGAGGAAATGGGGCTATTAATGCCAAATAAACTGTATGAGGTTTTGACTAGCAGCTGACCTCTTACTACTGCAGACACAAAAGGTGACCATTGATACTAGGACTTCACCATTAATGATCTGAAAGGGAGTGGACTTAGCATGGGAGAGTACTCCTCTGCACCAGGCACATTGACATAGATTCATATTTACTTCCTCCTCATAGCAGCTCTGTAATAAAGGTATTATTACTACCATTTCAGAAAGGAGGAAAATGGGTGCAGACACATGAATGGTGGAACCAGCAGTGAAGTCCATGTCTCTCTGAGGCCCCACTCCAAGCCTTGGCTGTGAGTTACTGAGCTGGGAGTGGGGGTGCCCCTTGAAACATACTTCAGTGTATCTATATACTGACATCCAGGCCACCACCTGACAAGGGTGGGGATGGTTCAGGAACTGCCAGTCGACCAGCTGGAAGGACTTTCACCACTATTGATCTGTACAAGTCCTTTGCACTAAATGTTGGGAGACCTCCAGTTCAAAAATAGCCATTCTCCCTATAGTTGCTCCTACAGTTTGGGGAATTTAAAAATCAATCTCTTGTTTTCTCCCCTGAAAAAGAAGAAATGCTACGCTACCTAACCATGTACCTACCTCATTGGAAGGAGTTTCCATAGATGTGTACCCACTGAAGTTCATAAACAACTTCCAAGTGAACCAGCCAGTTTTGCATCAAGTGAAGAGTATGTACTGCAGAACTCATAAACGGCATTTTGACAAAGTGCCAACTTTCCAGGGCTTCTCATTGTATTCCTATGACAAAACTAAGCCATGCTCAGTTCCCTCTGATGTATGACTCCCATGAATTAAAGATGTTCCTTGACACTAATTCACCCTGCCTCTTTGACTGCCCACTGTGCCCTTTGCATTTGTCTTGAGAGTGGGTGAGCTCCTGAGGAGATAAGGTTCCCAACGAAGCTCTCTATTATCACACTGTACAGGGTCACCTCATTAAGCAGTTGCTATCACCTACTAATGCAGCAACCCAGGTTCCAGTTAATGCCTGTAAGGATTTTTTGGAGAATTTGGCAGCAGGGAATTTTGGCTCTCTCTCAAGCTCAAAACATAGTCTCTGAGAACATTTATGCTACTGAATAAAGAACATCTATGTGACTAAGAGAAATTCATGATTCTCTCCAAGAAGATGATTTCCCAAAACTTGTACTAATTAACCAATTAACAGGGGTGGGGACATCAATTTGATTGCTCTGCATCCTCTACTAAGGATGAAAGTCTGAGGTAAGCGGAAAGAGACCCAGACTTAAAGTCCATATACTTGGATTTCTAATCATAGTCTGCCTCTACCTAGCGGTGTGTCTGGGCCAAGATACTTCATGTCTCTGTTTTTCAGTTTCTAGTTTATAAAAATAGATGAGTATCTTAGATAATTCTTTAGTAGTCACACAATTATATGATTTAAGTCCTTCTCCTGGGCTTCATTTGTATGCTGTTCTCTAAACTATCCTTGTTTAGACTGGGCATGGTAGCTCATGCCTATAATCCCAGAAGGGATTGGGAGGCCAAGGGAGGAGGGTCACATGAGGCCAGAGTTATAGCCCAGCCTGTACAACATAGCAAGACCCCATCTCTACAAAAAAGTTTGTTTTGTTTTGTTTTTTTAATTAGCCAGGTGTGATGGCATGTGCCTATAGTCCTAGCTACTCGGGAGGCTAAGAGGCAGGAGTATAACTCAGGCCCCAGAGTTTGAGGCTTCAGTGAGCTATGATCATGTCACTATATTCCAACCTAAGTGACAGAATGAATTCCTGTCCCCATGAAAATTTAAAAAATAAAGTATCCTTGGCCAGGCATGGTGGCTCACGCCTGTAATCCCAGCACTTTGGGAGGCCAAGGCGGGCGGGTCATGAGGTCAGGAGATCGAGACCATCCTGGCTAACATGGTGAAACCCCGTCTCTAATAAAAATACAAAAAATTAGCCGGGCATGGTGGCGGGTGCCTGTAGTCCCAGCTACTCGGGAGGCTGAGGCAGGAGAATGGCATGAACCTGGGAGGTAGAGCTTGTAGTGAGTCGAGATCGAGCCACTGCACTCCAGCCTAGGTGACAGAGCAAGACTCCATAACAAAAAATAACAATAATAAAATAAAAAATAAAGTATCCTTATTAAGATGGTAGAGGTGAAATGACATTATATCAGGATACTTTTGGTTCATGATTTATCATCTTTTCAAAAGCATCAACTTTAAATTGTTTAATTTCTAGCTGCATTTAAAATGCACAAAAATATTGTCTAATCAATACTGTGGCTGGGCACAGTGGCTCACACCTGTAATCCCAGAAATTTGGGAGAACAAAATGGGAAGATCGCCTCAGGTCAGGAGTTTGAGACCAGCCCAGCCAACATGGTGAAACCCCCATCTCTATTAAAAATACAAAAATTAGCCAGCATGGTGACATGTACCTGTAGTCCCAGCTACTCAGGAGGCTGAGGTAGGAGAATCATTTGACCCAGGAAGCGGCAGTTGCAGTGAGCTGAGATTGTGCCACTGCACTCTAGCCTGGGCGACACATCGAGACTGTGTCTCACACACACATACACACATACACACACACACACACACAAATACTGTGGTGAGTGGTGGTCATGGTTTAGGTATTCATAGGTAGGCTTAGCCAGAAAATCAACTGGATGAGAGATAACAGAAGTGTACTTAACTAACTAATGTTAATGCTGGAACATTGCCGTGCTTTATTCATTGCCTTGAAAATTGTCTTAGAAATAGAATAAGAAATCTTCAATATCATCACATTCGGAGGATACTTGCCTTCCAAACGTGACTCTCTATTCCCACCCACATACTTTTCTCATCTCATAATTCTTTCCTGCTTATTCCCTCCCAATTTACAGCTTATATTTAAGAAAATTCACTGACAGATAATATTTTTTTCAAGATGGCAGAAGACCCAAATCATATAAGCAAGACATAAAATAGTCTAGCATAGCAACTAGCCCCATGCTGAGCCAAGGATATGCACTCAATAAATACTGATTGGCTGATTGATTGATCTAGTGCTGGGAATATTTCATTCTCTGTCCCACTGTGCTGAAAGGCCATGCACTTGATGTTTCCCATTTAAATGATCTGTGTCTCCATCCCCTGAGCTGTAAAGTCCAGGTGACAGCATCCGTCTCTAACATACTATTCAGAATTTTACAGAAACTGATGGGATCATGACTGCAAACTGTTTTGAGATCCTCAGAAAAAAGCCATCCACCCACAGAAAGGCCATGTGATCAGGAAGTGTTTATGTATGCAATGGGTGTCAGCATTTCCCAGGGACAACCTCAGGAAATTGGAGAGTCAAACATGCATACAAGCAAGAGTGCACTGGAGGAGGTTCATGCATTATGGATTTCTGACCAGCTATGAATAATACAGTGCTCAAATTTTAAAATGCAGTAAGTAAACTATTAGATGCCATTAGTGTTATGTACATAAATTTTTTAAAGCTCCATGTAAATATCCCATAGTCACTTCATTTAATTGTGATCAAAGGAACATATGTCCTCAAATCTACTCTAAGCCAATGGAGGTAGTTTGGGGAAACACAGGGCTGAATGAGTTGAAGAGTAATTGCAAGCCTCACTGGGAGAATCCCAGATCTATTGGACTTTTCTAATCTAGCACTGATTTGTATGACTACAAAAGACACTGGCTACATTTAAATATTTTTGAAAGAAAGGAGAGAGACTATTTAAAAAGGAGAGAGCTAAATATATCAATTCAGACTCTTCAACCTGTTCTAAATTGCTAAAGCAAGTAGTTGAAACGTTGAAATGGAGCTGTAGACCTTTACGGGGAAAGGCCATCAGTTCCCAGAGATGCAAGAACAACCATCCAGAGAATGCCAGGTGGCCCTCCCTCCCATGCGTCACTGTCTTGGTCTGTTTTCTGTTGCTATAACAGAATACCTGAGGCTGGGTAATCTATAGAGAACAGAAGTTTATTTGGCTCAGTTTTGGAGGGTTGGAAGTCCAAGAGCATGGTGGAAGCTTCTGGTGAGGGCTTTCATACTGCATCATAACATGACAGAAAAGCAGAGGGTAAGGGAGCATGTGCAAAAGAGACAAAACCTACAGGGAAGCCTCTGCTTTACAACAAAACACTCTTGCATGCAGTGATTAATCCAGTTCCATGAGAATTAATCCAGCCCTGAGAGGCATTAATACCTGCTCATCTTCACAACCCAAACACCTCTTAAAGGTCCCACCACCTCTCAACACCCTTATATTGGGAATAAAATTTCAACATGAGTTTCATAGGGGACAACCCATATTCAAACCATTACAGTCACCAAGGAGAGGCAATGGAATTGCTGAATTAATTTCAGGCCCTAATCTTACCCTCAACTGCATGCTCAGAAACAGTGTTCCAACAATGATCAGACTTAATGTTACGTACTCAGACTAACACAGCCTCCAAGAAACTGTTATATACAACAAGAATGGCAGCTTATAATTTTATGAAGAGAATAAAACTATCAAGCAGACAACATTTGCATTGGCCTAACCAGTATAGTCTCCCCTTATATGAAAAGCCAAAATGTTAGAAATTTGCTTCATCAGCTGAAACAAGAGTTGAAGAACTTTTTCCATAAAAGACCAGATAGTTAATATCTTCGTCTTCGTGGTCCATATGGCTGTGTGACAGCTACTCAACTGCAAGCCAGATTTGGCCTGTAGGCCATAGTTCGAAGACTCTTAACCAGAAAAATGGAAGTTGATTATATTATTTAATGCTAAATGACACTAGGCTTGAATAGCTTTCTAGAAGGATATTACCACTGGATACTTACTCTTAAAATGTTCAAATTGGCCCAGGGTTAATTTCTTCTCTTTCTCTCCTCTTGGAGATATGCATGGCTGGCAATTTTCTTTTGGAATGAGATATTCTTTCTTGCGCAACTTCGACACTTCTTATCTTGTAGTTTAATTAAATAAAGAACACACGTTTTTAATCTTATAAACAAAACAAAAAACAACGGATAGATAAGAAATGGTTCTGACTCTCTTAACGATTATGATGGGATGATACCTGGGCTCAAGGTGAAACCACTCATACCAAGGACCCAGATTGCAGCCTGAGAAATCTTTGGCTCAGGCTTCACCCAGCATTATTGGTGCTCAGGTAACGACTCACTCCTTCTGTTTATTTTGATCTGGTCCAAGTGCTGGAAAATTCCTGCACGGTCTTCCGTCCCTCAAAAGTCAGAGGCAATAAACTTGTAGCTGTAAAGCAGGAACTTGGTGGACAACAGACTAAAACAGCCTTTGTTTTGGTTTGGTTTTGGTTGCAGAAATTGGGTCAGTACTATAACATTCCTGTCCAGGTTTCCTGGAGTTCAGGTTCTTCAGGAATTTGTGGTCCCTGGCACCATGCCTCTCCTCAGGCCTTTGGAGCTGCCAATGCATTTTAACCCCCATTTCTCCACAGCTTTAGCATCTCTCATTGCTGACGAACTCTATCTGCTCCCTCAGCTCTCTGTGAGCCAAATGGGAGAAAGCTTTCCCTCTTTTGACATGATGGCAATCTGTGCCCAGGCGTCTACAAATAGGCTATGGATGCCCTGAAATAATAGGCCATATTTTTTATGTAGATGAATAGGTACATTTTTTTCCAGGAAAGATAGACAGTTTTCCACAAATTCTCAAAGGAGTCAGTGACTCCCCCCACCAAACTTGAAACAATCACCTTGTCATTGATTACCGTGGAAATGCATCAGATACAGATTTACTTATATGAATTCAACTGTATGCACACAGCAGAAAGAAAGACATCACAAAGAAGAAGAAATCACAATTTACATAATACAGATATCCATCCACTTTTGTATCATGAGTACATACCCAAGGGTGAGCCTGAGATGCAGACATAAATCTGCAGTCTCCAACTGGGAATAAATGCTCAATGAGATTATAATGCTTTTTCTAAGAAATACAAGAAGTACATTAAAGAACATTATTCAAGAAGGATATTCTCTCTAAGACTATGATAAATTCTGTCATAGACCTAGAAAGAGGAAAATAATACACACTTTCTCCCAGAAGAGTTTGTATTCCTCCTTCCTCTCCCCTTGCGTCTTTTATTTTCTTGTCCCTTCACATTACCATGCCAATACCCTTCTCTTCTACCACCTCATTAGAAATACTGTCTTTGGAATTCCATAGAAGGCATCGTCGACATCACTCCTGGCTGGAAAATACATAGTGCTTCCATTTTTTCTAGATGTGGGTTTAATTTACAAACCATAGCTAACATGCTGGAAGGGAAGCATGGACAGATGGAAATATAGCCTCAACTTGAACATCAGCCCAAGCTCTCTGTTTAGCTACTTGGTACCCTTACAGAATCATTGCTCCTGCCCCAAAATGATGAAACTTTTCACAGAACATAGAGCATCCATTCAAGCTAAACCCAGGGCTCTTGCAACCCACCTGAAAATAGCACATGAGTTCTAGGGACTAGTAATGGTGAGTTTCCGGAAGAAATAGCTACTCTGGAATTTCTCTTCTCAGATAAATTCCCAGAATTGATCTCTTCTCAGAATTTTTAGATAAAAGTCACAGATATTATTAGAAATATTTAGCATTGAAAATAGCCTAGAATCCAAATCTATCCTTCTATCCTGCAAGGCCAAATTCAAGTCTCTTCTCTTTCCTGGGGCCTTTCCTGAATCTTCTAACCAAAAGGATGTTTCCTTATGCTCTGAGCTCCATCAGCAATGGCCACCTCGTTCACTTTTTCACTTATTCACATATAACCTTCTGTGATCACTTGTCCTGTTGAGGTGCATAAATTTTAAGCTCAGAGAAGCCAGGGCCAAGGACATATATTGCCACTCTTTTACCTTCATCCTCTTTCTACCATTGTACTTTTCACAGTATGTTCAAAATATAATAGTTGAATGAATTAATGAATTATAGAAACTAAAATTTAAAAACAGAGAAAATTGGAATCACACAGAAGTATTGTTCTCTGACAAAATAAAAAAATTTTAAAAGCAGTGTCAACTAAAGACAAGCCAGAGGCTTCTGAAGGCAAGAGAATGTCCTCTGAGAGCAAATTTCACTAATCCTCAAGCTTTCCTCCTGACCTAGGAAGTCAATTAGCAAAGAAAAAAATGGAGCCCCTATCAGCTGGCCTGCTAATAAGGCACATCAATAATGTTCTACAGCAAAAAAGGCATGGACATAAATTTTTAATTTTAAATATAGATATTTAAAATGAGAGCTTAAGGGGGAAAAGATCATGGATTTGCATGCAAGGCAACACAAGTGAAGAGACCAGCACTGTTTTGTGGAGCTGGGAAGAGACTCTCCAGCATGTGAATAGGAAATACCCTGATCCCCTAGAAAGTGAGGTACAAACTGGATGGGTCCAGGCAAAGAGATAGAGATGCTGTGAAGGTCCAGCTCTACAGCACAAGGCAGCCCCAGCCACCCACCCCACAGGTGGCATGATGGATTTACAGCTGAAACAACTGAAAACAGCAATCAGAGCCACTGCCAGAGGGTAGTGAGTAGTTCTCACCAATAGGACCCCAGCTGCAGAAGTGGGAGAAGCAGCAGCTTGGCTTGGCCAAGGAGAATAGACCACAGTGCCTTGGCTACAGAAGGAAATGTTAATGAGGCCACAAAGGAGAGAGTTGAGTCCTCTACCCTCACCCTTAAACACAGCCACAGGAACTCCAGCCTCAGTCTTGTATCTCCAGGATCTAGTGCAGTATCTGTGTCATAATAATTGCTTAATAAATATTTGAGGAAGGGAAGGAGAGAGACAGATAGAAAAGGAGAAAAAGGGTTTGGCTGGTGGCAGCTCAAATAAAATGATTTGAATGTTCATTATGGTTACCCATAAGCCTTTATTCGTCCTTCCCTTGGCTGTCTCAGACCTAGAAATGTCTATAATACTTCCATGGAAACATACATAGAACCAAAAGAAAGAATTGCATCTGGGGAAATAAAGAGCAAAACAATCAATAAAGACATTCTTAACTATGTGTAGTTATTAAAGATATAACTATGTATAACCCAACCTGATGTGGAAAATTTAGGCATAATAAATACCAAGGAAATTGTGAATCTTTGAATCAGCTTATGATGACTCACTTGGTTTTTTAGAAAAATTCTCTCTCCATCCGGGAGACATTGTCAGCCTGTTTTTAAGCAGTCTTTTTAAACCTCTTATACTGGGAAGGGAAGGATG
Source organism: Homo sapiens (assembly GCF_000001405.40). Taxonomy (NCBI): domain Eukaryota; kingdom Metazoa; phylum Chordata; class Mammalia; order Primates; family Hominidae; genus Homo; species Homo sapiens. The sequence continues at coordinate 64,094,284 of NC_000010.11, read as the reverse complement.
CATCAAATTATGTCACATGAGTAACTTGGATTTTTTTATTCATTGTGAGGCTTTTCAAATTATGAAAGCAGTCTGTACATGTTTACAAGGTGAAACCATGCAGAGTTCTATAAAGAGCTAATCATCTCCCAGCACCACCGCAACCACCTCCACTCCATCTAACTCTCACCCCTTGTCCCAAATGGCATAGAATTAATAGGTTGGTATGTGTCACTTCATACCTTTAGACTCATTCATCTAAATGTACTCAAGCATGTATATAGAGAGAAGAATTTAGTCATTGGATTTTCCCTAAATAGTCTCATACTTTTAATATACGACTTGCTTTTTTTCACCAAACAATAGAGCATAAGCAATCTTACAATACAGACTAAATTATTTACCTTTTATTCTAATTCTGTTATAAATGTACACAGTCAGAGAGAAACAATTTCACATAAATAGGATCAGAGCATATATGAAGTGGTATACAACCCTTCTTCTCTTCTGTTCAGTCTTTCTGTTTTTTTAAATCTTTGTCCCTCCCTTTTTCTATCATCTCCTTCACCCCACCACTATTCAGGTATCTCATGTTAACAACTAGATATGTACTCCTCTGCACTTTTCATCATGGTCCTACGACACAAATACATAAATATCATTAATTACAAGATGCACAATTTTGTTATATGCCACTGAGAAAGAGAAATTATCCAAACAAAGGAGTCTAATAGAAGCCCCTAACTTAAAGGCAGGAAAGGAAAGAGCTCTATCTCAGAGTCAGGTTAAACAGGAAGTAAGCTCTTCATAAAGAACAACAAGGAAGATTTCGTTCCTCTACCTTGACAACGGGAGAAAGAAGAAAACAAATTCTCTCCTGAGAATTTGATCAGAAGCTAATCATCACACAGACTTGGGGTATGAATTCACACAACCAAAGAGATTCTCAAAAAAGGAAATCCTCACCAATAGAATTTAATTTAAAGTGGCCTCAGTTTAGTAAGACCTTCTGCAGGTGACCCATAGAAGCAAACACAAATCCTCTCTAGAAGAACTTGATTTTGATGCTGACAGTGATTATAAGACCATTGTTTGTAAGATGAATTTGATTTGCAGAGAGTTAAAACATAGAGGGAAAGTATTAAATATAAGACATGTATAGATTTTGTGCCTATTTATTTTATAAAGGTGACTATTACATGTTTCTCTACATCTTACTATTGTCATTTAATAACAGCTTTCAAAATGTCTTCTAAGACAACAATATGGCCCGGCTCATTCTTTTTTAATGCCTGAATGATACTTCATAGATTGAATTAACTATAGTCTATAAAGCTGTTTTCCTATTTATTGATGTTTGCTTTCTTTTTCTTTTTTTAACATGTATTCTTAGTATCTGGTTATTTTCCTTTTGTGGCATGATATCTTGGGAGTGGGTTAAGGGTCTGTATAATTTTTGACATCATTAGATGTTTCCCATAGTGTATGAGAGTATATACTTCCCCCCATCCCCATCAGCAGTAGTTGGCACCACTTTTCATTTTTGCCAATCTTTTCTGAATCCACAAAGGCATCCCCTGCTCTCCTGTGCCTCAAGGAGGAATACTTAGAGGAGGGAAAGTGGGTTTTCACATCCAGTGTGCCTCTTTCACGTTCAGCCAGGAACTAGAGGCCAAGTCAAAGGCTGGTGTGCCTGTCCTTCTCAGGAGGAAACAAAGTCACAGGAGTTCACTGATCCTCTGAGCTGGGACAACCTTGGCCATTGCCCGTGTCAGGAGGATAGACCTGTGCACAAAAGACTGAAGGGTTAGGCCAAGTTCAATATAATAGTCCACCATTAGCTTTAGGAAGCACTTTGGGGTCCAAAGGAAGCCGAAAGCCACACTGGTCAGATGTATGCAAGACAGCAGCATCAGCCAAAAAAAAGGATTTCTTAGGAGTGCCTGCAATCTCCAATAAGAGAGAAAGTAATCGGCCTAAAATAATGAAAAGCCTGTTTAAAAGACAACATGTCAGTGAGGGTCCCAGATCACAGGCATCTTTTACCATCTTTGACCACAAGAATGAGATGGGAAATGATAAAGGAATGTCAATTGTAGTTCAAAAATGAAGATCCAACTTTCTCATCACTTAGTGCTATCATTTCCTTGCCATTAGTAGCCCCGGAAAGTCATCTGAGTTGCACAGAAGATACTTCCCAAGTCTCTGCTGCCACCCACAGTTTGAGGTGGAAACAGTGGTATAAAGTTCTAGAAGCATGCACGAAAATTATGCTCTCAGTTGATCTATGTATGTATTGATATGCTGTATTTGTATCATTTTTACAGTATGTATACTTATGCATGCATGTGCACGTGTGTGCATGTGTGTGTGCATGCATACACACACACAGAGTGCCGTTTGGTAGGTGGTGAATAAACGGGGTATCACTTAAGTTCAATTAAACTGACTCTAGGTTTGGCACTTTTCCCACAGCAAGTAAATCAGTAATGTTGGAATTGAACTTGTCATTTAATTAAGCCTTTGCATTAATGGTCCCATGGCCTTCAGAGACATCTTTATGTCTAACTAAACCAGTTTGGATTGTCTGGGTAAAGAGACAGTACCTAAGAGCATGGAGATGTTGCAAATGAAATCAAATGACAAAGGCTTCTTTCCGTCTAGGATGAAAATGTTGCAATATTCTAATTGTGGAGAAAGATGTTTTTCAGTTGAAGATCAGACTGCAGTTGAACACTCCAATAATTCATGAGGTGGATATTATTACCACCATTTTACAGATAGGAAATAGAAGCCCCAAGAAATTAATTATTTGCTTTCCCAAATGCTTCCCTCAACTGGCAACAACGAGCACTCACTCAGAGCTTTACAACCAAGGTTCATTTTTTAAAATAATAATGATAATAATGTTTTAAATGTTATCAAAAGGTAAGGTAGTACCAAAAAATAATTCCTCCTGAAGAGTGTATTTTCACCTGTAGTCCCAGCTACTCTGGAAGCTGAGGCAGGAGAGTCGCTTAAACCCAGGTAGCGGAGGTTGCAGTGAGCCGAGAACACATCACTGCAATCTAGTCTGGGCGACAGAGCAAGACTTCATCTGAAAAAAAAAAAAGAGAGAGAGAGAGAGAGAGTATTTTCACAGAGAAACTCTCTTGTTGCAAGAAGTATTCTTCACTCCAAGATTCTTAACCCTCTGACAGCAGGTTTCATGCAAACTAAGTCACAGCAATTCCTACAATTGCCAGTGAATTCCAACTTGGTGACTATGCCACCTGTATCAGTCTACTTCTGCCACGCCCAAATTACTCCAATAAGAGAAAGACTTATGTGCCCAGCATGTCTACTTATTGTTAGCTTGGGAAATAAACAGCATCATCCTTACATCAATCATAGAAAATATTCTGGAATTCCAGTTTCTAAATTAGCAGGAAGTCCAATCTTCCCCTGGGCCTTCCTACCTCCACCAAGACATATGAGACAAAAGCAACAGTAAGTTGATTAAAATACCTGTGAGACAATCACACATAAGTCTGATACCAATTCCTTCCCAAAGATGGTTATTTCTGGGTTATATCTTAAAGGACATCCTGGGCAGGACGTGTGATTCCCAGACTAGGAGGTTACCTGCCAAAGTCAGGCCAGGCACTTTCCAGCCTCTCATCATTAAGCTTTCAAAAAACTGGAGTCCAGACTGGCCCAGGCCAACTGGTTTAAACTGCACATCCTTGGTAGGAGAGGTCACATGGTATCTCCAAACTGGGCATACCCTGAGAGGCTCAACATGAACACTCCAGAGCCAGATTGCGTGAGTCCAAATCCTGGCCCTGCCACCTTCCTATCTGTGGCTTTGGGCAAATTACTTAACCTCTCTGTGCCTCAGATAACTCAGCTGCTCAATGGTGAAAATAGTGCCTATACACTTCTTTTTTTAGAACTGCCCCCAACAAATAGTAAGCAATCCATGGATTTTACCTATTAAAATTGGTATCCAAAGATAGTAAATAAAAAAAATAAAAACCACTTTAAACTAAGCACGAGAAGTTCAGGGAGAAAAAGCCTATGGAATGAAATTGACTGAAATAATTTCCTGCTTTTCAGTCAGGTAACTCTTTTGCATTAGCCAAGGTTACAAGCAGGGCATGCTGAAGACTTCTGCAGGAGGCCAGCACCTGCAGAAGTTGTGAAAATTGGCTCCAGCCCTGAGAAACTCAATCTGCCACATTCCAAGTACTAAGGTTCATTGCCATTTTTTTCCTTTAAGTTAAAATTTTAAATTGGCCCGTGTCATGTTAACCTAAGTCAGAACCTCTACTTTAAAGTTCAGAATTCAATTAGCAAGGACAAGTAATTACTTTTACCTCCCTGGCAGGCAATATTCTTCAGAGAGAGGAAGTTCATACTTCACTTCTGGCAACAGTTCTAAGATCTGTTGCTGAAGACCTTGACTCCCGTATCCCCTGGCCAGGAAGCCAGACTGAGCACTGGACCAGCCCCAGCTGCTGCCACTGGATGCCCCTCTCAGCAGGGAATAGAAACCCAGATCTGTTATCCTCAGCTCCAGAAAGGATCTCTTAGAATGCTGGCTGGCAAAATGTGCAGAATGTTTTGCTAACAACTTCTCCACTCAACCCTCAGTAATGGTCACCCATTAAATATTCACATCAGTAACTTTAAGACTCTGTGTGTGTGTGTGTGTGTGTGTGTGTGTGTGTGTGTGTGTGTGTGTGTGTGTGTGTGTGTGTAGATGGTTGCATTTGACAGCTGAGCCCTGGGGCTGCCACCATGTGCTACAAGTGCATCATACCTGGAATTAGGAGTCCAGAGTGTGATTCCTCACCCTACCACTCACTAACTATGTAACCTTGAGCAATTCACTTTATATTTGTGAGCCTTCATTTCCACCACGTGTAAATACAGCTCCTAGTATCTTCCTCTTAGATGTGTTCAGTGATGAGAAAATTAAATGAGATCATTTATATGAGAAGACTTGGAAATGTATAAGACTTGCTATTATTCTGTAGAATCAATTCCAAACAAATATCTAAAAGAATAATTTTTTAAACTCTCCCAACTCCCCCCAACATACTGCATACAATCTTGCAAGCTGTTTGATGGTAAGCACTGTCTTTCATCTCTACATGTCCAATGTCTAGCACAGTAATTGAGACATAGTAAGAGTTTACTGAATGAATAAAAAGGCAAATGACTGATCAGAGACTGGACAAGTCCTAAGAGCAGATATCAACAATTACGTGCTTGTCCTGAGATCTTCATTTGGCATTCTGGTTTGACCCAGGCCTGAAAACATAGAATGTGGCTAACTGGAGATAAAAAGAGGAGGCACAGAAATGTACAACACTGAGCAAAGCATTCACTTTTTTTTTTTTTTTTCTGAGAAGGAGTTTCACTCTTGTTCCCCAGGCTGGAGTGCAATGGCATGATCTCGGCTCACCGCCTCCGCCTCCGGGGTTCAAGTGATTCTCCTGCCTCAGCCTCCCGAGTAGCTTGGATTACGGGCATGCGCCACCACACCTGTCCCATTTTGTATTTTTAGTAGAGACAGGGTTCCTCCATGTTGGTCAGGCTGGTCTCGAACTCCCGACCTCACGTGATCTGCCTGCCTCAGCCTCCCAAAGTGCTGGAATTACAGGCATGAGCCACTGCATCCGGCCCACATTTAAATCATATTTTAACATAGCAAAGTACCTAAAGGCAATGGCAACAATAAAAAAGATAATAATTTGTCTTTATTTAACATATATTTTGAATATTGTAGGAACTGACTTTCCTCCTAACCCAAGATCAACTTCATTGAAAAAAATTCTGAGGCTCAGGGAAGTCATCTGCTTGTCCAATGTCATCCCCCCAGATGTCTCCATAAAAATCTTAGATCTTCAGACTCTGCACCAGTGCCATGGGCCTTAGGGGTACACCAATGTGATCATGAAAGGACTCTCAGATTTAGAATGGCACACAGCAGCAGTCATCCATCCTGACTTATCTCTGCTTGAGATACAGATATCCTGCTGCTAGAAGGTTCAAATGCCCTTACTCTTAGGCTACTGAGAAGACAGCCTGGCAATAACAGAGGTGTCCTTGCCTCACCAGCAGAGGTAGTGTAGAATTCCTCTACGTTCCTAAGCCCAAACAGCCCTAGGTATAGGAGAGTTGCATGGTTACAGAGCTACAGTCTCTCCTTACCATCACCCCTGCCCTGACGCTCATTGTCTTGGCTTCTTCTCCAACTCTCAAAAACTTGGTCCTGAGTAGCCCCATCTGCTCAAGAAATTGGAGCAGCAGTCATCAGACCACAAATATTACCAGTGATGCCACAGTACTCCCCAACCCCAAATCAGGCCTCTGATTTTCACAAGGGCCCAGATCAGTCTTGGTGTGCTACCGATTTAGACATTATGATTTTGACCAGCAGCCTCTTTCTTTGGGGCCACTTCTATAGCCCAGTGGGTCCCCTAGACCCTGTACACCATGTCCTGGCCTCCTCCTCGTCCCCACCTGTCACAGGTTCCCAACATCCTCTGTGAATACAAAGGTCCTTAGAAAGACAGGATATTTTACAGCTCTTCCCTAAAGCAATTTACTACAACTTTATGGCAAAAATGACCGCTATTCTTTAAATGGAGCTTGTTCACTGAAGTCTCAAGTGACAGTTTACTTAGCTTTGCAATACATTAATACCTGTTTTAAAAGCAATCAAGTCCTATAAATTAAATATCAGCTGTTCTTACATGGCTCACATTTGAGGCCCTTCAGCATTAAGCCAGAGAGACTTTTTGGACAGTTGTTGATCTTTTGTGAGCCCAGTTGTTTTCTGGAAACAAAAGTAGAATTAGATCTCTGCCCTTACTGCTGCATGCTTAAATTTGCTCCATGACTCTTAAAACCCCAGAGCAAACACATGATCTTGAGTTCCAGGAGGAAGAGAAGTTGACTCTGAGTGCAAGCCCTGACTCCTATGACCTAGATCTCAATGGATTCAAGATAGGCCCAAGAGAATCAAGTAGCAGGCCTTAATTAATAAGCAGCGCTCTTCTGAAGGTAAATCTTCAAGTCATCTTATTGACTACATGGGAAACAGCAGAAGAGAATCGTGGCAGCTAAGGAAGAGGATGGTATTGATCAACTTATGTAAAAGCCAAGCTAATTTCCTTGCCCAGATCAAATTCCAGGCAGAACTCTTGTGTCCTTTAGCTGCTTACCTCATACTTGTAAGGTCCATAATCTAAATTATTTTTTCAGTATTTGTGTTCATTCAACAAACATCAGTTGAGTATCAACTACGTGCCACGCACTATTCTGGGCAGAAGGCATACACAACTCCTACCCTCATCAAGCTTATGCTATAGAAGGGAGAGAGATAATACCCAGATAAATAAGCAAATAAGATCAACTCAGATCCTAATAAATGTCTAAACACCAAAACGGATAATGTGATAGGGCGACTGTGGGAAGAAAGGGGATGGTTCACTGATTCCTGCACCCTCTGAGTCTCCTTCCTGAGGCCTGGTCAGGGTCAGGGAAAACTAGGTCCCACAGGGGGTTAAAGCCTGAACCTGGCTTGATTAGAAACAGAGATCTTAATATTAAAGAGACCTTAAAGCAACAGGCAACCCCAAGTCCTCAGAGAGTTAAGATTTACCCTGGCCCCTGTTTCACTGAAGACTCTGAGGCAATTGCCAACTGGCCTTAAGGCACACATCCTGGAATCTTCTAAGGGAGTACTGACATCCAGGAGTTCTGCTTCCTTGTAGTGATTCTCCCACAGTTCAGTGACGGGTGCTCAATCTTGGCTGCACACTGCAGTCGCCTGGAGAGCTTGAGCTGTAAAAGCATCTGACACCTAAGTCTCAAGGGCCCTGATTTAATGGGTCTGAGGTGCAGCCAGAGTATTAGAAGCTTCCAAATCTCTCTGAGTTATTCTAATGAGCATCCAGGGATGCAAACAACTGGTTTAGTGTGCCTATCAAAACTACCCCTAGCACTTGTTTGAAATGCAGATTCCTCAGGCCCCAGGTACTTTGGTTCCAAAGCTTAGGCTGGGGCTCAGGAATGTGCATATTCTTGGCAAACACAAGCTTCTGATGCAGGAACCAGCTACTTACAAACTACTTGAAAACCTCAGTTATATCAAGGGTCAGGGATGGAATTATCTCCAATACCATCTTTATAGAGGAAAGGAAAATCTAGGTTAGTCCATGAGTGAAAGGGAACCTAACTGCCTGCAGAGAATTTCATGTGTGTAAGGCCCCACAAGCTCTTTACCTGCTTTCTAAATTAAATATTTAAGTTACTTTTGTTTAAATGCTGTTTTTTCACAGCTTTAAATCTGACCATGGCAAGTCAGGACTCAAACATTTTGAAAGCTCTCATCTACCCTTATGCCTGAATGCCCCATTTTGGCACTGTTGCTCCCAGATTCCCAAGGAGAAGGAAGTCCCTTTGCAACATTGTCATTCTCTGTTCACACGGCACACCTGCCGCAAAAGGCGGATAGGCCTCAGCTCCTCCTTTTGGAAGGCAATGCTGTGGTTAAGGGGAAAATCTCAATTTCGAAGTAATTGGGGAAACAATCCTCTCAGTGCAGAATATGTTCAAGAGATCTTCAAACAGAAAAGCTGCTGAATGTCCCCAGCTAACGGGGGGCATCAATTGGTATAAAGCAATTGGCTAAATCTGTCTCTATATGCCCCAGTAGTATGATAAATGTAAGGAGAGAGGAATTTGTCTTGGTATTCCACAATGTGATAAATGACAGGAAACGTAATTGTGTAATGCCAGTAGCACCAGAAAATTGCAAATCTCCAAATGAAATGTTCCTTTCAATCACATAATCAAGTAACTGACGGGGCATTTGAGATATTACCTAAATTATGGCTAATTTTCTGTAGTGGCTTTCTGCACCTTGCTCTGCTGCATGGGCAAAAGATAGGCAGAAATGAACATCATTAATTGCATAAAAAGAAGCCTCAGTGGCCTTGCTTCCTGACACTTCCCCATGCCAATAATTCAGCATATCACATACATCTGCGGCCATGGATATTGTGTGGCCCTCACAAGGTACTTACCACAGGGGGTATCCTGATCACCATGGAGACAGCAGCTGGGGTTTCGGATGCTGGTTACCTTAAGAGAGAATTTTAAAAGACAGTGGCATAGGTAGAAATTGTAGGCTTTGGATCAAAACTGTCAGAAAAGGACCATTATTTCTTATTAATTTTAAAAGACAGAGATCTTCTCCTGTGAAGCAGAAGTGCTCTCAGGCTGTACTTATATCTATGGGGGAAAATTATTATATTAGAAAATGCATCACAAAAATCCTTTAATGCTTTGATTGAACAGAAAAGCAAAAACCAACTTGAGTTGACTTAGGCATAAAATGGAAATTTATTGTAAGGATACAAGAGTGTCAAGGCAAAGATGCAGCAGGGTCTCTGTAACCCAGAGAACAGTTGTTCATCATTTTTACTTTCTGGTTCTTTTTACATATGTGTTTCTTATTTTTTAGAAGGCCAATATTTTCTGCTACTCAGTTGTTAACGTGGCTGGGAGAAGATGGCTGTCTTCAAGTCATAAGTTCCCCGGTTACAATTTCAGACAAGGGAGACTGACTGTGTCAGGTGCATTTCCAAATTTGCAGGTCAGGGATACTGTGTGGTCCAGCTTGGGTCAAGCACTCAACACTGATCCAATCCCTTATTTTCAAGTAGGTGTTGGGTCACATTATACAAATTGACTCAGAGACTCATTCCTAGAATGGGGAGCTAGGGCCAACAGTCAAGGGGGTCATTTTGAGCTGGAAAAGTACCCTCCTAAGGCAATTATTACACAATTATTATGTCATTTGAGTCTCACAACCACCCTCTGAGGGAAGAAGCTCAGTTGTTATTATATTTATTTGACAATTAAGGAAATTCAGGCTCAAAGAGGGCACACAACTAGTAAATATTAGAGCTGTGGTTTGAATCTAGGTCTTCTGGTTCCAAATGCTGTGTAGGAAAAAAACAAAGCACAATTGCCATCCTCCTTTGCCTTTATGTATTCTTTTCTTTATTGTACTTTTCCTGCCTGAAACAGATCCAAATTCATTCTTTCAATCAACAGTTAATAAACATATGCTTTATGCAAGGTATTATGCTAAACCTTATGAGAAATATGGGGCCTGCCCTCAAAATGCTCAGCATTTATTAAATGAGACATTTAGCAAATTCACCTGCCAAGACTCCTAGGACTGCCACATAATACAGCTCCAAGGGGCACCATTAACAACTGAGTTTTGTCCAGACACAGCAGCTCATGCCTGTAATCCCAGCACTTTGGGAGGCCAAGACAAGAGGATCACTTGAGGCCAGGAGTTTGAGACCAGCCTGGGCAATATGGTGAGACTCATGTTTCAACAAAAAAGAGAAATAAACAGTGAGTCTTGGGAATGCACCCCGTAGAGTAGCGCAGTGTATGGTGTGAAGTCCACCATTAGCTGCAGCTAAACTCACGCGTTCCTTCCACATGTCCCTTAGAAGATGGTTAATTTCTACAATTTAGAGTCTAACTGAAATAGGAATTGTAACTTTAATGTTTCCAGAAACTTGGAGGTCTCTAACATTAAAAATCCCGTATTGAAGTAGCTGCATTTGTAGGGGGAAAAATGACCTGCAATAAATGGGGACACATCTCAGCTGTGATCTCTTGATAGCGTTCTTGGAAGTTCCAAAGCCTGTGGACACCTCTAGTCTTCCACAGGATGGCTGGACAGTAGCTACTCCCACAGGGAGGAAATCACAAGGGCTGCCTGAGAGAGTTCCCAAGGTGGAAAGGCTAAAAAACAGAATTATCAGAGGATTACGTGGAGACACAGGAGGCAAAGGAATGACCGGCAAAATGAGAGGGGGAGCGTGAGAGCAACACAGCTGAGGACTCTCCATAGGGCAGGCCTGGACGGAGGCTGGGGCCTGCACTAGGGCTGGTGGGGAAAGAGGACAGCAAAAGGCACTTCATGTTTTACTTCTTCTCTCCAAGTTGCATGGTCTGACCTCTGATGTTTCAGTCCAGTAAAAAGCAGGCGGACCTTTGTGTTAACACTGCTTTTTCCAATGCCTTTTTGTCACTTTCTTAATGATCATGATATCAGTAAGTTACCTTAGTTAAAATTGTTGGAAAAGTACAGTTTTGAGATAAGAAGCTCTGGAGAGCATTTGTCTCCATACTCCACCCCCACAACCCCATCTGATTATCCACACAGGCACTAATCAAATCTAACAAATAATTTCCAAAATTGCATGGGATTAACTGGTCTTTTCTACCATATGTTGAAAATCAGAGCACAATTTACATCTGTTCCATGTACAGGCCATAGTACCAAGACCCACACTAAAGTATCAAGGCAGGGAAAGTCTCCTTAAGATTACACTTGAATTTGAAATCAAATGTACCTGCAGACACTCAGAGAAGAGCTGCCTTCATCAAACATGGAACAACAGGAAATCTTTTATTTTGTAGTTTTCCCATGAAAAAGGAAAACTGCAGGCACTTAACTCAAACCCCAAAGTGCACAGCTAAAGAACACCTGACACCATGAGTAAATTGCAAATGTATTCTGTTTTCCTACAAAAAAAAAATTCATTAGATGGTACACTTCCGAATGTACTGCTCGTAGCGACTGCCTTGCTAAAGACCAACAGTGCTCATTACCAAGCGGTGCAAGAGCCCAAGGGAAGAGACTGAATTGGTTTTTCAAACCATTGACAGTCTCTAGAAAGTCTGCAGTGTTTACTATTTTAAAATTAAACATCTGGTTGAAAGATCTGCTATTTTATGATTTTTTATAACAATTCAAAAGTCACATTTAATTTTGTTCTTTCTCCATCAGAGTTTCAAGTAACTTTACTTTTGATCACAATAGCTCCATAAGCCTTGGGCTTACAAAGATAAAAGGAAAAACATTCCCCTTATATTATCTATGTTCGGGTCCACCCTCACCTTATAAAACTCCTCCCAGGAAGCAAAACAAACTAGTTATGTTTTTCCTTCTAACAGTCTGCAGCAGTTGAGCGTGACTGTGGGTTTATGGTGCCTCCACAGATTAAAAACAATCCCACTTAAAATGTTCAAATCAAATTCACAAGCAACCTAATGAGCTGTGAATGTAAATGTAAATGCTTTACTAAGTGAGCACCCATAAAAGAATTATGTGCCCTAAGTAATTACGTGCAGATGCCAAATCTCAGGAGTTCAATTTGGGACATTTCTCAGCAATGGGGTATCTTATGTTTATCCTTTAGTATCAGCACTAACATTAAGAAAAGGCACCTATTTTCTAGAGTAGAGCATCAGCTGCAATTTGTTCATTGTGTGAACCCCTTCACATCCCTAGTTCCCAGTAGGGCCTCTGCCTTCACCACCCCATACCTACAGGACTCTTCCACAGAGAATGCAGTTTATTTGGCCATGCAAAATTTAACTACTGAGCATAGTTTCTGTAGAGTTGAACAGAATTTGAAATAGATAACATGTACTGCTTGATTACCACATGACAATGATGGAAACAGAGTCCACAACAGGAAAATTGTGATGTTATCAGACTTGGCAGTTCCAGACTTCATGCCCAGGTCCCACTGATCTTCACCGGCACCCCCTGCTCCATTGCCAGATACCGAGTCCAACGTTCTCTTCCCAGACAAGCAAGGATCTGCCATCTCTGCTTAAACTTCTGTGACAATTCATACTTCTTAGTCATATCTCCTAGACATATCTGTCATTATCAAGTCTTTTAACTTTGATAAAATAATCAATGCTTATCTCATCCAAATAATTTTTATCCCTTCAGCCAGTCTTCAGGGAGACATTTGAGGGTACGTTAAAAGGGGGCTTTTCCCTGTTCCTCAGGTCAGTCTACTCCTCATGCTAGCCCTAAAGGTTGACTAGCCTTGGATCCTTTAGGGACTGGGTCAGAAAGGATATTAGTTTGACTTTTTTCTAGAGATCCTCCTACTCTCACAAGTTTAATGAACTGCCAGCTACAAGTGCAGAGGGCCTATTTCTTAGCCACTAAGTTGACCTGTCTTGCCCAAGAGTTACTGGCTTTTTTATATGGGTCCTACCAATGGACCTCTCAAACCTTATCCATTAACTCTAATTTCTCCTCATCAATATCCTTACTCCAAGAATTTCAGGTGTGATCACACTTATTCATCAGACTAATCATCAAGTTACTCCTTTGGCACTGAAGTCAAATAATTCTTTCATGTAAAGGATTTATACATGTTCCTTGGATCATGCTTCAGGTGGTTATTTTACTCGGTGCACACACAGACACACACACATACCACATGGGCAGAAGTCTTCACTTGTAGCCACCCACACCAGAATTGTGATTATAATCAAAGTAGGGAAATTCCCACTGGCCCCACCATTAGTTCATTTTCTAAAGGAAATTGAGATATCGCTATTCTTCCTCACTAGAAGAAGTGAAGAATGTGCCAGTGATCATCTTAGCTGAGTGGTAAAGTAACCCTAGAGACTATAAAGAAAAATTATTCAAATTCTTGAAACATCTCTCTCTCTCTGTCTTTCAAAATTGTTTTGGTCACTGACATAGAACTGACTTGTCCATGCAAAAACCTTTCACATCTCCTTTCTATGCCATTCTAAATGAAGTTGAAATCTTTAAAACTTGTAAAGGTGCTACAAAATCTAACTCCTATCTAAACTATCTCTTCAATATTCCCTTCTTTTATTTCTCTTGGCATGAATCCATTGGTCCAATGACTGATCTATGTTCCACAGTAACATCTTTTTCATTCCTTCCTTCCTTGAACAAAAAATTCAGTCTCGCCTTTGCCCCTTTGCTTATGCTTGTCTTCCACTGGAATGCCTTCCCCAACCATTCCACTTCCATTCAAAATTCTACTGAAGTCCCACTTCCCTCCTGGAGCTTTCTCAAACATACCAGTCCATGGTGCTCATCTACCAATGAAATCAGTGTGCTGCATTATACCAAGAATTAGATAAGAATTAGATAAAAAATGGGCTGAAGGCCAAGCTCAGCCATTGCCAGCTGTGTGAACCAGGGCAACTCACTTATCTTCTTTAAACCCAAGTTCTTTTATCTGAGATAGAGGGATTGGAATGATCTCAAAGATTCATTCTAGTTCTGATCCCAATAAAGTCTTTGGGCCTTATGATAAGCTTCCAGGTACCCATCCATGAGTAAATAAAAATACAGAACCCCTAACATGCCCTATGCAATATTTGAAACATGCTTATACTAAAAATTATTTACTGTTTATCTGAAATTTGAATTTACCTGTATTTCATCTGGCAACCCTACACATAGGTCCATGTTCTATAATTGCCAGTCAATTTAAACAATCTGGAGACAGGGGTTGTTTTACCCATCCCACACCTAAAGTTTCTGCCACAGAGCCATATGAAACTATGCTTCCACATGCTTTGTGATCAATGAGCACCAACTCCCTCAAACTAAAGCTGATTCCATGAGCAAAAGCTCATAGAAAATAAGTGCTTTACCCTCTTCTCAGATTAAAATTTTAAAAACTAAAGAGCTCAAACTCAGCTGTTTCTTTCCAACTGTCTTAATCCCACCTGCTGCTGCTTTGCCTTACACAGACAGATGCCCCATAAAGAAGCCCATAAAGAAGCTCAGTAACCAGTCCACATAAATCCCTTACTGGTTACCCTTCCCTCCGGCCATGTATATGTGGGGAACAAGAGCAGTTCCTTTATTACTTGTGCTCAGTTTGTTTATGAGACTCTATATATCTGGCTGTTATAAAATACTCCCCATCCCCACCCACACCCTCTTCTCTCCACTTAGTCAAATGGCATGTCCTGTTTCTGCTTCCCATAAAAACAGACACATTTATCCTTCTATATGGAAGGAAGACATCCTTGTTTTATTCTGTTGAAAGGTAGACCCTCTTACTTCTCAAGATTAAGTATTATAGGGTCACTGCCTACATTAAATTGAAAGAGGAGATCAATCATATGTCAGAGAATTGCTGCTACTGGGTATCAAACAGAAGCTGGACCAGAAAGAGACACAGAGTAGAAGTCAGGATAGGAGTCAGCCTGGACTCTGCCATTACCTCAGTATCTCAGTTTCCTCTTCTGAAATGAGAAATCCCAGCCTGACCACTGGTAAGACCCCTTCAGCTTTAATGTTGTATGGTTTTAAGCAAGATTTACATGGAGGCTAACTGAGAATTTAAGCTCAACTAAAGGAACTGAGGTAAATACACCATTTACAGCAAATGATTCTGATGTATAATAAACACTGCTTCCTCTACAAGTATAATGGAAAAATACCACAGAAACACCCAGATCATTTATCTACCTCAGCAACAGCACTGTACAAAGGAGCAAAGACTCTAATCGTGTATTTATTTCTCTCTTGTTTTGATCCAAGGCTGAGGCGTGACAACTAAAAAGAGACAGACAAAAGAGAAAGACACTGAGACAGAAAACAGAGGAAACGCAGTTACTTGGCTCTAGCCATGAACATTTCTCTTAAGTTTTTCATCTCATGGTATGTCAACTGACTTCCTAGACAAGCATCCTCCTAAGACTTATCCCAATATGCTCTGCATCTCAATGTGTGCCTGCCACAAAAAAGTAATCCCAGACCCAGAGGTAAGCATAGTTTGAAAAGTGCTAATCAAAAAGTGCTTATCACATTTTTCTCTGACCATTGTAAAAGAGAGGTTTTAAAAGAATGAGATGGAGGACACTGCCCTGCATTAAAAACATGACAACAAATAATTCATGTACACATTTATGCTGGAACACTTAGAGCCAAAATAACTGGACAAATGGTGGAAAATTCAACCTACTATCCAAACATCTAGTCTAATCAACTCAAAACTTCTAGATATTTGGGGATATGGAGACGTAGGACAAAATATTTTCCACTTTTTACTTGGGTGCTCTGGGAAAAACCACATTAGTGGAACAGCACATGGAAAACTCTCACAGATATTAGAGTTTTCAAATAAGCATTTTATGAAGTGAGAATCAATAGGTTCTCACAGCTCTCCAGAGGAGCTGTATGTCATCATCAGCTAAATATTTGCTGTTATTATTTTCCCCACGGAGCATTTGGTAAAATACATTCAATTCTCTTACAACCATAATGGCATCATTAAATGCCAGATGGGGTCCTCTGAGAGCCATTCAGTTTGTCCCCTTGCCCCCGGGGCAAGTCCACACATAAGCTACTGCAAAAACAGTGGTGTCAAATTCTAGCCTAAAAGATCCCTCAATAAAGAGACACAAATTCTCAGAAATACCCACATGAAAATGCTACATGAACTAGGGTCATTTTCATGGCTAAATTTCTGGAACAGAAGTGTGAAGTATATTCTGGAATTCTTTTACAGCCAAAAACTCCCTAGACGTGCATTTCCAAAAATGTGTTCCCTCCATGTTAGTAGGTCTTCAGCCTAACAATGATTTTATTGGACAAATCGGTTTAGGAAACATTGATTTAAGCAAAATCTATTTCTTCTGCTACAGGAATTTCTCAGAATGTTTAAAGTGTTGTTGTTTTCCTTATATCACCAAAGATTCCCTTTTATTTGCAACATGATGTTAACATACTAGAGTGGTCCTTTTTTCTTGTTTTTCTGTTTTATTTATTTTTAATTTTGGGGGGTACATAGTAAGTGTAGATATTTGTGGGGTTCATGGTATCATCAGCACTACTGTCCCCACCCTACCCAGTTCTCCCCCCACCACCACTGTCCCCACACCCTACCCAGTTCTCCCCCCACCACCACTGTCCCCACACCCTACCCAGTTCTCCCACCCACCACTGTCCCCACCCTACCCAGTTCTCCCCCCACCACCACTGTCCCCACACTACTCAGTTCTCCCACTCACATTCAGATCTCATATCAAACACCTCTTCCTCAGGAAAGCCCTTCCTTAGCCCCCTAGAACAAAGATTAACAAACTATGGCCCAGGGGCCTCATCCATCCAGCTGCCTGTTTTGCATAGCCCACAAGCTAAGAATGGTTTCTGCATCTTTAAGCGGTTGAAAAAAAATCAAATGAAAAATTTTGTAACATGTAAAAATTACACAAGATTCAAATTTCAGTATCTATAAAGTTTTATTGGAACATAACCACGATCATTTGTTTACATGTTGTCCATGAACTACTTTGACACACTACAACAGCAGAGTTTTGTAGTTGGACCAGACCATTTGGCTTGCAAAGCCAAAAATATTAACTGTCTGGTCCTCTGCAGAAAAAACTTCCCAACTCCTATTATTGACTATATGCTTTCATAGCACTGTATGTAAACTTTTCTCTTATGAAAGTTATCTCACATTTAAATTTTATACTTACTTGATTACTATAGTAATAGTTGTCTCCTGACTAGACACTGAGTTCCCTGAAGGCAGGGCCCAGATTTGTTTTTTTTCCTAGCCTTTTATTTCCAAATAGCACAGTATCTGCCACATGGTAGATATTAACTAAATGCATATTGGTGAGTGAGTAAGTAAATACCTCCTGAAACTGATGTTCCGTAACACATGACTTGGGAAATGGTACTCTATGTACATATCCTCCAGCTGGTAGGAAGAACAAAGAGAAAGATTTGCTTGCAGAATATTTCACCAAAATTATGTTATAAACAGAGTCTAAATCAGCAAAAGGGAGGCTTTTGGGTCTTAAAGTTTCTCCACTCTAAGGAAATTGAAGTTGCCACAGCCGCACTCATTCGAGGCCTCTAGGGGTCCTTGAAAATCAAGTGAGGAAACACTCAGAGCCTCAAGGGGGCTTGGAGCTATCCAGAAAAGTGCTGGGCCCCTGGAAGAAGCTGACTAATCGAAAGTATGTAAGAAAAGAAAAGGAGTCGGATATGTGTGAGATGCGACTCCCAGAATTTGCAAAGACTAAAAGGGACTCAATGAGAAAAAGAGACGCCTGTTTCTCTGGACACCATGGATGTTTATGATTGCCCAACAGTGAAATTTTTTTTTTTTTAGTAATGACCCACATTGCAGCCCATCTAGACTCAGCAGTCCTAAAGGAAGAGCTACATGATTTCCATCACGTTCTGGAACTGCCCTCTGACTCCTCTCCCATTTTGATCCAAATCACTACTTTTCTCATCAGACACTATTTATGAGGTTTAATGCATGGACTTAGGCATTACCAAGAGCCTACAGACATGTGTCAGCAAGACGTTGTTTCCGTGAGTTTCAGACCAGCTGCATTCGATAGTTATTTGCCAGCCTGTCTTCCTGATTAAAAATGAGAAGACAGGCCTTCCAAGGAAGCACAGAGTAAAACCATCAGGCCTTTCCTGGTTTGAAAAGAATCAGGTTCTTTTCTATTTCCTCACCAACAGAGCATTTCTCTTCATTGATTCGCTATTGAAGAAAACTTTCATGAGTTACTACTGTGTACCAGACACTGTTGAGCAAAGTCATTCCTGGCCTTGGGGATCTTGCAGTGTAGCGGGGAAAACAGACATTAACCAGATAACCACACAGATCAATAACTATTTCCAAACTCTGATAAGGACTTTGAAGTAAAGCTACAGGGCTCTGTGAGTGTGTGTAATGGGGAAAGTGTCCTTAATTGTAAGGTCAGGGAGGGCTGCCTAAAGATGTGACATTTGAGCAGAGATATTAAGAAACAGAATTTTCTCAAGCACCTGACCTCCCAAAAAATAGTTTTTGGCCTGAAATTCTATGGGATTTCCACCTGGAAATCTCCAGTTATTGATATATTTCAAGCAAACTAAACCAGAAGTGAAAGCAACCACTGAAGTAGACTGGCAGCAATGCTCCAATTTTCTAATATTGAGAATTAGACTCTCTTTCACATGATGCCACAGACAGAAGTATTGGTAGAAATTTTCCCAGGCTTCCTATAAATTTACCTAGAGTCTTTTATAATCTCGATTTTATAGATGGAAAAATCAAGGAAGAAAGAGGTCAGGCTTCACGCAAGGTTGTAGTGACATTCCTCCATCCAAAAAGAAATAAGCTGTTTACTCCAGAGCCATTTAGATGGGTCCTGAGTCAAGAAGAAATCAATAGGTGGATTAGGTACTTCCTCATGTAAGGTATCAGCAAGCAAGAGGCAGACATTTGACATAACTGGAGCCCCATATATGCACAGAGCCTGTCTCTGAGAGATAAGGGAAGAGGATGAGTGTGTTTTAAGAGAGATTCCTTTCCTTAAAATGAAAAGAACAGAGAAAATAACAGACCAGGGAGGACAGGATGCCCTATTCCAAACATTCACCATAAGCTAAGAGGATTATGTGCTCAATGTTAGGCTGTGCCCTCTGAAGGTCAAAAGTATGAGCTTTTAAGGAATTTAATCTAGTTGAGAAAATATTACACACCACACACACACAGAGATCAATACAGCTAAAGTGTGGATCAGATATAAATCATAAGAAGAGCATGGAAAAATACTAGAGTGGTCAGAAGAGACTGCATGATAACATTTAACTTTTGCTGAGCACTTACTATGTATCCCAATAACTCCTAACATTCACCAAGCACTAATTCATGCTTTAGCATTGTGCTAAGTGTTTTAACACATTCTCTCACAGGTAGTATGAGTGGAGCACTGTTTGAAAGATGAAAAAATTAAGGCATGAGAAGTCAAGTAATCTGACCAAGTTTTGCCAGCTAGCATGTGGCAGAGCTGAGAGTAGAACCCAAGGTCTATTCATGACTCATGATAGACCCTCTGTTTCTGTAGAATTAGGTAGAAGAGATTCAGCTGTCTTCATGCCTCTCTCAAGACAAGTAAATCTTCTTCATCTCATTTATCATTGTAACTGTTATCAATAAAGATATTTTCAGGGCAAAGCTGGGATTTAATCCAAGCTATCTGGCACTAGAGTCTGTGCTTTTAATTTTCATACTAGGCTATCTTTACAAGAAGGAAAGAGAAGAATTAATACTTAGGTAGAAGAACACAGAGAAGACATTCTTTTATTCATTCATTCAACAGACACTTTGTGCCTGGAATTGTTCTCAATGCTGGAGATACAGCATATAAACAAGGCATAGTTCGTTTTCTCATGGACCTTACATTCTGCTAAATGTAAATAAATATGTGACTAAGCTACATAAGTGAATAAATGGTGTCTTAATGCATGATATATACTAGAAGATAATAAAGCTAGATAAGGAAATAACAAATTTCAGGGTAGAGATGTTGATTGTGCCATTTTAAATAGTATAGTGACACAAAGTCTCTCAGTAATAAAGGGGAACAACTTCGTAGAGCCCTAAAGGAAGTGAGAAAGTCATGTGAATATCAGGAGGTCATTCCAAGCAGAAAGACGATCAACTATTGGTATTTTACCCCATTATCACCTAACTGGAAATCTAAGGATGATCTTCCTCTACCTCTTGAAATTGGCAGAGGTCCTTGGTTGAATGTCCTGGGAGATTCCTTTTGAAGAGACACCATACATGTCTTTGTGACTCTCAGCCACCTGGGTTGTCACTATGTGACACCAGAAAAATTCCCCATTTGCTCCAGAGATCCAAGACACATGAAGATTCTTTTTGCATTCCTCTTTGCAGTCACTTTTTATTTTGGAAATTCTTCTACAAGACCTCCCTGTGGAGCATTTTTTTTTTGGCTGAAGGACCTTTTTGAGAACCTGACAAAGGCTATAGATTCTCTCTCTCCAACCACTCCCAAAAAAATCATGTGCCCTAGAAATGATGTGTAACATTACCTATCCTTAAGCCCATTCATGGACATCTCCACACAAAGTCTACGGACTTTAAGTAAAGAGTCCTCTTTATGGAGTCCCTTTTGAGGGAGACTCAGACACTCTCACTCTCAGGAAGAAAGCCCTGCACTATCTGCAGAACCATCATCACTTATTGAAATGTCATAAGCCACAGGGAATTCCAGGCAGCACAGGAACAGAGCAAAAGAAACTCTCACTGATACTCCTTGTAATCATATGCTCAGACCCCAGACAACTCTTGAGCCATCACAAACTAGAAACTAGGAGGCTAGACAAGGGGGACATGTTAGGAGAGTGGCTTTCACGATGCATGCCACTGTCCAGGACACACTTTTGCTAGTGAAACCATGACTACTTGTGATATTCATGTTTCTATTTACCACAAGAAATAGAATTCCTTAAGGGTGGAGCTGTGCTTTCCTTATATTCCAAGTAGCCACCAAGATGTTAAAAGCCACTTTAAATTAGTTAAACACAAAAGCAAATAGTTATAGGCTCACATGTCCAATACGATGAAACTTACAGATATGGATGGACTTAAAAACTACTAGAGCCAGGGATTTTAATATTTTCCCCTTTCTTCATATTTTCATCTATATTTATATAAAAATTATATACCCATCTTTAGGTGTTTTCCTATTCTTTGACTTTTCTCTCTTGGTCACCTGTCCCCATGAGATAAAAATATGGCCACAGATGCTCTGGGCTTATATCTGAACAATATGTCCAGAGAAAAAACGAAAAGCTAAGGAGCTTTGCTTCCAGCTCCTGTTTGAAAAACGGCAGGAAGGATTTCTTCTTTGCCCAGTTTAAGTCACATATCCATTTCTAATTCAAGCTCTGTGGCCAGGGAGATGAGGCACTATGACTGGCCAATTTCCTCATAATACATGAACATGACTGGAAAAGGGAGATTATTTAAGGTAGGCATACTATGACAAGAAGAAGAATAGTGAATGGATGCTGAGCAGACAAAACAAATGGCTTTTGCAAATAAACATAATATTGATAAACTCTAATGATTTTCCACCGTGTCCTAGATACTATGCTTAAGTATGTTAAATAGATTATCTCATTTATCAATCATTCTACAATTAGTTGTTGATGAGGTAGCATGAGGCTAGATTGTGAGCAATCCTGAAATCTAGGCTAAGCAAAGCAATCCCAAGCAAAAAGAACAAAGCCAGAGGCATAACATTACCGGGCTTCAAATTATACTACAAGGCTGTAGTAACCGAAACTGCATGGTACTAGTAGAAAAACAGACACATAGACAAATGGAACACTATAGAGAACCCAGGAATAAAGACGCACATCTACAACCAACTCATCTTCAACAAAGTTGACAAAAATAAGCAATGGGAAAAGGACACTCTATTCAACAAATTGTGCTGGGAAAACTGGCTAACCATATGCAGAAGAATGAAACTGGACTCCTACTTCTCACCATATACAAAAATTAACTCAAGATGAATTAAAGACTTAAATGTAAGACTTCAAACTATAAAAATTACAGAAGAAAGCCCAGAAAATACTCCTCTAGACATTGGCCTAGGCAAATAATTTATGATGAAGACCCCCAAAAGCAAATGCAAAAAAATCAAAAGTAGACAAACAGGACTTAATTAAACAGAAGAGCTTCTGCACAGCAAAAGAGACTTTCAGCAGAGTAAATAGACAACCTACAGAATGGAAGAAAATATTTACCAATTATGCATCCAACAAAGGACAAATATCTAGAATTTACAAGGAACTTAAATGAATCAACAAGAATAAAACAAACAATCCTAATAAAAAGTGGGCAGAGGAGATGATCAGACACTTTTCAAAAGAAGACACACAAGCAGCCAATAAATGTATGAAAAAATGCTCCACATAACTAATCATCAGAGAAATGCAAATCAAAAGCACAATGAGATATCATCTCACACCAGTCAGAATGGCTATTATGAAAGAGCCAAAAAAAAAAAAAAAAAACCAGACGTTGGCGAGGTTGTGGAGAAAAGAGAACACTTATACACTGTTGGTGGGAATGCAAATTAGTTCAGCCCCTGTGGAATGCAGTTTGGAGATTTCTTGAAGAAATAAAAATAGAACTACTATTCGACTCAGCAATCTCATTCCTGGGAATATACATCATCCTACCAAAAAGACACATGTGCTAGTATGCTCGTTGCAGCACTATTCAAATACCAAAGACACGGAATCAACCTAGGTGCCCACCAGTGGTGGACTGGATAAAGAAAATTTGATACTTGTATACCATGGAATATTATGCAGCCATAGAAAAATGAAATCCTGTCCTCTACAGCGACATGAATGCAGCTGGAGGTTGTTATCCCAAATGAGCTAACACAGAAACAGAAAACCAAATATCACATGTTCTCACTTATAAGTGGAGGCTAAATCTTGGGTTCACATGGACATAAAGATGGGAAGAATAGACACCTGGGACTCCAAAAGGAGGGAGAGGAGGAGGGGGTTGAAGGCTGAAAAACTTCCTATTAGGTACTATGCTCACCGCCTGGGTAACAGGATCAGTAGAAGTCCAAACCTCAGCACCACAGAATATACCCTTGTCACAAACCTGCACATGTACCCCCTGAATCTAAAATAAAAATGGAAATTTAAAAAAGAAGAAATATAGAAGAATAATAAGAAATAATTTAATAGCATATAAGGTAATGGTTAGTATATAATACCAATCATGTATTGCTATTGGAGAGCCAATAAAGAATTTGAGGGACAAGTCTACATTAAAAAAGCGATGCTCAAGGGTGTTTAGTGCAGCAGTTGGCTGACTCTGTCACCTGTTTCCAATGACTGAATGGTGGTTGAAAAGCAGCATGCAAAGCCCTGAGTCTTCAAACTCTGGATGAGATCTGAGAGTTTTCTTACCAAACACCTCTCTATGTCTTTATGCCCTACAAAGAGTCTTCCTTTTCCTGTTCATTAATCCCTAGCAATAAAAAGGTATAATGGTAGTGCTGAACTGAGCCGTATTTATGGAAACATCACCTATTAATTCCAGGGCTCACCCACCAGCTCACAGGAAAGATGAACATTTCCCTCTGGCAGATAAATGCAAGCTTCAAAGTAAATTTGAAAGTAGTGAGCACATTCTGTTATTTTCCCTCTTAACAAGGCTTGATGAAAGCAATCTCCATAGAGGCTGCTTAATTGGGCAGGGAGCTCATCTCTGAGCAGCTCTGGCAGAAGGAACCAAGAGCTGCTTAGAACATTTTGTCTTAAGGTTACCCCTTTTCCAAGGAGGAAGGGGAATTTTTCCACCTGAACTGCCCCAGTTCCACACACCTCAAGGGTCCTCCAGGGGACCCCTGTCAAGTGGCTGTTTTGAGTATTTTCTGAACAACTGGCTCCCTACCTTATTTCCCAGCACAAACTCTTTGCTTTTCTAATTACCCTGCAGGGGAAGGTACGCTGTTTACTTCCTGCTCCCAAAAATATGCAAGCTTTGTTTCCTGCTGCTAAGATGCCCTGAGAAACCAATGCATATTAGTAATCATAGCCCCTCTGGACCATGTGAGGGAGGTTCAGAGGCCAGCTGTATCCTCTGCCCCAAAGGACCACCTTTGCAGACAGAGGCACTGAAGACTGTGGAACCAAACGAAACCATCATCCTAGGTGGGTGAGTTCTAAATTCAACCTCAGCTGGGAACTCATACCCTGCCCACCCCCAACACACTTACATAGCAACAAACCCCTCTGCAGCCTTCCTCACTGCCTTGAGACATCCCAGGTCCTCCCAAACCTGTGTGACCACCATGTCAACCAGGGACTGCGCTAGCAGAGTGAAAGGAACAATAGTAATGGCTAATATTTATAGGACATTTTGTGTGCCAAATGCTTTACATAACTACCTATTTTTATGCCCATGACAACTCTATGATTTCCACATTTTAGAGATGAGACCTGAGACTTAGAGGGTTTATGCAACTTTATCCAAAGTTAACATAGCTCTTTACTAGGAGCAAAGCTACTGTCTCTCTGATGGGGCTGGGAGGGTTGGGGCAGTAGATGCTCTGAACCAATACTGCTTCCCAGGGAAGGAAGTATGTCCTGGGAGCCTCCACTGTTTTTTCAATCAGTCAATCAGTGTTTACTGAGAGCTATTATGATGCAAACAATATACTAAAACAATATTTGACATGCTCTCTTCTGTTCAAAGAACTTCCATTCCAGCTAGTAGACAAAATGTATACACATGACAATTCAATACAAATATTCCAAATAGCAATATAGAAAAGACAGTTGAACCTAGAATAACAAAGGTTCTTAACCTGGGGTCCCTGTGGATGGTTTTAGGGAGGTCTAGGAACACCCTTAAATCATACGCAAAATTTTCTTCATATGTGCAATTTTCTGGCTTCTCTTAGGTCAGTGTTTCTTAATCAGATGTGATTTTGCCCTCCAGAGCTATTTGACAATGCCTAGATACACTTTTGGTTGTCTCGGCTAAGAGAATGCTACTGGCTTCTAGTAGGGAGTAGAGGCCAGGAATGCTGCTGAACATTCTATAATGCATGGAACAGCCACCCACTACATCTGCATTAGATTCTCCAAGGCCTCTCAGTCAATTCTAAAAAAAAATTAAGAGCAACTACACAAGAGCTTTACTTTTCCAAGGAAAAGCATGGACAAGAAGTATCTTTGCAGCCTTATAACACTTTTGTCATGGCTCACAGATGCAGCTGGATTGCTCTTCTAAGATTCCAGTATCCCTCAACATCTTGCTAAGTAACTTTCCACAAAATCTGAGCACTAGATTTTCTTGCTAAAGTCCCATGGGTTGTAATGTTCCTGGGCACTATGTTTGCATTTCCACCAGGACATTCAACACAGAAGACATTGAAAAATGGTGAACCCATCTACCAAGACATAGTGAACCCATTTGGAAGCACAGGGTGAGGAGGCATGACTCCATCATGTATTAAATCTATGCCCTGGTGTCCACACTGAGGACTGGATTCTAGGCAGTAGAAATATGGTTCTGTGAGAAGTTTATAGACCTGAAAGTCAGGGCACCTGGCTGTCCCATCAACGAACTCTGGGGACTGAACCCCAGTTTCTCTATAAAATGCAGGACTTGAGGTCTGCATCTGCCAAAATTCTACCAGAGACACAGAACCAGTAGGAGATAGATATTAAGGGATTATTGCAAGTCATTGGCTTATACAATTGTGGGCTAGGCTAGGCAAGACCAAAATGCTTAGAGCAGGCCACCAAGAAAGATAGGCTGGAACTCTTGAACATAGGCTGAAGCTACAGTCACACATGAAATTTCTTCCTCTTCCAGGAAACTGCAGTTCTGCCATTAAGACCTTCCACCTGATTGAATTGGGCCCACTCACATTACCCAGGATAATTCCCTGTACTTAAAGTCACCTGATAATGAACATTAATCACATCTACAAAATACCTTCACAGCAACCCCTCATTAGTGTTTGATTGCGTAACTGACATATAAAACTGACCATCACAGACTCCATGGTGTCTTAGTTTGTTTTGTACTTTCAAAAGCTTCAATTTTAATATTAATCATCCTGAACAACAAAATGTCATTTTTAGGACTGAGATCCAGGCACAGATACACCAAAGGGAGCAACTCTGAGCAATTGGCTCAAATATTAAGTTAGGTCATGAGGACTCGGGCTTAGGAGGCAAGGTGCAAAGATACAGATCTGGCCACACCAGGGTCTCTCTTAACGCAAGTCAAGGAAGGTTTAGAGAAAGTGCTGCTAAATAGAAGCTTTTCTTCCAAAATGCAACTGGCAAACTGTCCATCCACCCTAGGCAAGGTCTTTTAAGGAACCAATTATTTCCTGGAGAAAAAATAAAGTATTGATACAGAGACCATTGTGTTTTCTGGCATTTATCCAGATCTTAGAATTACTGAATTTTTGAGCAAGAAAGGATCTTAGAGTTAATCTTTTTTAACTCTCATTCACATTACAGATGAAGGGACTTGAGAACCAGAGAGATTTGTGAACCACAGTGTCAAGAAGCTCCTCAGTGTCACAGCCAGGATAAATAAAGCATCAGAAGTCCCAGGCC
Organism: Homo sapiens; assembly: GCF_000001405.40. Classification (NCBI taxonomy): domain Eukaryota; kingdom Metazoa; phylum Chordata; class Mammalia; order Primates; family Hominidae; genus Homo; species Homo sapiens. The sequence continues at coordinate 64,067,454 of NC_000010.11, read as the reverse complement.
AAAGCTCTTTCAACCACTTCTGCTTCCAACAAGCCAAAGAAATGTGTACAGGCCTAAAATACAAGACTTCTACCTCCTCAGCAAAGCCTGCAAGCAAGCTCTTTATTGCTGGCATTTACCCTGACAGATATCAGTAACTACAAAAGGGTATGCTGTTAACGCACGATGACAAATTCCAAAATTGGCTTGTTTTCACAACTGTCACTTTTTAAGAGGTGAATGACCTTTCTCTGGTTCTTTAAAAACCACTGGATTTCAGCCAGTGCAACATCCCCGCACTTCCTCCCACAATCGCTTGCTATGAAAATGTCATTATTCTATTTTGGAGAGGCTAGAGGAGTTGTGCTTCTTTTATAATAACTATTTTTTTCTGAAAGGGGAAAAAAAATCATGAAAGCCAGGACTGGAAAAGTTTTCATGGATCAGTCACACTCCCAACATGCACAGGGGGAGAAAAAAGTAGAAAATACAATGTCAAATCCCATATGAAAGATGTAATCCCTTTACCCTCTATGGGAAGATCTTTTGTGGCTTTATTTTGATTCAGGACTGAGAAATGTCTTGTTGCCCATTTTCAAAACTGCATCGGCCTCCAGCAGCCCTCTCCCTGATAAACCACCTAATCTGAGGGATAGAAATAATTCCCCCTGTCCAACATTCAGCTCCAAATTCTCCCTCCTGAACCCTATTATTTTGGAATTTTTGGTAGCAACAAACAGAAATAGGCAGCAAGATTAAGAAACAACGAGATAACATGTGGGTATATGTGCACGAAAGTGCTTATGTACCTAGGTGCCGAGGCAAGAGACTGAAGGCACAAACTGTTTCAGTATAATAAAGAAAATAGTTAAAATAAGAATAGTCATAATACAAATTAGATATAGAGATGATCATGGACAATTATCAATCATTATTATAAACATTATTAATCATTAGCTTTTAATATTACTCTTTGTTGCATTACTAATATGACCTAGGAATAACCGGTGGGTATAAGGTCAGGTACTGAAGCGACATTGTGAGAAGTGACTTAGAAGGCAAGAGGTGAGCCCTCTGTCACACCCATATAAGGGCCGCTTGAGGGCTCTTTGGTCAAGTGGTAATGCCAGTGTCTGGGAGGCCACCCATTACTTAGCAGACCGCGAAAGGGAGTCTCCTTTCCTTGGAGGAGTCAGGGAACACTCTGCTCCACCAGCTTCTTGTGGAAGGCGGGATACTATCCAGGCCTGTCTGCAGTCATCCAGAGGCCTAAACTCCTCCCTGTGGTGCTGTGCTTCAATGGTCACGCTCCTTGTCCACTTTCATGTTTCTCCCGTACTCCTGGTTCCTCTTTGAAGTTCGTAGTAGATAGCAGTAGAAGAAATAGTGAAAGTCTTAAAGTCTTTGATCTTTCTTGTAAGTGCATAGAAGAAAATGCTGACATATGCTGCCTTCTCTCTCTGCTTCGGCTACCTAAAAGGGAAGGGCCCCCTGTCCTATGATCACGTGACTTGCTTCACCTTATCAATCACTTCGAAGGTCCACCCTCCTTACCCTGCCCCCCCCTTGTCTTGTATGCATTAAATATCAGCGCGCCCAGCCGTTCGGGGCCACTACCGGTCTCCGCGTCTTGATGGTAGTGGTCCCCTGGGCCCAGCTGCTTTCTCTTTATCTCTTTGTCTTGTGTCTTTATTTATTACAATCTCTCATCTCCACACACAGGGAGAACACTTGCTAAGCCCCGTAGGGCTGGGCCCTACAGGTATATATTTCACAAATCCTAAATAGTGACCATATATTATCTCTGAGAAGTTCTGCCCTTAAGGACTAAGGATCATCAATAAAAGACTCAATAATAAAAAGTATTTTCTTTTTCCCAGGATAAAACCCAGAGAGAGAGAGAGAGAAATACTGCTTTAGTTGTACTTCCTGACACTAAGTAACACAACCTTGATTATCAATGGCCTATTTGACAGGGGTAGAAGTAAGGGAACCCCCTTGCCAAGGATGAGGAAAGATCGGTTGGTTTTCATTGCTTAATGCTTGTACAGTATCTTTTGTGTAAATTTCAACATAGCCTAGTCTCTAGGTAGTAAGCCAGTTGCCTAGAGAGATCAACTATGTGAGTGAAGCAGTGGAGGCAGGAGACTAGTGATATCCCCGATGTAATGAATCCATTACATTGTCCATTACATTGACTATCCTATTATCAGGACTGAAATTCCCACAAGTCACTTTAAAGACTCTTATTAAAAGTACATTGGGGCCGGGTGCAGTGGCTCATGCATGTAATCGCAGCACTTTGGGAGGCCAAGCAGGGCGGATTACCTGAGGTCAGGAGTTCAAGACCAGCCTGGCCAACATGGTGAAACCCCCTCTGTACAAAAATTAGCTGGGCATGATGGTGGATGCCTGTAATCCCAGCTACTTGGGAGGCTGAGGCCAGAGAATCGCTTGACCCTGGGAGGTGGAGGTTACAGTGAGTGGAGATAGTGCCACCGCACTCCAGCCTGGGCAACAGAGCAAGACTCTGTCTCAAAAAAAAAAAAAAAAAGTACATTGGTTTTCTAGCAGCATAATATTCTAATGTGGCACCCTTTTCTCCTTCTAGGCTGCAGTGCTTCCCAGCAGATAGATCTTCTCAGTAGGGGAAGCATATTATAGAGTAGCAGCTGAAAGCATGGTACCTGGCATCTATAGCCACACGACCTGAGTTTGCGACCCAGCTCCATAGCTACAAGGTATGTGACTTGTGCAAATTATTTAACCTGTGGACTCCTTACTTTTATCTGTGAAATGGGGATAACAAGGGCATCCATCTTATAGGGCTTTGGTGAACTTTAAATAAGATAATGAATGCAAAGCATATAGTAAGCCCTCAATAAATATCAGCCATTATTCTGGGTCCAAGCTCCCCAACCTTCTTCGTATTAAGATGTATATTTTGAAAAAAAAAAAAAAAAGTTAGTGTCTGCATGGGGAACCAGGCCAAACTAGGCTGCTCATAGACAAAACAGGGAAACTTCCAGGGAACCCAATAGACAAAACAGGGAACCCAATAGAAGAGATGTATTTATTACAGCTGAAACCACACATTATTCCCAGATGAAAATTTCTCCTGTCCATACTGGATTTTTACTTCATTTTACAGGCAACATTTCTCTCAGGACGCTATCTCGGTCCCCAACCCACACACTGTAAATTTTTAGCCAACTCTGTTCTCTCTCTTTCTCATAAGCAGTTATAAGCCATTATTATTTTTTTTACCTTTAAGCTCTGTTGGACTTAATATAGGCCATTATATTTCTAACCAATATAAACAGAATTCTTCTTTAAAGGATTTACCCCACACAATATCGCCAGAAGCAGGGTCATCAACAAGTCTTATGGTTAGAACAGGTAGGTGAAGAGTAATTCTGAAGTTGAGGATTGCCATCACCCAAATCCCTGCTTGCCATTTTCAAGTATATCACACTGGCTGGAGGGTGAGGCTGAACCCAGGAAGGCCTGAGGAGGAGGTAAACCCACCAGGCCTCCACTGCTGCCTTCATTCTGCCCTTCTCCACTCAGTCATTGCATCATCTCCCTTCAGACTGGTGTTCTCATCCTTTCAGTCACTTGGCAAATATGGCCACCCTTCCACCTTCAACTTCACATGATAAAGGAGCAGGTTGACTCAGTTGCCCACTCTGTGTAATCAGCAAAAGCATGGCAGCAGGTGAGCCCATGACAAGCAGCCAGGGCCCACTCCTAGGATACAGTGCAGACATTTGGGAGAAAGCTCAGTTCGCAAAGAGAAGGTCACAGATTGAACCAAAGACTGACTCCATTACACCGTCCACACATTGACCATCCTATCATCAGTCCTGAAATTCTCACAAGTCACTCTAAAGACTCTTGTTGGAAGTACACTGGTTTTCCAGCAGCATAATATTCTAAGATATTTTCAGTCATTGATGGCTAAAAATGTGTGTAGACATGAAACAGAAATGTTTTTGACAGAGGTATGGAGCCTGAACACTCATGGAGTAAAAGGCAATGTAAAGGGAGCAGTTCTCCCACACAGAAGTGCCCTGGGAAGACAGGAAGCTGTCTGGATACATGCAGGAAAGCTGGGAGGTGGGAAATAAAAAAAAGGGGAAGGAAGGAGGCAATGAGAAAGGGACTCTGAAAACAAACACATAAACCACCCTCACAAGTTTTTCCACAGCCAGGGATGTTCAAGGCCTGTGGCATGAAAAGCTGTTTTAAAACCAGCATTAACCAGTGACCCCAGTTCTCTCCAGAAAATGGGCTGAAATGAAAAATTAGAGCTCGGTAGAGGGTAAAATTGTTCTGCCTGGCACAAAGGAGAATTTACTACAAGACTATAATTCAAATGAAAAACCAGAGGACATAGTTTGACAAAGAATATTTGTGCTATTTCAGGGCGAATAAGGCAGTCTGAAGAATGTACTTTGGATATTCAAATATTGGAAGTTACTTGATACCACAATGGTATACAAAGAAAGAAACCAGAGCTAGGTAGGAGGTACAGTGAATTCAAGTGATGGAAAGGGAATATTGAACCCATTTTCAATTTTAAGAAATAATATAACAAACAACAATATATAAAGCCAGAGAAATTTTGCCAGAGAAAATTTTCCAGGGACTGATTAAGGTTACGGTTCTATCGAACTGGAATTCACCTCATACTATTAGTCAACAAGCTGATATTAATTAATATGTCACAGACTGCTTTCCAGCAGGCTTTGTTCCTTTCACTGCAGTCAGACAATATTAATTTGACCTATGATTGGTGAAATGAATTGCTTTTGAAGTTGCCTTAGTTTCTGACATCTCTCAATGCAATATCAAACAAGGGATAATGCCCTTCAATTCTCAACAACCCCCTTCAAAAACAAATAACTGTTATTTCTCATCCACTTCCTTGAAAAACTCTCACCTTTTGCTTAGAACTCATACATAGATGAAGATTCAGATGCAAGTAACAGAAAACAACTTCAACAGAAAACAACTTCGCTCTGTCGCCCAGGCTGGAGTGCAGTGGCACAATCTCAGCTCACTGCAACCTCCGCCTCCCAGATTCAAGCAATTCTCCTGCCTCAGTCTCCCAAGTAGCTGGGATTACAGGCATGCACCACCATGCCCAGCTAATTTTTGTATTTTTGGTAGAGACAGGGTTTTGCCACGTTGGCCAGGCTGGTCTCGAACTCCTGACTTCAGGTGATCCACCCACCTCAGCCTCCCAAAGTGCTGGGATTACAGGCATGAGCCACCGCGCCCAGCCTAAACTGAAATTTCTAAGTCTCACTTCCAAATTTCTAGACAAGAGAACCTGATCAACCCACCTTGACCCAGCTCTGATTCAGACCTGTGTGACTGTCCCCCAATTTTTCCTACCTTGATAGCATTCCTAACTTCTGCTTATATTTTGGGCTGTTGGTTCCTCTGGTCTCCCTTTTTCTATCTAGCCAACCACTCTGCTTTATATCTTTTAGAAATATCTAAAAAGTTTATGCCCTGCTCCACCCATATCACCCTTCCTTGTTTTCCATTGCTTTTATGAAAGCATTCCCTCTGTATTGTCTCAAAGGAATTCTGTTAGGAGGAAGTAGATGTGGGTAACCTGCCTGCCATTTTAACACAATTGCCCCCATTCTTCAGCTACTTCTTGTTACTGTTCTTTATAGTCCTTCCTTTTGTCTAGTGCTATATCAAAGCATAACTTAAATTATGTCACTCCCCAGATCAAAGCCTTCAAAGACTCCCAAAAGTCTCCCAATGGCAGCAGGTACAAATTTCTTATCCTGACATTTAAGATCATTCATTATCCAGCTCATATAACTCTTTCTGGAAAACTGACCATTTGCCTTCTTGAACCTAATTCTTCATTCTAAAGTGCCCATTTGCTGCTCTTCTCCAAAGAGTCGCCACATGTAAGCGTTTTCTACTATAACTTTGCTGATCTCTTTCCTCTGCCTTACTGCTTATGCCAATTCCAACCCCAACAACCATTAATCCTACTGACTCTCAAACATTCAGACCTCCTCTTGAAGCCTTCTTACCCATTCAGGTCACTGTCATATCTTATTTCAGAAAAATCCATATAACTCTGAACAAATATTTCTTTTGACAATTATCTCCTCATTCCTTGTTTTTCATTGCTGCTAGATATATTATCTCTCCCATTAAATTATAAGCAAATGAGAATGTCTTTATTCATCTTTTGCATCCCCTACAACACTTTACATTGTACATAGTACTTTCTCAAAAAGAATGAAATAAAGGTGGAAGAAGAAAATTCAATTTTTGCTTGGAGCTTATTCCTTCCTTTTTAACATTCCATCATAATTTCTATCACATTGCATTTCCAAAATCATTTTATTATATGTTGCACTTCACAAAATTCGCTTTTACGTATTTGGAATCATTATTGTAGCCTTGATAAAACCAAGATCCAGGTGTTTCACTCTTAGAATAGTTTCCTATTCACAGAAACACAACCCAGCAACCAAATATAACTTCAGACTGAAATCTTTGATTGCATTTCTCAAAAAGCACAAAGGGAATTCAAATACATGGTCCACAGTACCATCTATAAAAATCCCTCCTCTCTTCAATCCATTTCCATCAAATCTTGCAGCTACTCTGCAGAATGTCTCGCTATAACCTTCACACCCTCCCAAGCTCTTCCACTGCTCAGTTCAACACTGCTTTGCTTCCCTTACCTTCAGTCAAGATGGGTTAATCAGATTCCCTGTCTTAAAAAATTAGGAGTATGACTAAGATACTTTGGTTCAACTTGAGCCGATCTTTTTAATGTAAGCAAATTCCACCCGTCATGGGAGAAGTCTATTTGACAAAGGAGAACTCTCCTACAGAAAGAAAGATATGCCTTTGCAGGCAGAGAATGAGTGGGCAGGGGAACGGGTTGACAATTATAAAATTCTCTTAGCCGTGGTAGCATGAAATCTTGTAACACCATGAATTTGACATTTAAACTAAGACAATGGTCTAAGAGACCGCTGTCTCCCCTCTTCATGCTTTCGCGTTTTAGGAAGAACTTGGAAATACACAAATAAAACTATCAGCGAATATCAAAACACATGACAAGTAGAAAATTTCACAGCTCATGGGTGTTTCTATGTAAGCTGAAGGAGAGGAGAAAGGCATCTTAGAAAAGAAAGAACTTCTGATGAATTTTACATATTTCAAAATTTTAAATAAACAGGCCAGGAAATATTTCAGATATGTTCTGCAGGCTCACCTGGGAAGCTCTCCAGAAGAAAGGCTGGCTATCTCAGATATCCAGGGATGTTCGATTGTCTTGGTCTGAAGGCTCTGGCTCTAGAGACAAAGGTGTGAGAGGCTGTGATGAATTGCAGAGAACTGAGGGAGCCACATGGCTCCCAGTCCCATGACAGGGCTGCCCCTTTTGCTGTGGACTTGCAACTGCAGAAAGCAGCTGCCCTCACACAACATACCTCTTTCAGCTCATCTAGTTGTCTAATATTCATGCTATTTGTTTCCATTTTCTTTTGAGTTATTTTACTGAAATCCATTTCATCTTTATGCTCTTTCACTTTTGGCATGTTAGTTATTTCCTGCACTTAATTTTTAATCCCATCAACTTTTATACTTTTCACTTCCCATCCTCTTCCAATATATCTTAATCTTTTATCTCTTTTACGGTCACGGTTTTAACCTTTTATCTCATTGCCCTCTGGCCTCCTCTCATTTATTCTAAATCTCATCCACTTCTTCCTTTTATTTATTTTTTAATGTTAAGCCATTAACCTTTATTTGGGGTTTAATTCTCTTTTTTTTCTATTCCTCTTTATTCACTTTCTTTTTTCTATCTGACTCAATTTTTTTAAGTTAGACTTTCTTCTAAATATCTACCTTTCTTCATAAAATGAAAATGTGTTCTCTCTTCTTCCTCTTCTCCCCTTATAATTTTTTGTACTTAAAATTTTTATTTTTACAACAACTGGTAAGAAGTAAGGCCAAAGGGGTGCTGACTCCATACACAGGGGAGGCCGGAGACTTTCTGCTCACCTTTCACTGTACCTGTAGGCTGCCCTCCAGACTCCAGAATTCCCCACACCCCACTATCCCCAGGGACCTCCCAGTCCTATTTAGAAATCTCAGAACATTGTCACCTGGAGAGATAGAAAAACCTAGGAAGTAATGCTTTCCAGGGCTCTAGTTTTCCACATAGTAGGCTCACTTAATTCTCTCGAACCCATAGATTCCTGTTACCTTGATCTGTCTGGGTTATACATGAGGCTCTGCAATTATTGTTGTATCGTCATGAGAGAAGGGGACTTTTTAAAAAAATTCATGGAGATGTAAGAAAGCTAAAAAATAGGAATATATAGCAAAGATGATAGGCAGAAAGAATGAATGGGATCAGAAAATGGGAGAGAAAAGGGCAAAACATCCCTGAATTTAGGGAAAAACATGTCAAAAATATTCCACAAGCAAGTAGGTAATGACAGGGAAGCACCTCCCTAGAAAGAACTCCCAAATACTGTGGGAAATATTTGACAAAGTATTAAATTTAGTGTGACTTGTTGAACCCACTAATTCAAAGTGGCCTTTGAATTCTTCCCTTCGATCTTGATTTGCTTTCCCACATTAAGGCTTACTGTCAGATATGCTGTATCTTTGATTAATTATCAGATATTTACTTGACCTATTTTGGAGAATAAGGAATTCCAATACTTTTAGTACATCCAATGCAACCCTACCAGAGGCATCCAAAAACAGATAAATAGATTTCCTCTAGATTTTATTTTGAAAATAGGTATGTTAACCTACATGCAAAATTTCTCAGCAAATGAATCTATAATCAGAACCTTGTGGTGCTGAATGGGGCTTCTCTACCCTAGAAGCAAGCATCACAGATTGTATCAGAGTCAGCTCTCTCTTTCCATTATCATCCTTAAGAATGATGCTACAAACGGAGTGTCAATTCTTCACACAAATGTATGAAAGCCACCCTGCATTTGGTGGTAAACATTCAGGGTCTTATAAATTTTTGTACCCTAATTTCATTTCTGCCTTTACGAGTGTTTTTTTCGTATGATCAGTTTCTTCTGTGTTCATTTTTTCACTTATGTATTTTGTACTTAGTTTTATCTTGACATTATTTATGTTAAAAAGACTAATCTTTTCTAGAACAAGTTGATAATAAATAGAGAAACACTATTTAAAAGTTACAGGACTATAATTAGTTGTGGTATGTAAACACTGGGGAGTAAGTACATCTTTTTGATCATGGGAGTTACAGGACTTACACAGTTGAAGTAGTTTTTGCCATATGGCCAATGCACACTGCTGAGATAGACTCATGATAGGAATAGAAGTTACGAAATGACTGCAGCGGGTGATGAGCCAATGGAGAATAATAAAAGATTGAAAGAGCACATACCAAGGAAGAATCTGCTACGTGTGGTGACACACACTAAGTATACAGAGAACTAGTTTATATTAACTATCAGGTCTTGGCCAAGTTATCAAATGCCTCAAAACCTCTTGTTTTCTCATCTGCAAAATGTAAATAACCAAAACTTACGTCAAAGAATTTTTCTGAGGATTAAATGAGATAATACATGCAAACTGTTTAGCATAGTGTCTTTCATATAGTAAATGTGAAATAAGTGTTATTTAGTTTTAGAATATAAATAAATGAAAATAATTAAAGATAACTTCCAGGATTTGAGCTGGGTGACTGAGGAAATGGTGATGTAAGTGACAACATTAGATAGCTGTTCTGGGAAAGAGAAAATTAGTATTAGGTTAGGTTACTACTTTTAATGGCATTTAAAGTAATGGCAAAACTGCAATTAATTTTGCACCAATCAGCCGGGCGTGTTGGCTCGTACCTGTAATCCCAGCATTTTGGGCGGCCGAGAAGGGCGGATCACCTGAGGTCAGGAGTTTGAGACCAGCCTGGCCAACATGGCAAAACCCCGCCTCTACTAAAAATACAAAAAAAATTAACCGGGCATGGTGATGTATGCCTGTAATCTCAGCTACTCGGGAGGCTGAGGCAAGAAAAGAATTTGAACCCTGGAGGCGGAGATTGCAGTGAGCCAAGATTGCACCACTGCACTCTAGCTTGGGTGATGGAGTCGGACTCTGTCTCAAAAAAAAAAAAATTTGCACCAATCAAATATTATATCAGGATAGAGTTAGCATATTCCCACATGCTTCCTATCTGCCTTAATGTAAAAGCTGCAAAACGTCCATTTCCATTGCTTCCTCTTTCATTAGCACCAGCCCACTTGGATGGATCTGCCTGCTTTATTTACGTGCTATTTACTACTTCTCCCTGATTATTAATGAAAATGTTAACTAAACCTCTCCCCTGTGGCTTACCACCAGACACCTTTTCCCAAATGGGGGTATGCCATAATTTATTGTGAATCTTTTACTTTTCTCCTCTCCAATCAGTTTCCAGAATCATAATTGGCTTTTTAAACAAAACAATTGGAACTAATTCACGGAGTATATTATAATCACATCTGCCACATCTACAAATGGCAATTGATATTCATTAGCTGTAAATCCCCAAATCAGAAAAACCAAAAGGGAATAGGATGGACTAAAAGGAGTTTATGGGGGGAAAAGTCTAGAATATTCTGTACCCTTTAAGTGGTGGAATGATGTGTGAAATAGGCCCCTAACCCCCAAGGCAAGTCAATTAAAGTTTTCATCACATGATGATATAACCAAAGGTCTTTATTTTTAACATATTGAATATCTTATTTCCTTTGTTTTCTATTTTGTCCTATATTATTTGAAATTTTTCTTAGAAGGTTTTTATTTTTCTTACTTCCAATAGTCTTTTCCAGTAAAAGGTATTTGCTTAAATTAGAAATCATAAAATAACATCCAGGATTTGTGAATTGAGGTATATGCTCTTTTCTGAAGAGAGTACATGCAACCACAGAGGCCTTCCTTTTGCCATAGCTTTGGGAGGAAGAGATGTAGAACCCATATACAATAGCATAAGAGAAAAGTGACCTTTAGGACAAAAGTATATGGGGTACAGCTGCAAGCTCACATTTTATTAGTTCTCACCTGCCCCTAGGGATAGTTGTGGCCCCAGAACTACAGAGTAAGTTAAATAGCCAAGGTGGAAATAAATGGCCATTTTATTCCTCCACTAGACATGGGATCCTCTGACCAGGTTCCCCTGTGGGTATATGGGCCAGCAATCCTGTCATCTTCTCACATTCACAGGGTCCATAGCTTTAACTTCTCATGTTCATCATTGGGAGGTAGTCTGGTGTCAAGTATAGGCTTCTGAATCTCGGCTCCATTGCTTACTGACTCTTCAACCCTCAGCTTCCACACTTGCAAGAAGAGAGTAATACCTACCTGGCAATATGGTTCAAAAGTCTTAGTAAAATCACTGGTATCAATCATATCCTAAGGAGGGTGATGGTGAATGCCAAAGATGAGAAGTTGGTTACCTGCTCATATCAGAGAATATCTGTTTTTTTAAAATAAAAAAAAGCTTTAATGATTTTAAGTCCTGAGTTTTAATGCCTAATATTTTAGAGTTTCAGGCCACCTGCCACAAGAAAGATTGCAACTTACACAGAAAGCTAAAGAGAACTGATGAAATTTTTAAATGAGTCATGGATTCCATAGCTGGTGCTATCTGCCTTTGTGTTAGTCTAATGAGCACCTAATGACTCCGTATAACTCAGCCAGGGAGAAAGTAAGGAGGGTAGGCAATTCCTTATACTGTCAACCTAGGTTTTAAGGCTAAAGTAGAAACTTCAAATGAAAAAAAATATTTCTTTCCAGGACCATTGAACAATCATTTGGTTCAGTGTCTTTTCAAAGGAAGGCAATTGAGTTGAACTTCCTTTAGGATATTCTGCTGCAGAAAAAAAAAAAGACGTCTTTGAAGCTTCATGCAATGAGCTCTATCAGTCAACTTAAGGAAGCTGATTTAGCAAAACCAGCTGCAAGAAACTAAACACATTCAGAAGTCAGCCTCTACTTCCACATATATTCCCTGAAATCTTGGTCCCTCTCTCACTGTAGCCCCCACTCTGTTCCTCTGCAGTATCATCTGGAAGAGCTGGAAAACTAAACAGAGTTTATAAATCTTTGTGCTTCAGATGAAGCTTACTTGAGTTTCTGAATCCCATCTGTTACATATTCAACACTTCCCTTAACTTCCCTTTAAGCACTTTGATGCTGTTGTATTGCAAAAGTGACCTTCCAGGTACAGGAAAATGGTACCTCTGAGTTAGTAATCACCTGTTACATTGCCTCTAAAATGGCCATGAGGCTCTATAGATTAAGAAGAGTGCACTCCCCTATCCCATTAAAATCACTACTATTACCCTGAAAGTGGTGATGCTCCCAGGAAAAAGGAATTACAAATACTTGACCCCTTCCTGCCCATCCAAGAGTGAAAAATGGCAACTATTCAATGGGGGGGGGGGTGGGGGAGTGGAAGGGACATTAAAAATGAGCCTATTTCTCTCCTTCTCATAGAATACACTGAAGAAAAATTAAATCTGGGGAGGGGTAGGTCTTGCTGACAGCAAAGATTTCTGACATTTGAAGAAAGAATTCTCTTCACAGAATAAAGCTACAAAGTAGATCAAAAACATAGTCTCAGTTCTAGCTCTAACAACATAAAGACCATTACAATAAATCATTTCTCCATGGAAGGATCTCTTGTATATATGAAGCTGTCAGAAGTCTCCCTTATACACATAAAGGGTACTACATTATATACCCCAAAAAAGAGTGCTATAAAACTAACTTGAGAATGGGAAAGATAAATGAACACCTACAACAGAGGTTGGGCAATTCCTAAATAGCAAAGGTCAGGAAAAATTCCTGGAGTAGGACTTTGATGCATTTCTATTCTCTTCATGACTGAGTGTGTCCCAGTAACACCCATCAATAAATGTCTGCTGGTGTTTTATAACCAGCTCACTTTTGCTGATTTCAGTTTCCATCAGTTTTTCAGATAGAATAGCAACTTGTCACAGCTCCATAGGATAAAACCATGAAGCCTTCTTTGTTTTGGTGCTGGTAGCTTTTTATCTATTTATTTATTTTCAGTGTTCCATGGTTGCTATGAGCATCTCCTTTCTGATTGGTGTATTCAATTGCTGTTCTGCTGAGAATGGTCTCACTTCATAAATCTGTAATTAAAGAAACCAATGAAGAATGTGGCAACCCCAAAGTTGAGGTGTATTTCTGACATGGGTCATATCTCTGCTCCTTTTGCCAAATGATACTGAAATATTCACGGCAAATTAGCATACGGCACATCCTGTTTTAAGAGGAAATGTTGCAGAACAATATCTGTAACTGATGCATAAAATATAAGTTTTCTATTTTCACATGCAAAAGCAAACCCACATATATCAAGGGTTTATTACTTGAGATTCTTCAAGTCAATAAAATTTTCCCTGTGGTATCTAGAACATAACAACTTAATTAAGTGTTCTCTGGTTTAAATACTTTGCCTTTAAACTTGTATAGAATATTCCATAAAGGTTTTTGTCATATAATTTTGGAAGACTGGATGTGAAAAAGGAATCTTCATCTGCAGGTGGTTTTTCCTCCCTTGGTGTTGATCTGGGGCAGAAGATCACAGATACTAGAGTTATGCTTTAGGTGGTATATTTTGCCTCTGTATATATTGTGAACATAAATGGTGTGTAATGGTCAAAAAGTAGAAGAGAATACTTTATTTAATTTCTTCCTAAGATAAAGTAGTTGAGCTAAAGACAGCTAAACCCACACTGCACCATGACTGACTGAGTCTTAGAGGAAATAAATCACAGTGAGAAAAAAATTCTTATTTCTAGTGTTATCTGTTTTGGGGCAGAGAGACTGGCCAGCAAGAAGCATATTCAGCTTCATTAGACAGATATTTGGGGAGAGGCTTGTCAGCGGTCCACTGGCCAATTGTGCACATAAATTCCCAACTCCAAGTTTGATGACTGTCAAGTTGGTAGCTTGATATCAATCACAGCAAGAGTATTTACCCCACAGAAATCAGCAGACACTACACAGGGCTACCCTTCTTCCCCCTTGTCCCATGCATCACCACCACCACCACCAACCACATCAGCTGGTAAACATTTACCAGCACACTACTGATTGGGAGCGACTATAAATAGTCTCACATAAAGTCACAGAATGGGGCTTCTGTGTAGGTTTTCATTTATCCTATTAGGGTAGTGGTGACCTGAGTACAACTCTACTACCAAGACCCAGGCCCAAATTAAGACAGGAGCTTGCACAGCCATGTTAGGAGCCATTAACATCATGTCTGCTATATCTAGTGTGACCATGTGATGGTAAATTGGTACCCCAGAGAGTGGGGTGCTACTATAAAGATACCCAAAGATGTGGAAACAACTTTGGAACTGGGTAACAGGCAGAGGTTGGAACAGTTTGGAGGGCTCAGAGGAAGATAGGAAAATGTGGGCAAGTTTGGAACTTCGTAGAGACTTGGAGGGCTCAGAAGACAGGAAGATGTGGGAAAGTCTGGAACTTCCTAGAGACTTGCTGAATGGCTTTGACCAAAATGCTGATAGTGATATGGACAATGAAGTCCAGGCTGAGGTGGTCTCAGATGGAGATAAGGAACTTGTCAGAAACTGGAGTAAATGTCACTCTTGCTATGGTTTAGCAGAGACTGGAGGCATTTTGCCCCTGCCCTGGAGATCTGTGAAACTTTGACCTTGAGAGAGATGATTTAGGGTATCTGGTGTAAGAAATTTCTAAGTGGCAAAGTGTTCAAGAGGAAACAGAGCATAAAAGTTTGGAAAATTTGCAGCCTCACAATGCAACAGAAAATAAAAACTATTTTCTGGGGAGAAATTCAAGCCCACTGCAGAAATTGGCATGAGTAACAAGGGGCTGAATGTTAATCACCAAGACAATGGAAAAAATGTCTCCAGGCCATGTCAGAGACCTTCACGGCAGTCCCTCCCATCACAGGCCTGGAGGTCTCAAAAGGAAAAATGCTTTTGTGGATCGTGCCCAGGGCCCCCCTGTTCTGTGCAGCCTTGGGATACAAAGCCCTGTGTCCCAGCTGCTTCAGCTCCAGCCAAGGCTAAAAGGGGGCAAGGTACGGCTCAGGCCCCTGCTTCAGAGGGTGCAAGCCCCAAGCCTCGGCAGCTTCCATGTGGTGTTGGTCCTGTGGGTGCACAGTAGACAAGAATTGAGATTCAGGAACCTCTGCCTAGATTTCAGAGGATGTATGGAAACACCTGGACATCCAGGCAGAAGTATCTTGCAGGGGCAGAGCCCTCATGGAGAACCTCTGCTAGGGCAGTGTGGAAGGGAAACATGGGATAAGAGCCTCCAAACAGAGTCCCCACTAAGGCACTGCCTAGTGGAGCTGTGAGAAGAGGGCCACCATCCTCCAGACCTCAGAATGGTAATCTACCCACAGCTTGCACCATGCACCTGGAAAAGTCATAGGCACTCAATGCCAGCCCATGAAAGCAGCAGGAAGGGGGGCTGTACCCTGCAACGCCACAGGGGTAGAGCTGCTCAAGGCCATGGGAGCCCACCTCTTGTATCAGCATGACCTGGATGTGAGACATGGCATCAAAGGAGATCATTTTAAGGTTTAATGACTGCCCTATTGGATTTCAGACTTGCATGGGGCCTGTGGCCCCATTGTTTTGGCCAATTTCTCCCATTTGGAATGGGTTTATTTGTCCAGTGCCTGTACCCACTTTGTATCTAGGAAGTAACTAACTTGGTTTTGATTTTGCAGTCTCATAGGTGGAAGGGACATGCCTTCTCTCAGATGAGACCTTGGACTTGGACTTTTGGGTTAATGCTGAAATGAGTTGAGACTTTGGGGGACTGTTGGAAAGGCATGATTGTGTTTTGAAATGTGAGGACATGAGATTTGGGAAGGGCCGGGGCAGAATGATATGGTTTGGCTGTGTCTCTACCCAAATCTCATCCCGAATTATAGTTCCTATAATCCCCACATGTCATGGGTGGGACCTGGTGGGAGGTAATTGAATCATGGGAGTGGTTACCTCCATGCTATTCTCATTATATGAGTGAGTTCTCATGAGATCTGATGGTTTTATAAAGTGCTTTTCCCCACCTTCACTCAGCACTTCTCCTTGCTGTCACCATGTAAAGAAGGGTATGTTTGCTTCCCCTTCCACCATGATTATAAGTTTCCTGAGGCCTCCTCAGTCCTGAGGAACTGTGAGTCAATTAAAACCTCCTTCTTTTATAAATTACCCAATCTCGGGTATTTCTTCATAGCTGCATGAGAATGGACTGATACAGACCGTATGCCCATTTCCCTGGGACATTTTCTAGTTTATGCCTATTTCCTGTCTGGTTTGAAATTTGTACCAGTTTTCATCTTGTAATAACAAAAGTATCATTCTTAATAGTTGTATTTTTGGAAAAGGAGAAATACATTTGATAGATTTCCACTTTGTACTTCCAGCTTCTGCCATGGTCTGGTATACTGTGTGAGACACATGTGCAGTGGAGCAGAATTCTCACTCTCATGCATGAGGAAATCTCAATAATTAAAGAGATAGATTTTTAAAACTCATAGTCACTTTAATA
The DNA here is from genome assembly GCF_000001405.40 of Homo sapiens. Classification (NCBI taxonomy): domain Eukaryota; kingdom Metazoa; phylum Chordata; class Mammalia; order Primates; family Hominidae; genus Homo; species Homo sapiens. The sequence continues at coordinate 64,050,855 of NC_000010.11, read as the reverse complement.
CTTGGTTAGATCTGACAGATGACAGTGATAACTCATTTAATTTTCTGACCCTTTGCAGACAGTCCCTTTGTGGAACAGTGGCAGAGTGCCTACTGATAACACAAAGTGTGCTCTGCCACTAGCACCCAGAGACTAATACCTTGTTGCAGCCACAGTTGTAGGGGGAGAAGCATCTAATGCTACTACTGGCACCTCTCGGCCAGTGGGTGGACAGGCCCCATGACCTGTGCTAAAATCTGCAAGCTACACAAAGGTGCAAGGTGTGGAGAGGGAGGGCTCAATGGCAAATGTGAGATATTACAGCTTGGACATATAAAAAAATACACATAAAAATTGAGACTAAGCAGTCCTGTTGTAGAGGATATACACCCAGTAGTAAAACTGCTAGATTATATGGTAGTTCTATTTTTAAATTTTGAAGAACCTCCACACTGTTTTCTATAATTGCCATACTAATTTAAATTCTCACCAACAGTGCATAAGGATTTCTTTTTCTCCACATCCTCACCAATATTTGTTATCTTTTGTCTTTTTGATAATAGTCATTCTAACTTATGTGAGGTGATATCTCATTGTGGTTTTAATTTGCATTTCCCTGATAATTAGTGAGGTTGAGCACTTTTTCTTAAACCTGTTGGCCATCTGTATGTCTTCTTTTGAGCACTGTCTCTTCAGATCCTTTGCCCATTTTTAAAATTGGATTATTTGTTTTCTTGCTATTGAGTTGCTTGAGTTCCTTATATATTTTTGATGTTAACCCCTTATAAGAAATATGATTTGCAAATATTTCCTCCCAGTTTGGAGGTTGTCTCTTCACTCCCTTTATTGTCTCCTTTACTGTGCAGAAGCTTTTTAGTTTGACATATTCCAATTTGTCTATCTTTGCTTTTGTTGCCTGTGCATTTGGGGTCACACTCAAAAAATTATTGCCCAGACCAATGTCATGGAGCTTTTATCCTACGTTTTTCTTGTAGCAGTTTTAGAGTTTCAGGCCTTAAATTTAAGTCTTTAATTGATGTTGAGCTAATTTTTGTATATGTTGTGAGATAAGGGTCCAATTTCATTCTTCTGCATGTGGATATCCAGTTGTCACAACACCATTTATTTAAAGGATTGTCCTTTCCCAATTGTGTGTTCAGAGCAATTTTGTTGAAGATCAGTCGGCTGCAAATGCATGGATTTATTTCTAGGCTTCCTGTCCATCTCCATTTTTCTATTTGTCTTTTTTTTATACCAGTGCTATGCTGTTTTTGCTTACTGTAGCTTTGTGGTATATTTTGACATCAGATAGTTGATGCCTCTAGCTTTGTTCTTTTTGCTCAAGATTGCTTTGGCTATTTGGGGTCTTTTGTAGTTCCATACAAATTTTAGGAATTTTTTTTCTATTTCTGTAAAAAATGCCATTGAAATTTTAATAAGAATTTCATTGAATCTGTAGATCACTTTGAGTAATATGGCCAGTTGAACAACATTAATTCTTTTAATTCATGAACATAGAATACCTTTTTATTTTTGTGTCTTCAATTTCTTTCATCAATGTTTTACAGTTTTCAGTGTGTTGGTCTTTTACCTCCTTCATTAAACTTATTCCTAAGTAATTTTTATGCTATTGTAAATGGGATGGGTTTTTTCTTTTTTGAAATTTTTTATTTATTTATTTTTAAATTTATATTCTTTTCTTTTCCCTTCCTCTTCCTCTCCCCACTATCTTTCCCATCCTCTGATAACTACCATTCTACTTGCTATCTTCATGAGGTTCACTTTTTTACCTCCCATATATGAAATCATGTGATACCTGTTTTTCTGTGCTTGGCTTATTGCACTTAATATAATAGCTTCCAGTTTCGTCTATGTTGCTGCAAATGACATGATTTCATTCTTTTTAAGACTCAATAACATTCTGTTGTGTGTATACACCACATTTTCTTTATCCATTCATTCATTTTTGGGCACTTAGGTTGATTTCATATTATGGATATTATGAATAGTACCACAATGAACATGGGAGTGCAGATGTCTCTTTGATATATTGATTTTCCTTCTTTTAGTGTATACCTAGTAGTGAGATTGCTGGGTCATATGGTAGTTCTATTTTCAGTTTTTCAAAGAATCTCCGCGCTGTTCTCCATAGTGGCTGTACTAATTTACATTTCCATCAACAGTACATGAGTGTCCCCTTTCTGCACATCCTCACCAGCATCTGTTATTCTCTGACTTTTTGATACAAGCCATCTTAACTGGGGTGAGATAATATCTCATCATGGTATTGATTTGCATTTCTCTGATGAGTAGTTATATTGAGTATTTTTTTTGTTAACCTTTTGGCCACTTGTATGGCTTCTTTTGAGAAGTGTTTGTTCAGATCTTTTGCCCATTTTTAAATCGGATTATTTGTTTTTGCCACTAAGTTGTTTGAGCTCCTTATATATTCTGGTTACTAATTCCTTGTCAGACGGACAGTTTGCACATATTTTCTCTCATTCTGTAGGTTGTCTCTTCAGTTTGTTGATTGTTTCCTTTGCTGTGCAGAAGCTTTTTAGCTTGTTATAACCCCATTTGTCTATTTTTGCTTTGGTTGCCTGTGCCTTTGAGTTCTGTCTTAGAGAAAATAAAAGTCTTTGCCTAGACTAGTGTCCTAAAGTGCTTCCCAATGTTTCCTTCTACTAGTTTCATATATTCAGGTCTTAGATTTAAGTCTTCAATTCATTAATTCATTTTGAATTGAATGTTGTGAGAGATAAGGTCTAGTTTCATTCCTCTGCATATAGTTATCCAGTTTTCCCATTTATTGAAATGACTGTCCTTTCCCCATTGTATGTTCTTAGCACCACTGTTGAGGATAAATTTGCTATAAATGCATGGACTTATTTATGGGTTCTCTATCGTGTTCCACTGAAATATGCATCTGTTTTTATGCCAGTGTCATGCTGTTTTGCTTATTATAGCTTTGTAGTAAATTTTCAAGTCAGGTATTGTGATGCTTCCAACTTTGTTCTTTTTGCTCAGGATTGCTTTAGCTATTTGGGAACTTTTGTGGTTTTATATAAATTTTAGGATTTTTTTCTATTTGTGTGAAGAATGTCATTGGTATTTTGATAGGGATTACAGTGAATCTTTAAATTGCCTTGGGTAATTTTGGCCTTTTAACACTATTAATTCTTCCAATCCCTGAACATTGAATATCTTTCCAGTTTTTGTGTCCTCTTCAACTGCTTTCTTTCAATTCCTTTTATTAGAGTTTTATAGTTTTCCTTGTATAGATCTTTCACTTCTTTAGTTATATTGATTTCCAAGTGTTTCATATTCTTTGTAGCTATTGTAAATGGGGTTGCTTTCTCTAATTTTTTCAGATTGTTTGTTATTGGCATATATAAATGCTACTAATTTTTGTGTGTTGATTTTGTATTCTGCAATTTTACTAAATTTATCAGTTCTAATAGTTTTTTGGTGAGTCTTTAGGTTTTTCCAAATATAAGATCATGCTATCTGTAAACAAGGCTAATTTGACTTCTTCATTTCCAACTTAGATGCCCTTTATTTATTTCCCTTGATTAATTGCTCTGGCCAGAACTTCCAGTATTATGTTAAATAACAGTTGTGAACATGGGCATCTTTGTCTTGTTCCAGTCCTTAGAGAAAAGCCCTTCAATTTTTCCCTGTAAGGTACAATGTCAGCTATAGGTTTGTCACATATACTTTACTATTTTGAAGTACGTTCCTTCTATATCCATTTTAATAAGGGTTTTATCATAAAGGATTTTGAATTGTATTGAATGCAATTTATGTTCTTGATTCTGTTAATGTGATTTATCACGTTTATAGATTTGCATACATTTAACCACTCTTGCATCTCTGGGATGAGTGCCATTTGATCATGGTGAATGGTCTTCTTAATATGCTGTTGAATTTGGTTTGCTAGTATTTTGCTGAGAATTTTTACATCTATGTTCACCAATGATATTGGCCTGTAGTTTTCTTTTTTGTTATATCTTTGTCTGGTTTCACTATTAGGTTAGTATTGGCCTCATAAAATGAATCTGGAAGTATTCCCTACTAGAAGAAATGGATAAATTCCTGGATACAACAGCCTACTGAGATTGAACCAGGGAGAAATAGAAAATCTCAACAAACCAATAACAACTAATGGAACCAAGCCATAATAAAATGTCTCCCATCAAAGAAAGGCTCAGGACCTATGGTTTCACTATTGCATTCTATGGAATGTTAAAGAGAACTAATACCAATTCTATTCAAACTATGCAAAAAATAATTGAAGAGCAGGGAATACTTCCAGATTCATTTTATGAGGTCAGTACCAATGTAATAGTGAAACCAGACAGATATAACAAAAAAGAAAACCACAGGCCAATATCATTGATGAACATAGATGTGAAAATTCTCAGTAAAATACTAGCAAAAGTACCTGTAAAATTAAAAATATTTAGGCTAAACTTCCTACACATTTAAATACCAAAAAAGCAGTGAAAGTGTACACCATTTAGTTGCATTTGCTATTGTTTTACCAAGCACCTTAGCATCTGTAGAGAAATCATTTTATTTTATTGATGGAAAATATTATACTCTACCAAGAAGAGCAATTGAAAAAAGCAACAATTGCCAACTTATTACCATAAGACACAACTTTAAAGAAGATGAAAGGCAATTTGTTTAAAATAGTCTTAAGAATAAGACTATATTTAAAAAAATTCTTCAGAAAAATTCCAGTGACACAGTACTAGAGAAAACATAGCTAAGAATCTGATCAACATATATGAATATATACCAGGAAGAATTATACTGCTTGTATTGTTTTTAAATATTCAGATATTTGAATATTAAGTTTTTATTTTGCTTTACAATTCATAGATATGTTATTTATTTTTTAATAGATTTTTTAAATAGCTATTGAATGGATTGGTTATATAAATTCACCAACAAAATAAAACAATTTGATGGTCAGCAAATAATTTTGGAGAACATAATTTTAATGATTTTTAATCACCTCTTTGATTTTCTAAGGCCTCCCAGTTTGGATGATAAATTATATGGTCACTCTAGCCCTGGCCCATCATAGAAAAATAATAATTTCTATTCTGGGACCTACTGCAGAAGAAGAGAGAACTCAGCAACTAGTGCCACTTCCATTTTTTCCTTTTGACCTGTGCTAATAATTAGAGGATTTGTTTTGTTTTCTGGCCTCATAAAATGAATCTGGATCTGGTTTTTTTTTTTTTTTTTTTGCAGTTGCAAGATTTAATAGAGTGAAAACAGAGCTTCCATAAAATGGGAGGGGACCCAAAGGGGGTTGCCGTTGCCTGCTCGAATGCCTGGATTTATATCCCGATCATTGTCCCCCGCCCTGTGCTCTCAGGTGATAGATGATTGGCTATTTATTTACCTTCTGTTTTTGCCTAATCAGCATTTTAGTGAACTCTCTTTACTACCTGATTGGTTGGGTGTGAGCTAAGTTGCAAGCCCCGTGTTTAAAGGTGGATGCGGTCACCTCCCCAGCTAGGCTTAGGGATTCTTAGTCGGCCTAGGAAATCCAGCTAGTCATGTCTCTCAGTTCCCCCTCTCGACAGGAAAACCCAAGTGCTGTTGGGAAGGTTGGCCGACAACCACTCTAACTGTTTCCTGCTGAACTGGCGCATAGTAGGGGTCGTGCAGTTGAGATTTCCTCGGGAGGGGTGCCTTCGATGTCACTAGCATCGGAACATGGGCTAGCAGGCCTGTCCAGGGGTCCGCGGTGGATCTTAGTCATGGACTGCATCTGGGGCTTCATTTGAAGAACAATTTGTAGTTTTACAACTTTGATTCTGGAAGAGACAAACTTAACAAGGAGGTTAAAGATACAGGGATTTAAATGTATAGCCTGCAGTGCAGGGGATTATTTCTTTGGCACACTTCACAGGCCCTGACTATCTGCTTGACAGTTTTGAAAAGGCCTCGTCCAGTAAATAATGATTTGGCCATCTGATGGGTGTTATCAATACCTAAGTGAAAGGTTTGGTGAAGGGTTTTAAGTAATTTCCAATGGTTAGCTGCAGGCATGAGGACATAGTTTCCTCCCCTCAGGATAGCTAGCCACCGAAGAAGGAAAAATACTTTTGGATTTGTTTTCTTTTTAAGCATCCAGTGTTAAGCCTACAGGTGGGCCAAGGAAAACTGTAATAAGCTCAAAGTAAATTATCAAGGCACTTTATAGAAACCATTCAGCAATACCATCCAATATATTTATTGTATCAATCCTCATATAAAGATTTACTTTTACACTTTTAACATTTTATTTTTCTTAATCAAAGATAGAACTATCTGTTTGACCAAAAATTGTTTCTTTCCAAACTCCTGCCCTCACATCGTATAAGATTAAGTATGTAAGTGATGAAGTAGCCAGTGGCTTTGTTTATTTTGAATAAGTGCTTGATTCAACAACAAATAGTAGACAGCTAATTAGCCATGGTAGTTTTCTGCTTTAATATTGCCCAATCAACCAGGGAAAGAATGATTCCCATTGAAAACTCAGGAGTTCTGAGTTTGAGTCCAAAGTTTGAGCAAACTATCCATTATGTACTGAATTGTGTTCCCCCAGAAAGACAGGTTAAAGTTCTCACTCATAGTTCTTCAGAATGTGAAAACATTATTTGGAAATGAGATCTTTGTAAATGTAGTTAGTTAAGTTACGAAGTCTTACTAGGCTAAGGCGGGCCCTTAATACAATATGACTAGTATCCTTATAAGATGAGGGAAATCTGGACAGAGACACAGGAAGGAAGAACACCAAATAAAGACAGAGGCAAGATTGGGGTGACGCAGCTACAAACCAGGGAATGCCAAGGATGGCCAGCCACCACCAGAAGGAGAGGGGCCTGGAACAGATTTGCCCTCAGGGACCTTAAAAGGAACCTATTCTATTGATACTTTGATTTAGGACTTCTGGAACTGACAGACAATAAATTTCTTTTGTTTTAAGCTACTCTGTTTATAACACTTTGTTACTGCAGCCCTAAAAAACTAGTACACTCTCTAATCCCTGTAACCCTCAGTTTCCTCCTGTGTACAACGAGTGCACTAGTAAAATCCACTCTCAAGCTTGTAGTGAAAATCAGAGTACTTAATGTCTGGAAAAGCACTCTGTGAACTGTAGAGCACTAAACCCATGACACAGACACCTTGGAAGGAAGAAGGATCCACAATTCCCCTCCTCTGAGACTTTCCCAGGAACACATCCCGCCACCTGACCCAAGAAGGCAAATCAGATTTTCTCTCTTATGAATAAGGAGTTGATACCAAAGCTCTGATCATTCTGTGTAGAGCACCTGACCTGAAGGACAACCACCTTTTTCACTGCACTGGAAGCAAGGGGAGAGAGTCTGCAGGGAGAAAGGGATGAAGCAGAGGCCCAAGAAACCTGGGGATGTTAGGCCACACAGCCCCAGAGAAAGACTCACAGGATATCTGCATGGTTCCCTCAGGCTTTCTCATTCTTGCTTCACACCCTTTCCTCTGGACTGTAAGCACCTTGCACCTGCATCATTTCCTGTACTCCTCTGTCACTGGGAGGATGTCAATATGAAGCTAAAATATAAATACATACAATGGCATTAAAATGATAGAATATAAGAGATAAGAGGTGAGAAAAAGGGTGGGAGGGCGTGGTGGGGGAGAGAGAGAGACTGAGAGAAAGACTCAGGCTTACTTTTTTTGACAGTTCAATATAAATCGTGCAAACTCTGGGCTACACCCCAACTGAAAGGCTACAAGAGCTATAATTACTGCATATTAATGACATCACTCCAATTGATTTTGAAAAGAAAAGCGCTACGTGACATTTGCTAACATTATTTAGTATTTCTGAGACCTCAATTTTATCCCCTATAATGGTTGAACAAACTCTATTAGTGGTTCATAAAACTGGGGATGCTGGAGGTATAGGGGTCGTTGATATTTTCTGAATTTTGAAAGTAATTCATTAAATAATAATTTAAAACTTTCTAGTTTTTTTTGTCATCAACCCTTACAAGCCCACTAGAAAAAGTTTCTTTCTGTTAAGCTATTCTTCTTGGTAACAAGTTAGATCAGCAACTCTGCATGCATTTGGTTAATTTGTCCAACGATTTTTTGATAGACTTAAAGCTTTCCAATCACAGAGTTCTGGGTAGCAATGGCTATCTCTCATAAGGAAAAAGCTAGAAACCAAAGAAAGTGATTTTGAAGCTCCCTTTTGGCTGTAATAGTCCAAGAGTCTTCAAAAATTGGGGGTGGAGCAAGGTGGCCAAAAAGAATACTCCAGTGATCATTTCCCATAGAAACATCCTTTTGAACACGTACCCATGTGGGAAGGTACCTTCACAAGAGCTAAGGAAATCAGGTAAGAGCTCTCAGTGCCTGGTTTTAGCACAATAATAAGAAAAGACACATTGAAGAGGCTAGGAAGGACAGAGTCTCACTGCCTGCTTCACCCTTCCCCTAATTCCAAGCCTGGAAGCTTGGAGAGAGGCATTGCTTGCTTCAAGGAGGGAGAGTGGAGTGAGTGCAGGATTTTGACGTGGAGCCTGGTACCGGGCAGAACTCCAGGTCCCCATCCCAGGCCAGGGCCCGCAGATGGATCGTCTGGACCCTCCCGGGTGCCAGGCCTTGGTCCTGGTGGGATGGGCTCATGTCCGGCCTGCACGGCTGAGGGCGTCTCCAGGGGCTTCGGCCACACGTGAACTAGAGGCAGGCAGGCCGGGGATATGCCGGCCCCAGCCGTGCACTGTGGGTGCGATCCCCCTTAAGGTCAGCCTTGGTGGCCACGTTGCTGCCTCCACCATCCCGCCCCCAAAGCTGGGCAGCACAGTGCAGAGAGCGACTCCGTCCGCTGGGGAAGGGGAAAGCGCTCAGTGCAGGACTTTGTCTTGGAACTCAGCACTGGCCCCCACGAGCCACTGTGAAATCCGACATTGGCTGGTTTCCTCCGTGTGGCAGAACCAGATAACCCCAGGCTGGAGCCTGCGGACGGAGTCGCTTGGGGGACCCGCGGCCCGGTGTGGCGGCCTCGTGCTCTGGGCCGCCTCGGCGCCAGCTGCCTCGGTGGCAGGCAGGCCACAGCCGCGTGAGCCTGGGGAGTAGCCCTGTGCTGGGCTGGTCTCGGAAGCTGCGGACTCCGGGTGTGGCCCAGCGTCGGTCAGCTGTGGTGGCCACGGCGCTGCCGTCCCATCCCTCCCCCAACCCCAGGCCGCCGGGCACAAAGAGAGGCAGCGTCTGCTTAGGGAAAGGAGAGAGAAGTAGCCTCAAGACGTTGCCTTGGAGCCCAGTGCTGGACCCACCAAAGTGAAGCCCAGAGCTAGGCAGAACTCTGCAGCGCCGGAATGGAGCATCTGGACCTGCCCCAGCCTAAGGCGGAAACTCACCGAAGCTTTTTAGGTCCCTCGGAAACAAGGTCACAGGCACACCTGGGCTCAGCGCGCCCTCTAGTGCTGAAAATGTGGCAACACACAAACCACGGACTTGTGGCAAACGTGGGCTTAGGGTGCCATCTAGTGCTGAAACAGCAGCAGTGAAAGAGGTTCAGAGACGGTAACAGAAGGCTTAGAGGCTCTGGAAGGACGGGGACAACGTCAGTCTTTGAAGACTGGAATAAATACCTAGTCTTTCGACACACAGACTTGTCACATGCCCACAAGTATCAATAATAATATTCAGGGAACCAAGACCTCACCAAATGTACAAAATAAGGCACCGGGTGCTATATGAACAGGTGCCCAACATCACTCATCAGGGAAATGCAAATCAAAACTGCAGTGAGACATCACCTCACTCCAGTCAGAGTGGCTACTATCAAAAAATCAAAAGATAAGTGTTGACAAAGATGTGGAGAAATGGGAACCCTTACACACTGCTGGTGAGAATGCAAATTAGCACAGCCATTACGGAAACCAGTATGGTGGTTCCTCAAAAAGCTAAAAATAAAACTAACATATGATCTAGCAATCCCACTGCTGGGTGTATATCCAAAGGAAATGAAATCAGTATGTAGAAGAGATATGTACATTCCCATGTTCATTGCAGCACTATTCACAATTGCCAAAATATGGAATCAACTTAAATATCTATCAATACCTGAATCGATAAAGAAAATATAGTGTGCATATACACAATGAAATACCATTCAGCCATAAAAAAGAATAAAATCCTGTCATTTGTGGCAACATGGATGAACCTGGAGGACATTACATTAAGTGAAATAACTAGCCACAGAAAGACAAATATCTCATGATCTCACTCATATGTGGAATCTAAAACATTGTTCTCATAGAAGTAGAGAGTAGAATAGTGGTTACCAAAGGATGGAGAGTGGTGAGTGAGGAGATGATGAGAGACTACAGTGAGTTAGGAGGAATGCATTCTGGTGGTCTACTGCAAAGCAGGATGACTAAACAATGCCATATTGTATATTTTAAAATAGCTAGAAGCTGTAATCCCACTTTGGGGGGCCAAGGCAGGTGGATCACCTGAGGTCAGGAGTTTGAGACCAGCCTGGCCAACATGGTGAAACCCCGTCTCTACTAAAAACACAAAAATTAGCCCAGCATGGTGGCAGACGCCTGTAATCCTAGCTACTCAGGAGGCTGAGGCATGAGAATCTCTGGAACCCAGGAGGCAGAGGTTGCAGTGAGCCGAGATTGCCCCACTGCACTCCAGCCTGGGTGACAGAGTGAGACTTTGTCTTAAAAATAAAAAAGCTAGAAGAGGGGTTTATGAGTGTTCTCATCTCAAAGACATAATGTTTGAGGTGATAGATATGCTAATTACTCTGATTTAATCAGTTCACAATGTATACAACTATTGAAACATGTTGTACCCCATAAATATGTACAGTTATGTCAATTATAAACTTTTTAAAAAATAAAATAAATTGCCCATCCTAAATTTCTAGAATTTGCAGTAATAACTCATTTTTTAAAAAATAGAAAAAAAATCCAATCCTTTAAATAACACAAAGATGACAAAGGACAGATAAAGCTTTTCAGCTTCAAATTTTCTCTGATACAGAAAAGTGACTGTTCCAAAAACAAACAAAAAACATCCTTTTCTTCAATCAGGAGTATCTGGGTGAATTCCAAGAATCCAAAAATAAAATAACTAAATTTCACTGATTTTATTTGATCTGTCAAAGCCAGATAAATAAAACTTCTCTCAAGTCAGGCCTTTCAATTTGTTTTCTTCTGTTTTTACCCTGCAGTAACTAGGCAGAAAAACCCTATCCCGTTGCCAAGGATCACCCAGATCTCAAGAAATCAATTCTCTGGAAACTCCTCATAAATCATTTGCTTCCCAAACAGCAATGGGCCTGTGAAATTGAAAACACTAAAAAGTACATTATGAAAGTAAAAGTTTCTTTAAAAGCCTTCACGGTTCGCGGAGGCCACATGCACCTTAGGCAACACCAGCAGAGCAGCAGGAGGGGAAAACAGCCGGCATTATTGAAAGGCACGTGGAAACCATAAAAGCCACAAGTCGAGGAGGAATTCTAGAATCAGTACACATGGAGGAGGGCCAGCAAGGTGCAGGCTGTGGGCAGTACCACTCAAATGCCTACAACCCACAGCTGAGAAAAAACAAAAAAAGCTCACACAACACAAGGTGATTATGACCAATGAGTTATACCAACTGGGAACTTCGTAGAAGCAACATCCTACACCTTGATTAGTTTCGTGTTCTCTGGGGAACCCTCGCACAGTGTTAGGCACGGAATGTTGCTTACTCATCCCTATCAAGTCAAAGGGAGTTTTTAAAGGAATGTAGGCCACCTAACTTATGTAATTTAACTGGGTTTTGAAATGAGAACATACAGAATCACATAAGTTTAATGAAATCCTTGAAGAGCCTGTACCTCTGGCCTCAAATCCTTTCAAGGAATGAAAGGGGAGCAAATTTGGAGTAGATAGAAGCACCATTTGGTTTGGAGTCACATTCACAAAGGTCCTGAACTTAAGCCATTTGATGGTATCCCCAAATAAACCTACACACATATGGTCACAATATCCTCTGGCAGACAGAATAAAGACAGTCATCCTACAACCCTGTAAGCTTGTGTCCCCTTACTGAAGTGCATATGAGTAATAGTTTTATAAATACTGTAATTCTTTTATGAATAGCCAAAGGAGTTAAAAGCAATTATATGTAAACATTTATACTGCCATAACTGTAAGCTGCTTTAGTCATTTTTAAATTTTTAAACACACCAGTAGACTCAAAAAATCGTGATGGCTCTGTTAGGAGCTTCTCAAAGTGAGGAGAATCATGAAATGAGATCTGCCCAGGCCAGGGAGTCCTGCATTACATGGGCCAAGCAACAAACACACCTAAGCAAAAACTGTACACAGAAGGAACTACAGCTTTTCCACTGAACTCCAGGGCTTTGCACAGTGCCAGTCACACAGCCACTTTGAAAGCTGAGCACGTCCACATGTCCGTAGCCTCCTTCTGAGAAAAGCAGCCATGGGAAATGATTTCTGCCAAGGTCACCATACTGTGTTCTGTGAGACCCACTATCACGGCCAAGGCTGATTGGTCAAGAGGTTGGTGCCTGAGCCAAGCCACCTGCCAAAAACCAGCAGGCCTCGGGAGTAGCCTGACAGGACAGCCTTGCCGGGCAGGATGCTCTATGCTGGACAGGAAGCGACTAAACCAATGACATTCTCAAGGAGCTTCAATACTTCCAAGAGTCAGAAATCAAGAGAGTGATATGGAAGCCAAAGGCACACAGAGAAAACTCAACATGCGGAGGTCATAAAACAGCAGAAACCACAAGTCACAGAGAAGAGTGGAAACAGAAGACACTCAGTAGCAGGAAAGCTACAATCCCTAGAGAGACTGAGGAAGGATATGCTTATTCAGGGCTATGACTGAGTCTCGGGGGACAAGAATAAAAGTGGATTTAAACTTGATTACCTTTGTGAAGATCCTATAGCCAAATAAGGCCACACTGCAAAGTAGTGGGGTTTAGGACTTCAACATATGGATTTTGAGGTGGCAAAATTCAACCCATAATAGTGTCCAACAGTCAGTGTGACTGGTATCCTTATAAAAAGGGGAAATTTGGAGACAGTGTGCTCACAGGAAGAACGCCCTGTTAAGATGAAGGCAAAGATTGGGGTGATGCATCTATAAGCCAAGGAACCCCCCAAATTGCCAGCAAACTACCAGAAGCTAGCGGAGGGCCACAGAGCAAATTCTCTCTTTCACAATCCTCAGAAGGAAGCAACCCCATTGACACTTTGATCTCAGACTTCTAGCCTGCAGAACTGAGAGACAATAAATGTCTGTTACATCCCCAGTTTATGATACATGGTTAAAACAGCCCTAGCAAACTAACCCAGGCACGGAGCGCTACCGTTGAGTGAGAAACATCTGCTCTGTTCCTTGAGGCTGACTATTTGGCTACTGAAAGGCTTTCTGTCTTCTATCCTCCCGCTCATGTATCCCCACAATAACTCCCATAACCTCAGACAACCCGAGCCTGTCTGCTCCCTGGAAGCTGAAAGAACTTCAGTAACTCAGTTGGAGTGCAGGCAGCAGTGTTTGGGAAGGAGTAAATGAAGCAGTTGGAAGCAAAGAAGCTGCTGCTTTGGGATCCGCAAATCAGAGGATCAGGAAATGTGAAACAACTTTCCTGACAGCTTCAGGGAGTGACATCCAGGCAGGAACTCGGCGGCTTGGCAGAGCTGGAGGAGGATAGCAGGTGAGCCTGGGAAACCTACATCCTGGCAAGCTTCTTGCTGGGGGGAGGGATCTGGTCTCCCAACCACTTGTTGTTCCCATCCAAGCCACTCTCTCCAATAGAACAGTTCCTGAAGGCACTAATAGAGATCAATTTTCTCTATTATTCGGGGTCTGCAATGCAGCAAATATTTCCGAAGCCAGCCTAATCTCTTAGCAAAGCCCCTTGACTCCCCCACACAGCTGTTTTTAATGGTGGACCAGGGACCACATCATGCAAGCACTTTCTGGGTTCTTTTACACTTCCTCCTTCCCCTAAAGCTCATTTTCCCACAGCCTGCATTCACTGGATGCCTGGTGTGAGGAAAGAACTGGCACATGTCCTGATTCAGCCATCTGTGCTTCCTCTCCCCACCAAAGTGAAAATGCATTCAAACTAAATTATTTTGAAAACACATTCTCTCCATTCAAGTTCTACTTCAAGACCTCACAATAGAGGGCACCTCCACGATCTCATTCCTGGCAGCACTTGAATGGGGGCTGCTGAACAATACACTCTCAGTACTTGCTCAGAAAGAAAGACAAGACTTGGGACGAAAACAGGTGAAAGCTCTTCCGAGATTTAGAGAGACAGGACCCGGTGCCGAATTGCTTTCCAGGCGGTCAAGCCGCATTGCTCATTACGTGGAGTGAATGGGATGATTCCAAACCAGCCCTGGACGAGGTGGCAAGTGAACATGTGCTTTAATTGCTGCTTATTCAATGTTTAAATTATACGTTTTTATATTTAAGCCAGTGTTAATTTATTTTGCCTTTTTATACCTTTACATTAAATAAGCTTTCCAAAAGGCTTTAAGGGGAACAAACATTTTTGACTATTTTCCTTATGCCAGACCACATAATGGGCTCACAGTTTATCTCATTTTATCTTCACAACATCCCTTTGTAATGAGTACTTTTATCTTCATTTTAAGGAATAGTAGTAATCCAGCTCAGAAAGGTTAGTTAACTCATCTAGGACACACAACAAATAGGCAGAAGGAGCAACATTTGAACCTAAGTTTTTACCATTACACCCTTCTAGAGATAGATGGAGGGTGACTTTTAGTATCAGAGAAAAGATTATTTGGATGCAGTGATTAAAACATCTCCTCTATTATTGATTCTTTATATTTCTGAGATAAATCAATTAGTACCACTGTCAGAGTGTGAGAATCAACCATTTCTAGCATAATTATGTATCAGTAATTATTGATCCCTAATGAACATAAACTCTATTTTAGGATTGTGGCCAGTGAGGCTTAGAATGGTTCTTTAGGAATCCTCTAGTCCCACAGAAACCACATTTTAGACTAAAATTTGGACTAGAAGGATTCCTCTACAATGTCTAAATAGCAGTTACAATTTTTATTTTGCTCAATTGAGAAGAATTATAAACTAGAATCAAAATGTAGTGGTGCTTTCTTTTTTTTTTTTTTCCTGAGACAGAGCTCCACTCTGTCACCCACGCTGGAATGCAACGGTGCAATCTCGGCTCACTGCAATCTCTGCCTCCCCAGGCTCAAGCAATTCTCCTGCCTCAGCCTCCTGAGTAGCTGGGATTACAGGCATGCCACCATGCCCAGCTAACTTTTGTATTTTTAGTAGAGACGGGGTTTCACCATGTTGGCCAGGCTGGTCTCAAACTCCTGACCTCGTGATCCGCCCACCTTGGCCTCCCAAAGTGCTGGGATTACAGGCGTGAGCCACCACAACCAACCAGTGGTGCTTTTAAATGAATTAATCACATTTATTGACCACAATAGATCTACAAACATTTTTAAAATTTGTGGTACTTGTGGACAAAGGCATATTACTTATTTCATCTACAGCAATGATTGGTTCATATGTAGATGCAGATGCCTTAGAAAAACTCCTCAGGCCCTCCAAGAGACTTTTGCCACTAGGCTAGGAAGCCCCAGTCCAGGCCAGTCGCATAAATGGAGACAGAGAAGCCCAGAGGAGAAAGATTTGTGCCCAAGGTCAAGCAGTAGCAAAGCCAACACTAAATTCTGAATTTCCTGACTTGCATTTCAGCGCTCTTTTTCCAACCTGGAAACAGCCCATTCAGTCAATAACTCACCTCCAGTGCCTTTTCCTAAAGCATTTACAGTCAGGAGAACAAATTCAGGTATGCAAAAATACAACTTTATTTTTCTAAAACAGAAATGTAATGTGTTCCTTGAATCCTTTTTCCGTCAAGGGTAAAAATGTGAATCATGGTCAATTCTGAGAGTTCGCTCAGTCAGTTCAGGATTTCCCTCTTCTATAGGAGTTGCATCTGGTGCAGGCTGGGGACAGAGGAGATTACACAGTGTCAGGACGTTTGAGGTGTCTGGGCTTTGAGTGTCATCCATCCACACTGCCATCCCTGAGCTGTAACTCATCAGCTGAGTCCCAGGATGTCATTAACCTTCTACTGTGCCTCCACTGAGGCTGACATCTGTGTTCCCCGCCTGGTTCCTGGCCATACCTCTCACACCAAATTTCAGTCTTCCTTCCCTTCTCCCAGCCTTGAGGACTCCTAGGGTCCCCTGACTTTCCCTCAGCTCTCCTAGGCCCCTCTCCAGGGCAGGGCGAATATTTGATTGGTCTCTTGTGCCTTTCTCTCACTATTATCTCTGCCTTGGGTTCCAAAACTATATTTTGAAACTCAAGAGCAAGAAATGACTCCTTTTTCTTACAATCATTCTTTCTGTGGCCTCCCTTCCCTAAAGAATAAGAAAGACATGCAGCTGTGAAAATGCACTGGTTAATACTTCAAGTCGTTGTCTTGCTACATTTTGCTTTGCAATAACTAAAGTAATTACAACTGCGTTAGTATCTCTATTAAAATTTCTTCCATTTAAGTCATTAACATCTTTTACATAAATCACCCCCCGTAATATAACTGACATAATTTCTGGCCCAAAAAAAAAAAAAAAAAAAAAAAAGAGTCATGGAAGATATCCAAGAGAAATGTATAAGCTCTGCAGAAAAAAAAAAAAAAAGCAACATGGGTCTCCCAGGTTCCCTCACTAGAGAAGAGAATGAGAATCATATGGCTGTGAAGTGAGATGGCCACAGGTCAGTTAAGGCGTGAACATGCACGGAATAATAAGTACTCTCCAACTCATTTAAGTTGCAGCTTAAACTGTCTGACTTAATTGTCTCTAAAAGTTCCACTTGCCTAATACTGTTCCTCTTTCTCTCTGGCATGGCCGGAATTAGTCACCATCAGTGAACTGGGAAATGAGGTCCAGTCATTGCCTCCAGAAGAACCCCCCTTCCCACCCCCCAGCTAAATGAGATCAAGTCCAGATGTCAACAGAACTTTCTGGTCTAAGAATAAAAGCAGAGCCAAATAACCTCAACAACCCCAATTTTCTATCCTGGCCCCTCATTGCTCAATGAACTTCTAATACCCCTTGTCAAGCCCTCTGCCCTACCCAAAAAGGAACTTTGTGGGTACTGAAATGCCACTCTGTCTGTTTCATCTACCACAATCACCAGGCACTGTCCCTGATGATGGGGCCCTAATAAAAGACATCCCCCCTGCACCAGCCTGCTCTAAATTCCAAAAGTTTTGCCATTAGTTTCCTTTTGGCAAGATCACTGACTGTCACTGTATTTTTTTAATGTACAATCTGAAAAGTATACAATTATATGAGTCATCATTAAGCTATGAAAATCCTAGGTAAAATTATCTAACCAGCTGCAGTGAAAAGGGAACCCCTAAATAGAGAGAGTGGAGAGGATGGGGATCATAAAAAGGCATCAAATTAAGAGCTAAAGTAGCAGGCACAGTGAGAACACATAATGAGAGGAAGCACAGAAGAGAGATGCGGTACTGAGTGGCAGAGGAGGCAAGAGAAAAATAGAGGAGAGGTAATACACAATGAGAATGAAAAGGTCAAAAAGAAACTTGGCCTAATGCTTAAGCAGAAAATAAAGTGACATAACTGGCTTTTCAGGTCAAACCCAAAGTAAGACTCTCTCTTGAGAAAGGCATAAAAAAAAGTTCCCTCTAAATTATAATTGATCACCAGAGTTATCAGCTACAAAATGATGAGTGGTGTTGGCTCATTTAACAAATCTGCACCCCTTCTGATTACTTTTATTCAGAGCTAATTTTAAAAAGCTCAAACCTTTAATAAAAATGGCAAAAAGATGATTGCAAAAGCACCTGAACCTCAACATAATATTTCAAGGTGTGCTCATACTGGCATGATAGACCACAGGACAGTTACCTCCCTTGACCTGAACACTACACTCTGATTAATGTAGTCTAAGTTGGTATTGTTCTCTAAATAAAAGCCCTACACCAGCAGTTCAGGCTCAGCTTCTGATCAACAAAATTCCCAAGATCTTTTCCCACTAACTTCTATTCAGCCAGGTCTGTCCAGTGCTGTATATATTCCATTTTATTTTTGTATGTTTGACCTTTAACTTGAATACACTTCTACATACTTGTCTCTGTAAATGTAGCCTTGCCGTCTTAGCTCATCATTTCAAACTTAGAATCTATCTGCTCTATATTTTCTGATCTTCCTACATTTGTGGTCATCCTTAACTGACTAATGATGCCTTCTAAATTTATCTAAACTGTATAAAGCCATTGGAGCCCTGTGACACATTACCAAGAACTTCTTTCCAGGCTGAAAATAATCAAAATTAATTAAGAAGTTATAGAGGTACCTAACTGCATTATCATCAACCATCCCCAGGGAAAAGAATGATGAAGATTATAAAAAGATGATGACCACTATGGTCTAAATGTGTCCCTCAAAATTCATGTGTTGGAAACTTAATCCCAATGTCATGATGTTTGGAGGTGGGACCTTTTGGAAGGTGTTTAGAACTTGAGGTCTCCACCCCCTTAAATGGGCTGACGTTCATATAAAAAGGGCTTACAGGAGTGCATTAACTCTCTCTTGCCCTTCCAACTTTTGCCGTATAAGAATGCAGCCACAAGGCCCTCACCAGACCTCAGATGCCAATACCTTTGAGACAGCCAGGTGATAAGGGGTCCCCAGAGAAACTCCAACTGGCCTGCGCACTGGGAGGAGTGCACGCTGGGGTGGAGCCTTGGGAAGTTCGTGCCCCTCCTCTTCCTGATGGAACCTGGAATTTAATCTTCGAGGTGGGAAGGGCACCTAGCAGGACTCTGGCTTTGCGGACAGTCCCTGTTTCCCTTTCTTTCCTTTTCACCCAATAAACCCTGCCCTTCTCACCCTTCAAAGTGTCTGCGAGCCTAAATTTTCATGGTCATCTGACGAGGACCCCATTTTTAGCCAAACTAAGTAGACAGTCCTATAACACCTTAAGCTTGGATTCCCAGCCTCCAGAATTGTGAGAAAATAAACTTATATTCTTTATAAATTTCCCAATCTGTGGTATTCTGTGATAGAAGCACAAAACAAAGACAATGATTGTTTATGATGATCCACCAACATTTACTGATCATTATGTGTCAAGCACTGTGCCAAGTGCAGTATCTAATTTAATCCCACAACTATACATATATATATAAAACTCTTTGATATATATACATGTAACTCAAAGAGTTACATAATTTCCTTACAATGATGCTGCTAGTAAGTGATGAAGTTGTAATTTTAAAAGCCAGGCCATCTTCCTCCAGAGCTAGGCTCTTAACTACCCGATTCTGCCGTTTCCACATGATGCAAGATTTTATTTGAGCCTTTCTAAAATCAGGATATAAAGGCTAGAAGGGTCAAAAGTAATATGTGAAAAACAAAGGATCTAGAAGAAAGGTCCTTGCCCTCCAGTAACTTACAATCCTGTTGGAAGAATAAGACTTAGAAAATAAAGCTATTTTAGAACAAATAGTTTATTGTAGTGCTAAAAAATGAGAATCAGATCTAAGCATTCTTTTTCAGCTCAGTTCTCCAACTTAAAGTTCATAGACTGGAAATTTATAAAACCACAAAGAAAAAGACTAAGGAAAAAATGAATAAGGCCTCCCCCTGGGAGGATTTAGTAAAGAATAATTGAAGTCCATGGAATCCCCCCAGACTGACCATTCATATGCGACTTGGGGATAGAGGTTCTTTAAAAAGTCCTGTAGAGCCAGGCCAGATGCGGTGGTTCACACTTGTAATCCCAGCACTTTGGGAGGCCGCAGTGGGCAGACTGCCTGAGGTCAGGAGTTTAAGACCAGCCTGTCTTAAGATGGTGCAACCCGGTCTCTACTAAAAATACAAAAATCAGTCGGGCGTGGTGGCGGGTGCCTGTAATCGCAGCTACTCGGGAGGCTGAGGCAGGAGAATTGCTGGAACCCAGGGGGCAGAGGTTGCAGTGAGCCAAGATTGTATCACTGCACTCCAGCCTGGGCGACAGAGCAAGGCTCTGTCTCCAAAATAAATAAATAAATAAATAAAATTTAAAAAAAATTCCTGTAGAGCCAGAGTCATTGGGTTCTCCCTCAATTAATATCTGAGGTGCCCAGAAACTGCAATGCCCAGGCAATAAGCCATCAAAGCCCCAGTCAAGCAGAAACATAGTCCCACTGAAGTTAGTGGCCTAAATTCTTCAAGTCAGATGCAGTAATCCCAGAATTAAGTTTCATCAAGTTAAAAAAATCTGATTACCAACCAGATTATCCATTATAATCTCAATGCCCAAAGATAACAAGTTATTCACGGTCTGTCATCCCAATTGTTCTCAGCAAGTAAATGAGAGAACATGCCTTCAGAAAGACGCATCTCAGTCTCTGTTGTGTGACCTAGGGCAGGCACCAGTCCACCTCCAAATTGCTGTAATGATCATGGGAGATAATGAATGGGAAATTGTCTTGTAACTTGAAAGGTATATTTTTAAAGTTATTACCTTCACTAGATGTTTGGGAACAGATTATTACTCATATTAGAAAAGCCCCATATGATAAGCAAAGTGCTCCATAGTCAAACTCGTCTACTTCATTGGCCTCACTCTTCCACTCCACCCTCCCACCCCTACCTCACGTCCACTCCCGATACTCCATATCCGCATATCACCCCAAAGCACTCAGTGCTTTCTTATGCTTCTGTTCCTTTGTCTTGATAAAGATATGATGCTAAAGAGGCCAAATACTACTCTTAAAGAAAGTTAATATTAAAACATAGAGGAAACTTTTGATCTCATTTATTTCCCATTATCTGACTTTATCCCCTCTAGGCAGAAAATCTTAATAACCAAATATTTGCATAATGCCTTTCTTTTTATGTCCTTGATTTCAACCAATTGCTTGAGAATATTTCCCCATCTCTCCAATAGTATCAAACCCAGTGAACTGATATGTTAATTTTAGGTAACTTGGGATATTCAGAGCACTTTGATGTACAATTATAAATCATAAACTAGCAAAGAAGACAAGGCCTCTGGAGAAGGAAATGTCAGAAACTTCTCCTCCTGCTTGTTTCATTAGGAGAGTTGTGATAGTAATGGGAGGAGGCTAGATTGAGAAAATAATCATATGGGGGTTCAGGGAATATTTGTGAAAGTTAGGTTTAGCAGCTCTGTCTAACTTCTTGGTCTGGTAGATGTCGCAAGTTTAATAAAATTTCCCAGATCTTTGAGCCAAAGTCTCTTTTAAGATACCCCAGAAAATCAAGAAGTCATGACAATTAAAGAGTCCTGTACCAGCACATCCTGTCTTCACTGCCTGCAAAGCTCACCACTCTCTTCTCCATCCACAAACTCCCATACTCCTTTGAAGCAGCAGCTGAGCCGCCACAACCTCGAGCCTCTCTCCTGATCACAGCATCACATAGACAAGGCTTCAGTGGAACCATGACAATTAGAATATTTATTGATTGCAGCACTTACAAAATTTGAAATATTTGAATAAAAAATTTTCCATAAAACTTTGGCTCCTGTTTACTTATCTTTAAGCCTAAAGCTCCTAGCACAGTGCCTGGAAACGAATAGCTAGAAAAAATATTTGTTTATATGTCAAGAAAAAAACATTTACTAGGCTCTTGCATAAGCATCCTCAGGGATTTCTCTTCAATTCTAAAGCTCACACAAGCTCAAAAATGCTTAAATGGACGTTGAATTCGTGTTTCATTGTGCCAATCCCTTTTCATGGTGAAATTCCCAGAGCCTGAAAAGGCATGGATAGATTCCCAAACCCTATATTTTATCACCCACCTGCGTTATCCTCTGTGTACTGTGATGGCTTGGTGGGGATGAAATTGACAGAGAGAAAAAGAGGTAATTGACGGAGTAAAATTATCACTAAAAAGTCAGCCTTGAGGACACACTGCAGCACACCTCTCTTATTCACTGTTAGAATAAATTAATCATCTGAAGTTGTCTACAAGGCTCCAAATATTGCCCTGAAATGACCAAACCTTCACTTTTAGCATTCGTTGAAGGGCTAATTGACTTCCAGAAAAGCAGCCTGGCTGGTAAATTCATTGCCAGTTTGAAAAAAAAAAAATCCTTAAATTTAAATTTAAAAATATTTTTAAATTATTTATATATATACATATTGAAAAGAATATTTTCTATCTCCACCTACTGATGCATATCTTTAGCATATGAATATATTATCTTTTAAATCATCAGATTTAAAAGCTTACAGACTCACAACACCATTCATATACTGTAATTATTGGTTTGTCCTCCAATTATCTTCCTAGACTGGGGACTCTTTGAAGGCAAAAATGGGTCCTGCTACTCTTTCTATCCTTTCCAAATTCCTTGCCCTGACGTAGGAAGCACTTACAAAATGCACTTGAATAAATTAAAATGTAGTTATTGTCATTTCTAATAATAATAGCTAACTTTATTAATAGTTTCATTCAATTCTCACAATGATCCTTTGAGGGAGTACTATAAATACCTCCATTTTAGGTTGCATTGAGTGGAGATCGTGCCACTGCACTCCAGCTTGGGTGACAGAGACTCCATCTCACACACACAAAAAAATTCCGTTTTATTTATTTTTCATTTCAACTTTTATTTTAGATTCGGCGGAACATGAGCAGGTTTGTTACATTGGTCTATTGCATGATGCTGAGGTGTGTAATATGATTGATCCTGCGTCACTCAGGTAGTGAGAATAGTACCCAATAGGTAGTTTTCCAACCCCTGCTCCCCTTCCTTCATCCCCACTCTGGTAGTTTGCATCTTTATGTCTATGTGTATCCAATGTTTAGCTCCCACTTACAAGTGAGAACACATGGTGTTTGGTTTTCTGTTTCTGCATTAATTTGCTTAGGATGATGGCCTCCAGCTGCATCCACGTTGCTGCAAAGGACATGATTTTGTTCTTTTTTATGGCTGCGTAGTGTTCCATGGTATATATGTGTCACCTTTTCTTTATCAAATCCACTGTTGATGGGCACCTAGCTTGATTTCATGTCTTTGCTATTATAAATAGTGCTTTGAGGAACATATGAATGCATGTTTCTTTTTGATAGACAGATTTCTTTTCCTTTGGGAATATATCCAATAATGGGATTGGTGGGTTAAATGGTAGCTCTATTCTAAGTTCTTTAAGAAATCTCCAAACTGCTTTCCATGGTGGCTGAACTAATTTACATTCCCACCAGCAGTATGTAAGCATTCCCATTTCTCCACGGCCTTGCCAGCACCTGTTTTTATTTTTGTTTTTTTAAGTTTTTAATAATTGCCATTCTGACTGGTATGAGATGGTATCTCATTGTAGTTTTGATTTGCACTTCTCTGATGATTAGTGATGTTGAGCATTTTTCCATATGTTTATTGGCAACATGGATGTCTTTTTTTTAAATTATCTCCATTTTAGAGATGAAGAAACTGAGGCCTAAAGAAGGTAAGTAACTGACCCTAAGCTACATAGCTACACAATAGAGATGATAGTAGACTTGACTTTAGTAAACTCCTTATGTTTTCAAAGCTCATGCCTGTGTTAAACCACTGTTGCATACTACCTCTGTGAATTTCTAAAGGGACCCAATTTCATATTTTTGTCCTTGTGCTTAGAAACTATGTAAGCCAGGCTAAGCTTACCACAGTAATGAAAAATCCCAATAATTCAATGGCTTTCACAGTAGAGGTTTATCTCACATTTCACGTCTGAGACTCTAGGGAATGGCAGGATCACAAGATGGAAGGAGCCTTGGAGTCTTCTGCCTGATGCCCTGCATGCAGCTTGCAGATGGAGGAAGGGAATGGGGCCATTCTCAGCAGAAGTTACGCTGGGTCAGGCCAAAGACGACACCTGTTCTAAGCCAAAAGGCTTAGACTGATGCACACAGCTTCCACTCACATCCTATTGGCCAGAACTCAACCCTGTCACCACCACACCTAATTGCAGGGCAGAGTGGGAAATGGGCTCCCACTGTGAGGCCAGTAGAAAAAAAGGCAGATATGGGTAAGCACTAATAGCTTCTACCCCAGAAAACTAAGGGACTCAAGATTTAAGCCCGGCATCAGAGAACTTTAGAAGCAGAATGCTAAGATACTTTTCTCTTACGTTATCTTCCAAGCTTCCTATTTTCTGTTCTTCACTCTAAACTACTGTGACCCATTAGCAACTGCAGCTTCTCCTACTAACCTATGCCAATATTACCTGAAGAGTTACATTCAAATCTCTAAAGTATATCCTTTATCTTTTAAGAAAATAAATACTCAAAATGTATTTCTTGCCCTATAGGTGTATTAGAAAATGTCATTTCCATTGCATGAAACTGTTTCCCTTCAGGAAGAATTTATTGCCAGATAACCTTTAACAATAAATTCTCTGAACACATTTAAGGTTTTTAAATTACTTGTAAATATTGTATTTACAAAAATGATTTATAATAAATTAGGATCATAGATTTGATAAAGCAGAGTGAACCTATGGTACATTGAGTGCGAACACAAGTTATATTTCATTAATTAATTCATTCATTCAACAAATATGTATTAAACACCTATTAAGTTTTGTTGCATACCAAACCCAAGACCCAAACGCCAAACACCAATAAATACAATACAGTTTTTTTGGGTTTTTTTTGAGACGGAGTCTCGCTCTGTCGCCCAGGCTGGAGTGCAGTGGGGCAATCTCGGCTCACTGCAACCTCCACCTCCCGGGTTCAAGCAATTCTCCTGCCTCAGCCTCCTGAGTAGCTGGGATTACAGGCACCCACCACCATGCCCAGCTAATTTTTGTATTTTTAGTAGAGACGGGGTTTCACCATGTTGGTCAGGCTGGTCTCGAACCCCTGACCTTGTGATCCACCCACCTCAGCCTCCCAACAATACAGTTTTATATGATGAAAATATTAAATAAGATTTTATAAGACAACCTTGGATCAAAAATCTGGGCCTATTTTCCTAACAGTGTTCCCATACCTCAGCAAATCAGAAGGTACATGTTTAAGTTACATTTAGTTCTGTCTATCAAATGTGGACAGAAGACTGTTCTCTATAATCACGGGGACCCAGAAAAATGTAACTAACTCTCAGAAACTTACCCATTTTCTGAATTCCCTTCAGTTTACAATTAATTATCAGTCAGAGTTGACAACTAGTTCTTACTTCCCTAAGACCCTCAAGACTAGCAATCAAGATTCAAATGCATCAAGATCACCCACAACAACTCAGTTCTTAAAATTAACTCTGAAAATTGCATTCTTTTCTATGTAAACCTAAGATCCTGAGGAGTACATCATTCCAATGGTTTATACACATTGCCAATCATCAGAATCACCTGGAAATTTATATTCATATACATTTTATAAAATTTCTAGTCTATATTCCAGATCTTTTAAATCAGAATCTTGAAGACAGAGGTCTGGCAATTCATGATCTTGAAAATCTACCCTAGTTAACTCTTACAGTGTGACCAGGCATTAAGAAACATTGCATCTTTTAAACTTGCCCACTTTCGGTTAGATCTACCTTAGGATACCCAAGGCCTCACATCATTGTAGACAATCACCCAGGTCTTAGAAGGTAGATTTCTAGCTACCATCTTTCCTCTGCAGCTTGACTCTAAGTCTCTCAGAAACACTTTTTTTTCTTTACAAAACTTTTACCTTGGAGCAGTTCTCTAGTAATTCCAAACCAGAGGCAAGTAATGCTCTCATTATCGTAATCACTTCATCAGTCTACATTTTAATGGACGCATATCTCAAACCCTTTTCAAAACCCAAATCAGAGAGGGATTTTAAAAGAAACAAGTTAGCACTACTTTAAAACCCATTTTCAGTCATTCTCGCATCCTTAGTAGAAATCCGTTAAGACTTTAGAAGTCATTAAGGGGTGGCCCTGAAGGTTTTTTGATTGTCAGAAAGTGTTATTGAGATGGATTTGTTGAAGAGATGCTTTATACCATTTCATATTCCTGTCAAAGTTTTATTAGATTTCTAAACTGAAGATAAATACTTTATTTTTAACCATAACAATCTGAGGCTCTGAGAAAGAAAACGAGAAAGTCAAATTATCCTAAACCTTAGTATGGAAGATGGAATTGCACACTTTCAAGTAGAACTGGCTGTAATTCAAATGAAGCAGGACCTCCGCAAATAACAAATAACAACCACAACTAAAATTGGGACAATAATATGTGGAAAGAGCCAACCTTCCAAACTGATTGCTTGATTTAATTTCCTTATTTAGTACAGCTTTATCTCATTCCCTCTGGCAAAAAAAAAATAATATATATATATATATATTTAAATTTCCCTTATTAATTCCTTTAGTATGATCACAAACCTCAACAGGCAGGCTACTTGAGAAACAGTTCATAGACTCTCAGAGCTGGAGAAAGCCACAGGGATTACCTAGTCCAAACGTCTCTTCAATACAAGAATCCTTTCTCTGGTGTCATTGACAAAGAGAAGCTCAACCAGATTCTGCTTCAAAGATTTCAGGGAAATAACAAGGACTGACATTTGTAGGTCACTTTGTAGATAATAAAGCACCTTTAATCATGTTGTTTCCCTTAAATTATATTGTAGATGATGACATGGAGATTTTGAGAGATTAAATGACTTGCTGTGATGACACAACTAACAAATGGCTGAATTAAGTCTTTGTACTAAAAAGTCATATTTCTTTTCCGTCTTGCCTCCCTGGTGAGAGTCAAGGGAGGCTTTGTTCTTTGCAAGGCATTGCACTACAGCTGACCCTTGAACAACATGGGTTTGAACTGCAAGGTCCACGTATACTCTGATATTTTTCAATAAAAGTTACACCGAGTGTGCTTACCTCTCCTACATCCCCTTCCACCTCCACCACCTCTGCCTCTGTCACCCAAGACAGCAAAACCAACCCCTCCTCTTCCTCCTCCTTCTCAGCCTACTCAACATGAAGACCGTGAGGCTGAAGATCTTTACAATAATCCACTTCCACTTAATGAATAGTAAATATATTTTCTCTTCTTTATGATTTTTAGTAATATTTTCTTTTCTCTTGCTTACTTTATTGTAAGAATACAGTCATAATATATATAACATACAAAATATGTTAATTGACTGCTTATGTTATCAATAAGGCTTTCGGTCAACAGTAGGATATTAGTAGTTAAGTTTTTAGGGAGTCAAAAGTTATACATGGATTTTGACTCTGCAGGGAGTCAGCACCCAAACCCTCATGTTGTTTAAGGATCAACTGTACTTTATTGAACAGCTATAATGATTTAAAAATTCCTAAAGAGGCAAAATCTATTTCCCTGTAACTTTTAAGAATTTTAACAGAACCTTTAATAGTGCTTAGTTTATGACAGGCACTATTTAAAGTACCTTCCATATATTAACCCATTTAATTCTCTTTACTATGAAATGGGTACAATTACTATCCCCATTTTACACATAAGAAAACTAAAGCTGCAAGTGACTGGCAAAGCTGGAATCTAAACCAAATTAGTCCATCTCCAAGTCCAAAGACCACCCTGTCTCTCACTCTACTGTGGGAACTGCATTCTAAACTTTGAATCAACACAAAATAAAATTGCTTTTTTGGCCAAAAAATAACCATGAAAATATTTGAAGATAACTATCAAGCTCCCTCTTTAAGATTTGTATCACTCAGGGTTCCATCAGAGAAACTGAACCACTAGAAATGATACATAAGATAAGAGATCTATTACTAGGATTTTACTTTCACAATTGTGAGAGCTAAACAGTCTCTGTAAATCTCTTGTACTTATGTCTGAAGCCAAAAGTCAGAAACTCAAGGCTTGATATTTGATAAAATTAATTTTTTACTGTTTTATTAAGAGCATTCTTTTTTTTTTAAGAGCATTCTTAAGTAAAACTGGCTTTAAAAAAAAAAAACTACAAGAGCATGGGAATGAAAAATACAGTGATCACAAGTACAGTTTGGAGCTACTGCTTTGATTCATGTTAAGCAGCTAGACATTTACCCACCACTTTTGTTGAGCTATCAGTGCAAATAACAACACAGTGCAAAGGAAAATAATATCTTAGTATTATTATAAAAATCACTTTGAACTTACAGAGCCTCTGAAATGGATTTAGGGACTCTCAGGGGTTTCTGGGCCACACTTTAAGGACCAATGATCTCTAGTATATCCAAGAAGTTCTGGCATGTCAACTTAATTTAGAGTAGGCCACCTTTGGATCCAGGTTTATATCAACCAACCAAGCACCACACACTCATACACACAAACACACACACGCACACACAATCTCTTTGGATGAGAATCCTCATTGCCTACACACAATTCAATTGTGCTTGCACACAGAATTCCAACTCCAAAACAAAAGGAACTTCAAGCATGGCACTGTTATAAGTGGTCTGTCTTCCCTCATTGTAGACATAAAGACATATTTAAGTGAAAAGGTAACACTCTTTTGAAGGAAAAGCTTTTATAAGATTAGTATCCTCTATTCTCATTAAAAGACAAATCATTCCATAGGTCCCTTGAGAAGTTTTTCCTAATATCCCACTACATACTTGTTGGCTTCTGTCCATCATCCAATTATCAAGACCATTTTTAATTTTGAGTCTGCTCTTCATACTTTGTGCCAGGAGGACTCTTGGAAATCCTGAGCTGCAAATTGGAGGCAGTTCTTGACTATTTCCCATGTGACGCTCCCTCCTTTATCTGAGGAGAAATGGATGCAATTGTCACTTGTGTTTTTAGAGCATGGTACCACAAGACCTTGATCATTTCATCCCTAAAACTAATTTAAGACATTAATAATGAAATTGAAGCAAAAAAAAAGCCAAACAAAATATATCGTTTCTTTCAGATAAACTATGCATAGTTGCTACCTGTAATATTTCCATTAGTGATTACAGGAAGCCCATCTCTCAATGTCCCCAGTAAAAGCAGAAATTGGGTGTCACCGCCATCAATCACTTATAAAAGAGAAGCTCCAGCCATCTCACTAGTTGGAGGCAGTGACCACACTGTGACTATGGATACCAACTGTTGCCAGACCTCTGTTCTTTCACTAGCTTAAAATGGAGGAAGGGGGAGCCCTGAGTTCACTACAGTCCAAACTAAAAACAAAAGGAAAACACCTGATAACTGGAGTAATAGCTCATTATTACTTAAGAATATACTAAGGAAACAAATGAAAAGGACTTGATTGAAAAAGACACATAGTTGACTTTGTCATTTAAAAGTCTGGCCGCTGGGGGTGTAGCCAAGATGGCCAAATAGGAACAGCTCCAGTCTACAGCTCCCAGCGTGAGCAACACAGAAGACAGGTGATTTCTGCATTTCCATCTGAGGTACCCAGGTTCATTTCACTAGGGAGTGCCAGACAGTGGGTGCAAGACAGTGGGTGCAGCGCACCGGGCGTGAGCCGAAGCAGGGCGAGGCATTGCCTCACTCGGGAAGTGCAAGGGGTCAGGGAGTTCCCTTTTTCCTAGTCAAAGAAAGGGGTGACAGACAGCACCTGGAAAATAGGGTCACTCCCACCCTAATACTGCACTTTTCCAATGGGCTTAAAAAACGGCACACCAGGAGATTATATCCCGCACCTGGCTCGGAGGGTCCTACTCCCACGGAGTCTCGCTGATTGCTAGCACAGCAGTCTGAGATCAAACTGCACGGCGGCAACAAGGCTGGGGGAGGGGCGCCTGCCATTGCCCAGGCTTGATTAGGTAAACAAAGCAGCCTGGAAGCTCGAACTGGGTGGTGGAGCCCACCACAGCTCAAGGAGGCCTGCCTGCCTCTGTAGGCTCCACCTCTGGGGGCAGGGAACAGACAAACAAAAAGACAGCAGTAACCTCTGCAGACTTAAATGTCCCTGTCTGACAGCTTTGAAGAGAGTAGAGGTTCTCCCAGCACACAGATGGAGATCTGAGAACGGGCAGACTGCCTCCTCAAGTGGGTCCTTGACCCCAGAGCAGCCTAACTGGGAGGCACCCCCCAGTAGGGGCAGACTGACACCTCACACGGCCGGGTACTCCTCTGAGACAAAACTTCCAGAGGAACGATCAGGCAGCAGCATTTGTGGTTCACCAAGATCTGCTGTTCTACAGCCACCGCTGTTGTGCAGCCACCGC
This sequence comes from Homo sapiens, assembly GCF_000001405.40. NCBI lineage: Eukaryota > Metazoa > Chordata > Mammalia > Primates > Hominidae > Homo > Homo sapiens. The sequence continues at coordinate 64,020,669 of NC_000010.11, read as the reverse complement.
TGCTGATTCCCAGGCAAACAGGATCTGGAGTGGACCTCTAGCAAACTCCAACAGACCTGCAGCTGAGGGTCCTTCTGTTAGAAGGAAAACTAACAAACAGAAACGACATCTGCACCAAGACCCCTTCTGTACGTCACCATCATCAAAGACCAAAAGTAGATAAAACCACAAAGACAGGGAAAAAACAGAGCAGAAAAACTGGAAACTCTAAAAAGCAGAGCACCTCTCCTCCTCCAAAGGAACGCAGCTCTTCACCAGCAACGGAACAAAGCTGGACGGAAAATGACTTTGATGAGCTGAGAGAAGAAGGCTTCAGACGATCAAACTACTCCAAGCTACAGGAGGAAATTCACACCAATGGCAAAGAAGTTAAAAACTTTGAAAAAAAATTAGACGAATGGATAACTAGAATAACCAATGCAGAGAAGTCCTTAAAGGAGCTGATGGAGCTGAAAGCCAAGGCTCGAGAACTATGTGACGAATGCAGAAGCCTCAGGAGCCGATGCGATCAACTGGAAGAAAGGGTCTTGGTGATGGAAGATGAAATGAATGAATTGAAGCAAGAAGAGAATTTTAGAGAAAAAAGAATAAAAAGAAATGAACAAAGCCTCCAAGAAATATGGGACTATGTGAAAAGACCAAATCTACGTCGGATTGGTGTACCTGCAAATGACAGGGAGAATGGAACCAAGTTGGAAAACACTCTGCAGGATATTATCCAGGAGAACTTCCCCAATCTAGCAAGGCAGGCCAACATTCAGTTTCAGGAAATACAGAGAACGCCACAAAGATACTCCTCGAGAAGAGCAACTCCAAGACACATAATTGTCAGATGCACCAAAGTTGAAATGAAGGAAAAAATGTTAAGGGCAGCCAGAGAGAAAGGTCGGCTCACCCACAAAGGGAAGCCCATCAGACTAACAGTTGATCTCTTGGCAGAAACTCTACAAGCCAGAAGAGAGTGGGGGCCAATATTCAACATTCTTAAAGAAAAGAATTTTCAACCCAGAATTTCATATCCAGCCAAACTAAGCTTCACAAGTGAAGGAGAAATAAAATACTTTACAGACAAGCAAATGCTGAGAGATTTTGTCACCACCAGACCTGCCCTAAAAGAGCTCCTGAAGGAAGCACTAAACATGGAAAGGAACAACCGGTACCAGCCACTGAAAAAACATGCCAAAATGTAAAGACCATCAAGGCTAGGAAGAAACTGCATCAACTAACAAGCAAAATAACCAGCTAACATCATAATGACAGGACCAAATACACACATAACAATATTAACTATAAATGTAAATGGGCTAAATGCTCCAATTAAAAGATACAGACTGGCAAATTGGATAGAGTCAAGACCCATCAGTGTGCTGTATTCAGGAAACCCATCTCACGTGCAGAGACACACATAGGCTTAAAATAAAGGGATGGAGGAAGATCTACCAAGCAAATGGAAAACAAAAAAAGGCGGGGGTTGCAATCCTAGTCTCTGATAAAACACACTTTAAACCAACAAAGATCAAAAGAGACAAAGAAGGCCATTACATAATGGTAAAGGGATCAATTCAACAAGAAGAGCTAACTATCCTAAATATATATGCACCCAATACAGGACCACCCAGATTCATAAAGGAAGTCCTTAGTGACCTACAAAGAGACTTAGACTCCCACACAATAATAATGGGAGACTTTAACACCCCACTGTCAACATTAGACAGATCAACGAGACAGAAAGTTAACAAGGATACCCAGGAATTGAATTCAGCTCTGCACCAAGCAGACCTAATAGACATCTACAGAACTCTCCACCCCAAATCAACAGAATATACATTTTTTTTAGCACCACACCACACCTATTCCAAAATTTACCACATAGTTGGAAGTAAAGCACTCCTCAGCAAATGTAAAAGAACAGAAATTATAACAAACTGTCTCTCAGACCACAGTGCAATCAAACTAGAACTCAGGACAAGAAACTCACTCAAAACCGCTCAACTATATGGAAACTGAACAACCTGCTCCTGAATGACTACTGGGTACATAACGAAATGAAGGCAGAAATAAAGATGTTCTTTGAAACCAACGAGAACAAAGACACAACATACCAGAATCTCTGGGACACATTCAAAGCAGTGTGTAGAGGGAAATTTATAGCACTAAATGCCCACAAGAGAAAGCACGAAAGATCCAAAATTGACACCCTAACATCACAATTAAAAGAACTAGAAAAGCAAGAGCAAACACATTCAAAAGCTAGCAGAAGGCATGAAATAACTAAAATCAGAGCAGAAATGAAGGAAATAGAGACACAAAAAACTCTTCAAAAAATTAGTGAATCCAGGAGCTGGTTTTTTGAAAGGATCAACAAAATTGATAGACCGCTAGCAAGACTAATAAAGAAGAAAAGAGAGAAGAATCAAATAGATGCAATAAAAAATGATAAAGGGGATATCACCACCGATCCCACAGAAATACAAACTACCATCAGAGAATACTACAAACACCTCTACACAAATAAACTAGAAAATCTAGAAGAAATGGATAAATTCCTCAACACATACACCCTCCCAAGATTAAACCAGGAAGAAGTTGAATCTCTGAATAGACCAATAACAGGCTCTGGAATTGTGGCAATAATCAATAGCTTACCAAACAAAAAAAGTCCAGGACCAGATGGATTCACAGCCGAATTCTACCAGAGGTACAAGGAGGAACTGGTACCATTCCTTCTGAAACTATTCCAATCAATAGAAAAAGAGGGAATCCTCCCTAACTCATTTTATGAGGCCAGCATCATCCTGATACCAAAGCTGGGCAGAGACACACCAAAAAAAGAGAATTTTAGACCAATATCCTTGATGAACATCGATGCAAAAATCCTCAATAAAATACTGGCAAACTGAATCCAGCAGCACATCAAAAAGCTTATCCACCACAGTCAAGTGGGCTTCATCCCTGGGATGCAAGGCTGGTTCAACATACGAAAATCAATAAATGTAATCCAGCATATAAACAGAACCAAAGACAAAAACCACGATTATCTCAATAGATGCAGAAAAGGCCTTTGACAAAATTCAACAACCCTTCCTGCTAAAAACTCTCAATAAATTAGGTATTGATGGGACGTATCTCAAAATAATAAGAGCTATCTATGACAAACCCACAGCCAATATCATACTGAATGGGCAAAAACTGGAAACATTCCCTGTGAAAACTGGCACAAGACAGGGATGCCCTCTCTCACCACTCCTATTCAACATAGTGTTGGAAGTTCTGGCCAGGGCAATCAGGCAGGAGAAGGAAATAAAGGGTATTCAATTAGGAAGAGAGGAAGTCAAATTGTCCCTGTTTACAGATGACATGACTGTATATCTAGAAAACCCCATTGTCTCAGCCCAAAATCTCCTTAAGCTGATAAGCAACTTCAGCAAAGTCTCAGGATACAAAATCAATGCGCAAAAATCACAAGCATTCTTATACACCAATAACAGACAAACAGAGAGCCAAATCATGAGTGAACTCCCATTCACAATTGCTTCAAAGAGAATAAAATACCTAGGAATCCAACTTACAAGGGATGTGAAGGACCTCTTCAAGGAGAACTACAAACCACTGCTCAAGGAAATAAAAGAGGATACAAACAAATGGAAGAACATTCCATGCTCATGGGTAGGAAGAATCAATATCGTGAAAATGGCCATATTGCCCAAGGTAATTTATAGATAAAATGCCATCCCCATCAAGCTACCAATGACATTCTTCACAGAATTGGAAAAAACTACTTTAAAGTTCATATGGAACGAAAAAAGAGCCTGCATCGCCAAGTCAATCCTAAGCCAAATGAACAAAGCTGGAGGCATCACACTACCTGACTTCAAAGTATCTTACAAGGCTACAGTAACCAAAACAGCATGGTATTGGTACCAAAACAGAGATATAGATCAATGGAACAGAACAGAGCCCTCAGAAATAACGCTGCATATCTACAACTATCTGATATTTGACAAACCTGAGAAAAACAAGCAATGGGGAAAGGATTCCCTATTTAATAAATGGTGCTGGGAAAACTGGCTAGCCATATGTAAAAAGCTGAAACTGGATCCCTTCCTTACACCTTATACAAAAATGAATTCAAGATGGATTAAAGACTTACATGTTAGACCTAAAACCATAAAACCCTAGAAGAAAACCTATGCAATATCATTCAGGACATAGGCATGGGCAAGGACTTCATGTCTAAAACACCAAAAGCAATGGCAACAAAAGCCAAAATTGACAAATGGGATCTAATTAAACTAAAGAGCTTCTGCACAGCAAAAGAAACTACCATCCGAGTGAACAGGCAACCTACAAAATGGGAGAAAATTTTCGCAAGCTACTCATCTGACAAAGGGCTAATATCCAGAATCTACAATGAACTCAAACAAATTTACAAGAAAAAAACAAACATCTACGATGAACTCAAACAAATTTACAAGAAAAAAACAACCCCATCAAAAAGTGGGTGAAGGACATGAACAGACACTTCTCAAAGAAGACACTTATGCAGCCAAAAAACACATGAAAAAATGCTCATCATCACTGGCCATCAGAGAAATGCAAATCAAAACCACAATGAGATACCATCTCACACCAGTTAGAATGGCAATCATTAAAAAGTCAGGAAACAACAGGTGCTAGAGAGGATGTGGAGAAATAGGAACACTTTTACACTGTTGGTGTGACTGTAAACTAGTTCAACCATTGTGGAAGTCAGTGTGGTGATTCCTCAGGGATCTAGAACTAGAAATACCATTTGACCCAGCCATCCCATTACTGGGTATATACCCAAAGGATTATAAATCATGCTGCTATAAAGACACATGCACACGTATGTTTATTGCGGCATTATTCACAATAGCAAAGACTTGGAACCAACCCAAATGTCCAACAATGATAGACTGGATTAAGAAAATGTGGCACATATACACCATGGAATACTATGCAGCCATAAAAAATGATGAGTTCATGTCCTTTGTAGGGACATGGGTGACACTGGAAACCATCATTCTCAGCAAACTATCAAAAGGACAAAAAACCAAACACCGCATGTTCTCACTCGTAGGTGGGAACTGAACAATGAGAACACATGGACACAGGAAGGGGAACATCACACTCCGGGGACTGTTGTGGGGTGGGGGAAGGGGGGAGGGATAGCATTAGGAGATATACCTAATGCTAAATGACGAGTTAATGGGTGCAGCACACCAACATGGCACACGTATACATATGTAACAAACCTGCACATTGTGCACATGTACCCTAAAACTTAAAGTATAATAATAATAAAATAAAATAAATAAAAATAAAAGTCTGGCCGGGTGCGGTGGCTCATGCCTGTAATCCCGGCACTTTGGGAGGCCGAGGCAAGGTCAGGAGTTCAAAACCAGCCTGGCCAAGATGGTGAAACCCTGTCTCTACTAAAAATACAAAAATTAGCCAGGCACAGTGGCAGACGCCTATAATCCCAGCTACTCGAGAGGCTGAGGCAGGAGAATTGCTTGAACCTGGGAAGCGGAGGTTGCAGTGAGCTGAGATCGCACCACTGCAATCCAGCCTGGGGTAGAGTAAGACTCTGTCTCAAAAAACAAAAAAAAGTCTGAAAAACAATTTCTGTTCAGTGCCTTATAAAATGACCAGTTATGTTCCAAGGAGTCTGACTCCATTTTTTGGATGTTTGACTAATGATAGCTTTTAAGCTTCACCCCTCCCTCACTGCCTTCTGCTCCACATCTGGTACAATGGACTCAGTGTTGATTCCCCACAATATTTATCTGTTGAAACCCTAATCCCAATGTGATGATATTAGAAGGTGGAGTATTTGGGGCATAATTAGGTTATGAGGGTGGAGCCCTCATGAATGGAATTAGTGCTCTTATAAGAAGAGGACATAGAGCTTACTAACTCCTATTCTGCATATAATGATACTGTTACAAGTTGGCAGTCATGAACCAGGAAGAGAGCCCTCATCAGAACTGATCATGCTGGCATGCTGAGCTTGGACTTCCAATCACCAGAGCTGCAAGAAATATATTTCTGTTGCTTATAAGCCATCCAGCCTATGACGCTTTGTTACAGCAGCTGAAATGGACCAGGACATCTGAGTAAGCCAATAAGAAAGCCCAGGTGTGCCAAAAGAGACTGAAACCATGCTAGTCCCTCCTCCCATGCAGGAACCCTTGCATGGGCTCCACCTCCTAACCACAATAAGAACTCTGAGCCAGTCTCCTTTTCTTGCTCTTTCAAGCCATTTTGGACCTGTTTGAGAGACCTACCCTGCTCTCCAAAAACCTCAATTACAGAAGGAATAAACCTAATCTTTGGAACTTTGTGAATGTGATAGGATATCTCTCCTGTGAATCTGTCATGTTATATGGCATAGCTGACCTGAGGAGAAGAGATTATCTGGGTGAGGTAATCTAATCACAGGAGTCTTTAAAAGCAGAGAACTTTCTCTGGGTGGTAGCAAAAGAGCAGCCACAAGGGGAAGTCAGGGATTTTAAGCACTAGGCGATTTTGACATGCACACATGAAAAGAAATACAGATGGCTTCTGGGAGCAGTGAGTGTCTCCACCTGACAGCCAGCAAGGAACTTAGACATACACCTGCAAGGAACTGGATTCTGTCAACGTGAATGAGCATGGAAGGCTATTCTTCCCCTGAGCCTCCAGGTAAGAGCCCATTTTGGCCAACAGCTTGTGAGACTCTGAGCAGAAAACCTAGCCAAGCTGATCCAGACTTCTGACCTACAGAACTGTGGGCTAATAAATGGGTGTTGTTTAAACCACTAAATTTGTGGTAAATTGTTATGCAAGCAATAAAAAAAAAATGTGCTAAGAGTGTGATGCTGAGACCTCACCAAAATTAAAAACTATAGGTTGCTTTCTACACCCAAAGAGGTTAAAATCTAACAGGAAAGTATATATACTAACAAAAAGGAACATGTGACAACTGCTGTAAGGACTATCCAAAGAAACTGCTTGACTTAGGTCTTTTTGGCTGCTATAACAAACTATCTTAGACTGGGTGGCTTATAAACAATGGAAATGTTTTCCCACAGTTCTGGAGGCTGGAAAGTCCACGATCAAGTCACCAGCAGAGTTGGTGTTGGTAAGGGCCTGCTTCCTGGTTCATAGACAATGGTCTTCTCCCTCTAATCCCACATGGCGGACAGAAGGAGCGTTCTCTCTTGGGCCTCTTCTATGAAAGCACTAATCCTAATCATGAGAGCTCTTCCCCCATGACCTTATCACTTCCCAAAGATTCACTATCCTAATAGCATCACCTTGGAAGTAAAGATTTCAACATATAAATTTGGGAGGGACATAAACATGCAGACTATAGCACTGCTATAGAACAGTGATTCTCAACCAAGGGCAATTTTGATCCCCAGGGGACATTTGGCAATATTTGGAGACAGCAGAAGTGCTGCTAGCTTCCAGAAGGTAGAGACTAGGAATGCTGCTGAACATCACACAATGCACAGGACACTCCCCCCAAAGAAAAGAAGAATTATCTGGTACAAGACGGCAATAGTGCTGAGGTTTGGAAACCCTGCCGTAGGAATAGAGAGAAGAAAATTAATTTCAACTGAGGATTTTGGCCCAGCTCCTTAGAGGTGGTGATATTTGAGCTGGACAGTGAAGGATAAGTAGGATTTTGAAAGATAGGGGTGCAGGTAGCAAGAAACTACCCCTGGGGTCCCTGCTTGGACGCTACACCAAAGTACACACAGGCAAAATATGGCATTGGTGGGTAGTAAGTAGCCACTCCCCCCACCCCTGTTCCCACTCCCACATCCTCACATGGTTTTCCTTTTAGTTGGTACCAAGTTCTGTAACTTCCCAATGTGTCACTCAACAAAAAGAAAATTAATTTAGAAATTGAGGTACATGACATGATGTTAGAATTTATGAACGATACAAAACACAATAAACCACGACTCGTGCCTTCAATATGTTGACAATCTAAGTGATGAGACAGTCTATCCACAAAGAAGTGCATCAAACTTAATTTTATTAAAAGTAACTGCACCACTCCTCACACCAGTCAGTTACCTCAAGGAAATTCTCCAAGTATGCCTCAACATGTATGAGATGTGCAGTCAAATTCCTGTGTGAATTTTAACGAAATGAGTTAATTCGGTGTATTGCCCTCTCTTCCCGTCCTCCACAGAGTCTGTCTTGCAAGGCAGTCACAGGAATTCAGCCCTCCACAAACTGAGAGCCTTCATGTACTTACTGCTTGCTTGTTCACTGCAGTGCTCCTCATTACCATGTTTATTATACTTTTGCATACCCTTGGTAGTCAAGAATGCAGGACTATTGTTAAACCCAGACAGGAGGAAAAATACAAGAAACTCACTCTCTTCTTTGGCACTCAATGTTTATCAAAGCCATTAGAGGGGGAGAAATGAATCTGTTGCTAATAGCATTTTCATTCTGGATAGCCCTAAACAGGAGCAGCTGGGCTGAGATTGCCATTTCAGAGTTCACGAGGGACTCTTGCAGCTGTCACATCTAAGCAAGTCTTTAAAACCATTTCTCAAAGCCAGACTTATTTGAAACAAGCATCTGGTGACAAATGTTGAAAGAATAACAAAACCCTCTGTACTCTGGGTTTCTTGACCTTCATGTTTATTAACGTTCAGCACTTCCCCACCCCTCTCAAAATTTCAAAACCATACCACTGAGCTCTACTAAATGCACTCTGCTGGAGACAAGTAAAATAGAGTGGATTTCTATGCTTCTCTGCTTGACAAAAATAAACCCATTAAAAAGTTATGATGTCAATTGATGAAAGAATGCAGGGAGCAGATTTGCTCAACTCTCCATTGGACAGTGGGTACTTTTTAGTTGAACTAAAACTTGAGCACTCTTCACTAAATCCCCTTATGATTAATTCTGTCAGCCAAGTAGATTATTTGTATAAATTTTTTAAAATATAGAACTTCTTTCACAGACAAGGAAGATTCCTCTTTAACCCCAATTTTCTCTCCAGAGTTGCCTGCAGAGAAAGCCAAATGCTTCCCAGAGCCCATGAAAACTCTCCTTTAGTGGCCTGGATAGAATTGGCCAGTCCATGAATTCTCTATCATTTCAATGGTTGAATTCAACTTTACAGGAATAGCAAAAAGAGACTGACCTTGTGCTAAGAGGAGGAAGTAAGGAGAACAGAAGTAAGGGACTCCTTTGAAATCTGCCTTATTGAAATGGAATCCTAAGACCTCTAATCATTAAATACAATCTATTTATTTTAGGAACAACTCAGTATGCCCTGGATTAACTCAACACATAAAGATAGGATGAGACAGTTAACCTCTACCCTTCCTAATACACCCAAAAGGCAGGAAACACTTAGACCATAAAGTTAAGGGTTATTTATTAAAGACGCTGAGGAAAGGAAAGAGGTTATGGCACTAACTGCCCATCAACACCATGGACAAACCTTTGTCCCAAGACAATGTCATCTGATGGATTGTGCCAAGATAGATGTAACTCATAATTGATGCAATATGAGTGACTTCTCTTGACACCTGTCTTGACCCCAGCTGGCCTGCCCAGTAGCATCTACAAAAAGGAAGCCATGAGTTGAGCTCAGTTTCAGTGAAGTATCCAATAAAACAGCATGCATAATTATAGCATGTCCTTCAGATTGTAGACATTTCCTCAAACTCTTTTGTCATTAAAAGCAGAGTTCTACTCTTTATTCACCCATCCTTTCTGTGTGCCACCACTTCCCCTTTCTTCCTTTATAACACACACACTCACACACACACAAACTCACACTCACACACACTCAGGTTGCTACATAAGAAGGAGGGAATTATTCCCTATTGTTTGAACTACTTTGTCTTACTTAGCATATTAGTCATGGTTCTCCAGAAAAACAGAACCAATAGAATAGAGGGAGGGGGTCAGGATTTATTAGGAGAATTGGCTCACACAGTGATGCAGGCTAACTAAGCAGTCCAGAAGGCAGTAACGGAAAGAGTGGTGAGAAACAAGGCAAGAGACATAAGCAGGGACTAGATCAGGAAAGGCCTTGCAGCACAGGATTACATATACATATATATATTCCAGCTATTGTAAGAAGCCATCTGGGTAGTTTGAACAGAGGAGTGGCAAGATTAAACTTAATTTTTTAGAAGGATCATTCTGACTGCTGAATGGAGAAGCTCCATGGAGTGGCAAGTTAGAAGCAAGGAAGCTACTTAGGAGGCTCATGTAGTAGTCCAGGAGTGGACGAGGGTAAACAAGGACTAGAGTGGACAGTGTAGTAGCATTGGAGAGGTTAAAAAGTGGTCAAATCTTAAAATAAAAAATAAAAAGCCTACAAGGTATTTGGTCTGGTAATAGTCCTCCAATTTACTCCTATAGAGACAGTGAAGAGAGCAGGTATAGGGATGGCAGAGGACATGAACATATTGGGTTTGAAATGTCAACTGAACATTCAAGAGTACATGTGAAGGTGGCTGTTAGCCAGTCTAGAGTTGAAGAGAGAGACTGGAGCTGAAATGCAAATTTAAGCCATCTGATAAGAACAGGACTTAGATCCATGGGCATACGATGTGAGTAGGGTGAGAAGAGCAAAGGTCTAAGGATCCAACCTAGTGCTCCACCATTTTGAGCAAGGTGAGAAAAAGCCAAGAAAGTAGACTGAGAGGAAGGAGTCAGTCAATGTGGTGTTCTGGAAGCCAAGTAAAGAAGAGATTTCTTCAAGGAGGGTGTGAATCCATGGAGCAAATGCTGCTAAGAAACCAAGGGTGGACCTGGGAACTGACCATTGTATTTAGCTATGTGGTACTCCTGGACTTGGGCCCTGAATTAAGTTTTTTAAGGGGAGTGATGATGCACAAAAGCCTGGTTTGAGAGGGTTCAAGAGAGAAGGGGGGAAAGTGTAAATAATTGGTAGAGACAAGTCTCCTGAGATTTACTGTAAATGGGAACCAAGAAATTGGGCAACAGCTAGAGAGGAAACTGAAGTCAATGAAGCTTTTTTCTTTTTAATAGAAGAAATTACAGTGTGTGTATGCTAATGGGAAAGACCCAGTACAGAGGAAAAAGTTGATGATACAGAAGAAAGGGAAGAAATTTTAGAAACAATATCCTTAGTATCCCAAAGAGGTGTGGCCTCCAGTGTACAGGTAGCAGGGTTAAATTTAGTCAGCAACCCACTGGGCATCCGGATTGGGGTGACGGGGTCAGGAAGCAGGGTATATAGGTAAAAATACAGACTGATTAGAAGGTTTCATATGGGAAGATACAGAAGTTCTCCTCAGATTGCTTCTTTTTTTCTCTGTAAAATAAAATGGGCTGGCTGAGGAATCCTGGTCATTTGAGGAGAGAGAGGTGTGAAATAGAGTGAGTTGACTAGTAGATGTAGTAGGATTGCTGTGCAGTCTGTAGGAGTTTGTGGTCCTAAATGTACCCAAACAGAATAAACCCAAATCCTATTATCCTATGATCTTCATGTTTCCTCTTTCTAAGGTGAAATAATAATACTTTTAAAGAAATTATATCCAAAGAAAAAAAAATCTAGTCTCTTATTCTTGAACTTTATGAAGATTTCTAAAGCATTTATTGATAATGATTGAACCCAAACTTCAAAATAAGGAATGTATGTTATGCACTGCATAACCATGTTTCAGTCACTGACAGACTACATATACAATGGTGGTCCCGTAAGATTACAACGGAGCATGTATAGAAACCTGATATATGGCACTTGATACTGGCATTGCAGATCAAGTAGGGGAAATGATTGATATCCAGTAATGGTGCTGGGACATTTGGTTTTCCATATGAAAAAATATATACAAATGAAAATCTCTGTACTATCTAGGTTTGCGTAAGTACACTCTATGATGTTTGCACAATTAAGTCACCAAAGGATGCATTTCTCAGAATGTATCTCATTCATCAAGCAACATGACTATTAATATATTAGAAAAATATATAAATTTTATGGGAAAAGGGATTTTTGTTTATTTTGTTCATTATTGTATTCCCAGTGCCTATAACAATGCCTGGCACATAGTTTGTAAATGGCCAATAAATATTGAAAATATGTACATTGAATAAATGTATGTACATATTGTAGTATTATACATACACTGTATGAATCCTATACAAGCATCTATCCAGTGATCTGTAATAACAGGATGTCCCCAAAGTCTTAGTCAAGTTTTAAGCTTAATAACTTTCGAAGTATAAATGCTACAAGCCTACAAAAAACATCATTTAAAAGTTAAATTATTTAACTTTCTTATATGTTTATATAGTTTTGTGAATTTTAAAAAATAAAGATTTTATTTCAATGTTTTGCTTCAGTTAATATTTGTCACCTTGAATAAAGCTTGAAAAAAACTTAACAATTTATTATTTTAACCTTACAAATCTCAGTAAGTATATAAGAAATGTAATTTTTTGTAATTTTGAAGTTCTTAAAGCTTAAAATTAAACTAACATTTTTTTGACACCCTGTATATATAAGCCACAGAGAGTGGATTGTATCAGTCCCTGGTTCTTCTTGGGGAATATAAAGATGAGATTTTCCCAAAAACTATAAAAATCTTAGAAGAAAACCTAGGCAATACCATTCACATCATAGGCACAGGCAAAGATTTCATGACGAGAACATCAAAAGCAATTGCAACAAAAGCAAAAATTGACAAATGAGATATAATTAAACTAAAGAGTTTCTGCTGCAGGAAGTCAGGGACCCTGAATGGAGGGACCAGCTGAAGCCATGGCAGAAGAACATAAATTGTGAAGATTTCATGGACATTTATTAGTTCCCCAAATTAATACTTTTATAATTTCTTATGCCTGTCTTTACTGCAATCTCTGAACATATGTTGTGATGATTTCATGGACATTTATCACTTCCCCAGTCAATACTCTTATAATTTCCTATGCCTGTCTTTACTTTAATCTCTTAATCCCGTCATCTTCGTAAACTGAGGATGCATGTCGCCTCAGGACCCTGTGATGATTGCATTATCTGTATAAATTGTTTGTAAAACATGTGTGTTTGAACAATATGAAATCTGGGCATCCTAAAAGAACAGGATAACAGCGATTTTCAGGGACCAAGGGAGATAACCGTCAGGTCTGACTGCCTGCGGGGCTGGGCAGAACAGAGTCATATTTCTTTTCTTGCAAAAGCGAATAGGAGAAATATCGCTGAATTCTTTTTCTCACCAAGGAACAGCCCTGGGAAAAGAATGCATTCCCAGGGGGAGAACTCTAAATGGCCGCTCTAGGAGTGTCTGTCTTATGCAGTTGAACATAAGGGATGAAATACGCCCTGGTCTCCTGCAGCACCCTCAGGCTTTCTAGGATTAGGACATTCCAGCCTGGTGAATTCTAGTTAGACTGGTTGTCTGCTCTCGAACCCTGTTTCCTGTTAAGATGTTTATCAATGACAATGTGTGCACAGTAGGACATGGAGCCTCATTAGTAATTCTAATTTCATCCTGGCCTTGAGACCTTGCTCTGCCCCCATTTGCCTTGTGATATTTTATTGCCTTTTGAAGTATGTGATCTCTGTGACCCACTCCCTATTTATACACCCCTCCCCTTTTGAAATCCCTAATAAAAACTTGCTGGTTTTGCGGCTCAGGGGCATCATGGAACCTGCCAACACGTGATATCACCCCCGGAGACCCAGGTGTAAAATGTATTTCTTTTGTACTCTTTCTCTTTATTTCTCAGACCGGCTGACACTTAGGGAAAATAGAAAAGAACCTACGTTGAAATATTGGGGGCTGGTTCCCCCGATAAGTTTCTGCAAAGCAAAAGAAATTATCATCAGAGTCAACAGACAGCCTACAGAATGGGAGAAAATACTTGCAATCTATCCATCTGACAAAGGTCTAATATCCAGAATCTACAAGGAATTTACAAGAAAAAAACAACCCCATTAAAAAATGGGCAAAGGACAAGAACAGTCAGTTCTCAAAAGAAGATATTTATGTGGCCAACAAACATATGAAAAAAACCTCAACATCACTGATCATTAGAGAAATGCAAATCAAAACCACCATGAGATGCCATCTCATGCCAGTCAGAATGGTGATTATTAAAAAGTCAAGAAACAACGGATGCTGGCAAGGCTGTGGAGAAATAGGAATACTTTTACACTGCTGGTGGGAATATAAATTAGTTCAACTATTGTGGAAAACAGTGTGGCAATTCCTCAAAGACCTAGAACCAGAAATACCATTTGACCCAGCAATCTCATTACTGGGTTTATACCCAAGGGAATATAAATTGTTCTATTATAAAGATACATGCACACATATGTGAATACTTGCAGCACTATTCACAATAGCAAAGACATGGAATCAACCCAAATGCCTGTTAATGATAGACTAGATAAAGAAAATATGGTACATATACACCATGGAATACTATGCTGCCATAAAAAGGAATGAGATCATGTCTTTTTCAAAGACATGAATGGAGCTGGAAGCCATTATCCTCAGCAAACTGAGGCAAGAAAATTAAGGCATGTGGAACTTAATACCTACATGATGGGTTGATAGATGCCGCAAACCATCATGGCACACATTTACCTATGCAACAAACCTGCACATCCTGCACATATATCCTGGAACTTAAAATAATTTTTTTTAATGATGAGATTTTCTGGTCTAGTCTGGACCCTCTTCTATGAGTCTGGTGCAGAAGATGCCTCCTTCTTACCTACTATTTATTACTGATCAGATGTAGTGCTTGACCAAGCACAATCTTTAAGACCCTGTGGCCTGGGCCCTGTTCAAGGCTCTACCTAACTTCTCTGCAGGATGCACTGCCACTCAGTGACATTGTCATTTTTACTCTCTGCCCTTAGAGGTCTGGGACCTCTCTGGTGGCTGCATTCTCCCTGCAAGGTCAGCACAGGCAATCAGAAAGAGTCCTGCTCCTTTGGCCCATGGATCTCTCTCTGCCTGAAGTAGGAACCCAAAACAAGTCTCTCACTTGGGCAGTGACACTTTCTTTATAACAGCCCCCAGGAAACAATAGATCAGGAGAAAATTGAATTTACCTAGTGTCTGTAGATCCCTGTATATGTTTTGAATGGAAGTCCAATTTACTAATTAAGTTACTCTGCTGTTACGGAGAGTTTTGCCCAAGGCTAGTTAGGAACAAATGCTTGTAACTTAGCATTTTTACTGGAGGGTTTTATTGGTCTGTCTTCCACTTCCCACTACTAAAACTTAGAGAAAAGAGGGAAGGAGAAGAGACAAAAGAGAAAGCAGGTAGTTAAATAGCACTTGAGGGAGGAGACTCCTGCTGACATCTGTCAGCCAAGTGTGCAGAAGGCTCTGGGTGAGGTCAGCACAGAGGAGAGCACAGTACTCAGGCCATCCACCTGCTATGGGGGTCCCAATTGACTCATCTGAGCCATGGGGCCTCCCCAGCCCACTTTTTCTGCATTCCAGACCCGCTACCTATACAGAGAATTCCTACCCAGTACTTCAGCATTCATGCACACAAAGTGCTTAGCACAACCATCAGCACATATGAAATACCAAATGCAGACCTCTTTGGTTGTTCCACAGTTTTATCACTTTATATTGTGTGCCCCTTTTATTTATTTATTTAATTTTTAGCAACAGGGTCTCACTCTGTCACCCAGGCTGGAGTGCAGTGGCCCAACCATGGCTCACTGCAGCCTTGAACTCCTGAGCTCAAGTGATCCTCTCACCTCGGCTTTCTGAAGTGCTGGGATTACAGGCGTGAGCCACTGTCCCCAGCCATGTGTCCCTGTTTAAATTGAATATTTCATATACAATCAGACTCCTCACTATAAAAAATAATAATTTGATAATACATGTCAGTAATTGATAGGAAGCTTAGAAGCAGCATCCTATTTGTTTAGGTCAGGGCAGATGCCACACAGAACTTACTTTATCATGTAATTTTCCTGTTAGGAGAGTCATTTCAAATTATATGGCTTGCCTTTGAAATACGAAGTGAGAATTGCAACAGAAGTAAAAAAGTTTTTAAAACGGTATCAGAAAATAAAAGGTTACCAACAAATGTACAAAGTATATTGCCCTGAAAAACACATAAAATTATGGTAACAAGAAAATCTTAACATTTAAGTAATTGACATAAAATCATATTTTAATGCTTTATCATTGAAATTTTGAGGCATACAAAATGAAAGAGAAAAACACAATGAAGAACCAAGAATCCATCATCTATTTTCAACATATAGTTATCAAAATGTGTTTTGATACCCTGGTTTTCTCAATTTCTTCACCCTCTATATACCTACTAATTTTTAAACATTTTTTACAAATTCTAGAAAGATATTTCATCTACAAATTCTTAAGCGTAAATCATTGAAGATTATGAACTCCTTTACTAAGTTAATTAAAATATCTTTAACACACATAAATATATCAATTATTTAATATCAAGTATAAAGTCAGTGCTCAAATGTTTCTAATTGTGTAAGAAAATGTTGGCTTTTACAATTGGTGCATTTGAATTTAGATCTAAACAATGTACCCACTGTTATTTTATTTATTTATTTATTTATTTATTTATTTATTTATTTATTTATTTATTTATTTTTGAGATGGAGTTTCACTCTTGTTGCCCAGGCTGGAGTGCAATGGCGCAATCTCAGCTCACTGCAAACTCTGCCTCCCAGGTTCAAATGATTCTCATGCCTCAGTGTCCTAAGTAGCTGGGATTACAGGCGTGAGCCACCATGCCCAGCTAATTTTTGTATTTTTCGTAGAGACTAGGTTTCACCATGTTGGCCAGGCTGGTCTCGAACTCCTGACCTCAAGTGATCCACCCACCTCGGCCTCCCAAAGTGCTGGGATTACAGGCATGAGCCACCACACTTGGCCCAATGTACCCATTTTTAGTTGGAATATGTCATACATTTCTTATTTTTTACTCTATAAGTTCCTCTTTCCTCCTTTTATTTTCATTTGTTTATTGAAGAAATTAGAATTCCCCACATTCTATATTTGTCATATTGCAATCAATTGCTGTTTAACACATTCCACTATCCCTATATTCCTGTAAAAACAGAAATAAATGTTGAGGCTTTATTAGAATCAGGTTCTGGTTTGGGAAGGGCAATTCACAGTTGCTGTGTGGTTTTTATTTTATCACTTTAGAAAGCACGTTCAGTCCTGTTGTTTCTCTGTGCTCTTAAAATTAATCCTTCAGTTCAAATATTGTCAGCCTTCTTTATCCATTAAACATTTCTTTCTTACCAACATTTTACCAAATCATGTTATTGGCCATTAATGATCATTAACTAGATATATTATTTTGTTAAAAGTAGTAAAAGCTGTCTATTTCTAACTCTGGCATTCCTTCTGCAATTATTAGCTGGCATTTACTAAATACATTTTTCCCTTATCAACTCTTCAGTGTCCCTAAAATTAAGTCTGTTCAGGAAGGACAGGATAAGTGTTTGGTGCTTTCTTCTTACATGTCTGTTTTTGTTTTGGTTTTTGGTTTTTTGGTTTTTTAAAATTTAACTTTTATTTTGAGTTCAGGGGTATACATGCAGGTTTGTTATATAGGTAAACTTGTGTCATGAGGGTTTGTTGTACAGATTATTTCCTTGCCCAGGTATTAAGCCTAGTACCCATCAGTTATTTTTCCTCATCCTCTTCCTCCTCCCACCCTCTACACTATAATAGGCCCCAGTGTATGTTGTTCCACTCTAGATATCCATATGTTCTCATCATTTAGCTCCCACTTATAAGTGAGAATATGCAGTATTTGGTTTTCTGTTTCTGTATTAGTTTGTTAAGGGTAATGGCCTCTAGCTCCATCCATATCCCTGTGAAGGATATGATCCCATTCTTTTTTATGGCTGCACAGTATTCCATGGTGTATATGTACCATATTTTCTTTATCCAGTCTGCCATAGGGCATTTAGGTTGAATCCATGTCTTTACTATGTGCATAGTGCTGCAATGAACATACACATCCATGTGTCTTTCTAATAGAACAATTTATATTCCTCTGGGTATATACCCAGTAATGAGATTGCTGGGTTGCGATCCTCTATCTGGGAAACCCCACGGTCTCAGCCAAAAAGCTCAGGAATAGTCTAATTTCCTCTCTTTCTATTTAGGTTCCCTTTATTTCTCTCTCTTGTCTGATTACTGTAATCAGGACTTCCAATACTATGTTGAAAAGGAGTGGTGAGAAAGGGCAGCCTCGTCTTGTGTCGGCTTTCAAGGAGAATTCTTCCAGCTTTTGCCCATTAAGTATGATGTTAGCTGTGAGTTTGTCATAGATGGCTCTTGTTATTTTGAGGTATGTTCCTTCAATACCTAGTTTATTGAGAGTTTTTAACATGAAGGGGTGTTGAGTTTTATTGAAAGCCTTTTCTACATCTATTTAGATAATGTGGTTTTTGTCTATAATTCTGTTTACGTGATGAATCACATTTATTGGTTTGCATATGTTGAACCAAGCTTGCATCCATGCATAAAACCTACTTGATCATGGTTGATAAGCTTTTGGATGTGCTGCTGGATTCAGTTTGCCAGTATTTTGTTGAGGATTTTTGCATTGATTTTCATCAAGAATATTGGCCTGAAGTTTTCTTTTTTGTTGTGTCTCTGCCAGGTTTTGGTATAAGGATGATGCTGGCCTCATACAATGAGTTAGGGAGGAGTTCCTCCTCCCAATTTTTTGGAGTAGTTTCAGTAGGAATAGCACCAGCTCTTTGTGCATCCAGTAGAGTTCAGCTATTAATCCATCTGGCCTTCTGCTTTTTTTTTGGTTGGTAGGTTATTTATTACTGCCCCTATTTCAGAGATCATTATTGGTCGGTTTAAGGATTCAATTGCTTCCTGGTTTAGTCTTGAGAGGGTGTATGTGTCCAGGAATTTATCCATTTCTTTTAGATATTCTAGTTTATGTGCATAGAAATGTTCATGATATTTTCTGATGGTTGTTTGTATTTCTGTGGGGTCAGTGATAATATCCCCCTTGTTGTTTCTGATTGTGTTCATTTGAATCTTCTTTATTCTTCTTTATTAGTCTAGCTAGTAGTCTATATATTTTATTAATTTTTTTTCAAAAAAACAGCTCCTGGAGTTGTTGATCTTTTGAATGGTTTTTCACATCTCAACCTCCTTCAGCTCAGCTCTGATTTAGTTATTCCTTGTCTTCTGCTAGCTTTGCGATTCATTTGTTCTTGGTTCTCTAGTTCTTTTAGTTATAATGTTAGGTTGTTAACTTGAGATCTTTCTAACTTTTTGATGTGGGCATTTAGTGCTATAAATTTCCGTATTAACCTGCCTTAGCTGTGTCCCGGAGATTATGGTATGTTGTATCTTTCTTTTCATTAGTTTCAAAGGTCTTCTTGATTTATGCCTTAATTTCACTTTTTACCCAAAAGCCATTCATGACCAGGTTATTCAATTTCCATGTAGCTGTGTAGTTTTGAGTGAATTCCTTAGTCTGGATTTCTAATTTGATTGTACTGTGATCTGAGAGGTTGTTTGTTATGATTTCAGTTCTTTTGAATTTGCTGAAGAATGTTTTATTTCTGATTATATCATCAGTTTTAGAGTATGTGCCATGTGATGATGACAAGAATGTAAATTCTGTTGTTTTGGGGTGGAGAGTTCTGTAGATGTCTGTCAGATCTATTTGGTTCAATGCTGAGGTCCGTTCCTGAATATGTTTTTTAACTTCCTGTCTCAATGATCCGTCTAATGTTGTCAGTGGGGTGTTAACATCTCCCACTATTATTGTGTGGGAGTCTAAGTCTTTTTGAAGATCTCTAAGAACTTGCTTTATGAATCTGGGTGCTGTTGTGTTGGGTGAATATATATCTAGGATAGTTAGATATTCTTATTGAATTGAACCCTTTACCATTATGCAGTGCCCTTCTTTGTCTTTTTTGATCTTTGTTGGTTTAAAGTTTGTTTTGTCTGAAATTAGGATTGCAACCCCTGATTTTTTCTGTTTTCCATTTGCTTGGTAGATTTTTCTCCATCTCTTTATATTGAGCCTATATGTGTCACTGCATGTGAGATGGGTCTCTTGAAGACAGCATACCAATGGGTCCTGGTTCTTTATCCAGATTGCCACTCTGTGTCTTTCAATTCAGTCATTTAGCCCATTTACTTTCAGGGTTAGTATTGATGTGTGTGGATTTGATC
The DNA here is from genome assembly GCF_000001405.40 of Homo sapiens. NCBI lineage: Eukaryota > Metazoa > Chordata > Mammalia > Primates > Hominidae > Homo > Homo sapiens. The sequence goes on along the minus strand of NC_000010.11, from coordinate 64,000,456 downwards.
TTGTCATCATGATATTAGCTAGTTATTTGAAGACTTGTTTATGTGGTTGCTTTATAGTGTCACTGGTCTGTGTACTTCAGTGTGTTTTTGTAGTGACTGGTAACAGTCTTTCTTTTCAATATTTAGTGCATCCTTTAGTAGCTCTTGCAAGGCAGGTCTGGTGGTAATAAACTCCCTCAGCATTTTCTTGTCTGAAAAGGATCTTATTTCTCCTTTGCTTATGAAGCTTAGTTTGGCTAGATATGAAAGTCTGGGTTGGAAATTCTTTTCTTTAAGAATGTTTAATATTGGCCTCTAATCCTTTATGGCCTGTAGGGTTTCTGCTGAGAGGCCTACTGTTAGTCTGATGGGCCTTGCTTTGAGGTGGCCTGACCTTTCTCTCTGGCTGCCTTTAATATTTTTTATTTCCTTTTGACCTTGGAGAATCCAGTGATTATCTGTCTTGGGGATGATCTTCTTGTGAATTATCTTACTGGGGTTCTCTGCATTTCCTGAATTTAAATATTGGCCCGCCTAGCTAGTTTGGGGAAGTTCTCTTGGATGATACCCTGAAATATATTTTCCAAGTTGGTTCCATTCTCCCCATCTCTTTCAGGAACACCAATGAGTAGTAGATTTGGTCTCTTTCCATAATCCCATATTTCTTGGAGGTTTTGTTCATTCCTTTTCATTCTTTTTTCTCTATTCTTATCTGACTGTCTCATCTTAGAAAGGCATCCTTCAAGCTCTGAGATTCTTTCCTCTGCTTAGTCTATTCTGCTATTAATACTTGCAATTGGATTATGAAATTCTCGTAGTGTGTTTTTTAGCTCTACCAGGTTGGTTATGTTCTTTTCTATACTGGCTGTTTTGTCTGTCAGCTCCTGTATTGTTTTATAATGATTTTTCACTTCCTTGGATTGGGTTTTGATGTACTCCTGTAGTGCAATTATCTTTGTTCCTATCCATATTCAGAATTCTATTTCTGTTATTTCTGCCGTCTCAGACCCAGTTCAGAACTCTTTCTGGAGAGATGATGTGGTCATTTGGAGGAAAGAAGGCACTCTGGCTTTTTGAGTTTTCAGGGTTCTTGCACTGATTCTTTCTCATCTTTGTGGGCTTATCTCCCTTCAATCTTTGAGGTTTCTGACCTTTTGGATGGGTTTTTTTTCCTTTTATAGTATTTAGTGACCTTGAGGGTTTGATTGTAGTATAAGGTGGATTCAGCTAACTGGCTTCATTTCTGGAAGACTTTAGGGGGCCAATGCTCAGCTCCCAACCCCTGGACAGCATCCTCCAACTCTGGAGGACTTATATTGGGCCCCAACTTTGTTCTCTGGCAGCAGAGAACACAAGGTTAGGAATCCACTGTGCTGTGGGGGCCAAGTTGCTCCCAGACCACTGGTCACTACACTCTGATGCATGGTGTCAGCCAAAGCATTTTGTAGTGAGATCCATCTCCTAGCAGAAGAGTGCTAGTGGGTGTCAGATTGCCTGCCTCCCTGCAGGTGTTTACTACAGTGGGAGAGGCAACACAGCTGGGCAGGGGGGTGGGAGCAGTGGGGGTCCCTGCTGGCAACTGTGTGCATGGTCATGCTGGAGGTAGTGTTGGCTTGGGGGCAGGGCACTAGCAGGAGCAAGTCAGGGTACCTTATTTTTGCCTTGAAAGCAAGAGTGGTCACTCAGGGTAGGGAGGATCCACTGTTCTCTGCACAGTGTTAGTGCAAGGGCAGGGTGCTGGCAGGGGTGAGGCTGGCTGGCTCTGTGCCTACAAAGGCTCCATCTGCAATAGCAATTAGTAGGGGGAAGGGAGGCAGACTGCACTCCCATGCATTGGTGGAGCAAGAAAAGCCAAACCTGCCCACACAGATGCACCAGCAAAGCAACGTGGGGTGTTGTTGTGGGTCCCAGGGGAAGCTGTTGTAGTATGGCTGGTGCATGGCCATGGGAACCCCCTGCTGGAGCAGGGTGCTAGTCAGGCATAGTCTACCAACACAGACGCTATTAGTGCAGGCTCCCAGAGCACCTCAGTCTGTCCTGCAGGCAGACATAGCCAGGCTGGGGCCTTGGGAGAGGCCAACAGACAAGGGGGTGCTCAGGTTGAAGTGGTCCCATCTGATAGAAAAGGCTACCCTGCAGAGTTCAAGTCTGACAGTTCCCCTAGGGCTAAAGTCTCCTATGGAAGCAAGTCGAGCCTAGGAGGATGGCTGCCCCAGCCATGCTCCACTGTAGATGCTCTTACAACAAACCCTCAAGGATCTACATCAGCCAGCTTGCTGCCTCTATCACTTCTCTAAGCAGCTCTCCTTGCCAACTCTAATGTCTGTGGTGGTCAAGGGGTCTCCTTCTGCCAGGGTTCCACAGGCCTGTGGCAAGAGCAGGTTGTTCCTTGACAGTTCAATTCACCCATTCCCCCAGAGCCCTTGGGGGCTAGGAATGAGTCCTGGTGCATGGTATCTCCATGCAGGGTTCCCAGCTACCTCACACTTCAGCCCAGCTTCTGTGTTTTTCCTCTGTGCACTTTCAGTGCCTTCTCTCTGCAGATCTGTTAGGAGCCTGCCAGTCATCTCTGTCTCTTCCATGGGAGCAGTTCCATCTGGCTTCGTCTAGTCAGCCATCTTGCCCTCCCCATGTCTGTTTTTGAATAAGGACATATTTGATGCTGTTAATACTTTGCAATTATTAATATTTCAGTGCTCAAATTGTCTCCCATGTGGGAAATGAGAGCATCTTTCAGTTGGCTCTTTTGCCCTTTGGACATGACACAAATGTCATGATAGGTTGTTGTAAGTTATAACATGGTTTTTCTGTCTTATCTTCCTTATTTCCTGCCCAAGACGCAAACCCAGCCATTATCCAAAACTTCCTGGCTAGTTTTAGTGAGGCATTATTCTTAGAACCTACCATCTGAGGGAAAGGCATACTCATTCTGAGTGGATTGAACAATGTCTCCCGGAGCTGTCCAACAGAATGTTCTGCAATGATGAAAATATTCTATAGCTGTACTGTCCAAGATCATAGTCACTAGCCATGTGTGGTACTTGAGCTCTTGAAATATGGTTAGTGAGACTTATCCGAATTTTTCATTTTATCACATTTACCTTTAATTATTTTAAATATAAATAGCCATGTGTGACTAGTGGATACCTTATTGGGCAGTTCAGATCTACACCTTGGGGATGGTGTTTAAAAGTGCCACTGAATTTCTCTGACACTTTTCCTATGAAGAGTTAAGGTCTATTCTTCCCCTCTTCCATTGATCTAGGCGGGCCTGTGACTGCTTCTACAATCACAGAAAGGTAAAATGGATGTGATGTAATTTACGAGTCTAGGTCATAAAAGTCCTTTTGGCTTCTGACTGGCTGTTTTGAAACCTTCACTCTCCTTATGCCCCCTCTGAGAATGCTCAAGAGCTAATTGCCAAGCTGGAAGCCCAGCTACACTGAGCTGCCATACTGGAGAGATGATGTGAAGGCACTTCAGTTGACATGTCATGTCCACCTCATCCTCAGCAAGTCACTGGGTTTGTGAGTAAAGCCTATTTAGATCCTCCAGACCAGCCCTTTGGCCAGATGAGTGATTCAGATGAGAGCAAGAACGTAAGAATCATACAGCCCAAATTCCTGACCCACAGAATGTATAACAATAGCAAAATGGTTGTTCTTTTATACCACTAAGTTTGATACACTGCCTAGATTAATAACAAGCACTTGGTTAAATATATTATGGTATAAACCAGTTAGACTATTTGACAACCAATAAAACAGTCCTTACGGAAAGTAATTATATAGAAAATTATTATTAATAATATTAAGTATTAAAATACATATGTGAATTGATGATAACTATTGAAAACACATAGAGGAAAAGACAGTTGAAGGAAATGCACCAAAATATTAACATATATTACGTCAAAGTGGTAGGAACAGTAATTTTTCTTTCTTTATTTTCTAAGTTTTCCATATATGGCACATATTTTACAATGAAAAAAATAAATAGCTTAATACACAATTTCTTAAGTGACAGAAGAGAAAGGAAAATTTCTGCTTACCAGTTGCCTGAGATACCTTCCTACCCAAAAGCCCTCCATCACTAGGCAAAAGTGGTGGTCAAAGCTTTGCTCATCTACCTTCTACCACCCTCTCTCTGGTGCCTGGAGACTCAATCTTCCTCTCTGGTCCCCCATCCATCCTAAAAATGGATAAAAAGAGACCTGGGCACTCTTGCCATATGAATGCAGGGATTTCTAAAGGGCAGCTTCCTACTTGTTTCTCTCTTCTTCCAGGCTGCCCCAAAGAAATGCAGGGCTCCCCATAGTAGTGTTAATTACCTTGAAAGCATGACCTTATAGGTATCACCAGCAGCTAGAATCCAGAGGTGAATGTAGGTTTTATGAGGCTCATCCAAAGCTTTTAGAATTTGAAGGGGAGCCTCTTTTAGAAATCCAAATAGCACATTTACCCACAGAATCCCAAAGGCACCAACTCCCAGGATGGGGGAAAAAAAGGATGTTCTGACCTCCTGCTGCACCAGCAACTGTGCTGTGCAGGACTCCTTGAATATTCCAGAGCAAATGCAGGATCCATGTAGCCTCGCTCCCCTCAATTTCTCAACAGCACTTCCCCTCACTAGGCTCTCTGATGGTGTTGCTCAGTGTCCCAGTGAAAGACTGAAGAGCCTTGGGCAGTGGACAGTGGACAGTGAGGGTGGCTGCCTCTCAGAGGGGCGCCAGTGGCATTCTCAAGGGCCACACTCTCACCTGCTCACTTATGGAGTGTGGGGCTCCCGAGTTCTCCATAGGAGAGCTTGCTCTTTCTGTGCGTATTTCTTGCTTTAGGTCATCTGATGAAAACTTGCCTCTCTCCTTATTTAGAAGAGCCTGTTAGGGCTCAAACTCATGACAATAAATATTAATCAAAATTTCCAAACCAAAGGTGTAAGTATAGTTTTCTGTTTAAGTATACATTTCCTTCTCCTTTTATTTGATAGTTGGTCTACAAATTCTTTTTTCTTAATGAACAGACCAAGAGAAGAATCTTCAAGTGGACTTCAGGCGGATCCTACTCCATGTACTTTCACAAGAGATCTAGTCCCTTCCTTGCATTCGAGGCCTCTCCAGCATCTGAACAAGGAAATAACATTGGGACTGCTATCTGCTGAAGTCTCTGCTGCAGCAAATGGTACTGTGGCCACCAGTGGGAGGGGCATACTCTACAATCTCCTCCGAAAATGTGAGCATTCTCAAAAGCACCCTTCATGCCATTTGGGTATAAATGAAGAGAAAGGAAGAATATCGATCACACAGTGCTTGAAATTTCCTGGAAGCTGTTACTTCATGCTTATTACATAGTCACCATATGACCTTTTATTAGTTGTTTGCAGGCCATTTCTCCAACTAAATTTTAAGCTCTGGTGGTAAAGGGTCAGGGTCCTGCCATTTTATTTTCATACCCTGCACCCTTGCAAAATTCTAGGCTCATACAGGAGCTTACTAAAGCTTGCCAGAATATTTGAATTAACTAACATAACTAACTTCATAATTAACCACAAATTCATATTAATCATGCTAAATGAGGGAAGATGGCATTGAGCCATGTTGACAGCTAGCCTACACAGAGCATCACTGTGTGACACAGAGTTTCTATGGGGACTCCAAGGAGGAGGCTGGGAGCTCTGAAAACCCCTTTCAGAGGCAGAATACTTGAAGGAGGAAAATATGTTTAAATGGGGCAAAGGGAGATTGTCAAGAGAAGATAATACCCCGTTTTTAAAAGCCCTGTCCTAAACCACTCAGGCTGCCCAAGAATGGAGCAGGGCATCTCACAAAGCCACAGCTGTCCTTGCTGGGCAGATGAAAGCTGAGTCTGAAGGATCATCTGCAGGAAGAGCTGTGAGTCCTCTACGGCCGTGTCTAAATTTAGGTGTCTCTGATTCAAAGTGGCAAGCCCAACATACCCCGCACACCATCCCCTCTCCTTGGAATAAAGAACAACAGGAGACCACGCCCCAAGAAAAGTATACATGATGGTGCAAGTACAAATTGGCCACTTGGCTCACCTCAGGGAGCGTCCTTCCCAGGCCCCTTCCACATTTCTCTGTGGTTCGGTTTCCAAAGAGTCTGGCTTAAGCACTGCCCTCCCTGCTACCCTCCTGCCTCACTTCTAGAAACAGTTCCTGAATAGAAAAACATTCCAGTTTCTACCTAAGGTACCAGACATGTGAATATATTAGTTTTCAATTGCTACCTAACAAGTTGCCACAAACTAAGTGTCTTAAAACATTTATGTATTATCTCATGGTTTCATGAGTTAGAAGTCCAGGCAAGTGGAGCTGAGCTGCTTAGGGCCTCACAAAGCTAACATCATGGTGTTAGCTGGGGCATCAGTCTCATGTGGAGCTCAGAGTGTTCCCAGACTCACTCAGATTGATGACAGAATTTTGATTCTTGCAGTTGTAGAACTGAGGCCACATCTTCTGGCTGGATGTCAGTTGGGGGCTGCTTTCAGCTCCCAAAGGCCACCCTAAGGTCCTATCCATGTGGTCCCCTCCACTGAAAGTTCTAGTGCCTGCTCTGTTTCTGTCCCTTTTAAGGACTCACCTATCAGGCCAGGCCCACCATGGATAATAGGATAATCTTCCTTTCCCCATAAAGACGAGCATAATCACCAGGAGTGATATTCATCATATTCACAGGTCGTGCCTATCCTTAAGGGGAGAGAGATGATACAGGGTATCTATATCAAGGAGCAGGAATCTTGGGGACCATCTTAGAATTCTACTGCCACAGTGAGTACAGTATATCTAAAATGTACTTTGCGTTTTATCTTGCTTAAACACTTTCTTATATATTGGCCCATGTTAGCAAGTTAAGTTAAAAAAAAAAAAAAAGTTAAGTAAAAACTATAAATAGCACTTAAAGGAGAAGGAAAGAGGCAGAGGTCCAGAACTCCAGTTTGCCATTTGCTCCCTCCTCCCCATATCAGCCAACCTCAGTTGTTTGCAGTAGAGAAATGCACATGCCTGAGATCCCGCTGACCAAAATGTCACCCAGCACTTCTGTTTATTATTCATTGGGCATTGTTGAATTACACTGGTCATTTCACCCATTATGTGCTAAATGATGTGCTAAATCTGGAGCATGGGGAGAAAACAGGGAAACCCTGGGGGAAGATTGCTTTGGGATGGGCTGACCTGGCCCCCCTTGGCTGCACGTCTGGGTTCAGGCCATCCTCCCATCTCCCCTCCCTAACCCTGCAGAGAGTATCTGCACTTCAGGTTAGTGCTGGCAGCTCTAGAATTTCCTGTACATGGGAATATACAGGATTCACCCCCTCTGTGTAAGGGTTCTTCCACTGAGTGTGAAGTTGTGTGATCCTCTCTGTTGTTGCCTGTTCTCAAGATTCGTTCCCTTTATTACCTGAGTAATGTGATTGCACCACAGTTGGTTTTCATTGTCTCATAGATGGACACCTGAGATATTTCCAAGTTGTGCCTATCATGAATAAAGCTGCTGTGAACATTCTAGTATAGGACAAAAGGATGAAAAGAAGTTTGAAGTCTGTCTTCTGTCTTTTAATCTTATTTATAATTTTTAAATAAAAGGTTTCTAATTTCAATGGAGTCATTTCTTAGAGTAAGTTTCATGATTTTTTTAATTTTAAGAAATCCTTTGTATTCTAAGATTATAAACAGCATCTCTTACACTTTTTTCTAACCCATCATAATTTTGTTTTTAATAGCTAGTATCTGAAATTCATTTTTGAGATGGCTTGAGTTGAGGATCTTAGCATTTCCTGCAGACATACAGCCAAGACCTCAACTACATGTATTGAGGAGTCTGTTATCTCCCAACTTTGCATTCTTTTTTCCCTTCTATGAACTCTCCCTCAACCATCTGCCTCCATGGTTCCAATAACCAAGTAAGCATTGATAATGCCAAAGTCTTTCTCTAGCCAAGGATGGCAACTCCATGGACTCCTCTTTTTCACCTACGCATGTTCCTGTCATTCAATCTAATGGCAAATATTTCTAAATATGCACAAAATCTAACCACAGCTTACCAGCTATACCACTTTCACTGTGTCAAAGTCATCATGACCCATAATTTGGACTCCTGCCTTAGCCTCCTGACTGGTTTCCCTGCTTATCACCCCAGCAAATTAGAATAATCCTGTTAAAACTTACATCAGATCATGTCATCCTTTGCCATAAACTCTCCAAACATTCCCATCTCCAGTAAAAAGCAACCGTCTTAAAGCAGCCTCAAAGGCCCTACCTGACCTAGGTGCCCCCTGCCCATTCTGTCCCCTTTACTTCCACTCTCCCACTTGCTGACCCCATCCCAGACCCATTAACTGCTCCTGAGAACACCAGCTGTTCTTCCTATGGGCTTTGCAGTGGTTACTCCTGATACCTGAAATGCTTTTCCCTCCAACACCTGTGTGGCTCACTTGATTACCTCCTTCTGAACTTGGCTCAAATCTCACCATCTCAGGAAGCCTTGCATTGCCCACCCTGTTTAAATTGAAACCTGTGCTTTTCCCTACTCCCATCCCAATCCCCATGTACTGCTCTTGTTACCGGCTCCATAGCATTTGTTACCTGCTAATCTACGACATCACTTATTTATTATATTTCTTTTTTTATTTCCTCCCCTCCAAATGGAATATAAGCTCTATAAAGGCAGGGATTTTTACCTTTTTGTGATTGATTCTACTACCACAGAGTGGTCCTTAGCACATCCCAGATATTCAATAATGTGTTAAACAATGAGTAAATGAACTTCCTTCTGAATATTACCCAGATCTTCCACAGGTACCTCACACTATTAACACTGAACTTACCGTATTTTTGCCCAAACTACCCATGTCCACCTTACCCACACAAGATTACTAGAATAGGCCTGGTCTCATTACAGTTACCTATGTCACCTTCCTCTACTATGACCTCCTTGCCATCTCACTGTCAGCTCCTGAAGACCAGGAGCTCATTGCCTCATCTTTGCTTGGTTCACTGCAGTTTCCCACAAGCCTCTTTGCCTCTGTTCTGGCTCCCATTTAATTCTTGCTCCTCATGCAGCCACCAGCATGTTGCTAAAATCTACATATAATCTTGTCCTTTGTTGGCTTACAATTCTTTCACGACTCCCCTTACTTTCAGGATAATGAACAAATGCCCCATCATGGTATTGTTACCAGTGGTGAATCTGTACGGGTCTTCAGCAAACTTGATACTTGCCTCCTTGGAGGAAAGAATTTGGCTGAGGGGCACAAGTAGGATTAAGTCAGAGGGAGAGACCAAGGCAAGTTTCAGGGCAGGAGTGAGAGTTTACTAAAATGTTTTAGAGCAGGAGCAAAAGGAAGCAAAGTACACTTGGAAGAGGGCCAAGCAGGCAACTTAAGAGGTCCAAGTGTCTAGTTCAGCCTTTGACTTGGGGTTTTATACATTGACATGGCTCTGGGGTTTTCTTTTCTCCTCCATTGAATCTTCCCTTGGGGCAGTCTGTTGCTCAACTACTGCATGTGCAATGTCGGTCAGCATTTGGGAGGGTGACCACATGTACAGTGCATTTACTAAGATTGGGCACATACTCTCTGGGGGCAAACACCCCCAGGGGAACATCATACATCAGTCATTTTGCTTCTTAGTTCACATGCTTCAGCCCACTTGCCCAGCTTCTGAGATCTTATTGGGAAGTTGCTGATCACCAGCTCTAGGTGTTTTCTGTCTACTGGGAGACTGTCTTACCCTGGAGCCAGCTGCAACCAATTATCATTTCAGAGAGACAGTTTAAAAACCACCTGACATCACGTGATGGTCGCCTGACATTCCTGGGGTGGGGGGTCCTCCCCTGCCTTCCTCACATCTGCCTAACTACCTACTCTAACATTCCTGCCCCCAAGAGTCCAAGACCCAATTCTTTGGGAAAATGGACAAAGGTCAGTCTTCTGTAACTGCTTCCTGCTGTCAGAGGGGTGGTAGTCGTTGTTCTGTGTGTCTTGGCCTCTTGCTAGCTGTCAAGGCAGGGTGACTGTGTGGGTGAATCTGTTGGTGAAAATGGTATCCAGCCAGGTCAGAAGGAGACAGGGGCAGGATTTTACCTCTCTCATATTCCACTGATGGGCAGTCTAGGGCTTCTCTGTGGAAGGGTGACTCTTGAATACTGAGAGAGCGGTATCCCTCACTGAGGATCATCTGGAGCTTGATGGCCTGAAGACAAGAGGAGACAAATTGGGTATTAGATTTAGAAGACATGGACCAAAAAGGAGCAAAAGTAGGAGACTAACAAGTGGGCCTAAAAATGGAAGAACCCAGAAGAATCATTACCAGGTTCCATCCCAATCTAACCAACCCTGAGAGGCTCATTCTCGTAAACAGGAGGGTCAATTTATGAGTTGTCTGATGTTGTCTTGTACTTTTCCCAATTGGCCGACCCCAAAGCAACATTTTTCATCTAAGGCTAAACAAATTCCTCCCTGTTCTGCCATTAACATATCTAGCTCTCGGCAATTTTGGAGGACTACAGCTGATAAAAAGTCCATTTGTTCTTGCATGGCTGTTGAGGTTTTAACCATGGTATAATATTGTTGGCTACTTCCACTGAGAGTTGGCTATAGGTCAAGGCTTGTGTGACTCCAACAATTCTGGTGTATCAGCTATAATGCTAAGTCCCGTGAGAAGGGGACTTAATTTCATGGCCCTCTTCATCTTGGGCAAGATGTAATGCCCATAGATTGGTACTGGAAGAGAGAGATTGCCAGGGGCTATGAAGATGTCCAGGGATACATAGCCTATGGTACAAGTTCCAGTCCAATTAGTGGGGAGGCATTGGTGAACTAACTGGTCACAAATATAGTGACTCCTCACGTCTTAAGACAAGTAAAGATGTCAAAATGAAATAAAATTCTGACTCTTTCCAGCATAGGTAAGGGTCATAGCTAACTCCATATGTCCCCAGGTTTTACATAGACTTTAATGACTTTAAAGTAGGCAAGCTGTACAGTTATTAAGAGTCACAGTAGCAGTTTATGACCTTAAAGTATTTAGTAGCCCTAATAACCTTTAAAATCATACAGCATTTCTTTCATAAATTCCCTTTCACAAATCTTCTCATGACTTATACAGACCATCTACAACATGCTCGGACTTTCTGACTTGTCCTAAACATCCCTCTTTTTTAAACCAGTCATTTTGCTTTTGGACAAGAATTTGCCATGCAAGATCCTTTCTCATATAAAATTTCTTTTCTTTATAACTTTCCTTACCAAAAATACCTCTACTTTCATAACCTTTGAATTAGACAAAAGCCATTTTCCTACTGTTAGGAAGTTATGGTTTGTACTACATGTTGCTGTGTGAGTCCTGTGAAGGGGGAGCAGGTGGGGAGGTTATCTATATACTGTAGAAGTTATCATCCCTCAAGAGATTGCTCAATTAGATTTCTTGTTAGGGCTTTTCTGAATAAGATTGGGCTATTTCTATACCCCTGAAGTAGGACTGTCCAGATTGAAGTTATTGGTTAAAGATTTAGGTAGCTTTCCCAGAAGAAATAGGGTTATTAGCGGGAAAGATGAATTCAGAGGTTGGGCAAATATTAAGCAGGCACCCATCTTGAAAAGTATATTTTTGCCAAAAGGGGTTGGGCGTATTTAGACATTAACAGGGACTGCTGGAAGAATGGTAATTGATCCCTTAAATAATATAAAGGGATGTAAATCTTTTTTCTTTGGAGGGAGGGCATGCCATTTGCCCCTATTACCCGACAGTATTTGAAAGAGTTGCTCAGAGAAGATTAGCACTAAGTAGGCAGCTCTTGAACACAAGAGGGAAATTTATAATTTTATTTGTAGCCTCTAGAGTTGCCCTTGGATTTGTTCCTTTTGATCAGAATGGAGAACCCCTTCAACTCAAGGCCTTTATTGGATTGAAGTCTGGCCTGTGGGCATTTCTGACTCTCAGGACAGTCCTTTTTCCAGTGGCTGAGCTTGTGGTAGAGGGGACAGGCCTTGTGGAGCTTTTTTCCACTTAGCCCATTGAGGCATTTTACCTTCCAGTGGCCTGGTTTTCTGCATCAATGGCAGTTCTCTGGAGTAGTGTCCTAAGGGCAACCTGGAGGGACCTGGAGAGCTTGTAAAGCAGCCAATAGTTGAACCTCACTTTTGTCCCTACATTTCTCCTTCTCCTTAACCCTGTCCTCCTTATTCTGCTCTTGGTTATAAAACACTCAGGATGCTAACTTGAGGATTTCCTGCATATGGGCTCTGGGTTCTAAGGCTGACTTTTGTAATTTTCTCCCAATTCATTTTTAGGCTAAACAGTATTACAAAGGAACACCAGTTTTTTATTTTAAGCTTGTGTGGCGGCAGGGGCAGTGTGAAGCTTTTCCCGGTTTTTGAGGATGCATCAAGGGATGTGTCCTATGGTATGGAGACACAATTACCTATCTGCGAAGAGCGAACAGAGGAGACAAGAGGGAAAGAAGGTGTCCCCTCTAGTTTCCCTACTATCTTTTTCCTGGACTTATGGCAGACCAGAGTGAACAGGGTATCCCCATTCATCCTAGGGGTTCCAGATGAACCGCTGCTTATCAGGTACCCCTAACCTTGGTCCCACCTTGTTTTAAGGAGGTGTGATTAGCCATTTTTGAAGAGAGAACAGAGAGAAAAGAGAAGAAGGCGGCATCCCCCTCCTTGTTCCCTTAATCCTGTGCCTATCACAAACTGGAGTGAACACAGTGCCCCCCATTCATCTTAGGGGTTCTTGAAAGGACTGGTGCTTACCAGGTACCCCTAACCCTGGTCCCATCCTATTTCTGGGACCAACCTTCATCTGTATTCTAGTGGTAATCTGTTTTGCACCTATAGCCTGGGACTAGCCTTCATCTCTGCTCTATAGGTACTCTGGTCTCTTGCACCTGTGGCCTTGGGGTAGCCTATATCCTTGTCTCCAGGACCTTATAGTGACTCTTATTCGAGCATTCTAGCAATAAAATGATCATCTCTTTTCTCATATTCCCATTTCCCATGTTCTTTAAGTAGATGAGAAGTCTGTTTTTCAGCCAACTGCCACAAGGGGGCTGGACGGCCCCCCCTTCAAATATAATCTTGAAAGTCCTGATGCATATTGAGAAAGATGTAGAAGTGATTAGAGAAGAGGAGGAAAATTTTTATTTGGGGTTGTCTTCTGGGATAACATGCAGAACAAATGCTTAAACAGATAGAACAATCCCTCTGCTACCAGAGGAAGCAGGAGGAAGCCAGAGGGATGCTCATGGAAAGACTCTATATGCTCGCAAAAACAGCAGCCCTTAGATTTGGAGGGCAATGTTTATTTGCCTTCTCGACATAAAAGAGGAACCTCTGGAGAACTTGTAGCCTGGGATAAGGGCTCACAGATGACAAAGGAAGAATTCTCCTTCCTTCAAAAAGGTGATAACTCAAAAAAGCGGATAGGTGGTGTCCTTAAAGGGCCATAAAGTGAAGTCCTATGCAGGTAGACAAATAGCTTCAAAAACCACCAAAAAACCTGACCCTGGAGTATAACAGGGACAAAAAGCATATGGTAAGTCACAAGGAGCTGGCAGAGCCAGGGTTCCAATTAGTGTCTGTCCTGACAATGAGCCAACAGACAGGGGAAGGGCTGAAGGTCATCTGAGCTGGAAGAGTAAAACCAAGTATAAATCCCATGGGATATCCACAATGGAGCCCATGTCTTGGTTGCCAGGCAAACCCAGCAAGAGCCATGGGCACAGGAACAACAAATGGAGTGTGTGTTAAGGTAGAGAAGGAAGTCGCACAGCATGCAAAGTGAAAGCAGAGAAAAGGCAGACTTGCTCCCAATGCAGATGGTCCAGCGGGTGTGCAAGGCCATTTCAGAATACACACAGAGAAAACAGGAGAATGGGCAGTGCCGCTTTTTGGGAAAGAGCCTGTTTTAGTTGAAGAATCAGAGGAAACCCCAGACATTACATGGCCTTAGGCTTTAGCCCTACCACTCTCGTAAGCCTCCTGTCCAGGAGGGCCATTAGTGTCTCAGGTCTACTCAGTGCAGACTCTAAGGTCCTTCCCACCCCTGCAAGCCTTTCAGAGTGAGCTGAGAGATCAGCTGTGGGGAGCAGAGCTATTGCAGCTAAGAGGAAATGTTCTGGGAGTGGTCAGTAAGCAAGAGAGTAAAAGGGGTGAAGGAAACCACATACAGGGGTTGAATGCCTCCAGCTGAAGAAGGCAAGGTGTAGAGACATCTTACCTCTTGAGAATGTATCCAAGTCATGGCAACAAAATATGTTACCAGCCATCAACCCATACAGATCTGCAGCAGATTTGATCCTTGCCTTCTCAGAGGAAAGAATTTGGCTGAGGAGTGAAGTAGGTTTAAGGCACAGGGAGAGACTGAGACAAGTTTAAGAGTAGGAGTGAGAGTTTATTAAAATGTTCTAGAGCAGGAGCAAAAGGAAGCAAATTACCCTTGGAAGAGGGCCAAGCAGGCAACTTGAGAGATCCAAGTACCCCATTTAGCCACTGACTTTGGGATTTGTAAATTGGCATGGTTCTGGGGTTTTCTTTTCCCTTCCCTTGATTCTTCCCTTGGAGCAGGCTGTTGCTCAAATGCCTCATAAGCAATGTCAGTCAGCATTAGAGAGGGTGGCCACATGCATAGCGCATTTACTGATGTTGTGCGCATGCTTTCTAGGGCCAACTTCCCTTTACTGGTCAAATGCCCCTGGAGGAAGGTCAGACATCAGCCATTTTGCTTCTCAGTGCACATGCTTGAGCCTGCTTGCCCAACTTCTGAGATCTTATCAGGAAGCTTCTGATCACCAGCTCCAGGTGTTTTCTATCTATTGGGAGGCTATTGTCCCCAGGTGCCAGCTGTGACCAATTATCATATCAGAGACACAGTTTAACAACTGCCTGACCATTGCCTGATGGTCATCAGACATTCCTGCGAGTGGGGTTGGGGGGCCTCTCCTGCCATGCTCATGTCTGCCTAATTACCTACTCTAACAGTATATACGTTTGTCCACGATCTGTCCTGGCTGAGCTCTGCAGCTGTACCTCCCAGACCAGATTCACTGATCAACTACACATAACTATTTGCCAGGGGTCCCACTGTATATTCATCCATTTTGCATTGCTATAAAGAAATACCTGAGACTGGGTAATTTATAAAGAAAATAGATTTGTTTGGCTGCAGGCTGTACAAGGATGGCACCAGCATCCGCCTGGCTTCTGATGAGGCCTCAGGAAGCTTACAGTTATGGTGGAAGGTGAAGTGGGAGCAGACATGTCACATGGTAAGAACAGGAGCAAGAGAGAAGGAAGCAAGAGAGAGGAGAGGAGGTACCATGCTCTTTTAAAGAACCGGCTCTCACGTGAACTGATAGAGTGAAAACTCACTCATTATCACAAGGACAGCACCAAGCCATTCATGAAGAATCTGCCCCCATGACCCAAACATCTCCCACCAGTCCCCACCTCCAACATTGGGGAACACATTTCAATATGAGATTTGGAGGGGACTGTATTAGTCTGTTTTCATGCTGCTGATAAAGACATACCCAAGTGTTGGGAGCAGGCCCCCCAAAATCTGGCCATAAACTGGCCCAAAAACTGGCCATAAACAAAATCTCTGCAGCACTGTAACATGTTCATAACTGCCCTAATGCCCAAGCTGGAAGATTGTGGGTTTACATGAATGAGGGCAAAGAACACCTGGTGCACCCAGGGTGGAAAACTGCTTAAAGGCATTCTTAAGCCACAAACAATAGCATGAGCAATCTGTGCCTTAAGGACATGCTCCTGCTGCAGGTAACTAGCCCAACCTATTCCTTTAATTTGGCCCATCCCTTCATTTCCCATAAGGGATACTTTTAGTTAATTTAATATCTATAGAAACAATGCTAATGACTGGTTTGCTGTTAATAAACACATGGGTAAATCTCTGTTCAGGGTTCTCAGCTCTGAAGGCTGTGAGACTCCTGATTTCCCACTTCACACCTCTATATTTCTGTGTGTGTGTCTTTAATTACTCTAGCGCAGCTGGGTTAGGGTCTCCCCAACTAAGCTGGTCTCAGCACCCAAGACTGGGAAGAAAAAGAGGTTTAATTGGACTTACAGTTCCACATGGCTGGGGAGGCCTCAGAATCATGGCTAGAGGCAAAAGTACTTCCTACATGGTGGCAGCAAGAGAATATGAGGAAGAAGCAAAAGCAGGAACCCCTGATAAACCCATCAGGTCTCATGAGACTTATTCACTATCATGAAAATAGCACGGGAAAGACCAGCCCCCATGATTCAATTACCTCCCCCAAGGTCCCTCCCACAACATGTGGGAATCCTGGGAGATAAAATTCAAGTTGAGATTTGAATGGGGACACAGCCAAACCATATCATTCTGCCCCTGGCCCCTCCCAAATCTCATGTCCTCACATTTCAAAACCAATCATGCCTTCCCAACAGTCCCCCAAAGTCTTAACTCATTTCAGCATTAACCCAAAAGTCCACAGTCCAAAGTCTCATCTGAGAAAAGGCAAGTCCCTTCTGCCTATGAGCCTGTACAATCAAAAACAAGCTAGTTACTTCCTAGATACAATGGGGGTACAGGTATTGGGTAAATACGGCCATACAAAATGGGATAAATTGGCCAAAACAAAGGGGTTACAGGGCCCGTGCAAGTCCAAAATCCAGCAGGGCAGTCAAATTTTAAAGCTCCGAAATGATCTCCTTTGACTCCAGGTCTCACATCCAGGTCGTGCAGATGCAAGAGGTAGGTTCCCTTGGTCTTGGGCAGCTCTGACCCTGTAGCTTTGCAAGGTACAGGCTCCCTCCTGGCTGCTTTCAGGGGCTGGCATTGAGTGTCTGTGGCTTTTCCAGATGCATGGTGCAAGCTGTCAGTGAATCTACCATTCTGGAGTCTGGAGGACAGTGGCCCTTTTCTCACCGCTCCACTAGGCAGTGCCCCAGTAGGGACTCTGTGTGGGAGCTCTGACCCCACATTTTCCTTCCATACTGCCCTAGCAGAGGTTCTCCATGAGGGCCCCACCCCTGCAGCAAACTTTTGCCTGGGCACCCAGGCATTTCTATACATCTGAAATCTAGGTGGAGGTTCCCAAACCTCAATTCTTGACCTGTGCACCCACAGGCTCAACACCATGTGGAAGCTGTCAAGGCTTGGGACTTCCACCCTCTGAAGCCACAGCCCAAGCTCTACGTTGGCCCCTTTCAGTCATGGCCGGAGCAGCTGGGACACAGGGCACCAAGTCCCTAGGCTGCACACAGCACGAGGACCCTGGGCCCGGCCCACAATACAACTTCTTCCTACTGGGCGTCTGGGCCTGTGATGGGAGGGGCTGCCATGAAGGTTATTGACATGGCCTGGAGACATGTTCCCCATGGTCTTGGGGTTAACATTAGGCACCTTGCTACTTATGCAAATTTCTGCTCACGTCTTGAATTTCTCCTTAAAAAATGGGTTTACAGAGGCCTCAGAAATAACACCACACATCTACAACCATCTGATCTTTGACAAACCTGACAAAAACAAGCAACAGGGAAAGGATTGCCTATTTAATAAATGGAGTTGGGAAAACTAGCTAGCCATATGGAGAAAACTGAAAGTGGACCCCTTCCTTACACCTTATACAAAAATTAACTCAAGATGGATTAAAAACTTAAACATAAGACCTAAAACCATAAAAACCCTAGAAGAAAACCTAGGCAATACCATTCAGGACATAGGCATGGGCAAAGACTTCATGCCTAAAACACCAAAAGCAATGGCAACAAAAGCCAAAATTGACAAATGGGATCTAATTAAACTCAAGAACTTCTGCACAGCAAAAGAAACTATCATCAGAGTGAACAGGCAACCTACAGAATGGGAGAAAATTTTTGCAATCTATCCATCTGACAAAGGGCTAATATCCAGAATCTACAAGGAACTTAAACAAATTTAAAGAAAAAAAAAAACAACCCCATCAAAAAGTGGGCAAAGGATATGAACAGACACTTCTCAAAAGAAGACATTTATGCAGCCAACAAACATGAAAAAAAGCTCATCATCACTGGTCATTCGAGAAATGCAAATCAAAACCGCAATGAGATACCATCTCATGCCAGTTAGAATAGTGATCATTAAAAAGTCAGGAAACAACAGGTGCTGGAGAGGATGTGGAGAAATAGGAACACTTTTACACTGTTGATGGGAGTGTAAATTAGTTCAACCAGTGTGGAAGACAGAGTGGTGATTCCTCAAGGATATAGAACTAGAAATACCAGTTGACCCAGCAATCCCATTACTGGGTATATACCCAAAGGATTATAAACCATGCTACTATAAAGGCACATGTACATGTATGTTTATTGTGGCACTAGTCACAATAGCAAAGGCTTGGAACCAATCCAAATGTCCATCAATCATAGACTGGATACAGAAAATGTGGCACATATACACCATGGAATCCTAGGCAGCCATAAAAAATGATGAGTTCATGTCCTTTGCAGGGACATGGATGAAGCTGGGAACCATCATTCTCAGCAAACTGCATGTTTTCACTCATAAGTGGGAGTTGAACAATGAGAACACATGGACACAGGGAGGGTAACATCACACACTGGGCCCATCGGGGGTGGGGGACCAGGGGAGGGATAGCATTAGAAGAAATACCTAATGTAGGTCATGGGTTGATGGGTGCAGCAAACCACCATGGCACATGTATACCTATGTAACAAAATTGCCCGTTCTGCACATGTACCCCAAAACTTAAAGTATAATAAAAAAAATTAAATAAAATAAAAATGGTTTTTTCTTTTCTACTGCATCATCAAGCTGCAAATTTTCTGAACATTTATGTTCTGCTTCCCTTTTAAAATGGAATGCTTTTAACAGCATCCAAGTCACCTCTTTAATGCTTTGCTGCTTAGAAATTTCTTCCACCAGATACCCTAAATCATCTCTCTCAAGTTCAAAGTTCCACAAATCTCTAGGGTAATGGCAAAATGTCACCAGTCTCTGGTAAAAGATAATAAGAGTCACCTTTGCTCCAGTTCCCAACAAGTTCCTCATCCTCAACTGAGACCACCTCAGCCTGGACCTTATTGTTCATATCACTATCAGCATTTTTCTCAAAACCATTCAACAAGTCTCTAGGAGGTTCCAAACTTTCTTGTATTTTCCTGTCTTCTTCTGAGATCTCCAAGCTGTTCCAGCCTCTGCCTGTTACCCAGTTCCAAAGTCGCTTCCACATTTTCAGGTATCTTTTCAGCAAGGCCCCACTCAACTGGTACCAATTTACTGTGTTAGTCTGTTTTCACACTGCTGATAAAGACGTACCTGAGACTGGGAAGAAAAAGAGGTCTAATTGGACTTACAGTTCCACATGACTGGGGAGGCCTCAGAATCATGACAGGAAGCGAAAGGCACTTCTTACATGACGATGGTAAGAGAAAATGAGGAAGAAGCAAAAGCAGAAACCCCTGATAAACCCATCAGATCTCATGAGACTTATTCACTATCATGAAAATAGCATGGGAAAGACCGGCCCCCATGATTCAATTACTTTTCCTAGGTCCTTCCCACAACACATGGGAATTCTGGGAGATATAATTCAAGTTGATATTTGAATGGGGACACAGCCAAACCATGTTAGGGACAAACATCCAAATCATATCACACTGGCTCAAGATCTCATATCTCTCCCGGACTTTTACATACTGTCTCCTTAACCTGGAAATAGCCCTTTTCCACCTGGCTGCTTCCTCTTCCTTAAGACACAACTCAAGTTTCTTCTACCCGAGACTTAGTTTTATGTTGTTAGTCACTCCCACTGCCCTAATACTGACCTTTCCACTTGTATTTTTGGTCTATTCCTCTGTCCTCCCTAACACGTTGTAAATTCATCTGGAAAAGAGACATCTTTCAACTTTATATCTCTAGGGCCTAGCGCAGAGTCTACTGTAGAGTCATAATGAATAAATGTGAAATAAAATCAAATGTATGGAGCTGAGGGAAATGCTTGTACTTTTCTGTCTTCTCATCTTATGTAGGTTCTCCTGTTATGACATGACTTAGAGAAGATTGCACCATCAGCAACTAAGTCTAATGGAGACACAGCAGGTCTGTAAGGTCAGCCAGATTTAAGTGAAATTATAATTCTTAAGATTTGGCATTTTAGTAGCATTAGAGCCAGACTGGTTATTTTTCTAAATAGATCCTGTCTAGATACTTCCCTGAAGAAAGGATATTTCCTGATTTTTTTAAGCAGCATGATACAACTGTAATATGTGTTATATTAACATTTTCAATCATTACAGAGCAGGTGGAAGCTCTTCCTTTCTTTGTTCTTCCAGGCCATGAGCCCAGATGCCAGGCCCATCCTTTCTGAGTATGAATGTGTGGAGATAACTGGCAGCTGTAGTCTGAATGTATCCCCCAAAATTCGTATGTTAAAGAGCAATCACCAATGTGATGGCATTAAGAGGTGGGACCTTTAGGAGGTGATTATAGGTTAGGTTCTTATGAATGGGATTAGAGCTCTTATAAAAGACCTTGCTCTTTCACTCTTCTGCCACCTGAGGACACAGTGTTTACTTTTCTTTTGCCTTTCTGTTCTTTCTGCCATGTGAGGACACCTAGGTGGCACCATCTCTGAGGAGTGGGTCTCCACCAGACACAGAACCTACCAGCACCTTGATCTTGAACTTCCCAGTCTCCGTAACTGTGAGAAATAAATTCCTGTGGTTTAAAATTAGCCAGTCTCTGGTATTTTGTTATAGAAGCCCGAATGAACTCAGACGTTGCCCTAAGTCTACATTTTTTTGTCAAATACACACACACACACACACACACACACACACACACACACACAAACATTGTTAAATGATGAAAATTGTAAAGTGTGATTTCCAAATATGCCTCAGGGATGATCTTGCCTGCAGGGAGGTCAGAGTGATGGGAGAGTAGCCAGGAGGGAGGAGGCAAGAGCAAGACGCCGGTCTCTCCATCCTCTGGACCTCATGTCCTCCTGGGTTGCCATTGCTTATATTCAAAAATGCCAACTTCAAACAACAGCATGTAAACTCATAAAGTATGGGCACTTCCACTTCTATTCACTGGCCACAGAAAACTGCACAGTTAAGTCTGGCTCAATATATCACCATTCATGCAAGTTAATTCTTCCTCCAACATTGAGTCAAAGAGCAAAGACACATGAATTAGGAAGAACAAGGCTTTATCTATCTATCTCCCCATCCATCTGTTTATCTATCTATATAATCTGGGAAAGAAAGATAAGGGCCCACTGAGACAAATGATTAAAGAGAATGGGGCAGCTGTAGGAGCAGAGGGTAAACTGCTAGTTACAAGACAAGAGGAAAACTGGCCCAGGGCTTCAGATTGCCAGGCTATTTAGGCAAAGCCAGGTATGGCTTAGTCGATGATGTGTGCAGAGCCCTCTTCTACTCTCTACAGTGGAAATTTTCAAGTCAAGTATGTGAACTTCTGACCAGCCTCATTTGCCCCACACCCTCTGACAGACATATATACCACCCCAAGGTGCTGGTCCTGCAGCTTGCTGTTAGAAGACAGACAGAGGGTTAAATTTGTTTGACATAACTCCATAAAACTGAGCCTCTTTCCATCAGAGTGATGGCTATTCACGGGGGACAGTGGTCACTGCAGCCTGCCATTTTCAAAGAAAGCTTGTGTTTCTTAATTGCACTAGGAGAAGGCAAAGGGTGGATGGCACCACATTTCCATTTGCCACAATCCCTGCTGCTAATGAAAGTGTCCCAAAGGCAAGGCTGATGTTTGCAGTGATCACATCAGAATTGGAAGTATTCTAACCAAAGGTAGGAGCAAAAGTGTCTCCAAGCACAGGTATTTTCTCAGTAGTGCTGTCTCCTCAAAAGTCAAATGGGGTACCATGGCTAGGTGACCAGGTATTCTGACTCAGACCAAAGCAGAAATGTCTCCTGAATCATGTACAGCCTTGTCCCCTCTGACTGTAACAGAAGTGTTATGTGTAATGAGTACCCCAGGAGCTCAGAATGATAGTAGGAAGAGAGGCATTTCCAAAAACAAGTTCCATGATGTCCCTTCCCATTGTACCATCTGGACTTTAACCACATGGGCTCCAGGTGCTCTGATTGTATGTGAGAACATAAGGACCTGCAAGCACAGGTATGCACTAGCTGCTGCTATTCCTAAAGATGAACTCTGATCAGGCACGCCTCAGGTGCTCTGATTGTAGGCATGAAGGAAAGTATCTCCAAGCATGAGAGGGGTGCTGATCTCTCCCACTGCAACAAGTGTGCTCTGGCCAGGGGGACCCTAGGAGCTCTGACGGAAGTTGGGAAAAGAAAAGCCCAACACAGGTGTAGTGCTGGCCCCTGTGACTGTAAGAGATATGCTCTGGCATGACGGGTCTCAGCTAATCTGACCACAAGAAGGAACAAAACTGTTGCCTGGACCTTGATTCTTCTCCATGGGACTGACTCCTCCAATAGTAACAGATGTGCATTCACCCAGCTGGCTCTGATTATAGACATGAAAGAAAGTATCTCCCAGATTTGCTCTTTGTAGAGATGGACCAGATTGCTCTAGGCCAGCAAGAACCTGGTACTCAGGTCTAGGTGTCTCAGCTCAGGAAACCAGTGTCTGCTCAGTCCTGCACCAAAGCTGAGTGGTCTAGATATGGATCTTGGACTAAGGCAGCCACACTCATCCTAAAGCTACTGCAACCCATAGAGGCCACAGATTCCATAAACACAAATGGGTCTGCAGTAGGGTTGGCAAACAGTGAACTATTGCCCCCAAGTCCTGGTGCAGACTCTAAAGCCAGAATTAGTAGCTGTACCAACTAAGAAAATGCCTGAGGTGCAACCACAAGCCAGCTGGGTGATGACAGGGATGTCAAAGGTAGAAAATGGAGACGTCAAATCCATGAAGCTGATTGAGTTGTGCTGCCATCTGGTGGTTAGGATGTGGCAGAGGTTAAATCAGGAGCTTGTGCTGAGGCTTCCTGGTTTCCAAAAGGGAAAGAGCCAACAAAGCTGGTAGCTCCAGGCTGCAGCCCATCAGGGACCTGAAATATACACAGGGGGTCAAAATGATTTTGCAAGTTGCATTAGGGCCACTAACCAACTGTGCCAATGCTGCCTCTGAGTAGCATATTATCTGAACCAGAGAGCTCCGTGGAAAATGGGAAGTATTCGCTGGAGACCAGGGAGACCAGAGATGACAGCCTGGGGAAGGAGCTTAGTATCCATATCAATTTCATCAGAGTCAGAGGTAGGATTGGATGTGGACTCTGCTGAGGTGCTGACTACAGGCATAGAGGCAACTACAGAGGCAGTGATAGGTAGGCCAGAAAAAGCAGAGGCACTGGGGAGAGTGGCTCCTGCCACTGCCCACTAGAGATCCCAAATGTGGATGAGTGATGGCTCTCAGCCCAAGGGAAGATTGAAAGTTGTGGTGGGGCTGCTGATCATAAATGCAAGTGGGCTGGTGGAGGCTGGGGCCTTTGCAGGAGATATGCGCTCCATACTGAAATGTGCCTGGACAAATGGGAGGCAGCCTCACTCTGGAGCCTGGGAACACCTATTTCTTCTCTCAGTAGTGCTGGCTCATCCAGTAGTAACAGGATTGCTCTGAATAAGTGGGCCTCAGTTACACTGACCATATGCACAAAAGAGTCTCCCAACACAGTGTGGCTGGCTCCTCTCACTGTGCCATCTGAACTTTATCCAGCAGGGGGCCACGTGGTCTCACTGTAAATGGAAATGCGTGGGCCTAAGCACAGATATGGGGCTGGCCCTGTGCTGCTACGGATGCTCTGGTCAGGTGTGTCCCAGGCGCTATGACTGTAAATATGAGTAGAGGTATCTCCAAGCACGGAAATAGTGCTGGCCCCAGTGACTACAACAAATATGCTGTGGCCAAGTGGGCCCCAGGTGCTCTGAAGAAAGGTAGAAGCAGACAGAAAAGGACCCTCAAGCACAGGTGTGGTTCTGGCCACTCCAACTGTACCAGATGTGCTCTGGCACGGTGGGTCCATGTGATATGACCACACACACAAAAAGTGTAATTTCTTCTCATTGGGGCTGACTCCTCCAGTAGTAACAGATATGCTCTCAACCAGGAGACCAGTGCTCTGACTACAGACAGGAAGAAAACTGTCTCCCAAGATCAATTGGCTCTCCATAAAAGTGCGGTCTGCAGCCTGGACAACACGGTGAAACCCTGTCTCTACTAAAAATACAAAAAATTAGCCAGGCGTGGCAGCGTGTGCCTGTAGTACCAGCTACTGCAGAGGCTGAGGTAGGAGAATTGCTTGAATCCAGGAGGCAGAGGTTGCACAGTGAGCCAAGTTCACGCCACTGCACTCCAGCCTGGGCAACAGAGCGAGACTCTGTCTCAAAAAATAAAAAATAAATAAAAAATAAAGTGGGGTCTACATTTGCAACAAGGATGCTGTGAGCCATCAGGACCATTGTGCTCAGATTTAAGCCTCTCTCAAAATGAGTTCTGGAACTGGGTGACCCCCTTGGTTCCTCACCAAAGCTGAGTGGTCTAGACATGGATCTTGGGCCTAGGGCAGCCACACTCACCCTAAAGCTGCTGCTCCCCACTGGGGCTGCAGATTCCATAAACACAAATGGGCCTGCAGTAGTCTTGGCAAGCAGTGAACTACTAGCCCCAGGGCTAGCATTCTGGTGGGGGCTCTAAAGCTAGAAGTAGTGGCTGTACCAACAGGCAAAATGTCTGAGGTGCATCCAAAGGGCAGCTGGGTGCTGAAAGGGATGCCAAAGGGAAAATAAGGATGTAAAACCCACGAAGCTTATTGATGCTGTCAGTGAGTGGCTGGGCTGCAGTGGAGGTTAAGTCTGAAGCTCTTACTGGGGCTGTCTGATGTCAATAAGTTACCAAAGCTGGTAGCTGCAAGCTTCAGCCCAGAAGGGGCTCAAATGTGGGCTAAACAGTGGCTCTTGGGCCACAATAACTTTGAAAGTTGCATTTGGGCCACTGACCAACTGTGCAGACAAACTGGTGGGAACAGGCTGAGGTAATGCTGCTCCTGGGTGACATGTTCTCAGAACCAGGGAGCTCCATGGAAAATGGGAAGATGTTCTCTCTGGAGCCTGAAGGAGAACTCAGGAAGAAAGCTTGAGAAGGGGGAGTGATGTCCATGCCAGTGACATCAAAGTTCAAAGTAGCTAAGAGTTCAACCGTGCAGACGTGCTGGTTGCAATGGAGGACATGACTGCAGAAGCAGTGATAGGCTGGTGGGAGAAGGCTGAGTACTGGCGGAGGTGACTGGGGGAGGGTATCCATGAATCCACTGGAGAGTCCATAGGTGACTCTATTCTGCAGGAGGCAAGCTAGGAGAAAATCAAGGTGCTGGCAGGTGTGAGGAGGACAGTAGTAGAAGACACTCCAGCTATGACTGAGGGATGGGAATGCAGGTCCTCTGTTCTTATTACTAAGTGGAACCCCCAAAATGAGCTTGAACCTAAAAGGAGAAAGACAGTCAGCACAAACAGCAAATGGAGAATCAGGAGAGGAATGTGCATCTCATTCTACAGTCAGTCTCTGGAGTGTGAGAAGATAGAAGGGCAGACAGGACTGGGGCCCTGGCAGACTGGTCAGCTAAGTTTGCAACTGGGAATGTTTTAACACGCAAGACCCACAAGGTGAAAGTGACCAGGGGCAGGATGTTTTCATTCCCTACAGCAGGCAGAGCAATAGAACCCACAGGCTGAGTGACACTGCAGTCCATGGTGGCTTCAGTCTTAACTTCCGATATGTTATTGAGCCATTGACACTCAGCTTTCTTCTCTAAGCTTAGGTCTTCTCTAATGACTAGACAAGGAAGCTGAGGAGGGGAGGAAGGCAGCTCACCTCCATCCCACAACAGTAGCAGTGGCGGCAGCAGCAACATTGAAATTTTCCATCAACGAGGCCTACAGCTGGCAGATGTGGGTGAAGAATTTCTCCTTGACAAGCATCTAAATGGTGTCTGGAAGCTTTTTTCCCTGCTAGTCTCCTCCAACATCAGTGAGTGGAGAGCTCTCCGACGGCCTTCATCAAGCACTGTCTCTGTCAGCCTCTTGAGCAGGGGGGAGCAGGATGAGCTCTTTGAAGACGTCTGGGCTGTCTTTACTCAAGCCGTCTTCTGGGAGCCCAGATTGGAGGTCTCAAGACAGAGACCCTCGACTGCACCGGAAAAAAGACAACAGTCCAGTGGCCTCCATAGGCCTAGATGCTGATGGCTTAGTGCTCCTACTGCCACTGTATGCTGATGATTCACCCCTGCTGCCACGGGGCCTCTTCTCTGATCCTGCCACCGTTGCTCACTAGTTGGTGTCCTCTTCCTTCGCTGTTTCTTTCCTGTCCTCTCCTAGGGCCCTTCACTCAGTCTCCTTTGGACAAGGATCTACCCAGTGATTGATGGCACCAGCCTCAAGGGACGACTAGCGGCTAAGGTGGCAAACGGAGGATGGTCTCTTTGCTCCCAGGAAGAGGGATGTTTATTGTTCCCGGGTGGCCTGATTCTTCGAAGTGG
This sequence comes from Homo sapiens, assembly GCF_000001405.40. Lineage (NCBI taxonomy): Eukaryota > Metazoa > Chordata > Mammalia > Primates > Hominidae > Homo > Homo sapiens. Next base: position 63,973,917 of record NC_000010.11, on the reverse strand, counting down.
CCCATTGGAACACAGAGTGTCCCCCCCAGACACTGCTCAGAACGGAGGGCTGAGCCTGCTGCTGCACAGAGGCAAAAGCTCGCAATGCTCATAGAACAACCCGCGAACAGGGCCCAGGAGAGCTGCAGGGAACCGAGCGATCTGGCCAGGCGGAGTGGCGGGGGCGGGGGAAGGGCGGCGCAGGGACCAGTGGGCGAAGCTGCCAGTGAGTTGCCTGTGAGGAGCCGTTTGAGCTCTGTTGTAGTTGCTAGGCGCAGAGATCGCCTAGCTATCGACTCTGCTCGCAGGCGGCGCTATCCCACGCGGTGCTGGCGACAGTCACTGGAGCACGTGGCAAAGAAAGGGCGCACCAGCGAAGGGCGCCAGAGGGCAATCTTAGCCGCCCACCCGGCGTCCTGTCGAGCGCTTCGGGACCTCCTGCCTCTGAGGCAGGAGTTTGGGCTCAGGTGGGTCCCACGCTGTTGGGGACTGTTGAGGACTGCCACTGCGGAGGCCCGGACCCACAGGGCCTGCGAACCCCTCAGCGCCTGGTACGGGGCGGCAGCTTGGGAAATCAGTTCCCGTGTGTCCTCTGGTCCTTTTCCCGGAGTCACTGAGAGGCAGAACATGCTCAAAGCCAGAGCGCGAGAGCACCCCATTTCCTGACTGAATGGAGGTGGCTTGCATGCAAGGAGGGTCCAGTAAGAGGGGGAAGGGCAGGAGACAAGGGACTTTGGATCTCGTGCGGCATCTAGAACGCCTAGGGTTCCAGGATTGCAGCAGAGTATGTGCTACGGTGGGGCAGGGACCCCAAGCAGCACAGGCGCAACTACCCTAGACTTGACTGTTCCTTTCGAGTTGCCACCACAGACGACACCAGTTTATCCCCACACCTCCACCCCATGCTTCAGAGCTAGGGTCAGAGATGGGGATGCCACCTTCTCTAGGAACCTCGCGAGTGCCTGGAGTCAAGTGCGCTTCTCTTGGCCACCCTGCAAAGGCCAGATCCCAGAGTTTCATCAGCTGACACGTAAAGGACATAGATAGAAAAATACAAAAAATTAGCCGGGTGTGGTGGCGGGCACCTGTAGTCCCAGCTACTCGGGAGGCTGAGGCAGGAGAATGGCGTGAACCTGGGAGGCGGAGCTTGCAGAGAGCCGAGATCGCGCCACTGTACTCCAGCCTGGGCGACAGAGCAAGACTCTTGTCTCCAAAAAGAAAAGAAAAGAAAAGAAAATACAATAGCTTTTTACGTATTGACCTTATATATTGGGAACTTGCTAAGTTCACTTTCCACTTCTGATAGTTTCTTTGTGGATTCCTTAGGATTTTTTTACATACACGTTTCCTATAAGTAATGACAGTTTTACTCCCTCCTTTTTAATTGGTATGCCTTTTATTCCTTTTCCCTAACTTCTACATTTACAAGGACCTCCAGAAAAATGTTGAACACAAGTGGAGAAAATGAATATCCTTTTCCCGTTCCCTATCTTAAGGGGAAAGTATTCACTATGCAGCATAGTTAGGGTTTTTGTGGAAGCTCTTTATCACATTAAGGAAATTCCCACCAGTTCCTACTTTTCTGAGAGATTTTTTTGAAAGGGGTGTTAAATTTTGTCCATTTTTTTTCACAGCTGTGGAGATATTTGGCTTTTCTCCCTTATTCTCTTAATATGGTGAATTACACTGATTAATTTTTAAATGTTAAATCAACTTTGAATTCCAGACACAAACTCCACTTGGTTATATTACATCACACATTTTGATGGATTTTATTTGCTAAAATCTTGTTAAAGATTTTTATGGCTATGCCCATGAGGGATATTAATCTGTAATTTTCTTTTATTGTTAGATTTTGGTATTAGCACTTACTGGACTCTAGATTGACTTAGGAAAAGTTGTCTCTGTGCTATTTTCTGAAAAAATTCATCTAACACTGGTAAGATACAATAGCGTCCTTATGCGTTTGACAGAATTCACCAGGAAACCTATGTGGATTTGCAGTTCTCTTCCTGGGAAGATTTCTGTAGTCCTTTACTATCCTTAAATTTCTGGAAGATATATCATGATGCTCCCCATTTTTATGCCTGATATTAGTAATTTGAGTTCCCTCTTGTCATTCCAAATAGGAAGATCAGTCTTGCTAGAGATTACCAGTTTTATTTTGTTTGGAAAATAAAAAACACACAACTTTTAGCTTTGTCATTTTCTCTATTGTGTATTTTCTTCTATTCTTTCCTTATTGCTACTTGCTTTGGATTTAACATGCTCATCTAGTTTTTTCTATTGTATGGAAACTTAAATTACTGACTTTTACATTTCTCTTGCTTTTTAATAAAATAAAGCTACAATATTCCCTTAAGCACTACTTTAGCTGTATCCCACAAATTTTTATTTGCTGTGTTTTACTTAGTTCAAGATATTTTCTCATTTTTCTTGTCATTTTCTCTTTGACCAATTGTTTATGTAAAAGTGTGTTTTGCTTAATTTCCAAATATGAAGATTTTCAAGATACCTTAATTGCCATTGATTTCTAATTTAATTCCACCAGGGCCAATTTTAAGTTTCCAATCCTTTGAAATTTTTAATACTTTTTTTTTGTTCAGCTTAGTCGTATCTTCATCAACATTCCATATGTACTTGAGAAATTACGTTCAGCTATTCTTGAGGATAGTATTTCCAAATCTCAATTAGATCAACTTACGCCTTCTATACTCTTGTTTGTTAGCTACTTGCTTTAATAATGGATGAGAAAGAGATATTAAAATCCCCTACTATGATTGTAATATGTCTACTTATTGCCTTAGTTTGGTCAGTTTTTGCCTCATGTATTTTGAAGGTCAGCTAAGTGCATAAACTTTTAAGAAGTTTATCTCTTCCAAATAAATTGACCTTTTTACTATTGGGACATGTTTCTTTTTATAGCCAGTAGTAATTCTTGTCTTCAAGTCTGATTTGTCTGATATTAATTTATCCATACCATCTTCATTATCTTTAGAGTGACTAGCATCCTGGTTCACCAAAGAATATCCTGCTTTAAGCAATGAAAATCTCACGTCTGGAGAATCCCTCAGTCCTGAACAAAATGGATGGTTGGTCACCCTAGCTATCTAGTACTTGCATGGTATCTTTTTCTATCATTTCATTTTCAACAAATCTATGTTTTTATATTTAGAGAGTACCTCATTTAGATTGCATAGTTGGGTCTTGCTTTTTTCATCCAATTAATCAACCTCTGCCCTTTAAATGGATTTTTAAAATACTTTCAACTTTTATTTTAGACTCGGGATATATGTGCAGGTTTGTTATATGGGTATGTTGCATGATGCTGAGGTTTGAGACACAAATGATCCCATCATCCAAATAGTGACCATAGTACTCAATACTTTTTCAACCCTTGTGATATGGTTTGGCTATGTCCCCACCCAAATCTCATCTTGAATTGTAGCTCCCATGATTCCCAAGTGTTGTGGGAGGGACCTGGTGGGAGATAATTGAATCATCGGGGCGGTTTCCCCCATACTGTTCTCGTGGTAGTGAGTAAGTCTCATGAGATCTGATGGTTTTATAAGGGGAAACCCCTTTTGGTTGGTTTTCATTCTCCCGTCTGCTGCCATGTAAGACATGCCTTTTGCCTTCCACCATGATTGTGAGGCCTCCCCAGCCACATGGAAAGTGAGTCCACTACACCTCTTTTTTTTTTTTATGAATTACCCAGTCTCAGGTATGTCTTTGTCAGTAGCATGAAAATGGACTAATACACCTTGTTCCTCCTCCCTTTCTCCCCGTTGTGTTCCCCAATGTCTATTACTGCCATCTTCACGTCCATGTGTACCCAGAGTTTATCTCCTACTTATAAATTAGAACATGTGCTATTTGGTTTTCTGTCCCTGCATTAATTCGCTTAGGATAATGGCTTCCAGCTGCATCCATAATTTTATTCTTTTTTATGGCTGCATAATAGTTCCTGGGGTACACATACTAAATGTTCTTTATCCAATCAACCGTTGATGGACACCTAAGTTTATTCCATGTCTTCGGAATTGTGAATAGTGCTCTGATGAACATACAAATGGATGTCTCTTTTTTATTTTCCTTTGGATACATACCCAGTAATGAGATTGCTGAGTCAAATGGTGTTTCCATCTTCAGATCTTTGAGGAATTGCCACACTGTCTTCCACAATGGTTAAAATCTTACCAACAGTGTGTAAGTGCTCCTTTTTCTCCACAACCTCACCATCATCTGTTATTTTTTGACTCCTTAATAATAGCCATTCTGAGTGATGTGAGATGAGGTTTTTTCATATGTTTGTTGGCCACTTGTGTGTTTTCTTTTGAGAAATGTCTATTCATTTCCTTTGCCCACTTTTAGTGGGGTTATTTGGTTTTTGCCTGTTGAAATGTTTAAGTTCCTTATAGAATCTGCATATTAGGTCTTTATTGGCTACATAGTTAGCAAATATTTTCTCCCATTGCAGAGGTTGCCTGTTTACTCTGATGATAGTTTGTTTTACTGTGCAGAAGCCTTTTAATTAGGTCCCAATTATCAATTTTTTGTTTTGTTACAATTGCTTTTGAAGACTTAGTCATAAATTCTTTCCCAAGGCCAATGCTGATAATGGTGTTTCCCAGGTTTTCTTCTAGGATTCTTACAGTTTGAGGTCTTATATTTAAATCTTTAATCCATATTAACTTTTATATGGTGAAAGGTAGGGGTCCAAGTTTCCTTCTTCTGCATATAGCTGGCCAGTTATCCCAGCATCATTTATTGACTAGGCAGTACTTTACCCATAGCTTATTTTTGTCAACTTTGTCAAAGACCAGATAGCTGTAGGTGTGCAGCTTTATATCTGGGTTCTTCATTCTGTTCCACTGGTCTATGTGTCTGTTTTTGTACCAGTACCATGTAGTTTTGGTTACCATAGCTTTGTAGTATAATTTGAAGTTGGGTAATGTGATGCCTCCACTTTGTTCTTTTTGCATAGGATTGCTTTGGCTATTTGGGATCTTTTTTGGTTCCATCTGAACTTTAGAATAGTTTTTACTAACTCTGGAAAAAAACTATATTAGTAGTTTGATAGGAAGAGCATTGAATCTGCAGATTGCTTTGGGTAGTATGCCCATTTTAAGAATATTGATTCTTCCAATCCATGAGCATGGGCCATTTTTCCATTTGCGTCATCTATGCAATGCTTTGTAGTTCTCCTTGTAGACATTTTTCACCTCCTTAGTTAGATGTATTCCTAGATATTTTTGTGTGTGTGGCTATTGTAAAAGGGATTATGTTCCTGATTTGGCTCTCAGCTTGAACATTATTGGTGTATACAAATGCTACTGTTTTTCATTATGTTCATTTTGTATCCTTAAACTTTACTAAAGTCATTTACCAGTTCCAGGAGCCTTTTGATGGAGTCTTTAGGGTTTTATAGGTATCAAATCATATCATCCATGAAGACAGTTTGAATTCCCCTCTTCCTATTTGGATGCCTTTTATTTCTGTCTCTTGCCTGATTGCTCTGGTAAGGACTTCCAGTACTATATTGAAAAGGAACGGTGAGAGTGGGCATTCTTGTCTTGTTCTAGTTCTCAAGGAGAATGCTTCTAGCTTTTGGCTGTTCATCGTGATGTTGGTTGTGGGTTTGTCATAGATGGCTCTTATTTGAGGTATAGTCCTTTGATGCCTAGTTTGCTGAGGGTTTCTATCATGAAGAAATGCTGGATCTTATCAAATGCTTTTCCTGCATCTATTGAGATGACCATATGTGTTTAATTCTGTCTATGTGGTGAATAACATTTGTTGATTTGTGTATGTTGAACCAACCTTGCATCCCAGGAATGAAGCCTACTTGATTGTGATGAATTAACTTTTTGATGTGCTGCTGTATTTGGTTTGCTAGTATCCTGTTGAGGATTTTTGTGTCTATGTTAATCAGGGATATTGGCTTATAGTTTTCTTTTTTCGTTGTGTGTTTGCCAGGTTTTGGCATCAGGGTAATGCTGGCTTTGTAGAATGAGTTAGGGAGGAGTTCCTCCTCCTCTATTTTTTTTTGAAATAGTTTCAGTAGGATTGGTACCAGCTCTTCTTTGTACCTCTGGTAGAATTCAACTATGAATCCATCTGTTATTATGGGCCTTTTATTGGTTGATAGGTTTTTTTATTACTGATTTAATTTCAGAACTCCATATTGGTCTGTTTAGGGTTTTCATTTCTTTTTGATTCAATCTTGGGAGGTTGTGTGTTTCCAGGAATTTATCCATTAAAAGAGTTGTTTAGTCCAATTATAGTTAACATAATTGTTTATATGATTGAGTTCAAATCTGCATAGGATAGAAGAGTTCTAGGTGTTCCACATTCCTACTTACATTTGAAATGACAGACAACTTTTAAACTTTATTCTGGTGAATGTGTAGTGGTATCTCACTGTGGTTTCAATATTCATTTTCCTGATAACTAATAATATTGAGCACTTCTTACATACTTATTGAAACACTTTCAGTCTCCTTTTGTGAAGGAGTCAATACCTGTTCCTTCCAAGGGTTGCTTTAAGAATATTTTTTAATCTGCATAATGTATAGTGTCAGCACATAATATCAACTGCTGTAATTCCTATTGTCATTATTGCCATGGATTGCTCTCCAATGTGGTGGACATTATGTCCTCTTTCTGCACCACTTCATTGCATGCTAGGCTTTGCTGTTAATTCCCTCAATTCCCACAGAAAACATTACCACCAGTCTTTTATGGAAACCAGACTTTTATTAAAGGCTTAGAGTCATGGTAGGAAATGACAGCATCATACAATATAGGCACTAGCTGAAAGTTAAATGTTAGACATCACTATCCTAAAACTCTTGGATAGTTCCTTTCATCATCTTGCTTATTCCTGGAGCTTCCTGTTCTCCTCAGTTTCTCCTTACCAGGTCTTAGATCCCTTAACTCTTCACTCCAGAGTTACTCATGGATAAACTGCTCTCTCTATTGTCTTGCACACTTCAACCCTTTTTAGACTTTTATTCTCTCTTTTCAGAAAATTTCCTACAAGTGAAGACTAGAGCTTTTCCTTTCATACTAAAAGATGCTCATCAAGATATTTATCAAAAACAAAGTGCCTTCTCTTGAGTTTGAAATGTTACCACTCTTTTGGATTGTCAAAATGTTTGTAATTAGTCACTATTTAATTACGAATGTTTCTGTTCTATCTTTAAGTATATATGTTATATCTGAATGTATTAATTAAGAGGGGACTATTCATCCCATGTTACAGCTAAAATAGCTGAGGCTCATTGATGAAGTAATGTTCCAAGTTGCACAAACATCAAACTTGAATTCAAACTCAAATGCACCTGACTCTAGAAATTTTTTCTCCATCCACTACACCACATGCTTCCCCCATGGAACTCCTGAGCTCCTGCACATTTCCTCCCTCTCTATCTTCCCAAGTTGAATTTCTTATTCAATTTTCTCTTGGGTCCTAACCCTTACTACTGTTTGACACATGAAATCATATCACTATAGGAAGTCACCAAACATCTGAGCCTCAGCAATTTACCTGTGAATTGGGAAGAGTAGCTACCTTTTGATTGCTAGAAGAATTCATTAAACTAACGTATTAAAATGTTCTATAAGCAGTAAACACTGGATTTTATTTCTAGCAGTGTGGTAGATTAGAAACTCCACCATTTAAATCTAAAAATACTGGATAAAACATTTAAAAAAAACCTTTTACTGAATGACTGAGCTGGTGATGTGGCAAGGGAATTTCTCAGAGAATAGAAATGGTTAGAAGGCATAAATTTACTTGGCTAAGGGAGAACTGAATCTGCCGTTTTCTCTGGAATATCTGCCTATCCCTATTGGCTCAGAGCCTCAATTTTAATAGATTATGTGTGCTGAGGCAGAAGACAAGACTCAGCTTGCAAATTCCCACACAAACATGGGATTTCTAAAACATGACACGTTCAATGAGTAAATCAGAAATAAATAACGAATCTGGCACAGATGACGATGAAGATACATGCCTACATAGGCCTTGGCTCTGGGTTGGAATGACAGTAGACAGAAGTTTATTTCTTGAGAATTCTCAAAAACCTCTTCTTCCATAGACTTGCAGTTGGACTTCATTCTATCTAAAACATCCAAGCCAATAATTTTGGCTAAAATGGTCCTGAACTGATAATGCCCCCACATGTCACCTATACACATATAAAAGAATTACTAAACCACACATGGATGCCTCTGTCACTTGGGAGGTAGTGCTCAGTGTTGACATGGTTCAACTCATAATCCTACACATCTGTCATCATGTCTAACAACATTCAGGTCCCGGGGAAATGTTTCTCCATATCCCTTGCTCTGTGTCCTGGAAACAAAAGGCAGCTGTGTTTCATTTCCAGGAAGGTCTGTGGATTTTGCCACTGCCAGTGGTGTCAAAGACTAACACCATTTTGGAGTCTAGGGGGATTTAGCTACAGATGTTGTTAAATTTTTAAAAAGACAATTTTGTCAAATTCCTCTTCCCAGAAAACACATATCCAGTGGATTTTTTGCATTAAAAAAATTATCCCATCTCCACAGTGCCCAGCATCTACATTTCTATTTCTCTTCAGGTTCCAATTCAAGGTTTTCTACATTGCTTCACAAATTAGTACAGCATTTGTGATAACTGCAGATGGCAGAGGAGGAACATCTGCAATACTTAACAATTCATATTTCTTTTATATTTGTATATATGTAGGTCTGTATACAACCACTAAAAATCATGGTAACAACAGTTTACATTTGCAACTAGGACACAGAATGCTAGAACTGTGAGTTGTATTTTCAGAAAACATTTAATACTTATATTTTTAAAGATAAATGCTAAGTTTCACTTACATTTTTCTTTAAAAGTTTACATTCATCATATAAATTATATGTTGCCTTCTAATTTTAATAGATAATTTTGAATATTCTGAAAGAAAACTTTGTAATAAGTAATTGTTTTGAAATGAAAGATTAAAAATAGATTTTATAGAGTGAATATAAACAAATAAAACAGCATTTATTTACTCATACAAACTTTGGCCCCTCAAGAGAACACCTAGATATGCATAATAATAATGAAATTCACTAATCTCTGATATTTTGACAACTTCCAGTCACCTAAAAAATTATATGTTTTCAAATACTTTTAGGTGTCATCATTATGAAGGTATATTTATCAAGGTAGGAGGATAAAACATTGCATTTAACAGTTTTTGGCTTAATTTATTACTTTTAAAAACTTAGACATATGGTATGTGAATTCCATCTGTACTCTTGCAAATGCTGTACTCATTACAAATGTTAGAAACAAGCCTGGCCAGGTCCCTGGAAAACGCAAAACCAACTTCTTTCTGGAAAAATCCACTTTACACTCAAACTTCAAGTAATTCCCACAGGTAAAGTTCTAAAGGTCATATTATAATTTTTAAAAATCACTAAGCACATGAGGAAATAGGCTATCACGATTGAGATATAGCAGAAAACACAAATTTGCAATATGACCAGCTAAGATTTAAGATACTAGAATTATTGGATATAATAAAAAATAATTATTTTAATATGGCTATAGTTAGGAAGTTAAGAGATTAAAGAGACACAAAGGATAGAGTAAGCCCAACATGTCCATCAGCATTCCAGAAGGAGCTAATTGAGAGAAGAGGGAATAATATTAATATGCATATATGAAAATCTGATATATGTCAGAGGGATGATGCAAATCAGTTTTTGAAAACATGGACAGCTCATTAAGGTATGCCAGAACAATTGATTAATTATCATGTGAAACAAAAAATGAACATGAATTCTTATTTTGAAACATACTCAAAAATATGTATACTTATATGTATATGCATCTATTTGAGATTTATATACATATACATGTACGTAAATATATACATGTACATATACCTGTATATAAACATATGTATATTTGTTCACATGTATATACACATATATAAATACATGTGAATAAATGTATATATGTATATAAGCATATGTAAATTTATAGACATATTTAAATACATACATATACATTTAAATATACATATATTTAAATATATACATATATTTAAATACATATACCTATATACATATACATATACACATATTTAAATATACATATATTTTAAAACATATACAGTTACACATATTTTTATATATATATTTGAATGGCATAATTTGAATGAGATTCTTCTAGTTAACGTAACCGGATAATTAATCTCAAGTGCAAAATATTCGTTGCCTACACATAAGAATGGATTAATTTTTCCCCACTGTCATGTTTATTGGCTTTTTTTTTTGAGAACATAAAGGTAACACAAGCTCATTTAGAAAACTAATGAAATATATATACATATAGGTATATCTGTGTGTATGCATATGTACCAAAAACATTTATTTTTGTTTTAATAGCAACCATTTAATACCAAAAAAAATATTTATTTTACATCTCTAAGTCCACAGCCCTTTTCTTGGTGCTAAAGGAAAAAAAAATCAGTAAGTTTCACTGAGTTTTGCTTTGACATATTAGCTTTTAATTCCTGAGAATCCGGAAGAGAATGTTACTTAGCAAATGGGAAACTTGCTGATCAGTTAAAGAAGTCTCTGGAAATTTAAGTGATTTCTACCCTACAATCACTAGGGAAGAAAAATAACTAGAAAATGGGGAAAATAAAGTCTGGCAAGTCTGCCCAGAGCCTGGAGAAAGAGAGACATACTCCCTCAAGAATACACAGCAGGTTGTCTGTCTTTTTGAAAATCTTGATTGCTCAGGGCCCATGATAGTTAGTGCAAGACCAGAAGGTAGCTTTCTGCAGGACCAGGTGTCACAGTTCCATGGAAACTTGAGGAAGTTCAAACATCTATTAAAGTGACAAAGTTTATAATAACTTAGTTGTTAAATGCCTTTTTGCTGTTCTCTGAACCCATGAACTGTCTTTCTTTCCTCTGTTTGGTGTCTAACATTTATCTCCTAATATATATATATATATATATATATATATATATATTTATTTATTTATTATTATTATTATACTTTAAGTTTTAGGGTACATGTGCACAATGTGCAGGTTTGTTATATATGTATACATGTGCCATGTTGGTGTGCTGCACCCATTAACTTGTCATTTAGCATTAGGTATATCTCCTAATGCTATCCCTCCCCGCTCCCCCCACCCCACAACAGTCCCCAGTGTGTGATGTTCCCCTTCCTGTGTCCATGTGTTCTCATTGTTCAATTCCCACCTGCGAGTGAGAACATGCGGTGTTTGGTTTTTTGTCCTTGTGATAGTTTGCTGAGAATGATGGTTTCCAGCTTCATCCATGTCCCTACAAAGGACATGAACTCATCATTTTTTATGGCTGCATAGTATTCCATGGCATATATGTGCCACATTTTCTTAATACAGTCTATCATTGTTGGACATTTGGGTTGGTTCCAAGTCTTTGCTATTGCGAGTAGTGCCACAATAAACATACGTGTGCATGTGTCTTTATAGCAGAATGATTTATAGTCCTTTGGGTATATACCCAGTAATGGGATTGCTGGGTCAAATGGTATTTCTAGTTCTAGATCCCTGAGGAATCACCACACTGACTTCCACAATGGTTGAACTAGTTTACAGTCCCACCAACAGTGTAAAAGTGTTCCTATTTCTCCACATCCTCTCCAGCACCTGTTGTTTCCTGACTTTTTAATGATCGCCATTCTAACTGGTGGGAGATGGTATCTCATTGTGGTTTTGATTTGCATTTCTCTGATGGCCAGTGATGATGAGCATTTTTTCATGTGTCTTTTGGCTGCATAAATGTCTTCTTTTGAGAAGTGTCTGTTCATATCCTTTGCCCACTTGTTGATGGGGTTGTTTTTTTCTTGTAAATTTGTTTGAGTTCATTGTAGATTCTGGATATTAGCCCTTTGTCAGATGAGTAGATTGCAAAAATTTTCTCCCATTCTGTAGGTCGCCTCTTCACTCTGATGGTAGTTTCTTTTGCTGTGCAGAAGCTCTTTAGTTTAATTAGATCCCATTTGTCAATTTTGGCTTTTGTTGCCATTGCTTTTGGTGTTTTAGATATGAAGTCCTTGCCCATGCCTATGTCCTGAATGGTATTGCCTAGGTTTTCTTCTAGGATTTTTATGGTTTTAGGTCTAACATGTAACTCTTTAATCCATCTTGAATTAATTTTTGTATAAGGTGTAAGGAAGGGATCCAGTTTCAGCTTTCTACATATGGCTAGCCAGTTTTCCCAGCACCATTTATTAAATAGGGAATCCTTTCCCCATTGCTTGTTTTTCTCAGGTTTGTCAAAGATCAGATGGTTGTAGATATGCGGCATTATTTCTGAGGGCTCTGTTCTGTTCCATTGGTCTATATCTCTGTTTTGGTACCAGTACCATGCTGTTCTGGTTACTGTAGCCTTGTAGTATAGTTTGAAGTCAGGTAGCATGATGCCTCCAGCTTTGTTCTTTTGGCTTAGGATTGACTTGGCGATGCGGGCTCTTTTTTGGTTCCATATGACCTTTAAAGTAGTTTTTTCCAATTCTGTGAAGAAAGTCATTGGTAGCTTGATGGGGATGGCATTGAATCTATAAATTACCTTGGGCAATATGGACATTTTCACGATATTGATTCTTCCTACCCATGAGCATGGAATGTTCTTCCATTTGTTTGTATCCTCTTTTATTTCGTTGAGCAGTGGTTTGTAGTTCTCCTTGAAGAGGTCCTTCACATCCCTTGTAAGTTGGATTCCTAGGTATTTTATTCTCTTTGAAGCAATTGTGAATGGGAGTTCACTCATGATTTGGCTCTCTGTTTGTCTGTGATTGGTGTATAAGAATGCTTGTGATTTTTGCACATTGATTTTGTATCCTGAGACTTTGCTGAAGTTGCTTATCAGCTTAGGGAGATTTTGGGCTGAGATGATGGGGTTTTCTAGATATACAATCATGTCATCTGCAAGCAGGGACAATTTGACTTCCTCTTTTATCTCCTAATTTTTATATGGCATCTGTATTAGTCTATTTTCATGCTGCTGATAAAGACATACCTGAGACTGGGAAGAAAAAGAGGTTTAATTGGACTTACAGTTCCACATGGCTGGGAAGGCCTCAGAATTGTGGAGGGAGGTGAAAGGTACTTCTTACATGGTGGTGGCAAGAGAAAATGAGTAAAATGCAAAAGCAGAAACCCCTGATGAAACCATCCAATCTCATGAGACTTATTTACTACCGCGAGTACAGTATGAGGGAAACCGCCCCCATGATTCAAATTATCTCTCACCAGGTCCCTCCCATAACACATGGGATTTATGGGAGTGCAATTCAAGATGAGATTTGGGTGGGGACACAGCCAAACCATATCAGCACCAGAAGAAAATTCAGACTTGGAGACAGAAAAAAATATAAGCAGCCTATTTGCAAACAGATTAGCATTTGATTTGTATGAGATTCTCCTAGTTAAATTAATCCAGTTATTAATCTCAAGCAGAAAATATCCCTTTCCTACTAAGAATGTATTATTTTTTTCCCACTGTTATATTTACTGGCTTTATTTTGAGAACATAAAGGTAACACAAGCTCATTTAGAAGTATGAGTAAAAAGTAAAAAGAAGACAACAAAATTTACTCATAATCTTACTACCAAAGATAATAATACTTTTTAAAAATCTATTGTCTTTCCTTTCTCTATAAATACACATTTTTTATTTTTGGAAAGTTTAATAAAATGCAAACACTGTTTTTTTTATTTTACACCAACATTAACATCTTTAAAATTCTTCAAAAACATATTCTTTTTCTTGAGATGGAGTCTCGCTCTGTTGCCCAGGCTGAAGTGCAGTGGCTCAATCTCGGCTCACTGCAAACTCTACCTCCCAGGTTGAAGCAATTCTCCTACCTCAGCCTCCCGAGTAGCTGGGACTACAGGTGTGTGCCACCATGCCCAGCTAATTTTTTGTATTTTTAGTAGAGACGGGGTTTCACCATGTTGGCCAGGATGGTCTCGATCTCCTAACCTTGTGATCTGCCCTCCTCGGCCTCCCAAAGTGCCAGGATTACAGGCAAAAACATCATTTTTAATCACTACAAATTTATTCCACCATTCCCCTTTTTTCATTTTTAAGTGGGATCATATTTTTACATTTTCTTTTTTCTTTGTGTTTGATTCCTTTTTTAGGATTTACTTGTGAAAGCACAATTTTCCTCCCCACAACAGTGTTTAACAGTTTAGAGATCTCTACAGTCTTCTTTGTGAAATTTTGTACCCAATATTTTTGAAATTTTTTCCAATTTGACAGGTAAAAGTTGTATCCCTTGTTTAATATTTATTATAATTATTACTAGGGTTTCTGACTTATTACTCCAGACTTCTGCATGCTTCTGTTTCCCTCCCCCTTCTGAATCTGTATGACCCTTCTTTCACTTCCAAATGTAAATCCCAGACACAGAGCTCTACCTTTCCCACGACCCCATCGACTAATAAACTGCCCCCCTAGACAAACACCCAGGCAGAGGTTATGGCCCTCAATACCTAGATATGGGGATATTGATGGTATAGAATAAACAGCTCCCTTCACTTGCACTGGAAGTATAGAACCAGCCAGATGGAATGGACTTCAACTCAGATGTCTTGGAGTACGTCTCAGCTCACGAGAGCCAACTATACATTTCTTTTCTCAATTCCATGTTCAATGATGTCACATTGGCTGCTCAAAATTGTTCATGGTGAGAAGATTTCCACCATTAATCAGCAAATGCTACAAATTAAAGCCTCCCAGTGCGCCACCACCCCACCAACACCCCACCGAGAGACAGTTGTTAGACATTTAACAGCATTCTGCTACCTACTTCCACTTCAGGCTATGGCAGATAAGCTAGTATCAGACTAACCTTCCTGCTTATAACACCTAGAAAAGCTGTATACATTTTTTTTATTGTTTGACGGAACATTACCACGAAGCCAAGATCTGGGTCTAAGATCCCAGAGAGAAAGAAGTGTTGAGAAGTGAGCCTGATGTTACACTCCCCTGACACATCTGCTGATGCCCAGGCAGCATGTGAGCCACTAAGCAGAAAGTCATGGCTAGCAGGTATAGGAGCTGAGCAGAGCTTTCAGCAGTCTCAGGGGCTGCAGAGAAAAATCCGAATTTTTTCAGGACCTACCAAAGAGGAGGGTTCCTAATAAACACTCAGGCTTTCATTTGGGATTTCTGAAGGGCAATACTCCAGGAATTTAGGTAACAGGAGCCACCAAACCCTCAAAAAGAATAAAGTTTGGCTCAGATTTAGATCAATTCCAGACTAAAGTAAGGTAAACCTCCTCATCCTAACTGCCTGCTAGTCACGAAAGTAAATCCTCTTGAGGGCTTATAGTAGAACCAATAACCAACAATAGCTAGCAATAAATCTACTAAAGATCTACAAAGCTACAGGAGAATTGTAGATCTAAATGTGAAAGGCTAACAATAGAGCTTCTAGTAGATGTCACTGAAATTCTACATGGTATTGGAAGTATTTCAAAACACATGTACACCATTGTCCATAGCAGTATTATTTGTAATATTTAAAAAGTGGAAATAATAGAATGCATAAATTGTGGTATATTCATTCATTGGAGTACTACACCACAGTAGTATAAAAGCACAAACTACTGCTAAACACAACAGGATGAATGAATGTCACAGACATAGTGCTGAATGAAAGAAGCCAATGCAAAAGAGTATATACTGTATGATTCCATTTATATAAAGTTTAAAAATGGGCAAAACCAATCTATGATGTTAATAATTTAGCAGGAGAGTAACAAGAAGTATGAGGGGGCTTCCAAAAATGCTTGTATGTTTTGTTTCTTGATCTGAGCAATGTTTACAAGCCTTGTTCCTGTGAAAATATAATAAGCAATCGACTTATGGCTTATATGCTTCTCTGTATAAATGTTATATTTAAAGTTTATTAAAGGATATCTAAGAGATAGCACTGAAACTCTTCGCAGAGGTGAAACATGCCACCTGAATCAGATAGGATCCATGATGCAAGTGACAGAAAAATCTAATTCAGACTGACTTTGAAACTAGTATGAAAGTCCAAAGAAAATCTGCAAATGACCAACAAACATATGAAAAGATGTTCAACATCACTGGTCATTGAGGAAATGCAAATCAAAATCACAATGACATGCCACCTCACACCCATTAGGATGGCTTAAATGAAAAAGATAATAGCAAAACTTGGCTAAGATGTGGAGAAATTGGAACACTCTCATACACTGCTGGTGAGAATGTAAAATGGTACACCCACATAGGAAAACTGGCAGTTCCTCACAGTGTTCAACAGACTTACCATATGATCCAGTGGTTCCATTCCTAGGTACATACTCAAATGATAACATATATCCATAAGAAAGCTTACATAGTAATGTTGAAATGTCATTATTCACAATAGCCAAAAATGGAGACAAGCCAAATAGTATTTGGCAATTAAAAAAAAACGAATGAAATACTGATGATACATGCTAAAACATGGATGAACCTTGAACTTGTGATGCATAAAAGAAGCCAGTCGCAAAAGACCACATATACATATTTACATGGAATGTCCAAAACAGACAACTCTAAAGAGACAAAGAGTAGATTAGCAATTGTCATGGCCTAGGGCTGACAGTAGGGAGAGATCAGGAAAGGGAGGTTGAGGAGGAATGGGGAATAATCACAAATGGGAATGGGGCTTCCATTTGCAGTGATGAAAATATTCTAAAGTTGATCGTGGTGAAGGTTGCACAACTCTATATATTTACTTACATTTTAAAGGAGGATTTATTTGAGAAAAATAAAAACACAACAGAACATGGGCCACTTTACACAATAAAATAGACAATAGTATACATATTTTTGTAAGTTTAAACACTCAGGTATACCAATGACAATCACATGGGTATAACAGTTATGAATAGATAAATTGTGTTCATAAAGAAATAGGTCAAAGGGAAATATATAAATGCCTATTACTCTGGTTGGCAATTGTGCGTACCTAGCTTTGTAAATGCGATCATACCATGATGAACAACCTGTCTTTTGATGAAATCAGTCAACAACCACTGTGGGTCACCCCCATATATGCAGTCACCCAGAGAGCCAGGATCTTAAAAAATGTTATCTTTCACAAATGCAGGCGTACAAAAAGGATATCTCTTCATTTGCTGAGGAAGTTTCAACGTTTTTTACACGCACAAACACAGTGCTTACACACAAATTCAAAATTGTGATAGATCACTTTCATGGAGTCAAATTTGCCAAAAAAATGCATAAAACTGGAACTCTCTAAAACTCTCTATATAGTTTATACCTCCAGTATTGAAATAATGCAAAAACAAAACACATAGCATAGCAAATTGTAAAATAATAATGCTGACAATTTAAAATAGTGCAAAAAACATTTAAAAGAAAAAGAAAAACAAAAAACTTAAAAGAAAATTCAACGTATGGAAAAAATGTACTATAGATTATGGGCAATTGCAAGGAAATAGTTAATAAGAGCTGACTGACTTTCACAATCATTATATTTTGAAGTCTTACATCATGAAGAATAGCTGCTTTTTATCTTTCAGGACATGGCTGTCTCAGATAATATTTTCACAATCATTTTCTATGAAGTACTGCTCTTTTTGAAATTCTTCTATTTCTAATTCTTTAAAAAGTGTGTCTTTTTATCATACCATGCACATGATTATTTTTGAACCAGTCAGTAACATCTCTGACTTCTTCAGGCAAATGTGCCTTCAATGCGTTAAAATCTCCTGGAACGTCATTAGCCAGGAGGAATGATGCATTTTTAAACTGAGGTTTTTGTCATCACCATATTATGGCTAATCCACTCATCTGAATTTTCTGCCAAATGCAAATAAAGATAAAAACAAGGTGATAGTTCTACTTAACATGGTGCAACTAACATGACGTAACTATCCTGCATACAACTGAAAGCACATTAATCCCTTCCAAAGAATTCAGCTTTCAGGATTTTAACATTTGGGCTGTTAAGCTTGAGATTGTAATTTTGAGGATTTTAGACATTAGGGATTTTAATCTTTAGAGATTTCACATTTGAGATTATGGCTTTCAAGATCGTGTCTTTTGGGATTATGATCCAAACCATCCCAAGACACAACAATATTGAATTTGGGCCAGTTAAGTGTTCAAGTGAAAAGAAGAGTTGCCTTCTCTCACTTTAAATCAAAAGCTTTCTATGTTTAAGTTTAGTGAGAAAGGCATGTCAAAAGCTAAGATTGGCATAAGAGGCCTAGGTTTTGGCCTAACAGCCAAGTTGTAAATGTAAAGGAAAAGTTCTTGAAGAAAATTAAAAGGGCTACTCCAGTGAATGCACAAATGATAAGAAAGTGAAACAGCATTGTTTGATATGGAGAAAGTTTTAGTTGTCTGGATAGAAGATAAAAACAGCCACAACACTTCCTTCAGTCAAAGACTAACCCAGAGTAAGACCCTAACTCTCTTCAGTTGTATGAAGGCTGAGAGAGGTGAGGAAGCTGCAGGAGAAAAGTTTGAAGCTACTAGAAGTGGGTTAATGAAGCCATTTCCAGAACTTAAAAGTGCAAGGTGAAGCAGGAAGTGCTGATGCAGAGGCTGTAACAAGTTATCCAGAAGATCTGGCTAAGATAACTGATGAATGTGGCTACACTAAACAACACATTTTCAATGTAGACGAAACAGTCCTATATTGGAAGAAGATACCTAGGACTTTTATAACTGGAGAAAAGAAGTCAGTGCCTAACTCCAAAGTTTCAAACAACAAGCCTGACTCTCTAACTAGGGGCCAATGCAGCTGGTAACATTAAATTGGAGCCAATGCTCATTGACCATTCTGAAATTTCCAGGGTCCTTAAAAATTATGTTAACTCTTTCCTGCCTAAGCTCTATAAGTGGGACAACAAAGCCTAGATAATAATAGGACATGTATTCACAGCGTGGTGTACTGAATATCTTAAGCCCACTGTTGAGACCTACTGCTCAGGAAAAAGAAAATCCCTTCAAAATATTACTATTCATTGACAATGCATCTGGTCACCCAAGAGCTCTGATGGAGATATGCAAGGACATTAATGTTTTCATGCCTAACACAACATTAATTCTGCCATGGATCAAAGAGTAATTCTAACTTTCAAGTCTTAGTATTTAGGAAAGCCATTTTGGTTTTTGGGTCTTTTGTTTTGTTTTGTTTTGTTTGGGTTTTTTTTCGAGGCAGAGTCTCCCTCTGTCTCCCAGTCTGGATAACAGTGCCACAATCTCAGCTCACTGCAACCTCCGCCTCCTGGGTTCAAGAATTCTCCTGCCTCAGCCTCCCAAGTAGCTGGGATTACAGGTGCCCACCACCACACCCAGCTAATTTTTGTATTTTTAGTAGACATGAGGTTTCACCATGTTGGCCAGGCTGGTCATGAACTCCTGACCTCAAGTGATTCACCCTTCCTAGCCTCCCAAAGGGCTGGGATTACAGGCATGAGCCACTGCACCCATCCTGGAAATACATTTTGTAATGCTATAGCTGCCTTGGATACTGATTCCTCTAATAAATCTGGGCAAAGTTAATTGAAAATCTTCATGAAAAGATTCACCTTCTAGATACCATTAAGAACATTTATAATTCATGGGAGGAAGTCAAAATATCAATACTAATAAGAGTTTAGAAGTTGATTCCAATTCTCATGGACGACTGAGTGGTCTAAGACTTCAGTAGAGAAGATAACCACAGATGTAGCAGAAATAGTAGGAGAACTAGAATTAGAAGTACAGCCTGAAAATGTGACTAAATTGTTGCAATCTCATGATAAAACTTGAATGGATGAGGACTTGCTTCTTATGGATGAGCAAAGAAAGTGGTTTCTTAAGATGGAAATTACTCCTGATAAAGATGCTTTGAACATTGTTGAAATGAAAACAAAGGATTTAGAATAGTAAAAAAGGCATTTAGAATATTACATAAATTTAATTGATAAACAAGCAGCAGAGTTTGAGAGAATTTACTCCAATAAAACGTTATCCAACAGGATCACATGTTACAGAGAAATCTTTCATGAAAAGAGTCAATCAATGTGGTAAATTTTACTGTTGTCTTATTTTAAGAAATCGCCACAGCCACGCCAATCTTCAGCAACATCACCCTGATCAGTCAGCAGCCATTAACGTGGAGGCAACACCTTTCACCAATAAGAAGATTATGACTCGCTGAAGGCTCAAGTGATCATTAGCATTTTTTAGCAGTAAAGTATTACTAATTAAGGTATTTGCATTTTTATAAATAATGATATTGCACACTTAGTGGATTACAGTATAGAACAAATGTAACTTTTATATGCCCTGGGAATATAAAAACAATGTGTGTGACTCACTTTATTGCAATATTTGCTTTATTTTAGTGGTCTAGAACTGAACCCATGATATTGCCAAGATATACCTGTACTTAGTTTCTGACCTATTCACTAATTTATCAGTATAGGTGAATGCCACCTTCAAGTATTCAATTGAACACCTAGGTCACCAAATATATATAAAAACATAAAAGAAGACCAAAACTATGTCTACCATTAGAATTGTGATCAAAAGCATGTTTACTTACAATTTCTATTTTGGCCTTCACCTCAAACCTGAAAGATAAGCAGGGTGGGTATTATTAACCACATTTTATAGATTAGTAAACCTAGGATCAGAAAGCTTTTGCCCTACTTTTTAATTGGTGACAAAGCACAAACTGGAACAATTATTTCCTGGCCCTTTACATATGAGTGTCACTACTGAACCATCCAGTGTGGCAAGCATTAAAATGTTTTCCCTAAACTTGAAGATGCAATGACCCATCCACACTTTTGCTTGATTAATCACTAAGGAACATAAAATCACATTAAACATTTCTATGCGACAATGCTAGGCATTCAGTAACTACCGACAGATCCATTCATGTGACTGTGAGGTCGTGAAACACAGAAAACCAATTAGTTGTCTACCTACCATTCAAATTTATGTCACCCTTTAGTCACTTATTCTAGCCATCTGAGCTAATTCATGGTTTTTGCAATTAAAAAAATACTGAAACATTTCTAAATCTAAGGACATACTTTGAGTGAACACCAAACAGTTTGTATGGTAGATTGGGTTTTTTTTTTTTTTTTTTAACTCAGGTAACTAGCAAACTTTATGTTTAAAAAAAAAAACTCACCGTGTTACTGATAATCGAAAATGGATTTACTTAGCTGGGTAGCTTTAATTAGTTTGCTGGTACTCCAAAGACTTTTGAAAGAATGGGATTTTTTTCTAATACCTGTAATGCATACAAGTGTTAAATCAAAGCCAACTCCAGCAAAATCTAATTCTAAAAGCCCCAGAGTAAAATCAAGATAAAATAATTTACACCACAACCACTGCATCAAAATAGAAAGAAGTCTCTGAATAGTCCAATAGCTACCACCACTATGATTTTCCAAAGAAAAACAGAATTTAAGATTTTTCTAATAAATCCCACATCTGTTACATTTCTGTTGCTCTCAGCTTGTCTAAAAGGGTTATTACTTCTAAAGCATATCAATTTAACAAGCATATCATATAGTAAAGACAGACGGAAACATACTAAAATGAAAAGAGAGACAACTCCTTGATGACAAAATTATATGTGTCTTTCTTTTTCTTTTCAAATATACACTTAATGTTGCTATAAGATTATTACAGTCCCCCCACACTCCATCCCCAGCTCTTGGTTCTTCAGCTTTGGCTTCCCTGGTTCTGAGGCCTTTAGACTTGGACTGAGCCATGCTACCAGCTTCCCTGGTTCTCCGGCTTGCAGATGGCCTATCCTAGGATTTATAGTTAAGATTGTTATTTAATAACTAAAAAGCAAGAAAAACTATCAGGCTTACCAGGGACAGTGTCTCAGCCTTAGTGTAGCACCACTTAGAGAATTAGGACTGTTGCTGTGCATGGTCAGCTCTGCACCCACCTATTCTTTGACCCCAGAGGGCTCTCTCCATTTCACTGGGTCTGTGCTTCTCTACCAATGAAATGATGATACATAAAATGACCTATTCTACCTCATATATTAGAAGAGCACAAAAAGGATTCACACAAATATGCAGCTATCCAATTCAGGCGAAGAAGGTTTGGCAAGTTGGAAGTTGCTTTTGAAAACCAAGTAGACAAAACACTGTACTAGGGATTCTATTCAGTGCAATAAAGAAAAAAAAGGCAGAAGGATTGAAAGACAAGAAGAAAACTGCTGTCACTGATTGCAGATACACTAATGTGTGAGTAGAAAATAAAAAAAAATTTACAGATAATGCATTGAAATTCATTAGTGAATTTGGCAAGTTTCCTAGATAAAAGGCCAAAAAAAAGGTAATTATTCTATGTACTAGCAAATAAATAGAAAACAATGTTTTAAACGCCATTATACCTGCATCTTAAAAACTTAAACACGTAGGAATAAATCTAACAAAAGATGTACAAGACTTCTACATAGAAGCCTATAAAACACTGATTGAAAGAGATACTGGTATAAGAAGTCAGTTGTCTCCAGATCCCAGCAGGGTGTTTTTTATTTTATTTTTAAATTGAGAACTGATTCAAAAATTTTTTTCTTTCTTTCTTTTTCTGTGACTCAAAATTGTATGTGGAAATGCAAAAGAGCAACGATAGCCAAGACAAATTTGAAGAGGAAGATCAAAATGGGAGGATTTACACTACCCAGATATCAAGATTTTTAAATCTTTAGTAATTAAAACAGAATAGACAAATAGACCACTGGAGCAGAAGAGAAAGTCGAGAAACCGGCCCACGGTTTTATGGAGAATTAATTTATGTCAAGGGTGGCACTGCACAGCAGTGGGTAGAGGAGTTTATTTTCAGTAATGGTGCTGAGTAAATTGGATATTCTTATGAGAGGGGGAAGAAACCCTCACCCCTACCTCATGCCATAGACAAAAAATTAATGTCAGGTTAATTTTAGATCTAAATATAAAAGTTAAAACAACAGAGATTCTAGATGAAATAACTTCATAACCTGGAGGTTAGGGAATAGATCTCAGAAATAGTATACAAAAAGCATTTAAAGAAAATGACTCATAATTAGACTACGTTAAGGAAAATAACTAGGAATAGGAACACCTCCAGTCTACAGCTCCCAGTGTGAGAGACGCAGAAGATGGGTGATTTCTGCATTTCCAACTGAGGCACCGGGTTCATCTCACTGGGTAGTGTTGGAAAGTGGGTGCAGGACAGTGGGTGCAGCGCACCGAGCGTGAGCCAAAGCAGGGCGAGGCATCGCCTCATCCGGGAAGCGCAAGGGGTCAGGGAATTCCCTTTCCTAGTCAAAGAAAGGGGTGACAGACAGCACCTGGAAAATCGGGTCACTCCCACCCTAATACTGCGCTTCTCCAACAGTCTTAGCAAATGGCACACCAGGAGATTATATCCCGCGCCTGGCTTGGAGGGTCCTACGCCCACGGAGCTACGCTCATTGCTAGCACAGCAGTCTGAGATCAAACTGCAAGGCGGCAGCGAGGCTGGGGGAGGGGCCCCCGCCATTGCCAAGTCTTGAGTATGTAAACAAAGCAGCCAGGAAGCTCAAACTAGGTGGAGCCCACCGCAACTCAAGGAGGCCTGCCTGCCTCTGTAGACTCCACCTCTGGGGGCAGGGCATAGCCAAACCAAAGGCAGCAGAATCCTCTGCAGACTTAAATGTCCCTGTCTGACAGCTTTGAAGAAAGTAGTGGTTCTCCCAGCACGCAGCTGGAGATCTGAGAACAGACAGACGGCCTCCTCAAGTGGGTCCCTGAGCCCTGAGCATCCAAACTGGGAGGCACCCCCTATTAGGGGCAGACTGACACCTCACACGGCCGGGTACTGCTCTGAGACAAAACTTCCAGAGGAATGATCAGGCAGCAACATTTGCTGTTCACCAATATCTGCTGTTCTGCAGCCTCCGCTGCTGATACCCAGGCAAACATGGTCTAGAGTGGACCTCCAGCAAACTCCAACAGACCTGCAGCTGAGGGTCCTGTCTGTTAGAAGGAAAACTAACAAACAGAAAGGACATCCACACCAAAACCCCATCGGTACGTCACCATCATCAAAGACCAAAGGTAGATAAAACCACAAAGATGAGGAAAAAACAGAGCAGGAAAACTGGAAACTCTAAAAATCAGAGCGCCTCTCCTCCTCCAAAGGAATGCAGCTTCTCACCAGCAACAGAACAAAGCTGGATGGAGAATGACTTTGATTAGTTGAGAGAAGAAGGCTTCAGATGAACAAACTACTCCGAGATAAAGGAGGAAGTTCAAACCCATGGCAAAGGAGTTAAAAACCTTGAAAGAAAATTAGACGAATGGCTAACTAGAATAACCAATGCAGAGAAGTCCTTAAAGGACCTGATGGAGCTGAAAACCAAGGCACGAGAACTACATGACGAATGCACAAGCCTCAGTAGCCGATTCGATGAACTGGAAGAAAGGGTATCAGTGATGGAAGATCAAATGAATGAAATGAAACGAGAAGAGAAGATTAGAGAAAAAAGAATAAAAAGAAATGAACAAAGCCTCCAAGAAATATGGGACTATGTGAAAAGACCAAATCTACATCCGATTGGTGTACCTGAAAGTGACGGGGAGAATGGAACCAAGTTGGAAAACACTCTGCAGGATATTATCCAGGAGAACTTCCCCAGTCTAGCAAGGCAGGCCAACATTCAAATTCAGGAAATACAGAGAATGCCACAAAGATATTCCTCGAGAAGAGCAACTCCAAAACACATAATTGTCAGATTCACCAAAGTTGAAATGAAGGAAAAAATGTTAAGGGCAGCCAGAGAGAAAGGTCGGCTCACCCACAAAGGGAAGCCCATCAGACTAACAGTTGATCTCTTGGCAGAAACTCTACAAGCCAGAAGAGAGTGGGGGCCAAAATTCAACATTCTTAAAGAAAAGAATTTTCAACCCAGAATTTCATTTCCAGCCAAACTAAGCTTCATAAGTGAAGGAGAAATAAAATCCTTTACAGACAAGCAAATGCTGAGAGATTTTGTCACCACCAGGCCTGCCCTAAAAGAGCTCCTGAAGGAAGCACTAAACATGGAAAGGAACAACCGGTACCAGCCACTGAAAAAACATGCCAAATTGTAAAGACCATCAAGGCTAGGAAGAAACTGCATCAACTAACAAGCAAAATAACCAGCTAACATCATAATGACAGGATCAAATTCACATATAACAATATCAACCTTAAATGTAAATGGGCTAAATGCTCCAATTAAAAGATACAGACTGGCAAATTGGATAAAGAGTCAAGACCCATCAGTGTGCTGTATTCAGGAGACCCATTTCACGTGCAGAGACACACATAGGGTCAAAATAAAGGGATGGAGGAAGATCTACCAAACAAATGGAACACAAAAAAAGGCAGGGGTTGCTATCCTAGTCTCTGATAAAACAGTCTTTAAACCAACAAAGATCAAAACAGACAAAAAAGGCCATCACATAATGGTAAAGGGATCAATTCAACAAGAAGGGCTAATTATCCTAAATATATATGCACCCAATACAGGAGCATCCAGATTCATAAAGCAAGTCCTTAGTGACCTATAAAGAGACTTAGACTCCCACACAATAATAATGGGAGACTTTAACACCCCACTGTCAACATTAGATCAACAAGACAGAAAGTTAACAAGGATATCCAGGAACTGAACTCAGCTCTGCACCAAGTGGACCTAATAGACATCTACAGAACTCTCCACCCCAAATCAACAGATTATATATTCTTTTCAGCACCACACCACACCTATTCCAAAATTGACCACATAGTTGGAAGTAAACCACTCCTCAGCAAATGTAAAAGAACAGAAATTACAACAAACTGTCTCTCAGACCACGGTGCAATCAAACTAGAACTCAGGATTAAGAAACTCACTCAAAACTGCTCAACTACATGGAAACTGAACAACCGGCTCCGGAATGACTACTGGGTACATAACGAAATGAAGGCAGAAATAAAGATGTTCTTTGAAACCAACGAGAACAAAGACACAACATACCAGAATCTCTGGGACACATTTAAAGCAGTGTGTAGAGGGAAATTTATAGCACTAAATGCCCACAAGAGAAAGAAGGAAAGATCTAAAACTGATACCCTAACATCACAATTAAAAGAACTAGAGAAGCAAGAGCAAACACATTCAAAAGCTAGCAGAAGGCAAGAAATAACTAAGATCAGAGCAGAACTGAAGGAAATAGAGACACAAAAAACCCTTCAAAAAAAATCAATGAATCCAGGAGCTGGTTTTTTGAAAAGATCAACAAAATTGATAGACCGCTAGCAAGACTAATAAAGAAGAGAAAAGAATCAAATAGATAGACGCTATAAAAAATGATAAAGGGGATATCACCACCGATCCCACAGAAATACAAACTAGCATCAGAGAATACTATAAACACCTCCCTGCAAATAAACTAGAAAATCTGGAAGAAATGGATAAATTCCTCAACACATACACCCTCCCAAGACTAAACCAGGAAGAAGTTGAATCTCTGAATAGACCAATAACAGGCTCTGAAATTGAGGCAATAATTAACAGCCTACCAACCAAAAAAAGACCAGGACCAGATGGATTCACATCCGAATTCTACCACAGGGACAAGGAGGAGCTGGTACCATTCCTTCTGAAACTATTCCAATCAATAGAAAAAGAGGGAATCCTCCCTAACTCATTTTATGAGGCCAGCATCATCCTGATACCAAAGTCTGGCAGTCACATAACAAAAAAAGAGAATTTTAGACCAATATCCCTGATGAACATCGATGGAAAAATCCTCAATAAAATACTGGCAAACTGAATCCAGCAGCACATCAAGAAGCTTATCCACCACAATCAAGCGGGCTTCATCCCTGGGATGCAAGGCTGGTTCAACACATGAAAATCAATAAATGTAATCCAGCATATAAACAGAACCAACGACAAAAACCACATGATTATCTCAATAGATGCAGAAAAGGCCTTTGACAAAATTCAACAACCTTCATGCTAAAAACTCTCAATAAATTAGGTATTGTATTGATGGGATGTATCTCAAAATAATAAGAGCTATCTATGACAAACCCACAGCCAATATCATACTGAATGGACAAAAACTGGAAGCATTCCCTTTGAAAACTGGCACAAGACAGGGATGCCCTCTCTCATCACTCCTATTCAATATAGTGTTGGAGGTTCTGGCCAGGGCAATCAGGCAGGAGAAGGAAATAAAGGGTATTCAATTAGGAAAAGATGAAGTCAAATTGTCCCTGTTTGCAGATGACATGATTGCACATCTAGAAAATCCCATCGTCTCAGCCCAAAATCTCCTTAAGCTGATAGGCAACTTCAGCAAAGTCTCAGGATACAAAATCAATGTGCAAAAATCACAAGCATTCTTTCACACCAATAGCAGACAAACAGAGAGCCAAATCATGAGTGAACTCCCATTCACAATTGCTTCAAAGAGAATAAAATACCTAGGAATCCAACTTACAAGGGATGTGAAGGACTGCTTCAAGGAGAAGTACAAACCACTGCTCAATGAAATAAAAGAGGATACAAACAAATGGAAGAACATTCCATGCTCATGGGTAGGAAGAATCAATATCGTGAAAATGGCCATATTACCCAAGGTAATTTATAGATTCAATGCCATCCCCATCAAGCTACCAATGACTTTCTTCACAGAATTGGAAAAAACTACTTTAAAGGTCATATGGAACCAAAAAAGAGCCCACATTGCCAAGTCAATCCTAAGCCAAAAGAACAAAGCTGGAGGCATCATGCTACCTGACTTCAAACTATACTACAAGGCTACAGTAACCAGAACAGCATGGTACTGGTACCAAAACAGAGATATAGACCAATGGAACAGAACAGAGCCCTCAGAAATAATGCCGCATATCTACAACCATCTGATCTTTGACAAACCTGAGAAAAACAAGCAATGGGGAAAGGATTCCCTATTTAATAAATGGTGCTGGGAAAACTGGCTAGCCATATGTAGAAAGCTGAAACTGGATCCCTTCCTTACACCTTATACAAAAATTAATTCAAGATGGATTAAAGACTTAAATGTTAGACCTAAAACCATAAAAATCCTAGAAGAAAACCTAGGCAATACCATTCAGGACATAGGCATGGGCAAGGACTTCATGTCTAAAACACCAAAAGCAATGGCAACAAAAGCCAAAATTGACAAATGGGATCTAATTAAACTAAAGAGCTTCTGCACAGCAAAAGAAACTACCGTCAGAGGGAAGAGGCGACCTACAGAATGGGAGGAAAATTTTGCAATCTACTCATCTGACAAAGGGCTACTATCCCGAATCTACAATGAACTCAAACAAATTTACAAGAAAAAAACAAACAACCCCATCAACAAGTGGGCAAAGGATATGAACAGACACTTCTCAAAAGAAGACATTTATGCAGCCAAAAGACACATGAAAAAATGCTCATCATCACTGGCCATCAGAGAAATGCAAATCAAAACCACAATGAGATACCATCTCCCACCAGTTAGAATGGCAATCATTAAAAAGTCAGGAAACCACAGGTGCTGGAGAGGATGTGGAGAAATAGGAACACTTTTACACTGTTGGTGGGACTGTAAACCAGTTCAACCATTATGGAAGTCAGTGTGGCGATTCCTCAGGGATCTAGAACCAGAAATACCATTTGACCCAGCAATCCCATTACTGGGTATATATCCAAAGAATTATAAATCATTCTGCTATAAAGACACATGCACACATATGTTTATTGTGGCACTATTCACAATAGCAAAGACTTGGAACCAACCCAAATGTCCAACAATGATAGACTGGATTAAGAAAATGTGGCACATATACGCCATGGAATACTATGCAGCCATAAAAAAAATGATGAGTTCATGTCCTTTGTAGGGACATGGATGAAGCTGGAAACCATCATTTTCAGCAAACTATTGCAAGGACAAAAAACCAAACACCGCATGTTCTAACTCATAGGTGGGAATTGAACAATGAGAACACATGGACACAGGAAGGGGAACATCACATACCGGGGCCTGTTGTTGGGTGGGGGGAGTGGGGAGGGATAGCATTAGGAGATAGACCTAATGTTAAATGACGAGTTAATGGGTGCAGCACACCAACATGGCACATGTATACATATGTAACTAACCTGCACGTTGTGCACATGTACCCTAAAACTTAAAGTATAATTAAAAAAAAAAGAAAAATAACTTAAATACAAAAAAAAAGGTTTTGTTAAAATATACCATCAAAAAAGTGAAATGAAAAATAGAAAAATATTTACGAAATATCTAGCCAACGAAGAACTCATATTCAACATACATTAAGAATGTTTATTTACATGTTAGACAATCCAGTAGATAGTTGAGCAAAAGCCATGAACAGGCACTTTTTAAATGAAGATATCTGAATAACCAACAAACACTGATGAAGGCATTCAGCTTCATTAGTCATCAGGGAAATGCAAATTTAAAAACTGCTATGATTGCTACACAACACCAAAATGGCTTAAGCAAAAAAGACCTAGTAATATCAAGTGCTGTAAGGAATGCCAAGCTGGCTGGGCACAGTGGTTCACACCTGTAATCCCAGCACTCTGGGAGGCTGAGGCAGGAGGATTGCTTGAGGCGAGGAGTTCGAGACCAGCCTGGGAAACATAGCAAGACACTCACCTCTAAAAAAATTAATAAATAATAATGTAGAGCAACTGGAAGGCACATATGCTGCTGGCGTGGATATATAAAGTTCAAAAACAGGCAAAATTTACCTTTAATGCTAGAAATCAGAATGTTGTCACCTTTGGGGAGAACATGGTGGGATAAAAAGACTGGGAAAAAATACACGTCAGAAGGAGGGGCTTTTGAGGTATAATCTCATATTTTTATCTTCATGGAGATTACACAACTGTGTTCAATTTGTTGGACTTCATCAAGCTGTACACTTTACACATGTGTATCTCCCTATATATACAGCAGTTGTTAAAAGTTTGCATAAAAATTGAACCACAGGTATTAAGAACTAGAAGACTATAGTTAATAGAAACAGTCAGACTATGATGCCGGCTGACAAATTTTCTGAAAATTCTGCAAATCTTAAGGCATAATTCCAAAATTAGGGCAATATCCCTTGGTTCACCAGGTTGTTTTTTTTTTTTAAAGCTTTTTATACCATCTCACAGCCAAGGCCTCCTGGAGATGTTTTGCCTTTAACTAAGCTAAGAAATCTGGCAACTGTGGAAGTCTGAAGCTTTAGTCATTTTCTTCAAATGCTCCTCCAGACCTTGAGCAGTAGAGACAACTAGCAGAGAAGAGAGGACACAGAGGGCCATTAAATCTCAGCATGGGAAGGAAGGCTTAGAAGTCATCAGTCAAACCTTATTCAACACACAGGAGGCATCCTGCAGCATTGTGGCAGGTAGTCACTTAGCCTCTGCTTCAGCATCTTCAAGGTCAGAAGCTAAGGCAACCTATTCCCCGGATGAAGAGCTTTCCATGTCCGCAAGCCAGCCTACGTAAAGCTCCCAAATCTGCCCCTCTTTAACTCATACTCTTTGGATATAAAAGAATAAACCCTCTCCAAATAGCACCTTTTCAGATATGAAAACAAATAGCATGCCTCCCGATAGTTTCTCTTCTTTACACCAAATATCCTTCACTCCTTCTCATACTAAATTGGACACTGTCAGATTGAGAAGAGTTTTCCTCTTCTTCCTTGAAGGACTTTGAAGCCAATTTGATTCACCTTATCAGAGGTCCAGGAAATGATAAAATCTAGCCATGGGAGACAAGCATGGCCAGGCCAATTTTGTGTATAAGCAGACCAGGCTGTTGCCTTTTCTCCACGATTTGAGGGACAGAGAAATTGTCATATTTATTTATTTTTAGACAGAGTCTCACTCTGTCACCCAGGATGGAGTGCAGTGGCACCATCACAGCTCACTGCAGCCTTAACCATCCTGGTTTCAGGTGATCCTCCTGCCTCAGCCTCCCAAGTAACTAGTATAGGCACATACCATCATGCCAGCTAATTTTTGTATTTTTTTGTAGAGATGTGGCTTAGCCATGTTGCCCAGCATGGCTTGTCTTGAGCTCCTGGTGCTCAACCTATCCTCCCACATCAGCCTCCCAAAGTGCTGGGATTACCGACATGAGCCACCACGCCCAGTAGAGGGGCAGAGAAATTTTCTATGAATAAAACATTTCCCCACTTGCCTACCTCAAAACCTGAAATTCTCATATAAATCACAACTCTGTGTTAACGCTTCAAAGATTACCATGAAAAGACAAATGTTCATGTTTGGTCATGGGATAACATTAGAGAAGAAACTAGTTTTGAGATTAAATAGAAGGCTGAGGAAGTAGATCATGGGGCAGGTGCATTAGTGGGGAGTGAGAAAGTACATGCAGAGTGAGACAACCCAAGAGGACAAATCCAGGGAGAAACCAGAGTGTGGGGCACCTAGGAACTTGGACTAAATGAAGGTATAAACACCTAGAAAGAAAAGTCAACTGAGAGGGAGAAGGAAAATGGACAGTTTTTAAAGAGCTAACTCTTCCTATAGGCAGAGACATGGGATCTCTCTTCCATCAGAAACTCCTTAGACTGGTAGGTGGCTCTGAAGCAGGAGCAGGAAATTCTCTCTCTTTCTCCTCACCCCACCCCCACCCTATCTCCCTATCTCTC
The DNA here is from genome assembly GCF_000001405.40 of Homo sapiens. Classification (NCBI taxonomy): domain Eukaryota; kingdom Metazoa; phylum Chordata; class Mammalia; order Primates; family Hominidae; genus Homo; species Homo sapiens. The sequence continues at coordinate 63,942,156 of NC_000010.11, read as the reverse complement.
TCATGACAGCACTTCTGTGGCAGGCCAGGTCTCACTAACAACTGACCAAGCAGGCCTCCATGACAACTGTTTCAGCGCTGACTGAGTGGTTAGGTAAAATATTAAAAGCTGGTAGAGCCAGCACCCTCATATAAAGGCTGGAGTGTAACAAAAGCCCACCAAAAATTTTGCCTGGGCCTTGAAGCATGATAAGATAACGAAGGAATTCTTAACAGGACCCATTTAGGATTAAACAAGTTTTATTCAGGGTCTGAAGAAACTCCAGGCCCCCACAAACAAGTTTACTGGGGATCTGAAGGAACTCCCCAAACCTCCATGATTTAATAGGAGACAAGATAAGGGTAATCACCCATGGCACCTGGACCCATTTAGATTGAGTAAATTTACTGAGGCTTCAGAGGAAGGTCTTCAGGACTCAGACCTTAGTTATAGATCAGAAGAAGTTAATAACTTATGTCTTTAGATGAATGCACACTTACACGTAGACATATAGCTTAGAAGGTATATAAGCTCTGGAAAACTTTGTAATTTTGAGTTGGTCTGGCAATAATTTCCAGGCCTTCTCCCTGTAACCAGTTACAGAAATAAAAACTGTCTTCTTCCCCAGTTCATCTGCATCTCGTTATTGGGCCAAGAGAATGAGCAGCCCTACCCTTGGTTTGGTCCAGGAACACTTCCTTCTCCTTTCCTTTTTGTCACTATGCAGTTGGCCCACCAGGAACTGTCCTTGCCAGTGAGATCTGACATTCCCCAGCTTCCATGCCAGTAACTGGGTAAGTGGATAAATCACACCAGCCACAATCTGCATCCAGCTGCCCTGAATTTGTTGAGGGTAGGAGGAGTAGGAAGCTCCATTTGGGCTTCTGGTCTAAGTTATATCCTTCAACAGAGTTAAGTCAACTGCATCAAGACTATATGGAGGAAGGGCAGTTATTGGACAGCTAATAAAGCTTCATTTCAAACCCGTATGTCTCAGATTGTCTGTTCTTAGCTGGCAACCATTCAAATACAGGAGTAGCAAAGAGTGTTTGGCACCCTTAACTTCCAGCTGAAGTATACTGATAGGTGAGATTAGTTCTTTTGCAAGTTCTCCCTTCTATAAACATGTAAGCAAAGGTCTTCTGGCATAATGCTTTGAAATGAAAGAAGAGGCTTTATAAGGTAGAGATTTCAGCTTATGTGGAATTTTTTCATAAATAACATCTGTAGATATAGGATGCCTAAAATATTTACAAGAGGCTAGAGATATGGGATGCAGTTTCACACAGTAGGAAAGTAGCAAGTTCAGGAATAGAACACATGGTGTCTGCCTCTTTGTCTAGAGTTTCAATGGCCTGCCTTGCAGCCCACTGGGACTAGGAATTTTAGCCCTGCCACTGATGAGGGTGATGTGTGCCTCAGGGTCCTTTAATTATTGGTTGTAAGAAGGCATTCATTCTCTTCTGCTCACATGTTAATGTAGAGAGATGGAAAATCTGATTGTTCATCCCACAAATCCTTTGGTTTGTCACACCCACACCTGGGACCACATGCAATGAATTAAATTAGAATAACTGTTGATTTAATGGCTGCTTTGGAATTTTCTTAAAAAAACCTACCAAAGCTTTCTTTAGCCAGCTCTGTTCTTAAAAAGATAATTACACTTCAAGTTGGGAGACATTAACCATATCCCTAGGTAATGGATTTTGAACTTTGCAAGATTTATGGCTGCTTCTTCCTATTTAAAGACACTCAGCTCAGAAGATTGCATAGTTAAGTAGAAATGACAATTACGCATCTTCTGTTTCACTGAAAGCCTTTGGAACTTGGAAAGTAATCAGAAGGGTTGTTTTTTTTTTTTCCTTTTCTTATTTATTTTTAAAGAAAAAGAAAATTGGGCCGCAAAAATCAGAAATTTAGAACTAGAAAAGGCATTCAAAACCATTTTGTCACAACCCAGAGGAAACTGGCCAAAATACATCATAGTAAGTCCTTACTATTAATTTTCTATGTATTTTAAAGTTTAACCTTTATATCAACTTTATAAGTAAGTGCATAGCCCCATTTTTTAGATAAGATTGAGACTCAGAGGAATTACATAATGTTGCTTAGGACACACAGCTGCTAAGTGGAAGAGGTTGAGGTTCAAACTCAGCTCTGTTTTATCCTGAGGCTACATTCCTAACTCTCATTCAATCTTACCCCTTTCTTCCCTATCCTAAAAGGTGTCCTCAGTTACTCTCTGTCATGTCCCTCTTCCTTCATGGGATATCTGATTATCTATAATTATCTTGCTTAGCATCTTGTTTGCATTCTGTGTTCTCCCACTAAAATAAAAGCTTCATGGAAATGTCTGTCAGGTGCACTGTTACTCCCAGCTCCTAGCACATAATAGTCACTCATTCAAATGTTTAACAACTATTCTTGTTCAAAAACTTAGTCAGAATTCAAAATAGAACCAGAACCCAGATACCTACTGGCTCCTAGATCAATGCTTATTCCATAGTCATAATTTTCCATTCACCTGAGACTAGGGAGACTTTTCTATCCACTTTCTAAAGCCAATGGTGCCAACATTCCACCTCTTGACTTGCCTTCATAATAACCCTCCAACCCTGGCTAAACACCTTCTGCATACACAAAACTCCTCTAGGAAGAGTGGGTATATAAAGAAATATAAACTCAGGTCCTTGGTCCCAAGGACCCAAGGGATTCACAGTCAAGCTAGAAAGGTGATATGCCTTTAAAAAGTGACTCCCACCGCAAAGCAGCCTATTTTAAGTATCCAGTGAGCAGCTGTTTGTGACAAAGTTTGTCTTCCTGCAGAAATTTCAGTTCCAAGGAAATCTAAAGCATCACTAAGGTGAGGAGAAAGGAAGACTCCAATTTGCCAGCTCTGACATCTCCAGCACCTGCTGTTAATCACACACCTGCACTCAGGCGTGATTTGGCGGCTCCTGTGATTGGCCATTTCAATTGCTGTCTCTGTAGATCACCGTCCCAGCTGAATATCCAGAGACCACATTCATCAAAAGCATAATCTGGGCAGAACGTGACTGTTCTCCCAAAGCCAGAAGGATGGCATCAGAAAAAAAAAAGGGGGGGGGGGCAGTAATTTTAAAGAAAAGTTGGTTGTCTTTGAGGATAACGGATAACGGTTTTTATTTTTGCTATTAAAAGGACATCCTTGGTTCCTCTGGTATGGTTTCAAAACTACCAGAGTATTTATTTTTGACCACCCATAAGAACAAACATGATGCTAGCCAGGAATTCAGCAACTATCATCACAGTACACAGAGGATATTAGAATTCTCAGTACCTGAAAAATAAGCCGGCAAGTCGGTTAAGCGATATCAAAGGCAGCAAGGTGGGGTGGCAGAGCTCTGTGCTGAGAGCCTAGTGAGTAGGTACCTAGGGTGGTAGCTTCCTTCTGCCTGTCCACAAGCTCTCCCCAGCTGGGGCTTAAAGGGAAGGCAGGAGGCCCAGGCTGAACCAATTACAGGACCCCACCCCTCAGGTCCAATGACTGATCCAAGCCAGGCTTATCAGAGCCCTTCTCCAGCATTTTCCTCATGGAGCAGGAAGAGAAGAATCCCTCTTTTTTCTTTGGTTGTGAGGTATAAGGATGTAACCCAGAGCTTTCTGCAGCCATGTGGAGGAGTCAGAGCAAATGAAGCCAGCATCCAGAGAGGATCTGGAATAGGAAATAGTCAATTCCCAAATCCCAAGTTCCAGTCATAGACCTTTCCAGAGCCACCTCTCCCTGTAAGTCTTGTGTAAGTTACCCAGGGTCTTTCCAATAATTACTCTTATGCTAGTTACAATTGAGTCACTGTCACTAGCAACACAAGAATGACTGGCTAATAGAGAAATTAATACCCAGAAGTAGGGCAATGCAAATGGCAGACTCTTAGAATTAGGATAGGCTTAGTTGATATAAGGTAGAGGTGAATGCAAGATCCCTCCATTCCCAGCTGGGAAGGCAGAGTCCTCCTTAAAGGAAAACAAAGCAGGTGTTAACCATTACCTGTTATATCTTTGCAGACAGACCATGATAACATTTTGGTGGTTTGGTATAAAAATATTTTAAAAATAAGGACATGCTGGATAGTTCTTATGGCCTTCAGTAAGATCCTTCAAGATGAAAATAAGTCTCAATCCAAATTGGCATTTCTTAAAGCAGATAGGAGAAAATAAATAGATATGTGGTGTTGTTAAAACAGAGGCACTTTCTGCCTTTGGCTAGTGATCCAAAGCCGCTGAGGGTCAGACAGCCATGCTGCCTGCAAAACCATCAAAGATGAACCCTTTGCCCCACAGTAAAGTCACTGCACTGATAAGGAGAGGGGATAGTAAGGAATAACTCAGAAATGGGAAAGGCAGGTCACCCAGGCTTCTCCCAAACAATTCCTGCTGTGCACCTCTTCCTAAGGAAGAATAGTAAGTTTTTTCATCATAAGGCACAAATGATTGGGATGTAGACAGAAGCCTGATTGCAGATGAGCTCTGATTTATTTCAGCCTATTGCTTCAGTTGCCCTGAGGCAGGGGCCAAGGAAGAAGTTATTAGAGAGGCCATGGAAGGACAGGCAAAGTCCTATAGGTTTGTTTCTAAAAAACAAAACCTTCAAAGGCAAGGTCCAGAGTCAAATATTATGACTCAATAAGATTTCTGGTTGGCTATAAATCAATAGAGCCCATCATAATGAATTAAACATTGAAATCAAACTAGCTCTTTAAAAGAGATATTTTGCTGGAGAAATTCCTAAATTAGAAGCCTTTAAGCATTCAATCTCTAAGGTAAACCCCTGGGTCGCTGTAACTACAAAGATAGCAAAGGGGCTTCTCAAAGAATATTACCCTCCATAGGCAGCCCCTCTACCTATTGTGGCCATGGAGGGAAACAATCAAGGAAAAGAATGCCAAAAGGCTGAATGGCCATTGGGCAAATGGTCGGGCAGTTTGGGAGGTCAAGATGGGTGAATTGCTTGAGCTCAGGGGTTCAAGACCAGCCTGACCAACATGGAGAAACCCCGTCTCTACAAAAAATACAAAAATTACCCCGGCATGGTGGTGCGTGCCTGCAGTCCCAGCTACTTGGGAGGCTGAGATGAGAGGATGGCATGAGCACAGGAGGCAGAGGTTGCCGTGTGATGAGAACATGCCACTGCACCCCAACCTAGGCGATAGAGCCACATCTTGTCTCTAAAAAATAAAAAAAAAAAGAATGCCAAAGACCTAAAAGTAAAGAGAGTAAAAATGACAGAGAGTTAAAAAATGAATATGGCATACAGTCCTATTGAGTGGACTATGACATATTCCCTGGAGTGTAGCTATTCTGTTTTTCCTGTATTGTTGTATCTTGGATGGGTTAGAAACAGTTAAGTTAGCCCCAACACCCATAGATTTCAGAATCTCCAGCGGCTATATCTGACCTGACTGAGAGGCATTGTCTTAGTTCATTTGTGCTACAATAACAAAATACCACAGACTAGGTAATTTATAAACAATAGAAATTTGTTTCTCACAGTTCCGGAGACTGAGAAGTCCAAGGTCAAGGCAGCAGCTGGTTATCATCTGGTGAGAGTTTGGCCTCTGTTTCCAAGATGGTGTCTCATTGCTGCATCCTCGAAAGGGAAGAAATGCTGTGTCTTCACATGGTAGAAGACAGAGGGCAAGCTCCTCAGAACGCTGTGTGAAACCTCTTTTATGAGGATCTGAATCCAATTTATGAGGGGAGGAGCCCTCCTGATCTAATCACCTCTTAAAGGCCTCGCCTTTTAATACCATCACATTGACAACACCTGAACTTTGAAAGGTACACAGTCAAACCATAGCATGCATATCACCCAAGACCTTGCACCTGGTAATGGATGCAGTAGTTGGGTGATAGTTTGGGACAGCTGTCTTGAAGAAGGGGGATTATACTTGTCATTACACATGGATCTACTGCATTTTGTAGGCAGCCGTCAGAATTTTATATATGAAACTAAAAGTGTGTGTGGATTATGATGTCTGGGGCCTCACTTCAGACACAGAAATTGGTCCAAGGTAGGACCCAAGCCAGGTCCATCAGAGTTATTTTCTAGGTTCGTTCTGCTGGAGCTTCTGGGGAAGGTTTATCTTTCTCATTTGTTATAACCAGGAAGAATGTAACCTCAGAACTGTTGGAAAGCAGCATCCCCAGTGCCCCTTAAGGAGTCTTTGTGCAAAACAGAAAAATGTGCCTCTTCCTCAAAGTGTTTTTGTTAGAAAAAACACTTGAGTGCCATCTGCTGGAAATGTATCATAATAAACATACAAATCTTTGAGTGTGGTATGATTTGTGACACTTGGATGGAACACACTTGTACACTGCACACCATACATGGCAGCCCCACTGATAACCATGTCCCTACTACCTGGGGAAGTTTGACTCAATGATATCAACACCCCAAAATTGGCAGACATGAGAAGGTGTGAGAAATTCCCGTAGGCTTCAAGTTTTTTGGCTCCGGTTCCAAAAGTTGACCTGGCTTCTGTATGTCTTTCTTTCATTCTGTAAACAACTCCAAACTCTTTTCAATATACTCTTTTTGTATTAAGCTTGCAGCTCACTGAAATTTGATTTTTATTCCTTTTAATCAGAAGATTCCTGGCAAATATATACAATTTTACTCACTCTCTAGCCATATAACCTTACCTAAGTCACTTTACCTCTGGGAGCCCAAGATTCCTGAGCTATAAATTGAGCAACAACTGAGGCCAAGGGGGAAAGCATGTGAGGTAAACATACGTGAAAGGGCTTTGGAATTGTAATATGCTACAAGATGGGAGGGACTACAGGATGATGATGAAAATGAGGACGATGATGATAATTCAGATAGAGCAAGACAAAATGCAAAATCCATTCCAATTGTTTTGCAGCTCTTCTGTCTTTCTTCCAAGCATGGGCAGATTTTAATGTAGAAAGGAAGAAAAAAAGACAGAAAAGAAAATACAAATTTAGGTCAGAATCAATAGGCATAGGAGGATTGATTGTGCCCTCTGAACAAGAGGCTCAGGACTCTGTCCTACCCTCTTCCAACAGGAAGAATTGGATATGGATAATTGTGCAGAAAACATGTATGATCTGTAGCCATGAAAAGTAGTCCCTATCCAAAATCAATAAATTAAAAGATAAAACCGGAGACATCTTGTTTTCTTCTTCACAACCTGTTTAATCAGCTACCTATTAAACACAGTCCTTGGCATATCAACAAATAGAGGGAAAAAATTCCAGTTACTCTCAGAAACAAAAGAGTAAATACAATTAGCAGCTATTACTAACCCAGGTCAAAGACTTTTACCTATGCTCCATGTTAGTGGAGACAAAAGTCAGCAGTTAAACAATCAATCAGGTTGAAAATAGAGGGTTCAACATGGGGCACAATCTACTAACTGATCATCGCACATAAGCAGAGACCAGCATTCACTGTACTTTGAAACACCAGACTGCACTCTTTCATCAGAATGATCCAGTATATTTATTTCATCCTGACCTTTTCCTTATTTTTCCATACCTTAACTAATTCATCTGAGCTTGGCAGATTAATTAGTTAACCAGCAAATCTTTACTGAGGCACACCATTTGCAAAGCTCTGGGCTAATCAGTTCAGGGCCTATGAAAATGAGTACAGATATGGCTCCTGCCTTCATGAAATGTGAAATCTAGGTGGGGAAAGAAAACAGTCACATATGGAAGTTAAATCTTCTTAGTTCATTAATGAGTTTATTCACCCATTGATTCATTCATCAAATACTTATTCAATACTTAGGTACCAGAAGAAAAAACTAAGGCAAACATGGCCCCTGACTAACAGAGGCTACAGTCTACCCAGGAAGAGAAGTGTTAAACACTTTATTTTCATCTATAATTGATGCTATCAAGGACACCTACATGATGCTTTCAGTACATTAATATTTTTTCCTAAGAAAGTCACGTGTAAGTTAATGATCAAAGGATGTGTGGCAGTTAACCAGGTGAGGAGAAATAAAACATTTTAGGTAAATTAAAAAAAACACATATGAAGAAACTATAATGGGAGACAGCTTAGGACATTAGAACTAATTAAAAGGAGACCAGAGGGTCTAAAGCACTGTGAAAAGGAGGAGAACAGGTCAATATGCAAATGAGAACTAGACAGGGGCCAGGCCATGTTAAGAATCTTATACTAATAGCAATTAGAAGGCATTCAAGGATTTTAAGGAGTATCAGGATCACATTTGCATTCCATGAAGATTAGCCTGGCTGTGTGTGTTAGGAATGAATTGGAGGTTGGCAAAAGCAGAGTTAGGAGGCCAATCAGAAAAGGTGTTTCAGCCTGTGAACACAGCCTGTGAACATAGCAGATGACCAGGTCATACCAACAGCCACCACCTCACAGTCAGCACCACAGTCCTTTCCCAGCTCCTTCTGACGTTATCAACCCCTTAGATTAGAGGGAAAAGCTCTCCAGATACCCTAAAATCCAACTTAAACATACTTTCCCTATTCCCAAACAATTCTATAAAAGGCATTTGGGTTCCATGATTTAATGAATACTTCAATTTAACTTTTTGGTGACTTTGCTTTTCATTTTTGAGCAGTTTTATAATTAAGAGGGACCTACCACACTTCTAAAGATTCTCAGAAAAAGGCTATAAGATACTGAAAGAGTTTAAATATTAGTTCTGTGGTATAGGCAAGAGACGCTAAAACTGCTTCAAAGTATCCTAAAGGCTTTTATGCAGACAATGAACTGATATCAAGAGGTACAGTTTCATGTTATTCATCAGGTCAAATTTTTGTCCACACTTGAGAAGTCAAGGAAGCCCCAAGGCATTAGAAGAGACAGGAAGGGGTAGGATCCAGTATGAAGGTAGAGGAGGGAGCCTTAGAATGTATGAGCCACTGCTATCCCATACAGGGCCTATGTCCAAATTGGATAAAGACTCCTCTGTCTCTGGGTAGTAGCAGCGTACCAGAACACAGAGTTTGGTAAACTGAAGACAAGCTAGACTTCAGCTCCCACATCCCTTGACTGGGCCTCCTCAGCTAGTAAACAATCTGTACAATATGCAGCAGCCCTGGACTTAAAGAGAAGGCAACAAGGCAAGCTCTCTGAGATGAAGGCAAGGTGAGCAGTCTATGGCACAGTGGTTCAGATCAGGGACTCTGCAGCCACAATATGGTTTTGAATCCTGCTTTACTAGCTGTGTGCCCATGGACAAGTTACTTGATCACTCTGTCCCTTGGTTTTACCATCTAAAAAATGGGAGAAATAATAGTACCCACCTCAAAAGAATGTTATAAGAATTGAGTTAATATTTGGTACATAGTAATCATCATTTACTTAAGTGTTACTTAAATGAAATAAATAAAAAGGTATAGAGTGAGTGGGATGTTTTCTCTGTATTAGGCAAGGCCATTTTGCTATGTAGCAACCAAACATGTAAAAAGCAATTTCTACAGAAAACTGAAAAAGGTTACAGGGCCATCTTAGAAAGAATGATGCCTCTGGTATAAGAACTGATGCTACCTATGAACATCCCTTGTCTGAAAGACTTCAGAGTCATCTCCCACTTTCCAAGATGTTCCGCCTTTAAGCTACTGTTTGCTCAGGAGATTCTTCAGTTCCAGCTGCTACAAGGAAAGCTGAAATCAGTAGGCAGCAAAAATTGAGAGCAACATCACTGCTCCCCATTTCCCGAAGTCACCTGAATTCATGCTGAACACGGGAGAATGATTCTGGCCTCCCCAGATGGTGAATACTTTCATGCGCCTTTTAAAAATGCTCATCTCACTCAAATATGTTTCTCAGCAGGGAGTGTCTACCTGCTGCTTGAATGCTCTGAGGATTAAGGGAAATTGTATGCATACACTAATGGCTACGTTTACTCAACAGTTATGGGAGAAATGAATATTTTGACACAAAACAACACTTTCACCTTGCATTATCAGTTCAATCATTCCCATACAAAAGTGTATTTCCCACTAGAAAAGATGACTACATTACTCACTGATCTATCTTAACAACTAAGGAAGGTCAGGGCAATGACAAACATACATACCAATCACCTATTTAGGCTACCTTCATCTGCTTGCCAAAAAGCCCTACCTGTAGCACCAAGAGAGCTGTTTAAAAAAAAAAAAAAAAAAAGCCCTGGTTGCCAGTACAATCTGCAGTGACCTAAACCTTCTGTGAGACATTAGTGACATTCATAGCAGGGAACATCTGGTCTAGTAAATTATTAGATTACTGAGCCAGACTCAAGTCAATGCCACGGTTTGTGGCACTCCATTTCCACACTGGCATGGTCTTCTCTGTGAAAGGTGCCCTTATTTTTCATCTTCAAACTTAAGAAGTAGAATTAACTTCAGGAGTTAAGTATGATATTAACCATTTGAAGGATCTACATTCATTAAGGTTCAATACAGAAAACAGAAAGAGCTCTAAGTATTTTCAGCAGGAAAAGATTTACTGCAGGGAATTTTGGAGTTTACAAAATTAATGGAAGGGCTAAAGGAACATGTTCTAAGATGGGCCTCCAGGAATGACTGCCAAAACAATAGAAAACTGGCCCACCTCTGAGGCTGCCGCTGGAGACATAAATGCAAAATTATACCCATGTGTAGCTGGAGCCCAAGAATTAGAGAGCAGAATCAAGATGACACTGCTGCCATGATGGCCTCTCAATACTTGGGAAGCTGGAGATTAGACACTGGAATGCTGATGCCAAACAACTCACATTCCCCCATCCTTGCTTATGAATAAAAACAGAAAAAGGAAGCAGGAAAAGGGCTTCTACCTCCCTCCCACCTTGTATATCTTAAAACAAAAACATCTAATTGGAACAATCTATTTTATATCCAGAGTCCTGTTTATAAAAAGGTGTTGGAAATGTAATTTGTAGCTTTTTAACCTCTTCATAGAGGATAGTAAAATGTAAATTGAGTAAGGCAATCAAAAGAATTCACTACATGACTTCTACAATGTTCCCAAAATATCTTCACTTCCCTTGTGCTAAAATATGTGGAAATCTATTAAAGAGGATTCCTTTGGATGAAGCCTTAACCCTTCCATGAGCCACAGAAATAATTCCTGGAATTAGTACAACTTTAAGCCATTAGCACCTTTGTGTAGATTAGTGTATTTAACCACTTACCAGAGACCAGGAGGTACCAAAGCAGCAGACCTTACACAGACAAAGAGGAGAAACTCAGAACCAGGGGAGAGTAAGTACAAGTGTAGGGAGGGGACAGGGATTAGGCACTAAAATTATGGTTCTCTTTCTTTGCCATTAAAGATTAGGCTGATATGGCCGAAAAGGCACTGTCTCACACAGGCACTTGGCATTTATCAGGATGAGGATGAGAGTAGATAATCTGTGTACCTTCATCGGAGGACACTCCCTACCTAGACATGAACACAGATGTCCCACTCATACCCTCTCCTGAGGACTGAGTAAGCCCAAATAACACTCCCACAAAAACATGGAATGGGTCCCAAGAACGGCAGTCAGTGCCAGCAGTTCCAAACTGCAGACCGACAGAACAAATCCATTCTCTGATACATTTTATTTGCCCAGGCCAGGGATTATTTAGAAACTGTAATTTGACTGTCTTTAGGTAGGACATAAACTTGCCATTTCCAAGCATGCTCTCACCTTTCTCTTATATTTTTTTACCTAGCAGCATTCCACATTGACATCACCATCATGGCCACTACTGGTCTGTTCTTTCTCCTCCTTAAGGGAAGACTGAAGACTCAGGAGCCAATGAAAATAAATAAAATTATCAAGCCCAATGGGTAAGTAAGGGATCATCAGTGGAAGACAGAGCTAAAAGTAAGAAACAAAGAAGTGGATCAGAGCCGGAGGCTCCCCTCTAACTGTCATAAACACCATACAATACTCTTTGCTGTTATAGACCGGGCAGCATGGTGCCTGGTGTATCATCTTGGCCTAGAGGCACAGAATCAATATGAGCACCTTGGATCTGGGAATGATCATTGCACACAGCAGGAAAGGAGAAGATGGAGGTCCTGGGCCATTGCCAAGTAAGACTACTCAGCTCTTCTCTCACTTCCAATAAAAGAAGGGAGGAGCCTACTTTGGCAACTGGCCAGGATTCCTGCCTGGGAATTAGTCTTGCCTGATGGGTAGCGCATCCCAGGCCTGTTCATCTACCTGCCAGATATTAAGTTGTTTACCGGGCTGGAGGAAAGCCCCATGGCAAGCCATGATAATTATCCAGGCTGACTGCTCTCTGCCTGGGCTCCTCTCAGAGGCTTGTCCTAGTCCCAGGGAACTATAAACTAGTTAACAACTCAACTCTAATTAATAAATTCCTTAATGAAGATATAAATGCCCACATTTTTATCCTTTACGATGTACTTTGGGCTTTTTTTCCCGTTAAACAGCTTTACTAATGTCTCTGCTTCCTTCTTTTTCAATTCCCACTTTCACATTTGTTTCTGGTCTCTAAATAACAGCCACTGACTGTCTTAGCTCTTTAAATCCATCTCATTCAATGCCCCACTGCTATCTGCTCCGAATCTTTTAGGGTGTTTTGTGCGTTCCTTCGAAGCACCATTGCCAAACTGTGAGAAACAGAAAAACCTGCTGAGATTTTCAAATAGAAAGGGCAGAGGCTGTGTGACTATCTACATATATGGAAACAGAAGAAATGCCACGATATTTGAAAAAGGCAAGTGTGGTCATCATCTTTAAGAGAAAATACAAGAAAGGTGACTGGAAACCAATATCGTGCCTCATTGTTCTCTGCTGAGGGCAAGATTCTAGCTGCGGTCCTTAGACTAAAGGCATGGAGTGTCACAAAGGTCATACATAAATATCTGAAACTCCTTTTTATTTGTCAAACCTTAAAAGTTGATTTTAACTTAAAACATATAAGTATATATCTATTCACCACACTTTCTTATATTACGTAAAATTTCAAACCTATACAAAAATAAAGAGAATATCATGACCTCCATTTACCCATCTCCCAGTTTACTAAGAATCATGTGATCAAGTTTATTTTACCTTTATCCACCCAGTTTTTCCCACCACTTTGGATTAACATGAAGCAGATCTCAAAAATTTTATTATTTCATTACATCTTAATAAGAATTCTTATAAGATCCATAGCTGTACAGGTGCCCAACACAAATTTTCTCCAAAAAGAATGACTAAAACAACAACTAAATAAACTCACTTCAAGTAGAATGTCTTAGGGAGAACACTGAAATTCAGCAAGGAAGTGATATAAGCCTTCTGAAACACAGAAACCTGGGGTTGCAGCATAGAGAGGAAAGCAAAGCACCCAGCCAAAAATTGGTCAGAGGCGAGGACTCCCCATTGCAGTGAAAAGGTAAGTGGGATATCCCCAACAGTCCCCATGCCTAGAGTCCACATGGCTGCATTGATCCAGAAAAGGAACCCATGTGAGGCCCCCATCTCTGAGTCCTTGGGACCCCAGTTACTCAATGCCATTTTGAGAACAGAGACAATGCTAAAGTACATCCTTCCCCGGGGTCCAACAATCTTGCAACTTCACATTCCTAGGGCCTTGTCATCACCTCATCATGCCCCAACAAAGGCTGCAATACCATGACCCCACCTAGACTCAATGGTACAACTATAACTCCAGCACTTGAGCCAACAAAGTACCCAGGGCCCCAAGAAACAGACACTCCAGCACAGAGGGGAAGTCACCCCCAACACTGCAGAAACCAACATGCACACACCCTGACGACCTAAGGATGGGCTCACCTGGTATCCCTTGTTCCTGGCAAAGCCATGCCACTGCCTCCAAAAACACTCTCATTCTAGGCCACTGAGGCACTTGCAGACACTTCTGACATTCATTATAGCCAAAGAAATCACACAAAAAGTACACTACTGCACCATTCAGAACCAGAGCCAAAGCACTCTACTCAACCAATACTACAGGTCACACCTACAGGAAAGTCTTTCCCAATGAAAGCTTCTCTGTAAAATTGGAAGAGGCAACTGTCCTAATAGATGCACAGATATCAATGTCGGGACACAAGAAACATTTAAAAAGCAAGAAAAAAGACACCTGAAAAAGAACACAATAATTCTCCAGTAACAGATCCCCAAATATATATCCTGGGCCATGGTCACTCATATTGGCTTAGAATAAATCTCTTTAAATATTTTTATGGGCACATGTTCTGAATAGCCATTTTTCAAAAGAAGACATACAAATGGCCAAAAGATATATGAAAAAAATGCTCACCACCACTAATCAGAGAAAAGCGCATCAAAAGCACAGTGAGATGTCATCTCATCCCAGTTAGAATGGCTATTATCAAAAAAACAAAAACAAAAACCAAAGGCTGGTGAGAATGCAAAGAAAGGAAAACTCTTATACACTATTGATGGAAATGTGAGTTAGTACAGTCATTGTGGATAACAGTATGGAGGCTTCTCAAAAAACTCAAAGTAGAACTACCATATGGCCCAGCAATCCCACTACTGGGTCTATATATAAAAAAAAAAATTCAGTATGTTGAAGAGATATTTGCACTACCATGTTTACCGCAGTACTGTACTCAATAGCCAAGATATGGAATCAAACTAAGTATCTATCAACAAATGAATGGATAAAGAAAATGTGGCATATATACACAATGAAATGAAATACTATTCAGCCATAAAAAATAATGAAATCCTGTAGCTCACAGCAACATAGAAGAGCCTTGGGGAGGGGGTGGCATTATATTAGGTGAAATAATACAGAAAGACAAATACCAAATATTCTCACTCCTATGTAGAAGCTGAAAAAGTTTATTACATAGAAGTATAAAGTAGAATCATCCTTACTAGAGGCTGGGAAGGGAAGGGAGGTTGGAGAATAGGGAGAGGTTAGCCATCAGATACAAAATTATAGCTAGAGAGGAGGAATAAGCTCTAGTGTTCCATAGCACTGTGAGATGACTATCACTAAGAACAATTTATCGTATATTTTTCAAGTAGCTAAAAGAGGATTTTGAATGCTCTCAGCACAAAAACATAATAAATATTTGGGGCAAAGAATATGCTAATTACCCTGATTTGACCCCTAGATAGTGTGTACATGTATCAAAATATCACACTATACCCCATAAATATAATTATTATGTGTCAATTAAAAATAATAATGGAATACATAACCAAAAAAAGAATGATTGTAAGAACCAAGACTGATAGCCTCTAAGCATCAGTGTTAGTGAGTGGGCTCTGGAGGTAGACATCCCACCTATTGAGGGCCTGAATAGAACAAAAGGTGAAAGAAGAAGGGATTCACTCCTTTCTACTTCCTGCCTGTCTGCTTGAGCTGGGACATTGGTCTTCTCTTGCCCCTGGACTGGGATTTACACCTGGTTTTCAGATTTTCAGACTCAGGCTGAATTACACATTAGCTTTCCTGGGTCTCCAGTTTGCAGGCAACAGATGGTGGGTCTTAGCCTCCATAATTGCATGAGCCAAGTCCTTATAACACACACACACACACACACAGACACACACACGCACACACACACACACAATTTGTTCTATTTCTCTGAGAAACCCGACTAATAAAATGCTGTAAT
This sequence comes from Homo sapiens, assembly GCF_000001405.40. Taxonomy (NCBI): domain Eukaryota; kingdom Metazoa; phylum Chordata; class Mammalia; order Primates; family Hominidae; genus Homo; species Homo sapiens. Next base: position 63,926,576 of record NC_000010.11, on the reverse strand, counting down.
AGGTCTGCTGGAATATATGACCTCTAACCAGTTCTCTGTCCTCAGATATTGTGGGACTGTTGTTAGCTAAATTCCTCATGTACTCTCAGGTCTGGAAAATAGCACCACCTGACCAGCAGTTTATAAATTTCGGGGGAGGTTATGGTGGGATCTAGAAGTTTCCATGAACTTGAGGCAAAAGAGGGCCAAGATGAAAAGTGCCACTATTAAAGGATTTGCATTATTTTGAAAGCAAGATTTTGTTTATTAAAAAATGCTTCTAGGGCCGGGCACGGTGGCTCACACCTGTAATCACAGCACTTTGGGAGGCCGAGGAGGGCGAATCACCAGGTCAGGAGATCGAGTCCATCCTGGCTAACAGGATGAAATCTCGTCTCTACTAAAAATACAAAAAATTATCCAGGTGTGGTGGCGGGCGCCTGTAGTCCCAGCTACTCGGGAGGCTGAGGCAGGAGAATGACGTGAACCCAGGAGGCAGAGCTTGCAGTGAGCAGAGATCACACCACTGCACTCCAGCCTGGGCAACAGAGCGAGACTCCGTCTCAATAAATAAATAAATAAATAAATAAATAAATAAATAAATAATAAAAATAAAAAATGCTTCTAGTTTGATGACTTGATTCACCATCCCCTTAGTAAGTGATGCTCACAACCTCTCTTCCTCTAAAGCTGGGTTTTGTGGGGTTAGGATTAGGAAAGGCTTGCAATGACTGTGTAGTATCCTGGTGCCCTAACAGGTCTAGGTGGTGAAAGAGCACTCATGGTTTCTAAAGGCAGTCACTGGAAGCAAAGAAACCTCTGGCACGTAAAGATCCTTCTGCTGATCTTAGTAAGAAAGGAAGCTTTCTAAGTGGATTTTGTATCTCGAAACCCACCTTGAAATCTTTAAAGGACACTGATAAGGCCCTGACAAAATGGTTAACCATGTCCATCAACCTATATCATAACATTATCCCTTTGAGTCCTAATTTTTTTAAATCTCCTCAAAGATCCATTACTAAAATGCATCCATTGCCTTTGTGTTAGAGAATGAGCAGCAGAAGAAAATGGTATGGTCCAGGATAGGATTCAAGGACCATTTAGGGGTAGCAGGTAGAAAGAGTGTCAGTGACAACTGGGGATAAGATAGGTCCCCCAGATGAGAATAGGCAATGAGCTGATTCTAGAGAGTAAGACAAATCTCAATGGATTGGCTAGATCTTAAGGTCAAAGTCAGAGTTAAGAAGATCATAGAGTTTAAGATCACAGAACTGGTGAATAGAAATCCAGCTGTGCTTCTCACTCGAGGTGGGTACCCTGTGATCATAACACAGCAATGTTGGCCAAGGAAGGGTCAGAAGCATACAGGAAGTTCTTACTGCTGATTGAGGCAAAATCTGATACTAATTTACATTCATTATCTGTGGTAGAAAGAATGTGTCACCTCCTCCTATTGAATGTGGACATATAATGTAATTTCACTCCCACGATTAGTTTATATTATATGGCAAATGTCTCCCACCCTAATATAAATATCTTGTAAGATTTTCTATATTTCATTTTTCTCCATACACCTTCTGATCTCAAATTCCATGCCGCTTTGGGGATTTCATGTTTGACTCAACTGCACAATAGCTGATGTATATGCATCCTAAGGAACCTCCTCCAGGAAGCCTTCTCTGACAGCTTTTCCCTGAAATTGAGTCAAGCACTCAGCTACGCAAAATGCACAGAATGTATCCATTGATTTAGCTCTCACCATTTTAAAAAGGCATGGCATAAATTTCAAAAACATAACAGGGTTTTTTTAATGAATACAAGAAATTTGAATGAGGGAAAAATAAATTGAGGAAAAGTAGAATAAACTCAGGGTAAAGAGTAAGACGTAAAATGCCTGACACAGAATCTTGCTAGAAATGAACCACAAAATCTGGCTCTCAGCTTTCTAGCTACCAAAACTAAGAGACAGACTCAATCACTTAAGTAATCCACAGTGGCCCTATGTTTGCTTGCTTGTTTGTTTTTAAGAACACCTGTTCCTAATGCTGTCATCTGAGAAATTTATTCCTCTGGTCTTCACTGATCATTCGCATCCAAAATGTGAATGATCAGTGAAGCAGCTTAGAGGAACAATCTGGTTTGAACATCTGCAAAACACCCTATTTGTCCCCATTGACAGAGGTACCGTTTAGGGTCATTTAACCCCCAAAATGAGTAAAAAGCAAAATTTGGGGAAGAACACCCAAAGAGTGGTGACCAAGGAACATCAGACAGAAGAATAATCACTCCGTGATTCAAGACCACAGAAGTCGTCAGTGAGTGCCAAATAGTGGAATCCAAGAAGACAGAAAGAAACAGGCAGCAACTGTCAGGGAAGGCTCCAGCCTGGAGGAACAAAAAGTTGTTGAAAAAGCAGAGAAGATCTTCAAGTCACAGACAGATGTTAAGAGGAAAAGATACAGTGCCAGGAAACAGAACATAGAACCATCCAGAAATATCCCCACACACGGGCCTTAGGGATGTCAAATTCCCTATTACTGCACCCTCTCTTTAAAGATAAGGAAACTAGGCCATGTGCGGTGGCTCATGCCTGTAATCCCAGCACTTCGGGAGGCCAAGGCAGGCGAGTCACGAGGTCAGGAGTTCAAGACCAGCCTGGACAATATGGTGAAACCCTGTCTCTACTAAAAATACAAAAACTAGCTGGCTGTGGTGGTGTGCACCTGTAATCCAAGCTACTCGGGAGGCTGAGGCAGGAAAATCACTTGAACCCGGGAGGTGGAGTTTGCAGTGAGCTGAGATCGCCCCACTGCACTCCAGCCTGGACAACAAGAGTGAAATTCCGTCTCAAAAAAAAAAAAAAGATAAGGGAACTAAATCCCAGAGAGCACAAGCATCTGTCTGACCCCAAAGTCACATGGCCAATGTAGAGCTGACATCTGTGACTCTATTTTCCACTTTTGGTGATAGGAAATGAACAGACATGTAACCCTCCCCAAGCTAGTTAATGGCTGTCTTGGCTGAGGAAGCCAGAAATGAAACATGGATGAGAAATAAAAGTCATTTGGATAGAGTAATGCTTACTCTCCTTTTATTCAGACCTCTACTACTGCTGTGACATTTATGTAAATAAGGTCATTAGTAACCTAAGAGAATTATTGGGATTATTATAGTGCTCAGCGTATGGAGTGCTTACTATATACCAGGCACTCCCCTAAATATCCTCTTTGCAAGATCTCATCAAATCCCACAACAATCCTAGGAAGCAGAAATTGTCTACATATCAATCAAGAAAACAGCCTCAACAAGGTTAAATGATTTCCTCCCAGTCACACAGTTAGTCGGGGGGTGGGGGTGGAGACAGGTCTGTTTGACTTTAAATGTGTGTTCATTCTTCAGCCTCAGAAAATATTTAACCTTCCATTTAGTGGGTAAGAACAAAGGAGGTGTGTACATATCTATTACCAGGACAGATTCATTCAGCTTTAGGACCTCCCTACAGAAAGGAAAATGCAGGACAGGGCTGTGTCATACAAGCATCTCAGCAGCAAATACACTCAGGGTGCTGCCTGTAATTCCACTTCATGGCTCTCACTCAATATAATATAGGGACATTTGTATACATGCAAATATAATGCAATAAAGGTAGTGCATGCATGGAATCCGACGCCCTCCTGCTCAGTCTGCAGCAGGAGGTCATTTGTGAAGCTCCCCGGAGCCCTGACCCAGGGCTTCACTCCCTGAATAAAAGCAGCCTGAATGGTAAATGTGCTTGCCTTGAGCCAGTGCCCACTGCAGTTTCCCTGCTGGATGGCAGTTCTTATTGGACCTGGTACAGTTCTTATTTCACAAATCAGAGCTTAAACCTTCACAAGAGGATATCGATTTGTGCTGTCAACACAGCAAGAATCCAGAGCGGGGAGCTGAGGGAGTCTGGCCCTTTTAATCAATATTTTCTTACTCATTAAAGCAGATGTCTGATTTAACTTTTGATTTTAAGCCAGACTCAGAGACTGAGAATCAGTCTTCTGATGATGTAATCTTTACTGGGCAACAAAATCTGCCCATTGCATCAACATCCCTGTCTCCCTCTCTCTCTCCTTTTCCCTCTTCCTCTCTTTACTCTTCTGTAAATTCTGTACTTGATGTTTAACCCAGGCCCAGCCGATACCTACTTTCTGCTACTTTTGCCTCAGAGAGATCCAAAGGGCAACCTTCAGCCCAGAGCCAAAGCTGCCCAACCCCAGGATTCTATTGTTCCTGGGATGGATGCATCATCCCAAGAAATAATGTTTGCCTTCCTGGACTGTTTAAATCATCCTATTCAGATGGAAACCTTTTAAGACTTAAAGATTTGAGCAGATAAAGAGCAGTGAAGATCAACAAACTTGTCAAAGGATAATTCATAAGAATCATAGTCCAAATGCCTCCCTGGGAGTAATTTTAATCTAACATTCCTCTCAAACCTCCTGCTCATTTAGGCAGCACTGCATGGTGCAAAGAACACAGGATTTACGGAAGTGCAGACCTCGTTTGGAACTCCAGGTTAGCCACTCACTAGCAGTGGAACTTAGGGTGAATAATTGTACTATAGACTAATTTTCTTCATCTGTAAAATAGAGAAAATAACCACTGTCTCATGAGGTTGGTATGGAAATTGAGTTAGATAGAATAAATAAAGTGCTTCTCGGGTTCGTTTCCCAGCCAACGCAGGAACTCATTTAAAATAAAACAATAAAAATAAAAAAGAGAAAGTGATTTGTAATCACATAATTGTAGTTTCATAATCACTCATGATCTCATAACCAGTAGCCCATAGTATATTCTCAATAAATGTTAGGCCTTTTCTTTGTCTTTCTCTCAATTTCATCTCTCTTTCGCAGTACCCCCACTCAGTCTTTTTTTCTTCCTGTTTTTCCATTTTCTGCCACCTTGCTATTGATATACCTTAGGCTCTTCTTCTCACCATCCTCTTTAACTGGACTTAAAACCACAGACTGTCGGCACCAGAAGACTCTAAAAGAATGTATACACTTTTAGATAAATAACATGCCCCAGATCACAGCTACTCAGCAGCAGACCACAGGCAGCATTCAGCCCTCCTGACTCCCAGGGTCTCACATCCTAGTCTCTCTCTCTTTCAGAGTTTTAATTCTTGAAGGTGATAGCTCTCACATTTCCCAGAGAATAACCCAAAGTACACCGTCTGTCTCACTAATTCTAGAATAAAAATAATTAATACAGCTCTAACTTAAAAGTTTGATATGATGGTGTATTCATTTCAGTTAAGCTGTCTCAAATCTTACTTTTTTTTTTTTTTTTTTTTGCAACTCTGAGCTATGGAGTATCTTTTCTCTCCCACTTAATGTCATTGGTGGACTGAAGCCAGTACATACTGGCTCATGAGAGCCAATTCTTAGCATCTCTTTCCAATTCTGCATTCAGTGATATCACATTGGTAACTTGATATTGGCAGTGGTGGGAATATTCACGTCATAGAAATTGGCAACCACTATAAATAGGCTTTTTCCCCCACAGATAACCAAGAACCAGTTGTTGAACACTTACCAGCACACCAATGCATAAGTTCTCCACACATTTGTTTGTTTATATACATACGCAGAGGGGCCATGGGGAAAGAGAAAGAGACATGATTACTTCATGACTGTAACACTCTTTTTCTAGGCAGTCCTGTTTTGCTTTAAGAAATGTTTAAGTTTGCTTTTCCAATAATGATATCCTACAGAAGCCTATAAGCTTTGCCCTGTGTGCACAAGATAATGAATTTAGGCCTTTGGAAATTGGTCACCTGCTGGTCATGACAAAGGCTCTATTAACACTCGGTCATGTAAATTTGCTCTGCCTTGGCTCTTTAGAAGATGAAAGTGTCTGCTGGACCATGCATACACCTGCATCAGTTTTATCCTATTGATTTCAATAGAGAGTATAAGATTGTGAGGATTTTAGTCTTTAAGAATCTCTGTGAGTTGCTATTGGCATCATTGAGCATTTCATTGTTCATATCCACATTCCAATAAAGCTCATTTCCTCCAAATATAATATCTGCTAGTAGTCAAAAGGCCATGCAGTGGGCTCTGAAGCCAGATGGCCTGGGATTGATCCCAGCCTAATAGGATTGTCCTACTTACTAGGACATTCCTCGATCTCTCTGTGCCTAGTTGTAAAATGGGGATAATAACAATATCCACCTCCCCAAGTTGTTATGAGGATTAAATAATAATTAGTAATACATATCAAGTGCTTAAAACAGTAGCTGCTGGCACACGACAAGCATTCAGTAAATGTTAACTGTTAAGAAAGAGTGGAGATAGAAAGTTTATCACAAGGTTAGATATGCAAGCACCAGATTCTAGCTGCGTAGGTGAGGATGAGGCTTGGAAAATCCTTAAGGGAAAAGTTTGGAATATTGCTACTAGAAGTGTACGTCAGTTCTCCCAGCTGTCAGGGGCTCCCAGAAGCTCTGTGATGGGAGGTCCTCCTGTCCTCTCTTCTCTCCCACTGAATGACTCAGGCAGGGATCTTCCAAACCACAGCAGTTGGAGAGTACAGCTGGGCCCCCTCTCCTTATCTGAGGCAGGAGTTCAAAATCTTAGTCCCCAGGGCAGACATGAAGGGTAATATTCATATGCAGACCCCACCGCCGGCTTTGACAATAGTCTGATGATTTATGGATTAGGCACAATTCCTGCATGGGAGCCTCACCTCCACCTTATGATGGCCATCGCAGAACACAAAGGGGTAAGATTCACAGCAGTAAAGGAATTAACCTCTAATCTAGTCATCAGGCTATTGCTCAATATTCTAATTCTTCTCCTTCTCTTCATGGAGGATCACACTTCCCCTTCTTGCTCCTTGTTAGGCAAGTTTGTATGTCTTATTTTGGCCAACAAAATGTGAACAGTAGTGATATGTGTCTCCTTCAACCTTCAAGAGCCAATGAGGGATTTGCCTGCTTCCTTCTGCTGACCGCAGTGACTGGAGACATTCCATATAAGGTTTCATCAATTTTTATCCCTGAGTGTGAATAACCTGAGAAGAGCCCCCAGATTACCCACAATAGACACACAGTATAAACAAGATAAAACTTCACTGTTTTAGGCAACCAAGATCTCAGGGATTGTTTGTTCCCACACAAAGTCTATCCCATCCTGACTGATATAACCTTAATTCTACTCTAATTTACACTAAAAATATCAATAAGATATTTGCAAATTTCTTTCCTTTATTATTGGTGACAGATTATTTATAACGTACCTCATAACAAATCTCAAAACAGAGAAGTTAAAAATCACTGATTTACAGAAACGAAGTTTATTTTTTATAAAATTCATGTTACAGTTTTTCTTTTAGCAACTTAATTTATCTTCATTTTCTTTATTCTTTATTACATAAAGTGATCCATTTAACCTTAAAATTTCTTTTCTGTTAAAGACTCATGCCTAAAGGAAATCAAACAAAAATCCTCCAAAAGCCTAACAATGTAGACCTCTGTAGAGGAAATTCAATGGCAGAGGAGTGGCTACATCAGCGATTCCTGCTACCTTTCCCTGGAAATTCCCCCCTTCCCCCTTTATCTCCTAATACCACTACTCCAGTCTCTATGAATTCAGTGCCTCCCCAACTGGATTCTTACTGCACCTATACTTTTTCTCTTTCTCAGCAGAACTGAAACAAATTGGCATTTTTCAAAAATAATTTTTCTTGAAGGAAGATAGAAAAGGTGAAAATAAACAGAATATAAATATATTAATAGAAAATACAAACAAAATAATTCATGCAGTTAAAAACAAAACTGCTCAGAGGGCCACCATGATAACTTGCCTTTGGCTCCAGTTTGGCTGGCAGTGCCTGCAGGCACCTTGCTTGAACTTCTTCCCTTCTTGTTTCTGGCCTCCATATGGTGAGAAGCATCTTGTCACTTACTACATGGCCACAATCTAACTAAACATCTTGCTCCAATCAAGGACCAATGCCAGAACCACTTTCCTTGAATCAAATGTCTTCAGCCCTCTAACATCCTCCCTCTCGGTCTCAATTATTCTGATTTAAGGACACCACATTTATGATTCATTCTCAGGAGAAGAGGGAGAGGCATCCTTAATCCCCACTGCTGGAGCTTGCCTTCCCAAGCTCAGGTTAATAGTTTTGTCTATTTCTATAACTTACCTTGTCACCAGCACAGTGCACTCAAATACACATACATGTGCACACCACATATGCTCATAATACTAAGGAAAGTGACCTTATCTAATCAACATAATTTCCAACATTGAATCAACATATATATCTATAGGGGCTATATTTATATAGCATATCAGTTAAGAATATGAGCTTTGTGCAAATAAACACAGCTTTAAGTTTCAGCTCCAGAATGTTGTAGCTGGAGATCCAAAAGCAAATTATTTAATTCGCTAACATCTGCTTCCTCAAGTGTAGAATAAGAAGAATAGTAGTACGTACCTCATAAGATTGATGTGAGATGATTCACATAAAGTGAGAGAATCAATGTAAAGCAGTTAGCATAGTGTCTGGAACGTAGGAAGTACCCCATAACTTTTAGCTAGTAGTGGCAGTGGTAGTGGTGGCAGTGGTGGTGCTAGTGCTGTTGGTGATGGTCATGGTGGTAATCGTAGCAATATTATCTGAAATTGTCTTATTTTTCCATTACCCTTACTTTTCTAACACAGCTCCCATAGTTCTTCGGCTTTTTTTCCTACTGAATGCCCTATAGAGTAATTTTTAAGTTCTTTAGAAATTCAAAACACTTTAGTAATTATCACCTATTCTGAAATATTACCCATGTTATCAGCAAGACATTGCCCATTCCCCAGTGCTTCAGAGCTATTCAAATTTGCTGATCTGACAGTGATGCCATCCTGAAACCTTCAAATAAAAGGCTTCCCTTATTTCCTGCCAAACCACAACATCTACTTGCTTGAAACTCATCCAGATCAGATTCAGTCCTGTTTTTGGAAACACATAAGTGCCCTCAAGAGAATTCAAACACTTAGCAAGGTACTGAGCAATTAAACTTTGATGGTCTATTTTAGAAACAGAAAAAGGAAAGGAGAGGAGTCATAGTGAGGGAAAGAAAGAAAAGGGAGGTAAATGTAAGTGGCTCAGCTGGGTTTAGGGGAAAGAGGAATGTGTCTACTCATTACGTGCTTCCCTTTGGAAGGAAGTCAAATGCTTTCATTGAAAAGCACACAGAAAGCTTTCATGATTTAGTACACAGACAAACTCATAGATTAAGGCAAAGAAGGACCTAATGTAAACAGATGCAATCAGATATTATGTATCTCAGATGTCATAAATCTAGTCTGGTCTGGTTGCAAGAAGCAGGCAGTGTGACAACTTTTGGGGTCTTCCTGGCCTAAAAGCTCTAATTAGAAGAGCATGTCTGCTATTTGGTCCCCTTCCACTATTCTTTTGGGGAATTATTCTACTATTCTTATTCTAATCAAGAAGTCTTTGAACAAGGAGTTGGACTCAGCTTCCTCTTTGATGATTGGCTCATCCCCTAAATATTTCTACCTCTGGCACAGAAAGAAGGGCCTAAAAAATAGCCCTCAGTCTTCTCTACTGTATCTGAAATAACTATGGCAGGTCAAACATCCAAACCAAGCAGTTTTTTGAGGAAACACATATCTATTGGTCATTTGCCAAGTGCAGACACCCATGCTAGGCACTGTGGAAATACAAAGCCTATGAAGTCCAGTCTCTGCCTTCCAAATGCTCACAGTCCAGCCACTTAAGGGAAGAAAAATTCTCCACCCCATGCTACCAGGGTGGCCTCAGGATTTTACACTAGGCCCAGCCCATTCTAGCCCACACTGATTTGTATCTCCTTCTTAGGAACCAGAAAGGAATTTTCCGATTTCATTAGACACTAGGATAAAGGGAATAAGCCTAGTCATATCTTGCAGATAAACCAACCATTTAAATAAAAGACTTTAAAAGAGGTGACTCCTATGGCAAGACACAGAATTCCAAGTTCAATAGCTCAAAACAGCAAAAACCATTTGCTGAGAGGAAATAATTGCCAATGATGGTGATCTGTTCTTTCATCAAAGTATCTTGTGCTTCGAAGACAGAAGAATTTACCTAAACTCCATCTGGGATCCAAGTAGGGCACAGAGAAGAAAGGTGCACTAAACCATAGAACTCTCATTACTATGCTCCAGAAAGATCCCCAAATCCCCCCATGGGTTAAATAAGAGAAGAATGGACAGAAAATTTTGATTCCTTTAGCTCAGAAGGCCCTTCAGATTAGAGGACATGAAAGAGTCATTTCTGAAAATTTCCCCAGTAATTCACCCTGATAGTAACCCATAACTCCCTGAGAAATATTTATATGTAATATACCTGTAAATTCTGAAACCATTTGAAACTGATTTTTATTAGATCACTTTGAGCTTCCTTCTGATGTACTAAGATAATCCCCAAAATTCTGATAAAACCCCAAACCTCCAGGAAAATCCACAGAAGGGGCCTGGAGGTGTATTCTGAACCAGTTGGATGTCTGTTGATCAATCATAACATTAGCTTAACTAACTAGAAAACTAATCATTAGTGACCAAACAAGCACATCATGATCTTTGGGTTTGCATTGATATTTTCAGGATCACTAATAAAAGCTAACATTGTATTAGTCTGTTCTCACACTGCTGTAAAGAGACTACCTGAGACTGGGTAATTCATAAAGGAAAGAGGTTTAATTGACTCACAGTTCTGCATGGCTTGGGGAGGCCTCAAGAAACTTACAATCATGGCAGCAGGGAAAAGGGAAGCAAGGACCTTTTTCACATGGAAGCAGGAGAGAGAAGCCAATGAAGGAGGAACTTGCCAAACACTTATAAAACCATCAGATCTCATGAGAACTCACTCACTGTCATGAGAATAGCATGGGGGAAACTATTCTCCCATGATCCAATCACCTTCCACCAGGTTCCTCCCTCAACACCTGGGATTACAAGTCAAGATGAGATTTGGATGGGGACACAAAGCCAAACCATATCAAACATTAATTGAATATTTACCATGTGTCAGAAGTAAACTGTGGCAAAGTGAAATTAAGTAACTTACAATCAGTCACACAGCTAGTAAGGTTGAACAGGGTTTAACCCTGGCTGGAAAGCGCGCCAAACAGGAAGATCTGGCTACAGAGCTTTCACATTAACCACATGCTCCAGTCTACACCCTCCACAAACCAAATGACCTGCATCAAGTGCCACCTTATGTTTCTATCAAGCATTTTCTTCTACTTTAAGAGAGTTCACTACCATCTAGTTAAGGATTAAAATCTTATTTATCAAGCCTGCAGCCAGGATATTTTTCCCTTTTAAATTTTTGTGAAGATATGGCAATAACACATAAGAATCTGACTTGCTTTGTCCATTGTCTTAAAGCCATGGCTCTCAAGTATGTCTACACATCAGAACCATTTGGGAATGTTTCTTTAAAGATGAATGATGTCCAGAAAATTAACTCTGAGATTCTGATTAAATGACTCATGGGTGGATCCTAAGAATCAGTATCTTTAAAAACATTTTCCAGGGGAGTTTTAATGCATAGTTAGGATTAGGAACTGCTTCACATTACAGGAAAGGAAACCCATGCTCCTCTGAAAAGGGAGGAATCTGGATTCCTTTGCTAAGGCTGGCATAACCAAACACCACAGCCGGCTTGCTTAAACAACAGAAATTTGTTGTCTCACAGTTCTGGAAGTTGGAAGTCCAAGATTACAGTCTTGCTTCCTCTTCTCTTGGTCACTCTTCTGTGCATGCACCTCCCTCCCTCCTATAAAGATACCAGTTTTATTGAATTAGGGCCCCACCTGACCAACCTCATTTTAATTTAATTGCCCCCTTTTAAGACCCTTTCTCTAAATGCAATCACATTCAGAGATGCAGGGAATTGAAATTTGGTATGTTAATTTGGAAGGAGGGGGGCAAATTCAGTCCATAACAAAAAGAATCATAAATTATTTTTCCTTCCAACATGATCTCTTCACCTCTTCTCCTTCCAGTTGATTCAACACCCTGCTGCCAGATGAATCTGCTCAGATTATATCATTCCTCTACTCTAAATTATCCACAATCCCCATTGCATGAAAAACAATGTTCTAAATCCTTAGCCTGATCAAACAGGCTCTTAACTCTGCAGCCCAAGTTCACCATTCAGCCTCACATTCATCTTCGCCCTAGGTGACCTACCCCTCCTGCTGAACTGGTCCTCCTCAGGAAACTCCTGTTTCTTCTTATTCTGGGTTGCAAAGCAATCCAGTTTTGGCTGGGCCTACTCCTCAACTCATCATCAGGTGGTGGGGGGAGGGTTGACTACTCATTTTCTTTCTCTCTTTTTTGACTTTATTCAGGAATGATTGGCAAATAAAAATTGTATATATTTAAGGTAAACAACTGGTTGTTTTGATATATGCATACATGGTAAAATAATCACTATTAAGAGCTAACTGAAATACTCATTACCGCATATTGATTGATTGTGGTAAGAAATGCTTAAGATCTATCCTCTTAGCAAATTGCAGTACAGTACATTATTGTTAACTATAGTCACATTGCTGTACCTTAGGGCTCCAGAACTCATTCATGGTCTTGTGTAACTGAAACTTCTACCCTTTGATCAACATCTCCCATGTCCCTCTCCCTTTGCCACATTTCTTTCTTTTACCAAGACCCTCTTCCCTGAAGAGATTTTGAATTTCCCAAAAATGTGACTGTAACAGTCACTTTTTCCTTTGGCTCAGGAATTCCTCCAGACTTTGACTCCTTCAGGTCCCCTTGAACACCTGCACTAATTGTCTCTCCTTTGCACGGAGCTCCCTCTTCCAGCACAAAGCCTATATGGATTTGGAGGTCCAACCTCAGACTGCTAACTCCAGCTTTCAGCCACTCTCCCTTGGCTCGAAGCACAGCCATCTCAGGCCTGCCCCGCACACCCATCAGAGAAGGCTCTGGGTGGGCAAGGGTCTTCATGTGTTGTGTTCACTTAGGTGTCTCAAGAGCCTAGAACAGTGCCTAACACATTGTGGGCACATGGTAAAGATTTCTTGAGTGAATGAATGCATGAATGGGCACATCCATCAGGACCTGACTGAGGATGAGGAATCATTCCCACTTTGTAAAGTATATTCACCTGTGTTGGGGGGAAGGCCCTTATTTCCACTTAAAGCTGTCTATCACGTAATGGGTTATTTAACACAGTCATAATACCTAGAACCCTAATTAATACTACATAGCATTTGTATTACCCTTTGTACTTTTCAATGCATTGTCCCATTTATTATCTCAGTCCATCCTCATAATGATCTCATTTCCCTATTACAGATAAAAAATGAGGCAGAAAGGTAGCAGGACTTGATAAAAGTCACAGAGCTGGTTGAGCACAGAGAAGGGATCAGAACTGGGGCCCCATCTGCAGCCCTGGGCTCTCCTGGTGCTGCTACTGCTGGGCTGGTACCATGCCCTGTCAGACACCATCAGGCACACATCACCATCAACACTCACAAATCTGCTTGCTGCACCCAAAGGGATTGTGCAGGATGTTGATGAGTTTCATTCGGGAAAGAAATAGAAAGCTTAAGTAGCAGGTGCTTTCATTCACTCTGTACATCTGGGGTATTCACAGGTTCCTACCAAATCAGGATAAAAGAAAAAAGCTATTATTATGTAAAATTATAACTGCTCCTTAAAGAGAGAAAAGAAAAAATGAGGAGTGACTAGTAAACACCCCTTGATGTACAAAGATGGACCTGATGGTGAGTTTAGAAGAAGGCTAGCAAGAGCCCAGCTGTTGTGTCAGGAATCTGAAAGCAGCTTAGCTAGGTAGTTCTGGCTCAGGGAGTCTCACGAGGCTGCAGTCATCTGAAGGCCCAACTGGGGCTGAAGATTTTACTTCCAAGTTCACTCACATAGTTTCTGCCATGCCTCTGTTTCTCACTGACCAGAGGCCTGAGTTCCCAGCCACATAGTCCTGTTCATGAGGCTGTTCACAACATGGCAACCAACCTCCCCCAGACTTAGAGATTCGAGACAGGGCATGAAGCAGGGACAGATGAGGGTGAGGTGCCTAGGAGAAAATGTAAGGTGGCCCTTATGAGACCTCCTCCAGCTCAAGCCCTGAAAGAGTGTTCAAGACAAAGCTGCAGACTTTTGTATAGCCTCATTTTGGAAAGGATATACCATCTCTTCTACCATATGCTAATATGAGGTGACTGCACAAGGGTGTGAATTCCAGGAGTGGGGGATTATTGGGGACCATCCTGGATGCTGGCTACCACAGAAGTTATTCAGCTTTCAGGCCACACACATGCAAGTTCTCCTGTAGATTATGTTTCTTTCTAAAATCCCCAACTGGATTCCATCAGACAGGTGTGCGTTACCAGGAATACAGCTAAATGGGCTCTGTCTTTGCAACAGCATTATTAGTAAAATCCTTTTAACAAATGTCTGTGAGGCAAGCACTTCCTTAATTAATTGATGTAGGAAGCAAATGATGTGGCAGTATACCAAGGAGTTTAGGGTTTGGAGTCAATCATCCACATTTGAATCCTGCTTCTGCTGATTACTAGCTGTTGTGACCTTGGGCAAGTCACTCCCCTTCTCTGAACTTTGCCTTCATATCTAGAAAAATACTAGCTCCTAAGGAACTCATGAGGAATATGGCACAATTCATTCATCCCTTTAACAGGCACTTCCAAGTACCTGGCTCATCATCAGTGCTGAATTAAATGCTTGTTAAATCCACATCTAAACCTAATCTGATTGTCAAGGGTCTTCCTCAAATATTACAGGAGGATATTAGGAATTATAACTGAAAAAGCTTTCACATACTTTGTAAATGTCTTTCCTTATTCTATTACCTCTTTTTAGTCAAATTGCTTTATTGTCCTAGGAATGTTTCCTCATCTATAAGCTGTAAAAAATTAACTATAAGTAAAATTAAATATGCGGCTCAATGAGGAAAAAGCAAAAAGTGATGGGGGAGTGTGGAGGAAGGAGGAATTAAAATGGTGGATACTGCAGGACATTTTATTTTCTGCTGTTTCTTCTTCGTTCTGTAAAGTTATGGTACTATGATTTGATCTATTTATCTCCCAAGATTATTGAGAATCAGAATGAATGTTTAAAGAGCAAATATTCCACTGTATCTGCCAGAGTGCCTGATACTGTAATAGGAAAAAAACAACAGAATAATTGTTTGTTGACATATGAAGCAAGACTTTCTAACGTTGTTTTCTTTTCACCAAAACCAAAAGGGTCTAAAGATTCCTTTAACCTCTGGCTTGTGGTCCTGCAGTGGTGGCTAAACTATATCATCAAGAAACACCTTGCAGGCATGCACTTCCCAGCTCCACCTCCTCCAGTTCCAGTGTTTTCATGCTGGATTCCTGCAGTGGAAGAAAGACACTAGGAAGAAACAGCTAAAGCGACAAAAACATGGGGAATGAAAACACCGTATTCTAAAGTCTGCTATCAGATAGTCAAAGACAAAACAGCCATTATTGTCTACAATTAGAATATGGGCTCTGATAGGATTAAGAAACCCATTCAGTGTGCTCTGTGTGGACCAGCAGGAGTCAGGGACGACAAAGAATGCTGGAGATGTGTGACTTACAGAGTGAGGCTGGAAGGTGGGAAAAAGGAGGAGGATGAAGAAAGGAGGCCAATAACATGGCAGAACCCGCAGGACCAGAATATGCCACTCCAAAATATGAAGGATTGCTGAGCTGACAGCAATTAAGAAGAAGCAGATACAGAAAAGCTTTCTGCCTTCCATTTGCGTAAAAGCAGGACAAAGATTTACAATCCCAAAAGGTATCCTGTGCACCCCTCCTCTACCAGGGAGAACAAAGGTTAACCATTGAAAACTACTTTGGACACATCATCTGGACGTGATACCAGAGGAATCTATATTAACAAGCTTTACTAACTAACCTTCACCTGCCTTCCCTCACGATGCTGTCCTTAGAGATTCAAAGTCCTTTTTCTTTGTCTTGTCACTTCTCTAAAAATTTACTCTTCTTTGTTGAAGATGTTAAATTGGCTGGAATTCAAAGCCACTTCTTTGAGAATTACTCATTCTCTGGGTGTCTCCCATGTATATATGAAATATACATGTTAATAAACTTCTGTTTATTTTTCTCTTGTTAATCTGCCTTTTGTCACAGGAGTCTGTTCCAACTAAGAAACTACAGGGGTTATTTTTCCCCTATAGCAGCCAGTGAGAAATTCCCAAAGGAATGCACAAGAGACATTTTAAAATCAGTGTTTGATATTCAACTTTAAGTTAATTCAACATCTTCAACAAAGAAGGGTAAATTTTTAGAGAAATAACAAGACAAGGAAAAGGACTTTAAGTTGTTCCCTACCCTGGGCTGTGTTTCTTTTCCATTATCCGCAAACCCTAAAAAAAAAAAAGGCTTACTATTCACAACAGATTTGTGTTGATTGTGCTTTCAGAAATTAAGGACAAAGATGGGAAGGGGTAGCGTCCAGCCTGGAGCAAAACAGAGAGGTCAGTGAGTGCAGGATCCAGAAGCACAGACTAGAGCAGGTAACCACAGACAGGCAGGCAGCCCCGGGGACTGACAAGGAAATGGAAACCTGCCTCAGCAAACCTGCTATCCCAGGGAAGGCACTGGCACACCCCACATGGTACTTGGGATGGGGTTTATTTATAAATCACTTAAACCATTCTATCACAAGACCAGAGGATTTGAGAACATTTGACAACATATATTTGTATGTATGCATACATATATATGTACATGCATGCATGTATAATGCACATAGTTAAGAATATATGTGTGTATATGTTGACACTTAAAATAACTTGATAACTGCATGTGCTTAGATGATATAATGTATATAAAATGCTTAGCTCAGTTCCTGGCATACAGTGTTCTTCAGTAAGTATTACTTACGCAGGAGCATTAAAAAAAAAGAACCCTAACACCTGGTCCTAGATTTCCTTTCAGGAACAGGCAGTGCTTTTATTTAGAACAATGCACAAAGGTGAAAGATGCAATCCTGAGAGCAGGAACTGTTGTTTGGAATCGCTTTTCCTCCCGACTCCCTCTCCAGGACATAGGCCAATGTCTTGAAACATTTTTTGATTGTTGAAACTGGGGGTAGGAGGACTGGTGCCTAGTAGGTTGAGGCCAAGGATGCTGCTAAACATCCTAGAATGCACAGGACAGCCTCCACAACAAAGCATGGTCAGGTCAATATATCGATAGTGTGAAGTGAGCCAAAGAGACAAAGCAACAAGTGTGATTGATAAAGTGTTCTGCATTAGAAATAAACAGTAATTCATAAAGAGAGAAGAAAAGAGAGTTAAGGAAGCAAGATAGAAGAAATATGTCACCACTACTGACACATTGGCCTGACCATTCTTTGTTGTGGAGGCCGTCCTGTGCGTTCTAGGATGTTTAGCAGCATCTGTGGCCTCAACCTGCTAGACACCAGTCCTCCCACCCCCAGTTTCAACAACCAAAAAATGTCTCAAGACATTTGCATATGTCATAGGGAGAGAGTGAGAGGAAAAGAAAAAGATGGCTAGAGAAATAATATGACCAAAACGCTAGAGAACTTTTAAGGGCTAATAATGTCTAATACACAATCTGGGATTGTTTTCATAGATCTCAACAAAACCCTTCCCTTGTCTCCCCAAACCTTCAGTAAAAGCTGCCACATGCAAAGACCTTGAGTAAATAGATTGTGCAGGTGGTGTGTGTGTATGTGTGTGTGTGTGACAGAGAGAGAGAAAGTAAGGAAGTCTCACATCTGGGTCAGAGAAAAGAGACAAGCATCAAACCCCCCAAAAAAGAATAGGAATCCTGTAGAGGCAGAAAGCCAGAGACAAAAGTGCCTGAAATAATAAAAGCACCTAGGAATTAGAGAACTCTGAAAGATGGGATATATTTTTCCAGAGCACTTGGAATGCGGCTTTGAACCACACTTTATGTAGATCATAAGGGACAAGGAGTCTTAGCTTCCATATAGATTCTAGCTCTCATAATTATAAATTTTAATGTAAGTTCATTTTATACAGTCATTCTCAACTATTTCAGCTTTTGTATAAGGTCCAAGCTCAAAGAACCCTCCTGTATTTTTAAAAAGAAGTACTTAACCTGAGAGATTCCGCTTGCCCACAGCATATGAATGAGTCCAGGGAAGGCCAACCAGATAGGCAGCACTGGCTTCAAAGTGGGGCCAGAGCCCACCGTAAGTCCCTCTAGGAATGTCACACATTATAATAGGATCAAGTATGATGAAAATACAGATGTGAAGTACTTTAAACTGAGATGTTCTACTTAATAGGCAAAGAGATAAAGCAATTATTTCCTCTGTCACAATGCTATAAATTCGAATATGGTCTGTGGAAGGAAAAGGTGATATGTATTGTTGCAGGTCAAAAAAAAATTGAAAAAGAAAAGTAAAAAAGCAGGATTCAGAAAGCTCAATTTGAAAATAACAGAACCTCTCCCAGGAATGACAAACACTAACTTGCGAGCAACAAGAAGGGTTAGCACCAAAGATCAGTTGGCTGACAATTAAGGGAGCACAATAAAACCTTGAAATGCTCTGCCCTGAGAGTTGTTACCAATGTGTAATGGAATTTAGCAATAAAAAATAAATAAAACAATAAGAGCTTTCTATTTTCTGCTAGTATGAAATTTCTGACAGCTCATCTAACCCCTTGGTGTCCAGATCTCAGAAGCCACTTAATGAAACAATGGTTGTCCAAGACCAGAAAAACTCTGCAATAATAGTTTCCCTGCAAACCATGAGTCAAAATAAATAAGATATAGCCTGACACTCAGCCTCTCCTCCAAAGGTTTTAAAAAACCAAAGTGAGGGCTAACCTCCTCCATACAGGCCATGTCAGTTATCTGGACAACATCACAAAAGTATACACTGCTTGTTGAGTGAACTGAGCTCCAATCAACAGAGAAGCCTTCTTTGAGCTCCTGACAATTTAATTTAGCTTAACAATTACATCTGCAATTTGATCATAAAACCTTTCCCTCTTAATGGCCAATAAAAGTGATGCTTCCCCTAAGACATGGAATCTAACATGATTAAGGGGGGAAAAGAAGAGAGTCTAACTTATTTGATTCAACCAAACCTTCCCCTCAACGTTCACACCAGTTATCCATCCCAATCTCTATCAATCTTCTTTGTTGTGACTGCCTATTGATTAGATTGGCAATACACAGAGAACGATGTGTGAGTTCTCTCTGAATTGATCCTCAAGGCAGTGGAGAGAGTGTCTCCAAAGAGTTCTCCTTCTGTGGGGTTAAGGTGGAATTCAGAGCAGTTATTTGTTTTTCTGCTATTGAGTAACCATTTTACTATCTATATGTATCCCGTAACATCATGTCATTGTAAACCTTGAATATACACAATAAAATTTATTGTTTTTTTAAAAAAATATACAAATTCAACTCCCACAATGTGGAGGCCAGAGGTCCCAAATCAAGGTATCAGCAGGCTGCACTCCCTCTGAAGGCACTAGGGGAGAACCCCTCCTTGCCTCCTCCACTGCTGCTGGCTGCAGGCATTTCTTGGTTTGGGCTGCATAACTCCAGTCTCTGCCAACATCTTCACATGGGTTTCTTCTCTATGTATCTAATCTCCTTCTGCCTTCCTCTTATAAGGGCACCTGTTATTGAATTTAACTCCCATTGGGATTATTCAGGATGATCTCACCTCAAGATTCTTACTTACATATGCAAAGACCGTTTTTACAAATATGGTTATATTCACAGGTTTCAGGGGTTAGGACATCTTTTGGAGGTCACTCTATAATTCACTACACTGGTATTACCTGAAGTTCTTTCATTACATTTTTGCTTCCCCAGGCCACGATTAGATAGAGAAAAAAAAAAAAAAAAAAAAAAAAGGCCGGGCACCGTAGCTCACACCTGTAATCCCAGAATTTTGGGAGGCCAAGGTGGGCGGATCATCTGAGGTCGGGAGTTCAAAACCAGCCTGAGCAACATGGAGAGACCCCATCTCTACTAAAAATACAAAATTATATGGGCGTGGTGGCGCATGCCTGTAATCCCAGCTACTCAGGAAGGCTGAGGCAGGAGAATCACTTGAACCCAGAAGACAGAGGTTCGGTCTCAAAAAAAAAAAAAAACAAAAAACCATCAGCAGACTCTTTCCCCCTCTTTTCCACAATTCTTCCCCTGTAACAAGAATATGATAGTAGCTAACATTACTTGCCCTCTTTCCATGTATAGGCCACACTATAAGCATTTTTATGTTTTCTACATAAGGATTAAATTTAATCTTCATAAAAATCCAATGAGGTAAGCATCACCTTTATCCCCATTTTATAGATGAGAAAATAAGCAGAGGAATGTTAAGGAAACTTGTCATGTGTCCCCCAGCTGATAAGCAAATTAAACAAGGATTTGAACCCAGGCAGCTTACACCTTTTTTGACAACTTTATTGAGATATAATTCACATACCATATAATTCACCCATTTTAAATATACAATTCTATGGTCTTAGTGTATGTATATATAAATACATATTTTGTTTTGTTTTTTCAGACAGAGTCTCACTCTGTCCCCCAGGCTGCAGTGCAGTGGCACGATCTTGGCTCACTGCAACCTCCGCCTCCTGGGTTTAAGCGATTCTCAGGCCTCAGTCTCCCAAGTAGCTGGGATTAAAGGCTTGCGCCACCATGCCCGGCTAATTTTTTTGTATTTTTAATAGAGATGGGGTTTCACCATGTTGGCCAGGCTGGTCTCAAACTCCTGACCTCAGGTGATCCGCCCACCTTGGCCTCCCAAAGTGCTGGGATTACAAGCGTGAGCCACCATGCCTGGCCTTGGTCTTAGTATATTCATAGAGTTTTGTAACCATCACCACAATCAATTTTAGGATATTTTCATCACCCCAGAAAGAAAGACCTTATCCCTTAGCTGTCATCTCCCAATTCCCCATTCCTTAGGGCCCGGGAACTGCTAATCTACTTTCTGTCTCTATAGATTAGCCTATTCTGAACATTTCATATAAACGAAATCATATAATATGGCCTTTTGGGACTGGCTTATTTCCTTTAGCAGGAGGTTTTCAAGGTTCATCCATGCTGCAGCATGCATCAGTACTTCATTCCCTTTCACGGCCAAATAGTATTCCATTATATGGATATACCATATTGTGTGTATCCATTCATCAGGAGATGGACATTTGGATTATTTCCACTTTTTGGCAGCCTGTACTTTTAACTTCTATGCTCCAGGTATTTCCCTAATCTGAAGTAATTCTCTCCCCAGCAAGATCCATCACCATGAGCCAAGAAGATAAAATTACTCTAAAGAAAAAGTTTCAGGGAGATATTTAATGACTCAGAGTTTTCATCTAGAATAAATGGGAAATAAGTTGTGAAGAATAATTCTCTTGTTTGGCAACCCTTTATTATGTCTCCACAATCTCACCTGTACTTTTAACTCATCCTTGCACTTACCTGATTGTCATGAATGCCACAAACTATTATTAAGGGCAAACTGTGTATCAGGAATTATGGGACACAGAGATCCTAACTGACTTCCTCAAGTCCCACAGCTCATCAGGAGCAAAGCTAGTCAAGGAATCCACATCCCCTGCCCTTAGGATCATTGCTTTTTCCTTTGCACCACAGGGTCTTCCTTACCTGTCTGAATCCTTAATACTGCAACACTTATCTATCCAAGAGAATGCCTGAACCAGCACATTTCTTTAAACTTTTCAGTATAGACAAGTTTAACATATGTAAAAGTAGAGAGAATAACGTAATGAGCCCCCATGTTCCTTTCACTCTGCTTCAAGACAATTATCAACTCATAAGCTATTTTGTTTTATTCGAACCCCTCCTACTCCTCCAGCAGTGCGGTGGTAAATGCAAAACCATCAGCTCTCCCTGGAGAAATCCCTGATTTGTAGATTTCTGTGGCTGACTTCAAGTTACCAGCATGATGTTGCCAACGGAGGATTGGAAAGAGATGTGCAGAAGCACAGTTATATAGTATTTTCACCACATAGATATAATCAATGCAATAATTTCAGGAGCACAGATCATAGTAATTGTAGTAAAATAACTAGCAAGCAGTAAGTTTTGAGTATTTATTAGCTTCTTAAAATTTTTTTAAGTGTAAGTTCATAGAATTTAATTTTTAATAATGACTCTTTACCACCAGCTCACAAAATTCCTGAAATTCTGACAATCAATTATTTCCAACAAGTACAACCTGGCTCTACCTCACCACTGCACTCTTCCATCCACAGATTACTTTAATTCCAGACATTACATTACTTTATCCATAAATATTTTAGCACGTATCTCTAAAAGATAAAGACTTTTTAAAAACAGAACCACAATATTATTATCACCTGTAAAAACTTTAGGCTGGGCACGGTGGCTCACGCCTGTAATTCCAGCACTTTGGGAGGCCAAGTCAGGAGGATCCCATGAGCCCAGGAACTGGAGACCAGCCTGGGCAACGTAGGGAGACCATGTATCTATAAAAAAAAACAACTAAAAATCTGCCAGGTGTGGTGGCACATGCCTATAGTCCCAACTACTTGGAAGGCTAAAGAAAAAGGATTGTTTGGGCCCAGGAGATCAAGGCTGCAGTGAGCCATGATCACGCCACTGTACTCCAGCCTGGGTGACAGAGCAAGACTCTATCTAAAATAATAATAATAATAATAATTCCTTAATATTCCCTCATTGTTCCCTAACTGACATGTAAATTCTTAATAGTTTGTTTAATTTAGAATGCAAATAAGGTTCCTAAACCTTTCATTGATTCATGTGGCCCAG
This sequence comes from Homo sapiens, assembly GCF_000001405.40. NCBI lineage: Eukaryota > Metazoa > Chordata > Mammalia > Primates > Hominidae > Homo > Homo sapiens. The sequence goes on along the minus strand of NC_000010.11, from coordinate 63,903,730 downwards.
AACACTGTTTTAATTTACAGTTTCTCTCTCTCTCTCTCTCTCTCTCATGCTCCCTGTCTCTTTTTCCATGCAAGTTGTTTGTTTATTTGTTGAAGAAATGAGAGAGTGGTTGCCCTTTCAGTTTTCTTTATTGGCAAAAGCTCTAACCTGGTAATAGAACTGGATGTCCATAAAGTACAAAGCATCTGCTCTGGGAATTCCACTCCTATGGGCACTTGTGGCTTAGCTCTTTAGGGTGGGCATCTGCTGCTCATGACCAATAGAGTCCTGGCCATGAAAATCCTAGTCCTATAATATGAAAATGGAGTTTTTTTAAAAATACTGAAATCAAAACAAACAAGCACGTATTTGGATAGTTAAAACACGGAGAACAGCACTCCAGCCCCCACCACCTGATGGGGAAAGAAATACCTGCCACCACATTCACAAGCCCGCTATCACCAGCTTTCAAAAATGGCAAGCCCACTCTCCTCCCGCCGCCCAAGATGCCGAAAGGAAAGAAGGCCAAGGGAAAGAAGGTGGTTCCGGCCCCTGCTGTCATGAAGAAGCAGGAGGCTAAGAAAGTGGTGAATCCCCTGTTTGAGAAACGGCCTAAGAATTTTGGCATTGGACAGGACATCCAGCCCAAAAGACACTTCACCCGCTTTGTGAAATGGCCCTGCTATATCAGGTTGCAGCGGCAGAGAGCCATCCTCTATAAGGGGCTGAAAGTGCCTCCTGCGATTAACCAGTTCACCCAGGCCCTGGACCGCCAAACAGCTACTCAGCTGCTTAAGCTGGCCCACAAGTACAGACCAGAGACAAAGCAAGAGAAGAAGGCTGTTGGCCCAGGCCGAGAAGAAAGCTGCTGGCAAAGGGGACGCCCCCACCAAGAGACCACCTGTCCTTCGAGCAGGAGTTAACACCATCGCCACCTTGGTGGAGAACAAGAAAGCTCAGCTGGTGGTGATTGCACACGATGTGGATCCCATCGAGCTGGTTGTCTTCTTGCCTGCCCTGTGTCGTAAAATGGGGGTCCCTTACTGCATTATCAAGGGGAAGGCAAGACTGGGACGTCTAGTCCACAGGAAGACCTGCACCACTGTCGGCTTCACACAGGTGAACTCGGAAGACAAAGACACTTTGGCTAAGCTGGTGGAAGCTATCAGGACCAATTACAACGACAGATACAGATACGATGAGATCCGCTGTCACTGGGGCAGCAACGTCCTGGGTCCTAAGTCCGTGGCTCGTATCGCCAAGCTCGAAAAGGCAAAGGCTAAAGAACTTGCCACTAAACTGGGTTAAATGTACACTGTTGAGTTTTCTGTACATAAAAATAATTAAAATAATACAAATTTTCCTTCAAAAAAAAATGGCAAGCCCAGGTCACCTTTTGTCACATTCTAGCAAAAAGCAGCAGAAGCAGGGTTGTAAGGCAAAGAGAAGGCTGACTAGTTTGAGGAAGAGTTGGCAGGTAATACTAGAAAGCTCAACTGTCTGAGATCTCATTAGAAAACATCAACCTTGAAACTTCAGCTTTCTCCTTTCCCAAGGAGTTCTGTGTGGGCTGCTAGGGTTTCGGCACCAGTTGTCACTGCAAATGTCGTTTGGCAGGGGCAAGAAGCACAGGAATCTCTGACATGCTTCTGAAGGGTTTCAGAGATGAATCAGCGCTTCTGCATTTTTCTTCTTATTTTTTTTCTTCCCAAATATAGTACCGGGAATGAAAACCTCGCTCATCCTATTTCCCAAACTTGGCAGTTAAGACAGTTTTATTGCACTGCTTTATTAAAGCGTAGCCATAGATTTACATAATTAAACCAAGGTCTGCTTTTCTCTCCCCCTGCATCTACATCTGTCACTCACTGCAGTGTAGCATGGTAATTCCAGCTCCTCTGCACAAGTGAGAACTTGGGAGGCTTGGGGTGGCATCACCCCCTGGTACCAAGGAATATTCTCTGATGGAAAAAGAGATGATGAGTTTTGACCATGAGTGGAGATAAATAATTTCTTGCCTTTCAGCAGGAAGCTACTGGGTCTTTTTCATTGCCTCTTAGAGCTGAAAGGGCCCTTGAAAATAATCTCATATAGAGGGTGCAATCTGGTAATTTGGGCCTGATTTGGCCCACATATTTTTTAATTTGGCCCTTGTAATGTGTATGTTTGCTTTTCATTTGAATTAGTTATCAATACTTAAAATTGAGAAATTCATATAAAAAGCCAAATTTAGGGCTTTTCTTGAAAAACTTGTTAGTGTTGTCCATGTGGGGGCCTTCATTTCCTGCACACCAGGCACCTCTGAGCTGACCAGCAGCTGCCCCCTTCAGGTAGGGCAGCGATCTGCAGTTACTCACAGTTGTCCCCACTCCTCTATCTCTGCATCCACCTGCAGTTCGCACGTACCTGACCCTGTAAAAATTTGAGTTTGTAAACTCCTTCACATTACAGGTTAAGAAGAGAAACTCCACACAGATTCCTAAGTAGTTAATGACAGATCCCAGGTTTCCTGACTCCAAACAGTATGAATAACCATTTATTTGATGGAGGTGTCCAAAGACCTGAATTCTGACTCCAGCTCCATCGCCTATTGGCTGCGGCATCTAAGCTCAAGATTGAACCTCACTGACACACACATTTCCTCATCTGTAAAATGGGGCTGATGGTAGCATGTTGTCCACCTCACTGGGCTTATGAGGACTAATGTGTTTATGGAAAAGTTGAGAAAAGGCAAAAACCCTATATAATCTTATGCTTAATATTATTAGTGGTATTTTCATGATAATATTTTCATTTGCAATTTCCAGCTCACAAATGTCTACATTATTCCAAAATATTATTTATTAAGTACACCCCTCAATTCAACTCAATGAGTCCTTACTAAGCATCTACTATGTGTCCAGGCTTATATGTTGATGTGCAGAAATACACGGGGAGATGAGATTGTAAGAACACAGTATAAATGAAATGACTGACAAAATATGTGGCATATAATACATAATACAAGTTATAAGTCTGTATGTTGCTTAAATAACATAAGATGGCTCCCAGAATTACATTTCCATAAGATGGCTCCTAGAACCTCAGAAGCCTGAGATAAGAACCTTTGCATTCTCTATTCTACAGTGTAACAGCAGCAGCATAAGTACTACCAATTATTGAATACCCATAAATGCACCAAGCACTGATCAGAGCACTTTACATGAATTATCCCCATTTAATTCCTCACCAACTCTATGGGGTAGGTGCTTCTTTATTCTGCTTTTCCAATTGAGGAAATTGAGACACAGAGGTCAAGTGACTTGCCCAAGGTCACACAGTAAGCAATGGAGCCAGTAATCTGAGCCATGCTCTTACATACACCAGTGTGCTGCTTCTCTCACTCCCACTCTGAATCAAGCTCCCTGTGACTTCCTTTAATCCTCCACACACACTCTCTGCCCTACCCCAACTCCAAGTCTCTTAAGCTCATTTCCTTGACATTTTTTAACCCCTCCAGCCCTCTCCTTTCCTCTACCAGCTTCTGCCTCTCCATTTCCTGTCACAGTCAAGCAAGCCCAGTCAGGAATATTTTCCCTCCTGCCTAGACCAAATTGTAATCATCACAAAGATGATTGTTTACTCATTGCCCTCATCACACTAATGCTTATTAGGCTCACATTACTGCTGAAAGGGAGTGTGACTTGATCTTCAGTGAGTCATTAAGTGCAACCAACACTCACCAAAGGAATTGTAAATTGATGGTTGTGATAATCCTCCTAATAATCAGTTTCTTTTTGATGACCTCCTTGTTATCAGCAAGTATGTTGAGTTGTTATAGAACCTTAATAGTCCCTGTGTTGGCAAGCCAGCCTTCTGGAGAGAGAGTCCAAAATGCACCGTGGATATGCATTTCGTGAATATGCGGGTGGGGTTACATGCACACAGATATTGATTTAAATTCTGCCTGGTTCCATAAACTACAACAAGATGCTACAAAAGAAAAGCAGGTGGAAAAGGAAAGAAAAGCAAACAAAGGATCACAAACTGGGACCAGAAGTAAAGCTAAAACTGCATAAGCACAGACACTACCATAGGCCACAGATTTGCCTCTTATGTTTTCAAGAGCCCACTGTGAAAGGAACAACTTGGTCATTTATTTCACTAACGGGTCTCTAATAAAAATATCTAAAATGGTTGGTGTAAGAAGTACAATTAATATTAACAAGACCACAAGGGAATTTCACCTGTAGAGTCCTTATAAGAGAGACTTTATAGAAAGTAAACAAGCAATGACCTCAGTAATACCCTTACAAGACTCACAAGGATAAGAGTCATCTGTCTTTCGCCTACCTTCATTGTAGATGATGGTAACATAGCCAAGCACAATTCAGAAAAAGTGATTCTTGGGGTAGGAGGAGGAGGAGGGATGAAGGTGCGCAAAAGGTTGAATCTGCATATATTAATATATGTTAGTACATATTATATATGCGTTAATATGTAATTTTTTTAGTTGTTACCAAAATGTACCAATTAAAGGGATATCTGTTATACTACCTGCAAGTATAGTGAAAATATTAGCCAGCAACTAAGATTCCTACAACTGGTAAGTATAATCATAACTGAGTTTGCTTCCTGACCATGCCTCTCTTAAAATCATGGTAAATCTAAAAACATTACTAGTTCCAATGTGTATGCCTCTGCCTCTTATTTCCCCAGAGCTCACAGTTTTCCCTGTGAGCAGACAGTCTGTGATTAAATACTTGGGCTCAGGAACCAAGCAGCTTGAGTTTCAATCCTTACGTCCTTTATGACTTTGAGTGGGATATTTGACCTTTTTATGCTCTCATTTTTTGTAAAATGGAGGTTCCTAATAGTCTCTACTTCATAAGGTTATTGCAAAGATTAAATATTAATAGATGTAAAACCCATGAAGAGTGCCTGGTACACAATAAGCACTCACAATAAATATTGCCATTGTTGTTGTTGTTGTTATCATTATTCCATGAAACTGAGTCTTAGTTTTTGTGTGCTGCCTTCTCACTAAACAAGAGCCATTGATTAGGAAGATCATGGGTCTCTGGGGGCTTTCCTTCAGAAAGAACTTGATAATACTATCAGTAATCTCTAGTTATTCCATGATTTGCCTCCCAATTAGATTGCAAGTTCTATAGCATAATAGATATTACATAGTCCAGCCTTCTCATTTTACATTTGCTGGAGAAAACAGATTGTCAGTGCAACTAAGTAATCTCCAAGGTTAAACAGCCAGTGACTGGCAAACCAGATCAAGAAATAAAACCAGCTGGGCACAATGGCTCACGCCTATAATCTTAGGCACATTGGGAAGTTGATGCGGGAGGATGGCTTGAAGCCAGGAGTTCAAGACCAGCCTGGGCAACATAATGAGAGTCCATCCCTACAAAAAAAATACTAAAATTAGCTGGGTGCAGTGGCATGCACCTGTAGTCCCAGCTACTTGGGAGTGGCGGGAGGATCACTTGAGCCAATGAGTTTGAGGCTGCAGTGAGCTCTGATGGTACCACTGCACTCCAGCCTGGGTGAGAGAATGAGATCGTGTCGCTATAAAAAAATAAAATTAAAAATTAAAATAAAAAAAAAGAAGTAAAATCACTTGACTTCCAGTCTAGTCCTTTTACCATTAGGGCATCTGTCATCCCACCAAACCTATGACACACAGCAGCCTCTTCTACTTTCTTATCTATTTCTTAGTATAATGATGATTCTCAAATGTTCCTTGCCTACCCAGACCCTTCTCCAGTGCCACCCAGCCAACCACCTGCCTAACACTGTCACCTGGTCATCTCACAGGCATTTCAAATTCTACTTGTTCTGATGAAACTCATCTTCTTCTCTAATATGAAAATTCCCCTGCATTTTCTCTCCCTACTGTCCACACAATAACACACGCAGAAAAATCAAATTTGTCCCTGATTCCTCCCTCTCTCTTATCCCATATACCCAGACTCTGCAAGCATTGCTTACAACACCTACAAATTATTTCCCAAATGTGTCCTTTCCTAATAATCCCTAAATCACTGCCTTAATTTGGTTTAAACTTTTCTGCAGCCATTCGACTTGTTCCTCTTAAGAAATTATAAGCTCTCAAGAAAAGCAGAAAGTAAATAGCACTTACTGAGCCCTTATTGCATGCCCAGACACTGTGCTAGGAGCTTATATGTGCTGTGATCACGACTCACATGGTATCCTAATTTTACAGATGAGGAAACCGAAGCTCATTCAAACTGTTTATAAATGCTGGAATGATGTTTGAAAACCAACAAGAGCTATTGTAACAGCCTAAAACTATTGTTATCAGAGCCTATTACAACTCTAAACCCAAGGGAAAGAGGAGGGAGTAGTTACCAGTACCCAGAAGAGAGAGTAGCTGTATGGGAAAGGCCTTCCATCAGGAGCTGTGGCATTTAGTAGAGGCATGCAGCCAACCACAACGAATAGGTAAGGAGAGAACTGGAAAAAAAACTATCTTGATTCCCTCTCCTCCTTCCATCAGCCAAATCCACCTGGAACCTGAGTAGCAAGACAGCTCATCAGTGAAATCCATGAGTCAGCCTCCGCAGTCCCAGAACAGGGTATCGAAGACAGAAGGTAGATCTAGAGAGGCAAACAGAAGAAATCCAGCAGCACATACAACTCGTAAACGATGGAGCCAGGATTTAAACTTAAACCTCAGTGGTTCTGCATTCCTTCCTACAAGTCTATGAATTTATAATATTGTGAGGTTTCTATGGGCAGAGAATATTTCTGTCATATAGGAAGCATTGAGTAATTATTTACTGAACTGAACTGAAACTAGACAGAATCTAATTTCATGGCCCAAGTGAGCAGGGCCTCTCCTTGGAAGCTTTGTAAACTGAGTTATATATGTTTAAGTGTTCACTTATCTCCCTTTCTTAAATCACTCTACCTTACACTGGAGTAAACCTTTCTATAAAGGGCCAGAGAGTAAATATGTTCAACTTTGCAGGCCATATAGTCTCTTGTCACTACTACACCACTCTTCACTTCACTCAGAGTGAAGGCAGCCGTTGACAATACATAAACAAATAGGCATGGCTGTGTACCAATAAAACTTTACTTTTGGAATGTGAAATTTGAATTTCATACAATTTTCATGTGTCACAAATATTATTCTTTTTTAGAATTTTTTCAACCATTTAAAACTGTAAAAAAAATTATTAACTCACAGGTTATGGAGAAATAGGCAGTAGGCCACATTTGGGATGTGGGCCAAAATATGCTAAACTGTGTCTTAATGAGTCCATCTGAATGCTCAGGAAATCCTCTGGGGCAGATCATCACACTTGTAAGGCCCTTCCTGACTACCATGCCTGTTTAAAACCTTATCTGACCTGTGCCTCATCTCCTCCAAGTCTTGTCAACTAACCACGCTCATCTGAAGAAGTAGTCCAGAGTGAGGGCTTACCTTGTGATTATGAGGTACTCTCTGCTCAGTGAAAACCACTGTGGTAGCTGCCATTTATTAGCTCTTACAATGTGCCAGTGACTGTACTAAGCACTTTACATGGATGATCCTATTTAAACCTCACAACAACTCAAATCAAATTCCAAACAGCAGCAGCATAAATGATTAAAGCAAGCCAGAGATAATGGTGGGGATATTGGCAAGTAAGAGCATAATGCTCTGTCTGAAAGGAACTTTACTGCCAAAAACCAAAAAAGGCACTGAAGTGAATATAGAGGCATATGACTGAAGGACTGAGATGGTCTTGCTGAGGTCACTCAACCATGAAATAAGGGAACTTCTGCCTAAGAAGGAGGGTATCCTTATTTCCCAGGGTAGATGGACATTTATCTGCCCTTATCAATAAGGGGGAATAGCAGTGGGATTTAGAGGCTTTAAAGTCTCATTCCCAATGTGCATGTAAAAGTATAATCCCTGCCTTTCCAACACTTCTAAAAAGCATTAGCTCTAGAAAGACAATGAGAGTGGAAAGAGCACAGATTCTGGTAATCCTACAATCCTGACTCTAGGATTTAGACAAGGGGAGATCTCAGATAAATTAGTCTTTGGGTTTCAATATAACATCTACCTTACAAGATAATAGTGAAGATTAAATGAGAGCATGTATGAAAATATGAGCAAAATGCCTAACTTGTAGTAGCCATGTAAAGCGGGTCTCAGTACATGGGAGGTAGGAACAATCTCTCTTGGTCTAAGCTTAGGTTTTACTGAGCCAAGCTTTCTCCTAAAGAGCAGCTCAGAGAAAGAACTCCAAACACTTCTCCCGCAGACTCATCCTGTGAATCCAGTCCAGCTCAGGATGCCATACAACAATTCATAGCTGACAGTTCACTTTCTGAGGGAGCTGGTAGAATATGATGAGTTTCAAAGTCATTTGCACTAACCCGGCTTGGAATTTACTCAGAGTTTGTACACTTTGAAAAGCTTTCATATCCTCGGTTTGCACCCCAGAAAGAATAACAAATTTCATTTTGAGGTTGACAAACCTCCTTTATCCATCCCAGGCTCAACCACCTAGAAATCAGAGCCTTTGGACTAGGAATTGATTGTTGTCAGCTTGTCAAGAGAAATCATACTCAAAGAGACTATTTCCTCACTGTCCCTGCCAGCACCATCAGCCTGCATCACCCCACACACCACCATCACCTATTTGTTTCCCCCATTTGCTTTTACTGTATAACAATCATTACAAACATCTCTTCCATACCACATCACCCATTGTAAGTACTTAAGAACAGGGGGGACCACGGCTTATCCTTCTTCGGTGACACCATATCACTTGATGAAACGGTGCAGGTACAAAATTGAGGGACTCAGATGCCCAGGTAAAGAGTTCAAATATCAATCTGAAGAAGAGAGAAAGGCCATTGATGGTTTTGGATTAGAAGTAATATAGCATGGTCAATGCAATATTTGGGGGAATTTTCTCTGACAGTACATACATGAAACATTGGAAAGAGGGAAAATAAGAGAAGAAAAAAATTAAAATCCAGCAGACCCATTAAGAAATAATTATAATCAGTGAAGCCTGAGATAGTGAGTGTCTAAAATACAATCGTAGCAACAAACAGGGAGAGGAAAGGATGGTTTTAAACACATTCTGAAGATGGTGAACTACAGTATCCTCCAGGGTAGGAACCACAGCTGAGTTATCTTTGTGACTCCATTTACTCAGGACTGATATGCAGCCAACATCTGCCAATGCAGCTCTACCAGCTGTTAAAATACTGAAACACTTCATTACTTGTGAATATTGAAAGCACCCCTTTCCTGAAACCATGACCCACCCAACCCCGTGCATGCCCCACCACCTTAGCCCTCCTGGAACTCCCTGAAACAATGCCTCTTCCAAATCCAGGAACTGAAGAGTTTACGCCTAGCGCAAGCGAAGGCTTTGAGGACCTTGCTCCTGTGCTAAAGCTGATATAATTTCTGATTGGACAGTCTCCTTGCTGACTGTTACATAAAATCATGCCTTTCTGTTTAGCCCAGCTCCTGGTATACAGTAAGTCATGAAGGAAAGAAGGAAGTGATGGGAGAAGGGAAGGAGGAAGGAAGAGAAAGACAGAAGGAAAAAGAAAGGAAGGAAAGAGAGGAGGAGGAAGGGAGGGTAGGAGAGGAGGAGGAAGGGACAGTGGGAGAAGAAGAGAAAGGAAGAAAGGAACAGATTTTGATGACTGATTGGATATGGAAACAAATGAGCAAAGAAGTCCTATACAACCATGGTCATACAGACTTATGTGGCTGTGTGGTTATTGTTTTCTTTCAGAAAAAGGGAAGCAGAAGGAATAGTTAGGGCGAGATAAAGAAGGGTATGTTCTCTTAAAAATAAACTGCATTTGAGCAAAAGCTCATATGGGAGAAATAAAAATCAGGAAGGATTGGTTGGAAGCTGTGTAGTCCATTCATTCCTCTCTATACTCTAAAATCTACCTCTTGGATAGCCCAGGCCAGAGGAGAGCTGTGAATCTTATGGACATCCTTCAAGAAACTTCTTTAGGCTCTTGAGGTCCAGTGATTGTTCTACTTCTGAGAAGCTGGATGGCTTTTATTATACAGACAATGAACTGTGTAACTAATCTTAGTTAGTCCTGTAAAGCCAAATCTGTGGTCCTCCTGCAGCATGTGTACCTCTGGGGAATCCACTCTATGGCCCTATTCTTGTTTTTCTTATTTTTCCCCACCCATCTCTAATTTGTGTTATCTTGTTACATGACATGTAAGCTCACTTAAACTGTTTTTGAACAAAGAGGGGAGTAAGGTAACTCATACTGAATTTGAACTAAAGATGGGATATTCCAATGAAAATATCCAGTTGATCCAAATGTCCAAAATCAGTTCTTCATTGGGTTTCAGTGTGTGGGAGGCACTGTGAGAACTGCATAGATGTGGAAGACATGACCTCTCAGAGCTCACAGTCTTTGGAGACAATGAAAATAAGCATACATCAGAAAAGATGGCACAATCTGTCAAGTAGCACTTGATTAACTGCAGAGTGAATATCACTTGTAAGTACTTGAAGGAGAGAGTGAAATCCATGTTAGTCATCCCTTGTGTCCTATGTGCTGAAAATGTCCCTCGGTGCTGCTATACAATACAAGGATGGGGCTTCTGCGCCTTGGAATTTCATTTTATTTGGTATGTGAGCACCACTATGGTTGGATTCTCTCCAAACCTGCAGATACACATCGCCCTTGTTATTTTGGGTGCTTTGTTTTGTTTTGTGGGGATACCCCACTGATTTGATGACGTGGCTGCTCATTCTCAAAACACAGGCAAAAGAATGGAAAGGCAAGGGAAACCCAAACAGTGAGCCCAGAGGAAAGATAGAAATGAATTTATTAACAAAATATACCAACTATCTAAAGCAGTCATGTGCCATCAACACAAATTAATTATCAAAAGATGATTAGAAATGTATGGTGAAAGAGACAAAGAAAACCTGTATTTGCCTCTAAATAGCCATTACCTCTTTCATCCTCATTGCCTTTTTTGTAAAAACAGTAAAAGCAAATCCTTGCCACATTCTCCCTGAAACCAGAGGTCTTCCAGGTAGGCAGCCTCATGTCAGCATTCCAAATGATAGAAGGATAAGTCATGGCCCCAGCCTCATGGGGCTGTGTGGGTCCCATGAAAAAATTCTCTAAAAGCTCTTGGAAAATGTACCAAATGCTACATACACATGCCCAGGAATTTATTTTTAGGGTGGAAACAAACAGGTCCTTTAAGATGTCTTCAGCAAGCTGAGGCAATTCCAGATCAAGAAAGGCAGATAATTCTGGAGTCACGTGCCTTTTCTAAAAGTTCAGAGCTGGAAACCATTCCAGAAGCCCTATGCAAAGGTCTAGCACCCCATGAGTAGATAGAGAGATACCATCCGTCTACAGGAAATAAAAGGTCATTTAGACAAGCTTGCCAGAACAAAAGTTTAAATTCCAAGATTGGCTTTCTCTAAGCAAAAATGTGCCAATGTCTCCAGTCTCATTCTATGCTCATAGGTGCTTGTTTCCCACACCTGGAGAACCCCTCTCTCTTGGATCTACCTCCCCACCAGACCCTAAAGAATGCCAAGAAGTGACCCACTCAAAAACAGTCTCTGAGAACCTACAAAGTCCCAAGCACTGTGCTTGGCACTGTGAATACAGAACTGAAACAAGGTCTTGATTTTCTAAAACCAGAGATTCTAGTGAGGCTACAAGCCAGCAAATTAGCAATCTCAAAACAGAAGGTTGCTCTGAGATGGTAAGCAATGGTGGCAACAAGAGTATTGAGGGACATAGCCAACCTAAGAGCAAGGAATGGCAGCCCCAGCCATGGCAGCTCAGGAGCCAGCCTGATGACATGACATTTGTCCTTTGGCTGTGAAGGGCTGCAGCAGCTTCAAAAGCTATGTCAACCACACAGAGGCCTGGAGACCAAAAGGAAGCTCTGAGAATTCCCTGTAAAATATGCAAAAGATGGTAGCTCCAGCTGAGCAGATGCTCAAGAGAAGCCCCAACTGTGTCGTTAACAGTAATGTCGTCTTTTGCCAAGTCCAAGAAGCCTCTCCTCGGCCTGTAGCCCCACACGTTTATGAGGATTCTCCTCCACCTACCCCAATGCTCCCCTGAATCAACACCCCCATGGAGCACCCCAATGGGTGTTTCCCTCCCTTTAAAGCTCAAAAAGGAAAAATAAAAGGTAAGATGCAAAAAGATTAACATTTTCAAAGTAAAGTTTTTTTAAATCTGACTTTTCTGAAGCCCCTTGGTGCCTCCCTCTGGTTCACCATGAATGACCAGGACAGACAGATTCCAGCCACCTTGGGATCCCAGCCATACCAAAAAGGACCAAGGGAGTGACAGATAAGTGGGAAACTAAAGAAAAATATGTGGAATTTTCAGGCTGAACTGAGAGCCTGAAATTCCTTAAAGAGTGAAATATAAATACTCATTGTCAAAGGCCATATATGTAAATTCAGCAATTTGTTGAGAAATAGAACTAGTTGTAAACTTAATATTAATAGGAGCTAGGGATAAAATAAGACATAACTCTTGCTTTCACAGAGGTGACAGGTGAGACAATAAATAAACCATGACCCTAGAGAGTAAGTATTAATAACAGACATACAAGATACTGAGAGAAGGGAGAGTAATTAAATGGAACAGGGACAAAGGGGAAAGAAGGAGGAGGGCAGATCATGGCAGACTTCCTAGAGCAGTTGACTTTTGAGTTGACTAATTAATGCTAAAATATGAATGGCCTGTACACAAACATTTATAGCAGCATTATTCATAATAGCCAAGAAATGAAAACAATCCCAATGTCTGTCAGCTGATGAATGGATAAACAAAATGTGATATATCCATATAATGAATATTATTCAGCCATTAAAAAAATGAAGTATTGATACATGCTATGACATAGGTAAACCTTGAAAACATTACACTAAAAGAAGCCAGAAACAAAAGACCATAGATTGCATGATTCCATTTATATGAAATTTCTAGAATAGGCAGATGCATAGAAACAGAAAGTAAATTAGTAGTTGCCTAGGGCTGGCATTTTGGGAGAAATGGGTATGGGTTTTCTTTTGAGAGTAATGAAACTGTTCTAAAATCGATTATGATGATAGATGCACAACTCTGTGAATACTCTAAAAACCATTGAACTATACACTTTAAATGGGTGAATTGTATGTGAATTACATCTCAATAAACCTGTTTTTTAAAAATGCAAGTAGCCTCTTATGCCTTAATTATTAGTTGATAACTGCTTGTCTGCAGGTACTTTGAAAACTTCACCTCAATGGTCTGAGAAACGCAGGTACTTTCAATAGACAGAAAGAGTAAAGGAGATATTCTGGTCACCAGGTCTCCTGCTTTGCCCATGCCAGGAGCACACCGGCATTTCCCCGTGCCTGAGCAGGCTACCTCTCTCCTTACCATCATCAGTCTGTTCCTATGACAATTTGCATTAGCCCTATTTGGAGGTCCTCGGAGACATCCCTTTGTGCACTAGTCATGTGGAACAGCAGGCTGGAAATACTAAAATGCTCATTACTGCATGGAAAAATGATCTCAGGCTAATTCTTAAATGAACATTTGATTCAGTATAAGTCTGATATAATCTCTCCTCTTTCTGACAATGATTCCACTATGCTACCATCTGCAGAATTCCGCTTTCTCTCTGAAAGCAACTTCCTGCCTGGATAATACAGTCAGTGGAAACGCAAAAGGAGAGCCATATGTCACAATACATGCACATTGCATTCCATGCTCGCTCTCTTGTCCCACTATTATTTTTCATGCCAGTCACTAGTTATGAGCGTTTGTTGCTTTAAATGACTTCCTCCAAAGATATGCTGGATTCAAATTCAATTAGAAGTGGAAAGGAAAAACACAGCAAGCAGCTTTCTCCTTATGTCCAGCTCAGTAGGAACTCAGATTCTGAATACTGCCCAGGAGATCTTTAGCCATCTTTCCTCACATACGGTTTCCTTTTCCTATAATTTAAAAGGACTAGGATGAATGAACAGACACCTGAACAATTCTGTGGGCTAAGCAGAACCCCCAGGAGTCAAATCTGTAGGTTGAATTCTCCAAGTTCATACAACAGACGCTCCAGTTAATTTTCTCATGTGACCCGCATTCCTTCCCAGACTATCTTTCCTGCAGTCTTTTTTAAGCAGACAAGAGCCCATGGAACCCGCCCTCTGACACACTGGATTGAAGCGGAAGGAGCACCTGGGATAATCAATGTCTCTCTCCCGAAAATGTGGAATTGGAACAAAGAGACTATATATAGTGAGTTGAATTTGGATGTGGGAGCTTAAAGGTCACGTTTGGTGGAGGGTAGAGGGAAGAGCTGGGCCAGCCATTTCTTAAAGTGTACAAGAAGCAACAAAGAAACCCATGTGGGGTGGAGAAGAGAACAAAGCCAAGAGAAGAAGGAGTCTGAGAAAAAAAAAATGTAGTGATCTCCCTAACTCTAGGTTTCTCATCCTCAGCATTATCAACACTTGGGGCTGGATCATTCTTTGTTAAGGGAACTGTGCTGTGCACTGTAGGAGGTTTAGCAGCGTCTGTGGCCTCTGCCCACTAGAAGTCTGTAGCTCACATCTCCCACCCCAGGGTAAAAAACATAACTATCTCTATACATTGCCAAATGTCCCCTAGACAGCAAAGTCGCCTCAACTTAAGAACCACTGCCCTGACTAAACATTTGTTTATTTATCCCTCAACAGGCATTATGCAGGGCAAAACCCAAGTCATCCTCAACTCTCATCATTCATATCCTGCATCCAATCCATAATTAAAATCAGCCACCTCTGCCTTTGAAATATACCCAGAATCCAATCATTTCTCATGACATTCATTTTGACAACTCTGGTCCAAGCTACCCTCATCTCTCCCTGAATTATCCCCAAAGCCTCCCACCTGGCCACCCTCACTCTACCCTAGCCCGCACCAGAACATTTTCATATAGCAGCCAAAGAGAGCCTTTTAAAATGAAAGTCTCCTCATGTCACTCTCCTACTTCAAACCCACCAAGGTCTTCTATCACTATAAGGACCAGTCAGAGTCTTTATATTGGCCTATAAGATCCTTGAAGATTTTGCCCCCACTTGTCCCTCTAATTCACTTCTTACTGCTATCCCCCTTACTCATTCCACTCCAGTTCCGTTGACCTCCTTGCTGTTCCTCAAACATGTTAAGCACATTCCTGTCTCCAGGCCTTTGCAAAGGCTGTTCCCTCTGCCAAGAATGCCTTTCCCCCAGATATTTGGCTTGCTTCCTCATGTCATTCAGATCTCTACCCAAATGTTTCCATATCAGAAGGGCTTCTGTGATTACCCTTTTTGAGATAGCAACTCCCATTGCCTCTCTTCCCTACCACCCCTACCCTGCTTTACCCCATGTATTCATTGTGTTTGTTTATTATCTGTCTCTCCATCTAGAATATAAACTCACAAGAGCACAGCTTTGCCTTGTTTACTGCTGTGTCCACCAGCCTCTGACCTAAGCAGTGATGGCGCTGCTGAATGATGTGCGGACTACTGTGAGTGCAAAGATGATCACTCTATTGCTTTATCAGAGCAAAACTGGAAATAATCTAATTCTCTAACAATGAGGCAATGGTTAAATAAACTATGACTTATATGTGCAGCGATTTAAAAACTTATGTATTCAAGGTTTCCCAGGTTAAATTGAAATCTTGCCAGTAAACCCTAACATAACTTCCACCAACTCCACAAAATACTTGTGGAACCCAGACATAAATGAAAACTGATGTAACTGAAAACTAGGGTTGTATATCAACCTGTTCCCAGAATCTGGGAGGAATTTTCATTAATAACAAAGAAAATAAAACCAGACTCTCTTGTAACTTCCAGAAACAGAGTCTGTACACTTGAAAGTAGGTAGATGTACTTGTCAGTACTCCCTACTTCCGGCTCCCTGAATTAATCAACTAGTATTTACTGTGCAAATACCAAATATTGAAAGCTGTCCAAAATGCTTTAAGGTTATAAAGATGTCTCAGACCTTAATAATAATCACCAGAGCAGTAACTATTATGCCACCCTACCTTTGAATGCTCTGCACTGCTGAAGCACACACACTCCAACAGGGACTATCTTGCGTGATCTTCATGATTGCACTGAGACAGGCAGAGGAAGGTTTGCTTTCCTGTTTGACCTCTTTTCAAGAAAAATTTATCAGACTGGGATAAAAACAGGGTGTTCATCTGAAAAGATTGTCCCAGCTGGAGTATGTACTGAGAGGTGTGCAGAGGAAAGAAAACCACTACACGTGGATGAAGCATCCAGCGACTGCCATCAGAGGGAGCCATCACAACACGCAGACCGGAAGGTGCAAAGGGAGGCAATAGCGCCACGGGAGCCCAGCGAGGGCCCCCAGCCGCAGCAGTGCGGCTGCGCAGTGGGAGTTGTAGCCATGGGAACAACCTAGGGACCTGGCAAGGAAAGACTAGGCCAGACCTTAGCACCCCCTGTCAGGGACTTCCTGCTGGTTAATCCTGCTTCCTCTGCCAGCAGGAAGTCAGCTAGCAAAGAAGCCCCAATGATATAGTCTACAGCAGGCAGCCTGCCAGGGTGCAGAGCAGGGTAGAAAATGGATCGGAAGGGCAAAGGTGAGGTAGAGTTGGGAGACTTACCTGAGGTCACATAGTCAGCTTCACCTGATTGTCAGGAAAGTAACCCTGTGAACCCTAGCTGGGGAGAAGAACCTAAAGGCAAGAGAGAGAACCGTTCTATAGGACCCGGGAGGATTTGCCATCATCTGAAGGAAGGTAGGGTTCCATACAGTCTCTGGAAGATGAGGTAAGAATAGTCAGTGATCCAGTTTGATTATGTAACCACATGGAGCAAGAGCTCTAAATTTACCATTGAAAATATCTTCCCAACAATGTCAGGCAGAAAATTGTTAGGCCAGCCGGGAAAGGCTCAGGTCTGGGAAGAGTCATTCCAAACCCAGAAAAACAATGACTCAGAAGAAATGATCTTCCATTTCCTAATTCTTAATTCTTAATACCAAATAAAATCCTTCTTTTTGCAAGCTAGAGATTCCCAGCTAATCATGCTGTGTTTTGCTCTGATTAACCTTTGATATAGGCATTTCCTCTTTTTTTCTTTTTTTTTTTTTTTTTTTTGGTTGTTTGATGCCAAGCTCTCCTTAAAGGTCAGTGAGCATCATACCTAATCTGGCTTCTAATTACATTTGTAAACATTTCAGAATGAATAAATGCCAACATAATTAACCACCCGGCATATTATCTGCTCTCTCCCTTTGCCCAGAGTACAGATATCCAGCAAAGGAGCAGCCCAGGCTCCTCTGACACTCATATTTGTGATATGGAAATTATTTGATTGAGTCTATTTAAATCAGAGTTTCCTAAGATTCATTGTCAGGCCACTACTAGGCACAAAGATCACCTGAGGATCATAGTAAAAATACAGATTCCCGAGCACTTTGGGAGGTCGAGGCGGGCAAATCACGAGGTCAGGAGATCAAGACCATCCTGGCTAACATGGTGAAAACGCATATCTGTTAAAAATACAAAAAAAAAAAAAAATTAGCCGGGCACGGTGGCGGGCGCCTGTAGTTCCAGCTACTCAGGAGGCTGAGGCAGGAGAATTGCGTGAACCTGGGAGGCGGAGCTTGCAGTGAGCCGAGATAGCGCCACTGCAGTCCAGCCTGGACGAAAGAACGAGACTCCGTCTCAATTAAAAAAAAAAAAATACAGATTCCCAGATCCTAGTCCTAGAATTCTAATTTGTTCTGGCTGGGGTGGGGCCTAGAAATCTGCATTTCTTCCTTATATTACTTTTCCAATACTGATATAAAATCCAGTTTGTAAGCCACTGATTTAGATCATTTTTCCCTTGGCATGAAGTCCATCATACTCAGTCATCTCTACTCTTATCCCCTAGTCCATAGTACCCCTTACTTGCAGGCTCTTTTATGACATTTTACCTTCTAAAGCACATTATCCTGACTCCCTCTCTTCTAATTGAGAGGGGCTAGATGATCTAAAAATTTCCCTTCAGCTTTAACTTTCTAGGAATTTATGATTCACTGGCACAGAAACGGTAGAGTGAAAATTCAAGCATTGCATAATTTGTCCCAAGGCCTATCAGTGGTCCATCCAGTGTTAATGGCCTTCTTCATTCTACTAGTGAACAGAGTCACCAGGCCAGCACCTCCACACCTGTGACCAAAGGCAAACCCAGGGCCAACATGGCAGGCTGGGCAAAGAAGCTGAAGCAAGGTCCCAGCTCTTTCTAGGACCCACATTAAAACCTAAGGACTACTTGCCAGGCCAATTGGCTTCACAAACACTATGTCATCTCTCTGGGAGTAAAAAAGTAGGCACCAAGACAAGGGAAATCCCCCAATAAGATGACTAACTCTCATCCTTAGCAGGCTGTGTCCCCAAGCCTGTACAAATCCTCAAGTCCTGCTCTGTCTTAGGGCTTTTGTGCTACTATAACAAAATACCATAAGCTGAGTAATTTGTAAACAATAGAAATTTATTTCTCATATTCTGAACACTAGAAGGTCCAAAATCAATGCACTGGCAGGCTCAGTGTTTGGTGAGGGCTGCTCTTTGCTTCCAATATGTTGCTGTGTTCTCACATGATGGAAGGGACAGAGGGGCAAAAGGAGGCGAATTCATTTCCTCATGTCCTTTTAGAAGTGCTAATCCTATCCTTGAGGGTGAAGCCCTCGTGACCTAATCACCACCTAAAGGCCTCACCTCTTAATATTGTTGCACTGGGGTTGTGTTTCAACATGAATTTTGAAGGGGACACAAACACTGAAATCATAGCACGCTCAGACTGCCCTTTTCCCCAGACGGCTTCCAACTCTAACTCACTATGCTTGCAGCAATTCCCAATCTTGGTAATATCATCCCCCTAGAGAACACTTGGAGATGGGAGCTGGGGGGACCGGGACTGGCTTTTTTGGTTGTCACAATGAGAGCATGCTGGAACTTTGGCAGGGAACCTAAAAATCATGCAGTGGGCAAGACAGTTCTGCACAACCAAAACTGTCTCACCCAAAATGCCATTAGCACCCATACTGTGAAATCAGAATCACTTACAGTCTGAGCCACACAATTTAGCCCTTAATTATAGCTCTTTGTCAGGAGAATTTATTGCAGCATTGTTCAGGTAGCAAAAGCCTAGAAACAACCTAAAAGACCATTGATAAAGGGGCTATTAAATAAAGCGTGCTATATTCATACAAAAGAATTCCATTAGAATGAGGGAGATCAATATGTACTGATACAGCACAATATCTGAGATATTTTATGAATTTTAAAAAGCAAAGCACAGGAGAGTATTATAGTATGTCTCGTTTGGTATTTTGGCAAAAGGAAAGGTGCTATATGTACGTATATGCCTTTATATAGAAAGAATCTCTCAGAGAGCACTAAGAAACTGATTAGAGGGAAAGAGAACCAGGGCAAGAAGGGTAGGGGTGGGAGAGGAACTTACTTTCTACCTTCAGTACTTTAGAATTTTTACTATGTATTTTTTAAATATGAATAGCATCTCTTTGGTACTGCTGTTGTTCTGCATTTGTTTGCTTTGCCCCCTGCAACTATACATTAAGTTCCTTGCAGGCAGATATATTCCCCAGGGCACTTAGCACAAAGCAGGTGCTGGATATATTTCTATTGATTTATAAATTAATGGATTTCTGAAAGAACTCAAGCCAGGAAAATAATTCCTTTGAAAACCAAAATACGTACCCAGGCAGACAGAACCAACTGGGAGCTTTTTTCAACCTGGGCTTTCATGCCTGTCCCTCATTCAGAGGGAATTCAAAGAAGATTAGAGTGAGGCTGGGGATTTTACCAAGATGGGCCACTTTTTCCACTTCAGCTACGCCACATTCACTCTAAGCTACTAGACTGACCTTTGTAATGTCCCACCTGTGCGATGCCAATTAAGATGCTGAGGACTTTTACCTACGTTAACTCATTTGCCTCTTAACGATCCCATGAGACAAATACATTCACCTTCATATCTTAGGAGAATGGGATGCAAAGGTTATGACTTACTCAAGACCACAGAGAATTTGAAGTTAGGGTCATCTAATGTTTAGTGCTTTTTCCTATACAAAGCTATAAAACACAATCTGGCCTGTCTTCAGAATGACAGGACGGCAGAGTTACATCTGCGGGACCACATCTCAGGACCTCCACCTACAAGCTTGAGACTTAGGGCAAATTAAGTGGCTCCCCTGGCCTCATTTCTTCATCTGAAAACAAACAAAAAGACAGTGCTTCCCTACCAAGGTTATTGGGGCTGGAATAAAATGATATGCTCTATAAAAAGCATTAAGCTTTGAATCTGAGTCACAGTAGAAGCTCAATAAATATAAATTTATTTCTTCTTCCTCCTTTCATGCTACCAGAGTTGCCCCTCCAAAATTCAATTTAATATGATAACATTTTCTATTCTAATGTGTTTATATTGAAACTTTCCAACACTTTTTTTGCACTACAAAATTCAAGATATTGGTGACCCTCTACCCCTCTATTCTTTTTTTTCTTTTTCTTTTTTTTTTTTTTTTTTGAGATAGTCTCACTCTGTAGCTCAGGCTGGAGTCCAGTGGTATGATCTGGGGCTTACTGCAACTTCTGGCCTCCTGGGTTCAATCGATTCTCCCTGCCTCAGCCTCCCTAGTAACTGGAACTACAGGTGCCCACTTCTACACCTAGCTAATTTTTTGTATTTTAGTAGAGACGGGGTTTCACCGTGTTGCCCAGGCTGGTCTTGAATTCCTGAGCTGAGGCAATCCACCCGACTTGGCCTCCCAAAGTGCTGGGATTACAGGCGTGAGCCACTGCACCCAGCCGACCCCTCCATTCTTTAAAAAGTTACTGCAATTTTTTAAAGTTCTGGGCCAGATGCGGTGGCTCACCCCTGTAATCCCAACACTTTGGGAGGCTGAGGCATTTGGATTACTTGAGGCCTGGAGTTAGAGACCAGCCTGGCCAACATGGCAAAACCCTGTGTCTACCAAAATACAAAAACTAGCCAGGCATGGTGGCATGTGCCTGTAGTCCCAGCTACTCAGGAAGCTGAGGCACTGAGAATCACTTGAACCCAGGAGGCAGAGGCTGCAGTGAGCCAAGATTGTGCCACTGTACTCCAACCTGGGCGAAAGAGAGAGACTATGACTTGGAAAAAAAAAAAAAAGTCCTGGTTGGGTTTCATGAAGACTTTAACAGGGACTTTTATTACCATTCTTCAGGAAAGGCAGTGGTTCGCCTAAAAGGACAGGTGTGACTTGCTCCTGCCAGTGTGGAAAATAAACAGACAATTAATTGCTTTGGATCATGGTGATAATGATGAAAACAATAATGAAACAAAAGTTTGTTTCATTAAAGTATTAACGATTTTAAATTGTCTAAATAGAAAGTATGATTTTGGCATGAAAATTCTCATGTTAGTACCCATGTCATTACCTCTATTAAGTAAATTTAAATGAACAGAGGGAGTAATGTCAGCAAGGTGGCAGAATATGAGGTCCTTGCTCATATCTCCTCACAGAAACATTAATTTGTCAGCTATCAACAGACAAAAGTACCTTTATGGGAGCTTTGGGATCCAGGTAGGAGGCTGTAATACTGAGGAGGGCATTTTGAGAATGCAGGTCTATGCCCAGGTGGTATGCTCATTGACCATGGCCCCAGCTACAGACCCAGAAACAGCCCCATCCCCCTGTGGACTTGGTTACAGCCCAATTTGGCCCTGGTTCTGCTACCAGCACCATCCACCATGGGACCTGCAAGGAGCCAAGAGGAAGTAGTTTAATATATTCAAAGTGTTAAAAGGAAAAAACTGCCAACCAATAATACTACACCTGGCAAAGCTGTCCTTAAGAAATGAAAGAGAGATAAAAGATAAAAGACTTTCCCAGACAAACAGAAGCTGAAGCAGTTTATCACCACCAGACTTGTCTTACAAAAAAACACTAAAGGGAATTCTTCAAGTTGAAACAAAAGGATCCTAAGTAACAACATAAAAACATATGAATGCATAAAACTCGCTGGTAAAGGTAAATATATAGTCAAATTCAGAATACAGTAATGGTGGTGCATAAATCACTTTTAACTCTAGTGTAAAGGTTGAAAGACAAAAGTATTCAAAATAACTATAGGTATAATAATTTATTTATGGATACACTATATAAAAAGATGTAAAGTTTTACTGAAATAGCCTAAAAGGTAGTAGAGGGGAAAGTAAAAGTGTAGAGTTTTTATATGCAATTGAGGTTGTTATCAGCCTAAAATAGACTGTTATAATTCTAAGATGTTTTACGTAAGCCTCATGGTAACCACAAAGAAAAACCTCTATTAGATACAAAAGAGAAAGAGAAAGGAATCAAAGCATGTCACTAAAAAATCAACAAATTACAAAGGAAGACAGAAAGAGGATAAAAGTAACTACAAAACAGAGAACAATTAATAAAATCATAATAGTAAATCCTTACCTAGCAATAATTACTTTAAATGTAAATGAACTACATTCTCCAGCCAAAAGACACAGAGTGGCTGAATGCAACAACAAAACAAGATACAATAATATGCTGCCTAGAGGAGACTTTAAGGACACACAGAGGCTGAAAGTGAAGGGATGGAAAAAGATATCCCACACAAATGATAACCAAGGGAGAGCAAGATTAATTATACTTACCTCAGACAAAATAGACTTTTAGTCAAAATCTGTCACAAGAGACAAATAAGGTCACTATATAATAATAAAGACATTAATTTCATCAAGAGAATATAACAATTGTAAATATATATGCACCAAACATTGGAACACCTAAATATATAAAGCAAATATTAACAGAACTGAAGGGAGAAATAGAAGGGAATATAATAATACTAGAATAGGGAGAATAGAAGGGAATAGAATAATACTTTCAACAATGAGTAGATCATCCAGACAGAAAATCAATAAGGAAATAGAAGACTTGAATAGCACTATAGGCCAGGTGGACCTAATAGACATAGAGAACATTCCACCCACAGCAGTAAAATATACATTCTTCTCAAGCACATATAGAACATTCTTCAGGATAGATCATATGCTAGGCCACAAAACAAGTCAACAAATTTAAGAAGACTCAAATTACATTAAGTATTTTTTCTAACCACCTGGTATAAAATTAAAAATCAATATCAGGAAGAATATTTGAAATTCATAAGTATGTGGAAAATAACACATTCATTAACAACCAATGTGTCAATAAAGAAATCAAAAGGAAAATTAAAAAGTATTTTGAGGCAAAAATAGAAACAGCATTCCAAATCTTATGGGAAGCACAAAAAGCAGTTCTAAGAGGGAAGTTTACATTGATAAATACTACATTAAGAAAAAAAAATCTCAAATAAACAACCTAGCACTACACCTCAAGGAACCAGAAAAACCTAGAACAAGCTAAGCCCAAAGTTAGCATAAGGAAGGAAACAATAAAGATTAGAGAAAGAATACATGAAATAGAGACTAGAAAGACAATTGAAAAGTATCAACAAAACTGAGTTAGTTTTCTAAGAGTTCGTTTTTTGAAAAGAAACAAAACTGGCAAACCTTTAACTAAACTAACCCAGAAACAAAGAGAGAGGACTCAAACAAATAAAAGCATAAATTTAAAAGGATACGTTACAACTGATACCATAGAAATACAAAGGATCATAAGAGACTACTATCCAATAAATTGTATAACCTAGAAGAATGAATAAATCCCTAGAAACAGACAACCTACCAAGACCAAATAATAAAGAAACAGAACATCTGAATAGACTAATAGTGAGTAAGAAGATTGAAGCACTGATCAAAAACATCCCAATGGAGAAAAGCCCAGGACTAGATGACTTCCTGGGTGAATTTTACCAAACATTTAAAGAATTAATTTCAATCCTTCTCAAACTCTTCTTAAAAATTGAAAGAAAAGAACACTTCCATATTTATATTACAAAGCCAGCATTACCCTCATACCAAAGCCAGACAAGGACACTACAAAAAAAGGAAATGGCAGGTCAATATTCCTGATGAATATAGATGCAAAAATTCTCAACAAAACACCAGCAAACCAATTCAACAGAACATTAAAAGAATTATACAGCATGATCAAGCTGGATTTATCCCTGGATGCAAGGATGGTTCATTGTATGCTGATCAATAAATATGATACACCATATTAGCAGAATGAAGGATAAAAATCACTACTATCTCAACAAATGTAGAAAAAGCATTTGACAAAATTCAACATCCTTGCCTGATAAAAATTCTCAATTAAATAGAGAAACAATGTACATCAACATAATAAAGGCCATAGCACAAGTTCACAAGTAATATTATACTCAGCGGTGAAAAGATGAAAGTTTTCCTCTAAGATCAGGAAAAAGACAAGGATGCCCATTCTCACCACCTCTGTTCAACGTAATACTGGAATTACTAGCCCAGAAAATTAAGAATTAAAAGAAATAAAAGTCATTCAAATCAGAAAGGAAAAAGTTAAATACTCTCTGTTTGCAGATGGCATAATTTTATTTATATAAAATCCTAAAGACCACCGTGAAAACTGTTATAAATAATACATGACTTCAGTATAGTTGCAGAATACAAACGTAACATACAAAAATCAGTTGTGTTTCTATACACGCTCCAAAAAAATAAATTAGGAAAACAATCCCATTTATAATAGATACCAAAAAATAAACACTTATGAATAAATTTAACTGAGGAGGTGAAAGATCTGTACACTAAGCAGCCTAAAACATCAATAAAAGAAAGCCAAAAAGATACAAACAAATGGAAAGATATCTAGTGTTCATAGATTTGAAGAATTATATTCTTAAAATATCCACAGTACCCAAAACAATTTAGAAATTCAACGCAATACCTCTTCAACTTCCAAGAGCATTTTTTACAAAAAACGTTTTTTAAAACCCAAAAATTTGTATGGAACCACAAAAGACCCCAAATAGCCAAAATAATCTTGAGTAAGAAGGTAAGAAGAAAAAGGTAGAGGTATCACACTTCTTGATTTTAAACTATAATACAAAGCTATAGTAATCAAAACAGTATGGTACTGTCATAAAAACAGACATTAATTGGGATGCAAGGATGGTTCAGCATATGCAAAACAATAAACATAATACACCACATTAACAGAATCAGAATGAAGGATAAAAATCACAATTATCTCAATAAATGCAGAAAAAGCACTTGACCAAATTCAACATCCTTTCCTGATAAAATCTCAATTAAATGGGGAAAAAATTTACTTCAACATAATAAAATCCGTATATGACAAGTCCACAGCTTGTCAGTGGAAGAGAATAAAGAGCCTAGAAATAATCCCATGCATATACAACTAATCTTTGACAAAGGCATCAAGAACACACAATTAGGAAAAGATAGTCTTTTTTTTTTTTTTTGAGATGGAGTTTCGCTCTTGTCACCCAGGCTGGAGTGCTAGTGGTGTGATCTTGGCTCACTGCAACTTCCGCCTCCCAGGTTCAAGCGATTCTCCTGCCTCAGCCTCCCAAGTAGCAGCGATTACAGGCATGCACCACCATGCCCAGCTAATTTTTGTATTTTTAATAGAGATGGGCTTTCACCATGTTGGCCAGGCTGGTCTCAAACTCCTGACTTGAAATGATCCGCCCGCCTCAGCCTCCCAAAGTGCTGGGGTTGTAGGCGTGAGCCACCACTCCTGGCCAAGAAAAAGATAGTCTCTTTAATAAATGATGCTGGGAAAACTGAAATCCTCATGCAAAAGAATGAAATTGGGCCCTTTTTGTACACCCTTTTTGCTGAAAAAATTAAAAATAAAACTGACATATGATCCACCAAAAAAATTACCTCAAAATGGATTAAAGACTTAACTGTAGGAACTGAAACTATAAAACTCCTAGAAGAAAATGTTGAGAGAAAGTTCCTCGACAATGGTCTTGGCAATGATTTTTTTTTTTTTTTGCTATAACACCAAAAGCACAAGCAACTAAAGCAAAAATGAACAAATAAGACTGCATCAAACTAAAAAGCTTCTATACAGCAAAGGAACAAGCAACAAAATGAAAAGTCAACCTGTGGAATTGGAGGAAATATTTGCAAATCATATATCTGCAAGGGATAAGGGATAAATATCCAAAACATACAAGAAACTCAAACAACCCAAGAGAAAAAAAAAAGTGGAAGCATCTGAATAGACATTTTTCCAAAGATATACAAATGGCCAACAGGGATATGGAAAGGTGCTCAATATCCCTAATCATCAAGGAAATACAATTCAAAACTACAATGGGACATTGTGTCACACCTATTAAGATAGCTGTTATCAAAAAGACAAATGATAAATGTTGGCAAGAGTGTTGAGAAAAGGAAACCCTTGTACATTGTTGAGGGGAATGTACATTGATACAACCATTATAGGAAATAGTATGGAGGTTCTTCAAACAATTAAAAATATAACAACCATATGATCCAGTAATCCCACTTCTGGGTATACAGTCATGTGTCACTTAACAACAGAGAAACATTCTGAGAAATTCATCATTAGGCAATTTTGTCATTGTGCCAACATCATAGAGTACACTTCCACAAATCTAAGTGGTATAACATACTACACACCTAGGCTTTATGGTATAGCCTGTTGCTTCTAGGCTCCAAACCTCTACAGCATGTTACTGTACCAAATACCGTAAGCAACTGTAACACAATGGTATTTGTGTATCTGAACATATCTAAACATAGAAAAGATACAGTAAAAATATGATATTAAGATCTTAAGGGACCACCACCATGTTTATAGTCTATAGTTGACTGAAACATCATTAAGTGGTGCGTAACTGTATATCCAAAAGAAATGAAATCAATATGTCAGAGAGATATCTGCACCTCCATGTTCATTGCAGCTTTATTCACAATCACCAAGATATGGAATCAACTTAAATATCTGTCAACAGATGAACAGATATATGAAATGTAGTACATGCACAATGAAATACTTCAGAGTCATAAAAAAAACAAGAAATCCTGTCATTTGTGACAACATGGATGAAACTGGATGACATTATGCTATGTGAAATAAGCCAGGTACAGAAAGATACTGCATTGTCTCACTTATATGTGGAATCTGAAAAAGCTAAAGTCATAGAAGCAAAGAATATAATGGTGATTGATCATTATAGAAATGCAAATCAAAACCACAATGATATACCATCTCACACCAGTCAGAACAGCTATTACTAAAAAGTCAGAAAATAACAGATGCTGCTGAGGTTGCAGAGAAAAGGGAACACTTATACACTGTGGGTGGGAGTGTAAATTAGTTCAACCATTGTGGAAAGCAATATGAAGGTTCCTCAAAGAGCTAAAAGCAGAAATATTCAACCCAGCAATCCCATTAGTTTGTATATACCAGGTGAATATAAATCACTCTACCATAAAGATACATGCACGTGAATGTTCATTGCAGCACCGTTCACAATAACAAAGATGTGGAATCAACCTAAATGACCAAAAATGACAGATCGGATAAAGAAAATGTGGTACATATACACCATGGAATACAGCATAAAAAGGAATGAGATTGTGTATTTTGTGGGAACATGAATGGAGCTGGAGGCTATTACCCTTAGCAAAGTGATACAGGAACAGAAAACCAAATACCACATGTTCTCACTTATAAGTGGGAGCTAAATGATAAGAATTTATGAATACAAAGAAGGAAACAACAGACACTGGGTTCTACTTGAGGGGGGAAGGTGGGAGGAGGGAGAGGAGCGGAAAAGTAACTATTGGGTACTGGGCTTAGTACCCAGGTGATGAAATAATATGTACAACAAACCCCCATGACACATATTTACCTACGTAACAAACCTTCACATGTACCCCCAAATCTAAAATAAAAATTTTTAAAAAAAGACAGAATGGTGACTGCCAGTAGTGCAGGGAAGCATGGTGCAGAGGGCAGAATGAAGAGATGTTGGTCAAAGTGTACAAACTTTCATTTATAAGATGAAGTTCTGGGAATCTAATGTACAACACTGTGACTACAGTCAATATGACTGTATTGTATACTTGCAATTTGCTGAGAGTAGATCTTAAGTGTTATCACCACCAAAAAAATGGTAACTGTGAGGTGATGAATGTAGTAATTAGTTTGAACATGGTAATCATTTTATTATATAAATGTATATCAAATCATCGTATTGTATATCTTAAATACACATTATTTTATTTGTCAGTTATACCTTAAGAAAGCCAGTGGGAAAAAATAAGAAAAATAAACGAATAGAATGTTTCTGGTTGCACTAAAGCATCAGGCATTACTCAGAACAAATATTTGTATCTTTTAATGACATTTGCAAAAGATAAATGTAATTATAAAATCCTAAAATGGGAAAGTTCCTAGTAAGACCATACAGTTCAGCCACTGTTCTGCCTCCAAGAAAAGCTAAGGAAAATTATTTTGAACATGCAGCCTTATATCATTAAAACAACAAAATCATGTGCCTATTCAGTGAGTTCTTAAGGGGCAGAAAAGTTAAAATCTAATCCCTCAATCAACCGGTGCAGAGTCTCTCAATCCTGGCTTCACAAATGCCCAGGGCTATGCCTCACCCCTCAGATATTCAGATCTCAGTGGTTGCAGTGGGATCCTGGGAAGTGATATTTTTTTAGCCTCTCCAAATATTGTAATATGCAGCCTGGGTTATGAATCTCTGATCGCTCCCTAATATTTTTAACATCTTTATTGAGATATAATTCACATATCATAAAATTTATTCATTTAAATTACACTTCAGTGGTTTCCTGTATGTTCATGGACTTGTAAAATCACCACAATCTCACTTTACAACATTTCCATCACCCCAAAATAAAACTTGTACCCATTAGTAGTCAAACACTATTCCCCACCCTATCCTTCCCTCAGCCTTAGGCAACCACCATTCTACTTTTTCTCTCTACTAATGTGACTACTGTAGGTACCTCATATAAGTGGAATCACACAATACTTGTGTCTGGCTTATTTCACTTTGCATAATGTTTTCAAGGTCCATCAATGTTATAGCACGTATTATAACTTCATTTTTTTAATGCCTGAATGGTATACCATTATACGGATATAACAATCTTTGTTTATCCATTCATCAAGTGATGGACATTTGGCTTGTTTCTACTTTTTGGCTATTATGAATAAATTTCCCAAATATTTAAAAGCACTTTCAAAAGCTCTGCTTTTTTAAGTAATATAAAGCATGCATGTAACAGCTTGAAAGCATTTTTTGGGAAGGGAACATCAGTACTCACCCTTCTCTGTGGCGGCTTCCTTTAATCTCACTACTCTTCCAGTGTGGAGTGCAGAACTGAACACAATTCTTTTAACACTGTCTTGGTGGAATTTCAATGTCTAATTGCTTTGCTCAGCCTTACATTCTTGACACCCATGTCAACAATCCCACTGTATTTCTTTTTTTAAACGAGGATATGGCCTCACCTAGTCAGCTTATTATTTATTGTGACTTGGAGCAGTCTTTTCCCACACACCTTAGTGCAGAACATCTTAACACTTTTGGGACTTTCAAGTCACTCATTTCAGCAGCAACAGCAGCAACACCATACCTCCAACAACTCTCTCTTCCTCTCTCCATTCAAAACTGTATGAAACAAGCTCTCACGTTAGTCAGTTCATCTCCTTTTGAAATCAGACCAATGCTGTTTCCTTGGGCAAATTGCATATGAAGGCTCTATCGTAAAAATTAAAGTAACTATCATGTACAGGCACTTACTTTCAAGTACTGGGCTAAATACTTAACACAGATAATTTCATTGTATACTCATAACCAGCCTGCAAGATAGGTACCATTGTTTCTATTTTACAGATGAGAAAACTGAAATTTGGAGCAACATACCCAGTACATGCAGTGGATGAGTAACAGTGATATGGTTTGGCTGTGTCCCCACCCAAATCTCAACTTGAATTGTATCTCCCAGAATTCCCACGTGTTGTGGGAGGGACCCAGAGGGAGGTAATTGAATCATGGAGGCTGATCTTTCCCATGATAGTGAATAAATCTCACAAGATCTGATGGGTTTATCATGGGTTTCCGCTTTTGCTTCTTCCTCATTTTCCCTTGCCACCACCATGTAAGAAGTGCTTTTTGTCTCCCACTATGATTCTGAGGCCTCCCCAGCCATGTGGAACTGTAAGTCCAATTAAACCTCTTTTTGTTCCCAGTTTTGGGTATGTCTTTATCAGCAGCATGAAAACAGACTAATAAGAATAACACCAGATTTCCACCCAGATCAATCTGGCTCTCTGCCTCTCTATTATATATCCTCTTCTGCTTATATAATCATGGAATTACTCAACAGATAATTGTGTCATAGTTATGCCAGCAACTATGCCAGACCTATCGGATACAGAAATAGGCAAAGCAAAAACGATTCCTGCCTTCATGGGGTTTACCGTCTAGTAGAGGATAGAGACACCAATTGTATTGTCCCACAGTCATATAATTACACACTGTGAAAAGTACCATGAAGGCAAGTTGCACTGAACTGAGTGAGTGTGTCACCTGGTCTAGTAGGGTACCAGGGGAGGGAGGGAGTGCTCCAGCTCCCCAAGAAAGTAACACTTGAAGTCTGAAAATCTTCATCCTGGTCCACAAAGAAATTCTGGAAGTGGGATCAGTGGGAGAGGAGAATTTTCTGAGGAAGAGGCTTACCTGGCTGAGATGTGCCTCAGCAATAATGCTGGCAGGTGGGCACCTGGTTCACCACCCTTTCCCCACAGACTTTCTTTGTCCTCAGTTGCCTGTCTCCAGGATGTCTCTTGCATTTGTCCTTATTTCACTTCATGCCACGTGCCTGGTTGTTCCTTCAGCTTACCAGAGCAAATCAGCACCATCTTCTCAATGATCCACAACCACAGAAAACATTCCCACTGAAACCAACATCCATTCAGAAAGGAGAAGGTGGCCCAAATGATTAAGAAACATGTTACACTCTATTTGGCTGGTTTAATTCCAAAAGGTTAAGAGAATATTATTTCCAGGAGCCAGAAGTGGAGAGAAAAAAAAACAAGTCTGCTTTTATGCAGACATCCAAATTGCTGCAATATTAAAGCTGCTCTGGATTGAAGGCCGTGAACTGTGCTGCTTCTGCTCCAAGAGCCTTGGTTTTGCTGCCATCTGCTGCTCCACGCCAGGCAGTGCACTGCGATTCACCAAGGCCTTGCTACACAGCCAAGGCAAGAGGGAAAAATGAAGAGCAGGTTCCAACTCCTGGGCTGAGAGGGCTGCTCCCTCCGGGAAATGGTTGGGCAGCTGGGCCTGGGGTCTGCTGTTTTTGAGAAGCCAGACTCCCTCTTTTAGAGCTAGGGAAGATGCACTGATCGAATGACAGCAGAGAACTTCTGAATGTGGTGTTTTCACTCATCCTGCTGACCTGCTTAAACGCCCTCCTCTGAAATGAATACATCCACTCTACCCTTGGGATCAAATCGACACCTCTCTTGACCTGACCCTGACTTGAGTCGTCTCCAACCTGACTCTTTTTTGTTTTTTCTTTTTTTGTTTGTTTGTTTGTTTTTTGAGACGGAGTCTCACTCTGTAGTCCAGGCTGGAGTGCAGTGGCGCAATCTCGGCTCACTGCAAGCTCCGCCTCCCGGGTTCACGCCATTCTCCTGCCTCGGCCTCCCGAGTAGCTGGGACTAGAGGCGTCCTTCACCACGCCCAGCTAATTTTTTGTATTTTTTAGTAGAGACGGGGTTTCACCTTGTCAGCCAGGATAGTCTCGATTTCCTAACCTCGTGATCCGCCCGCCTCGGCCTCCCAAAGTGCTGGGATTACAGGCGTGAGCCACCGCGCCCGGCCTCCAACCTGACTCTTATACTCTGCTCCAACCACACTGTGAACCATACCGTTGCCCCCACCCACTTCCCTCTTGCCCTCCAGCGTTTGCCCAGAACGTTCCTAAGGCTTAAGTGACCTATGATACCTGCCCATCCTCTTTCCTCTCACTCTTACCCAACACAGATCTCGGCTTAAAGGTTATGTTGCCTGGAAAGTCTCCAGCCCTTCCTCGCCTTCCCATGTCCTCTCCCAAATGCTCCCCTCTCACTCGGTGTCTCTTCCTGACTTAAGATCTACCACACTCACAATGGAGAAAGGGGAGACACTTAGATCAATGGAACAAAATAGAAAACCCAGAAAGAGACCCACATAAACATGACCAATTGATTTTTTAAAAAAAGCAAAAGCAGTTTAATGAAGAGAGTCTTTTCAACAAATAATGCTGGAACAGTTGGATATCCATATGTACAAAAAAAAGTGCTTCAATCCACATCTTGTACCATATACAAAAATTAACTCAAAATGGATAACAGACCTAAATATAAACCTAAAATTGTAAAATTTCTCGAAGAAAAATCTTTGTAACTTTGAGTTAGACACAGTTCTTAGATATAACAACAAAATTGCAATCAATAAAATTTAAAAATTACTTGCTTACGCCTATAATCCCAGCACTTTGGGAGGCCAAGGTGGGCAGATCACTTGAGGCCAGGAGTCTGAGACCAGTGTGGCCAACATGGCGAAACCCTGTCTCTACTAAAAATACCAAAATTAGCTGGGCGTGGTGGCACATGCCTGTAATCCCAGCTACTCGGGAGGCTGAGGCAGGAGAATTGCTTGAACCCAGGAGGCAGAGGTTGCAGTGAGCCGAGATCATGTCACTGCACTCCAGCCTGGGCAACAGAGCGAGATTCCATCTCAAAAAAAAAAGAAAGAAAGAAAAGAAAAATTTAAAAATTGGTAAGTTGGGTTTATTAAATTTTTAAGTTTTTGCTCTGAGAAAGACATAGCTAGAAAGGACAAACTGGGAGAAAATAATTGTAAATTTCACATCTGACAAAGGATTTGTATTGAGAATATATAAAGAATTCTCATGAAGAAGGAGGATGGTTTGAACCCAGGAGTTCAAGCTGCAGTGAGCTATGATGGTGCCACTACACTCCAGCCTGGGAGACAGAGTGAGACCCTGTCTGGGAAAATAAAAAAAAAGAATAATTCTCAAAACTCAACCACATCAAGCAAATCTAGTTTTTTTTAATGGGGAAAGATTTCAACAGGTACATTACCCGGAAGATATATAGATGGCAAATAAGCCTGTGAAATACATTCAATATAACTAGTCATTAGTGAAAAACAAATTGAAACCACAATGATACTATTACATCACTAATAGAATGGCTAAATTAAAAAAGAAGAATATCAAGTGCTGACAAGGATACAGAGCAACTGGAATTCTCATACATTGCTGGTAGGAATGCAAACTGGCATAACTACTATAAAAGAGTGGAAGTTGTTTCATCTTAGATTTATTTTATCTCTAAGTAGCTTCTTATGAAACTAAATATACACTTACCATACAACCCAGCAACCTCGCTCCTGGATAATTACCCAAATGAAATGAAAACCTGTGTTCACACAGAAAATAATATGTAAATGTTTATAGCAGCTACATCACCAAAAACTGGAAACAACCAGAATATCCCTCAAGCTGGGAATGGATAAACAAACTGTGGCACATCCATTCAATGGAAAACTACTCATCAATAAAAAGAAACAAATAATCAATACATGCAACAACATGGATGAATCGCAAATACACTATGCTATGTAAGAGGGCAGACCCAAAAGGCTATATACTCTGTATGGCTCCATTTATATGACATTCTGGAAAAGACAACTATAGAACTGGAGAACAGATTGGTGGTTTCCAGGCACTGGGGAAGAGGGCAGGCTTAACCACAAAGAGGTAGAGGAAATTTTTTTAGAG
The DNA here is from genome assembly GCF_000001405.40 of Homo sapiens. Taxonomy (NCBI): domain Eukaryota; kingdom Metazoa; phylum Chordata; class Mammalia; order Primates; family Hominidae; genus Homo; species Homo sapiens. Next base: position 63,869,861 of record NC_000010.11, on the reverse strand, counting down.
GAACAATGGAACTATTCTATATCATGATGTGTGATAGTTATATGACTCTATGCATTTACCAAAACTCACAGAACTATACACTTAAAAAAATGAATTTTATTGTATGTAAATTTTTAAATAGAAAAAAAATTAATCACACTCGGGGCAGCCACTGATATATACGATGCCTTGGCAGGATTTGCAAAGAGGCTCCCCCTCTGTGACAAAAGTCCCTGTAGTTCTCATGTCTGCCCTGGAAGAGGGGATGGAGACTGGGTTTTAGCCCCACTTGCCTCCATTATCTCCCCCTAGGCCAAACTTTGCACAAACTGCTCAGCCTTTTCCAGTCATCGTGGCCTAGATTATAATCAGCTATTTATTCATCTGTTTCCCTGCTATCATGAGTTTCTCAAGGAGCTTTTCTGATCCATCATCGTAGCCCCAGCAAGCTGCCAAGTGGCCGGCACAACAAGTATTTGTGGAATGGATGAATGAATGATCACTACTTCCCAGAACTCATCTCTGAACAGCCCACTCACAGCGACATCTCCTTCCTATGAAGTCCTAGAAGACATATCTGTGCCTCTTATTTGTCATAACTAACAATAGAGGCAGTAACTCTATATTGACATAAATGTGGATAGACAGGTTTCTTCCCAGCTAAATTGTAAGCTCTTTTATGGAAGAAAAAGGCACACAAACCTATGTCCCATACAGAGCCTTGAATAGTGCCATATGCATAGGAAGAGCTTAATAAATGTTAGTTGATATGCTGAAGAAACATAATTTTTTCTTAAAAGTATATGGAGAAGAGAAATCACACTAAGAGGCAGAAAAAGACATTAAATAAAACCATTAACATAATCAAATAATTTTTGATTGACAAGGTTTTAATTTTCTTTCTTTGTTAACATGGATATGTGTTTCTATTAAAGAATAAAAATGAGCCAAAGGATTAATGCTAAGTAAGAAAATGCAGTGCTGATAAAAGTGAACGTTCAAATGTTTTCCTCTATGTTTTCATAAATAAGGTTTGTATTTCTGTATATTCTTATATCTCTGGAGAGAAACACGGTATATGAAAGGAAGCCATTGTGCAGAGACACAGCTCAGCTTCCAATTTGCTTTTAAGGATATCCATCTTGTAAATGGGGATAAACTGTAACACCAGGCTTCTATCTTTCAGTAGGAAGAACATGTGCAAAGCATTTCAGGATCCTTGAGGGAAAGGGAAAATAGCTAGCTATTGACAGCATTTTTAGGATGGATGTTGATAATATAGTAAAAGCACTCGAGTATTCGAGGTAGGGGAGGCAAATGTGGCTGCAACATCAAGCATCCCATTTGATCACCAGGATAGAGCTGCCCCGTCAACTGTAATCCTCGGCTGCCATCAAGGTGCCCATCAGTATTAATGTTACTGTTAAATACAGCCAGTTGACTGCGGTACTAATAGAGTTAATAATAGCCACATAGCCAGACAAAAGACTAGAAGCAGGCAACCAAACTCAACCTCAGAATTTCATTCAAGAAGTGCAGGGCCTGCCTCCTGGCTTGCATATGTGTCTCCCACAGCCACAGCCAGGGAGCAGAAACGTTATTCCTCAGGTCTGACAGTTCTATGTTTCCAAGACCTTCCTTTACATCTCACTGACTTCCTTTCAGACTGAATCTTGTCTGCTCTGGGGAGGCACGGAGGAGCCTGTGACTTGTGAGTTCCAGTAATCATTGTACATCTCTGCTTCTGCCTTTGCCAATGAGCCTGATTTTAGGCAGAGAAAGAAGATTCTGCCTAACAAAGTAGGTAAGAGGAAGGTCTCAGAATAAAGAGACCAGGGTTCTGCCACTTACTTCCTGTGTGTCTTTGAGTAAGTTACTTGACCACACTAAGTCTCAGTTTTCTCACCTCTAGAATGGAGATAATAAAATTTACCTCATAGGGTTATGTAAGAGGTGGATGGGATAGTGCACATAAATGGCTCATTATAGGGCCAGACACATAGCAAGCACATAATCAACAAATGGTCATCTTTAAATGTTTTTAGTCATGCTAAAGGCAAACTGGGGAAAGGGCAAGAAAAGTGACTTCAATGCCACTAACTGCATTTCCAAAAAAGAACCTGAACATTCCTCCTGGTGACTCCCTGTAAGAAGTTCACCATAGAGACATCTGCACCAAGCCTACCCCAAGCCCTGCTGGTTCATGTGTCAGGTGGAATCTTTCTCTGACAGTCAGAAACCAAAGCTGCCCCCACCCAGAGACACAATACGCCAATGACTGCCAATCCCATTTCCAGATCAAATGTGCACTTGCTGACTGCTTTGAACAGGTCATTTGGCTGACTGGTTTCCAAGAAAGTCACTGACTATCAAACTAAAAATCTGAGGCCATTTATTGGTTAATAGTCCAGTCCCAAATCACAGGTGGGGCTGGCCGCTGGCAGCTCTGGGAAGAACAGTCATCCCATCCTTGGCTCACACACACCTCAGTTCTCTTCTGAACTCTTTTACCCTCTCCAGGGTGCCTTCATGCTCCTTTCAGAAAACCTGAGCCCCTGGACACCTCATCGTCTCATGTTCTAGGCCAGTCTCCTGAGAGACATTTTACTGATCCCTGACCCATCAGAGATCCTTTTCCAGAGGTTTGAGTGTTTTGAGGCATTGTCCTTGAGGTACTATAGCAGTGTGATTAAGAACCTAAGCTCTAGAATCAAAATGCAGCCATAGTGACTTTGGCCAAGTATTTCCTTTGTTTAAATAAGGGAAAAATACTAGAACCTACTTGAGAGGATTGAATGAGATTTCTAAAGCTCTTGGCACATAGTGGCACCTGGTGGATAAATGCAAAACAACAACAAAAAAAATTGTTTCATATTAGCATTAGCTACCCTATGGAAAATGAACAGACATGCCCCTGTTGAGAAAGGTAAGAACCCACAGGTGTTACAGCCTGGGGGAGAGGCTGTTTCTGCAAAGCAGGGAAGTCTGTCTAGGGAGCTCTTTACCACCCACCATCATTACTGCCAGGCCCCAGCTCCAGGATACTGAGAAATGCAGCAGCTCCTTCCTTGATTAGATTTCAATATTCCAATCGCTAGACCCTTGCCACTGTTTCAAACGCCTTTCAAAAACTAAGAGGCAAGGAAGAGCTTTCTCAGCAGCTTCCAGTCAATTCTGAAGAAATGCCTCTCATTTTTCTCTACTAAGAAAGCAATTTGCCAAGGGACCTATAGCCAGGAGGAAAGGCTTGGCGTTCTTTGGAGATTTATCGCCATCTAGAGGATGCACTGCCACAGTGCAAGACAAATGTGGCCGAGGAGATTTCCCCGAAAGGGGCTTCTCCTCCCTTCTCGGCTCTGCAGCCTTCCAGAGGGCGTGACGCCGGGGATTGACAGTCTGCACGCCGTCCAAGAGGGGAAAGCGTGCCATTGAGACAACTTGCATTTCAAAACATCAAAATACAATCCCTTTCTTTGAGTCCACTGTTCCGAAATGCTTAATTATTTTAAGGGTCTTTTCCTTCTTAATTTCTTGGAGATTGTTATCTGTTAGAGATTCTCACGGGTACTTTTCTAGAGGTGGCATAGCCACAGTCTCCCTGGTGCTGAGGGTGGAGGGGGAGCTGTACTAACCCTAGGTTATATGTGTACCACTGTATGTGCTATTCTACGGAGTGGCTGCGATTTGGTGGAAGACAGAATTTGATCTGTGAGCTGTGTGAACATGGTATAGTACACTCTCGTACTTTTCCTCTTCAGTTCATTCCTTAGTCCCCCACTGTTTCCCTGAAACTGCCTCTACCAACATCTTTTTCAGTCTTCCCGTCATGAGCCTTACTTCCCCTGTTCGAGACGCTCCCCGCCTCCTTTCTGACTGCTCCCTCATACCTTCATTCGCAGACATCTTTCTCTGTCTACTTCTTACATGTTAATGCCTCCTCGGACTTCTACCTCTGCCCTTGTTTTTGTTTCACTTTGCACAGAGGTCCTCAAGTTTTATTGGGCATCATTATCAGCTGAGGAATTTTTCCAAAATATACAATAGAGATGGCTACATTCCTAGAGATTGCACTTCGGGGACATCTGTACTTTGAATAAGTTCCTTAGGTGATTCTGATGTGCACCAAAGGTTGAGAACCAATGGGCTATTCCTAGGAAATTTTTACTTACTGTCATTAGTAAACAATGCTTAAACAGTAAAAATTGCTTAAACAACCACACATACTCTGACAGTTCCAAATCTTGCGCATAACTAGGGTTTCACTGGCTGTTACCCATTCCTGACAATGCAGAATCCCAGTGTGCAGCCAAGTCGCTACCAAGTACTTCTAGAGTCCCCTGGGGTTGTCTCATGGACACATTCAGCCCACTGCCCCATAGTTACCATGTACCAAACTCAGTTCCTGCCTTCACCTTCACCTCCTGGCTCCCATTGTTTGGGTGTTGCTGCATCCATTGGGCCCCCTGCTGTTTCTGCCAGACACCACAGTGTCTTCCTGCAGCCAAGGCCAGCAGGAAGCACTCGAGCAGACCGTGTTCTGTTGAAGAGTGGGCAAAGCTAGTTGTCTTAGAGTAAGTTCCCCCAAAAGCAGAGCCTGGGGCAAGCACTTGGGTGCAGATGACTTATACGAGAAGTGATGCAGGAATCTGGAGTGAATGAATGATAAAGTGAGACAAGAAAAGAGGAAAAGAAAATATAAAGATGTGTTATCCAAGTACCATTGGAAGAAACAGGGCATGGTTCAACCAGGGCCCCCACAAAGCATACAGGATGGCTCCAATGCTGCCCACCTGCAGGACTAGTATCTGGAGTATTTAGCCACTGGCTCCCAATACCTACTGATTGAAGGTTGCTCCCAAGAGCATTGGCTCTCCTGGATTTCTGGGCTGCAGGTGCATATAAGTCAAGAGGGCTTCTACAAAGCCAGAGAATACCCTAAGAGAGACATCAGAAAGATACACAAAGTGAGCCTCAGTTCACCAGAACCATCTGCCACAGCTCCAGCTGAAACTAGAAATGGGCAGTGGGGAGGTGGCATGGGCACCAAAGGCATCTGCCACACTCTCCCCCTCACTTTTTATGTTACACACTGTGCAAGGAGCTCAAAGCAGTGACATTTATTCCCTAATATCGTTTTCAGAGAGTCCATATTTTCAGTTTTTCTTTGTAGCTTCCAACACATATTAACCCCTGGAACGAATCCATGTTGTTCATAGAATCACCCACCCCCTGTAAGCCAAAGCCATGAGTCCCCGAGGTGTAAGGACTGTGGGTATGTCTGGTGCCCTGGAACATCCAGAGGAGCTTTACTTGGAGAAACTCAGGCAAAATCGACAGGAAAGCCTCATAATCTCTTGCATTGGAATAAGTGTCTCCTACAGAGCTCCTCCAACCCCAACAATTCTCCCGATGTGTCTCCATGTGTCTAAACACCTGTGTGCTGTGGCTTTCTCCCATATGAAGCCCTAATTTTAGGTATCTCCAAGCCAGATTTTTGCTGTATTCCATAAATCTTATACCTACTGGACACCTTGACCCAGATGCCTCCCAAGAAGCTCTAACTCAACACAAATAAACCTGAACTCATTTTCTCCCCTCCCAATGTCACCACAAATCCTCCTTCCCTTCCTAAATTTCTCGTCTCCATGAATGATACCTCTATCTGCCTGGTAGTCCTTAAGAAAAACCTAAGAATCACCCCAGGTTTGACCTCTCCTTTTGCCATACATGTTTAATTAATCACAAATGCTATTCCATTGACAGTGAAATTTGCCTAAAGTGAATTTGCCTAAAATTTGTTTACCTGAAACCTATTTGCTTAAGGATATTTTTTCTGCCAAAAATTATGAATTAAGCGTTATGAATTAAGTTTTTTCTATAGCCAGTGTTTCCCAAAATACTTTGAACCTAATTTTGTATTTTACATAGTTATGCATTAGTTTTGCAAAATTATACCACTAGTATGATAAGTTTGTACATTTGGGGGTGTCTCTATTTCACATACTTTTTCACACTCCAAGTATTTTTTAAATATGCTATTTCTAGCAATAAATATTTATAAAATCTGCAGCATTTCAAAAAGAATTTTATCCAGTTTACTCATTTGTATTTTTTCTTCCCTGCATTTTGTCTTTTGTTTGTTTTGCACAATGTACAGTTTATGTATGTATTAACTAAATAGAATATCTGGTATCCAATGGCATCTGGTAGCAAGAACCAAGTATAAAAAAAGTTTGGGGCTGGGCACAGTGGCTCACACCTGTAATCCCAGCACTTTCGGAGGCCGAGGTGGGCAGATCACTTGAGGTCAGGAGTTCAAGGCCAGCCTGGCCAACATGGTGAAACCCCGTCTCTACTGAAAATACAAAAATTTGTCAGGCATGGTGGTGGGCGCCTGTAGTCCCAGCTACTCAGGAGGCTGAGACAAGAGAATTGCTTGAACTTGGGAGGTGGACGTTGCAGTGAGCCGAGATCACGCCACTGCACTCCACCCTGGGCAACAGAGCAAGACTCTGTCAAAAAAAAAAAAAAAAGTTTGGAAAGTAATGTCCACACAAAGCCTTGCACATAAATGTTCATAGTAGCATTATCCTTAATAGCCCCAAACTAAATAATCCAAATGCCCATCAGCTGATGAGTAAAACACAAATTAGCAATAAAAATGAATGAAATACTGATACATTACAACAACATTAATGAATCTCAAAAATATGATGAACAAAAGAAGTCAGACACAAGACAAGGAACACATATTGTATCATTCTATTTACATGAAATCCTAGGAAACCAGTGACAGAAGGCAGATCAATAGTTGCCTGAGGCCAGTAGTTGGGGGAAGGATTGACTGCAAAAGGTCACTATTAGGAAACTGAGATGCAGAGAGATTAAGCTACTTGTCCATTTCCACAGAGTTAGGAGGTGCCTGGGTTCCAATCCCAATTGTGTTTTCACCAGTCTCGCTGTGTCTCTGATCACAAGTTTCATAACATCATTTCATTCTAGTTCACATCTTCCTAAGATAAGTCAACTTGCTTAGATATAGAACAATGTGTCTCAACCTTTTTTTTCCATTATTGTCCCCTAAAGACCTCTTTTAGGTATTTTTTTAAATTGTCCTCCCCATGATATTGCATATATGTTTATGCACTGTAGCTTTGGGAAGCCACAAACCATTGTAATATCTAAGTTTTTTGCTCCCCCACCCCTGTGAGGCTGCCAATCACAATTGTCACCTCCTTAGAGGTGATATTTCTCTATTGAAAGGCCAAGTCTAGAAGACACCCCTTTGACGCAGAAGTGTAAAACGTCTTGGTCTCATCATTAGCACATTTACAAATGATCCATGTTTATGTGTTAGTGTCATGTGGCCAACTGCTTCTATTTTGTATTGATTTATTTCATCTCAAGCACAGAGAGGCAGAGTTTCAGAATCACCCCTTCCCCAGGGGTGCACATATTCCAAACATCTAGCCTTCACTCACTCACCACACCCTTCTGGTTAGAATGAATTATTTTACACAATAAAATTCTGAGTGGAGATGATTTTGAGTCAGAAGAGTCCAGTGGTTAGTGTCATTTGTGTTTTGCCATGCCTTTTCCTTTTCTAGCACAGATAGCAACCCCATCTGCCTTTGGAAAACTCTCTTCCCTTACTCCACATGGTTCTGATGAGGCTGCCAAGTACAATACACCACCAACCCCTGCTTTCAGGTATCTGAGGCGTGTGGCCTAAATTGACCAATCCCATGTCTTTAAACTCATGATCACTGTGATTGGCCCTGGGGCGGGCATATGATAACAGCTAGGTCGATGGGAATCATTACCTGTGATGTAAAATACGATCACTGAGAAAAAGAAATTCTCTATATCAAGAATTCTAAGGCTATAACCCCAAAATAAGTCCTAAGATAATGCCTTGTGCAAAATTTAAAAGTATGTCTTACAAATGCTTCCTACCCAGCCAACCTCCAGCCCTCTCTCTAGGTATACAGTAGTCCATAGCCATAACCCTGTGACTAGTACAGTCAAACACATAAACACACACACACGCACACACCCATCTTCTTATGAGAGAGAGAGGTATACTGAATAAAGAAATTAACACCAAAATATAAGTAGCATTATGAATTATCTACTTCCAACAAAGAGAACTAGGTAAGGAGGCAATATTTAACCTAAAAGGATGAATCTTAGAGATAGATATTATCATTTGGGTAAAAAAAAACTATATTGAGGCAGATAATTTTTATGCCTCCCAAATCACACCAGGTAAATAGTTATTAAATGTATAGAATCAGCCCTGCTTTATTAATCTCCTGGAAGAGGGACGCTAAGTATAAAACCAATCATTAATCTGAATTTCATAGGAGGATTTCTAGCTCCAAATTCTATATGTAATTTACTCCTTCCTATTCTGTATACGTCAAGAACCACAGATAATTATTTCACACATTCTATTTAGAGAAACTGTTTACCAAGTTTGATCATTCTTCATAGAGCCAGGACCTCCGGTGATGAACAGAATATGTTGGAGGAGACTTTAGATGCTTTGTATAAACTGATGTTTAAAAACATTTATTGTTCCTCCTGAAAGTAATAAAATTCCAGCTGCCCAACATACAGGGAATTTAATTTCCTATGAATAAATATAAGTGGCCAGATTCTTAAAAAAAAAAAAAAAAGAATGGGCTACATTGATCAGAGAGCCATGTTGTACTTAATACTTGCCATCTACACATGACTACACACACACACACACACACACACACACACACATGCACACACACACACCTGCTGTTGCCATAAGAGACCAATACTATATTGGTCTCCCAGTTGACTGACAGCAGAATGATGCTGGGAACATATTCAGCTGAATGGCTGAGGATACTCTAGTGACTGCTTACATGTATGGCACCAATGGTAACAGCCAATGGGTAAAGAGCAGTGTTTGAAAGGGCCAATTGCATCAAGTAATTTCATGGCTGTTTATAAAGATTCATCTCCCCAAAGTCTGATGAGGCTGTTCTGCCAGTAACTATGGGTCTGTTTTGATGCCTGATCTTGACTGAACACAGCTGTTCTTATCTCCAGAGACAGGTATCCTGGAGTTCATGAAAGACGTGTAGCTGATTCAGGTAAGGACAATCAAATAAACAAGCCTCCTTGACAACAGAGTGGCTGGCTTCACAGTACCACCTGAAATACACACATGGGACACCATATATCCTACTAATAAGTGCCCATGTTGCTTAAAGTGTATTAAGTAACACAGCATCAAGCCTGAGGGACTAACATAGTGATCAGCCCTCTCCTCTGCCCCCAGCGCTGCCCTTGAAGTAAACCTGACCATCTCATTTCCAACTTCTTTTTGGATGAAGTCTAACTCAAGATCTCATGCAATTGACTCCCAAGGGGCCCCTACCTCATCTTCCAGAAATGACTAAGTTGTAGCATATATTGTATCTAAATCCAAGTTATAACGCCGGCTACATACAGAGGTAAAGGGAAATTAAATTTGATTACATTAAAAATGTAAATGGCAATCCAAAATGCTTTTTTAAAGCAACAGACACCAAGAATTTTTAATATTTATTTACAAATGGGACCAGAAAGGGAAAGACCAATGGGAGGGCTGTCTGAGAAGGATGAGCACATGCCACACCCCAGGTCTTGACATTGCCAAATATTTGGCAAACACTATCTCATGTAATCTTTACAACAGACCTACAAGGTAGGCAATAATGCTCGTATTTTACAGATGAGCTCATTTAGACTAAAAAAGTTAAGTCATTTGTCCAAAGTTGCATATATACTGAGTACTGAGCTAGGATTTCCTTCCAGACCTATCTGGCTCCCAAAGTATTGTCCCTTAACCACAGTGCTATGCTGTGCTGTTTCCCCAGAAGGCCTTAAATACTTCACTGCCCCACTCCCTGGCTTCACAATCCTAACCTAGTGATATGGTTTGGCTGTGTCCCTACACAAATCTCATTTTGAATTGTAGTTCTCATAATCCCTATGTGTGTTGGGAGGGACCCGGTGGGAGGTAATTGGATCATGGGGGCAGTTCCCATATGCTGTTCTTGTAATAGTGAGAGAGCTCTCACAAGATCTGATGGTTTTATAAGAGGCTTTTCCTCACTCATTCTTCTCCTTCCTGCAGCCATGTGAAGAAGGACATGCTTGCTTCTTCTTCCACCATCATTGCAAGTTTCCTGAGGCCTCCCCAGCCCTGCAGAACCATGAGTAAATTAAACTTCTTTCCTTTATAAATTACCCAGTCTCGAGTATGTCTTTGTCAGCAGCTGAAAATGGACTAATACACCTAGTCCATGAGGAATCAATGCTTGCTGATGATGGGAGAGTCTTCCCATTACGCCTGAAGCCAGCCTTGATGACAGTTTAATACAGTCTTATCAACATTAACCCCAGGAACAGCCAGGGCTAACAATGGACTCTCCTTACCTTTTAAAAGGCTTTTTCATTGAGAAATACAGGAATTTGCTTTTTTGCTGGAAATCTGGGTAAGGAAAGCTAAAAAGATATCATGCTAAATGACAAAATTCTGGCTCCTTATGGTGGTAGACAGTACACAGTATTCTTAGCTGGCAAGTCATCATCAATTTACCTCTCCATTTGTCGGCCAAAATTATAAACCCACAGAGTAAAAGGACTTTGTGCAAAAGTCAGATTTTCCCCTTGCTCACAAAATGATCAGAGCCAAGTGAATAACAATACTAATGTCTGATTCCTGTAATGGAAATTGGTTTATGGCTACACTGAACTCATGCTTCACATTGTTTCCAGTATCTAATTGGTCTAAGACTTTCTCACTTTTCTAACAGGTACAGAGAGTAAAGAATTTTCAAGGAAAAAAAATTATGTGCCCATAAATAACTATGATTTGGCAAGAAATATTTTTAATTATTTCCTAATTGTTAAAATATGAAGTAGAGTATTTGAATGAGAACTACAATGAGATATGTATGAAAGAAACATAGTGAATCATATTTTACAGGTAGTAAAATAGATCCACAGAGGAATTGAATGATTTATGTGATATTACAGAGAGTCTGAAATTTGAACTCAAAGCTGTCAACACCCAGCTTTGCGATTACTTCCTGAAAAATTATGCCTCTCACAAACCAACATCCTACCAAGATCCTAAATTCACTCTTGCCAGGATGTCTGAATAGACTGAACCATCTATATCCATTCAGAAGTTTAAATGCGAGTGTTTTGCTGTCAGGATATTAACCCTAACATGATTCATCTACTCTCTATCAAATGTGGTACCAATTTCTGTCTTGTTGCCAGGTCTAATCCATCACAACTGTCATCCAACACATTTTTTTAAGCACAGTTACTTCAGACACAAGTTGAAGAGAGTTTCACTTGAAGACATAAGATTTTATCTAATATTTTTCTTAAACTTGAAGACATACACCAGCAAAACTACTTAACTTTAAGTAGAGTGCAAATCTAATCTTAATTCCATTAAAATAAGAACAAATGAGATAGTAATTTTGCTTCACCAATAAGTCATTTTGCTTGAAATTTCTACAGAATTAAGCTCTCCTGCTAGAAGTCCACAGTGAATGGATGAACTTTCTGAATACATTTTTTAGATGATCCAGACTCTACTAAAATTTCACCATTATCAGCCAACTACATGTAAAAGAAAATCTGTGCAACCATGTGATATGTATTTTTTTTCTTTTCCAGCAGCACACCAAATACAGAGGCAAGTGTCTCTACATTTTCAGATACTATAGATGTGTCACTCTCAGATGACGACCAGACCCCCTTGGTGCCCAACTGCCCATCAGGCACAACGTCGTCACCAAGCAGATATTAAGGTGAGGGAACTCACTCCCTTGTTTCCGTGTAACATGGGCTTAAAACAGGTCTAATTGGAAACAATTGGAGTGTGGCCATTTTGGGTCTAGAAAGAATAGAGAAAGAGAGAGTTTTTTAAAAATGTTTGTACCTGAGCACTATATGTGGCTGTTATATAAGTACATTATAAACACAACTTCTAGGGGGAGGCGATTCCAAGATGGTGGAATAGGAACAGCTCCAGTCTACAGCTCCCGGTGTAAGCAACGCAGAAGACAGGTGATTTCTGCATTTCCAACTGAGGTACCGGGTTCATCTCACTGGGGCTTGTCAGACAGTGGTTGCAGGACAGTAGGTGCAGCCCACCGAGCGTGAACTGAAGCAGGGTGAGGCATCGCCTCACCCGGGAAATGCGAGGGGTCAGGCAATTCCCTTTCCTAGCCGAGGGAAGCTGTGACAGACAGCACCTGGAAAATCGGGTCACTCCCACCCTAATACTGTGCTTTTCCAACAGTCTTAGCAAACAGCAGACCAGGAGATTATATCCTGCACCTGGCTTGGAGGGTCCCATGCCCACACAGCCTCGCTCATGGGTAGCACAGCAGTCTGAGATCAAACTGCAAGGTGGCAGTGAGGCTGTGGGAGGGACGCCCACCATTGCTGAGGGTTGAGAGGTAAACAAAGCGACCAGGATGCTTGAACTGGGTGGAGACCACCACAGCTCAAGGAGGCCTGCCTGCCTCTGTAGACTCCACCTCTGAGGGCAGGGCATAGCCGAACAAAAGGCAGCAGAAACTTCTGCAGACTTAAATGTCCCTGTCTGTCAGCTTTGAAGAGAGTAGTGGTTCTCCCAGCATGGAGTTGGAGATCTGAGAACAGACAGACTACCTCCTCAAGTGGGTCCCTGACCCCCAAGTAGCATAACTGGGAGGCACCCCCAGTAGGGGCAGACTGACACCCCACAAGGCCAGGTACCCCCCTGAGATGAAGCTTCCAGAGGAACGATCAGGCAGCAACATTTGCTGTTCAGCAATATTCGCTGTTCTGCAGCCTCCACTGATGATACCCAGGCAAACAGGATCTGTAGTGGACCTCCAGCAAACTCCAACAGACCTGCAGCTGAGGGTCCTGACTGTTAGAAGGAAAACTAACAAACAGAAAGGACATCCACATCAAATCCCCATCTGTATGTCACCATCATCAAAGATCAAAGCTAGATAAAAACCACAAAGATGGGGACAAAACAGAGCAGAAAAACTGAAAATTCTAAAAATCAGAGCGCCTCTCCTCCTCCAAAGGAACGCAGCTCCTCAACAGCAATGGAAAAAAGCTGGATGGAGAATATGACTTTGACAAGTTGAGAGAAGAAGGCTTCAGATGATTAAACTTCTCCAAGCTAAAGGAGGAAGTACGAACCCATCGCAAAGAAGCTAAAAACCTTGAAAAAAGATTAGATGAATGGCTAACTAGAAAACCAGTGTAGAGAAGTCCTTAAATGAACTGACGGAGCTGAAAACCATGGCACAAGAACTACGTAATGCATGCACAAGCTTAGTAGCCAATTAGATCAACTGGAAGAAAGGGTATCAGTGATTGAAGATCAAATGAATGAAATCAAGTGAGAAGAGAAGTTTAGAGAAAAAAGAGTAAAAAGAAATGAACAAAGCCTCCAAGAAATATGGAACTATGTGAAAAGACCAAATCTACATCTGATTGGTGCACCTGAAAATGATGGGGAGAATGGAACCAAGTTGGGAAACACTCTGCAGGATATTATCCAGAAGAACTTCCCCAATCTAGCAAGGCAGGCCGACATTCAAATTCAGGAAATACAGAGAATACCACAAAGATACTCCTCGAGAAGAGTAACTCCAAGACACATAATTGTCAGATTCATGAAAGTTGAAATGAAGGAAAAAATGTTAAGGGCAGCCAGAGACAAAGGTCAGCTTACCCACAAAGGGAAGCCCATCAGACTAACGTGGATCTCTTGGCAGAAACTCTACAAGCCAGAAGAGAGTGGGGGCTAGTATTCAACATTGTTAAACAAAAGAATTTTCAACCCAGAATTTCATTTCCAGCCAAACTAAGCTTCATAAGTGAAGGAGAAATAAAATCCTTTACAGACAAGCAAATGCTGAGAGATTTTGTCACCATCAGGCCGCCCTAAAAGAGCTCCTGAAGGAAGCACTAAACATGGAAAGGAACAACCCATACCAGCCACTGCAAAAACATGCCAAATTGTAAAGACCATCGATGCTAGGAAGAAGCTGCATCAACTAACAACCAAAATAACCAGCTAACATTATGATAACAGGATCAAATTCACACATAACAATATTAACCTTAAATGTAAATGGGCTAAATGCTCCAATTAAAAGACACAGACTGGCAAATTGGATAAAGAGTCAAGACCCATCAGTGTGCTGTATTCAGGAGACCCATCTCATGTGCAGAGACACACATAGCCTCAAAATAAAGGAATGGAGGAAGATCTACCAAACAAATGGAAAACAAAAATAGGCAGGGGTTGCAATCCTAGTCTCTGATAAAACAGACTTTAAACCAACAAAGATCAAAAGAGACAAAGAAAGCCATTACATAATGGTAAAGGGATCAATTCATCAAGAAGAGCTAACTATCCTAAATATATATGCACCCAATACAGGAGCACCCAGATTCATAAAGCAAGTCCTTAGAGACCTACAAAGAGACTTAAACTCCCACACAATAATAATGGGAGACTTTAATACCAAACTGTCAACTTTAGACATATCTGCAAGACAGAAAGTTAACAAGGATATCCAGGAATTGAACTCAGCTCTGCACCAAGCAGATCTAATAGACATCTACAGAACTCTCCACCCCAAATCAACAGAATATACATTCTTTTCAGCACCACACCGCACCTATTCCAAAATTGACCACATACTTGGAAGTAAACCACTCCTCAGCAAATTTAAAAGAACAGAAATTATAACAAACTGTCTCTCAGACCACAGTGCAATCAAACTAGAACTCAGGATTAAGAAACTCACTCAAAACTGCTCAACTACATGGAAAATGAACAACCTGCTCCTGAATGACTACTGGGTACATAACGAAATGAAGGCAGAAATAAAGATGTTCTTTGAAACCAACGAGAACAAAGACACAACATACCAGAATCTCTGGGACACATTTAAAGCAGTGTGTAGAGGGAAATTTATAGCAGTAAATGCCTGCAAGAGAAAGCAGGAAGGATCTAAAATTGACACCCTAACATCACAATTAAAAGAACTAGAGAAGCAAGAGCAAACACATTCAAAAGCTAGCAGAAGGCAAGAAATAACTAAGATCAGAGCAGAACTGAAGGAGACAGAGACACAAAAAAACCTTCAAAAAATCAATGAATCCAGGAGCTGGTTTTCTGAAAAGATCAACAAAATTCATAGACTGTTAGCAAGACTAATAAAGAAAAAAAACAAGAAGAATCAAATAGATGCAATAAAAAATGATAAAGGGGTTATCACCACTGATCCCACAGAAATACAAGCTACCATCAGAGAATACTATAAATACCTCTACGCAAATAAACTAGAAAATTTAGAAGAAATGGATAAATTCCTGGACACATACACCCTCCCAAGACTAAACCAGGAAGAAGTTGCATCCCTAAATAGACCAATAACAGGCTCTGAAATTGAGGCAATAATTAATAGCCTACCAACCAAAAAAAAGTCCAGGACCAGACGGATTCACAGCCGAATTCCACCAAAGGTACAAGGAAGAGCTGGTACCATTCCTTCTGAAACTATTCCAATCAATAGAAAAAGAGGGAATCCTCCCTAACTCATTTTATGAGGCCGGCATCATCCTGATACCAAAGCCTGGCAGAGACACAACAAAAAAAGAGAATTTTAGACCAATATCCCTGACGAACATCGATGCAAAAATCCTCAATAAAATACTGGCAAACCAAATCCAGCAGCACATCAAAAAGCTTATCCACCATGATCAAGTGGGCTTCATCCCTGGGATGCAAGGCTGGTTCAACATACACAAATCAATAAATGTAATCCAGCATATAAACAGAACTAAAGACAAAAACCACATGGTTATCTCAAT
Source organism: Homo sapiens (assembly GCF_000001405.40). Lineage (NCBI taxonomy): Eukaryota > Metazoa > Chordata > Mammalia > Primates > Hominidae > Homo > Homo sapiens. The sequence goes on along the minus strand of NC_000010.11, from coordinate 63,853,937 downwards.
AGATTCAGAAAAGGCCTTTGACAAAATTTAACAGCCCTTCATGCTAAAAACTCTCAATAAATTAGGTATTGATGGGACATATCTCAAAATAATAAGAGCTATTTATGACAAACCCAGAGCCAATATCATACTGAATGGGCAAAAACTAGAAGCATTCCCTTTGAAAACTGGCACAAGACAGGGATGCCCTCTCTCACCACTCCTATTCAACATAGTGTTGGAAGTTCTGGCCAGGGCAATCAGGCAGGAGAAAGAAATAAAGGGCATTCAATTAGGAAAAGAGGAAGTCAAATTGTCCCTGTTTGCAGATGACAGGATTGTATGTTTAGAAAAATCCCATCATCTTAGCCCAAAATCTCCTTAAGCTGATAGGCAACTTCAGCAAAGTCTCAGGATACAAAATCAATGTACAAAAATCACAAGCATTCTTATACACCAATAACAGACAAACAGAGAGCCAAATAATGAGTGAACTCCCATTCACAATTGCTTCAAAGAGAATAAAATACCTAGGAATCCAACTTACAAGGGATGTGAAGGAACTTTTTAAGGAGAACTACAAACCACTGCTCAATGAAACAGAAGAGGACACAAACAAATGGAGGAACATTCCATGCTCATGGATAGGAAGAATCAATATCGTGAAAATGGCCATACTGCCCAAGGTAATTTATAGATTCAATACCATCCCCATCAAGCTACCAATGATTTTCTTCACAGAATTGGAAAAAACTACTTTAAAGTTCATATGGAACCAAAAAAGAGCCCACGTTGCCAAGTCAATCCTAAGCCAAAAGAACAAAGATGGAGGCATCACACTACCTGACTTCAAACTATACTACAAGGCTACAGTAACCAAAACAGCATGGTACTGTTACCAAAACAGAGATATAGACCAATGGAACAGAACAGAGCCCTCAGAAATAATGCTGCATATCTACAACCATCTAATCTTTGACAAACCTGACAAAAACAAGAAATGGGGAAAGGATTCCCTATTTAATAAATGGTGCTGGGAAAACCAGTTAGCCATATGTAGAAAGCTGAAACTGGATCCCTTCCTTACACCTTATACAAAAATTAATTCAAGATGGATTAAAGACTTAAATGTTAGACCTAAAACCATAAATACCCTAGAAGAAAACCTAGGCAATACCTTTCAGGACACAGGCATGGGCAAGGACTTCATGTCTAAAACACCAAAAGCAATGGCAACAAAAGCCAAAATTGACAAATGGGATCTAATTAAACTCAAAAGCTTCTGCACAGCAAAAGAAACTACCATCAGAGTGAACAGGTGACCTACAGAATAGGAGAAAATTTTTGCATTCTACTCATCTGACAAAGGGCTAATATCCAGAATCTACAATGAACTCAAACAAATTTACAAGAAAAAAACAAACAACCCCATCAAAAAGTGGGTGAAGGATATGAACAGACACTTCTCAAAAGAAGACATTTATGCAGCCAACAGACACATGAAAAAATGCTCATCATCACTGGCCATCAGAGAAATGCAAATCAAAACCACAATGAGATACCATCTCACACCAGTTAGAATGGCAATCATAAAAAGTCAGGAAACAACAGGTGCTGGAGAGGATGTGGAGAAATAGGAACACTTTTACACTGTTGGTGGGACTTCAAACTAGTTCAAACATTGTGGAAGACAGTGTGGCGATTCCTCAAGGATCTGGAACTAGAAATACCATTTGACCCAGCCATCCCATTACTGGGTATACACCCAAAGGATTATAAATCATGCTGCTATAAAGACACATGTAACATATGTTTATTGCGGCACTATTCACAACAGCAAACTCTTGGAACCAACCCAAATGTCCATCAATGATAGACTGGATTAAGAAAATGTGGCACATATATACCATGGAATACTATGCAGCCATAAAAAGGATGAGTTCTTGTCCTTTGTAAGGACATGGATGAGGCTGGAAACCATCATTCTCAGCAAACTATCACAAGGATGGAAAACCAAACACCACATGTTCTCACTCATAGGTGGGAATTGAACAATGAGAACACTTGGACACAGGAAGGGGAACATCACACACCAGGGCCTGTCATGGGGTGGGGGGAGTGGGGAGGGATAGCATTAGGAGATATGCCTAATGTAAATGACGAGTTAATGGGTGCAGCACACCAACATGGCACATGTATACATATGTAACAAACCTGCACGTTGTGCACATGTACCCTAGAACTTAAAGTATAACAATAAAGAATAAAAGAAAAAGAAAAAAATAGAAAAAAAAATGCTAGATTCAGTTGCATCTGCGGTGTTCCACATTCTCTATTTCCGCGCCCCCCACCCCTGCTTTTGCAACTGCTGTTTTAGGGAGAAATTCATTCTTTCAACTATGGCTTCTCCTTGAGAATTGTATGGGATACCAGTAATGTGTTTAGTATTCCACATAGAGAAAAATGTAGCTAGAGCTTGGCTAGTATAGCCTGGGGCATTATCTGTTTTAATAGAAGCTGGAATGCCCATCACTGCAAAACACTGCAAAAGGTGACGTATAATACAGGCAGAAGACTCTCCTGATTGACATGTAGCCCAAAGTGAGAAAAGGTGTCCACACATACATGTACATAAGCTAGTCTCCCAAATGAGGGAACATGTGTGACATCCATTTGCCAAAGAGAATTAGGTTCCAATCCTCGAGGATTAACTCCTCCTGTAAAAGATGAGGAATATACCATTTGGCAAGTTGGGCATCACCAGATAATAGCTTTAGCTTCTTTCCAGGTAATGCTGTATCTGCGTTTGAGACCAGAGGCATTAATATGGGTTAAATTGTGAAAATGTCTAGCATTAGCTATTGCATTAGCAACTAGGTGATCAGCCATTTGATTCCCTTCAGTCGAAGGTCCTGGAAGAGGTGTATGAGCCCTAATGTGAGTGATGTAAAAAGGGTGCATTCTACTCCTAACTGCTGTTTGCAATTGGGTAAATAAAGTCATCAGTTGTTCATCTGTATGAAATCATAACTGAGCATTTTCAATTAAATGTGTGGAATGAACCACATGTGAAGAATCAGAAATCACATTAATAGGTATATTAAAAGCAGTCAATACCTCAATTACAGCTACAAGCTCCACTTTTTGAGCTGAAGTATAAGGCATCTGAAAAACTTTACCTTTTGATCCAGAGTAAGAAGCTTTACCATTACTAGATCCATTTGTAAAACAATGAAAACACTTAGCAGTCTGCAGGTTGTTTACCGCAGGAATTGTAAATGCAAACCGTTCACAGTCTTGCTCAGCTAAGGGGATAGTAAAGAAACAGTCTTTTAAATCTATGACTATTAAAGGCCAATTTTTTGGAATTATAGCAGAAGAAGGCAATCCTGGCTGTAATGCTCCCATAGGTTGTATAACTGAATTGATGGCTCTTAAGTCAGTTAACATTCTCCATTTACCTGATTTTTTCTTAATTACAAAAACTGGAGAATTCCAAGGGGAAAATGTTGGAGCTATGTGCCCATTTCCTAATTGTTCAGTAACTAATTTCTCTAAAGCTTCCAGTTTCTGTTTACTTAGCGGCCATTGTTCTATCCAAATTGGCTTATCTGTTAACCATTTTAAAGGTATAGGTTCTGGAGGCTTAGCAATGGCCACTATCAAAAATTATATCCTAATCTTTGGCGGGAACTTTGTCTGTTCACTTGAAGTGGTTCTTTCAAATCTTGCAAACTTTTTTCTAGTCCCATACCAGGGACATACCCCATTTCATGCATCATATGTTGACTTTGAGGGCTATATAATTGTTCTGGAATTGGAACTTGTGCTCTCCATTGTTGTAATAAATCTCTCTCCCATAAATTTATAGGTACAGAAGTTATAATTGGTTGAATAGTCCCAGGTTGTCCATCGGGCCCTTCACAATGCAAAATATAACTACTTTGATTTACTTCAGGGGCTTTACCAACTCCAAGTATGTTAAATTGAGTGGGTTGAATTGGCCAAGCGGACGGCCAGTGCTGTAGAGAAATGATTGAAATGTCTGCTCCTGTATCTACCAAACCTTTAAATTTCTTTCCCTGAATAGTTATTTCACAGGTAGGACGTTTATCAGTAATTTGATTCACCCAATAAGCTGCTTTGCCTTATTTATCTGTGCTTCCAAATCCTCATGTTCATTTAATTTCACTTTTCCCCATTTCCACATACGGCACAATCAGGAGCTGTGCTATGCACTCTTGTGGCTCTGCTTTCCAGGGAACAAAAGTAGATATAACAATTTCAATTTCCCCATTGTAATCTGAATCAATGACTCCTGTATGTATTTGTACCCCTTTTACATTTAAACTAGACCTGTCTAGAACTAATCCTATCATCCCTGCTGGCAAGGGTCCACAGACTCCTGTTGGGACCTTTTGTGGGGGTTCCCCAGGCAGAAGGCTCACAGCTTTTGTGCAGCATAAATCTACTGTGGCACTACCGGCTTTGGTGGGGGACAGACATTGTATAGGCATGAGGGAATGGCCTGAGCTGGAAATGCCCTGGTTTGGAATGGGGCCCGGGACGGGCCCCTCATAGCGTTTCCCGAAATCGGGTTCCCATCTTTATCAAACTTAGAGTGACACTGATTAGCCCAGTGTTTTCCTTTTTTATATTTTGGACATATTTCAGGCTCAGCAGTTTTCTTTTTTCCCCTATCTGGCAGCTTGACTTGCTGATTTTTTCTACATTCTTTTTTAGTATGACCATGCTTCCCACAGTTAAAACAAGCTCCAGGAAATGGAGTATTTCCTTTATCCACTCTCAGTCCTGCCATTGCCTGTGCTAGCAGAGTAGCCTTATGCAGACTACCTCTGATATCATTGCAGGCCTTGATATAATCAACTAAATGTGCTTTCCCACTGATAGGTTGCAGAGCTGCCTGGCAATCGGGGTTAGCATTGCCGAAAGCTAATAACTGCAACACTATATCCTGAGCAGCCGAATCTGCAATCACCTTTTTAAGAGATTCCTGTAACTGAGCTATAAAATCCATGTATGGTTCTTTTGGTCCCTGTTTTATAGCACTAAAGGAAGGGTATTGTTCTCCTGTTGAAGTGATTTTTTCCCAAGCTCTAATGCACACTCCTCTAAACTGCTCTATGGCATCATCCTGCATGACCACTTGTGCAGCTAAACCAGCCCAGCCGCCAATCCCCAAAAGTTGGTCTGCAGTTATATTAATTTGAGGTTGGGCCTGGGTGTTGCGAGCAGCCTGAATGTAAGCTTCATCTGCCCACCAAGTTTTAAATTGTAAGAACAGAGCAGGAGTTAGACAAGCTCGAGTAAGAGCATCCCAGTCAGTAGGAATCATCCGACTGGAAACAGCAACATTCTTTAACAGTCCCATTACAAAAGGAGAACCTGGTCCATACTGATTAATAGCTTGTTTAAATTCTTTGAGTAATTTAAAAGGAAAAGGCTCAAATGTAGCTATAATATTTCCCTGTTGATCTGGGGGGTGTATTCTAACAGGGAACTGCCAAGCCTCTAAATCACCCTCTCGTCTAGCTTGCTGAATTCCTGCCTGAATAGAACTAAGAGCAGTCACTCAAGGCACTGCTCGAACAGTCACTGGGGCAACTACTTTTTGCCCAGTGTCCTCTGGAAAAGAAAGATCCGGAGGGTCTTTTTTCTTCAAAATAATAAGGAGGGGGTGCAGAAGGGTAGGGATGAACCTCTCCCTCCTTTGCTGCTTTAGCTTTAGCTGGCAAATAAACCTGCTCTGTAACCTCTTCTGATACTTCACTATACTCTTGTTCCTCCTTGTTATCAGTGTGAAAAAGTTCCAAGGTGAAACGAACCAGACCCCATACCTGTCCCATTGTTACCCTGATGCTTCCAAGCTTCCCTTCTTACTCACCACAGGGATTGCTTTAAGAGTACTCAGGTGTCCTCCAGCTAGTTCCACATTCTCCGACTGTCACTCCAGCGACCCTTTGACCTGGATTTGAGCCCCCACATATGGGCGCCACTTGCCAAGACCAGCTCAGTCGGGGAGACCCTAACCCAGTGGCACTAGAGTAATTAAAGACACACACAGAAATACAGAAGTGTGAAGTGGGAAATCAGAGGTCTCACAGCCTTCAGAGCTGAGAGCCTCCAACAGAGATTTACCCACATATTTATTAACAGCAAGCCAGTCATTAGCATTGTTTCTATAGATATTAGATTAACTAAAAGTATCCCTTATGGGAAACCAAGGGATGAGCCGAAATAAAGGGATGGGTTGGGCTAGTTATCTGCAGCAGGAGCATGTCCTTAAGGCACAGATCGCTCATGCTATTGTTTGTGGTTTAGGAATGCCTTTAAGCGGTTTTCTGCCCTGGGTGGGCCAGGTGTTCCTTGCCTTCATTCTGGTAAACCCACAACCTTCCAGCATGGGCGTTATGGCCATCATGAACATGTCACAGTGCTGCAGAGATTTTGTTTATGGCCAGTTTTGGGGCCAGTTTATGCGCAGATTTTGAGGGGCCTGTTCCCAACAGGTCACGTGCCTCCCAAGTCCATCAGACTCACTATCAGACTCACCTAGGACTCACCATCAGACTTACCTAGGAGTTCTAGTCCTTGTGGCCTAGACTGCATTTCAAATTTATTTAGAGCCCCACAGTACTTAAGCCCATGGTGGTGAGGCTTGCCAGAACTCAAGTTCTAACCACTGGGATGCACAATTTTCCCCCCTGGTGAGGTTGATTTTAATACTCCCTCTGTAAACAGGCATCAGCTGAGTTGAGCCCAGCTTTGCTTGCTGCTATGGCAGGGCAGCACTGAGTTCAATGCATTTGCCGCACCCACCCTCTCCCAAATGCACAGATTCTCTCTCTGTACCACACAGCTGCTGCTGAGGGGTGGGAGAGGGGTGGTGTTGGCAATTCAAGACTCTTTCCTACCTTCCTCAATGCCTCTTTCAGCAATATGAAGTTAAAACCAGGTACTGTGAGTGCTCACCTGGTTTTTGGTTCTTATGAAGGTATTTTTTTGTGTTTAGATAGTTGTTCAATCTGTGTCCTTTCTAGGGGAATGATCAGTACAGCCTTCTATTTGGTCATCTTGCTCTGTCCCTCCTACACCCCAGATATTGAAAGAAGTCTTAGAGGTTATTATGGAAGCTCAGATGAAAATCTTTGAAATACCACAGAGAAAATAAGAAGTATCTGAGGAATCAAGTTGAACAAAAGCCCCAACTTTCAGAAAGAGAAAAAAGATATATTATGAAGTCTACAGACTGTCGTGTAAAAAGGGACTCCTCACCTTGGAATATGTGACTACAGTGGTTCTCAGCCCAGACTGCTAGGCTAGATGAGATCTATATAAGTGGCAGTATCTTCTAGGTGATTCCAAGTTTAGCCACAGTAAAGAACAACTGTGTTACTAGCGTAGCTTAGATGACCACTTACCAGAAGATACAGAAGCCTCTCAGGTTCTTTTGAATTCCATCATTCCTCGTCCTATGAAAAGTAAGTCCTAAATTTTGTGATGTAGAATCTATAAGTGGCACATGTAATGAAAAACACAGTATCTGGACTCAAAAGTCTCTGTGTTTCTACCTCATTGTGTTACCACTAGGAGGAAATGAACTAACATGAGAAAGCTTATTACTATTATTTTGTTAGCCTAATCTCACATCCATTATAGGCAGGTCACATAAGGATAGATACAAGTATATTGGAAAAAGCATAGGCTTTGAAGACAAATGCTTCCTCTGTTATTTATCAGCTGTGTGTCCTCCGGCAACTTATTTAAATTCTCTGAGCTTGAATTCATGATCTATAAATTAAGAATAGTAATACCTATCTTAGAGATGGGACTGACTATATAATTTGTGGGCCCCAGTACAAAATGAAAAACTTGAGGCCCCTTGTTCAAAAATAACTCATGATGTCAGCAGCTGAGCACTAAACCAAGCATGCAGCCTTTGTAAGCCAGAGACCCTGTTCAAATGCACAGTTTGCACACCTATGAAGCTAGCCTTGCTTTCAGACTTGCAAAGAGTAAAGACAATATAATGTAAAACCCCATCATTGTGTTTGTGTAAGTATTCAAAGGTATCTATTATTAGGATCCTTCTTTCCATTTTAGCATTTCTCTTGCCATTAAGATAAAAAAGAATGGCTGAATATACAAATAAATGGCTTCTGGAAATATCTGACAGAATGAAACTGGAATTGACTTTTAAGATGGAAAATAATAGTTAACATTTTTCCCACAGAACCAGCAACAAATGGTGTATATCCTGTGGGAAAGTTAATCAGAATTGCAAAGAATAGAGATCACAAATTTACTAAAATGCCTCGCAGCTTAGGATGACACCTCAGTATGAGAAGAGCAATTGATTTTAGGCTAACATACACATAAAAAGATTTAATATATTTAATTTTTTTTTATTTCTAAAGAAAAAAAACATTAACCATTCTCCACACACATTTGTTTAGTAGCTACCACTATGCTAGGCCAGCAAGACCAGTAAAACTGAGTTGTGGCCTTCAGATTGTTTTCAACCTCCCCAAACAGGCAGAATTAACATAATTACCTACCATCCAGGCTACCATCACTGCTAGTTAGGGTGACTCCAACACACACACCCAGTTCTGCTCCCTTTCAATTCATTCTCCACCCTGTGATCAGAGTAATTTTTCTAAAACCTATCACTCAGGCCGAGCATGATGGCTCACGCCTGTAATCATATCACTTTGGGAGGCCAAGGAGGGTGGACCACCTGAGGTCTGGAGTTTGAGACCAGCCTGGCCAACATGGTGAAATCCTGTCTCTTCTAAAAATACAAAAAATTAGCCGGGCATGGTGGTGGGCACCTATAATCCCAGCTATGCGAGAGGCTGAGGCAGGAGAATCGCTTGAACCTGGGAGGCAGAGGTTGCAGTTAGCCAAGATTATACCATTGCACTCCAGCCTGGGCAACAAGAGCAAAACTTCATCTCAAAAATAAATAAATAAATAAATAAAAATAAAACCTGCCATTCCTCTGGTTAAAATCTTTCTGTGGCTGCCCACTAACCTGAGAATGACATCCAAATGACTTTATATGGCAGATAAAGACCTTCACCATTTGGCCTCTTGACCCTCTCCACTCCCATTTCCACTTTTCATTATATTGTCCCTGTTCCTTTTAGTTCTACAGACATGTTGATCTCTGCTAGTTCAGGCCCTCAGAGAAGATCTAAGATGAGAGTGGATGTCTGTACTAGTCAGGATTCTCCAGAGAAACAGAAGCAACAGAATATATAGATTTCCATATAGATATGGATAAAAGGATATCTATTATAAGAACTGGTTCACATGATTAAGGAGGCAGAAAAATCCCATGATCTTCCATCTGCAAGCTGGAGTACCAGGAAAGCTGATGATACAATTCAGTCTGAGTCCAAAGGCCTGAGAACCAGAGGAGCCAATGGTATAACTCCCAGTCCAAGTCCAAAGGCTCAGGAACCAGGATCATCCATGTCTAAGGACAAGAGAAAATGGATGTCCAAGCTGGGGAAGAAGAAAGAGTGAATTCACCCTTCCTCTACCGATGGATTGGATGATGCCCATCCACACTAATGAGGGCAATCTTCTTTGTTCAGTCTACCAATTCAAATGCTAACCTCTTCAAGAAATACCCTCACAGACACTTCCAGAAATCGTGTTTTACCAGCTATCTGGATAGCCCTTAGCTCAATCAAATTGATACATAAAATTAACCATTACAAGGTGCAAGAGATTTATTGACTGTCAAGAAAAAATGAGACGAACCAAAAGTAGGCAGGAAGAGATTTCAGACTGCAATGTATGCCTGACACCTATGAAAGGATAAGGAGAAGGAAATAGGATTGGGTAGGAAGAGTTTCAGGCTGCAAGAAAATTTAAAGTGACCACCAGGCTTTTGGGGAGTCCTTGAGCCCAAAGTCTCCCATTAGAGGAGTCCCATATCCCACAGAGATGAGTCTGTACCAGTAGCTTCTCAGGGCCCAGTGACTGTCTGGGAGCAGTCCAGGGCATATGTGGCCATGGTGTAAACTCAGTTGTGGATCAGAGGTGGAACAATGGGGCCATCAGTCAACTGTGCTTCCTACAGCAGGAGATACAGTTGGTTCATTTTCATGACCATCAAATTCCACAGATTATACCTCACAGATCTATTTCTCTATGCAGGTTTGAGGAGCAGCTCCTCTGTGGTTCCCAAGGCCTCCCTCCCAGAAGGGAAACTTAAGAGGCAGGTTAGAAAGATGAATTATGGTTGCCACCACTGTAGTTAATCTCAGTGCCACAACAGACACTCATCCTTGCTCTCCTTCTCTATTCATTTTATGTTCCCTTCTCCCTTAGCTGTCTTACCTAGTAAAAAGAAGTGCCTTCGGACCATGATGCAGGTCTGATATCTGTGAAAGGGGCAGGAGGAGATTAGCTAGAAAATTCTCAGACTGCAGTGCAGTCCTATGGAAGTCTCAACTAGGCTGACAGACATTACCTGAACAAAAGTTGCCCACAAGAGAAGCCATGCATCCTGTAGGAATAGCCTGCATTAGTAGCCCCACCATCCTCAGTCATTGGCTGGGAGCCAACTGGAAATGTATGGCCTTGATGTGAACACAGTAGTGGATTCAGAAGGGGTACAGCTGAGGCTGTCAGTCAATTCTGCTCCCTGTAGCAGGAGATCCGAGTGGTGCATTTTCATGGCTTCCATAATTCGATTGTCAAATCAGACTCACAAGAATCAGATATCTTACTCAATGTCAAGCATCACTAATTTCAAGGCCACAAGGACAGGCAAAGCAGAAAGAGGTGCAGAGCTCCAACATAGCTCCTCATGTTCTTTCTTGCAGCATTAGGGTCCACTCTACCACAGATTAACATATGAGATCTCTAACTTGTGTACACAATCACTTCACTTATACATCTGCTGCTGATCCTTTCCCTCAAGCTATTCTCTGTGCCTGACATGTGCATCCTCTTCCTTATTCTAACACCACCTTTTTATTTTTTTGAGCTTCAATTTAAACATCACTTCCTTTTATGACTCCCCAGATTAGGTTATTTGTCTCTGTTGTGTGCTACAAAAACTCCGCTGTACTTCCTCTGCTATGGAACATGTCATCATTTATAATAATTGTTCATCTTGCTTTATCTGTCTCCTTCACTAGAATATAAGCTGAAAGAGAAAAAGAAAGAAATGTTCTATAGTATCCACCACTAGACTATGAGAGAGACAGAGAGAGAGAGAGAGAGAGACTCTCTTGCTCATCATGATATATCCAATGACTATTACACTAGTGGCATATGGTTAAGATTTAGTAAATATTCACTTTATTAATTATAGACTAAGTTCAATGGAAGCACAGAGGAAGGAGATATTGATTATGTCTCGAAGGGAAATGGGAGTAAGTATCCACCAAGACCCATAAAATATTAAGACTGAGTTGAGGCTGGTGATAGGCTCTGATTCACACAAAACCTGACTTCCAATCTAGTCTTCTCTGAGTTCTGTTGATAATGGCAGATAACCAAGACAGAATGAACATAGAAGGGGACAAGTTCTCTTTCCTATTGTGAAGATGGGAAAATGTTTAAAGGCTTAAATTCTGGGAAGCAAATTATAATTTCAGAGGTGATTTTTTTTTTATTTCCAAGAACTCAGGACAAGATAAAGGGAGGAAGCAAAGGAGAAAACTGCCAAAGAGAATGTGAGGTTTTCGTCTAGTAAGTCTCTTTGTCTTTCCTTTACATAAGCATTCCGTAAATGAATGATTTTAGCCAGAGGAGCAATATTACTTCCCAGTCCCTCTGAGAGTTCCTTCTCCATCAAAATAACCCATCAGCAATGAAATCATAATAGCCAGAGTCTCATCTTTTTAAAGTTAGATTTATGGATCCTATCATGATCATTAGGAACATTACTTATCTAAGCAAAACAGGAAACAAATAGACTGCCCAGGGACACACATCTCTGATAAGGTACAGCCTGTAGTACCACAGTAGAGAAGCCATTAAGAATCCCAAATGGCTTCCCAATTCATTTACATACACGATAGCAGAAATTCCCCGATTCCAACATTATCTAGTCTCTTAAAATGAATTGCTAGATTCTGCAATCCCACTTCACATCTGCTTCGTTGTGAAGAAGAGAAATGCATTCACGGTACTCTCTTGCGTGGAAGAGTTCTAGAAATAAATACAGAGAGAAAGAAGGTTTCATAACTTCATCCCTCTGCTATCATTTCTAGTTCCCTCTCTCCCATCCCAAGTCTTTCCAGACTGTGCTTGCCTGAACACCAGATATCCCTATAAGTCCAAGTCAAAGCAGTCTTAGGCATAGGCAAAATTGATGGTCATCTGCATGGTGCGAGACCCAGAGGAAAACTTCTCACTTCCAGAAATTCTGTCTCTCTCTCTCTCTCTCGTGCGCGCATTTGTATTTGCATTAAGACTGAAAATTCTATTCTCACAATTTCCTTCTAACAGAGAAAGGTGTCAAGAGAAGTCATAGTCTTGGATGGTTATAGGACTCATGTGCGGTCACTTTTCCTTACCTGCAAACGAGCTTTCCTGACAGTATAGTCCCTTCTCAGATGCGATGTTCACTTGCCTTCAGATAAGAAACAGAGTTTGTCTGGATCATGAAGCTGGAAGAAGGCAGTCATTTCTATCAGCTTGCAGCCGTTCTTCACCAGCCTCTCTTAGAGAACAGGGCTTCCTACCTGGGAGGAAGGTGCCATTTGTCCCCTTCACACAGATGAAGAAAGAGAGCCAATAAGAAATCAGTGCAGAAAAGCCCACAATTGTTAAGTGCTTCACCTCTGAGGAGTTCCATTTCATATCCAGCTGGTAAGTACTAGTTGCTCTGTCTGGGAAGCTCATGCTCCCACTTTTCATGTGGCCAGCTCCTTCATATCCTTCAGATGTTAGTTCATTTGTTATCTTCTCCAGGAGCCTTCCTTGGCCACCCAAACTAAAGTTGGTCATCTCTATTTTCTCTTACAATTCCTTATTCTTTTCCTTCATGGCACTTAGCATAGTTTGTAAGTATATGTTCTCTTTTGTTTGCTTATATTCTGTTTGTACACTTGACTGTAAACTCCTTGAGAGCAGACATCATCCCTCAGCTCAGTGCCTAGTAGAATACCCCTGTAGATAACAGATGTTCAATAAACATTGCCCAAATAAATGGTTGGCAGAGTTGCATTTCTAATCCAAATTGAATCATCATTACCATTGTGCAAACTGCCTTCCTGTAAATATGTGCCTAAATTCCACTTGAAGCCTGGAGCCTATTATCCAGTGTAAAACTTTCCTAAACAATTTAAAGATTTCTTCCAGTGGAGATAAATGTGCTTGCACAAAATTTCTGCTTCTCTTGCTTCCTCCCCATCATGCTCCAGAGTCCTTGGAGTTGGTGATCAGCTCAGCAACCTCCTAACGGCATTCTCCAGGCCATTCTCATTTCTACTTCACAGCCTCCCACCACCACCCCTGAGGTTCAAACCATCTGATTCCAGCAGCTGATAAGTTTTTAGTATCTGTGTTTACTCATTTATCCTGAAAGGTGGCATGAGTTTTCTGGAGCTTATCTAGGAAGACAGCTGTCTCCTCTCCCCGCCTGAGAAAGGGAGAGTGCTTGACTAGAGAGAAACTTTTTCTCCCTAATATAAACAAATTCTCCTTGGAAAAAGAATGGAAGGATCCCAAGTTCTTATCCTTCATAATGTCAATAAACATCTCCAGGAGGAAGACAAGCATCTTCAATTCACAACCCCTGGAATGTCTCTGTGGTGCTGAGTTTCATCCCTCTTCTAAAATGGAAACACTTAACTGTGTTAGTCCAGTTTCATGCTGCTGGTAAAGACATACCCCAACTGGGTAATGTATAAAGGAAAAGAGGTTTAATGCCTCACAGTTCCATGTGGCTGGGGAGGCCTCACAATCACAGTGGAAGGCAAAAGGCATGTCTTATATGGCAGTAGGGAAGAGAGAATTTGTGCAGGGGAACGTCCCTTTATAAAACCATCATATCTCATGAGACTTATTCACTACCATGAGAACAGTATGGGAAAGACCTGCCCCCATGATTCAATTACCTCCCATCGGGTCCCTCCCATGACATATGGGAATTGTAGGAGCTACAGGTCAAGATGAGATTTGGGGAAGGACACAGCCAAACCATATCACTTGCCTTCAGGAAGGTAAACCTCTCAGGTTGGTCTCTCACTATCTAATCACCCTTTAAATACTAACACTTGTCCTTTGACCCATATGCCAGGTTTTCGTGCTCAGAAAGCCCTAACCATACAGAAACAAAATATTTTCTGTACAGCCTCACACTACCCTGGTCCTCCTCAAGCTGCCATCTTCCAGTTTCCTGTTCATCCTCCCACTTTCATCAGCAACCTTAGATATTCGCTCTTGAATCTCCTCTAAGTTCTGCCACCATTCTGGAGAATTCTAACACCCATGTGGACAAATGTTAGAGAGGTGGACAAGCCTGATATTCAACAAACTGAGATAACTAACATGATGGGTGTATCAGTCAAGATCAAGTCTGAAAAACAGAAGCCACTAGATGCATCCAAGCATGGAGAATTTAATACAAGGAATTAGAGGCAGCTGGAAAAGCTGGGGGAGTAAAACTCAGGAAGCTCATTGCTGAAAACTTCAGCCTATAGCACGGACTTGAATGCGTTACAAGAAGCTCACTAATAAGTTTCCTCCAACTTCACATTTTCGTCTGACCTCAGAGATTCCTGAGGGAGTAATGGCCTCTCCTCCACCACCTTTTAGTTTCCTCTCACTGGCAGAATCTAATTTAGCTTCAAGTGAGAAGAGAGAAGAAAATTCTGGGAACTTCACTTCTCTGCCCTGCTAAAGAGACCATCCATAGAGATGGAGCTGATTGCAACCTGACAACAGGCAGTCCAGCACAAAAGGTAGAGACATGGTCTTTCTCTGTTTATTCTCCTAGCTAAAAGCATTTCTGGCCCAGATGTGGTGGCTCATGCCTATAAGCTCAACACTTTGGGAGGTCAAGGCAGAAGATGAGCTCAGGAATTTAAGACCAGCATAGGCAACAGAGCGAGACCCCATCTCTACAAAAATAAATAAATAAAATTTGCAGCTGGGCGTGAATTTACCAAATAAAATTTGGTTCACGCCTGTAATCCCAGCACTTTGGGAGGCCAAGGCGGGCAGATCACAAGGTCAGGAGATTGAGACCATCCTGGCTAACACGGTGAAACTCTGTCTCTACTAAAAATACAAAAAAGTAGCTGGGCGTGGTGGCGGGCGCCTGTAGTCCCAGCTACTCGGGAGGCTGAGGCAGGAGAATGGTGTGAACCTGGGAGGCAGAGCTTGCAGTGAGCCGACATCACGCCACTGCACTCCAGCCTGGGCGACCGAGCAAGACTCTGTTCTCAAAAAAAAATAAATAAATAAATAAAAATAAAAATAAATAAAATTAGCCAGGCCTGGTGGCATGGACCTGTGATCCCAGACATTTCGGAGGCTGAAGCAGGGGAATCACTTGAGCCTAGGAGGTGAAGGTTGCAGTGAGCCATGATCATGCCACTGCGCTGCAGCCTGGGAGACAGAGCAAGACCCTGTCTCAAAAAAAAAAAAAAAAAAAAGGATTTCTGGAAAACACTTTCACCCATGGTTTTTGTGTTTTTTCATCTCAAGTGATGGCCTCTGGGAGCCATTTCCTAGAGGGAACTGATTTCATTACATATTTGGTAATTCTGATCAGAAAGTTCTCAGCATTCTTTCCAGCAACAATAAACATTCATAGATGATAATACCCCCAAACCATCTTTTAAATATTAAATTAAAATACTGAATACAAATTCACAAATGGAACAGACAGCTGTTTGAATCTTTACAGAAATGGTTCCATTGCAGCATTTTCAGGGAGCCCATTCTGGAGCATTTCATTAGGGAAGAGTTGCCCCTAAAATCATGAAATTCAAACCATGAATATCAAATATCCTTTGATGTTTTAGGTTTTCATGATTGAAAAATTCTGTGCTTTTTTGGCTACATTAAATAAAAATGAAAAAGTAAAATGGTTGAATGGATGGTGGCATGAAATCTCTTTTAACTCAGCATGAACCCACAGAAATGAAGAAATATGAAAAGTTCATTGGTTTTAAAAAGGACTGAACTCATTAATGAGAAAAGAAAATGTCTAACTAACTTGAAATTAACCTTTTAGGTCTTGCAAGATAGAAACACACCTATATGGTCTGCTTTCCAAACTTAGTATTTACCACAGTATTTTAAAAATCGAAGTATGAGAAGTATACCATAGCAAGATGGGTGGTGCCTTGCTATAGTGTAGTACTTACTAAACAATGGCCATGTAAAGGCTAAGAAAGCAATTAAGAATGTGCCCTGGAGGCAGATGATGGAGAATAAAAGTATAGATGTTTCATGGGATACAAAAAAATAGATCAGTAATCAACTACCAGTTGACCTGATATAATTGGAAAACTGAAGCTAAAGAGATAATCTAAACTGTGAAGAGCCCTCTAATTTATAATCCAGTGTGTATGGCTGGCCACAGAAAGGAATCGCCCTACATGAACCTACCTTCTCCCTGTCCCCCCAAAGAGGTGGTGGCCACTTCTATTTCAGAACAATAATTGAAGCTCTTTCCTGCACTTCTCACTTGTCTCTGGTCCTCAATGCAGAGAGTTCCTCTTTTTCTGAATGAGAATGCTCATTGTCAAAAGCACCTAGTAGATACATCATTCTATTCAACAAGTATGTGTTGGCTCCTCACATTATACCAGGCCCCATGCTAGGTTTTGAGGGTACAAGTCAAAGAAAACACAGTCTTATCTCACAGAGCAGATGAGAATAGAGAACCCAAATTATTGCCTATCCAGAATCCTGCTCTTTTTTGGGACTAGTAACCTCCTACCAACATCTGGATAATGCTGGGTGCTGCCATGTTCTGCTTTATTCCACAACCCCTTGGCAGAGTTGATTGATCCAGAGTAGGCACCCCACCCAACCCAAACCAACCCAGACACTGCCCTGACTTCTCTAACTGAAAGTGGAAAGTCAGTCCCTTTCTGAGAAGAGACGTTATCAAGTGCAACGCTCTTGAGCTATCAGTAAGTAGCCATGTTTCCCACCACACTGAGGAAAGTTCCTGAGAGAAAACAAAAGTAACCACAGTAAAACTGTGAAAAATTAGGCAGAGAGAGAGAAAGAAATATGCTCTTATGGAACCTCAGTATTTTTTAGATGTCGCAAGTGTGTGTGTGTGTGTGTGTGTGTGTGTGTGCATGCACATGTGTATGTATGAAGAGAGTCTGGAAGAATGGAATGGTAAAAATACACTTGAGGTAGGACATGAAAGTCCTTATAAGGTAGGCTAGGACTTGCTTTATCCTAATCAAAAATGAAGGGGCTCATTGAAAGATTTCAATCACAGAGTCCTAAATCTCTTCACTCCAAACTCTCCAAGATTTAGCTCTAGAATAAAATCGCCTAAGGCTAAACCAGTGGTGCTTGGTGGTCCCTTTCTTTCTCCCCCGCCACACCCACTCCTGGTACTGAGATCCCTTTTATAGACTGGCTCTGGAATAGATACGAACTCTTCCTTATACCCTAAGTGAGCCTTTGAAGATAAACTAACTTTATTCTAAGGTGTAATAAAAGGGAATTCAACATGAAGAATGTTGAAAGACTGGAATCATGGTCTGTTGGGCATGTCACTTTCAGGTTTCAAATACTTCCCTAGAAGATTTGCTCCTGGGTCTCACAGGTGCTGTTCTACCACATACACCATCTGAGATACCTGCCTTGGAAATCAAAGAAGTGTTATGCAACTCCACTTCTTGACTTAGCAAAAAAAAAAAAAAAAAAAAAAAAAAAATACAGGCACAGTGGCTGTGGCTGTAATCCCAGCACTTTGGGAGGCCAAGGTGGGTGGATCACGAGGTCAGGAGTTTGAGACCAGCCTGGCCAACAAAATGAAACCCCATCTCTACTAAAAATACAAAAATTAGCCGGGCATGGTGGCATGTGCCTGTAGTACCAGTTACTCGGGAGGCTGAGGCAGGAGAATCACTTGAACCTAGCAGGCGGAGTTTATGGTGAGCCATGATCGCACCACTGCACTCCAGCCTGGGCAACAGAGTGAGACTGCATCTCAAAAAATAAAAAATAAAAAATTTCAACCCACCACTCCTGCCAAACTTCAACATCTTCATGGGTAAGAACAAGTGAGCCACATTTCCACTGTGCCACCCACTAAGGCATTTCATCTTTGTTTGATTCTAATTTGAGAGTTACATTTCTTCCTTGTGTAACTGATATCTATAAGACACTAGCCTTCAACATAAAGTGGGAGTATTTTAATCCACATACAGAGAGAGTGTAATGACTGTTGTATGTATTTAATAAAAACTATTCATATAGAATAACAGAATCCTAGTTCTTACCAAAGGAGGAAAGTTTAGGTGTAAACTGATAAAGACCTAATCTCATGCTGATGAGGAGCGAATCTCCTCATGAATGATGAGGATGAATAAGAAATATGTTTGAGACATATCTAAGTGATATAATTAACAGAACTTGGTGATAAATGAAATGAAGAAGAGAAAGCGGTCAGAATGATTTCCAAATGTTTGGCTTAAAAAAACTAGATGTTCTCAAACTCCTGACCTCAGGTGATCCGCCCACCTCAGCCTGGCAAAGTGCTGGGATTACAGGCGTGAGCCACCTGGCCAACATGGTGAAACCCTGTCTCTTCTAAAACTACAAAAATTAGCCAGGCTTGGTGATGGGTGCCTGTAATCCCAGCTACTCAGGAGGCTGAGGCAGGAGAATTGCTTGAACCCGGGAGGCAGAGGTTGCAATGAACCGAGATCACACCACTGCACTCTAGCTTGGATGACAGAGCAAGACTCTGTCTCAAAAAAAAAAAAAAAAAAAAAAAAAAAAAAAAAAAAAAAAAAAAAGATGGATAATAGGCCCATTAGCCAAGAGAAGAGAAAGAAGAAGCAAGGAAACTTAGAGGAGAAAATGATGAGTTCAATTTTGGACGTGTTTTATTCAAGCCTACTGCTTTACTAGGTAGTTGGAATATGAATTATGAATGAGAGTTATATGAGAGTTATAGCAATAAAGCTAATCCAGTAAAGATTACCAGGAACACAAAAGTAATTCAACAATGTTAGGTGTATTCAACTTGCTGTAACAAGGGAGAACGCACACCATGAGAAATCTTGGGGCATCTAGATCGAGGTATAGGAAGAAACTCTGCAGGGTTAGGGCTTTTCCTTGATGATTTTTAAGAGAGACTAGGAGAAATGGGGATCTTCACTGGAACTGAAAGCTGTCATGAAGTGAAGGCAATAGTATACTGGGTATATCAGTAGTCTTTGTTCAGAAGGCAGAAGGAACGGAGAGGAGCTTAAGAGTCATTGCTAAAAAAGCAATAATCACTCAAAAGAAAGGGGATGTTAAAGCATTTTACAGCTGCAATGAGACCTTGGGAGAAATACTGTGTTCTGTTAATTTTGCAGTTAGCTCAATATATGTGCCTATTATCACATATTAACTCTTTCAGTCTTGGGTATATAATTGCTTTTCTAGACGTTTAGCTGTCATCAGCTTATGATTGGTCAATTGTGAAAGGTTAGGTGTGCAACTAAGGGTAAGACTCTTTGGCCTACCTTACTCTCATTGATCCATAACCCTAGTCTTTCACAGGACAATCGCTTGCCAAAATGTTTGCAAACACGGCTTCGACCCATCTACCCACTCACCCATCATCTTCCTTTTTCCAAGTCAGGAAGCCATTCCTATATAAAAATTCTGGTGCTGACATGAAATGAGGATTAAAAACATAGAACCTGAGAATACCCTAAAGAGATGGGTATAGAAGTAAAAGATAAAAGTATGTGGTGTTGTGAATACAAAGAGAGAACACCTTAAGAAGGAGAGAGCAACCAACAAAACCAGATGCTGCAGAAATAAAAACCAGAAAATATCTACTGAATGAATCATGTAGGAAATCATCTGCATAGTGGAGACACAAGCTAGAGTTCTACGGAAAGTGAAGAAAAGAAGACTGCAAATATAGACCACACTCTTAAGTATGATGCTGTGATACAAAGGAGAAACAACAGTAGTTACCATGGACGCAAAGGCAGGAAAAAATCTTTGTACATATCTTCAGACAAAGGAGAGTTGAATATTTTTATACGTGGAATGGAAAAAGAGCTAATAGAGAAGGAGAAAGTGAAGATCGAGGAATGACAGAATAATGAATGATGCAATTTCTAGAGGCAATGGGAGGAAGAGATCAGTGTGAGGGTGGAGGGCACATATCTTTTGATTCCAAATGGAAGGAGGTATGACGTGGTATGGTTGTGGGCAGATGGGAGGGCAGGAACAACTTGAAAGTGTTTCCACTGGTGACCTCTATTTCCCAGTGGAAGAACAGGCCAGGTTATCTGCTAACAGTGAGGAACTTAGGTTTAAAATACTCAGGGAAATAAGATTATCAACACTTTATACATATTTTAATAGTAATAATAGTTACTATACAGTTTATCTTATTTATTTATTGTTACAATCTTTTTTCAATAACAGTGTCTTTCCCAAGATGCAAGATGCAAAAAGAAATTAATTTTGTTTTGTAGAAAACATGCCTGTCATGAAGAATTTTTAAAATTATTTTATATCTTATATGTGTATATATAAAAAAGGGGAAAATTTGAAAAATACTAAAACCAAGTCAGCAGGGGCTACTATGGAGGGTGGAATTAGAAGATATTCTCCCTTATAATTTTGTGCATTTTAGTTTCATTTAAATTTCTTTTTATAACAAGTATCATTGTTTTTTCTAACCTGAAAAAACAGAAACCATTCTAATTTGAAGGAAAAAAGTTAACTTTTTCAGTGTTTGGTGCCTTGATTCAAAGTTAAATGCCTGCATGATTTTATGACTCAGAACTGGGGGTTCCTAACCTTCCCAGGTCTCAAGATGCCCTCAGAGATTAAGGGGGAAAAAATGTAAAGAGGAAAGCATTCACTGGCTGATGACAAAGACTGTCTCCTTCACCAAACTTCAGTCAGACTCCCCTGGGCCCTCTTCTCAACTAGGCCTTAACTTTGAACCTGATCCTGTACTTGCCAGGCCTGCATTGCCCAGTCTTAGCAAGAATACTGCTAAGTTTGTTTAGAGAGACTCCCCCATCCTTGATATGTGATCACCCTGGCCTGCCTTCAGCAAGAATATTAAGTCAGTTAACCAAATATCTACCCCCTACCCTTAAACATTACTCCTAGTAATTTTTCAGCCACTGACTCCCTCATTCTGCTCATTAGCTATAAATCCCCACTTGTTTTTTGTTGTTTTGTTTTGTTTGTAGAGATGGGGTTTTGCACATTGCCCAAGCTAGTCTCAAATTCCTGGGTTCAAGTGATCCAACCACCTTGACCTCCCAAAGTACTAGGATTACAGGCATGAGCCACCACACCCAGCCCCCACTTGTCTTTATTGTATTTTATTCATATAGAGTTGAGACTGATCTCTCTCCCCTATTGCAATAGAGTCAACTCCTATTACAATAGTCTTCAATAAAGTCTTCCTCACCTTATTAACAAGTGACAGAATTTTTTTCTTTAACACTGATACAGTAGCTTTGTGGCACCATCAGCATCCCAGCCTCATATCTTTCTTCTCCACCATCCTTAGTACATGTCTTCTAGCCTCACAGCCCTACCATGGTTTGCACCATGGCTGCAAAATGGCCATTACAAATCCAACCACCACAATTCAATTTCAGATGGAAAACAGGAAAGGGAAGAGGGGCTTGCAGGCTGAGTTAGCCCCCTTTTAAAGGTACTTTCCATGAAGCTCCCATTCAGTGACTTCAACCTATATCCATTGGCCAAAATTAGTCACATGTCCACCACATCTGCAAAAAAGGCTGGGTAATGCAGTTTTTAGTTGGCACATTGCCTTCCCCATCAAAGAGATTTTGCCAGTAAGGACGATGAGGAAGCTGGTATTGAGTAGAAGACCAGCTTCCACTTCTGAATAATAAAGAATCTTTGAGTACACCTTATAGATAAATTATTTAGCTTTTCCTATAATTGAATTGGTGTTTCTCAGATTTCCCACCCATGCTCTAGATCATACAACCTTCACACTCCAGGTGATAGTTTCAAGCTGGAAGCATACCAGAAGGTCACAGGACCCCAAGCCCTGTCTCCAGCAGTTCCCCTCCCTCCACTCACAGGTAGGAGCACCTCTCTGACTCAAGTGTAACTTGGCTTGCCCTCCTGGCTCTTCCCCAAGGCTGCACTGCAAAAACTCCTGCTCCTGCTTTGCCACCTGGTTTACTTCCCTTTTCTTTTCCCAGCTTCCAGGTACTTTTTTTTTTAAATTATCTCCTTCAGGAGTGACTGGAAACTTATATGAATACTGGCTGCAGCTTATATAAAATAGGAACTGAAAGTCTCACAGTTTCAGAACAACTTTATGGAAATGAACAAATGTTTCAAAAGGGGAATATTACTGGAAATGCAACACAGGGATTCAAACACAGATAGAGACAAGAAATAGAAAGGAATAAAGAGGCAGAGAAAAAAAAGAAACAGAGTCTGTCCCTCTCTCTAAGCCTTCCTGAAAGATCCTTATCCGACACATACAATATAGATAGATTTATGGGGAAAAAGTAGAAGCATGATGCTCTCAGAGGTTTTCTTTTCCTTGTCAGATTGTTGGTTTCTTAAGAGCCAGCATGCCACTTGTGTATTCCAGCAAGGACCTAGAATTCTGGTGGAAATTTGGTACGTCCTAAGTGATGATCCTTTCTGACATAAATGATACATGTTGAAATACTAACATGGGAGCTGGACAGCATAGCCGGTGGCATAAATAAAGTCAACCCTTTCCACTGGGCAAGCTACAGTATAGAAGAGAGGAATTTTTAGGAGGAAAAAAAAGGCTTGAACAGACACTGTAGCAGCTCTATGAATGTTCACATCACCACATGCACAGTTTTTTGTTTTTGTTTTCTTGTTGTTGTTGTTGTTGTTGTTTTTGAGACAGAATCTCACTCTATTGCCCAGGCTGGAGTGCAATGGCATGATCTCAGCTCACCGCAACCTCTGCCTCCCAGGTTCAAATGATTCCCATGCTTCAGCCTACTGAGTAGCTGGGATTACAGGCACCCGCCACTATGCCTGGCTAATTTTTGTATTTTTAGAAGAGACGGGGTTTCATCATGTTGGCCAGGCCTGTCTCAAACTCCTGACCTCAAGTGATCTGCCTGCCTCAGCCTTCCAAAGTGCTGGGATTACAGGCGTGGGCCACCGTGCCTGGCCGCATGCTTTGATGTGTGGAGAAACTGAGCCTCACAGAGTCTAAACAATTTACCCAAGTTCACACACAATCTATTTGGCCTTCAGGCTTTGTCATATCACCAACTATACTAGTGAAAAACTTAAAATAAGGATTAACATGGCTCTCTCTTAATTTAGGTATTTTCTCTCTGTCCCAGAAAAATTTGCATTAAGTGAAAATTTGAATTATAAAGCCTATCTTTGGCATGATCTTACAAGAGAAAATTGAAGCTGCATTCAATGCTAAACCATGATTTTTAAAAAACGCTTTTTTGAAGCATAAAATTGTTCTTGAGACAGAAACTCCTGTACACCTCTCCTCCTCTATATGCAGGTTTCTCAAATTACTTAAGAAAGACTAAAAAGTTTCATTATTAACTAGTACTACCTCAAGTATATTTCCAATGAACATTCATCGGGACAGCATTAGAATGAGGGTCTTAAAATGCCCCAGAAAGAGAACAGGAGAGGTGCACTTCCTCAGAGGCTGCTTGATAAGGTGCTTTCTGAATTTCACACAGGGAAGTCGACAGGCAAACAAACCACAAGGGGTCCAAGCCATCCTGACACTGGGAGTTTACTGTGTAAATGATTCTTTCTCCCTGAGTGCCCTGTCCGGACTGCCCTGTGATCCTCCAAGCCTCTGGGGTTCTGCTATAGTTTGGATATTCGTTCCCTCCAAATCTCATGTTGAAATTTGATCCACAATGTTGGAAGTGGGGCCTGGTGGAAGGTGTTTGGGTCATGCAGACCGATCCCTCCTGAATAGCTTGGTGCCATTCCCACAGTAATTAATGAGTTCTCATTCCATTAGATCCACAAGAGCTGATTGTTTAAAAGAGCCTGGCACCTCCCTTCTCTCTCTCTTTCTCTCTCTCTCTCTCTCTTGCTTTCTCTCTCACCACATGATGTCTGCTCCCCTTCACCTTCTGCCATGAGTGGAAGCAGCCTGAGTTCCTTCCCAGATGCAGATGCTGGCACCATGCTGCTTCTACAGCCTATAGAACTGTAAGCCAAATAAATTTCTTTTCCTTACAAATTGCCCAGCCACAGACATTCCTTGATGGCAATGCAAGCGGACTAAGGCAGTTCTACCTGCATCCTTCAGTCAGCTATCCATTAGGTGCACTGTCCCTTTTTCAGGGCTGTTTCTCAGAGAAGATTGCCAGAGCCAGCTGTGACCTTTGCAATCGGGATGCTCCCTTAGCTCTCACCTAGTCCCTTCATGTGGGTCTGAAGCCTCATAGGGCAGAGGATCATGGAGCTTCCCTTAGCACAGCAGGTGAGATTCCTGCTTCTCTCTCATCTACAGATTTCAATCTCCCAACTTGTGATTTCTCAATCATTCTTGGTTTCACAATAGCCTCTGAGATGACTTACCGTATCAGATAGCAGCTCAGCTATAACAAAGATCCAAAGCAAAGGGCACTCAGGTGGGAAAATGTGCAGAGTGAAAAAGCCTGGGACTGGTATGACAGCTCCCTAGCTCCCTGGTGGTTAGTGGAACCAGCCTAGACCATAATTATGAAAATAACAATAATGAATACTCATTTAGCATATGCTATGTGCCAGGCACTGTTCTAAACACTTTACATATTTTATCTTAGTTAACTCAATCTCCCCCTGAGGTAGGTATTATTACTGTCCCTATTTTACAGATATGGAAACTGAGGCTGAGAATGTTTAAGGAATTTGATGGCAAAAAAAAATAGAGGAGTCAGAATTTGAACCTAGACCAAGGTCTTAACCTGGATTACACTGCTTCTAGAATGAATTGCTCCTTAAGTTAAGATCTTTATAAAGGTCAGGATTCCTTAAACATAATCAAAACAAAATATTTAAAACTATTGGCCAGGCACGGTGGCTCAAGCCTGTAATCCCAGCACTTTGGGAGGCAAAGGCAGGGAGATCACCTGAGGTCAGGAGTTCGAGACCAGCCTGACCAATGTGGTGAAACCCCATCTCTACTGAAAATACAAAAATTAGCCGGGCATGGTGGCGAGTGCCTGTAGTCCCAGCTACTTAGGAAGCTAAGACAGGAGAATTGTTTGAACCCGGGAGACGGAGGTTGTAGTGAGCCGAGGTCTTGCCGCTGCAATCCAGCCTGGGTGACAGAGTGAGACTTCATCTCAAAAAAAAAAAAAAGAAAGAAAGAAAGAAAAAAAAAAAAATATATATATATATATATAGTACTAGAAAACCTAGATTCCACAATTGTTAGTAATTTGCCAGGTTTCTTTTTTCTGTTATATATATATATATATATATATATATGTATATATATATATATATATATATATATGTTGTTTTTACTGAACCATTTAGAGACATCATGACTCTACCCATCATGCCTAAAAACTTCAGCCTACATCTCTTAAAAGAAAAAACATTCTCCTACATAACCACAGTACCATATTATGTTCAAGAAAAGTAACAATAATTCTTGAAAGCATTCATAATTACCCAAAGATCATGTTATAGCTTTTGTTGAAACAAAACCTTTTGTTAAAATGAAGATCTAATCAAAGTTCATGCAGTCTATTCTGTTATGTCTCTAGTCTTTTTTAATTTCTTTTTTAAGACATTGACTTTTTTGGAGGAAAAAACCCAGACTCACTGTCTTATAGAATGTTCTATATTCTGAATTTGAACACTTTCTAGCAATATCATTGAACTCATTTTATATCATCTTTTTTTCTGTAAATTAGAAGTTAGGTCAGGACTAGAAGCATGGTTAGATTCTAGTTAAACATTTTTTATTAAAATATTGCATGCATGATGTTGTATACTTTGTATTTTGTCACATCAGGAGAAATATATCAGATTGTCCTATTCTTAGTGATGAGAATTTTGATCACTCAGTAAAGATGGAGACCACAAGATGCTTCTATTTTAAAATTACATTTTTCCCTTAGCAGTGAGTATGAATGTGGGTTGAGACCTTTGTATTATGTGAATATCTTGTTTGACAAACTTTTTCACTTAAAGGTTTTAGCATCCATTGATGATTCTTGACACTAAAAAAGTATTTTTTAAGGCTGCAAAACAGTGACTTTCTATTTGCAACCATGTCAAATGTATGAGCTGGCATTCTCCCTTAAAGGGGAGCTTTCTCTCTGTAGCTGAAAGAATTCTTGGTCCTCCTAAAAAGGCAGGGCAAATACTTAATATTTCCCTTCTTGATATGGTTTGGCTGTGTCCCCACCCAAATCTCATCTTGAATTGCAACCCTCATAATCCCATGTGTCATGGAGGGACCTGGTGGGAAGTGACTGGATCATGGAGGGAGTTTCCCCCAGGCTGTTCTCGTGATAGTGAGTTCTCACGAGATCTGATGGTTTTATAAATGTCTGGCATTTCCCCTGCTTGCACTCACTTCTCCTTCCTGTTCACTGTAAACAAGGTACCTGCTTCTGCTTCACCTTCCACCATAATTGTAAGTTTCCTGAGGCTTCCTCAGCCACAAGGAACTGTGAGTCAATTAAACCTCTTTTCTTTATAAATTATCCAGTCTCAGGTATTTCTTTATAGCAGCGTGAGAATGGAATAATACACTTCTGATGGTCAATTTTAGAGTAAAACATTACTATAATAGCATCTGCAATAGTAGCAAGTAAGTCCTCCCTCTCTTCTCTTCAATTAGTCATAGTCATTATTCTTTCTTATGTTTAAATAGTCCCCCATTGTGGTCAATAAGAGGATTGTCATATTGCCTTGAATATTCTTTTGACACATCCCCATCAGTCTTTGAGCATTTCCCTGACTTTCTTGCCCAACAAGATGTCCCATTTCACTTAGCATTTTTACTGCCCCCAGGCTAGAATCAGCCACTTCTTCGGGAGCCCTGAAGAATCAGTATTTCTTATATTTCTAAAACAAAAATATAATGAAATGTCCCAAAAGCAACCCCTACCAACTAGTATCTTTAATGAGGTATAGTAAATTAATTGATTAATTTACTAGTTAATTAATTAAGGTCTTGGTTGGATTTTTACTATCAAGAATAAATGTTTAAAGTAATAGATTTTATCTTCTTTAAAATTATGGCTCCCTAAGGAGTCAAAGAAATGATGGATGAGTGAGGCCAGAACTTAGGAATTTGATCCTTGTAGTGAAGAGCCAGGCTCAGTTCCTAACTTCATGGGCAACCAAAGGACAGAATCTTACTTAATCTTTTTTTTTTTTTTTTTTTTGAGATAGAATCTCACTTTGTCACCCAGGCTGGAGTGCAGTGGCATGATCTCCGCTCACAGCAACCTCAGCCTCCCAGGTTCAAGCAATTCTCCTGCCTCAGCCTCCCACATAGCTGGAACTACAGGCATGCACCACCATGCCCGGCTAATTTTTGTATTTTTAATAGAAATGGGGTTTTGCCATGTTGGCCAGGCTGGTCTTGAACTCCTGATCTCAAGTGATCCACCCACCTCGGCCTCCCAAAGTGCTGGCATATCAGGCGTTAGCCACTGCGCCTGGCTGAATCTTACTTAACCTGACAAACTGTCTTTCCCAGAAGACATACAAATGAAACTTAATTTATTAGCCTGTTTTGTTCTTTGCTGTCACCACCGTTAAATCATGACATACTAATCACATCAACATTCCTAAATCCTAAGAGGACTTTGCTCTAACTCTAGTCTGTGCCCAACATATGGGTAATATAAAAACAAAGCGGGTCACATGAACCAAAAATTTCCCCTTTTGCATCAAAGGAAATACAGAATGTTTTCATTAAATACCAAGAAATTTCCAAGAAGCCAAAATCCACCATGCTCCTCTAAAAAATATTACACTTGATACCTTAGAACCAAGTTCACTTTTACATTCTTAGAAAGTTATAATTATGTGAATAAACTAAATTACTCTATAGTCAGAAAGTCATTGAGCTTTGTTATCAGATCAAATGTAGGTTTGAATGCCAACTCTAAACTTTATGAAGTCTGTGACCCTGGGAGAGTTATTAAATTTCTCTGTGCCTCAGCATCCTCATTTATTAAGTGGGTTGCTGTGAAGGTTGAACAAGATAATTCATGAAAGTACATATCATGAAGCCTGGAGAATAAATGCTCAATAAGGGTTAACTATTTCTTTACTGGCTTTCTTGTATTATCTGTAATGACTACAATTACCAATGCCACCTGCATTAGTCATATTAGGCAAAGTGATGCTTCAGTGACATATTAATCCAAAATCTCACAGGCTTAAACACATAAAAGTTATTTTTCACTCAAACAAAGCCAACTGTGGGTTCTGGTAACTCTCTGATGCAGCTTTTCCCATGTGGTGAGTCAACAACTGTATTTCTAACTACTATTCTCTCTCTCTCTCTCTCCTTCTTTCTCTCTCTCCCTCCCTCTCACCCTCTCTTTCAGCTTTGATGTCACCAATATGACCAAACTAAAATAAATACATGGGAAATCTTGAGTCCTTCTAACCTGATGTTTAATCATTATCTTATATAGATTTATTTCCTATAGAAATTAAAGTCAAAATAAAAAAATTTTAATTGCAATGGTACAAAAATTGATAATTTCAAATCACAATTCTCAAATCCTTGAAAAAAATGCTTCACAAGAATATATTGTTTTCGTAAGAAAGGATCTCATTATTCTTTATTCAGATTGAAGTATAATTAACAAATAAAAATAAAAATTACATATATTAAAGATGTACAATGTGATGTTTTGATATACACATACTTTGTGAAATGATTACCACAATCAAGCTAATTAACATATCCATCACCTCACATAACTACCTTTTGTGACTGTGTGTGGTAAAAACACTTAAAATCTACTCTCAACAGATCTCAAGTGTACAATACAGTATTAACTATAATTACCGTGCTGTACATTAGATCTCCGGAACTTATTCATTTTGCATAACTGAAACTTTGTATCCTTTAACCATCATCTCCCCATTCCACCCCTACCCCAGCTCCTGGCAACTACCATTCCACTCTGTAACTCCATGTGTTCAACTTTTTAGGTTGCACATATAAGCGAGATCATGCAGTATGTCTCTGTTCTTGGCTTATTTCACTTAGCGATGGCTTCCAGGTTCATTCATGCTGTCACAATTGACAGGATTTTCTTCTCTTTTATGGCTAAATAGTATTCCTGTGTGTGTGTGTGTGTGTGTGTGTGTGTGTGTGTGTGTGTGTCACATTTTCTTTACCCATCCATCCATCAATGGACACTTAGGTTGACTCCATATCTTGGCTAATGCTACAATGAACATGGGAGCGCAGATATCTCTTCAACACATTGATTTCATTTCCTTGGAATATATACCCAGTAGTGGGATTGCTGGATCATGTGGTAGTTCTATTTTTCATTTCTTGAGGAACCTCTATACTGTTTTCCATGACTGTATTAACTTACATCTCCATCAACAGTGTATGAGAGTTCCCTTTTCTCCACATCCTCATCAACACTTATTTTTCATTTTTTTGATAATAGCCATCCTTACAGGTATGAGATGATAACTCATCGCGGTTTTAATTTGCATTTCCCTGATAATTAGTGATATTGAGCACTTTTTCACACACTTATTGGTAATTTACATATCTTCTTTTGGGAAATGCCTATTGAGTTTTTTGTGTTCCTTATATATTTTGGATATTAACCCTGATCAGATATATGGCTTACAAATATGTTCTCCTATTCTATAGGTAGCCTTTTCATTTTGTTTATTGCTTCTTTTGCTGTGCAGATGCTTTTTAGTTTGATGCAATGGCATTTGTCTATTTTTGATTTTGCTGCCTGTGCTTTTGTGGTCATATCCAAAAATGTACTGCACAGACCAATGTCAAAAAGCTTTTTTCTACAGTATGCCTAAGTCTTTAATCCATTTTAAGTTGATTCTTGGATATGGTTTGAGATAAGAGTCCAATTTCATTCTTTTGCATTATGATATTTAGTTATCCCAACACTGTTATGGAAAAAGACTATCCTTTCCCCATTGTGTATTCCTGACACCTTTGTTGAAGATCAATTGGCAATAAATGTGTGTATTTATTTCTGGGCTCTCCATTCTCCTCTACTGGTCTATATGAAATTGGTCTATATTGTTTATATGCCATACTATTTTGATTACTATAGCTTCAAAGTATATTTGGACATCAAGTAGTGTGATGTCTCCAGCTTTCTTATTTTTGCTCAATTGCTTTGGCTACTCAGGGTCTTTTGCGGATCCATACAGATTTTAGGATTTTTTTCTATTTATATTAAAAATGTTAATGAAATTTTGATAGAAATTGCATTGAATCTGTAGATCTCTTTGAGTAATATTGATATTTTAACATATTAATTCTTCCAATCCATGAACATGGGATGTCTTTGTAGTAAAATACCACAAATTATTTTTTAATCATATAATTAAACATGAAATACTATTTTGGCAAATAAGACAATAAAGTAACATTTATTTGTTGACACTCTGCCAAATAGGTATTACATTTAAATATCCAAAACCTGGGTTTTCCAATTCCTGCACTCCCGTGTTTCCCCAAATGTGTTTCACAAAGTCCTCATCCCAAGAGATATTAAGAGGCATTCTGTGAGATAAGGGTTCTACAGTCAAAAGGTTTTGAAAATGGTGGGTTAAAGTTAAACAATTTTCTTTCCCACACAACTCATCGGAGTCTTTGCTATGTTTATGAGCACTGTAAATCTCCAAAAAGCACATACAAGGTGACTTGCTGTTTGTTTGTTTACAGAGTTTTTCAAGCATTTAATGTTTCTCAGAATATATTTTGTGAAACACTGTGCTACCCCTCACTGCCTTACTAGCCTCTAATCACAATGACTGAGCTCTGGAGCTGCAAAGACAACATGATATGGAACCGAAGATGGCAGAATGCCAAGCGCAGGCCTGTAGATCAACTGCTGACAATTTAGAAGCACAGTACTGCTTAGTTTCCTTCTCTCTTCGGCAATAAATTTAATTTCTTCCAGAAACTGCTGTTATACCTGAAAGTATCCGTTGGGTTTTTAAATGATAAACGATGGTCTTGATCTTGCTATATTAAATAAGAAAGAGAGGTTTATTGGAAACATTCTGGGGTAGTTCAGAGTTGTAAAGGAATAACCAAACACCACAGCCACAGGAAGGACAGGAGGCAGGGTCACTGCAGACACTTGTAGAGCAGAAATTCAGGGACGGTTGCTTTTGGCTCCAACCACCAGATGACCCACTCCATACATCTTCTAGCTGAGGATAAACCCTAAAGTTTCAAACTTCCAAAAGACGATGTTGATTGGCCTAGTTTGGGCGAAGTGCCTACCACCTATCCCACTCCTTAAAGGTCATGGTTGAAGTCCCATGATTGGCCGTCCCACCAGAATGACATAGAGTGGAGGAGGAACAATTCCTCCAAAACACAAATGCTAGAAAGAAAAAAAAGCAATGTACTTCACACTTAATCAGCGTAACAAGTTGACCTGTGCCTTAGTTCATTCTACTATTTCTACTCCTACTAGTTAGTTCTTTATATTTCTTGCATACCACACTGGAGCATTTCTGATGGCCAGGTTTTCTTCTTCAATCACCTTCAACAACCATGACAGCCTGCCTTTCAAAGAGTTCAACGAGGATCTTGGTAGGTTAAGTCCTTGTACCAAGAAACCTGGCATTGTTGATTAATAATGTTCAAGAAAGAATCATTTAGTCAAATTATCAACTAAACACATTCATTCTCAGCAGCCACACAAAGCACAAGGACAGAAAATGTAAGGCAATGTGAGAAGCAGAAAGAGGCAGGGTTTAAAGACAAATATAACAAATCAATTCATCCTGACCTCCAAATGACCCAAGTAAAGGAATTTAGTTAAGCATCTACCTTTTCCCCATCCTTGAGTCTATTGGCCTTAAGTTTTTCTTAGTAATTCGAAATTCTTCTGAATTATCAATTTCTGTGTAGAAAGAGGGGAGTCTGTTCTATAATAATTCTTGCTTTTTTTTTTTTTTTTTTGGAAGAGGGAGTCTCACACTGTTGCCCAGGCTGGAGTGCAGTGGTGCGAATTTGGCTCACTACAACCTCTGCCTCCCAGGTTCAAGCGATTCTCCTGCCTCAGCTTCCTGAGTAACTGAGATCACAGGTGTGTGCCACCATACCCAAGTATTAGTACAGACGAGGTTTTGCAGTGTTGGCCAGGCTGGTCTTGAACTCCTGACCTCAGGTGATCCACCTGCGTTGGCCTCCCAAAGTGCTGGGATTACAGGCATGAGCCACCACGCATGACTTATAATCATGCTTTTTGATCACAGACAAAGATTGCATCCTTGCCTCTGGTGGAATTCCTTCTACCTGAAAAAACTTTTCTTTGGGCTACAGTTTTTCTAAGTATTTATCCTCGGCACACCTTACCTTGCTAAGCAGAAATGCTACATGGAAGTCATATTGTTGGCTGAGTTTTACTTTTATTAATTAATATTAATAAAATTAAAATTAATATTTTTGAGCCTTTTAAAAAAACTTTATTAGCAAATGCTTATTTGGGCTTAATTATTTGGCTCTTTGTTGTAGCAAAAGTCTCAATCAATTTTACAAGAAAAGATAAAAAGAAAAGCATGATTTCTAACCAAGTTTTACTACTGCATTTATTTTTATGAAATATTGCTTTTTAGTCACCTGTATTCTGGGGCAAAGGTAAGTTTTACATTATTTTTATTTACTTACACATTTTATTACATAGAAAACCAAAATTCAAGTAAGAAATCATATTGCTTGAGACAGGACAAAATGTTGGGGACAATGACATGCAACATATCTTGTACTTTTTCCAAAGAAAATCTTTTACTTAATAGTCAAACTCTACAGAAAACATCAAGAATAGAACAATCACACACCCAAATAGTGACAAAAGGATGCTAGCTATGTTCTGTTATTTTAGTTTTCAGCTGTTTCTTTTTTGAAAACATGGGGCTTTGTGCTCTTTAGGGAAAGGGGATCTATGAAAGGAACATTTGCCTTCTCTGTGTCCAGTCCTGGGGAAGGGGAGAGTTGCTGTCTGCAAATGCACTCACCACCATTGACTCAAACAGTTGAGAGAGAGAAGAGGATATATAGTAGAAATTAAAACTCTGCCTACTCCCCAACACCACATAATGCCTCAGGCACACATGAATCTATTGAGTAGTATCTGAAGACAAGACTTGTAGCAGGCATTTATCTTTGAAACAGATTTAAATAGATTTGTTTTTTAATCTACTTTAAAATGTGTACTGAGTAAACCTTAAATAGTAAATCTCAAAATAGGAAGAGAGGTCATTTACATTTAAGGAAACAGAATTGGTTAATTAGAGCTAAAAAAATTATAGCTCTGGGTATGCATTTTAATTTGGTTGGCTGTCAAGGGCATTGTTGTCCTGAGTAATTATGAAACAAACTCACATATACAGGAAATCATCATCTAGGGAGGGTTTTCTGCAGGTAGAATGACTATTAATAAAAATCTTCCTTTTTATCCTCGACTGTCCTCTGGCTGTCCCAACAGAATATCAAATTAAAGACAAATTTTTTTCTGGTACTTAACAAACATCATGTAGTTTTGGCAATGATGAAATCTACAGTACTTGGGAATAACAGTTGGGTCTGCCGGTAGGGGGAGTGCGAGCCAAGTTTAGCAATAGAGAGCTTCAGAAATGGGAATTTATGGGAGGATTCTAGGAGAAATGGGCTTGCAAATAGTATAATAAAATGAAGAGTAAAGCCAAAGTATTGATGGCAGGGCTTCTGTTGGTGCAAATGCATGGGCCCTATTGCCCAGAGAGAAATATCAGTAGCCTGTGGAAGTGACAGTAGAGTGTGGGCACAAGAGATTCCATTTAATGTGTGTATCATAATTTATTTAACCCTTTATTTCCATAAACACCCCATTTTTGTTAGTTTGATTTTTGTTTTTGTTTTGTTTTGCTAGCACACATCATGCTGGGATAGCTGTCCAAAATAAGAATTTCAGTTGATAAATAGGTTACTCATTTCTCCCACAGACCTATATTTCATAAACCCCTAAACCCCTTGGCTTATGACCCCACATATTATAGTATCTGATTAAACCTTGCAGATTTTGATAAGGATCTTTTGTTACCCAAATTGTCTAAGTTTCACTTTAAGTAATACTCATGCAGTATTTTTCACTAATTCATTAACTATAGTTCCCTTTCCCTTAGATACACTCGAACTTCAGTCCCATTTCCAAAAAAAAAAAAATTCCTCTTTCCCTCCACCAGATATCAGATCCTTCTATTTCCAAGAGAGGCCTTCAAAATTCTATACCAGCTTTTCTCCCAGTAAACAACAGGTCTTGGTCTCTTAAAATAGTTTAGTACATGAGGAAAGATGAGAATTATGCCAAATGCTACTTTTGAAAACATTCTTTTTGCAGAGTTGAGAAAACAGTTTTTAAAAATTGAGACTTTGTGAAGCGTTGTGGTATTTATTCATCTTTAGTCAAGCCATAGAGAGAAGCCCTTTAGAAGCAATGGCTTGGAGCCTCCAAAATCCCAAGGTTCAAATTCTAGTTTTGAATGTACTGACTAGGTGACTCTGAAAGAGTTACCTTAACTCTCTAAGCCCATGTCTTTATAAAATAGAGAAATAGTAATGACTTTTCAGAGCTGTTCGAAAGAAAGAGACAACATATGTCTCTGGGAGTGCTCAATAAATGACTGCTATTCTTAATGAAACAGTAGCTAAATCCCATTGTCTCCATAAATATAGATTCCCAACTCCTTCTACGAAAGAAGTCTAGGCCAACAGATTCCCATTGTAAAACAGAATAGTTCTTCTCTACAAAGGGTTAGGCTGCCAGAGTTAAATGCCATGCCGTTAGGTCACTCCCTTCCCCTGAGTATACAGAAAGATGGCTTCAGCCATGCCACCCTGCTGGATATCTGAACAACTTCTGTCTAAATGCACTAAAACACTAGGCTGGGAGAGCACATTATGTATGCATTAGGTCTAGAGATAGAATGAAGGCTGAGAAGATAAATGAGAAAGACCACTGTGAACCAACAGAACAATCAATCCTGAAAGGCACAGAAGTAATACAAGGAAAAAAAAAACAGTTTTAATGCTAATGGGCATCCACAGAGAAATTAGGACACATACACACATACAAACAGGCTTCCGGAAAAAAAAAAGCAATCAGAGAACAACAAATTCAATAGAGGAATTGAGGTTATTCAATTCTGTTAAAAATGCACCTGGGTACAGTTTACATTATTTAGGTGATGACTACCCTAAAAGCCCTGATTTGACCACAGTGTAATCCATGCATGTAACAAAATTGTACTTGTACCCCACAAATTTATACCAAAAAAACTGCACCTAACCTGAAAGATATAGTCGGGGCTATTTTCCAGAATTCAAAGAAAAAATACTGAAATAGAGTAAAGATATGAAGGATCAATCCATAAGGTCCACATCTGGATAACAAGAGTAACAGATGAGAGAACAGATACCCATGGAGGCTGCACTGAAGGAGAGGTCTAGTCTTAAGATTAAAAAGGCCCACCAGGAGCCACAGGGTTCATAAATGAAAGACCCACACCCAGACACACCAAAGATTAAAATGATAAAGGCATAAAAAGAATTGTACAGATGTCTATTAAAGGGTTACCTTCAAAGAATGAGAATCCATTGGTATCAGACTGCCTATCAGAAACACTAGATGCCAGAAGACAATAAGAAATCAAGCTGAAGTTCTAAGGAAAATTATTCTGAACCTATAATTCTATACTAAACTATCCATCAAATTTGAGTACAAATTAGACACTTCCGGACATGCAAGAACTCATACTCAAAGTCTCCCTTCTATGAACCCATTCAAAAAATATCCATGTGAGGACATTATAACAAAACACAAAAGAAGATCTAAAAGTGAGAATAGAAAAGGGGCAGAGCAAGATGGCTCCACTAATCATCCCCTGCCCAAATAAGAACACCAATTTAACAACTATCAGCCAGGTACCATGGCTCATGCCTGTAATCCCAGCACTTTGGGAGGCCGAGGCGGGCAGATCACTTGAGGTCAGGAGTTCAAGACCTACCTGGCCAACATGGTGAAACCCTGTGTCTACTAAAAATACAGACGTTAGCCAAGCATGGTAGTGCATGCCCGTAATCCCAGCTACTCAAGAGGCTGAAGCAGGAGAATTGCTTGAACCTGGAAAGTAGAGGTTGCAATGAGCTGAGACTGTGAAACTGCACTCCAGCCTGAGTGATGAAGTGAAACTCTGTCTCGAAAAAAAAAAAAGACATATAAATTTACTACATTTAAAAAAATGTCTGTTGATCTGTTGCCTACAAGAAATACTTCACCTATAAAGATATACGTAAACTGAAAAACCGAAACTAAAGGGATGGAAAATGATATTCCATGCCAATGGAAACCAAAAAAGAGCAGGAGTAGCTATACTTATATCACAAAAAATAGATTTTAAGACGAAAAATATAAGAAGAGACAAAGAAAGTCACCATATAACGATAAAGAGATAAGTTCAGCAAGAGGATTTAACAATTTTAAATACATATGCAGCCAACACTGGAGCACCCAGATACATAAAGCAAAAAGAGAGATAGACTCCAATACAATAATCGCTGGAGACTTCAACACCCCACTTTTAGCATTAGACAAATTTTCCAGACAAAACCAACAAAGAAACATCAGACTTAATCTGCACTGTGGAACAAATGGATCTAATAGATATATATAGAATATTTCATCAAAGGGCTGCAGAATACACATTCTTTTCCTAAGCACATGGATTATTGTCAAGAATAGACCATATATTAGGTCACAAAACAAGTCTTAAAACATTCCAAAAAACTAAAATACTATCAAGCATCTTTTCTGACCACAATGGAATAAAACTAAAAATTAATAACAGGAGGAATTTTGGAAACAATACAAATACATGGAAATTATACAACATGCACCTGCATGACCACTGGCCCAATGAAGAAATTAAGAAAGACATTGAAAAAAATTTTGAAACTTAATGAAACACAACATACCAAACCTATGGGATACCGTGAAAGTAGTACTAGGAGGAAAGTTTATAACTATTAGTACCTACATCAAAAAAGACAAAAAATCAACTAAACAACCTAACAATGCATCTTAAAGGATTAGAACAGCAAGAGCAAATCGAACCTAAAATTAGCAGAAGAAAAAAAACAATAGGAGCCTGACCATGATAGCCAACAAGAAGCAACTAGTGTGCACCACTTTCAGGGAGAAAAATATAGAGGGTGAGTAAATATAGCATCTTCAACTGAAACATCAGGAACACACATTGGGATTCACCAAGAAAACAACTCAACCCATGGAGAACAGAGAAAAGCAAGGCAGGACAACTGCCCACCCAGGAGTGACACAGAGCCAGGAGCCTCCCCTGCCCAGAAAAACAGTGAATGAGTTAGCAACCCTGGGGACCCATGCTTCTCCCACGGTTCTTTGCAACCCTCAAGTCAAGAGATCCCCTCGTGAACCCACTCTACCTGGGCCTGCGGTCTGACATGCAGAGCAATGTGGAGTTTCAGCAGAGCAGCCGCTGGAAGTTTTTGATACCTGGACTTCCCAGCAAAAGTAGCTGCAACTCCAAAGCAGGGAGTTAGACTCCTGTACATACCTATAAGAAAGGGGCTGAATCCAGGGGGCTGAGCAGCAACAGTCTGTAGGTCCCACTTCGATGACATTTTGCAGAATAAGAACCACTGGCTTGGAACTCTAGCCAGCCACTGGTAGAAGCATTACACCTCCTTGAGATGGAACTCCAAGAGGGAGAGGTGGGCCACCATCTTTGCTATTAGCAGCATTACACCTCCCTGAGATGGAACTCCCAGAGGGAGTGTGGGCTGCCATCTTTGCTGTTGCACAGCCTTAGCCATTGTTGCCTTCAGTGCAGCTGCCCTACAAAAAAGCAGACAGACTGCTTTTTTACCTGGGTCCCTGACCCCACTTCTCCTTACTGAACAGGACCTTCAGACTGGGGTCACCAGCCACCCTTGCCAGTGTTTTCCAACTGGCAGTGGTTCTGAGCCTCCCTGGGTTGGAGCTCCCAGGGAGAAGGACAGGCCACCATCTTTGCTGTTCCATAGCCTTAGCCATTGGCATCCCTGAGAGGGATGGAAAGAAAGCAAACAACTTGGGAAACATATTTCAGGATATTATCCATAAAAATTTTCCCAGCCTTTCAAGACAGACAAACATTCAACTTCAGGAAATACACAGTCTCTGAAAGATTCAACACAAGAAGATCCTCCCCAAGACACGTAATCATCATATTTTCCAAGGTCAAAATGAAGGAAAGAATGTTAAAGGCAGCTAGAGAGAAAAGGCAGGTCACCTACAAAGGGAACCCCACTGAGCTAAAAACAGCCCTCTCAGTATAAACCATACAAGCCAGAAGAGATTAGGGGCCTATATTCAATATTCTTAAAGAAAAAAAAATTCAACCAAGGATTTTATATCCAGCCAAACTAAGCTTCCTCAGCAAAGGAGAAATTTTTTTTTTCAAAGAAGCAAATGCTGAGGGAGTTTGTTACCACCAGACCTGCCTTACAAGAGACATTGAAAGGAGTGCTAAATATGGAAAGGCAAGACCATTACCAGCCACTAAAAAAACACACTTAAGTACACACACCAGTTACACTATAAAGCAACCATACAAGCCAGCATAATAACTAGCTAACAACACAATTACAGGACCAAATCCACACATATCAATACTAATCTTGAATGTTAATAGGCTAAATACACCATTTCAAAAGCACAGAGTAACAAGCTGTATAAAAAAGCAAGACCCAAGGTATGCTGTCTTCAAAAGAATCCATCTCACAGTCAATGACACCCATAAGCTCAATATGAAAGGATGGAGAAAAATCTACCAAGCAAATGGAAATCAGAAAAAGAAGCAGGGTTTGCAATCCTAATTTCAGACAAAATAGACTTTAAACCAACAAAAATAAAAAAAGACAAAGAAGGGCATTACATAATGGTATAGAGTTCAATTCAATAAGAAGACCTAACCATCCTAAATATATAGGCACCAAACACAAGAGCACTCAGATTCATAAAGCAAGTTCTTAGAGACCTACAAAGAGACTTAGACTCCCACACAATAATAATGGGAGACCTCAACACACCACTGACTAACAATGAGACAAATCAATGAGGCAGGAAATCAACAAAGATATTCAGGACCTAAATTCAACATTGAACCAAATGGATCTGATAGACCTCTACAGAACTCTCCACCCAAAAACAACAGAATATACATTTCTATCATCGCCACATGGCACATAGTCAAAAATTGACCACACAATCAGACATAAAAAAAAATCCTCAGCAAATACAAAAGAACTGAAATTATGCCAAACACACTTTCAGACCCCAGCACAATAAAAATAAAAAATCAGACTGAAAAAATTGCTCAAAACCATACAATTACATGGAAATTATACAACCTGCACCTGAATGACTTTCAGGTAAATAATGAAATTAAGGCAGAAATCAAGAAGCTCTTTGAAACTAATGAGAACAAAGATACAACATACCAGAATCTCTGGGGCACAGCTAAAGCACTGTTAAAAGGGAAATCTACAGCACTAAATGCCCACACCAAAAACTCACAAAGATCTCAAATTAACAACCTAACATCACAACGAAAACAACTAGAGAACCAAGAGCAAATCAACCCCAAAACTAGCAGAAAGACAAGAAATAATCAAAATCAGAGCTGAACTGAAGGAGATTTAGACACAAAAATAAATTCAAAAGATCAACAAGTCAAGAAGTTGTTTTTTTTTTCAAACAAATTAATAAGATAAATAGGCCATTAGCTAGACTAAGAAAGAAGAAAAGAGAGCAGATCCAAATAAACGCAATGAGAAATGACAAAGGCAATGTTACCACTGACACCACAGAAATACAATCATCAGAGACTACTATGAACACGTCTTTGCACACAAACTAGAAAATCTAAAAGAGATGAATAAATTCCTGGACACATACACTCTTCTAAGACTGAGCCAGGAAGAAATTGATTCCCTGAACAGACCAATAATGAGTTCTGAATTGAATCAGTAACAAATAGCCTACAAACCAAAAAAAGTCCAGGACCAGATGGATTCACAGACAAATTCTACCAGATATACAGGGACGAGCTGGTACCATTCCCACTGAAACTATTCCAAAAAATTGAGAAGAAATGACTCCTCCCTAGCTCATTCTATAAGGCCAGCATCATCCTGATACCAAAACATGGCAGAGACACAGCAAAAAAAGAAAACTTCAGGCTAATATCCTTGATGAACGTTGATGCAAAAATCCTCAACAAAATACTGGCAAACCAAATTCAGCAACACATCAAAAACTAATCCACCACAATCAAGTAGGCTTTATCCCTGGTATGCAAGGTTGGTTCAACATAAACAAATCAATAAATGTGATTCATCACATAAACAGAACTAAAGACAAAAACCACACAATTATCTCAATAGATGCAGAAAAGGCCTTTGCTAAAATTCAACACCACTTTGTGTTAAAAACTCTCAGTAAACTAGGTATTGAAGGAACATACCTCAAAATAATAAGAGCCATCTATGACAAACCCATAGCCAGCATCATGTTGAATAGGCAAAAACTGGAAGAATTCCCCTTGAAAACCATCACAGAACAAGAATGCCCTCTGTCACCACCCTATTCAACTTAGTATTGGATGTCCTGGCCAGAGCAATCAGGCAAGAGAAAGAAATAAAGAGCATCCAGATAGGAAGAGAGGAAGTCAAAGTCTCTCTCTTCACAAATGATATGATTCAATACCAAAAAATGCCATAGTCTTGGCCCAAAAACTCCTTTCAGCTGATATACAACTTCAGCAAAGTTTCAGGATACAAAATCAATGTAAAAAAATTACTGGCATTCCTACACACCAACAACAGCCAGGCTAAAAGCCAAATCATGAAGGCAATCCCATTCACAATTGCCAAAAAAAGAATAAAGCGCTCTGCCTCTGCGCTCTGCCTTGCCTCTCCCTTCCCTCTCCCCTCTCCCCTCTCCCCTCTCCCTCTCGGTCTCCCTCTCCCTCTCTTTCCACGGTCTCCCTCTGATGCCGAGCCGAAGCTGGACTGTACTGCTGCCATCTGGGCTCACTGCAACCTCCCTGCCTGATTCTCCTGCCTCAGCCTGCCGAGTGCCTGCGATTGCAGGCGCGTGCCACCACGCCTGACTGGTTTTCGTACTTTTTTGGTGGAGACAGGGTTTCGCTGTGTTGGCCGGGCTGGTCTCCAGCTCCTAACCGCGAGTGATCCGCCAGCCTTGGCCTCCCGAGGTGCCGGGATTGCAGACGGAGTCTGGTTCACTCAGTGCTCAATGGTGCCCAGGCTGGAGTGCAGTGGCGTGATCTCAGCTCGCTACAACCTCCATCTCCCAGCCGCCTGCCTTGGCCTCCCAAACTGCCGAGATTGCAGCCTCTGCCCGGCCACCACCCCGTCTGGGAAGTGAGGAACGTCTCTGCCTGGCCGCCCATCGTCTGGGATGTGAGGAGCCCCTCTGCCTGGCTGCCCAGTCTGGAAAGTGAGGAGCGTCTCTGCCCGGCCGCCATCCCATCTAGGAAGTGAGGAGCGCCTCTTCCCGGCAGCCATCCCATCTGGGAAGTGAGGAGCGTCTCTGCCCGGCCGCCCATCGTCTGAGATGTGGGGAGCGCCTCTGCCCTGCCGCCCCGTCTGGGATGTGAGGAGCGCCTCTGCCTGGCCGCGACCCCATCTGGGAGGTGAGGGGCGTCTCTGCCCAGCCGCCCCGCTGAAAGGAGGAGACCCTCTGCCTACAACCACCCCGTCTGAAAGGAGGAGACCCTCCGCCCAGCATCCGCCCCATCTGAAAGGAGGAGCCCCTCCGCCCGGCAGCCGCCCCGCTGAAAGCGAGGAGTCCCTCTGCCCGGCAGCCGCCCCGTCTGGGAAGTGAGGAGCCCCTCTGCCTGGCCAGCCACCCCGTCCAGGAGGGAGGTGGGGGAGTCAGCCCCCAACCCGGCCAGCCGCCCCGTCCGGGAGGGAGGTGGGGGGGTCAGCCCCACGTCCGGGAGGGAGGTGGGGGGGTCAGCCCCCCGCCCGGCCAGCCACCCCGTCTGGGAGGGAGGTGGGGTCAGCCCCCCGCCCGGCCAGCCGCCCCGTCCGGGAGGTGAGGGGTGCCTCTGCCCAGCCGCCCCTACTGGGAAGTGAGGAGCCCCTCTGCCGGGCCAGCCCCCCCGTCCGGGAGGGAGGTGGGGGGCTCATTGAGAACGGTCCGCGATGACAATGGCCGTTATGTGGGATAGAAAGGGGGGAAAGGTGGGGAAAAGATTGAGAAATCGGATGGTTGCCATGTCTGTGCAGAAAGAAGTAGACATGGGAGACTTTTCATTTTGTTCTGTACTAAGATAAATTCTTACTGCCTTGGGATCCTGTTGATCGACCTTACCCCCAACCCTGTGCTCTCTGAAACATGTGCTGTGTCCACTCAGGGTTAAATGGATTAAGGGCGGTGCAAAATGTGCTTTGTTAAACAGATGCTTGAAGGCAGCATGCTCGTTAAGAATCATCACCACTCCCTAATCTCAAGTACCCAGGGACACAAACACTGCAGAAGGCCGCAGGGTCCTCTGCCTAGGAAAACCAGAGACCTTTGTTCACTTGTTTATCTGCCAACCTTCCCTCCACTATTGTCCTATGACCCTGCCAAATCCCCCTCTGCGAGAAACACCCAAGAATGATCAATAAAAAAAATAAAAATAAAAATAAAAAAAAAAAAGAATAAAGCACCTAGGACTACAGCTTACTGGGGAAATGAAAGATCTCTACAAGGAGAATTATAAAACACTGCTCAAGAAGTCAGAGATGACACAAACAAATGGAAAAACATTCCATGCTCATGGATAGGAAGAATCAATATCATTAAAATGGCTATACTGCCCAAAGCAATTTACAGATACAATGCTACTTCTATCACATTATCAACCACATTCTTCACAGAAGTAGAAAAAACTACTTTAAAATTCATATGGAACCAAAAAATAGCTCAAATAGCCAAGGCAATCTTAATCAAAACAACAAAGCTGGAGGCATCATGTTACCCAACTTCAAACTATACTACAGGGCTACCATAACAAAAACAGTATAGTACTCGTAACAGACACATAGACAATGGAATAGAATAAAGATCCCAGAAATAAGACCACACACCTACAACCATCTGGTCTTCAACAAAGCTTGCAAAAACAAACAATGGGGAAAGGA
The DNA here is from genome assembly GCF_000001405.40 of Homo sapiens. Classification (NCBI taxonomy): domain Eukaryota; kingdom Metazoa; phylum Chordata; class Mammalia; order Primates; family Hominidae; genus Homo; species Homo sapiens. The sequence continues at coordinate 63,810,277 of NC_000010.11, read as the reverse complement.
CTCCTTGTTCAATAAATGGTGCTAGGATAACTGGCTAGCCATATGTAGAAGATTGAAACTGGACCCCTTCCTTACACCATATACAAAAATCCACCCAAGATGGATTAAAGACTTAAATGTAAAACCCAAAACTATTAAAGCCCTGGAAAACCACCTAGACAATACTATTCTGGACCATAGGAACAAGTAAATATTTCATGACAGAGACACCAAAAGCAATTGCACAAAAACAAACGTTGACAAATGGGATCTAATTAAACTAAAGAGCTTCTGTACAGCAAAATAAACTATCAATAGATTAAATAGACAATCTACAGAATGAGAGAAAATATTTGCAAACTATTCGTTGACAAAGGTCTAACATCGAGCCTCTGTAAGGAACTGAAACAAATTTACAAATAAAAAAACAGACAACCCCATTAAAAAGTGGGCAAAGGACATTAAAAGACACTTTTCAAAATAAGATATACATGTAGCCAACAAGCACATGAAAAAAATTCAATATCACTGATTATTAGAGAAATGCGCATCAAAACCCCAGTGAGACACCATCTCACACCAAAGGGCTATTATAAAAAGTCAAAAAAATAATAGATGTTGGCAAGTTGACAGAGAAAAGGTAATGCTTGTACATTGTTGGTGGGAGTGTAAATTTGTTCAACCATTGTGGAAAGCAGTGTGAAGATTCCTCAAAGACCTAAAAACAGAACTACCATTTGACCCAGCAATCTCATTGCTGCATATATACCCAAAGGAATATAAGTTATTCTACCATAGAGACACATGCCTTTGCATGTGTTCATTGCAGCACTATTCACAGTAGGAATGCATGGAATCAACCTAAATCCCATCAATGGCAGACTGGATAAAGAAAATGTGGTACATAAACAACATGAAATACTATATGGCCATTAAAAAAGAATGAGATTGGCCAGGCACAGTGGCTCACGCCTGTAATCCCAGCACTTTGGGAGGCTGAGGTGGGTGGATCACAAGGTCAGGAATTTGAGACCAGCCTGACCAACATGGTGAAACCCTATCTCTACTAAAAATGCAAAAATTAGCCAGGTATGGTGGCACGTGCCTGTAATCCCAGCTACTCAGGAGGCTGAGGCAGGAGAATCGCTTGAATCCAGGCGGCAGAGGTTGCAGTGAGCCGAGATCGTGCCACTGCACTCCAGCCTGGGTGACAGAGCAAGACTCCGTCTCAAAAAAAAAAAAAAAAAAAAAGAATGAGATTATATGAGATTATATCCTTTGCAGGAAGATAAATGGAGCAGAAGGTCATTATGCTCAGCAAACTAATGCAGAAACAGAAAATGAAATACTAAGTGTTCTACTTACAAGTGGGAGCTAAATGAGAACATGTGGACACAAAGAGGGGAACAACTGACACTGGGGCCTACTTGAGGATGGAGGGTGGCAGGAGGGAGAGGATCAGAAAAAAAAATCTATCTGGCAACAGATCTAGTAGCTGGGTGATGAAATAATCCGTAAAACAAACCCCCACGATATAGGCTTATTTATATAACAAACCTGCACATATACCCATGAACCTAAAATAAAAGTTTAATAAAAGAAAACAAGACATAAAAAATAGTAACAAAGATCAGAGCAGAAATAAATGAAATTGAAATGAAAAAAGTACAAAAGATCAATGAAATAAAATGTTTGCTTTTTTAAAAGTTAAACAAAATAGATAAACTGTTAGCCAGACTAAGGAAAAGAGAGAAGATCCAAATAAATAAAATCAGAAATGAAAAAGGAGACATTACAACTGATACCACAAAAATCCAAAGCATCATAAGTGGCTACTATTAGCAAGTATATGCCCATAAATTGGAAAACTTAGATGAGCTGGACAAATTCCTAGACACATGCAACCCCATTATTAATTAATAACCTCATTATTAATTATCAAGATTGAACCATGAAGAACTCCAAAACCTGAACAGACTAACAACAAGTAACAACATCAAAGCCATAATAAAATGTCTCCCACTAAAATAAAAGCCAATAAAATAAAATAAAATAAAAGACACATCAAAAACAGAAAACAATAGGACAATATCACTAATAAATACTGATGCAAAAATTCTCAACAAAATATTAGCAATCCAAATTCAACAATACATTAAAAAGATCATTCATCATGACCAAGTGGGATTTATCCCTGGGATGCAAGGATAGGTCAACATATGCAAATCAATCAATGTGACACAGCATATCAACAGACTGATAGACAAAAAAATATGATTACTTTCAATTGATGCTGAAAAAGCATTTGATAATATTCAACATCCCTTCATGATAAAAATCCTAAAAGAGCTGGATTTCAAAGGAACACACCTCCAAATGATAAAAGCCATATACAACAAACCCACAGCTAGTATCATATTGAATAGAGAAAAACTGAAAGCCTTTCCTCTAAGATCTGAACATGACAAGGATGATCACTTTCACCACTGTTATTCAGCATAGTACTGCAAGTCCTAGTTAGACCAATCAGACAAGACAAAGAAATAAAGGGCAATCAAATTGGAAAAAAAGAAGGCAAATTATCCTTGTTTGCAGATGATACGATCTTGTATTTGGAAAAACCTAAAGACTCCATCAAAAAACTATTAGAACTAATAAATTCAGTAAAGTTGCAGGATAAAAAATCGACATACAAAAATCGGTAGTGTTTCTATATGCCAACAGTGAACAATCTGAAAAGAATCAGGAAAGTAATCCCATTTACAATAGCCACAAATAAAATTAAATACCTAGGAATTAACATAACCAAAGAAGTGAAAGATCTTTATGATGAAAATTATAAAACACTGATGAAAGAACTTAAAGAGGACACCAAAAAATGGAAAGGTATTCTATGTTCCTGGATTGGAAGAATCTGTATTGTTAAAATGTCCATATTACTCGAAGCAATCTACAGATTCAATGCAATACCTATCAAAATACCAATGACATTCTCCACAGTAATAGAAAAAAAATCTTAAAATATATATGCAACCACAAAATAACCCAGAATATCCAAAGCTATCCTAAACAAAAAGAACAAAATGAGGAATCACATTACCTGACTTCAAATTATACTGCAGAGCTATAGTAACTAAAACAGCATGGTACTGGCATAAAAGTAGACACATAGTCCAATATAACATAATAGAGAACCCAGAAATAAATCCACACACCTACAGTGAACTCATTTTTTACAAAGGTGCCAAGAACATAAACTGGGAAAAAGATAGTCTCTTCAATATATGGTGCTGGGAAAACTGGATATCCATATGCAAAAGAATGAAACTTGATCCCTGTCTCTCACCATATACAAAAATCAAATCAAAATGGATTAAAGACTTAAATCTAAGGCCTCAAACTATGAAACTGCTACAAGAAAACATTGAGGAAATTCTCTAGGACATTGGTTTGAGCAAAGATTCTGGAATAATATCCCACAAGCACGGGCAACCAAAGCAAAACTGGACAAATGAGATTACATCAAGTTAAAAAGCTTCTGCACAGCAAAGGAAACTATCAACAAAGGGAAGAGGGAACCCACAGAATGGGAGAAAATATTTACAAACTATCCATCTGACAAGGGAATAATAACTGGAATATATGAGGAGCTCAAATAACTCTACAGAAAAAATTCAATTTTTAAAATGGGCAAAGGATTTGAATAGACATTTCTTAAAAGAAGACATATAAATGGCAAACAGACTTATGAAAAGTTGTGCAATATCATTGATCATCAGAGAAATGTAAATTCAAATTGCCATGACACATAATCTCACTCAAGTTAAAATGGCTTATATCCAAAAGACAGACAATAACAAACGCTGGATGTGGAGAAAAAGGAAGCCTCATACGCTGTTCCTGGGAATGTAAATTACTACAACTACTATAGAGAATCATGAAGGATTTCTCAAGAAACTAAAAATAGAATTTCCATATGATCCAGCAATCCCACTGCTGGGAATATCCCCAAAAGAAAGAGAATCAGTATATCAAAGGAGTATCTACACTCCCATGTTTGTTGCAGCTCTTTTCACAATAACCAAGATTTGGAAGCAACTTAAGTGTTCATCGACAGATGAATAGATAAAGAAAATGTGGTACATATACACAATGGAGTACTATTCGGCCATAAAAAAGAATGAGATTCAGTCATTTGCAACAACATGGATGAAAATGGAGACTATTGTGTTAAGCGAAATAAGCCAGGCACAGAAAGACAAACATTGCAGGTTCTCACTTATTCGTGGGGTCTAAAAATCAAAACAATTGAACCTGTGGTGATAGAGGGGAGAAGGGTGGTTACCAGAGGCTGGGAAGGGTAGTGAGGGGTTGTTGGGGAAGTGAGGCTGCTTAATGGGTACAAAAATAGAATAAACAAATAAAACCTAGTATTTGATAGCATAACAGGGTGACTAGTCAATAATAATTTAATTGTACATTCTAAAATAACAAAAAGAGAATAACTGAATTGTTTGTAATACAAAGGATAAATACTCGTGGGGATGGATACCCTAGTTCTCATGATGTGATTATTATGCATTGCGTGCCTGTATCAAAACACCTCATGTAACCCATTAATTACACACCTACTATGGACCCACAAAAATTAAAAATTAATTATTAAAAACAATACTAAATAAATGTGAAAATAAACAAGTAGAATGAGCTAACCCAAAAGAACTACTGAAGAAACACTGTGCATCAGGGTGGAAAATAAATTACTCCAGATTAGAACAGTAAGTCAGAATCCTGTAAAGGATGTAATTAGGCTGAAGGAGAATTCCATTACACAAATGTATAATTAAGAACTACAAAGTTCCTAGAGATAAAATGAAGACATTACATCCTTTATATAAAACAGAAAAAGAAAGACAATTAGAAATGCCAGGAAAAATAAAATAGTATAAAAGAAAACCATTCTGCAAACATGATGCAAAGTAAAATGTGATGCATTTTGAGCAATCTATTGGCGTTTAAAAAAAAGAAAAAAGATATCCATTTCCCTTAACATTTTCTTTTTGCGTGCCTTTATTATTGGTTCAACTGTTTGGTTTGATAGTAGGCATTTACTGCAAATACAAATGTGTTAAGTGTTTCATGGCTTTGAAATTTTAGAGTCAATCTGCAGTCAAAAAATAAAAATCAAGTATACCTATATAAATGTAAATAGTATTAACCTCAATAAGATAAGAGGAGAGCTGGGTGTGGTGGCACGTGCCTGTAGTCTCAGCTACTCAGGAGGCTGAAGTGGGAGGATCACTTGAGCCCAAGAGTTAGAGGTTACAGTGCCCTATGATTGGGCCACTACACTCCAGCCTGAGTTACAGAGTAAGACCCCATTTCAACTAAAAAAAAAAAAAAAAAAGATTGAAAGAATAATGTAGCTGACAGAAGTCAAAAGTGAGGAGAGGAGGGAGAATGAATATTGCTAAGTTTTTCATCTTATGTAATGGAGTCAAAGGTACTGTTTATATATGATGGATCAAAAATAGATGTTTAAGCAAATAAACTATCAAGGCAACAAGCAGGGAAATTAAAAATAATTACAAAACTAACACATTTGGGAGGTAGAAGGGTAATATAAATGTGAGGTATATGAGTGAACAAAATATCTGACAGGTTAAAGTACACTATTTACAGCTATTAAACACAGTTGTTAAATACTGTGAAAATACAAAACAGATACACAAGTAATTGTGATTATTTATGAGGATTGGACTTGGGATTAGGACATCATATAAATTCTTCCATAGTGTTGATTTTTTTACTATGTGCATATTTTATTTGTATACTAAAATAAATACCTATTTTTTTAAAAAATGAAGACTGTGTGGTTCCCATGCTCCCAGATGGACCCCAATGATCCCTGCTTCCCACTATCCACGTCCATGAGTAGTCCCCCTCCCAAGATGTACAAAGATTGTTCTGTGTGGTCAATAACAAGTGGTATAAGTAATAGTGTATCACTTTTTTGTTGTTTGTTTGTCTGTTTGTTTGAGACAGGGTCTTGCTCTGTCATCCAGGCTGGAGTGCAGGGGCACGATCTCAACTTACTGCAACCTTGGCCTCCCGGGCTCAAGTGATCCTCCTGTCTCAGCATCCCGAGTAGGTGGGACTACAGGCGCCTGCTACCATGCCTGGCTAATTTTTTGTAGAGACAGGGTTTTACCGTGTTGCCCAGGCTGGTCTCGAACTCCTGAGCTCAAGCAATCCACCCGCCTTGGTTTCCCAAAGTGCTGGGATTAGAGGCATGAGCCATATGTCACTTTTAAGATTAGCTTGGAGAAGATGATGGCTTCCGTCGTGGTTGCTCTCTTTCTCAATAGATCTGTCTCCCAGCTCACTAGCCCTGTGGAAAGTTATGTTGTGAAAAGCACTGTGGAAAGGCCCATGTGGTGAGGAACCAAATCTTCCTGGGAATAGTAACATGAGAGAGCTAGAAGAAGGCCTCCCAGCCCAAGTCAATTTTCCATATGCAGCAGCCCCAGCCAACAGCTTGACAGCAACTTCATGAGTGATCCTGAGCCAGAACCACCTAGCTAAACCTCCTGAATTTCTAATCCTCAGAAACTTTGGGAGACCAAAAGTTTTTGTTGTTTTAAGCTTCTATGTTTTGGGGTAATGTGTTATGCAACAACAGATAACTAATACAGATTGCTATCCCTGGAGAAATAAAAGCGACTGAAGACCCATGTTTGCATGAGTCAGGAGCTAAAGCTAGGAGCTAAAAAACCTGAGTTTTCTAATCTCAAGAGAGCTCTGGCTAGCAATGTCATTGATATGGTAACTGGACTGTGACCAGAAGTCCCATTGGCTGCCCCAAACTCACTGTAACCCAAACTGAACTCATGAGCAGGCCTCTCATCCATGGCTTTCCATTCCTTCTTCATAGGCCCACTATCCTCCCATACACCCAAACCTAACATATCTTAGCCTGCGTTATTCCAAAAGCAGAGCCAAAGACGATGGCTTACATTCAGGTAGCTTGGTAGTGGAATTCCAGTGGCCAGAAGTGAGAAATGGGAAAGTGAAACAGGAAAGGAGTGAAAACCACTACAAGGATGTCGCATCAAGTTGGCCACCACCACAGACTACTGGCTGCCCAATCACCATCTGAAATGTGTCTCAGCACTCTCCACCAGGAAGAGGAGGAAGTTATGTGTCTATCAGCTTCCAGCACCATGGGTCAAAAGTTGCCTCCAAAGGGCCTTAACTCCCCCAGTACTCCCCTGCTATTAATACTGAGAGCCAAGAAGGTCCTCAAGGGCACAGAAACCCCAGGGCAGGAAGTCAGCAGCTCTTGGTTCCAGCCTGAAAGGGTTGTCCAGGTGAAACTGCATAAAGTTGCCGGAAACCCGAAAGTAGCCAGTGCTATGGCTCTGGATGGAGTAATAGATGAGGCCAATAGGATTTGAAGTGCTGTACAGGACATGTCTAATACAACTCACATCTAAATGCCGCCAAATCCTTTCTATTTTTCAAACGTATATCTCACCCATCTCCTCACCTCTCCACTTTCATAGACACTTACTTAATCCAGGCTCTCATTGCCTCTTGCAAGAGTCACCTATTCTAACAAATGGAATAACTACCAATGTTACTTCTCTTTAATCAAACAAGCCTAGTCACTCTGGGTCAGAAAGTAACAATGGTTGTGCCTCCCAACTCCTCCCTGTAAAACAGCCCAGAGATGGGCTGGGCTGGTCACCCAGGAACCTTGGCAAGGAGAATGATTCTATGCTGGACCGGTCTGTCAGAGGACTGCACAGAATCCCAGACTGGAACCAAGAGACGTTTTTCATCCCCACTGTGGCAATAAGGTGTCACATAAGGTGTGGCAATAAGGCAAGAAGTTGTCACATATTCTAGAGAAAGAAAAAGAGGCCGTGGTAAATTCAGATAAATTTGAGATTATCTTTCCATGTTATACACTATGGCTCTCAAAAATATATTTCAACATTTACAAAAAAATCATCGCTATAACTTCACAGCTAATTGGTTCCTCTGTAGGTTGTACCTTGCCTAGGGAAATCCATCCCCTTACATACTTTATGAATTAAAATATTAAGCAACAGTCCATGTTTTTTAAAAGTTGACGAATCATTTCTTTTTTAATTTCCTTGCAGGTTTCTTGGCTTGATCTCTGCTTATATTACAAACATGTTCAGCAGATCTGAGGAAACTAGATTCTAGTTTCAAAGGTTGTTCTTCTATGCATACTACAAACCTAATGTACCTTAATTACTTGTAATTCATTGTATTGTAAACTGAAATCTGTTTAATTAGTTTTAATTAGCTTCATCATAAACGAAACAGTTGATCGTTACAGGTTGTCTTGTTACACTGATGGAGAACACCTGGAATGGATAATTAGTTCCTCCAACAAATTAACTTGAACTACAAACTGTCACTGATAATTATTTCACCCCCTTCCTGGGAGAATCCCAAGATTAAGATAATAGCATAGAGTCAGCATAAAGTCAAGTTAATGCTTTGACAGAGTAAAATAATAGTAATGTGGAACTTTTCATCTGTCTTATTACAACTCCCTCTAAAGGGGTGTGAGTCTCTGTATGTGAGCATGTATGTGTTTAAACACAAACATTTAACTATATATGCCATTAGTATGCACACACACATATGTACATATAAATATATTGTTGTATATATGAAAACACACATTGTACACACTTTTTTTTAACTCTTGCTACTATCTTTATGGAAACCAAACTAGGACAGAAAACAGAAGTTTACTGACACGTTTAATAAAGAGTTACCCAAGGAAAGACTAAACCATCAAAGAAGCATTTTTCCCATAACTTCAGAGGAACAGAATTTTTTTCCTTTCTGAGAATGGGATTCCTTGGAGACACAGACTTCCTTTCTGGGTAAATTTTGGCCACTAAAAGTCCACAGAGGGAAAGCTTACTTATAATGTTAAGTGGAAAATGCAAGGCACAAAACTGGATCAACAGCACGATCCCAACTATATAAACAATATGTTGAAAAAAATTGAAAAGAAATGTGCCAAAATGATAACAGTGCGTGTTTCTGAATAAGCGTTTCTTCTGGCTGTATTCACAGTTTCCAAATCTTTAATAACAATCTTGTATTAATTTAATAGTTGGAAAAGCTCAACTTTAAAAAATCCATGGAAACCTTGATTATAGAGAAACTCACTAAAAAGCCACATTGACCAGGCAGCAAATGCCAAGGTTATTGCAAGGGGATGTTTTCTACCTCAGAGAGGAAAATTGAAAATTGAATTTGTTTTGCAAGATTTTGGTTTGGGAAACTTCAGCTGTGGAATCTGAAACCCTGTTTAAAAGATAAGCAGACAGAATAAGTGGGCTTTAAGCTATTGCAACAGTTAATTTCTAGCAATGATGATGCCATTTTATATTGGTGAAAATCTTCAGAGTTTATAAAGAGCTTGTCACAGCATAATGATTCTTGGTTTGAGACCCAGAAAACCTCAGTATGAATCTGGTCTCCACCTGTAGTAGGCTACAATGAATGGAAAGGCATTTTATAAACTGGAAAATGCTCTAAAAATGTCATTGTACGGGATATTATGATACAGGCAGTACATCACAGAGGTTTGATTTTCTTTTACAAATGAGAAAAAAACGGCACACAAAAACTACCGTGATTGTAGCATTAATTGTAGTAGGAAAAAACTTGAAACAACGTAAATATCCATCAGGAGAATGAGCAAGTAAGTTCTGAAAATGAAATGAATTAGAGCTATACAGATCAACAAGTATGAACCTCACAAACCTAATTCTGAAGCAAAAAAAATGCAGCTTTGGAACAATATATAGAGCATGTTATCATATTTAAAAACATCCAAACAGTATTCTTTATATCATTTTTAGTAAAAGTATAAAGACATCCATGGGAATGTAGGTACCAATACAGGACACAGGACTGTGCTTACCTGCCAGGGAAAGAGAAATGCAATCAGGGCTTTATGTTTTCTTAATTATGCTGAGAGTTGAATTATGCTGAGAGTTGAGAGTTACAGTGGTGTCCACTGTATCATCCTCTAAAAGTGAAATATTTCATCATTATTATTGACTGCTCACTATGTTTCTAGCATTATGCATTTTTCCATACTTTGTCACATTTAGTTCTCACCAAAGTCCTATAAGGAAGACCTTGCTATCCCATTTTCACAAGTGAGGATGCCAGCTCAGTCCTCTTCAATCACATGCCCAGGGTCACTCAGCTAGCACGTGGCAGTGGAAGGCCTAGGATTTCTTTCCATCTCATATCACTGCCTTCAAGGATCTTAAATAAAAATTCAGTAGCCCAGGAACTAGGCTTGGGAAGAGGTATCGGAATAGATTGCAACCCTTCTATAGTATGCATCCAACTCTGACTTTCCCTCCCTGAGCATTCTACGTGTTGGAAATACCACCTTAGAAGGAACACTGCATGTTCTCACTTATAAGTGGGAGCTGAATAATGAGAACACATGGACACATAGCAGGAAACAACACATATGCTGAGGTCTGTCAGAGGGGGAAGCGGGGGAGAGCATCAGGAAGAACAGCTAATGGTTGCTGGATGACGGGCTTACTAGGTGATGGGATGATCTGTGCAGCAAACCACAACGGCACACGTTTACCTATGTAATAAACCTGCACATCCTGTACATTTCCCCCTGAACTTAAAATAAAAGTTGAAGAAGAAACAAACAAACAAAAAAGGAGCTGCGGCTGTTTTTCCCAGTGAATGAACTTTTATCTTCTCAACAAAGAAGATACGACACAGCTACCTCTTTTACATTTAAGTTCCCATCACGTCAGGCAGCCTCCAGCCCCACCCCCGGAAGGAACACACAGTACTGCTGGATCTCTCTCCAGGAAGTAAATGTTTTCACAGGATGGTCATAGCTTTCCCACTCTCAGTCAAGGCTTTTTTCACACTGCTCGCTGTCTGTGGTTTTATTATTTATTTTCGTTTGAATGGGAGGAATGAATAATTGGCACTGAGTGGGAAATACATAGACTGTGTGACATAAATCCTGACTTGAGTCCAGTTCCATGGTCTCAGCCTGGACTTTGTTGTACTTCCAAGAACAACAGAGTTTAGGGGACTGTTATTACAAAGACGAACTTTCTGAGAGTTTACAAAATTCTTATTTTTCCCTATCAGTGGATTCACCACTTGAGGCCAGCAACAGCCTGCCACTTGTAAGACCGAGAAAGTTGAGTCTGTATTTTACCGTTGCTATATATTACAGCCTAGAGGGGATAGGATATAAAGGACCCTGTCCTGGGAACCAGGAGACCTGGCTTCTACTTCTAGATATTTCTTCTACCCACTTCTGCCTCAGTTTTTTTTTATTACTGAAACAACAAGGCTAGGCTCAATGAACTTCCAAGCTCCTTCCAGCACAACATCTATGGCTCCATAGATGCCATGTTGAAAGGACGCCTATCACATTACAACCCAGAGATCCTGTAACAATGCTCTTGGCTTTCTCCCCTGTGGTTATATAATTGTGAAGACAGTGGCCTGAAGATAAATAAGTTAGCCCAGGCATCTCTGAGCATCAAGGTCTTTGGGATTATTGTTATGTGCCAGGTACTAAGCTGAGTCCATCTTCTGAAACACAGAAAATGGTCAACATGGATTAGGTCAGTGCAGAGAGGTGGCATGAGATACACACTGAATGCTAGACAAGGTGAGTGGGACAGGCTTCTCATTTAAGTGGCCCTTGGAGGACAAAATTCAAAGCAGGAAGAAGTGGAGATGAGGCTGTGGTTACTAGATTAGAAATGTGGTCAAGACAGAATAATCCATGCCTTAAAAAACACTCAGAGAGAGGGACTCCAAACCCTGTTGGAGTCCAAGGACTTTTATTTCACAATGGTAAACTGATCCAGTAAACTCAGCCCTCCCTAAAATATTTTTTGACTCCCAAGGGTGTCTCACACTTGTCATGCCTGCCTTGTGCCTCATAGAACAAAGAGCCATCCTGTCACAAAAAATTATGCAGCACTATCGTTTCTTGAGCACCTGTGGGGTGACAGTACTATTTTTCTAATCTCCCCAACATTTCCACCTTTCTTCAAGATAGATTTTACAGACATCAAGGCTGAAGCAGGAGACTCGCTTGAACCTCGGAGCCAGAGGTTGCAGTGAGCTGAGATCGCGCCACTGCACTCCAGCCTGGGCGACAGAGTGGACTCCTTAAAAAAAAAAAAAGTTTTACAGACATCATTTTACAAAAGAGGAAACTGAGCCTCAAAGAATAAGTAAATCTTCATCTCCTCCACCCTGGTCTCTGTGGCTCAGCTCAAAATGATCTCTCCACCCTGTCTCTGGTCTAGCTCTTTGAAAACAAGGTTGGGATGTCACTCCGTCTGTGCAGCCCCCTTAACCCCTGTAGGAAATTAATCATTTTGTCATCTGTGGTCCCACATCACTTCTAGACCTCTCTTATATCTTTATGTTCCAAACTCTTACTCTTGACCAAATCATTTATCCAAGTCACTAAATAAACCTTTTAATACAACCCAAAATAAACATCCATTTTCAGATATTGACTGTACTATTCTACTGTAGGAAGAAAAAACATATACATAAAAAGGAAATATTAAAAAGATATCACAAGCAATATGTTTCAAATAAACTTTCTTTTATTTAATAGTGGCAAAATTGTTTTCTACTAGTAACTTAATTTAAATTAGTGATTATTTAAAAATACAGTAATGTCTCATGGAGCAATGCTCTGAGAAATGTGTCATTAGGCAATTCAAATATTGTACAAACATCCTAGAGTATACTTATACAAACCTCAATGATAGAGCCTACTGCACACCTAGGCTACATGGTATAGTATTCTATGGCTCCAAGACTATAAACCTATACAGCATGCTAGTGTACTGAATACTGTAGGCAATTGTATTTATGTATCTAAACATATCTACTAAGCATACCTAACAAACATAGAAAAGGTACAGCAAAAATACAGTATAAAATATTTTTTAAATGGAACACCTGCATAGGGCATTTATCATAAAAGGAACTTGCAGGGCCGGGCACGGTGGCTCATGCCTGTAATCCCAGCACCTTGGGAGGCTGAGATGCCCAGATCACGAGGTCAGGAGTTCGAGACCAGCCTGACCAACATGGTGAAACCCCATCTCTACTAAAAATACAAAAATTAGTCAAGCGTGGTGGCACGTGCCTGTAATCCCAGCTACTCAGGAGGCTGAAGCAGGAGAATCACTTGAACCCAGGAGGCAGAGGTTGCAATGAGCCGAGATCATGCCACTGCACTCCAACCTGGGTGACAGAGTGAGACTCCATCTCAAAAAAAAAAGGAACTTGCAGGACTGGAAGCTGCTCTGGGTGAGTCAGTGAGTGACTGGTAAGTGAATGTGAGGGCCTAGGACATTACTGAACTTATTGTAGACTTCAGAAACACTTATAATTAAGACTTTGCTGAAGTTATTTTTAAAATATGTTTCTTCAATCATAAGTTAACCTTAGCTTACTATAACGTTTTTACTTTATAAACTTTTTACTTTTGTTGCTCTTTTGTAATAACACATAACTGAAGCACAAACACATTGTACAGCTGTAAAAATATTTTCTTTCTATCCTTATTCTATAAGCTTTTTATAACTTCAATTTTTTTTTTACTTTTTAAACTTTTTTGTTAAAAAAATAAGACAAAAACACACACATCAGCCTAGGCCTACACAGGGTCAGGATCAATATCACCTCCATGTCTCGTCCCACTGGGAAGGTCTCCAGGGACAAGAATACACATGGAGCTGTCATCTCCTGTGATAACAATGTCTCCTCCTGGGTCACCTCCCCCAAAGGACCTGCCTGAGACCGTTTTACAATTTAACTTTCTTTTATAAGTAAAAGGCATACACTTTAAAATAACGATGGCCGGGCACAGTGGCTCATGCCTGTAATCCCAGCACTTTGGGAGGCTGAGGCAGGCAGATCACCTGAGGCCAGGAGTTAGAGACCAGCCTGGCCAACATGGTGAAACCCCTGTCTCTACTAAAAATATAAAAAAACTAACCAGCCATGATGGTGTGTGCCTGTAATCCCAACTACTCGGGAGGCTGAGGCAAGAAAATTGCTTGAACCCGGGAGGCAGAGGTTGCAGTGAGCCAAGATTGCACCACTACACTCCAGCCTGGGCGACAGAGCAGGACTTCATCTCAAAATAAATAAATAATATATAATAAATAATAAAATAAAATAATAAAAAGTGTAGTGTAGTGCATACATGAACCAGTAACATAGTTTATTATTATCATTATAAAGTATTAAGTACTATACATAAATGTGTATGCTATACTTTATTTAAAATTATAAAAATTGTATAAAAAGTATAAAAACTGGCAGCACAGTAGGTTTGTTTACACTAGCATCATCATAAACACGAGTAATGCATTGTACTTCAATGTCATTACAGCTATTACGGCTATGACATCATAGGCGATAAGAATTTTTCAGCCCCATTATAATCGTATAGGACCATTATTGTATATGGGGGTCTGTCAACTGAAATGCCATTATGTGATGCATGACAGCCACAGGCAGGTCCCTGGGGGGAGGTGCCCCAGAAGGAGACATTGTTATCACAGGAGATGACATCTCCCTGTGTATTATTGTCCCTGGAGACCTTCCAGTGGGACGAGATATGGAGGTGATATTGATGATCCTGACCCTGCGTAGGCCTAGGTTAATGTGTGTGCTTTTGTCTTATTTAATAATTACATCATTAAACCAAACAACAAAATGTTTCATATTGTTTATTATTTAGTAAGAATAGTGAGATTGTGTATGCTTCATTATTGAAACTCTTGACAAAATATTTAGTAATGGAGCAAGTGGATGCTCTGGTTCCAGATACAGTTAATTTCAATAGTAGTTGGTATAATATCTTACATAGCTGGAAAAAATACATCACAAAAACTCAAAGCCAAATGGAAGGAATGCGTAACTGGCATACTTACTGAATTGTCGTACTCAATGTTTAATTCCACATGTCAAACATGAAAAATAATACTTTAAAATTTTTCTAGAAAATTTTCATCTTTCTGATGTCTCTCTGTCATCTCCAAACTAATTAGAAAAAGGCACAATATTCATTTTTAACAAATGGGCTTAACACTTTCTGAAATTATTCATTTAAAAGATTAGTTCACAGGTTAGAAAATTTTGTTTCCAAGTTTAAGAGTGCAAATATGAGAATTTTTAATAGGTAAAAATCACTACATTAATTTTGGCAACAAAGTTACATTATGATGAATGTATTTTTTCATTCTTAATTTTTAACTTTGTGCATACATAGTACATGTATATATTTATGGAATACATGAGATATTTTGATACAGGGGATAGAAAATAGGGTATCAATCCCTTTAAAGATTTTTCCTTTGTGTTACAAACAATCCAATTATACTCTTTTAGTTATTTTAGAATGTACAACTAACATTATGACTATAGTCACCCTGTTGTGCTATCATATACTAGACCTCATTCATTCTTTCTATGTTTTTTTGTACCCACTAACCATCTCCACCTCCCACCCACCCCTCCAACTACCATTCCCAGCCTCTGGTAACCATCCTTTTACTGTCTCCATGAGTTTAATTGTTTTAAATTTTAGATACCACAAATTAGGAGAACATGTGATATTTGTCTTCCTGTGCCTGGCTAATTTCATTTAACATAATGACCTCCAGTTCCATCCATGTTGTTGCAAATGACAGAATCTCATTCTTTCTTATGGCTGAATAGTACTCTGTTATGTATAAGTATCACATTTTCTTTATCCAGTCATCTGTTAATGAACACTTAGATTGCTTCCAAATCTTGGCTATTGTGAACAGAGCTGCAACAGACATGGGAGTGCAAATATCTTTTCAATATACTGATTTCCTTTCTTATACGTATACAGCCAGCAGTGGGATTGCTGGATTGTGTCAAGCTCTATTTTTCATTTTTTGAGGAACATCCAAACTGTTCTCCATAGTGATAGTACTAATTTACATTCCTAGCAACAGTGTATGACAGTTCCCTTTTCTCCATATCCTCACCAGCATTTGTTACTGACTGTCTTTTAGGTAAAAGCCATTTTAACAGGAGTGAGATGATACCTCATTACAGTTTTGATTTGCATTTATCTGATGATGAATGATTGAGCACCTTTTCACATGCCTGTTTTCCTTTTGTATGTCTTCTTTTGAGAAATGTCTATTCAAATCTCTTGCCCATTTTTAAAATCAGGTAATTAGATTTTTTTCCTATAGCATTATTCAAGCTTCTTATATATTCTAGTTATTACTCCCTTGTCAGATGGGTAGTTTGCAAATATTTTCTCCCATTCTGTGGGTTGTCTCTTCACTTTGCTGATTGTTTCCTTTGCTGTGCAGAAGCTTCTTAACTTGATGTGATCCCATTTGTCCAGTTTTGCTTTGGTTGCCTGTGCTTGTAGAGTATTACTCAAGAAATCTTTGCCCAGACCAGTGTCCTGGAGTTTCCCCAATGTTTTCTTGTAGTAGTTTCATAGTTTGAGGTCTTAAATTTAAATCTTTAATCTATTTTTATTTCATTTTGGTATATGGTGAGAGAGAGGAATCAAGTTTTATTATTTTGCACATGGGTATCCAGTTTTCCCAGCACCATTTATTGAAAAGACTATCTTTTCTCCAGTGTGTTCTTGGCACTTTTGTCAAAAATGAGTTCACTGTAGGTGTGTGGATTTGTTTCCAAGTTCTCTATTCTATTCCATTGATCAATGCATCTGGTTTATCCAAAACCATGCTGTTTTGATTACCATAGCTCTGTAGTATAATTTAAAGTCAGGTAATGTGCTTCCTCTAGTTTTACCCTTTTTGTTTAGGATGGCTTTGGCTATCACATGCTAGATCCACTTAGCAGATCTAGTAGAAGTACTGGGCCTTTTGTGGTTCCATATAAGTTTTAGGATTTTTGTTTTCTATTTCTATGAGGAATGTCATTGGCATTTTGATAGGGATTGCATTGAATCTGTAGATTGCTTTTAGTAGCATGAACACTTTAATATAGATTCTTCCAATCCAGGAACATGGAATATCATTCCATTTTTTGGTATCCTCTTCGATTTCTTTCAACAGTATTTTATAATTTTTATCACAGAGATCTTTCACTTCTTTGGTTAACTTAATTCCTTGGTATTTAATTTTATTTGTGGCTGTCGTAATGGAATTACTTTCTTGATTTCTTTTTCAGATTGTTCACTGTTGACATATAGAAACGCTTCTGATTTTTGTATGTTGATTTTGTATCCTGCAACTTTACTGAATTTATTTACCAGTTCTAATAGTTTTCTGGTGGAGTCTTTAGGCTTTTCCAAATATAAGATCATGTCATCTGCAAACAAGGATAACCTGCCTTCCTTTCATCCAGTTTGGGTGTCATTTATTTCTTTCTCTTGTCTGATTTCTCTAGCTAAGACTTTCAGTACTATGTTGAATAACAGTGGCAAAAGTGGTCATCCTTGTCATGTTTCGGATCTTAGAGGAAAAGCTTTCAGTTTTTCTCTATTCAGTATGATACAACTTTAGGTCTGTTGCATGGGTGGCTTTTATTATGTGGAGGTGTGTTCCTTCAATACCCAGTTTTTTGAGGATTTTTATCATGAATAGATGTTGAATATTATCAAATGCTTTTTCAGCATTGATTGAAATAAACATATGGTTTTCATCTTTCATTCTGCTGATATGATGTATCACATTGATTACATTGATTGATTTGTGCATATTGAGCTATCCTTGCATCCTGGGGATAAATCCCACTTGGTCATGATGAATAATCTTTTTAATGTTCTGTTGAGCTTAGTTTGTGAGTATTCGGTTGAGAATTTTTGCATCCATATTAATATTCATCAGTAATATTGTCCTGTAGTTTTCTTTTTTTTAATGTGTCTTTGTCTGGTTTTGGTATCAGGGTAATACTGGCCTAGTAGAATGAGTTTGGAAGTGTTCCCTCCTCCTATTTTTTGCAGTAGTTTGAGTAATATTGGTATTAGTTCTTTAATGTTTTTAGAATTCATCAGTTAGGTGATAGGGTCATAGTCTTTTCTTTACTGGCAGACTTTTTATTATGGCTTTGAACTTATTACTTGTTATTGGTCCATTCAGGTTTTGGATTTCTTCATGGTTCAATCTCACTGGGTTTTATATGTGTAGCAATTTATCCATTTCTTCTAGATTTTCTAAGTCATTGGCACATAGTTGTTCATAATATCCACTAATGATCTTTGAATTTCTGCAGTAAACACTTGCAATGTCTTCATTCTCATCTCTCATTTTATTTATTTGGGTCTTTATTTTTTTCTTAGTCTGGCTAAAGGTTTATCAATTTGGTTTATCTTTTCAAAAAACCAACTTTTTATTTCATTTATCTTGTGTATTGTTTTCTTCCTTTCAATTTCATTTATTTCTGCTCTGATCTTTATTACTTCTTTTCTTCTACTAATTTCTTGCTTTTCTAGTTTTTTAAGATGCATCATTAAGTTATTTATTTGAAGTTTTTCTTCTTTTTTTGAGGTAGATACTTATAGCTAATGAATTTCCCTTCTAGTACTGTTTTCACTGTATCTTATATGTTTTGATATGCTGTATTTCCATTATCATTTGTTTCAATAAATTTTTCAATTTTCTCCTTAATTTCTTCATTGACCCACTGGTCATTCAGGTGCTTATCATTCAATTTCCATTTAATTGTATAGTTTCCAACATTCCTTTTGTTATTAACTTCTAATTTTATTCCATTGTGGTCAGAGACTATGCTTGATATTATTTTAATTTTTTGAATGTTTTAACACTTGTTTTGTGGCCTAACACATGGTCTGTTCTTGAAAATGATCCATGTGCTGAGGAGAAGAATGTGTGTTCTTCATCTGTTGGAGGAAATGTTCTGTAAATACCTATTAAGTCCATTTGGTCTATAGTGCAGATGAAGTCCAATGTTTCGTTGGTGATTTTCTCTCTGGAACATCTGTCCAATGCTGAAAGTGGAGTTTTGAAGTCTCCAGCTATTATTGTATTGAGGTCTATCTCTCTCTCTTTAGCTCTAATAATATTTGCTTTTTGTATCTGGGTGCTCCTGTATTGGCTGAATATATATTTATAATCATATCCTCTTAGGTAATTGACTCCTTTATCATTATACAGCGGCCATCTTTGTTTCTTCTTACAGTTTTTGTCTTGAAATCTATTGTATCTGATATAAGTATAGCTACTTCTGCTCTTTTTTGGTTTCCATTGGCATGTAGTATGTTTTTCCATCCTTTTATTTTCCATGTATGTATACCTTTATAGGTGAAGCGTGTTTCTCATGGACCACAGATCAGTGGGTCATGTTTTTCATTCATTCAGTCTTTCTATGTCTTTTTATTGGAGAACTTAGTTCATTTACCTTCAGTGTTACTATTGATAATAGAGACTTACTTCTGCCATTTTGTTATTTGTTTTCTGGTTGTTTTAGTCTTCTCTTCCTTCTTTCCTTCCTTCTTGTCTTCCTTTTAGTAAAGGTGATTTCCTCTGGTGGTATGATTTAATTTATTGCTTTTTGTTTTTGTGTATTTGCTGTACTTTTTTTTTATTTGAAGTTACCATGAGGCTTGCAAATACTATTTTATAATCCATTGTTTTAAGCAGATAACAACTTAACATTGCTTGCATAAACAAATAAACAAGCAAAAAAACTAATAAAAACTATAGTTTAACTTCATCTCCCTCATTTAACAATCTATGTCTTAAGAAGTTGTTGTAGTTATTATTTTTTATTGGTTCATCATTTAGTCTTTCTATTTAAGATAAGAGTAGTTTACACATCACAGTTACAGTGTTGTAATAATCTGTATTTTTCTGTGTACTTACTATTACCAGTGAGTTTTGTACTTTTAGATGATTTATTGATCATTAATATCTTTTTCTTTTTTATTTTATTTTATAGTATCAACAGTGTTTACCAGTGAGTTGAATAAAAGTACATACTTTCAAAAACAGTTTTTTAATTTTCTTTTTTATTTATTTATTTATTTTATTATTATACTTTAAGTTCTAGGGTACATGTACACAACATGCAGGTTTGTTACATATGTATACATGTGCCATGTTGGTGTGCTGCACCCATTAACTCGTCATTTACATTAGGTATTTCTCCTAATGCTATCCCTCCCCACTCCCCCCGTCCCATGACAGGCCCCGGTGTGTGATGTTCCCCACCCTGTGTCCAAGTGTTCTCATTGTTCAATTCCCACCTATGAGTGAGAACATGTAGTGTCTGGTTTTCTGTCCTTGTGATAGTTTGCTGAGAAAGATGGTTTCCAGCTTCATCCATGTCCCTACAAAGGACATGAACTCATCCTTTTTTATGGCTGCATGGTATTCCATGGTATATATATGTGCCACATTTTCTTAATCCAGTCTATCATTGATGGACATTTGGGTTGGTTCCAAGTCTTTGCTATTGTGAATAGTGCCGCAATAAACATACATGTGCATGTGTCTTTATAGCAGCATGATTTATAATCCTTTGGGTATATACCCAGTAATGGGATGGCTGGGTCAAATGGTATTTCTGGTTCTAGATCCTTGAGGAATCGCCACACTGTCTTCCACAATGGTTGAACTAGGTTACAGTCCCACCAACAGTGTAAAAGTGTTCCTATTTCTCCACATCCTCTCCAGCACCTGTTGTTTCCTGACTTTTTAATGATCGCCATTCTAACTCGTGTGAGATGGTATCTCATTGTGGTTTTGATTTGCATCTCTCTGATGGCCAGTGATGATGAGCATTTCTTCATGTGTCTTTTGGCTGCATAAATGTCTTCTTTTGAGAAGTGTCTGTTCATATCCTTTGCCCACTTTTTGATGGGGTTGTTTGATTTTTTTCTTGTAAATTTGTTTAAGTTCTTTACAGATTCTGGATATTAGCCCTTTGTCAGATGGGTAGACTGCAAAAATTTTCTCCCATTCTGTAGGTTGCCTGTTCACTCTGATGGCAGTTTCTTTTGCTGTGCAGAAGCTCTTGAGTTTAATTAGATCCCATTTGTCAATTTTGGCTTTTGTTGCCATTGCTTTTGGTGTTTTAGTCATGAAGTCCTTGCCCATGCCTATGTCCTGAATGGTATTGCCTAGGTTTTCTTCTAGAGTTTTCATGGTTTTAGGTCTAACATTTAAGTCTTTAATCCATCTTGAATTAATTTTTGTATAAGGTGTAAGGAAGGGATCCAGTTTCAGCTTTCTACATATGGCTAGCCAGTTTTCCCAGCACCATTTATTAAATAGGGAATCCTTTCCCCATTTCTTGTTTTTATCAGGTTTGTCAAAGATCAGATGGTTGTAGATGTGTGGTATTATTTCTGAGGGCTCTGTTCTGTTCCATTGGTCTATATCTCTGTTTTGGTACCAGTACCATCTGTTTTGGTTACTGTAGCCTTGTAGTATAGTTTGAAGTCTGGTGTCACCCTAGGTCACACACCACCATAAATCCTGCTCTCCTGGCTGAAAGAGATATTGAAGAGGTCAGGAGAGACAGCCTTGAATTGCCAATGCCACCTCTCCCCTGTCCCCTAGCAGAGGCCATGTGGTGCAGAAAGCCTGTGCACTTGGAACAGTCCTCTGGCTCCGAGCCCAGCCAAACACTGAAAGTTGCCCAGCAATTGCAGTCTTTGTGTCCTACACTGCCTCTCAAGTTTACCTAGGACCCCAGAGCCCTTTGGCTTGCAATGACAGGCTTTGCCAAGAAACTCAGGTTCTGACTGCTGGGATGGGCAATTTCTCTTTGGCTACATCTGTTCCAAATGTTCTCTCCATGTGCAGCTGCTGGCTGAATCAAGCATGACTCTATTCTCTGCTCTTACATGATAGCACTGAGTTCAATGTAAACCCCCAGTCACTGTGCTCTCCCTCCGAGTGCACAGGCTCTCTGCACCACATGGCCTCTGCTAGGGGACAGGGGAGAGGTGGCATCGGCAATTTAAGACTGTCCCTCCTGACCTCTTCAATGCCTCTTTCAGCCATATGAAGTTAAATGCAGGTAATGTGATTGCTCACCTGATTTTGGGTTCTTATGATGATGCTTTTCTGTGTGTAGTTAGTTGTTAAAATTTGGTGTTCCTGCAGGGGGGATAAATGGTGTAGGCTTCTATTCTGCCTCCTTGCTCTGCCTGAAAACATTTTTAAATATCCTTTTTCAAAATGCTCTTTTTGTAACATGAGTTTGTGGGGGCAGGGGGGTTGCTTTTGTTTTTGTTTTGTTTTACAAAGCAGTTATTTTCTAATTATTTAGAATAACTTTTAACTTGAAGGTACAGATTAATTAAGCATGTTTAATTTTTTTAATCTTCTGAAAAGAGTGTACTTGATAAACACTTGTCTTCTTTCAATAAAAAGAAGCAAATTTGGAGCATTTGTCTCCTTCATAAAAGAAAAATGCCCAATATCATTAAGGTTCATTTTTAATCTTAAGTTTTTATTTTAAGTTGTTATAACAAAAAAAAAAATCTATCTTAGAAAAAGTGTTCAAAGTCACTCCTTACCTCGTTACATTTAAAGATATTGTTTTTATAATGCTAACCCTTTTGATGATTTGTAGCCAACAAAAAAAATAATGCAATTAGGTACCATATTCCAAAATCTGACAAAGGGCTAATATCGAGAATCTACAAGGAACTTAAACAAATTTACAAGAAAAAAGCAAACAACTCCATCAAAAAGTGGGCGAAGGATATGAACAGACACTTCTCAAAAGAAGACATTTATGCATATGGAAAAAAGCTCATCATCCTTAGTCATTAGAGAAATGCAAATCAAAACCACAATGAGATACCATCTCATGCCAGTTAGAATGGCAACCTTTAAAGAGTCAGGAAACAACAGATGCTGGAGAGGATGTGGAGAAATAGGAACACTTTTACACTGTTGGTGGGAGTGTAAATTAGTTCAACCATTGTGGAAGACAGTGTGGCGATTCCTCAAGGATCTAGAACCAGAAATACCATTTGACCCAGCAATCCCATTACTGGGTATATACCCAAAGGATTATAAATCATGCTGCTATAAAGACACATGCACGTGTATGTTTATTGCAGCACTGTTCACAATAGCAAAGACTTGGAACCAACCCAAATGCCCATCAATGATAGACTGGATAAAGAAAATGTGGCACATATACAACATGGAACACTATGCAGCCATAAAATGGATGAGTTCATGTCCTTTGCAGGGACATGGATGAAGCTGGAAACCATCATTCTCAGCAAACTAACACAGGAACAGAAAACCAAACACCGCATGTTCTCACTCATAAATGGGGGTTGAACAATGAGAACACATGGACACACACAGGGAAGGGAACATCACACACTGGGGCCTGTTGCCGGGGAGTGGGGGTTGGGGAGGGATAGCATTAGGAGAAATACCTAATGTAGATGACAGGTTGATGGGTGCAGCAAACCACAATGGCACGTGTATACCTATGTAATAAACCAGCACATTCTGCACATGTATCCCAGAACTTAAAATAAAATTAAAGTAAAATTTTTAAAAAAATTTTTTTTAAAAAAAAGCAAATGAAAATGAAGACACCATGCTCTCAACACCTCTGTGCTGGGGAACTACCCACAACCTGTCAGAATTGTTCTCTGTTCTACAGATTATTATTAATACATATAATAAACTTATTTACTTTATTGTATATAGACAGTTTCTTCCCAGTATCTAAAGATCTCTTTAGAGACTACAGCACTAGCCTGTGTTTAACTTAAGAGCAGAGAACAGGCGTTTTTCTTCTCTGTACTGCCTCTGTCACTAGCTCCTAAGGCAGGGTTTAGAGCATTGTAGGTATCTTAGGAAGGCTTATTAAGCGAAGATTTTAAGCCTTTGCTTAGAAGGCTTTAACTTTTTAAGTCTTTGCTTTGGATGCTGTGACCATTGACATCTTGGCAACAACAAAAATTTACTCCAGATGTTTTAAATTTAAAAAAGCGAAAGATTAATAAAAGGACTTGTCATTGAGGTGAGAGCAGGATTTAGGAAACAAGGGATGGTAAGCCACCACAGGCTAGAAATAGTGAGAAACTGTCACCACCCATAAGACTTGGGAGAGCTGAACCAGCTATGGAGAAGGCACCCAGCAGATGCCATCACTGTTGAGGGACCCAGCTGTTGCCAGTGATGTAGGGTAAAAACAGGGAAACAACATCCCAACATCTTTCTCCTGTCCTGCTGTTGGCCAAACCCACCTGGAAGACAGCCAGCAGGTAAACAAGGAAGACATGGTAAGAAAAGATCAGCTTCTTGGGCACAGAGCAGGCAGAGCAGAGAATGGATGGAAGAGACAAAGCAAGGGGGGAAATAAGAGAACAACCAACACAGCTGAAAAAGCCAACCTTTTTTTTTTTTTTTTTTTTTTTTTTGAGACGGAGTTTCACTCTGTCGCCCAGGCTGGAGCGCAGTGACGCGATCTCGACTCACTGCAAGCTCCGCCTCCCGGGTTCACGCCATTCTCCTGCCTCAGCCTCCCGAGTAGCTGGGACTACAGGCGCGCGCCACCATGCCCGGCTAATTTTTGTATTTTTAGTAGAGACGGGGTTTCACCACGTCAGCCAGGATGGTCTCGATCTCCTGACCTCGTGATCCGCCCGTCTCGGCCTCCCAAAGTGCTGGGATTACAGGCGTGAGCCACCGCGCCCGGCCAAAAGCCAACCTTTTAATATTGGTTTGAAGTCTTAAGACCAGCCCTTATCCACACTATAGATAACATCCTTCCCTTCTTGGGGGGAAAATGGAATTCTCTGTCTAACACAGATAATTTCCATCACACTACTTATTTCCTATGTCCACTGTGAATTCTTCATGCCTCATCCAACCTACTTTATCAATGGAAATTGAAAATCTAAACATTATAATGCTGATGAACATTTTCTAATGTCTATTTTTTCATATTTGAATTTCATCTATTTTAGGGAAAGCAACTCAGGTTGGTTTGCAAAGGTGAATGTTTTTAAATATTGTTAAAGTACGCATTGTGTGTAGTGACACTGAAGTCCTATCGAGTGCTCAGATCTTTTCAGCTCGATGCCACAAATTTCTATTGAGCTGTCTACTATCTGCAATGAAAGCATCATGAGGAATTTAAAAATGAGTTACAGATTGTATTTGCCTCCCTCACACCAGCATCTGAAGACAGAGGATGATAAATGTTCTTATAAAGATTAATTCTGGCAGTACTCTGAGAGGGCATCAGGAAGTGGAACTTGAATTTGAAAAGATACATAAAACTTTGGTGTCATTTTGTGAGGATGAGGAGTTGGAGAGATACTTCATGCTATGGTTTGAATGTCCCTTCCAAAACTCATGTTGAAATTTGATTGCCATTATAACATTTAGGAGGTGGGACCTTTGAGAGGTGATTGGGCCATGAGAAATGGATTAATTCCCTTATTGTGGGAGTGGGTTCATTATTAAGAAAGTAAATTTGTTATCAACAAGTGAGTTCCACCCCCTTTTGCTCTCTCTCTGTCTCTCCTCCTACCTTCCACCATGTGACAACAAGAAGGGCCCTAATATGGAACTTCACAGCCTCCAGAATTGTGAGCCCAAACATTTATGTTCATTATAAATTACCCAGTGTATGGTATTGTTATAGCTGCACAAAACATAGTTAGACACTTCAAGTGAAGGAGACATAATTTTAGTTGAGCTACTTTCTCAGACTGAAGACTTGTAAAGTCAATAACTTTAGTAAAGAATCTGATGGGGGAAACAATGATGGCAAATACTAACCTCTGACAAATTTGAAATACAGTGTATGGGTTAAATTAATACAGAAACATCTCCCCTGTCAGAGCTGCAATTACACCTCAGATTCATAGTCCCTCATCTAAAACATTCTCGGTGCCAAACACCTATATTTGAGAAACAGTTTTGAACTGGTTTGAAAGTAATAAAAAAACTCTTCAGACAAAGGAGGAAATGGCAATTTCATTTCAGTTTCATCTCCAGCTCAGCACTGCTCCAGTAAGGAAAATTGCAGAAATACAGAGTCAGGATTGAATTTTCCTTGATGGTTATCAATCCTGTCATAAGAATTTATGGGAGAGTAAAAACCATTAAAGCCAAAAGGAGCTATTATAAGAATGGAGTCTCTTTTTATTTTAGTTTGAGGTTGCATTTTTAAAGACAATTTCAAATGAAATGCTAAATGCAATAACAGTGAAACATAATTTTTAAAATTTCTCTTGAATCATAATAGACATGAATTACCACCAGCAACTCACATTAACCAGACACAGCCCCAACTGAATGGTAACAATTATTATAATACGTAGAGCAGATCCAATCATGGTTCCAAGTATTTTCAATAACCCATTTAACATATGAAGAAAGTGAGGCACAGAAAAATTAAGTAACTTGCCTAAGGTCACACAGCTACTAGGCTATTAGGGTTGCCAGACAAAATACAGAATTCCCAGCTGAATTTCAATTTCAGAAAAGCAACAAAATGTTTTAGTATAAGTATGTCCCATGCAATATTTAGGAATATTTACACTAAAAAATATTGATTGCTTACCTGAAATTCAAATTTAACTGGGTATCCTGTATTTTTATTTGCTAAATCTGGCATTCCTGATAGCTAGTAATGGAGGAACTCAAAGAACAATTAAATAACGTTGCATCAATGAGTTTCTGACCCCAGGAACTACCAGCAGGTTTATGTCATTGATTCTTTCTTGACTATAATGATGACACTAAATTCACTGAGCTCTGTAGTTAGCACTTAACATAGATGATCTCATTCAGTCATCACAAGGATTATACCATTATTGGGCCCATTGTACAGATAAACAGGCTCAAAATAAGTTGAACTACTACATGCCTAGTTTCATGAAACTAGTAAGCAATGGATCTTGATTCAAACTGGGGTGTGCAGAGCCCAGTCCATAATGACTACTCTTCGCCACCTCATTAATACAAACTCGTCTGCTCTGTGCTACGTTGTTGGAATCATGGTATGTCCAAAGATCTGTCTTCCAGAGTTTCAAAAGATAATGAAATGTTTAATCTTAGTCCTCTTTGATTCTAAATCAGAAGCTTCTACTAAAAGAATTTCTTGAAACCAGGGAAGTCATTTTCATTCTGCTTCCCAGACTCAAGCAATCTTCCTGCCTCAGCCTTCAGAGTAGCTGGGACTAAAGGAGCATGCCACCACACCCAGCTAATTTTTGTGCTTTTAGTAGGGATGGGGTTTCACTGTGTTTCCCAGGCTGTCTCAAACCCCTGAGCTCAAGCGATCCTCCCACCTCAGCCTCCCAAAGTGCTGGGATTACAGGCGTAAGCCACCATACCCAGCTTTATCTTTCTTTTTTCATAGTCCTTCTATTGATTCTTTCCCTTAATGACCTTATCTTTACAACTCTTACCTCTATATCTTCACCTCTTATGTGATCATGAGTCCTCTCAAATTCAATATGTGCAAAGCAAAACCGTCTCTGCATCTACATTCTCCTCAGTTATCTACCATTCTTTTGATTCTCTACAGATAAGAGACCTCAAAACTTATTTCTGGCTCTACTCTGTCATTCTTGGACTAAATCTGCCCTGTAATCCTGGTGTTCTTTAGATATCTCTCAGATTTATTCTATCCTCCCCATTCCCACTGCTATTATCTTCATCCTGGCATAAATTACTTCCACAGAATCTTCACTGGCCTCCTTGCTCTCCACATTCTTTTCATCTTATCCATTCTGTCCATCACTCCAAAATCTCCCCTGCCTTCTTGCACTGGATATGTAATACCCCTAATCAGAACTAGCAGTGGCCTCATCATCATTACCATCCACAAATATTTACTGACTACTTACTCTGGATGCTTGAATGTATAGATACAAAACTTCCCCCAGGAGCCTCTGATCCAATTGCTGCAATTATATAGAACATAAATTTTTAAAGATGCAAAACTATACACAAGGCAATGTAAGGTATCAAATTAACAATGCAAATCACAAGAGCCAGGAAAATTATATGGAGGATGTAGTCACAAGGCTAGGGGTAGTCATAGGAAGGGAAGAAATAAACACAGAGGCAAGGGAGAAAAGTATTCTACAGAGGGTCCAGCATGAGCAAAGATCAGAAATTCTAATGGCATTCTCAGGAAACATGGGGCAGCAAGGCTGGTGAAGACAGAGGGGAGGATATGCCATATGGACAAAATAGAAGGCAGAAAGGAACTTACCTAGTGTGCTTGGGGAAGAGTGACAAATAGTCGCATTAGTCTGGAACATGGAGTGTGGAAAAGAGAACCAGAAGATGGGGTTGGAAATTAGGATAAGGAATTCATTGAAGGCTTTGGAACAAATGAGGAAAGCCATCAAAGAGGTGTTTTAGGGCCCAGACTGAGCAAGCTAACAGTGCTGAGGACATCAGAGATACTGAATCATGCTCATGGATTGATAAACATGATACTTGTCAAGGAGGAAAGTGATCCTTAGGGCAAGAGCTAAAATAAGGTTAAGGAGGATCATGATAGAAACATAAAACTGCATAGGACATACCACCGACAAAAAGCAGCTGTGCTGGACTGCATTTCTTATTTATACCCATATACTTCAGGCACATAACAGTGAAAGCAAAAGCGTATGGGTGGGAATACATACAGTCATCATCAAAACAATAAAAATAATATTCAACTTTTAAAATAATAACAGGAACTGTAACTTACATTTATTGAGTACTTACTATGTGCCAGACACTGTGCTATGCCCTTTCCTCCAAACCAAAATGCTGACTATTAAAATATCGAAATGCTGTCATACACATTAGCAAATAATTGAAGCCCTGAGCATCTTTAGGGAGCCCCTAGTGCCCTGGTCATCTGAGCTCCTTTACTAGAACCCCTTGTGTCCCCTGCCCTGAGGAACTGAAAGCACGGAAAGGAGCCTCTGAGTACTCCCTCCAATGTTATGATCTGTGCCTCTTCTGACTGGTCAATGACCCCACTAAATATTTTTAAAATCACTCTAATATTACACTCATTAAGCAACTTAATTCTTACATTATTGTTACATCCTGGGAGAAGAAACTAAGGCTCAAAGAGGTAGGAGTTTTGGCCAAGGTCACAGCATAAATGGCTGAGCATAAATTCTATTTTACTTTAGAGCCTGAGTTTTTGTTTGTCCTAGAAGGGCAGATTTTATGCTGGGTGTATTAGTCCATTCTCACACTGCTATAAAGAACTGCCTGAATCTGGGTAATTTATAAAGAAAAGAGGTTTAATTGACTCACAGTTCCGCATGGTTGGAGAGGCCTCAGGAAATTTACAATCATGGCAGAAGGGGAAGCAAACACATCCTTCTTCACATGGCGACAGGAGAGAGAAGTGCCCCTCTAAGGGGGAAAGGCCCCCTATGAAACCATCAGATCTTGTGAGAACTCACTCACTATCATGAGAACAGCATGAGGGTAACCACCCCCATGATTCAATTACCTCCCACCAGGTCCCTTGCATGACAGATGAGGATTATGGGAACTACAATTCAAGATGAAATTTGGGTGGGGACACAGCCAAACCATATCCCTGGGGATTGTGAGACCGAAGTTTAAGTAGGCTGGCCACACTAAGTAAATCAACAGGGGAAATGTGATTCCCAGAAACTTCTTGTTTTAATAGGTCAGAGAAATCACCAAACTCAGGCCCTTTGGTCCCCAATCCATACTAAATGCTAAGCCTGCTGGGTGAGCCCAAACCCCTGGGTTTATGCAGAGAGTAACATTTCCTTCAGTGAAGACATTTAGAATGGACTGTTATATCTTCATATAGCAAAAAAAACCTCTAATTCTCTTCTTCCCTCCAGAAGTTTAACTGATCTCATCCCAGATGCTATGGTTATTTGCCTCTAGCTTCCAAAACAAAAGTAAATGGCAATACCATCTGTGACAGCCGCTGTGTGGAAAGGTCTCCAGCTTCTCCCATTGTCTTTTTACGCCAAGATAAGAGTTAACAAAACAGAAAGCTGTTTATTTAGTATAAACTCTGGAGTTTCTTTTGGTGGTAAAAGGAGGGTCAGAAAACAGGATTCGATTTACATTCCCATGATGTATAACTAAGAATTTAATCAAGATGTTAGAAAAAGAACCACAAAAGCCTAAAGAAAAAGAAGGGCTTAATGTAGAAAAAAACAGAAATTAAGAAATTCAAAAACCAGACTGATAAGTAAATCCAACAGCAGTTTTTAAAGGGAAAAATATGCAGATAGATAAGTCATAGAAAAATACGTTTTCATTATTTCATTAGGTCAATATGGAAAATGTTCAACAGGCCATGTGAGAATTTTTTTTTTTTTTTTTTTGAGGCAGAGTCTCACTCTGTTGCCCAGGCTGGAGTGCAATGGTGCGATCTTGGCTAACTGCAACCTCTGCCTCCTGGGTTCAAGGGATTCTCCTGCCTCAGCCTCCTAAGTAGCTGGGACTACAGCTGTGCGCCACCATGTCTGACTAATTTTTGTATTTTTAGTAGCGACAGGGGTTTTGCCATGCTGGCCAGGCTGATCTCGAACTCCTGACCTCAGGTGATCCACCTGCCTCGGCCTCCCAAAGTGCTGGGGTTATAGGCGTCAGCCACCCCACCCAGCCTCATGTGAGAATTTTAAAAGACTCCAAAGGCGCTGGGGCAAAGGCAGCATTCATTCTTGTTTTTTTTTTTTTGACAGATATATAGGCATAGAAAAATATCCAAGATATTCATCAAAATGTTAACAGTATTTATCCCTGGATGACAGAATTTGGAGCGCTTTTTTTTCTTTTTTATACTTCTCTATATTTTTTGAATCATTTACAATGAGCACTTATCATTTTTATAGTTAGAATAAAAACTCTAAAACCATTTTCATTTTTCTAACTGTCTCAAATGATTGAATGTGAAATATGATAATACATGAGAAAAGCTACATAAAATGTGAATGATAGTCATATTTGCTTTATGACAATATAAGTATCACAGACTTTGTATCACAATGGTTGGTGAAAACACAAATCTCATGAAATTACCTACTACTCTCCTATCAGATTATGCTCAACATGTGGTCATTGTTATCGCACAATGGGCCCATCTCAATGAGTGAGTGAGTCCAGCGGTATGGGAAAACCAATCCAGAGATCCAGTCCATGAGTTGACCTCACCTCAAAGGCTGGGCTACCCCAGCAAGAATCCCCAACCTTTTTGGCACCAGAGACCAGTTTTGTGGAAGACAGTTTTTCCATAATGGGGTGGGGGTGGGATGGCTTTGGGATGATTTAAGCGCATTACATTTATTATACACTAGATTTCTATTATTGTTACATTATAATATATAATGAAATAATTATACAACTCACCATAATGTAGAACCAGTGGGAACCCTGAGCTTGTTTCTCTGCAACTAGATGGTCCCATCTGGGGGTGATGAGAGACAGTGACAGATCATCAGGCATTAGATTCTTATAAGGATTGTACAACCTAGATCCCTCGCATGCACCATTCACAATAGCGTTCGCACTCCTATGAGAATCTAATGCACTACTAATCTGACAGGAGGTGGAGCTCAGGCAAATGATGGGGAGTGGCTGTAAATACAGATGAAGCTTCATTTGCTCGCCTGCTGCTCACCTCCTGCTCTGCAGCCCAGTTTCTAACAACAAATGGACTGATACCAGTCCGTGACCCAAGGGTTGGAGAACCCAGTACTAGAGCTCATGGCAGACCCTGGCTTTCATGTCACCATGCTAGCACCTTAAAAAAATGCCTCATGACATATATACACCATGGAATACTATGCAGCCATAAAAAAAGGATGAGTTCATGTCCTTTGTCAGGACACGGATGAAGCTGGAAACCATCATTCTGAGCAAACTATCGCAAGGACAGAAAACCAAACACCACATGTTGTCACTCATAGGTGGGAACTGAACAATGAGAACACTTGGACACAGGGTGGGGAACATCACACACCGGGGCCTGTCGTGGGGTGGAGGTGGGGGGAGGCATAGCATTAGGAGATATACTTAATGTAAATGACGAGTTAACGGGTGCAGCACACCAACATTGGCACATGCATACATATGTAAAAAACCTGCACATTGTGCACAGGTACCCTAGAACTTAAAGTATAATTTAAAAAAAAAAAAAAAAGCCTCGTGAGGCGGAGGTTGCAGTGAGCCGAGATCACGCCATTGCACTCTAGCCTCGGCATCAGAAAAAGGCTGTCTCAAAACAAACAAACAAAAACAAAAACAAAAACAAAAAAAGCCTCCTGATTACCATTAACTTTATCTAGAACAAGTTCTATAGAATTGAAGACCAGTGGGTAAACTTGAGGAAGTATACTTTTAAATTAGCATGGAGATTTTGGAAAAACACTGCATCCTCAAGTTTTTAAATGTATCTTTTGTTTTGTTTTGTTTTGTGAGACAGGGTTTCATTTTGTGGCCTAGGCTAGAGTGCAGTGGCACCATCTTGGCTCACTGTACCTTTGACTTCCCAGGACTCAAGCAATCCTCCCACCTCAGCACCCCCAGTAGCTGGGACTATGGGCATGTGCCACCATGTCTGGCTAACTTTTGTTGTTTTTTTTTTTCTTTTTTTGGTAGAGGTGGTGTTTTACCACATTGCCCAGGCTAGTCTCAAACTCCTGGACTCAAGCCATCCACCTACCTCAGCCTCCCTTAAATGTATCTTTCTACTCATTAATGGAAAGTGCTCGAGGCAGGCATCTGTGAATTTGTATACATAAATTCATTCCTTAGGTGGGGTCATGAAAATGGACACACGACCCAGACCTCGCATGAAAATAGTCATGGCACCCAATACAGGGATTGGTGCAAGAAGCAGACACACATATAAAACAGGTCCAAATCCAGGTCCCACCAAGAGACTGGAAATGTGGTGATGGAGGGACTCTGGGTTCACAAGCTTGAAGGAGCATGGACACCAGTAGCTGCTGGAGCCCATCTTGCCACCACTTAGAGAACAAGTATTCACCACTGAGAATGAAGCAAAGGGAAACCAAGCAGGCTTGAGAAACACAGAAGACAGAGTCCCAACGATCCCAAGGATGTTTTAACCTCTAATTCCAGTGCTACCTGACTGAGTTGTGCTTCCTTCATTTGAAACAGACAGTGGTTAATAACTACTGGCTATTAATTTAGCCATCCTCAAATGTTCTCCTGAATTCAGACTGAAAGGGTATCTATATGACACCAGACTCTTCACTCCTGGAAGGTTGGAATCATATCTCTTCATCTCTACATTTTTGGTGCCTGTCACAGTATATGTGTTTTGAATGAATGAATGAATTTTATAAACATGCTTTTTAAAATTCAGGTCTATTTGATCAATTATGACAATGTATTTGTTGTTGTTGTTGTTGTTGTTTGAGATAGTCTCCCACTGTTACCTAGGCTGGAGTGCATTGGCACAATCTCGGCTCACTGCAACCTCCATTCCCAGATTCAAGTGATTCTCCTGCCTCACCCTCCCTACTAGCTGGGATTACAGGCATCTCCATGCCTGGCTAATATTTGTAGTTTTAGTACAGACAGGTTTTCACCATGTTGGCCAGGCTGGTCTCGAACTCCTGACCTCAGCAATTAAACTTAAAAAAGCACAAATGATCATTCCTTGAAGACACAGCATAGGTAAAGAAAAAAAACAAAAAGCTTTGTGAAACCAATACACGGAAACAGCCAATGGTTTCTCAGACTCTTGGTTTTCAAGAATCTTCAAATGGAGATGTGAGAAGGAGGAGGAGGAGGAGGAAGATGTGGGATCAAGGTCCAAGGTTCCACTAAAGCCAGAGGAAGCACACTTAGAAGCAAATTCTGAGTGGGAGGCTTGACAAAGTTCTCTGGTTTTAGTTCAAGCATTGCAAACTGGCAGTCCCCGAACTGAATTTGGCCCATAGAAATATGTTGTTTGGTCTGCACTCTGTTTCTTTAGAACTTTTTTAGAACTTTGCATTTGAATGTCATGAGCTGGGAATAATACTGACTGCAGCAGGTACTGTTCTGAGTACTTTGCATATTTGAATCCATTTAATCCTCTAGAGAACATTTGTTGAGGACTTGCGATATGCCGAGCACTATTTCAAGCATTTTATATGCATTAACTCATGAGTTGCTTTCACAACCCTATCCCCATATTACCTAAGAGAAAACTGAGGCAGAGATAATTGAATAATTTGCCTGAAGTCCTACAAGTGATAAATAGCCCAGCCAGGATTTAGATGTGGGCAATCAGGCCGCAGAGTTTGGGAAGCTAGCTACCCACTGCAGTTGACTCCCTAATCCAATTTTACACTCTGCAAAATTCACACTTTGATATTTCCCACTTGGCTTGTCAGATTGGGGCATGTGGCCCCTGATCTGCACAGCGGCATAACTGGGCTACTGATCTGAGAATAGCACAACTGCCTTCTACCAGATTTTAAGAAACCTCCCTAGAGTGGGCAGGTAAGAGGCCCTACCCACGGTGAAAAGAATTCAGAATATCCATGGCTAATGATTACAGCACTAGAGGCAGAGGCATTATTGTCACTGACTGTATGACACCTCACAGTTCTAAGAGAGTCACCGTCCTACCTGAAACTCAAAATGCATTAAGCCTTGCACAAGCCACAAAAGAAAAAAACAAATCAGACTTTGTCAAAATTTAAAACTTTCATGAATCACAAGGATACTATAAAAAAGAGTTTAAAAAATTAGCTGAGCATGGTGGCATGCACCTGTCATTTCAGGTATTTGGGAGGCTGAGACAGAAGGATCACTTCAACCTTGAAGTTTAATGTCACAGTGAACTGTGACCACACCTGTGAATAACCACTGCATTCCAGCCACACCTGTGAATAGCCACTGCATTCCAGCCTGGACAACATAGCCAGACCCCATCTCTAAAAAAAAAAAAAAAAAAAAAAAAGGTAAAAACAACTCAGAGAAAGAAAAAAAATGTGCAAATCCTGTATCTGATAAGGAATTAATATCAATAATGTGTAGCCGGGCGTGGTGGCTCACGCCTGTAAGCCCAGCACTTTAGGAGGCTGAGGCAGATGGATCACGAGGTCAGGAGATCGAGACCATCCTGGTTAACACAGTGAAACCCCGTCTCTACTAAAAATACAAAAAAATTAGCCAGGCATGGTGGTGGGCGCCTGTAGTCCCAGCTACTCGGGAGGCTGAGGCAGGAGAATGGCATGAACCCGGGAGGCAGAGCTTGCAGTGAGCCAAGATACCGCCACTGCACTCTAGCCTGGGTGACAGAGCAAAACTCTGTCTCAAAAAAAGAAAAAAAAGAATTTGTAAAGAACTCCTAGAACTCAACAACAACAAAAACACCATAACCCAATCATTCAAAATGAGCAAAGGACTTGAACAGACATTTCTCCAAAGGAGATGTACAAATGGCCAATAAGCACGTGAAATTATGCTCAATATCACTAGTCATTAGAGAAATGCCAATCAAAACTTTACCATGACATACCACTCCACACATACTGGTATGGCAATTACCAAAAAAGTGGAAAATAACAAGTATAAGTAAAGATGTGGAGAAATTGGAACCCTTGTGCATTGCTGGTGGGAATGTAAAACAGTGCAGGGGTGGAAAACAGTTTGACAATTCCTCAAAAAGTTAAAATAGAATGATCATATGACCTAGCAATTCCACTTCTAGGTATACAAAAGCCGCAACTCAAATGCGTATGCCAACGTTCATAGTGGCATTATTCACAATGGCCAAAAGGTAGAAAAAACTTAAATGTCTACCAATAGATGCATGGAAAAACAAAACACCATATATACATACAATCAAGTATTATTTAGCCTTAAAAAAGAATAAAATTCTGAAATACACTATAACATGGCCAAACATTGAAAACATTGTGTTAAGTGGAATAAACCGGACACAAAAGAAAAAATGTTGTATGACTCCACCTATGTGAAGTACCTAGAATAGTGAAAATCATAGAGACAGAAAGTTAAATGAAGGTTAAATAGGGGGAGGGAATGGGGAGTTATAATTTAATAGGAACCGAGTTTCTGTTTGAGATGATGAAAAGTTCTGGAAATGATTAATGAAATGATGGTTCCACAACATTGTGAATAAATCAATGTCACTGAATTGTACACATAAAAGTGATTAAAATAGTAAATTGTATGATAAGTATATCTTGCCACAATTTTTAATTGCCTCCAAGAGGTAATAAAGTTATATAGAAAACTAGATCCTTGTCCATTCAAAACCAAATAGTAAAGTTGAGAAAAGCTCATGGCATTGGGAAGATGAGAAACTGTCTAGTTAGACAAAAAGGTAGGAAAAAAAAAATCAAGCAACAAATGGCCAGCAAAGATTGGTAAATCCAGAGGAGGCATGAACAAAGTTTTTTAAAAAGAAGCAAAATGCTTTTTAAAAAAACTTTCAAAAAGAAGTAAAAATAACCATGTTTACCAGCTAGAAACACATTCACAAAGACATGTGACAGGATAATAAAATGTCCAAATTCTCAGCTACTAAACAGTGGAATAGTGAAATTAAAGTGTCTTCCTTTTGTGTGGGTATGAATGAAGAATACAGCCCCAAAACATTAATTACAGCAAAGTCCTATTAGGGGTACCTGCAATGTCCTTGGGAGTCTGCAATCCTCTCCAAAGGAATGATACAAAAAATTAAATACAGAAGTCTGCCAGAAAACTATCCACTAGAGACTAGCATACATTAAATAAAATGAGCTGCAAACTCCACAATTACAAAGCAGGGTCATGGGATTTTAAATTGCTCCATAGGTCTCTGTGTGCTCAATTGGAGCATTTTGCATTCTCTCAAAAGCTTCACGTGCTCCACATTAGGTAAACAGGGACCACAGGAGTCATAACACCACAGGAATACTGGTTTATTAAAGAGGAAATTAGATTCAATTCCAGGATATGCCATTAAGTGTCTGGGTGACCTTGGGCAAGTCACTCAACCTCCCTGAACACCAGTTTCCTTTGTGTGAAATAAAAAGATTGGACAAAATAACCACTGAGGTCTCTTTAACATACTATAAGTCACATTTTGTTCTGTCTTTTCTTTTGATGACATCTTTTTGCTTCTCTTTTCCAAAACGTCAGTTCCCAAATTAAAAGGTGCAAAGTTTCATAAACTTCTCATAAATGACATTCATTCAATCCCTCCAAGGTTATTCTCTCTTATGTCCCACACTCTAGGATAGTTAGAGATACTCTGATCTCTGTTACACTTATTTCTACACATCACTTCAGTCCACAAAGGATTTGAGCCTGTCTAATTTCACTTCCAAAAATTTCAAATTCTCTTGCATGCATACTGTGCACAATATTATTTTAAGACTAAACCCTTTTCCAAAATGTGCTTAACAATGTTTACTTGGGTTTTTTCTCCATTAAAAGAGGAGAGTGACATATGTATAAAGAAGGATGCAAAATGAATGCAGACTGGATACGGGTGAGTTCCAGCCAACTGCCACCCTTTCTCCTGGCTTGATGGCTAATCACCAAAATACATTCCTGAGCTGTTCTCTCTCCTCATACATTCATTTAAGAATGAATTCACTTCTGTTTCAAGTTGTCCCATTTGGGAAAATCTAGATTGCATCAACAACAGCTTGAAAAAAGAATTGAGAGGAGTAGAAAGGCAAGAAAGAAGTCCTACAAATTAAAATAATCTTTTTAAGGTCTAAGGCAAGAAAGAAGTCCTACAAATTAAAATAATCTTTTTAAGGTCTAAGTCAAGAAAGAAAGCTCTGGCTCTCAGTGTACAGTCAGTCTATGCAAGGAAGTCTTTTTTGTATTTAGTAACCAAACATTTTAATAACATTAATTTGCTGTTAGTATGTAGAGCAACATCAAACTCCACAGTTGACATCTTTCTACTGACACAACCAACCACAAATCCTGGCTGGATTGTTAGCACAGTCCTGGACTGACATGTGCCTCATAGACCTGCCATGTTTTAGCTGGAATTCTCTCAGTACAGATGAGACTTATGTTTTGCAGAATTTTAAAAATAGAAAGACCCCAGGTTTTAATGGGTCTCCACTATACCAGCATCAATATTTTACATGATATTTCTTAAATATATATTCTTATAACATTTTAAATAATGAAGACTGCAAAGCTAGATATTTGGAAAAACAATATTTGGACCAATCAGGGCCTGAACCAAAGTGGAACCCAAGGGTCAAAATGAATCCCACTGATTTGATTCATTCATTTATTCAACAAACACATATCAAGCAACATCTCTTGGCAACTATTCTAGGCACTGTAGGGGATCTATAAAGCTCACAATGATCACACCCCAGGCCAAGCATGAGCCTATAATCCCAGGGTTTTAGGAGGCTGAGGTGGAAGGATCACTTGAGGCCGAGAGTTTGAGATCAGCCTGAGCAACACGGCAAGACCCTGTCTCTAAAAAAATTTTAAATTAGCCAGGTGTGGTGGCATACTGCTGTAGTCCCAGCTACTCAGAAGGCTGAGATGGGAGGATTGCTTGAGGCCAGGAGTTCAAGACTGCAGTGAGTAGTGAGCCATGATCACGCCACTGCACTCCAGCTGGGGCAACAGAGAGAGACCCAATCTAACCAAAAAAAAAAAAAAAAAAATGATTACACCCCAGAGCAGAGTGAAAAGTGGTACTACTGGAGAGGCATAAAGACAGTGCTCTATTCCCTCTGACAAGCCTATTAAAAAAGGACCTGATAACCTGAGAAATAGAAGTAAGTTCTAACTTCCTTCAGCCCCTACTAAGGTCAGGGCAGAGCAGGACATATGTAAACTCTGACCCAAAAACATACAATATTAGGGGTCACTGGTATCCTCCCAGAGGGATGCCAACATAGGTATCTGGCTAGAGGGGAAAGCTGAGCCTGCCTCAGGGAACAGGGCCTCTAGAAGTGGGGCCAGCCTCTCAGCTGTTCAGCCTTCACCTACCATGGAATCCCAGACACCAGGAAAAAATGATACCTTAGAGAAGAAGCCATTATAGACTAGAGGGGAATAGAAAAACAAGAATGAAGACCGATAAATTAAAACAATCTTTCCTCAACCCAAGACAGGAAAGGCTCATCTGGAGGAGGAAGGCTCTCTGATGGGTAGGAGAAGAAGGAGAATTATCAAAGTGAGCCCACCTCCTAGAACA
The DNA here is from genome assembly GCF_000001405.40 of Homo sapiens. NCBI lineage: Eukaryota > Metazoa > Chordata > Mammalia > Primates > Hominidae > Homo > Homo sapiens. The sequence goes on along the minus strand of NC_000010.11, from coordinate 63,771,031 downwards.
TTCTGCTTTGAACTGTGGGAAGAGATAAAGATAGAGAGAAGAATAGCTCAAGTGCTGATGAGTGACCAGGAGATTAAACAGCCTGAGGAACTGATGACAGGAAGTGGATTTTAAAGTAAAGACGATATAATTGAGCACACAGGCTCACTTGCCCTCAAACACACTAGAAAGAGTCAATTCAGTCTAAAGCCAAGTCTACCCAAGATCCCACTAGTCGCTCTTGCGAAAAATTCTGCCCCAGAGTTTCTTCTCCAGGCAGATCAGATGTGTGCCTCACAGGTAGGCAGCAGGAAGAAGGAGTTTCAACAGGTTATGAAGGGGGCGCCAAAAATCCAGCCTGTAGAACCTGTAAGTACAGAAGTCTCACACAAGAAAGGAAGACTAGAAGAAGTCAGGAGTGAATAGATTCACCAGCTGGGCGTTTGGGTTGTGAACGTCAGACGCTGAAGAGCTGGAAGAGAACAGAGAAGCCAGAGGTGGAGGCCCAAAGCTATCAGACATTGGGCAGAATTAACATTGAAAATGAAGGCAAGGCTTCGAAATACCATAAAATCATAGACCTACAGTAAGGGCCAATATCCCAGGGAACCTTCAGTGTTCAACTGAAACCACCAAATGGATCCATGACTATCTTGTCTAGCAAAGCAGATAACATCAGTCCCCATAGGACATAATCCCTGCATTTATGCTATCTTTGATTCAATCCCATCCTCCCTGGGTGTCTACCAGAAACATCTGAAACCCTTGTCAAAGTAAAATTCTCAAAAAGTTAAAAACATGATTCTCATACAAATATAAAATGAACATGAGTCAAGGATGTTATTTAATTCATTAATTAATGAGGAAACCAACAAGATGACAAAGCTTCTTCAAAGAGCATTTTGAGGATGTAGGTTTTCATAAGTATTTGGAACAATGTTAGAGCAAGATTACTAGGTTAGATACAAAACTGGCTAATGACATACAAGGCAATAAACCATAACTTTGGGGTTTTTTCCACTAAATAGAAATGATTTGAAAAATCTACATGTTAACGTGTAACTTCATTAAATCTGGAAACTAATTAATGGTAATGAGTGGGCTAAACAAACTTTATTCTCCTGCCTGGATAATTAAAAACTCTTTGGACAGGTCTGCTAAACTATGCTCCCATATGATCATAAAAGAACATATTACCAATCTTTCTGTCTCATTTCTGAGTTTTAGGTACTTTTTCTTAACTCCTTGATGCTTAATTTTGTAATAGAAGGTGGGTAAATCTTATTATTCACAGAAGCTAGAGAAACATCACCCCTAAATTTTTGAAAACTGGACTGTCCTTACAAAATTTTGACTTTGGCTTGACCTCTTAGCAAGAGGAATGGTGTGTGAGGAAAGAGAAGAAATTCTTGATAAGAAGGGTCAGCTAGATGGCAAAAACAACTAACCCCTGCTGGCCTCAGCCATATGCCAGCCTGCTAGATTTTGCTGACTATGTCACACTGAAATCTGGAGTTCACCTCTCTCTGAGCCAGATGAACCACCTAAGTGTGGTTTCCTGGAGATGATACCACTGCAGTTAGAAATCCAAATGCATCCCCTGCAGAAATAGAAGCTCCTCAGGAGAGTGAGAACAAAGACTACCCTTTAACTGTGACACAAAAACTAGCTTCAAGGTCCCCTGAAGAGAGCACTGGCTGAAGCAGGTGGCATGGCCCTTCAGGTGTGGCCTGTCCAGGAAAATGCAGTTGACACAACCAACTCCACACAAGACCAAGAGTAATTAACAACCCCATCTAGAACCTACCGTAGAAGGAAGAATCAGTGTCTTACAGTGCATATTCACTGAAACCAAAATATTTCCCCCTTTATTCTTGTATTTCATAACCTGTTTCTGTATATGAGAAAAAAAAGAAAAATGTCTATTATCTGTTAAGAAGGAGCCAAAGGGCTGGGCACAATGGCTTATGCCTGTAATCCTAACACTTTGGGAGGCCGCGGCAGGCGGATTCCTTGAGCTCAAGAGTTCAAGACCAGCCTGGGCAACATGGTGAAACCTCGTCTCTATAAAGAATACAAAAATGAGCTGGACATGGTGGTACATGCCTGTAGTCCCAGCTACTTGGGGAACTGAAGCAAAAGGATCACTTGAGCCTGGGAGGTCAAGGCTTCAGTGAGCCATGAGTGTGCCACTTCATCCCAGCCTGGGCATTAGATCAAGACTTGGTCTCAAAAAAATAAAATGAGCAAAAGGTCAGTAAGACATTTTCACATAAAGGCACAGAACTGTATCCTGGGAACAGGATTGACACAAGCATGAAAGTAAGGCCCAGGTATATAAAACAGGGGAATAAGATCAGATTGGTGGTTCAAATGAATTTTACCAAAGGATTTGCCTGGTATCTATCTGCTCTTGTGCTGGGCTGAGGTGGTGGGAGTAGGAAAGATAACCTGTGACCTCCTAAAGGTAAATATCAAAACCACAATGAGATATCATTTCATACCCACTAGGATGACTATAAGCAAAAGGAGAAAATGGAAAATCACAAGAGTTGACAAAGATGTGGAGAAACTGGAACTCTCACACATTGGTGGGAATACAAAACGGTGCAGCCACTGTGGAAAATAGTTGGGCAGTTTCTCAAGAAGTTAAACATAGAATTACCATATAACTAAGCAATTGCACTCCTAGGTATATACCCAAAAGAATTGAAAACAAGTACAAGTATATGAATGTTCACCTCAGCACTATTCATGATAGCCAAAGGTGGAAGCCAAATATCCATCAACAGATGAATGGATAGACAATGTGATATGCACATATAATGAAATGGAAAATTATTTAGCCATTAAAACGAATGAAGTATTGACACATGCTACAACGTGATGAACCTCAAGAACACAATGCTAAGTGAAGGAAACCAGACACACGAGGTCACATTTTGTATGATTTCATTCACATGAAATATCAGAAAAGATAAATCTATAAATACAGATACCAGAATGATGGTTGCCAGAACTGAAAGGAAAAGAGAGTAGGGAGTAGCTGATTAATGGGTACAGGGTTTCACTTTGGGATGAGGAAAATATTTTGGAACTAGATAGAGCTGTTAGTTCCACAATACTCTGGACGTGCTAAATGTCACTGAATTGTACACTTGAAATGGCTAATTTTCTAGTTATGTGAATTCCAACTCAATTTTTAAAAGTGAAACAGGAAATATCAGCAATGACAATAATGGCAAAGGTTCCAAACAGTAAAGCTCCAAGTCTGTACAATGACCTTCAAAATGTGAAAATATTCAGAGTAAACCAAAGTTTGGACAGAAGGGGGAGCAAGAAACACACAGAAATATAGAATTTATATGGGAAAAAAAGATTCAGAAAATACATTGATTTTTTTTCCAGGATCATGTCACCACCACGCTTCTCCTTGTATGAGTTATCTTCTGTAAAAATAGAAAAGAATAAAAAACCAAATCCCTCAATACCGAAAAAGAAATACTGAAGAATGATAGAATTTACAGCAGGAAGGGTTGACTGGAGAGATCATTCAGTCTAAACACCCTTATTTTGCAGATGGAAAAACCAAGACTCAGAGAGATGAAATGCCTTTCCCAACATCACATGGCAGAGCTGGACTAGCAACAAGGGGTTGGTTGGGGACTGTGCTTTCCGTGATGGAAGCTCCAACTGTGTTCTCTGTGGTTTTACGGTATTTTTTTTTTCTCTTGAATCACATAACTAAAATGTTTCCAGGCCTGTCAAGTCAGTGTCTGCCACCCCCTCTTCAGCTTTGCAGCACTCACAGCCAAGGAAAATCAGGTTAAAATTAACATCTCTAGAGCAACCATAAATGGAAAAGTCCCAAATATGCAGCCCATTGTGTCTAATAAGTCAGCAAAGTAAGGAGTACACTCTGCTTTGGTCCTGGGTGAAGAAATGGGTGACTGAAGAGTGCAACCTGAATGTCAACAGGGGCCACCACATCCTTTAAGAGTCAAACCAAACGGCCTGATCTCCTAACCCAGAGGCCTGTCTTCTAGATCATTTCTTCCAGCCCTTGCTTTCTGTACTCAAGGACTTAAACAAAGACCACTTCTCCTAAGGCCAGCTGTCAAAATAACATTTTCTCTTTCTCAGCTGCATGTATGCTCTGGGAGTCCTTTTGAACTTGCAGGCACATTCCTTTCTTCCCCTCCTCCCTACACCAGTAACCAGTGTTGACGAGAAGAGTCAAACTTCATAAAACATTTTAAGAGACTTATTCTGAGCCAAACATGAGTGACCATGGCCATGACACAGCCCTCAGGAGGTCCTGAGAACACGTGCCCAAGGTGGTCTGGGCACAGCTTGGTTTTATATATTTTAGGGAGGCCTGAGACGTCAATCAAATACATTTAAGAAATACATTGGTTTCGTTCAGAAAGGTGGGGCAACTCAAAGCGGGGGCTTCCAGGCTATAGATAAATTTAAACTCTTTCTGGTTGATAACTGGTTATCTGAAGACCTGGGATCGAAGGAAATGTTCAGGTTGAGATGAAAGATGTGGAGACTAAGTTTTATTGTGCAGAGGAAGCTCTCAGCAGACTTTACAGAGAGCAGGTTGAAAAATGTTTCCTATCAGACTTAAAAGGGTACCTGCCTCTTAGTTGATTATCTCCTGGATCTGAAAAGGAAGGAAGGAAAACAAAGGGGAAAGAGGATTCCCTACAGAATGTGGATTTTTCCCACAAAAGACTTTGCAGGGCAATTTCAAGGTATGGCAAGGAAATATATTTTGGGGTAAAACATTTTTATTTTTTCCCTTGTTATGCCAGAGTCAGGTTGGAAAGTAAGTCACGATATATAGGGTAAAATAAAACCCATCTGATGAGAATTTATGGCTTGTAGGGCATGACTCCCCAGACACCTTAGAAAGGAATTTGGGCAAGATAAAAAAAATCAGAGCTTAGTCCACACCAGCATGGGTCACTTCTTTGTGGGGCCACCTCAGAAAATGGGGCCAGGAGTAGAGACCCTAAAGGTGTCTGAATTCAAGATTATAACGCAAGTAAGTGGCAGTCACAGCCAGAACTAAACCAAAAGCTTCTTGCTCTGAGAGGATTACCACAAACTGAATGCCAGAACCTAACACATCGTTATTTAATTTTGCTAAAAAGGGTTATTTGCCTTCATTAAATTTTCAAACTTTTAGTTCCTGAAATACAATTTTCTTATTAAATTGTACCAATATACCACAATGTTATGCCAAAAAGGCCTCTCTCTCCTAATTATTTAATTTTGAATAAAATTCAGATTAACAGTGTGGGCTCTGGAATTTGAATATTTAATTTTCAGATCTCGGCATCGCCTATTATCTGCGCAGTCTTAGGCATGGTATTTAACCTCCCTGGACCTCAGTTTACTCATCCGTAAAATGAACACAACAATGAGCACCAACCTCTTAAAGCCATTGTGAGAAAAAAAAAAAAAAAAAAAGAAAACATTTAAAGTACACAAATGAGTTCCTGGCACATTGGAAAAGCTCAATAAATGTTACCTATCATTACCTTTCCCCAAAATGGGGCATTCTCCAATTGTAGAGAAGAATCTGTTCCCAGTCAGGAGTAGACTACTGCTGATATGTTTGGGTAACTGATCTTCAGGAACACCTCATGCCCTGACCTGTCTCTTCTGAACTTCCACAAACTCAAAAGGGATTCATGAGTCATAAGAGCCTGACTCCTATTAAGACTTTATTCCCTCTCCAACATCCTAGAAACCATCTGCTTGACTATCCCTAGCAACAGGAAACTCATCCCTTCCCCATGCTGTCCATGTCATTTTTGGATGGCTTATGGCTTCCATGCCTACCTCCATCCTGTGGGGCCATTCAGCAGAAGTCTCGCCAATTTCATATGCTTAGCCCTTCAGACATGTGAAGATGAGGTAGGAGGTGGGATTGACTCCAGGGGTGGGGCCAAGACACTGGACCAGATTGAGGACTAGCTAAAACAGGGCAGGGTTGGGGGGGAGGTGGCAAGGCAGCTTTCAATCATGCCCACCAGTGTGTCATGTCGCTATGGCAACACCCGGGAGTTACCGTCCCTTTCCATGGCAAGGACCCAATGATTACTACATCTTCCCTAGACATTTCTGCATAAACTGCCCCTTAATCTGCATGCAATTAAAAGTGGGTATAAATATGACTACAAAACTGCCCTGAGCTGCTACTTTCTGCCTACTCAGTAGCCCTGCTCTGCAGGAGCAGTCATAGAGCTGTAACACTGTCTCTTCGATAAAGCTGTTTCCTTCTACCTCTGGCTTGCCCTTGAGTTCTTTCTTGGACAAAGCCAAGAACCCAGTGGGCTAAACTCCACTTTGGGGCCTGCCTACCCTGCATCAAAGACAGTATCACATTCTGGGCTGAATACTTTTACATTCCCAACCTGTTACCCCAAGGGCCTGATTTAGAGTTCCCTCCACAGGAACTCCTGCTTGTGAATATGCCTCAGAACTGCCCATACCTCAAAGGGAGTCTGTCCAGAGAAGAGGCCACGGTTGGAGAGAAACGTAAAGAAGATAGGGAAGACAGGGAGACAAGGTATTTTCCTCATCCTTCTAAGGCCACTCCTTCACCCTCTTTTTCATCATTCTGTGCTCCTGAGAATCTTCAAAAACACGGCATTGGCTTTTTTCAAACATTTCCCAAGTTGAATGAAATGTCAGTGATCTTTCAATGAAGACCTATTGAAGCAATGTATGCTTTCTATGTGACTTTAGGAAGGGAGGAAAGAGAAGGAACAAAGTGTGTGCTCTAAGTACTACGTATTAAGCTCCATGCTGTCTATTTCTCATAAACAACAAACATAAGGGGCATTCTAATTATATTCTCCACTTTAAAGATGAGGAAACTGAGGCTCTGGGAGCTCTAGCAGCCCTCAATCACTGAGCAGTTGGACCAGGATGAACTCGGAAATCCCAGGTCAACTACCATGTGCTTTCTTTCTGTTTTAGACATGTCTTCCAGGGCCCATCACCAATGTGCTCAGACTCAGCTGCTGAGCAAACTGATGACTCACATTGAGCCTACAATTGCTGCCTTGACTGGGCTCCACCAAACTACCATAGCAATAAAGTATCTCCCTAAACCAAGGCTCAGCAAGGTACAGCCATGGGTCATACCTCACCACCACCTGTTTTTGTAAATAAAGTTTTATTGGGCCACAGCCACCCCCGTTTGTTTACATATTGTCTGACACTTTCACACTACAATGGCAGAGTTGAGTAGTTGCAACAGAGACTATATGGTCTACAAAACCTAAAATATTTACTATGTGGCCCTTACAGAAAAAGCTTGTCAGCTCCTGTCCGAGACCCACATTGGGCTGGCAAATATCTCATTACACCATAGACAATCCTAAAACCACTCTGAGAGGAACAGTAGAATCTTAATCCTTTCAACTAATGCTTCTCTCAATGAATATTTCTCCAATACATGTCTATGTGTCAGTACTTTTTCCACATTAACCATAATCAACTTTTCTAGGATAGGCTATCCTGCCTCAGAACTACCATATTACCTGCTTCAATCTTTATTTTCATGTGGTAATTTCCTGGCTGCCGTTAAGAGTTGGTGTGTGGGCAGTGGTTTCCATTTTTCCAGTATTCAGGGATATTACCTCTCCCACTGTGTGTAGGTTTGGTCGGACCCTCAGTCAAGGTGCCCCGCCCTTTCCCCAACCAAAGATAGGCTTGAGACTCAAAGAGCCCGTTAGGACTCCTTCCTCACAATTTCACATTTTGAGTAGAGTGACTCATAGACAGAAATTTCATTAGAGCTGCTTTATACCTCCAGCCATCCCCTTCCAAGATGCTTGGCTTCTACTGCTCTGCAAATTGCCCATTCCAAGCCTGCGTCTTCAGATTTTTCTTCAGTCCTGTCAATTCTTTTTTAAAGTAAGTTGGCCAAATCACTGTCTGTCACTTATACCCAGATACAGTAGGTCCAGAAAACCCTGCAGGGTAGGAGAATTTGTCTCTAAGGAGTTTGATTCCTTCTGAATAAATTAGGATTAGGAAAGGAAGCTCGTAATTGAGCCTATAAAACTCTAGAAGGCTTTTTAAATTCAATTTCTTAAATGGAAAAACATATATAATAAAAAGAATAGCAATGTCATGTCACAAATTTTTCTGTTCATCTCAATGGTTAAAGTTCAGCAATTTCTGGTTGCTAATGTAATTTTACTTCTCTGGGAGTAGCAGTTTAGTTCTTTGTGACATTTAGTAATGAGCACCATTAGATTGCTCCCTATAGCTTCTACCTGGGGACATTTGCCAGTCTATGTAGGCAAAGGGGCACATGAAGTCTTTTAATGCACCCAACATGCCACTGACAAGATACCAAAGAACAGTTCACCACTTCTGATTTATGACCCTCACACCAGAGGGTGTTGGGGGAGGAGAGGAACCAGAAGACCTAGGAAATCAGTGCAAACAATACAAAGTCTCCAGGCCTCAGCAGATGCACCCATAGCCTCTGGTTCCAACATCAAATGTCTGCCAGGCAGTGAGAAAGCAATGGGCCAGAGGAAATGAAAAATATTTCTGCATGAATAGAACTCTAAGAAGGGACTCTCAAGGTAATTTAATTCACCTACGATCTGATGAAGGAATCCCCTTCACAAAAACCCTTAACAGGTGGATGTCACTAAAGATGTCCAGCTGAATACCTTCAGTGATGGTGAACTCATTACCTTTTGGGCAGCTTGCTTCATTTTTAGACAGCACTATTTGTTGGAAACCTAACAACTCTGATTTGAAAGAAGCCACACAAAACCATGCTGCTCCCTCTTCCCTGTGGCCACCCTTTGCATTGATTTTGAATACAGTCAACATGCCTCACCTAAATCTTCTCAACTCTTGAGCTAACGCCCCCAGATGAACCAAATCATTTTTCACTTGACATGAATGTGACTTTTACTTCTCTGCTTATAAAGGGTATATCATTCAGGTCGTGGCAGGAGTTAGATGATGCACTCCTATTTGGGAACTTGAGTTTAATAAGGGGATCTTTTATAAAAGTGTGAGCAGAGTGTAGAAAAACTAAAAGGGATTGTGCCAAACCCCAGGGGTGTTACCATTCTGTCTTGAAAAAGCAAAGAAAGCAGCAGCACCTGGAGATGGCACAAACTGTGTCAAGAGGGTTGCCTGGTGGGCACTGTGAACTTTATTTACAGGTAGGGCCCTTTCTGGAAAGGGGCTGGTGGAATAAACACCCCTCCCTCACACATCTGCTTGACTCTAATCTGCCAGAGTTCTCCATTGGCCAAATTCAATTGGAAGCTTGAGGGAAAGAAAGCTTATCAACGTAATATACATGAGTTAGACTCCCGAGGCGCAGAGATGGGTGGTGAGTAGATCTGAGGGGCAAATGAGAAATATCCAGCACAGAGGGCATCTCAGGTCTTTGTCTCCCCAACAAGCATTACTTTTGTTCTCGATTTTCTTCTGGGAAACCACTTTTCCCCGATTCTCCTGCCATGGAATTTAAGCCTGGTTGATTACCCCTGTGGCTCTCTAGAGGTCATATGCCTCAGGCCTGCCCAATCAGAGCACCCAAGCCTCTGACCACAGTGATTGGTTCAGAGGCAAACATATAACCCAATTGGAGACAATGAGAAGCAAGTTCTGTACTCCTGCCAGAAGGGGCATGTTCTCCTTTCCTCTGAATTGAAGGTTATTGTCCTAGAGCTGTTAGAAGCCACACTGCCCTGCAAGGGAAGAGCCTGGATAAAAGAAAAATCAACTCAGAGGAAGGCAGAGCCAAACGAGAAGAAAGACTAGGCCCTGACAACATTGTTTGAGTTCCTGGATCCAATTGCTCCTGCAACCTACAGTGTCCTTCCCAGCCTGAAATTGAAATGATATTAAAAAGACAGAATTCTATAGCATGAAGAGCACTGGTGGGACATATGTTCAAACCTTTCTCCATCACCTTCTAGCTGGGCAACTTTGGGAAAATACTTAACTTTATGATCTCAAGTTCCTTGACTTTACAACAGGCATTATAATGCCCTGCCACCCTCATATGCTTATTGTAAGCACTAAGCAAGATCACATACTTAAAGGTCCCCTGTAACTTGTAAGGCACTGTACAAATGTCACAGATTCTTCTTCAGGTCATCCCCACATCCTTCGGATGCACCACCCTTGGGACACAGTGTTCCAGAGTCAGGGGCACAAGACATTCTAAAATTACTTCCAAGGCTGAGTAATGACATACTGAATAGCAGCTGTCAAGAGCAGTGGCAATCTCAACATTGCCAAATAGAAAAAATAAAGAAATGGACAAAATTGGCTTTATTTTAAAGAGACAGACTGGAATCAGCATCTAAGAATTACGAGAAAAACTCTGTTGAATTAAAAACTATGTCTGAAACAATGTCAAGGCAGAGGAAGACGAGAAACAGACACAGCTAAAGAAAAATAGCCCACACTGGTTCAAGTGGCAACTGTCGCAGCTGGCTAGCAACAGAGTCAAAATCAAAAACCATGGAACAGACAAGACAGAGTGCTTTCCTGAGGATAGAGAACTGTTGAAAGAAAAAGTTCACAGGTTACAACCATGAAATATTGGGAAAGAATAAAGGCAATGAAGCCAGTGAGGTGGGACAGTGAAGACAGGCTCAAAGAACCAGAAAAATACCAAGAATCTTATGGCTGAAGCTGACTCTGATAGTATGCAGGGGATCTGGGAGCAGTTCACCAAGTGGCTAAATCCCATGTGGAAATTTCAAAACTGGAATGGGAAAAATCCAAAGCACAGCTAGGAAAATGCCTTACCACAGAGGCAAAAGAGAAAAACACATGTGCAAAATGTTTCAGTGTGCTCGTCAGTAGTTCTCGCCTCACAGATATGAATACCAGACTTGGATGAGGCACTGGGCTTTTTACTGGTCCAACAACTTGATTCTACTATGCACTAAAATCAAAGAGGAAAGGAAAAATTCACTTGAATGTATAACCAATATCCCAAATGCACTGCAGTTTACCAGTGGGCTAAAAACTGAAAGATTAAAGGAAAATAAAATTTTTCTTGTGCAGCTGAAGAAAAATATATTTCTTACAAAGCACTCAAAAGAAATGTATTTCAGAAATGATTTTCAGCATCTGCTTTGTGCAAAGCACCATGCTAGGTGCTATGTAGGACAGGAGATGAAAGCAACACAGTTCTCTCCCTCGCACAATCTAACAATCCAATTGGAAAGGAAAATTCCACTAGCCCAAGATAGAATGCAGAATGGAATACTTCAGGTGGGACAGCCAGGTTTAGGTGGCTATAGGGTAGGTGTTTACTCAAAGAAAATCACAGAAGAAAGATCCATGAGACCGTTTTCCTCCTCCATTTAAGTGGGTGAAAGAAATGAATAAATCAGTTTAAGAATGATTTGTTGCCACCTTCCCCTCCTCCACCACCCCTCCTCCAGACATGGTGTTTCCAAGTCCTGCTACTTCCACCTCCAGACTACATCTTGAGTCCCTCCTCTTCCCTCTCTCCCCATGGCTACCACCCCGTTCCAGGCCAGTCATTTCTTGCCAAGGCGCTTCCGGTTATCGGTTTATTCCCATTCTCTCTCCCTTATAATCAGTCCTTCGCCCGGAATCCAGAGAAATGTTTTTAAGTGCAAACTAAATCAAAATCCCTCAGTGGCTGCCAAGACTGGAATGAGATATCAAATCTTTCAAGACACTGTATCTTTGGGCCTCTGACAACTCCTCCAGGCTCATTTCACCCCAGTTTCCACTTCACTCACCACACTCAACCTAACTGACCTTCACTTAGTTCTGTGAACGCACCACGGTCTTTGCCGCTGATTTTAGCCTACGCTGTTCCGTGTCTGCAGTGGTCTTCCCTTCCACTCTTCACCTAACTCTTATTCAGCCATCAAGTCTCAACTGAAAAATCACTTCCTCAGAGAAGTCTTTCTGAGCTCCCAATATAAATTAGGTCTCAGAATGCCCTGTACTTTTCTTTATCATAATTACATATTTATTCTGTTTGTTTGATGTCCAGCTCCCCGCAATACTAAAGAGTGGGAAACTTTTCTGTTTGTTCCCCACTATGCGCCTACTTCCTAGTACATTTCCTGGCACCCACTAGGGGCTCAGAAAATAATTGTTCAAAGAGAAAATATGCTCAGCACTAACATGGTGTACAAAAGTAGAAGTCATGTCCTCTTTCTTCAAGGGGCTTTTAATCTAATAGATACAAATCAATAGGAAACAGAATAAAATAGATGAAAATCCTGTGTAGAATATGTTATATGGTAAGTGCCACGGGGCAAGATAAGTTTACTATAACAAAAAGACCCAGCCTGGGTGACGTAGGGAGACGCTGTCTCTGCAAAAAAAAAATTTTTTTAATTAGCTGGACATGGTGGTTTGTGTCTGTAGTCCCAGCTACTTGGAAGGCTGAAGTGAGAGGATCACCTGAGCCCAAAGTGTGGAGGATGCAGTGAGCCATGACTGCACCACTCCACTCCAGTCTAGGTGATGAAGTGAGATCTTGTCTCAAATAAAAAATAAAAAGATCCAACAATAATCTAATGTCTTAAAGAATATAATATAGCAGAAGTCAATGCTCTAAATCAATGGGCAACTCTGTTCCCCAGTCCATCCAGAGATCCAACTTCTTTCCATATCACTTGTCTACAATCCTTCACAGTGTTGTCCTCATCTGCATACTTGAAGATAGGAAAAGGCATATCTAAGTTCTGACTCAAAAGGCATACAAGCAAAGCCAGCAAATGCAGATATCACATCTACTCACATTTCACTGGCAACAACTTAGAATCCAAGCTGCAAGGGGAGGCCGGGAAATGTAGCTCCTTATTGGATAGCAACAGCCCAGTTACAACTTTATTACTGTAGAAGAATAGAAAAATAGATTTTGGTGGATAAGAAACAGTTTCCAAGCCTGGCACAGTGGCCCACTCTTGTAATCCCAGCACTTTGGGAGGCCAAAGTGGGAGGATGGCAACAAAGGGAGACCTCTGTCTACAAAAAATACAAACATTAGCTAGTGTGGTGGCATGGCATCCCCCTGTAGTTCTAGCTACTCCAGGGGCTCAGGTGGGTGGATCACTTGAGCACAGGAAATCGGGGCTACAGTGAATTTTGATCAGGCCATTGCAGTCCAGCTTGGGTGATAGAGACCCTGTCCCTTAAAAAGAAGAAAGAAAAGAAGAGAAGACAAGAGAAAAGAAGAGTAGAGAAGAGAAGAGGAGAAAGAAAGAAAGGAAGGATTTCCAAGCCCTTGAATTAGATGAAAAAATAAAACCCAGCTATATAATATTTATCTCAAAGGTTGAAAATAAAAAGTAGGAAAAAGATATAAAGTATAAAACAAATGTTAATCAAAAATGATTTAAGGTAGGAATATTAATACCAGATATATAAAAAGTAAGGTGAAGAGCTTAAGAAGAGACGTGACATAATTATGAAAACAATCCATACTTTAAAAAATTTCTCTGATGATCCTTGTAATTGGATTAGTTTGTCACATTGTTTATGTAAAATACTAGTGCTCTCTTATATGAAATTTAATTTAATAACTTATTTTCATTTATTCCTGATTTGAATTCAACCCCAACAAAAGGAAAATCAGAAATAACTGAAAACGAGTTATACTGGCTAATGTATTTCTAAATGTGGCAACATATCTGAGCAATCAATTAGACAGTGCCCTCCCTTAAAGACCTCTACTTTGGGTGTTTTCTAAGCACTCTGCCTATAAAACAATGCCATCATGTCACTCTACAGCACACACTTTATCTTGGTGACTAATACTGATGTCAGAGCTTAGTAAAGTGTCCAAGGATTTTTTTTTTTTTGAGACAGGGTCTCACGCTGCCACCCAGCCTGGAGTGCAATGGCATGACCATAGCTCACTGAAACCTTGAACTCCTGGGCTCAAGCAATCCTCCCACCTCAGCCTCCTGAGTAACTGGAACTACAGGTATATGTCACCATGACTGACTAATTTTTTTAATTTTTTGTACAGACTGGATCTTGCTTTGTTGCCCAGGATCGTCTTGAACTCCTGGGTTCAAGAGATCCTCCTGCCTCAGCCTCCCAAAGTGTTGGGATTACAGGCATGAGCCACTGTGTCTAGCCCCAGTGATTTCTGAAAGATTGCTTTACAATGTTTCACTGATAATTAACCTCCTACCTCTGCACAAAGGTTTCTCATCTTCATTTTAAATTCACTTATTTACTGTCAGTATGGGTATGGGTGGACCAAGCCATCAACCTATTTTTCTGATGGATTTTCACTTTCAATACTTCCATACTGTGAGAATGGAAGTTTATTTTTTTGCTCCTGGACTTTTTCTACTCAAACATTTTTTTAAATGAACATTTTTGCTATAAATACTTGCTTGCAAAATGCCTGCATATTGATTAGAATCATTGGTGTTTTAGATAATTTCAATTATAAAAGATTTTTTTAAAGAATAGGGTTAATATTTTTATCTTAAAAACAAATAACTGATAATTGTCTGTAATTCTCTCAGAAATATGTGAAATGGCAAAAGTTAAGTTGCACAATATTCAGCATTTAGATGTAATGCATATTTGTCAGACTAATGGCTATATCAGCATCTTTAAGGAAGGTTATGTTATCTTCTTTATTTTTAAAATAGAGATTTTATTTTTAGTGAAATTGGACATCCATGGTTATTTAAAAATTTGTCTTTGCAACTTTTTCCTTATGATTCTAAAATGTCTTTGATTTGAAACACAAGCAGTCACAATAAGAACCAGGTTCCAGTATTTGTCTCTGTAAATAGACACTGTTTTTAAAAGACTATGGTTAGGACAAAGAAAAATCCCAGCTAGATTCTATAACTGATTCCACTCTGGGATTTAACAAGTTTTTCTACTTGTAGACAGGTTAGGTTCTGAAAGACTTTTTTTTTGTTGTTTGTTTGTTTGTTTGTTTTTGAGATGGAGTCTTGCTCTGTCACCCAGGCTGGAGTGCAGTGGCACGATTGGCTCACTGCAACCTCCATTTCCGGGGTTCAAACAATTCTCCTGCCTCAGCCTCCCAAGTAGCTGGGATTACAGGTGTGATCCTGCCACCATGCCAAGCTAATTTTTTTATTTTTAGTAGAGATGGGATTTTGCCATGTTGGCCAGGGTGGTCTCGAACTCCTGACCTTAAGTGATCTGCCTGCCTCAGCCTCCCAGAGTACTGGGATTACAGGTGTGAGCCACC
Organism: Homo sapiens; assembly: GCF_000001405.40. NCBI lineage: Eukaryota > Metazoa > Chordata > Mammalia > Primates > Hominidae > Homo > Homo sapiens. Next base: position 63,755,790 of record NC_000010.11, on the reverse strand, counting down.
GCGCCTGGCCCCTGAAAGACTTTTAAGTCAATATGTGGGTAAACCTAAGGAACAGCAGATTGCTGGGAATGGGTGGAGTGAGTGTGCTTTTGCTCTGGTTCTGTGTGTTGTTCCTGTCTCTGAATGTTCATAAATATGGAAGCTTCTGTGAAATAAATTAATCATGTCACTCTGAACCTGCCTTCCAGGCAAAGACCTTGTGATCAGCTATGCATTCTATTTCATTACAGCTGCCTAACTTTGGGAGAAGTCCACACCAGTTCCCAAACTACTCTCCCAACTCCAGTGTTAAAGGCAGTTGAGCTATATGAGCAGGCAAATGCCTTATAAGAAAGTCAGTGTGATCCAGGAGGGTGGCACATCCAACAGGCTAGAGCCCCATGAGCACTTCATACTTGCTAGTCCCTGTTCTAAGCACTTAATATGAATTAACTAATTTAATACTTAGAATGACCTTTAATTTCAGTATCTTTGTTTTATAAAGCAAGAAACTAGGGCCCAGAGAAGTTACTAACTCTCTCTTTGCAGGAAGGAAAGGTCCAAGATCACAGAGCTGGAAAGTAGTAAGGGCTGAGATTTGAACCCAGGCTGGCTGACTTCAGGGGCCACATTAGACAAATGAGCTATATTGCCTTTCAAGGCTGAGCAATGAACTAGCAAGAGCAATGGTCTATAAATCAGGCAATCGGGGTGCTAGTTTTAATTCTTCTAATAATTTGTTGGGTGTCCTTGAGCCCTTCATCTTTTTTTTTTTAAGAAGGGGGTTGTGGGTTAATAAAGAATTGCAAATTAAAGCAAGCACCATTTTCATCTATCAAGCTAGAAATGCTTTTTTTGCCACTATTATCAAAGGCAGAGCAAAATGGGCATTTTTCTGTATTGCTAGGAAGAATGTGATAATAACAACAGTAATAGTAATAATAGTTGAACTTTACTGAATGCTTAATGTGTGTTAGCACTGTAATAAATTCTTTACAGAGATTATCCATTGTAATCCTAATGGCCACTCCATGGTACAGGCATGATAGATGATGAGCCAAAGCTGAGATTCTCCACTGGTCAATAAAGAAGCAAAAGCTTCTAGAAAGATACAGGATCTGCCAAATGGCGAGAATTAGTAATGGTGGACAGTAGCAACAAAAACTCGGCAATCTACTCCAGAGCTTAGGCTTTCAAATATGAACACAATCTTTCCGTCTTTGTTAACATTAGTCAAAGCCCTTAAAATAATCATTTTCTTTAAATTTGCATTCTCATCTTGGAGTTTATCCTAATCTAGTTCAAGGAAATAATCATGAGCATTTGCAAGAATTTAGTTACAAAATATTCATGACAGTTTAGAATAGGATTAAAGGTGAATTTTTTCCTTCTTTTGCTTATCTAAATGTTCTATATTAAATATGTATTACCTTGGTATTTTTTAAAGGTTTTTCATATTGGAAATAGACTAAAAAGATGGTAAACATCCTTTTATGTTCCAGAATTCTGACTCTACAGAAGGCAAATATTGGATTTTAAAATAAGCCTGTTGAAAATATTAGCGATTGAAAATTTTTAATTATTAGATATTACAGTCATAATTATCTTATTGTACTGTGGTGATTACAAAAATTGACAAGTTGCTGATGATCTTACTCCCCTACCCCCACTTCCTGCTTGCTTTTGCTCTGCAAACTTTCCCTGTCTCTCAAATTTCACGTCCTTCAAGAAGTATTCCCTGGCCCTTGGTCTGGTTTTTTGAGGGAGGCCTGGGGAATTTCAATCTTTTAAACAATTTTTTTATTGATGCATAACAGATGTACAGTGAAGATCTCATCAGTGTAGTTGGGATATTAATCACCTTAAATATTTGTCTTTAAGCTAGAGACTTGAATTATTCTCTCCTAGCTATTTGGGTTTTGTTTTTTTTTTGTTTTGTTTTGTTTTTTGTCGGGGGTGGGGGGAGGTGTTTTTTTTTGTTTTGTTTTGTTTTTTGAGATGGAGTCTCTCTCTGTCACCCAGGCTGGAGTGCAGTGGCTCAATCTCGGCTCACTGCAATCTCCACCTCCGGGTTCAAGCAATTCTCCTGCCTCAGCCTCCCGAGTAGCTGGGATTACAGGCATGCACCACCACACCCAGCTAATTTTTGTATTTTTAGTAGAAGCAGAGTTTCACCGTGTTGGTCAGGCTCATCTCAAACTCCTGACCTCAAGTGATCCGCCCACCTCGGCCTCCCAAAGTGCCGGGATTACAGGCATGAGCCACCATGCCTAGCCTCTCCTAGCTATTTGAAATGTACAATAGGTTGTTGTAAACTATAGTCACCCTACTGATCTATCAAAAACAGGTCTTACTTCTATCAAATCATATGTTTATACCCATTGGTCTGGTTGTTATGGTTGTTTTTGGGGGGCTTCCCTAGGATCTGAGGCATACCTGAATCTTAGCCCTGGATAACACTGTCTATATTTGTTTACCTGTTTCTCTATGAGACTAAAAGATCCCTGAGGGCAGAAGCTAATTCTCAATAGATTTTTTTATTTCCCAGTCCCTAACACAGTACATCTGTGAATGAAAGAGAATAAAATACTCTTTAACAATCAGCAGGCTGGACGCAGTGGCTCAGGCCTGTAATCCCAGCATTTTGGGAGGCCAAGGCAGGAGGATCACTTAGCACAGGAGTTGGAGACCAGACTAGGCAACATAGTGAGACCCCATCTCTATAAAAAATTTAAAAAGTAGCCAGGCATGGGGGTACACACCTGTTGTCCCAGCTACTTGGGAGGCTGAGGCAGAAGGATTGATTAAGCCAGGGAGATCGAGGCTGTAGTGAGCTATGATTGTGCCACTACAAAAGCCCGGGCAACAGAGTGAGACCTTGTCTCAAAAATAAATAAACAAATAAATAAATAAATAGAACATATGTCTTAACAATTACCATCACTTTTACCAGATGGAAGGTCTTAACTGTGAGTTGTCCAGGTTCTTGGTGTGTTGAACAAAAATTTGAACAAAACGCACAAACAAAGCAAAAAGAGAATGAAGCAACAAGGGAACGAAGCAACAAAGGAACAAAGCAACAAAAGGCAAACAAAGCAATAAAGAACAGAGTAACGAAGGCACAGATTTATGAAGAGGCGGAAGTACAATTACAAAATGGGAGCGAGCTCAAGCAAGCGGCTGGAGAGCCTCTTCTGTTGCAAGGCTCCCCAGGATTTGTATAAAGCCAAAAGAATTTGGTAACACCCCTAAGTGCCCTTTAGGGGCCTCCAATTGGTGATATCCTATAAAGGATTGGCCTGCGACCAATCAGAGGCTGAAGTGGAGACTTCCGTCTTATCACAGGGGTGAAGATGAGGCCTGTGTGCTGCCCAATCTTGCCTAGAACTGGCTGCACCTGCTGTTCTCTTGCTTATGCCCCAGCCCTTGGCTACCCTAATTCCCCATTCTCCTGCCTCATTACCATGAACAATATGAATTAAATGTTTTTAAGCTTTCATGGTCAAGGTTTTAAATCTTTTGCATTTCATATCATTTCTAAATTAATCTCTTTTAAATTAAGAGATAGTTTATTGACACTTCCTGAGCTCTCTGAGCAAATTATAAGAATGTGTGCAGTCACCATGGTTTTTTTACCTGACTGTAATAAGGCTTAATATTGTTTTGAAAAATGTATCTGCATTTGTCCTACTTACATTCATTGTGCTAACAGAAATACCCTACATGAATTCTGTTTCCAAAGTTAATTTGGCAAACATCTGCTGCAAGAAAATGGTCCAGATGGTTTCTGACATGTAGTGATAATAAATAAGTGGTCCTTTTCACATATTGCATGGTATTTGCTGTAGTTTTCTATTAAAAGGATGTGGTTTTTAAGGGACAAAAAAAAAAATCACTTAATTTCATGGCAACTCAAGGCACATGGAAACATATGTGACTCATGTGTCTAAATGCCAGGCCACTCTTTATAGATTCCAGTGGGGTCACATTGCCAGGAATATGTCATATGTTACTGACCCATGTTGCTTTCTGATATTTTAATATCACTTGCCACATGCTTTACATGTATTATCTTACTTAATCTTTTCAACTGTCCTACATAGGTATTATCATTATATCTATTTTCTTTCTTTTTTTTTTTTTTTTTTGAGTTGGAGTTTCACTCTTGTTGTTGCCCAGGCTGGAGTGCAATGGCACCATCTCAGCTCACTGCAACCTCTGCCTCCCAGGTTCAAGCAACTCTCCTGCCTTGGCCTCCGGAGTAGCTGGGATTACAGGTGCCTGCCACCACGCCCAGGTAATTTTTTGTGTTTTTAGTAGAGACGGAGTTTCACCATGTTGGCCAGGCTGGTCTCGAACTCCTGACCTCAAGTGATCCACCGGCCTCGGCCTCCCAAAGTGCTGGGATTACAGGTGTGAGCCACCGTGCCCGGCCCATTATCTCTGTTTTCTAGATGAAGAAATAGTCCAAGGGTTTTAGTAAGCGGTAGAGCACCTGACACCAAAGCCCCGTGTTCCTAATATCCACACACCCTCCACCCCAATAGTTTCTAGGCCGTGCTACCTTGTTGCATTGCCACTGGACAAACTCCTGGGTAAGGCTTATTGGCCGAGTCTTCTTCACCTGCAAAATTGCACAAAGACACCTTGCCACACCTCTGAAGCCCACTGTCAGTCCTTTCCCCTGAAAGTGGCACATTTGTTGCCCACCCTCCAAGTTGTCAAACACTGAAGCCACAGAGAGAATGACACAGATGGGGAAAGGCCTCTCTCACTCCACCCAGTGTCCCTCATTAACATCCAAATGGCAGTTTATCACATATCTCACAGAGCGCCTTCTGAAACACCTTCATCTCTGCTTGCCATCCCTCTCTCCATAGGCCAGACCAGGGGACCAAATCTGAGACAGACTCTCTGCATTGCCCTCCCCAAGGGGATAAGACTTTTATTCTCCTTTTGTCAAAACCTACTAGCAACCTGATTTCTACAAACTGAGTGGGGTTAGGAGGGAGGTGAGCACTAAGATATCACAAGAAATGTAACCAGATAAGAGAATAGGGCTGTGTTTACTGAAATTCCTTGCATGAAGAGCATGTCTTGTGGTGGGAAGGAATACATTAGTAAGTCACTTGGAGATTGATATGGTTTGGCTGTGTGTCCCCACCCAAATCTCATCTCGAATTATAATCCCCACATGTCAAGGGAGGCAGGTAATTGGATCATGGGGGCAGTTTCCCCCATGCTGTTCTTATGATAGTGAGTTCTCACAAGATCTGATGGTTTTATAAGCATTTGGAAGTTCCTCCTTTGCTCCTCTCTCTCACCTGCCACCATGTAAGATGTGCCAACTTCCCCTTCTGCCATGATTGTAAGTTTCCTGAGGCCTCCCCACCTAGACAGAATTGTGAGTCAATTAAATCTATTTCCTTTATAAATTACCTAGTCTTGGGTATATCTTTATAGCAGTGTGAAAATGGACTAGTAAGATTCCATGTGAGTGTGTAAAGGTAGAAGCAAGTGGTCACTAAACTGCCTGTTAAGCAGAGCAAGTCTAGTTCACGTCTAAATTTGATTTGTTGGGAAAGTTGAACAAGTTTGAGGCCAGAGTGGAAGTACTCTTGATAACAGACAAGAGTCTGAGTGGGTGGCTCTGCCTCTCCCACAAAGAGTGTTTAATCTTTCCCCTACTGAAGAGATCTTGGACAAATACTTAAAAGAATAGGGCTGTGAAGAAGCACTAAATTGAGAGCTTGAAACTGCCTTACAACTCTGCCCTATCAGTTTCAGCACTTGGTACAACCTGGCGGCTGCTACAGTTCCTGCCTCCCATATAACTGCTTGTGGAAATTTTTAATTTTTCTTTCTTTTTTTGAGATATTGCCCAGGCTGGTCCTGAACTCCTGGGATCAGGCAATCCTCCCTCCTTGGCCTCCCAAAGTTCTGGGATTACAGGCATCAGCTACCACATCCAGGCTGATTTTCTTAAATTTAACTAATTTTTGATGTCAATATTTGTAGCACCTGCTTTAAGTAGAGCCCTAGGCTATTGGTGTTGTGAGAACATAAGAAAAATATCAGAGGAAGCTTTAAATGAACAAGCAAAACTATTGCAAAGCACTTAAATAATATTCACTACCTTAAATAACATTAGTGAGCACTTAAAGTAAGTCTGGTACTGTGCTAAGTGCTTTGCATGCATTATCTCATGTAATACACATATACACACAATACCTTGAGGTCGGTACCAGTATTATCCCCATCTTCCAGGTGAGAAGCAATTGCCGAAGGTCTCTCAGCTAACAAAGGGCAGAGCTACCATAAGTCATCATGGGAAGGAGATCTACCTAGAATGTTTGGGCAAAACTCAGTGAGGAGATGAGAGTAGATCTTTTAAAGAAGAGAAAGAGGCCAGCTGCAATGGCTCACGCCTGTAATCCCAATACTTTGGGGGGATGGATCACTTGAGGTCAGGAGTTCAAGACCAGCCTGGCCAACATGGTGAAACCTCGTCTCTACTAAAACTACAAAAATTAGCCGGGCATGGTGGGGGGCGCCAGTAACCCAACTACTCGGAAGGCTAAAGCAGGAGAATCGCTTGAACCAGAGAGGCAGAGCTTGCAGTGAGCAGAGATTGCGCCACTGCACTCCAGCCTGGGAAACAGAACAAGACTCTGTCTCAAAATAAATAAATAAATAAATAATAAAAATAAAGAAGAGAAAGAGACAGAAGCATGCGAGGGGGCCAGGAGGCCAGGATATGCAATGAAAACTGCTTGAGAAAAGGTGGAGATGGCAGAATAAAGAAAGCCATGGAACTCAAACTGTGGCCTGTGGAACAAACCCTGCCCACCACCTGTTTCTGTACAGTTTGCTTTTGCAATCTGTTAAGAATGATTTTTACCTTTTTTTTATTATTATATTTTAAGTTTTAGGGTACATGTGCACAACGTGCAGGTTAGTTACATATGTATACATGTGCCATGTTGGTGTGCTGCACCCAGTAACTTGTCATTTAACATTAGGTATATCTCCAAATGCTATCCCTCTCCCCTCCCCCAACTCCACAACAGGCCCCGGTGTGTGATGTTCCCCTTCCTGTGTCCATGTGTTCTCATTGTTCAATTCCCACCTATGAGTGAGAACATGCGGTGTCTGGTTTTTTGTCCTTGCAATAGTTTGCTGAAAATGATGGTTTCCAGCTTCATCCATGTCCCTACAAAGCACATGAAGTCATCATTTTTTATGGCTGCATAGTATTTCACGGTGTATATGTGCTACATTTTCTTAATTCAGTCTATCATTGTTGGACATTTGGGTTGGTTCCAAGTCTTTGCTGTTGTGAATAGTGCTGCAATAAACATACATGTGCATGTTTCTTTATAGCAGCATGATTTATAATCCTTTGGGTATATACCCAGTAATGGGATGGCTGGGTCAAATGGTATTTCTAGTTCTAGGTCCCTGAGGAATCACCACACTGACTTCCACAATGGTTGAACTAGTTTACAGTCCCACCAACAGTGTAAAATGTTCCTATTTCTCCACATCCTCTCCAGCACCTGTTGTTTCCTGACTTTTTAATGATGGCCATTCTAACTCGTGTGAGATGGTATCTCATTGTGGTTTTGATTTGCATTTCTCTGATGGCCAGTGATGATGAGCATTTTTTCATGTGTCTTTTGGCTGCATAAATGTCTTCTTTTGAGAAGTGTCTGTTCATATCCTTCGCCCACTTTTTGATGGGGTTGTTTTTTTCTTGTAAATTTGTTTGAGTTCATTGTAGATTCTGGATAGTAGCCCTTTGTCAGATGAGTAGATTGCAAAAATTTTCTCCCATTATGTAGGTTATCTGTTCACTCTGATGTAGTTTCTTTTGCTGTGCAGAAGCTCTTGAGTTTAATTAGATCCCATTTGTCAATTTTGGCTTTTGTTGCCATTGCTTTTGGTGTTTTAGACATGAAGTCCTTGCCCATGCCTATGTCCTGAATGGTATTGCCTAAGTTTCCTTCTAGGGTTTTTATGGTTTTAGGTCTAACATGTAAGTCTTTAATCCATCTTGAATTAATTTTTGTGTAAGGTGTAAGGAAGCGATCCAGTTTCAGCTTTCTGCATATGGCTAGCCAGTTTTCCCAGCACCATTTATTAAATAGGGAATCGTTTCCCCATTTCTTGTTTTTGATTTTTACCTTTTTAAATGTTTGGGGTGGGGGGATCAAAACAAGAATAACATTTTGTGACCCAATAAATCATATGAATTTGTTTAATCTCTTTTTTCAACTTTTATTTTAGATTCAAGGGGTACATGTGCAGGTCTGTTAATCAGAGTATATTTCCTGTTGCTGAGGTTTGGGGTACAATTGAAACTGTCACCCAGGTAGTGAGCATAGTACCCAATAGGTAGTTTTTCAGTCCTTGCCCCACTCCTTCCTTCACCCATCTTGTAGTCCCCAATCCCCACTTCCCATATTCAAGTCCATGAGCACCCAATGTTTAACTCCCACCTATAAGTAAGAATGTGCAATATTTGGCTTTCTGCTTCTGCATTCATTCACTTAGGATAATGGCCTCCAGCTGCTTCCATGTTGCTGCAAAGGACATGACTGATTTCATTCTTTTTTATGGCTACATAGTATTCTGTGGTATATATGTACCACATTTTCCTTACCCAATCCATTGTCGATAGGCACCTAGGTTGATTCCCTGTCTTTGTTATTGTGAATAGTGCTGCAATGAATGTATGTTCCTTTTTGGTAGGACAGTTTATTTTCTTTTGGGTATATACTCAGTATTGAGATCAAACGGCTCAAATGGTAGCTCTGTTTTTGTTCTTTTTTTCTCTCTTTTTTTAGAGACAGGGTCTCACTCTGTCACCCAGGCTGGAATGCAGTGATGCAGTCATAGCTCACTGCCACCTTGAATTCCTGAGTTCAAGGGATCCTCCTGCCTCAGCCTCCCAAATAGTCAAATCACAGACACATGCTACCAGCACCCAGCTAATTTTTTAATTTTTTGTAGAGATGGGTTCCCGCCATCTTCCCCAGGCTAATCTTGAACTCCTGGGCTCAAGCAAGCCTCCTGCCTCAGCCTCTCGAGATGCTGGAATTACAGGCATAAGCCACTATGTTCAGCCTGTTTTTAGTTCCTTGAGAAATCTTCAAAGTGCTTTCCACAGTGGCTGAACTAATTTACATTCTAACAGTAAATAAGCATTTCCTTTTCTCTGTATCCTTGCCAACATCTATTATTTTTTTACTTTTTTTTTTGAAACGGCGTCTCACTCTGTTGCCCAGGCTGGAGTATAGTAGCGCAATCTCAGCTCACTGCAAACCTCCGTCTCCCGAGTTCAAACAATTCTCTGCCTCAGCCTCCCGAGTAGCTGGGATTACAGGCACCCACCACCACACCTGGCTAATTTTTGTATTTTTAGTAGAGACGGGGTTTCACCATCTTGGCCAGGCTGGTCTTGAACTCCTGACCTCGTGATCCACCCGCCTCGGCCTCTCAAGGTGCTGGGATTACAGATGTAAGCCACCACGCCTGTCGTTTTTTGACTTTTTAATATTAGCAATCCTGACAAGTGTGAGATAGTATCTCGTGGGTTTGGATTGCATTGCTCTGATGATTAGTGATGATGAGCATTTTTTCTTATGTTTTTGGCTGCTTGTATGTCTTCTTTTGAGAAGTGTCCGTTCATGTCCTTTGCTCATTTTTTAATGGGGTTATTTGGTTTTTTCTCGTTGATTTGTTTAATTTCCTTATAGATTCTGGATATTAGACCTCTGCAGGATGCATAGTTTGTGCATATTTTCTCCTATTCTATAGGTTGTCTGTTTAATTTGTTGGTAGTTTATTTTGCTATGGAGAAACTCTTTAGTTTAATTAGGTCCAACTGTCAATTTCTGTTTTTGTTGCAATTGCTTTTGAGGACTTAGTCATAAATTATTTGCCAAAGCTGATGTCGAAAAGGGTATTTCCTAGGTTTTATTCTAGGATATTTATAGTTTGAGGTCTTACATTTAAATATTTGATCCATCTTGAGTTAATTTTTATATACGCTGATAGCAAGGGGTCCAGGTTCATTCTCTGGCATATGGATAGCCAGTTATCTCAGCACCATTTATTGAATAAGGAGTCCTTTCTCCATTGCTTATTTTTGTCAACTTTGTTGATCATCAGATGGTTATAGGTGTGCAACTTTATTTCTGAGTTCTCTATTCTGTTCCATTCATCTATGACTGCTTTTATTATGCTGTTTTGGTTACTAAAGCCTTGTAGTATAGTTTGAAGTTGGGTAAGGTGATGCCTCCAACTTTATTCTTTTTGTTTAGGATTGCCCTGGCTATTCAGGCTCGTTTTTGGTTGCATATACATTTTCAGATAGTTTTTCTAATCCTGTGAAAAATGAGGCTGGGTGCAGTGGCTCACACCTTTGGGAGGCCGAGGTAGGCGGACTGCTTGAGGTCAGGAGTTTGGGACCAGCCTGGCAAACATGGCAAAACCCCATCTCTACTTAAAAAATATAAAAATCAGCCAGGCGTGGTGGTGTGTGTCTGTAATTCCAGATACATGGGAGACTGAGGCAGGGGAATGCCTTGAACCCTGGAGGCAGAGGTTGCAGTAGGCCAAGATCACACCACTGCACTCCAGCCTGGGCAACAGAGCAAGACTCTGTCTCAAAAAAAAAAAGAAAGAAAGAAAAATGACTGGTAGTTTGATATGAATAGTATTTAATCTGTAGATTGCTTTGGGTAGTATGGCCATGTTAACAATATTGATTTTTCCAACCCATGAGCATGGAATGTTTATTCATTTGTTCATGTCATCTATGATTTCTTTCAGCGGTGTTTTGTAGTTCTCCTTATAGAAATCTTTTATCTCCTTTGTTAGATGTACTCCTAGGTATTTTTGTGTTTAACTATTGTAAATGAGATTGTATTCTTAATTTGGCTCTCAGTTTGAATGTTATTGGTGTATAGAAATGCTACCGGTTTTCGTACATGGTTTTTTGTATCCTGAAACTTTACTGATGTCATTTATCAGTTCTAGGAGACTTCACAGAGTCCTCAGGGTTTTCTAGGTATAGAATCATTTCATCAGTGAAGAGAGATAATTTGACTTCCTCTTTCCCTATTTGGATGACTTTTATTTCTTTCTCTTGCCTGATTGCTGCTCTAGCTAGGACTTCCAGTATTACATTGAATAGAAGTGGTGAGAGCAAGTATCCTTGTTTGTTTCAGTTCTTGGAGAAACGCTTCCAACTTTTTCCTGTTCAATATGATGTTGGCTCTGGGTTGTCATGGATAGCTCTTATTATTTCGAGGTAATTTCCTGTAATGCCTTGTTTGTTGAGGGTTTTTATCATGAAGTGATGTTGGATTTTACCAAATGTTTTTTCTGCATCTGATCATATGGTTTTAATTCTGTTTATGTGGTGAATCACATTTATTGATTTATGTGTGTTCAGTCAACCTTGCATCCCGGGAATGAAGCCTACTTCATCATGGTGAACTAACTTTTTGATGTGCTGCTGAATTCTCTTTACAAGTATTTTGTTGAGGATTTTTGTGTCTGTGTTCATCAGGAATATTTGCCTGTAGTTTTCTTTTTTTATTGTGTCTTTGTGAAATTTTTGTATCAGGATGATGCTGTTTATGCAGAATGTGTTAGGGAGGAGTCTCTCTTCCTTGATATTTTGTAATAGTTGGATTGGTACCAGTTCTTTTTTGTACATCTGACAAAATTTGGCTGTGAATCCATCTGGTTCAAGGCTTTTTTTGGTTGGTAGTTTTTTATTACTGATTCAATATTATTATTGGTGTGTTCAGGGTTTAATTAATTCTGATTCAATCTTGAGAAGTCGTGTGTTTCCAGGACTTTATCTATTTCCTCTAGATTTTTTAGTTTGTGTGCATAAATGTTCATAATGGTCTTGATAATCTTTATTTCTGTGAGATCAGTGGTAATGTCACATTTGTCATTTCTAATTGTGCTTATTTGGAACATCTCTCCTTTTTTCTTTGTTAATCTAGGTAGTGGTCTATCAATCTTGTTTATCCTTTCAAATAACCAACTTTTCCTTTCATTGATCTTTTGTATAAATTTTTGGATCTCAATTTTGTTGAATTTTGCTCAGTCATAGCAACTTTAGTGTCTTCAAATAAGGTTTTAGTGGAACACAGCCATTCTCATTCATTTGCATATTTTCCATAGCTGCTTTCATGCTACAATGGCAGAATTGAGTAGTTGCAACAGAAAACATGGCCCCCAAAGCTTAAGACATTTATTTTCTTACCCTTTATGGAAAAAGCCAATCTCTGGACTAGAACAGTGGTCCCTCTCAACATCAGTCAGTGATGAATTTTTTTTTTTACCAATTCACAGAAAAATACCAAAAAAAGTATTTAAAAAGTGGCTTTTTCATAAAGTTAAACTTACTCAATTTAAAGAAGAGTCCTTTATCCTCAGTTAACACCCTCAGTTAACAAAAAAAAAATACTTTTTGTTGAAGTGAAGAGATGTCCTTTCTCTTATTCAGTGATGATGAATGATGGTTTGTTTCTATTTTATCCCTTTATCCACTCTGGTTGATGGGGATAGAAGGAGCAATGACCTTTTTCCTCTCTCTGGCCTTTTTCTCAGCTTCTTCCTTTGGTCTTCATCTGCTCCACCCACCTACCTTCATTCTTCCCAGCTCAAGCTCTGTCCCTCTCCTGCAAAGTTAGTGACCTCAAAAGGAATTCACACTCCGCAGAAATAGCAAAAGAGAATTGCAGGTTATCTGCCATCTGTGTTTAAAGGTAAATGCCTAGTTTCATGTAATTAAGTCCCAAGCATTTTAACTGCTTTAAGTCAGCTTTAAGAGATGGCCCTTCTTTCTTACCATCAAACCATGATGCTCAGTATTTCTCCCACATGGCAGGCACTCAATAACTGCCTGTGCTGAACTTTTAGGGATTGATTCTCAAACTATTGGTTAGAAGCAATTATGATGGAAATTTCCATTGAGGCAGACAGAAGTATTTTTTTTTTTTCTAAAATCAAGCCAGAAATACATTCCTGGGCAAAACTGTAATTCTTAAGTATATCTAAATTTTTTAATGTGTTATAACTTTCTTAAAAACTTTATATTGGGGCCAGGAGCAGTGGCTCATGCCTGTAATCCCAACACTTTGGGAGGCCAGGCTGGGCACACCACTTGGGGTCAGGAGTTCAAGACCAGCCTGGCCAACAAGGTGAAACCCCATCTCTACTAAAAATACAAAAATTAGCCAGGCATGGTGGCATACGCCTGTAATCCCAGCTGCTCTACTCGGGAGGCTGAGGCAGGAGAATCGCTTGAACCCGGGAGGCAGAGGTTGCAGTAGCCGAGATTGTGCCATTGCACTCCAGCCTGGGCAACAGAGCCAGACTCCTTCTCAAAAAAAAAAAAAATTTTTGTTGGAATATAACATACAAGAAGTGCACAGATCATAAGGGTACAGTTCAGTGAATTTTAACACATTTAACACACCCTTATAACCAATATCCAGGGCATTTCCAGCTTCTAGAATGCCTTCATGCTTCATTCTAGTCACCATCTCAAAGACTTAAAAAGCTATCCTGAATGCTAACAGCATAGATTAGTTTTGCCTGGTTTTGTACTTTAAAATGGAATCATGTAGTATGTAAACAATTTTTTTTTTTTTTTGAGACGGAGTCTCACTCTGTTGCCAGGCTGGAGTGCAGTGGCGCTTTTTCAGCTCACTGCAACCTCCGCCTCCCGGGTTCAAGCAATTCTCCTGCCTCAGCCTCCTGGGTAGCTGAGACTACAGGCACATGCCACCACACCCAGCTAATTTTTGTATTTTTAGTAGAGACGGGGTTTAACCATGTCGGCCACGATGGTCTCGATCTCTTGACCTCGTGATCCACCCATCTTGGCCTCCCAAAGTGCAGGGATTACAGGTGTGAGCCACCATACCCGGCCATAGTATGTACACTATTATGGCAAGCTTCTTTCACTCCAGTGATGGGGTAGGGGTCGGGAATGGGAAGGGGTGCTCTGCCCCAGCAGGAAGAAATATTTTATTACTCATTGAATCAATAGCACATGGAATTCAAAAAGAAGAAAAATTACTGGGCACAGTGGCTCACACCTGTAATCCCAGCACTTTAGGAGGCCAGCACAGGCAGATTGCATTGCTTTAGTTCAGGAGTTTGAGACCAGCCTGGGCAACGTGGTGAAACCCTGTCTCTACTAAAAATACAAAAATTAGCCAGATGTGGTGGCTTCTGCCTATAGTCCCAGCTAATCAGGAGGCTGCAGGTGGGAGGATCACTTGACCCCGGGAGGCAGAGGTTGCAGTGAGCCAAGATCACGCCACTGTACCACTGCACTCCAGCCTGGGTGACAGAGCAAGACCTTGTCTCAAAAAAGAAAAAAAAAAGAAGAGAAACTAATTTTAGTCAGTTTTATAATTATTTTTAAATTTTCTACAGCCAATGCACACTCATTGCCTACACCTGGGGTGGACAGTTCTCACCACCCACTGGTATCTGTACATTCCTCTTTCATTTAACATATATTTAGAAGATTCATCCATATGGTTGCAGATAGATGTAGATCATTCCTTTTCATTGGTGTGTAGGGTGTTGATATGGTTTGGATCTGTTCCCACCCAAATCTTATGTCAACTTGTAATCCCCAATGTTGGAGGTGGGGCCTGATGGGACGTCATTGGATCATGGGAACAGTTTCTCACGGTTTAACACCATCCCCCTTGGTGCTGTCATGGCAATAGTGAGTTCGGGTGAGATCTGGTTGTTTAAAAGTATGTAGCACCTTCTCCCTCTCTCTCTTCCTCCTGCTCCAGCCATATAAGATGTGCCTGCTTCCCCTTTGCCTTCCGCCATAATTGTAAGTTTCCTGAGGCTTCCCCAGAAACAAAAGCCGCTATACTTCCTGTGCAGCCTGCAGAACTGTGGGCCAATTAAACCTCTTTTCTTTATAAGTTACTCAGTCTCAGGGTTTTTGTTTTGTTTTGTTTTGTTTTTTGAGACAAGGTCTCACTCTGTCACCCAGGCTGTAGTTCAGTGGCACAGTCACAGCTCACTACACCCTCAGCCTCCACACGCTTAGGTGATCCTCCCACCTCAGTCTCCTGAGTAGCTGGGGCTACAGGCACTCACACCATGTCTGGCTAATTTTTGTATTTTAGTAGAGATCGGTTTTTGCTATGTTGCCCAGGCTGGTCTTGAACTCCTAGGCTCAAGAGATCCACCTGCCTTGGCCTCCCAAAGTGCTAGGATTACAGGCGTGAACCACTGCACCCAGCCAAGTATTTCTTTACAGCAGTGTAAGAAGGGACTAATACAGATGTCACTGAATGAAATACCACAAACTGATTTATTCATCTATATTTTTTTGATGAACATTTCTCTGGGTTGGGGCCATAATCCTGAGAGACACAATCCCAAACACCATAATCCCAAAAGTTGAAATACCAAAAGATGAAAATCCAGAAAATCTAATTCTGGGAAAAGTAGTTTTTTTTAATTCTTTTTAAAATATTTACTTATCTTTTTAAAAGGAGATTTATTATTTATTTGAGAAACATAAAAACATTACAGGGCCAGGCACGGTGGTTCACACCTGTAATCCCAACACTTTGGGAGGCCAAGGTGGATGGATAACTTGAGGTCAGGAGTTCAGGGCCAGCCTGACCAACATGGTAAAACCCTATTTCTACTAAAAATACAAAAAAAATTAGCCAGGCATAGTGGCGTACACCTGTAATCCCAGGTACTTGGGAGGCTGATGAAACAAGAAAATAATTTGAACCCAGGAGGTGGAGGTTACAGTGAGCCAAGATTGTGTCACTGCACTCCAGCCTGGGCAACAAGAGTGAAACTCCCTCTCAAAAAAAAAAAAAAAAATGACAGAACACTTCATAGGCCACTTTACATACTATATTAATAACACAAAAATAACATATATATCTTGCAAGTATAAACACAGGTATACCAGTGACAGTCACATGACTGTAACAGTCATGAGCAGACAAATCATATTTCTAAAGAAATGGGTCAAAAAGTGAAATGTATCAATGCATATCACTATAGTCAGTAATTGTGTGTACTCAGCTTTATAACTGCAATCATTTGAAATACCATGACAGACAACCTATGTTTTTTGACAATATCAATCTAAAACTTCAATGGGTCAGCACCGCATATGCTATCACTGCAAAGCTGAGATCTTGAGAAATTTACCATTCACAAATGCAGATGTACAAAAAGTATGTATTTTTATTTACTGAGAAAGTCAACATTTTTATGTATATGCACAATTCTTACACACAAAGTTAACATCATGATAATGCACTTTTGCGGAGTCAAATTTGTAAAAAACAAAAATGCATAAAGCAAACTAGAACACTATAAAAGTCTTTGCACAATTTTTACTTCCAGTATTGGAAATAATGTGAAGATGAAATACATAGTATAGCAAATTGGTGCTGTGTGTGAAGGGGCAGAAGTTGCACATGACTGAATAACTTGGCAGGGGAGATTTCTCGTGTTTTTAGCCTGCATTTTCAATTACTCTATGATCTTTAAAATACTCACTGCACTTGTGTTTGGAGAGTGGTTGCATTCTACAAATTTTGAAAGTATATATTGTCCATTTGAAAGTCTGATTATTATTTAATCCTTGCAATTAAGTGATGTTTCTGCTTTCTCAGCACCAATAATGATTAGTTTTTAAACTTTTATCTTTCACTATTGATTAGCTTTACACACTTAACTTATCACAGCCTATTTATGAGGGAACAATTTCACAGATCTCTTTCACTGCATTGTCAAGAATACAATAAGAGGGAATGATATTCAGCTTCCCCAATAACAAATCTGCATTAGTCAAGGTTCTCCAGAGAGACAGAACTAATAGAATATACTGGTATATCATATATATATATATATGTGATATATGAGGGTATTTATTAAGGGCTTTGGGAACTAGCTTACATGATTATGGTGGCTGAGAAGTCCATGATAGGCCATCTGCAAGCTGCAGACCATAGGATGCCGATAGCATGACTCAGTTCAGGTCCAAAGGCCTCAGCACCAGGAAAGCCAATTGTGTAACTCTGAGTCCAAGGCCTCACACTCTGGGGGGCCACTGGTGTAAATCCTGCAGTCCAAAGATCAAAGGGCCTAGAGTTCAGCTGTCTAAGGCCCCAGAAGAAAAGTCTATTCCAGCCCTCAGGGAGAGACCAATTTGCCTTCTGCACTTGTTCTCTCAGGGCCCCTGGCCAGTTGGATGGTGCCTGCCAACATTCAGGAGCGATCTTCCTCAGCTAGTCCACTCTGACTCACACATACATCTCCTCTGAAAACACCCTTACAGACATACCCAAAATAATGTGTTACCAGGTTTCTAGGTATTCTTCAATCTAGTCAAGATGACATCTAAAATTAAGTCCACAAGTCCACCCCTTGTCAACTTGGCACCTATAAGCATCTCCTTAAATTATACTTAATTTCCAAATAAAGACAATGACAAGGTAATATTTCCTCTAACATGATACAACTAACATGTTACAACTACCTTGCTTGCAACCAAAAATGCACTAATCCCTTCCCCAGAATTCAGCTTTCAGGATTTCAACATTCAGGATTTTATATTTCAAGATTGTGAATTTTGGAATTTGGGGATGTTACAAATTTTACACTTTAGGGATTTTGACCTTTTGAGATTTCAACAGTCAGGATTATGACATTTAGGATTGTGTGCCTTTTAGGATTATGACTGGTATCACATCTCCCAAACCCCCCTTTCTTCTAACCACCCCAGCTTCTGGTAACCACTATTCTACACTCTATGTCTATGAGATCAACTTTTTTAGATCACATGTATGAATGAAATCATGCGGTGTTTGTCTTTCTGTTCCTGGCTTATTTCTTTTTAATATAATGTCCTCCAGGTTCATCCATGTTGTCACAAATGACAGGATATTCACCTATTTTTGATGGGCATTTAGGCAGTTTCTCATTTAGTGCTATTATGAATAGTGCTGCTCCGAATATTTTTGTCTGTGTCTTTGGTGAACATATGGATGAATTTCTGTTGGATAAATACCTAGGAGTAGACTATCTGGGTCATATGTATATATAGCATGGGGTATGCATATATTTAGCTTTGACATGCTGTCAAGGAGTTTGCCAGATGGTTGTACCAGCTTATACTCCCACCAACAGTGTATGAGGACTCCAGCTGCTTCACATCCTCACCACCACTTGGTATTTTCTGTCTATTCATTTTAGCTGTTCTGGCAGGTATATTGTATATATCTGTCTTAGTCTATTTTGTGTTGCTTTAAAGGAACACCTGAGGCTGGGTAATTTACTAAGAGAGATTTAGTTGGCTCACAGTTCTGCAGACTGTACAAGAAGCATGATGCCAGCATCTGCATCTGGTTAGGGTCTCACACTGCTTCCACTCATGGCAGAAGGCAAAGGAGAGATGATATGTGCAGAGATTACATAGCAGGAAAGGAAGCAGGGATATGAGAGGTGCCAGGCTGTTTTTAACAACCAGCTTTCACACAGGAACTAATAGCCTGAGAAGTCACTCACACACACCCCAGGAAGGGCATATCTATTCATAAGGGATCTGCCCCCAAAACCGGAACACTTCCCATTAGACCCCACCTTCAATACTAGGATCAAATTTCAATAAGATTTGGTAGGGACAAACAAACCATATCCAAGCTATAGCAATGTCCATAATTATAAAAGATCCCTGGACTTCAGAATACCTAGAAGGCCAGGGATATCAATTTCTTCAGAACGGATCCACAAAGGAAAGAAAAAGCCAAATTCAGAGGCACAAGTCAACCTAAACGATCAGCTCTATATGATGTGAAGGGAATATGACCATCAGAAATAGGGGCACTCATGAAATAAAAGTGATATTATTGTAACATATATCTATTGAAGACATGCTGTATGAGTGAATTGTGTCCTCCCCAACAAAAACAATGTATACATTGAAGCCCTAACCCTTAGGGTGACTTTATTTGAAAATGGGGCCTTTAAGGAGGTAATTAAGGTGAAATGAGGTTGTGAGGGTGGGGGCCTAATCTGATTAGACTGATGTCCTTATAAGAAAAAGAAAAGCCACAAACCTCTCTCACTCTCCACCACATGAGGACCCAGTGAGAATGTGGATGGTTGTCTGCAAGTCAGGAAAAGAGGCCTCACCAGAAACCAACCTCGCTGGTACCTTGATATTGGGCTTCTAGCCTCCAGAACTGTGAGAAAATAGATTTCTGTTGTTTAAGCCACCCAATCTGTGGTATCTCGGTATGGCAGCTTGAACAGATAAATGGATATGCTCTATACCAAGCACTATGCTAGGAACTGGAACACTGTGGTAAGCAACATTTAGCCCTGAATTTCAAGAAGCTTGAGCTAGCCATGAGGCCACTGGGACATGTGAGAGTATGAACTTTTGCAAAGGGCACTGCTCCTGCACTTCTAGTGTGGACAGAGAGTGAATGAAGAACTCCTCGTCTATAGTTTGCATTTGCTTCCATCAATGCTGTCTCCTTCTTTTGTTTTCTACCTAGATATAGTTTTTTAAGCCTAGAGGCTTAATTTTAAGGCACATTGATCTGTTCTTCCCCAGGCAGTAATTGTATCTCTTGATTTCTATGTTGCATATTTTTTTCATATTTTAGTATCACTGAAAGTGAGATGCGGTTAGAGCCCATGAAGTCTTGTTAGTTGTTGTCAGCTTGGATCGAAGTCAAGTTTTTCTAAAGAGGATTTGAATTTGCTTCTGCCTGTCACATGGGTCCATACCAAACTGAGACCACTTTAAATTAAATTATCTCCTTGAAGTTTGTTGAGCCGCTTTGGTAAATTCAGATCACAAACAGCATGAGAACCTATGTGTGTTTCCAATTTTCAGGAGAGATTTACATGCCCTCCACCCAGGGCCAGGTTGAACCATCCAAAGTTTCTTCCTGAACTTCTATGCACAGAGGGTTTTTTTCTCACTTACATTTACACTGAGAATATAACTGTTTGGCATTTCCAATTTTTTCTGTTGAGGGTGATGACACCTGGAGACTCTCCATCCTAAATGTTTTCCCTTTCTTGAGAGTGCGTAAAATGTGATGCCTTTCACATAGAAGGAATTCAATAGCAATAAAACAGGGTAGTTTCTCCTTCCTCTGTGTTTCCCTAGTGCTTTATTACTTATCTGCTAACATACCTGTCTCTATCAATAACCTCTGGGCCTATGGAGATGAGAATGAAGACAGAGAAACCTCTGACTCAGCTTTGTAACCCTAGATCTTAGCAATGTTCCTGAAACATAACTGACAATTTAAATAAGTGCAGACACGTGTGGTAGCTCCCACTTATAATTCCAGCACTTTGAGAGGCTGAGGCAGGATGATTGCTTGAGGCCAGAAGTTTGAGACCAGTCTGGGCAACATAGCAAGACCCGGTCTCTATAAAAATTAAAATTAGGAACCGGCACAGTGGCTCATGGCTGCAATCCCAGCACTTTGGGAGGCCGAGGTGGGCGGATCACCTGAGGTCGGGAGTTCGAGACCAGCCTGACCAACATGGAGAAACCCCGTCTCTACTAAAAATACAAAATTAGCCAGGCATGGTGGCGCATGCCTATAATACCAGCTATTTGGGAGGCTGAGGCAGGAGAATCGCTTGAACCTGGGAGGAGGAGGTTGCGGTGAGCCGAGATCACGCCATTGCACTCCCGCCTGGGCAACAAGAGTGAAACTCCGTCTCAAAAAAAAAAAATTAAATTAAATTAAATTTTTAAAAAATTCCTGGGCATGGTAGTGCATGCCTATATTCCCAGCTCCTTGGGAGGCTGAGTGGGGAGGATGGCTGGACCCCAGGAGTTCAAGGCTTCAGTGAACTAATCATGTCACTGCACTGCAGACCAGGAAACAGAGCAAGATCCTGCTTCAAAAAAAAAAAAAGAAGAAGAAGAAAGAAATGAATAAAGACACGTATCACTCAGTCCTCTCCATCAATCTTCAGTGCAACTGGGGGAAGAGGGCTAAGATATTCTTAAATCCACAGATGCTAGAATTGACACTTAAAAACATGTTTTATTAAAAATATTTGTTGGTATATGAAATATTCAAATTATATTACTAGTGAAAATGTAGGCCAAAACAGTATGTAGTAAATATACAACTTTTAAACAATTTCTACATATTAAAATGTACCAAAATATTAAGAGTTACTTCTAAGTTATAGGCTTCTGGGTAACTTTTTATTTCTGCTTTTCCAGACTTCTAAAATATCCTCAGTGATTATGTAATAAGCACACGTGTGCACAATACATGTCATATTTTTAAAAATACAAGTGTGAGGAAAAGATGAGAAAGGAATCTTGTGTTCTTTCTGTCATCTGAAAGGAAAATCACCTTTCTTAATAAAATAAATATCTGATCCACCAATATTAGTAATATTAGTAATATTATTGGTGGACCAATAATACTGAGACCCCATAGGGGAAGAGGCAGCTAGACCTCATTTCCACTCAGTCATTCACAAATGACAGGGAGCAAAAATGTGTCATTATCTCCAGATGGGTGAGTATAAAGTTTTTTCATATTATAGTTTAATATTATATGGGGATAGGGAGGGCATGCCATTTGTTTTCATAATAGAAACTACAGAAAATAAAGATTGACCAAATCTTAGCTGACATCAGGAACTTGATTTTAAAAGTTGAGAAAGTCAACACTTGTTTCCCAAGACTCACCTTCCCCTTTGAGATCTCACACGAATTACTGCAGCTACTACTTATGCAGTCCTTAGCCACCCCTTTAACACTCAGGCCCAAATACAGACACGTGTCACTTCCATGATTTCTGTAGACCAACTGTAGGTGAGTTAGGTCAGCAAAAAATCAAATACTCAGAGTAACTACAGGGGAAGAAACGATTTACCTGGGGAAAGAATAAAAGGTATCTAACAAGGAAAGGTATATAGATATCTATAGATCTGTAGATATAGATCTATAGATATATATATTTAGAGAGAGAAAGAGAGAAGATATGGATTTCTGATGCCTTCTTTATTTTTCACAGTAGCCTTCCCTAGGTTGATGGAATTATGTGACCAGCAGAGACTCCCAAGTTTCCTCCAGAACAAGAAGTACTGAATCTCATAGTATCTGGACTTTTATTCTCTAAAACCCCTGAAGGCTGCATCATTAATGTCTAGTTCAACCTTTATTACAAAATGATGAGTGTGGAATTGCCACATGCAGCCCTAATGTCTAAATTTTATGTTTAGAATTTCTAACTATGCCATAGAGACTGGGGATTTCAACTTGACGAAAGGACTTCTCCATAGCTTAGGAGTTTTCAGGCTGAAAGGATTCCTGAGTGGCCCAGCCATAACCTACCCCAAAAGATATAGAAGATCAGAGTAAATGGAGAGTCATATTCATAAACAGAAAAACTCAATTTTAAAAAGATGTAATTTTCCCCAACTAATCTATAAATACAATACAATCTCAATAAAAATTTTGACAGCTGTGTTTTAAGATCTTATAAGCCGATTTTTTTTTTTTGAAACGGAGTCTTGCTCTGTAGCCCAGGCTGAAGTGCAGTGGTGCGATCTCAGCTCACTGCAACCTCTGCCTCCCAGGTTCAAGCGATTCTCCTACCTCAGCCTCCCGAGTAGCTGGGATTACGGGCATCCGCCACTACACCCAGCTAATTTTTTGTATTTTTAGTAGAGACGGGGCTTCACCATGTTGGCCAGGCTGGTCTTAAACTCCTGACCTCGTGATTCGCCCGTCTCGGCCTCCCAAAGTGCTGGGATTACAGGCTTGAGCCACTGCGCCCGGCCTATGAGCCTGATTTTAAAATGTATATGGACATGTAATGGACAAAGAGCAGCCAAGTCAATTTTGGAGAGAAAAGAAGACGATGCAGAAAAGGAGGAGAGATTTATTCTACTATATATTATGACTTACTAAAACTCTATAGCAATTAAGACTGGTATTGACTGGGGAATAGAAAAATAGAGCAATAAACAGAATAGAAAACCCAGATAGAGACTTATGCATACATAAAAATTTGATATATGACAAAGATTTCATTATAAATCAGTGGAGGAAATATAGATTATTTTGTAAACAGTACTGGAACAATTGCTTTATCCAAACATACAAAAAGGAGTGAAGATTCCTTCTTCTTACCACACATAAAAATAAATTAAAGATAGATTAAAGACCCAAGTCTAAAAAGAAAATCCTTTAACCTTTAGGAAGAAATGTAAAATAATATGGCTCTGATCTTCAGGTTGGGGAAGATATTTTTCAAAGGCACAAATCAAAAGGAAAAGATGGATAAATATGACTGTATTTATATAAAAGCTTGTTATACAAAACACAATAAACAAAGCTAAAAGACAAATCACACACTGTGGTAAAGTATTTGCAATGTGTGCACATGAAAAAAAAAGTCTTAGAAATCGATGAGGGGGAAAAAACAGAATAACAGAAACGTTGGCAAGATTTATGTAGAGGTAATTCACAGAATAGGAAACTCAAATGGCCAAAGAATATATGAAAAGAAGCTCACTCACACTTACAGCCATGAAAGTGCAAATACAACTTAAAACTAGGATAAGATAATTGGAAAAAATATATATATTGAATTCTACTACACTAAGTGTTGTTGAAAATTTGGATTTGCTTGTGCTAATATAAAATAACGTGAGTGGGAAATCTGACATCTAGTAAAGATGTAAATGAGCATATCTTTCAAGCCAGCAATATTTCTATACCTCTTTTAAGTAGATATATTACAATCTATAAGGAGACAAGTACAAGGGTGTTCATTATTGTATCATTTGCAGTTGCAAAAAAAAGAAGAAGGAAAGAAAATCATTTAAATGTCCAAGAGGGGAAATTTTCAAATAAAGCATATCATATTTATAAAATTAAATCCTATACACTGGTTAAAATGAATAACTAGAAATTCAGGTTTTAACATGGATAAATGTCCAAAAAAAAAAAAAACCATAATACTGAGCCAAGCAAGCAAGTTCCAGAGTGACGTGTGTGGTAAAATACCATTTCCATATAGCTTAAAAGAATTTATACAGTATATCCTTTGTAGAGAGATACATATATGTAACAGCATTTAAATATCCATGACATTGAAAAACACAAAATTCAATATAACAATTACTCTGAATAGATAAGAAGAAGAATGGAATTGAGAAATAGTACACAGGAACTTCAAATAAATCTGTAAACTTCTAAATTTATTTATTTATTTATTTTTTTGAGATGGAGTCTCACTCTGTTGCCCAGGCTGGAGTCCAGTGGTGCAATCTCAGCTCACCGCAACCTCCGCCTCCCAGGTTCAAGCAATTCTCTCCCTCAGCCTCCCAAGTAGCTGGCATTACAGGCACCCACGCCTGGCTAATTTTTGTATTTTTAGTAGAGACAGGGTTTCACCATCTTACCCAGGCTGGTCTTGAACTCCTGACCTCATGATCCACCTGCCTCATCCTCCCAAAGTGCTAGAATTACAGGCGTGAGCCACTGCACCTGGCCAATTTTTTAGTTTTTAATTGACTGAAATTTAATAGTATGTTAAAAGGTATTTTCTCTTTTACTTTAGATTCAGGGGACATGAGTGCAGGTTCAATACAAGGGTATATTGGATGGTGCTGAGGTTTGGGCTTCTAAAGAACTGATTGCCCAATTAGAGAATATAGTACCCAATAGGTAGTTTTTCAGTCCTTGCCCTCGCCTCTCGCCTTCTCGAATTCCCAGTGTCTATTGTTCCCACCTTTGTGTCCATGTGTGCCCAGTGTTTAGCTCCCACTTGTATGTAAGAACATGTGATATTTTTGGTTTTCTGTTTCTATTTTAATCTGCTTAGGATAATGGCCATCAGCTGCATCTATGTTGCTGCAAAGAACATTATTTTATTCCTTTTTATGGTTGTGTAGTATTCCATGGTGTATATGAACCACATTTTCTTTATCCAGTCCACCACTGATAGGTACCTAGGTTGACTCCATGTCTTTGCTATTGAGCATAGCACTGTGATGAATATATGAGTCTTTTTAGTATAATGGTCTATATTCCTTTGGGCATATACCCAGTAATGAGATGCTGGGTTGAATGGTAATTCCATTTTTATTTCTTTGGGAAATCTCCAAACTGCTTTTCACAGAGGCTCAATCTGCATTCCTACCAAGTGTATTAGCACTTCCTTTTCTCTGCAAACTTACCAGTATGTTGTTTTTTGACTTTTTAATGATAGCCATTCTGACTAGTGTGAGATGATGTCTCATTGTGGCTTTGATGTGCATTTCTCTGATGTTTAGTGATAATGGGTATTTTTTCATATACTCATTGGCTGCTTGTATGTCTTCTTTTGGGAAGTGTCTGTTCATGTTGTTTGCCCACTTTTTAATGGGGCTATTTGGTTTTTGTTTGTTGATTTGCTTAAGTTCCTCATAGATTCTGGATATTAGACCTTTGTTAGATGGTTAGTTTGCAAATATTTTCTCCCATTCTGTAGGTTGTCTGTTTACTCTGTTGGTAGTTTATTTTGCTGTACAGGAGCTCTTTAATTTAATTAGGTCTCAACTGTCAATTTTTGTTTTTGTTAAATTTGCTTTTAAGGACTTAATCATAAATTATTTGCCTAGACCAACGTCTAGAACAGTATTTCCTAGGTTTTCTTCTAGTATTGTTATGGCTTGAGGTCTTAACATTTAAATCTTTGATCCATCTTGAGTTAATATTTGTATATGGTGATAGGAAGGGGTCCAGGTTCATTCTCTGGCATATGGATAACCAGTTATCCTAGCACCACTTATTGAATAAGAAGTCCTTTCTCCATTGCATATTTTCATCAACTTTGTCAAACATCAGATGGTTGTAGGTGTGCGACTTTATTTCTGAGTCCGCTATTCTGTTCCATTGGTCTATGTGTCTGTTTGGTTTTGGTTGTTGTTGTTTTGTTTTGTTTTGAGATGGAGTCTCACTCTATCGCCCAGGCTGGAGTGCAGTGGCACGATCTCGGCTCACTGCAAACTCTGCTTCCTGGGATCAAGCGATTCTCGTGCCTCAGCCTCCCTGAGTAGCTGGGATTACAGGCATCCACCACCACACCTGGCTAATTTTTGTGTTTTTAGTAGAGACAGGGTTTCACCATGTTGACCAGGCTGGTTTCAAACTCCTGACCTCAGGTGATCTGCCCGCCTCAGCCTCCCAAAGTGCTGGGATTACAGGCGTGAGCCACTGTGCCCGGCCTGTGTCTGTTTTTAATACCAGTATCATGTTGTTTCAGTTAGGATAGACTTGCAGTATAGTTTGAAGTTGAGTAAGGAGATGTTTCCAGCTGTATTCTTTTTGCCTCGGATTGCCCTGGCTATTCGGGCTCTTTTTTTTGGTTCCATATGAATTTTAGAATAGTTTTTTCTAATCCTGTGAAAAATGACATTAGTAGTTTGATAGGAATAGTGTTGAATCTGCAGATTGCTTTGGGCAGTATGGCAATGTTAACAATATTGATTCTTCCAATCCATGAGTATGGAATGCTATTACATTTGTTTGTGTCATGTATGGTTAATTTCAGCAGTGTATTGTAGTTCTCCTTGTAGAGATATTTTACCTCCTTCGTTAGATGTATTCCTAAGTATATTATTTTTTTGTGTGTCTATTGTAAATGGGACTGTTTTTTTTATTTTGTTCTCAGCTGGACCGTTATTGGTGTATAGAAATGCTACTGTTTTCGTGCATTGATTTTGTATCCTGAGACTTTGCTGAAGTTGCTCATCAGATCTAGGAGTCTTTTGTGGAATCTTTAGGGTTTTCTAAGTATAGAATATTATCATGGCCGGGCGCAGTGGCTCACGCCTGTAATTCCAGCACTTTGGGAGGCCAAGGCGGGCAGATCACCTGAGGTCAGGACTTGACTAGCCTGGACAACATGGTGAAACCCCGTCTCTACTAAAAACACAAAAATTAGCCACCATGGTGGCAGGCACCTGTAATCCCAGCTACTCTGGAGGGTGAGGCAGGAGAATTACTTGAACCCGGGAGACAGAGGTTGCAGTGAGCTGAGATCGTGCCACAGGACTCCAGCCTGGGCAACTGAAGCGAAACTCCATCTCAAAAAAAAAAAAAAAAAATCTTATCATTAGTGAAGAGAGATAATTTGACTGACTTCTTTGTTTCCTATTTGGATGTTTTCTATTTCTTTCTCTTGCCTGATTGATCTAGCTAGGACATTCAGTATTATGTTGAATAAGAGTGGTGAGAGTAGAGATCCTCGTCTGATTCCAGGTCTTAGAGGGAATGCTTCTGACTTTTGCCTGTTCAATACGATGTTGGCTGTGGGTTGTTATAGATGGCTCCTATTTTGATGTATGTTCCTTCAATGCCTAGTTTGTTGAGAATTTGTAATCATGAAGGGATGATGGATTTTATCAAATGCTTTTTCTGAATCTATTAATTATATGTTTTTTGTTTTTAATTCTGTTTGTGTAGTAAATCACATTTACTAATTTGCATGTATTAAACCATCCTT
Source organism: Homo sapiens (assembly GCF_000001405.40). Taxonomy (NCBI): domain Eukaryota; kingdom Metazoa; phylum Chordata; class Mammalia; order Primates; family Hominidae; genus Homo; species Homo sapiens. The sequence goes on along the minus strand of NC_000010.11, from coordinate 63,728,206 downwards.
ACATCATAGAAATAAAGCCCACTTGATCACTGTGAATTCACATTTTGATGTGCTGCTGGATTTGGTTTGTTAGTATTTTGTCAAGGATTTTTGCATCTATGTCCATCAGGGATATTAGCCTATAGTTTTTTGTTTTTTGGTTTTTTTTGGGGGGGTATCCTTGTGACATTTTTGTATCACAAAATGATTTTGTATCAAAATTGTATCAAAATCATTTTGTGATACAAAAATCTGATGATGATGCTGGCTTTGTGGAATGAATTAGGGAGAAGTCTCTCCTTGATGTTTTGGAATAGTTTCAGTAGGATTGAGATCAGCTCTACTTTGTACAGCTGATAGAGTTCGGCTGTGAATCCATCTGGTTCCAGGCTTTTTTTTTGGCTGGTAGGTTTTTTTATTACGATTCTATTTCAGAACTCAGTATTGGTCTGTTCAGGATTTCTGTTTCTTCCTCGTTCAATCTGGGGAAGTTGCATATTTCCAGGAATTTATCTATTCCCTCTAGATTTTCTAATTTGTGTGCCTAGAGATGTTCGCAATTGTCTCTGATTATCTTTTGTACTTCTGTGGGATCTGTTATAATGTGATCTTTGTCATTTCTGATTGTGCTTATCTGGATCTTCTCTCTGTTTTTCTTTGTTAATCTAGCTAGCAGTCTATCACTCTTGTTTATCCCTTCAAAGAACCAACGTTTTATTTCCCTGGACCTTTGTATGTTTTTGGGGGGTCTCAATTTCAGTTAGTTCTGCTCTAATTTTAGTTATTTCTTTTCTTCTGCTACCTTTCAGTTTAGCTCATTTTTGTTTGTCTAGTTCCTTCAAGGGTGCAAGGTTAGCTTGTTAATTTGGAATCTTTCTGTCTTCTTGATGTAGGCATTTTGCTCTATAAACTTTCCACTTAACACTGCTTTTGCTGTATCCCAGAGATTTCGGTATGTTGTGTCTCTGTTTTCATTTGTTTCTAATAATTTTTCTATTTCATCCTTGATTTAGTTGTTTGCCCAAAAATTATTCGGGAGCAAATTATTTAGTTTCCATGTGTTTGTGTGGTTTTGAGAGTTACTCCTGGTATTGATTTCTATTTTTATTTTACTGTAGTTCAAAAATATGCTGGTTATGACGTCAATGTTTTTTTAATTTATCTAGACTTACTTTATGACCAAGCATGTGGTCAGTCTTAGAGTATGTTCTATGTGGAGATGAGAATGTATATTCTGTGGTTGTTGGGTGAAGTATCCTGCAGATGTCTATTAGGTCCAATTGGTCAAATGTCAAATTTAAGCCAAAAATTCCTCTGTTAATTGTCTACCTTGATGATCTGTCTATTGATGTCAGTGGGGTGTTGAAGCCCCCCACTATTAGTGTGTGGCTATCCAAGTCTTTTCTTAGGTCTAGAAGTAATTGTTTTATCAATCTGGATGCTCCAATGTTGGGTATGTATATATTTAGGCTAGTTAAGTCTTCTTGTTGAATTGAACCCTTTATCATTATGTAATACCTTTCCTTGTCCTTTTGTACTGCTGTTGGATTAAAGTATATTTTATCTAATATGTAAATAGCAACCACTGCTCTTTTTTTGTCTTCCATTTTCATTAAAGGCTCATCCCTTTACTTTGAGCCTATGGTTGTCATTGCATGTGAAAGAAGTCTCTTGAAGGCAGCAGAAGTTTGAGTCTTTTTTAATCCAATTTGTGACTATGTCTTCTGTGGAACATTCTGGCTGTTTACATTAAAGGTTAATATTATGTGAGGTTTTGTTCCTGTCATAGTGTTCTTAGCTAGTTGCTTTATAGTCTTCATTGTGTAGTTGCTCCGTAGCATCCATGGGCTATGTGCTTGCATGTGCTTTTATGGTAGTAAGTATCATTCTTTCATGTCTATGTTTAGATCTCCCTTGAGCATCTCTCATAGGTCCAGTCTGGTAGTGATGAATTCCCTTAGCAACTTCTTGTTTGGGAAAAAAACTTTATTTTTCCTTTGTTTATGACCTGAGTTTGGCAGGATATGAAATTGGTTGGGATTTCTTTAAGAATGCCAAAAATGGGCTCTCAATTTCTTCTGTTTGTAAGGTTTCTGCTGAGAAGTCTCCTGTTAGTCTAATGGGTTTCTCTTTATAGGTAATATGACCTGTTTCTCTAGCTGCCTTTAAGATTTTTTCTTTTACATTGTCCTTGGATAGTCTGATGACTATGTGCCTTACAAATAGTCATCTTATATAGTGTCTCAAAGGAGTCCTCTGGATTTCTTGTATCAGCATGTCAACCTCTAGCAAGATTGGGGAAACTTTCCTGAATTATATCTTCAAAGATGTTTGCCAAGTTGCTTACTTTCTCTTCTTCTCTCAGGAATGCCAATAAGTCATAGATCTGGTCACTTTACATTATTCCATATGTCTCGAAGTCTTTGGTTTTTTTTTTATTCTTTTTTCTTTATTTTTGTCTTGACTGGGTTGATTCAAAGGACCAGTCTTTGAAGTCTGAAATTCTTTCTTCTACTTGGTCTAGTCTATTGTTAAGACTTCTGACTATATTTTGAAATCCCTGTAGTGAATTTTTCAATTCCAGAAGTTCTGTTTGGTTCTTTCTTAACATAGCTGTGTCATCTTTCAAATCTTGGATTGTTTTTCTGGCCTCTTTGTGTTGGATTTCAACTTTTTCTTGGATCTTGTTGAGTTTCTTTGCCATCTATATTCTAAGTTCTATATTTGTCATTTCAAACATTTCATTCTTAGGACCCATTGCTTAAGAGCTAGCAGGATCCTTTGGAGGTGATACAACACTGGCTTTTTGTATTTCTGGAGTTCTCATGCTGGTTTCTTCTCATATGAGAGAGCTGACACCTCTTTTTTTAAAAAAAAAAAATTCCTATTGTTTAGATAGGGCTTCTTGTTTTTTTATTATTTTTTCCTCTGAGGGGGTATAACTGTAGTGTATATTGTGTATGCCTGATTGGCTTCATTTCTGAGTGCTTTCATGATACCAAGGCTCTGTACAAGTTCCTTGGTTGCAGATAGGTTTAACAGTGGTTATCTCAGATGTTGCTTGTTGTAGCAATCTAATTTTGTTTGGTGGTGTAGTTCAGACTGCAGGCCAGTAGGTGACATATAAGAGTAACAGCCAACAGGTAGGGGTAGGGGTGAAAGCAATGGAGAAGAGTGAAAAGCGTCCTCCCCCAATGCATATTCGCCTTCAGTGGGGGTGAAGCCATTGGAGAAACCCAATAAATGAACTCTTTCAGCCCACACTCCCCAGGCCTCAGTGACAATGCACTGAGAGGGGCCAGGGATGACAGAGAGAACCCCTTCTCCACGTCCATTCCCAGGCTTCAGTGGTGCCACCTTCAGTGGCTGGCACCACACTCACATTTCCTTTGGCCCAAGGGGGGCTTTGGGGAGGCTGTACTTTCCCCTCCCATAGAGTCAGTCCGTGCTGAGGGTTAGATCTCTTGGGGAGTGGGGTTCGTCACCCTCCTGCTCCTCAATGCTTGTGGCGCACCGTCTCCCAAGTGACCAAGGGAGCAAACCGGGGCACCCAGCAATGACATGCACAGACCAGTTCCAGGTCACAAAGCTGTCCCTGGCTGCAAGTCTCACCACCTGGGAGAAACCTTGGCTTCAGCAACTCTCCTCCCACTGCAGTCCTGCGACAGGAGAGAGCCTAACTCCAGCACCTACTGCTGGGGCACTCTTGATACTTGCTGCTCAGTGCTGGCTATGGAGTCCCATCTCCCATTCCAGAGCAAGTGCTCCAATCTCTGACCTGAGACTACGATGCCTGCTGTGGCCACTGCTGCCAGGTTGCCAAACAATGTCTCTAAACTCTCAAAATGGTACTAGCTGTGGGCTTGTGATAGGAGAGGGTGGGGCCTCTTTGGCAGGCAGTGGCTGCAGCTATGGTTGCCCAAGCTCAGGCCGAGGGTGAGGTGCAGCCCCATGTTAAACTCTCAAAATGTCGCCTTGGACCAGGAGCCAGAGAGGGCGTGCACCACCCAGGCAAGCAGTATGGGCAAGAAGCTGTGGGGAGTGCAGTGTGATCACGTCTCAGTCTCACAGCAGCTCATTACAGGGCAGTGGGTATTGTCCTAGATAGGCGTAGAATGGCCTGGATTCCCTGTCAATCCCTGCCCAGGCTGGCAGCATGGGGGAGGGCAGTTCACTCGTGTCTCAGTCTCCACAGCAGCTTATAGCAGAGTGGCAAGCACCTTCCCGAGGGTGCATGGGAGCGCCCAGTCTTGCCTCTTCCTCCTTGGAGCAGCTGCAGCTGTGTCTGTAGATCCCTGGTATCTGGGCTCTCAAAGTGGCTCCCAGCTGAGACTGCTCCAGGCTCAGATGCCCGTGGGATTCTGTGTGGGTTCCCTTTCTGGAGCAAGATTCCTGTGCAATCTTTAGGCAGCTCCGTATGTCAGGCATGAGGCCCCAGTGGGTCAGGGGTTCCTCCCATAGCCAAGATCGTAAAAACCCATTTTGGAGCTCTGGGGATTTCTCTCTCACTGTTTCCCCAAGGCCAGAAACCTCTCAGCTCTCAGTCAGCTCTCAGCTGAGCAAGCTGCCTCGAACCCTCTCCTCAATTACTTCTGGCACTTATCATCTCTTCTCCGATGAATTCAAGTGTTCCCTTATAGACAGTTATTCTGAAGGCTGAGAAGTCTAAAACTAAGGTGCTGGCAGATCTGGTGTCTGATGACAGCCTGCATCCTGGTTTGCAGACGGCTATCTTCTTGTATCCTAACATGATTAAGAACAGAGAGAATGGCCTTCTCTTATTATCTTTGAAATTCAGCTAAGACCCTGAAGCCAAAGAGACCCACTAGGTACATTTCTGCAGAATTTTATTTTAAAATGCCCAAGCTCATCCTTAAAATACCAAACTTCAAAACGAAACACAGAAAATAACAAGTGTTGGTGAGGATGTGGAGAAAATGCCAAAAGACAGGCAATAATAAATAAATAAAAATAAATAAATAAAACTTCATTAATTACCTTCAGCCAATTTAAGAGAAGGCTATACATTCATTATGGGGTGCTTTGTTTTTTGTTTTTTGTTGTTTTTGAGACACAGTCTCGCTCTGTTGCCCAGGCTAGAGTGCAGTGGCACGATCTTGGCTCACTGCAACCTCCGCCTCCTGGGTTCAAGTGATTCTCCTGCCTCAGCCTCCCGAGTAGCTGGGATTACAGGTGCCTACCTCCACACCTGGCTAATTTTTTATTTTTAGTAGACACAGGGTTTCACCATGTTGGCCAGGCTGGTCTCAAACTCCTGATCTCCGGTGATCCACCCACCTTGGCCTCCCAAAGTGCTGGGATTCCAGGCGTGCGTCTCTCTGCCCGGCCTATGAGGTGCTTTGAAAGGCATTTTTAGAACTAGAAAAGCTTTGGCTTTTTCCCTCCCTCCCTACTGCTAAGCCAAGTGAAGGAGTCCAAGCAAATCAGTCACAGGGACCAGAAATGCCTACGAGAAAGATTTGTATCTCACTTCCTGGCTGGATGTTTACAGAGCCCTGACATCACAGGCCCTGGTGCTGCTTCCAGACCATAGAGAACAACAAGTGTTCTTAGGAGAGCCAAAGAGCATCCACAGGCATTTGCTGGCATCTTTGCCTGGTTTCCATCCATCTCAAGAACGCTGAAGGCAAGAGACTGGCTGGAGCAGCATGCAATTACAGGGTGGGAGAGAGGGCTGATTAGATGGTTAAGCTTTAGGGAGGAAAAGGATGGACAGTGTTTTCCCATTGACCAAGGGAACCTGAAGAGAGTAGCAAGACATGCATCATCTGGAACAGACCCTGACCAAAAGAACTACTGCCTGAAGCCAGGGGTCCCCAGCAGGAAGAAGCTGTGTAGAGTGAAGCCCAGAACATGTGGGGCAAAAGCTGAGAGAAGATTTTCAGAAGCAACTGGAGAATGACCAGAATAGGAGGAACCCCCTGCATCCCCACAGGGTGCCCTGGAGAAGCTCTATGTGAATTCTCAGATTAACAGAGGGAATGAGTCCCAGCCAGTATTATCCATGAGAGAATCACATACAATACCAGCTAAGTACAGTGACACTTTGCTCCTCTTTCTCTGATCTGCATGCTGGATTCTATACTAGAGGAATTAGAAAGCAGGAAAGAGATGAGAAATAGTCAGAAAAACACTGAAAGAACAGTCATGCTCTCCTTCCTCAGAGTCAGAAGTAAGAAGAGTTAAGGAGAGAAGATTCAAGCTATATATGAGATTGGACTAAGTTTTTTTTTGGCTGGGGAGGGCGTTGTTTTGTTTTGTTTTTTTAATACAGGGTCTCACTCTGTCACCCAGGCTGGAGGACAGTGGTGCACTCATAGCTCATTGTAACCTCAATCTCCTGAGCTCAAGTGATCCTCCCACCTCAGCCTCCTAAGTAGCTGGGACTATAGGCATGCACCATCACACCCAGCTAATTTTTTTTTTTAATACAGACAGGGTCTTGCTAGGTTGCTCAGGCTGGTCTCAAACTCCTGGCCTCAAGTGATCCTCCCACTCAGCCTCCCAAAGTAGTGGAGTTACAGGCGTGACCCACCATGCCCAGCCCAGACTAACATTTTTAATACCTGAAAACAGGGGCTAGGCACAGTGGCTCATGCCTGCAATCTCAGCACTTTGGGAGGCCCAGGCAGGAGCCCAGGAATTCAAGACCAGCCTGGGCAACATAGTGGGACCTCATGTGTACCAAATACACACACACACACACACACACACACACACACACACACACACACACACAATTAGCCAGGTATGGTGCATATTCCTGTAGTCCCAGTTGCTCCGGAGACTGAGATTGAGGATCACTTGAGCCCAGGAGGTTAAGGCTGCAGTGAGGCAACAGAGTGAAACCATGTATTAAAAATAAGAAACCATGTATTAAAAATAAGAAACAAACAAACAAGGACTCTTGTTACAGCTGAATGTGAGCCAAAAGCTATGAAATCTACCAGAGATTGAAGTTACAGAGCACAGAAGGGAGATTTAGCATAGTATGGTTGAAAGCAACCAAGGGAGAAAAAGTTGTTTCCCATTTGTACCTCTCAGAATTTAGCCTTGGGCTAAACTCATGTTATGAAGCAGTTACCCAAATCAGGCAAAACATTACTATTTAATAAAGCTTGATGGTGGGTGTAGTCACCAGCCTTCAAGATGGCCCCAAGGATCCCCACCTACTGTTATTCACAAGCTTCTGTAATTCTCTGCCACACAAGGGGACCAGGGCTGGTTTGGTTGATCAATAACATATGAGAGTAAGATTAGATTATTTTAAAAGACTGTGGCTTCCTCTCTGTCTCTCACTCTCTTCCCCTCTCCTCTTGCTCTAGGGGAAGCACGTCCTGTGAAGAGTCCCACATGTCAAGGAACTGAGCTTCTAGCCGACAGCAAGCAAGAAACCAAAACCTGCTAACACGGGTGAGTCTGGAAGCAGATTCTCCAGCTCCAGTTGAGCTTTGAGATGACTGCAGCTTCATCTCACACTTGACTTACCTTGCGAGATACCCTTAGCCAGAACCACCCAGCTAAACCACTCTCTGCTTCCTGACCCTCAGAAATAGTGTGAGATAAATTTTTGCTGTTTAAGCTGCTACATTTTGAGGCGATTTATCCCACAGCAGTAGATAACTATTATAGTGTACACATAAATACTTGATATACAAAAAAAACTCATAATAATTTAAATATATAGCACAAAGTTTTCCCCCACGTTTACCATCTTGAAGCTAAAGTAACAAGAGCTCTTAGGGGTGAGGACATTCAGAGAATTTAGAAACTATCCCTGACTTGGATGAAAGATTCTTATATTCCCCTGAGAGCACACTCATAAAATAAACCAGGATTTAGAAATAAGAAATGCCATGAAATTAGTTCCTCTGAACTCAAATTATTGGAATAATCTATAAAATCAAAGGTCGCTGGTATAGGAGTCAAAGAGTGCCACCTGGGAGTGCCGCTTAATATTGCCATAGATACGGCAGGTAGCTACCAAAACAGATTCAAAAAGCAACACTCCTGCAATGCTCCTGACTGACACTAGATGGCGGTAAAGTTTTATCATGCAGTTAAATTTCAATTAGTCTGGCCAGGGTTAAAATAATTTAATGAGCATAAGGCGAAAAAATTAAAAGAACCCTTACTTAATTACTTAGTAAATACTATTTTTGAATTATTATTTCTAAGCTGGAATTAAAATTGAGTTGCTTATACTGATCTGTGACCTGAAACCATTTTTGAAAGGAGGTGGGTTAAAGTGTATTCATTATTCATTTTATAAAAATGAATAGTTTAATAATTGTAATCACTGCAGTATTAGCATCCATTCAGCTATTCCTCATCTGAAATTTGAGATGGTTTCAGCAGAATTGAGGCCCAGTTTACTTTTGAAAGATTGGTATTTATAAATAAGACTAGGAAAGTACTCGAATAATTGCAGGGCATTTTTCATTTCTCTCCTTCAAATTATTCCCTATTATAAGAGGTTGTCTGGCTTAATAATTAATAGCACAGACCTAGAACCAGACTGTGTAAGCTTAAATCCTAGCCCTACTTTAGATTATACCTCATGATCTACCTTATGAATGAGTCACAAATGAATTCATACACATAAAGTACTAGAAACAATACTTTTTCTTTAGAGATTCTATTTAAATATTAACCATTATTATCACTTCACATAAGTTCCCTGAGTCTGAGATAGAGCATGCTATGGAAATATACAGTAAAAACTGAAGCATGAAATCTAGGTCAATTTCCCAATGTCACACAATCAGCAGAATCAAAGTCCACAGATAAAAACAGACGAACACTACCACTTGGAATTGCCCTTTGCTATTGACATAGAGGGTCTGCTTCCAAAAACGACGAGTAAACTAGGAGTAGAACACAAACCTTCCAAATCACAAGCCAGTGACCTGTCCACTGCACCATGACAAACCAGGCTGATTTATTGACTGAAGAAACTCCTAAAAGACAAGTATTTGACAATATTGGCTGCTAGTTAAATGGCAGGTGAAATTCTAAAGTATTAACAGACACTTCTGTCCATTTACTGCATTCTGTTTATCACTTCATGAGGTTCTGCCTTAATTGCCTCAGAGAAGGGAGGATACAACATAATCCAGAAAACAGAATCTTCCTAAAGCTTAGGCCCCAGAAATGAGATAAAAGGTGTAGAAGGAAACCTGCCCTGTTAGGACAGAGCTTCCTCTGCTCCCAAGACTCAGAAGATTTATCTGATAGAGCAGAATGGAGAGATTTGAAAGAAAAGTGAAGACACCAGTGGGCTTCTGAAAAGGGACCCTGGGTCTAACCTACTTTTATCTTAAGCTGAGCCCTATATTTGGGGTCACAGGGAGGAATAATAAAATGTCCAAACACGTTTGGGGATTCTAGAGCTGAGTATCCTGCTCCCCTTTGGGTGGAATCTGGGAGCTATAGGACTCTCTAGTTCCCCACATCTGGCTTGTGCAGAAGTGGAAGGAAAATCTGTATGACATGTCTAGGCAGATGGTCCGCTAAGAGCTTCACAAAGTTCCAAAGCCACAGAGTGGTGTGGTGGCAGAGAATGGTGCCAGAAATGCAAGATGAGCATAGACCAGAGTTTCTCACAGTGCAGCTGGCGAAGAAGCATTCGAATATCGCCAACATGCAGAACGCGGCACAAGCAAAGCTCTCAGAAGCCACAGACCAGAAGAGGCTGGACCATCAGAAACAAAGGAGGGTACGGCAGGGACCCCCCCTAGAAAATGGGAGTATCCTTTAGGATATCAGTTTAGCTGTTTTCAAAGAGACCAACATAACTGAGCCTTAAACAAGATAGAATGCTCATTTCTATCCACATACAAGTTCAAGGTAATACTGGTCAGGGGGCTAGAGCTGCTCTGCACCACCAGATCACCCAGGAGCCCAGGTTCCTTTCATCTTGTTACTTTGCCACCCCACAGAATGCTATCCTTGTGCCCTCACGGAAACAAAGCCAACTCATCATCACCACATCCTCATTCCAGCCTGGGAGAAAGAGAAAAAGGGATGTGCAAAGCTGAGGGTTCAGAGATGCCATTTAAGGGCCTGAGCCAGGAGGAGGTACGCCGTTCCCACTTGCTGCCGACCTGCCAGCCTTAGACACATGTCCACACCTCACTTCAGAGAGGCTGGGAAGTGGGCAGCCTGTGCCTAGGTAAAAATAAGGTAGTTCTTTGACCAAAGAAAGAGTACATGGATATCTGCAGATAAGTGGTGATCTCTGCTATGCTCAGTGTCACATGAAGGCCAAGGTGGATATATACAGGGTACATACAGGGTAAGACTGTATTTTTTCCAATGCCTTAATGCTACATACACCACTCGAATCTTAGATACAACTCTGGGCATTGGGGGCAGGGGGTGCCTGAAATTTAGCTGGCCAGTGTTTATCATATGATTTAAAACAAAAGCTCTGGCCAGATATGGTGGCTCATGCCTGTAACCCCAGCACTTTGGGAGGCTGAGGCGGGCAGATTGCTTGAGCTCAGGAGTTTGAGATCAGCCTGAACAATATGGTGAAACTCCATTTCTACTACAAATAGGAAAGAAATTAGCTGGGCATGATGGCATGTGCCCGTAGTCCCAGCTACTTGGGGGCGGGGGGGGGGCGGCGCCGAGGCAGGAGGATAGCATGAACCCAGGATGCCAAGGCTGCAGTGAGCTGTGACTGCACAACTGCACGACTGCACTCCCGCCTGGGTGACAAAGTGAGACTCTGTCTGAATAAAAAGCTCTGTCCAAATGAGACTATGTTAATAAATAAACAAGGCAATCAAATTGTCTCTCTTGAGCATCTGAACCAGAAATAGATTGAAGAATATGGTATGATAGAGCCGTAAGAGAAGGAGATGCAAAGAAGTCATGGAATCAGGCCGTGAGTCAGCAGCAAAGGTTGCAAGTTGCCTTGAGTTAAATAAATTCATGATGTGAGATAGAAATCATCACCAGGGCTGTGCCTGCAAACTCACAAAATAATTGATGCTCTCCTACATTTTCTATCCTCCCTTGCAGTGAGGTTAGAGCCATATATCTAGCTCTGGCCGGTGAAAGGTAAGCAGAAGCATCAAATGTCGCTTCCAAGTCAAGGTCACTGAGAGCCAGGGACCTCCTCCAGCTCTCCTGTCTCTTGTGCAGTGACTTTGGAAACCAAGTGTTAATATGGCAGCATTAGACACAGATGGAGAGGCATGGGGTCTCTGGGTAGAGGGGAATCCCTGCTGACTACATCATTTTATGTGAGCAAGAAATCAATTTTTGTTGTATAAAGCCCCTGAGATTTCAGAGTTGATCTATTGCGGCAGCTAATGGTTAATTATCCTGACTGATACAATAACCAAAATGTTTTAGTACTTCCCATACTGTAATTATTCTAGTGATCATAATTGCACAGTTGCAACTTGTTGAGAAACATAAGTCTGAAACAGTTGTTTACAGCTGGTGTTTGTCTAGACCATGGCAGTGTCCATTCTGATTGTGCCTATGCCATCTGACTTGGTAAAGATTTCTTCACACTTTGCCTTGCTCATAGGAAAACTATATACATGCGCCCTTCAACGTATTCTAAAGTGAAAGCTTAAAAGCATAAAATGTGTTTTAAAATTATAAGTTAGTTTTAGAAAGGAAAGATTTCTTTCCCTCACCTATTGCTAGCTTCATGGCTGAGGTACCTACAAAAGACAGATTAACAAGAGAAAAGCACATGAATGTATTTAATATAAGTTTTATATGCCACAGGAGGCTTCAGAAAGAAAGACTCAAAGAAAAGGGAAACCTGTGTATTTTTATGCTAAGTTTGATGAGGAAGTGGATAGCCATGAAGTACGACGATTGGGCAAAGGGGGTATGACCTATTGAGAATAAACTGGGAGAACTTAGCAAGAACTGTTTGTTTAGATTCTTTGTGTTTCTGTGTCTTCAGAGGTAAGGATACTCCTTTCCTCGGGGTATAGGGTGGACACTTCTCACATGACAATACTATGATCTGCTTCAGAGGAAAGTCAGAGAATTCTTTTATGACCTGCTTCAAAGGAGAAGAAAGGGAGAAGGTCAGAGTCCTTCCTGCTTTTGTTTTCTCAAATGCCAAGATGCTCTATGTTGAGGCAGCATGTTCTAAACTCCATCATCAGAAACTATACATTAATCGATCAAATCTATGAGACTATATACATGAGGCAAAAAGATAAAAAGCTTAAATACAAGGGAAGAAAATGAGACAAACTCTAGAAAAAAGGATAAAGAAATGAAATATTTATGTCTTAAGTTGCTAAGATCATGAAAAAAATTGAAAACAGAATTGTTATCTATCCATGTAAAAGCAAAAGCTTTATATTTAAGTACTATTTCCATTATTTTACTCTGAAATTATGGCATTTCAATATGGGATTCACTTTATCTTGTTTCCTAAATTATCACCTGTGCCTATTACTTGCACATCACTTAAATAAATTAAAAACTGCAGTATATATCATACACATTCCCGAAATTAAAATTTGTATTTCTTATACAGTTAAAAAAACAAAAGTAATCTAGCTACTACTATGTATTTGTTGTTGTTGTTGTTGTTGTTTTTGAGACAGAGTCTCGCTCTATCGCCCAGGCTGGAGTGCAGTGGCCGGATCTCGGCTCACTGCAAGCTCTGCCTCTCGGGTTCAAGCCATTCTCCTGCCTCAGCCTCCCAAGTAGCTGGGACTACAAGCTCCTGCCACCACGCCCGGCCAATTTTTTGTATTTTTAGAAGAGACAGGGTTTCACCATGTTAGCCAGGATGGTCTCGATCTCCTGACCTTGTGATCTGCCCACCTCGGCCTCCCAAAGTGCTGGAATTACAGGTGTGAGCCACCACGCTCAGCTACCATGTATGTTTTAAAAGACTAAATTCAACTTTCATTTGATTCTCTCTCTCTCTGTTCCTCTTTCTGTCTTTCTGCAGATAAGGTTTAATACTTTAGTATAAAGAAAATAGAACTTCTGTCATGTTGCTTTTGTACTTTGCATACTTTTTTTGCAATTATTATAGTATTGTAGAAGATATACATTATATCCTTGTGAATTCAAATGGCAGAAATATTGACTAAAATGTATATTACTCATATCAATTTTCCATATTCAATTTTATACTAAAATGATACTTTCATTTAATATGTTAATCATAACATAAAAGGCTGCACTTACCACAGAATATAGAAATATGAAGTTTAAATATATATTATATTATAGCCTGCTTTTCCCACAAGGCTAATAGCATGAAATCAATTTTTAATATGGAGGTAGAAATTATAAATTATTTTTAATGAACAAAAGAACAGAATCATTAACTCCCCAGCCATGACTTGATTTGGAAGTTGATTAGGGATCAAGTTATCTTCCTGAAACCTACCCTCCAGTGTAAAATTTCTATATTGAAAAATATGATGAACAACCTATTAAGGTTCTGCTTTTTATGTCTCTAGTACTTTGCTGCAGCTTACAACACACTTTTAAACACATAGGTTTTCTCAACAGTTCTGAGACAGAGAAGACCTTATCTTCTTAAGGTCCACGAAGACCTGGCAAACTAATCTTCAAGATGAATTCAGCCCACAGATCTATTTATCTATTTTGTGAAGCACACAGAGTTTTTCTTAATTCATTGCCAATATTTAAAAGTTTAGCACTTTCACACTATAAAAAAGAACTGGGCCAGGCACGGTGGCTCATGCCTGTAATCCCAGCACTCTGGGAAGCTGAGGTGGGTGGATCACTTGAGGTCGGGATTTCGAGACCAGCCTGGCTAACATGGTGAAACCCCATCTCTACTAAAAATGCAAAAAAGTAGCCAGGCATGGTGGCGCATGCCTATAATACCAGTTACTTGGGAGACTGAGGCAGGAGAATAGCTTGAACCCAGGAGGCGGAGGTTGCAGTGAGCCGAGATCGCACCAGTGCACTCTAGCCTGGGAGAAAGAGTGAGACTCCATCTCAAAAAAAAAAAAAAAAAAAAAAAAACACCACACGAAGAACTGGCTGTCCCAGTGACCCACATTCCCAGTGGCAACAACTGACTTGAGTCAACTTGGGTAGAGGATGCCCCTTTTTGGGAAGACTCTTTCTCTTCAGTTTGCCACAATCCCCACCATTCTCTTATACTCCCTAAAACTGAGATACAAAGTCAGTTGCCACTTACCATGTTTTACTGGGCCTCCCTCCCTTATAACGTGACTGCTTGGCCCGTGAGGTGTATGGGAAAACAGGCCAGGTCCTTCCAGTCACCCCAGGAACAGTGAGGATGCATTACTCATAGATGAGGCTTAGGGTATTTGCTGGAAAAGCATGCATCTGAGTTTGGAGATAACTTGGAAGGTTAAATACGGAAAAGACTTTCAAAGATCATCTCATTCAAACTCTTCATTGTAGAAGAGGAAACTGAGGTCCCAGAGGCTGAGTGACTTGTATCACATCACACAGTGAATTTACAGAAAATCCCAGCTTAAAGCCCAAGTCTCTTAACTGCTGGCTCCTATCACTGTAATAACAGAAATGGGAAAAAGAAACAACTAGAGAGAAAGGAAGGAGAGTGGGGACACAATCTCCCTTCCCCCTCTCCCAGGCTGTGGCAGGCAGCCAACTGGAGCTTTCTGCATATTTAATTTAAATCTTTGTCTGCCCTGGCAAGGACAAAGTACAATCTGTTTTATGTAAAAAGTCTTCCCTGAGGAAAGCCTCGGCCTCCAGCTGCGAAACTGATTGATGTTCTTCAAGTCCCCAGGAAGCTCTGCTGGGATCCGAGGTTGCGGTTTCCAAAAAAAGAGTCTGTGAAAAGGAAGCACTGAAAACAACAACAACAAAATTTCCTTTATTGTGTTTCTCTCAACCTGGGAGAATTAGACTAAAACAAGGAGGGGGGTGTTGGGACATGCAAATACAGACTGTATTTTAAAAGCAGATTTCAGAGTCCCAGATGGGAGGGGTTTGGGATGGCAAGCTGCTGCCAGAGGGAGACTGGAGTCTTGTCTAGAAGCTTTATTTGCATAGCAAGCACTTTGCTTTTACTTAGATTGCCTGTTCCAATCAATAAAGCTACTAAAATGTTCTGAAGATGCTTTATCCACACTTGAGGAAAGACTGAAAGCATCAATATCCAATAGTGTCACTAGTGATGTTTTATTTGGAATGTTTGGGAAATGTTCTAATAGAGATTAAAATCCATCTTATTTTGTGGGTTTCCTGATACTGTATTTTGGAGAACCAGATCTGGGGTGGCATTTCTTGCAAAACCAAAGCCAGTTTTGAAATCCAGTCTCAGAGTCATCTCTGAATGTTTCTGGATTGTTACAGCCAGGGCATCTCCTGCCAGATTTCTGCTCCATCCCATATGACATCTACTTTAACCTGAGGCCTTATGCACAGATAGCAACACTGAAGTGCCCCCAGAAGACCCAAAGAGGGCAAGACCACTACAAAAGTTTTGAGGATGATGGAAGTTTCACCCCGGAGGACTGGTTTTTCCCACTGGTCCCTGGCCCTGCCTGGGGCAGCCCGTGTATCAGGCTGGAAGGAGGGCATGGGTGACAGTGCAAGGTTCTGCCTTCACCTTCTGGCTCAGCAGCCAAACTTCAGTGTGAAGCCAGAACAAAGCTATTGCCAGGTCAGGGCTAAGGAGCTCGAGCCTGTCTTGGGGTGGAGCCAGGACCCAGAAACCACTGCCATGAGCCACCAGCTGGCTCTGATCCCAGGAACATGTGCAGCTGCTGCACAGGCCAGACTAGTCCTGAAGACTGTCACTGTGCCAGCCCCTCCATTAGGCCTCCCGGTCTCTGCTCTCATCAGGCTCACACCCAATGCCCCGTGTGTACTTTGGCATCTGCCTGCCTTTAGATGTCCTGGGATGACTGAATAAACCTTCAGAAAAGCCATGTGACCTGCTGATTCTTATCTTTCTGGACATCACACCTTTGTTCTAAAACTCCTTAGAGGTCAAAGTGTATAGATCCAAATCTCTGAAGTTCCTTGGTATGATGAAAATGAAGGAATAAACAATTTCCCTTAACTCTGTGTGGTCTAATTTAAGGGCCTTTCATTAGTACTCACAGGAAAAACACAGGCACCATGGCAGCGGAAACAGAAATCCCTCCCCACATGCCCTGATGGTGGGGGCAAAACCCATGAATGGCCACATTCACAGCTGTTTCTAGAAGTGCTTCCTGGTATCGTGGGCATTAAGCTTCAGTAATAAAGTTAACAGCAATACAGTCATACTGGAAAAAGGTCAAAAGGAGGAAAACCTTTATTTAAAATATTATGCTGTTCTTTTTACAAACTAGGTCATCTTCTGTATCAGTAGCTATTCCTCAAGGCATTCGGTCCCACTGACCCTTTAAGAACTTATTTTAAAAAATCGGGCTGCTTCTTACCCCAATTTTGTTTCTTCCCAAATGTGTTAGGCACTCTCCAACCTGGATACAAATTCCAGCATTTTGACAAGGTGTACCTAGTCCTCTTCAGATTCTCTTATCACCAGGGAAAGGCCTGTACAACTGCTCAGTAAGCCTTGGCCGTAAGGTATGCTCCCTAATACAGAATAAAGGGCAGGATGCCACAGTGCGGCCAGCAGGCTCAGTCCCATGGAGAGCAGCCCAGTACGGCTTAAGCTGTAAAGACAAGTAAGACAAGGTCTCTGTGCTCAGGAAACTGGTAATCTAGGGGAGGCCGTGGATGTGTTGCTTAACAAGGTGATAAGTGCATGCTAGCAGTGTGAACCAAGTGCCATGGGAACTCTGAGGAAGCAATGATTAATTATGCAGGGTATGGGGATTAAAGATCTGGGAATGTTTTCCAGAGAGAGAAACAGTGGAGCTGAAACAGATGATGAGCAGGCTTTGATCATGACAAAATTTGGGGGACAGAGTGCTCAGCAAGATACATTCCAGGAAGACGCATGGTGCAAAAGTCTTCCAGACACTGAAAGCTTTTGTTACATGAAATGCTTGGAGCACAGCAGGTCATCCAGGACAGTTGGAGTTTACAGTATAAGGTGGAGGGTGACACGGAAAGACCAAATAGTTGGGTTGGGCCAGATGGTGACTCTCGGACAACCAACTCCTTGGACTTTACCCTGAAGGCAGTGGTGAAGCAGATGAAGGATTTTAAGCAACTGGCTGGGTCAAGGGTTTAGTTTGGTGTATGACAAGCAAAGTTGTCTAAAAGGGACTCTGGGAGGTCACTTGGGGTGGCTTGGACAAGCCAAGTGGAACAGGGGCTTCCCCCCTTCTCCCAGTGGGGTGGGCTGCCCTAAATTTAGCTTCCCACAGAACTGGCAGTTTCTTTCCCACCCTACTCATATGAGCTACCACTCTCCACAGTCCTCAAATCTCCAGAACTGGAAAGCTGGCTTTCCCAGACAACTTCTCAGAACATCTAACACATAACTCAGACTGCCTGGTGCCCCAGTACCTATTTCCATCCCCACTGATAAGTTGTTCTGATCCTCTCTCCACATGGAAAGCAATAAGGAGGTAGAGTCCTTCCCCTAAAACATAACTTGCCATATTCTAAAAGATTCATTTTCTTGGATTCATGAAAGGCTGGGAGATTGTAGATGACTCTTTTGCCTGCTGACACTTGCTTTGTATGTTTCTACAATAAAGCCTGTTTCTAAATTCATACCAAGGGGTATTTTGGAACGCCTTCTGATCCTGGTGTTTTCTGACCAGGGTGACTATGAAGGAACCCACATTGTACCAAAGTGGGATGGCCTAGGAATGGAATAAGTCATTTCCCCATTGTTGATTAAGACTCTTTGTGTTGTAACAGAAAATCCAACTAAAACTGGCTTTAAAATTGAAGGGAATTTATTGTTTCACATAATTGTTAGGGTGGGCATAGAGTAGTTAATCCAGTGTTTTAATGATGCTATCAATGGCCCATTTCTCTCTCTCTGTCCTACCTTCACTAGTGTCAGCATTTTTCTTTTTCTTTTTTTTTTTTTTTTTTTTGAGATGGAGTTTCGCTCTTGTTGCCCAGGCTGGAGTGCAATGGCACTATCTCAGCTCACTGCAACCTCCACCTCCTGGATTCAAGTGATTCTCCTGCCTCAGCCTCCCAAGTAGATGGGATTACAGGTGCCCGCCACCACACCCGGCTAATTTTTCTTGTATTTTTAGTAGAGATGGGGTTTCGCCATGTCAGCCAGGCTGTCTCGAACTCCTTACCGCAGGTGATCCGCCTGCTGCAGCCTCCCAATGTGCTGGGATTACAGGCGTGAGCCACGGCGCCCAGCCATGTCAGCTTTTTCCTTTTTTTTTTTTTTTTGAGATGGAGTCTTACTCTGTTGCCCAGGCTATAGTGCAGTGGCATGATCTCGGCTCGCTGCAACCTCCACCTCCTGGGTTCAAGTAATTCTCTGCCTCAGCCTCCCTAGTAGCTGGGATTACAGGCACCCTCCACCACACCTGGCTAATTTTTGTATTTTTAGTAGAGACGGGGTTTCACCATCTTGCCCAGGCTGGTCTTGGACTCCTGACCTCGTGATCCACCGGCCTTGGCCTCCCAAAGTGCTGGGATTACAGGCGTTAAGCCACTGCGCCCAGCCGTGTCAGCCTTTTTTTAAGGCTGACTCTCCCAATGGTTGTAGAAATGCTGACAGTCACAATCAAGTCTCTAATAGTTACATCTGATGGCAAAGAGGGCTTCTAGACCAGCATTCCAGCCAGTGTCCTGAGATTCACCTAAATCGAGTAAGTTTAATTGACATATTTGTTGTTGTTGTTGTTGTTGTTTTGAGACAGGTTCTTACTCTGTCACCCAGGCTGGAGTGCAGTAGTACGATCTCAGCTCACAGTAACCTCCACCTCCCAGACTCAAGCAATCCTCCCACCTCGGCCTCCCAAGTAGCTGGGACCACAGTCACCCGCCACAATGCCTGGCTAATCTTTGTATTTTTTGTAGAGACAAGGTTTCACCATGTTGCCCAGGTTGGTCTCGAACTCCTGAGGTCAAGTGATCTGCCCACCTCGACCTCCCAAAGTTGTGTGATTACAGGTGTAAGCCACCACGCCTGGCCCTTAATTCACACATTTATGCTCACATCAACTCATATATTCATTGAACAAATATTTATGGAATACCTACTACATATTAGCCACTGTTTCAGGTTCTGGGACATTGAAATCACCTTGAATGACTGATTAGCTTAAAGCAATTGGTACCCATCACGAGCGCTAGGAGTGTGTTTAATTTCCCCCAAAGCACATGGACTGTATAGGGATGGAAGTGGATCCTTAGATAAAGACTTCTCTGCTACCAGGAAAGGGGGAGGAGAGAATAGATACTAGTTTGGCATCAAGAACACCTAATACAGGCTTGCTCCTGAAAACGCAGTTCCAGAACCAGCATTGTTGGCATCACCTGGTAATTTACTATAAATACAGAATCTCAGGTAGTGCCCCAAGTCTACTGGATGAGAATCTGCACTTTAACGAGATCCCCCGGTGACCTCTGTAAACATAGAACTTTGAATGCACTCATCTACAGGATAGATGAAAACAGTGTTATGACTGGGGCTGGAAGAGAAGGAAGTTGGAGAACAAAACAGTCTCTGTACAGACACAAGTTGGGATGTGCTGCTCATAACGGTTCTCCAGAGGGAATCGTGCAGCTAGCCCCTCAGTCAGGGATGATTGTCCCAAAGGGAGATGCACCTACTGAGTGAGGCCAATTAGTGGATCATCCTCTGGGAATTTGAAACGTAAATTATGAGAAACAGATACAGAAGGTTGTTGGAGCAGGGTTAGCAGTCAACAGAACCATAGAAGGTCTAGAAGTACCTAATGAGGGGCCCCCAAAGTGCTCTGAGGCTTAGTTATTATGCACCTCCTTTTATTCAACCATCCAATATTCCCTTTTTGGCTTATGTTAGTTAAAAGGGGTTTCTATTGCTTGCCATTAAAACAAACCTTAACTTACATAGCTTTGACTTTATCGGTATAGTTACCTACTGAGGATGAGATTGGTCTGCCTTGAGGAGGTCACCAAAGTTAATACATTTCACCAAACAATGTCGGAGATGCTTTAGTTGCTTTTCTCCTCAGCCTCCAAACTTAATCGCCAACACAAGCCATGAACACTGAACTGCATTCACAGTTGACAAAGCCATTTTTACACAGTATATTTTAAAATTCTACATATTTTGAAAATGCGGTTTTCATAAGAAACATTCCATTGTTGGTTACCTTCTGTGTATAAATGAATGTATCTTTCTAGAAAGATCCATTCATGTGTCCTCTTTAATCTGACCATCTATTGTCAACTTTTTCAAATGCAGCTGTCTTTTATAAATGTATCTACCAAATAATTGAATTGTTGTGATAGCAATTCTTTTTCCTTTTACACGTGCAATGTTTTCAATCAAATGTTGCCTAATAGCTAGGCTGTTTGGAAATTAATAATCTAAATAGATGGGAACAACAATATAGGTGTTTAAAGTTTAATTATTCCTTCAGGCTCATTGTGAGAATATCAAGGCTTTATTTATTAGTCTGATTCTATATTCCTTGGAGTATTTCATCTTATTCTACAACACTCTCCTTTTCTTCTTTTAAAAAAATACAACAAAACAATGAGGAGGTCAAATCTTATAAGGAACAAACATGACATCACATAGGGAAATGAGTCACTGTGCATCATACTGGGAACTGAGTCAGGACTAAACTGACTCACATCTTTCTGGGCCAAGAACCAATTCTAGTTATATCATGCTGGAAAATGACTCATTTACTACCTTTATTAGCTCCCCTCAAGATCAAATCAACAGCAAATTGGAGTAGGTCTTATGAAACTCAAGTGGCTCTGCTTGAGCCATTACTCTCTGCTGGTACACAGAGGATTTCTGTGTCTGAAATTAACTGGTTGTTTTGCCACAAGAACTCAAGCCCAGCCTTGCCAACAGTGTGTTGCACTTATCTGAGCTAACCACATCTAAACATTAGCATATCCATAATCTTTGTAGTCTCTACATGTAAGCAATTTTTAGATAATTGATTGAAAGCCTATCATTACTTATATAATAATCGTTGTAGAAAATAATCTGAAAAAAAACAACTACCCAGTTAGTGCTTTCATCAATAAAAAGTCAAAGCACAGCAATAGCTAACAGCTCTCTTTTTTGCCTTATGGTTATGCCACCTCCGCAAGTAAACTGAATGCAACAGAGAGCTGCACTAATAAAGTATTCCAGTTAAAACTGGAAAGGAAGACGGGAAAAATTAAAGTTCCAAAACCATGTCTTAATTTCCAAAGCATCTTAAATGAGTGCCTTTATAAGAAATGTTAACATTAACACCTGGGAATATACAAGGGATTATTTTTTAATGCGTGCATTGATACTAGCAGAATCTCCTAACTGGCTAATCTAGCCACAAACGCAGAGAAATTTTATACATATTCTTAAGTTCAAGCCAGGCACGCTGGCTCACACCTGTAATCCCATCACTTTGGGAGGCCAAGGTGGGCAGATAACCTGAGGTCAGAAGTTCCAGACCAGCCTGGCCAACATGGTGAAACCCCGTCTCTATTAAAAATACAAAAATTAGCCAGGCGTGATGGTGGGCGCCTGTAATCCCAGCTACTCGGGAGGCTGAGGCAGGAGAATCGCTTGAACCCAGGAGGTGGAGGTTGCAGTGAGCTGAGATGGCGCCACTGCACTCCAGCCTGTGCCACAGAGCAAGACTCCATCTCAAAATAAATAAATAAATATTAAAAAATACATATCCTTAAGTTCTGACAACATTGGAGCCATTCTCCCATATGACAGTAATTGATTAGGACAGAATATCTGCTGCTCCCTTTAGTGAGGACATTTAATGTTCTTTTCAATAATCTCCAGTTCACCACAGCCCCCACTACGGTCTCTCCTTGGCGACCATGGGGGATTAGTTCCAGGGCCTTTGTGGATACCAAAGTCCATAGCTGCTCAAGTCCCTTATTTAAAATAGTGTAGTATTTTCATATAACCTACACACATCCTTCGCATACTTTACCTGTAGATTACTTGTAGTATTTAATATAAATGCAATGTAAATATTTGTTATATTGTATTTTTAAATGTGTATAAATTTTTTTGTTGTATCTTTTTTTAATGGAGGTTTTTTTCTGAGTTATTTTCAATCTATGGTTGCTTGAATCTGTGGATGCAGAACCCGAGAATATGGAGAGCCAACTATATTCCCTTTTGTCTTAACCAGGTCCATTTCACATTACTTACTTGATTCTGGTAGGCATTTGAGTTTGCAATCCCTGATAAGTAGATTCCTAAGTTACTCTTACTGTTTAAATATAATAAACAGAAATAGAAAAAAAAAATTTTTTTTGAGACGGAGTTTCACTCTTGTTGCCCAGGCTGGAGTGCAGTGGCGCCATCTTGGCTCACCGTGACCTCTGCCTCCTGGGTTCAAGTGATTATCCTGCCTCAGCTTCCTGAGTAGCTGAAATTACAAGCACGCACCACCACACCTGGCTAATTTTGTATTTTTAGTAGAGACGGGGTTTCTCCAGGTTGGTCAGACTGGTCTTGAACTCCCGACCTCAGGTGATTCGTCCGCCTCGGCCTCTCAAAGTCCTGGGATTACAGGCATGAGTCACTGCACCTGGCCAGAAATAGAAAAATTTTAAAGAATGTAAAAATTTTAAAAGCTTATCCAGCTGGGTGTGGTGGCTCACACCAGTAATCCCAGCATTTTGGGAGGCCGAGGTGGGTGGACAACCTGAGGTCAGGAGTTCAAGACCAGCCTGGCCAACATGGTGAATCCCATCTCTACTAAAAATACAAAAATTAGCCAGGCGTGGTGGCATGTGCCTCTAATCCCAGCTACTCAGGAGGCCGAGGCAGGAGAATCGCTTGAACCCAGGAGGTGGAGGTTGCAGTGAGCCAAGATCGCACCACTGCACTTCACCAGCCTGGTCAACTGAGTGAGACTCTGTCTCAAAAAAAAAAAAAAAAAAAAAAAAAAGGCTTATCCACATTGCAGGTTGGCCAATCTTGTTTTCAATTTTTCTTCACTAAACATGTACTGAGCATCTTATTTGCGCTCCTCACTAAACATGTACTGAGCATCTTATTTGTGCAGGACAATGTGCTAGATGCTCTACATAAAAACATAAGATATTGTCCTTGCCCTCTAGTTACTTGTGTTGTACTTGAAACAACAGGTCACAGAAGAATGCTTTAAAATCCTATCTTAAAAATCATTAAAATAAGGCTCAGAGACTTTAGACTAATTTACCCAAAACCACAGAGATTAGAGCTTATCTTTTCTGTTTGATGGATCTCTACCTCTCGATTGATCAAAAACTTCAATACCTAATATTTGAGTAGCACAGTGTTCTGGGATGTAAAGTTCCATAGGGTACAGGCTTTATCCTCAAGAAATCTACATTTTAGTAGAATTGCAAAGACATTAAACACATAATTAAAATATTTGGTGGTATGTGATGAGCGCTTGACAGTGGAGCAAAAAGCCCAGCATAGCACTCAGGGATCATTTCCTGTGCAGGTGTTTGAAGAAGACCTGATCCCACCTCTAAGGCTTAAGCAACACTTGTGAAGACATCAACATCCTTGACTTGATTAATCTAACCTTCAACCAAGGCTGTGAGCTAGCTGAAGAAGGTTTCAGGTTTTCCCTGGTAAACCCATATAATTCTGACCAGTGATGGCAGGGAAAGTTTAAACAAGGAAGTAGTGGTGTAGGCAGTTGGCAAGAGGAGAAAAACCAGAAAGTCCTAAAGAGAAGGGAGCTTAAACAGGTACTCCAAGAACCACAGGGAGCCTCTGGAAAACCTTCAGATTCGTGATCCTTGCCCACTTGGATTCCTAAACCTGCACTCAGATTTCACCAGTAATGGGGATCAAGAGACTCAGGGTCAGATGGTGACTTTTATGTGTGTCTTGAGCCTCTTCACAATATGACCCATTCTTCTCCTTTCCATTTCCTATGCCTCCCCTCCCGCCTCACTGACCATCCAGCTCCGATCTATATGTTCTTCAACGAGGAGCTGACCTCAACAGGTTGCCTTTCCTGAGCTCCAGTGTCACTGGCTGCCCTCTGTGATTGGGCAATGTGAGGCGCAGGCTTGGGAGTGTAGAGGAGATGAGGAGTGGGAAGAAGCCTGAAGCCACAGCTCCTCCACCTTGGATGGTTTCTCAGGTGACAGACAGGTCCCTTCTCTGGCTTCAGCTCCTGCTGGGCAGGCCTGCCGTGGTTCTAGCCACTGCCAGCTGACCCTGGCTCCTGGGGCCTTACCTCTTTCACTTCTTTTTCTGTTGATAAACCCGTTTGGCTTCCAGCTTCTCCAGCACCTGTGTAAACAATTCCTGTACCCAAATTGAATTTCTTCTCTTGTAAATACTTAAAGTGGTTTCTGATTTCTTTGCTAGATCCTAATTGATACATATATACATGAAGAATTGATATATTAAATGGTGACTTGCCAAGTAGG
The DNA here is from genome assembly GCF_000001405.40 of Homo sapiens. Taxonomy (NCBI): domain Eukaryota; kingdom Metazoa; phylum Chordata; class Mammalia; order Primates; family Hominidae; genus Homo; species Homo sapiens. The sequence goes on along the minus strand of NC_000010.11, from coordinate 63,703,717 downwards.
GCAGTTACGATATTCGAGCCTAGAACACAAAGACTGTCTCCTCCTCGCCCCCAATATGCAGGAATTGCTTAGATGACTCTTCAAACAGATTTACCTCAGGAAGAACTGGGCCACCATCTGAGCAAGAGCAATCGTAATATGAATCCACTGTCCTTGAAGTGTGTTATAAGCAACCAAACACCCCATGGTTGTCATACCATTGGCTCAACTATGAAAAAAATACGAGTATGTGATGGACATGCGGTGCAGCCCATAAACTCAGTGTGCCAAGAGCTCTTGCAGTTCTTGAGTTCATTTATATTAGCAGAAGGTTTTAAAGAGGTAGTGGGAGAAGATGAAAGCAGAAATGTTTATATTTTTTAAAAAGAGGAAGGCAGAGATGAAAGTCAGAAAGAGAAGGGGCGAGAGGAGCTAGCCCATAGGTCTACTGGTGTGAGGATGATGCAATCAATTCCCAACTCAGCAAGGCATAGAAAGGGAATGAACTAGTAGCCCAAAGAGGAAGTGGGACAAGAGCTAGTTCCTCCTTCATCAGTTACCCCCATGGCTTCACAGTCTAGTGGAAATGCTCACATTTTGGAAAGGCAGATATTCTTAGACAAATACAAGTTGAAAACTGCACTTCACATAAACAAAGAATGATTTGCAGATTGACTTCCTTGTTACCAATTCAAATATAAAAAGCCTCTCTCCTTTAGCATATATAGTAAAGGATGGCTTACATACTAGATTTCTTCTGTTGCCTGGATTATAAATTATGAAAAATTACACAAATTATATATATATATATATAGTACACACAGTGTAAGCATATATACAAAAATATCTATATATACAAAAATTATACAAATTCTAGAATTATACAATTTCTAAGCCATTAAACCAAATGTTCTATGCCCCATCTTCCAGGACCTGTTGTTTTTTTAAACAAGCCTAAATACACATACACCCTCCAAACACTTCTCGAGATATTTTAAATAAACTCATTTTATTAAATCAAGCTGAGATTTTTTATTTTTATTTTTTTAGAGATGGGGTTTTGCTATGTTGTAGACACTGGTCTCAAGCATCTGGGCTCAAAGGATCCTTGGGCTTCACCCTCCTGAGTAGCTGGGACTACAGGCGCACACCACTGCACCCAGTGTGGTTTTTTATATTATATATTCACCTGCATTGTTCCATGAAAAATGTAATATAAATGCAAGCACATGCTGCAGATGCTAAATTAGAAAAACATCTGTGCTTTTTACATCATCCTGCCTTAGAAAGAAGGCACCCAGGACAATCCCAGCAGCTGGCACACTCTACGTGGTGTGCTCATTACCACAAGTAAATAAAGTCAGTAAATTACTGGCAGAGCACAGGGGGCATGATGAGATTAGGAAATAACCCTTTCATCAAACTCTCTGCACATTGCATATTGCCTGGGCAAAAAGCAAATAATGATGATCAATGGGGAATTAATATTTTAGTCAAAGAGGAATGGAGATGAATATATACTATAAATTATTAACCAGCACTTGTACTCTATCCCCTTGGCACAGCATGAAATAGGCTTCTAAAGAAACAGGATACATATCTTCTACTTACTTAGCAATGTTTTCTTCAACCAATGAATAATATTCATAAAGATGCAAATCTCTAAGACATTCAAGAGAAAAAATATATACCTGAATTTCTCTACCTTTCTGTAAGAGAATGTAAACCAAACATAAATATTCTTATGCTTATACTTATATAAATAGATATGTTTTATGTGATATGTCCATAAATATTACTGTGCTATAGCAGAGAAACAGTCATTGGGCTGGAAATTGAGACGCATCAGTTCTAGCTCACCCTTGGCTATGACCGGCAGTGACATTTTAAACTCTCTGGGCCTTTGTTTTCTCAACATAAAATAAGGGGTTAGATCAGAGATGACCTGGAAGAACACTTTCCACTTTCAAATTCTTCATAAGGGCCTTATAATGAGCAACATGTAAGAAGGACTTGGAAAAAGTGAGGTGGGCTCCAGCATAAAAATGAAAAACATTATATAAAAATTGCCGGCGAGGTGCGGTGGCTCATACCTGTAATCCCAGCACTTTGGGAGGCCAAGGCAGGTGGAACACTTGATGTCAGGAGTTCAAGACCAGCCTGGCCAACATGGGGAAACCTTGTCTCTACTAAAAATACAAAAATTAGCCAGGTGTGGTGGTGGGCACCTGTAATCTCAGCTACCTTGGGAGGCTGAGGCAGGAGAATTGCTTGAACCCAGGAGGCAGAGGTTGCATTGAGCCAAGATTGTGCCACTGCACTCCAGCCTGGGTGACAGTGCGAGACTCCATCTCAAAAAAAAAAAAATGCCAATTATTGAAGCCAAGGAAATATATACTGGTACAGGAGAAAAAAGATATCTATATCTATATCTATATCTATATCTATATCTATATTTATATATACAAACACATAATCATATACATATATAAATTGCTACTCTCTTAATAAAAAAATTATGAACCAATAATTGTACACATAAGCAAAGGAGTTCTGTATTTGCATAGTATCATGAAAGTTACACAGGGAATAATTATTCAATCATTTGCACTGAAAATCTGAGAAACAGTAATACTTGAAATATTGAGCAATCATAGACTTGTAATTTCCTGAATATGCAATTCTAATAAACAAAGGGGAAGGCAGCATTCACTACATGCTTTAGAAGAGCCTAAAATTAATTACTTGGTTACTGTTTGCCAAAAGCCCACAACAGGAAAACATAATATTCTTTATAATACAAAGTAGGCTGTGATGAGGCTACTTATAGGGAGGTATTCATAAGCTCAAGAGAACACAGAGGAGGGGTGACGGGAACCATGAGAAGAGAAATCACTCTAATTGTTTAGGATTCATTTTGAAAAATAAGGAGAAGCCTCTGAATGACCTCTGTGGCACAGGAAACAGTTTGTGCTTTTGGAAGAAATCCAGTAGATGTCAGAGCTTAAAGAAGTTTGGAGATCATCTAGTCTTATCTTTCCATCTTAGAGATAAAGAAATGAAGGCCAGAAAGGGTATCTAGTTTGCCCTGTGCTAAGTATTTGGCAGAGTTAAACTAGAAATAGTCTTCTAACTCCCAATCCAGCTTGCTTTTCCTTACTGCCTCCCTTTTCTCTGTGTAGGTCCAAAACAAATCCTTTCCTCACGGATTTATGGCAATGGTCCTCCTGGGATGAATAGAATATACTGTTACTTCTCCCTCCCTGAGAAGTTCTTCCCAACCCATAAAGTTTTTCCCAAGCTGACTAATGCTTTGCTTGGTCAGAATTGTTTTTGAGCCATCGTTCTAAATATCATCTCCCAGCTGAGTGATCTGAGACTCAAACTATTCATACCCACTGACATTACTGTGTTACTCCCGGGACTGCAAGAGCCAGCCTGGCCTGTGTGATGGAGGTTAGTGACTCACTGACCAAGTATCGTACAAGGGAATATGATCTCTCAGAAGGGCTCTAGGTTTTGATGTTAGGTGGCATATAAATCTCTCTGTATCTCAGTTTTCTTGTCTGTTACCTAGGGACAAATATTTATTTAAATTTTCTAAGACTGCAGACATAAAAAATAATTGTTAATGGTTTTAATCTGATTTCATAGACACAACTTTGATTCTTCAAGCAGGAAGCAGATCTTAAAAATTATCTAGTTTATTTCCTCTTTTCACCAGAGAGGGGAAAAAAAGATAAGAAAGATTTTGATTTGTTCAACATTACCCAGCTGGATGGTTTTAGAGTTGGAAAAACTGAGCCTTTTGACAAGCAGTTCACTGCTTTTGGCTCTATGCCCTGCCCCATTGCTCACCCTATTCAGAGTTCTTTATAAATGGGACTATCTAGAATTTGTAAAATAATATACTCATATCGAGTCTTGGTGAGATCCAAGATAGTGGTCTCCTATGCTATCAAAACAGTTATCCATCTCCCCCCAAATTAATGTTGTTTTTTGTAAATTATGTGGTAAGCCATACCATATAATTTCAGATATAGAAACATATTGGGGGTCATCTCCTACAACCTAACAATTCTGAGATGGTCAAGCTGGGTCATGATGAACAAGGAAGTGAGGAAGAGGAGGAGCTCACTGTACTAAAATTGTGCTTTATAAAGCTGGAGCTTCACCAACACATAGAGGCAGTGCTAACTCCTCCTCTCCAAGTTCTCCTTCTACAAGGGAAGTTAGTAGACCCTCTCCTCTCCACTTCCACACGTAGCACTCAAACTTCAGGTTACTTTTTGGTGATTTGCTTCAGGCTCCTAATCACCTGACAATACCTGGATGAAAGTGACAGGTGTGGAGAAATAGACCCAAGGCCTCAAGGGTCTAACTCGCCACTGGCACTGGTCATTCGTTGGTACTTGCCTGAGGGCTGTTCCCCTCAAAATCACTCAGCTCTGATATTCTCTTGAAGTATAACTTCTACTTTACCAGCCTCTGCTGTGCTGTGCAGGAAAACAGCTTAAAATAACACAACTGGAAATGGATTCTGAAGGACCCAGAGGTTTGCAACTGGGGTGAGGGGAAGAAGGAAGCCAGGAAGAGAGCAGGACAGTTGCTAGCTGTCCATGGAGACTTTGGGAAGAGCAGGGTAGTATAGAGTGGAAGCGCCTTGGAGGAGACAGGAGGAATTACACTATTTCCCCATTGCTACATTGGGCTCAGAGACCAGCACTGCTTCTTAAACCACTCTCTGGACAAAACGATAACAACATTTCAAAATAAGAAAAGAAGGATTCTTCTCCAAGACAGGAGTCATTTCACAGGCCTGAAGCCAGACCACACTGAAGCTCCATCTGCAAAACTAATGGTTTTCCCTGACATTTTAAACAGCACAATTTAATGGCTCAGTGTTTCATTTGACATTTAAGAAGTTATCCATCTCCAAGAAGTTTATTGGCAAATCTTCTCCATTTCAGGAATTAGCAATATGATGTGCATATGAACACATCTACAAGAGGGGTCCAAAAAGCATCTTTGCAAAGGAAGCCCAGGACACGGTGAATGAATTGTTACTCATGCAGAGCAAGATCAGCCCCTTACCTCAGGCCCTGCCAGTGCACCTTCGTAAAGCACTTCCCCTTTCTGTTAACCAGCCTCCTCACAAGAAGAAAAATCATAGTCCCTGCTTTAGTAAACTGTTGTAGTTAAGAAGATGGAAAGAGAGAGGATTAAATGACTTGGTTCAGGCAGTGAAGAAGCAGGTATTCAGGAGCAAGACTGGCTGTGTTAGAATTGTGGCTACTCTGCTGCTTACAAGCTGTGTGACCTTGGGCACATTGCATAACCTCTCTTTGGCTTGGTTTTCTCGTTTCCAAAATGGGGATAACAATAGTACCTATCTCAATGAGTTGTTAAGATGATTAAATGAGTTAATATTTATAAAGTTCTTAGAACAAGCTGACAGAATAAGTGCTGTAAAAGTATTTGTTAGCAAATCATAAATAACATATGTGTATTAACTTTTTTCAGATCATTTGTGTACTCATTCTCACTATATGTGACTCAGGCTGAAGTCAATCAATGTATCGCATTTCTCCTGGCCCCGGTGATTGCTTTGTGGATGGCACCACGGTCTCAATCAGAGCCAACAGGATGATGTGAGTCTACTTCTGGGATTTCTGGGAAGGAGATATTGGTTCTTTTTTACTGGACTTAAATCTTAGAGGATACAGAGCCTAGAGCAGCTTGCAACCATCTTTTAACTATGAGGGAAGAACCTATCCGAGAATAGGAGAGTGGAACAGATCCATGACAGAGAAATCATGCTCTGTTGATGTTATTTGGGCTGTTGGACCGTGGGATGCCTGAAACCAAACCTTCTAGATTTCTCAATTACATAATTACTCCATTTACATTTTTCCTTTTCCTTAAATGAATGTCTGCTGGGCTTTTCTTGAGGTTGTTGTTTGTTTGTCTGTCTTTTAATCACTTGCAACTGAGAGACAACAAACTGGTGCAATTTACAACATGTCTCCAAGCCCGCAGTAAGTATTGTGGCCAAGGCAGAGGTATTGTTGCTGAGGCAGAGGCGATAAGATGGTCTCCGCACTCAGGGAGCATGGACCTTCCATCTTAGAAATACAAAAAAATTGTACCCTCATCAGCACTGAAAATATCAAGTTCTGGCTTTGTGATTTTTTTAAATCAGGTCAATTCACTTTTCCCAGTCTCAGTTTCCTCACCTGAAAACATGGAGACCGGACTAAGTAATCCTTATGAACTCTTTCAGCTTAAAATTTTATAACTGTGACTTAAATTAAGTTCTCCTTGGCTACCTTCAAGATTTCTCTGAAGCTCAGTTTTTCCATTAGCTACAAGGCCAAGGAGAATAATTTCAAAAGAACGATTTGTTTGTTTTCTGGTTATTGGACATTTTTAAGGGGAAAAGTGGAAAGGAGTGGAGTGGAGTCAACCTGGTGATGATTTCTATGAGTTTTTGTTTGTTTGTTTTGAGACGGAGTCTTGCTCTGTCACCCAGGCTGGGGTGCTGGGGTGCAATCTCAGCTCACTGCAACCTCTGCCTCCTGGGTTCAAGCGAGTCTCCTGTCTCAGCCTCCCGAGGAACTGGGAGTACAGACGCACTCGACCACATCAGGCTAATTTTTGTATTTTTAGCAGAGACAGGGTTTCACCATGTTGGCCAGGCTGGTGTCGAACTCCTGACCTCAGGTGATCTTCCCGTCTCGGCCTCCCAGAGTGCTACGATTATAGGCGTGAGCCACTGCGCCCGGCCAATTTCTATGAGTTTTTAACAGCTTGTCTTGTTTCACACATCACAATTGGAGTCCAGCACCTCCTTTCATGTAGAAAAGATGCAGATTAGGTTAAAAAATACTTAGGAAGCATTGCCAGTTCAGAAGTGAGCAGAACTTTATGGCAGTTCTCTGCAGTCAGCACAGAGAGCCGAATACAGAGAGGATCATCTAGCCATTATCCACTATGATAGCTGTTTCTCTTCCTCTTAGCCCAACATATTCCATACTATCCCAGAATGATTTCTGCTGCATGGAAGCATTTGTATAAATGGGGAGGAAAGGACAGGGAACTGTGATACTCAATGCAGAATGTCTTTACAGAATAAAAGATGTGATAAACCCTGTTACCTAGAGAGCAGTTAGCAATTGACCTTAGTTATTTAGAACATAATTAAAGATTGGAAGAAGAGGAAATTTTTGATCAAGCCAGATAGAAGCCTCCTCATCCAAGGACTAAAGAACATATGCATGATTCATAAGAAAGATCTTCAAACTATTCAATTCAAATTTAGACATGACTCAAATAATTGATTTTCTCATTACCCAGGCCATCACAAAATAGAAACAGTAGCTTAATTAAAATGTGAGGCTACGGCTGGGTGCAGTAGCTCATGTCTGTAATTCTAGCACTTTGGGAGATCGAGGTGTGTGGATCACTTGAGGTCAGGAGTTCAAGAGCAGCCTGAGCAACATAGCGAAACCCCTGTCTGTCCCTACAAAAAATACAAAAATTAGCCAGGCATGGTGGTGCACGCCTGTAGTCCCAGCTACTTGGAAGGCTGAGGCACGAGCATCGTTTGACCCAGGGAGATGGAGGTTGCAATGAGCCGATATTGCACCACTGCACTCCAGCCTGTGCCACAGAATGAGACTCCTTCTCAAAAACAACAACAACAACAACAAAACCGTGAGGCTAAGTACTAGAAATGTACTGAACTGGCAGCCAACAGAAAAGAGAAGGCAGAAAAAGTATTAAAAGAAATCAACATAAGTTAAAATAAAAGCCACCCTATGGTCATTTATATATATACTTCAATTACACTTGCTGAAGTGCATTACTTTTATTTGTATTTAATTGACACAAAATGTTTACTATATGTCAGGTGGTTTTGTTGTTGTTATTGTTGTTTTACAAAAACTACATCATTTAGTCTTTATAAATAACTGTATAAAGTACAGGCCGGGTGCAGTGACTCACACCTGTAATCCCAGCACTTTGGGAGGCCAAGGCAGGCAGATCACTTGAGGTCAGGAGTTCGAGACCAGCCTGGCCAGCATGGCGAAACCCTGTCTCTACTAAAAATACAAAAATTAGCCAAGAGTGGTGGGGTGTGCCTGTAATCCCAGCTACTTGAGAGGCTGAGGCAGGAGAATTGCTTGAACCCAGGAAGTGGAGGCTGCAGTGAGCCAAGATCAGGCCACTGCACTCCAGCCTGGTGACAGAGCAAAGCCCTGTCTCAAAAAATAAAAAATAACTGTCTAAAGTACAAAGAGGCTAAATAACTTGCCCAAGACCATACCACGCATTACTGGCAGAGCCAGGATTCAACCCAGGTGGTCTAGTTCCAGAGTCTGTTTGCTGCACTACCAGGCCAGGCTGCCTCACCTGACAACCCTTACAGCATGAAGGCCGGTTACCATTCACTATTCATGATGACTGCCATCAATAAATGGGAGAAGGGATACCAACATATTCTGTTCAATAATGCCAGGAAATAAAAAGTATCTTCTTCCAAGGTAATGATGTCAATACTACTAATGTCATAGTAGTGTAATAACATTATTAATATGTGGCCTTTGGGATAACTGGAAAGTCCAGTGACCTGATTGACTTCTCATTCCCTATTAATAAAAGATAAGTAAAAATAGCAATTTTATAGTTCAATTTTTTTTCCATTCTAAGCAACAAACATTATCTTGGACTTCTATATTGAAATTTGCTTACTGTATCAGTTTGTTCTCATGCTGCTGATAAAGACATACCCAAAACTGGGCAATTTACAAAGGCAAGAGGTTTAATGGCGAACTCATAGTTCCATGTAGCTGGGTAAGCCTCACAATCATGGCAGAAGGCAAGAAGGAGCAAGTCACATGTTAAGTGGGTGGCAGCAGGCAAAAAGAGAGCTTGTGCAGGGAAACTCCCATTTTTAAAACCATCAGATCTTGTGAGACTCATTCACTACCATGATAACAGCACAAGAAAGACTCACCCCCAAAATTCAATCACCTCCCACTGGGTTCCTCCCATGACATGTGGGAATTGTGGGAGTTACAATTCAAGATGAGATTTGGGTGGGGACAGAGTCAAACCATATTATTCCATCCCTGGCCCCTCCCAAATCTCATATCCTTACATTTCAAAACTAATCATGCCTTCCCCACAGTCCCCCAAAGTCTTAACTCATTTCAGCATTAACTCAAGAGTCCACAGTCCAATGTCTCATCTGAGACAAGGCAAGTCCCTTCCGCCTATGAGTCTGTAAAATCAAAAGCAAGTTAGTTACTTCCTAGATACAATGGGGGTACAGGCATTGGGTAAATACAGCTATTCCAACTGGGAGAAATTGGCCAAAACAAAAAGGCTACAGGGCCCACGCAAGTCCAAAATCCGGCGGGGCAGTCAAATCTTAAAGCTCCAAAATGATCTCCCTTGACTCCATGTCTCACATCCAGGTCATGCTGATGCAAGAGGTGGGTTCCCATGGCCTTGTGCAGCTCTGCCCTTGTGGCTTTGCAGAGTACAGCCTCCCTCCCGGCTGCTTTCATGGGTTGGCACTGAGTGTCTGTGGCTTTTCCAGACACATGGTGCAAGCTGTCAGTGGATCTACTATTCTAGGGTCTGGAGGACAGTGGTCCTCTTCTTACAGCTCCACTAGGCAGTGCCCCAGGAGGGACTCTGTGTTGGCTCCAACCCCACATTTCTCTTCTGCACTGCCCTAGCAGAGGTTCTCCATGAGGGCCCTGCCTCTTCAGCAAACTTCTTCCTGGACATCGAGGTGTTTCCACACATCCTCTGAAATCTAGGCAGAGGTTCCCAAACCCTAATTCTTGACTTCTGTGCACTGGCAGGCCCAACATCATGTGGAAGCTGCCAAGGCTTGAGGCTTGCACCCTCTGAAGCCATGGCTTGAGCTCTACATTGGCCCCTTTCAGCCATGGCTGGAGTGGCTGGGATGCAGAGCACCAAGTCCCTAGGCTGCATACAGCATGGGGACTCTGGGCCTGGCCCACAAAATAACTTTTTCCTCCTAGGCCTCTGGGCCTGTGATGGGAGGGGCTGTCATGAAGACCTCTGACATAGCCTGGATACATTTTCCCCATTGTCTTGGGGATTAACATTCACCTCCTCATTACTTATGCAAATTTCTGCAGCTGGCTTAAATATTGCCTCAGAAAATGGGATTTTCTTTTCTATTGAATTGTCTGGCTGCAAATTTTCTGAACTTTTATGTTCTGCTTCCCTTATAAAACTGAATGCCTTTAACAGCACCCAAGTCATATCTTGAATGCTTTGCTGCTTAGAAATTTCTTCCACTAGATACCCTAAATCATCTCTCTCAAGTTCAAAGTTCTGTAGATCTCTAGGGCAGGGGCAAAATGCCACCAGTCTCTCTGCTAAAACATAACAAGAGGCACCTTTGCTCCAGTTCCCGACAAGTTCCTCATCTCCATCTGAGTCACTTCAGCCTGGACTTTATTGTCCTTATCACTATCAGCATTTTGGGCAAGCCATTCAACAAGTCTCTAAGAAGTTCCAAACTTTCCCACACTTTCCTATCTTCTTCTGAGCCCTCCAAACTGTTGCAACCTCTGCCTGTTACCCAGTTCCAAAGTTGCTTCCACATTTTCAGGTATCTTTTCAGTCTCTAAACATCAAGGCAAAAATCTCACAACCAAAGAAGAAAAATAATTAAGTTGTAGTCACAGAAAAAGTTGCTTAAAACTCAATCCCTTCCTTGTAATGAGATTTATGATTATCAGATAAAATATTAAATCCACCCTATATAGTAATATAATTTAAATGCTTAGATTTGGGCTATGGAAGTAGAGAATTGATAAAGAATATGAAAAAAGTTCGGCTCTTGCCATCTCTTTATTTATGGAGTAAATAACTACTTGAAATTCTCTGGAACATTTTGTTCATATCATCAGATTTACACCACCCTTTTTACCCCTGTATGAAATTTCATTCCTAAACCACTAATTGTAGGGTTGGCTTTATTTGAAGTTTTAGGAGTAGCTCTCTGTGTGTGTGTGTGTGTGCGTGTGTGTGTGTGTGTAAGAGAGAGGGAGAGAGAGATAGAAAGAGAGGGAGAGAGAGAGAGAAAGAGAGAGAGGGAGAGAGAGATTGAGTTTATATTGTGTGTGGCCAAAGAAGGAATTATTTACTTCTTTAAAAGAAATATCAATAATGTGCAGCCAAGACAACAGCCAAAGGAAGAGGAAGCCCAGTCCTGGCCAGAGAAAGTAAAGCCAAAAATAATCTGGCTGGAGGAAGGAAAGACTACAGAAATGATGAAGCTAGTGAGTGTTCAATGCTGAGAACATTTAACCTTTCATTATTATCACATGTGGATTTCCTGTAAGCTCTTCAAGACTCAAATGTGACCCATGTTCACACATATGAATTGAGGAACTGGTTCTAACACATATGTTCTAATTGCTTCCTTAAATTTATGTCTCTTTATTTTATCAGTAATTTTTATTTTATTTTTATTCTTATTTTTTTTTGAGATGGAGTCTCGCTCTGTCGCCCAGGCTGGAGTGCAGTGGTGCAATCTCCACTCGCTGCAACCTCCACCTCCTGGGTTCAAGCGATTCTCATGCCTCAGCCTCCCAAGTAGCTGGGATTACAGGCATATGCCACCACAGCCTGGCTAATTTTTGTATTTTTAGTAGAGACGGGGTTTCACCATGTTTACCAGGTTGGTCTTGAACTCCTGGCCTCAAGCAATCTGCCCACCTCAGCCTCCCAAAGTGCTGGGATTACAGGCGTGAGCCACTGTGCCCAGCCATTTTATCAGTAATGTTGAAGTGATATGAAATCTGCCTCCTCTTATTGTATCAATTTTTAAAAATTGTTTTATACTTGATATATTTCTTGGTTTATATTTCATACTATTCTCAGTCTACATTTTTCATTTTGACTCAATACAAAATCATAGCCATTTTTTTTTTTGAGACAGGTTCTCGCTCTGTCACCCAGGCTGAAGTACAGTGTCACAATCACAGCTCACTGCAGCCTCGATCTCCCAGGCTCAAGAGATCCTCCTACCTCAGCCTCCCAAGTAGCTGGGACTACAGGCACTCGTGCCACCACACCTGGCTAATTTTTGTATTTTTTGTAGAGACAGTTTGGACACATTGCCCAGACTGGTCTTGAACTCCTGGATTCAAGTGATTCGCCTGCCTCAACCTCCCAAAGTGCTTTGATTACAGGCATACACCACCACGCCTGGCCCATGGTCATTCTTGAGTGATCAAGCAACTTTGAAATTTTAACCTCGGGCCAGGTGCAGTGGCTCACACCTGTAATTCCAGCACTTTGGGAGGCCCAGGCAGGCGGATCATGAGGTCAAGAGATCGAGACCATCCTGGCCAACATGGTGAAACCCTGTTTCTACTAAAAATACAAAAATTAGCTGGGCATGGTGGCACATGCCTGTAGTCCCAGCTACTCAGGAGGCTGAGGCAGGAGAATTGCTTGAACCTGGGAGGTGGAGGTTTCAGTGAGCCGAGATTGCCCCACTGCACTCCAGCCTGGTGACAGAGTGAGACTCAGTCGAAAGAAAGAAAGGAAGGAAGGAAGGAAGGAAGGAAGGAAGGAAGGAAGGAAGGAAGGAAGGAAAAAGAAAGAAAGAAAGAAATTTTAACCTCAAGTGCACAGGATGGAATTAATCATATCTTTTATTTTATGGCACCCTATATTTATTGGTTCATGCAAGGTCCTTCTTTTCATCACCATCCCCTTTCTTCCTTTATCTCCAGCCCCAACTGTAGCACTTGATGTCTTTGATATATGTATTTAAATAACCAGTTATCCTTGTGAAGTGCATACTGTTACTTTGTGTTAAAATGCATGTTCTAAATTTATGTTAATGACATTGTACCATAGAACCAATTGTTCCTATTTCTTTCACTATATCATATGTTTTTAAGATCTGTCTACTTTGCAATATGTGCATCCAGTTTGGTGCTTCTAATAGTTGAATGACACCCCATGGTAACCATCCAACACAAATTACCTAGCCATTCTCCTGGTATGGTTCACTAGGCTACTTCCACCACCAGCACCCCTACCACCGCTATGAATAATACTGGGATAAACATTCCCATATATTAGTCCTCTGTAAAAATAAAATAAAATAAAATAAAAGTCACGGACTGTTTCAGAGTCCTAGGTGTAACACTTTCATTTCATAGCCAAAGATCCTACATTGCAAGGAGTTAAGAATTTTGTAGCTTGCAGCCAAAGGAGAAAAATCATCAAATTTCAGGACATAACTAATAGGGACAGGACCAGGACTAGTTTTCTCCACTCTGAGCATACTCTGGATCACTCAACATACTCACCAGGCTTATAAGACGCAATCTTTTTAAATTAAATAAATTTCATCACACAGGTATTGAAAATGGGCATTGATGTGGCTTCAGATAATCCAGTGTGCTAGATCTTAGAAATCAAAGTTCCGAATATGTTACTATATTCTACTAGCTGATAAAAAAGGATAAAATCGCAAGCCAAGAGGAAATACAGTGGCATCAGTGCACACAGGTACATAGCAGGCTGCCATTATACAATGTATTTATAACTAAAATGCTGGGGAATTACCCAAACTCTACCTTCAACCACCTGTGGGGTCTGCTATTTTTGTTAGGAAATCTCCTAAGGGATATGAGGCTGGTGTTTTGGGGGAGCTGCTCTGTGCTTCTGAGCTCACCCCTGGGGCCTCATTTGTCATTGTGAACCTTCTGCACTAGGCACTGAAAAGAGTCATTTTTGGAACCATTGGTGGGAGGTAGGGGTAATAGAATGCAAATACCTGGGTCCCCTTGGACAGGCTGCTTAACTTTTATGAGACTTTGTTTCCTCATCTAAAATCTGAAATTTGGTATATAACTGACAATGAATAAAAGGTATCATTTTTCTTCATACTTATTTTTAGCTAACGTCTATATGTTCCATTATACATTATAACAAATGTGAGTTTAGTTTTTAGTTATGATATAAAAATGAAATACAGATTTCTTTATTTTCTGCATTACACAGATTCTCACTTTGTTGATCACTCTTAAAATTAGTGAAATAATGTGTATGATGTGTGCAGAGGCAGATTTACCTTAAAGCTAATGAAGCCATGAGTTCTGGAAGTTGTTGGGAGTTATAGAGTATTCTAGGTGGGGAGAGGAAGACAGACTGTGCTTGGAAACATTACTATATGTGTTTCTGATAAATTGCCTAAAAAGAACTCAGAAGAAAGGGACCAGAATTCTAAATCTTCATAATATGTTGTGAAATTTTTTCTATTCTTTTTTTTTTTTTTTTTTTTTTTTGAGACGGAGTCTCACTCTGTCGCCCAGGCTAAAGTGCAATGGTGCAATCTTGGCTCACTGCAACCTCCACCTCCCTGGTTCAAGCGATTCTCCTGCCTCAGCCTCCCGAGTAGCTGGGATTATGGACACCCACCATCGTGCCTGGCTAATTTTTGCTAATTTTTGTAGAGACAGGGTTTCACCCTGTTGGCCAGGCTGGTCTTGAACTCCTGACCTCAGGTGATCCCCCACCTTAGCCTCTCGAAGTGCTGGGATTACAGGTGTGAGCCACTGCGCCCAGCCTATTTTTTCTATTCTAAATATATACATATATTTTTTATTTTATACTTAATTTTATATTTGTAATTTGGGGTCCTTTTTTTTCAAAAGGGACCCCTTGAATTACTTCAGACTTTACAAAACCTAGTTTTGCCCTTCAATGTATATAACATTGTAATTTAACATTATGAACAAAAACACATAGATAAATTTCAACTTTTCACACAGAAAAGATTTCTGGGCAGAAAAGTCTTCTAAATTAAATCCTTGGATAAGTCACTCTCCTTTCTGGGCCTTAGCTTTCTCATCTTAAAACATGTAGATTTGACTGGCCCCATAAGACCTTTCCAACTCAGAAAATCCTAACTTCATCATACCTGTCTTGCCATACTTTCAACAATATAATAAATAATATTTTAAATGAACTCCATAGTGAATCCTCATTTTAAAAAAAAATTAAGCCTTCAGTAGTGTAAATAATTATACCGACCCTCCAATTAAGTATTCATTTTGTAAATGTAAATGAATGAGAATGATTCTTTTTTTTTTTTTTTTTTTTGAGATGGAGTCTTGCTCTTTTGCCCAGGCTGGAGAGCAGTGGTGCAATCTTGGCTCACTGCAACCTCCGCCTCCCGGGTTCAAGCAATTCTCCTGCCTCAGCCTCCCAAGTAGCTGGGATTACAAGCGCACGCCACCACGCCAGGCTAAATTTTGTATTTTTTTAGTGGAGATGGGGTTTCATCAAGTTGGCCAGGCTGGTCTCAAACTCCTCATGTTGTGATCCGCCTGCCTCAGCCTCCCAAAGTGCTGGGATTACAGGTGTGAGCCACCGTGCCTGGCCAAAAAAAGTTCTTAACCTAAAGCATGCTAGTTATAGCATTTCACTAGAGAACTCATTTGCTTTATAAGGATGGGAACGTTTCTTCTACTAAGTCTAGTTGAAACTGACTGATAAAACTACATGCTGATTTTCATTTAAATCACTTCTTGAAATAATCCATTCTGAAAGAGGAAGAGGTATTTTTACAGTCCCAATGAGATCAACTAAAATCTCTGTGTTAATCAAATTGTTTTAGAAAGTACGAACAAAATAGATGAGACATTTATGAAAAATCAATGACAGTTGTTTCTCTTCTGAACTTAAGATATTTGACAAGATCTGAGAAGACTTTGAAAGGAAACAAAAATGATAATCTAGTTCAGTTCTCAAGAACAAAAAAAAATTGGCTTATTGGGCAATAGGGGTAGATTGTTAGAAATAAGACGAAATTGGTATGATAGAGTCAGGATTTTCTGAGTTGGAAGGGACCCTACGGAACCATTCAGATTTACATGTTTTAAGACAACAAAGCTGAGGCCCAGACAGAAGAATGACCTGCTCAAAGTCACATAACCAGATAGGCCAGAACTGGGCTAGACGCTGTGACTACAAATCGGGTACGTTTTCTCCTTCATTGACCTGAGTTCATAGAACCATTTGAATGATTTCATGCTTCTGTGCACAATTGAGAATTTATGGCACAAAACAGGGAACAAATTTTGCTCTACCCAGTATCAAATTTTATGATGAAGTTACAGCGACTAAGGCCATGGGTATTAGCAGTGATGGGTTCAGAACATTCTACCTTAAAATGTGGCACCTTGACCTTTGAGGAAACAGCAGAAGCAGGAAGGTCATTCTCACCTTTCCCTCACCCTTCTCTCTTGAAGTAGCTCATAAAACCTTCATTCCAGAAGTATCCTCCCCTATACCCAGAGAAAAGAACTGTCTTTACCCTTGAAGACACAAAGTCGCCAAGAAGGATCTGGACAGGCTTTGCTAAGTTCCTCCCAGTTTATTACCATTAGATCATACCCCTTTTGTCCAATCAGACTTCTGCAAGACTGACCACTCTTCATCAAACCTAAGCATAAAAATACACAGGTTTCTCTGGTTTCTTTGGTTGGGCAGTGGGCAGTGGGGGCGGGGGGCTTCATTTCCAAAGACAATTCTGTAAAACTTATATTAAATAAATGTGTACGCTTTTCTCTTGTTAATCTGTTTTTTATTATAGGTGTCACAACAATGAACTTTTTGATAGGTGAGAAAAAGATATTCCTGGAATCTTTGACAAGATCTGAGAAGACTTTAAAAGGAAAAAAAAAATGATAATCTAGTTCAGTTCTCAAGAACAAAAAAAAATCAGCTTATTGGGCCGATATTCCTGGAATATCTTTTTCTCCCTCACAGCACAAAGCCAGACAAGGAGATCCATGGAACACAATAGAGTGGCCAGAAATTAGACCCACACACATATGGAATCTTGATGCATGAAAGTGGTGATTTGTAGATCAGAGGGTAATGATGGCCAATAAATAGCACTTGAATAAAATCCGTATTAAAAAACTGGATCACTACTTCAAATTGTATGCACATGTGCACATGCACACACACACATATACCCATTCCATATCCATGAAGTGAAATAAAACCAAAACTATTTAAAGTGTTTAGAAGTAAGAGAACATGTCTATGACATTAGGATAAAGGAGAATTTCTTAAACAAAACACAAACTCACAAACCATAAATGGAAAGTTTCTTTCATTCAACTACATTGTTAAAAATGCATCAAAAGAGCTGAGCATGGTGGTGCACACCTGTAATCCCAACTACTTGGGACTGAAGCAAGAGGATCACTTGAGCCCAGGAGTTGAAGTCCAGCCTGGGCAAAATAGCAAGACTCAATCTCAAAACAAAACAAAACAAAACAAAACAAATCATCAAAAGGCACATAATATTTTTACATAGGTAGATTCATTTGTAAACATTTATAGAACTATACCCTTAAGATTTCTACCCCCATTTATGTCTATTATATTTTAATTTTTTAAAAGTTTACCCAAAATAAGACACTATAATAAAAATCAAGGAGACGGCAATACTCTGGGACAAGATATCTGCAACACTATAACCAATAAAGGATTATAATTCAAAATATATAAATTTTGAATATATAATATATAACTTTCTCAAATCTAGAGAAAAACATTGAATAACAAAATAGAAAAGTGTACCAAAAATATGAATAGGCAAGTCATATAATACGACATATAATGGCTAATAGACATTAAAAAAAGTTCAATCTCATTGGTCACATATAAATGAAAATAACAATGAGGAAACATTTTACACACATTTAACTAGCAAACTTCAATTAAAGTCTGGCAAGACCAGGTATTCGTGAGAATGCAGAGCACCAGAAGCTTTTATACATTGCTGGTGGGAGTAAAAATTGGTAAAAGGTACTTAGGAAAATTTGGAAATATTCATTGTTAGGAACAAATGTTATAATCCAGCAGTACCCCTCTAAGTAAATACCAGAGAGAATATTACATGTTCACGGGGAGATATGTGGAAAGATATTCCTAAAAGCCTTGCCTGCTCATAACGTAAAAAAAAAAGCAACCTAAAAGTACAACCAACAAAAGGAAGATTTGTAAGTTGCAGTGTAGTCAAACAATAGAATACTATATGGCTGAGAAAATCAATGAACTGGACCTAAATATATAAACATGGATAAATTTCATTAAAATAATGTTAAGTGGAAAAGAGGAATTTACAGAAAAAGACTATGATTCTGGCTCATCGTCTGACTTTATCTTGACTGACAGTTTACCAAAACCTTCTGGAGGAGTCGGTGGACCAGGGAATGAGCGAGTTCTGAGAAACACTGGGCTCACCACAACTGGGACATTTGGCAGAGGACAGTATAGGCCAGGTGCTAGACAACAGGCAGGAATCTTCCTCATATTTCCTACTTCTATTCTTACCTTGACCAACCTCCAGCTCTCAGGAACAGGTCCGAGCAGAACATCCCTATGGAGGGAATGACTGTCCTCAGCTGACCCAAGAAGGAGAAGAGATCGGTACTTCATCTACATGTGACCCAGGAAAGCCAAGTACAGATAAACACTGGGCCAGGTTCACGCAGCCATTTTTAGTTCAAAAAGATGATGCCATATATATCTCTTGGTTCACACGCTCCAATCTGGGTTTTAAGCTTGATGCACAGTTGTCATCCTAGCAACTCTCTTCACCACCATCCTGGGGAGTCCTTTTCATCTTTCCCCTGTGTTGTGTATCCTGTTTCTTTGTCTCCCCTGGCTTCCTCCTTCTTCATTCACTCATTTTTTTCAGCTGCCAGTATTTGGGGAGCTAAGTGGGAGGAGAGAGTTAAGGGGATTCAACAATCAATACATACATTTATTTAATCGCCTTCTTTTATGTATGGTATTCATGCTCTCAATCGATTGTGTCTGGTTTCCTCCAGATCAGAGGCTCTTGTTTACCATCTGCAAAAAACCAGCATGCAGCCTTCAGTTGTGGTGGTAATGAGGTTCTCTCCTAGGGTATGCAGTGCCAGGGGAGCCTAGGGATCTGCATGCTTCTTACCAATCCACTTTAGCTCTCAACCAATCCTCTTTATTTATTTTACTTATTTACTTATTTGAGATAGGGTCTCACTCTGTCACCCAGGCTATAGAGTGCAGTAGCACGAACACGGCTCACTGCAGCCTGGACCTCCTGGGCTCAAGCAATCTTCCCAGCTCAGCTTCACGAGTAGCAGGGACTATGGGTGCATGCCACCATGCTTGGCTTTATTTATTTATTTATTTATTTATTTATTTATTTATTTAGTAGAGACAGGGTTTCACTTTGTTGCCCAGACTGATCTCAAATTCCTGGGTTCAAGTATTCTGCTAGCCTCAGCCTCCCAAAGTGCTGGGGTTACAGGTGTGAGCCACTGAGCCACTACTGCTAGTCCTCTTTTTTTTTTTGGAGACGGAGTCTTGCTCTGTCACCCAGGCTAGAATGCAGTGGCATGATCTTGGCTCACTGCAACCTCCGCCTCCTGGGTTCAAGCAATTCTCCTGCCTCAGCCTCCCAAGTAGCTGGGACTACAGGGACCTGCCACCACGCCCAGCTAATTTTTTGTATTTTAGTAGAGATGGGGTTTCACCGTGTTGCCCAGGCTGGTCTCGAACTCCTGAACTCAGGTAGTCCGCCTGCCTCGGCCTCCCAAAGTGTTAGGATTACAGGTATGAGCCACCAGGCCGGGACTTAGTCCTCTTTTAGCCTCACTTCCCTTCTACTCCTGCAGCCCTGACGCCACCTATTTTGAGGCTTTTCAGGGTTGTGTGGCATAAATCCAGTTGGTTCTCATCTTCACAGCGTCAGTTTAGGATTTGGCATTCTCAGGTTTACTGAGTCAGTACCCACTACTGCATCGGCTTTCCAGCTTCTAAAATGCTGCTGCTGTGGATTCCCATTGGCATGTGCAACAAAACACAAACTAAGCCTAGGTGTTACACGAAAAATCAAGCGTCTGTTTTGTGTGATTTCTAGGTAGGTTCCTACTGTTCGGTTGGGGAGGCAACCACAGTCTTCTTGTTGCCTTAGGTTTATGCCTTTAATTAAAGATTCCTCTATGTGTAGCTGAAGTGGGAGTGCAGGAAGAATTGAAATTATATCCGTGTATCTTTACCTGACAGTTTATATAACCATATAACTACAGTTTAATTGCTTACATCTTTTGTAGAGCTTAAATATGACATAATTAGTTAATGAAAAGATTGAGAAACCACAGTAAAGTTATGAAGGCATCATCCTGCCTCCCCATAGATAGAGATCTTGAAAACTTCATCTATGTTTAGACAGGGCAGAATCATAGAGTTTGAGACCACAAAGTCCAACACTCTCCTTCTTATTTTCAAGAAAAGGAAACTGTTCAGAGAGTTGACACAATTTATTCATAAACGTTAGTAGCAGAACTAAAATTATCTGCAGAATCTCCTGATTGTGGGTTAAAGTTTTTTTGTTACAGGTCCAAAGCCAGGAGCTAGCGTTTTTTTCATAGTTGACTAAACGGTTTCCCTATATATTCAATTCTTATTTAATTTAGGTTTTTCTCTACTAACAACATTTGCATTTCCTTTTTTTTTTTTTTTTTTTTGGAGACAAGGTCTCACTCTGTCACCCAGGCTGGAGTGTAGTGGCGCAATCTCAGCTAACTGCAACCTCTGCCTCCTGAGTTCAAGTGATTCTCATACCTCAGCCTCCCCAGTAGCTGGGATTACAGGCACGCACCACCATGCTCAGCTCATTTCTTTGTATTTTTAGTAGAGACAGGGTTTCACCATGTTGGCCAGGCTGGTCTTGAACTCCTAACCTCAAATGATCTGCCTGCCTTAGCCTCCCACAGTGCTGGGATTACAGGCGTGAAACCACCACTCCCGGCCAACATTCACATTTCTTAGAGGTCTCAGCAATCACACCCCAAGCAAGAAAAACTAAATTTACACATATTACTTGAAACAGTTATCCAACCAGATATTTTTATGTGAAAAATCTATTCTGAAGTAAGTGACAAATAAGAAAATATTAATCAGTTTCTCATGCTTGATTAATCTGGGCTAGCTCAGGCCTCCTCCTTCACATTATCACTTAGCCAGAGAGATAGAGATCAGATGACTGTACGCCAAGGAAGACCTGGGTTTCATTTGGTTTAGGGCACTCACTGAGTTACTCACTGTTCCTACAGATGGACGTCTTCAATTTTATACTCAGACTTACATTTCCATTCCCTTGGGTGATGTGTTGCAACATCCCCTCTG
Organism: Homo sapiens; assembly: GCF_000001405.40. Lineage (NCBI taxonomy): Eukaryota > Metazoa > Chordata > Mammalia > Primates > Hominidae > Homo > Homo sapiens. The sequence continues at coordinate 63,682,462 of NC_000010.11, read as the reverse complement.
ATTTTCCATGTTGTCTTAGGAACACAGCCTTCTAAGGGATTCAGGAAGCACACACACCAACAAGGATTCAATCACGAACATTCATTCCATTTAAGCAAAGTTGACTCCCTGCCTTTTCTCCTTTGCAAACCAATGTGTGCAATAGCTTATAGATAATTATGCATTCATTTGAAGACTTCAAGAACAGGGGACTCAGGCAGAATTTGTCAAAGCAAAGAAAATGATCAGATAGTTTTCATATCTCAGAGTTTTCAAACTCTGCCAAATAACTCCATAAAAATGTCCAATAAACACACACACACACACACACACACACACACACCGCTGAGCTACTGATAAAGTATTTCTGAATAAGTGAGTCTTCCAGAATGTTTTCACTTGTTATTCTTTTTTTTTCACAGAAAAACTTTATAAAATTCATTTATTTACTTGACTTCAGAAATCTAAACCAAATTTGTAAATACTTGAGTAAGAAGCAGATAGGACAAATGGAGGGAAAGTTCCATTCCTCAGACACATTCTTTAACTTAGCAGCAGCAACACTACCCTCAAACACACACCATTCTCTACTGATTGTGATAAAGGATCTTAAATATTGGATAGTTTGACATTAAATATAATGCTAGAATGTGAAGTAACCAGATTGCAAGATGATTCACAGATCCTTGATTTGTGATTTTATTTTATTTTTTGATTTGTGATTTTAAATGTGAGCATGAGATAATATTTCCGTGGGGCTTTATATTTACCTGTGCCTGACGTGGCCCAGAATTACCTGCCACAGTGAAGACAGGTAAATGGATGCAAATCAGCTGCCTGCCATTAAATTCTTCTGCTTCTCAAAATCATTAGGACAAGTTGGGAATGCAGTACAGCTCAGCCCTGCACTTCCCTTAGTCTAGTCTCTCGGGTTCAGTACAGCGTCCCCAGTTTCCATTCTTCTGGGAATGGAAGACAACATTCCTTTCACAAGAGCCTTCCATTCAGCATGAAGGAAAAATGGAAACCAAGGAATAAACAGATGCATAAAGCTGCATACACTTCTCCTTCCTGTGTTCTTTCTCCTCTGTATCTCCGTGTTCTTGTGAGAGATGAAATCAGAAATAATAGCTCATATAGATGAAGAATTTTATATACCCTGAGCTCTTCACATAGGCTGTCTAGTTTAATCTTTGTACACACAGGAACATTGAGACCATTGTTATCCCTATTTTTTACATGAGAAAATGGATGCTTAGAGAAATTAAGTAACTTTCTCAAGGTCACTCAGCCGGCAGATGGTGAGCTAGATGCAAATCCAGACATCCTAAATCCAGCCATCACCCTTAACCAGTGCCTGACTGGGAATCGCCTCATTTGTTAGATTGTTAGAGCAGCTCCTCCCAGCATCAGTGGCCTACTTTTCGTTAAACTGTAAAATGTTACCTAGTTTTCTGCCTGGCACTATGTTGAGGCCAATTTGGAACCTCTATGAAAGAGATATCTTGAGAAATAATTTTAGTGCACAAATCATAATAAACACATGGATATTTTTCTTTTTAAATCAACTTGATTGAGGTATAATTTTTATACAATATGCACCATTTTCTGTGTATAGGTTGATGAGACAAATGCACATACTCATATACCCTCCATTCCACTGGAGATATACAATATTTCCATCACTCAAGAAATTCCTACCAATGATAGACTAGATAAAGAAAATGTGGTACATATACACCATGGAATACTATGCAGCCACAAAAAAGGATGAGTTCATGTCCTTTGCAGGGACACAGATGAAGCTGGAAACCATCATTCTTGGCAAATTAATACAGGAACAGAAAACCAAACACCACATGTTCTCACTCCTAAGTGGGAGTTGAATAATGAGAACACATAGACACAGGGAGGGGAACATCACACACCGGGGCCTGTCGGCGGGTTGGGGGGCTAGGGGAGCATTAGGAGAAATACCTAATGTAGATGACGGGTTGATGGGTGCAACTAACCACTATGGCACATGTATACCTATGTAACAAGCCTGCATGTTCTGCACATGTATTCCAGAACTTAAGATATAATTAAAAAAAGAAAGAAAGAAAAGAAAAAGAAATTCCCTTGCTGTCTTTTGCAGTCAATCCCCCAACAACCCCCATTTTCCAGCCCCAGGAAACCAATCATCTGCTTCTTGACATTACTTGACTGTACTTGTTACTTTAGACCGATAGAATCACACAATATATACTCTTTTGGTCTAACTTTATTAGCCCAATTTTATCTTTTTTAATATTCATCCATTTTTGCATGCATCAATAATTAATTTTTATTACTGATTAGTTTTCCATTGAGTGAAGATGTTCCAAATTTTTTCATCCATATCATTCATTCAATGATAAACATTTGGGTTGTTTACAGTTTGGGCTATCATGAATAAAGCTGCTAGGATCATTCAAGTGTAAGTCTTGCAGTAGAATTGGCTTAGTTATATGATAAATACATGAGCATTGCAGTTGCCCCACATCCTCACCAACACAGTATTATCAGTGTTTTTAATTTTCACCATTCTAGTGGATGAGTAGTGATCTTTTTGTTACTTACATTTGTGTTTTCCTGATGATAATAATGTTGAGCATCTTTTCTCATGTTTATTGACTATACATTTATCTTGTTCTTTTTAAAACTATTTTCATGTACACTACCAAGGTAGCAAACACTGGCAATATTTTCTTTACAAACTAGAGAAAACCAAAGAAATGTTATCCCTATACATTGTGTCTCTCTCTGGAAGAGGTTGCTCATAGTCTTTCAAGTTACCATCTGCTTTAGGAGACACTGGGCTTCTCTTCCATGTTTGGCCAATAGCTCTTGCTTCCTATCTCTGAAGCAAGCACAAAGTGAACATCCCCAAAATGTTTGAAATGAATTGAATTGAACTGAATTAAAGCAGCTACATGTATGCTCTTCAGGTAGAGCAAAAGACGCTTCACTGAGGTGGGGGTGAGGAGAATGGGACTCTGTTTTACCAAAGTTTACTTACAAGTATCCATTCTAATCAAAACACCATTTTCTATGCCTTATATTGTTTCATATTTCACCATTGACTTTTTCTTTTAAGAGACTAGGTCTCTTGATGCTGCCCAGGCTGGTCTGGAACTCCTGGCCTCACGTGATCCCCCTGCCTTAGCCTCCCAAAGTGCTAGGATTACAGGAATGTGCCACCATGCCCAGCCTCATCATCGACTATTTGATGTTCTTATACATCACGATGACAAAGACTAAGAGACTATACTTGCTTCAAAATAAAATTAGTTACAATCTACCAGCTTCTGTTAGGTTGAAAAAAAAATTATACTTTAACTTTTCATGCTAGCTTCTATTAGACACATTTCTCATATCACAGATTGTTTGACCTTCTGGGACTCAGGCAGGGTGGGCTACCATGGGAGTGTTTGTCTGTGACTTGTGCCTGACTTTTGTTTTCCTTCCCACCTTCTAAACTACCAGGTGCCCTGTGAGTTCACACTGTTTCTTAGCTACGTAAGCCTCTTGATTGTAGATCTCATTTTATTCAACCTTCTCAACCACAGAGCTCACCCATGAGATGAAATGTAATATGATACATTAATACAAAAATCTTAACTATTATTTTTATCCATCATCCTTAGTGGATAACGTTTGAGCAATAGATGTCTTGTTCCAAAGAAATTATGATTGAAATTCATAGGCCCTGTGGTAGGACAGGATCATGAGTAGGAAAGTTATTGACTTGGACCACATTTTTCTGTGCTTTGAATGTAATTGTGACTGACTATCCACAATAAGCCATGTTCAAACCTTCCTCATAACTCCTTGTTTTTAAAAGACAACAGCCACCCGTAGGAAAAACTCACATGGTGAGCTTTAGTTTACTCCATATGAATATTTCAATAACCTAAAAAGAAGTAGGAAGGAAAACACTCCAGAGGTTATTTGACACATCTGCCAGGGTAGGCTGGTCATGATGCTATAACCTACCACTGCACAGAATTCCATGCCATCTGTAATTTTCTAAGTAAATCTAAATAGACAACCAAAATTCATTTGAAATTGTTGGAAAAAAACCTACATAAAGCTTCTGCAAAGAATAAAACATAATCTACAACCAGTACTAGGACCAATGTTTCTTTGAAATGTCTATTATTATGTTATAAAAGCATCTTCTTGCAATTACAGCAACAAAATATACTACAAAGAATACTAAGATGAGCATCAAGAAATCCTCATCTTAGTAAATCCTTACAAAATCCTTTTGTCTCACCTCCACCACTCTAACTCTGAAACTCTGGACAAATCATTCATTCTCCACCTACAAAATCAGGACTGTAATAAATATTTCTCCCTCCTGAAAATAATAGAAAGATAAATATCTGCAACAGTGCCTTGAGTTACAGCATAAATTCAAGGTATTGGCCGGGCGTGGTGGCTCACGCCTGTAATCCCAGCACTTTAGGAGGCCGAGGCGGGTGGATCACAAGGTCAGGAGATCGAAACCATCCTGGCTAACACAGTGAAACCCCATCTCTACTAAAAAAATACAAAAAATTAGCCAGGCGTGGTGGCAGGTGCCTGTAGTCCCAGCTACTCGGGAGGCTGAGGCAGGAGAATGGTGTGAACCTGGGAGGCAGAGCTTGCAGTGAGCCAAGATCGAGCCACTGCACTCCAGCCTGGGCAACAGAGCGAGACTCCATCTCAAAAAAAAAAAAAAAAAAAATTTCAAGGTATTATTATTTTTAGTACAGAAAGCCTAGAAATAAATAACATATTGTCCTAACATTTTTATTATTTTAATTAGTGCACATTGAATGTTTTTTGTGGGCTTTTATTTGGCTCTTTGTGCAAGAGGTAGGCAAAGAAAAAAGTCATGTGAAAAGAAAGAAATAACAAGAGGAAATAAATGAGACAACTTTGATTAATGTATTATACTAAAAATTACTGGTAGAAATGAAAGGGCAATTCTAAATTAGATAGCTACAAGACATGAAATCCCCTTCCTAAGCTATTTCAAACAAGCTAAACAAAGAACACATGGCATTGTAAAAATGAAGTATTGGAAAGCTCAAATAGCTAAATGGTCTCCATGATTAGAAATAGAGAAAGTATATTAGCTAATAAATGGACCCCATTGTCGAGAAAGAATACATAAATCTCCCTAAGGTTCCAGATGTTCTCTTCTGCTTCTCTTTCAAAGTAAAAGACTAAGCATCAGAAGTTTCTGGTCCTTGATCTAATTTTGAAAGCTTTTGGGGCCTGGGGCCAACCATTGAACCTCAACAGTCAGTTTCATCTTCTATCACTAAGAACAACTGTCTCCACAGGCAAATAATATCAATCTTAAGATTTTTATATCTACTTGGTTGAAAACTCATTTAGCACATTTTAGGACTGTGAATAGCAGCCGATTGTTTATTTTCATGTTTAAAAATATGAAAAGATTTAGCACCCTTCATCTTAAAAAGGTAAAGGCTAACAAGACACAAAGTTAATGAATTGTAAGGACAAATTAAAAAATCGCTTTGTTTTTAACATGCTAGGATATTCTCTTTAGAAACTTGAGCAACCTGCACTTAGGACAAACAAAAACAAGTTCTGTGTTGAGCCATGGGATTCATAGGCAGAGGGTATCATATCACTATCATACAAGTAGTACAATTTTCTTTTCTTTGTTGTTTTTTTGAGATAGGATCTCATTTTGTTACCCAGGCTGGAGTGCAGTGACGCCATCTCGGCTCACTGCAACCTCCACCTCCCGGGCTCAAGTGATCCTCTCATCTCAGCCTCCCATATAGCTGGGATTACAGGTACATGCCACTACGCCTGGCTAACTTTTGTATTTTTTTGTGGAGATGAGCTTTCACCATGTTGCCCAGGCTGATCTTGAACTCCTGGACTCAAGCAATCCTCCTGCCTCTGCCTCCCAAAGTGCTGGGATTACAGTTGTAAGCCACTGCGCCCAGCCCACACATAGTACAATTTTCTGACTTAGGCCCACTTCTCTGTTGGAGAGTCTGTGATCTACAACCCAAATATGAAGATTTCTTCCAGAATGGGAAGATTGTCCAATTACTTTCAAGTTCCAGGGGTAGCTGGAAAAAAATAAAGGAAGAAATAAGCAGTGCATATTCCGGTCACTCTGCTTTATTTCTTCTCTGTTTCCCTGACAATGAAACTTCCACCTGAGGCTTTATGATGGAGAGAGGCTGATAAGCAGCAGTCCTGAGTGATACAGTGTGCAATTTGGGGTGGGTACCTCACACATTATTTTCTTCATTTCTGAAGACAAATCAAAGTCTTTAGCTTACTTTTTTTTATTATCAACAATGGTAACTATAAACACTATTCGTACCCCCAAATAATTTTCATATTAGTGATATTATTCATAATTCCAACATAAAAGCACAACATAGCAAAGACTTATTTTGGGGAAAGTCTGAAACAGTTAAAAATGACATTAAAAGGCCAGGTGTAGTGGCTCATGCTTGTAATCCCAGCACCTTGGGAGGCTAAGGTAGGAGGATTGCTTCAGCCCAGGAGTTTGAGGCCAGCCTGAGCAACATGGTGAGACCCTATCTCTACAAAAGATTTTTTAAAAAAGAAAATTAGCTGGGCATGGTGACATGCACCTGTGGTCCCAGCTACTTAGGAGGCTGAGGCGGGGTGATCCTTTGAGCCCAGGAGGTTCAGCTGTGTTTGTGCCACTGCATTCCATCCTGGACAACAGATGAGACTCTGTCTCAAAAAAAAAAGAAAAAAAAAAGACATAAAAAAAATCTACAGCCACAGAAAATATATGAACAATTTATAATCCAAATTGTGATTTGAATGCCATGGACAGATTAAAAAAACAAACAAACAAACCTCTCAGTAGAAGCAAAAGTTAATATACCCTAGGCCACTGGTTCTCAAAGTATTGTCCTTAGACCAGCAGCATTAGCATGACCGGATAACTTGTAAGAAACACACATTCTCAGATTCCATTCCAGACCTACTGGTTCAGAAATCTTGGAGATGGAGCCCAGGAATTTGTGCTTTAACAGGCTCTCCAAGTGAATCATATGCATTCTACAGTTTGGGAACAACTGCCCTAATCTGTATATATTATTATCCTTATTTTACCCATAAGGGAACTTGGGCTCATGCATAACCCAGCTAAGAGAGCCTGGGACAAGGGCCAAGCCGTGTGACTCCAAATCTCATGCCCAGTATTGAAAGGGAAAAGAAATGAGCTTAAGAATCAGAAAAATCTCTGATTCCTAAGACAGAAGCTTTTTTAGCTAAGGTAGAAAAAAATTATTTAAAACTTAGCCCTCAGAGATTTCACCTGTGATATAGGGATAGTAATAACGTAACCCCAAAGAGTTTTTGGTGAGAAACAAATTGGATAAGGTATAAAACCGTGATTTTAGACCATAAAGAGTCATAAAATTTTGATCATTACTTCTACGTCTTTTTGATCTTCTGAGAAAACATGTTTCGGTTGCTATATCATGTTTCTAACTACAGGATATACAACGAAAGTTTTAAACACAATCTACTTCCATTTTTGTTTCCCGCTATAAGTTTTTCCTCCAAACTGCAAAATTACATGAGCTATAACTTTACTCAAGACAAAGTTATGATGACCCATATTTCTGTATAGGGAAAAGGGATAATGCTAAGTGGCATTTTTCTAGAAAAGAATCAAGTGATTTTCATTTAACAAAAGCATTTATTTAAGATGAGATGATGTGTATCTTATGCTTTCAGTTTATAGGGGTGACTTTCACAAGTAAATTATCATTCTACATTTATTTTATACAAATAATTTTTTTTTTTTTAAACAGGGTCTCACTCTGTCACCCAGGCTAGAATGCAGTGGCATGATCATGGCTCCCTGCAGCCTCGACCTCTCAGGCTCAGGTAATCCTTCTACCTCAGCCTTTGGAGTAGCTGGGACCACAAATTAGCCAGCATGCCTGGCTAACTGTTATTTTTTTGTAGAGACAGGGTCTCGCCATATTACCCAGGCTGGCCTCAAACTCCTGGCCTCAAGCAATCTACCCACCTCAGCCTCCCAAAGTGTTGGGATTACAGGTGTGAGCCACCACGCACAGCCTGACATTTTTAATGTAACATTTATTGCATCCTAAGTGGCCTTTATATAGAAACCTCATAAACTATATATGCTTTCTTTAACACTATTATAAATAGCTCTGAAATTACAAAAAGCTATCAAAACAATTTTTAAATACCTGTATTTCTACTGATCAGCAATAGCTGCCTTTAGCATTTTGGTTTTTGTCTTTCCAGAATTTTTCACATATGCATAACACACTCATATATATTTAAACAAAATAGAGCATTTGATGTTTCCACTTATCAGTATATTGTGAAAATATTTCCAGGTAATCACTTCTGCTGAATCAGCTTAAATGCCTGCATTATATTCTACTGGATGGATGGATTAGATGGATGAATGAGGGATTAACCAATCACTTACTATTAGACATTTATATTTTTATAGTTATTTGTCTTTTTTAACATGATTCAGTGAACACTGCAGACTGGCCTAATTATCCTCTCAGAATACATTCTTAGAAGCAGACTTTCTGGATCAAAGAGAAGCACAATTTTAAGGCTTTTGATTCACATTCCAAATTGCCTTTACAGAAAGATTGTACTTTTACTCTTGCCAGTAGTATATAAGTGCCAGTTTTCCAACATTCTCCTCTTTGGAAAGAAAATCTTTTCCATTCTAATATGTCGAAATTATGTCAAAATATGTCAAAAATAATATTTCATTGTTATTTTAATATGCATGTATTTGATTACTAGTGAGACTGATCATCTTTTAATAGGAATAGCAGGCACTGTGAGGCCTTCCATATCCTCCAGCTTCCACCTCTGTAGCCACTGGCTGCTTACTCAGAGGACCTGTTGAAACAGGAAAGTTCCTGACTCCCCCAACACAGGATGTGCAACAGAGGTGTGGCTCCACTGTGTGTGCTCAAACCCCTTATGGGAGAGGCGGCACGCATATGGGCAGGTACGGGAGCCAGGGCAAGCGCCCCTGGGCTCTGGCCCCACAGCAGTGTCCAGGGGTGGAAGCCTGTGACTCCCAAAGCCCAAGTGGGCGTGTGTCATGGTGCGCTCCTTTAGCCTTGCTGTTCGTGGATGACTTAAGTGTTAACCAGGTCAGTGCCCTCTTGGTACCCAGGTGATTGTCCGGAGTCCAGGAAGAATCCGGTGGCACATGGACTTGAAGGATGAATGCGGGGATTTTATTGAGTGGTGGAGATGGCTCTCAGCAGGATGGATGGGGAGCTAGAAGCAGAATGAACTGGAAAGATGATCTTCTTCTGGAGGTTGGCTGTCCAGTGGCCCACCTCCTCTCCAAATGTCCCCAGCCAAAATCTTCTCGGCATTCAGACGCTCCTTCTCTTCTGTCATGCCGTGCTGCCATTCTTCTGCTCTTCTGTTCGTCTCCTTGTGGAGCCAGGGGTTTGGGGTATGGGTACATGATAGGGGGTGTGGTGGGCCAAAAGTCAACTTTTGGGTGCAAAAACAGGAATGCCTGTTCCCATTTAGGGCCGCAGGTTTCCAGGCTTGAGGGAGGGGCATTTGCCAGGGAACTGCCCTCTTCTTTCCAGCATTTCCCTGTCTCCTGTCCAGATCACTGTGACTGCTGAGAGTGTTTCTTTGGTTTAACAGCAGGAAGAAGCTGTGCAAGAGTAGCAGGAAGTGCCAGAGAATTAACACTCCAAGGAGCAACCAAGTTGAGGTATAGGTGCCCAGTGGCACCCTGTTGAGGGGTAAATATCCCGCTTGTTAGGTGCGGTAACTCTGGGGAATGTTTTACACTGTCTCCCAGAGCTCCCTGGCAGGACTGAATCCCAGTTGCCCACAAAGGAAATGGCTTGAGGTACCCTTTGCTGGCTTCCTTCCTTTCCCTATTTCACTTCCCCACTTCCTGTCAGTGTTTTCTAGGATCATCTCCCAAGTAAACAACTTGAACTTGAATCCTTGTCTCAGGATCTCTGTCTGGGCTAGGGAACCCAAACCAAGACAATACGTTTTTCTTTGTTTGCCTTATTTAGTCAATTACCTGATCATTCATATATTTTTCCCATTTTGATATTGGAATTAGAATTACCTATTTTAAAATACTAAGGAAGGAAATATTAAGAAGGAAAAGATATTTGTGAAGGGTGACACTGATAGGTCACAAATCAGGAGCTTGCCAGATAATTAGTTAGCATGAAATTCAAATTGTCTTGAGATAGGTTAAGATTTAAAGTATGACAAGTTATTAAAAACAACTATTATATTCCAAGGTAATTGTCCCCTTTTAATCTTAGATGTGTCTTTAGTGGCTATTGAACTAAAGATTTCTTGGAGATAAAAATGAACTAAAATGTAGGAAAAGGAAAAAAACTAGAAAACTATGGTGAGGAGAATATTTTAGCCAAGGTGTACTAAATGTGTTGATTGAGTGCTATAAGCAAAGCTACATTCAAAAGTGTAAATATGCTCAAAATAGACTGTGATTATTTTTAGGGAGTGATTATGGTTCAGTGAGAAAACTGTTGAGGAGGTTTAACATGGAGAGATATTTTGGGTCAGATGACATTTTCTAGTGTCTAAAATCAATATGTTCTTAATTAAAGCACCAATCTCCCAAGAAGGCTCTGAAAGGCATAAACAATGTTAAACTAAGCTGGATCAGAGCCCAGAAAGTCAGCCAGACTAGGAGTGCATACAACTAGGGAGGAAAGAAAAAAAAGGAAGAAAAAACAACTTTCAAATGCAACTAACGATTTGGAGTTGGGGGATGGAGACAGAGGAGGGGGTAGAGACAACAAAAGAAAATTGCCAGTTTGCATCTTGCTCTGGGCCAGGAATCAGATGATCACTCCAGAAGAATCTGTTCAGAGGCCATTCTTCCAGCTGCACAATTGAAGCATTTGCAAAGGTAAAACAAGGACAATCAGACAACCTAGCTCGCCTTGTATGGGCAATGAAAGCTTTTAAGGAGGACACACAGAATACAAATCCACAGGAGTGAAACTTAAAAGGCTCTGCAGGTCTGTGACTGCCCCCTGCTTTCATGCCACATCTAGCAGAGTTAAATGAAAAAAAATGTGACTCAGTCATTTTAAGGTGTTTTATCAGGACAGATCCTAATGTTTTTCTGAACTTACAAGATACACTAAGGTTATGTGTCTACACAACAGAGACTATCCAGAAGAAATGTGGAAAATTCAGCACAGGTTAGAGTTAGTGCAAGTGATGACTGCTGGATCCCAAATCTGGTTGAGATTTATTAAAAGATAAATGCTCAATAATCCATCAGCTCTGTGTTAGTCAGATTCAAAGAGCTCACAGTCTAATTGGTCAGGAAGAGATTCCGCTGAATATATCTGTCTCAAACTAAAGATGTATCTACTTAAGTACATTTATTAGGTGCTCCTCCAACCATTACCACTAAATAAAGAGAATTTATTACATTGCCTGCCTCACCATATACTGAATTATTTAAGACTGTCAGCAGCCATCAACTAAATAAGCAAGGATAGAGGTGGTTTTGGGGAAACTCCATTAAAGTACATTACCAATGCATATTAGTCAGAATAGACTTTGGTTTTCTGTGATAGCAAACTACCCCTAAATCTCAGTGGATTCATCCAGCACAGTTTCTTTCTTGCTCACACTACATGTTCCAGGTAAATCAGCAAATATTGCTCCACATAGTCTCTGAAGGACTTGGGCTGATGAAGGCTCCACCAGCTCATCGCTGCACCATCTGGAATACGTGGCCAGGAAGCGGAGGTGGAAGAAGAGAAACTAAAGGGAATCCCACACATGTCACTTCTGCTCATGTTTCATTAGCCAGGATTAATCCCACGGCTCCTTCCAAGCACAGGCAGTTGACAAGTGCTGTGTCATTTGTGCCTGAAAGAGGAAGGGGAAGGAGCCGGATATGGGAGTAATTTCCACATACGCATATTAGTGACCTGGAATTCTGGAGGTTTTCCTAGCACAACGTGATTTCCTAGCATAATCGAGGTCGAGAGGCAAAGCTAAGGATACATAACAAAAGGCATGAGCCCCAGCTCAGAGGTCCCAAACCAAGGCCAGGAGCCAAAGAGGGAGGGAGGTTTGGACAGCCACGAACAAAGGAGGGAGCATCAAAATCCTGATAATGTCTTATGGCAAAGCTAACCTGTCATAAAGCTATTTTAATTGACTTTGTTTTCATGCAAAGTGGCTTTTCCCTCAGGCATCTTAAATATGTCACTTGATAATTGACATCACACCATCTGCATTTTTCAAAGTATGGTCCTTGTATCACTGGGAACAGATATATCTGAGGGGCTTCAGAGAAATACAGATTTCTAGGATCCAACCAAGATTTTACGGATTAGAATCTCTGAAGGAGGTTCCAGGAATCTGCATTTTTTTTTGAGATGGAGTCTTGCTCTGTCACCTAGGCTGGAGGGCAGTGGCGTGATCTCGCCTCACTGCAATCTCCGCCTCCTGGGTTCAAGCAATTCTCTGCCTCAGCCTCCTGAGTAGCTGGGATTACAGGTGCCCACCACCACGCCTGGCTAGTTTTTTGTATTTTTAGTAGAGACGGGGTTTCACCATCTTGGCCAGGCTGGTCTTGAACTCCTGACCTTGTGATCCACCCGCCTCAGCCTCCCAAAGTGCTGGGATTACAGGCATGAGCCACCGTGCCGGGCCAGGAATCTGCTGTTTAACAAGTAACCCCTAGGTAATTCTATGCATTCTCAGCTTTGGGATTCTGTTTTTGACTTGTGCCAGAATCTAGGGAAAGTCCGAGATCTGGGTTGGGTTTAGGCCCTGGGAGAATGCCCTGCATGGTCCTGGTCACCAAGTAGAACCTGCCCTACCACGAGAAGGCATTTGGTAAAGTCAAGACCGTGCATTTAGGTTAAATGGGGGACTTTTCTGGAGGAGGAAGATTTAAGAGCATATAAACTAGGTTGATTCTGAGATCCTGAAAAACTGGGTTTGGGAAGGACTGGCTAAACACAGAGTAGCTTCAAGGACAACAGAACTTGTAGGTAGGTATTCAATGAATTGACAATGGTGGGGATAAAGAAGCGCCCAGTTTCTGAGGTTGAGTTTTGGAAATGGTCAGGTGGAGCAGATGAGGGCCTTTGGACTTCTTCGGCACATGCTGCAAGTGCTGCTCCTTAAACAGGCTGGGCTGGGCAGAGAGGGAACAGCTGGTGAATCCTGAACCCTTTTTGCTGAGATTATGGGAGGTGGGGTGTGGAAGGAGGGCAGACAAACTGTAAGAAACACTGTCACGGCTATTAGAAACTTTTTTAGAATAGAGAGAAAAGTACCTACCAGACAATTAGAAAACAGAGCTATTACACACATTACAGGAGGGAGGAGTGAAAGCAAAATGGATGCATCACAAAGTTTTGTGACATCCACAACTCACAAAAATTAATGGGCATCTGTGGGTTAAACACCGAGAAGAAATTCAGATATCCAAACAAAATTAAGACTATGAATCTTGGGCTGGAAAGTAAGAATATGGAAAGAAAGCAGAATGTATATGTATATGGAGGACTATCTCCAAAATGTCAACTGTCTAACCCTAAAAAGTTATTTCACAGTTGCAGAAGAAATCATTTTGCTTAACTGGAAACATTTATTAGCTGCAAAATGCACAAGCCCCTGTGAGCTCTTCAAACATATGATCAGAAAGTGAGCTATCTGCCCGGCACGGTGGCTCAGGCCTGTAATCCCAGCACTTTGGGAGGCCGAGGCAGGCGGATCACAAGGTCAGGAGATCGAGACCATCCTGGCTAACATGGTGAAACCCCGTCTCTACTAAAAATAGAAAAAATTAGCTGGGCGTGGTGGTGGGCGCCTGTAGTCCCAGCTACTCGGGAGGCTGAGGCAGGAGAATGGTGTGAGCCCAGAAGGTGGAGCTTGCAGTAAGCCGAGATTGCGCCACTGCACTCCAGCCTGGGCAACAGAGCAAGACTCTGTCTCAAAAAAAAAAAAGAAAGAAAAGAAAAGAAAGTGAGCTATCTTTGGAAGTATAACATCATGCCCTACATGATATGGGGCTAAGGTCAACATCAGAGGTCTAAGTGTGGCTTAGTTGAATGTGCTCAGGATCTTGTGTGCATTCTGTTCAGATACCAGCATTTTATCTTGATATTCTAGGACAAGGAATTCCAAACAATGTTATTCACCATTAATTTTTGTGAGTTGCAGATGTTTCAAAACTTTCTGATGTGTGCATTTTGCTTTCACTCCTCTCCTTCCCTTTCTCTTCTTCCTCCTATCTGGTATGTAAAAGTTCTGATTTATAATTATCTGGCATGTACTTTTCTTTTACTTGTAATAATCTTCCGAAAGCCATGACAGCATTTTAAAGCTTACACTGAGGGAGGCTATCTAAATGTGAAACAGATGAAAATATATATCTTGGGCAAAATAACTTGCAGATATGAGAAAGAAAATTAGAGTAGGCATATGTTTGTGGTTGAGAAAGTGTATCTGTCCAAATATATGGTAGAGGATTAGTATGGAGACTGGACCTCTGCAGAGAAGGGTATTGTCTAGTTGTGATATAAGCAACTGAGAATTCTGGGATAACCCTCAACCTCTTTGGCTGACAAATCATCTTCAGCTAGATGCTTGGAGTTAGAAACAATTGATGCCAGGTGGGTAAAAGAGAAAGTTGATTCCATTTACTTTACCACCTCATTTATTTCTGGGGCAAGACAAGTAAAAACAGCACATATGTCTTACCATCAAATGATTATTGCTTTTCATTTGTTTGCAAGGGTATTGGTATTGAAAACTCAAAATCTAAGTGTGAGCAGCCCTTTATACAAGAAATTAATGTAAACCATAGATTAGAACCAGTGTAGAAAATATTAATATTATCTTTCATATAAAAAACAAGAAAACCATGAAAAAAGTAGTTGTAGAGACCCCCAACCATGAGATCTTACATTAAAGTGAAAAACAGTCCTACTATTTTGAGTCAATTATATGGTTACTTACAAAGCTTTGGTCTATAACAGCCTTTCATATAAAGCATTTTTATTTTTTCTCTATGAAGATTTTCATTTTACATTTGTCATCTAATGCATTGTATTGATAGTTATTTAAAAGCTGATATATTTTTTTCCTAAGATAGAGTAGTGAGTCATCTTCATGCAAATAGCAGAGCCCTCCTTGGCTAGAACTGCTGCGTTCTAAGTCATAATGTGCATTTCGACCTCTAACCACTTTTGGAGAGTGACCAAATCAAGACAAAAAAATCTGATCTTGCTAAAGACCACATAGGAAGTCCTTGGCAAAGTCAGATGAGAAAAAAGAGTTCATGAACTCCCAGTACCAGCATTTTAACCACTGCCTTTGTCCCTTGTTTTGGGAACCCCATTAAAATAAAAAAGTAGAAAATTCTGGAATTTTGGTTGCTGTTTTCCATGACCAATTTAACGGAGTGGTGGAAAGAGTTCTGCACTAAGAGTCAGAGATTGTTTTTCAAAAATAACCAACTTTATGTAACGGAAACTTTCAATGAACCCTTTTGACCCATCTCTCAGCTTCAAGAATCTTACTTATAACCTATCTCATTTTATCTATATTCCACTGAATTTTTTTATCCTATATAATTTTAAGGCAAATACCACACATCATACCATATCATTTCCTCCATAAATATTTCAGGATATACCTCTAAAAGATGAATCTCAAAAAAAAACCCATAATACCATTATTATATCTAAAACATTTGATAATAATTACTTAATGCCATCAAATATCTATTGTTCAAAATTCCAACTGGCTCATAAATATAATTTTTTTTTGAGATAAGATTTCACTCTGTCACCCAGGCTGGAGTGCAGTGATGTGATCATGGCTTACTACAGCCTCAACCTCCTGGGCCCAAGCCTTCCTCCTATCTCAGTTTCCCAAGTAGCTGGAACTACATGTACATGCTACCACACCTGGCTAATTTTTAATTTTGTTTTTGTAGAGACAAAGTCTTACTATGTTGCTCAGGCTGGTCTCGAACTCCTGGGCTCAAGCAGTCCTCCCACTTCGGCCTCCCAAAGTACTGGGATTACAGGCATGAGCCATCGCAGCCAGCAAATATAATAATTTTTAAATTTGTTTGAATCAAGATCCAAGTAAAGTCTACTTGTTGTGATTCATCACGTTTCTTAGTTCTTTCTAAATTTCTGGGCTTTCCCTCCATCTCTTCTTTTTTTTCTTTCCTTTTTTTTTTTTTTTTTTTTCCTTTTTTGAGACAAGATCTCACACTCTGTCACCCAGGCTGAAGTGAAGTGGTGCAATCATGGCTAACTGCATTCTTGAACTCCTGGGCTCAAGCAATCCTCCCACCTCAGACTCCTGAGAAACTGGGACTACAGGATCACACCACCGCGCCTGGCCCTCTTTTTTTCCTGTGTAATTTATTTGTTGAAGGAGCAGGTCATATGTCCTCTAGAAACATACTGGCTTTTGCTGATAGCAACTTTGTGGTATTCTTTAGCACATTCTTCAAGTCTCTGTTCTTAAATTGGTAACTGAATCTAAGACGTTTGAAGGGATTCAGATTTGGTTGTCTTTGGCGAGGGTACTTGATGGATGTGGTGTGATTTCATCAGGAGGCCCTAATGTCTGTTTATCTCTTGTTGTATTATGTCAGCAGATGTTGGTGCTTAATTTCTAAATGCATTAATTTGTTAAGGATTGTGAAATGGTGACATTATAATTCTATTAGTCTTTCTTTTATCAGCTAGAATAAAAAGAAAGTTCCCCTTGCCTGCTATATAGCTCCCAGGAGTACAGTTCAAAAGCAAAGGCAGGATAAATGCTTACATCTTCCTTTTTATTAACAGCTTTCCAAATAATAAGTTGGTTTTCTAGTACCCTACCATGATGAACAACGAGCCGTTGTTGTGTTTTAGTAACATTATGAACTAACAGAGTTAAACATATTTTGTATGTTTCAATCTATTGTAGTTATCATCTTTACTGATACTCAAATCATCCTGAGAGACTGGACTAGCCGGATTTCCTAGGCCGACTAAGAATCCCTAAGCCTAGCTAGGAAGGTGACTGCATTCACCTTTAAACACGGGGCTTGCAACTTAGCTCACACCCGACCAATCAGCTAGTAAAGAGAGCTCACTAAAATGCTAATTAGGCAAAAACAGGAGGTAAAGAAATAGCCAATCATCTATAGCCTGAGAGCACAGCGGGAGGGACAATGATCAGGATATAAACCCAGGCATTCCAGCTGGCAACCGCTACCCTCTTTGGGTCCCCTCCCTTTGTATGGGAGCTCTGTTTTCACTCTATTAAATCTTGCCACTGCACACTCTTCTGCTCACGGTGTTTGTTACTGCAGGAGCTGAGCTTTTGCTCGCCATCCACCACTGCTGTTCGCTGCCGTCACAGACCTGCCACTGACTTCCACCCCTCTGGATCCCGCAGGGTGTCCGCTGCGCTCCTGATCCAGTGAGGCACCCATTGCCGCTCCAGATCAGGCTAGAGGTTTGCCACTGTTCCTGCATGGCTAAGTGCCCAGGTTCATCCTAATCAAGCTGAACACTAGTTGCTAGGTTCCACGGTTCTCTTCCGTGACCCACGGCTTCTAATAGAGCTATAACACTCACCGCATGGCCCAAGATTTCATTCCTTGGAATCTGCGAGGCCAAGAACCCCAGGTCAGAGAACAAGAGGCTTGCCACCATCCCATTTTGGAAGCGGCCCGCCGCCATCTTGGAAGCTCTCGGAGCAAGGACTGGCCCCCACCTCCCCCCGCCCCTCCCCCCGCCCCTCCCAACAATCCCAGTAGGATGTAGTAAAATGTTACTACTTCATACTGTTTACTTTAAATTCAAATTTATGACTCTAGAGAAACGGAATCAATAGAATGTATGTTTATAGAGGTGTGTGTATGTGTGTGTGTATGTGTGTGTGTATATTTGTCCTTAGGGTACATTCATTATAATATATAAAAGATTACTAGATTATAAAGTGACATGGAATAGTTCCTCTCCGTGTGATCATGAGACCAATTAGATACACATTTTGATTTATTTTATTTTTTATTTTAGGGAAAAATTTTTTAAAAAGTGATTTTGTTTTATAATTATATAACATTTTTCATGGTTCTTAATGTCGAACCTATACATTTAGATTTTTATAAATTTAGATTTAGGCCGGGAGTGGTGGCTCACGCCTGTAATCCTAACACTTTAGGAGGCCGAGGCAGGTGATCACTTGAGGCCAGGAGTTTGAGACCCGAGACCAGCCTCGCCAACATGGAGAAACTCTGTCTCTATTAAAATACAAAAATTAGCCAGGCATGGCGGCACATGCCTGTAATCCCAGCTACTTGGGAGGCTGAAGCACGAGAATCTCTTGAACCCAGGAGGCAGAGGTTGCAGTGAGCCGACATCGTGCTACTGCACTGCAGTCTAGGCGACAAAATAAGGTTCTGTCTCCAAAAAAAAAAAAAAAGAAAGAAATTGGAAGATGTGATTATGGAGGCAGGCAAGTTCCAAGATCTGCAGGGTGAGTCTGCACGCTACAGACCTAGGAGAGCCAAAGATGCAGTTCCAATCAGAAGGCAGGAAAAAAGCCGATGTCCTAGTTCAAAGTATGCCAGGCAGGAAGAATTCTCTATTATTCAGGGAAGGGTCTACCTTTTTGTTCTGGCCTTCAACTAACTGGATGAGACCCACTCACATTAAGGAAGGCAAGCTGATTTACTCAGTCTACTGATTTTAATGTTAATCTCATTAAAAAAAAAACCCTCACAGAAACACCCAGAATAATGTTTGGCCAAATATCTGGGCACCCTGTCACTCAGTTGACACGTAAAATTAACTGTCACAATAACCATAGGGTTTTTAATTAACCTTTCTTTCTTTTATTTATTTATTTATTTTTGAGATGGAGTTTCGTCTTTCACCCAGGCTGGAGTGAAGTGGCGCGATCTCAGCTCACTGCAACCTCCACATCCTGGTTTCAAATGATTCTCCTGCCTCAGCCTCCCGAGTAGCTGGGATTACAGGCGTGCGCCACCATGCCTGGCTAAATTTTGTATTTTTAGTAGAGATGGGGTTTCACCATGTTGGCCAGGATGGTCTCAAACACCTGACTTCAGGTGATCTGCCCACCTCAGCCTCCCAAAGTGCTGTTATTACAGGTGTAAGCCATTACGCCTGGCCAGTTATGTGATCTTTTGAGTCTGTCATTCTTGATGTTATTGAGAAGTGAGATTCTGAGCATGGAAGGAAAGAAGATACAACAGTAATATAAGAAAGGTAATATAAGAAAGGAGATAATATAAGTAATATAAGAAAGGTGATACAACAGTAATATAAGAAAGGTTGTATCTCCTTTCCTTCCATGCTCAGAATCTCAGTTCTTAATAACATCAAGAATGACAGACTCAAAAGATCACATAAATGGCCAGGTGTGGTGGCTCACACCTGTAATCCCAGCACTTTGGGAGGCCGAGGCAAGCAGATCACCTGAGGTCAGGAGTTCATGACCAGCCTGGCCAACATGGCAAAACCCCGTCTCGACTAAAAATACAAAACATTAGCTGGGCATGGTGGCAAACACCTGTAGTTCCAGCTACTTGGGAGGCTAAGGTAGGAGAATCACTTGAGCCCAGGAGGTGGAGGCTGCAGTGAGAGCCGAGATCATGCCACTGCACTCCAGCCTGGGTGACAGAGCTAGACTCCATCTCAAAAAAAAAAAAAAAAAAAGTCACATACTCAGTTGCTTTATCTTACAGTGCACAGCTAACAGTCTCAGAATAATACCAACACTTTCACCAACACCATGACTCTATAAATGACTTAGTGATTTTTCTGATTTGAAGATCTTTTTGTCCTCAGGGCACAGTCCATTATTAATGTCCAAAAGATTACTATTTTATAAAGTCATTTGGAATAGCTCCTCTCTGTGTGATTATGAGACCAATTAGATACGCCTTTTGATTACTTATTTTATTTTTGATTTTAAGGAAATAATTTGTAAAACTTAATTTTGTTTTATAATTATATAAAATGTTTCATGGTTCTCAACATCAAACGTATAAAACTAGATATTTTCAAGCATGGTCTTGCTTCTATCCCTGATCCTTAAAGCTAATCATATTTTAATATAATCTGTTTATGTATCTGTATATGAATATAAAATCTCCTGGATATGTTCAATTGCTTAAAGTTTCTTTTTCAGGGAAACTTCCTGTAAGTATATTAGATCATTTTTGCCCTTCCTCTATATCTGTTTCTTTCTCTCATCTTTTTTATCTCTTCCTTCTATTTTTAAATTTTTCCTCCTCTCTAATTTTTTGATATTTATTTGTACTTACATTCTTTCAAAGTTTGGGCTTCATTAGCAAAATTATTTTTTTATTTTTATTTTATTTTATTTTATTTTTGAGACAAAGTCTCATTCTGTTGCCCAGGCTGGAGTGCAGCGGTGCGATCTTGGCTCACTGCAACCTCCACCTCCTGGATTCAAGTGACTCTCCTGCCTCAGCCTCCCAAGTAGCTGGGATTGCAGGCATGCGCCACCATGTCCAGCTAATTTTGTATTTTTAGTAGAGACAGGGTTTGTCCATGTTGGTCAGGCTGGTCTCGAACTCCCAACCTCAGGTGATCTGCCCGTCTCAGCCTCCCAAAGTGCTGGGATTACAGGCATGAGCCACTGTGCCCGGCATGCCCAGCTATTATTTGTAATTTTTTTTTATTTTTTATTTATTTATTAGTAGAGATGGGGTTTCACCATATTGGCCAGGCTGGTCTCGAAATCCTGACCTCATGATCCGCCTGCATCAGCCTCCCAAAGTGCTGGCATTACAGGTGTGAGTCACCACGCCCGGCCTCTTCTTGATGTTTTAATCCTTCCTGAGTTTGGTCAGCTCACTCTTAAGTTATTCTAATTCTAATCTGTGTAATTATTTCACATATTTTAATTTTTTCCTGAATTTAAAAAGTCATTTTGAAATATTCACTCACCTCTTTTACCTGCTTTGTGGGCATGTTTATTTGGTGTGCTCTCATCTGTAAGAAAATTACTTTGTTCCTCATTATCTTTTTATGATAAAAAGTTTGTACAGAATTCAAATCTATGTTTTTCTGTTGCTGATTTTTAGGTGAAGGCAGACTGAACTTTTAGGAAGGAAGGGTGGGTCAGAATAGCTTTTCTACCTCATGACTCTAGAGCAGTGTTAGCAAACCATGGCTCATGGACTAAATTCAGCTCATCATCTGCTTTTCTAAGTCTTATTGAAATACAATCCTGAGGGCCGGGCGTGGTGGGTCACGCCTGTAATTCCAGCACTTTGGGAGGCTGATGCGGGTGGATGACCTGAGGTCAGGAGTTCAAGACCAGCCTGGCCAACGTGGTGAAACCCCGTCTCTACAAAAATACAAAAACTAGCCAGGCGTGGTGGCACACGCCTGTAATCCCAGCTACTCAGGAGGCTGAGGCAGGAGAATTGTTTGGACTCAGGAGACAGAGGTTGCAGTAAGCCAAGATCACGCCACTACACTTCAGCCTAGGAGACAGAGCAAGACTCCGTCTCAAAGAAAAAAAAAAAAAAGAAATATAGTCGTGATTATTTGTTTACATATTATCTGTGGCCACTTTTATGATAAAATGGGAGAGTTGAGTCATTGTGACAAAGACCATGTAGGTCTCAAAGCTTAAAATACTTACTATGTGATCTCTGCTCTCTCTTCTTTGCTCACAATTTTGACTTCTTATCTCCTGGCTCTGTTCTTCTCCCTCACTTCTATCTGAATCTTTTTCCTTTGCCCCTCCCTGGGCTGTCTGTCCTGCTCAGTTTGGTCTACTCCCAGCAGTTCTTCCTCAATATGGAACTTTGTCTTGAAAGGAAGCTTCTGCTGGTTAATTTCTTTCTTTCTTTTTTTTTTTTTTTTTTGTTGTTGTTGTTCGTTTGTTTGTTTATTTTTTGAGACAGAGTCTCACTTTGTCGCCCAGGCTGGAGTACAGTGGCATGATCTCGGCTCACTGCAACCTCCATCTCCTGGGTTCAAGTGATTCTCTTGCTTCAGCCTCCCAAGTAGCTGGGATTACAGGTGCCCACCACCATACCCGGCTAGTTTTTGTATTTTTAGTAGAGGCAAGGTTTCACCATGTTGTCCAGGCTGGTCTTGAACTCCTGACCCCAAATGATCCGCCCACCTCGGCCTCCCAAAGTCCTAGGATTACAGGCCTGAACCACCACGCCGGGCCCTGCTGGTCAATTTCAAGAGTTCACAAGGCCAAGACTACTCCATCCCTTTCAGAACTTATCACTGTATTGTCCTTCTACTTACCCACAAATTGGAGTTTGTACAAACTCCTCTCAGGTTAAGCTGCTTTTCTCAAGTTGGCCAACTATGCTTTCCAGTGAGTATCTCTCTATCTAATGGTCATTTTGAGATTCTACTTTGCTTGGATCTGTCAGATGCCCAGTGCTTCCCATGTAAATGCTGATACTATACAGGTCTTATTACTGGTATTTTGTCCCTATCTGCTTATACTTCGGGGTTGATGGCAGTACTTTTTCACTTCGCTTGTTTTGAGTTTGTCAATAGGCTTTGGCTTAGCTATCCTAGTTTTATTTTTATGGGAGAGGGGTGTGGTTATGGGGCATTTAAGAACTAAAGAACTATTTCACTACTACTACCATCTTGCCAGAATTCCTAAGATTTGTATTTTAAACCCAGATGAAGTACTAACTAGCTGAAACCTAGATGAAAAGCTATGCAGGGAATGAATTAGATTGTCAATAATCTCTCCCAGCTCTAAAACATTATGATTCTAATTTTCACTCTTGCCAGTAACCAGTCTGTTCATCCCAGAAACTAGCATTTATTGAGCTTCTATTTTTTGCCAGTGCTGGGTTTAGGTTTTTGTTAATATAATGATGAACAATTCATATGCCTTGTTCTCAAGGAGTTCACAGTCCAGTGGAGGAAATAGATGTACACAGACAATTATAATGCAACATAATTTTGTGTGGTAGAGAGTAATGAAACATTTGTATGGGCATCTAGAGGTGAAAGTATCAAACTCTGCTTTATGGAGTATGACAAAGGCTTTGGAAAGGAGACAGTGCTTGAGATGAGTGCTGAAGGATAAAGGTCACCAAGTAGAGGAAATTGGCCTTTATTACCTTTTAAAAAGTATACAATAAATATATGTGCATAATTTTAGAAAAGCAGGAAAATGTATGCTATTAAAAAAGAAATATAGGCTGGGCACAGTGGCTCATGTCTGTAATCCCAGCACTTTGGGAGGCCAAGGCAGGCAGATCACGAGGTCAAGAGATCAAGACCATCCTGGCCAACATGGTGAAACCTCATATCTACCAAAAATACAAAAATTAGCCAGGTGTGGTGGTGCACACCAGTAGTCCCAGCTACTCGGGAGGCTGAGGCAAGAGAATCGCTTGAACCCAGGAGGCAGAGGTTGTAGTGAGCCGAGATCATGCCACTGCACTCCAGCCTGGGTGAAAGAGCGAAACTCCATCTCAAAAAAAAAAAAAAAGAAATATAAAGTAAATCTGATCCATGAAACAAAAACAGTTCTGTGAATGAATATATTTAGAAGTCTTTAGATTAGGAATATAGCACAAGACTTGTGTATCTATTCATTATAAAAGATCAGGTTCAGTCCCTCTGAATATGGGAAGGATAATCACATTATCTTACCAGCCATAGGTAGATGAGTATGGATTCAGTACGGTATATTACAATAAGTGAATTCAACAAAATCAGCAATGGCCATTGCCATCATAACTTCCAATGTGGAGGTCTCCTCCTCAGCCTTTTCGGACCTCCCTTAACCTTCAGTGAAGACTTTTCACATAGAACAAAAGTACCCTCATAGTTTTAGAAATGGTTTTTCACTCTCCTGCTTTTCAGCAGCTTTCTCATCAAAGGCTACTTCAGATTGAAGTGGAGAATAAAAGTGACCACCAAAAAGACCATCGGATTACATAAGTGCCCTCTTTCAGCAGGATCCTGACCTATGAGGAGTCTTTTCTTTTGCTGTCTCTCATGACAGCACTTTGAAATCCAGGAACCAGGTCTCAACACAGGCAAATAAAAATGAAATGATGGGAGCACAGAGCCAAAAAGATACACAGTATATCTACATAAGAGGAGGAATGGTTGGAGGACACCACCTCTTCTCTAAAGAGAGCATGTGTCTATTTACATTTAATTCTATTATCCACAGTAGGGTTACAAATAAGAGGCCAAAGGTGATAAACAAGCAGAAAGACCTTAAGCAACACTGGCTACACCTGGCTTTTTCTTTCCTTGCTGCTGCTCGAGTGCTGCAGCTCCCAGAGGGAGGGTTCTCCATGTGTTCTGGCAGGCAGTTCACACCAGATGGAGGGTTAGGGGAGCCTTTTCCCTGGTCCTCATTCCCTAGATGGTTCTCAGATTGACCTCTATCAGTGGCGCCATGGCCAATGACTGCACTCTGACCAGAGAGTGGGCCTTCTTGGGCAGCAGGATGGGCCCAAATAAGCCTTTCGAATATATCAGGTGCAATGAACTGCAGGCCCATTTGTGAATTATATAATAATGTTCTTTCCTCTCGTGCCTGAGATCAGATGGTTAAGTAAATAAATAAGTTACAACCATGTCTGTTTTCCAATGTTATGACTGTGGAATTTCAGATGATTCCTTTAATCAGCCATCCAAACAGCTGAGTCTCCTTTGTGTCCTGATCTAGAAGTGGATCTCATTCACCATGGCTTTCAAAGTCCTCTGGTGATAGGAGAGTTTCCATATCATTGAATATAAATTTAAGTTTTACTGCTGAATTTCCTGGAGATTAATTAATGAAAATCTCTGGGTCCCATTTCACTGTGGAGGTAACTTCTGACATTTAGGAACTGAAGAATTTGGGAGAAAAAACGTAAAGTTATGTCATTGTTTTACTTTTAAAATAAAGATTTCAAAATAAACCAACGTAGAATTCAAAAGGGAGCTTCAAAACTCAAACCCTCAACCCACACCTTTTTTGTTTGTTTGTTTTTTGAGACAGAGTCTTGCTCCATCACCCAGGCTGGAGTGCAGTAGTGCGATCTCAGCTCACTGCAACCCCCACCTCCCGGGTTCAAGCGATTCTCCTGTCTCAGCCTCCCGAGTAGTTGGGACTACAGGCACCTGCCACCATGCCCAGCTAATTTTTGTATTTTTAGTAGAGATGGGTTTCACCTTGTTAGTCTGGCTGGTCTTGAACTCCTGACCTCAGGTGATCCACCCACCTCAGCCTCCCAAAGTGCTGGGATTACCCCAACTTTTTTTCAGACTGCCAGATGCTCCTTATCTTCCTTTCACATTACAAATATCTAGTACTCAGGGAACCATTCTACTTCTATAATTATTAAGGACTCAGAGATTAATATAGCCATTAAACAAACTATAATGGCTGACTTGAAATTGTTATTGAACAAGAAGTATTTTGAACCTAACTTGTACTATTAGAATAAGGAAGTATTGTTTGGGATTAATAATTGATGGTACATTAGACTCCTGTATTACTGAGTTAGTTGACTTTTGAGAAGGCAGTTGAGCAGTTATCAGAGATCATAATGCAATAAACAATGATCTATTCTAGATGACCAGTTATTAGGCTGGAGCAAAAGTACTTGCAGTATATAACTATAATATAAACTTCAGCTACATATTAAAATAATGGGAGAGAGGGGCATTTTAAAAATATTGATGTCCAGTCCCCACTCCTGAGATTCTGATAAAATTGGTTTATTGCTCCAAGACCATTTTTTTGTTTGTCTGTTTTGAGACAGAGTCTTGCTCTGTCGCCCAGGCTGGAGTACAGTGGAACAATCTCAGCTCACTGCAGCCTCCGCCTCCTGGGTTCAAGCAATTCTCCCACCTCAGCCTCCCAAGTAGCTGGGATTACAGGCACACGCCACCAAGCCCATTTAATTTTTGTATTTTTAGTAGAGATGGGCTTTCACCATGTTAGCCAGGCTGGTCTCGAGCTCCTGGCCTCAAGTGATCCACCAGCCTCAGCCTCCCAAAGTGCTGGGATTACAGGCATAAGCCACTGTGCCTGGCCAAAGACCGTATTTTTTCAAAATTACCCCCACTCACCCCCACCATCCCCATCCAGGTGTTTCTAATGTGCAGTCGAATTAAAAATTCCCGTCTTAGTCTGTTTGGGTTACTATTATAAAGTACTGTAAATGGAGTGGTTTATAAACAATAGAAATTTATTTCTCATAGTCTAGAGGCTGGGAAGCCTTAGATGAAGGAGCTGGTAGATTCTGTGCCTGGGGAGGGCCTGCTTGGTTTATAGATGGCCATCTTTTGCTGAGTCCTCACATGGTGGAAGGAGCAAGGGAGCTCTGTGGGGTGTCTTATAAAGGCACAAATCCCATTCATGAGGGCCCTGCTCTCATGTCCCAATTTCCTCCCAAGGCCCCACCTCCTAATGCCATCACCTTGGGGGTTAAATTTTGGATGGACACAAAAATTCAGGCCATAGCACTGTTTATCTAGATTAGTTCTTTTTTATGATAATTTATTCTAAATCACTATTCTCTGGCTTTCATAATTTAGAAAATAAAAATTACAAAGCAATCACAAAATAGCACTGATACAGTGATTACAACAAATTTTAAAAATATATGTGTAGAGACAAGGTACAGATGAACCACTAGATAACTTTTTAATTTTTCTGTAAAGTTGTTTATAAGAGCCTTGGAATAAAATAATAAAATTTTTATATGGATACCTAATTGAGAATAGAAGTTAAGTAATTTCCAGGTTTCCCCTCATTCATGATAGGTTCTGGTTAGAACTCATGTTTCCAGATTCTTGTCTTAACATTCTTTTAAATATTACCTTGATTTTATTTTTTTTAAATGTAAAGGTAACTCTTCAAAAATAATTTAAAAAGCCACTGCCAATTATTATAAACTTTAATAAACATTAGAGGCAGTTTATAGTATATTTGTCAAGACCATGGACTCTGGAATTAGATAAATTACCATATAAGCCTGACTTAAACATTTACTACCCATGGGACCTTAACTTCTCTGAACCTCAACTTCTTCATCAGGAAAATAAGGATATTATAATATGTATTAGTCCATTCTCAAACTGCTATGAAGAAATACCAGAGACTAGGTTATTTATTTATTTATTTATTTATTTATTTATTTATTTTTGAGATGGAGTCTTGCTCTGTCGCCCAGACTGGAGTACAGTGGCGTGACCTTGGCCCACTGCAACCTCCACCTCCCTGGTTCAAGCAATTCCCCTGCCTCAGCCTCCCAAGTATCTGGCATTACAGGCACACGCCATCATGCCTGGCTAATTCTGTATTTTTAGTAGAGACGGGATTTCACCATGTTAGCCAGACTGGTCTCGAACTCCTGACCTCAGGCAATCCGCCCACCTCAGCCTCCCCAAGTGCTGGGATTACAGGCGTGAGCCACTGTGCCTGGCCTGAGACTGGGTAATTTATAAAGGAAAGAGGTTTCATTGACTCACAGTTCCGCATGGCTTGGGAGGCCTCCAGAAACTTACAATCAGGGCAGAAGGGGAAGCAAACACATCCTTCTTCACATGGTGGCAGGAGAGAGAAGTGCAGAGCAAAGCGGGGAAAAACCACTTATAAAACCATTCAGATCTCATGAGAACTCACTCACTATCATGAGAACAGCATGGGGGAACCACTTCCATAATTTATTTACCTCCCATGAGGTCTCACCCATGACATACGGGGATTATGGGAACTACAATTCAAGATGAGATTTGGGTGGGCGCACAGCCAAACCATATCATAATATAAGACCATCAGGTAGAAAAAGGGATGAAAGCAATTTCTCTTCTGCTCACATGGCATTGTTTCCAACCCTAAGAAGTAAAGAAAAGGAAGGTGAAGCCAGACTTCTCTGTTAAATGTGTTAATAAACAAACAATAAAATTATTTAACACGGCCCATTCACTACATTAGTTCTTCTATATACATTTCAATGGCTGGCGTGCTATGGTAGGAAAAGAGACTATACTGAATTATTTAGAGCAATGCCTAGCATAGACTATGCACTCAGCAATATCTTATTGGTTGTAATTATCATGCATTACTTAGTGTTTCTCAACGAAGAAGATGGGAATTTTTGTCTTTTGGGTTAAGAAAATTGTGTTTGCATCCTAAAGAATTTATATTACCTAAAATAGTCTTCCATAAAGTCCAAACCACTTCATAAGTATATAGTTAGTAATATTATCAATCAGTTAGGCAGTTGGCATATATGTTTGCAAAATTGCAAAGGAAGAAGACAACATCCTTATTCCTGTAAAACCTATAACTTAGTGAAGCAGGGGAAGGAAAACAAGCTCTGCCAGCCAAGTTCAGCTTCAGGCTGATCAGCTTATTGAGCTGATGTCATATTGGGCGCTAACCTCCCCTATGTTATTCATTCAATTCCTCAGACATGAGCTAGGGGAGCATTGAGGGAATTAGGAAAAACAGCATCTGCAGGTTTGACACATCACATCCATTTATACTGTATTTCTGGTGAAGGGGGATCAATTCTACCAAGAAAAGAGACATATTGATGTCCTTACCTGTCAAATAAGCTGACTTTCTGCCAAATGGATGTGATCATAAGCCAAGGGTGAGCCTCCCAATCAGGAAACCAGTAAAGGACAAGATGACCCCAAATTCACTTTATGGGTCTTGTGTTTGATTAACAACACTGTTAGAGATTTAAAAAAAAAAAAGATTGTAATAAGACGATGTCATCTACTTAAGAGGAAAAAGCTACACTGCAGCATAACTGTAAGTAATTACAGTTGACAAAACAGATATTCCAGCCCTAAAAAAGAAAATGTATCATCTTCATTCTTTTCCTCAATTACCTTTAGCAATCAAAGTTTGAAGCCATTCTATGTTATTTCTGTGAAAAATTCCTGTGAATTGTAATTGTCCATAACTTCACATGAGGCAAGTAAAACTTTCAAGTAAAAAAAATGACTTTACTATATTAATTAATTCATTCAACAAATATTTATTTTAAGGCTACTGAGTGCTAGGCACTGTGCTATGGAAAATAAGGCAGGGTCTCTGCCCTCACAGACATACAACCCAGTAGGAAAAAAGAGACAGTAAACAAGTTAAGAAAAAACAAACAAACAAAAAAAACCCAAGAAAATCACCGAGATGATTAATGAAGTACCAGGAAGGAATTAAACATACAACTTTGAGAGAGAATAATAGGCCACCTGCTTTAGATGGGATGAGGGGGCTCCAGGAATTGGTGTAGGGGCGGATCACAAAAGTCCTTGCTAAAATTATTTATCCTAATGGCAGAAATCAGAGATGTTCCAGCAGAAGAGGCCACATTCTGGGGTGTGTGTGTGTGTGTGTGTGTGTGTGTGTGTGTAGTTGATTTTATGTTTAAGGAAAATCGAGGTTTCCTACAATATGTGAAAAAATATCTGAGAGATTGAAATTGACTCAGGTGTAAATAAGATTTTCCTTCTTGCTTGATTTAATTGTTAACTATTTGTGGAATCTAAAAGTTAGGCAGATGCTGGACTAGTGAAGGGAAACTAGAGATGTAGCACCGAGGCTGCCAATAGAATAATCTAGGAAAAAGACATTAAGTATCTTAAGACTTTTTCTAGACTGGCCTGGAAACTTAGGTCTAAACTGAGGTGACTTCTTGAGAATCTGGCCCCTTGTTGAGAAGACACTCCACAGCTGTAAGCCTCATAAAGCCACTTACTTCTTCCAGGATCTTTCATTATTGGCATGGAAGGATATAGAGTCACAGAAAAATGTAATATTGGGTTTAGAAAGAAACCTAGAACAGTGTTTTTAAAACACAAAACCACCCTGAGATTTTGTTAGAAATGTAGATTTTGATTCAGGTGGAACCAGAAATTCTGTACTTCTAACAAGCTCCCAGGTGAAACCCTATAATACTCTGAGGAGTAAAACAGGACATTGTGTTCAGGCTCTTCTTTGCCTCTTCCCTACCATCATCCAAACCTCTGTCTTCTAGACTAAGCTCCATGAATTTGTATCCCCTTGTAAATCACACCACGGAATGCCCCATTGTATCAACTATATATTGAGGATATAGTTGGTGCTCAATACACTTCTGATGAATAGGTCAATGAATAGGTGAGTAGATGAATGAACATCCCTAACAAATATCTATCTGCCTCTGACAAAAACCTCCTGACCTCAGGATTATCAACCAAGGAAGTATTTTTTGGACAGCTCTGACCATCAGAAATTTACACTGAGCCAGCATCTGTCTGTGATTCAAATCATCAGTCCTAGATCTGCCGTCTGGGGAAACAGATGGCAGTATTCTTTTTTTTTTTTTTTTTTTTTTGAGACAGGATCTTGCTCTGTCACCCAGGCTGGAGTTCAGTGGCACAAACACGGCTCGCTGCAGCCTCAACCTCTTGGGCTCAAGCAACCCTCGTGCCTCAGCCGCCAAAGTAGCTGAGACTACAGGCATGCCCACAATGCCTGGCTCATTTTTAAAAATTTTTGTAGGCCAGGTGCAGTGGCTTACACCTGTAATCCCAGCACTTGGGAGGCCAAGGCAGGTGGATCACCTGAGGTCGGGAGTTCAAGACCAGCCTGACCAACATGGAGAAACCCCATCTCTACTAAAGAATACAAAAATTGGCTGGGCGTGGTGGCAGGCGTCTGTAGTCCCAGCTACTCGGGAGGCTGAGGCAGGAGAATGGCGTGAACCCGGGAGGCGGAGCTTGCAGTGAGCCGAGATCGTGCCACTGCACTCCAGCCTGGGCGACAGAGCAAGACTCCGTCTCAAAAAATAAATAAATAAATAAAAATAAATAATTTGTAGAGACAGGGTCTCACTGTGTTGCCCAGGCTGGAGCAGCCTTCATTATTGACACAATCAGGACCGGGAGTTGCTCAATTACCAAAAATAATTCACTTAAAGTAAAGGGTCATGTTTTAAAATGGCATATACATCCAACATTTTATCTTAAATCAATGCACCAATCTGTGTAGATGTGTTCATCCAACATTTTATCTTTAACTTAAATCAATTCACTAATCTGTATAGATGCAAGGTTGGGAACATGAGTTCTTTGATAAATTTTATCAGTTTATATTGTCTGTCAGCATAAACCACACCTCTAATAACATATCACACACACATGAACTGATGCTGGAATGGGAAAAAGGTGCACCAGTGGGAAGAAATAAAAACTGGTTTGGGCCAGTCTGTGAGCAAAGGCACTGTGTTGTCTAAAGCAGAGCAAAAGCTACAGAGAGCAAGAAGACCTGGAAGTGTGGCCACTGAGCCACTTTACTTACATTAAGTCAAGTTCATTACCTGCATTAGTTGATGAAAGTACTCACATTGTTTTCAGACTGTCTTACCCATATCATAAAAAAAATAAAAAAAATAAAAAAAATAAAAAAAATCCCGGCCAGGCGTGGTGGCTCACGCCTGTAATCCCAGCACTTTGGGAGGCCAAGGCAGGCAGATCACGATGTCAACAGATAAAGACCATCCTGGCCAACATGGTGAAACCCTGTCTCTACTAAAAATACAAAAATTATCCGGGCTTGGTGGCGTGCACCTGTAGTCCCAGCTACTCGGAGGCTGAGGCAGGAGAATTGCTTGAACTCGGGAGGCGGAGGTTGCCGTGAGCCGAGATCACACCACTGCAGTCCAACCTAGTGACAGAGTGAGATTCCATCTAAAAAAAACAAAAAACAAAAAACAAACAAACAAACAAAAAACAAACCAAAAAAACAGGCCAATATAAAGTATATGGTTGTTGGCTTTCCTGTCATTTAATAAGACACTCTAAGATTTATCAATTCACAGAATGCTCGGACTCCTTTGATTTTCATTTTGAGAATACTTTTCATCTTTGTCCAATAAATTATCATTTAGTATATACATTTCATATATTCTTTAATAAATTAATCTGTCCTAAAAAGTCACTTTTCCATGATCCATGATTTTTAGATCGTTTCCCCTCTATAATTCTATTCCAAAGAGTTCCTCTATTAATGCTCAATTTAAAATGTAAAGGCAAAAAGGATATTTTCAAGTATATATTTATTCTTAAAATGTAGTAAAATATTTTATTTAACAGGTAGCACCTATCCCAAAACACACATCCTTTCACAAAGGTTTTAAAAATGTTTTATGTTTGTGCATTCACAGGGTGCACTCACATTCATTATCTCTCTTAAGTCTCAAAGCAACTATGGGAGGTCAGTGGTGTCTTTTCCATTTTGAAGACAAAAGGAAACTCAGAGATAGTCAGGGACTTGTAGTATATATAGGTTACCCAGTGGGAAAGTGGCGGAACTAGGGCTAGAAGAAACCTAGCCCTTTGATTCTTTGGTCCTTCCTTTAAATCTCACAATAGTTTCATTTAAGGTCAAGAACAGTAAATGGGGTTTCTACCATTTTACCCCATGGCTCTGTGATGCCCAAACCTATTTAAACAATATTATTATTTGAGTTAAAGATGCCCTTCCTCCTTCCAAGAGTGTGTTAAAGGCTCCAAGATTAAAGTGAAATCAAATTAATTGGAAGGCCTCTTTTTTCATATTTACTTATTTATTAATTAATTAACTAATTTTTTGAGACAGAGTCTCGCTATGGTGGCCAAGTTGGTCTTGAACTCCTGGCCTCAAGCAATCCTACCACCTCAGCCTCCCAAAGTGCTAAGATTACAGGTGTGAGCCACTGTGTCCAGCCTAGGTTTCTTTTTAAAATCTTGTTAGCTTGTTTTGGGATTTCATAACATATCTGGAAGTAGTTCTAGACAACATCACAGAGTCTTTTGAAACTGGCATAGCTGGATGCAGTGGCTCATGCCTGTAATCCCGACACTTTGGGAGGGTGGGGCAGGAGTATTGGTGAATGTGAAGGTACACCTATGGGGGTGCATCTTATCAAAGGATCTGAGTGTGTGCTGAGAGGTCTACATGCTCAATATATGTGACCCTTCAGCCCCAAATTCTAACTCTAATCTCTATCTTCAGTTTGATGGCTAATAGGTATCCTAAATATGTTGTGTCTAAAACATAACTCTAATATCCACCTCTCTAATACTCAAAGTCTGTTCCTTTCACTTTTTTTTTTTTTTTTTTTTTTTTTTTTTGAGATGGAGTTTCACTCTTAGTTGCCCAGACTGGAGTGCAATGGCGCGACCTCGGCTCATGGCAACCTCTGCCCCCTAGGTTCAAGCAATTCACCTGCCTCAGCCTCCCGGGAAGCTGGGATTACAGGCAAGCGCCACCAGGCCCGGCTAATTTTGTGTTTTTAATAGAGACAGAGTTTCTCCATGTTGGTCAGGCTGGTCCCAAACTCCCGACTTCAGGTGATCTGCCCGCCTCGGCCCCCCAAAGTGCTGGAATTACAGGCATGAGCCACCACACCCGGCCTCCTCTCCACTCGCTACTCACCTAGCAGCTTAGGCATATAGCCTAAAGAATGTCCTTGATTCCTTCTTTTCCTCAACCCCTAGATCTAATTCATCAAAACTTTTTTTTTTTTTTTTTGAGACAGACTCTTGCTCTGTCACCCAGGCTGGAGTGCAGTGGCATGATCTCAGCTCACTGCAACCTCCTCCTCCCTGGTTCAAGCGATTCTCCTCCCTCAGCCTCCTGAGCAGCTGGGAATACAGGCATGCACCACCATGCCCCACTAATTTTTTTTTTTTTTTTTTTTTTTTTTTTTTTTTTTTTTTTTTTGTAGAGATGGGGATTCACCATATTGGCCAGGGCTGGTCTCAAACTCCTGACCTTGTGATCCACCCTCCTTAGCCTCCCAAAATGCTGGGACTACAGGCGCGTGGCACCACACCTGGCTCATTTTTTGTATTTTTAGTAGAGATGGGGTTTCACTGTGTTAGCCAGGATGATCTTGATCTCCTGATCTTGTGATCTGCCCACCTCAGCCTCCCAAAGTGCCAGGATTACAGGCATGAGCCACCACGCCCAGCCTTCATCAGAACATTTTATCCATACTACTCCAAACTCTATCCCAAGTTCTTGCACTCTTCTCCATCTCTACCACCATTATCACCACCATTACCACCGCCATGCTAATCTAGGCCACTATAATCTCTACCTGAATGATGCAAAAGTCTGCTAACTGGGGTCCTCATTTAGAAATGAACTACCCCTGGATAGCTGGGTGTGGTGGCTCATGCCTGTAATCCCAGCACTTTGGGAGGCCGAATCACCTGAGGTCGGGAGTTCGAGACCAGCCTGACCAGCATGGAGAAACCCTGTCTCTACTAAAAATACAAAATTAGCCGGGCATGGTGGCACATGCCTGTAATCCCAGCTACTCTGGAGGCTGAGGCAGGAAAATCACTTGAACCCAGGAGGGAGAGGTTGCAGTGAGCTGAGATCATGCCATTACACTCCAGCCTGGGCAACAAGAGCAAAACTCCGTCTCAAAAAAGAAAGAAAGAAAGAAGAAAGGAAGGAAGGAAAGAAATGAACTGCCCCTGGATATATCTACCCAAAGGAAAATAAGTCATTATATGAAAAAGATACTTGCACATGCATGTTTATAGAAGAACAATTCGCAGTTGTAAAAATGTGGAACCAACCCAAATGCCCATCAATAAATGAGTGGACAAAGAAACTGTGGTATATATACACAATAGAATACTATTCAGCCATAAAAAGGAATGAATTAATGGCATTTGCAGCAACCTGGATGGAATTGGAGACTACTAACCTAAGTGAAGTAACTCAGGAATGGAAAACCAAACATCGTATGTTCTCACTCATAGGAGGGAGCTAAGCCATGAAGATGCAAAGGCATAAGAATAACACAACAGACTTTGGGGACTCAGGGGGAAAGGGTGAGAAGGGAGTGAGGGATAAAAGACTACAAATCGGGTTCAGCGTATACTGCTCAGGTGATGGGTGCACCAAAATCTTGCAAATCACCACTAAATAACTTACTAATGGAACCAATTACCACCTGTTCCCCAAAAACCTATGGAAAAAAAAATTTTTTTTTAATGAACTACCCTTGGAGTTCTCTTCATTCAATTTTCCATTCAACAGGCAGTTCAGTATCCCAGGAAGCCAGCAGACAGTACCATGTCACTGAACACCTGAGGTGTGGGTATTGGAGAGAATTCACCTCCTTCCCAGTTTGAACCAAAGAACCCTAAGCAGAATGCCACCAACGTCTACATCATCTTTTTACTTGTACTGTCATGTGGACTTGTAAATGGGCATCTAGATATATTGTGTTTAGTTGTGATCACTTGTAATGCAAATCTGTGATCTTGAAAAATTGAAGTATATTTAATTATAGTTTACATATTACATATTCATAATAATTTTTATTGCCCTACAGTTAGCAGTGTATATAGTGAGAAGACATATGTGGATACATTTTGCAGGGCATCAACCTTTTAAAGAAGTCAAACCTCAATTCCCTAGGTGATAGAAACCATTGGTGGGGTGAGGGCTAAGGGTGGAATCAATCCGTAGTATGCATGACAAATAAAGAAGCCACATAAAAATAATAATAAATGTACATCTTTAGTCAAACATAAATGGTGTATTCTTTTTTTAAAAGACTAAGGGTCTTATCAGTTTATGCTTATTACTTTGAGAGGTGTAGGACCAGGTCATCTTGACCATGAAGAAAGTTGTATGAGTCATGAAAAGTTCACCAAGTATGTCCATGTTACAGAGGAAATGACATGTATAGTAAGTGAGAGAGGAACCTAAATGTTTCTGGCAAAATATAATTTTCTCAGGCCTTTCTTATTTCGATCTTTATTGGGCATTCCAAAAAAGTTACTGATGGTTGAATCTGGAAAGATTATGCATACAATTTGAGATTACATTTTTCTTACAAATAGGAATATGAGGAATATTCTTTATAAACAGAAAAGATCTGAAGCTAGGACATACTCTTTTGACTATATTAATAATGAAACTTCTCTGACGTTGAATAAATTTAAACCAAATTCACACTAAATGATTTATAGGATTGCTTTTACATTTTTCCCTCTGAATTTTGTATTTCCCACCTTGAGTGTCAAGAAAGGTCATTACAGTTGTTACTAAAGATGATCCAAATCAGAGAATGCTTCAGAGTTGCTGAATATGCTTTCCCCCTGCCCTCCCCACCCGCCGTTTGTAGGCTTCTATATTTATCCACTGACCTGGATAAAAAAATTTTACTGTAGTTTTTAAATAGTCCTTTAGGGCCAGACGTGGTATCTGATGTCTGTAATCCCAGCACTTTGGGAGGCTGAGGTGGGAGGATCGCTTGAGCCCAGGAGTTTGACATCAGCCTGGGCAACAAAGCGAGACCCTGTCTCTACAAAAAATAAAAAAAAAAATTAGCCAGGCTAAGTGACATGCATCTGTATTCCCAGCTACTCAGGAGGCTGAGGTGTGAGGATTACTTGAGCCCAGGAGTTCGAGGCTGCAGTGAGCTATGATTGCACCATTGCACTCTGGCCCAGGTGACAGAGTGAGACTTTGTCTAAGAAACCAAAAAAGATACACTCATAGCATGATGACTCTGGCAGAGTTGAGATATGAAGTAAGAGGGAAGAGTTTCTCCCACGAGTGCATGGGACATGGTATTTCCTATTTCTGGCTGCGCCTACTTGCCTTTAAATCACAGAACCATTTGGGAACATGGCTCAGGATTCCGAGAGTTGATCTGCCTGGTTTCAGAGGATGAAGAGGCACCCAGATGGACCATTCAGCCCTCTGCATGCTATGTAAATGTCCTCGGAGGGTTTGGATTTTCCATGTTGAGTCTCTCTTAGCTTCATGACATTTCTCCTCCTTCGGGGGAAGGCAGGGAGTGCTGTCAGATCTCTCTCACTGTACATACTTGATTCATGAACACTGAAATGAGTAAAATTCACACATCAGCCTACTCCTCCTCCTTCAAGTTAGTCCCTAATGATCCTCATCTCCTTGTATTTATCTCTTTGTGTAGTCTCCTCCTTCAATGAATCAGGGCTGAGAGCTGCTCTGAACTACCAATAGAGTTACCAATGGGTAGCTTCTAAGGCTAGCCCATAAGGGCATTGCAGCTTCCATCTTGTCTTGGATTGCTCACCCTGGGTGAAGCCAGTTGCGGTACTCTGGGGACACTCAAGCAGCCCTGGAGAATTCATGTGGAAAGGAACAGAGATCTTCCACCAACAGCCAGCACCATCCTAACAGCCAAGTGAGTGAGCCCCCTTGACCGTGGTTCCTCCAGCCTCAGTCAAGCATTCAAAAGGCTTCAGCTGACATCTGACTACAACCTCGCAAGAGACCCCCAACCACAACACCCATCCAAACTGCTCCATACTCCTGACCCAGAGAAACTGTGAAAGAGAATTATTATTGTTTTAAGTTTGGGGTGATTTGTCATGCAACAAAGATGACTAATTCATCCTTTGAAAAGATAGTGGCAGTGGTGGTGGTGTTATGAACAACAAATTGACTAGAGCTTTCTATTTTGTGATGTTAAAAGCATGGAATATAAATTTACTCATGAGTTTTCCATAAGAGAAACATCCAAACAACTAATCTGTAGATTCTCTTAAAACCCAAACTCTGTGCTAAGGACTCAATACAGCAGAAGTTGTGATGTTGGTAGAAAAAGAAAGCAAATACTTTAACTTTGTTAAATTATGATGTTTTAGGAACTCAGCCTGCATGACAAAGGAAAGGACAAAAGTATTTTGGACCTTTTGTTTTTATGTCACAAACAGTTCCAAAGTTCAGAGGAAGGAACTTCGGTGTTTCCTTTACACCAAAGCAGACTGAGCTGTGTTATTTTATTTATCTGAGAATAGGAAGTTACGTGATTATGAATTCTGAGTATCAGTCAGAATTATTCACAGCAAAAGCCTCTTAGGCTCTAACTGCTAATCCAAACTTTTCAGAAAGCAAGTTTTGTGTTCCCCACAAATCCCATGGAAACTTGTTCACCTTTCATAGGAAATTGAATTTAATAAAATCATTTATTAAGTCAAAAACATTTTCTGTGCAAGCACCCCCAAAACTTAAAATGTGACACTGTAGTGTACAAGCCTGACACTGCTGTTGTTAACAGTTGGAAGTCCTTCTTACTCCGTATCTAAATGGCA
The DNA here is from genome assembly GCF_000001405.40 of Homo sapiens. Classification (NCBI taxonomy): domain Eukaryota; kingdom Metazoa; phylum Chordata; class Mammalia; order Primates; family Hominidae; genus Homo; species Homo sapiens. The sequence continues at coordinate 63,644,246 of NC_000010.11, read as the reverse complement.
AAATACTGACCATCCTGTACCATTTTAATAAGTTTCAAGTTTATGTTGCATCTATTATCTCATTTGAGTCTTTTTTTTTTTTTTTTTGCGACAGAGTCTTGCTCTGTCACCCAGGCTGGAGTGCAGTGCTACAATCTCTGTCCCTCCAGGTTCAAGCAATTCTCTGCCTCAGCCTCAGGAGCAGCTGGGATTACAGGCGCCCGCCACCACGCCTGGCTAATTTTTTGTATTTTTAGTAGAGGCGGGGTTTCACCATCTTCGCCAGGCTGGTCTTGAACTCCTGACGTCGTGATTCCACCCGACTTGGCCTCCCAAAGTGCTGGGATTACAGGCGTGAGCCACCGCACCCGGCCATCTCATTTGAGTCTTAAAATCCCTCTGTAGGTGGGTGGCTCATCCCATTTTAACTGATAAGAAAACTGAGGCACAGAGGTTATTAGCAGCCTCATTTCCTTGAACAATTTACCAAGTTACTTTATTTCTTTGAATAGTAAGTGGGTTGCACTGTTTTCTGAGGTCTCTTCCAGTCCTAAAATTTATTTAATCCAAGCGATTTAGGCAACATCAACTCAGTGTGTGAGATACAAAAAGCACAGACGTGCAATTGGCAGATATGGATCTTACCTCCACCACTGGCTGGCCTTGAAGACCTGCAGAAATCATTTAAGCTTTTTGAATCTCAGTAGCCTTGTCTTTAAAAGAAAGTTATTAAGCTACACCTGATCAAATTATTTGGAAGGCCAAATGACATAAAATACATACATCAGGTATTTGATCTGGAACCTTGATCTAATTAGTTAATCTCCCTGAGCCCCGGGTCCCCGTGCATAAAATGCAATGACAGGCAGGAAGTTAACTTCACTTTTGGTAATGTACAGTGGATTCTGTGTTGTGTCCCCTAGGTCCCCCTTCAGGACTGCGACACTCATTCTCCAGCTACCTGGGGTTTTCAGCTAAGGGTTCTCAGCTTAATCCTCCTAGAGAATTACTTGCAGCTGAAGGCCAATGTCACAGGCCCTTCCCAGTAAGAGGCCCATATCCAGTGCAGGGCTATGAAGGGCAGGCCCTCTTGCCTCAATCTGGGGAAAATATGAAAACGATCTCAGTCCAGAGCTCCTTCTGAGATGGGCTATCTCAGTCCAGAGCTCCTTCTGAGCCCTTTGACATAACAGTCCTACCACTCCCTCTGCCCAGTCTTGTTTCTTTCCCTCCCTCATAGACACTGTTCCTGAGAACGCTCGCTCCCAGGAACTTCTAGTGTGCAAATTTCCATCATCTCAGCGTCTGTTTTCTGGAAACTCAACCATCATGTTGTAACACGATGATAGGGAGGTAACAGACAAGGAAGTGCTGTAATGTTATCAGCAACATTAGATACTGTTTATCATAGCATAATGAAAACTATCTAAAAAATCCAGAATGATGTGTTTTTTATTCCTCCCATAAATTGTGCTTCTCTGCCACCATTCTACCATTATGGCCCCAGGGAAGAGAAAGGGCAAATGCCACCTTGCACAGAAGTAGGAGACAATGTAGGAACAGCCTTCTAGTTAAAAAAGGAAAGTGTAGGGAAATTTTCAGTTTAGGGAGAGAATAGGAGAGATAAGACGATAGATTAGAGAAAGGAGTTCAGATGCTGGTGTCTACACCTTACCCCTGTTGGTGGTAGAAATCCATGTGGGGAAATGATAGAAATCCAGATAGGCTGGGCATGGTGGCTCACGCCTGTAATCCCAGCACCTTGGGAGGCCGAGGCGGGCAGATCACCTGAGGTCGGGAGTTCGAGACCAGCCTGACCAACACCGAGAAACCCTGTCTCTACTAAAAATAAAAAAAAAAATTAGCTGGGCGTGGTGGCACATGCCTGTAATCCCAGCTACTGAGGAGGCTGAGGCAGGAGAATGCTTGAACCCGGGAGGCGGAGGTTGCAGTGAGCCAAGATTGCCCCATTGCACTCCAGCCTGGGCAACAAGAGTGAAACTCTGACAAAAAAAAAAAAGGAAGGAAGGAAGGAGGGAGGGAAGGAGGGAAAGAAGGAAGGAAGGAAGGAAGGAAGGAAGGAAGGAAGGAAGGAAGGAAGGAAGGAAGGAAGGAAGGAAGGAAGGAAGGAAGGAATCAATCCAGATAGGTTCGGGCAAGACTGAGAACCTTGGGGTTAGTGGCTGGATTCTCTGGAAGTAGGCAGAGTCAACAAGTTGTAAGAGAAGAGACACTCCATTAGCGCAGTACGGTTAGAAGCAATGGCCAAGCATTAGCAGAAAGGAGTCCAGATACACAAGCCCAGTGCTCCATACCTTGTGTGCGACTGGTGTTTAACAGGCAATGCAGAAACTAAAGCATGCCGTCCCTTTATTCCAGCCAGGGGGAGGACAGGAAACTGAGGATAGGGCAGAAGCTTGGGTTAGGAAGAAGAGGAAAGAACTTTGCAAGGCTCCAAAGCACTAAAGCCTGCTGAAAATATGACAAGTTGACTTCAGAGAGAAATCTTGATGAAAGAATGCCAGCCTGAGAGAGGGTTTGAAGACTGCATGGTAATCAGGGAGGTGGAAAAAAAATCACTGCATGCCACAGTGCAGAAATGTTTTCATCTTAAAAATAATTATTAAAAAACATAGAGTTATAAACAAATATAAAGTGACATATGTTTTGGTTTGTGGTCTGTTTATATGTTCCAGAGATGTTTACTTCATATCTTAATCACTTTAACAGCCTTAATGCTTTGGCCTTGATAAAGTTTAGTATATAATATATTCCTCATTTATAGCTCTGATAGCTTTAATTTTCTGAAAACTATCAAATTTTGCCATCTGTTATATTTCATGGGAAGTTTAGTGAAACCCTTCATTAGTAATCTAGTAGTTATGGCTTGTTGACATTTCCATCATAAGTTCTAATTTTGAATTATTTATGTATAACTGAGGTTTTACTTTACATTGGGCTGAAAGTCAAAAGAATTTCAGATAGCCTTTGTGAATGCTGACCTAGATTCATTACATACAGCAGAACCATATTTTATAAGAACATGGGAAAAATATGTAATTTGCTTTTATAATGAAAAGAACTTAGTATTTTAAGTATGAAGTTTAGCTGGTAATTAATATGAATCAGATTATTTTGCTTTAAAAAATAAACTCTGGGGCTGGGCACAGTGGCTCACACTTGTAATCCCAGCACTTTGGGAGGCCAAAATGGCGGATCACTTGAGGTCAGGAGTTCAAGACCAGCTTGGGCAACATGGTGAAACCCAGTCTCTACAAAAATTAGCCAGGTGTGCCAGGTTCCGTGGCTCACGCCTGTAATTCCAGCACTTTGGGAGGCTGAGGTGGGTGGATCAACTGAGGTTGGGAGTTCGAGACCAGCCTGACCAACATGGAGAAACCCTGCCTCTACCAAAAATACAAATTTAGCTGAGTGTGGTGGCACATGCCTGTAATCTCAGCTACTCGGGAGGCTGAGGCAGGAGAATCACTCGAATCTGGGAGGTGGAGGTTGCGGTGAGCCAAGATCATGCCATTGCACTCCAGCCTGGGCAACAAGAATGAAACTCCGTCTCAAAAAAAAAACCAAAAAACAAAAATTAGCCAGGTGTGGTGGTGCACACCTGGAGTCCCAGCCACTTGGGACACTAAGGTGGCAGAATCACTTGAGCATGGGCGATTGAGGCTGCAGTGAGCTGAGATCACACCACTGCACTCTAGCCTGTGTGACTGAGTGAAACCCTGTTTCAAAAAAAATATATATATATATGTGTGTGTATATACACACACATATACGTGTATATGTGTATGTATATGTATATGTGTGAATATATATAAACTTCTGAAAACAGATTTTAAAAATAACTGTGCAATTTGAATATAATTGGAATTTTAGTATTTTCATTAAGAATGTTATGCTTTGCTTTCTATGATTATCTTTAATTGAAGGCCTAAGAGAATAATATAATGTATAAAATAAAACATGACCAACAGCAAATATTTTCTAATTGTATTAATATTAACAAAATAACGAGTGCTTATCTAATGAACCTTAAGTGGTTCTGTAATAAATCACAAGAGATGTCTTTGATTTATAAATGTGTTAATATTTTCTCAAGGGTTTCCAGTTATTAAAAAGTTAATGTCCCAATATCAGAGTCGTAACTGTCTTTTTTGTATGACGCCATTTGTACCCTAAAAGTTTTTTTTTTTTTTTGAGACGGAGTCTCACTCTCGCCCAGTCTGGAGTGCAGTGGCGCCATCTCGGCTCACTGCAAACTCCGCCTTCCGGGTTCACACCATTCTCCTGCCTCAGCCTCCCGAGTAGCTGGAACTACAGGCGCCCACCATCACGCCCAGCTAATTTTTTTTGTATTTTTAGTAGAGACGGGGTTTCACTGTGTTAGCCAGGATGGTCTCGATCTCCTGACCTCGTGATCCGCCCGCCTCAGCCTCCCAAAAGTGCTGGGATTACAGGCGTGAGCCACCGCGCCTGGCTCTAAAAGTTTTATATTCAAAATAATTCTTAGAAAAGTTAGGATAGTGTTGATTCTGTTCCTCTAATAGAAACTTGATGTGTTTTCATGATATTAATATAGATTTACTCTAATTTCATTATGACTATACAAGCATTCATTATTTAGTAGCTTAATTTTTTTGTTTAAATATGCTGTTGTCGTTTTAATAGGTCTTGGTGATTTTAAATATCAGCTCCTGCTATTGTTTTCAAATTCTAGTCTTGACCGTGTGATTTTTTTTTTTTAAACACAGTATTTTTATCAACTACCATGGAAAGTTCATATTTCATAGGCTGACTGGGAGAAAACAGTAATTTGTGATGCTAATACATCAATTTACTTATAATAGAGTAAAAATATTATATTGGTATTTATAGAATCACAAAATAAACAATTTTTGTTAAGCTCAATTAATATAGGACAAATTTTGTCTAGTTTTAGGCTATGATGTAGCAAACAGTTTATTATAACTTTAAATTTTCTCTTCCAATATAACAAAGCAAATGTTAACAGTTGCAATTACGATTTTTAGATTGTTATCTAAGTTTATTTATTATTAGGTAATTGTATTTAAAACAAAGCAGTAAAATATATTGGGAAAGGGTTATGTTTATAGAGGGCTTCTTAATGTGTTATATTTCTGAAATGTAAACATACCTTTTTTCATGCTTAAGTAGAAAAGAAATAAAATTAAAAAATAAAAAAATTATTGTAAAGTGCATTTATCAAATTGAACCATTTGGGTGGTCTTGACACACTTTTGGTTGAGTATTAACTTCAGTGTAGTAACTGTTAAAGTACAATTTTTATTTAAGATATGCCTCTGAGATTTCAAAAACATGTACATATGTTCATAGAAAAAATATGGCCAGGATATATTCCAAAATGTTAATAGAAGTTTTTTCCTCAAGGAAAGTGATTTTTATTTCCTTTTTCATATTTTCTGTATTTTCCAAATTTCCTATAGTAAGTATATTACTTTTGAATAATAAACCAATAGGCTGGGTGCAGTGGCTCACGCCTATAATCCCAGCACTATGGGAGGTTGAGGTGGGAGGATCACCTGAGGTCAGGAGTTCAAGACCAGCCTGGCCAACATGGCGAAACCCCATCTCCACTAAAAATACAAAAATTAGCCGGGTGTGGTGGTGTGTGCCTGTAATACCAGCTACTTGGGAGGCTGAGGCACAATAATCACTTGAACCCGGGAGGCAGAAGTTGCAGTGAGCTGAAATTGTGCCACTGCACTCCAGCCTGGGTGACACAGCAAGACTCTGTATCAAAAATAAAAATAAAAAGAAACCAATAAATGCTAACAAAGAACTTGAGAGGAATGACCATCTGATTCAATTGGTAAAACTTCTCTTTAATAAGAGGACTGGAAAGCAGGCAAGGAGAGATCTTAGAGTGTATCCTGGAGTTTAAGGAGAGCTAGTGAAAGATTTGAGTCTGGCAAAGATCACCGTAGGTGCAGTGTAAAGAATGGATTAGAAGGGAGTAAGTGAGAGGTACAAAGTCCTCTTAGTAGGCGTTTGCAAGAATCTGAAGGAAAAAACTCTGAGGTCTTCGTTTATATTGAGAAACAAACCTTGTGTACTTTCTGAGATCTCCAGAGTGCCTGTTGCTTTACTTTTGAAGTTGGAACAAGTACCACACCTTGAGCTTGGGATCTGCCTTCCTGAGAGCCGCCAAGCGGCCAGATGACACAATCCAATTCAGGGGTGTTTATCTCTCCATGGGGTAAACCTTCACCAATGGCAAATGGATCCAGGAGAGAGACAGGAAGACACACTCACTCTTTTTTCTCATGTGGAATAGTCCAAGATGGAGTTCTTCCTTGTTAACCCTTCCAGGGACGTCCCATGCCTGCTGAGTGACCTGTTGTATGACTGCACAACAGTAAACAGTATAACAGTGCATCTCACTGTGTCCCATCTTCCCCTCCTCTTCCCCCTCCTTAGCAGACTGCTTTGTGCCCTGCTTTCTACAGTAGCTGGGCTTACACCACTTTTACCAACATAGTGGCACCAGGAGCGAGTGAAGAGGAGAACAAAACTTCAAGAGATATTTGGAAGGTAGTATTGGCACCAGTTTGGTGGCTGACCTAATGTGGGGAGTGAATGAGGGGGGTATATTTAAGACGACGCCTAGGTTTCTTTTTCTTTCTTTTCTTTTTTCTTTTCTTTTTTTTGAGACGGAGTCACTCTGTTGCCCAGGCTGGAGTACAGTGGCACGATCTTGGCTCACTGCAGCCTCTGCCTCCCAGGTTTAAGCGATTCTCCTGCCTCAGCCTCCCGAGTAGCTAGGATTACAGGTATGTACCACCACACCCAGCTAATTTTTGTAATTTTACTAGAGACGGGGTTTCACCATGTTGGCCAGGCTGGTCTCGAACTCCTGACCTCAGGTGATCCTCCCACCTCGGCCTCCCAAAGTGCTGGGATTACAGGCGTGAGCTACTGTGCCTGGCCCAACTCCTAGTTTCTAACTTGGACAACTAAGTGGCTAGTACTAGCACAATTCCTAGCACATATTAAGCCCTCAGGGAATATTTACTGGATGAATAAATGCATGACTTATGGGACCATAACTAAGGTAAAGACTGCAGAAGGTGTTTATTATTGAATCATATGTAGAATACCTCAAGGAGGTTTCACAAACACTAGTTGGAGGTGTTTGCAGTCCTTTCTAAAGAGGCATTCATACAGTTATATATGAACGAGTCAAGGCCCTAGAAAGAGAAGTGAAAAGCTGAGCCTAGAAGGGTGCTGACAGCCTGTCCACAGTTCAAACAGGTTTCATTCTTGTTCAACCCGAATATGGACCTAATCTGTTCCAAATAAGCTGAGTTTAAACTATTTCAATTGTCCATGATTCACAAAGCATCCCGGCCCAGTTCACATAGTGCTAAATCTAGAACCTCTAATTTCTGAGCTATTTTCATTTTACGAAAACCACAGAAAAACAGAGCTAAAAAGCCTTCCAAAGGTTATCTGGCCCACTCCCCTAGTTCAGGAATGATTTGGTACACAGGTTTAGCAAGATCACTGGTATTTATTTTTCTGTAGAGCTGACTGACACTCAACTACCAAATAACAATATTATGTTATGGAAATGCCAGCCAAGAAAAGCCTACAGAATTAAAAAGGAAGAAACATCTTTTTTTCAACTATAATTGGGTGGTGTCCCCTGAAGGTACAGTTTTTTGCAAAGTTAGGGATATTTTGGCTTAAATGGAATTTATGGCTAAGCAAAAATGCTAGACTAGCAATGGTTATAAAATAATTATTGTACTTGGTGCTAAAACTAAAATTACTGGTCTAAAAGCATGATGAAAATTCCAATGCCAGTCACTTCAGAGTAGCATCTTTTTTTTTTTTAGATGGAGTCACGCTCTATCGCCCAGGCTGGAGTGCAGTGGCGCGATCTTGGCTCACTGCAAGCTCCGCCTCCTGGGTTCACGCCATTCTCCTGCCTCAGCCTCCCGAGTAGCTGGGACTACAGGCGCCCGCCACCACACCTGGCTAATTTTTTTGTAGTTTTAGTAGAGACGGGGTTTCATCATTTTAGCCAGGATGGTCTGAATCTCCTGACCTCGTGATCCACCCACCTCGGCCTCCCAAAGTGCTGGGCAGAGTAGTATCTTATAAGTACTCAAGTTATAAAGTCCCCAAGAAAGGGGAGAACCAAGTACAGCCAAATAGGTTTGCTTTAAAAATACTCAGACATGGCTTACTATGTTCTAGGCACTGTTCTAAGATATTTATATTATTAATTTAATCCTTATAACAATCCTATAGAGGTAGTACTATTATTAGCCTCATTTCATGGATGAAGAAACTGAGGCATTGAAAGCGTAAGTAACTTCCCCAAGGTCAGACACTAACGTGGTGAATCCAGGACTCAAACTCATTACGGAACTTCTCTGCATGTAAGGGCCATGCTGTTCAAACTGTCAGCATCTTTAAACACCCAGCATGGCACATTGATCATACTGTGAATAGCACAGGGGAACTAAGAGATAAAGTAGATTCACATCTCCCATCTCATACTTGTTCTAGTGCATACATTTACTGAGCAAAATAGTAAACACACTTCCTCACACTATTTAAATTGTTCTCATTCTTTCTCTGTCACTGAGTGACCGTAGTTTGATTTGCATATTTATTGGGTGCCTTTTCTATGACAGGTACAGTTTTGGACTGGAAGTTCCTTGTTGAACAAGATTGACCAAGTCCCTACACTCATAGAACATGCATTCTAGAGGTAAAGCAAACAATAATCAAGTAAACAGGTAAACAGGATATTTGATAAGAGATGTGAAGGTGAATAAAGTAGGGCAATTGGTTAGGGAACGGCTACGGCTACGGTGCTTCATTTATATTAGGGGTGGTGATGAGGGAAGTCCTCTCTGAGGCAACATTTGAGCAGAGACCTGAGTGAGGTAAGAGAGAAAGCCATGTGACGGTCTGGGGGTTGAAAACAGAGGAAACAGCAAATGCAAGACCCTAAAGCAGTAGTCCGCTTCATATTTCTGAGGAACAGTGAGAAGGCCAGTTCCTGGAGAGGAATGAACAGGGAAGAAAGTGATAGAGGATGAGGTGAGAAGATTAGGCAAGAGTCCAGTCATATAGGTTGTGGTGAGGGAGTGTGGATTTTATCCAAGTGTGAAAAGAAACTACTAAAGGATTTTGAATAGTAGAGTGAGCACATTTCATTTGTATTTTTTAAAAAAACCGCTTTGGCTGCTGTGTGGAGAATGAAATATACGGTGAAGGAGTGGAAGCAGGGAAAATACTTAAGAGGTGATTGCAGCAGGTTGGGCAAGAAATGATGGTGGTTTGGACTAGTTGCTAGTGCAGGAGGTAGTAAGAAGGGATGGGGTTTGGGATACATCCATATCCATAAATTAGAGCTGAGAGGGATGGCTGCTTTTGCCTTTGCTGGTGCAGTGAGAGCAGCTTCAGGAATCCGATGGCTCTTGAATATTTTGGCATCTTCAGCATACAGAAACTGTGTCAAGAATGCCTCTCTTATTTCTGCATTGTCCACTGGACGTTTCAGTCATATTTAGACACCAGTTGTTTCCTCCACTTCCAGACTTAACCACATCTGAGAGAAACCTGACATGTGGGCATACTTCAGCGATCCTTAATAGAGTGTCCCCCTTGCTTCCGAGTGTCCTGAAGCTGCCAGTCAGATCTCTAACATACTTCAGTACATGAAAAGACAAGAGAAAGACTGTGAAAGCTGTCATCTACAGGTTTCTTCGACTTCATTGTGGCCTTTGGGTGAGGTGAAAGGCTGGTTAAAAGAAAAAAATTATGGAAAAAGGAACCTGCAAGAAAAAAGCGATTGAGGGAATTTGTATTCTGCAATAAAACCCAGAGTAAACTCTTAAGATAAAATGGCGACGTCATTCTGGGAGAGGTAAAACTGGTATGTCCATGATCCTTATCAGAAGTATCATGATTGAACAAACCTGAAAGTATAGATCAGAAGTTTCACTTGTTTCTCAGTTATTGAATATGTATCTTTGTGTACATGCTATCTTTGCAAAAATGGAGAAGATGATGTAAATTGTACCAATGAATATGTAAACATACAGTGACAATATTAAACTTATAAAAGTTTTAAAAAAAATTAGACCTAAGAGGAAGGGCTGATCCACTGGATGTGGAGTGTGAGGGAGGTAATTTAGGGAGATGAGGGAGCTGTGTTATTATTTGGGAAATATTTCTCAGGGAAGATGATGAGAAAAAAATTGCATAGGAGGCATCTGAAGGTAAAATGGGACTAGAGCCCTGACCACAAAGGCCACAGCTCTATCCTGAGGAACTTTCTGAGAACATGACAGGAGACCCACAAGAGGGCACACTTCTCTCTTCCAGCCAAAATTATGGACACCTTCCATTCCAGTCCCTTCTGCTGCTGAAAAGTCATCCTTCAGACCACGATCATAGACAAAAGAAGAAAATTCTACCTGTTTTGTAGGTATTAGGAAGACTCACAGGGTGATCTGTGTGTATACAGAATCTATACTATAGATAAGCCAGAAATAAATACATAGGTACCTCTTATTTTTAAAATATATATACCAATGTATATATTAATATATCCACTATATATATTGAAATATGTTGGCCGGGCACCGTGGCTCACACCTGTAATCCCAGCACTTTAGGAGGCTGAGGCGGGCGGATCACAAGGTCAGGAATTCGAGACAAGCCTGGCCAACATGGTGAAATCTCGTCTCTACTAAAAATACAAAATTTAGCTGGGCGTGGTGGCACACGCCTGCAGTCCCAGCTACTCGGGAGGCTGAGGCAGGAAAATTGCTTGAACTCGGGGGGTGGAGGTTGCAGTGAGCCGAGATCATGCCATTGCTCTCCAGCCTGGGTGACAGAGTGAGACTTTATCTCAAAAAAAAAAAAAAAAAAAAAGGAAAGAAATACGACTGGGCGTGGTGGCTCATGTCTGTAATCCCAGCACTTTGTGAGGCTGAGGCAGGCGGATCACGAGGTCAAGAGATCGAGACCATCCTGGCCAACATAGTGAAACCCCATTTCTACTTAAAAAAAACAAAACAAAACAAAACAAAAAAACAAAAAACAAAAAACTAGCTGGGCATGGTGGCATGCGCCTTGTAGTCCCAGCTACTTAGGAGGCCAAGGCAGGAGAATCACTTGAACCTGGGAAGCAGAGGTTGCAGTGAGCCAAGATCATGCCACTGCACTCCAGTCTGGTGACAGGGCGCGACTCTTGTCTCAAAAAAAAAAAAAAGAAAGAAATACGTTAATATATACCTGGTTATAGACACTTTACCTTGCTTTATAATTCAGTACTGGTCTGAGTTCCTTAGCCTCTCTTCACTCCATGGTTTTTTTTTCTCTTTCTCCTTTTTTTTTTTTTTATTAAGAGACAGGGTCTCACTATGTTGCCCACACTAGTCTCAAACTCCTGGGCTCAAGCGATCCTCCTGCCTCAGCCTCCCAAAGTCTGGGATTTCAGGTGTGAGCCACCACACTTGGTCATGATATTTTGTCAAGCCCAAAGCCTCTCAAAGTCCTTCCCCTCCTGGTCAGGGCTCTGGAATACACAGAAAATACCTGGACACAGCTACCTTTGAAACCAAAGAGTTTGAGTGCAGGAAGGAAGAACTAGTCCAACCCTTCTTTAACTTTAAAGCAAAGGAAGCTGAGCCTGAAAAATTTAAAAGACTCCTATAGTTTCAGCAGCTCCCCTCTATACGCAATAGCCCTGACCTTTTCAGAATTGCACTTTCTGTGCATCTAATATATTTTTGAGTTCCCAAATTTTCACTTAATACAGAGGTTGCCTTGATCAGATTCTTCTAAAATTCCAAAGGAAGAAGGGGCTACACAGAAAAAGGAAGAGGATGTTTTCAACATACATCTGTTAATACCTTATCATCACCCTAGTGAAATTTTCTGAAAGAACGAACAATCTTCTTTGGGAAGTGGTTATAATGGGAAACCCAGAAGTCAAATCCATGTTTTAAAAGGCTTTCACAGTATGACGAAAGACTAGGTATGCATCATTATCATTTCATCCAATTTCCTCTAGTTAGACTGAAAGCCCTGCCAGGGCAAGGACTGGAGATGTGCCTAGAGTGTTGTGGGTTTTATTCATTCAACGAATGTATTAAAACTCATACTCCTTTTAAAAAAGGATCTCTGGAGGCTACCCAGTTACCATTGCCCACACCTTTCATTTTGGTGGTAAACAGTCTACTCACATTGATAATAACAATTATGTTCTTCCTATGCATTAAACTTTGTGTTAAGCACTTGATTTGCAGTATCATTAATCCTTAACCCTTACACCACTCCTATGCTACTCTAAAATATACAGTTACATTTTAGAAATGATGAAGCTTGCCAGGCATGGTGGCTCACGCCTGTAATCTCAACACTTTGGGAGGCTGAGCTGGGAGGAATGCTTGAGGCTAGGAATTTCAGGCGAGCCTGGGCAACATAGTGAGTCCCCTATCTCTAAAAAACAAAAATAAAAAATTAACCAGGTGTGGTGGCATGCGACTGTAACCCTTGCTGGTTGGGAGGCTGAGGCCAGAGGATAGTCTGAGCCCAGGGGTTTGAGGCTGCAACGAGCTAGGATCGTGCCATTGTACTTTAGCCTGCGCAACACAGTGAGACCCTGTCTCTAAGCAGCACCAGGGGCAAAAGACATTATGCAATTTGCCACAATTCACAGAAATAAGCAATGGAAGAGCTCATATTTGAAAACTTACCGCAGGCATTTAGTATCCTGTTTTGTTTTGATTCTTAGTGAAGCCTGGCAGTCTTTGGGAGAGGAAACCCCAAGGCTTGTTCAGAGTTTCAGCTGGTGAATAAGGTGGGACCCATTCATGCACTTCGCCCCCACCGGGAGATGTGCCATAAATTGAAGACTGTGAATAGTCACTGGTTTTGTAAAAGACTATGTGTCAACTGGGACCATCCGATGAAAAAGGACCAACATCATTTAACATAATTTTCTTGTTGGTTATGATTTTTTCTCTAAGGATATTTCCCCCCTCTGGTTTTCTAAATTGTCACAAAACATTTGCGCAACGACCTGGGGTGTTATGACACCCTTAGATGAAAATCTGAGGACAGCTTGGATGAAGAATAACTTTTAAGTAACAACATAGTCCGCCCTCGCCTTGGTTAAACAAATCGAATGGAAACGATTTGTTCAAGATGGGAGCATCAAATAGACGCAAGCTCTTCGAAACAGCCCTGATTCCCTGGCAAACGCTGTTGCTTAGCGAAACGTCAAAACCCCTGCGTGCAAACAAACGTCTGAGGGGCGCACCCGCCTTGAGCAAGCTTCTCCCGGCAGCTCGGGCTTTGGAGAACGTCTGGAGGACATTGGTAGCTCCTCCCTCTCCGGTTAAGGACTTGGTAGGGGGAAGAGGGCAGAGGATCCAGGATCTCCGGGTCGGGTCATCTGGGTTGACGCGTCCTGACACCCAGGACGGTGCAGGGGAGCTCCGGGGCGAGTCGCTTCGCGCCAGGAAAGGCCTGCGTCTCAGCGCTGGAACAGAGGGGAGAAGCAGAGGGGAGCCCCGCCCTCGGTCCAGTTCTGGAGCAGTGCGCCCCTCCCCCGCCCCGGAAACGTCCCCGCCGCCCCTCCCTCCACCACCACCTCCCGGGGACCTAGGTTGTAAAATCCCACGCAGTGGGGCGGGCACGGTGACGGGGGTGGGGCGGGTGGCGTAAGGCGCCACCGCCCACTGGCACGGCACCAGCGCCCTCCAGCACCCAACCGCCGCCTCCCTCTCCCCGGCGCGGCTCCAGCCTCCCCCCGCCAGCCCAGCCCCCCCAGCGTGGCTCCAGCCTCACTGCACCCACCCACCCTGCACCGCAACCTCCCAGCACCCTAGCTGCCCGGCCGGCCCAGCTCGGCTCTGGAGGGCGTCCCTCGCATCTGGACTCCCTCTGCCCGAGGGAGGAGCCGCAGCCGCGGTCGCCCCGCCCCTGGCGTTCTTTGACTCCCCCGGCCTCTTGGACATCTGGGTGCGGGGGTTAGTGCATCAGATGTGGCTCCTGGGCCGCCAGATGTGCGCGTTCCCCGCCCGGGGCAGGCGGCCGGCGAGTCTGGGAGGACGCGTGGGAGGGGCTGGGAGTTTTCCCTCCTAGCAGACTTAAAAGCCAGCAGAACCTCCAGCCCCCTGGGCTCCCGGCCTGGGCCTCCTGGGTCTCCGGGACGCACTGCCCAACGGAAAAGTTTTCAGCCCAGTCTGTGCCTCGCCGCCAAGCAGCCCTTGGGGCTTCTCAAAGTGGTAGAGAAAATAGGACAGCTCTACAGGATGCCCCAAAGAAAACCCTCATTTGTCGACCAGGCGACCTTAGTGCTGGCGTGGGACTACAGCTGCGCAGCCAGCAAACCCCAGTTGGGGGAGGGGGAGAAGTGGCAGTAGAGTTCGCATCTGGGGCTTGCTCTAAAGCGCTCTTTGACTGCTTTTGGATTCCATATTTGAAGTTGAGAGTCGTATTCCACCTGGTACAGGCAGTTCAGGGCAGGAGAAAAGCCAAGTGAACTCTGTGACTCAATCCCCTTGGAATGTGCCTGGAATAATAATAGGGACTTGAAAGGGTTTTATGGCCGAGGTGGCTAGTGGAGAGCAGTCTCCTACGCCTTGCAGTTGGCGGTCGGCCGAGGGGGGCAGTATTGCCTTATGCAGAGCTTCTGCGCCTGCAAACGGGACAAAAATAGTCGGAGCATCTGGTTTAAATCAACCAAAAAGCATTTCTATCAGCTTAATCCACCGGCCTACAGAACTGACAGAACAGGACAAGCCAAATATATTCCCGGTACTCTTTTAACACTCCAATAATAGCTAAGCCCAATCACACTTTACCGCTGGGATTTCTGTGTCCTACCATACAACTGTCGTTATTTTATAGATGTTGCAAATTAAACTTCCTTTTCTGGAGTTGTGTGTGGGCATGTGCTTAAGCAGTTACATTTGCAAGCAACGCTCGACTACGCTGCCCTTTTCGTTTTCCTTTTTCTTTCTCTCTTTTGGTATGAGGTCTTAGAATAGTCAAAAGTATCTAAGGCCAACATATGGGTTGCTTACACCACTAAATATATAGCTGCATTTCCCTCTCTTAACGCCCTAATCAGGATTCCAAAGGCAAGTTGGAACAAAAGAAAAAACGTGTCTGAGTGTAAAGGGAGAATTTGTGCCAAGAATTACAGTCGCAGGGTAAATAACCTTGTTTTCTCCTTCATCAGTGGCCGCTACCAAGTCCCGTTCTTGGAAAGTGGCCAACAGTCTGTCTGGTGGAGGGTGCTGCTAATTAGAGAGAGCCCATAAACCTCTCTGTCAAAGAGGGCATGTGACCTTCTCTTCAAGTCTGAACAATAAAGCCGGCGAACTGCAGACTGCACTCAACACTGGCTGCCCCGCGGATTCCCTAAATAGGAACAGGATGAAGGCCAGGCTCAAGAGGTTACCATAGCTCTGCTCCCACACTTTGAGGAATCGGTCACTCCACTTCCCCATATAACTTGTTTCAATTACTCTCTACAATCTATTTAGAGGAGAGCAGCTTGCAGAGAGCACTCATTGTCTAATCTAAATGAGGAAGCAATTATTACTTGCTGCAGTCTAATGTGCTTTGAGACTGGTGGGTCAAAGAGCAACCTGATTTCTTGTAACGTGTCTTTGCACTTTGGAAGATACACCTTTTTAATGACATTTATTTACTCCTGCTTTTAGGACACATTTTTCTTTCTATTAAGATTACAAAATTAAGGTGTTTTTCCCCTTCTCAGTCTTCAATGTCCTTTTTAATTTTAGAATTTAAGCTATTGTAAACACCCCAAGTACTTTTGCATATTGTTTAATGTTAAATATTATTTTTTTTAGTGCTTTCTTATAGGCATGTTCTCTGATTATAGCAAAATAGAGTTCTCTAAGTCTTCCCTTCTTTGTTTAATTTACCTCCCTGGGAGCCCCCTTGCTAGCTTTAATTTTATACAACATGTTGTAAACTATAAATAATACAGCTCCACTTTCCTAGAACATATGGAAACTGTCGCCTGCTATATATCCTAACTGTACTTGCTTTCAGCTTAAAGACTGAATAAAGTTAATCTCCTGTGTAAAAAGGCATTTAGCCTTTTGTGTGTGTGTGTGTGCATTTTATTAGTTAAAACCCAGTATGGAACAGCACATGAAATTCTTGTTGTGAACAGAGCACATAAAAGGGTTTACAAGGTGTGGTTTGAAGAGAGGAAGCCGTGGAACAAATGTTGGTGGAAAGGAGAGGAAGGAAGGAAAGCACTTCCTGAGAGGATACTCCTCCTGTTTCAGCTGCATCCTCTCTTCAGATTCTTCCTGTTTGTCTTAGTCCATAACTGATAGTAAATTATTTGTCTTCATTTTTTTCTATTCACTTTAAAAGCATCCTTTCTCTCTGTACTAAAGCTACTCTTGAAACCAAATCCATTAACTTCCAATGACTTAACAACTTTACTTCATTTAACATTCTGATAATCTGAAACTTTTGTATTATATAATACATGTATGGAAGGAATCATTTCCATGTTAACTTTCCAAGTATTCTGTGATCTCTAAGACAACCAACTGTGACGTAATTAACAACAGAGTCCGAAGTCACAAACATTGCGGTTGCTTGGGTCGTAGGTTGGTCACTGTTTTTTGTTTTTGTTTTTGAGACAGCATCTCACTGTGTCACCTAGGCTGAAGTGTGGTGGTGCAATCACAGCTCATTGTAGCCTCAATTTCCCGGGCTCAAGCGATCCTCTTGCCTCAGCCCCGCAAATAGCTGGGACTACAGGTGTGCGCCAGCCACCACGTCCAGCTAATTTTTGTATTTTTTATAGAGATGGGGTTTTGCCATGTTGCCCAGGCTGGTCTCCAACTGTGCTCAAGTGATCCGCCCGCCTCACCCTCCCAAAGTGTTGGGATTACAGGCATGAGCCACTGCACCCGGTCACAGGTTGGTCACTAGTGAGTCTCTGCGTATTTGTAAAATCGGGATGATGCCTCTTCGCAAAGTGTGAAAACAAACATATACTACTGTTGGTTATCACAACTGAATGTAAGGGGCATCACAAGCCTTATAAAGTATTAATTCTTCTTCCAAATACATCACGTGCTACAACATCCCCTTTCGTTACAAGATAAATTAATAAAATATTTATAATTTCTACATACTGAATTTATGACTTTATATTTTGAAGTGGAGTTTCTTTTGGAATTTTTTTTTTTTGAGACAAGGTCTCACTTTGTCACCCAGGCTGGAGTGCAGCACAATCTCAGCTCACTGCAGCTTTGACCTCCCAAGGTTTAAGCAATCCTCCCAGCTTAGCCCCCCAATTAGCTGGGAATATGGGCATGCGCCACGACACCCAGCTAATTTTTGTATTTTTTCATAGAGATGGGGTTTTGCCATGTTGCCCAGGCTGGTATTGAACTCCTGGCCTCGAGTGACCCACTCACCTTGGCCTCCCAAAGTGCTAGGATTACAGGCGTGAGCCACCACGCCTAGCTTTTGGAATTTAATTTTAAGGATACTGTGATAGTTAATTTTATGTGTCAAATTTGGCTAGGCCATGGTACCCAGGCATTTGATCAAACAGTAGTCTATGTGGCTGTAAAGGTATTTTCTAGATGTAATTAGTGTTTAAGTCAGTAGACTTTGAGTAAAACAGATTACTCTCCATAATGTGGATGAGCCTCATCCAACGGTGAAGGGAGAATTCTACCAGCAGAATTACCTTTGTACTTGAAACATCAGCTCTTCCTTGGGTCTCTGGTGTATTGGCCCACCCTGTAGATTTTGAACTTGCCAGTGTCCACAATCACCAGTCAATCCCTTGAAATAAATCTTTCTCTACATATCTTATTTGTTCTTTTTCTTTGGAGAACCTTGACTAATTCAGGTACTTACTATTGACTCTTAGCACTACCATATCTATTGTAGCCCTCAAATTGAGAGTGACTTAAATTATGCTTAGCATTGCCATGGGGGAAATGCCCACATATACCCCATGTTTCCCAGTAGTTTAACATCCTGTCAAAACACATTAGAATTCAGCCAGATATTCTAACCTGGCTTCATTAACTCTCCTCACGCATCTTTTCCAAATCTCAGCATTAAACAGTGATTGGAAGAGAAAAACACAAGACTGATGTGCAAAAGCATCTGATCCTGTTCTCTCCCTTCACAACTTTCTTTTTATGAGTATTCCCCAAGGCACCGGTTGAAAATATAAGAAACTGTGGCAGTCCTAAGGGACTCAAGGTTAAAAGTCACCTTGAAAAATTTGCAAGGCTACTGAAAATGTAGTAAGGTTTCAAGAGTGAGATGGTCAGATTCAGGATGTATTCTGGAGATAAGACAGCCAAAACAATTTACCAATGTATTGGATGTAAGAGGTAGGGGAAGGGAACCAATAATTAAAAAACAAAAACTGCTCTGAGAGAACCACATGAATTATTCAATAGCCAAGAATAAATTCTAGAATAAATAATACTCAAATAATCCAAACATTGATTTGGTTGGTAATGGTGAATTCATTTTATTAAGAGCAAGAATTGTTTCCCTTAAATTAATTCTATGCTACTTTACTTGGATATAAGCATTGTGCAGAAACCTAACAGTGCTCTCATAAGAAGCAGGTAATCAGTGGATATTTTTGAATTAAAAAAAAAATAGATGCTGATTTGATTTGCACATAATGCCAAAATAACACGCTTGCCTTTTTCTCTCTTAATCTGGGATTGTAAGGTAAACAGTACGCATGGTGACTTTCCTGCTTTTGTTGAGCATGGTCCTTTAGTTATTTACACTTATAGACAATTATCAATCCTGTGCTTTAAAATTTCAATTCAAAGCATTGTCTTATAAAAAGCAGTTTAAAAAACGTTACCAAGGACAGACCATAAGGAGAGTGTTTTAAGACTAAAATACTGATGAGTAGGTAAAGGGGTAGAATGTTTTCCCAGGGAACAATTCATCAGCCTCTGACATGATGTTTGTTTTGTAAATCTCTTTTTTCAGAACAGTGAACGATTTAAAGGGAGACTAAAACACTGAAAAAAAATGCCGTTCATATATTGTGTTCTTTTGAATTTTTATTTATATTTCTAACCTCTTTAGATCATTACAAGTATATACCTCATAATGAAAATGAAAATAATTCCATTTAAAATGCTATCTAGAAAGACCTTAACACGCATTATGTGTCATAATGAAGTAACACAAAGAAACTTCTTAAAACATAGGATTTCTCTCTAAAGCTTAAATGTGAGGCAGACAGACGTCTAACTTTAAAACAGATGGAACCCCAGAACATTTCCAGGATACATAAATCTGAATTTTGTGTTACATTTTATGCCTGAGACAGCTAACCCATCCAAATTGATGGTGAGGATTTCTGTACTCATTGTTTTTCCTATCTTTCCTTTCTAACATCCAAATTTAACAATTCAGTATTTCTTTTTCATAATCCTATGGATGACCATACCAGAATGTTTATGATTTTCATAATTTGCTCTGTGATCTGTAATCCTAAGTGTGTGCATATATTTAATCAACACATAATAATAAGTAATACCAATTCATGGAATCCAACATATGTACTCTGGCATAAAAAAAGAAACGCGAATTGCCACAAATAAAATGAGTTTATTTTATATTAAAGTTATCAAAAAACACACCTGTAAAATTACCCACATACTAGGCTTAGAGATAGCCTTTTACAAACAGATTATTAAAAATCTGCAAACTTATTTTCTCTTAACTATTAAAGTACATAGATTTAAAAGGTGTTAGAAGGCAAAATGTTAAGTCATGGTCAATGTCTTAAAAAAGAGTTAATATAATTAAATCTGTAGCATACTACAAAAAGATTAAATCTTAAAAATATTTTGGGAAAAAAGCTATAATTTTCTTTCTGAAAAATTTAATCTTAAGTGATATTTACTAAGAAATATATACTGCAAACCACAATAACAATGATCTTCTCAAAATTTGCCTAATTGCTTCACAAATGAGTCAACTTACAAAGAAGAAAACACAGAAAATTGCTTTTAAATATATAACTCCTTAATTTTCCTGATAATCAAATGAAAATTTAGTCCATCCCAATTAATACAAATTAGACTCATGCTTAATGTAAGATATCATTATATATTTCTTAACAACATAAAAGTTCAAGCATTTTTGGAAAGCACAGACTGTGTTATTCTAAAAAAGGAAAAAAAAGAAAAAAATATTTAACCACAGAAATTTGGAATATTTATATACTTTATAACACTGTAGAAATCTTTGGTGGTGACATATGGAATAAGATCCCTGAAAATACTTTAATCATTTTGTCCCATCAATCAGTGTAGTCAAGTATTTATAATCAGTAATTTTGGCAGTATAATTTTTTAGCCAAATACACACACACACACACACACACACACACACACACACACACACATATATATTGTGAAGTATGTGAGGGGGATCTTATGCAGGACCTAGGTGGGCTTACATAATTAATTATTTAGCAATAAGGCTTATTTCTGGCTCCTTTTTATACCAGGAAAAAATATGGTAAACTAACGAATGGGTCAATTCTTACTCCTAAACAAACTCTGGAAATAGTTAAATACTAATGGACAAGTTGAGTAAATGTACAGCAAAATAAAATACCAGCTGCAATTTCTGTATAAACTCAAACATCTACCAAAATAGTTCCCTAAATAGGTTTGTGCATCTAATCCCGTGCTCCATGTGCTGGCAGAGGAAAAAGCAAGGCACTGTGGTCTATGGATACATTTACCTCTTTTAAAACCAGTAGACTTAAAAGGAGAAACAAAAAAAGATCTGTTCTACCTTAAAAGAAACAAAAATGTACAGGCTAATTAGACAAAGTTCAAAGAAAAGGGCCCCGCTAAAACACATGTACAGGAAAAGAACCAAAATTTAAGAAATGTAGAAGAGAAAGAAGAGTAAAATGATATCAACAGTGTATAATGATGTAAGGAAAGATATCAGAGGAAGCACTGTGAATGTGAAAAAGTGCAGTTAAACAGGACTTGTACTACCTCTTTGAGACTATCTTTGATAAAGAATTTTGAGTCTAGAAGTACAGAGTAATAAATAATTTCTTCAATTTAGAACAGTAATATGAGTTTACTAAAGAATAGGTTTAATACTGGGACCAGACTTTAGAGAGATAAAATGGTGGCTGGGTGCGGTGGCTCACGCCTGTAATCCCAGAAGTTTGGGAGGCCGAGGCGGGCGGATCACGAGGTCAAGAGATGGAGACCATCCTGGGCAACATGGTTAAACCCTGTCTCTACTAAAAAGACAAAAATTAGCTGGGCGTGGTAGCACGGGCCTGTAGACCCAGTTACTCGGGAGGCCGAGGCAGGAGAATCGCTCGAACCCGGGAGGCAGAGGTTGTAGTGAGCCGAGATCGCGCCACTGCACTCCAGCCTGGTGACAGAGCAAGACTCCGTCTCAAAAAAAAAAAAAAAAAAAAGGTAAAATGGTGCAAATCAGCTCCCACAGATAAAGTTCTTGACTCACATGACCTTATTAGGCAACTTCAGATGATACTGTCTTTGAGTAGGAAAGACAAGGACAGTGTAACAGTTATATTAAGAAGTCTAGTACCAGGTCATATAAATAAAACTCTGTTCCGATAATTTACAATTAGAATTCATAGAAATTTGGAATAGAAATTAGAGTCCTTCCAGAAATTAAGAGGCTAAAAATTAGGGTAAAGTAGATAGAGTTATTCAGAATTAAACGTTGGGAGAAGAAAACTGAATTAATTTTACTTGTTATATATGAAGAATGTGAAATAATCCATAAAATATTTTATGACTAGTATCATGAGACAATGTATGCATTATACCAAGGTACTCCTGTGTAAACATTATGTTCTTGGCCAATACTCTGAGGAAGTCCTGAATATACATTACCAGCTGGCTTCATTTCTTAAAAGGGAGACAGATCAAAGACCTCTCGAATCTCTCTCATCATTTTATCTTTTGGACAAACAAATAGAACAGTCAAGTAAATTACCTGAACAAGCATAATAAGTACAAATTTGATTACTGATCACTAAAACCACCAAAAATATATTGACTTAGGGTTCATAATGCATAGTTATCAGTTCAAGCTAAGAAAGCCTTAAGAATTCAATAACTCAAAATCTCTTTGAGATTTAAAGTTAAAAAGTAATATGTTTCTAATAATTTCTAATGTGCAGGATTAATGACAACTGTATTTTGCATTGGCAAATTATCTCAGCCAGAAGAGATTCAAATGATTTTCGTCAATGCCAGTTTATAAACTAGCAGCACATGTCAATGCCAAGCTTGTGAATGGATTGGCTGAGAAAAATTATATGAGTTAGAAGGGATCTAAGTGCTATACTGGTCACTGATTCTATTTCACAAAAGCTACCATTTTTAAAAGCTGAAAATGTAATTGGTGTTGACAAAAACATGTTAAGTTCAATTACTCTGTATAGCTAAATATAGAAAATTGGTTAATGTTTAAAGCAACTTCTTATTTGTTAAGAAGATAATTAAAAATAGTTAAAACTGAACAATTAGCTATACTTTTATATTATTAAAATCCAATGAATTTAACAAATGAAACCCACAGGAAAAGAGATGATATAATTCAAGGCATAGATTTGACATGTCAGAATACGGCAAAAACAATAAAGATAGCATCAGTAAAACAGTTGTAAAATAAGTAAACAATTTTCAAGTGTGCAAAACTAGTCAGGAATAAAAGTGCTATGTGTGGATACCTGGTTTTCAAATATTTGTTTCAAAAACTTTCAGCTGATGGTGGAAAAACTAGAAAGTATTATATAAGTAAAAATTTAAAGAATATATAAAACCTACTTTATTATCTTACATTATGTCCTTGTTATGTCACTGCTGAATCTGAGGCCTATTTAATTACCAGATACAACACAAAAGGAGGTAAACACAGTACATCACAAAGGCTGATTTATCCTGAACCGTAAAAAGGCTCCTTTCAAGTATACTGTGGATTTGTGTTTCATCTTATATCTCAGGCACTCTAGGCTGTTGATGAATTTGAAAACGGACAACATGATTTTCTATAATTTCTAATATACATATTTAGTACATCTTGCAGAACTGCCTTTAGTAGTCAATATTTGGAAGCAATTGTTACAGAAATAAAAACAATTTAAATTCATGAAAGTAAACCCCATCACTGCCACAATTTAAATAATCATTTTAATGTGTAAATCCTGAATATATCATGTTAGAAGATGAAGTCGATGTATTTAGCATAATCTGTCTTGGGATATTTGACGTGTAGATGACTAAAAATACACTTGTGGTCGTTTCTTCACTTTGTATTTTAGTGACCCGTACCGCACCTGAAGAGAGAAATGTTTTATTATTAAGAATTAGATGATTACTTTAAAAAATTACATCAGATTTAATAGTTCATAATCATAGTAATTTTTTTACCTTTTTGATATAAAGAATGAATTCTCTTAATAAATGTATATAAGACAGCACTACTTATAAACTCATAAAAAATGTAGTTGGTAATATTTAGATATATGTTACAGATTATTACTAATAACATAAAAACATTAATCCTATTATTTATGTTTTGCTTAGTACAATGTCAATGAACATTGATTATAATGATCAGAGGCCATTCACAGTCCTCCACTGCTTTCTGGGTATAAAGACAATATGTTATTATGGTTAACTGTTTACTATTTAATCTTCATGTAGCATTAGTTGAAAGCAAAACTGTGTGGTTAATTTTATTCATTGCTTTCTTTGTTTATGCATAGGGCTGGGACTGGGTATTTGAACTATGTGATTTGCTAAATGAGAATGCCATTTTCTACGTATAGCAGAAGATTAAGAGTTTACCATTTTCAAAATTTCCTGATATCCTGATACATTGATCTGAATAAAGAATTTTAAATATAAACTGCTGGCCAGGTGAGGTGGCTCACGCCTGGAATCCCAGCACTTCGAGAGGCGGAGGCGAGAGGATTGCTTGAGGCCAGGTGTTCAAGACCAGCCTGGGCAACATGGTGAAACCCTGTCTCTACAAAAAATGAAAAAATTAGCCAGGTGCGGTGGCATGTGCCTGTAGTTCCAGCTACTTGGGAGATTGAGGTGGGAGGACTGCTTGAGCCCAGGAGTTTGAGTGAACTGTGATTACGCCACACTGCACTCCAATTTGGTTGACAAAGCAAAAAAGCTCTATCCCCAAAAACTAAAAAAAAAAAAAAAAAAAAAAAAAATCAAACTGCTGTTCTACCATTCCAATCCTTCATTTATGGATCATTAATATCCTAAATGATAACACAGCAGGGAAATCCTTCACTAATCATTAGGAAAACAGCTCTACACTTAACCAACCTCTTTGCGGCCTTTGGTGGTTTTCACAGATTTCATGCTTTGCGATCTTCGAAGCCCTTTGTGTGTTAACATCTCATTATCTGAATATGGCCCCTCTGCTTCTTCATCTGTTTTCTCATCTCCGTCTTTCAGTGGAATTCCATAACCTAAACAAGTTGTCAAAAACAGCATGTTTTGGTAAAAGGACACCAGTCAGCGCCGGCTCTTTGACCCATCTGTGTACAGTTCTTTGTATGGTTTGCATTTCCCCCAGTTACTCTTTTTGCATCTGGAATGTGCTCCATGCCCTTTATCATTAAGCTTTGCCTCGCACTATTCCAGGTGAAACTCATAACTCATTTCCTCCAGGAAATTTTCCCTGATCATTCTTATTTTTACTATGCATTTTTAAAAATAATTATAAAATAATTTATTTTTGAGTAGGTAACACACCATCTTGTTAAAAAATTCAAGAATATAAATAGATATAGAGCAAAAAGTCTCTTCCCACCTTTCCTCCTCTTCATGAATTCAACCCAAGCATTTGTGTTTTAGTCTGTCATTTGCACTTTTGCCTTGAATTAGGAATTAAGGCTTTTCCGTTCTATGTGTCGTATCTTTTGTCAAGACTGGGAATGGTAGGGTTTACTTAAGGCATTGAGGAAGACCCCAGGGGGCTAGAACTTTGGGCAAAATAAGGTCACTGGGGGCAGGTGATGAGGATGGGGATGTTAGCTGCTATTGCAGTTGCTGAGATAAAACCCAGCCAGGTAGGCTGCAGTAATTAGAAGTACCACAGACTGTGTGACAGATACTAGTCAAAGAAAATAGAATCAGGCAGATCAGTGAGAGATCACGCGAGTATGCTAGAAGGCTGTTATGTGTAGCTATAAAGACTTACTACGGGCCAATATGCAAACATCCACACAGTCAGGAAGTCTGAGAGCATCTTGAGGCTTGGCCTCAAGGACGAAAACTCTTCCAACCCTGAAGCTGAGGTTCTCAAACTTGAGCACGTCAGAGTTACCTTGAGAACCTGTTAATACAAGTTCTGACAACCCCAGAATTTCTGATTCAGCAGATTTGAGGTGGGGCTGAGAATCTGCATTTCTGACAAGTTCCCAGGTAATGCTTGTGCTCATGGTCTGTGGTCCACACTTTGAGAACCACTGCCTGAGGATGCTGGAGACAGCAAGACAGGGGCCCAAGTCTCAGACAACCAGAGTACTAAGTAGGTTATAAAGAAAGGGGTGAGATTAGAAATCCCCATGAAGAGGCCGGGCATGGTGGCTCACGCCTGTAATCCCAGCACTTTGGGAGGCCCAGGCGGGTGGATCATGAGGTCAGGAGATCAAGACCATCCTGGCTAACATGGTGAAACCCTGTCTCTACTGAAAATACAAAAAAAATTAGCCAAGCATGGAGGCAGGCGCCTGTAGTCCCAGCTACTCGGGAAGCTGGGGCAGGAGAATGGCATGAATCCGGGAGGCGGAGCTTGCAGTGAGCTGAGATCGCGCCACTGCACTCCAGCCTGGGTGACAGAGCGAGACTCCATCTCAAAAAAAAAAAAAAAAAAAAAAAAAAGAAGAAGGAAAGAAATCCCCATGAAGTTATAAATTCTCCTTTAATAAAAATAAGGAGCATAAGGAGCATAAATACTTAAATTGTCAGGTGAGGAGAAAGTGGAAGGACTTACAGCCAGGCGCAGTGGCTCACACCTGTAATCCCAGCACTTCGGGAGGCCAAGGTGGGCGGATCACCTGAGGTCAGGAGTTCGAGACCAGCCTGGCCAACATGGTGAAACACCCGACTCTACTAAAAACACAGAAATTAGCTGGGCGTGGTGGCAGGAGTCTGTAATCCCAGCTACTTGGGAGGCTGAGGCAGGAGAATCGCTTGAACCCAGGAGGTGGAGGTTGCAGTGAGCTGAGATTGCACCACTGCACTCCAGCTTGGGTGACAGAGCAAGACTCCATCTCTTTAAAAAAAAAAAAAAAAAAAAAAAAAAAGAGTAGAAGGATTTCCAGGCTTAGGAGAAGGCACGGGATAGATTCCGTGCATGTGATAAAAAATAAAACTGGGGTGGGCTTTGGTGGCTCATGCTGATAAAAAATAAAACTGGGGTGGGCTTTGGTGGCTCATGCCTGTAATGCCAGCACTTTGGGAGGTCAAGGCAGGTGGTTCGCTTAAGCTTAGGAGTTTGAGATCAGCCTGGGCAACATGGTAAAACCTTTTCTCTACAAAAAATACAAAAATTAGCCGGGTATGGTGTTGTGCACCTGTAGTCCCAGCTCCTCCAAAGGCTGAGGTAGGAGGATCACCTGAGCCTGGGAAGTCAAGGCTGCAGTGAGCTGTGATCATGCCACTGCATTATAGCCTGTTTCAAAAAATATACATATTAAAAAAATTGAATACATGTTTATTGGTCTGCTCTTCTAAGACACGAATAATTTGAGAAACACTAAGCAAACTACAAAGAGTTGTTAATAAGCTTGTTACTCTCATAATAACATAAGCAACTTGCATTGTATATTAGTCAGGTATAATTTTATGTTCTTAGACTTCTAGGCTAGAAGTCAGAGGAGATTTGGAAGTGGAATCAGTCCTTATTTAGGCCAAGATCCTTTGTTTTCTTGCAGTGGTCCAAGGAAGTGTGTGTGTTCCGGGTGGAAGAAACAGCATGCACAGAGGCAGTGAGGAGAGTAGCTAGGGCTTGGGGATTGCTTGGAAGAACTGCAAGGAGGCCAGTGTGGCAAGGAAGGGGATGGATCAGTGGTCCTGGAAAAAAGCTCCTGAAGCAATATTAAGTGTGGAAAAAAAAAATGTACATATAGAAACAAACAAAGGAAAAACATAAATGAAAGGATTATATCTCATGGAAGTGAGCTTTCAGGTGATTTTAAATTTTTTCATTTTTTCTTTTTTTACTTGCCAAATTCTTATTTTTAAAAAATGTTTATTTTATAATTGAGAAAAATAAACCAGGCTTCAGGTTTAGGTTGTCATTTCTAGATTTTTTTTCCTATTGATGTTTGCTTATATAGTATTCCTGATCCTAATATGGTAAAACAGAATGAGGAATCAAGGAAAAAGTCAGAAAGGAAGTAACTGTGATAAACAATTTCTCTAAGGCCACAAATGTAGCATAAGAGCACAGTTCAACAAACCCAGTCCTTGCTATTTTAACTGCCTCTCATTTTGTATGATTAGGAATTGGAATTTCATTCAAAAGCTGATTATACATCTTATTCTTTTCTTTTTTCCTAATTCCAGCTAAAAAAAATCTTATTAGCTATCTAATTATAGCTTCAGGAAAAGTGATGGATTGATTCATTACTCCACAAGTATTTTTAAAATTCTATTATGAATGAGGCAGTGTGCTGAATTATGAGGATACAAGGATGAAAAAGACACAGCTGTCTTTTTCTACCCTCAAAAAATTTAGAGTCCAATAGGGGAAACAGACGGTAATGGGCATTATGATACTGTAATAAATACTATAAGCTAATGACAAGGTGCCAGAGGGCATACAGTAAGAGAATGTAATCAGCATGGGGTGGGTTGGAAAGGGTGGGTTATGAGAGAAGGCCTTGTAGGAGGTGGTGGCTAAGCTAAATCCTCAAAGAGTCATGATTCTGTATGGCTAGCACTTGATGGAGTGGGAGAACAAGGCTGGGGAGTTAATACACCATGCTATCTAGTTTGGACTTCGTCAGAGAGCAATGAAGCCTCTGGAGGCTCGGGGAGAGTATTGAAATGTTTTAAGCAGAAGAGTAACATGATTAGAGTTGGGTTTTGTAAAATATTCTTCTTGCGCTTTGGAAAATGAATCAGAAATGGATAAGGCTGAGGGAAGGGAGCGTAAGTGGGGAGGTTACTGTAGTATAGCAGGTCAGAAATGACAGAGTCCACAGAGAGTGAGGACAGAGCAAGGAGCCAAATTTAGAATTTATTGGGAAATGAAATCCACAAGTTTAGGCTGGGTGTGGTGGCTCATGCCTGTAATCCCAGCACTTTGGGAGGCTGAGTGGGTGAATGACATGAGGCCAGTAGTTTGAGACCAGCCTGGCCAATATGGCAAAACCCCATCTCTACTTAAAAATACAAAACTTAGCTGGGTGTGGTGGCACGTGCCTGTAATCCCAGCTACTCGGGAGGCTGAGGCAGAGAATTGCTTGAACCTGGGAGGTGGAGGCTGCAGTGAGCTGAGATCGCGCCACTGCACTCCAGCCTGGGCGACAGAGTGAGACTCCACCTCAAAAAAAAAAAAAAAGTTTAATTTAGCAATTTATTAAACCAATCCTTGAATCAAAGAGAGAAGAGACACTAGAATCAAGTCAAATATTTTCATTAAAATATACATTTTCTGGCTGGGCTTGGTGACTCATGCCTGTAATCTTAGCACTTTGGGAAGCAGAGGTGGGCAACATACTGATATCCCATCTCCATTAATATATTAAAAAACAAAAACAAAAACAAAAACAAAAAAAACATTTTCTGTTTAACTTAAAACCCGAAAATGAATACCTTATTTTTTCAAAATGAAGAGTATGGCTGATTTACTTCTGATTTTAAGATTAATAGGTTAATTTAAACAACAACAACAAACGAAAAAGCTCACTACTCAGGGCTAAACACTGTTACCATTTTAGTAATACCCTTCCAAACTTTCTCTTATGTATATACATTTAAAAAATTAGGTATATTAATCCATTTCATCATCTACTTATTATTTTTTTTCCCTACAATCTGGATATGTTTTCATATCATTAAGTATAGACTGACATTGTTATGTTTCACAGCTAATAAACCACCTTTTGCTTAATCATTTCTCCTAGGCATTTGGTTCATTCCAATATTTGTTATTATAAACAACGAGATGAACATTCTTGTAAATACATCTTTGAACACTTGTCTGATTATTTCCTTATGACATATTCTTAAAAGTTTCTTGCTGAGCTAAAGGGAATAAATTATGATGATTACTGCCAGATTGTCATCCAAAAGGATTATTCCATTTTAAACTCATAAAAAGTGCCTAAGAGTATTTCTCAACAGGCTTGCTGTGTGGTTTTAAAACATGTCTACAGATTCTCTGACACTCCTCTTCCCTTCCCTTAACATCTCAGAGGCCTTTGTACTTGCCTCAACAAATCGCCACAAAATATGTGATGGAAGTGATGCTGCTTCTAGGACTTCTGCAAGTTTCTCTCGGCACACTGGCCTGGGAGCCTTCAGCTGCCAGGTAAGAAGTCCAACCACCCTTAGAGACCACATGGAGAGAACATAGAGGGAGATGGCTGAGAGGCTCCAACCATTCTAGCCAGCAGCTGCTTGACTCTTTTCAGCTCAGACAGCAGATGTGTGAGCTCTCTTTGAGATTATGACTCTAGCCCAGCTGCTGTCAGACCACAGCTGCAGGAGACCCTGAGCAAGAACTGCTTTGCCAAGTCCAGTCACCCCCAGATCTGTGAGCAAAATAAATGACCATGATTGTTTCAAGCTGCTGTTTTGGGGTGGCTTATTATGCAGCAATAGATAACTAGATAACTGAAACAGTTCCCAACACAGAGCACTGTTAATTAAAAACATTTTTTTTTGGCCAATCTGGCAAACGAAAATTATTATTATTACTATTTTTTGATTATCTGAGGTTGAGAATCTCTTTCATATATTTCTTGACAGTTGTATTCTTTGATAGCATTGACAATAATTGGTTTGTAAGGGTTACTGGATTGTTGAATCTGAACCCTTTGCCTATAACATATAATGGGAATATTTCTGACAGTTTGTAGTTTGTCTTTTTTATGTTTTTTTCCCCCTGTATTAGAGTTTTATGTATTTTTTATGCAGGAAAATCTCAAAAACTATTCCATTATGTTTTCTGGTTTTGATATCATGCTTAAGAAATTTTATCTATCTGAAGATTATAAAAATATTCACAGGGACTTCCTATTATATAGTTTAATTTTTTTATACTTAAATCTTAATCTTTTAAGAATTTATTTTAATCTAAGATTTGAGGCAGAGATATAACTTCATTCTCTACTCCACCTTCTAGCAGTCTAACAGTTATCCTAGCATCACTTATTAAATAATCTGTCTTTCCTCCACCAATTTGAAAGACAGTCTTTCTCATTTGATAAATTTCCATGTACACCTGGGTTTGTGTCTATCTAGACAATCTATTTTTAACTTCTCTTCACCTATTCCGGTCCTAGAACCATACTGCTTTGTTAAAAATACGGTCAAGAGAGAAAGTTTTGATGAAAGTTTTTCCTTAGGGAAGAAAGGCTCAGAATACATACCATTCTGTAGAAAAATTGGAAACTGGGCAGAATTTATACTCTGAACAAGTACCTTTCATAACTGAACAAATATCTTTCTTATACTGCTACCACATACTTCATATTTTTATAAAACTTATTTAATTTCATGATTTGAAATTTAAGAACTAAACAGCAGGTCAATATTTTAAGATATTTCAGTCATAGATATAAAATTTGGTAGGTGGCCAGGCACAGTGGCTCACGCCTGTAATCCCTGCACTTTGGGAAGCTGAAGTGGGCAGATCACAAGGTCAGGAGGTCGAGACCAGCCTGACCAACATGGTGAAACCCCGTCTCTACTAAAAATATAAAAATTAGCCAGGCGTGGTGGTGCACGCCTTTAATCCCAGATACTCAGGAGGCTAAGGCAGGAGAACTGCATGAACTTGGGAGGCGGAGGTTGCAGTGAGCCGAGATCGTGCCACTGCACACCAGCCTCGGTGACAGAGGTAGACTCCATCTCAAAAAGAAAAAAAAAAATTGATAGGTGAGTACCATAAAAATAGTATTACAAATTTTCATATTTATAAACGTGTTTTTATTTACCTAATTAGAATATAATTCTTAGCCAATCCTTGGGTATGATTATGAATAAACTGCTAATAAAGGACTCTGGTCTAAGATAGCTGGTCTAAATCAGCAAAATATAATATATGTAGCAGACTCCAATCAAAATCAATATACCTAATTTTTTTTTTTTTTGAGATGGAGTCTCTCTCTGTCACCCAGGCTGGACTACAGTGGCGCAATCTCGGCTCACTGCAGCCTTTGCCTCCTGGGTTCAAGTGATTCTCTTGCCTCAGCCTCCTGGGTAGCTGGGAATGCAGGCATACACCACCACACCTGGCTAATTTTTGTATTTTTGGTGGAGACAGGGTTTCGCCATGTTGGCCAGGCTGGTCTCGAACTCCTAACCTCAGGGAATCTGCCTGCCTCGGCCTCCCAAAGTTCTGGGATTACAGGTGTGAGCCACTGTGACTGACCACCTAATTTTAAATGCATATTAAGAAATGCCAAGGCCAGGCAGTGTGGCACATGCCTGTAATCCCACACAGCACTCTGGGAGGCCAAGACACACAGACTGCTTGAGCCCAGGAGTTTGAGGCCAGTCTGGGTAACATGGTGAAGCCCCGTCTCTACAAAAAATGGAAAAATTAGCAGGGCATGGTGGTGCACACCTGTAGTCCCAGCTTCTCGGAAGGCTGACACAGAATCACTTGAAACTGGGAGGTCAAAGCTGCAGTGAGCCAAGATCGTACCACCGCACTCCAGCCTGGGTGACAGAGTGAGACCCTGTCTCAAAATAAATAAATTAACAACAAAAACAAACAAAAAAATAAAAATAAAAAAGGAAATGTCTACATTAGGAACTACTTTTACATTATTAATGTACTATTAAGACTGATGGTTCCTCTCTCTCAAAGGCATCACTACCTTAATCAATGGCCAATGCTTGATCATTACCTCTTAGATAATAGTCACAACTTGTAAAGGTATTCATTCTTGGAAGAAAGCTCATTATTTTTTCTTTTTCTTTTTCTTTTTTTTTTTCTGAGAAAGGGTGTTCCTCTGTCACCTAGGCTAGAGTGCAGTGGTGTGATCATGGCTCATTGCAGCCTCAACTTCCTGGGCTCAAGTGATTTTCCCACCTGCCTCCCAAGTAGCTCGGTGAATACCACCATACTCAGCTAATAAAAAAAAAAAAAATTTTTTTTTGCAGAGATATTTTTCCTTTTTTAAGAAGGAACAGTTTTTTTAATTTTTATTTTTCAAATTGATTTTAATTATAAAGATGATTTTCAATCTCTCTCAAAAGAAAACTTCTTTTTTTAATAAAAAGTAAAATAGCCCTGTGCCTTATGGACTTAACACATTAATAAGGAATGTCTTGAAAATCTTTGTTTTCAGCCTTGCCTTTGAATTAAAACTTTCTT
Organism: Homo sapiens; assembly: GCF_000001405.40. Lineage (NCBI taxonomy): Eukaryota > Metazoa > Chordata > Mammalia > Primates > Hominidae > Homo > Homo sapiens. Next base: position 63,611,558 of record NC_000010.11, on the reverse strand, counting down.
ATTATATGTGATAAAATGACTAAGGAACCGTGTCTAATTTATATGTATGTTTCTAAGATCATGATAGTTTTTTAAAGTTTTAGAATATATTAACTATGACATGTTCATAATTTATACTAGAATATGCCTACAAGCTAGCTCTTGAACTAGAATATGTAATTTTAACACATTTTCCATGGGAGTAATCTTATTTTCAAATTGAGTCATCTTTTATCACGTGCTTAAAACTTTTAATCTGTGAGTCAATATCCTTATTTGTCCACAGCACTTACAGTAAAGAGTGTTCAACTATAAAACTTCTTAGATGTCAGTGCACAGTTCGAGTAGAAAGAGTATTGATTACAGGTTAGAACTAGTGCTGGTGGTGAGAAGGTGTTGGTAACCACACCTACAGCTTCTAAAATTCATGGCAGCAAAAGAGGCTACTTTGTTAGCTAGATGATCTCCAGAATCAGCAAAAGGCAAGTACTAATCTTTTTTTTTTCCTGAGATAAAGTCTCACTCTGTTGCCCAGGCTGGAGTGCAGTGGCACCATCTCAGCTCACTGCAACCTCCACCTCCAAGGTTCAAGCAATTCTCCTGCCTCAGCCTCCCAAGTAGCTGAGATTACAGGCGTGTGCCACCACGCCCAGCTAATTTTTTTTGTATTGTTAGTAGAGACGGAGTTTCACCATGTTAGCCAGGCTGGTCGTGAACTCCTAACCTCGTGATCCGCCCACCTCGGCCTCCCAAAGTGCTGGGATTAACGGTGTGAGCCACTGTGCCCAGCCTGAGTCACTGTGCCTGGCCTAGCAAGTACTAATTTAGAGAAAATTCAGAGAAAAAGAACTATGATTAAATGTAAAAGTAAAAAATATAAGCTTAGAAGTAAATTTTGTCTACCTAAATTCAGATAGTTATCATGTATCATGTATTATTTTACTATCCACAAGCCCAATTATGAAATAATCATATATATACGTGTATATATATATATTTTAATTTTACTGGAAGTTCCAGGATACACGTGCAGAATGCGCAGGTTTGTTACACAGGTATACATGTGCCATGGTGGTTTGCTGCATCTACCAACCCATCATCTAGGTTTTAAGCCCCGTATGCATTAGGTATTTGTCCTAATGCTCTCCCTCTCCTTGTGCCCCACCCCCCGACAGGCCCCAGTGTATGTTGTTCCCCTCCCTGTTTCCATGTAAAAGAACCGTATATTAAAACACACAAGCACACCTGCTGATTCACTGGGGGCTGGTTTACTTTTCTTTTTTGCTTCTGGTAGAGGTTGGTATGGTCTTTGTCCCACAGGCTCATCACCTTGGATAGTTGTTAAATCATGCATACTGAAGCTTCTTAAACGTTCAGTTATTGCTCCTTGGCTCTATTTAACAGAGAAGTGATAGGTCCAAGAAAAAATATTTAGTATGCTTACATTTAACTATCCCTGAACATTTTATTAAGATAACTTCAGAAAAGCTGAAAGAATTGTACAATGAACACCCAATATTGTTTACATTTTGCGGTATCTGCTTTCTCACATACCTACCATCTACCTATCCATGAATTCATTTTATTTTTTCATGCATTTCAAAGTAAGTTGGAGACATCAGTATATTTCAACCTCAACATTTCAGCATCATATTTAATTTTAAAATGTAAAAGATGTATGATGGGCTTACCCTCAGAGTAAACAGCATCCATAATGTTGATGTCTCCTAAAACTAGCACTTTGGGGCTTAAACTTTAATATTTAGGGCAACTTTTAATTTTTTGTTTTATTTATTTATATTTATTTATTTATTTATTTAGAGACAGAGTCTCACTCCGTTGCCCAGGCTGGAATGCAGTGGCGTGATCTTGGCTACTGCAACCTCTACCTCCCAGGTTCAAACGTTTCTCCTGCCTCAGTCTCCCGAGTAGCTGGGATTACAGGCATGTGCCACCATATCCAGCTAATTTTTGTATTTTTAACAGAGATGGGGTTTCGCCATGTTGGCCAGGCTGGTCTTGAGCTCCAGACCTCAGGGGATCTGCCTGCCTTGGCCTTCCCAAAGTGCTGAGATTTTAGATGTGAGCCACTAAGCCCGGCCAAGGGCAACTTTTTTTTTTTTTTTTTGAGACAGAGTCTCGCTTTGTCGCCCAAGCTGGAGTGCAGTGGCGCAATCTCGGCTCACTGCAAGCTCCGCCTCCCAGGTTCACACCATTCTCCTGCCTCAGCCCCTCCAGTAGCTGGGACTACAGGCGCCCACCACCACGCCTGGCTAATTTTTTGTATTTTTAGTAGAGATGGGGTTTCACTGTGTTAGCCAGGATGGTCTCGATCTCCTGAACTCGTGATCCGCCTGCCTCGGCCTCCCAAAGTGCTGGGATTACAGACGTGAGCCACCGTGCCCGGCCAAGGGCAACTTTTTAAAGTAAAAGAGACATGACATTGTTTTAAAGCTAAGCTAAGTCAGGACTGGTAACGGCTCTTCCTAGAACAAGTTAGAAACATGTAAGAGCCAAAGAATCTTGAATACAAAATGATAGTCAATTAGTGAATTAACTATCTGGCAAGACATATCTACTACTCTACATTTGACTTTAAGTCCTTTCCCTTAACAATATGGCAGACACTAGGCACAGGTGGGTATTTAAGTTGAAATTAAGTAAAGTTAAATAAAATATAATATTCAGTTCTTTAATTGCACTAGCCACTTTTCAAATGTTCAATAGCTGTGTGTGGCTAGTGGCTACTGTATTGGATAGTGCAGACACAGAACATTTCCATCACAGCAGCTCTGAAAGAGGCATTTTCTGAACTGTTCATGTATAACTACATTTCCCCTCCTAAAGTATAAAGCTTTGTAAAAGCAAAAAAAGAAAAAAAAATTCTAAATTTACCTACTTTAAATTTGCATAGCATATAGATGAGTCACTTCTTATTTATAGCTAGATTAAAAATATTCTTCTAAGGGGTTTTTTATACTTATTATTTCTTCGTTTCACACATGTGAATTTATGATTTCCTCTAGTTACAGTGTTACCAGAGAAACTAATCCATAATGCTTCATCTCTAAATTTCAAAGTCAAAGGTGCTACAAACATTTGGGCATTACAGTTAACTTATATTTTACACTCAAGAGAAAGGTCTTAATTTATGAGTCTTGATTCAGTTACTTTGGGTTAATAATATATTATGTCAAAACCAAATGCCATTTCCATATCCCACTTGAGCTGCGTATTTCTACCATATTTTTGAATTGTGATACGAAATCATTAAAGGACTTTATTCTCAATAAAAATAATTGGATTTCACACATTTAAAAAACATTTGTGGCATGGATTAATTTATTATACTTGCTTCCTCCTTATTAGATATCATTTACTTATCAAACAGATAGTTGACAGAAGACTCCAGAGACATACTACGAGGAAGTGACCAGTGTTCATCTGAAACGGATGCCTTGTTTCTCAGAAATGTCATTCTCTTTATTTCATCTTCGTAGTTCTGTGCCTTCTCTCAGCAATTTCTGATTTCTTTATTTACTGCCACACAGATGACAAATGACATGCATGTCCATGATACCCTTTACTCAATTCACATGCGATTTCCAAGGCTGGCTATAATTCCCAAACCCTCCCACTCAAGAAGGTACATTTCAGGATACAAATGACTCAAAGTACAATGGAATCAGTCTAGCTTTATAATTATATCATCCCCAAACTTTGGTATGTTTAACAAGCATAATCAACAAATCTCTTGGGATATACCTCACAAATGAACTCACGTACTACTGTTACTTCTATTGTTGGGATAGGTATATTTTGCCTCCAGAGCAAGACTTTTAAGACACTAGAGGAGAGGGACAAATCTTAGGCTTCTTCTATTCTCCTGGTGTGCCTGGTATGCTACTGATATTGAGCATGTAATAAGTAAACTAAATACTCTTTTTATGTCCCTTCTTTTTCATTACTCTTGACTGTTAAAGACTTCTCCATAGATGGCAGCATGTTTTAATGTAAACACTGTAGGTTTTTTGCAGAGGTTCAGCAGCAAACTACAGGTATGGCCACAGGTTTCTCCATGGATAGACTACACCACCTACCAAGGGTTTGCTTCAGGTTCAGAATAAACATGAGCAAGGCAAGGCCCAACCTTGAGGTATCTGGGTGATCTATCTAAAGGCTGGATTTAAATTTAGCTCTTGAGTAACCAATGCTACTATTATCAATACCCAAGTATTATCAACCTCTTCAAGGCTTTCAGGAAAGCCAGGCACTGTAGGGAAAAGCAAAAAGGGAATATGAGCCCTCTTTGAGAACCTCCAACACTTTAACAGCCATTATTACCTTGGAAAATTGGACTTTCCACTGTATATTTTTTATGGATCCAGAATAAAACTAATATAAGAGAGAAATTGGTGCAATATTGTGGACTTTGAAAACATTACGTAAATTACATGTATCCAATGTAACCAGTTTAAAGGATGGGTATAATTACAAAGTAATCACTTCTGAAGACTACCTTATTCCTTCCAGTTTTTACATCTTCAGCACAAAAAGTCCAGTAATAAAGGAACTATGTTTGCTATATTAACGGTAAGTGGAGATATCTTCCCTCTACCCCAGAATTCTATAGCACATGCATAATATGATTGCAAGTATGCAGTATGGCTATAAGTAGGCATGGAAAAATGCAAAACTAACAACAGTACAATGTTTAGGCAGATGGGATGGGTGACTTTTTTCCTTTTTTAAAATATTGTCTTTAATATTACAAAATTAGTCAATATGTGGCATACTATAAGAATTTCCAATCCATTTCTCACTCATGTGTCCTGTATCTAATGCTTTATTCCCATCAATAAAATAAAAATGTCTATTTTTGAGGCCACAAATAGAACATTATAGTCACTTGTAAATAACAATGCTAAAAGGGATTGGTTTTGTTTAAATTAATAATGCTTTGTGTATCTATTTTCTTCTATTTAATTTATATAATATTAAGACAAAAGTATAAGAAAAATGAGAAAAGGACCTGGTGCAGTGGCTCACGCCTGCAATTCCAACACTTTGGGAGGCCAAGGTGGGAGGATCACATGAGGCCAGGAGTTTGAGGCCTTAGTGAGCTGTGATCACAACTCTGCACTCCAGCCTGGGTGATAGAGCGAGACCCTGTCTCTAAAAAAGGAAAGAAGAAAGACAGAAAGAAAGAAAGACAAAGAAAGAAAGAGAGAGAGAGAAAGAAACAAAGAGAGGGAGAAAGAGAGAGACAGAGAGAGAGAAAGAAAGAAAGGAAAGAAAGAAAAAGAAAGAAAGAAAAAGAAAAGTTCTAGTCTAGTCTGCTGTATGGAAACAGCGGTCTTAGTCAATAAAGAGGAAAGGCGGGATTACCATTCACAAGATAATTCCATATTTCAGCACTTTAGATCCTATTCTCTGCAGAATTGTCTGTACTCTGTGTATGTTAAAATTGATCCTAACAATCAAAGTAACAGAGATTATGATGAGAATGTAAAAGTCCAGGTAATTAAGTATTCTGTAGAATATTTTACACATTGAAACTGATCATCGTGAGCAGAACTGTTTCTGAACCATCTGAACTTCAGCTGGCACTAAATTCTCAGGTTTTGGATTTAGGTGGGCCCAAATGCCTCTGTAAGAAACTGAGAATACTGCAGGGGCTGACTGGGCAGGAGGGCTGGGTCCAGAGCTAGCACACTCAGGCTCTGGAAGGGATTCTTCAGCTGAGAAGCAGCTCCCCACACTGGCTCCACACAGAGCTCATTTACATCCAAGGGCACTAGGACATCTGAATGTCTACTCAAGTATCCAAGCACGTGGTTGGCATCCATAAAAAGGGGCCCTGCATGTATGAGTAATTCCAATTTCTTTACACTCAAATAATGCTGTCTTTGTTTAAATACTTCATTTCCTGGTTAAACACTACATTAACATTAGTTATTTTGTTTTAAATAAGAACTTATTTTGTTTATCAGCACCTTTGTATAAAACCTTTATTTTCTTCACATTTTAAATCACAGATTTAAAAACATATAACCAGCAATGCTTTATAATCGTACAAGCACAAAACATTCTTTTACAGAATAATTCTTATTATACTATTCAGTAAAGAATAGCCACTAAGCTCTATTTCTTGTTGATCCCTGATGTTACATTATAATTGCAGATAAGGTTAGTTCCCAGTTTTTAGGGAAATCTCATTTCCCCATGCACATTTAACAATTAATCTGATCAAGCCCAGAATGGAATTGACTGCATTTGCATTAGGTGAATAAAATATTTTAGTGAGTTTAAAGCAATACGTATTTACTGAAGAACATTGATAACATGGAGAAAAATTTTAAAAAGGAAGTAAAAATTATTTGTAACCTACCACCAAAACTACTTATACATATTTATATATTCTTTTAGTTTTTTCTGACTCATCATACTTTTAGAGCAGTTTCTCAACCTTAACACTCTTGCTATTTTTTGTTAGATAATTTTTTGTTGTGGGGAACGTCCTGTGCTTTGTAGAATATTAAGCAGCATCCCTGACCATTCTTTACCGACTAGATACCAGTAGCAGCCCCCTCTCAGTGGTGACAACCTAAAATGTCCCGTGGTAAGGGTAGGGGCACAAAATTGCCTCTAGTTGAGAACCACTGTTTTAGAGATATAAGGGGTTTTAGAAATCATGTTTCACCTCTTCGTTTTACAAGTGAGAAAAATTAATGCTTAGATCAATGCAGATGATTTGCCCAAAATCTCGTGGCTAATTTGTGGTGGAATCAGCACTAAAAAAAATCCAGATTAACTCAATTGCTGTAGCATTCAATGTTTGTTATACCATTCTGCTTCCCTAGATTTTAGGAAAAATAGTACAACCTTCTTTTTCCATTGTCTGGACAAACATTCTTCCCTTTTTTTTTAAGTGTATAATACTAAGCTGTATATCCTCAAAGCCATTCACAAACAGAAAGTCATAGACAGTAAGATGTTCGGATTTTTGACCTAATCGGGATCATTTAAAGTTAATTAGATTTCAACAATTTTACCTGTAAAGCTCAAAAGTCTGTGGTAACTGATTTCTTATATCTGCTAAAGAAATTCACCAAAAAAAGGCTGCCAGAGAAATTCAAAGACATGGTTAATACAACTAACAGTACTTTTCTTCATCTGTCCTTCATCTGGCAGTAGTGTTGCTCATCTGCACGAAACCACCTATGTTTCTCATGTGAAAAGCTATGGAATGCTGTACATCCTCAGCAAAATCCTTGAAGGTCCTTCAAATGTTTATGCTTTGCTCAGCCAAAATAAACTTGTACAGTGACCTTGCGAACAGATGCCTGGTAATGAGGTCATAGAACTGAGTAACATTTTCAGAAAATTGCTTTACGGTGTAATAAATGTTCTGATTAGATTCCTATTTTCACCTTTAACATGCTCAGGTGGTTCAACCTGGGAAACCTAGTCAGCGTTATTACCCGTTCTTCAAAGGTCACACCAAGAGTCCAAGAATTTTAAGCCTGAAAGATACTTTAAACAAACTATATATTGTAAAAATGTTAAATAATTTTCAGATCTTACTGTTGGCTTTCTTGCAGCTTCTCCTTAAACCTGACCTATTTCCTATTTCAGTTTCAATTTACTCTTCAGTATGAAGTGTCTGGTTCAGTGATTCTTCTATGACAATGCCCTTGTTTGACATCTGCAGAGATGAAACTAATTTCATGTACTTTAAAATAAGCACAGTATAACTTGAGGCAAATAGGGTTAACATTACGCTATGTTCAGCATATTTAATGAATATGCTAGTGAATAATATAGACTCCAGGATGGGGTCTCCAACATTCCGGTACTCATGAGAATAATGAAGGTTACCTTACATACAGGGATGTTATGGATAAAAGAATCACAACATTGCAAACAAATGGGAACAGTTCCAAATCCAGTATCTGATTTCATTTAGGGGATATGGGCTTCTACTTGTTTTGCAGGAGTGACTTAGATGATTTTTATCAATATTACTGCCTTTGGGGTGGACACGTGATTTTAAGGTGTTAACGTATAAATTAAAACACGTGATTTTAAGGTGTTAAACGTATAAATTAAAAGAATAAATCACAAGAGAGCCAGAAAAATAGATATATGAAATAGACACATTTTTGTTTTCGTGGCATTTTTACAGAAAAGTATTCCTGTGAGATAATGCTTATTTTAATAATGAAGGGTAATGGGTGGGGTCTTTTTTTTTTTTTTTTTTTTTTGAGACAGAGTCTTGCACTCTCACCCAGGCTGGAGTGCAGTGGCGCGATCTCGGCTCACTGCAAGCTCCGCCTCCTGGGTTCACACCATTCTCCTGCCTCAGCCTCCCGAGTTGCTGGGACTACAGGCACCCACCACCACGCCCACCTAATTTTTTGTATTTTTAGTAGAGATGGGGTTTCACTGTGTTAGCCAGGATGGTCTCAATCTCCTGACCTTGTGATCCGCCCGCCTCAGCCTCCCAAAGTGCTGGGATTACAGGTGTGAGCCACTGCGCCCAGCCATGGGTGGGGTCTTATCAACCAGAGGTGAAATAAAATTTTCAGTTAGAAATAAAATTTTTGTGGGCTATTCCCTAGCTAATACAGACATTAGCTCCAGACAGACAGTAGATTGTGCAGGTGAGGGCTATATCTATCTTGTTCATTGCTACATTCCCAGTACCTACTATGCAGTAGGCATTAAATAAACAGATGCTGAATAAATAATATGTAGAATGCTAAATACCAATGGAGGCGAAGTGTAAGATAAAAATAAATGAGGAAGGGAATGAGGATAAGATAATAGAGTGGGGACTGCTGATGCCCTACGTGGGAGTAGTAAACACAAGTCAAAATAAAACAAGTACTGCACAAAATAGTCACAATATGTACAATGGTGTCTCACAAAATAGGAGAATAATAGATTATTATACACAAATGTTAAAAGTGAGGAGGAAAAATGGGATTTGTATGCTTCTTTGTTTTTTGAGACAATATTCTAAAATGTGTTCTCTAAATAATTTTTCAACTTGAAATTTAATTTTCAGTTTTTCTCCATAGAACCATGTTGAAGGATGCTTTTAAATATGAAAAATTCAGATAGCATCTTCATTGGGTGTAAATAAATACATGCACTTGATTTGCAAAATCAAAAATGCTAAATTTTATAGCAAAAAGCAACAAGCTCTTAGTCTCCTTCTCCTCTTCATCCGCTGCCGATGCAACTCCTTTAAACCCTCTACTTTCCTACTGTAACAAATGAGGATTTTAGTTCTCTTCCACTTTCCTTCTCTTTCCCCCATACTCTCAATATGGCAAAACCACAGTTGTTAAATCCTTAGTCTGTGTTCATTATTATAATGTAAATGCAGTCATACTCCATTATTTCATTTCTTATGTAACTTTTTTCCCCAGAGTTAATGATTATGCCTTTTTTTTTCCTTTTTCATTGTCTTACCCTCTTCCTCTTTACATTGCCGCCAATGTATTTTTTCATGGTGCTCAGGGATCATGTGCAGCTACATGGGCACCAGTGGCCTACAGCCAATGTGTCATCTGGTTGAAGCATGCCCTCAGAGTCCCTGCTTTTATTTTTTATTATTTATTTATTTATTTTATTATTAGTATTTTTTGAGATGGAGTTTCACTCTTGTCACCTAGGCTGGAGTGCAATGGCGTGATCTTGGCTCACTGCAACCTCCATCTCCCAGGTTCAAGCGATTCTCCTGTCTTGGCCTCCTGAGTAGCTGGGACTACAGGTGCCCACCACCATGTCCAGCTAATTTTTTTGAATTTTTAGTAGAAACTGGGTTTCACCACGTTGGCCAGGATGGTCTTGAACTCCTGACCTCAGGTGATCCACCTACCTCGGCCTCCCAAAGTGCTGGGATTACAGGTGTGAGCCACCACGCCCAGCCTCTCACTGGTTTTAGTATCATCCCTGTGCAGCACGAAAAATCCTCTTGGCTTTGTAGGTCTACCAGAGACATCCCTCCTGGCACCTTTCATCCACCACATCCAGTTTTGGCTGGCTGCACTTTGGACTTGCTGTGTGGTGTTCTCTTTGGGAATTTTTGTCATCTCCTTTCTGTGCTGAATGACTTGTTTCCCAGATCCCATGGGTTTTCTTTTTTGTGGACCATTCCCTAGCTCTGGGGAGCATATCTGCCTGGACAAAAGATAACCAGTAGGTAAATCTTGTGACTCTGCATGCCTAGAATTAAGAAATTTCTTAATTCTAAGCTAACACAATTGAGAGCTTGACTGTTAATAGTTCTTGAGGGTGAAAATCATGATGGTATCATGGATGGTATTACTGTCTTCAAGCTTTCACTGTCACTGTTTAGAAATTTAATGTCATTCTGATTCTACATCATTTAAATGTGACATGCTTTTTTTTTGAGATGGAGTCTCGCTCTGTCACCCAGGCTGGAGTATAGTGGTGTGATCTTGGCTCAGTGCAGCCTCCGCCTCCCGGGTTCAAGCAATTCTCCTGCCTCAGCCTCCCGAGTAGCTGGGATTACAGGCGCCCCCCCACCACGCCCAGCTAATCTTTGTATTTTTAGTAGAGACGGGGTTTCACCATGTTGGCCAGGCTGGTCTGAATTCCTGACCTTAAGTGATCCATCTGCCTCGGCCTCCCAAAGTGCTGGGATTACATGTGTGAGCCACTGTGCCTGGCCAAATGTGACATGCTTTTTATATTTGGAATCTTTATGAATTCTTTCCTTATCACTGGTGTTTTGGGATACCCAATGACTTCACTTAGAGTCAGTCATTCTTTTCATTCATTGTGCTAAGTACTTGGTGGGTCCTTTCAATCTGAAGATTCATATCCTTCAGTTCTGGGAAATATTATTGTATTATTTCTTTGATAATTGCATCTATTCCCTCTTTTTAGAATTCCCAGTGGCTGGATTATCTCCTGGATAATCTTTTTTAGCAGATATGGAAATCAGGAATGCATTTTCACTAAGCAAGAAATAAAAAACAAAATGAACTTCTAAAATAAAACATAGTCCTTTAAGCTGAAAACTTTGCTATTTCTGTATTCATTTATAAACCTATCCTAATAAAAGAAAAAGCCTTTAAAAGCCAAATAACAAGAAAACTATGCTATATTAAAGTGCTGACCATTAATAATCATTAATAATATAGTTATCTTACATGTATAGTGCTGCATAGTTAATAAACTTCCATTTAACCCTCAATGTAATGCTATTAGGTATATAATTTGAATTTTCCTTCTTGTTCATTACATTCATTTTGATACTTGAGTCAAAGACCTCTCTGAAAAGTGAAAGTGCCCTCATTTCATATCCCTTCACTATTAGTTATATAAAATCACCACTCAACTGGAATATTTATTTCCATAGAGTTGTTTTAGTTCAAGATAACTAAAACAGACTAACTTGAAAGCAGAATACTATTCAATCTCAATTTAATTTAATAGCAAAAAACTTAAATTTTCACTTGAATTTTGAATGGAGATAGACACATGATATTTATGTTTATTGGGCTCCTACTATATGCAAGCAAGCACTGTGCTTTTAAATATTCTCACAGGTATATTACCCCCATTTTATACATGAAGCAACTAAGGAACACAGAAGGCTATTTTCTTTCCATACCAAACACACCAAAATCAATTATGCTAAAGTATTTAAAATAAATCACACAAATTACAACATGCAAAGAAATCCAAAACCATAATGCAAATTTTTACAGAACACATTCATTTGATAACTTGGCTTGCAAACACAACAAATGACATTAGTAACTGGCTAAGTACCAAGTTTTAAGAACAGACTTTTTCATGCCTTATTTTGAATAATCGGTTACCTCAAATTGATTGAAGTAGAGGTGCAGAAGTAAGCCAGAAATCCTACCAAGATATTGCCATTGACAAAGAGACAGAAAAAAAGAGAGAGAAAGAACACCAAAGACAGAGAAATAAACAATGGTCATCTTTACATCAGGTGATTTACTCAAACTACTTTAAGGTGATTAAGTGGGAAAATTATGACTAAATGACATTTTCAGGTATGTATTATTTATTAACGACCTCATTTTGTGATGAATTAAGAGATTCAAAATATCAAGTATGGAAAACACAAAATTAAAATATCTTTAAAATTATTTACTTGTTTTCCAGTATTAGAAAAATAAATATAGCAAAATGCCACAATTTTATAATGGTTTGAAATAAGAAGCCACCTTTATTTGTTGACTTAATATGACATTGGATTAAAAAGGTAAATGAACAATTACCTTTACTGCTGCAGTAACAGCAGCAGTAGCTGCAAGGTTTAAACCTTGCCGTCCAAAGTTTACCATGGTTTCATAGCCTCGTTCCTTTGCTTGTACAATATAATCATCAATCTCCTGGGGGAAAAAGCCACAGATGTTAGTTTTACTTAAAAATAGTGTTAATAAGCCCCAAACTAGAACATTCTCCCTATAATAGTTTCATTAATTTTATAGCATTAAGCATGTGTTGATAGGCATTTCTTTCTTTTCTTTTCTTTTTTTTGAGAGAGGGTCTCTTCCTTTTGCCTAGGCTGGAATGCAGTGGCATGGGACAATAAGTGTGTACCACCATGACCAAATAATTTTTAATTTTTTTGTAGAGACGGGGTCTCACTATATTGCCTAGGCTGGTCTCAAACTCCTGGGCTCAAGCAATCCTCCCACCTTGGCTTCCCAAAGTGTTGGGATTACAGGCATGAGCCACTGCACCCAGCCCAGGCGCTTCTTTTTTTTTTTTTTTTGAGATGGAGTCTCGCTCTCTTGTCCAGGCTGGAGTGCAGTTGTGCAATCTCGGCTCACTGCAAACTCCACCTCCCGGGTTCGCGCCATTCTCCTGCCTCAGCCTCCCGAGTAGCTGGGACTATGGGTGCCCGCCACCACGCCCAGCTAATTTTTTGTATTTTTAGTAGAGACAGGGTTTCACCGTGTTAGCCAGGATGGTCTCGATCTCCGGACCTAGTGATCTACCCACCTCGGCGTCCCAAAGTGCTGGGATTACAGGCGTGAGCCACCGTGCCCGGCCTTTTTTTTTTTTTTTTTTTGAGATGGAGTCTCATTCTGTCACTCAGGCTGGAGTGCAATGGTGAGATCTCAGCTCACTGCAACCTCCGTCTCCTGGGTTCAAGCGATTCTCCTGCCTCAGCCTCCTGACTAACCGGGGTTACAGGCATGCACCACCATACCTGGTTAATTTTTTTTTGTATTTTTAGTAGAGGTGGGGTTTCACCATGTTGGCCAGGCTGGTCTCATATTCCTGGCCTCCAGTGATCCACCCACCTCAGCCTCCCAAAGTGCTGGGATTACAGGTGTGAGCCACCACACCTGGCCTCCGCTTAGGCATTTCTAAAAAATTATTTACGGAAGTAATTTATATATCTTACCCTTTCCTTTGAAGAAAGAAGTGGATGAAGGAATTTTCTATATATTAAACTTGCTCCTTTGGTATAGGGAGAAAGCAGCCATATGACAAAAGCAATCTTCAGCTCATAGTACAGGGGAAACCTAATAAGAAAAACATTTGGAAATAAACTGCCAGTGAAAAACAAACCACTGTAGAAATCACAAAAACACCTTTTAAAAAGTTCAGTCACTATGCTGTTTTTTGTTTTTTTTTTTTTGAGATGGAGTTTTGCTCTTGTCATCTGAGTGCAATGGCACCATCTCGGCTCATTGCAACCTCCGCCTCCTGGGTTCAAGTGATTCTCCTGCCTCAGCCTCCCCAGTAGTTAGGATTACAGGTGCACGTCACCACTCCTGGCTAATTTTCATATTTTTAGTAGAGGCGGGGTTTCACCATGTTGTCCAGGCCTGGTCTTGAACTCCTGACCTCATGTGATCCGCCCACCTCGGCCTCCCAAAGTGGTGGGATTACAGGCGTGAGCCACAGCACCCAGCCTATGCTAAGTTTTTGAATGTAAAAGTCAGTGATCAGGAGACAACTGTGTTTGAATAATCTTGTTTCAACTATAGATCAGTTCATGAATGTGTGACCTGAGAGATTCCCCCCTCATTCTAATACAAGAATCTTCCTTTGTAGTAAGCATAGGAAAGCTGCCAAACTGAATGCAGCAGTTAAGAGAAGGCACTAATACCATTTATCCAGTGCACAAGGTATGGCCACCCTATCTGCAGAGCCAAACTGGCATGGAAGTACATGACCTATCTCATATGATAGTTGTGCCTATCAGAGAATGACTTCATATGCTCCAAGTGCACAATGTCTACCCCATACACACACGTCTTCATCTTTTTCAGAACTCCGAAAAAATATCCCTTCCAATTTCATTTGGCCAGAATTGCAGCACTCTGCAGACCTAAACTGTTCACTTCCAAGGAAAATACAAAGTGTTACAGTGGGCCTCCCCCGTTGGCCCAGTATACTTCCTCAACCAATGACTGTGGCTTTAACCATGTGACTTGCTTGCTTTGGCCAGCAGAAAAGAACATGATACATGTCACATGCAAGCAGAAGCTTTAGAACACCCTTCGACTCCCTCACTCCATTACCCATTACCCTCAAACTCTTGCTTTAAGCTTTTGCCTTCTGGCATGAGAACAGCTGCTTCTTCAGCCTTGGTTTAAGGTGCCAGGTGAGGTGCTCACGCCTGTAATCCCAGCACTTTGGGAGGCCAAACTGGGAGGATTGCTTCAGCCCAGGAGTTCAAGGGTGCGGTGAGCTATCATCATGCCATTGCACTCCAGCTTGGGCAATGGAGCAAGACCCTGTCTCTAAAACAACAACAGAAACAACAGCAAAAGTGACCTGACCCCAGCAAAGATGCAGTCAACCATTTGCCCTCATGTAGCTTGAGCAAGAAATAAAAGTTTGCTTTTCTAAGCCACTGTACTTTTATGGTTGTTTTTTTGCCACAGCAAAAGTTCACTAATATATAATGAGAGGCTCAGTATCTTGTTGTCTGTGAGAACCACATAAATGTAGTCCATTTATCACTAGGATAAATGATAGCTGAGCAAATTTGAGTTCTTCTGTCAAGGTGGGCAGGTAGAGAGCAGTGAGGATGACTTACTATGTAGTCAACAAAGAGGTCTCTGCCACACTGCAATTACAGGAGTTTCTGGATTCAGTTGTTCATGTTAAACATTTTCTACATCGTTCATTTTTAAATAACATATATAGGCTACATTTGCAATCAGAAAAAAATGAAGTCTTAAAAAGAGAACTTGGAAACTTCGATGTAGCACGGTTGGGGATCTGTGCTCTGTCACTTAAAAACAAAGAGACCCCCCACAACCAAACCCCTATACCAAAAATATAACAGATAAATGAATGAGCTTTGGGGCACAGGAAGGGAAATTTTTACAGTATTTCAAATCAGAAGACAGATACAGTGACGTTTGCAAATAAGGGAAGGTTGTTAAAAATATTTTAGTATGAAGACTTCTATTTTTTTTCTTGCAAATCCAATAGGACCTAATGTGCCACATGAACAGGAGAAGAGCAAAATGGGAAAGACAGCTTAAGGAGAGAATAGTAAAGGTTTGAAACAGACCCAGACAAAATGTAAGTAGACACTGACCAGGAGCAAGTAAAAAGAATGAGGTTCAAGCTGATACCTATGTGAGCAGCTGATTAATTTTTTCAGCTGAATTTAGCAGCCCAGTTAAAGAAGTAAAAAAGAGTCATTTTAGCTGGGTGCAATGGCTGATGCCTGCAATCCCAGCACTTCGGGAGACCGAGGCAGGCAGATCACCTGAGGTTGGGAGTTCGAGACCAGCCTGGCTAACATGGTGAAACCCCGTCTCTATTAAAAATACAAAAATTAGCCAGGCCATGGTGGCATGTGCCTGTAATCCCAGCTACTCGGGAGGCTGAGGCAGGAGAATCGCTTGAACCCGGGAGGTAGAGGTTGCAGTGAGCCGAGATCGTGCCACTGCACTCTAGCCTAGGCAACAGAGCAAGACCTTGTATAAAAAAAAAAAAGAAAAAAAAGACGAGTAATTGTTAGGCTAATTTAGACAGAAGGTTTGTGCGTCAAGGGCAGATGAAGATATCAGCAAGGTAGTAAACCAAAATATTTTGAAAGGAGAAGTTCTCAAAGTGATTGCAGGGTTTAGATGGAAATGCACTACTGAAATACACCACAGGGAGATTTGAGTTGTCCAGTTAAGTACTGCTCCTTGGTAAAATGTCAAATCCCTGAGGATATAAACACACTTTAATTTTGCCTCGTCTATTTGGAACAGAGCAGCCAGGAAGCTAGTGCTGAGTGGGTGTCCACGTGGGTGCTGACGTTTTCCAGTTCAAATGTTTGTAGATGAGAGTTTTAAGGATAGGATAGGGAGGGGTGCTAAAACCAGATGCTGTGGGCTTCAAAAGTGGAGTCATTTAGGAAGTGATACAGGAAAATGTTCTGAAGTCATCAGTGCAGAAAAGGATGATGACAATCAACTTTCCCTATTCCAAGATACTGGGGGAAGGTGTGTGGGAGGTGAGCAGGGAGCGGCGTATGGGGAGGAAAATGAGCTGCCTTTATTTGATGGGGACTAAAAGGAAAGTAGTGTTCTATGGGAAAGCAGATGACAAAAACAAATGGGTGGATAATTAGGTAACCTGATGAAAATCACTCAGTTAATAGCAAGAGCAGGATAAGAACTTAGGACACCTGATTATGAGTCTGTAGTCTGGCCCCTTCTCAATAGTAAAACTTACCAAGCAACTGTTTGATCGGCTACTGTTTCAATCACAGTATAGAGAGCAAAAACAATCCAGTACATCATCCATCGAACCTGGAAATAATAAAAATACTCATGAAACAACAGATGAAAATTATTTGCAACTCTGAATAATATGTATGTATGTATGTATTTCTGGATTTCATAATAATTTCATATTATGTATGTATTTCTGGATACATAGTATGTTGGGTCAAACGCAGAAAGTGATGGTTTAATTTTCAACAGGTTTTATGTTTGAGTTCTTTACATTACTACATCAACAGTCTTGGGATAGCAGGAGCAAAGATTAACAAATCTCTGGGACTTGATACAATATAATCTAGGAATCTAAATCAAGGAATTGGGAAAACAGGAAATATTTTTCTTAATTGGAAGAAAGTTCTTTAAAAGACGTTATCTACTTGCTTCTTTATGAAGACTATAAGTTATTTATTTATTTTTATTTTTTGTAGAGACAGGGTACGCTGAAGTGCAGTGGTACAATTACGATCATGACTCACTGCAGCCTTGACCTTCCAGTGCAAGTGATCCTCTTGCCTCAGCTGCCCGAGTAGCTGGGACTACAGGTGTGCACCACCACACTTGGCTAAATTTTTTTTGGTTTTTTTTTTTTTGTAGAGATGAGGTTTTGCCATGTTGCCCTGCTGGTATCGGACTCCTTGGGCTCAAGCTATCTGTCCGTCTCGGCCTCCCAACATGCTGGGATTGCAGGCATGAGCCACCATGCCTGGCCTTAGCTATTTAATTGTTACATAAATAATATAGTATAAGACTATATTTAATCTTTATTAGTCTTTAAAATTTTATATTCCTTATTTCCCAATATATATAAATTGTTCAGAAAGCAAACAACAATCCTGGGCTTCTTACTTCTATTAATGATGCAGCCATAATGCTAGTTACCCAGGTGGACAGCATAAGGTTAATCTTCTTCCTCTTCCCCTGATGTAAGCCTGTAATCTCTCACACATCTTTCTCCTTCTTCCACTCTAATTCCACAATGGTAGTTCAGGACGTTTTAATCTCTTCTGAGTCAGGGCATGCTGAATGGTCCCTGGCACTCTGCCTTCTCTTGGGACCTATCCTTCTCATAGAAGCATGCCAGATTAATGTTTTCTGAGTTAATTCTCCCAAATTTATATTTTTTCATCGACCTCAGTACACAGAGTTTCTTGTCTCTCAAGTGCACTGGAGTTTCACGTACGATTAAAATCTCTGCTTTTCTGTGTAGTAATAACAGCAAATACACAATGCCATGCCAACCAGGGGGCGAGGAATTACGTTGATAAACATATAACATAAATTAATTCATTTAATCCCTGTAACAACCTTTACAAAGTAGGAAATATAATTAATTCCATCATCGATAAGAAAACAGTGGCACAGAGAGGTAAAAGAGAAGTCATTTGGGTAGGATTTCTGTCCAGGTTGCCTGACTCTGGAATTGCTTAACCCATTATACCAGGCAGAGAGAGAAGATGTGAGAAACTGCCCAATGTAGGGTCCAAGGATGACTACCACTTTCCTTGTTCTCACCTCATGAGTGACAAAAAAATTTAGGTCCTTATATATAACTGGGAAATTGACCTATTAGTTTTAATACAGATGCTTGTTTGGGTATTTCGCAGGCAATATAAAATGATAACTCAAATAGCTTTTTCAATTGTCTATTTACATGAACAACCCAATAGAAAATAGCCATGAATAACTTCTGAAGCAATTGTAATGTGAAATATGAATACCCGCCTCGGCCTCCCGAAGTGCTGGGATTACAGGCGTGAGCCACCGCGCCCGGCCCCTCCCTACCTGTTTCTAAAAGAGGAAATGATGCTCTTGTATGAGTTCATTCCCTCAGTCCTTCCAAATCCAAACACTAATTTAGTACTTTCACTTCTCAGCTGTATTCATAAGGTTTTTGTTTTTGTTTTTGTTTTTTGAGACAGAGTCTTGCTCTGTCGCCCAGGGTGGAGTGCAGTGGTGCAATCTCGGCTTACTGCAACTTCCACCTTTCTAGTTCAAGCAATTCTCCTGCCTCAGCCTCCTGAGTAGCTGGGATTACAGGCGCACGCCACCATGCCTGGCTAATTTTTTTGTATTTTTAGTAGAGACGGGGTTTCACCATGTTGGCCAGACTGGTCTCGAACTCCTGACCTCAGACAATCTGCCTGCCTCAGCCTCCCAAAGTGCTGGGATTACAGGCATGAGCCACCGCGCCCGGCCCATAAGGTTATCTTTTAGAGTCAATCCTGACTATAGGCCTCCCTCCTAAAAAGAAACGAAGGAAAAAATGACTACAAACTGAACCGTGTGCTTTTTTGTTAAGCTAGCAGGGATTTGGGGAATCATCATGCTTTTTTAAACTAAACAACCCTTTACCGAAAACAAAAAACAAAAAACCCTGTAAATACATTACAAGAGAAACTGTTCTGGCTGAGTCTCTCATTTATACTGCCCTAGACTCTTGGGGAGACTCTAAGAAACCCTTGTGTTCTATGAGAAGGGTTTGAAAATAAGTAATATGGTGAACTCCTCTCATTTTACAAAGGGCCAAAATCAATAAGTTGCTCAAGATCACTGCACTAGGAAATGGCTGAAGGAGGAACAGTCCACCTTGAAGCCCAAAGGATGCAGCTTTTTAAACAAGCGGCTGCCATCAGACCAGTCTCTCCAGTTCTCTAGGATTTCCTGGCTCTCTCCCTCTCCAGTACTCAGCACAGAGACCTCAGTGTACATATTATCACCTCCTTTCCCAGGAAAGTGGAGGCTTAAGTGAAATATGGCTCACTTCACAGAAAATTTAATAAATTCACAGAAAAATAAAAGCATTTAAGTAACTACTTTCTATTTTTCATTATTTCACGTTTTCATTATTTTACAACTGTGTTGATGGTTGTGATCTTCCAAGGGGATAACAACTATAAGTAATGCTCCACAAATTGTTTTAATTTACTTGTTAATAGGGTTGAGTAGAGGCAAAAGGACTGTACAGACGGTAGCCATTTGCTGACATTCCCTGAATGACGAATTGTGGAATGAATTAGAGCTGCTGCACATTCTGAAGATTTCAAAAGTAGCTGTGCTTCAGTTAAGTGCTTATTCAATTTTCAGATGAAGTCATCAAATTAATTTTAAAACTCACAAAATAAATATGTGCTTTAAAATATATGTTTTTTCCTAAGAAAGTAAAAATTATCTGTTTAGGTTGTGAGAATATTTAATAGTGTCAAAAATAAAAGAGAGAGAAAAGGCTTCAACTTTTAGTTAAATACCCAACAGCAAACTATCTAATCAATAGGGTATTTCTAGGCATTTTCCTGGTGAATTGACTACAGTTCTACATATGCAAACCCCATGGCTTTAATTTGTCTTTAATTAATAAATTCTTTGACAATTTGGTCTCTTGAACCTATGATTTTTTTTGTTCTCATCAGAAATATGAACCTTAAATATAGTTGAATACAGGCAAAAATTAAATAAATTCAATGACCATGTATTATTCATGGAAGCAACCATAAAGAAAGTTAACCTTGAAAATATATTGCTTTCTTTTTTTCCATTAATGTATTTGGTTGGGAGTTTATACCAAATGATTACTCAGTGATGCTTTTATTAAAACTACACCTCAAGGCCATTCAGCCTGCTGTTTAAGGTTTTGCTCAAAAGAAATAGCAGAAAGAAGTCAAGGTCAAAAAAAAAAAAAACAAAAACAAAAACACAAAACCTAAATGTATGTGAAGATAAAGGAAATATTCTTTAGATCAACAAAAAACATTGATAACAGAATGTAGTATTAATACCAAAAAATTGAAAGGAAACCAATACACTATCTTATAAACATATGTAACCAAATATAATATAAAGAATTGCTGTTAAAATATGTAAATAGAAGTCAGTAATTTATCAAGTGACTTTAATAAATCACAAATCACCTTTTAAGCTACTGGGAAAAAAGGTTACTAACTTTATTGATAGAAATATATTATCGGGGAAGTGAGAACAAATCGTATTTCTTTCCAGTTCGGAAACAATTGGTAAAATCAACAAACTGTTGTTTAGATATCTTCACAAGAACAATGAATAATGAGAAAGCTATACCCAATATTTCCTTAAAAGTCCCTTTGGCCCTTGTCAATCTACAAGTCCCCCATTCCCAGTGGTGCACAATTTCAACCCAGATGACAGTTCATTTTCAGAAAGGGGGCTTGTATTATAGGAGGCTCACATAACATAGGAATTGCCTGAATATTCTGCACCTCCCTTCTATGTAGCCTAGTCGATAACTATACACAAGTCAAGGAAAAAAAAAAAATTTCCTTGATCCCAGAGAACTTAATTATCCAACAAGGTGAAGTTTACACCTATAAGCACTAAGATGGGGACACATGCACATATACCCTCCTTTTCATTAATCTTTCATGTAAAACATAATTTAGTCAATTCTTGAGGACTCAGGTGGCAACATTAAAAATAACACTCACTGATTCAACTGTAAGCAAATCCTACCTGCCTCATGGCATGGGAATAGAAACATAAACATGATAGTTCCATTCTCAAGGATTCAACATTTCACTGGGCAGAAAAACAAGTAAATAACCATGATTTTTAAAATGCGTGAGTGCACCTGTAGTTCAAGCTACATGGGAAGCTGAGGTGGAGAACTGCTTTGGCCCAGGAATTCGAGGCCAGCCTGGGCAATATAATGAGATCCCGTCCCTAATTTAAAAAGATGTTCTGGGCCAGGTGCGGTGGCTCACGCCTGTAATCTTGGCACTTTGGGAGGCTGAGGTGGGCGGATCACTTGAGGTCAGGAGTTCCAGACCAGCCTGGCCAACATGGTGAAACCCCCTCTCTACTAAAAATACAAAAATTAGCCGGGCATGGTAGTGCGTGTCTGTAATCCCAGCTACTTGGGAGGCTGAGGCAGGAGAATCGCTTGAACCCAGGAGGTGGAAGCTGCAGTGAGGTGAGATCATGACACTATACTCCAACATGGGCAACAGAGCAAGACTCCGTTTCCAAAAAAAAAAAAAAAAAAAAAAAAAAGATGTTCTGCTGTTCTTAGTACATTAGACGTCCTAGCTCCCAGTATGGGTCAAAATCCCAATATTTGGAGGAAAGCTTACTAAAGGGATTATTTATAAATCTGTGTGCAAGGTTCAAGAACACCAATAAAGTATAGTGGCGTGCCCCTGAGCAAGCCACTGCAGGAACTGGTATTATATCTAGGTGAGAAGGAGGTAGGGGAGGAAAAGGCTTCCTGGAACCCAAAGATGGTAAGCAGGTGAGAGCCACGGTCACAGCTAACTGGTGGTGGCAGTGAGGGGGCTAGGAGAACAAATATTGTGACCTCATGCTTTTCCTGTCTTCTGATCTTGTGCAGGGGCCTCTCATGGGCCAAACCCAAAGGAGGCCAGAGATGATCCAGCCTGTATAGACCAGTCTCCTGGGCCATAAGCAGCCGGGCAGAGAAGTATGGAGAGTGGAGGAAAAGCTCCACTGGAGGGGAAAATAGAAGGTTCCAGCACTACTAAACCTGTTAGCCCTTTGAAACACCCAGAATAGAAATCATTTTTCATTACCTCGTCAGCTCAAATGACCATCACCTCCTGTCTGGATTATTTCAGTGGCATCCTAACTGGTCACTCCATTTTTTTGACTCTATTCTGCATACAACAGTCAGGGTGCCTACTTAAAACAGAAGCCAAATCATGCCATTCCTCTGCTCAAACCCCTCCCATGGTTCCCAATCATTGCTTACTATAGCCTGGAAAGCCCTGTGTATCTACGTGGCTCCAGCAATCTCTCTGCCCTCACCTGCTACTGCACCTCCTGTTCTGTTCTGCTTCAGCCACACCTGCTCTTTTACTGGCCCTGGTATGTGCTGATATGCTCCTGCCTCGAGGCCTTTTGCATGCTGTTTCCTTGTCTAAAATGCATTTCCCCCAGTTATCCATGTGAAGAGCTTGCTCACTTGCTTCAGGTCTGTGTTCGAATATCTCCTATCAGAGAGGCGTTTCCTGACTACCCTCTTTAAAATATCAAAATCCTAACTTCCTTATTCTGCTTTATTTTTCTCTTTAGCATGTATCACATATCATAAGCACATCTAACAAATATTTGCTTTCCCCTCTTCCTCTGCTTTTTCCCTAGTAGAATGTAAACCCCATGATGACAAAGACTTTTATTTTGATCACTGATGAATCATCTGTGCCTGGCATAAAAGGTGTAAATAAATGTATGTTGATGGATTGGTGAATGAATGTGGGAATGCACATAGCTTAATGTGTTCCTTTTGGTAAGAACTGCAAAAGGCTAGAAAGTAGATAGGAGGTAAAAACATGATGAGTACATATAAATTAATCTTTTAAGATATCTTTTTTTTTTAAGGAGAAGGAATAAAAAATAGCATGAAGCAACACGAAAGCATGTTTATGTTCTCAAGGATTTAACGTTATACTGGAGAGATAATGAGATTCAAATTATGAGAAAGCAGGAATATTTAATGGAACAAGATCCTGGATGAGATAGACAAGAATAAGATTAGGAACACAGAGGGAAAAGAGTGGGCTCAAGAAAGAAGCAGGGATACCTCTTCCTCTGGGACAGATAGAAAGGAAGAAAAGAGTGGCTGTGTCCAGAAGAGAGTTGAAGGGTTCATGGGTTAGGCCCTCTACCTTTACTCTGCAGTAGGCGGCATATTAGCTGTTAAGGCTGGACATGAGTGGGAAGGTGAGTGGATTTCACAACAGCAGTAAATGTTTAGAAAAGATGTTTTTAAGGATGGGAAAGGGAGCTGTCTAGGGAAGACCTGGAACAGACTATGACCAATGGTGCCTTCACCAGTTCTGGGTGCTGGTGCAAGGGCTATAATGAAAGGTCTAGGACAATGAAACAAGTATGAAAAGTCTAGGACAATGAAACAAGAGAAGTATGGATATGATGTACTGCTGTCCATAAAAGGTAGAATGACAGAGTGTGGCTAGAAAATGGCTGAGCCAGGGCCTGGGTTCCTCAGCCCCTCTTTGCAGGTAGATGAGGAATCTGTTGAGTTCTCACCAAAAGAATATGAGGTGAGGCTTTTGAGAAGTGGGGGTGTCTCTTCCACTTGCTCTTCCTTCCTACTGGCTGGGATGGCAGGGAGCAGAGCACCCTTGGAAGCTATGTGTTGAAGATGGGTAGAATCTGAGTTTTCAAATATTAATAGTTGTGTGGGGAGAACTTCTTGATGAAATGAGCACCTAACCAGGACTTTTATGTGAAAAAGAAATAGATTTCTATAGTTCTTCAGTCATTGCATTATTGTTACATACTATGATCATAGCGGCTTAGCCTACCGCAGTATAAGAGGTTACACTAATCTCTGTAATAATGAGAGAGCAAGGCCACAGCAGCAGTGGTTCCAGAATTAGTTAGGCACTGGTCATAGTACTATTAGCTGCCATCTGTGGCAGGGCTAATGCCCGGACTGGTCGTGACAGTGCTACAATGATTGAGAAATGGAGAAGGGGACCACATTTTAAGCAACTGTGGTTGAGATATCCTCAGGGAAGTATTTTGGAAAGAAATGAAGGGTAGGAAGGATTGATGTTCTCATGCAGCAGACAGAGGCAGAGCTAGAGGAATACCATTTTAAATTATTATTGTGATCCCTTGGCAAGTGTGAAGTCTGTGTGAATTTGTTAGCTATCATCTGCATTCAGTCTACATGGTTTCAGCAGCAATCCTCTTCTACTTTCAATAGGCCAAGAAATCAGATAAATGAACTTGTTAGAAATAGGCACAATATTTCAAGTAAATATATTCTGAGTGGGAGGCCAGTGAATAAAATGCAAAAAAAAAAAAAACATGCATAAACGTCAGTAGGAAAACTCTATAAACAAAGATGTTTGATGTTTTATTTTGCTTACTTTGTTTTCTTTGCCAAGAGTGTATCTAATGCCTTGTACAGTACCTGGCACAAAACAGAAGCTCAAAAATACTTATTAAAAGAATTAATAAGCCGGGTGTCGTGGCTCATGCTTTTAATCCCAGCACTTTGGGAGGTTTAGGTGGGAGGATTGCTTGAGCACAGGAGTTCCAGACCAGCCTGGGCAACACAGCAAGACCCCATCTCTACCCCTACCATAAAAAATTAATTTTTTAAAAAAAGAACGAATGAACTGGGTTAACTTAACAAGTGAGATTATAATTTCCATTTTTTTTCTAATTATTTGGTAATAAACTTCTCTTGAAAGTGGTCACAATGAAATGGCAATCATTTTCACTACTGGAGCACTTTACCTACTATATTTTTTGTGACTAAAGAAATGTGATGAATATTTTCATTTAAAATAAAAATATATAAGTAAAATAATCCTCAAATGGAATCTTAAAGTCATTTAAAAATCAAAAGAAATTGATTTTCCAAGGAAATATGCTCTTATAATTAGGCAAGTTCTTTTGAAGAATATGGAGTCATCTGCGATATAAAGTCATAGTATTTAAAATTACATTCTGATTTATATAGTGCATGGATCAGATTAGCCTACTTAACAAGCCAGCACTTGCTTTATTATTACTCAAATCCATAAGGCTTTTATAAAGACTTAGCATTTCAGAAATCCAGACGGTCATGTGATAGAGTTCTTAGCTTCACTCTCTCAAAGGAATTAGAGGATATTTAAAGCTGGAGTGAATACTGTAAAATGAACATACTCCTAGGCTAAATTTACTATCAAGAAAACCATGCTTCATTTAATAGGTATGCATTTACCTACCCTAATGCCAAATGAAGAGTTAGCTTCATTTCATGATCTCTTAACATTTTCAATAAAACAAGATTCTATGATTTACATTCTTAGAGAAAACTTTTATGAAATTGATTTAGATCCCAGGATAAACAAATAAAGCAAACAAAAAGTAAGCTGCAATTGTAAAATGATCCTCAGGATTTCCATCACAGAAATTGAGAACAATACCCAGGCCCCAAGTATACAAGGAAATATGGTATGGTTGGAGGTACACTGCTGTAGATTTATAAGAGCCATAGATAATAGCAGTAATGGCATATTAACTTCAAAGTATTTTTCTTAAATGATACCTTTATATAACTTGTTATGCTATGACCAGTGAGACATTATGATAGCAATGATAAAGTTAAATGTTATAATTGTAATAATTTACACTTGTATAATAAAAAGAAAAAATGTGATATATTAATTTGATAAACATTACTTAGGGCCTACTACAAACAAAACCTTTGACATGAGATAGTCATAAACCTTGATGTCAAGGTTTTCCTACACCCACAAAGCTTTCATGGGGGGATTAGTATAACATAGAAGGATAAGAATAGGTGATTACCAGCACAATGTCTGATTTAATATATAACTACTAGTATTTTATTACATTACATATTATTCACTGCCTTGTATAAATAAAATTTCTTTACTTCCAAAAGAAAGCCTTTCCTAATTACCCTGACTCCTTCCAGAGATCATATATAATCTCTGTGTACCGTACTTTTCCTTTGTAACATATCCATATGGTTGGTTTATGTAACAACCACCCCTGCCATTTGACTGTAACAACAAATAGGGATCAAAAGTGCCTTGTTCATCTTCATATTCTCAGTACCTAGCACCCTGTGCCTGGAAAGCAAGCACAGAGGATGGCTTCCACTCTTACATTTTAAGGTCTGAATTGATACACAATCCCAACAAGTAACTCTGAACTGCAAGCAGCAGTTTATCACATATAAAATAGCCTATTTTTTCAAAGTTAACAGAGTTTAAACAACTCTTCAAACTCTCTTAATTACAGACTCTTTGAATTATGAAGCTATTAATGCTGGTCTTTAAGAAAAAATGAAAAATCACACATGCCTAATGATTCACTTAAAACCATACTAAGTAAATCCAGAGCATAACATGTTAAAATATGCTTCACTGGAAAAAAAAAATCTCTGCTGAGTCTAAAAAGAAATAAACACTGCTGAATTTCAGACCACCCAATGAGAACTTTATTTTCTGACCATTACTTGTTACCCACTCAAGTCAATTCACCCAAAACATTCATTCTACACCACATTTCAGAGACAACAGAGAGATCCTCTGATACAGATTTTTTTAGAGACAGTATAGAGTTGAAAAGATCTATTCCCGATTCACTAACTTATCCAATAATTTGGTTACTTCATAATGATTCCCCCCCCACTCCATCATTAAAAACAAAGAGGAACAAAATGTGAGAAATCAAATAGAAAAGCTCCCTGTTTTATCCAACCCAGATGGCTTGGTTACGGGATTTTTTCTCAGAGCTGTGCCAAGTTAGAGGCATGGTTGAAAAAAAGCTATTTGAAGTTAAATCCAAAGTGACTAGAGACTGTGGCTGAAAATAGTTTTTTTTTTTTTTTTTTTTAAAAAGATGGGGCATGTGTTGGGGGTGAATATGTTAGCTTAGGATTGATGTGAGCTCCCTCAACTTTGGGGTACTTCTCCCCCCATGCCCATCTAAGCAGGTTTTAACTGTCAGCACCTCCCCAGTACACCAATGACTTGGGAGTTCTACTTTCAGATGCGGAACTGGCAGCAACATTGTTTACCTGCAGTTTCTAATTATCACTGCCAAATACCTCACAGAATATCCTGTTGCTCTGAAGGAGAAAGCCTCACATTATATAAATGTATCTGGTGTTACAGTGAGTTAAAATGGGGCCGACTGTATATAGAAATGGATACCTCTGTCGCAACATTGCACTGGTCTTCCCCAGTGCCCTTGAATCAGAGAAGCCTTATATATCTCAACCCTGACCTCAGTAGAGTCTAAGAAACTTGAGAGATGGGAAAGTACAGATATGTTAAAAAATTAGATGATAATTAATTTAAAAGAAGTGTTAAAGATGCAAAAATCAGGAACTGCTTAAGGGAACTGTTCCCAGGAGCAGAATTTAGGAAGGAATGACTTCTCAGTCCCAAAATAACTCTCTCCATCAACACTGGCTGAGAATTCATACTTCACTTTTTATATTATTTAAAGTTCTATTGATTTATTTGGGATAATAAGCATTTGTAAGAGACACAGTTCCCTTTTAACAGGACCACACAGAATTTCTCGGGATTTTAGCATGGGAAAAAAGACTATTCAAATATAGACTGGACTACACAGCCATCCTACTGGTTATCTTAGTTCCCATACCAAACTGTCATCCTACTTCCTTCTTTCTCTTGGTCTTGGTCCCACTTCTTAGGCACCTAGGCCTTATCTAACTTCACACAGTCGACTCCATCTGGCTCCTTCCACAAAGGACATTAACCGAGCCACCAAAAGAGATGCTTCATTCTCTAGGTGTCTGGCAAGGCTATGGCTGACTTAGTAAATGAAAAATTCCATTCTTTAGGGAACATAACAGCCCCTATATACTACTGTTGCTTTATAGTAGGTTTGACAGCATACTTTAAACATACAGTAAGTATTTAAATGTCAAGAACTGGCCCTTATAATAGTAGGACCACATGGTCTTCCTGAGAAAGCAAAGACTGATAGAAAAAAAACTCCGGGGGCCAGGCACCGTGGCTGACGCCTGTAGTCCCAGCACTTTGGGAGGCTGAGGTGGGCGGATCATGAGGTCAGGTGATCAACACCATCCTGGCTAACACAGTGAAACTCCGTCTCTACTAAAAATACAAAAAATTAGCTGGGTGTGGTGGTGGGCGCCTGTAGTCCCAGCTACTTGGGAGGCAGAGGCTGAGGCAGGAGAATGGCGTGAACCCGGGAGGCGGAGGTTGCAGTGAGCTGAGATCGTGCCACTGCACTCCAGCCTGGGTGGCAGAGCGAGACTCCATCTCAAAACAAAAAAGAAAAAAAACTCCAGGAAGACAAAATCTCCATCATGACCGAGAACAAACCTGTGTTATCAAATTACTTCTCTTCAAAGGCATGTGCAATCAACCACACAGAGAGAAAGTTCACATTTAGGTGAGTGGGAGATAGTGGGAGGGCAGCAAGTAACGGAGCACAGAATACAGGATACATGGGTAAAGAGGGGCTGCCTGAGTGCCACAGTGGAGGCCTAAGGAAACAGGTACACAGAGGCTGCAGAAAGCTATGAAAGAAGGGTGGGTGATTATAAAGGGACACTTCACTGACGGAGACATTTGGTCTAGAGCCAGCCACAAAAAATGGAAACTAGGAGGAAGTCCTACTCAATAGCCTTACTCCCCTAATTGTATCTTATAGTTAATTTTACTAAAATATTATTTTTCTATAATATATTCCAAGTTGTTAATCAATCAATTTACATAAGATGTTTCTAAAATCAACTATTCGTTTACATCAACATATATGTTTTTAAAAGCACACAGTGTAGTAAAGGTGTAGTGAAGGGTTGCCTGAGTGCCACAATAAAATAATATACTGCTTAATCAGTGGTTTTCAACTTGGCTGTGGATAGGAATCATGTGGTGATTACAAACAGTTATATAGATTCTGAGGCCTCATTATCACAAGGTGCAGAGAGAGGGCAGACAGATGTTTAAAAGTCAAGCTCCTCCAGTGGTTTTGATATGTAACCAGAGTTGAGGACATGCACAGAATCTTTGTGATGTGAACTGTGGTCTACAGACTAGCTGCACTGGCATCACCTGGAAGCCTGTTGGAAATGCAGAATCTGAAGCTCAGGCCAGAACTATTAAATCAGAATCTGCATTTTAGCAGAATCCCAGGGGACTGGCATGATCATTAAATTTTGAGAAGCACTGCAGTGAGAGGCTGTGCTGTGCATGTTCTGACAATATCAACTAGAGGAAGGTGGTGCCATTTCCGAAGAGAATGTAAGAGCCTTGGGTTTAGAGAAAAGACAAACTTGGTATTGTGAGATAATCTGTTCAGTGTAAACATTTAAAATGTACCCTTAGTTTCATAATACTGTTTGGGCACATCATCATTTAAAAGAAAAATACCAAAAAGCTAAAAAAAAAAAAAAGGAGCTGAACCTTTAGCATACTTCTCAGAGGCACTGTTCATAGCTAACAATTGAGCAGATAAAAGAATTTTTAAAAATACAATTTAAAAACTCTCTTCTAATAGCAAGAGTTTTTTTTTTTTTTAAATACAGGGTCTTGCTCTGTCACCCAGGCTAGAATGCAGTGGCACAATCATAGCTCACTGCAGCATGGAACTCTTGGGCTCAAGCGATCTTCCTCCCTCAGCCTCCTGAGTAGCTGGGACTATAGGCACATGCCACCACGCCCAGCTAATTTTTCCTTATTTTCTGTAGAGACAGAGTCTTGCTATGTTGCCCAGGTTAGTCTCAAACTCCTGGGCTCAAGCAATCCTCCTACCTCAGCCTCCCAAAGTGCTGGGATTACAGGCGTGAGTTGCCACACGTAGCCAAGAGACAAAATTTAAGGTAAATATTTGTATAATACATTTCAATGCATTTTAATTTTTTTATAGTTTTTCAAAAAAACTTTATCATTTTACATTTCCATTACATTTTGGGTGCTTTTAAAGTTATGACGTTTTGGAGAGTGATTTTATTTTATGTATTTAGCTACAATCTTCAGGAATAGCTCTAGCTTTTATATTTTTAGGAGGACCTTTCACGGTGTGATGGCAATCTGGTTGACAATCTGATTATTACAGCTGTAGTTGGTAAAGCACTATATTTTTAAAATTACATAATGGAAAGATGATGTACATGTCTGGGTATTCCAAAGACAGATCCCAGTATTGTGTGAAAGGGGAAATGTCATTGCATAAATAATATAATCTTTAGCTGAAAAGGAAAAAATAGGTCTATCTGATATTATTAGAAAATACTCTTTTTAATTTGTTTAGAGGCAGGGTCTCACTCTGTCCCCCAGGCTGGAGTGCAGTTGCATAATCCCAGCTCACTGCAGCCTCAGCCTCCTGGGCTCAGGTGATTCTCTTGTTTTAGTCTCCCAAGCAGCTGGCACTGTAGGCACATGTCTCTATGCCCGGCTATTTTTATTTTTTTTGTAGAGGTAGGGTCTTGCTATGTTACCCAGGCTGGTCTGCTGGGCTCAAATGATCCTCCTGCCTTGGCCTCCCAAAGTGCTGGGATTACGGGCATGAGCCATTGTGCCTGGCCCATTTTTTAATAAAAATTATAGGTAGTTTAATATTTTCTATGTCACTTAAATTTAGTACTGCTTGCTTAAACTCTTTTCTTGTTTTTCATTTTTTTCAGTCCTTTTCTATCTTACCCTATACCTTAGTTATTTCAAGTGTTTATCTTATTAAACTTATTCAAAGAAACTCCTAGATACACTAATTTACCTGATTTTGTTTTTATTTTTTGCTCTTATATTGCTTTATTCATGCTACATTTCTTACAGATTCTTTTGATTTTTCTTCCTTCCTTTTCAAAATAGTCTTTTAAAGCTATTATAGCTGGATGCAGTGGCTCACACCTGTAATTCCAGCACTCTGAGAAGCTGAAGTGGGAAGGTCACTTGAATCTAGGAGTTTGAGACCAGCCTAGGCAACATAGTGAGACCCCCGTCTCTAGAAAAAATTCAAAAATTAGATGGGCGTGGTGGCACACATCTGGAGTCCCAGCTACTGAGGAGGCTGAAGTTGGAGGATAGCTGAAGCCCAGGAGGTTGAGGCTGTGGTGAGTTTGACCACACCACTGCACTCCAGCCTGGGCGACAGAGCAATACCACCCCCCCACCTCAAAACAACAACAACAACAACAACAACGAAAACCAGCTATTATAGTCAAGAATATAAATTATGATATATATTACTATCATTTCAATTTTTTATAATTAGTTTATTACTACATTGTTGATTTCTCTTATAGTCAATGATTATTTCTCCTGTGTGGAAATTACTGGTATTTTCTTCAAAGTAGTGAGGCTATGTTTTCTGAAAAAGGGAAGGCAAACACTGGCTGCCTCTGAATTCAGGTCTCCCTGCAGTGAGGGTGGTAGCAGTTGAGTTTTCTGGTTATTGTAGCTTTTATGGTTTTAAACTATTCCATCACTAGGGATTAGGGTGGGGGTGGCTAGGCCTCCCTCCAACTTACTTCTTAGCAACATTTCCTTTAATGGAAACAACTGTTTCAGTCCCATTTAAAATGGTTTAAAAAATCCATTTCCATTGGCACTACAGTTGGTAACATTCTTCCTAGATTTTAGCAAAAGCCTGATTGCTTAGCCTCTTAGGTTTAAGTATTACTGTGAGAATTTCTTTTTCTATGTGTATGTTTTCCAAAGCATTTTCATTGGAAGCTAAAAGAGGACAGGCAGCTGTGAGTTGGCTAGCTACATCCTAGTGTGAACACTGTGGAAATGCTTTCAATTTACTTCAGAAGGGTCAAGAGTTCCTTGAATTCACATTCTAAAATTTTGGATGAAACTCTGTTAGGCATTTAATTTAAATCCCCCTATTATATAATCTTATTCAAATTTAATACTTACTTTCCTAAAGTTAGATCTGTTGTAATAATCCCCAGGTGATCAGAAATTGTTTTTAGAAAACACAATGAAGGGCCCGGTGTGGTGGCTCAGGACTGTAATCCCAGTACTTTGGGAGGTTGAAGTGGGGAGATCACTTGAGGTGAGGAGTTTGAGATCAGCCTGGCTAACATGGTGAAACCCCATCTCTACTAAGAATACAAAATTATCTGGGCGTGGTGGTGGGTGACCGTAAACCTAGCTACTCGGGAGGCTGAGGCAGGAGAACTGCTTGAACCAGGGAGACAGAGGTTGCAGTGAGCTGAGATGCGCCATTGCACTCTAGCCTGGGTGACAGAGAGAGACTCCATCTCCCCCCCCCCAAAAAAAAACACATAGTGAAGAATATAAAACACTTGATGATTATAACAGTACCAGTTACTTTACCAGTGAAGTGATATGCTGTATATATTACATATAAAATAGTAAACATGACATATGAAAAATTAGGTTTATAAAGAAATAATAACCTAATTTAAGTAAGCACACATGAATTCAGTGTATGTCAGCTACAATTAAATGTTAAAGTTATTTTCAAGCATTGAAAAAACGACAGTATGTATTACTTTATTTTTATTTTTATGTTTCGAGACAGGGTCTTGCTCTCTTGCCCATGGTGGAGTGCAGTGGCATGATCTTGGCTCACTGAAGCCTTGAACTGCTATGCTTGAGCGATCCTCCCACATCAACCTCTCAAGTGGCTGGGACTACAGGCGTGTACCATCACACCTGGATAATTTTTGTATTTTTTTGGTAGAGACGGGGTTTTACCAAGTTGCCCTGGCTGGTCTCAAACTCCTGGACTCAAGCGATTGATCCATCCACCTCGGCCTCCCAAAGTGCTGAGATATAGGTGTGAGCTACCATGCCCGGCCATATATTACTTTAAATCTATTTCCTAAGTGAACACATTTAAAAACCAATGTTAAGGGTATAATAAGTCTTACTTAATATTATAGAGTAAATCGGGTGGGCGCTGTGGCCCACGCCTGTAATCCCAGCACTTTGGGAGGCTGAGGCAGGCGGATCACGAGGTCAGGAGTTTGAGACCAGCCTGGCCAACATGGTGAAACCCCGTCTCTACTAAAAATACAAAAATTAGCTGGGTGTGGTGGCAGGTGCCTGTAATCCCAGCTACTCGGGAGGCTGAGGCAAGAGAATCGCTTGAACCTGCGAGGTGGAGGTTGCACTGAGCTGAGATCACACCATTGCACTCTAGCCTGGGTGACAGAGCAAGACTCCGACTTTAAATAAATAAATACATACATAAATACATACATACATACATACCACAGAGTAACTCAACTGCAAGTATCCCACTCACAAAGTCAATTTGGAAATTTGGGTAAAGATGGTAAACTGAATATACATATTCAGTTCCACTCCCTCTACAAATATTAAAACAACAGTAAAGTGATTTTTAAAGACAGCATAAGCTCAGAAGAATATAGAAGAGAACATAAGAATTTTGGAACCAGGAAGGAAATGGATGAGTAGTAACTGAGTTAGGAGACCTGAGAAAACTGAACAGCAAGCTGGCAGGGGGAAAAACTGAGAAGCAACTTAACTCTACACTGCAGAGCTCGCCAAAAGAAATGGTGGCAAAATTCCTGGTCAAAAGGGTTACAGAGGCTGGGTGCAGTGGTTCATGCCTAACAATCCTGGCAATTTCTGAGGCCCAGGTGGATGGATAGCTTGGACCCGGGAGCTCAAGAACAGCTTTTTTTTCCTACTTAAAAGGAAAAAAAAGAAAAAAAGAAAAAAGAAAAGAAAAATAGCCAGATGTGGTGCCATGTGCCTGTAGTCGCAGCTACTGGGGAGGCCAAGGAGGGAGGATCGCATGAACCCAGGAGGTGGAGCTTGCAGTGAGCTATGATGGCACCACTGCACTCCATCCTGGGCAACACAGCAAGACCCTGTCTAACAAAACAAAAAGGACAGGGGTGCTAAAGTTAGGAAGGATGGCTGTACATCTGCTTAAGGAGGAGAGAGACTCCAAGATACCTTCTCATTCCAGAAGCCTGTCAATGTCCCTCCTTCCCCAGGGAAACCCTTATGTTTATTCTCTGGAAAGGGGTGAATCAGAGGGTTTCTGGATTTGCAAATCTCCAGCACAACTGAGAGTGGGGCTAATAGGGATCGAGTAAAAGTTTATAAACTGAATGTTGAGCGCCCCCAAGCCTTATTCTCCTAGTAGGATGCTGGTAAACAAGTACCTTTCAGAATGGAAGAGTCTTCTCTGAAGAATCTGACTGGCACAAGAGAAAATACCTAAAGATATAGACATTGATAACTTTCCAAGAAATGGTTGTTATGGGTTGAATGGTGTTCCCAAAACAGATGTGTTAAGATCTGCTCTAGACTGAATTAGGTTTTCCCAAAATTCACAGGTTGAAGTTCTAACTTCAAATGTGTCTATATTTGGAGTTAGGGCCTTTATGGTGGTAATTAAGGTTAAATGAGGTCACAGGGTGAAGCCCTACTATAGGGCTGGTGTCTTTATATGAAAAGGAAAAAGAGGAATATTTCTCTCCATGTGCACACATCAGAAAGACCATGTGATGACATATGGGAGGGTGGCTGCCTTACAAGCCAGGAAAAGAGCCCTCACAGGAAACCAACCCTGGCAGCAACTTGATTTTGGACTTCCAGTCTCCAGAACTGTGAAAAAATAATTCCTGTTGTTCAAGTCAATCAGTCCATGGTTTTTGTTATGGCAACACAAGCTGACTAACACACAGTCCTAAACCCCAATCCCTCAGAACGTGACCTTATTTGGAAACAGGGTCATTGAAGATGTAGTTAAATGAAGTTATGTGACTGGTGTCTTTTTAAGATGAAGAGGCAAAATAGACACACAGAGACATGAGGGGCGAGTCCTATGTGACAATGGAGGTAGAGTGTGGAGGTAGACTGAAGTGCTGGCAACAATCAGCAGCTAGGAATTCACAAGGAATGATTCTCCTCAACAGGTTTCTGAGGGAGTGTGGCCCAGTCAACATCTTGATTATGAAATTAAGGACTTCAAGCCTCCAGAAATTGTGAGACAATACATTTCTGTTGTTTTAATCCACACTGCTTGTGGTACGTCCTTATGGCAGCCACAGGAAAATATTCTATAGTCTAGTCAGATCACTCTACAGTGAAGATCACGTTCAATAAGCCCTTTCATGGGCACAGAGCTCCAGGCAGCTTTTCATTATTATCCTAAAAAATGAGCAGAGAACCCGAGATCATCCAACATTTGAGGAAATTATACATGAAAAACAGAAGCTGAAACAAATGTAAAACAGAATTCAAACGAAAGACTATGTAGAAAGAAGAAAATGTCCGGCCAGGCACAGTGGCTCACACCTGTAATCCCAGCACTTTGGGAGGCCAAGGCAGGCGGATCACCTGAGGTCGGTAGTTCAAGACCAGCCTGACCAACATGGAGAAACCCTTTCTCTACTAAAAATACAAAATTAGCTGGGCCTGGTGGCACATGCCTGTAATCCCAGCTACTCAGGAGGCTGAGACAGGAGAATTGCTTGAACCTGGGAGGCAGAGGTTGCGGTGAGCCGAGATTGCACCACTGCACTCCAGCCTGGGCAGCAAGAGCAAAACACCGCCTCAAAAAATAAAATAAAATAGAATAAATTAAAAAAGTGTCCAAAAAACTGTCAGTCATATTCTCAGGAACTAAGCACATAGGTGCAGAAATTAAAAGATCCATTGAAGGGTTAGAAGATAAAACTGAGAAACTCAATCAGAAAGTAGAACAAAAAGAGATGGGAAAGAGAAGGGAAAAGATTAAAAAAAAAATTGGAAAACCAGTCCAAGTGCCTTACAAATACAAATGAATAAAAAGAATTCCAGACAGAACAACAGTGAAAATGGAGTACAGAACAGTATTAAAGAGATAATTTTAACTAAATTTCTCAGAGCTGAAGGAAAAAGGATTCCCAGATTAAAAGGGACTCCTGAGGGTTTAGCAAAATTGACTATAACGGACTCATGCAACAAAGTACATCATCATGAAATTTTAAAACAACAGGAAAATAGAAAATATCCCACAAGCTTCCTGAATGGGGAGAAAAACAGGTAAGAATCATAATGGCTTCAGCCTTCTCAACAGCAACACCAGAAGTTAAAGACAATGAAGAATTGCTCTCAAAATTCTGAAAGAAAATGATTTCCAACCTAGCATCTCAAGAAACTGACCTCTTGGGGTCTGGGTGCGGTGGCTAATGCCTGTTATCTCAGCACTTTGGGAGGCCGTGGCAGGCAGATCATGAGGTCAGGAGTTCGAGACCAGCTTGGCCAATATGGTGAAACCCCATCTCTTCTAAAAATACAAAATTAGCCAGGCATGGTGGCGCATGCCTATAATCTCAGCTACTTGGGAGACTGAGGCAGGAGAATTGCTTGAATCCGGGAGGCAGAGGTTGCCGTGAGCCAAGTCGTGCCACTGCACTCCAGCCTGGGCGACAGAGCGAGACTCTGTCTCAAA
Source organism: Homo sapiens (assembly GCF_000001405.40). NCBI lineage: Eukaryota > Metazoa > Chordata > Mammalia > Primates > Hominidae > Homo > Homo sapiens. The sequence continues at coordinate 63,574,872 of NC_000010.11, read as the reverse complement.
AAAAAAAAAAAAAAAAAAAAAAAAAGAAATTGACCTCTCATTATAGCCTTCTCAGGAAGGATGCATTTTATCAAAATGAAGAAATTAAGTAATTAAGAAATCAGAGAATCCAAAACAAGAACCATCACTGAGAAGAAATGCACACAACTCTAGGAAAGTTTGGGTCTGGATACAGAGTAAGAACACAGAGAACACCACACAAATGAAACAACAAGATAGTGAATAACACCAGAGTAAAGAATGGTAATGGCAGGATACTGTGGAGATCAGCTGTGAATAGTGTTTACATAATGAAAATGATTATATGACAGGTACTGTTATGTTTAAGGTACTGATTTAAATGCTTTATGTGCATTCATATAATTAAATAATATGTTCATTATTTACTACTACTTACTGATTAGAAAACTGAGGCACAGAAAGGTTAAATAACTTGTCCAAAGGTAGAGCTAGTAATGGGTAGGGCTAGGATGAAACCTAGGAAGCCTGTTTCCAGACATTGTGCACTTTACCTCTATATTCTATTGCTTCTAATTTTGTCTAAATAATATAAATATTGAATATTGAGCTAAACAAATTATACTGCAATGATTCTGGGAAGCTATAAGAACAGAGAAATATGCAAGTGTATAGTGGCATTGGGTAACTGCTAAATCATCTTTCGTAGAAGGAAGTTAACTCATGACGTCCATCTGAAAAATTAAGAAATAGCACAATAAGTATGTTATTTGGAATATGGCAATAAATGCTAAAAGATTCAGATAAAAGAGTTTGAACTAGTTGCCTCTAGAGAGTTAGACATAGGGATGGGAGCCTGGGGAACTACTGTTTTCCATAATAAGCCTTGGAAAACTAATTGACTTTTTACATTATAAGTAAATACAGCTTTGATAAAAATAAAAACTAAATTAGAATAGAAAATACACAGACAAGCAAGCAGCCTGACAAAACTAATTTTCAGTAAAAATCCCATCATAATCAGTAGGCTAATCTTTAAACTTTCTAAATTATTAAAACCTTTAAATGAAATGAATACTTTTTATCAAAATTATCAAAAGATACCTAGGAAACACTTCTTGAGAACAAAGAAAAGTTCTTTAGTATGTTTTTCCCCTTCTATTTCCACTCTAAAGTTAGCAGACAACTTCAGATTTCATTATCAATAAGATCTGTAGAACTGGCATGTGGTATATTTGTTCATTTTCATATCACCTAAATAGTCAGTCGAAAATTAGGTCACTTTCAAAAACCAAGTCAGCAGACTTTTAGAGGGCCATTTCTAGGCCTTTTAGAGAGTAATCTCCCAGCTTTTCCTGTTCTTTGTTCTTGCTCACAGTAAATCTCAGAACCAAATGTCTGATTTTGATTTGTAAGTGCTGTTAGCCAATCTTTTCATTGCTGCTTTCTCCAACATTCTTAGAATAAGAACACTGGTTTCCTAGAAAAGCTACAGCAATTACACACGACTTGGAAGTAAACACTCTATTTTCAAGTCATGAGATGGAATGAGCCTGAAAAAATTTGCAAAACCATACTAATTCTTCAGTAAGTTTACATTTCAATTACTGCAAGACTGAAAGTCTTTAAGTAGGCCATATCAGCCACACTATGCAGGAAATTATATCCTAGGAAAGCTCTGTTTTAAAAATAGGCAAAGGAAGAAAGGAAGGTTGCCAAAATACACAGTACTTTCCATTTGTTTTGATTTGAGCACAGCATCTGTTTTATCAGGTGCAATCTACCATTTGCAGGCTTAAGGGGAATGGTAGTAGTTGGGGGTGGGAAGAAGTAAATTAACCGAAAATGTTTGCTTTCTGAAAATAATTTTGAAGTAGATAGCAGTGAAATTTAGGTCATAACCAAATACCACAAAGAAACTGGGTTTTGGGATAAATGTTAAGACTGGACTGTATTCTCCCTAACCCAGCAGAATCAAAGCTGGTAAACTAGATCAATCCACTTAAGAAATGTACAAGCTATTAAGCACAATATTTGATATTTACTTAAAAGTCAACTTTTCTCATTTATTTATTCAAGAAATATTGAGTACCTATTATGCAGCAGGTACTGTTCTAGGTACAGGAATATAGCAATTAATAAAACAACAAAACATTCCCCATGGAGCTTATTCTGGTGGGGAACATAAACATATTCAAATAAAGAATATAACATCAGATACTATAAGGTGCTATTAAAAACATAACAGGGCAATATAAAAAGGTTAATTTTACTAAGAAAATACCATGTATAAAACAAAGAAAATTTGGATAGGATTACTGTATAGGAAAACTTTATGAGGACAGAGTTCTGATAAAACTGTTAACAGTCAGTTTAACAATGAGAACACGTGGACACAGGGAGGGGAACATCACATACTGGGGCCTGTTGGAGGGTCAGGGGCAAGGAGAGGGAGAGCATTAGGACAAATACCTAATGCATGCGGGGCTTAAAACCTAGGTGACAGGTTGATGGGTGCAAACCACCATGTCACACATGTATATCTATGTAACAAACCTACACGTTCCGCACATGTATCCGAGAACTTAAAGTATAATTAAAAAAAAAAAGTCGGTTTAAATTAGATGGCTAAGTTTAGGACTTAGCCTTGCACTGGGTGCAAGCAAATAATGTTCAAAATTTTTGTCAGAGTGAAATTAGATTGGAAATACTTAGAAGATTGTCAAGATTTAAGGGATTTTATTTTTTTTTAAAGGAGGAACTTTACAGAATTTTCAAAACCTTCTATTTCATTTTGAACCTCTTTGTTCACATGTGATTTCAATGCTGGTGGGTCCCGCCCTGGTAAGCTGCCTGATTGTCCTTCTTGGAAAATATCTATATGGCCGTGGCCCCCGAACGTCCAGCTTTGAATTAATCAGATGCATATTCACTGGCTGGTTGTGAAGGCTGTTTCAACTTTTACGTGAAGCTAGAATCTTCACCTGTGTTTCTAAAGGTAGCATGGTAGAATAGAATGAATAAAATACTAGAAACAGAAGATCTCTGATCTGGTACCAATTCTGTCTTTACAATCCATGTGACTCCAGGTAAATTCACTTCTCTAAGCCTGTAATACTGGAATATTTTCTATGCCTACTTCATAAGACTGCAGTTAGAACAACTGAGATATTATTGGAGTAGGCAGAAAAATGCCCTCTCTCCCCTAAAGATGTCTGTGTCTTAATCTCTGGAAACTGAGTATGTTAGGTTACACCGTAAAGGAGAAATAAGGTTGCAGATGAAATTAGGGTTGCTAATCAGCTGACCTTGAAATGGGAAGTTTATCCTGGATTAATCAGGTGGGCCCAATGTAATCACAAGAGTCCTTATAAGTGGAAGAGGAGGCAGAAGAGAGAGAACCAGAGAGATGGCAGCATGAAGAGGTCTCAGCCCAACATTGCTGGGTTTGAGGATGGAAGAATAAAGCCATAAACCAAGGAATGCGGGCAGCCTGTAGAAGCTGGAGTAGACAGGGAAACAGACTTTCCCCTAAACCCTCCAGAAGGGGTGAGGCCTGTGAACTCATTTTAGGTTTCTGACCTCTAGGACTGTAAGAGAATAAATTTACGTTGTTCTAAGCCAATAAGAGTGTGATAATTTGTTTCAAAAAATTATCCAGGGTAGCAAATTAAAACAATAATAAACAAAAGTACTTTGAAACTCGTAGGAAATCATATAAATGGAAAATATTACTATTCCAAGGTGACATCTCAACTTAGTCTCTCTAGCAGCCTCCCCCTGATCCCACTACCCCACCCGATGGTCTCACTCTGTCTGTCATCCAGGCTGGAGTGCAGTGGTGCAATCAGGACTTACTGCAGCCTCGACCTCCCAGGCTCAGGTGATCCTCCCACCTCAGCCTCCTGAGTGGCTGGAACTACAGGCACACACCACCATGCCCTGCTAATTTTTGTGTTTTTTGTAGAGATGGGGTTTTACCATGTTGCCCAGGTTGGTGTCAAACTCCTGGGCTCAAGAGATCAGCCTGCTTCAGCCTCCCAAAGTGCTGGGATTACAGGTGTGAGCCACTGCACCAGGCCTCTCTAGCAGCCTTGATGGAAGGCAATATGGTTGCTGGGAGGGTCTTCAGAGATGACACATTTCCCTGTCAAAGGCAGATGCCTTGTCCTTATTTCAGTGCCTGGCCATTTATTTTGCTTTTAGTTCTCATTTTATTTGTGAAGTAGAGTTGATTACCATGTAATTATCAAACCAGCTCCAGCCACCTGCCTTTTACCTTCCCTAATTTCTCCTCAATTACTCATTATTCTGGTCTTCTCAAATGGATGGTTAAGAAAATCTTTTTTCCGGGTACTAGGCTTAATACCTGGGTGATGAAAGAGTCTGTACCACACACCCCCATGACACAAATTTACCTAACAAACCTGCACAAACCCTAAACTTACAATCAAAGTTAAATAAAAAGAAATGCTTTCCAGAGACATGGTATTACTGCAAAATTATGTACAGATAATTCCAGCTTTATTAATGAGTATTCTCTGAAAACAACTGTGCAAAGCTGTATGTATGCTCACTATGTAACTAAATACACACATATACATATATCTCAATACATATCATGTTTATAGTTTTCTCATCAGTTTGAATGCTGATGGATTATCTTCCATAGCCTAAATTATCTTCACACTTGATCTTAGCCAAAATGCCAAGAAGCAATTATCTTTATAAAGTTGAATAAAAATTTCAGGGTTAGACCATCCTTATCAATCCCCAATTTTTAATCTAGTAATGAAAATCTGAGTGTTGTATCAGGGGTAATAAAACACACAAATTCTTTTTTTTAAGTCTTTTTTTGTTGTTGTTTTTAAGTCTCTAAAAATTAATATTAACAAAATTGAATTGATGCACATCATTTATAAATGCATTAATCTTTCTGATTTTTATTTTATTATTATTGTTAGTATTTTTTTTGAGACAGGGTTTCATTCTGTTGTCCAGGTTGGAGTGCAGTGGCGGGATCATGTCTCACTGTAGTCTCGACTCCCAGGCTCAGGTGATTCTCCCACCTCAGCCTTTCCAGTAGCTAGGACTACAGGCATATGCCACCATACCCGGCTAATTTTTATATTTTTTGTAGAGACGGGGTTTCACCATGTTGGCCAGGCTGGTCTCAAACTCCTGGCCTCAAGTGATCCACCTGCCTTGGCCTCCCAAAGTGTTGAGATTACAGTTGTGAGCCACTGCACGTGGCCAAGCCTATTTTTTATTACAGTTTATTAACTATTTTTATATTTCTTATGCTATCCCTTTACCTTTGACGTTTATTTTAGGGATGGTATTTCTGTGCTTACTGATAATATTCTCAAGTTATTAGAGCTTCTCATCTAAACATTTAAAATTTGTACTTAGCTTTCTTTTCCTAAAAAAAAAAAAGCAGATTTGGGAGAAAAGATTGGAGAATACCGTAAGCACAAATATATATACAATGCACACACACACACAGCAGCACACCAAATTATTATATATCCCGGGCTTCTTGAATGCTTTCTAGGTGAAATGGGCCCAATGTTGAGAGACATAATACCCTGTACTTCAACTGTACATTGAATTAGACTCAAAAAAAGATCTAATTTAATAACAATATAAAAAACATTCCAAATAGGGAAATGGTTCCCATTTATTAAGCACTGGCCAGAAGCAGATTCTTCAACTCATATTTTCATGGTGTTTGGAAATGATGGCCAACTCTTAATTTTATCTTTCAAAAGAGAATTCCAATTAAAATATTACACAGTAGGGCAGAGTGTTGTCTATGGAATTGTACAAGGCTGTAAAAGCACTACTGTGTTACTGTAAGTATATTAATAATACAATAATGAAAACAATAGGCAAAAGTACATTATTTGACAGTAATTTCATGTTACTGAATATAGCAATAAAAAATTTGGGAGTTGGGCACTGTGGCTCATGCCTATAATCCCAGTACTTTGAGAGGCTGAAGTAGGTGGATAACCTGAGGCCAGGAGTCCAAGATCAACCTGGACAACATAGTAAGACTCTGTCTCTATAAAAAATAATAAAAAAAAAAATTAGCTGGGCATGGTGGTGCACGGCTGTAGTCCCAGCTACTGAGAAGGCTGAGGTAGGAGGATCGCTTGAGCCCATGAGGTCCAGGCTACAGTGAACTATGATGGTGCCACTGCACTCCAGCTTGGGTGATAACAGCAAGACCCTGTCTCAAAAAAAAAAAAAAAAAAAAAATTCTGGGTTGTATTTCAGGTTTAGGGGCTTTTTTCATTTCTTTATTTCTAGTGATTAGTATTTCATTTTATAAAAGTATTAGTCGGCAGGGCACAGTGGCTCACGCCTGTAATCCCAGCACTTTGGGAGGCCGAGGCGGGTGGATCACGAGGTTGGGAGATCGAGACCGTCCTGGCTAATACGGTGAAACCCCATCTGTATTAAAAATACAAAAAAATTAGCAGGGCGTGGTGGCGGGCGCCTGTAGTCCCAGCTACTTGGGAGGCTGAGGCAGGAGAATGGCGTGAACCCGGGAGGTAGAGCTTCCAGTGAGCCAAGATCGCGCCAGTGCACTCCGGCCTGGGTGACAGAGCAAGACTCCGTCTCAAAAAAAAAAAAAAACAAACAAGGATTAGTCTATGACTTACTCGAAAAACAAAAGTGGTCCTGTACCACAGGCAGCTTGAGAAGCACTGTTAACAGACACGCTGGCATCTAGAAACTAATGTATGCCAGCACTATAAAACAATACGCAAAGTATTTACTCCAACTTATATTAGAATATGAACCTTCAAGCCATGTATAAAATGAATTTAAATTACCAGGACTTAATATGGTTCCATCTCTTAAGATTAATTTCACCAATCCTAGGTCCAAAAGACACATATAATAAAAGGATAGAAAAATTTGAGAGCCCAACTATGTAACTTATTTACCTCTGCCAGATGTATTCCACCATTTTGACTTATATTAATATATACTTCACTTCAGAAGTTAGTTTTATATACAAGAGAAAAAAATGACCGTAAAAGTTTAATAAAATGAGTTAGTTATAAAAGTTTCAGAGTCTGTCCCTTCCTCCCACCCCCCAAAAACCCTGAAAATATAAAGAATAATGATCTAATCTCTGTTCATTTGACCAATTGGATGACAAGACTATCATCCAAGATTCCTTACAAAGAACCACAGCTATATATCCCAAAGAATCAAACGCAGGTGCTCAAACAAATCCTTGTATGTGAATGTTTGTAGCAGTACTATTCATAATAGCCAAAAGACAGAACAATTCATATGTCTGTCAACAGATGAATGGATAAGCAAAATGTCATATATCCATACAGTAGAATGTTACTCAGCCATAAAAAGGAATGTAACACATTCAAAATGAAATACATACTAAGATACGTATGAACCTTAAAAACATTATGCTGAGTGAAAGGAGCCAGACACAAAAGGTCACATATTATATGATTCTATTTATATGAAATATCCAGGATAGGTAAATACATACAGACAGCAGGTTGGTGGTTGTCAGCAACTTGGGCACAGGGTTTTATTTGGGGTGACGAAAATATTTTGGAACTAGAAAGAGTTGTATTATATTGTATTATATATATGTATAATATTGTGAATGCATCAAATGCCTCTGAAATGGATAATTTTATGTTATGTGAATGTCACCTCAATTTAAAAAAAAGAGGCATAGTTATTGATGTGCTGTTATCTCAGTATTGACTGCTTATCCTGTTGATTAACACCACCAATACAATATGCTTTTGCTATTCTCTAAAAATTCACTCCATCACATATACTAAACTATATCAGGATTTATAGGTGGGGAAGGCCATTTACTATTACACAGTATGAATAAAATGAGAAATGAGGAGAACTTCAGAAATCCTAAAAAATAAATGTTAGTGACAGAAAAAGAAAATTAGGGAATAGGGAAGAGGAAACTAAAAACAAAGAAATATTGAGGACTCATCGCAAATCAAAGCAAAATAATTACAAATGGAGTCTGATTCAAGAAGGAAAAAAGACTGCAGTTGTCAGTGGTGATGGAGTATCTGCATATTTATATAGATTAGAAAGTGATGAAACACCTACAGAAGAGGAAAAAAGCTTTGAGGCCAGAGAGATATTCTCAATGTACCTATAAATTTATAAGGCAAAAAGCCCCACAACTCCCCTCCCCAAGTCAAACAAACAAAAGTTCTCCAACCCCTTATTACACTGGAATTTATAGACTAAATCAAGACCTATTCAATTACTCATCTTGGGAACCATACACTTATTTTTATTGAAACTCCACTTTGGGGTTATCTTCAAAGATTTTAAAAAAGATTAGTTTTGTTACTTCACATTCATAACACCTTTTAACCCAAAACACTACTCCAGCCGTTTCTAAGAGAATAGCAGTTTTTCAGTGTGTATCATTAAAATATTAAACTCAGATTAATCACTCATAAAACTATACTTACATATTCCTTCACGTTTTTTGTTTTCACAGCTTTGTATGAATAATATGCAGGATAAAGCATTCCAAACACCAGCCTAAAAGTAAAAAAAATGAGAATACTGTTCAAACACAACAATGTTTTAAACAGCTCATAAAAATTTAACCTAATAAACAAATAACTGTAAATTTGTGTGTAAATTAAATCCGCTCAGAAAAAGTAAAAATATATTTTTAATAAAAAGATAATTTAGCCAGGCGCAGTGGCTCACGCCTGTAATCCCAGCACTTTGGGAGGTCGAGGCAGGTGGATCACGAGGTCAGGAGATCAAGACCATCCAGGCTAACACAGTGAAACCCCATCTCTACTAAAAATACAAAAAAATTAGCCGGGCGTGGCGGGTGTGCCTGTAGTCCCAGCTGCTGGGGAGGCTGAGGCAGGAGAATGGCGTGAACCCAGGGGACGGAGCTTGCAGTGAGCCAAGATCGTGCCACTGCACTCCAGCCTGGGTGACAGAGCAAGACTCTGTCTCAAAAAAAAAAAAAAAAGATGATTTAAATATTTAGATAGCAGTTTCATGAAAATAAAAACTTTATTTTTTGAAAAAATTGACTTCTAAAACTTTTTATCTCATTGCAAAAAATATTCTGTGGTTCCTTGAACAACATTTAGAAAATGTAGGAAATCACCAATAATAAAATAAAAATTGCTCCAACCCTGCCAGTCAGAGATAATCACAGGCAATATCTTATTGCACACAAATCCCACTATTTATCCACGTGTAGTATACCTAAGACATAAACATACACGTACACAATTTGTGGTAATGAAAACTTGGTCCTTCACTCCACTAGTTAGAATCACTGGGTTCTAATTATGACAGAGTTGTAAGGCAATTCTTGATACATTAACTATAATATGCATTAAAATAACTTTAAGCATTTACAAATTGACTTTAAATCACGAATAGGACTTAATCTAATGCCATTTGTAAAGATCACCAAATCCCAGGTCCAAGACATATGTACAAATGAATAATGAAAAGATAGACACAGAAATCTCACGACACAGTATACACAGTTTACAATGGATATTTTCACATAATATGGCACAGAAGTTTTTTGTCCTCAAATGTTATCCTACAGTATTTTTATTTATTGATTGACCAATTGATTGACATGGAGTGTTGCTCTGCCACCAAGGCCAGAGTGTAGTGGTGCGATCTCAGCTCACTGCAGCCTCTGTCTCCTGGGGACAAGCAATTCTCCTGCCTCAGGCTCCTGAGTAGCTGGGATTACAGGTGTGTGCCACTATGCCCGGCTAATTTTTTTTGTATTTTTAGTAGAGACAGGGTTCGCCATGTTGGCCAGGCTGGTCTCAAACTCCTTACCTCAAGTGATCCACCTGCCTTGGCCTCCCAAAGTGCTGGGATTATAGGCATGAGCCACCATGCCCTGCCAGTATTATTCTCAATGTCTGCATTGCATCACACATTGACGTTCCTTTACTTTATGTAAACAATTCCATGCTTACAACCTTTTGATTAATTTCTGAGGTTTTACTATTCTACACAACACTGTGAAAAACTTTGTCATCACTGATGTTCACTTCTTGGTTGTGATGTTGCTGCTTCAAGGGGTACACACATTTTTATCTATTAACCAAAATGCCCTCCAGAAAGGCTGATCCATTTTACATTCCTATACATTGCTGATCATAGGTATCATCGTTAGGAAAAAAAAAAATTGCAAGCTAAACAGAAGAAAAACAATAACCTTATAGCTATTTTAATGCGCATTTCTTTTTTTTTTTCTGAGACAGGGTCTCGCCGTCGCCCAGACTGGAGTGCAGTGGTGTGACATCGGCTCACTGCAGCCTCCGTCTCCCAGGTTCAAGCGATTCTCATGCCTCAGCCTCCTGAGTACCTGGGATTACAGGCATGTGCTACCATGTCTCGCCAATTTTTGTATTTTTAGTAGAGATGGGATTTCGCCATGTTGCCCAGGCTGGTCTCGAACTCCTGACCTCAAGCAATCTGCCTGCCTCAGCCTCCCAAAGTGCTGGGATTACAGGCACAAGCCACAGCATCTGGCCTAATGTGTGTTTCTGAATACCAGCAAATTTGAAATTTTTTCAAGTGCTTACTGGCCTTTTGATGAGTATACGATAACTTTGTCTATTTGTTTTCTGTTGTTTTCAATGGCCATTTTTTGAGAATATTTTACAGAAAAGTTGGAAAGATAGTACAGATAGTTCCCATATACTACATACCCAGTTTCCCCTATTATTAACATCTTATATTGGCATGGTACACTTATTACAATTAATGTACCAGTGCTGATTTTTGTTTATCAATTAAACTTTATACTTTATTTAGGTTTCCTTAGTTTTTACCTAGTCTCCTTTCTCTATTCTAGGATAGCACATTACACTCAGCTACTCTCTTAGCTTTTTTGGCTGTAAATTTCTCAGACTTTGTTTTTTATCACCTTGACAGTTTTCAGGAGTGCTGGTTAAGTATGTTGTACGATGCTTCTCTATTCACTCTAATCATGATTAGAGTGAGATATGGGTTTTCGGGAGGAAAACCACAGAGGTCAAATGCAATTCTTATCACATTATATCAAGGACACAGTCTATCAACGTGACTTATCACTGCTGTTAATCTTGACCACCATGCTGAAGTAGGACTTTGTCAGATTTTGCTGTTACTCTTTTTTGTCCACTTTTTAGTACTATATTATTTGGAAAGAAGTCACCATGCACAGCCCATGCTTGAGTGGGGAGTTATTCTCTACAAATAACAAATCATCCCTTTGTTCAGTGTATCCATGCTGTACACATTACCTGCCCTGTAGTCGCTTATTCTTAGCAGCTGTTTTGGTTATCAGATTAAAAAAATATAGTATATATAGGCTTTGGTGTTATCCGTGGTTTCAGGCATCCACCAGGAATCTTGGAACATATTCCCCTCTGATAAAGGGGGACTACTGTATCTCCTGCCCCATTCCTAGAATCAGCTATTTCTCCAAGGAGCCCCAGTTCCTTTTATTGGAGAACAGTATTTGAAGCCAAGATCTGGGAGCTAAGTGTGCTCATTGCTACTGGAATGTTGTTGATTCTAGGTCCTTCCTTGTCTATTTTATATGTTAATCAATATTTTTGTAGGTTATTATCTTTTGTTTTAATTTACAAATTTTACAGAAATGCATGCATACTGTATTAGTTTGCTAGGGCTACCCTGACAAAATACCACAGACTGGGTGGCTTCAACTACAGAAATTTGCTTTCTCACAGTCCTGGAGGCTAGAAGCCCAAGACCAAAACGTTGGCAGATTTGGTGTCTTCTGAGGCCTCTTTCCTTGGCTTGTAGCCTTCTAGCTGTGTCCTCACATAATGGCCCCTCAGTTTGTGTGTGTGGCCTAATCTCTTCTTAGAAGGAAGCCAATCATACTGGATTAAGGCCCTCTCTAAAGACCGTACTTGAACTTAATCACACCTTTAAATAACTTAACTCCAAACGTAGTCACATTCTGATGCGCAGGGGGTTAGGACTTCAATATATGAAGTTTGGGGAGACAGAATTCAGCCCATAACACATATATATTTGTGAACCTTTAGAGTAAATAAGTGTTTGCATTTACATAAGTCTTTCTTACACTGGAGCAAATATTTACATCTCTCCATATTTTTAGTTCATTTATAGTTAGTTTGTTTACCAATTGATTGATTGCTGCAGAGGGCAGTACATGCCTGGTGGCTTCCTTATCCATTGGTTTGGGGCTTATGTCAACAAGTCACAGGAAGAATACGCTTCTCTTGCTGGGGATTTTATACTTACCAACTAGAAGCCACATCATTAACAATCTCTGCCTTAAGGCTAGGAGCAGTGGCTCATGCCTGTAATCCTAGCACCTTGGGAGGTTGAGGGGGATGGATTACCTGAGGTCAGGAGTTCGAGACCAGCTTGGCCAACGTGGGGAAACCCTGTCTCTACTAAAAATACAAAAATTAGCAGGCATGGTGATGCATGCCTGTAATCCCAGCTACCCAGGAGGCTGAGGTAGGAGAATCGCTGGAACCTGGGAGGTGGAGGCTGCAATGAGCCGAGATCGTGCCACTGGCACTCCAGCCTGGGCGACAGAGTAAGACTCCGTCTCTAAAAAAAAAAAAAAAAAACTCTGCCTTATTTAACAATATTACCTGTGAAAGCGACTTCACTGAACTGCCAACCCCCAGGCTCTGGATACAGGATTTTTAGCTGTGCCACAAAGCTTGGGGCTTTTCAATTTAACTTAGCACCCCCACCACTCCTCCACCGCACAGGAGCTTTTCAGTTTAGAGACATCTAAGGAAAAACTAACTAGAGTGTAAACAAGAACACAATTCCCAGATCTGCTGTGTGTTCATCCACACCGCTGACACTAGATATAATCCCAAAGTTATGTTTTACATATTCAAGCTAATTATTTTAATTCACTTTATATTTCCCTTTAGAACTTGGATACAATCAAAGTATTATCTTCTGTATTCTCATACAATCTAGTATCATCAGATTTACATTCAATGTGGGATTCTTCACTTCTTTCACTGATGGGGCTTTGATACCTCCTTCCCCCAGTACAACATTCTTCCCATCTGTAACCTACTCCTGGTGGTTCTCCCTTGGTGAGAGTACATGCATCCATTCTCTTGTTTTATTTTCAAACTCGTGGCCAGTAATACATCTGGGCTCATGCCATCTCATCGGACTTACTGAATAGCTTCCCAACACATTCCTCTGTGCCCACTGTCAGATCAGTTTTTCTAATATACCTGCAGCACTGCCTCACTTAAAGACTTCACTAGCGGGCCTCTTCACCCCTTGCTGGCTAGCCCCTCTGGGGGTGGCATCAGAACATAATTTGAAAAGCACTGCCTTATATAAACCATCTGTTCCAACATGGTTTCCTCAATATGCCTCTTGTATTTCTACTTCAATCCAGGAGCGTCTGCTTCATGCCTGGATTGCCTCCCTCCCTATCTTTCTTCCTCTTCTTTCTTCCCGGTCTTTATTTTCTTCCTTAATTAAAACACATATTTTTCTTCAAGATCTACCCTTCCTCCATAAACTTCTAAATTACCGCTATTTTGCATTTTAGAAGAATTTGTCAGGACTAGTCATTTTCCATTTAACATATTCATTTTAGATTGCTTGACATATTTCTTAAATGTATGTAACTGGCTTCCAAAGCAGATCATTTTCTCTCACATACGAAGGATTTGGTGCTAGTTGATACTATACATATATGTGCTTTGCCTTTATTTTTTAACTTCTGTATTAAAGAGAATAAGTCAAACAAATAAACAGAATACCCTTAACACCTCTTTCTTGTAAGAGTAGAAAGTAGAAAACAATAATCATTTCATTTGGAACATGGGTAAGATTGAATGTTTTAGTGAAGAGTGGGACCATTTTTAAGGACTGCTACTATTAATATAATTTATTACTGCTCCAATGTGAATATTACTGAGAATTTATTATTAATAACTGTAATATTTTCTAGGGTTTTGAGGGGCTTGTTTTCTTTAACACTGGGGTCTACTGTAGATGTCTGCAGCCTGGGAGGTTGGGCATAAAGCCAAAGCATGAGCACAGTGTGTAAAATCAAATAAAGTATATTTTACAGGGCCACCTACAAGATAAATGGAGGGCTTATAAAGGGAATATTTGCTACAAGTAAAATTCACTTACATTGAATATTGTTTCAGTTATAGAGACAAGAAGAAATAGTTACACCTTTCCTCTTTGCCTCATTTCCGTCTAAAGAGGGGAAATTTTGTCAAAATAAGATACTGTTCACCCCGACTAATGTAAAGTTGACTTTGGAAATGTACGAACGCTGGCTATGTTGAAAAATCTGCACCATTTTAAAAGATGAAAAATAAAACCACTTATGGGAATGCAGTAGTGGGAGATGGTCCTCATATCATTTTCAGATACGGAAAATACTTAAAACAGCTATTTTCTAGACAGATATTCAGACACAATTCATCCTTAACCAAACAAGTCTGATATACATCTCTCAAATGCTTTAAGAAACCATTAAAAAGTATAAATAATGGTTTAATAACAAAACTGGTCAAGAGTTAATTTACATTTAAACAGGTTACAAAGCACTAATATCAAGGATTTAATCTGTTTTTAATCTATTCTTCTTGTCATTCTTTTTAAAAAGTATTATGAAAAACAAAAATATGTAGAAATAGAATAGTATGAATATAATAAATCTCCATTACCTATTACCTAGTTTTAAGAATTATTAACAGTGAGCCCCCTTTTCCAGATTTTTTCTATATTTTTAAGAATCATTACTTGTAAACATAATTAACATTTTAAAAACAATATTTTATAACATCATTAGAAGATAATTTAAAACATAATTAACACCTTAGAGCATATAGAGATTTTTATCCTTCTGTTTCACTCAATGCTACATTATCAGCATTTTCTTATGTCTTTAAATATTCTTTAAAAATATTATTTAACAACTACATGGTATAGTATTCCCTTATATAAATGAAAATCATTCAAATCCTTTCCTACCTGTTTTCTATTTTAACTAATGCTACGAACAATCTTTCTATGATTATTAACAACAGCAATTATTTATTGACATTTCATAAGAGCCACAATGTTAAGCACTTTACTTATATCACTTGATTTTCACAACAACAACTAGAGATGGGTGTTATTTTAAAACCAATTTTACAGATGCAAAGACTGAGGCTTAAAAAGGTAAGAAACTAACCCAAGGTCATATAATTTGTAAGTCTGTCGGCTGCATTCAAAGCCAGGCACTCTTACTCCAGAATTCACACTTAAAATCTCTACTTCCTAATGATATTTTCCTAGAAGTGAAATAACTGGGTCAATTTTGAAGGTCCTCTGCCAACGTGCTCTTTAGAAGGGTAACACCTATACATATTACTACCAAGAATGTATGAAAATATCCATTTCAGGACTATTTAAAAAAATAAGAAAAAAGTCAACAGATGAATTAAGTAAAGTAAAAGAGTAGCTAACAGACATTCTGTTTGAAAAATGAATTGTATTTCTAAGGTAATAAGGTATGGATTAGAACAATTATGCAGTGTATAAATCACTACTAAAATGGAGAAAAATCCATAAATATCATAGTTAGTAGTGTTAATAATTAATTTCTGAACTAGCTATACTTTCCCCTGAAATTTTCTTTAGATTACAAATTCCCTCTCTAATATGACAAAATAATTTAAATTGTAGCTTGTTAAAAATAAATATAACAAATAATTTATTGCTGATAATCTACATATTACTTAAATGTAATATGACCACACTTATGCAAGAATTAGTTAGCCAAATTCCCCTTATTTCATGGCTTTCAGAATCATGCTTCTAAACAACAACAAAAAAATTAATTACAGTGTACTATTAGACTAAGGGACTAAAAACAACTCAATGAGACTAGAGGTAAACTAAAATAGGATAGCTAATATTAAACAAACAAAATAAACTAGAGGATCAAAAATTGGAATGATGGAAGACATGTCCCAAGCTCATTAGAATAAATTAGTCACAATTCACACACACACACACTATATACACTCTCAAAAATCAATACAAAATACAACACTCCAGCCTCTTTTTTAAAACTATTTTTTATTTTTTTTGACACAGAGTCTTGCTCTGTTGCCCAGGCTGGAACGCAGTGGCATGATCTTGGCTCACTGCAACCTCCGCCTCCTGGGTTCAAGTGCCACCATGCCTGGCTAATTTTTGTATTTTTTTGTAGAGAGGGGGGTCTTGCCATGTTGGCCAGGCTGGGCTCAAACTCCTGGTCTCAAGCAATCTGTCTGCCTCGGCCTCCCAAAGTGCTGGGATTGCAGGTGTGAACCACTGTGCCTGGCCTCCAGCCTCTTATCGAAGAGTATAAACTCCATTAGTAATCCAGTTTATACTAGAGATACCATCTAAAACCCATGAAATTTACATAAGATGTGAAGTAAGGATGGCAAAGATGCAGAGGTAACTGTGCTACTCCTCCTTCTTGTGATCAAGTCAGAGATTGCTAGGCATTCCCTACATTTGTTTCTGCTGACCCTGGTCTCAGAATTCTTGTCAACACAGCACCATAACCTCACGCTAACCAAGGACAGGAGCTAGGTAAACCTATCTGTCATCTTTTGCCAACATTGTTGTAAATCTTTATTCCTCTAGGTGATGTTATTCTAACTTGATTACTAGGTTATATTCCTAAATTATTACACCTGTCTCCTTTGGGGGGAAAGTCATACTACATTCTTGATTTTTTTGAAGTATATTATAATAATCTGCTCTATAAAATCCATAAGAAGTAGAGAAATACGGCACTATTTTATTAGTCAGTATCCCTACATATGAAATTTCATATGAGAGATTTACTCTGAAATTCAGTACAATGCAATGCTTAGCTTTCTTTGAGAAATTGATGCCTTCCTTCCATCTGAAAAGAATTATATTATTCCTTGCTTCCCTCCATGGGTTGCCAGGAAACTCAGAATCAAATCTGTTGTTCTACTATATCAACACTTGTGGTCCTCAGAACTGGCATATTTATATTTGTACTCACCAAATTTTTATTTTCTTTGATTGCTATTTTCTAGTCTCAATTCTGTTATTTTTCTTTATAATTTAACATATCAATTTGGAAAAAAAATTCTCAAATCATTTGAAAGAACATAACAGAGCATAAACAGTTAAAATGTAGTAGTCAGTGTAATTAAGCACAAAATGCAGCTCTAAGGTGCCAGGCAAACCAAGAAAAGACTGGTCCCCAACCCTGCAACACGTCAAAATCACCTGGAGAGCTTCTTCTTTGTTGTTGATAAATTTAACGTAGGTAATTAATTTAAACAATAGAATAAGGAAGAAAACGCTAAGCAAAAACCTCCCATTTTGAAACAGTGGCATTTCCCAAAGATAAGCATGGAAACAGTTTATTTGGTATCCAAACAGTAAGATAAGTTATACATATAACATTTATTAAAGACAAAGGGAAATAGTCAAAAACTCATTATTTTCTAATTATATTTATTCCTAATTATTTTACATTTTACTATGCTCTTCAAGTTATATACTTCTATTCTATCTGTATGGTGGAAATACTAGAAATACTAAGTGTGCTGTGTGCATTTCTTTCCAGCTCCACATTCAGTGAGGTCACGCTGCGAGCTTGAACTAGGCTATTGTAGGCAGTACTTTACATCACAGAAATTAGCAAATTGTATGAATCAGTCCTCTTTCCCTCAGTTGTCAAGCATTACCGGCACACCACTGCCTACATGGGTTTTAGCCAAGGGAAACTATAGTATGTTTTTATTGGGAGGACAATGGAACACTATACATAGGGAGAATTCACAGAATTTAGTGAAATCAAAAAGGCAGCCCATTATAACAACCAAGTTTCCTGGCTTGACCCTGGGATCAAAAAACAAGCAAAGGCCGGGCGCGGTGGCTCACGCCTGTAATCCCAGCACTTTGGGAGGCCGAGGCGGGCGGATCACGAGGTCAGGAGATCGAGACCATCCCGGCTAAAACGGTGAAACCCCGTCTCTACTAAAAATACAAAAAATTAGCCGGGCGTAGTGGCGGGCGCCTGTAGTCCCAGCTACTTGGGAGGCTGAGGCAGGAGAATGGCGTGAACCCGGGAGGCGGAGCTTGCAGTGAGCCGAGATCCCGCCACTGCACTCCAGCCTGGGCGACAGAGCGAGACTCCGTCTCAAAAAAAAAAAAAAAAAAACAAAACAACAAAAAAAAAAACAAGCAAACAGAAAACAAAACAAAACAAAACAAAACAAAACAAAAACCCCACCAATTTTAAAAATGATTTCATGTAAAATTAAGAGAGAGGGCAAATTTTTCTGTCATTTATAATAGTTCACTCAAATTCTGTTTGAGTATTAGTTCTCTAATATTAATATAGACTGTAATGAATTTAAAAAATAGAATCATAGGCCAGGCATGGTGGCTCACGCCTGTAATCCCAGCACTTTGGGAGGCCAAGGTGGGCGGATCATTTGAGGTCAGGAGTTCGAGACCAGCCTGACCAACATGGTGAAACCCTGTCTCTACTAAAGATACAAAAAAAAAAATTAGTCGGGCATGGTGGCCCGCGCCTGTAATCCCAGCTACTTGGGAGGCTGAGGCAGGAGAATCGCTTAAACCTGGGAAGCGGAGGTTGCAGTGAGCTCTGTTGCAGTGGGTGACAGAGCGACTCTGTCTCAAATAAATAAATAAATAATAAAATAAAATCAGAATCTTAATCTCAATGAGGAATCCCAGAAATAGTTTATAAGAATGGTTTTCTGGTTTTTTTTCAAGGTAGCATTTTTCCCCCAGAGGAAATGTTTCTTAGGAACTTCATAAATAAAGAGATAAATGCAGTTAACAGGTTCCTAAGACAACTTATTTTCACTGATTGTAGAATCCTCTGATGAATTTTAAACCCTTGACAATTATTTGAAAAGTGCCCCTTACAAATGGTTCAGTAGCTCCCAAACCTGTCTATGTAAAATAATCAACTGGGAAGGAGGATTTTTGGCAGTAGGGCTCAAGGATCTGAATTTCTAAATTCTGCATCTTCAACAAACCAATGTGTGACAATATTATGCTTAGTTTGGTGTTGGATTAAAACTGATTATGATTAAGCAATATGTTGTCAGTACAGTACGTTGGTTAACTGGATTTTTTAAAGTAATGTGAAAGTCATTATAGGTTATCTGGACTTTTGCCACGCTCTATCCTTCACTTAGATGCAAAAATAAATGTAAGACATCATGATAAAAGAAGAGAGAGTTACAAAGAGTAGACTAAATGGTTACAAGTAGTGCAAAGTCTACTGATAACCAAGGTACCTGTGTATATTCTCCCTGTGATAAACTTCCTACATGAGTTTTTCTGCCATGGCAGCCATCAGGTAGCAAAGGTCATGCATGATCACTGCCAAAATAATATGTAATTTTTGTCTTACACAAATTTTAAGAAAAATACATTTGTTGCTAAAAATCTCTGTCAGTAGAGAATTCCCATTTAGTAAAACAATGGTTAAGTGACTAAACCTTAAAGAAAAATATGAAAATTCCATACAAGGAGAAAGAGTCAAACCCATGGGGAAAAAAACAACAACAGCCCCAAATCCTGAATTCTATAACCAAAGGTCCCCATGTTTAAAACCATGAAGGAGAGAAAAAGACAGTGGAAATTCCTTTGAAAGACTTTATGTTTTTCATAATACTCATCAAAAGCTATGAAACTTGGAATTTTCATGTTAGAGCTAAACTTAGCTAAATTGGAGCTACATTTCTAATTTTACTCCAGAGCCTATAATTTCTATTCTAAAAGGAAAGGTAAAGATGAAACTAGAGGGGAAAAAAAATCAAGCTACAGCAACTCAGACTCAAACTTCCTCATCTCCTCACTCTCTCCCCACTAGCCACGCCCCACTACAACCACAAGGGCCTACCATGTGGTAGACCCCAACAAAAAAATGTTTAGAAGAATGCTGAACTTGGAACAGAGTACACTGTAGAATCAAGGGCTACAAACCCTTGAAGCACTCCAGTAACTCAGCATCCTGTGGGTAGAGTACCACAGAATGGCTCATAGGGCTGAAAGAAGACAATGGTCCCTACAATCTACAGCACTCCACAGTTTTCCAGCTGCAATTTTTCCATCCTGATTGTCATTACACACAGAAAATTCATAGGCGAGGTAGGTGCTATTGTTCTAGTTCTACAGATGATAAAAGTAAGGCTTAGAGAGATTAATGATCTTATGAATTAAGCACATAGCAAGTGTTAAAGCCAAAACATAGAACTTCTAATTTGAAGACCTGTGCTCTTTCCTCTATACCAAAAAACTGTCCCCCAAAGAAAACCTGTATTTCATACAATGTATAGCTCATAGCAGATCCCCAATATTAACAGTTCGATGATGTCAATATTCCGAAGTTCTCTAAACAATTGTAATTCCACAGGCATACTACTGTCATATAAAAAAAATATCTGAGACCCATTTTCTGATTGTATACTAAGTCTACATAAAGGAATATGCATGTCTTTAATCAACAATCATCACACCCTTTAATTCCTATCAAATGATTACTCATGATCTGACCAATTCCTGATTCCTGAGTAACTCTTGACTCAGAGGAGTTGTTTACTTTATTTAGCCCCTTAAGCACAGGATGTGTAAAATTTGAACTTACCATTAGGCCCACTGACTTAAAGATAACGTGAAAGTTCAATTGCAATCTAAGGTTTTTTTTTTTTTTTGAGACGGAGTCTTGCTCTGTCACCCAGGCTGGAGGGCAGTGGTGCGATCTCCACTCACTGCAAGCTCTGCCTCCCGGGTTCACGCCATTCTCCTGCCTCAGCCTCCTGAGTAGCTGGGACTACAGGCGCCTGCCACCACGCCCAGCTAATTTTTTGTATTTTTAGTAGAGACGTGGTTTTACCGTGTTAGCCAGGATGGTCTCGATCTCCTGACCTTGTGATCCAACCGCCTCGGCCTCCCAAAGTGCTGGGATTACAAATAGGCGTGAGCCACCGCCCCCGGCCAATCTAAGTTTTAAAAAGCTTCTGGTGAAGAAAAAACATGTACAAACAATTGTGAAAACATTGCAAAAAATTTCCTCTCCTGAAATACATCCGTCTCTACAAATTAAAGGAGGATGAGTAAGGAAAGCCATAAACACAAATTCTACCCTATTCTGTGCAATTCATTCAGTATCACATGACCACAAAGTGAACTTCTCTAAACTGAACTCAGATATAAAATTCTGGCCAAGCCCTCCCATAGAACATTCATACCTAATGTACAGTCTAAGCTACAGTCACCTACAGGCACTTCACCAATGAGCATGAAAACGCTTCACCAGGTTAATTTAATATTTTGCTTTCAAACAATCTTTTAAGTCTCCATTAAACAATAACAGGTATCACTGACGGCATACTACATGTCAAGGCACTGTGTTTTTCTATCACTAGGGATACATCAGTGAACTTGCTATCGCTTTTTAATGAAAATTAAATTTGTGATGATTTGGAAACCAAAACATTCTATTTTCATATTTCTTAAACCACTTCCTTCATTCCATTTATTCAAATCACTCTAATACCTCCAGCATCTCCAACACAGTAATTTTTTCCCATGCCACTCCCTGTAGCTAGAACAATCTCGCTCTTCATGTTGTGAGCTCTCCCTCCTCTCAGAGCCACACTGCCTGTTTACTGTCTTTCATTAACGGGGCTTTAAAAAAAGGTTTGGTCTTCTTATTTTGTAAAGTAAGTGAACAATAACAGAAGTTACATTACAGAAGTAACAACCAGAACATAAAAATTAAGTCATTGTAAAAGCATTTGTGAGTATTCTCCATGTTCTCTTGAGATGGTCAACTGACAAAGACAATGTCTAAGTACTTTCTTACTACAAGAAAATCAGAGAGGTGGGAACTTTATTTCTATCTGGGACAACCTGACAGAAAAAGAAACAAACATGTGCCACAAGAACTACACTACCACCTAATTTAATTCTGACATCAGTAATTACAGCACAAAACCAGCAGACTGGCTGCTTGGCACTAGCAAGCCCCCTGTGTCTAATGAAACGTCACTCAAAGGCAGTCTGGGATGATCCTACTTGAGAAATGGTATAATCTCCACCAATCCTAACTTTACTACTTTTTTCCTCCCTAAAGAAACATATACAAGTGATTAAATGAAGGGCAGTCCATCTATCAACTGAAAAGAAGGGGTGTTAAAATTCCTCATCATGAGGGCACTGTTCTGCTAGGGAGAAAAAAGAGAAATGACAATAAGATGCAATGCTATTTGATTGGATTCTGTATTAAAAACAATAACCAGGTAGCTACATAAGGCACTACTTGGGCAACTTGGGTATTTTGGATATGAACTACTTTAGGTATTAATAGTTCATCAATGTTATATTTCTTTCTTTTTTTTTTGAGACGGAGTCTTGCTCTGTGGTCCAGGCTGGAGTGCAGGGGCAAAATCTCGGCTCACTGCAGGCTCCGCCTCCTGAATTCATGCCATTCTCCTGCTTCAGCCTCCCGAGTAGCTGGAACTACAGGTATGTGCCACCACACCCAGCTAATTTTTTTTTTTTTGTATTTTTAGTAAAGACAGGGTTTCACCGTGTTAGCCAGGATGGTCTTGATCTCCTGACCTCGTGATCCACCTGCCTCGGCCTCCCAAAGTGCTGGGATTACAGGCGTGAGCCACTGTGCCCGGCCCCAGTGCTGTATTTCTTAAGTGATATTTGTCTTGTGACTATATAAGATAATGCCTTATTTAGGAGATATAATAATTAAGACAGAAATGCCATAATGTTGGCCACTTACTCTTTTAAAATAAAATTTTAATTTTAGAACAGTTTTGCAGAAAAAGTGTGAAGATAGTACAGATAGTTCCCATAAACTCCACAACTGATTTCTCTTATTCTTAAAATTTTACATTGGTATGACACATTTGCCACAATTAAGAAACTAATAATAATATATCGTTATTAATTGAAGTCCATACTTTATTCAAATTTTCCTGGTTTTTCCTAAGGTCTCATTTCTTTTCCAGGATCCCATCTGGGATCCCATCCATTTACCATATCATGTTTACTCATCATGTTTTCCCAAGCTCCTCACTAAGTTTCTCAAGCCTGAGTTTTGATAGCCTTGATAGTTTTGAGGAGTGCTACTTAAGTATTTTTTAGAATGTCCCTCAATTAGGGACATTTGTCTGAAATTTTTCTCAAGATTAGACTCAGGTCATGGGTTTTTGGGAGTAATATCACAAAGATGATGTGGCTGAGGTAGTATATGTTAGGTAAAGTTACTGGCGCCCCTCCCCAGATTTACATACCACGTTTTTTGGCAGAAAGTCACTATGTACAGCCTTAAGGAGTGGGGAGTGATGCTCCATTTCCTTGAGGGCAGAGTATCTACATAAATTATATGGATTCTTCTCCAGGAGAGATTTACCTATTCTCCTGTATTCATTTATTTATATGAGTATGGACTCATGATATTTATTTTATGCTTTGGATGGTATAATCCAATACTACTTTATTTTGCTGCTTAAATTGTTCCAGATCTCCTTGGGTCACTGGGATCTTTCTCAATGTCCTGTGTCCCTACGACATACCTACATTGTTTTTGTTTGAGCACTTTCTTTACTTTCTGGCACTACAAGATGCTGCAGGCTCATCATGTATATTTCCTGCCCATTCCTAGAATCAACATGTCTCTAAGGAGCCTTTATTCCTTTTATTGGAAAATGGTATTTGAAACCAAGATCTGGACACTAGCTATTCTTGTACTACTGGAGTGTTGTTGATTCTAGTGTTAGTTTTATATGTTAATTGTCTGTTTTATATGTTGTTATTTTTATAGATTATTGTTACCTTTTGATTTTATGAATTTTGCTGAAGTGTATATATTGTATATCTGTGAACCCTTGTATTAAATAACTTTGCATTAAGACTTTCCTACATTGAAAGCAAGCAAATACCTGTATCTCTATATATTTTTAGTTCATTTATAGCTTATTTATTTTCTTTTGATGGAGAGGATAGTAGATACTACCTGAGGTCCTTAGCCTTGACATCCTTATCCTTCCTTAACCTGGAGCTCTAGGTTTGTGGCTTATTGGGCCCAAGGAGGAATGCCAACTCTTCCTCTGTTGGGGATTCCATCCTTACCAAATCTCTGCCATCCTTAACAATACTACCCTGTGAATGCTACCTTACCAGAAGTGCCAACTCCTAGACTCTGGATATGGGATTTTTAGTACTTGGGGCTTTTCAATTTAACTTATCCCCACCCCTACCTAAACTCAGAAATTTAGAGACTTCTAAGAAAATTAACCTTAAGAACTGAGCTGTAAATAAGAATTCCCAGGTCTGCTGTGTGTTCATCCACACTGCTGACACTAGATATAATCCCATAGTAAGCCATCTAGTTATATTTGATATATTCAAGCTAATTATTGTAATTCACTTTGTAATTCCCTTTAGAACTTGGATACAATCAAAGTATTAACTTCCATATTCCCAAACAATCTAGTACCATCAGATTTACATCCAACATGAGATTCTTCACTTCTATCACTGGATGGGGCTTTGATACCTCCTTCCCATGGTATAATATTTCTCCCATCTGTAACCCAGTCCTGGTGGTTCTCCCTTGGTGAGAATACATGCATCCATCCTCTTGTTTTATTTTCAAACTCGTGGCCAATAACACATTTGGGCTCACGCCATCTCATCGGATTTACTGAACAGCTTCCCAACACATTCCTCTGTGTCCACTGTCAGATAAATCTTTCTAATACACCTGCAGCACTGCCTCACTTAAAGACTTCACTAGCAGGCCTCCTCACCCCTTGCTGGCCAGCCTCTGTGGGAGTGCATCAGAACATAATTTGAAAAGCACTGCCCTATATAAACCATCTGTTCCAGCATGGTTTCCTCAATATGCCTCTTGTATTTCAACTTCAATCCTGGGTTATGATTCTTAGCTGGAATGCCTCCTTCCCTCCTCATCTTTCCTCTTCCCCACGTGGATCATTCTAGCTTCCTCCCCTTTCTTATCTGTACCCTAACATTCCAACAATGAGAAACATTTACTTAACTGTTTAATTCCAGTAAACATATATGGTGGTTTCAGAATTGCTAACCATACACATTCATGGTATACAACTTTATCAACTACAGTAGTATCATGTACGAGTCTTTTTGAGTTCAGTCTTACTGATTCCAATCATTTCCAAAGTTACTTAGATCAGCAGCTTTTCTCTCTATTCCCTTCGACAACGTCACCCAAACTGGAGTACAGTGGTGTCATCACAGCTTATTGCAGCCTCAAAATCTGGGCTCAAGGGATCCTCCTGCCTCAGCCTCCTGAACAACTAGGATGACAGGCGAGGGCCACCATGGCTAGCTAACTTTCAAATTTTTTGTAAAGATGGGGTCTCACTATGTTATCCAGGCTGGTCTCCAACTCCTGGGCTCAAGTCATCCACCAGCCGTGGCCTCCGAAAGTGTTGGGATTACAGGCATGAGCCACCACACCTGGCTGTTCTTTCTTTATCTCTCTCCCCACTCCACACCTCTGCCTTCTATGGAATAAATGAGACATAGTTCTTTATTTCTTTGGTTTCTAGCTTTATGCTATTAGACTACCTACACTAGGTCAGTCCTTGGTGTTGCTTTTTGCCCAACATGCCCCATGAGAACATGAAAACCAAAATGTCAAGGTTATCAGGTTTCAGGAAATGTCCTTAGGTGAAAGGTGGCTTTAGTTCTCTCTTTACCTTTCTTGGCCTCTGGCCTCTGAGTAAGCTGTACTTTTTAATAAACTCAATGGTGCATTTAAAAAAAAAAAACTCAAAGGGCACTTATTTTGACTCTTACAAGAGATCACCATCAAACATTTCCAGTTCTGAGAACTTACATGTAACAGTAGTATATTCTTTATACAATATTCATTGGTTCTAAAGTTTTTGGTTGACCATGTTATCAAGTAGTATTTGATTATCATTTTGTTTATACAAAAACTCGTGGTCTGAATGGCTTCCCTGACTGGTGCATTGAGAAAGCGTAATTAAATAAATATTTTAGCTAGCATTTTTTTTTTCAATGGGAGGGCCCATCGCAGTTACATTTTTGTTCATTTTGCTGAAAATAAAACCCTAAAACCTGATCTTTAAATTTTCAGCAGCTTTGTTCTAAAAAAGGACAATCAGAAATATCCATAAAAGAAAATCAGTTTCTCATTAGGCACTTCTGGGAATAGATAAATAAAACAGAGGTATAGGAGTTCCCTATACTTGATGTGAATTATGTAAATTAAGCACCTAAACTACTGCTTATGCAGGGGAGTGTCTAATGTTCTTTGATGCTTATGGTAAAAAAGCTCTTCTTTAAATGGTAATTGCATGTTCAAGAATAGATTTTTTTTTCTTTAAATGTACCATCATTCAATTTTTAGGCCAAATTTGAACAATCTCAATTTCTATTCAATTCTAAAGATTTAATAGCACAAAATAAAAACTCAGGAAGCTCTAATTCTTTCCCCAAAGATATATAAAGAGAATGGAAATGTGGTACAGCATTACATAATGTTGCCACCCACTCCAGAAACAGAAATGAGTGCCTAGCAACAGTAAAGGGTCATCTCAGGAGAGTGCTGATTGCTCATTGGAGCATTCTAAACACAGATGCTTTTCTATCCTTATCACTTCCAGTCCCCGCTGAACACAGGCTGGTTACCTTGGATCCCAGTGCCATCTCATGAAAATCTTCTTATGACAATCAATAAGTGACACTCAGGGCAGCCTCTACCTTTAGGTTACATCCTTGGGAAAAACGTCAAAATAGATTTTGAAGCATTAGAAGAAAATAGGCATTCTTTGTACAGAATTGTCTCAGTGTTCTCCTTCCCTGGTGATATTTCTTTTAAAATATGAGTTGTTAGTGTTTGTAGTGGTATTTTTCTGACCTCATTCTCCATTCCACAGGTTTTAGCTGCAAGGCTGAGGCATCCAACTCTTAATAAAGAGGTTATGCATGAGTGTGAGTGTGCCCAATATTATCTGATGCAAATGGTAGAAGAGCTTTTCTTAAAATAGTAATCTCATCTTCAAGAATACATTTTTATTCTCTTTAAATGTACAACCATTCACATTTTAGGCTAAATTTGAACAATCTTGATTCCTATGCAATCCTAAAGGTGTGATGGTACAAATAAAGGCCCAGGAATCTCTAGTTTTTTCCCCAAAGATATAAAAAGAGGATAGAAATGTGGTCCAGCATTACATAATGTTGCCACCACTCCAGGAAAAGAAGTGAGAGCACCTTTTCCTATGTTTCTTGGCTACTTGCATGCACCCCACCCCTTTTTTGGTGTGAAGTATCTTGTCCATTTTTCTTTGTATATTTTGAATATGAGCCATTTTTTGCATTTACATGTGATTTTCTCCCATTTTGGCTTCTTTTTTCACTCTCAATGGTGTCTTTGATGAAGAGAAGTGCTTAATTTTAGTGTTTTCCCATTTGTCATTATCAGCCTTTTCTTTCATGATTAATGCTTTTCTGTATCATGTTTAAGGTTGTTTTTGGTTATCTTAAAGTCGTGAAGAATTGGCCAGGCATGGTGGCTCACGCCTGTAATCCCAGCACTTTGGGAGGCTGAGGCAGGCAGATCACGAGGTCAGGAGTTTGAGATCAGCCTGGCCAACATGGTGAAACCCCGCCTCTACTAAAAATACAAAAATTAGCTGGGCATGGTGGCGGGCGCCTGTAATCCCAGCTACTTGGGAGGCTGAGGCAGGAGAATTGCTTGAAACTGAGAGGCGGAGGTTGTAGTGAGCTGAGATTGCACCACTGCACTCCAGCCTGGGTGAAAGAGTGAAACTCTGTCTCAAAAAAAAAAAAAGTCACGAAGAAGTTTTCTATATTATCTTTGAGAAGCTTTACTGTTTTATTTTTATCTGTGATCCAACTGGAATTTATTTTTTGTGTTTGGTCTGAGATAGGTGACTATGATTCTGCAAGTGATGGATATCCAATTGGCATACAATCATAATTGCGAATAGCCATCTTTCCCCAATGCTGTGTAGTGCTACCTTTGTGATAAGACAAATGCCTATATATGTATGGGTCACTTTCTAGACTCTGTGTTTTTTATTGATCTATGTGTCCATCTTTGACCCAATACCATGTTGTTGTAATTACTGTAGCTTTATAATCAATCTTGATATAAGTAACTTATTCCACTACTAATATCTATACGGCATCCCAGTATTTTGTTCTTTGCTCTTCTACTTCAAGATTGTCTTGACTATTCTTGGCCCTCTGCATTTCCATATACATTTTATAAATAACTTGTCCATTTTCTTCTCTTCTCTAGGTATACTTACTCCCTACTTCATGAACTCATGAGGTTTCTTCACTTTGAATATTCACAGCCAATCTGTCAAACAATCCTATGGGTTCTATCTTTAAAATGAATCTAGCATCTGACCACTGCTACCAGCCTGGTCCAAGTCACCACCCACTACTCACCACTACTCGCTGGTTTATTAATACAGCCTCTTAACTCGTTTCCAAGCTTCCATCTTTGCTTCGATACAGGCTGTTCTCTGTAGTAGAGCTTTTAAAACACAAAATCTGATAATATCACTTCTCTGCTCAGAACCCTCCAACAGCTTCCCACCTCACTCAGAGCCAGTTCCAGTGTCTTTAACAATGGCCTACACCTCTGGTCACACTACTCTGCTCCAGCCACATTGACCTCCATGTGATGAGTACAGACCTGACTTAGGGTTTACACCCGGTTGGCTTCCTTCCTGGGACACTCTTCCCCAGAATCTGTGTGGCTAATGCCTTCACCTTTAACTCTGTTCAAATATCCACTTCTCAGAGGCTTTCCCCAACTACCTTATTTAAAATTGCAAGTTACCCCGAGACTAAATGAAAATTTGATTCCAAACAAAATGTTTTACCTTCAACAGAAATGTAACACCATAAAGAAGATGAGGCTGGGCGCAGTGGCTTACGCCTGTAAGAATCACTCGAACCCCGGAGGCAGAGGTTGCAGTGAGCTGAGATCGTGCCACTGCACTCCAGCGTGGGCAACAGAGCAAGACTCCATCTCAAAAAAAAAAAAAAAAAAAAAAAAACAGAAGTTGGCCAGGCGCAGTGGCTCATGCCTATAATCCTAGCACTTTGGGAGGCCGAGGTGGGTGGATCACGAGGTCAAGAGATCGAGACCATCCTGGCCAACGTGGTGAAACCCTGTCTCTACTAAAAATGCAAAAATTAGCTGGGCATGGTGGCGGGTGCCTGTAGTCCCAGCTATTTGGGAGGCGGAGGCAGAAGAATCACTTGAACTTGGGAGGCGGAGGTTGCAGTGAGCCGAGACCGCACCACTGCACTCCAGCCTGGCAACAGAGCGAGACTCCATCAAAAAAAATAAATAAATAAAAAGAAGTTCAAATGTTCTATAACGCTGTAGGATGGCTATAGTTAACAGTAATACACAGTTTCAAATAGGTAGAACCAGAATATTGAATATTCCCAGCACAAATAAATGGTAAACATTTGAGATGATGGGTATGCTAATTACATTAATCTGTTCACTGTATGTTATATGTATGTCTAAATATATTATGTAAATTTTAAAAATTAAATTTAAAACAAAGAAACAAGTACCCATAATCACCACAAACAATTTAAAAAGCAAAGTTTTTCATTTGCTTCAAATAGCTAATTCTGTCTTCTTTGTATTTATTAAAAAATAAGATAGCCACAGAAATTAATCTAATCACAATAAATACCCCAGAGTTGCAGATGATAACTTTTTCTGCTGGTCATAGAAATCACTGTTCCTTTGTATTTTGCATTTTTAACATATGAAGAAGAGCTATATAAATCAAATAGTCTTTGCTTTGGTGACATTTAACTAATCCCTAATGCATATACATACGGGGAGAATTGGGTCGTCTTCTCAAAATCTTAACATAGGGTATTTTTTTCCAATAGCAGTTTTACCAAATGTTACTTTAAAAACTTACTACATATTATCCATACTAGAAAATATATGTAATATGTGCAAGTTATGAAGTCTAACAACAAAATGAACACATGCAAACCCAGTATCCAAATTAAAATGAAAGCATTGCCCTAACATCCCATCTGCTTCTGTGTACCTTCCTTATCTAAAGTGCTCTGTTCACCCTTTCCCCAACAACACACTTGCTGTTGTTTAAGCTCATCATTCCTTCTCTAAACCTTTTCTTCCTCTCATGTTTGACACCTCCCACTCAAGGATCCAAGCCAGAAATCTGAAATTCCTTCCTCCTCCTCACACCCAATCGTCAAGTTTTGTCAAATTCTCCCACCTCCCCTAAATCTCTTTCATATCTGTTCCCATGTCCCAAATACTCACTTCAGCCTTAATTCTGACCTTTCTTATTTTTCATGGGAACTGTCTGCCCTCATTCACTTTCCTTACACCCCCTGTTAATATCAATCATCACTTAAAATATTTCAACAACCTTTCCTTGCTTTCTCATTAAAGAAAAATCCCCTCATAGGCTATGCAGGTTAGACCAAATTGATCTAACTCCTTTGACTTCTCCAGTTTTATCTTTTGCATCTCTGTGCCCCACTGATATTGAACTGCTTGATTTCTGAAGAGAGTCATATTATTTTTTTCTGCCTTGGCATATTTTGTTCTCTCTGACTGGGGCCTTTTTACAAGGAAGATAATTTCAAAGATGAAATTGAAAGTTCATTTTCTCTGGGAAAATATCTTTGCCTCCTCTAGGTGAGGAACCCTTTCTCCATGTTCTCATAACATTTTGTACATACTTGAAGTAGCAGTGTGACTTTGGGCAAGTTGTTAACCTTTCTGTGTCTGTTTGCTTTTCTCTAAAAACGTAACAATAATAGTACACATCTTGCTGTGAACATTAAATGAGTTAAACCATATAATAATGCCAGGCACACGGTACACATTTTGTAAGTATTACTAGTATTACTGTCATCAGACGATATTATGTTCACTGACTTTCCCGTTTGTGGTCTCTGTGTTGGGTATTGCTTTAAAACGGAAACTGTGTCATGCTTAGCTCTGCATCCCCAGGCCTGATACGTAGTAGGTATTCAATAAATACTTGCAGAAAGAATAAAAGAAAAAAATCCCTTTCTTTACTGTGGATAGGAAGGCAGAACTGAATCTTCTGTACACACAATTTACGTAAGTTGAGACTAGAAAATGAAAATGTGACAAAAGAAATGG
Organism: Homo sapiens; assembly: GCF_000001405.40. Taxonomy (NCBI): domain Eukaryota; kingdom Metazoa; phylum Chordata; class Mammalia; order Primates; family Hominidae; genus Homo; species Homo sapiens. The sequence goes on along the minus strand of NC_000010.11, from coordinate 63,543,557 downwards.
ACAAACTGCTAAATATTCTGACAGTTCTTTGACTTGCTTTTATGGTTTTAAAACACAATAGTTAGACCTTGTCTCTAAAAAAAAAAAAAAAAAACTTAATGGGGCATGGTGGTGCAAGTCTGTAATCCCAGCTACTTGGCAGTTTGAGTCAGAAGGATGGCTTGAGCCCAGGAGATGGTGGCTGTAGTGAGTCATGACTGTGCCACTGTACTTTAGCCTGGGCAACACAGCGAGACCCTGTGTCAGAAAATAAATAAATAATTCCAAACAATACAAGTTTTCCATGTTATTAAAACATGAGAAAGATTAAAGAAAACCAATGTAGAACAGAATTTTCATGTGAACAGATTTGTGGGAAATAATAAAATGATTATTATTTTAAGTCACTAAGTTATTGGGTGGTTTGTTACACAGTATTAGATAACTGAAAGCAGCAAGAAACTCCAGGTGGCCTTGGTGGCAGTGAACACAGACTCCTGAGGTCACAGAAAGCCAGGGGTGAATCATTACTGCTGGATGAATGGCTGGGGAGGAGCACTGGGGTATAATAAAACATAGAGAAACGTGGCAGCAATATGGCATGAGGAATAGCTAGAGGAGAGAACTGCAGGGCTGCACGATGCTACTCTGATGATACCTGTGGCATCCTGTACCTTGAACGTGCCCAGAGAGACATAGTAAAGAGCTGAGGTCGTACCTAAGTTAGACATGTTAGAATTATTAATCTATTAGACTTACGGTCAAACTGTTAAAGTCACCTTACTTAAGGTCCACAAATTGGCATCTACATGATATTAAGATGTGAAAAAACTCCAAAATATAAAAATTCCAGAAGCTTATTTTTCATCATCTTTCATTTCTTTATAATTCTAATAATGTTCTTACAAAAGGGTTGCGAGTCTGAAATACTGATTAGTGCCTTGCTGTAATGCAAATGGATTGTTTTAAAGGAACAAGGAGTGGTAATATAGTGCTGTATTTGTATAGTTGATACAAAATTTATATAGATAATATACTTCTTTGTAGATAATATAGTTCTTTGTATCATAAGGATATAAAGGATATTTATACAGAATATCACATTTGTGCCTTTCAGCAATGTCTGTGAGTTAATGAAGAACAGATGTGTCCTCATTTTAGAGATGCAGTAAAGTCATACAACTACTTAGAATTAGTGATGTTGGGTGGGTGTGGTGGCTCACGCCTGTAATCCCAGCACTTTGGGAGACAGAGGCGGGTGGATCACCTGAGGTCAGGAGTTCGAGACCAACTGGCCAGCATGGGAACCCTGTCTCTATTAAAAATACAAAAATTAGCCAGGCATGGTGTGCATGCCTGTAATCCCAGCTACTAGTGGGGCTGAAGCAGGAGGATCGCTTGAACCTGGGAGGTGGAGGTTGCAGTGAGCTGAAATCATGCCACTGCACCCCAGCCTGGGCAACAGAGTGAGACTCTGTCTCAAAAAAAAAAAACAAAAACAAAAACAAAAAGAAGTAGTGATGTCACTTATACCAACTCTAATTAGGATAATGAATTAGGATAATGATGTGTTTTGCATTTTATGAAGCTCTCAATTCTGTAAACTAGAAGTAATATGACATAGAAATATTAGTAAGTTTTACCTTATGCATAAAAATGGAAAAATGTGAATTCTAAAAGTTGTTATAATTTCATAAAAACAATTTCAAAGTTGGCTGGAAGAAGGAATTTAATATTGCTTTTATCCCATTGCTACGGGCAGGGCCACTTTAAATGGAAAAAAGAAATATTGCCTATCCTTTGTTGAGATATCTTTATTATCAGATTTTGAAGAATTTAAACTGCACGTAAAATGCTACTGGTTGACCTTTAAATAACAAACTAAGTACTCAGTTCTTTCGTTAATATAACTGGAGAGTTTATTAACCTTCAAAAAAAAAACTTCTCTGGATAGAATAAGTATGTTAGAACAAAGGTCATCAATTTCTGTTCAGCAAATTGTATACTGGTAGATGGTTATACTTCTGTAGCTAATATACACTGCTTATTTGGGTTTAAATGCTACCACTTTGTTTTTGTCCTAATATAGAATAGATGGAAACTTTATCCTTTTGTACTGTCTCATTTTCATCTGATTATTTAAGAAAAATGAATTGTACCTAGTAAGCAAATTCTAGGGTTCTATGGAAAATCTAGAACTATATGAACCATCTGAAAAGAGTCAATCACACCCCTATCCTCCTAGAAATAACTTTTAAAGGTTAAGGTCATACGGTTAGACACATGCTAATATTTCAGCTTGTTTTGTAGACATACGCCATTCTACGGCCAGCACTTAAAGATTTTAATCATGGTTGATATGAAAAATTGAGACTATAAAATAAAGGTATTGATAATTCTGAGGGAAGATGAATTAGAACTAGTCTTCAATTTAAATTATTTTATTTGTTTAAAAAGTAACATGTTTTATGGCTTAAAATAAATGCTTTTAGTAGAGATGATTCATATTTATTATAGAAACACTGCCAGAAAGAATAAAGAAATCTAAAACTCTCCCCTAGATCCACTGCCCAGAAATAATCAATGATAACATTTGATTATCTAATTTCATATTATTAGTAGAGAAAGAAGATTGATAGACTACATAGAAATGGGATCTTAAAAATATATGTCACTTAAAATAAAAATCCTTAAGCTGGGCATGGTGGTGTATGCCTGTTGTCTCAGCACTTTGGGAGGCTGAGGTGGGAGGATGGCTAGAAACCAGGAGTTTGCCATCAGCCTAGGAGACAGAGTGAGACCTTGTCTATTTAAAAAAACAAAACAAAACAAAAAACCTTTAAATTACATTTTGCTTAAATTTAACAGGTGATAAGTAAAACTGAAGGAATAAATAAATTGTACTTAACCGGTAGAAATGTCAGGGTCCAACATAATCTTTTAAGAAAAGGATTATGAAAGGCTGGTGTTCCAATTCTAAAAAGCATCTGTCTTTCTGCTATGGTAGATAAAATTTGCCCTCAAGCTTCCTTCCTCCCTTCTCCCTTCCCCATCCTTTTCAGATTTTTATTACATATTATTTTTTAACCAAGATGTAGAACACATTCTAGTTTACAGTCTTAATACTGTGGATACATTAAAAGGCATGAAATGATTTTAATTAAAAACAAACATAAAGCTCCACACTGACAAATTTTACAAATGATCTTTTCAAGGCAGCTTAAATGTGTATTGCTACAAATGTGCTGTACAGCCATCTCACAAATATGTTATTTTGCTGTTTGCTAGACTTTGTTCTCATACTAACTGGAAATATAAATTGCATTTCCAAGTTGAATTTCATGAGGTACTGTAGAGAATGTTGTAATAAAATCCAGACAGTCCCTCTATTACATTCTTTTCTCCTAATACTTCTGTAATTCAATCTTAAAAGACCAATCAAGTTTGTCTAGAAAAATCACTTCCTTATAGGCCACTAATGTTGCTTACTGTTAAGCTTCAGATAATTTTTAGATACTCAAATTTTCTTGTTTTAATATCATAAAGTCACTGAAAATCGAACTGAGAATATTTTACAATTTTTGTTGCGTTTTAAAATGGTAACAGTATTTGGCAGCTCAGCTCTGTGACCGTTTCCTGACACTACACTACTATTTCTCAAAAAATCATCACCAGGTTTTCTCTCATATCCTCTAGTGTAATGTTTTTCAAACCCAATCACCTGGAGAGTTTTTTTAAGAAAAAAAGTATGTCCAGGTGCCATCCCAAATCAGTTAAATCAGAATCTTTGGCAATGAAGTCTGAGAAAGGGTTTTTAAAGCTTTTAAATATGGTATAATACTTTGTAAGCTCTAATTCTAAATGAAGAACCCAAAGCGTCTCTATGACAATGGATAATCTTAATTTATCATGTGTTCAGTAACAGTGAACATAATTTTAACATTTTTTTAAAGAGATGGGGTCTTGCTATGTTGCCCAGGCTGATCTCGAACTGCTAGGCTCAAGAAATACTCCCACCTCAGCCTCCTGAGTAGCTGTGACCATAGGTACACACCACTGTACCTGGATTCTTAAGATTTTCTAAGAGCTTAAAGTTACATGAAAAATATATGGTCTATCAACCATGTTTCTCAAATTAAATGACAGCATCAATTTCCAACATTGGTAAAGCTATAAAACTGCTCTTCTGGCTCAAAGCTATAATTTTAAATTACCCCATCTTACAAAATTCAAAGGGTCAGTATGGTTAGAAAATTTTGCCTGTTTATCAGAAAGTTTTAGGATTGGTTTGACAGATTAAATGTTACCAAAACATAAGACCCTAATAAACCTATAGTTAAACAAGAATCTGGTTAGGAGTAAAAGAAGTAAATGGCCACTGATTTCAGGGCCCATCTGTAGACTAGCATTCTTCATACAAAAAAAAAAAGTGTTATTTAACCTAAAGTTGGCAATCTGTTGGTATTTCGGGCAACTGTAGGAGTGCAGTATAGGTATAGATAACTTTTGAAGTGAAATCTAGTAAATTTAGTTACTTTGCATTCTTTAACTAGAAATCTTTGTGAACAGATCTGCAAATCTACTAGCTAATGTCTCACGGTTATGTTCTTGAGGGGCAGTGAGGCTGTGAATGTCCTCTACTGATCAAGTGAGCACAGCACATGGAATGACAAGGAAGCAAGGGGATAGTCTCACAGGCCAAATAAATCCTGGCTATCAGTAGGTGACAGATGTCTTAGCCAGATCACCCCCACAGCAATGTTGACCACATGGAAAACACACATGGAAAATTCACCATTTAATAATGTTCATTTTCCTCATCTTTATTTATTTATTTATTTTTTTGAGATGGAGTCTCGCTCTGTCGCCCAGGCTGGAGTGTAGTGGCTTGATCTTGGCTCACGGCAACCTCTGCTTCCTGGGTTCAAGCGATTCTCCTGCCTCAGCCTCCCGAGTATCTGGGATTACAGGCACGTGCCACCACATCCAGCTAATTTTTGTATTTTTAGTAGAGACAGGGTTTTGCCATGTTGGCCAGGCTGATCTTGAACTCCTGACATCAGGTGATCCGCCCGCCTTGGCCTCCCAAAGTGCCAGGATTATACATGTGAGCCACCGCACCCGGCCCGTTTTCCTCGTCTTATATAAATGACACTCTGTGTGCATCAAGAATCAGAGCTGCACATCAAGTATAAAATGTTAATATTAGATGTTATCTCCCACTGATAGGTTTAGAACCATCCAGATTCTGGGCTAATGTTATTTTCTTACTAATTATGGGGAATTGCTGTGAAATATCACTCAAAAATTTAAATTACTCTTATGTAGGTATTAGGGAGTTTCAAGCAATGTGACATTTTTGATAGGCTAAACTAACAAAATAGGCAAGAAATATCATGAAAAATAAGAAGCAGAAGCTGTGGAGTGAAGAATATTATTCTACATTTCAATATCAACACTATCTCTTAGGCCTGTCTTAAACTGGAAGGAGCTATAGTGCAGGCACATTAATTTACACATTTTTTAGACATTTTCTTTTTATAGCAATATCCCATGTATCAAATGAATAGACAAGAAAACAACTGTTATCTGAATAGACAAGAAATCAATGGGGGTCGGGGGGGGAAGAAAGCTTTTAAGTGGCTATCTATGTATGTACCTCCAGAACCTCAAAAATCCCTTGGGTAAATAAGAAATTGGACATTCTTCTTTGGATTCATACCAGCTTTGAGAAAAAGAAAGGACAAGAGACAGCCTGCCTGGCGATTTCATAGAGGTTCTGGCCTTCTGTTCACATACTCATCATGACAGGTGCAGCCCCTTCCCTGCCTCCATCTGTGGCCTGGCTCAGCACTGAAACTGGCCTCTACACCAGGAAGAAGCATATGGGCTGGGACAGGATCAGCCTCTCCTTTCCGTTGCTACCTGCTCCCTGCTTCTCTAAGCTCGCCCCTTTAGTTACTGTAGATATCTTGGTCCTGACTCACTGCAAGTGTTAAACATGTTTTTAATGTAATCATTGATTAAAGGAAAAGAATATATGACACACACTTCTAAGTTATGAAGCACACACAGTAAAATGAGCCCAGTGAATCCGGCATCCAACTTAAGAAGCAGAATATCAAATATCATTGTTCCAGATCCCTCTCCTCTCCCAGACTCTCAGAGCTAACCCCTATCCTATAATTTATCATTATTGTCTTTTCTGAAAAATAGACTTGCTAAATATATATATGTGTGTATGTATACATTACTAAACTATACATTGTTCAGTTTTGCCTATGGTAGGGCCTTTAAAATGCTATCATACCATAGGTAATCATATCTGGCTTGCTTTAAAAAAAACAAAACACAAACACTATAACTTTCCTAACGGTCATCCAAGTTGAGGCTTCTAAGTAGTAGTTCCTGTTGTATAATATTCCATTTTGTACATAAACCAATGTTTACTTACCAATTCTTCTGTCCACGTAAACTATTATTTTTCATAGACTTTTGCTTTAAGGATTTTCCTATAAATATCCTTGCAAATGTCTTTTGATGCATATGCCAAATTTCTTTGATGGTACATAGCTAGTTGTGGGATTGCTGGGTTATAGGGTATGTGAGTGATTAACACTATAAGTTAGGGCCAAATTGTTTTCCAAAGCAGTTCCAGCATCTTACTCTCCTACTGGCATCATGAAAAGGATCCTGTTGCTGTACACATCTTTGCCAACACTTGGTATTTTCAGACTTCTTAATTTTTGCAATCTAGTAAGTGTGAAATGGAATTTCAATGTGGTTGTAATTTACATTTTCTTGAAAACTAATGAGTTTTGTCTATCTTTTTATATGTCTAGTTGCCATTGGTTTCCTCTTCTATGAGATACCAGTTCATTTGTCCACTTTTCTTTTTAGGTTAATTTTTTTTCTTACTGATTTTAAAGAATTCTTTTTATCTTCTGATTATTATACTTTATTAGTTATCTAAGCAATGTAACTGTTGACGTTTTTTACTCTCACTGGGCAACAATCCTAGTGCTGGCTTCTCCCATTGCACCCTCCTTCCTTGCCCCAAGTTAGAAAGGAATTGAGAAAACAGCAATATGAGTTTCTAATTAGCTTTTAAAATTCTATATCCTGAGGATATTTTAAATAATTTAGATACTTTTCACATAGAGAGAGATAAAATTATTATCAGGAATGGTGAATGTAATAGAAATGGACATTCAACCACCACTGTGGATAATAACTGAATCTTGATAGGGTGATGATATGTGAGTGTACACATCTGATGAAACACATAGAAATTATTATATATAAATTCTATCTCAACAAGGAGGATTTAAAATAACAGGTGTAAATTATAGCACATTAAGGTCTATGTCCGGAGCTCAACTGCCATATAGCTTTGCTACTTGGCAGCTGTGTGACCACTTTGGGAAGTTATTTCACATTTCTAAGCCTGAGGTTTCTCATTGGTGAAATGAACATAACAGCAGTACCTGTGTCATGAAGATGGTTGTGAAACAGAAACAAATTAGTTTGAAACTGCTTAGAATAATGCCTGATGCAGAATGAGCATCAGATACATGGTAGGCTATAAAACATGTAGACAAATGTTATCTGTTGCTTCCTCTATGGTTTGTTGTAGGGTCTGAAAAATTCTTCTCTACCAAATTGTGATATTCTCCTACCTTTTCTTCCAAAAGTTTAAGTGCTGTACTTTTTACACTTGGGCAGATAATACATTTACGATTTATTTTTGAGTCTGCTGTGTAGTAAAGATCTTTATTTTTTAATTTTTTTTTCTGAGAGATAACCAATTATCACAACACTATTTATTAAGTTAGGTATACTTTCCCATTGATTTTGAATTCTACCACTGTCATATCAGATTCTTTGCAAGCTTGGGTTAATTTCTGGATTTGTTACATGTTCTATTAAGTCTACTGTCAATCACAGCAACAATACTACAAGGTTGTAATTCCTACATTATAATAAATCATGACATGTAATAGTGAAAGTTTTTATTCCTTTTTCTTCACAGTTGTCTTCTTGATTCTGGGGCTTTTGCTCTTTCATATGAACTTTATAGGTAATTAGCCTATCAGGTTCCATGAAAACAACAATAAAAATCCTGTTGGAATTCCATTAAATTTATAGACTTTTTAGGAGATGAACTGATAATCATTAATTAATATTGACCCATTAACATAAACTATACATTTATTCAGATATCCTTTTATCTTTCAATCATGTTTTATACTTTATAGTTCTTTTCCTTCCAGTATTTTAGTCTGTCTTTTAACAGGAAGATAAAATTTGTTGATATTTATTGTTATTATTGATATATTTGAACCCATTTCTACCATCTTTTTTTCCCCTTATGTCTCTCTCACCTACTTGACCCCTTTATTTTGGCCTTCTGTATCTCTTTAGCCTCCTTTCCTCTCTTCTGTTAGTTTTGAAACAATAGATTATATTTCTAATCTTTAAAAATTATTATTTCTCTTCACATGACAGAGACCATACCATTCTCTTCCTACTTTTATTGAGAATGAAGGAAAAAGAAAAACCCAGAGATAAAGGTGAGGAAAGAATAAAAGAGAAGCCAAGTGACAGTGATGGCATACTTTGCAGTGGGAGAGCATAATTTTAGACCTCAAAGGAAAAACTGACTGCTTTCCTTTCTCATACAGTTCCTGCCCTCATCATACACTTAAAAAGTGTGTCTAGGCAGTGTCACTTGTAGGGTTATAGGTCATTTCATTTTCAGTATTTCCTTTATATTTATCAGTCATTCAGGAACTCAAGGTCTCTATTGTAACCATTACTTTTAAAATGGCTTACTATCCTATATTTTTCTGATCCTAGTTTTAGGTGAGCTATTTTAGTTAAAGCACTGTAAGACTTTGTCACCAGCAAAAATCTGAGGCAATTGGGTACAGATTTACACAGAGACAATACATCTGTATCTTAAACTTATAGGAAACCAATTGAAACAAGGCAGTATTTGCATCCTATTTACCACATAAAATATTCAAAACTGGTTGTAGTGGCTCACGCCTGTAATTCCATCACTTTGGGAGACCAAGGAAGGAGGATCACTTGAGGCCAGAAGTTTAAGAACAGTCTGGGCAACATAACAAGGCCCTATCTCTACAAAATATAAAAAATTAGCTGGATGTGGTGGTGTGTGCTTATAGTTCTAGCTACTTAGGAGGTGGAAGCAGGAAGATCGCTGGAGCCCAGGGATTTGAGGTTACAGTGAACTATGACTGTGCCACTGCACTCTAGCCTGAGCAACAGAGGGAGACCCTGTCTCTAAAAAACAAAAAAAAAATAAAAAATAATAATACTTCAAGATATAACATCTAGAAATTCTTAAGAATTATTTCATCATAATAAGCATAATCTTTGTGGACAAAAAAGTTTATTTCCAATTTAAATTTCTCATTTTTACTTAGCAAGGAAAGATCAGGTTTTTTTTAGAATATCTCTACACAGAACTTTCTGACTATTTTTCTCATATAACTTTATTTCACACCTTAATATTTTCAGGTTCTTTAAGATTTACATACTTCCAGGGCAAGCGCGGTGGGTCATGTCTGCAATCCCAGCACTTTGAGAGGCCGAGGTGGGCAGATCACCTGAGGTCAGGACTTTGAGACCAGCCCGGCCAACATGGTGAAACCTTGTCTCTACCAATAATACCAAAAATTAGCTGGCATGGTGGTGGGCGCCTGTAACCCCATCTACCTGGGAGGCTGAGGTAGGAGAATTGCTTGAACCCGGGAGGCGGAGCTTGCAGTGAGCTGAGATCGCGCCACTGCACTCCAGCCTGGGAGACAGAGCGAGACTCCGTCTCAAAAAAAAAAAAAAAGATTTACATACTTCCAAGGCTCTTTCATGTGGACTTATATAGGTATATCTTTAAAGAGTACTTTCATTCACTCACGATCCATTAAACATCCTAAAACCATTATCATTTCTATTTACAAAATTAACTTAGGTATACAAAGTTAAAACAGAAAGTCCCTATATTTCAGAAAACCAGAAAAAAACTACGGTTGATGAAAATTAATAACCAAAAATATAATGCAAATAAAAAGGACTGAATGAACAACTTGGAAGTGTGTTCAGCAATAGTGAGATTGATCAGCTTCCTAAGCAGAAAATAAAGACCACAGCCACAAACCAGTGAAGAACTGATCATGACAATAACGGTATCCATTAGGCAAATATCACCAAATATTCTATTTTATTTCCATATCTGCACTTTCTTCATGTCAACACTCAAGAACGACTAGGCTTGTTGTTCCTGTGGGCCTCTCCAAGAGTCAGTTTGCCCACTTCACAGTTTTGGTGAAAGTGCATTCCACATTTTCTATCTGATCCTCCACAGGAAGCATACAAGCAGTATAGTTTAAGATCTTCAACTAGGGTTCTACCCTGCCTTTATGCCTCTAGTGATGGTATACACACTGCACTCATGATGTTGGCAGTTTCAAAGTTGAACAATTTTAGACGTTATAAAGTTTTCCTCAATATATGGAATAAAACTGGCTTCCTTATAAGACCTACCTTTAACCTTGGATTCACAATAACAGAAAAATCTGTCCCCCTTCCCCATGTGATGACTCTAAGACAGTTAGTTTGTTCGACATTTTTTCTCCTCTTCTTTTTTATGAGACAGGGTCTCGCTCTGTCGCCCAGGCTGGAGTACAGTGGCACGATCCTAGCTCACTGCAGCCTTTACCTCCTGGGCTCAAGGGATCCTTCCACCTCAGCCTTCTGAGTACTGAGTAGCTGGGACTGCAGGCGCATGCCATCATGCCCGGCTAATTTTTGTACTTTTTGTAGAGACAGGGTTTCACCATGTTGCCCAGGCTGGTGTGGAACTCCTGAATTTTTTTTTCTCCTTTTCTTTTTTTTTTTTTGACGGAGTCTCGCTCTATCGCCCAGGCTGGAGTGCAGTGGCGCGATCTTGGCTCACTGCGAGCTCCGCCTCCTGGGTTCACGCCATTCTGCCTCCCTTCGAGTAGCTGGGATTACAGGCGCCCGCCAACACGCCCGGATAATTTTTTGTATTTTTAGTAGAGACAGGGTTTCACCGTGTTAGCCAGGGTGGTCTTGATCTCCTGGCCTCATGATCCACCCACCTCGGCCTCCCAAAGTGCTGGGATTACAGCACTTTATTTCTTTATTTATAGGTGAGAATAATTCTTTCCTAAAATGAACACATCATTACTTGAAAGTGTTAATGCTCTCGGTATTAATATATCTGAATATTTCCTAAGATTATGTTTTGAATTATTGGTTAGCATAAACCTATTTTGTTTAGATTTGTCCTATGACTTTTACTTTTATGATTTCCTTGATAGTTTTGATTCTGCAGAGTCAATGACACTGTTAATAGTTAGGAAAAGCAACATAGTGATAACCTTCAGCTCTGTATTCTAATCCTAATGTCTTAATCAATTCTAAGACCAGGAAAAACTATAACTTGTAAGTCATACTTCATTTACAGGCTAAAAAATATGGATTATAACACCTGATGTGCAGAATACGTGAGTATAAAAATATTTGCAAAGTGTACTATATCAGTATTTTTCATCAATTTTTAGAAATTCTCTGTAAACATAGGAATTTTGAAATAATAAAGATTGTGACAGATTGATCAGCAACAGTAATTTCTTTTCTACAAGTAGCAACAGTATTTTTATATAGAATATTCTTAAGCCAGAGCTATCCTAAGATACTTGTGAATTTCCAAATATCATTATAGAATTTCTCTCATAAAATACATAGAAGCAGCAAATAGAAAATAGCACAGCCATTTTCAGGTGGAGATGCTGAGCGGACTATATCTCGTAAAGGATCACTTCAACAGAACTCTGCGATGATAAAAATGTTCTATTTTTATGCTGCCCAGTAAGGTAGCACAGAATAAGATAAGCATTCACATAGCTACTGAGCACTTGAAATGTGGCTAGTGTATTGAGAAATTTAATTTTTAATTAATTTACATTTAAATAGCCACACATAACCATATGAGATAGCACAGTTTTTAGCCTCATGCCCTCTCCATATATATTTTTCTTCCCTTTTTACTTAACACAGTGGTTCCCAACCAGTGGCAGTTTTGCCCACTAGGTGACATATGTCAATTCCATATCTGGAGCCATTTTTGGCTGTCACAACTGGTGGATGCTGCTAAACATCCCACAATGCACAGGAGAGTCTCCCACAACAGAGAATTATCCACTTAAAAATATGAATAATGCTGAGGTTAAGAAACTGTGATATATTAAAACATCTTCAAATGAAATGAAAAGTACTTTGAAAATAATTATGAATGGCTATATAACATTCTAACGTTAGCTGGTCTGCTCATTACATAAAATAATCTCTAACCACTGTTGGATAATTCCATCCTGATTGCTACTGTTTTCCCTGTTCACAGTGTTTTAGTGAGTATGCCATCTCGCCTGATTTTCAGTCATAGTGGCCTCTGTAAATATAACAACATGAACGAAACTGGTAAATTTACTTCAGTAATAGGGGTAAGTATGCATAAACCCTTAACAGTTAGTTTTGTAAACATGAACAATTTTATAACAAAAATTTTTATCTTTAACCTCTCATTTACCTCAAAAGTTGTATGAAAGGATTAGTTTAGTGCAAATGTGTAATCAATGACATAAAAATAAGTTCATGTTGTTATGAATCAACAGTAACCTTTTTCCATGAAATGATCAAAACAATAACATCTTTTAAGATATTTAAAATACCCATTTATGCCACTATTGTTGTAATGTACCATTTATTTGAACAGTTTCATCTATACTTAAAGTACATAATATAAAAATCTCCATCCTAAAAGGGTTTAAAATATAGTGGAAAAAGAAATAGCTAACAGAGCAACAGTAACAAAAAATGGACAAAAGCAAATTGTTTTTGAAATGCAGGCTAATAAAGGAATCTTGTTGGAAGTTCTAGCCCATGCAGTGAAAACAAGACCCAATAGTTTAGAATGTGTTTTCTTTCTTAATGAAAGAAGACAGAAAAGATGACCTCTTACAGGGCATTTCCTACATATATTTTTAAAATGTCAACCTTTTAATTTTCTTGAAAACATCATTGTTCCTATTTACCTGATTTCTCATTGTCTAATAGCAATGTATCTTATTCTTAGATACAACTCATGAACATGTAAGCTATTCACAATGGATCTCATAAAAAATGGTAAATAAAGACAAAATCTACCTTAACCTAATTGAAAGAAAATATTTTAGCTATCATTGAGATTTTACAACCAGTTAAAAAATTTAAAGCACATATAAAGGAAGAAAAATATCACTCATATAATTGTGACTGCCTTCAAACTTCCATAAGGATTTAAAAATGAGGATTTTTTCATTAATCCTATCATAAACTTAACAAACATATACCCTAACAAATGGTACATTCTCTTGCTATATTATAGCAAAGATGAATATAAAAATGACATTCATCAGGGCGCAGTGGCTCATGCTAGTAATCCCAGCACTTGAGGAGGCCAAGGCAGGTGGATCACCTGAGGTCAGGAGTTGAAGACCAGCCTGGCCAACATGGTGAAACGCTGTCTCTACTAAAAATACAGAAATTAGCAGGGCATGGTGGTGGCCACCTGTAATCCCAGCTACTCGGGAGGCTGAGGTAGGAGAATTGCTTGAACCCAGGAGGTGGAGGTTGCATTGAGCCGAGATTGCGCCATTGCACTCCAGCCTGGGCAACAAGAGCAAAACTCCTCAGTCTCAAAAAAAAAAAAAGAATCACATTCATGGCCGGGGCAGTGGCTCACAGCTGTAATCCCAGCACTTTGGGAGGCCAAGGTGGTAGGAATGCTTGAGGCCAGGAGTTGGAGACCAGCCTGGGCAATATGGCAAGACCCTCATCTCTACAAAAGTAAAATAAAAAAATTAGCTGGGTGTGGTAGTGCATGCCTCTAGTCCTGGCTACCTGGGAGGCTGAGGTAGGAGGATTGCTTGAGCTCAGGAGTTTGAGGCTCCAGTGAACCAGGATCATGTCACTGCACTGTACTCCAGCCTGGATGACAGAGTGAAACCCTGTCTCTAAAATAAATAAATAAATAAAATAAATAAAAGAATGACATTCACTTCCAGTCATATTATTCTGTTTTCTTTCCTATATTTGTTAAGGTATCCAATCCTACTTCCCTATCTATCTCCAGAACAATTTTAGCTAGGTTACCAAGGTTTAAAGAGATTGTTTTTAGTAACAGTACAAATGCAGAGCCTTTTCTCTTTTCCCTATCTGGAATAAGTGTGTCTGGAAAGAGGCTCATTAGTGAAAAAAACTTTATTCAATGCTGAGATCCTTTCAGTCTCTCTTTCCAAATAATTCATTCACTGCAGCTTTCATGAGAAAAATTAATTGTGAAATAAGCTCTGGAGGAGGGAAAAAAAGGCAGTCCCCAAATTCATGAGGCATAATATTTACTATCAATAGTTCTGTGATTTATAGTTCACATTCATTTTTTTCATTCTCTTACTGCGGAAAATATTTATTGAGCTTCTTTTGTGTGCAATGAACATATTAGAGAAAAGACTTCTCTCATGGAGACTATTTTCTAGTTGGAGAGGACAGATGATAGGTTAAAGAAGTGAAGTACCAAATACTACAGACAACGGAGCGGGGAAGGAAAGCAGGAGTGCTGGGGTCACTGAGAAAGTGAACACCTGAAGGAAGCGAGGGAATGAGGCAGGAGGGTATCTGTGGGAAGTGCACTGAGGCAGGGGCCATCAAGTGCCCAGGCTCTCAGGTCTTACCTGGAGATCACAGATCTCCACTGTGTTGGAGATCACTGTGGCTGGAGTTATAATGGCAGCGGGCAGGTAGAGACAAAGGTTTGAGATGGAAAAAAGTCCAGATCATGTCCTGTTTGTAGACCATCATAAGGACCTGGCTTTCCTGAGTGAGGCAGGAAGTCATCTGAGGGTTGTGAGCAGACGAGTCACATGACTTGACTTGGGTTTCAACAGGACTATTTTGGCTGCTGTTGAGGAGGGACAAGGGCAGACACAGGACACTATGCCACTACAACACATTTCAGAGATGATGCTGGCTTGGACTAGAATGGTGTATGTAAAGGTGGTGAGTACAGGATGTATTTTGAAAGCAGAGTCAACAAGATTTGCGGATTCAATGTAGGGAACTAGAGAAAGAGAGGAATCAAGGATGGTATGATCCCAAGGTCTTTGGCCTGAGCTGCTAGTAGGTGGAGCTGGCATTAACAGAGTGGGGGAAAGCTGCCAGAGGAGCCAGATGGGGAAGGAAGCTCAAGAGCCTAGTTTTGGATGTCTTAAGTTCAGTCTGACTTTCAGATGTTTCCACGTGGAGCAAAGAACGCAGCTGAAAATATGATCACAGAGTTCAGCAGAGAGATCTGGGTTGGAGATGTAAATTAATGGGAATCCTTAAAGGACTACAAATAGAAAAGAGAAAATGGTCTAAGGACTGATCCCCATGACATGCCAACTTTAACAACTTTAAGAAGTCAAGGAACATGGAGAAATGTGCCAGGTAGGCTGAGAAGGGAGTGGCCGTTGAGTTACAAAAACAAAAAAAAAAAAAACAAAAAAAAGCAAGGTTTCTTGGAAACCAAGTGAAGAAAATACTTCAAGGAGAAAGTGAGCAATTGTATCAAAAGCTGCTGATAAGTCAGATGAGGATCAAACAGTTTGGCCAAGTGGCGGTCACTATTGATCTGAGAAGGGCAATTTCAGTGGAGTGGAAGGAGAGAAAAGTCTAAACAAACGTATGGGTTCCAGAGTACCCTGAAGGAAAGAAAGTGAAGATGGTGTATAGACTATCCTTTTTTTAAAAAAATTATTTTTCTTTTTTTTTTGAGACAAGGTCTCACTCTGTTGCCCAGGCTGGAGTGCAGTGGCATGCTCATGGCTCACTGCAGCCTCAACATCCCAGGCTCAAGTGATTCTCCCACTTCAGCATCCACAGTAGCCGGGATTACAGGCATGTACCACCACGCCCAGCTAATTTTTTTGTTTTTTGTATTTTTTGTAGAGATGGGGTTTCACCAGGTTGCCTGGATTGGTCTGGAACTCCTGAGCTGAGGTAATCTATACGCATCAGCCTCCCAAAGTGTTGGGATTACAAGCAAGAGCCACTGTGCCCGGCTTGGACTATTCTTCTGAGGAATTTTTGCTCTAAAGAGACAGAGGGAAATGGGGTGATAAGATGAAAAGTATAGTAGATTAAAAGAGTTTTTTTTTTTAAGATGGGAGAAGTAATAGCATGTTGGTATGCTGTCGAGAAAGATCTAGTAGAGAAGAAAAAAGAGATGAAGCTGAAAAGAAGGGGGAAAGCTGCTGAAGTATGGTTTTTAAGGTGTATAATTTAGCCTTTGAAGACATCCATTATAGCACCCAATATAAATGAAGAGAATCAGAGAAAAATAATTGCGGGTTTTAAGAGTACTGCCAGACAATTAAACTAAGGTAAAACAAAAATGTATTATCATTGTAAAAAAGGGAAATATCGATATATAGAATTGAAAAGGAAGTCTCCAAATTAATCCACTTCTACATAGGAAAGTAGTACTTATCAAATATCTGTAGTATCTAATTTTACATTTAGAAATGATCAAGAAATCACAAAATAAAAAACAAAGAAGGCGAACTATATTAAAACTATAAACTCTCTATGCAACCAAGAATAAAATATCTAAAAGAAAACTGAAATTAGATTGAGAAACACATTTGCATGAAATATCACATAAGGTTAATTCCTTTATTATGTAAAAAGCTCAGACAAAACAAGTAAATTATCAAGTAACCAAGAGATAAATGGGCAAAGTATATACATACTGTATGCATAATATATATAATTAATAAAAATCTGGACAAGCATTCAACTGTGCTGATAAATAAAATACAAAAGAAAACAATGAGATATGTTATATTTATTGGTAAAGTATTAAAAAATTAAAACTTCCGATTCTGGCTACATTGTGATAAAGAAAGTACTCACACATTGCTGCTAGCATGTAAAATATTAATATTCTTTTGGAAAGCAATCTGGCAATTCATATCAATGATCATAAAAATATTCAGTGTTTGACTCAGAAATATTCCTCTTGTATTTTTATCCCAAAGAAGTATGTACTTCAAAAGAAGTATATATAATGTCCATTATAGCATTATAATTGCATTTCAGCATTACTTATAATAATGAAATATTAAAAATTATCTAAATGTAAAATTAAATACAAATAGATGAATGGCTAAGAAAATAATACTGGCCTGATCAAACAGAAGATACTAAATAGGATTTCAGAGCAACATAGAAGATGCTTATAAGATTTCAGAGCAACATAGAAGATGCTTACAATATAATAAAGACTAGTATAACATTTTTACTATACTCTAATTAAAATTATGTTACCTACACACAAAGTGATTCAAACAAAAAATGTATATTGAAGATACTTCAAACATTCAGCATGCTGGGATTTTAGGAGAGCATGTTTTTCCTTTTTCTGATAACTACTACTAGCATTTACTGAATGCTTACTATGTGCCAGATGCTGGACTATGGACATTACATATAGTAATGTATTTAATCCCATGGGGTAGGTTATGACGCATAAATGGCAGAGTTAATAGTTGAATTTGGCAATCTGGCTTTTATCTTGATCTTAATCACAATGCTAGATCATAAAAACAAATTAAGAAAAGTTAGGGAAAAAAATGGAATTTCCCTCAACTTATGAGAGTCATGTTTCAAAAGGTGAGGTGTGGATATCATATATGAATGGAACATCATTGGTAATCTCAAACTACTATCCCTTAAAAATTGGTAACTATTCATGCCTGTAATCCCAGCACTTTGGGAGGCTGAGGTGGGAGGATCACCTGAGGTCAGGAGTTCAAGTCCAGCCTGGCCAACGTGGTGAAACCCCGTCTCTACTAAAAATACAAAAATTAGCTGGGCATGGTAGCACATGTCTGTAATCCCAGCCACTTGGGAGGCTGAGGCAGGAGAACTGCTTGAACCCGGGAGGCGGAAATTGCAGTAAGCCAAGATTGTGCCACTGCACTCTAGCCTGTACACCAAGAGAAAAACTCCGTCTCAAAAAAAAAAAAAGTAACTAATCTGTCAATCTTGCCTGTGATGTTAAAGTAAGCTGAGATTGAACAGACTGTAAGTAATGGAAAAATACTTTCATATCATCACAGAATGCTAAGGCTGGACAAAAGAGCTTGGCGGTTATCAGGTCCCTTTGCCTCTTCTAAGAAATAGAACCAAGGTCTATAATCAGCAAGAGACTGCCTCAGGGTCATTCAGCTGGTTAAGGTAACCAAAGCCAGTTCTGAATTCCAAGTTTCTTGGTAACAATCCAGTGATATTTCTTCCTACACCATTTTACTCACTTCCCTCATAAAAAAGCTATCTATATATCTATTACGTTTTAAGTGCACACTCAATGCCAAGCACCACACTTCCACGTTTTAGTTAAACTAATTTAATCTTTACAACAGTCTTTTTTTTTTTTTTGAGACAGAGTCTTGCTCTGTTGCCCAGGCTGGAGTGCAGTGGCACGATCTCAGCTCACTGCAACCTTTGCCTCCAGGGTTCAAGTGATTCTAGTGCCTCAGCTTCCCTAGTAGCCAGGACTACAGGTGTGCGCCATCACGCCCGGCTAATTTTCTTTACAACGGTTTCATGTGGTATTTATTATAATGACTTAAAGGCAAGAAGACTGAAGCTCAGAAGGGTTTAGCATGCTGCCCAAGACCACGCAGCTGTAAACAGTGGTATCCAGGGCCAGGTGCGGTGGCTCATGGCTGTAATTCTAGCACTTAGCGAGGAAGGTGGGCGGATCACTTGAGGCTAGGAGTTCAAGGCCAGCCTGGCCAATATGGTGAAACCCTGTCTCTACTAAAAATACAAAAAAATTAGCCGGGTGTGGTGGCGTGCACCTATAGTCCCAGCTACTTGGGAGGTTGAGTCATGAGACATGAGAATTGCTTGAATTGGGAGGTGGAGGTTGCAGTGAGTTGAGATCACACCACCGCACTCCAGCGTGGGCGACAGAGAGAGACTCTGTCTCAAAAAAGAAAAAAAAAAGAGTGGTGTCCAGGGCTAATTTCTCTGGTGTTAAAGTGCAGGATCTTGGGACAAAGTGCTTCTACATACAGGGTGCTTTGGTTATGGAGGTTCCCTGCCCATGCTACCAGAGGTTCATGTTGAGAGAAGGGTCTGATCTTGCTCAGGAGGAGGTGGTTGTCTCAGTGGGTTAGAAAGAATCAAGTAAATTCTACCTCCTGGTGTGAAAAAGGTTTCCAAGTTTGTGTAGATCCTGTGATTGCTCTTTCATGTTTAGAGAGAGAAACTGAGTAAAGAGGAAAAATAGAATGATGTTTATATTCTCTACAAGTGTGCTTTCTAATGTGCTAATGTGTTCACGGCTCACAAAATAACAGTTCCTGACACTTGAGAAATACATTTCTTTTCATGACATTTTCTTCCTCACATTATTGCTCCCTGTCGTTAGCCTCAAACCTTACATTCTGTAGCTCAAGTACTTTAACTGGAGAGAGGCTTTAATCCCCTCTCTCCAGTTAGGGAGCCTCCTAAGGAGTCTCCTTGTCTTCCAGGTCTCCATTGCCAATCATTTCACAGAAGGGCAGAGAATCTTCCAAAGCAAAGCTGTTGCTGCCTTATAACATTTACCCCTTCTTTCTTGAAAACAGGCCCCAGGCTACCTTTCCAGCTTGCTTTTTCCCCACCCGAGTCCCTCACGCCCACTGTAACTAATCTGGGCTTTTCCTCCTCTGGGCTTTGGCTCACGCCGGTCCCTATATCTGGAATCCTTTCCTTTTTCATCTTTGGCTGCCTAGATTCTGTCCATTCTTTTTTGTTTTTTTTCTGAGGCACAGTCTCACTCTGTGGCCCAGGCTGGAGTGCAGTGGCACGATCACGGCTCACTGCAGCCTTGACCTCCTGAATTTGAGCGATCCTCCTACCTCAGTCCCTGAGTAGCTGGGATTACAGGTGTGAGCTACTGTGACTAGCTAATTAAATTTTTCTTTTTTTGTGGAGACAAGGTCTCGCTATGTTGCCCAGGCTGGTCTCTAACTCTTGTGATCAAACAATCTTCCCTCCTTGGCCTCCCAAAGTGCTAGGATTACAGGTGTGAGCCACTCTACTGGGCCTATTCTTTAAGGCCCATCTGAAACGTAATCTCCCTTGCCTTTTCTGATTCTCCAACCAGATATCCCTTCCTTGTCCAACACTGGGTATTAGAGTGGGTGTAACTTTTACAAGAGTTGACATTTGGACCTGTACTGCAGATATCTGTGCACCCAAACTGTCAATTCCCATGATCAACTACGTGTTACTGACCTTTGTGTTATAGGTAGCACCTAGAACAGACATTCATATTCATTGGCAATTATGAAAAACAAAAGTCTAAAAGTGCTTCACAATTTTCTGTCAGCTGAAGAACTGGTCAAAGAAATCCAGAGGCTTTTTTTTTTTTTTTTGTAAAGTACAGCTTCTTAATAGGGCACTTGATTTTCTAGGTGTGGACACAACAGTTGATAGACATCTACTAGGTCAAGAAAGGTATGCCTGAATTAGATAAATGACAGACTCAAAAGAGAGGCCAGGAAAAGGCTGAAAAACAATCTGAAGGCATCTGTGGTATCCTTTTGTTTATATCTTGATTTTTAGTTTCGTACAGGGGAACACAGGAAGCTCTGAGGCTTTAAAACTAGAAACTTTGCGATTTAATCAAATGAAAAATTTTGAATGCTGTGCTGCAAATCTGATTAAATAGGGCTAGTAATTCACTTCCAAACAAAATAAACCCCAAACTCAGAAAATCTAGCTCCTTTTAACAAAAAGTCTGGTAATGTTATTTTTCCTAAATTCTAAAGCTTATCAGAGAAGCCTGCCCCCTCACATAAACATTTTTTCATATACCTTTATGAAACCTTCTGAGATAACACTACTACAGAGGTGAATAATGAATTCATAGGCCCTAGCTGTAACTACGTCATTGTTTACTTGGTGACTTTTTTTTTAATCGGGGAGAGGGGTAAAATGGAGATGAGAGAAAATCAGTTTAAACTGTATTCAAATACATTTACACGATTAACACCACCAACTCAAGGAATTTCTTTTTCTTACAGACCTGTAGCACTTGTTGGTAGGAGAACAATGAAATGAACCCATAATTTGAACAAAGGCAACAGGCACCTGCAGCCTTTCAATCACTTAGCAAATATTTCCGCCGAGACAGGGCCGAATTCGGGGATCTGGGCGAGCAGCCGGTGTCACCTTTCTCGGTAAGCTGCAAATCTTGGGAAAACTAGGACCCTTCCCAGGGATCCTGGGCTGGGAGCGGTCTCCGGTTTTTAGACAAATCTCTCCTCCTACCACACGTGACCGAATGGCAATCAGCCGCCAAGAGAGACACCGCAACGCATCAGCCGCGGGATACAAAGGCTCGGCACTGCCGTCGCATCCTCGGGAGGATCGCGGAGCCTCCCGCGCTCGGCGTCTGCGGAGCCTGCGCAGGGAGCAGCTGCGAGGCGCGCCGCTCCCGGGCCCGCAGGGCGGTGCCGCGCTGCGCGGGGAGCAGGAGCGGGGAGCGCGCGCCGCCTGCCCTGAGCGCCTGCCCACCCAGCGCCGCCGGAGCAGGGGCGCCGCGCCGCACCGCACGCAGCCGAGCAGCGCCACAGCCGCCGCCGCCGTCGCAGCCGCAGTCGCCGCAGCTAGGCCCTCGGCCGTCGCAGGGAGCTCCGCAGCGACGTGGACCAAGGTGAGGAAGCCGAGGGCTCCCCCAGACCCTCGGCAGGCCCGAGGCCGGGCTACCCCGTCCCCGCCCAGGCCCAGGCCTTCCCTTTCCTCTCGGCTCCTTCCCCTTCCCACAGCTCCCCTGGGCCTCGCGCCGGCTGCAGGGCGCAGTGAGAGGCACTTACACCACGGCTCTGGAGATCATCCAGGACACCATCTTCACGGGGGCTTGGGCCCCACGTCCGGGGCGGGTGGGCGCAGGGCGCTGCGGACCAGGCCGCCAACGGCAGGCCGCGCGCTTCGCCGGCTCCTCGCGCTCCCCGGGGCCGCGCTGGCGCCCTCAGGAGCCGGGCCCGGTGTGTGCGCGCGGCGGCCTGGGCTGCGCAGAGGTCGGTCCCCCGCCCGTCCCCGCCCGCCCCCGCCCGCCGGCCCGGCAGCCTAGTCCGGACAGCACCCCGCCCCTGCGCTCCGCTGATAGGCGGTGGCGGCGGCGCGTTGGCCCGGGCCAGGGCTGGGGCCAGGCGGCCGGGCTCCAGGGCTGGGCTGGCGGGATCCTAGCCCGCGCTGGACGGCCTCGCTGCCGCGGCCTTGGCCCCTGCGCTCTAACCAACCTTACCCTCCTTAGCTCTTTGGGACGCCCACACTCGCGGCGAGAGTGGGGCAGGAGGCTGAGGAAGGGTACTGGAGGGTAGGGATTGGCAGTGCCTGTGTGAAAAGTGAGATATTCGCAGGAACTCGGTGTCCAATAAAACTCTCGACCAGGCCCTGGTTTTGGAGAGCCAAGACTTTGAGGTGTGCCTGGCCACATCCGGTATCCTCAGTGTTTACGGAGGCCCAGCACCAAAGGCGTCCTTATATTACCACATTTTAAAGGAATCGTCGAGAGGTTCTTGCACAGGCCTCCGTGTGTGCCACGAGTCTCGTGGTGCAATGCAGGGAGGGACAGAGGAGGATTTCATGTTTGCAGTAGTGGGTGCAGTGATACCACTGTTCTGGGCCTCTTAGGGCACCTTTTCATCAGAGCATCTGCAAAGACTGTTTACAGACACGAATCTCCATTATTTCCCTGAGGCCTGCCAGATGTTCAAAGTAAAGGCTGGGTCTAGGATTCCTGACCTGTCTTAAGATTTACAACTATATTACAGCTGTAAGATTTACAACTGTATTTTTTGGAGGTTGGGTTACTGCTTACACCTTGCTGTTCTTGCAAATATCATTTCAAGGGCAGACTTTTAAAACTGTTTTTTTTTTTTTTTTGTGACAGTACCAAATTGAGAAAATGATGTTAAAGTTTAGATATTTTTATTTTTTCCAGTTAAGACGATAGTAAAAGATAATTCTAGTATTCAGATGGTGCGAAGAATAAAAGATGAAATGTAGGCTTGGAGCCTTTAATTAAAGTCCTAGAAAATATGATGGCTTTTGTGACCATACTGTAATTTTGTCTTCTTGTTCCTCAGTTTCCCTGTGATAAAAAGGGGGTAATAATACTGTAGTCTGTCTCTTGCCTTTCAAGGGTGATATGAGGCACTGCTAAATAATATGTTTAGGAAATACTCTGACTTGCATGGAAGACAATCAAAGGACACAACAGATTATCCTAAATTATTTTCAGTTCTCAGTCAATAAATTGGGTAATATTTCATTATTTAAGAAACAAGCTCAGAAGCTACTTTCTACTCTTGGGTTAGGTTCTTTTCGCTTATTAATTCATGTCAAGACTTTTTATTTCAGGAATTTGAGTAATAATTTGCATTTAACTCTGAATCTTTTATTTTTGGCCATTATTCAGCATTATTTGAGGATCAGGTGTGCTGCATAAGCACCAGTTTTTTGGCGAACTCTCTTGTTCAATAAAACTCAAATGAATTTGAATATCATTCAGATCCCTTCATGAAAGGTCCTGAAATAGCTTTACAGCCTTTACTTTTACTACTTTCACCCCCAACTCCTAATGTACCCGTTCCCTACCTCTCTTCTTTCAGCCAACCTGTATTTTCATGCTCAGTGCTTTTGCCCAGATTTCGTTTTTCCCTTAACACTTTGCTCCCCATTCTGTACCTATCAGAACTCTCATTTTTCAGTGGCCTGTGCCATGAAGACATCCTTGGTTTTCCTCAGGGACAATTATTCCTAATTTTGTCTGTGCTCTCATAATTTATTACTTGAATTTCTATTTCTTATCTGTGTCATTCTGCCTCTACCATGTCTAATGTACTGAATGGTAAAATGTTTGAGAACAGACATGGTGTATTAGATTTCTTTGTGTTTTCCAACTATCTAGCCTCAGATAGGGTAAACGTCCAATAAAAATTTGAATAATGTTTGTGAAATACAGTCACTCTTTAGGCATCAGATTTAAAAAATTTCAGCCACGTACATTGGAAGTCTCTTAAAAATGTCTTTCTTGCCTTTTTACTTTGGAGGTCATCATTGTGAATATTAATTATTTCAGCTAATCCTAGTACATTAATGCCTTCAGGGGTTGCTGAAGGCAACCTAGGTAGGATGGCTGGCTGCTCTCTGAAATGTCCCTAGACTGCTGTGCGTTAAGTTTCATTTTGTATGCTTATTATATCTTCTGCCTCTTCCACATTTAGATTACTTTTTGCTGCTTTCTTTCTATTTACCTGGAACAGTGCCTTTTTTCACATCTCAATAGGCCATGGGTTGGAAACCACCTACTATGTGCTATACACGTGTCATTGAGTCATTCTGACAACTTAAAAAGCCATATAGCGTTTATTCCCTTTTGGTACCATGGAAAGTGAGGTTTAGAGAAGTTAACTCAACTGGCGGGTGATCACATAGGTCATTGGTAACAGAACTGGAGATCTAATTCATGCTTCCCAAGCTTGTTTACATTATACTGGGATAGATAGCGGAACTGTGTTTAAGGCGGTGGGTCCAGCTTGGTGTTGCCCTCCAAGGGGAAACTGGAAGGCATTTTTTAGATTGTTGTAATGATTGGAGCTAACAACTTGCATTTGTTGAGTGAAGGCTAGAGAGGTGTGGGACAGTCCTGAACAAAGTGTCCCCATGTCTTGCATGATTTAAGAATATCTGCCTGACTTTCATGTAGTATTTGTAATTATCAAAGCCTGGAACCTCCATCTTGCATCATGATTTTAACTGAGACTGAATTTTAACTGAGTCTGTTTCCACATGCAACGGTTATGTGAATTGAAGGAAGATTGTTTTGTTCACAACTTGACCAAGAATTGTTTACAGTTTTGGAAAATTGTATCACAAACAGCTCTGCATTCATAGATATATTCAGCTACTAGTTACTTCTTTAAGTCTTCTAGTGTAGTTTTGCCCCACGTCGAAATATATGTTATTATAAATCATTTTCATGTCTCTTTTCCACTCTTATTTAGGGTATATGGATTTGTTTGAAATTGTAGGAATATTGTTATTTTGTTTCAGGGTGGTAAAGCAGAAGTTGGAAAATATTTTATGCAAGGGGCACATTGAATCTGATGTGGTTGAGAACTGTTGATCTAAAGTAAGAGTAACTTCATCTGAGAAGAGTCTCTCATGAAAAGTGCCCAGATTTTAGTGGAGGGTGTTTATAATTTCTGTGTATTGGACTGTGTCTCAGATACACAGAAATCTGCCAAATTTATTAGCAGATAGTTGAGATTTGCTAAGAAATAAGTGGCCATTATGCTGGGTGCGGTGGCTCATGCCTGTAATCCCAGCACTTTGGGAGGCCGACAAGGGCAGATCACTTGAGGCCAAGAGTTCGAGGCCATCCTGGCCAATGTGGCAAGACCTCATCTCTACTAAAAATACAAAAATTAGCTGGGCATGATGGTGCACACCTGTAATCCCAGCTACTTGGCAGGCTGAGGCAGGAGAATCACCTGAACCTGGGAGGCGGAGGTTGCACTGAGCTGAGATTGCACCACTGCACTCCAGCTTGGGTGACAGAGTGAGACTCTGTCTCAAAAAAAAAAAAAAAAAAAAAAAAGTGGCCATTAGATAAGTACTTCACTGTATAAGATAAGGTGCTAGGGGCACTGGGAGAAAAGGAAATATAGTACCTTCTGCCTAGAAGCTTTTATAGTGTGGTCTCTTGGAGTGCTTGAAATCATTTCTTATATAGAAGATATGATTTCTTTAAGTACTGAACTTAATTTTGATTTTATACATATATCACTAATATTCATACATTGTGCTATATAAAGCGCATCCTTCATTGTGTTCTGCAAAGACACTTTTCTTCTCTGAGGAAGGCAATGTATTTAGGGCAAAGGACATTCTCACAGGAGACCTAGTTCTACTACCGGTAATAGGATGTTTGGTAAATCACACTGTATGTTTCCTGTTGAATATGGGGATGATACTGTTATGAAGATCAAAAATAAGAGGCTTTAAAATCTAAGGGTAATTAGACTGTTAAAAGCATTGGTTTCTCTTTTAAATATTAGTTTTCCTAGGAGATATGTGGAATGTGCATCTTCTGCATGTTAAAAGAGTTCATTTATTAGCAGAGCAACAGAGACTAAGAAAGTACCTAGGAGAGCAGGTAGTGAGAGCAGAATTAGAGGGTACAAAGATAATGTCTGATCGCTGTAATTATTAATGAGAATGCTAATGAGACTGAATACTAGGTCACCTTCGCATTTCTATTAAGAGAGCATTTTCAGTGGCTAAAAAATATATTTATTTGGAGAAAGGCTAAAATTACTAAATGAGTCTGTCTTTCATAGTTGTTTAGAAAATAGGGGGAGAGAGAGGATCTTAAGAAGACTGACATAACAGAAGAAAGCTGTTCTTTTTCTGTCTGCTGCTAGATGGATACCTCTTTTCTCTCAGGCAGTCGCTTATGGAATTATGGTTACAACAGAGGTTCAGTTTGGCTTCAGAGATTGAATGATAATGAAATGATACTGAAAATACAATGATCAGATAGCAATAGAATAAAAAGATTAGGTTCTGATTAAGTATTCACTATAGGTATTGGTAGAAAAAGATGGTGACTAGCTGACAACACAAAAAGTAAAATACATCTGTGATGGCTGGATCTGGGAAGCACACACAGTAAGAAATTGACATTATCTGAGATTCTTACACATTTCCAGTAGTAGCCTTAACTATAACAATTAAGGATTTAGACAGAAGCTTTTGTTTTTCCTTCATGGTAAAATATGGTTTTGTGTTTGACCATGTTAAGTGGCAGAGAAACATCTAGTTTAAGATAATTGAGGTACTTTTACTATTTATTTAAAATAGAATAGATTAAATCAGGGTTTTAAGCTCAAGATAGACTTATGATTTCAGGTATTCAGGTGCATATGGGGTTGTGGTATAATTTGCCAAATCTGAAATATTTGATAATGACATCATGTCTAGTAAGCAGAATTTCAACAGATTTCTGTTGATGTCTTGAGTGATAATTCAAAGCACGTGGAATAAATTTAAAAGGGAACAGTGAAAAATTAGTCTTTTTTTCTTCCCTGTTTCCAGCTACTCAGTTCATTTCACAGGCAGTCTCTGTTCCCAGGTTTTTTTTTTTTTTTCCCTCAAAGTCCAGAAACATACCCAATTATTAATAGATATTTAGTCTAAGATAAAGACAGCATTTTATGGTTTTTGGAACACGATGGAATTATTCAGTAAACGATGTGACAACCAGCCAGCCATTTAATAAAAACTGAAGAAAAAAAATTCTGATAGGTAGGAAATGGAAAAACTGAAAGTACCATAAAAGTACAAAAAAATAGATAAAGGTATTATATTCTTGATAGCAGGAGGACCTTTCTGTCGTAAAATCAGAAACCATAATCATAGATTTGAGTATACAAGAATTGAAACTCCTGTGCCTCCAAAACCAATATAAACAAGATTAAAAGACAGATGACAAACTAGGAAAAAATTTGTAAAACCTGACAGAGGGTTTTTTGTCTGATTTTTGGGTATATATCTTCATATACAAAGCACTCTTAAAAACTATTAAGAAGTAATCTCTGAAGACTTCCAATTTCCAGTGTAGCATGTAAGGAGCTCAGTAATTGCCACTTGGTCCTGACAACAAATAAATAACTGAACAAAATGAAGAATAGACAACACTTCTTAGATTCCTCAGATAAGTGAAGTCACAGGGCAAACCACATCCTCCAAAACTGGAGAGACAGACAGCTGGATACAGAGAATCACAACTACTGAAGCAGAAACCGAGGATCAGAAACCCCTGAGGGAACCAGTACCCGGGTAGGAAAATCTGAGCTGTAATTGAGGAGTTGCTGGAGGCTCAGTGTGGACAAGTCTGAGACCTAAAAGCTCCAGGGAGAGCCAGTCCTAAGGAAGCCCCCGTAGTTTTGTGAGATTTACTTCCTGGAGCTCTACCAGGTCCTCACAGTAAATATTTGAGAAAAATCCTCTTACGCTGTCAGCTGGAGAAGGGAGAAGTGAAACATTTTGAAATACACCAAGGTATTCTGTTCTTAACAAGGCCTGCCCTCAGGAGAAATTATTTCTCTTAGAACCAAACCTAACTGGGGAATGGGAAAAATGCAGCTCCAGTCAACTCTAGCCCTCCACATGGAGAAAAGGAAATTCCTAACTCCACCTCCCTCTAGACTTCCAGTTGTGGGAAGGGAAATAACTTCAGCCCTCTCCAGCCACCCTGTTCCATTTGAAGGGAGGAAAAAACCTGAGAAATGCTGGTGGAAGGTCACAGTCTAGAGGCACGGGCTCACCAGAGGACTGAGACCTAATCCTAGGCCTATAGAATGCTTCTCCTCCCCCATCACCCTAGTACTGCATTACAAAACACCTGTTTACTGTAGGCTTTAAAAAAAAAAATACTTAGTATTATTATGTCCACCTTTAACAAAAAATTACAGGCATACTAAAAGGCAAAAACTGTAGTTTGAGGAGACCAAACCAAACATCAGAACCATAGCTAAATATGGCAGGAATGTTGGAAATATCAGACCAGAAATTTTTTTACGTATTTTTACTTTTTTTTTAAGCTTTTATTTTAGATTCTGGGGTACATGTGTGTGGTCTGTTACCTAGGTATGTTGCATGATGCTGAGGTTTGGGGTCTGAATGGTCCCGTCACCCAGGTACTGACCTTAGTATCCCACAGTTTTTCATCCCTTCCACCCCCTCCCTCCCTCCTCTAGTAGTCTCCAGTGTCTATTGTTGCCATCATTATGTCAGTGAGTACCCAGTGTTTAGCTCCCACTTATAAGTTAGGGCATGCAGTATTTGGTTTTCTGTTCCTACCTTAATTTGCTTAGGATAATGACCTCCAACTCCATCCATGTTGCTGCAAAAGGACATGATTTCATTCTTTGTTATGTCTGCATAGTATTCCATGGTGTGTGTGTGTACTACATTTTCTTTATCCAATCCTGTTGATGGGCACCTAGGTTAATTCCATGTGTTTGCTATTGTGAATAGTGCTGTGATCAATATGTGAGTGCATGTGTCTTTTTGGTACAATGGTTTTTCTTTTGGTTGTATACCTGGTAATGGGATTGCTGGGTCGAGTGGTAGTTCTTTTAAAGTTCTTTCAGAAATGTCCAGACTGCTTTCCACAGTGGCTGAAGTAATTTACATTCCCATCAATAATGTATAAAGGTTTCCTTTTCTCTGTAGCCTTGCCAACATCTGTTGTTTTTTGACTTTTTAGTAATAGCCACTCTGACTGATGTGAGATGATAACTCATTGGGATTTTGATTTGCATTTCTCTGATAATTAGTGATGTTGAGCCTCTTTTTTCATGTTTGTTGGCTGCTTGTATGTCTTCTTTTGAGAAGTGTCTGTTCATGTGTTTTTGCCCATTTTTAAATGGGGTTATTTTATTTTATTTTATTTTATTTTATCTTTTGAGCTAGAGTCTTGCCCTGCCACCCAGGCTGGAGTGCAGTGGCGCGATCTCGGCTCACTGCACGCTCCACCTCCCGGGTTCACGCCATTCTCCTGCCTCAGCCTCCGGAGAAGCTGGGACTACAGGCTCCCGCCAACACGCCCGGCTAATTTTTTTGTATTTTTAGTAGAGACGGGGTTTCCCTGTGTTAGCCAGGATGGTCTCGATCTCCTGACCTCATGATCCGCCTGTCTCGGCCTCCCAAAGTGCTGGGATTACAGGCATGAGCCACCGTGCCCGGCCTAAATGGGACTATTTTTTGCTTCAGTTGTTTAAGTTCATTATCAATTCTGGATATGAAACCTTTGTCAGATACATGGTTTGTGAATACTTTCTCCCATTCTGTAGGTTGTCTGTTTTCTAACTTGATAGTTTCTTCTGCTATACAAAAGCTCTTTAGTTTAATTAGATCTCAATTGTCAATTTTTGTTTTTGTTGCAGTTGCTTTTGAGGACTTAGTCATAGAGTCTTTCCCAAGGTGCCAGTGCCCAGAGTGGTGTTTCCTAGGTTTTCTTCTAGGATTCTTATAGTTTGAGGTCTTACATTGAAGTCTTAAATCCATCTTGAGTTAATTTTTGTATATGGTAAAGGTAGGCATCCAGTTTCATTCTCCTGCAAATGGCTTGGCAGCTATCCCAGCACCATTTATTGAATAGGGAATCCTTTCCCCATTGCTTATTTTTGTTGACTTTGCCAAAGATTAGATGGCTGTAGGTATGTGGCTTTATTTCTAGGCTATGAATTAAAAAAAATATAGGATTAACATGCAAAAGGCTTTAAAGGAAAAAGTAGACAATATGCAAGAACAGATGGATAATGTAAGCAGAGAGATGGAAATTTTAAGAAAGAATAAAAAATAGTAAAAAATATTGTAACAAATGAAGAATTTCATTGATAGGCTCATTAGTATACTGGACTTTTAAAAATCTCTGAGCTTGAGGATATTACAAAAAGCTTCCAAAACTGGAAAGCAAGAAGAAAAATGACAGAGAAAAACTCCCTCAGAACAGAATGTGCAAGAACTGTGAGACAGCTGCCAAAGGTGCAAAATATACATAAGGAAATACCAAAGCAGCAGAAAAAAAGAAAGGAACAGAAGCAATATTTTAAGTAATAACTGAGAATTCCCCCAAATGAGTGTCAGATATCAAACTACAGATCCAGGAAGCTCAGAGAGCACCAAAGATGGTAAGTGCCAAAAATCTACACTTAGCCACACCATATTCAAACTTCAGAAAATCAAAGGTAAAGAAACCATCTTGAAAGAGGCCAGGGAGGAAAAATACCTTACCTATAGAGAAACTAAGATAAAAATTACATCCAACTTCTCAGAAATCATGCAAGCAAGAAGAGAATAGTGAAATATTTAGTGTTGAGAGAAAGAAGCCCACCACCTAGAATTTTATATCCTGCCATGTTGTGTTACCCTTCCAAAGTAAAGGAAGAATAAAGACTTACTCAAAGTGAAAATTGAGGGAATTTGTTGCAAATCCGATTTGTAAGAAATATGTATAAAAGACTTAAAGCAAAAATTGAGGGAATTTATTGCAAATCTGATTTGTAAGAAATATGTAAAAAAAAAAAGTTCAGAGAGAAGGAAAATAATATAGGTCAGAAGCTTGAATCTTAAAAACTTTTATATTCCTTGTTCATAATTGATCTGACAGATAACAGTTTGTTAAAATAATAATAGTGACCATGTATTCGATTATGCTTCTGTGGGTTTGTATATGTGTGTGTATCTATACATGGTACTTAGGTATAAGTGAAATGAATGACAGCAATGATGCAACAGATGAAAGAGTGAATTTAGGAATATTTGGTTATTATAAGGTACTTGGACTGCTTATGAAGTGGTATAGCATTGTTTGAGAGTGGACTTGAATGAGTTGTAAGTGTTTATTGCAAACTCCAGGGAAACCGCTGAGAGAAGTAAAAATTGAAAAAGAAGAAGGGGAAGGAGAAGGAAGGGAAAGATGAGAACAGTTATTCCTCAGTATACATGGGCAATTGGTTCCAGGGCTCCTTGAGTATACCAAAATCCTCACTTACTCAAGTCATGCAGATGGCCCTGTTGAACTTGTGTATACAAAACGTTGGTGCTACATATATGTAGTTTTCACATCCCACAAATACTGTATATATTTTTTTTTTTTTGAGATGGAGTCTTGCTCTGTCACCCAGGCTGGAGTGCAGTGGTGCGATCTCAGCACTCACTGCATCTTCTGCCTCCTTGGTTCAAGCAACTCAATTCTCCTGCCTCAGCCTCCGGAGTCACTGGGATTACAGGCGCCTGCCACTGCGCCCGGCTAATTTTTGTATTTTTAGTAGAGACGGGATTTCAGCATGTTGGCCTGGCTGGTCTCAAACTCCTGACCTCGTGATCCACCAGCCTTGGCCTCCCAAAGTGCTGGGATTACAGACGTGAGCCACCACGCCTAGCCAAATACTGTATTTTCTATCTGCTTTTAGTAAAAAGACATCTGCATATAAGAGGACCCATGCAGTTCAAACCCATGTTGTTTAAGGGTCAACTGTATAATCAATATGCCAAGAAAAGGGAGAAAATGAAATCATATAATGTGCTCAGTTAAAACCACAAAAGGCAGAAAAAGTGTAAAAGACGGAAATAGGAACAAAGAACAGGGGCCACACACAGAAACCTGTAATAAATATGATAGATACTAGTCCAGACTATATCAATAATCACTGTGGTTAAATATACCAATTAAAAGACAGAGATTAGTAGAGTGAATTAAAAAGCAAGACCCAACTATATGTTATCAACTAGAAACCCACTTTAAGTTTAAAGACACAAAGATTAAAAGTAAAGGAATGGAGAAAGATATATCATGCTAACATTAACCAAAATAAACTGAGGGTAGCTATATTAATAGTAGACTTCAGAGCACTGTACGTTATCAGGGATAAATAGGACGTAATGACAAAGGGTAAGTAATCCAAGAAGATACAACAATTCTTAATATCTATATGCCTAACAACAAAGCATCAGAATATGTGAGGCAAAAACTGATAGAACTACAATGAGAAATATATGAATGTACTATTATAATTGGACACTTTAACACTCCTGTATCAGAAATTGACAACTCCAGTAGACAAAAAATCAATAAAGACATAGTTGAAGTTGATAGCAGTATCAATCAACTGGGTATAATTGACATCTATAGACTACTTCAAATAACAGCAGATTACACATTCTTCTCAAGCTTACACGGAACATTCACCAAGATAAACTTCATTCTAGGCCATAAAACAAACCTTAACAAACTAGAGATCATGCCATATCTGTTCTCAAAGCACAATAAAATTAAATAGAAACCAGTAACTGAAAGATAGCTAGAAAATCCCAAAATATGTGGAAGATTAAACAACTTCTAAATAATACATAGTTCAAAGAAGGAATCTCAAAAACACTTAAAAATATTTTGAAATAAATCAAAATGAAAATACAGTTTATCAAAATTTGTGAGATGTAGTGAAACCAGAGCTTAGAGGGGAATTTATTGGATTGAATGCATTTATTAGAAAAGATGAAAGATCCAAAATTGGCCGAGCGCGGTGGCTCATGCCTGTAGTCCCAGCACTTTGGGAGGCCGAGGGGGGTGGATCACGAGGTCAGGAGATTGAGACCATCCTGGCTAACATGGTGAAACCCTCTCTCTACTAAAAATACAAAAAATTATCCGGGCGTGGTGGTGGGTGCCTGTAGTCCCAGCTACTTGGGGGTGCCGAGGCAGGAGAATTTTGTGAACCTAGGAGGCGGAGCTTGCAGTGAGCCGAGATCACGCCACTGCACTCTAGCCTGGGCGACAGAGTGAGACTCCATCTCAAAAAAAAAAAAAGATCTAAAATCAGTAATCTAAAGTTCCACATTAGGAAACAGAAAAAGAACACATCAAATCCAAAGTAAGTAGAAGAAAAGAAATATAATAAAAGTTAGAGCAGGAATCAGTGAAATGAAAATCAGTAAACACCTAGAGAAAATCAATAAAATCAAAAGCTGGTTCTTTAATAAGATTAGTAAAATAGGTAATCTTTTAGCTAGACCAGCTAAAAAGAAAGGATACAAATTACTAATATCAAAAATGAAAGAGCAGCATCTTTACAGATCCCATTGACATTAAAAAGATGATAAAGGAATATTATCACTGACCCTGTGCTTATGAATTTCATAACCTAGATGAAATGGACCAGTTATTTGAAAGGTACAATCTGCCAAAAGTCACACAAGAAGAAATAGACAATCTGAATAGGCCTGTATCTAGCAAAGAAGCTGAATCTACAATTAATAATCTTCCCAAACAGAAAGTACCAGGTCCAGATGGGTTCACTAGTGAGTCTACCAAATATTTAAGGAAAAACTTAAGCCAGTTATTCACAATCTTTTCCAGAAGACAGAAGTAGGGGAAATACATCTTAATTCATTCTGCCATTATCCTAATTCAAAAAACACATATTGCAAGAAAAGCCAAGTACATACTAACATCTCTTACAAACATAATGCAAAAATCCTCCACAAAATTAGCAAATTTGATCCAAAAATGTATGAAAAATTATATACCACAACCAAGTGGGATTTATCCCAGGTATGCAAGGCTGGCTTAATATTGGATAATCAGTTAGTGTAATCTAGCACATTAACAGGCTAAAGAAGGAAAATCACAGGGTTGTGTCAATAGATTCAGAAAAAGCATTTGATAAAATCCAACACTAATTCATTATGAAGACTTTCAGTAAATTAGGAAGAGAGAGGAACTTTCTTACCTGATAAAGAACATCTAAAAAACCCTACAGCTAATATCATAGTTGATGTTAAGAAACTGGAACCTTTCCTGCAAAGATTAAGCACAAGGCAAGAATGTCCCCTCTAATCATTGCTTTTCAGCATCATTCTGTTCTAGCTGATGCAGTAAGACAAAAAATGGAAATAAAAGGTATATAGATTGAAAAGGAAGAAGTAAACTGTCATTGTTCACAGATGACAAGATTATGAAGAAAATTCAAAAGAATCAAGAAAATTACTTCTGGAACTTGTAAACCACTATCACTTTCTCTTATTGCCAGCAGTGAACAAGTGGAATTTGAAATTAAAAACACAATACCATTTACATTAGCAACCCCCAGAATGAAATTTATAGGTATAAATCTAACAAAATATATACAAGATCTATGTAAAGAAACCTACAAAACTGATGAAAGAAAACAGAAGAACTAAATAAATATAGAAGTATTCTATGTTCATGGATAGGAAGACACAGCATCATCAGAATGTCAGTTCTTCCCAACTTGATCTATAGATTCAATACAATCACAGTCAAAATCCCACTAAGTTACTTTGTGGCTATCAAGAAACTGATCCTAAAGTTTATATGGAGAGGCAGAAGATCCAGAACAGTCAACACAATATTAAGGGAAAAGAACAAAGTTGGAGAATTGACACTGCCCAAGTTCAAGACTTACTGTAAGACTGCAGTTATCAAGACAGTATGGCACTAGTGAAAGAATAGACCAATAGATCAGTGGAACACAATAGAGCCCAGACACAGACCCTTGTAAATATAGTCAAATGATCGTTGGCAAAGGAATAAAGGCAATACAATGGAAAAAAGATATAATATTTTCAAAAAATAATGTTGGAATAACCTGACATTCACATGCAAAAGAAATCAATCAAGACACAGACCTTACACCAGGCAGATTACAATCCAAGATTGTGTCTTTGGTGTAGTATCTAGAAAGTCATTGATAAGACTTGATAAGCTGGAATTTCATTAAAGTTAATTTTTTTTTTCTCTGCAAAAGACACTGTGAAGAGAATTAAAGGACAAGCCACAGGCTGGGAGGAAAATATTTGCAAAAGATATATTTGATAAACGACGACTACTTAAAATATACAAATAATTCTTCAACGTCAACAGTAAGAATATAAACAACCTGATTAAAAAATGAGCTAAAGACCTTAACAGACGCCTCACCAAAGAAGATTTGTAGATGGCAGGTAAACACGTGAAAAGATGTACCACATCATATGTTGTCAGGAAAATGCAAATTAAAATGTGAGATACCACCATGTACCTATTAGAATGCCCAAAATTCAGAACACCGATGACACAAAATGCTGACTAGCATATGAAACAATAGGAACTCATCCATTGCTGGTGGGAATGCAAAGTGGCACAGCCACTGTTTTTTTTTTTTTTTTTTTGAGACAGAGTCTTACTCTGTTGCCCAGGCAGGAGTGCAGTGGTGCAATCTCAGCTCACTACAACCTCCACCTTCCGGGTTCAAGTGATTCTCCTGCCTCAGTCTCCCGAGTAGCTAGGATTCCAGGCATCTGCCACCACTCCTGGCTAATTTTTTGTATTTTTAGTAGAGACAGGCTTTCACCATGTTGGCCAGGCTGGTCTCGATCTCCTGACTTCCGGTGATCCCCCCGCCTCAGCCTCCCAAAGTGCTGGGATTACAGGCATGAGCCATCGTACCCGGCTGGCACAGCCACTTTTAAAGACGGTTTGGCAGTTTCTAACAAAACTAAACATACTCTTAACCATTTAACCCAGCAATCATGCTTCTCCGTATTTTCCCAAATGAATTGAAATATGTTCACGCAAAAACCTGCACGCAAATGTTTATAGCAGCTGTATTCATAATCACCAAAACTTGGAAATAACCAAGATGCCTTTTAGTAGGTAAATGCATAAATGAGTTAAGGTACATTTTGACAATGAAATATTAGCACTAGAAAAAAATGAGCTATCAGGCCTTGAAGAGACATGGAGGAACCTGAAATTCATATTAGTAAGTGAAGCCAACCTGAAAAGGCTGCACAGTGTATGATTATGACTGCATGACATCTAGAAAAGGCAAAAACCATGGAGACTGTAAAAAGATTAGCCATTATTATGGGTTACAGGGGAGAGAGGGGTGAATAATCAGAGAACAGGGTTTTTAGGGCAATGAAACTATTATGTACAGTACTATAATAGTGCATACATGTCATTATACATATGTCAAAGATGGTAGAATGCACAACATCAAGAGTGAACCCTAATGTTAACTATGGACTTTGGTTGATAATACTGGGTCACTGTAGGTTCATTGATGGTAACAAATGTACCATTCTTCTGTGGGATGTTGATATTGGAGGAGGTTGTGTCTGTGTAGGGACAGGCGGTAAATGGGAACTCTGTACTTTCCACTCAGTTTGGCTGTGACCCTAAAACAGTCTTAAGAAACAAATTTTATTAAAAAATAAGTCTCAGAAGAAAAAATATGCAAAGGATATCTGCAGAAAGTTTACAAAAGCAGCTAGGCTTTTCCAGGTGGCCAGGAAAATGGCCTGGATATAATCCCAGCTAATTCAGAAAAGTACATGGTGCAAGTTCAGAACTGGGGCTTGTTCAAGAAGCATAGTTTAAAACCAGAAGGAATTAAAAAGGAATTCTATTTGTCTTCAAAGAGTGTATTAAAGGGAACTTAATTCATAACCACATTAATATTTTTTACAAGTTCCTTTTCTCTTTTCCTTGCTTCCTGCTGCCCAGGAACTTCTCACTGGTCAAACTCTAAAGCTTTCTTCCTAAATCCCAACCAACAAGGTTTCTTCTCATCAACATTTCCTTCTTTATTCCTTTATTATATTGATCAACTTAGTTCCAGCAAATCTTCCTTTTTAGGAAGGGCAGAATGAGTAGAGGAGGAAGACTGAGTACACTCACATGTTAATAAATTTTGGCATGTCACACTAAGAAAGTGTTTTTGGTCTCACTGATTATTAAAGAAATCCAGATAAAAATTTTCTTACCTGCCAAATTAGCAGCTATTAAATAGAAGGATACTGCTGTATTGTTGAGAATGTGTGGATACCAGTAAGTTCTTATTGGAGAGAAGAAAGACTAAATTTTGGCAGGGGGAGAAATTGTACACGTTTGCCTTCTCATGGATGTCAGGCTTCGATTCTGAATCCCACCTGTAAGACTTTATCTCAGGCCTGTTTCAGGTTATGTGTGTGTTGATGGGGGGTGGGTACTGTGGGGGGAGGAGGGCTATCTAGTATGTGTTTAAAAGCTCTATTTGCATCCCTGTTTGTTTTACATTCTCAAAAGTGACTCTACACTATTTATCTTGAAATTGTTTGTACAGCCTATGCTCAAATCTTCTGTGATGCTTCTTGAACAAACATTCTCAGTTCCTACCCCAGACCAACTAAATCAGAATCTCTGGGTAGGACCCAGTAATTTTTTTAAAAGCCCACCATAATTAAATATATAATTAGCTATATGGTTAAATAATCAGAGCCATTATAACAGACTCTAAAGTTGTGAACTTCTGCTCTGCTATGAAGCTTCCAATCCCATTCAGCTGAAACCCTGAAAATACTTGTCCATCTCTAAAATCTTGAATTTTCAATCATCTTACCGTGAAATTCCTTTGTGTTACTTAGCATCCTCCCTTCTTTTTATGTCTGGTTCTAAGGAGGAACATGTATGCCTTGCTAAAAATCACTCGAGGAAGCTTTTTTTTTTTTTTTTTTGAGACGGACTCTCCTACTGTCACCCAGGCTGGAGTGCAGTGGCGCGATCTCGGCTCACTTCAAGCTCCGCCTCCCTGGTTCATGCCATTCTCCTGCCTCAGCCTCCTTAGTAGCTGGGACTACAGGCGCCCGCCACCATTCCCAGCTAATTTTTTAAAAAATATTTTTAATAGAGACGGGGTTTCACCGTGTTAGCCAGGATGGTCTCGATCTCCTGACCTCGTGATCCGCCTGCCTAGGCCTCCCAAAGTGCTGGGGTTATAGGCGTGAGCCACTGTGCCCAGCTGAGGAAGCTTTTTTAAATGGAGATAAGACCTTGCTGTGTCACTCATGCTGGAGTACAGTGGTATGATCATAGCTCACCTCAAACTCCTGGGCTCAGTTGATCCTGTCTCAGCCTCCCGAGTAGCTGGGACTGCAGGCTTGTGCCACCAAGCTCGGCTAACATTTTATTTTTATTTTTTGTAGAGACAGGGTCTTGTTTTGTTGCCTGGGGTGGTGTTGAACTCCTGGCCTCAAGTGTGCTGGGATTATAGATGTGAGCCACCTCTGTGTCTGGCCCCCTATTTCTATTATTGACCTGTTTCAATCTGCATAGCAAGCAGAGTGGCCTTTTTAGTGCACAAATGAGAGAACCTCTTAAAACTCCCTCCAGTGGCTTTCCTTGCACTTGGATTAAATTTCATGTTTGCCCACAAAGCCTTGTGTGAGCTGGTCCCTGCTTGCCTTTCCAAATTCATCTTATTATCATTATCCTCCTGGCCCACTAAGCTTCAGTCCTATTGGCCTTTCTTCTGTTTCTGTAAACATGTCAGCCTCCTTTTTCCTTAGGGTCGTTGATTCTGCTGTTCCCTGCTTCAGAATGAGCAACTGTCTCACCTGCATTGGCTTCTTAATGCTATTCAGATTCCGTGGTGACTCCTTCATTTATTACCCAATCTCACCTAACCACCTAATCACTCCTGGGTCATCCTGTTGCAGTTCTCTGCATTGTACTTAACCACTGGCTGCTGTTGTTGTTTTCTGTTTCCTCCTCCAATTAGAATGTGAGCTCTGTTAGAGCAGGAATGTTGTCTGCCCTGTTTTATTGTAGTAGTCTCAGTACCTATATATCTCCTATATAACATCCTCTAGGAATTTGGGTGGTTATCTATAGCCAGAAAAGTACAGAAACAAGTAATGACTTTATACATTAGGTTTATTATACTTTTTGTCCATAGGGCACCCATAACATTTTATGTAGTATACCTCAACCAAAATCAGCCATAACAGAATGATCAGTTTAAGGGTGTCATGGCAGAGTGTGGCTTGTAGCAGCTCAAGTGGAATGAGCAAGGAAGCAGAATAGGGAAAACTGCCCATGAAACACAAGCATGTGGACCCTGGTGGTTGGAGATACTGCTTAATCTATCAAAATGATCCACATCCCAGAGGAGGCTAGGATGGAGACTCAATGATCATACTCTAAGCAGTCACCAGGAGATTTTAGGAGTTGAAGGGGCAGAACTACGAAAGTTGTCAAAGGCAAATTAATCAACAAGTATCCAGGAGAATCTGAAAGTAATGGGAAGAAACCAGATAAATGGGAAGAAAAATTGCTCTGGATTCACAGCAAAGAATAATGTTGAGTCAACTTTAGCTTTTTCAGCTCGTGCTGGTGAGAGCCAATCTCAGTTTATTAGGCTTGCCCGTAGGAATAAAAAGCAGCTGGTCGGTTGTGAGTGTGGTATTCAGAGGGAGGGAGTAAGGGACAGGAGTAAGGGTGGGGCAGGCACATTACTGGTATAGAAACCTTTAGCAGAAACTCACATGTTAGATCCATCATAGATCATGCAGGTCTTTTAGTCCATTGTCTCCCAAACTTTTCATAGAAAGGATCTCTTAAATTGTTTTTTCCACTATTAATTTCACACTACGAAAATGTTTTTGCTCAGAACGCTTAATTATTAATAATTTGTCTCCCAGTTTTTAGCAAAAGATTCTAATTAGGGCAACATATTAGTATCTATACTGAATTGACCTAAGTTGAACTAAAAGCCCCCCCAAAAACCCCTAAAAAACCTACAATTTTAGTTAGGGAATTTCACATTTAAATGATTGTTTCATTTAGATTTTGGAAGTATTAAAAATGGCCTGTGGCCTTTAGGTTGAGAGCTTTTGGAACTTGGTCATTAAAGGCCTAAGCATATTTCTCAGGCCCTTTGTCTTTAAATATATCTTTGTGTGTCACTTAAGGGCTAAGCTTTTTTACATGGATCATTTAGCTTTAAGACTCAGTTTCCCCATCTGCAAAATGGGTATAATAATAGTATCTACTTCCAGGAGTTATTTTGAAGATCATTTGAAGCACTTGGCATATTGGGTGATACATAGTATGTGCTCAGTAATTGTTACCCATTATTCTGTTTTTATTGCTGTTATCTACAGCTGTGCAGCTCATGTTTCTCGGAATAGTCTTGTAGATTTTGGATTCAAAGTTTGATCTTTTTATCCGTAAGAATTGATTCCAAGTTAGAGTGAGACCCTGTATCAAAAAAATAAAATAAAAATAATTGATTCCCTTTCTTTTAGCTCCAAGAAATACAGAGTTGAACAAAGAATATATTATATTGGCAGTTGTGGGTGGAAGGAGAGTTGAAGAGCTGGCAGCTGGCAGGTTTTTTTTTTTTTTTTTTTTTTTGAGACAAAGTCTCGCTCTGTCACCCAGGCTGGAGTGCAGTGGCGCAACTTGGCTCACTGCAAGCTCCGCCTCGCGGGTTCACACCATGCTCCTGCCTCAGCCTCCCGAGTAGCTGGGACTGTAGATGCCCGCCACCATGCCCGGCTAATTTTTGTATGTTTATTAGAGACGGGGGTTTCACTATGTTGGTCAGGCTGGTCTTGAACTCCTGACCTCTTGATCCACCTGCCTCGGCCTCCCAAAGTGCTGGGATTACAGGCATGAGCCACGGTGCCTGGCCGCCGGCAGGTTTTTAAAGCTAACATTTTATACAAAAAACAGCTTTTCTAGTTTCAGTGAGCACAAACAAGCTTTAACTTCAGTGGTAAGTGGGTTACTGATGTGCAGCTGCTGGTGATGTTTTAGGGGTAACCTTACTTGGGAGAAAGGAGATAGAAGTGAAATCTGCAAACTGGCAAAATTTGTAAAACTGATTCTGACCTTAATTGTCTCTCATGCATTCCATTTTCTTGCAACATGTTTCACAATAGGAATCAATATAGAAATGAATGTACATAAATAAGTATATTTCCTTGGTAGCCATTTGGCATATTATTTCAACACAGGAAGGAAAATATTTCCCTTATAAATTATCAGTCTTATTTACTACCTTTAGAAAAATGATAAATTTGGCCGTATTTTAAATACCAAAATGAAGTCTTTACCCTGTCCCTGCCTCCTTTCTTCTCGCCTTCTTTTTCTTTCTTAGGACCATTATCAGTTTGTTCATAGGTGATGATTTTGCTGGAGAATTAATAAAGCAATCATGTGGCAGAAATAGTAGTAGTATTCTTTTTTTGTTTTGTTTTGTTCTTTTTTTTTGAGATGGAGACTCACTCTGTTGTCCAGGCTGGAGTGCAGTGGCGCGACCTTGGCTCACTGCAAGCACCGCCTCCTGGGTTCACACCATTCTCCTGCCTCAGCCTCCCTAGTAGCTGGGACTATAGGCACCCGCCACCATGCCTGGCTAATTTTTGTATTTTTAGTAGAGATGGGGTTTCACTGTGTTAGCCAGGATGGTCTCGATCTCCTGACCTCGTGAATCACCCTCCTCGGCCTCCCAAAGTGCTGGGATTACAGGCGTGAGCCACCGTGTCTAGCCGGTATTATTCTTACTAAAACAATTTTTAAAAATGTGGACAGAATAATAGAGTTAGTACCTTTGAAAAGTATGGGGGAAAGGGCTGAAAAATGTGACACAATTAGCAATGAAGTTTTTAACTGTGAAATAAAAGCACGATTAACATCAGTATCTTTTTCACAGTCTTTTTCAATGAATCACTTTGTCTTCTTCAACACCTTTGTAGCTACTGTAAAATTTACATGACTGTGAAATTCCATGCCTTTAAAATTCATATAACTAAAGTATTGTAAACTCTATTCATAGCATTGAATAAAATGGCACTAAAATGAGCTGATAATATGGACATTCATGTGTCCTGATTCAGCTACCGCGTCTGGCAGGTTCAAGAGCCAGAGGCCTGGGTTCAAGCTGTGGTCATACCTCTTAAGGACTGGGAATCTTGGGCACTTTACTCAGTTTTTATGTCTTCGTGTCCTCATCCATAGGAATTGGGAATTATGAAGTCTATCTTATATGAATGTAGTAGTTCGTGTTATAATTTTAAAGTGATATACAGAGGAAAAACATATTATTTGAAAAATGTATTAACTGTTTTATGTTGTTTTTGTTTTTTAACCAAGCTACCTTCTATAGTTAAACATACATTTATCTATCTATCCATCCATCCATCCATCCATCTGTGCATCCATGCATCCATCTGTGCATCCATGCATCCGTGCATCCATCCATCCATCCATCCATCCATCCATCCATCCATCCATCCATCCTTCCATCCATCCATCCATCCATCGAGACAGTCTTGCTCTGTTGCCCAGGCTCAGTGGCCCGATCTCAGCTCACTGCAACCTCTGCCTCCCAGGTCCAAGCGATTCTCCTGCCTCTGCCTCTCAAGTAGCTGGGATTACAGGCGTGTGCCATGACTTGGCTGATTTTTGTATTTTTAGTAGAGACAGGGTTTTGCCATGTTGGACAGGCTGGTCTCGAACTCCTGACCTCAAGTGATCCACCCACCTTGGCCTCCCAAAGTGCTAGGATTACAGGCGTGAGCCACCATGCCCTGCCACAGTTCTTTTTTTTTTTTTTTTCCTTTGGAGACAGGGTCTCACCCTGTTGCCCAGGCTGGAATAAGGTGGCATGGTATTGGCTCATTGCAACCTCTGCTTCCTGGGCTCAAGCAATCCTCCCATCTCAGCCTCCCAAGTGGCTGGGACTACAAGTGTGCACAACCACACCTGGCCAATTTTTGTATTTTTTTGTAGAGATGGGGTATCACCATGTTACCCAAGCTGGTCTCGAACTTCTGGGCTCAAGCAGTTCTCCCGCCTCGGCCTCCCACAGTGCTGGGATTATAGGCATGAGCGACCATGCCTGGCCTTACAGTTAAACATGTATTTATTATGGACTGTTCTAAATAACACATGAATTACATGCCAGGCCTCTCAGTTTGTTATTTACATTTACCCCTAGTAAGACCTTAAAATATGACTAATTCAAGGCTGATCTACCTAATATGAATATGTTTAGGTACAAAGTAGACTACTAAGTGTTAGTAGAGTTTTTTGAGGCAGTAGCATTATAATAGGTAAAAATGATTTATAAATATCATGTAAAGCATTTTAAAGTACATAGCTTCACCTAAAACAAAAGGATTTATTCAATAATGATTTTCTTCTGAAATATTTTAACGTCTTCTTTGATATTGTGTATGTTTATAAATTTGCTTTTTAAATATTTGCATAAAATAAAGTTCAGACATTTGAATTTATAAATCCTTAATGAACAGGGCTTGAGGTAATGAGATTCAATTCTGAATTTGTTTTTTAATTGTTTGATTTTTCTTTTTTTCTTAGTATTTGGGTGTATAGCCTTTCAGACATGGCTGAAAGGATACCCTTCAGTATTCTCTAAACTGTTGTTTTTCATTATATCTTTGCTATGGGGACTAGAATGTAAATTTTTTTCACTTGACACGAAGGCCATGATCTACATTAGTATGTTGGTCTCTAGTCAGTCTTGCCTATACATTTTACACAAGTTTAGAAGTTTTGTTGTCTACTTTTTAGTGCATCCACTAAAGGCAGGTCACCAAAGGCAAAGCCAGACTAACAGCTATTATCAGAAAAGAAAATATAACAAGTGTGAGACTGTGGAGAAATCGGAACCCTTGTCTGCCTACTGGTGTTGGGAATGCAAAATGGTGCAGCTGCTATGGAAAATAGTATGAAGGTTCCTCAGAGAATTAAAAAGAGAACTACCATATGATCCAGCAATCCTGCTTCTGAGTATTTATCCAAAAGAATTGAAATCAGCATCTTGAAGAGACATTAGCACTCCTGTGTTCATTGCAGCACTATTCAGAATAACCAAGATGTGGAATCAACCTAGATGTCCCATTGATGAATAAAGGAAATGTGGTATATACATACAATGGAATATTATTTAGACTTAGAAAAAGAAGGAAATACTGTCATGTATGACAACATGGATGAACTTTGAGGACACTGTGTCAGTGAAATAAGCTAATTACAAGGTCAAATACTGTATGATTTTAGTGATAAGAAGAATCTACAATAATCAAAGTCATAGTAGCAGAGGGTAGAATGGTAGTTCCCAGGGGCTCATGGGAGGTG
Organism: Homo sapiens; assembly: GCF_000001405.40. Classification (NCBI taxonomy): domain Eukaryota; kingdom Metazoa; phylum Chordata; class Mammalia; order Primates; family Hominidae; genus Homo; species Homo sapiens. The sequence continues at coordinate 63,498,883 of NC_000010.11, read as the reverse complement.
GAATTTCAGAGAGTTGTTGCTCAATGGACGTAAAGATTCAGTTATGCAAGATAAACAAGTTCTAGAGATCTGTGTAACACTGTGTTATAGTTAGTTAACAATAACACTGTACTGTATACTTAAACATTTGTTAAGAAGGTAGATCTCATATTAAGTGGTCTTACCACAATAAAAAAAAAATAGGAGTCCTAGAAAACTTGAGTGATATATCTCTTTTTAGTCTGTTTTTATTCAGGTTTCATAATTTGGCACTACATTTTCCAGGTTTTTTGGTAGGGGGTGTAGGGTCGGGGCCCCACACTTTTACCTCATTAACTCCTGAGGGCCTTGCTATATAGTAATGATATTTAAAGTGATGACATTGTTTAGTTAAGGAAAGACAAAATTAAATATAATTTAACATTCTTCAGGAAGGTTAAAAAATGTTACATGTTTTGGAAGTGGAAAATGTGAAAGTAGAAGCTTTTTTTCACTAGGGGCAAAAATAAAACATTTTAATAGTAATCAGATAAGGGATTGTTTTCAAATATGTAAAGCTTATCTGAAGCCCCTTGTTTCTTGCTGATGAGAATAGAATATTAAAGGCAGAGAATGGTCACTTTTACAACTGTACAGCATGTTGATAATTCATCTTCTTATGCAGACTACATGATTTGCTCCCATCCTCAAACTTACTGCCCTTTGGTCTCCATTCTTTGTTTTCATTAGATCAGTGACTTGCTATTTTTTAGTCATGTTATTTACTTATTGAGGAAAAACTGTCAGTATCTGACTCTTGATTTCATTGCTGTAGTATATGCTCGTGATATTTTTATTACAGAGACCGTATCACTCTTTGATAGGTATCTTCTTCATCTCTCCATGAAGTATAACTTCACTGCACAACTCATAGTGATTGGTTGCTTTGACATTTAACAAAGGTTTTTGCATTATCTTTTCTTTGTTTTCTGAAGGATTTGATTTTTTTATTCCACCTCATCTGAAGGTTATGTTTGGAATCCGTTTTCAAGCAAAATTTATCTGAGCTTTTATTCTGATGTTTTCTCTAAAGTTTGCTACTTGCGCCTCCACTTTCCCAGGTACTTAGGGTTTTTTAGGGAGGTCGTTACTCCCAGTTTGCAAAGAAAGCTTGAACAACTTTAGAGCAGAAAATTGACTTGTTACTTCCTTTACAGTTTTCTTAACTTTCTAAAACCATTCATTCATAGACTTTTAAAATAATAGCTTTATTGAGGCATAATTCACATACCATGTAATTCACCCAATTAAAGTACACAGTTGTATGGTTTTTAGCATGTTCACAGAGCTGTGCAACCATTACCACAATTTGAAATTCTTCATCAGCCCTGAAAGAAACTGTCTTTTAGCAGTCACTTCCCATTTCCTTCAACCCATCTGGCTGAGGCAAACGCTAATATCCTTCTGTCTCTATAGATTTGCCTGTTCTGGACATTTCATATAAATGGAATCATATAATATGTGGTCTTTTGTGACTGGCTTCTTTCACATTGCAAAAAGTTGTAGCATTTATTGGTACTTCATTTTATTACTGAATAATAGTCCATTGTATACATAAACATTTTATATCATCAGTTGATGGATATTTGGGTTGTTTCCACTTTTTGGCTGTTACGAATAATGCTGCTGTGAACATATATGTACAAATATTTGTAGCCATATGTTTTCATTTCTTTTGGGTGTTTTTTTTTTAAGTAAACTAAGATTAATCAAGTTCTAAAGGAAAAGAAGTTGGGTGCTACTTTTGGAAAAAATCTTCTGTGAATAATATAACATTTCTCTCATTCTCTTTTTATCCTCATGTATTTTTGCCAGGTTATGCTGCACTAACATGTTCGGATAACATGTACAATAACAAAGGTTTGTTTCTTTCATATGTTACATGTTATAATTGGCTGGGGCTCTGTCTTACCTCTCTTTTCATCCAGTATTCAGACTAAGGAAACACCCTTCTTTGGGACATCTTGTTCTTATTATAACCAAAGGAAAAAGCAACAGAACTAGTGGAAACATGCATTTAAAGCCTTTGCTCAGAACTGACATATGTCACGTTTCTGGTCACATTTCACTGGTCTAGGCAAGTGATATGACCAAACCTAAGAATTGAGCAGGGAAATATAAACTGACTATAGGTAGGCACTGAAAATCACATGGCATTAGGTGGGGTCATATATAGTCTTCATTTGTAGAAGGAGACACAAATGATTTGGGACAGAAACTGAGGCTATCACAGCTCAGAAGAAGTAATGAAACTTGTGGAGGAAAGCTGAAGAAGACTCAAGTGGCATGGAGTGAGGTTAGTGGAGCTCCATGTCTCTGAATTCAAGGGACTCTCCCACAGTCTGCAAATATTTAGAAATAAACCAGAGACCTTTGGAAGAAGAAGAGAGTGGGGAACAAGGCAGAGATCATATTATGTGTGTTATTGTGGGGGATGACTTGGAAGAGGAGAGCTACCCCTAGGTAGTTTCTATATTTCCCCAATTATCTTATTTTTTTTTCTCTTTTTAAAAATAGTTCAAGTTGAGATCAAAATAAAGTCTGCATAGTATGCTGGTCTTAAATTTTTTAAGTTTCTAAAGTTTCTTCTGTCTTCTCCCCCTTCTCTGTCCTCTGTTCTCTTTCTCTTATTTTCTTGTACTTTTTTGGCTGAAAAAAATAAGTTATTTATCCTGTAGTTTTCCTCAGTCTTGATTTTGCTGATTACATACCTGTGGTGTCATTTGACATGTTCTTCTTTTCCTATGTTTCCTACAAATGAGTGGTTGGATTTAGAGGCTTGATCATATTTAGGTTTGAGGTTTTTTTTTTTTTAATTTTTTTTTTTTTTAGTGCAATTGCCTCACAAGTGATATTGTGTATATCCATCAGAGGAACATAATGTCTGTTAGTAGCAATTGGTGGTCATTGCTTAGATCCATTAAGGGTTGAAAGATGTTGATATCCTTTTTTAAAAATATAATTTCTTCTTTAATTGCTAAAATATTTTGAAATAAAGAACTTTTCCTCTGCTCACTTTTTGTTACACTGAGGTATACTTTAAATAGTAAAGGAAGGATAAATGCTTCATTCTTTCCCTTTCTCAATTTTCTTCTTCTTTTTTTTTTTTTTGAGTTAGGAGTTGTTTTTTTTGAGGCTGGAGTGCAATGGTGCGATCTCGGCTCACTGCAACCTCCGCCTCCCACCTGTCTCAGCCTCCCACGTAGCTGGGATTACAGGTGCCTGCCACCACACCCCAGTAATTTTTGTATTTTTAGTAGAGACGGGGGTTTCACCATGTTGGCCAGGCTGGTCTCGAACTCCTGACCTCAGGTGATCTGCCCGCCTCGGCTTCCCAAAGTGCTGGGATTACAGGCGTGAGCCACCACTCGCAGCCTATCAATTTTCAAACTAATGAACTGTTTCCTTAGAGTCTTCCAAAGTTGATGAATGAATTGTTTTTAGTCTTTTTTTTTTTTTATGAATTCTTGGGTTTAAAAAATATTTGATATTTCAGTTCGTTAGTCTCCTTATTGATACATTGGCCAGTGAAAGTCTCCAGATTGGCTCCTATATCTTACCTTAGCAGTCTTTGCTAGCTTCCTTTTTTTTTTGAGATAATCCCAGGATTATCTCATATATGTCCTGACCCAGACCTGGAATCAACTGTTTTCACAAAGAACATTGGTTCCTTTGAGTGAGAAATGGTATGTAGAGACCACATTCTTTGTGCCCGAGGCATTCATTGTTGCTTAGCTTTTCAATGAAGAAAGAAGTTAAAAAAAAAAAATGCGCTAACACTGTGCTTAGCACTTGGAGGAATAGATATAAAACATAGTCACTGTCTTTGTTAATTAAAGTACAGCATTATAAATACTAAATTGTTTGACTTTTGTATGGAAGCTTATAGGAGGGTCTTCTCACATACAGAGGGAAGTGGGACATCAAGGAGGGCTTCCTCAAGGTACTTGACCTCAGCTTTGAGGAATAAAGTGAAGGTACTTTTGAGAGGAGCCTATTCAGATCATATTGTGGTATGCCTTTCTCTCTGTATTAGTGACCTGACCAGTGTGAGCCTCAGTTTCCTCATCAATAAATTTATGATATTTGTCAGCGTACATTTTGCTTCTCTTTAGGTTTTTCTCTGTCAGTAATAATACAATAACAATACTGCAAGGAATATTACTATGTGTGTACTTTTGTGCATTTGTCCATGTATTTTGATAGGACAAGATTTCTAAAAGGGAAATTGCTTAAAGAGTATATATGCATTAAGTTTTTCTTATGGATACTGCCAAATCACAATCAAAGAAGACAATTTAAAACTTTTACTCATGATTGGCTAGTGAAATCTTAAAAATATTTTTTTTACTTATTTATTACCATGTTCTAATTTCTTCCCATAATATAAAAAGAAGTTAATTTAAATATCTTTGCTTTCTAATATACACAATATGATGACATTTTTAACTTAAATGATATGCAGCACTTTTTGAACCTAGAAACTTATTTAATAATGAAGCTTTATAACTCTTTGCTATAGATTAATAACTTTCCAAACTTTTTTTTTTTTTTGAGACGGAGTTTCGTTTATGTTGCCCAGGCTGGAGTGCAGTGGCGCAATCTCAGCTCACCGCAACCTCTGCCTCCCGGGTTCAAGTGATTCTCCTGCCTCAGCTTCCCAAGTAGCTGGGATTACAGGCATGTGCCACCTTGCCCGGCTAACTTTTGTATTTTTAGTAGAGATGGGGTTTCTCCGTGTTGGTCAGGCTGGTCTCGATCTCCTGACCTCAGGTGATCCGCCCGCCTCGGCCTTCCAAAGTGCTGGGATTATAGGCATGAGCCACCAGGCCCAACTTTCCAAACTTTGAAAAGTATTCTGAGTCAGGCTACATAGAAATCATATACCCTACTTCCTGCCAGCTACGGGAAGAAAAGACTCCATGGTTTCTCTCTCTCTTTGTTTTTATTTTTTTCCTTCTTTTTAAAAAATGTGATCAGAGATCTGGATTGGAAAGAAAACATTCTTAGAGTTATTTGAGAGCTTTGTTATTTTCCCAGTTCCTTTCTAACTTTATATGAGTTTATTCCCTCCATTTGTAAAGTGGCTACTCATCTGCTCTGTGAAAATGGCTAATCCCTAAATTAATTTATGTTCAAAAAGAGAACATTTATGCTTCTGTTTTAGGTGCTGTTGAATTTATTATCTAATAATATGTACTTTCAAAAATTAGGAATTAGCCGGGTGTGGTGGCTCACGCCTGTAATTAACAGATTTAAAATTTTATTATAAAAATATGAATTAGGCTGGGGGTGGTGGCTCACGCCTGTAATCCCAGCACTTTGGGAGGCCAAGTCAGGCGGTTCACCTGAGGTCAGGAGTTTGAGACTAGCCTAGACAACATGGTGAAACCCTGTCTCTATTAAAAATACAAAAATTAGCAGGGCGTGGTGGCTGACGCCTATAATCGCAGCTACTCATGAGGCGGAGGCAGGAGTCATGAGGCAGAGGCAGGAGAATCGCTTGAACCAAGGAGGTGGAGGTTTCAGTGAGCCTAGATCATGCCACTGCACTCCAGCCTGGGCAACAAGAGTGAAACTCCATCTCAAAAAAAAAAAAAAAAAAAAAAAAAAAAAGAAATAACAGTTTTGTTCCCATCTACTTAAAAATAGCCTGTGATTCTTACATATATGTTGATTTAGATTGTAGGAATATCTTTTTGCTATGAATACATTATTTTGTTAAGTCTCCATACTCAGTGATTTTGCTTGAATTACGAATGGTGTTGAAAAAAGATAATGGAAAGGTTAACATAGGAGAGAAACGGAAAGAAAGAAAGAAATTCAGGCAATTGAAAATCATCCTTCTATTTCTCCCCCTTAAGCTAACACTTTCACCTGATACTTACCTTGAAGATATATGTGACAGTTATCTAGACTCATATTTCAGTTAGTACCTCACAGCTAAGAGTGTAGACTTTAAGTTCATGTTGGGGTTATTCAGACAAAACTGTAGTGGGTTATTTGTCTGAATTATGTTCAGTTGCTTTGACCTGCATCCACACTTTGAACTTGCCACTTTGAGATTGGCATATTAAAAAGTGTAATTTGTTTTCTTTTCCCTTTTTCTTATATTTTTAGTGATTATTTTTATTAATGTGCTTTTTAAAAATAATCTTTTATTTTTATTTTATTTTATTTTATATTGTTTTGAGACAGAGCCTCACTCTGTCAGCCAGGCTGGAGTGCAGTGTTCGCAATCTTGGCTTACTGCCACCTCTGTCTCCTGGGTTCAGGTGGTTCTCATGCCTCAGAGTCCCGAGTAGCTGTGACTACAGGCCCACGCCACCACGCCACCACGCCCAGCTAATTTTTGTATTTTTATTAGAGACAGGGTTTTGTCATGTTGGCCAGGCTGGTCTTAAACCCCTGACCTCAAGTGATCCACCAACCTTGGCCTCCCAAAGTGCTGGGATTACAGGCGTGAGTCACTGTGCCTGGCCATTTCTTTATAATCTTTTAAATCTTTATTGTAGGCTAAAATTTTTCTTCCCATGATTAATTTCATCAAACTTTGTTCATATCAGAAGGAATCTTTTTATTTGGAGTTTCCGCTTGACTTTGAAAGAAAAAGTGCCAGCCTGGGCAACATGGTGAAACACTGTCTCTACAAAAAATACAAAAAATTATCCAGGCATGGTGGCATGGGCCTGTAGTCCCAGCTGCTTCCGGGGCTGAGGCGGGAGGATCCCTTGAGCCCAGGAGGTCGAGGGTGCAGAGAGCCGAGATCACGCTTTACTCCAGCCTGGGTGACAAAGTCTCGAAAGAGAGAGAGAGAAAGAAGAAAGAAAAAGTTATAATTTACTCTATATGTTGTTTAAAGGAAAAGTTTCTCTGTAAGGAAAAGGAATTTCTGCTAGGTTGCATTCCCCCCGCTCTGCCCCTCTTAGTTTAGAATGAATTCTGTTTTGTGCTGACAAATAGCTGTTTCTGAAGTTGGCAAGAAAATTTCCTCTTGGGACTCCACTAGAAGTGTTGTAGTAGCTATCTGATTCAACTGCTTAGAAAGCTCTCTGAAAGTTGCCTTGTTTGTCTGGAAAGAGTGAGGAGCCCAAACCTGCTTTTTCCCTGGAGGGGGGTTGTAGCTATAAGCTGTTATGGGAAGAACTAGGAGGGATTGTGTCATAACAGTATGAAATTGAGCAATACCAAGGCATAATTAAAATTTCATACTCCAAAGCAAATTTTCAGACACAATAAAGAAGGGCTCTTAAAGATAGGCTTGGGTAGTATTTTATACTCTTATCCACCTTCTTAGGAGATAGAAAGGAAAGAGGAGGAAGATTTTCCTTTTCTTCATTTTCTTTTTATTTAAAACAGTCCACAAGTAAGCTGACTGCCTTATGCGAGTCATTATGCAAGAAAGGAAGGGGGATCAAGAGTTACTGGTGCAGATTCCATCTTACTATAAAATAAAATTGTGGGTCTTTATGTAATATCTTATTGAATACTAATTGTTTTATATTAAAATATTACATGTAAATATTAAGATACCCCATGAAATTATTTTGAATCAGATCAAGTGGCAAGGAGAAAAGAGTCAGTAGTTAAGAATAACTGGGGGAGGGGGTGATGAAAAAGAAAAGTTATAATAGTAAAATGAGATGAGGAAGGTAATAGAAAAGTTGGAAGCAGAGAAGTTAAGTAAAATAACTATTTCTGTTTTCTCCATCTGCCATCTTCATTCTTTGCCAACTTTTAGGCCACCTTGAAGAGATTACCTTGATTATCTTGCCCACACACTAAATTGTGTGACCACAGGGCAAGATACAACAATTCGTCATCTCAGTTTTCTTATTTCTAAGGTTAGTAAACTAGTACTTAGCACATAGAGTTGTTGCATGGATTAAATGAGCTATCTATAGATTGCTCATTAGCGTGCTTCGTGCATGGTAGGTGCTCAGTAAATGTTAACTGTTATTTTTGTCATCACTATTGTTATTAATGCCTCCTTTATTTATTCATGCATTCAACAGATGTTTATTGAATGCTTATATTGGAAGTTGGTGATTAAACAAAACAAAGTTCCTGCCCTTCTTGAGTTCCTGCCCTCAAGAAGCTTTCATTCACTCTTGTGAACAAGACAGTTAATAAGCAAGCAAATAAATAATTAGGCTGGGTGCGGTGGCTCACGCCTGTAATCCCAGCACTTTGGGAAGCCGAGGTGGGTGGATCACGAGGTCAACAGATTGAGACCAGCCTGAACAACATGGTGAAACCCCGTCTCTATTAAAAATACAAAAATAAGCTGGGCATGGTGGCGCGTATCTGTAGTCCCAGCTACTTGTCAGGCTGAGGCAGAAGAATCATTTGAACCTAGGAGGCGGAGGTTGCGGGGAGCCAAGATTGCACCACTGCACTCCAGCCTGGCAATAGAGTGAGACTTTGTCTCAAAAAAAAAAAATAAAATAAATAAATAATTATAGATTGTGCTAAGTGCTGTGAAGGAAATAAATAGAGGGACAAGAAAGAAAGAATAACTGAGGAGTCACTTTCTGTGAGGGTGTCCATGAAGGGCTTCATGAAGAGGTGGCAGTTGAGCTGAGGCCTAAAAATTGAGAATGAGCTCAGTAGGTCAAGAGTCTGGGAAAGTGCATTCCCATAAAGGAAGCAGCATGTGCAAGGCTCAGGTTGGAGACAGCTTGTACATCTGAGGTGTAGAACAGTGGTCCCCAGCCTTTTTGGCACCAGGGGCCAGTTTCATGGAAGACAATGTTTCCAAGGACTGGGGTGGGTGAATAGTTTTGGGATGAAACTCTTCCACCCCAGATCATCAGGCATTAGATTCTCATAAGGAACATGCAACCTAGATCCTTCGTGTGCTCAGTTCACAGTGTCCTCCTGTGAGAATCTAATGCAGCTGCTGATTTGACAGGAGGCAGAGCTCAGGCTAGATAATGCGCCCTCACAGGCAGCTCACCTCCTGCTTTGCAGCCCAGTTCCTAACAAGCCATGGACTGGTACTGGTCCATGGTCCGGGGGATGGGGACCCCTGGTATAGAACCTGGAAAAGTGGGCCAGACCCAGTGGCTCACGCCTGTAATCCCAGCACTTTGGGAGACTGAGGTGGGTGAATCACTTGAGGTTAGAAGTTCAAGACCAGCCTGGCCAATATGGTGAAATATGTCTCTATTAAAAATATAAAAATTAGCCAGGTGTGGTAGTGCATGCCTGTAATCCCAGTGTTGAATCTCTTCACTCATTCCTTTTAGACCCCCATCCAACAGTTACTCCTCTTGCTTGCAGTACTTTTCCTTGAGATTTTTCTGAAAGCATAATGCGTCCTTTAGTTACAGTTTCAGCTCCACTCCTTTCAGCCAGTACTCGGTGAAAGAGTGGAAGAAGCTTTCTAAACACTTGACCTGCCATGACTCCTGCTGCTGTAGCTTATACTCATATTATTTATTTATTTATTTATTTATTTTTGAGACAGAGTTTCACTCATTTTGCCCAGGCTGCAGTGCGGTAGTGCGATCTCGGCTCACTGCAACCTCTGCCTCCTGGGTTCAAGTGATTCTCCTGCCTTAGCCTCCTGAGTAGCTGAGATTACAGGCGCCCGCCACCATGCCCAGCTAATTTTTGTACTTTTAGTAGAGACAGGGTATCGCCATTTTGGCCAGGCAGGTCTCAAACTCCTGACCTCAGGTGATCCGCCTGCCTCAGCCTCCCAAAGTGCTGGGATTACAGGCGTGAGCCACTGCGCCCGGCCTCATTTTTTACTTTTTAAATGACTAGCAACACAGTAGGTTTGTTTACCCCAGCACCACCACAAACATATGAGTAATGTGTTTTGCTAGGATGTAATGCCAGCTATGACATCATGAGGTGATAGGAATTTTTCAGCTCCAGCATAATCTTATGGGACCATCGTCCTATATGCCATCTGTCATTGACCAAAAAATGTCATGTGACACATGACTGTGATAAGGATATATCTCAATGAATTTTTAAAAACTGAACACACTCATATAAACAGCACCCAGAATAAGAAACAGCACATTACCAGCACCCTCAAGCTCCTCTCAACACCCACTGCAGGTTATCAATTTCCCTTAGCAAAATTAGGCTGTTTTATGCCATACTATAACATATCTTCAGTTGCCAAATAATGGGAAAGATAGAGTTAATCTCAGCTTACTCGTATATAAGTCATATAAAACACTATTTTTATTTTCTCTTTATTGCTGTCTTTTTAATTAAATGGATATAATGAGTGCTGAGAGCATGTCCCTGCTGTGTAGTGTCAGTAGTGTTATCTTTAAATATAGTACAGTTTTTTTTTTTTAACATTCATTTTCAACTCATTTTGAAAAGAACCTGGGCTTAATGGTTTTTCAAGAAACGTTAGGAAAGCCTTGTTGATTTTTCTTTTTCTCTAATGTATGTTTTATATTTTACCTAAGAAAAAGAAGCACCATATTTTTTTCCCACACTGGTCTTAATCTAAGAAAGGTAGCTTTAGAACATTGATATTTTAAAAATATTTACAAATACTATTTTCCCAGTTGTAGGGAGGCTCCACATGGTTAAAGTCTTCTGGTCTGATGGATCACCACTTTGTTTGAAATAAGGGCACATATTAGGAGGGCCTTCCTTTGAAGTAGAGGTATTTGCATACATAAATCTATGCCGTGACTATAAAGTACTGAGGCTGTGTGTACTTTGTGTGCAAACAGATGTCTGTAAACATATGGGCCAGTCTCTTCTCCCACCCCATTTTTTTGTAAGTCATGGCTCCTGCGTTTTGGTTCAGAAAGTGTGAATTTGGAGATTCACTCATTCTGGGGTGAATCCCAGCTCTGTCATCCACATCGTATGACCATATACACTTAACTTTCACCTCTCTGTGTCGCAGTGTCTTCATTTATGAAATTGGAATAATATACCTTTCTTAGAAGTATTACATGAGGAATAAATGAAATAACAAATGTGAACTAGCATCCTGGTTGGTTCATACAACTTCACAGTAAACGATAGTTTCTTCTCTGTCACTCAGAGTTGAAAACTGCAAAGTCTATCACATTATTCCCGATGAATGTAGTAATGTCCTAAGAGTGATCACTCATTGATGACATGTCAGCCATTTGAACATTTCAAACACAGAGGCCACTTTGTCCCCCTCATTGATCTGTCAGGCCTCTCACATACTAAATCTTTGCCTTACCCACCTTCGTGGTCTATCACCTTAACTCTGATCAGTGTCTTTTAACTTTCTTGTCCCTTTGTCTTCCCATTGATGTGCCTAGGAAATCTGCCAACCTGGATCAGTCAGTGTTTCTCAGCATCAGCACTATTGACATTTTGGATCCAAATAATTCTTTGTTCTAGAGTGCTGTCCTTGGCATTATAGGATGTTTAGCAGCATCCTAGCCTCTATCCACTGCATGCCAGTAGCAACTCTTTTCCTGCAGATTGTGACAAACAAAATTGTTTCCAGACATTGCCAAATGTCCCAAGGGGAGAAAATTGTTCACCCCAGCCCTCCTGTGTTGAGAATCACTGTCTATATGCTTTACTTGCCCCTTCATCTTTGGTCCTGATGAAAAATGACACAGGTCATTGTCACTATAAATCCATATTTTGTAATTTCAACTGGGTCCTTAATTTTGCCTGGTAGTCCTTTAATACTTCCTAGTCCATTCTCCCATTTTTCATGGGGCTATTTTAGATCTCCTTTATTCTCTTCAGACTTCCTATATCATACCTTCCTCTTATTCTTAACAGATGACCTTGTCTTCTTTTCAAACAGAAAGTAAAATAGAAGCTATTATCTTTGTCCTCCTTCAATTTTGTGATGCCAACCATGAACTTACCTAAATCTGAGTTCTGGCTTCAGCATTTAGCAAATGTTGTGACCTTTGGCAAGTTAGCTTTTAAGCCTCACTTTATTCATCCGTATCATTACTGTTAATGATAGAAATCATGTAAGGTACTTAGTGTAGCGCCTTGGCCATAGTGTCTGATGATGATAAGGGGTAGGGAATGCCACAGGTGTGGAAGGTGGTGCTATTTTATGTAAAGTGCTCAGAGAGCCCCATTTTAGGGTAATATTAGAGTAGATTTCTGAGGAAAGTGAGGAGTAAGCCATGCAGAGTTATTTGGAGTTATTTGGAGAAAGTCATGCAGTTCACTTTTCAAGAAATGTACTGTAAGTTAAGAGACAGAATGGTAACTGCAGGGTGATATGCAGTTAAGGGAGTGGGTGGGTTTGTTGTTTTTTTAGATGAGAGAGATATAAACATTTTTAATTGCCCATAGTAAGGTACCATTAGAGGAGGAAGGATTAAAGTTACAGGAAGAGATAAATTAAGCTTATTTCAATAGACTGAATTATTTCTATCCATTTTCCGTGCCACAGGTAGATTAGTTATTCTAAATGCTGATTCCTTTGCTTCCTTGCTTAAAGTCCTTAAATGCCTTCAGTTTCCTTTAGTCTAAAATACAGCTTCACAAAGTGCTTTTTACCAGGTCATGGTCAGTTGGTCCCTGCTAACATATCCACCTTCAGCTCTCAGCACTCGCTCTATCCATGCTTCTTCTGTCTCCCAATCTCCCCTGCCCCTGCTGTCCCTTAAACGTGCTAAGCTTCAGTCATACTCTAATGAATTTCTCAAACTTCCTCACATGTGGCATGCTCTCTCAAGTTTTCTGTTTTTTGTTTTTTTTTTTTTTTTTTTTTTTTTTTTTTTACAATTGCTTGAAGCCCTTTACTTTCCCCTTCTCCACGTCTTTGGCTGACTTTCATTCATTCTTCAGGCTTTGTCACGTCTATCACTTATTTTCTGACTACTTCCCTGACCCCAATCCTGGATTAGTTGCCCCTTCTGTGTGCTGCCATCCATCCATTTAATATCTTCTGTTGGACTTCTCACTTTGTGATACTAAATTATATAGGCCGTTTTATTTGTCTTGTCCCTACTGTGCTGTCAACTTGGTGGGAACAGAGGCCATATATGTCCTGTTCACTTTTGGATCCCTGTACAAGGCAACAGTACCTGGCATACAGTAGGCCCTTTGCAAGTATTTACTAAGTAAGTTAATAGATTTAATTGCTGGTTAGATAAAGGAAAATATTAGTTCATTCATATAGCACTGTTATTTAAAATTACCCTGTGCTGGATGTTGTGCCAAAGGTCCCCAGGCACTGCTTTCAAATCCCAGTCCTGGAAATGAAACATGCACAGTGATGCTTTTCCAAATATGAGTTCTCCTAACTCAAAATGGAGTAAATTTGGATTTATTTTTAATACCTCTTTGTTAATTTTGAGAATTTTATTTCTAGGATACGATGTCACTCATTATTCTACATCAAACTGTCACACATGCTTAGAAAAAAAGAAACAAAGCATTGAAGGGGAGAGGGGATCTTTTCTCTTTCTTTTCTTTTTTTTCTCCCTGCTGCTGTTTTGTCTGAATAAAGACTTGTGAGGTAGAAATGGAGACTGTAAGAAAGGCTTGCATTCTCTGAGCACAACCTGATAGCAAGGGGATTTTGAAAGAATAGGTATAGAAAGAGGAGAGCACAGTAAGTATTTCAGGAAGAGCCATAGATACTCTCATCTGTGTTTTAAAAGTTTTTCTAGTAGCGTTTCATTTCAAAAACAGACAAACAAAAAGCAATGAACACTTAGCATTTACTCTGCACTTATATGCCTGGCACTGTGCTAGTTGTTTTGAATTTTTTATTTAATCATTTTAAATATTTAATTAAATTTATAATTTAATTTATAAATAAATTATTTATTTTAATCTTTATGAGGCTAGTGTTGTTACCATCCCTTTAGTGGGTTTACATCTATTTCTGGATTTCTTTTTTTTTTAAACCCATAATGCCAAATCCTAATTCACTCCTCCAGTGAATTAGGGGAGGGGAGAGCAGCATGAACCCTAGCTTGCTCTAGTGTCCTTTGGAGCCTCTAGGGCCTTGCAGTAGTGGAATCGGGAAAACTGAGGAAAGGTGAGTGTTTCCTTCCTTCCTTTTATTCCCCCCCTCTATTTTCTATTTGAGTCTGGCCATTGTCAGAAATATGTCATTAATATCTCATAATCAAAGCTCAATAGAAATTAAATGTACAGTACTTATTATAATCAATTTTAGATAGATATATAAATTGGCATGGATAGTGCCAATTTTTTTTAAGTTAAGAGACAGTAAAACATCTATTCTTGCCTTTTTTTTTAAGTTAAGAGACAGTAAAAGTAGGGTTGTCACTGCTTTTATTGGTTTGATCATCAAGATCTTATGTTTTCAACTCCATTTTTTTAACAAAATCTCAAGTTCAGCTACAAATTATCCTATCACAAAGGCCACTATTGAAGTTCAAATAAGTGCTGTGCTTGCTCTGAAGTGGGAGGGTATAAATAGCGTGAAAAGGGATATATTTGGAAAAGTTACATACACTAGAAGTTACATACTGAAAATTATTCAATGAGGAAAGCAGTATGATCTCAAAAAATACGAAGTCCATTATGAGTTTTTGAAATGGTGGTTCTTAGGATCATTCTGGTGTTGTGAATTTTTTTATTTTTATCTGTCTGTCTTATCTATCTATCTTATCTATCTATCTATCTATCTATCTATCTATCTATCCATCCATCCATCCATCCATCCATCCATCCATCCATCCATCCATCCATCCCAAGGTGCTGGGATTACAGGAGTGAGCCACCATGCCCAGCTAGTGAATATAAACACTGCCTTTGGAAGCTTGCAATCCAGTCCTGGTTCTGTCACTTCCTATCACTGTGAAGTCATGTTCATAACTTAGGCATGTTATTCTTTCTTAGCTTCAGTTTCCTCACCTGAAAAAGTAGAGATAATATGTATTCAGATTATTGTTAGGACTAAATGATATAATTCATGCTAAATGCTTATTAGAGGCTTAGTAGTTATGACATGCTGAGAAGTATTAGTGCATTTACTGAAGTACTGTGCTAGTGATTGGCAACATAATGTGTCTGGTTTAAGATATTAAAATTTTTAATCCTAATGAAGAAAGGACAAATTAAAAATGAATCACAGTTAAAATGTATACATACATTATTGAGAAATGAATTACATTATTTTGGGTTCTGCAGAGAATCAGGTAAGTATAAAATAGATGCCAGCAGCAATATCATTTGCAAGTATAATCAAGATACTAAAATGCATTTGGGGAAGATAATCCATCTTTTTGTGAAGTTTTCAAAAAATGGCAAAAGGGGGAGGGATGGGAGAAAGTTGGTTGTTATTATAATGCTACTTTGTTATAAACAAAAATTTTCTCACAAAGTAGAGCAATTGTCATTTGACAATGTCTGGAGACACATTTGGTTGTCACATGGAGGGTGAGAGTTGGGGAGGTAGGTACTGCTGAAATCTAATGCGCAGAGGCAGGGGTGCTGCTCAGCTTCCTAAAATGCACAGAGGATAGCCTCCCCCTCCAAAACTTATGTTTCCTAAAATGTTACTAGTGCGAAGGCTAAGACTTTCTGATCTAGACTTATGCAACCGCTCACTTGGAAACTAATGTTATGGTATGTTTTGTGGTAAATACTTTGTAGAAATGTCTGGATTGTTTTAATCTATCATACTTTATCTGTAACTGACAATGGTGTTTTATCCTCTTGAAATTCTATTGGTTTTCATGGAGGAACTAAAATTAGTAAATTTCTCAGATAATTACTTGTTTTCATGATGAATAATGAACAATCCAGTTGACCAATTTTAAAGACTATTTTGATTGACATATAGTTACTTTACATTAGATTTTATAGTTATAATTTGAGATGAGTTCCTTTATGATGATAATTATTTAGACTAGAGTTATTTGGAGATTTTTCAAAATGGTCATGATTGATTAGATTAACCATACATAGTAATTACAGATTTAATTTTTCAAAAATTAGGAAGCATTTCATTGATTTCTTAAAAAAGCAAACGGGCTGTTACTGACCTTTCTTAGCAATAGTTAATTGAGTGCTTCCTTTGCTCAACTATGTTCTATGCATATATTATGTGTTCATTATGTGATCCCCACGCACAGCAGCTTCTTTATATAGGAATTATTCCCATTTCATAGATAAGAAAGCACAGAGAGATCAAGTGATTTGCATGGTAACACAGCTAGTAAATGGTGGAGCTAGGATTAGAAGTCAGGCAATGTAGCTCAAGTTTGGGGTCTCTCTCTCTCTCTTTTTTTTCTTTTTTTTGAGATGAAGTCTTGCTCTATCACCCAGGCTGGAGTGCAGTGGCGCGATGTCAGCTCACTGCTACCTTGGCCTCCTGAGTTCAAGCGATTCTCCTGCCTCAGCCTCCTGAGTAGCTAGGACTACAGGTGTATGCCACTGTGTCCAGCTAAGTTTTGTATTTTTAGTACAGACTAGGTTTCGCCATGTTGTCCAGGCTGGTCTTGAACTCCTGACTTCAGGTGATCCGCCTGCCTCAGCTTCCCAAAGTGCTGGGATTACAGGTGTCAGCCACCATGCCTGGCTCATTTGCTGTCTTAACCACAATATTATTAAAATATTATACTGACATTTAACCAAGAATGTTTAAGTACTTTCTGATTATTTACTTGTCTCTAGAACACATCAGTGAATAGTTAAGTCCTTAATGTCTTGGTAAGTTCTTGGAAACGTCTACTTAAAAAGTGAAACAATGTATAATGAAACCAATTTTTTTTTCCTCATCAATGTCGTAAGGAAATGAGGTTGATTGAAACAACTTTGGAGAACCTTCTGTACTCCTTTCATTTAGTTGCGGTTTCCAAGAACCTATCCACAACATTAAGTGGGGACTTACTATATAGCCAAAAATAAAATGAAAGGCATATAATTTTGAAATGTACTTGTAGCTTTGGAATGTACTGTACAGTGAGTTCGTCATACATCTAGATGAGGATGTAAAAGAACAAAAACTTGGAATTTCCCTCCCTCTCCATGCAGCTTTGAAGAGTCTTTAATCCAAGGGAAACCTACAGTTCTTTCTCTGCCGTAGGTTCTCTTCTCCTCTCTTCCACTTCCTCCAGCTCCTGTTTGTCTCTTCCTCCCTGTGTGTCTTACTACCTTGTTTTGGGGGTTTGTTTTCTCTCCTGATTTTTACCTCTTTCAGTCCTCAAAATGGTCTGAATAAACTGGAGATTAATTTATTTTTGAAAGAAGTGTTTGTATCTACTAAGTGAGGTTATGGAAGAGATCCAAAAATGTTCTGGGTGGCAGGAGAAGACATTTAAAATACACAGTTAATAAGCCACATTTAGATAATCTATAATTGACTGTAGTTTATTCAGAAATGTCTTTTGTTAAATAAAGCTTCTAAGTGAAGTCTCAAAGCCACAGAATTAAGAAAGGCTGTTTGTTTAGTCAATGTGATTACTGCTCATATTTTTAAAAGGAAAAAAAAGCAAAAAAAAAAATCAGTTTTTCATAAAAGGAAATGTGTCCACTATTTTAAAGATATAAATATTCTGTCTAGTAGATATGGTATCTGCAATAAATGTGTTTGTACATATTGTCATATTCTGTTAATATCACCGTAATTTCCAAGTGAACTTTAAAAAACTATAAGGGATCAATTATTTTTCAAATCTGAAAATTTTATCTAAAGTTTAAAAACTATTTCATTCTACAGCTATTTATCAGCTAAAGAAGAGAACTTCATTTATTAGCAGTACCTATAATACAAGGAAATCCTATTTAGTTCCTGAAGAAAAATACTTATAGTTTCTCAGCAGGTAGAAGTTGAATTTAGTAAAAACATTTGAGGATTCAGTCTATGATATGATTAGCCTAATTTTATAATGTCAACACATGAGTGGCATTTGTAAAATTTACAAATAATGATACTTAGTTCTGATGAGTCTATAATGTGGTTATGTTAAACATAATTTCTCTTACATATAAATATGAATTATATGGTAGGCGATGAAAATGCTTACCATTTCTTCTCCAGAAAGTTAATATCCTGTGATATAGAATGAAAGTAAGGAAAGGACTGTTGTTGGTAGTCACAAAAAGGAACTTTTTCTTCCTTTGTAGTTATAGCCAGAGTCCTGGGCTTTCTCATTTGCCATTTCCATTTTTTTTTTAACTGAGTGATATAACAGCAATGTAGCAAAAATAAGTTTGCATCCACAGTGCTTTCTGTCAGAAATGGTGCCTCTATCTATAGGCATTCAAACTGGCTGTGATGAATAATAGTTTTTTTTTTTTTTTTACAATAGTACTTTTAAATTGTCAATAACATCCACTGAAGGAAGCTTTAAATGCGTTGGTCCTGTAACCATTGTGCTCACAGCTTTCATTGCTGCCATTCTAGGGTGCCAGTCCCTGGAGTTGTGTTGGCTTTATAAAACTATAGTTTAGGCCAGGTGTGGTGTGTCATTCTTATGATCCCAGTGCTTTGCGAGGCCAGTGTGGGAGGATCACCTGAGCCAAGGAGTTCGAAGTACAGTGAGCTATGATTGTACCACTGCACTCAAGCCTGGGTAGCAAAATGAGACTGCCTCAAAAAAAAAAAAAAATCAAACTATAGTTTAGGCTGTTTCTGGAGGATTCATTAGTGCTCCCATCGAATGTATTTAGGAGACCCGCACAGGGTTGCAAAAGATGGGCTTTGTAGGTCATTTGCATCTTGGTGAAATGGGACCCTTTCCAACAGGATCAAAACCTTTTATATTGGCCACAGAACATTGTTGTCTCATTTGACAAACTCTGGACTACAACTAACTATATAGTGTAATTCTTTAAAGATTTAAAAAAATTGTCAAAGTAATAGATATTCATTCTTTTTTGTAATGGTATTCTAGAGTACCATATTTAGAAAATCAGAAAACTGGAACAAATTAAAAAATATATATTTGGCAAATCTATCACCCAAAGAAATCCACTGATAATATTTAGTCTTCTCAAAAATCTCTTCCCTGTTTTTGGTTACTGGGATCATTATTGTCTGAATCTTTCAAAGTAGAAATCTGGGTCTCATATGTCATTAAATTTAAGAAGTTCTGCTATTTCTGTGTCACTCTCAGTGGGACAACAAGACATTATGTGTGTCCTAATGTAATGGATTAGGAAAGTACATGTATCACCTATGGACTATTATGGACTATTTTTGCCAAAAAATTGAAACTGAATCATGTCTCTAGATCTAGATCTTACTACCACTTTACAGGAAATATGGGGAATAGAATAGTAAATTAATACCATGAGGGAACAGTTAGCTGAATTTAGGATATGGGAAATTCTCCAGGACAAATGACTTAAATGAGATTAAATGAGATTTAAAGAGACTTATCAATCAGATGCAATGTGTGGTTCTTGTTTTGTTTCTGGTTTACACAAACTAATGGCAAAAATTTCATTTTTGAGGTAATTGAGGACATTTGAGTATGGACTACTTATTAGATGATACTGAAGAATTATTGCTTATTTTGTAAAATGTGATAATGGTATTGTAGGGTTACTTTAAAGAAAAGTCTTTAATGGATAATGATACTTTCTTTACTATTCCTGGGTGAGATGATACGACATCTGGGATTTGCTTTAAAACATTCCAGCCAAAAAAAAAAAAAAAGAGAAGAAATAAGATTGGCAATTTGTTGGTATTGTTGCATGAAGGGTATGTGGGTATTCATTCTTCTTTTTCTCTCTCTCATTAAGTTTGAAAATTTTTGAAACAAAAAGCTGAAAAAATTATATAATACGTAAAAAGTGTATAGCATAAAATGTTCTAACAGCCTACATAGAAAGAAAATTGGGTCAGTGATATAATTCAGTGTCTATATGATAAAAACAAAACACCTGCTAGGGAATAGAACAATTCTTGCTTATATTAAGACCAAAAAGTTTTCTTTATTAGTGGTTTTTGTTCATTTGTTTTTGAGACAGGGTCTCATTCTGTTGGAGGTTGGAGTGCAGTGGCAGGATCCATAGCTCGCTGTAACCTTGAACACTTGGGCTCAAGTGATCCTCCAGCCTCAGCTTCACAACTAGCTAGGACTGTAGGTATGCACCATGTGGTTATCAGCTTGACCTCTGGGGGGTCTGGAGACTAAGGTCAGCCATGCAAATAGCCCCAGTAAAAACCCTAAATACTAAGCCTCAGGTGAGCTTCCCGGTTGCCAGTATTTCCTGCATGTTGTGCATATGTTGTTGCTGGGAGAAATAAGCCCTGCCTGCATGACTACACCGGGAGAGGACAACTGGAAGCTTGTGCTTGCTGTCTCCTATGCCCCTCTTCCCTTTGCTGATTTTAATGTTGTCATTTTAGTGTAATTAACAGTAAGCAAAAGTATAATGTTTCTTTTGAGTTTTATGAGTCTCTCTAGTGAGTTCTGAGGGTGGTTTTGAGGATTCGCCAAACGCAGAGCTTCATCCATATCTATATTGTTGCATGTATAATATTTCATTTATTGTTGAGTAGCACTCCATAGTTTGCCTGTTTCCCATTTGAGGGACATTTTTGGTTGTTTGCAGTGTTTGGCAATTACAAATAAAGCGGCTATGTACATTTGGGTGTAGAGGTAGGTTTTTTTATGAACATAGGTTTTTATTTCACTTGGGTAAATACCTAAAAGTGGGATTGCTGGGTCATATGAAAAGTATATGTTTAACTTTATTAGAAACTCTTTTGCAAAGTGGCAGTCACTTCCAGTCAGCACTGTATGAGAGTTCTGATTGTTCCTCATCTTCCTTTACTGGGTCATATGAAAAGTATACGTTTAACTTTATTAGAAACTCTTTTGCAAAGTGGCAATCACTTCCAGTCAGCACTGTATGAGAGTTCTGATTGTTCCTTATCTTCCTTTACACTTGGTATCTCATTGTGGTTTTAATTTGCATTTCCCTGATAATTAATGATGTTGAGTGTCTTTTCTTGTGCTTATTTGCCACTTGCATATCTTATTTGGTGATGTATTTGTTGAAATATTTTGCCCAATTTTTAAAAATTTGTTTTTTTTATTATTGAGTTTTGAAAGTTCTTTAAATATTCTAGATATTAATCCTCTATCAGATATGCATTTTGCCAATATTTTACCTCACCCTGTGACCTTTGGAGAGCAGAAGTTTTTAATTTTAACTATGTTTAATTTTTAGTTTTATGAATCTTGCTTTTGGTGTTGCAGGTGAGAAATTTTTGCCTATCCCAGTGTCACAAAATGTTTCCTCCTGTTTTCTTCTGAAAGTTTTTTAGCTTTATATTTTACGTTGAGATCTATGCTCCATTTTAAGTTAGTTTCAGTATATGCTGCAAAGTATGGGTCAAGGTTCGTTGTTTTTTTTTTTTTTTTTGACATATGGATGACAAATTGTTCCGGCACCATTTGTTGAAGAGATCATCCTTTCTCTGTTGAATTGCATTTTTACCTTTATTGAAAAATCAATTGACCATATAAGTATGGGTCTATTTCTGGACTCTCTTATTTTGTTCTGTTCATCTATGTATATCTATCTTTTTGCCAACATTATGGTGAGTTGATTACTGCAGCTATATAGTAAGACTTAATATAAGATAGCATATTTTATATAAAGAGTCTTCCAATTTTTTCATTCTGAAATTGTTTTGGCTGTTCCAGTTTCTTCATCTTAACTTATTTGGGTTTAGAATCAACTTGTCGGTGTCAAAAAAAAAATTAATACCATCATTTTGATTGGGATTGCTTTAAATTTGCAGATCAATTTGGAGAGAATTAGAATCTTATTGAGTCTTATTAGAATATTATTAATACTGATGCATGGACATGGTATATCTCTCCACTTATTTAGATCTTCAGTCTATATCTTTTTGAGAGAGGTCTACAGTTTGTGTCTCTTAGCAATTTCTGTTTCATGTAAATTGATGAATTTTTTGTATAAAGTTTTTTATACTTTCTCTTTTATCCTTCTAATATTTGTAGAATCTGTAGTGATGTCACCCCTCTCATTCCTTTTAGTTTGCATATTTTCCCCTCTTCCTTGTCTAGAGATTTCTTTCTGCAGCTTTGATCTGCTGGCCTCAAGTGGTCCTCTTGCCTCACCCTCCCAAAGTGCTGGGATTACAGGTGTGAGCCACCATGCCTGGTCTTTTAAAAAATGTTTTTAATTTAATTTTAAAATTTTGTTTGTCTACTTATTTTAGAAACAAGGTTTTGCTCTGTCATCCAGGCTGGAGTGCAGTGGTGTGATCATGACTCACTGCAGCGTTGATCTTCTGGACATAAGCAATCCTCTTGCCTCAGCCTCCCTCCCAAGTAGCTTGGGCTGCATGTGCACACCACCAGGCCTGGCTAATTTTTAAAAATTTTTTGTGGAGACAGGGTCTCACTGTGTTGCCCAGGCTGGTCTTGAACTCTTGGCCTCAGCTGATCCTCTTGTCTCCCAAAATGTGGGGATTACAGGTATGAGCTACTCTGTCCAGCCTATAATTTTTGATTGAATGCCAGTCATCATTTTATGGTAAATCGTATTTATGCTGAGAATTTGTCATGACTCTTGTTCTGCTAAGGTGTTAGCGTGGAGGGTTGAATTAGTCTTGCTTGGAGTTGATGAGAATTTGCCTTTTATTGCTCTGATTACCTTCAGTGCATTATCAACTTTATATATATAATTATTTATATATATATAATAAATAAATATATGTATATATTTGTTTATTTTTAGACAAAATCTCATTCTGTCGCCCAGGCTGGAGTGCGGTGGTGCAATCTCGGCTCACTGCAACCTCTTCCTCCCAGGCTCAAGGAATTCTCCTGCCTCAGCCTCTCGAGTAGCTGGGATTACAGGCACCTGCCACCATGCCTGGCTAATTTTTTGTATTTTTAGTAGATACAGGGTTTCACCATGTTGGCCAGGCTGGTCTCAAATTCCTGACCTTAAATGATCCACCCACTTCAGCCTCCCAAAGTGCTGGGATTACAGGTGTGAGCCACTGCTACCAGCCCATTATCAACTTTAAATCTATTATCACCTAGTACTTAAGATGGGGATTGATTTGCTGCAAAGTTTTGACCAATGTTTTTACTTCATGTTTACCTGTTAGCCTTATCTGCGCACCTGAACTTCAGAGAGGGTCTCTCTCTGTTCTTTTGCTACTTCTCTAGTAGTCGAATGCTCTTACTTAGGTGTTACTTGGAGCTAGTTTGTGTTGTTGTGGTGGGCATGGGGCCTTGGATGCTGTTTAGCTTTGTGGTGGTAGGAATTGAGCTTTCTCTTTTGTTCTAGACCAGTATTAGTCTTAGGCAGGCTCTGTTTTCCTCTATTCTTGATAATCCTCCTTCTCCCCAGTAGTAGGAGACCTCTATTGTTTTGGTCTTAGGTTACTTTCTTGTCTGTCCTTCAGAAGTACATACAGTATCATCTAATTTTGCAGGAATTTATTAGGAAGTGTTTTCACATCCTGTATTAAAAGGAATATATTTGGAAGCCATTTTTGACAAGTACCCGAACTTTTTAAGGTAGCGCTAACTATTTTCATGGAATTAGATCTTCCTTACTAAGTAAAACATAGTTTTCAGTGGTGATAATGTAGACCAAATTGAAGGCTATTTCTATTCCCTCTAGGAAGTATGTATTCAGATGGATTATTTTTTTAAAAGCATAAAACAAAATTGTAAAATGGGGAGTATCCTTAGCTGTCCAGGGTTCATAAATGCAGTCCTAATCGAACTGAGCATTTGAGAGAGACATAATGACTCTACATATGTTGCAAGTAATAATGATGTAATTATTTATTATAACTGTAAAGGAAAGGATAATTATGTTTAGAATCATGAACATCTGCAAATTTTCATGATTTATCTTTACATTTTATACTCGCTTAACCATCACTATATGATGAAGATATAGGGCATTTCCAGCACCTTCATGCCACTTCACAGTCAATACTACCCACCCCCATGGGTAAGCACTATTCCAACTTCTATCAGCATTCATTAGATTTGCTGTAATTTGTTCATTTAACAATTTGTCACATTTTCCGTATTACATTATTACTCATTCTTTTTTTTTTTTAATAATTTGAGAGTAGGCTGACTGGACTACATAATTTGGAACTTTTGACCCCATTACCTTCAGTCTTCTCTTTGATTTTATTTTGCTCTGTTTAACAAATTGTTTTGGGCTGAGCACGGTGGCTCATGCCTGCAGTCCCAGCACTTTGGGAGGCTAAGGTGAGAGGATTGCGTAACGCCAGAATTTGAGACAAGCCTAGCAAAATAGTGAGACCGTCGTCTCTACAAAAAAATAAAAAATGAGCTGGACGTGGTGGTACATGCCGGTGGTCCCAGCTACTTGGGAGGCTGAGGCAGGAGGATTGCTTGAGCCCGGGAGGTGGGTCAAGGCTGCAGTGAGCCATGATTGTACCACTGCACTCCAGCATGGGTGACAAGAGTGAGACCCTGTCTCAAAAAAAAACAAAAAAAAAAGGTGTTTTTATTTCTATTTCATCCCCATCCTTTGATAAATTTTCTTCAGGATTCAAGTATGTATCTCTCTCATCCTAAAACACTTTTCTTCACGGCTGCCCGCTTTATAAGCACTCTTACACTCCCACTCATTTTAGCGATTGAGGAGAGACTCAGCAATCAGTTGACCAAAGCATCTAACATACTTTTTCCATATTTCTATATCCTTAGTCTGTTCACTGAGGGTGATTTCCAAGGAGTCGAATTACTGAGTCAAATGGTATGATTTGTTTAAGGCTGTTATCAGTAAAGATGGTCAGATTGCTTCCCAGAAGTTATTTATTTATTTATTTATTTATTATTATTATTTTTTTTAGTGTACCAAGTGTGTATTTATTTCTTTTTTTCTTTTCTTTTTTTTGAGACAGAGTTTCACTCTTGTCACCTAGGCTGGAGTGCAATAGCGCAATCTCGGCTCACTGCAACGTTCGCCTCCCGGGATCTAGGGATTCTCCTGTCTCAGCCTCCTGAGTAGCTGGGATTACAGGTGCCCATCACCATGCCCAACTAATTTTTGTATTTTTAGTAGAGACGAGGTTTCACCATGTTGGCCAGGCTGGTCTCAAACTCCTGACCTCAGGTGATCCGCCCGCCTTGGCCTCCCAAAGTGCTGGAATTACAGGTGTGAGCCACTGTGCCTGGCCCCAAGTATGTATTTCAGTTTACTTTATGCAATTTAACAAAAATTTAGTCATAATTTACCAGATATACATAAATGATTTAAGTAGCGAAAGAAAATTCAGCTTTACAACAATAAGTTCATATCTTGAGGAAAAGTAAAAGTACATTAAGAATGTAAAGGCAAGTCCAGTTTCGATGCAATAAGTGACCTGTAATTCCTAGAAGTTCTTTTTACCTGGCCAGGCACAGTGGCTCATGCCTGAAATCCCAGCACTTTGGGAGGCCAAGGTGGGAGGATCACTTGAGGTCAGGAGTTCGAGACTAGCCTGGCCAACATAGTGAAACCCCGTCTCTACTCAAAAATGCAAAAATTAGCCAGGTGTGGTGCTGTGTGCCTGTAATCCCAGCTACTCAGGAGGCTGAGGCAGGAGAACTGCTTGAACTTCCGAGGCAGAGGTTGCAGTGAGCCAAGATTGTGCCACTGCACTCCAGCCTGGATGACAGAGTGAGACCGTGTCTCAAAAAAAAAAGTTTTTTTAACCAAATGTGTATTACTTCTACAACAGAGCATTTGTTTTACCATATCCTTGTCCTACTTAATGTTTTTTTCATCTTTATTAGTTTTATAGAAAGTATTATATCTCTATTCTGTAGGTCTTTTGTAATTAAGGGATACATTAACAGATTTAAAATTTGAATTAGGCTGGGGGCAGTGGCTTACGCCCGTAATCCCAGCACTTTGGGAGGCCGAGGAGGGCAGATCATGAGGTCAAGAGATCGAGACCATCCTGGCCAACATGATGAGACCCTGTCTCTACTAAAAATACAAAAATTAGCTGGGCGTGGTGGCGCTCGCCTGTAGTCCCACCTACTCGGGAGGCTGAGGCAGGAGAATTGCTTGAACCTGAGAGAAGGCGGTTGCGGTGATCCTATGATCGCGCCACTGCACTCCAGCCTGGCAACAGAGCAAGACTCCATCTCAAAAATAAATAAATAAATAAAAATTGAATTATAAAATTCCTAAAAGAAAATACCAAAGAATACCTACATAGAGTATTTTTAAAGCATGCCTTAAGGCTGCAACATAAATATATTAGCATATTTGGCTATATATGAAATTTTAAAACTTGTGAATATAAAAAGAAATTGCAGGGCGGGGCGCAGTGGCTCATGCCTGCAATCCCAGCACTTTGGGAGGCAGAGGCAGGTGGATCACTTGAGGTCAGGAGTTAGAGACCAGCCTGGCCAACACAGTGAAACCCCGTCTCTACTAAAAATACAAAAATTAGCCAGGCGTGGTGGCACATGCCTTTAATTCCAGCTACTTGGGAGACTGAGGCACGAGAATTGCTTGAACTCAGGAGGTGGAGGTTGCAGTAGCTGAGATTACGCCGTTGCACTCCAACCTGGGCAACAGGGAGACTCTGACTCAAAAAAATAAATAATTAAATAAAAAAGAAATTGCAAGTGGGGGAAAGAAGCATCCATGCAAATTTAGATATAAAAGCAAATGAAGCAATTGCTTTTAAGATAATTTTTGTAGCTAGAATAGTTGAAATTATTAAGAAATTATTATATATAATATATAATAGTTGAGATAGGATTTTTATCTATTATAGATGAAGAAGGTATATAAGGTTAAAAAGTGTCAATTCAAAAGTTTATTTGTAATGTAGAACATTGCAAAAATTCTTCCATTTCAAGTTAGTTTTGATAGACTGTTTGTTTGTTTGTTTGTTTGTTTTGAGACTGAGTCTCACTCTGTCGCCCAGGCTTCAGTGCAGTGGTGCAATCTCAGCCCACTGAAGTCTCTTGCTTCCCGCGTTCAAGTGATTCCCCTCCCTTAGCCTCCCGAGTAGTTGGCACTACAGCCATGTGCCACCATGCCCAGCTAATTTTTGTATTTTTAGTAGAGAAGGCATTTTACTGTATTGGTCAGGCTGATCTCAAATTCCCGACCTCAGGTGATCCGCCCCACTCAGCCTCCCAGTGTGCTGGGATTACAGGTGAGAGCTACCATGCCTGACCTATTTGTTTTAATATAATGGTTTTATGACCAAACTTGGAAAGCAGAGGAAAGAAGCAGTTTTACAATGATGTTTAAAAACTGTTATTTAGTACTTTGGTTTGTATTATATTAGTATGTATTAATATTAGTAATTAGTATGTAGTAATATTAGTATTAATCATATGTATATCTTCTTTGAGACCTTTGAGAAATAGCATATGCTGAAGTCTTTCTAACAATATTTGTTTTGCTAAGCAAGATTACTTTTGTCAGTCCTTTAACATTTTGGGGGTTTGAACCTACCACGTGACAGGAAAGCATACTTTGCTCCTTGCTGAATTACGTGTGTTCTTGATTATAAATTTCCTTCATTATATAATACCTAGCTTCATTGGTGAGGAAGAACATAGATGGAGTATATGGTTAGCATGCAGAGATTTTGAGTTGGTATTACTTTTTAGTTTAGATTTTACATTGGCTTTCCTTCATTTATAGTTTTAATACAAGTTTAGAACCTCCTTTACTTAATGAACTTTCATGGATATAAACAGAAGACTTTTACCCTGCTGCTATTAACTTGTAACAATAGTGAAAGCTTGTAAGATTAATAAGAACACGACCCTTTTGGAACCTAACCTGTTTGCAAAGTGCAGACTTGCATATTTTAATGGTAGTTAATAGTTGGAGCGTTTATGATAGGGATGATGAACAGAGAAAAAGTGCAGTGGGACACGCTGGCAAGACTCTTACTGTGTGCTCAATGGCAACTTTCCATTTCTTTATTTCTTGTAGTTCCTCACTCAGCAGATTAGGAATTTTCTGATGCTTTGTGTATTCTTTCTAAATTTTTAATTTTTTATCATTAAAAATCAACCTTGTTTTTAATAGAGAAGAGAATGTTGAAAAGAAGTGGTACATTCCTGTGCAGCCAGAATTTAAACTGGAAACTGGATAACAGATGGATAGAAAGTACAATTAGAAGGCCCAATAGAGATTGCTTCACTTCCTCCTTCATTTCTTTTCTATCTTCCTTTTTTTCTTCTCTTTCCCTCCTTCCATGGCATCAAGAAGATAGTCAGAAAGTTATGTTTGTATATTGGCTCCATCAAGGATGTTATTTGAGACTGTTCTTTTTAGAAGACTAAGAATAGACTAGTGTTTTGGATATACACTCATAGGATCATTTTTGGGTTTGTATTAAATTGGTAGTTTGGTAATGAAATGAATGTTTTTTCTTGAGAATTGTAACTCTTCCTTCTGTATCTGTTCTTTAGAAATTTTCCCAGGAAAAACCTTGCTTTTCTACTGAAGCATGTTTTCGAAGGCTTAACATTGTACCTCCATGATGAAAAGAGATAATGTACATAAGACATTATTTTGAAGGTGATGAATAACCCTGTAGGAAGAACAGGAACTCTCATTTATGTCCGAGATTCTAAGTTCCTCTTAGTTGAGTTAGATTTAGAAAAAGGTACATTTTGCTATATTCATTCATTCATTCATTCATGCTATAACATGTTTTATCATCTCTTAGCAAGGCCTGGTAGCTGCTGGGAGTATAGTTATGAACAAGACAAAGATGCCTTATGGAGCTTATATATCCTATAAAGGGAAAAAATATAAATGATCAATTACACAATAAATGGTGTAAATACAGTTGTGGTAGTACTAAGACAAATAAGGCATGTTTTGAAAATCTGTTATTGGGGAATCCTACATAGTCTGAGAATCAGGGATGGTTTCCTTGAGGAAGTGATATTTTGATATTTGAGTTAATTTATCATTATCATAAATGTGATTGAGGAATTCATTTTAAATAAGTGCTTAGGGTATACAAACCCCAAATACAAATTATTTAAGGTTTAATAAAAAAATGGTAACATAAATTTATATTCCATTTATTCTTGGTCTTCCACTTGCATAATTCAGTTGAAACTCTTGGTTTCCCTCATTTAAATAGTGGCTTGCACGATTCTTAGCCCTATCTATATATATAATCTAAGACTTCATAAACGCAGTCCATTATTTACATTTGACAATTAATAAAAGCCTTCAAGTTATAATAGGTTTGAAAAATATTTGTTAAAATGCATTAAATTTGGATGAAATTCTATTGATAGTTCCTTAATTAAATAAACCAAAGCATTTCTATTGTCTATCTTTCCAGATAGACTGTGAGCTTCTCAAGGATAAAGGTCCTATCTCCAGAACCTTGCAGGATGTGACCCACATAGTAAGTGCTAAATAAATACTGAACACAGCAATTATGAGTAAACTGTAAATAAGGATGAAACAACTTGATAACTGACCTTCACGTTTCTTTTAAGTGACTTTTTAGTATAATAGTTAATAGCAGGGAGCCTTTGTTATCACAAGATCTGGTTTTGAAAACCAGTTTCTTAATGTGTATTCTTAGGCAAGTTACTAAACTTCTCTAAACCTCATTTTCTTTATCCTCAAAATGAGATTACGTGTGTAAAGTACTTAGTATACTGTCTGACACATAGTAAGTGTTCTATAAGTGGTGGCTAAAAAGATGTGTTAAACTTTTTGTCTGTGTTAGATAATATCTGTGATATTTAAAGTAGACATGTATAGTGACATAAAATATTAGTATGTATGAGAGCAGATGATTGACACTTTCCACAGTTACATACCAAGTCAAAAAGTGAAAAATCTATAACTACTAGGCTTTTGCTTATTCAGACTAAACTAAGTAGATAATTATGGTTCTTATTGCAGTGAATACATTTTCTTCCTTTATAAGTCAGTTTTTTAAAAAAACAAAATAGTTTGTGGGTTTTTTTTGTATTTTAAAAATGTTTTTTAGAGACAGGGTCTTGTGATGTTGCCCAGCCTGAACAGAAGTCCTGGGCTCAAGAGATCCTCCAGTTGCAGCCTCCAGAGAAGCTGGGACAACAGACACATGCCATCATCCAGCCCAAGCTGTTTTTATGAATAAATTTTTGTGAACTTCTAAAAAGGGAAAAAATCAAATAATCTCCCAGTCTTTGGTGTAGATTAAGATATTTGATGTAGGAGGTTTGCTTGAATTGATGTGTGCATAGGCATATTTAATGGACATATTTACACGTGGGGATGGAAAGACTAGAAAATCTAATTTATATGTCTAATTTTCAGCTTCTATAAGTAAACTTAGTTATTTTAAGTAATTCACTGTCATTCTTTTTACCTGTATAATGAAAACAAATACCATTACTCTTCTGTTTCCGAGTATCTTTATGGAAGTAAAGAATGTAAGGAAACAAGTTAAGAAACAAATATTCTGAAGTTTCAAAACCAACTTGAAAAATTTTTTAAATTCCTTGTTATTTACAAAGTTATGATTTGCTGGCAAAAATAAAATAATAAAAATACCCCTTAATACAAAACGAAGCAAAAAATGCCAGCAAACAAACAAAAAATCTTTAAGGACTTTTTATTCTACATTTAAAAAAATGTACTTTTAAATTTTTCCAACAGCAAAATATCCACAAATTAGTGTAAACTCTAGGCATTGGCTGTAGTCAAGGGATTAGTAGAAGAGAATTTGGACCAGAGTTCTAAGAATATTAAGATACTTGATTAAAAATATTTTGGGGATATATGCCCTCCTGAAAAACTTTGTTTCTATACATGAAATATTTTGATTGATTTGTTGGATTACATGCTTTTCAGAGGACTGAAAAGGATGGAATTCAACATGTAGTGGGAGTTCCCAGGGGCCCATTTAGAGCAGTTTGCCTACAAAATTGAAAACAGCTGGCAGTTTTATATAAGGCAACTAGCAACCTATACTCTTAAGAATGTAATTTGGTGAGTGGGATTTATGTAATAACTGATGAATTTGCATGTTTTTCTCAAATGACTTTATTTGTATTTTTCGTTTGCTCCTAGGATATCACTGAAAATTAGGATTCAGGCATTTTTGCATTTTTACAATTGCATCATGCCCATGGTCACAAAGCAGATCATTGATGACTTGGTATCTGGATGTTGATCTCCCTACTCTTTTATCCTTACATATGTTGAATTATTGTCACCAAGTCACTTTACTGGTTCCTTAATCTACACTGATTTTAGAAATCTTCATCTGTAATTCTTAAGATAATTTGCTAAGTATTATACAGTGTACACTGAAAAAGTGGACTTGGAAATAAAATTGCCCAAGCAAAATTTTTTCTCTCAACTTGCCGATATGCATTTTTGGGTATGTTTTGCTGTTTTAATTTATTACAGGTTTTTTGTTTGTTTGTTTGTTTTCGGGGGGACTGAGTTTTGCTCTTGTTGACCAGGTTGGAGTGCAGTGGCACGATCCCGGCTCACTGCAACCTCCAGCTCCCAGGTTCAAGTGATTCTCCTGCTGCCTCCTGAGTAGCTGGGATTACAGGCATGCTCCACCATGCCCAGCTAATTTTTTGTATTTTTAGTAGAGACTAAAAATACATTTAGTTTCATCATGTTGGCCAGGCTGGTCTCGAACTCCCGACCTCAGGTGATCTGCCTCCTAAAGTGCAGGGATTACAGGCGTGAGGCACCGTGCCCAGCCTATTTATTACAGTTCTATGTTTGGTCTTTGGCAAAATTTGACCATGATTATTAAAATCCATCTTCCTTATAATTTTGGTTTCTAACCTATTAGCAGTGGTTGTGTTTCTCCACTTCAAATTGCCCAGCTTGAGTGTTCTAGAGAAAACAGATAAAAGCCTTATAGTTATTTTAAACATTCAGATTACTACTGTAAACTCTGTTAACTTTTTTTTTTTAAATAGAGGTTCAGGAAAATCTCAAGAAACTGAAATTTAGAATATTGGACTACCTATAAAAAAGCAGTATAAAGGGTGCCTGAAATCGAACTGCTCACTGACATTTGTAGGGAGGTTTGATTTATAACAAATAAGTTGATCAAAGAAGAGTGATTGTTCCAAGTTAGAGATCTTTGTGTGGGTTAGGGAGTCCGATTGTAATTGGATGGGAAATAAATATTTTTTTTCTTGAATTGTGATTGGCTAAAATCCTTTTCTTTCCATGGTATTTTCTAATAACTGAATCTGGGGATTTTCTCTGCTTTTATTATCTGACCAGTGTGTTTGAGCTGTGTACCAGTACTAAAAGTACTAAGACTGTCGCAGACACGGTTTGTGAAATTTCAGGACGTTGACAAGGGCCCGCCACGGAGCATTTGCTGTTCTTATAATAAAGCAGTGACGAATTTAAATCTGTGAATAGCTTAAACATGTAATTAGTATCACCACAAATGAGAAGAATGAAAGGATCACATTTTCCCCCTCGTTTTCCCTTGAAGTCATGAACGGTTGGTTCTGCTGTGACTTTGGGGCTTAGTTTTCAGTAGAAGTGTTGTCCTGCTCTGCTGCTGTTACTGCGGGACTGCTAATTCAGGCTAACTCAGGCGGCGGGCGCTGTGTGCTCTGAACATCAAACCGCGGGTGAGGCGTCAACCCAGGAGTTTATTTTGTGATCAGAGTGGAACCACTACACTTCACTTTCCCCTCACCTCCACCTCTGAGGGAGCAACGAATACAAAGGTAGACCCCCAAAAGCTTTGAATAGCTGTCGCCTACTTTCCCGCGGCCCTCTTCATTTTTTCGTCTCCCGCTGCCGCCGCCGCCGCCGCCTCTGGATCTGGACGGACCCAGTGGCCGCTGCCGCCTCCGCAGGGCCGGGCACTACTTTCCGTCTGCGGTGGTTCCGCCGACCCTCCCGCGGCTGCTGCCCCGCCCGCGCCGGCGGAAGGAGACGCGCTGCGCGCCGCCGCTGCCCGGGGAGGGAGACGGAGCAGTACTGGCCGCGGCGCGGTGGCGGCGGCTGGGCTGCCTCGGGGTCTTCGACGGCCGCGTTGGGTTTTGTTTCAGTTTTCTTGTGTGGCGCTGCAGCACAAGGCTGCGAATCTGGGAGTCCAAAGGAGTGTTTGCGGGGAGGGCCCGAGGTCGCTGTGTCCGGGGCAGAGCGGCCGGTTCGTCCCGAGTCTGCGCTCTTTCGGGTCCGCTGCTGTGTCCCGGTCCGCTCTCCTCAGCATGAGCGGCCGGTAGGAGTGAGGTTTCATCGGTTCCCTCGCACTGGAGGAGGCAGCGGCCGCTTCGGCAGCGACAGCTATGGCGGTAGAGACGCGGGCAGAGCTGGTGGGTAAGCGGTTCCTGTGTGTGGCGGTCGGCGACGAGGCACGTTCGGAGCGCTGGGAGAGCGGACGCGGCTGGCGAAGCTGGCGAGCGGGGGTCATCCGAGCCGTGTCACACAGGGACAGCCGCAATCCGGACCTGGCGGTAAGAGAGTCAGCGCCCCCCTTTTCCCCTGCCGCGCCCGCACCCGGCTCTCGCAGACGTACCTTGCAGGCTTCCCTCTGGCGCCTCGCTCAGCCCGGCCAACTGGCGGTCACGCCCCTCTGCTGAACCCTTGGCGCGTTTGCCCGCATCCCTTGCCTGGGTCCCTGCGTCTCTCCGAGCGGCTTCCCCTGTGGAGGTGGTGTCGGAGCAGGACTCCCGGGATAGCCGCGGAGGCTGCCCTGGCCCCCATCCCGGAGGGGTCGACCGCGGCTCCCCGCTGTGGCGCCTGGGCGGCCACGGAGACCTCCCCGAAAGGCGGAGCCGCGAGTCCGGCGCCGCGCGGGCAGGTGGGGGTAGGGGGCGGACCACTCATGGCGACAGGCGGCCAGCTTCCCTGGTATCTCTTTTCTTGGAAAAGTCTTCATAGTGCTGTAGCTCGAGACTTAAAACTTATCCTGTAAGGTTGCTGAAGGGGAGGGAGAAAAGAAAAGAGACCTTCCCACACAGTCCGGGGATTCCTATGTGTTTTAGAGGCAGAGGCCGTGGTGGTGGCTGTGCCCGGATTCATCCTCTCCTTAATAGATGCTTGGCTTTCTAACCGTAAAGGATAAAAGTGAAAAATTTTGGTATGGAGGGTAATCTCTCTTTCTGTCCCCAATGTGCTTTTCTTGTTAGAAAGGTATAGTTCTTTGGAGTCAAGCTGTTTCTGGGTTTTATACGATTTTAAATAAGACGAAAAATGTTGTCAATTAAAATGTTAAATGCCATGCAGAATTGATTATCTTTTTTTTTTTTTGGTTTCTTACATGTGACGCTGCCAGTGCTTTCTTTGAGTAGCGTAGGTATGTGCATGATATTGAGCTGTAATATGCTCTGTTGTGTTCCAAGTACATTCTCACTGAGGGACAGCTTGAAGGTAAGGGGCGGAGTAGAGACAAGACATGGACTAGACTTCCAAAGGTTGATTTATGAATACGTAATCTGTGAAATTTATTTGTAATGCCCTGAGCCATTTACTTTTTCAATGAAAACTTCAAATTTAGGAAATTTTTTTCCCTTTGTGTGCATGAAAGCTTACAATTCCAAATTCATTGTAATATTTGTACAGGTATCTACCTAATATTTTTTACCTACCTATTTTAATAGTTTCTGAGTGTGTTTTTGTAAACTCGGGTTTTCCTCACTGTAGTCAATGATATGGTTAATGCGGCATGTATTAATATTGACTCGATATCGCAAAATAGGTGTGTTTTGCTGATAGGTATTTCTAACAGAAAATAGAGGTAGTTTTGAAGGTTTTGGCTGGTTATTTTCGTATAGAAATGTATAATCTTCCTTAAAAAGTATTGGTGATGTTAGTGGTTCTAAAAATTATGGCAGTTCAATTCAGTAACTATTTTTGTTTGTGTAAAAGGCTGAGGTAAGAGGATTGCTAGAGCCCAGGACTTATTAAGAGTCCAGCCTGGGCAACATAGGTGAGACCCCCTCATCTGTAAAAAAGGAAAAAAAAAATTTGTATATATAAATAACTTAATTGCTCTCTTAGTTGGGAATTTAAGTGATTAAAGAGTTAAGTTTGCATATGTTAGTAAGGTATTAAGCTGGATATTAAAAAATAAATTATCTATGGATGGTAGAGATTGACTGGAAAGAATAGGAGTTTCTTCAGGTGATAGAAATGTTTCCTATCCTGATTGTTGGTTACACAGATATATATATTTGTCAAAACTCGTTGAATTGATACTATCTTTGCGTTTCACCATATCTAAATTTTACCAAAAAAAGAAAAATGTATGTTGAACCATACCTATGTGAACCCTTGATGAGTTTTTTTAATCTGTCTTTATTTGAAAATTTGAATATTAATTTAGTTTTTTTAGCCTAGAATCTACCATTTTAGATTTATTCCCAGATTTTCTTACATTCACATTTCTTAAACGAAACTTGGAACAGTTTAGCATTAACATAATGTAATATTCCTGTTCGACTTTGATTACTGCAGAGTAGATTTTAAGTTACATGAAATTAGGCTAGGCACAGTGGCTCACGCCTGTAAACCCAACACTTTGGGAGACTGAGATGGGAAGATACTTGAGCGCAGGAGTTTTGAGACTAGCCTGGGCAACATGGCGAAACCCTGTCCCTACAAAAAATACAGAAATTAGCCGGGCATAGTAGTACAATGCCTGTGGTTCCATCTACTGGGGCGGCTGAGGTGGGAGGATCACCTGAGCTCAGTGAGGTTGAGACTGCAGTGAGCCAAGATTATGCCACTGCACTCTAGCCTGGGCGACAGAGTGAGATCCTGTCTCTAAATAAATAAATAAATATGTAAAAAGAAAGTATATGGAAAATGTTGAATAGGCTAGTTTGTGATTTTTTTTTTAAAGCTACAAATATGTATAATTAAAAACCTGTTAAGTCTACTAGAAGTCCTGGCTGGATACACCAGGCAGGACATGTGCCACAAACCTGTGGCACATGATTTGGAAGGATAATGATAAGAACTTCAAAGTAGTTGAGGGAATATTGTGTCTCAAAGATAATCAGTTATTCTTATTTTGGGTCTTATGTATGAGGAATTGCCACGTGAATTAAATTTCTATAATTGTTTAATTAACGTAATCTTGGTGGTTTAAATGTTATACGCTTATTATTTTGTAGTTCTGGAGATCACAAATAAGACCTGGATCTTGCTGGGCTAAAATCAAAGTGTGGCAAGACTGTTTATTCTAGGAGAGATCCATTTTCTTTCCTTTTCTAGTTTTTAGAAGCTGTCCACATTCCTTGGCTCATGGCCCCCTTCCTCCATCTTAAAAGCCAACCAAGTTGTATCTCTCTGACCGTTTTTCCCTAGTCATCTCCTTCTAACTCTCCTGCTTCCCCATTACACTTGTAAGTGCCCTGTTGATTACTTTGGGCCAATTGACATAATCCAGGATAATCTTGCCATCTATTAACAACCATAATTCCTTGTAAACTTTAATTCTCCTTTGCCATGTAATGTAACAGTTACAGGTTCCTGGGATTAGGACATGGATATCTTTGGGATTAAATTATTTTTTACCACACCGTGGTAGCAAACATATTTCTTGTACAATATGAACATATATAATTTAATACAAATAAAGTAAGATTAAAATTTTATTTTTTCAGCCAGGGGTTATAGTGATATTACTTTCTAATCTTTTAAGTAATAAGTTTAATTAATAGAGTTTTCATTAGGTTATGTTGGATAATTTCAAATAGTTTGTCAACTTTTAAAAATATGGCGTGAGAACCTTTTGGGTTATCTGTATTGGAATTATCTTTGCTAACAAAATATCTAAGCCTTTTTTATGCAGGAGGACCAAGTTGTTGAAGAAGTTGAAATATATACAGCACATTGTGAACCTTTTTCATTTTGAGTTTCTTTTTTAGCCCCATTACTGAGTTTTGTCTTGGGATACATTTTTGACATTACTGCTGTTCTACTTTTTGAGGAATTTTTCTAGAAAATTGATAGTTTAAGGAAAACTGGCAGTTGAGAAGTACTGTTGCATAATATTTGTCTCCTTGAATAATATTGTAATATTAATTAAATAGCAGACATCAATTTACTCTCCTCTTGTTTAACTTCGCTTCCATTTATGATCTCAGTGATTTATTTATTTGCTTATCTATCCATCCATTCATCCATACACCCATCTATCTACCTTTCTTTGATGCTTAGGTTGATTGTATTTCTGTTTTCAAGCCAGTTCTGTCTAAAGTGTAAGTATTTAATAAAATATGTCTGGTTTTTTCAATAGAGAAAAGGACAATAAAAAATCATACTGTGTATTAAAGGCCAAACCCATAAATTTGCTTGTATTTAGGGGATATCCTGGGAATGAAGAGTTTAAACTGTTGAAATGTGTATCAGCTGATGTTATTTTGCAAAACTTCTGTCTTAAATATGAATAATATTCATGTTTAGGAAATTTAAAGTGATTTATGATTTCGCATATAAATAAAACCCCTTTTTGTTTTTGGGTCTACACATTTCTGCTTAGTTTTCTCATTTAAGTTTCTTATTTAGTTGGTAGCATTACATTTCCTTGTATGTTTCTTTATGTCAGTCTGACATTTATATTGTCTTGCATCATTATTAAAAATGCTGATTTCTGGTCTGTTTACAAAATGTTGAATGTATGAATGAATGAATGATTTTTACTTCATTGGTCAATACGATCTTGATAGGTTTACTATAGCAAAATTGGTTTTTTTGGTAGGTAGAAAGACTTCTATGTCTGATGTAAGTATGCCAACTATTTTTCACACTCGAATTTGTTATTGCTATTGCTGGTAAAGACTTGAATATAGGAAAATGACGAAATTGCCCCAATGGTGGGACATAAACTCGTGCAGTTACTACCACTAGCTAGTTTTAAAAGAAGGTGATGATCGCCCAGTAAATGTTGTTAATTGTGTTTCTGTGTAAAATTAAAGGGGCTGTTGTTTTATATGATCTTTTGACCCATCATCTATATGTTCTGGCACATATTTTAAATAGGGTATTCCAATAATTTCCAATAATTTTAAATAGGGAATTCAGTAAGTTCCAGTAATTTTAAATAGGGAATGTTTTCATTCATTAGAATAATTGAACTATAGAAATTTTACCATGTGAAACCTTATCGTCTTTGTATAGGGATATTATTGCATGTGAAAGTAAAAATGTTAACTAGATATTTCAATGTAATTGAAAGCATACAGGCTATTTTCCTGTATTTATAGATTTTATATATTATTTTTAGACAATTTCAAATTATATACAAGAAATGTCTTTAAGTCTAAAATTCATTTTCTGTCATCTTCACATATTTAGTACCGTACCTAGCATTTACTTAGGTGTCCATAAATGCTTATGGAATAATAAAGGAATGTCATAAGTTACTTGAATATTTTAATTCATACTAACCATCTCAAGTTTCTATTACTATTTACTCTTTTTTGAGACAGGGTCTTGCTCTGTTACCCAGGCTGGAGTGCAGTGGTGTGATCATTGCTCACTGCCGCCTGGAACTCCTCAACTCAGGCAATCCTCCCACCTCACCTCCTGAATAGCTGGGACTACAGGCATGTGCCACTATACCCAACTAATTTTTAAATTTTTTTTTGTAGAGATGAGGTCTCACTTTGTTGCCCAGGCTGGTCTTGGACTCCTGGCCTCAAGTGAGCCTCCCACCTTGGCCTCCCAAAATGCTGGGATTACAGGTGTGTGCCACCTACACCTGACCTTACTATTTACTCTTAATTGTAAATTTTTTGTTTCTCTTATGGCACTGTGTACCTTCCCCTCCGCAGTATCCATTCTATCTTTTATCCAATTGTGTGGTTTGACTACAGGATGGGCCATGATTTTTCTAAGCTAACTTACAGAATAGAACTCCATTGATTGGTACAGGCCATAAATGGATCCAGTCGGAGGGATTCCAAGGATAGCATTGTGTGGGTATGAGTCTGGAACTGCTGCAGCCATTTTTCTACTTTAAGGTAAACCAATTTGAAGGCAAAGCTGACATAGAGAGGTTAATAGTATTGACACGGTAGCAGGAAAAAATGTGACTGACCAAACTTTTTCTGAATCCTACATACTACTGTGGATTTTTCTCTTATGGAGTTTTCATTTTGGGAGAATAAATTTACTTAAGGTTTAAGTCTGTTTTGGTTCCTTTTTCTTTGCCTTGGAAGCAAAAGTATGTTAACTGATATACATGGTAATATTTCATTCCACTCTTTTTGAATAATGAAAGCAGCATTTTCTTGAAACTTTTAAATTTGTTATTTGGTGTTCAGACGTTAGAGTCTTGTCATACTGATTTTTGTATAACTCTGATGATTTTCAAAAAGGGTGATATGTTCTGCTTTTATGTGTCCAGGTGTATCCCAAAGCTTTGTAAAAATTAATTTGTTTTAATGTGTATGAAGTATAAATATCTAACTTTCTAAATATTTACAAATAAGAAATAGCATTGAGTTTTTATATTAGGAAGTGTGCCATAACTCCTCACAGTTAAATAGAAATTTCAGGAGAGATACATCGTTAATATTTCAGAAATTAGCAAGAGAGGGCAAGCTTGGCTTTTTAGGTCACATATATCATAAACCCTAGTTTATACTCTGTCAGTGTTGGTCAGATAAATAACTGTAGGTCCACTATTCTTTATCTGCAATTCTGAAATTCAAATAGCTGTAGCAACTACATTTTTTAATGATTCATTTGGAAGCAAAACCTGATTGACTAAACTCATTTTTTAAGTAGAGCTTAATAGGAATTGAGTATTTCTTATAGGAGAAATATTAATGTGCTCCACTTTTAGGGTTCTGTTCTAAATCCTTCAGAGATGTTACATGTTGCCTAGGAACTGTGCTATATTACCATAGTTAACTACCATAACGTAAGGACTTGTACTATATTACCATAATCAACTACCGTAATGTATGCTATAGGCCAAGCGCGGTGGCTCACATCTGTAATCTCAGCACTTTGGGAGGCCAAGGCAGGGAGATCACTTGAGCTCAGGAGTTCAAGACCAGCCTGGGCAACATGGTGAAATCCTGTCTACTGAAAATACAAAAAGTAGCCAGGCGTGGTGGTGTGTGCCTGTGGTCCCAGCTCCTTTGGGTACTGAGGTGGGAGGATGGCTTGAGCCTGAGAGGTCAAGGCTGCATTGAGCCATGATCATGCCACTGCACTCTAGCCTGGGTGACAAAGTGAGACTGTTCCTCAAAAAAAAAATAAATAAATAAAAAAAAAGCTATATTTAACTTTATAAAAATCCAATAAACTTTTAATACCAAAATATGTTGAAAGAGTTTGGATGAGGGATTGTTATTTGAATACTAATACGATTTTTGGTGGTGTAGATTTAATGGCAACAAATACTGCTAATTTTATTTGTTAGGAGATTTGATAGTGATCATATGTCTGCCTAATTTCAGATAGTTTTTCCAGTGTGGATTTTAGCAGACTTTTTTTTTTTTTTAAAGACAGGGTCTCGCTCTGTTGCCCAGGCGGAGTACAGTGGCATAATTACAGGTCATGGCAGTCACTTTCTGGGTTCAAGAGATCCTCCCACCTCAGCCCTACAAGTAGCTGGTACTACAGGAATGAGCCACCATGCCTGGCTAATTTTTTTTTACTCTTTGTAGAGATGGAGTCTGACTGTGTTGCCCAGGCTGGTCTCAAACATCTGGGCTCAAGCAATCCTCCTGCCTTCAGACTCCCAAAGTGTTGGGATTAGAGGTGTGAGCCATGGCATCCAGCTTCACACTTTTATTAGATATAAAATTCTTAATCTGACAAAGAAAGATTTAGGGATTACGTACTTTTAGTTTTACAACTGGTCTTTACTAAATTGTTAATGTTGAAACATTGTCTGAAATTATCGAATTGGATAAAATCCCTTTGTGTAGAATTTATATTTTATATTCTAGCTAGTTTACGAAATTATTATCTTAAACCCATTGATGAAAATGTTGATTTATCTTATATTGTAGAACTATTGATTTAATTATAGAATACATGGCTAAGTAGAAAAACAGCAGCTCACAATCTGTTTACTGTTTTGTCTGGCAAAACAAAACTATGCATACTGCTGACTTACGAAAAACTGAAAAGAGTTTTTGAAATCACACAATCAGTAAGTGTCAGGGCAGGAATTTGAATGCAGATTTCTGATTTCAAATCTGTTATCTCTGTACTCTGCCATATTGCTTCTGCCAATGGTTTGTGATTCACAGACTCTCAAAGTAAAAACCCGAAATTCCCTTTAACTGTAATGTTATATATTCTTTCTGAGCCCTTTCTCTTTCTTCATTTCTATAGCCCTATGGTTTAAGTCCTCTTGGACTTTTATTTCTCCTTCCTTCCTGTCTGCAGTTCCTTTCATCTTCTTAATTTGGTATTTCAAATTCAGTCCTTTGCTTACTGTTTGTTGTTGTTGTTTTAATCTTGTTATTTCCTTTGTAGAATTTACTTGTACTATGTTGCATAATTACTCACAAATCTGCAATTAAAGTTTGGCCTTTTTTCAGTTTGATCCACCGTCTCTACTGTTTGGAAGCTTTACATGAATGTCCCGTGTGTGGGTTTGAAATAGTGTTTAAAGTATAATTTATTATCTTCATGTGAAACCAGCTGCCATTTTGAGATTTAATTTGAAGTTTCACCTGGGCTTGAAAACACCTTCATCTTAAATGTTTTTCCACCTTGAACGTTGGCATTAACTTAGTTCTGCAGATTTCTTCCTTTAAATTGGAACCTGCTTTCCCGTCTCCATTCTTTTCAATTTGTACTACCACTTGCTCAAAACCTTCCTTACTTGATTTATTTGGGTTATATC
Organism: Homo sapiens; assembly: GCF_000001405.40. Classification (NCBI taxonomy): domain Eukaryota; kingdom Metazoa; phylum Chordata; class Mammalia; order Primates; family Hominidae; genus Homo; species Homo sapiens. The sequence goes on along the minus strand of NC_000010.11, from coordinate 63,457,125 downwards.
TATTGATACTTACTGTATTAAAAACTAAGCTGAAATTTTTAAAACACAAGAGCAGTTTTTCATAAGTCAGCACTATGCAGACATAGTTTTGTTTTACCAGACAAAACACAAGTAGTCTGCTGCTCTGAACACTGATGAAAGAATGAATGGAAAAGGCAAATAATGTCTTAGTAGTATTTTGAGAAGTTTTTATCTTACTAATCCCTTGAATAGATTTTGTTGCCCTGGAAACATTTGGTGAAGGTATCTGTTCATCTAATTCTCTTTAGTAGAATTATTTACATTAGTATCACTAAATAGTTAAATTTTAAGTTGAATTTGGCTTCTTCATTATTTCAGGTTTCTTCCAGTATTTTCTGTGTGGCTATATTGCTTATGAAAATTATGTATTTTGAACGTAGAAGGTTGCATGTAACATGCCAGAAAATGTTAACATGGCAGTAGGAATAGTCAGCATTCCTAGAATAGATTTCAGATTTTTTCAAAGCTAGAAGAGGTCTGTGTGACTAATTCATTTCTTGTGAAAGACTGACACTTAGGAGCTGAAACATCTGATCCATCTGTTAAAGTTAGGAGTTTTAAGATTCAAAAATCTTTAGGCTCAGAGGAATATCAAAGAAGGAAGCAGTATGTTAATGTTTGGTTAAAATTATGTGTTATTTAATATAAAATGACTGTATATTTAACAGAATTTATTTCCTCTCTATATTGTGATTCTATAGATGGAATCTTGATGCAATACAGGACTAGGAGAAATATTTGTATAAGAATTTAAAGTTGATGAACTATTCCAATGTGTTGAATAACATTATACTATTATTTGGTCTATGTTCTTTTTCTTCTTTAAAATCACATTGATAAAACTATGTAGAGCCTATTTTAGAGCGTTTCCACTGTTCGCTAGAACATTTTATTGCCATAATTTTCAAAATCTCTGATCATATTTTAATACCAAAGTGAATCATTTTGAGGGAAACCATTTTACTTTACATTGTTCATGTGAATTAAGAGAGTAAGTTGTGAATATGAATATAGACTATATGTATTTCACCTTTCCGTAACGGTTTTGAACTATACAAACATATACACATAGTTATATAATAGAAATAATTATTAAGACCCTTTGAACTACTAAGTATAACAAGGAAAAAAGCAAATATGCTTACAGTTAATATAATATTGCATTAAATTTGCCTCGATTTTCTCAGTCTTAAGAGCAAAATAAGAATTGTGATTAATTAAAATATCATTTATTTTCAGTGTTTTTTCACTAGGTTCTACTGCCTTTTTGAATTGCTTTCTTTGGTGTCTTGGAAAACTAAGTGACCAGAGGGTATAGGAGACAAGAAACCTGAGAGTACTGAATTCTCATTCTTACCCCTTTCAATTAGAACACCACTGATTTTATCAGTTTTATTTAATAATGATTTCATAGGCCAGAAAATTAGATTACACAGTTCTTTTTTCAGAGAGAAGGAAATAAGCCATTTTTAAAGAGAGAAACTTTTCTTGAAAAAAAAATCTGAATCTGGTAGCTTAATACAAGGGAAATAGCAAATGAAGAGCTGTTTCTTGGTAAATAAGAATCCAGTGTGTCATTATGAAGTATCACTTCATGAGGATATTCCTGCAAGAGATTAAAATAATATTGAGATATGTAACTGTATAATGATCAGTGGAACCTAAAGGAGAAGAAACTAATAATAAATATGACTAAAGTTCATGATTGTCAACCTTTTATTTCTTGTATTCCAGTGTCCCAGTGGATAGGGTTAAGCTTTAACGTGCAGAATTGTGGAGGAAACATGTTTGAATGGTTTTTTTCTAGACCTCATACCCAGATACTGTGATCTTAGATATGGAGTATAGGACAAAAATCTGTACTAAAATTTATTAACTTTTTTGACTGGGTACCACAGAAACATAAAGAAGTATATTTTGAATAATCTCACTCCCACACCTGCCCCGATCAGCCTAGTTTAATCTGCATCTCTTTTAAATAACCATTTTTGTTAATTTCTTATGTTTTCTTCCAGAGTTTTTTGTTAAAAATAAAGATGTGAACGGATGCACGTAGTCTTATTCCTCCCAGGCATATGTAATCAAGCTGAGCATAACCTAAAGGAAAATAACCACGTTATAGGTGTTGCGATACAATACAACAGGAACTACACAATTCAACTTATGAAGTATTTTTGCCAAGAAGAACTGAACCTGAATATAATGAAGCTTCTAGATTCTGACAGCAGTTTACAGGACATATGGAGGTAGAGGAACATGTGAAACTACACCATGAGGATACAGTCAGCCATATTCATTATGTGGGGAATTACAGAGCTGTGCTTTTCAGTATGGTAGCCACTAATGTGTGGCACTTCAATAAAATGAAAAATCAGGCTAGGTGCAGTAGCTCATGCCTGTAATCTCAGCACTTTGGGAGGCCAAGGTGGGTGGATCACTTGAGGTCAGGAGTTCAAGACCAGCCTGGGCAACATGGTGAAACCCTGTCTCTACTAAAAATGCAAAAATTAACTGGGTGTGGTGGTGCAGGCCTGTAATCCCAGCTACTAGGGGGGCTGAGGCATGAGACATGAGAATTGCTTGAAACCAGGAGGTGGAGGTTGCCGTGAGCTGAGATCGTACCACTACACTCCAGCTTGGGCAACAGAGTGAGATTCCATTTCAAAAAACAACAAAAAAATTAGCTGGGTGTGGTGGTGCAAGCCTGTAATCCCGGCTACTCTGGAGGCTGAGGCATGAGAATCTTGAACCAGGGTGGTGGAGCTTGCAGTGAGCTGAGATCATGCCACTGCACTCCAGCCTGGGTGACAGAGGGAGACTCAGTCTGAAAAAGAAAAAAAAAAAAAATCAATTTCTCCTTTTAGAGCTCCGATCACATTTTGTACGCTTGGTTGACACATATGGTTAATATCCACAGTCTCAGATAGTACAAATATAGAAAATTTCCATCATTGCAAAAAGTGTAGATGTGGCTATTCAATTGGATACAGCTATTCTGTAGTAACCATTAAAAAGTTAAAAATTAAAACATGTAATTTTCTGACTAGTAGAAAAAAATTGGGATGATACAAACAGAATTGGAGGCCGGGTGCAGTGGCTCAAGCCTGTAATCCCAGCACTCTGGGAGGCTGAGGCGAGCGGATCACCTGAGGTCAGGAGTTCAAGACCAGCCTGGCCAACATGGTGAAACCCAGTCTCTACTAAAAATACAAAAATTAGCCGGGTGTAGTTCCAGCTACTCAGGAGGCTGAGGCAGGAGAATCGCTTGAACCTAGGAGGCGGAGGTTGCAGTGAGCCAAAGTAGCGCTACTGTCCTTCAACCTGGGCAACAGAGCGAGACTCTATCTCAAAACAAAACAAAAAACAAAAAAAAACTATTGCTTTTTCACATGCAAGTTTTTTCCTAGTCTCTTGCCGTTTTTAACTACTTATAGTACATTATTCTGTATGGCTTTGCTTGACAGACGCAAAGGATCAGTAAAAATTTTTCCTTTGGCATCAGGCCTTTGTTTCAGCTTAAGAAATTCTTTCTAATTTGAAATTATATTTTAAAACATTCACTTTTTCTCCAGTAATATAAAATGTCTGTGTCTTTTGCTATATTTTAGGAATATTTGTGGACTATCTGTTATATTCCATATATCTTTCTGTTTCTTGTACCGCAAGATCAGAGTGTTTTAATGATTGCAGTTTTATAGAATCTTAATAGGTAAGCAAATCTGTTCATTACTCTTCATTTTCAATAATGGACATTCTTTAAAAAATTTTTCTTATTGTAAAATATATGTAACAAAACTTACAATTTTAACTATTTTTGTTTTGGTTTGTTTGAGACAGGGTCTTGCTCTGTCACCCAGGCTGGAGTGCAGTGGCGCCATCTCGGCTCACTGCACCCTCCGCCTCCTGGGTTCAAGCGATTCTCATGCCTCAGCCTCCCGAGTAGCTGTGGTTACAGGCACCTGCCACCACACCCGGCCAGTTTTTGCACTTTTGGTAGAGATGGGGTTTTGCTCTGTTTGCCAGGCTAGTCTCAAACTCCTGACCTCAAGTGATCCGCCTGCCTCAGCCTCCCAAAGTGCTGGGATTACAGGTGTGAGCCACGCACAGCTCATTTTAACCATTTTTAAGTGTACAGTTTAGTAACATTAAGTATATTAACAATATTTTGAAATTATCAGTACTATCCATTGTCAGAAGTTTATCATCCCAAACAGAAACTCTCTATCTAATGTCTCTGTGAATTTGCCTGTCCTTCATAAAAGTGGAATCATACAATATTTGTACTTTTGTGTCTGGCTTATTTTAACTTAGCATAATGTCAAGGTTTATCTGTGTTGTAGCAAGTATCATAACTTCACTTCTTTTTTATGGCTGAGTAATATTCCATTGCATATATATACCACATTTTATTTATCTACCAAAGGGTAGAAGGATTGCTTCTACCTTTTGGCTATTGTGAATAATGCTGCCATGAATATCAGCATATCTATTTAAGTCCCTGCTTTTTACTTCCTTGGGGTATGTACCCAGAATTGGAATTGCTGGATCATATGGTAATTTTATGTTTTGTGAGGAACCACTGCACAGTTTTCCACAGTGGCTGCACCATTATATGTTCTCAACAGCAATGAAGATGGATTCCAGTTTCTCTACATCCTAGTCAACACTTACTATTTCCTGGGTGTTGTTTGAAAATAGCCATCCTAGTGAGTGTGAAATGGCATTTCATTATGATAATTTTCCCAATGATTAGTGATTTTTGAGCATCTTTTCATGTGCATGTTCACAATTTGTGTATCTCCTTTGGAGAAATGTTTTAAGTTGTTCACCCAGTTTTGATTCAGCATGTTTTGTTTTGTTTTGCTTTGTTATAGGAGTTCTTTACATATTCTGGTTATTAGTACCTTATCAGCTAAATGATTAGAGATATATTCTCTATTCTGTGGGTTGCCTTTTCACATTCTTGATAATGTCTTTTGATGCATAGGAAAATTATAAATTTTAATGTAGTTCAATGTATCCATCTTTTATTTTGTTGTTGGTGCTTTTGGTGTCATTTCCCAGAAGTTGCTGCCAAATCTAATGTTATTGAAGCTTTCCTGTCTTCATTTGCTTCTAAGTCTTCTATAGTTTCAGCTCTTGATTTAGTTCTTCTATCCATTTTTAGTTGACTTTTGTGTATGGTGTAAAATAAGGGTCCAGCTTTATTTTCTTACATCTGTTAATCTCATTTTCTCAGCTCCATTTATTGAAAAGACTGTCCTTTTTCCATTGAATAGTTTTGGCACCTTTTTCAAAAATTATTTGGCCATATATGCAGGGGTTTATCTCTGGTCTCTGTCTTCATCTGTACAGTTGTCTCTCAGTATCGTGGGGGATTGATTAGAGCCCCCAAATCCATGGATGGTCAAGTGCTTTATCAGCCTTAAGGTGGCATAGTATTTGCATGTAACCTACATACTTCTTTCTGTATATGTTCAGTCATCTCTAGAATACTTAAAATTCCTAATACAATGTCAGTGCTATATAGTACTTATAATACCTAATGCAGTGTAAATGCTCTGTAAATAGTTGTTATACTGTATTTTTCAAATTCATATTTTTTAAATTTTTTTCTGAATATTTTTGATCTATCATTGGTTGAACTCATGAATGCAGTACAGAGGACCGACAGTATAGCTGTCTTTATCCCAGTCCTGCAGCGTTTTTGATTACTGTGGGTTTGTAGTAAGTTTGAAATCAGGAAGTGTGAGTTATTCAACTCTGTTCTTTTTCAAGATTGTTTTGGCTGTTAAGGGTCCCCTGCGATTCCATGTGGATTTCAGAATTGATTTTTCTATTTCTGTAGAAAACATGGGGATATTAATAGGGTTTGTATGTATTGAATCTGTAGATGGCTTTGGGTAGTGCTGATATCTTAATATCGGATTTTCTGATCCACAAACACAGATGTCTTTCCATTTATTTGTGTGTTTAATTTCCTTTGATATGTACCAGTCATTTGTCTCCTTGGTTTCTTACGTATTATTTTTTTGATGTTACTGTAAATGGAATTGCTTTAATAATTTCCTTTTCAGATTGTCCATTGTTGATTTATAGAAACACAACTGATTTATCTGTGTTGATTTTTGTATACTGCAACATTGCCGAATCTGTTAGCTCTAAGAGTTTTTTTTTTTTTTTCTGTGTGTGTGTGAAATTGTTAGGGTTTTGTACATAACAAATTATGTCATTTGAACAGAGGTAATTTTACTTCTTCTTTTCCAATTTGAATGTCTTATCTAAGTTTCTGACTAGTCCAATGCTGCGTTGAATAGAAGTGGCAACAGCAGGTATCCTTGTCTTGCTCTTGATCTTAGAGAAAAAGCTTTTAGTGTTTCACCATTGAGTATGATGTTAGCTGTGGAATGTTCATACCTGGCCTTCATTATGCTGTATTTTCCTTCTTTTCCTAGTTGGTAGAGTGTTTTATGAAAAAATGTTGACTTTGTCACATGCTTTATCTGCATCAATTGAGATGATCATAAAATTTTTTTTCCCTTCATTATGTGAATGTATTGTATTTATTGACTTTTGTGTGTTGAACCATCCTCGCATTCCAGCAATAAATCTCAGTTATGGTATATAATTTTTTTTTAATTTCTCTTTTTAAGAGACATGATCTCACTCTTTTACCCAGGCAGTAGTCCTATGGCTGTTCACAGGCAGAGTCATGGTAATAATGGTAATAATGCTGCTATGGTAATAATGCTGCTGTGAACATCAGTGTATGAATATCCTTTTTTACACCCCTGGCCTCAAATGATCCTCCTGCCACAGCCTTCCAATTAGCAGGAACTACAGATGGGTACCTCTGCACCTGGCTTTAATTGCATTTAACTAAAAAAAAAAAATTATTTTGTGATGCCTTTCATTGTTTCTTTGCCTTTCTCACACTAATACCCTGGTCTAATTTTGCTTTTCTTTTCCTCTTTTTTTGTTTTTTGTTTTTTGAGACAGGGTCTCACTCTGTCACCCATACTGGAGTGCAGTGGCACAATCACAGCTCATTGTAGCCCGGACCTCCTGGGCCCAAGTGAGCCTCCTATCTCAGCCTCCCAAGTTACTGGGTCCACAGGTATGTGCCACCATGCCTGCCTAATTTTTAAATTTTTTTTGAAGATGGAGTGTCCCTTTGTTGCCCAGGCTGGTCTCAAACTGGCCTCAAGTGATCTTCCCACCTCGGCCTCCCAAAATGCTGGGATTACAGGCAAGAACCGTCACACCTGGCCTAACTTTGCTTGGAATTGTGTACAGTTTTATAGACTAATTTAGGAAGTATGAATATCTTTTCATTACTGAGTCTGCACTTCAAATAACATGTAGTATCCCTCCAGCTATTCATGTTTGATTTTTTTAAATATTCTCCAGTGGATATGATTTTCTTCATATACGTCCTGTGTTTGTTAGGCTTATTCTTAGACACTATATATTTTGACACTTAGATGTATATTGATATATGCCTGAATCATTAATACATATCTTTTACTCATTTGTTTCTTCAGACACAACTTTTGGAATAAAAATAATGTGATCTTTCTTTTCCCAGTATATATTTTTAGCTCATATAATAGCTTGGTAGCTTTTTTCATTCATAGGCTTAATAAAGTTACAGTAGACTTTATATATATGAAAAGTGTTATAAAGAAAAAGTGAAATAATGTTACTAGCTTCTTAAATCTTGCCTAAAGTTTTAATAAACTGTTCAAGATGTTATTTCCTTATCATGTCTTTTGTTTTATCATTATGATCAATGGAAATATAATATTTATTTTACAGAATTTCACTTTTAGATTGTGTACCAGTTCATCTTCAAGTGAAACTGTAACAAAAAATTTCTCATTCAAAATACAGATTTAAAAACATTTTAGTGATGATTATTTACTATACAAAGCAAGTATATATTAGAATCCTTTACATTTTATTTTATTTTATTTTATTTTATTTTTGAGACGGAGTCTTGCTCTGTCATCAAGGCTGGAGTGCAGTGGTGAGATCTTGGCTCACTGCAGCCTCTGCCTCCTGGGTTCAAGTGATTCTCCCGTCTCAGCCTCCTGAGTAGCTGGAATTACAGGCACACGCCACCGCACCTGGCTAATTTTTGTATTTTTAGTAGAGAAGGGGTTTCACCATGTTGGCCAGGCTGGGCTCGAACTCCTGACTTCAGGTGATTCGCCCACCTCTGCCTCCAAAGTGCTGGGATTACAGGTGTGAGCCACCGCGCCCGACCTCCTGAAGTATCTTAAACACTACTTTTTCAAAATGCTGTTATCTATTCAATACAATCCCAATGTGTTTAGCATGATATATATGTAGACCTTTTATAGAGTTCTTTTAATTCTCTGCAATAGACTTCAAATGATTTCTCACCTCTGTCAAGTTTTAGAGAACTGCTTTATTTCTATTTCTCTAGAACACTATACTTTAGCAAGGGTTAAAATTTGGAGAATAGCAAACTGACTTTCTCATGTATTTCCTTCAGGTTCTAATGTTTTTAAACATTGATAGGGTTGAGGAAATAACAGATCAGAATGTATCCACTTCAAACAACAAATGGTTATACTCTGAATTCTTGGCTGAGGTACTTGTGATATTTTAAAATGTATTAGGGCTGGGTGTGGAGGCTCACACCTGTAATTCCAGCACTTTGGGAGGCCGAGGCAGGTGGATCACTTGAGGTCAGGAGTTCGAGAGCAGCCTGGCCAACATGATGAAACCTCGCCTCTATTAAAAATACAAAAATGAGCTGGGCATGGTGGCATGCATCTGTAATCCCAGCTACTTGAGAGGCTGAGGCAAGAGAATCCCATGAACCTGGGAGGTGGAGGTTGCAGTGAGGGGAGATTGTACCGCTACACTCCAGCCTAGGTGACAGAGCAAGACTCCATCTCAAATAAAATAAAATTAAAATAAAATAAAATGTATTGGGAAAATGTTTAGTTTTACTAAATTCAGTAATGCACAAAGGATGAAAAGAGGATAGGCGCTTTAGGTATTTATGGTCTGTTAATGTCTTTTTTTATTTTTACATAGGACAAAAGCAATAACCTTGGTTTTCACAATACTTTATTAGACTTTGTTTCAAGGAAATTTTTTCTTTCTCTCTCTCTTTTTATTTTTATTTTTGGAGACAGAGTCTTGCTCCATCACCCAGGCTGGAGTGCAGTGGCGTGGTCTCAGCTCACTGCAACCTTTGCCTCCTGGGTTCAAGTGATTCTCCTGCCTGAGCCTCCCAAGTAGCTGGGAGTACAGGTGTGTGCCACCATACCCAGCTGATTTTTTTATTTTTAGTAGAGATGGGGTTCACCACCTACCTTCCCCTATGGTTGACATACTGCAACTAGATGGACAATGCACTTATACTGCTGATTCCTTTTAGTTGTGATATTGATGCCACAAAACCATAGAAAATAAGATTTGATCACTTCAGGTTATAAACTGTTACCTTTATTATTTCTGTCCATCTAAGTAATTTGGAATATTATGATTCATGTTAGAGTACCCAGCAGATGTGAAGGAAAATATATAAGCTTAGTGAAATTTTGACTGGTCACTTAATTGTTCATTGGGAAATGAAAGAGGTCTAGAATATGTTGAAGTTTATTACAGACAAAAATAAAAATGAAGGGGAATCTAAATGCATTAACATTTTGTACCTTTTAATATTATAGTTTTTTTCTTCCTCTGTTCCAAAGTTTTCCAGATACTGTAGCCTGCTTTTTACTATGTTGATAAAGAGGAGGTGTCTGAGAAGCTTTGTAGAAATAATGTGGGAACATGGAGAAGAACTGAATTGAGGTCAGGGAAGCTATAAACCTTTGAGTGCTTTTGTGATGTGATGTGCTCTATGGGAGGCTGTGTATGAGTTCAAGCTTGAGAAACTTGCTTGATAAAAATGTGACTATTAACACTTACTGTTCCTTCCTCTTGTTAAGAGTCTCTTGAGAAGATGAATTTTTATTTAAATACTGTTTTGTCTTTTTTTTTTTTCCTGGTTATAAAATGCTTACAGATATTTTGTCCTTAGAGTTATACCTATCCCTCACAAATAACCTGAAACATAAATATAATAACAGAGTATGTCACAAAGATAGGAAATTCCTGGTGATTCCAGAGAAACTGGAATCTCTAGTTTGTAAGGAAAATAGTCTCTATCTTTGGCTTCTTTGGCTTGTAAAGTGCTTGGTATTATACAGATTGTCCCCAGTTTGTTGACTCCTATTATGACTTGAACCTGCTCTAGAAAGGCTTTTGCCCCCATTACTCCAAGGAAACTGCAGTGATCAAGGTTGCAAATTACCTCGTCTTTTTAAAATCAAGCATCATTTTCCAGTCTTCATTTTACTGGGCTTATCAGCAGCATTTAATATGGTTAATCACCTTCTTTTCCTTCAAGTACTTTGTTTATTTTGCATCCTAGGACATTATGCTCACTTGGTTTTTCTCGTATCTGTCTTTCTTGCCTCTCCTTGGAAGGTTTTCCTCATATCTACAATCCTTTAAGGGCTAATTTCTTGGACGTCTTTTCTAGCTACGCTCTTGTTCTTGGTCACATCTATTCCTATAACCTTTAATACCATCTATATGCTGGAGACTTCTATATCTATGTCCTTGTTTGGATCTCTCCCCTAAATCTCAGACTCTTGTTGAAACAGCTTATTCATTGTCTCTATTTGGATGTCTAATAGGCATCTCAGACTTAATATGTCCGCAGCTGAGTTCCTGATACTAACCTGTTCTGCCTTGAGTCTTCATTATCCAGTAAATAGCAACTCCATCCTTCTAGTTTAGGTCCCTTGCAGTCATCCTGGACTCCTTTCTCTCACATCCCATATCCAAACTGTCAAGAAAGTCTTGTTGGTTCTATCTATAAAACATATTCAGATCCCAGGCGGGGCGTGGTGGCTCAACGCCTGTAATCTCAGCACTCGGGGAGGCCAAGGCGGGTACATTGCTTGAGTCTAGGAGTTCAAGACCAGCCTGGGCAACATGGCAAAACTCTGTCTACTAAAAATACAAAAAATTAGCTAGGCGTGGTGGCACGCACCTGTAGACCCAGCTACTTGGGAGGCTGAGGTGGGAGAATCGCCTGAGCCTGGGAGGTTGAGGCTGCAGTGAGCCCAGATCACACCACTGCACTCCAGCCTAGGTAACCAGAGTGAGACTCTGTCTGGAAAAAAAAAAAAAAAAAAAAAAAAAAAAATTCAGATCCCAGCACATGTCATTTTTTCTATTAGCATTATACTAGTTCAAACCTACATTATCTTTTGCCTAGATTTTCCTCTTAAGAGTCTGTTGAGTCTATTTCTAGTAGTCACTTAACTAGTTACTTGTAACTAGATATCTAACTGCCTCCTAACTAGTTCTTACCCATAAAAGTCTATAGTGCCTATAGCAAACAGTCAGATTATGTTACTTTTATGGTCAGATGCCTCCAAAGGCTTCTAAACTGATTAAGAATAAAAGATGAAGGCCTTATAATGGGCTGAGAGACTCTACATGATATCCTGCTTTCCAGTCATTCCACATCGACATTATCTTCTATTACCCTCTTACTTGGCCTTTTTGCTGTTCCTTGAACATGTCAGGTCTGGTCTCCCCTTATGGCCTTTGCACTTGTTTCTCTGTCTAGAATTTTTTCCCCAAAGATACCCACATGACTCCATCACTTCTTTCTGGTAAGTATGTTCAAATGTTAACATGCTTGCTCATTTTGGTCTTCTTTGAAGACTACCTTATCTAAAATTGACCTCTTCCCTCCTCTGTCAACATTTTCTATCATCTATCACCAAATATCACTCTACTTGCTTTGTCTCTTATTTCTTTTTTAAAATAAAAATCATTTAAAGACTGGCTCTTGTTCTGTCACCCAGGTTGGAGTACGATGGCGTGGTCATAGCTTACTGCAATCTCAAATTCCTGGGCTCAGGTGATCCACCCAAGTAGCTGGGACTACAGATGTGTACCACCACACCCAGCTAATTTTTTTTAATTGTTTTTTTGTAGAGACTGGGTATCACTATGTTGCCCAGGCTGGTCTTGAACTCCTGGCCTCAAGCGATCCTTTCACCTCAGCTTCCCAAAGTGATGGGATTACAGGTGGGAGCCACTGCATCTGGCCCTTGTCTCTTATTTCTGTCATACTAAACATTGTACTTCTTTTTCTGCATTAGAATTAAATTGCTCCATTAAATGGACTTTTATCAGCTTTGATAAACTGTATTCCCAGCATTGAGAACATTGCTTAGTAGATAGTAGGTATTCACAAAAAAATTAGCTGGGCGTGGTGGTGGGCACCTGTAATGCCAGCTTCTCAGGAGGCTGAGGCAGGAGAATCACTTGAACTCAGGAGGCGGAGGTTGCAGTGAGCTGAGATCGTGTTATTGCACTCCAGCCCGGGCAGCAAGAGTGAAACTCTGTCTCCAAAAAAAAAAAAAAAAAAGATAGTAGGTATTCAGTAATTGTTTGTTTAATTAATTAAATAGAAATGTCCACCGGGTACGGAGGCGCACGCCTGTAATCCCAGCACTTTGGGAGGCCGAGGCAGGTGGATCACTTGAGTTCAGGAGTTCAGGACCAGCCTGGCCAACATGGTGAAACCCGGTCTCTACTAAAAATACAAAAATTAGATGGGTGTGGTGGCATGCGCCTGTAATCCTAGCTACTCGGGAGGCTGAGGCAGGAGAATCTCTTGAACCTGGGAGGCGGAGGTTGCGGTGAGTCGAGATTGTGCCACTGCACTCCAGCCTAGGTGACAGAGTGAGACTCTATCTCAAAATAAATAAATAAATAAATAAATAGAAATGTCCTAGAATTTTTTGAAATTTATCTTTAATTCTTTGAGATGCATCACTTTTTATTTTGAAAAAATCCTAGTAAAACCAATAAAATAAAACTCTGTAATATGCATATATGAAATCAGAAAACTCCTCAGTCACTTACTGTTATGAATTGACTCTCAGTAAATGTTTTGAATGTATAAATATCAAGTATTGATTATGTATGTGGTCAGTGTTGTAGGCTAACATAGCATTTAAGAAGTAAACCCGTTCTCAAGAAATTTCTACTTCTAGTGGAGAGAGTTGATGAATATTCAGCGGTTGATTCATACTACTGTATACAGTTGTATATTTAGAAACATGTTTGTTATTTGTTCCCAGTTCCTGGCACAGAGCTTCTGATACCCTTGGACTCTCCCGAGTGATAGGGGTGATAGAAGTGTCATTTCTTCTATGAGGCAACCCTTGGTGGACTTCTAGATAACTTCAGGGTATGGTCTGGTCACCAAAAAGACCAGACCTTGAATAGAAGCTTGGAACACTCTCATCTCCATGACCTAACCTCTGGGGAGTGGGGAGTGACTGGAGATAGAGTAAATTACCAGTGGCATATGTAACCAAACCTCTATAAAAGGTTTGCATATGTAACCAGACCTCTATAAAAACCTGTCAAAAGGCTGGGAGCAGTGGCTCACGCCTGTAATCCCAGTACTTTGGGAGGCCAAGTTGGGTGGGTGCCTTTGAGCTCAGGAGTTTGAGACCAGCCTGGGCAACATAGCAAAACCCTGTTTCTACAACCATTACAAAAATTAGCGGGGTGCGGTGGCTCACACCTGTAGTCCCAGCTACTCGGGAGGCTGAGGCTGGAGAATCACTTGACTCAGGAAGAAGAGGTTGCAGTGAGCCAAGATGCTGCCACTGCATCCCAGCGTGGGTGACAGAGTCAGACCCTGTGTCAAAAGAAGAAAAAGCAAAACAAAACAAAAAAAACAAAACCCTGTAAATGATGGGATTTGGAGAGCTGAGAGGGTGACACCCTGAGAGAGGGTGTGGAAGCTGGAAGCTCCCTTACTTCCTACCTCACCCCATGCATTTCTTCTGTTTGGTGGTTCTTGGGTTGTATCCTTTATAATAATAATCTAGTAAGAAAATGCTTTCCTGAGTTCTGTGAGTTATTGCACCAAATTACCTAACTGGAGGAGGGGGCCTGGGAGCCCCCAATTATTGCTGGTCAGTTGATCAATCAGAGGATTGGGGAACCCCATGCTTGTGACTGGTGTATGAAGTAATGGCAGTCTTGTGAGACTTAAATCTGTGGAGTCTGATGCTAACTCTGGGTAGTGTCAGAATTGAATTGTAGGGCACCTAGTTGATGTCAGAGAGTCGGAGAAGTGGTATTGGAAAAGACATCATGTATTTGGTGTTAGGAGGAAAAAAAACTCAATACTTAAGGATTGGATTATGTAGTAATAAGTGCTGTAGATATTAAGAGAAGGAACAATATGAAAATGTGGCATTGTTATACTTTCTATGACAGGAAGGCTTAATGGAGAAGCTGGATTATATAAAGGATGGGTAAGAGTTGTGTTTGATGAAGAGACTGTATTCCAGAGAGGAGAATAATGTGAATATTTGCTTGGAGGCAAGAAATGTATGGCATGGAAACAGAAACACTTGCCACATTTTTATGCCATCTTGAAAACTTTCTCTTCGTTTTCTGGTTGGTTACATTTTGAATTATAATGCATTTATTTTATGCACATTAAATACATAACATTCTGCTGCATTGCTAGAAGTTACAGATGATATAATGACCTAAGTCTCTTCTTTTTAGAAGTTTATAAGTTTAATCGTTCTTGAGTCAAATCTGAAACAAATATGAATACACATACTTTCTTCATATATATTCAACATTGTCTTAATGTATTTTGTGTGTGCGTGTCATATACTTTAAACTGCATTGTAAGTTCTCTGGTATCCTAGATTTATTAAGAATAACTGATTTCAAATTGATATATACCCAGGTTTAAAAATTGTTGGCGTTTTTTCTCCCTGGCAGTCTAGGACATCCTACTCTGGGCTTGTTCACTATACTCTTTACCCTGTAATGGCAAAACTCAACTCTTGATTAGATCAGTCTTCCTGAATCTTTGGACAGTATTTTTGGTTGCTTGTCTGTACATCATTTTACCAGGTCTAATTTTCTTGCTGAAGATCTCACCAGTTACCTCAACCAGTCATCAGTATGTACATTTAATACCTTAGATGTGTAGTCCACAGAACAGTGCTTTACAAATAACAGGTGCTATATAAATATTCTTGAATATTTAAATGTCTAGTACATGTTATTCACTTGGGTCTCCCATGCTTCAAAAACACCTAACGCTGTTAACATTGAGAAGAGGATTGAGAGGAGCAGAATACAAAGGTATTTATTAAGGTGATTATAATAGCCGTAGAATAACAGGCCAGAGAACTGAAAGTGATTGAATAATGAGAATAAAAACAAAGGAAGAGGGTTGAGTGTGGCAGTACAAAGGGATCAAAGTCAGGGTTTTTTTCACTCCCACCATATGTTGGAGTTAACCCTTTAAGTCAGCAGCTGATTATGATGTGATTTTGTTGAAAACTGGGTGATGCTTGGAAAAGGAAAACTGAGAAGAGGGCGTTAAGTAAAGTTGAGGAACTCAAAATGAGATAATTTTGAGAAGGACTTATGATCTAATGCAGGAGGAAGGGAGGAGTGATTGGTATTAGTTCCCATTAATATAGTACTTCCTGTGTGCTACGTATTGTCTTAATCTTGAGCACTTTATATGTATTAGCTTACTTCGTCCCCATGGAAACTTTGTAAGTTCATTACTACTATTATTTCCATTTTATAGGTCTGGAAACTGAGGAATAAAGAGACTAGAAGAATTTCTCCAGCTCATGCATATTATAACTGATAACTAGTATTTGAACCCAGGTCCTATGACTCCAGAGTCCACTTTCTTTTGTGTTATACTAGGTCCCAGTAATAGAATCCAAGGACACCTTTAGGAGTTACAGAATTAAGTGACTGTCAAGATTCAGTCTAAACCGTGTAAAAAAGGGAGAGTCTTCTAAATAAATGGATTAAAGAGAGCTTTCAGTTCTTTTGTATATGCAATACTGTTTTACACACGGCCTTTTTCTGTTTGTGCCTTTTTCCTACAATCCCTTTGCCTTTACACCTACTCTGTGCCTGGTTAATTCCTACTGTCCTTTTAAAGCACAGTTCTTCCAGGAAGTTTTCCCTGACCTCAAGCACTTTTCCTCCTACTTGTTTGTGTTAGTGACTTCATAGTAGGTTGTCTTCATAACTGTTAACTTGTATGATTTAACCTCTCTGAACCATGGCTTTTTTGATCTATAAGATAGGTACTATTTTACCTAAAAGGGTTGTTATATGAATTGAGTGAAATTGTATGAAGCAGTTACCACAGTGCCGTTTTATGTTTCTTTTACTAAACCTGGTTGTGCACACTTAGTGTTAGGGAGACTTCAGTAGACAGTACAGTAATAAAGGTCAGTAACCTCAAGGCTCAGTCTTCAAGGAAGATATTTTGAATTAAAATATCCAGCAACAGTCTGGTGGTTCTCTTCCTTCTGAGACTCAGTTGTCTCCTGGGGTTCTAAGAGGTAGATCATAGAAACTTTTTATAAAGGCTACCATTATTTGGTGGATGCTCAGAGAATGTGTTTGAATTTTGTTGATTAGAAACTTCTGAATGAAAAACAATGTAATTAGAATCATTTGAGGTATTATAAAGGCAGATGTGAATGTCTGGATGTTTACTGAAATTGCAGAATTTTCTTATTGATTTGAGTAATACTTCCTTAATCGACTCTCCTTCGTGTGCTCGCACGCTTGCGCTCTCTCTCTCTCTCTCTCTCTCTATATATATATATTTTTTTTTTTTTTCTTTTGAGACAGAGTGTTGCTCTTGTCACCCAAGCTGGAGTGCAGTGGTGCAGTCTTGGCTCACTGCAACCTCCATCTCCCAGGTTCAAGCGATTCTCCTGCCTCAGCCTCCTGAGTAGCTGAGATTAAAGTCGCCTGCCACCATGCTTAGCTAATTTTTGTATTTTTAGTGGAGATGGGGTTTCACTATGTTGGTCAGGCTGATCTCAAACTCTTCACCTCAGGTGATCCGCCCACCTTGGCCTCCCAAAGTGGGCAATAGTTACTGAAAAAATATCCATCAGTAATCCTGGTTAGTTTTCTGTAATGTGCCTATGTTTCTCAGTGTCTTTACACTGTCTGTAGATTAAGGTTGCTTTCATATCTCACTGTCACCTTAGGCATCATTGTATCTCATTCCCTTGCTGCATACGCACTGTTCTCTAATTGGTAGGTATTGTCATCCTTGTAGCTGATAGAGAAATAAGTTCCTAGTTAACTTTGTTATGTCAAATTACTTAAAAAAATAAACTGTAGACTAGAAGGACTGCAGTATATATGTCAGTGAAGTGACTTCATGACATATAAGTGACTTTTTTATGATCTACATGTTGTTTTTATATATGATAGTATTAGAGAATTATACGGTCTGTTTTTCAATTATTTACCTAAATAAAATAATTTGAGGTGACTTTTGTTAAGGATAACTATGAATAAGATTGATAAAATAGAAATAAGGCCTTAAAAACCATCCGTGTAAACTGAGGTGGTTCAATAGAAATATCCTCCTCAACTTAAATGTATGAACAAATGGTAAGTGTTTAATTCTGAAATTTGTTACTTGTGTGGAGTTGTTGAGAGTCAGGGATATATTTGGTAAGTAATGAAATAAATAAATTTTTAAGAGATTGTTTTTCCTGGCTGAGTTTAAAAAGAACGCATTTCTCTTTAAGTAATATTAAATGTTGTAATTAATAGTGATGTTTATAATAGTTTTGTGGTTTGCGTGGAGGTTCTTCATGTGGCTGTTAAAAAATAATAATTCTCAGTGAAAGCCAGGAACAGAACATTACACAATAACTTACTGTTGTTTCTACAGAGAAGAAAGCTACTGAGGTCTAAAAATACAGCTTTATAAAATGATAGAATTTTGAGTATGTACTAATGGGCATTAATACTTTATCCTGTGGTATTTGAAGACCGTTTTCACACAAGCATCTTCAAATATCAGTGTTATTTAGTCTTTGACAGGTGTTGGATAGCAGTTAAAGATTGAAGTATGAGGGGGCAATCCTAGATTTATCCATTCAGCAGATACTTATTGCATGCCTTGTACATATCAGGCACTGGGAATAAAGTTGTGAAAGGAAGTGGATCAAATTGCTGCCCTTATGGAAATCAGTTTATGGAAGGAGAGACAAAAGATAAGAAGATAAATGAGTATGATGAATGGTATGTAAGATAAAGTACCAGGAAAGAAAATAAAAGCATGAATGTTGAGGGGGCGGAGGTGACATTTTAGATAAGGGAGCCAGAGAATGCCTCTCCGAGTAGGTGACTTTTGAGTGAAGACCTGAAGGAAACAAGGAAGCTAGTCACGTAGATGTCTGGAGTAAGTACCAGGCCTAAGGAAGAGCAAAATACACAGCCCCTGAGATTGGGAATGAGCCTAGCGTATTTGAGGAGCAGTGAATGTGGTATGGTCAGAGAGCAGTGAAAAGTGGGAGAGGAGAAGGAAAAGATCAGAAGGGGAACAGGATGGCAGGGGATAGTTTGTGAAGGACCTTATAGAACATTTTAAGGATTAAGCTTTCATTCTGGATGAGATGGGAAGGCATGAACGAGGTGGTTTTAAAAGGATCCCTCTACTTTCTTTGTTGATAGTAGACTCTTGGGGTGTGGGGTGAGGCAGATGCAGGGAGAGCGGTTAGGAGGCAATTGTAACGATTCTGTGGTAGCATTAGATCATGGTGATAGCAATGGTAGAGGTGGTGAAAAATGCTCAGATTCATATTTATTTCCAACACAGAATTGATAAGAGTGGGTTGCTGAATTGCATCTGATGTGAGAGACAGGGTTTAAGATGGGTTCTAAGGTTTTGGCTCCTGCAAAACATAGAGTTACCATTTTTTTTCAGATGAGAATTGACTGGAGGAGCAGACATTTTGGAGAGTGGTGGTGATAGCGGTAATAATACTGGGGATTGGGAATCTGTCTTTTAGATGTGTTAAATTTGAGATGCTTATTTAGACAGGCAGTTACTTAAAGTATCATGTTTGTTAGTTAAAGGGAGAGGTCTAGGCTGGAGAATCTGGGAGTAGTCAGTATATAAATGGCATTTAAAGCTATCAGACTGAATGAGTTGATGTAGAGAGTGAATATAGAACATACCTAAGTGTTAAACCCTGGAGCAGTTTTTAAAGATTAGATATATGAGAAAGAAGGGACAGGGAGGTATGAAATCCAGAAGTGATGTTCAGAAAGCTTAGTGGAAAAAGTGTTTCGAAGAGGAGGGATTACTGGTTGTGTCAAATGCTGCTTAGTGAAGTAAGATAAAGGCTGAGAATCTACAATTCAGTTTTAGCTAATGAGTCATTGGTAACCTTGATCAGCAGTTTCAGTGTAATAGTGGGAACAAAAGCCTGATAAAGTGAGTTTACTAGAGAACTGGAGGTAGTAGATTGGAGACAGAGATTATTGACAAGGCATTTGGGAAAAAGAGAAATGGAGCAGAGCTTTAGGAGGAAGATAAGATTTTGTAAAATGGAAGACAATATACCATATTTGTATGTTGATGAAAACAATTCAGAGATAGGATTAAGTTGATGATGCAACTAAGGAGGAATTACTAGAACCCTGTCTTTAGGTAGTAGTAGAATTGGCCTTAGATAGTACCATAAACTTAATCCCTAGTAATAGAAGAGAAGAAAGAGATACTGTATTTGAGAATAGCTGTAGGTAGCTAGGTAGTGAGAGAGAGGTAAGAGCTTGTGGAAATCTGATTGCTTCTGCTTTTTAGTGAAATAGCAGCTGATAGGATTTGAGAAGAGAAGTTATGAAATAGTCATCTAGGGGAGTAAAGATTGAATGAAATAAGGAAATTATGTACAGCAAGGACTGACTTGACATTGGTCATGATTTTTTAACTGACATCGTTAATCTTTGATGAATTCATCATTCATTTCCCTACAGTCACTCATCTCCAGCTATGTTCAGCTGATTGATTAGATACAGAAACAAAGTAGGTGGAGAGTTGGATTTAATGATGATTGGGGTTTGGCTGGAAAACTAAGATGCATTCAGAGATGGGCAAATGAATTACTCTAATGATAGACCTAGGATTTTACATTTGGTGAGCAAAAAAGTGAGAAAATGAGAGATGAATAGCAATGAAATGGTGTTGAGATCAGTGAATCTTAGGTCCAGGGGAACTTGAATGTGAAAAAGAAAAATAGGAGGTAGTGGCATGAGAGAGAGAAAGATGCTTGAAATCGAGATTTTTGAGGGATTGCTGTTTGGGGCCATGATAAGGGTCTAAGATAGGATTTCTTATGTCTGAAAGGATAATCCATAGGTTTATATTGCCTGAGTAAAGTTAAAGATCCTCTGGTCTAGAGTATGCCATGGTAAGTCAGTGGTTGAGATAAGGTTGAGGACAAAATCATTAAAGAAGAGGAAATCAAAGAAATGAGAAATGGAACAATTAAAACAGTCATCACTGTGGATACTGAAATCACCAGAAATGATTATTGGACAGAAACTAGGACAGAAATAATATTGAATGGCATGATGAATAACATTTTAGGGTACGCATGAGTGTGGTGGATGACTGGTTGATGGTAGTAGGTTAGTATAATGTGCTGTTCAGATTTCAAGGTACTGATTTTTAGAGATGAGAGGATAGAAGTCTGAAAATCATGGTAGAGGAAACAGCTACACCACCATACAAGAGAGCTAGTAAGTAGCTTCAAAGGAGATTTTAAGAGTGATTTTAACTTGGGGAATTTAAGAGCTGGAGTCATTGTTTACTTCACTGTGGCACCTTTGAAACTGTTACATTAACATAAGGTAATTGAAGAATTGTTATTCCTCTTGTATTCAACTGAATATTTATGGTTAGCTTACAGAAATTTGCAGTTGTGAAACAGAACAGAAACTTGTGTTGAATTCGGCTACTACTTAAATATGCATTTTTAATACTCTTTAACACCTCCTCCCTCCTCATATAATCTCTCAAGGCCTGTGATTACATATTGCATATTGAAGTCACTTCTTTTTTCTCTTTCATAGATATTAATGCCTTCCAATGCACTGTTGTTGATAGAATATAAAACTATGAGGTAAAAATATCTCAGGGTTTTGCCTTTCTTTGAATATAGAATCTAACCTTTCCACCATATTGGGTATTTATTTAGAGAGGGTACTCAAGTATTTTGCCACACTCTTTTTTAGTTTGTTTGTTTGAGACAGCGTCTTGCTCTGTTTCCCAGGTTGGAGTGCAGTGGTGCGATCTTGGCTCACTGCAACTTCTGCCTCCTGGGTTCTAGCAGTTCTCATATCTCAGCCTCCTGCGTAGCTGGGATTATAGGCGCATGCCACCATGCCAGCTAATTTTTGTACTTTTAATAGAGATGGTGTTTTACCATGTTGGCCAGATTCGTGTCGAACTCCTGACCTCAGCCAGTCCACGCGCCTCAGCCTCCCAAAGTGCTGGGATTACAGATGTAAGCCACTGCGCCCGGCATTGTCACCCTCTTAAGTCATTTTCAACTGGAATTCAGGAGTCACTATGTGGGACACTGTGAGCCGGTAGAATATTCTAAAACTCAGAAATACATATTAATCCTCAGAAATTAGAAATTTCTTTTCCAAGTTTTTCATTTTCCATTTCTTGGACTATTTGCTGTTACAATCTGTGTTTACTATAATCTTTCCAAATTAAATATTAGTTTTGTCTCTGTTCTACTTATTTGATTTATTCAGTCATTCCCTCCCACTTTTCAATTATTCAGCCTGTTAAAAGTACAACTGTTTCTTTTCTGGAAAAAATAAGCCAAAGCTAGAAATTGTTCAAGCAGGAGATTTTGTTTGTGGAGTGAAAGTGAACCTCACTAAAATAGCAGTGTGTTACATCCTGGACTGGCATGTATACAGAAAACAGCAAATTGATCTGTAAGGCACTGTTGTAGTAAAGGAGTGCAAGTTATAATCTCAGCTGAATGATAAAAGGTGATTTATATGAGAAGATTACAGGTCAGGAAATGATTTATTCCAAATGCAAATACTTGAGCGCATTGTTCAGTAGAGACAACATTTTTGTGTAGGCTATTTCGCAGACAATGTGAGATTTTAATTGGTGTTCTAAAGATATGCTATTGGTATGAGGAAGTGTTGTGAGGAGGGCATTTTACAGCAGATATTATTCTAGGGCAATTTTTTTGTCCATTACAAATCTTTGTGAGTTTTTTCAGTGCCCTGTAAATTACGAAGTTAATCACTCCAACTGTTGGGAACAGGAACTATTCCAAACTCAGGTGAACTTAGAGAATTTCACTCTCTCATTCTTTCAGTTTGTTTCATCCACCTTTGTGTAGCTTCTTAAAAGCACATAGGCTTGGTCAATCTTTTTTTTTTGTTTGTTTTTCTTAATAGATGCGCTCTGACTTTGTTGCCCAGGCTGATCTTGAACTCCTGGGCTCAAGTGATCCTTCCCGCCTTGGCCTCCCAAAGTGCTAGGGTTTACTGCGTGAGCCACTGTGCCTGGCCCAGGTTGGTCAATCTTTATCTCATTGCTTAGAGAGAACCTCCTCTGGAAATCTTCCTCTCTCGGTAGCTTATTCCTCTCTAGTATTGTGTCCTGAGAACTCCAGAGTCTTAGCCTCCCTGGACTTCTTTCTAGCCTTATCTCCTTGACTTACAAAGGCTCCTGAATCCCATGTGATTTCCCCCTTCTTTGCAGGATAGTTTGGAAACTTCAGTCAGTTAAACTGGTGTGATCAGAAAGCTTACATAATTTGTTTCCCATAACCTAGTCCATTGCCGTTTGTAACGTATGTTGCATCTTAATTGTTTCATCTGTTTTTCCAGGTTTTTTGTTGTTTCAGGCAGAAACATAAATGCCAACTCTGCTAATTCATCTCACTGAAAACAGAAGTCTGCTTATTAAATTTTAGCTTTTTGTTATTAAAATTTAAATAAAATGTACATGTTGGGTACCCAATAGATGTTAGCCCCAAAGCTGCAAAATACTGGCTTGTAGAAGTGTTTTGTTGGTTTATATGACAATTTAGATTTTGGGACATTAAACATAAAAACTGGATTTGGGATTTCTCTTGATACGTTTATACTGTAATATTTTGTTTGCATTTCAGCATTTAGCTGTAACTGAAATGATTCCTAGTTTAGTCACAGCATACCCTCTCTAAATTGTTAGCTTAATTTTCCCTTTTTTTTTTTTTTGGAACTCAATTTATATCGTATGGGCCAGGTACAGTGACTCAGACCCGTAATCCCAGCACTTTGGGAGACTGAGGTGGGAGGATTGCTTGAGGCCAAGAGTTCAAGATCAGCCTGGGTAACATAGTGGGACCCCATATGTACAAAAAATAATTAACTGCATGTGGTGGTACACGTGTGTAGTATCAGCTACTTGGGAGGCTGAGGTGGGAGGATCACTTGAGTGCCAGAGGTCGAAACTGCAGTGAGCCATGATCTCACCCTTGCACTCCAGCCTCAGCATCAAAGCGAGACCCTGTCTCAAAAAAAAAAAAAAAAAGAAAAGAAAAGAAAAGAGTACATTGTTTCTTGCCCAGTAGAGTTTGAAAATTGTCATTGAGGAGATATGAATATTATCATCATGGTTTGTGAATGACGTAATTGAATTATGAGTTATTCCTGATGTTACAGTTAAGCCATTGCTGCTATTTTTTAAATTCTCAGTATCTAAATAAATAAATAACTCCCTTAGGCCGGGCGCGGTGGCACAAGCCTGTAATCCCAGCACTTTGGGAGGCCAAGGCGAGCGGATCACCTGAGGTTAGGAGTTCGAGACCAGCCTGACCAACATGAAGAAACACCATCTCTACTAAAAATACAGAATTAGCCGGGCATGGTAGCGCTTTCCTGTAATCCCAGCTACTCGGGAGGCTGAGGCAGGAGAATCGCTTGAACTGGGGTCGGGAGGCAGAGGTTGTGGTGAGCCCAGATCGCGGCATTGCACTCCAGCCTGGGCAACAAGAGCAAAACTCTGTCTCAAAAAAAAAAAATGATAATAATAAAATAAATAAATCCCTTGTTTGAGATCCATGTATATAGGAAAACAGATTATTTTTATTTTGTGTTTATAACCTATGGTAGGTTGACAGTGAAGAGAAGAACTCAGGACAGTTAATGAAAGCATCACCTTTTCTTTACTGAGATCTCCTGTGTAAGGAAATCATTCAGTTAGTCTTAGAATTGTCATGAAAGATTAAGAAATGTTCATAGCATTGTGATCATCATCTTAGGTATTCAGTCGGTGAATTTCTGTTTTTAGGTGTAATCTAAAAGTTCTGTAAAATAAACATCAACAATGTTGTATGCTTCTTATGGCTGTTCTAGGTCTCTGTGTTTTTATTATGAACTTGTATCTGATCTTTTCAAGTTTTTGTCTCATGGTATTTTTTCCTCAATGCCAATTAACAGTGGTTAAACAAAATAGATAAGGTTTTCCTTCTAAGTCCAGAAGTAGACATTCCAGAGTTGATGTGATCATTTAAGGATGCCAGGGCTGTTGAAGACTGGGCTGTTGTTCTCTTGGTCTTTTCCTCATGGTCAGTTACAATATAGCTGATACTGTTGTTGTCTTCCTTAGTTCAGCTCCAGGCAGGAAGGAGGAGGAAGCAGAAAAGGGCAAGAAGGCTCATAGTGTCACACACACACAATGGGTGGGTTCATTTGCTTGGTGGATGACAAGTCCAGTGACCACAACCAAGTATGATTTCACAGGGGGATTTTATTACTTGCACCAAGTAAGGAGGACACTAGGGATAGTCCCAAAGGCAGTGCCTCCCCAAACAAAGGTGAACACCCGGGCTAGTTAGCTGAGTCATTGTATTAGAGGTGGAATAAAGGCAGTGCAGGCACATTTATCATGCTTTTACATACATCAGATGTATAGAAAATGGCACATAAACTACTTCCTGGGTGGGGATTTTAGTATGGTAGTGAGGAGAGTTTGCCAGAAGTTCATCTCCAGTTTAGTCATCTCTGGACCCAACCACTGGGCTGAGCTTCTTTCTGGAACTTCTTGAAACAACAAGAACTCAAGGCGCAACAGTTACAAAAGTGAGTTTTCTTTTTCTTTTTCTTTTCAGACGGAGTCTTGCTCTGTCGCCAGGCTGGAGTGCAGTGACGCCATCTTGGCTCACCGCAACCCCTGTCCCCTGGGTTCAAGCGATTGTCCTGCCTCAGCCTCCCGATTAGTTGGGACTACAGGCATGCACCACCATGCCCAGCTAATTTTTGTACTTTTAGTAGAGATGGGGTTTCACCTTGTTGGCCAGGGTGGTCTCTATCTCTGGACCTCGTGATCCGCCCGCCTCGGCCTCCCAAAGTGCTGGGATTACAGGCGTGCGCCACTGCGCCCGGCCGCAAGTGAGTACTTTTTCACAGTGCATACCCCAAAACCTGGGGACCCTGAGTTACAATATCACCTTAGTTTGCCCCTAGTCAAGGAGCTTTCTAAAACTCACCCCAAGTCATCTCAAATATTACATCTTATTTACCAGAATTACGTCATATTATCGTCTCTGTCTTCCAGAACCTTAAAAATTTTAGGATAGTCCATTATTGCACCTAGCAAAATCAGTGTTCTTTTGGTAAGAAAGCAGGAGTAGATGGATACTGTATTTACAACTTGAAGTCCCTACCTCAGAAACCACCATACTTTAGGAGCCTTCTGTTATACCCATAGGTTGGCCTCATTTTCCATAACTGTGCCTCTTCTGAAAGCATAAAACTACAATATGTCATTCTTACATATTTCTGTACATTAATCTTATTTTTTCCCTTAGCTTTTATTCTCTTAACTTCCTCAATAATTAAGTTGGTCTTTTTGAATGAGATGGTTGCCCTCCAAATGTTTTGAAAGCAGAAGTGATTAATGTTTGTAAGTCAATATATGTTATAGTATTTTATTGTTCATACTCTGTCATTTCCTCCTTTCACAGACCAGTAGATATACTTGGTTATAAAGTCTATAATCCCTGAATTTGTTTGCTTTTCATGACCATCTGCACTGGTTTTATTGTCATCTAATGTAGGTGTTAAGCCATTGTCACTTTTTTAAAAAAATAGTTTTGCCAGAGTCAGTGGATCACGTCTATACTCCTAACACTTTGGGAAGCGAGGTGGGAGGATTGCATGAACCCAGGAGTTCGTCTTCATCGAACGAAACAAAACAAAACAAAAATTAGCCGGTATGGTGTTAAACACCTTGTAGTCCCAGCTACTCGGGAAGCTGAGGTGCGAGGATCTCATGAGCCCAGGAATTCCAGGATGCGGTGACCTGTGATCATGCCACTGCTCTCCAGTGAGTGAGCTCTTGTCTCTAAAATAAATAAATTAGATAGTTTTATTGAGATATAATTTACATAGCATAAAATTAAACCTTATAAAATTCATTGATTTGTAGTATACCACAGAGTTGTGCAACCATGACCCCTATCTAATTTTAGTATACCCCCAAAAGAAACTCACTATCCGTTAGCAGTCACTTGTGTTCCTCTTCCTGCCACTTCCAGCCCTTTGGCAACCGCTTATCTACTCTCTTGTCTCTATGGAAATGTCTGTTGTGAACATTCCATATAAATGAAATCATATAATCTGTGCCCTTTTGCATCTAGCTTTCTTTCACTTAATGCTCTCAAGATTTATTCATGTTGTAGCATGTTGTTAAGACAACTTCCTTATCAGATAATGATTTGCAAATATTTTCTTCTATTCTTTAGCTTGTCTTTTCACTCTTGATTTTGATGAAGCCCAATTTATGTTTTCTTTTGTTACTTGTGCTTTTGGTGTCACATCTAAGAAACCATTGCCCAACTCAATGTCACAAAGATATTCTTATATGTTTTCTTCTAAGAGTTTGATAGTTATGGGTCTTACATATTGGTCTCTGATTTGTTTTGAGTTAGTTTTGTATATGGTGTGAAGTAATTTCCCAACTTTATTTTTTGTATATGGAAACCCAGTTGTCCCAGTACTATTTAAGAGACTCTTCTTTCCCCCATTGAGTTGTCTTGGAACCATACCAACTTTTTTAAAAAGTGGCTTTAGAAATAGTTGTGCATAAATAAACATGATTTTTTTATTCTTAATATTGAATCTGGATATTTAGAAATGGGATAGAGTTTTTAGTCCTTAGATAAGAGCTTACTTCCCTGTTTACAATTACTAGGATAGCAAGTAGCTCACAGTAGGAACTCTGAATAGGTTTGTTGAATATATATGGATGGTGTCTTGAGAGGAAATTGAGTGGGTGAATTTAAATGCTGTTGGAGCATTCAGTTAGAGATACTAAAATCATAAACCTTCTTATTTGTAGTAATATAGTGCTATAATAAGAGGCATAGTGATGATTCTTCTTTTTGCTTTGGTTTTTTATTTTGATTGTGCTGAGTATTCATACTTGTTTGAGATGCCAAGGTGCTGCTTTCTCAACTGGCAAATGTTTTAGAATAGGAAAACCTTTGCTCACAACATTTTCCCTGCAGGCTACTTTAAATTTTGCCTTGAATCTCAAAGCCTATGTAACATTGTATCAAAGCAACTCGTTTTATGCATCTGTGTTGGTCATTAATGCTGTTTGCCAAATAGTTTTTGTTCTCATCCTTCATGTTAGGGGCTGTGACTAATTCTGGCCAATAAATGAGTTGTGAGAAAAACAGATGTTTGAAAGGAAATTGTGCATCCTAATATTGCTGCAGTATTTAAGTTCCAGTATGAGATCTTCAAAGCTGTCTTTTTTTTTTCTTCTTCCGTTCTCAGATCCTGAGGCAACATTTTGAGGTGCTATTCCCCCTGAGTTAAAAAAGACCTGTCAGGCTGGGCTCGGTAGCTCATGCCTGTAATCCCAGCACTTTGGGAGGCTGAGGTGGGTGGATCACCTGAGGTCAGGAGTTTGAGACCAGCCTGCCATCATGAAGAAACCCTGTCTCTACTAAAAATATAAAATTAGGCAGGTGTGGTTGTGCATGTTTGTAATCCCAGCTACCCGGGAGGCCGAGGCAGGAGACTCTCTTGAACCCGGGAGGTAGAGGTTACGGTAAGCTGAGATCGTGCCATTGCACTCCAGCCTGGGTAACAAGAGTGAAATTCCGTGCCCCTCCCCCCCACCAAAAGAAAGACCTGTCAATAAGGAATGGACAGCCTGAAGAAGTAAATTTTATTTTAAGCCAGAGATTTTATGGTTCTTTGTGTAGCTACATAACCTGGCTTACCTTGACCGAGTATTTTTTTCTTGTTAGATTCTGAGACTTAGATAAGAGTATTATTATTATAATAGTATGGGTATTTCAGAAATACTTAGATAAAAGTCAAGGATAAGGGAAAGTTAAGATACATGGTATTGAACAATTAGCATTTTTGAGTTTTACTTTCTTGCCCTTATTGTTTTTTCTCTTTTTTTCATTGTTCTTAATTTTCTTTTATGTTTTGTTTCCATAGTCTAACTGGTGAGGTAATCACGATCAATAGTAACTTGAACTGAAGAATGGTTTTGTTCCAGTATATGTTTCTGCTTATAGTCACTGAAAAGTTTCTCATCTATTCCAAAGCCCTGCTTCTGTGCAAATTTAGTTCCTACTACATCAAGAAAGGAATTTTAAGGATCAGAACTACAGAAACATTCAGTTGATTTCTTTGACCTGTTGAACACTGTTCTGACATTTCAAGTAGTGAATGTTTTGTAATGAATGAGTCTTTTGTAATCTTTGTGAAATAATTTGTAAAATTTCGTTAATTGATCTTTTGTCAATATTAATGCAAGTTAGAGAAAAATGTTCTTTACTGGCACTGTGTAATTGAAATCAGTTACAAAGAATATTCTTAGTATGCAAACTTAAGTATATACATTTGCAAAGGAGAATTTTATTTAAAAAAAGTGATTGATGTAGTTTCTTTACTGTGAAAAGAAAAATGTTTTCCTGTTTTTAAGGTGACTTGTTTTTTTAGTCCCCTCCTCTCATATGAATTCCTTCATAAAATCTATGATGTTTGGTAAAGTAATTGATCAGCTGTCTTAATATATATATATGTGTGTTGTGTGTATTTTTAGGGCTGGAAATTGATTTTTAATGATAAAGTACAGTGGACAGCACAGAGGGGGCTAAGCCAAACTGTCTGGGATGCTGTGGTGGCAATGAGCTGGCCACACAAACTGCTGCTGCTGCTGCTTCTAGGTGGCTGCCTTGCTGGTGAGGTCCTTGCCTTCTCTGTAGCTGCCAGTGCCATCTCCTTTGCCTGCTCCTTGGCTTCCTTGGCTGTCTCAACAAGTGTTTTAGAAGGGGCCTTGCATTTCATCTTTGCCAAGATATATTCAAAACCCTTCATAGTCTTGGTCACGTTGCTTTTGAACTGGGCAAGACCAAATTCCTGGACACTTCTGGAGACACCAAATAAGCTAGAGGAGACCCAGGCTTCTCTGCGGATTTCGGTCCAGCCACTGTTGTTAGAGTTCATACAGTAAACACACTGTTTCTCCACCACCATCAGCCGGGCATGGTTGATGTTCCAGGTGAAGGTGGTCATGGTCTGATTCTGTGGGTCCACAATAGAGTCCTCCAGGATGTACACTGAATGAAGAACATTGGCAGGAAACAGTTGCTTGGCCCAGTGGGACATCCTGTTGGTCTTGGTCAGGAGTTGCTGGGACAGCAGTTTCTGGTCAGCAGTCACCTCCCGGTGTACTGTGTCTTCCGTCAAGACATGTTTGCTATAGGGATTTGGGTACTGATGCCAGAAGGCGGTGAACACTTGGTCCCAGGAACTCTGGAGCACGCCCTGGCCCAGGAAATACTTCACCATCGTCCCGGCTGGAGTGGGCTCCAGAGTTCCTGGGACCAGGTGTTCACCGCCTTCTGGGAGACACGCGGGGACCGGAGCTCGGCGAACACCCGCCGCCAGGCTCGTAGCTCAGTCACCACTGCACCATGCCCAAGCAGCTGCTGCCGCCACCGCCATGAGTTGTCCGCTGTCTTAATATATCTTAAAAGAGTTGTGTATAGCAAATGCTGTTATAAGTGTGGACGGCATTACTTACATACACAAACCACATTATAAACCATGATACTTATTTTTAACGAGGATGTCTTAAAGTTATTTTTAAATCTGTGCTTTTTAAGGAAATAATCGAAGCAAAGGGAATGTTAAAACATCTGATTAGTTAGTTTTATACTTGATGATAAAGTGTATTTTTAACTATGCTAAATCAGTAATGGAGTCATGAAGCCAAGTACATTACTAATTTTCTATCTTTTTCTCTTTTGGAGAAAATATTATCTTACACTAGATACTCAGAGTAAGACTTCTAAAACTAGTGGTGAAAAGGAAAAAACTTCATATATTTCATTTTCTTTCTTGTGAAATGAGATTTTCATAAGGATAGTAAGTAACCTGTGGCTAAGGTATGTGTTGGGGATGATTCCATTGTCTTTTTTTTTTGAGACGGAGTCTCCCAGGCTGGAGTGCAATGGCGCGATCTTGGCTCACTGCAACTTCCGCCTCCTGGGTTCAGGTGATTCTCCTGCCTCAGCCTCCTGGGTAGCTGAGATTACAGGCGCGCACCACCACGCCCAGCTAATTTTTGTATTTTCAGTAGAGACGGGGTTTCACCATGTTGGTCAGGCTAGTCTCAAACTCCTGACATCGTGATCCACCTGCCTTGGCCTCCCAAAGTGTCATTGTCTTTTTATATTTACTGTGTAGTAGTAATACAGTCTCTTACGTTTAAGAATTTTTTTTTTAATAGATAGGGTTTTGCTCTGTAGCCCAGACTTAAGTGCAGTGGTATTCATAGCTCACTGCAGCCTTGAACTCCTGGGCCCCAAGGATCCTGTGAGGACTACCAGTATGCACCACCACACCTGGCTAATTTTTAAATTTTTTTGTAGAGAGAGGGTGGGTGTTGCTGTATTGCCCAGGCTGGTCTCAAACCTCTGGCCTCAAGCAATTCTTCTGCCTTGGCCTCCCAAAGTGCTGGAATTACAATCGTGAGCCACCAGGCCTGGCAAGAAATTCTTAAATGCATTGTGTCACATCCTTTTACATCTTACCGAAAAATAAATATAGAAGAACAATATAGAAAAATAATGCCTACAAAAATGTCTTAAAATTTGTTTTTAAACTTATGCCTGTGTATGTGTTTTCCCTAACTTACATAGTAAACATTGACATTCAGTAGGGCTGTGTCCTTGGCCTTTGCATATCTCCAAATTCAAGAACACTCACATAGAATATATTTCCGTTGAGGGGAATGTATTTGCAGAGTATTCGGTCATATAAAATGTTTAATTATTGTTTCAACTTTTGTGTTTTTATTTTGAAACAGGGTGTTGCTCTGTTTCCCAGGCCGGAGTGCAGTGGTGCAATCTTGGCTCACTGCCACCTTCTCCTCCTGGGCCTAAGCAGTCCTCCCACCTTAGCCTCCCAAGTAGCTGGGATACAGGTGTGCACAACCATGCCTGGCTAATTTTTTTTATTTTTTGTAGAGATGGGATCTCGCCATGTTACCCACCCTGGTCTTGAACTCCTGGGCTCAAGCGATCTGCCTGTCTTGGCCTCCCAAAGTCCTGGGATTAGAGACATGAGCCACTGCGCCCAGACTTTTCAGTTTTGACTGAGATTTTATTTGTCATGTGATATGCAGTTTGGACATGGTTTAGAGAATTCACAGGAGCAGTTTCATCACTCCTTATTTCTTTGTAGATTGTATAGAGACTTTTAATCTCATAAGATCTAAACTACCACTGAATTTTTTACTGTGTTTTAAAATTCACCTAAAAATTTTGGCTTTCTGGCCTCCCCTGCATGCCTGACTATATCAAAATTCAGTTTTAAAATTTTTTATAATTTAAGGATATAGTATTAATAGCTTCATGTCAGTTTAAAGGAAATATATTATTTGCAGTTGTTCAAAATTTTATCTGTATTTATACCTATATTTTACTTCAGGGTTCCCATCTTTTCCACTTTTATTTTTTTCCCAGAAAATAAGGTGAATTTCTAAAATTAGAAATAGCAGTTAAGTAGTTAGTGCCTGTGTCCTGTAGTTCTAGGTGTTTATGTGTAATAGAGTAGAAATTATGGAAAGATATTTTCAAGCTGGTAAGTTGGTGAGCGGCCACAGTTAAAAGCTGAAGGGTTGAATGTTTCAGCATGAGAAATAGTGGCGGGAGGATTTCTAACTTACTCATTGATTGTGTTCAGTTCTGAAAAAGTTTTCTTGATGTCCCATTGCAGATTTGAATGTGGTCTTATAATACCCCAAATGTATCATCACTTTTATTTCTCTGAGTAAAGAAAATCTGGTGTCGAGAGTTTGCTTTTGCTGATTGAGCAGTTTATACTTTTTTCTCAAGAAATTGTAATACCTTTTATCATGATGTTCAGGTCTGAATGATAGATCCAGATTATTTAAAATAATGGGTTTTGGGCCAAGCATGGTGGCTCACACCTGTAATCCCAGCTACTTGGGAGGCTGAGGTAGGAGGATTGCTTGAGCCCAGGAGGTCGAGGCTGCAGTGAGCCACAGTCGCATCATTGTACTCCAGCACAGGCAACAGAATGAGACCCGGTCTCAAAAAGAAAAAAAAAAAAAAAAAAAAAGAAATAATAATGGTTTTTGTGTAAGTTAAAGATGATGTTGAGCAAGCCACTTTAAAACAACACTGATTTTTCCATATAAACAATAGTTTTATATGAAGAAGTGTCATTTTGTTTTTCATTTCAAAAATACAGGCCATGTGCAGTGGCTCATGCCTGTAATCCCATCACTTTGGGAGGCCATGGCAGGGGTATTGCTTGAGATCAGGAGTTCAAGACCAGCGTGGGCAATATGGCGAGACACTGTCTCTACTTAAAAAAAAAAAAAAAAAGCTGGGTATGGTGATTTGTACCTGTAGTCCCAGCTGCTACTCAGGAGGCTGAGGTGCAGGAGGTTTACACCTTCAGTCACTTCAGTCCATGAGGTTACAGTGAACCACGATAATGCTGACAGTAAGATCTTGTCTCTAAAAATCCATTTTTTAATTAAAAAAATACACACAATCATATGTCTGACAATGGTTTAATATGCAGAATATATAAAGAACTTCTAAAACTTGAACAACAGGAAAACAACCCAATTTTAAAATGGGAAAAGGGCTTGAATAGAAATTGCTACAAAGATATGAAAATGGCCATTAAACATAAGGCAAGATCGTCAGTATCTTTACGCAAATGTAAATCAAAACCACTGTGAGATTCAAACTTACTAATATGACTATAATTTTTTTAAAAAATACAAAACCTGGAAAACATCAAGTGTTGGAGAGGATTGGAGAAATTGGAACCTTCATACATTGATGATGGGAACGTAAAATGGTTTAGCCACTGTTGAAAGCAGCTTGGCAATTCCTCGAAAAGCTAAACATGGAATTACCATATGACTCAGCAATTTCAATTCTACATATTTATCCAAAAGAACTGAAAGACTCAAACAGATACTTGTATGCCAGTACCATTATTCAAAATAGACAAAAGGCAGAAATAACCCAAATGTCCAGCAACAGAGGAATTGATAAATAAAGTGAGGTGGCTATATAATACAGTGGAATATCATTGGTGCCTAAAAAGGAAGTTCTGAGGCATGATACAACATATGGATAATCCTTAAAAACACTATACTATGTGAAGTAAGCCAGACACAAAAGGACAGATATATTATTCCACTTAAATCTAGAATAGGCAAATTCATAGAGACAGTAAATTAGTGATTACCAGGGGATGGGGGGAGATGAGAATGAGGAGTTATTGCTTAATGGATGCAGAGTTCCTATTTGGGATGATGAAAAAGTTTTGGGCCAGGTGCGGTGCCTCACGCCTGTAATCCCAGCAGTTTGGAAGGCTGAGGTGGGCATATCACCAGAGGTCAGGAGTTTAAGAACAGCCTGGCTAACATGGTGAAACCCCGTTTCTATGAAAAATACAAAAATTAGCTGGGTGTGGTGGCACATGCTTGTAATCCCAGCTACTCAGGAGGCTGAGGCTGGAGAATTGCTTGAACCCAGGAGGCAAAGTTTGCAGTGAGCCGATATCGTGCCATTGCACTCCAGCCTGGGTGACAAGAGCGAAAACTCAGTCTCAAAAAAAAAAAGAAAAAAAAAAAGTTTTGGTAACAGTGGCGACAGTTGCATAGGGTGTGAAGTTATTTTAGTGCCCTTAAATTATACATTTAAAAATGGTTAAATTAACTTTATATTATACATCTTATCACAATTTTTGTAAAAAGTACATGTGAATACCTTTTCACTAAACTGCCCTCTCGTTAGTATGGAATGGCAAAGGCTATATCATCCATTTGAATATTTTCTGTGCCCATGATTTAAACTTTCCCAAGTTCCACTATTTATTTTTGTGGTAATCAAATTCAGGAAGCATATTATTGCCCTCATGCTCTCTACGCAAAAAGTAGCATATAGTTTGGAAGTCCAGTACGTTTAATGTTCATTGAGTGGGTCTACAGTAGAGACTCCTGCTTTGAATATATATGATTAGAATTAATGTTCTGAAGAAAAGTGCTTGGGCTGAGTAGAAAATATAAGATATTCCAGATGGAGGAAATCTTGTAAGCAGAAGTGTGAAAAAGGTAAAATAGATCTATTATTTGCCATATTAACATGAGCAAATGGCAAGTGTTCTTTTTTTTATTTTTAAATGAGACATGAGACAGAGTCCTGCTCTGTTGCCCAGGCTGGAGTGCAGTTGGCTCACTGCAACCCCGCCTCCTGGGTTCAAGCGATTCTCCTGCCTCAGCCTCCCAAGTAGCTGGGATTACAGGCGCACACCACCACACATGGCTGATTTTTGTATTTTTAGTAGAACTGGGGTTTCACCATGTTGACCAGGCTGGTCTTGAATTACCAACCTCAGGTGATCCACCCACCTCGATCTTCCAAAGTGCTGGGTTTACAAGTGTGAGCCGCTGCGCCCAGCCCCTTCTTTTAAAATACACATTGTTTTTATAATAAATGGTGTCTCTCTCTTCTATGATCTCAAAAAATGTTTCATTGTATTTTTATCTTTAAATTTAACACCTTGTATTTTTAATCTTTTAAAAAGTGAAACGGGACTGTATTAGTTTGCTAGGGTTGCTATAGCAAAATATCATAGACAGGTAGCTTAAAAACAGAAATTAATTTTCTCACAGTTCTGGAGGCCACAAATTCAAGATCACAGTGTCATCAGGGTTGGTTTCTAGTGTGGGCTCTCTTCCTGGGTTGCAGAAAGCTGCTTTCTTGCCATGTCCTCACATGGCCTTCTCTTGTGTATGACAGGGTAAGAGAAGCAAAGAGGAAGTGAAGCTCTGATATTTCTTCCTCTTAAAAGTACTCCAGTCTTAATCAGATTTCACTTCAGGGTCTCACCCATATGATCTCATTTATTCTTAATTATCTCCTTAAAGGTCCTATCTGCAAATATAGTCAGACACATCAGGGGTTAGGACTTCAATATATTAATTGGGGGGAAGGAGCACAGCAGTTCAAAATAATAACAAAAAGTACACAAAGTACAAATGTACAACTCAACTAATCATTCTGAAGAGCACCTGTGTAACTATCCCCCAGGTCAAGAACTAGAATATTGCCAGCACTCCAGAACCTCCACCAGTTCAACTTCCCAATCATCACAAATCTCTTCTTCTACCTAGAGATAATTGCCAACTTTATGGCAATAATTTTCTTGCTTTGCTCTATATAGTTTTGCCATCTTAAGTTTACATCTTTTTTTTGAGACGGAGTTTCACTCTTCTTGCCCAGGCTGGAGTGCAATGGGGCGATCTCGGCTCACCTCAACCTCCGCCTCCCGGATTCAAGCAATTCTCCTGCCTCAGCCTCCCGCGTAGTTGGGATTACAGGCATGAGCCACCACGCCCGGCTAATTTTGTATTTTTAGTAGAGATGGGGTTTCACCATGTTAGTCAGGCTGGTCTCGAACTCCCGACCTCAGATGATCCACCTGCCTTGGCCTCCCATTGTGTTGGGATTACAAGCGTGAGCCACCACACCTGGCCTGAGTTTGCATCTTATAAGCAATGTCTAAGATCTGCGGCAGTGTGTTTTTCATTTTTTTGTCTTGTTGGGATTTTTTTAGTCTCACCAGAAAGTTATCAGTTTCAATAATATTTTCAAAAATGCATGTTTTGGTTTTTTGGTCTCCATTATACAATGTTTGTTTTGTACTTTGTTGATTTTGTTTGTTTTGTACTTTGTTGTTTTCTGCTCTGCTCTTTATTTTCTTTCCTTTTACTTTCTTAGAGTTTGTCTGTTTTGCAGTTCTCTTTCTAATTTTGTCAGGTGTTCTTAACTAATTCTTTCTTTCCCAGCCTCCTTTTTTTTTTTTTTTTTTTTTGAGACTGGGTCTCGTTTTGTTACCCAGGCTGGGGCAAAGATGGCTCATTGCCTCCTCAGATTCCCGGGCTCAAGTGATCCTCCTGCCTCAGACCCTGCCCCGCGCCCCCCACCCCCCATGTAGCTGGGACTAAAGGCGTGTGCCACCATGCCTGGCTAATTTTTGTATTTTATGTGAAGACGGGGTTTTGCCATGTTGTCCAGGCTGGTCTTGAACTACAAAGTTCAAGCGATCTATGCTACACCTGCCTCTGCCTCCCAAACTGCTGGGATTACAGAATGTGAGCCCCCATGCCCAGCCCTTTTTTAGTCTTTAAATGGGCCTTAAAGACCCATTTGAGCCTTTAGATTTTCCCCTTTATTCTTACACTGTGTTCACAAATTTTCATATGTGGTACTTTTGTTGGCATTTAGTTTTACAGAAATACTTACAAATTTTGTTGTTTATTGATTCTGCTGGTTTTTCTTCATGTCACCTTATTTTCTCATGTACTTGTTTATCTGTGATTGTGTGCTGGGCCCTTCATTTGAAAAATTAGTTGTAGAAATAACTTAATGTCTGGGGTGATTTTTTTTTTTTTGAGACAGCGTCTCCTCTGTTGCCCAGGCTGGAGTGCAGTGGCGTGATCTCGGCTCACTGCAGCTTCTGCCTCCCGGGTTCAAGCAATTCTCCTGCCTCAGCCTCTTGAGTAGCTGGGACTCCAGGCGCGCGCCATCATGCCCGGCTAATTATTGTATTTTTAATAGAGACGGGGTTTCACCATATTGGCCAGGCTGCTCTCAAACTCCTGACCTTGTGATCTGCCCACCTTGGCCTCTCAAAGTGCTGGGATTACAGGTGTGAGCCACCGCGCCTGGCCTTTTTTTTTTTTTTTTTTTTTATTTCATGGAGGATTTGTATTTCTTTCATCCAGGTGCCTGGTGATAGGGATTGTCTGATTAACTATCCTTTTCTTAGTGTGATTTGAGATTTTCTAAGCCACCTTGATTACTCAAAGCTGGACTGCAGACCATAAAGGAACTGACTTAATTCTGGGTTACTTTTGCTCCCAGGATATAGCCTTTCTGAATTCTAACTCAATCAGGGTCTTTACCTTTGTTGGAACCCTAGATTTGGACTTTTTTAGATCTATTCTGTAGAAGCCACCAAGTCTATTTCTTGGCCTTTCAACCCCAGGACAAAAGTAGCTGACAGTGCTTTGCTTATTTCTCTCCCTGGGTTTCTCACCTTTTCAGGTCTTGGCTCAGTAGTTCTTGTCTGTTTTATTAGTACATGGCTTAAAACCCCCAAACTTAAAGTATATCTTATCTATATATATATTTTTTTTCGAGACAGAGTCTTGCTCTGTCGCCCAGGCTGGAGTGCAATGGTGTGATCTTGGCTTACTGCAACCTCCGCCTCCTGGGTTCAAGCCATTCTCCTGCCTCAGACTCTCGAGTAGCTGGAATTACAGGCGC
This sequence comes from Homo sapiens, assembly GCF_000001405.40. Classification (NCBI taxonomy): domain Eukaryota; kingdom Metazoa; phylum Chordata; class Mammalia; order Primates; family Hominidae; genus Homo; species Homo sapiens. The sequence goes on along the minus strand of NC_000010.11, from coordinate 63,419,257 downwards.
CTGCCACCATGCCCAGCTAATTTTTGTATTTTTTAGTAGAGATGAGGTTTCACCATGTTGGTCAGGCTGGTCTCGAACTCCTGACCTCAGGTGATTGACCCTCCTCGGCCTCCCAAAGTACTAGGATTACAGACAGGAGTCACTGTGTCTGGTCCTTATCTAGATTTTTTTTTTTTTTTTTGAGATGGAGTCTCACTCTGTTGCCCAGGTTGGAGTGCAGTGGTGTGATCTTGGCTCACTGCCACCTCCGTCTCCTGGGTTCAGGCGATTCTCCTGCCTCAGCCTTCTGAGTAGCTGGGGCTACAGGCGCGTGCCACCATGCCTGGCTAATTTTTGTATTTTTGGTACAGACAGAGTTTCACTATATTGGCCAGGCTGGTCTCGAACTCCTGACCTCGTGATCCCCTGCCTCGGCCTCCCAAAATGCTGGGATTACAGGCATGAACCACCATGCCAGGCCCCTTATCTAGATTTTTAATGGTCATGGGAATGTTTGATGCTGTTCTCAAATATACGGGAAGCAGAAACCCCCCCCACATGATATTTTAATTATTTGTTTATATGTCTGTCCTTTCAGTAGGGTGGCCTTTTAAATTTATTTTTAGTATTTCTCTGCTGTAAGCCTTTTATTGTTTGTAACTCAGCACCTGATAATGTCTGATACATAAGTGCATAGAAAATATTAACTGGTTTTGGCATGGCTTTAAGAAAAAATTGTGAAGGTATCCTTTCCTTTGAGCCATAAAGGAAAATTGAGATTAAATCTAATTGTTTTATTTGTTGTACCTTCAGTACCAGACATAATAAATTTGGATGTTAGTGGCAGTGGAAAATCATGGGATAATTTCTGAATAACCACTTAGTGCCTCTTAAATGTGGTTAAAGGGAAGATTAATTTCAAAACTGTATGCAGGATAGATGAGATATTTTGTCAGGATGCATTTTATAAGTATTCTATAGTATGGTAATTTTTAAAGTGTGGTCCCCAGACCAGGTAGCATTGGCATTACTTGGGATTTTGTTTGAAATGCAAATTATCTGATCCTGCCTCAGATCTTCTGAATGAGAAACTATAGTAGTATGGCTAAGCAGTTTGCTTTAAAAGCCCTCAATTAGGTTCTGATGCATACCTAAATTATTGAGCTACTGCTGTAACACAATAAAACAGAATATGATTTTGATTTAGGCCCCTTAAAAGCTAAAGGTTATTTATCTTTCTATGATGAGAATATTTTTGGAAAATATTTAATGCAGTCTCAATGTTGATCTTTCTTTAGAATTAAGTTTTAAGCCTCTATAAAGTCATTAGGTTTATTAGAGCAAAATTATGACCTGAAATAGTTGAGTTCGTTGAAAAATAAAAACTTGTCTATGTTACACAGGAAAATGATACCAGTCTAATTGTTGACAATAACTGGCTTATTCCAGTTGCCTTGCAGTGTTCCTTAAGGGAGTGGATTGTTTAGGACCTAACTTTCTTAATACAAGTTTCATTAGAAGTAAATTCTCTATTTTTTCATTGTTTGGAAGGAAATATTTAACATATACAATATGATGGAACTTCTGTAGAATATAGCATAATCACAGAGACAGTTGTATCCATCCATTTCCTAGTCAGTTTCACCATATTTTTAAATGAGGCACAAGATTACTGTGTTATCAAAATGTTAACATTAAGCTTTTTAACAAGTCTGTGTAGTCACTTGATTTTTCAGATTTTGCCCACTAATTTTATGAGGGCCATTGGGCAAAGTGTTTTAATCCAGAATTTAAAATTGTTCATTTGTAATTGGGCAGGCTTATAAAAAGGGGCATATTTTAAATCTTTATCATCACTTTATAGCCATAATATACATACTAAAAGTTTGGTAGCAATTTGAGTATTTAACTACATAGGGTGGTACTTTGAAGGAAAAAGCATTTTAAGTTGAGCTTTAATTTAATTTCTGCTTTTAAAAACCCAATATAGTAGTACGTCATCTATGTATGTACATTGAGCATGCTTCTTAACATATTTAACTTCCAATTCTTTGATAACCGGTTGCATTCAATTACTTGTTTAAATAATTGGGCAAGTTTCCTGAGTTGTAGGCTGTGAAATATTTTCAAGATGGTTTGGGTAAAAAATTTTTTCAAAGTAGGTGCCGTCAGTGACTTTGATCACAGAGAAATCAGTATGATCCTGTGACAAGTTTAGTTTTAACAATGTAACTTCTTGTGTAAACTCAGTCACCTAGTAATGTGAATTAGTTGCAAAGTGATTCTGTATTCTTAGTGACCCACTGTTAGATGTTTTCAGACTAGTAAATGATAAATATTTATTGTTAAAATCATCCTTAAAATTTTATTTGAACATGCAGCACTTTTTGCAGTGTGAAATTGAAAAATCAATTGTTTAGTTTTTACCAAAGGAAAATTAGAGTTTTGTATACATATTTGATGAATACAGTAAACAGGTTAAAATTTAGCAAATAGAATTTTGTAAGCATTTTTAAAATGTGTGAATTCTGTGATAAGGGGGTGGCTTTGCTACAATTTATTACAAAGCTAAGTTATATTTCATTACTTATGTAAAATAGTGTTCTTTGTTTAGCTTCTTAAAGTGGTAGGAGAATTGTATAATTCCATTGATTGGTTCCATGCAGTGGAAATCTGACCTTTAGCAGATGTTTGAGAAATTGCCAGCACAGCATGATCAGCCAAAAAGACAGTTTTCCCCTTGTTACTTGACAGGCCTTTCATGCTTTAGTAACATGCCAAAGAAATGTTTAAATTATTTTTTTATAATATCACATGCTCTCTAAAATATTAAGAATACATTGAAAAACATGCATAAAATGAGATAGATTTTTCCTGCAATTACGGATTGCAATTCAGCTGACTTTTAAATGTTTATTATTAAAAAAAAAAAACTAAGATAAATGCTGATTGTTTTGTGAATTATGTGTTACTTTGAGATTTAAAATGTCTTCGGCTATGTAGTTAATTGTTATTAGGGTTTGATGTGTGTTATTTTTTCCATGATCATGTTTTCCATGATCATGTATAACAATTTAAACACTGTTATAAGTTTCTCTTATTTTAGTGTTATTTAATCGCAAGTATCGTCTTTGGTTGGCTTTTTTATTTTTTAATAGAGGCTTTTTGATAGGGGTTAAATGCATCACAGAGAAGTTATCCTATCTGGAACTTCTCGCTAAGGGCAGGATACTGCATGAATCCACTTTAAAGCCTCTTCTCTGAAGGACAGTATTTCTTTAGAGAATGAAATGGGTTCAGCTGTGTAGTTGTGGGGGTTCAGCTGTGTAGTTGTGGGAGTTCAGCAAAAACACTGTAAGCTCTGTTTTCTTCAACTTCATGGATTGAGCGTACAGGAAGGGGAAGGAGTTGCCTTAATGTTTAAGAATGAAGTGATGAATTGATAGTATCAGCAGTTGCCAGACTGTATCTTTTTCTGCAGGTGCTTATTTTCTGTAGGGCATTGCAGTTGTTTTTCATTGTGTTAGGTTATGAGACGATTTTAAGGAAAATTTAAGGAACATGATCTTACATAGTTTCATTTTACAGTTTTGTAACTGTTTTGTATGTCTTAGGTTTATATACTGAATTAGTTCTTCCAGAGGATTATGATTGAAAGTTTTGGCTGTGTGTACCTATCACCTTACAAAAATAAAAAGATTTTTTTAAAGGTCATGTTCAGTATCAGTAGTTCTAAGAATATGCTAAATTAAAATTTAAAAATCAAACACCTATAATAAAGTTTTGCTGAATCCACATGAATTGAACTAATGGTTTGTAATACCAGTTATATTACAAGTGAGAACTAGTTTCATATTTTGATATATAAAAGCTTTGAAGGAAGCATAATTGATAACTGTTTATTAATATCACATAATAGTTAATCTTTCATATTGGTACTTTCTGATAAGGTTTTATTAGATGGAGAAGGGTTATATAATTTAGTAAACTGGCAGCTTTTAAATGAATAATGACACTAAAATTTAAAGATTTAATCATAATGAGGTATATCTGATACGTAGTACCTGTGATATTATATATTAATAGTAAAGTCATTTTATATAAGGAAAAATTTTATTCTTAAGTGGGGTTTTCTAAGTAACTATATGTTTACACAAAGTCATACTGTTAACATTTAGTCACTTCCAGAGTCAGTGGAGTTGTATCCTGAAGAGGATTAAATTGCAAAGTTGGCACAGCACATAAAGCAAAAATGCACTTAAATTCAGTTCACTTTTAAGGCCTTGTTGGGAATACCAACCTATTGTTTGTCAGTTCATCCAGGACAGTTTTTTTTTTTTCTCTAGTGTTGGAATAATTTTTTTTTTTTTTTGAGATAGAGTCTTGCTGTATCGCCCAGGCTGGAGTGCAGTGGCCTGATCTCAGCTCACTGCAGCCTCTGCCTCCTGGGTTCAAGTGATTCTCCTGTCTCAGCCACCCGAGTAGCTGGGTCTACAGGCACCTGCCACCACAACCGGTGAGTTTTGTTGTTGTTGTTGTTGTTATTTTTAGCAAAGAAAGATGAAGTTTCACCATGTTGGCCAGGCTGGTCTTGAATTCCTGACCTCAAGTGATTCACCCTCCTCAGCCTCCCAAAGTGTTGGGATTACAGGCATCATCTACTGTGCCCGGAGCAGAATAAATTTTTAATATATATTTTGATAGGCTGATTTTCTTGCATCTCGATTTTTCTTGTATGTCAGTAACTGGAATCACAGTTACCTTTTGAGCACGGTGCTCACATTATGAGAGTTGAGAAAATTACGGGGAACAAACTCTGGCCTTATGGTGATTCTGGTTAGACTTGAGATCTCTAAATTGATATTTTTAAATGAGAATATATAATACACAGACTAAAATATACATTTTAAGGTTAAAAAAAGAGAAACTGTTTACTAAGAATGTTTAGTAGATTCAGTTTTCTTAGTGTTTAATACTAGAAAATACACAGTATTGGCTGGGTGCGTGGCTCATGCCTGTGATCCCAGCACTTTGGGAGGCCGAGGCAGGCAGATCACGAGGTCAGGAGATCGAGACCATCCTGGTTAACACAGTAAAACCCTGTCTGTACTAAAAATACAAAAAATTAGCTGGGCGTGTTGGCGGACACCTGCAGTCCCAGCTACTCGGGAGGCTGAGGCAGGAGAATGGCATGAACCCAGGAGGTGGGGCTTGCAGTGAGCCAAGATCGCACCACTGCACTCCAGCCTGGTCGACAGTGCAAGACTCCGTGTCAAAAAAAAAAAAAAAAAAAGTATTGATAGCATACTTTTAAGAAATCCAAATGTCTTTGTAAAAGTAGGTATTTTTCATTCTTTCAGTATCAGTTACTCTTCACTATGGTTCTTTTTCACATTTAAATAGAATCAAGGAACCTTTTATCTTTGGTTTATCTGGTATTTTTCAGTGTTAGCAATTTTGAAATTCTCTAATTTTTACCACAAACATTTTTGACTCTTTCATTCAGCTTATAATCTGAATTGACAGAAAAATCCAGGGAGAAAAGTTAAAATACTTCCTAAAGTTAAAATATTTGCTTTATTTAGATTTCTAGTATTTCTTATCAAGGAAAAAAATACTTTTTCATTATCTTATCGCTTGATAACCGTTTTTTGTCTCAGCTAAACGGAAGAAAAGTTACCTGGCAGCATAAGATAGCTATGAAGAATCTTTCCCCCACCAGAAAGAAGTTTAGCAAACTATTTTACTGAATAAATCTAAGACTTCCTCCTTCCCAGTAGTTGCCCACAATTTTCCTCCAATATGAGATTATGTCTCTATTTTGTAATTCTGCTCAGAAAACCTGTCTTAAAATCTACACATATTAAACTATAATATGTCATAAATTTTAAGAATGTTATTTAACAGAGGTAAATTTATCATGAATACCATATATTTAAGGTAGCAAAACATAAAGAGAGTAATAACCTCTTTTGATACTCAACAGCAGACCAGGTAAAGTCCAAACAGTTCTGTCTCATCAAAATAATGAAGGTTGCTTGTCTTTGACCTCTTTTCCTGTTACCTCTTTAAGAGATAACACACATATACATACGCTTTTGTAGATGAGACCATTCTAAAATTTATAAATTGTGTTGTATATCTTTGTCTGCCTGATTAAAATGGCTTGTCTTAAGGTAACACTGAACTGCTTAGTCTTTCAATAGGAATTTATTTAGCAACTACTTTGTGGTATTGTTTTGATATACTCTATTTTTGTGTTTCGGCTTTTTCTTATTTATTTTAATTAAATCAATATCATCCCTCGTATACACTATTCTTCTGTGCAGTTGACACTTGAACAATGTGGGTTTGAACTTTGAGAGTCAATTTATATGCAGATACTTTTAAATAAATATATTGCAAAATATTTTAGAGATTTGCAGCAATTTGAAAAAACTCATAGATGAACCATGTAGCCTAGAAATATTTTTAAAAATTTAGAAAATGTTAGGTATGTCATAAATGCATAAAATATATGTACATCTTAGTTTTATCATTTGCTACCATAAAATATACACAAATCTATTTAAAAAGTTAAAATATCAGAACTTTACCCACACAGAGACGTGACATGGCACTATTTACAGTAGAGAGAAATATAAACAAACATAAAGATGCAGTATTAACTCATAACTACATAAAATTAACTTTAGTACATGCTGTGATAGGTTTTTAGCCACCTCCTGTTTTTACTGTGTTGAACTCAAATGTTGCGAATGTCTGCTTAAAACTCAGTGTGATGCTGACATCTCCATGTGAGTAGTTGACCTCTCCACTAAATACCATATTGCAATAAGAAATGATCTCTCGCAGTCCTTGCATAATTTTTAATGTTGTTTAGTGCAATCTCGCAAACTTCGAATGATACCATAGAACAGAAATTTAGGAATCAATAAGTACAGTACTGTAAATGTATTTTCTCTTGCTCATAATAACTTCTCTAGCTTACTTTACTGTAAGAATACAGTATATAATAGACATACAAAATATTTGTTAATTGACTTTATGTCATTGTTAAGACTTCCGGTCAACAGTAGGCTATTACCAGTTAATTTTATGGGGAGTCAAAAATTACATTCAGCTTTTCGACTGGGCGGGCTGTCCTCAGTCCCAACCCCTGAATTGTTCCAGGGTCAGTTGTACATAGCTCTTCATGTTTTTAAAAAACACATTTTTGGCTGGGCATGGTGGTTCAAGCCTGTAATCCCAGCACTTTGGGAGGCTGAGGTGGGCAAATAGCTGGAGCTCAGGAGTTCTCAGGAGTTCAAGAGCAGTCTGGGCAACATGGCCAAGATCTTGTCTCTATTTAAAAAAAAAAAAAAAAAAAAAAATTGGGCCAGGCGCTGTGGCTTACGCCTGTAATCCCAGCACTTTGGGAGGCCAAGGTAGGTGGGATCATGAGGTCAGGAGATCGAGGCCATACTGGCTAACATGGTGAAACCCTGTCTCTACTAAAAATACAAAAACTTAGCTGGGCATGGTGGCACGCACCTGTAGTCCCAGCTACTTAGGAGGCTGAGGCAGGAGAATCACTTGAACCCAGGAGTTGGAGGTTACAGTGAGCCAAAGTTGTGCCACTGCACTCCAGCCTGGACAACAGAGTAACACTCCGCCTCAAAAAAAAAAAAAAAAAAATCAGGCCGAGTGTGGTGGCTCACGCCTGTAATCCCAGCACTCTGGGAGGCCCAGGCAGGCGGATCACCTGAGGTCAGGAGTTCGAGACCAGCCTGACCAACATGGTGAAAACTCGTTTCTACTAAAAGTACAAAAATTAGCCGGACATGGTGGTGGGCACCTGTAATCCCAGCTATTCAGGAGGCTGAGGCAGGAGAATCGCTTGACCCCGGGAGGCGGAGGTTGCAGTGAGCCAAGATTGGGCCACCTACTCCAGCCTGGGTGACAAGAGCGAGACTCCGTCTCAAAAAAAAAAAAAAAAAAAAAAATCAGTGACACATTTGTATCTACTCATGTAACTACCATGTTTCTCACTCACTGTAGTTAACCTGGTACCTCTACCCAGTCTATACCGCCCCTCTGTTCCACTGATCTCAGTTCTATCACCAAAGATGAGATTTTCCTGTTGTTGAACTTAATATAACTGGAATCATTCAGTGGCTTTTTACACTCAGTATAATATCTGTGAAACTTAATATATTAGATTCCTAGGGCTGCCATAACATCACAACAAATTTGGTGGATGGAAACAACAGAAGTTTATTCTTTCATTGCTCTGAGGACCAAAAGTCCAAAACTTCTTCATTAAATGGGACATAGACTGATTAGTAACAAGATTTACTTGTCTTTCTCCATGGTTTCAACAGTGAAAAGTAGTTTTAATGTTGACTGAAAGTTGATTAGTGCTTAAGACCTGAAAATGCTTAGGATTGTTTGCTGTTGGAAGATACGGCTCTTATCTACTTTTCTCCATTAGAGCTCTGGAGTTCTCTTGGGCCTAGAAAGAAGTAATTTGGAACAGTTAGTGTAGTGTGGGGTATTATGAAAACCAAAATAGAGTATTATAATAAAATATATAATAAAAACATACATAAAATTACTGGTTTGGGCTCAGTATATTTTTTGTCTTTAAAAAGAAGATGCTAACTCAAGGAAAGGGTAATAAGGTATGCTGGAAAGTTTATTTGCTTAGAAGTTAGGACTGATTTCTGGTCCTGGCTCTGTCATTAATAATTATGTCTCTGGATTCTTATGGAAGGTTTTTCCAGTTCTTCATATGACAGCTTGGTATTAGCAGTGGTCCTGACATTTATAGATATTATCACTTTCTTTCACCTCACTCACTCTTCATTTCCTTCACAGTATTAACAGTAACCTTTTCTGTTACATTTTGTTAACTTTAGAAATAGTAGATCATGTTAGACTAAGTAGAGATCACAAAAAGATGAGATTTAGGAGAAATCCATAGATGTTTTGAACTGTGGATGAATAGTTCACCAACTATTTCCTGTACACAAAAGCCATGCAATATATGTGATTAAATTTGTGCCTTGGTGAAATAATATGTTATATGTCACTGTATGTATTGTGGGGTCATTTATAAATGGTTACAATATTTTAAAGTAGGAATACCTAGGGTCTGCTTGTCGTTAGTTTTCTGTGATAGATATTCGACAGTGCTTCCTGGCATTTAGGAAGGGGCAGTGAGATCTTTTAATACATCTAGAGAAGACACTTCCTTATATGATCTTTTCATTTATTCAAATATATATTTATTACTTCCTCTGTGCCAGGTACTGTGTGGCTGAGCAGCCTAGACTTGATTCTGTAAAGGAAATTAAAAATCCCAGGACCCCCAGACTCCTTATGCAAAAGGAAAGTTAATCCTGGAGTCTGAGTCATGCAACACACTCTTTCAAGTGAGTAGCTGTTACTAACATTATGCCTTAACCAGATCCTCATGTAAAAGTAAAAGACCTCAGGCATCTATGAAAGACTTCCCCTACAGATCACTGAAAAGCAAATGCTTCGCTGGTCTCCCACAAACAGATACATGCCAGTTGTAACTTTAGGTGTACAATCTAAGTGAAGCTCCTAAAACTAAGGTCTGTTCTGTGCCACACTGATAATGTCATTTACAATCTTACCTTCTCAGATGCAGAACAGAGACAAGAATAGTCATTCTTCCACTGACCCAGAGATGTCTGCAGAATTGATTTTTCCTTTACTCTGTTTTTCCTTCATTCACCTAATATTATGTAAAATATAGTTTTTACTAGATACCAATTAAAATCTCACAGGAATTTAACCATTCACGTTACTGCCTACCTGTCCCTCTTCCTACATGCCTGCCCCGCTTTAAGGAAACACATAAATAGGAAACCTCCTGAAAATCTCTTTGGAAAAACAGTTACATATGTGTTGGTTTTTCCTGGATGGGCCCTAAAGCTGGCTTAATAAACCTTGATTGGTTGAGACTGTGGCCTCAGTCACTCATTTTGGTTGCCAGTTCCATCCCTCCCAGAATTTTCTGTGTATGGAAGTTGTTTTATGTATGTAGTAAGATGTCAATTACGAGTGGTTTGTAATGACTGTGCTTTTGAAATGGTAGTACTTATTAAACATTAGTAATTTGAGAAATTAACCTGCATGAGACTTAAGAGAGAACATTAAAGTAAACATTTAAAAGTTTTATTTCTAAAATGTCAACACAATTTTTGGTTAGCTACTTAGTATATGTTGACTTTTAATTTCTTGGAAAATACTATTTTTTTGGAATTAATGATATGTACTTGCCACTGATTAATCAGATACTCCCTAAGTTACGTAAAATCATTTCAGTACATTCAGGTTTGTATATTAGGTATCCTGTCAATTTTATCTTCTTTATGAAATCTTTCCTCAGGCCTTTATATCTGTACTGGCCCTCCAGGCCTCTTGATTTTATGTGACTATCATCTTGGTGATTTCCTTGACTCACTTTTGCTGGATTCTTTTCGTGGATTTCTTGTCTTAGTTTATTCTCTTGTATCGATGGAGTATATCTTACTCCTTTAAAAAAAAAAAAACCACCCTACATTTAGGATATACTTGATGGCCCGTTCATCTGAAAATATCTTAATTCTACTCTCAAACTTGACTCAGACCTGACTGGATATAGAATTCTAGATGAAAAATTAGAAATGATTTTTCCTCAGAATTTGGGAAGCATTAATCAGTGACTTCCAGATTCTGAATTTGCTTTTAAAAAGTCAGATGTTGTTCTGGTTTTTGATCTTTTATATAAAAGAAACTTGTGGGATCTTTTCTTGTGTCTCTGCTTGGAAATTTCACAATAACTTTCCTAGATGTACATTGATTTTTATCTGTTTTTTTTTTCTGAGACAGTTTTGCTCCTGTGGCCCAGGCTGGAGTGCAATGGCGCGATCTCGGCTTACTGCAACCTTCGCCTCCCAGGTTCAAGTGATTCTCCTGCCTCAGCCTTCCGAATAACTGGGATTACAGGCGCCCGCCTCCACGCCCAGCTAATTTTTTGTATTTTTAGTAGAGAGGGGGTTTCACCGTGTTAGCCAGGATGGTCTTGATCTCCTGACCTCGTGATCCACCTGCCTCGGCCTCCCATAGTGCTGGGATTACAGGCATGAGCCACTGCACCAGGTGATTTTTATCTGTTGTGCTTAGCTTTTGAGGAGTTGCTTTTCAGTTTTGAAATTTATGAGTGTTAGTTCTGAAAAGTTTTTCTGAATTGTTTCTAAGATTCTCTTTTTTCTCTGTTACGTTTCTCTTTTCTGAAACTTGTGTTGGGATATTGAACCACACTGATTCTGTTTTTCCCTTTGTCTCCTATATCCTTTATGTTCTACTTGGAAAAATTTTCAGCTTCCTTTTCTAAACCTATTGTATTTTTTATTTCTGCTATCATAATTTAATTTGCTAAAGATTTTTTTCTGTTTTTTTTTTTGTTTGTTTCTCCAGATTGTTGTATTTTGATAGCATCCTTTTGCTTTTGATTATGGTATTTTCCTCTTACCTCATTCAGAATATTCTTTTTTTTTTTAATGTTTTGTTTTCTTCTCTTTGGTCTATTTTCTTCCTGTCATTTTTCCCTATGTATATTTTAGTCTCTGTATTTTATGTCTAATGTTTTCTTCAAATGAAATTCCTGACAATTCTTTCAGACTACTTGTATGTAATAGAGTAACACTAAAAAAGTACATTGGAAACTCTGAGCATGTGGGTGGACTTTGTTGGATGTCATCTTATCTATTTGAGATCTGCTCATTTCCATAGGGGAATACCTAATGTCTGTATATTTAGATTTTTTTAAAGTGGTTAGGTTTCCAAAGAAATCTGTCAGTGCTTTATCTGGCTTTCAGAGTTATGCCCTATGAGGAAAGAAGACTGAGGATGAAAGGAGGGTCTAGTCCTAGACATATTTCATTATGTCAGCTTTCACTTAATCCTTCTTCTGTTTCAATGGTAATCTCTGCCCTCAACCTGTTTTAATATGCTTCTTGGTCCAGGGACCCTTTCATAACCTTTTCTAAGAAATAAACCTTTTTTTCGTACCATAATGGGAAAGGAGACAGTTGCTAGGCTAGAGTCAGGGAGAAATCTGAGAGTCTAGCTGCTGCTTCAGTAGACTATGGTCAGTCTTCCTGTTAGCCCTACTTTACCCCTACTCAATTTTTGAACCTTTGGGGCATAGCTTATCTTTGGTAATTTAGCATATTAATCAGCTTTCCCTAATATTTGGCTTTAGATTAAGCTTCTTTTTTTTTCCACTAAGTTAGCTACCACTGGTTTTGCTGTTATTTTAAAATTAGTTTATTTTACCCATCTTTTCAATCTGTTGAAACCTTACAATCCTCATCATCCAGCATGTTAATTATTATTCTTTGAGTCCTACATTCATTTCACAATTTGACTTTTGTAAGTGTCTTGACTGAAGTGTAATGATAGAGCCCTGTGGAATATATTTGAAGACATTTTATCAATTTTACTTTAGTTCTTGGTTAATATTATAAGTTATGGTTGTTTATTCCAGCTATCAGTACCTGCTTGTGCTGTATTATTGAGTTTTTATTTTTTTATTTTATTCCTAAGAATATTTTCAGGATATTTTCCCATACTATTTTGCTTAAAAAAAAATCTAGTGTTGGATTAGTTATACTAGCCTACCTAAAAAGAAGAAATTTATTGATAATAAAAATTTAACATCACTTGTAGGGAAATAAAATTACCTCTTGGTGTAGCCTTTTTTCTTTTTTTATGCCTTTAAACCATCTTACAAATAAAAACTTCTGGACTTTGATATGGACACATATTGATGGATTATTAAACTTTTACACTTGAAACTTCTGTGATTGTTTGATACATATTTTCTAGGAAACGTTTTTCTTCATGTCCAAAATTGCTTATTAGAAACTGTTCTCTTCCAGTATTGTTTTCCACACATTGGAGATGCATACATGCCTAATTCCGACCTGTGATTAGTTAAGCTCCACAGAAAAAAACTAAATTTAAAAGTGACTAGATATTCTCTGTCTTCTTATTTGCTCTTCATTTACTTTTTAACTATGTTTCTTCTACCTTTTCCAGTTTTTTATTCAATTCTCCTTAGTGGAGAAGATGGATACAAAGCAGGAGGTGTGAGTAGTTGTTTATTTTGTCTGCATCTGTTAATATTACACCATCTTTCCCATGTAATATTCTTGTTTCTTCTTAGTTTAGCCTCCTGAATTTATGCAGGCAATGGGCTTGTTTGGTTTTCCTTTGTATTACTTATAAAATGTAGTTTGTTCTGATAACGTTCTTATAAGATTGATGATATTAATCTGTATATATGCATATTTGTTTCTCTCCTGTTATATATATGTCCTTTAAAAATTGGACACCAGAAACTATGTAGCCTCATTGTTTTACTCATCCCCTTCATTTATTCAGTCCACTGACAGTAAGTTCCTAATGTATGTCAGGCCCTGAGAAATCAAATATTGATATTACTTTTTACTACTAGAGTTACTACTTTCACAGGAAATGTCTGCTGCATTTTCTTATTAGAATTATTGACATCTATAGAATTAAAAAATACATCTTTTGCTTTTTTGTCTCCCATCCATATTGTCAAGTACTGTTTCCTTTTAAATGTACATGTGGGGCTGGGCGCTGTGGCTCATGCCTGTAATCCCCGCACTTTGGGAGACTGAGGTGGGTGGATCACTCAAGCCCAGAAGTTTGAGACCAGCCTGGCCAACGTGGTGAAACGTCGTCTGTATTAAAAATACAAAAAAATTAGCTGAGCTTGGTGGCGCACACCTGTAATCCCAGCTACTTGGGAGGCTGAGGCATGAGAATCGCTTGAGCTTTGGAGGCAGAGGTTGCAGTGAGCTGAGATCATGCCACTGTACTCCAGCATGGACAACAGAGCAAGACTCCATCTCAAAAAAAAAAAAAAAAAAAAAATCTACATGTGGTATTAAAGTAGACTCAGGTTTGAATTCTGACTCTCCCATGTATTAGCTGTGTAACAGATAAATCACTTAATCTTTTTGGGTCTTGAGTTCTCATCTGAAAAACATATTTAATACCTACTTTATAGGATTTAATTGAGAGAATTGAGGTGCTAAAAATGAAGTGAGAGAATGTACATACATGTGTTGTATAAACTTCTTAAATTTAAAAAGTTATATGATGGTAGTATTTTTATAAGGATTGCTATTCACATATTTATCCTTGCACTCTGTTTGAAATATAATTGTAGTTATCCTTGGGAGCAAGAACTAATTGTATCATGTTGATCCTTAAACATTGCAGCTGGTAAATAGCAAAGACTCCTACTTTTTGGATTGAATTTCTTCAGAAAATGGACTTAGAACAAGTGTTAAGGTAGTTGCTATTTCTTTTCACCCCATGTACTGCTTTTGTTTCATTTTAAAATTTAATGTTAAAACATTCTTTATATGACCAATTTTTGTTACATATTTATAAGTTAATAATTGCTTCTCTTTATCCTCCTTCCCTAATTACTATGTTGTCACCCTTGGCTTTATGGATTTTAGATGTTTTACATCTCTGCTACTCAGTAACCTTTCTTGTTCAGATCTGTTTTTGAAAAGATAAATTATACAGACGTGTTACTATATTCCAATCATAAATTTCATTTTTCTTCTTTTTTCATATTAAGAGATAATTTTTACTTCTTCATGTTAAAATCTCAAATATATCTTAATACTTACTGGGTATGCTAGCACGTAGCTATAGTTATTCAGCTACTCAGGAGGCTGAGGCACAAGGATCCCCCGGAGTTCAGGAGTTTAAGGCCTGCCTGGGCAACATAGCAAGGCCCTATCTGTTTAAAAAGAAAAAAAAATTAGCATGTGGTTCCACTACTGGAATATAAAAAGCCAAGATTAAAAATATTAGTGTGTCGTATATCTTTTCTCTCTCTGCTTTTTTTGGTCTCGTTTGTTTTGAAATGAGACTGGCCAATTTATCTGTTGGTTCTTCCTAAAATCAAATTTGCTGTTTCTCTAAATAACTGCATTTTATGTGTCCTTACTCTTTTTAACGTTTCATTACAGTGCAGTCTTGATCATGGTGACAAATATCTGTCCAAATATTGTCTCTCTAGTCTTTATGAAGTACATCATTCACTTTTTTTTTTTGAGATGGAGTCTTGCTCTGTTGCCCAGGCTGGAGTGCAGTGGTGCAATTTCAGCTCACTGCAACCTCTGCCTCCTGAGCTACAGCGATTCTCCTGCCTCAGTCTCCTGAGTAGCTGGGACTACAGGTGCGTGCCACCATACCAGGCTAATTTTTGTGTTTTTTGTTGTTGTTTTTTTTGAGACAAGAGTCTCACTCTATCGCCCAGGCTGGAGTGCAGTGGCGCAATCTCGGCTCACTGCAACCTCCGCCTCCTAGGTTCAAATGATTCTCCTGCCTCAGCTTCCCAAAGTGCTGGAATTACAGGCGTGAGCCACCACGCCCGGCCTTTTTGTATTTTTTAGTAGAGATGGGGTTTCACCATATTGGCCAGGTTGATCTCAAACTCCTGACCTTGTGATCCGCCTGCCTTGGCCTCCCAAAGTGGTGGGATTACAGGTGTGAGCCACTGCGCCTGGCCTGTACATCATTCTTTTAAGTTGGAAAAAAGAAAGGAAAACCAATGCTTAAACAGCGTTCGCACTTAAGGTCTGTTGGTTACTTTGTTAAGTCCTTTTGTTGTCATGCTTAATCCTTAAAACAGCCCTCTGAAATACTATTAATTTTGACTAACTTGAAAACTAAGGCTCAAAGACATTGTGTTCAATGTCTCTGGTTCTAATTCCAAAGAACATTGAATATGTCATTTCACAAGCTCTTATATGGTATTACCTATGTAACTTGATCATCTGATGTGAAGACCTTAAGTGATTTTAAGTACCACCTTTATTAGATTTTAGAAATATTATAAGTACTCTTTATTCATTGTCAGTCTTACTAAATTGGTACTTATCTGGAATGTACTTTGGAAGTTTGTTTCTGAAGTTTTAAAAAGTTACACAGTTTGGATAAGTAATGTACATTTGAGTGGTAGGATGACTTATACTAGCTTTGGGCATCCCTTGGCTTTCCTGGTGACACTTAAATTTCCAGCTTGCTGACACTAACCTCTTTCTCTTAAGAAAATAAAAGCAGAGATCCAGAGAGTGGTCTGTCCGTCTCAGTTTTTCCTTAACTTTCTTTTGGTTTCAAACATTATTTCAATCATGCTTTCCTTCTACCGTGATGGAAAAATGAGCTTGGTATGTTTTAGGAATAGGAAGAAGATTACCATACTGATCCGTAGAGTAAGGGACAAGTGGTTGTTAGCAAGGTCAGAGGAGTCTGCAGAAACCAGATCTTCAGGGACTTAACTAGCATAAAGAGTTTAGATTTTATTCTAGTACCCTGGAATGCTAAATTTTAAAATAAGGGGCATGATTTGACATCTTTTTTGAGGTTTTTAACATGTTATTCCACACACAAAAAGGAAGATTTAAAAATATACCCATTAAACTGCTAAAAAGTAAATCGAGTGGTGAGAATCTAACAGAAGTCTAATTTCTAGTATGTTTATTATATGGTTGTAGTTACAGGGACTCTTCCTAGCTTAAAGCTGGGGCTCTGGAGGCTATTTTATACTTTAGTGCAACATGATAGGGAATTAAAGTGCAGAAATGTTGGTTTATTATCACATTTTTCTATCCCAAAGTGGCATGAAGAAAACAGCTACTTGACTGCACAGCTTTTGGGAATGGGGATAAGGCATTATGATATTCCTAAAAACATCCTGTTCAGATGAGTGTTACATATCATCAGGTATTAAGCTTCTGCTCATTTACACAGTCACAATTTCATTTATTCACTCAACACAAAGGACTAACAATTTTTAAAAAGAAAAGGGAAAGTGGAAAGTTTATTTTAACGAAATGTTACAAGTATTCTTCGTAAATGTACTTACTTTCTCATTTTATATGTAAATTATGGTTTTAATTTTTTATTTCTCTGATGATTTGTGATATTGAGCATTTTTTTCATGAATTTTGACCATTTTTTAGCCCTTTGTATGTTTGCTTTTGAAAACAATCCCCTGCCCACTTTTTTTGTTTTTTTTTCTTTTTTTTTGAGACGGAGTTTGCTCTTGTTGCCCAGGCTGGAGTGCAATGGCGCTATCTGGGCTCATTGCAAACTCTGCCTCCCAGGTTCAAGCGATTCTCTTTCCTCAGCTTCCCGAGTAGCTGACATTACAGGCATGCACCACCACGCCTGGCTAATTTTGTATTTTTAGTAGAGATGGGGTTTCTCCATGTTGGTCAGGCTGATCTCGAACTCCCGACCTCAGGTGATCTGCCTGCCTCGGCCTCCCAAAGTGTTGGGATTACAGGCGTGAGCTACTGTGCCCTGCTGGGTCCTCTTTTATTAGGGTATTAATTCTATACATGAAGGCTCTGCTTTCATGTGTTAGTCAACTCCTGAACGCCCCACTTCTTCATACCATCCCAATGATGACTAGGTTTCCACATACGAATTTTAGTGGGGGACACAAACATTCAGAATATAGGAGATATTTATAAAACAATCCCCAAAGCTTCATAATGCACACTCTTTTCAAGTGTACGTGGTGGTATGTTCATCAGGAGAGACCATATGCTGGGCCATGAAACAATCCTAAATACATTGAAACAGACAGAATTAATACAAGGGTATATTCTCGGACCAAAATGGAATTAAATTTGAAATCAGTAACAATACAAGAGGCCTAGGTGGGGGGATTGCATGAAGCCAAGAGTTCGAGACCAGCCTGGGCAATACCGTGAGATCCTGCTCTACAAGCAAAAACAAAAAGTACAGTATCTAAAAAGAAACCCAAATATTTTTACATTAAACACAACAATTTTCGACAACCTGTTGGCCAAAGTAATCACAAGGAATATTAAGTCTTTTTGAACTGAATTATAATGAAAATAAAGCAAATTAGAATATGCCAGTGCATCTTCAACTGGAATTAGAGAGAAATGTGCATCTTCACATGCTTATAATAGAAAAGAATAGAGGTTAAAAAAAAATTGACCTGAAGTTCTACCGCAAGAGAGGAAACGAGGCCGGGTGCAGTGGCTCACGCCTGTAGTCCCAGCACTTTGGGAGGCCGAGGCGGGTGAATCACCTGAGGTGAAGAGTTTGAGACCAGCCTGGCCAACATGGCGAAACTTCGTCTCTACTAAAAATACAAAAATTAGCCGGGTGTGGTGGAGGGCACCTGTAAATCCAGCTACTCAGGAGGCTGAAGGGAGAACTGCTTGAACCCGGGAGGCGGAGGTTGCAGTGCACTCCAGCCTGGTGACAAAAGTGAAACTTTGCCTCAAAACAAAAACAACAACAACAAAAAGGGCTGGATGTGGTGGCTTACACCTTTAATCCCAGCACTTTGGGAGGCGAAGGTGGGTGGATTGCAAGGTCAGGAGTTGGAGACCAGCCTGGCCAACATGGTGAAAAACATAGTGAAACCCCGTCTCTACTAAAAGTACAAAAATCAGCCGGGTGTGGTGGTTGCATCTGTAATCTCAGCTACTCGGGAGGCTGAGGCAGGAGAATTGCTTGAACCTGGAAGGCAGAGGTTGCAGTGAGCCAAGGTTGTGCCATGGCACTCCAGTTTGAGCGACAGAGCAGGACTCCATCTCGGGGCCGGGGGAAAGGCAGAAAAGAACAAAGTAAACTCAAGAACAAGGCAGGAAATAAAGAGCAGAAATCAATGAACTAGAAAATAAGCGGGAAAAAATGAACCAAACTACACTGAGTTAACAATGTTCACCTATAAGGTAGTCCCTCACTTGGCTTCTCTTCCCTCAATGGACAACACACCCAATTGGTGAGACTCTAGAGGAGAGGAATGGACACACTCACATGTTGTTTATTGGAATGCAGAGTGGTATAACCTCCTATAATGGGGTTTTGTCAACATCATCTTTGATCTAGGAAATCCTACCTTAGGAGTATGCCTTAAAGATAGAATGGCAAAAATACAAAATGACATATGCACAAGGATATATTCATTGCAGCATTATTTAGAGTAGCAAAAGATTGAAACAACCCAAATATCCATCTGTTAGGGTTCTGATTGAATAAAATGGTTCATGCCCCAAGTGGGATATTATGTAGGTATAAAAATCAAAAACAATACCTTTTAAGCTGTGATTGCTACTGTACATTTTGTTAAGTAAAATAATAAGATACAGAACAGTGAGTAAAGTAGGCTTTTTATTTAAGTAAATATATTTGAGTATGTGTTCATGTGTATATCTATGTTTCTACTTTTATTTTTTTTTAAAAAATGGAATTAACCCAAAACTAATTTATTATAGGGAACAGGTATAGAAGGACTAGCTAGAATTCTCCGAATATACCTTGTTTTCTAGATGTGACTTTGAATCAAGTATGTCAATATTTTACATAATCCCAAAAGAAGTTTTTGTCATTAAAAAAAAAAATCCTAAAAGGAAAAGCAAAATGAAACAGAAGCCTAAGTGGCATAACCATAGGAAGAAACTATTTTAAGAGTTTTTAACATAGTGATTTAATTATATATGCCTGGGGGTTATACCTTTGTACAAAAAGAATGGAATAAAAACCATTTAATCATAGTGTTAGTATTATTATTTCTAGACTGTTGTATATATATTGTGTGACAAAGTAAATGAGTTTATGTTGTTGCATAACAAGATTTTCAGTATAAGAGAAATAAAAGATCAAGGAGGTTGAAAAACAGTGTAGAATTTTATTTGAAAGTGTCAGTATACTAATTCTGACCACTGTAAAAAGGCCTAGAAAAGGTGACCAAATCAGGAGTAATGAGCACCCCTAGCACTCTGATTGTTGTTTCTGAACACTGTTTCCCGCAGAAAAGTACCAGGGTTCCTTGGATATATGGTTGATTTCAGGTCTGGGGCAGGAAATGGACAAGATGATCCTGGGATATTTTGTAATACCAGAATCAAAGAAGCTATTAAGAGATTACTAAGGTTGTATCTAAAAGACTTAGGAGCTACCTTGAAGATTGTCTCACTGACCAAGGATGGAAAATTTGACATCAGTAAGAATAACAACTGCAGTGATTTGATACGTATCACATTTATTTAAATCCGGAAAGTTTATGATGCTTTCCCTAAAAAACATCTATTGTTTACTGTTCAGGGAAGTCAGGATACCAACCGATTTCAAAACTCATAAAAATCAAGGATTTATTCTTCTTTTTAGAAACAACCTCCAAGAAGCGAAAGGTTTGATGAGGGAATTCTCACTTAAAATATATTCCAGTGGCCAGGAGCGGTGGCTCCCACGTGTAATGCCAGCACTTTGGGAGGCCAAAGCATGTGAATCACACTTGAGGCTAGGAGTTCGAGACCAGCCTGGCCAACATGGTGAAACCCTGTCTCTACTAAAAATACAAAAATTAGCTGGATGTGATGGCACACGCCTGTAATCCCAGGTTACTCAGGTGGCTGAGGCATGAGAATCGCTCGAACCTGGGAGGTGGAGGTTGCAGTGAGCCGAGATTGCGCCACTGCCCTCCAGCTTGGGTGACAGAGTGAGAGTCTGTCTCAAAAAAAAAAAAAAAATTTTTTTTCAGATAGTAAATGATGAAGCAATTATAGTTAGAATATCATTATTTGCAAATCTCAGTGAATTACTAGATTTAGACAATTATCATTGGCTGCTGTTACATAAAAATATAATCAGACAACACATATGTGCCTCTTGATGAAGAATACCGTATTATGTATGAGGTAGTCTTTTCTAATTATCAACCTTGAATTTGATTAATACTCCAGTTAAACAATTACTGGAAATACAAGAATGGAGAAACATATTTTAAAATGCCACAGAATAGTAAAATACAGGTAATTGAAGGCTGTATGGGAGAAATGACTTTATTTCTTTAACCAAGGGGAAAAAGCAAGAGGAACCTATAAATAATAGATTTAAGAGTCATATATGGTTGGGTGACCTGGGGAAGCAAGAAAAAAAAAGTCATATCAAACAGTTGCAATATGTGGACCTTATTTAGATCTTAACTTGAACAAACTGTAAAAACAAGAAAAACAAACAACCCAACCTGGGAAACTTGAATACTGCCTGTTAAATAATGGATAGTTTTAGAGAATTAATACTTCTTTCAGTTAACACAAGGTTTGCCATGAGTTGAGAATTGTTGAAGCTGGATGATGAGTACCTGGAAATCTGCTGTTACTGTCTCTGTAACAAAAGGTTAAAAATTTTAAAAAGAACAATTAGGTTATTTTCAAAATAGCATTTTGATATTCCAAAGTTACACATTAAGAGACTAAATTGCTGAATAATTATTTATGAACTTTAATTATTTGTAACTTTCACTCTCTTATGGTGATGAAACATTGGTTAAAAGATCAAGCCAGACACTGTGGTTCATGCCTGTATAATCCCAACATTTTGGGAGGCCAAGGCAGGAGGATTGCTTGAGCCTCAGAGTTGAAGACCAGCTTGGGCAACATAGTAGGACCTTGTGTCTAGAAAAAAATAAAAAACTTACCTGGGTGTGGTGGCACATGACTGTATCCCACCTACTTGGACAGCTGAGGTGGGAGGATTGTTTGAGCCCAGGAATTTGAGGCTGCAATGAACCGTGATTGTGCCACTGTACTCCAGCCTGGGTGACAAGAGTGAGATCCTGTTCAAAAATACAATAAATAAAAAGGTCAGATCAAAATAAATAGGCCAGGCACAGTGGCTCACACCTGTAATCCCAACACTTTGGGAGGCCGAGGCAGACAGATCACCTGAGGTCAGGAGTTCAAGACCAGCCTGGCCAACAAGGAGAAACTCCGTCTCTACTGAAAATACAAAATAAGCCGGGTGTGGTGGCACATGCCTGTAATCCCAGCTATCCGGGGGGCTGAGGCAGGAGAATTGCTTGAACCTGGGAGGCGGAGGTTGTAGTGAGCTGAGATTGTGCCATTGCACTCCAGCCTGGGCGACAAGAGCGAAACTCTGTCTCAAATAAAATAAAATAAAATAAAGATCAGTTCAATAAATAATAGTTACTTTTGTTTGAAGACTGTGGTTATTTATTAAATGTAAGCACTATAGTGGATCCAGTAAGAATGAAGAGATCAAAACAATTATTAATAGGGTTTGATAGGAAAAATTCAATCCATTAATTTGTCAAAATAGAGTGTTACTGAAAAAATATATACATGTAAATAGTCTTAGAAAAGCTTTCTTCAGTCATGATTGTGACACTTAACTCCAGCTTAGACAACGAGAGTGAGACCCTGTCTCAAAAAAAAAAAAAAAAACCAAAAACCAGTTCTTCTTGAACGTGGCTGTGATATGAAGGTATAAAAAATGAAAATTTCTATGAAACTGAGATGTAGTTTGTATACCAGTTGTTACTTTCCTTTTTTAAATTTTATACTTTTTTTTTTTGCTGAATCTAAGGAAGTATATCACAAGACATACCTAATGCTCTGTGCCTATTGTATTATTAGTTTCTCTTCTCTACAAAATAGAAATATTCTTTCTAACATTTCCCTGGAAACGAATGTTTCTGAGCTTGTAAATAAGATTCCATATCCTAAACTTTTCTGGGACCCAAGATTTACCACAGTTTCATTTAGGGAATACTATTCTGTTAATGCTTTCTCTTTCAACCAAATTCGCTACATTGCCCGTTGTATATCATCTGATTTGTTGTGTGCACACCACATGTCTTTAATCTCAAGTTGGCAGCGTTTCTATAGCTGCTTTCTCACCCCTACTTTTACTCCTATATTTGCCTTTTTAAAGCAAAAAATAAAAAAGGAGAGGTGGAGGTGAATATGTCAGAGAACTAACAAGGCTGTTCTTTTTTATCTCTTAGGAAATACTGTTCAGGGACTAATTTGTGCTGTGATAATGGGGTATAAGTTCAGTAATCTTCGGCCCACAGTGTGTTAGGATATAGCCTCTGTTCGAGATTATTGTCTCATTCTTCTACCCTTTAACATAAAAGGCACGTGAGATTTAGAATGTATAGTATAATCTCTCTGTATATATATCATCATTGCCTTTGGGAGAAGGGAGTGGCATGGGTTTTTTTTAAGTCATGCTGATTCCCACTTTTTAACTTTTTTATATAAATTCTCTACTTATGCATTTAATTTGTTTTTAATTAGAGTAAAATTTACTTACTTTTAAAAATTTATAAATTAGGACAAATGCAGTCTTGTAACCATTTCGACGATTAAGACATAGAACAGTGCAATCACTCCCCTATAAAATTACTTTTGCTACCATTTCTTTGTAGTGAAACCTTCATCTGTCTTTTTTTCTCAACTCTGAACATTAGATTTTCTTGTCTTTTTCTTGGGTGTCGCATGAATAGAATTATACAGTGTATAGAGTTGAGTCAGGCTTCTTTTAATTATACTAAAACATTAGAAATTCATCTTTATTGTTGCATATATCAACAGTTTGTTTATTGCTGAGAAGTATTTCATTATATTATCTGCTACAGTTTGTCCCACTTCATTTTGGGGACATCTGGGTTTTTTCCAGCTTTTGTCTATTAAAAATAAAACTGCTTTAAACATTCATGTACAGGTTTTTGTGTAAATATAGGTTATTTCACATGGGTGAATATCTAAGTATGGAATTACTTTTCTTAAGTAGTTTATCATTTTGCATTCCCACTAGCATCCAGAGTTAGTTGCTTTGCATCCTTCCCATTCTTTTGGGCAGTTTTAAAAATTTTAGTCATTCTTTTTTTTGAGACAGAGTCTCCCTCTGTTGCACAGGCTGGAGTTCAGTGGCGCGATCTTGGCTCACTGTAAACTCCGCCTCCTGGGTTCACGCCATTCTCCTGCCTCAGCCTCCTGAGTAGCTAGGACTACAGGCATCCGCCACCACACCCGGCTAATTTTTTGTATTTTTAGTAGAGACGGGGTTTCACCATGTTAGTCAGGATGGTCTCAATCTCCTGACCTCCTGATCTGCTTGCCTTGGCCTCCCAAAGTGCTGGGATTACAGGCATGAGCCGCTGCACCTGGCCAAAAATTTTAGTCTTTCTAATAGATGTGTAGTAGTAGCTCATTGTGGTCTTTATTTGTATTTCTCTAATTATTAATGATTTTTAATATCTTTTGATGTGCTTACTTGCTGCCTGTATGTCTTCTTTAGTGAAGTACATGTTCAAATCTTTTGCCCATATTTTTGAATTAATTTTCTTTTATTGAGTTTCAAAAGTGTTTTATATATTCTTGATACAAGTCTTTTGTGAAATACGTGATTTGTAAGTATTTCCTTACAGTCTGTGGCTTGTTTTCATTTTTTTTAACATTGATTTTCACAGAGTAAAACGTTTCCAATTTTGATGGCATCTAACATCACTTTTTTTTTTTTTTGTGATGGAGTTTCACTCTTGTTGCCCAGGCTAGAGTGCAATGGCGTGATCTCCGCTCACTGCAACCTCCACCTCCCAGGTTCAAGCGATTCTCCTGCCTCAGCCTCCCAAGTAGCTGGGATTGCAGGCATGCGCCACCAAGCCTGACTGATTTTGTATTATTAGTAGACACAGGGTTTCTCCATGTTGGTTAGGCTGGTCTCGAACTCCCAACCTCAGGTGATCTATCTGCCTCAGCCTCCCAAAGTGCTGGGATTACAGGCATGAGCCACTGAGCCCAGCCCACATTTTTTGTTTTATGGATTGTGCTTTTGATCTCATTTCTAAGAATTCTTTGCTTAATCCAAGGTCACGAATATTATATTTTCTTGGACAAAGTTTTACCTTATACGTGTAAGTCTGATTTATTTCAGTCTAATTTTTGTATATAGTATGGATTGAATTTATTTACTTTCTCCCTGCAGGCATTCAGTTATCGAAGTATCATTTGTTGAAGAGACTATCCATTTCCATTTGAATTACCTTTGCACATTTTTTAAAAAAATTCAATTGTCAGTTCTGTTTGGATCTGTTTCTGGACTTTATTCTCTTATTCATCTGTGTGTCTAGTTTTTTTTGATGCCATATACCTTTATTGTAGCCTTTTTTTTTTTTTTTTGGAGACGGAGTCTCACTCAGTCTCCCTGGCTGGAGTTCAGTGGTGCAGTCTCGGCTCACTATAACCACTACCTCCCGGATTCAAGCGATTGTCCTTCATCAGCCTCCTGAGTAGCTGGGACTGCAGGTGCGCACACTACCAGTCCCTGCTAATTTTTTGTATTTTTAATGGAGACGAGGCTTTGCCATGTTGGCCAGACTGGTCTCGAACTCCTCTCGACCTCAGGTGATCTGCCTGCCTTGGCCTCTGAAAGTGCTGGGATTACAGGCATGAGCCACTGTGCGTGGCACCTTTACGATAGCTTTATATGCAGTCTTCAAACCAGGTAATGTGAACTGTGCAACTCTTTGTTCTTTTTCAAAATTATTTAGCAATTCTATTTCCTTTTCCCTCCCCCATGTAAATTTTAGAAGGTACACAAAATTTGTATATAAATTCCACATTTCTCCATTTATTCATCTACCAATAGTTGAGTAGATGAAGAAAAATCTTGATGGTATTTTATTATGTATATATTCTACATTTTCTTCACCTATTCATCTGTTAATAGACAGGTTGATTCCATATCTTGGGTATTGTGAATAGTGCTGCAATAAAATGGGGGTGCAGGTATCCCTTTGATGTGCTGATATCTTTTCCTTGGATAAATACCCAGTAGTGAGATTGATGAACCATATGGTAGTTATATTTTTAGTGTTTTCAGAAGTCCCCATACTGTTTTTCCTAATGACTGTACTAATTTATATTCCCGTCAACAGTATATGAGAGTACCCTTTTCTCTACATCCTCACCAGCATCTGTTATTTTTTGTCTTTTTAATAGTAGCCTTTCTCACTCGAGTAAGATCTCGTTGTGGTTAAGATATATACATTTCCCTGATGATTCATGTTGTTGAGCATTTTATTTTCTTTTTCACTTTTGAGACAGGATCTCACTCTGTTGCCCAGGCTGGAGTACAGTGGTGCGATCACAGGTCACTTCAGCCTCATCAACTCAGGCTCAAGTGATTCTCCCACCTCAGTCTCCTGATTAGCTGGGACTACAGTTGTCCACCACCACATCCGGCTAATTTTTTGTATTTTTTGTAGAGACGGGGTTTCACCATGTTGCCCAGGCTGGCCTCAAACTCCTGGGCGCAGGTGATCTCCCTAACTTGGCCTCTGGAAGTGCTTGGATTACAGGCATGGGCCGCTGCTCCTGGACTCATTTTTTTCATATACGGTGTTGGCTGTTTGTATGTTGTCTTTTGAGAAATGTCTGTTTATGTCCTTTGCTCACGTGTGTGTGTGTGTGTGTGTGTGTGTGTGTGTGTGTGTGTGTTTATGTACTTTTTTGCCCACCTTTTTTTTTTTTTTTTTTTTTTGGAGACGAAGTCTCGCTCTGTCACCAGGCTAGAGGGCAGTGGCGTGATCTCGGCTCACTGCAACCTCTGCCTCCCGTGTTCAAGCAGTTCTCTTGCTTCAGCCTCCCGAGTAGCTGGGATTACAGGTGCATGCCACCACGCCCAGCTAATTTTTGTATTTTTAGTAGAGATGGGGTTTCACCGTGTTGGCCAGAATGGTCTTGATTTCTTGACCTCATGATCCACCCACCTCGGCCTCCTAAAGTTCTGGGATTACAGGCATGAGCCACCATGCCCGGCCTTTTGCCCACTTTTTAATGGGATTTTTTTTTAAACTGTTGAGTTTCTCATATATTCTGAATTATTAGTCACTTGTGCGATGAGTAGCTTGCAAATACTTTCTTCCATTCAACAGGTTGTCTCTTCATTCTGTTGATTGTTTCCTTTGCCGTGCAGAACTGTGCAGTTTAATATAGTCGCATTTATCATTATTTATATCGCCTCTGGAGTTTCAGGTCTTAGCCATAAAATCTTTGCATAAATCTGTGTCCTAAAGTGTTCTCCCTTTGTTTTCTTCTAGTAGTTTTATAGTTTGGGTCTTATGTTTTAAGTTTTTAATCCATCCTGAGTTGAATTTTGTATACGGTGAGAGATAGGGGTCCAGTTTCATTTCATGTGGATATCCAGTTTTTCACATACCAATTATCAAAATGGTTGTTTTTTCCATAATGTGTTGTGTGTTCTTGGAACCTTAGTGAAAAATCTGTTGGCTGTGAGACGGTGTTTGCAAAATTGTAACTGAGGAAATTGCGACAGTGAAAGAAATCAGTGGTTTTAAATACATGTTACACTGTTAGCAACTTTTACTTTTGGTTTAAAGCCTGGTTAGTACATGATTTTAATTTAACCAATACCATCCTATTTTGGCCACTGTAGGCTTGTAATATATTTTAAAGTCGGGTAGTGTAGTGTGATTCCTTCAGTTTTGTTCTTTTTGCTCAGGATTGCTTTGGCTCCTTAGGCTCTTTTTTACTTCCATAGGAATTTTAGGATTGTTTTCTCTATTTCTGTGAAAAATGATGTTGGTATTTTGATAAGGATTGCATTGAATCTTTGTATCGCTTCAGACAATATGATCATTTTAATGATGTTAATTCTTCTTTTGAGCATGGGATGTCTTTCTATTTGTGTCTTCAGTTTCATTCATCTGTTTTGTAGTTTTCATTGTAGGCATCTTTTCCCTTTTGGGGTACATTTATTCATGGATGTTTTTTCTTTAGGTATTATAAATGGAATTGTCTTTTTTGTTGTTGTTGTTGTTGTTGTTGTTGTTGTTGAGACGGAGTCTCACTCTGTCGCCCAGACTGGAGTGCAGTGGCGCAATCATGGCTCACTGCAAGCTCTGCCTCCCGAGTTCACACCATTCTCCTGCCTCAGCCTCCCAAGTGGCTGGGACTACAGGCACCCGCCACCATGCCCAGCTAATTTTTTGTATTTTTAGTAGAGACGGGGTTTCACCGTGTTAGCCAGGATGGTTTCCATCTCCTGACCTCATGATCCACCCGCCTCGGCCTCCCAAAGTGCTGGGATTACAGGCATCAGCCACCACGCCTGGCCACCTTCTTGATATGTTTCTCAGCTATTGCATTATTGGTATATAGAAATGCTACTGATTTTTGCTTGTTGATTTTTTTATCTTGCAACTTTACTGAATTGATCAGTTCTATGAGGTTTTTGGTGGGATCTTTAGGTTTTCCTAGATACACAGTCACATTATTCTCAAAGAGGGACACATTGACTTCTTCTTTCCCAATTTGGATGCCTTTATTTCCTTATTTTGCCTGATTGCTCTGGCTAGGACTTGCAGTATTATGTTGGATAGGAGTGAAGAGAGTGGCGGCTTTTTTGTTTTGTTCCAGTTCTTAAAGGGAAGGTTGTCAGTTTTCCCCATTCAATATTATGCTAGCTGTTGTTTGTCACAAGTGGCCTTTATTATGTTGAGGTATTTTTCATCTGTGCTTAGAATGTTGAGAGTTTTTATTATGAAGGGATGTTGAATTTTATCAAATACTTCTTCTGTGCCTATTAAGATGATTCATGACTGTCGATTTACATATGTTGAACCATCCTTGCATCCCTGGGAAAATTTTCACTTGATCTTGATGTTTTTGATGTGCTGTTGAATTTGGTTTTCTATTTTGATAAGAATTTTTGTATGTATGTTCATCAGAGATATTGGCCTGTAGTTTTATTTTGTTGTTGTTGTTGTTGTAGCATTCTTGTCTGGTTTTGGTATTAGGGTAATATAATGCTGGCCTCTTAGAATAAATTAGGAAGAATTCCCTCCTCTTCAGTTTTTTGGACTAGTTTGAGGAGAAGTGGTGTTAGTTGTTTCAAAGTTTGATAGAGTTCTGCAGTGGGGCCATCTGATCCTGAACTCTTCTTTTTTGGGAGATTTTTTACTACTAATTTTACCTCATTACTTGTTATTAGTTTGTTTAGATTTTCTATTTCTTCCTGATTCAATCTTGGTAGTTGTATGTGTCCAGGAATTTATCCATTTCTTCAAGGTTTTCCAGTTTGTTTTTGTATAGTTGTTCATAATGGTCTCTGATGATCTTTTGTATTTCTGTGGTATCAGTTGTAATTTCTCTTTTTTCGTTTCTGATTTTGTTTATTTGGGTATCCTTTTTTGTTGTTTATTCTCAACAAGCAGTTAATTGATTTTGTTTATCTCTTCAAAAAACAGTTTTTCATTTCATTGATCCTTTGTATTTTGTTAGTATCTGTTGCATTTGTTTCTTCTTGATCTTAATTGTTTCTTTCCTTCTGTTAATTTTGGGCTTGCCGTGTTCTATTCTGTTTTCATGGGATGTATGGTTTGACACTGTATTTGAAATTCTGTTACTTTTTGGTTATAGGTATTAATTATGAACTTCCATCTTAGCACTACTTTATTAAATATTCTCTAGATTTTGGTATGTTTTGAATTGATTTTTATTTATTGTAAAGCTACATTTGATTTCATCCTTAGTTTCTTTCTTGACCTAGTGGTCATTTAGGAGCATGTTGTTCACTTTCCATGTATTCGTACACTTCCCAAAGTTCCTCTTTGTTGATTTCTAGTTTTATTTCATTGTGGTCTGAGGGTTTGATACAATTCTAATTTTTAAAAATTTGTTGAGACTCTATTTGTGTCCAAAAATATGGTCTATCTGGGAGAATCTTCCATTTGCTGGTGAGAAGAATATGTGTTCTTTAGCTGTGGGATGAAATGTTCTATAAATGTTTGTTAGGTCCATTTGGTCTAATGTGCAGTTTAAATCTAATGTTTCTTTGCTAATTTTCTGTCTGTTAGCATGCAGTGAGTTTTTGGGAAAAAAAAAAAAGGAAAAAAAAAAGAAAAACAAAATTCTGTCTAGATGACTAGATGATCTCCCTAATGCTAAGAGTGGGTTGTTGGAAACCCCAATTATTATTGTACTCTTTCTCTCCATTTAGATCTTTTTTCTTTTTCTTTTTTTTTTTTTTTTTGAGACAGGGTCTCACTTTGTCACCCAGGCTGGACTGTATTGGCACGATCTCAGCTCACTGTAACCTCTGCCTTCCAGGTTCAAGCGGTTCTCCTGCCTCAGCCTCCTGAGTAGCTGGGATTACAGGCATGTCACCAATTTTTGTATTTTTAGTAGAGATAGGGTTTCACCATGTTGGCCAGGCTTGTCTTGAACTCCTGACCTCAGGTGATCTGCCCACCTTGGCCTCCCAAAGTGCTGGGATTACAGGTGTAAGCCAGCACACCTGGTCTCCATTGAGGTCTAATAATATTTGCTTTATACATCTGGGTCCTCTGCTGTTTGGTGCATATATGTTTAGAATTGTTATATTTTCTTGATGAATCAATCTCTTTTATCGTTATATAATTACCTTGTCTCCTTTTACT
The DNA here is from genome assembly GCF_000001405.40 of Homo sapiens. NCBI lineage: Eukaryota > Metazoa > Chordata > Mammalia > Primates > Hominidae > Homo > Homo sapiens. The sequence continues at coordinate 63,388,905 of NC_000010.11, read as the reverse complement.
GCTTTTGACTGTTTAATTGTAGCTACTTCTCCCCACTTTTGGTTTCTATTTGCATGGAATGTCTTTTGTATTCCTTTACTTTCAGTTTATATGTACCTTTATAGGGGAGATGAGTTTCTTTTGGGCAGCATATAGTTGTGCCATTATTTTAAATCATTTCAACTAGTCTGACACTTTAATCTGTTTTATTATTAACATGTGAGGGCTTATTCCTGTTATTCTATTACTTAATTTCTGGTTGTTTTGTGTATTCATTGTTCCTTTCTCTCTTCTTGTTAACATTGTGGTTTGGTGGTTTTCTGTAGTGCTATCGTTTGAGGCTTTTCTCTTCCTTGATTGTATTTGCTCTACCACTGGGGTTTATATTCTGTGTGTTTTCATGATGATAGATACCATTCTTTATTTTCCCAGCATCAGACTCCTTTAAGCATTTCTTGTAGATTTGGTCTAGTGATGATGAATTTTCTTGCTTTTACTTGTTTAGGAAAGACTTTATTTCCCCATCATTTATGAAGGATAACATTGTTTGGTATAGTATATTCGGCTTTTTTTTTTTTCTCCTTCAGCTTTTTGAACCTATTATCCCATTGTCTTCTGCCCTGTAAGGATTGTGCAGAGAAACTGCCGTTAGTCTGATTGGGGTTCATTAATAAGTGACTAGATAGTTATGTCTTGCTTTTTAAAGAATTCTCTGTCTTTGACTTAGTGACATTTTTACTATAAGGTGCTCTGGAAAAGATATTTTTGAGTTATATACCTTTGGGGATCTTTGTGCTTTATCTGAGTATCTAAACTTTTTGCCAGCCTTGCGAAGTTTTCATCTATTATTTTGTTAAACAGACTTTCTAGCCCTTCAAGTTTTCTTGTTGCCTCCTCAAACACAAAAAATTTGAAAATTTGGTAGCTTTATGATGTCCTATATGTGATGAGGATTTGCTCGTTCTTTAAGGAAATTTAAATTTTCTTTTTTCGGCCAGGCGCAGTGGCTCACGCCTGTAATCCCAGCACTTTGGGAGGCTGAGACAGGCAGATCACAAGGTCAGGAGATCAAGACCATCCTGGCTAACACGGTGAAACCCCGTCTCTACTAAAAATACAAAAAATTAGCCGGGCATGGTGGTGGGCACCTGTAGTCCCAGCTACTCCGGAGGCTGAGGCAGGAGAATGGCAGGAACCCAGGAGGTGGAGCTGGCAGTGAGCTGAGATCACGCCACTGCACTGTAGCCTGGGCGACAGAGCGAGACTCCGTCTCAAAAAAAAAAAAAAAAAAAAAAAATTTTTTTTTTCTTTTTTCTTCTGACTGGGTTATTTCAAAAGGTCTGTCAAGTTCTGAGATTTTTTTCTTCTATTTGATCTAGTCTGTTGAAGGTTTGAATGTATTTTGTTTGATTCGATGAATACATCAGGTCCCGAATTTGTTTCATCCTTTTTTATGCTGTCTCTTTGGTGAATTTTTCATTCATATCCTGAATTGTTTTTCTTTTCTTTGTATTATTTTCTTTGTGTCTCAGTGTAACAGAATACTTTAGTATCAATATTTTCAATTCCAAGATTTTATAAATTTCTTTTTGATTGGAATCTGTTGTTGGAGAATTACTGTGTTCCTTTGAATTTATTATCATGGATTCACATTTTCTTGCTTCTTCTTGTTTCTTTTATTTCTACATTGATATCTATGCATCAGGTATTGACAGTCACTTCTTCCAATAGTTTGAATTTCCTTTCATAGGGGAGGAATTTTTCCTAGAGATGTATCTGTGGTGTTGGTTGGGTAGGGCACTTTTGCTTTGATTCTGGATATATGCAGTGGTGTAGACTCCATGTGATTTTTTTAGGCATTAAACAGGGTCAGTGTTGTCTGTGATTTCTTCTGTGGTTTAGTGGGTGGTTCTTAATGGAAGCTGTGGTGACATTTTATTAGGGAATGGGTTGCCACATGGGCCACTTTGGGCTCCTTTGGTGTTAGTCAGAAGATCATGTCTGTTTTGGGGCTTCAGTGTGGCGTATGCTGCCACCAGAGTTAGTGGGTCTGTGCAGGTCGATTCTTGGGCTTCCAGGCAGCTTGCTTGGGTGCCAGGAATGGCAGTAGTGGGGTGAATGAGTGGGCAGGTTACTGGGCCCTGGGCGGTAGGCGTGGCATAGTTGATGTCAGTAGCAGTGGCAAGACAACCCCCTGGAACCCAAGCATTTCACTTTGGTGTTGGCAGAGGTTGTGACAGGCTGACTAAATCAGTCTCCAGGCCTGCTGCAGGTGCCCACATGTGGGTGGGTGTCAGCTTTGGTGATAGTGGTCAGTTGAATGGACCCTGGCCCCTGGAAAAAGTGCTCAGGTACCAATGGTGGTAGACTAAGCAAGGTAATCTCCAGACCCTGAGCAATGTGCTTACATACTGGAGGGGGCTGAGCTTGGATGAGCAGACCCGTCCTCAGGTTCCCTGATTGTTTGTGCAGGCACTGGCTGTGGTCAACAGGGGTGGCATGATCCCCAGACTACCAGTGGAATGGTCAGGTGAGGGCTCCAGCCATCATGTTGCAGCCCTGCTACTGGGGAAGGTGGGTTGCTTTCTGTTGGAGCAGCTGTAGGCAGGCAACTGGTAACTGGGCAGGTGCACTTTGCTAGGGTGTTGACCCTGGCAGCAGTAGCCCACAGTACAGATTCTGGGGTCTGTGAAGTTTGTATTTAGGGCATATGAAAATGCCTAGTTACCCCACTGCTAGGGAGGGTGGGGTCCGGCTAGTACCTTGTGTTTTCCTTCAGGGCTGTTGATTTGGGAGATAACTTACTCTTTTTGGGGTGTGTGTGTGTGTGTGTCTGTGTATGTGTGTATGTTTCACATTTTTTAGGGTTAGCCTGCATCCAAAGAGAGTTTATTCTTTACAATAGTGAATCTTTTCATTTGTGAACACAGTGTATCTATTTAAGACTTAAGTTTCCATGTTTGGTGTATTGTAGTTTTCACCGTATATGCTCTGAACATTTTTGTTATATTTCTTCTTCATTTTTTTCTACTTTTTATTGTCTTAAAATACTGTTCAAATCAGGATCTGGAGTATCCTGGGTTATACAAACCTATATATAAGTAAATATACATTTTTTATCGTAGTTTGCTTTATTGCACTTAGCAGATGCTGAATGTTTTTAAATAAATTTGAGGTTTTATGATAGGTGAAATGACATGCACCTGTAATCCCAGTTACTCGGGAGGTTGAGGTGAGAGGATTGCTTGAGGCCAGGAGTTTGAGACCAGCCTGAACAATATAGCAAGACCCCATGTCTAAAATAAATTTAAAAAAGAAACATTAGCCGGGTCATGGTAACATGCACCTGTAGTCCCAGATGCTTGGGAGGCCATGGTGGGAGGATTGCTTGAGCCTAGGAGTTGGAGGCTACAGGGAGCTATGATCTTACCACTATACTCCAGCCTGGGTGATAGAGCAAGACCCTATCTCTTAAAAAAAAGCAAAAAAAAAAAAAAAAAAAAAAAAAAAGGCGGGGGCAGGGAAGGCATGGGATTTGTGACAACTTTGCATCTATTAAGTCTGTCGGTTTCATTTTTCCATCTGCACGTGGAAAAATATTTTCATGGGTCTGTTACATTTCAATTATCACGATATTTCAAACTTTTATTATTATTACTATTACATCTCTTATGGTGATGTGTCATCAGTGATCTTTGATGTTAGCATTGTAATTGTTTTGGGCACCAGAAGCCACACCCGTATAAGAAGGCAAACTTAATCCAGAACACTATGTGTGTTCTGACTGCTCCACTAACCAGCCATTCCCCTGTCTCTTTCCCTCTTCTTGAACCTCCGGACCTCCCTATTCCTTGAGACACAATAATATTGAAATTAATCCAATTAATAATCCTATAGTTGCCTGTATGTTTTCAAGTGAAAGGAATAGTCACACATCTCTAACTTGAAATCAGAAAGCTAGCTTAGCGAGGAAGGCATGTCAAAGCCAAGACAGAGCACAAAGCTAGGCCTGTAGCACCACACAGTTAGACAAGTTGTTATTGCCAAGGAACAGCTTTTGAAGGAAATTAAAAGTGCTACTCCAGTAAACACAGGGATGATAAGAAAGTGAAACGTTGTTATTGCTGATATGGAGAAGCCTTATGGACAGGCCAACTCTCTTGTTAGGGACTACAGTAACTGGTGACTTTTTGTTGAAGTCATTGCTCATTGACCATTCCATAAATCCTAGGGCCCCTAAGAATTATTTTAAATCTACTTTGCAGGTGCTCTGTAAATGGAACAACAAAGCCTGGATGACAACACATCTGTTTATAGTAGGTTTTTCTAAATATTTTAAGCCCACTGTTGAGATGTACTACTCAGAGAAAAAGATTCCTTTCAAAGTATTACTTCTCATTGACAGTGCATCTGGTCACCCAAGAGCTCTCAAGGAGATTAATATTTTCATGCCTGCTAGTACAATTTTCATTCTGCAGCCCATAGATCAAGGAATAATTTTGATTTTCAAGTCTTATTATTTAAGAAATACATTTTGTAAAGCTATAGCTGCCAGAGATAGTGATTCCTCTGATGGATCTGAGCAAAGTAAACTGAAAACCTTTTGTAAAGGATTCAGTATTCTAGATGCCATTAAGAACATTCATGATTCATGGGAGGAGGTCATAATATCAACATTGAGGTGTTTAAGACTTTCAAGGGGGAAGTCATTGCAGATGTGGTAGATATATCAAGAGATTTGTAATCAAAACTAGAGCTTGAAGATGTGAGAGAACTGCTGTAATCTCATGGTTGAACTTGAATGGATGAGGCATTGTTTCTTATGGATGGGCAAAGAACATGGTTTTTTGAAATAGAACTGAATACTACTTAACCGTTGGTGATAATGCAACCTTAGCTTGTGAGAGGATTGACTCCAGTTTCAAAAGAGGTTCAGCTGTGGGTAAAGTGGCCAACAATATTGCATGCCCTAGGGAAATCTTTGATGAAAGGAAGAATTAATAGATGTGACAAACTTTTGTTGTCTTATTTTAAGAAATTGTCACAAACACCCCACCTTGAGCTACCACCACCCTGAGCAGTCAGCAGCCAAAAACGTTGAGGCAAGGCACTTTATCGGCAAAAAGATACTACAACTCTCTGAAAGCTCAGATGATTGTTACCGTTTTTTGGCAGTAAGAACATTTTTAAGTTAAAGTGTGTACATTGTTTTTGATTTTTATTTTTTGAGACTGGGTCTTGCTCTGTCACGTAGGCTGCAGTGCAGTGGTGTGATCATGGCTCATTGCAGCCTCAACCTCCCTGGCTGAAGCAACCCTCCCATTTTAGCCTCCCGAGTCTCTGGGACCATAGGCACATGCCACCATGCCTGGCTAATTTTTTTCATTTTTTGTAGAGACAAGGTCTTACTGTGTTGCCTAAGCTGGTCTTGAACTCCTGAGTTTAAGTGATCCTCCCACCTGTGTCTCCCAAAGTGGTGGGATTACAGGCAAGGAGGTACCCTTAACGATGGGTTTTATTAGAAATAGCCAGCTGTTTTGTTGGCTTCTTCCTTGACTTGGATTTCTTCCTTGACTTGGTATGGATAGTTAACTAGAAACAGATGTTAACTCCTTGACCAGTGCATTTCTCTTTCCTCATTCTAATAGATAAGCTTTAATGAATATCTTTAGTGGATATTCTAATAGATAAGCTTTTTTTTTTTTTTTTAAAGAAGCTTCCTAGTGGGCAGCAGTATAAACACCACCAAATCAAACTTAACCTTTTACCAGGTTGCTTTTATTTTTTAAAGACCATGATTGAGTCTAAGAGTCAGGAGATTTTTAATGTTAATTAAAAACTTTATATGTATGCAGCACTGTAGTGAGCACTAAAAATAAATGAAAGAACAGTTCTACCTTAAGTGAGTTTACATGCATAATTTAAAGATACTTTTATTACACTTAAAAATATAGGACGGTATTTGCTTATATACTAATACAGTGTAAGCTATAAAAAAAGTAATTGCAGTAGAAATTCAAAGCTAAGTTGGAGTTGAAGTTGGGGGATGTAAACATCATGGAAGAACTTGAGCTAGGCCAAAAGAGCAACCATGATTCAAATAAGTGGAAATGGAAACTCTTCAGGTGTAAGGGAGCAGAAGATGGGTGGCAGAATTAGGATAAAAATATAAGTGATGAGAAGACTGCTTCCAGCGCAAAAGAATGAAAGTAGGGGAGCGAAGGGTTGAATGATTGAATGTCCTATGAGCATAGAGTCAGCTTCAGTTTTCCAAATTATAACATCCTTGTCTTGTTCCCATCTTAAAGGAAATGCTTTTGATTTTTTACTGTTGTGTATGATGTTAGCAGTGGGTTTTTCATATAGACCTTTTTATATTTAGATATTTTCATCCTGTTCCTAGTTTGTTGCATGTTTTTAATCATGAAAAGCCATGGAATTTGGTCAGATGCTTTTTCTGCATCATTAAAGATGATTTTTTTCCTTTATTCTGTTAATGTATATTACATTAATTGAACGTCATATGTTGAGCCATCTTTGTACCATTGACTACCTTTGTAAGTAATGTTTTATTAGCATAAAGTCAAGCTCAATTGTTTACATATTGTCTGTGGTTGTCTCTGTCTGTGACAGAGACAGAAGGAAACAATTATGACAGAAACCATCTGGTTTGCAAAATATGAAGTATTTACTATTTACTCTCTTCTGTGTGTGTGTGACGGAGTTTTGCTCTTATCACCCAGGCTGGTGTGCAGTGGCCTGATCTTGGCTCACTGCAACCTCCGCCTCCTGGATTCAAGCCATTCTCCTGCCTCAGCTTCCTGAGTAGCTGGGACTACAGGCACCCGCCACCACACCCAGCTAATTTTTGTATTTTTGGTAGAGATGGTGTTTCACTCTGTGGCCAGGATGGTCTCGAACTCCTGACCTCAGGTGATCCACCCGCCTTAGCTTCCCAAAGTGCTGGAATTACAGGCATGAGCCATCGCGTATGGCTACTATTTACTCTTTAAAAACATTTTCTAACCTCTCCTTCTAGAGTCATCAGTACAGACATCATTATTTAGTGTACATTTAGAAGATAATGGGCTAATCTTTACTGATCAACACTCTGTAAATTGCTTTACTTGATATAGTTATGGTTTATCTCCCTGTCATAACTAAGGGGTATAATCTGATTAAGGGAAGTTAAATGATGGTTTTATGAAAAATGTTAAGTTAAAGAATGAATTTGTTAATGTCCTTTCTAATTCAAGTTCATGGCTTATATTTTGAAATATTGTTATACTCATTAACCAACCTCTTTTCTTCTCCCCCCTTCACCCATCCTAGTCTCTGATAACCATCATTCTACCCTCTACCTCCATGAGATCCACTTTTTGTTTGTTTTTTGAATAGACAGAGTCTCATTCTGTCACCTGGGCTGCAGTGCAGTGGTGCGATCATAGCTCACTGTAGCTATCATAGCTCACTGTAGCCTCAAATTCCTGGGCTCAAGTGATCCTCCTGTCTTAGCTTCCTGAGTAGCTGGGACTAAAGGCATGTGCCACCATGTCCAGCTAAGTTTTTTACTTTTCTCTTTTGTGAGAGTCAGAGTCTCACTATGTTGCCAAGGCTGATCTTGAAGTCCTGGGCTCAAGTGATCCTCCCATCTCCTCCTCCCAAAGTGCTGGCATTACAGGCATGAGCCACCATGCTGGGTCAAGATCCATGTTTTTGACTCCCACATATGAGTGTGAACATGTGATATCTGTCTTTTGTACCTGGCTTACTTCATATAACATAATCACCTCCAGTTCTATTCATACTGCTGCAAAAGACAAGATTTCATTCTTTTTTATGGCCTAATTGTATTCTATTGTGTATATATACCACATTTTCTTTACCCATTCATATGTTGACAGATACTTAGGTTGATTTCATTATCGTGGCTCTTAGGAATAGTGTTGCAATAAACACTGATGTGCAGCTGTCTCTTCAATATACCTTCCTTTCTTTTGGACATTTACCCAGCAGTGGGATTACCAGATCCTATGATAGATCTACTTATAGTGTTTTGAGGAACCTCCATACTGTTTTCCATACTGGAGGTACTAATTTACATTCCCACCAACAGTGTACTAGAGTTCCCCTTTCTGCTTCCTACAATTAGATAGAAGGAGTAAGTGCTAGTGTTCGATAGCACAGTATGGTAACCATAGTTAGCAATAATTTATTGTATTTTTCAAAATAGCTAGAAGAGGATTTGAAATGTTTCTAACACAAATGATAAATATTTGAGGTGATGGATATTCTAATTACCCTGATTTGATCATTACACATTGTGTGCATGTATCACGATATCATATGTACCCCATAAATATGTACAATTATTATGCATTAGTAAAAAAAGATATACCACTCTTCTATTTTGCTAATTGAATTTTGTGTTTTTGTTTTCATAGGTGTATGTGGAATTTGATGATCTTGAATGGGATAAACGAGAGTGGGTTAAAGTTTATGAAGATTTTTCAACTTTCTTGGTGGAATACCACTTAATCTGGGCCAAAAGGAATGACCCTAGCCAGACTCAGGGATCAAAGAGCAAACAGATTCAGTGGCCTGCATTGGTAAGATCTATTCCTGTTTCATTAAGCATTTTCATTTGTTCGTTTAAAACAAAGAACAACAACAACAAAACAAAGGCCAGGTTTGGTGACTGACACCTGTAAAACTAGCACTTTGAGAGGCTGAAGCAGGACAATTGCTTGAAGCCAGGAGTTGGAGATCAGCCTGGGCAAAAAAGCGAGACCCCATCTCTACCAAAAAAAAAAAAAAAAAATAGCTGGATGTGGTGGCACATACCTGTGGTCCCAGCTACTTGGGAGGCTGAGGTGGGAGGATCACGTGAGCCCAAGAATCCAAGTCAATGTGAGTTACTGTCACACTGCTGCACTCCAGCTTGAGTAACAGAGTGAGACCCCATCTCTTAACAAAAAAAAAAAGAATAAATGAAAATTTAAGACTAAGAATTAAATAGAAGTTTAGATTCATCTTACTGATTTATAAATTAATATTTTTGAAGAGTCTCTGATGAATCTGGCAGAGATTTTAAAACACTGCCTTCATTTTGTTAAAACAACTTTAGGTGTCTCTTTGTTAGTATTCTGTCAGCGTATGTAGTTAATGAATAAGTTTATTCTATCAAATTAAAATATAAATTGGATTAAAGGGACCTGAGAGATAGTTGACTGTATGCCACGTGGAACAACTTTGCTGAATGAAACTTTGTTAAGTGGGAGATGGAACATACTTTGTATTAAAACATTTAATAACGAGTAATTCTTCTTGGTTTGTTAATCAGTAAATCATTGTGGGTGATAGATGTTTAATGTGTAATTATTCAGGTAATGGATTAAATTACTTATCAGGACATGTTTCATTTAAGAAAATATAATAATTTTCAGTAAATTCTCTGGTACTTTGAAGAGTTTTATTTAAGAAAAGAAACAGGAAGTAAACAAGGTCATTAAATTGTATTAGGAAAAGAGCCACATTCATTTAACTATTGTTATTGCTGTTTTCTGGCAAAACATCTAGCATATAACAAATTTGCAATATTTGTAAAGTTTTCTTCTTATGTTACTATCAAAGAAATATATTAAAAGCTGCTGAAACATTATTGCAGGTATTTGATATAACTAATGAGTTAGGGTAGTTCCTTTCAATTTTTTAAGCCTGCAAATTAACTAATTACAAGGATAGCTTCTGCTTGCTAATAATTTTAATGCATATAAATTTTCTATTTTAGTTAATCCTGATGCTTTTCTGTATAGAATAGAAATTTAATAGATCTGTTTATTTGATTATTCTTTTTTAAGAAGTCAGTGGAGATATGAATAAAAAGACAGGATAGGAAGGGAGGGAAGAGAGTGAATGGAATCAGTGGCATTTTTAAAAACAAAATATAATATTGAAAGATGAAAATAATATCTGTCTGTGACCTGCAGTTTCAATAGAAAATTTTGCATAGCAAACTAAAGAAGATAATTTTATCCATAGTAGGTTTTAAAAAATATTTAATGAGTATGTTGAATTGTTCATATAAAAAGTTTAAACCATTTTAAACTTTTATAGACCTTAACCCAAAAGCATGATTTTAATTTTATAGACCTTAACCCAAAAACTGGATACAATTTATGAGAAATTATGAATAATTAGATGTATAGGTGAATTTTATATGAGAATTCTCAAAAGCACGAAGCAGTAGCATCAATAATATGAAAAACTATACATCAGTATCAGAGTTAAAAAATTAATAAAGCTTTAGAAAAATCTTTGCCTTTTTGTTTTTTTGAGATGGAGTCTCACTCTGTTGCCCAGGCTGGAGTGCAGTGGCATGATCTCGGCTCACTGCAAGCTCTGCCTCCCGGGTTCACGCAGTTCTCCTGCCTCAGCCTCCGGAGTAGCTGGGACTACAGGCGCCTGCCACCACGCCCGGTTAATTTTTTTGTATTTTCAGTAGAGACTGGGTTTCACCGTGTTAGCCAGGATGGTCTCGATCTCCTGACCTCGTGATCCACCCGCCTCGGCCCTCCAAAGTGCTGGGATTACAGGTCTGAGCCACCGTGCCCAGCCAATTTTTGCCCTTTCTTAAAGGCAATTAAGATTGAGATGAATTTCTGTTGTATTCATAAAATACTGATTTTAGAGAGAATTTTTATTGGAAAATACTGTTTAATGATAATTTTGTCATAATTTTACAAAGTTGTTTCTGTTGAAAACCTCTTAGCCTTGAAATTAGGCCTACTTAAACAATCACCAACCTTTTCTTTTTAACTTTATCATATACAAAAGAAAAAGTGATGAAAAATTTGGAAAACACTGTGGTATGAAAGTAATAGAGGATTATCTTTTTAGTCCTATTACTAAGAGATAACTCATATATATTATATATATACTAATATATATAATTTTTGATATATTTTCTTATGAAACATATTGCTCTGGTTCCTTTTTTTTTTTTGCCATACTATTTATTTTATTTATTTAGACAAGATCTCACTTTTCCACACAGGCTGGAGTGCAGTGGTGTGATCACAGCTCACTGCAGCCTTGAACTCCTGGGCTCAAAAAAGATCCTCCCACCTTGGCCTCCCCAGTAGCTAGGACTACAGATGTGTGCCACTATGCCTAGCTAAATTTTTTTTTTTGAGACGGAGTCTTGCTCTGTCGCCCAGGCTGGAGTGCAGTGGTGCAATCTCGTCTCACTGCAACCTCTGCCTCCCGGGTTCAAGCAATTCTCCTGCCTCAGCCTCTCGAGTAGCTGGGACTACAGGTGCCTGCCATCATGCCCGGCTAATTTTCATATTTTTAGTAGAGACAGGGTTTTTCAACATATTGGCCAGGCAGGTCTTGAACTCATGACCTTGTGATCTGCCTGCCTCAGCCTCCCAAAGTGCTGGGATTACAGGCATGAGTCACCATGCCCGGCCCTCTGCTAAATTTTTTAATAAAAATTTTTAATTGTGGTAAAATGTACTTAACATAAAATTTGCCATTTTAACTGTTTTTGAGTACACGGGTCATTGGTAGTAAGTACATTCGTGTTGTGTGTTACCACTATTGTCATCCAAACACAGAACATTTTCTGTCTTGCAAAACTGAAACTGTACTCATTAAAGAGCAGTTCCTTATTCCCCCGTCTTCCTGGCCCACCATTCTACTTTCGGTCTCTGAGTATCTCATATGAATGTAATTATACAGTATTTGTCCTTTTGTAACGGGCTCATTTCACTGACAATGTCTTCAGGGTTCATGCATGTTAAACCATGTGTCACAATTTTCTTCCTTTTTATTGCAAAATAACATTCCATTGTGTTTATACACCACGTTCTTTTCATCCATTTGCCCATTAATGGACAGTTGTGTCACTTCCAGCTTTTGGCTATAGGGAATAATACTGGTATGAACATGGCTGTATAAATATCTGCCCAAGCCTCTGTGTTCAACTATTTGGGTATATACCCAGGAGTAGAATTGCTGGATCAGATGGTAATTGCATTTTTAATTTTTTGAGGCACTTTCATACTGTTTTCCAAGTGGCTGCACCATTTTTCATTTCCACCAGCATTGTGTAAGGGTTCCAGTTTCTTTACATCCTCACCAACATTTACTTTCATTTTTTTGGTATTTACTTTCTCAGTAGGTGTGAAATGGCATGTCATTGTGGTTTTGTTTTATATTTTTCTAATGCTTAATGTGATGTTGAGCATCTTTTCATGTGCTTCTTGGCCATTTGTATGTCTTTTGAGAAATATCTATTCATAAAGTTCTTTGCCTGTTTTTGAATTGGATCATTTGTTTTTTTTGGTGTTAAGTTTTAGGATTTCTCTATGTATTCTTGATATTAATCCCCTTTTAGATACATGATTTGGTAACATTTTCTTTCATTTTACAGGTTGCCTTTTTACTGTGTTAGCAGTGGCCCGTGCTGCACAAAAGTTTTAAATTTTGATGAAGCCCAACTTGTCTGTTTCCGCTTGTTGCTTATGCCTTTGTTGTTGTATTAAAAAAAAATTGCCAAATCCATGTCATGAAGCTTTTCCCCTTATGTTTTCTTCTAAAAGTTGTATAGTTTTAGATCACAAATTTTGGTGAATTAATTGATTTTAAGTTTGGAATATCATGTAAGGGTCCAGCTTTTTTTTACGTGTAGATGTCCACTTTTTCCAGCACCATTTGTTGGAAAGACTGCCTTTGCCCCAGTGAATGGTCTTGACACTGTTACAGAAAATATTTTGACTGTATATGCAAGGGTTTGTTTCTGGGCTTTCTATTCCATTCCATTGGTCTGTATGTTCTTATGCTGATACCAGCTCACTGTTTTGATTACTGTTGCTTTGTAGTACATTGTGAAATCAGGAAATGTTTTTCCGTCAACTTTCTTCTTTCTCAGGATAGTTTTGGTTATTCAGGGTCCCTTGAGATTCTGTATGAATTTCAGGAGAGATTTTTCTTTTTCTCCAGAAAAAGGTCACTTGGATTTTGATAGGGATTGAATTGAATCTGTAGATGGATCTGGGTGGTAGACATCTTAATATTAAGGGCTGGGTGCTGTATCCCAGCTCTTTGGGAGGCTAAGGCGAGAGGATTGCTTGAGGCCAGGAGCTCAACACCAGGCTGAACAATGCAGCGAGCCCCCTTCTCTGCAAAAAAAATAAAATAAAATAAGCCGAGTGTGGTGGCTCACGCCTATAGTCTCAGCTACTTGAGAGGCTAAGTCTGAAGGATTGCATAAGCCCAGGAGTTCATGGCTGCAGTGAGCCATGATTGTGTCATTGCACTCAAGCCTGGGTGACAGAGTGAGACCCTGTCTCTAAAACTACACACACACACACACACACACACACGTGTAAATATTAAGTCTTCTAGTCTTTGAACAGGGGTGTCTTTTTACTTATGTTTTCTTTAATTTTGCTCAGTTATGTTTTGTAGTTTTGTTTATTTCATCTTCTAGGTAATTTATTCTTTTTTGATGCTCTTGCAAATGGAATTATTTGTTAATTTCATTTTCAAATTATTCATTATTGTTATATAGAAACTAGTCAGCGTGAGCCTGTAGTCCTAGCTACTTGGGAAGCTGAGGTGGGAGGATCCCTTGAGCCCAGAAATTCAAGGCTGCAGTGAGCTATGATTGCACCAGGGCACTCCAGCCTGGGTGACAAACCAAGACCTTGCCTCAAAAAAAAAAAAAAAAAAAAAGCCAATTTTTATGTGTTGATTTCATATCCTGTTGCTTAGGTAATATCCTAGTCAATGGTGAAAGACTGAAAGCTTTTCCTCTAAGATCAAGAATAAGACAAGGGATCCCTGCTTTTGCCATGTCCACTCAACATAGTATTTGAAGTTATAGTCCAGAAATTAGACCAGAAAAAGACAAATAGCATTTAAATTGGAAAGAAAGAAGTAAAATTGTGTCTGTTCACAGATGATATAATCTTATACTTAGAAAACCATAAAGACTTCACAACAAAGCCTACTGGAACTAATAAATGAATTTGGCAAATTAGCAAGTACAAAATCTCTGCCTTCTTTTAAACATAGTTTTAGCTAACACTGCATTAAAATTGTAGATCCTGCTTTTTTGCCTAACATCTATCCTCTACATTTCTCTTCATGAGTAGTAATTTAGGATCATTTTTAATGGCTGCATAATATTTAATCTTATAATGACCCATTTCCTTAATGTTTGACATTGTAGTTTCCAGTTCTAGGGAGCATTATAAGCAACTGGGATAAATACCATTGCAAGCCTTTGTCTGCATCTCTGATTTTTTAAAATGTATATTCATAGTAGTAGAATTAATAATCACAGGGTATGAACTTGAAAGCCACAAAAATCTATCTCCTGACACTCTTCACAAATTGTGTAAAGGTTGTACTGACTGCCATTGTCCTCAGTCAGTGTTGGGGTGTTTTTATCTCACTCATCACACCCTTGTAAGCATTAATTATTTATTTGCAGTTTATCTTGTTTTAAAACACAAATATTTGGCCAAAACAGGAGGAGTTTTACATCCTAAGGGGATGCAGCATTGAATGTTACTCTTTCTCTGCTAATTGGATATTTGAAAATAATATTTCGTTGTTTCAATTTGCATTCCTTTAATAGGGTGAATTTTTTTCATGTTTATGAGCAACTTGTATTTTTAGTGAATTGTTATTTAGTACTTATTAGGGTTTTGAGTTTTTTATATTTGTTATGAGCTTTCTTTATATTATTACAGATATTATAACCTTTTTGTCATATTTCATAGTTTGCTTAGCCAGTTGTTTGATAGTAAGTCTTTTTGAATTGTATGTTTATTTTAAAGTCTATGCAATGGGATATTGTCATTAATTCCAGTAGTCAGGTTATGTGTGCTTGCCTTCCTTCCTTTTTTCTTTTGTTTTAGGAGATTGTAAAAATTAATAAACAAGTGAAGTGAGAATGCTTGTTTGTAATAATTAAGAAAATAGTCAATTTAAGTTTCATAAGCATTTTGCAAACATTTATATACAGTTGATATGACTGAGATTTTATTGTTTCCTTTTTTGTTCATTAAAATTTGGCTTCTTTAAGGATGTCTATAAACAGCAATTATAAAGTTAAGCGTTTTAAAATTCCTACAGCGTAATGAAATACTATATCTACAGATTTGAGAAATTTGAGGGATCTGTATATGAGATGGCAATAGAATGAAACAGTAGAAACTAATACTTTGTCTTTAATTTTCTACAAATTTAATGTTTCTATTTCTGTGCACATGATACTTGCTTTATGTTCTTTTGTATTTAAACATGTTTGTATTTATTATCTTCTTTCTAGTTGTTTCACTCCTCGTGTGGTACTTGTTTAATATTACATATCAGTTACGTTATCTTGTCTACCTCTTATACCTAGAAATTAGTGGAAACTGGCAGTGTACCTGCTGTTTCTTGAGATCATGACAAGACAAAAACAAATCCTGTTGTCTCATTAACATATTTTAAAGTATATTTTTTAAAACTTAACATAATTGCATCTTCAGCAAAATATGAATAGTATAATACCCAGGCTCCTTCTCTGGAATTGTCTGGTTCCTCTTTCTTTCTAGGATATCAGTAGCAAAACATTTATGGGAGCACCACATGTAAGATGCTGAAGTGGTGTCTTTTTTTGCTTGGTCCTGTACAATCAGAGTACCACTTGAGGCCATTCTAATGCTGTAGGCTGAGGTAACTTGCGTCTTCATGTAAGTTACTTAATAGATTGTTAAATTTTATTTACTTTTTAATAAAGTAAAATACTTGTGAAAGCACATTTATCGGCACCAGGGAAAGAAAGTGTTGGCATTCATAATTGAAATCAACGAATCACCTACCTAACTGGGTTAGGGCCCTGGCTCCATCTCCTTTAGGAAAACCTTCTGTGGGGAGTGGGGCTTCGACCCTAACCCAGGTGGGCTGTAACACTGCTGTGTTTTCTAAGGGGCAGAGTTTTCTACTACTTTTCCGCTGGCCCAGCCTTCCAGATCACCCCAACCAGTGCTCCTATATAACCATCCTGTGCTCCTATAGAACTTTGTTTTGTACCTCTGTTTTAACAATCAGCACATTCTGCTTTGTATTATACCTATTTGTTTGCATGTCTGTCTTCCCTTAATAGATTGTAAGTTCTTTGAGGACAGGAGTCATGTCTTAGTCATCTATGTATGGTTCCTTGGAGTCTAGCACAGTGCTTTACCCATCTCAGAAAGTAAATTCTTATTTTAAAGTGATGAATGTGCTGCAACCCAGCTAGTGAAAAAGAACCCTACTGGGAGTTATCACAAGTTTTCTGACTATTAACATATGATAATATCAAAGGACAGGAAAGCAGAATCACCCAATTGTGGTAAAACTGTGAGTTACCAATTTTAAACATGTCAATATATAATAAAAAATACTAAAAAGCTTATAATGCCAATTCTCATCAGGTACAAATTTGATTCCTGAAATCACCAAGGGGAAAAATGTAAAATTACCTGAAATGCGTTATTTTAAAGATGTTAAAGGAAGAAACAGAAGTCCTCACAATTGACTTAAATATTCAAATCTTTGATAATTTACTTGAATTTCTGAATTGAGTTTTAGGAAACTCAGACTACTTTTTCTCAATGTAGCTTTTCCTTCATAGATAGGCAATTCTGGTTCAACCAGGAATTGTGATGACATCATAAACACGTAAACTCTTAGCAATTTATTTATTTTAAAATATTCTCTTAGAGTGCTTTTTACTTACTATCTGTTCCAAAAGAAACCCCCTCAAAGGAGAATAGAGTTCACTGCTCTTTGGGACAAGATTACCTTTATATCCAGCAGTTATCAAAGTTGGTTTAGATTATGGCCTCAAGCAAATTTTACTAAAATGTGAAAATATGCCACCTTCCAAGTCAGAAATAAACTTTGGAGTATGTTCATTTAAAGAGTTTTTACATATTTATAATTGAATTTCCACAATTAGAATAAACAGTTGCATGTCTTTTTGTACTTTGTTAAATAATGAAATGGAAGTAATGACAATATAACTTCAGGATTGTTATTTCTCTACAAGGTAAAGCACTTTAAGAGATCAAATTATACATAATAAAATATTAAGCTTTTTAAATGATAAACTCTAATACTGGCATGTATTGCAATGAACGAGTTCACACACTCATATCTTGTGGATTATAAAATGACATTATTCTTTTGGAAAGTATTATGTTATAAGAACCATAAGAAGTTCATACTCTTTGATTCATTAATTCTAGTCTTAGGAAACGATGCTTGAAAAACAGTTTTTAAAAAGTGTATTCAGTTTAGCTAATGTTTGTCACGTACCTCATACGAATTAGACACTGTGGTGGGAGCTGCAGATTAAAAAAATGAAAGGTTTAATGTTATTAGAAGAAAGATGTTTATTGCAGTCTTATTAAAGAGGAAAAGAAAAATGGAACAACCTTGATGTTCAACAATTTGTGAATGCTGTTAAATTAATATTTTGGCATATTATGCAGCTTTAAAAGTGATAATTGTACATACTTTAGGAAAATGTAGAGAAAATTTAAGTAAAAAAAATTAATTACATCAGCACTAGAATTATGTATTTAAAAAGTCTTATAGACCAGGGACAGTGGCTCATGCCTATAATCCCAGCACTTTGGGAGGTTGAGGCGGGAGAATTGCTTGAGTCCAGGAGTTCAAGACCAGCCAGGGCAGCATAGCTATACCCTCATCCCTACCAAAAAAAAAAAAAAATTAGCCTATTGTAGTGGCGCAAGCCTTGTAGTCCCAGCTACTCAGGAGGTTGAGGTGGGAGGATTGCTTGACTCCAGGAGTACAAGGCTATGGTGAGCTATGATTATGCCATTGCACTCCAGCCTGGGCAATGGAGCAAGACCCTGTCTCAACGGAAAATATATATATTATAAAGTAATGGAGATCATTATTTTATATTATGGCAGAATTTTGCCTGACCAAAATTGTCTTTTCCCTAAAAAACAACTATTATTTCCTAGCAAATTGGAAATTTCATATAATGATGTTATTCAGTATTTTATATTTTGGAGGTAGTCTTCTTCAAATGAGTTATTTTAGTAAACTTGTTTTATGTTTCTGTTAATATACTTTGATAGGTATTATTTGTGTTTTGCTATTGCAGCATTTAAAAAACTGTCCTTAATATACAAAGAATTAACACTTAATAAAAATGACAGCTTAAACCATAACAAAGTAAAATATAATGAAGATTATTTAAGGCTTGTTTTAAGTCTGTCTGAATTTCTTGTTTACTTCTAGATTTGCATGGCTTGAACGTTAGAATTGGGGGGAAAATAGCAGTTATCAAGGAAGGTAGCATAATATGTTAAGGACATAGACTTTGTGGCATATTTCTTGGTTCAAATCCTGATTCTTCCATTTACTGTTAATGTCATTTATACTCTGTATGTCTCACTGTGTTCATAATAGTAATATCTACCACACAGAGTAGTGAAGATCAAGCAAGACAGTATATAAATAAAACTTCAGTATAGCACTGCAGTGAGTTTAGATAGGTGTACACTTTGAGAGAAACCTCTGTAAGAACACCCTCACTTCTGGCACTAGTTTCAAGTTTGAGGCATTCCCAAAACCATCCACAGGGTTGATAAATCACTGGAAGATTGATATAACTCATTGAGAGCTGTTACATTCATGCCTACAGTTTATTGCAGAGAAAGTATACGAATTAAAATCAGCCAGGGGAAGAGATGTTTAGGGTAGAGTCCAGACTCTTCTCCCTGTGCAGTCATGTCCAGCATTATCTTTTTATGTCCACAGTATGTGAGTTTCGTCAGTGAAGAAACTCATCTGAGTCTTTGATTTTCCAGTTTTACTGGGGCTCAAAATCACATACTAGCTGAAAGGTGTAGCTTTGGCCTCTGGGAGGTCAGACTAATAACTTTAGTTCTCACTTCTTCTGGAGGTCAGAATTGATACTGGAATGTCGAAAGCCCCCATTGTAAATCACATTGTTAAACTGTCCAGTGGCCAAAGCCTCCAGGCAAACAAAAACACTCCTATCAAGCAGGTACTCCTAAGAAGCAAGATATTCTAGAGCCCTGGAGATCATCTCTCAGTTGCCAAGGTGGAAGCCCAGGCATCTTTTTCTTCTTTGGTGTATAGGCTATGCCCTAGCCTTTGGCCTACACTCTTAAAGCAAAATGAATATATTTGAACGTCTACATTTAGGTTTTATATGACAGACATTGCAGTAGTAACTTTTTGAATATGCCTAATATTGGGAGGAGCCAGTGTTGAATAGGTGTACATTTAAATAAACAGTCAATCTAATTTATAAAGCCATTATGTACATCATTTTCTTGTACTAATTTAATTACTCATTTTCCCCCGGATTTACCACTATTTTTGTATCTTATGAAAAATTCATGCAGGACTATTGGCATAGAAATTAGTTGATGGGCTGGGCACGGTAGCAAACGCCTGTAATCCCAGCACTTTGGGAGGCTGAGGTGGGGGGTATCACTTGAGGTTAGGAGTTCGAGACCAGCCTGGCCAACATGGTGAAACCCCATCTCCGCTAAAAATACAAAAATTAGCCAGGTGTGGTGGTGCACTTCCATAATACCAGCTGCTTGGGAGGCTGAGGCGAGAATTGCTTGAACCTGGAAGGCAGAGGTTGCAGTGAGCCGAGATTGCATCATTGCACTCCTGGGCAACAGAGTGAGACGAGAAGAGGAGAAGAAAAGAGAGAGAGAAAGAGAAAGAAAACAGGAAGAAAAGGAAGGAAGGAAAGAAGAAAAGAAAGAAAGAGGAAGAAAAATTAGTTGATGGTTAACTAATTCTTCCTTAGGCTATTCATTTTCCATCATTATTACACCCTGAGGAGGCTTTAACTAAATTTCCTGATACATTAGATGATCAATATCAGTATTATAAGATTGATTTCTATAAGGGGCTGGGCGTGATGATTCATGCCTATAATCCCAGCACTTTGGGAGGCGAGGGTGGGCAGATCACCTGAGGTCAGGAGTTCGAGACCAGCCTGGCCAACATGGCTAAACCCTGTCTCTACTGTAGTCCCAGCTACTTGGGAGGCTGAGGCAGGAAAATCGCTTGAACCTGGGAGGTGGAGGTTGCAGTGAGCTGAGATCATGAGACTACACTCCGGCCAGGGCAGCTGAGCGAGACTCTGTCTCAAAACAAAACAAAAAAAGATTTATTTACATAAGGTAAATGAATCTTAGCAACAGTGTCACTTGTTATGCCATAGTGTGTTATGTCACAACGTGATGCTGTTTTATTACAGAACAAATCAGTAAGAATTGCAGAGGAATTTGCTATGCCGCCTCAGCAGAATTGACCCTTACCTGGATGCTGGATATTATCATGGATAGGTATAGTTACAGTGGGCCCTTACTCAGTTATTTCTGAGTTCCAAGTCATTTAAGAACAAAGCTACTTACCTTGTCTCAGTTCACAGGCTTGTACTAAGACTGGTTTCCCTATGTGCTGTTATATAGTAAGGTCTCCATGTTCGTGAATATGATGTATTTCTTTGGTAGCATTTTCCTGCACAGAGCATTCCAATTTAATTATGGAACTCTTCTGGGTACTGCTTTCCCCTGAGAATGTTTCTCCAACATTTCCCAGGACAGTATATATATTTCAGGTTTTCAGATTCAGAGAAGCAGTGTCAGTTAATGCCCAATAGTAAACTAGTTGTCCCTCAAATTGAAATTTTTGGGTCCAGAATCCTGATGGTTTTCCTATAAGCTCCAGTCTTGTGCTCCACACAGGACTGTTGTATAAAGAATTTGCCCAGCTTCTATTCTGTACTATTTGAAATTAATTTGGATGGGCTCAGGCATTTTCACTGGCTTTCAATTAGCATGTCCTATAAATATTGCCTGATAGGAAGATTTATATGTATTCTGTTTAAGTAGGGGAAACATTCGCCAGTCAGACGTAATAAATATCTCCATAATGCATTCAGGTGAAGGAGACACACTACTGTACATAAAGTACATTCAGACATTCTTATTTTAATCCAGAGTTTTACCTTGATCCATAAACTCTTGTGTTGTTATGTCTTTCCAGTATAACTGTAGCTCCTGTTAGGACTTCACCAACAGATTTGTAAGTTCTGTGCATGGGTCTCTCGTGGAAACATCTCTATGCTTAACTATTTTATCCATTTAAAAGCATTTGACTCTGGGTCCCCAGCTAGGGACTAGCAAGGAATCTAGGTCTTCTCTTCAGGCCTTATCTAAGCATTGGCTTAGGCAAGTTGAAGTTAGATTTTTCTTAGTCATTTTTGCCTTCCAGTTTTTAAAGTTTCCTCAAACTAGGGTGAATTGCCGGGTACAGTAGCTCACTCCTGTAATCCCAGCACTTTGGGAGGCCGAGGCTGGCAGATCACCTGAGGTTGAGAGTTTGAGACCAGCCCGACCAACATGGAGAAACCCCATCTCTCCTAAAAGTACAAAATTAGCCAGGCATGGTGGCGCATGCCTGTAATCCTAGCTACTCGGGAGGCTGAGGCAGGAGAATTGCTCGAACCTGGAAGGTGGAGGTTGCGGTGAACTGATATGCCATTGCACCCCAGCCTGGGCAATAAGAATGAAACTCTATCTCAAAACAAACAACAACAAAACAAAAACAAAAACAAAAAAAAACTAGGGTGAATAAAGCAGATTTGTTTAGGGCTCTTTAATGGAAGGAGACCAGCAGGGGCTCATTGGTCCACTCAACCTCTGAGAGTGCTGCAGTGTGACCTTTGTTTTGGCTTCAATATTTTATCCCATTTCTCAATAACTGTTTAAAGATTTACACCCAGCTGGGACTAGTCTCTTGAATCTCCTCTTTCTTTTTCTCCATTGTCTTATGAATCTTTATTGCCTGTTATTTTGGTAAGACTTTTACATATGGCAGTGGGTCTGTGACTACTGGCTATAACTGGATCTGGCCAAAAACCAGGCTTGGCCCAGCATTAGGATTTGCGTTTCTGTTTCGCTATTCCAGGTAACAATAATCAAGGGATTATATAGTAACTTTATTTATTGTTTATGTAACATTTTCTTATGTATCCAGTGACCCAGGCACCCAGGAGTTGGATCCATCATTTCTCAGTCCCACTGGTAACTTTTATTTCTACTAATTGATTGTAATACAGCTGTAGTTGGAGCTATTATTTGTAAATTCCACTGGTAATGTTTACCTCCATTAAATGATTATAGCACAGCTATAGTTTTATACCATGAGTGGCCTTGTAACCATCCAGGAAACAAAGGTTTGTCATCCCTCATTCTTTCTCTTCATTCAGTGAGTCAGCTTCAGCAAGTTAATGTCATTCTTGTGCCCACTTCCGATACCATTGCTGCAAGCTTGAGGGATTCCAAAACCAACCTCAGGTTTGATAATTTGCTAGAAGAACTCACAGAACTCATTATATTCATGGCTATAGTTTGTTACGTAGAAATGATACACATTAAAATCAGCCAAGGGAAGAGAGACATAGGGTGCAGAATCCAGGAGGAGTCCAAATGTAGAGTTTCTGATTGCCCTCTCTCTGTGGTATCATAGACAACATTAGCTCATTTCAATCACAGTGTATGACAGTACTCACAGAATATTGTCAAACAGGGAATCTCAGCAAAGCCTTTGGTGATCATTGTTTGTATTGGGATTTGATCACATACCACCCACATGGCTGACCTTTAGTCTCCTGCTGCTTCCAGAATGTCAAACTATTACCTTTAGTTATTCCTTTCTCTGGAGGTCACAGCTATTACTTTGTGGCCCAAAGCCATACTGTGTGCTGTTATATAGTAGGGTCTATGTGCTCATTATAATGATATGTTCCTTTGGTAGCATTTTCCTGCACAGACCATTCCCATTTCATTATGGAATTCTTCTGGGTACTTCCCATTGTAAATCACATTTTTAGATAGTCCAGTGGCCAAAGCCCCCAGACGAACAAAAACACTCGTATCAGCCAAGACATGCCAGAGGCCTAGTGATTGTTTCCCAGTAGCTGAGGGCAGAAGCCAGACCTCTTTCAATAAGGTTGATCTTTCACTGTATTAACACTGTATATAAAGGACTTTTATAAAAGCTTGTAGTTATGGTGTTATTGTCATCATCCAGTTTAATGCCCTCTTTTTTCCAGTAAGAAAAGAAAGGTCTGGGATAATCATGTTAATTGATTTGTTTACATTTTCATTTTAATTAGTAGCACAACTGAGAGTGAAAATGGAACCCAAATAGTCCATCTTTAGCATAATACTTTTTTTTCTCCTCTAGTGGAGCTTATACCTTGCCAATTATTGAATCTTGAACTCCTGACCTCGTGATCCACCTGCCTCAGCCTCCCAAAATGCTGAGATTACAGGCTTGAGCCACTGCACCTGGCCTGAATTACTGAATCTTACTGAGAATAATCATGGAAAAACATTTGTATTTTTTGATCAACCTAGTTTCAGGAAAAGTCTTAAAAGGAAAACAACCTAATTTTTATTTTAGTTTACTTCTGATCAGACAATTTAAGATTTGGAGATATAAATGAGAATAAACTAAAATTTTTGTGTTCAGGAGGTATAGAGAGTAAGGAGACAGATGTACAAGTGGAAAATGAAACATTCAGTTATAGAATAAAAGTTTATAAAAATGGGACAAATGAAGAGGAAGTGCCTGGCTTGGCTAAGGAAAAGTGATACAGAGGAGGATGAGGCTTGCTATGATTTTAAATGCTGAATTGGCATTTTCTGATCCAAAAAGGTTGGAAGGCGTTGTATGAGAAAACAGGTCCTGATTGGGAAATCCCAAGGTCTTGTGCCAAGCTGGCATAGGTAGAATAATTGTGATGGAGTGGAGTAAGCGGTGATCAAATCATAAAGGGTCTTGTGTTACAATAGAATTTTGGAAATATTCCTCCTGTAGGGAATGGAAAGCCATGGAACCAAAATTATCTGGATTAAATCATCAATTTTGTATTTTAAGTAGGTTGCTATAGCTGTAGTATGGTGGGATTTGAGAGCAGCTAGCACATTATCCTGTAATTCATCCCTTTGTTTGATCTAGGTGAGACTTGGATAAATTTGTCTGGTAAAACATGTGCTCGGCCACGTGTGAGGTGGCCTGTACTCCCAGCACTTAGGGAAGCTGAGGCAGGCAAATCACTTGAGTCCAAGAGTTCGAGACCAGCCTGAGCAATATGGTGAAACCCCATCTCTACAAAAAATACAAAAAATTAGCCAGGTGTAGTGGTGCCTTCCTGTAGTCCCAGCTCCTTAGAAGGCTGAGGTGGGAGGATTTCTTGAGCCCAAGAGTTTGAGGCTGCAGTGAGCTGTGATCCAGCCTGGACAACAGAGTGAGAGCCTGTCTCAAAAAACAAACAAAAAACCTGCTTATCTTTGCTTCCTCCAAAATCGCACCAAGATAGCAACAACAAAAAAAGGATGAACAGTAAGAGATAATGGTCACAAGATAGAAATACATTTTTAGAATGTAGGGAGTGGGTGTCAATTAGTGACCAATTTAACAGGATTAAAGAAAACTGGGCCAGGCTTCACGCCTGTAATCTCAGCACTAGGTTTTTGTTTTGACCCCTTGCCCACTCCAATCCCAGCACTTTGGGAGGCCAAGGTGGGAGAACCGCTTGAGCCCAGAAGTTGAAGACCAGCCTGGGCAACATAGTAAGTCCTCATCTGTACATAAAAGTTAAAAATTAACCAGACAGTCTGGGCGCAGTGGCTCACACCTGTAATCCCGGCACTTTGGGAGGCCAAGGTGGGCGGATCACCTAAGGTCAGGAGTTGAGGACCAGCCTGGCTAATATGGTGAAACCCAGTCTCTACGTAAAAAAAAATATATACAAAAATTAGCCAAGAATGGTGGCGCATTACTGTAATCCCAGCTACTCAGGAGGCTGAGGCAAGAGAATTGCTTGTACCCGGGAGGTGGAGGCTGTAGTGAGCTGAGATCATGCCACTGCACTACAGCTTGGGCAACAGAGTGAGACTCTGTCTCAAAAAAAAAAAAAAAAAAAATTAGCCAGGCATGGTGGCGTGTACCTATAGTCCCAGCTACCCGGGAGAGGCTGGGGCCAGAGGGGGAGGATCACTTGAGTCTGGGAAGTAGAGATTACAGTGAGCCATCACTGCACTCCAGCATGGGTGACAGAGTGAGACCCTGTCTCATAAAAAGAAAAACCTGAAATCTAAATGTCATCAGAGGGGAATGCTAGCAGATTTTAGAAAGGTTCAAAATCAAAGCCCCAGATGCTTTGCATGGTAGAAGTGATGGTGGGAACTGATAATGCAGGAATTGATCGAAAAATTGTATGGGTTAGGCGTGGTGGCTCACGCCTGTAATCCCAGCACTTTGGGAGGCCAAGGTGGGCGGATTCCCTGAACTCATGAGTTCTCAGCCAGCCTGGGCAACATTGTGAAACCCCATCTCTACCAAAAACAAAAAATTAGCCAGGCATGGCGGCATGCATCTCTAATCCCAGCTACTCGGGAGGCTGAGGCAAGAGAATTGCTTGAACCCGGGAGGCAGAGGTTGCAGTGAGCCAAGATTGTACCGCTGCACTCCAGCCTGGACGACAGAGCGAGACTCCATCAGGAAAAAAAAAAAAAAAAAAAAAAAGAATTGTATGAAGAGAAGTAGACTCCCAGTGCTTTCTTCATACTTCTCACAGTTGGCAAGCTAACCTCTTCACCACTTACAGTACATTCTCTCAAGAATATGAACAGTAGAGGTTCTGGCTTTAAGGACATTTGGCCCATCAGAATTTCTGATAGGACAAGTGCATTAAATGAAAATCCTTTTTCTAAGTGGTTCTTTCAGCCCCATTTATTTCATGTCAACCAGTTACGTCCCCCCTGAAATGATTAGAGGATTGTTACCTCAGGGAAAGTGAAGGTCCCTGAGAAAAGAACAATAATAAATACTGGTAATAAGTGCCCTACAGTAATACTCACCAAGCCACTCTCACTCACAAAGTGTTTTTCAATAGCTTTTTAGTGCCTCATGCTTAATTATGAATGCTTAGTCAGGGATCCTCAGTCTTCTAAGCACTGATCATATTTTAGGAATTATATATAAATACAATATACTAGGCCAGGCATGATGGCTCATGCCTGTAATCCCAGCATTTTGAGAGTCCAAGGCAGGCAGATTGCTTGAGCCCAGGAGTTCGAGACTAGCCCAAGTAACATAGTGAAACCATACCTGTACTAAAAAATACAAAAATTAGCCAGGTGTGGTGGTGCCCACCTGTAGTCCCAGCTACTTGGGAGGCTGAGGCGGGAGGATCATTTCAGCCTTGGAGGCCAAGGCTGCAGTGAGCTGTCATTGTGCCACTGCACCCCAGCTTGGGCAAAAGAGTGAGACCCTGTCTTAAAAAATAAATAAATATATATATAAATAAATATATATATGTGTAACTGAACTATTTAAACTATTGTGATTTACAACTAAGTTTTTGCCTATCTGATGGCAAGAATTGTGCACTTAAAGTTATTCAGTAGAGGCTGAATACCTGATACTATTAGCTGTTGAGTAGATAATGAATAAAAGACACTTTAGTTATGAATTAAAAGGAATTTCTTGATTTTATTGGTAAACACTTCTTTCAAACTAGTGATTTTTTTTTTTTTTTTTAGAGATGCAGTCTCACTCTGTTGCGCGTGCTGGAGTGCAGTGTCATGATTTTGGCTCACTGTAGCCTCCGCCTCCCAGGTTCGAGTGATCCTCCTGCCTCAGCACCCCTAGTAGCTGGGATTACAGACATGTGCCACTATGCCCGGCCAATTTTTGTATTTTTAGTAGCAATGGGGTTTTGCCATGTTGGCCAGGCTGGTCTCGGAACTCCTGACCTCAGGTGATCCACCCGCCTCGGCCTCCCAAAGTGCTGGGATTACAGGTGTGAACCACTGTGCTTGGCCCAAACTAGTGATTTTTAAAAAGCCAGTATTTCTGAAGTTGCATGAAAAAAGGAAGTGAACCATTATTCTAAATATCCTCTTAAATTGTTTTCCAAAATTAAGTACATTTAAAAGTAGATTTAAATTTTTTCTGCTCTATAATTTTGGACTTTGCTTTCCATATTTCTTAAGTGTATGAAATTGAGGAGTAGGATATTCTTTTTCTTTTTTTTTTTTTTTTTTTTTTTTTTTTAGTTGAGACAGTATTGTTCTGTTGCCCAGGCTGGAGTCCAGCGGCACAGTCTCAGCTCACTGCAGCCTCTGGAGTAGGTTATTCTTACTGAGTCCTTAACTTAAGACATGCTGTAAATAAAATTGAGAGGAAGCTGATTTTTAATTTTAATTGCTTTCAATTGAACTATTTGTCAAACCCCAGAGACACTTCTGCTTTTTATCTGACTTTTCTTTCTTTTTAGTATTTGATGTATACCAAGTTCTAGGTATACAAGTATCAAGTTGTTCATTTGTTTATGTACTTACTTATTTATTGAGACGGAGTCTTGCTCTTTTTGTCCAGACTGGAGTGCAATGGCGCAATCTCAGCTCACTGCAACCTCCGCCTCCTGGGTTCAAATGATTCTTCTGCCTCAGCCTCCCAAGTAGCTGGGATTACGGGCATGCGCCACCATGTCTGGCTAATTTTTGTATTTTTAGTAGAGACAGGGTTTCGCCATGTTGGCCAGGCTGGTCTCGAACTCCTGACCTCAGGTGATGTGCCCAGCTTGTCCTCCCAAAGTGCCGGGATTACAGATGTGAGATACTGCACCTGGCCTAGTTATTTATTTCTTAAAACATTAAAATAACTCACTTAAGTTTAAAATTAGAAAATTTAGTTATTCAAAAATAAATTTAAAAATTGTAGTTTTAAGCTACCAGCCAAAGTTAATATTTGAAACTGTTCATTTGTAATGACGAAGATAATGGAAAACAATTGAAAGTATTTAATGGAAACTATACTTTTTAGGCCGGGCTCGGTGGCTCACGCATGTAATCCCAGCTACCTGGGAGGCTGAGGCAGGAGAATCGCTTGATCCCAGGAGGCAGAGGTTGCTGTGAGCCAAGATCTCACCACTGTGCTCTAGCCTAGGTGACAGAGTGAGACTCTGTCTCAAAAATAAAAAAAGAAACTATACTTTTAAAATCAGGTTTAAATATATTTGAAACATGTAACTTTTGTGGTATGTAATATTTATCTTTATTAACAGTAATTTTTTTATAATATAAGCATGCCATCATTATCCAAAAACTGTCTACCTGCCTATCTGGTAAGAATTCTAATTAGTGATTTCTAATCATTTTGGTATGAACAAAAATGTTTGTGTTGGATTTTCATTAAATTAAACATACCTATTGTCAAATATCCTTTTAGGAAATTACTGCATGACTGCAAGTTTAGTCTTACCAAGATTGCAAGCCAAGTTTTAAAATTAAGGTGCTGGAAATAAGACTTACAAGGTTGGATTAAAACATATCCACAGAGTAGATTAGGTATATAATACCTGCTTAATACATGTTTAAACAAAGTACATTTTAAGATTTCATTTCTTTTATTCGGAGACAGGGTCTCACTGTCACTCAGGCTGAAATGCAGTGGCATGATTATAGCTCCTTATTACCTCAAACTCCTTGGCTCAAGTGATGCTTCTACCTCAGCCTCCCAAGTAGCTGTGACTTAGCGGGCTACTGGGGAGGCTGAGGTGAGAGGATCATTCTTCTAAGAATGCACCACCACCATGCCTGGCAAATCTTTTTCTTTAATTTTTTTAAGAGATGGGGGATCTTGCTATGTTTCCCAAACTGGTCTTCAACTGTTGGCCTCTATTGATTCTCCTGCCTCAGCCTCTCAAGTAGCTGGGATTACAGACACAAGCCATTCTGCTCCCTATTTTAAGATTTCTCTGTGGTATTCCTTATTGTTTTCTGTCTGCTATCTTTAGAAAAGATAAGGTCTTCCATACCTTTTTTTTAAGGAACAAAAGGTATTTTTAAATGCTACACTGACTGATAGGAAAATATGCAGATCCAATCTTTTTAATTCTCTTGAATCTAAAAGTACCGGGTTACCATATGGAAACAATACCAAGCCATCCTTAAAAAAGAGTTTAAATTCTAAATTGTAAGAGCAGTTATAACAACTTTCAGTACTTTCTTCAATAACTATATTTTGATTAGCATTTCTGTGACATTAGTAACTCTGATAAAATGATTTCATGAAACAGGAGGAAACGACCAACTCAATAGCTAGAAAAGAAACATTTCAACTAGATTAAAACAAAGTTAAAACTTGTACTGAGACCACAAAATTCCTATCATGGGTAATGAAAAGTATTCATTAAAATTCAATTTTTTATGTAATAAGAAGTTAGAAATTGGATAGTCATATTCAGGTAAATTGGTCACATTATGTGGAATGCAGAAAGAAACAAGGGAAATAAAACCAGTTCTACAAAAATGTTTTGTCATTATAAAAATATTAGATCACATTTTCAAAAATTAACTTTTGAAGAAACTGCTGTGTTTTAAGAAAATGAAAGTTAGTAGGATAAATTCTCTGTAAAACGTCCAGAACAAATGTATGAACATAATATGTGGTTATTACCATGATAAATGTGCACAACAGCTTAGAAAAATGTTAAATAGTTGTGAATGTAGAAATGGTGGTAGCCATGAATATGGCCCAGGCCAGTTATACCAATGGCTAGGTAATAGTGAGAAATTATAATAGCAATCTCTAAGATGATACTAAAACAAAATGTTACTTTCTAAGAATTAACATTACTAGGATTATGAAACAACTCCAATTTAAATGGGAATTTAGGTTCTCAAATATTCTAGTATAACAGGTGTTCCTTTCATTAGTATGGCTGCTCAAAGAATATGAAATGGATTTCTATCTGGTAGTAATATTCTTAAATTCACACAATTACCATGCTTCGGTGGAAATTGAAGGAGGTCATTATTTTGAAGGTCCAACATGGTTAGATTTTCTGTCATCTTCATTTTCGGAGGGTCCACAAGATACAATCTGATCGTTACTAATCAAAACTGTTTTAAATGTGAATGTATGTTGTAGAACTTAAGGTAGTATTTTGAACTAGATAGTTTTAACTGGCCGCCTTTCCAGACTGCCTTTAACAGCCCCTGGGTTATGGAGGTATTGCATTCTCTTCTATTAACGTTGAAACTTACCTGGGGACCCCACCCCACTCTTCTACTGCCATATGTTCAAACTTTTATACAGCTTTTTTTCTGTTTTAAAATCTTGTTTTTGTTGTGATTTTATTAGGATCTAAATCCTAATAAAAACCATATTACTGAGTTTTCATAATTTTTTCTTTTTTCCGTTTTTCCCCTATTCTAACCCTAATATATGATATATCTTAATTATATCGTATTAAAGAGACAGGATCTTGCTATATTGCCCAGGCTGGACTAGAACTCCTGGCCTCTGCCTTGTGAGTAGCTGGGACGACAGGTACACACCACCGTATCTATCTTCAGATTTTTTTTTTTTACCCCATTTCTTAAATTGTTATGTCATATTTCATTGTTTTATCCAAACATGACAATTAGTTGCCATTTACTAGAATTTAACAGAATGTTTAGATTTCTCAGGATTTCTATGATGTTGTAGAACTTTTCTGGTTTTGCCTATTTCTTAAGCCATAGTGAGTTTTATTTGGTTATAATCTGTGAAAAAATTTTCGTATCCTAAAATAGATGATAGTTTGGAATCATTTCTTGATTCCTTGACCTTTCCATTATAAGTATTTCCTATATCTATTCATCTCTTTTGTTATACTTGGAATTACTTGGGATTTTCACTTTTTCATTATTGTAATTCAAAACAGCCAAGAACAGCAAGCCATTTAAATATGAAGGGTGTTGATTCCATTTTTCTCCTGTCCAGAAATACAGTTGCCACGTCTACATGTGTTCTAATTTGAGAGGTTTTTTTTTTTTTTATTTAGTTCTTGGGGGCTGGCAGGGGAAGTCTGTTTTGGGTACTAAAAGTGCTTGCTTTTTTATGTAAGGAGTTTGTCTCTGTGTGTGTGTGTGTGTGTGTGTGTGTGTGTGTGTGTGTGTCTGTCTGTCTGTGTCTTTTGACATTTTAAACACAGCATCCTATCTGTGTTGGGAGATAATTTCATTCATTCAATAAATATATTTGAATACTTACTGTTGGCTAAGCATTATGTAGATACTGTGAATCTCTGCCGTCTGACACAAATAGGTAACTGCAATTGTGAAGAGTTTTATGAAAAATAAATACAAATATCTTTTGATACTCTTTTAAAGCACATTTATGCCGGGCTTGGTGGCTCATACCTGTAATCCCAGCACGTTGGGAGGCAGAGGCGGGTAGATCACCTGAGGTCGGGAGTTCGAGACTAGCCTGGCCAGCATGGTGAAACCCCGTCTCTACTAAAAATACAAAAATTAACCAGGTGTGGTGGCGCACACCTGTAATCCCAGCTACTGAGGAAGCTGAGTCAGGAGAATCGCTTGAACCTGGGAGGCGTAGGTTGCTGTGAGCCAGTATTGTGCCATTGCACTCCAGCCTGGGCAACAGAGCGAGACTCTGTCTCAAATAAACAAACACATCTGAATTTACCATTTGAAAAAATATATTTGTGTGACCATGAGGTCAAGAGATTGAGACTATTCCTGGCCAACATGGTGAAATCCCATCTCTACTAAAAATAGAAAAAATAGATGGGCGTGGTGGCACGCATCTATAGTCCCAGCTACTGGGGAGGCTGAGGCAGGAGAATCACTGGAACCCAGGAGGCAGAGGTTGCGGTGAGCTGAGGTCGCGCCACTGCACTCCAGCCTGGCGACAGAGTGAGAGTCCATTAAAAAAAAAAAGATATAATGTCAGTAATATATTATTACTAGTTCATTTTTGAAGGCATACCAAGTTCCAGATATTTTTCTCAGTGTTTTACATTATTCTTTTGAGGTAGACACTATTATTCTTGTTTATAGATGAATAAACAGGCATAGGGTAGTTAATTAACTTGCTAAAGTCAGAATCAACTGTATATTGAAGTTTGAATAGTTGTGAATAGTATAAAGTTAAAAGTGAAAATGTTCTCTCTTTCTCTTCCTGTATTTCCCAGGGGTATCCTTAGCTAACAGATTGTTACATGTTCTCAGACTTGCCTTCCCTTCCTACTCCCTGCCTCACTTTGCTTCCTTCTTTCTGGGTAAACATAAATATTTACCAAAAGTGTTGTTTTAAACTAAATAGAGAACTTATATACATATACAGCCTTGTGAATGAAATGCAATTTTGATATCTTATGATTGTAAAGTTGAAAGGCAGATGGATGAACAATGAAAAATAACAGTCCAAACCATTGTAATATCTCCTAAATCTGGTAAGCCCGAAGGTGCTTGTGCTAACCTTGAGGGTCCGGTCCACTAGGGATTTCAAGGAATCAAAGAATGCTTTCTCAGGTCTTTTTTGTTCTTCAGTGAGGGTCTGGAGTAAACTAGCTCAAAGTAATTCATTTTCAGAGTGAAGGAAGGAGGTCCTTTCTTTGATGATGAAGAAATCATTACAGATTTAGAAATATTTGTATTTCATGTGTCTGTATCTCCCACTTTTTAGTGAGTAATGCCAGAAAATATCTAGTATTCAGACATAACGTTGTGTTTGTAGGTAAAGTTTGTCTTCTACTTTGTAGTAGATGAAGTAGTTATTGGTCAGTAATATGTAGGTAGTTGTGTTACATATGAGTCTGGATTAAATCTTTTACAATCCCTTTTGTTACTGTAATGTAGCACTGCCATATGCTGCTATGTAGATTGTGTAACCCTAACACTATCTTTTAATTTTTCATGTAATATAATTGGTCTTTATGCTTAATTTTTCCTCACATTGGACTACAAGAAGTCCTCATTTAAATATAATTTATTTGAAGAACATATGAGTAATTTTGGAACACAAGATGAATTTATTTTAGAGAAATAGTGATGCAGTAGCCTGCTATTTCAGCTCGATTGTGGTTTCTTTGGGCTTTAAATCAGCTAGCCTTGAAACCTCATTATTGTGTAGTCCAAATAAAGTTGGACCTGCTTGCTTTCTCACTGGGCGCCCATCTCATTATTGTATATGATCTAAGATAAATGCACATGAGCACACATTACCTTTTTTTTTTTAATAAGTAACTAGGGAAAACATCATAGAATAAAACTTCTACAAAATCATCTTTGCATATCTTTCTTTCCAACCAAGAGCAACTCTCACACAGCTGTCACTGGAAAAGTTCTCTTTTCCAACTCCTCAGCTTTTTACTGTTGTTCCCTCTTTCACATACTGCTCAATTTTTTCTCTTCCAAGAGTAGCTTTCTGGTCTGTCTCATGTAAATAAATTTAGGCTCTGTTTCAAGAGTTTTATAAATGAAGGCAATAGGGATCCTTGTGATGATGGAACAATTCTCTGTTATGGTTGTGGTCATGATGTTAAATGAATCTGCACATTACAAAATTGCATAGAACTGCACAGCCATGCGCACACATATGCACACAAATGAGTATATGTAAAACTGGTGAAATGGAAATAAGCTTTGTGGTTTGTACTTAATGTCAGTTTCTTGGTTTTGAAATTATACTGTAACTATGCAAGATGTGACCTTTGCATAACATCTTGAAACCAGGTGATGGGTCCTCAGGGGCCTCCCTGATTTTGTTTTTTAATGCAATTTCTTATGAATCTGTGATTATTTCAAAATGTTTAAAAAAAAGTAGATAAGTTGGAACATGGCAGCACAAGTGAGAGAGATTAGAGAATCACTTGCTTTTTTTTTTCTAAGACAAAAATCTCTATCTTACTCAGCATTGTGCTGAAAGCCATCTTTATTTATTTGTTTATTCTTTTCCTGACACAGGATGTCACTGTGTCACCCAGGCTGGAGTGCAGTAGTGCAGTCTTGGCTCACTGCAACTTCCACTCCCTAGGCTTCAGTGATCCTCCCACCTCAGCCTCCCAAGTAGCTGGGACCACAGGTGCACACCACCATGCCTGACTTTTTTTTTTTTTTTTTTTGTTAAAGTAGATATGGGATCTCACCATGTTGCCCATGCTGTTCTTGAATTCCTGAGCTCAAGCAATCCACCTGCCCCAACCTCCCAAAGTTCTGGGATTACAGGCATGAGCCACCACACGCAGCTGCTGTCTATTTTTAATTCAGATATATTAAAATTTTTAAAATAAATATAAACAGAAAAAAGCAGTAGAAAATTTAGGTAGAAAATACTCTGAATAATAAAAAAGTAAATATAAAAGATGATTAAAATAGAAAAGGTATTTTTAAAACTAGAGAAAAAGTAAAATATACAAGTTTATGTAAAAATAAGTTTAGCATGCTCATCTCAGTTGTAATAAATAAAAAAGGATAAGATTGTTAAATCCAGAGAGCTACACAAATAAAAAATATGAAAAATTGGTTAAAATGAAGAAATGATTAATAAGATAAATTCAGCTACTTAGACACAGTAAATAATACAGTACATTCATAAACTTAAAAATTAAATAGGCAATATGTTCAAACAATAAAAATGAATAATTTTAGGTTAAGAAAAATATACAATTTCATTAGATTAAAAACTAGTGACTACCCTTCTCTTAGTGATAAGAGAGTTGTTAATTGTGGGGACAATTGATTCATGATCACCTTTTTAATTTGTTGAAGTTGTGGATTACTATTTATATTGTACTTAACCTTTGCAGTTAAATGCTGGATTACTATACAAATACCAACTCAGGGCCAGGCGCAGTGGCTCATGCCTGTAATCCCAGCACTTTGGGAGGCCAAGGCGGGCAGATCATGAAGTCAACAGATCAAGACCATCCTGGCCAACATGGTGAAACCCCGTCTTTACTAAAAATGCAAAAATTAGCTGGGTGTGGTGGTGTGTGCCTGTAGTTCCAGCTACCCAGGAGGCTGAGGCAGAAGAATTGCTTGAACCTGGGAGGCGGAGGTTGCAGTGAGCTGAGATGGCACCACTGCACTCCAGCCTGGCTACCAAGCGAGACTCCATCTCAAAAACAAACAGACAAAAAAAGCCTCAGTAATAAATTTAAACAAGGATTCCCTTGGCCAAGCATGGTGGCTCACACCTGTAATCCCAGCGCTTGGGAGGCTGAGGCGGGCAGATCACTTGAGGCCAGGAGTTCGAGACCAGCCTGGCCAATATGGTTAAACCCCATCTCTACTAAAAATAACTGGGCGTGGTGGTGCGCGCCTGTAATCTCAGCTACTCCGGAGGCTGAGGCAGGAGAATCACTTGAACTTGGGAGGAAGAGGTTGCAGTGAGCCGAGATCACGCCACTGCACTCCAGCCTGGGTGATAGAGTGAGACTGTCTCAACCAAAAAACAAAAAAGATTCCCAAAGTACCTGTGGTTCCCAAAGGAAGCAGTCAATTATTGTGAATATATTTCCAAATAAAAATCTACCGTTTCACCTGCTTTGCATAAAATCTGTTAGCATCTTCACATTAGTAGTAGATAGACCAAATATATTCATTTATAAGACTTGCATGGTCTTCCCTTTGTAGCCTTATGAACCACCATCATTACCGTGACCCCTTCCCAAATCTTATTCACAATTTATTGCTGTAAGTTTCTTTGAGTTCTTACAAAAAAATACTGTATTTTCTTCTGCCTAGTTCTATTGCATATACTGTTCTCTCTGCCTAGAAAGTTTTCCTAGTTAACTTGACTCATAGTTCAGATATTACTTTATGTCTTCATGAAAGGGCTGTCTACACCCATGGTCTTGATTGAGGAAAGTACTTAATAAATTTTCCTAACTTCATTTATCACACATGAAATGTAATATATTTTATGTTGTTTGATGACCATCAGTCTCTCCTCGTAGACTGTATGTCCCATGAATACAGTCGTCAGGATTGGTTTTGTTCAGTGTTGTGAACAATACCATTCCTCCATTAGTGGAACTCCGAATAGCATTCTAGGACCACCAGCCTACTTTTACCAAATTCCACACATACTCAAGTCCTGAAGTTGGCCCCGTAGAACACACTCATAAAAAGTCAGCCCTCTGTATACACAGGTTTCACATCCCATGAACACTGTATTTTTGATCCATGTTCTATTAAAAACTACGCATACCTATGCATTTCAAACCTCTCTTGTTCAGCGGTCAACTGTATATTATTTTTACTGTTTTATTGCTTTGCCTCTGTGCTGTATTTCCTCTGACTTGACTTCCAGTTTAAATTTTTTTTTTTTTTTTTTTTTTGAGACAGAGTCTCACTCCATCACCCAAGCTGGAGTGCAGTGGCTCTATCTTGGCCCACTGCAAACTCCACCTCCTGGGTTCAAGTGGTTCTCATGCCTCAGCCTCCTGAGTAGCTGGAATTATAGATGCATGTCATCACGCCCAGCTAATTTTTGTATTTTTAGTAGAGATGGGGTTTCACCATTTTGGCCATGCTGGTTTTTAACTCCTGGCCTCAAGTGATCCACCTGCCTCGGCCTCCCAAAGGGGTGAGATTACAGGCGTGAGCTACCATGGCTGGCCAGACTTCCAGTTTACTTATCCTTTTTATTGGTATCTAATAAACTTTTATCAATTCATTGCTTTTTGAAAATATGTCTATTAGTCTTTTATTTTTAGAAGCTCTGTGTAGTTCTTTTTCAATTTTACTTGCTCATTTAATTTGTTTCTAAACGTATTTCTAAACTTACCTTTATTTCGTTAAACACAAAGTACCTCAAGTTAGTCTGTGTTAATCTGTATCTGCTAATTCCTATGTCTAAAATTTTTTTGTTTTCTGTCTTCATTGGTTCTCAGTCATGTGACCTTGTTTCCTTGTGTATATTTTTTTATTCTCGCCCCTCCTTACTAGGATGAGATGGTTAGGGGAGATTTTTGAGAATGATTTAGGTCTAGAATGGAGGTAGGTTTCTCTAGAGAGGATTTGCTGTTGTGTCTGCTGTATATCTGGGGAGATGGCACTGATGGCCTTGGACTACATTAAATTGAAAGCTTGAAGTTTTTTGTATCACTAAAATGATGTGAATGAATTCATACTGGGACTGGTTTGTGGTTACGGCATTCAAGGATTTTTTTTTAAGCCGTATTTGCTCGGTGCTAACCTAGCTTTCCTTGCAGACCTGTGAAGGTAAAAAGAATTAGGGTAGGTTTACTTCTGGTACTCTGTTATCCCAATGAGTAGTTAGCCCTTTGTAGGTCTCTTGTTAGTCTTCTTTGCATGAACAGAGGGTGATTTTATGTTCTATTTTTGTTTCCCCACAAGGCTCTATAAACTTGATTTTGTTTGTCCCCATTCAGCAAATGCTCTCAGGGTAAAAGAAGAAAAGTCTATATACCATTCCAGCTTTTTTCATACGACCCAGTTTTGAAGTAAATGAAATTAATGTTGTCTAGGAATTATAATAGACCTCAAACTTGTTTTATACAAATTTAATACATATATTGGAATTATTCACGTTAGATTATGATTGGTTATAGTATTAATGGTTATAGGCTGGGTGCAGTGGCTCACACCTCTAATCCCAGCACTTTGGGAGGCCGAGGTGGCTGGATCACCTGAGGTCAGGAGTTCAAGACCAGCCTGGCCAACATTGTGAATAATACCAAATATAAATACCACTATAAATACCAAAATTAGCTGGGCGTGGTGGCAGGCGCTTGTAATCCCAGCTCCTCAGGAGGCTGAGGCAGGAGAATTGCTGGAACCTGGGAGGCAGAGGTTGCAGTGGGCCGAGATCTCACCACTGCATTCCAGCCTGGGTGATAGAGCGAGACTCCATCTCAAAAAAAAAAAAAAAAGAAAAATTTCTGTTTGTTAAGGCACAGTTCAGAGAAGAACAGAATCTATATCAAATGTTAATGTAATATATATAGATGTATATTAAATATGATTGCTTACATATCTAGTCATAAATACAGCACCAGAGTTGGGAGAAATATTTAATGTATATAAAAATTTTGGGCCGGGTGCGGTGGCTCACGCCTGTAATCCCAGCACTTTGGGAGGCCAAGGTGGGCGGATCTTGAGGTCAGGAGATCGAGACCATCCTGGCTAACATGGTGAAACCCCGTCTCTACTAAACAAATACAAAAAAATTAGCTGGGCACGGTGGCGGGCGCCTGTAGTCCTAGCTACTCAGGAGGCTGAGGCAGGAGAATGGCATGAAACCGGGAGGCAGAGCTTGCAGTGAGCTGAGATTGCACCACTGCACTCCAGCCTGGGTGACAGAGTGAGACTCCGTCTCAAAAAAAAAAAAAAAAAAGTTGGTTCTGCAGCTCACTAGCTGTTTAATTATGGGTGACTGCTTAACTCCCTCTGTAATTCTATTTTCAT
Source organism: Homo sapiens (assembly GCF_000001405.40). NCBI lineage: Eukaryota > Metazoa > Chordata > Mammalia > Primates > Hominidae > Homo > Homo sapiens. The sequence continues at coordinate 63,350,545 of NC_000010.11, read as the reverse complement.
ATCTCTACAAAGGAGAAAACAATAATACCAACTTCATAGTAATGTTGTGAGTTTTAAATGTGTTTACCTATATAAAATCCTTCAACGAATTCATAGTATTTCTTGGCACTATTACTATGCAAAAGTTATTTGACTTTGAAAAATGAAAAAAGTTATTTCGAACAGTAGTTGGTATTTAATCAGCAATAAAATTGGCAGTATGATTATCATGACAATAGATCAATCAGGTAAGGATTTTAAAAATCTGAAAAAACATAAACCCTTTAGTATGTATCTAATGATATTGGGTGAGAATAGCTTTTCCTACATCTGCCACTCACAAACAATAAACCCACACACAAGTCACTTATCTCATGAGTCAGGTCACCTTTTCTGCAAAATGGAGGTAATAAGGATGTTACAGAAAAGTATTTGGTTGTGAGATTCCATTGATAGAGAAGTGAGAAAATCATTTTATGTGAATAATATATTAAAATCTTATTCTTTTTGTCTTCTTTTATAGGTATAAATTTTTATGACATCGTAGGATGCTTGTCATATAGAAGTAATAAGTGCTTTACTTTTTAGTTACAAGCTTTCAGGATGGGGCAGAATGTCAAGAGTTTTTAAAAACCCTAAAGTTTTAAAAAATTTATGTAGATACTCTTTACCAGTTATCAATCTGTAATGTCAGGTATCTGTCAATTATTCTTTTAGTGAATTTACAGTATTACAAAATTCATCACTATTTTCCTCAATTCTGTATTTTATCTATACCTAACTGTGTAGCGCTTCTGGAAAATACTAGGTGTTTTTACATGTCCATTCTTTTATTCATACTTTTCCCCCACCTATGAAGCCTTTTCACCTATTTCTGCTAATTAAATCTCTAAAAATCCAGGGTAACTCATATAGTTCCCGCATTTCAAGGATTCCATTGGTTGCAATCAGAGACTCCTCTTTGTAAGTCTAATGCTTTTTATAAAAAGTTTCAACATTTACATGAGGCCTTGAGATACAGTTATTGCTAATACATGCCTGGCTATCCTACTATTCTATAAGCACTTTGAGGACAGGGATTGATTATGTCTTATTTATATTTTTTACTTTCTTCTCCCCAAGTGCTAGAGCACAATATCTTGAACATCATTGACACAGAGTGTATGAGAACGCAAAACTGGTATCGATAACTTCTGTTAACAGACTTTTGCTCCATACCAGGCATTGTGTAAAAACACTGTCTTAGTCCACTTGGCATTGTTGTAAAAGGAATACCTGAGACTGGGTAATTTATAAAGAAAAGAAGTTTTTTTGGCTCATGGTTGTGCAGACTGTAGAAGAAGCATGATGCCAACATCTGCTTCTGGTGAGGGCTTTGGGGAGCTTCCTTTTATAGTGGAAGGCAAAGGAGGGCAGGCATCACATAGGGAGAGGGAAGGCTTTTTTTTTTTTTTTTTTTTTTTTTTGAGACAGAGTCTCACTCTGTCACCCAGGCTGAAGTGCAATGGCGTGATCTCAGCTCACTGCAACCTCTGACTTCTGGATTCAAGTGATTCTCCTGCCTCTGCCTCCCAAGTAGCTAGGATTACAGGCACCTGCCACCACGCCTGGCTAATTTTTGTATTTTTAGTAGAGACGGGGTTTCACCATGTTGGCCAGGCTGATCCCAAACTCCTGACCTGAGGTGATCCACCCGCCTTGGCCTCCCAAAGTGCTGGGATTACAGGCATGAGCCACCGCCCAGACTCTCTTTAGTGATCAGTTTTCCTGGGAACTAATAGAGTGAGAACTCACCCATTATCTTGAAAAGGACACCAAGCCATTCAAAGGATACGTCCCCATGACCCAAACACCTCCAATTAGACCCCACCTCTAACAATGGGGATCAAATTTCAATATGAGATTTGGAGAGGACAGACATCCAAACAGTATCAGTCACCTTTGTATGAATTTATCACAACATCCTGAATCTTCACAACATCCTTATTATCTCCATTTTGCAGATAAGGTGACTTGACTCATGAGATAGGCGACCTGCATATGGATTTACTGTTTGTGAATGGCAGACCTAGGATTAAGCTATCCTGACCCAATGTCATTATATTTAACCAAGTAAACTATTTGTAGAAATGAATCATATCTCTGGATTATGTAAAGCTTTCTTGTTAGTCATGGTGTAAACTGAGAGCCAGTTTTAGTTCAGATAGCCAGTATATCTTCATAGTCTCATGGATTGGAGAGATGACTTTATCAATTCTCAGAGTTGACTCAGTGATACCTGCTTAAGATATCTGCCCTGGTCAAATGCCAGGACTTTTTGATGTCTTGATGACATTTGAATGCCTTTTTTTTTTTTTTTTTGAGATGAAGTCTCGCTCTGTCCCCCAGGCTGGAGTACAATGGCGCGATCCCAGCTCACTGCAACCTCTGCCTCCTGGTTTCAAGCGATCCTCCCACCAAGTAGCTGGGATTGCAAGCATGCGCCACCACACCTGGCTAATTTTTGTATTTTTAGTAAGTGGAGGTGGATTTCACCATGTTGTCCAGGCTGATCTCGAACTCCTGACCTCAAGTGATCTGCCTGCCTTAGCCTTCCAAAATGCTGGGATTATAGGCATGATCTATTGCACCCAGCGGTAATTTCTCTTGTTTTGAGATGGAGTCTTGCTCTGTTGCCTAGGCTGGAGGGCAGTGGTGCAATCTCAGCTCACTGCAACTTCCACCCCCTGGGTTGAAGAGATTCTCCTGCCTCCGCCGCCGGAGTAGCTGGGATTACAGGTGCCCACACCACGCCTGGCTGATTTTTGTATTTTTAGTAGGGTGGGGGCGTTTCACCACGTTGGCCAAGCTGGTCTTGAACTCCTGATCTCAGGTGATCTACCCATCTCAGCCTCCCAAAGTGCTGGGATTACAGGCATGAGCCACTACGCCTGCCCTGTAATTTCTTTTTTTCTTTTTCTTTTCTTTCTTTTTTTTTTTTTTTGAGATGGACTCTCGCTCTGTTGCCCAAGCTGGAGTGCAGTGGCGCAGTCTTGGCTCACTGCAACTTCCACCTGCTGGGTTCAACAATTCTCCTGCCTCAGCCTCCCAAGTAGCTGGGACTACAGGCGTGCGCCACCATGCCTGGCTAATTTTTTTTGTCTTTTTATTAGAGTCGGGGTTTCACCATGCTGGGCAGGCTGGTCTGGAACTCCTGACCTCGTGATCCACCCGCGTCGGCCTCCCAAAGTGCTGGGATTACAGGCGTGAGCCACCACACCCGGCCCGTAATTTCTTTATTGAAAAATTTTTACAAGGAGGCATAAAGTTGGAGTTGACAAAAATACAAAAATTAGCCAAGCATGGTGGCAGGTACCTGTAATCTTAGCTACTTGGGAGGCTGAGACAGGAGAATTCCTTGAACTTGGGAGGTGGAGGTTGCAGTGAGCTGAGATCATGACACTACTCCAGCCTGGGTGACAGAGTGAGACTCTGTCTCAAAAAAAAAAAAAAAAAAAAATTCTTTTCATTTGTTCTATACTGCAGAATAGTAAAAGCTCATTAAAAATGTCATCCCTGAGGGGCCAACTTTACTTTTGGTGTGAAAATATGTATCATGGAGGGCCGGGGGTGTAGGGGGACCTAAGTCCTGAAATTTTAGGACTTTCACTTTTTCCCAAAACTGTATTACTCATTAGCAGATGAACTTTAAAACTGCCTTTTAAAATGATATTTTAGTTGCGCTAAATTATGGTATGACACTGAATGATACGATAAGTCTCTTAAAAATAGTAGCCAAGTAGATAGACCAATAGACTGTTAAAAGAAAAACTTTCAGACAAATTTTACAATTTAACTGAGCAAGGAAAAATGATTCACAAATTGGGTAGCCCTTAGAGCAGATTCAGAGAGGCTGTGGTACTGCTGCATGGTCTTAGAGAATTTACGGACAGAAAAAGAAAAGTGATGTATAGAAAATGGAAATATGAGGTACAGAAGTGAATTGGTTATAGTTTATTTGCTTTATTTGGCAAAATGAACATGGTTTGAACAGTTGGTTATTCATGAGTGGTTGAAGTATGGCTGCTGTGGTTGGCTGAGATTTAGCTATTGTTACAGAAGCATATTGCTAAGTGAGAATTTGCTTACCTAATAAGTTAGGTTGCAGTTCATACATAAGAACCCAAGTATGCTTTAGGGCTGTTTCAGGCCAGATTTTGATTTAACAAAACTAGTGTCACTCATAGGCTTTAGAGCCTCCTCTTCATTTATCTTATGTTTCCCCTTTTCATGGCTTTATTTTAGTTGCTTCTCAGCTACTCAGAGAAATCTCTGTATCTTGTAGTATCTAATCACACTTTAAAAAAATGATTCATTTCCCAGTGGGCAGAGTAGCACACAGCTGTAGTCCCAGCTACTTGGGTGACTAAGTTAGGAGAATCTCTTGAGGCCAGGAGTTCAAGGCTGTAGTGTTCTATAATTGCACCACTGCATTCCAGCCTGGGCAAGATAGTGAGACCCCATTTACTGATTATAAGATTTAAAAATATCTGCTGCATGATTTGTGAAAAACACAGAAAGTCGTAAGGAGTAAAATAAATCATCTTTAATTTTTTTTAAAGTTAACCACGGTTAAGAGTTGGGTCTGTTTCCTTTTATTCCGTATGTACCTTTTTCCCTGTCTCCTTTAATTAGTACTGAGTTAAAGACCGTGCTTTACTTAGTACTTGAGTATGATTTCTGGAAAAAAAAATTACTGGTTTTATAAAAATGTGTGTACACTAAAATTCATTTATTTTACCATGTACAATTTTTTGAGTTTGGGCAAATTCATAGACTCAGGTAACCACTGCCACAATCAAGATACAAAATAGTTCTCTTACCTTAAAAATTTTCCTGTGCTGCCCCCTTGTAGTTGTCTCCCTACTCCTAACCTCTGGCTAGTTTCTGCATTTTTCAGATCATTGTATAAATGTAATGATAAAGTATATAACCTTTCAAAGCTGGCTTCTTTCTTTCATTCATTAATTTTGAGATTCATTTATGCTGTTCCATAGATTGGTAGTTTGTTCCTTTTTTTTGTTTTTTTTTTTTTTTTTGAGACAAAGTCTCACTCTTGTTCCCCAGGCTGCAGTGCAATGGCACAATCTTGGCTCACTGCAACCTCCCGCCTCCTGGGTTCAAGCGATTCTCCTTCCTTAGCTTCCCGAGTAGCTGGGATTACAGGTGCCTGCCACCACGCCCGGCTAATTTTTGTATCTTTAGTAGAGACAGGGTTTCACCATGTTGGCCAGGCTGGTCTTGAACTCCTGACCTCAGGTGATCCGCCCACCTCGGCCTCACAAAGTATTGGGATTACAGGCGTTAGCCACTGCACCCAGCCAGTTTGTTCCTTTTATTAATGAGTATTCTGTTGTATGGATATACCACAGTTAGATTATCCATTCACCCGCTAACAGATACCCATTCTACTTTTGAGTGATTTTGAATCATGCTCCTAAAAACATACATATACAGATTTTTGTGTGAACATACATTTTTATTTTATTTGGGCAGATATCTAGGAGGGGTATTGCTGGATTGTATGGTAAGAATATATTTAATTTTATAAATAGCAGCTGCCAAACTATTTTCCAGAGTAGCTGTACTATGTTTAATTCCCACTTGAAATGTTTGAGAGTTCCAGTTGATCTGCATCCTCACCAGAACTTGGTATTACTAGGGTTGACTTTTATTTTTTATAGGCATACTGTTAGATATGTAGTGGTACAGCATTGATTTAATTTTTTTTCCCCTTGTGGTAATAGGTATTGAATACTATTGGTGAACTTTTTTACCGTCTATTTTTTTTTTGGAGACATGCTTGTTTAAATCATTTTTTGTTGTTTTTCTTATTTTTAAGTTGTAATGGTTTCTTTTCAACTTTGAATGTATGTCCTCTTTCAGATACATGGCCTTCTACCAGTCTGTAGCAAAAGATCTTAATTATCATGAAGTTTATGTTTTTATTTCTTTCATGGGTCAGATTTTGGTGTCATACCTAAGAACTCATTGCTGTGATCACAAAGGTTTTTTTCAGTTCTCTTTTACGAATAGCCATGCATCACTTAATGGAGGGGATACATTCTGAGAAATGTGTCCTTAGGTGATTTCTTTGCTGTGTAAACACCACAGAGTGTTCTTACACAAACCAAGATGGTTTGCCTACTATATACTTAGGCTATATGGTATGGCCTGTTGTTCTGAGGCTACAAACCTGTGTAGCATGTTACTGTACTGAATATTTTAGGCAATTGTAACACAATGGTAAGTTTTTGTGTATCTAAACATAGAAAAGGTACAAAAAAATATGATATAAAAGGTAAAGGAAATACTATACAGGTTACTTACCATGAATGGAGCTTGCAAGACTGGAAGTTGCTGTAGGCATGTCAGTGAATGAGTGGGAAGAGAATGTGAAGGCCTAGAATGTTACTGTACACTACCGTAGACTTTATAAATGCTGTATACCTAGGCTATCCTATATTTGTTTTGTTTGGTTTTGTTTCTTGAGACAGGGTCTCTATCTGCTGCCCGGGCTGGAGTGTAGTGTTGCTGTCTTGGCTCACTGCATGCTTGACCTCCCAGGCCCAAGTGATCCTCCCACCTCAGCCTCCCAAGTAGCTGGGAGTACAGGCACACACCACCACACCTGGCTAATTTTTGTAATTTTTGTAGAGATAGGGTTTTGCCACATTACCCAGGCCGGTCTTGAACTGCTGAGCTCCAGTGATCTACCCACCTCAGCCTCCCAAAGTTATGGGATTATAGTTGTGAGCCATTACGCCTGGCCCACTAAATTAATTTTTTTTAAAAATAATTGCAGTACAGTGTTATAATGGCTGTGCAGTGTCACCAGATAGGAATTTTTCAGCTCCATTGTAATTTTATGGCACTGCCTTCATATGTGGTCCGTTGTTGACTGAAATGTCATTATTCAGCATATGACTGTACTTTAGTTTCATATTTTACATTCAAGCTAAGATGATTAGAGTAGAAGCAGCGATGTAAGGTATATATATTAACAAAATCTTTTTATGTATATATTGTCTGTATGTGTATGTGCTTTATTAATGATACCAGAAAAACAAATGAAGTCACCAGCCAACCTAGGCTATATGTACTTCATTAGTCCATGTGTTAGCATACATTAAAATCTGTTTTTTTTTTTGTTTTTTTTTTGAGATGGAGTTTCACTCTTGTCACCCAGGCTGAAATGTAATGGTATGATCTTGGCTCACTGTGTCCTCCACTTTCTGGGCTCAAGCAATTCTCCTGCCTCAGCCTCCCGAGGAGCTGGGACTACAGGTGTGTGCCACCATGCCCAGCCAATTTTTAAAAAAATTTTTTGTAGAGACAGGGTTTCGCCATGTTGTCCAGGCTGGTCTTTAATTCCTGAGCTCAAGCGGTCTGCCTATCTTGGCCTCCCAAAGTTCTGGGATTGCAGACGCGAGCCACTGTGCCTGGCCAAAATCAGTTATTTTTTTAATGCAGGTTGAGTATCCTTATCCACAATGCTTGGGGCTGGAAGTGTTTTGGATTTTGGATTTTTTCAGGTTTTAGAATATTTTCATATACTTGAGATATCTTGGGGAGGTGACCCAAGTCTAAACACAAAATTTGTTTATATTTTGTATACACCTTATATACATAACCTGAAGGTAATTTTAAATAATATTTTAAATAATGGTGTGCATTAAACAAAGTTGTGTACATTAGAAAGCAAAATTATCACTATTGCAGCCACCCATGTGGACAGTCATGGTTATCACCATTTTTGAATCTGAAATTATATGCTATTGATAAGTAATCATTTTCTTATATTTATTCACACAAAACTACTGAACAGTAAAAATATGAAATATCATTAGTACAGTGAAGAAATAATGTGTTCACTGTAACTAATCAGCACAGTAGCATTACCAGAATACCTGTATCAGATATTAACAGCAAGAACAGACAACAGGCTTTCAGTCTCCACCTCTGATGCTGTGTTTTGATTAAAAGGTTACTGTACATTGTATTTCTTTTAGGTGAGAAGAAAGCTTAGAAGCATTTGAGGACCAGGAAGTGGGTCCTCTAGTGATGAGGAGGTATTCTGCTAGATGGCTTTTTAAAATGTTTTCCCCAGTGTCATCTGCCTCATTAACAATGGTTTTTGTCTTAGAGGTCTCTCTTTGATTTTATAAACTGACATGATTTCTTGTTCTGTTATGAATGCACAATGCTTTAGTCCTTCAGTAAGCCCATCACACATTTTTACCATGTCATGCATAGGCACTTTTTCCTGCAGTGTTTAACAATGTCATCTTCATTGTCACTTATTATAATCACTTTGACTCAGAACCATTTTGGCTATTTCACTATTGGTTAATGAATGAACAATTGGAATATCATTATCAGTGTCAAAGTCGTCTTCGTTATCTACTTCCTTTAGCTTACTGATGGACAGTGATGGAATTTGTTTTGCATATGTAAGAAGGTTGGAAACTTTTTTCTCACTTGACACACAGAATTCTTCAAAGTCACCATTTGTTCACCATCATCACTGAATATAGTTACAAGTCACCATTTGTTCACCATCATCACTGAATATAGTTACAGGCACACATAACTGCATCATTAGTAACTGTGTCCAAAGCGTTGGCAACAGCGTATGTGGCATCTTCACCTTTTTTGAAAACCTTCCACACCTACAGTTCTGTTTTACTGCTGTTAGCATGTCGTTCAAGAACGTGTGTTAATATTTACTCGTTATTGATCTAAAGATACCCTGGTCGCATGGCTGAATTAATGAAGTCACATTTGGGGGAAAGTACATGACACGAACATTATTTTTAATGAGAATTTCAGCTGAAGGATAATTAGAACAGTTGAAGGAATAAGAAAATCTTGCAGTCATCATTCTGTCCAGCTTCTCTGCAGTGAACATGAGCTACTGGTAGAGAATGTTTGTGAAACCATTCAAAAAAGATGTCCCATTCCTTTTCATTAGCTTAATATGGGCTGGTAAGAAATTCACTCCTCGAAAACAGGGAGGACACAAGTTTTTGCCTGTCATAGGAAGTGTACATTTATGTATGCATATTGTATTAACGTATCCCAACACAGTTATTCTGTCCTTGGCATCCTTAATGCCTGTAGAGGCTGTCTCATCAGCTGTAGTCAGTGTCTTTCTAGGGCAGTAACGCCACAACATTGATGTTTCATCAGTATTATAGATTTGTTCTGGCGTCACATTTTCATAAGCAATGACCTTGGCAAATTTGTCAATGAATTTCTGTACTGCTTCATGATCAGCAGATGCTTTATCACCATAAACCTTTAAAAATGCAATGCTGTGCCTTTTCATAAATTTGTGCAACCCACCTATTGAGTATTTATAGTTCCCTTCAGTTTTTCAGCTCATCCGGATGGATATTTGCTTGTGTCATGATCAGAATACCATTAAGTGGCATTTGTTCACTGTGACACTGTTGGATTCATTCTTTTAATACACAGTTGAAATCTTCATTTTTAGCTTTGTACAGCATTTCTCACTAACTTCTGTTTATGAATTTCAGCATGTAACTAACTGTCTTTTGTTTCTTCTACTTTTTTTTTAAGATGGAGTCTTGCTCTTTTCGCCCAGGCTGGAGTGCAGTGGCGCGATTTCAACTCACTGCAACCTCCATCTCCTGGGTTCAAGCGATTCTCCTGCCTCAGCCTCCCAAGTAGCTGGGATTTCAGGTGCCTGCCACCACGCCCAGCCAATTTTTGTATTTTTAGTAGAGATGGAGCTTCACCATGTTGGCCAGGCTAGTCTCAAACTCCTGACCTCAGATGATCCACCTGCCTTGGCCTCCCAAAGTGCTGGGATTACAGGGGTGAGCCACTGCGCCTGGCCTATCCTTTTGTTTCTTCACGTTATATTAATATATGGTGGTCATGCCAGCACCATACTGTTTTGTAAGACATGTTACAGTTACACTGCTCTCCAGTTTCTCTAACAACTTGACTTTCTGTGATATAAACATAAATGCCTTCTCTCTTTTTAATAACCGTTACCCGTAGGAATATCTGAAGGACTTTTTGACATTTTCAATAGTATCTTTACACCACAGAGCAGAGAATAAGTAAAAAAACAAAAAACCACACACACACAGTGAGCAATGCACATAGGTCTTGGCTCCATGTGGAGCCTGCCATTGTCATGTCCTGCCTGTGTATGTGCCATTTTGGCCAACTTTATGTGCACACATGTGTGGGGTAATCTGGGCGTATTCAGAAAAGATATATTGCAGCTAAAGGGGGCTGAGAGGGTCTTTTTTTCCCTCAGGGTTGCTGAATAAACTGTGTGTTTGTATGCCTGCATTTTGTCTGTGAATTGTCACATGAGGTCAGGTGTGGAAATTCCCACATGTGGTGTCATTTTGGTGCTCAGACATCAGATTTTCAGATTAGGGATGCCCAACCTATATATGTGTAATTTACTTATTATTTATTTATTGAAATGAAGTCTCACTCTGTCACCCAGGCTGGAGTGCAGTGGCGCTATCTCAGCTCACTGCAACCTCCGCCTCCTGGGTTCAAGCATTTCTCCTGCCTCAGCCTCTCAAGTAGCTGGGACTACAGGGACTACAGGTGCATGCCTGTAATGAGAATTTCAGCTGAAGGATAATTAGAACAGTTGTCAAGGAGTAAAAAAATCTTGCAGTCATCATTCAGTCCAGCTTCTCCGCAGTGAACCTGAGCTACTGGTACAAAATGTTTGTGAGACCACATCCGGCTAATTTTTGTATTTTTAGTAGAGACGTGGTTTCACTATGTTGTCCAGGCTGGTCTTAAACTCCTGACCTCAAGTGATCCACCTGCCTTGACCTCCCAAAGTGCTGGGATTATAGGCGTGAGCCACTGCGCCTGGCCTACATTTAATTTTTTTTTTTAAATTAGAGATGGTGGTCTCACTATGTTGCCCAGGCTGGTCTTGAACTCCCTGACTCAAGGGATCCTCCCATCCCTGCCTCTGAAAGTGCTGGTATTACAGGCGTGAGCCAGCACACCTGGCCTCAACCTATATACTTAATGTATTTCTTGTTTTTGCATCTACTCTAGTCATTATCTCAGCCTGCAATGTGTTTTGTTCATTCCTCCACCATTTTCTCATACCGTGTATATGCAAGTGTTATTTTTTCAAGGTTTAGTTGAAGCTCTATTTTTTTTGTCACCCTCACTTTTCTTGATCTTATGTCTAAGAATGAGAAATGGTTTAAAGAAAAATACAGGATATAGCTAGTATATAATTGCTTACAGCACTGTTTCCTAAGATGTCTGTATTTGCCTTAGTGCAGCAAGTCTCTTCAGTGAATCTCTTATTTTGCTCCTTTACATTGGTGTATACAGTACCATCTTCTCCCTGTTGGGCTGGCTAGATCTGTTAGGCAGGTGGTAAAGTGGTATCTACCAGCTTGTAGAATGGTAATAGAAATATATTTTTTGTTTTTTTACCATAAACAAGGGGCCTCTTGGGATGAAGAAAACATATTTGCTCATTCTCACATCTTCATAAAGTGAAACAATAATCTTTCATACTACACAAGATGAAGAATTAAACTAAAGGCTGGGTGCAGTGGCTCACGACACCTGTAATCCCAGCACTTTGGGAGGCTGAGGCGGGTGGATCACCTGAGGTTGAGAGTTCAAGACCAGCCAGACCAACATGGAGTAAACCCTGTCTCTACTAAAAACAGAAAGTTAACTGGGCATGGTGGCACATGCCTGTAATCCCAGCTACTTGGGAGGCTGAGGTAGGAGGATCGCTTGAACCCAGGAGGCAGAGGTTGCGGTGAGCTGAGATTGCACCATTGCACTCAAGTCTGGGTAACAAGAGCGAAACTCTATCTCAAAAAAAAAAAAAAAAAAAAAAAAATCTAAGGAGCAGAAAGATATTTGATTATTCAAAATGTTTAAAGTTTGTAGTGGCTAATGTAGCATGTGTAGTCAGCCCTTAAGCTTCCTTGAAATGATGCCACTATATCTAGGTCTATCTTAGCGGTGCCTACTTAAATTTTATCTGAAAAGTTTCAAAAACAGCCAGGCAACAACAACAAAACAAATCATTAAGATCCAAATCAAGGGCTGAGAATGGTGGCTCATGCCTGTAATCCCAGTACTTTGGGAGGCTGAGATGGAATAATTTCTTGAGGCTAAGAGTTCAAGAGCAACCTGGGCAACATGGTGAAACTCCATCTTATAAGAATTTTTTAAATAAGCTGGGCATGGTGGTGCACATTTGTAGTCCCAGCTACTTGGGAGGCTGAGGCAGGAGGATGGCTTGAGCCCAGGAGCTTGAGGCTGCAGTGAGATCTGATTGCACCAGTGCACTCCAGCCTGAGTGACAAAGTGAGACTCTGTCTCTTAAAACTGATGATATTCAGATTTACTCTAAAGAGCTCCAGATAAACTCTTTAGAAATAGTATTTCTGTTTATTTATGTTGGTCTTTTACCGCTGTGAAAAGAAAACTTGGGTTAGTGGTCAGCTGACATGGGTTTTACTCTCAGCTTTCTTTATGAAGATTATGAGCTTGTATGTTATTTAACCTCTTATAGTTTTACTTGCCACATCTTCATCTTGAGATTCTTATGGTGATTAAGACAATGAATATGAAGTGGTTTTAGTTTACAATTTTAAATTATCAAATACTTTGCGAAGAGATTTCTTACTATAGTAATAACAACAGAATGTCACTAAATATACCTTACCTCTGGGAGAAAAGGGCATGAGAGCATGATCACACATCTTCTGGCTCATCAGCTTGCTCTTCCTCAAGTGGTAGGAAGAATGAGGGAATCTGTAATCTATATGAGGCTTCCCCAAGGAACAGGACTGCCACTGTTAGTGGATTACTGTGAGGAACAATAGCGGATTTTTTTTCTTTTCTTTTTCTTTTCTTTTCTTTTCTTTTCTTTTCTTTTCTTTTCTTTTCTTTTCTTTTCTTTTCTTTTCTTTTCTTTTCTTGTCCTCTCCTCCCCTCCCCTCCCTTCCCCTCCCTTCTCCTCCCTTCTCTTTTCTCTTCTTTCTCCTTCCCTCTCTCTCTCCCTCCCCCCCCCCCGCCTTCTCTTTCTTTCTGACGGAGGCTCACTCTGTCACCCAGGTTAGAGTACAGTGGCAAGACCTCGGCTCACTGCAAGGTTTGCCTCCCAGTTTCAAGCAATTCTCCTGCCTCAGCCTCCCGAGTAGCTGGTACTACAGGCGTGTGCCACCACGCCCGGCTAATTTTTATATTTTCAGTAGACATGGGGTTTCACCATATTGACCAGGCTGGTCTCAAGTGCCCAGTCTCAGTGGTGCCCGTGCCGGTCTCAATGGTGGAGTTTCTATGATTTTACAAAGCATTTCTTAACTTGGAAGTTAAGAGGGCTAGAGTTGGCCAGGCATGGTGGCTCACACCTGTAATCCCAGCACTTTGGGAGGCCAAGGTGGACGGATCACCTGAGGTCAGGAGCTTGAGACGAGCCTGGCCAACATGGTGAAACCCCCTCTCTACTAAAAATACAAAAATTAGCTGATTGTGGTGGCGGGCACCTGTAATCTCAGCTACTTGGGAGGCTGAGGCAGGAGAATCGCTTGAACACAGAAGGCGGAGGTTGCAGTGAGCCAAAATCACGCAACTGCACTCCAGGGGCAACAGAGCAAGTCTCTGTCTTAAAAAACAAACAAAAAAAGAGGGCTAGAGTTGAATGCAGTGGGCACTAATTAGGAATTAGCTTTTCCTGGCTCACACTCTGTTTATTTGCATTCTTCTATAAGGGAAAATGACAAGTTGATATCGGATTGTCAGGGTTTTCTAATATAGGATTTGTGTGAAACCAAGCAGCCATAACACCTTGATGATGTCATTGAGACAGATGGTGAGTGCTGACCCTTTATAATATTTGTCCTTTGTTTTTTAGATTAACTATCTCATTCTTCTTTTTTATTTATTCTATAGATTTTAAAGTATCCTAGGAAATAGCTTTAGGGATCGTGATGTGGAAACTAATGGAAAATTAAATGTATTATTAGGATTGAAATCTGGGTAAGTAGTTTTATTTATTTATTATTATTTTTTGAGACAGAGTCTTGCTCTGTCGCCCAGGCTGGAGTTCAGTAGTGCAATCTTGGCCCACTGCAACCTCTGCCTCCTGGGTTCAAGCAGTTCTCCTGCGTCAGCCTCCCAAGTAGCTGGGATTACAGGCACATCCCACCATGTCCAGCTAATTGTATTTTTGGTTGAGACGGGGATTCACCATGTTGGCCAGGCTGGTCTCGAACTCCTGACCTCAGGTGATCCTCCTGCCTTCGGCCTCCCAAAGTGCTGAGATTACATGGTTAATACAATTTTAAGGGTGGTATTAGATATTTGTGTTTCATAGACGTGGTTTTTTTCTTTTTTTCTTATTTTTTTTGAGACAGGGTCTCACTCTGTCACTCAGGCTGGAGTGCAGTGGTGCGATCTCCGCTCACCGCAGCCTCCGCCTGCGAGGTTTAAGTGATTCTCCTGCCTCAGCCTCCCGAGTAGCTGGGACTACAGGCACAAGCTACCTCGCCTGGCTAATTTTTGTATTTTAAGTAGAGATGGGTTTTCACCATGTTGCCCAGGCTGTTCTTGAACTCCTGACCTCAGGTGATCTGTCTGTGTTGGCCTCCCAAAGTGCTGGGATTACAGGCGTGAGCCACGGTGCCCAGCCAAAGTGTTTTTTTTTTAGGAAAATATTATGCCAGGCGCCGTGGTTCATGCCTGTAATCTCAACACTTCGGGAGGCCGAGGCAGGCAGATCACTTGATGTCAGGAGTTCAAGAACAGTCTGGCCAACATGGTGAAACCCCGTCTGTACTAAAAATACAGAAATTAGCTGTTGCAGTGGCAGGTGCCTGTAATCCTAGCTACTTGGGAGGCTGAGGCAGGAGAATGGCTTGAACCCTGGAGGCGGAGCTTGCGGTGAGCCGGGATTGTGCCACTGCACTCCAGCCTGGGCGTCAGAGTAAGACTTTGTCTCATAACAAAACAAAAAAACAAGTATGATGGTTCAGATTGCACATTGCAGTGAAAATGCCAACTTTTAAGGGGAATTATATTTGGAATCAATTTTCTTTTTAACTGAATATTAAATGGAATATTTAGCTTTTTAACTGGAATATTAAGCACTTCTTTATATTCTCAACATATGGTAGTGCAGAGGTCTTTTTTTGCATTGCTTTGCCCCCATGCCTACATTATCACCATTTTTAAACAGGGTATCCAGGTTGTTTGTCTTACAGCTTTCATTGTTCAGGTTGAAGCAACATTCTCTGATAACAACATTCAGAGGCACTTTGACAGACTGCTGTGTCTGACCTGGAACAACAATCTCTGATAGCAACATTCAGAGGCACTTTGTCAGACTGCTTTGTCTGACCTTATTACCTGTGAGGTAGTGTCTCCATTTTTCTGGGTCAGTTCTTTTTTGTGAAGGACTGGAACTCCTTAGTTAGGAACAATATTTTTTTTTTTTTTTATTTTTTTCCAAAGACAGAGTCTTGGCTGGGCATGGTGGCTCACGCCTGTAATCCCAGCACTTTGAGAGGCAGAGGCGGGAGGATCACCTGAGGTCAGGAGTTCAAGAACAGCCTGGCCAACATGGTGAAACCCTGTCTTTACTAAGAATACAAAAATTAGCCGGATGTGGTGATGCGCACCTGTAGTCCCACTACTTGGGAGGCTGAGGCCTGAGAGTCGTTTGAACCCGGGAGGTGGAGGTTGCAGTAAGCTGAGATCACGCCACCCCTCCAACCTGGGTGACAGAGCGAGTTTGAGTCTGTGTCTCAAAAGACACAGTCTCATTCTGTTGCCCAGGCTGGGGGGCATTGGCACAATCTCAGCTCGCTGCAACCTCCACCTCTTGGGCTCAGGTGATCTTCCCAACTCAGCCTCCCGAGTAGCTGGGACTATAGCACATACCACCACGCCTGGCTAATTTTTGAATTTTTTGTAGAGACAGGGTTTCACCATGTTGCTCAGGCGGGTCTTGAACTCCTAAGCTCAAGCTATTCACCTGCCTAGACCTCCCAAAGTATTTGGTGGAACAAGATTTAACAACAAAATAGATAATTTTTTAAAACTCCAAAATCTCTGTAGTGTATTCCTGACATATAGAAGTATAGATCATATTCATCTGTGTTCATTAGTATTTTAATGAACATTAAGGTGGTATGATTTGATTTATTAAATGAAATCCAAATTACATGTCTTTTCCCTAATGTAAAAAGAGTTACATCAGTCATTTAAAATTGAACACAAATTTATATTCGGAAGAAAACAGAAAAAACCATGTCCTCTGTCTCCTTTATTCATCAAAACTTGTGATTCTAATCACATTTAACAGTACTGAAAAAGTGGTACATGCTGAAGAATAATGGAGTATGTCTACCACCTCTTCTTGGGTCAGCATCTAATGTATTTTGTGACAAGCCTTGTGTCAGTACAGTCTCTGAAGGTTATTTAGGAGTGCAGTGAATCACTTCTGTTACTTACTTTCTTTTTATCAGTATACCAAATAGCCTCTGATTCTAATACATTATTTTTTTTAATTGATCTGCTTTGTGTTTTCATTTTGGTATTTGGATTTAGAAAACTGTCTATAGATACAGATATTTTGCTGGAAAAATTGTATTTAAATATTCAAAATTTAACTAAGAAATTATATCAAGGTGAAATGACCCTTATGTTTCATTTGCAAGGATTGTAAAAGTCTCTGACAATTTTAAGTGCTCAAATGAAGAGATAGTGTAGAAGCCTTTTCTTCGTTTTTTTACAGAAGAATAATTATGTGGGCAATGCTCCTAGGTTTCTGCCTCATAATTGTCATGTAGATTACAATTAAATTAGAAGTTTTTGCAGAGCAGTGAGTGAGTTTACCACAAGATGGTAACATTTTATTCAGATTCATGCTTTGGGAGACATTTATGGTCAGTAATAGTGTTTTGCCTTTCTTTCTCTCTCTTTTTTCTTTTTTTTGAGATAGGGTCTCACTTTATTGTCCAGGCTGGAGTGCAGTCGTTGCAGCCTCAACCTCGTAGGCCAAGCCCTTCACCTGCTCCAGTCCCCTAAGTCATTGGGACCACAGCCACCATGGCTGGCTAATTTTTCTTATTTTTTGTAGAGAGGAGGTTGCGCCCTGTTGCCTGAGCTGTTCTCCAACTCCTAAGTTCAAGGGCTCCTCTTGCCTTGGCCTCCCTAAGTGCTGGAATTACAAGTGTGAGCCACCACACCCAGCCCTGCCTTTCTCATACGCAAGAAATAGGAGAATGGATATTGTTTTTCTTAAGAAGCTGTATTATGTGATTTGTTTTAAAAATTTTGTATCATGCCTTTTAAAGGTCAACAGTTTTTCATTTGTAGATAGAAAAATGCTAAGAATCTATTAATTTTGTATATTTTACTATATTATAAAGAAAAATAATATGCCAGTGTTATAAAAACTGTGTTTTTCTTTTAGGAAATATTTCTGTTGCTAAAAATTAAGCTTAAACAATGCTGATAGAATATACAGGTTTGCTTTTTTTATTTTTGAGAAATGGGTTGTTATTCATGGTATGTATTGTGGTCTGATAATTAGCATAATGGTTTAAAACTGGAAATGATAATAGAAACAATGAATCTAAGCCTTTCACGTGATAGATCAGTATTCCTAGACAGCATAAGTTAAAAATCTCTACCTCATACAGCTAGTTGAAAAATCAAATATGTGTAACTCTCAACCTAGCATATTCTTTTGAATTCCTTTCATTTGAAAAGTGATTCTTTAACCTATAAAAATAAATGGAACATAGAGATGATTATTACTTTTTGAAATCTAATTGATAATTATCATCATTGATACTATTTATCAGGCATTTAAGTAACATGTAAGATATCTCCGTTTTGTAATTGAGAAACCTGGAAGGTTAAATGAGGCCTAAACTCACACAATTGGTAAGTTACAGAGCTATTACTAGATCTCTTTCCCATTCATTTCTTTCTCTGCCTTCTTTGCCATCTTGATTTAGTTAAACTGAGTCTGGCACCAAGGTTACAGTCTATTCCTCCATTATTATAAGGATCCAGTATTCATCACACAGGTGATACTTAGGTGTTTTCATTATTTGATATGGTGCTTGAGATGTCTGCATCTGAATTATCTTACTGGTTATATCAATATAGAGTTGGTGCATCATATTAAATTTTGGGGAATTCCTAGAAATCATGAATTGACATCAAATTTAGTGACACATATGGTGGCTTATCCAGCTGAACCTTTTTCTTACTTTACTTATATAAGCTGCATTTTCTTGTGGGAGTCATATTTTGAGGTCCACTTAGAAGTCTGATGTCATGCCTAACTTAGACTTCATCTAGTCAATGTTAATATAGAGTTTGGTTTTGTTTTTTAGTTAGGGTAAATGGTATAATATTAGAAAAATGTTGGCTATTGTCTTTTGTGGAAAGCAAGAAGTTAACTGGTTTTTAAGATACGCATATTAATATTTAAGTGAAGAATAGGCAGTTACTTTCTGAGCATGTAGTGAATATGGGTAGTATGTGTATACCCTGGGAATATACAGTAATCTGTGGTATGTTGGTTGTTAAAAGGTCGGGTGCTGTGGCTCATGTATGTAATCCCAGCACTTTGGGAGGCTGAGGCAAGGGATCACTTGAGGGTCAGGAGTTTGAAACCAGGCCGGCCAGTATGGCGAAACCCCATCTCTACTAAAAATACAGAAAAATTAGTTGGGCGTGGTGGCACATGCCTGTGGTGTGGTCCCAGCTTCTTGGGAGGCTGAGGCATGAGAATCACTTGAACCTGGGAAGCAGAGGTTATAGTGAGCTGAGATTGCACCACTGTACTCCAGCCTGGGCAACAGAGCGAGACTGGCTCAATATATATGTTTATTTATTGAAGTGTTGAACTTCTCTGACATTCTGTTAAAACGTCTGGATCACCCTAGAAACAAATGGAGGCGAACAGTTTTGTGTAGACTATCAGTGGATTTGTGGACTTCCCTGAAATGTATCTTTGGATCGCAAGTTAAAACCTCATAATCTAAAAGTGAAAAAAATAGGGCAAGCAAATGAAAAACCATGTAAGCGAATGTATTGGAAATGTAATTCTAATTGTGCAGTTTCACATATAATTTTGTAGGACGAGGATATTGAAGTAAGTAAAATTGAGATTTGATAGGAAAAAAGTAAGTAATGAGAAGTGGGTTTAAGAGTTTTAACAGAGGATTGGACATATTTTTATAGGGCAAGAGGTAAAGTAGAAAGCTCAGGCAGAAATGAGCTGATTACATGCACAAAAAGTGTTATGTTTGAAACCAGAGTCTAGGAGAATAATAAGAAATGAAGGAGAGAAAAAACTTTGTTTTAGCATATTATATTTTAAATGTTGGAGATACTAGCATTGGAAATTTTCTATTGATAGTACGTATTTTAGAAAACAAATTATTACTATGAATTTGGAATTCAAAATGAAATTGATACTTGAAGATAATGAAGTCAAGTAAGTAGGTGGGGAGTATACAGGTCATAGAGTAATCGACTGTGCAGAGCCTTAGAGGAATGCCTACCTTGAACAGTTTATATCAGAGATGTGAGATGATTAGATTCTAAAATTATTTTAGAAAGGAAAAATAAGAACAATAAGTCTTTTGGAGTAAGTGCTGTGTTATTCTGGGCATTTTAGTGGAGCATTGAAGATGAAGCCAAATTTCAGAAATACAAAGAGGAGGACTGTTAAAGAAGAAATGGTTTTAACTTTTGATTTTAGAATATTATCTGTGAAAAGGGGGTGGATCATTAACATCTGGTAGAAGTATCTTCAGAACAAATGAGATATAGGTAGGCTAAACAATAGAAATAATCCTAAGAAGAGAAAGAAAAAATGATAATAGGAGAGTAGGAACTTCAATATTTTAAATATGTGAACATTAAGAGGAAGAAAGTGTAGATATATTCTTACTGTCTTTGATTCTCTCCCTTTTTTGCCATTGCCTCTTTATATGTAATAAACCTTTGGATTCTAATAAAATTTAAAATCATGAATATATAATACTTTCATTTTTTTAGAAAAGTAGAACATGAATGGTAAAGCATTATGGTAAACTAGAAAGATACCATTTTCTTCTTTTACATAAATAGAATTATTTACATGTGTTCTCTTACTAAGCATGTACAGATGTTCTTTGACTTATGTTAAATTCTAAAAACCATTGTAAGTTGTGAAAATATTCTAAATTGAAAATGCATTTAGTACACTTAACCTACCAAACATCATAGCTTAGTGTAGCCTACCTTTAAACGTGCTTAGGGCCGGGTGTGGTGGCTCACGCCTGTAGTCCCAGCACTTTGGGAGGTCAGGGCAGGTGGATCACCTGAGGTCAGGAGTTCGAGACCAGCCTGGCCAACATGGTGAAACCCCATCTCTACTAAAAATATAAAAAATTAGCCGGGCGTGGTGGCGCATGCCTGTAGTCCCAGCTACTCGGGAGGCTGAGACACGAGAATCTCTTGAACCCAGGAGGCGGAGGTTGCAGTGAGCCTAGATTGTACCACTGCATCCAGCCTGGGCGACAGAGCGAGACTCCGTCTCAAAAAACAAAGCAAAACAAAAAAACATGCTCAGGACACTTACCCTATAGTTGGGCAAAATCATCAGGCAACACAATAAACTATAGAATTTCTGTTGTTTACCCTTTGTAATAGTGTGGCTGACGGGGAGCTGTGGCTTACTGCTGCTAACCCACATTGAAAGAGAGTATCAACGGTGTATCACTAGCTTGGGAAAATATTAGAATTCAAAGTATGATTTCTACTGAATGTGTATTGCTTTTGCAATGTCAGAAAGTCAAAAAATTCTGAGTTGAACCATTCTAAGTCAGAGACCATTTGTATATACATATGTGGATTTGTTTTTATGTATTTGTCAAGTTAGTGTATTGTTGCTGACAAGATTTTTTCTTTTTTTTTTTTAGTGTTTTTGTGTTGGCCCCGCAGTTGACTTTTTCAGTTCATATCCTTTTTTTTTTTTTTTCAATTGATGGAGATAGTTTTGTTTATTCACCCAAGTTTCTGAATAATTGTTCAGGCCCTGTTGCTAGCTTATCCTATCACACAAATGAGTAACAAAATTTATTCACAGTCTGCAAAATACCTTTTAGGAATTTTTGAGAAGATGAATGCTAGTCTTTAATTTCCTTTTTTCTTTCTTTCTTTCTTTCTTTTTTTTTTTTGAAATAAGGTCTCCCTGTTGCCTAGGCTGGAGTTCAGTGGCTCGATCATGGCTTACTACAGTTTCAACCTCCCAGGCTCAAGCCATTCTCCCACCTCAGTCTCCTGAGTAGCTGGGATTATAGGCGCATGCCACCAAGCCTGGCTAATTTTTGTATTTTTTGTAGAAACGGGGTTTTACCATGTTGCCCAGGCTGGTCTTGAACTCCTGGGCTCAAGCAGTTCTCCCACCTCAGCCTTTCAAAGTGCTGGGATTATAGGCATGAACCAGGGCACCTGGCCAGTTTTTTACTGTTAATAGTGAAGATAATTTCCAGTGCGTGAATACAGTGTTTTCACAAGTTCCACTGCCACTGTGGAAATGATAGTGTAATCCTAGATCTTGTGAAATACAATTAAAATATAACGTACATTTACTTACTAATAAAAGTAACTAGAATAAATGTCCCAAATAAATTAAAACAGCCCTCTTTTTAGCAAAGTTAAAGTACATATTAAACTGAGTTAGACATTTTTGTGTAATTCTACTTATTAGCTATTTATTATAGTATGTTCCAGGTATTTAAGTTGGAATACAAAGATGTAAAAACATGTCTGTACACCCTCAAAATACACAGTCTAAAAGGGAGAACATTTAGTTTCAGATGAAAGTTGTTCCCATATTTATGCATTTATGTATGTGTATGTTGCAAATTTCAGTTGTTTGAACAGAAAATTACTTCTGATATGAAACAGCCATGATAAAGTGCTCACCAGTAAAACTGGAAATACAGACAAAACATCACATGTCTATAAATATAATGTTATTCACCTCATTTATGAAATGTGTGTATTTCAATTCGTAATGAATTTGCAGTGGGAGCTCTTTTTTAAGTATATGCAAAATCAAAGGTTATCAACATATTGCCAGCTTTTTCCCCTAATCCTCTCAAATTTTTTATATATGTGACAAGCTAAATTGGATAGCATTTTTATATATTTCTTTTCTTTCTTTTTTTTTTTCTTTGAGATGGAGTTTTGCTTTAGTTGCTCAGGCTGAAGTACAGTGGCACAATCTCGGCTTACTGTAACCTCCAACTTCGGGGTTCAAATGATTCTCCTGCCTCAGCCTCCAAAGTAGCTGGGATTACAGGCATTTGCCACCATGCCTGGCTAATTTTTGTATTTTTAGTAGAGGTGGAGTTTTGCCATGTTGGCCAGGCTGGCCTCAAACTCCCGACCTCAGGTGATCCGCCTGGCTTGGCCTCCCAAAGTGTTGGGATTGCAGGCGTGAGCCACTGCGCCTAGCCTTACTACTTTTCTAAAAAATTTCAGCCGGGCATGGTGGCTCACACCTGTAATCCCAGTACTTTGGGAGGCTGAGGCAAGTGGATCACCTGAGGTCAGGAGTTCAAGACCAGCCTGACCAACATGGAAAAACCCCGTCTCTACTAAAAAAATACAAAATTAGCTGGGCGTGGTGGTGCATGTCTGTAATCCTAGCTACTCGGGAGGCTGAGGCAGGAGAATCGCTTGAATCTGGGAGGTGGAGGTTGCAGTGAGCCAAGATTGCGCCATTGCCCTCCAGCCTGGGGAACAAGAGCGAAACTCCATCTCAAAAAAAAAAAAATTTTTTCTGTGTACCCTTGATACAGTATCCTTAAAAAGCAATTTAGTTGAAAGTGCATTGACAGCAGAATGAAAATCTGAAACTTGGATTCTTCCACTACATCTTCTCGTAACTTTGTGCTTTAGGAAGTCCATTTACCTTTTGTGAGCTTCTTCCTTAGTTGTAACTGGAAGGTGTATATCTAGCCCAAATTTATTCTTCTGCCAGCACTAAAAGGCTTTTACTTGGGGGTGGGGGAAATATACATATAATGGCAATGAAGTAACTTTCTCTATTTGTTTCACCCTTTTAGAAATTGAATTTCAGCAGATAAAACCACAGTTGTGTAGGCTTATTTACATTGATGAAGCAAAGTATTGGAATGAAGGTGAAGCATGTTTACATAGAAACGTATTTTTAAGCCCCAGATATTATTATTATTGTGTTCTCATAACACTTGCCCCTTTTCAGATTGTAGGCTGTCCTGTTTTTTGTTTTAGTTTTTTTGAGGCGAGGTCTCAGTCTGTGGCTCACGCTGGAGTACAGTGGTGCATTCACAGCTCACTGTAGCATCAGCCTCCTGGGCTCAAGCGATTCTCCTACCTCAGCCTCCTCGGTAGCTGGGACTACAGGTGGATGCCACCACACCGGGCTAATTTTTGTATTTTTTGTAGAGATGGGGTCTCACTGTGTTGCCTAGGCTAATCTCAATCTCCTGGACTCAAGCAATCTTCCTGTCTCGGTCTCCCAAACTGCTGGGATTACAGGCATGAGCCACCATGCCCAGCCCCTGGTTTTGTTTGTTTTTTGTTTTGAGACAGAGTTTCACTCTTGTTGCCCAGGCTGGAGTGCAATGGCACGATCTCGGCTCACTGCAACCTCTGCTTCCTGGGTTCAAGCAATTCTCCTGCCTCAGCATCCCGATTAGCTGAGATTATAGGCACCCACCACCACGCTAGGCTGATTTTGTATTTTTAGTAGAGACCAGGTTTCGCCATGTTGGTCAGGCTGGTCTCGAACTCCTGACCTCAGGTAATCTGCCTGCCTCGGCCTCCCAAAGTGCTGGGATTACACGCGTGAGCCACTGTGCCTGGCCCAGCTCCTGGTATTTTAAGTAATGTGTCAGTGTCCAATGTCTGTCCACCTCTCCGCCTCCACCAGTCTGATGTGGACCTTCAGTGTTTCATGTTAGGCTTTATAGGCAGTATCTTATAACATTACTGATTTCTTGCCATTGTAATAAATTGTTACCATATTTTATTATCTTTATTTATTTATTTATTTATTTATTTATTTATTTATTTATTTATTTTTGAGATGGAATTGCGCTCTGTCTCCCAGCTGGAGTACAGTGTATTTTGAGTAGAGACAGGGTTTCACCATGTTGGTCGGGCTGGTCTTGAACTCTTGACCTCAAATGATCCGCCTGTCTCGGCCTTCCAAAGTGCTGGGATTACAGGCGTGAGCCACCGCGTCTGGCCATTTTATCATCTTTAAACACGGCTTTCACTGTGTTATTACACTTCTCAGAAATTGTTACGCTTCCCCGTCAATTACAAATGTCATTTCTTATTTGTCACCTATTCATGTTGCTCATTGTTCCTCTATGTGGATACTTCATTACGTGAAAGATGTTCTTAGTTGTACTAAAATATATTATGCTCACATATGCATCTTTGTCTTCATTATATTGCTGTTGTCATTTAAAATAATTTTTTATAATTCAAAAACAACTGTGCTATGATGGATTTAGCAGTTAATATGTAAATGGAATAAATATAAGTATGTTGATCTACATAGAATATATGCATTAAGACATTGGAGGGATATGGAAACAAGTATATGATCCCTAAAAAGTTGGAAATAAGGTAGTTCACTGAGATTTATAGTTTATTCTAAGAAGGATTATGTTTAACTGTGTCCAGAATAAATGAAATATTTTTGGGTAAATTAACTGTTTATCAGTTATATTATAAGTTAACTGGATGTCAAGTACATACTTAAGGAATTTGAGAGACGGCACCAAAATGTAATTGAATTTAGTAATTAGATATCTAATCAGTTGTATTTACTCCTTTTTTGAGTTTAGAAGGAAAGAAGAAAGTTCTTTTTAGGCTCTAGATACAGAAAAGAGAGGTCCAAAGAGCCAGAAATTGACATTGCTTATTTAAACACTGTCGGAGGAATTAGCTGGGTGGGTGGTGTGTGCCTGTGGTCTCAGCTACTCCAGAGGGTGAACTGGATAAAAATTGATTGAGCGCGGAGATTGAGGCTGCAGTGAGCTGTGATCTCCTCACAGCACTCCATCCTGGGTGACAGAGCCAAACTCTTGTCTCAAAACAAAACAAAACAAAAAACCAAAACACTGAGGTAGAAGAAACCCTATTCTAGTATTCTTGGGCTTATTATTCCCCTGTTTTACGTCATTTGTGTTTATCAAGTAATATTTTGATTTAGCTTTCCTAAGGAAAAGTTTGTATTATTTGTTAATCCCCATGCTTTCTACACTAATTAACAGCTAATAATTATCATTTTAAAGTAATAAATTTGCATTCTGGTTTATATATCAGTAGCTATGAGCTTGATTACTAAGTTTGTCCCTAATAGGACATCTAGTCTCAGTATGCTTACAAAATCAGATATCTGAGTTTGTAATATTAAGAATTAGACTATATATATCTTTGTCATTTTATGAGAATAAAGGCCACCTATGATGGCTTTAGGTAGATAGCCAGCTGACAGTAAAAATGTATGTTTGGTTTGTATGAAGCAAGCTAAGGATTTCATGACTCCAGCAATTTACAATTTAACTCAAAATCTAGCTGAAAGCCTAGTTCAAGTTCTGTCTTTTCTATTAAATGTTTTCTGATTAGACTTACATGCAGTGACTACCCAGTATAAACCACCACCCTGGAACCTCTTTTCTTCCCGAAAATGCTTATTTTTCTCTAAATCACTTATCACCATCTGACATACACGTTTACTTGTTTATTGCCATTTCTACACTCACACAGGATTATGAGCTCTATAGGTAGGAGTTTTGTTAACACACTGCTTTGACTTTGTGGTTACCAGTGCTTGTCACATATCAAGTTCTTAAGAAGCATTCATTGAATGAAGGAATCTGTTTAATTCTGAATCTTTCTTTCCTCTAGGCTTCTTTGTTTATAAGTTGTAGTCAATATAGAATAATACAGGGTTTGTATTGTTTGATGTGTATAAATCTGATCTCCGTCTGCAGGAACTTTCTTGGAGCAAGGGCCTAACTTTGTACTATTATCTCCTCCACAGAATCTTAGTTGGCATTTGTGTTTGATCTCTTGATTTAGATAGACACGAGTTTGATTTTTGGTTTAGCTGTTTACTTACTTTTGTGACAGTAGGTAACTTTTCTGAACCTTGGTTTCTCTGTTTTAAGGATATACGAGATAGTGTTGGTTGAGGACTGTGATGGTTCATTTTATGTTGTAAGCATGACTGGGCCACAGGATACCCAGATCCTGGTAAGATATTATTTCTGACTGTGTCTGTGAGGGTGTTTCCGAAGAGATTAGCATTTGAGCTAGTAGACTGAGTAGGGAAGGACCACCCTTATCCATTTGGGCAGATATTGTCCATCCTTTGGGGGCCCACATAGAAAAAAAAAAAAAAAAAGGCAGACGAAGGATGAATTGGCTCTTTCTGAGCTGGAACATCCTTGTCTCCTGCTTTCAGATGTGGGTGCTCCTGGTTCTTCATTTTTCAGACTTGAACCAAGACACACCACTGGCTTTCCTGTTTCTCCAGCTTGTGGGCTGCAGATCATGGGATTTTGGCTTTCATAATCATATGAGATAATGAGCCTATATATATATATGTATACACACACACATATGCAAACACACAGAGAAACACACACAAATATGCTCACACTCTATTGGTCCTGTTTTTGTGGAGAACTCTAATACAAAGACATTTGAAGATTGAGAGAATGCACAAGATGGCCCCCGCAGGCCATTGTACTAGCCATCTCATTTTATATCACATCTAAGTATGCCTTGAATTTTTTTAGTTTTATGTACCTGGCCTTATTGTGCTCTTATCAGTATGACTTCTGGTTTTTGAATGGATAACATTGTTTTATAACTTGTGCTTCAGAAAATACCAGTGCTGTTTCTTTCCCCCCTTTCTTTTTTTGAAACAGTCTTGCTCTGTCACCCAGGGTGGAGTACAGTGGCGCGATCTTGGCTCACTGCAACCTCAGCCTCCTGGGTTCAAGTGATTCTTCTGCCTCACCCTCCCGAGTTGCTGGGATTCCAGGTGCGTGCCACCAAGCCTAGTTTTTGTATTTTTAGTAGAGGTGGGATTTCACCATGTTGGCCAGGATGGACTCAAACTCCTGACCTCAAGTGATCTGTCTGCCTTGGCCTCCCAGAAGTGTTAGGATTACAAGTGTGAGCCACTGTACCCGGCACCACTGTTGTTTCTAGGCTTAATTAATTTGTTGTGGCCAACAGGCTTTTCCTTGTGTTTCAGCTTTAGCACTACCTGTCCATCATAGCTGTCATTACAGCTTTGTTGACTTTACTGTCTCGCATACTCTTACCCAGTGCTGCTTTGGTCTTGCCCAAGGCGGCAGTTCTTTCCTTTTCTCTCTTCTCTACTTTTTGTTCAACATTATCTAATTTTCATATATAGATCTATGTATGTATATGTTAAATTTTTATATATATTAAATACTTTTCCCAGCTCTGCCTCTGTATTTATGACTAGATACGTAAACAATTGTTAATATACATCAATATATATTAATTACATTAATATTAACATTTGATATAGATTCTGTTCTTTCCTCAACTGTGCCTTGACAAACTTAGGAAAAAAAAAAAAGTTTTTTTTTTTTTTTTTTTTTGAGATGGAATCTCACTCTGTTGCCCAGGCTGGAGTCCAGTGGTGCGATCTTGGCTCACTGCAACCTCTGCCTTCCAGGTTCAAGCAGTTCTCCTGCCTCAGCCTCCCTAGTAGCTGGGACTACAGGAGCGCGCCACTAATTTTTGTATTTTTAGTAGAGACGGGGTTTCACCATGTTGGTCAGGCTGGTCTTGAACTCCAGACCTTGTGATTCTCCCTCTTCGGCCTCCCAAAGTGCTGGGAGTACAGGTGTGAGCCACCGTGCCTGGCCAGAAAATTTTTTAACAATTCAAATAAGTGTAAAAAGTTAAACCCTATTCTATCTTAATTTCTTGCATTTTGTATTTTACAATTTAGCAGCTTTAAAATCATCGTACTGAGTCCCTTCCACCTAAGTCACTTTCCATCTCTTGCGCTCATAATATACTGCAGGTTGGCATATACCTTTTAACTAAGAGTTTAGAGGGGGATTTTGTCTTTGTAGAAATCTGAATTTTCCAGAGGAAAAAAATTCTGAAAATTTAGAGTCCTTAGGTGAGATCCTCAGTAAACTGACATCCACTCATTTTAATAATATTCTTTTCTCTTTTATGTAAATTGATAACCAAGGCATGTGCAACATTTGAAAAGAGCTTTCCCAACATGAGAGAGAATAAACATGTAGGAAAAAAAGAATAGCCAGGAAAATACAAGGAACTGTTTTGAAAGCTTTGGGGGAAAATCCTCTTAATATACTCAGATGAGAAGATATTTCATCATTACAATGAATGAACTGGTTTAGATTCCTTAAAAGACATTCAAGAAGTGTGACTTTTGGCTTCCTCACCCAAGGTCAGCTTCAGCAGTTAGAAGGGAAAACTAAATGTTCTGAGCAAATGGTGAGAAATCCCCTAGGTTGGTGGAAGAAAGGCTGTTTTGAACTGGTGTGTGGAATAGAGAAGCTTTGTCCCAGGTCAAGAGAGAGGGCATCCTCTTGGCTATCAGAAGAAAAAATAGGAAAGGAACTATTGAAGCTCTTCACGCCTTTGAAGCAAAGGTGCCTAACTCGCGTACACTTGTAAAGTATCAGACCTTTGATATTTTGAGGAGTCAATTCAGGATAGTGCAGAGGCCCTTTCCTTCTGAGTGGATTTAAAAAATGAACTTTTGCTTCCCTACCTCTTACCCAGACAGTTCTCAGTGCTAATACGCTATAGTTGGTAAGAGATGCAGGAAAAACCAAACCAAATTGTTTTTTCCACTGTCGACTCAACACAACACTTCTGACACCAGATGTGTTGGGGTATTTTCTTACACACCTAGCAGATCTCCAGCAGACATGAGCTGGATATCCTCCAACTGAATTATTTTTTCACGCTGTCTACCTACAGCTAGCGTCAGATCCCACTGATTGAGGACTCAATCTCACAAGACTGCCTCCCACTTCAGATGACAATCGCAAGTAGTAGGTTGTCACCTATACTTCTGACTGAGCAGCTATAAAATTCACTGATCAGCTATAGACCAGCTCCTTCTCATGTTCAATTAGTTTGCTAGAGCAATTCACAAAGGTCAGAGAAACACTTTACTTATTATGTTTACCGATTTATTACAAAGAATATTTTAAAGGATACAAATGAATAGCCAGATGAAGATACATGGGATGGGATCTGGAAGGGTCCAGAGAACAGGAACTTTCATCCCTGTGGAGTTTGTGTGTGCCACCCACCTGGCACGTGGATGTGTTCTTGTACACCAGTCTGGAACCTCATTCAAACTCTATTTTTAGGGGGTTTTATGGAGACTTCATTACATAGGCATCATTGATTATATAATTGGCCATTGTTGATCAACTCAATTCAGCCCCTCTCCTCTCCCTGGAGGTCTGGGGTGGGGCTATGAACTTTCCAACTCTCTAAACACATGGTTGGTTCCCTTGGTAACAAGCACCATCCTGGGGCTATCTAGAAGCCCACCAAGATTGCCTCATTAGAACAAAAGAGTCTTCTGTCACCTAGGAAATTCCTAGGGATTTAGGAGCTCGGTGTCAGGAACCAGGAGTCAAAGGACAAATATTAGAACAAAAGATTCTCCTAGTGCCTGTATCTACAAGGATTTTAGAAGCTGTATGTCAGGAAATGGAGACAAAAAACAAATATATATTTCATGTTATCACAATAGTCGAAGAAGAGTCTCCATTTAGATGCTTTAACATGTGAAAAAATAGTGAAGCTACTTTCCCAAGGAATTGTTTTGAGAAAAGATGAGAGATTGTAGTTTTCTGCTGCCTGGAATATTCCACCTTAGGTATTTTCCACCTGTATGTCTTGAGCTCAATGGGGCTGACAGTGATTGTGGGCTGACATCGTCTATATACATTGCTTAAATGTATTTTCCTAGAAGAAAATGAGCACACAGACCAAATAAAACATTCAAAGGAAAGAAAAATAATATACTGGATTACAGATGCCATTAGTAGTAGAAATACTAGATTAGACAAATGATGAATATAAAATTATCCTAATAAATGTATTAAAAATATTAGAGGAAGATAATATGAAATAAAATCTAAAAGAAAAAATTACTCAATATCAAAAACATAATACAAAATGTAAGATATGCTGGGCATGGTGGTTCACTCCTGTAATCCCAGCACTTTGGAAAGCTGAGGTAGGCGAATCACTTGAAGCCAGGAGTTCAAGACCAGCCTGGCCAACATGGTGAAACACCATCTCTACTAAAAATATAACAATTAGTTGAGTCAGGCATGGTGGCTAATGCCTGTAATCCAAGCGCTTTGGGAGGCTGAGGCGGGTGGATCACCTGAGGTCAGGAGTTTGAAACCAGCCTGGCCAACATGGTGAAACCCTGTCTCTACTAAAACTACAAAAAAATTAGCTGGGTGTGGTGGCATGTGCCTGTAATCCCAGCTACCCAGGAGGCTGAGGCAGGAGAATTGCTTGAACCTGGAGGTGGAGGTTGCAGTGAGCCAAGATAGCACCACTGCATTCCAGCCTGGGCAACAGAGCGAGACTCTGTCGTGGAGAAAACAAGCAAACAAACAAAAAGATGAATAACAGAATTGATCTATTTGAAGAACAAAATTGTTAATTGGAAGATTAAAGAGAATATTTCACGGGGATAAAAGGACAAGGAAATAGCAAATATAAAAGAAAAATTGACAGCTATCAAATACAGAAATAAAGGTATTGACATCCAGAAGATAGGAATCTAAGAAGGGAGATAATTTTTTTTAAGTGGAGAATAAATACTTAAAGGGATAAAAGGGATAGTTTTCTAGAATTAAAGTGAGAGAGAAAAGAGAGAGGTGAGAAATTTCAGATTAAAAGGAGTTCAGAGTCAAGAGAGAAGAAAGAAACACAACATACGTTAAAGTTAAAATATAAGACTGCCAGAGATAAAGAAAATGCTAAAGACTTGCAGAGATGAGGGAAAAAAAAAAGTCACAAACAAATGAAGAAGAATTAGATTGGCATCACACTTTTTCAGCAGTAACTCTTGAATGTAAGCAGAAAATGTATTAGCTTTTTTTTTTTTTTTTTTTTTTTAGATGGAGTCTCGCTCTGTCGCCCAGGCTGGAGTGCAGTGGCGCAGTCTCAGCACACTGCAAGCTCCGCCTCCGGGGTTCACGCCATTCTCCTGCCTCAGCCTCCCGAGTAGCTGGGACTACAGGCCACCACCACACCCGGCTAATTTTTTGTATTTTTAGTAGAGACGGTGTTTCACCATGTTAGTCAGGATGGTGTCGATCTCCTGGCCTTGTGATCCGCCCACCTTGGCCTCCCAGAGTGCTGGGAGCATTTTTTAAGGTTTGAAGAGAACCTAGATTTTAAATCCCACCAAGTTGTCATTCAGATATTAAAGCCATAATAAAAATTTTTATCAAGAATACAGATACCAGAAGGTTTTTCAAACCTTAATATTAAAAATAAGTTTAGATGAGGCACTGAAATGAGCAGACCCATTTAAGGAAACGTTGAAAGAGATAAATGAAGTGAAGATGATGAAATACATTGGTTAGTGAAGCTAACCAAAGTATAGAGAAAATATGTCCATATTAACCCTGAACCTAAAAGTCTAGGTCAGTACTTCTCAAATTATCTATGCCAAAGAAACTTTTTTTTTTTAAATTCCAGTTTGTTTAGAAAATCACAAGTATTGATGTCCCAGGAATGTTGAACTTACGTAAGAGTTCTGGACATGTTATTATCAGTTCGTATATTTTTGGACCAGTAACAGAATATTTAAAGGAGCAAACAACAGAAACAGATGCAATAATGACAGAATGAAGGAAATGGCAGAAAAGGGCATGATTATAATATACTCAGTATACTCAAGGATTTAAAGTAAAACATTAACATAAGAGAAATGTAAAATATAAAAAAGACTCAAATGAACATTTAGAGGTGAACAACACAAATGAAATCACTGGATGGTGATTTCAAGATATTAGACATGGGAAAAGAAAAGATCAAGCTGGGGGTGGTGGCTGACACTTGTAATCCCAACATGTAATGCCAACACTTTGGGAGGCCAGGATAGGAGGATTCCTCGAGTCTAGGAGTTCAAGACTAGCCTGGGCAACATAAGGAGACACCATCTCTACAAAAAAGTTAAAAATTAACAAAAATTAGCTGGGCGTGTTGGCAGGCACCTGTAATTCCCAGCTACTTGGGAGCCTGAGATGCCAGAATTACCTGAACTTGAGGCAGAGGTTGTAGTGAGTCGAGATGGCACCGCTGCACTCCAGCCTGGGTGATAGAGCCAGACCCTGTCTCCAAAAACAAAACAAAACGAGCGTGGTGGTGCATGGCTATACTCTCAGCTACTTGGGAGGCTGCTGAGGCAGGAGGATCACTTGAGCCTTGGAGGTTGGAGTGGCAGTGAGCCGTGATCGTGCCACTGCATTCCAGCCTGGTTGACAGAGCAAGGCCCTGTCTCGAAAAGAAAAGAAAAAAGATCAGTGACCTTTAATGTAGCAATAGAAACAATGCAAAATGAAGCACAGATAGAATAGATGGGATGGGGGGCGACGGGGCACACTGAATAGAATTTCAGTGGCCTTTGGAATGATATCAAATATTTATGTATGCACCATTGGCATTCTGGTGTTGGAGGAGGGTGCAAGGACAAGGAGGCAGCCAGTGAAAATATTTGATTAAATAATGTACGAAATGTTTTCATATTTGCAAGAACATTATAAACATGCAGAGTCAAGAATCTTAAAGAATTGCAAACAATGGGAATGATTGTGTGTGTGTGTGTGTAGTAGGCTTAGGAGGATGAGAGAAGTTGATTAATCAGTAGAGACATACATTCAAATAGAAGAAATAAGTTCCAATGTTCTATGGCAGAGCAGGATGACTATAGTTAATAAGTCAAGTGATTCTCCTGCCTCAGCCTCCCAAGTAGCTGGGATTACAGGCACACGCCACTGTGCCAAGCTAAATTTTGTATTTTTAGTAGAAACGGGGTTTCATCATGTTGGCCAGAGTGGTCTCAATCTTCTGACCTCGTGGATCTGCCCACCTCGGCCTCCCAAAGTGCTGGGATTACAGGCATGAGCCACCATATCCAGCGTTTTATATTTCAAAATAGAAGAGAAGACTTAAATGTTCCTAGCACATAGAAATGATAAATGCTGACTGGGCATGGTGTCTCATGCCTGTAATCCCAGCACTTTTGGGAGGCTGAGGTAGGTGGATCACTTGAGGTCAGGAATTCAAAACCAGCCTGGCCAACATGGCAAAACCCCGTCTCTTCTAAAAATACAAAAATTAGCCAGCCATAGTGGCATGCGCCTGTAATCCCACCTACTCGGGAGGCTGAGACATGAGAATTGCTCTAACCCAGGGGGTGGATGTTGCAGTGAGCCAAGCCAAGATCCTGCCAGTGGGCTCCAGCCTGGGCAACAGAGCAAGACTCCATCTCAAAAAACAAACAAACAAAAAGATAAATACTCAAGGTGGTGGATACTCTAAATACCTTAACTTGATCAATACAATTCTATGCATGTAGCAGAATACCACATTACTACATAAAAATGTATGAATATTGGCCAGCTGTGGTGGCTCACGCCTGTGATCCCAGCACTTTGGGAGGCCGAGGTGGGCGGATCACCTGAGGTCAGGAGTTCAAGACCAACTTGGCCAACATGGTGAAACCCCATCTCTACTAAAAATAAAAAAATTAACTGGGCATCATGGTGGGCACCTGGGATCTCAGCTACTTGGGAGGCTGAGGCAGGAGAATCGCTTGAACACAGGAGGCGGAAGTTGCAGTGAGCAGGGATCATGCCATTGCACTCCAGCCTGGAGAGGAGCGAAACTCTGTCTCAGAAAGTATGAATATTATATACAGAATAAAAGAAAATTACAAGCAAGAGAAGTACACACAAAACAAACCAAAAAACACGTAAGAAGCCACATCATAACCAAATGCCTCAAAAGCAGTGACAAGTATAAAATGCCAAAAGCAGCCAATGAATCAAGGCACATTACTTTCGGAAAAACAGATATGAAAATTACTGCGTACTTCTAACTAATCAAAAAATTTTCAAGCCAAATGCAGTGGAATGACATGTTTGAAGTGCTAAATGAAAACAACAAATTTTTGTTTGCGTGTTTGCTTTTGAGACAGGATCTTGCTCTATAGCCCAGGCTGGAGTGCAGTGGTGCAACCATAGCTCACTGCAGCTTCATAGTCTCAGCCTCAAGTGATCCTCCCACATTACCCTCCCAAGTAGATGGAACTCTACAGGTGTGCACCATCATGCCTGGCTAATTTTTTTATTTTTTAAGGAGACAGGGGTCTCACTATTTTGCCAGGGCTTATTTTGAACTCCTGGGCTCATGTACTCTGTCCATCTCAGCCTCCCAAAGTGCTTGTATTACAGGCATGAACCACCATACCCAGCCATTAGAATTTCTTCTTTTTTTTTTTCGTGGTGTTTTTTTTTTTTTTTTGAGACGGTGTCTCACTCTGTCCCCAGGCTGGAGTGCAGTGGCGCAATCTTGGGTCACTGCAACCTCTGCCTCGTGGGTTCAAGTGATTCCCCTTCCTCAGCCTCCCAAGTAGCTGGGACTACAGGTGCATGCCACCATGCCAATCTAAGTTTTGTATTTTTAGTAGAGACAGGGTTTCACCATGTTGGCCAGGATGATCTCAATCTCCTGACCTTGTGACCCGCCCGCTGCCTCGGCCTCCCAAAGTGCTGGGATTATAGGCATGAGCCACTGCACCCGGCCAGAATTTCTTACAGCAAGTATAACCTTCAAAAGTGAAGAGAAAAAAACTTCCAGGCAAATAAAAACTGAGTGGATTCATCATTAGCAGACATGAACTGCAAGAAATGTTAAGGTTCTTATGGCAGAAGGAATGTTACAATAGATGAAAAGTTACCCTAAACAAATTAACACAAAAAGAGAGAACCAAATACTGCATGTTCTTACTTACAAGTAAGAGCTAAATATCTGGTACTCATGGACATAAAGATGGCAGCAGTACACACTAGGGACTGCTAGATGGGGGAGGTAGGAGAGGGACAAGGGTTGAAAACTGTTGGGTACTATGCTCAGTACCTGGGTGATGAGATAATTCATACCCCAAACTTCAGCAACATAGTTATACCCAGGTAACAGACTTGCAAGTGTACTTCCATGAATCAAAAATAAAAGTTGAAAATTAGCCACATGTGGTGGCACGCACCTGTAATCCCAGCTACTTGGGAGGCTGAGGCAGGGCAATCTCTTGAATCCAGGAGGCGGAGGTTGCACTGAGCCAAGATCGTGCTGCTGCACTCCAGCCTGGTGACAGAGTGAGACCCTGTCTCAAAAAAAAAAAAAAAACAAAAAAGGCTGGGCACAGTGAACTCAAGCCTGTAATCCCAGCACTTTGGGAGGCCGAGGCAGGCAGATCACCTGAAAGTCAGACATTTGAGACCAGCCTGGCCAAAATGGTGAAACTCTGTCTCTACTAAAAATACAAAAATTGGCTAGGCGTAGTGGTGCATGCCTATAATCCCAGCTATTTGAGTGGCTGAGGCAGGAGAATCGCTTGAACCCAGGTGGTGGAGGTGGCAGTGAGCTGAGCTCGCACCATTACACTCCAGCCTGGGCGATAGAGTGAAACTCGCATCTCAAATAAAATAAAATAAAAGTTGAAAAAAAAAAAAACAAAACTTTGAATCCTTACAAAGAAGCGAAGCCTACCATAAATGATTAATTGTTTGGAAAATATAGTTTGTGTGTGTGTGTTTGTGACAGGGTCTCACTCTGGTTGTAGTGGCATGATCACAGCTTGCTGTAGCCTCGACTTCCCTTGCTCAGGTGATTCTCCCACCTCAGTCTCCCAAGTAGCTGGGACTACAGGTGTGTGCCACTATGGCTGGCTAACTTTTGCATTTTTAGTGGAGATGGAGTTTCTTCATTTTG
The DNA here is from genome assembly GCF_000001405.40 of Homo sapiens. Taxonomy (NCBI): domain Eukaryota; kingdom Metazoa; phylum Chordata; class Mammalia; order Primates; family Hominidae; genus Homo; species Homo sapiens. Next base: position 63,314,371 of record NC_000010.11, on the reverse strand, counting down.
CCCAGTCTGGTCTTGAACTCCTGGACTCAAGCAATCTGCATGCCTTGGCCTCCCAAAGTGCTGGGATTATAGGCATGAGCCACCACATCCCCTGCCTGAGAAATACAGAAGATTCTAAAGGAACTTTTTTTAACAAATAGTTACAGCCAACTGATCCTCAACAAAACAAACAAAAACATGAAGTGGGGAAAGAACACCCTATTCAACAAATAGTGCTGGGAGAATTGGCAAGTCACATGTAGAAGAATGAAACTGGATCCTCGTCTCTCACCTTATACAAAAATCAACTCAAAGTAGATCAAAGACTTAAATCTAAGATCTGAAACTAACAATTCTAGAGGATAACATTGGAAAAACCCTTCTAGATATTGGCTTAGGCAAAGACTTCATGACCAAGAACCCAAAAGCAAATGCAACAAAAACAAAGATAAATAGGTGGGACTTAAAGAGCTTCTGCATGCCAAAAGTAACAACAGAGTAAACAGGCAACCCACTGAGTGGGAGAAAATCCTCACAGTGTATACATCCTATAAAGGACTAATATCCAGAATCTACAACGAACTCAAACAAAAAGTTCAACAGTCCCATCAAAAAGTGGGCTAAGGACATGAATAGACAATTCTCAAAAGAATATGCACAAGTGGCAGATGGCCAACAAACTTATTAAAAAATGCTCAACATCACTAATGATCAGGGAAATGCAAATCAAAATCATGAGATCATCTCACACCAGTCAGATTAGCTATTATTAAAAAGTCAAAAAATAATGGATATTGGTGCAGATGTGATGGAAAGGGAACATTCTTACACCGCTGGTGGGAATGTAAACTAGTATGACTAATATGGACAGTGTGAAGATTCCTTTAAGTAGAAGTACCATACCCAGTAGTGGGATCCAGCAGTCTCACTACTGGGTGTCTACCCAGAGGAAAAGTAGTCATTATATGAAAAAGATACTTGCACAGTCATGTTCAAAGCAGCACAATTTAGAATTACAAAAATATGGAACTGGCACAAATGCTCATCAATCAAGGAGTGGATAAAGAAATTCTTACACACACAATGGAATACTACTCAGCCATAAAAAGGAATGAGTTAGTGGCATTCACAACAACCTGGATGGGATTGGAGACTGTTACTCTAAGTGAAGTAACTCAGGAATGAAAAACCAAACATCGTATGTTCTCTTTCATAAGTGGGAGCTAAGCTGTGAGGATGCAAAGGCATAAGAATCATACAGTGGACTTTGGGGCCTTGCGGGGGAAATGGTGGGTGGGGATTGAGTGATAAAAGACTACAAATTGGGTTCAGTGTATGCTGCTCATGTAGTGAGTGCACCAAAATCCCACAAATCACCGCTAAAGAACTTACTCATGTATCCAAAAGCTACCTGTTCCCCAAAAACCTATGGAAAAAAAAAGTTTTAAGAAAGTAATTGTTTAATGTAAAAGTGTGCTTCTAGTTTAATAACATCTAAAATTAGGGTGGCCACGGTGGCTCATCCAAAGGCACAGAACTAATCAATTCTAAGTATAATTAAATTGGAAATACCATTTATAATTATATTAGGTAATCAGAGACAAATACTTTGGAATACATTTAGCAAAAAATTTTCAAGGCCTGTGTAGAAGCAATTATAAAACATACTATGGAGAGAAAATTCAGGAGTGGACTGTATTGTTAAGTATAGTACAAGGCATTTGGAAAACTTTTTACTAAATTGTTTAGTTCAGATTTCCACTTCACAACTTTTTAAATATAAAAAACTTCTACTTTTGATACCTTCAGTTCAATCCTTGTAAGAAAGAAATTATTTTTATTTAGATTTCCTCATGGAGTTAAGTGGGAAAAGTAATTTTTTAGGTTAGATTATTAGGTTAACTCCATATTTCTTGGATTTTGATGCACAGATACATGTAATATTTACTTACCAGCACACAGATATGTTTAATATTTAGCTAGTCAACCGGGCATGGTGGCTCATGCCTGTAATCCCAGCACTTGGGGAGGCCAAGGTGGGCGGATCACCTGAGGTCAGGAGTTAGAGACCAGGCTGACCAACATGGAGAAACCCTGTCTCTACTAAAAATACAGAAATTAGCTGGGCGTGGTGATGCATGCCTGTAATCCCAGCTACTCGGGAGGCTAAGGTAGGAGAATCGCTTCAACCTGGGAGGCGGAGGTTGTGGTGAGCCGAGATCGTGCCATTGCACTCCAGCCTGGGCAACAAGAGCGAAACTTCGTCTCACACACACAAAAAAAAAAAAAAAAAAAAAAGTTTAGCTACTAGTCATAAATCCATGTCTGGGGAGAAGTATTACTTACTATGAAGAATTTTGTTTACTTTTTATTTTGTTAAGTAATTTATTTTGGCTTTTGACAGGTACATAACTTTATATAATTGAGGTTTTCTCAAAATCAGAAGAAACAATTAAGTGAAAGCATATAATAAATTAAGAATAACCTAATACATTCCTAACTATGTACCGTGCAGCGTTGTCATCTTAACATTTTGCCTACTTATTCCAGACCATTTCTACTTGAAATAAAAGTGTTCTTGTACTTCTTTTTAATCCAGCTCTCCTCTTTCTCCATCAGTAATCACTGTCTAAATTTGTTGTTTCTTACTCTCATCTGCGCTTTTATACTATATGTGTAGGCATTCATAAACAACATGTATTCATAAATGTGTTTCACGTTTCTGAACCTGACATACTGTATAAATTGTATTTTTTTCAGAATGATTTACTTGCTTTCATGATTTCGATTATGTATTTTAACTTACATGTGGTTTTCAATTATATGATTCCGTCAGAATACATTTATCCATAATTCTTTTTAATAACTTTTAGGTTTCTTGGTTTTTCTTTTTAGACACAATGTTGGAGTAATTGTTTTTTACTTTTCTCCATGATGGACACGTGAGGATTAGTACAGAGTATATTTTGGAAAGTGGAGTTACTGAGTTTATTTATTTTGTTTGTTTATTTTTTGAGACAGAGTCTCACTCTGTTGCCCAGGATGGAGTGCAATGGCGCCATCTCAGCTCACTGCAACCTCCACTTCTTGGATTCAAGTGATTCTCCTGCCTCAGTCTCCCGAGTAGCTGGGATTACAGCTGCCCATCACCACACTTAGCTAATTTGTTTTTTTTTTTTTTTTTAATAGAGCCGGGGTTTCATCATTTTGGCCTGGCTGGTCTCGAACTACAGACCTCAGGTGATCTGCCTGCCTCGGCCTTCCAAGATGCTGGGATTACAGGCATGAGCCACTGCACCCGGCCGGAATTACTGAGTTTAGATCATACCCATTTACTAGACATTCTCATACATCTCTCCAGTGTGGTTTTCTTCATATATTTTCCCATCACTTCTTTTTGAAAGTTCCTATTTTGTAACATCTTTATCAACATTTAGTATTTTCAGTCTTTGTAATTGCTGTAAATCCCCCAAATATAAAATCGTATCTTAATGTCGGGTTTATTTGTCCTTCTTTGATGACCAATAAAGTTAAACATCTTTTTTTACATTTGTTGACCATTTAGGCCTTTTCTTTTCTCAGTGATTGTTCATTATTTTTCCCTATTGTCAATAGAAAGTTGTATTTAAAAAAAAATGATTTGTAGGATTTGTTTTTATATTTTAGATAATTACTTATTGGTTCTATATCACATATATCATTTCCCAGCAGCTCATTTTTCCACATTAGCAAGTTTTAGTGAATAAAAGTTTTAAATTTTAGGATAGTCAATTTATCAAGTTAATTTCATATATCTTCTGAAGAATGAAATTTTTTCCCATGTAGTGTATTACGTTTCTAAGCAGCACTTACTAAGTAATCTGCCCATCCTTCACAGTAATCTAACACCACCTCTTTAAGTAGCATCTTCTTTTAATGAGTAGGACTGTTTCTGATTCATTTAATCTGTACCACTGTTCCAATTGGTTGTCTTGCACCAATAGAACAATGTCTTAAATATTGTAACTTTATAAGTCTTGCTATCTGGCAAGGCAAGCGTTCCCATTTTGTTGTCTTGAAGTTCTATCTTAGCTATTCTTGGCAGTTTTCAAGATTAGCTTAATACATAAAAGAAGGAACCCCTTTGAGATTTTTCACTGGAATGGCATTGAATTTATATATTATTTTAGGGAAAATGTCTGTTTACTGTAATCATTTCGTCCATGAATATAGTATTTATGTCTCATTTGTTTGGAGTCTTGTATTATGCTGTTAGATAGGGTTTACGCTTTTTTCTATAAAGTTTGCAAATTTTTTGTTGATTAATTCCTGTGATCTGATAGTGGTTATTGCTATTATGAGTAAAATCTGCATTTGGTGGTAAATACTGATATAGAGAAATACAGCTAATTATTGTGACGTGATCTTTTGTCCAGTAGGCTTGCTGAACTCTTTTAAATGTTCTTATGGTTTGACTATAAATTATCTTTTTTTTTTGAGACGAAATCTTGTTCTGTCGCCCAGGCTGGAGTGCAATGGCGCGATCTTGGCTCACGGCAACCTCCACCTCTCGGGTTCAAGTGATTCTTCTGCCTCAGCCTCCTGAGTAGCTGAGATTACAGGCGTGCGCCACCACACCCAGCTAATTTTTGAATTTTTAGTAGAGACTGGGTTTCACCATGTTGGTCAGGCTGGTCTCGAACTCCAGACCTCGTGATCCGCTCGCCTTGGCCTCCCAAAGTGCTGGGATTACAGGCATGAGCCACTGTGTCCGGCCTGTTTACCTGATTTTTGAATCAAAATGTTTCAATGTGGATTGGTTACCATGTAGGTCTGTTATACAGTTATAAACTTGAGATCTTCCTTTATTATCATCTTAGAGGTTGCTTTATTCCTTTTTTTTTTTTTTTTTTTTTTTTGAGATGGAGTCTCGCTCTTGTTGCTTAGGCTGGAGTGCAGTGGTGCGATCTTGGCTCACTGCAACCTCTGCCCCCCCGGTTCAAGCGATTCCCCTGCCTCAGCCTCCTGAGTACCTGGGATTACAGGCGCCTGCCACCACGCCTGGTTAATTTTTTGCATTTTTAGTAGAGATGGGGTTTCACCATGTTGGCCAGGCTGGTCTCAAACTCCAGACCTCAGGTGATCCACCTTCCTTGGCCTCCCAAAGTGCTGGGGTTACAGGCATGAGCCCCCGTGCCCAGCGACTTTATTCCTTATACTGTGTTAATATTTGCTTCTGTTCTTAGTTTACTCTGTCGTTTTGGTGGAGTACATTCTGAGTAGTTTCTTGAGATATGGTGCTTGAGGTTTTTTGTTGTTGTTGTTTGGTCTTTCTTGAATGGTTTGCCCCGGGTGTGGAATTTTAGTTTGGAAATTACTATTCTGAAGATGGACCATTGTAAAAGTATCCAAGCCTGCCATTCTGCCATTCTGTTTTCTGATCCTTTGTCACTTTTTCTTTCTAAAAGCATATAGAATCTTCTCTTTTTCCCCAAGATTCTGAAATGTTACTGTGATATTTCTTTATGTGTGTCTATTTTTATCTGTTGTGTTAGGCCCTTTCAATCTGGCAACTTATTCTTCAGCCCTGGGAAATTTTCTTTAGTTGTTGTTTTTTTTTCTTTTTGATGACAGTTTTCCCTTTCTTTTTTTTTTTTTTTTTGTTCTCAAATGGATGTTGTCATTTCAATTTTATTTTTTGGCTTTCTAGTTTTCTCTCCTATTTCTATTTCTCTCATTTTATTCTTCTTTCTGGGAGGTTTCCTTAAGTTTCCTTTTAAGCTTCCAACTGTTTTTTTTTTTTTCCTATAGCAGCTTATTTTTGTTTCTTAGACGAAATAACTCTTTTTCTGGTAATACAAATCTTGGTTTTGTTAATGTTTTAGAGTCTGTGTAAATCTCTTTTTCCTACATGTTGCTCTTATTCTTTTGTCTCTGTCTTTGTTCGTGGACCCTTTAAATTTAGAGGCTTTCCACAAATACTAAATAATCACTGGCTAGGATGGATAGGGTTTGTCTATTTTGAACTTTAGTTGATGGTGATCTGGGAACCTTATTTTGTGGGTCAAACTCCAGTATACTAGAATTTTGAGATATCATCTCCTAGACTGGTTACTTTCCTCAGGGAAGAAATCCATCTCCTACATAGATGGTAAGGATCTGTCTGCAAGAATTCTGGGTGCAGAGTCGGGGAAAATGGCTGAAGTTCGTTAGATATTAGTATGCATACAGTCATTTAATTTCCCAATTTTTTTTTTTCTTTTGAGATGGAGTCTCACTCTGTCGTCCAGGCTGGAGTGCAGTGGCTCAATCTCAGCTCACTGCAGCCTTCACCTACTGGGTTCAAATGATTCTGCGTCAGTCTCCTGAGTAGGTGGTATTACAGGCATCTGCCACCATGCCCAGCTAATTTTTTTTTGTATTTTTATTAGTGACAGGTTTACACCGTGTAGGCCAGGTTGGTCTCGAACTCCTGACCTCAAGTGATCCGCCTGCCTCAGCTTCCCGAAGTGCTGGGATTACAGGTGTGACCCACCGTGCCCAGCCTGATTTCCCAGTTTTGGTTTGGATATGATGATGAAGCACAGAAATGGCCTTGGGTTTTCTCTGTATTGAGACCTTCTATTTTAAATTCTGCAGAGACTAAACTTCTAAAACAGTGAATCTCCCTAGTACAGAGTCATGGAGGGGATTGAAGGATCTATTTTTTTTTTCTTAAATGGCTGTCACTGAAATCCTCTTTGCTTTTTAGCCCTCTACTTCCTTAGCCCCCAGTGCCAGTCTTACCTGGTGGTACCATTTCTTATGCCTGTTTAAGATTCTATGGCATACAGTGGGTTGGTTCTCAGCTTCTCTGTCAGGCTGGAATTCAGGTTTCTATCAAATTGCCGTTGCTTTTTCTGTTTCTACCCACTTTGCCCCTGTCCTTATGAGGTATTTTTCTTAAAGATTTCTCCTGATGTAGTTTGTAGTAGGTTTCACAAGGTACTGAAATTACATAGACGTATATGATTCGCCATCTTAACCTGGAAACCTAAACCTACTTTTAAATTGTCCGCCTTATTTTTAATATGTGTGATATTTATGATGAAACATTGAAATATACTGAAATGCATAATATCTAGTTGTTCCATATATGTTTTTAAAATAAATGCTTCAGCAAATCTGTTAACTATTTTTGTAAATCTCAGCATTCATTCTTGCTTTTTGGAATAGGAGCAAGATTTTTTTTTTTAAAGAGACAGTTTAGGAAATTTTAGACGAATCCTCAGAATTATTTGTTGTGGACACCAACCACTGTAAAAATACCTAAATGAAAAAATTTTGCCTTTAAATACCTCTTTTGAGATAAATGTTTAAGAAGTAATATCAGAAAAATGGTTTTTAATTAAATTACTTACGTTACAGTACAGTTCGAGTACAAGCATAGCAATATCCCTTTCAGAAAGATCTTTAAAAAAGTAAATGAAGTTAACTCCAGGACGTTTAACCCTGGTAAATAAGGAGGGATATGATTGACCAGACTTAATACTGGTCCTTATAAACATGTTATAAATATTTTTGTTTCATATGGCAGTAAAGCTACCTATAAACCTTATTTATCATTGTATTTACTTGAATATTTGGAAAATTTTTGAAAACGTCTGTTATCTCAATAATACATCGGGTGTTATTAATAGGTTATTGATATGTAACATTTTTATATTTTTCCTACAGGCTCAGTAGTGGGAACTCTTAAAAATAAGGTCATTGTACTTATATATTTTTAGTTTCGAAATATTTAGACTCTTAAGATAAAATGTGAAATAGGTAAGCCTAGGTATATATACACTTTTTAAAATTAAATTTGTTTAAGTGATGTCACAGTCATACATTTTTTCTTTTATAAATCTGGTTTCATCTCACAACCACCTTGATCTTAGACTTCTAGCCTTCAAAATTGTGGGTTACTGGAGTTTGAGGCTCTGTATTGATGAGACCATAGGATCCAAAAATTAATCTAAAAGTCATGTCAAGACTTTGTTGGCTGGGCACGGTGGCTCACGCCTGTAATTCCAGTACTTTGGGAGGCCAAGACGGGCAGATCATTCGAGGCCAGTAGTTTGAGACCAGCCTGGCTAACATGGTAAAACTCCATCTCTACTAAAAATACAAAAATTAGCCCGGTGTGGTAGCAGGCGCCTGTAGTCCCAGCTACACTGGAGGCTGAGGCAGGAGAACTGCTTGAGCCTGGGAGGCGGAGGTTGCAGTGAGTCGAGATCACACCAGTGCACTCCAGCCTGGGCAACAGAGCAAGACTCACTCTGAAAATTAAAAAAAAATAAAATTAAAAAAACGTGATAAACTAATGACTAAGTCTTTTTCTTTTCTTTTTTTAAGAGATGGGGTCTCTACCGGGCACAGTAGCTCACACCTTTAATCCCAGTATTTAGGAGGCCAAGGTGGGCAGATTGCTTGTGCCCAGAAGTTTGATTCCAGCGTGGGCAACAATGTGAAACCCCAACTCTACAAAAAATAAAAAAATTAGTTTGCACATGCCTATAGTCCCAGCTACTCAGAAGGCTGAGGAGGGAGAATCACTTGAGCCCAGGAGTTCAAGGCTGCAGTGAGCCGAGATTGTGCCACTGCACACAGAAGAAATATCAGAAAAATGATTTTTAATCAAATTACTTACGTTACAATACAGTTTGAATACAAGTATAGCAATATCCCTTTGAGAAAGATCTTTCAACACACACACACACACACACACACACACACACACACACACACACACACACACACGCCAGCATGGTGGTGCTTGCCCGTAGTCCCAGCTACTTGGGGGCTGATGTAGGAGGATCTCTTGAGCCTGGGAAGTCGAGGCTGACAAACCTTGCCTCCAGAGAGAGAGAGAGAGAGGGTCAGACCTTGCCTCCAGAGAGAGAGAGAGAGAGAGAGAGAGAGAGAGAGAGGGTCAGAGCGTCTTGCCATGTCATCCAGGCTGGAGTGTAGTAGTGGTACAATTAGAGCTCACTGCAACCTTTTTTGTTTTTTGTTTTTTTTTTGAGGTGGAGTCTTGCTCCGTCGCCAGGCTGGAGTGCAGTGGTATGATCTTGGCTCACTGCAGCCTCTGCCTTCCGGGTTCAAGCGATTCTCCTGCCTCAGCCTCCCGAGTAGCTGGGACTAGAGGCGCGTGCCACCACACCCAGCTAATTTGTTTTATTTTTAGTAGAGACGGGGTTTCACCATGTGGGCGAGGATGGTCTCGATCTCCTGACCTTGTGATCCGCCCGCCTCGGCCTCCCAAAGTATTGGGATTACAGGTGTGAGCCACCATGCCCAGCCACTCACTGCAACTTTTAACTCCTGGGCTCAAGGAGTCCTCCCACCTCAGCCTCCCGAGTCACTGGGTCTACAGGCACATGGCACCATGCCTGGTTTATATTTTAAAATACTTTTTTGGTAGAGATGGGGTCTTGCTCTGCTGTCTAAGTGTTCTCAAATTCCTGGCTTCAAGTGATCCTCCTGCGTCAGCCTCCCCAAGTACTGGAATTACAGATGTGAGCCCCTGTGCCTGGCCTCCTAGTCAATCTTTAGTTGGCTATTTACCAATTTGCTGTGTGTGTAAATACACACATACATATACATTTATATTTAAGTTTCCTAGACTTTGCATGTAGATTAAAAGAGAGTAAAAGCAATTGCCATCTGATCTTTTCTGTGGCCTTATTTAATTGAGGTTTTCTACCTCAACCCAGTTCCCAGTGTTTTTACTATACAGACTATTGTCATAATTATTATTCTTGGGACAGATTCTACCAACATTAAAAGTTGATTTGCATTTTAGACAAAGTAATCTTACATTTTGAATTATTCCTGACAACCCAAAAAACAAGAGTTTATTAATATGAATGTTTAATTAAATCCCACGTCTTTTATTTCTTTTTAAGTCCTTTTCCATTTTGAATTTTAACAGGGAGCTGGGTTTTTTTGGTGTTTTTTGTTTTGCTTTGTTTTTTTTAAATTCCTGGCTGTGAATCTTAAGTCCTCATTCTCTCAGATGTAGCCAGCAATCTGGGCATGGCTGTGTCTGAAAAGTAGAGACAGCCTTATGCCCAAACTTCTGTTACCAACGCGTTCTGATATCCAATATGAGTTATTTTGCTTGCATTTCTGATAATGGCTAAGGCAGTAACCAACTATAATTCATATTTAATGGTTTTCAAAAGTTTGAAGTTTGAGTCTTTGGTCCCATTTTGAGGTCATAACAATTTAAGATATTTTATATAGTACTAACTATAAGAATACTCTGATAGAAAGATACTGCCAGGAATACAAAGATAAGTAAGGCAAAGTCCTTGCTCAGACAGGTCCATTAATACTGTAATTCAAGGTAGAGTAAGATTAGTGTCATTAGAGTATTTGTTTCTAACATCAGTTCCATAACAGACACTGGCTTCTCAGGGATATCCTTACTATTCCTTCTGAAACTATTATATTGTTATCAGAAAAACTCTTAGTATGAATTTAGAGTATCTGGAAATATTAATGATAAACAAGAATCTTGGTTATTTTTTGCTTGGCAAAGATAACAAGCTATTATTAATGGCTTTCTGGGGCAATGAGCTATTACTGTGACAGAAATAAAAAATATATTTTTTAAACCTGTATCCAAATAGTTTGTATGCTATTGATCTTAGATGCATGAAATGTCTATGTGCTTACAAAGTGACATAACAGTACAAGAAATAACATGATATGAATCACATATGTACGTTATACGTGAGGTTGTCATTTAGCACTGGGATTGATTAAAAGCACAAGCAGGCCGGGTATGGTGGATCACGCCTGTAATATTAGTACTTTGGGAAGCCAAGGCGGGCAGATCACCTGAGGTTAGGAGTTCGAGACCAGCCTGGCCAACATGACGAAACCCTGTCTCTACTAAAAATACAAAAATTAGCTGGGTGTGGTGGCGCGTGCCTGTAATCCCAGCTACTTGTGAGGCTGAAGCAGGGGAATCGCTGGAACCTGGGAGTCAAAGGCTGCAGTGAGTCAAGGTTGCACCACTGTACTCCGGCCTGGGCGACAGAGCGAGACTCCGTCTGAACAACAACAACATCAACAAAAAAGGCACAAGCAGAGTCTTTTTCAGTAAGTTAGAAGAATGCCTCTCTTCCCTCAATGAGTCACAATACATACAAGCATTTTAAAGTCAGGTTAATAGTTGAAAGATCTTAGATGCAAAGAGTTTTAAATCATTAGTTCAAGAACTAGTCAGTGAGTGATTGAATAAACTTTATTAAAACATGCTTAGTGAATTAGTGAATATTACAACACAATTTTTTTCCTATTACTTTCTTTGAGTTTCGAGAAAGTTTCTAGCTGGGTGTGGTGGTGTGTGCCTGTAGTCCCAGATACTGGAGAGGCTGTGGTGGGAGGATCCCTTGAGCCCAAGAGTTCGAGGTTACAGTGAGCTATGATAGGCAACAGAGTAAGACTCTGTCTCAGAAAAAGTAGTCTCTATATGTGTATGTAAACTTTAGGAAGAAGTGGATGTTTATCACTGTTGGTTTGTTTCTGAAGTGTAATTATTATTTGATTGTGACTTGAATCTACTTTTTAAGAGGCCATAATTTTGGCTAATTCCAAATAAGACCTGACCTTACAAATGGCCTCATTACTAAGTCCAGCTTGTGCTAGAGCTTTCACTAATTACTGTCTGGGTCTAGGACTGGTAGTCAGACTGCAACAGTCACAACTTGGTAAACATTTTAAATACTGACATAAGATTTTTATATTCATACATTATTCATAATTGAAGTAAAAACATAGTTCCAAGATGTTGTAAAGGTGTCTTTCACTTTTTCTTCAGTCTTAGCTGTCTGTGAAGATAAACATACAACTTGCCTCTTATAAATGGTTCTCATGCAAGATAAAGCTATAATGGGATACTTTTTTTCTGTTTTTCAAATATCAGATTAGCAAAGATCAAATGTTTTGAACACGTTTTTGAAAAGAGTGTAGAAAGACTGCCACTGTCATTCATTGCTGGTTATGAGTATATACAGATATAAAGCTTGTGGAATGCATTTCTAATTATATATATTCATTTACTCAGGCATTTTTCTTCTCGTAACTTATTGTCCAGTCTACATGCATTTATTCATTTGTGGGAGATGACTTGAGTACAGGGCTTCTTCTTGTATGTATTAGAAGACTGGAAACAGCCTAACTATCTGTTAAATAAACTGAGTGCAGTTGCTCATGCCAGTAGTCCCAGCTACTTGGGAGGCTTAGGTGGGAGGAATTGTTTGAGCCCAGGAGTTCGAGGCTGCAGTTAGCCGTGATCCCACCACTGCACTCCAGCCTGGGCAACAGAGCGAGACCTTGTCTCAAGGGAAAAAAAGAGTTTAATAAATTATTTTACATCTATCCAGTGGAATACAATGCAGCCAGCCATTTAAAAGAATGAAGTAGTTCTGTATGTACTCATAGGAAATGGATTGGTTTCCACGTCATAGTAAGTTTTTTTAAAGTGTAGGACAGAACAGAATTCTTTAGCCATTTGTTTGTTTTTTCTTCATTGTGAAAATGTTTTATTTTATTTTTAATTTTACTTTTAAGTTCTGGGATACATATGCAGAACGTGCCGGTTTGTTACATAGGTATGTATACACGTGCCATGGTGGTTTGCTGCGTCATCAAGGTTTTAATCCCTGCATATGCATTAGGTATTTGTCCTAATGCTCTCTCTCCCCTTGTCAGGCCCCGGACAGGCCCTGGTCTGTGATGTTTCCTTCCCTGTGTCCTTGTGTTCTCATTGTTCAACTCCCACTTATGAGTGAAAACACGCGGTGTTTGGTTTTCTGTTCCTGTGTTAGTTTGCTGAGAATGATTAGCCATTTGTTTTATTTGTGAACTATATCTTAAGTGTGCATGTATGTGTGCTTGAATATGCATACCATATCTCTGGAAGAAAACATAAGAATGCATTAAAACTTGTTGCCTGTGTGATAAACTAGGTGTACTTCCTAGAGTAAAAGGGTAATTGGGATTTTTCTTCATATTTTTGAATGTTTGTACACTGTGCATGTGAGAGAGAAAGATTCTCAGAGGCTGGATGTGGTGGTTCATGCCTGTCATCCCAGCACTTTGGTAGGCCAAGGTGGGAGGATTGCTTGGGGCCAGGAGTTCAAGACCAGTCTGGACGATATGGCAAAACCCCATCTCTGCAAAGAAACAAAAATTAGCCAGGCGTGATGGTACATGCCTATAGTCCCAGCTACTGGGGAAGCTGAAGCAGGAGGATCACTTGAGCCCAGGAGGCAGAGGTTTCAGTGAGCCAAGGTCATGCCACTGCACTGTAGCCTGGGTGACAGAGCAGACTCTGTCTTAAAAAAGGTTCTCATGCATTTTCTTTTATTGCCCTTCCTGGGATATATGCTTCAGTAGCCTGAGAAAATATGCCAAGGTCTTAACATTGAATATTCAACATTTATAGATGGTTGTCTCTTAATGAATTCCTTTTTTTTTTTTTGAGACAGAGTCTCAATCTGTTGCCCAAGCCAGAGTGCAGTGGTGTGTTCTTGGCTCACTGCAACCCCTTTCTCCCGGGTTCGAGTGATTCTTGTCCCTCAGCCTCCCAAGTAGCTGGGACTACAGGTGCATGCCACAGCATCCAGCTAATTTTTGTACTTTTAGTAGAAACAATGTTTCACCATGCTGGCCAGGCTGGTCTTGAACTCTTTGGCCTCATGAGATCTACCGCCTTGGCCTCCCAAAATGCTGGGATTTCAGAAGTGAGCCACCACGCCAGGCTTCTTAATGAATTTCTGTTAGCCTTCAACTTTAACCCTAAAAGTAATTCTCTGCTGTTCACATGATATGAAGATTCAGACAAAGAAACAGCAAAGATTTTGTTCATATAGTGGAGATGGTTCGAATAAAAAAATTCTTCCTGTGATAGAACATTTTTCTTTTTTCAAGCTCTTGAAACAATAATACCATTTCCTAAAGTAGCAAACTTAGATGATGTGTAAATCTCTTATTTGTATCTAGACAAACAAAGATAGCTTCCCTTTCTTTTGGTACAAATATTTTCATCTCTAATCTTATTGTGCTTTTGATAACCAGGCTGACTTACTATGGGAGGATAGTTTGTCACTCTGAACCCAGCATACAGAGCTTCATGTGAGATAGTGTCCTTGACCTTGGCCTCACTAGTACTGTAATCAGGCTTTCTTACCAGACTGCCTGAGTGTATTAACTTGAATATTTGGTTGAACATTGTATTAACTTTAATGTAATAACTGCCTAGTGGAGTCAGCATTCAAGTAGTGTGGTTGTTTAATGCTGTATACTTAGCTGTTTTTCTAGAAAACACAGATCATCAGCAGTTCTAATTGTACATACTCATCAACTCAGACATTCCACTTGTAAGGAATTTATCCTACAGTCTTATTTGTTGGAAATAAGTATAGGATCATCATCATCATTATAAGTGACATAATTCAAAGACCTGATCATCTGTAAAAAAAAAAACTGAAAATTCAAGAAGACTGGGTTCCTTGAAAGGCTTTAACTATTTCTTGCAGAGATGATTTTCCAAGGCAAAATCATCTCTGAATTTCAGAGATGAATTTGAACACAAGGATGAGGGCATTCTTGTAGAGTTTCTTGGAATTCATAGGAATTAACCCAGTTTGTTCATCTTCAAATCGTTTTTATGTTTTTGCCAAAGAGAAGATTATCAATTAATAGTTTTTTTATACAAAAACTATGGGCAGCAGTATCAAAGTTGACATTATTTGTAGGGCATTTGAAATGTTTGTTTTGCTCTATTATTTGTGCTATTGTTTGTGCCGTAGGTGAGCTCTGTTTTGTTGTTAATTAACCATTTTTAAATGGTCTTGCTGAGAAACTATAATAAGAAATCTGGGCCAGGTGCAGTGGCTCATGCCTGTAATCCCAACACTTTGGGAGGCTGAGGTGGGCAGATCACTTGAGGCCAGGTATTTGAGACCAGCCTTGCCAACATGGTGAAACCTCATCTCTACAAAAAAAAAAAAAAATGGAAAAATTAGCTGGGTGTGGTGGCATAGGCCTGTAATCCCAGATGCTTGGGAGTCTTGAGGGGCGAGAATCGCTTGAACCCAGGAGGTAAAGGTTGCAGTGAGCCAAGATTGCACCACTGCACTTCAGCTTGGGCAACAGAGCAAGACTCTGTCTCAAAAAAAGAAGAAAAATTCAGTTATAATGTTTAAGGATATTTCATATATCTTTATTTCTAAACTTTTCATATTATACAGTTTCTACATGGTGTTTGATATAGACTTAGTAATAATGTTTATTAAATATGTAAATTAATGACTAAAGTGTTTTTTAAAGATTAGAATGAAGGCCAGGCATGGTGGCTCATGCCTGTAATCCCAGCACTTTGGGAGGCTGAGGTGGGCGGATCACCTGAGGTCAGAAGTTCAAGACCAGCCTGACCAACATGGAGAAACCTTGTCTCTACTAAAAATACAAAAAAGCCAGGCGTGGTGGTGGGCACCTGTATTCTCAGCTATTCGGGAGGCTGAGGCAGGAGAATCGCTTGAACCCGGGAGGTGGAGGTTGCGGTGAGCCGAGGTTGTACCATTGCACTCCAGCCTGGGCGGCAAGAGCAAAACTCCGTCTAAAAAAAAAGATTAGAATGAATGTGGCATTCTGTCTTTTACTGATGTCGGGAGAACATCTTAAATAGATATGTTACGGGTTGAAATGTTTTCCCCAAAAAGATATATTGAAAACCTAATACTTGTAGTATATAGTACTTGTGAATATAACCTTAAGAAATAGGGTTTTTGAAGATATAATCAAATTAAGATGAGGTCGTTAGAGTTGCCCTTAATCTAGGGTTCTTATAAGAGAGAATATGGATACAGAGATACACAGTGTAGACACCATGTGTCAACATTGGCAGGGATCGGCATGATGCTTCTGCAAGCTCAGGATTGCAAAAGGTTGCCAGCAGACCACCAGAAGCTAGGAGAGGCAAGGAAGGGCTCTGGTACAGTTTTCAGAGGAGACATGGTCCTGTTTATGTCACAGATGTCACTTCACCAGCTGGAAATTCTGTGGCCAGTGGCACCAGTGCTTGAGTTTTGCTTATTCCCACTGGGCTCATTCTGCCTACTTGGCCTGGCAGGCTGAACTCGGCTCACACTACTGGCCTGGATCTCACGCCTATCAAGGGCGAGCCAGGAGCAGAGTGGTGAGGGGTGTGTGACCGGGCAAGCACAGGGTCCAATCACTGTGCACAGCCAGGCATACTGGCTGCTATAGTGGGGCAGGCAGTTCCAGTCACCAGCACAGGTCTGGCCCCATTGTGAGGCTGCAGCTGGATCAGATGTACCGTAAGCAGCTGTCGCTGCAGCACCCGCGTGTGGATGGAGGGAATGTGGTATCATCTGAAAGCTTAGAAATGCCAGGATCTGCAGAGCCCCCAAAAAGGGTGTTACAGCGTGTCACAGCCCTGGCTTGAGGAGCCCTGAGGTCTGGGCTCCCAGTAGGGCCACAGCTCTTCTTTCTTTCTCGTCACCTGCAGTGTGGCGAGTGAGGGGGTGAGTTTCTGGAGGGCAGTTTCAGCCCATTTGTGTTACAGCTCTTTCAGTCCTGCCATCCCGCTCCAGCTGGCAACTCCTGGGCTGGCCCGGCCCTGTTGCTTTTTCCCATCCCATGGGGTGGCTACCTGGTGGAGGGCAGGAGGGCTGTAGTGTTACGGAAGCTCTGGCTTTGGGAACCCCAA
Source organism: Homo sapiens (assembly GCF_000001405.40). Lineage (NCBI taxonomy): Eukaryota > Metazoa > Chordata > Mammalia > Primates > Hominidae > Homo > Homo sapiens. Next base: position 63,297,639 of record NC_000010.11, on the reverse strand, counting down.
GGTCTGGGCCCCCAGAAAGTTCACCACTCTTCACTTTCACAATCTGGGAGCATGTTACCACCCACACCTCAGTAAGCCAGCCAGGAATGTGTTACAGCTCCTTTCAGTCCTGCCATTTGGTGGGTCCAGAGTTCTTGTCCTGCATCCAGGAAGAATGAGGTTATGTGGACAACTGGAGGGTGAGCAAGACAGAGAGGAGTGATAGAACAGCTCTCAGCGGAGAGGAGACCTGAAGTAGGTAGCTCCTATCTGCAGACAGGTAGTCCTGATGAGTGTCCAAGCCTGGCTGAGCCCGGGGTTTTTATAGGCTCAGAATGGAGGAAGTGCATGCTGACTGGTCCATGGGTGGGCCTGGAAAAAGCACTATCCGACTGGCCAAAAGGCATCAAGGAAGTTCTCTGGGTTGGAGACTCTACCCAGAACTGGCAGCCCGGCCTCCAGGCTTCAGGCCATCCCTGGCTTGTAGGATTACAGGCGTGAGCCACCGCGCCTGGTTTATTTAATGTTTTTAAATAAACACTTCGCTGTCGACACAACTAAACTGCATATACTTTTCAGGATCCTGGGTATGATGATGAGAAAAGATGCCAAAGGAGATGACTGGTTCCTAATTTTGAGAAACTTTCAAAGTGGTGAAAGAAACACATATGGTTCAAGAAGGGAATAATTATATAGTAACAGGTACTTTGAAGAAATGTGTAACCTGATTTATGAAAATCTTAAAATGGGAACTTACGAGTAAAATAGAGATTTTTGCTTTAAATTAAAAAAAATTGTCTATCCTCCACCCCCTTTTCTTTTAAGAACTTCATACTGTCAACCAGGAGAGACTATCTTTTACAGCTAGATAACTAGGCTTACTAGCATGTAGAAAATATAGCTGATCTCATTATATGCAGATTCTGTAATTGCAAATATGCCTACTCACTAAAAATTATTTGTAACCCAAAATGGCACTTCCTTGACCATTCATAGACTTACGCAGAGTGGAGAAAAATTTTTGTCACCTATACGCACATTTCCAACTGAGATTGAACAGGTGATGTTCTGCTTTTTTGTTTCAGATTTCATACTGTAAACAAGTATCCTTTTAATGGTCTATTTAATGTCATGTTTTTTGTATTGTTCTGTTTTTCTGGTTTAGGTTAGTGATTTTGCTGTTTAAAATACTCCCCAAATGTAGTGCCGAGTACTGCCTAATGTTTTTTAAGGGCAAGAAGGCTGTGATGATATGCCTTTTGTGGAAAATACATGTGTTAGACAAGTTTCATTTAGGCATGAGTTAATAGTGCTGCTGTTCGTGATCTCAATATTAATGAATCAACAAGATAGCCAGGCATGGTGTCTCATGCCTGTAATCCCAGCACTTTGGGAGGCTGAGACGGGTGGATCACCTGAGGTCAGGAGTTTGAGACCAGCCTGGCCAACATGGTGAAGACCTGTCTCTACTAAAAATACAAAAAATTAGCTGGGCGTGGTGGTGCATGCCTGTAATCCCAGCTTGGGAGGCTGAGGCAGGAGAATCATTTGAACCTGGGAGGCGGAGGTTGCAGTGAGCCAAGATTGTGCCATTGCACTCCAGCCTGGGCAACAAGAGTGAAACTCCATCTAAGAAAAAAAAAAAAATATATATATACACACACACACACACACACACACACACACACACACACACACACATATACGTGTATATATATATATGTATACACATGTACATGTATATACATACACGTATTCATGTATATATATATACATATATATAGTGTGGTTAAGCAGAAACACACATGAAACATGTTTGTGGATAAATACAGTTAACAAAAATGTGACAAGGGGCTCATTGGAGCCTACCTTGTATTTTCCTTAAGAACAGTAGCTCAGTATTTACTAATTCATTGTTTAAAGGGGCTTTACAGAGCGTAACTACCATGCATAACAAGAATCAATTGTACCTACCAGATTTTTCTTGACTAAACTGTTGAAAAAATTTTGTCTCTAACAATTTGGAAATAAATTGTACCTTTTTCTGTTTGAAATGAAACTTGCTCATAAAACAATTCAAAATCTAGTTAATGCTTCTTGAGAGAGACCCCTTTCTTGATCAGCAGGTTCTCTGGTGAGCCTATATAGAATCATAGCAAGAAAGCAGCCAATGAAGACAGAACTCATAGGCTTGAAACACTAATTGTAATTTCTTAACATTTTCAGTTAATACTTATGGTTGCCCTCAGAATTCTAAATGCAGGCTAGGCATGGTGGCTCACACCTGTGACTTTGGGTGGCCGAGCACTTTAGGAGGCTGAGGCAGGAGTATCACTTCAGGCCAGGAGTTCAGAACCAACCTGAGTGAGACCCTGTCTCTACCAAAAAAAAAAAAAAAATTAGTTGGGCACAGTGGCACATGTCTGTGTTCTGAGATACTCAGGGAGGCTAAGGCAGGAGGATCACTTGATCTGAGGAGTTCACACCTGCAGTGAGACTGAGCCATGATCAAGCCACTGTACTCCAGCCCCAACGACACGGAGAGATCCTCACTCAAAACAAAAAATCTAAATGCTATTCCTTTTTTTTTTAACTACTTCAGAAAGAATCTTTATCTTCTAATTGCTGTTTTTTAAATTTGATGACCTAAGATGGTTGTGGCTCTTCTTACATAATTTCCTCATAAAAAACTGTAGACTGGCTGCAACAATTTAGTTCTACATTTTCAATAATGCCTTTTAAAATTAACTTCCTAGGAGCTGGTGGAAAGTGTTTTCCTTAATGACCCTCAATTTTAGAACTTCTTTAAAAATATTTAATGATAGCCTTTGTTTTTAGATACTATGGAAAATACAAAAACAAAATTGAAGAAATCTTTGTCTTCCTAGAACTCCAAAGTTTTGTGGAGACAGATACATGCATAAATAACAAGTTAAAACTATTTTTACTGTGTGGTAGTAGAAGTCCAAACAGATAGCAGTGGGTATATAAAGCAGGAAAGGATTAATTTTGAGTGATGAGATACAGAAATTAATTCATAGACAAGGCTATGTTTGAACTAGGCCTTGGAAAGATTGACCAGGGTGCAGTGGCTCAGGCCTGTAATCCCAGCACTTTGGGAGGCCAAGGCGGGCGGATCACGAGGTCAAGAGATGGAGACCATCCTGGCCAGCATGGTGAAACCCCGTGTCTACCAAAAATACAAAAATTAGCTGGGTGTGGCGGCACACACCTGTAGTCCCAGCTACTCAGGAGGCCGAGGCAGGAGAATTTGCTTGAACCCTGGAGGCGGAGGTTACAGTGAGCCGAGATGATACCACTGCACTTCAGCTTGGCAACAGAGTGAGACTCTGTCTCAAAAAATTAAAAAAAAAAAAAAGATTGAACTGAACAGATAAAGGGAAACATCTTGAGCTAAATTAGACGAGAATAAATGTAAAAGAACAGAGGACGTTTAAGGATGTGAGATACGCATAATTACGAAAATGACCATAGTGAACTATGAATCTGGAAAGCAGAAAGGGTTGAATTGCTGAAGAGTTCATCTGCAAGGTGAAGATGATTAGGATATCTTGCAAAATGTAGTAATAAAGTGCTTTGAATAGGGAATGATTTAGTTAAATTTGTCTTTTAGGATCAGTTGGAAGAGTTAGATTAAATGCAAGAAGGGCAATTAAATTAAAAAGAACTGAATTAGTACATGGGAAAGGTCAGAAAAAGGACCTAGATGTGACAGTTTACTGCATATAGATAATACTTAGAGCCATAAGTTGATCAGTTGGAGTTCAAAGTGATTGGCTTAATCTTGAGCCACATCCACATTTAAGGGTTGTGAAGAAGTGGAGCCATCTGGGAAGATTGAAAAAAAAAATTAGAGAAATAGGGAAAGCATCAGAATATGGTATTTTCAAAGTCAAAGGAGAAATAAGCCTCTTATAGGTTATCATTAATACGAATGCCTCTGTGTTGAGGAGGGTGGAGGACTGAATTTATCAATAATTGGGCCATTACTTTGAGAGAGGAGTTTCAAAGGAATGCAGAATTAGACAGCTAGATCACATGTGATTATAAAAGTAGGATGACCTGAAGATTTTATCTTCAGGCCCTATTTTATGACAATGAGTGTGTTGATTGTGTATTTTTGATAAAGAAGGAAAAACAAATATTACATATTTATATTTTATTTGATGGACCTGAGAGAATGGTAGCAGTGAATGTAAGTGGTAAGTAAAAGAAGTAGGAGAGGTCTGATCATCAGAATATGGCTAGGAAGGTAGTGATATATTCTTGGAATAAAAGCTCTGTGAGAGCAGAAAGATTTGTTTGGTTCTACACACTACTTATCTCTAGGTATTTGTTGGTTTATTTGCTGGCAAGAAGGATGAATATAAAATGGAGTGACCATGGTTTATTTCAGTTAAGGTTTGGTGGCATTGAGACCACCAAACCAAGAAAAGGTCGAGGAAGTCATTTATTCTTTGAGACTGATGCTAGAATAACAACAGTAGAAGTGATTATTTCTGATAATGGGGATTAGAATGTGTAATCTTCCTGGGGAAAATACTTGGCTAGGTTGGTTGTAGGCAATGGTTTGTTTGTTTTGTTTGTTTGTTTATTTTGAGAGGAAGTCTCACTCTCGCCTAGGCTGGAGTGCAGTGGCATGATCTCGGCTCACTGCAACCTCTGCCTCCTGAGTTCAAGTGATTTTCCTGCCTCAGCTTCTCAAGTAGCTGGGATTACAGGCAAGCACCACCACGCCCAGCTAAGTTTTGTATTTTTTGTAGAGAGGGGTTTCACCATGTTGGCCAGGCTGGTCTCTAACTCCTGACCTCAGGCGATCCGCCCACTTCAGCCTCCCAAAGTGCTGGGATTACAGGCGTGAGCCACCACACCCAGCCGGAAGTGGTTTTAAGGAAGACATTAAGAATGGTAGGTGACTTTATATCATCCTGTTAATAAAGAGGGACTATGGACGAAGTGGATTTGGCTTTAGAATGTTTGTAAACATTAGTATGATGTGATGATTGTCCTGTTTTATTTTTATTTTTTTGAGACAGAGTCTTGCTCTGTCATCCAGGGTGGAGTGCAGTGGCGTGATCTCGGCTCGTTGCAACCTCTGCTTCCCGGGTTCAAGCAATTCTCCCACCCCAGCCTCCTGAATAGCTAGGACTATAGGCATGCAACACCATGTGTAGCTAATTTTTGTATTTTTACTAGAGACGGGGTTTCGCCATGTTGGCCACGCTGGTCTTGAACTCCTGGCCTCAAGCAGTTGCCCACCTTGGCCCCCCAAAGTGTTGGGATTTCAGGCATGAGCCACTGCACCCAGCCATTTTAGTAAAATTCTTTAAAACAAGCCTGTGGGAGTGAAATTAAAATGCAGAATAGAAATATAAATTTAGGGCCCAGCATAGTGGCTCACATCTGTAATCCCAGCACTATGGGAAGCTGAGGTGGGAGAATCACTTGAGACCAGGAGTTCAAGACCAGCCTAGGCAAAAAAAAAAAAAAAAAAATCTGTCTCTACAGAAACTAAAAAAAATTAGTCAGATATGGTGGCGTGTGCCTATAGTTCCCAGCTATTCAGGAGGCTAAGGTGGGAGGATTGCTTGAGTCCAAGAGGCTGATAATGTAGTGAGCTGTGATCGTGCCATGACACTCCAGCCTAGGCAACAGAGTGGGACCCTGTCTCAAATACACACACACATACAACACACACAGACATGCACACACACATTTCTCATGTCTATACATAGTTTATTTTCCATTTCCAGTCAACCTCCCCCACCCAAAGAAATGAAGAGACAGATTAAAATAAAAGATTAGTTGTAAACCCAGCTTTATTATAGAGACTAGGATAGCAAAAGCATTGCAAAATTGTAATTCCAGCTGGGCACAGTGGCATATGCTTGTAGTCCCAGCTACTCTGGAGGCTGAGGCAAGAGTTTGAGGCCATAGTGCACTGTGATCATGCCTGTGAATAGTCACTGCACTCTAGCCTGGGCAACTTAGCAAAGCCGTTTCTTTCCGGTTTTTTTTTTTTTTTAGATGGAGTTTCACTCTTTTTGCCCAGGCTGTAGTGCAGTGGCATGATCTCGGCTCACTGCAACCTCTGCCTCGCGGGTTCAAGCGATTCTCCTGCGTCAGCCTCCCAAGTAGCTGGGATTACAGTCGCCTGCCACCACACCTGGCTAATTTTTTGTATTTTTAGTAGAGACGGGGTTTTACATGTTGGCCAGGATGGTCTTGATCTCGTGACCTTGTGATCCGCCCACCTTGGCCTCCCAAAGTGTTGGGATTACAAGCGTGAGCCACCTCGCCCAGCCCTTTTTTTTTTTTTTTTTTTTTTTCTGAGACAGACTTTCACTCTTTTTTCCCAGGCTGGAGTGCAATGGCGCTATCTCAGCTCACTGCAACCTCTGCCTCCCGGGTTCAAGCGATTCTCCTGCCTCAGCCTCCCAAGTAGCTGGGATTATAGGCATGTGCCACCATGCCTAGCTAATTTTTTTTGTATTGTTAGTAGAGAGAGAGTTTCACCGTGTTAGCCAGGCTGGTCTTGAACTCCTAACCTCGTGATCCGCCCACCTCGGCCTCTCAAAGTGCTGGGATTAGAAATGTGAGCCACTGCGCCCAGCCCAAGCCCTGTTTCTTAAAAAGAAACAAAGTAGTTGTAATTGCAATCAGATTTTTCTTACTAAATATCTATGAGTGTTTGGACATGTTTTGAAACAACTAATATACTTAATATTTTTTCTCAATATTTGCTATCTTAAAAAAATAAAGATTTCATACTGATTTTTTTTAGCTTGTCGTTACTTTCTTCATGAAGAAATTTAAATTTCTACAGCCAGTCCTCTTCATTATTGTGACATGAATTCCAATCCTGAATATCATGAACTTATAGTAATAGCAAAATTGCAAGCATTTTGCTACAGTGTGTATTTTAATCTCTTTCCATAAATAAGTACCTCAGAGTAATCATAGACATTAGACATAAAAAAGTCCTATTGGATTATTTTGTTTGTGTCTTGCCAGTGTAGCTTTTCCCTATATTATCGCTTCAGAAGCTTTTTACCATCTACTTTTATTTATTTATTTTTGAGACAGAGTCTTGCTCTGTCGCCCAGGCTGGAGTGCAGTGGTGCGATCTTGGCTCACTGCAACCTCCGCCTCCTGGGTTCAAGCGATTCTCGTGCCTCAGCCTCCTGAGTAGCTGGGTTTACAGGCATCCGCCACCACGCCTGACTAATTTTTAATAGGGACGGGGTTTCACCATGCTGGCCAGGCTGGATTCGAACTCCTGATCTCAGGTGATCCTCCCGCCTTACCCTCCCAAAGTGCTGGAATTATAGGTGTGAGCCACCGCGCCTGGCCACCATTTACTTTTAAATGTTTTTCAGTGTTTTCAGAAGTTTCGGAAATATACAGAGTTCCCTAGAAGTCTAATATATGCCTTTTAGACCTTTCTTTAAGATTCTTTTCTCAGTTATAAAAGTTTAGACCTTCCTTTAAGGTTTGTTTTTTTCAGTTATAAAAGTTTGGGTTATTTTGACCCAAACTTCTTTTGGTGCTTTCCAAAACAGTCATGTAATTTATATATTTTCAAAGAATTGTCCTGTTTATTATTGCTTATTTGATGTAGGCTGTATTGTAATATTTGATTTTGTTCACCTTTCATTAATCTTTCCTTTAAATTTTTTTAACTTCTGTGATTTTCATACTCTTTTATTATATATTTAAATTTTATAAGTAACATGGGTACAGTCATCTTGGAATTTTTGCCTGTAATCAGGTTTTTGAATAATGAATGACCTTTCTAAAATGCCATAATTTAGAAGTATTTGTGGCATCTGTGATCTAATATTTATGTAAAATCTTGTTATAGTATATACTACTGCACTGAAAACTGTGTTTTAAAAAAATTATGAGATTCAACCAGTAATCCAGAAACTTTAAGTAATATGGATTACAATACTGTTTATTTTAGCATTAAGGTATTTGTAAATTTTCTTGGCGCTTTATTTAACAGGATTTAACTTGTAAATACATAAATTTAAACTACATGCAAACAATCAAGTAGAGCTTGTCACTATTCATGAAAAGCAAGTCACTGCTCTTGAAACTTTAATTTATAAGCTAAATCACTGCTGCCACTGCTAGAAAAAACAAATACTCCCAAAGGTGTTTAAGTTATTTTTTGCTGTTTTAGTTGATATTTCCATCCACAAATTTACATTTTTTTATTTCATTCATTTCAGATCACAAGTAGTTTTTATCATGTGCCTAGCAAAATGAATCATTAGAAAGTAACTTACCAGTCCTCTAAGAGAAAAAATGTTTATGTTTCTCTTATTAAATTTGTATACACATAAACCAAATGAAAGTCTTGTTACATGACTATGAAAAGAATGAACTGAGTAGAAGTACAATGATTTAAATTTCACTAGTTCTGGATTTTTTATAGCTGAGGTGATCTTTACTAGTGTTGTGTAGAAAACTACCCTAATTTAATGGTATTATCCATGTGTACTAACTGGCAAAGTCTCCCAGAGGCCAGGCAACGAAAAGACCCATAACCCATATTAAAATACTGGGATTCTAGAATTATTAAATCAATTTATTGCAAGAACTAAGGATATTAAAAGAATGAGAAAGCAAACGTAAAGAAAGTCTTTGTAAAAGACATGTCGGATTAAGAAAAAAGACTTAAATAAAATATACAGATTATTATCATTATTATTATTATTATTATTATTATTATTATTATTATTGTATTATTATTATGAGACAGTGTCACTTTGTCGCCCAGGCTGGAATGCAGTGGTGCGATCTTGGCTCACTGCAACCTCTGCCTCCCGGGTTCAAGCAATTCTTATGCCTCAGCCTCCCAAGTAGCTGGGATTACAGGCATGTGCCACCATGTCCAGTTAATTTTTTATTTTTAGTAGAGATGGGGTTTTGCCATGTTGGCCAGGCTGGTCTCAAACACCTTGGCCTCCCAAAGTGCTGGGATTACGGGTGTGAGCCACTGTATTCAGCCCTTGAAATATACCAATTCTTAAAACTCAACAATAAGAGCATGAACAACCTGACGTAAAAATGGGCAAAAGACATGAACAGATTAGACCATAAGATACAGCAGTCATTCCTTGGTGTTTACCCAAATGAGTTGAAAACACATCTACCCCAAAACCTAAACATGGATTTTTTTATAGGAGCTTTATTCATAATTGCTAAAACTTGGAAGCATCAAAGATGTCCTTCAGTATGTGAATATGTAAATAAGCTGTGGTACATTCAGACATTGAAATATTACCCACTGCTAAAAAGAAATGTGCTATTAAGCTATGAAAAGACATGGAGAAAAATGCATTTTACTAAGTGAGAGAAGCCAATCTGAAAAGGCTACATAGTATATGATTCCAAGTACAGTTGACTCTTGAACAATACAGGTTTGAACTGCATAGATCTACTTATACAGGGATTTTTTTTCAGTACATACAGTTGGCCCTCTGTGTCTGTGGGTTCTGCCTCTGCAATGAAACATGGATAGAAAATTCAGTATTAGCCTGGGCAACAAAATGAGAACCTGTCTCTACAAAAAATTTAAAAATTTAGCTGGGCGCAGTGGCTCACACCTGTAATCGCAGCTCTTTGGGAGGCTGAGGCTGGTGGATCACGAGGTCAGGAGATTGAGGCCAGCCTGGTCAACATGGCAAAACTCCGTCTCTACTGAAAACACAAAAATTAGCCAGGTGTGGTACAGGTGTCTGTAATCCCAGCTACTTGAGAGGCCGAGGCAGGAGAATCACTTGAACCCAGAAGTGGAGGTTGCAAGGAGCCAAGACCGTACCATTGCACTCCAGCTTGCGCAACAGAGCGAGACTCTGTCTCAAAAAAAAAAGAAAAAGAAAATCTAATCTTTTAAGGGGAAAAGAACACATATTTATAAATATTTGCAAATAATTACAGGGTATTCTAAGACTCCTTAAATGCTTTCTAAGAAAACTCAGGATGAGATCCTCTGCTCTAGAATAAGATATATGAAATTTTTCGTGTATATTAAAGTATAATGAAGGTTTTAGACTAAACATTTCTATTTCTTTTAGCCATTCATAACATAACGATTCTAGATAGACCTTCACTATCCGTATCACTTGGCTTTATTTTCTTATGTTTCTAATGTCTTTGTTTTGTTTGTTTGTTTTCTAATGTTTCTAATGTCTTTCTGAATGGTATGTCTTTAATTTTCATTTCAAATGATATCAATGTATTGAGACTGGTACTTCACATACGTGGAACGACAGCTTTAACCTTCATACCACAGAACAGTGTTGTCTCCTACTGAGTTTCTGTTTAGCTTCATCTTTGCATCACCCAAAATCTCTGAGACAGTGCTTAATACACTTTAAATGTTCCAATGAATATTTGTTGAATGAATAAAACTTCCTAATCCTTTTTTGCATCAAAAGCTGCCAAGCTGGTTTTACCACATATTATACTAATATGTACCTGTGGGCGTGGGGTTTGTATGTATTGCAACATACTTAGCCTCTTAAGTAGATGGAACCACAGGTGTGCGCCACCATGCCCAGCTAATTTTTGTAATTTTTGTAGAGACAAGATCTCCCTATGTTGCCAGGGCTGATAAATTTTTTGTTGAATGATTAACTTTACTTCTGGTTTCTCGTGTCTTCTTTTGAGGCACTTTTTCTTTGTTCCTCTTAGTATGCATAGAAAGTTGAGATCAACAATGATTGAATCTTCATCTTTTTTAAGCATCAAGAAGAAACTACTTTTGAGGTTATTCTGTTTACTATTTTTACTTACGTTCTGTTTCTGTGTATTCTGGGGAGGCAGCATTACCACTTTCCCAGGGTGCTGATTTAGCTGCTTGATATTTTTAGGAAGCCAGAATACCTTTAAATAAATATCTTCTGCAAAATACCAAAGAGCTTATTCTCTTACTAGCCCTAGATTTTTCGTATTTGAAAACCTGGTGTGTATAATTGGGTAAAGTTTAAAGGGCCTCTATGTGGTTCAAAGAGCTACATACTGAGGATGGGCAGCTTTCCAATGTAAGCTCTTGGTAAATTATTTAAAGGTCCTGTGGTTCCTGAGAAAGTAGGATGTTGAGTGAGCAAAGTGACCAGGAAACTGATCTGTTAAGAAAAGGTCTAAGTTCTGGACTGAGGTGCTCTGCTCTGAGATATATTCACTCTAGGCCAGGTGTTCTTAACCGTGTTCACGGTCGCAATGGCTGAAGCAACGGTTCCTAAAGGTGATTGAACCTCAGAACTAACCCAGAGAGCTTTTTAAACCTAAGGATTCCTGGGACCCACCCTCAGTGTAAGTTACAGAGTAAGGCTTAGATATGTGTATTCTTAGAATGTTCTCCAGGTGATCTTGAAAATTCTGAAATTGTGGAGCAAAATAGTGTGTGTCTCATGTTTCTTTTGGAGCTACAGCTTTCGTCAGATTCTTAAAAGGGTCTTTGATTCGAAAATCAAAATGTTAAGAACAGTTGCTAGAAGCCACTAATTCTCAAACTTGATAGTGTATCAGAATGACCTAAGAATTTGTTAAAGCACAGATTGCTGGACCCCACTTCTAGAATTTCTGATTTCAGTAAATCTGGTTTGGAGCACAGGAATATGCATTGTTAATTACAACAGGTCCTTGAATGATGTCATTTTGTTATTTCATTGATGATAAAAAGTATAGATTCCTAGCTGGGGCTGCTCTCAAGCAAATGGGCTTGCTGTCCAGTGTGCACAGAAAACCAATAACTATGGCATTGGCTTTTTAGAAAAGAAAGGTTTTTTTGTTTTGTTTGTTCGTTTGTTTGTTTCTGAGACAGGGTCCCACAGTGTTGCCCAGTCTCGAGTGCAGTGGTGTGATCATAGCTCACTGCAGCCTCAAACTCCTGGGCTCAGGTGATTCTCCCAACTCAGCCTCCTGAGTAGCTGGGACTAGAGGCACACACCACCACACCCAGCTAATTTTTATATTTTTTGTAGAAATGGGATCTCCCCAGGTTGCCCAGGCTGGTCTTGAACTTCTGGGCTCAAGTGATTGCTTCCCAAAGTGCTGGGATTGGAGGCTTCAGCCACTCTGCCCGGGCAGTAAAGAAAGGCTTATGGCAAAACTGGCTAGGAAGGAGACAAGAGTCAGACTCAAATCTTTCTGATTTGGGATCTGCGGCAAGTTTATGGACTCAGAGGGCAAGGGAAGGGATTTAGAAATGTTGGCTTAGCAGGGTCTGATTGGAGGGCTTCAAATTTTGCCATTTACGGTAAGTTATGTTGAGGCCAATTTTAGCCCTGTATCTTTTCCGGCCAATGGACCCCTCACTTCCAAAAGAGGTTCTGACATTCAGGTTCTGCTCCTGTCCCAGTCTGGGTTCTGAGGAGAGGAATTATTGGTTCCAGGTGTTGTTAAGTCATTAATGCTTTTTCTGTCGTGCGTGCTACATGACTTGCAGTTTGGGGCTCCATTATACCTATGAGATAACTCGACATTTTGTTATCAATGGTGTAGGCCCAGTTTGGTCACAAACTGGTTGTGACAGTGGTGCTTGTAGGGTCACTGTCCGTGAGGAGTTTGCACTTTATTTCCATGTCTGCGTGGGTTTGCTCAGGATATCCTGGTTTCCTCCCAAATCCCAAAGATGTGCAAGCTAATTTAATTTGCTTGTGTAAATTGTGTGTGTATGTGTGGCGTGTATGTGTGAGAGACAGCGAGTAGAGAGAATGTGTGTGTGTGTGTGTGTGTGTGTGTGTGTGTGTGTGTGTGTGTGTGTGAATCTTCCCTGCCAGGGAATGGCATCTTGTGCACGATTGGTTCTGGCCTTGAATGGTGAGCTTCTAGGATAAGCTCTGGCCACTCACAACTCTGAACTGTAATAATTGGGTAAATAATTAGCTTGTTTTTATTAATCTTTCTTAAATGTATGTATAGCTTACATTTATTTCAATGTTAAATATTGAATGTGCTTTGAGTCCTTATTTCGAAGTTTAATGATGTTTTTGTCACCAGAAACATGCCATAGGAACTTAACTCTTGTTTATATCAGACTGTGGTTTTGGTTTCATTATAAGTTATTCCCAAGAACCTATGGATGAAGTTAATGAAGGGTTGGTGTTTCTGCAGATGCTGCTGGTTGAGGGTTATCCTTTGAGAACCACTGGTTCTAGGCCTTGGTTAACACCACTCTCAGCCTTCAGCATCAGGCTTTCAGGATTCTTCAGAATGAATGACAGTAATAAACATAATGAAGCATAACAAAGCTCAATCTAATTCACCACTGTAAAAGAAGGATAAAGGAAACTCCAGGTCAGGTGTGGGTGGCTCACTCCTGTAATCCCAGCACTTTGGTAAGATGAGGTGGATGGTTCACTTGAGGTCAGGAGTTCTAGACCAGCCTGCTCAACATGGTGAAACCCCATATCTACTAAAAATACAAAAAATTAGCCAGGCGTGTTGGTGCGCGCCTGTATCCCTGTTACTCAGGAGGCTGAGGCAAGAGAATAGCTTGAACCTAGGAGGCAGAGGTTGCAGTGAGCCAAGATTGCGCCACTGCACTCCAACCTGAGTGACAGAGCGAGACTCCGTCCCCCCTCCCAAAAAACAAAAAAAAAAAGAAGAAAAGAAAACAGAAAATTCTCTTTTTCCTAGCAAAGTACACAGACATTTTAAGTTGACTCTTGACAAACCTAGTTCATGAACAATTGCTTCTCTATGTAGCATTTTGCTTTTCTTATTGTCAGAGTAGAAAAATGCATATTTCCATGACTACTTTAAATGGTTTTTTTTTGTTTTTTACACTGAATTATGTAACTTTTTAAGTATACCCACATTTTTCCAAGGCCAAGTAGAATACAGCACAAAGTTAAAACAAAATATTGTTTAACCTAAATGTGACAGGAAGCAGGAAGAATGATTCTGAGAATTCCTGAAATGAAGAAGAATGGTTCTATTAAAAAGCTCAGAAAGGCCAGGTGCAGTGGCTCACGCCTGTAATCCCAGCCCTTCGGGAGGCCGAGGTGGGTGCATCACTTGAGGTCAGGAGTCAAGACCAGCCTGACCAACATGGTGAAACCCCATCTCTACTGAAAATAAAAAAAATTAGCTGGGTGTGGTGGCGGGCGCCTGTAATCCCAGCTACTTGGGAGGCTGAGGCAGGAGAATCGTTCAAACTTGGGAAGCGGAGGTCACAGTGAGCCAAGATCATGCCATTGCACTCCAGCCTGGGTAACAGGGCAAGACTTGGTCTCAAAAAAAAAAAAAAAAAGGCTCAGAAAGCAGGTGGTCAGGTTGCTAATACAGGGAAGCTTTCAGATCCCCAAAGAAAAGGCAATTGTTACCAAAGCTATAAAACACTGCTACAAAGAAGTTTATTTGCTCAGACTGCTTATAGGCTATCTGAAACTTTGTAGGAAACTGCAACTCTGGAAGAAATCTTTATTATTTATGAAGAGTCTATGAAATTTTCCTGTCTCCACAGGGATGAACTTGTAAGGCTTTTGGACATCATTAGTGGGCCTTAACTTTTTTCTTTCCCAGTTAGATCTGGGACTCTTGTCTTATTCCTTTAGAGGGACAGGACTTCAGTGAAACTGACCTGAATTAAGAAAACCTAGAGGGCTGGGCGCTGTGGCTCACATCTGTAATCCCAGCAACTTTGGGAGGCCCAGGCAGGCAGATCACAAGGTCAGGAGACCGAGGCCATCTTGGCTAACACGGTAAAACCCTGTCTCTACTAAAAATACAAAGAATTAGTCAGGCGTGGTGGCACGCGCCTGTAGTCCCAGCTACTTGGGAGGCTGAGGCAGGAGAATCACTTGAACCCGGGAGGCGGCGGTTGCAGTGAGCCGAGATCGCGCCACTGCACTCCAGCCTGGGCGATAGAGCAAGACTCTGTCTCAAAAAAAGAAAACCTAGAGTTTTAGTGGGGAAGGTCTTTTAAAGAAGAAATGTTATCGAAATTTTATTGACCTGAGAGGAGATTAGTATATTTGTTTTCCCTGTACATTTTAAAAATATAACTTTGTTACCCCTTAACATGCTAGAAAGGGAAGAACTTTTAAATGAATCGTAATTTGTAATTGAAAGAAAACACTTCAGTGCCAATCTTTAATTGTGTGAAAAAGGTCTCTCTTTCAGTATAGTCTTTCTGTGTTGCATATCAGTACTTTGATATTTCACTGCTGTCAAAATATCGGCATAAGTTACCAATACTTAAAGAAATATGGTAGAAACTTGGATTACTTTGTTATTACTTTACCATGTTTTGAATCTAAATACTACTTAACATAGGTGATCATTGTCACCTAAATGTTAATCTTCTAAATATGCAAAAATAGATACTGCATCGTATCATATACTTAATGGAAATTGTGTATCTCATTTGTCCATTGAAAAATTTGGCTTCCAGATTGTTGCTGACATCATCAGTTTTAACAAACAAGGAGGTAATGGGGAAATAATTGTAGAGCCTTGTTGACTTATACTGCACAAGAAACAGATGTTTGCCAGATGGAAATGAACAAAACCAGTGCAAAAAAGGTGTCTTATTCAAGTTTCTAAGAGGACAAACAATGAAACGATTAGGAAAAACTGGAAGAGGCATATTACTAGCTTTTGACCAAAAAAGGTCAGGAAATCAGTCATATGCAAACGTATATGTCCTACTCCTTGAGGATGGTGTGCTTGACAGGACTCAAGATTGAGGACATTTTATTTTAGGTTAACCTCAGTTTCTCCTGTGATTTTTATGAGTATTAACATTTTAACACAAGCATTGCTTTTATGGTTGAGTTGATTTAATGGTATAATATTTCTTATTCCCACAGAATTATATTTAATTTTTATCCTCAAGAGGTAAAGGATTGGCTGGGCATGGTGGCTCATGCCTGTAATCCCAGCACTTTGGAAGGCCGAGGTGGTAGATCACGAGGTCAGGAGATCGAGACCATCCTGGCTAACATGGTGAAACTCCATGTCTACTAAAAATACAAAAAGTTAGCCAAGTGTGGTGGCATGCACCTATTGTCCATGCTACTCTGGAGGCTGAGGCAGGATAACCGCTTGAACCCGGGAGGCAGAGGTCGCAGTGAGCCGAGATCATACCACTACACTCCAGCCTGGGCCACAGAGTGAGACTCCGTCTCAAAAAAAAAAAAAAAAAAAAAAAAAAAAAAGGCCAGGCGCAGTGGCTCACGCCTGTAATCATAGCACTTTGGGAGGCCGAGACGGGCAGATCACAAGGTCAGGAGTTCAAAACCAGTCTGGCCGACATGGTGAAACCCCATCTCTACTAAAAAAACAAAAAACAAACAAAAAAAAAAAACAGAAAAATTAGCCGGGCATGGTGGCGTGTGCCTGTAATCTCAGCTACTAGGGAGGCTGAGGCGGGAGAATTGCTTGAACCTGGGAAGCAGAGGTTGCAGTGAGCCGAGATCGTGCCACTGCACTTCAGCGTGGGCGACAGAGCGAGCGAGACTCCATCTCAAAAAAAAAAAAAAAAAGGCCGGGTGTGGTGGCTCACGCCTGTAATCCCAGCACTTTGGAAGGCGGAGGCGGTGAATCACGAGGTCAGGAGATCAAGACCATGCTGGCTAACACGGTGAAATCCCATCGCACCACTGCACTCCATCCTGGGCGACACAGCAAGACTCCGTCTCAAAAAAAAAAAAAGAAAAAGAGGTAAAGGATCCCATGGATCCCATGCCACACAAGCATCTTGTGTCGTTTTATTTCTGTCAAGCGGGACAGCCTACTTGGTTTACTTTATGAAGTTTAAAATGGGAGATGTTACTTTTTACCTTTAATTCTGCCAGTTCATGTGAATAATACATGAAACATTCAGGAGTACTTATTTTATGCTTCTTTATATATACACAAGTGGTAGCAGTGTTTATGAAGAGTTTGGTTTATCACATTTATCTGTACTTTGCTCTTAAACACTAAGTAGATTGAACAAGATAATATTAAAATCTTAGAATTGAAAAGAATCTTTAATATTTTATAAACCATCCCCAGGCAGAGGCAGAAATATATTCCTTATAGTGACGACTTGACAAATTTTCATTCAGAATCTTTTTTTTTTGAAATGGAGTTTCACTCTTGTCGCCCAGGCTGGAGTGCAGTGATGCCATCTCGCCCCACTGCAACCTCCGCTTCCTGGGTTCAAGCTATTCTCCTGCCTCAGCCTCCCGAGTAACTGGGACTACAGGTGCGTTCCACCACACCCAGCTAATTTTTTTGTATTTTTAGTAGAGACCGGGTTTCACCATGTTGGCCAGGATGGTCTCAATCTCTTGACCTTGTGATCCGTCCACCGCAGTCTCCCAGAGTGCTGGGATTACAGGCGTGAGCAACCGCGTGTGGCCTACACTAACTTTTTAAATAATCGTACATATTTATTATTTGCCCCTCTTCTCTTCCCCAGGCAAAACATTTAGCATTCCTTCAAATGATCTTATTATTCTGTAATTTTTTTTTAAATTGATATGAAGTCTCGCCCTGTCACCCAGACTTGAGTGCAGTGGCATGACCTCGGCTCACTGCAACCTCTGCCTCCCGGGTTCAAGTGATTCTCCTGTCTCAGCCTCCTGAGTAGCTGGGACTACAGGTGTGTGCCACCACACTCCAGGTAGTTTTTGTATTTTTAGTAGAGACAGGGTTTCACCATGTTGGCCAGGCTGGTCTTGAGCTCCTGACCTGAGGTGATCACCCACTTCGGCCTCCCAAAGTGCTGGGAAAACAGGCGTGAGCCACCGTGTCCAGCCTATTCAAGTTTTGATTCCCCCCACTCCCATTTAAAAATGTATATGTAATATGTATTGGTTTAGTGTCTTCAAACCCTTCAGGATTCTTTCACATAAATTAATTAATTAATTTAGAGGCAGGGTCTTGCTTTGTCATCTAGACTGTAGTACAGTGGCACAAACATGGCTCACTACAGTCTTAACTTCGTGGGCTCAAGTGCTCCTCCTTTGTAGCTGGGACTACAGCCACATGCCACCATGCCCAGCTAATTTAAAAATTTTTTTTTGTTGTAGAGATGGTCTCACTGTCTCAAAGCAATCCTCCCACCTTTGCCTCCCTACCAAAGTGCTGAGATTATGGTGTGAGCCCCTGGCCCTTGGCCTCTTTCACATGCATTTCAAGGAAGCTAGTGCTTCTGTACATTCTACTTGAGTAGTTTGAGTTTTTAAACCTAAATGTAGGTAAATTTTTTCATTATTAAAATTTAAGGTTAATCCTTATTTTAGCTTTTTAAAATTTTTTTTCTGTTTCAATGGATACAATTCCAGATTTTCTTGATCATTTTAAAATCTAGGTCATGATTGTTTTTATCATAAGACATATTTTTAAATCACTATGTAATTTGTTTTGTTTGTTTCGAGACCACGTTTTTGCTCTTTTGCCCAGGCTGGAGTGCAATGGCACCGTCTTAGCTCACTGCAACCTCTGCCTCGTGGGTTCAAGCGATTCTCCTGCCTCAGCCTCCTGAGTAGCTGGGATTACAGGCGCCCGCCAACACACCGGAGAATTTTTTGTATTTTTAGTAGAGATGAGGTTTCACCATGTTGGCCAGGCTAGTCTAAAACTCTTGACCTCAGGTGATCCAGCTGCCTCGGCCTCCCAAAGTGTTGGGATTACAGGCGTGAGCTACCGTGCGTAGCCAGCCATTCTGTCATTTGTTAATTTGAAAATAGAGATAGCTTTCAAGCGATAATGAGTATATAAGACCAGAAATGAATGAATAACATATCACAGGTTAATAACAGTACTATTTTTTTTTTTTTTTTTTGAGATGGGAGTTTTGCTCTTGTTGTCCAGGCTGGAGTGCAATGGCACAATATCAGCTCACCGCAACCTCTGCCTCCTGGGTTCCAGCGATTCTCCTGCCTCAGCTTCCCAAGTAGCTGGGATTACAGGCATGTGTCACCATGCCTGACTAATTTTGTATTTTTAGTAGAGACAGGATTTCTCCATGTTGGTCAGGCTGGTCTTGAACTCCCGACTTCGGCCTCCTAAAGGTGCTGGGATCACACGCTCGGCAACAGTACTACTAATCAGTACTCTTTTTTTTGTTTGTTTGTTTGTTTGCTTGCTTTTGATTTTTTTGGAGATGGAGTCTCGTCTGTCGCCCAGGCCAGAGTGCAGTGGCGTAATCTCAGCTCACTGCAGCCTTTGCCTCCTGGGTTCAAGCGATTCCTGCCTCAGCCTCCCAAGTAGCTGGGACTACAGGCATGCGCTACCACACCCGGCTAATTTTATTATTATTATTATTATTATTATTATTCTCTTTTAATTGTTGTATTTTTAGTAGAGACAGGGTTTTACCATGTTGGTAAGGCTGGTCTCAAACTCCCAACCTCAAGTGATCTGCCTACCTCAACTTCCCAAAGTGCTGGGATTACAGCTGTGAGCCACTGTGCCTGGCCTATTAATCAGTACTCTTTAACCCACTGCAGATATGTAATTATCATCCAGCCTGTATTTCATTGACTTACCTATTGTAGGTTGTCTTGATAAAAGTTTTGTTTAAGTCAAGTTCCTTAAAGCTTAGTTTCAAATCTTATTAACCTAATAACTTTTGTTTTTATTAAAATGCAGGCTGGGTACAGTGGCTAATGCCTGTAATCCCAGCACTTTGGGAGGTCGAGGTGGGCAGATAACCTGAGGTAGTTGGAGACCAGCCTGGCCAACATGGCGAAACCCCATCTCTACTAAAAATAGAAAAGTTAGACAGGCGTGGTGGCGCACACCTGTAATCCCAGCTACTCGGGAGGCTGAGGCAGGAGAATCTTTTGAACCAAGAGGCAGAGGTTTCAGTGAGCCAAGATCACAAGATTGCACTCCAGCCTGGGAGACAGAGCAAGACTCTGTCTCAAAAAAAAAAAAAAAAAAAAAAAAGAAATGCAAATTACTCTCAATGAATATATTTTGCTCTTACTTGGTCAATTTGTTTTTTAAAAATTTTCATTATACTGATTATCCATTGTTGGCTCAAGATACCCCACCCAAAATATTCTGGTAAGAGACCAGAATATACCATCCCCAAAATATCTTTTTTTGCCATGTTTTGAGCTAGTTATTCTGAGAATCTGCAGACACAGGAGTAATTTTGAAAAGCTGCCCTTTTGTAAAAGAAATTTACCCATCTATAAAGGAGATCTACTTTAGTAAAAGTTACCTGTATCAGGGAAAGGGCTGCTGCAGACAACTGTTATTACCTGAGAGACTTTAGTCTGCATAACAAGACTATCTTTATTCATCATGTATTTCCTCCTCTCACTCCATTTTGTATAACTTGTGTAGACACCAACCCTTAAAAGCCCCAAGCTTCTGGGAGTCTCGGTGGCTCAGGCCGGTTGCCCTGGCACTCGGGGAGGCGAGGCTACACATTCGAGGCCAACCTGGTCAACATTGATTAAAAAAAATAAAAAAATAGAGATTACTATTTTGGCCAGGCACGGTGGCTCATGCCTGTAATCCCAGCACTTTGAGAGGCCGAGGCGGGCGGATCACGAGGTCAGGAGATCGAGACCATCCTGGCTAACACGGTGAAACCCTGTCTCTACTAAAAATACAAAAACTTAGCTGGGCGTGGTGGTGGGTGCCCGTAGTCCCAGCTACTCGGGAGGCTGAGGCAGGAGAATGGCATGAACCCGGGAGGCAGAGTTCATGAGCCGAGATCTTGCCACTGCACTCCAGCCTGGGCGACAGAGCGAGACTCTCTCTCAAAAAAAAAAAAAAAAAAGCCCCAAGCTTCTATTCCTTCCATAGCTTCAGATGCTGTATAAGCTTCAATATCTCACTCTTCAGTGAGTCTCATATTTTGTGGGACTACTGTTAATTACATACGTAATTAAAATTGGTTTCCTGGTAGGGTGCCATGGCTCAAGTCTGTAATCCCAGCACTGGGAGGTTGAGGAGGGTGGATCACCTGAGGTCAGGAGACCACCCTGGCCAATATGGCGAATCCCTGTCCCTACTAAAAATACAAAGATTAGCTGGGGCGTAGTGGTGGTGGGCACCTGTAATCCCCATGCCTGCCTCAGCCTCCTGAGTAGCTGGGATCACAGGCACCTGCCACCATGTCCAGCTGATTTTTGTATTTTTAGTAGAGTTGGGGTTTCACCATGTTGGCCAGGCTGGTCTTTTTTTTTTTTTTTTTTTGAGACGGAATCTCACTCTGTCTCCCAGGCTGGAGTGCAGTGGCGGGGTCTCGGCTCACTGGAAGTTCCGCCTCCCAGGTTCACGCCATTCTCCTGCTTCAGCCTCCGGAGTAGCTGGGACTACAGGCACCCGCCACCCCGCCCAGCTAACTTTTTGTATTTTTAGTAGAGACGGGGTTTCACCGTTTTAGCCAGGATGGTCTCGATCTCCTGACCTTGTGATCTGCCCGCCTCGGCCTCCCAAAGTGCTGGGATTACAGGTATGAGCCACCGTGCCCGGCCTCAACTGCCTATCTCTAATGTCTTGGCAATGCCATGATTTTTTTCAAAGACTACCAGTTAATGGCTCTGAGCTTGTACCTACCAATTTAGTATTCTAACATATAATTTAATCTATGATTTTTAATTACTAAAAGCATGAAGACGTTCATAGTATTGTTTATAATACAAAATTGCAAGCAGCTTTAGCATTCAACATTAAGAGAATGAATAATAAAACTAATGCTTTAATAAACTCATGCCTGTTTTTTAAGTCGTTAAAATGATGGCAATGTAAGAACATGAGAAGATTATTAAATAAAATGAGCAACTTAAAATTTGCGT
This sequence comes from Homo sapiens, assembly GCF_000001405.40. Lineage (NCBI taxonomy): Eukaryota > Metazoa > Chordata > Mammalia > Primates > Hominidae > Homo > Homo sapiens. The sequence goes on along the minus strand of NC_000010.11, from coordinate 63,275,863 downwards.
GTATCCTGAATGTTGATAACTAATATGGTTGTGAGGAAAAAAAGGGCTGAAAGTGCACTTAAATAGTTAACTGGCTGGGTTCACTAAGGATAAGAATATGGGATCTTTTTCATGCATTTATTTTACAAATTTTCTCAAATATAATTATGTTACTTGTTAAGAAAACTATTTTTGGAAACAAAAAGGATCCTCTACATATCATTTAATCTTTAGTTTTTTTTAATCTCTAGTTCATATTTTCCATAGTAAAATCACTTTTTCTTGACAGAAATAAAAGTAATTAAATAAGCTTTTCTTTCTTCCAAATATTGGTGTTTTATCATCTTTCCCAATGGTCTTTTTCTGAACATAGCTTTAAAAACCCTTTATGTTGAATTGATTTTTCCTCCTAATCCTGCTTATTTCTCCTTTGTGAAAGGTGACGTATGTCAGTAAAGCAAATTAAAAATACATAAACTTATGTCATACTTCTTTTCCTTTGTACTTTGTGACTTTGCAGTTTCTTCTAGACAGGCTTCATTTTTCTCCATTCAGCGTTCAAAGTTTAAAGTTTAATTCAGCAGATGGCAAAACACTTTGCTCTCTGCCACCCATGCCAACCAGCATGAAAATAAATACAATGCTTTCACACCATCTTATGATGTAAAAATCATTCAGCTGTGAATTAGGAAATCCAAGTTCTGGTCCTAGCACTTCTATAAACAAGATTTTTGACAAACAAAGTCACTTAGACTCGAGTGTCCATTTTTTTATCTGTAAAAATGAGAGTATTTCTAACATTAAAGTAATAGGACTAAATTTTGTATTTCTTTTTTAAAAATACCTATATTTTTAGAGACAGCATCTTGCAATGTTGCCCAGGCTGGTCTCCTACTCCCTGGGCTCAAGCCATCCTCTCAGCTCACTTTCTAAGTAGCTGGGATTCCAGGGGCATGCCACTATGTCTGCTTGTATGATTGCTGCTTGATTTGTATGATTACTGTATTCCGTTCTCTTATAAAAGACTGAATACTCTGCTAGGGTAAAAATTTGGTTGTCTTTTCCTCACTATTGCATACCCTGGCCCAAAGCATGGTGCCTTGCACATAGAAGCCATTTTATACCTATTGATTGAATGAATGTGCTACAATGTTTGCTGGAGATAGGAGAGTTAAAAAAGTCTTAAGGTCCATATCTACTAGAAATCCTTGTAGAAATCATAGACTATTGAAGGTTTGAAACTGTGATACACAAGTTTTGCATTGCTTAGAAGATCTGCATGGAGTTATTAATGTTAAAAACTTTTTTGTTTTTTTTTTTGAGACTGAGTCTCGCTCTGTCACCCAGACTGGAGTGCAGTGGCACAATCTCAGCTCCCTGCAACCTCTGGCTCCTGGGCTGAAGCGATCCTCCCACCTCAGCCTCCTGAGTAGCTGGGACCACAGGTGCGTGCCACCACACCTGGCTATTTTTATTTATTCTTTGTAGAGACAGGGTTTCACCATGTTGCCCAGGCTGATCTAAACTCGTGGGCTCAAGTGATCCACCTGCCTCCGCCTCCCAGAGTGCTGGGATTACAGGCGTGAACCACTGCGTATGACCTACTGTTAAAAACTTAATCCTTTGGACATTACAATGATGTAGGAGTTACATTTTTATGTATTTTCATAGATTTTACAGTATGGCTTATTGAAAAATACTTTAATGAATTATAGTCAGCTTTCTTGTAAGGCCAGTCAAGTTGAATTCCTCCTACGATTGTTGTTCATCTTTTTTTCCACCCATATGTCTTTAAAAATATTTATATTGCTAGATCATTGAACTTGTCAGAGTTTTTTGCTTTTTTGTTTTTGAGTCTGTATAATTTTTTAAAATCCAGTGGTTTGTTTAGGCTTCCACGTGTATAAAGATGAGAGATGTATTCTTTTCATGGCCCAAGATAAATGGAACCAAAATCTTTGTTTATTTTAACTCCTAAAATTGTACATATAAGATTCTCACATTACTGGAAGGAGCAGATTTTCTTTGGGTAGGCAGGCAGTGTTGCCTTCCTTTTAGCCTCTGTTTACCTTCTGACCTGTGTTGATACATTCAGCTTGTAACCTAGAAACCAACTAAAAAGGAAGGAAGTTAGAGATGTGTATTTCTGGGCAGTAACTGGAGTAGTTTCCTCTTCCCCTAGCCTGGTTTAGCAGCCAAAAAAGGCCTTTTACTCCCCTCCTCACCTCCCAACAAAAAGAAACAAAAATTAACTTTTCACCTTTTTACCTCAGTCTAGTAAAGAAGGTATAAGCCATAAGAACAATCAATTTAAAGGACTAAATTGTGTGAAAGGTGGGATCTACCATTCTCTAATGAGTTATAAGAACAGGAGTGCATTAAGGAGACTTGAAGTAAAAGCTAGCAATTTATGCTTGATACCAAGTGGGTTCTCTATGTCATTACTTCATTATTTTTGTTTGTGTTAAAAATTTACCAGAGTACCAGACCAATTAATACCAGACCAGTCACATTAATATATTTATATTAGCCAGATATGGTGGCACTTACTTGTAGTCCCAGCTGCTCAGGAGACTGAGGCAGGAGGATGGCTTGAGCCCAGGAGTTTGAGGCTGCAGTGAGCTGATAGCTCCACTGCACTCTGGCCTGGACAACAGAGTGAGACCCAATCTCTAAATATATGTATGTCAAGCCCATTTTAAATATTTAAAAGGCATTCATTATTACCAACTAGTTGTAACTCTGCATCCTTTGCATCAAGAATTGATTCTATAGTATTTTTAGTAGTGGAGAAGCCAGTCTTATTTTAATTCAACCATGATGTAGTGTGAAATACTTTTTAAAAATGAATGTTTGGTTTTTCAGTATTGTTAATTACATTAATTTTACTAAAAATTAGTACATTTGTGTTACTAAGAATGTATGACTTTTGAGGCAATTGTATGGTTTAGCTAAGTGTACTTTGTGCTATATGATTCTGTAAGGGACTGAAGTACTTGAGAAGCAAAAATAGCTGTTTTTAAGTCTATATCATATAGTGTAGACAAACTTGAGTTTATGCAAGATTATGAGATAAATCCTGTGAAATTTTCTAATGTACAATAAATTGGGGAAATGTACTAAAGTACTTAAAATTTGATAGTTTGTTATATTAAGCTGTATTAAGCATTTGCTTTTTTTGGTTTGGTAACATGACATTGTGAGTTCTTTTATTTACATAGATTCTTTTTATTTTATGTCTGATTAATTATGAATGAATTATTAGGGTGGTTATATGCGATTTAATATCCACTTGACAACATTATTAAAAACACTTCGTTCTAAAGTTACCTTGGCTGGGAGCAGTGGCTCATGCCTGTAATCCCAGCAACTTTGGGAGGCCGAGGCGGGTGGATCACCTGAGGTCAGGAGTTTGAGACCAGCCTGGTCAGCATGGTGAAACCCTGTCTCTACTAAAAACACAAAATTAGCTGGGCGTGGTGGCGTGCACCTGTAATCCCAGCTACTTGGGAGGCTGAGGCAGGAGAATTGCTTGAACCCAGGAGGCAGAGGTTGCAGTGAGCCGAGATTGTGCCATTGCACTCCAGCCTGGGCAAAAAAGAGCAAAACTCCATCTCAAAAAAATAAAGTTACCTTCTGGATCATGCATGTTCTACACAATATGTTCTGTAAAATAAAGCCATACTTTACTCACAGTCTTAGGCTAATCATTGCCCATCTCTTTTTCATTCTTTTTATAAGTGCAAGTTCATCATATACTAAATTGAAAATATCTTTTCGGTAGTTTTTCTTGGTTCTTTTTTTTTTTTTTTGAGACAGAGTCTTGCTCTGTCTCCCAGGCCAGAGTGCAGTGGTATGATCTCGGCTCACTGCAGCCTCCATCTCCCAGGTTCAAACAATTCTCCTGCCTCAGCCTCCAGAGTAGCTGAGACTACAGGTACGCCACCATGCCCTGGCTAATTTTTGTATTTTTAGTACAAACGGGGTTTGCCATGATGGCCAGGCTGGTCTCAAACTCTTGACCTCAAGTGATCCACCCACCACTGATCCCGGCCTCTTTTCAGTAGCTAACCTGATAATTTCTGTGAAATGAAATTGATACTTCTGGAGTAGATTTAAAGGGATTATGTATGTGGTATTTAAAAAACATCAGTATGAATACAAAATTAGCCAAGTGTTGTGGTGCATGCATGTAATCCCAGCTATACAGGAGGCTGAGGCAGGAGAATCGCTTGAACCCAGGAGGCAGTGGTTGCAGTGAGGCAAGATCACACCATTGCACTCCAGCCTGAGCAACATGAGCGAAACTCTATCTCAAAAAAATTTTTTTTAATTAGCATGAATTTTTAGATTTACTGAAATTGAGATTTCTCCATAGGGATACATTTATAATAAAAGACTATTTACATCCGGGCATGGTGGCTCACGCCTGTAATCCCAGCACTTTGAGAGGCTGAGATCGGTGGATCATTTGAGGCCAGGGATCCGAAACCAGCCTGGTCAACATGATGACACCCCTGTCTCTACTGAAAATACAAAAATTAGCCGGGCACGGTGGCGCGTGTCTATAGTCCCAGCTACTCTGGAGGCTGAGGCAGGAGAATTGCTTGAATCCCCACGGGGGCAGAGGTTGCAGCGAGCTGAGATCATGCCACTGTACTCCAGCCTGGGCAACAGTGAGATTCTGTCTCAGAAAAAAAAAGAAAAGAAAAAAAAGACTATTTACATACATCTTTTTAAAATAAATTAAATATTTCTTGCACCTACAAGTGTATTTTTAAAGTTTCAGTGCATGTTACCATATATAATTCCTCTTTCATCATGTAATTTCTACAATAAAACTGAAACCATTTCAATTAAATTGTAATACAGAAGCGTGGTTGACTTAAGTATATGGCCAGCTTTCCTGCTCTAAGTCAGAAACTTACAAATTTTCGCTGGATGCTCTAAAGGTTAAAATTTAATTATACTGACAAATTAATAGACATAACCTGATGTTTTACATAGAGCCACAAATTTATATTCCATTCCATCTCTGCTCTTTGATTTATTGAGTAGCCAAAGTCAGTCTCATATCATCACGTAAGTCTCCACTATGAAACGAGAAATTACTATAAGGCCTGTCAGGGTGACTCATGCCTGAAATCCCAGCACTTTAGGAAACTGAAGTGGGTGGATCGCTTAAGTTCAGGAGTTCCAGACCATTCTGGACAACATGGTGAAACCCTGTCTCTACAAAAAATACAAAGAGTTAGCTAGGCATGGTGATGCCCACCTGTAGTCCCTTCTACATGGCAGGCTGAGGTCGGAGGATCGCTCGAGCCCAGGAGCCAGAGATTGCAGTGAGCCAAGATCGCGCCACTGCACTCTAGCCTGGGCAACAGAGCAAAATCCTGTCTCAAAAAAAAAAAGAAGAGGCTGGACACAGTGGCTCACACCTGTAATCCCAGTACTTTGGGAGGCCGAGGCGGGTGGATAGCCTGAGGTCAGGAGTTTTTGAGACAAGCCTGGCCAATGTGGTGAGACCCTGTCTCTACTAAAAATACAAAAATTAGCTGGGCTTGGTGGTGCGTCCCTGTAATGCCAGCTACTTGGGAGGCTGAGGGAGGAGAATCGCTTGAACCCAGGAGGCAGAGGTTGCAGTGAGTTGAGATCATGCCACTGCGCTCCAGCCTGGGTAACAGAGCAAGACTACGTCCTCCAAAAAATAGAGAGAGAACTTACTATTAGAGCATTCTTGTCCAGTAGAAATAAAATGTGAGCTACATGTGTGATTTTAAATTGTCTTTACATCAAAATTTTAACATAGGTGTATTAATTTTACAGTATTTTATTTAACCCAATATGTCAAAATATTAGCATATCAAAATAAAATTATTCATGAGATACCTCTTAATTTTTTTTATATTCAATGTGTATTTTGTACATCACACATCTCAATTCAGATTAACTACATTTCAGGTGCTCAGTTGCTACATATGATTAGTAACTACCATATTGGACAACATCAGACAGCAGAACTCTAGAATTTAGATAGATGTTAAGAGACTATATTATATAACACATCTGAGAAATGCATTTTATGCTTTCAAATTGTATCTTAGAACTATCTAGGTTAAGTTGTTTTTTGTAATGAGTGAAAATGGTTGAGGAATATTTTCAAATCTACCAAAATAAATATTACCAGTTTTTTTTTAGTAAAATGCCTATGAGATTGTTGAGATCATTGTCTAAAAATATTTTAAATTGATTTATTTTGAAGTTTTTAATATTTTTAAGGCAAAATGGTTATACTAATAAATAAATCGTGCCCAAAAACATACAAAGTATATTTGATGCTTTATTTTTACCAACTTGAGAGATAGTCACATGTTATTTCTTTTCTGCACTTTCTCACCTTGGTAAATCTGGAAAGCAAAAACTTAGTATTTGCATTTGCTTTATGAAGGAGACAGTAAACTTGAGCTTTCAGTCTCGCCACTAGTCTGTCTTTGTCTGTTGTTAAAATTATGAGCCAGTCTCTATGGCCGCAGCCAAATGAGTAATCACTAGTAATGTGACTCGTGCTGGAAGTGACTCCATCAGCACCTGTGACGGGGGATTAGTTACAGTTTACAGAGCACCGCCTCTTCCCTTCTCTCAGTGTGCCCTAAGCCAAGTACTCGTTCTCATTTGGGTGTCTGCACTGTTGGAAGCTACTGCACTGTGTTTCCACGCAGACAGAGTACAGTGGGAAAGGCTTTCTCCAGCTGATGGATGGCTGTTCTCTTTATTTGGAGTATCTTACTGGTTATGTAAGCGACCTCGAGAGAAATTATCCTGACCCAGATCGGAGGATGCAGTAGTGCTTCAGCTGCAGGATTTCTTAGTCGTTAACACCACAGTGCTGATGACAAAGAGCGAGTTGTAATCCTCATCACTGCCAGGGCTGAGCCAGAGCAGACAGAAAATCGTCATTTGCTCGTTGGAGACTTGTTAGGTTACAGCTCCTGCTTCGTTCTGTGGTCTTGGCTTTTCTTCCTATACAATGACGCCGCTGCAAGTGAGCTCAGAAATGCTTGGTTTGAGAGCCATTTGCCTGTGATTTTTGAAGACTAAAGAAGTATTTACACTAGATACTCTTCCAGAACAAAATAGAAATTTCAGCAAATACTTACTGACCTTTAAAGCCTTGTTGTGGATTTCTGAGATTTAAAGATACTTTAAAATTCTCAAGAACAAAGTACGGTTTGTATTTTTCTGCTTCCTTTTTCTTTTGTCTTAATTTACATTTGGTTTTTCTTCTCAGCCTGAGAAATTAAGGTCACTGCCTTTTATAAAAGATCTGGCCTCAATGTTTTTAGTTTTAAGAATTTTTAACTTTCATTTGTTTAAAAAGGTTTATTGTGTTTGTAGTAATTTAATAACTGTAAATGTTAAAAAACGAGTTTAATTGTTTAAAGTATTATGGCAGAAGTGCTTCAAATTAGGATTTTCAGACTAGTGTTTCAAGGAAAGTGGGGGTATTTGTTTTGTAAGGTTTTTTTTTGGTTATTCCCTTCCCCACCCCCAACTTGTTTTCTAACAGTATCGTGTTTTTCAATAGACCTGCTTGGGTGGGAATTTGGACTTTGTTCTTTCAAGTCACTCCAGTCCTTTTTTTTTTTTTTTTTGGTAGACTAAATCTTAACTTCTAAAATGTTGCTTAGGTTGTTTTCTGCTTTAGTATTTACCTTTGGTGAGATTTATATTAGTATTTTTGCAGTTAATAAGCCTGTTTTTTTTTTTAACTTGGAATTGTTAACTGTTAACCGGAGATTGTTAGAAACTAAGACTGCAGACATAAGCTCCTTGAATTTCCTGTTAAATGTGAAATGGTGAGCTTTAACATCGTTTGTTTGAGCAGCTGAGTTGTGTTTAAGAGCTGTAGCTGATTTATTTTAAAAATGTTTTTCGGGGAGGGCTCATCTGTTCGCGTCTTCCTCATGTGAATGGAATGTGGTGCAGCATGGAGCCCCAAACAGGATACAGTTGTTCTAAGCATTCTTCCTATAGTTTGGTAGGCCCTACTAGAAATGCAGGCTCTCAACTATATTTATTTTGGCCGTAGACTATTTTTAAAAAGTATGTTTAACACTGATAAATGACCTTAAAAAAAACTCTCACTCTAATAAAATTGAAAAAGCATTTTGTTTCAACTGAACATTTAGTGTTAGTAATTTTCATTTTGGTTTTCAAAGGCTTTTTAGAGCATTTGAATGATAGTCTTTTGTGATTAGGGCCATATTCTACTGTGACTTTCATCAGATGTTAGCTCATTGCTTCCCTTTAGGCTGTGGAAGTTACTCATAGAATGATATATCTTTAGAGTGTTGAATTAGTTATGCATGAGTTCTAGTTTCTTTACATTCCAGTGCACCTAGACCCATGAACTATTTACTACAAATTTCATCATACCAGCTGTAGGACCCATTTGTTTTTATTTAAATATGTTTTTTATTATTTTTAAACTTATAATGTTCCTTTGAAATGTACTAGACTAATACAAAAATTAGCAATACTTAACATGGTTGTTTTGCCAGTTAAAAAAACCGGGGTGTATTTTAATATCACTTCATATGTTGTTTGCCTTTCATTTTTCCTTAAAGTAGAGCAGTCACACATATTCACTGTTTCTCATTTAATAAATATTGAAACATTTCTTTTAACAAATACTATAAAAGTATTTATCAGCACTTTTTATTTGCTATTTAAGAAGCATGATATACTTTGGACTTCCACTTGTAAATGATTATAAGTACTCATGTCCTTGTAAGAGTATTCAAATTTGATCATTGTCAGCTAGTTTTCTTAGATTTCTGGTAGCCAAATTTTACTTGGCTTTCAATGAGACATCTTAAAACGTGAGAATTTTTTTAGCTTAGAAATCCTTTTTTCAAATTAACTTAGAATAATTTAAATCATTGGTCGGCTTGTTGAAATTTACCCTTAGAACTCTGGCCTACCTTGAAAAGGAGAGCTCTCTTCAGAAGAATGTTTTTCATATTATAAAATGACTAGGTCTCATAGGAAATGCAAGCCACCTGTATTATTTGCGTAAGAAAGAGGCACTCCAGAAGGAGAACTTTACTTCTTTTTCAAATCCTACTTAATTGAATTGTATCTTTAGCCACTTAGATAATACCTTTTGTGGACCTTTTTGTTAACCTTCATGAGTTGACCTGATATGGTACTGTTTGAAAAGAAATAGATCATTTGATAATGTTCAAGGATTAAAAGTCCTCTTGAGAAGATGCCAGTGTTTTCTAGTTTACTTAAAAACTAAACTGACAGAGATATAATATGAAAAAACATTTTTTACAGTAGGGATCAGCCGAATATCCCTGTTTATGTTACATATTTCATGTCAATTGGTCACGTAGTGGTGGACACTTTTAAAGCCTAAATACAATAAATGCTCTTGAATTTCTTACAAACTTTTTGTCACTTAAGTAAAATAATAAATAGGATTTTATGAAATCCTATAGGATTTTATGTAATTGAAAAGTGTTAAATGATAACAGTAGAAGGAAATAGCTAAATAATGTGAGGATTTTCTATTTTGAAAATGTGATTTCTCACCCAAATAATAGTAATTTTGATAAATAATAGAGTGCTTAAAAGGTTAGCCTAGGATATGGGAGAGAGGATATTACTGTGACTAGATTTTCTGATCTTAAATATCGAAAATAAGTGAGAATATAAGAGAGTTTTTCCTGTTTTTTAATTAAGAAAATATTATTTGTAACTTCATGATGTAGATAGCATAGAAATAAGACTTGCTTAAATTTAATATTAAATTTTTAACTTTGAAACATTGTTACAGATTGCAGTGAGTCAACCTGAAATTCCTCTTAGGAATTTCTTAAATATAGAAATTAACTCCTTAAAAGCCACTCCAAACCAAACATCTTGAAGTTTTTCCCTGGAGTATGTTTATTGTTATTAACAAAATGTTATATATTTTTTAAGACAGAATAAGAGAAAGGGGAAACACAATGATTTTGAAATGCCTGGTAATTTGTACTGTCTATGCCAAAATCTTTGTTTTGTGTGGAAATATTAACACAAATTACCCTGTAGCTAGAAAGATTTCTCCATGTGATATAGGTAACTTAGAAATTGAGTTGATTATTAATTCTGTTTTCCGAACTTTTTTCCAGTTAAAAAATTTTTTTATAGTAAAGCAGCTGTGTTTTTAAAATGGTGGAATTTTGTTTTCATTTTCAAGTTTTTAGAACAGTACCATGAATATAAGACACTTGTATTTTATTTAATCTTCATCTACTTTGAAAGTGAGTGTGATAGTCATAAAGAAATTTATACATTGTATCCCTGTTTCCTTCCTCTTCCTACCCTGGCTCTGTCCCTGTCATCCCCACCCAAGATACGAGTTAAATCTCATATGTTAAAGGTATCTTCTTAAAGGAATCAAATGACCTTGGATTGACTTTTTTTAAAAGAAGTAGTGGAGATTTGGACTTGACTGCAAAGTAGAGTTTTGTGTAGTACTTCTTACCGGACTCTCTCTACTCCCTTCCTCCATGCTTCTCTCACCGAAGCTGCGGGATTTTTATCTGTGCTTGGTGCAGGGGCGGGGGTGGGAGTGCAAGGGGTGGAGTTAAAAGACCAGATACTTCCTGATCATTTAAAATCCTGCTTAATGTGAATGAGCTAGACAAAAAGTGTACATTGAAATAATAACTACTCTCTTTAATAAGAAATAATACAGTTAAAAAAAAAAGGTGGGGGTAAATAGCTCTACAACCCAGTTTACTGTTTCAAAAGCAATTTCTCTTTTTAAGCAGACATTTTTACACACATGCATATTTTATTACATCCCTTTTTAAAAGTAAACAGTTGGGACTTAGTATACTCAAATATGCCCATATCACATGTAGATCTAGTTTGTTTCTTTTAAATAAACACAGATACCTTATGGTGTAGATAAAAGCATTAGTTTATAATATGAAAATTAATATTAGGTACCCTAAGACTCTGTAGTGATAATGACATTGATACATTGTATTGGTGTGTGTTCCTTCATAATTTCAGGATACTACCCAGAAAATTATCATTAGAAATTTTTTTTTTCTTGGCAGACTTTCAAACCTCTGGTTGAAAGAAATATACCCAGTTCAGTCACTGCAGTAGAATTCCTTGTAGATAAGCAACTGGATTTTTTAACTGAAGATAGTGCCTTTCAGCCCTACCAGGTAAGAAATTTTAGATTACTTTTTAAAATTAAAGGTTAATTAAACTTTATTGATATTCAGACATTCTTTAAACAATATTCTTTAAATATCATTTCATCTAACTTCTAGTTGTGTGAAAAACCCAATGAATGCAGTCAGTTGATTTTGCTTATAGGATAAACGATTTATTAATTCAATTAACAATATATACTGAGAACCTACTATGAGCCAGGCAGTGTTCTGTTGCAAGGAATACAGAAGTAAACAAAATAAAGTATCTGACATTCTAAATAATCATTATTAGAAAATAATTGGTTAAATATTAGTATAAATTGTCTTCAATGCTAAACGTTAAGAATTGGGTAAATTAATATAATTAAATGAGATTAGTGTTTATGTATACCTATCAGTTTAGCATAATAGTTCTTTTTTTAAAGGGGAAATTTTTTTAGATTGTCAGTAATTGAATGATTTTATATATAAATTTCAGTTCTCCATTATTGCAATTTAAATACAAATACATTTAATTAGGAAAACATTTTCCAGTTGACTATTAGCTTTTAATTATGTGAAGAAACTCATCAAAAGTATTAAGCTAAATATTTTTTAAGATTGTTGAAATTACCAGTTAATTTTTTCAGGTATAAGTAAAGCTCACAGAATTGTGTGTGTGTGTGTGTGTGTGTGTGTGTGTGTGTGTGTGTGTGTGTGTATGTGTATTTTTTTTTTTTTTTTTTTCCGTGATGGAGTCTCACTCTTTCACCCAGGCTGGAATGCAGTGGCACGTTCTTGGTTCACTGCAACTTCCGCCTCCTGGGTTCAAGCAATGCTCCTGCCTCAGCCTCCAGAGCAGCTGGGATGACAGGCACACACCACCACGCCCAGCTAATTTTTGTATTTTTAATAGAGATGGGGTTTCACAATGTTGGCCAGACTGGTCTCGAACTCCTGACCTCAAGTGGTCTGCCCGCCTCGGCCTCCCAAAGTGCTGGGATTACAGGCGTGAGCCACCACACCTGGCCTTCATTTGTATATTTAGAGTTTAGGTTGAATTAAATGGATATATTATAGATTTCTTTTTACTCAGATGTTTTAAAATAATACAGTAATTGCATGGAAAGAAAGGATGAGTGAACCAGTTTAAATTTTTTCTAATGGAGTAAAAAGTTAATACTATTTTATTTCAGACTTGTTACTGTTTTTCAAAAATAAAATGTAGAGCTATTATTTCCATGGAGAGAACAAGAGCTTGTGTTAATGAGCAGTTATTTGTTGTGCATGGATTTGTAATACTTAGGGAATTAGAATAGTTCTCTTAGGTCCACCAAAATGAGATGTTAGTTCATTTAGTGTAAACATTATTTCATGTTTTGAAGTCTATATAGATGTGCTCTTGTCTTTCCACTTGATTTTTCTTGTTTCTTTAAAGGACCTAGTTTTTTTGTATTGTTAGCTTTTGTTCTTTGTTTATAATATTTATTTCATAGCAAATCCCAATTTAATAGTGGAGGTGTTGGAGCTTTTCCCTGGGGTTTTATTTTGTTAATTGTGAATACCATTTAGTTTACTACAGACCTTATCATTTCATTTCCCCCAGTCAGTTAGAGGGAGTTAGAGTAGGTGAATCTAGGTGAAATCAAAGGAACCTTCCAAATCTTAATGTTTTAATTCTGTGGTTGTATTATTAGCACTTTTGGAACCAAGTTTCAGCTTGGATTTGGTTTAGAGAAGTGAAATCGTTATGTAGAAATTACTTTTAAAAATAAACTCTTGCCAGGTGGCCTAAAACTCGACATGTTTTTGAAAATTACAATGATTGAAAGAATATGCTGGGGGAGAGTGGGGGGGGTACCCTAACTTTTTTTAAAACAGTTTGAGAGGCATAAGAGCTAAAGTCTTAACGCAGTTTAGTGAATTGTATGTTTGTCTCTGTTAGTAAGCTATTTAATCTGCTCTGCTAGTGTATATACTAAGTCACCCTCTGGCCTAGAAGGATGCCATATCTTCCAGAAGTGAAGTGATTGACTTGACATTTTAACCATTGTGTTTCTGAAAAATGTGAATTCCGAGTTCAAAGAAATCAGTAGGAATTAACATGAGAGCACTTGATTTGGGATCTAGCATACCTTAGTTTTAGAATTTCTTACGAATTTTAGACTAAGTGCTGGTTTATAGCAGAGCTTTTCTATGTGCATTTTTTATAGTTAGGGTTTTTAAATAAGATCAGGTTATAAATATAAAAATATTTTCTCCCATGTGTAAATGATAGACATTTATCTTATTTTGAATGAAAATTTACTACAGATACCTAAGATGGTTAAATTTATTTATTTAAATAAATCTTATGAAATACAGAAATGTTCTAGAAAGAAGAAAAAAAAATTTAGAGTTCGTGTAATTACAATGGCTCTATACCAGATTGATTGTTTTCTAACCAGTTGTCCAAGCAGTACATTAAATTCCTTAGCTTCTTAAAATGGCAGCTGTTACTGGCATAAATTTTGTAAATAGTGCCTTGACCTATCTCAACCTTAGGGTAACCCTCTGTAAGTCAAGGGGAGTTTGGGTACACTTGAATAAGCTTTTTAATTGAGCTTATTTCTTTCTCACTTTTTAAAATTTCATGAGGCAGTTTCTTAATATGGATGCTAATTATCCTTTATAAACTTTTTAAGTAGGTGGGGGAAAATTCTCTTTGGAAATGGCCTTTGTGTATATTATTTTTTAGTCTAGAGTGGTAGGTACATGTAAGTTTTTAAAATTTCCAGAAATGATGCTTTGCTGTGAATCTAATTAAATGTTTTCAGTGGGAATTCCCAGTCTGCCACCTTTATCCTTGATTTCTCAGCATTTTATTCAGTAGCAGTATGTTTTTCTTTAGTTTCCTTTACAAGTTGCACAGCCTTATTCTTCATTAAATCAGAATGATAAACTAAGGTAGTGGTTAGGAAACAGATGAGTCAGGATTAATACAAGTCCTTTCACTTTTAAGTCATTGGTTTGAAGCCCACTCTTTTCTCTGAATGATTTGAATGTATTGAATATCAGATAGCAAGTATTAAGTTAGTTAACCTGGTCAGCTTTTTTTCTTCTTCTTCTTTTTTTTTCTGTCGCTCAGGCTGGAGTGCTGTGGCACAATCTCAGCTCACTGCAACCTCCGCCTCCCGGTTTCAAGAAATTCTTCTGCCTCATCCTCCTGAGTAACTGGGATTACAGGTGTGCACCACCACTCCCAGCTAATATTTGTATTTTCAGTAGAGATGGGTTTTCGCCATGTTGACCAGGCTGGTCTTGAACTCCTGACCTCAGATGATCCACCCCGCCTTGGCCTCCAAAAGTACTGAGAATACAGTTGTGAGCCACTGCGCCCGGCACTGGTCAGATTTTTGGGTGACGTTTAGTTGGGTATTCCAGGATGCAATCATTATATATTATAGTTTTTAGTATTTTGGAAAGAAACATGACTAAAAAGAGAAATTGAACCAACATTTTCAGAGAGTATAATGGATATATATTAATTAGGCCACTGAAGCAACAGGCCTCGATATTGTTAAGTGTCTTTCTCCTTCCCTGTGCACACAAATAAGTTTCTACTTCCTCCTTTTAGGTTTCCTGATCATGCCTGGCTACACTTAACATTCTTTGAAGTAGGGGGGAAGGGAAAAGGGAGAGGAAGCAGTGGGGAAATCTGCAGATTCTACTGTGTTTTTTAGCTAGCTGGGAAGAAGGAGGAGAAAATAAATTATTGCTTCTTAAAGGTACTTTTAATAGTTTTTTGTTACGCCAGGCACGGTGGCTCATGCCTGTAATCCCAGCACTTTGAGAAGCCGAAGCGGGCGGATCATGAGGTCAGGAGTTCGAGACCACCCTGGCCAACATGGTGAAATGCAGTCTCTACTAAAAATACAAAAAAAAATTAACCGGCGTGGTGGCGGGCGCCTGTAATCCCAGCTACTTTGGAGGCTGAAGCAGGAGAATCGCTTGAACCTGGGAGGCAGAGGTTTCAGTGAGCCGAGACCGCGCCACTGCACTCTAGCCTGGGCAACAGAGCGTGACTACATCTCAAAAAAAAATAGTTTTTTTTTTGTTGTTACTATAATCTCTGTGGTATTGTTGCTTTACTTTGGAGTATGATTATAGAAGTTCAAAAAAACTTTCCATTAAATTTTGATAACAGTTTTGATCACATTCACATAAAAATTTTGATAATGAAATGAAATATTTAGCTTTTAGCATGATTTTGAAATCATTTTATCATGGATTTTGGCTACTGGCCGTGCACACACCTACAGTTTTCAGGTTGGGGTTGCTTCATAGAGAATGTGGAAGAGATTATTTCTTACCTGAAAGTTGTACATGATTCATACCAACTAACCTGGCTTGGTCTGGCTTGTTAGTCCAGTATTTTTAGGCATCACATTCCTCTTTGCTTTTAAATGTAATAAAGAAATAAAACAAAGGTCACTAGTTAAAACCGTTAGAGATTTGATACGGAATGTGGTTGTCCAAAATTATACCGCATGTTTATCTTACAGTATATTAAAATTCATTGTAGTAATGAGGTGTTTTCCCTAAAATAAGGTAGAATCATAAATCCTAGACCTGAAGGAATGATTCCATTAGAAGTTCTGGATCCCAGCTACTCTGGAGGCTGAGGCAAGAGAATCACTTGAACCCAGGAGGTGGAGGTTGCAGTGAGCCGAGATCACACCATTGCACTCCAGCCTGGGCAATAAGAGTGAAACTCTGTCTCAAAAAAAAAGTTCTGTATCATAATGAGCTGATAAAGTTTGGAGATAAGACTGTTAATACTACAGTTCTATCATTGTAGAGTATGGACATTGAACTACAGTACTTTACTAAATACTAAATACAGTACTGTTGTGCTGTGAATTGCTGGTTGAAGGGAATGGGTAGAACAAACCTGAGTATTTTCTTAGTACCTGGACTAAAGATTGCTTAAAGACTTAACCAGAGAAGACTCACACATTGTCTAGTAAATGAATGTGTCTGGACTGTGCCAGATTGTTTATCTATTTCTGTAGTCTTTCAATGATAGTTTTTCCAGTTTGAATCCATTTTAACCCATATTTCTTTCATCATTGATCATATAAATTTATTGGCTGTGGTTTCTGAATATCCCTAAGGTAATTGTTGCTCAACACATCTGTTTTACTAAAAATAGCTCAAACAGTTGCCTAGGGTAAGTTTGCAGTAGTTTAGGGAGTAGAGTGTACCAGAGACATGTATTTTTTTTTTCTCCTAAATTTGTGTTACTGTCCTATGGCATTTGGAATTGCTTCACAACCAGGATGGAATAATGCAAATAAGGTGAAATTTTAGCCATTAGTCAGCCAAGGTGAACAATTTAACCAGTTGTTTGGTCGTTACTAGACAAATGTTGTAATTTGTTGAATTAAATATTTGACATAAGTGGTCCACTGACAAAGTTTGAAATCTTGTTGATAGAGGTTTGTTTATAAGCAGATTTATTTCTCAGGGTAATATGATATTACTAGTAGTTTACAGAAAGAAGTAAACAGAACTTCCTGTTACAGTGCTTTGTATGGTGGAGAAGGGACTTGCTTTTTCAAACTTTACCTTCACTTCAGCTTATAGTACAGACAGATCACTTTAGATTGTTTTAAAAATGTAACATTTCTATAGTGTGAATGAGAATTTGACCTGGTACAGTATTTATTAGTATACTTCCGTAATTATTTTTGTCCTACAGTTCCTTTCAGATTTGTCATTTTCGTGGTATCATGTCACTGCTCTAGCATTACTTTTTACCAATTTCACGGCTCCCTGCTAGTTGTTTAATGATTTTTTAAAGTTGATAAAAGTCTTGTAAGTAATGATCTTTATCTTATTGTCAAGAAGTTTATAATCTATGATAAGAACTGACATAAAAAATGACTTCCTTGAAGTAGACTGGATTTAAGGAGCCTGAAGTAAAAACTTCCGAAATACAAAGATAGGAGAAGTCAATAAAGACTGAAATGGTTAAAGAAGTAAGTGAAAGGATGAGGTGGGGTTGGTGGGGTGGTTGGTGGTGGCGGTGGTAATGGTAATCCAGACATTTGCCAGGAGGAACAGCATAATTGGTGTTGAAGTATTTTAGGGGACAGTAGAATGTCAGCTTAGCTAAAGAAGAGAGTTTATGAATAGAATTAATGCTGGATACACATGGTGTGGGGTCAGACAAAAGAGGAAAAGATCACTAAGCACAGTTCTCAGGAGAGTAACAAAATTATCTGTGTAACAATGGCATGTTGGTTATTGTAAATATCAGAAGCAGCTAATTGATTGGGTCTTCACTAGAACCTTTTAGAGATTCATTGTAGCATAATGGTTAAGAGCATGAATTTTGACATCAGTTCAAGCAAACTTAGTTTCAAATTTTACCTTTAGCATTTGTTAGCTAGTTCACATTGGGAAAGTCTCAGCTGCTCTGAATAAATGGTTTCCTCAACTGTAAATACTGTCTACCTCAGGGTTGTTAGAAAGATTAAATGAAATGATACAGTAAAGAGTTTATAGTACAGAAACTGCTCAATAAGAGACATATTGTAAATTTCCCTTTTCATAAATGGTATCTTAAACCTTTTTCGTGGATATTTGAAACTCCTTTCTCTTCCTACCATTCACACACTCATTGACTATTTCTCTGCCACCATCTGCTGCTTACTTCTAACAATCTTTCTTACTAGTCTTCCCTAGAACTCTTAGCATTTTTTTCTCCAGCTGGTGCTAAACAAACTTTTTCAACTCTCAATATAACCCATAGACAGTGTATAATAGAACACGTTTTTGTAGTAGTGTTTTTTTCTTCTCCCAGTTTTTATGAAGAATAAGTAGGTAAGATTTCATTGTGACTTCTTAAACTATTATTTTAAGAAAATGATATTAGAAAAGATGACAACAAAACTGTACTGTGGTGGTATCCTTTACAGCACACCCTTACCTTTTTTCCACAGGGAAAGTCATGTACTCTACTTGTTGCTGATAGTTATTTTTCTCTCAGAAAGTAGAAGTGATATTCAATAAGGTACAAAATTATTTTTCTTTGTTTGGCTCTGGGAAGACACTTTGTAGCTATAATACTAAGGTCTAGAAGTCCCCTAAGCATTAAATAAAAGAGTTAGACTAAATGACCTTTGTAGCAGTGAGTACACTAGCTCTGTGAACTTGTTAAAGGTGAAAAAACAGCCTTCTCTGGTCAACATTAAACGAATCAAGCCCTAATTATTTTAGTCTTTAGGATAAGAGGCATTCAACTAAAGCTAGGTTTATCTTAAAAGAACTTTTCAGTTAGAGTGCCAGATGCAAATCAGATGTTCTGCAGAATTGGAAAACCAGGATCATTTAGATTAATGGTACTTACTCAGCACTTTCTATTCTCTTTTTCTTTTTCCTTTTCTTTCTTTTTTTTTTTTTTTTTTGAGATGAAGTCTCACTCTGTCACCCAGGCTGGAGTGATCTCAGCTCACTGCAACCTCCATCTCCCTGGTTCAAGTGATTCTCCCACATCAGCCTCCTCAGTAGCTGGGACTACAGGTGCGAGCCACCACGCCCGGCTAATTTTTTGTGTTTTTAGTAGAGACAGGGTTTCACCAGTGTTGGCCAGGATGTTCTCGAACTCCTAACCTCAAGTAATCCTCCCACCTCGGCCTCCCAACGTGTTCGGATTACAGGTGTAAGCCACTGCGCCTGGCTACTCTCTTTTTCTATATCTGTTTCTGGATTATATTTTGACAGGCGTCGAACACATTCCCAGTTACTCCCTGACTTTTCATATGCATCTCCCTTTTCCATTTCACTTTGCCTTCATTTTAACATTTGATTAAAATTTAGAGGTGCCTTGTTGACATAAAATCAGTAAAATGAGAACAGTTGTGGCATATATACTGTGCCAAAAGTATTAAAAATACATAACTATGAACTGACTACTGGTAGATTATTGGCTTGGTAGGATGAGCATCCATGGGCAGGCAAAGCCTGGGGGTGGTCTAGGAGACGAGGCCAGAACAGGAAACAGCTATTTTGTAATATTTGGCTTTATTCCATTTCAAGTCAAAAGTGACAGCTTGCAATAGTAGAGCTAAGCTGAAGCCTCGATAGTAGGATGGACAACAAGAAAAGAGGAACCAGCAGCTAAAGCAGAGTCAATATACTTCCTTGTTTTTTAAAAATTATTTTTAATATAAAGTTGCCATATCATGTTTTAATATTCAGTAATTTTGCTCTGTATTCTATTTAAATATTCTATTACCTACCTATATGATTTTATATAGCTATAATTTCAAAAATAGTAATGAAACATGCTTATTAAGGTCCCATAAATTACCCCAGTACATATCTGTTGCTATTTAAAAAAGGAGCTCTTCATTTGTAAAAATTGGTTGCGAAACTTGATGTGTTGAAAATGTATCCTTGGAGTTTAGGAACATGTTATTTTGACTGAAATTTGGCCCAAGTATGAGCTATTCTGCAATATTCAGATTAAAAACATTTATAAGTCACTGCAGTAGTTCTTTCCTGGTCCCAAATCTGCTGTGATCATATGCTGAAAAATCTGCCAGTCTCCTTTTAAATTTTCATAGCTGCTGCTATGAATTTAAAGTATGTGAAATTATGCTTGTAGACTCTAAGCCATCACTAGTTACCATTGAGAAAGATTTTCTGGTTTCTTTTTTCCAATCAAAATAAGATCATAGGATTGATTTATTCTTTTTCTTAATTGCATAATCTTACTGAAGCATGTCATATTATTTAAAATCTCAGAATTAGAGTTTTATTCCTCAGTATAATAGTAATATTTTACTAGAATTAGAATTTAATTTTGGGAATTTGATCATTCCCAAAATATTTTCATGTGCATTATTTTATTTCCAATGTTAGCTTTATGAGGAAAATAGATTGTATTCTCTTATTTTGTGTAATGCTTTCAGGATATATATTAATTTATTAATCCACACAACTGTTTGAGAAGTCTAACTTACAGATGAGAAGGAAGCAAAAATAGAAACGATGTAAAGTAGATTAAGTTTTAAAAGGGTGTGAGTATTGTGATGATATAGCAGGCAATGTCATGGTACATCCATTTCAAGAAAGTACAGCTGAACTTTACTCAGACTGGAATTGGGAACTAGAAAGTTAGGAACTCAAGTCACATATTCCCTTTAAACCCTCTCCAGAATCTCCTTTTTTTGACGGGTTTATTCTGCTAACTCATAGATACTGCTTCTCATAACACTAGTTTTCATTTGACTTACGTGTGTCAGTATCAATTCACCTACCTGTCCCCGCTCCTTTACAAGACCTTTTAAATCTAATATTTATGTTTTCTACTAAAATTACAGATAGATGGCATAGGGGAATGAAACGTTGAAAAGAAGAAATAAATATAAGGAAGAGAATATATGGTAGTAATTTTCTGTGGTAGGCAGAGAAAGTGAGGTTTAGCTCAGCTGTGACTTGGCATCTAGGTTCACACAGCTTGTGATAGTCAAAAAAGAACCTGTGTTGGGTATGGTGGATCACAACTGTAATCCTAGCACTTTGGGAGGCCGAGGTGGGAGGATTGCTTGAGCTCAGGCATTTGAGACTGGGTAACATGGGAGAACCCCTGTCTACAAAAAAATAAAATTAGCAGGGCATGGTGGTGCACGTGTATAGTCCCAGCTACTGGGGAGGCTAAGGCAGGAGGATCGCTTGAGCCCAGGAGGTTGAGGCTACAGTGAGCCATGGTCTCGCCACTGCACTTGAGCCTGGGTGACAGAGGGAGACCCTATCTCATAAAAAAAAAAGGGGGGGAGCTATGCTGCATAGTGGCACACACCTGTAATCTCAGCACTTTGGGAGGCTCAGGCAGGCAGATCACTTGAGCTCAGGAGCTCGAGACCAGCCTGAGCAGCATGGCAAAACTCCATCTCTACCAGTACCAAAAACAAAACAAAAAACAAAAAAAACTTTTGCGGGACACCTGTAGTCCCAACTACTTGGGAGGCGGGGATGGGAGGATTGCTTGAGCCCAGGAGGTCAAGGCTGCAATGAGCTGAGATCCTGCCATTGCAATCTAGCCTGGGTGACAAAGTGAGACTCTTGTCTCAAAAAAAACCTGAACTCAAAATTTTAGAGTATAAGATATTATTTCTGTTACACTGCCTGCCTTTGTGAGCCATCCAGTGTGAAGTGTCTCCTATTTACATATCATTCTCTTTTGTGTGGCACTTTATTTTTCTTATAGTTAATATCTTTCCTAAATAAAAGACTAAGTTTTTCCTGAATTTTATTGCCTGTACAATTTCACCTAGATTTTGCGTACACTGGCATCAAGCTACACTCCAAATCTGTGCATTATTTTCAGATTCATTTGTTCCCTCGGCAGGTAATCCATATTAAGATGTTTTCTAGTCTCTTTTTTTTCAGCTGTCTAGTTTTGTTTTGCTGTTTTTTGTTTGTTTGTTTGTTTGTTTTTTTGGTTGTGCATATGGGTATTCTGAATACCTAGATTTGCTCAAAGCTAAAATTCAAAAATAAAATACTTTAAAATGAAGCCCTTGTCAGTCTCTTGCCAAAACAGTTGTCTCTAAAATTCAAGTCTTTCTAGGCTTCAGACTAAAAACAAAACAGTACTGGTCCTTAGTCATTAAATAATCTGGATTGAGAGTCATTAATTCATATATTTAAGGGCCAGGTTTGTTATGTTCAGAACTACAAATACCTTCAAAGAACCTAGAATTTAATGGGGGAAACACACATAGAAAAACAAATATAAGCAAAATGTAGTAAGTAGCAGAGACCAGGGAGGAATAAGGAATTCATTCTGGTCGTAGGGATGCGGAGGTATTGTTAGAATTAGAGTAGGTGACCCCTGAGTTACATCAGGATGAATAGAAATTAGCTAAGCCACTAGGACATCACGGTTGGTTAAATACCACCGCGCCTGGTGCAGTATTACACCATATTTTTAAAAAATGAGGCCGGGCGCGGTGGCTCACGCCTGTAATCCCAGCACTTGGGGAGGCTGAAGTGGGCGGATCACCTGAGTTCAGGAGTTCAAAACCAGCCTAGCCAACATGGTGAAACCCCATCTCTACTAAAAATACAAAAAAATTAGCTGGACATGGTGGCGGGCGCCTGTATTCCCAGCTACTCGGGAGTCTGAGGCAGGAGAATCGTTTGAGCCCGGGAGGCAGAGGTTGCAGTGAGCCGAGATCGTGCCTGTGCACTACAGCCTGGGCGACAGAGCAAGACTTCGTCTCAAAAAAAAAAAAAAGGTGTAATATAAAGGTCCAGTTTCATTGTTTTGCATGTGAATATCCAGTTTCCCCAGCACCACTTTTTGAAAAGTTGTCCTTTCCACATTGAGTGCTCTTCCCACCCTTGAAATCAGTTGACCATTTGTGTAACAGTTTATTTCTGTGCTCTCTATTCTGGTCCCTTGGTCTATATATCTGTCCTTACGCAAGTATCACACTGTTTTGATTACTTCCAGTACCTTATTTTTCCCCCCACTTTTCTACCGCTGAATAATTTGTTCAAATGATTGCTCACTCTAAGATAAATCATTAAAGTGTACTATTCTGTTTTGGTGAAATTTACTGAAATACCAGATCAATGTCTTGAGTATAACTCCTGCCTTGTAAATTATTAGGCATAAGACCTCCCTTGTAGGAAACATATGTTTTTAAGATTCGAGGAAAAAGAAGATCCTGTGATTGCTGAGCTATAACATATAGGCATTCATTTATTGCTGTGTGCCAGTCACTTTGCTCTAAATGTGAACTCAAAGACAGATAAAATACTTGATTCTCTTTCAGGTCATAAATATTACAGCAACATGCCAGAAGTTCTGAAATAGAGCTGTATGCATAGTATTTTGTAGTATAGAATCAGCTGATGGGGGAATATCTTATGGTTGCCTGTTTCTTTTTCTTTACTTCTCAGAAGACTAGGGTTCTGTAGTAGTGTTTCTCAGTAGAGTGCTGTATTAGGGTTCTCCTCATACAGTACCAGTATGGGATGTGGCAAGTGGGGTTGTATATATGTTTGTGTATAGAAATTGAGAAAGAGGAGATTTTTATTGATTGGCTCTTGGAATTGTGGGGACTAACAAGTCCAAATTCCACATGGTAGACCAGCAGGCTAGTAGTTCAGGCAAGACTTGCTGCTGCAGTCTTTGAGTCTGAAAGGCAGTATGAAGGCAGAATCCATTTTTCCTTGAGAGACCTTAGTCTTTTTTCTTAAGGCCTTCAACTGATTGGATTAAACCTATCCATGTGTTAGGGGTAATCTGCTTTACTCAGAGTCTGCTGGTTTAAATGGTAATCACATCTAAAAATACTTCCAGAGCAACATCTGGAATGATGTTTGACCAGACCACTAGGCAACATTTCCTAGTCAAGTTGACACTTAAAATTAACAGTCATGGCTGTTATTCATATTTGATTCTTAGTTTTGTCATGCATTTGTAGCATAGTAGGAATCTGTACCTCTGACTTAGCAAATAAAATGCCTTTGGCAAGTTCTCTCATTCATTAATGGATATCCCTGAGCCATTTCCCATCCCCTTTCAGCCTTTATTTAGAGCCATTGGGATAGGTATAGATTAAGACAATTGGGAAAGTGAGAGCCTTTATTTATTTTCTTTGAGACGGAGTCTTGCTCTGTCACCCCAGGCTGGAGTGCAGTGGCACGATCTTGTCTCAACTGCAGCCTCCACCTCCTGGGTTCAAACAATTCTTCTGCTTCAGCCTCCCGAGTAGTTGGGATTACAGGCACACTCCACCATGCCCAGCTAATTTTTGTATTTTTAGTAGAGGCGGGGTTTTACCATGTTGGCCAGGCTGGTCTTGAACTCCTGACCTTGTGATCCGCCCACCTCAGCCACCCAAGTGGAAGCCTTTAAAATAATCTTGCCAAGTTGACGAAGAAGTGGGCAACAGACAGCAAAGTATTTATGTGGCATACCAGGTGCTTTCAGCATCCTAAATATGAGAAAGTATAGTATCTGTCTTTCCTTTCTGAATGGTTATAATAGTTCTGCTTCCTCCTGAGTCTTTAGATACTATGGTGTTTTCTCCTGGCTGTCCACAATCTCCTTTCAGTCCAGTCTAATTCCAGATCAAATTCTTCTAATATCTTCTTCAGATTGCTTCACTCAAGTATTCTTAGCTGTCTAGACCTAGTTATTTAATAAAAGTTGTTAATTATAAATGAGGAATCTTTCACATTTGCACTTAAATAGGAATACTAATATATTCCAATGTATCTGTCAGTTGTGTAAAGTAATAAGGTATTTTTAAAATAAATGCAATGCATTTATTTTAGTAAAAAATCACAATAACAACAAAAATACCCAGTGCTTTTTCAGATGTTCTTTGCCTGAGAGTCCAGTACAATATATGGAACTAATTCCCAATTGACAGCCCTTTTCCCATTTGCCATTTATGGAATAGCCATTTTTGTAAATGTTGAATTCTGTATAACAAGGATGAATCAACAACACGATATATGAGATCTCTTTGTATATGTAAAGTCTTCAAGCCAAAAGGCCCAAAACATCCAGTATGTGGACTTGAAAAACGCAATACCTAGGCTAGTTGTGGTGGCTCATGCCTAGGCTGGTTATGGTGGCTTATGCTTGTAATCCTAGTGCTTTGGGAGGCTGAGACAGGAGGATCACTTGAGGCTAGGAGTTTGATATTAGCCTGGGCAACATAACGAGACCCTGTCTCTAAAAATAAAAATAAAAATTTAGCCACATGTGGTGCCATGCACCTGTAGTCCCAGCTACTTGGGAGGCTGAGGTGGGAGGATTGCTTGAGCCCAGGAGATCGAGGCTGCAGTGAGCTATGATTGTGCCACTGCACTCAAGCCAGGGTAACGGAGTGAGATACTCTCCCTTAAAAACAAAAATAAAAGCAAAAATACCATACCTAACCCACCTCCAAAGGATGAGTTTCTAACTGTTTCTCTCATCGCACATCCATATCGTTTTTCAAGGTCATTAAGTTCCATCACATATTAACAGTTCCTTCCAGTGTTTAACAAAACCTAGTGTTAAGAATTTTTCTTAATATTTATTGCATATATATCAGTCAGGAAATTTTACATCAGTTGGTAGCATCTGCTTGGCATGTTAGTGTTGGGAAGCATTGTGAGGCTCTACCCTGGCTAAGTAAGAGTGTGCAGTTAATTAGTGATACCCACTACCAGCACTATAAATGAGCGTTGAACTGCTGATTTGTTTTTATTAGTCTTGATCACTTCCAAGGTATCTTTTCCTCATCTTGTCTTGTCTATAAATATACGTACTTATCTGTATTTATATTTAAAAATTCTTTTGGCTTGGTGCAGTGGCTTAAGCCTATAATCCTACCACTTTAAGAGCCAAAGCAGGAGGATCACTTGAGGCCAAGAGTTCAAGACTAGCCTGGGCAACATAGCAAGACCCTGTTTCTACAAAAAAATAAAATCAGCCAGGCATGGCTAATTTTGGTGTGTGGCTGTAGTCTCAGCTACCTGGAAAACTGAGGCAGGAGGATCACTTGTGCCCCAGGAGTTGAAGGGGCTGTAGTGAGCTATGATTATGCGATTGCACACCAGCCTAGGTAACAGAGGGAAACCCTGTCTCTTAAAAAAAAAGAAAAATTATCAATACATAATAGATGTACATGTATTGGGGGGTACATGTGATAATTTAATACATTTATATAATTTCTAAAGATCAAATCATTGTAATTGGGATGTCCAACACCTTAAATATTTGTCTTGTCTTTTTCTTTTTTCTTTTTTTTTTTTTAAGATGGAGTCTCACTCTGTAGCCCAGGCTAGAATGCAGTGGTGCAATCTTGGCCCAGTGCGAACTCTGCCTCCCGGATTAAAGCGATTCTCCTGCCTCAGCCTCCCGAGTAGTTGGGACTACAGGCGCACGCCACCACGCCTGGCTAATTTTTGTATTTTTTAGTAGAGACGGGGTTTCACCTTATTGGACAGGCTGGTCTGGAACTCCTGACCTTGTGATCTGCCTGCCTTGGCCTCCCAAAGTGCTGGGATTACAGGCATGATCCACTGTGCCCGGCCCAATATTTATCTTTTCTTTATGCCATAAACAAATTATTCTCTTCCACCTATTTGGAAATACACAATAGATTGTTGTGCTGTATAGTCACCCTACTGATCTATAAACCATAGGTCTTATTTATTCTGTTGAATTGTATATTTATATCCATTAATCAAACTCTTTTCATCCTCCCTCCCCCAACCCTAACAGGTCTCTGGTAACCACCAATCTACTGTCTATCTTTAAGCATCTGCTTTTTGTTGTTGTTGTTTTGTTTTTTCTTGAGACGGAGTCTCACTGTGTCACCCAGGCTGAAGTGCAATGGTGCAACCTCACCTGACTGCAACCTCTGCCTCCCAGGTTCAAACGATTCTCCTGCCTCAGCCTTCTGAGTAGCTGGGATTACAGGCGCTTACCACCATGTCCAGCTAATTTTTGTATTTTTAGTAGAGACAGGGTTTTATCATGCTGGTCAGTCTGGTCTTGAACTCCTGACCTCAGGTGATCCACCCGCCTTGGCCTCCCAAAGTGCTGGGATTACAGGCGTGAGCCACCACTCCTGGCCAAGCATCCACTTGTTAACCTCCCACATATCAGTGACAACATGTGATCATTTGTCTTCCTGTCCTTCGCTTATTTCATTTAACGTAATAACCTCCACTTCCATCCATGTTGTGGCACATAACAAGTTTTCATTCTTTTTATGGCCAGGACAATATTCATTATGTACGTATACCACATTTCCTATATCATTCGTCCATTGATGAGCACTTAGGTGGAGTCCATATTTTGGCTATTGTGTATAGTGCTGCAGTAAACATAGAAATGCAGCTATCTCTTTGATATATTGATTTTATTTCTTTTGGATGTATATCCAGTAGTGGAACTGCTGGATCATAGTTATATTTTTAGTTTTCTGAGAAGTTTCCATGTTGTTTTTCACAATAACGCTACTAATTTACATTTCCACCAACAGCGTACAGGTTCCCCTTTTCCCACATATTCAACAGTGTCCATCATTATTCCCTGTCATTTATTTATTTATTTATTTATTTATTTATTTATTTATCTATCTATTGAGATGAGGTCTCATTCTGTTGCCCAGGCTGGAGTACAGTGGCACAATCTGAGCTCACTGCAACCTCTGCCTCCCGGATTCAAGTGATTCTCCTGCCTCGGCTTCCGGGGTAGCTGGGTTTACAGGCACCTGCCACCACGCCCAGCTAATTTTTGTATTTTTAGTAGAGACAGGGTTTCACCATGTTGGTTGCTTTTTCTTTGGGGTTTGAAAAACTTCCCTGTGTTAGCAACTTGACCACCATGTTGGTCAGGCTGGTCTCGATCTCCTGACCTTGTGATCCACCTGCCTCGGCCTCCCAAAGTGCTGGGATTACAGGTGTGAAACACCGTGCCTGGCCTTCTGCTAAATTTTTTAATAAAAATGTTTAATTGTGGTAAAATATACTGCTTCAGCGTCCTGAGTGGCTGGGATACAGGCGCCCGCCACCACACCCAGCTAATTTCTGTATTTTTAGTAGAGACAGGGTTTCACCATGTTGGCCAGGCTGGTCTCAGACTCCTGACCTTAAGTGATCCACTACCTCGGCTTCCCACAGTGCTAGGATTACAGTCATGAGCCACTGTACCAGGCCTATAGTTTCCTTTTTTTGTTGTGTCTGGGTAATACTGGCCTCAAGGAATGAGTTTGGAAGTATTCCCTCCTCTTCTTTGTTTGTTTTGTTTTGTTTTGTTTTGTTTTATGCATTTGAGTATGATTCATATAGAATTCAGTAGTAAAGTCATTAGATCCTGGACTTTTCTTTGGAAAAGAAATGGGAAAAGATGCAAGGTTTTTGTTTCTTTTTTTTTTTTTTTTTTTGGCTCTGTCACCCAGGCTGGTGTGCGGTGGCTCAGTCTTGGCTCACTGCAGTCTTCGCCTCTCTGGCCCAAGCAATTCTCCTGCCTCAACCTCCAAGTAGCTGGGACTACAGGCATGCACAACCATACATTTTGTATGTTTTGTAGAGGCAGGGTTTCACCATGTTGGCCAGGCTGGTCTTGAACTCCTGGGCTCAAGTGATCCACCTTCTTTGTCCTTTCAAAGTGTTGGGATTACAGGTTTGAGCCACCATGCCTGGCTGGGAGATTTTTAATTAAGGCTTTGATTCCATTATTTGTTACTGGTTTGTTGAGGTTTTCTTTTCTTTCCTGGTTCAATTTTGGTAGGTTGTGTGTCCATGAATTTATCCATTTTTCTGGGTTTTTCAATTTGTTAGCTTGTATAGTTGTTGATAGTAGTCTCTAATGAGTCTTTGTATTTCTGAGGTCTCAGCTATATCTTTTTTTTCCATTTCTAATTTATTTGGGTCTTCTCCTTTTTTTCCTCAGTCTAGCTAAATATTTATTGATTTTATCTATCTTTTCAAAATCCAGCTTTTCATTTTTTTAAAATTTTCTTCTGTTTTTTGTTTTTTTGTTTTTGTTTTTGTTTTTTTTGTCTCAGTTTATTTCCGTTCTCACTTTTATTATGTCCCTCTTACTACTAATTTTGGATTTAGTTTGTTCTTTTGTAGTTCCTTGGAGTGCATTGTTGCGTTGTATATTTGAAGTCTACTTTTTAAATATAGATGTTTATTGCTGTAAACTTTCCTCTTAGTATCGCTTTTGCCAAATCCCGTAGATTTTGTGTTTGGTTTTCATTTTTTTCAAGAAATTAAAAAAAATTTAATTAAGTTTCTTTATTGACCTATTCGTTGTTCAGGAGCATGTTGTTTAATTTCCATGTATTTGTGTGTTTTCAGAGGTTTCCCTTGCTACTGATTTCTAGGTTTATTCTGTTGTGGTCAGAAAAGACAGTTTGCCGTATGATTTTCGCTTTTTTGAATTTGTTGAGGCTTGTTTCATGGCATTGTATTGTCTGTGTATTTGATTTTACCAGTAGCTTTTATATTTTTAAATATTTTCTTTTTTGTACATTATTTGTTTTTCTTTCTGATTGAAGAACTTATATCTTACATTCCTGTAAGATGAGTCTGGTGGTGATAAATTCTCTCAGGTTTTGTTTCTTAGGAAAAAAAAATTCTCTCTCCATTTTATTTGAAGTATAGCTTTGCTAGAGACAGTATTCTTGCATGTCAGTGTTTTTGTTTTGTTTTGTTTTTTATTTTTATTTTCATCACTTTGAAAATGTTGTCGCCCTCCCTTCTTACCTGTATGATTTCCATTGAGAAGTCTGTTGGGAGCCAAATTGAATCTCTATGTTTTTACTTTTCTCATGCTTCTTTTAGGATCCTCTCTTCGTTTTTGACCTTTTGAGAGTCTGATTATTATATATGCCTTGGGGTAGTCTTATTTGGGTCACATCTGTTTGGTATGTCTGACCTTCCTTTACCTGGATTTTATCTCCTTCTCAAGTTTTGAAAAGTTTTCTGTTATTATTGCTTTCCACTTTCTGCTGTTTCTCCACTTCCTCTTAAATACCAATAATTCTTAGATTTGGTCTTTTTAGGTAATTTTGTATATGTCTTTTAGGTTATCTTCATTTCTTTTCATTGTTGTTTTTTTCTTCTCTGACAGGATTCTTAAATAGCCTATCTTTGAGCTCACTGATTCTTTCCTCTCTTCATTCTGTTGTTGAAAGTCTCTGATATGTTTGCATGTGTCCCCACCCAAATCTCATCTTGAATTGTAACTCCCACAGTTCCCACATGTCCTGGGAGGGTCCCAGTGGGAGGTGATTGAATCACTGGAGTGTGTCTGTTCTTGTGATAGTGAATAAGTCTCACGAGATCTGATGGCTTTAAAGAGAGGAGTTCCCGGCCGGGCTGGTGGCTCACGCCTGTAATCCCAGCACTTTGGGAGGCCAAGGCAGGAGGATCACCTGAGGTCAAGAGTTCGAGACCAGCCTGGCCAACATGGTGAAACCTCCTCTCTACTAAAAATACAAAAATTAGCCAGGCGTGGTGGCAGGTGCCTGTAATCCCAGCTACTTGGGAGGCTGAGGCAGGAGAATTGCTTGAACCTGGGAGGCAGAGATTGCAGTGAGCTGAGATCCCGCCACTGCAGTCCAGCCTGGGGGACAAGAGCAAGACTTCATCTCAAAAAAAAAAAAAAAAAAAAAGAGTTCCCCTGCAGAAGCTCCCTCTCTTTGCCTGCTGCTATCCATGTGAAACATGACTTGCTCCTCCTTGCCTTCTGCCATAATTGTGAGGCCTCCCTAGCCATGTGGAACTGTAAGTCTATTAAATCTTTTTCTTTTGTAAATTGCCCAGTCTGGGGTATATCTTTATCAGCCGTGTGAAAACAGACTAATAATACAGCCTCTAATGAAATATTTGGCTCAGAAAATATGTTTCTCAATTCTAAGGTTTTTATTTGGTTTTAAAAAATTGTTATTTCAATCTCTTTGTTAAATTTCTCTCATAATTTTTTTTAATCTCTCTTTTTTTTTTTTTTTTTTTTTTTTGAGACAGAGTCTCACTCTGTTGCCCAGGCTGGAGTGCAGTGGCACGATCTCTGCTCACTGCAAGCTCCACCTCTTGGGTTCAGGTTCTCATGCCTCAGCCTCCCGAATAGCTAGGATTACAGGCACCTGCCACCATGCCCAGCTACTTTTTGTATTTTTAGTAGAAGTGGGGTTTCACCATGTTGGTCAGGCTGGTCTCGAACTCCTGACCACAA
The DNA here is from genome assembly GCF_000001405.40 of Homo sapiens. NCBI lineage: Eukaryota > Metazoa > Chordata > Mammalia > Primates > Hominidae > Homo > Homo sapiens. The sequence continues at coordinate 63,244,918 of NC_000010.11, read as the reverse complement.
GTGATCCGGCTGCCTTGGCCTCCCAAAGTGCTGGGATTACAGGCGTGAGCCACCGCACCCAGCCTTAATTTCTTTTAATTGTTCTCCCCCCTCCCCCCCCCTTTTTTTTTAAGAGAAGGAGTGTTGCTCTGTCACCCAGGGTGATGTGGAATGCAGTGGCGTGATTGTAGCTCACTGCAGCCTCAGTCTCTTGAGGACGATAGGTGCGCACCACCACCCCGGCTGATTTTGATAAATTTATGAATTGCTTTTCTGTGTTATCTTGGAGATCACTCTGTTTTCTTAAAACAGCTGTTTTGAATTTTTCATTTAAGAGTTCACACAGTGCCACCTTGTTAGGGTCAATCACTGTTTTCTTGCTTTATTTGGGTATGTCATGATTCCCTGTTTGCTGTTGTTTCTTTTGGATGTATGTCTATGTCTTTGCATTGAAGGATTGGTTATTCTAGACTTCTCTGACTGGCGTGTTTTGGCTTTAATTAGATATTTTTGCTTAGACTTTTTAAATAATTTACCTTTCTTGTTTTCCCCAGTAGTTTGCTGCCTCCTTTTCGGCACTAAATGACATCTTAAGCCCAGATTTGCCTTGGTTCTAGTAAACAGTCAGGAGTGCCAGGAGTCCCAAATTGCAGTGGTCCCAAAGTGGAGAATATCCTGGTAGTGCGAAGACTAGCTAGGGGTTTGTGCCTCGGGTACCTGTGGAACTAATCTCCACAGCATGGTGCTGCTGAACTGCCACTCTGATATGGCATCTCCTTTGTCTAATTTATGGAGCAGAGTTTCCAGGACTGGGGATGGTAGTCCTTCTCTGCTTCCTTTGTTTCTGGCTGTCCTCAGGGATATTTCTCCCTTTGGGTGTTCCTGATGCTTCCTGTCAGTTGAGGCAGGGATAGATCTCCTGCCAGAAAACCCCAGGTGGTAGGGAAGCTGGTTGTCCACCTTGATCTTACTTTTTCCAGTGTTGTAGAAACCATAAGTTGGTGGGAAAGTGTGGTCCTGGGCAGATTGCTGGGAGGGGCACTGCAGATAGAAAGTGAGATTCTCTCTCAAAATAAATAAATAGAAAGTCCAATTCTCTTATTATCTGCTTCTGGTTTTTTCACTTCTCTGTGGCCCCAGGACTGTCTCCCTCTCATATTTGAGGTCTGGGATGTTATTGGTGATAATCTCAGCATTGTGTATTTCTTTTTTGTTTTCTACTGAGGGGAGTGAACCCAAACATTGTCATTTTGGAACTGGAAGTCTGTACTTGTATTTTTTATCAATTTAATTTGGCTGGTGGTACAAGGTGGGTATTTCTGCCTTTGTACCAAGAACTTCGAGAACTGATTTATTGCTAATATTATTTAAAATCAGAAGTTGCTTACAAATTAGTGAAAAAAAATTTTTTTTGAGACAGAATTTTGCTCTTCTTGCCCATGCTGGAGTGCAATGGCGTGATCTCGGCTCAGCGCAACTTCCGCTTCCCAGGTTCAAGCGATTCTTCTGCCTCAGCCTCCCAAGTAGCTGGGATTACAGGCATGCACCACCATGCCTGGCTAATTTTGTATTTTTGGTAGAGATGGGGCTTCTCCATGTTGGTCAGGCTGGTCCCGAGCTCCCGACCTCAGGTGATACTCCCACCTCAGCCTCCCAAAGTGCTAGGATTACAGGCGTGAGCCACCACGCCTGGCCAAATTAATCAAATTTTAAGATATAGAGAGAACCAGAATCAGCTCACAACAATTGTAGAATAAGTTACTAAATTCTATTGAGATTTTGTTGAAAGATACCTATCTAGCCATATATATATTTATATATATATATATATATATAATTTATGTTAGTGTATTTTGGCTCTTTGAGAGAAGTCAAAGTTTACATCTGTTAAAAGTCTCAGAAATTGGCAATAGAACAACAGTCCATCTTGGACTCCATTCCCAATTTTGTTGCTTACTATCTGAAATGCTATGAAAGGCATATAACCACTTAACCACTTAAATTTTTATTTTTATCTATAAAATAGGTATGATATCATTGCCATTGTCTATGAGGTAATATATATGAAAACACTTTGTACTCTAAATTTTTTTTAATAAGGAGAATATATATGGTCAGAGTTAAGAAAATAAATAGGTCTGTTTGGGTAAATCTCAGTTTCTGTTCTGTGTGCTTTCAAGAGACTCATTAGAAAAGTAATCTGTTTTTGTTTTTGAGACAGAGTCTCGCTCTGTTGCCCAGGCTGGAGTGCAGTGGCGTGGTCTCGCTTCACTGCAACCTCCGCGTCCTGGGTTCAAGTGATTCTCCTGCCTCAGCCTTTCAAGTTGCTGGGACTGCAGGCATGTGCCACCATGCCCAGCTAATTTTTGTATTTTTAGAAGAGACAGGGTTTGTTTCACCATGTTGGCCAGGCTGGTGTCAGACTCCTGACCTCAGATGATCCACCCACCTTGGCCTCCCAAAGTGCTGGGATTACAGGTATGAGCCACTACGCCCGGCCTGCTTTTTTCATGTATCCTAAACCTGCTGTGTCCGTTATTGGTAGCTACTAGTCATATGTGGCTATTTAAACGTAAATTAAATAAAACTAAATTTTAAAAAAGTTCTTCAGTCGTGCAGGTCACATTTCAAGTGCCCAGATAATCGTATGTGGGACAGTGCATGTATATACCATTTATGCTGTAGAAAATTCTTCTCAACCACTTAGCCTCTAAATGCTGAATACTGCACAGAAAATGACATCCATGTATTTTGGTACCATTGTATTGTCTCCAGTATCACCCTAGCCCTTAGTATATCATTTGGCATTCTTTTCGCATGCCCCTGTGAACTTCTGTTTCCTAAAGTAATTATTCCAAATTATCACTACTTTACTCAGCTTCCTCCTTTTCTCTTAATAGATGATCTTTCTCCTGTTGCACAAAGGAAATTGAGGTTATAAGCAGGAACCCCGTTAGCTTCCTGTTCTCATATCTATTTTTGTACCTCTCCTTACCTGCTTTCCTCTTGTCTTAGAGATGTGTCTGTTTTAACTTCTACTACTTCAGTTTTACAAATATGTATTAGATACCTGCTACATCTCAGGTACTACTTTAGGTATTTAGGGTACAGCCATGAACAAAACAAAACAAAAATTTGTTGCCTCCTATAACTTACCTTCTTGTGGGAAAAGACAGATGGCAAACAAAATAACTGTTTAGCATATTAGAAGACAGTAGTACTATGGAGAAAAGTAAAGCCTGGAAAGTGACAGGAAGTGTCAGTTGTAACAGAAAATGGATAGGCCCTAAAGCAAGAAGATTGAAAAAATAACATACTATGTGAAAATTAGTAGAAAATGATGTAGAAAGGCTATAAGGGTAAATTAAATTGGGCTTTTTAGGCTATTATAAAGACTTTATTTTTTATTCTGATTAAGCTTGGAGTGAAAGCCTTTGAAGCATTTTGAGCAGAAAAGTAATATGATAAAACTTTTTCCCTTATATAAATAATTTTAAACCTATGTAGTTATAGAATAGTAAAATGTGCTTCCATGTAGCATGCAGCTTTAACAATTATCGATTTGTGGCCAGTATTGTTTCACTTTACTGCTCGTCTTCTGTCATAGATATTCCCCTATGTATGATAGTTTGACTTAGGACTTTTTGACTTCACAAGGGTGAAAAAGGAGCATTCAGTATGTTCCTGAGCTTTCAACTTAATATTTTCAGTTTAGGATGGGTTTATCTGGATGTAACCCCTTCATAAGTCGAGCATCCGTATTTCAAAGCAGATCCCACACACTGTATTATTTTGCCCCTAAATTTCTAAGTGTGTGTGTATGTGCATAAATTAAAACAGTCTAGCTCTATAGTCGAGTCTCATTCACAGTACTTATGTTTTATAATACCGCCACTTCTCAGCAACACCAGGAATGATAAGAGTATCATAGGCTTACTCATTTGCTTTGTCTTACATTATGTAACCACTAGACTTAGAATAACAATACTAAGGTTACCACCAATGGTATAATTGCTGAAAACAGTGTATTTTTTTGTTCCAGTTCTTTTTATCCTTAGGAGATATCCCGCTGGTCATATACTCAATTTATTGTGTTTTGTAGTCGTTTGGAATTGTTCCTCTCTCTGCCTTATGTTTTAAAAAGCTAATATCTTTTGTATTCTAGAACCTGTCTTCACAGATACTTTTCTAAGTTTACCAAATCTTAAGCCTATTTTTCTTTCATTGCTTTTCTTTTCATTATATAAACTCAACCCTCTAATATAAAAAACTAAAAGTTATCACACCCAGTCTGGTTATGGCCTTATCTTACTCCTTTCCTTCATAGCTGGACTTCTTATAATGTGAACCGTTATATCTATATTTTCTTGCTTCCCAATAATATCTTCAGTTATTGCAGCCTGGTTTCTTCCTCCACTTCACAAAACTGATGTTGCTAAGATGGCTAATCATCTCTTAGTTACTGCATTTAATATTCAAGTGTGCATCACTGTCCTACTGAACCTTTGCATTTAACACTGGATCACTGTCCTTTTGGAAATTCTTTGTTCCTGTTGCTACTCTGATACTTCTCTTCAGGTTTTCCTATTTTTTTAATCAGTCTTTGCTGTATGTTTGTTCTCTCTGTAGAAGATTTAGTGTTTATGTGATTTTTTTTTGTAGTGCTCCTTATTTTCTGTAGTGTTCCTTTTTGGTTTTTTCCATTTCACTACTCACCCTAAGCCGTGTCACATTTCCACTGTCTTTTAAAACCCTGTCTTCTGAATCCAAAACTCCAGACCTCTCTGCTCTACCATTATTTAATAACTGTTTACTAAGCATCTTCTCTGTGCCAGGCAGTATTCATACAAAATTTCCTGCCCCCATGGAGTTAAAATTCTGGAGAGGCCAGGTAGATAATAAGTGTAATAAGTAACTTATATAGTGTGATATACAATGTAATAAATGCGATGACAAAATGAAAATGTAAAGCAGTGTAAGATCAATAAGGATTGGGGAGGGGAGAAGCAGATATTTAATAGAATGTTCAGAGTAGATATCATTGAAAAGGTGAAACCCATGTCTTCTGCTGTCTATTTACTGTATTCACATTCAACCATCAGACCTTGATTTCGTTTTTCTTCCTGATCATTCTGTATCCCAGCTAATGAGATCAATCACATCTATGCCAGTTTGTCACTTAAATCAACATGTAGGGCCAGGAGCGGTGGCTCACGCCTATAATCCCAGCACTTAGGAGGCCAAGGTGGGTGGATCACCTGAGGTCAAGAGTTTGAGACCATCCTGGCCAACATGGCAAAACCCCCGTTTCTACTAAAAATACAAAAATTAGCCGTGTGTGGTGGCACATGCCTGTAGTCCCAGCTACTCAGGAGGCTGAGGCAGGAGAATTGCTTGAACCCAGGAAACGGAGGTTGCAGTGAGCCAAGATTGTGCCACAGCACTCCAGCCTGGGTGACAGAGCGAGACGCAAGTCTCAAAAAAAAAATCAACATGTAGGAATGTTTTAGGTCTCTCTCTTGCCCTTACATATTAGTCTCCCAGAATTACTAATTCTGCCTCTTTAACTTTGCTTAATCTGTCCCTTCTCCTCTATCGTAAGGCTCCCATCCTTACCCGCCTAGACTATTACAGAACACTCCAAACTACAGTCTTTCAGTTTTCTTCCTCACCTACTCTGCTGTCCTTAATTCAATCCATACCAGTGTACTTGTCCCTATATTCCATATTGTTTCACCCATCTATTCTTGCGTATGAATTTTCCTCTGTCTGAAAGACCTTCTTTTCTGATCTCTTATTATCTGGCAGATGCCCTTGCAGTTTTGAAGTTCCAACTCAAAAACCTTGGTTTCATACTTTTCTTGAGTCTCAACTCAAATATTTCCTTCTCTGTAAATCCTTTCCTGACACACCTAACTAGGTCACCCGCCAACCCATTTTGTCTCACCTTTGTATCCTAGAGGATACAAAGATACTTTAATCTGTATCGTATTTGTGTGTCTGTCTCAATTCCACTGGATTGTAAGATCCTTGAGGTCAGGAACTTTGTCTTAGATATATTGCCAGTGCCTTGGCACAGTAATTGATACCAGGTGTTCAAAATCTTGTTGAATGAAATATATTCCTAATAAATTTTAGTAATGAGAGCCTCCTAGTCCCACACTTAGACTATTTCAAACATAATTCCAACAAGCTGTCAAATCTAGTTTCCCTTACCATAGCATATGAGAAGCCAACACTTTAAAAAGTGGTGATGGTAGATTGGCAGCTTGACAGCATGAGGTTATGGAAGAACTAAAAAACAGTTACAACTAAAATTTTGTCTTTCTGGAACAATTTGTTATAGAGGTTACAGTTTACATCGATTATAACTGCATCATAATATAAAGATAACCATGAGTATTAATTTAAAGACCTTATGTTCAGTATGTTATTTCATGAAGGAACTCTAAATATTTTTATTCAAAATTAATAGAATTTCAGCAAATTATGTTATATAAACTCCTTTTTTAAAGATAAACTATAATAAGCATTTAATATGCTTCATTCAGTTTATGTTCTCTTCCCTTTTTTAAATTAAATTTTCTAAATACGTTAAACTTTCTAGGAGCAGTAAAAAAAAAATGCTGAAAGGCATCGTAAAGAGTACTATGGATAATACCTTCCTTAAAAATTCTAGGTGGCTAATGTGCTTTTCTATTATGATACATTGGAATTTTAGTTATAGCTTCCTTCCTTTTTTTCTTTTTTTTTTTTTTTGAGATGGAGTCTCACACTGTCACCCAGGCTGGAGTGCAGTGGCACAATCTTGGCTTGCTGCAACCTCCACCTCCCAGGTTCAAGCGATTCTCATGCCTCAGCCTCCCAAGTAGCTGGGATTACAGGCACCTGCCTCCATACCCGGCTTTTTTTTTTTTTTTTTTTTTTTTTTTTAGTAGAGACGGGGTTTCACTGTGTTGGCCAGGCTGGTCTCTAAGTTTTGACCTTGTGATCTGCTCACCTTGGTCTCCCAAAGTGCTAGGATTACAGGCATGAGCCACTGTGCCTGGCCGCCTTTTTTTCTTTTTGTGTAATTTAACACATTTCTTATGTACAGGTTGAGTATCCCTAATCCAAAAATCTAAAATCTGAAAAACCCCAGAATCTGAAACACTCAAAGGAAGTGCTCATTGGAGCATTTTGGATTTCAGATTTTCTAATTATGTGTGCTCAACTACTAAGCGTAATGCAAATGTTACAGAATTTTTAAAAATCTGAAATCTGAAACACTTCTGACTCCAAGCATTTTGGATACAACCTGTATTTGTAATTGCTCTACAAAGACCTCAGTGAAGGAAGTGGATGGACTCAAATAGGTGTCATAAAAGACTAAGTCACTGGGCAAGTCTAGCAAGTCTTGCTGATCATTCCAATTTGTACTGGATTGTATTCGTTCTTTCTGAGAAAATAGAAGTATGGTACTATAGTTCATTTATAGATTCATCATTTCCATAGCACTATATGCTAAAAGTGAAAATCAGCCCAAAAAACTTCGATGTGGTATTAATTTGGAAGTTACATTCATTGCACTGTATATTAAAAAAAAATTTTTAGTGAGTGTTTGGCGAGGCACAGTGGCTCACGCCTGTAATCCCAGCTCTTTGGGAGGCCAAGGCGGGCAGATCACCGGAGGTCAGGAGTTTGAGGCCAGCCTGGGCAACATGGTGAAACCCTGTCTCTACTAAAAATACAGAAATTAGCTGGGCATGGTGGCAGGCACCTGTAATCCCAGCTACTCGGGAGGCTGAGGCAGGAGAATCACTTGAACCTGGGAAGCGGAGGTTGCAGTGGGCCGAGATTGCGCCATTGCACTCCAGCCTGGGGGACAAGAGCAAGATGTCTTAAAAAAACAAAACAAAACAAAACAAAAACAGTGTTTGTTCTGTATGAATCAATCATTGACACGATGTATATGTATACTATTTCAATATTAGTTGTTTTTAAATATATATTTAGAGACAGGGTCTCTCTGTTTCCCAGGCTGGTCTTGAACACCTGGCCTCAAATGATCTTCCTGCCTCAGCTTCTCAAAGTGCTGGTATTACAGGCATGAGCCACCATGCCCAGCCTCAGTATTAGTTTGTGCACAGGAATTTTCAGTAGAATACTTTATACAAGTATATAATTTTACTTCTTTTTTGTTGTTGACCTCCCTCCCCAGCTTCCCAGGAATTTTTTACTTCTTAAAGCTTGGGTTGTGCTGGAGGAATATTTTCAGTTACTACTTTGGAAAATATTAAACAGTTCCCAGGCCTTCCTGAGTTTGTTTCAGTTTAAGTTTGAGGAAGCTGCAGTTAGTAAATTGTGGTTGGCAGATGCTGTAAGCAGGTGACTCAGTAGGTTAAACTCATGATGACTCAACTGTGTAAAAGTCATGCCAATAAATAGCTTGAAAGAAAAACTGCCTTCCAGACTTTTGAACTGCCATAAAAAGTTCAAAACTATTATTAAAAGTATCACAAAGAATATTAACATGTGGCTTTAGAAGAAAACACATTTTTCTTCAAGTGGTTTTATAATGTTTTCTTAATTTATCTGATTTTTTTACTCTGGTTATTCTGAGAGGAGCGGACCTTATACCAATGACACTTAGCAAATTGTAGTTAAAATGCAGGAATATTACAGGTCTGGATCAAGTTTATTCAAGGGAATATTGTTATGAAAGATAGGTTTCAGTTGGGTGATCAACCAAGAAACCCTATTAGTAGTTATTTTTAATTAATAAAAAAGCTAGTTAATAGCTGTTAATGTAATATTGCTGTAACCGAATAGATAAAGCAAGATACACAGTTGTTTGTTGTGATTTGATGTAATAGGACATGTATATTAAGATAGTATATCCAATTCCAAAATTACTCTTGAGGATTTTCATAAATTATATAATCTATTTATGATATCCATTTCTAGTCTTGGAATACCATATTCTTCTAACCTGGTTTTAATTTAGCTACGTCATTTTCTGTTTTTAAAAATAACAATAAAATGATTGGATAAATTGGGTCATCTTCCTTTTTATGTGACCATATTCCTAATAATGTAGGTAAGTTATTGAAAACCTAGCAGAGAGCATGCAAAATTTTGATTATGCAAGCGCATGGATGGGGAAAAGGGTATGTGGGAAGTGCTTTGACATTAGACAGACCTTTGCTGATTTGCCTTCTAGCTGTGTGATTTTGGAGAAATTACCTAATAATATCAAAATAGCAGAGGTATTGTTAGGATTAAATGAGGTTAATCTTTGTGAAAGTGCTTCTCTTGTGACAATTTAAAAAATCTTTTAATTTACAGTGGCAAGTAAATATGCTTAACTGTTAAATAGATAAATAATCTTTCTGAATAATAGGGAATTGACTGAATTTTGGTTTTGTGTTCATGCTGATTTTCTTTCTTTCTTTCTTTTTTTGAGACCAAGTTTTGTTCTTGCTGCCCAGGCTGGAGTGCAATGGCACAACCTCGGCTCACTGCAACCTCTGCCTCGCGGGTTCAAGCAGTTCTCCTGCCTCATCCTCCCTGATAGCTGGGATTACAGGCGCTTGCCACCACACCCAGCTAATTTTTTGTATTTTTAGGAGCGATGGGGTTTCACTGTGTTGGCCAGGCTGGTCTCGAACTCGTGACCTCAGGCGATCCACCTGCCTCAGCCTTCCAAAGTGCTGGGATTACAGGCATGAGCCACCGTGCCCGGCTGATTTTCTTAAATTGCTATTTATATTGGCAAAATACTTATAGAATAAGGCATTTAGTCTTCTAGCACAGTATCTGAAACGCTGCATCAAGTTTTTAAAATAAATACAAAATTTATTTTACCTGGTGCTTTCTAAGTTACAAGTCTGTTTCTTAAATGTGTATGTTGTATTACTGTTTTTTTCCTAGAACATTAATCATCAGATACATACTATGTGATATGTTTCTGTATACCACATCTGTTAAGTAAAGAAAATGTATGCCCTCTAGCTAAGTTAAATTTGAATTTTATGACTTAGTTCATAAAAAATGTATTACAGAATTAAATTTTTATTTTTATGACTAGCAAAGGTTTTATAAGAATTTCATTTGAGTAATACCTGGTACAATCAATGTCGTACTAATAGAATAGCATTGTTATTTTTTATTTTATTATTATTATTTTAAATAGAGACAGGGTCTCACTATGTTTCCTAGGTTAGTCTTGAACTCCTGACCTCAAGTGATCCTCCCGCCTTGGCCTCCCAAAGTGCTAGGATTACAAGCGTGAACCACCATGCCCAGCTTAATATTGCATTAAATAACTCGTTCTTTTTATAGGCCTTTAACGATATTTTTAGCAAATCTAAAAATTTAAGTATTAACATATTAAAAGGTTTTTTTTTATAGGATAGGGAAGGTTTTTGTTTTTGGTGTTTTTTTTTTTTTTTTTTTTTTTTTTTTAAGAGGAGGTTTCTCTCTGTTGATGAGGCTGGAGTGCAGTGGTGCGATCGTGGCTCACTGCAGCCTCTACCTCCCATGCTCAAGCAATCCTCCCACTTCAGCCTCTCAAGTAGCTGGGACTACAGGCATGCACCATAACACCTGCCTAATTTTTGTATTTCTTGTAGAAACAGGGTCTCGCCATGTTGCCCAGGCTGGTCTCAAACTCTGGGCTCAGCGTTTCACCTGCCTCAGCCTCCCAAAGTGCTGTGATTACATTTTGTTTGTTTTCAAGAGACTCTAAACAAGAGTCTGTCATGTTACCCATGCTAGACTTCTCGTAACTCTGGATCTCAAGTGATTAAGTCCACCTTTTAATGTGAGTATTTAAAAGAATGCAAAGAGTATTTTCATTTTACTCTGTTATCATTACCAACAAAATTTCTAAATTAGCTAGGTTTCTATGGAGTATGCTTATCATATTTAACTGTCAGATTATATTGCATTTTTTGTTGAAACTTTGTAACAAAGGAAATTAGTATTACTGTGAATAAATTGTTGGCATCAGTCTTTTTCATCTTAAATGTTTCTTTTTCTCATTATAAAAGCAAAACATGGTCATTGCAAAATAAAAAACTTCCAGAAAAATACATAAAAGCATAGCAAAGTAGATTATTCATAACTCAGCTAAAGAAATTACTGGTAATATCTGTTATATATCCTGGTGGTGGTGTGTGTGTGTGTGTGTGTGTGTGTGCACGCGCGTGTGTGGATATATATATATATATAATATGTATATATGGAGATACATATATATATAAAATCTTTCTAGTTGGAAAAGTAAAAGGAATGTTTTTATGGTTCTGTTTGTGATCATTTGAGCCAAGATAAAATATTTTTAAGGCTGTATCCCATTGCTTAAGTAGATTTCATTTGGGGGATATTTTAATTCCAGGACATAAATTCTGACGAATATAATGAAAACAATTATATTAAAATACCCTTGTATTTGTCATTAATTCTGTTTTGTTTGCCTGGTGTGTTTTAATGTGATTATAATTTGAGATTTGTTTTTTTGGGTGTTGTTAGACATGAAGTTTAAAATTTTTTTTTAAGTCTAATTTTATCAGTGCTAATGTTACAGACAGTGCTTTTCTAAGAGTTAAAATGACTATACTCTTTTATCCTTAGGGAAATATGCTTAAGAAGTAAATCAGGTTATTAATATGCTGTGAAGAGTTTGAAAACAGTGGTGCTCAGTTGAGCATATTTTAGACTATGCAGGTTAATTGGACACATTTTTAACTATAAAGGATTAACTAAAATTGTGGCAACCTTTTCAGCCTTGAGATTCCATTAAATTGTAGTGTGTTTGCTTGTTTGTTTTTGTATTGATAATTTTTGTGAAAGCCTTCAGGTCAGAGTCACTTTTCTAGATCAGAATGTCAAAATTAACTGAGAGAGAATAACTTAAAATATTCAGTGGAATTAGACAGCATTGTAGTTTTCTTTTTCACTTTAAATGAAGTTTGCAGTAACATTTGAGTTCCCAAGAATTGTGGTTTGCTAAAAATTTGAACAGAGGAAAAATTTAAAAGTAAACAGAAAATGAACTTTGAAATTAATTTAATGGTGAATTTATATATACCAAATAATGAAAATGACACAGGAATGTTATTTCATGTAATCATATTTTAATTTGAAAAATCATGAGTCCATAGAAACATCATAGAACTTTGTACATAAAATGTTAAAATCTTGAGACTTTAAAATTCAGAACCCTTTTACCATTTCATAATTTCTCATGACATATACTTCTCTTAAACTTTATCATTTCCTCCTTAGTAATTAATGATATAAGTAGTTGCAAGCAATGCCAAATGGATGTTCCAAGGAGAGATCCCTGAAATATCTGGATATATAACAGTGGGTTGCTTATAGCAACAGCAAACTTCTAGGTAGATTTCTTAGGACTATGGAATTTTTTTCCTTCATAACAGTTAATATTCTTGGATCAAGCTGCAGGTTTTAGCTATACTCATTCTCTCTGAAATGAATTATTAACCAGTATCAGTTTTACATTTTTCATTTCTTTTCATAGATAAAAGTAAATTATGTTGTCATTGTAAAGGACCAGATGCAGTTTTAAAAAATTTTTAACATTCATGGGCTTAATAAAATTTCTTTTCTGAAACTTTTAAACAATTTTAAAAGATCAGTGGTTTTTTAATCAGGACAACTTTGAAAAGATGAACGTGTTCCAGAAAGGGGATGACTTCACATTATAGTAATATATTGAGAAGATGATTGTTAAGACTATGACAAAAAAAAAACTTTAGAAGAAGCAGTATGAAAATAAGCCCTTAAGGGTAAAGGAGACCGGGTGCTGTGGCTCACGCCTGTAATTCCAACACTTTGGGAGGCCGAGGCAGGTGGATCACATGAGGTCAGGAATTCAAGACCAGCCTGGCCAACATGGTGAAACCTCATCTCTACTAAAAATACAAAAAATTAGCTGGGCATGGTGGCAGTGCCTGTAATCCCAGCTACTCAGGAGGCTGAGGCAGGAGAATTGCTTGAACCCAGGAGACGGAGGCTGCAGTGAGCTGTGATCACACCATTGCACTCCAGCCTGAGTGACAAGAGCGAGACTCTGTCTAGAGGAAAAAAAGAGTAAAGGAGATAGTCTATTTTCTTGTTTTATTTTATTTTATATTTTTTTAGACGGAGTCTCGCTCTGTCGCCTAGGCTGGAATACAATGGCACAATATTGGTGCACCACAACCTCCGCCTTCTGGATTCAAGCGATTCTCCTGTCTCAGCCTCCTGAGTAGCTAGGATTACAGGTGTGTGCCACCATGTTCAACTAATTTATGTGTTTTTAGTAGAGACGGAGTTTCACCATGTTGCTCAGGCTGATCTCGAACTCCTGACTTCAAGTGATCTGCCCGCCGTGGCCTCCCAAAGTGCTGGAATTACAGGCATGAGCCACTGTGCCCGGCCTATTTCCTTGTTTTATATACTTGCAGTTCCTGTATAGGCCCTGCCACCATTTGATTCCATACAGATCTCGGGCTTGCTCATTGATTTCTATAACTAATCAGTGTTTTTGATTGTGTTTGGCAGGAAATTCTTAAGGCCACCAGGCTAATTGCAGTAAGTCATTGCTTCTAAAGCTTGCTTTGTAAAAAGCTGGGCTTAATTGCCGTTGAAGTCAGTTCTGTTCTCTAAACTGACAGTTTTCCCATCTTATTTAGAAAATCAAAGTAATCACAGAAATTTAGGATCACAGTTGAGTGAATCCTGTACTACCAGCTTAATTCTGATTTGTGTGCATTAAGATCTTGCTTGCATAGTTTAAGGTTTTTTCTTGAGGGGGGAGTGTTGGTGTGTAAATAGTGTCCCAAGTGCTTGGCTCTAAAATATTCATGTTTGGAATGTATACAGAGAATCAAGAGGTTCCTTAAAAGTTATAATAATTTAAAATTCTGCTTACAACTTAAAAACTTAACAATGATGATAAATCTGGTAATTTTTAGATTTTATTATATTATGTGTTGTACAGAATCACATCACCAAAATTGACAATACAGACTCAGAATTATGTTAGAAATATTTTGAAATAACATTGCATTAACCTTGTGTGGTAGAAAGCCTCCTTTCTCCCACTAGCATTTGGAGACAATTTTGTGGCAATATGTGGTGGTCAAATTTTATTTTTTATTTATTTTTTTTGGGGGGGGGGACAGTCTCACTCTGTCACCTAGGCTGGAGTACAGTAACATGATCTTGTCTCACTGCAATTTCTGCTTGCTGGGTTCAAGTGATTCTCATGCCTCAGCCTCTCAAGTAGCTGGGATTACAAGTGTGTGCCACCACACCCAGCTAAGTTTTTGTAATTTTAATAGAGCCAGGGTTTAAGTAACTACCATTGTGAATGCAACTTAAAGCTCCAATTGTATTTACAGTTACCATTTTATGAAATGGACAAAACATTTAGCTCTTATGTTTGTGGAGCCTTCTGCATATTATACAAGTTAATATGTTTCTTAAATTCTTATGATTAAATGTTGATGCTGTGAAAATGAATGGTATTCAAAACTTGTAAAAAGTGCAGGGTAAAGAAGTGGTGGAATTTTTTCGAAACAGAGTCTTTGCTCTGTTGCCCAGGCTGGAGTGCAGTGGCTTGATCTCAGCTCACTGCAGCCTCTGCCTCCCAGGTTCAACGGATTCTCCTGCCTCAGCCTCCTGAGTAGCTGGGATTACAGGCAAGCGCCACCATGCTCGACTAATTCTTGTATTTGTAATAGAGACAGGGTTCACCATGTTGGCCAGGCTGGTCTCGAACTCCTGATCTCAGGTGATCTGCCCACCTCAGCCTCCCAAAGTGCTGGGATTATAGGCATGAGCCACTGCACCCAGCTTATTTTCATTTTATGTGTAGACAGACTTAATGCCAAATTTAATGATTTGCCCGTGGACATGCTAGACATTGTCTTTAAGGTTCACTTCAAGTTACCAATTCCACTTAGGCCTCCATATCTGATGAATATGCTTACCAGTATGTTAATTTTTAGGAAAAAAACCTAAACCTATTTTGGGTTTTTTAAAATAGCCTTTTACTGAAATTGCTTTCTTTAGATCAGTGTGGGATCACAGTCATTCATCACTTTGTTTTGTTTCTAAATAAAAATAAAACTCGAATGCAAAGAATATTATTGGAATGCAAAAATGTAATAATTATAACAGATTAAAATGTTGGTGTTTGCTGTTTTCCCCTGGTACAACAATCCTTTTTTAGCCAATAAAAAAATAAATCTAAACATCATTCTGATTTTCTGAATGTCACTTCCATTTCTAGACTATTTCCAGTTACAATAAATGAAAATAGAGTTTTATTATATTTACTCCTTTCATCAATTCTATTCAGAAACTAAATTTGTCTCATCTAGTTGCAGAATGTAAATAATTTAGAAAGACTAAGCATATTTTATATTATCTTCTTGATTGTATGAATGAGAAAATAATTACATGGATAGTATAAATTGTTGTCCTATTTCTTCCTACCATCTTAATCTGTTTTTTTGTTTGTTTTTTTTTAAACTGCTGCTCATGGAGCAGGGCTACCCTGTAGGCAGTGTGCCCAGAGTAGCCCCATCCGAATCTTTATGTATAATTACGTTTTGGAAAGATAGACATTTTATTGCTTTAGTTTAAATGATAGTCTGGATTCTAGACGTCTGAATTAACCACAGCTAATCAAATGATGAAATTTTGTATACGGAGACTTAATTACCCCTTGCTTTTAATTATGTGAAATCTTTTAATATGTTTCCTTTTTTTTAAAAAAGTATTTATTTATATTTATATGTACTCAGACACACACACACCTACATAGAGAGCTTAAGAGATTAATCTATCGTGTCCTTAATAAATCAGGTAGACTATCTTTATAATATCTCTTACTTTTTAATGCATATTCTCATTTTTACTTTACTTGAGAGCCCAGAGAAGATGATGATTCCAATCTCTGAATGTAATAGTCATTGACCTAATGGAGGAAATCTTATCTTGCAAATTAGATAATTTTTCCTAAATTATGTACATTAAAATCAAGTATATTGTTATATTTGGAAGGCTAAGCATTGTCCAGAATAAATCAGGGAAACTCATTTACTTGTGAAAGTTTAAATAATGTATTTACCTTAAGATATTTTTGTCTTTACTGGTGAAAAGGATTTGGTATTGATTTAATTTCCTGTGCTCCTGATTGTATATATTTCAAGCATTTGTGGAAATAAGAGTTTGCAGTCAGTTAGATCAAATTGCATTAGTATATTTAAAATTGTATTTGATACATTGATGTAGAAGTTTTTAATCTTGCTTCATACTGGTTGTTCTGTTTTGTTGTTTTTAATTAGGAAAAGGCAAACTGTACCTACAAGCTAATCCAGCCTGCTTCTTGTTTTTATCTTTTCCTTTTTAATTTTTTTAGAGACAGGATCTCCCTCTGTCACCCAGGGTGGAGTACAGTGACTACAGTGATCATACCTCACTGTAGCTTTGAACTTCTGGGCATAAGGGATCCTCCCACCTCAGCCTCCTGAGTAGCTAGGATTAGAGGTACAAGCCACTGTGTCCAGTTACTTTTAGATTTTTAAACAGTTGAAAAAAACTCAAAAAGAAGAATATGTCATAACACCTAAACATTCTATGAAATTCAAATTTCATAGAATGCTAATATAGAAACATTTATTGGAACATAGCCATGCTCATTCATTTATGTATTTTTATGGTATTTTTTTAGCTACTTTTCTGCTGTAACAGCAGGGTTGAGTAGTTGTGACAACTGGTATGGCCCATAAAGCCTAATATATTAACTTTCTGGCCATTTACAAAAAATGTTTGCTAGCCCTTATTATAATTCATGAAAATACATGGAAGCCTTCAGCGGTACCTTCATTTAGTTAACTGCAGGTGGTATAGACAGCTTTGCTTTTTGAGCACCCCTGTAGCAACTTTCAAACTTTATATATTTCTTGTCCCAGCAAATCCTTATTAGCAAAATGGATTCTTGTATAAGTTAAAAAGATGTGGTGTGGTAAAAATTAATGTCACTCTTGTGGACTTAACATTCACGTTTTAAAACTGTTGCCAGCAATCTCAGGGATCTAAGAACAAGCAACTATTTGTAGTTTTGCTAAACCATGAATTTATGACTGGCGAAACTGGTATGGCAAAACATGTTCAATCACCTAATCTGATGTTCAGGATACAAAATAATTGCTTTTATGGTAACTCTTATACTATCAAAGATGGTTTTTATGGAGAAATTTATGTCATGGAATGGAATTTAAGAAAGCACACTGGATGTTACCACAAAGGTCAAGGGTTTTATAGCAGAGGGGAAAATCATTCCATTAATAAGCCACACATATCAGTATCAATTTGAAAGTGAGCATTCAGTCATTATCTATCAGAAATTGTCCAAAGGAGGAGAAACTGCTGCAGTTTTGTGATATTTCTTTTATCCTAAAATGAAAGTGCTACTCTAGACATCAGTTGAGACTTTTGAGCAAATCTGTTACGTTATTAAGCCAGTCTTCTCTGTCACTTAGAAACTAACCACCCTTTGTTGGTTTTTTGTCAGCAGTCAAATGAGACTATGTGTGACATAAATAATATATTTCTTGAACTGGCAAGGAGCACTCTACCTTATTATCTTAGGAAATGAGTTGTGTATATTTTTAACATTTTCATAATACTGGTGTCATTAAACCTAACTAGGCATATCTGAATATTTTAGTGTTCTGAGCTTATGTTTTATATTACCTAGATGGTTATTTTTTTCTTTCGAATTAAGTAGAAAGTACATAATCACCTAAAATTATGTTAGTACAGTAGTCTTACTGTCAAAATACACATTCCAGCCTGATTTTAACCTTTTCTTTGAGAGTCTCACTCTGCCACCCAGACTGGAGTGCAGTGGCACAATCTAGGCTCACTGCAACTTCTGCCTCCCAGGTTCAAGGGATTCTCCTGCCTCAGCCTCCCGAGTAGCTGGGATTATAGATGCGCACCACTACACCTAAATACATTTTTTTTGTATTTTTTAGTAGAGATGAGGTTTGGTTTCACCATGTTGGTCAGGCTGGTCTTGAACTCATGACCTCAGGTGATCCACCCACCTCGGCTTCCCAAAGTGCTGGGATTACAGGCATGAGCCACCACACCCGGCCTGATTTCAGCCTTTTACTCCATCATGTCCTTCTCTCTCTCTTTTTTTTTTTTTTTTTTTTTGAAACAGGGTTGTGCTTTGTCGCCCAGGCTGAAGTACAGTGGCACGATTATAGCTTATTGCTGCCTTGAATTCCTGGGCTCAAGTGATCCTCCCATCTCAGCCTCCCGAGTAGTTGGGACTACAGGTGCGCACCCCACCATGCCTGGCTGATATTTAAATTTTTTGTAGCAATGGCATCTCGCCATGTTGCTCAGGCTGGTCTCGAACTCCTGGACTCAAGGGATCCTCCCACCTTGGCCTCCTGAAGTGCTGGGATTATAGGTGTGAGCCACCGCACCCGGCCCCATTATCCCCTCCTGTACACGTGAAAAAATACCTTTATTTTGATCATCCAAGCAGTCATTCAGCACAGTGTTAACCTAGAAAAAAACAGCATTTGGGTATTTGTAGATCATGACTAAGGTACATCACCAAAGTGAGGTTTCTTCTCTTTTACACTTTCTGATTATAAGATTGCATGAGTTTGCCACCCTAAGTCTCCTCTCTTTGATGAGTATTTGACTATTTCTATATGTGGAATGTCACATAACCAGTGTTAGAAGTTTATAGAAAGGTATCTTCCACCCGTTGTTCTTTGCTTTTGAGTCAGCCTCAGTTTATAAGATAATGTTGCCTTTTACCCCTTACATATAAAGAAATGTGTCAAATTTTAAAAGGCAATAATAGTAAACTTTCATTTCTTTTGATTGTGCTAATGAGAGAGAGTGTATGTGGAGGGAAGGGGGGGGTGGGGGAGAAGAACCTGAGCCCTGGAAGTCACAGAACTAAGTTCAGATAACAGCTCTGTCACTTCCTGCTTGTAACCATGAACCTCTCTGAACATACTGTGTATATCAGCTCACAAAGTTGTTACAATTGATACTGTATGGAAAGTACCCAGCATAGTGTCTGCCATAGTAAATGCACCTTTAGGTTAGCTTTTTTTTTTTTTTTGGAGATGCAGTCTCGCTCTTGCTGCCCGGGCTGGAGTGCAATGGCGCCATCTCAGCTCACTGCATCCTCTACCTCCCGGGTTCAAGTGATTCTCCAGCCTCAGCCTCCCCAGTAGCTGGGATTCACAAGCGTGTGTCACTACACCTGGCTAATTTTTGTATTTTTAGTAGAGACGGGGTTTCACCATGTTGGCCAGGTCGAACCCCTAATCTCAGGTGATCCACCTGCCTCGGCCTCCCAAAGTGCTGGGATTATAGGTGTGAGCCACCGCGCCTGGCCTTATGGTAGCTATTTTTGTGTATCAGTACATTAAGGTGTCTCACTAATGTTCAATTAGAGTTCATGTCTATCTTTGCAAGAGGAGGAACAACACACAAGTGACTGATGTACCCCCAAACCTCATTTAAGATGTTTTTTGAACTTTTTCTGTGTTCTGTATACATTTCTAATAAAGCAGATGCTTAGTGAACTGATTTTTTTCCATTTGTCGTTTGCTGGAGGTTATAACTAGTAGCTCAAATAGGATACAGTTTACATAGGAGGAGAGGTTCATAGAGGGTCCTGTCTCTTCAATTAGCTTAGGTGACTTGTTTTTGAAAAATTAATAGGTATTAGTTATTCAAGATAAGAACTATATATAGGTAACTACTTATAGTTACTGTCTTTAAAGTGTGAAATGTGAAGACTGTGCCATTAAGTGGATTTTTTTCTTTTTTTTTCGAGACAGAGTCTCGCTCTGTCTCTAGGCTGGAGTGCAGTGGTGCAATCTCGGCTCACTGCAACCTCTGCCTCCTGGGTTCAAGCGATTCTCCTGCCTCAGCCTCCCTGGTAGCTGGGATTACAGGCGCCCACCACCACACCCAGCTAGGTTTTGTATTTTTAGTAGAGATGGGGTTTCACCATGTTGGCCAGGATGGTCTCGAACTCCTGACCTCGTGATCCACCCACCTCGGCCTCCCAAAGTGCTGGGATTATAAGTGTGAGCCATCGCACCCGGCCCATTAAGTGGATTTTTAATCTCACACGAGCTCAAGGCACAGCTGAAGACCTTTTAAATTCTGTGAAAGATAGTGGATATTCATAGCTAGTTTTTAATTCCAGACCCTTAATTTCTCTTATCTGTAAGTCAGCCTTGTTGACTTCTGTCTAACATTTAGCACCTTTACAAAATTATTCAAGTCAGTAAATATATATATAAAAAACCTATTTGGCTTTGTTTCAAGATTTGCTCATTTAACCTTTAATAATCCTCTTTAAAATGGGAATGATGATGTAACAGAAATCCCTGTAACTTACAAAGTACTATATGTAGACGAGGGGGAGGAATTCAACAACAATGCCTGTCATAAATCAGGCAGTGCATTGGGATACTTTTTGTGGGTTTTAATTAACCAGGTAGTTCACATCATTCAGCACTCAAATGTCATAAATCAGAATTAGATATTTTAAGAAAGCTAATTTTTGTACATAAGAAAAAATCTTATTAAAACATTTATTAAGATAGAAAAAGAGGGAAATATTAGTAACTCTGCTTTATAGATGAGGAGATTGAGAGACCAGAGTTTGAACCTACATAAAGTCATTATCAGTAAAGGGACTCAATTTAACAGTTTTTAATGGTATGCTATTTCCGCTAGATAATTAATGGTTTATTGTTGGAAAAATATTTGTATATTGTTTAATGATCTTGGAAATAGAGCCCATTATTTTAACCTGTTGAAAAAATATTTATAAGGCTGGGCTCGGAGGCTCATGCCTGTAATCCCATTGGGAGGCGGACGCAGGCGGATCAAGAGGTCAGGAGTTTGAGACCAGCCTGACCAACATGGCGAAACCCCGTCTCTACTAAAAATACAAAAATTAGCCGGGCTTGGTGGTGGGCACCTGTAATCCCAGGTACTCAGGAGGCTGAGGCAGGAGAATCTCTTGAACCCGGGAGGTGGAGGTTGCAGTGAACCGAGATTGCACCACTGCACTCCGGCCTGGGCGACAGAGTGAGACTCCATCTCAAAACAAAACAAAACAAAAAATATTTATAAATAAATGTTGAAGAAATAGATTATATATCCTAGTAGTTATAACTTATAAAATTTAAACATAGGCAACTGGTTTTATAGCCCATTATTTTAACCTGTTGAATAAATAAGATATAAATAAATGAGTTATAAGTTGTAAAATTCCAACACAGTCAACTGGTTTTATAAGGTGTACTTGTCTGCACGGTGTTGGCAATGCTTCTTTAAAACAGTTTATAGCCAGGCGTGATGGCTCATGCCTGTAATCCCTGCACTTTGGGAAGCCAAGGTGGGCAGATCGCTTGAGTCCAGGAGTTTGAGACCAGCCTGGTCAACATGGTGAAACCCCGTCTCTACTAAAAATACAAAAATTAGTTGTGCATGGTGGTATGCGCCTGTAATCCCAGCTACTCAGGAAGCTGAGGCAGGAGAATCGCTTGAACTTGGGAGGCGAAGATTCCAGTGAGTCAAGATCGTGCCCAGTACACTACGGGCTGGGAGAGTGAGACTGTGTCTCAGAAAAAAAAAAAAAAAAACAGCACAGAAAAAACAGTTTATAATTCCCTATATTATGGAAAAGGTATATGGATGGTTATGTATGGAAGTTTTTGTTTGTTTGGGTTTTTTTTTTTTGCAGATAATTTCTTTACTGAAACTATCGGTAAGTTTTACTATGAAATTTTACATACATGATGGAAAGTGGAAGACATATACCAATTATATTCCAGGAAAAAATACTTTAATAGTATTGTTATATAGTGTATTGGCTGATTCCAGTGGATCCTCGTCTCTCACTGCTGACATTATCTCCAATATTTGAATTATATGGCAGGGTTCATTTCTGTCTTTTAAGCAGTGCCCACTTTCCCACTTCTTTTTGGTAGGAAATGCAGTTTTTATATATTTTGATCCAGCATGTGTACTTTTGACTCCACACCAAGGTGCATCTGTCTCAATCATTAATTTTTCACTAGGAATTGACTTCAAAACTTCCAAATTAGTTTCAGTTTTCAGTGAGCAACCATTAAATCCTATATAAAGATCCAAGTCAATCAAAGCAGCTGCTGCTTCTTTGGTACCATCAAATGAATGCACCACTCCCTCTACACACCGATCTCTATTTCTTTTAATTATGTCCAAAAATTCAGCATGTGAGTTTCGACAATGAAGAAACATTGGTAATTTTGTTTGTTCTGACAGTTCAAACTGTTTTTCACAGTATTTGAGTTGAGTATCTTTGGGACAAAAGTGCAGTCAGTCAAAATCAAGTCCACATTCTCCTACTGCCACAACTTTCCCTTTATTGTTTTCATCAAGATTTAGCAACTCCTTTAAGTAAAGATCAGGGTTATTCTTTTCAAATTTACCACATCTTGTAGGATGACATCCAGCTGTACTGAAAAACATATGATTTGTTTGTGCCAAATGCAGTGCATCTTTACTGTCTTGTAGATTTCCACCTGTAATCATAAACTTTTTAACACCAATCTCGACAGCTCTCCCTGTTACATCCTGTAAATCATCTTGATGCTTTTGAACCCCCCTATAAATTCCTCTGAACATGGTGTCAGTCAAGTTGATAACAATATCGATAAACTTGAAATGACTCATGACTGCAGATGGGGGACCTCCCTGGCGGAAGTGCTATGTAAGGAAGTTTTAAAGTGAGAAAAATTTTAAAAGAACTTGCTGTCAGAGATATCTGAAAATAGTAATGGTTTTCCTTGTAAAATAGTTTTCTATGGGCCAGATGTGGTGGCTCACGCCTGTAATACCAACACTTTGGGAGGTTGAGGCAGGTGGATCACCTGAGGTCAGGAGTTTGAGACCAGCCTAACCAATATGATGAAACCCCATCTCTACTAAAAATACAAAAATTAGCCAGGCATGATGGCATGCTCCTGTAACCCCAGCTACTCAGGAGGCTGAGACAGGAGAATTGCTTGAACCTGGGAGGTGGAGGTTGCAGTAAGCCGAGATCGTGCCATTGCACTCCAGCCTGGGCAACAAGAGCAAAACTCCGTCTCAAAAAACAAAAACAAAAAGTTTCCTATGTTCTGTTTGTTATCGACTAGACTGTCAGCTGGTGTGCATTAAGGGGGTTAGAGTCTGATAGGACTTTCTAAGTGTGTACTGTATTATTGAGGGGGTGCAGAGAAAAGAGATTGCTAGAAAGTTTCTTTGCAAAGTAAAGAAAGACATGTTAATGCCCATTTCTTTCTCCCAAAATGACAGATTTTGCCTACTTATTTGTATGACAGTTTTTCATTCTGGTATTTTCTTCTGCTGTAAAGCAGTACTTCTATGTATTTTCCAAGGAACATAATTAATTTAAAGGCCCTTACTTTGGCCTGTTGGCTTTCACTATGTTTAAGTACATATCAGATAGAATATTTACCACAATACTATTCTAAAAATACAGAGTAGTGCCTTAAAAAGCAGTATGAGAAGGAAACACTTTACCTGGATAGACTTTGGAGAAGAGTGAAGTATGACCTACTTGATTAGGGGTCCTTTTTTATTTTTTACACTTCAGCTACCTTTTGGCTTTTCAAAGTTGCCAAATTGTTTTTTATTCATCAGATATAGTTCACTTAGTTTAGCTCTTTTCTATTCACGGGTTTCCATGATCTGCCTGTCCACTTTTTTTTTTTTTTTAAGACGGAGTCTCACTGTCGCCCAGGCTGGAGTGCAGTGGTGTGATCTCGGCCCATTGCAAGTGCCACCTTCCGGTTCACACCATTCTCCTGCCTCAGCATCCTCAGTAGCTGGGACTACAGGCTCCCACCACCACACCCAGCTAATATTTTTTTGTATTTTTAGTAGAGATGGGGTTTCACCATGTTAGCCAGGATGGTCTCGATCTCCTGACCTTGTGATCCACCCACCTCAGCCTCCCAAAGTGCTGGGATTACAGGCGTGAGCCACCGCGCCCGGCCCTGCCTGTCCACTTTAAAAATAGTTGCCATTTGACAGTGCTGGTTTGTTATTCTTCTCAGCTACTCTAGTGTCCCTGCAGCTGATCTCAAATGCAGGAGCAGCAGAGGTACTTTGAGAGAGAGAGAGAGAGAACAGAATATCAGAGTCCAGTGGGAGACCAGCAAATTGTGGGAAATCACGTGACTGTATGATTCACATCTCCAATGAGAGAGAATTGGTTGTTTCTATGTCTAGATCCAGCCTGTTATGAGAGTAATACCATCAATAATGTAATTTTAATTGTCTGGATGCTTTGGCGCTAGTTTCAAGAAATAAAATTTTTAGCAGCAAAATTACTGGTCAGATGACTGTGAGTAGAACTGAATTTGATGACATTTAAATCAGGACAGAATAAAAGTAGTTTCAAAGTCTAGAGGTTAAGTATTATGGGAAGGTCAGTAAGTCATCTGTGTATGTATCTATTGTCATTCAAATGTTCACCTCAGTTCTTTTGCCAACACCTTTAAATGACCTGATGTTATTTCATTTGTATATTGCTTCCAATAGTGAATCCCTTAAAAAGATGACTTGAATAAGGCTATACTTTAAAAGTTAGAAAACACATTAATTTCAAATTTTGACTTTAGGACATTGTTGTCAAAGGTCAAATCTTACCACAGATTAATTTCTTATGCTCTTTTGTTACACAATTGCCAATGAACTATAACTCATGAATTTGTGTTTTTGCATACATTTAGATCAAAGGAATTTTATTCAGTCCTTAGAACGTATAGGAGGGAAAGTCGGTAACATTAATGGTAGGAGAGCGTAACATGGACCTTTCTTTTAATCTATAATTCTAGGACGACATAGACAGCCTAAACCCAGTTCTCAGGGACAACCCGCAGCTTCATGAGGAAGTGAAAGTCTGGGTAAAGGAACAAAAGGTTCAGGAGATTTTTATGCAAGGTAACTATTTTGAAGTTATGCATTAAATTTTTTTGGATCTAGGCAACTTATCATATTTGTTTTTGGTTATTCAATTGTGTGCAATATAAATAGAAGGCCCAGTCCAATATTTTGAGTTATATACATCCAGGAAAATAATAGCAGAGTGATAATAATTTTGATAGAAAGTTGATAATTTCACAAGTGTATTAACTTTATTTGAACTGAATGCCTGTCATGAAATTACAGCTACACAGGTGTTTTGTTGACAGAAAACTGCATATTATGGAATTCTTTAGGTGTGTCTTTCCTGGAGAAGGAAGCATTGTTTGCAGTAGAGGGTTGCCCACAGCCACAATTGATTTCCTTTGAAGAATGTTCTTCGTATCTGGTAAAAGTGGCCTATTTCAGTGCACCTTTTTCAGAAATTACTAGTCTTTTGTTTCCTTTGTTTAGTATGTTACAACGTGTGACCTTCAAACCAGTGGGGTTTGACGATTTTTAGCAATTTCCATTTCTGTCAGTAAAATCATGTATTGTAAATACAAGCTTTTTGGAAATTGAATGGAAAGTGAGACAATATGGCATGAACTGTTGTTGAATGTCTTTGTGAATGGAATTTTGTTGTTAAATTCCCATATCTATCTCAACCGTCAACTTCCATGCCATTAAGTGTCAAGAGAGAATCCCAAAGCTGTTTGCTTTATATGGGTATGTACAGTAGTGGATCATCTACATATTTAATTCTTCCTAGGCTAAATATTCTTTAAACTTTTCTGTGGAGAATTTCAAACACATACAAAAACAGAATATTTCAGTGAACTTTCATTCACCTCTCTCCCAGCCCCAACAACTATCAAATCTTGGCTGATCCTGTGCTATCCATACCCCCTTCTATCAAATTTCAGACATCACCCTATTCTATCCATTTTTTTGAACAAAACAATGCTGGAACATTATTCTGAAAAAAGTAATTGTTTTTAAATTTAAAATACTAGGTATTTCAAGTTTTCATTTGTCTTATAAACGTCGAAGATTTTAACAGGTTTGATTTATTTTTTAAAAATCAAGGGATTCAGAAAAGGTCCACACATTGTGATTATTTGGTACATCCCCATTGTTGCTCTTTTTTTCCCTTTCCTTGCAATTTATTTGTTGAAGAAACCAGGCAAATTTTTAAAAAATAATATTTTGTTTCTGCATTGTATCCTTAGAGGAGAAAAGATTAAGGGGCAGTATAGTCCCTATTCATTCTATGCAGAATTGTGTGAGGCTGACTCTAAGCTATGTTAAGTAGTGGGAACAAACCAGTGTAAACTGTTTGTTAATGGGAATTGAAAACTGATCATATTTGGAGTTACTCTATAAGCATGTCCTATATTATTTAGAAAAAATAATATGGAGTCTTATTCTTCAATAGTTAGAAAAGACTGAAGTTCATATAATGGATATGGCTACTAAACAGTGTTTACGCATCACCTCCCTTAAATTATAGCCAGTCAACATCTTCACTTTTCTCTAGATGAAAGTATTTAATTTACAGGTCATATGGAATACTTTCTACAGTTCATTGATTTATATATATATATTTAAAGCTGGCAAAGGATTGTTGAATCTGTTACAACTGTAGAAGAAGGAATATCAGAAAAATAAATTCAGTCCCAGATCTTTGACTTAAAATTTTACCTAATCTGTCAACCTCTCACTTTCTTGATTTTTGTAAAAGGGCTAACAATACTTAGGAGAGAGAATTAAATAAGCACTTGAAAATTTTGAAAGCACTTTGTAAATTATTAAGGTACAGCAGTTTTTTCCCTTACAGTTCTTTGTTAAAGTATTTGATACCATTTTAATACCTGTGAATTAAAGATCGTTTTCATCTCAGTATCCTCTTCTGTAGAGTGACTTGTTTTATTAGGCATATCTGAATATCTGCAGATAAATATGTTTAATATTTTTTATTATTTTCTAATGGATATCTATACAAGAATATCCTTTGAAAAAGTGAGTTTAGCACAAAAGTGTACCATATTTCGTTAAAAATTTTTAGTGCTATATGTATACATTCACTTAGCCAATCTCTTTTTTAAGACTTTTAGCAACTTTTTCTGGCTGTGATAGCAAATCAAAATTTATAGTTGTTTATGGTAAAGTTTTGGCAACTAGAAGACTCAAACAAACATCAAGTTGCAAGTTAATCTTTCTGTTTCAACCATGTAGTCATCTACTGCAATCTTACTAAGTAGCTTCATAACCTTACTGCATTCTACACTACTATAACTTTGCATTTTGAACTGTTCTCTTATTAACTCGTGATCCTAGAAACCTTCCTTCTCTCTTAAAGTATTTTATTTCTATTGAATCAGGAAGTATGTGGGTCTAGTGCAGTGTATATAGTAACTTCAGAATGATTCATTTGAAAGGATATTTACTTCTAAAACATTTTTTTGAAAACTGATAGTTGGATATATTACTATTATACACTAGCTCATGTTTCTTCTAAAAGGCAGTTATTAAATGAAGATGTCTCCATTTAAGATGTTTCTGTTTCTTGTGTTTTTTTTAAGGTCCTTATTCCTTAAATGGATACAGAGTGAGAGTATATAGACAAGACTCTGCCACCCAGTGGTTTACTGGCATAATTACTCATCATGATCTCTTCACCCGCACCATGATCGTTATGAATGATCAGGTAAATAGTTCCACTAATATTTTTATAGAGATTTTAAAAGTTCAAATCATCCATGCCCCCCAAAATACATCAACAATTTGATACTAAATAATTTTTATCTCTAGGGTTTTTAGTCGTGTAATTCTAGTAAGTTTAAATGTATCTGATATTACATAGAGGTCATTTCAGGTCATAGGGAGACAGCAATGCTCAATTTATTTCAACACTGATAAAATCAGTTCCTAAAATAGAGGCATTAAACTCTTTTAATTGATTAGTCTTTTTTAAATCCTTAGATGAGCTAAAATTTTCTTTCTCAGAGTTTCAGTTTTTCTGTCCCTCCAGTAATAAAAATATTTCCGAAATCATTTCTTTTCATCAGTGAAAACTTAAACACACAGTACATTTCTTCTCACATCAAATGTCAGTGTTGGTATGCTCAATTAAGTTTTATGGTGAATCTTAAGGATTACAAGTTTCCTATGGAGTTTTTGTTTGTTTTTTGTTTTTTGTTTTTTGAGCTGGAGTCTCGCTCTGTCGCCCAGGCTGGAGTGCAGTGGCATGATCTCGGCTCACTGTAAGCTCCACCACCTGGGTTCACACCATTCTCCTGCCTCAGCCTCCCGAGTAGCTGTGACTACAGGCGCCCGCCACCACGCCCGGCTATTTTTTTGTATTTTTAGTAGATACGGGGTTTCGCCATGTTAGCCAGGATGGTCTCGATTTCCTGACCTCGTGATCTGCCCACCTCAGCCTCCCAAAGTGCTGGGATTACAGACGTGAGCCACCGCGCCCGGCTCCTATGGAGTTTTAAGTACCAGTCTGAAAGTCTTGAGATTTCAAATTTTTTTTTTAACTTAATACAAAAAATACTCATTTTTAAAGCTGTTGTTTATGTAGAAAAAATAGATATTTATACCTTCCTGCCTGATTGTATTGTGGAGATTATCTGATAGAGCGCCTTTATACACAATTCAAATACTTTGGTTAAAATGTAGTTAAAATGCTAAGTAAGTGTTACTGTTTCATTGCATTTGATTTTTTCCCTAAAACAGTGACAAACTTTTACCTCTCAGAAAAGCACAAAACTGCCTTGAATTGTTAAAATAGTTTTAACCACATTTTTAAAATTATTCATTTGCACAATTTTTGTCTTTTTCTACTCCCTAAAGTCTACCTCTGAGTTTTATTTTACAACTGCTTTTTGAAAATTACTTTCTATTTAAAAATAAAAAGTAATTTAAGAATTGTTGGCATCTGTATTCTTGATTAATACCCTTGTTTTTCAAGATGTACTTGCAGTAAATATATTTGCTTTTTAATTCTTGGTTAGCAGTTGAAATGGTGAGTTTCAGAAGGTTAAAAAGGTAATTTTGTCTTAAGTGAATAAAACAAATTATTATAACAGCATCTTATAAATTAGGGATCCCAAGCTGATTTCTAAACATTTCTACTGAGTAAAGAAATTATACCAAATATTTGAT
This sequence comes from Homo sapiens, assembly GCF_000001405.40. Classification (NCBI taxonomy): domain Eukaryota; kingdom Metazoa; phylum Chordata; class Mammalia; order Primates; family Hominidae; genus Homo; species Homo sapiens. The sequence continues at coordinate 63,215,743 of NC_000010.11, read as the reverse complement.
TAGCTCATTCTATTTAATTTTTGTTTTTGTTTTGTATCATGGATTAGGTACTAGAACCACAGAATGTCGATCCTTCTATGGTTCAAATGACCTTTCTAGATGATGTTGTTCACTCTTTGTTAAAAGGTGAAAATATTGGCATTACATCACGACGCAGGTCTCGTGCCAATCAAAACGTCAACGCTGTTCACGTATGTATGTTATTAGGGATGAATTTCTGTAAAATATTTTTCCTTAGGCTAGTAGAAACCAGGTAGTAAACAATTACTGTTAATTGGTTATTTTTAGAGCCATTATACACGTGCCCAAGCAAATAGTCCCAGACCAGCAATGAACTCCCAAGCTGCTGTACCAAAACAGAATACACACCAGCAACAGCAACAAAGAAGTATCCGTCCAAATAAGAGGAAGGGCTCAGATAGCAGTATACCAGATGAAGAGAAGATGAAGGAGGAAAAATATGATTATATATCACGAGGAGGTAGGACCCACTTTTTTTTTTAAGGGAATGAAAACAAATAAAACAAAAATACATTTTAAAATATGCTTATTTAGTATGAAAAATAAGACTCTTCTTTCTTTAATCCTACAGAAAATCCTAAAGGTAAAAACAAACACTTGATGAATAAAAGAAGGAAACCTGAGGAGGATGAAAAGAAACTAAATATGAAAAGACTTCGAACTGACAATGTTTCAGACTTTTCTGAGAGCAGTGACTCAGAAAATTCAAATAAGAGAATAATAGATAATTCCTCAGAACAGAAGCCAGAGAATGAATTGAAAAATAAAAATACTTCAAAAATAAATGGAGAAGAAGGAAAACCCCATAATAATGAGAAGGCAGGAGAAGAGACCCTAAAAAATAGCCAGCCTCCCTGGGATCAAATACAGGAAGATAAAAAACATGAAGAAGCAGAGAAGCGGAAGTCTGTTGACACTCAGCTTCAAGAAGATATGATTATTCATTCGTCAGAACAGTCCACAGTTTCTGATCATAATTCTAATGATTTACTTCCTCAGGAATGCAATATGGATAAAACACATACCATGGAATTGCTACCAAAGGAGAAGTTTGTATCCAGACCACCCACACCAAAATGTGTTATTGATATTACAAATGACACTAATTTAGAAAAGGTGGCTCAGGAAAACTCAAGTACCTTTGGCCTTCAGACACTTCAGAAAATGGATCCTAATGTTAGTGATTCAAAACACTCTATTGCAAATGCAAAATTCTTGGAAACAGCAAAAAAAGATTCTGACCAGAGCTGGGTCAGTGATGTAGTTAAAGTGGATCTAACCCAATCAAGTGTTACAAATGCTTCTTCAGGAAATGATCACTTGAACATGGAAAAAGAGAAGTATGTCTCTTACATTTCTCCTTTAAGTGCAGTTTCTGTCATGGAAGATAAGCTGCATAAGCGAAGTCCACCTCCAGAGACTATAAAATCTAAACTTAATACTTCAGTAGATACTCACAAGATAAAATCCAGCCCATCACCTGAAGTTGTTAAACCCAAAATAACTCATTCTCCTGATTCTGTAAAGTCTAAGGCCACTTATGTGAACAGCCAAGCTACTGGTGAAAGAAGATTGGCAAATAAGATAGAACATGAGCTATCAAGATGCAGTTTTCATCCAATTCCTACTCGAAGCAGTACATTAGAAACTACAAAGAGTCCTCTTATCATTGATAAAAATGAGCATTTTACAGTTTACAGAGATCCTGCACTTATTGGGTCAGAAACAGGAGCTAATCATATTTCACCTTTCCTAAGCCAGCATCCTTTTCCTCTTCACTCCTCATCTCATAGAACCTGTTTAAATCCAGGTACCCATCATCCTGCCTTAACTCCTGCACCCCATTTACTAGCCGGATCATCTAGTCAAACTCCATTACCTACCATTAACACTCATCCTCTGACTAGTGGTCCACACCATGCTGTTCATCACCCTCATTTACTTCCCACTGTGTTACCTGGAGTGCCTACTGCCTCCTTACTTGGTGGCCACCCACGACTAGAGAGTGCTCATGCCAGCAGCTTGAGCCACTTAGCGCTAGCACACCAGCAACAACAACAGTTGTTACAGCACCAGTCACCTCATCTTCTTGGACAAGCCCATCCTTCTGCTTCATATAATCAGCTTGGACTTTATCCAATTATTTGGCAGTATCCAAATGGAACACATGCATACTCAGGACTTGGTTTGCCTTCTTCTAAGTGGGTTCACCCAGAAAATGCAGTTAATGCTGAAGCTTCATTAAGGAGGGTAAGTTACACTGTAGTTTGCCACATAGCAGTATATATTAATGAACATGTACAGGTGCTTTTTCAATATTCCATCTATTTTTTAGGTCATTTCCTATTATAAAATATGTTAGAATTTTTCGGTTGTTTTTCCATACACTTAGTAACCTCAAGAGTGGGAGCTGAAACGTCAGAAAAGCCTACTTATAAAAAGAATTAATTTAAAGAAGTAAAACTTTTTAGATTGTAATATTTATTTATTATAGATTTAAATTTTTGGTATATTTTCTTTTTCTTTTTTTTTTTTTTTGAGATGGAGTCTCATTCTGTTGCTTAGGCTAGATGCAGTGACATGATCTTGGGTCACTGCAACCTCTGCCTCCCAGGTTCAAGCAATTCTTCTGCCTCAGCCTCCTGAGTAGCTGGGATTACAGGTGCCTGCCACCATGCCTGGCAGATTTTTGTATTTTTAGTAGAGACGGAGTTTTACCATGTTGGTCAGGCTGGTCTTGAACTCCTGACCTTGTGATCCGTCTGTCTCGGCCTCCCAAAGTGCTGGGATTACAGGTGTGAGCCACCGCGCCCGGCTAATTTTTGGTATAAAAATTATTACACAAAATTATACATAATTATAATTATGCAATAATTATAATATATATAATACAAATTATACATAATTATTTTGCTCAGCCAAATTCCCAGAAGTGAAATTTCTAAAATTTTTATAAAATTGTAAGGCTTTTGATATATATTATCAAATTGTTCTTAAAAACAAATTGTTATATTCTCCAGATGTATGTTTGTATATTAATGGTATAGTACAGTGTTTGACTATTTAACCCCCTTGTTCCCTTAAGGGTGCTCAAGGTTACAGATTCCCAGTATTTGAGGGTAAAGCTGCAGCTGAGATTTTGTCTGCCTAACACAGTATTGCTAAAGGTAGCGGTATAAGGCTCTTGTTCATTCATGAGCCATGTAGTTTCTATAGCAAATTCATTTTTACACTAAAAAATGGTTATTGAGAGCAATACTAGCCCCGGTATAAAAAATGGAAAAATTGATATCACTTTTAAACTCCGAGGAGACAACCTTGTCCTTCGTACATCCTAGGATGCTCATCAAGTATCCCCTAGAATCTCTTTTTAACACCTTGTTTTTGTGGTTAAAAAACACATACATACATAATATTAAATGTGCCATCTTAAATATTTTTAAGTGTACAGTTCAGTAGTGTTAAGTGTGTTCACATTGTTGTGCAGCAGGTCTCTAGAACTTTTTCATCTTGTAAAACTGAAACTATAGCCATTAAACACTAACTCCCCTTCCCTGCCAGCCCTTGGCAACCACCTTTCTTCTGTTTCTATGGTTTTCATGACTTTAGATACTTTCTATGAGTAGAATGATAGAATATTTATCCTTTTGTTACTGGCTTATTTAGCTTACTACAATATTCTTGAGGTTCATCCATGTTGCAACATGTGACATGATCTTCTTCTTATTTAAGGCTGTATAATATTCCACTGTATGTATGTGCCCTATTTTCTTTCTCCATTCATCTGTCAGTGGACATTTGGGTTGCTTTCACCTCTTGGCTGTGGTGAATAATGCTACAGTGAACATGGGTGGTTTTTTTGTTTTTTTGTGGGGTTTTTTTTTTTTTTTTTTTTTTTTGAGACAGAGTCTTGCTCTGTCACCCAAGCTAGAGTACAGTGGCGTGATCTCGGCTCACTGCAACCTCTGCCTCACATGGGTGTTTTTAACATCTTAATGTCATCTTTTTTGACAGCTTTCTGAAGTTAAGTGAGATCACAGTTGGGGGTGGTGATTTAGAAGACAATTTTAGTGACTTTCTGTTTTACTCAGGGATAATATTTTTTACATATAACATTAGTGATGCCAGTAGATAAAAGCATGCTGTTCATCATGCCAAAAGTTTGTGAGAGGAGTCATTATGTTTTGGGTAGACTGTGGCCATGAGTCTTTTTATCATTCCCAAGTTGTGATAGATAAACTTTTTTTTTTTTTTTTTTGAGATGGAGTCTCCCTCTGTTGCCAGGCTACAGTACAGTGATACAGTCTTGGCTCACTGCAACCTCTGCCTCCCGGGTTCAAGTGATTGTCCTGCCTCAGCCTCCCAAGTAGCTAGGACTACAGGTGTGCAACACCACACCTGGCTAATTTTTTGTATTTTTAGTAGAAACGAGGTTTCACTATGCTGGCCAGGCTGGTCTCGAACTCCTGACCTCAAGTGATCCGCCTGTCTCGGCCTCTCAAAGTGCTGGGATTACAGGCATGAGCCACCATGCCCAACCATGTGATGGGTGAACTTTGATGATAAGAGGCACCAAGTGGTTGATGATGCATCTTGCATAAGGTCTACCAGTTTTGAAAGATGTTTCCTGTGGTTTATTCCTGTTGCAAACATGGACTCCTTTTGGCTCTACTTTCATATGACCTTTGGCCTTTAATGAAGTCTCACCAGTGATGCCCACAGTTGATTCTGCACCAGCATCACCACATTTGAGGTTGACAAGATCTCAGTTCCAGAATTATGCTGCCATTGATCACAAGCTTTCCATTACCATTTTGGAGGGTGCCGTTGCTTTTGTCGTAGATGGGAGTCATACTGGAACCTGTGTGTTACATAGTCAAACTCAGTGAAGAATCACTAATCACTATATTATCCTCTTTACCAGAATAGAAAGCAGGCCTGGTGACCCAAGTGCCCTACTGTACTCAGATTATTAATTCAAGGTTTCTATTTTTATTGTTGCACTCACATGTTTATTCTGACCCTTCACTCTCACGTCATTAATGTAGCTGCAGCTGCACAAAGATAAGCTAGCTAGAGGAACACAGGAGAGCCAAGAGCTGGCTAACAGATTTGTGTCTTTTTCCTTAACATCCAAACTCTTGAAAACAGATTTAAGTAACTTAAAAATGGCTTGGAAGGGAGCAATACTCAGTATGTGTCACATGTATATGGACTTAGACCATGACTGTCTAGCCTCTGTGTTTATAAGTACATAAAATATTTTATTAACTGGTCATAAATGTGTTAAACTAAAAACAAGTGTATCAGATTTTTATTTGTTATATAAAATTACAACATAAAGGAGTAAATTTGAATAACATTTTGAGGAAAAATAAAAATATCTTACCCCCTACTATTGACCAAAAGTGAAGAAACAATACAAGCATAAGACACTATTATTGAGAAATAATTTTGAATGGCATTTTATAGAGCAAAACTTTGTTGTCATTGCCATAATTGATTGCTGTTTAAGATTTCTGGATCTTATAGAACTGAGGCCGTTTGAGACACATATTTGATCCTTATGTGTATATTTATGTATTTTTCTCTTATGTGGGGTTTATGGCTATAGTGTATGTTTTTAATTTCATAGCAGTATATTTTTGGTGTGACATACTGCTTTTGCATTATTTTGAGAAGTAAAACGTATTCCCTTTGTTAGAGAAAATACAAAGGAGGTTGTATTTTCCTGCTATTTGACTATCATCCTATTAACAAATTCATAAAACATGTTCTGGAAGGATGTCAGTGAGTCAGAATATAGAAAAATCCTTAAGCATGTAGTCAGATAGCTGTATGTCTCGATGAAGAGGTTGCTGTCACCTTATATTCAGTCATGAGACAGGCAGCATATTGATGTATAAAATTAACTTTATTAGACTTCTACACCTCCAAGCTTAATGGTGCAACCTTGTTTATAGCTTAGAGTGAAATGGGGAGTGCATTTGGGTTTTGAAATGTAATTATCTGCCAATTGTCAGTAAATTGTTACATTGGAAAAGTTAAATTTTTTGATGACAAAAATTGACAAATGAATTTGGTTATAATTTCTATTTCTGATGAAATGTGTTTTAGGAATAATATTCTGTTTTTACTGTTAGCAATATACTTTTGCTGTTAGAATCAGGAAATCATATAAACTAGGTTCTGTATATGGCATTTATAGTAAATTTAAGGCACTGATTTCAAGATCTGTTTTTAGTAAGATGACAATAAATTATTTAATACTGATTATGATATGGAAAAATCTGTTTAATTATGTTATTATTTGTCTGAATATTTCTCATAAGATGTATTTAGAAAAAGTTACAAGTTTCCCAAAGAAACTGCTATTTGAATGAACTAATAAACCACCAAGATCATACCCAGTTCTACTGTGACACGGTGTTTAGCTTTTTCTAGTAACTGAAATCTAGGTGTTTTTTTTGTTTTGTTTTGTTAATAGAATTCTCCCAGTCCTTGGCTACATCAGCCCACCCCTGTGACCTCAGCAGATGGTATTGGATTACTTAGTCACATTCCTGTCAGACCTTCCAGTGCAGAGCCTCATCGGCCTCTTAAAATTACAGCCCATTCCAGTCCACCATTGACAAAAACTTTAGTAGATCATCATAAGGAGTAAGTTCACCAGTGCTTAAAAATTATAAATACCTTGTTCATAATTTTTCTTAATTTGCCTTTTAAATAGTTAATTTTAAGTTAACACATATCTTAAGATTAGGCTTTGTTCTGTTTTGATATTTCTTCAAATTTATTATAGTATTAGAGTACATGCAAAGATGTCTTTTACTTTCATAATAGAATGATATTGCATAGAAGCTGTCTTTGTATTTTGCAGGAAAAAGTGGTTACAGAAATATTTGTGTATTTTCTTTACAGAGAATTAGAAAGAAAAGCTTTTATGGAACCATTACGGTCTGTTGCATCCACATCAGCCAAAAATGACCTGGATCTAAATAGGTCACAGACTGGAAAAGATTGTCACTTACATAGGCATTTTGTGGATCCAGTATTAAATCAGTTACAGAGGCCACCCCAGGAGACTGGAGAGAGGTTAAACAAATACAAAGAGGAACACCGTCGAATTCTTCAAGAAAGTATTGATGTTGCTCCCTTTACAACTAAAATCAAGGGACTTGAGGGTGAGAGAGAGAATTATTCCAGAGTGGCATCATCATCTTCCAGTCCTAAAAGCCATATCATCAAACAAGATATGGATGTAGAACGCTCAGTATCAGATCTTTATAAAATGAAGCACTCAGTGCCTCAGAGTTTACCCCAAAGTAACTATTTCACTACATTGTCTAATAGTGTGGTCAATGAACCACCAAGATCATACCCATCCAAAGAAGTTTCAAATATTTACGGTGATAAACAGAGTAATGCCCTTGCAGCGGCAGCAGCTAATCCTCAAACTCTGACTTCATTTATAACATCTCTTTCAAAGCCTCCACCTTTGATTAAACACCAACCAGAAAGTGAAGGTTTAGTAGGCAAGATACCAGAACATCTTCCACATCAGATTGCATCTCACTCAGTAACAACCTTCAGAAATGATTGTAGGAGTCCTACCCATTTGACAGTTTCTTCTACAAATACACTCCGCAGTATGCCTGCATTACATAGAGCACCAGTATTTCACCCACCAATCCATCACAGCCTGGAAAGAAAGGAAGGCAGCTATAGTAGTCTTTCCCCTCCAACTTTAACTCCGGTGATGCCAGTAAATGCTGGTGGTAAAGTTCAAGAATCACAGAAGCCTCCAACTCTAATACCCGAACCAAAAGACTCCCAGGCAAATTTTAAGAGTTCTTCAGAACAGAGTTTGACGGAGATGTGGAGACCTAATAATAACCTCAGCAAAGAGAAAACTGAATGGCATGTGGAGAAAAGCAGCGGAAAGTTACAGGCTGCTATGGCATCTGTCATTGTGCGTCCATCTTCTAGTACAAAAACTGATAGTATGCCAGCAATGCAGTTAGCTTCTAAAGATCGTGTTAGTGAAAGATCTTCAGCTGGGGCACATAAAACAGATTGCCTCAAACTAGCAGAAGCCGGAGAAACTGGAAGAATCATTTTGCCAAATGTGAATTCAGACAGTGTTCACACAAAATCTGAAAAAAACTTTCAGGCTGTCTCACAGGGCAGTGTTCCCAGTTCAGTCATGTCTGCTGTAAATACGATGTGTAATACCAAAACGGATGTAATCACATCTGCTGCCGATACTACCAGTGTTTCCAGCTGGGGTGGTTCAGAAGTAATTTCCTCTTTATCAAATACCATTTTGGCCTCTACATCATCAGAATGTGTATCTTCAAAAAGTGTCAGTCAGCCAGTGGCTCAAAAACAAGAATGCAAGGTCAGCACCACAGCACCAGTTACATTAGCCAGTAGTAAGACAGGAAGTGTTGTTCAACCCAGTTCTGGGTTCTCAGGCACAACTGATTTTATCCATTTAAAAAAGCACAAGGCAGCATTGGCTGCAGCTCAGTATAAAAGTAGTAATGCCAGTGAGACTGAACCTAATGCTATAAAAAATCAGACACTTTCAGCCTCCCTTCCTCTGGATAGCACTGTAATCTGTAGTACAATTAACAAAGCAAACTCTGTAGGAAATGGGCAAGCTTCCCAGACAAGTCAACCAAACTACCATACTAAACTGAAAAAGGCCTGGCTCACCAGACACTCAGAAGAAGATAAAAATACTAATAAAATGGAAAATTCAGGGAATTCTGTATCAGAAATTATTAAGCCATGTTCTGTCAACTTAATAGCCTCTACATCTAGTGATATACAAAATAGTGTAGATAGTAAGATCATAGTTGATAAATATGTAAAAGATGATAAAGTCAACAGGAGAAAAGCCAAAAGAACTTATGAATCTGGCTCTGAAAGTGGAGACTCAGATGAAAGTGAAAGCAAGTCAGAGCAAAGGACTAAAAGACAACCTAAGCCAACTTACAAAAAGAAGCAAAATGATTTGCAAAAGAGAAAAGGTGAAATAGAAGAAGATTTGAAACCCAATGGAGTTCTCAGCAGGAGTGCCAAAGAAAGAAGTAAACTGAAGTTGCAAAGCAACAGTAATAGTAAGTCAGTTACTTTGTTTTATCTCAGGTAAAATGGGCTGAATGTTTTAGCTATACTAGTGTGCTGCTTTAAAGATCAGTGAGCTTAAAGGCATCCTTTGTCTTCATTTGCGTGCCTTAGCTTTATGTATATGCTCATTGATCTCATTTCTACATTTCACAAGTAAGTACCCTTTAAGAGGAAATGAGAGAACACTTATTCCTCTATTTTTAAAAGACTTGTAGAAATATATATCTTACCTGACAGTCATTGTAGGTAATTTGCGTAATTTAACGTGGAATTTAGTAGTTACTCGTAATTTTGGCCATTTCTAAGAATTGTCAAAATGCAGTTATGGCTGTCACACCAAAAGTGGATTTGTAATATCAGCTAAGATATTTACCTCTAACAAGATGTAGTCAGGAAAGAAATTCTGCTCACATACACATATTTTGAGGCAAATTTCTAGAAGATAGTTACAGTTGTCCCTGGGTATACCTGTGGGGGATTGGTTCCAGGACGCCCCCACGGATACCAAAATTCACAGATGTGCACATCCCTTATATAAAATAGCATAGTACAGTCATGTGCTGCATAACAACTTTTCAGTCAGTGACAGAATGCACAGCTGGGCACAGTGGCTCACTCCTGTAATCCCAGCACTTTGGGAAGCTGAGGCAGGAGGATCACTTGAGCTGGCGTGGTTGAAGCTGCAGTGAGCCATGATTGCACCACCGCACTCCAGCCTGGGCAACAGAGCAAGACCATGTCTCAAAAAATAAACAAAAAATGATGGAATGTATATATGACAGTGGTCTCATATAAGATCGTAAGACTGTGTTTTTACTATACCTCTTTCTTTGTTCAGATACGTAAATACTTTGTGTTACAATTATCTACAGTATAAAGTACAGTAAATACTGTACGGGTTTGTAAGCTAGGTTTGTGTAAGTACATGCTATGAAGTTCCTACAGTGAGGAAATTGCCTAATAGTGTATGACTATATTTGCATGTAACCTACACACATCCTCCCATATACTTTAAATCATTTCTAGATTCCTTATAATGCCCAACACAACGCTTACACATCACTTCATTTATGCAGGATTGAACATAGTACTCTGCACATGGCAAATTAAAGTTTTGTTTTTTTGGAACTTTGTAGAATATTTTTTCCCCCAAGTATTTTTGATCCATGGTAGGTTGAACCCATGGGTTTGGAACCCACGGTTATGGAGGGCCAATTTTACTTCAGAGTAATATGAATGTGGACTGTATTTCACTCTTATATCATCTGGTGACAAAATTGGAAGCTTATGGAAATTACTATCTATTTAATGCTGCTCATTCAAACAGTCCTTAACAATAGGTAAAAATTAACATAAGGGGAGGCTTGTGGTTTTGTGTATTCATTTCGATGTTAAAGAATTGCCATATTAATAGCTTCACAACTGATTATATATCCTTTGTGGCAACAGCTGGACAAAATAAGAGATACTTAACAGTAATATTCACTATAAAGTGTTTCTATATCATTTTACTCTAGTAGTAGTTTTTCTCAGTTTGCTTATTTCTTTTTAGGTATGTTGCACAATGCAGAAAGCACTTAGTTTCACTATGTCCGTGTGTTCATCCACATACAATATATGAAATATCTGTGACAATGTGGACACTCAAAGTACTTTCACAAGCACTTGGATGCTTGAAGGCTCCCATTTGTGCCTTTTAACTGAATGAGGTTTTCCCACATGCCTGTGTGGAAACCAGAGGCAAAGTGAAGGAGAGGAAAACAGGAGGATGGAATCATAGAAAAGGACAGTCAGAAAGTGAAAGAACAAAGGACAAACTCAACTAGAGCCAGAGACTGACAGACTGAAATGCAAGCATAGTCAGAAGACAGAGAGGGGGATTAACATCGAAGGATACCTGCCATTTACTTGAATATTGGATTATATACAGTGTTGCTTTTTCTTATGTGTTCCCCTTACTCTCCCTCACTACCCCCATGAATTCATAATAGGCTTAGTGTGAGCAATTTAATTGTTTCTCTTCTGTCTTATATGACATTTCCTTTGGTGTTGGGTGTTCAGATACTTGAGTAAAACTTAAAAAACAAAAACAAAAGATAGGTACCTTCCAGGTTTTAATGCCTAGAAAACTCTTGTGAAGTTAAATTTATGAAATTAAGTGTTAGTGAAATACGTATTCTCTTTTCATCTTGAGACGAATATACATATTCACATGTAAGAGTTCTAAGAAAAGGGCCAGAATGAGTGCCTTTTTTTCCCCCAGGTTGTAATGTTTAGTCAAATCTCCCCTGCTTGGTAACTAGCATGTAGCTTTAGAGAGGCTGTTTTATGACCCATTTGTTCACCAAGTCCAAAGTAATATTAAGTCAATATTAGATGTCATCTATTAATTGTGGACAGAGTTGACTTGCTTTTGTTCTAGGCTACCTAGAAAAGTTTTTTTTTTCTTAAATATTTTTTAGAGACAGTCTCCCTACATTGCCCAGACTGGAGTGCAGTGGATATTCACAGGTGTAACCATAGTGCACAGCAGCCTCCAACTCCTGGGCTCAGGCAATCCTCCTGCCTCAGTCTCCTGAGCACAGAAAAGTTCTTTAAGTTGGGAGTTTTCATAAGTCAGGGAACTTCTAAATATTAATGGATTATCTACTTCATGGATTAAATAATGTCTATTTTCTTTCTATTGTTTAGTAGAATTGTCATCAGTCATGGTCAATCAAAAAGAATGAGTTAGGCTTACACCTAAACTATGTAATATGATTACATACACCGTTATACATGTATAATTATATATTTTATATACACATACACATAATAGTGTGTTTCTTAGTACATTAAAGCTAGATATAATAGATTTTGTCTTATCTACTCTTTTGGAATGTCTTCCTCTCTGCTACCTTTTTGTTTCTCTTAATTAAAAGTCAGCCGCTTTTTCTCCACTAATTTTTATGTTTTATTTACTTCTATCTTACATTTTATCTAATTTTTACATTTAATTTTATGATCTGAAATTGCCACTATATTCAAATATATAAATTCTACAATACAAAACCAGTGGTTTATGATCACAGTTAATTTCTCTATCTCCAAAAAAATATTTTTTAAGGGGGTGGCATATCAGAGATTAATGTTTGGCAAGTATTTGTCTCTTACTTTCTTCCTCCCCAGTTTTCTGTTAGAGCAGCTATTTGTGGATTTGCTACTAGAGAACTAAGGTTCTTACTATAAATGAAGAAGTATCCATTGAGTTAGGTATTTTTTTGTTGACTAAGTGTCTTAATCTCAAACTTCTAGGTTTTATATATTGCCAGTAAATTATATATATATGGAATTGAAGGATGAAGTTTTATTTATTGTACAAATACTATGACAGTTAAATTCATAAAAGGAGTTAGTTGCAGTCATGTGTGGCCTTGTCTAGAAGCAAAAATTATAATATCAAAAGCTCTACGTATGAATTGGGCCTTAATGTCTTTGTACTCATTTATTCTTTTATTGAAAAAAAGCTCTAAATGCCTATTTTGTGTCACATAATTGAGATTTGCTTTGAAATGTCTGATTCTTTACTATAGTACTATCTGAGTTGTTCACAGTGGTATGGTGATCCATACTCTGAACTGTTCCATTATCTGGAATTAAAGGCATATAATAAAAAGAAATAGACTGTATTTAGTTTATTCTAGTGTAATAAATTGAAAAGTAAATAGATGATTAGAAGCAAGTGTTCCAAATAAAAATTTATCAGCAGTATAACAATTCTATCATTCATTCCAACTTGTAAAAGCTCTGAATATTTTACACAGTTCATAGGAAAAATCTCTTTTGCACAATGGAGGAAATAAACATTTTACATAAGTCTTCTGGAAATGGGTTTATACCATAACCGGGAGATGTGGTGTGTGGTTATACACATGGGTGTTTCTCTAGTGGATTAAGCCAAATGGCTCCTTACCCTAAGTTAGAGACAGAGAGGGGAAAGCATGTAATTGTAAAGAACGAGGCAGCAATTCAGAAGTGCTTAATAATTGGACCTGATTTCAAATGGGTCACTCTATATGGTTTATTTAAACACAGTGCTTTGTAAGTTTCTGCAAGAAGTACGTAGTCTCAGGAGAATAGCTGTACCTCTGATCCACACATTGGGCATGATTAGAAAACACAAGGGTAGGAAATACAGTTTTATTCTTTCAGCATGACAGAAATAGCAAACTATGTAAATCTAATATCTGACATATAGATACATTAATATGGGTGCAATAAGACACTTACAAGTTAGAGCCAACAACTAATTGCTGATCCTAACATAGCTTGCTTTTATTTATATATATTTTTAGACAGAGTCTTACTCCGTCACCCAGGCTGGAATCCAGTGGCACGATCTCACCCCACTGCAACTTCCGCCCCCTGGGATCAAGCAGTTCTTGTGCCTCAGCCTCCCGAGTAGCTGGAATTACAGGTGCGTGCTACCGCGCCTGGCTAATTTTTGTATTTTTGGTAGAGACAGGGTTTCACCTATTGGCCAGACTGGTCTTGAACTCCTGGCCTCAAGTGATCCACCCACCTCAGCCTCCTAAAGTTCTGGGATAGGCATGAGCCACTGCACCTGGACCCCAACATAGCTTGCTTTTTTTTTTCTTTCCTCTTTTGTTTTTTTTTTGGACGGAGTCTTGCTCTGTCACCAGGCTGGAGTGCAGTGGCGCAATGTTGGCTCACTGCAACATCTGCTTCCCAGGTTCAAGTGATTCTCCTGCCTCAGCCTCCCGAGTAGCTGGGACTACAGGTATGCGCCACCATGCCAGGCTAATTTTTTGTATTTTAGTAGAGACGGGATTTCACCATGTTGGTCAGGCTGGTCTCGAACTCCCGACCTCAGGTGATCCGCCCGCCTCAGCCTCCCAAAGTACTGGGATTACAGGCATGAGCCACCGTGCCCGGCCAGCTTACTTTTAAATAAATATGTTTTTAAAAATTTTAATAGACAACATTTAATTTTTGGAGTTCCTCTCGGTCCAGAAATTCTTCTTACTCTCTAGATGACGGATTTCTTGAGCCAATGTTCTTGTACTTATTAAACATAAGTCAGTAAATGTGATGGAGCAATGATGTAGAGTATGTAAATAAGTTGATTTTTTTTTCACATATTAGACTGTATAATGCATTAGAGTTTTGTCCTTTTTACTTTTTTGATGGCTATTTTAATTCATCAATAAAGATAGCCAAGTTAATTTTTTTTTCCTTTTACTTTCTTCAAACCCTTTTATTTTTCTAAAAGATACTGCCACCATCAGTATGTTGATATCAAATGCAGGGTATTATAATAAAGGAAAGATGTTAGGAGAAATAGCTAAGCACCTCTTCTCCCAAATACAGGTTTTATAAAATTACCACTTGTCTTAATGAGCCACACTTACCTTGGAAAATCAGATTATGTATTTCAATAGAAATACGTTGAAACTAACCTGTAGTTTCTAACTATATAAACCTTTAATCTTTACGTTCTTGCTGTGGATCTTGAAAGAGCTTTCTCCTATGTAAACCAACTTTTGGTATAGAAGGACTGTATTTTCAGTTATTGATATACACAGAATATGAATGATTCTTATGTTTGCTATTATACATACATGAATGATATTTAAAGAGTTCAGTCAGCTGGAAAATTTAGTTCTGCATTTTCAGTACACTGACATAAGAGTGGTTCATTTGGTTAATAGAATTGGTTAGTAAGTAAATAGAAACGCTGCTGCACTTTTTAGTCATTAATCAGTACCTAGAGCTCTTAATGTCTTTGCTTCTTTACTAAAGTCTTACCGTATCATCACAATTGTATAACTGACTTGAATTTCATCTCAAGGAGTTTAACTTTTTACAAAGCATAATCTTGCTAAAACTTTCCTACTGATTTTACAGCTGGCATTCCTCGTTCAGTATTGAAAGATTGGCGTAAAGTCAAGAAGCTGAAGCAAACTGGGGAATCCTTTTTACAGGATGACTCCTGCTGTGAGATAGGGCCTAATTTACAAAAGTGTCGAGAATGTAGACTTATTCGCAGTAAAAAAGGAGAAGAACCAGCTCACTCACCAGTATTTTGTAGATTTTACTACTTTAGACGGTAAGTGAAAATATGAGATTGGGAAAAAAGTAATTTATTGATTTGATATTGGAAATTATATAGTGTTATTCTGAGTGTCCCTTTTGGATGGGGGAGTAAGTCTTTGAGTCTCCATGTTTTGGAAACATTATAAAAGAGTTATTAAATGTTTTCGTGCTAAATTTTAACAATTTCTAACTATAAGACTAAATACATACATTATTACTCATGTTCCATATGACCTTTCTGTTCTGAGAGATTTATTCTTAATGAGAAAATGATTTTTTTCTTAACAGTTGTTAACCTATATACTAACTTAATATGAATATTACCAAATAATATTTTAAAATTAAAAACTTAAAGGTAGACTTGCAAGAGTTCAACTAAAGAATAGCTGGATAACCCAGACAGTAAAGACTAATTAACATGTCACACTCCAGAATCAGTCATTTCTAGTTGTGAATTCCATCTCTGTCTCTTAGTTCCTGTGTGAGTTTATTAACTGTGGTAGGACAACTAAGCCTGTCTCAGCTGCAAAATGTAAATGTTAGTACCTACCTAAGAGAGGTTTAATGAAGGTTAAATGAGATAAGTATGCCAAGTCCTTAAGTGTAGTCCCATGCGCATATGAAATGCTCTATTGTTAGCTGTAATTATCTTCCTAAGAAATTGAGACACTTTACTCTGCTGAATACTCTATGCTGGTAGCCCAGTATAGACCTCCAAAAATACGTGTTGATAAGAATGAACCAGGTTCTCTTTCTTCCTCACTTTGTAGCCAACAATCCCTAAAAGACAAGACAATTTCAGGGAATAATTATAAGAGGTAGTACCCATGGAAGTGCAGAAGAGATGAAAAAAGGAATCAAAAGGAAAGTAGGTTTGAGGCATAAGAAAATCTAGGAAAAGTCTGAAGGAAAGAAATGTTCAGGCAAAGATTATAACATAAAACCAAAATAAGATGCTGGGTTATGACAAAAAGGAGAAATTTGGTTTAAAAAGAAGGAAGCTTTGGAAAGAATAATAAAGGTATGAAAAGTAGGGATAAAAGAAATGTTGCTGTTCATATGAAAAATACAGTATGACTTGTATCTTAGACATCAGCTATTTGAGAGTAAAGAGAGTGAAGTACAATATAATTGAGGAATAACCACCAGCCAGTAAGAGAATGGCAATTTTGCCTTCCGTTTACCATAAACTTCTCTGAATAGAGTAGTTATTTGGATATCAGAAGCTAAGAGCAAGTAAGCACATTAATGGGGTTCCTATAAAACTATTAAGAATTTTCATCCTTGTTCTCTTAAATCACTTCAGCAATGTGTCAGTCTAATTAATGAAAATATATGTATAGTTGGCATTTTTAAAGTCCTCCTGGTGAAAGTCTTAAGGCCATTTCAGCTTTGGTGATTCCGATTTAGATTATGTATAAAATAACAGCATTGCTCTGGGCAACATTGGGCCCACATTTTTACTCTTGTCATTCATCAAACACTTAAACAGTTTTCATTTTATTGGAGTTAAGTAAGTATAAGTGATCTTATTTCTTGAAATAACCTAAAATTACTACTACTTATTGCCATTTGCATAACACCTGAGTTATTTAAATTAATTCAATAATTAGTGTGTGAAGAATTAACCTGTTTTCCTGTTTTTAATGTAATTCATATTTTATAATGCAATGTAAACATAATTATAAATTTACAATTTTAAAGACTGGACTTATGTTTTAATATGTGGGTACCTAATACTTTTATGTTTTAATATTTCAGGTTGTCATTTAGTAAAAACGGAGTAGTTAGAATAGATGGTTTCTCTTCTCCTGACCAATATGATGATGAAGCTATGAGTTTGTGGACACATGAAAATTTTGAAGATGATGAACTAGATATAGAGACTTCTAAATATATCTTGGATATAATAGGTGATAAGTTCTGTCAATTAGTAACATCTGAAAAAACAGCTTTGTCCTGGGTGAAAAAGGATGGTAAGGAAGTTAAATATAACATGAACTGCACAAATTTCATTTTAAGAATTTCTCTTTGAATTATGTTTGTGAAAGAAGTCCCTAATCTTATCTAACCTTGATTTTTAATTATGATAATGATACCTTTTTACAGTATGTATTTAAGGTTACAGATACTTTCCTATAGAGGGTGAATTGAGTCAATTAACCATTTGTGAAATCACAATAGCATTTTGCTGTTTCTGCCATTACAACATTAAGTTAATGTGTTAAACCCACTTTAGAAATTGTGAAATTTCAGCATTTGGCTTATAAAGACATAATCTACCCCAATTATTTGTATTGGAATCTCAGCTTTACTCCCTAACTGTTACCTTTGGCAAATAACCTCTCTGGATATCAGGCAGGTCTGGAAAATAGGAAAGATAACTATCTCATTAATTTGTTTAGAAAGTAGTTATGTTAATTATGTTTACTTAAGTACTTAATAGTTCCTAACATAGTAGATGCTCTAAATATTAGCTTCTTTTCCTTCCCTTCCTTGAAATCACTGGTTTGCCCCTCAGGGGACACTTAGCAATGACTGGAGACATCTTTGGTTGCATAACTGAGGGAGTTAAGGATATGTTGCCAACATCTGATAGGTAGAGGCTACAGATGCCTCTGAACAGTCTGCAATGCACAGAGTAATCCCTCCCAACAAAGAATTATTCAACCTAAAATGTCAAAAGTACCAGAGTTGAGAAACCCTGCTTAGATGTACGGCATTTTTATTTTTCACTTAATGATCATTTATGGGTCTTCTAAAGAGAATTACAAATTACTTCAAGAAAGCTATTGGTCTTCAGTTAATATAGCCTTGAAAGTTCTTGGTTTGCCTTTACATTTTTATTTCTTCTGTATTTCAGCCAAAATTGCCTTGGAAAAGAGCATGTTTGCCTTTAAAATTTTTGTTTTTTCTGTATTTCAGCCAAAATTGCCTGGAAAAGAGCAGTGAGAGGAGTCCGGGAGATGTGTGATGCATGTGAAGCAACATTGTTTAACATTCACTGGGTCTGCCAAAAATGTGGATTTGTGGTCTGCTTAGATTGTTACAAGGCAAAGGAAAGGAAGAGTTCTAGAGGTTGGTGTATAAGTTTATATAAATTGAAGTTTTTTATAATTTTTCTTTAGGATCACTCTTCTAGAACATGAGATGTGTTTTTTTATTCCTACTTTCCTTATTAATGTATTAAGTATTTTTTTTCAGTTTGTTTTTAAGAGGAGAAGTAACCACAGTTTATTAACGGCTATATTTTCTAGAATTAAATTGCATCTACACCCATCAGCCTCATGAGTATATCCATCTTCTCATTTCAGTCAGATAGTTCCTTAATGTAGCCCAAATTTAGGTTAGGCCTTGTTGCTTTAAGATTCCAGTGTGTGGGCCGGGCACTGTGGCTCATGCCTGTAATCTCAGCACTTTGGGAGGCCAAGGCTGGCTTCCAAAGATTGCTTGAACCCAGGTGTTCAAGACCAGCCTGGGCAACATGGCAAAACCCCCATCTCTACAAAAAAAAAATACAAAAAATGAGCTGCGCATGGTGGTGTGTTCCTGTAGTCCCAATTACCTGGGAGGCTGAGGTGGGAGGATCACCTGAACCCAGGAGATGGAGGCTGCAGTGAACTGTGATTGCCCCATTGCACTCCAGCCTGGGTGACACAGTGATACCCTGTCTCAGAAAGGAAGTAATTAAATGAATCAAAAGTGTTTTAGAAAGATTATCCAAGGCAATTTTGGAAGTGACTACCTAAAGCTGGTATTGAATTTTTTGTTAGGAGTAGAGTTCTGATGAAATAAGAGGATTAATATTGTGGAAACATTAGAAGTACTTAGTATAGATTGTCTGTCTCAAAGTAATGAGTGTCATTTTCATTTCAGGCCGCTCTTTTTTCAGAGTAGTGTATCAGGTAGATGAACCATGATTTAACCATCAGTATCTTCTACTGATAGGATTAACCAAAGTCTCTTACCCTTTCTTACCAAAGAAACCTGAGCAAATGTGGAAGCATAGCTGAACATCTACAGCTAAGTGTTTCTGGGATATGCAATAAATATGTTAATATGAGTAAAATGTGAAACCACAATACATGTATTTTGATATTTTCAATTGTTATAAAATTTGATGTAAGCTACCATAAATGCTTTTTTTGAATAAGATAAAGAATATTTATATTAAAAGTAAATTGTTGTATTGTTGATGATTTTCTTTCTCTTTTTCTTTTTCTTTTTTTTTTGGATGTTGTTGTTGAGACGGAGTTTCACTCTTGTTGCCCAGGCTGGAGTGCAGTGGCGCAATCTTGGCCTCCTGGATTCAAGTAATTCTCCTGCCTCAGCCTCCCGAGTAGCTGGGATTACAGGCATGTGCCACCATGCCTAATTTTGTATTTTTAGCAGAGACACGGTTTTACCAAGTTGGCCAGGCTGGTCTCAAACTCCTGACCTCAGCCTCCCAAAATGCTGGGATTACAGGCATGAGCCACCACGCCCAGCCTGCTGATTTTCATAGTAGTATTAATTTTGAAAGTATAGTCTTGTTACCGTATCATTCTTTTTTCTTTTTTTGAGACAGAGTCTCACTCTGTTGCCCAGGCTGGAGTGCAGTGGCGCAATCTCGGCTCACTGCAACCTCCATCTCCTGGGTTCACACCATTCTCCTGCCTAGTCTCTCCGAGTAGCTGGGACTACAGGCGCCTGCCACCAAGCCCAGCTAATTTTTTTGTATTTTTAGTAGGGACGGGTTTTCACCGTGGTCTCGATCTCCTGACCTCGTGATCGGCCCACCTCAGCCTCCCAAAGTGCTGGGATTACAAGCGTGAGCCACCATGCCTGGCCACTGTATCATTCTTTTAAGTGTAACTTATGCCTTGGGTTATTGTCCATACTATCTATATATCTATTTTACTGTTAAATATTATAATAAAACTCAGATTGAGTAGGTTTAATATATAGCTTCATGGAGTGGTAATCCACATAAGTGTCTAAAATATAAGCAATATATGAAATATTTGCAAGTTACCGTGTAGGTTTTGCAGAGGAAAGTCAAAGCTTTTAAAGGTAACTAGTTTTAGACTGGGTTTGAATTTTATTTAATGTATATTTTTATGAAACAATAGTTCTAGATTTTTTTTTTTTTTTTTGAGATGGTGTCTTGCTCTATCACCCAGGCTGGAGTGCAATGGCGCGATCTCGGCTTGCTGCAACCTGCACCTCCTGGAGTTCAAGTGATTCTCCTGCCTCAGCCTCCCAAGTAGCTGGGACTACAGGCATGTGTCACCACACCTGGCTAAATTTTTATTTTTAGTAAAAATGGGGTTTCACCATGTTGGCCAGGCTGGTCTTGAAGTCCTGACCTCAAGTGATCCGCTGCCTTGGCCTCCCAAAATGCTGGGATTACAGGTGTGAGCCACTGTGCCTGGTCTAGTTCTAGATTTTTTTATGCTGAATTTATTGAACTTTGTGACACTGAAACTCTTGTAGCCACGTCGTAAGTAGCTGTCTGTGTCACTAAATTTGTAGAGAAGGTTCTTGAGATCAAGGTATCAAATGCTTTTATTCTTTATGTTATGCCCTATGCTATGCCTTAATTCTTTACAACTTCAGGGATGAAACCTTATTTGAAGTCAGCAATAGCAGTTAATAGTAACTGTATGGTACCAGCTTTTTCACATGTCTCATGTTTCTCTACATGTCTTTGAAGCATAAGAGGAAAATGAATTAACAGTCATCTCAAACTGTGTCAGTCTGATGTACTAGGATCAGGCATAAATTCTGTTTGGCACAGAAAACAGCTAAGAGATAGAAGATTAGCTACAAAGATAGAGGTCACTAATAATAATGACTGGTAATTTTTAGAAAGGCTATCATTATATCCATTTTGTGTCAGTGTTTTTATAAAATCAGGAAATGGTGGAACTGTTTTTCCTGACTTGTTTCAGAACCAAACATCTAAAGCATATCATTGACATTTTATTTCATTATTTTTATTTTTTTCTTTTTCTCTTTGGCTGTGACTCTAGCCAACTATGAAACATTTTATATAATCGTTAAGTTCTTTACACTATCAATTTATAATTATGAAACCATGAGTGTGATATACAAGTTTTATTATCTTACAGATAAAGAACTATATGCTTGGATGAAGTGTGTGAAGGGACAGCCTCATGATCACAAACATTTAATGCCAACCCAAATTATACCTGGTTCTGGTAAGTATATCTTCTTCATGTAATATAACTGCTCTTGGTTGCTCCAGATTAAGGAAACACTTAAAGGAGTATCTAGAAATATAACAGGGTGGAGAGAGATTTAACTAGTTTTGAATTGTCTTGCTCAGTTATTGGAAATCCTCTATGTAATAAAGCTCAGAAGATAAGTCCAAGCCTCAGTGATGAAGAAAGTTCACCATTAGAAGTGGAAAGCTGGAGTGTAATGAAAAGGCCTATTGGATTTTTAATGAAAGCTTCTTATAATTTTTGAGCATATCTAATTTTTAATAAAGAGAGAAAAGAATAGAGAACATAAATTTGGCTGGGCGCAGTGGCTCACGCCTGTAATCCCAGCATTTTGGGAGGCCAAGGCCGGCGGATCACGAGGTCAGGAGATCGAGACCATCCTGGCTAACACAGTGAAACCCCGTTTCTACTAAAAATACAAAAAATTAGCCGGGCGTGGTGGCAGGTGCCTGTAGTCCCAGCTACTTGGGAGGCTGAGGCAGGAGAATGGCATGAACCTGGGGGGCGGAGCTTGCAGTGAGCCCAGATGGCGCCACTGCACTCCAGCCTGGGTGACAGAGCAAGACTCCGTCTCAAAAAAAAACAAAAAAACAAAAAAAACATAAATTTGGTTGAATAATCAAAACTGTAATAGATGGAAGAGAATGGAGAAAAATGGAAGAAATTTAAAGGGCACAAGAAAACCTCCGTTATTCCCAATTATAATACAAAATATTGTAAGAAAAAAATTTTACAGCATTAACAACTAGTGGTAATCTTTTTATTAACTACCATTTTATTTTGTAGTTTTGACAGATCTTCTAGATGCCATGCACACTCTTAGGGAAAAATATGGTATTAAATCCCATTGTCATTGTACTAACAAACAGAATTTACAAGTTGGAAATTTTCCTACAATGAATGGTGTATCTCAAGTGAGTAAAAATCTCTGGTTATTCAAATAAAATCTGTGGTTAAATTAGTCAACTTTGATATTTATTTGAAATTTGGTTTAGGACTTATGTATGAATTAGGTTTGCTGTGTTTCTGTGTAAATTTTTTGTATCTATACTACTAATTGAATTATTGAAGAAAGTGTTTAAAAATGTAATTGTTCTACCTTTGTAGGTTTTACAGAATGTTCTTAATCACAGTAATAAAATTTCTCTGTGCATGCCTGAGTCTCAGCAGCAAAATACTCCTCCGAAGTCTGAGAAAAATGGTGGCAGCAGCCCAGAGAGTGATGTAGGCACAGATAACAAGTTAACTCCTCCAGAATCCCAGTCACCACTGCACTGGTTAGCAGATCTTGCAGAGCAAAAAGCCAGAGAGGAAAAAAAAGGTAAACATAATTGATTATCTAGGCATGTGTGAGAGGAGTATAGTATAACTAACCAACAATGTACTATTGTACAATAAAGTACTGTTAATATTGAGGTAAACAATTTACTTTGGTCTTTTTCTTGAATTATGGGTTAGGTTCAATGTAAAACATTTTGTCTTCACTTATTAGGAACTAGCCTGTTGTTTTTTTGTTGTTTTTGTTTTTGTTTTTTTGAGACTATCACCCAGGCTGGAGTGCAGTGGCACAATCGTTGCTCACTGCAGCCTTGACCTCTCAGGCCCAGGCGATCCTCCCAGTTCAGCCTCCCAAATAGCTGATACTACAGACATGTACCACCATGCCTAATTTTCTTTTTAGGGGTCGGGGAGCACGGAGTTTTGCTCTTGTTGCCCAGTCTAGAGTGCAATGGCACGATCTTGGCTCACTGCAATCTCTGCCTCCCAGGTTTAAGTGATTGTCCTGCCTCAGCCTCCCAAGTAGATGGGACTAAAGGCATGCATCACCATGCCCAGCTAGTGTATATTTTTAGTAGAGACAGGGCGTCACCATGTTGACCAGGCTGGTCTCAAACTCCTGACTTCGGGTAATCCATCTGCCTAGGCTTCCCAAAGTGTTGGGATTACAGGTGTGAACCACCATGCCTGGCCAATTTTTTTTTTTTTTTTTTTTTTTTTTTAGTTTTTGTAGACATGAAGTTTCGCCATGTTGCCCAGATTGTTCTTGAACTCCTGGGCTCAAGCAGTCTACCTCGTCTTCCCAGAGTACTGGGATTACAGACATGAGCCACCATACCCAGCCTTAGCCTTCCTTTGACTACATATCAAAGTTAGTTACAGAATTGTTTGTGGATGAGCATATTGATATAGCCACCAGAGCACTAGAAGTGTAACTTACCTATGTCTTCTTTTTTGTTTTGTTTTTTGTGTTTTTTTTTTTTTTTTTTTTTTTTTTGAGACAGAGTCTCACTCTGTTGTCCAGGCTGGAGTGCAATGGCATGATCTCGGCTCACTGCAACCTCTGACTTCAGGTTCCAGCGATTCTTGTGCCTCAGCCTCCCAAGTAGCGGGGAGTACAGGCACGTGCCACAATGCCCAGCTGATTTTTATATTTTTAGTAGAGACAGGGTTTCAGCATGTTGGCCAGGTTGGTCTTGAACTCCTGACCTCAAGTGATCCGCCTGCCTCAGCCTCTCAAAGTGCTGGGATTACAGGTATGAGCCACCGCGCCCGGCCACTTACCTGTATTTTCTACCTGTCTTTGCTGTAGTGTTTTTCATTTGTAACAGGTGTAAACATGTCTTAAATATTGAGGAAGGCCTTTTTATATTTAGATTGTTTGAATCCATTTGGCCAAGCTGGTCTCAAACCTCACTCATCCTCAGGTTTGTGTTTAGGTGAATAAATCACAATGCTTCCTTCAGTTTTTATCTCACAGTAGAAAATGCTGGGGCCAGTTTTGTCTGTACTTTAGCACCATGCTTAATAGAATTAAAATTTGTAAGGGCTGCGCACAATGGCTCACGCCTGTAATCCCAGCAGTTTGGGAGGCCAAGGTGGGCAGATCATTTGAGGTCAGGAGTTCAAGACCAGCCTGACCAACATGATGAAACCCCGTCTCTACTAAAAATACAGAAAAATTAGCTGGGCCTGGTGGCACATGCCTGTAGTCCCAGCTACTTGGGAAGCTGAGACAGGAGAACCACTTGAACCTGGGAGGCAGAGGTTGCAGTGAGCCGAGGTCACGCCACTGCACTCCAGCCTGGGCGACAGAATGAGACTCCGTCTCAAAACAAAACAAAACAAAATCTGTGAAATTTTCTATTTCAGAAAACAAAGAACTTACCCTTGAAAACCAAATTAAAGAAGAAAGAGAACAAGACAACTCTGAATCTCCAAATGGCAGAACATCACCTCTTGTGTCCCAGAATAATGAACAAGGCTCAACCTTACGGGATTTGCTGACTACAACAGCTGGAAAGCTACGTGTGGGGTCTACAGATGCTGGCATTGCCTTTGCCCCAGTATATTCAATGGGAGCCCCAGTGAGTGATGCCAGATTTTTGGTTTTAATGTGGGCCTTAAATAGAGATGATTTGGAGACTTAGTTTTTGGCTCTGAACTACCCAGTATGCTGATGAAATCAAGTGTACCAAATTGCTAGGCATGTTTCTATTTGCATTATAACTCTCTTTACCTTGAAAGCTGGCATTTTCTGTCTTTTTTTCCAAGGTGAAAGGTGGAGGGGGGGTGCTCTTCGATTCCAGAAGGTCCCTAAGATACCCCTTTAGAATTTGGAAACTATTTGTCTAGTGAAGGGAAAAACCCACATGGAAGTGAATGTTGTATGTTACTTAAAATAATTAGAAGTCAAATTTTGCTTTAATTATTTACCAGGAAAAAAGAGCAGTATAATTTCTTTTAAAACTATATGGGGGGCCGGGTGCGGCGGCTCACACCTGTAATCCCAGCACTTTCGGAGACTGAGGCGGCTGGATCACGAGGTCAGGAGTTCAAGACCAGCCTGGCCAAGATGGTGAAACCTTGTCTCTACTAAAAATACAAAAGTTAGCCAGGTGTGGTGGCACGTGTCTGTAATCCCAGCTACTTGGGAGGCTGAGGCAGAGAATTGCTTAAACCCAGGAGGCGGAGGTTGCAATGAGCCGAGATCACGCCACTACACTCCAGCCTGGGCGACAGAGCGAGACTCCATCTCAAAAAAAATAAAAGTATATGGGGGCTGGGTGTGGTGGCTTACGCCTGTAATCCTAGCACTTTGGGAGGCTGACGTGGGCAGACCACCTGAGGTCAGGGGTTCGGGACCAGCCTGGCCAACAACATGGTGAAACCCTGTCTCTACTGAAAATACAAAAATTAGCCAGGCATGGTGCATGGTGATGCATGCTTGTAATCTCAACTATTTGGGAGTCTGAGACAGGAAAATCACTTGAATCTGGGAGGCGGAGCTTGTAGTGAGCTGAGATCACACCACTGCACTCTAGCCTGGGCAACAGAGTGAGACTCCCATCTCAAAAAAAAAAAAAAATGTGTATATATATATGGAGTATTGGGGGGTCAATCATGCCTGTAATCCTAGCACTTTGGGAGGCTGAGGTGGGAGGATTGCTTGAGCCCAGGAGTTTGAAACCAGCCTGAGCAACATAGCAAGACCCTCATCTCTATTTCTTATAAAATATTTAAAAATTTTAAAAAATGTATATGAGGGATGCCACCTACTTGTATTCTCTGTCCCAGGCCTATAACAATGTAAAAGACAGGAAGGCTGTACTTCTAAGTTTTTCAGACCTGGCAGTTCTCACACAACCAGACTTCTGGTTTGCATTTTGTCAGGAATATAGGAACTCAAATCTAAGAGAAGTGCATATTGTGGAGTGTAGGGATATTGTTTAAAAAAAAATAAGTCTGTGGGAGGAAAATGTATTTGATTTCTCTCAAAAACAGGTTTTTTTTGTTTTGTTTTTTCCTTAATAGAGTAGCAAAAGTGGACGGACTATGCCTAACATTCTTGATGACATAATTGCTTCAGTTGTTGAAAACAAAATTCCACCAAGTAAAACCTCCAAGATAAATGTAAAACCAGAGCTTAAAGAAGAGCCTGAAGAAAGCATAATATCTGCAGTGGATGAAAATAATAAATTATACAGTGATATACCACATTCTTGGATCTGTGAGAAGCATATTTTATGGCTTAAGGATTATAAGAATAGCAGTAATTGGAAGCTTTTCAAAGAATGTTGGAAACAAGGACAGGTGTGTATTTTAGGCTGATAAAGAACACTCTTGGTGGAACTGAAGCTTATTAAATAGAATGGTTCCCTCCTTAGGAATAGAAATGGAGGGGGGAAAAATAGTGGTTAACACATTTGGGGGACAATAAGATATAAAAGTACCGAAAAGATTGTCAGAATGCTTGTTTCTCAATTCCTGTTTTTTGGCCAGATTTAATATGAATTAATAGGGAAACGTTGATTATTTTATGTTACTTTTTGATCTATCAGAACAGACATGTAATAACGCCTTGAATTTACAAAATGCAGTTCCTTTCTCCTCTTTTTAGATTGGTATTTTAGTCCAGTTAGTAGATCCATGTCTACTATTAAAATATTAATATTGGCAGCATTTTTCATGAACCTATGTAGATGTTCTTATCTGTAATATTTATACACAGAACATTTACTTACAAATTAGTTCATCAAATCTTGAATGACAAACTATATTGTTTCATTCTCCTCTAATATAAATGATTTTGTTGGACAAAAGTTTTGATAATGTTTGATATACATTTCAGATGGCAATTTACTACATTAATGCAAAAATTATGAACAAATTAAGTGTTTGTATGACAGTATTCTGTTAAATTTATTGTTTTCTGGAAAATGTTTACTTTGTTTATTCAACAGTTATTGAGCATCTAATAAGAGACGCAGTCTCTGTCATAGGCAGTAAGAATATATAAAAATGAGTAAGCTATGTAAAAATGAGTAAGAACCATTTTAGTGCAATGCTGCTTGATCTTTTTAGGTTACTAATCCCTTTCAAAATCTGATGAAAGCTGAATCTTTCACCCCAAAAAAAGAAATGCACACTTGTGCATTGCATATACACAAGATTTAGCATGTCTTTTTTGCCTTGGTCTCCTTCAAGCCCTGATGACATTACTGGACTGAAATTTTATTTAATTTGTGTGAGCTTTTGAGGTAGAAAAGCGTCACACAAATAATTGTTTTCATAATTATGTGAAGTGTTTTAAGAACTTTGTTCAAGGTGCTATGAGAACCCAGAAAAGGAAATGTCAAAGCTAGGATACTAGTTCAAAAAGGCTAGTCTAAATTGATTCCTTAGAGGTTAAGTGAAGTTTTTTGCTAGGTGGACAAGAGGCTGGACATATACAAGAACATTAGGTGTTTTGGGAACTCTCTGAGTAGGTGTGATTATCTGCAATATACATGATGGTTCATGGGGGAGAGTGGTGTAAGGAGATGGCTAGAGGAATGATCATGAAATGCCCTTATATATCATGCTAAGGAGTTTTAACATTATACTCTAGGTGATAGTTTTAATTGTGGAATCTGTATAATCAAATTGACATTTTATAATAACTGACAGCAAGGCAGATTAGAAGTTGAGTTAGAAGAGAATAATACCATTGGCAAGGAGTCTAATCAGAAAGCTTTACAGGCCTGGTGCTGTGGCTCTTGCCTATAATCCCAACATTTTGGGAGGCCAAGGTGGGACGATTGATCGCTTCAGCCCAGGAGTTGGAGACCAGCCTGGGCAACATAGTGAGACCCTGTTTCTACCAAAAAATTTTAATTAGCCAGACGTGGTGGTTCACACCAGTAGTCCCAGCTACTTGGGAGGCTGAGGCAGGAAGATTGCTTTAGCCCAGTAAGTCCAGGCTGTGGTGAGCCATGATCATGCCACTGCACTTCAGCCTGGGCAACAAAGTGAAACCCTGTCTCCAAAAAAAGTAAAAAGATCATGGTGATAGCCTAAGATTTCTGCTTTGAATTATTCTGATACACTAATTAGCTTAACCCTTATCTTTTTTAAAAAATTTACTTTTAACAAGCTGCTGATTACCCTAATAGCAGCAATATTATTGGATAGATACTAGGCACTAGGAATTAATCTGTGAATTGCCAGCAAGAGTTAACTAATACCTGGACCTATTTTTAAAGTCGTATATATTATTGGCTCATTGAAAAAATGTTTAATGGAACATTCAACCATGTAGTAAACCAGAATTTAGGGTGTTTTTTCTTTTTAAAGATGTCTTTTGTAATTAAAAAAAAAATCTAGCTAGAGATTATTCTTTTGTGGTTCCTATATTTTAATTATGTTACAAGTTTAAGAATACTAATAATCACTTAAATTTTTTGTTTGTTTGTTTCTGGAGACAGGGTTTTGCTGTGTCTCCTAGGCAAGATACAAACTCGGGCTCAAGCAATCCTCCCAGCTCAGCCTTGGGAGCTGGGACTACAAGAATGCATTGCTACACCCAGCCTAGTAAATATCATTTTTCAGAAACTTTTAAGTCATAGCTTACTGTGTTCTCTATATTCCAGAATTCTGCTTCATTAGAGTACAGGAATTTGTTTAAAACCTGAGAATAATACATCAGATGTTCTTAGATATGTTTTTATATCATTTATTGTAGTTTTAGAAGCTGTAAATCTTCCATTACTGGTTTCTGCGTTATTAGAAAGCTATTAGGGAATTTGGGTGGAGAGGACATCTACCCTCCGCCACCAAGTGTAAGAAAGCTGTGAGGGAATTTGAATTTATGTAATTTCAAAGGAGACATTCACTTTCAGAGAATAACTCATTAGGCTCGAAATTTAATAGTTTCAGCTACTGAAGAGGCTGAGGTAGAAGGATTGATTGAGCCCAAAGGGTGACAGTCAGGTATGATGAGGCCACTGCTCTCCAGCCTGGGTAAGAGAGCAAGACTCTGTCTCAAACAAACAAACAAACAAACAAAAAAGAAAGTCTATATATCTTTTAACTGTTATTTATTTATCTATTTATAAGCCTGCAGTGGTTTCTGGTGTGCATAAGAAAATGAACATTAGCCTATGGAAGGCGGAATCAATTAGTCTTGATTTTGGAGACCACCAAGCTGATCTCCTGAACTGCAAAGATAGCATCATTTCAAATGCCAATGTTAAGGAATTCTGGGATGGTTTTGAAGAAGTTTCAAGTATGTTGGTTTTTATTTTACTATTTTCTCCATCATACTCCTTCAAAATGATAAATTCCAAATGTAACTTAACAGATTTTTAGTCTTTGAAACATCTGTTTTATGTTGTCTAATAAAAAGAAACAAGTAATTGGAAACAAAATACTGGGTCCTAATCCCTATTTCTAGCACTAATTTCCTTTGACCTTAAAGATGCCGTTTATACTGTTTTGCTTATGGAGAAATGTTTGGCAGTTCCATAAGCTTTTGAAAATGGAATTATTTATGTAAAACTCTTTGAAAATTAAAAGTGTAGATGTAAGATTGTGATGTTACCAAGATTTTTAAAAACAACTTTTGAGATATTACAAGTGGGTAATTTAATGAATTCTATTCATGTACAAAAGGAACAAAGGTTTTAATACTACATAAGTACATAAGTAATAAGTCAATAAGCAAGCAATCATTAAGCATGTAATGTGCAACAATCAAATCATTCATTCATTTACGTTTCTTTCCAAATGTTAATAAAGATAAAAAGGCAGAAATTACCCTTTTAGTAATTAACTGCATTCCTTATAGAACGGCAGAAAAACAAGAGTGGAGAAACAGTTGTTTTAAAATTGAAAGACTGGCCTTCAGGAGAAGACTTCAAGACTATGATGCCAGCAAGGTTTGAAACTTTTCATTTTGACTCTTGACTTTTTGAGATCGAGCTAAGACTGTCCCCAGAGATAGGATAAGTAACCGTAAATGTGACCTGTAGGCTTTTTCTTTCTCAATTAAAAATAAATAACTTGAGGCTGAGCGTCATAGTGGCTCACGCCTATAATCCCAGCACTTTGGGAGGCCAAGGCGAGGGGATCGCTGGAGTCCAAGACTTGGAGATCAGTCTGGCCAACATGACAAAACCTTATCTCTACAAAAAAATACAAAAATTAGCCAAGCATGGTGGCAGGCATCTGTAGTCCCAGCTACTTGCGTGGCTGAGGTGAGAGGATCACTGGAGTGGAGGAAGTGGAGGCTGCAGTGAGCTGAGATCGTGCCACTGAACTCCAGCCTGGGTGACAGAGTGAGACCTTGTCTGATGGATTGATTGATAGCAAAACTGAGTTGGTAGCCTCAGCAGTGGGAAAATCTTTATGTTAGGACAGTGAAGGAAAGAATGTTCATGTTAAAGAGGCTGGGCACGGTGGCTCACGCCTGTGATACCAGCACTTTGGGAGGCTGAGGCGGGCAACAAGAGTGAAACTTTGTCTCAAAAAAAGAGAACACAGGACCCTGTTTAGGACCTCCCTTCTATTGGAGCTTTTTAATGGTTTAATGGTTAGAGAAGCAGAATTGCTATTTTAGTCAGTATCACTTGAGTCAAGGAAAATTGTTACCTGTCTTATGGAAAGGTAGTCTGCTGTTTTGAACAACTTGAAAATTATATATGTGAAAATACTTAGCAATGCAAATCTTTATTTATAAGAAGGCAATGTTGTTTTTCTTCAGATACGAAGATCTTTTAAAAAGTCTGCCATTGCCAGAATATTGTAATCCAGAAGGAAAATTCAATTTGGCCTCTCATTTGCCAGGATTTTTTGTACGTCCTGATCTAGGACCCAGGTTGTGCAGTGCCTATGGTAGGTATATATTCACATTTCTCCCATGTAGGAATTATATTGGATTTTTTAAAATTTTTGCTCAGGCCGGGCATAGTGGCTCACGCCTGCAATCCCAGCACTCTTTGGGAGGCTAAGGCGGGTGAATCACGAGGTCAGGAGATTGAGACCATCCTGGTCAACATGGTGAAACCCTGTCTCTACTAAAAAATACAAAAATTAGCCAGGTGTGGTGGCGTGCGCCTATAGTCCCAGCTACTCAGGAGGCTGAGGCAGGAGAATTACTTGAACCCAGGAGGCGTGGAGGTTGCAGTGAGCTGAGATTGCACTACTGCACTCCAGCCTGGGCAACAGAGCAAGACTCCGTCTCAAAAAAAAAAAAAAAAAAATTTCTGTTCAAGGATGGGCGTGGTGGCCCATGCCTGTAATCCCAGCACTTTGGGAGGTCAAGGTGGGTGGGTGGATCATGAGGTTAAGAGATTGAGACCACCCTGGCTGACATGGTGAAACCCCATCTCTACTAAAAATAGAAAAATTAGCTGGGTGTGGTAGCGTGTACCTGTAGTCCCAGCTATCAGGAGGCTGAGGCAGGAGAATTGCTTGAACCCGGGAGGTGGAGGTTGCAGTGAGTCGAGATCATGCCACTGCACTCCAGCCTGGCAACAGAGCGAGACTCCTTCTCAAAAAAAGAATTACTGTTCCTACAAATTGTCTAATGATTTTTAGTTTCTACTAAATCTGTTCCTTTAATCCATCGAAACCCTTTTTTATATGAAGCAACATGTTAGGAATTAACAGCCAATATATAGTTAAGTACCTGCTTATTGATTTTTTATTTATTTGATTTTTAATCATAGTACATTTTATTATAGAAATGTAATTATTCAAATAATAGGGTCTTTTATAGATTGTGGCTTTTGGAACAGGTTTTTGTAATAAGGAAACTAAAACTCAAATTACAATTAAATTATGCAGATCGAGCTAATTTGGGGGAATATCTGATTATGCTATTACATATATATAAATATTTTGTCAAGTAAAATTTTGTTTTATATACAGGTGTAGTTGCTGCTAAAGATCATGATATAGGAACAACAAATCTCCATATTGAAGTTTCTGATGTTGTAAATATACTAGTTTATGTTGGCATAGCAAAAGGAAATGGCATTCTCTCAAAAGCAGGTAAACTTAAAAGAATAAGTAGTCTTTGAAATAAGAGTTGAATAATCACATTCACTAGTATTGTCCAGAATATCAGCTTCTGAGTTAACAGCGAAGATTTCAAAAAGAATTGCAATGGATGTAGGGGCATTTTAGCCCTTATTACTTGAAGATTGAATAATTTTCCTATTTCTTTTTATGTAAGTGAAATTTTAATTTTAAAATTGAATATTTTAACTTCTTTTCTATCATTAAGTATTGTGTTGATGAAAATACACCATTAAGCGCACTTGTAAACATTTATTGAGGCTGGGCGCAGTGGCTCACACCTGTAATCTCAGTACTTTGGGAGGCCAAGGCAGGTGAATCACTGGAGGTCAGGAGTTCAAGACCAGCCTGACCAACATGCTATAACCCTGTCTCTACTAAAAATACAAAATTAGCTGGGTGTGGTGGTGCATGCCTGTAATCTCAGCTGCTCAGGAGGCTGAGGCAGGAGAATCGCTTGAACCCAGGAGGCGGAGGTTGCGGTGAGCCAAGATAGTGCCATTGCACTCCAGCCTGGGCAACAAGAGCAAAACTCCATCTCAAAAAAAACCAAAAAATGAACAAACAAAAAAAATTTATTGAAGAATAGGAACTAATTCTTAGGGTTCTAAAGATGGTTAAAATATGGTTTGTGACTCAAACATTCTTTTTTCCCCTCCAGTAAAAAGAGGAAGAAGGGGGTCTTTTCTCTTTCTATCCAGTATATAGGTTTTCATTTCTGTGCCCTCAATTTCTTTCTGAAACCATGGTGTCAGTTATTCCCTTCTTTACAAAGACATAGATACAGTCATAGGCCTTTAACGTTTTCTTCTCCATTGGCTTTTTCTCTGTACAATAGAAGCAGAGTCTAAGATGATTTTTTCTTTCTCGAAAGAAAGCCTC
Source organism: Homo sapiens (assembly GCF_000001405.40). Lineage (NCBI taxonomy): Eukaryota > Metazoa > Chordata > Mammalia > Primates > Hominidae > Homo > Homo sapiens. The sequence continues at coordinate 63,182,537 of NC_000010.11, read as the reverse complement.
CTTTAAACCTTTCCATCCTATTGGTTCTACCCTCATAAGAAATATTTTACCATCTTTGTCACTTTCCTTTTACATTTCAGCTCATTGCAGTCTTATTCCATACTGGTCTGAAATTTACTATTGCTACTGCTGTCACTCACACGTATTTGGATAATTCAGTGTATCTTTCTGGTTCGTTTATTACTCACCCCTGTCTATAATGAATGGCACCGTTAATCACAACCTCTTTGAATATAGTTCTCTGCTTCTGTGATACCACTTCTGATTCTGACACCTTATGGAGTTGGAGGCTTCTTCGGAGTTTCAGATGTTCGCTACCTTTTCTACTTCACATGCACTTTCTGTGAAATTCTGTGGATGACATCCAGCCATGAAATAGATCACCAGTTGTATATCTGGATCCCAGATTGGAGCTTAATGGCTAGGTGCTGGGGACATGGGATTCATTATAGTATTCACTCTACTTTTGTGTACATTTGACAATTTTATAATACACAACCTAAAATCCCTCAAAACTGTAGAAACTCATTTTTACATTATGCTACTCAGCTTTTTAACTGACACTATTGACTATAATAGGTAACCACCCCTATCCCCCAGAGATTTGAGAGTCAGTGGGCACACTTGAGTTATTGTCTGAGCGCTGCCACAGAAATGTGACCTGTAGTTCAGATTATTTATCCTTTCTAATCCTGTGATGCCATGGAGTTACATCCTTTGTATCTCATTGTAGTTTGTTCAGATCTTTCCCTGTAGCACTTAGAAGTTAACCTGCTTTCCTCCATTACTATTCATTCATGTCCTTAAAAGCTAGAACTTTCTTCCTCATCTTTGTTTATGCATATCCCCCAGCTTCTGTTCCTAGCATATTTCTTTCGAGAAAATTTCAGGAGAATTTCAACATTTTAAATAATCCTTTTGCTCTCTTTCTTTATCTAAAAAGTTTTTGTCACTTTTTATAGGTGGTCACAAAGCAACATTTTAGGGTTATAATAATGTTTCAAACACATTGAAAAATACTTAAAAGATCATGATTTTTTTCTCCATCTGCCATGTGTCTTTTAGCTCCATGTCTTCCTGGCAAACTTCTGTATTCATTCTTTCAATTGTAACTCAGATTATCATTCACCCTAGAAGTCTTCATTAAAGAAAGTAAACTTACTATGCTCTAGCCAGTCATTCTCTTTATTATGATGCCTCCCCCGCCTCATGTACTTGTTATTTTAATTTGCAGAGCAGTAAAATTTAAAGGAAAAATGTCAGAAAACCAATTTAAAGTTTCCAGCTTTTAATTTTGTTAAGAAAACAGATTTTAGAAACATCAACTGTCATTTTTTAAAGAGAACATTTCAAACTCTCTATAAGAAAGATAAGCCAGGCACGGTGGCTCATGCCTGTAATCCCAACACTTTGGGAGGCTGAGGTGGGTGGATCACTTGAAGTCAGGAGTTTGAGACCAGCTAGCCAACGTAGTGAAACCCAGTCTCTATTAAAAATACAAAAATTATTTGGGAGGCCGAGGCGGGCGGATCACGAGGTCAGGAGATCGAGACCATCCCAGCTAAAACGGTGAAACCCCGTCTCTACTAAAAATACAAAAAATTAGCCGGGCGTAGTGGCGGGCGCCTGTAGTCCCAGCTACTTGGGAGGCTGAGGCAGGAGAATGGCGTGAACCCGGGAGGCGGAGCTTGCAGTGAGCCGAGATCCCGCCACTGCACTCCAGCCTGGGCGACAGAGCGAGACTCCGTCTCAAAAAAAAAAAAAAAAATTAGCTGTGCATGGTGGTGTATGCCTGTAATCCTAGCTACTTGGGAGGCTGAGGCAGGAGAATTGCTTGAACCTGGGAGGCAGAAGTTGCAGTAAGCCAAGATGGTGCCACTCTACTCCATCCTGGGTGACACAGCAAAACTCCATCTCAAACAAACAAACAAACAAAAAGATACCAGAGTAAAGGATGATTTTTTTATGTTCAACTTTTTACATTGCCCTTAATTTTTTTGTTTTACCATGACTGGGAAAAGACTTTGTCACAGATAACATTGGAGGACTTAACCTGTCTCTGTACCCTTTGTACTGATGTGATTGCACTTACCACAATGTGATGTTTATTTGTCTAGATTTATTAGGACCCTCTTTAACTCCATGAGCTCTTGAATGGATCTTTCTTAATTCTAATTCCCAACTTCCTAGGACAGTGCCTCGCACATAGTAAACACTTACCAAATGTTTCAATTAGCAGTGGCTCACGCCTGTAATCCCAGCACTTTGGGAGGCCAAGGTGGTGGATCACCTGATGTCAGGAGTTCGAGACCAGCCTGGCCAACATATAGTGAAACCCCATCTGTAGTTAAAAAATAGAAAAATTAGCTGGGCATGGTGGCGGGTGCCTGTAGTCCCAGCTACTTGGGAAGCTGAGACAGGAGAATCGCTTGAACCTGGGAGGCAGAGGTTGCAGTGAGCCGAGATTGTGCCACTGTGCCCCAGCACTTCAGCCTGGGCGACAGAGTGAGACTGTGTCTCGAAAAATAAAAGAAAAAAAGAAAAAAATATGTTTGCAGCTAAGTTTGAATATAAAATAGACATTACTGTCACAAATTAGGAAACATCTGATATATACTTTGTAGCAGGTAACAGCTTTCTTTAAAAAGTTTATACAAGTGATAACATATTTGACTTTCTGAGTTTTTTTGCTCAAGATAATGGCTTCTAGTTCCATCCATGTTGCTGCAAAAGACATGATTTTTTTTTTTTTTTCTTTTTTAAAGATAGGGTCTCCTTGCTCTGTTGCCCAGGCTGGAGTGCAGTGGTACAGACTCAGCTCACTGCAGCTTCAACCTCCTGGACTCAAAAGATCCTCCCACCTCAGCCACCAGAGTAGCTGGGACTACAGACAGGCGCCACCATGCCTGGCTAACTTTTTTATTTTTTTGTAAAGACGGGTTTTACCATGTTACTCAGGCTGGTCTCAAACTCCTGGGCTCAAGTGATCCACTCACCTCAACCTCCCAAAGTGCTGGAGTTACAGATGTGAGCCACCTACCCAGCAGTGATTTCATTTTTATGGCTAAATAGTATTCCATTGTGTATGTATATCACATTTTCTTTTTTTCTTTTTTCTTTTTTTTTTTGAGATGGAGTTTTGCTCTTGTTGCCCAGGCTGGAGTGCAATGGCGTGATCTTGGCTCACCGTAACCTCCACCTCCTGGGTTCAAGCGATTCTCCTTCCTCAGCCTCCCTAGTAGCTGGGATTACAGGCATGTGCCACCACACCCAGCTAATTTTGTATTTTTAGTAGAGATGGGGTTTCTTCATGTTGGTCAGGCTAGTCTCGAACTCCTGACCTCAGGTGATCCGCCTGCCTCGGCCTCCCAAAGTGCTGGGATTACAGGTGTAATCCCACGCCCGGCCACACATTTTCTTTATCCAGTCATCCGTGGATGGACACTTAAGTTGATTCCTTATCCTGATAGACATTGGAGATTCAGAGGATGGTGGTTAACAGGGGTGGGTAATGAGAAATTATTTAGTAGATACAATGTACATTATTCAGGTGATGATAACTAAAAGCCAAGACATCACCGCTAGGCAATATATCCATGTAACAAAAATTGCAGTTGTACCCCTTAAATTTATACAAAATTTTTAAAAAGAATATTTATTTAAATGTTCACTGGTCCTTTTAAAAAAGGACCTTCCTGTGGTCCTACACTTAGAGACAACTAGTTACTATTTTTGTTTGTACACTTCTAAAGTTTTTTTCTGTACATACATACGTGTAGGAATTTTAGTTTGTCAACATTTTAGAAGGATGGCTTGATTTTCCTCAAAACCACAACTTTGTTCGTGAAACATTTGCATTTGATTACAGATTAACCATTATCAAATATGAGAGCACCTCGAAATTAATCAGAATACATTTTGTCCTGCCGTTCATTAGTCATGGTAATGAGTAAAACCTTTCACCTCATGGAACCTTTTTACTCAGGTATAAAATAGAGGTTATCCCTTATTCTTAAGTAAGTATAGGGGCCAACTAATAAATAGTGAGCATAAAAGACCTTTGTAAGTTAGGAAATGCTATGAGTACAAGTCATTGTTAGGACCACCCCCTTGGAACAGGGAAGGAAGGTGGTTAAATTTTACATAGTTGCTCTTAGGTTTTCTATCTCCTGCTTCTTGGTTTGCATAAAACAAACTGGGAAAATCACTATTGCTTTGTATCCACTTATCTATTCTTGTAGTCCTAAAAGTTATGAACATATAACTGTGTTTGACTCTTTTTTAAGAGTACTGATCTGGCCAGGGACAGTGTCTCATGCCTGTAATCCTAGCACTTTGGGAGGCCCAAGCAGGTGGATTGCCTGAGCTCAGGAGTTCAAGACCAGCCTGGGCAACATGGTGAAACCCCACGGCTACTAAAATACAAACAATTAGTCGGGTGTGACAGCTTGCACCTGTAGTCCCAGCTACTTGAGAGGCTGAGGCAAGAGAATTGCTTGAACCTGGGAGGCGGAAGCTGCAGTGAGCCAAGATCATGCCACTGCACTCCAGCCTGGGTGACCAAAAAAGAAAAAGTACTGATCCTAGTCAGGCACTCTGCTGCTCTGATAGATCAACTTTAGGAGACTTGGCTTTCTGGTATTCTTTGCCGACAATTTGAAATTATGTTCCTTTGTTTCAGGAATTCTCAAGAAATTTGAGGAAGAAGATTTGGATGACATTTTAAGGAAAAGATTGAAGGACTCAAGTGAAATACCTGGTGCTCTGTGGCATATTTATGCTGGGAAAGATGTTGACAAGATAAGGGAATTTCTTCAAAAGGTATAAGTTAGTTTGCAAATAATATCTCTTCCCCTCAAGCAAGGACTTATTCATTGTTGCCGTACCTTCACTTGGCATTCAACAATATAAGACCATTACATAATTTTTACTTCAAAGTAGATGGGAGTTTTTGTTGAAAGTCAAAACCCTGTTTCTCTTGCTCCTCTTTGAAAGTCTGTTAACATTTTGAGGGTTTTGAATGGTGATTTGTTCCCAGTTGGTAGTGTGCCTCCATTCCCTGTTAATAAAAGACTGATCTGTTCTTGAGCCAGATATTAGTTGGGTGGCGAAAAGTAGCTATCTGGAGTCGCGGGATGTAAAAACAAATATTTCATGGAAACGTCTAAAGAAGGTAGGATCTTTATTTTCTTTGAATCTGATAGATATTTTTGGCTGCTGACCTAGGGAATGATTCTACTCTATCACATCTGATACTATGATACTTACTGAGTAGACTCAGATTTTGAGTAATCATACCTTGACTGTAGTTGGCATATACTCTGAAAGAAATTTATATATCAACCTGAAATAATTGGTTGAAACCCTTTGCTCAGGTACTTTTTAAACTTCGTAATTATGGAAATTTGTTTTAAGAAATGTTCAGTGCTGATACATCATCTTTCTGAAAGGATGTAAGTTCTGTCTGTGATCAATGTGAAGTAAAAGAGTTACAGCCTTTTTTGTACCATTTTATCCCTGAATACTTACCTGTATTTTAATCTGAAGTATGATCATTTGTGCCTTCTAAAGCAGATTATTTAACTGATTAAAGAGTCCCTTGAAATTGATTTTTCAAGTGTTAGAAGGTTAGCCATGTAAAGGTATTTATACTTACCTCAAAAAAGGATCAATAAATGTTTATGAAATCCATACATATGAATGGTTTGGCTTTTGGTAAAAAAAAAAAAAAAAAAAAAATACCCTGTTCCTCATCCATGTGCTATACTTTTGAAACAGTTATAAGGAAGGAAACCAGATAGATGGAAACTTCATAGTGGAAGGAGGTGGTGAGAAGGAAGTAGTAAACTGTTAAGAGCATTTCAGCATTGCTGTATTGTTTTAATATTCTTTGGCTTTCCAAATTATTGCAGAATGTTATTTTTTAACTGAAGAAGCTCATTCAGTTGTTCCATTGATTCTGAGAAGAAAAGATTTGTTATTACAAATAAAATTGAAATTTAACTGAACAGGATTTACCATTTCCTTACTTAAATTGGAGTGTCTATTTTAATTCATATTTCAGATTTCAAAAGAACAAGGCCTTGAAGTTCTACCAGAACATGATCCAATACGTGACCAAAGTTGGTATGTGAACAAAAAGCTCCGTCAAAGGCTGCTTGAAGAATATGGAGTCAGAACCTGTACTCTTATTCAGTTCCTTGGTGATGCTATTGTTTTGCCAGCGGGAGCACTTCATCAGGTATATACAAACTTATTTCTAACATATTTTTTACTGACTGAAAGAACTAGTTTTGAAAAAAAAATTGCTCTTAGTATAGATATAAATGGAAGAAGATGCAAATAAGAGAATTACCTGCACCAGTCTGCCTTTATTAGAATGACATCTCAGTGCTTGCAGAAATCTCACATAATTTCCTTAAGATTTTAAATTGTTTTAACATGAGCCAGATTTCTATTTGTATACTGTCTCCGATTTAATAGATCGAAATCTGATTTTTAAGCCCTCCTGGTGACATGTATACCTCTGAATAGTGAGGCTTAAAAGCATGGGGGGACACAGTATACAGACTTTTTATCAGGCTTTAAGCATACCTCCTACCTTTCTTCAGCATGCTAGCATATCAGGGGCCTGTCTAAAGAAAGATGGTATGTAATTTATATAACTGTTGATCCACAAAACATAAAAACTAAAATAAATACCTAGTTTAAAATACCTAATTTTTCCAGCACCGGGAAAAATGGCATAGAATAGATGCAGTGGTTATGGAGGGTGGGATTAAAAGTACACAGTGGATTCCTATAGGTGGAATGGGGCTACTACAGCCCAGGTTAACCCTTAAAATTAACAAGGTGTACCAGGGAAACCAGAAAAAACTCAAAAGCTGCTTTGCCTCAACAGTTGGTTCTCCACCTTTTCCACTGCTAAGTAATTGAGATGTAGCTGATGTATATTAGTTTACCAAGGAAACTTTCTCACATTTTATATAAGTATAGTCATTGACTGTTTTAGCATTTATGGCACTCTTCCATACAAATACTACTTAGGTGATAATAATTGCTTAGCTTTTAGGATGTGTCAGATTCAGGGTCAGATTTATCATTATTAGATCTCAAATGGCATTTATGATACAGTAGTAAAATACAAATGTCATAATAATAAATACCTTTTTCTCTATGATAATTTCCTGGAAAAAATGTATTTACATTAAGTGGTTATATTTTCCCATGGACTTATGATTATTTCAGAGATGTCATATTATTTATGTTTCATGTTTAATCTGGGATTCACCCTATACACCATTTCTTTGACTTCTAGACTCTTAGCAGAAAATAGCTAATCTGTATTCAAATGTAAATGCTCTCAAAAGAAGAGCCTATTTAAGAGACTAGTATTATAAATCTTTTTGTACATAGGAATAATCCTTTGATAATACAAAGTAGATTCCCTTGAAGATCTTTATTCACATATTGAATTTATCCAATGTCAGTTTTTATAAAGTTAACCTAGGTAGTGTAGTCATTTTTGTAAATTGAGATATAATTTGCATATAGTGAAATTTACCTTATTTAATGTATAATTCTGTGAGTTTCAACAAATGCATAGTTAGGTAACAACATAATCAAAATGTAGAACAATTCCATCACTCCGAAAAAATTCCCTCTTGCAGTTTTTTTTTTTGTTTTTTGTTTTTTGTTTTTTTGAGACAGAGTCTTGCTCTTGTTGCCCAGGCTAGAGCTCAGTGGCGCGATCTTGGCTCACTGCAACCTCTGCCTTCCGGGTTCAAGCGATTCTCCTGCCTCAGCCTCCCGAGTAGCTGCGGATTACAGGCATGCACCACCACGCCTGTCTAATTTTGTATTTTTAGTAGAGATGGGGTTTTTCCACGTTGGTCAGGCTGGTCTCGAACTCCTGACTTCAGGTAATCTGTCTGCCTTGGCCTCCCAAAGTGCTGGGATTACAGGCATGAGCCACCATGCTCGGCATCCTCTTGCACTTTTATAGTCAGCCTCTTCCCACCCAAAGTTCCTGCAACTAATCTGCTTTTTTGTCCCTATAGTTCCTCTTTTATGAGTATGCTGTAAATTTGGACTCACACAGTATGTACCCTTTAAGTCTGGCTTTTCTTAATGTATTTGAGATTCATTCCTATTGTTGTATTTATCAGTTGATTCTTTTTTTATTGCTGGGTAGTTGTATGAATATTTTTTTCATTTTTTAAATCCGTACATTCACCAGCTGAAGTACATTTTGGTTTTTTCCACTTTGGGGCAATAATAGATAAAGCTATCATAAACATTCATATACATGGTTTTATGTGAACAAAGATTTTTATTTCTGTTAAGTAAATACTGAATGGTGGGATTGCCTGGTGATACTATAATGTATGATTAAATTTAAGAAACTGCCAGACTATTCTCTAAATTGGTTGTTCCATTTTCATTTCCCAGTGCAGGGTTATGTGAGTTTCATTTCCTCTGCTTCCTCACTAGTGCTTGTTACTGTCAGTTTTGTTTTTAGACCATTCTAGTAAGTGTACAGTGGTGTCTCATGGTGGTTTTACTTTGTACTTTCTTAATGACTAAACATTGGGCATCTTTTTATATCTTCATTTGCCATCTGTATATCTACTTTGGTTAAATATGTGTTCAAATATTCTGTCTATTTAGCTGCTTTTTTTCTTACTGAGTTTTGAGTGTTTTTTGCCAATTTCTGATAATGTCTTTTATCTGATAATGTGTTTTACAAATACATTTTCCTTTCCTGTAGCTTCTCTTTTCAAAGAGCATTTTTTTTTCATTTTTCCATTTTTTAAAAGACAGTATCTTGCTCTGTTGCCCAGGTTAGAGTGCAGTGGCACAGTCATAGCTCACTGTAATCTCAAACTCCTGGGTTCAAGTGATCCCCCCACCACACCCTCCTGAGTAGCTAGTACTGTAGATGGACACCACCATGCCCAGCTGATTTTTTAATTTTTTGTGGAGATGGGGTCTTGCTGTGTTGCTCAGGCTGGTCTCGAACTCCTAAGCTCAGGCAATCTTCCTGCCTTGGCCTCCCAAAGTGTTGGGATTGTAGGCATGAGCCAACCCACCTGGCTGGTTTTTTCCATTTTGATGAGGTCCAGTTGATCAGTTTCTCTTTTATGGATGGTATTTTCATAGTATCTACAAAATTGTTGCCTAGCCCAAGATCACTCAGATTTTCTCCTCATTTTCTTCTAGAACCATTATAGTTTGAGGTCCTACATTTGGGTATGCAATGTAGTTCATCTTTGTATGTAGTGCATAGTATGGAGCGAGGTTCAATTTTTTGCATATGGGCATTTGGCTGTTCCAGTACTATTTGTTGAAAATACTACTTTTTAATGTTTTTCTTTTGAAAATGTAATACATAAACAGAAAAATTCAAAAGTATAAAAAGTTCACGGTGAAAATTCAGTATCTCACATTTTTCCCCCAGTTCCTTTTTTCCAGATGCAATCATTGTTACCCCAAAGAGATTCCATGCTTACACTTGTGTCCCTGCTGCTACTTTTTTGGGAACAGTGGTCTTTTAGTAGGCTCAAAGTGACCTTGTTAAAAAGTTAGGTTGGTTTACATATCCACACTTCCCCCTCTGTCTCACTGCCTTCATCTCGTATGGCTCTCCTAGTTCCTCTCTAGCCATCCTGCCCTCTTTGCTTCTTTCACACACACCAAGTATGTTTCCCCCCTCCCCCAGGGTTTTTGTGCTTCTTAATCTTTTTTGCTTGGAATCGTTTTTCTGTCAGGTATCTGTAAGACTTGCTTCTTTACACTTTTTTAGGCTTCATTCAAATTTCACCTTCTTGGTGAGGTCTAGTTTAAAGCTGTAAATTGTGTCCCCCAACTTTCTGTCGTCTTTCCTGCTTTATTTTCCTCCATTTCAGTTGTCACCTTAAAATATGCTTTATAATTTACTCACTTTGCTTGTCTTTTAACCCCCACTGGAACGTAAGCATGATGAAGTAAGAGATTTATCTTTTCCATTGCTCTCTTCCCATGCCTAGAATAATGCACTTAATGTTTGTATTATTAATAAGTCTCTATTCTGAAGGCCAGAAAATACGTTCTCAGTAACAACATGTTTTTGCACAAGGGTAGAGGAAAACAAATTTATGGCTTTCTATAATTTATATGTATTGGGCTTTTTGTAAAACATGTAAATGTTTACTTCTTCCTATATGTGCTTTCTCTGGCTACTTCCAAAAGTTTACTTAGGTTGGAATCCACTTTATGTCTATACACATTTTCTTTGAGATAGTTAGAAAATTCACATAGATTATAGAAACAAGATTACATCTATAAAAAATGTTATATCTAAATACACCAAGGCAGCATATATGACCTAGACTGACAAATTATATTCTGAGCTCTGCCACTAAATTGCTGAGTGATCCAAAACAAGATCTAACTTCTTTGCTACATATTTTGGCACAGAAATTGCCAGCTGTACAAAAGGGAATTGCTACCTTTCCTCTCCTGTGGGGTGTAATGACAACAACACAGCTCTTTATACTCTGTTGAAAGGATGTTGTCCGTAATTCACAATTGGTGGCAATGCAGTTTTAAGAGAAAATTCAAGGGAAGTAATAAGTGTTTACAATATTAACCTGGATTTGAGATGCATTATTACTTACAACCTGTTTAGGTCTTAGAAGTTCTGAAAACTGTTAATGACTTCAACACTTCCAGTAGGCTATAGGTGGCCCTCAGAATAATCAGACTCTAAATCAGTATTCTGACACTTCAGCATATGTTAGAATTTCATGGAGGGCTTGATAAAGCAGATTGCTGTACCCCACCACCAGAGTTTCTGATTTCAATGGGTCTGGGGAGGGACCTGAAACTATAGATTTCTGACAAGTTTCCAGGAAATGCTGATTTTACTGTTCAGGGACCACACTTTGGAAACCACACAAATAGGAATCTCATGCAAACCCAAGGCACCTATCAAAAAATTTTCAACCAAGTGATTCTGCATGACAAGGGCCAGCAGTGCTAGGGAAGAAACAACATTCTGTTCTTTGGCCCGTCAGCAATGACCATTGCCAGAGCCAAACTGAGAAGAGTGGGCTGTCTGTTCAAGGAAGCTGAGATATATAATCTTAGCAAGCTGAGGGAAAGCAGCATAGCCACAGCCCTCTTTATATGCTAAGAACTATTCTAGAATTGGAGACTTACAAATCTTACCTTGGTAACTGGGACTCAGTCTGTGAAACTCCTGTACATCCCTCCACAGAGCAATGACCCTGACCTCCAGGATTTTTGTCTCAGCTGTAGTATTCTGAGGTTTAGAGTGGCCTTTACTTAAAAACAGCAACAGTTGTTTTTTTTTTAAGTTAACACATAATCTTTAGTAAAATTTGTCGAAAAATACTAACTTTGATTGTGTTTGGTCATTTATCATGAGTTTAGAAAATTGTAAAGTTGTAATTCTCTGTATTTATATGACCAAAAGGACTTCTTGGCAAAATCTTTCCACACTAAGTTCTCACAAATAACTGAGTAAATAGCAATCACAGTGTCAATATAATAACCTTCCTACTATGAATACAAATTATATTTTCTTAACATTACCTATTTATAATTATAACTGATGCTTTTAGGCAAGTATGAATAAGACAATGTCAAGGAAGTGAAATATAAATGAGTCAAATGTGGCAAAGAAAAGGGATAATCAGAATGAGAAGCTGAGTTGTGTTCTGCTTTAAAACTGAACCTTGGCTCTTCAAAGTAACCCTCAAGCCTTTATCCAAAATATATCAGGTAGGGGTCATTAGGAAACCTAATAGCATCTTGTAAGCACTAATAAAGGTTACTGTTCTAAAAGTCATTTTAAAACAACCATAAGCTGGCAAAGACTGACAGAATGAACTTTTTCAGAACTCTGGAATCTAATTGAAAACTTACAACAGCAACCAAGAGACTGCTTAATGAAGAAAAGGGCAGCTGATTTTTGGCATTTAAGGAAATCTCTGTTAGGTAACTGGCTGACCAGTGAGATAGTGGAACAGAGACTTCAGTGACCACACCCAACAAGGAATACTGCCTTTGCAAAAACAGTTTGGAAAAGTCACTAAACAAATGGATGACTGGAGCCCTCAGGAATCAACAACAGCAAACCCTGAGGCAGGGAGAGAATATGATTACCCATTGTAATGTTCAGATGCCCAGTTTTCAACAGAAAGGTATAAGGCATACACAGAAAGAGGAAAGTATGGCCCATTCAAAGGGAGAAAATAAATTGGCAAAAACCTTCCCCGGGAAGCCCAGACATTGGACTTACTACTAGACAACTGTCTTAAATATGCTCAAAGAGCCAGCAGAAATCAGGAAAACGATGGATGAACAAAGTGAGAATATCAATAAATTATATAAAAAAAGAACCAAGTATACATTTTGGAGCTACAAATGATTTTAGGACATGCTAGAGCTAGATATACCAAAAGTTCTTTCATGCTAAAACTTTGGAAAGACTTACTCTCCTTAAGTTCAGATAAATGAAAGACATAAGGAGAGAGGGCATTTGGAGACTCTGTATGCTGGTATGAGAGTTAATAAGCAGGACTGTAAAGCATCTGTTAGACAAGACACCGCAGGAGTTGGGCTCCTGTTGACTTGCCATTTATTGGCTGATTTGTCTTGGGACAGGCGCTGAACATCTCATCCATAGTTTCCTGCTCTGTGAAATAGAGCATCTGTTCTACAGACACATTATGAAGAGCCAGTGAGACTGTACAGAAATGCTGAAAATGTGAGGCATCCACTATGTTCATCCTCCAGAGGAACCAACAGCCTAATGATTAAAGAAAGAGAATGTTTACTTTACTATGCTACCAAGTTATCAATAGAGGCACAGTGCTTGAGTTAAAGAACTCTGCAGACTTCAGCAGCTGTTCAGGTGGTCATTATGCCCAGAGGAGGAATTCTAGCCCCTCTGGAATTCCATCACCCTATCATCAATTAGATTTTTTTTCCCCACAGTCTCCATTTCCCACTTACTATCTCTTTCATCTCACTCCTCCCAATTAAATTTATTTTGCATACTTAGAGTAACTTTAAATGCTTAGTTTTTCAATTATTTCTCCTTTCCCAGGAATTTTTATGATGTTTTTTAATATCACTAGAAGACAATCTAGAAACACCACAAATCCCAGATTGGATCAGCTTGGGCCTTCCTCTGTTGTTTTACTGGCATTAATAGAAAGCAGCTCTAATAGTCAAGTGCAAAGTCAGTTTGTAAATGCTGAACAAATAACAGATAAGACTATTGACTGGCTTCTTGGGAAAACTGTTTGGTCAGGAGAGAGAAAACTGTTGAAAAACTGTTGTACTGATGTCACCGGTGATTGAAGGGGTATCTTTAATTGGCTAATTTGAAAGAAAGTCACAAAAGAAAGGCATGAATAACCAAAATCCTGGGATATTTCTGAAACTCAGTCGAGGTCAGTAGATCTGTCTGGGACTACATTTTCCATCCCAGTTCCTAACAAAGTTTCATTTTCTTTTCTTTATTCTCTGATGTAAGAGTTAACAGTGAAATGACCAAAATCCTGAAAGCCAATGGAGCAACAATAAACATACTCAGATAGATTGCCTCATAAATTCTTTCAAGTTAGTTTTTAAAAGTAACACATTTTTTAAAAGTCCACTTTGGCAAAATTGATAATTTAATATCTGGTTATCAGCCTCTCCAAAGGATTCCTGGAAAAGTTATTTTCTTTTTATCATTTAAAAATATTCCATTTACAAAGTCACTTTACATGAAGCTTTTCAGTGACATAACTTTCTCATAAAATGTGGTCTTCTGCTTTAAAATCCATTTGATGTTTTGGAGAAAGTAAATTCTCCAGCAGAATTGTCTCTTGTGTTTATTGGTTTTAAATAACTTGGCTTTTCTTTGCTCCACCTCCTAAAACTTGTATTTCACGGTTTTTCTTTTGGGGATAGGTTCAGAATTTTCACAGCTGTATTCAGGTAACTGAAGATTTTGTGTCTCCAGAACATCTTGTAGAGTCATTTCATTTAACACAGGAACTGAGACTTTTGAAGGAAGAAATCAATTATGATGATAAACTACAGGTAAGAGTTGGGTGTTCTAGGTCCTGTTCTTCAGGCTTTTTATATTCAGAAATATGATACATGTATAACAGCTTAGGCAGTCATTGCCTAGTTGGTCACATTAGGGTGACAACCAAAGATTAACACCAACATGTATTTAATTGTATGATTTATAGTGTCCCTTTTGGCTTAACACTTTCAAACATTTTTCTTATATTTGGCTTTCCTAGTTCCCTATTATTTTTTTAAATCTGGAAGTTGTCATTTTTTAATTAATTTCTGTCGAACTGAAGTGATTAGAAATATCAACATCTCTTTCAGGTTAAAAATATTTTGTATCATGCAGTCAAAGAAATGGTGAGAGCCTTGAAGATACACGAGGATGAAGTAGAGGATATGGAAGAAAATTAAGTGTGATCCAGTTTGATATTTTTAGGTTGTTGAACTGGGATTACTTAACCTTGAATGATGATATGTATGCACACTGACTTTAAGCTTCATAAAACCATCAGTGCCAAGAAATTCTCTTTGTAGTAATTACTTGTTACTGACACCACAGCAGTATAGCATATGTCACAGCTCCTGTGATTCAATGTTATAAAACAAGCAGAATTTTAAAAGCAGCACTATATAGCTGTTTTGTATTATAGTGTATATGATGTTTGTGAAAATGCCAGATTTAAAATGATGTATTTATTTTTGGTAAAAAATAAAAAATTCTATGCTATATTGTTGATCAAGTGTAAATGTGACCTTGTACAGTTTACTAAAATTACTGATATTTTTCACTACATTGAGACAGTTACTGTGAGAATAGGACACAAACACCAGCTATTGCCTGCATCTGGGAAATTGCTGAATCGCACAGCAGTCATGTCATAATCAGAAAATTACTGCCAAATAATTGTAAAATTTGTAAAGTATAAAGTATATAAAGTAGATACTAAATACAGACACTTCAATATTTTGTTGAAGCTATTGACTGTACAATTAAACATTTTCAAAAGGTGTAATTTATTTAAAATTGTCTCATTTTGGTAAAATTTATGTGAACTTTTAAAGCTAAATATTAAACTTAATATGCTATGTAAATATATACATATATACATTTAATGATGTATTTTTTTAAAACATTGGCTTGCTTTTGTTAAAGTGCAAGTGTTACATATGGCTTTGTACATTAAAGTTGAAAGGGGTTTTACATTTTCCATTAAAAGGACTTTATCAAAAATTGACTTTTTCCAGAGTACTCCCTCTGTTGACAAGCATGACACTGGGGGCAGAGAAGAGCCCGAAGTCAGTCATCCTGGGTATAAATATGAGTTCTGCCACTTACTGTATGACCTTAGAAAGTTATTTTAATTAATTTGAAGTCTTGGTTTTAATAGCTGGCTGCTATTGTCGGTTGGTTAAGGCTGACATATTCCCAACCCTTTAAGTTACTGGAAAGATGTAGCTCTCCACTGACACCTGCAGGATATTGAGAGGATAGCCTTTCTTCTCAACTGAAAGCATTCAGCTTAAAAGAAAAAAGTGGGAGTCCAAGTTGTGACACCTTGCAAGTTGCTTAGTTTATACTGTTTTTCCTTATGTCACCATCGTTTAGCTCCATGTAATCTGTTACAACACCCTCCACTTCAGGCAAGGTTCAGCCAGGAATGTGAGCAATTACATTTCATGTGAATTACCTACATGTGGCATTTCACATTAATTACCTATACTTATCATGGGATGGATAATGACTACTTGGCTAGAAAGAAAAATTGGCCTGAGGAATATTTCAGATGATTTTGTGAACCTTCTTTGGTGAGCTTTTGACTTTTTTAAATACCATTTTTCCAAATGTGCCTCAGCTGATAAAGTGGCTTTTGTCTAATGCTTTCATATGTTCCATCTGATTTAATTTTGATGTAAAATTAAGTGAAAGCCAAGGTGTTAATTCTGGAGTAGAGTACCACCTGCTGGTCCCCTAAAGCCTGCCAGGATCCCAAAGTCTGTGGTGATTGTTTTTCCTCAAAACCTTTTGCTTCTCTTGCTCTTGCATGAGCCACCTTTTAACCATATTTACAACTTATTCTGAATAGCTGAAGCTAACGAAGATAAAGCCAGGTAATGTGGCTTGTTTCAGTGCAAACCCACCTTAATGACAGTATTCTATCCGTAGTCTGAAGAATATTGTATCCATAGTCTGAATTCCATGCTGCTGACCTAATTAATTCCTTGTAAATCTGGGGTGAAGAGAGAGGACCATAATGCTTACATCCTTAATGACATTTGTAAGCTTTTTGGAAGGCTGGGGAGTTGATTGATTGCTGATTACTCCCTAATCACTGGAGCAGTTCCTCTGGCCTTTTTCTCTCCATCCTTTTGGTTGGGTCTGATGCGCCTCAGGAGTATGTCTGAGTATGTCAGCTCCCTCCAGACGGTGGTATGGTGTTATCTTAAATGTGTACAATAATTTGAGAAACAACAAAGAGCCTTTATAAAGGGAAAGTCGTGGTGAATACTTTACTTTAGTTCTTTCCCATTCTAGTGTATAATGTTTTTTGAGACACTCTCGCTCTGTTGCCCAGGCTGCAGTGCAGTGGTGCAATCATAGCTCACTGTAGCCTTGAACTCCTGGGCTCAGGTGATCCTCCTGCCTCAACCTCCCGAGTAGCTGGGACTATAGGCACGCATCACTGTGCTCAGCTAATTTTTTTTTCTTTTGGAGACTGAGTTTCACTCTGTCACCCAGGCTGGAGTGCAATGGCGTGATCTTGGCTCACTGCAACTTCCGCCTCCCAGGTTCAAGTGATTCTCCTGCCTCAGACTCCGGAGTAGCTGGGACTACAGGTGCATGCCACCACACTTGGCTAATTTTTCTATTTTTCATAGAGATGATGGGGTTTCACTACGTTGGCGAGGCTGGTCTCGAACTCCTTACCTGATGATCTGCCAGTCTCAGCCTCTCAAAGTGCTGGGATTAGAGGCGTGATTTTTAAAATGTTATTTATTTATTTATTTTATTTATTTATTTATTTATTTATTTAGAAGAGATGAGGTCTCTCTCACTACGTTACCAAGGCTGGTCTCTCCTGAGCTCAAGTGATCTTCCCACCTCAGCCTCCCAAAGTGCTGGGATTACAAGTGTAAGCCACCACACCTGGCCCTAATTGATAATGTTTTTACTGGAATATGGATTTTTCATGAATAATCAATACGTGCATTCAAATTCATTTCTGCCATGCATCTGGGGACTGTAATACCCAGACGAATCAGTGTCTGGTTTTCTGTCACTTCCCTTCTTGGTAGATGGGTTATGGATTTAATAACATCTGGGTAAAATTAATAAGCTTCAGAAAAGTGCTGTCATACCTTTACTTTGCTCTGTGCATGTATACCATAGATAGATTGATACAACATGTTCTGTTTCTAGATGCCAGCCTATTAAAGATGCTCTCACAAATGAGATCAGCAGTCAGCCATGGGAGAGGAAAAAGTGATTTAGTTATTCTATATAATGGTTTTTTTGTTTTTTGTTTTTGTTTTTGTTTTTGATACGGAGTTTGCTAATTTGCTGTTGTCATCCAGGCTGGAGTGCAGTGGCACCATCTCGGCTCCCTGCAACCTCTGCCTCCCAGATTCAAGTGATTCTCCTGCCTCAGCCTCCCAAGTAGGTGAAGTTACAGGCCCACACCACCATGCCCAGCTAATTTTTGTATTTTTAGTGGGGATAGGGTTTCACCATGTTGGCCAAGGCTGGTCTTGAACTCCTGACCTCAGGTGATCCGCCCACCTTGGCCATCCAGAGTGCTGGGATTACAAGCGTGGGACACCACGCCCAGCTAGTTATCATTCTGTATTCAATACAGTATTCAGTATGAATTGGGATAACAAGTTGGCCAAGACACAAGGTTATGTATGCTGCCAGGCCTGTCACCAGGATGCAGACTCAGACCTTTCCAACTGCAAAAGTTATGACATGGCCTGGTTATGCAATTACTATGTAAACCTAGATAGATATGCTTTGAAACCGTATAAAAATATAGCAAATGTGAGTAGTATGTGAAGTACTTTGGCTCCCACAGTAATCAGCCTGGTTCTTTTAATGACAATTAATTGACTTTTAAGTGACAATGAAATGTTGGCAGGCTCCAGGTCACTGGCTGCATGCCTTGTAAGTTAGTTCCCTTTCTTGGCTGGGGAGGTTTTCACAACTGGCTATAGCTAAAACAGGATTGTCCTTCTGTGTCTTGTCTGTGAAAAAGACCTCAGCCCTGGGGCCAGCGGAGGGTATACCAAGGACCTGTGTTGTATGGGTGGGTCAAATGGACTCCACTTTGAGAGGAAGGGCATTATGGGTACAGAAGCCAACACCACCTCACCACCCCTTAGTCTTTGACCCAAATTTTGCAGATGATAAAAGATGTGGAGAGCTGGATGAGTAAACAAATACACTTTGGGAGGCCAAGGTGGGCAGATCACGAGGCCAGAAGTTTGAGACCAGCCTGGCCAACATGGTGAAACCCCTTCTCTACTAAAAATATAAAAATCAGCTGGGCCTGGTGGCACAGGCCTGTAGTCCCAGCTACTCTGTAGACTGAGGCACCAGAATTGCTTGAATCTGGGAGGCAGAGGTTGCAGTGAGCCAAGACCGTGCCACTGCACTCCAGCCTGGGCGACAGAGCAAGACTTTCTCAAAAAAATAGAAAAAAAAAATGAGAAGGAAGTATAAGATGAGATGCGAACTGACTGCTTTCCCAAGGAGAGCGAGTGTGGTCCTCTGGCAGCATAGTAAGGATGGTAACTGACAGGTGGGGCTACTGTGGAATATGGAAACAACGGTTCAAGGTAGGTGATACAGGTTTGCTTTAGTAAGTGGAAGAAGTTCAAGATAAAGACTCAGGGATCACTGTTTCCAGCCACACATGCCATGCCCTACGTAAGTGTAAGGTAGAACTATCTTGGGCCACGTGCGGTGGCCCACGCCTGTAATCCCAGCACTTTGGGAGGCTGAGGCGGATGGATCACCTGAGGTCAGAAGTTCGAGACCAGCCTTACCAACATGGTGAAACCCCATCTCTACTAAAAATACAAAAAATTAGCTGGGTGTGGTGGTGCAGGCGTGTAATCCCAGCTACTCAGGGGGCTTAGGCAGGAGAATTGCTTGAACCCGGGAGGCGGAGGTTGCAGTGAGTCGAGATTGTGCCACTGCACTCCAGCCTGGGAGACAGAGCAAGACTCTGTCTCAAAACAAAAAATAAACTTGTATTTACAACTTATTCAAAAGTGTTAGGCAGGCATTGGTGATGTGATGGTTAAAAAATTTTAAAAAAGATGCTGAGGATTGGCCCATCTATGCTAAATATTATATAACAGGTATATACAAAGTATTTGGAAAAGCTGTAATAAATTTTGCCTGGGGTTAGGGAAGGCTTCAGAAAGGTAGTATTTGCACAACCCTTCAAGTAACAAAAAGGACAGCAAATGTGTACATATTTAGATCTCCGTTTGGCCCTTTTTTATAAACACATTCACTGAGACTTCTATACACTTTTCAAGAGAGATTTACAAAGTCATTCACTCTTCATTTCTTGTTCTAGAAGGGCAGCAGGGAAGGAGCTGCTTCTTGGAATGGCCTTTATAAGAGGTGAATGTCAAATAGACAAATTCCTATCATAGATGTCCAGTAAACAACTACCAGGATGTCATAGGCAAGTCAATGTAGTCTCATCTCTCCCATTCTATAGATAAAATACAATCACATTATTTTCACATTAAACATCTAGAAGATACTGTGGTAGCCTGAGGCGTTTTTCTTAATCAGTGAACTGAGGCCGGGCATGATGGTTCATGCCTGTAATCCTAGCACTTTGAGAGGCTGAGGCCGGCAGATTACTTGAGGTCAGGAGTTCGAGACCAGGCTGGGCAACATGGTGAAACCCCGTCTCTACTAAAAATACAAAAATTAGCTGGGTGTATTGGTGCATGCCTGTAATCCCAGCTACTCTGGAGTCTGAGGCAGGAGAATAGCTCGAACCCAAGAGACAGAGGTTGCAGTGAGCCCAAGATCACACCACTGTACTCTAGCATGGGTGACACAGCCAGACCCCGCCTCCCAAAACAAACAAAAAAACATTTTATAGCCAACCTAATATATTTATTTTATCCCCTAATTTATTTGGGAGTGGGTAATCCGTATGTGGGGACTCGTCCCCAAAATTTTTGAATAACTAGAATTTACTCCTGTTTTGCAGAAACAAATTATGTTGAACAACAAAATATTTTATTAAGCAAACATTTCATACAGAAAGGAAAAAGGCCAGCCTATACAACCTTTTAGGAAACTGAATTCCATTTTAGTTTCTAAAAATCACTACACTATGAAAAGTCCCACAAATACAAACCACAGGGCTTATATGAAAAATGGTATTAGGGCATAGCACTTTAAAACTTCACCAGTGACACATTTAAAAACAGTGGGTTTACACATGTTAAACATTTAAGAAATATATAAGCACTACAAACAAATATGGCACTTTACCTTGAAGACGACTTGAAATGGGCCTCAGAAGGGTTGTGGTTTGTGATTTGACTTCCTGTGAAATGAAGGGCTATCTGGAATAGAGGGAAAAGAAGGTGGGTTATCTGGAAGGTGGGCTATCTAGAATCAGAGGGAAAGGGAGTATGGATGGGTGTAGTTCAATGTCACTGAAAGAAGTTAGCTGGTATCTATTGGAGGTGTGTGTATGTGCTTTATGTGTTTCCCTGCAGCTTGGTTCAAGAGGTGCAGTTTTCTGCGTTCATTTTCTTGCAGAATGAATTGCCCACTAAGCAAACAATATATTATGTTGGAAGAAATTTACATGTTCAAAACTAACTTACAGCTGAATTAACTTGTACACCAAAAGATTCTTCGAATCAAAGCTTTCTAAAACCAATGAAATCATAGGATTTCAGAAACCCATTCTAGAACATTAAGGATTTGGCATATCTGTTGAATTGGTATCATGTGACTTGATCCATTATTTCTCACATTCCCTCCCAGAGGATAAATAAAAGTAGCAATTTAGCCCCTTTAGATTGAGTCCCATGACAAATTGTTGTAAATGTGTTCTAAATGTACAAGCTCCAGAAATTACTTAGTCCTAGAAAATTGCTGCTCATCCCTGGGCCACTGTAGTCTGCTTTCCTGTATGCAACCTGAGTTAGGAGTCCAGCTAAGTATTCCAGTCATGTCTTTCCAACCTTTAGCAGGTGGCTGGATTTTTCAAGTCAGTTGAAAAAATTTTGGTCAACTGGAAAATTCTCATAGTCACCTAATTTTGTGTTCCTAATGTTTAAACTAAGTTAAGCTAAAGTTTTCTGTGATACCCAGTGAGCCAGAAGCCACTACTGTCAACTATTAGAGGGGTTTATTTAAAAGGTATACAGGGGTGACCACTAATTGATTTGAGCTCAAATTGTTTCTGATTCTTAAAAACCTCACGGGTTTTATCT
Source organism: Homo sapiens (assembly GCF_000001405.40). NCBI lineage: Eukaryota > Metazoa > Chordata > Mammalia > Primates > Hominidae > Homo > Homo sapiens. Next base: position 63,160,973 of record NC_000010.11, on the reverse strand, counting down.
ATTTTTTTCCCAAACTTATCAAGATAATGTGAGGACTAAGAAGTGTAAGGAATGGGGGGAAGGGAGGGTACCTGGAGAGGGGACACCTGTAATTTACCCACCCAGAGGCGATCACGGTTATTGGCTTACTTCTGACAAATCTTTTCTATGTATTCCACTCTACAGAGCATAGATCATTACATAAAAATTGGCATACCGTTTTTTCTGTCAGCATATCAATATGTCAAACACTTAAACTGAACATTTCTAATAGCTTCATAGTCCCACATACAGATTTATCATCACAGAACCATGGACAAGCAATGTAAGTCTGTATCGCTCCATTTTGAATCGTGAGCCTATTTATCGTTGCCAGCCTTTCAATAAATGAGGCTACCTTTCAAAAATCCAACCAATACCTCAAGTACTGTATTCAACCAAATTTAAAGACCAAGACAAGTGCCCTTCTGGAATTTACCACAATGCCCAAAGTGTGGGTATTTCAAATAAATGAAAATTACCTAAGGATGAAAACTGGTCTATGACCCTCTTGCCCCATTTAACATCTTGCTGCCTCCATAGAGGTTTATTTAGTTTTAACACTGAAACCAAAGGATTTTGTGGCAATGTTTAACTTTTTTTTTCTTTTCCAGTCACCAGCTTAATGGCATGTTTAATATCCTTCTGTTTCTTCTGTTAACATCTGGCCTTCCCTGAACAGCCATCTCCTCCTAAGAATAGGGAAATATCTGATATCAGTCCCTCCAAAAAGATCTATTAGTGGCAATGAAGACCCTGGGACTTAATAACACTCTGAATAGCAAGACTTTTCTTTAGGGAATTTCCATGGAGGAAGCCTAGGGCTAATCGTTGTTTGGTTCTTCTAATCAACCAAATCAAGAGTCCCTCTCTCAGATGACAAACTCCCTTTCCTCTTTCTGGAAACTACCTTTGGGCATCACTTACTTAGGAGGCTTTGGTCCCTCAGCCCTATCCCACTCCCTAATTAACCTGTCTCCTTTGTCTTCCTGTACATCCTGGAATCTGTGTTTAGCAACTTTAAAGACATTCTCATTTGTATTCTTGATTCCTTCACCGTTTATCCTTCTGTCATATCTGGACTACCCCTCCCACTTTTTTTCTAATGTAGTGTGCCCACATTAGAGAAACAGACTAAGAACGCAAAAACTAAACTCGCCTTCACTTGGATTCTTTCGGCCCTAACTCTGAGGGCCTATTCCAAATATTTTCCATTCCTCAAGTCTGGAACCTGATCCTGGCCCCTTCACCTTTAGGAAATAAAAAGCTAATCCACTTGAGCCTCCCTCAAATTTCATCTCATATTGTCCTACTATGATATGATTCTGACCAAGATTACTCACCTCCCTTAATTCCATGCCTTTGTTCCTGCTGTTCTAGAAATACAGCCAGGCGCAGTGGCTCACGCTTGTAATTCCAGCACTTTGGGAGGCTGAAGCGGGTGGATCACGAGGTCAGGAGTTCGAGACCAGCCTGGCCAACATAGTGAAATCCCGCCTCTCCTAAAAATACAAAAATTAGCTGGGTGTGGTGGCGCATGCCTGTAGTCCCAGCTACTTGGGAGGCTGAGGCAGGAGAATCGCTTGAACCCGGCAGGCGGAGGTTGTGGTGAGCTGAGATTGTACCACTGCACTCCAGCCTGGGCAACAGAGCTAGACTCCGTCTAAAAAAAGAAAAAAAAAAGAAATACCTAGAAAGTCATTTCCCCATTCTTTGATCCCAGATACTTTCCTGAAGGTGAAAAGTATACCAGCTACTTTGTATTTTTAGTAGCATAAGGCAAGATGTTTATAAACTGCTCTTACTATGAGACATTTACTAGCATCCAACTAAGGACTTTTTTTTTTTTTTTTTTTGAGACAGTGTCTCACTCTGTCGCCCAGGCTGGTGTGCAGTGGTGTGATGTCAGCTCACTGCAACCTCCGCTTCCCAGGCTGAAGCGATTCTCCTGCCTCAGCCTCCTGAGTAGCTGGGATTACAGGTGCCCACCACTACTGCCTGGCTAATTTTTGTATTTCTAGTAGAGATGGGGTTTCACCATGTTGGCCAGGCTGGTTTTGAACTCCTGACCTCAAATGATCCACCCGCCTCGGCCTCCCAAAGTGCTGGGATTACAGGTGTAAGCCACTGCGTCCAGACTTGGTTAACTCTTTGTGGCCCACCACACCTCCTTCCCAGGTCCTGAGCAAACATCAAGTTGATTCTTTTCTAAAGAAATTGGTATTGTTTCAGGCCTGCTTTGGCTGCCAAATTCTCCAGATCAGTAAACCCTTCTCCCAAGCTAGACGAAGTCTTGCTAATGATAGCTTTCAACCTAACCTCCAGGCACTTCCAGGCCCATTGAGGGTCAACCTTCTTGAGATTAAACCCAGGCAGCAAAACCTGAAAGGTCTTATCAGACAGGAAACTAGTATGCAAGACTACAGTCCCTGCCTGCACTAACCTGGCCCAGGCTTCTTAAAGACTCTTTTTGAATTGGTTTTCCATATCTGTTCCAGACAGGAAGTCAAGTAAGACCCCAACAGATTCATTTTTCCATGTCAGTCATTGGCAGGGCCTAGCCTTGAGTCTGGACACCATAATACCCTTCCTGGCTAATGGACCCAACAAGAACCAGAAGTTTCTTACTGTCCACCAGATGGCAGTGTTGGTTAGCAGTAGCTGGTAAAAGGACAAGATTGCACCTGGGAAACAACAAATAATCTGAGGATGCCCTTTACTTTTTTAAACAGTCACGCCATCCACTCCCAGAGATCTTTGATTAGGCTACACTGGGATTATGACACAATATAATGATACTAAAATTAAACACTTTTAATCTTCACATAACCTATGATCTAGAATGAATCAATAAATAATAGCTACTATTAGTTTACACCCTGACTCTTCAAATAGGTTATAAACACCCTGTGGCAGGCTGCCTCACACAAGCATCCATCTTAGTCATTTTCAAACAAGATTCTAACCACAACTGCTCACAAATGAAGGGTTATCATTAAAAATGGACATGAAGTTTTTTTCTGTTGAGTGTAAAGACAAACTCAAGTCTCACCAGATGGTCTCTGAATAAAGAAAAACCAGGCCAGTCGTGGTAGCTCACGCCTGTAATCCCAGCACTTTTGGAGGTTGAGGCAGGAGGATCACTTCAGGCCAGGAGTTCAAGACCAGCCTGGGCAACATAGTGAAATTCCGTCTCTACAAAAAATTAAAAAATCAGGTGTGGTGGCACACCTGTAGTCCTTGGTACTTGGGAGGCTGAGGTAGGAAGATCCCTTGAGCCCGGGAGGATCAAGGCTGCAGTGAACCATGATTGATCCACTGTACTTCAGCCTGGGCAACAGTGAGACCATCTCAAAAAATAAAATGATCTTAAAAAAAAAAATGAAAAAGCAACACTTTTTTTCTCTCCACTCTCAGTACTTCACTTCCAGCACCGGATGTGAGCTTTTTTTTTTTTTTTCCCACACATCAATTCTCTGGTAGGTGATCTTGCAAAATTAACTCAACTCTGACTCTACCTACCTGGAGGTTATGGGCTCAGTCCCACAAGACTACCCTTAATTCAGACCCAACCACAAATCCCCGGTTCAACCTGGTATTCTGACCAACCAGTTGCAAATCAGAGGTTCCCACAACACTCCCCACTGCTGCCTCACACTTTTGGATTCAATCCTTTGCTAGAATGGCTTAGGGAAACATCTTATTTACATTTAACCATTTATTATGAAAGTACTTATCAGAACAGCTAGATGGGAGACAGACATGGGGCAGGGACACGGGGCTTCTGTGTCCTCTCAGGGCACACCAGCTCCACATGTTCCGTAACACGGACGCTCTCAGGATCCTGTAGTTCAGGGATTTTTATGGAGACTTAATCATATGGGCATAATCAATTGTAACTCAATCTGCAGCCTCTCTCCCCTTCCAAAGGATGGGGCATGGGGCTGAAAGTTTTAAGCTTCTAATCATGCTGGTCTCTCTTGTGTCCAATCCCTATCCAGGGGCCCACTGAGAGTCATCACATTAGAACAAAAGTTCCTACCAGCCAGGAAATTACAGACTTGGGAGCTCTGTGCCAGGAACCAGAGACAAACAGCAAAATATTTATTTCTTCTTATAAATCACAATATCCTAGTCTCCAATGCCTCCTTGGGAAGCAGAAAGTAGCAGAGGTACAGTGGTACCTCTAACAGAGCTCATCTTTTAGAGAGAAATGGCTAGGCTAATAGAGTCATGTGCCATATAAAATTTCAGCCAATGATGGGCCACATGACAGATTATAAGACCATACCTTTATATTTAGATATACAAATGCCATTGTGTTACAACTGCCTAGCCAGTACAGTCCCATGCTGTAAAGGTTTGTAGCCCAGGAGCAAGACTATACAGCCTAGGTGTGGAGTCGGCTCTGCCTTCTAGGTTTGTGTAAGTCCACTTTAGGATGCTCACATGAAAAAATCACCTAACAACACATTCCTCAGAACACATCCTTGTTAAGCAACACATGACTATTTTTGGCACAAGCTTTTAAATGTCAAGTTTTATGAGCAAGGTTAGGCAAGTAAAATGTCGAGTCTAGGATATTAAAACACTGAGATATTTAGCAGAACAGAAATTCTAGTCAACCAAACAGAAAAAATAATAAAAAAAACAACAACACTGAGATAAACAAATTAATATATATATATTTTTTTTTTAGACAGAGTCCAGCTCTGTTGCCCAGGCTGGAGTGCAGTGGCACAATCTCAGCTCACTGCAACCTCTGCCTCCTGGGTTCAAGTGATTCTCCTGCTCAGCCTCCTAAGTAGCTGGGACTACAGGCCCATGCCACCACACTCGGCTAATCTTTGTATTGTTAGTAAGAGACAGGGTTTTGCCATATTTATCAGGCTGGTCTCGAACTTCAGACCTCAGGTGATCCGCCTGCCTCAGTCTCCCAAAGTGCTGGGATTACAAGCGTGAGCCACTGTGCCCAGCAAATTAATGTAACTTTTAAGAAAGTATAGAACTCAAGACAATTTGGCAGGCTAGTTTATTTTTGGTTTCATCTGCAGCAAGATGAGACAGGAAAAAATATGATTTCTCCATGGTCACTTCTGCTTTTTTTGAGACAGAATCTCACTCTGGTGTCCAGGTTGGAATGCAGTGGTGTGATGAGAGCTCACTGCAGCCTCAACCTCCCAGGCTCGAGTCATCCTCCCACCTCTGCCTCTGGAGTAACCACAACTACAGGCGCGCCATCACTGCACCCAGCTAAAGTTTTTCTGGGTAGAGACAGGGTCTCACTATGTTGCCCAGGGTGGTCGCAAACTCTTGGGCTCAAGCGACCCTCCCACCTCAGCCTCCCAAAGTGTTGGGATTACAGGTATAAGCCACCACGCCTGGCCCTATTTCTACTAGTTTCGTCACTGGATTTGTGAGCCTAACCCAACTTCCTCAACCCAATTGTCCTCAGAGAAGGCAATATATTTTTCTCACTTCTGTAATTCCACACAGCAAATCCAAGCTTTAAACATGCCCAGTAGCTTGCACCCAAATGTTTTGCTTATATTCTCCTCTTCCCCTTCCTTCTCATGGAACATCATCCAGCTTGGTAGAGAGAATCCAAAGCAGCACTTCCCCACACTATGCTCTGACAGGGTGGCAGGTGCCCAAGGGACAGCTGCCTCCAGCCTAGAGCAGCCCTGAGCATTTTCCATGTGGTGGTCAGGAAAAAGGTTGGAAACAATACATTTAAACCTCAGGAACTTCTGTACTCTCTGTCACCCTAGTTGTAAGGGAAATGGACTACAAAACACTGAAAGAAAAAAAAAATCCTTGACACACAAAAGTAATCATCTAACCGCATCTGTTCAAATTCAAAGTTTACAACGCACAGAGAAGCCACTCAGTGCCTTGCTTTTTAACTATCAACCACGTTCAACAAAGGTATAAAACACAATTACTTTATTGATTTCTTACAATAAAATACTGCCAACTAGCATTACGTCCACTCTTGCATCATTAAAAACAAAGGGTATTTCCTCCTTGGTATTTTCAAATGATGCATTATACAATAAACGAAGTTAGAACTTAAAATGCACCCTGATTAATTATGTAAACTGGTAATTTGTTTTAAAAAGCATAATAATTTGGTTCCTTTCTTCATAAAATGGAAATTTAAATATTTCTTCTGATAGTCTTGAGGTTATCATTATGAGTAGTGCAAAGTGTGGCACATATAGTTTCATCTAGAAGGGTGTGTATCTTACACACCTTAAACAAACAGAATGTGCATTAACAAAATGCATACAGTCAATGCATGATAGAAAGCATGTTTCAAATATAAGGCAGCCCCTCCGGCCACCATATTATTTAGGTTTTGCATTATCATTTATGGCATTATAGATTAATTACACATAACTTTTATACATTTTAACCCTGAAGATAAGAAAAATAACTGTTGCTTGAAAGAAATTCTTCCAGGTAGCCATTTGGTTTGTATCAGGAGAAACCGAACCTCCATGAGTTTAGCGTCTGCCAAGTCGGAATCATTAGCTGAAGTGAGTGAATGAGATACGCAGCGCATTTCACAGTGACTGTTTCCCAAGTCCTGGCAATGCCTCTGCTCCCACAGTCCACCAGATGAAGCATTTCCGGGATTACCCTTCTATGTGGTTTTCCCTTTTCATTTCTTTTTGCTGGATTAACGATTACTGTATTATTTCCTCTTTTCCCCTTTTCTGTGGCCTTCCATTTTAATTATTCATAAATCCTTTCAGAATATCCTCAGAGAGCTCCATAAGAGGAAGTTCTGGAGATGGAAAATCCAAGGGAGGAAGATTGGGGATTGGAATGTCCTTGGCTTTCCCAGTATTTGCTGCGAACTTCTGCCAGGTTGAGGAGGCTGTAGCAGTTTCTGCATGTGGTGGCAAGCTCCATAACTCTGACGTTTCTACAAAATCAGCATCTACATCCAGCTCCTTTTCTATTGGACCTTTTAGAAGTCTGGCCTTTTCAGCCTTTAGTTGTTTATTTTCTTTCCTTAATCTTTCATTCTCAGCCACAAGGAATTCCACATGCCTCTTCAAATCTGCAATTTTGGTTGCCTGCTCCTCTATAATTGTTTTATCATCTTTTGGGGCTTTGCTTCCAATACATGGCTCTGCTGGCTCACTCTTTTGCTGAAGTAAATAAAGTAGTGTGTCTGGATCCCTGTCAAAGATCCCCTGAATCTCAGGCAGGCATTTCTCTGTGGAAGGGCTGTACTTCTGAGAAAGGGGACTCTGGCCCTCTGCATCCTCTGCAGAGGGTTTGTGAGATGTCTGAAGATGGGCAGCTGCATCCTTGTCTGTGTTCTGCTGGGCTTTCAATCTTTCTTCACGCTGGGCCCTTTTCCATCTCTCTTGGATGAGGAGGAGCTGTTTCATATGGCTATCCCTTTGCAATTCCAGTGAAAGATGAGCCTATTACATAGAAGGAAAGATAAAATTGGAAGAATATTTTAAGTATCTTAGTAATGTCCAACATACACTATTCAAAATCCTTTGTGAATAACCCAACACTTACAATTTACAATTTACTATGTTTGCAAAAATACCATTCAGAAAGTCAGAAGTCCTATTCCCAATCAATACACTAAATTGGATGTTTTCCTCAATGTGCCTGACCCCATGTGTAATGTCATTTGTACTCAAAATTAGAAATCTTTCCTCTGTAGACATATTAATTCTACCAACAGCTAAAAAGAAAGTCTTCCTATCAACCGCGTGTTTGGATAACTCAATGCATGCCTGTATCATGAGCAGATTCTATACTTTCAAAGGCAGTGAAAGGGATAGAACACAACTTTAAAGTTCCCTTGGTTCAGTTTGAGAAACTAGTGGCTTTCCCTGCCACTGATATACCTCACAGAAATGATCTCTTTAACTAATACTTTTATAACAAAAAGTTTTTAAAAAGATATTTTATATATATTTATTTTAGAGACAGGGTCCCTGTTGCTGAGGCTGAAGTGCAATGGCGCAGTCATAGCTCACTGCAGCCTTGGACTCAGGTGTTCAGTGATCCTCTCACCTCAACCTCCCAAGTAGCTAGAACTACAGGCATGTGCCACCACGCCCAGCTAATTTTTTAAGTTTTTGTAGAGATGGGGTCTCACTGTGTTGCCAAGGCTGGTCTCGAACTCCTGGGCTCAAGTGATCCCCCTGCCTTGGCCTCCCAAAGTGCTGGGATTACAGGCATGGGCCACCATGCCCAGTCTTATGAATAAATGTATCTTGAAACACTTGGCAGGGCCTCCCCAAACACAGAAGACAATTTAAAGCAATTGGTGAAACAAATTTAAAAGTGCCTGAACTGCTTAAGAATTCAAGCAAAGACAAGTGGGAGACTGGTCAGATTTAAATTATCTTTGACAAGCAAAGGGTGGTCCAACTAGTTTCCTCTTGGCCAGGCCTGTTTACTGACTGTAAGCTAATGATCAAATAAGAGCTAATGATTAGGAATGGTCCGAAGAGGGCTCTCTAAAAGGTACATCTGGCTGGCAATCTGAGATCTGTGAGTAACCACTAGAAAAAAAGAAGTTTCTGCATTCCATGTCTGGGGCATCGACTGCAGTTCATTTAGTTTTAATTTCCGTTGTGAAGTGCTCTTCCCTTGCCCATTTTATATATTTTTGACTATAGCATTTTGAGAGGGACACAATGCTTTGCTTTACACACAATTCAAGCCTCCACAAGAAAACCTTTCTAACCCTTGTCGCAAATATTGGGAATATGTCTCACCTGCTCTGACTGTGTCAGCTTCATGGCTTCAGAAAGATATGCTGTTAAGAGAAAAAATAGGCATGTTAATATGTGTCTTCATTTTGTAATTAACAGGTAAAAGGAAGAGTTTTAATAATCTTCATATGACAAAGAGAACTGGTCTGATAACTCTGATACAATTGGGGATTTTTTAAAAGAATTCTTAACTTCCCCCAAAAGGATGTCAGTGGCAATAAAATGAAAATATTCCCTACCCTATCTTGAAGGTTTTGTTATTTAAAACTCCTACAGATTTTATAATTCAGAAACTGAAGATGGTCTAATCAGAAAAATAGGTTTAGGAAAGATAAAAATCAAACAAGAACCTATCCAAACCCTATTACTCATCATACTCACAAAAATATCATGAGATTATCAATGACTTTTTATCCGTCTGAATACCTGGAATCTATCATTTTGGACTCCTATAGAATCACTTTTAATGAATTGTCTCTGAGTTAAACCATCAGCCTTATGGTTAAAAGCCCTAAGAACTTGTTGACATATTTACTGCGAGGAAGTTACTGAGGACAGTATAATGTCATTTATGAAGACCTTCAATAAACTTCTCTCTGATCTTAGATCCTCGGTGACTATTTGTTTGAATTTTAATAGCCAATGTAAAAATTATTATCTTTCCTCTTTAGGATGACTGCTAGAAAACTTAAGTCAAGTTCTTAAAAAAATATGCAAGAACTAATGGTACATTTTGTGAACTACACTACTAGTCCTTTCTCATTTTCTCTATGGATGTCCTTATCTATGTATCTTTAATTACATTCGATATTTTATTGTACATTCATCTGTAAGACATTTTATAACCTTTCGGGAACAAGGTTAGGTATAAATAAGTTCTCTATTATCAATGAATTGTCCATAATGAATCTCCATTTTTATCTTGCTTGTTATAAACATTTTTGGCATCTCTCATACCTACATTAAGTTCCTCTTTTGCCCTTTTGCAGATACTACGAGGCATTGCTTTCTGTCCAGTCTTAATCCAAATAATTTAATGCTTTGATGTCATAACTTAAGAGTTCTTGCCTGCTAGGTTCTACCACAGTCTTTAAGATACAATTATATCAGGGGTCCCAAACCCCCAGGCCGGTACTGGTCTATGTCTTGTTAGGAACTGGGCCACACAGACAGCAGGAAGTGAGCAGCAGGCAAGCCAGTGAAGTTTCATCTGTATTTACAGCCACTCCCCATTGCTTGCATTACCGCCTGAGTTCTGCCTCCCATCAGATCAGCAGCGGCATTAGCTTCTCATAGCACAAACCCTACTGCAAACTGCACAAGCAAGGGATCTAGGTTGCACTCTCCTTATGATAATCTAATACCTGATGATCTGTCGCTGTCTCCCATCACCCCTAGATGAGACTGTCTAGCTGCAGGAAAACAAGCTCAGGGCTCCCACTGATTCTACATTATGTTGAGTTGTATAATTATTTATTTCTATTATTACATTGTAAAATATAAAGTGTACAATAAATGTAATGTGCTTGAATCATCCAAAAACCATTTTCCTGACCCCAGGTCTATGGAAAATTGACTTCCACAAAACCAGTCCCTGGCAGCAAAAAGGTTGGGACTGCTGAATTAGATGCTCCCTTTCCAAGAAAAAGAAGAGTTGGAGCCAGGCGCAGTGGCTAGCACTTTGGGAGGCCAAACAGGAGGACTGCCTGAGCCCAGGAGTTCAAGACTAGACTGGGTAACATAGCGGGACCCTGTATCAATTTAAAAAGAATTTAAAAAAAAAAAAGGAAAGAAAAAACAGAGTTGGTTATACAGTCTTTGCTCCAGCTATGCTTACCATAATTACATCCTTCCCACAACCCTTGTCTTTTTTTCCTGTAGTATGTCTGTACAGCTGCATACTATTTCTTTTCCTTTTGTTCATGTTTAAATCTGTGAAGACGGCCGGGTGTGGTGGCTCACACCTGTAATCCTAGCACTTTGGGAGGCTGAGGCTGGTGGATCGCCTGAGGTCGGGAGTTCGAGACCAGCCTGGCCAGCATGGTGAAACCCCGTCTCTACTAAAAAAAAAAAAAAATACAAAAATTAGCTGGGCGTGGTGGCAGGCACCTGTAATCCCAGCTACTAGGGAAGCTGAGGCAGGAGAATCGCTTGAACCCATGAGGTGGAGGTTGCACTGAGCCGAGATCACGCCACTGCACTCCAGCCTGGGTAACAGAGCAAGACTCCGTTTCAAAAAAAAAAAAAAAAATCTGTGGAGACATTCTAACTGCTCTGCTACCGCTCTGATACACTGTAGACACATTTTCTTAGACATCTCTTCCATCTTGCCTGCATATATTTGTCTCCCTGTTTGAACTATAGTTTGCTTTAAATCCACTTTCTTAACAAACAATAGTTTTCACAAAACCAAGCTTTAGCCAACTGAAATGCCACCCTTTGTAGAACCTTGAAATTGTATATGACAAAGGAGGTTACAGAAGGATATCCCAAAGCACAAAGAATTCAACAAGAATCATACTGTCATTTAAAGTATTCCCCACATTTAAATCTTATAAGTGGGGCATTTTAAAGTTATTTTTAAAGAAAAAAATTATTTTAAATCTGATTCCATGTTCATGGATTTCTTCCACAGACTCACAATAGAAACAAAAGTATAGCAACACAGAAATTTAGAAACAGAGTATCTCAAAAACTGCTAACAATCCTCGTTAAACTACTTCCTTTAATTATGACACGAGGCTAAAATTTAAAGTAGATATTAAGCGAATGATACAATAAAGGAACTAAGGAAATCTGAAGAATATCTTAAAATAACAACATTGGGCCGGGCACAGTGGCTCACGCCTGTAATCCCAGCACTTTGGGAGGCCAAGGTAGAAACCCTGTCTCTACCAAAAAATACAAAAATCAGCCAAGTGTGATGGCGCATGCCTGTAGTCCCAGCTACTTGGGAGGCTGAGGCAGAAGAATCACTTGAGCCTGGGAGGCGGAGGTTGCAGTGAGCTGAGATCATGCACTCCACCCTGAGCAACAGAGCAAGACTCTGTCTCAAACAAAAACCAAAAACCAAAAAATAGTAACATCTATTACTCTTCTAACAGGAATCTGTTAAACTGGTCCCAACGCATACAAAGTGCAGCAATATACTGCCTCTGAATAAGGATAGAATCATTTTCATGTTACCAGTTTCAAAAGGCTTAGGTTAAGATTTGTTTTCAAACAAAATATTCATCAAATCCATCCAAATACTGTGTACTCTGGGGCCTGCTCATCTTCTGAAATGCTCACTTTGAGTTCTAAGCACTGCCAATGGCTATTAACTTATTTCAGGTTTTGTTCTTTTGTTGTGTATGAAAGAAGAGAAATTCACTTAGGGATGTGCTTATCTGGCAAATGAATGCTCACATGCTCAGTTTCATTTAATTCAGCCATTGTCCACCTCAAGAGTAGATCCTACCTTTCCTCAAAAGGCAAGAGACATCAAGCAACTTATTTCAGCACATTTACAATACAAACACTACAAAGAGGCTATAAAGTCCTTAGCTAGGTAATCTCACGGTAAGTTTTTTAGTCTCAGAATCTCCTCTGATCTTTGACAGGTGGACACCCAGGTCCCCTCTGTTTGCCCTTAAATTCTCTCAGTTCAGCCTTTCCTTCCTATTAGTCTTTCTCAGATGTTGATCTTTCCTTGTCACATCTCTAAAATGATTTCCAAATAATAAGTTGCTTCCTTTCAGAATACACCTAACCCATACCTTCCAAGACCAGTTATAAGCCCTAGAGATGCAAGTCAATTTCAAAAAGTGAGCTCATTTCAACCACGTCAACTTTCAACTCCATTCTAAAACACAAGTTGGAAACCCAATCAACTCAGTGGGATTTACTAATCACATTAAGTTCTGTCTCTATAATTTAAGCTAATGTGATCTAACAGTTTGCCGTATTTTTCTGGAGTGGGGAGTGGTTAACTGAAGCCCAACATCAGTTTTAAGTCTTCAAAGACAAGGATTAGGTTACAACTAAAATTTCCTTCTCTTTATATATTCATAACATCCCATAGCTCAGTGCCTAACATATGCTGATTCACTCCACTTAACATATGTTATATATATGTAACCATGACCATTTTGGGTTACATAAGGTATTGTTTCACTAGGGAATCCATATAAAACATGGTTTTCTTAAATAGTTAAACATGGTACATCGTCTTTGTAGTGACTACAGATTTAACAATCTGATTCATAACAAAATATGGTTTAGGAAAGATTTAAAGAGCACTAGTTGACATGTTTAATACTGTACAAAGCCCTCTCACCATAAAAACACCCAAAGATTTATGGAATATCTACTGTATGCTTGGCCCTACAGCAGATAACTCCAGTACACTTGAGTGGCAAAACTATTTCTTTTTTAAAAAAAGCGGGGGTGGGAGGCTAGGGGAGGGATAGCATTAGGAGAAATACCTAATGTAGACAACAGGTTGATGGGTGCAGCAAACCACCATGGCACGTGTATACCTATGTAACAAACATGCACATTCTACACATGTACCCCAGAACTTAAAAAAAAAAAAAAAAAAGGCTGAGAGCAGTGGCTAACGCCTGTAATCCCAGCGCTTTGGGAGGCCAAGGCGGGTCAATCATGGGGTCAGGAGTTCGAGACCAGCCTGGCCAACATGGAGAAACCCTGTCTCTACAAAAATACAAGCCGGGGGTGGTGGCACACACCTGTAGTCCCAGCTACTCGGGAGGCTGAGGCAGGAGAACCACTTGAAACCAGGAGGCGGGAAGTTGCAGTGAGCTGAGACGGTGCCACTGCACTCCAGCCTGGGCGACAGAGCAAGACTCCATCTCCAAAAAAAAAAAAAAATTTTAATTTTCTCTGAAAATTACCAACTTCCAGGCAAAAACCACTGTAGTAAGAAGACTTATCCAATCTACTGCCCACCTTGCAGTCTGTATTTCACAAGTAAAATAACAAGGGAGGGGCAGCCTCTGTCAAGAAAGAATATGGCTCTGATCATCATACTGGCCTAGAGGGAAAGGAACATGCCTGCCAGCAGAAGACTTCAGGGTTTGCCCTAAGAAAGGTGACTTGCACTCATTTTGGATGAGGCATGAGTAAAACATCCTTTACCCAAAGATTTTTAAATTTTTTTATTTTTATTTTTATACTTACCACTACACTAACGAGGACCCAAAGTTTTTTGGTTACTCAGCCAACAGAAACTGGTCTAAGCAAAACAGGCCCCCAAGATCTATTTCTGAATTCAACATATGCTAGGTTGCTTGACTGACTAGGGTAAAATTAGGTCTTTGATAAGAAGCTAACAATTCTAAAATTCATACTGAAATGAAAGCTAACATCAGCATGTTACTACAGGCATGCATGTAGAGATGAGATATTCAGAAGGGAAGCTAAAAAAAAGACCACAGGAAAAATCTCCCACATTTTAGGTAACAAAAGTCTTATAGTAAGTTTTGCATTATCAGCATGTTAGAAAACAGAAGCTCAGTGAAAATGAATTGGTTGGAATTGAATTGAATTACTATTTTTAGAACCTGAAATGGCCAACTATTTGAAACCCAAACTCCTTTTTATAATAACTAAGATAAAATGGCAGACTTGTTACAATCAGCTCCTGTTTTTAGGGATCTTTGGGCTCAGAGAGCTGTATCCAGGAACTGTTTACCACATTTATGCCATCTTCATGATTTAGAAAGAAGATTGGATTAGCAGGAGCTGGGAAATCCAACACACTTACTTGAAAAATAATCAAAGCTGATATTCTGGTGGGTCAGCAGTATCAGTCTTGCATATGAAAAGCAACACACATTATTACTATTGTGACTTTCTGCTCTTCAGTTTTACACTGAGTACTTAATAAGAATACTCACCTGCAGCCTTTTTGTGACAAGAAATAGCCTCTTCGTATTTGCCTGCAGCTAATAAACGGTCTGCTCGTCTGCTCTGTTGATGAGCCTAGAAGACAAACATCCCTAAGTTCCTCTGGATCATAAAATAAAACATGATTTCTTTCAAAAAGCAACTACCTTTTAAGAAGATAAATAATACTGTTTTGTTGCCACATATCAAATCACTATTACAGCTCTATCTGTAGCTGGGGAAATGTAATGGGTAGAGCCTAGAACTGCAGCATCTGAAAGGAACTGGCAACTTCTTTCACTTCTACCATAAGCCCTCTCAAGGTTAACACCAGGCACTTAACTCCTTCAGTGACTCACATTCTTCCACTCTTTGGAGATAAACCAAGAGTTACAATCATAGATTGTTATTCAAAATGTCTATTTTCTTGATTTTTAACAAGCTCCTTTCAAAACAAGAGCTATTTTGTAGATACTTTCACTAATCTGTATAGTCTAAAAACTATAATCAGGAAATCACTCATCATGTAGTAAAATCCAAGCTTCTCTTCTATCATCTCATTCTTTCAACATTAAAGTTACTATTTGTTTTTAAAATAAAAAATTTGGACATTGCAGTTGATGAATTCATGATACCAACATCTAATATTACAAAGATTGTTTTAAAGATATCTCATCAAAAGAACAAAGTCAAAAAAATCAGAAGTTCTAACAGCAAATAATGTAATTGAAGGAAAACTTATTAAATAAGCAGTCACTGGCCTCCTTACACTTTAATAATTTCAAAAGAGCTTTAAGTCCAGGCACAGTGGCTCATGGCTGTAATCCCAGCACTTTGGGAGGCTGAGGCAGGCGGATCATCTGAGGTCAGGAGTTCAAGACCAGCCTGGCCAACATGGTGAAACCCCATCTCTACTAGAAATACAAAAATTAGCTGGGCGCAGTGGCTCACGCCTGTAATCCCAACACTTTGGGAGGCCGAGGCGGGCAGATCATGAGGTCAGGAGATCGAGACCATCCTGGCTAACAGGGTGAAACACCGTCTCTGCGGGCGCCTGTAATCCCAGCTACTCAGGAGGCTGAGGCAGGAGAACTGCTTGAACCTGGGAGGCAGAGGTTGCAATGAGGCAAGATCATGCCATTGCTCTCCAGCCTGGGTGAAAACAGTGAAACTCCATCTCAAAAAAAAAAAAAAAAAAAAAAAGCTTTAATATACATTATTTCAGCTGCTTTAACTACGACTTTGTTAATGTGTTTTCCTCTCTTACATAAGGAGGCCCAAAAGACTGATGGGGAGGTCGTGTAACTTACATAAGATTATACATTTAACTAGCAAGGAGAAAGGCAGAGATAATCAGCTAAAGTTTTCTACCTCATGTAACGATTTTCCTCAGTAACAAACACACACGATTTAGCAAAGCTTCACAGCTTCACAAAAAAGCAAAAAGCATTGTACACCCATATTCATAACAGCATTATTCACAACAGCCAAAAGGTGAAAGCAATCCAGATGTCCATCAACAGATAGATGGATAAATGCAGTATACACACACAATGGAAAGGTACTGTCTTTAAAAGTAAGGTAATTCTGGCCGGGCGCGGTGGCTCACGCCTGTAATCCTAGCACTTTTGGAGGCCGAGGCAGGCAAATCACAAGGTCAGGAGATCGAGACCATCTTGGCTAACACGGTGAAACCCCGTCTCTACTAAAAATACAAAAAAAATTAGCCAGGCGTGGTGGGGGGCACCTGTTGTCCCAGCTACTCAGGAGGCTGAGGCAGGAGAATAGCGTGAACCCGGAAGGCAGAGCTTGCAGTGAGCCGAGATCGCGCCACTCCACTCCAGCCTGGGTGACAGAGCGAGACTGTGTCTCAAAAAAAAAAAAAAAGGGAAGATAATTCTGACACATACTACAACATGGATGAACTGTGAGGACATTAGACTGAATAAAATAAGCCAGTCATAAAAGGACAAATACTATACAAATCGACTTATTGGGTATCTAAAGTAGTCAAATTCTTAAAAACAGGAAAGTTGAATGGTGGAACAACTCATCATTGAACAGGGGAGGGGGAAATGGGGAGTAGGTATTCAAACGGCATAGTTTCAGTTTTGCAAGATGAAAAAATTCTGGACATTTGTTGCACAACCATGCGAATATACTTAACACTACTAAACTGTACACTTAAAAATAATTAAGAAGGTAAACTTCACGTGTTTTTTACATCACTTAAAAAAGGTAAAAAGTGGCTGGGTGCTGTGGCTCATGCCTATAATCCCAGCACTTTAGGAGGCCAAAGCAGGCAGATCACTCGAGCTCAAGAGTTTGAGACAAGCCTGGGCAATATGGTGAAAACCCATCTCTACAAAAAATACAAAAATTAGCCGGGTGTGGCGCTCGCACCTGTAGTAGTAGTCCCAGCTACTGAGGAGGCTGAGGTAGGACAATCACTTGAGCCTGGGTAATGGAGGCTGCAGTGACCTGTGATCGCACCACTGCACTCCAGTCCGGGCAACAGAGTGAGATCTTGTCTCAAAAAAAAAAAAAAAAAAAAATCGGGCATGGTGGCTCATGCCTGTGATCCCAACACTTGCGGAGGCCAAGGCGGGTGGATCATCTGAGGTCAGGAGTTTGAGACCAGTCTGGCTAACATGGTGAAACCCCGTCTCTACAAAAATTAGCCCAGCAGGATGGTGGGTGCCTGTAATCCCAGCTACTCGGGAGGCTGAAGCAAGAGAATCGCCGCTTCAACCCGGGAGGCAGAGGTTGCAGTGAGCCGAGATCGCACCATTACACTTCAGCCTGGGCAACACAGTGAGACTCGGTCCCAAAAAAAAAACAAATCTGTTCTGTCAGTTAGCTGAAAAATGATTTGTCTTGGATGCTTTTTAAAGACATGTCCCTTTGATGCTGCATAAAAGTACTTCACAGAATCACGTTTGCAACTGAGATTATAAATATTCTGGGCATGTTTACAAATCATACTCAGTATAAAACACAGGTGAAGACAAAAGTAGAAAACAGCACTTCCAGCAATGCCTTGCTGTTTGCCTTTTCCCCACTTCTATTTTTGTAGGAAAGAAGCAACAATCTTAAAGACAAGATTCGTGCCTTTCAATTACAGGATTTCAGATACTTTTTATTTTTTAAATAGTAATCAAACTTTCCTCTAAGTCTTAACATATGCCTGGGAACAACAATAGGTCACAAGAAATGACTGGGTAGGCTGGGCGCAGTGGCTCATGCCTGTAATCCCAGCACTTTGGGAGGCTGAGGCAGGCAGATCACTCAAGGCCAGGAGTTTAAGACCAGCCTGGCCAATATGGTGAAACACCATCTCAACTAAAAGTACAAAAATTAGCCAGGCATGGTGGCACATGCCTGTAATCCCAGCTACTCAGGTGGCTGAGGTACAAGAATTGCTTGAACCTGGAAGGCGGAGGTTGCAGTGAGCTGAGATCGTGCTACTGCACTCTAGCCTGGGCAAGAGAGCAAGACAGCCTCAAAAAAAAAAAAAAAAAAAAGAAAGAAAGAAAGAAAAGAAATGACTGGGGGCTTAAAATAATGGATGAATTTTAACCTGGAGACTTGGACTGAGCAAAAAATACATTCTGAACACATGAGCATTTTCTAGTACCCACAAATTATACAGGTATTTTGGGAAAAGAATGTACATGATGAAGAAAGCTAGTATGCACAAGCAGTTATGATTAACCTAATTTCTCTAATGAACATGTTTTGATACTATTAAAGCAAGTGGTATTAAATCAATAAGCAATAAGGCTCTAGGTTTTAATGAAAATACAAATCACCTGGTTAAAATACAGATTCTAAAAGGCCGGGCATGGTGGCTCACACCTGTAAGCCCAGCACTTTGAGAAGACGAGGCAGGAGAATTGCTTGGACCAGGGCGGCAGAGGTTGCAGTGAGCTGAGATCGTGCCATTGCACTCCAGCCTGGGCAACAAGAGTGAAACTCCATCTCAAAAAAAAACAAAAAAAACAAAAAAAACAAAGGTTCTGATTCAGGAGGTTTGGAGTACGGCTTGAGATTCCACCCAGGTAAAGCCAAAGTTGCTGGCTTATGGATACACTCTAAGAAGCAGGGATGAGATGCTATTTCAGGTTACTTCATTCTAACACCTTTTTTCTATCTGTGTGTGTCGCTGATGATTTCAATCACTTTCTTCTAGTATGGATATTTATGTAGCTCCATAATTAAACTTCAAACTCTGTGATGACGGAATAAATTCTTAATTGAACACCAAAAAAATAAAAAGTTCTCAAACAGTGAGAGCAGGTCCTCATGGCTCTCCCAGCTCCCTTAAAACATCCCCATGTAGAGTCCAATCTCTAACCAGTCTGCCAATTTAGGAGTTAAATCTCATTATAGTTTCAGATTATTACTGAGCTCAACAAAAACACACCATCTCCTCTAGGTTATTTGGCACCAGAGCAATCAAATTTCGTATTTTAAGTACATTTCCTACTATGTTCTTATCAGACACACAGCAAACTCGTTATAGAGCTCGACTGCCAACGTTCAAATCTCAGTTTGACCACATATGAGACACATAAGCCCGGCTTTCCCAATTATCTGCCTCAGTTTTCTCATCTCTAAAATGAAAGTTATTGTCTGCTTATGTAAATTTGATGGCACCAAAAACAAAAGAGTTTGTGAAAATTAAACTAGTTGAAACATCACAGTGCTTAGAATGGTGCCTGGTACTGGTACATACTCGATATAGCCCTCGTTAAGTACTACAAAAGACAATAGAAGTGATGGAAGTACCTGCCATCAAGAAGTTGACAATATAGTTGGGTCTAGACTGAATTGCATTTTAAAAAAATTTTCATCTTAATTACTTTTGAGACAGGGTTTTGCTCTGTTGCCCAGGCTGGAGTGGAGTGGTGCAATCATAGCTCACTGCAGCCTCAATATCCTGGGCTCCAGCAATCCTGCCACCTCAGCCTCCTGAGTAGCTGGAAATACAGTCACACGGCACCACATCCAGCTAACTTTTATTTTTTGTAGAGGTGGGGTCTTGATATCTTGCCCAGGCTGGTCTCAAACTCCTGGGCTCAAGCAATCTTCCTCCCTCACTCACCCAAAGTGCTGGAATTATAGGCATGAGCCACCATGCCCAGCTAAATTGCATTTTTTATAAACTGAAGATTTTACAGAAAACCTATCTTGGTGGTGCTTCTCATTTTTAAAACAACTTTTACAGTTTACAC
The DNA here is from genome assembly GCF_000001405.40 of Homo sapiens. Taxonomy (NCBI): domain Eukaryota; kingdom Metazoa; phylum Chordata; class Mammalia; order Primates; family Hominidae; genus Homo; species Homo sapiens. Next base: position 63,141,067 of record NC_000010.11, on the reverse strand, counting down.
ATATTAAAACTAGTCTCTCTTTAAATACTGTTCTTGGTAGAATCACAGCCATTAAAAGCACTAGGCTGAGGCCAGGAGCGGAGGCTCACGTCTATAATCCCAGCACTTTGGGAGGCCGAGGCAGGCAGATCACGAGGTCAGGAGTTTGAGACCAGCCTGGCCAACATAGTGAAACTTCATGTCTACAAAAAATACAAAAATTAGCCAGACATGGTGGCGCCCACCTGTAGTCCCAGCTACTCGGGAGGCTGAGGCAGGAGAATCGCTTGAACCTGGGAGGCAGAGGTTGTGGTGAGCCGAGATTGCGCCACTGCACTCCAGCCTGGGTGACAGAGTGAGACTCCATCTCAAAAAAAAAAAAAGTAATAGGCTGGGCACGGAGGTTCATGCCTATAATCCCAGCGCTCTGTGAGGCCGAGGTGGGAGGGCTGCTTGAGACCAGCATAGGCAACATAGTGAGACCCCATCTCTACAAAAAATAGAAAAATTAGCTGGGTGTAGTGGTGCACACCTGTAGTCCCAGCTACAGGAGGGACTGGTAGGAGGATCAGAAGCTCAGGAGGTTGAGGCTACGGTGAGCCGTGATTACGCCACTGCACTCTAGTCTGTGGGACAGAGGAAGATACTGTCTCAAAAAGAAAAGGGTAGTAAGTCCATAAACATGTTTCTCTGGTAATTCAAAGAAATTCACAATAAAGCAGTCCCACCTCTGTGTACTTCCTAGGCAATCCATATGATTCTGTGGGACTTCCCACATTCTTTTTTAATTGCTTGATGGGTTACGTTAGATTGAGGTCTACAGCTGTGGTTGCCCATCATTTCTGACAGATGATTCGTTTTGTAAACAGCTGACATAAACTTATGGTATTGATAACTATAGTATAGAACTATATTTTCTCTTCCTTATGATTTCCTTGCTGTTTTTTTTGAGATGGGGTCTCATTCTGTCACCCAGAGGCTGGAATGCAGTGGCATGATAACGGCTCACTGCAGCCACAACCTCCTGGGCTCAAGTGATCCTCCTATCTCAGCCTCTCAAGTAGCTGGAACCACAGACATGTGCCACCATGCTCAGCTATTTTTTTTTTTCTTTTGGTAGAGACCGGTTTTCACTATGTTGCCTAGGCTGGTCTTGAACTCCCGGGCTCAAGCAGTCCACCTGCCTCGGCCTCTCAAAGTGCTAGGATTACAGGTGTGAGCTACCATACCAGGCCCACATTGTTGTATTACCTTGTCGTCTGGATACCTAAAGAATCCCTTCTCCAGATTTTCAAACTTAGGAGCAGACAATATGAAGAAAGTCTAATTAATGTGACATTCAGAGGCTAGCCAGGTGGAAATATAGGTCTGCAGAAAGGAGGAGTGAAGCAGACAAGCCTGAAAAGGCAAAAAAAGAGAGGGAGAGTCTGATTAAGTCGGACTGACAGGCTCTATACGGTCATAAACCAAGCTACATTATACCCCTGCCCTTCCTGCACCTTTCTTTGGAGTCCAGTAAATTATCTCTTTTGGCTTAAGCTAATTTCAAGTGGGTTTTCATCAACTACAACCAACAAAAATCCTAACTACAACAACTAGGTTACTAAGTGACTGCCATCACTGACAAGTACCTTTTACTTCCACATGCTAACTGCTTCAAAAATACATGTTCAATACTACCCTCTTTCCCAAAAGAAAACAGTATTACTTTCTATTATTTTTTTCTGTGTCCTTGGGGAAAGCTGTTAAGTAAAGATGAAAAGAAAAGGAACACCAGGCCAGGCGTGGTGGCTCACGCCTGTAATCCAGGCACTTTGGTTTGGGAGGCCAAGGTGGGCAGATCACGAGGGCAAGAGTTCGAGACCAGCCAGACCAACGTGGAGAAACCCCATCTACGCTAAAAATACAAAAATTAGCCAGGCATGATGGCACGCGCCTGTGGTCCCAGCTACAAGGAAGGCTGAGGCAGGAGAATCGCTTGAACCCCGGAGGCGGAGGTTGTGGTGAGCTGAGATTACGCCATTGCACTCCAGCCTGGGCAACAGAGTGATACTCTGTCTCAAAACGAAAAAGAAAAAAAGAAAAGGAACACCATATGAACACAGCACTGAAAAGGCAGCAGAGGAAAATCTAACATACACCTGACCTTATGGTAGGGTCTTCAGTTGAAAGAGAAACCTCACTCACTCCCCCTTTCCCAATCAATGTGCGTCTCCTACAAACAAGTAGCAAACAGTTATCTCAAATCAATAAGCACTGAATTGACTAAGTAATATAACGCAATTATACTGAAGATAAGCGCTCAAGTGTTGGAGAATTCCAGGAAAGACTTTTTTTTTTTTTTTGAGACAGAGTCTCGCTCTGTCGCCCAGGCTGGAGTGCAGTGGTGCGATCTTGGCTCACTGCAAGCTCTGCCTCCCGGGTTCAGGCCATTCTCCTGCCTCAGCCTCCCGAGTACCTGGGACTACAGGCGCCCGCCACTGCACCTGGCTAATTTTTTGTATTTTTAGTAGAGACGGGGTTTCACCGTGTTAGCTAGAATGGTCTCGATCTCCTGACCTCGTGATCTGCCCGCCTTGGCCTCCCAATTTTTTTTTTTTTTTTTGCGACAAGGTCTCGCTCAGTCGCTCAGGCTGCAGTGCAGTGGCGTGAGCTTGGCTTACCACTATCTTCACCTCCCAGGTTCAAGCGATTCTCCTGTCTCAGCTTCCCAAGTAGCTGGGATTATAGGCATGTGCCACCACACCTGGCTAATTTTTGTTTTGTTTTGTTTTTTGATACGGAGTTTCACTCTGTCACCCAGGCTGGAGTGCAAGGGCGTGACCTTGGCTCACTGCAACCTCCACCTCCTGGATTCAAGCGATTCTCCTGCCTCAGCCTCCCAAGTAGCTGGGATTACAGGCACCCACCACCACACCTGGCTAATTTTTGTTTTTAGTACAGACAGGGTTTCATCTTGTTGGCCAGGCTGGTCTCGGTGACCTACCCACCTCAGTCTCCCAAAGTGCTGGGATTACAGGCATGAGCCACTGTGCCCAGCCCAATCTTGCCTTCATATCCTACTATCACCACTTACCCTGCATTTCAAAGTCTTCATCTTTAAAATAGGGGGAATATCTCATATTTAGCTATTAAGAGGAAAAGATAAAAAATATACATAACGTGCCCGATGCCAATCCTACCACTTAGCAATAATTGCTGGATATCTCTTAGTACTCTCTACCTCCTTTTTCCAGAGTGCTTTCATTATGCCTAGCTCAGCTTGTGACAAAGAAATTTTCCTTGGAATTTTTCAGGGCAACAAAGAAGGGGTTCAAATTGCCTCTTTTTACCTTGAAGATTTTAAAGCCAATATAATTAAAATGGGATAGGTATAAGGACTCCAGGTATGCATAAGGCCATTCCTTGGACCATGATATCTGACTACTTTTCTTACAGAAGCTGGAAAGTAAGAGGCTTCATTAACTACCTCATGTGATGTGAGAACTGACCACTCTGGAGGGAAGCTGTTACTCAACAAACATTCTCAGCACTCTTAAGGGCTAAACACATAGAAAACGATTGTGGCCAGGCAGTCACATGGACCCTGCCCTTTGCAGCAGAGGTAAGCAAAACATGAGCAACAGCCACATATAAATTAAGATCTGACATCACTTTCCAAATCAGCAGCAAACAAACCAAAGAACTAGAAATTATCTCACAAGAGTTTTGACATTTGTTACCAGTAGTCACACTGACAAAATGTGTACGGAAAGAAATATCTAAATATACACTAATTTTATAAGTTATAATTTTTCCATATTTAAAACTGACAGGCTGGGCACAGTGGCACATGCCTGTAATCCCAACACTTTGGGAGGCTGAGACAGGAAGATTGCTTGAGGCCAGGAGTTCAAGACCAGCTTGGGCAACACAGCAAGACCCCATCTCCACAAAAAGTTTTTGAAAAAATTAGCTGGGCATGGTGGTGCAAACCTGTAGTCCCAGCTATTGTGGAGGGCTCAGGCAGGAGGATCCCTTGAGTGTGGGCAACAGAGTAAGACCCTGTCTCTTAAAGAAAAATTGACCAAAAAACCCTAATGAAACAAAGTTATTCAGAGTGCAAAGACTAGCTATTTTTTTCTTCAGTGGAAGTACAATTTTTCTTTTGACAAACTTCAATAACCAGATAATTAGAATCCATTACCTCTGTGGTACATATTAAAATGAATATTTCAAACTAGTCTCTTCCAGATCTTAAAAATTCACTGTGAGGAATTTCTAAGGCCCTTACTGCCAAACCTAACATAAAAGAATCAATACTGGAGCAGAGGTAATAAATGCTAACACAGAATCTACAGTTCAATATAGATGAGAACCATACTGAAATGAACATGATGAGTACAATATGGCAGCATTGCTAGAAAGAGGTCTTGATATCAAAATAACTCGTGATTCATAATGTATTTAAGTTACTGACCTAAGTAATTACCTAATTCTCTCAGCTTAGGCTTATTTATCTGTAAAACTGGAAAACACACCTTACTAAGTTCCGAGGATGCTCTGAGGACACATGATTACAAATCCATGTACTGTGATAAGTCCTTATACAATGAATTTGGACTACACTACGACGTCATTTGACAAAGCTTATTGCATTAGTAACTCTCTGAGTATAGAAAAAGAAAAAGCTTGTATAATACTAGTGGAATTTTCAAAGACATTCAAATTATAGCATTGAGAACTCTCATCTTGAGTCAACTAGATACTAAGTTAGGTGTTCACTGACATAAAAGAATGTCAGAATTTTCATAGCCGGGCAGGGTGGTGCATGCCTGTAATCCCAGCTACTCAGGAGGCTGAGGCAGAGAACTGCTTGAACCCGGGAGGTGGAGGCTGCAGTGAGCCCAGATCGCACCACTGCACTCTAGCCTGGGTGACAAAGCGAGACTCCGTCTCAAAAAAGAAAAAAAAAAAAAAAAAAAGTCTGAATTTTCAAAAACCTCATCTTATAAAACTGTGAGTGACAATTCTGAGTGCCAGAGGCCTGTAATTGGTACTCATTCAAGTAACCGTCAACGTCTGTTCTACTGTTACCTTCCAATAAACAACTATGCTGGAAATTAGATCTTTCAAGACTCAAATGGTTTAAGAATTCAAGGTGTCCGCCGGGCACGCTGGCTCACGCCTGTAATCCCAGCACTTTGGGAGGCCAGGCGGGGGGATCACGAGGTCAGGAGATCGAGACCATCCTGGCCAACATGGTGAAACCCCGTCTCTACTAAAAATACAAAAATTAGCTGGGCGTGGCGGCGCGTGCCTGAAATCCCAGCTACTCAGAAGGCTGAGGCAGAAGAATCGCTTAAACCAGGGAGTCGGAGGTTGCAGTGAGCTGAGATCGCGCCACTGCACTCTAGTCTGGTGACAGAGAGAGACTCCATCTCAAAAAAAAAAAAAAAAAAGAATTCAAGATGCCAAATTTCTGATACTTGCCTACATAAATTTTATGGCTGAAATACGGAGTTACGCTAGCCTGCTTAAAAAGACTCTGTCGAAACTCGCTCCGTTTTATGGAGGAGAATTTAAATGGTATTGCCACCATTTAACTAATTTTTCCTGAACTGGTAGTGATTCTGCAGTTCTATCTGCAACTGTCACCCAGTTCTAGTCTCCTTTTAAAACATCACACATTCGTGGGGCAGTTGGCGGGGGTTATTCTGCAGCCAAATAATGTGAAGCTAACTAGAACTGAACCAATGCTCATTTGGCAAGGACACCTGAACTCTGAAGCACTTCGTAAACAGCTGATTATTTCTAGTAATACTCCTGTGAAGTTTCAGTATTGAGCCATCCACTGTATTTCATTGCCAACTATATGTCGCCTTAAAAACAAGAAAAGTGCAAGACAGTTCCCTGGTTATTTGAGTCAGAGTCTCGCTCTGTCGCCCAGGTTGGAGTGCAGTGGCACAATCTCGGCCCACTGCAACCTCCACCTCCTGGGCTCAAGCGATCCTGCCACCTCAGCCTCCCGAGTAGCTGGGACCACAGGCGGGCGCCACCACGCCAGGCTATTTTTGTATTTTTTGTAGAGACCGGGTTTCGCCATGTTGCCCAGGCTGGTCTCGAACTTCTAAGCTCAAGTGATTCGCCCGCCTCGGCCTCCCAAAGTGCTGGGATTACAGGCGTGAGCCCCGGCGCCTGGCCAGTTCCCTGGTTAAAAAAAACTCGCAAATGTAGTCCAATTCGTCTTAAGTGTAAATACCTACCACCTGGGGCAAGACCCAACTTAAAAGGGAGGGGCGCCTCACAACAGTTAACCTGGCACCAGTGATTTGGTCCGAGAATCTTAGGCTTTTAAAGCTCAAGTCCAAACCTTTATTCTACAAATAGATTTTAAATTAAGGGCTTATGGTCTGGTTATAATCGCTAACTCTTACACTGTACTATGTACTTAGTACAGTTCTAAGTGCTTTACACCTATTTACTCCTTTAATCCTCCCAAAAAACCTGAAGCCGAGTGAAGCCAAGTAGTTTGCCCAAGGTAACACAGATATCAAGTGACGAGGTTAGAATTCAAATCCAAGCAGCATAGCTTCAAAACCTAGAGTCTTAAACCACCTGACTCTACTGCTCTTCTAGGACTCAGAGTTCTAATGTGAGAAAAGAATCCTCTATAGAGCTTTCTTTCAATTCCACCATCGCAAATGAATTGCAAACCTGTGACTCAAAAGTTCTTCCTGTGTGCAACCTTAAGTAATCTGACTTTTACATCCAAAATGGGTAACCTCTCTGGAAAACTAAAAGATGCAATGGCCAGTCTGAAAAGAACTCATGCTTCCCGTTGTTAGTGGGGTTCTGTTGTGTTGTTTTTTAATTGCAACACCTGAAACGCCTTAAAACACAAGTAAACAGGCTATCAGCCATTTTCCTGAGAACAGCAAACACCTATTACACTTTCATGATGCCTAAATTGATGAATCTGAGCTAAATACAGGAACGGCTGTCTTTTTCCCAGCTGTCTCTAATATATTTGGAAGACGGTAGACTCAGTTTATGCATGTGAATGTATGTGAGAAATGAGGGGGAAGTGGAGGGTGAGGAGGGGGAAGTGGAGGGTGAGGAGGGGGAAGTGAAGGGTGAGGAGGGGGAAGTGGAGGGTGAGGAGGCTATTCACTCCTCCACCTCTCCAAAGCGGGGCGACTCAGACTCAGACCCTGCTGCTAGAACTTAAAACCAGTATCACACCATTTCTGCCTTGGCCGGCTTCAGTGCCTCTCCAGGCTGTAGGGAGGTGGCTACGTGGCGCTAAGAGGACTTCCCCCAGCCAGAGAGGAGGTGGCAGCCCCAGGTGGTGGCATCCCCTCGCCCGGGGCCCCGCGACAGGGGGCGCCAGGACTTCCCGGGGATCCCCCAGGAGGGCAAAGTCTGAAGTGGCTAGCCTGGAGCCGCAGTTGGGCCAGGGCCTGCCTAGCAGCCCCTCACAGCCTCTGCGACCACTCCTGCCAAACCAACCTCCCAGCCTAAAGGGTTAGCCGACGCGCCGGGGACGGGGCCGGGCTCCTGAGGCAAAGGCACCCAAGACGAACGCTATATTCTGTGGGACACTCACCAGGTTGAGGGGTCCTTCCATTACTTCCATAGACCCCGGGGTAAGCGGCGGCCTTAGGAAGGGGAGTAGTGGCGCCGGGGAACATGGAGGGGACTGCAAGGGAGCTCGACGCAGCCGCGGAGACTGCGGCCCCTCTCTGCGCCCCAAGAGCCAGCGATAGGCGCTGAAGGAGCAACAACCTCACCACTTCCTCCTCCGGCGCCGCGCCGCGGGCCCGCCCCCTGCGCCACCGCCGAGGCCACGCACGGCGCCATGACGTCACACGCGCAAAAGGCTGGTTCAAGGTGGGAATGAGGACAGGCAGTGGGTGGGGCCCAGGGAAGGCGGGGCACCAGCTGATGTACGCTTGCGAGCGGTCAATCTTTCCTCTCGCGAGAAGCGTTAGTTTAGGTTCTTAAAGTCTACACTGAAGTCACGTGAGGAGGTACAGCCTTGCTGTTGAAGACTTGAAATGGCTGTCTTCTGCAATTAGCTTCTCACGTTTCCTTTTAGACTGACTTTTCCTTAAATCTGCTAATCGTTACACCGTTACTTGTGGTCCTGTCCACACCTTTATCATTGTACATGATTCATTTTTTCAAAAGGCCGATTTGAGCAATTCTAGACCATGCACTGGACTAACCCCCCTAGAGGTCAGCACACTCGAATGATTTAGGGCTCTGCCCTCAAGTTGCTCACAAACTGATAGGGAAACAATTTTGGTCTAGCCAAATATAATACTGCATTCATTTAACAATTATGTGCCAAACAAAAGCTAGGTTCGTTCTGTCATGGAATTCACTGACAAATAGTTGTGATTTATGCTGGAAAGGGAACACATAGGGAGCTGTGATAGAGTAACCAAGGTGGAGTTGGGTGGTAAAGGAAAGCCTTTCATGGGGGGCGTGATTTTTTTTGAGAAAGTGTCTTGCTGACGCAATCTCCACTCACTGCAACCTCCCTCTGCCCGCCCCCTGCCCCAGGCGATCCTCACACCTCAGTCTCTTAAGTAGCTAGGAACTACAAGTGCTCAGGCCAGGTTAATTTTTGTATTTTTTGTAGAGATGGGGTTTCGCCATGTTGCCTATGCTGATCTTGAACTGCTGAGCTCAAGTGAGCTCAATGATCCGCCCTCCTGGACCTCACAAACTGATGGGATTATAGGCATGAGCTACCGCACCTGGCTAAGGGCGTAATCTTTAAGATTAAACCTTAAAATGCCAGTTAAACAAAGACCCTTCTCGACAAAGGAAATGTCTTATGCCTCAACTCTAAAGGCGGGGAGGTCGGGTGGCGGGAGCTGCAGCATTTCAGAGAGATGCAAAAGAAGATACCAGAGAGATAGGAAACTTCCAAAACATAGGTGTCCTTGCAGTGCACAATGAAACATTTGAATTTTACTCAAAGTGCATTGGGAAATAAGTAAAGGATATTAAGCTAGAGAATAATCTGCTTTAATTTACAGTTTTGAAAAGATTAATTTCCCTGTAATGTGAAGAATAGATTGTGGAAGGCCTAAGGAAAAAGAACCAAGACAAGCTAGTTGATTGACTAATTATGGGCGCTCAGACTGGAATGGAAGTAGGGAAGATTGGGTCATGCATCCACTCATTACATAGTTATCATGTTTCTACCATGTGCCGGAAACCTTGGAAGAGAAGTAGATATATTCAAGATATATTTTTGGGCATCAGGTTGAGAGGAGTTAGTGATGGAATGGCAGTAAAGCATACAGAAAATGGAAGAATCAAATCTCGTATTTAAACAACCAAGTGGCCTAGCACACTGGCTCACCCCTGTAATCCCAGCTCTTTGGGAGGTCAAGGAGAGCAGATCACTTGAGGCCAGGAGTTTGAGACTGGTCTGGCCAACGTGGTGAAACTTCATCTCTACTAAAAGCACTAAAACGTAGCCAAGTGTGGTGGCGCGTGCCTGTAATCCCAGCTACTGGGGAGACTGAGGCAGGAGAATTGCTTGAACCTGGAAGGCAGAGGTTGCAGTGAGCTGAGACCAATCACACCACTGCATTCCAGCCTGGGTGACACAGAGAGACTCTGTCTCTAAAAATAAAAAAATAAAAAAGTAAACAACCAAGTGGACAAGATAGTGAGAGACAGGACTAGCTGGATTTCCTAGGCCAACTAAGAATTCCTAAACCTAGCTGGGGAAGGTGACCACACCCACATTTAAACACAGGGCTTGTAACTCAGTTCACACCCGACTAATCAGGTAGTAAAGAGGGCTCACTAAAATACAAATTAGGCTAGAAGCAGAAGGTAAAGAAATAGTCAAATCATATATCGCCTGAGAGCACAGGGGGAGGGACAATGATCAGGATATAAACCCAGGCATTCGAGCAGGGAGTGGCAACCCCCTTTGGGTCCCCTCCCATTGTATGGGAGCTCTGTTTTCACTCTATTAAATCTTGCAACTGCACACTCTTCTGGTCCATGTTTGTTACAGCTTGAGCTGAGCTTTCACTCACCGTCCACCACCGCTGTTTGCTGCCATCACAGACCCGCCGCTGACTTCCACCCCTCTGGATCCATCAGGGTGTCCACTGTGCTCCTGATCCAGCGAGGCGCCCATTGCTGCTCCCAATCGGGCTAGAGGCTCGCCATTGTTCCTGCAAGGCTAAGTGCCCAGGGTTTGTCCTAATCGAGCTGAACACTAGTTGCTGGGTTCCACGGTTCTCTTCTGTGACCCACGGCTTCTAATAGAGCTATAACACTCACTGCATGGCCCAAGGTTCCATTCCTTGGAATCCGTGAGGCCAAGAACCCCAGGTCAGAGAACAAAAGGCTTGCCGCCATCTTGGAAGTGGCCTGCCACCATCTTGGGAGCTCTAAGAACAAAGACCCCCTGGTAACAATAGGAAGGAGCTAATTTGTATGGAAAATGAAAAGTTCTATCTTGGGCACTGTATTAATTTCCTATGACTGCTGTAAGAAGTTACTACCCATTTAGTGGATTAAAACAACAGAAATTTGGAGGCTAGCAGTTCTGGAGGCTAGAAGACCAAAATAATTTTTTTTTTTTTTTGAGACGGAGTCTCGCTCTTTCACCCAGGCTGGAGTGCAGTGGCTCGATCTTGGCTCACTGCAGGCTCCACCCCCGGGGTTCACGCCATTCTCCTGCCTCAGCCTCCCACATAGCTGGGACTACAGGCGCCTGCCACCTCGCCTGGCTAATTTTTTGTATTTTTAGTAGAGACGGGGTTTCACCGTGTTAGCCAGGATGGTCTCGATCTCCTGACCTCGTGAATCACCCTCCTCGGCCTCCCAAAGTGCTGTGATTACAGGCGTGAGCCACCATGCCCGGCCAAGACCAAAATAATTTCATAGCGCCAAAACAAAGGTATACAGCAAGGCCTTGCCCCCTTCTTTTCCAGCCTCTGGAGCTACATTCTTTGCATTCCTTTGACTCACAGCCCCTTCTTCCATCTTCAAAGCCAGCAGCACTGCATCTTCAAAGCTCTTGCTGCTTTTGTCATGTCATTTCCTCTTAAAATCCTTCTGCCTCCCTCTAGTAAGGACCCTGTGAATACATTTGGTCCACAAAATAGTTAAAGATAGTCTTCCTATCTCAAGGTTAACTTAATCATACCTACAAAGTCCCTTTGCCATATGAGGTAACATTCTCAGCTTCCACAGATTAGGACCTGGGTATCTTTCGGACCATTATTGAGACTACCAGAGGCATTGTATCTAAAGCAAATCAATGACATACTCAAAATAATCCCAGAAGGGTTTAATAAACGGACTGTTTTACAAAGGTGTGGCCAGAGTTTAGGTATTTACATGAGAAAAGCAATAACTCCTAGGCTATAAAGAAAGAAATAGAAGGGGCTGGGTACAGTGTCTCACACCTGTAATCTCAGCACTTTTGGGAGGTGGAGGCAGAGGTGGGCGGATCACTTGAGGCCAGGAGTTCAAGCCCAGCCTGGCCAACATGGCGAAACCTCATCTCTATCCAAAATACAAAAATTAGCCAGGCATGGTGGCACATGCCTATAGTCCCAGCTACTCTGGAGGTTGAGGCACGACAATAACTTGAACCTGGGAGGCAGAGGTTGCAGTGAGCTGAGGCCGCACCACTGCACTCCATCCTGGGAGATAGAGCAAGACTCTGTCTCAAAAAAAAAAAAAAAAAAAAAAAAAAGAAAGAGAAATGAATAAGAGGGAAATCTGAAATGAGGAGAAAAATGTAGAATATAGTTTGAAGAAGCACTGACCTTCAATCAAGGACACTATCCTGAGGTGACCTTGCAGGGAGGATCCAGGGAAATCACCTTATTTCCTCTTCCCCTGACTTCCATTGTCCAAACCCAATCAAAAGCCAGAAGGCAAGGGAGCCCATTGATGTAATTCATAAAAATCAGCCTCCAAGGGCAGGGAGCAGGGTAGTAAGAAGTAGAGACCGGATCTGGAAAGAGTAATACAAAATATCTGGCACATACAAATGAAAGATTTCACATCTGTTTTTGTTTGTTTGTTTGTTTTTGAGATGGAGTCTTGCTCTGTCGCCCAGGTTGCAGTGCAGTGGTGCGATCTCAGCTCACTGCAATCGCCACTTCCCAGGTTCAAGGGATTCTCCTGCCTCAGCTTCCCGAGCCACCTTGCCCAGCTAATTTTTGTATTTTTAGTAGAGACAGGGTTTCACCATGTTGGCCAGACTGGTTTCAAACTTCTGACCTCAGGTGATCCACCCTCTTCAGCTTCCCAAAGTGCTGGGATTACAGGTGTGAGCCACTGTGCCCAGCCAACATCTGTTAATAGGGAAACTTTAGACGAATTAAATGTAGAAGAGTTTACTGGAGCAAAGAATGACTCGTGAATCAGGCAGCACTCAAAATTTCAGAGAGCTGCCCACAGCAGCAGAGGCAGTGAACTTTTATTCCTTGAATGTGGAAGTAATTACTTGATTGGCTATAGCTAAGCATTTGCCCTATTTGGGTATGGTCTAGTGGAGAGTCCCTAGTGAGAGGTTTGTTGGTGGTTTTTTTTTTTTTTTTTCTGAGACAGCGTCTCGCTCTTTCACCCAGGCTGGAGTGCAGTAGTGCCATGTTGGCTCACTGCAACCTCTGCCTCCCGGGTTTAAGCAATTCTCCTGCCTCAGCCTCCTGAGTAGCTGGGATTACAGGTGCACACTGTCACGCCCAGCTAATATTTGTATTTTTAGTAGAGATGGGGTTTCACCATATTGGTCAGGCTGGTCTCGAACTCCCGACGTCGTGATCCACCCACCTCGGCCTTCAAAAACACTGGGATTACAGGCGTGAGCCATTGTGCTTGGCTGGTTGGTGATTTCTAACTGGTTAAGTTTTGTCTTGCTGGATTTTTTTTTTTTTTTTTTTGAGACAGAGTTTTGCTCTTGTTTCCCAGGCTGGAGTGCGATGGCACCATCTTGGCTCACTGCAACTTCCGCCTCCTGGTTCAAGCAATCTCCTGCCTCAGCCTCCCCAGTAGCTGGGTTTACAGGCACCTGCCACCACGCCCAGCTAACTTTTGTATTTTTAGTAGAGACGGGGTTTTGCTGTGTTGGCCAATCTGGTCTCGAACTCCTGACCTTAGGTGATCCACCTTCCTCAGCCTCCCAAAGTGCTGGGATTACAGGCGTGAGCCACTGCACCCGGTAATTTTGTTTTACTGTTTACATTGAATTGAGTTTTAGTTTGCTTAAGTAGGAGTCCAAGACCCAAGACTCTGGAGCCACCTCAGCCTAATAGCCTCCCTATTAATTATTTTCACACATCCAAGTGGATATGTGAGGTAGGCAGGTAGATATACAAGACTGAAGAGGCCGGGCGCGGTGGCTCACGCCTATAATCCCAGAACTTTGGGAGGCTGAGGCAGGTGGATCATGAGGTTAGGGGTTCGAGACCAGCCTGACCAACATGGTGAAACACCGTCTCTACTAAAAATACAAAAAAATTAGCTGGGCGTGGTGGCGGGTGCCTGTAATCCCAGCTACTCAGGAGGCTGAGGCAGGAGAATGGCTTGAACCCGGGAGGCGGAGGTTGCAGTGAGCCGAGATTGCACCACTGCACTCCAGCCTGGGCAACAGAGCAAGACTCTGTCTCAAAAAACAAACAAACAAACAAAAAGACTGAAGCTCAGGAAAGGTGTGGGTCAGGGGTGTCCAATCTTTTGGCTTTCTTGGGCCACACGTAAAATACACTAATGATAGCTGATGAGCAAAAAACAAAAAAATTATACATACTTCATAATGTTTTAAGAAAGTTTACAAATTTGTATTGGGCCACATTCAAAGCCGTCCTGGGTCGCATGCGGCCTGTGGGCTGTGGGTTGGACAAGCTTGGTCTAGGTAAATACATTAATTTTAATAGGGAGAACATTTAATTTTCTTTTCTTTCTTTTTCTTTTTTTTTTTTTTTGAGACAGAGTCTCCCTCTGTTGCCCAGGCTGGAGTGCAATGTTAGGATCTTGGCTCAGTGCAACCTTTCCCTCCCAGGTTCAAGCACTTCTCCTGCCTCAGCCTGCCTGAGTAGCTGGGACTACAGGTGCGTGCCACCACACCTGGCTAGTTTTTTTTTTTTTGTATTTTTAGTAGAGACGGGGTTTCACTATGTTGGGCAGGCTGGTCTCAAACTCCTGACCTCAGGTGATCCGCCCGCCTTGGCCTCCCAAAGTGCTGGGATTACAGGCGTGAGCCACAGTGCCCGGCCACATTTCATTTTCTGCTGCAGAAAAAAGCAGCAGACCTAGAACTGCTGCTGAGGAGCCAGCAATTAGACATATGGTAGAAGAGGAAGGCAGAGCCAATGAAATAAGGAAATCCAAGACATTCCATAGAGAATAAAAATGGGACAGTGGTGGAAAGAATCAAAGTGACATACATAAAAATATGAAATAGAAAGACAATAGGTGATGTAGATAGATTGACTGTATCGATGAAGTTCCTTGAGAAGATGAAGGAGGAATGGAATTCAGAGCCCAAATACAGAAACTGTCCATGGGAAGGAAGGATGCTTGCTCCATTTTAACAAGTAGGAAAGAGAAAAGATGGTCATATAAAAGTAGTTGTGTAGTTTACTTATGGAGAAAATGTGGGGATTTGAAGCCAATTACTGCTTGCTTTTTTTTTTTTTTTTTTTTTTTAGATGGACTTTTGCTCTTGTTGCCCAGGCTGGAGTGCAGTGGCCCAATCTCGGCTCATTGCAACCTCCGCCTCCCAGGAGTGATTCTCCTGCCTCAGCCTCCCCAGTAGCTGGGATTACAGGTGTGTGCCACCATGCATGGCTAATTTTTTTTTGTATTTTTAGTAGAGATGGGGTTTCACCATGTTGGCCAGGCTGGTCTTGAACTCCTGACCTCAGGTGATCCACCCACCTCAGCCTCCCAAAGTGCTGGCATTACAGGCATGAGCCACCGCACCCGGCCCAATTACTGGTTTAAAAAAAATGAAGTGGGTGCAGCAAACCAACATGGCACAAGTATAGCTATGTATCAAACCTGCAGGTTGTGCACATGTACCCTAGAACTTTAAGCATAATTTTTAAAAAAAAGAAGAAAGAAAAAAATGAAGCATGAAGTAAAATTATTAACTGAGAACAGAGGGGATACAGTTTATCTAAAAACATTAAAAGAAAAACTTAAGGAAAATTAAAACAGAATTTAATTGAGCAAAGAATGATTATTGAATCAGGCAGACCCCCTGATCCAGAATAAATTCAGAGAGACTCTACTACTGCTGTGTGGTGGGAGAAAATTTATGGACAGAAAAAGGAAAGTGATGTACAGAAAATAGGAGGGAGGTACAGAAACAGTTGGATTGGTTAAAGTTCGGGTGTTTACCTTACTTGAACACAGTTTGAACAGTTGGCCACCTGTGAATGGTTGAAGTATGGCTGCTGTGATTGGCTGAGACTCAGCTCCTGTTACAAGAGTGGGTTACAGTTTGTTTACACATCCAGTGAGGTTACAGTTCACTAGGTATGGAGGAGCCTTAGGCCAAACTTAAAATATGTAAGAGGCAGCTTTATGCTAAACTTGACAAAAGAAAGCCTCAGAGTGGGAAAGTCAACCTAAGAGAGAAACCGTTTATTTTGTGGGTAATGCTGAGTGCCCATTTGAGGTATGAAATTATAAATAAGGCAAAAAGTAATGTCGAAAGGAAGTAAAGGTAGTGCCAAGGGAGCAGAGGTTTCTTTTAGATGTTGGGCCACAGAAGGCCATGGAGGCATTGCCATTTGAGCTGGGCCTCAGGTCTGGTGGAGGTAGGGTTAGTACTGAGAAGACTCAGGGAGAGTGAATGACAGGAATTTTTTTTTTTTTTTTGAGACTGAGTCTTGCTCTGTCGCCCAGGCTGGAGTGCAGTGGTGTGATCTCTGCTCACTGCAAGCTCCGCCTCCCGGGTTCACGCCATTCTCCTGCCTCAGCCTCCCGAGTACCTGGGACCACAGGCGCCCACCACCACACCCAGCTAATTTTTTGTGTTTTTAGTAGAGATGGGGTTTCACTGTGTTAGCCAAGTTGGTCTTGATCTCTTAACCTAGTGATCCGCCCACCTCAGCCTCCCAAAGTGCTGGGATTACAGGCGTGAGCCACCGCATCCGGCCAAGTGAATGACAGTTTGTGGGAGACCTGTATGTCCAGAATTCACTAACTACATCTTCTGATTCTTTCAGTGGAGACCTAAAAACCAGACTCTGAGCAGTAGCATGAACCAAATGTTGTCCTAGACCTGAAGTTTGGCCATATCCCATTGTAAGCATTGACATCACCACCTACCTCTCAGAGACAGTTAACAGGCCTGAGGTATGATGAGAAAAGAGGTGAGAAAAATAAAATCCTGAGGCCCCCCAACCAGCTGATCAGACTCCCTCTTGGCCAAGGAGACCCCACAGAAACCTTAAAAACTGAGTTCCGGCCAGGTGGGCGTGTGACTCACGCGTGTAATCCCAGCACTTTGGGAGGCCGAGGTGGGCAGATCATGAGGTCAGGAATTCGAGACCAGCCTGGCCAACATAGTGAAACCCCCATCTCTACTAAAAATACAAAAATTAGCCAGGTGTGGTGGCACGTGCCTGTAGTCCCAGCTATTCAGGAGGCTGAGGCAGGAGAATCGCTTGAACCCGGGAGGTGGAGGTTGCAGTGAGCTGAGACCACGCCATTGCACTCCAGCCTGGGTTACAGAGTGAGACTCTGTCTCAAGAAAACCACACACAAAAAAACTGAGTTCCTGGCCGTGATGGGATGATGAGAGGTTGGACACAAATTCCTCATTATACTCTCTCCCTTGCTAATCACCATTAGGCTTTCTTCCCTAGGGGTTAAACAGAAAAACTCACTCCACTCCTTTTTGTGGTTTCAACAGAGCAACCAGACACAACAACTAACCAGCATTCCTTCCTGATAATAGACCACTGACCTTGGAGTGGCTCTGGCCAGTCTACAAAGGATGCACACTGAGTACCTTAGTGTCCTCTGCTTCACCTTTTGACATCAGAGGGCAGAAAACTCCACCCATGCCTCCAGGCTTCCATGAAGAGGCATGAAGCTCAGTTTCCGCTTTCATAAATATTTATGACTCCTCCTGTAGCTATTAAATAATGTATATTTGACCACTCAGTTCAGCATAAATTCTTATTCCTTTTGCCCCTCCCTTGAAGTGCCTCTTTCTGACTTCTATTCAGAGACTGTTTCCCAGTCTGTTGGAATGGCCACTCTCCAGGCTGCAACCATTTATGAGAAATAAATCTTTCCAGCCAGGTGCAGTGGCTCATGCCTGTAATCCCAGCACTTTGGCAGGCTGAGGTGGCTGGATCACCTGAGGTCAGGAGTTCAAGACCAGCCTGGCCAACATGGTGAAACCCCATCTCTACAAAAATACAAAAATTAGCCAGGCATGGTGGCGCGTGCCTGTAATCCCAGCTACACTGGAGGCCAAGGCAGGAGAATCTCTTGAACCCAGGAGGCAGAGGTAGCAGTGAGCCAAGATCATGCCATTGCACTCCAACCTGGGTGATGGAGCAAGCTTCGTCTCAAAAAAAAAAAAAAAAAAAAGGAATGAAAGAAATCTTTCCTTTCCAGTCTTATGAACCTCATTATTCTTCAGCTGACAGAAGTTAACAGGATAATACACAATGGCCCATTTGCAAATACATAAGCAAGCGGTTTCTTTGATTAGGTAGTTACTCTGAGGAAGGGTGCAAACCCCATGCTCTCTCAGAACCTCTCTAAATAATGGCTTTAACACACACTCCTGCCCTCACCACACCTGGCAGAGTGGGCCTGCCTGAGGGTGGAGGGTAGGGAGGTGGAGGTTGTATTTTGGGGAGGAGGATGGAGGTTTTGCCCTGAGGGGCCAGCTGCTGGGGGATGAGAATAAAACAGTATATGACAGACCACAATGGCTGCCACAGCAGAGGCTCCAGAGGAGACAGGGAAGTAAGCAGTCACCATCTCTCCTCTCCATAGGACTACCATTTCTAGTCCTATGGTAGGCTGAATTCTAAAATGGCCACCAAGATTTCTTACCCTGGAATGCATGCACTGTAAACCCCCTTCCCTTGAGTGTGTCCAGAACCTGGGAATATGTTGGCATATCACTTCTAGGATTAGGCCACATTATATGGCAAAGATGAAGGGAATGTGTAGATGTAATTAAGGTTCCAGTTGGTTGATTTTAAGTTAATCAAAGGAGAGATTCTCTTGGGTGGGCCTAACTTAATCAGTTAAAATATCTTAAAAGAGGGGCTAGATCTTTCCTGAAGAGAGGATGCTCCCTTACCAGCTTTGAGGAAGGAAGCCACTGTGAATTCCACAGCTTCAAAGAAATGAATTGTTTCAAAAGCCATGTGAGCTTGTGGGGTCCTTCAGACCAGCTGGTGTCAGTAATTTCACTGCTATGCGGGATTTGACAGAATATCTCAAAGAGGAAAATTTAATGTTTCATAATGTTCAAGTTGTTTTCTATAGAGCAGGGGTCCCCAGTCTTTACCCCAGGCTTCAGGTGAGCCCTAGCCCTGGCCTATGCCTTGATTGCAGCCTTGTGAGATCTTGAGCAGAAGACCTGTCAAAGACATGCCCAGACTCCTGACCCACAACAATTATGAGGTAATACACGTGTGTTGTCTTAAGCCGCTAAGTTTGTTATGTGGCATAGAAAACTATTGCAGACCCCTCAAGAGAGTGGAATTCAGAGGCAGAATTTTCTTGAAAAACAATCATCATGGCCAGGCAAGGTGGCTCACGCCTGTAATCCCAGCATTTTGGGAGGCTGAGATAGGCAGATCACCTGAGGTGGGGAGTTCGAGACCAGCCTGACCAACATGATGAAACCCCCAACTCTACTAAAAATACAAAATTAGCCAGGCGTGGTGGCGCATGCCTGTAATCCCAGCTACTCAGGTGGCTAAGGCAGGAGAATCACTTGAACCTGGGAGGCAGAGGTTGCAGTGAGCCAAGATAGCACCATTGCACTCCAGCCTGGGCAACAAGAGCAAAACTCCATGTCAAAAAGAAAAAATAAAGAAAAAAACAATAACCATGAGTAGTGAATTCATGTCATTGCACTACTCAATCCACAGAGGCTGCTGCACAGTGGGCTTAATACCTCTGAGGGCATCTTCAGCAACTACTCAACAGGAAGGAAAATGTGATATATTCAGGTACATGCCAAACACACTGACGTGTGACAACCACTTCATCAGGATCAGCAAAAGAGGAGAAAGGATGGAATTTTACAACCATGTCCAAATGGTGATGATGGGCATAGCACCCACCTGTGCCATCCTCTGCCATTTGATGTCATGCTGTTGGTCAGTCAGTCACAGGCTGTGAAGAGCATGCTGGACTTGGCCAGGCTATTAAGGGAAGATATTATAAACCTACTGTCTTAGTCTATTTTGTGCTGCTGTAACAGAATACCTGAGACTAGGTAATTTATAAAGAACAGGGATTTATTTCTTACAGTCTTAGAGGCTGGGTAGTCAAAGGTTGAGGGGCTCACATCTGGTGAGGGCCTTCTTACTGAAACTATGCTTATAAACTTTATGAATTAATCAGGGAAGAAGGAAAGGGGAAAAACAAAAATAAACCAAGCTTGCAGCACATTCAGCATGAATTATAAGATCAGCTTGCTCTCCCTAACCTGCTGCCTCATAGTTATTTGCTGCCTATTGCCTCAGAATCACATAGACCCTGTTACAAGATTATAGATCCCCTTAAATGCTCTGTAGCAGCAGTTCCCAACCTTTTTGACATCAGAGACTGGTTTAGTGGAAGACAATTTTTCCACAGACGAGGGTTGCGGGGTGGTTTTGGGATGAAACTGCCCCATCTCAGATCATCAGGCATTAGATTCTCATTAGATAAGGAGCCAGCAACCTAGACCCCTCAGCAACCTAGATCATGTGCAGTTCACTACAGGGTTTGTGCTCCTATGAGAATCTAATGCTGCCACTGATCTGACAGGAGGCGGAGTTCAGGTGGTAATTCTTGCTTGCCCACTGTTCACCTCCTGCTGTGCGGCCTGGTTCCTAACAGGCCGTGGACAATTACCAGTTTGTGGCATGGGGGGTTGGGGACCCCTGCTCTATAGATAACAACTTGAACATTATAAAACATTAAGTTTTCCTCTTTGAGATAATCTGTCAAGTCCTGCATACCAGTGAAACTACTGACACCAGCTGGTCTGAAGGACCCAACAAGAAGCTGACTCACCAAATAATGCAGTTGCCATGTCCTGATTATTTCATTCCTTTTACCACAACTAATGACTTCCATTTTCCAGCCCCTCATCCCCCATGATTCACTTAAAAACCCCAGCCCAGAAGTCCTTGGGGAGATTAATTTGAGGGCCTCCTCCCATCTGCTGGCCCTGTGCACTGTGATCATTAAACTCTTTGTCTGCTGCAAACTCTGCTGTCTCAGTCTGTTACTGCACATCTGGCATGCAAGCTGTTGGTCCTAAAACATTGCTACAGCATCCCATGGGGGAAGGTAGAAGGGCAAGAGAGCATGCATGCAAGAAAGCAAGAGATCAAACTTGCAGCCTCAAGACCTTTTATAACTGGCCTAAGTCCATTCATAAGGGTGGAGCCATTATGGCCTAATCGCCTCTCAAAGGTGCCACCTATTAACACTGTTGCATTGGGGATTAAGTTTCCAATATTTGCTTTTTGGGGGACACATTCAATCCATAGCACCTACAAAGACTTTAAAACTATCCGGGTTTTGGCCAGGAACGGTGGCTCACGCCTGTAATCCCAGCACTTTGGGAGGCCGAAGCAGGTGGATCACGAGGTCAGGAGTTCGAGAGCAGCCTGGCCAACACAGTGAAATCCCATCTCTACTAAGAATATAAATATTAGCTGGGTGTGGTGGCACCCTTCTGTAATCCCAGCTACTCGGGAGGCTGAGGCAGGAGAATCGCTTGAACTTGGGAGGCGGAGGTTGCAGTGAGCCGAGATTGTGCCACTGCACTTCAGCCTGGCCACAGAGCAAGACTCTGTCTTGGAAAAAACAAACAAACAAACAAACAAACAAATAAAACCTATCCAGCTTTCTTCCCTTGATATTTGGGAAACAGTAGCTACGCCTGAACTTGCTACAGGGTGTTCTTTGTTTTGCATTTTTGTATCCCTTCGGATACATGGAAGACTTCTTTAGTTATCAGAAAAAGCCATTTATTTTCTGAGACCACCAGTGGAGAGTTGCACTAATCCCTAGGCAATCCCAACTAGAGACACAATGGAAATGCCTATTATTAAATGAGAGACAAGAAGAGCCAAGCAGTAAGGCTTCTGCAACTCAGAAAAAATGGGGCCTGGGTGCTTTGAGAGAGCATCTAAAAGCTGGTCCTGCAAAGCCTTTGGTGCTCTTCAAGGCTCCCCAGGAAAATGCATTTCATGTCAAAGAGCCCAAGCCTAAATGGGCCAGTATTGAGGTATTTGCCACATTGGACAGGTTCTTGATGCTTCTCCAGAATGTGCCACAAGGCTTAATTTCAGACATTCCTTGGATATTAGCTGCTCTAATCTCATACTCAATATTGTAATTATTATAATTATCTCTTTACCATCATGATAATCCAGTCTCTCCTTGAACTACTCAAATCAAGGCAGACCAATCTGTGGTAGGATATATTTTAAAATTCTAACATTTGTATATTTGATATTGGATTTTTTTTTTTACTATTAGAAAGTCTTTCATTTGTGTGAATTGTAATCTGTCTTCCCATGACTGCTATGCTCTGAATTTTTTTTTCTTATAAATCACTATAACATATGTGTGTGCAACCAGGCACAATCTGTTCCCTGTATCAAAATGCAAAATGTGCATATCCTTGACTCAGCAATCCCCATTGTAGAAACCTTCTCTACAGAAATACTAGCACAGAGGTAGAAAATAAAGGTATGTGAGGATGTTCATTGGGGTGCCATAATAGTACCCTCCCTAATTTTGGAATAGTTCAAACAAAACTAGCCAGACCATTTGACAGGCCTGCTAGAGAGAGGGATTCCTGCATCAGGTGGAAGCTTGGATTGGTTACCTCAAAAGCCTGTCCGGTTATAAGTCCTTGGTTTGCTCATTTATGGGGAGAGAGTGGAGCAGACTGTCCTGGTCCCACTTTCTGCTTTCTGAGCTTCTCTGCTGAGCAGGAGAAAAAGATGAACCTCCATTATGCAGTAGGAGAGGGAGTCCAGTGCACCTGCCACACATATGATGTTTGCAGACTGCCCAGTGAAGCCACCCAAGAGCATTCTTCTGTAGTCACAAAACCTACAAGGCCTGCCACAGAGACAGTAACAGGGACAACAGCAGGGTTGGGAGTAGCAGGGGCAGCAGCAGGCCCCAGAGTAGTGCTGGGCGCTTGGCTGCATCCAAGTCCACATGTCCAGAACAGATAGCACAGCAATGTCAGGGGCAGCCAGCAAGGGCCCAGGAGGAAAAGGAGCCAGGATGGTCACAGCAGGACCACCAGCGCGTCCTCAGTGGGTGTTAAATTAGCTGTGCGGGTGCTTCATGCATATCCTTGGAGAGCATGTCTAGCATGTGGCCAGGGGCTGCCAAGGGATCCCCAGAAGGCAGAACGAGTGTGGTGACTACAGTAGTAGAGATCACTAGCAGGAGTGTTGTGAAAACAGCAAAAGGGCCAGTAGGGAGATCTCTCCTTTCAATCTTATAGAGTAAAGGCTGCATCTGTAGGTCTGGATCTGAAAATAATAATAATAACAGAATAAAGGCTGCATAAATGAATGGGATGAGAGAGAGTTTCCCAGGTCAGTGCTGAGGTCCAGATGGAAAGATAGGAAGCAAGGGGAAGGTACAGAACATAGAACTCTAAATTAGAGAATCCTCCATTACAGGAGGTTATGTGAAGATAGCAGCAAGACAAATGAAGATAAGTAAATCTGAAAATTATCTTCCTGCCAGTCGTTAGCCATGAGACCATTAGAAATTTTAAAAAGGGCTAAGCATGGTGGCTCACACCTGCAATTCCAGCATTTTGGGAGGCCAAGATGGGAAGACTGCTTGAACCCGGGAGTTTGAGGGTGCGGTGAGCTATAATTGGGCCACTGCACTCCAGCCTGGGTGACAGAGCCAGAAACTGTCTCTAAAAAGTAAATAAATAAATTACAAAAAGAACAAGGGCAGAAGCAGCCCAGGAGGCACCAGCAACAGCTTCTCCACTCACAAGAGCTTCAGGCACCATCCCACCATAAAAGATTCTAGGACATTTCACCATTGGAATTGGGAAGCTGCTCTACAAACTAGTTCAGATTCTGCAAGTAAGATATCCAGCAGGATAGGCTCTTTCTTAAGCTACTGCAAAGCCAACACTACTACAAGACAGAACTGTGGCCCCACTACCTGGTAGAGAGAGGGACATGATGTCTAAGACAATAGAGGGCAGCAACCTGGGGGCTCTCTGGAGACAGCAGAGGGTAGCCAGGGGCTAGAGATCATTGTATCGGGATATGAGAACAGTGAGGTAGATGGTAATCTTTGAAACTGAGCCTGTTAAAGAAGAACTAGAGCAGGAAGCTACCATAGGGATCTGGACTTGGGGGAGTATCTTTTTTTTTTTTTTTGAGACGGAGTCTTGCTCTGTCTCCCAGGCTGGAGTGCAGTGGTGCGATCTCGGCTCACCGCAAGCTCCACCTCCTGGGTTCACGCTATTCTTCTGCCTCAGCCTCCTGAGTAGCTGGGACTACAGGCGCCCTCCACCGCGCTGGGCTAATTTTTTTTTTTTTTTGTATTTTTAGTAGAGACGGGGTTTCACCATGTTATCCAGGATGGTCTCGATCTCTTGACCTCATGATCCACCTGCCTTGGCCTCCCAAAGTGCTGGGATTACAGGCGTGAGCCACCGCACCAGGGCTTTTTTTTTTTGTTTTGTTTTTTTAAAAAGGGTCTCACTCTGTCACCCAGGCTGGAATGCTATGGCACAATGTTGGCTCACTGATAACGCGACCACCTGGGCTCAAGTGATCCTCCCATCTCAGCCTCCAAGTAGCTGGGACTACAGGCTTGTGCTATCATTCCTGGCTAATTTTTGTATCTTTTTTGGTAAAGATGGGTTTTTGCCATGTTGCCTAGGCTGGTCTTGAACTCCTGAGCTCAAGCAATCTGCCCATCTCGGCCTCCCAATGTGCTGGGATTACAGGTATGAGTCACCATGCCTGGCCTGTTTCCCTTTTTATATATGCACAAGAGTGATATAGGGTAAAAATATGCCCAAGTCTGAAGAACCAACCCCTTTCATTATATATAAAATAAAAATACTAAGTGGCAAAAACAAGGGCTTAACTTCAGAGAAAAAAAAAAAAAAAACAGTTTGCCAGCAGAGCCAGCATGTAAGCAATGGCCATCTTTCCTGTACTTAATAGGTGTGAGGGCCCATCATCCTTCTGCGTCATTCCCTGATATGAAAGGATCTGATAAGTCCTTCCCCATTTCCAACTTCATCATGAACAAAAGGGAAGACTGCCTTTAACTTTAAACAGAAACTAACTACAGTATAGTTTAGTTGTTTATTTTTAAGACTGGTGTTGACTAGTAAGCCCCATTTTGCTTCGGGCTGATTCAAGTGTTTTTTGAACAATTAAATTATTCTGTTTCCTGAAACTTTCAAATTATCCCTATTTCCCAATATTAATGGTTTGACTTTGTACTGTATAATACTTTGCACGTTTCCAAGCACTTACATGTACATTCCCTCTTTCAATTCTAACGGGCTCAAATTAGGGACTTGTCCAATGTCATAAAATTAATAAATGGCTGAGCTAGGTCTTGAATCTAGCTCTGTCTGGTTATAAACCCAGTTATTTTTCCACGACAAGCAGCTAAATATCTACCAGAATGACTGGATGTTGGTAATAATAGAAATAGAGGGTAACCCACTGCAATTACATTTGTTATTTTTGGTTTTCCTAGGTTCACAGTCCTGAGTACTAAGAGGTTCAGGCTAAAAAGAGAGTCGCTATTGTTAGTGACTCTATTCTCCTCCAGGGTATTTTCCAAGAACTATTCACAAACTAGACTGGGCAGGAACTGGCCATGTGAGAAGGGGGAGGGTAGCTGTGAGGTCAGCAGGCTCTAACTCCTCGGACTCTGAGCCAACTTGTCCAGTTGCTTCAGCCTGAGCCAGGGTGAACAAAGCCAAGTTAGGCAGGAGTCAGGCATTCTATTCAACCAAGTTCAATAGAGGAGAGTCCAAGGAAAGCAGAATTTCAGGGTAGTTTTTTATTCAGTAAGCTGACATTTGGGAAACGGCAGTCAAATAAATGCAGAAAGGCAATGATTCAATCGACTTTGTACTAAGTTAGTGTTTCTCAAAAAAGGAAGCTGAAGCGAACCCTCCAGAATCCTAATGTCCTTGGACCACTCAGCTTCTGGTGCACCAGTAGTGCTGCCTTTTTTCTATCTATAAAATATAACTTCAGCTGGGTGCTGTGGCTCACACCTGTAATCCCAGCACTTGGGAGGCCAAGGCAGGTGGATCACAAGGTCAAGAGATCAAGACCATCCTGGCCAACATGGTGAAACCCTGTCTCTACTAAAAATACAAAAATTAGCTGGGCGTGATGGCACGTGCCTGTAGTCCCAGCTTCTCAGGAGGCTGAGGCAGGAGAATCGCTTGAACCCGGGTGGCAGAGATTGCAGTGAGCCAAGATAGTGCCACCACACTCCAGCCTGGCGAATTTATATATATATATATATATATATATAACTTACCTGTTGATCTATGCTGGGTTGGACACAAGGGAAATCCCTTTTACCTACATTTTCTTTCCAGGCACTTCAGGACACTAAGACATCCTAATCAAATCCTTTCCATCCACTGTATTCACTACCCCCAATTATACAGACCTCAAACTTCCAGTTCCACCTCTTCCTCTGACCCTTTGACGGAAAATGCTAGTCAATCTGGACTTTATTTCAAATAGAGTGGTCACATACTGGGAAGGGATCAAGGGAATCATGAGATATTAGAAGATGGTAGAGTATCATGGCCTTAAGTAAAGGTCAGTGAGAGGACACTTAGAAATGATCTAAATCATAAGGCATAAATTCAGCAACTGCTCTTAAGTTTTCTTTCCTTTTCTTTTTATTTTTTTGAGACAGAGCCTCTCTCTGTCCCCCTGGCCGGAGTGCAATGGTGTGATCTCGGCCCACTGCAACTTCTGCCTCCCAGGTTCAAGCGATTCTCCTGCCTCAGCCCCCTGAGTAGCTGGGATTACAGGTGCCTGCCACCATGCCCATCTAATTTTTGGATTTTTAGAAGAGGTGGAGTTTCACCATGTTGGCCAGGCTGGTCTCAAACTCCTGACCTCAAGTGATCTGCCTTCCTCGACCTTCCAAAGTGCTGGGATTACAGGTGTGAGCTACCGTGCCAGGCCTCTGCTATTAAATTTTCTAAGAGAAATTTGCCTCCAGCCTCCTTTTAAAAGTATTTTCCACAGTTGCCAAGATTCTTCAATCCACTGTTAATCTATTTTGTTTCTCCTGTGTTCCATGCTGCCTGCTGCTGTCCCTCCTAAATGATACTAGCACAGAAGATATGTGTTTGACATCTTGGGAAGCCATATGAGGGCTTCAGGAAAGGGAAGGGTCAAGCCAAACAGCACAGGAAAAATAAGAATTTTACCATGAATTGAATTTTCTACCTTTCATTTTCACTGTATTCTTTATTTCTGTGGTGGTCTTTTAAAATATTTTCTCCACTCTTCTGTGGAAGGAAGGAAGGAAGAAAAAGAAAATATGACAAATACCTTTTACCTCTACCCTGACATGTTTTCATCATACGCTGTTGACACTCAGTCCAGAAGCAACTACGGGAAGAATGATGCAACCTCAGATGTTAGGACATCAGGACTGTGGCCAAAGAATTTTCACAACATACATGGAGCCTGGCCAGGCTTCAGCTTTGGCTAGACACAGGTTATTCTACACTGAGTTCTCCCTTGTCATTTCTAAAATCTGCAGGGCTCTGACTTTCCCAGCATGATTGCCATATATATCACAGGCTTTTTTTTTTCATTTTTTTCCAGTTCAGGGTTTTGGGGAAGGGAGCAAAGTAATTAGAGAAATGGACCAATTGGAGCCGGGCGCGGTGGCTCATGCCTGTAATCCCAGCACTTTGGGAGGCCAAGGCAGGAGGATCACGAGGTCAGGAGATCGAGACCATCCTGGCTAACACAGTGAAACCCTGTCTCTACTAAAAAAATACAAAAAAAATTAGCCGGGCGTGGTGGCGGGTGCCTGTAGTCCCAGCTACTCAGGAGGCTGAGGCAGAAGAATGGCGTGAACCTGGGAGGCAGAGCTTGCAGTGAGCCGAGATCGTGCCACTGCACTCCAGCTTGGGTGACGGAGCGAGAGAGCGAGACTCTGTCTCAAAAAAAAAAAAAAAAAAAAAAAAAAAAGAAGAGAGAGAAATGGACCAATTGGAAAAGTTTTGGTCACAATATTGAAATAATTTGCAGAAACCTCTAGACTTC
Source organism: Homo sapiens (assembly GCF_000001405.40). NCBI lineage: Eukaryota > Metazoa > Chordata > Mammalia > Primates > Hominidae > Homo > Homo sapiens. The sequence goes on along the minus strand of NC_000010.11, from coordinate 63,113,549 downwards.
TTCCATCATCATGGAGCAAATATTCTTGGCTGGCTTTAACAGGATGTTTACTTTGTAAACGTATAAATAATTAATCCTTTTTTTTTGTTGTTTTTTTGGGACAGAATCTCGCTCTGTCACCCAGGCTGTAGTGCAGTGGCGAGATCTCAGCTCACTGCAACCTCCATCTCCCAGGTTCAAGCGATTCTCCTGCCTCAGCCTCCCTAGTAGCTGGGATTACAGGTGCGTGCCACCATGCCTGGCTAATTTTTGGATTTTTAGTAGAGAAGGGGTTTCACCATGTTGGCCAGGCTGGTCTCAAACTCCTGGCCTCAAGTAATCTGCCTGCCTTGGCCTCCCAAAGTGCTGGGGTTACAGGTGTGAGCCACTGCACCTGGCTTAATCCCTTTTTGGATAGGTGCCTTCTCATTAATGACTTACATTCTTCCCCTTTTCTTATGAACCTTACCGCACAGATTTGAATAAATTATAATCCTTGGTTCATGACCAATTGTCATCAGTGGTTCATGCATGGTACCTTTTGTTTGTAGTTAATTTGATTTACAATGTAATGAATATCCACCACTACTCCAAAACAAAGCTGATGTGAACATTCCTGTACATGTTTTCCTGAGTTCATGTGCATGCATTTAGCTAAACACTTATATAGGCTAGAATTGCTGCATCAAGGATTATGCATATGTTTGGCTTTAGCAGAGATCGCCAAACAGTTTTTCAAAATACACTACCACCAGCAGTGAATTAAAATGCCACTTGCTTTAAAAGGTTGTCAATAGTTTGTATTCTTTGTCTTTTTAATTTTAACAATTTTACTGGATATGAAGATTGTCTTACTCTTTAACCCCTTAAGAGCTGACTTCTGTTCCCATTACTTTATGCAGTTAAACAAGGTGCTTCTGAAGATATCTCTACTAAGCTCTTGATCATCAAGTTTAATGACTTTTCTTCAATTCTTGTCCTTCATCTCACAGTAATATTTAACACCACTTTTTTCTTGAAACTCTATTTTTTTGACTTCTATCATACAGTATTATCTTAGAAGGTACTCATTTATCATTTATCCATAATTTCAAAATCCAATATACCCTGAAAACTAAATTCTTTTTTTTTTTGAGACAGAACCTTGCTCTCAAGGTTTTTGTTTTGTTTTGTTTTGTTTTTGTTTTTTTTTTGAGACAGAACAAAGCTGGAGTGCAGTGGTGCGATCTGGGCTCACTGCAATCTTCACCTCCCAAGTTCAAGCAATTCTCGTGTTTAGCCAACCAAGTAGCTGGGACTAGAGGTCCCTGTGCCACCATGTCCAGCTAACTTTTGTATTTTTAGTACAGACAGGGTTTCACCATGTTGGCCCCGCTGGTCTCAAACTCCTGATCTCAAGTGATAACTTCCTTGGCCTCCCAAAGTGTTGGGATTACAGGTATGAGCCACCGCACCTGGCCTGTTTTTTTTTCTTTTTCTTTTTGTTTTTTTCTATTTTTTTTGAGACAGGGTCTTGCTCTGTTGCCCAGGCTGGTGTACAGTGGCACAATCATGGCTCACTGCAGCCTCCACCTCACAGGCTCAAGTGATCCCCCCACCTCAGTCTCCCGAGTAGCTGGGACTATAGGCATGCACCACCACCCCCAGCTAATTTTTAAACTTTTTATAGAGATAGAGTCTCACTGTGATGCTCAGGCTGGTGAAATTTTTATACACTCATTTAATGGCACACTCATCCTGAACTGTCACAAGACTATTTTTGGTCCTTCTTTAACCCACTTATGAATATTCACATGATTCATTAAAGATTTATCAATGTGTTTGATTGTGAGATACTTTCCCAGTCCCTGTTCTATAATATAGAGTATAGGCACTATATTATCTTTCTAAAATCAGTAAATTCTGAATTCTGAAATATATCTGACTGACTCGGAGTTTTGGGCAAGATTTTGTGGACTGTGGTTGAAAAAGTATAGAGTCCTATGAACCTGGGCATGGATCCCATTTCACTTAATGTCTTGAAACGTCAGCTGTTGTTACTTTTTATTTTTATTTTATTTTATTTCATTTTTTGAGATGGAGTTTCACTCTTGTCACCCAGGCTGGAGTGCAATGGCACAATTTCCGCTCACTGCAACCTCCGCCTCCCAGGTTCGAGTGATTCTCCTGCCTCAGCCTCTGGAGTAGCTGGGATTACAGGCACCCACCACCAAGCCCGGCTAATTTTTTTGTATTTTTAGTAGAGATGGGCTTTCGCCATGTTGGCCAGGCTTGTCTCAAACTCCTGACCTCAGGTGATCCACCTGCCTCGGCCTCCCAAAGTGCTGAGATTACAGGTGTGAGCCACCGTGCCTCGCCTGTTCCTTTTTATTTCTAAAACAGGGATGAAAATAGCTAGCTGATAAGGCTGTGAACATCTTTACTTTTATGACTCACATATCTACAACTCAATGTACTGTATTGAATACTGAGTTTACCATCCGGCCCTCCCCCTGACCATCTGCTTTTTTGTTTCCTATCTCAGGGCATGTCACTAACTGCCCAACTACTGGCTCAACTCAGAAACCTAAGCATCATCCTCAGTTTATTCCTTATTTTCCAGTTCATTAGCAAGTCCTGCCAACTACAAGTTCTGAAGATTTCTCAATTCTGCATACTTCTCTCTATTCCCATCCTACCTATTTTATTATAAAAACCTCCTAACTTGTCATTCTATTTCCAATGTTACTATTTTTCACTTCACTCTCCACACTAAAGCCAAAGTGATCAATGTAGATATGGTTCTGTCAGTCTCTTGCTTACAGAGTTCCACTGGCTTCCTATTGCCCTGAGACAAAGCCCCAATTCTATCATGACTTCCAAGGCCTTCCAAGGTTCTCTGTTGACCTCTCTGGTATTATCTAGAAAATACTTTTGGTTTTCGGCTGGGTGCAGTGGCTCACGCCTGTAATCCCAGCAGTCTGGGATGCCAAGGCGGGCACATCACCTGAGGTCAGGAGTTCGAGACCAGCCTGGCCAACGTGGCGAAACCCCGTCTCTACTAAAAATACAAAAATTAGCGAGGTGTGGTGGTGGGCGCCTGTAATCCCAGCTACTGGGGAGCCTGAGGTGGGAGAATCACTTGAATCCGGGAGGTGGAGGTTGCAGTGAGCCGAGATTGTGCCATTGCACTCCAGCCTGAGTGACAGAGCAAGACTCTATCTCAGAAAAAAAAAAAGAAAATACTTTTGGTTTTCTGACGTACCATACTTTCTTGTTCTCTGGCCTTTGACCAGCGTTTACCTGCAGTCTGAAGCACTCTTTTCTCCACTCTTTGTTTTTATCTTTAAATTTAATTGCTTCACAAATTTGCATGTCATCCTTGCACAGGGGCCATGCTAATTTGCTCTGTATCATTCCAATTTTTAGTATATATGCTGCTGAAGTAAGCACCTTTTCTCCACTCTTTTTTAATTTTAATTTTAATTTTTTTTTTTTGGAAATGAAGCCTAGCTCTGTCACCCAGGCTGGAGTGCAGTGGCGCGATCCCAGCTCACTGCAACCTCCACCTCCCGGGTTCAAGCGATTCTCCTGCCTCAGCTTCCTGAGTAGCTGGGATTATAAGCACCCACCACCACGCCCAGCTAATTTTTGTATTTTTAGTGGAGATGGGGTTTCACTGTGTTGGCCAGGCTGGTCTCAAACTCCTGACCTCGTGATCTGCCCTCCTCAGCCTCCTAAAGTGCTGGGATTACAAGCGTGAGCCACTGCGCCTGGTTCCTTAATTTTAATTTGTATTTAGAAATGGGGGTCTCACTATGTTGACCAGGCTGGTCTTGAACTCCTGGTCTCAAGCAATCCTCTCATCTCAGCCTCCCAAAGTGCTGGGATTACAGGCATGAGCCACCACACCCACCATTCCCCACTCTCTACCTGGCTAATTACATGCAAACTCAAGCCTTACCTTGGGTGAGATTTCTTTCTGGAAACCTAACCTGTTAATGGATTGAATTATGTTCTCCCAAAATTCATAGGTTGAAGTCTTAACAACTAATATGATTATATTTGGAGACAGGGCTTTTAAGGAGATAATTAAGTTTAAGTAAGGTCGTCAGGGTGGGCCCTAATCTGATAGAAGTGGTATAATTGTAAGAAGAGGTAGAGAGACTAGACAAGGTGGCTCAATCCTGTAATCCCAGCACTCCCTCTTCAGTGGATCACCTGAGGTCAGGAGTTCAAGACCAGCCTGACCAACATGGTGAAACCCCGTCTCTACTAAAAATACAAAAATTAGCCAGATGCGGTGGCGGGTGCTTGTAATCCTAGCTACTCAGGAGGCTGAGGTAGGAGAATTGCTTGAACCCGGGAGGCAGAGGTTGTAGAGTGGTGTGAGATCACACCACTGTACTCCAGCTTGGGAGACAGAGTAAGACCCTGTCTCAACAACAACAACAACAACAAAAAGAGTCAGAGACACCAGGGGTATGTCTGCACAGATGTAATTGCCCTGTGAGTTCTTGCCCATAGCAAAGACAAAACTACTTCACTGAGAACATGCTATTGCAGTAGAGAAAGAGTTTAATCAACATGAGGCTGGCCACGCAGGACATAACAGTATTACTCAAATTAGTCTCCCCAAAGGCTCAGAGGTTAGGATTTTGATGGACAATTTGGTGGGGGGTAGGGGGACATAGGGAAAGGGTGCTGCTGATTGGTGAGGGATGAAATCACAGGGTGTGGAAAATGGTCTTTATATGCTGAGTCTGTCAGTGGGGCCACAGGACCAGTTGAGTCATCAGTCATGACCAGGTGGGGTCAGTCTGGAAAACATCTCAGAAAACCAATCTTAGGTTCTATAGGCTGAGTGCGGTGGCTCACGCCTGTAATCCCAGCACTTTGGGAGGCTGAGGCGGGTGGATCACAAGGTCAGGATATCGAGACCATCCTGGCTAACACGGTGAAACCCTGTCTCTACTAAAAATACAAAAAATTAGCCGGGCACTGTGGCAGGTGCCTGTAGTCTGAGCTACTCGGGAGGCTGAGGCAGGAGAATGGTGTGAACCCAGGAGGCAGAGCTTGCAGTGAGCTGAGATTGCACCACTGCACTCCAGCCTGGGCAACAGAGCAAGACTCAGTCTCAAAAAAAATAAAAGTAAAAAAAAAAAAGAAAACCAATCTTAGGTTCTACAATAGTGATGTTATCTATAGGAGCAATTAGGGAAGTCATAAGTCTTGTGACCTTGTACCACATGGTGGTACCCCTGAGCAGTAAGGGATTATAGGAACTACGCCTACATTTTAGCAAAATTCACGTCATTCCTTTGATCCTAATCTTGTGGCCTTTCGTTAGTCTTACAAAGGCAGTTTCAGCCCCTGAACAGGGATTGGATTAATTTTAGGGACTACTGTCATCCTTGCTTCAAAGTTAAACTAAAATGCTCCCAAAGAGAGCTTGGCCTGTGCCCAGGAATGACCAAGTATGGCTTGGAGGTCAGAAGCAAGATGGAGTCAATGTTGTCAGATTTCTCTTACTGTCATAATTTTGCAAAGGTGGTTTCACAGAGAAGGCCATGTGAGGAGACAGCAAGAAAGCAGCTGTCTGCAAGGCAAAAAGAAAGACCTCAGGAGAAACCAGGCTTGCCAGCACCTGGTCTCCAACTTTCAGCCTTTAGAACTGTGAGAAAATAAAACTTTGTGCCTTAAGCCACCCAGTCTGTGTTATTTTGTTATGGTTGCCTTTGCACACTAACACACAATCTTTTGAGGCAGAGTTTCGCTCTCATCACCCAGGCTGGAGTGTAGTGGTGTGATCTCGGCTCACTGCAAACTCCGCCTCCCGGTTTCAAGCGATTCTCCTGCATCAGCCTCCTGAGTAGCTGGGATTACAGGTGAGCGCCACCATGCCCAGCTAATTTTTGTATTTTTAGTAGAGATGGGGTTTCGCCATGTTGGCCAAACTGGTCTCAAACTTCTGACCTAAGGCCTGCCTCAGCCTTCCGGTGTGCTGGGATTACAGGTGTGAGCCACTGAGCCCAGCCCGTAATACATAATCTTTCCTCTGTCTTCCATAGTGTGCCTTAGAACCTTTACCACATGATATTGTAGTTATCTGTTTTGTCCTTTATGTCCTCCTTTTAGACTGGAAGCTGTCCAAGAGCAGGAATTTGTCTAGCTTCTTCACCACCATAACCCAGCACCTGCGTAGTAGCCAGCACATTGTAAAGAAAAAAACAAACTGTTTTTCTCTCTACTCACACCCAACACAAAACACTTCTGTGAAGAGATGTGTGGGTTTTTCACCACACACCAAGCAATTCTCCAGCAGATGCCAACTGGGTGTCCTATAATTCAATTCCATTCTGACGCTGCCTACCTGGAGATTGGGTCAGATCCCACAGGTTAAGGGTTCAGTCCCAAAAGGCTGCCCTGCTTCAGGCTCCAGTCCCAAGTCCCAGGTTTTGATCTGTGTTTCTTGCTGACTGATTACAAATTGAATTCCCACAACCCTCCTTCCCCAGGATTTGGTTTAATGGTCTATATTATAAAGGATATAGGTCTGGGTGCAGTGGCTCATGCTTGTAATCCCAGACTTTGGGAGGTCGAGGCAGGCGGATCTCTTGAGGCCAGGAGTTTGAGATCAGCCCAGCCAACATGGTAAAACCCCGTCTCTACTAAAAATACAAAAATTAGCTGGGGGTGATGGCACACACCTGTAATCCCAGCTACTCAGGAGTCTGAGGCAGGAGAATCACTAGAACCCTGGAGGCAGAGGTTGCAATGAGCCAAGATAACACCACTGCACTCCAGCCTGGGCAACAGCGTGAGACTCTGTCTCAAAAAAAAAAAGAAAAAATAGATAAAGGATACAGATGAACAGCAAGATGAAAAGATGCATAGGGTATGATACGGGGAGGGATGCAGAGACACCCTCCTAGTGTAACCACGCAAGGGGTTGTTCACCTTGCCAGCTGCCTAAACAGAGCCGATTCATCAAGACGGGAATTGCAATAGACAAAGAGTAATTCACGCAGAGCTGGCTGTGCGGAAGACCAGAGTTTTATTGTTACTCAAAGCAGTCTCTCTGAGCATTCAGGGATCAGAGTTTTTAAGGACAAGTTGGTGGGTGCGGGGAAGCCAGTGAGCCAGGAGTGCTGATTGGTCAGGGATGAAATCATAGGGAGTGGAAGCTGTCTTCTTGCACTGAGTCAGTTCCTGGGTGGGGGCCACAAGATCAGATGAGCCAGTTTGTCCATCTGGGTGGTGCCAGCTGATCCATCAAGTGCGGGGTCTGCGAAATATCTCAAGCACTGATCTTAGGAGCAGTTTAGGGAGCGTCAGAGTCTTGTAGCCTTCAGCTGCATGACTCCTGAACCATAATTCCTAATCTTGTGGCTAATATTAGTCCTGCAAAGGCCATCTAGTCCCCAGGCAAGAAGGAGGTCTGCTTTGGGAAAGTGCTGTTATTGTCTTTGTTTTAAACTACAAACAATAAACTGAGTTTCTCCCAAAGTTAGTTCAGCCTATGCCCAGGAATGAACAAGGACAGCTTGGGGGGTAGAAGCAAGTTTGAGTCGATTACATTAGATCTCTTTCACTGTCTCAGTCATAGTTTTGCAAAGGCAGTTTCACTATTACTCAGGAAATTCCAAGGGTTTTAGGAACTCTGTCATAGGAACCTGAGACAAAGACCAAATGTATTTCTTATGCCACATACATTACAGGCACTCAATTAATATTTTTGAATAATAAATAAATTAGTGAAGTAGCACATGTGAATGTCCTACCATAGTTCTCAGTACATATCAACAGTAAGTGTAGCCAGGCTCGGTGGCTCACGCCTGTAATCCTAATCCCAGCACTTTGGGAGGCTGAGATGGGTGGATCGCTGAGATCAGGAGTTCAAGACAGGCCTGGCCAACATGGTGAAACCCCGTCTCTACTAGAAATACAAAAATTATCCAGCTGTGGTGCTGGGTGCCTGTAATCCCAGCTACTCTGGAGCCCGAGGCAGAAGAATCGCTTGAACCAGGGAGCTGGAGGTTGCAGTGAGCTGAGATCGTGCCATTGTACTCCAGCCTGGGCAACAAGAGTGAAACTCTGTCTCGAAAAACAAAAAAAACAGTAAGTGTGAGATCACTTTTTTTGTTTTTGAGACAGGGTCTCACTCTGTTGCCCAGGCTGTAGTGCAGTGGCATGACCACCACGCCCAGCTGGTTTTTAAGTTTTTTGTAGGGATGAGGTCTTTCTCCTGTTTCTGATTGCTTTTTCCTGTCACCAGCTCCCTCTCCCACCCAGTAAATGTAGTTGCAGCTTGATCTCACTGTGTTGCCCAGGCTGGGGTGCAGTGGTGCGATCTCAGCTCATTGCAACCTCCACCTCCTGGGTTTAAACGATTCTCCTGCCTTCACTTCCAGAGTAGCTGGAATTATAGGGGCCCGACACCACACCTGGCTAATTGTTATATTTTTAGTAGAGATGGGGTTTCACCATATTGGCCAGGCTGGTCTTGAACTCCAGACCTCAAGTGATCCTCCCACCTCGTCCTCCCAAAGTTCTAGGATTACAGGGATGAGCCACCTCGCCCAGCCCCCAGCTCCATCTTGCTTCTAACTTCCAAGCTGTCTTTGTTCATTCCTGGGTGTAGGGTGAACTAACTTTGGGAGGAACTTAGTTTATAGTTTATTATTATTATTACTTTTTGAGATGGAGTTTCGCTCTTGTTGCCCAGGCTGAAATGCAATGGCGCGATCTCAGCTCACTGCAACCTCCGCCTCGCAGGTTCAAGGGATTCTCCTGCCTCAGCCTCCCACGTAACTGGGATTACAGGCATGCACCACCATACCTGGCAATTTTGTATTTTTAGTAGAGATAGGGGTTTCACCATGCTGGCCAGGCTGGTCTCGAAATCCCGACCTCAGGTGATCCACCTGCCTTGGCCTCCCAAAGTGCTGGAATTACAGGTGTGAGCCACCACGCTTGGCCAATGGTTTATAGTTTAAAACAAAGGCCCTTTCCCAAAGCAAACCCTTTTCTTGCCTGGGAACTAGACGGCCTTTGGAGGACTAACAAATTAGCCAAAAGATTAAAAATTATGGTTTAGCAGTCAAGCAGCTGGAGGCTACAAGATTCTGACCCTCCCAAATTGCTCCGGGGGATAACATCACTATTGTAAAGCCTAAAATCAGTGCTTGAGATATTTTGCAGACCCTGCACTTGATGGATCAGCTGGTACCACCCATATTGATAAACTGGCTCATCTGATCTTGTCACCCCCGCACCAGGAACTGACTCAGCGCAAGAAGACAGCTTCCACTCCCTATGACTTCATCTCTGACCCAACCAATCAGCAGTCCCGGCTCACTGGCTTCCCCCAGCTCACCAAGTTGTACTTAAAAACTCGGATCCCCAATGCTGGGGGAGACTGATTTGAATAATAATGAAACTCTGGTCTCCCGCACAGCCGGCTCTGTATCAATTACTCATTCTTTATCGCACTTCCCCTGGTAAATTGGCTGTCTAGGCAGCAGGCAAGGTGAACCCATTGGGCAGTTACAAGCCACTATGCCTGGCTAAAAATTATGTTTTGAATAGGTAATACATTTGCATGCTTCAAAAATTCCAAAGGCCAATTTCCCTCGCTGGAGGCATCTTCTGTGGACTTTGAGAGATACACATATCAATCCATACCGCAAGAGATGTATAGTGTACACACTATTCTCTACCTTTCACTAGACAATGTATCTTGGAAATCTTTCTATATCAGTACAGAAAGACCATAGCCAAACAGAAGTTTTTGCATGTTGCCATTGTCTTATCTTCCTAATCTCCCATTCTTTCCTTAATCTATTCTAATATGGCTTCTGTATCATCTAATGGAATCACTATTTTCTTTTTTTTTGAGACAGAGTCTCATTCTGTCACCACGTTAGAGTGCAGTGGTGCGATCTCGGCTCACTGCAAACTCTGCCTCCCGGGTTCAAGCGATTCTTCTGCCTCAGCCTCCCAAGTAGCTGGGACTACAGGCATGCACCACCACACCCAGCTAATTTTTGTATTTTTTGTAGAGACGAGGTTTCACCATGTTGGCCAGGATGGTCTAGATCTCTTGACCTTGTGATCCACCTGCCTTGGCCTCCCAAAGTACTGGGATTACAGGCATGAGCCACTGCTCCCGGCTTAGAATCACTATTTTCAAGGGCACTAAAGACCTTCCATTGCCAAGTCCAAAGGACTGGACTGCGTGCCAGTCCTTATCCTATTATACTTCTTGGCAGCATTTGATGCGGCAAACCCTATCTTCCTCTTAAAACACTTTATTGCCTTGTGGAGAATAATTTTCTGTGAAGAGAATGAAGCATAGGACACAGGGCTTTTCACTGCCACCTGCTCCTTCCAAGGACCTACAAGGAATTCTAGCCATGAGTTCACAAGGTCATGTAATTCTGTATAATTTGCAAACTATTTTTACCACAGTCAGTCAAGACCACTGTCTCTTTTCACTCTGACCTCTTCTTGATCACATTCTTTCTGCATTTTGGGATCCAGCTCAGGAAAGTTGAGTTACAAACATTTAGTTTGGATTTGGTCATACCAGTGTGGTCATACCATATAGAAGGAGTTCCAGGAATATTCTTTCTACCTCTGCACCATCTCACCCAGGGTTGTGACATGAAGGTGCAAGGCTTGATGTCATATGATAACATCAACAATTTCTATGGCATTCTGCTCTGTAAGTACATAAAATTGGGGGCCCAGCAAGGTGGCTCACGACTGTAATCCTAGCACTTTGGGAGGCTGAGACGGGTAGATCACTTGAGCCCAGGAGTTTGAGACCAGCCTGGCCAACATGGCGAAACCCTGTCTCTACAAAAAATACAAAAAATTAGCTGGTCATGGTGGCACATGTCTGTAGTCCCAGTTACTCAGGAGGCTGAGGCATGATAATCGCTTAAAACCAAGAGGCAGAGGTTGCAGTGAGCTGAGTCACGCCACTGAACACCAGCCTGGGTGACAGAGCAAGACTGTTTCAAAGCAAAAAAAAATTGGGGAAAAACAGTGTTTGAAACACGTAGAACCAGAAGCTAATCTGTAAAAATTTCTTCTAATTTGAAGCATATAAACTTGTAAGCAGAGGAATTAGATTCTCACTGACAGCATATTAAATTAGAAATCCTCTTCTGTTAGGAATATACTTTTTTTTTTTTTTTTGAGATGGAGTTTCACTCTTATCGCCCAGGCTGAAGTGCAATGGTGCAATCTTGGCTCACTGCAACCTCTGCCTCCCAGTTTCAAGCAATTCTCCTACCTCAGCCTCCCAAGTAGCTGGGATTACAGGCATGTGCCACCACGCCCAGCTGATATTTTCTATTTTTTGTAGAGATGGGCTGGTCTCGAGCTCCTGACCTCAGGTGATCCACCTGCCTCAGCCTCCCAAAGTGCTGGAATTACAGGCATGAGCCACCACGCCCGGCTAGGAATATACTTGATCGTGCAGCATATATATCTAAAAAAGTACTGTTTTTAAAAAATGGACATGAGGCAAAATAAAATTTGTCAGAATTCCTGTTTCTAGGGCAGAAACCTGAAGAGTACTACAATGAGTATACACATGTATGAAGTCATGGGTTTTATTTATTTATTTGTTTGTTTGAGATGGAGTTTCACTCTGTCACCAAGGCTGGAGTGCAGAGGCACAATCTCAACTCACTGAAATGTCTGCCTTTTTGGGTTCAAGTGATTCTCCTGTCTCAGCCTCCCGAGTAGCTGGGATTACAGGTGAGCACCACCACTCCTGGCTAATTTTTTGTATTTTTTGTAGAGATGGGATTTTGTTATGTTGGCCAGGCTGGTCTCAAACTCCTGGGCTCAACTGATCCCCCTGCCTTGGCCTCCCATAATCCTGGGATTACAGGCATGAGCCACCACACCCAGCCTGAAGTCATGGGTTTTATACATTCCAACACATGGGGTTGCATTTTTTAAAATTTATTTTTTATTTATTATTACTTTTTTCCTTAATGTTGTAAATAAAATTTCGGTGCACAAAAGAAATAGCACTCGAAAAAAAATTTTCTTTTTAATTTTCAGCAAGGCAAGTTACTTCTATAGAAGGGTGCGCCCTTACAGATGGAGCAGTGGTGAGTGCACACTTGGACAAGGGAGGGGAAGGGGATCCTTATCTCTGACACACGTGGCCCCTGCTGCTGTGTCGTTCCGCTATTGGCTAGGGTTAAGATCACACAGGCTAAACTAATTCCGATTGGCTAATTTAAAGAAAGTGACTGGGTGAGTGGTTTGGCAGGAAAAATGGTTATGCAGGGTGGAGAATGAGTCAGGGCGGAGCAGGTAGCAGGTAATCGGAATGAGTCGGGGTGGATAAGGTAATCGGAATGAGTCAGGGTGGAGCAGGTGATTGAAATGAGTCAGGGTGGAGCAGGTAATCGAAAAAGTTGCTTTATGAGGAAGTTAAGTTTAAAAGTAGAAGGCAAAGAATTGGACCTACTGACATATTGATTCTTTGAAAAGAAACTTAGAACTCATATCTAACATTAATAAAGGTGAATTCTCACTATGTTGCCTAGGTTGGTTTTGAACTCCTGGACTCAAGCATCCTCCGGCCTTGGCCTCCCAGTGTTGGGATTGCAGGTATGAGCTGCCGTGCCTGGCTGGATTGCATTTTAGTATATTTGTCACATCTTGTTCTTCAAAATCTCCTGGTTCTAGATGAAATAGCACAAAAACTGGCATCAGAAAGTGAAGTGGTCTGAAGAATCCAGACACAGAACTCCTGCACTTCTTCATCAGTAAGTCGATGTATGCAATATATAAGGAATTTGACTGCACAATTGTTCTATGCAATGTAGTAGCAATTTGAAACACATTTGAATTACTTTTGTATATGTCTTAGTTTTAGTTTTTTTTTGTACTGATGATCATTTCACTGTTCAACTATGATGAGGAGAAGGCATCTTTGTGGAAATCAAGAAAGAAGACAGAAGCTTTAAAATACTTTAAAGTTGCTGTAATACTATTACAACAGAAACTAAAAGCTCTGTTAGTTGCAATCAAGATTAGAAAAAAAAATTTTTTTTTGACAGGGTCTCACTCCATCACCCAGGCTTGGGTGCAGTGGTGAAATCATAGCTCACTGCAGCCTCAAACTCCTGGGCTTAAGGGATCCTCCTGCCTAGCCTCTTGAGTAGCTAGGACTACAGAGGGGTGCCGCCATACCTGACTGGGATTAGAAAAATATTCTTGATAGCCAAAAGAGAAAATAAGAATGACTATGATAATCAAGATACCCAAACAGGAAATAGAAAATGGAATAAGGAAGATGAAAGTAATAATAAAGAAAAAACAAATTTTGTGTAGTCAACAGAACACACAAGAAGGTCAGCAGGCGCTTCAGTTTGGTGAATTCATTGATTTTTTTTTTTTTAATGTGTTCTCATCTGAGAATTCACTGATTTTGATAATTGCCATGATCTTTCATTGTGGTCCATTATGATGAGCAATAATTTTATTCAGCACTGAATAATAGAAAAGTTTGCTTTTTCAAATTTTTGATCTATTAATATTTACAGAGGAGCAAACAGAGCAGCTCATGAAAAAACATGTTTCTCAAAGACATATCTGTTTAGAATGTTTAAAAATGGTCAAACTGGTATAACCTGCTTAGCCTATTCTAAGACTGAAGGTTGCATTTATCATTTTGTTAGTAAACTGTTTTCAACAGGGCAGACATTACAACAGATGGGTTTTGGGGATGGATAAATAAATTAAGAAGTTTCAAAAGTCAAGTACATTCCACAGAAAAATTAGGAGGCCATGTTTACTTAGAATACATGTAAATCAAATAAAAATGCACTAGACTAATTTCTTGAAAAATAAAACATAATGCTACAAAGAGTAGCTGTAGTTATTAAATTTTAAAATAAAAGTTGCTTCAGAGGTCATAGTAAAAATATAGTGTTCTTCACACAAAGGTACTTTCATAGGGATCATTGAACTAATTTCTGGATTCTATTCTATTTTTGCATTGTGACTTGGAAAAAAGTCAATATAAAAGAACAAATGTAACATCTAAAAACTTATGAAAGGTTAACAATATGTACAAAATGAAATAGTTACTGTTACTTTCTTTGAGACAGGGTCTCCCTCTGTCACTCAGGCTGGAGTGCAGTGGTACAATCTCAGCTCACTGCAACCTCCACCTCTCGGGTTCAAGCAATTCTCCTGCCTCAGCCTCCTGAGTAGCTGGAATTACAGGTGCCCTCCACCATGCCCAACTAATTTTTGTATTTTTAGTAGAGACAGGGTTTCACCATGTTGGCCAGGCTGGTGTTGAATTCCTGACCTCAAGTGATCTGCCTGCCTTGGCCTTCCAAAATGCTGGGATAACAGGCGTGAGCCACCACACCCGGCTTATTCTACATTATTAATAGAAGCACTCATGAGCCATTTTTAACTTTGGTTAATTGAAATCTATTTATTTGTGACTTTATTCGGCAATTGCAAGCTTCCATTGAACAGTATTCATGATCTGTTGTACTATTATGCAACTTCTAGGAAAGGTGAATATAAGGAGCTGGAGTCGGCTCGGTGGCTCACACCTGTAATCCCAGCACTTTGGGAGGCTGAGGCGGGTGGATCATTTGAGGTCAGGAGTTGGAGATCAGACTGGCCAACATGGTGAAACCTTGTCTCTACTAAAAATACAAAAATTAGCCAGGTGTGATGGTGGGCACCTGTAATCCCAGCTACTCGGGAGGCTGAGGCAGGAGAATTGCTAGAACCCAGGAGGCAGAGGTTGCAGTGAGCCAAGATTGCACCATTTCACTTCAGCCTGGGTGACAGAGCAAGACTCCGTCTCAAAAATAATAATAATAATAATAATAATAATTATGAGGAATTAAAAGCATTTTGATGGAGAAAAAGCTGCTCTGAGAATAACTAAAGCTGTTGGTGACTTCCACATTTTGCAGGTTATATTTTCCCTCTTGAGTTCTTTATATATGGAATATTTTATTTCATTTTATGTTGCAATACCATCCTGACACTCAACATATGTGGAATATCTTAAATAAACATGCCAACTTGGATTTTTCTGTAGTAAGTCTAAGTGTAAGGAGATTGCCATAGATGTTCTAAGCTTTGCAAGATGAATACAACGTTTTAAGGATTCTAAAACATTTTTCAGGCCAGGTGCAGTGGCTCACACCTGTAATCCCAGCACTTTGGGCGGTGGGCAGATCACAAGGTCAGGAGTTCGAGACCAGCCTGGCCAATATAGTGAAACCCCGCCTCTACTAAAAATACCAAAATTAGCCGGGCGTGGTGGTGGGCACCTGTAGTCCCAGCTACTCGGGAGGCTGAGGAAGGAGAATAGCTTGAACCCGGGAGGCAGAGTTTGCAGTAAGCTGAGATCACACCACTGTACTCCATCTTGGGCAACAAAGTGAGACCCCATCTCAAAAAAAACCAAACAGCAAAAAACAAAACAAAACAAAGAAACCAAAAAACATTTTTCAAAGACTCGGAAGAGAAAGACTAACACAACCTGATGCAAAGAGTTTATTTAAAATGTTAATGGGCTGGGCGCAGTGGCTCATGCCTATAATCCTAGTGCTTGGAAGGCTGAGGCAGGCAGATTGCTTGAGGCCAGCGTTTGAGACCAGCCTGAGCAACATGGTGAAACCCTGCCTCTACAAAAAACACAAAAATTAGCCATGCATGGTAACACAAGCCTGTAGTCCCAGCTACTCGGGAGGCTGAGATGGGACTTGAGCCCAGGAGGCAGAGGTGGCAGTGAGCAGAGAACTTGCCACTGTACTCCAACCTGAGCAACAGGGTGAGACTCTGTCTCAACAAATAAATAAATAAATAAATAAATAAATAAAATAAAATAAAATGTTTATGAAACTAGAATGTGCACTTTTAATTGCCATTTGGAAAATGTTTTGCAATATTTTAATAAAATAAGTGAGAAATTACAGACATCTGATTTGGACTTATATAAAGGATATTTTCTTATATCATTTAAAATTAACATAAGTTAAATATTAATAATATAGAAAAAATTCAGAATAAAAGATAAATTGGAAACAAAAGTGATAGAAAAATTTTTCTGATATTGAGAAGCAAATCATAAAAAATTTGCAGATTAAACCCAAAGCAGTAGCACGTTAAAAAGAAGAAAAATATTTTCAGTAGATGTAATGAATGAACTTACAGATTTTTTTTGAAAATCTCACTAGTAGAGGCAAATAAACACATTGGAAAAAGATTTAAATTTCTTGCTAATTTACATGAAAAACTGACTCTGATGAAGCTAACATAACATCTAATATGACACGATACAAGGACATCAATGACAATTGGTTAGTGAGTGTTGTAAATTCAAAAAGCAGTTAAGACAGTTACTACAAAAGATAACTTAAAATCCCAAATAACTTACAGATTGTAAAATAAACTTGATAGATGTTTTCCAAACTTGACATCATTCCTAAAAATATACATGACACTACAAATGATGACTTGTGAAGCTGAAAGAAATTTGTAAATTATTCATAATTCTTTTCTTTTTTTTTTTTTTTTTGAGACGGAGTCTCGCTGTGTTGCCCAGGCTGGAGTGCAGTGGCACGATCTCGGCTCACTGCAGCCTCCACCTCCTGGGTTCAAGTGATTCTCCCGCCTCGGCCTCCCGAGTAGCTGGGACTACAGGTGCATGCCACCACACCTGGCTAATTTTTTTGTATTTTTAGTAGAGATAGGGTTTCACCGTGTTAGCCAGGATGGTCTAGATCTCCTGACCTCGTGATCCGCTCTCCTTGGCCTCCCAAAGTGCTGGGATTACAGGCATGAGCCACCGCACCTGGCCTCATAATTATTTCAAAACCAAACAATCAACAATGCTAGAGGAAAGATTAAATTATCATTCTATTCATACCATAAACAATTACATTGCAAAGATATAGCCATATGAAGCCAAAACATGTAAAAAAAACTTATTATGTGGTGATGTTTTTTCTCATTCTAAGTAAGTGTTTACTCTGAACCTAATTTTATTTTAATAACTTTGCATCTTTTAAATTGAAGCAGACTCTGGCCAAGCTTGGTGGCTCATGCCTATAATCCCAGCACTATGGGAGGTCAAGGCAGGAGGATCGCTTGAGGCCAGGAGTTCAAGACTAGCCTGGGCAAAATAGTGAGCTCCTGTCTCAAAAAATATTAGAAATAAATTCCTCTGGTGGATGCTGAGGTTTAGAAAAAAAAGAAAAAGAAAAAATAAAAATAAAAATAAAAGAAAATAAAGCAGATTCCTCCCAAATAGTAAAACCATGAGGCCCCACACAATGTGGATCTGTCCGCATTGGTTTCCATGATGGCCACTACCCTGGTTTTCCAATTGACTCCTTACCTCCTCCCCTATTCAATTTCTACCAGGTGTTGTGCCCCTGGGCTCTTTGCTGGGGACCCTCCTCTGCCCCAGACACACTTTCTCCCTTGTCACTCTCTGTGACTTTAATTAATTATTATTTTTTAAGAGAGATGGGGGTCTTGCTATGTTGCCCAGGCTGGTCTTGAACTCCTGAGCTCAAGCAATCCTCCTGCCTCGGCCTCCCACAGTGTTGGGATTACAGGCGTGAGCCACTGCACCCGGCCAAATGCTGTTTCCTCAGCCTGTGACTTTAAATACCAGCTACAGTTGACTCTTGAACAACAGGAGGTTGGGAGTACGGGATAGGGACTTGGGGTGCCAACTTCACTCAGTTGCAGATCTGCAAATAACTTGTTTTCCTTACAGATGGGGTCTTGCTCTGTCTCTCAGGATGGAGTGCAGTGGTGAAATCATAGCTCACTGCAGCCTCTAACGCCTGGGCTCAAGGAATTCTCCCACCTCAGCCTTCACAGTAGCTGGGATTACAGGCCCAACCCACTGCACCCAACCACATATAACTTTTGACTCTTCCAAAACTTAACTACTAATAGCCCATTGTTAACCAGAAGGCTTACCTATAACATAACATTGATAAACACATATTTTGTATGCTACGTGTGTTATATAACTGTATTCTTACAATAGAATAAGCTAGAGAGAACAAAATGTTATTAAGACAATCATAAGGCAGAGAAAATATATTTACTATTTATTAAGAGGATCATCATAAAGGTCTTCATCCTCATTGTCTTGGAAGAGGAGGGGTTGGTCTTGCTGTCTCAGGGTGGCAGAGTTGGAATAAAATCCATCGTAAGTGGACTCATGCAGTTCAAACCTGTGTCGTTCAGGGGTCAACTGTATATGCAGGCTGGCTTTAAATATCAGGTTTTAACCCAGCCTTTCTTTACCTTTGAACTCCAGGCAGCCTATTTGCCTATTTGAGTATTGGATCTCTAATAGACATCTCAAATGGAATGTGTCCAAAATAGAACTCTTGACACCCACTAAAGCAAATTAATGAACAACTATTCCTTCCTCAGATTTACCAACGTAGGAAATGGTGCCAAAACCACTCAGTTGCTCATGTCAAAACCACCAGTGGTCATCCTTGATTAATTGCTCTTTTACTCCCTTTAATTCCAATTCATTACCAAGTCCCATTGGCTCTTCTCCCACACCTATTCTTCTAGCCATCCATTTCTCTCCATCCTTGCTGCTAATAACCCTAGGCCAATCCACCATCATTTTTCCTGAACACCTGCAAACAGCCTCCCAGCTGGTCTCCCTGCCTCTCCTCTCACAGTGCAGTCATTCTCCACAGTCACAGCAATGAACCAAATTAAATAATGACCTTTCCTTGCTTAATAACCCTCCTCAACAACCCTCCTTTCTCATCACACTAATAAGAAAGTTCAACTCTTTACTTTGGCCTGTGAGGCCCTCTGTGGTTTGACCTTGGCTCACCTTTCCAAAGCAATCCTCCATTACACTCCTTACTAAACACATTCTAGTCCCAGCAGTCTTCCTGCTCCTAGAACCCTCCAGGCTTGAGGTGTCACTATAGTGACTCTGAACCAGGTGTTTCTTTTGCCTGGAATGCTCTTTCCCCATGGCTCATTCCTTTTGGTTATTCAGTTCTTGGCTCAGAGGATAGCTCCTTAGCAAGCCCTTCCCTAATCGCTTATTAGAGCGGTTCTCTATGAGGGTGGTACCACTCCCTAGCAGGCATTTAGGAAATGTTTGGGGACATTTTTTTTTTTTTTGAGATGGAGTTTCACATTTGTTGCTCAGGCTAGAGTGCAATGGTGCGATCTCGGCTCACTGCAACCTCTGACTCCTGGGCTGAAGTGATTCTCCTGCCTCAGCCTCCCAAGTAGCTGGGATTACAGGTGCCCACCATCACACCTGGCTAATTTTTTTATTTTTAGTAGAGACAGGGTTTCACCACGTTGGCCAGGCTGTTCTTGAACTTCTGACCTCAGGTGATCCTCCTGCCTTGACTTCCCAAAGTGCTGGGATTACAGGCATGAGCCACTGCGTCCAGCCATGTTTGGGGACATTTTTGTTGGTCACAATAATTGGGGGTGCTACTGGCATTTAGTGACAGAGTGGAAAGGGAGGTCAGGGATGCTAGATATCACACAATATACAATAGAATCCTCCCAATGAAGGACTGCCCTACATACCTTTTTTTTTGTAAGAGTGCAGCTACCCTACTCTCTCTCTTTCTCTCTCTCTCTCTTTTTAAAAGAGACAGGGTCTCACCATGTTGCCCAGGCTGGAGTGCAGTGAATATTCACAGGCAGGATTGTAGTGCACTGTAGCCTCAAGCTTCTGGGCTCAAGTGGTCCTCGCCCCTTAGCCTCCTAACTAGCTGTGACTACAGGTACATACCACCATACCCGACAGTACTACATGACTTTGACTGTTCCTCTGGACAGCCGTGTAGGGAAAAACCTGTACCAAGAACCCACTCCATAGAACCATAGAAATCTAATGGCTAAGTATTTTTTGCTTAGTTATAACAGACACTGAAATTTTTGGAAATGCAATTATCATGTAAATTGATGAAAGATAATCCTTTGTTTTGTTTGAAACATTACCTAGAATTGTTCCTTTTTTAGATAAATCAAGTCATCAGGGGTAATGCTGCTGATAATATTTGAGTCCTTCGTAACACTCCTATAATCAGTGGACGTTTGAGGCTATTACATTCACAGTGACTCACTGTTTGGAAGCAAACATCTGACAGTCTCATTATGTCTTCAAGTATAGTCATGCCCAATCATTTACATACTGAAATGCATCCTTTATTATAAATATGTCCTCTTATTTCTCTTTATTATAGTTAGGAACATATATACAGTATTCCTAATATATGTATACTTATATATTTTAAACCATGTGTGTATGTAGACTGTATCATCTATGAATTTCATTTTAGAATCACAAACTCTGTTATAAAATATGTTATTAATAAAGGCTATTGGGTCTGACAGAGTTGAAAAATACTGAGTAGAGAGTAGAATGGTGGTTACCAGGGATGGGGTGGGGGTGTGTGGGAGTGGCTGGGGAGATGGTGGATACAAAATTTCAGTTAGGTAGAAGAATAAGTTCAAGAGCTCTATTATATAACATGGTGACTAGAATTTATTTATTTATTTATTTATTTATTTTTGAGAAAAAGCCTCCCTTTGTCCAGCCTAGGCTGGAGTGCAGTGGCACAATTATGGCTCACTCAAATATTACCAGCGGCATTGTCCTTGATGACATGCTTTACCTAAATAAGGAACAATTCTACATAATGCTTAAAACAAAACAAAAGGTTATCTTTCATCAATTTACATGATAATTGCGTCTCCTCAACTGCCTGGGCTCAAGTGATCCTCCCACCTCAGCCTCCTGAGTAGTTAGAACTGCAGGCACTCACCGCCATGCCTGGCTAATTTAAAAATTTTTTGTTGGCGGGTAGGGGTCTTCCTATGTTCCCCAGGCTGGTCTTGAACTCCTGGGGCTCAAGTGTCCTCCTGACTTGGTCTCTGAAAGTGCTGGGATCATAGGCATGAGCCATCATGCCTGGCCCAATGTGTTGTATTTTAAAAAATTGCTAGGAGAGGCCGGGCGTGGTGGCTCATGCCTGTAATCCCAGCACTTTGGGAGGCCAAGGTGGCGGATCACGAGGTCAGGAGATAGAGACCATCCTGGCTAACACAGTGAAACCCCGTCTCTACTAAAAATACAAAAAAAATTAGCCGGGTGTGGTGGGGGGTGCCTGTAGTCCCAGCTACTTGGGAGGCTGAGGCAGGAGAATGGCATGAACCCGGGAGGCAGAGCCTGCAGTGAGCTAAGATCGTGCCACTGCACTCCAGCCTGGGTGACAGAGCAAGACTGTCTCAAAAAAAAAAAAAAAATTGCTAGGAGAGTAGATTTTAAGTGTTCTCACCACAAAACAATAATAAGTATGTGAGGTAATGTGTATGTTAATTTAGTTCGACTTAGCCACTCCCCAATGTATATATATTTCAAAACAACTTGTTGTGAGATAAATACATACAATTTTTATCAATAACTAATTAATAACAAAATAAAATATGTGTTATGAATAGAGGCTGCTGGGTCTTGCAGTATTGAAAAATATTGTCTCTCCCTATCACCTCACCTTATTTTATTAAAATTTTTTTTAGATTTTTTCAATCTTTGTTTGAAACCTTATTTTGTTATCATAGCAATTATCACTAGCTAATAGCTTCTTGTTAATTAATTTGTTGGTTTGATTGTTTTCTGCTTCC
Organism: Homo sapiens; assembly: GCF_000001405.40. Taxonomy (NCBI): domain Eukaryota; kingdom Metazoa; phylum Chordata; class Mammalia; order Primates; family Hominidae; genus Homo; species Homo sapiens. The sequence continues at coordinate 63,091,862 of NC_000010.11, read as the reverse complement.
CCACACTATAATGTAAGCTCTGTGATATTAGTGACCTTACCTTTTTTTTTTTTTAAGACGGAGTCTCGCTCTGTCAACCAGGGTAGAGTGCAGTGGCTCGATTTTGGCTCACTGCAAACTCCACCTCCCCAGTTCAAGCGATTCTCCTGCCTCAGCCTCCTGAGTAGCTGGGACTACAGGCGCATGCCACCTCACCTGGCTAATTTTTGTAATTTTAGTAGAGACGGCATTTCACTGTATTGGTCAGGCTGGTCTTGAACTTCTGACCTCAGGTGATCCACCCACCTTGGCCTTCCAAAGTGTTGGGATTATAGGCGTGAGCCACCGCGCCAGGCCTATCTGTCTTATTTAGTGTTTTTTTTTTTTTAAATTCTATTTTTATTTTAAGTTCCAGGGTAAATGTGCAGGATGTGCAGGTTTGTTACATAGGTAAATGTGTCCTGTGGTGGTTTGCTGCACCTATCAACCCGTCACCTAGCTATTAAGCCCAGCATGCATTAGCTATTTTTCCTAAAGCTCTTCATCTCCCCTTATTTAATGTTTTATCCTCAGTGCCAAGAACAGTGTCAAGCACAGAAGTTGGCCTCAATCAATGCTGATTGAATGGATGAGTGCATACGTAAATTAATGAATGAATGGAGACAATGGTGATCGTGTCTGTCTTCCTGTTCAGCCCCTTGGATTGAATTTGACTCCCTCTAGTTGAAGAGGTAAAGATAAGAAACTGACAGGAAGGTGTGGTAGAATTCTGCATATGAGGTAAAAACTTTTTTTTCGAGATTTTGAGAGATTCTAGATGTAGACAGATCTGTTTTTGGGGCTCAGGTGAGAAGATGTGGCACAAAATTGGGGAGGGGGTCAGTTTCCTTCCCTCTGTACTGCTCCCAGGGTTCCCTTGGTACTCTGAGGACTGGTAGCTTTGGTGGCTTCTAAAAAACCTTGGCAGAGCTTCTGTGGTTAGGAGAAGCCCATGATGTGGGAAAGCCGGAGCCTAGAACTACTATCTTGGCTGTAGGCACACGCGATGCTCCCCTTAGGGGCCTTCCAGAAACTTGTATCGGGGCAGATGAGTTAGGTTTGAGCAGCAGGTAGGAACTGAAGGGTACATCGTGAGTCATGGCCATTTGGGCACCAAAATTAACTCTGACCTCTTTTTGACTGCATAGGTTGATGGGGCAAGCAAGATACAGATTACATACACATAATGTCATTTTAAGTCATCCAGATCTTTAACATAATCTGTAGATATCATTATATAAGAGAGAACATTGAGCTATTGATTTTGTGTTGTCTCTCACCTGTCCTTAATTTGGAACCATCATAGTTGTGAATGTCAAGGCCTCTCAGCTGGGGGATCCTGTGGGAGCTGAAATCCAGCCCTTGCTTCACTCACTAAACCTCATGGGCTTCTTCTGCCTGGAGAAATACTTTTCCTTTTTTTCTCTTTTCTTTTTCTTTTTTTTCTTTTTTGAGACAGAGTCTCACTCTGCTGTCGCCCAGGCTGGAGTGCAGTGGTGTGATCTCGGCTCACTGCAACCTCTGCCTTCCGGGTTCAAGCAATTCTCCTGCCTCAGCCTCCCAAGTAGCTGGGACTACAGGCACCTGCCACCGTCTGGCTAATTTTTGTATTTTTAGTACAGACAGAGTTTCACCATATTGGCCAGGCTGTTCCCCAACTCCTGACCTTGTGATCCTCCCACCTCAGCCTCCCAAAGTGCTGGGATTACAGGCGTGAGCCACCACGCCTGGCCAATACTTTTTCTTAATTGACATGCGAATACCATCTGCTCACCAAGGCTTGGCGACTGTGGCTACCTAGAGGAAACATTTTTTATTGGCATGAAATATTTTCATGAGTGAATGGGATCCTCACCTTAATTCTTCTGACAGTTTCCTCCTGTGCACCTTTCTTTCTTTCTTTTTTCTTTTTTTTGAGACAGAGTTTCACTCTTGTTGCCTAGGCTGGAGTGTAATGGTGTGATCTCAGCTCACTACAACCTCCACTTCCTGGGTTCAAGTGATTCTCCTGCTTCAGCCTCTCGAGTACATGAGATTACAGTCATGAGTACATGAGTACGTGTACAGTTATGTACTCATTACATGATTACATTACATTACATGATTACAGTCATGAGTACATGAAATTACAGTCATGTGCCACCACGCCTGGCTAATTTTGTATTTTTAGTAGAGATGGGGTTTCGCCACGTTGGTCAGGCTGGTCTCGAACACTGACCTTAGGTGATCCACCTGCCTTGGCCTCCCAAAGTGGTGGGATTACAGGCATGAGCCATCGTACCCGGCCTCCTGTACACCTTTGAGCCTCTATGATGATGATGTCTCTTTGCATAACTAAGGCTGAAGGGGCAACTATGCCACCAGTACCTGGTAAAGAGAGCTAGCATAGTACAGAGCTCCCTGCATGGACTTCAGAGCCTGGAGTACCTGCGTATGGATTCCAGCTCTGCCATTTACCAGCTAAGTGACCTTGGGCAAGGAGTTTAATCTTTCTGTCCCTTAGTTTTCCTACTTGAAAATAGGGACGAGGCTGGGTGCAGTGGCTCACTTCTGTAATGCCAATACTTTGGGAAGCCTAGGCTGGCAGATCACTAGAGGCCAGAAGTTCAAGACCAGCCTGGCCAACATGGCAAAACCCCGTCTCTACTAAAAATACAAAAATTAGCCAGGCATGGTGGCACACACCTGTAATCCCAGCTACTTGGGAGGCTGAGGCAGGAGAATCGCTTGAGCATGGGAGGCGGAGGTTGCAGTGTACCGACGATGGTGTCTGTGACAAAGCGAGACTGTCTCAAAAAAAAAAAAAAGGATGATAACAATAATACTTCTCTGTTATGATTGTGAGATTTAAAATGAATTAACATATGTAAAGTGTGATCTCTCACATATAGAAACCCCATAGGTGCCACTGCAGCTGGGCAGCTGTGGCAGGCCATTCAAAAAAAAAAAAAAAAGAAACTGCATATAAAGGTTAGCTGTTGAGGTATCCTTTTCTTATTTAGCCTTGCTTTTGAGATATTTACAAAAAGTGGTGCTGCCTGCCTCGTATGGTCACCATCATAATAGCTGAACGCAGTTATCAGGGGCTATGATGTGCAGTGTCCCTGCCAACCATGGTGTGACTGCCAGCACTGCTGACACCAGCCCTGCCAAAGGCGGAGACACAGGTGAAGCCTGTGACAAGGGCTCTACCTCTGGTTGCTTAAGCATCCCTCAGTGGAGTATCCCATTTCTATCAAAGCCACGTGAATTGATTCTGTGAGAGACTCGCCTCTCCCTCAGTGCTCCATGGAGGTGCTGGTGAATCTTCCTGATCATTCCAGAGGACAGCTGAAGGTGGAGATGCTGGTTACAAAGTTTCAGGAATGTTCAGGAAGTAGGAAATGATCGAGGTGAAGTAGAGTGTAGGTTTTATTTTTAAATAATGGAAAAAGGAAAAAAAACAATGATAGTATTTACTAGTGGCTATTATGGCTAAAAACAGAAATGATTATGGAAGACAACAAAGAACCTAAAGGAAATCATGTCAATCAATCGGACAGTATTTACTGTGCATCGACTTTGTGCCAGCATAGTGCTCTTGGTAAGCTCATCTTCATTTTTCATGTCATGGCTTGCATAGAAAATGATGATATTGCCAGGCGCAGTGGCTCATGCCTGTAATCCCAGCACTTTGGGAGGCCGAGGTGGGCGGATCACGAGGTCAGAAGATCGAGACCATCCTGGCCAACATGGTGAAACCCCGTCTCTACTAAAAATACAAAAATCAGCTGGGCGTGGTGGCACGCGCCTGTAGTCCCAGCTACTCGGGAAGCTGAGGCAGGAGAATCGCATGAACCAGGGAGGTGGAGGTTGCGGTGAATAGAGATCGCGCCACTGCATTCCAGCCTGGGCGACAGAGTGAAACTCTGTCTCAGAAAAAAAAATAAAAAATAAAAAAGAAAGAAAATGATGATATTGTATGGACTCTGGGGTAAACTGATAAAGCAGACCTGGCCAGAAACACCAATCAAGGGGCTCTCACGCAGACCGTGCCTGCCTATCCTGAGATCTGAGGGGGATCAGTAGCTCCATTTGCCTGTAACCCTTTTATGGCACAATAAATTGTTGTTGGGAAGTTCTTAGAAGAGATCAATAAGAGCCAGATAATTGACAAAAGTTTCATGGAGGTGAAGGGAGAATTTTGAAAGCTGGGCAGGCTGGAGGGATGGTATTGACAGGAAAAGATATTCCAGCGGAGGAAATAATATGACCCAAGGCAGGGTAACTGGGGTGGAGGCAAGGTCTACGTGGTTAAGGGGAGGGCTGGAAACAGCGGCAAATGGCAACAGAGAGTTGATGTTAAAATGTTGTGGGATTTATGCAGACGAGACCCAGAATAGAGAAAGCCTAGAAAACTAGAATATTCAGGCTCAGGGAAGAAGGTGGTAAATATATTTTTAACTTATTTTTTTGAGACGGAGTCTTGCTCTGTCGCCAGGCTGGAGTGCAGTGGTGTGATCTCTGCTCACTGCAACTACCACCTCCTGGGTTCAAGCGATTCTCCTGCCTCAGCCTCCCGGGTAGCTGGGATTACAGGTGCCCGCCACCACACCTGGCTAATTTTTGTATTTTTAGTAGAGACAGGTTTCACCATGTTGGCCAGGATGGTCTCTATCTCTTGACTTTGTGATCTGCCCACCTTGGCCTCCCAAAGTGCTGGGATTACAGGCATGAGCCACCATGCCTGGCCAGTAAATATTTTTTTAAAGTCTATGTGCTGGGGAGAATGAGGAAACAGACACCTCTGTACAATGCTGGTGCAGTGTAAAAGGCACAACTCTTTGGAGAAAATTTGGCAGTATCTAGCAAAATTACAAATGCACATGTTCTTTGACTCAGGATTCCACTTCAAGGAATTTATAGATACAGATAATGTACAAAGTTATTTACTATGCCAATCTTGTAATAATCAGGATTAGAAACAAGATTTGAAAACAACTTTTGAATGCCCACTAATAAGGGGTTCATTAAATAAAGTATGGTACATCCATATAATGGAATACTGTGTGGATATACAAAAATAATGAGAGCTGGGACAGGCATCTGTAATCCCATTCACCTGGGAGGCTGAAGTGGGAGGATCACTTAAGCCTAGGAGTTTGAATCCAGTCAGGGCAACAGAGTGAGACACCATTTCTAAAAGAAGATAAAGAAAAGAATTAAAGAGTGAGAGAGGTATATGTACTATATGCTTGCACAGATATTAAGTGGAAAAAGCAAGGCACAGAATACAACGTTTAGAATGCTCACAAGGGCACAAAAAGCAAGAGAAAGAAGGTGTGTGTGTGTGTTGTTTGTTTATGTATAAAATAAAGAATACATTAAAAAAACTAATAAGACTGGTTGTTTCTGAGTCAGGAAACTGGTTGCTAAGGGACAGAAGTGGGAGGAAAACTTTTTATAGCCGTATCTTCTTCTTCCAAAAATTTGAACTCATGTGGGTCTATTATGTATTTAAAAATTAAAACAATTAAAATAGAGAAAATCCCTTGGACTACTAAAAATAAAAAAAACAGCATTTGTTATCTTAGATGCCCTAGATGTGCGGGATACTTCTTTTTTTTCTTTGAGACAGAGTCTTGCTCTGTCACCCAGGCTGCAGTGCAGTGGTGTGAACTCAGCTCACTGCAACTTCCCTGTCCTGGGTTCAAGCGATTCTTCTGCCTCAGGCTCTGGAGTAGCTGGGATTACAGGCATTCGCCACCATGCCTGGCTAATTTTGTATTTTTAGTAAAGATGGGGTTTCACCATGTTGGTGAGGCTGGTCTTGAACTCCTGACCTCAGGCGATCCACCCACCTTGGCCTCCCAAAGTGCTGGGATTACAGGCGTGAGCCACTGCGCCCAGCCCTACTTCTTAAGAGAGAAAAAAAATTACCCCAGCTTATATCTTTTGAATTAGGCCTTTGTTTTTTCCACTTTTTATGAGTCTCCTGGATTTCTGCTTTCTTACTAAATATCACAGTAATAGTGACTTGCTTTCAGTTTAATTCAAAATCTTTTAACATCATATGAACTTAATTAACCATCTAAAAAGATTCCATTGTGCTTATTTTTACATGGATTTAAATGAATTTTGCTACTCAAGCCCCAGACTGAAACATGTTATGTATGGAAATCATAATTATTCATATCATTTAATACTGCCCATTTCATGTAGGTGTTCAATAAAGATTGAGCAATAATGCCATCCCCATGTATATTAGCAAATGTTCCTTTTAACCTTGGTGAAACTATTTTATTTTTTGGAGAGAAGGTCTCTTTCTGTTGCCTAGACTGGAGTGCAATGGCACAATCATGGCTCACTGCAGGCTCAACCTCCCAAACCCAAGCAATCCTCCCACTTCAGCCTCTCGAGTAGCTAGAACTACAGGCGCACACCACCACGCCCAGTAAATTTATTTTTGCAGAGGTGGGGTCACACTATGTTGCCTAGGCTGGTCCCGAACTCCTAGCTTCAAGTGATCCTCCCACCTTGGCCTCCCAAAGTGCTGGAATTACAGACGTGAGCCACTGCACCCAGCCAGAAACTAACCAGTCTTATACATTGTTTTCCTCCTTGAAAAAGAAGTTGAAAATTGCCAAATGCACATTTTCCCCTGTTCCATGTCCAGCCACACCCTGTCTGGACATAAAAATGTAACCTCAGATTCGAGTTTGTCATTGGTAAGTACTTCCAGACACTGGGAAGCAACTTCTTTCTGTTCTCTGATCCCTACCCCGACAAAAGAGATGAAAACTTTTAAGCTAAAGTTTTCAAATAGTTCTTATAAAGAAAGCTCAAATATTTTAAATCAATAATTGGTCAATAAAGCAGATGTTCCTGAAGTAATACTCTTTATACATACATGGTCTGATCCCTCTGTAACATAGGAAAAGGGAATTTTCTCATAAAGTAGTATGATACTCCACAGGAGGGCCCTGGTTAAATTCCATTATCAAGGATGGCTAGACACAGCTTGCATTCTTGTTGTAATAAATATTGCTTAAAATATTTAAACTTCTTTCTGGGCCATGGAATTTAGTGTTAAAAATAGTCATTCTTGTGAGAGTTGTAGCTGTGTTTTAAATGATTGTTACATTTGCTGTCATTGCATATTTCTGTTCACCCAGATTGTAAAATTTAGGTTCCTAAAGCAGGAACAAAACACTCTTTCGCACCAGCCTGCTATTAATTGGAAAGAAGACTGGGAGGTTCATGGGCCAAAGGGGACAAGATGAGTCATCTCTCCTTTCTACCAAAGGGTAGACCATAACTGGGGCTTTTGGAAAGTCAAAGGAGAGTTTTTAATGACCTAGAAATAACTTTTTAAAATTTCCACAATCATGGGTGCAAATAGGACTGAGCAACAGGAAAGCAAATAAGGAACTAGGACAGAGCAAAGATTTTCCTGGCATCTTTGACCACTGTCAATCACAATATAGGTTTTCAATGATGTTCTTTTTTAGCCAGTGAGACACACATTCTTATCTATAGCAACAGGACTATCACAGAACATGCTCTTATGGAACTAATGTAGCACATTGTGAAAATTACTCTGGCATGTGCCAAGAATCTGATTTTCCAGTTTTTGGCACTAAAGGCCTGATTCCCCACTCCGCTCCCCTCCTCCCACAGGGTGTCCTGAGCAAATGCTCTTTAAACACAACGACAGTAATAGGAGCTGTTGAACATTTGCTGTCCTGTTTTTGTGTAGTTTCTAAATACGTCCTCTAGGTGTCTTCAGTGACCAGCATTCGTGGATATTTTCGAGTACTTCTGCCAGCTGGCCGAGTGTGGGTTCAGTTTGTAAGAACAAGTTCTGCAATCACTTCTATAGAGCATTTTGATAAATTAGAATGAAGTATTTTGGGTAATAAGTACTTCTAAGTATTTAATAAACTTTTCACATTCATTTTAGGTAAAATACTGATTTTCTATTTCTGCAATGTTGACTACTCAGAAAACTTTCTCCTAATACAAATGGTTTAGGTTAAATTGTTTTTAAAAATGCCACTGGGGCTAAAGAAAGCACATTTTTCCCCCATTGTTCTGTATTATTATTATTATCATTAGTTGTTAGTATTTTGACACAGAGTTTCGCTCTTGTTGCCCAGGCTGGAGTGCAATGGCGCGATCTCCGCTCACTGCAACCTCCGCCCCTGGGTTCAAACAATTCTCCTGCCTCAGCCTCCCGAGTAGCTGGGATGACCGGCGCCCGCCACCACGCCCGGCTAATTTTTTGTATTTGTAGTAGAGACAAGGTTTCACCATGTTTGCCAGGGTGGTCTCAAACCCTTGACCTCGTGATCCACCCGCCTCGGCCTCCCAAAGAGCTAGGATTACAGGCATGAGCCACTGTGCCCAGCCTATTATTTAAAAAAATATATATATATTTCAATAGGTTTTTTGGGAACAGGTGGTGTTTGGTTACATGAATAAGTTCTTTAGTGGAGATTTCTGAGATTTTGGTGCAACTATCACCTGAGCAGTGTACACTGTACCCAGTGTGTATTCTTTTTTTTTGTTTGTTTTTTGAGATGGAGTTTCGCTCTTGTTGCCCAAGCTGGAGTGCAATGGCCCGATCTCTGCTCACTGCAACCTCTGCCTCCCGGGTTCAAGCGATTCTCCTACTTCAGCCTCCTGAGTGGATGGGATTACAGGCATGCACCACCACACCCGGCTAATTTTGTATTTTTAGTAGAGACAGGGTTTCTCCATGTGGATCAGGCTGGTCTCGAACTCCCGACCTCAGGTAATCTACCCGCCTCGGTCTTTCAAAGTGCTGGGATTACAGGTGTGAGCCACCACACCCAGCCCAATGTGTAGTGTTTTATACCTCACCCCACTCCCACCCTTTCCCCCAAGTCCCCAAAGTCCATTGTATCATTCTTTGTGTCCTCAGAACTTAGCTCCTATTTATGAGTGAGAACATACGATGTTTGGTTTTCCATTCCTGAGTTACTTCACTTAGAATAATGGTCTCCAATTCCATCCAGATTGCTTTGAATGGCATTATTTTGTTCCTTTTTATAGCTGAGTAGTATTCCATGGTATATATATATACACCATATTTTCTTTATCCACTTGTTGACTGATGGACATTTGGGCTGGTTCCATATTTTTGCAATTGCGAATTGTGCTGCTATAAACATGCGTGTGTAAGTATCTTTTTTGTGTAATTACTTATTTTCCTTTTGGTAGATATCCAGTAGTGGGCTTGCTGGATCAAATGGTAATTCTACTTTTAGTTCTTTAAGGAATCTCCACACTGTTTTCCATAGTGGTTTTACTAGTTTACCTTCCCACCAGCAGTGTAAAAGTGCTTCCTTTTCACCACATCCATGCCAACATCTACTATTTTTTTTTTTTATTAAGGCCATTCTTGTAGGAGTAAGGTGGTGTTGCATTACGGTTTTGATTTGCATTTCTCTTATCATTAGTGATGTTGACCATCTTTTCATATGTTTGCTGACCATTTGTATAAATTCTTTTGAGAATTGTCTATTCATGTCCTTAGCCCACTTTTTGATGGGATTGTTTTTTTCTTCCTGATTTGTTTGAGTTCCTTGTAGATTTGGATATTAGTCCTTTGTTAGATGTACAGATTGCAAAGATTAAGAATGCACATTTTTTAAAGGGGAGCAGCTTTATTGAAAAATGTGAATTGAATTTGTATTATGGAAATTAGAGTGGGCACAAAAGACAGAGTCCAAGAAGACTCTGCAATAGGCTTAAGTTGTCAGGCTCTGGGATCCAAATTGTAATCTGTTTTCCTTTATTATTCACATTTGGGCTTGGAGAGAATTCTAAAAATATATTCAGTGGGAGGATCTGTTGTGAGGAGGGGGCTGTAATGTGGGATTTGACACTGATAAATGTGGGTGGGGTCAATGTGCATGTGGCCAGGGAATTTTTGTTGTAGGCTAGAGGATCTGTTGACTCTATCTACCAGCTCCATGACCCTGGCCTAGAATACTGATGACCCAACAGAAGTGTGCAACATCTAAAGTGGCACTTTCAATATCTTAAGATTTACATTCAAATAAGTGAAATAATTAATTTTCAATTATAATTAAAAGATAATAATAAAGCATTGGATGAAATCATCTACCTTTATTCCTTTGTCCCTAGAACTACTCAATGTCAAAGCATTTCTTTTTTTAAGCTTTTTATTTGGAAATAGTTTCAAACTTACAAAAAAGTTGTAGAAGTAAAGATAGTTATAAGGAACATTCCTATACCTTTTAACAGAATTGACCTATTGTTAGCATTTACCCCACTTACTTTGTCATCTGAACTCTTTGGTCTCTTGCTCCTTCTCTTTCTTTCTTTCATCTTTCTTTCTTTCCTTCCTTCCTCCCTCCCTCCCTCCCCCCTCCCTCCCTCCCTCCCTCCCTCTCTTTCTTTCTTTCTTTCTTTCTTTCTTTCTTTCTTTCTTTCTTTCTTTCTTTCTTTCTTTCTTTCTTTCCTTCTTTCTTTCTTTTTCTTTCTCTTTTCTTTTTTTTAAGACAGAGTCTTGCTCTGTTGCCCAGGCTGGAGTGCAGTGGCATGATCTCAGCTCACTGCAACCTCCACATCCCAGGTTAAAGCAATTCTCCTACCTCAGCCTCCCGAGTAGCTGGGATTACAGGCACGCACCACCACCACGCCTGGCTCATTTTTGTATTTTTAGTAGAGGCCGGATTTCACCATGTTGGCCAGCCTGGTCTCAAACTCCTGGCCTCAAGTCATCTGTCTCCCTTGGCCTCCCAAAGTGCTGGGATTACAGGCATGAGCCACCATGCCCGGCCCTCTGTATTTTTTTCTGTACTATTTAATGGTAAATTACAAACATCATGTCCTGTTACCCCTAAGTTCTTCTGTGTTTATTTCCTACGAATGACTACAATATGGCTGTTTTCTTCTTACATTTACACTGATATAACGCTTTTATCCTATCTACCATCCATATTCCAATTTTATTAGTAATCTAGTAATGTCCTTCATAGTATATTTTTCTCTCCAGTGGATCCAGTCTAGGAATAAGCATTGCAATTAGTTGTCAGAATTCTTTAGCCTCCTTCAATCTGGAACAAATCCTACAACCTTCCCTTGTCTTTTATGACATTTTAAAAAGAACATAGTTTGTCCCCCTTTTATAAATGTAACATTTCTAATTTTGTATTTGTGTGGTGTTTCCTGGTGCTAGATTGAGGTACTACATTCCTTAGCAGATTACCGCATCGGTGATGTGTCCTTTTAGGACATCCCATCAGGAGGCCTGCAATGTCCATCTCTCTCTCATCCATGATGTTAACTTTGATACACTGGTCAAGGCAGCCTGATTTCCCCACTATCTAATTACTTTTTCCCCTCTCTCTCTTGCAAGTAATAGGACTATGCAAATATCTTGCATCTTATCAAAATTTCCTCCAGTATTTAACTTTCATTGATAAATTTTTCCTGATTTGATTTTAACCATGGTAGTTGTAAAATGATAATTTTCTAACTTTAGCATTACTTCCATATCTACTATTCAGCCCTCCGCATTCTACTGCAAGAAAGAGATCTCTCTTTTCATCTATCTATCTATCTATCTATATCTATTTATCTGTCTATCTATCTATCTATCTATCTATCTATCTATCATCTATCTATCATCTATCTATCTATCATCTTTTGTGTGTGTGTGTGTGTGGTTTTAAGGAACAAAAAGTTTAATAGGCAAGAAAGAAGGAAGGAAGAAGAAAACAGCTCCCCCATACAGAGACGGGGTGGGGGAGGATTCGAACAAAGTGAAAACCCCTAATCTATCTATTTTCTGTCTGTCTGTCTGTCCATCTATCTTCTATCTTCACCATCATCATCATCATCACTTTTCCTTGTGTTTTTGCAATGGACGTGAATTTCTATTCATTCAATGGTTTCTAATTCATGATTGGTGCTAGGACATTTCATACTCACATTGTCCTCGATTTGGCCAGAATCAGCCAAGCTGGCTCTTGTGTCCTTGTAATATGCCTTCATTATTGTTTGGAGCATTTTCTTCCTTTCTGGAATAGCCAGATATTCCAGGTTCTTTTGCACCTATCCTGTCCTGTTCCTGTAATCAGACATTTCTCTGAGAATCCCTGGATCCTTTTAGTGGAGAATGGTATTAGAATCCAAGATCTGGGTGCTACTGGTGGGTATTTGCCTCTTGGCCCTCTAAAAGTGTAGAGAGCTAAGAAATACATATGTGTATATAGGCATATATACATACACATACATACACATATGCATACATTTATGATATACATGTGCACACAGATATGCATATATAATACCTACATAGACATATTTTAGAAATCACAGTTCACACCAGTACCTCCAAATCTAATACACCCCTGTAGGACTCTTTCTTGCTTTCCCCAATTTCATATTTTCATGTCTCTTCTTCCACAATGGGAACCATGATTCTCAACATGAACATAGTTACTAATTTTCAAAGCACTTTTTTTTCCCAATCTTCCATATTTGGCTCCAAAGAGAGTAGACAGTTTACATTTTATTTTATTTATTTATTTATTTTTTTGAGACAGGATCTCACTCTGTCACTTAGACTAGAGTGCAGTGGGGTGATCATAATTCACTGTATCCTCAACCCCCTGTGCTCAAGTGGTCCTCCTGACTCGGCTTCCCGAGTAGATGGGACTACAGGCACATGCCACCATGCCTGGCTAATTTTTTTTTTTTTGTAGAGAGGGGGTCTTACTATGTTGCCCAGGCTGGTCTCAAACTCCTGGGCTCAAGCAATCCTCCTGCCTCAACCTCCCCAAATGCTGAGATTACAGGCGTGAGCCACCATGCCTTGCCAGAAGGTTATATTTGAAAAGCTTGTTTTGTGTACTATAAAGAATAGTGCAGTCTGGGCATGGTAGCTCATGCCTGTAATCCCAGCACTTTGGGAGACCAAGGCAGGAGGATCATCTGAGTTCAGGAGTTCGAGACCAGCCTGGGCAAAATAGTGAGATTCCAGCTGTACTAAAAATAATAATAATAAAAAAAACTAGCCAGGCATGGTAGTATGTGCTTGTTTAAAAAAATTTAAAAATCAGCTGGGTGCAGTGGCTCACACCTGTAATCCTAGCACTTTGGGAGGTCGAAGTGGGTGGATCACCTGAGGTCAGGGGTTTGAGACCAGCCTGGCCAACATGGTGAAACCCAGTCTTTGCTAAAAATACAAAAAAAAAAAAAAAAAAAATGGCTGGGCGTGGTGGCTCATGCCTGTCATCCTAGCTACTTGGGAGGCTGAGGCAGGAGAATCAGTTGAACCCAGGAGGCGGAGGTTGCAGTGAGCCAAGATCGCACCATTGCACTCCAGCCTGGGCAACAAGAACCAAAGTCTGTTTCAAAAAAGAAAAAAAAATAATAATGCAGAGACAGTCTTCCACCAATTGAGCAAAACTGTAAAAAATGAAAAATTCTGAACAAAATTTTCTTTCAACATTAAGGACTTTATATGTCTGTAGCTCTGTTTCTCACAGGATCTCATAAATATTGGAAATAGGTGAGTGGGTCAAGCACTTTGAGTTAGATATAAAGACAAAGTAGACAGCTGCCCCGCACTATTCCGACAGGGTGGGATTTTAGCTTCTTGTCTTGCGTGACTCAGTGTCCTTCAGTATATTCTCCACCATGACATGGAACAGGAAGAAGACAAGATGAGACCAAGACAGGAAGGAAGCAAGGAACCTGTGGTGGGTGAGAACTAGCATTTGATGGTTGTTACAAGAAGGGAAACTGAGAGGCCTGGTCTCTGCAAATCAGTTTTAGAACTGCACCTGGATGCGCATGCGCCTCTGTCGAAGCTAGATTTTTTGGTATTGAGTCATGAAAGAATTTCCTGAAACATTTATTTCATTATTGAACATGAATTGCAGTAGAGTTTTGTTTCCCTGTGCTTTAAAAATGAGAATAAGTTGCTTTTAGTTCAGAATATTTTGGGAAAAGTTTATCTGAAGGTTGATAGTTGATTGAAAGTCTCTCTAATGCCTTTCAGCCCCTAAGACTCTGTCATGCGATGAGTGAAGAGATGAGTATACCAATTACTTAATTAGTCTAATTAAAGTGCAGACACTTCTGGAGTGACATTCACTTCACAGGGAAAGCTCCTCCTTTGACCCAGACTTCCATCATAACTGCTTAAGTCTTTTGACCTCTGTGTTTTTATAAACCTTCGGATTCCCTAGCTATTCTCCACATTTCAGCAAGACACCAGGATGAGGTCGCTGCTATTGTGATTCGACCCAGTTCTAGACTCAGTACAAGGTAGATCCTAGGAATACTTCCATCTTTTCATGCTCACTGCCTTTCTATGCACTCACCCATTTTTTCTCTTTCGTACTTCTTACATTTTTTTTTTAATTTTTAAAAATGTTTGTTTATTTATTTATTTATTTATTTTTTAAGATGAAGTTTCGCTCTTCTTGCCCAGGCAGGAGTGCAATGGCACAGTCTTAAGTCACTACAACCTCTGCCTCCTGGGTTCAAGTGATTCTCCTGCCTTAGCCTCTCAAGTAACTGGGATTACAGGCACATGCCACCAGGCCTGGCTAATTTTTGTATTTTTAGTACAGACTGGGTTTCACCATGTTGGTCAGGTTGGTTTGGAACTCCTGGCATCAGGTGATCTGTCCGCCCCCGCCTTCCAAAGTGCTCGGATTAAAGGCATGAGCCACTGCGCTTGGCCAAAAAATTTTTATTTTTAATAGATCTTCTCTAAGATTCCATCTTCTCCTTCTTCTTCTTCTTTTTTTTTTTTTTTTTAAAGACATGGGGTCTCACTATGTTGCCCAGGCTGGTCTCGAAATCCTGTGCTCAAGCAATCCTCCCCCTTCAGCCTCCCAAAGTGCTGGGACTACAGGCATGAGCCACCACCATGCCTGGCTTCCTTTTTGCTTCTTAATTCTATACTTGCCTGTTGTTCTTTTTTTTTCTTCTTTTTTTAACTTTTAACATTAATCTAACTTTTAGAGATAGGATCTCACTATGTTGCCCAGCCTGGACTTGCAATTCCGGGCTCAAAGGATCCCCGTTTCAATCTCCCTGTGACCAATGGATGGCATTCTCCCTTGTGGCACTCTTTCATTCTTAAATTTCACATGGCTTGCCTTGTTCCTAAATATCCCCATTCCATACTCCTCAGAAAGAATATTTTCTTCTGGATTCTTCAGGACTGGGCTCCTTCTGTCTTCAAGAGGAACATAAAGTACTCAGTGAGTTTGAGATAATGAAAGAGAGCTGGCCGGGCGCAGTGGCTCGCACTTGTAATCCCAACACTTTGGGAGGCCGAGGCAGGCAGATTACTTGAGGTCAGGAGTTTGAGACCAGCCTGGCCAACATGGTGAAAGTAGTATTTTTTATCTACTAAGAAAATACAAAAATTAGCTGGGAGTAGTGGTGCATGACTGTAATCCCAGCTACTTGGGAGGCTGAGATGGGAGAATTGCTTGAACCCAGGAGGTGGAGGTTGCAGTGATACAAAATTGCACCACTGCACTCCAGCCTGGGTGACAGAACAAGACTCTGCCCCCGATACCTTCCCCCTCCCCCTCAAAAAAGCTAAAGACCATCCCACCCAACTCCACCAAGTGTCTTCTGGAATGGTTTCCATTGGTCCACATGTACCAGGCAGGAGATGTACAATAAATAGTAAATAAGTAAGTCCAGAAATACCAGAAGTAAATGAAATAAAAGTAAGATAATAAAATATAATGATAAATCCTTATGAAAGAATAAATAGGGTGGTGATATAAAGTATAACTGGGGAGGAGGATTCATTTCTTAGTCTTTAGCAAAGACGAAGCTATGAACGTGGTTTTTGACAACAAATGAGAGTTTCCCATTGTCTGATCTGGTTCTGTCTATTTAGTTATTTCTCGACACTGCCTAGAGTGCACTCTTTTAATCAGATGTGTCTCATTTTCATGAGAAAGACCCCCTGCCTTACCTGTGTCCCTGGGTTGTTGGGCTTTCTGATCTTTCTTCCTTTCTTCTAATCCTTACAATCCTTCAAGATCTTATTCCTCCACTCACTCATCCATGGAAAAAGCCTTCCATGATTGCTCCAGTTTTTCCTTCCTTTTCTGAAGTCTATAGCAGCTGAAAGTTTTATCATACAATTTTAACTATACATTACCTTAATTTATTTGATATGACCTCACTGACTTTATTTTTGTCTCTCTGATAAAATTGTTAGGTCTTGAAGGCAGGGATAATATCTCATATTTGCTTTTGTGTTCAGCCACAATTGGGCATAGAGTAACTGTTTGATTTACACTTACTGGTTGAGGAGAATACTGGGCTGTTGCAGTTTCATGGAAGAGCTATTTTATGGCCAGCAGGGCCTTGTTGTACATCTCAAATTATGCCACGTAGGTGGTTGTCCTCCTTCCTACACAGGCTGGCACTGGGCTGACTTACCCAGCCTGCAAAAACCTTCATCCAAAATGCAGCACCTGCCAATGATTTCTCTTTCACTCACTGTCTGGCTGGTTGTAGACCAAAACCCCAAAACCACAGTTTGTTTTATTTAATTGTATCACTAGTGTTCACTATTTCTCCTTTCCACCTTTCCTCCCTTCATTAAAAATAACCCAGATCTCGGCCGGGCGCAGTGGCTCACGCTTGTAATCCCAGCACTTTGGAAGGCCGAGGCGGGTGGATCACGAGGTCAGGATATCGAGACCATCCTGCCTAACACGGTGAAACCCTGTCTCTACTGAAAATACAAAAAATTAGCCAGCTGTGGTGGGCATGCGCCTGTAATCCTAGGTACTCGGGAGTCTGAGGCAGGAGAATCTTTTGAACTCAGGAGACGGAGGTTGCAGTGAGCTGAGATCGTGCCATTGCACTCCAGCCTGGGGAAAGAGCAAGACTCCGTCTCAAAACAAAACAAAACAAAAAAACCCCCAGATCTCTAGTGCATAATGGGTTATATTATGCAGTTACACCTCCCTTGGAAGTTGGGAGAGAAAAAGAGAAGATTGTCTCCTATTTTTACTTTACTTCAATAAGAAGCAACATTAAAGTAGAAGCCTTCACAGACAAAGCTATATTTTCTCATAGATCATAACTTTTGGTTAATATAGATGTCACTGACTGACTGTGACATCAACTATTTGAAAGACAACATTTTAAGTGGCATGGGTTGATACACCACTTATCAAATCAAATATTACTTCAGTGGAAGTAATATTTGCGCTGTATTTTAAAGATAATTTGGAAAGCAATACCTATATGAAAATCTTATTGTATCTGCTTTTCAAAGTTTCCTATTTTGTCCAAATGAGAAAACTTTGGTTCTGTGTTAGATAACAGTGCAAAGCTTAGGGGAACCCATGTCCTTCTCAAATGAGGTCCTGTTTGATTAGGTTTTCTTACACTACGCATTGATCCAATAGTTGCAGTTTGACTTTTCATCTCATTTTACTGAAAGCAAAATAGGGCCAGTGTAAGTGATTAAATGCCAGGGCATCAGACGGAAAGTTATAGTTTTTCTAGGGTTATTTTTGAAAACACTCTGAAATAGTGTCTGCTGTCTTAGAAGTTTGTTTCATTCTTAAAAAGAGCTTGGCTATGAATGGACCCAACAGTGGAAGAGGCGCCTGCAATACCAGCATTTCCAGCGTGGAATTTGTGAGTGGGTGGGAAATGCTTAATTGCTATTTACCTGCCGAACGCTGCCTTTGACACACATGATGAGCAAGTGTTGTTTGACTGTCACCTCCTTAGGAGGCAGGATTCTTCAGCCCACACTCTGCTCAACACTGACTTCTCTTCTGTGCGTGCTTTGTGTCTGCAGTTTTTGCCCCGTCTGTGCATTTTGAGTGAAGCACCAATCCAAGCAAGATCCTCTGTTTTGTCATTGTAGGGAGACCCACAGAGCTTCCCACGCAACCATGGCCTCAAAGGGAGTCTTGGATGCTGATTCTTTTGAAGATGCATTTTTTAAACAAAAGGGATTCCCCTATATGCTGGTGTGCCTGACAATTCTTTCTTTTCCACCACTTCATAGAGAACTTTCAGACAAATGTCCATTTGTACCTATCAGGCCATACGTTGCTAAATAAATAAATAAATCTTGGAAGTCTAGGGTCCAATTTCTACTCATTTCAAAGCTCAGGTGCAAGGATGCAATTGCAGATTCATAAGCAGATTAAATATGTTTCAGAAATAAAATAGACCCACACCTGATATGCTAGCTCTGGTAATTTCATGGATTATTATTATTAGTTCATTCAGATATGCCACAGGTCAAAGTCTATTCTCTGAAACGTAATAGAACTGCATACATAAAGCAGAAAACGGCAAGTAGGATGCCCAGATGCCTGCTTCACACACACTGAGTATCTTGTGTAACTCTCAGCAGATCCACACCAACAGGGAATAGTACTGCTGATGTCTTCCAACTAAGAAGGGACCTGAAGTAGTACCAGATTAGTGTCAAAAGAAACTCATTTTCCAAGGGCCTTTTGGAGTGGAAGAGCCCATGTCTAGTCTAGACCTTTGGTCCCACATCAATCCACCAATCAGCCTGTCACCCCAAGTTCAGGTGGGAATGAAATTGGTTGTCGCAGGAGGTATGATGCAAAGGGAAGCCGCGGCTCTGTGGCATTCCTGGCATGTCTGCCCACGCTCGGCTGGCTGCCTCTCCTGTCGGAAGCTCTGCTGCACAGGCTGAGACAACAACAGGACGACCAGCCCGTGTCCCCACAGCAGCTCTCACCAACCAGGCGAGGTGCTCTGTGAGAGTCCCCGAGGGCTTGGGCAGAAATTCATGCTGCCCCAGCAGGCTCAAAGCTAGCTCAGAAGTCGCACCAATTCCAGGGGGTTTTCCAACAGTTTTCTCTCCCGCTCTTTATCTTACTCCTGTTTTCCCACTTTGGGCCACATATTCTCCACCTCAATACCCAACTCACCTACAAATTGAAAATGTCCTTGCTTACATAGCTCCTTTCACAATCGCTCCAGGCTCCCAAGTGGAGTAACAGATTAACAGTCTATCCTTTTCCGTTTTGGGAAAATTTCCTTTGGAAAATCTTCTCTAGGCTGGGTGGGGTGGCTCACACATATAATTCCAGGACTTTGGAAGGCCAAGGCAGGAGGATGGCTTGAGGCCAAGAGTTTGAGACCAGCCTGGGCAACATAGTGAGACTCCGACTCTGCAAAAAAAAAAAATACAAAAAAATTAGCTGGATGTAGTGGCTTGTGCCTGCAGTTCCAGCTACTCAGGAGGCTGAGGTGGGAGGATTGCTTGAGCCCAGGAGTTCATGGTTGCGGTGAGCTATGATAGTGCCACTGCACTCTAGGCTGGGCCACAGAGTGGGATCCTGTCTTAACAAACAAACAAACAAAACATCTCTAGTTTTGGCTGCTTCCCTTGCTTTTTTTTTTTTTCCCCCTTCTTATTCCAGAGGGACTCCTCTGGCCTACAGATGACTTTTATGAATGATGGCAGAAATTCAGTGGGCCAAACCAGCTAGGTTGGGGAGAACAGCTTCCTCTCCTCCCCTTCACCACATCCTGGGGGCCCAGGTGATTGGCTCTGGACCAGGCTGGTGTCCAATGGGAGGAAATCAATGTCCTATTCCCATGACCCTGTTTCTCCTTTTCCATTTTGGGTCTGAATTCTGTTTGATTTAGGTCCATGGAAGAGAATAGTTATGGATTGTTATTGGAAGACCAGAGGAAGGGAGACAGAGCCAAGACTCAGCCGTGTCACTTGACAAATTACTAAGGGCTGAGGGGGGAGGCAACATGCTCATGGTGGCGAGGAAACTGCAACTCGTTCTACAGAAGATAAGAACCCAGAATGTGTTGTGAATTCCCCTGGGTCAAACTAAAGGCAGAAGGAAGGGGAGAATCATGCAGAAAGCAAGATGGCACCTTTATCTAAATATAGTATAGCACAGAGGCAGTGATGCTAATGTTAAAGCAGCCTTTGGAGTTCTGACTAGGGCAAACCATTCATGTATTTCAGTTTGTGCTAAACGCCTAAACATATGGGAGGCGGGATCAATCTACCTATCTCTGCATTTTTTTCTTTTTCTTTTTCTTTTCTTTTCTTTTCTTTTTTTTTTTTTTTGCGACAGAGTCTCACTGTCACCCATGCTGGAGTGCAGTGGCATAATCTGGGCTCACTGCAACCTCCGCATCCCAGGTTCAAGTGATTCTCCTGCCTCAGCCTCCCGAGTAGCTGGGATTATAGGCATGCACCACCACACCTGGTTAATTTTTTTTTGTAGTTTTAGTACAGACAGGGTTTCGCCACATCGGCCAGGCTGGTTTCAAACTCCTGACCACGTGATTCACCCGCCTCAGCCTCCCGAAGTGCTGGGATTATAGGCGTGAGCCACTGCGCCCAGCCTATCTCTGCATTTTTATACCACCTTTTGCCAGAGAACCCAGGTGCTCAGACTGCGACCAGTTGGACGACTTGCCCCCATCCTGAGAACCTGGCAGGGACCCAGGCTAAACATTACAGCAATGTTTGAGCAATAGAGACTCAGCCTTAGCCCAGGGTTCCACCCCTGCACCTCCTGCCCCTGCCAGCAGAAAGCAGCAGGGTCTCTTATGGGATCAGCTGAACAATCAGCTCCACTCTTGATAATGAGATCTTGAGCTCTACTAAGAAAAGACGGATATCGAATTTAGCTCTTAGACGCTTTCATAGCTCTGTCTAGTGATCTGTGGGCTTTCATGGACAGCTGTTTGGTGCTAGGAGGAAAAGCCTGGGCAGGGAGGATTTGCCTACCTGCCCCTGTGGTGGGAGGAAACACAGACAAGAGGGTGTTCCTTTTATCATACTCTCCAAAGGCTAGAGGGGAGGAGGGAGAGCTGATCACCTGGCATGACCAGCACTGACTCTGCTTAGAGGGTTCTCACCCTGGCTCAGGGCTTTTTTTTGGGTCCAGGATTTTTGCTGTACCAGTGCACAGGCTGCCCTGCTGTTTTTTACTTTCTAAAAACGTACATCTACTTTAAAAACACAAATATCTCCTTTAGCATTGTTGTAAGCAGCAATAAGCATGGAATCACATACATATGTTATATACTTATGCATATTTTTCTAATACACTTTCAGATAAATATGTAACTACTACAAAATCATTTGTGAAGTACCTAAAATTTATTTGAGTACCCCATTTTAGGAAAACTACAGTAAGGTTGGCCTTTGGAGGACATGACATGCTTGGTCAAGAACACTATCCCATGTCAATGTGAGAAGGGTAAAACCAGTTGATTTAGGTTGTTCTAACATGAGACTCAATATCTCATTCATCTTATGAAAAAGAAGAAGGAAAGAGAGGAGGAGAAGGAGGAGGTGGGGAGAAGTTTGGTAATTAGGATGCTAGATGATTGTAAAATATGAACATGGACTTGAGTGATGAGGCTCAGGTAAAAAGCATTTTTTTTTTTTGAAATGGAGTCTCATTCTGATGCCCAGACTGGAGTGCAATGGTGCAGTCTTGGCTCACTGCAACCTCTGCCTCCTGGGTTCAAGCGATTCTCTCACCTCAGTCTCCCAAGTAGCTGGAATTACAGGCGCTTGCCACCACGCCCAGCTAATGTTTTGTATTTTTGGTAGAAACGGGGTTTCACGGTATTGGCCAGGCTTGTCTCAAACTCCTGACCTCAAGTGATCCACCCGCCTCAGCCTCCCAAAGTTCTGGGATTACATGTGTGAGCCATCATGCCCAGCCGGTAAAAAGCATTTTTGATTATTACATGGACAAATACTTCAGCTCATGGCACCAATCCTAACCAACCATTTTCTGAGTCTACAGAAGTGTATTAGGCAGACCAGGATAAGCAATCCTGAAGTAACATGAATGCTTGAAGCCCCTGTGGCTAAACATGCAACAGTTTTCTTCTCACTCACACAAAGCCTGCTGTGGGTTGAGTGGGTTCTCTGAGGTATCTTCCGTTCCCAAGGTGACTCAGATATCCAATCCCACCACCTCGGCACATGGCTGCCAGAGTTGCCCGAGCCAAGGAAGAGCACCTGGAGAGTCTCACGGGGCTTTTTGCTGCCCGAGACCCAGATGACCTACGTGGGTTACATGTTCCTGCCTGGCAGCAAGAGTGGCTGGGGTATGTTTTCCTCAGGGAGTTCAGGAAAATGAGGAGAAAGGGGTATGGATGAGCACTGGAAGTCTCAGTAAGAAAAACACAACATCTGGAAGCTGACAGTTTGTATTTCCACTCACCAGTTATGTGTTTTTTCATATGTGACACCGGCATACAGATGCCCACTTTGTGACTTTGTTGTGAGATTAGATAAGATAATGCACATAAATGCCTCATGCTTTACTGCCTCTATCTAATTAACCTGGACAAAAAGAGTGTGGTGTGATGGAGATTTGAAGATTGCTTCAGGGTGCTGTGTGCTCAATTAGGACTTCATTTCAAGCCCTAGGGTGAGCCTGCTGCTATTTGACCTGCCTTCTACAGAAGCAGTGTGTCTGTCTGTGAGTACCTGTCACCAGCAAATGATAGTTCCTGTTTCTTTCCCTCTTGGCAAGACTGAAAAGTCAGTATTAGGTTTTAAGTTCTATTTAAAATATAACAACAACTTGGCCAGGCACGGTGGCTCATGCCTGTAATCCCACTCTTTGGGAGGCAGAGGCAGGCAGATTACCTGAGGTCAGGAGTTCAAGACCAGCCTGGCCAACACAGTGAAACCCCGTCTCTACAAAAAATACAAAAATTAGCTGGGCATGGTGGCGTGCACCTGTAGTCCCAGCTACTCAGGAAGCTGGGGCAAGAGAACTGCTTGAACCTGGGAGGCAGAGGCTGCAGTGAGCCAAGACAGTGCCACTGCACTCTAGCCTGGGTGACAGAGCGAGACTCTGTCTCAAAAAAAAAAACTATATACGTGTATATAGATATATATAGATATCTATATCTATATATAGTGTGTGTGTGTATTTATAAACAACTTAAAATAAATTGTGATTAAAAAACACATAACATAACTGAGCGTAATGGCTCATGCCTGTAATCCCAGCACTTTGGGAGGCCGAGGCAGGTGGATTACATGAGGTCAGGAGTTTGAGACCAGCCTGGCCAACATGGTGAAACCCTGTCTCTACTAAAAACACAAAAATTAGCCAGACATGGTGGCACACACCTGTAATCCCAGCTACTCAGGAGACTGAGGGAGGAGAATCTCTTGAACCCAGGGGATGGAGTGATCTCAGCATTGAGCTGAGATCGCATCACTGCGCTCCAGCCTGGGCGACAGAGCAAGACTCTGCCTCAAGAATAAAAACAAAAACAAAAGCAAACAACAAACCACATAACGTAACATTTACTCTCATAACCGTTTTTAAACTGTGCAGTTCAGCAGTGGGAGGTATATTCACATTGTTTCGCAACAAACCTCCAGAACTTTTTCATCATGCAAAACTGAAACTCTATACCCATTGAACAACACCTCCCATTTCCTCCTCCCCCAGCCCCTGGCAACCACATTCCATTTTCTTCTGTTTCTAGAAATTTGACTATTTTAGATGCCTCGTATAAATGGAATAACAATAGCTTTTAGGTAAAAACCATGATAGGAAAAACAAACCCCCATAGATAATGAATGGGCCCCTCTATCACTGCAAATAAAATTTTTGAAACCAAGAAAGGGAATTATGAGATCTGTGACATCAATAGACTTGATGGATCTCACATCTCCTCTGGTGGCCGTAAAGCAATTAAAAAACACAACTGTGGAAGTTGAGATACTTATATTTCCTCATAAAATTCACTTCTTGTGCTTAATCTGTTACTCTCAGTAGTGAAGTTTCAGAATCATCAATATGACAGTACAGCAATATTGCCTCATCAGTCATGATTTACTTAATGTTTTCTGAATTTAGTAATATTTGATTAAAATTTAATGCGAACATATCATATCATGCCATATATATTATTGCATCCATTAATCAGGTAACTATAGTAATGAAATGCCGGAAGGTTGGCTGAAAAAGGAGCCAGTCTTGATATATGTTTGACATAATTCTGTGAGTGATTAACCAAAAAAAAAAAGTCAGTCATTCAAAGGTTCATTAATATATATTACTTTTACAATCATCTATGTGTCATCAGATATTTTTAACCTTTGTTAAGCTTGATTTTTAATTTACTGAAAGACACTAAATATTAATAACCATGAAAAATATACATTATTCTGTTGAATCACAAGTTGACAGAATGATTCATAGTTTATTCTAATCTTTTTTGTATAATGATGTGTATTAAAACATTATCTAAGTTATTTAATCAGTTTGTCATGTGGGAAATAGCATATATTTAACATATGGCTGTGAAAGATACTAATTTAAATACCACATCATATTTCTATTATTTTCAACTTCCATGTCATTGGCCATAGCAGGTAATCAGTGTGATGGTGCACAATTTACGTCTGACACAGGCTGATTTTTGTATGCAAATGTTCTTTTTTTCCTATTAAAACACTGAATTAGTCATACCTTGTTTCTTTTAATATTGTCATTTTAATCAGCTAACTAATGAGGGACAACTGGTATTAAACACTTATCTGCCGTGTTCATCAAAATAGTTAAGAAGAGGCACATTTGGAGAAATAATTGAAAATAATAAAAAGTTGAGTCAACTGCAAGGCAGTTTAATTTTGACTTGATAGAGGAATGTTGATTATTTCACCACAATTATCCTCCTAGTTGTTCCCTCTTTTAGCTTCAGTTGAATTGTGCTTCATTCACTCATTCATTCATTAAATTTTTCATTGAACCCTTCTCATGACAGGCATTGTGCTAGGTTCTGGGATAGAGAAATGAAATGACATGGCTCCTGGTTTCTCTTAGCTTACAATCTAGTGATGATCAGACGCTTACACAAATGCAAGCAGAGATGAGCTCCAACATGGAGTCTGGGCAAAGCACAGTGAGGCACAGAGAGGAGTGTCAAAGTCAGCCTGAGAGTGACTGGAAAGACTCCGCAGGGGCTGACGCTGACTTGAATGGAGACTCGAAGTGTGAATAACAGTTTCCCAGACAGACAACTATGGAGGTGGGAGTATTGGTGACAGGTGAGGATGGTATTCTAGAAAGAACCAACAGCATATGCAAAGGCTCAGAGGCTTATAAAGCAAGTTCCGGAAGAAGAGAAATTCACTCCTATCTCTATCTAGTGGATATGTACTAAAAAGTGTGGTGTGATAGAGATGTCAAGATTGCCTCAGGGTGCTGCATGCTGAACTATGACTTCACTCCAAGCCCAAGGGTAAGGCTGTTGATGTTTGACCTGCCATGGAGAGGAGTGGTTTTCTAACTGGAGGCTTATAGGAGAAGACAAGGATGGGGAGAACGGGTCGGGGTGATGCACAGGTGGCTCCTACTGTAACAAATGCCTGAACCATGCCTTGGAGAATTATATCTTCTTGTCAAACACTCCCCAGAACTAACCAAAAATAATTAGCTTCAATTTTTCCCATAAATTTTCAAACATAATATTGTAGACTGAATCAGGAAGCCTAGGTATACCGTACTTTGAAGCTATATTCATATTAGTGGGGAAAGCATCATAAGAAAGTAGACATTAAGAAGGGATTTGAAGAAAACGGGCAATTGGACTCAGGGTGTTGGAAATGGAATAATTTCTATGATAAGATTGTTGCAGGATTTGAAGGTAATGAAGTTAGGACAAAAGGAAAGTGATACCCGGAAGGAAAGATCAAACCTGCCTGTCATATGTATCCGAAATGCTTGACCCTGTTCTTGGGTGTGGGAAGTTGCTCCCAGTTGGAAATAAATGCTGTTTATGGATGGATGAGTCCAGTCCATGGTGAGGTCAAACATCATTTTCAGTGACTTGTTGCAACATTCATGATTAATGTTGATTTATTACTTGATCATTGTGTTATGTAAATAGGCGGCATCTTTTTTGTGTGTGTCTTGGTGTGATGCTGGTTTAATTGAGTTTGGGGATGGGGGGAGGAGGTGGGAGGTTCCAGGGTTAATACTGTTAGCATCTTCCTCAGTAGCAAACTCTTCTCATGATGGATGAAACAGTAGCAATAATCAGAGTAGCCAAACTGTTAATGGAATTCCATATGGGAAGGAGGGGTTTTATTATTATGGCAATTATATGACAGTAACAGAGAAGGATCTATAAACTAAAGAAAGTTAGTTATAAATGTTACCATGAATCAAAGATGGCAAAAAAGCATGCTAATTCGCTGACTGCTTAGCCAAACTCAAATTTTATTATTTTACTGAACAGTAAGCTCATTTTGTTAAACGCACACACACATAAGCACACACAAAGACGCACACACAGATTATTCAAATTAGAAGCAAATTTATACATTTTCTAGAATGACAGAAATTTATGCAAAATAAAAATGGGAAACTCCACATATAATTTCTATAATGAAAATGGAATTGTTTTATAACCATAAACTTTAATTAAATCCTAATTGAACCAGTATTTTATTTAAGTAGCTGGTTCATTATCTAGAAGCTTCTACTGGGGATTTAAGACTCAAAGTAGAAACAACTTTCATATCCCCAAAGAAAACACTCAAAGATTTACTCTACACTCAAAACTATAAGTGATGAAGAAAAGAATACCTGGAGATTCTGTGATTCTGAATAGATACCTGAGTTTCTAATGACCAAGGAATCTTTACCACCAATCTCCTTTTCTCCTGCGGAGTTACTGATACAAAAGAGAGTGGGAGGTGGGTGGGAGCACAAAGCCTCTTCAATTGTTATCAGATAGCTGTTCACAGAAAGGTCTTCCCAGAGTTTGCTGTGTAGAAAGCACAGCCCACACATCATCATTATTCATTCTTCCAGCTTAAGAGGCTTGTTTTTCGCAGATGTGCCCTTCCTGTTTGGCATTTGTAACTGTGGACTGTTGTTCAGTTGAAGAAAATGCGTCATCTAAATATGAACTGAGATTTTGAGCTGATTCATGAACACCTTTTGTTAAGTAAAACATAAAAAGGAGTATGGTTGCCAAAAATGAGGTACGCATCCCAGCAGAATTTTACTACAGTACATCCCACTAGGCATAAAACAAGAATACAACTGGTGTAATCACGGGAGACTTCCTCTTGGAGAAAGTGAAATACGAGTGACAAGGAACTTCCTAGAGAGGAGAAACAGACGATGTGCTTTAGCTTCCATTTTGCTTGTGTACACTCTATATTTATCTTGAAGCTTTTCCTATAGAGACTGTGGCATTATTTTTGGAAGCAACTCCCAGATTCATTCCTTAAAGCAAATTAACCTTACTCCTAGGCTTCGATTCAGGCATTTGTTTTAGGGAATGTTGTATCTACTCAAGCAATAGAGGGAAGGGAGCCACTGTCTTAGTCAAAATGACAAAAGGGAATGTTGTCATCACAGGGGATGCATTCATTCAGTTAACATTTATTGAGCACCTACTGTTAGCTTGGCAGTGTGTGCAATACATGCATGTTTGTGGAAATGATCTCTGGCCACCTCCATAACAGTTTAAGCTTCCTATGTCAGATGGTTAAAATAAATATGACCCAAGCAAATTTCGTCTGGGGATTCAGAGTCCAGGATTTTATTGTCACTAGTAGAAATTATGGAGATGGTAACAACACCTCAAGGAACATTTGCTTCAAAGCTGGTCTATTAGCTATCATGAGACAAAGTGGGATCACTCTGAAAAAGAACACATACATTTTCTCTCTTATGTCTTTTACTGCTTCCACAGTGAATCATCATCATCTAAGTTCACATTTGCATTTCACCAACTGGGAGGAAACAAACACTGTTGCCTTATTTTCTAACCAATGTTTTACAGAAAGGATTTAATTTTAGCCAAATTTTGGGTCTGATTTCTGGTTCTGCCTCTTTTCAACTCCATGACCTTGGATGAGTCACTCCTTTGAACCTGATTTTCCTCAAAGAAAAGACAACAAGCCCCTCCCCAAAAAACTAGAGGTTAATGTACAAGGAATGAGATAATGATTGCAAAAGCACTTTTAAAACTGTAGGCTACTTCAAAGTCAATTAAGCCAAAGGCAGGGAACAACTTTTTTCGATTAGCTACAATTTATTTAATTGAATTGAACCACTTAATCTTTTCTTTCTTAATTAGCATCTAGCTGGATGTTAAATTCCTAGATCAAATTAATGATTGGTTAATGTCCCAAATTCCATTCAGGATGTAGTTGTTACCTCTGTTAAAAATGCAAGTATACCTGAGCTGGCTGTTAGTCATTTACACCTTAGCATAACTGAAAAAAGATAAGAGGTTTATTTTAAAAAGAGAAGAAGAAATGTGTGAGGACTGCCTGGCTGAAGAAGATTGAACACCCCTAACAGGAGACGGAGGAGTTGGAAAAGATGTGTACACTCTCTTAAACTGTAATCCTGAAATTCCCAAAGCACTGAAAGTCAAAAGATACTTTTGTAACTCATTTGGTGACAAAACCTGACTTTACCGGAACTAATTTGGCCGCAATACCTGTCCCAAATGGATGCGAGGCTATTTAGATTCCTTATTTTCCCCACTCAGTGTGGCTGCCTATTCACAGGCTTTGCTGCAGAATATTAGTGCCTTCGATTATGATTTTAGGCTGTTTTTATTTTTTCCCAGGCTCTGCTGGGAATGTTATGTAGTGCAAAGTACAAAGTCTGAAAAACTTCACATTCAGGAAAACACCTGGCCCCAGTGATTTTGTTGAACCCATACAGATGCTTTGCACTGCCCCGATTACTTCCATATTATTTTTGTCTTACGCAGACAAGCCCTTTTAAAAGCTTGCCTATGACCAAGAGAAACAAGCCAGACTGCACATAAAATTAATACACTGTGTAGATCTAAAGAACACAGGATTATGTCCAGATGTGGTGGCTCACGCCTGTAATCCCAGCACTTTGGGAGGCTGAGGCAGATGGATCACCTGAGGTCAGGAGTTCAAGACCAGCCTGGCCAACATGGCAAAACCCCACCTCTACCAAGAATACAAAAATTAGTTGGGTGTGGTGGCGCACGCCTGTAATCCCAGCTACTCAGGAGGCTGAGGCAGGAGAATCCCTTGAACCTGGGAGGTGGAGGTCCCAGTGAGTCAAGATCACACCCTGCACTCCAGCCTGGGCAACTGAGCAAGGCTCTGTCTCAACAACAACAACAACAAAAAAGAACACAGGATTAGCTTCAGAATTGCCCCCATTTTTCCTTCTTGCATCTGTGTATTTCTTTTTGCCTTTTCCTTAGACAGTCTTGGACTTCTGGTTTCTCTATGGACTGTGTGTTCTAATTTTTTTCTTTTTTTCTTTTTCTTTTCTTTTTTCTTTGAGATGGAGTCTCACTCTGTTGCCCAGGCTGGAGTGCAGTGCTGCGATCTCAGCTTACTACAACCTCTGCCTCCTGGGTTCAAGCGATTATCCTGCCTCAGCCACCCCAAGTAGTTGGGATTACAGGCACGCACCACCACGCCCAGCTAATTTTTTTTTTTTTTTGTATTTTTAGTAGAGATGGGGTTTCACCATGTTGGCCAGGCTGGTCTCGAACTCCTGACCTCAAGTCATCTGCCCACCTCAGCCTCCCAAAGTGCTAGGATTACAGGTGTAAGTCACCGTACCTGGGCACAATTCACAGTTTTTTTTTTTCACCTTTTAAACTTTGGCTCATTTCTGGATTCTGTCTTCCCTGTGGCATTGATCT
Organism: Homo sapiens; assembly: GCF_000001405.40. Taxonomy (NCBI): domain Eukaryota; kingdom Metazoa; phylum Chordata; class Mammalia; order Primates; family Hominidae; genus Homo; species Homo sapiens. The sequence continues at coordinate 63,062,111 of NC_000010.11, read as the reverse complement.
GCCTCAATTAACAACTTCCTAACAACATAGCCTTTGGAAGAATTGTCAGCCTGTAATCCCAAAGGGCTGAGTTAGGAAGTGACCCTCACTGGGAACTGCCTGCCCTATAGTTAGTCCCTGAAGACCACCAGTCACGATGTAAGCTGTGGTCCCTGAACTAGGGTTGGCTTCACCTGGGCACTGCTGAGACATGCAGAGTCTCAGGCCTCACCTCAAGCCTTCTGAACTAGAATCTGTATTTCAGTAAAATCCCAGGTGATGGGTATGAGCATTAAAGTCCAGGAAGCCCTGCTCTGGACCAGTGTCCTCACTACGCCTAGCAGGATGCTAGGCTGCTCCCAGTGGAGGTTAATTTCCACTGAGAAGGTAATAAACATTTGAACTCAGCAGCTTAAAGTAAAATAAATTTCTATAGCAATTTATTTTGATGCAAAATTCTGTCTCATTCCCTTTATCTCAGGCAAATAAGGCTTTCAGTGAAATGCTTCTTTTCTTCCGAGAGTCCTATTTTCAACAGAAACCACTCTTTTGCTCAGTTTTGAGTAGTAGAATTCTACTGCTCATGGCATCACACAGACCTATGGAATTTGATGAGGATCAATAATTAATTTTTACTTTTTAATATCCAATCTTCTAAAACTTTCATTTTACATATAAAGTCCTCCCTGTTCTTAAAAACGATTTAAAGAGGCATATATTGGTACCTCCCTTTCTCCTATTTTTTTCCCATTTATTTATTTATTTATTTTGAGACTGAGCCTCACTCTTTTACCCAGGCTGGAGTGCAGTGGCGTGATCTCAGCTCACTGCAACCTTCTCCTCCCAGGTTTAAGCAATTCTCCCTGCCTCAGCCTCCTGAGTAGCTGGGATTACAGGTGCCCACCACAATGCCCGGCTAATTTTTGTATTTTTTAGTAGAGACGGTGTTTCACCATGTTGGCCAGGCTGGTCTTGAACTACTGAACTCAGATGATCCACCCACCTCAGCCTCCCAAAGTGCTGGGATTACAGGCATGAGCCACCGCACCCTGCCTTCCTTTTTTATTTTTATAGAGACAGGGTCTCGCTATGTTGCCCAGGCTGGTTTCAAACTCCTGGGCTCAAGCGATCCTCTGGCCTTGGTCTCCCAAAGTGCTGGGATTACAGGCGTGAGCCACTGTACCTGGCCTTTTGCCCTACCTTTTTTTTTTTTAGTTGAAGTCTCCCTCTGTCACCCAGGCTGGAGTGCAGTGGCGCAATTTTGGCTCACTGCAAACTTTGCCTCCCAGGTTCAAGTGACTCTCCTGCCTCAGCCTCCTGAGTAGCTGGGATTACAGGCATGTGCCACCACACCCGGCTAATTTTTGTATTTTTAGTAGAGACGGGGTTTCATCATGTTGGCTAGGCTGTTCTCGAACTCCTGAGCTCAAGTGATCCACCCTCCTTGGCCTCCCAAAGTGCTGGGATTACAGGCGTGAGCCACCACGCCCTGCCGTGCCCTAGTTTTTAATTACAGTTTGCCCAGAAGTAGTCATAAGGAATATTTAAAATAATCACTTATTACTGACAATTGACACTTTCCCTGAGTTACAAAGCAATTAATAAAAACTCTTGACATAAATCAATATATTTTCCCCAAACAAGTTAAAGCCCCAAATCAATGGTTTTCCCCCAGTACTTAATACCGACGCTTTTGCTAAATCACAGTGGTGCTCAAATGGCACATATGGCCACACTTGCTTACAAAATAAAATATTTTGAATAAAACTAGCAAACCTCAATTCAGCAACTATTCATTATGATTTATGGATGTGGTCCTGGGCTTGGTGGGTAGCACAAAGGCATACAAGCTCTAGCTCCTTCCCTCAGGAAACTTACAGCCTAACAAGGGACCTACAGCATGTACTGAAATGACTGTTTTATATAAAGAATGTAAAAATTTCCATAAAAGCATAAACATGGCACCAGGGGACTTTGGAGAAAACGGAGAAAACATCTGGTTGGGGACAGACACATTCGGGAAGCCTCCACTCAGTAGAAACTTTACTACAAAAACTCTTAGTTATGATTTTTAAAAATCCAACCCTGCCTAGATGCAACTTTTTCTTTTTTGTTTCTTACTTTATGCCATTCTCATATCCAAGTAGAGCACTGGAGAAAGAAAAACAAAAAAGAAAGCACAAAACAACTGCTTGCTGGTTGCTTTATCTCCTGACTCCAAAGTCTCTGAGCATCTGATCTGTGTGATTGCTTGAGCAGTTTGGCCACCATGTAGACACAGTCTTCTGTCATCTGGCTGCTCCCTCCTGGTGTCTCTGATGTATTTGGAAGCCAAGGGTTCCCTGTAGCATAGTGCCAGGGTTGGTCTTCAAAGATGGAGGTTTCGACTTTCAAGAAGGAAGGAGATGAAAAGAAAGGAAGCTGGGGCGTGGGAGGACTCTGAAGACCCACAGCGGGAGGCCAAAGGCCACCGACCTACAGTGACTTCAAATGGGGCAGCTATGAAAATAAGACTTTTTATAGCCGTTCCCAGTTGCTTCAGACTTAAGATATATATTACATTTATCATATAGATCAACACAGTGTCTTTGCTTAGCAGAATAGTGACTATGTAGGTCACCATAGCATAGGTCAAGGAGTCAGAAAACTTTAGCTTGATGTCTGCCATTGCCAGACTGGCATTAACCTCCCTGCATGTCTCTGCTATTTATGACTTTTACATGCAGGCGATAATTCCCGAGGATAATATGTCAAGAAGGTTTCTGAGTTCTCTGGCCAGAGTATTCTCCTTAAATCCAGTGCAATGTAGGACACTGTTTGACAAATAAAACATGAAAATCTGTGAATACAAGGGAAACAGAGGCCCTCACCCGTAAGGCTGCTCCTCTTTTAGAAGGGAATTCTTGAGTGACAAGTATCTGTGCAAGTGCTGTGTTTTTTATTATTCATAGAAAAATAGAACCATTACATTATTTGGTGAGGTGGGGCCTACTATGTAGCTGTTTGTATGACACATGAAAATAAATGTATAGGCTGGGCGTGGTGGCTCATGCCTGTAATCCCAGCACTTTTGGATGCTGAGGCAGGCGGATCACCTGAGGTGGGGAGTTCGAGACCAGCCTGACCAACATGGAGAAACCCCGTCTCTACTAAAAATACAAAATTAGCCGGGCATGGTGGCGCATGCCAGTAATCCCAGCTACTTGAGAGGCTGAGGCAGGAGAATTGCTTGAACCGGGGAGGCGGAGGTTGTGGTGAGCCAAGATCACGCCATTGCACTCCAGCCTGGGCAACAAGAGCAAAACTCTGTCTCAAAAAAAAAAAAAAAAAAGAAAAAAAATTTATAAAACCTTAAAATAAAATATTTAAACTATCAAATTTTTAAGCCCTTTAAAAGAAAACAGATTTGGGGATGTAAAATTTGTATTTCCACAAAGCATTAGAAATCCAAAGTCCAAACCACATGACTAGAAATTGAAGATCATAATTGAGGATCTTACCCAAAACCTGAGCTATTTAAATGGTTTTTGCTATGCAGTATAATTATATAGTTATACACCCCAGAATCCTGCCTGACAATTGAGCATTCAGAGCACAAGCATAGAAATCAGACTAGAGGCTAATAGAGAGTTCCTTTCTCCTTGAAAAAGCTCCCCCAGTCAGGCAGTGTGGGAAATTTTCCTAGGCTCATACTCACATCTTATTGTAAGGACAAGTAAATGGCTGGAGTGCCCTGAGGCATTCTTTGTGGGGAGCCTGGTCACTGACTTCCAAAAATTGAGCTTTTTTTTTTTTTTCACTATGAACTTGTTTGTTAATTTCTCCTAGACTGTCACTTTTCCCCATTTCCCTGAATAAATACAGAGTTAAAAAAAGCTGTTTAAGGCAAATGGCATGGGATGCTTTACTCATAAACAACTGAGGGACTCAGTCAACATAATGAGGCAGTGGAGCTCCCAGGCAAGTCACTAAAACCCTTCTGCATCTCAGTTTCTCCGTCTGTGAGATAAGGATAGCAACACACATTCCCCTACCTCCCAAGAAATTTCCTGCTAGGAATACACTTACGTGAGGGAGCAGGGAATCCCCTAGGAGAGAAAGGAGACCCCTCCCAAAATGAATGCTTGTGTGTCCATTCATTCAACACCCACTTCCTGTACAGAGGGCCTTTATATATTTGGTGCTTGGACAGTTTTAGGACACAACAGTGAAAAGATGCATGAAATTGTAGCTGAGCGAAGATGAGGAAGGGCAGACTGTCCTCTGGCCTGGCCCTACGGACTTGAGCCTGCTTCCTAGGGAGAGGGGACGTAGTTCAAAAGTCACTGCTATTGTCTGAAAAATATCCCCGTGCTCTGCAGGGAGCACCTGGCGGCGCTGCAGTAGGATTCCTGTGACAGAGTAAGACCCTGACTCACGGGCTCAAGTCCCCACACCTGGAGCGGGGACAGCATCTCTCAAATGGGCTTTTGTGGCTTTCAGGAGCCTGGGTCTCACTATGGTCACAGGGAGCTGGAGCAAGAGAGGAGGTATCCTAGTTAGCCCTAGCTGCGCAGCTGAGCCACTGCGCCTGGCCTGGTTGACATTCTTAACTATGGTTTTTCTAAAAATAATGAAACATTACTCTTAAAAGAGCCAAAACTAGTTCTTGATTTCTTTTCTAATTATTCTTCCTTTTTGCGGATATCTTCTTCTTGTATCTTTACCACAGCATACATTTCATCTATGCAAAAATGCGGTTCCTAATGAGCACCTACTTTGCCTTGGCAATAAGTAACAGTTGTATCTGACACTTCAATTTTTAAACTTTAATTTGCTATTCAGTTCCTTCTTACTTAAGCAACTTTTTGTGGAGTGTTGTATGTTAAAATTAAGCAACTTTATTCAAAAGTGATCCAGATAGTTCGAAAACAAGCTTGGTATGCCGAGAAGTTTTGTACAAAATAAAAAGAAATGGTTATAGCTTTGTAGTAAATGTGATAATTACGTAAAACTATTACAACTTTAGAGTTATTTTAAAATGATTTCTATTCACTTTTTTTTTTTTTGAGACAGTCTTGTTCTGTCCCCCAGGCTAGAGTCCAGTGGCACAATCTTGGCTCACTGCAATCTCCGCCTCCTGAGTTCAAGTGATTCTCATGCCTCAGCCTCCTGAGTAGCTGGGACTATAAGCACCCACCACCACGCCTGGCTATTTTTAGTACTTTTGGTAGAGATGGGGTTTCACCATGTTGGCCAGGCTGGTCTTGGAACTCCTGACCTCAAGTGATCTGCCCACCTTGGCCTCCCACAAGTGCTGGGATTACAGGCCTGAGCCACCATGCCTTGCCTATTTCTATTCACTTTTTAGAAGTGATTGATGTACCAAAGGCACATCAGATAATTTAGTATTAGATCAAATGTGGTAAAGGCATAAATCAGTGATGTTTTAGCCACAAGCATCTGAAATTGACTATTGTTACTATAGGCAGCACATTGGGTTTTTAGAAGGATATTGGTCACTTGTAGAATTTCTACAAGATGTGGAGAAAGAGGTTGGGAGATTTTTTCCAACTTTTTCCTACCTGGGTCAGAGATGCAATGCTTGGAGGTGGTGTAACTATTTTGTGACTGTGAAGACAAAAGTCACACACTAGTTGTATTAGTTAGGGTTCTCCAGAGGGGCAGAACCAATAGAAGTATATGTACATTTATACTTTTATATATAATAATAATATACATAACACATTTTTATATATTTTGTAAATATATATATTTATGAAATGTACCCATGTATATGTGAGTATATTAGAGAGAATTGGCTCAGATGGTTACAAGGTAAAGTCTCACAATATGCTGTATGCTAACTGGGGAATGAGAAAAGCCGGTAGCGTGACTCAGTGCAAGTCCAAAAGCCTCAAAACCAAGGAAGCCTATAATGCAGCTCTTAGTCTGAGGGCGAAGAACTGAGAGTCCCTGGGAGGCTGCTGCAGGTCCTAGAGTTCAAAGGCCGAAGACCCTGGAGTCTGATGTTCCAGGGCAGGAGGAGAAGAAGGCTCCCTCTCGGGAAGGGGGACTAAGGAATCTCAGCAAGGTGGATATTCGCCTTCTTCTGCTTGCATTGTTTCAGCCATGCTGGCAGCCATTTGAATGGTGCCCGCCCACAATGAGAGAGAGTCTTTCTCTCTCAGTTCCTTGACTCACATGTTAATCTCTTCTGGAAACATCCTCACAGACACACCCAGAAACAATACTTTACCAGCCATCTAGCAGCCCTCAATCCAGTCAAGCTGACATCTAATATTAACCATCATGCTAGTGAAGCAGGAAGTTAGAATGGCCTTAGGGACTTGAATTCTTTGAGTTGATACAGCAGCCTTGGACTTCCTACCTCTGAACATTTTCTTATTTGAGAAAAATAAAACCATATTTGGTGCAATCACTGTAGTTGGGTGTTCTGTTACTTGCAGCCAGATGCACTCCAAATTGACATTTTCTGCAATAACCAGGCTGCTGTTAAGGAACTTATCATATCATATTGAAACCTGAAATTTTACTGTATGTGTCTCCTATTGAACACAAAGTTCCTTGAGTTCAGAAATTACCATCTCTGCATTCCTGATATTCTAGCACCTCCTGGCAAAAAGCTGGGGCTTTATAAATGTTAGGAGAATAAATGTGGTGGATAACAGTCTTCTATCATTTACATATTCTATACTGTCTCATTGCAGCTTAGACACTCTGAGTCATATTTAAGAGACTTGGTGATTCATTGGATGTGGCAAAAAGAGAGAGAAAGAAGGGGAGAGATTTAAGATGACTTCTAGGAGTCTGGATCAAGCAATTATAAATGAATTTAATGATAGTTGCCAAAATAGGAAACATAAAATGAGCAGTATATTTGAGAAGACAATGGGGTTTATTGCTATATAGACAGATGAGAAAACTGACTGAGAGGATTCAATATCTTGCCTAAGATCAAACCACCACCAAGTGGCAGAGCAAGAAATCAAATTTAGGAGGAGCCATACATTTCAGCCACAGCAGTACTACTGGAGTGACTAAAATGTCTACTCCTCTATTTCTGCAAGCATCTGTGAGCACAGCCAGGAGTTGTGACCAGGATGTTTCAACTGCTGAGAGCATCTAGATACATCAATATTAATGTTAGGTCTTTTAAAACATCATAAACTTTTTAGGCTGGTTGCAATGGCTCACACCTGTAATCCCAGCACTTTAGGATTGGTGGGTGGATCATCTGAGGTCAGGAGTTCGAGACCAACCTGGCCAACATGGTGAAACATGGTGAAACCCTGTCTCTACTAAAAATACAAAAATTAGCCAGGCGTGGTTGCAGGTGCCTGTAATCACAGCTACCTGGGAGACTGAGGCAAGAGAATAGCTTGAACCTGGGAGGTGGAGGTTGCAGTGAGCCGAGATCATGCCACTGCACTCTACAGAGTGAGACTCCATCTCAAAAAAAAAAAAAAAAAAAAAAAATCAACCTTTTTCAAAGAAAATATCTTGAGAAATTATTTCTCAAATATCCAAATGAACCTGTATTTCTGGACTGCAATATCCCATATACGTATGGGTGTTTGTGTCCTCATCAAATACTTCTAATTTTACAATTAAATTTTCTTAATTAATTTTATGAAGGAAAGTTCCTATTATAGAGTATAAAATTGTAAGTGCTTAAAAGTCTTCCCAAACTAAAGGCAACCCACAGAATTATAACAGCAGCATACATCCAACCCTCCTTTTATTGTTTTTATCTGTATACTAGGAATATTACTTAATTCAAATGATTAAATGAGTTAATACATTTAAAATACTCAGCATCATATCAGGCACTTAGTAGGGACTTTGTAAATATAGGCTACTATTATGAATGATAGTTTTAATTCCAATTTTCAGCAAGAATTTATTGAATACCTACTCTATTCCAAGCATATATGGACTCAAAACCCTACTGTGTTTAAAATTAGCCTTTTCAGCAAAATAAAGGTTCGAAATTTTCATCCTTTAAACTAATGTAGGATTTAAAAAAATTATTAACATTAGATTTACAAAAATTGCTTTTCTCTGAGTCATGTTTAAGCTAAAATTTCTTATCAAGCATAAACAAATCACATGCCATAATTGTATAAAATTCACTTCAAACTCACATGGAACAATGCACATTTCTTTAACAGGCTAGGAATCACATATTTGTTTAAGCAATTGGAAACTTTACAAAATCTTGTGTTTAAGATATTACTTTTTAATATCCTTGCATTAAATAAAAATGATTACTTTTTAATATTGCTGGAAACCATCGTATCCCCAATTGTAAAGATATATTTCTTGTGTGATTTTATTATATGCTTAATAATAGTACCTGTGAGCTCAGATTTCTTTTGAATAAAATTGATTGGAAACAATATCTACCCTAAAGCATCTTTAATGTCATTATAGATGGGTAGGAGTAAATTAAGCGGTATTTAGGCACCAAAGTCTTTAATTTCATTGCATTTGAGTAGGAGTTAGACATTATGAGGTCCAATTTTAAAAGTCGCTAATGTTTTTACATCTGAGTAGGAGTAAATTAAACAAAATCACTCCTGAGCTGCTAATATCATTTTAATTGAATGTCATTCGGTTTCTAACTGCTGTTATAACACTGCAGATAATGAGGCTGTTTCTACAAAGCATCTGAGACAGGGCTGTGGCTGCTGAAAATAAAGCTATAGGTTAGGAGATGATAGGGCAGGCTCTGGAACCTGCAAAAATAAGCCAACTGCCGTCGATGGGAGAGGTGACATTCTGTTTGATGACATGACCTACATGGATTAGATCTATTGGATCACGGAGTCTAAATATCTGCTGGCTGCAAGTTGGATTGTTATTTGTGGGGGGAATTGACATTGGAAAACTACATCCTTCCCGATCATGAGATTTGTAGACTCTGAAAGCTAGAAGCACTAATCCCATTTATTTTGCCATCATGAATTATTCATAGGGTTTGATTCAATGGAAAGTTTGATGTTGAAATAATAATTAAGAAAGACATCCAAAAAAAATAGACTGCTAACTTGAAGACATTCAAAGAAATACAAACAGTCAATAAAAAGTTTCTTCTGCACTTATGGTTATTTTTTGGGACCTTGAAAGATTTTAATAATTGGAGGAAGAAAAATTTTAAAAGTAAATCCAGGTTTGGTATCTAATCCATATAGCACGATTACTATTATTCTCTATTGAAGCTAACAAAGTTTTAGGTGGGAAGCAGATTTGTAAATGAAAGCTGCTATTAGACCTTTTAAAAATTTGATTTACATTTTTATCAAATACTGTTTATATACATTGCTTTACAAGTCGAAGTCAGTTAACATAAAATATGTTATATTTACATAACATAAAAATGTTAGCTGTTTTGTTCGCCATTTTGCTCCATATTTCTTAATATTAATTATATATATATATATATTTTTTGAGACGGGGTTTCGCTCTCATTGCTCAGGCTGGAGTACAATGGTGCGATCTCAGCTCACTGCAACCTCTGCCTCCTGGCTTCAAGCAATTCTCTTGCCTCAGTATCCCGAGCAACTGGGATTCCAGGGCATGCCACCATGCCCAGCTAATTTTTGTATTTTTAGTAGAGACAGGGTTTCACCATGTTGACCAGGCTAGTCTCGAACTCCTGACCTCAGGTGATCCACCCGCCTCAGCCTCCCAAAGTTCTGGGATTACAGACGTGAGCCACCGTGCCCAGCCAGCCTATTTTGTTATCTTCAGCTTTAGAAATTGTCTATTTACTTTGAATTATACAAGATGAGAAAGCAGCACTCTTTGACACTTCCTGCCACCCCCACATACCTCCTCCTAATACATGCACATCAGCGTTTTTTGTTAAATTCATATTTAGAGTTTGATTTTTATGACTAAGTAAATAATACATGGGTTGTACTAAGATTGCATTTTCTTTTTAAGTACAACTTTTTAAATTTTTTATGAGATGGAGAATCACTCTGTCACCCAGGCTGGAGTGCAGCGGTGTGATCTCAGCTCACTGCCTCCTGGGTTCAAGCCAATTCTCCTGCCTCAGCCTCCGAGTAGCTGGGATTACAGGTGCCTGCCACCACTCCCGGCTTTTTGTATTTTTAGTAGAGACGGGGTTTCACCATGTTGGCGAGGCTGGTCTTGAACTCCTGACCTCAGGTGATCCACCCACCTCGGCCTCCTGAAGTGCTGGGATTATAGGCATGAGCCACTGCGCCTGGCCTTAAGTACAACTTTATTTTATTATTACTGAAATTAATGACTGCCTTTAAAAAATATATATATTTTTAGTATCTATCACTAATTCTTCTCCAAACTCTCCACTAGAACCATGAAATGCCTTTCAGTGGGGCCATACACATCACCTAATCTCTCAGTTCTACTTTATTTTTTCCCTTAAAAAAAATCACCCCGGTTCCCTTCTGTCATTTGTTCTAATCAGGAATGAGCTACCTAGGTCTACCCTACAGCTGTCATTTTAGGGCTCATCTTCATCCCTCTGTACACAGGTTACCTGGTGCAGTGGAGACCGTTAATTGCCCTTAATTATCCATTCACCCTCTGTTTCACAATAGTAGAACTAGTAGAATTTTTTAGCTGGTAATGTAGCTGCTGATGTTATAAATAATTCTACATTTTCCAGCCTTTCTTATTCTAGGTGTGGCTATGTGGCTACATTCTGGCCAATGGAATGTAAGTGGAAATGTTATATAACAGATGTAACAGATTCTGGAAATTTTTTTTTGTTTGTTTTGTTTAAGACAGTCTTAGCTGGGCGAGGTGGCTCACATCTGTAATCCTAACACTTTGGGAGGCCAAGGCAGGTGGATTGCCTGAGCTCAGGAGTTCGAGACCAGCCTGGACAACACAGTGAAACCCTGTCTCTACTAAAATACAAACAGTTAGTCGGGCGTGGTGGTGTGCACCTGTAGTCCCAGCTACTTGGGAGGCTGAGGCAGGAGAACCGCTTGAACCCAGGTGGCGGAAGTTGCAGTGAGCTGAGATCTTGCCACTGCACTCCAGACTCTGTCTCCAAAAAAAAAAGGCAAGAGTCTCACTCTGTCACCCAGGCTGGAGTGCAGTGGCAGGATCTTGACTCACTGCAACCTCTGCCTCCCAGGTACAAGCAATTCTCATGCCTCAGCCTCCCAAGTAGCTGGGACTACAGGTGTGAGCCACTAAATTTTGCATCCTTTTTTTTTTTTTTTGGCAGACATGGGGTTTCACCATGTTGGCCAGGCTGGTCTCGAACTCCTGGCCTCAAGTGATCCACCCGCCTTGGCCTCCCAAATTGCTGGATTTACAGGCATGAGCCACTGCACCTGGCCAGATTCTGGAAACATTATTTAAGAAATAACTAGTATGTTTCCTTTTCCCTTTTTTGAAACACTCTCCATTCTGTTGCTCAGAACATGGATGCCACCTTGGACTAGGAGGATGAACCTGCCTGGGCGTGCCACAGTGGTGGGCCACCAACAGTGTAAAACAGGCTACAGTAACCAAAACAGCACGGTACTGGTACAAAAACAGACATATAGACCAATGGAACAGAACAGAGAGCTCAGAAATAACACAGAAATAGCATCACACATCTACAACCATCTGATCTTCAACAAACCTGACAAAAACAAGGAATGGAGAAAGGATCTCCTATTCAAGAAATGGTGCTGGGAAAACTGACTAGCCATATGCAGGAAACTGAAACTGGACCCCTTCCTTATACCTTATACAAACATTAACTCAAGATGGATTAAAGACTTAAAGGTAAAACCCAAAACCATAAAAATCCTAGAAGAAAAGCTAGGCAATACTATTCAGGACATAGGCATGGGCAAAGACTTCATGACGAAAATGCCAAAAGCAATTGCAAAAAAGCCAAAATTGACAAATGGGACCTAATTAAACTAAAGAGCGTCTGCACAGCAAAAACAAACAAACAAACAAACAAACAAACAAACAAACAAACAAACTATCATCAGAGTGAACAGGCAACCTACTGAATGGGAGAAAATTTTTGTAATCTACCCATCTGACAAAGGTCTACTACCCAGAATTTACAACGAACTTAAAACAAATTTATAAGAAAAAAAACAAACGACTCCATCAAAAAGTGGGCAAAGAATATGAACAGATACTTCTCAAAAGAAGACATCTACATGGCCAACAACCATATGAAAAAAAGCCCAATATCACTGATTATTAGAGAAATGCAAATCAAAATCACAATGAGATAGCATCTCACACCAGTCAGAATGGCGATTATTAAAAAGTCAAGAAACAATAGATGCTGGCAAGGCTGTGTAGAAATAGAAACACTTTTACACTGTCGGTGGGAATGTAAATTAGTTCAACAGTTGTGGAAGACAGTGTGGTGATTCCTCAAGGATCTAGAACCAGAAATACCATTTGACCCAGCAATCCCATTACTGGGTATATACCCAAAGGATTATAAATCATTCTACTATAAAGACACATGCACATATGTTTATTGCAGCACTCTTCACAATAGCAAAGACTTGGAACCAACCAAAATGCCTATCAATGATAGACTGGATAAAGAAAATGTGGCACATAAACACCAGGGAATACTATGCAACCATAAAAAAGGATGAGTTCATGTCCTTTGCAGGGACGTGGATGAAGCTGGAAGTCATCATCCTCAGCAAACTAACACAGGAACAGAAAACCAACACTGCATGTTCTCACTCATAAATGGGAGTTGAACAATGAGAACACATGGACACAGGGAGGGAAACAACACACACCAGGGCATGTTGGGGGATGGGGAGTGAGGGGAGAGAACTTAGAGGACAGGTCAATAGGTGCAGCAAATCACCATGGCACATGTATATCTATGTAACAAACCTGCATGTTCTGCACATGTATCCCAGAAATTAAAGTAAGATTAAAAATCAATCAATCAATCAATCAAGTCCAAATTCATCCTTTAGCATGTGGATATTCAGTTGTCCCAACACCATTTGTTAAGACTGTCTTTTCCCCATTGAATGTTCTTTGCATGCTTGAAAATCAATTGACTATCAATGAGTAAGATTATTTCTGGACTTTCAGTTATGTTCCATTGATATATTTGCCTATCTTTTTACCAATACCACACTATTTTTATGATTGTAGATTTGTAGCAAGCTTTGAAATTGGAAAGTGTGAGCCTTCCAACTTTATTACTTTATTCCAAAATAGTTTTGTCTATCTGGGGTCCCTTGAATTTCCATATGAATTTTAGGATAATCTTGTCCATTTCCGTAAAAAGGTAGCTGGAATTCTGCTAGGGATTGCATTCAATCTGCAGATCAATTTGGGGAGTATTATCATCTTAACAATACTATCATCCAGTTCATGAATGTGAGGGCTTTCTATTTAGGTCTTTTGAATTTATTTTAATAACATTTTATAGTTTTCAATGTGCAAATATTGCACTTTTTTTAAATGTACAAGTTAAATTTATTCCTGTTTCTTTTTGATTCTATTGTAAATGGAAGTTTTCCTAATTTTGTATTTGGGTTTTTCACTGCTAGTATATAAAAATACAACAAAGTATTATAGGTTTTATCCTTTAAGTTTGTGGAACTCACTTATTAGCTTTAATTGTATTTTGGGGGGTTCTTTGAGATTTTCTTCTTCTTCTTCTTCTTTTTTTTTTTTTTTTTGAGACAGGATCTCACTCTGTCACCCAGGCTGGAATGCAGTGACATGATTACAGCTCACTGCAGCCTCGACCTCTGGGCTCAAGTGATTCTCCTGCCTCAGCCTCCCAAGTAGCTGGGACTACAGGAGTGTGCCACCACACCTGGCTATTTAAAAAAATTTTTTTTGGTGGAGATAGGGTTTTGTCAAGGCTGGCTTCTCTCTCCTGGGCTCAACCAATCCTCCCACCTTGCCTTCCCAAAGTGTTGGGATTATAGGCATGAGCCAAAATACCTGGCCAGGATTTTCTACATACAAAATTATTTCATTTGCAAATGAAGATATTTTGCTTCTTCCTTTTTAATATGAATGCCTTCTATTTCTTTTTGATGCCTAATTGCCTATCCAGAACTTCCAGTACTATGTTGAATAGAAGTGGCAAGAGTGGACATCCTTATCTTATTTCTAACCTCAGCAGGAAGTTTTTAGTCTTTCACCATTGACTATGAAGTTAGCCATGGGTTTTTCATTGAAGCCCTTTATTAGGTTAAGGAAGATGCTTTCTATTCCTAGTTTGTTGAATGTTGTTGTTGTTGTTGTTTTTTTTAACATAAAAGTCTGCTGGGTTTTGATGAATGCCTTTTCTGTGTTTATTGAGATCATCACATTTAGTTTTTCCTTTATTCTATTAATATGGTGTATTACATTGATTGATTTTCATATTGAACCATCTTTGCATTTGGGGAATAAATTCCATTTGATTGTGGTGTATAGTCCGTTCAATATGCTGCTGGATTCAGTTTGCTATTATTTTGTTGATGATTTTGCATCTGTAGTAATAAGGGATATTGGTCTGTAGCTTTTTTCTCTTGTGATGTCTTTGCCTGGCTTTAGTATCAGGGTAACAGTGGCCTCATAGAGTAAGTCGGGAAGTGATTCTTCCTCCTCTATTTTTGGCAAGTGTTTGAGAAGAATTGCTACTAATTCTGCTTTAAAGGTTTGGTAGCATTCACCAGTGAAACACTCTGGGATTGAGCTTTTCTTTGTTGGAAGTTTTTCAATTGATGACTCTATCTGTTTATTTAGTATAGTTCTGCTCAGATTTTCTATTTCTTCAAGAGTCAGTTTCGATAGTTCGTGTGTTTCTAAGAATTTGTTCATTTCACCTAGATCAACTAATTTGTTGGTATGCAATTGCTCATAATATTCCTTTATGATCTTTCTATTTTTATAAGATTAGTAGTGAAGTCCCCTCTTTCATTCTTGATTTTAGTAATTTCAGTCTCCTCTTTTTCACTTGTCAGTTTAACTAAAGGTTTGACAACTTTGTTGATCTTTTCAAAGAACTAATTTTAGGCTTTGCTGATTTTCTTTATTATTTATATATTTGCTATTTTGGTTATCTCTGCTGTACTCTTTATTATTTCCTTCTTTCTCTGGATTTAGTTTGCTTCTCTTTTTCTAGTTTCCTTTTTTTTTTTTTTTTGAGATGGAATTTTGCTATTGTTGCCCAGGCTGGAGTGTAGTAGCACAGTCTCGGCTCACTGCAACCTCTGCCTCCTGGGTTCAAGCGATTCTCCTGCCTCGGCCTCCTGAGTAGCTGGGATTATAGCCGTGTGTCACCACACCCGGCTAATTTTTGTAGTTTTAGTAGAGATGGGGTTTTACCATGTTAGCCAGGCTGGTCTCGAACTCCTGGCCTCATGATCCACCCACCTCGGCTACCCAAAGTGCTGGGATTAAAGGCATGAGCCACCGTGCCTGGGGTCTAGTTTCTTAAGCTTAAAGATTAGGCTGGGTGTGGTGGGTCACCCCTGTAATCTCAGCACTTTGGGAGGCTGAGGCAGGTGGATTGCTTGAGCTCAGGAGTTCAAGACCAGACTGGGAAACATGGTAAAACTGCATCTCTACAAAAAATACAAAAATTAGCTGGATGTGGTAGCATGCACCTGTAGTCCCAGCTATTTGGGATGCTGCATAAGGAGGGTGGCTTGAGCCTGGGATGTCTAGGCTGCAGTGAGCCATGTTGCCACCACTGCACTCCGGTCTGGGAAACAGAGTGAGACCCTGTCTCAAAAAAAGAAAATAAAAAATTTAGTTATTTATTTGAGGTCTTTCTTCTTTTATAATGCAGGCATTTACAGCTATACATTTCTTCTTGAGCAATGATTTCACTGCATCCCATAAATTTCCCTAGTGATTTTTTTTTGACCCATTAGTTATTTAGGAATATGTTCTTAATTTCCATATATTTGTGAATTTTCCAAATTTCCTCTGTTACTGATTTCTGATTTCATTCCATTGGTTTCAAAGAACATACTTTTTATGATATCAATCTTTTAAAATTTAATGAGATTTGTTTCATGTCCTAACATACTATCTTAGAAAATGTTCCAGGTGCAGTTGAGAAAAATGTGTATTGTGCTGTTGTTAGGCAGACTGTTCTATAGAAGGCTGTTAGTCTAGTTGGTTTATAGTGTTTCTCAATTCTTCTATTTCCTTGCTGATATTTTTTTCAGTTGCTTTATCAGTTATTGAAAGTGGGCTACTGACGTCTCCAACTACTGTCCTTGCATTGTCTATTTCTTCCTTCAGTTCTGTCAGTTTTTGCTTCATGTATTTTAGGGCTCCATTGTAAACTGCATATATGTTTATAACTATTATTTTTTGATGGATGAACCATTTTATCATATAATATCCTTTTTGTTTCTCATAATCTTTTTTGTTTTAAGGTGTATTGTCTCATTAGTGTAGCCACTCCAATTCTTTTTCGGTTTCTGTTAGTATGGAATATCTTTTTTTTTTTTTTAAATCTTTTACTTTTAATTTCTTTGAGTCTTTGAATCTACAGTGAGTCTCTTATAAGCAGCATGTAGTGGGACCATTTAAAAAAATCTGTTCTGCCAATCTATATCTTTTAATTGGAGAGTTTAATCTGTTTTCATTTAATGTAATTACTGATAAGGGAGGACTTAATGCTCCTATTTCACTATTTTTTAATGTCTCATATCCATTATTCCCTTTCAATTCCTCCATTACTGGCTTCTTTTGTGTTAAAAAGGTATTTTGTAGTGGACCATTTTAATTCTCTTTTTGGTTCCTTCACTAATGTTTTTTTTTCTCTTTTTTGAGTTATTTCTTAATGATCACCCCTGGGATTATAATTAACATTTTAATTTATAACAATCTGATTTAGATTAATACCAACTTAGTTCCAATAATTTACAAAAATGTTGCTCCTCTATGTCTCCATTTACTTTCCTCTTTATAGTATTATTGCCACAAATTACGTTTGTACATTGTGTGGCCATTAATCTAGATTTATAATTATTGCATTATACAGTTATTTTAAAAATCATATAGAAAAACAGGAGTTACAAACAAAAAAGTACATTCATACTGTCATTTATGTTTACCTACATCATTACCTTTACTGGTGTTCTTCATTTAAAATGTGAATTCAAAGTTACTGTCTAGTGTCCTTTAACTTCAGCACGAAGGGACTACCTTTAGCATTTTTTGTAGGAGAGGTCTACTAGCAATGAACTCCCTGAGTTTTTGTCTGTCTGGGAATGTCTTAACTTCTCCCTTTTTTTTTTTTCCTGAGACAGAGTCTCTGTCGCCCAGGCTGGAGTGCAGTGGTGTGATCAAGCTCACTACAGCCTTGATCTCCCAGGCTCAGGCTCAAGTGATCCCCCCACCTCAGACTCCTAAGTAGCTAAGACTACAGGCATGTACCACCACTCCTGGCCACATTTTGATTTTTAGTAGAGATAAAGTCTTGCTATGTTGCCCAGGCTGGTCTTGAACTCCTGAGATCAAGCAATCCTCTTGCCTTGGCCTCCCAAAGTGCTGGGATTACAGGCATGAGACACAACGCCTGGCCTTCTACTTTTTTTGTTTTTTGAATGGAATCTTGCTCTGTCGCCCAGGCTGGAGTCCAGTGGTGCAATCTCGGCTCACTGCAACCTCTGCCTCCTGAGTTCAAAGCAATTCTCCTGCCTCAGCCTCCCGAGTAGCTGGGATTACAGGTGTGTGCTGCAATGCCCAACTAATTTTTGTATTTTTAATAGAGACAGGGTTTCACCATGTTGGCCAGGGTGGTCTCAAACTCCTGACCTAAAGTGCTGGGATTAAAGATGTGAGCCACCGCGCCAAGCCTCTCCTTTATTTTTGAGAGAGTTTGCAACATATAGAATTCTGGTTTGACAGTTTTTTCTTTTTCTTTTTTTCTGAGACAGAGTCTCGCACTGTCACCCAGGCTGGAGGGCAGTGGCGCAATCTCAGCTCACTACAACCTCTGCCTCCCAGGTTCAGGCAATTCCCCTGCCTCAGCCTCCTCAGTAGCTGGGATTACAGGCACGTGCCACCACGCCTGGCCAATTTTTTTTTGTATTTTTAATAGAGATGGCATTTCACCATGTTGGCCAGGCTGGTCTCAAACTCCTGACCTCTGGTGATCCACCCGCCTCAGCCTCCCAAAGTGCTGGGATTACAGGCGTGAGCCACCGCGCCCGGCCGACAGTTTTTTCTTTCAGCCCTTTCAATATTATCCCTTGCCTTCTGACTTAAATGATTTCTGATAACAAATCAGCCATTAACCTTATTGAGGACCCTTTGTTATATGTTGAATCACTTTCTTGCTGCTTTCAAGATCCTCTCTTTGTCTTTGTCTTTTGGCAGTTTACGATGTGTCTTGATGGGAATTTCTTTGAGTTTATCCTACTTGGAGTTTGTTGAAGTTCTTGGATGTGTAGATTTATGTCTTATATAAAATGTGGGAAGTTTTCAACCATTATTTATTTAAACATTCTGTCTTTATCTTTCTTTTCTCTTTCCTGGAACTTATATTTTACATATATTGGGATGCCTGATGATGTACCACAGATCTCTGAGGCTCTGTTCAATCTTCTTTATTCTTTCTGTTCCTTAAACAAGATAATATTAACTGATCTACCTTAAAGTTCATGGAATCTTCCTTCTTCCTGCCTGAATATGCTGATGAGTCTTTCTAATGAAATTTTCACTTCAGTTATCACATTTTCAACTTTGTTTATTTCTTAAATAATTTGTATCTCTTTAGTGATATTCTCTATTTTATCAGGCATCATTATACTTTTAGTTTTTTAGACACGGTTTCCTTTAGCTCTTTGAACATATTTAAAATAGCTGGTTTAAGTTCCTTGGCTAGGAAACCCAGCATTTGGGTTTTCTTTTTTTTTTTTTGAGAAGGAGTCTTGCTCTGTTGCCCAGGCTGGAGTGCAGTGGCACGATCTCAGCTCACTGCAAGCTCTGCCTCCTGGGTTCACGCCATTCTCCTGCCTCAGCCTCCTGAGTAGCTGGGACTACAGGCACGCACCACCACACCTGGCTAATTTTTGTATTTTTAGTAGAGACGGGGGTTCACCGTGTTAGCCAGGATGGTCTCGATCTCCTGACCTCGTGATCCGCCTGCCTCAGCTTCCCAAAGTGCTGGGATTACAGGTGTGAGCCACTGCGCCTGGCTGGGTTTTCTCAGATATAATTTTTACTGATTTTTTTTTTTCTGTATATGGGCCAGACTTTCTTTTCCACAATTTTTACTGATTTCTTTTTTTTTTTTTTCCTGTTTGTGAGCCATACCTTCCTGTTCCTTTGAACGCCTCATCATTGTTTTTCTTTGTTGAAAGCTGGATATTTTGAATAATATAATGTGGCAACTCTGGAAATCAGATTCTACCTCCTTCTCAAGGTTTATTTTTGGTGCTGCTTGTTGCAGTTGTAGTTGTTTTGTTTAGTGACTTTACTAAACCAAGTCTATACAGTCTGTGTTTTCTGTTATGTGTGGCCAATGCTGTCTCTATTCTATTAGCTTAGTGGTCAGCTAATGAGAGAACAGTTGCCTTAGAGGCATGGAATTTAAAAATCTTCCAGACTTTGTGGAAGGGCCACGTGTATGTTTTGGGGCATGCCTTCCAACACTCAGCCAGGCAATTGATAACTCTGCATTTGCCTTCACTTCCTGCTTGCGCAGAGCCATGACGTCATTCAGAGATAAGGTCTTAGGGCTTTCTCTGGTCTTTGCTGAGTATGTACATTGCCCTGAGTGGCATGTGGCCTTTTAGATTTCCAGGAGTAATCAAAGCCCATACGTAAATCTCATTCCCCTGCCTTTCTTCTCAAGATTTTGGTTAGTGTGTGGTTTGCTACAAATGTTATCCATTGTCTCAGGCAGCAGCAACTAAAATATTTGCCTGGAAATATTTTTGACAAATGGCCTTTGGGTAGTGGATTTAGCATTTAGTTACCAAATTAGGCAAAATAAAGATAAGCCTTTTGAGTGGGTCTTTCAGGAAGCCATCAGACAGATCGAATAAAGAGAATTCTTTTCAAGTGAGGTCTGTCTGTTCTTTATATTACCAAGTATATGGTATATTATTCTTAAGGATATTGCTTAACTGGGGAGTGAGGGATGGGTCTAGGGAAAGATAAAATGCCACAAAGCTCATAAATAAATTGTTATTACCAATATTCATTTGTTTTTCCTGAAAAACAGAAAGTTCCCTTGTGCCTCTTCCCAGTCCATTAATCTCTCCCATCCACAATAATTGATGTGATTTATATCACCATAGGCTAATTTTACCTATTCTAAAGCTTCATGTAAGTGGAATTATAAGTTATGTACATTTAAACAAATTAACCTTTTCATTTTGAGACAATTTTAGACAGATTTACAGGCAATTATAAGAAATAATACAGAGATTCTGTGTAAATTTTACCCAGTTTTTCCCAATGGTACTGTCTTGCAAAACCATAGTACAATAATCACAACAAAGATACTGATATTAATACAGTCAAGATACCGAACATTTCTATCACCACAGGAATCTTTCATGTTGTTATTTTATAGATACACCCACTTCCCTCCTACTCCCTCCGTATCCCTAACCCCTGGCAATTACTATTTTTTCTCTATTTCTAAAGTATTGTCTTTTGAAGAATGTTACATAAATGAAATAATATAGTATGTAACATTTTGGTTTGGCTTCTTTTTCACTGAATATAATTCTCTGGATATTCATTCAAAATATTGTGTGCATCCGTAGTTGGTTTCTTCAAATTGCTGAGAAGTATTCCATGATATGAATATACTGCAGTTTGTTTAACCATTTATTCGTTAAAGACAGCTGAGTTGTTTCCAGTTTTGGCTATTATGGATAAACCTGCTATAAACATTCATGTACAGGTTTTTGTGTGAAAATAAATTTTCGTTTCTCTTGGGGATGCACAAGATTGGAATTTCCAGTGAAACCATCTGTGTCTGGATATTTCTTTTTTGGGAGTTTTAAAATTATGAATTAAACTTTCTTAATAGTTATACGGCTATTCATATCATCTATTTCATATTGAGCGATTTGTAGTGTCTTTAATTGAAAAAAAAAAAAAAGGTCCATTTTGGCAGAGTGTGGTGGCTCATGCCTGTAATCCCAGCACTTTGGGAGGCTGAGGTTGGTGGATTGCTTGAGCCCAGGAGTTTGAGACAAGCCTGGGCAATATGGAGAGACCCTGTCTCTACAAAAAAAATACAAAAATTAGCCAGGTATGGTGGTCCACGGTTGTAGTCTCAGCTATTTGGGAGACTGAGGAGGGAGGATCACTTGAGCCTGGGAGTTCAAGGCTGCAGTGAATTATGTTTGCACGACTGCACTCCAGCCTGGGTGGCAGAGTGAGACCTCAAAAAAAAAAAAAAAAAACAAATCATTTTTTGGTCTAAGTTGTCAAATATATGTGTATAGTGTTATTCTTAATATTCCCTTATTACTCCTTTGATTTCTGCGTAGTCTTTAGTGATATACTCTGTTTACTTCCTAAGTTAGCAATTTCTGTCCTCTTTTATTCTTTGTTAATCTTGCTAGAGATTTTACAGCTTTTTTCAATTAACCAGTTATTTTTAAAATCAATTTTCTCTTGTTTTTCTGCTTTCCATTTCATTAATTTCTTCTTTTATCTTTATTATTTTCTTTTTTTAAAAACAATTTAAATCTTTTTTTTTCCATCCATGGGACTCCGCTTGATAAATCTTTATTATTTTCTTTTTTCTGTTTGCTTTGGGTTTATTTTGCTCTACTTACTCTAAGTTTTTGAGTTGGGAGCTTAGATTATTGATTTGTAATGTTTCTGTCTTCTTAAATGTATGCATTTAGTGCATACATTAAATAAATTTCTCTCTTAACACTGCTTTAGCGCAAATTTTCATATGCTGTATTCTCATTTTCATTCATTTCAATATACTTAAAAAAAATTCCCCTGAACCTCCTCTTTGATCCTCTTTGACCTCATGTCTTTTTTAAAAGTGTGTTGTTTGGTTTTTAAGTGTTTGCAAGTTTTCCTTTTATCATTCTGTTACTGATTTCTAGTTTGATTCCATTATTGTCAGAGAGCACACTGTATGATTGCAATTCTTTTAAATGTTTGGAGGTTTGTTTTATGGCCCAGGATAAGGGCTATCTTATGGTATATGTTCTGTGAGCACTTGAAAAGTATTCGTATTCTGCTATAATGTGCTCTATAATGTTTAGATCTTGTTGGTTGATGTTGATTTTGCAACTTTCCTTTTTTCTTTTAGAGACAGAGTCTCACGTGTCACCCAGGCTGGAGTGCAGTGGCACAATCTTGGCTCACTGCAACCTCCACCTCCCAGGTTCAAGCAATTCTCATCCCTCAGCAACCTGAGTAGCTGGGATTACAGGTGTGCGGCACCATACCTAGCTAATTTTTATACTTCTAGTAGAGACGGGGTTTCACCATGTTGGCCAGGCTGGTCTTGAGCTCCTGGCATCAAGAGATCTGCCTGCTTCTGCCTCCCAAAGTGCTTGGATTATAGGTGTGAGCCACTGCACCTGGCCTATGTTGTTGATTTTTTTAAAATATATTCTTGCTCACTTTTTGTCTAGTTGTCCTATCAAATTTTGGGAGAGGTGTGTTGTACCTGCTAGTTATAATCATGGATTTGTCTGTTACTTCAGTTCTATCAGTTTTTGCTTCTTTGGAGTCTGTTGTTTGATGCATTTAGATTTAGGATTGCTATGTCTTTTTGGGGATTAATCTTTTTCATCATTATATAATGTCCCCTTCTGTCTCTAGTAACCAGTTTTTTTTTTTTTTGCTCTGAAGTCTACTTTATCTGAAATTAATATAGTCAGTCCTATTTTCCTTAAATTAGTGTTTGCATGGTATATATTTTTCCATCTTTTTAGTTTCAATCTTTCTATATTGTTATGTTTGAAGTGAGTTTCTTATAGACAGCATAGGATTGGGTCATGTTTTAAAAATCATTCTGCCAATATCTGTCTTTTAATTGGTATATTTAGACCATTTACATTTAATGTAATTATTGATGTATTAGGGCTTCAGTTTGTCATTCTATTTTTTGTTTTCTTATTTGTTCTTTCTGTTTTTCTTTCTTTTCTTTTTTTTTGAGACAGAGTCTTGCTCTGTTGACCAGGCTGGAGTGCATTGGTGCAACCTTGGCTCACTGAAACCTCCACTTCCCAGGTTCAAGCGATTCTCCTGCCTCAGCCTTCCAAGCAGCTGGGATTACAGGCATGTGCCACTATGCCTGGCTAATTATTGTATTTTTAGTAGAGACAGAGTTTTGTCATGTTGGCCAGGCTGGTCTCGACCTCCTGATCTCAAGTGGTCCGCCCGCCTCAGCCTCCCAAAGTGCTGGGATTAAAGGCATGAGTCACTGTGCCCAGCTTCTCTCTGTTTTTCATTTGTCTGTTTCCTTTTTCCTGCCTTCACATGGGTTATGTGAATATCCTTAAGATTTCCATTTTAATTGAGCTACTGTCTTTTTTTTAAAACTTAAGTTTATCTCTTTGTATAGCTTTTTCTTTTTTTTTGAGACAGAGTCTCACTCTGTTGCCCAGGCTGGAGTGCAGTGGCACGATCTCCAGTCACTGCAAGCTCTGGCTCCTGGGTTCACGCCATTCTCCTGCCTCATTCACTCATTCTCCTGAGTAGCTGGGACTACAGCCACCTGTCACCAAGCCTGGCTAATTTTTTGTATTTATAGTAGAGATGGGGTTTCACCGTGTTAGCCAGGATGATCTTGATCTCCTGACCTCGTGATCCACCTGCTTCGACCTCCCAAAGTGCTGGGATTACAGGCGTGAGCCACCGCGCCCAGCCTTCTCTTTGTATAGCTTTTACAGTGGTTGCTATAAGAATTACATTTTACATACATAACTTATCATAGTTTACTGTTGTCATTTTACCATTTTGAATAACATGAATAAGAATAACCTTACCTGGCCAGGCACGGTGGCTCATGCCTGTAATCCCAGCACTTTGGGAGGCCGAGGCAGGTGGATCATGATGTCAGGAGTTCAAGACCAGCCTGGCCAAGATGGTGAAACCCCATCCCTACTAAAAATACAAAAAGTAGCTGAGTGTGGTGGCAGGCACCTGTAATCCCAGCTACTCGGGAGGCTGAGGCAGATAATTGCTTGAACCCGGGAGGCAGAGGTTGCAGTGAGCCGAGATCGTGCCACTGCACTCCAGCCTGGGTGACAGAGCAAGACTCCATCTCACACACACACAAAAATAATAATAATCTTACCTTTTTGTGTGTGTGTGTGTGTGTGTGTGTGTGTGAGACGGAGTCTCGCTGTGTCCCCCAGGTTGGAGTGCAGTGGCGCAATCTCAGCTCACTGCAAGCTCCGCCTCCCGGGTTCACGCCATTCTCCTGCCTCAGCCTCCCAAGTAGCTGGGACTACAGGCGCCCGCCAACACGCCTGGCTAATTTTTTTTTTTTTTGTATTTTTAGTAGAAACAGGGTTTCACCATGTTAGCCAGGATGGTCTCGATCTCCTGACCTCGTGACCCGCCCGTCTCGGCCTCCCAAAGTGCTGGGATTACAGGCGTGAGCCACTGCGCCCGGCCTCTTACCTTTCTTTATGTCCTTCTACCCTCTTCCATTTATAACATAATTTCTAGGAATTTCGTCTACATATATTTAAAATCACGTCTGTTAACGTTACAAAGATTACTTCAGCCATCAAACAAGTTTCGAAAACTCAAGAGAAGGAAAGTCTCTAGTATTTAGCTGTATTTTTGCTTATTGTGTTTTTTCTTGCTATATGATGTCCCAAGATTCTTTCTTTTATTGTTTCCTTTCTAATTAGAGAACCTCCTTTAGTCATTTCTTTTAGGGTAGGTCTACTGATAACAAATCCTCTTAGTTTTCTTTCATGTGAGAATGTGTTAATTTCCTTTTCATTCCTAAAAGATATTTTCACTGGGTTGACAGGATTTTCTCTTTCAGCACCTGAAAAATACTGTGTCACTTCTTTTGGGTTCACATGGTTTCTGATGAGAAATCCACTGTCATTAAAATCGTTTTCCTCTGTAGGTAAGGTATTGTTTTCCCCTGGCTGCTTTGAAAATTTTTTCTTTATCTTTGATATTTCTTGGAAGTTTAATTATTATATCTCTTGGAGTAAATTTATTTGGGCTTAGCCTGTTTCAGGTTAGCTCAGCTTCTTGAATATGTAGGTTTATGTATTTTGCATATAGTGCATACTTTTTTTTTTTTTTGAGATAGAGTCTGTCGCCCAGGCTGGAGTGCAGTGTCGCGATCTCAGCTCACTGCAATCCTGTCTCCCAGGTTCAAGTCATTCCCTTGCCTCAGTCTCCTGAGTAGCTGGGACTACAGGTGCATACCACCATGCCTGGCTAATTTTTGAATTTTTAGTAGACATGGGGTTTCGCCATGTTGGCCAGGCTGGTCTTGAACTCCTGACCTCAAGTGATCCACCTGCCTCGGCCTCCCAAAGTGCTGGGATTACAGCCATGAACCACTGAACCCTGCCTCAGCCATTGTTTCTTAAGGTAATTTTCAAGCATCACTCTTTTTCTCCTCTCCTTTTAGTACACAGATTACATGAACGTTAGAACTTCTTAAGGCCCGCAGGTGCCTCAGGTGCTTTTTATTTTTTTCTATTTCCTCCCTCCTTGTTGTTCAGATTTGGTATTTTCTATTGCATTCTTTCCTCAAGTTTACCAATTCTTTCTTCTGCTTGTTTTGTTTTGTTTCGTTTTTTGAGACGGAGTTTCACTCTTGTTGCCCAGGCTGAAGTGCAATGGCGTAGTCTCAGCTCACTGCAACCTCTGCCTCCTGGGTTCAAGCGATTCTCCTGCCTCAGCCTCCCAAGTAGCTGGGATTAAAGGCGCCTGCCACCACACCCAGCTAATTTTGTATTTTTAATAGAGAGGGATTTCACCATGTTGGCCAGGCTGGTCTTGAAATCCTGACCTCAGGTGATCGCCCGCCTTGGCCTCCCAAAGTGCTGGGATTACAGGCATGAGCCACCGCACCCTGCCTTCTTTTTATTTTTATAGAGACAGGGTCTCGCTATGTTGCCCAGGCTGGTTTCAAACTCCTGGACTCAAGCGATCCTCTGGCCTTGGTCTCCCAAAGTGCTGGGATTACAGGCGTGAGCCACTGTACCTGGCCTTTTGCCCTACCTTTTTTTTTTTTTAGTTGAAGTCTCCCTCTGTCACCCAGGCTGGAGTGCAGTGGCGCAATTTTGGCTCACTGCAAACTTTGCCTCCCAGGTTCAAGTGACTCTCCTGCCTCAGCCTCCTGAGTAGCTGGGATTACAGGCATATGCCACTACACCTGGCTAATTTTTGTATTTTGAGTAGAGACAGAGTTTCACCATGTTGTCCAGGCTGGTCTTGAACTCCTGGCCTCAAGTGATCTGCTCTCCTCAGCCTCCCAAGTGCTAGGATTACAGGCATTAGCCACTGCGCCAGGCCTGATTCTTTCTTTCGTACCCTCCTTTCTGCTATTGAGCCCAGCCATTTTGCTTCTAATTTTTGTTTATTTCTTTTGGATACCTGGAAATGGAATTGGTAGGTCATAAAACAGATGCACATTAACCTTTTAAAGAAATTACCAAACTATTTTCCAAAGTGGCTGTACTTTTATTTTTGGTGGGGATGGAGTCTTGCTCTGTCACTCAGGTCGGAGTGCAGAGGTGTGATCTTGGCTCACTGCAACCTCCACCTCCTGGGTTCAAGCAATTCTCTCACCTCAGCCTCCCAAGTAGCTGGAATTACAGGTGCGTGCCACCACAACTGGCTATTTTTTTTGTATTTTTAGTAGAGATGGGATTTCACCATGTTGGCCAGCCTGGTCTTGAACTCCTGGCCTCAAGAGATCTACTCTCCTCGGCCTCCCAAGTGCTGGAATTACAGGCATGAGCCACCACACCCGGTTGTG
This sequence comes from Homo sapiens, assembly GCF_000001405.40. Taxonomy (NCBI): domain Eukaryota; kingdom Metazoa; phylum Chordata; class Mammalia; order Primates; family Hominidae; genus Homo; species Homo sapiens. The sequence goes on along the minus strand of NC_000010.11, from coordinate 63,035,197 downwards.
ACTGTACTATTTTACACTCCAATTAGCAATATCTAAGAGTTCCAGTGGCTCCAAATCCTCTCCAATATTTATTATTATTTTTTCATTTTAGCTGTTTTAGTGAAAAGTGTCTTGTTGTGGTTTTGGTTTGTTTTTCCTGATGAGTACTGATGTTCAGCACTATTTCATGTATTTATTCAAGCTTTTTGTCTACTCTTTATTAAACTGTTTGTTATTAAGTTTTAGGAATTATTCATATATTTTTGTGTCCGGAATTGGTGGGTTCTTGGCCTCACTGACTTCAAGAATGAAGCTGCGGCCCCTCACGGTGAGCGTTACAGCTCTTAAGGTGGCACGCCTGGAGTTTGTTCCTTCTGATGTTCGGATGTGTTCGGAGTTTCTTCCTTCTGGTGGGTTTGTGGTCTCCCTGGCTCAGGAGTGAAGCTGCAGACCTTCACGGTGAGTGTTACAGCTCTTAAGGTGGTGCATCTGGAGTTATTCTTCCTCCCGGTGGGCTCATGGTCTCGCTGGCTTAAGGAGTGAAGCTGCAGACCTTCGCAGTAAGTGTTGCAGCTCATAAATGCAGTGTGGACCCAAAGAGAAAGCAGTAGCAAGATTTATTGCAAAGAGCGAAAGAACAAAGCTTCCACGGTGTGGAAAGGGACCCGAGCTGGTTGCCACTGCCAGCTCCGGCAGCCTGCTTTTATCCTCTTATCTGGCCCCCACCCACATCCTGCTGATTGGTAGAGTGGAGTGGTCTGTTTTCACAGGGCACTGATTGGTGCGTTTACAATCCCTGAGCTAGACACAAAGGTTCTCCAGGTCCCCACTAGATTAGCTAGATACAGAGTGTCCACACAAAGGTTCTCCAAGTCCCCACCAGAGTAGCTAGATACAGAGTGTCCATTGGTGCATTCACAAACCCTGAGCTAGACACAGGGTGCTGATTGGTGTGTTTACAAACCTTGAGCTAGATACAGAGTGCTGATTGGTGTATTTACAATCCCTGAGCTAGACATAAAAGTTCTCCAAGGCCTCACCAGAGTAGCTAGATACAGAGTGTCCATTGGTGCATTCACAAGCGCTGAGCTAGACACAGGGTGCTAATTGGTGTATTTACAATCCCTGAGCTAGACATAAAGGTTCTCCACCTCCCCACCAGACTCAGAAGCCCAGCTGGCTTCACCCGGTGGATCCCGCACCGGGGCTGCAGGTGGAGCTGCCTGCCAGTCCCGCGCTGTGCACCCGCACTTCTCAGCCCTTGGGTGGTCGATGGGACTAGGCGCCGTGGAGCAGGGGGCGGCGCTCATCGGGGAGGCTCGGGCCGCACAGGAGCCCACGGAGGGGGTGGGAGGCTCAGGCATGGCGGGCTGCAGGTCCCGAGTCCTGCCCCGCGGGAAGGCAGCTAAGGCCCGGCGAGAAATCGAGCGCAGCGCCAGTGGGCTGGCACTGCTGGGGGACCCAGTACACCCTCCGCAGCTGCTGGCCCGGGTGCTAAGCCCCTCATTGCCCGGGGCCGGCAGGGCCGACCGGCTGCTACGACGGCGGGGCCCGCCAAGCCCACGCCCACCCGGAACTCCAGCTGGCCCGCAAGCGCCGCGCGCAGCCCCGGTTCCCGCTCGCGCCTCTCCCTCCACACCTCCCTGCAAGCTGAGGGAGCCGGCTCCCGCCTTGGCCAGCCTAGAAAGGGGCTCCCACAGTGCAGCGGTGGGCTGAAGGGCTCCTCAAGTGCCGCCAAAGTGGGAGCCCAGGCAGAGGAGGCGCGGAGAGCGAGCGAGGGCTGTGAGGACTGCCAGCATGCTGTTACCTCTCATTTTGGAAGCAATACCTCTGCCAGATATACGTGTGCAAATATTTTCTCCCAAGTTGTGGCTTGTCAGTTAATTTTAATAATAACTACTTATGAGCATACCTTTTAAATTTTGGTGAAGTCTAATTTTTCACGTTTTAAAGGGTTAGTGCTTTTTGTGTTCTGAACAAACAATATTTATCTATTGAAGATCTTGAAGATACTATCTTATTTTCATCAAAAACTTCATAGTGGTTGACTTAAGAATGTAATTTTGAAGATGTCTTTAAGGAGCCTGCAGACTTTATTAATTGTTTTAGCTCCATATAGCTTCTGGGTTGGAGATTATTTTTTCTTCAGAATTTTTGAAACATTACAACATTATCTTCGGGCTTTCATTGTTGTAGTCGATACTCTCCTGAATCCTGATCCTTTCACTTATAAAATATTTTTTATTCCTGATGTTCTAAAATTTTGTGATGTCATATCTTGAATTTAGGCCTTTTGTTATTTATCCCTATTGAAGTTGTTGTTGTTACTGTTTTTAAACCTATTTTTACAAGCTCTATATATACAAAGGTTTTTAACCTTTTGTCATATACATTGCCATTTTTTAAAACCCAATGTATTACTTGTCCCTGGAGGTTATGTGTTTGCCACACAGACATTTTAAATTTTTATGTAATTACATTTCTTAGTGGTTTGTTATGTAGGTTTCGCTTTTCCTTAAGAATGACGGGCAGGGCGCGGTGGCTCAGGCCTGTAATCCCAGCACTTTGGGAGGCCGAGGCGGGCAGATCACAAGGTCAAGAGGTCGAGACCATCCTGGCTAACACGGTGAAACCCCGTCTCTACTAAAAATACAAAAAATTAGCCGAGCGTGGTGGCGGGCGCCTGTAGTTCCCAGCTCCTCGGGAGGCTGAGGCAGGAGAATGGCGTGAACCCGGGAGGCGGAGCTTGCAGTGAGCCGAGATTGCACCACTGCACTCCAGCCTGGGTGACAAAGCGAGACTCCCTCTCAAAAAAAAAAAAAAAAGACTCCCAGGTCTGAACTTATGCAAGCATTCTCCTAACATTTTCTATTTTCATTGCTTAATTTCTGAGTATGTATTTAAAACTTTAGTTTGTCTGGAATTTATGTTGGTATACAAAGGATATGTGGCTGTAATTTTACTATTATTATTGATCCCAGAAGGATAATGAGCAAAATGTATTAAGCAAATATTTTCCCTAAAGAAATTTGCCTCTTATTTCAAAAATTAATCTTTTTTTGCTACTGATTTGGTTTGTTTTCTTTGTGATACATTTAATTTTTATAGGTTTTGGATTATTTTATTCTACTGGTCTTTCTATTCTTGCCACCAAAAACATATTTAATAATTGTCATTCGTAATATTTAGTTTACCACTTTTCATAACTTATCCTTCATTGTTTATTCTTCCAAACATATTCTATTATTTTCTGTCAGATTAAAAATATTCTGTTGATATTTCATTGCATTTACATAGCATTTTTTTTGCTTTTTTCTTTTTTTCAATGGTCTTCTGTCTACAATGCACAGCAATTATCTAGGAATGGAAAACTTTATAACATTTAACTTTCTTGTCTAGATATATGCCACATTTATTCATTTATTGAAATTTTGCTTCATTAACAGCCTTCAACAAAGTAGTCTTCTTCATATTGTACACAGAAAGGTTTATTAACATATTTTTAGGCAATTAGCAAGGCATAGTGGCTCATGCCTGTAATCCCAGCAACTCAGCAGGCTGAGGTGGGAGGATCACTTGAGCCCTGTAGTTTGAGGCTGAAGTGAGCTATGATTGCACCAGTGTACTCCAGGCTGGGTGACGGGACAAGACCTCATCTCTTAAAATTTTTTTTTTTTAATTTTAGGTGATTAATTAACTATTAAGGAAAATGGGAATCAGACGTTTATATCACATACTCCAAATAAACTTCAGATGAATTAAATAGCTATGTATAGGAAAAGAAATGATAGAAACTACTAAAAAAATTAAGCAAATATTTTTCAGAGCTTAAAATAGGCAAGGATTTCCTAAACCTGCAGATAATACAAAAAAATGCAAAGGAAGCAACTATAACTTTTATTACATGAAATTTTTGAATAGAATAAAAAATTGATGGCAAAATCCTGGGAAAAAATATTGATACATATATAAAGAACAAATGATAGTCTGGGTCTCATGGCTCATGCCTGTAATCCCAGCACTTTGGGAGGCCTAGGTGAGAGGATTGCTTGAGCCCAGGGGTTTGTTACCAGCCTGGATAACATGGCAAAACCCTGTCTGTACAAAAAATAGACAAAAAAAAAAAAAAAAAAAAAAGCCAGGTGTGGTGGCATGTGCCTATCGTCCCAGCTACTTGGGAGGCTGAGGTGGGAGGATCATTTGAGCCTGGGAGGTTGAGGCTGCAGTGAGCTATGATCATGTCACTGTGCTCCAACCTGGGCAGCAGAGCGAGATCCTGTCTCAAAAAAAAAAAAAAGATAAATGTCCCTTGGTAGATCATATCATTGTTGCTAACTCCTTACATTCTCTCTGTAAGAGAATTACAAATTGCCTAGTTTATCATGTGACTTGGCAAAGCCTCCAAGTAAAATATGTGGCATAAACATATCGGCTCTTTTGATGTTATAATTGGCCTCAGGACTTGCTTTAGCCAATGGAAAGTTAGCAGATATGATAAAAACAGAGGCATTACATATGCTTGCATAGTTTGCTTTGGTCTCTTATGCTTCTGCCATCTGTCTTGGGATGAGCGTGTCCTGAGAAGACACTGGTCCCAGATTGAGAGACGTGGAGCAGACCTGTCTCCATGTAAGCTCGAAGCAGAGGTCCCCCACCATTCTATAGGACTATAAAGAAGAAATGATGCTTGCAATTGTAAACCACTAGGATTTTTTAAATTGTTTGGAGAATTATAATGGAAATACAGTCACGTATAAAGGACTTTCACAATTAATCAAGGAAATGCTGAAAACTTCAATTGAAAGTAAGCAAAAACCAAAACCAAAAAACAAGACTAGCCTAATATCCCTCTCCATCTCTTTCTCTCTCAGTCTCTCACTGTCTCATTCTCACACATATGTAGGCACAAAACATAAAATGCTAACAAACACTCAGAAAAGTGTTCAATCTTACTAATTATCAGACATATTCAGATTCAAATACCATTGACATATTTCGGAACTTCTCAACTTACTGCAATGGTAGTTTCAACTAGAGCATTGCAACTGGAGTTGAAACTACCATTTACAAAAAATAAAAAAAAGAAACTATGATTTTCTCTTTTTTTTGCAATAACTGATGAACAGGTCTCTCCTGATCCACTCTGATTGTTCACTAATTCATTCTCTCTATTTTTCTAGACAGAATTTCACTCTTGTTGCCCAGGCTGGAATGCAATGGCGTGATCTCAGCTCACTGCAACCTCTGCCTCCTGGGTTCAAGCGATTCTCCTGCCTCAGCCTTGCGAGTAGCTGGGATTGCTGGTGCCCGCCACCATGCCAGGCTAATTTTTTGTATTTTTAGTAGAGATGGAGTTTCACCATGTTGGCCAGGCTGACTTGAACGCCTGACCTCAGGCGATCCACCTGCCTTGGCCTCCCAAAGTGCTGGGATTACAGGTATGAGCCACAGCACTCGGCCTCATTCTTTATATTGCAGCTAAGAAGGCAAGTTTCAAAATTCAGATCCAATCATGTCACCCGTATTCAAAACTCCCCAGCTGTCTTTTGACCATTATCTCAAGCCACTCTCGTAATACTCTACTCATTTCCTTCAGTGCATTGATCTCAGTTTGTAATATTTTAGCGTGTATGATTTGTTCAATATCTACCTCTTATACCAAATCACACACACCAAGTAATCAGAGATTAGGTCTGTTTTTGCTTGCCATTGTATTCCTAGATAGACACTTGATAAATATTTGTTTAATCAATTAATGAACATTATTATTTTGTAATTAATTGGGGATGATGAAACAAAGTTAATACTCAGTGTTGGCAAAACTACAATAAAGGAGGCACTCTCAGAAAATGCTGCTAGCATTATAAATTAATGTTATCCTTTTGCAGGAAATTTTTATAACATACAGATTTACAGTTTTCATGCCCTTCAACTCAGTCATTTAACTTTTAAAAATTTAATCTGCTATAATAATTAAGGAAGCACTCCACAATTATGGAAAATGAAACAGTATATATTTTAGAAAAAATTAGAAGAAACCCACTGTTTATTAAGTTGTTAAATTATGATATGACCAAGTGATAGGAGATTATGTAGCCATGGAAAACTGCTCATAATACTGTTTAGTGAAAAGAAAAAGGAAGATGCAAAATAAAATATTTAAAATTACTTATACTATGTAAAACCAAATCAAATACATATACATTTATTTTTTAAAAACTTGAAAAAACCTAAATTTGAGTTATATTAAATTTAAGAACAAATTAGAAAAATGTATTTATAATTTTTATCACTTTATGTTTTCTTTAACAGAAGCATATGGTTTTATAATTAGGAAAAATGATCTGAATAAAACTGATAAAATACTAGTTTGTGTATTTTATGCATTTTAACTTACCATTTTTGGTATGTTTACTATACTATCAGACTATATTTTTAGTATAATTTTGAGTATTTTACTTGAATGTACTTGAGTATTACATATTTATCTCACCTCTAGACATCTTTATTAGCTGTTTGATTAATTAATGTCATCTTCATTTTTTTACTTGTTGGTTTTCTAAACATATAGTCTGCGAAACTATAGTTAGGGAGTGGGCTAAACTGCTATAGGGAAGAGACCCCAAAATGCAATCCAGAGTTGAGTGGTCCAGAAAGTTGGGCGGCTCTGGTTTGCTAGAAAGTCAAGGACTCAATTCCTTCCATCTTGTTGTTCTATTTTCTGGGGGTTGTCTTTATCCGATCAGTTCTGGGCCACTAGCTTATCACAGTCCAGTCTATAGGAAAATGGAAAGAATAGAAGCAGAAGACAATTTCCTTTAAAATAAGTCACATGGAGGTTGCAAAAATCACTTCAGCTCATCTTCCATTGTTTACAGCTTAGTCAGATGGTCACATCTAGCTATAAAGGAGTCTGGGTAATATAGTTTATAACTGGGCACCATATGGTTAGTGAACATACTGTTACTATACAGTGAAGATAAATTTGGGAGGACAACAAGAAGTCTACCCCTTGGGTCAAATCACATGATGCATAGTGCTAGATTATTCTTTAGAATGGCTGTAAAAGTTTATACCTTCTTCAGCATTTTATGATGGTGACTACTGCACCATGTCCATTTCCAGCACTGAGTATTATAATTTAAGATTTCCCCATTTAAAGATCAAAATGGTAATTTTTATTTAATTTGCATGACATTGAACATTTTTTTCCTCATTTGTATCTCTTTTTCTGTTTGGTTATCTATTGTGATGTTTAAAAAGTATATCCACAAATTCCTTGATACTCTTTCTTTACAAGATGGAGCTTAATTTTCCTCCTCTTGAGTACAGACAGGATTTAGCGGCTTGCTTCTAAGGAAGAGAATATAGTGGAAGCGATGGTGTGTGATTTCAAGACTAGGTTATAAAAGGCATTCGTGGCTTCCTTTTTGTGCTCTTTCTTGGTTTGCTTTCTTTGGGGGACACTAGCTGCCATGTCACGAGTTTTCTCAAGTGGCCCTTCATGGACGTCTATGTGATGAGGAAGTGAGACCTTCTGCCAACAGCCTTGTGAAACATGCTATTTGGTCATGTTGTATTATCCTTTCTACGTATTGCTGGATAAATTCAGCTGGCTAATAGTTTATTTGGAATTTGGATTGATTTTCATGATTAAGCTGATCTGCAATTTTTTCTTTCTTACAAAGTCCTTGTCAAGTTTTAGTAATCAGTTTACTTTTTTTTTTTAATAAAAGAAGTTGAAGAATGTTCCTTTTTTCCTACTACTTAGAAAATTTTATGTAAGACTGGCCTTTCTTAAATATTTGGCTACATTAGCTGATAAATTCATCTAGACCTGGGGTTTCATTATGAGGAGATTTTTAATGACAGATTCAATTTCTTGATTGCTATAGAACTAGTTACATTTGTATTTCTTATATAACTTCTGGAAAGTTTAATTCTCTAGAGATTTGTCCATTTCATTTAAAATTTTCCAAATGTATCAGAAGAAGGTTAATTTCTTTTATGTAGGACAAAGTATAAGAGTATATTTCCTTTTCATCTATTTATATATTGTTTAATTGTCCTCTATTTTTATCTTTGTAAGTCTCACCATGGCTTTATTAATTTCATTAGTTTTTCATTTAGCCAACTTTCAGATTTGTTAATTTTTATATTATGTTTGTTTTATATTTTATTAATTTCTGCTCTTTATTATTTCCATTTTCTACTTTCTTGGAGTCCATTTTGTCTTTCTTTTCTAATTTCTTGAAGTGGATTGTTAGTTCGTTAATTTCAGCATTTTTTTCTTTTCTAATGTATGCATTCAAGAGAAGAAATTTCCCTATAAACATTGTTTCACTTATATCTCATGAGTTTTGATTTGTAGTGTTTTTATTATTGCGCAGCCAGTCCAAACTATTTTCTAATTTTTATTTTTATTTCTTCATGAATTTATGTGTTAAAGTTGTATTTCTTTTTTTTCCTTCAATAATTTATCTTAAAAGTTATATTTCTTAACTTTCAAATATGTGGGGATTTTGGTTATTATTATTATTTTGTACTTTTAGTTTAGTTGTATTATAGGACCACTCTGTATGATTTCAAGCTTTTTAAGTTGTTGAGACTTGCTCTGTAGCCTAACTTTTGATTAATTAATATGAGATTTGAAATTGTGAGGTGGCACTCTTCTTAGTCCAACAGATTAAGTCCTTTAATTGTATTGTGCACATTTTCTGTATACATACTAAAACATACTGATGTTTTTTTCTTCAGCAGAGAACACAAACACATACTGGTATTTAACTGCTTTTTCTGTTGGTTGCTGAGGGAGATATGCTACATTCTCCCATTATAATTTTGTATTTTTCCTCTTACTCTAATTTTACCAATTTTGGCTTGATATATATTGAAGTCATGTAATTAGGTACACACAAATTTAGAATTGTTATTTATTCCTAATATCTTCTTCAATTTGAAGTGTTCCTATGTATTTTTGGTAGTGCTTATTTCTCCAAAGGCAATTGCTCTGATAGTAATGTTAATTTTTACATGGTGTATCTTATTTCATTGTGATTACATTCAGTCTTTCTGAATCCTTGTGTTTTAGATGTGTCTCTTATGAAGAGCAGAGCTTTTCAGAATTTGAGTTGACTGTCCTTATATTTAAATTTAGGCTTTTGGGTACATTGTCATTTAACATTTACATTTAATATAATTACTTTTATACCCTGACACTTATCTCTGCTATTCTGTATTACATTTTCTTTTCCTTTTTCTTTTATGTTTGGAATCAGTAATTTTTATTATTACATTGTAAAAAATTAGACTTACAGTGGTTACCTTAAAGATGACTATAAGCCTCCTTGATTTATAAAGAAAAATGTTAATTGGCGCTTTCATTTTCTTCCCAGAATGTACAAGGACCATAAAACACTTAATTCCATTAATTCCCATTTTGACTTATATGCAAGTGTTGTACATTTTATTCTCCTAAGGGGCATTATTAATAGTAGTTGTATTTTCTGTGGCTAGCATTCATTTATGTGTCTTTAAATATTTGTTTTTTGAATTGCTCTTCATGTCTTTCTGCATTTCCAAACTTTCATGTAGGATTATAAATGGCCCTTATTATTTCCTTTAGGAATGAATTATCAGCTGGGTCAGGTGGCTCATTCCTATAATCCCAGCACTTTGCAAGGCCAAGGTGGGTGGATTGCTTTGAGTCCAGGAGTTCTAGACAAGCCTTGGCAACATAGAGAAACCTTGTGTCTATAAAAAGTTTTAGGCCGGGCGCGGTGGCTCACGCCTGTAATCCCAGCACTTTGGGAGGCCGAGGCGGGCGGATCACGAGGTCAGGAGATCGAGACCATCCCGGCTAAAACGGTGAAACCCCGTCTCTACTAAAAATACAAAAAATTAGCCGGGCGTAGTGGCGGGCGCCTGTAGTCCCAGCTACTTGGGAGGCTGAGGCAGGAGAATGGCGTGAACCCGGGAGGCGGAGCTTGCAGTGAGCCGAGATTGCGCCACTGCACTCCAGCCTGGGCGACAGAGCGAGACTCCGTCTCAAAAAAAAAAAAAAAAAAAAAAAAAAAAAAAAAAAAAAGTTTTAAAGAGGCTGGCACAGTGGTTCATGCCTGTAATCCCAGCACTTTGGGAGGCTGAGGTGGGTGGATCACTTTGAGGTCAGGAGTTCAAGACCATCCTGGCCAACACAATGAAATCTCGTCTCTACTAAAAATACAAAAATTAGCGGGACATGGTGATGCATGCCTGTAGACCCAGCTACTTGGGATTCTGAGGCAGGAGAATCACATGAACCTGGGAGGCAGAGGTTGCAATGAGCCGTGATAGTGCCAGCCAGGGTGACAGAACAAGACTCTGTCTCAAAAAAAAAAAAAAAAAAAAGAATGAATTCTCTCAGTTTTTGTTTTTGTTCTTTTTACTTTTTAAGAGACAGGGTCTCACTGTGTTGCCCAGGCTGCAGTGTAGTGGCTCAATTATAGCTCACTACAGCCTTGAACTCTTGTCCTCAAGCCATCCTCCTGCCTCAGCCTCTCAGAGTTCTGAGATTACAGATGTAAGCCACCGCTCCTGGCTTGTCTTTATTCTTGCAACTATTTTTCACTATTGTAGAATTCTAGGTTTTTATATTGGCATTTTATTTTCTTTTCAAGATGATGATATCTCTTCATTGTTTTCTGGTTTCAAATCTAACAATACATTTAATAAATGTTTAATGAGCACTACTGTGTGCCAGGCAGTATTCCAAACAATGGACCTATAACACTGAATAAAACAAAATACCGACCACAACAAAAACCAGCATCAACAACCAAAAACCAAGACAAACCCAAGAATATGTGCAAAATAGAACTTTTCCTTTAGGCCACATTCAGTGATCCTTATCATTCTTCCTGACTGCTGAACTTTGTTATTCTTTGTGTGCTTGTCATATCCTACATGCTCCTACCTGATCTTAGATACGCAGATTACTCTGCACAGCTTTATCAAATGCTCTGTGTGGACTACTTTTTTTTTTCTTACCCTGAATAAACTTTTGAATAGATTCCATAAGTTTTGTCAAAGACATGTGAATCAGAGCAACTCCATCTTGAATAGGGGCTGGGTAAAATGAGGCTGAAATCTACTGGGCTGCATTCCCAGACGGTTAAGGTATTCTAAGTCACAGGATGAGATAGGAGGTCAGCACGAGATACAGGTTATAAAGACCTTCCTGATAAAACAGGTTGCAGTAAAGAAGCTGGTTGAAACCCACCAAAACCAAGATGGTGACAAGAGTGACCTCTGGTTGTCCTCACTGCTACACTCCCACCAGTGCCATGACAGTTTACGAATGCCACAGCAACAACAGGAAGTTACCCTAAGTGGCCTAAAAAGGGGAGGCCTGAGTAATCCACCCTTTTTAAAAATATCATCAAGAACTAACCATAAAAATGGGCAACCAGCAGCCCTAGGGGATGCTCTGTCTATGGAGTAGCTATTCTTTATTCCTTTACTTTCCTAATAAACTTGCTTTCACTTTATAGACTGGCCCTGAATTCTTTCTTGCATGAGATCCAAGAACCTTGTCTTGGGGTTTGGATTGGGACCTGTTTCCAGTAACAGTTTTATCATCAATCTTGAATAATAAAAGTTTCTAGTAACATTAAGTCTTAAGAACAGGCTCATTTCAGTGATTGATTTATCCAGCCAGTTTAATAACTGACACTCAGAGTCTCCTTCAGAGTTGCATGCTCTCCATCCTTCCACCTTGAGCTTGCTTCAGGTCAGCAAGCCTGCAGCTGGGGATGTGGAATGTGATTGGATTCTTTCACTTGTCTGCATTGTTCTTCTCTTGCTCTTCACCTGGTTCTTCTGTTCTTTACCTAATTGTCTCTGGCTCCTTCACGGTTGAAGGGGAGAGTGAAGAGAGCTAAGTCTCAGGATAGGATTCCCATGATTGGCACAAATCACATTTGGTGATGATGCCTGCTGGGTGTGCACTATTCTCAATTTGGTTCTTTTTTTTTCTCTCTCATTTGATGTTTTAGTGGGTTGCTTGCAAAAATATCCATGTTGAGAACCCTTAACTGTAGTTTCCATGGCATATGAAAGTCCACTCTTTGGCTGGTCACTCAGAATTCCTTCTCACCCCTGGACTTCCCATGGTCCCTCCCTCATTTGGGTCACTTTGCTCCTTGAGAAAGTCTCTTGGGCAAGATTCAGCTCAGTCTGATCTCGTACATTTTTACCCTGCCATTGGTGAAGAAGCAATTTTCTCCCAATGCAACCGCACAGTCTTTCTACTCCTTCTCTTACAGGAAAGGGGTCCCGATCCAGACCCCAAGAGAGGGTTCTTGGATCTTGAACAAGAAAGAATTCAGAGTGAGTCCATAAAGTAAAGTGAAAGCAGTTTATTAGGAAAGTAAAGGAATAAAATGGCTACTCCATAGACAGAACAGCCCCGAAGGCTGCTCTTTGCACATTTTTATGGTTGTTTCTTGGTGATATGCTAAACAAGAGGTGGATTATTCATGCCTCCCCTTCTTAGGCTATATAGGGTAACTTCCTTTCATTGCCATGGCACTTGTAAACTGTCATGGCGCTGGTGGGAGTGTAGCAGTGAGGATGACCAGCGGTCATTCTCATGGCCATCTTGGTTTTGGTGGGTTTTAGCTGGCTTCCTTACTGCAACCTGTTTTATCAGGAAGGTCTTTATGACCTGTATTTTGTGCTGACCTCCTATCTCATCCTGTGACTTATAATGCCTTAATCATCTGGGAATGCAGCCAGTAGGTCTTAGCCTTATTTTACCCAGCCTCTATTCAAGATGGAGTTGCTCTTGTTCAAATGCCTCTGACACTTCTACTCCAGGAGACATGTTGGGCTTTTTGAGTGATCCTCTTCCAGTTCCCTCTCTCACAAGCTCCTCCATCCTTTTCCCTCACTTGGGGAGAAAGGAATGCACAAAACATCAGCAACTCCAAATACATTTTCTCTATGTTCCTTTACAACTTCAAACCTTTTATATCCTTGTTTTATTATCCCTTTTATATTCTTAGATGGGGTGGTGGGTTAAGGGCCAACAAGTATTTTTTAGCTACCCTTTTGGCAACTCCTGCCTAGATGGCCTAGCACGCAAATTAGAATGCCATGAGCCTTGGCACTTTTTGGCCATTAGGCCTCATCTAAAATGGAGGCAGAAAGTTGTTTCATTTTTAACATCCTGTTGCATTGACTGCAAAGTAATTGCATTCTGGCACAGTGAGAAGAAAAACATTGCTATTGAAAACCAAAAACTAACTGCATCTGCTGCTACTTGTATCTTATAAGGGGAATGTCATAGTTCATTTCAGGGAAGATGAATTTTTATTTATTTAGGAAAATAACCTGATGGAGGTCTTTGATTTGAAAAGGTGATTCCAGCAGTTCTGCAAGGAGGGGGTGAAACAAAGAGAGTGCTGATTTGTTGTGCTACATAGGGGAGAGGAGTTCTTGAGTTTCCCAGGAAATAGGGGCATAAGGGCTGGAAGAGAACACAGTGGGGGAGCTGTAAAGCGATTTGGGGAAGAGAGAGGGCCCAGAAGCCTATTGGGAGGTCAGAGCCCAAGAAGAAAGGATGATTAATGACAGGGATGGTCAGGGAAATTTAAAAACAAGGATGCCTAACATTTACGGTTGAATCTTTCATTAAAAGTGGGCTATAGAGAGTAACCTTGTATTAGTGGTGGCTTTGGGAAGTTAAAGCAAAAAAGAGACTTGTGCAATCTTTGGGATGACATTAAATGTAGGAAGTAAGACTTACTAGTGAGCCTAAGAGTCCAGTGGGAGCAGGAAGTTATAGTGAGGGTTGAATGCAAGAGCTGAGTCTTGGGAGGCACTAATCTTCCCATGGTCTGTGATTGAATGGTTGGACACTTACAATTTTTTGTCATTATAGGAATTTTGAAAAACATTCAAAAATAACCAGTAGACTACAATGAGATCTTGGTTACTCATCATTTTATTTCATACTGGTTTTTTTTTTTAATTTTTAAGGAAAAAATGAGTTCAGAAAGACAGAGGACTTGGGGCAAAAACACAGGGAGGGCTCATCCGGGTTACAATTGCAAAATAGATATTGGGAAGCTTCTTACAAGGTTCTAGGAATGGCGGTGGAGTCAGTTAATTCACATATCAATAACTTTTCCAATAGGAGAACTATTATCCTCAGAAGACAAAAATCATACACTCTCTTCTGTGAAGAAGTCATTTCAATGTCCCCCACCCCCCGCCATTTCTCCCCAGTACTAACAGTTTGAGAGAGATGTGTTTTTGTTTATTTTGTCACATATATTTGAGTTATAAGTGTATGTGTACCTGGTAAGACCTATTGCATATAGTACGCGGTAGTCTTAGAAACTTGCTAAATTTTCTCTAGGTGCCTGGTTCCCTGGAAAGCGATTGTATCATTTAAGATACTTTCAGTACCCTAAAACTGGTTTAAATTAAAAAATACATTTGTTATCTTGCATACAAGAAGTCCAGAGGTGGAGTGGTTCCAGGGTTAATTCACTGGTTCTATGATATCAAAGATTCAGGCTCTTTCTATCTTTCCACTGTGCCATCTACAGTCAGGTCAGTGTTTTGACTTGTCCTTAGCTTTGACTCTCATATTCACATGATGACTGGTACAGACCCAGGTTCCATATTCTCAAGCATCCACAGGAAGAGAGAGGGAGATTTTTTTCTCTTGTGTCTTCTTGGAGAAGAAAACGATTCATAGCCATCCTCAGCAAATTTCTTACCAGAGTCCCTTGGCCAAATTTGAGTCACATTTTCATGCCTTATCTGCAAGGAAGGTTAGGAAAATATCAGGTTTTAAAAAATTTATCTTAGGAAGAAGTCTTTGCCTATGGAAGATGTAGATTGGGAACGACTATTAGTAGGGAACCATTGGAGTCATAAGAAGTACTTATGATTAAATAAAGATACTTATTTCTGTTGCATGCTAATGCGATCCTACTATGTGCGGGACACATGTGGTCTGCAAAGCAATGCCAACATAGTGCCCTCAAAACTACTATGCAAGGGCAACAAGTCCCCGATAATGAGAAGCCAGAGTTACAGTTGCAAAATGGGTGATTGGAAGGCTTCTTATAAGGTTCTAGGGAATGGTGGTGGAGTCAGTTCATTCACATGTCAATAACTTTTCTAAAAGGAGACCTATTACCTCTAAAAGACAAAACTATACACCTTCTTCCATGAAGAAATAATTTCAATGTCTCCTCATTTTCCCCTGGTACTAAGAGTTTATTTGAGAGAGATGTGGTTTTGGTTATTTTGTCAGATATGTTTGCACCAGAAAAGGTCTAAGTGTGGGGCAAAGAACCCAGATATGGGAGTCAGAGGACTGAGGATTGGTCCTGGCTCTGTCCTCTTCCAGTCTGACACCCATACAAGTAACCCAATCTTTAAAAGTCTTGTTGTTCTTAATTTTTAATTATCTGTGAAATAAAGATTTATATTTCCTTGCCTTGAAATAATTTCCTTATATTCCAATAAAACCTCCATTTTCTTTCATGGCTTGCAATCTTGTTGGGTCTGTTTCCTGCCCTACCCTGCCCAAAGGGCAGGGAGAGAATCCCAGCTTCCTTGCAGATAAGGCATGAAAATGTGACTAAAAATTGGCCAATGGGCTCAAAAATAGATTTGACCTCCTGGAACTCTAAAAGAGTTTTTGAGACTCTAGGTGTCCCCCAAACAGTACTTTGAAAACCACTGGTGGCCGGGTGCGGTGGCTCACTCCTGGAGTCCCAGCACTTTGGGAGCCCTAGGTGGGTGGATCACGTGAGCTCAGGTGTTCAAGACCAGCCTGGGTGACATGGCAAAATCCAGCTCTACAAAAAATACAAAAATTAGGCAAGGGTAGGGGTGCATGACTGTAATTCCAGCTACTTGGGAGGCTGAGGTGGGAGGATCTCTTGAGCCCAGGAGGTAGAAGTTGCAGCTAGCTGAGATTGTGCTACTGCACTCCAGCCTGGGTGACGGAATGAGACCCTGTCTCAAAAAACAAAACCAAAAACAAACAAACAAAAAAACCCACTGGTTTAAGTTTTCTTCTATTTGTTATTGTTTTTGGCTATAAGAATATATCATAAAATTTTAGTCTTAGAATTTTCTAAGGTTAAATATGTGCATATTCAAATAATAATTCAATCTGTTCTCAGTACTCCTACTGTGTTTTTACTAACTTGTTTTAATTATGCCTGCAAAAATCTCTGTAGCATTGTTATCATCCAATAAATCATTATCTTGAAATCCCAAAGTTCTCCTTGAGCTTAGTGGAAACACAATAAGTAGTAAATACATGCTCTTGTCTTGTTTTGCATAGCCTGTAAAATATTTTCCAAAAAAATTTTTAAATAATTACATTTTATTTATAACTACTATTGTTTAGAATTCAACAATAGTGTACATCCTAAATGAAAATACATTTTCTTTGTAATATATTTTTCTCATATTTAAGGACAGATTGTTGGCTTTAAAAAGAGAATTAGAAGACTCACTTTCTCAACCCACAGATGCTCCATGTATATCTGAAGATGCTGCACAAGATAAAACTTATATGTTAGAGAATTTTCTGATTCATGTAAGGGAGGAATTTACTCCAAAAAAAATCCTGGGTGAAAATCTAAATAAGAAGCAAAAATATGATAAAATCTATCTTGCCTTTGGCATTAGAGGTGAAATGATTTGCTTTTTTGTGTCTTATGCAACAGAATAGTTTCAAATAAGATTATGGTGCCATTTAAGTTGTGGCATCATTTTAAGACCAATCATTCAGAGGTAAAGAAAAAGAAACTGAATATTTTAAATTAGGAAAAATCATGAGCTCTTTCAAAGCCCCAAAATATTTCTAATAGCTATTCAAATTAGAAATGAAAAATCCATTGAAATATCTTGCAGGATAAGTTATCACATCACATTGCCTTGAAAGACACCCGTAATAGCCGAGAGACTAACAAAGCCTTGTACAGTTGGCATTGCTGGATGCCAGCTGGATGAAGAGTTAGCAAAGAAGTCATAGCATTGTCACTAACAATGCAGTAAGACTGTCTTACTAACACAAGAGTTAAATCTATTAAAATCTCTGCTTTGATCCTCTCCATGGAAAGCGTCTGTTTCTTTCCATAAACATATCCTCAGTATATGAAAAAAATGGATGAAGAAAACACAACATAATTCAGGACATAAAATCTTCAAGAATTGAAGGGCTATGACCCAGGGGATCAGACTGGACACTTCCTTCACCGATTTCACATTTTATACAGAATGTATTGAAGCCATAAACTACCTGCTCAGAGACAACTACTGTTAATGCTTTCATGTGTGTTTTTCTAAATCCTTTTCTGTGCATATTTGTGGGTGTGGATGTAAAGAAAGTGGAAGATTCTATCTTACAAACTTCTTTTCTGAAATCAGAAAATTTGAGTATTTTTTCCAATAGATATAATTCTGTATCATTTGAAATAGGCATACAATATTCCATGTGTAAGTAATCCTTTTTTTCCCCTCTACTGGTAATGGTACAGGATTTATTATATGGATTTGACCTCACATAATTGTGGGAGCTCACCTTGCCCATTCATACAGCAGGCAGCAAGTGCCAGGAGAACTAAAAACTGAACTGCAGAGCAGCCCTCAACCAAAGATGGCAGGACTGTGAGTGGAATAACTAGGGAACATGTTCTATACTCCTTCCTAGAGCTCCCAATGATATTAAGGTCTAGTTGACTTCACATCCTCTATTCGTTTATTTTCCTTCTTTGTCTTACTTCCCCACTATGCTAATAGTATTTTTTGGAATAACTTTCCAAATAAAACTATTTGCACCTGAATTATTTTCTGAAGGTCGGCATCTGAAGAATCTCCAACAAAAACACATGGTAATACCCAAGACCTTATCATCACCAGTGCTTGCATAATTTCAATTTTAATCATTCCACCCTGGGGCACCATCTCCTAGCTTTTCTGTTCTGTTCTTCCACTATCACCGCTCCATTGAACCCCATATGAACCAACAATCCATGGATCTAATCTCTTTTATTCCAATTACCCATCTGGTAAATAGGATTAAGAAAACTCTTGGGGAATATTGAACAGAACTACATTCAACATATAACATAATTTGGAGAAAATGAACATCCTTACAATAGTGAATCTACTTTGGATTAGCAGAGATTGGATGGAGAGAGCCCTCCTCAGCAGGATCCCCTGATTTAAGCGCAGTTGTTGATCAACTCATGGGCTTGGTGGGTGTGATGGTTGATTTTATGTATTAACTTGGAGGCTGCTTTTGAATGAGATTAACATTTAAATCAGTGAACTTTGGGTAAAGAAGATTGCCCTCCATATTGTAGCTGAGCCTCATCTAATCAGTTGAAGGCCTAAATAGAACAAAAAGACCAACCTCTCCTAGCAAGAGGGAGTTTTTCAGTAATGTCTTTGGACTTCATCTGCACCACTGGCTCTTCTGGATCTCCAGCTTGCTGGACCGCAATGCAGGTTTTGGACTTGCTAGCCTCCATAATCACGTGAGCCAATTCCTTATAGTAAATCTCCTCCTATATGTAAAAATATACTATTGGTTCTACAGTGGGCAATGAAATTGACAGGAAAGTAAGAAAGAAGATTGAAACATCAGACTAGTTCTTGTGAGGAAACTTCTCGTGGAAGCCCCTGTGGCCAGGACTGGGGCATGGGTGTGAGGAACAGTATGATCATCATTACAGTGGTGCCAGGGTGTCAACTACAAAGGCTGCCAAATTTTGTATTGAATTTAGTGGATAGTCACATATTTTGTTTTGTTGAATTCTTTTTTTTAAGAGTCTTAAAATATCTGACTCGTAATTTCATAGGCTTTAAAACTGGTAGTTTAGTGCTATGGTTCCCCAATGTGATTATTTGGTCATTGGATTCACCTGAAGAGCTTAAAAAAACAAAACAAAACAAAACAAACAGAACAAACTTCCTTTCCCCACCAAAGTTTCTGATTTATAGATTTGTGGAAGGGTCTGGTGATCTGTGTTTGAAAAACACTTCTCAGCCAGGCGTGGTGGCTCCCGCCTGTAATCCCAGCACTTTGGGAGGCCGAGGTGGGCAGATCCCGAGGTCAGGAGATGGAGACCATCCTGGCTAACCCGGTGAAACCCCGTTTCTACTAAAAATACAAAAAATTAGCCAGGCGTGGTGGCGGGCGCCTGTAGTCCCAGCTCCTCGGGAGGCTGAGGCCGGAGAACGGCTTGAACCCGGGAGGCGGAGCTTGCAGTGAGCCGAGATCGCACCACTGCACTCCAGCCTGGGCGACAGAGCGAGACTCCATCTCAAAAACAACAACAACAACAACAACAAACAAACAAAAAACAAAACAAAACAAAAACTAAAAACACTTCTCAAGGTTTGGCAATCACTTCATCACTTCTATGGAGATCATCTAGTCCAGTTATCTTGACTGGGCACGGTGGCTCACGCCTGTAATCCCAGCACTTTGGGAGGCCGAGGCGGGTGGATCACGAGGTCAGGAGATCGAGACCATCCTGGTTAACCCGGTGAAACCCCGTTTCTACTAAAAATACAAAAAATTAGTTGGGCGTGGTGGCGGGTGCCTGTAGTCCCAGCTACTCGGGAGGCTGAGGCAGGAGAATGGCGTGAACCTGGGAGGTGGAGCTTGCAGTGAGCCGAGATCGTGCCACTGCACTCCAGCCTGGGCGACAGAGCGAGACTCCGTCTCAAAACAAAAACGAAAACAACAGCAACAACAACAAGCAAACAAAAAACAAAACAAAACAAAACAAAAACTAAAAACACTTCTCAAGGTTTGGCAATCACTTCATCACTTCTATGGAGATCATCTAGTCCAGTTATCTTTTCGCACATGAGAGAACCCAAAACATGAATGGCTCAAGTGACATAGGTGCTTTTCCCACCCTTCCAGGTTTGGTAAGCAGGTGCAGGTGAACGTATCATTCAGCATCCAGAATTAAAGTTTTCTCTGGTGTCTGAGAGTCATCCTTGGGAAATCTCAATGGATTCAATGCAATTCAAGAACAGCGACAACATATACATGTACATGCTTTTCTTATCTTTGGTCCCTTTCTCTTACAAATGAGAGTAAACAATATCTGCTTAATTGCTTAACTGAGAGTCTGGTTAGACAGAATCTCATTAAAAAAGAGCAATAATGACTTAAGTTTTCTGTTGGACAGATAGAGAGAGATGGACACACACACGTAGCAGATTGCTTTTCTCTATACAAGTTGAATTTATCTCAGCAGCTTCCTCTTGGTTCTTTAAGAAGAAAATATAAGACTTTGCCAGCTTAAAAAATTTCATAATTGGTTATTTGGAGCTAAGATCATCTGATTGTCATGCTTAATTGTGCAAATAATGTCTCTAATTTTTTTTTTTAGCCTCCCAAATCATTGGCAATGTTTAAGAAAAGGAATCTATATACCTTCCTATGATACTTATATAGTTTTCTGATTTTAAATTGCCTTTTCTTCACAGTAAAAGATTGTTTAAACTTATCAAAATCACTTTGATTTTACACTTAGAGTCAGGATCCTAACATTTTGATTTTCGACACTTATAAATGCTTTAATAGATACATGGACAGTAATTTAGTTTGACTTAAATATAATAATCTGGCCCATTTATCCAGGCTGACAAGATTTCATTTCCTAATGATCTTTTATTGTAAATTTATTTGATTTCCTTTAATATATTATCTCATTTCTCATCTCCTTTCTTTTGAAAAAAAATATGAATAATTTCTTATGGAATTATGAAGACTTGGCCTTAAGCTGACAGCTCTGAGAAGCAGTGAATATCTCCACCCTTTTAAACAAATTATATAGTTTGATAACAGAGTCCTAAGAAGAAGAGAACATTAGTTTATCAATAATTTATTCTAAGAGACATCAAGGATTGTACTTTCAGGGGCTCTTGTTTTCTTTGCAAAAAATGAGAACCAAAATAATCAGGCTAACCTGATTCCAGTTCTGTATATTCAACTGCCTACTTGACCTCTGTCTGGATGTCTTATAGTCAATTCCTGCTCATTATTTGGTTACAAAACCAAACTTGCCTTCTCTTCTCCAAAATGGCTCCTCCTCCTCTGTTTTTATTTTAATTTTAATAAAATCACCATCTACTCAGTCAGTCAAGCTGAAAACTTCAGATATTTTGGAGATCTCTGTCTCCCCAAAATAGTCAATCTGAAACTTCCAAATAGTTCTCAGAACTGTGCCTACTTCCCTATTTCTTCTGGTCCTCATGATTCTTGTTTGGATAACCACTGCAACCTCCTAATTGGCTTCCCTGCCTCTAGTTTCATCCATACCACCCATCATCCATGCTGGGGCAGTAATGATTCTTACGGAAATACACACCTGACTCAGTCCCTGAATTTTTTTTTTTTTTTTTGTGACAGAGTCTCACTCTATCACCCAGGCTGGAGTGCACTGGCATAATCTCAGCTCACTCTGTCTCCCTCTGTCTCCCGGGTTCAAGTAGATTTTCATGCTTCAGCCTCCCAAGTGGCTGGGATTACAGCCACGACACCCAGCTAATTTTTGTATTTTCAGTAGAGACGGGGTGTCATCATGTTGGCCAGGCTGATCTCCAATTCCTGATCTCAAGTAATCCACCTGCCTTGGCCTCCCAAGTGCTGGGATTACAGGCATGAGCCACTGCACCCGGCCAAGTTCCTGAATATTCTTCACTGGCTTCCTTTGGCCTACTATAGCAAATCCACAGTCCTCAGCAAGACATCAAGCCCTTTAGGACCTGATTCCAGCCTAGCTCTCCAACCTCATCTCTTGTGGCTCTTCTCCCTTGCCTCCCCTCCTACCTGAAACTCCCCTATATCTTTAAAGAGTAAAGTCAATCATGTCTCCTTTGATGATGCCCCAGCAGAGGTAGCTATGGTGTTATGGTTTGAATGTATCTCTGAAAGTTTATGTGTTGGAAACTCAATTGCCATTGTAATAATATCAAGAGGTGGGGCTTTAAGAGATGATTAGACCCCAAGGGGTTGGCTGTCATGAAGGGATTAATTCAGTTAGCACAGGAGTGAGTTAGTTATCATGGGAGTGGGTTTCTGATAAGAAGGATGAATTCAGGCCATTTTTTCTCTGTCTTGCATGCTTGCATGCTCATTTGCTCTTCAGCCATGTTATAACACAACAAGAAGGCCCTCACCAGATATAGCCTGTTGGACTTCCCAGCCTCCAAAACAGTGAGCCAAATAAATCTCTTTTCTGTATAAATTACCATCTATGGTATTCTGTTATAGCAGCAGAAAACAGACTAAGACACACACTCTCCTCTGTACATTCATACCCTGTGTGTGACTCTAAGATATTATTTCCTCATTACTGTAATCATTCATTTATGTCTTTCTCTGTCATTGCTCTGTAAGATCTTCAAGAGAAAGTACTGTATTCTACTCATTGTTTCCTTAGTTCCTAGTGCAATGCTTCATACTTAATAGTTACATAATGAATAGTCATTGAATGAAGAGTTGAATTATTGAATAAACTCCAAGGGGCTGTTTAAATTATTTTATTTTGCTGGGTGTCTTGTTGTTTCTGTGAAGTATTAACTGGAATTTGTCATGTATTGTAATTATATTTGTTGAAATGGCATTTGATCTGTATTTCACAATTCCATTATTTAAAAAAAGCCAAAATTAGACTGCGATTCAGAAACCTACAGTTGTAGCCTAAACACAGTTTACTTGCAATTTTAATCATTAAAAAAAAAACTGTTGCAATATTATATTTTTTTCCTCTCCCAGCCCCGCTTCTTCTGTAAACACCATATACATGTTTATTTGTGTATGTTGTTGAGATACCTTCTTTACAGAGTTTTGCAACAATCCTTTCATTTCTGCAAAATCTAGTTGGTAAGCATCCTTTCCTTACTCCCAGGATGTGAGGCAACTTTACATATACATGGGCAATCAAAATGCTGCAGGTATTTCTGTGAGTGGGAACAAAGTACCACTAAAATCTGTTTATGTGCTGATATCTTGTCGTGTTTTAAAACAGACTTAAACAGTTCATAGTCTTTAAATGCAGTATATGCTCTTAATGAAGTAAAAGGACAAGCACGCATAAATTGGGAGTAGTTTGTTAAAAATATAGGACAGACAAAAAAAGATGCCTAAAAGTTACTTTTTATTCATCAAGCAGCACTTTAATTTTGTTTATGATTATACTGAAACCTCTTTAAAGGTCAATTTCTAGGTCCACCTGACATTCATCTGAGTTTGGGGATTACACAGTAATCATTTAAGAATTAAGTAGAAAGGATGGGAGACTTCCAATAATGGTAAATAAAATTCTTATTTTCTTTGGGTTCTAAACCTTCAAGATTGCCTTAAGAAAACCTTAAATTGGAAAATCAAAAGCAAAACTAGTTTCAGCGTTTGTTGCTGTTGTTTTTTTTTTTATGCTCCAGTGAGCACAAAGGTTTTATATAGTTATTTTTGTATTTTTTTAATTAAAAATTTTATTTTTTGACTAGCAGTTTGAATACAGGATACTTTAAATAATTCATAGAAGGATATTATATTCTGTAAAAGCCTGGGAAAGACATAAGATGAGAATAAAATTAGTTTTTCTCTCTTTAAAAAAATTAGCATTTTGGCCAGGCATGGTGGCTCATGCCTTAATCCCAATGCTTTGGGAGTCCAAGGCGGGAGGATCACTTGAAGCCGAGGGTTTGAAACCAGCTTCAGCAACATAGCAAGACCCCGTCTCTACAAAATATTTTTTAAAAAATGAGCCAGGTGTGGTGGCACACGCCTGTAGTCCTAGCTACTCAGGAGGCTCAGGCAGGAGTATCACTTGAGCCCAGGAGTTTGAGGGTTCAGTGAGCTGTGATTGTGCCACTGCACTCTAGCCTGGACAACAGAGCAAGACCCCATCTCAAGAAAAATTTAGCTTCCTGTTCCAAAAGAAAGATGAATGATAATTGTGTTAAAAATATTTTTATTTTCTTGGCATTTAAGGACCTTTTCAGTCTACCCACAAGTTACCTTCCTTGATTGCCACTGACATGCCTGCTTTAAGGAGAGCTCATCATGTCTTGCTTCTCTGTAACTTAATAGGATCTAATCCCCGTCTCTCAGCCTTATCATCTATATTTGAGTTTTCTAAATGATGCTTGGCTCTCCAGCTAGGTTATGGGCTTCTTAAAATTCTTTTAATTTACATATAATATTCCTAAAATGCACTAATATTTAGTGTACAGCCTGAGGATTTTTTTTACATTTCCACCCCGATGAAGCCACACAGTATTTCCAAAACCCCAGAAAACTTCTCTAGGCCTCTTCTTAGTCAAATATCCCATCCTCAGAGGTGACCACTCTTCTGACATCTGTCATAATCTGTGACTTCTATCATAGATTTATTTGGCTTTTTCTTGAACCTCATATAAATGGAATCATATTGGATGTACATTTTTGAGTCTGGCTTCTTTCTCTCAACATGGTGTCTTTAAGATTCATCCATGTGGTTGTGTGTAAGGCATGGATACTGTTTCTATCATCTTTATATCCCCAGGTTCTAATATAGTACTTGGCACATAGCAGATGTCCAACGATAATTTACTGAATTACTTGATGACTAGATGTATTAGTAGGATTCTTGGGTTACAAATAACAGAACTTCTACCCAAGTTACCCAAGATGACCTTATCTCCTATGTGAAGCTACCATCTCATGCAACTCAGAACTGTCTTCCCAATCTCCTGTGAACTCTAGTCACATATGAACTCTAGCTGCAAGGGACTCTGGGAAATGTAGTTTTAATTTCTAGCCTCTATAGTACAAGAAGAGATGCCAGAGGGCTTAGAGATGATACTGGATGAGCCATTATGCATTATTCTGTATTATTCTGATGAGCCATTATGCATTATTCTGTATTATTCTGATACAGAAATGGAAGGGTTGAAGTTGTCTAGGAAACAGAATCAGAAAGAGACAAGAGCAAGGGCTGCTTTGGAGGTCTAGGTGACAGCAATCAAGACACATTTCTCAAAAGGACATAATTGTTCCCTTCATTATGAAGACTTGAAGTCTTGGAAAAGAGGTCGTAGCTGGCAAAGCTAGGGTCACATGCCTATTTCTTGGGTAGGAGAGGATTGCACTGACAGTCTCACCAAGATAGCATTTGATGGAGAATTAATTCCTCAAAAGGAAATGGGATGTTACTGACAAAACAAAGGGATATAAACTTAAGGATAAAAGCCCACAAGTGCCCAGTAACAAAGCTAAAAAATAAGCAATGACAGTCTAAGTGTTCAAATTGCATTTCACACATTCTGCCTGAGAGCTGACATCCCCAAGATTTCTAGCAGTTAGAGACAAAGGGGGCTTAGAGACGTCATTTTATGGGGTCATGTATATTGTGATATAGTTTATATACAAGAAAGACACACTTTTTAGGTGTAGAGCACCAAAATAAACATGTGGAAGATTTTCATTACTCGAAAAAGCTCCCTGTTCCTCTCCGTAATCAGTTCTTTCTTCATCCCTAGTCCCTCCCCCAGTCCCTGGCAGCCACTGATTTGACTTCTATCCCTGCAGTTTTTCCTTTTCCAGAATGTCATATGAGTGAAAATGTAAGTTCAACTTATTTCAAATAGCCAGGAGATCATTTTGTCCAATGGTTTTTCCCTTTCTTTTCTACTCCACTAGGAACTGTTTTTATTCAAACAAACTTGTTTTGTTTTGTTTGAGATGGAGTCTTGCTCTGTTGCCCAGGCTGGAGTGTAGTGGTGTAATCTAGGCTTACTGTAACCTCCTCCTCCTGGGTTCAAGTGATTCTCCTGCCTCAGCCTCCTGAGTAGCTGGAGCACTACCAGCATGCACTACCATGCCCAGCTAATTTTTGTATTTTTAGTAGAGATAGGGTTTCACCATGTTGGCCAGGCTGGTCTGGAACTCCTGAGCTCAAATGATCTGCCTGCCTCAGCCTCCCAAAGTGCTGGGATTACAGGCATGAACCACCATGCTCAGCCATATTCAAATGAACTTTTATGCAGAAACTTAATATTTGAGACAGGTAGAAATGGATTGCTTTCATGAAACTGAGGTGAGGAGCTCAAGTCCAGAGTTCTTTCTAATAAAGCACTTTATCGTTTGCTCATGGAATTTTATTTATTTTGTGTATTCCAGAATCACAGTCAGTTCAGAATCTCTGAGTTTTTTCAAAGTTGGCTTCTTGTTGCAGAAATGTTCACAGAACATTTTCCACGGAGGGAGTCATGGCCTGGGAAGACTATCAGAAATGAGAAAATATTTCTTTTTCTTACATTTTTGTTAAATTATGGATTCTTAGTTGATTTTCTTGCTAAAAATGTTCATTTCAGGTCCACTAGGTGTCAGTTGCCATCTCTTACATCTTTTTTTTAACTGCCTTCTTTTAAATGCCACTGTTAACCATTAAAATGGCAAGTGCCCAGACATCACTTATACAAATAAACCTGAAGGGAAAATTCTGCAGATTATGGTTTTTTTGATTTGTGCTGTCCAATGTAGTAGTCATTAGCCACACATGACTACTGAGCATTTGAAATGTGGTGAGTTCAAATTGAGGTGTGCTGTAGGTTATAAAGTACACACCAGATTGTAGACTTTGTACAAAAAAAAGTAAAAATATTACATTAATAAGTTTTTATTGATAGCACTTAAAATGATATCTTAAATATATTTTAACAGAATATATTATTACAATTAATTTCCCCATGTCATTTTATTTCTTGAAATGTGATTAGAAGGAAATTTAAAATCACATATGTAGCTAATATTTGTGGTTTGCATTATAAATTTCTAGGAGACAGCACTAATATAGACAGATTGCTGGTTATGCATTTGCTAATCTCTTTCAAGAAAGACCCAGAAACTACAGTTCTCCAATCTGGATCTCAGAGATTATGAGAGAACCAGGCCACTTTCTTTTTTTTTTTTTTTTTTTTGCTTCATAGTAAATTTTTAAAGATGGAAAATGCCAGAAGCAGAGTTACATAAATTGCTCCATATTTTTGTATTGCAAACATTTATACCTAACAAATCACCACTTTTAATATAAAAATACATTGCATTGTAATATATTGTGCCAGCCTTAATACAATTTTAGGATTTATAGAAAGAGGACAATACGGGTGATATGATCCAGTTATGCAACAATTTGAAAGTTGGTAAAAGAACTTCTTTCCATCTCTTGGTTTATATCTGTAAATTGTATGTATAACCTTATTCAGAGATGACTTCAGAAGTCTAAATTAGATGCCATATTTGTAAGTGAGGGCTGGGTCCAGTGGCCCACATGTTGCCACCCCACCCCACCTCACCTCAGTAGTGACAAGCCCTGCTTTTGATCTTTTACATCTGCTACTTGTACCTTTTATGTGCCAGGCTCTCTATGTACACTTTACATTACTTGGAAGCCTTGCAACAACCTGTGAGAAAGATGTCATTGTTGGAGGGTGAAAAGATGACTGCTAATTCTTCCCCAAACTCCTTTCAGCAATGATGTCCTTTAAGGGGTGAGGGCGATCAGAAGTTTTGGGCCGAAAGGATAATGCATAATAAAGGCAGAGAGTGACACGAAATGAAACCCTTGTTGCCTGTCTACCTATAGTTAACCTTGTCTTCTCACCTGTGCTGCATGGAGACGCTCCCAGAAAGCACTTTCTCAGGAACTGATTGTTTGCTTTTGTGTATGCTAGACTGCCCTAAATTGGAAGTATTTTCAAAACTATTTTCTGGAGGGGTGGGAGGAAAGCTACAGCCGATGCCTTGCATGACAGCGCTACCTCTTAGCTACAAATTACTCATTTCAAACCCTGCGTTAGGCGGATGCCGCTTTGCCAATGGGGTTCTCAGGTTCTTACTCTCCTCTATGTATATGCCCTTTATGTCTGTCATGTTGGGTTTTGTTTTGTGACTATGTAAATCGGAGCCAAGGGAGTTTCTTTTTTCTCCATGGTTGGAACCACGGTGAGGCTTTCTCCACAATCCAGCACTTTATACACTTCTGCACTGTGTGGGCAGAAAGCAAGGCGGAGGGAGCTCTTGAATGCGATTTTCACCTGGTTTAAACAAGAGCTTTGATTTTTTTCCTGTTCTTAATCATTTGGGGGCTTGAAGTGAAAGCAGGATTCATAGAGTTTTTTTTTTTTTTTTTTTTTTTAAACTCTGTTTTGGGCTATAGCATGCTTGGATTTTAACACATTATTGATAAAAGGATCCCACAGACTTCTGGAATATGGTAGAATGCTGATTTTATTTATTTATTATTTAGTTAGTTAGTTAGTTTAGGGAGGTTTTCTGTCCTTTTCTGATGCATCTCTGTATGTGGCTAATTACAAAGGCCAACTAGATATTTTCTTCGCCAAACTAGAGCTGGCTGGAAAAAACTTCTCTCACATATTCATTTAGCTAACATTTACTGAGCCTCTACTATGTGCTTGTGCTTAGATCCGGGGATCCAAAGACAGATGAAACAAGGTCCTTGCCCTCAAGCGGCTGAAGGTCAAGACGAGGAAGACATGAGAAAGTGAACATTAGCTAGGAGGTGACCCACGAGCTACATTTTGAAGGGCAGGTAGCTTTAGCTAGGTGAAGAAGGTGGGGATAAGGTTTTTGTTTTTTTTTAATAGATTTTATTTTTTAGAGCAATTTTAGGTTTACAGCAAAAATTGAGCATAAGATAGAGAGAATTCCCATACACGCTCTGACCCCACCAAGGTGTAGACTCCCCCATTAAGTACAATTGTTACAACTGAGGAACCTACAATGACACATCTTTATCACCCAGAGTCTGTAGTTTACATTAGGATTCACTCCTGGTGGTGTACATTCTGTGGGTTTGGACAAATGTATAATGACATGTATCCCCCATTATAGTATCCTACAGAGTAGTTTCACTGTGCTAAAAATCCTCTGTGCTCTGCCTACTCATCCCTTCCTCCTCCCTCAGCCCTTGAAACCACTGTCTTTTGACTGTCTCTACAGGTTTGTCTTTTCCAGAATGTCGTATAGTTGGGACTATACAGTATATAACCTTTTCAGATTGACTTCTTTTGCTTAGTGATATGCATCTAAGGTTACTTCATGTTTTTTCATGGCTTGATAGCTCATTTCTCTTCAGCACTAAATAATATCCCACTGTCTGGATGTACCACAGTTTATTAACCATTCACCTGCTGAAGGCCATCTTAGATTCTTCCAACTTTTGGCAGGGCTAGGTATTTTAAGCAGATATGCTAGGACTTGTGAAGAGGATGAGAACAAGGTCCTTTTGGAAACTTGTACTTGGTATACAGAGTAGAGGGAAGTTTTATGCACAGTAACAGAGAAGGCTCATCCATCATCCAGGGGATCAATCCCAAACCATGTTGTGGGTCCTGTCACTTTTCCACCATTATAATGTGTCATCTTGTAGAGCTTGCTTAGAAACAGATATAGGAAAATCTTATTTCATATAATTCACAAGCTTATTTGGTTAATTTTTAACCTTACTTAAAAACAAAAATCTTCCTTTAGGATGATTTTAAGTTATGGGTTATGTTACAAAAATTAAGTGAAGGGAAATAGTAACTGGTGGGTTTGAGTAGTTTGGCCTACTTATGACTCAAAGAATTGTTTCGTTTTGGTTTTTGGTGAGAGCTCCATTGCATATTTTGGACAGAAGCCCAACTTTGGAGGTTGTTGTTGTTGGTGGTGGTGGTAGTAATCTATCCAATTTAGCTGAATGCTGGTGAGCCACCCTCCATTTCGAAATAAACTAAATAATAAGTGAGTCACTCTGAGAACATAGTCTACAGCCTCATTAACAGGAAAACAATTACTGTTCCCGTTCAATACTTTATGAACTAAGTGGAGTTTACATGACAGATGTAGTTATGCCTTTAGCATGCTTGTGATCAATCTGATCAATATTTCACTTAAATAATCTACAGGCACCTTAGTTTTTTTTCCTTGACAGACTTTATCTCTTAATTTAACAAACATTGTTTGATCTTGTGATAGTCTCTCTTAAACACACTTGAGTTATTCATGAGCTCTTTCAGTAACTGTGTCCCTAAGAAAGTCAGTTGTTTACAGCTTGGCGAAGTAGTATTTTATTTCCATTTGCAAAGGCACTTTGAAAAGTATAAGGTGTGATGTAAATGCCGACTATTATTATTCTATAATTTTTTGCTCCTTCTCCCCTTTTTTTCCAGGACAATGAAATAATTCAATATGGGGATCTCTGTTTTATACTGTTGAACTATTAAGAAATCATCTCATGAACATAGAGATGTTCATATGATTTGACTCAATAATCCCATACCTAAGGATAGTTACTAAATAAATAAATCCACAGAAATAAGTCTCTTTGCCGTTCACTGCTTGGTCGTAATGGTGCTATTTACAATAACGGGAGACTCAACTCAACTTGTAAGCTAACAAAGTAGAAATTCCAAACATTTAACATGATGGAAATGCTTTAATAACCAAATGCAGGAGAAAATACTATGTTGGCATGGTTTTGACGGTTGGCACAGAAAGTTGGAAAGAAGCTTATGATAGATTGTATGAAAGAGCAGAATATGAATTGAGCCATGTACACAATCATATAGAATGGATAAGCCTATGGGAAAAATTACGACATTAGAATATGGGAGAAGGGAATTGGAAGACGGAATTTATTGTACTATTCTTTACTGAAATGTTTCTTAATATTGATGTAATATCTTGTCAATGATTTTAAAATTAAAGCCTTGTAGGTCCTTAATCTAAAGAGTGCCCACAAAATTTCATACTTGTGGCAACCTTTAAAAGAAACTATTTGCTATGGGGTGACCAAAGGCATCATCACATTCAGAGCATATTTATTAGACATCATTCGTTTGTGGAGGAGGATTATTAATACTTGCCCTCTAGTGGCTTAAAGTTGTAAACAAACAATTTTGGCTTAGTTTTTGGTTGCTATTGCTAATGGCCCTGTTTGTGAGGATAAAACTGATATGGTTTGGATCTGTGTCCCCGCCAAATTGCATGTCGAATTGTAGTCCCCAGTGTTGGAGGTAGGGCCTAGTGGGAGGTGATTGGATCATGGAGGTGGATTTCTCATGAATGACTTAGCACCACCCTTTGGTACTGTTTTCAGTAGTGAGTGAGTTCTCAGGAGATCTCGTCATTTAAAAGTGTGTGGCACCTCCCACTCCTTTCTTTTGCTGCTCCAGCCCTATCTGTTCCCTCCTGGCCTTCCACCATGATTGTAATTTTCCCGAGGCTTTCCCAGAAGGTAAACAGATGCCAACATCATGCTTTCTGTACAGCCTGCAGAACTGTGAGCCAATTAAACCTTGTCTCTTTATAAACTACGCAGTCTCAGGTGTTTCTTTTCTTTTTTTTTTTTTTTTGAGACTGAGTCTTGCTCTGTAGCCCAGGCTGGAGTGCAGTGGTGTGATCTCGGCTCACTGCAACCTTCGCCTCCCAGGTTCAAGCGATTGTCCTGCCTCAGCCTCCCGAGTAGCTGGGGTTACAGGCGCCTGCCACCACACACGGCTGATTTTTGTATTTTTAGTAGAGACAGGGTTTCACCATGTTGGTCAGGCTGGTCTCAAACTCCTGACCTCAGGTGATTCACCAGCCTCGGCCTCTCAAAGTTCTGGGATTACAGGCGTGAGCCACCACGCCCAGCCTAGGTACTTCTTTATAGCAATGTGAGAACAGACTAATATAAAACCTTGCTGTAAAATGAAAACTCACATGGGTATGTCCAAAAAGCACCATATGGTCAGTGTCTCCTATCCTAAACCTGCCCGTTGTAGCTTTTTTGCCCACATTTCTGAGGGCAGAGCAGCATAGACATTGGGAACCTGGCCTCTGCAATGAAAAGAACTGGCTACGTGAACTGAGGTTCTGCCGCACACCCACCTGCTTGGTGACCTTGGGCACATTCTATCACTTTGCTTTCCTCATTTACTAAAAGGGGTAATAATAATGCTACCATGCTACATGGCATGTAAAGTGCTATTATCATTACTACTTTTCCACCACTGATTCTAAGGCTCTAGTGCTGATCTTGGTGCTGGGGATGAGCAGAGAAATATAAGATGTATAGGCTTTTAATGGGATTTTCAACTGCTTAAAGAGATAAGATCTATTTCCATGCAATGATTGTGAAAATACATAGTAAATGCTAAAGGAGTAATAAAATTATATATTATTGCTTCTAAGGTAGTATTTTTCACATTTTATGTCTGTATTATTGGGATGCATCTAATAAGTGATAATGATTTACTATTTGGCAGCCTAATTGGCAGCATCTTTTCATTTTTAGTGGTATATAAAATAATGTTACATCTTAAACTGATTCAGTGCAATGTGGTAGTTAGTACATATGTTAGTACATATGTTACATTTAAAAAATATTTATCAAGGACCAGGTAAAGGATAAAATGAGTTATAAGCATTATCAAAAATAATCCTCAGAGTAAGTTCTGTGAATTTGGGAAATGGGAAAACCATGGGAGAAATTATCAATGAATTTTAAGGCAGTGAGGTTATAAAGGATTCCTAAGGTCTGACTTGAACTAAGCTGCACAATAAGGAGAGCCAATTTGGATAAGCTGAAAGAAGAGGGGTAGGGATGCCGGGAATATTTGCTGTCAGTGAGTTGTGCTCGGGTTATTCATTCCTTAGTAGAATCTCTCCCATCCTTACTGAATTTTTTTTAAAGGGAAGACTTGGGACAGCTTTTCTTTAGTCTGATATCTTCTCTCATCTATTTTGCTTTTTTTTTTTGAGACAGAGTCTTACTCTGGAGCGCAGTGGTGAGATCTCAGCTCACCTTCACCTCCTGGGTTCAAGCAATTCTCCCAACTCAGTCTCCCAAGTAGGTAAGCTGGGAGAATCAGGCTGCTACGGGGGCACACCACCACGTCTGGCTAACTTTTGTATTTTTTGGTAGAGACGGGGTTTACCATGTATGTTGGCCAGGCTGGTCTCAACTCCTGACCTCAAGTGATCCACCCGCCTCGGCCTCCCAAAGTGTTGGGATTACAGGCACAAGCCACTGCACCCAGTCTATTTTGCTTTTGAATTTTAATTGCTTTAAGCAAGTTTTTTTGTTGTTACTGTTTTGTTTTGTTTTGATCATTAAATGTAGGCACTATTGACATTTTGGGCTGGATAGTTCTTTGTCATAGGGGGCTTTGTTGGCATTGTGGGATACGTAGCCTCCTCCCTGGTCTCTACCTATTGGATGCTAGTAGCACCTTCCAGTTGTGACATCTGAAAGTCTCCAGACATTGCCAAATGTTCCCTGGGGCGGGGGGTGGATGTGTAAAATTGCCCCCAGTTAAGAACCACTGGCTTAAAGAAAAAAGCACACCTCTCATTTTTTTCTCTCCCCCTCTCTCTTTTGCTCTCATTCTTGTTCTCTGTGTTAAGGAAGAAAAACCTAGATTTTTTTTTTAACAACTTTAGAATTTTTTTTTTACAACTCTTCTCTCCTGGTATTGAAGTCTTGCCAGTGGACCACAATGATGGCATTGTGTGTAAGTCTAACAAGCATCCGCTCATTTGCCAGTTTACCATTAATTCTTAAGTGTGATGGGGTTAGGGGAATTGGTACCCCAGGGAGCATATTTTTAAAAACTTATTATTTTGAATAATTTTAGATTTGCAGAAGAGTTGCAAAGATGGTACAGAATGTTCCCGCATACCTTTCTTCCAGTTTCCTCTAATGTTGGCACCTTGCATAATAACTGGCCCATTTATCAAAACTAAGATCTTAGCATTGATTGATACAATACTATTAGCTAAACTGTAGTCTTTATTGGGATTTCCTCAGTTTTTCAAAAAATGTCCTTTTTCTGTTCCAAGATTCAACCTAGGATGCCTCATTGCATTTAGAAGGAGCATAGTTTTTTTAATGGAAAGAGTATAGAATGTATTCCTGGAAAACTGGTGATTCTCAGAGAAAATCTAAAAAACATTTGCTGTAAAAAAAATGTGAGCCACATTGACATAGGTAGGATAAATGACAGTGAGCAGACTTTTCTAAGTAGGGGCCTATCCCCATTAGCACGCACTGAGCTAAAAAGTTCCCCTCTTTCTGCTTAAAATGAAAATCTTTAGCTGGAATCGACACTCTCGGAGGCAAAAACAACTATACTAGTACATATTTTTCAAATATCTGATAAATAAACTGAAGGCAGCTTTTGTCTTGACTCTCAGTCTAAGCTATCCTCATTACGTATTTTTTTCTACAAATGATCAATGCTAA
Source organism: Homo sapiens (assembly GCF_000001405.40). Lineage (NCBI taxonomy): Eukaryota > Metazoa > Chordata > Mammalia > Primates > Hominidae > Homo > Homo sapiens. The sequence goes on along the minus strand of NC_000010.11, from coordinate 63,000,896 downwards.
TAGACTGAACCAAAGGTACAGTCCCAAACTGCTGTTTCATATTTACGGCAAGCTTAATGGTTGTTTTCCAATTCTGGCTCACAAATACAGCATGAACACAAAGCAACATGAAAAGGATAGACTCTATTGAACCTGATAAATGTGAGTTGTAAGTAGTTGCAGTTTCTTCTTAGTCTCATTTGCAGCTCAACCGTTTCTCATTATGTGATCCTTTAAAGTCAACCTGATTCAGGAGCAGATCAATACTAGGGAAACCCTTTTGTCTTCTTTTAGGGCATAAAATTTAAAAAATGCTTAAGTCAATATTCCTTTTAATAATGTGTCTTACAGAAATTCCCGGGTCCCCCTTGTTATATAATTAATTGAGCTGCCTGCCACCCACAAGGTATAGTCGTTGCCTCCCATAACTCTCCTTTGGCCTAATTGCCATTCTGTTTTCAGTTCTATTTGTCTTTAGATATTTCTCCCCCCACCACCACCAATAGTGTTGGGCATGCTTTGTACTTAGTTTTATCTTGCTGTGCTTTTGCTTCTAAATGTCAGCATAATTTTTCTACCTTATAATATTGGAGTTGTTATAACCATCAATCAGCCCAATAGAAGAGCAGAAAAGATTAGATATCATTTATCTGTATTGGTTGTTCATTGTAATGACCCAGTGGACAACATGAACAGATAATCTGTTGCTTTGATGGAAACTAATTATTCTTAAGCATGACAGCATCGAAATAGCTTTTGTGACATTGTTTTTAAAAATGACGGCTATCTAGTCATTATTAGTGCAAGCTGAGGTTCAGTTGTGTTCTCTGATGATTTCCCTACATAAGCAACACTACAGCTGGGACTTTTTATTTCTGCTTCACAGGAAAAACTGAACTAAAATTCAAGAAGTTTAAAATTTCAATTGACATTCAGATACAAGGACTATCCAATAAAAATGTCCTAATGTGAAATAATTTACCACTTCCTAAAGCAAAAGTATAATTAGAAGGTAATTTTGCTAGTTGGGATTAATATAGCTTGATTTTTATTTTGCTGCTGAATTACCAGCATAAAATCACCAGGAGGTTTGGAGAATAAAGTCACCATGAATTAAAAATATTTCACATAGAATTTCCTAAATAAAAGCATGGCTCTATGATTAATTTTTAAAATATAACTTATCTGCAAAGATGGGAAACTTTTGTGCATATTTATATGCAAACTTCAATAAAAACCTTAGAATACTGATGTATTTAGATTGTTACATGCTATTCTTAAAATGCTTTAGAAGCTTAATTAATATTCTAAGATTGTATTTGTATTACTGACACTACTAATAACCAAGTCAAGATTTACGTATTATTATTATCGGGCCATAGTAGAGATGCAGCTTCACTATGTCTTAGTTTGAGAACAGAAGCAAATTAGCTTCATATGCCAAATATTTCCCTTTGTTATGATAAGTTTTGCAAAAGTTTTGGGGATGCTTTGGGTGATAATAGATCATGGATAATATATTGAAATATATGAAATAAGCTTATAATTGCACAAGTAACATTTACTGTAAAAAAAAGTTCTTTCTGTAAAAAATTCAAACCAACTGAAGTAGGTAGAAAAAAAAGAAAGTGTCTTTTTGCCTTCTACTTATTCTTGTTTCCTTAATCCCATTTCCTTCCTAAGAGGGTTGCTAACAATTTGGTGCAAATCTTCAATTTTTTTTTCATGTACTTATGTACGTGTACAAACACTCAGACTCTCTCCTGTCTCTCTCTCTCTCTCACACACACACACACACACGCACACACGCCTGTCTATGGATTTTTTTTTTGAGACAGAGTAATGCTCTGTCGCCCAGGCTGGAGTGCTCTGGGCTCACTTCAACCTCCGCCTCCTGGGTTCAAGTGATTCTCCTGCCTCAGCCTCCCAAGTAGCTGAGACTACAGGTGTGTCCAACCACAGCCAGCTGATTTTTGTATTTTTAGTAGAGATGGGGTTTCATCATGTTGGCCAGGCTGGTCTCAAACTCCTGACCTCAAATGATCCACCAGCCTCGGCCTCCCAAAGTGCTGGGATTACAGGTGTGAACCACCATGCCTGGCCATTTTATGGATATTCTATAGACTCTTCTGTACTTCTTTTCACTTAAAAATATGTTTTGGATATCTTTTCAAGTATATATATATGGCTCTCCTTTTTGAAAACTGGTCATGTCTATTTTTAACCATTAAATCATTCAAGTACATATATATAGCTCTCCTTTTTGAAAACTGATCATGTCTATTTTTAGCCATTAAATCATTCTATGAAATAAGGTTTGCTCTTTTTTATCATCCTCATCCTTTATTTTAGGAAGTCCTCGCTAGGTAAATTGGAGGAAAATCTCAATTTGAGCCCTAGCCAGTTAACTGGTTGACTTGGGTCAATCACTTCTGACCCACTGCAAAGATGAAACTCATCCCGTGGTTAGAGAGGATGTGAGCCCCTGATTGGGAGGCAGTGCAGGTGGGAGATTTCGCTCTGGATTCAGTTCTGACACAAAGGAGCAGGTCCCCCTTCTGGGCTTCAGGTTCTCCACTTGAAAATGGGAGCCAGGGTAGAGCAGACTAGATTTGCTTTTGTTTCTGTCCGGATCTTACATTCTCTATTTCTGTTTTCCGAACTAAATGCTGTGTTTTGACTTGGGGTAATTCTTCTATGATTAGTACTAATCTTATGCTAGTGACAGGCAGCCAAAATTTAAAGAATGGATAGACTCAGGTCTATTTTTACCAGTGGTGGACATATGTGTTTGTTTTTAAAAATACTGCTTGGAATGGCCTTTGTCACCAACAAGTTATGGTAGTGCTAACTAACAGGGGGAACAGCCTGCTCTTCTTGTTTCACCTTGCAAATCTGCATCAGAAGCCTTCCTTGTTATTACAACCCTCTGAAGATCATTCAAGATACACTCTCAACTATCGTTTGTAACCTGTAGTTAGCTTTTGAATCTACACTGTGCAGATGATGCTTATCAACTGGTGGCTTTTTTTTTTTTTAAATCACATTCACTTTTAGAATGATGGACTCAAACACCATAATAGTAATGATACCTGCAGGTAACATGAATAAGCACTTACTATGTTCTAAGCCCTTTAAAAGTCACTCACAGGCAGACGTGGTGGCTCACACCTGTAATCCCAGTGCTTTGGGAGGCCGAGACAGGTGGATTGTTTGAGTTCAGGAGTTCGAGACCAGCCTGGGCAACATGGTGAAACCCTTTCTCTATTTAAAAGTAAATAAATAAATAAATAAAATAAAAGTCACTCACAAAAACCATATAAAATAATTTACAAATGAGGGCGCCGAGACTCAGAGAAGACAGTAACTTGTCCAAAGGTACAGAGTAAGTGATAATGCTGGGATGGAAGGGAGGAGTTAACTGAATAGTTATATAGCTATGGCTAAAAATTTACCTAGTACTTAACATGGCGACATATCTGTGTGTGTGTAAATGATAGTAAATGCTGGTGCTTCTCGTTCCTAGGATGGTGCTGTGAGGAGACGTGACTTGAAATGGTCCCCTTTCCTGAGGCACCCTCATGGAGCTGCCTATTGAAGTCAGTCCTTTAAAAAATATATAAACAAAGCAATTCCTTATATTCTTTCTGCAGCTACAGATCATTTACTCTGACTTTTGCAAAGCCCTTGCCCTGGCAGACAAGCCCTGGTGTTGGAATCTGCAAAGTTGATGATTAGTCGAAACAGTCTGGACTGCATCCACAGGACATCTTGTAGCACAATCAAGCGCCACTTCATCATGCCTTGTGACAGTTTTCCCGCTAAGTCTCAGTCAGGAGCAGGGAGCCAGGGAACAGCTCAGCAGCTAATTAGACAAGGCAACATACAAGGCAAGTACATGCCTTCTTCAATAGGCTGGAGTGGTGAACATGTCAAACAGATCTGTCTTGCCCTCTGTGCTTTATACCCATCACTGTACCTGGTTGAACATTAACACGTGGAAATCTGCTGATTTTTTTCCAATATCCTGGCCCATGCAGAGAAGGAACTGAAAAGGAACTGTATGTCTGAAAGGTAGTTCCATGCTTCATTATCCCTAAAGGCATCAATCTTCAACTCATTGTTAAAGAAGCATCACAAGATGTGGAAATGCAGTGTTTTGGCCTTTTAGTGTCTCTGGCTATGATTTCCTCCCTTCCTTGTGATGTTTGTTTTGAAAAAAAGTCTAAGATGTTAAAAAAAAAGAAAAGAAAAAGGTTTTCCTGTTGAGACAAAAGCCAAGAAATTGCACGTGTTTCCTTCTCTTTTGCTTCTCTGTCTCCTAAAAGATTAAGGTTAAAGAGAAAATCTGAGATTTGTGGGTGTGTTTTTCAAAAGTTTTCAAAATATAAAGGCAGATACTCCAAAAACTTTGTAAACAAATATCTGGAAATATAAAGACAATATCAAAGTATATCTAAGCATACAACAGCAGCAGCTACAACAACATAAAGATAATTATTTTACATCAGGACAAAATACATTAATTTTATATCTTTTCTTTTTTTGTTTTTTTTTTTTTTTGTTTTTTTGAGACAGGGCCTCACTCTGTTGCCTAGGTTGGAGTGCAGTGTACGATCATGGCTCACTGCAGCCTCGATCTCCTGGGATCAGGTGATTCTGCCACCTCAGCCTCTCAGGTAGCTGGGATTACAGGCATGCATCACCATGCCTGGCTAATTTTTTGTATTTTTAGTAGAGACAGAGTTTTCCCACATTGCCTGGGCTGGTCTCAAACTCATGGACTCAAGTGATTTGCTCACCGTGGCCTCCCAAAGTGCTGGGATTACAGGCATGAGCCACTGTGCCCAACCCAGAATATATTCTTGGCCACTTAAGCAATGAACCCTATACGATGTGTCATTCCCTAAAGATGTCATTATGTGTGTGGTGGTATGTGTGTTTTCATCAGAAAACCTCAAGTCAGTTACCACTAGCTGTGGTAGGAGAAGCAGAGGATGCTGAAACTTGAAGGAGACTCTCAGAGTCACCTCGTTTAATCCCTTCACAGAGGAGAAAACTGAATGCCGGAGTAGACATATTCATTGCCACTGCTCTTTCCTGGCTCAGGGCCCACTGCTCTTTCTACACCACCATGGTCTCACTCTATAGAATTTGGGGGGTAGAACCCCTTTGTCATAGGCTCAGACACTTGGGACCAAATCTACCCCAGATTTTGAGAGCTAGAAATGGTGGCTACAAGAGATCACTCCAGCCTTCTGCTTACAGTCTGTCTTTCCATTCACAATGATTTAATTGTGTATTTTTGGGTGAGATACTATCATCTTCTGATTGAGTAATTTCAGAGGAAAAAATGTATTCAGCGGTGAGTCATGATGTGCTTATGCTGATTTGTGTACCACTCCTCTGTGTAGCACAGTAGACCCTGCCAATCACAGAGCAAGGAGCAATGTGGTTACATAGGAAGCCCGGATTCAATGCTTAGTGAACATGAATACAATATAATAATAATAATAATAATAATAATAATAATAATAATAACGTGGTAGTTTGTTGTCTCTGGAGCTAAGTAGCTATTGTGATATGCCATCCAAGAATAGATTCCAAAATGTATGAGCATGACTGACAAAGGATAGTCTTCTTTTTACTCTTTTTAGCTTGGTGAATATAGTCTCCAATCAAATGATAGTATCATCAGAACAGCAGATAATGAAAACCACATTAATAATGAAAACTGGAGACTTGGATCTTAGATCCGCTTTCCTGATTAGCTAGCTATTTTTCTAGTCACCCCCAAACACTGAATCTCTTTAGGCTTCAATTCCTTCGGATATAAAAGGAGTGGACTGAAGCAGGCTTTATGTTGAAGGAAATTTCTATGCCTAATGTTGAATGATCCTGGGAGTTTAAATTTCAATATTATTGCTATGAAATATTCTTTCATTGTTTGGTTGACTTATCTTTGTATGTCTGGGATTCAACTCAATGTGGGCTAGACTCCCCACCAGGACATACTTTTTTTAAAAATAGAAGTGTACTCTAAGAAAACAAATTATAGGTTGGGCGCGGTGGCTCACGCCTGTAATCCCAGAACTTTGGGAGGCCGAGGCAGGCGGATCATGAGGTCAGGAGATCGAGACCATCCTGGCTAACATGGTGAAACCCCGTCTCTACTAAAAATAAAGAAAAATTAGCCGGGCGTGGTGGCGGGCGCCTGTAGTCCCAGCTACTCCGGAAGCTGAGGCAGGAGAAAGACGTGAACCCGGGAGGCGGAGCTTGCAGTGAGACGAGATCGCGCCACTGCACTCCAGCCTGGGCGACAGAGCGAAACTCCGTCTCAGAAAAAAAAAAAAAAAAAAAAAAAAAAAATTAGCTGAGCTTGATGGCGGGCGCCTGTAATCCCAGCTACTCGGGAGGCTAAGGCAGGAGAATCACTTGAACCCGGGAGGTGGAGGTTGCAGTAAGCCGAGATCATGCCATTGCACTCCAACCTAGGCAAGAGAGCAAGACTCCGTCTCAAAATAAATAAATAAATAAAAAATAAAAGAGAAAACAAATCAACAAATCCTAGCTTTACTGAACCTAAAGTTGTGTGCTGAATTTAGATTTAGCCAAAATGAAGGGCTGTGAGCAGAGAGTGACAGGTGAAGGCTGAGGGCTGGGGGTTGGGGGGTAGGAGAGAGATGGGAAATAAAAGCCAAGAAACCAAACTAATTACCCTCTCGGGACCTGAAAGCAGAGGTTGCACACAGGTTTTATGTTTCGGTTTTTTTGTTTGTTTTTTGGTCCACACAGTGTTCATTGGAACCATGCTGTTTAAAACAGCAAACAACAACAACAAAACCAAAATAAATTGCCAACATGGACATACCCAAATTTCTGGCTTCTCTTGAAACATCAGACAGGACCCTGGGTCCTGAATTCCAGCATGCCAGCAATCTGCTGCAGGTGTGCAGTGGCTACCACCTTTAGATGGGCTTATTGCTCTATTTTCCACAGTCCCTGCCACTCCCTACTGCCCACATTAACGCCTAGTGTCATTTGCCATTTACCACTGAATTTGGAATGTTATTTTTGTGTAGTAGAGTTAAGGTAAAAACAATCTATTTCTTACATTCAAGTCTTCATTAAAAGTGGGAAAATAAAGCTAGACTGAGTGGGATGTGTGCTTCTCACACCCAGCCTGCTATATGTGTTGATGTTATATGCTTTTCTCCTGTAAATATCTGTGTTTTCAAGCACTGTCCTAGCTTAAGCTCTGTCCCTGATTTAAGCAATAAAGAAAAAAACATCCAGCTAAACTAGGGAAGCATAAAATATAAAATATTAGCCCAAATCCTCTTCCTACCCCACTATATGTTCAATTTGATGGTAGCTCCTAAACCAATTTGAAGCAATCAGGGCTAGGACTGTGAGGTTCTTCTCTGTTTTTTAAGTAGGGGCTGGGGGAGAAAGTGCAGATAAGACACTGAGGTGGGAGCAGAGATTCTTCCTCCAGCCTCTCTGTTGTGGAAGCCAACACATCAAGCATGCCAAGGAATGCCCTTGCAGTAAATTTGCCAGAGCAGCTACTGTCTACCAGTTAGCTTGCTTTAATTATCTGTGGTTCCCAGTTTAACCTGAAAACCTCTCCAGAGAAATACTTTGGGGTTTGAGGTTTGCTGTCTCAAATTCTGGAAAACCTGGAAAGACTGTTGCAATGACCTTTATTAGTTGCTTCTCAGATTAGATCCACAGTAGCTGTTTTGGAGTGATTTTTCACTCCAGAAAGAATACCTTGATGGTAAATCTAATTAGTATTCAAGTCTTGCACTATGCTTTTGTTCTTTCTTGGCCTTTTCACTCTTACCTTTTATGTTCTTCAATTCTTTAATTAATGAGATTATGAAAATTTCAAAGAAACTATACAAATGTGGCACCATTAAATTGCTAGTATAGACTTGAAAATTGGATTATAAAATTGGGAGTAAAGACAAGTCATAGCACTTCAATTATATCCTAAGTGCAACTTAAAAATTCTATTTTATTTTCAGCTGCTCATTTATTTCCCCAAGAGAGAAAAAAAATCCAGAGATATCAGGGGAGAATTGTTAAATGACTGTAGAAATTGGCTTGTTTTCTGGGACTCTTGTAGAAACACGGAAACATAGTCTTTTTGTGTGCATACTGGTGGGAACTTGATGGAGTATTTAGGTAGGGAAAAGTCAGGCTCAAGACTCAGATAAACATCCCGATATTTCAGTACTCACCCAGTGCTTGGACAGCCCTCTTTGGTTGGGAAACAACATGAGAACAGCCTTTGTTTTTATATTCCAGTTCATTACTGGTGGGACCTTAGCCAACTAGAAAACGCTGTCAGAACAGCTTCAGAATTCAGACAAAGACTCACGTCAGTTCTTATTTTAGGCGAACTGGTTCAGCCGTTCCTCTTTCAGAGAAGTAGAGTGGGTTTCCCCTGATGAGCTTAATTGAAAGAACTTGCTTCCACTTGAAAGATGTGATAAACATCTGGCAAATGCAGGAGAGCTTGGAACTGTGTAGAAATCTTGGAAGAGACCAGGAGCCGGAGGCATAACTAACTAGATTTGGGGCTAGGGTCACCAGTTTCATGCCTGACTCCTCCATTCGCTTGACTTTGACCTCGGACGTGACTTAGTTGTGTGTTTCCCCTCTGTTGAATGGGAATGATGAGATGATGAGTCACATTTACCACTGGAACAATTCATTGTGAATAACTAAAAAGCACTTTGCAAGCAAAGCCTTCTATAGGGGCCTAATCATGCTAAAAGAGTTGGAAACATTTGGTGGCATACAAATGTCAAGGCAAAAACAATAAACTATAGATTTTGCTGCATAAGAAAACATGTTTCCTCATGATGCCAGGACAATTGTCAGTTTTTATTATTAAAGGATACTCCATGGTAGAATAAGGAGTGTAGAAACAGTTGGTAAGACCAAGAATATTGAAAGGGATTTTCATTCATTCATTCACTCAGCATATATTTATTGAGCTCCTTCCATGAGCTATGCACTGGGTGGGAGATAGTAATTAAGGTGTGTGCAATCCTTGCCCTCATGAAGCTCACTGTCTGTTGGGAATTCAGAAAAGAAATGATAGTCAGAAGTTCTAATCCTAGTAGTGTGAGCAAACAACTTCCTGTGTCTCAATTTTTACATCTGAAAATTGGGGACAATATCCACCTCCAGGGTTCACTCAAGAAGTAAGTGAGAATATTCATATAAAGTTCTTAGCCCTGTGCCTGAGAACATTGAGATCTTTATGATAATAGGGAACTCCTATTGCAAATGCATTTTCTTTTTAAAAGCTAGATCTTTGTATAATTAATCATCAGAGGAATTGTTGTTTACTATAGGAATTGTTGTTACTATTGTTGTATTTTTTTATTATATATAAAAAAATAATAAATTATCCATTGCAATAGCACCACACACAATTATAGCTTCATGATGCCCAAGAGGCATTATGGTAGGCTTAAAAAATATGAAAGGAGGGGAGCTGGGTTCTAATCTTGGTTGTGCTACCATTGACCTGTGAAATCTTGGAAAAGTCACAGCTTTATGTGTGTCAGTTTCTCCCCTGATAAAATGTGTTGGTGATTATACTTGTATTTGTGGTCTATTGCAATTCTAAATTTTTATAATTCTCTGTAACAAATATTATTGAACAGTAGTCTACGGTCAACGAAACACAGTGCGGGTGCTAATTTCTTTTAGGGGGAACTAAGACATGGGCCTATGCTAATAAGCCTTGTTTGTATGTATAGCAAGAGAATAATAGTATAAATAAGGAAAAATATTCTAGATAAGACAATCCTTAATAGAAAGATTAATATATAGATAGATGTAAATAAAGATAAATATGAGTGTTGCGGATTACCATGGATAGTGTTGCTTAAGAAAATTGGTAAGCAAAAAAAAAGAAAAAAAAGAAGAAAATTGGTAAGCAAATCAGACCACTGATTGAGAATAGGCCTGAGAAAAGTGGTGAGTGAACATAGAATCTTTAATTGACTGAAAATGAACCTTTTAAAAAAGCTGAGATCCCATGAAATCTTTGGATAAGATAGACCATTGGTTCTCAAAATGCAGTTCTGGACCTGCAGCATCAGTGTGTCTCCTGGGAACTTGTTAGAAATGCAGATTATTGGCCACACCCCAGACCTAGTAAATAAGAAACTTTGAGAGTTGGGCCCAGCAATCTGTTTCACAAACCTTCCAGGTAAATCTGATGCATGCTCTAGTTTGAGTACCACTGAAATAGACTTGGGTCCAGATAAGTGGTAAAAACTGAGTAAAGAGCAGCAAGAGAAAAACAAGCTTGGGATTCATTTATTCATTCATGTATTTACTATGCATCAACAATTTGCAAAGTGATCTGCTTGATTCTATAGGGAGATGCTAAGATATACCCTTAAATAAAATGAAACAATGTCAGGATTGACCACATCAGAGCCTAGTGAAAAAAACGGATTATGAAAAGTTAAAATGTGAAAGAGATTTTTGCTTCTCTTCCTCCTGCTAGTGATGAAACCCTGGACACACCATCTCCAGTCTCTGACTCACAGTTTCTTCTGCTGAACTGCAATCAGGGAGACTCACTAGGGGTGAGGTGGGTTTATCAGAACCATCCAGAAGGTTGTATTCAAGACAAGAAAGCATGCTCCACCTTGTCTTTGAGAATGTGTGTATCCTTCAGATGAGCTGAGGTGAGGAAAACAAAAAAAAGAAAACAAAAGACAACTAGGCTAGATGCCCTTGAAGTAACCTTGACCAGGACCAGATATGACCTCAGGAAAGCAAACTGGGTGGGGAATTGTGGTGAGGAATTGTAAACGTTAGATGGAGTGATCTAGGGAATGAGGCCATTTTTAGACTGAGAATAAGCCTGATAGTTCTCAATGGCCAAGAAGTAGCCTTACTTAGGGACCAGGTGCTCTGGCTTGATGATTAATATTAGTGAGCTCTGAATACACCTAGTGCTTTTCTTCTAAGGATCTGATCTCCCTTGTTTCTTTCACTCTCTTGGCCTCTCCGTGAGATAGGCGTGGGCTGGTGCTGTTTCCCCATCTCATGGTAAACAAGAACACCAAGAAAAGCAGTGCCTTTGATTGGAGCAAGCTCAATCAGTCAACGAATATTTATTAAGTATCTGACATTGTTTCCTGGCATTGCTTTTTTAAAGGTATGCAAAGGAAAATCTATCTACACATACCTTTAGGGAGTATCTATTGGGAGTATCTATTGCAAGCTATGTCCCTTCATTTGGCGCAATATGTAAAGAAACTTAATGAATTAAAGGAAAATTAAGATTCTATCACTTGAGGCCAGGTGTGGTGACTCACACCTGTAATGCCAGCACTTTGGGAGGCTGAGGCAGGTGGATCACTTGAGACCAGGAGTTCCAAGACCATGGTGGTGGGCACCTGTAATCCCAGCTACTAGGGAGGCTGAGGCAGGAAAATAGCTTGAACCTGGAGGTGGACTTTGCAGTGAGCAGAGATCATGCCACTGCACTCCAGCCTGGGCGACAGAGCGAGACTCCTCAAAAAAAAAAAAAAAAAAAAAGGTTATATTGCTTGGATAATATCATAGTGAGGGGTAACAGTACTTTTCCGTACTTTTTCGGTACCTTTCCTGCTAAGTACCATTTATGGTCCATGACTCATCCCTGTCATTCAAGGCGACTCTTCCTGGAGCCTGCTAGTGACAGGGTGTGAGGTTGGAGTGTGGTAAGGTGAGACCTCCATTAACCAGGAAAGTTGGTTAAATCAAGTTTTCCTGTTAACCAAAGCTCAATCAGAAGGAAAAAAAAGTCAACACTGCTTGTTTAAGGTAAAAAAATCTGTAGGAACAATGAAAGAGTGCAAAACAGTTTTAAAACTGGAGGTGGGAGATCCTTGTTCCAGCGTTGACATCCAGTGACGATGTTTGACTTGTCACTTGACTCTTGGCTTTAAGTTTCTCATCTGTAAAATGTTTAGAAGGCAGTTTCAAGGGATCTTTATGGCTCCTTTGAGTGCTCCTTTGAGGTTCTATCCTTTCTTTTTGATGGCCAGGGACAGCAGCATCCCATTATTAATTCTTATCCGGGCCTGTAGCAATATCTGAAGAGAATGAAAGAGAATGGGCCCCGCGTGCTCTGGCAATAAGCAAAACATTTAGTGTTACCTTTTGGAAAAAAAATAAATCAATGTTTAATTTATTGCAGGATATTTGGCATAGCCTCATTTTGATATATTTACAAATAAATATATATTTATTTGTAAGCCCAGTTGTCTCAGAGTAGTAAATCAGCAAGTGATTTTAATTTTGTTCTTTATTACTTATTTGTTATAACTAATGAAGATATATTGTTTATGTAATAAGAAAAATAGTTAATAAAAAGAAGACATTGTGAAAATAGAACATAGATGTTAGAAGCTGAAAAAGTTTATGATTCTAGCCAAACTTGTCCATTTTCATGTTGGAAAACTGAGGACCCGAGAGATAAGTGATGTGCTTGCCCTCTCTCTGAACTTCCTAGAAGCAGTCTTGAGGACTACAAACCACATTTCTAGTTTCCTAACCTAGTACTTCTTTTACTCTGGCACACTTTTATGGTAGTTTTCCATTTTCTTGCTTAAAAAAAAGGAGGCAAACAACAATAATTGGACATTCTTTTTATTTAGATTCTGCTTAATTGAGACCTGTGAACTCCTTGCCTTAGCCAGCAGTGATATCTTGCTCTCTAGGGTGATTGATTGGAATCCAGCCTTCACCAATAGACTGTGGCCAAAATTCCTCTGATGCACAGTATGGTAACAGTGGCCGCCATTTTGGTGTTTTTTGTCTCTGCAGTGCACATTGTAGGAGTCTTTCACGTAAAATACCCTCATGATCATAATGGAGATCATTAGTGATATGTTCAGAAGACAAAAGAGGGCAGAAGAACAAGGTGGAAAAGAGATACGAGAGCCAAGGAGGAGAAAGTAGCAACTCCCTAGGCTTGTTAATCCAATGATGTAAGTGACTAGGATGTTCATTCATCATCAGCAGTGCCTGTGTGAGAAAACTCAGCACTCTTCATATTGGCCTCATTCATTGTCCCACCCCTGATTCTGATGATTTCGGGGGAAAAAAAAAGCAATTTATTTTGTCAGTTTGGAGTTAGCTGATTTGTATAAACAATATAATTGCATTATTCCCACAAACAAGAGGTTCTTTCGGAAAATGAATGACAAGCAAATGTTCTACACAATCATGAATATTCGCAAGGGGATACAATAGGAAACGTCTTTACATGGAAACCAAGTTAGCTGAATACTTTGGCTTACACTGTGAACAATTTCTTAAAAAACAAGCCTATTTTCACCCTAATCTTCGTATATAATTTCTACTAATAAATATTTCTTATGCTTTACATCTGTGTGGAAAAATTGCCTCCTACACAAGCCTCACCTTCCATCCAGGTCTAAACTTCTTCCCACCAATGTTGTCATTATACTTGGGATTCCAGCTGCCTTGGGTTATGAGGATTTCATGCAAATATGAATCAAAGGGAGCAACACATAAAATACTGCCATTTTTTTCTTCCCATTTCCCCGAGTTAAATAACAGTTTATTCTGCAGGCTTTCAAATCACTCCCACAAAATTGGCAAACCAATACAATCGACACATTCATGCTAATCCACCCAGAAGTAAATACACTGTGGTGAAACTGTGACATTTGCAAAGACCACAGCTCCCCAATTACTGAAGAATTAACTAGGGATATAATGAGGAGGGTCAAGTGGGATTCAGGGTGGAGGGAAGCCAGCTTGCCATTCTGTGTCTAATCCTCAAATGGAACCTTCCTATACATTTAAGAACTTAAAGAGAAGTGTGGCTAACTTCTACATTCGCTGTAAATAAAAATATTGCACCACATTTTCTTGGTTTCCTAAGAACCTGACAAAATGCCCCAAAGCGTGCTGGCTTAGTGATTTTTCTGGATTTAGCCAACACTAGGACATGCTTGAACCCTTGCAGGAATGTTTGTATCATGAAACCACAGTCCATTGGGTCCAAGATTTGTTGGCTGTTCATGAAAAGCAAGGGGGATTTAGCATTTTAGCCCATTTGGCTTTTCTTGGGTCCTGGAAATGGAGGTCAGCAGACCTAGAGTTGAGTCCCAGCTTTACTCCAGTACTAATAATGGCATGAGGAAGAACCAATTTGTTCAGTACTCTACAAATTACCGGAGTTTTTATGTGCATTTTAGCCTCACAGTGACCCTGTGAGGCAACAAAGACACTTGTTAAAGTCAGTCCTGTTTTATAGATGAGGAAGCCAAGGTTCAAGAAGGTTGTTAGTTGCCTGTTATCTTGTAGCAACCACTTTCAGCTTGTAGCAAACAAGCCAAGGCAGAGGTTCAGAGATGGTAGGTGCTTCACCTGGCATCACACAGCAAGCCTGATGATGGAAAGGGCATAATTAGTCTGGAATTTCCAGCTCATTGCTTAGGTCACTGGACCATGCTGTCTCCATGCGTCCAGTCTGGCCTGGGAGGTGAGCCACCTCACATTTCATCCCTTAGGCCAGGAAACCATTTCTGTGCCCTGATTGGGTGAACGTGAGCACAACTACAACAGACAGGTAGTCAAGAGGAGAAATCAAATGCTAATGATTTTCTCTGCTGTTACAAGAGCATCTCCCGTCCCTATAAATGGATGGCTTGGATAGACCACTCTGCAGTCATAATAAATAAAGACTTGCCACCACTTTAATCTCTGATCCCTGTCCACCCACAGGCCTCAGGAAAATGCCTGACTGGGCAGAGAGCATCACAGATTTCAGCCTGTGTCTGATCAGGAGGGGAAGAATATTCTGGAGGCGTGGGCCCTGTGGGAGAAGGCCCAGTCTGCTCTTAGATTGCACACAGGCAGCCTGGAGTTAGGACTTTGCTTTGCCAAGAGAGCTTTGGCCCTCCAAACACCACAGTGGAGACTCAAGAGGAACATTTTTCCCTCTTTCACTGAACACTCAAATGTAATGTAACAAATTTTATTGAGCAAATATTGAGTGGAGAACCAAATCCAAATTCCTAACAAGTGGTGCAAAACTTCATGTGCCGAACCTTCTTCTCCTAAGATATGAAATTCAGTTAAAATTTTAAATTATAGCGGGAAAAGAAATCTGTTTTGTGAAGACAGGTAGAAAAGAGAATGAAAACATTATTAAAAATAAAATAGTTATTGATGTTATATTTGTTAAAAGCACCATTTACACATTCGAATTCACTTGGTTTAGAAAGAAAGGATGCATTTTGTTTGTTTATAAAATTGTCAAATCCCAAAGTGAAAAAAACCAGAAGGATATGGGACAAAGGCCCCCATATCTCAGAAAAGTCTTCAGGAATAAGTATCTTTTTCTGTTTTATTTTGCTATTTTATTCAATAACTTGATTTATTAATATATTTAATTTTTTGTAGTTTTCAATTAATTGTAACAAAGATCATTGTAAAAAATATGATTGCTAGCAAAAAATCCCAAAAATCCAAAAAGATCCCCAAACTAGGAAGCTCTGGATATAAAATCTATATAGAATTTAGACTCCCTCCCCAAATCCATGCAATTAAAACCACCTCATTATTCTTTTAGTTTCTAGCATTTTATATTTAATTTTACTCTATTTAATAATTATTTATCTAATGACTCCATAATTTCTATGATGTTTTCCCCACCAAACTCACATTTATGTGGCTGGAAGAACCTATTGTCTTTAGTTGCCTTTGGGGAGATGTCTGCACCTCTTGTTGCTTTTAAACCTCCAATCTCTCCATCAGAGAGGAGCTCATTGGGGATGCCTTATACTTAAGTTTCTTGGGCAAATTCACACCTGTCTTGCACAGGAGCTTCCTCAGATTTCCTTTTGGGGTTGTGTAAATATGTGGGAGGAGGAAAGAAGAGCAGCTGGAACTCCAGATTAGGATAACTAAACTCATTTAGTTTCTGCTGCTCATTAATGAGCAATGCCTAATATTTGACGTGGCTGCCGGTAGATATAAGAAGTAGGGATTTTTTTTTTAGAAAGGAAAGATAAAATAATTTTAAAAATAAAAGATAACATAAGAAAACCAAAGCTTTCATTTTACTGAATTAAACTTTGAATCAAGTGCATGTGTGTTTTCTCCCTCTCTGTGTCTGCTTACTTTTCAATCAATTTTGAGTAAACATTTACTGAACCCCTATTATGCGTTAGGCCCAAAGGTTTGTACTGGGAATTCAGAAATGAATGAAACAATCTTTTCTTTCATCCAGCTCAAAGTTAGCAGAAGAAGCAAAAACATAGTCCCCACAGTGCCTAAAAGATTGCTCTTACGCAAAGCAATAATAGTAATAATGAGAAAAATAACAAAACGTTCAACAAAATTTTATTTAACATTCTGTATGTGTCCTTTCATTTAATCCCCACAACAGCTCTCGGAGAGGAATACTATTACCCCATTTTACAGAATAGAAACTGAAGCATAGACAGGATAATAACTTGTCCAAAGTCACAAAGCTAGTAAGTGGCAGAATCGGATTTCAAATCCAAGTCTGCCTGAAGCCAGAGTCTATACTTTTTAACACCCTTCCTAGGTGATTTTGATCTAAACCTCAAGTGCTTTGGAACTACACATGGGCATTGTTTTGAATTTCATACATTTCACCTGTCCAAGGTTCTTAATACAGTAAGAGAAGGGAGAGCCCCATGAGAAGACTTCATGATGATGGAGGGGTCATGGGAGGATGCCTCAAGAAATAAGGTCAACATTTTGATATTCCCATCTTTTATTCCTTATCAGAAAGCTTTTGGTAGGCTTTAAAACAATAAAGTGTGGCAATATGGAGATGCATATGCTATTAGCCAGGCATGGCAGTGCACAACTTTAATCCCAGCTACTCAGGAGGCTGAGGCAGGAGAATCGCTTGAACCCAGGAGGCAGAGGTTGCAGTGAGCAGAGATCACACCACTGCACTCCAGCCTGGGTGACAGAGCGAGACTCCATCTCAAAAAATAAATAAATAAATAAATAAATAAATAAAAAGAAAAAAGCCAGAACACAAAATGGTACGACTGCTGTAATTGTAATTCAACGGTGTGATAGTATATCTGTATATGGACTGGGAACATCTAAACAAATGAAAACATAATGAGCTACAGTGGTGGGATTATAGGTAGTTTAAACAAATAAGTCCTTAAGATATTGATTTTCACTACTAATGTCAAAATGTTTGTGCAATGAATTTTTAAAAAGCAACCAAATTGTTTACCAGTAGATGGGAGCAGCCCACCGGTCTCTTGCTTTAGGCGGCACATTCTCTTGCTGTTCATTTGCATCCCTGACCTGGAAGCCAATACAGTGTAAGCACACGTGTCCTCACAGGGGTATCCAAGCTTGTATGTGCATCACTGGTGAGACAGCTGCTGGAACTAGTGGACCATGGGAGGAGCAGCTTCTGGGCTACAGGTAACTGTCCAAAGCAGGGCCACTGGAACATTGAAGCCCCAAAAAAGAAGATGAAATTTCGGGACAGGCAGAGGTAGGGAAGGCAGCAGAAGCCTGTATTTGATTTGTTTCTATAAACATTGCCCACTATATAGGCCACATGGTTCTAATGATTGTACAAGAAATGCCTGTTAAAGAGAACTGGTACTTCTTGCTCCAGACCCATGCATTTGCCACCTGAAATATTCATAACCATGACAGACAGTGATATTAATAACAATTAATTGTACAGTATCTGGGCCAGGCATTTCTTACACGTTATTTCAATTATGTCCTAAGGTACATATTCTCACTCCAATTCCACAGATGTAGAAATGTTCTTTGAGAGTTTAAGCAACTTATCCAAGGTCAGGTAGGGATTAAATGGAGATCTTGGGATGGCTTGATAGTCCCAAAGTTCATGCTCTCTGACACTGGCTGTGGTTGGTTACAGCCTCTCCAAGTATCTGACGAAAGATTGTAAGATCTTAGAAGAGAGGGAGCTCCAAAGAAGGGTGGTGGGGTACAAGGAAGATGAGAAGGCATGAATGAAAGTGAAGAGGGAGAGCCAGCCTGTCGAAGGGGAAAGGCAGAAGGAGGGAACATAACATAAACAGTGTGTGTTGGTGTGGGGTGGTGTTGGCTAAGCAGGCATGGCAGTATCTTGGGTAGAGGCTTGAAAACCTGGCCAGAGAATTTGAATGTGAAACTTGTTTTGAATATGAGATTAAACTTTCTGAAATCATTGGATCATTGAAATCACTGGAGGACGCTAGAAATTGAATGTTGGTGGGAAAAATAATTTCCCAGTGTGTTATGGTATGGCTATACCATAAGTGCTGAGAAAAGAGACTACTTCAAGATCTGTTTATAATCCTGGGTTCCCAGATTCCTCTACTGTTTCAATTGCTCCCTTCAGGTCTTAATGCTACTACATATGCCCAAGAACTCCCCTTGGGAAGGAGTTCAAAGATCTCAAGTATAGGACCTCATGTTGGTTAAGTCTAGAAAAAGAAACAGAAAATAAAGCCATTTAACAGGCAATTGTTGTACACCTACAATGTGCAACATGGTTCTAGGCAAGGTTGAGAAAAAGACATCATATACAGAAAATGTACCTAATGGTGTTGGGACATGTCAATATATGATGTCATAGTCACACAATTAAATGCTTTCCGTTGATATAAATTAACATGAAGAGTGGCCCATGTGGCGAGGCAGAATGAAGAAATGTCAAAAGAGTGTCTAGAGGCCAGGCGCAGTGGCTCATGCCTGTAATTTCAGCACTTTGGGAGTCCGAGGCAGGTGGATTGCTTGAACCCAGGAGTTGAAGACCAGCTTGCACAACATGGCAAAGCTCTGTCTCTACAAAAGATCCAAAAATTAGCCGGGCGTGTTGGTGTGCACCTGTAGTCCCAGCTACACAGGAGGCTGAGGTGGGAGGATCACCTGAGCCCGGGAGGTTGAGGCTGTAGTGAGCCATGAGAGTGCCACTGCACTCCAGCCTGGGTGACAGAGTGAGACCCTGTCTCCAAAAAAAAAAAAAAGTGTCTAGAGAAAGGGCACTGGCCAGGCGAATCTGTTTAAGTTAGGATTAATGGGAAAAAATGCATGGAATTCTTTGACCTCTGTGAACTGGAAGTTCTCTTTGTTTTACAGGGGGTAAAAAATGACAAAGGTGAGAAGGTGGTGATGAATATGATCATGGTGAAGAAGATGATGGTACTCATGATGCCTGGGAGATAATGGTTCTGACCAGTAACTGCTCTTTTTGCTGAAGCATGAAGGCCTGGAAACGCATGGTATCTGAAGGACCTTCAGCTGACTGCAAACCAATATTTCATTTGCTACAAATCTTTTTTTTGTGTTAATAAACTTTGGCTACTAGGATTCCTTAGGGCAGGGAGTATATATCCTGGAAAGAAATATTGAAAAATTAGAGAAACATTCTTATTGCTAATGACTGGGTCAACTGAGAGTGGGTATTATGCCTCATTTCTGTTTGTTATTAGGCACAACATGTTTTATTCCTTAGTGTAGAAAATATGAGCTTTTGATATCACTGCTTAGTATAATTGACTCTTCTGAGCCCTGTTTGAACTTAGTGATTCATCATTTTTCAAATTAGTAGGGACACAGTTAGGGTAATCTGAAGCTGTAATCAGTAAAACCTTCTGAATGCCTTCCACGATAATGGATTAGGCTGTCATTTGTAGTATCTCTTATTTCTGTGATCGTCTGAGTTTAGGATGCCAATTTAAACTCATTAGTTTAACTTTTAAGACATTTCTCCTTGCTTCTGACAGACATAGGAAGCATGTCCATTTGATGCGTGGTGCCTTATTTGTTGAATTTGGCAAAAGTGACCCCCCCCCCCCTTATGAAAGACAAGATACTCAAGTGTCCGGCGCTTACAGGGCCATCCATCTTCTTTGGCCCTTCCACCCACTGGGGCTGGGCCACAGGCACCCACGGTTCAGGCCCCTTCTCTGCTTTCTCTTTGTCATTATGCTGTTGTCAATTCTGCCGTTTACTCAGTGATTAATCATCATTTGGAAGCTTCTGCTGGGAGCCCACAGAAAGGAGAGTATTCCTGCAGGTGGTTTCCCTCTGATTAGTCAAAAGTGATAATGACTTGCTGCTGGGGCTTTGTCATAAGGAAAGGAAGATGGTGAATTCTTTTTCTTTTGTGGGAATGCAATTGCATTTTATAAACCTGGGAAATAAACCTAATTGTAAGAAGAACATTAGAATGGGTCGTTTAAAAGTATTCCCTAGAGATACTGTTTTCAGTTAAAGCACATTTGGAGTCACAACTTGCTTACACTATTACCTCAATTTCTTTTTAAAATTTAGGGAATTAAGATGCACATTCATGTCAACTTAACTGCCTAAAAATAACTCCCTGGAAGATGAGATACCTGATGGTTTATCAGTGCTTGCTGCTCACCAAAGTAATA
Source organism: Homo sapiens (assembly GCF_000001405.40). Taxonomy (NCBI): domain Eukaryota; kingdom Metazoa; phylum Chordata; class Mammalia; order Primates; family Hominidae; genus Homo; species Homo sapiens. The sequence continues at coordinate 62,980,446 of NC_000010.11, read as the reverse complement.
TATTCAATATTTTTACCTTTGACAGCTACAAAGATGGATAATGTTGATATTTAACTTGGTGCAGTATTCCTATTTTATATTATTTACTTAGAAAAAAAATCCTCTGACAATGAAGGTTTCAGTTATATGGTTTAAAGATGACTGCTTCCATGGAAAAAAAAAAAAAAGCATGTGGAAGGATGGGCAGCCTAGCAGACTTCCAAGGTGGGGTAGAAGGTGAAGGTGCTTTGTTCATGGTGATGAAATGTTACCAGAGGAGGAAGTAAGTGAATCTTTGGGTGATGGAGGAAAGAAAGAGGACTGGGGAGGGTGGGGAGGAGCAAAGCATACTTGCCAGCTGACTTCCAGCCCAACCAGTCTCCCCACTGATGAGCATGTATAAGATACCTAGGAAAGCAGGCAGGGTTTCTTTCTGTAAATCTTTCTGTGGAAAGTGAGGAAAAATCTGAATATGAGTGTACATGAACCCTCCCTTTCTTTTCCTTTTCTTTTACTTCTCAGTTGATCAGTGTGCAAAGGGTGAAGGGACTCAGAGATAGTTCATTTCAGTCTTTTCCTATGAGCAAAATCAGAGATCCTGGGTACCCCAAACCTGCTCTGTGGATATATTCATTATTTTCATTTTCTCCTAATTGGGAGTTTCTCTCATCTGATAGGTGTACTAACCCCACTTTTGGGTGTAAGAGGTTGATGCCAGCTTGAGTGCCATCCATTCCATGTAGAGGCTTGCTTTTGAATGGGCGTCTAGGCCTAGAGCAATGGTTCTCAAAGTGTGGTCTCTGTATCAGTAGTATTAGCATCACCTGGAAACTTGTGAGAAATGCATGTTCTTGGGCCCTCCTATAGACCGCCAGAAACTCTGGAGGGTGAGATCCAGCAATCTAGTTTAACAAGCCCTCTAGGTGATTCTGATATACAGTAAAGTCTGAAAATCACTGACCTAAATTGACCAAGCTATGACCCAGTAGTATTGAGGCATTTATCAGTCAATTGAGGTAGAAAGACAGTATGGAGAACAGGGCTTCTTGAGCCTCTCATCATTCTTCCCAGGAGATCACCTACTCCACTTGTAACTAAAGCCACCTCACCCATGGAACCCAAGAGCAAATGCAAGAGCAAAAACAGTCTTAAGAATGTAATTAATCTAAGAATTTCAGCTCAGGACAACTTGAAAACTGGGGCAGATGTGGTTTACCCTTCCTTTTTCTATAGCACAGTTTAGGCTTTCCAGTTATCCTTCTGGAGTTGAACCATTGCCCTTTGGTAGATGATTCTCCAAGGTCTGGGTGAGGGAGAAAGGACCCTATTATTTTAAGATCTGGTCAGTAAATCATGCTTATAAAGAGCAAAAGGATATAGGAAAATTCTCAGTGGTTAGCAAACTCTCTCTCTAACCCAGCTTGTTTCAGCAGTGGAACCAAAGAATATATGATGGAAGAAAATGAGATCTTCAGAAAGTCAGGAACACATTCAAAGTTGTGGTCAGAACGTAGTAGTAGGATCCTTGGTAGATTCCTATTGAATTGAAGGCCTTCTTAATCTTATCTCAAGAGCCTGTTTGTAACTCTTTATTCATCCATTTATCTCAACCTTCTTGAACCTAATTTTATTTTTGGTTTATATAGGCTCTTGCAGTAACAAGTTCCAGATGAGGTAATGAATTAACTACCCACAGCGTAAAAGAATGTTTGCCTTTACTTATCCTAAAACGACCTCTTCCAAGTTTCAAGTATGCTTATCTGAAATCTTAACTCTTGGGTTTGGGTGTTGATGCTTCCGACCTTGTCTGAGATAGTCTCTTGGTAATTGTGCAAAGATGAGTCAGTAGCATTGATCAGTACTGCCACACCACAATAGGGAGGTAGCTCTCCAGGAGAAGAATTCAGCTGACTCAATGCCAGGGCTGGGCTAACCTCTACTAGAATCGGTGGTCCTCTGTTTAGAATGGTTTGAGGAACTCATGAAGACCTCACCACGTTCCTCTTAAAACTCAGTTTCTTTGGGTAATGTATTTCCTTTACCAGTATTTTCTCCCACTAGATTTAACCTTCATGAAGGCTAAAGAACATGTGTCAATCACTTATTAGCCCGTACCACCTGTCATAGAGCCTGAAATAATAGGCTTGCCATAACTTTCTGTGTATGCCTATATACATAATCTCAGAGAGGGATAACAAGTTATTCACTTACACCTTAGTATGAATAGGATGTGAGAGTGAATTTGTCTCTACATTTGGGAACAAATGACTGAGGCACGCTCCTTGCCCTTGTGAAAGTTGAATCTAGTTGGAAAAAACACTTGTAAAGACATTGTTTTACCCGCAAAAACGAGCTTCCAATGGCAGAGATTTAGGCATTTGTTGATCTGGCCAATAGATCTGGCCAGACAGGGGTAACCTTCCTCATTTCTCTGTGTTGTATGTAGGAAGGACCCTGTCTGACAGTAATAGTTTTTTCCATTCACTGAACCAAGAAGACCAGGATAGCATGAGTATTCTAGTGACTGGGAATACAAGAATAGGATATGTTGAAATAATAGCTAACATTTATTGAGCATTTACTATGGATCAGGAACTCTTTAATACACTTAATGTTTATCAGCTCAGCTCATTTGATTCCTTCCTTCCTTCCATCCTTCCTTCCTTCCTTCCTTCCTTCCTTCCTTCCTTCCTTCCTTCCCTCCCTCCCTCCCTCCTTCCTTCCTTCCTTCCTCTCTCTCTCTCTCTATCGTCAGCAGTATCTCACTCTGTTTCCCAGACTGGAGTGCAGTGGCGCCATCTTGGCTCACTGCAGCCTCAACCTCCTGGGCTCAGTTGATCCTCTCACTTTAGCATCCTGAGTAGCTGGGACTACAGGCACATGCCATTCCACCTAGCTATTTTTAATTTTTTTTTTTTTTTTTTTTTTTTTTGTAGAGATGGGATTTTGCCGTGTTGCCCAGGCTGGTCTTGAACTCCTGGGCTCAAGTGATTCTCCCGCTTCAGCCTCCCAATGTACTGGGATTACAGGCATGAGCCACCACGCTCGGTCTGATTTTTTTTTTTTTTTTTTTTAAGGCGGAGTCTCGCTCTTTGGCCCAGGCGGGACTGCAGTGGCGCTATCTCGGCTCACTGCAAGCTCCGCCTCCTGGGTTCACGCCATTCTCCTGACTCAGCCTCCGGAGTAGCTGGGACTACAGGTGTCCGCCACCGCACCCGGCTAACTTTTTTTGTATTTTTAGTAGAGACGGGGTTTCACCGTGTTAGCCAGGATGGTCTCGATCTCCTGACCTTGTGATCCACCCGCCTCGGCCTCCCAGTGTGCTGGGATTCCAGGCGTGAGCCACCACACCCGGCCATGATTCTTATGTAATAACTCTATTATGTAGGCACTCTTAGTATCTGCATTTCACAAAAGGGAAAGCCAAGGAACAGAAGGGTTAAGTCACCTGCCAAAAAGACCTAGCTAATAAGTAGGAGAGCTCGAATTCAAACGCAGGCAAATCTGATTTGTAAGAGGAAAAGGGGACACAAAAAGGCAAAATCAGGGTTGCAGACAAACTCCTTCTTCTGTTTCACCATTTTTGGTCAAGGAAGAACCCAATAGGACATGTAGCAGTGCTCTAGGGAAGCAAGATTGGGTATTGGTAGGATTCTGGGAGGGAAAGCATTAAATAAATGTTCTATGAGGTCCCCATTTTGTCAGATAAAGGGAGGAAAGGGTTATTTAGAGTTAGATCAGAAGGAGAAGGTTCCTTTCAATTCCTGCAGTGTCCTCTCCTTTCCTGTTCACCTCTCCCTAATAATTTGATCAGGTCTTTGTGGAAAGCACTTAGTTGCTATGGTAATGAGTACACTATAAATATAAAGAGAATAAAGCCAAACAGAATATCGCTCTGTTAATGCAGAGGCTCAGGGAATTAGCCTTGAACATCATGGTTTAATGATGTGCCACTCAGTCATTTTGCTCTAAATCCTATTGAACACATGTGCTAGTTCTGGACCTCATAGTGATGCATTACAAAGATCCAGAGTAAATGCCATCATGTTGCTTTTTAAGCCCAACCTACTTCTTCTCAAGTGCTGTGCACACCATACATGTTCACTGTTACCATTTGTTTTTTTAAAGTGGGACTTAATAGAAATAACTGCTATTCTAACTACTTGATATTATATTTGGTAGTTTAACTCATGAGATTTTAGCATTGAAGGAATATAGATTCATCAAATTTAGAGCATAAAAGGATCCTAGTGATTGCTTGGCCTAGGAGTCTCAGACTCAGATGAGTACAAAGTTGAGGCAGATAAGATAAATGAGAGAGGCAGGCTGTACACAAGTCAACTGGGAATGATGGACACTCTGGCATGCCAGAAGTTTGGAATCTTACACTAGCTGCAATGTGTTAGTTTATTTACTTATTTTCCTTCCACCTCAGGATTTAAGGTAATACAAATAAATGCAATAAAAAGTAAACAAATAGGGAATAGGGTTGGGGGGAAATAAAGATTGGAAAAATAAACTAAGGATAAGGTTGTTGAACATAATGATTATAAAGTTCTGTGCAGTTGCTAGATGCATGCCAAGTTTCTGAGCTTCCTAGCAACCAATGTAAAGAAAGGAACACAAACCAAATATTCAGGAGAGGCAGACTACTTCTGAAGCCTGTGAACTCTTTTCATTAAATGTTATCCTCTTTCCTTTCTCACTTGGTTCTCCTTCCATTTCTCTAATAATTCATCCTGAATTGCTTTTGTGGGCACCTTTCCTTCACTGACCTCTTTGGCCCTCTGAATAATCTTCATTCTGGTTTGTTCATCCACTGCTGAGATTCTGACCACCAGCAAGCAAATGTTGAGCACACACTTTCATCCTCCAGTTTGAATCCCTCACCTAACTTCCAGATTTGTATATCCAATTCCAGTGGCCTAGCACTGATCTTGTTGCATATGTCTCTCATGTCATCATATCCCCCAATTAAATTTATCCTCTTCCGTTATCCTACTCCTAGCTCCTTTTACTCTCAGACTGGCTCCTCCTCCTGTTTTCCTTAAGTAAGTATTCAGGAGTTGGTTTCACTTCCATCTATCAGCTTTGATTTTCTATTTGCTGAGTTCCATTCCAGGCAGACTTCCCTGTGTGATAGCCCCTAGCAGCCTCATACCTACCTTAAAAAGCAAGCAAACAAGCAAGCAAACAAGCAAAGAAGCAACAATTCCACAAATCTGCTCTACATCTCCAGTATCTTTCCATTTTTTCCCCCAATAATGATAACATCTTTAACATGGTGATATGATTTGGCTCTGTCCCCACCCAAATCTCATCTTGAATTGTAGCTCCCACCCTGTGGGAGGTAATTGAATCATGGGGGTGGGTCTTTCCCATGCTGTTCTCATAATAGTGAATAAGTCTCATGAGATCTGATGGTATTATAAAGGGGACTTCCCCTACACAAGCTCTCTTGCCTGCTGCCATGTAAGGCGTGACTTTGCTTCTCCTTTGCTTTCACCATGATTGTGAGGCTGCCTCAGCTATGCTGAGTCAATTAAATCTCTTTCTTTTATAAATTACCTAGTCTTGAAAAGAAAAACCCATTTTCTAAGGAGAAATTTAAGCCTGCTGCAGAAATTTGCATAAGTAACAAGAAGCCAAATGATAATTGCCAAGATAATGGGGAAAATGTCTCCAGGGCATGTCACAGGACATGGCAGCCCCTCCCATTATAAGCTTGGAGGCCTAGGAGGCAAAAATGGTTTCATTGGCCATGACCAGGACCTTGCTGCTTTGTGCATTCTTGGGACTTGGTGCCCTGCATTCCAGCTGTGGCTAAAAGGGGCCAACATAGAACTCAGGTGGTTGCTTCAGAGGGTGCAAGCCTCAAGCCTTGGCGGCTTCCATGTGGTGTTGGGCCTGCAGGCGCACAGAAGTCAAGAATTGAGGTTTGGGAACCTCTGCCTAGATTTCAGAGGATGTATGGAAATGCCTGGATGTCCAAGCAGAGGTGTGCTGCAGGGGCAGAGCCCTCATGAAGAACCTATGCTAGGGCAGTGCAGAAGGGAAATGTGGGGTTGGAGCCACCACCCAGAAGTCCCCACTGGGGCACTGCCTAGTGGAGCTGTCAGAAGAGGGCCACCGTCTTCCAGACCTCAGAATGGCAGATCCACCAACAGCTTGCACCATGCACTTGGAAAAGCTGCAGACACTCAACACCAGCCTGTAAAAGCAGCCAGGAGGGGGGCTGTACCCTGCAAAGCCACAGGGGTGGAGCTGCCCAAGACCATGGGAACCCACTTCTTGTATCAGTGGGCCCTGGATGTGAGACATGGAGTCAAAGGAGATTATTTTGGAGCTTTAAGATTTGACTGCCCCACTGGACTTTAGACTTGCATGAGGCCTGTAGCCCCTTTGTTTTGGCCAATTTCTCCCATTTGGAATGGGGGGCATGCTTATGCCCCCATTGTATCTAGGAAGTAACTAACTTGTTTTTTATTTTACAGGTTCATAGATGGAAGGAACTTGCCTTGTCTCAGATGAGATTTTAAACTATGAACTTTTGAGTTAATGCTGAAATGAATTAAGACTTTGGAAGACTGTTAGGAAGGCATGATCAGTTTTGAAATGTGAGGACATGAGATTTGGGAGGGGCCAAGGGTGGAATGATGTGGTTTGGCTGTGTCCCCATCCAAATTTTATCTTGAATTGTAGCTCCCATAATTCCCATGTGTTATGGGAGGGGCCCCATGGGAGGTAATTGAATCATGGGGGTGGGTCTTTCCCATGCTATTTTCTTGATAGTAAGTCTCATGAGATCTGATGGTTTTATAAAGAGGAGTTCCCCTATATAAGCTCTCTTGCCTGCCACCATGTAAGAAGTGTCTTTGCTTCTCCTTTGCCTTCTGCCATGATTGTGAGACCTCTCCAGCCATGCTGAACTATGAGTCCATTAAACCTCTTCCTTTTATAAATTACCCAGTCTCAGGTATGTCTTTATTAGCAGCGTGAGAACAGACTAATACACATGGTATATAAGGCCCTACAGAATAGCCTCTTCCTGCTTCACTAACCTCAACCTCATTTTGTTTCCAATGAGGAGTCAGTTGTCAATGTTTTGTCTCCTTTGAAATAATGTGTGTGTGTGTGTGTGTGTGTGTGTGTGTGTGTGTGTGTGTGTATTTTCCTGGCTGCTTTTGAGATTTTCTTTTTTCTTAGGTTTTTAGCAGTTTTAATATAATATGCTTAAGGTTTTATTTGTTTGTTTTGCTTGTATTTAACCTGCCTGGGTTTTTTTGTTTGTGTTTGTATTTAACCTGCTTGGGGTTCACAGCGTTTTCTGAATCTGTGGTTTTATGTCATGTCAATTCTGAAAAATCCTTAGCTTGCTTCTTCACATTTTTCTTCTACCTCATTCTCACGTTTCTTCTACCTCATTCTCTTTCTCCTCATCTTCTAGGATTTAGTTACACATATGTTACAACTTTCACTCTATTCCAAGTGTCTCATAAACTTTTCTGTATATTCCATCTTTTTTCCTTTCTGTTCTTCATTCCATATATTTTCTACTAACCTATCTTCTCATTTAACTCCTCTTCATCTTTGTCCAATTTTCTTTTGAAGACACCTGATGAGTTTAAATTTCAGCTACTGTATTTTCAGTTATAGAATTTCCATTTTGTCATTTTTTATAGATTCCAGTTCTCTGCTAAAATTCTCCGTCTTGATCTCTCCTTCAGTATACACTAACCCCAGTCATTTTGAAGTCCATATGCGATAATACTGATTCTGTATCACTCATAGGTCTATTTCATTGTTTATATTTTTTCTCCCTGTCTCTTGATCCACCTGATAACTTTTGATCAAATACTGAATATCTTTAATGAAAATTCCTCCAGGGAAGATTCTGTTTCTGGCAGGCATTAAGAGTAGGAGTAGCTTGCATTAATCCACTGAGGGATTAAGCTGGTTCTAGGCTTGGTTTCAACCATCAGGAGACCTAGTCAATTTCTCACTCACCCTTATTCTTAGAAAATAGTCCCTCAGGAGTTCAATCTGAAAATCTGAGGAATTTATCAGATGCCCTTCTCCTCAGTATACTTGAACTCATTTTTATCTCCCTAGCATACTAAAACTATTTAATTGCTCTATTTAGCTGTCCAGGCTCTTCTATGCTGTTTTCTGCTCAGCCCTTCTGCCTCATAGTCCACTCAGCTTATGAGTCAGCAAATGCTTTAAGGGAAAAGTGGATCAAACTATCAGTCTCAGCCTTTCTTTTTCTATGCTTCTTTTTAATTTGTGATCTTAGTCCCCTACATGCTGGATGACTTTGTGGCTAGGAACCTCAATTTCTCTTCCCCAGTCCTAGCAGACTGTGAAAATCTCCACTCAGCTTCTCTGCCTCTTTCCTCTTGCTTTTTGCTGGGTTCCTCAGTTTATCTGAGCAAACTGTGTATCAATCAGCAAATGCCTTGATGGAAAAAGAAAGGTAGAAGTTAGCTTTCTCTCAATGAATGTCTCTTTATTGGGGATATTAGACCCTCAAGTCCTAGCTGTCTTTATAGCTATCCAAAGCCTTCAAACATTGTGTGTGTGTGTGTGTTTGTGTGTGTGTGTGTGCGCGCGCATGCCTGTGCACATTATCCAGCTTTTCTAGTTTTTCTTAGCAACAGGGTTTGTCTGCTTAGTTGATCTTTGTTTATGAAGAAGTATTCTAAAAGTCAAAGAATGCAAATAGATTCATTCAACAACAGCATTAATTATATAACAAGCACTTACTATCACCCTGAAAAAGTATTAATTTCTTGGGGTCCTTGTGAGAATAAATATGTTTTATAATTATGGCACTGCTGCACATACTTTTAGGAGGACTTTTTTGGGGGATAAAAGTCTCATCACTAATTAACTAATTAATTAACTAACTTCACCAACTAACATTTATAGAGCACTTTTTGTGTGCTGGAGTGTCTAAGAATTTTACATGTACTATTTCATTTATATTTTACAACAACTTTAAGAGATGGATTCTTTTATTTATTTCAGTTTTTCAGTTGAGAAAATTAAGGCAGAGACATTAAGTGATTTGCCTAAGGTTACTCACTGTATCACTTATGTGTCTATTTTATTGTTTATATATTTCTTTCTCCCTTGGACCTTCCTCTGTATGCACCTGATAACTTTTGTAAGTAAATGCTGAAGCCAGAGTTTTAGCCCAGAAAATCTAAATCCAGAGTCACTATTTCTAATCAGTAAATTACTTGTCTTTTCCTAACCATGAAATTATTATCTCCTCAGTGGTGGGAAAAGCAAATGAGGAGTTCTAAAAGTATTTTGCATAATGACGATGCCTTAGGAATAAGTTGATAAGCCTAGCATAGGAGTCATCTTGTTTAGATGCGTAAACTCAGTTATGTTGTTAGAAGGCAGCCAAGGTCTTTATAAGGTAATTTTTTTATGGTAACAGATATATACAGCTAAAAACCTATAATACTTCTACTTAAGGATTAATATGTGGTGAATTTGCTAGATAGAATCAAATTTATACTTCTATTATCTGTCAAAAAATGAAGTCATTTAGACTTAACATCTAGGTCTTCTTGGTTTATTAAGATCATAACTTTGAGAAGAGATACTTACTTTAATTTTTCAAATACATATGATTCACATAATTTTTATCCATTTCTTAGTAAGCCATTTCCTAGTCAGAATTATTTTAAAATTACAATTACTTTCTCAAGATGGCACAGAGTCTTTTTAAAACTGTTTTCCTTCTTCTGAACAAATCAAAACATTGTGACTAAATCTTCTAATAGTAGTTGTTAATAAGTTTAGTCTTTAGCATGATTTAAGCACCCAGTTCGGTCTTAGGTACTAAGACCACGTATCTTGGATTTTCTAGAACCATTTTGGTTTCAAATATTGTAGTCCATTGTCTCCATAAACAACAACCATATTTTCTAATTTGGGATTCAGAAAATCTGGTGACCACACTCAAGCTTTTTTTCCATCTACTTTCAGTAGAAGACTTTTCTCTACAAGAAATCTACCCGGTTCTCTTTTGGCTAAGTATCTAAAAAGGCACTATATTTATTGTTAAGTATTTGACATATTAAGAATTATAATTGGTGGAATATTATTTAGCCTTAAGAAAGAAGGAAATCCTGCCCTTTGCAACAACTTTGATGAACATGGAGGACAGTATGCTGAGTGATTGCCAGGGGCGGGGGAAGGGGAAAATGAAGAGACGCTGGCCAAAGGCTACAAAGTTTCAGTTTTGTAAGATGAATAAGTTCTGGAAATCTAAAGGACATCACTGTGACTGTAGTTAATACTGTATTGTATACCTGAAATTTGCTGAGAGGGTAGATAGATCGTAAGTGTTCTTTCTCACCACACACAGACACACAGACACACATACACACACACAAAGAAGATGGAAACTATGTCAGGTGAGGGATATGTTGATTAGCTTGATCATGGTGATTATTTCACAATGTATATAAGTATTAAATTATCAAGTTGTACATCGTATATATACAATTTTAATTATCAATTATCCTTTAATAAAGCTGAAAAAAGTTATAATTGGCACAAAATCTGAGTTGTTTTTGTTTTTGCTTTTAGCCTCTAAATGGAATTGAGTCTTCATATATTAGAGTAGCTTTGTTTATAGAAATTGTTTCTTCAAGGAAACAAATAAATTGGTCCCTCTTACTTTTATTATTTTTCTTTGGGACGGGGTCTTGCTCTATCACCCAGGCTGGAGTGCAGTGGCACAATCTCAGCTCATTGCAACTTCCACTTCCTGGGCTCAAATGATTCTCCCACCTCAGACTCCCAAGTAGCTGAGATTGCAGGCGCGTGCCACCATGCCCAGCTAATTTTTGTATTTAGTAGAGACAGGGTTTCACCATGTTGGCTATGCTGGTCTTGAACTCCTGACCTCAAGTGATCCACCCACCTCAGCCTCCGAAAGTGCTGGGATTATAGGCATGAGCCACCACACCCGGCCCATCTTTCTTTCATTCTTACAGTTCAGATAAACATAAGGTTTGTGTTTCTCCCAGGATAGAATTAATTATTGTATTAGTTATCTATTGTTATATAACAAATTACCCAAAAACCTCGTGTCTTAAAACAACAACAAATATTTATTATTGTACAGTTTCTGTTGGTCAGTAATTTGGAAGTGGCTTAACTGGATGGTTCTGACTCAGAGTTTCTCACTCATGTTGTTAGAATTGAGATGTTGGCCAGATTACCAGTTATCTGAAGGCTTGACTGGGGTCAGAGGATTCAATTCTAAGATGGCAAACACTGGCAAGCCAGTACTGTCTGTCTGTCGGCAAGAGATTTAATTCCTTACCAAGTGGACCTCTTAATAAGGCCACTAGAGTGTCCTCATGATGTGGTGACTGGTTTCTCTCAATAGAGTGATCCAAAAGAGATGAAGGCAGGAGCTGAAATGACTTTGACGGATATAGCCTTAGAAGTCACAACATTTCTTTCTAAAATATCTAATTAGGTGTACAGGTCAGAGCTATTCACTGTGGGAGAGAACTATAAGGGCATGAACACTAAGGGGTGAGAATCATTGGGAGCATTATGGAGGCTGGCTTCCACAGTTATTCACTCGACAGTTGTTAATGGAGTATTTACTTGTCAGTGTGAAAGATAAGAAAAAATACCATGTGTGGTCCCATTTGCATAGTCCTTACAGTCTAGGAAAAAAACACTAACAGTAAAAGACAATGCATGTTCAATAAATAATGGTCATTTCAAGTGACAATATCTGTCAAGAGGTGACGCTACATTGAAATAGCCAGTGAAGGCTTTTAGAGAAGGTGTGATGGGTGCTGTTGGAAGGGTGGGTAAGGAATTGGAAAAAAGAAAGCCCTGGTTCTTTCTACTTCCCTCACTGAGCCACTGTCCATTCCTAAAACAAAGTACCAAACTCTATCAGGTGAAGTTCTTTGGTTGCAAGCAAAGACGGTTACTTGGGCCAACTCAAGAAAGAGAACACGTGTTATCAGGAAAATGCCAGGGTTCCTTACAGAAGCCAAGGACAGATAAATAACAAGGTCTATAAAAGCAAGTGGTCAAAACAGTCCTAGAGATTATGGCAGCAGGAATACACAGCCAAGTTCTCTAGGATGCTACACTGAATGAATCTGCTTCATTGACCTTCCTTTTGAGTGCCGAGAGAGAGAGATTGATTGGTCCAGCTTGTGTCATGTGGGTACTCCAGTATAGGAGGTGTGAGTTCCCATGATTAGCACCCTCTTGGAATCACAAGGAGTGGGGAAGGGCTGATCCTCCCAAGAGAGGAAGACTAGATGGATACCAGACCTCATTTTAAACCCTAATAGCTCTCTATTAAAAAAAAAATTGGCTTTGCATTTTTATAAAAATGGGAGTCCATTGAGCCTTAAACACTATCATATATATATATATGGAAGGAAGCACCTTCCAAAGCTATGAGTTGTAAATATTCTATATGAAACATATATATATATATAATGTTGATTGTGCTGTTGGGAGCGATGCCACATTTCAGAGGAAAAATGGCAGAGCCATTGCTTTAGGCATTGTATTTTTATTTTATATTTCCAGAAAGACAACCCATTCATTTTGGGTATTTTGTGTATTGGGATTTCTAGTTAGTTTGCCTTAGATTTTCCAAAATGCTGTCCTCTGGACACGACCAGTTATCCTTTCCTGCTCAGAAGCAATAAGCCATCTAAAATCTCCCAATAGCACTGTTTTGTCCTTCATGGTACTTGTCATGGTTTATAATTATTATTAATGATTACTTATAATAAATAATCTATTTAGTCATTTGAAGCATCTGTTCCCATCACTAAACCAAAATATTTACTAGAACTTGACTGGCTACAGTGGTTCATTCCTGTAATCCTAGTACTTTGGGAGGCTGAGGTTGGAGGATCATTTGAGCCCAGGAGTTCGAGACCAGCCAGCATAGTGAGACCTCATGTCTATAAAAAGTTAAAAAGTTAGCTAGTCATAGTGGTAAGTGCCTGTAGTCCTAGTTACTTGGGAGGCTGAGGCAGGCGAATTGATTAAGCCCAGGAGTTTGAGGTTACAGTGAGCTATGACTGCTCTGTTGCACAATAGCCTGGATGACAGAGTGGGACGCTGTCTCTCAAAAACAAACAAACAAACAAACAAACAAAAAAAGAAAGAAAAGAAACAAAAAAACTAAAAAAGTAAAAAAGGAAGAATAAAAACATTTACTAGAACTTATTGTAAAGCAAAGTTTCTCAACCTCATCACTATTGAAATTTTGGACTGGATAATTCTTTGTTATAGGGGGTTATCCTGTGCATTCATCAGCATTGCAGAATGTTTAGCAGCATCCTTGTCCTCGTCCTCTTCTCACTAGAGGCCAGTAATACTCCTCAGCTGTGACAACTAAAAAGAGTGTCCAGATATTCTCTTGGGGAAAATCATCCCTAGTTGAGAACCACTGGTATAAAGGAATGCATGCATGCATGAATGAATGAATTGATGAGTGAATGAATGAATGAGTAAATGATGAACAGACTCATTCAGAAATGCAACAGTTTTCCGAATCCTTGAATGACATGGAAGTGGTTCTTTTGGTCTATTCATTTATTCTGATTCTCTGTTCACCAGACATTTATTGAGGGCCTGCTATGGGAAGAGGTCAGGGGTGCTGCTTCGGAGCCTGCAATCCTCAGGGGTCCTGTGCTAGGCATTACAGGTTAAGCCTGAAGAAAATATGAATTAGCCTCAGCTTATTGTGCTCTGGAAAGGAGGGCAGTTTGAGCAGAACATTTTGGATCAAGCTTACCCTGCCTGCAATACCTCCCTGGTTCTTCCCTGCTTTTCTGCCTCTTAATTATCCTTTACAACTGATTCAGCAGAGAGGGTCCAGAACTGGAGTTCTCTCCCCACACAGCTTTCTTAATGCATCTTACATTGGTCATTTGGTTTTTACATCTACCATATGTTATTGGTGTTTTATAAATCCTTTCAATATGTCTAGATTTCCTAAATAAAGGTCTTGAGGAAGTTTATTAGAGGGGGAAAAAAGTTCTTAGACAAGCATATAGTTCTAATCCTACTTCTGCCATCAGTTTAGCTTTCCGACCCGGGCAGGACGCCTAATTGCTGAGGTTTCATCTATAAAATGAAAATGGTTTTACCTGTTGTGCAGCTACCTTCCAAAGATACTGACAGTGTTAAATAAAATAATGGATAGAAATATGTTTCATACATTGAAAAGCACTATGCAAGTGTAATATACTGGCATTATCAGCATTGAGAATAATAATAACAAACGTCTTGAGGCAGAGACTGTATTTTATATGAGTTTGTATCTCTAGAACCTGCCACATGGCTACATATCTGTAGTAAACTCCACAAATGATAGTTGGTGATGCTGATGGTGTCTTGTGAAGAGTGGATCTCATTCATTATATAAACTTGTTATCTCTGATTATACAGTAGTCAATACGTAGTTTTAGAGTCAAATTGAATTTCAGATAATCATCCAAGAAGTCTGTATTATTACTCATGAATATGTATGCTGGCACCTTCCAAAGCTATGAGTTGTAAATATTCTATATGAAACATATTTTAAGGATCTAATGGTATCTTATGAATTTTTATTGAGAACTTTAAAGAATATTTTATTTCATACAGGAACACATTAAATAAGGTAGAAGTTCTGGTAAGATTTCACTCCGAAGTATATTAAGATTAAAAGTAATGTATTTTCAGCACTTGGATAGATTCTTTTCTTTTTTGGTTTTATTCTGAAATAAAGTGACACATCGTCTAGAATATAGTAAGAGATTCATCTATCTAAAATACTCATTTTTCCCAGCTATTGCTTGAGTTTAAAAATATTTTAACCAAAGTATAAATTCAATTGACTAAAATTTGTTATTGCAAAACTCACAGTTGGTTTTGCCTTCCTGATATTGGCCTATTTCTTGGTAATGCTAAAATTGAACACCATAGTAACAAATTTGTTTTACTAAAAATATTGAGATAACACAAATAAGACATTAAGCAAGCTGATGCATTAGCTGAGTTGACCTTTCTTGAAAAATAAATACTAAGGAAATATTTTAAGGGAGTTCCTTTTTGTTTTCTCAACTTAGGGTTCACTTCCAGTCAAATATTGCTTTTGTTTAAAAAGAATTAGGTTAATACCTGTTAAATGTGGTAGTAAAGTTTTACTACATATAATTAAGTTGTAAAACTAAATGGGCTTTATGGATATAATCTCCAATATAAGCTTTTATATATTTTAATGAAAAATAACTGACTAGCTCATGGTACTATATACTATACTAGTTACAAAGCTTTGAAAATACTTAGTTTGTTTTTCTAAAATGAGAAATTCACGATGAGGTTTTTTAAAAGTTCTTAAAAAGAATGATGGATGTTGTGTTTAATTAGTATAGCACTAAACTTTTTCTCTAAATAAATTCAGATTCAGAGAACATTTATTGACTGTTTTCTATGGGCCAAATATTGTATTATATTAGCTTCTTCTTCATATATGGTCATTTAATCTTCAAACAATCCAACAATGTCATCTTCAGTCGAGAGAAGAAGAATCTAAAGTCTTTGAGTGGAGTAACTGGCCTACAGCTACAAAGTTTAAAAAGTTCCAAAGCTGGAATATAAAC
Organism: Homo sapiens; assembly: GCF_000001405.40. Taxonomy (NCBI): domain Eukaryota; kingdom Metazoa; phylum Chordata; class Mammalia; order Primates; family Hominidae; genus Homo; species Homo sapiens. The sequence continues at coordinate 62,964,793 of NC_000010.11, read as the reverse complement.
CCAGATTTTCTTATTGTGAGGTCAGCATTCTCACCAGCACATTTATTCAGGATGCTGTGAAATTAGATGCCATCATGGTAGTATTATAACCTTTCCCAAGTCTCATGTGCTAAGAACTATTGACCTCAGGCAGGACCAACAGACATGTCTATAACCTCCAAAGTTTCCCTGAATTTGACAAAACAATGATTACTTATGGTATGCCTATTTGAAAATGTTTATCGGTTACTCTTTTATTTCAATATGGTGGGATGAACTTGAGATTTTTATTGGTTAAAATTGGCGATTTGCTTCTTAAGTTTTCATGCAGAGGACAAATATAATATACTCAGTGGTTAGATTGAAACCAAAGCCTCACTTCATTCAATGGTTATTTTATTCATCTATACGCTTCTGTTTACAAATGCAAATTCATCAAAAGGCGAATTTAAAGAGGCATTTCCATAAGACTAAACCTACTTTGTGATCAGACATGAGTGATTTTTTTTTTTTTAAGTAACCAGCAGTGCTTTGTTTATTTGTTGGAACTGGCTGAGTCTGGAGTGTAAAATATGCTGGGAGCTCTTAGACAGGGCTAGGGAATGACGGGGGATAGTTAGGACAGAATAATTGGCCAGCTCTAGGGTGATACCACATTTTAAACCTAGGGGAGCTGGCAAAGTCTCATCCAATTCAATTAGATCCAAGGGATCAGGGCTGCTGACAGAGCTTGGCCAAGGCAAGTCTCAGCATTTAGTGGGTGTCCTAGCGGATTAGTGAGGTTATAATAATAGTAAGTATTACTAATTACTTACCCAACATCCATTCTGTCTCTCTTCCTTAAAAATGATGGTAGAGACCAGGTGTGGTGGCTCACGCCTATAACCCCAACACTTTGGGAGGCTGAGGCAGGAGGATTGCTTGAGCCCAAGAGTTCAAGACCAGCCTGGGCAGCATGGAAAAACCCGAACTCTACAAAAAATAAAAAATTAGCCAAGTGTGGTGGCATGCACCTGTAGCCCCAGTAACTTGGGAGGCTGAGGTGGGTGGATCACTTGAGCCTGGGAGGTCAAAGCTGCAGTGAGTCATGATCATGCCATTGCACTCCAGCCTGGGCAACAGAGAGAGACCCTGGCTCAAAAAACAATGGTGGTAGAAACTGATATTTAGCTACAACGTGCATTTCCCCTTCTTCCAAAAGTAGAATTCCCAAATGTTAGCTGAGTACATGGTCACCTTGAATTTATTTCTCAGCATCCCTTGCAGCTAGGAGCAGCCATGTGATTAAAATATAGTTAATATGTTCAAGCATAGTGACACATGAAACCGTTAGGAAGTATATTTAATATCTCCTGACTTTCTTTCTTCCAGCTATTTGGATTGTACATGTGACAACTGGGCAGGAGCAGCCATTAATGATCATGAAGTGGAAGTCCCATGATAGGATGGTGGAACCATAAGGTAAAAGGAGTCTGAGACCTTGGTAATCATGGAGCCTCCAAACCAACCCTAGACCACCTACATTAATGTGAACTTAATCCTAATTAATACACAAATGAAACCCTTATATTATTGGGAGTGGCAGTGTATCCAACAATAGAACTGTATTCCCCTGCCTCTCTTGAAGCTGTGCATGGCAATGTGTCTGAGTTCTGGTCATTGAAATAAAGCAGAAATTGTGCAGAATTCTGAAAAGAGTTCTTAGAAGGGATATGGACAGTTGGAGAAAGTCCCTTGTATCTTCTTTGCTGCTTCTTTTCTGCTGTCTGAAATGTGAATGTGATAAGTGGTGCTCCAGCAGCAATTTTGGACCATGAGAGTCCTTGAGGAGTAGAAAGATAGGAGGCTGAGTTCCTTGATGACTTTGTGAATCCAGCTTACCAGTATGGGACCACTTACTTTTGAACTTCTTTTACACAAAGAAACAAATCTTTTGGTATTTAAGCCACTTTGTTCTGGGTTTTCTATTAACCTATCTGACAGAGAGGTTCATCAGAGTTAACCAGAAGGCACAGGAAACAGGAATCAGCCCCAGAGAACTGGGACGTGTGGCTTGTGTCTAGTCTAGTTGGGAAACTAGTGTGGAAGTTGCAACCAGGAATCTGGCAGACTAGTTAGGATCAATGTTCGAACTCCAGCCCAATGCATGGGTGTGAACCATCTGGGTCACAATCACTGATGGGGAAGAAGTAGCTATTTTGCTGTCAAGCCAGGTATTCCTTGTGCAGGGGACAGATGGCCTTGCAAGGGCCAAACATGGGTTGAGCAGAGGCAGAGGCAGGCAGAGCTGACATAGCCTGTGCCTGTTTCAGAGACTGTGAAGGCAGAACTATTCTGCTGAGCCTCTCTTTCTCTTCTTGGGGCTATCTGTAAGCAGCTGGCTGACTCTAACATCCAGGCTTGTGAGAATCAGCTCTGTTCCTCTCTCTGTCGTGTGTGGGCCAGCTGCATCCCCACTGGTCCTCATTTCCCCTGCACTGAGCTCATTCACTCCCTGGGGATTAATTTGACTGTGAATACTGTGGACTCTGAAGTGTGGGAAAACTGGAGACACAAACAACAGAAGCCTTAATGCTACAGGGGCAGAGAGTAGCATCTTTTCCTCGGTTAGCATCATGTGAGACCTGGCAAGCCATAATCAGAGACACTTCTATGCAGTGACTCAGGGAGGCAGCCTGCTGCTGAGCAAAGAGGAGGCAGGTCTGCGAGCTGGAGTTCAGAGAAACTTAGGATCATATGAGAACAATTGGTCTAGAGCTCTTAGAATCAAAGAGGTAAGGTGAGTGGAGGCACACTGTGGAACAGAAAACACCATGAAGATTATTGTCATTTCATTAATGAAGAGAGTAACAACACAAGCAATTTCCTTCCCCAACATTACTGAGAAGATGTCTTCTTGTTAATTTCTTCCCATCAAGGCTGCCTTGGGATTCATTGTAAACAAAGTTCTTGTAGACTTGTTTTAAAATTGGGGGACAGAGGTATTTAGACTGATTTGCCTCAAAATCTCTGCCTTCCCCAGGATGACCTGTTCAGAATGCTATTGCAAATGTAAGTGACAACTCAGTATACCTTCAAAATTAACCATGCTAATGACAGGATATACTAATTGTGTATAATACACAGTAATCATGTGCCTCATGTACATGCTAACCCCATTTACTATTATTAACCCCATATCTAAAAGTCTCTTCTACTGCTTATATGTGTTATGTGAAGAAATAGAGATAGAATAATTTTGGGAAACACTGGGTTAAACAAAGTTGAGCTGAAAAATTGTTACTGACTGTGTGAGACCGGGAGAGGGGAACTGCCTACTGTGTGAGTTCTGAAGCGAGGGTTTTCACTGCTCCTTGGAAGGAATTTGGCAGGGCGGATAATTATTTTCTCTGCCTCCATTGGTTGGAGAACAGCCTTCTAACCTGGGCTTGTCTCTTCAAATGGCTTTCTCCTGAAATGGTTCATCAGGGGAATGTCACAAAGGGAAAGGGAGAGATGAGATGTCTTGCAGTGGCCCTGGCCATGCCCGAGCCAGGTGGTTTCAGTGTTTTTCTGCCTCTGACACTGTTGATTTTCCAGGCTTCTCACCTATTCTGGGAGTTACTTCCAATCCTCTCTGTGATTCCCTTTTTTCTTAGGTTAGGTAGCATTTGTCTGGCTGCCTATGGCCAAGACCATTGATTAATTGAGAACTGAAGTGAAGTTCCTCACTGCTCGACTCTCAGAACCTTTAATAGACTCGATGCAAATTAAAGTTCATAATTCCCCAAAACAGGGCTCAAGTATGTGGCATTTTCTAAAAGCATTTGATCCAGAAGCCCTGCCTCCACACCCACCTCCACCTCCCAATGGACCTCCAACTTCTCTTTTTTTTTTTTTTTTTTTTTGAAACAGGGTCTCACTCTGTCACCCAGGCTGGAGTGCAGTGGTATGATCTCAGCTCACTGCAACCTCTGCCTCCCAGGCTCAAGTGATTCTCCTGCCTCAGCCTCCCAAGTAGCTGGGATTACAGGTGCACGCCACTACCGCCCAACTAATTTTTATATTTTTAGTAGAGACGGGGTTTCATCATGTTGGCCAGGTTGGTCTTGAACTCCTGATCTCAAATGATCCATCTGCCTGGGCCTCCAAAACCGCTGGGATTATAGGCGTAAGTCACTGTGCCCAGCCCCCACAACTTATCTTAGCATTAGTCTTCTGCGGAATGACTGAACATATTGGGGGAAATGCTGATTTAGTGAGTCACTGCTTAGTTGATCAGAAAATATCTTGGTGGTACAGAAGACTTCATTTAACTCAAAAAGGTAAATAATTTTCTTCCTGCTTGTAATAAATCCGTGATCTTATAATAGATTATGTTCTTATGATGGATTTGTAGTGAATGCTTCCCCGACGAACATCAATGGCCTCACTCTCATACATTGTCTCATGTCTAGCCTCTGTTCTGGCCATGAGATCCCTGGACTATCGCGGATGCTTGTGGAGCAATTTGTAGAAGCCAAAATACATCTTATTTTTACCTGACCCATTACATCTGCTAATGACTTAGGTCAACTGGGTAAGCAATGTGGTCATTCATAATTAATTTTGCTGTTCATTATAGCCAATTATTTTAACTGCTGGATCATTTGTATTTTTATACAATCTACAGTCTTCCAGGAACATACACAAGCTTAATGGACTGTATAATGTGCATTCCCTGATCCATGATTAACATGCTGTTTAATGAGTACAATTTTAAGAAAGCTTAAAACTTTAGGTCCCTGGCTTCTTCTACAAAGCCAGGCACTGGAATGAAAAGTCTGCAACAGTAATGAGTTTTGAATGCTTTAAATGGAAGGCTATTCTTACATAAATGAGATTCTCCTTGCGAGCTGGGAACATCCCACCCTTACATAGCCATCCGGAGATCCCAATGAGCAGGCCAGTACTGGGAAACACAATGTTAATGCCAAGTTAGGGTTTACAATCCTGGATATTCTGATTTAGTAGGTCCAGGATGCGTGAGGCATCAGCTCTTCCAAAAAATGTACCAGGAAATTCTGACACAGAGGTTTGTGGTTTGCACTTCTGGAAATACTAATTTTTTTTTTTTTTTTGAGGTTTCTGAAGTGTGCGAGAAACTGGCTCCCCCAGCTGGGAAAACTGAAGGCCAAGTGATTGTTCAAGGACACCTGAGCACTAACTAGTTTCTCTCTCTGGAGAAGGATATGGGTTTGCTAAAGCTGGATTTCGTTCAAGAACCAGGAGAATCCAATGTTTGTAAACGTTTCCTTAATGAAGCATGTAGATTGTTAGTTTAAGTTTGTCTGGAACGGAAAGTTTGTCTGGAATCTTGGGTATGGAAGGCCGTGGTGTAGCAAAAACTGAGCTTTCCAGGTTTCATTAGAGCTTACTTTGTGTTGATGCTGTCTCCAACAGCTGGCCATGTCTCCCTTTGAGCAGTTCCAGGAACCATGAGAAGCTATGCTGAAATATGTTGTACCTGCTTCTGTCTGTGTGGCTGTCATGCTTCCAATAAGTTTCCGTATCTTGGCTAGGTACACTGAGCACTTAATCCAATGTGATAGACTGGTATATGTGTGTAAGCCCAAAATGCTGGGGAGTGAAATGATGGACTGCTTTTATCTTACTCTAGTTCTTGACCTCTCCTATTGAAGTGCCAGGAGAAGGATGATGGTTACTAATAAGCATCATTTATGCAATCTCATAACAATTTCTGAGTATTTGGCTTTGCTTCTTACTGGTAAGTCTGGGCAGTTACTTAACTTTTGCAGTTTGTCAGCTAAAAAATAACCTAATAATGGTACTCTCCTTTTAGGGCTGTTGGTAGGATTCAATGTGATAAAGCATGTAAAGTATTTAACATGCTTCCTGGCTTATGGGGCCCAAAATATGTTAGCTGTCTCTCTTCTTCCTTTTCCTCTCTTGTCTCCTTCTCTCTGGACTTCCCTCCCCTCCCCATTTCCTGACCCCTTCTACTAAGTGACAGGCAGCTCTGTAATTTCTATTTTAAGAAGAAGGTTTGGGTTATGTAACCAGGTTGGAAGATGAAGAGGAATGAACTAGGGAAATGATCTTAAGGTTGAGTTTGCCAAGTACAGTTTTCCCTTGGGTTATGTGTTTATTCGGGATGGCTGAGGATGAGACACTGCAGCGCCCACAAGACACTCCTTGGCACCACCAGGTTCTATGCCAGGGACCTTGGGAGATGCAAAGGTTTTGGAGACACTCTCTTTCCTTAAGGAGTATGGCCTAGGGAGAGATTTGTGATTTGGTTGGCTACTCAGTACATAAGGCAATTTATATTACTTATGTTAAAACAGAGGTACTCTTGGCCACGGAAACATAGAAAAAGGAGCAATAAATTATTGAACAATGTATTATCTCTATATTCAGAATCAGAAAAAAAGGATCTGACTGTCTGCTAAAAATAGCAATACATTCATATGTATATTGCATCAGGTAGACGATTAGGGAGTCTATAAGCAAAGGCAATACTGTATGTATCAAAGTATATCTACGAGATCAGGAAGAGAGTGGTAGCAAAAAGGATCTGAAGAACTTCTTCACTACAGCAGAGTTCTGATTTCACACACAAATGCTTGTTAAGAGAGTTCTGCTCTCATGCAGAAGTAGTGAAGGTAAAGTTGAGAGATACCGGGGGAAACCAGTGTTTGCCTTTAGTTGTAGGCAATAAATTGTGTGGGAAATGCCAATTTCAAAATCCCTCCTTTCTACATGATTCAATGTGAGTAAGACAGAATCGTTGTTGACTGTAAAATCCATCTCAAAGACTCAAAAATCATTAATGTCCAATAATACTGATTTGTTTTCTGTTAAATCTGGGTCTTGTGGCTTCTATAAGTCTTTCTTTTGGCAGAAAATTCAATAATTTATTATCACTGAAGGTAAAAATAGTCTCAGAAATGTTTAGTTTGGCTTTGGTGTTATACACATTTAGTTCATAAAATTCTAGTTGTGTTTCCATAATTCTTTACTGGAGAATTAATTAAATTTCTCGTTTCTGCAATTTACAACTTGACTATGTTTTTGTTGGAAGTCTGGTGGAAATTCTCATTTATTTTTGGTCTTCACTTTATGGGAACAATTTCTACGTTAAAACTTGCAGAATAGAGAATCACAGGACAATAATGCAATGATATGGCAACCAGTTTTTCTAACTTATTTGTTTTAGTGAAAACAAGATTGGCAACACCAAAACCTGACAGAATTAAAAACAAACTTCTTCCTGGAAGTTTTCATCTGAAAAAAATTGTGCTGATTTTCAGACAGAAATCTCATATCTCAAAGTATTTTTTATTGAACGACATATACTATCTTGTCCAGTAGGAAAAAAAAAATCCCATGATATAAAGGTATTCACTGGGGAAGCCTCACAGAACACATAGGCATGGAATTTTGAGAGAACCGTAGGAAAATTGCATTTTTAATGAGCTCAAAATGCAAATAACAGAATACAAGCTTATTAGTTAAAGGTAGTATCCCAATTTGGACACAAAGTTTGATTCTACCGAAACTTAGGGCAGAGGTCCCCATCCCCCAGGCTGAGGTCCAGTACTGGTCTGTGGTCTGTTAGGAGCCTGGCCATACAGCAGGAGGTGAGTGGTGGGCAAGTGAGCATTACTGCCTGAGCTCCGCCTCCCGTCAGATCAGCAGCGGCATTAGATTCTCATAGCAGTGAAAACCCTATTGTGAACTGCACATATGAGGGATCTAGGTCGTGTGCTCCTTATGAGGATCTAATGTTTGATGATCTGAAGTAGAACAGTTTCATCCTGAAACTATCCCCCAACCACCTCCCTGGTCCATGGAGAATTTATCTTTCATGAAACTGGTCCCTGGTGTGAAAAAGGCTAGGACCGCTGACTTAGGGGATTTTTAAGAGGATAGAAGCTTCTTGAGACAGACCCTGTTGGTGTCAACCTTCACTGAGTAGGCACACTCAGTCTAACCCAGGTGGGGTCCAGGTTGCTGATTTCTTTCTGTCCGTGCGCTTGAAAATTAGGAGCACTATTTGAGAGAATAGCATATTTGGAAAACAGAAGGGGTTAAATGAGATGGAGCCTATAGCACATTTTTAATGTGTTGCAAGTAATAATAAGTGTCACTAAAGACACCAGTCCTTTCTGGGCGCTGTGGCTCATTCCTGTAATTCCAGCACTCCGAGAGGCTGAGGTGGGCAGATCACCTGAGGTCAGGAGTTTGAGAACAGCTTGGCCAACATGGTGGAACCCCGTCTCTACTAAAAAATATGAAAATTAGCTGGGCGTGGTAGTATGCGCCTGTAATCCCAGATACTTTGGAGGCTGAGGCTGGAGAATTGCTTGAGCCTGGGAAGCAGAGGTTGCAGTGAGCCGAGGTTGCAACATTGTACTCCAGCCTGGGCAACAGAGCCAGATTCAGTCTCAAAAAAAAAAAAAGGGGGGCCAGTCCTTGCCTTCTCAGACATACCCCTGTAATAAGATTCTCTCTCCAGATCCCCTGGCATGTCCTGTTTGTACAAGGGCCCTCTTTTTTACCTACCAGACACCTGACAGAAGGGGACCCAACCACAGCCTGGGATGAGCCAATCCAATTGTCTCTCTGAAGATTTGAACAGAGGGACACTAGAGAGTTTTCCAAGTATTGGGGCTGCAGGAAGAGGCACGTGCCTATCTATGTAATGTTCGAAGGTGTGCATGAGCTGAGAAGCCACAAGGAAACAGAGAAAGGCACTGCTATGGGTTGAAACACTGACTTTGTGATCTCTGAGGAGGTGCTGGGATAGTCTTGGCATCTGCTCTCACCTCTGGTTCTGAGGAAGCCATGTGTCTCTCCATGTGCTGCCCCTGGATTTTGTGCACTCCCCTGTATCCTTACAAACATGCCTGCTATGGGTTTGGCTGGGATGACTACGTTTGTCACTCACAATTACTGAAGCTTGTCCAAGATGGAAATGGGGTCAACAGGGCTGTAGTTTCTCCTTTTAAAACAAACTTTTTTTTTTTTAAATCAATTGACAATGATTTTTATTAATTTCTTTCTTTATTATTATTATTATACTTTAAGTTTTAGGTACATGTGCACAACGTGCAGGTTTGTTACATATGTACACATGTACCATGTTGGTGTGCTGCACCCATTAACTCGTCATTTAGCATTAGGTATATCTCCTAATGCTATCCCTCCCCCCTCCCCCCACCCCACAACAGTCCCCGGTGTGTGATGTTCCCCTTCCTATGTCCGTGTGTTCTCTTTGCTCAATTCCCACCTATGAGTGAGAACATGTGGTGTTTGGTTTTTTGTCCTAGCGATAGTTTGCTGAGAATGATGGTTTCCAGCTTCATCCATGTCCCTACAAAGGACATGAACTCATCATTTTTTATGGCTGCATAGTATTCCATGGTGTATATGTGCCACATTTTCTTAATCCAGTCTATCATTGTTGGACATTTGGCTTGGTTCCAAGTCTTTGCTATTGTGAATAGTGTCGCAATAAACATATGTGTGCATGTGTCTTTATAGCAGCATGATTTATAATCCTTTGGGTATATACCCAGTAATGGGATGGCTGGGTCAAATGGTATTTCTAGTTCTAGATCCCTGAGGAATCGCCACACTGACTTCCACAATGGTTGAACTAGTTTATAGTCCCACCAACAGTGTAAAAGTGTTCCTATTTCTCCACATCCTCTCCAGCACCTGTTGTTTCCTGACTTTTTAATGATCGCCATTCTAACTGGTGTGAGATGGTATCTCATTGTGGTTTTGATTTGCATTTCTCTGATGGCCAGTGATGATGAGCATTTTTTTGTGTGTTTTTTGGCTGCATAAATGTCTTCTTTTGGGAAGTGTCTGTTCATATCCTTCACCCACTTTTTGATGGGGTTGTTTGTTTTTTTCTTGTAAATTTGTTTGAGTTCATTGTAGATTCTGGATATTAGCCCTTTGTCAGATGAGTAGGTTGTGAAAATTTTCTCCCATTCTGTAGGTTGCCTGTTCACTCTGATGGTGGTTTCTTTTGCTGTGCAGAAGCTCTTTAGTTTAATTAGATCCCATTTGTCAATTTTGGCTTTTGTTGCCATTGCTTTTGGTGTTTTAGACATGAAGTCCTTGCCCATGCCTATGTCCTGAATGGTATTGCCTAGGTTTTCTTCTAGAGTTTTTATGGTTTTAGGTCTAACATGTAAGTCTTTAATCAATCTTGAATTAATTTTTGTATAAGGTGTAAGGAAGGGATCCAGTTTCAGCTTTCTACATATGGCTAGTGAGTTTTCCCAGCACCGTTTATTAAATAGGGAATCTTTTCCCCATTGCTTGTTTTTGTCAGGTTTGTCAAAGATCAGATAGTTGTAGATATGCAGTATTATTTCTGAGGGTTCTGTTCTGTTCCATTGGTCTATATCTCTGTTTTGGTACCAGTACCATGCTGTTTTTGTTACTGTAGCCTTGTAGTATAGTTTGAAGTCAGGTAGCGTGATGCCTCCAGCTTTGTTCTTTTGGCTTAGGATTGACTTGGCAATGCGGGCTCTTTTTTGGTTCCATATGAACTTTAAAGTAGTTTTTTCCAATTCTGTGAAGAAAGTCATTGGTAGCTTGATGGGGATGGCATTGAATCTATAAATTACCTTGGGCAGTATGGCCATTTTCACGATATTGATTCTTCCTACCCATGAGCATGGAATGCTCTTCCACTTGTTTGTATCCTCTTTTATTTCATTGAGCAGTGGTTTGTAGTTCTCCTTGAAGAGGACCTTCACATCCCTTGTAAGTTGGATTCCTAGGTATTTTATTCTCTTTGAAGCAATTGTGAATGGGAGTTCACTCATGATTTGGCTCCCTGTTTGTCTGTTATTGGTGTATAAGAATGCTTGTGATTTTTGTACATTGATTTTGTATCCTGAGACTTTGCTGAAGTTGCTTATCAGCTTAAGGAGATTTTGGGCTGAGACGATGGGGTTTTCTAGATATACAATCATGTCATCTGCAAAGAGGGACTATTTGACTTCCTCTTTTCCTAATTGAATGCCCTTTATTTCCTTCTCCTGCCTGATTGCTCTGGCCAGAACTTCCAACACTATGTTGAATAGGAGTGGTGAGAGAGGGCATCCCTGTCTTGTGCCAGTTTTCAAAGGGAATGCTTCCAGTTTTTGTCCATTCAGTATGATATTGGCTGTGGGTTTGTCATAGATAGCTCTTATTATTTTGAGATACGTCCCATCAGTACCTAATTTATTGAGAGTTTTTAGCATGAAGGTTGTTGAATTTTGTCAAAGGCCTTTTCTGCATCTATTGAGATAATCATGTGGTTTTTGTCTTTAGTTCTGTTTATATGCTGGATTACTTTTATTGATTTGTGGATGTTGAACCAGCCTTGCATCCCAGGGATGAAGCCCACTTGATCATGGTGGATAAGCTTTTTGATGTGTTACTGGATTCGGTTTGGCAGTATTTTATTGAGGATTTTTGCAGACCATTGCATCAATTGGTCTAAAATTCTCTTTTTTTGTTGTGTTTCTGCCAGGCTTTGTTATCAGGATGATGCTGGCCTCATAAAATGAGTTAGGGAGGAGTCCCTCTTTTTCTATTGATTGGAATAATTTCAGAAGGAATGGTACCAATTCCTCCTTGTACCTCTGGTAGAATTCGGCTGTGAATCCATCTGGTCCTGGACTTTCTTTGGTTGGTAAGCTATTAATTATTGCCTCAATTTCAGAGCCTGTTGTTGGTCTGTTCAGAGATTTAACTTCTTCCTGGTTTAGTCTTGGGAGAGTGCATGTGTCGAGGAATTTATCCATTTCTTCTAGATTTTCTAGTTTATTTGCGTAGAGGTGTTTATAGTATTCTCTGATGGTAGTTTGTATTTCTGTGGGATCGGTGGTGATATCCCCTTTGTCATTTTTTATTGCGTCTATTTGATCCTTCTCTCTTTTCTTCTTTATTAGTCTTGCTAGCGGTCTATCAATTTTGTTGATCTTTTCAAAAAACCAGCTCCTAGATTCATTAATTTTTTGAAGGGTTTTTTGTGTCTCTATTTCCTTCAGTTCTGCTCTGATCTTAGTTATTTCTTGCCTTCTGCTAGCTTTTGAATGTGTTTGCTCTTGCTTCTCTAGTTCTTTTAATTGTGTTGTTAGGGTGTCAATTTTAGATCTTTCCTGCTTTCTCTTGTGGGCATTTAGTGCTATAAATTTCCCTCTACACACTGCTTTGAATGTGTCCCAGAGATTCTGGTATGTTGTGTCTTTGTTTTCATTGGTTTCAAAGAACATCTTTATTTCTGCCTTCATTTCGTTATGTACCCAGTAGTCATTCAGGAGCAGGTTGTTCAGTTTCCATGTAGTTGAGTGGTTTTGAGTGAGTTTCTTAATCCTGAGTTCTAGTTTGATTGCACTGTGGTCTGAGAGACAGTTTGTTATAATTTCTGTTCTTTTACATTTGCTGAGGAGTGCTTTACTTCCAACTGTGTGGTCAATTTTGGAATAGGTGTGGTGTGGTGCTGAAAAGAATGCATATTCTGTTGATTTGGGGTGGAGAGTTCTGTAGATGTCTATTAGGTCCACTTGGTGCAGAGTTGAGTTCAATTCCTGGATATCCTTGTTAACTTTTTGTCTTGTTAATCTGTCTAATGTTGACAGTTTGGTGTTAAAGTCTCCCATTATTATTTTGTGGGAGTCTAAGTCTCTTTGTAGGTCACTCAGGACTTGCTTTATGAAACTGGGTGCTCCTGTATTGGGTGCATATATATTTAGGATAGTTAGCTCTTCTTGTTGAATTGATCCCTTTACCATTATGTAATGGCCTTCTTTGTCTCTTTTGGTCTTTGCTGGTTTAAAGTCTGTTTTATCAGAGACTAGGATTGCAACCCCTGCCTTTTTTTGTTTTCCATTTGCTTGGTAGATCTTCCTTCATCCTTTTATTTTGAGCCTATGTGTGTCTCTGCACGTGAGATGGGTTTCCTGAATACAGCACACTGGTGGGTCTTGACTCTTTATCTAATTTGCCAGTCTGTGCCTTTTAATTGGAGCATTTAGCCCATTTACATTTAAGGTTAGTATTGTTATGTGTGAATTTGATCCTATCATTATGATGTTAGCTGGTTATTTTGCTCGTTAGTTGATGCAGTTTCTTCCTAGCCTTGATGGTCTTTACAATTTGGCATGTTTTTCCAGTGGCTGGTATGGGTTGTTCCTTTCCATGTTTAGTGCTTCCTTCAGGAGCTCTTTTAGGGCAGGCCTGGTGGTGACAAAATCTCTCAGCATTTGCTTGTCTGTAAAGTATTTTATTTCTCCTTCATTTATGAAGCTTAGTTTGGCCAGATATGAAATTCTGGGTTGAAAATTCTTTTCTTTAAGAATGTTGAATATTGGCCCCCACTCTCTTCTGGCTTGTAGAGTTTCTGTGGAGAGATCAGCTGTTAGTCTGTTGGGCTTCCCTTTGCAGGTAACCCGACCTTTCTCTCTGGCTGCCCTTAACATTTTTTCCTTCCTTTCAACTTTGGTGAATCTGACAATTATGTGTCTTGGAGTTGCTCTTCTCGAGGAGTATTGTTGTGGTGTTCTCTGTATATCCTGAATTTGAATGTTGGCCTGCCTTGCTAGATTGGGGAAGTTCTCCTGGATTATATCCTGCAGAGTGTTTTCCAACTTGGTTCCATTCTCCATGTCACTTTCAGGTACACCAATTAGAGGTAGATTTGGTCTTTTCACATAGTCCCATATTTCTTGGAGGCTTTGTTCATTTCTTTTTATTCTTTTTTCTCTAAACTTCTCTTCACGCTTCATTTCATTCATTTCGTCTTCCATCACTGATACCATTTCTTCCAGTTCATTGCATCAGTTACTGAGGCTTGTGCATTCATCACGTAGTTCTCTTGCCATGGTTTTCAGCTCCATCAGGTCCTTTAAGGACTTCTGTGCATTGGTTATTCTAGCTATCCATTCGTCTAATTTTTTTTCAAAGTTTTTAACTTCTTTGCCATTGGTTCGAACTTCCTCCTTTAGCTCGGAGTAGTTTGATCTTCTGAAGCCTTCCTCTCTCAACTCGTCAAAGTCATTCTCCGTCCAGCTTTGTTCCATTGCTGGTGAGGAGCTGCGTTCCTTTGGTGGAGGAGAGGCGCTCTGATTTTTAGAGTTTCTGGTTTTTCTGCTCTGTTTTTTCCCCAGCTTTGTGGTTTTATCTACCTTTGGTCTTTGATGATGGTGATGTACAGATGGGTTTTTGGTGTGGATCTCCTTTCTGTTTGTTAGTTTTCCTTCTAACAGACAGGACCCTCAGCTGCAGGTCTGTTGGAGTTTACTGGAGGTCCACTCCAGACCCTGTTTGCCTGGGTATCAGCAGTGGTGGCTGTAGAAGAGTGGATATAGGTGAGCTGCAAATGCTGCTGCCTGATCGTTCCTCTGGAAGTTTTGTCTCAGAGGAGTACCTGGCCGGCCGTGTGAGGTGTCAGTCCGCCCCTACTGGTGGGTGCCTCCCAGTTAGGCTACTCAGGAGTCAGGGACCCACTTGAGGAGGCAGTCTGCCTGTTCTCAGATCTCAAGCTGCGTGCTGGGAGAACCACTACTCTCTTCAAAGCTGTCAGACAGGGACATTTAAGTCTGCAGAGGTTATTGCTGTCTTTTGTTTGTCTGTGCCCTGCCCGCAGAGGTGGAGCCTACAGAGACAGGCAGGCCTCCTTGAGCTGTGGTGGGCTCCACCCAGTTCGAGGTTCCAGGCTGCTTTGTTTACCTACTCAAGCCTGAGCAATGGCGGGTGCCCCTCCCCCAGCCTCGCTGCGCCTTGCAGTTTGATCTCAGACTGTTGTGCTAGCAGTGAGCGAGGCTCTGTGGGCGTAGCACCCTCCGAGCCAGGTGCAGGATATAATCTCCTGGTGTGCGGTTTGTTAAGCCTGTTGGAAAAGTGCAGTATTAGGGTGGGAGTGACCTGATTTTCCAGGTGCCGTCTGTCACCCCTTTCTTTGACTAGGAAAGGGAATTCCCTGACCCATTGCGCTTCCCGGGTGAGGCGTTGCCTTGCCCTGCTTCGGCTCATGCACAGTGCGCTGCACCCACTGTCCTGCACCCACTGTCCGGCACTCCCCAGTGAGATGAACCTGGTACCTCAGTTGGAAATGCAGCAATCACCCGTCTTCTGTGTCGCTCATGCTGGGAGCTGAAGCTGTTCCTATTTGGCCATCTTGGCTCCACCCCTCCAAATTGCTTTTTTTTTTTTTTTTTTTTGAGACAGAGTCTCGCTCTGTTGCCAGGCTGGAGTGCAGTGGCACAATCTTGGCTCACTGCCACCTCCACCTCCCCAGTTCAAGCGATTCTCCTGCATCAGCCTCCTGAGTAGTTGGGACTGCAGGCGTGCACCACCACGCCCAGTTAATTTTTGTATTTTTAGTAGAGACAGGGTTTCACCATGTTGGCCAGGGTAGCCTCAATCTCCTGACCTCATGATCCACCGGGCTTGGCCTCCCAAAGTGCTGGGATTACAGGCATGAGCCACCGTGTCCAGCCAAAACATACTGTTTTATAAGTATGCATGACATTTATAAGAGTTATTTGCAACAGTTGAATATGAAGATGAGGTTGGCAAAACAGAAAGAGAACATTCTCTTCTGCTGGAATTAAGTGGGTCTCAAACTCATCCGATGACCCTTGAATGCAGTTTGTCAAAAAGAGGCTGGGCGTGGTGGCTCATGCCTTTATTTATTTATTTATTTATTTATTTATTTATTTATTTTAATTGATCATTCTTGGGTGTTTCTCGCAGAGGGGGATTCGGCAGGGTCATAGGACAACAGTGGAGGGAAGGTCAGCAGATAAACAAGTGAACAAAGGTCTCTGGTTTTCCTAGGCAGAGGACCCTGCGGCCTTCCGCAGTGTTTGTGTCCCTGGGTACTTGAGATTAGGGAGTGGTGATGACTCTTAACGAGCATGCTGCCTTCAAGCATCTGTTTAACAAAGCACATCTTGCACCGCCCTTAATCCATTTAACCCTGAGTGGACACAGCACATGTTTCAGAGAGCACAGGGTTGGGGACAAGGTCACAGATCAACAGGATCCCAAGGCAGAAGAACCCTTCTTAGTACAGAACAAAATGAAAAGTCTCCCACGTCTACTTCTATCCACACAGACCCGGCAACCATCCGATTTCTCAATTTTTTCCCCACCCTTCCCGCCTTTCTATTCCACAAAACCGCCATTGTCATCATGGCCCATCCCCAATGAGCCGCTGGGCACACCTCCCAGATGGGGTCGTGGCCGGGCAGAGGGGCTCCTCACTTTCCAGTAGGGGCGGCCGGGCAGAAGCACCCCTCACCTCCCGGATGGGGCGGCTGGCCGGGCGGGGGGCTGACCCCCCCACCTCCCTCCCGGACAGGGCGGCTGGCCAGGCAGAGGGGTCCTCACTTCCCAGTAGGGGCGGCCGGGCAGAGGCGCCCCTCACCTCCCGGACGGGGCGGCTGGCCAGGCGGGGGGCTGATCCCCCCACCTCCCTCCCGGACGGGGCGGCTGGCCGACCCACCCCCCCCGCCTCCCTCCCGGACGGGGCGGCTGGCCAGGCAGAGGGGCTCCTCACTTCCCAGTAGGGGCGGCCAGGCAGAGGCGCCCCTCACCTCCCGGACAGGGCGGCTGGCCCGGCTGGGGGCTGATCCCCCCACCTCCCTCCTGAACGGGGTGGCTGGCCGGGCAGAGGGGTCCTCACTTCCCAGTAGGGGCGGCCCGGCAGAGGCGCCCCTCACCTCCCGGACGGGGCGGCTGGCCCGGCTGGGGGCTGATCCCCCCACCTCCCTCCCGGACGGGGCGGCTGGCCGGGCGGGGGGCTGACCCCCCCACCTCCCTCCCGGACGGGGCGGCTGGCCGGGCAGAGGGGTCCTCACTTCCCAGTAGGGGCGGCCGGGCAGAGGCGCCCCTCACCTCCCGGACGGGGCAGCTGGCCCGGCTGGGGGCTGATCCCCCCACCTCCCTCCCGGACGGGGCGGCTGGCCGGGCAGGGGGCTGACCCCCCCTCCCCCCTCCCGGACTGGGCGGCTGGCCGGGCGGGGGGCTGACCCCCCCACCTCCCTCCCGGACGGGGCGGCTGGCCGGGCGGAGATGCTCCTCACTTCCCAGACGGGGTGGCTGCCGGACGGAGGGGCTCCTCACTTCTCAGACGGGGCGGTTGCCAGGCAGAGGGTTTCC
Organism: Homo sapiens; assembly: GCF_000001405.40. Lineage (NCBI taxonomy): Eukaryota > Metazoa > Chordata > Mammalia > Primates > Hominidae > Homo > Homo sapiens. The sequence continues at coordinate 62,947,651 of NC_000010.11, read as the reverse complement.
TCACTTCTCAGACGGGGCGGCCGGGCAGAGGCGCTCCTCACATCCCAGACAGGGCGGCGGGGCAGAGGTGCTCCCCACATCTCAGACGATGGGCGGCCAGGCAGAGACGCTCCTCACTTTCCAGACTGGGCAGCCAGGCAGAGGGGCTCCTCATATCCCAGACGATGGGCGGCCAGGCAGAGACGCTCCTCACTTCCCAGACGGGGTGGCGGCCGGGCAGAGGCTGCAATCTCGGCACTTTGGGAGGCCAAGGCAGGCGGCTGGGAGGTGGAGGTTGTAGCGAGCCGAGATCACGCCACTGCACTCCAGCCTGGGCACCATTGAGCACTGAGTGAACGAGACTCCGTCTGCAATCCCGGCACCTCGGGAGGCCGAGGCTGGCGGATCACTCGTGGTTAGGAGCTGGAGACCAGCCCGGCCAACACAGCAAAACCCCGTCTCCACCAAAAAAAACCGAAAACCAGTCAGGCGTGGCGGCGCGCGCCTGCAATCGCAGGCACTCCTCAGGCTGAGGCAGGAGAATCAGGCAGGGAGGTTGCAGTGAGCCGAGATGGCAGCAGTACAGTCCAGCTTCGGCTCGGCATCAGAGGGAGACCGTGGAGGGAGAGGGAGAGGGAGAGGGAGAGGGAGAGGGAGAGGGAGAGGGACAGGGACAGGGAGAGGGAGAGGGACAGGGAGAGGGAGAGGGAGAGGGAGAGGGAGAGGGAGAGGCTCATGCCTTTAATCCCAGCACTTTGGGAGACCACGGCTGGTGGATTATTTGAGGTCAGGAGTTTGCGACCAGCCTGGCCAACATGGTGAAACCCCATCTCTACGAAAAATACAAAAATTAGCTGGGCATGGTGGTGCATGACTGTAATCCCAGCTACTCAGGAGGTTAAGGCACGAGAATCGCTTGAACCTGGGAGGTAGAGATTGCAGTGAGCCAAGATCGCACCACTGCACTCCAGCCTGGGTGGCAGAGTGAAACTGTGTCTAAAAAAAAAAAAAAATCAGGCCATCTGCCTTCATCGAGAAGTGCTAAGACCCAGCCCGTTTCTCAATGAAACTGCAGTTCAGTCAGGGAGAGAAAAGTAACACCTGCAACAACCAGAGAAAAGGAATAATGTTCATGGCAGGGATAATGACATGCTACATCATGTGGTACTGACCAGATGTGAACTCAATCAGAGGAGGGCAAGTCAGAACAGACTGGAGCTGCCAGAAATGATTGAAGGAGGCAAGAGGTAGCTGCAAAAAAGGAGGGCTCAGATCCTGACTGTGGAGTGGAGTGGAGTTAGGGTGGAGGAGGGTGTCAGCGGGCACAGGGAAGTAGCATAAGCCATATGTCTGTGGGTGGACATTCCATGTGTGAATGAGTGCTGAGTGTCTCTGCACTGAACTTATAGTCCACTTGGACAGACAAGACATGCAGAGATGAAAATGCATCAGAAATGGACTGCAAGGCATGACATGGCCAAGAGCCAAAGAAATGTCCTGAGAAGGAAGAGTTCTTTACAACCTGGTTGAGGGGTGAGTTGGCTGGAGCACATGGAACAGAATAGACATACTGAAAAATAGTGAGCATTGGAGTGGTTTGGAAACGAGGCTGGCAAAGCCGGTGGGCCAGATGATGAGAGGTGTGAACCTAGGCTTGCAGTAGGGAATGAAGGTACTTTTCAAACTTCTTTTGGGAATGGCAGCTTATTTTTGAGACAGAGTCTTGCTCTGTTGCCCAGGCTAAAGTGCAGTGGCACGATCTCGGCTCACTGCAACCTCCGCCTCCCAGGTTCAAGTGATTCTCTTGCCTCAGCCTCCCGAGTAGCTGAGATTACAGGCGCGTGCCACCAAGCCTGGCTAATTTTTATATTTTTAGTAGAGACCGTGTTTCACCATGTTGGCCAGGCTGATCTCAAACTCCTGGCCTCAAGTGATCCACCCGCCTCGGCCTCCCAAAGTGCTGAGATTACAGATATGAGCCACCATGCCCGGCGGAAGCTTTTTCTTAAAAAACAAAAAAACAAAAAACCAAAAAAAAAAAAAAACAACTGTAAGTGGAAGCTCAGTAAATAAAACAGATGAAACAGATAAATTCTGGGTGAAGGGGAACGCGAGTCCAGGAGCCAAATTCCACGATCCCCACCCTACCCTTGAGGTCTGTCCATCATACCTAGGTGTACCTCTGGAAGCTGCTTGAAAATCCAGACCAGGGGGAAGCAGTAGGGAGTTGTGAATGGTAGATGATCAGACATATAGCCTCAAAGGGAGCTTATTGCAGGGTGAACTGGAATAGGAAAAGAGTAAGAAGAGGTGAACAAAAGAGGTAACTGTGAAGGAATTCAGGTGTGAGGTGCTGAGGGCCTGGGAGTGGGGGTGGGGGAGAGGAGGAGGGAAGGGGAGGAGTGGAGACCCATGTCCTATTCCCAGTATCTTTATCTAAGCTGATCATTATACCTTAAATTTCATTTTCAGTACTGGGGCTCATAATCTATTTGGAATATTGAGTGAGGAGTTTTGAACTCATCCTTAAACTGCAGTCCTTCTGATAGGAATAAAGAAACATTAACAGATGAGCACTGCAACTGCTTAATTCTGGGGGTCCAACTCAAGGGTTTTCCTTCTAGAAGCATAACTGTCTTTCCTCTTCCAGATGTAAGCCACCTTTTATGTATTTTTGACATTTTGCGGTTCCCTGCTCAGGAAGAAAGTGTGCTTCCCAAGGGGTTATATTAAATTGAATTGATTGTCAGGCAGAATTGAAGAGTTACAACAAAAAAGGAAGCAGGCCGTACTCATCTCTCCAGCTCTTTACGTTCATGTACATTTGTCTTTTCTGCTTCCAAGTTAAGTCTCCACTGGTTTTGTCTGGTCAGCCCAGCTTTCTTTCCATCCTGAAACACTGAGGCACTCGAGCTGATTTCAGTGAGCAGGGAGGTTGCAATGACACAGCCCCTAAGGGGGCCACTGATGGACTCACCCATTCGTCAACGTCGGTATTCTTCATTAACCAAGCTGAGCTTATTGAAATATCTTAGCAACAAATCCACATTTGCCTGTATTGAAGAAATTTGGTGCATGGGAAAATAACATTGGTCTATGATGAAGGACTAATATGTGAGGCTCAGACAGTGAGTTCCTAAATGGTCAGATTTACATTGTAGTTAAGAACCTAGATAAGGAAATCCACATACTAAAAATAGAAAAGGACAAAAACAAAACAAAAAAAAAAACAAACAACAAACTTCTGACCTTACCTTTCAAGATGGCCATTATTTGCTCTTTGAAGACCAAGATTCCTTATGAAATTAAATGGGGAAAAACACTCCCTGGAGCAAATGCTTGTGAGTAAACATGTTCTGAAGCACAATACCGATTGTGCTGTTCCTCTGCTCAAAAACTGCCCATAGAATCAATTCAGGCCTCTCTCTGGCTTGGCTTAAGTTGGGCTCACTTGCTGTGTTTCCATCTATTGCTTCAGGCACCCAGGAACACTCACCAGTTCTCAAGCTTAACGCCCTTGATCCTATCTCTGTGCCCATCTCTTGCTGGAATGTCGTCGCTGCCATCTTGGTGGAATCCTATCAAAACTCCATGGCCTGGTCTCTGTGCCGCCTTTTTCTTTTGTGACAATTTTCCTCCCCTATCCCTTAACAGGCACTCTCCTTTTGTCTTCCTTTAGAGTTTTGAAATGTGCTTAGAAGACATCTCCTCCTCCTCCTCCTCTGCCTCCTCCTACTTCTTCTTCTTTTCTTCTTCATATTAGATACGTGACTTATAAACTCCAGTAAGGTAGAGATTGATAAATAATGGGCAAACCATGGGCTTTAGGATCAGGTGGATCTGAGTTCGAATTCTAGCTCCACCACCTAGAATCTGGGCTTGGGAACTCTGTTTCTGCTCGCACCACTGTGCCGTTTGTTAGATAGAGATTAGAGTAACTACCTCCCAAGGTGACTGACAGAGTGCAAGCGATCAGGAATGTGAAGCTCAAGCTTGGCACCTGATTTCTGGCAGCTGCCTACTGAATATCAGGTCCCTGCCTTTTCTACATTTCACATCAAGTAGCATAGTTCCCTGAAGTGTTAAGGTGCTCAGTAACATTTTTTTAGTTGAATTAAATAAAAGATTAGTTTTGGGACTTTGCCAGACACATTATCTCTTTTCAGACCTGTTAGTACCACTTAGTGCCTCTAAATAATAATTGGCAAAATATACCAGAAAGCAAAACACTGTTTTACATTTTTGTGGTAAGGCACAGGCCCATATATTGGGGTGCAGCAGCCAAACAGAAAACATGATGAGGCCATTTTCTCTTGCATTCTTCTGCCTCAGTCCTAGAGGTTGTGCTCTTTTTTTCGGGCTTATGAGCCCCTCTGATGGAGAAACCATGATCGGGGTGCCAGACCCTGTGGTGGTTAGAGCCAGAAAACAGGGAGAAAGCAGGCTCGGGTCTGTGTGTGGGCACAGAGAAGATAAAAGGCTCCTGCCTTAGTAAACCTGGCTTCCTGACATGGTTCAGATGCTTAAGAAGTGCACTGCCTAAAACCCTAATAGAGCTTCTCTGAAGTGCCTAAGGACAGAGAATAAAGTGCCTGATCCACACCTAGAGAACCACTTTCTTCAGAGGGTTCTGACATTTTATTGTTAGCTGTTTTCATACTTAGGCTTTAAAATCATAAACACGTATCTATCTTGGAAGGTTTCCTGATTTGAAAATATAATACTTGTTCATTGTAAGCAATTTGAAAAGTACAGAAAAGCACAATGGTATATCTAAATGTGAACATAGCTTTAAACTACAGAAATGATTACATTTTATGAATACTTTTGTATAGACTATATTTGTATCTAAACAATTTATTGTGCTCATTTTCCCATGTCAGTAAATTTTCTTCTACAACACCATGTTAATAGCTGCCTAGTATTCTATCACATGAAAGTTCCAAGTTTCACTTTTCCAATTTCCTAGAGCTGGACATTTAAAATTATGCTGAGATAAATATCTTTTTGTATATACTGTTTCACATGTTCTCTTTGGAAAAATTCCAAGAAAAGGATTGCTAGATAGAAGGGGGTAAATTCCTAGGAAAAAGGATTGCTAGCAATTTCCTAGGAATTTACCCCAAAAGAACATGTGATATAATTGTTGACAAATTGCAACTTTTGTGCCACTTTTTATTCCCCTATTGTTCAATATTGAAGTGATTTTCAATTTGTCACTATAGTAAGTTATAATGTGATGAACATCCTTGGATATGACTTTTTTTTTTTACACATTTACTGTGTTCTTAGGTTAAACATCTTCATAAATAAAATTGCAATATCAAAGATATAAACATTTTTGAAGCTTTTCATCCATATTGCCAAATTTTCTTCTAGAAAAAGGGATAACTCTCACCCCCAGTGATTAGAATGCCATTTATTTCTCAAGATGTTTGCTAGCTAGCATGTAGCTTATCATTTTAAAAAAATTTGCTAATGAGACAATCCAAGAATAGTAACTTAGTATTTTGATTTTTATTTCTTTGACTGTTAATGAAACTAAACATATTTTTTTGTTTTAGCCTTAAGATTTATTAATATAGAGCTCAGCTTTACAAGTAGTTTTTTTCAATGTTAGAATTAGACCACAAAGGTTTTATTTTGGATGAATTAATTAGCTTCAATACCATTACTCAATAACTATTTATTGAGTACTGACTATATGCAGGATGGTGTGACAGCCACAGTGAGGATGCCGCAGGTGAGAAAAGGTGAGTTCCTGTCTTTAAGGCATTAATCTGCTGCAGAGAAAAGACAGATACAAGCAAATAGATCATTTAAAATGGGAAACGTTGTATATTTTATTTATTTAACATTTATAGTATCTAAAAGGACATTTGATAATATAAAATGATCTGAGACTACTAACAACAAATGGCCTAGAACCAATAAAACCATTAAGACAGAGATTAAGAATGGAATTTACCTTGAGCTTTAAATAAAAAGCTATTAATTAATAATGCATGCAACTTAACTCCATGCTTCTTAGCGCTGATGGGAAATGTGTAGGGTCATGTAGCTGTCATTAGCTTCTAAAAGGATGTGTGCAAGTTTGTTAGAAAGGATGCAATCTCTCTAGAATTGTACTCATGAAAGAGCTCTCATGTAGGTCTTTCTATAAGGAGCACAGAACCACATAATGGACACTGTTTTTGATAGAATTATTTTAAAAATTCAGTCTTCATATGACTGTTGTTTAAATAGTGACTTGCACACACACAAAATGAGACCATAGTGTTACACTGTAGTGCAGGGTTGTCCAATCTTTTGACTTCCCTGAGTCACATTGGAAGAAGAAGAATTATCTTGGGCCACGCATGAAGTACACTAATACTAACAATAGCTGATGAGCTAAAAAAAAAATGTAAAAAAAAAAAAATCTCATAACATTTTTAGAAAGTTTATGAATTTGTGTTGGGCTGCATTCAAAGCCATCCTGGGCCACATGTGGCCTGTGGGCTGCGGGTCGGGCAAGCTTGCTGTAGTGCTTAGTATTTCTTAGGGAAGTTAGGTATATGCCTCTTTGAGAATCAGATTTAGTACAAGGGTAGAGCCTTAAGAATATAGGGTCAGATTGACAAGCATAAATCTTTTGCCAACTTATTTCACAGTCAGTTGTTGCAGTTGGTACTTTGACAGGCACTGTACCAATGATTTAAGATGATTAAAAATGACAAAAACATGAGATTACTAATGCCCTCAACCCAAGGTATAGGTATTCAGCTATTGACCATAATTAGTTTTCTGTGTTTCATTTATTTGTTTGTGCACTCTACAAATGTTTAGTAAGTTAAAGAAACTAAGCAAGGGTCTACACTAGAGGAGATTATAATTTGTTTGGAAGAAGACAAACACATAGTTAAAAAATAATGAGGTATAAGTATTAATATGCAGGGAGGCACAGAAGAAAAAGGAAGTCTGTGTCTTGGTGTGTGATGTCAAAAGACTTGAGAGGAGGTGACATTTGACATAGGTTTGCAAAGCTGAATAGAAAAGATGAGAAAGGACTTCTAGGTAAAGGGCACAACATATACAAAAGCACAGATGTATAAAACTACAAAGAATGTCAGAAAAAGATAAGCAGACAGGTGTTGGGGTGGGGAATGTGGCATTTGCCAAGCCAGGTTGGGGGAGCTCTATCCTCCAGACCTGTGCTGGCACAAGTCACATGGGGCTAATTAGAATTAGTCATAATTAAAAATTCATTTCCTCAGTTATACTAGCCACATTTCAAATGCTCTATAACCACATGTGGCTAGGGGTAACCATGCTGGAGAGCACAGACATAGAAGTTTCCATCATTGCAGGAAGTTTGTTGGATAGCACTGCTGGAGACAATGGAGTGCTCAGGAAGACTATTATAAAGTGTAGTGATATGACCCGACTGGGGTCTTAGTAACATTGAATTGGAAAGGAAGTGAGGTGAGGCCAGGCATGGTGGCTCACACCTGTAACCCTAGCTCTTTGAGAAACTGAGGAGGGAGAATTGCTTGAAGCCAGGAGTTGGAGACCAGCCTAGGCAACATAGTGAGACCCTATCTCTACAAAAAGTAAAGAACTTAGCTGGGCACAGTGGTGCAGGCCTGTAGTCCCAGCTACTTGGGAGGCTGAGGTGGGAGGATCGCTTGAGCCCAAGAGTTTTAGTCTGTAGTGAGCTATGATTACACCACTGTATTGCCAGCCTGGGTGACAGAGACCCCATCTCTAAAAAATTTTTAAAAAGAGGAAGTGAGGGTACAGTTGAGAGAAAATGAGTGACAGTGATAATGGAGAAATGGGTACAATCTAAGACATTTGGAAGCAATAGTATTTATTACCGATTGATGGATGGAAAGTGGGGGGAGTTAAAAGTAATAGTGCTATTTCATGGCTAGGTGGAGGGTGATAAATGACACAATTAGTGTAAACAGGGAACAGAGGAGGAAGTCTGTTGGACAAAACAGTAAGTTCAAGAGTTGGACATGTTGCAACTGAGGTACCCACAGGAACTCCATGTGAACAGGCAGTTTAATGCTCAGAAAAGAGGACAGATCTTGCAGAGACTTTAATATATAAATAGGTCGACCATGTAAAATTATAGTAGCTAACATGGATGTAAGTCTATATGCCCAACACTGATCCCAGTGCTTCACATGTAGTTCAGTTCATGTCCTCTTCCCTGTGACTGTATGAGATAGGACTTACTGTCATTAACCCCATTTTATATAATCTACCCAAGTTCACACCAGTGAGAGATGGAGTAGGGATTTGAACTGAAACATATTTGCCTAACCAAAAATCCAGACAGAGGATGGTGTGACAAGCCACAAAGGAGGGATTTACATATGTATGTGAAAAATCCCACAAAATGTTCAAATTAAGTCACATTTAACTGCATAACAAAAATAACTTTCACAGAAAAAATGGAGTAGAATAATTTGGAACTGATTAGAAAATTTAGAGCCCATGACTGTTGCTTATGCAGTGTAGTATTGGGCAAAGACATGGAAGTCAACGTGTTTGCCGGAGAAGAATGAGAGAATGGGGAAGAAAGAGGGCCCTAGCATAGAATCTTGGAGAACATTGATATTCAAGAAGGAGTGAAGGTAGAGAGCTCAGCAAATGAGACTGTGAGCTAGAAGAGAGTGATGTGCCTGAAGCCAAGGAATAAAACATCTGGCAAAGAGAAATAGTTGGTGAGAACAGTTCAAATGTAATAAAGCCTGAAAACATTTCCAGTGACTTTCCCCAGCTGGAGTTTGTTGTTGGCTTTTTTCAGAACAGCTTCTACAGTACAGAGGGTGCTGGAGCCAGAAGACAGTAGGATGAGAAGTGCATAACAAGTGAAGAGTGGATGGGCGCGGTGGCTCACGCCTGTAATCCCAACACTTTGAGAGGCCAAGGCGGGTGGATCACCTGAGGTCAGGAGTTCGAAACCATTCTGACCAACACTGGTGAAATCCTGTCTCTACTAAAAATATAAAAAATTAGCCGGGCATGGTGCCAGATGCCTGTAATCCCAGCTACTCAGGAGGCTGAGGCAGGAGAATCGCTTGAACCTGGGAGGTGGAGGTTGCAGTGAGCTGAGATCACACCACTGCACTCCAGCCTGGGCAACAGAGTGAGAATCCATCTAAAAAAAAAAAAAAAGAAGTGAAGAGTGTAGACACATCTCCTAGAAATTCAGCCGTGAGGAGAAGGAGGACAGGATTTTGGCATAGATAGTCTTTTTTTAAACACATTTTTTTTTTGAGATAGGGTCTCACTCTGTCGCCCAGGCTGGAGTGCAGCAGTGCCATCATGGTTCACTGTGGCCTTGACCTCTCCAGGATCAGGTTATCCTCCCACCTCAGCCTCCCAAGTAGCTGGGACTACAGGTGTGTGTTACACTGGGTTTCGCCATATTGCCCAGGCTGGTCTTGAACTCCTGCACTCAAGGAAGTCTCCCACTTCAGCCTCCCAAAATGCTGGGATTACAGGCTTGAGCCATTGTGCCCAGCCATAAATAGTCTTAAATATTAGATGTGTGAATGGAAAAGGGCCATTCCATTTCTCTCAGGGAACGGGCACTGGAATTCCTGTAGACTAGTTTACAGCTTTTCTCAGAAAACAACTTCATAGCAGTTCAAATGCTTCAGCAAGGATTCACTGAAACCATGGAGTTTTGAACGTGAGTGAAGGTCCAGGCAATGTGTAATTACTGCATGTTCAATGTTAATGCTTTAACTTGTGAGAAATGACAAGGGAGATCCATGGCGTATCAATTCGGCATTTTGCTGAGGTAGGAATTTTACCCATGTGCATGCTGAGGCTGCCGAGACCGTATCTGTCCCTTCTGTGGTTCATGAACCTAGCAGATGGCTCAGCATCCACTCCTACCTTGGTGTCACATGAAGTTTTTAATGGTGTTGTTTCATAGTGAAAAAACGCCCACCAAATGACAGAGAAAACTCAAAAGGGTAGTTTTCTTGTAGTAAATAGGTGGCATCCAGAGACGTATGTGTTGAAATGCAAATAGATTTAAGAGACAAACCAGGAATCTGAACCTATTTTCATGATTTTGACCTTCTGGAAGTTATGGGAATGTATCCTGCATAGATCAAATAAGTAGGATGACCGCACATCCTAGGTTGCTTGGGATATTCCTGATTGACTCCTGTTGACTTGGTAAAATATCTAATAGTGTCTCCTTTCATTTTCCAAAATAGTCCTGGTTTGTCTGATAAATCATAAGGTCATCATATATGCAAGTTATACTACAATGAGTTCAATCAGATTATGGGGAAAGAGGGAAGGTATCAAGGAAGGCTTCGTAGGTGTGGCGTTGAACAACAAAGAGATCCAATAAGGCAGAGAGGGGAAAGAAAGCGTTCCTGACTGGTGATGATAAAAGCACAGAAGAGGTTCTTACCTCACAGAAAATGGAGACGTTGAGTTCTCTCTCAAACTACACTCCTGTAAAAACCCACCAAACCTGAAGAAGTTAAAATGAAAGTGGAATGCAGCCATCTTCCATGAGATCCACTGCTGTATTTTTAGTTGTTCAGTTCTGAGGATTTTAAGTGTTAGCTAATACTTGCACATTTTTATTAACTTGATTTCTGTAGAGAATACTACTGGGCAGTTATTTTGCATCATGATGGCAGCAAAAATGTCTTCTTCGACCAGTTCTTAGATTCTAATGTTTTAGAAGTTGTAGGAATTATAGCTCTCCTACTAGCTAAGGAGAGGTTTGGATAGAGGAGATAAACTTAATTTAAAGCATAAAGTGTTTGAAGGTTTCCTCCCCATTGTAATTATAAGAATTATATTTAATATGTATGTAACAGATATTCACATCTTGAAGGGAGAAAACAATTCCCTTTGCATAAGGTAAAAATACTGCAAATATTTCATTATGTCAGTTATTTATTCTTTCTAAAATCCCAGCAGTATCATTTTCCTCAAAATTAATCCTGATTATCACCGAATGTTCTTTACTTACTTGACTCCTGACTGCTTGGGCACTACTTTTTTGTTTCTTTTGTCTTTGTGTATGTGAGGGTTTAGATACATGCACAAATTTCAAACCTTTTTTGATAATGAGGATTTGCAAGATCGCACAAAAAATTATTATAACAAATGTGATTATATGTGGGAAATTGGATCTAGACTTGTAGTGCAATGAAGGCTTAACAATCTTTTTACACTAAAGTAACACTGGAATAAAAATAGGCTCAATTCTATCATTTGTAGAAAGTCTGATTTTCTTCTAATTTCCATGATATATTGGTATTGTTAACCCACATATGTGAACAGCAGAGACACTGCTAATAGCCTGTACATAGGATTTCAATGCTATTTGGGATGACAATTTGCCTGACACCCCCCCCCCGCCAAAAAAATCCTACATTCCCCAGATTTCCTTGTAAGTGAAAGGAATCACTGCATGATCTCATTCTGGCCAAAGACATAAGGGAAAGCCACCTGATGAGACATCAAAGAAAAGCTACTGTTTTCTTGTTGAAGGAGACATACTCAGCCAGCAAACATTTTTGACCTTTGCCCTTCCCTTTCTTCCTGCCTGGACTGCAGATGTGATGGCAGAGATGGGGCTGCCATCTTGGACCATGAAGCAACAAGCATGAAGACATACAAAGGATAGTTGAGTGGAAAGGTAGGAGTCTGATGGCACTGTGGGGTTTCTGTGCGAGCCCTGCAGTGCCTTCCAGTGGAATTTCTGTTGCATGAGAAACAGAAACCTTTAAGTAAACAAGCCACTATTTTTTAAGTATTGTGTTATGGACAGCCAAACCTATTCTGTAATTGATTAATTCCTGATTGATCAATCTGGGAATGATCCAATTTTAGTAATATTTTATCCCTGTCATTCCTCCTTCTCAGAAAAACATTCTCAGCATTTGAGGGCAGTTTTGAGGATTAAATGAGTCAGTATGAGTGAGGTTTTTGAAAGAGTTACTGATAGTAAATGTTGGTTTCTATTACAGAAAGTGGGTACAAGATACTTTTTCCAAGAGAAGAAGGATAGGGTTTCTGGAAGTCTTAGCTCCAGGTGATAGAGCTACAGTTGCCTTATACAGGAATATGCTTGAGAGGCAGTGCAAAAGACTCATTACACTTCGTATGATGTGTGTGCATCCTTATCTCATTGTGCTGAACTTTGATGAGTAAAACTTGGTTTATTACAGAATATGTGAAGGTATTGGTGGGAGCTGTACACAGCACAAGATCATGGACCATGGACAGTAAATCAAGTTAGAAATATTTATGGAGCACTGCTTATGCGTAGGGCTCAGTGTTGGTCCTGTGATTGGAGATAATTTTTGTCATCAAATAGGACCTGTAGTTTTATGGGATTTTGAGTGAAAGGGAAACAGTCATGAGAATATTTATTTGGTTACATGTGCACTACAGCTGAGAAAAGAAAAGGCACCACTACATGGCCCTTGCCCAGGAAGGACTCACAAAATCATAAGACAGTTCATATTTTTTAACTAAACATTTGGAAAAAAGAAGTAATTGTGAACTCCAGGAAAAACAAAAACGTTTCAAGAATGTAATTAATCATAGCATACTACCATGATCACAGTAAACTAGGAGAAAACAGTACTTAATCATAATAACTAAAACACTCAAAATAGATTAACCCTCAAATTATGAGGTAACTAGTTGGGAGAATGAAGGGGGTGAAGGGTATTTGAGAGTGCTAATATCTTCCTCTGCTATAAGAAGTCAGTAGATGATGTTTAAAATTGATAAATCAAGTGGTAGCAGTATATTTGTATTATGTAAAGATTTGGGATAAATTAGAAGAAAAAAAATCACTCAGAGATGATGTGGTTGCATGTGGGTGGGATGGGAAAGGCGAGGAACTGCCCTTTTTGGTGAAACATTTTAGACTATTTGACTTTTGAACTTTGATACATTTTAAGCTAAAACATTAATTAAAAATTATGTTTTGGACAGAACAAAAAAAGGTATTGAAGAGTGAAAGATCAAGAGAGAATGATTCCTTGGAAGCGGCAGTTGACAAAGCAAATTACAGAATATACTCAGTGAGAATCAGATGAAACACGGGAGATAAAAGGCTCCGGACCAAGAGGTCCCAGAGAAGCATTCAGAGGAGAAAGGCTGCAACCAGGAAGTCCACATACTCACAGCTGCTTCCAGGCCCCGGTGCTCACCCAGTAACAAAGCCACTTCTGTCTGGAAAAACCACAGCAAGGCGAGGCACGAAGCAGAAAGCCTTTAATTGGGGTGGCGAATGAGCGGCCCTGTGAACTCCAAATGCCTCCAGCAGGCTGGGGCACGCTTTTTCTTTCCCTTCCTCTTTGCCCACCCGTTGATGGCCTCGCTCTCCAGGGCTTCTCAACAGGCATTGTTGGTCTTTTGGCTTCTTCCCTGCTCTGGGTCCTGAGCCATCTTTCTGCCTTTTTGCTATTCCGCCCTGAGCATGCTATGGGCCAGTGTCCTGGGTTCTCAGCTCACCCTCTCTCCATCAAGATGTTTCTATCCGGGTTCTACCTCCTCAAACCTTGCCAGGTGACTGGGCATCTAAACTAATAATCCAGTAATAAAATCAGTGGTAACTAAAGGCTGATAGCCAAATATGTTAACCCTTTTTATTAACATTTCCAGATTAATAGTGGCCTTTGGAGCTTCAACTCAGAGGAATTATTTATCCGGGAAAGTTGGGCAGTCGGTGTCCAGAGATTAGGGACTTTTGGGTTGGACAATCCCTGGTTCCCATGAAATTGCTCCATGAAAGAACCTTCTGAGCATAATTGAGCCAGCCTCAATGTCCCCAGTTAAAGCTTTTTGGTATTGATCCAACCCCACGTTGATCTCATCTCCCTCCACACTGAAAGAATCCAATCTATTCTGCACTATTTTGTGCTTGTTTATTGGTAAGTTTTCCTAAGACAGGTTGCATGTATATCCCTTTGCTTCCTAAACTGGTCCATGACCTCCTTGAGGGCTGGCATCCTGTTGTCAAATGAAATGATAGTTTCCTTTATTAACTACACATGTCCTCCTTGACGAGTTTCTGGGGCCTTGACTCACAATCCTTTGGCTAAGAAACATGCTCTAGTCATAAGATGAAGCGCTGATGGGAAAGAAGGTATCAGTCTCTGCCTGTAAGAAAGAGAGCTAGAGAGAGGACAGAGGCAGGGCAAAGAGGCCAAGGACTGAGGTGCTCAGCACTCAGCAAGAGCGGGTTTCTCCGGAGTGGACAACACACTGCGTTTCGGGGTGGTCAGGTACTCACATGGAATTTTGGGGACTCAGTCTCCTTGAAACATTCTTCTTTGCTTATACTGCCCAAGCTGGGCTCATAAAAGGGGCAAGTTACTGGGAAATGACCCAAATCTGTAATTCTCAAAATCTCACGACATACACAGAGCAGGGTTTTTAGGACACTGTCGACAAATCCACCTAAATAGTTTCTGACCTGTGTCTCATGTTGTCTGGTGATTTCAAAATGCCAGAGAGGGTGAAGGGAGAGCTCAGGTATAAAAATGGTTATTTATCAATGAGAACATTTGGACACAGGAAGGGGAACATCACACACCAGGGCCTGTCGTGGGGTGGGGGGAGGGAGAGGGATAGCATTAGGAGATATACCTAATGTAAATGACGAGTTAATGGGTGCAGCACACCAACACGGCACATGTATACATATGTAACAAACCTGCATGTTGTGAACATGTACCCTAAAAATTAAAGTATAAAAAAAAATGGTTATTTACCTGTAAGGAAGGGCTTTCAGTGAATTAGAAACAAATAGTAATGGCAGATATAGAAACTACAATAGAGAGGAAAAAATAATAAATATTATTATGTTTTAAAATATAAAAACATAAAATGTGCTTTTATTATATAAAGTACAGAAAAACAAAAAGAAGGAAATAAAAACACCCATGTTAAAGAGTGAAATTTAAAGGGTTAAGAAACATGTTACACTTTTCAGATCTTTATATTTTAAGATACACATGTGTACACATATATAATATATACTATATACACACATTTTAGAACATAAATGAGATCATACAGTATATATTGTTATAGAATTTGCTTTTTTACTTAGTACATTATTATAAGCATCTTTCCCTGCCAATAAATATTCATTAACTTTTTCATTTCTAAAGCTTGAAGAGGATGTCATTGTATAGATGCGCCAAAATTAACCGAATCTCTACTTTTTTTTTTGGGACAGAGTTTTGCTCTGTCGCCCAGACTGGAATGCAATGGCACAATCTTGGCTCACTGCAACCTCCGCCTCCCAGGTTCAGGTGATTCTCCTGCCTCAGCCTCCCGAGTAGCTGGGACTACAGGTGTGTGCCGCCACACCCAGCTAATTTTTGTATTTTTAGTAAAGACAGGGTCTCACCATTTTGGCTAGGCTGGTCTTGAACTCCTGGCTTCAAGTGATCTACCCGCCTCGGCCTCCCAAAGTGCTGGGATTACAGGTGTGAGCCACAGTGCCCAGCCTTTTTTTCTTTCTTTTTTTTTTTTTCAAGACAGGGTCTTTCTCTGTCATCCATGCTGGAGTGAAGTGGTATAGTCATAGCTCACTGTAGCCTCAAACTCCTGGGCTCAAGCAATCCTCCTGCCTCAGCCTCCTGAGTAGCTTGGGACTACAGGCACATGCTACCACACCTGGCAAATTTTAAAATTTTTTTTGTAGAGATGGAGTCTCGTTATGTTGCCCAGGCTAGTAGTCTGTCATTTTTTTTTTTTTTTTTTTTTTTTTGGAGACAGAGTCTCGTTCTGTCTCGCTGAGGCATGAGCTTGGCTCACTGCGGCCTCCTTCCAGGTTCAAGCGATTCTCCTGTCCCAGCCTCCCGAGTAGCTGGGACTACAGGTGTATGCCACCACACCTGGCTACTTTTGTATTTTTATAGTGATGGGGTTTCACCAAGTTGGCCAAGCTGGTCTTGAACTCCTGACCTCAGGTGATCTGCCTGCCTTGGCATCCCAAAGTGCTGGGATTACAGGCCTGAGCCACTGCCCCTGGCCCACCCAGGCTAGTCTTGAACTCCTAGCCTCAAGGGATTCTTCTGCCTCAGCCTCCCGAAGTGCTGGAATTACAAGTGTGAGCCACCATGCTTGACCTCTACTGTTTAATTGTTTCTAGTTTTTCATTGTTAAAAGCAATGCATCATTTTACATTATTGAAATTCAGAGTTTTTATTATTATGTATGCTAAATATTCTGCTCATTTTTTTGTTGTTGCTATTCAAAGTCATCAAGACAGTTTTAGCTCTTGTTGGTAGGTGAGGCACGGGTCAAAAGAACTAAAGATAAGGGAGCAACTGGATTTAATCTGCAAGCAGCTGAACTGATGCTGTGAAAAGGGCTTGGGCATCCTATTGGTAAAAGAACAATAAACAAAGATGTAAGAAAAAGTAACCGGTTTTTACTAATTTAACAAATGTAAAGACACTTGCACTTTTAAAAACTATCTTTTTTTCTGTTTATTTCACAGTTTTTAAAGAAGATGTAACCAGTTCTTAATATTCTAAAAGTAGAAAGTATGGGCAAGTGTATAAATGTTTTCTCATTCTTTTCTACTTCTGCAGTGGAAGCCTGAATGCGTTATCTATTAATGGAATTACTTCCTAATCCTCTGCAAGCGGCAGCTTCCAGAGAAGCCAGCAAGGGCTGTGAGAAAAACTTTAAAGCCTCTAAAGCTTAAACTGAAATTTAAATTTACTTAAAAAGACTAGCAACAATAAACATGGATCAGTTGTTCTCGAACTAGATACTGTCCAAGAAGCTCTACAATTGTGTTGTGTAAAATAGTTGCCACCAGCCACAGGTGGCTGTTGAGCATTTGAAATGTGAGCAGGACAACTGAAGAACTGAATTTTTAATATTATTTAATTTTAACTAATTTATATTTAAAAACTGAAGCAGTATATTTTTTCCTGTAATAAACTCATTTCTCTGGTAGGACTGCGTTTCACATTAACCATTGCAGTGTCAGATATTATATTGTCATGCGTCTGTGTTGTTTCTAATGTTACATATAAACACATAATCGAGTAGTTGGGATTCAGTTCAAATTATTCTTTTCTATGCATTGATGTGACACAAGAACGTGTTTATTTGAATACTGTATGCAGGCAGCATGAGTTAAAGTGATACTCATATAAATTAAAATACTTAGTATTTTAATTATAGTATAATTAAACTTTTTTTCTACTTAGAAAATAAGTATGAATGAATTTTAGATTTCAAATGAAGGCATGCTACTAATGGAGAATCAAATGGAGATGTAGAAGTAGTACAACAGTAAAGAAGAGACTGGAAGAAGGTATGTTGCCAGTTTCACAGTGAATGGCAATTGCAATTTGCTGTGGCAGAGCTGTTTATTGTATAATTCTTTCCTAAGATAATAAAGTGGACAATATTAAGAGACATTTTCAGGAAATACATACTGAATTTTGGTAAGAAGTCTCCTCTAAACAGTAAAAAAGTTGATAAGAGAAGTCACCTGAAATTGGAATTAAGTGTCCAATAAAATATTTTACATATACAAACACACACACACACACACACCATTTAGCTGGAAAAATGGTAAAATAAATTATGAGTTTAGTTATGGAAATTGTTAGTAAATTATGAGGATAGAGAGTAAAACATATTTTACAGAAAGTAAAAGATTTTATGAATAAAAACTAAAAGATTTAAAAAATAAGTCATTAAACAATTGCCTAAACATGAACTTTCAACAATATAAATGATCAGGTGATTCAAAATTTGAAAAATTACAAGTACTTTTCTTTAGCTTCAGAGGCTATGCAACATAAGAGACACTATCCAATTAATTTCTTCAGGTATATTTTGTCTCAAGGGGCTTCCATATTTCAAAGAAATGTTGAAAATTTGTGCCTTAACATTAAACTCATAATGTACATAATTTCTGAGTCTTTTACATTTGTCAGAGTGTTCAAGGTAGAATTGAAAGAAAAATACTTTTTATAATGATAGATGATGCTCCAACTGTGTTAGGTTGAAAATGAATTTATTGGATTTTTAAAATAAGTGACTGATATTTCCCTTATATGATGTATATTGAAAATATTTGCTTCTCCCCCTCCCCCTCCCCCTCCCCTTCTCCCTCTTTCTACGGTCTCCCTCTCTTGCTGAGCCTGGACTGTACTGCCATGATCTCGGCTCGCTGCAACCTCCCTGCCTCGGGTTCCCGTGACTCTCCTGCCTTGGCATGCCGAGTGCCTGGGATTCCAGGCAGGCCCTGCCACTCCTGACTGGTTTTTGTATTTTTGGTGGAGACGGGGTTTCCCCATGTTGACCGGAAAGGTCTCCAGCTCCTGGCCTCGGGTGATCTGCCCGCCTCAGCCTCCCGAGGTGCTGGGATTGCAGACAGAGTCTCGCTCACTCAGTGCTCAATGTTGCCCAGGCTGGAGTGCAGTGGCGTGATCTCAGCTTGCTACAACCTCCACCTCCCAGCTGCCTGCCTTGGCCTCCCAAAGTGCTAAGATTACAGCCTCTGCCCACCCACCACCCCGTCTAGGAAGTGAGCAGCGTCTCTGCCTGGCCACCCATTGTCTGGGATGTGAGGAGCCCCTCTGCCCGGCCGCCCCGTCTGGGAAGTGAGGAACGCCTCTGCCCAGCCGCCCTGTCTGGGAAGTGAGGAGCGCCTCCGCCCGGCTGCCCGTTGTCTGGGAAGTGAGGAGTGCCTCCACCCGGCTGCCCATCGTCTGGGATGTGGAGCACCTCTGCCCGGCCGCCACCCCGTCTGGGAGGTGAGGAGCGCCTCTGCCCGGCCGCCCCGTCTGGGAAGTGAGGAGTGCCTCTGCTCGGCCGCCCCATCTGGGAGGTGTACCCAACAGCTCCGAAGAGACAGTGACCATCGAGAATGGGCCGTGATGACAATGGTGGTTTTGTCGAAAAGAAAAGGGGGAAATGTGGGGAAAAGAAAGAGAGATCAGATTGTTACTGTGTCTGTGTAGAAAGAAGTAGACATAGGAGACTCCATTTTGTTCTGTAGTAAGAAAAATTCTTCTGCCTTGGGATGCTGTTAATCTATAACCTTACCCCCAACCTCCTGCTCTCTGAAACATGTGCTGTGTCAACTCAGGGTTAAATGGATTAAGGGCTGTGCAAGATGTGCTTTGTTAAACAGATGCTTGAAGGCAGCATGCTCCTTAAGAGTCATCACCACTCCCTAATCTCAAGTACCCAGGGACACAAACACTATGGAAGGCCACAGGGACCTCTGCCTAGGAAAACCAGAGACCTTTGTTCACGTGTTTATCTGCTGACCTTCTCTCCACTATTATCCTATGACCCTGCCACATCCCCCTCTCCGACAAACACCCAAGAATGATCAATAAATACTAAAAAAAAAAAAAGAAAAAAAAAGAAAAAGAAAATATTTGTGTGGTTTGCTGGTACAGACTGTATGAAAGTGTTTTGATATAGTTGTTAACATCCTTTCATATGTGTGTGCAAATGCTATTAATCATTGGCAGTTTATGGAACTGTTGAAAGAAACAGAAGACAATGAATTGAGTGATCTTGTATTCTTTGGCAATGCTCATTAGTTGAGCTGTGGAAGAGCTTTACAGATTTACTGTATTGTTAGCTCTAATTTTCTTGAAACAAAAAGAATGCTTGCCAAACATTCAATTATTAAAGACAAAAGTGGCAGTGTGCTTTACATTTTCTCACTGATATCACACCACATATGAATGAGCTAAATTTGAAGTTCCAAGGAAAGGTAAAACTTGTTTGTGACCTAACTAGACAGATAGAACAATTTATATTGAAATAGAAACTTTTTGTAATACAAATCAATAGTGATTTTATACTTTCTAGAGTATGAATTAATATGCAGAATATTTTCATGAAAATTGTCAAAAGTACAAGGAAAATTTGAACACTGTTGATATTGATAAATTTACAGTTGTATTTCAATTTATTAAATACTTTTAAAATTTGATATTAATCTTGAGCAGACACGGGAGTAACAATTCACGTAACTGAATGTAGTTAAATGAATGTGGTTTTGAAATTGAAAATGCTTATGCTTCAAAATCAAAGCGAAATTTTTTTTTTATTTTGTTTTGTGTTGTTTTGTTTTGTTTTTGAGATGGAGTCTCGCTCTGTCGCCCAGGTTGGAGTGCAGTGGCGCAATCTCGGCTCACTGCCAGCTCCACCTCCCGGGTTCACGCCATTCTCCTGCCTCAGTCTCCCGAGTAGCTGGGACTACAGGCGTCCCCCACCACGCCTGGCTAATTTTTTGTTTTTGTATAGTTAGTAGAGACGGGGTTTCACCATGTTAGCCAGGATGGTCTTGATCTCCTGACATCGTGATCCACCTGCCTCGGCCTCCCAAAGTGCTGGGATTATGGCCACAGCGCCCGGCCAGCAATTTTTTTTTTTATTTTTTAAAAGAACCAGTTTGTCAATGTAAATGCAAATGTTAAAGGAAAATGATTTTTGAATACTTGATGGAATGATTGGAAAACTTTTAGTGTTTTCGGAACAACTTGGGCATAAAAATCTGCTTTTTAAATGGTATAGTTTATGAAATCTAAATCAGATAAAGTAGTTCTAGGCATATAAATTGAGATATTTTGTACCTATAAAATCCACACTGGATTTTGAAGATTTTGTTCAAATAAAAGAATGTATAATATTTAATTAATATTTTTTATGTTTATTACAAGTTGAAATTATATTTTAGACATATTGTGTCAAATAAAATATATTACTAAAATTAGTTTCACCTTTGTTTTTTACCTTTTTAAATGTGGTACCTAGCAAATTTAAAATTCTATATGTAGCTCACATTGTATTTCTGTTGCCAGCACTTGCCCCATACATGCCAGCTTTATGGATTTTGTGGATTAGTTCCAAAATCCCAAAGGTATCACTACCTAGTTATATATAAAATCATCCAGATCAATGTCACCTGCCCTGTAATGCCAAGTTTGTGTGTGTCACTGACCCACCATATTCTCTCTTCATTGTCAACTAGGGAATCTGTTTGTGAGATGCCCAGTCAGAGTTCAAGGTTCAATCTGGCCGTGTAACTGAATTCCCTGAAAACAGCCTGTCCATGGAGGAATGTAATCAGTGATCTTGGACTAGTTATCATTAATTTCAATCAACTTAGGAAAACTGTAAGTGAAGGAGAACCAGAAATCATATCTTAGATTATATTAGTCACTATTGATATGGTCACCTGTGCCTGAAAACAAATTGACTCATGGTGCCAAGCAAGGCCTTTATGAGATAAGACAACAGCTGGATTCACTGTCTCAGTTCCTGAAAGAGAACAGAGACCAACTAGGATCAGTACATTCCCGAGCCTGGCTAAAGAGAGATTGTCACGTGCTATAATTCAGGGGAAAAATTAATCTGGAAGTTTCTATCTCCCTTAGCTACCTTTTCCATACTCTTGTTTTGTCTGGATTCCTGCCAGATTCAGGATATTTGTGTTAGTGATGACTTGTGGTTTAAAAAAGCAATTATTGGATCAAGTCAGAAGATCTGGATGAGAGGTCCTGGTTAATTACACAGTCTCTCTCAGTTTTCTCGTCTGGATTGGATCAGCTGATCTATAAGAAACCTACTAGAACCAAGGTCTTCTGTTTCTAAGTTGTTCTGGTAGTAGCTGAGACACAAATCCCAAACTATGTAAAACTCACTTAAAATCTGAACTCCATTATAAGAACAAGACTTGAAATGCTATCATTTTCTTTCTTCATCAAAGAAAGAAGAATGTGGAATAATACACTTGTATAATTTTTCTATTTACTGGGAGTCACTATTATATTGTTTTATAAAAGCTTCTTGATATTTTTCCCTTATCAAAAATGAAATAGCAAGAAGGAAGATTTAGGTATGCTGTTACATTTCTAATCTTGCTCTTTATTTGTAAGTGTGGGACCCTAAAAATGGAAGGCTGTTTGTGTAATAGCATTATAGAGAAAATGGCCAAAGAATCATATTTCTTTCTTTCACTCACTTGATAAAGCCTTCAAATGTTAGTCTGAATTAACTTTTAGTGGTGTTAGAAGTGAAAACTAGCTCTCTAGGGTAGATAGTTTTTATGCTAATTTCATGCACCTAAATGTAGACAATTATTCTAGGGCATGTGAATGATCCATTCACTGAATGAAGAAAAATTATTCCAAATGATTATTGATGAGTTAATCAAGATAACCATGTAAAGTTTTTTTATCCATTAGTGGTAACATCTACAGTATTTCACAATCATCATAATAAAAGAGCCAAATGCTAATGGGCAAGGTAATCAGACTTAATGAAGAACAGTGAAAAATCTGCTTTTAAAAATAGTTTACAGTTTTCATAATCACTGAAGTGGTCAGTGAGTCCCAAGATTCTTCATATTTCATAATGTGTGTTTGCAAATTTTTTTCATCACTTAAAAAATAGTCAGATTTTTCTAATGTAAAAAAAGAACAGAAATAAAGGGAGAGGGATTCATCTGAAAAAATAAATACATATTTAAAAAGCTATTCATATTGCAATGGTGATTTAAAATGGGGGAATCTCTATGCATTTAAAAATACACAACTACTTTTTTAATGTTTTTTCTCCCCTCTTTATCCTTTTACTCAAATTTGGTAATTTTATCAATACAAGCTCAGACAAGTCTGGACTCTCAATTTTATTATAATTATTCATTATATATTGTGGTTTAAATTTGTATTGATTTATTGATTCTGTACCCCAATGTATTGCCGTGATGACATGAGGGCCTGCCATTCACCCTCTTTTGAGAAAAGCTATATAAAGTGTTTCCTTATTAATACATCACTGTATTTTGTATCATGTGGTCTCATTACCCTGGCATTTTAAGGTAGGCCCAGCTGGGGCTGCACCCTCCATGGAGCCAGTGGGAACCCCGCCCCTTCTGAGTTGGGGCGGGAGCTCCCCAGGCGCTGCTGCGGCCGCCCAAAGCCCTTTCGCAGACCCAGGCCTCCTGCTCTACGGAGCAGGCAGGCGCTCCGCCCTCCTGGGCGGGGCCACAGCCACCCAAACTGCTGCTGTGGATCCGAGCCTCCCTGTTCCCTTGGAGTTGGGCCCAGAAGCAGGCAAGATCTGCCCTCCCAGGTGCAGCTGCAGCCTCCTGAACCGCGGCTGCAGACCTGGGCCTCCGGCTCCACGGAGCAGGCAGGAGCCAGGACAAGCAGGAACCCCACCCCTTCTGAGTTGGCGGGGCGGGAACTCCCCGGGGCACCTGAGGCCGCCCTCCTAGGTGCAGGACCTGGGCATCTCTGCGACCTGCATCCTTGGGGACAGGAAGCATCAATTAAGCAGAACCATTCTTACTCTATACTCTTAAAATTAGTTGTGGGTTAAATGAAAAAGTCAACTAGAACAACAAAAAAGGTAACTATGAGGTAATGGTGTGTTACTTAGCTTGATTGTGGTAATCATTTCACAATGTAAGTGTAAATCACAGCATCACATTTACACCTTTAATATGTACAATTTTTATGTA
Organism: Homo sapiens; assembly: GCF_000001405.40. NCBI lineage: Eukaryota > Metazoa > Chordata > Mammalia > Primates > Hominidae > Homo > Homo sapiens. The sequence continues at coordinate 62,924,139 of NC_000010.11, read as the reverse complement.
TCAATTATACCTCAGTAAAGCTGAAAAAAGTGAGAAATAATAACAATACATGCATGTACTGCTTTAGCCATTTTAAAATATTTTTAAATCTTAAATTTTGGGGGGTACATAGTAGGTGTATGTATTTATGGGGTACATGAGATATTTTGATACAGTCATACACTAATAATCACATCAGGGTAAGTGGGGTATTCATCACCTCAGGCATTTATCCTTTCTTTGTGTTAGAATCAATCCAATTATACTAGTATTTTAAAATAATAATAAATTATTGTTGACTGTAGTCACCCTGTTGTGCTATCAAATACTAGATCTTATTCTTTCTATCTTTTCTTACCCATTAACCATCCACACTCCCCCTGCATTGCCTACTACTTTTCCCAGCCTCTGGTAACCATCATTCTGTTCTCTCTGTAAGTTAAATTGTTTCACTTTTTAGCTCTCACAGGTAAGTAAGAACTTGCAATGTTTGTCTTTCTGTGCCTGGCTTATTTCACTTAACTTAATGACCTCTGGTTCCATCCATATTGTTGCAAATGACAGGAACTCATTCTTTTTTATGGCTGAATAGTATTCCAGTGTGTATATGTACCACATTTTCTTTATCTATTTGTCTGTTGATGGACACGTAGGTTGCTTCCAAATCTTGGCTGTTAATAGTGCTGATATAAACATGGGAGTGCAGATATCTCTTCAATATTCTGATTTCCATTCTTTTGGGTATATACCTAGCAGTGGGATTGCTGGATCATATGGTAGCTCTATTTTTAGTTTTTTGAGGAGCATCCAAACTGTTCCCCATAGTGGTTGTACTAATTTACATTCCCACTGTGTATAGGGTACCCTTTTCTCAGCATCCTTGCCAGCATTTGTTACTGCCTGTCTTTTAGATAAAAGCCATTTTAACGGGGTGAGATGATGTTTCATTATAGTTTTGATTTGCATTTCTCTGATGATCAGTGATGTTGAGCACATTTTCATATGCCTGGTTACCATTTGTTTGTCTTCTTTTGAGAAATGTCTATTCAAATCTTTTGTCCATTTGAAAATCAGACTAGATTTTTTTCCTATAGTCATTTGAGTTCCTCACATATTCTGGTTATTAATCCCTTGTCAGATAGTTGTGCAAGTATTTTCTCCCACTCTGGTTGTCTCTTCATTTTGTTGATTGTTTCCTTTGCTGTGCAAGAGCTTTTTAGCTTGATGTGATTAGCCAATCTTTTAGGCAGAGCCATAGCCTCATTGACGAAAAGAAATACTTTACAGAGTTTGTAAAGTTTACAAACTGTGAAATATTTAAAGAGGTTTATTCTGAGCCAAATATGAGTGACTATGGCCTGAGGCATAGTCTCAAGAGGTACTGAGAATGTGTGTCTGAGGTGGTTGGGTTACAGCTTGCCTTTATACATTTTAGCAAGACATAAGACATCAATCCACTCATGTGAGATATACATTGGTTCAGTCTGGAAAGGTGGGAGAACTGGAAGTGGGGGTGAGGGGACTATCAGATCATTGGTGAATTCAAAGGTTTTCTGATTGGCAGTTGGTTGAAGCTATTATCTGAAGACTTGGAATCAGTAGAAAAGAGTGTCTGGGTCAAGATAAGGGGTTGCCAAGACCAATGTTCTTATGAAGTCTCATAGGTGGCTGCCTTTAGAGACAATAGATAGGAAATGTTTCCTATTCATATCTTTAAAAGGTGCTAGACCTCTTCAGGACTGGGAGGTCCTGGAAGGGGAGAGATCTGTATGTTAATATGGACTCTTTATAGTTGCAAATTTCCCCCACAAAACCCAGCTTTGCAGAACCATTTTAAAATATGGCAAAGGAACATATTTTGGGGTAAAATATTTTGATTTCGTTCTTTATTCATCATATGATATTATGCCAGAGTCAGGTTGGAAAGTAAGCCAAGTAGGGTTAAATAAAACCCACCTGATGATATTTTTTTGGCTTGTAGAGCATGGCTCCCCAGATTCCTTAGATAGGAATTTGGGCAAGAGAGAAAAAGGGTGAGGATTTAATTCTCAGCCTTACTTTTGCCTATGCATCTTTGCCTACAGAGTTTCCTGTCATCTTTCTTGGTCAAACCACACTTGACAATACTTCATCTACTTTTCAAGTTTCATTATCTTTTTTTTTTTTTTTTTTTTTTTGAGACAGAGTCTCACTCTGTTGCCCAGGCTGGAGTGCAATGGTGTGATCTTGGCTCACTGCAACCTCTGCCTCCCGGGTTCAAGAAATTCTCCTGCCTCAGCCTCCTGAGTAGTTGGGATTACAGGTGCCCAACACGACACCTGGCTAATTTTTGTATTTTTTTAGTAGAGACAGGGTTTCACCATGTTGGTCAGGCTGGCCTCGAACTCGTGACCTCAGGTGATCACCCACCTCGGCCTTCCAAAGTGCTGGGATTACAGGCGTGAGCCACTGTGCCTGGCCTCATTATCTTTAAAGCAGATTATTTAAGGAATTTAAAGACATTTACAAAGCTGATGAATAAAGAACTTTTCTACATTCTGTAATTTTATGAAAAACTTCTAAAATTTTACACTTAACCTACACATATTATATTCAAAGGCAATTCAAACACTTGACTAAGTTTTTATAGAAACAATTCTCTTCTTGCACTCATCTTACACTTATATTGGTTTATATAATACTTGATTAAATTACATAAGTAAAGGAACACATAGAACCAGCATAAATACATTTGGAAACAAGTGCAACTGGCTCTTGGTAAGCAGAAAACTTAATTGTAATTGCCTGCTGCAGAGGTGTCTATAGTTGCAAATTTCCAGCATGTTTTGGCCATCAATCAGTGTGTTTTGTAGAGGAAATGGAGAGCATTGGTTTTTCTGGTAAATTGGTTAAATAGCATTTGATTAAGAAAACTTGCACTGTACTTTATTCTAGATATATGAAATAGGGTTTTAGAAAGTTAAAGTTAAATGGATACTGGTGTTTAAATATTTACTTTACAAAGTATGCTCCCTTTTAAGGCATCAAGCCTGTTTTGAATGTTAAATTTCAGGATATGTATTATTTTTCCACTAAGCACAAAGCAGTGGTAACAGCCAAGCTGGATAGAAAGATTTCTTCCTTGTGGCTTAACTACAATTATGTTTTATTATGTTAAATATACTTACATCTTATGCAATCCTGTGCAGTCAAATCTCAGAAGTGAAAGAATGGGAGAAAGCTAATCTGAGGTTGTAAAATAAATGGATTTTGAAAGCAAAGAAATGCTGTTTTAGGGATAGCCTATACTAACCTTAAATTTTTTTTTTCTAATAGAGAACCTCATTGATATGATGGTAATGTATCAATTGAATAAGAAGTATGTCCTATAGTTAACCATGCTCAATAAGTATTTACCATATGAATGATTGAAGTATGTGGCTGCTTTAAGAACGTTAAAATTATTTTAAAATCTCCATTGCTACAATGTTTTAAATGTTAGTTTTCTTAGTAAATTATTACATTTCTTAAAAATGGTTTCCTGGAACAATGGTTTCAGAGTGTGGCACCTGGTATATTGTTTTCCTGAAAAGCACATTGTAACATGTGGTGGAATGATTAAGAGCATGGATTCTGGAGTCAAACTGAGTTTATATTCCAGTTCTACCACTTACTAGTTTTAAATTTTGGACAAACTAGTTTGACTTCAGTTTTCTCATCTAAAAGTGGGTATAATAACAATTCCTGCCTCATAGAGTTGTTATGAGCATTAAATGTAGACGATAATATGTGTTAATAATAGATTAACTATTAATCCACTGAATTGTCTTTTCATCTTTGTCAAAAGTTAGTTTCCCATATTTGTGTGAGTCTATTTCTAGACTGTCAATTATTTTCTACTGATGTAGGTGTCTCTGTTTATGCTAATATCACACTGTCTTGATAACTAGCTTTTTAGGAAGTCTTGAAATTAGGTACTGGTCTGTCTTGGTAACGTTCAATGTGCACTTGAAAAGAATGTGTGTCCTCTGTAAATGGAGTGTTCTAAGAATGTCATTTATGTTAAGTTGGTTGACATTGTCAAGTCTTGCAAATTAGGGGCCTAGGGGTCTGCAAATGTTTTCTATAAAGGGCCAGATACTAAATATTTTCAGTTTTGTGCTATACATTCTGTCGCAACTACGCCAATCTGCAGCTGTAGCCAAACAATGCATAAATGGGTGTGACCATATTTGACTCACAATGAGCTGGATTTGGACCAAAGGTATGTAGTTTGCTTACCAAGTTCTAAGGCCTTACTGATTTCCAGTCAACTTGTTCTATCCATTATTGAGAGACGAGTGTTATAGTCAGCAACTATAATTGTAAATATGTCTATTTCTCCTTTTAGTTCTATCAGTTTTTGCTTTAAGGCATCAAGCTCTGTTTTTGTTTGTATATTTTTAAACTCTGTTACTAGGTGCATAACTGTTTAGGATTGTGGCTGGGCGCGGTGGCTCACGCCTGTAATCCCAGCACTTTGGGAGGCCAAGGTGGGCGGATCACCTGAGGTCAGGTGTTTGAGATCAGCCTGGCCAGCATAGTGAAACCCCCTCTCTACTAAAAATCCAAAAAAAAAAAAAAAAAAAAAAAAAATTAGCCGGGCGTGGTAGAAGGCGCCTCTAATCCCAGCTACTCAGGAGGCTGAGGCAGGAAAACTGCTGGAACCTGGGAGGCAGAGGTTGCAGTGAGCCAAGATCACACCACTGTGCTCCAGCCTGGGCAACAGAGCAAGATTCCATCTAAAAACAAACAAACAAAAAAAACACACAAAGAATTGTTATACCCTCTTCATCAATTTACTCCTTTAGAATTATGAAAGACCTTTTCATCATTTTGATCTGAAATCTACTTTTTCTAATATGAATACAGCTACTCCAGCTTTCTTTTGATTAGCGTGAACATGGTATATCTTTTCCCGTACTTTCTCAGAGCCGTCTGTTCTCAGGCCAAGCTTGCTTCCTACTCTGCCATAAGGTGAGCCATCTCTACCTGCCTGGAGATGGACCTGCGGTCATCCAGTTCCACCAGTGCCTGGCTGGGTAAGTGTGATTTACTCTGACATAAATTAGAAAACTATTGTGACTGCATATTTAATTTCACAGCCCCTACGCTAGCTTTAATCTGTAATAAAACAGACAGACTTCAGTGTCTGTATTTCTATCCTTTCAACATTTCGGAGGAAAAGAAAAAAGTGTTTTGATTTGTTTGCTAAAACCTTTGCAGGCGAGTAGCATGTGAAGGGAATATTGCATAGACACTAGCTTTTGTTACCTCATAAAGCACTGATTCTGAATACTCTATGTGCCCCTTGGTTACTGAAAAGAGGCAGAGCATCTTAATGTTGTCAAACTTGGCTGCAGCCAAAGTGTAAACATTTTGCTTTCTATTACCAAGTTATTTTTGCAACAGACACTCTTATATTTTGTTACTAAGTAAGACAACAGCATCTCTCGATCCCGTGTTAGGCTGTATCACCGGGTCTCACTCTGCCTCTGACTCTTGCGGGGCTCAAACTTTACCCCCAGAGATCCAGGAGGGCCATGAGGGGCAGTATTGAAGTGAAGCCCGGGGAGGGGGAGAGCTTGAGGAATGGAGTGAGAAGGTGTGTGGTTCATCTTCCCTGCTAAGAAGAAACACTAGAAAGTTCTATGGTTTGTTTTCCTGGTTTTGTTAAAATGAAGAATCTTTGAGTCCAAAAGCCAAAACAGCTCATCAGACATGTCACATATCTTTAAGCACAAGCTGGCTGGACCAGTTTCCCTACATCACCTTCTGTCCTTGTTACTTGGCCACAAAGTCACATCTTGCAGCCTGGGGAATCATGCACACTGAACACCTCTTAGAGGTGGTTCTAAAAACTATTTGGGGGGAAGAACAGACCAAATATCCAGAGGTGGTAACAAGGCCCCAGCCTCTCTGGAGAACACTCGTAACACCAACCCAGTCCTCTTCCCAAGGCCTGGTCTCCAAAAGGCAGCAATCTCTTATGCCAAACATACTTATTACAGGGCCTACTGAGGTCCATTTCTTCAGACACTTCTATGGAATTTCCAAGAATTCGTGCAACTTGTAAAATTATGAAACTTCTCATCTAGGTGCTTCCCCTCAGCTTCATTACGCAAGTAACTATTCTAGGTTTTGTGTTTACACTTCTTTGGGGTTATTTAAATATTTAAATATCTAGCCGTGTAGAAATTCAAATATCTCTTAATGAGGCAAACTTCTAAGCAGAGACTTCACGTCAATGTTAACTGCTTTCCAACTGCAAATGATGTGAAAGTTTCCCCGAACTAATGGCTGGCTGACTCAATGGAAGATGTCACCTTTAAGTTCCCTGAAAAGAAAAAGTCCTCCAAGCTCGTCCAAGGCCAAGTACAACTCACACCTTTACAGCATGAGGGGATATCAGCCTGTTCAATGTGGTTAAAGGGAAAACAGTGAAACCTGAGTTGACAAGAGGAGAGGAACATCCACAAAAGGGGAATGAGCACAGAGAGAAATCAGTCAGAACCTCAGAGGAAGGAACTGTGCTGGGTGTCACACTTTATAAAACGTTAACTAGCTCTTCCTCTGACATTATGAATCTGATATGATTTGCAGAGACAGTGGGGCCAAACGAACAGAAAATTCATTCCAGCCTAACATTCTTCTCTTCCATTTAGCAAGTGTCTTATTACTAAAGTTTATTTCTCTCAAAACTTGGTCTCTGTGTGGCCAGTTGGTTTTGTTCTGTCCCATGGGACCAACCAGGCTCTTAACCTGACCCTGCACTCTGGCACTCAGGGACCAAAAAGAAGGAATGATGTATGCTCCCAGTAAATAATAGTGTGTAGATTCCAGTAAAACAGTTCAGAGAAGGGTCTTGTGAAAATGGGGCTGGAGAGGAATTGTCTTGATGTGAGAAAGGTAGCATGCATAGGGTGGCTGTTGGATATCAGTGTTTTCCAGAAACAAATGGTGTAGTGGAACCATCAAAGGACAATGCTGAACTCAACTCTTTCTTGAAGTCATAGGAGGTGGGACATTTGTGTCTTGAAAGAAGATTACATTAAGCCTGTTGCCTATTCCTTCTCTCCTTCCAGAGCTATAAGTTGGTGCTGTTTGCCAGGGTTGGTGTCTACAGAGGGCCAGGGGAATTCCAAGCGAGGGACTCAAGGAGAGCTTCTTGGACTCCTCAAGGTAAGAGACGTGGTGAGATACTTGAGGATTTCTGGTTCCCATTCTAGTGCCTGCAGCATTAAAGAGCCAACAAGGACTTAAGACAGAAGCCCATGCCAGGAGTAAAGCATGTAAAATAGACTCAAAATTTGTCTGTGCCAAACCTCTTAGGAATGGAGTATCTGCTTAATGAAGGAGAACCCATCCATATACTTAGGAGTTGGAACACCAATATATGAGAGTTCTCAACCTATGGGAACTCTAAAAGTGCTCTTAAATTTGAATTCCCTCCCTTCCATTCTGGCCGAGACTTGGCCCCTAGGAAAATAGCAAAGTGCAAAGGTGTTGACTCTAGTCAGTTAATAGATCCACTAGTGTTTCTGCATTACTCACTGTTAGTCACCAAGCATTCACTAAGCATCCACTGTGAGCATGAACAGGACTACAGGCTGTTAGTTGTGTCATTTGCTGATGTGTCTGCCCTCTTCTACTGCTCCTACTTCCAACGTCTATGTAATATTTTGTATCTCCTGACAATGCAGCTGGGTTGGGTACTAACAAAGAAGGCCAGAATGAGCTCAAGGGTATTGCATTATTGCTGGAAGAGTGTTCCCATTAATAAAAGCTGGCATTGTGTAATGTCATTCACATATTACTGTACATGAGATGATGCAATGTGATGCTGGCCTTTGATTCACCCAGAGCTTAATGGGAGAATGAGACTGGTCATTCCAAATCCCTGAATTTTTACCACTGAGAATCATAAAATATTAGAGCTGGGAGGGACTTTAGAGAATAGCTCACCCAACCTCCTTTGTTTTACCAATGGGAAATCTGAGGCTTATGTTATTCTTTGTTGAATGTACCAACTGGAATCTGGCCAAAGTGCCTGTTTCTACTCACAAATGTAACGTTTGGAAACAGATTGGGTCCTGTGCCATCTGCTACCATCCTTGGTAGACTAGAAGACTAGGAATCCAGAATAGTTCCAAACCGTCTATGCACTTCATCTACATTATTAGCATCCCGGTTCCAGAAATTCTCTCCCTGAGGGTACTAGTATGTGGCACAAAGGCAGGGAAAATAAAAATAATTCTTGTTTTCTTATAATTTCATCTGATTCATCACTGCATCAAGGTGAGCTCGCTAATCTTAGATCTCAGATCTCCAGGGCATGGGCCCAGCCCTCTTTGATACAGAGCTATGAAGGCTGTCCAGCTTTGGTAGCAATCTCAATGGCATGTTTTTGTTGGACCATTTAAAAAATGACACAGTCCCCATTGGAGCTTGCACCTGTGTGTTTGTCTACCTTCTGCTGTATCTCCTTAATAGGGGAGGCAGGTAGTCTACCTGTTTAGAATGAGTTCAGGCTACGTAGTCTACACAGCATCAAGATATGGAATGTGTAGTTCACAATTCACTTTTGCCTGAATTATTTGTGTAATTGTGGAATGGGTTAGAAAGGGCATTTTAAAGAGTTATTCTTGGCTGTGGTAGGCTTTGTTCAATGGAAACATGTTTGGCTCTGTGTGAGCTGGCCTAACAGAGAAGTCATGGACAACATCCTCTTTCTTAGGAAAGCTTTCAACTGAAGAGTACTGCAAAAATCTTGGGGACACAGAGCCAAATGAAGCTGTTGACCCAGGGTTGGCCATCACAAGTGTTTTGTAGCCAAGGAAAAATTTGCCTGGGATCAAGATGCTTAGCAGGACTCCTGAGAGTGCCAGAAAGGAGACTGGAAATTAGTAGAAGTTGCTTCTGTTTTTGAGAAGGGCCCTTCTGTGTTTACATAATACAGAGTTTTTGAAATAGAAACCCCTGGCCAGAAAGTTAGAGGCCAAGAGAAGAAATAGAAATTAAATGAAATTCTTCCTTCGGCCTCCCCCTCATCTCTGTAAAAATAGACAGAGACTTCCTTTTCCACTTACAGATGGGGAGGGCACTGTTTTGCAGTTAGAGCTGAGTTGTGAGGTTGAGGCAAGCTGGGTTGGTGTTCGAAGAGAATTACCATCTCTTCGAATTGAAACCCATACCCTAAAGGGTCTTTGGATTGGGAAATAGTGCAACCTCCCCATGCATAAGAGTAGGAGGCACTCCATTTAACTCTAGAACACCATTTTTTGGCAAGCCTAGCATCTAGGCTTAACTTAGCTACACCCTTCTCCTACTTTATTAGAAGCTGGGCATTGAAACTTATCCCTGCCACCTACTAGAGAGAGAGCAAAGAGTATCAGAATGGTCTTTTGAAGGATCTGGTATATTCAAGAGACAAACGCACAGTTTTGTTTTCATTCATTCACTTGCTTAATAAACATTTATTCAACTTCTGCCTCTCCTAATCTGTGTGATTTGCCATGTTTGTGGAGAATGGAATATGAAATTACTGAGTCTTGGCCATCCACGATCTTTCACACTAGGCAGGGAGATAAGACAGACCCACAAATAATGATAATAAGCAGTGAAATGTAACAAGCTCCTCAAGAAAGACGGAATGAAAGGTTATAGAAATTCAGATTAGAGGAGGACCTAGCTGAGCTGAGGAGGGAAGGCTTCATGGTGGAAGTGACAGTAGGAATGATGAAGAGTAGAATTCCAGGTGGTGAACTGCACATGCAAAGGCATTAAGGCCACAAAGCATGGAGGTATGTTTGGAAAATAATGAGGCCTCTAGTTGGAGGTAATGTAGAGGATGAGTTGAGGGTAATAGGCACTAAGACTGAATGGAAACTTTCAAATGCCAGAAGAACCTGGAATGTAAGGTAGGAGAACAATGAAGAATCACTGAAGATTTCACAGAATGAAAACAAACTATGCTGTAGAAAAATTTATCTAGTAGACGGGTTTAGAAGGTGAGATAAGAAAGGGGAGGTAATTCAAGAAGTAATTAAAACAGTCTGGGCTATAGACAATGGAAGTCATGAAGAGGAGTGGGAGAGTAAGAGGAAGAGGAAGAGGCAGTAGAAACACAATGAGAAGGCAGAGAGGAGACACCATGGCACTAATGTGGCAGCTGATCAGATATGGGGTAGGTAAGGTAGAACACCTGTCAAAGATGACTGAGGATTTTTAGCTTGGTTGTAATTCCCCACTGGGTAATGATCTCGACTGTTTCTGTTTAGGGAGAAGGGTTTAAGAGAAAACTGATTGCTAGGATGAATTTGTCCAGGGCTTATACCTGGGAGCTATAATGATCTCCAAAGCAGTAGCCTCAGAAAATATATTGAGGGCTACACTGTGATGGAACTTTTTTGAGGGTGACAAATACAGAGAATGTGCAAGGCAGAAAATACCTGCTTTCAGTGAGCTTACAGTTGGAGAGGCAAGAATAGCACGAACAAATAACGCCACACTCTATAAGAAAGAATATAATGAATGGATTAATTATGTATTCAAGATTGTGAATTATACAGACATTTAGGAGCAAAGAAGAGCAATGAAACAAGTGGGGCTTCTTGGAGGAAATGTTACATAAGGTGTTGGGATTTGGAGGGAAGGAAGAGAGAAGTAGGAGAACAACGCAAATAAAGGCAGAGTGCTGGGGGTGGACAGTGGTGTTTATGAGGGACTGAACAGACTAACCTGGACATCTCTTCTACAGGAACTTAGAAAAGTTCTCAGTCATCTGAGGGGTATGAAGGGTGCAGGGGAAAGCAAACATTGAGCAAGATTCACAATAGGAGCATGCAAATATTATGCGCTACTCATATCAGTGGTGCATAATATTTGCATGCTTCTATTGTGAATGTCGACTATTAATGTAACCATATAATATTACTCTTTTGGGGTGATGGGGGAAGGAAAGTTGGGTGTGTGTGTATGAAAGAGCAAAGTTCCTATCTTCTTTGGCAGGGAACCAATAAATAATGCTTAAAATTAATACATCAAGAAATGGCATTGTAAGCACACCTACAAACATAGAAATGCCTAGGGAGGCAAGAGCTGCATGAGGTGAGGGTGGTTGCCTCTGGGGCAGGAGGATTGGGTTAAAGTGGGGCAGAGGGCTGCGAATATTAATTATATGATGTGGATTTAAAAACTAAGTATAGTGTTATAGTTTTTGAAAAAAAGAATGGAATTTTAAAATGCTGATCTGATTTCATCCTGAGGTGATGATTGGAGTGCATAAGTAAGACAGGACACCTGGGCCCACTGTGCTGCCTTTGATGGGGAGCCTAGGATGATTTCCTGGGAAGGTCCAAGGCTGTCTCAGCCAAGCTTGCTCCCTGGTTTTTCCACCTTCCTGGGGGGGTCCTCCAAACTCAGCTCTCTCAGGCCCCTTTCCTTTTTAAACACTGCCTTAGCTTTCCATCTGGGTTCTTCCCTCCATCTGGTCCGAGGCAGCTGGGCGGCAGCATCCACAGCAGCTCACTTCATTGATGGCCCCATGGAAACAAGCTCCAAACTTTCATTTCGTCCTACTGCAAATTATTAACAGGATGTTTCCTGTTCATGTTTATTAGCAATGGGCTAATAAAAATGATAACTGTGAGAAAGGGATAAAGTTGAATCTATCTTACAGAGTTCTTACCCTCCTGGTCTCGGGCTGTGGTTCCTAATTCCATTGTCCATTTCTAATGATCTGGTCTGGACTTGATTGTCCCATTTTTATTCCAGATGGCTCATCCAGCCAAGAAAAGAAAAAAACAAAATCCCGGGCAAGAACCGTTAAGTGTCACAAGTGGATGATTTGCATTTCTGGGGATCCCCCAGATAGGGGAAACCTATTTAAGTGAATGCTTGTTCTATAAAAGAATTGTTCTTCTCTTTCCAGACTAAAAATAATCATCAGAGTTCTCAGTTTATTTTGAACATATCTTCCTCCAAGCTTCTCAACTTCCTGTACTCAGCCCCCCTCCAAAAAAGAAAAATAAAGTTCTTTAGCCTCTCCAGATCTGGGGGAAGGCAGCAGCAAAGGTACATTAAAGTGGGAGACTTGGAAATTCACCTCAGCTCTGCATCTTTATCAGGGAGCCTTCCCGGGCCTGCAGCCAGGTCAGAGCTGTATCATCAGTCTGAGTAGGAAATCCATGAAAGATGATTTCACCTACCCTGATCTTCATCATTCCCCAAGAGCCCTTTCCCTTCAAAAGTCCCTGCTTTCAATCCTAGGTTTCTGCTGGGAAAGCAAAAGGTTTTCTTTTCGTCTTTCCGCTCCCTCTTCCTTCTGTTTAGAGCAACACAGCTCCAACTCCTCGCTCTGGGGCATTCCAGTTAACAAAGAACCTTTGTCTCTGGCAGATCCTCAGAAATGGGGCCTTCTGATAGGCTGGCTTGTTAGTGATCGAAAGCCCCAGGCACTCAGGTGGCCCAATGTCTTTATCTAGCTTTTTCATAGCCAACGATCAGTGATAAATGGGACATAAATATTCAGCAATAACCAATAAAAGCCCACACTGATTTCTCAGTCATTGGGAACCGCCCCCCTCCCCCATTTCTGAATAGCATCCACTTTTATCTCAAAAAGGCGCCAACAGTTTAGGAACCAAACTTTGTTAGTGTCCTCAGGCTAGGACTCTGGCCGCATCCTGGGCCTCTTAGGATCTGCACAGAAAAGCTTGAGGGAGTTAGGACAGTCCTCTCATCTCCCCTGGGGTTGCAAGCATTTTTGCTTTGTTTGTTTTCTAGTTCTGTAGAGTGAGTGAAGGAAGCAGGGAAAGGAGTCCCAGCACAATAGCCAGCCCTCCAAAGGCCCTGGGCTCCACACCGAAACGAACATGGAGGGAGGTAGCTGTGAGAAGGGGAGATATCCTGGCTACCTACGTGGTTCCTTGCTTCTTGTAGCTTTCTAATAGTTTGTAGCTGGTTCTGGCAGCACCCAGAGCAGAACAGTGGGAGGAACTGGGCACCTCCAGAGATATCCTCACTGATTTCTGGTTGCCATGTATCCAGTCACTGCTCATGCCAATGGAGAAGGCCTCAGGAAGAAGCTTCAGAGACTGGAGTGAACCGGACTGGCCTTGGTCACCGGCAGCTTCATCCTGCTGCGAAGGCCACCAGTAGAGGAAAAGATAGAGGGAGAGGAGTCTCTGCAGCAGAGCTTCTTCCAAAATATGGGTCCACAGGCTAATGAGGACCTCTCTGGTACTACTCTCCCCAGGCTCTTTATGAACATAAAGATGGCAACAACAGACACGGGGGACTACTATAGGTGGGGGAGGGAGTGGGACAAGGGTTGAAATCCTACCTGCTGGGTACTGTGCTCACTACCTGGGTGACAGGATCAATCATACTTCAAGCCTCAGCATCATGCAATCGACCCAGGTTACAAACCTGCACATGTACCCTCTGAATCTAAAAGAAAAGTTAAAATTATATGAAAAAAAGATTATGTTTTTCTAGTCTAGGTGGATGATCAGATGGCTCCTCTCTTTCCTAACAGCATTTACAGCCCTTCAATGTGGGCCATGTGAGACACTGGTCTGAGAAGAACTTTATGAATTATATCTCCTGGGAGCACTCTGAACTACTTAGTTTCCATTCCCAGAGTGAAACACACACACCTGTTTGGATTGCCATCTTTACCCTCCCTTTCAGCCTGGATTCCTAGGAGGTACCATTCGCATTTGGGAGAAACTGTCTGCCCCTTGTGGGGAAGCTCTTGCCTCCTTGAAGAGACAAACCCAATTTTATCCCTTCTGAACCATTGCAAGTTTTCTGCCAGTTGTGTAAACTACAAATGTCTTAGAAATATTAGCCCGGAAGTTGTTTTTTTTGGTTTGTTTTTGTTTTTGTTTGTTTTAATTCCCCAGCAGTTTACACAGTTTTGAGAACAGTTGTTTTTTTTGCACAAGCTCATGTTTGGAGATTCAGAAGCTCTTGGCTATCAATCATACTACTTTATTCCCAAGTCTTTCCACAGTGTTGAGGCTTCAGAGCTGAGTTCCTTCTGAGTTACTCTGGACTAAATTTCATCAGTCAGCCACTGCCTCTTCAACATCTTTGTATCTAGTCTTCTCCTTCTCCTTAGGAAATGTCTTGACTTCAGCTTATTTTTCTAATAAGAAATGGGACAGTGTCGCTGGTGACTCAGAGAGGAAAGGAGAAATCCAAACTCCTTTAGCCTTGTGCACAGAAACTGAAGTTTTAGAGGAATAGTTGGGTAGGTTTTTTTAATGGGCCATTGGTTTTTCTCTCCTTGAGTCTTGTCTCTTTGCCATCTTTGTCTTCTCTCCTTCCATCCTCAGCAGAGTTACTGAAAGTCTAACTAAACTTAGCCCCTTATGGCTGGGTAATTTGGAGAAATGTTGCCTTCTGGCATTTTACTTTTGTGAAATAAATGGGCTCAATGAATAACTGGTATATTCTAAGTCATAAATTAATTTTTTTCTCTTTGTTTTCTTCGCTTTTCTTCTTCGTTAAAAAAACCCCTTTTGTTCCTTTAAGAAAGAGGACATATTTAGGAAGTGTTCTGGCCTACCAATCGTTTAGTATTTATTTGAAGGCTGAATTACCAGGATTAATGCTATAGATTCATGACCACAAATATGGGTTAGTTAGTAGCTGTACGTTGAAGAGAACTGTGCTCAAATTCTAGCATGATGCTTATAGCTTCATGAACTTGGGCAAATTAATTAACTTCCCAGAGCCTCAGGAGTTTTATCATTAAATGAAGAATAAGGACATGCTTCATAAAATTGAGGGTAAAATTACATAGTGTGTGTAGCACAAAGCCTGACACATTGCAAGTTCTCAATCAGTGGTACCTATGGTGTCAACTGCATAGACCACTTTTAAAATTTTCCATGGGAATTAAAAAAATCTTAACATTCTTCCCTTGTTCATTTAGCATCTTTCTGGCTCTCATTCATAGCAAGTGATGTATTCTGAAGGAATACAAAGTCATTTTGAAATTAGCTTAAGCAAAACTTTCATAGAGAAGTCATTTCTAGTCATCTTCAAAGTGTGTACATTTGTGTGTGTGTGTGAATGCATGCACTACTCTAGATAAATTTCTAATACCTAGAAAGTTCTTTTTAGTACTTCTTGGCTTTCTAAAATGGATAACAGAGAATTTATTCAATTGTTCCTTCTTCCATGAAATCTTTCACTACACCCTGGAAAACCTGATGAGCTTTGAAACTCTGTACAGCCCTCGGGAAAGATGCTATTTTTCTTACTAGTATTTCTTAGTGATTTACATTGTTCCTCTTCTCTACTACACTTTAAGTTCCTGGAGGGCAGTGCCTTCCATGGCACCTAGCAGAGTCTCATGTGAAGTAAAGTAGACATCAGTTCAGGATTAACAGCCTGGACTCTAGAGTCAGACATGCCCTTAGGTCCAGTCCCACTACTTTTTGACTCCTCAAGCAGCCTTACTTAATCTTTTCTGAGTCTCAGTTTCCACTTTTGTCAAACTGAAGTGTTGGGGGTTGTTACAAGCATCAAAGAAGCATATATATATATTCTCAGTTCCTGGAATGTAATGAGAAATGAATGAAATTGTAGCTACATATAATTATCACTATTATTCATGTGCTAAATATATGCTTGTATGTTGGATGAATGGACAGATAGATGGATGGATGTCATTCTCTATAGCTGCAGCAAGCAGACCTTGCAATGAATTATAAAAGTATTCCCTCAACATTCTGATCTGCCAGGACTCCAAACTGGAATTAACATTGGGGATTTCCATATTTTTAAAGGTCCACCTCCACTCTCAGTTTTGTTCTGATCTTCCCTGTGATACTTGAGTTTTCTTCTGAGATCTGACACCTGACACTCCCTGACTCTCTTCTGTATAGTGAAAGCCCATCTTTTGCTGATAGACTATTGCCAATAGCAATATTATTTCTAGAAGGATAATCCTTATCTTGATAGCTACTTTCTAACATAAACAGAGAAGAGAAAATAAAAGAATACCATTTCCACACCAGGTAGTGGAGAGATAAACAAAGATGTCAGTAGTCGCTATGGTAGGAGAGTGCTTTTGCACGCTCAATTACCTGCCTGAGCTGTTGGCCTGCTTCCTGTCTGCTTTTCTTTGCATTGCTTGACCTTTAGACTGATGCTATTAAAATACATACCCAGTGCCACGTAAATGGTTTTCAATGCCTGGCTGCTTAGAGAAAACTCATTGACATGCAGCGTACAGTTACTTATGCATGTGAAAAAAAAAGATTAAGAGTCCTTTTCGACACCAGCTTGCTAGGATCATATTTTCTTGTGGCCCCTCTATAGATTACTGACCTCCCTATGGGTTTTTGGCCTCAAATGACACTGTAGCACCTGACATCTCCTTCTTTAGCTACCAGGTATGAAGGTGTATCTGTGGCTAAGAGGTTCTCTGCCCTGGGATCAGTCCTGGGCTCGTTGCTGAGTCACTAGTGGATGGAAACAGTAGCCTCATACTCATTTACACTTCTATGATAGTCTAGATTCATCTGTGTCTTTCACCTTTCTCTTGATTTCATTTAAATCCAGATACTGGAGTCCCTACTTTAAGAATACAGAGCTCTTCCCCACCCTGCTTGTTCGCTCTTACCGTTCTCTCCCTGGAAAGGGAAACAAGACTATAAACCTGACAAGGATTCCAATCTTAAAAAAATCAGCATGAGGGTCCAGATGATAAGAATGCCCCTGTGAGTTGAACTGTAGCACTTTGGTATTCACAGAATGATTCATCATTCATCCATTTATGTACATTTTATATAACAAGTTCATCTTCATGCATTTGTTTTCATTTATGTCAAACCTTAGGAGGAAATGGAAAGGAGTAGAAGAGCTGTTCTTGCTTCTTGACAAGATAGATTATTATAAGGTAGAACTTAAAGAGAATGGGAAAGATATTAAGAGCATGACAGTGGAGAGCTTGTCATGTTCCATAGGAGAGATGAATCTGAACTGGATCCTGAAGCAGAGAAGAGGGTTGGGTGCCTAGAAATAGTGGATAAAGACATTTGACCTAAAAGAACAGTGTCTGTTATATCAACATGGCTGTTGAGAACTAGCTCCTGCATATCTCTCCTCTTCCATGAAAAGGGGGTATTGAACTAACTTTAGAGTCAGTTTACAACCATTGGTTTTACTGCCATGAAATAGATGAATAATAACACAGGTAAGAGAGATGCTATCTTCATTCTTGTGAGCTTCTACAAGGCTGTTCTTGGCATAAGCAAAGTTATGAAAGCCATTTCATCCAGCCTCATGCCATTAGGTAAAGATGAATTCAGCACGGGGGGCATCTTGTTGCCAATAGGCTAGGATACTTCTAGTACTCCATGATGCATTTCTTCATGTGTTCTGATTCTAGATGCTAAGGCAGTAATGACAGGACATGGAAAAGGCTTGCCTCTGTGAGTTTCCATACTCACTTCCAGCTACTCTGCCACTTGCTCTCAAGGCTCCAGCCACATTGTCCTTCCAGAAGGCCCATCTCAGGCCTTCACATCACTATTGTCTCTACCTGGAATCCACTTTCTTCCAGTTATTGCTTGGCAAACTCCCACCCATCCTTCAAGTCTGTGAAAATGGATGGGACCAGATCTGGTTGCTCCATGGTGCCTATACTATTCCTTCATGACCAAATTGTAATGAAAATGTTTAGGTGTTAAAATATTTTCTCTGTATCCCCTATTAGACTATAAGTTCCATGAAGTCAGGGATTGTTAGTTTTGTTCACGTCAGTTTCTTTGAAGCCTAGCACAGGGCTGAGTGTATGGTATATACATAATAAACTTGGTCGAATGTTGAATGAATTAATGCATTTGGAGATCTTACAATCATAATGGCTAGTCAAACCATGTGCAAAATGAGTTAGTTAATTATGGAGACATTTCAAACGTTGCAGTAAAAATTGACATCATTGGCAATCCCAAGTTAGAGAGATTGTGATGGTCTTTACAGAGTTCTTTGCTCTAAACTAGTCCCCTAAAGTTATAATGTATTGAAAGAGGCCAAGAACAATAGCTGCTTGTCTCTCATCTGTGGAGACTGGGAATATTCTTTCAGATGACTTTCTAAGCTCTAGAGCTGGAGAAAGCACCCGGAGTGAGACATCATTATTGGCAGTCATTCATCTCTCTTCCCTTCCTTCCTTCCTTCCTTCCTTCCTTCCTTCCTTCCTTCCTTTCTTTCTTTCTTTCTTTCCTTCTCTCTCTCTCTTTCTTTTCTTGAGAAAGGGTCTCACTTTGATGCCCGTGATGGAGTGCAGTGGCATGATCATGGCTCACTGCAGCCTCAACTTCCTGATCTTTCAGGTGATCCTCTTACCTCAGCCTCTTGAGTAGCTGGGACTACATGCATACACCACCACACCCAGCAAATTTTTGTATATTTTTGTAGAGTCAGGGTTTCACCATGTTGTCTAGGCTGGTTTCAAACTCCTGGGCTCAAGCAGTCCTCTTGCCTTGGTCTCCCAAAGTTTTGGGATTACAGGCGTGAGCCACTGCACCTGGCCAACTTTTCTTATTTTCTTCTATCTTTATTTGTTTCATTTTTTTATGCATCTACTTTCTTTCCTGCCATTGTACTCTGTGGCCCCATGAACATGGCTTGGTTATGGTGTTCCAATCTAAACAGGAGCCAATTCTTGCTTTAGAGGAAGTAAGGATTTCATGCTAAAACCCAGAAGGTGGTTCAACTTCAGGCCACAGGTCTTGGCATAGGAAGGTGCCATTTGGGCTGATAGCATAAACATAATGGAATAGTTAGACCACAGTTCTTCCAAGCATCACTTTCCACTCCTCCTCTGCTTCGAGAACCTCATCCTGTTTGTTCATAGTTGATTAAACCCTGTCTCCTCTCTTCCATATCTTGAAGGCTAGTTCAAGCCTCAGCATCTGCTTTCTGAATTATTGCAGTAGTCATCCACATCGTCTCCCAGATTCTAGGAGCTATCATTTCCAAAGCACAAGTTGTATCGTCCTGTCCAACTCAACATTTATGATGCCTTTTATTGCTAGTATGAATTCCCACCCTCTCAGCAAGTGTTGATACTTTTGTCTCTTTACAAGTTGTCTCTCAAATCCCTTCCATCTCTAACCCCATCCAACCCTCCCCAAAGTGCACAGTACTCCAGCCCCCTGGACTCTGATGACCATCCCTTCTGACTCCGTTTTATGTTTCCGTGGCTTTGCACACACTGTTCTCATTGTTGAGAGACTTATCCTTGCTGAGCTTAAATGTTCCCTCTTCTGAATGTCTCTTCCTAATCCTCAGAGTCAGAATTATAAATTCTCTCCTCTGTACTCCCAGGCAAGTTTACTTCTAAGTCATTTACAGCTTGCCTTGTTTTGTAGTGAAGAGTTTGTATCTGTTTCTGGCACTGCCTGTGAGCTCCTGCAAAAGCTGAAACCATGTTTAATATGTACAACCTCTATATGATCATGATTTTCCAGGGAAGTGACTTTTTTTTCCTGTCTTACTGCTCATATAAGTACACCCGTGCCTGTCAGACCATACATCTCTTCCGAAAATATGGTCACAGCTTTTATTCATCTTTATATATGTCCTTTTACAGAAAATCCTCAGAAATAGTTTGTCGAATTGAATGAACTAAGTGACTCCTTACGAAGCACGTTCCCCCCATGGTTCTATGATTCAATTAGGAAAAATATACTTATGTCTTGGACCAGCTTTTTCTCCAGATGTCCTGGCAGCTGAGGAAAGTCAGAAAGAAAAAAATTTAAAAACACCTATCCATAAAGAATAATGGAGATTGAGGTTTGAGGTGAGGAAGAAGGAATTCAATGAATGAAATCAGAACCATTAAACTTTTAAGGTGCCTGCCCTCCTGCTTGTTGTATCATTGTGTCAACACATAGCAACAGTTTCCTATTGTTGCCAACAAGGCCTTACAATATTACCTTTCATAATGAAAAACAACAGCTGTAGCACAGCCTGAGAACAACACTGCTTCTGTATTGAAAGCCCAGTTCTTAGGAGCTCTAATCACTTCTAAGATAGCATCTCTCCAATTCTCAGAATATCCCTCAGAGGGAAGGAGGAGGCTTGTATTGTTATCGGCTCTATTTTGCATACAGTAAAAACAAGGCAAGAGGAGGTTAAATGATTTGTCCTTGGTCATGTGTGAGTCAGAGACTGAGCCAGCCAGAGAAGTTTCTTCACTTCCAGGCCATTGTTCTATCCTGATATTGGCTAACTCTCTCCCTCCATCTTTGTAACTGGTGGGGACAAACTACCAAGGGAGTGACAACTGGGTTATCTTTACTTCCCAAAATATAAATGTTGGCCACTGACCAAGAGAGTTCACAATAACAAATGTAAGGGGAGTTGTATGTCTGTAGTTTTGTGTGTATTCCTTCAGTCAACAGATAGCTTTGGAGGACTTGTGTGTGTCAGGCATTTTGCTATCCACTGGGGATGTGGAGTTGAGCATGAGAGTCATTGTTCCTGCCTTCAAAGAGCATCCACTCTAGCGGGATCACAAACATTAAATAGAGAAAGAAACAAATACAACTATCATAATGAATCTGTCATCTTCGAGCAGGCTGGGGCCATCCATTAAAAAGGTTCGTAGCCTTTTTTATTCTCTATCTCTCAGCAGGATATTCGAGACCCATTGCAATCTATCTTCAAAATATCTTCCATTTCCATTGGCCTCCAGTAGTTCTCTCTTCCCTCTGATAAACAGAGTGCTCCAGCCCTACTAGACTCTGCCATTCCTGGGCCACTCAGTTTTAAGTTTCTGTGGCTTTGATGAAATGGGCGGAGACACCTTAGGCTTCTTAGACTAGAAGTGAGGGTGTGGGGAGAATGGAGTGAAGACTGGAGCCATGCCTAAGGAGAGATGAAGCCACTAAAATGCTTGGCTAGTGAACATGTGTCCTATAAGTGAAAGGTTGAGAGGATGGCTATTACAATGTCTATTGCTGTGGTTAAGCACCTTCACACATTTTAGCTAGTGTAGAGGAGAGAGTACTGGATTAGGAGACTGGGTGCCTGGACTGTAGTCCTGCCTAGACCTTGGCTAAGTCACAGTATGTCTCTAACCTCAATATTCTCTTTGGTCACATTAGCGGATAGGATTAAGTGTTCTCTGAAGGCTTCAGAATAAGGATGTCCCTATGGTTCTTCAACCTGATTTCACGTGTGTGTGTGTGTGTGTGTGTGTGTGTGTGTGTGTGTGAATGTAGTGGCATAGGGTGATAAGATAGGGGGGGATAATTTTTAAAATGGGACCAGCTCTTGAGAACTACTGGTTTCTTCCAACTATGCATAAAACCACTGCCAAGGTGGGGTTATATATTTATATTTGTGTTTCCACATCAGTTACATTATACCCAGCCCAGAATACAATGTATTCTCTCCATTGTAAACACTTTTGTATCAAGCTACTTCTATGGCCTTCCCAGACCCTGAAGACCTTGTATGGGGGAAAAGATTTCTCCTTTACCCTCTGAGGTTCTGTGGTTGGGCCTGAGAATTAAACTTACAAAAGACAGATTAACAGGAGAAAAGCATACAAACTTTATTTGATGTTAATATTTTTACATGCATTTATATATAGGAAATGAAGTTCCGGCCGAGAGCAGTGGCCCACACCTGTAATCCCAGCACTTTGGGAGATGGGAGGTCAGAGGTGGGTGGCAGGAGGATCTCTTGAGTCCAGGAGTTCAAGACCAGCCTGGGTGACACAGTGAGACCTTGTCACTACAAAAAATAAAAAATTAGTTGGACATGGTGGTGCATGCCTGTGGTCTCAGCTACCTGGGAGGCTGAGACAGGAGAATTGCTTGAGCCCAGGAGGCGGAGGTGGCAGTGAGTTGTGATCATACCAATGTGCTCAGCTTGGGCAACAGAGTGAGACCCTGTGGAAAAAAAAAAAAAAGGAAAGAAAAGAAAAAAGGAAATAAAGATCCAAAAAAAGAGATAGGTCTGAAAGCTTATTTACAATTTTAATTAAAAAAAAGTGAATTATGAAGATCTGACAAGACAAAGGAAAAAGGGATTTGGGCTAGGGGTGGCAAATTGTGAGAAAGTGATGAGGAAATAATGGAGGAACTAATGGAACATAAGGGTTATTTTGGTAGGTTTGTTTATACAGATTAATCCCATTCCATCCCTCACCCCATAATAAGAATGTTTTCCTCTTTTTGGCAAAAGAGAAGGCACCATTGTCATGGGAAGTTTAGTTCTTTCTTTAGGTAAAAAGGGAAAGGCCAAAGAGTCATTCTTGCATCTGCTGTTTTTTAGTTGCCTTCAGCTCAAAATACCTAATATGCCAAATTGGCATCTTTTGGGATGGCATATTCTGATTTCCTTCAACTTTTCTTTGTTTCTTTCTTTCTGGGTCCTCAGTTCTACCAGGAGGCAGTGCTATGGTGTGCCCAACCCTCCCAGGGGCCTAAGTGGCCACCCTCTTGGGAATGCCCAAAGCATCTGCTATTTAGGACTTGGTTACAGAGCACCATCAGCTTCCCCAAGGTAAGCCAGCATTGACTTCCAGGCCATTTAATTTACATCTTAATTTTGCTCATTGCTCATTTCTAAAGAGGGAGTCCATTTCCTGGGTTTTTCCAGCTCTCAGATACAAACAGATCGAGCCTTTAGTTTCACTCCTAAGATGGAAGACTTATTTCACAACACCAGTGGCCCCGCACAGCCTGATTTCTAAAGCAGAGACATACGTGCTGCACACTGCACATTTGCCAGTATTAGGTTCCTGCAACCAGTTGGGCAAGAGACTCTGTCAGTGACTCCTCTGAACTGATGCTTGAGGGTTTCAAATCAGTGGGAGGAGTTTTACAGAAACTGTAATACAGCCAACATTTACATGTCTTCAGGTATGTAAAATCTACATTTTTCTTACATATGGAGCATTTATTTCTAGTTATGCTTTCCAATTGTGCCATTCATTTCTTTTAATCAAGTTTAAGGATATGTCCTCAGTAGTAGATCTGAACCAGGCAGAAACGATGTGTCAAAAATATTTCTTGGTTAGTAATTGGTGAGACAGGGCCTTATGGTTTCCAATTATGGAGTCCTAGAAACTAAGTCATCCTTCTTTGAACTCTGCCATGGTCATTTCCAGACCCAGGAACAGAATGACTCAGAAATAGCACTGGTTTTGGCAACATGACTGACATCTTACCTTCAGGCCCAGAAATCAAAATCCCATCTCAAGAATGCTGTTTACTGTTTTTTTTTGTTTTTTGTTTTTATTTTTATTTTTGGTAGGTGAGAAGATTTTAGTTGGGGATATTGCATCTTTTATCCATCACGAGCTTTGTATTCTGCATTTCCCCAGTCCCCTTAGTTGGTTGCTTTGTATGGAGGCCATGGATCTGGAGCTGTGAGACCCTCATTGCCCCACCTTTAAATGCTTATTTCTGTTCCTTGTGAATAGGTGTGTATTAAAATGGAACAAAATTTGCTTCAGAAGAAGAGTAAAACTGTTGGTTGATACAAGGTTTTAGACATATGTAGGTGACAATTTATTCATACCACGTCTAACCATTTATTATTATATTGGGTTTTGAGGTCTGAGTGCATGTTCGTACTGCCCAGTGGAGAATATGTGGAAAGAAGAAGGCTTTCTTGGCCAGCAGCAGCTAACAAACAGCATTTTGGTCTTGGGTCCTTAATTATTAGGGACTAGCATGCCAAGGCTGACTTTTTACTAGCATGTCTCTTTTCCTTTAGGAAAAAGTTTTAAAACAGACTACCCAAAGGTCTTCCAATTGCTAGTTCAAGAGATGACTTGTGTTTGAATTTGGCCAATTAACATGACAATGTCAATGTCAAGATCCATTTCCAGGGGAAAGAGTTGTTCTTTGAAAGGCAGTTCTTGAGGGTGTCCAGGCTGAGAGGCAGCTTCTCCTCTGGGACTATTTGGATTTTATATTCCAGAGCCAAAAAAACATTCTTTAGCATTGGCTGACAAAATGGGTTTCAGAACAGGAGTTTCTAAAGCTGCAGTGGAAACTTTAATTATGCAGGTCCTGTCAAAATCCATCTGCTAATTCAACTGTTTCTGGGTAAGGTACTTTTTATTTTTCCAGAAGTATTACTGGATGACTCTCTGATAGGAATATGAAATTAACTTTCTTCATAGGCAAGCTTTAGTTTTTATTCTTTTCAGCATTAGTAATATTTTCTTCACAGGATTTATTTGCTTTGTAGCTGATTTGATAAAGGCACCTAAGTGACTTTAGAGCCGAGAGACAGAAGGTGTCATTTAAGGAGATGCTATTGGAGGTTTCAGTGTGTATGACTTTGTGATTGACTAGTGCTCATGACTTAGAAATAAAGCCTTTCTGTAATTTTTAAGAGGAGAGGGACATCAAAAGTTGTTCTGGTTCGTGCAAGACCCAAATGTTTGGCATGCTCATGGGCAAATCTGTGGTCTTAACCTTTTCAATATGCCTCATCGAAACAGTTGGAAACCTCTCTATTAGGCAATACTTCTATTTATGATGAGCATCCATGGATTTGTTTTTGTGGAGGGATTGGGCAGGAGTTTGAGGTAGTTGCTAAATGTATAAATATTGAATGTGCCAGCATCTGGGACATTTCAGCTTAAATATCAGACAGTGAGGCTTATGCAAGCCGCTGACTTAGTGAAACTTCTGTTATTTTAGGGCGCTTGCCTAGATAAGAAGCTATAGGACAAAACCAGAATTTTTATAACCAGCAATGTCATGTGCATTTCAAACAGAGATTAAGAAAAAAACTTTTACTAATGAGTCTCAGTTTCAGGAAAACCTCAGTGGAATTATATGTGAGAAAATGGACTTGTGAGTGGTGATAGTCTAACATCTACTTGGGGTCTGTAGCCAAAGGGCTTTTAAATACAGACTCCTCTTCACCAATTAAAATAAAGAACTCTATTAATTTTACTCGGTCTTCAAACCAAGGAAATTTCATGGCAAGTTTGAGAAAACAGTTCTCTGGGACCTCGAAATTGAGAGACAAAAATATTTTGCAGGGCTAAATATTCTGTGTAATGATTACAACTGTGATAGAGTCATCGCTCCGTGATCTGAAACGCTTGCTTTCCTGAGCCTGGTGGAGCATGGTTTTCAGTTAATTAAGAGCATCCCTTGCTTTTTAATTTGCCCAGTTTTTCAACCCCTGATTCATCTTTCTCCCAAGGGATAAATGTGTGGAGTGAGAGCTTCTTGCCAGGCCTTGCCCTACACTTTTCTCTACAGTCTGGCAGCTTTGCCTGCTATTTTGTCCTCACCTGCTGTGGAGTTGTGCCTGCTGTTGTCCTCACCTGCTGTGGAGAGTTGGAGAGTGTGTGGCTGCCTATTGTTATAAAGCTCTGGTTCTCTCCTCACCAGACAGGGTTTGAGTCTTCTCCAGCCATACTAGAGATGTCTTGGAGACTATTCTAGTTCTCCACCCACCTGATTTCAGTTTTCAGGTCCTCAAAGAGAACAGGAGATGTCCTGATTATTTTCTTCTAGGAACAATTTTACCAAGAGATGTGGGCCACCAAGTTAACCTCTCTATGCCTGAATTCTGCCTATCTGCTGTGCTGATCTTAAAGGAACACAGACCCTTTTAAATCATTTCTAGATCTTCAGTGTGCCTATTAGTGATTGATGGTGTTTTATTAAAAATGTATACTTTTGGGTTCTACTCACAGATTCTAGCATGGAGCCTAGGAATCGATATACTCAATAGTATCCCTTGGTGATTCTGATGCTGTGGTCCTAGGACCAGGTCTGAGAAACATTAATGCTTTAAAACGTGTATATGGCAAGAACTAAGTGAACAAATGGGTCCAAACTTCCTTATTTTACAGCTGTAGAAGTTGAGCTTAAACACAATGATAAGCCCTCAGCTAATCAGTGACAAGTTATCCTCTGGACTTCAGGACTAAAACCAGGTCTCCTGAGTTCTAGTTTATAAGGCTTCAAGTCAAGAGGTGAAATACAACAACACAGATCTGAAACAGCTCAGGGTTAGTGGGATCGAGTAATGTGGCTGCCTTGGCTCCGTCATGCAAATTTGAGGATGTCACTGAAATGCAACAACACGAGGCCTGCAGATTATTTCCTGAATTATCTGAAAGGGTCTTTGTGGAGTCTGTCAAGTCTAAATCTGCATTTGTTTCTTAAAATCCCCAATATAATATCCCTGCCAAGTAGGCATCCATTTAGTTGAAGACTACTCTCTTTGAAGACTTCTTGGGATGCTCCCAACCACGCCAATCCCCTTTCCCCTGTCCACTTCCTAACAACTCTCATCCCATACGATTAGCTCTATACTGGGCTGGAAATCTCTCCTCCACACCTGTACCTTCTACCCAGTGCTGGGCCTACTTTCAAAACAGATACAGAACAAGTCTAATTGGCCTTCCACATGACTGTGATCATGCCTTCTAGCTAAACATTCTTTTGTCGAGGTTGAACAATCCAAGATCCTTTGGCCATTTTTTGTATAACTTGGTTTTTAATATTGTCTTCTTTGTGATTGTTTTGCTTTGCATGCAGTCTGTTTTGTCATCTTTTATATTAAAATATAGCAACTGGAACAGAACCAGTACTCAGTGTGGTTTGACTGGTTCAAAATTCATTACTTCTAAGATACTTTGTGCCTAACCATAAATACAAAAATTACATTATCATTTTGAGTGGACCAATGACATTCAACTCACAATTAAAAATCCCATGTCTTTTCACAAGTGTTGCTACAATCATATGTCTCCCACCTAGTATTTGAGTTGATGATTTTTTTTTAAACTCATGTGTTTTATTTAACATTGATCCCAGTTAATCTTGCTGGAGTCACCCCACTGTCCTAGACTATTGACACCTTTTTAAAATGCTGATTTTGTCATTAGTCCGAGGTTACTTGATTTTATTCAATTATTCATTCCACAAACATTTACTGAAAACCTGCTATAATATGCCAATCATGGTACTGGATATCGGAGATAAAATGGTGAGCAAGGTAGTCATATCCCTTCTGTCATGGAATTTATAGTCGAATGACGAATACAAACCAGTTACCAACAACATGAACAGTACCTGTGATGATGAGTGGTGTGCATGTTTGGGTGCACACGTGGAAGGGTGACCCGGGGTGAACATCTTGTCCAGTTTTGAGGGTGGTGGTCAGAGAAAGCTGCTTTGTGGAAGTGACCTCTAAGCTGAGATGCAAGAGATGTGGCATTAGTGAAAGAAGAGTGTTCCAGGTGGGGCAATCCCATGATCCAAGGACCAGAGACAAAAGAAAGCACAGCCTGGGGGAGGGGCGGTGGGTATGTATGAATGGGACTGGCAGAGCGAGATGCCAGGAGAAGGGGCTCAACTCCTCAGAGGGGAATGGGGAGCACCTGTGAGAGTTTAGATTGTCTGGAATGTTGATAAAAAGTCTGGAGAGCAATGTCTGAGACTGACACCAGCCCATTCCTCAGCAGTTTGTGGGGAAGACAACTTGTCACAATTGCCAATCTCTGCATTTCTCCATCCTGCCCACCAGAGTATCCTAAAAGACTTGGTCAAATATCTTGCTGAACATCAGATACACCATGTCTCCTGATTGAGCAGACTAATACCCTTATTAAAAAGAAAATGTGGTTGGCCTTTGTCTGGCCTGACTTGGCCAGGTGCTCGCCACTTAGGACCAATGTTTGATTTCCTGTGCCACCTGACAGCCCTTGAGCTAGTCCTTGCTCTCTGCACTAGAGAAGAAGCCAGTGAAAAGAAAGATGGGCATCCTAAAATGTAATGGTAGGTAATTATGAAAGGTGACATGGAACATATTTCTCTTGCTCTTAAGATGTTTGCTGGGCTAGAAGCTGTCCTCATGTGCCTCTGTCTGGCTGTCATAGCAGAGGTATTACAGCCTATAAGAGGCAGGCCTAGGGATCAGATGGCCTGGTCTCAAACCTTGCCTTTTTTGGTTACCACCTGTGCAACTGGGGCTGAAAGCTTGACTTTCCTCAACTGTAAAAGGGAAATAAAATGTCTACCTCATAGGGCAACTTGTATTGGAAGTAAATGAAATAATGCACACCCAGTGCCTGTTGTATAGTAAATACTTGATGATAAGTGTTATTTATTTATTTATTTATTTGAGATGGAGCTTTGCTTTTGTTGCCCAGGCTGGAGTACAGTGGTACAATCTCGGCTCACTGCAATCTCTGCCTCCCAGGTTCAAGCAATTCTCCTGCCTCAGCCTCCCAAGTAGCTGGGATTACAGGTGTGTGCTGCCACACCAGGCTAATTTTTGTGTTTGTAGTAAAGATGGGGGTTTCACCATGTTGGCCAGGCTGGTCTGAAACTCCTGACCTCAAGTGATCCACCTGCCTCGGCCTCCCGAAGTGCTAGGATTACAGGCATGAGCCACCACTCCTGGCCTGATAAGTGTTATTTATTATGTTTCTAGAATAATTTATATTTGTCAAATCATAAAGATTTTTGTGCCTTCCTATTTCTTTTCCTCATGCGGTTCCCTTCATTTTCTCCCACACTTAGTGGAGAAACTCCCCTCCTTCTTCTTTCATTACAGCAACTATTGAAATGCAAAAGGAATGAAGTGCCTGGAAAGAGAAATTGCTTTTGACCAGTTACCCTTTTATTCTCCCTCTCATTTTTGGAGGCCTGGAGCCAGCTAGCCAGGCTGATGTGAAGAACTGCTTAAGTGTGAGCAAGTTGGGTGTGGAGGGTACGGAGCTCCATGCCTGCACAATGGCACTCCCCCCACCAAGTCTGCAGGGAAGGCCGTGGGTGGGCCTCTGACAGAAGATATTCTTTCTCAGTGCTGTACGTGACATCCTGGTCAAATAGACGGAGTGAGTCTTTGTGATGTTGCAATGTTTTATTGTTACTAGCACTTTAGCAACTATCTGGAGCTGACAGGACAGCTGTTCAGAAAGAGATGATATTTTATCAGCTTGTGTAAGTCACCAGTGACCCAAAATGTGCATTTCATTGGAAATTAGGAAAGGAGAATGAGTCTTTGAGTCTTCTGGATTTGGAAATCTTCCATATCATTCCAGCTAGTCACACAATATAGTATCTAAAATTCTGGCCCAGGCATGATGCCTCATGCCAGTAATCCCAGTACTTTGGGAGGCTGAGGTGGGAGGATTGTTTGAGCCCAGGAGTTTGAGATCAGCCTGGGCAACAAAGTGAGACCCTGTCTCTACAAAAAAATTAAAAAAAAAAATTATCTGGGCATTGTGGTACATGCCTGTAGTCCCAGCTACTCAGGAGGCTGAGACGGAAGGATCACCTGAGCCTGGGAGGTCAAGGCTGCAGTGAGTTATGATTGTGCCACTGCACTCCAGCCTGGGCAACAGAGTGAGAGACCCTCTCTCAAAAAATGTAAAATAAAATAAAATCTCTGATCGGCCATCCTCTGTAATTGGAGATACTCATTGAATTTCCTTCTATGTTAGGATCAATTTGGGTATCAACAGATCAGGGTTAAGGGCAAAGTTTGCCCTTCAAGACACTTTGGGGCCTTCTTAATGTATCTAGAGAACAGTCATGTATTAATGCTTATTTGTGTCCTTCCTCAGTTTGCAAGCAAGCATTTTCCCAGGAGATAGAGTGGCCAAGGTATTGCTTGTGTCTGACCCCCTTCTTCTGTCTGAAACAAGGTGAGCCTATTTCAAGAAGAGACATTGGCAATGGTGCATTGTTAATGAGAATGGCATGCCCTCTGCAGCCTCCTCAGGCGTGGAGCTGGGCCGGGAGCTAGGAACACTTGCTCTTAAGTGCAGTATGTTTCAACCCACTGAAAGATCTTAGTGCAAAATCAAGCATGGAATGATGTTCTGTGGTTTTCAAATAAGTTCCTAGAGGGTTTGAGTTGGATAGGCTGGGAACAAACCTATTCACCTATGACAGACCTAAGCAGACTCCGATGTCTGATCAGGGAAAACTGGACATGTTTACAGGACCCAAGAGGGTTGGCTCCTCATTTAAAACATTTATAACATTATAGCCTGGCCCCAAGTCCAGCTGAGCTGAGAACTGTGAAGAGGGTAAGTGTGTTGGGTCTGTGTGTTTATGCAGTTGAGTGAAATCAAGTTTGTTCTCTAGAGAAACTGCAGATCAATTTGTTGCATCTTTGATAATTTCCCCTGTACATGCCAACTCTTAACCTCATAAAAAAGCTCCAGTAATTATCTCCAAACTGAACTTTTCTCAGTTCCTTTGGATAAATAAAAATTCTCTATGAATCAATTAGAGGAATCTCCATTTTTTTAAATATCAAAGAACTGGATTAAAATGGATTGTACAGGAAATGCTGTCATTAAAAGGGCCAAGAAAAGAAGACATGCTTAATTATTGAGTGGAATATTCATAATTTTGCATATCTATCAGCTCAGTGTGTCCCTAACATGTTTTTAAGATGTACAAAAGGAACACATATTATAGCTCTTGCTCTTTTTTTTTTAAGGAAGGCAAAACAAATGCCAACATAACCGTTGTTTTTGACTACTTCATTTCTCTTTCATTGAATGAAATAACACCATATCTTTTTCAATCCTCTCTTTCAGGGCTACCCTCCACCCAGCCACTGTCTAAAGAGCTTCATTTAAAGGTAACCCTGCAAGGCTTTGAGAAGGGTTTTGCCACCAAGTTATTGTATTTAATCACAAATTATTCCTAGTCCCTGCCTTCTCTGTGGTTAGTTGTGGATTTCTGTTTTTTTCAGTTGGATAAAGGCAGTTTCCGACTACAGGAGACCTGCAGACTTACCATGTGTTCCTTGGAGCACCCTGGCTTAGTCAGGATCTTTCTGAATGCTCCCTTTGGGTGCACCTCTTGTTGATACAAGCAAAAACTAGCATAGGGACCCTGGAGCAGGAAGTGAATAGGTATTGTTGAAACCATCCCAATAAACCTTTATGAGGCCCCTATTCTGAGTTAGGCTGACTCATGGCTTGAATGTGGCCAGCAGTAGAAAAGGAACTTGCCACAGTGGTGGGAGGCATCCTGGTTTTTCTGAGAATAGGGAATGGTGAAGGATGGCTGGTATCTGTCTTTGAAATGCCTGTGCCCTACACTACCACCATGTCTGTCTTCCCTTTTCTGCCTTATCTTTTCCTCATCTCTCTAGCAAGTTCCGTCTCTCCTTTTGCCCCCCATTTCTCTGTCGCTGTCTTTCACTTTCTCCTCTTCAATGTGGTCCTAACTATTTTCTTCCACATCAAAGGTAGGAGTGGGTCACTTGATTAATTACCATGCAGCAGAATCCTTTGCCTCCTTGACACACAAGGCAAGGGGACAAAGGGCCGCTCTTTAGAAGCCCTGAGCTGTGTGGGTGCCGGGTGGGGAATTCACAAGCCTGAAAGAATGGAGCCTTCCCAGCAGGGATGTGAAGGTTCCTAGACCCTACAGAAGAATAAAGTTGCTACTGCCGCACATTGTGGTTGGGCCATATTTGCATTTGAGGGGAGAGCACACAACTCCAGTTTTAAACCATATGGAGTATATAGAAACTTGACTTAAACTTTAAAATCTTTTATGGGTGGAAATCAGTATCACTTGGAAATGAAAGGAGGTTAAATCATGATGACTGACAGTTTAACTTCTGCACTGTCCATTACAGCACCACTCGTCCCATGTGGCTGGTTTCACTTAAATTAATTAAACTAACATAAAATTTAATATTGAGTTCTTCAGTCGCACTAGCCACATGTCAAGTGTTCTATTGGACAGTGCAGGAATAAGGCATTTCTGTCATTGAAGAAACTTCTACTGGACACCCCTGCCCTTAACTCTTCATTTTTTTTAAGCCAGGTAGCTTAAAGGAGGTCTGGGGAGTACTTCACAATAGAAAATTAAGAGGGATTCCAGAACTGGCTGGAAAAAAAAGAAAACTTTTAACAGAATGACAGGGTAAAGTAAACTATTTAGAATTTAGTTGATCCAAATGAGGTATTGTTTGGGAAGATGTTTGAGCAGTTGAAAAAAAACTATACAATAAAAGTTGGAAGTATGACAGTTATTGTGATTATTCTTAAGAGAGGAAGTATTGGCAACTGAGGATGAAAACTCAGCTAATGGCCACATGCATTCTCCGCTCAGCAGAGTTGGAATTTAAGGACCAGACCTTCCAAGCCTTGGCTAGATCTCATTGCTAGTTAGAATTCGTCAAGTAAGGAGCGGTGCCTTCTTTGTAAGACTAAAGGTTACTCTAAGGAAGTGAGATGTGCTTCAATTCCCAAAGGGTGAATATCATCTTCCCCAACACATCCTAGCAGCAGTCCAGTGTCACTGAATGCCTTCAGATGATGACAATGATAATTAAAGGTCATCTTTGGACTAACCGATGGTCTTTGTAATTGGGAATAAATCCCATGAGAATGTCATTTTCAAATTACTTCATGGTTCAAGCCTGATACGGACCTTTCAGAAAAGGCCATATAGAAAAGATCCTCAGGCTACTCTACCCTAGTGTCATGATTGTAAAGACACAGACTAAGATAATGGATTCAAGTCTCCTGGCTTGCATGAGACAGGTTTCTCCTGGGTTGGGTAGTAATGCCACGGATATCCAGCGTCCCTCAAAGTCAGAACACGGGGTTCTTAAGACAAAGCAGCTCTAGCCACTGGACTGTGACTTCCTAAATTCACTAACAATCCTGCCCGCTCTCCCCTCCCCCAATCACTTTCATTTACTGACAAGCCCTTTGGCTCTGACCTCTTGAGGTTACAAAACCAAATGGGTAAGAGAGCTGGGGAATAATCCACCAAACTTTCATCAAGTCCTAGGCTCAGGGTTTCCCAAGCATGAGTGACTGTAGGTATTAGCGTCTGTGTGCTAGATCCGTCTTGCTGGTTCCTAAGTGAAGTGTGTGAGAGAGAAGTCTGGGCATTGGATGTTCTGGTAAAGTCTTAGTTTCCGCGGTAAATGTTGAGGAGGTCTTACCGCCTTGTCTGATGATGAATGAAGTATGTGATTAACCCAGAAGGAACTGAGGTTTCATCAGCACATGCATGAGTCTGATTCTTTATTGGTAGCAATTAGAACTTCACATAAACACGCTTATTACAAATCAACAGATATTCATTGAGTGCCTGCTCTTCAGTAGATTCTGTGGTATAGGGAAGGAACTTACCATTTATTTGTCATGTTTTATACAGATTGATGATATGTTATGATTCATAAACTTTGGAAGTCTCAAACATTTTGTGTTGAATATTTTAAGAGTTTTGTTTCTATCATCAAATGTAAAAAATAGAGAGTGTGAAGGAGGATTGTGGTGGGAAGGTCCCTTCTTGTCTATGCCTTCTGGGTCTGGGATGAACTTTGGTAAAAATATGTAGTTTGAAGGATTAGTCTATGATGAGCAGAGTCTGAAAATGAAAAGGTGGCTATTAATTACCAGGCTGCTGCTGCATTGATTAGTTGTTTGTTGAAATAGGAAGGCCATGCCAGAGCTTCCTCTCACATTCCTGGGATCTGAATTTACATGTCTGGTGTCTGCCTTCAGAGCAGAGTCGAAACTTGCTTGCCATTTGCCTTATCTCTTCATCACCAACAATCTGTATAGTTGGGGGAAGAATAGAGACTCACAGCCTCTTTTAGAGAGGCAAAGGATCTCCAAAGTCATCTGTCTTCACTTCTTCATCAACAAGTGAGAAATCTGAGGTTCAGAGAGGTGAAGCACCTGCCCCAAGGTGCACAGCTTGTTGGGTCGGAGGCTGAATGGCTGGAACCCTGGTTTCCTGCCTCTGTGAAGTGTGCTCTCTACCACGTTGATTTGTCCTGTGTTTTAAAGTCTTCCCACTGCTGATCTATTAAGAAGTGACTGATAACATTTTTAGGCAAAACTTTGGATACCTTTTCAGGTAAAATCAGAGTCATTTTTTAGAATCTGTGACAAAGATGATTCTAAATAGAAACTTCAAACTTCTGGATTCTGAGTAGTTTCTAAGCTTGACAAAATGAGATCTTTTAGCTTTCCTTCCTCAAAGGAAGGCAACTCTATCAGCCACATATTTGGATAACATACAGTCTAAAAAGTCTGCATTCCGGAGCCAAACTACCTGGATTCATAATCCTGGCTTTGCCACTTAGAAGTTATGAGACTTTGGACAAACCACTTAATTGCTCCATGCCTTAGTTTACTCATCTGTAATTTGGGAGTGACAATAATATAGTATCTTCCTCAGTTGAATCAATATATTGTGAAGTACTTAGAGTGGTGCCTGGCACATAGCAGGCATTATTTAGGCATTAGTTATTTTATTGTTACCCTTTCTTTCTTTCTTTCTTTCTTTCTTTCTTTCTTTCTTTCTTTCTTTCTTTCTTTCTTTCTTTCTTTCTCTCTTTTTCTCTCTTTCTCTCTCCCTTTCTTTCTTTCTTTCTTTCTTTCTTTCTTTCTTTCTTTCTTTCTTTCTCTGTCTCTCTCTCTCTCTTTCTTTCTTTCTTTCTCTCTCTCTCTCTCTCTGTCCCTTTCTTTCTTTCTTTCTTTCTTTCTTTCTTTCTTTCTTTCTTTCTTTCTTTCTTTCTTTCTTTCTTTCTTTCTTTCTTTCTTTCTTTCAAGATGGAGTCTCAGTCTGTCACCCAGGCTGGCGTGCAGTGGTGCGATCTTGGCTCACTGCAACCTCCGCCTCCCAGGTTCAAGTGATTCTCCAACCTCAGCCCCCCGAGTAGCTGGCATGACAGGCGTGCACCACCACACCCAGCTAATTTTTGTATTTTTGGTAGAGACAGGGTTTTTCCATGTTGCCCAGGCTGGTCTCGAACTCCTGACCTCAAGTGATCCACTTGCCTTGGATTCCCAAAGTGCTGGGATTACAGGCATGGAACACCTTGTCCAGCCACATTAGTTAATTTAATCATTTACTTGGTTAAATGCAATAAACTGTTTTCCCTCTTTATTTTCTGCATCAGAATATCTTACTGGGAACAAAGGAAAAGCATAAGAAATCAAGGGGGTAATGGTAATGTGATTTGATTGTGTGGGTTTCTTCTTCACCTTGAGAGACCAGAACACATCACCAGAGTATTCTACTGCAGCCCAAACCAGTGAGCATCAAGGCTCCAAGAGGCGTAAGAGGTCACCTGATGCATCTAACTGGTTTAGGAAGGAACCTGAGGCCCAGGGAAGGTCCCGTGGTCTTGATTGTCAATGGTGGATGCCTGCTGTCCACCAGTGCTCCAGGTGCTCTCAGTACACACAGCACCTGAAAACAAGGCATCACTTGGACAAGGGGGAGAAGTCTCCACATTTAGTGGATCCTGGGTAGAAATATGAATAACTTATTTCAGTTGTTGGAAAGCCTTTCATCTAGTGTGTTCAAATAGAAGGTGAAAAATGGGCCTATGTGTTTTCTGAGTCACACTAGATTTCCTCTTATCCCCATTTCTGAGCCTGCTTAATGATTTGCAGGAGTAGTTTAATAGAGCCCTCAATGGTGGTGGTAGCAGTGCTAGAATTTCTGACTTGGGTCCCCAGGAAGAATAAACACATATCCTCTTTAGTTGAGTGAGATCTCTTCACATCTCTTCAAGTCTGGCATCCATAAGCTGCAAACGGACTAAGATGCCCTTAGCTTTCTCAAGCGTCCAGCTGACATCCAACAGGGCCAAGTTCTCTGCCAAGTTCCCAATGGGTCATGACCTCATTTTTCAAGATGGTAACATGGATGAGCTGGGGCGATAATGAGATGACATATTTTAGTGATGAACTTCATTTAGATTTGTATTATCATTTTTTATTGTGAAATAATACATTCAAAAGATTATATGCCATACATGTGTAATTAAAAGATGAATAATAAAATGACCACCCATGTAACTACCACCCAACTTTTAAATTAGAACATATTAATATAACCTTATATGGGCTAGACTGAAAGCTCCTTGAGAGGCTGTGTGTGTGTGTGTGTGTGTATATATATATATATGACATATGTTACGTGTGTGTGAATAAATGTATATATATACAATTTTTTAGTACTTAGCAAGTACTGTATATATAAAATGTACATATATAAAATATATACACATATATAAACATACATATACACATATATATTTATTTGTATATACAAAATCAATTGCTTAAAGAGGTTAAGCAATTTGACCAAGGTTACACACTCACAAGAGGCAGATCTGGATTTGAAACCAGGCTTCTCAAAACTTGCAATCTCACTCACCCTACCTTCTTGACTAATCTTTTACAGCCCTTTGCTCTCCTCTACAACCTTTAGTGGAGTGCTGAGTGCATGACTGGCATTCAGTCAGAACCAAGGGAGGGTTGCCTGGTTGAGATTTAGAACACAGAGGATAAATAAAGCAAGTTGACAAGCAGTGCAGGAGCCCGCTCCTACTACAGAGCTGGCTAATTGTGCACACCTTTTTCCAATTTCGTGTTTGGTGCCATCACACTGGGTGCTCCACATTGGCTGTGGTGGGAATATTTACACCATGGAAATTGGCAAATGTGACCAGTCATGGCTCCCTTTTCCCCACTGTGGGGCTGTTGTAAAGTCTTTTGATGGTGTGTTGTGGCTGATCACAGGGAGGAACATCAGAAACATGTCTATGAGGGACATTCAGCTCTGCTGTATTCTTTACAAAAGTCCATACCCCTAATCTAATCATGAAAACACAACACACAGACCCAGATTGGGGAACTTTCTACAGGATGCCTGACAAGCCCCAAACTATCAAGTGTTAAAGCTGCAAGAGGCCTAAGAGATCACCTGATGCATCCTACTGTCTTCAAAAATCTTGAACCAGTTTTAAAAAATTGCGATAGTTTACATAAAAATCAAGATTTCTGCAATAGTAGTATTGTAATCACACCCAGCAAAAATTGGCTAGAACTGAGTGAGTTTCCCCCTTTTATTGGTGTCTGAATTCTCCAGTTTACAGTCGTTTCTATCTTTCATACAACTGTACTCAAATGTACCTAAGCCGGTCCAAACCCGCATATTCTATTGCCTGTCAGGCTCCTCAAGGCAATTGGGTTTATCTTTGTAGTCTATATTAACTTAAATGTGCAGTAAGACTGGGGAGAGAAGCCAGCCGGGCTGGAGTGCTGGGGGAAGTCTTTCTGGAGAGGTGCCTTTGCCTGGTGCCAAAGAGCAGCAATTCTCAGTGTGGGACCACCAGCATCGGCATCACCTGGGAACTTGTTAGAAATGCACATTCTTGGCACCATCCCAGACCTACTGAACCAGATACTCTGGAGGTGGGGCCGGCAACCTTTGGTTCAGCAAGCCCTGTGGGTGATTTGAATGTGTGCTAAAATTGGAGAACCACTGCATAGGCAGGCAGGTTTGAGATGGGCAGAGCCAGGTGGTCCAGGCAAGATGCCTCACTCTAGTAGTGGGGAGCTGGGAGTGGGCATGGACCATTTCATGGGTTTGCAAGTCAGTGTGCTGTGGGACAGAGCCTGGGGTCCGTGTGAGTTTTCAAGTCTATGGACCCTGGGCATATGCTGTATGGATGTGGGCTTTGCTTCCAACTGTTTCCGATGCTCTGTGTCAGAATGGGTAGGCGCCTGCCTGGGTTGAGGCTCAGGATTCCATGCTTGTCCTCTTTGGTGCTTCCTTCAGCAGCCACCCCATCCTTGCGCCATCAAAATCTCTGCAATGTGGATTTAGTGAGAAAAGAGAAAACAGTCCATTGTGGTTTCTTTTGATTGGCAGGTGATTAACCCCTTGGAGTCAGTCCTTTGTCCATGTGGCAGTTCCCTGGGTCTGAGTTGAGTGAGAGGGTTATGTAAATATGAGAAAATGTCAACAGATGTAAAGTATGTATCATGTACATTCCTACCTCCTTACTCTATTTTTAAGGACCTAGATCAAGTTTTACCTCCTCCTGAGTCCCTGTCAGGACTGTCTCTCCACTCTCTGTGTGTAACTCCTTGATATTTGCAGAGTGTCTGCGCTTCTGCCGTTGTGAACTGACCCCTAGGGATTCCCATCCGTATCCTCTTCCTCCTCCAGCTTCCCTCCTGACTCACTGCCTAACTCTTACTCATCTTTCAGGCTTCTTGTTAAATGTCACCATTTCTAGAAGCCCTTGCTGACCACACAGGGAATGGGACAGTTTCTTAGATCTGCTGGCATTGCCTGATTACTCTGACAGGAATTGTCACGTTGATCACTGTCCCAGCATCTAGCACAGTGCAGCGCACATAAGTGGTGCTCAGTCAGCACTCACTTCATGAACAAGTTGCCTGCAAACACACAGTGCACAGCATTGCCTAGTGGTTAAGCACCCTGGCTCTAGAATAATCAGTCTGTGTCTGAATCCTGGCTCCACCTAACTGGTAGTGTGGACAAACCACTTAACATCGCTGCGCTTTCTATTAAGGGACACATTGCTAGTACTGACTACAGGGTGTTTCATGGTGACCAAATGAGCTAAAATACTTAAAGCATGTAAAGAAATCTCCAGCAAATAGTAAGTGCTCAACAGCTATTAGCAGTCAACAGGCTTTTGGTGATGATTTATTGAATGAGACTGATGATATCTGACCTGAAGAAATTCTATTTATTTAAGTGGAAATATTTGTGAGACCTGACCCCAAAAAAGGGATGGAGGCATGCCTACCTGCTCAACAAGTGGTGCCTTTATTTTATTTTATTTTATTTTATTTTATTTTATTTTATTTTATTTTATTTTATTTTATTTTATTGAGATGGAATCTCGCTCGGTCACCCAGGCTGGAGTGCAGTGGCGTGATCTTGGCTCACTGCAATCTCTGCCTCCCAGTTTCAAGTAATTCTCATCCCTCAGCCTCTCAAGCAGCTGGGATTACAGGCATGCACCACTATGCCCAGCTAATTTTTGTATTTTTAGTAGAGACGGGGTTTCACCATGTTGCCCAGGCTGGTCTCGAACTCCTGACCTCAAGTGATCCACCTGCCTTGACCTCCCAAAGTGCTGGGATTACAGGTGTGAGCCACGGTGTCCGGACAAGTGGTGCCTTTACTGCTCTTCTTTTTTTCTTCTTTCTCCAGGGTAGCAACAAGTTGGGACTGATCAGGCTCACCAGACTTATTTGGGGTAGATGTATTCTAAGAGATAAACCCAAAGTTCAGAAGCTTTTCTGCTGTTTAGACTGACTCCATTAGTATTTCTTCCAAACAGCTTAAAGGTGTTAAATCTATTTGCTTGCTAGAGACACATGTATGTGACTGCAAGCCTATTTGTATCTGGGGAAGAGATTCTGAATGTGATCCAGTTCCTGTGCATTTTACCTATTTTATCTTGAGTTGGCTGCCTTCTGCCACAGGGTTGTAATTAATATTGTGTAGAACAGGAGGCTCATTAAATCGCCTCATTATGACTGTTCAGGTTCTGGGGTTTGGCTGAAAAGGATTTCCCTATTATCAGTGCCTGACATATATTCCTAATCAAGCAGGCCAATTCTCTTCTGTCAAGGACTGTCTTCCAAATGGAGATGGTATTTATTCTGACTTGTACTATTAGTGTGAAAGATGTTGGTTCTGCTGAGAGACATATAGGTCCCTGTCACAGGTCAGAGCTTTTTTTTCACAGACATGCAGAATGTAGGAATTCATAAGACACCATGCTTTTAGAGGCTGGCCTGTCAGTTGGGTTCATTCTTAAGTCTTTGGTGGAGGCAGAATTTTTGAAAAGGAAAATAAACATGATTATAAATTTTTGGAATCTTTGTGTCAGAAGAGGCTTTAGTAGCCATGTGACCTTCCACTCAACAGATGAGTTTTCTCTTACCAATTATGATTCCTGATTCTCAATCTTTGCTTGATGGCTTCCTTTGACAAAGAGCTCAGTACCTCTAGTGTGGCCATTTCAGACAGATCTAAGGAAAATCCGTGGCAATGTTGACTTGTAATTTGTCTTCCTCTTACTAACCCATTGTCCATCCTCTTACTAAC
The DNA here is from genome assembly GCF_000001405.40 of Homo sapiens. NCBI lineage: Eukaryota > Metazoa > Chordata > Mammalia > Primates > Hominidae > Homo > Homo sapiens. Next base: position 62,884,210 of record NC_000010.11, on the reverse strand, counting down.
CCATTGTCCCTAGTTCTGCCATTCAGAGCTGCACAAAACAAGTCTGGTCACTATTCTTTGAGAAAGCACTTTGAGCATTTGAGATAGCTCCCTCCTTCCCTTCTAATCTCTTCTTTAGATTAAATGTCTTCTCTTTATGGTTAGTCAGATCCTTCATCCTGCTATTCACTGATGCAAAATGAGATACCTTTCAGCCCTCCTCAGATGTGGTATCCAGAAGTGAATGAACCTTGCATGTGTGGTTAGTTCACCTGAAGGTCCAGGGAGGGGCTTCTGGAATTTTCCATGGAGGACAGTGTCACATGGTATTTTTGCCAGGTGGTGAGAAGTGTTGTTCTCTCTTCCTCAGGACCTTTTACTGCAGGGACCTGTACCTTACTGCAATCACACTTGCTCACTGCATGGTCGCTGGGGATACACCACTGAACTGGGCTTATGCTTAGAGCCTTTGGAGTTAGGCTGCCAGCATACAAAGCCCAGCTGTGCTGCTTGCAATTTGGTGTGATGTTGGGCAAGTTGTTCAACTTCTCTGAGCCTTGGTTGGGATGATAATAAGGTTTACCTCAGAAGCTGTTATGAGAATTCCTAAGATCAGGCATGTAATGGTTTAGCAGAACTTCTGAAAAATACTTAATAAAGTGCTGATAATTATTAATAACAACTAAACACCAATTATCTATACCCCACTTCTTCCCTTATCCTGAGCTTTGAGTCTCTGAATTTTGACCTTTAGCGGGTAATGCCAAACCTGAGAAGGGGGTGGGGCAGGAAATTTGTGGTAATTCCAAATGAATTTGTCTTTCACTTGAGTTCTTTTTTTATGTCCAATCTCAATACACTCATCGAGAACCTTTTCCATCCAGATTACTTTTTATATAATGTCGCATTTCATGTGAGAGAGAGAGAAAAAGAGAGTCCATGAACTCTATGTTCTTTCAAATGCTTTAGTGGAATGATCTCTCTCTCTCTTTCTCTCTCTCTCTTTCCTGTCCTGGGTCCTTCCTTCAAATGAACTGTTACTCAGAACCCCAGTGTGTAAGACAGATAACAGCTGAGCAGGTCCCTCTGGCAGTTCTCATCTTCTCTCCTTGGCAGAAGCAGCCTCATTGTTTGGGAAACCCCTGGAGGTTATCTGTGGAACCCCAGGATTCTGAGATGTATGTTTGAAAGCCTCTGCAAGAACCAGTTCCACATCCAAGTTTCTGAAATCTGGCCCTAATCCTTTCATTTGCCTGATCTCTTCCTGTGGGGTCATCTCACCTCCACCTTAGGTCAGAGGTCCCCACTCGCCTAACACACATCACTCTCTGACCCAACTGCTGTGAAGCTCTTCCCAGCTCTGACCTCCAAATACTTTTTAATTTTGTTCTCTTCTCTTGACCTCTGTGTCCCAGCCCCACTGAGAGCTGACAGCCATTCTCCACCCTGTCTTAAAGAGGGTCTCCAGGATTTAGGGGTGGAGTAGTGGAGGGGTGGTGGGATGGGACAAGAGGCAAGTGAAAGCCACACTTGGAGGGGGGCTCTGGCAGGGGAGAATGGAGAAGGGACAGATGTCCCTCAAAACTGAAGAGGTAGCCATTCAAGTGACAAACCTTTTACAAATCCAAATCTCTTTGACCTTTCTGCAGTATTCATTCATTCATGCATGCAAGCATTCGTTCGTTCAACAAGTGTTCACTGAGGTGTACCTGTTGTGTGGCATCTTGTACTGTTCTATTCTATGCACTGGGGCTCCAGGAGGGAAGACATCATAGCCCCGGCTCTGAAGAAATTCACAATCCAGTGGAGGAAACTAAGTAAACTTTGGTGATCCCCAGACACCCTCCTGGGGGTCCTTGATCACTTGTTCATTTGGCTTGAGGATTATACCAAAGCATCCCTCATTTTCCTATTCTAACTTCCTCCTAGATCTTAGATCGTATGATACCATCTTCAATTTCCAGGACCTGGCAAGTATAAGGAGAAAAAAAGAAAAACCTCTACACTCATAATGCAATTTTTTAATTAAACACATTGCACCCTTGTGCCCAGATGGATCTTCACAAAGCTCCACCTGGTCACAGCATTCCTTTATTAAAAGACTTTCAAAGAGGCCCTGACTTCTTAGCCCCCTTTCAGAGCTCCCCAGCACTCAGCAAGCTCTTCCTCTTCTGAACTCCTGGCCATTACTGCAGATGCTGATGGTGGAGCAATACATCTATTCTGCCTTGTGATGTTGCTTATATTGTTGTCGTGGTTATCGGTGAACTCTTACTACTAAGCTTCTCATGTATTTAGGCCATGCCTTCCTAATTACTTAAATGGTTTACTCAAAACTTTATTTCACAAGTAAGACACAAATGTATTCTTTTTTTAAAACAAAATTATAGAGAAAAGCAAAAGCCACTTTGAGCTAGGTTCATCCCTTTTTCATTTCTGTCCCAGAGAGAGAGCTGGTATGTGTCCTTCTGTGCCATTTAAAAAGCACACTTTTACATGCAGATATATTATGTATTCATAAGATATATAGAGTGTTATTTTCCTTATGTGTGTGTTTGCATAAATGACATTGTATGGTATGCATCATTCTATGATATTTTTCACTTAATATATTTTTGAGATCTACCAACATTGACATATGTAAGCCCTAGTAAGTTCTGTTAAATTGCTCTACTGTATATTCTATGCTGGTTGCAGTGGCTTACGCCTGTAATCCCAGCACTTTGGGAGGCAAAGGAGGGCAGATCCCTTGAACTCAGAAGTTCAAGACCAGCCTGGGCAACATGATGAAACCCTGTCTTCATGAAAAATTAAAAAAAAAAAATTAGCCAGGCATGGTGGTGCATGCCCATAGTTCCAGCTCCTTCAGAGGCTGAGGTGGGAGGGTCCCTTGAGCCTGGGAGGTTGAGGCTGTAGTGAGCCATGATCACATCACCACACTCCAGACTGGGCAACATATCAAGACTCTATCTCGAAAGGGTCGGGGCCGGGGCTATAATGTCTTCCCTCAAAAAAAAATTGCTCCACTGTGTTCTATGGAACCAGTGTACAGCATTTTGTTTGGCCCTTCTCATGTTGGACTTTTAGGTTGCTTCCAATTTTTTCTTGTAAACAATGCTTCAGCGAACATCCCTTAAATATGTCAAACTCCTTTTAAATCCTGTGGGAGGCAGGAACAGTGAATTCTGTTTCTTGAATCCTCTATTATCCCTAATACAAATCTTTGCTTATGGTAGATGATCAATCTGTTTATTAACATATCCATTGTGCAACATAGGTATATGTAAGCCAGTACACAAAGTTATGTTCTGAAGTGATGCTCTGGAAGTACACATTCAGAACTGACAGCTTTCTGGGTAGTCAGATCCAATCCATTTGATGCCTGGGAATTGGATCTACTCTCTCTTCTGTGGCAGAAGCAGCAGGGATCTCTCCTCTGGAAGAAGAAAAGATACCCCACACAGACTCTTAGGAAGACAAAAGCAGATCACGTCCCCAGAGGGACCACTTGCCAGTGGGCATATTTGCTCATTTTTCTGTTGTTCTTCCTGCCCCATACCCCAATCCCCTTTTGTTTTTTCCGATGAAGCCATTGGAGCTAGTTTTTGGAGCACTGAATGCCTTAACCAACCACTGCAGCCCAAATCCCTCATTCTAACCAGGGCAGAAGTCTAGGGGCAGGGATGGTAACAAGGCTTTGGCTCACATTTTGAATTGTGTGTTCATCAGCAATTAAACAGGGAGAGACCAAGATGGGAGGGTCTGGGACACCGTTGATGGTGTTTCCCCCTTTCCTTTCTCTGTTATGTCAGTTCAGCAGGTATTTGTGGATCACAGGTGAATCAGAGATGAGTTTCTTGCCTCAAGGAGCTTGTGTCTACTAGAACTAGAAAAGGTCAGGAAAGGGGCAGAACTCCCAAAACGGAGTTTTGTGGGCAGAGAAGCACCAAGGAATGCAGGATTGCAGAAGGGAGCATGCGCCTTTCAGAAGGTGAAAGCTTCATTCAGGAGCTAATCTTGTTTTTGAGCCTTGCAGTGAGACCAGGAGTAGTAGGAAGAGATGGTGGTGGGAGCAAGGCCCGCAGAGGGCTTCGGAGGAAGCTGACGAGTAAAGGGATGTATCTGGGACATCAGGAAACAGTCTAGTTGTGATACTCCAGGAGAAGAGGTGAGAAGTCTAGGAGGCAAATGTGAAGGAGGAATGGGTAGTAGAGGCTGAGTATTCTATCCCTGAATCCCTAACACGTTTTTGGCCCTAAAATCATTTTTTATGAATGCAGACTTAGTTTTATTTTTTTTGCTTTTCTTACTGAGGCTTAACATACATACAGTAAAGTGCAGAAATGTTTCTTTTCTTTTCTTTTCTTTTTAAGAGATGGGGTCTCCCTCTGTCACCCAGGCTGGAGTGCAGCGGCGCGATCATAGCTCACTGCAGCCTCAAACTTCTGGGCTCAAGGGCTTCTCCCGCCTCAGCCTCCCAAGTAGCTGAGACTACAGGTGTGCGCCATTATGGCTGGCTAATTTTTAACTTTTTTTTGGTAGAGACAGGGTCTTGCTGTGTTGTTCAGGCTGGTCTTGAACTGGCTTCAAGCCATCCTCTTGCCACAGCTGCCTGAGTTGCTGGGATTATAGGCATGAGCCACTGAGGCCAGCCCAAAGCACACAAATCTCAAGTGGAAGACTCAATGAATTTTTATAAATGTAACATAAGTAATAATATGCAGCTCAGTGAGATCAAAACACAGAGCATTTCAAATACCCCAGAAGGCTCCCTCATGCTCCATCCAAGGCAATAGTCACCATATGCACAAGTACCGCTCTTCTGATTCCTATCACCTAGATTAGTTTGTTATTAAACTGCAGTAAATGGATAGCTGTGGCGTGTACTTTAGGACATTTCTTCAGCAGCACTGTACAGAAAGTACAGTGAGGAAGGGAGGAGATTCTTGCAAGAGCAAGTGAGGAGATTGTTGCAAAAGTAAGTGAGGAAAAGAGGAGATTCTTGCAAGAGCCTGGGTGACATGTATTTCATTTCAAGGACTTTGAGCCGGGGTGGTGCCCATGAGAATTAGAAGAAGGCCACAGATGCTCTGGATGGCAGGGACACATAGGTCCTTAGGGACAAAACTAATGAAACCAGGGTTTATGCGGTCTGTGCACCACCTTCCAGGGCTCCAGCCTGCTCCAGGGCAGTGTACAGTCATGACAACCAGGTGTCTCCCAGATCACCTGATACACAATAAGCTCTCAGATGCACAGGAGGAAGCAGGACCCTTGGCTACAGGGCCACAGCAGCTTCTCGCCATGCTCCTCAGGGCTGTTCTCTAGAAGCCAATCTTCATTCGCCAGTCGCCCCAGCAATTCTGAGAATGGAGACACCCCAACTCTTCTGCAGCTGTAGGGATGGCCAGAGGTTTCAGGCACACAGTGCCTCTACAGGCTCCAGGTGATGGAGGAGTCAGACGGGGTGAAGGAGTAATCCAGAATGAATCAGGACCACCGAAGTCTGCCCTGCCCTGCTAAGAGCACACCACTGAAGTGGACACTGGGGGTCTGGCAGATTGTTCCCCACAACCCCCAGAAAAAAAGCAATTCCAGAAAGCAATTGACAGAGCCATTCCAAGAGACTAGGACAAATTATTCCTAATCCCAGAGTTTCCACCTGCGTGAGGTCAAGGTTAAGTAGAAATCAGTAATAGGGGAATAACCTTGAAAGGGAAGAAGAGAAGAGACCCAGTGCTGTCTGGGGAGGGGCTGGGGGAGTCAGGGAGAAATGTGGGAGTGGGGGAGATGCTGGAGGCAGCCATCCAGCCCCTTGCCCTAATTTTTACCCATTGGGTGCTGATTATATAGCTGAATCCCAAGCCTTTGGGGGTACCACTGACTCCCTCCACCCCATTCCCTTAGAAATAGCTGCCTGGGGACCCAGGTGTAATCACCAAGTTAATCCCCCTGTTATTTTCCTGTCTTGGAAGCAATTCTAGTTTCTTGCCCCTTCATGTCGCACTGCAACTTTGTTAAGTGTTGAATCTTTAATTCGCCACATAAATCAGAGTCCTTTGTTGGAACAGGTGTGAGAAGAGCGATTCCAAAATCAAGTAAACAATGAAGACACCTCCCTTTCCTCATTCATGGGCTGCCAGCATGTGCAGGAGGTGGGGCAATGGTTGGGGTGGGGGCAGGGTGAGGTGGGGGTGGGGGTGGCCCAGGAGGGAGAGTCCAGCAGCCCCTCCCCTTCTGGAGCTCACCTTCCAGCTGGGGAGAGATGTAAACAAATGATTATCTGGAAGAGTAATAAATAGAGTAACGCAGGTGCAGTGGAAACCCAGGAGAGGGAGGGATTGATTTTGCAGAGGCAGTTGCAGAGGAGACACTGGAGCTGGGTCTTCTAGAATGAGCAGAAGTTCTCCCAAAGGGCATTGCAGGCAAAAGAAACCACGTGAGGCAAAAGGCAGGAGAGTGTGAGGAATGGCAAATCTGGAGTGGGGATGGATGCGAGAAAGGAGAAAAGGAGGCCACAGGGAAACGAGAACTAAAGCGAATTGGAAACCTTGAATGCCTTTGGTTTGTTTCCCAGCTCTGGGAGAGGGGAGCATATCAAGGGTATTTGTAGCTGGTGACAGGAGCCTCTGTGTGCTTAGAAGAGGCAACACTCCAGGCAGTGTGGTGGGAGATCGTAGGCTAATTGGGCCTGCTCCTGGCAAAATTGCAAACGGTTCGTGTCCCTTCCATTACTCTCTGGACTTCCTGCCCCTTCTGTTTCCCCTCTCCAGGTATCTTCATGCCTTTCCTCCTCCCACTCACTACAAACTCCAAACAACTGTGTCTGTTTGTGCCAAGCCAGGAGAGGTGATGGAGTTGCCTGCACTTGCCAGCCATGTACCAGGCGCCATGCTGAGCTGGTTGTTCTCTTACGACTTTTAATTCTTACAAAACCTCTAGGATGTTGGGAACTCATACTCATTTGACAGACACTGTGGCTCAGAAATGTTAAGTAACATGCTCAATGTACACAGCCAGGCAGTGGGAGCTGTGATTCAGGCCCAAATTGTTCTGATTCTGGAGTCCTGGATCCTAACCCCCACACTGAGTTACTGTCCCCAACAGCATTGTGCCACCCAATCACATATCTGCAGTAACAAAGTCCTCAATACCTCAAGCAATAAATGAGACAGGGAGGCTGCAGGGGAAGGGGAAGGAGGATGAATATTCTTGGCAGGAGACCATCTATTCCTCACACAGGACTGGCCCAGTGCAGTCTCAGGAGGGGCAGTGCCATTTAGGGGCCCATGAAATGTTTTGATTCCTTTTTAAATTAAAAGAAAAAAATGTACCTTCAGGACAAAAAAACGTTGTTCCTCTAGAATACAAACATATATATATATACTTTAGGGAGGAAACATTCTCTAAGAAAAGTGCCCAGGGCCCACGACAGTCATGATGTGGTCCTGGCCTGCGTTTTCCCCTCTTCCTTCTGCCTTGTGCCACATTAATTGATACCATGAGTTCACTCTTCCTCCTGTACATGAACCATCTTCCCTTTCCCTCTGTGATACTCAGCTCAGGCCATTCTGAGACCATTGCAGTACCTCTTATCTGGTGGCCCTGCCTTCAGATTCTTTCTCTTTTTCCAGCCTTCTCCCAGCTTGCAGTGTTCTTTGATCTGTTCTTATTCTATATTTTTACAATATTATATTTATTCTCATGATTGTGTGTGTGTCCCATGTTAAGTCAGAGGATTTGAAGTTGTCTGTGTTCCTTCATGGTAAAGACCACCCACTTTTGAAAAAAAATATGAAAATCGATACGATATACATAACATGAAATTTATCATTGTAACCATGCTGAATGGTTAAATGGTATTAAGTACATTTCTAATGTTGTATAACCATCACCACTATCTGTTTTCAAAATTTTTCATCACTGGAAACTGAAACTCTGTGGCCATTAAATAATAACTCCGCATTGTCCCCTTCCCCAGCCCCTGATGACTTCCATTCTACTTTCTGTCTCTAGAACTTGCCTATTCTAGGTGCCTCATGTAAGTGGACTCATACAGTACTGGTCCTTTTGTGACTGGCTTATTTAACTTCACATAATGTCTTTGAGGTTCATCCATGTTGTTGTGTGTGCCAGGACTTCATTTCTTTTGTGCCTGAATGATACTCCATCATATGTATATAACATGTATCCATTCATCAATCTACAGACACTTGGGCTGTTTCCCCCATTTTGTTATTGTGAGTCATGCCGGTATGAACGTTGGTGTACAAATATCTGAGCTGCTGCTTTTAATTCTTTTGGGTCCATACCTAGAAGTGGAATTGCTGAGTGATAAGGTAATTTTGTTCAATTTTTTGAGGAACCATCAAACGGCAAACCAACTTTTTTCATGTGTGATGGACGAAGCTGCCCTTGAGTCTACTTCCAAAGCCTGGCTCTGAGATTAGATGACTGTAAACAGTTGTGAAAACTTACTGCACCATGCATTTTAAAATTGTGAATTTCACTCTATTACAACTCCATGAACTAGAGTTTTAAAACATAGTTTTCTTTTCTAGGAGGAAGGATTCCTAAGGAGAGGCTTGAGATGGATACAGCAAAGGGGGAATTGTGAAAAGCGTGAGAGTTTCTGAAGGGAGGGGGAGAAGAAATGAATGACCAATCTCACAATCTTGCTTAGATAAGCCTAGCTGCATATTATAATTGTTAGCTCTGGTGAGCATAGTTTGTGCAATTGCAATTGTCATTCTGCTTTTTGTTTGTTTTTGATTCAGCGACATGCATTTATCATGTGCCTTCTGTGTGGCATTTAACAGCCCTCTTTGTCACAGGTTACACACATAGAATGAAAATGTTAATAAAAAAATAAGATGTCACTTTAAAATATACAAGTAAATGGAAAGACAGTCCATGTTCATGAATTAGGAAGAGTTAATATTGTTAAGATGTCAGTACTACCCAAAGCAATCTGCAGATTCAATGCAATCTCTGTCAAAATCCCAAGGATTTTTTTTGCAGAAACAGAAAAATTCCTCCTTAAATTCATATGGAATCTCAAGGACCTCAAATAGCCAAAACAATTTTGAAGATGAAGAATAAAATTGGAGGTCTTACATTTTTTGAATTCAGAACTATAGTAGAACATGGGCCAGGCATGGTGGCTCATGCCTGTAATCCCAGCACTTTGGGAGGCCAATGCGGGTGGATTGCCTGAGGTCAGGAGTTCAAGACCAGCCTGGACAACATGGTGAAACCCCATCTCTACTAAAAATACAAAATTAGCTGGGCATAGTGGTGTAGTCTCAGCTATTCGGGAGGCTGAAGTGGGAGAATCACTTGAGCCTGGGAGGTGGAGACTGCGGTGAGCCAAGATCATGCCACTGCACTCCAGCCTGGGTGACAGAGTGAGACTCTGTCTCAAAAACAAACAAAGAAACAAAGAAACAGACAAACAAAACTTTGTAGACCAAAGCTACAGTAATCAAAACTTACTACAAAGCTACTGTAATCAAAACTGTGGAACTGTCATAAAGTCAGACATATAGACCAATAGAATAGGATACAGAGTCCATAAATAAACCCTTGCATATACGGAGAAATTATTTTCAACAAGGATGCCAAAGCCATCCAATAGGGAGAGGATAGTATTTTCAACAAATGATGTTGGGAAAACTGGATAGCCCACATGCAAAAGAATAAAGTTGGATCTTTGCCTTACACTGTGTACAAGAATTAACTCAAAGTGGATCAAAGACCTAAATGTAAGAGCTAAAACTATAGCTCTCAGAAGAAACATAAAGTTTCATGACACTGGATTTGGCAATGACTTCTTAGATATGACACCAAAGGCATAGGTAAAAAAGAAAAAATAGATAAGTTAGATTTCATCAAAATAAAACACTTGTGCATCAGTTAACCCAGCTGTCCATCAACGAATGAATGAATAAAGAAAATGTGGTCTATATACATAATGAAATACTATTCAGCCATAAAAATGAATGAAATCAAGTCATTTGCAGCAACATGGATGGAAATAGAGGCCATTATGTTAAGTAAAATAAGCCAGGAACAGAAAGACAAATATCGCATGTTCTCACTCATGTGTGGGTGCTAAAAAAGTTGATCTCATGGAGATAGACAGTAGAATAATAGATACCAGAGGCTGTGAGGGGTGTGTGGGTGGGGGAAGAGATGAAGAGAGATTACTTAACATACAGTTAGAAGGAATAAGTTCTAATGTTTGATAGTAGAACAGGGTGACTATAGTTAACAATAATGTATTGCGTATTTCAAAATAGCTAGAAGAGAGGACTTGAAATGTTCACTTCATCATTACACACTCTATACATGTAACAAAATATCACAGGTACCTCAAAATATATATATAAATACTATGTGTCAATAAAAATACATAAAAGGCAAATCTAAGCAAAAAATCCCCAACCAAACAAAAACGTTTGTGCATCAAAGGACACTATCAACAGAGTGAAAAGATAATCCATAGAATGGGAGGAAATATTTACAAATCAATACCTAATAGGGATTGATATCCATAACGTGCAAAGAACTCTTACAACTCAGTAACAATAAAACAACCTAATTAAAATTGGGCAAAGGGCTTGAATAAACATTTCTCCAAAGAAATACACATAGCTACTAAGCACATGAAAAGATGCTTAATATCACTCATTAGGGAAATACAAATCAAAACCATAATAAGACACTACTTCACTCCCATTAGGATGACAATACCAAACAAAACAAAACAAAACAAAACAAAAACACAAACCCAGAAAATAACAAGTGTTAGTGAAGATGCAGAGAAACTGGAACCCTTGTACATTGCTGGTGGGAAGGTAAAATGGTGCAGCCACTGTGGAAAATGATTTGATGAGTCCTCAAAAGATTAAACATAAAATTACCATACGATTCAGCAATTCCACTTTTGGGTATAGACCCAAAATAAGTAAAAGCAGGGACTCAAGCAGATATTTGTACACCAATGCTTATGGCAGCATTATTCACCAAGCAGTAGAAACACCCCAAGTGTTATAAACGGGTAAACAAATTGTGGCATATACGTACAATTGGATATTATTAGGTCTTACAAAGGAAACAATTCTGATGCATGCTACAACATGAATAAATTTTGAAGACATTATGTTGAGTGAAATAAACCATAAAGGGACAAAGTTTGTATTTTATATACACCTATATGAAGTATCTAGAGTAGTCAAATTCAGTCACAAAAAGTGGAAAGGTAGTTGCCAGGGGCTTGGGAAGCAGAGAATGGGGAGTTTCAGTTGAGAAAGATGACAAAGTTCTGGAGGTGGATGGTAGTGATGGTGACACAACCATGTGAATGTACTTAATGCCAGTGAATTGTACACTTAAAAATGGTTGATGGCCAGGCACGGTGGCTCACGCCTGTAATCCCAGCACTTTGGGAGGCCAAGGCAGGTGAATTACGAGGTCAGGAGTTCGAGACCAGCCTGGCCAACTTGTGAAACCCTGTCTCTACTAAAAATACAAAAATTAGCTAGGTGTGGTGGCACACACCCTAATCCCAGCTACTCAGGAGGCTGAGGCAGAAGAATCTTGTGAACTGGGGGGAAGAGGTTGCAGTGAGCCAAGATCTTGCCCTTGCACTCCAGCCTGGGCGACAGAGGGAAACTCCGTCTCAACAAAAAGGAAAAAAAATGATTAATATGGTAAACTTTATGTTATGTATGTTTTAACACACACACACACACACACACACACACAAACACACACGCCTGAAAACAATATTACTTCACTCTTGATTTTTTTTTTTTTTGAGATGGAGTCTTGCTCTGTCACCCACGCTGGAGTGCAGTGGTGCGATCTCGGCTCACTGCAAGCTCCGCCTCCCAGGTTCACGCCATTCTCCTGCCTCAGCCTCCCGAGTAGCTGGGACTACAGGTGCCCGCCACCGCGCCCAGCTAATTTTTTTTTTTTTTTGTATTTTTAGTAGAGACGGGGTTTCACCGTGGTCTCGATCTCCTGACCTCGTGATCCACCCGCCTCGGCCTCCCAAAGTGCTGGGATTACAGGCGTGAGCCATCGCTCCTGGAGTCTCATTCCTGTCGCCCAGCTGAAGTGCAGTGGTGAGATCTGGACTCACTACAACCTCCAATGCCCAGGTTGAAGCTTCGAGTAGCTGGGATTACAGGCGCCCACCACCACACCTGGCTATTTTTTGTACTTTTAGTAGAGACGGGGTTTCGCCATGTTGGCCAGGCTGATCTAAAACTCCTGACCTCAGGTGATCTGCCCACCTCAGCCTCCCAAAGTGCTGGGATTACAGGTGTCAGCCACCACACCCGGCCCAGGAATCTTTTTAAACCTTCAACCCAAACTCTGTAACATCTGGCTTCTGGTCTCCTTCCCAGCACTGTGTTAACTTCTAATATCATCTCCCACCCAAACTTCTGGCTACATTGTTTAATACATTCTCATATTTCTCTCATCTGTCCTCCTTTGCTCTTCTACATTTCCTAAAATTGTTCCTGTTACCTGGAATGACCTTTCCTCTTCTCCATCTCCACCTTTAAAATGCCACCCATTCTTCAAGAATAAATGTTACTTCCTTCAGGAATCCAGTCCTGACCTCGGTACCTCTGTTTCAATACTTTTCACTATGGGCTTTGTCTTAGAGTGATACTTTCACATTTTTGTCTCCCTTAATAAATTGGAAGCATTCTGAATTATATATATGTATTTAAACCAGCCACAGAATTTAGCTTGTAGTAATGAAAAAAATGTTTATCAAATCAATTAAGCTTTCTTCACAAAAGCAGTTCCCAGTGGGAAAACTGAGAAAACTTTGGTCCATTTTGATCTTCAACCAAGAATTTCAAAGAGAATCGAAAACTTTAGATAAAAATTGCAATTTATTATGCCAACATTTTATCTGTCCTGGCTGCCAAGGGTGAACAAAATGACACTCAATCAGGAAAATTTGTCTGCAGATGCATTTCTTAAGGTTTTGTTTTTTTGGTTTTTGTTTTTTTTCTTGAACTGAGATGGAAGTGTCATGTGATGTAATGTGTAATGAGCAGTTCTTCTGAAAACTATATTTTGATTATTCATAACTACTTTAGACGTAGTAGGTAAACCCCCCTGAAAGCCGATGCAGAATGTGTGCAGATGGGAAAGCAGTTAGTCATTTGCTTACTGCTCGGTTTTGAAAGCGATGCCTCTGCTCACGCAAAGGATCAGTTTAATAAATTCAACTCCAGGCAGTCAGGTGTGATGGGGTGGGGGGCGTTATGTAAGATAGAAGCTGCATATTCAGAGCTCAGCTCATGGGGAAGCAGGCCTCAGGTCTTCTCATGCGAAATAGACCTCTTTTGTAAGAACACTTTCCAGAAACAAAATTAGGAAAAAGTACTTTTAAAAAAGTGAATTAGGAAGCAGCTGTTAACTCCTAGAAAGCAGTGACTTGGAGCGGCAGGGAGGCCAACCTGATCCTGGGGAATAGTTAATAGTTGGAGCCTAGGTAACCACCGAATACTACTTAACTGAATTCTCTATCAAGTCCAGCCTTCCAAGAAGTATTGTTTTAGGATGAACTCATGTGGAAACAGTGCACTGGAAGAAAGGACATTAGAATTAGTGCAAACCAAAATATATTTTTAAAACATGACTGAAATGCAACATAGGTACAGAAAAGTGCACAAAACACACACATTATAAAATAAACACACCTGTGTGACCAGCACCCAGCTCAAGAAGACAGTGTTACCAACACCCTGCAGCCCTCTCATGCCTCCTCCCTCCTCACCAAAGCTAACCTCTCTCCTCACTTCTGACAGCATATATTGGTTTGTCTGTTTT